>NC_000013.11:38408106-43408106 GCF_000001405.40 Homo sapiens
ATTTCTGCTTCCTTGAATATAATGCAGTTTTCCTGGAAGTCTAGTACAAAAAAAAGGCTTTTGAAAATTATTCAAGGATGCTTGAAATGAAAAGTCACTCTCCATAGGGTACAGGGTTAAAATATAGGCTTCATGACGTATCTTGTTCAAATTTGGTTTGTCTATTTTTTTGGTTATTGTTTATTTCTCAGTCAAGAGCTAAAATAGTTGTGTTAAAGCTTTTCACAGTGGTTGCTCCAGCTACTTTCCCTTTGCATTTATAGTTTGTTTTCTCTGCATGTTTTGATGCTGTTATTAAATCATCATGGTGTGTTATTTATTCTGTCAATGTAGAATGGCTTCCTTTGCCCCAGTTTACTTTTTGTTTTCATTTATTATTTGTTTTGCTTTATATGATTCTTGCTACATGTACTTTGTTTTGCTTGTAGCTTATATAATTCTTCCCATTGTTGATTTTTACTATTTCAATGCAGTTATTGTATGAGAAATATACACTTGGATTTGGTTTACAAACACGATATGATAGTAGTGGCCTCTTAAGGAGGAAGATTTGCTTATTTCCACTTATTGTAATAATTAAAACACTTGAGCAGCTACTTTTACTTAATTTAAAGGAGTAAATTACATAAAATTTATCAAATGATCATCATAATATATCATATTCTTCTAAATATTACATAAATAAAAATTATCAAATAGTATGTCACATAATACATATCATAATTATCAAAAATAAAATGAAAAATCAATTATATAAAAAACATTACATTACTGTGTAATTACAAGTATGAACAATAGCAATGACTGGGAAAAAATAATGGAAAACATGAAAAACAAGAAATAGAAAATAAAATTATCAATAATCCTACCACCAAGCAATAAGCACCGTTAAGATTTTGGTATATTTTCTGCCATCTGTACACACTGTTTTGTTTTGCTCAGATCAAGCTATGTATGCTCTTGCTTTTTTTGTCCATTATACATATATCATAAGCATTTTTCACATCATTAAACCTTCCTTGTAAACAATATTTTTAATGGCTACAGTTTATTATCATATAGTAGTAACATTTTTTACTAATCACAATTATATTATGAATACCTGAGTTCTACTATTGTTAATAAGTTTTTAGATGCATTCTAGTTAGTTTCTTAGACTCCAGAAATAGTGTTGCTTGGTAAAAAATATATTTTCAAAAAAGGGTACCTGATACATAATGCATGACTCCTTTTCAAAAATATGTATCAACTGATGCTCCCGCCATATTGAACTTAAGGTTAAAAGTTAAATTTAGTTGCACACTAACTAAAATTATCAGTATTTTCTTCATTGTTTTATCTCCCGTGCCTACACAGCGCTTGGAAAATATAGTAGGCAATCAAAAATATTTTAAATGAATTATTTCTCTACCGGCAATGATGTTAAGACAGAGAAGTTTTAATTCTTTGAAGTTCAAGAGGATATATTTATTTGAAAAATGAATTAAGTGATTTTTCAAAAATCACATTGCCATTTTTTGAAAGATCCAAGAGTAGAACAGTTTAGTGACTCAAATCTTTATGCTCTTCCTGCAACACCTAAAGATATAATCAATTTTTAATTTTTTCTAATTGATTTTGTTTCTATGAATCAACAATATAAAATAGCAGATATTTTAAATATATCATATATATATATTTACTTAATTTGGGAAAAGTTAAAGTCAAATTTATCATATTCACCAAATTCAGCACATACCTGCCACATATACACACAAATAAAATTGGTCAATGATTAACCGCAAAATAAAAAAAGAGCTGAAAACATGAATCATTCATCTCTGCATACATGAATTATATTGCTTTTATTTGTATAGTCCCCTGAAGGCATTCTCCAAACCTGATGCAAGGGAAGCTAGAAACTAGGCAGAAATCAATAGTGAGGTGATGGAATTTGGGCGTGCCAGAACATCTAAAAGTAAAGAAGAAAAAATCCCAGAGAGAAGGAGCCCACAGAGGGGCAGCTCTCAAACATGCATTTAAACACTTACCAAATTTTTGGTGAATCTCTGAGCTGTGCTTGCATGGGTGATACTCCAAGGAGCCCAGTTAGAGAAAAACTTGTACAAAACTGAAAATGTTGACAAAGATTTCAGCTGCTGCTGGCTACCCATTGCGGGGAAAACATACTTTGGAATTAGAATTCTCACAAGCTAGAGGGTGTTTGCGAATACCCTGGGATTTCCACTGAACTTCTTTTTTTTTTTTTTTTTGAGACAGAGTCTCGCTCTGTCGCCCAGGCTGGAGTGCAGTGGCGCAATCTCGGCTCACTGCAGGCTCCGCCCCCGGGGTTCAAGCCATTCTCCTGCCTCGGCCTCCCGAGTAGCTGGGACTACAGGCGTCCGCCACCACGCCCGGCTAATGTTTTGTATTTTTAGTAGAGACGGGGTTTCACCGTGTTAGCCAGGATGATCTGGATCTCCTGACCTCGTGGTCCGCCCACCTCGGCCTTTCAAAGTGCTGGGATTGCAAGTGTGAGCCACCACGCCCAGCCTCTCCTCTGAACTTCTTAAAGATATATACCATGGAAGTATTGACTAGA
Organism: Homo sapiens; assembly: GCF_000001405.40. NCBI lineage: Eukaryota > Metazoa > Chordata > Mammalia > Primates > Hominidae > Homo > Homo sapiens. The sequence continues at coordinate 38,410,688 of NC_000013.11, forward strand.
TCCAAAGAAAAATATGTTCACCTGGGGTAGGGGCAGAGCCCAAATAGACTCACCCCAACACCTGAAACAAGTTTCTACATATTTAAGATGTTTTACCACTAATGTAATTGCCTGCAAGAACAAAACAAAACACTCTTCAGAAAAGGATAAATTAATCTAGGGTTGCTACAATGTGTTGTACACAATGTAGAGTATACAATAAAAAATTAGTAGACTTGCAAAAAATACCCATGAAAACATCACCTAAGATTAAGAAACAAATTAGTCAAAAAAAAGTAGACCTACAAAGAGCTAAATTATTGATGTTAACAGATGAGGATTGTAAATAACTATGATAAGTATGATAAAGATTCTTCAGGAAAAGTTAGACACAAAGGGAAGAAAGTGGGATAATTTAGAAAGTATAAAAAAGATGAAAAAGAAAATCCTAGAATTCAAAATGCAATACTTCAATTATAAAATTATTTGATGTGATTAATAGCAGAAAAGATAGAACAATAGAAAGAAATATTAAAACTGAGGACAAGTTGGCAAAAACCATACAAATTGAAGGACAGAAAAGGAGAGTTTAAAAGATGAATTAAAGGTGTAATAGTTTGTGGAATTGTAGCAAATAATCTAAAATCCCTGCAACTGACATTCTAGAAGGAAAGAAAACAGAGAATGATTCAGAAAAATGCATGAAGAAATACTGGCCAGAAAATAAAATTCCATGTTTCTTTAAAAACAGTAACTCATAAACCCAGGAAGCTCAGTAAAGACCAAGGAAAACAAATAGAAAGCTGTATCTAGACATATCATAGTCAATTTCAGAAAACAAATGATTGATAAAGAAAAATACCTATAAAGAAGTAGCAGAGACATATTACATGCAGAAGAATTCCAAAAAGAATAAGACCTGCCTTCTCATTATGAAAGTTGTAGATCACCAATGAAACAACATCTTTAACATGCTAAAAAAATTTTATTAACTAGAAGTCTATACCCAAAATAATAAGCGCCTACACCAAGTTCTTCTTTTGCCATGACAAGAAACACCTACTATAAGCTCTGTCTCCTACTGATTACAATTAAAAGCCCTAGACAAAATACAATACCAACTACCTGAGTATTCTGAAATGTGAACAAAAGTGGGTGGCTTGTGAAGAGAAGTCAAAATTAAGAAAGGCAACCATATGACGTGGAGTGGGGATGGTAAGTTTTCTTACCATCCTGAGCAGTGGCACAGGAAGCTAACACTTCAATAAAAATCCTGTACATCTGACCAGGGATATCTGAAAAGGAGTTCCACACAGGGCAGAGTGTGTGTGTGGGAATTCCAGAGAGAAAAGAGCTGAAAAAGGAGATTTCCTAATCCTATATGTGAACCTGCACAAGTCTCAGGCTTACCCTTTAGCTATGTGTGGATGAAACTGACCCAAAACAGTATAACAAAGGTGATGAAAACCAAACTAAGGCTTCAGTCATGGCCCAAGTCTCAGACTAACTCCCAAATGGTACATGTGTGTAACAGACAAAGGTGCATAGCATAAGCTTTGAAAACTAAGGTGGTATTTGAACCACCACCCACACAAGGTAAGCTGAACAAGTGATCTTAACTTACCTGGATGATTACTTGCTAAATCAAGTAACAATAAAAGCAACATTTTTCCAGAAGATCATAACAAGCCCTATAGTTTACACAAAATAATATTCAAAATGTCCACCATCCAATTCTACATTATTTGACATAAAAAGAGCCAGGAAATCTGACCAATTTTCAAAGAAAACAGCACTCTGGGAAAAGAGCCAGAGGTTGGAGTTTTTCAGCGTTCAAAGCAGCTAATGTAGCATGTTTTATAAAGTAAAGCTGAGTACACATTAAAAAAATAAAAGACAAGTTCTCAGCAGGGAAGTAGAAACAATTTTTTTAAATTTGAAATTTTAGAATTGAAAATACAATACCTAAATTAAAAAGTCATTGGATGATATCAACAGCAAAGTGGAGATGACAGAGGAAAGAGTCAATGAAGTTAAAAATAAATCAGTAAGAAATTTATGTGATCATCATAATACATGCAGAAAACATTTGGGAACATTCAATGTCCCATTTAAACTTTCAGCAACAAAAACAAGAAGAGATCTTCCTCAATCTGATAAAGATATCTGTTAAAACAACAACACCTAAAGCTAACTTCATTCTGAATAGTTAAATATTGAACTTGTACCTCCCCGAAATCAGGAAAATTCAAGAATATTCACTCTCACCACTATTATTCAACATTGTAACTGGATGTCCTAAAAAATCCAAAAGGCAACACATAAATACATACACACATACATACATGTGTACATACATACATACATACAAGCATAGATCTTGGAAAGAAATAAGTAAACCTCCCTATATTCAAAGATAATATAATTGTCAAAAAGAAAATTCTAATGCATATACAAAAATCTACTTGAAAATATAAGTGAATTTAGCAGTCATAGGATGTAATGTCCAAATTTTAACAATCAATTGTATTTCTAAATGTTAGCAGCAAGCAACTGGGAAATTAAGTTAAAATAAAAGTACATTTAAAATAGTATCAAAAACATAATTAAATTAAAAATAAATTTAATGACATGTACAAAGCCTCCACACTTAAAAGTATAAAATGTCAAAAGTATAAAATATTACTAGAAAATGTAAAAGACACATGCACAAAACAGAGAGATATATTCGCAAATTTGAAGACTCAATGTTGTTAAGATGTCAATACTTTCTAAAATTATTTATACATTCCATGAAATTGCAGTCAAACGCCAAACAGACATTTTGTAAAAATTTAAAATATAATTTTCATATGTATATGGAAATATAGAAGAGCCGTAATAGCCAAAGCAATTTTAAAAATAATTGTGTTAGAAATCTTTTACTAGCTGGTTTCACAATTTATCATAAAGCTATTGCAATCAGGACAATATGGTCTTGGCACAATGATAGGCAAAGAGGTCAATGGAATCTAGAAATAGATCCACATACATATAGTAAATTCATTTTCAGCAAAGGCACTGAAGTAATTCAATGTGTAATGAATAATCTTTTCAACAAATGATGCTGGAAGAACTGGAGAATCATATAAGAAAAATTGAATCTCGGTTCAACTCCACTAAAATTAATTTGGTATGGATCACAAACCTAGACATAAAAGCTAAATGCAAAACTTCTAGAGAAAATGAAGGAATGTGTATATGACCTTGGTTTAAGGAAGTATTTCTTACATAAGACTCAAAGGATTAACAATAAAATTTAAAGATCAATAAAACAGAGTTTACCAAAAATGTAGAACTTCTATTCTTCAAAAGATACTATTAAGAAAATAAAATTTTAATCTATAACCTGGAAGAAAAAAATATGTATTATCCTATGACTCAGTAATAAAACAAATATTCAAAAGTGTGAATGGAATTTTGAAACAAGAAAAGATGTTAGTGACCAATAAACAGAAAAATATGTTCAACATAATTAGCTATCAAAGGAATTAAAACACCGTGAAATGTCACACTAGGGGGGGCGAGAGTTAAAACGTCTGATAATGCTAGGTGTTGACAAGGATGAAGGGCAAATGGAACTCTCTTACATTGCTAATAAGAATATAAAGTTGTGCACTTTGCAAAACAGTTTAACAGTGTCTTATATAGCTAAAGAAAAAATTTGTGATTTAGCAATTCTACTCCTACATTTTTACCATTTTTACCTAAGATAAAAGATATATGTCACAAAATAATGGCATAGGTGTGTCCATTGTAGATTTCTTCATAATAGAACAAAACTGGAAACAATCCACATTTCCATCAATAGGTGAATGAACAAATTGTGATATATTCACACAAATACATTCAGCAATAACAAAAATATATGCAACAATATGAGTGAACCTTAAAAAAACATAATCTTCTTTTCCAGGATCTAAATAAAACATAATCTTGTTTCCTACGATCTAGAAAAAACATAATCTTGAATGAAAAAGCTCAGTATAAAATAAAATGTTATATTATTTCATTTATGTTATATTATTCCATTTATATGAAGTTTAAAAATGGGCAAAGCTAACCTATAATCATATGACTTAAAAGTGACATTGCCTTTGGGCTGCATAAAAGGGGTTCAACTTCAAAGGGCAAGGGTACAAGAGAACTTCCTGTGGTGTTAGAATATATATAGTTTATTTTATATATAATAAAATGTAATTATATAGTTTATGTATATAAATAATGTTTTTTGTTTCCAAGATATATGTATTTATCAAAACCCACTGAACTCTATAATTAAAATGGATATTTTAAATGTATATGTTATATATTGAATATATAAATTATATATGCAAACAGAATTTTAATTGTTATTAATAGCTAGGCATTTACAACTCATGTAAATGAATTAAATGTCATTCAATCTCACAGCACAGTGGTTACGCTGTGGGGTTTAATCTTAAACTATACCCTGCACTAATTTCTGGAAATTTATGTTGTTGCCCTGGAAAGTACTACCTTATAGACTGTGGTTGTGGAAAGACTAAATGAGATCATGTATGTAAAGCACATACATTAAAGGGCTTATCTCAGTAACTGATAGCTACTTTGAAACAAATGTCTGAAAAAAGTTAGTGAGGACTGTGAATGTACATGGATTAAGCATGCTGTTGAGAGGCATGTGTCACCTTAAGCCTTGGTGTGCTATTTATAGGTGCTCTTGGTGCAGTCCAGGAACTGAAAGACTTGCAACCTCACGACCTTCATTTCCTCCCCTGTACGCAGAGTCTGTCATCCTTCTCATAGAGGAACACAACGAGGTAATCGCACTGTTCCATCTCTCAAACCTGTGCTTTACAGCAGGGGCACCCGCACAAACCATGACACACTCAGGGAGAATCAGAAAACACTACTGTGATTTACTTCTACTGGGGACTTTAGAGGCAGAATTTTGGCTTCCATTCTGTTAAGTGACTCTAAGAAGAAAAAAAATAGGATTCATTTTGTTTTCTAGACCCTAGGTTAATCTTCCTAAACTACCAGTTTTGCATGGGTAAGGGGGCAGCTCACCAAAGGGTCTGAATTCATCTGAATTCACTTTGTGATACTATTTAATGAAAATCATTATGTAATCTTTCATCTAAAATTATTTTGTAAAATCTTAGTGTGATTATGAAAAATACCCATTTACCTTTTTTTATTATTCAAGGAAAAATAGGTATTCTGACACATATATTTCAAAAGACATAATAATGTATCCAAAAGTACAGTTTTCAATAAAGATAACTAAAACAGTATGGCCATCAGGGAGAATGGAGATTTTTATCTGTTCTTTTTTTTTTTTCCTCTGGGATTTTTAGGTCTTTCTGCCCAGGAGCAGTGTCAGCACTGGATATAGTGTGCTTGGACATGTTTTATGAAAGAAAATGAGGAAAGGATTTATTGGTCTTTATGGGTTTAGGGCAATCTCCCTGATTCCAGTAAATTATTTAAATTGGAAATGACCTGAGCCATTTATTCCTTTTCAAAAAGAAAGAGAAAGTTCTTCAGTTCACCCCGATAGAAATGAGAGCTTAATCTTATCATAAAACTGACAATTAGCTTTTGCTCACTGAGTTAATTTTATATTATGAAGTGAAAGTAGTCCAACAATTCACTAAGTGATGAGTAGAGAGGTCTTGGTATCCCAGATTAGTAGTCAAAACACTTCAGAAATAAAATTCTGCCTTTCCTGAGTAGGCTGACATATTGTAATTCCTGTGTTTTAAAGTCTGATACCTGATAATAATATAGTCTGTAATTACTGACTTCTGAGAAATAGTGGGCTCTTTACTCTTCCTCTGTAACACACTGTTCAATTCTCATCTTCCAGACTTAATGTAATCCCTTAATTTTACTCTGTTCCATCTTTTAATCTTCCCATCAGCTTAATTTTTATCCCATGCATGTGCCCTTGCCTACAAATTATTTTCATGGCTTTGTTTTCTTCTTATTATTATATTAAATTATAAATTTGGGGAAAATTGTCACATGAATCTCACTGGATTACTGTGAGAATTAAATGAGATAATGCCAAAAAAGTGCTTAGGACATTGGTTGGCACATATTCCTCAATGAATGTAAACTCTGGTGTGTGATAAACTGCTTGTGCAGAGGGTCTTTATCTTTAAAACCTTATATATAGTAATTAGTACCGATCCATGCAATCGCTGCCTAAATAAATTCTGTCCAATAAGTTCATGAGAATGATTTAATTGTTTAGGGTCTCACTATGTCACCCAGGCTGGAGCACAATGATGGCATCATAGTTCACTGCAGCCTCAAACTCCTGGGCTCAAGTGGTCCTCCTGCCTCAGCCTCATGAGTAGCTGGAACTCCTTCATGGCCGGCTAATTTATTTTATTTTTTTTGTACAGATGGAGTCTCGCTTTGTTGCCCAGGCTGGCCTAGATCTCCTGGCCTCAAGGGATCCTTTCCCCTTGGCCTCCCAAATTGCTGAGATTACAAGTGTGAGCCAAGGTGCCTGGCCAAGAATGATTTAAATTGTGAACACGTGTGATGGCTTTTATTGGTACTTCCTTTTCTGAAGTTATAATTTATTTTTCATCTAAAGAGGCTCTGGGTTCTTAAGTGATAATTTTTAAAAACTGTTTTTCTTATTGGTGGGGGTAGGGGGTTACCAATGAGCAAATGCATCAAGTAGAAAAATGAACAAAACAAATCAGGGCAAACTCAGCAATGAGTCATCCGGATGTATAGCAATGCCATTAACTCTGGAAAATAGTTTTATTTGTAATCATACATTATCTTTCTGTTTTTAATAAGTATTCAATGAACAATAACTGACAACAAAATAAAATTTTAAATGTTAAGAGACTTGTGTTAACCCTGAAAGATAAACAGGTACATGCAGACAATGGAATATTTTTCAGTACAAAAAAGAAAAGAGCTATCAAGCTGTGAAAAGACATGAAGAAAACGTAAATACATTATTACTCATTGAAAGACGCTACATCCCATATGATTCCAACTCTATGACCTCTTGGAAAAGACAAAACTATGGAGACAGGGAAAAGATCAGTGATTACCAGGGTTGGAGTCAGGGAGGGATGAATAGGAAGAACACAGGGGATTTTCAGAGCAGCGCAACTTCCTGTATGATACTGTATTGGTGGATATATGCCACTATACATTTGTCCAAACCCATGGAGTGTACACCACCAAGAGGGAACCCTAGTGTAAACTGTAGACTCTGGGTGGTAATGATGTGTCACTGTAGGTTCATCATTTTGTAACAGATGCACCCCTCTGGTGGAAGATGTTGGTAATGGAGGAGGATATGCATACGGCAGGGGGAGGAGGAGGAGTATATGGCAAATCTCTCTACCTTCCAATTTTGCCATGAACCTGAAAATACTTTGAAAAAATAAAATAAAAAGCATAGAATGTTTGTGTGTTTAAGATATTCTTTACCTAATCTCAGCCTGATCAGCTTTTTCCCTTGCAACATGTAGAATTATAAAATTAGTAAAACTGACAGAACAGGTATTTTGATAGAGTGTGTGGGTTACTCTTTTTTATCCCACATACTCTGTGTTAGAATACAAAATATTTGAGGAAGGTAATGCCCTCTTTCAGTCATTTGTCCTTATTGCAAAAGCCCATTACCTTAAAAGAAGACTTTAAATATTGCTTAGGCCATAGATTCCTTTTTGGTATACCAGCAGTATGGCATAGTATTGCACTATGCTGGATTTCCCAAGTCATTCCTTTTTCTATGTAGAAGCTGTTTTTCTTTTCTCTAACTTCAGAGTGGCCAAGTGGCTCCTTTGACTATGACTAAGAGACCTATTTCAACATACTATATTTTTCCCCACACAAATAATTGCCCTGATTGAAGGGGCATCAATCACCCTGATTATAAGAAGTTCTTTGTGGAAACACTGAGAGAACTTGATTAGAGATTTTTAAAAACTACTCTAAGAAGTTGTACCTAACAGGTACCTAGCTGACATTTCTGAGTTCCTCCCAATATAAATAGAAGACTTCCACAGAGGCGACTACAGCGCATTTTATTGTTGGGCAGTAATATCAAATAATCATTGTCAACTTTTTTTTTTTTTTTTTTTTTTGAGATGGAGTCTCGCTCTGTCGCCCAGGCTGGAGTGCAGTGGCGCATCTCAGCTCACTGGAAGCTCTGCCTCCTGGGTTCATGCCATTCTCCTGCCTCAGCCTCCCGATTGTCAACTATTTTACCATGGTTTGAATGATTTATTCTTAAGACAATTTTTTAAAAACCTGTCATTAAAATCTCACTTAAATCTTATTATGACTTGTATGTTTTTGGAGTATACTTTGGCCACTGTGTCCTCTATTAGGATATTTCTACATTTATTTATTTAGTAAAAACCTAAAGTCACATTATTCTTTCTATGCCACTGGATAATATTGTTAAATTAGATAATATTGTTAAATTAGATTGTTAAAGCTGCCTCTGTACTTACATCCTTAACCTAACATAGTGTGTAAACAGACTGCAATCTAAATTAAGAGTATATTTTGTAACTTGTGGCTTAGTCTTAGCCAATCATAGTAGCTAAGCTTAAGCCAATCATAGTCTGTTAACTGGTCAGACCATGTGCAAATGTGGCAAATGCTGAGCCAAGCTGTAAATAATCAAGCTATTTCTGTATTTCATTTTTGTTTTCTGACAATTAATATTCCCTGTCCCTATAAAGTGAAGCTCCATGAACGTTGCTAAAAGAAAAACCTTAGACAAATTAAATTTAGCAGAGTTTAATTGAGCAAAGAAGGTTTCATGAATCGGGCAGCCTCCTGAGCCAGAGTGGACACAGAGAGACTCCAGTGCAGCCACGTAGTGGAAGAACATTTATGAACAGTAAAAGGAAAGTGACATACAGAAAACAGAAGTGAGATAAGAAACAGCCAGATGCATTACAGTTTGGCATTTGCCTTATTTGAACATGGTTTGAACAGTTGGCCACCTTTAATTGGACAGAACTCAGTGACTGACACAAGAGTAGGTTAGTCTGTTTACACATCAAGTGAGGTTTCAGTTTACTATGTATAGGGAAACTTTTAGGCTAAACTTAAAATAAGTAAGGAGGCAGGTTTAATATAAACTTAACAATTCTCCCCTTTTGGTCAACTTTGAGAAATAGACCAAAACATTAGGCATTGATGTCACTGTCATTATTGTAAATGTCAGGTAATTTTTTTTTTCTGTAAGGGTTAGAGTAGAGAGGACCTTTTTGTGTTGAATCTACTGTTTACAAGAGAAAAACAAAGCCAGGTCTATTTTAGGATCTATCTGAGTCAATGATTCAGTTTGATTATGTCATGTTTAGCATGAGTGACTCCATTTTGGTTTGACCTGGTCTGTTGGAGCCTACTTCACAAGCTCAGTTTGAAACAATGGCCTCCCATAATTTTGTTTAAAAAAATGTCCCCCTGGCCAGGCATGGTGGCTCACACCTGTAATCCCAACACTTTGAGAGGCCAAGGTGAGCAGATCACTTGAGGTCAGGAGTTTGAGACCAGCCTGGCCAACATGGTGAAACCTTGTCTCTATTAAAAATACAAAAATTAGCCAGGTGTGGTGATATGCACTTGTAATCCCAGTGACTTGGGAAGCTGAAGCAGGAGAATCACTTGAACCTGGGAGGTGGACATTGTAGTGAGCTATTGCGTCAGTGCACTCCAGCCTGGGCAACAGAGAAGACTTCATCTCACTTAGGTGAGAGTATAACTAAAACTTACGGTTTTAGTGCCACTCTCAGTTGCCATCATTTTGGGTTTCTGGTCTCAGTACATCATTCGTAGGGTACAGTGAGCTCATGGGTCATACATCTCTTTGAGTTTTTGTCATTCTGGTTGAATAGAGATCATTTGGCATTATATGGATGGCTACATCCAAACATTTAAAACTTCTTCGAGAATACAGTGCAGCTGGGAGACTACTATCATGACTATCAGGAAGTTGTTTAAAGAGTTTAGAGTATGCTCCTTAGCCAAGGTCCCCATGAAACAAACTAACTAAAATCAAATAGATCACAGAATGAGCTAGATAAGGAGTCTATTTTTTAAGCAAGCAGCCTTTTCATTAATTCCTTACAGCTGAATTTCTATAATGCCCAATGTATTCCTCCATGTACAACTTGAAGTATCAGCAGCTGCACAGGTAATTCTCTGTTTAGCCAATAAGTAATCAAGAGCAATTCTATTATTTAGCACAATGTTTTTACAAGAATTTAAAGTCTGCTGTGTAACCATAGCCTTTACAGTAGAATCTGCTATTGAGCCTTTTATAAAGAATAAATTTTTAATCATTGCCTTATTTACTCCAAACTATGGAAAAAGAGACCTAACAAATGCTACCCATCTAGAAGAGTGAAGGCCTCCTGGCAACATTCTCTTTAACCTATGATGTAGGTTAAGAGGAGTGGTCCAATGTTCTGTTTCTGACTGATTATGAAGCAACAAAGATACCATTAAAATTCCTAGCTCACATTGGCCCTTCATCTTCCATTTTTCAAGGCATAAAATTGTCCATATATTAGATTGGCTACAAAATCCTCCACAAATACAAATATACCCTACAAATGTACAAGAGAGATCCTTTTCAGTTCTCTTATTCATAGAGGCATAAGCAAGGAAAAATAGAGAGATCAGAGTCTCATAATAGCAGAGAAGTCTTGATCTGTGATACTGGGACAAAGCGTCCACTTTAAGGTTGTCATTTGCTTGTGGGGAGAAGCATCTCTAGTTAGCTTTACTTTAAGATCTCTGATGGGTGTACAGTTCCAAGAGTCTCAAGGGACCCTTCTGAGTTGTGATATTATGAACCCAAGGCCCAAGGTCCCAACGTTTTTCTGCTGTGTGGATGGCAAAGACAGTCTTTCTCTGATGTTGTTCTCAAAAGATACAATCTCTAAGTTCTAGATTATGAAGGGTTTGATTATTCTCAGTCAATAGAACATGAGAAGCTTTCTTTACCTGGTAAAAATATACCTTGGCATAATGTATTAAAGCATTGCAGCATTTAGCTCTATCAGAATTCAGTAGTGAAGGCTGCATGAGGTTCTATTATCAGGTTCATACACCTTCCAGTAAGACTATTTTATAAAGTGTCACCTTCTGTTTTACCTTGGAAGTGGATCTGAGTGTCATCAATCTGAAATATTTTTGACCAAAGCAATCCACTCAGTTCAGTTAGCTTTGCCTAAAGCTACTGTATCTAGAATACCTTATTAACTGTTTTACAACTTTCCAGTGAAACAAGTGCTTCTATCACTGAAGATTGCCCAGGAATGTTCCATGACAAAAATACATTTCATAATAACCTTTTAGCTACTGCTATGACATCAGCCCTCTGGCATGGGAAAGCTTTTATACAACCAGATAACATGCATTGCAAATGACGATATAATGAAAATCTTCTTTAAATGTTTAAATGTCCCATCAGGTAGCAGAGATATACCTGAAGTTTTGATTGTCTCCCCAGGAATATGGGTTTGACAAATCAAACACTAACTGTAAGCTATGTTAATGATTTAGAACAGCAACCAAATCAATATATATAATTTTAATTGGGATCATTTTATTTCTTTCATGATGAGTCATGGAATTCAAAGCTTTTAGTAATGACAGCTTTAAGGAGTCAGAAAGGACCAGGCAGCTGTTCAGGTTCTCCATGAGTCTAAGCTTAACAATGGACTTATGTTCTCCTTTTTTTTTTTTTTTTGAGATGGAGTCTCACTCTGTCGCACAGGCTGGAGTGCAGTGGCGCAATCTCAGCTCACTGAAAACTCCGCCTCCCAGGTTCAAGCGATTCTTCTACCTCAGCCTCCCAAGTAGCTGGGATTACAGGCACCCACCACCATGCCTGGCTAATTTTTGTATTTTTAGTAGAAACGGGGTTTTGCAATGTTGGCCAGGCTGGTCTCGAACTCCTGACCTCATGATCTGCCCGCCTCGGCTTCCCAAAGTGCTGGGATTACAGGCGTGAGCCACCACACCCGGCCTTATCTTCTCTTAAATACCAGTTTCTTTTTTCCAATTTAGGACATAGCACTGATAACTGATGAATTATCACAGATAGTTTGACTTGGACTATGGAGTTCATTCAAATTGCACATTTAAACAATTTCAATACTGGCTGATTTAGCATGAAAATCTAGCAAAGTATTTTCTTGGTTTTCAACTATTTTTTGTCCTGCTTGGGTTAGCAGTTTTACAAACCAGTCAGTCTCTTCATTAGAGTTCCGGGAATTCTTATCCAGTCCAAATGATATGATCCTAAAGCTATTAAAAACCTGTATTTAAGAGTGCTCATCAAGGTCCTTTCCATCATTTTCATGAATCTCTAAACACACAGTACTCTAGGATTTTGCGTGCTTGTGAAGTCTTCAGAAAGCGCATCAAAATTAAGCCATGAACTGTGGAAAAACTTAAAATGGTCATAAAGACACAATTGACAAGAAAATTTTGTTATTTCTGTGGCCTACAATTATTTAACATAACAGCAAAAAATATGAATGATAGCATAGATCCAAACATTTGAGAATTTTAGGAATTCTATACAATTTTGGAACAGATATTAATAACATTAATTAAAATATAACTCGAAAAAGGTTAAACATCATTTCTTATTTGACAATGTTTTCCACATAATTTGCCATATCAAAGAATCCTGTTTATCTCTGTTTTGAATGCTACAGGGTCCCTCTGTAGCATCCCAAAGTTATAGGTTAAAAAACAAAGATCTAATTTTGAAGCTAATTGCAGTGAGCCGAGATCACGCCACTGTACTCCAGCCTGGGCAACAGAGCGAGACACCGTCTCAAAAAGAAAAAAAAAAACAACTTTCTTTGTCCTATTTCTTAATGGGATCCTCTCTGAACCTGGTCATTTTAGCTAAGAAACAGCAGCTAAGTTAAATGCCTTTTTAAAAATATGTCTTTCTAGAATTTAACTGGCTATTTTGAAATGCTTTTGTAAAAGAATTTTACATCTATAAAAAGATCTCAAAAAATTAACTCAGAGCTAATTTTGATATCGGGAAGCCTGTCAAATATGTCAAAAGTTTAAAGCACTTGACCAAAATAGAATCACAGGTCATTATAAAATAATAGTCACTCTTTTAGCTATAGTGAATTAAAATATTTTAAAAAACAAACATGTTTACTATTTGATAGAGGAGACTGAGTTTTCCAAACAATCAAAAGATCCGACAAAGACTTCATGAGACAGAATCTATCTCTCTTTCTCTCTTCTCTTTTTTATTTTTTGCAGTTCACTAAGTTTATTTTTCTTACCTTTCGAGGAAATTGCAAAAAATAAAACGTCACTTATTAATATTACATAGAATTTTTGTTCAAAAAAGAAAAATACATTTTACTTTTATATTAGTGTAATATCAATAAAGCTAATTTTAATAAAACCTTATAGACAAACTCTTTCAGCCTCAGTCAGCTTTTGACCACACTAGATTTCCATAAATCGTTTATAATCTCTTAACATTTTTCAACTTTTCATATTTTAGTTTACCTGCATCCTTTTAAACTTTTTTTCAATTTGAAACAAACTTTAAGTAACATGAACTAGACAACATTTTTTAACAACACATTTTTATGCCTTTATAACTTCCCTAATCAAAAGCATAGCTTGATTTTGTTTATGCACTTTCTATACAGAATTGTCTTCTCACATCTAGTAGTTTTAATTGCATGTATTAACTTTAACTCTTAGTAAACCTAATTTTTAGTGAAATCCGTAGAAAGCAATTTTGAACTATTTTATATCAGTATTGATAGATAAAAACCACTTTTAATATTTTAGAAAGATATTTTCCTCAAATTATTGTTTATTAACAGATCTAAATACATTTAACTTTTCTATACTATATAAAAATAAGATGGTAAAGTATATAAACTTAAACTTATGTTTAATTATTAATGTTTTAGTATTTTAATTTACAAATGACTAGAGCTTTCATCATTATATGTCATTTAGTTGAACATATCTTAAGATTTTAAAATCATTGAAAAGAATTTTGAAACTATTACACGGGTACCCTCCCTAATGTCTTCCTAGTTATCCTGGGTCTCAAGTAACCAGGTGGCACCCAGGATGGCTATGCCGGGCAGAGCCTGACTCAGTCCTGGATTTATATGCCCGGTGTAGAGCTCAGGGCAGAACACAGAGCTGTGAAGATGCCTGGAGGATCTAACTCCTCTCAGAGTAACCAGGAGGCAAAGCTGGGGCAGGGAAGAAGGGCCATAATGGGCTTGATTTTGTAACTGCTGGTCTAGACACTGAGATCATGTCTCCAGGCCTCACCATGGCCACCTATCCAGACCCCTAAATCCAGAGGCTAAAAGCCAAAAACATAGCTCACAGTCAAAACAAGCAAGTTTCTAATTATATTTAACAGATAATTTTGAAGCCACTCCTATTTTACCAACAATTTAAAATCTGCTATATTTACCAAGTATTATCACATATACAAACCACTTGCAGACATACAAACACACAGAGAGAAACAGATGTTATAGCTTTCATGAAGGTTTATTTGCAGGCTTTTAAATAGTTATTCTATTCCCCATTTAGATTATCAATCTTCCAATTTCCTGTTTCATAGCCCTAAGCAATTGTTAACCAGGTAACAATTTTGCACTTCTAAAGGAACAACTGTTAGGTGAAACAAAAAGAAAAGTATATTTTTTAAGCACAGAGCTAAGATTTTAGCCCTAAGTATTGCTCAAACCAAGGAAAAAATGGTATAAGTAAAAGTTCAGTAAAGACAAGACAGCCAGAAAAGCACCTTAAACAAAGGCATGACTTGTGTAATTTAAAACAACAATAAGAGTTTCTAACGTTTACAGGTAGACACCTTACACATGGAGATCTTCTTATAGATGTAAAGTTCTTTTACAAAAGCGTTTCAAAATAGCCAGTTAAATTCTAGAAAGACATATTTTTTAAAAGGCATTTAACTTAGCTGCTGTTTCTTAGCTAAAATGACCGGGTTCAGAGAGGATCCCATTAAGAAATAGGACAAATAAAGTTTTTTTTGTTTGTTTGTTTGTTTTCTTTTTGAGACGGTGTCTTGCTGTGTTGCCCAGGCTGGAGTACAGTGGCGCCATCTCGGCTCACTGCAAGCTCCGCCTCCCAGGTTCACACCATTCTCCTGCCTCAGCCTCCGGAGTAGCTGGGACTACAGGCGCCCGCCACCGCGCCCGGCTAATTTTTTGTATTTTTAGTAGAGACAGGGTTTCACAGTGTTAGCCAGGATGGTCTCGATCTCCCGACCTCGTGATCTGCCCGCCTCAGCCTCCCAAAGTGCTAAGATTACAGGCGTGAGCCACCGCGCCCGGCCAAGAAAGTATTTTTTAATGTATGGACTCAGCATGGGTAGATCTGAAAAGTAAGCAAGCCCACTCTACCTGAGGTCCTACCTTTTATAAACACTTGATCTAGGATAGCTTTCTTTTCACCTTTGGGGCAGGATAGTAACTAAGCCAGAAGATTAGCAGATTTAATTTTTCTTCTCAGCTAGGCACTTAAGCTTTTTATTTGCTTTTTATAAAAATTATTTTAAAAACAATAAAAATATTGAAATCTCTTTAGAATCTTTTGCATATCAATAGACAACCCTAGAGGAGACTAATTCAGGAACCCTCATTTTCAAATGCACTTCTTTCAGTGCAGTAGTGTTCGTTTGGATTGTTCCATTGTAATTTTAAGTTACTTTTAGTAAGATTTTGCTATTTCTGTAAGTGTTTGCTGCTTCTGGGACCTGATACTTACACATGTAAATGTAGGCATAACTGGAAGGTGGATTCTTAAGAAAGGAACCTATTTTTATCTTGAACTTTGGCTTTGCCTCAGATTTTCTTGATCACCTTAGCCAATGATTCTTCCCTACCCAAGCATACAAGAAAAAAATAAACAAATGGGGTAGAACAAAAACATCTCTGCAAATTTCTGAAACCAAAACTTACAACCCTGCAATGTTGCCATATACTACAGGTTCTGTCTGATCCAGTCAGACATCTGAGGCTGCTAACTGGATCCAAGCCAATTAATTATCAAAC
Organism: Homo sapiens; assembly: GCF_000001405.40. Taxonomy (NCBI): domain Eukaryota; kingdom Metazoa; phylum Chordata; class Mammalia; order Primates; family Hominidae; genus Homo; species Homo sapiens. The sequence goes on from NC_000013.11 coordinate 38,426,806, forward strand.
CCAATCTGATCCTGCCCCTATTTCAGTCTCGGTAGTGACTTCCAAATCCAGTTTTAATCAGGAACTTGCTCAAACAAACCCAGAGAGCTCGAAACTCAAAAGTGTAGAGATTTGGAATCTGAGCGAGAACTTACCACGACCTGCAGTTGCTGTGAGAGAACAGTGGACACCAGGGCCCAGCAGGTCCCGTGCTTGGTCCCTCAGTGCTCCTGGGGCTTGCTGGAAGCTCTATTTTGGATTCCACCTCTGACACCATCTGTTAAAAGAAAAACCTTAGACAAATTAACTTTAACAAAGTTTGATTGAGGACAGAAAAATTAGCAAATCAGACAGCCTCCTGAGCCACAGTGGACTCAGAGAGACTCCATCCAGTGGAGCCGTTGTAGGATTTTTCCTTAGTTCAGCTAAAGATGGGGGGTCCTTGTCCATCCCACAGCCATGAAAATTTAGGCTTGCAGGCAGTTTGGAGGGTGAGTGAAGCAGGGTTTTATTGGGTGAAAAAGAAGCAAAGGGGGAAACAGGGACTCTCAGAAGGCCAGAGTTCCTACTAGAGCACATCCCTCCCACTGCTCATGACTCTCTTCCCACAATAAAGTCTCTGACACTACATTTCTAGTGAGCCCATATAACGATGAGGCCACTAGGCAAAACTTTGGGATGTAGTATCTGCAGTTCCTGGAAGCTGTGAATCCCAGTTTCCACACAAGATGAGGAGGGGCCAGGCTCCTCCATGTTCCCAAGACTCCATCTCAGTGGGCAGGCTGGTTGGAGTTTCTCCAGGGACCCCCTCACACCTGGCTGTCTAACTGCACCACTGCTCTCCAGCCTGAGCGACAGAATGAGACTGTGTCTCAAAATAATAATAAGTAAAATAAAAAGTTGTTATAGCTATAATGGCACTACCATTGCCCCTATCAACCTCAGTCTTCTGGAAAGATCAAAAGGACACGTGATATTTTGAAACTAAAATTGGCAAAGCTAGTTGAATTGATTGTATTGCCTTGGCCAAAAACATTACCACTGGCTTTAATGCCAATCAGGTCCACTCCCACTGGGAAATATAGATTGGCCCCCTCATGAAATTATTACTGGAAGGCCTATGCTTCTATTAATAGAATCTCATTTATCTCCTACTCTCTGAAACTGTGATATGACTAAATACTGCAAGGTTTTAATGCGTTATGCCCAAGTGTATTTTCAGCAGGTAAAGGACACTTTCTGTTTTTCAACAATTGAGGAAAATAACACTCTTCACAATCTGGAACCTGTAGATTGGATCTTCTGGAAACAACATCAAAGAAAGAGTGCCCTTGAAACTCAATGGAAGGGAAAATACCAAGTTCTCATCACACACACTGCAGTAAAATTTCAGGGCCTCAAATCTTGGGTCCAACATCTCATCAATCAAAAGGGCCCCTCCAGACTTTTGGAACTGCACACCTGTTGGAGAACTTGAGGTAAAGCTGACTAGGAAAGTTTGTCCCCAGAAGCAGATGACACTCTAGACTTGGAAAGCTTTCCCAAGATCTGTTTGTAAGGCCAAGACTTATCTGCCATGGTGAAAGCCTTATTTTACTTTCTTTTTTCCTGATTTTCTGCTGTCCTAATCCCTTTTCTTACAGGAAAATGGATGATACCATAATCTGTGGATGGCTTTAGGTAAGGCTTATGCTCTAGCAAGAAACCAAAGCAATTTTTATCACAGGAGAATATAGTAGGAGAAAAGACTTTTTTTTTTAACTTTGTAAATGTGGCTATATATTCAAAGCTGGTAGGTAATTTGAATAATTTTCATGCTTTTTACAGGACAGTTGTACAGCATTAGAGAAACACTTTTACTGCAAAGGCTTGGCTTTAGGTTAAAAATTTAACTTAGTATACTTTTGTATTCTAAATAGGAATGTTTACTACTATATTTTCCTTACCAAAATATTGCACTTTCAATCATGCACTAGGGTACAATTTTATGTTTTACTTTTTGTAGGCTAATGCCCAGAAATCATAAACCAATCCCACTAATGCCAATGTCTTTCTATGTTCCCAGTGAAAGTCACCCTGAAACCCCAAAGGAAGAATGTAAAAGGAATCCTTGATATTCTAGACATCACTGCTACATGCTTTTCTACTCTCTGGAAATGCTACCCTAACCTTTCCAATTAATAACCTTGCTACTACCAAATATAAAAATAAATATTTGAGTAATGCCTACAAAGGGTATATTTTGCTTCCAGTCATTGCATACTGAAGAACTTGGAAGTACCTATGCGAGTCTGAGTAATTGCTTGTATGATGTAACTGAATTAAATTCAGTAAGGTTTCTTTCTACTAAATGTGGTTAACTACATTTCTCTATTCGGGTTTCCTTGGCCTCACAGTGAGCATAAATCTATATCCCAAATATGTGTGAATGAATATCTAATTTTACTTCAATGTTTGTGTCTTCTATTAAGTTTCTGTGAAATTACATTGGTTTATTAATACAGCTTAAATAATATGTATAGTATAACCTATAATCTTTCCCTATGTCTTATGTATTTTGTTTGGAAAGATGTCTAGAATCATATTCACTAAATGTTCAGACTGGTTATATCTAGATAATGCAATTCTAGTTGATTATTTTTCTATTTTCTTTTCTGCTTTCTTCCCATTTGTGAAGATTTATAGTGAATATGCATTTTTGATATAAAATACTAAAGATTCAAAAAACAATAAATTATTAATAGCAAAATAAAGTTCAAAGAAAGCAAGTATGTTTTAGGGCATGGATAATATAGTACTACTTATATACAAGTAGGGAGTACTTAATATATTACAAGAGTAAACAAAGAAGTCGTTTCTGTTTTTATAGAATCCCAGAGATTTATGAATATCACAGGAAAAAAAGGCTTTTTTTTTTTACTTTGTAAATGTGGCTATATATTCAAAGCTGGTAAGTAATTTGAATAATTTTCGTGCTTTTTACAGGACAGTTGTACAGCATTAGAGAAACACTTTTACTGCAAAGGCTTGGCTTTAGGCTAAAAATTTAACTTAGTGTACTTTTCTATTCTAAATAAACATATTTAATACTATATTTTCTTTATCAAAATATAGCACTTTCAACCATGCAATAGGGTACAATTTTATGTGTTACTTAAATATATGAACATGTGTGGTTTCTATTTAATGACAGTTAGATTATGAAACTTTTTTTTACATTTCACATAGTGAAATATTTTAACATTTGACACAGTGGAAATACAGCTTTAAGCAATTAGATGAAAATGACTCTGTTACCACAACATTGATGCTATGGTCATATAACTATCCTGAACTGACTTAAAAGGAATATTTTCAGACATCCCATTGCTTTTTGCGTAATCAATCAGAAGTGCTCTAAATATAAATCAGTCATTAGAAAAAGCTGAAAAATCAAATAAAGCACTTTTCAATGAAGAACATTTTTATTTTATGACCCTGGTTTTTGAAGAAATTGCCAGTTGAGAATCCATGATTACTATGTATGAATCTTTGAAAGCAGAGCTTGTATAAGATGTAATAATAACATAAAGTCCAAGTTTTTCCCAACATAGACATTAGTGCTACTTCTTGAGGACTATATAAAATCCATATGTTAAATATGAATTTAAATAACGATTAGAAATCTATTTGCATTCATTTAACAAACTTTCATTGTTGATTGGCACCATTTGAAAGTCTCTGTGTAGACAAGGGACGCACAAGAACATTATCTGTTCCTTCACCTTCAATTTCACCAGTGACAAATCAAGATATCGTTGATCCTTGACATACATCTATATGCAGACTTACTATCCCTTGCTTCTAGTCACTCAGAAATTATTACTTTCTTCTTAGGCCCCATACATTTGATATTAGCGTTAAATAATTTCTGTAAGTAGTTCCAATCAGTAGAATCAGAAATACTAGCTCTATCCTAAATAGTGCTGTTTCTCCCAGTCTCTCTTTTAAGGTTCTTCTTTATTATGCTACCTCAAAAAAGTCACAATCTATTTCTATTGTAGCTTTTTAAAATATCTCATTTCCATTCCAGTCCCATTTTTTTCTAAGGATGTGTCTTATTTTCAAGATCAACACATGTGAATTATTTTAGTCTCATCATCTAAATATGTACAAATCAGCCTTTAACTTTCGTTACTTATCCTGATGACTAAACTTTCACAACCCATGTAATTAGCATGGAATTTAGATTTGAGCAGATCTATTTGAATCCCAGCCCTATTACTTACTAGCCTTGTATCCCTCACTAACTTAATTAACTTCTGTGACACTAAGTTTCTTCATTTATAAAAAGGGGATTGGGAAAAAAAAACCTTTCCTGGGATAATATAACTAATAAATGTGAATGTTCAGCACATGTGATATAACTTCTTTTTATTTCTGGCTTAATTTTCAGTGGGTGACCTTTCTGGACCTGGTATCCTGATTCCAGGGATATAATCTACTGTGTCTTGTAGCTCCTTTGACTCTTAATATAATAAAGATGAATTGTGTGAGTGTAACAGCTACTAACACTGGAGACATAAATGTAATTTCATTTACAGTAATCCCCCTTGACTATTCTACAACTCCTAAGACCTTTTTGGTCACTTTTATGAAATTTTTCTTGGGTAATTTTGAGCAGGAATGGGTTCCCCCAGATCCCAACCCTGTATCCAGTTTAAGTAACAAGTCATTTCATCAGTGGCATCCCTTACCAGCAAAGCACTCTTCCCCTCTACCTTTTTTTTTTTTTAAAGATAAACTGTAAGAAATGTCTGACTATTATGAAGGGTATTTAGGAACATTCAGGTTTAGAGATTACTAATTCAGCAACATCTGATGCTATTTGGGACTTGTGTAAAATAAAGAACTACTAAACAGTTCATTTAGGAACAAAGAGCTAGATAAAGAGAGATTTCTAGAGCTTTGGGGCCCATCTGGTCTGAGCTTTAATGTGGCCCCTGGTCCTTCTCTGTCCTAATATCATCATCCTCTTCCTGTCACTTGAACTGATATCCGAAAGAATCCTGTCTCTGTTCATGCTTATTGAGAAATTTTACTGGGTTGCTTCAAGTTTCAAAAGTTTTATGCCATAAATGCCACATTTATTAAGGTTCTTTTGGATACAAACTGCAGGAATCAATTCAGGCAATCTTAATATGAAAGAAGGAGGAAGAGTAGAAAAGAAATTTATTTGAAGGATACTGGAGTTCATCTCAAAACAGAAAAGGCTGAATAACTAAGACTTAGGAAGGGAAAGGATCTAGCCTGCCCTGGGGACTTTAGCACAGAAGTAACAGACACTTTTGCTCTGTAAAATAATCTTCCTGGACTTGGCTATGATATGAAGGTTAAAAAAAAAAAAAAGAAAAGGGAAAATAAAATAATCTTTTATTGGACTTAGCTTCAGTGACTGGTAGTGCCCATTATTCTCTGGTTCCTGTTTCAAACTGGGAAGAAAGAATCTGCTTGTCCCACTTGGACCAGATGTGTGTCCCCAGACTGATTAATCGCAAAGAGCAGACAATTATAAGAGAATAAGGAATTGTTGAACAATTACCTGAGAAGTATCTCCCCTGCTTACATATGTTTTCAACTCAATTCTTTTTCTGCTTCTATTAAATGTTTTTATTTCATTTCTTCTCTTTTTCTGCCTTTGAACAAACCAGGCATTGCCTGCTAAACAAAAAAACTGAATTCAGAATTTAAAAAACAATTTACGGTTTCCTTTTCTTATGCGTGGAAAGAGTTAGTCATTTTTTTCCTTATGCAGTGTTTTAGTTTAATATATCAGGAGACGATATTTGGAGAACTGTTTTTTGAAGGAATCTCTTGTTTTCCATCATAAACATTTTCAGTGGTGGGGTGAAATGGAATACCTTCCAGGGGGCTGTAATAGAGCCTGTAGCGTGGAGGAAGAGCTTTTTTCTCATTCTTGCTCCTTGTTGTGTTTATGCTGACGTACCCATTTAACTCAGAAGTAAAGTTAGTTCTAAAGCAGATGATGGTGATTCAGATAGAGGCTTCAAAATCTATGGTTCAAGTTAAGAGATATAGCTTCTATAATTGTTGCATATTATTATTACTATTTTTTATTTTACTTTAAGTTCTGGGATACATGTGTAGAACGTGCAGGTTTGTTATACAGGTATACATGTGCCATCGTGGTTTGCTGCACCCATCAACCTGTCATCTGCATTAGGTATTTCTCCTAATGCTATCCCTCTCCTAGTCCCCCACCCCACAACAGGACCTGGTGTGTGATGTTCCCCTCCCTGTGTCCATGTGTTCTCGTTGTTCAGTTCCCACTTATGAGTGAGAAAATATGGTGTTTGGTTTTCTGTTCCAGTGTTAGTTTGCTGAAAATGATGGTTTCAAGCTTCATCTATGTCCCTGCAAAGGACATGAACTCATCCTTTTTTATGGCTGCATAGTATTCCATGGTGTATATGTGTCACTTTTTTTAATCCAGTCTATAATTTCTGGGTATTTGGGTTGGTTCCAAGTCTTTGCTATTGTGAACAGTGCTGCAATAAACATACACGTGCATGTGTCTGTATAGTAGAATGATTTATAATCCTTTGGGTATATTCCCAGAAATGGGATAGCTGGGTCAAATGGTATTTCTGGTTCTAGATCCTTGAGGAATCGCCACACTGCCTTCCATAATGGTTGAACTAATTTACACTCCCACCAACAGTGTAAAAGTGTTCCTATTTCTTCACATCCTCCCCAGCATCTGTTGTTTTCTGAATTTTTAATGATCTCTATTCTAACTGGCATGAGATGGTATCACATTGTGGTTTTGATTTGCATTTCTCTAATGAGCAGTGATGATGAGCTTTTTTTCGTACGTTTTTTGGCCACACAAATGTCTTCTGGCACAAGTCAAGGCTGCCCTCTCTCACCACTTCTATTCAACATAGTATTAGAAGTTCTGGCCAGGAAAATTAGTCAAGAGAAATAAATAAACGCTATTCAAATAGGAAGAGAGGAAGTCAAATTGTCTCTGTTTGCAGATGACATGATTGTATATTTAGAAAACCCCATCGTCTCAGCTCAAAATCTCCTTAAGCTGATAAGCAACTACAGCAAAGTCTCAGGATAAAAAATCAATTTGCAAAAATCACAGCATTCCTATATACCAATAATAGACAAACAGAGGGCCAAATCATGAGTGAACTCCCATTCACAATTGCTACAAAGAGAATAAAATACCTAGGAATCCAACTTACAAGGGATGTGAAGGACCTCTTCAAGGAGAACTACAAACCACTGCTCAAGGAAATAAGATAGGACACAAACAAATTGGAAAACATTCCATGCACATGGATAGGAAGAATCAATATCATAAAAATGGCCATATGCCCAAAGTAATTTATAGATTCAATGCTATCCCCATCAAGCTACCATTGACTTTCTTCACAGAATTAGAAAAAAAACTACTGTAAATTTCATATGGAACCAAAAAAGAGCCTATGTAGCCAAGACAATCCTAAGCAAAAAGAACAAAGCTGGAGGCATCATGCTACCTGACTTCAAACTACACTATAAGGCTACAGTAACCAAAACAGCATAGTACTGGCACCAAAACAGAAATATAGACTGATGGAACAGAACAGGGGTTTCACAAATAATGCCACACATCTACAACCGTCTGATCTTTGAAAAACCTGACAAAAACAAGAAATGGGAAAGGATTACCTATTTAATAAATGGTAAAGGAAAACTGACTAGCCATATGCAGAAAATGAAACTGGACCACTTCCTTACACCTTATACAAAAATTAACTCAAGATGGATTAAAGACTTAAACGCAAGACCTAAAACCATAAAAACCCTAGAAGAAAACCTAGGCAATACCATTCAGGACATAGGCGTGGGCAAGGACTTCATGACTAAAACACCAAAAACAATGGCATCAAAAGCCAAAGTTGACAAATGGGATCTAATTAAACAAAAGAGCTTCTGCACAGCAAAAAAAAAAAAAAAAAAAAACAAAAAAACAAAAAAACAAAAAAAAAAAACCTATCATCAGAGTGAACAGGCAACCTACAGAATGGGAGAAAATTTTTGCAATCTATCCATCTGACAAAGAACTTAAACAAATTTACAAGAAAAAAAACAACCCCATCAAAAAGTGGGCAAAGGATATGAAAAGACACTTCTCAAATTGTTGCCTATAATTAACTCTTAGGGTTCTCTGTGGGGTTCTTCAGCCTGGAGGTTGAAGGTGGATAAAACAGGTATAATTAATATTTTAAGCATTAATCAGAGAATAAAATAAATGCCATTAGTGTGGTATGAAATCACACAGTTTCCATGAAACCAAGACTTAAATCTTGCTATTTTAAGTATATCCATACCATATAAAACCCTCATGAGCTCTGGTTTTATACACTGGTAAGTTCTAATTGCTCCCATTTATAGCAATACCCCATATCTCAATGCTCTGAACCTCCACACTTAATTAGAAGGTGACTAGTTTTTCCTGGTTCTTATTCATCACCTGAGCTGTGGCCAGCAGCTCTGCAATTCCCCGATCATGTAATCCATTGCTCCTGACATTCTTAGTTGCTGTTGTGCTTCTGCCCTTGACACCTGCGTTTTGCTGCCTAGCTGCTTTTCATCCCTAATGCTTCTGGCACTGCCACCAACATGGACCTACCTTGCATTATTAAGCCATCACTCTCTATGGTTTCTCTTTCTCCTTTCATTAGGAAAGCTCCTCTTCTCATGACTAGTTCATTTAGACTCATTCCCCCAAGAAAGCTATTGACCCCTTGTGACATGTTCTGTTTTGCCTTCTTACTACCGCTCTCTACTTCTTGGGCCACGAAGATACTTTGGGAAAGGGAGAAGGGATGGTCAAGTGCAGTGTTCTGGTGTATCTAAAGGGAATCTTCCTGCCAACATTGAGGCCTGTTTTCAGTCTGGCCTACTCTGCCAAACTTCTTGACTCATGATGCTTTTTTCCACGAACTTCATTGCCTTTTCTTGGTCTCATTCCTATAGAAAAGTCAATATTCTGATTGTAGGCTAGGAACAAGCTCTTTTGCATGAGTCCCTTGAGCCTCATGTAGATTAAGTGGTGTCCCAAGCCTTTTGCATTATTCCCCCAAACATCCTGTGGCCAATAGGAGGCACGTTTTCCTAGAATGAGTGGAGGACCTCTAAGAGGGAGCTATTCTCTAACCTCTATTCTAACTTTGGCCCAGCCTTGAATGTTCCAAAACATCTACATCCATGTCACCTAGAGATCCTATGTGCATGTGTTACATGTTATAATATAATTCTTTTTTAAATTGTAAAATATACATAACAAACAACATACCATCTTAATCATTTCAAATGGACAGGTCAGTGGTATTAAGTATATTCACATTGTGCAACTGTCATCACTATCCGTCTTCAGAACTGCTTCATCATCTCAAACAGAAGTTATAGCCATTAAACAAGAACTCCCATTCGTCCCTCCCCAAAACTCTTGATAACTATATTTTACATTTTGTCTCTATGAATTTAACTATTCTAGATAGAAGTAAAATTATACAATACTTATCCTTTTGTGCTTGGTTTATGTCACTGAACATAATGTTTTAGCAGTTTCTCCATATTATAGCATGTGTTGGAATTTAATTTTTTAAGGCTAATAATATTCCTCGAATGTATATATAATATTTTGTTTATCTCTTCATCTGTTGGTAGATATTTGGGTGGTTCCACCATTTGGCTATTGTGAATAATGCTGCTATGAACATGGGTATACAAATATCTGCTCCTATCCTAATTTCAACCGCAAAAACTCCCACAAGTAGGCACATGTATATGATTAAATTCATTAAAATAAGAAAGATTTTATCCAGCTAGTCTACTTGAAAATAGGTAGCTTGGCCAGGCATAGTGGTTCACATCTGTAATCCCAGCACTTCGGGAGGTTGAGGCGGGTGGACTGCTTGAGCTGAGGTGTTTGAGACCAGCATGGGCAACATGGCGAAAACCCATCTCTACAAAAAATACAAAAATTAGCCAGGTGTGGTAAATACAAAAATTAGCCAGATGTGGTGGCATGTGTGTCTGTAGTCCCAACTCCCTGGGAGGCTGAGGTAGGAGGATGGCCTCAGCCCAGGAGATGGAGGTTGCATTGAGCCATGATCACACCACAACAATCCAGCCTGGATGACAGAGCGAGACCATGTCTCAAAAACAGACAAATAAACAAATGAAAATAGGCTTTGGGGTTGCACACATTAATAAATAATGTATTTATTAATATAGATTGAGTCATTTAGGTTCATTAATTAAATTATTAATTTAAATTATAGAGAGACTAGGGAATACAAATACAAATGAGATAATGTTATTGCACTTAAGGTTTTTGTAGTCCAGGGTAAGCAGATGAGGAAATGAGTGCTCAAAGCGATGTGATAATTATTAAAGTGGTCATTTACACAATGTCCTATGGTAACACAGAGAAAAACACTTAACTCTGAAGAGAGGGGGGTTTCTTAGAAGACATGATACTGGAACTGAATCTGGAAACATAAGTAGAATACTGTCTTGAGACATTGAGTGAATAGAAGTAGTTTTCCTGGCTAAGAAGAAAGAGTCTAAAAATCATGCAGACTGGGGAAATAGACTCAGTGAATGGTAAGTGGTTAATATGTCTACAGCACTGTGTGCAAATTGAGAATTGTTGGGGGCTGAGATTACACAGGTATTCAAATGCAAGATCATGAAAGGTTGTATTCCCGTGTATGCTAAGGAGTTCATATTTTATCTAAAAGCAAGTCTGACAATGCAGCTAATTCTCCTGAAATTTTAAATTCATTTTGATAAAATCCTCTTGCATGAGTTTGGATCTAGCCTTCTTTCCTGACACATTGGGCACAGCACTGCCACCTACTCAGGAACAAATTGTGCCAATACTTAATAACAGTCCACCCACATGGACTTTTAAAATCAGTCTAATTATGAGAGATTATAGCTCTTTCATGTTAGTAATTAATTTGCTCACTGTTTTTTTATCACTGGTAAATGATAACTAATTTCAGATTATCTAGAAGTACCCTAAATTCTAAATAGAATTTTGAAACTAAAATGGTTTGAAAATCTTGTTTTGTTCTGAGTCACACCAGGGCTATTTTATGAAAGATTGTGTTGCAAACCTGCAGCTTATTTTCTGTTTGACAGTCTCTACCTTTCTAACTAGGAGATGTTTCTTTACATCCAGTTTAATCATAACGTAAAATGGTGATGGACTGATAATATTAATGGATTTCAGGGTAAAAAGTGTTCAACAATGCATCCATTTTCTGAAGCTCACCCTGTAAATTCATTACCATTGTATTCTAGTGGGACTCCTATGAGTCAAATATCAGATGGATGTATAACTTGGAAATAAAGTAACAAATTGTCCCAGAAAGTAGTCTACTTGCCAATATAAAAGGGGGATGGAGGGTTTTTGTGTTACTCATTACATTTTTTTGCACTAATCTATCTTAATTAAATAACACTCTTCTGAACTGCAGAAATTATCATTTTGACATTTTATAACAAAATATTCTCAGATAAAATTATATATGGTAATATAGCAATTTCAACATGTTAGTGGAGGCTGCCTACCTAACATGGGACACTATTAAAGTATAAAAAGAGACTGCCTGTCTAACGTGGGACACTCAACACTTAGGAGGAAGCAGCTGTCTAAATGTTTTCTCTCTAAAAGCAATAGGCCTCGTTCACAGTCCTAAGAAGTTTCTCATAAGATTTGAAGGCACCCCACCCCCCCCATGAAAATTAGAAAATCTAGGAACAGCGAAGCTTAAAAAAAATCAATCCACATATGAAAGAGTGCAGGGTTTAGACAATTAGGATGATTGAATTACAAATGTTTTGATGCTTAGATGCTGGAAATCTTAGAGAATTTATAAGAAAACATCTTTCTAAAATGATACAGTGCATTAGATAAAAAGCACATTATCATATTTAGAACACATGTACATACTTTCTTAAAGGCACAGCTGGCTTATAACTTTTCTTTTACAAATGTTATATGTTGTAGGTTAATTTCTTTCCAGTGTATATTTCTTTGAAGTGAAAACCTAGGAACAGAGCTATAGAGAGACCATTACATGCAACAAGTATCCTGGAGAAAAAACTTGTTACATTAAATGGATTCTCATTCCTACCTTGAAGAAATGCTTATTCTCTTTAAACAGGACTGTCATATTCCAGTATAATGTTGAGTCCATGTCTTAGTCAGTTTTGGCTGTTATAACAAAATACCTTACACAGAGTAATTTATGAATAACAGAAATTTATTGCCCACAATTCTGGAGGGTGGGAAATACAAGATCAAGGTACCAGCAGATTCTGTGCCTGGTGAAGGCCTTCTTCCTCGTAGATGGCACCTTGTTGCAGCAACCTCACATGGCAAATTGGGTGAACAAATTCCTTCAGGCTTTTATAAGGGCACTAATCCCATTCATAGGGTGCAAGGTCCTCATGGTCTAACCATCTACCCAAAGCCCCACCTCCTAAAACCATCACCTTGAGAGTAGGGTCTAACAGATGAATTTTGGAAGGACATGAACATGCAAACCATAGTCATCCATAAGTACTATATGTTTTTCACATTCACTACTGAACTTTCATCACCTACAAGTAAGCTTGACATATAGTAAATGCTAAAAAAGCTTTATTGAATATATAAATAACATACTGCATTTTGACAAACAGCTTTTATAATCAATTTGATGTGAAGCCAAAGACCTCCAGAAACATACCTTTAGTTGAATGAGGTGGATTGCCTGCTAGTTACAATGACAAATACTACACACCATGGGGAACAGTGGGACATCCCAGTAAGAAGTTATTAAAAAGGACCTACTGTAAGATCTGGGGTTTGGTTATGTGACCTTATGGAAGATTCAGAAGCACAGCTCTTTTTCTGGATTGAGTGTTGTTAGGAGCAAGGATAATTCTATAATTGAGTATCTCAATCAGTCCTGTCTAGAAGGAGGGTAGACAAGAATGAGGCTAAAGTTGTACTTAGTAAAAAGTTTTACATAAATAATATGAGTAATCACTCATATTTGCCAAGATAGGAGGTCATTTTTGTCACTTAGAAAAATTTTTCCTTCTGTGTTCAGATATCATTATTATAGAATGATCTTTATTTGTCTTAATCTATCAGGATCATAAAGTTGCCTTCTCTGATGTTGCTGTTCTAATAATTGTTTATCTTTCACAGAAGAATACGCAGGGCTAGGTAGGATTGCTGGACCAAGTCCTTGCAACACCAGGGCATGGCTAGCAGTGCCAGACAAGCTCCTAACTGTTGAGTGCTGGTTTGGTTGTTCTCAAAATTAATCTGGTGTTTAAAGTTTCAATTTCGACTTTCATCTTTAAAATGTTTTCAGTAGTTAACCAAATGTAATAATTTCAAATTATGTGTCAACTAGAAGCACATATTAAAGATAATTGATGAGAATTTTTAAATAGGAAGGTGGTTTGAAAGGATAAGTACCAGAACTTTAAAGTTGTTACTTACATAATTTAAGATAATGTAATGGGATTATTAAATTTTATTTTTCTGGGATTTTTCTCTGTTTTCTAATTTAAAAGATTTTTTAAAGTTTGTGAAATGTTTTGAATAAAGTGTTAAATGTTCAAAGTCCTCAGAACTATATGAATAATTCCATGACAGTGATTAGGAAACAAAGTCAGGTTTGTCAGTATATGACTAATTTTAGATTAAAAAATAGTTAAAATGAATGGAAAATCATTTTTCACAATCTCACTACCTGTGAGACAGGGTATTTTAATGTAACTATTGAAAAAAGAGACCCCTGTAGATGTATGATTGTAAGTAGTAACAACTGAATAACATTAAATGGGAGATGAGTGGCTTAGTGGAGGAAGGAAAAAGAAAATGTTGAGATTTATAACTCCAAATTAGAGCCCCTCAGGCTTTCTGCAGGTTTCCACAGGCTTTGTTTCAGACTATATTTGCAGCGTTTATGTTCCAGGATGCATTCATTCTTAGAGGCTTTTAAAGTGGCAACTGGAGTGATTTATAAGAGCCGAACAGTGTGCTTGAATCTAAGAATAAGAAAAGCAAGGCAGCAGGGGAAGTGAACTACTAATGGATATTCATAACAATCTACTTCAATATCCGATTAGGAATACGAAATTTCCAAATTTATTGTTCTGTTTTGTCTGTCAGTGGGAGTACTGTCAATCCCAAAGTATGAGACCATAAAAAATTTATATAATAGGAAAAGATAAACCTGAAATGAACAACAAAAGGTAAAGATATGCTTTCATTCATGTCGATGCAACAGATATTTACCAAGTGCCTACAAGAACCATGCTAGAGCCTGGGATTACAAAGACTAAGAAAATAAGTTTTGTCAGAAATAACTATGCATTCACGGTGAAGGGAGGGAGTGGAAGTAGGGAATATTTGAACAGGCACTATCCTATGCTATCTACATTAATTTGCAATCACTGCTGTAATGAGTTACCACAAACCTAGTGGCTTAAAACAACACAAATTTCACACCTGTAATTCCAGCACTTTGAAAGGCCAAGGCAGGTGCATCACCTAAGGTCATGAGTTCCAGACCAGCCTGGCCAACATGGTGAAACCCCGTCTAAACTAAAAATACAAAAATTAGCCAGGCGTGGTAGTGCACGCCTGTAATCCCAGCTACTAGGGAGGCTGGGGCAGGAGAATCGCTCGAACCTGGGAGGCTGAGGTTGCAATGAGCCGATATTGTGTCACAGTACTCCAGCCTGGACAACGGAGTGAGATCCCAGCTAAATAAAAACACACAAATTTATTATTTTGTAGTTCAGAAAGTCAGGAATCTAAAATAGGTCTCACGGGGCTAAAATCAAGGTGTATGCAGGGCTTTGTCCTTTGTGGAGGATCTAGGGCTGAACCAGTTTTCTTGACTTTTCTAGCTAAAGGCTGCCAGCATTCCTTGCCAGGTAGATCATTTTTTAAAGTATAAAAAGCTCAAATATTTTAAAATTTCTCAAGTAGCCTTTATTTTGTAGAGCAGTTTTTATGTTCACAGCAAAATTGAGAAGAAGGTACAGAGATTTCCCATATTCTAACCCCAATCTCAACACATGTATAGTCTCCTCTATTATCAATATCCCCCACCATCAGAGTGGTAATTTTCTTTTTATACAATTGATGAGTCTACATTGACTGATCATTATCACCCAGAGTCCATAGTTTGCACTGGGGTTCCCTCCTGGTGTTGTACGTTCTATGAATTTGGACATATGTATAATGACGTGCATCTATCATTTCAGTATCATACAGGGTAGGTTCACTGCCCAGTGTATCCTATGTGCTCTGTTTGTTGATCTCTCCCACACCCCATTCCTGGCAAACACCGATCTTTGCACTGTCTCCACAGTTTTGCTTTTTCCAAAATGTCATATAGTTGGAATAATACAGTGTGTAGCCTCTTCAAATTGGTTACTTTCACTTAGTAATATGCATTTACGTTTCTTCCTTGACTTTTAATGGTTTGAATTTCCATTTTCTGGATGTACCAGTTAATTTATTCACCTACTGAAGGACATCTTGGTTGCTTCCAAGTTTTGGCAATTATGAATAAAGTTGCTATAATCATCTATGTGCAGGTTTTTGTGTGGACATAAATTTTCAACTCCCTTGGGTAAACAACAAGCAGTGCAATTACTGAATCATTCAGGAAGAATATCTTTAGTTTTGTAAGAAATTACCAAATGTCTTTCACCATGGCTGTACCACTTGTTATTCCCACCAGCAATAAATGAGAGTTCTTGTTGCTCCACATCCTCCCCAGCATTTGGAGATGACAGTGGTCTGAATTTTTTCAATTCATTTTAATTTGCATTTCCCTGATATCATATGATGTGGAACATCTTTCCATATGCTTATTTGCCAGTTGTATATCTTCTGTGGTGAGGTGTCTAGTAAAGTCTTTGGCCCATTTATTAATAATGTTGTTTGTGTTCTTCTCATCAAGTTTTTACAGTTCTTTGTACATTTTGAATAACAGTTCCTTGAATCGGACTTTTTTTGCAAATATTTAACCCCACTCTATGGCTTATCTTTTCATTATTTTGACGTTGTCTTTCACAGAGCAGAAATTGTTTAATTTTAATGAAGCCCAACTTATCAATTCTTTCTTTCATGGATCAGGGCACCCAAGGTCATCTCGATTTTTCTCCTAGGTTATATTCTAGGAGTTTCATAGTTTCACATTTTACATTTAGGCCTGTAATCCATTTTAAATTAATGTTTGTGAGGGAAATACGGTCTGTGTCTAAATTTAACCTTTTGCATGTGGATGTCCAGTTGTTTCAGCATCGTTTATTGAAAGGACTATTTTTGTTCCATATTGCTTTTGTTTCTTTGTCAAAGATGAGCTGAGTGTATTTATTTAAGTCTATTTCATTTTCATTGATCTATATGCCTGTTTTTTGGGGTTTTTTGGTCATTAATACATTGTCTTGATTGTTTTAGTTTTTTAGTATGCTTTGAAATTGGGTAGTATCAGTCCTTAACTTTGTTCTTCCTATGCAATATTGTGTCGACTACACTGGATCTTTTGCTTTTCCACATAAACTTTATAATCAATTGGTTGATATCCACAAAATAAGTTGCTAGGATTTTGATGGGGAATGACATTGAATCTATAAAGTTGAAAATAACTCACATCTTGCTACTATTAAGTCTACCAATGAATATAAAATATCTTCATTTAGTTAGTTCTTTGATTTCTTTCTACAGAGTTTTGTAGTTTTTCTCATATAAGTCTTGAACATACTTTGTTAGATTTATATCTACATATTCTGTTTTTTTGTGCTCATGTGAATGGTATTTTGTTTCTAATTTTAAATTTTATTTGTTTATTGCTGGTATATAGAAAGGTGATTCACATTTAAGTATCAACCTTGTACCCTGCACCTTGCTGTGATAGCTTATTAGTTCCTGAAGTTTTCTGCATTCTTTTGAGAGAGTTAGTCTTTTTCATATTGCATTACTTTGCCATTGAATCTTCTGCTTCCATCTTCCATCTTTTAAAGACCCTGTGATTATATCGGGCCCACCTGAATAATCCAGGATACTTTTCCTGTTTTTAAGGTCAGCTGGTTAGCAACTTTAATTCTATCTGCAAGTTTGATTAGCTTTGTCCATGTAACGTAACGTAGTCACACGTTCTGGGGATCACGATGAACATCTTTACACGTTTGTCGGGGCAGGGTGCAGGCATTATTCTGCCTACCACTCTTGCTTAGAGGTATGTATGAACAATGTGTTTTCAGAACTGAATGACCTAGTTGGGCATAGTCATTCAGGCCTCCCTGTCTGTTTTGTTCAAGTTACTGTACAAGATGTCTAAAATTTGTGGCTGAGGTAGCAAAGGCAATATCATCTTTTTAAAAATTAAAGTCCTAAGTCCTTTTCTTTTATAATTTCTTGTGACTATTTTTCAAAATCTTCCCTTTATTTATAAAGTATTTTTCTCAGTTCAAAAGAAAACATTTGCTATGTCTTCATTTAAATAGTGATATTTTCCTTCCATAATCAGTTTATTTTTAAAAATTATTGGTTTCAAATTACTTTCTTTGGACACCACCCTGTGCTACTATAAATTATCATCAAATATATGTTAAATACCAAGCCAAGAATGATCAAACTCCTAGACATAGACTAGGAGAAGTTTTACCATATTGAATGTATGCCATTTTATGTATTTTTAGTTTAATTGTGAGCTTCTCAAGGGCAGGGCATGAATTTTTGTGCTGATTTTTCTCATTCCATACACACAGTAGAATATTTCTTCATAATTGTGAGTTTCTCAAGGGTAGGAGCTGAGTTTTTGTGATTATTCTTCTCATTCTCTACATATAGCATAATGTTAAGCACATGCTATATGCTCAAAAATGCTGACTGTATACATGACTACACAATATATTCTGTTTTCCTAGACTTTTGTATATATAAAGATTTGATTTCAAAATGGAAAGTTTTGGAGTTTTCAGTTTAAAAGGTGCAATAGCCTGAGAAATCATTAGAAAGCAGAAAAATTATAAACCTTTTATACTTCAGTGTCATGGTAGGTTCCTTGGAATGCAAATCTCTGTCAAACCACTTTTCAATGGTTGCTGGAGTGGACAGGGGAGGGGGCAGGATGGCTAGACATTATTTCTGCGAAGTGTCATAAGCTCCTTCCATTGTTTGTAATCCACATGGGCTCCTGTTTTCCCAGACTGGTTCATGGTGACTTAATGTTTCCATGGAAACTAGATGTGAAGATTCCCTGCCATTTCTTAGCCATGGCTACCCTATTGACGTGTCTTCCCTCTTCAGAGCTTCTGTACCTCAGGAGGTAGTTATTTGCACTCCCAGAAAATTTTCACCAAGGCCCTGTGCTTGCCATCTCTTAGTTCACTTCCTGACACCACATTCTGAAATTGAGATGTTGGAACGACTCTCTGACCTTCTCTGCTGCCTAGCAGTTGTCATTTCTGTTCTTTCCATCTCTCTTTGTATCCAGAATCATAAATCAGACTCTGGTATGTCATGAATCCTGGATACATAAATCTGTATATCTGCAATCTGCCCAGTTCCCACCACCTCTAGAGCTATCACTGCAGCCAAAGCCACACCATTTCTCACTTAGACAATCCTGATAGTCTCCCAACATACCCTTGTCCCCCTACAACGTATAGTCAGCTGAGCAGCCAGAGCTACCCTTTGCATACGAAATCAGAAAATTTACTTCTCTACTTAAAACCCAGCAATAGGTGTTTTTCATTTATTTCAGGGTAAATCTTTGCAAGAGCCTGCAAGGGCCCATCTAGCCTGGCCCTGTTACTGCTCTGAGCTTTGAAATAGGGTAAGAGCTCCTAGAAGCCATGGCCGTGTCCTCCTCCTCTTTATAGCATCAGCATTTTGCGCACTGCCTGGTAAACAGAGCTTAACTATGCTTCTTTAAGTGCTTTCTTGAATACATACCTCAAATTTTTAGGGATGAGTTAGTTTCCAATGGTCTTCCTGCATCATTCCCTCTATCTTTGTCTGACAAGAGACATCTTGAGCTGTGAGGAATCAGGGCTGATGATGATCTCACAGCCATGTGCAAGAGTGACCAAGGCCCAAGAATCAAGCCCTGAATCTGGCAGTGACCAGTTAAACAACTGCCAGCCATTTGACTTCACAGTATACTTATTCCTATTTTTGATTTAACATTAATATTTCAGCTGAAGTTATCTTGCAAATATTAATTATTTTTCATGTAAGGAGCAAATTCTCCTTTATGGCACTACAATATCACTAACACATTGCTAGTAAAATTATTAATATATTTTCACTTGGTACTTGGTTAAAAAACATTAATGTCATATAATGTTACATTTCTTATTATCTTGTTACTCAAATCTCAGTAATGTAATAGTGTCTTAGAGCAATAGGCTGTATCTTAGTTATGTAAATACCATAAACCCAATGGAATGGAAATCCACATTTTACTAGAAATTATCAAAATAGAAACTTTTCAAAAATTATGTACTGAAGCAGTTACTTGAAACTGTATATTGTGGAAGATTTATATTTAAAAAGTTTAAAGTATTTCAACATACTGGCCCAACTTTCCTCCGTTGTGAAAAGCATGTAAATATTTATACATTAAATGGTGTGGGGTAAAAGTATTGTTACAGTAAATGTATTGATCATGTAGATATTTATTTTACCTTTGTAATATACATTTAAAAATTCTTGGCAGCTTGGAACTTGAGGAAACAGACTATTTATCCCTTTGTCTTGAAAGATTCCTTTTTCTTTAAATTTTATATAAAAGAAGGAAAAAGGACTTAACATAAGCTCCCTAAAACAGTTTCAACAGCTTTATTGAGATATAATTCACACACCGTAAGATTTACATATTTAAAGGGTACAATATAATGGTTTTAAATATGTTTACAGGTTGTACAGCCATCAGCACAATCAATTTAGAACATTTTCTTTTTTGTTGTTGTTTTCAAGATGGAGTTTCCCTATTGTTGCCCAGGCTGGAGTACAGTGGTGCAATCTTGGCTCACTGCAACCTCCGCCTCCCAGGTTCAAGTGATTTTCCTGCCTCAGCCTCCCAGGTATCTGGGATTACAGGCATGCGCCACCACATCCGGCTAATTTTGTATTTTTAGTAGAGATGGGGTTTCACCATGTTGGCCAGGCTGGTCTCGAACTCCTGACCTCAGGTGATCCACCCACCTCGGCCTCCCAAAGTGCTAGGATTACAGGTGTGAGCCACTGCGCCTGGCCAATCTACTATCTCTCTACATAGATTGATCTATTCTTGACATTTCATATAAACGGGACTATACAATATATAATTTTTTGTGACTGGCTTCTTGCACTTAGCATAATGTGTTCAGGGTTCATTCATTTTGTGACATGTATCATCAGTATTTGATTCATTTTTATTGTCTAAAAATATCCTATTTGTTGAGGGACACTTGGGTTGTCCCAGTATTTGGGCTATTATTAAAAGTGCTTCTTCAACATTCCTGTAAAAGTTTTTGTGTGGTATGTTTTCATTTGTCTTGTTTGTATTACCTAGCAGTGGAGTTGCTTGGTCATGTAACTCTATGTTTAACCTTTCAAGTTTCTGCCAGACTGTTTCCAAAGTGGCTACAATATTTTGCATTCTCACCAGCAATGTACCAGTTGCAATTTACATCCTTGTTAACACTTATTATTGGCAATCCTTTTGTTTACAACCAACCTAGTGGGTGTAAAATGGTATCTAGTTGTGGTTTTGATTTACATTTCCCCAATGACTAATAATGGTGAACAACATTTTATGAGCTTATTGTCCATTTCTACAACCTCTTTGGAGAAATGTCTACTCAGATCCTTCACCCATTTTTTAAATTGGGTGATCATTTTTAAAATTATAGAGTTCTAAGAATTCCTTAAATATTCCAGGTAGAAATCTAAATACATAATTTTCAATATTAATATTTTATCCCCATTCTGTTCATTGTCATTTTCCCCTTAATAGTATTGTTTGAAGCACAAAAGCTTTTAGTTTTGATGAAGCTTATTTTATCTATTTTTGGCTTTGTCTAACCCAAGGTCACAAGGATTTGTTCTTATATTTTCTTGTATAAGCTTTATAATTTTACCTTTTACTTATAGGTCTATAATCCATTTTGAATTAATTGTTTTGTATGATATGAGGAAGGAATCCAACTTCATTCTTTTGCATATGGAAATCCAGTTGTCCCTGCATTGCTTGTGAAAAGACTGTTCTATCCCCACTGAATTGTTTTGGCACTCTTGTCACAATCCATTGACCATAAAAGTAAAGTATTCTTTCTGGACTCTATATAGATGGGGTTTCACCATGTTGCCCAGGCTGGTCTTGCACTCCTGAGCTCAAGTGATCCACCTGCCTCGGCTTCTCAGAGGGCTGGGATTACAGGAGTGAGCCACCGTGCCTGGTCTCTATTCTATTCCATGGATCCACATGTCTATCCTTATGCCAGTATCAGACTGCCTTGGTTATCGTAGCTTTACAATAAGTATTGAAGTCAGTAAGTGTAAGTTCTGCAATCTTTTTCAAGATTGTTATAGCTCTTCTAGGTCTCTTGGATTTCCGTATACTTTTCTCCAAACAGTTTAAGTTCATTTCATACACAATAGATAATACATTTGAATATCTATCATTTCATGAAAGAGTCTTGGTAGTTCTTAAGTTTTTTTGAACAGATTACCCAGTTCACTGCCTGTCTTCAATGGAAAACACAGTATGTCAAGCTTGCTGAGATTTACATTAGAGTTTCCAAGGAGTCAGAATTAATTTTTAGACAACTAATCTATCATTTATTACTCATATTAAGTCTCTCTCATATCTTATTATTTCTCACTAAGCTCTTTTTATCAAACAGGAATTGTGCCTGCCACACTCGTTATGAGAGTTCAGGTCCTCTTCTAAGATACTCTAGATCAGTGCCTTGTGTCATTTTGTTATTTTTCTGTAGTTTATATTTAGCCAGTCAATGATTTTTTGAACCTGTCTTTATATTTTTAAAAAAATTTGGCCCTACATGAATGTCTCATAATGCTAACTCTGAAAAACATCAAATTTCAAAAGTATATCTGTTTCTAAAATTGTTTCTAGAGGAAATGGAAAGGTAGTTTATAATGGAGGAAATCTAGGACATCTTTACTCATATAATGAAAGCAGCTTTACTTCTTTTGATTAACACGATAATTGTTTGCCATCTCTATATAGTTATAAAGATGTCATAGCTAAAAATAATAACTTACCCTTTACTTTGCAAATAAAACACTGAAATTAATAACTCTGGGTATTTCAAGAGAATGGAAAATAGCACATGGTGTGTGTTGTTTTATGCTGCTTAAATTAGTGAAAGGCAAAATTCTCTCTGGAAAAGACTTCTCTAAATAAGTAAAGCAATTATTTAAAAATAATTGTTCTTTTTCAAAGCTTAAGTGTGAAAGAAGGAATAGCTGTGCAGAGGTAAGAACATATAGCAATTGGTTAAAACACATAATCAAAGAAAGAGGGTTTTTTAAAATCACTCTCTGATGATGACTTTGACTTTTCTTTTGTTTGTATTAATTTATAAAAGAGTTGTTTTTTCCTTGGCTCTCTCAAAAAATATTTCATTATTCTCAACCAAATATAAATTGTTTACTTAGAGCAGTGCTTCAAAAATTTTAATGTTCATATCAGTGACCAAATAGTTTTATTAAGATACAGACTCTGATTCAAGATGACTGAGGTGAGGTCTGAGCATCTGCATTTTTAACAAGCCCACAGGTGATGCCAGCATGGTAGGCAGCAAGAACATAAAAGGATAAATGATTCCAAGAACTCACCTTTCATAATTAGACATGTGTATCTTGAGAAGACTCTACAAATTCTATAATATATTACCTCTATTAAACTGTTTATGTGTCTTTTAGGAATAAATTGGGCATACAAGATAGTATTTATTGATTTTTAAACACAAAGAGTAGCATCTGCCAGGATTCTGTACTTTTTTCCATTTAATATATATTGGAGAAAGTTGAAGTCATTTTCTTTCTTCCAAACTACTTTCTAAATCACTGGTGCTTATGGAAAGGTAAGCTATTAAATTTGTCTTTGAATAATGTAACCAGCTAGCCTCTTGGATTCTGTTATTTTTTATGATTTTTTTTCCATTCAATTCTCTAGAAGTTTTCAGTTGTATTATATCAACCTCAAATAAAGATAATTTTATTTTCTCCTTTCAATATTTATATACTATTTATTATTTTATTGTTTTGGGTATTAATTATAGAAAAATATTAAATTGTAGTGATGATAAAGGTAACTTTGTCTTATATTTGACTTGAATGGGAATGCTTCTGCTTTTCATTTTAGGCATGACACTGAATTTAGGAATTCTCCCAATAAATAGCTCTATGTTCTGTCTCTGTCATCTCTTTCACCCCCTCTCTTTCTCTCTCTCTCTCCCTCTCATGTGTGTCTTTGTGTATGTATATTTATGTGTATATGCATATGAATGGATTTATATTTGTATAGAAATATTAAATATGCATCTATTCCTTTATATTATAAATGCTTAAAACTAAGATTGAATATTGCATTTTGTTGAATGACTTTCCAGCATATGGAAATAGTTTCTCTTAAATATAATATTCTGTTGAATTATATATTTCATAATAGTGAACCTTTTTTCATCCTCTTTATGTACTCTACTTGGTCATAGGATAATGCTGACCTTTTGTTAATAATTGTATTGAGGTAAAATTCATATACAACAAACTGCATATGTATTAAATATACAATTTCACAAAACTTGAAAAATGTATACACCTGTGAAAACCATCATCACAATCAAGACATAAAACATTTACTTTCCATTGAAAAGTTTTCTCATGTGTCTTCAAAATTCACTGTTCCCTCCACCCCTGATTCCAAGCAACTGCTGATCTGCTCTCTTTATACATTTGTTTTCATTGTTAGAATTTTATATTTTATATAAATGAAAACATATAGTATGTATACTTTTCTGTCTGCTTCTTTCACTTGACATTATGCTTTTGAAATTAATTTATTTTGTTGTGTCTACAAGTAGTTCAGTCTTGCTTATTGTTGAGTAGTGTTCACTGTATGAATGTACTATATTTTTTTTACTCACATACCAGTGGATGAACATTCCCCCCTCGGTTGTGGTAATTACAGACAAAATTGTTATGAGCATTCATGTACAAGTCTTTATGTAAACATAGACTGTTCTATTCTTAAGTAATTACCTACGAGTTATATAGCTGGTAACATTATGGGTGTATATTTACATTTTTTGAAATTGCCCGACTATTTTTCAGAAAGGTTGCACCATTTTATTTCCACCAGTAAAGTATAAAATCAACATTTTTGCCATCTCTTGATGGCCTGGGTTTTTTTTTTTTTAATTTTAGTATTTCCAATAGGTGAGTTAGTAGTATCTCACTGTGGATTTAGTTTACATTTCCTGATGACACCGAACATCTTTTCATGTGTACATTTTGGCCACTTGTAAACTGAATTTTCAGAAATATCTGTTCAAAAATATTTTACTTGCTATTGTATTGATTCATTCTTATTATTATTGAGGCTTAAGAGTTATTTAATTGTGCTATTTAAATATTCTGGATATAAGTCCTTTGTGTTATATATAATTTGCAAAGATTTTTCTCCTAGTTTATGAGTGGCTTTTTCACTTTTTAACTCTTTCAAATAATTATTTTTTAAATCTTTGTATAACATTCAATTTATTGATTTTTAGATATTTTTGTGGTCTGAGTGTTCTACCTAAAACACTTTTTCCTATCTCAAAGTTGCAAAGGTTTTTCTGATATTTTTTCTTCTAGATTCTCTATAGTTTTAACTTTATATTTAAGTACATCATCAATTTATAGTCAATTTTTGTATATGGTGCAAAGTAAAAGTTGATTTTTTTTTTCCAAATAGGTAACTAATCATTCCAACGCTGTTTGCTAAGAAGACTTTCCTTTCCCCATGAAATTCTCCCACCAATATTGTTGATCATATAGATTTAGCGCCATTTTTGAGTTCTCTAGTCCATCTCATTTATCTCTACGTATATTTTCCACCAATACAAAATTATTTCAGTTGCTAGAGCTTTCTCATACAGACATACCAAGTTTTATTGCCCTTCACTTTATTGCACTTTACAAATACTGTGTTTTGCTTCTCTCACTCTCTCTCTCTCTCTTTTTTTTTTTTTTTTGTATAAATAGCTAAGAAAGAGAAGACTGCTCCTGGTTTCAGAGTTTTAGAGGACAGGCTAACTATTTTTTGAGGAACTAAGGCAGCTGTTGATTTTTAAGTTGAAATTAATGCTTATTCTGAAGGTTTGTGGCAATGCTACATCGAGCAACTTTATCAATACCATTTTTCCAACAGTATGTGCTTACTTCTTGTCTGTGTGCCACATTTTGATATTTTTACTATATTTCAAACTTTTCCTCATTATTTAATTTGTTATGGTAATCTGTGATCAGTGACTTTTGATGTTACTATTGTAATTATTTGGGGGCACCATGAACTATGCCCATATCAGTAAGGTGGCCAACCTAACAGATAAATGTAGTGTGTGTTCTGACTTCTCCACTGAATGGCTGTTCTCCCAACTCTGTTCTTTTCCTCAGGCTTCCCTATTTTCTGAGATACTACATAATAGAAATTAGCCCAATTAATAATCCAATAATAGCCTGTAAGTGTTCAAGTGAAAGGAAGAATTGCATGTCTCTCAGTTTAAATCAAAAGCTAGAACTAATTAATCTTGGTGAGAAGAATATGTTGAAAGCCAAGACATGCTAAAAGCTAGGACTCTTTCACCAAACAGCAGAGATGCGAATGCAAAGGATAAGTTCTTGAGGGAAATTAAAAGTGTTTATCCAGTGAACACACGAATGATAAGAAAGTGAAACAGCCTTATTGCTGACATGGAAGTTTTAGGGGTCTGGATAGAAGACAAACTAGCCGCAGTATTCTCTTAAGCCAAAGCCTAGGCCAGAGCAAAACTCTGACTCTCTTCAATGCTATGAAGGGTAAGAGAGGTGAAAAAGCTGCAGAAGTTTTCAAAGCTAGCAGAGGTTGATTCATAAGGTTTTAAAAAAGAAGCTGTCTCCATAACACAAAAGTGCAAGGTGAAGCAGCAAGCAGTGATGTAGAAGTTGCAGCAAGTTATCCAGAAGATCCAGATAAGATAATTAATGATGGCAGGCAAACTAGATAACAGATTTTTAATATAGACAAAATAGACTTTTCCTAGAAGAAGATGCCATCTAGGTCTTTCATAGCTGGTTTCAAAGTTGCAGAGGTCAGGCTATCTTTTCAGGGGCTAATGCAACTGTTGATTTTTAAGTTGAAGTTAATGCTTAATCTGAAAATTCTAGGGCACTTCAGGGTGATGCTAAATCTACTCCACCTGTGTGCCATCAATGGTACAACAAAGCCTGGATGACAGAACATGTTTACAGCATGGTTTCCTGAATATTTTAAGCCAAATGTTGAGACCTACTACTCAAAAGAGGGATTCATTTCAAAATGAATTACTGTTCATTAACAATGCACCTGACCACTCAGGAACTCTGATGGGGATGTACAAAGAGATTAATTTTGCTTTTATGCAATGATAACACAACATCTATTCTGTAGCCCATGGATCAAGGGGCTACAGTTAATTCAGTGGAGGAAATAACTGCAGATGTGGAAGTAGCAAGAGAACTGGAATAAGAAGTAGATGTGACTGAATTGCTGCAATCTCATCATAATATTTGAATAGACAAAAAGTGTTTTTTATGGAAGAGCAAAGAAAGCAGTTTCTTGAGTTGGAATCTACTCCTGGTGAGGATGTTGTGAACGTTTTTAAAAGGATAACAAAGGATTTAGTTTAGACTGTTATATAAACTTAGTTGACAAAGCAGTGGCAGGGTTTGAGAGGACTGATTACATTTTTTAAAGTTCTACTGTGGGTAAAATGCCATAAAACAGCATCACATGCTACAGAGACTTCTTTTGTAAAAAGAGGAGTCAATCAATGTGACAAACTTCACTATTGTCATATTGTTAAAAATTACCACAGCCATCCCAATGTTCAGCAGCAACCACTGTGATCAGTCAGCAGCCATCAACATCGAGGCAAGACCCTCCACAAGCAAAAAGATTATGACTTGCTGAAGGCTCAGATGGCAGTTAGCAATTTTTTAGCAATAAAGTAATTTTTAATTAAGGCATGCACATTTTTAGACATAATGCTACTGCACACTTAATAGACCACAGTATAGTGTAAACATAATTTTTATATGCACTTGGGAAACAAAAAAAAAATTTGACTAGCTTTATTGTGATATTTGCTTTATTGCAGTGGTCTGGAACTGAACCCTCAATATCTCCAAGCTATTCCTGTATACATTGAAATCAGGTAGTCTAAGACCTCCAACATTACACTTTCTTTGGAAATTGTTTTGTCTCTTCTAGATGATTTGCACCTCCATATCAAGTTTTCAATCTCCTTGTCTCTTTCTATCTAAAAATCTTCAACAATTTTGAGTAGATTGCACAAAATCTATACATCAGTTAGGGGAGAATTTAAACCTCAACAATAAATCTTTCAGTCAGTAAATATGCTGTCCATTTATATATGTGTTTTAAAATTTTACTCAGAAAAGTTTTTAGTGTTTAATATAGAGCTCTTCCATATATTTTGTTGGATTTGGACTTCTTTTTATTATCTTTTGCCACTACTATAGATGGAATTTTTTAATTATTTTAGAATTCCATTTTATTAATATCTCTACTATGGGCATATTTGCTATATTACTTTGTTTTATAGTTGTTACTGGTTGATATAGGGTTTACAATATACCTCTGAAACCTACACAGTCTACCTCCAAATAATGACAGACCCCTTCATGTATAGGTTAACTACCTTGAACCTGTAAGCCTCAATTCCTCTCTTCACATTCTGTGTACATTTTACTCCCACATATGCTTCATAATACATGTTATTTTTGCTTTAAACAATCAGTTATCTTTTAGAAGAGATTAAGAAGGAGAAAAATATTTTGTTTACCAATGTGTTTGTTATTTCCAGTGGCTCTTTTTGACCCTTTATTTTTTGTGTGGAGCCAAATTACCTTTTGGTATTGTCAAGGGCTCAGAGCTCCGGAGATCTATGCCTCCAGGTGTTAGAGTAGCAGGTTAAAACAATAAGACAAATAAAAATAGCAGTCAAGTCTTCATCACTCACTATAATAGTATCAGCAAGAAGAAAAATGGGAGAAAGTGTCAACTCCCCACACTATTTTATTTTCTCCCATGGAATGGTGTTCCACTAAGGGTCAGGCGGATCAGCATAGATGCAGAGTCATCTCACTGCCAAGGGAGCCCTGGACAAAAAGCTCCTGCTATTTTGTGGAAGGGGTGGGGCAGGGGGAGGAGACAAGGAAGTGTTGGGGGGCAAAAGTACTGAGTAGTGAATTAGAGTGTAGAAAAGTGTCTTCCAGGTACCTCCCTGCAATGATAAGGAGATCTAGACAGGGGCGCCTAAGGAGGGCCTCAGCTGAAGATCCCCATAAAGAAGACACCAAAAGAAGGCACCTGGGCTAGGAACTCAGATAATATAACAGCATGGCCTGCCACGGGGGCCTGACTCCTTGTCGGCAGCTCCCTTCAGGGACTGAAATGCACTGGCTGTGCATTAAGCTAGGGAAAGCTCTAGTAATTGCCTATGGTCAGACTTGAAAAGAAATCACAGGTAGGTTTTTTACTGGGAGCTGGGCTTCTCAGGTATCATTTTCTTCTGCCTGAAGAATGTCCTTTATGGTGCATGTCTGCTGGCAATAATTATCTCAACTTACAATTCTTTCATTGGTCTTCACTTGAATGATGTTTTTACTGAGTCAGAAATTGGAGGTTAATAAATTTTCTTTTATACGTATAAAATGTTGCTCAACTATTGTCAAGCTTGCATTGTCTCTGAAAAGAAGTCTGCTTTCATTCTTATCTTTGTCCCTTATTCTTATCCCTATTTTGGTCTTTTTTCTATGTTCGCTTTTAAGAATATTTTTCATTATTACTAGTTTTCAGCTGCTATGTGATTTTGCTATGCCTAGGGATGATTTTCGTTACACGTTTACTCCACTTAAGGTTCGTGAAACTCTTTGGAGCTGTGGATTTATATTTTTAATCAAATTTGGAAAACTTTTAGCTACTATTTTTTGAATCATTTTTTTCCTTTACCACCTCTTTCTTTCTGGAACTCCAATTACATTTACGTTAGACTGCTTGATATTGTACCACAGTTCCCTAATACCATTTTTTCCATCTATTTTCTTTCTTTGTTTCATTTTGGATGGTTTCTATTGCTATGTGTCCAGGTAAAATGACCTTTTCTTCTGCGGTGTCTAACTGCTATTCATCCCATGTGGTATATATACATATTTCAGATATCATATTTTCCATCTCTACATTTTCTATTTGGGACATTTTTGCCTTTCCTTTCTCCCTTCATCATGTTTATTTTTCCTCCACTTTTTAAAAGAATATGGAACATAACTATAATAATAATTATTATAGTTATAATAACATAACTATAACTATAATATAATCATAACTGTAATAATTATTATATTTATATATAATAACTATAATTATTATTATTTTAGTTATATATAATAACTATAATAATTATTATTTTTTTGAGATGGAGTCTCACTCCATCACCCAAACTGGAGTGCAGTGGTACGATCTTGGCTCACTACATCCTCCGTCTTCCAGCTTCAAACGATTCTCGTGCCTCAGCCTCCTGAGTAGCTCTACTAAAACTACAAAAAATTAGCTGGGTATAGTGGCAGGTGCCTATAATCCCAGCTACACAGGTTTCGCCATGTTGGCCAGGCTGGTCTCAAATCCTGACCTCAGATGATCCACCCACCTTGGCCTCCCAAAGTGCAGGGATTACAGGTGTGAGCCACTGCACCCGGCCTAATAATTATCTTAACATTCTTCTTTGCTGGTTTTAAATATAATTTCTTTTATTTCTCAGTCAATTTTTATTGATTAATTTTTTTCTGATTATTTTCCTGCTTCTTTACATGTCTGGTAATATTTTTCCTGGATGCCAGCCATAGTGAATTTTATGGTTTTGGTCACTGGATTGTTGTATTTTTTTAAATACTGTTTGATTTTGTTTTGACACTCAGTTAAGTTAGTTGGAATCCATTGGACCCTTTCTGAGCTCTTCTTTAAGCTTTTTAAGTGTAGATCTAGAGAACCTATTATCTAAACCTAATTTAACCTAATCACCCTTCAGAAAATTCTGTCCAATGCCTCAGGTAAATTAAGCTGTGAGATTATGATCTAGTCCCAATTCTGTGTGAGCTTCAGCTTCTCATTTGTAATAATTATTTCCTCTGTCTTGTGTAGTTTTCTTTCAGACATGTGCATATTAGTACTTAGTCAAAAACTCAAGACACTATGCAAGTATTTAAAACTCTCTCTTTGTTCATCTCCCTCATACCTCGTTGTCTGCCCCACCAATTCTAGCTAGCTACACTGGTTTTTTCTGCTCTCAACTCAATGTGACATCGAAGTTGTTTTTGGTTTTCTGTCTATACTGTAGATACAATGATAGGGCTCACATCAGTTGTTATTCTCTTCCTAGGGCCAGG
The DNA here is from genome assembly GCF_000001405.40 of Homo sapiens. NCBI lineage: Eukaryota > Metazoa > Chordata > Mammalia > Primates > Hominidae > Homo > Homo sapiens. The sequence continues at coordinate 38,457,587 of NC_000013.11, forward strand.
GTCCTGTGTTCCATGTTGTCCAATATCTGGAAAACTACTGCTTCCTATATTTTGAATCGTTTTCTGGTTTTCTAAGAAGAGAAAGTATATTAGGATCTTGTTATTCTGTCATAACCAGAATGGAATTTTTAGAATTAGCTTCTAACTAATACATTGAAATCCTTATTACTAAAATGTTTTCTACAATTATATATGCAAGTGTTATGTGTTCTGTTGCTTTTGCCACTTTCCTTCAGGGAAATCAGTTATGAATATGTGAACTTTTGCTATATTTTTGTCTATATTTCATATCTATGTTTAATTTAATTTAATTTAAATTTTAATTTTGTTAATTTATATTTTCTCAACTTTCTCATCTGTGTTTATGCTCTTTTGCATTTTTGTTCTCATATGTGCTGCTTTAAGAGCTTTAAGTTTTGTCATTACTTTTTCTTTTCTACTTCTCTCTTCAACTCTTCTAGCATATTGTATTTCGCCTTATTCTTTTGTTCCACTCTGTCAGCCTTGAGCTTTCATATCCCTGTTCAAAAGATTTGTATTTTTGTTAAGTTATTTGAATTCATGAAACTATCAAAACATCACAAAATATAAAATAAAATATATAATAGTCGGGCACTACGTTTATCTACTCAGTAGAAGCAGTCTTCTAATGACTATCCTACTTTTGCATGTTTCAGGTCTTTTATTGCTCCCTGCAGGGTATGTGTGTGTGTGTGTGTGTGTGTGTGTGTGTATACTCATGTATGTGTATATATGTACATATGTAATTTTAAAATGGACTGCTCATTTTCAAATCAATAAATCATCCATATGTTTGCAGGGATTTCTTATGAGAAAAGAGCTGGTAGGAATTTCTACCTACAATGAAGTTCCTTTGGATGCAAGAATGTGTATGCATGTGAATTCTTTTTTTACTCTTGCCAGCCAAACAAAATTGACCATGGCCCACAATTCAGAGTTCCACTTTTTGACCCTGCCTTATCATCTATATGATTTCGGCTAATGTGGCATATCAGATATTCTGATATGTCTGATATTCTGATATATATGATATTCTGATATAATATGATATTCTGCTAACGTGGCATGTCTGCTAACATGGCATGTCAAACACTTTAATAGTTTGGACAAACATATCTCCTAGTTTTATCAGTAATAAAATTTTATTTATTTTGCACAATACTTTTATTGTGTTGGGAGATGTTCAAAATTAAAATTACAGATGTTTAACAAACTTGGTGCTAGAAATCAACAATAAACATAATTAACTGACAAATAGCAAGTGTGCAGAAAAAATATAGGTAAAATTTACTGTAGGTTGATTATGATGTCTGAACATACAGTGATGCAGAAGGCATCTCCTCTAGAAAACAAAAAGCAGAACTGGAAGAAGACTTAAAAACAATCTAATCCATTTATTAATATTTAAATCTCCTCTACATCATTACTATCAAATGACTATTCAATCTTCTTCTAGTGAGGTCTACTCCTGGTAAAGAGAGCTCTCAGATTTATGAAGCTGCCCACTACATCTTTGGACAACTTCACATAATACTGATACAAACCAGCTTTCTTTGATATTAAGCATCTCAATTCTTCTCCAAAAAGCATATTATAAATATTCAAAATCTTTAATTCACTTTGGAAATGCCACCATTCTCAAAGTGATGCCCTGGTTAAAACTATTTCCTGATACCACTTTGGCCAGAGGATATTTACATCTTTATGCATGCCACTTAGCAGAGAGTTGAGGAAGAAGATGGAATATGCATTAAAGGTGTGCTCAATGGATCTGGAGCACCAGCTCTGGAGTAGCTCATTTTTATATTTGTATTTTAAATAAAACCTCTACATTCCTCAGCCCTTTCAAACATATTTATTTGAAAAAACAAAATAAATTGCTAATGATTTCCTTTTCTTTCTTCCATAGAATATGACATTAGAGAATAAATATCTACATATTCATATGGGCTTTTTCTTTTGCTTTGACTTAGTATACATGGTCTAAGTAAAACTGAGTAACAGATTACAAACATGCTGGTTATATACATATATTTTATTTTGAAATAGAACCTGAAAATCTAAGATATTAAATTATACATAATTATGCCTAGAAATGGTTTTCTTTTGGTAAATAAATGGGGTATTGAAGGCTATATTATATTTACTCTTTTTATTCCAACAATTTCAGATTAGGAGAAAAAAATCAGAGCATTCAGCATCTTCAAAAGTAATCCTTTGTATTAAAAGGTGAATTGATTTTTATATAAACATGGTTACCTGAAAAAATGTTGAAAACTTTGCATTTGGTTTGAAATTGCTAATTTTACTGAATGATAATCTGGGGTTTAATGCACAAAATCTGAACATATAATGATGACATATTATCATCTGATGATGGATTGGTCTCATCACGGTTAAAGTGATTCTCTGATGGTGTTATGTAGAATAGCAATGATATGATAACCAAATAGCTTATGTATCTTCAGGGTCCTGTAAATTTATGTTCTAGTGGAATTATGTTTTGCTATAGAAACAAGAAATAAGTCTATATTTGCTAGAAGTCAGACTCTTACTTTAGACAAATCATGCAGTTTCTCTTGGCCTTGGGTTTCTCATTTGTAAAAAGAGGTGTTTAATATCATGTTCAACTTCAAATTTTAACTATGTGATATTTTTGCTAACCAAGTAAACACAGCATTCAAAATATCAGGAATGTGTCTGATTAGAGAGACACAACCTCAAGGAAAAAGAAGAGAAAAAGGGGTAGATAGGACTGAGAAGGATAGGGTGAAATACCAGGTGATGTGCTAGTTATTGCTTCCTGTGCTGGTCACTGCTTCACAATAAGCTAGAAAGACACAGCCATTCACACAGAAAGGGCAATTCTAACTTACATCAGCCAACTCTTCAGAAGCTGCTCGGGAAGTCAGACTTCTGTACTATGTGATGTAGCATCTCAACAAACTCAGAACAAATGGGAGTAGCAAGGGGGTCTGGGAGTGACAGAGTCAGCCACAGTGGTGGCTGAGGCACAGTGAAAAGCTGAGGTTTTTGCAGAAACACAAAGCCTCAAAACTATAAAAACCCTTGAAGACAACCTAGGCAATACCATTCTGGACACAGGAACAGGCAGAGATTTCATGATGAAAACACCAAACGAAATTGCAACCAAAGGAAAAAAAAATAATAACTGGGATCTGATTAAACTAAAGAGCTTCTGCACAGCAAAAGGAACTGTCAACAGATTGAACACATAATCTACAGAATGGGAGAAAATTTTTGCAAACTATGCATCTGACAATGGTCTAATATCCAGCATCTATAAGGAATGTAAACAAATTTACAAGAAAAAAACAAGCAACCCTATTAAAAAGTGGGCAAAGAACATGAACAGACACTTTTAAAAAGAAGACATACGTGTAGCTAACAAGAATATGAAAAAAAGCTCAGAATCACTGATCATTAGAGAAATGCAAATCAAAACTATAATAAGACACCATCTCACACCAGCCAGCATGGCTGTTATTAAAAAGTCAAAAAAGATAACAGATGCTGGCAAGGTTGCAGAGAAAAAGGAATGCTTATGCACTGTTGTTAGGAGTGTAAATTAGTTCAACCATTGTGGAAAGCAGTGTAGCAATTCCTCAGAATTACCATTTGACCCAGCAATCCCATTACAGGGTATATACCCAAAGGAATATAAATCATTCTATTATAAAGGTACATGTATGCATATGTTCATTGCAACACTACTCACAATAGCAAAGATATGGAATCAACCTAAGTACCCATCAGTGGTAGACCGAATAAAGAAAATGTGGTACATGTACACCGTGGGATACTATGCATCCATAAAAAATGAGTTCATATCCATTGCAGGAACACGGTTGGAGCTGGAGGCCATTATCCTTAGCAAACTAATGCAGAAACAGAAAACCAAATACCGTATGGCCTCACTTACAAGTGGGAGCTAAATGATGGCAACACATGGACACATAGAGGGAAATATATACTGGGGGCTATCAGAGGGTGGAGGATAGAAATAGGGAGAGGACCAGGAAAAATAACTAGTGGGTACTAGGCTTAAAACCTGGGTGATGAAATAATCTGTACAACAACTTCTCATGGCACCAGTTTACCTATGTAACAAACCTACATATGTGCCCCTGACCTTAAAATAACTGTTACATTTTTTAAAAAAGAACCTTAAAAGACAAGCCAACACCAAAGGCTCTCAATTTATCTTCCTTTATTGATGATTGACTGTTAAGAATATGTTGGCAATGTAAAAGATGAATTTCACATTGATTTTGTTTTTTAAACATATGCAAACATTATGATATAATTGTGCTATAAGATCTTATTAACAAAAAATATATTTTGTACAAGTTAAATTTGAGACATCTTTTGGATATCAAAGTGATAATGTCAGGGATGAAACTAGACATATGAATTTGAAGCTTAAGACGGAAGGTTGAATTGCAGCTATAAATTTAGGTGCCATGAGTATATAGATACTACTTAAAAGCATGGAACTAGATAAATATATTATACCTTTAAGGTACTATATCATTTATCATATATGTTATTTTCATTCTCTCTCAGACATAAAACCTATGTAGAAAGAATATGAATGTTCCAGGAGATTAGAATAGGGTCTAGTCAGTATGTATCAAAAATATTTCTGAATATTGTTGAGAAAAGGTTATAACTTTAAAAGAAGGGAAAAGGAACGAGGGAGATTTGAGGAGAGAAAAGTATGAGGTAATGTTCTGTTGAGTATGGAAGTCAATTGACTAGGCAAGTGTCAAATTGCTAGACAAGACTAACAGATATGATTTGTGATTACTATTTAGAATGATTCTACTCAATGTGGCAATCTTCTCTCCAACTACATTTATATACAGCGTTAGAGAGGCAGAGTGCATTAAAAGTTGGGTTTAACTGAGGTATGAGTTTCTCAGTGATTAAAACGGTGACAATGAGATTCATAAAATCTCAGCTGGCTGTAGGAGTTAAAGACAATGAAAATGTAACAGGATAAATAGATTGGAGATCCTGATAGACAATACATTGTTTAAGTGTGAGGTTGGGGGCACTTAGTGTAGCTCATGAGGTGGAAATGCAGAACTCAGTGGTCTGAAAATGAGATGGTTGAAACTGAAATTCTGGGTGTGATGCAATTTTTCAAGTGTTGAAGTAAGGTACAGGAAGAGGTATTTGAAAGTAAGGGCCGGGTGCGCTGGTTCACGCCTGTAATCCCAGCACTTTGGCAGGCCAAGGCCGGTGGATCATCTGAGGTCAGGAGTTCGAGACCAGCCTGACCAACATGGTGAAACGCTGTCTCTACTAAAAAAAAAAAAAAATTAGCCGGATGTGGTGGTACATGCCTGTAATCTCAACTACTTAGGAGGCTAAAGCAGGAGAATTGCTTGCACCCGAAAGGCAGAGGTTGCAGTGAGCCGAGATCATGCCATTGCACTACAGACTGGGCAATAAGAATGAAATTCTGTCCACCCCCCACAAAAAAAAAAGAAAGAAAAGAAAGTAAGATAAATGAACTAGAATACAACTATTAACTGCTATTAACAAGAATACTCAGTGCCTACTGATGTTCGACAAAATTGTAAATCTTATTCAGACAGCTGATCAAACATGTGCATTTTCACATAGGCCAGATTGTCCCCAAAGTACATAGTAATTACAAAGCAGAATACCCATGACTTCTATGTTTGCAAAGTCCCAAACGAGGTTCTCTTTTAGACTCCAGAAGGGAGAAAATTAAACTCATCATTCTATTGTAGATAGAGTTCATACCTAATTAAATTAAAGAACAGATTGAATAGTTTAACATATTTCAACGTTCATATGGCATTGAAAATCCTTTGGTTGGCAGCTGTGTAAATCAGCAGGAAATCAGGAGAAGGCAGGAATTAGATGAATATTTAGAAATGGAAATAACAGGCAGTGCTATTTCTAAAACACCCTTTATTGCTTACGTGGTAATACCAGTAATTAAGGTATGATTTAAATAAGTTTTTAATGCATTATCAAAACATAATAGTAGTGAAAACATCATGATTTAACATCTACCTACTTACATTTCTGTAATCGGCTCTTCAGTTTTAAGAAGCCGAACACATAAATGAGAGAAGCATAGATCTTGAGCACTACAGCTCTCCCCTCATTCTTAAATTCCAAAAATATAAATCATTGTTAAATCACTATGCCCATGTGACATCCAAATACAGTTCATCTTTGAGACACGTAGCATAAAAATGACATTGACTTTGAACATCATAATTTATATACAGATGCATATTTATGTAATTACCAAGAAGTTAAAGTGAATGGAATCCTTCATATTTTGCCATTTATCATTTTTTTGTGAAAATTCTCATACATACTCAGAAGTAAGAATTGTTTGATTAAACCCCCATACATCCATAATGCAAATTTTGCAGTTATCAAGATTTTACCACTTCGTTTTATTCTTTGCTTATTTTGCTACAGTATGTTAAAGAAAAATTTCAAATATTTTGTAATTTCATTGATAAATATTTCACAATTATATAGCTTGGGATTCTAGTGTTATCAAATTTATTTAAGTGTTTTTTAAACCTTTGGCATGTTTTATTTATTTATGCTTTGAAATTCATGCCAATCTAATAAGAGTAGAGTAAAAAACAAAATCAAAAATTGAAAAAGTATGGAAAACAAATTAAATAGATAAAGCAGGTAATATGTCAATTTTTCCATTAAACTTTTTTGAGATAATTGTATATTTACATGCACTTGTAGGAAATATTATAAAACAACCCCATATGTTCTTTGCTCAATATCGCACAATGGTAACACCCTGTAAAACTATAATACAGTGTCACAACCAGGATATTTACATTGATACAGCCAAGATACAAAACATCCATCACCAAAAATCCCTCATGGCACTCTTTTATAGCTGCAGTCACTCTCTCCTACCCCCACCTTCTCCTTAATCCATGGTAACCAATAATCTGTTCTTCCTTTCCAGAATATTGTCATTTTAGAAATTATATATAGATGGAATTATACAGTTTGTAATCTTCTAGAATTGCTTTTATTTCACCCAGCATAATTCTCTGGAGATTTATTCATGTTGTAGCATTGATCAGAAGTCCGTTCCTTCTTATTGCTAAGTGAGACTCCATGGTATGGGTATAGCGCCGTTTTTTTAACCATTCACACACTGAAGGACATATGGGTTGTTTCCAATTATGCTTTTGGTGTCAAGTCTAAGAACTCTGCCTAAATCTAGATCCCAACCCCTATGTTGAATCAGAATTGAAGAAGAAGGAGCATTGTCTAATACATTTTATGTTCCTTCTTCTCTTTACTGAAAGAGATTGTGTAGAATCAGGTTTATTCTTCTTTAAACATCTAGTAAAGTATTCCAGTGAAAGTATCTGGGCCAGAAGATTTTCTTTTGGGGAGATTTAAAATTATTGATTTAATTTTCTTAATGATTATAGCACTACTCAAAGTATCTATTTCACATTGGGTGACTTGTGGCACTTTGTATTTTTCAAGAAAGTAATACATTTCATGGAGGTTGTCAAATGTGTGTGTAGAGTTGTTCACAGCAGTGCATTGTTATTCTTTAGGTGTCTGCAAGATCTTTACTTACAGCCCATGTTTCATCCATGATATTGGTTATTCATGTCTTCTCTCTCTTTTGTCTTTGTCAGCCTTGACAGAGGCTTGTCAATTTTATTGACCTTTACAATTGATCAGCTCATTCCTTCATTAACTTTCTCTATTGTAGTACTGCTTGGGATTTCACTGATTTCTGCTCTTATATTAAGTATAAATTATTATGGATTGATTTATCCAGTCTATAAGTATAGACATTATTAATTGTTTGGTGCATATATAGTCAGAAATGCTATATCTTCTTGGTGGCCTTACCCTTTTACCATTACATAATAACCCTCTCTGTCTCTAGTAATTTTCTTTTTTCTGAAGTCCAATTTACCTGATTTACATGATATATCTTTTTCTATTTTTTTACTTCCAACCTGCAAATATTATTATAGTTGAAGTGAGTTTATAGGCAGCATATACATAGCATATACATATCTCATGTTTTTAAATTCCCTCTGCAAGTGCCTTTTATTGGTATCTTTACACCATTTAATATAACATAATTATTCATACTTTAGGGCATAAGCCTGCCATTTTATTTTTTTGTTGTTGTTTTGTATTTGTTTTTTTCTTTACTTGTTTCTGTTTTCTTTTTCTTGCCTTCCTTACTTGGACATTTCTAGAATTTAATTTTAATTATAGTGCTTTTGAATGCATTTACTTGTCATTGTTTTAAGTATTACACATATATAACTTAGGGTCTACCGCTGTATTTTTACCAGTTTGAGAGATGTATAGAAACTTTGCTACATTGATATCCCTTTGTCTTCCCTCATTTATAATTGTTTTTAATATTTTCTCTATATATATTTAGACCTACATTAGACAGTTTATAATGTTTGCTTCAGTTATCAATTTAGAACTCGAGAACAGATGGAAAACCTTTTATATTTACTCATATTTTTGCTTACCACATTCTTTGATCTTTCCTGATGTTCCACAGTTTCTTCATTTATCATTTTCTCTTTGTTTAGAGAACTTCCTTAGTAGTCCTTTTAAGGAAGTTCTGCTGGCAACAAATTCTCTTAGCTTTCCTTTATTTCATAATATTTTTATTTCCCTTTAATTTCTGAAGGATATTTCTTTTGCTAGGTGAAGACTTCTAGGTTGACAGTTCTTTTCTTACAACATCTTGAAGAAGTGCCACTTCTCCAAGGTTTCTGGTGAGAAATTTGCTGTCTTTTGATTGTTCTTCTCTATGAGTGAGATGTCATTTTTTTTTCTGGCTGCTTTCAAGATTTTTGTTTGTATTTAATTTTATGAAGTTTAATTATGATGCATCTTGGCATGGATTTCTTTCAGTTTATCCTGTTTGGTTTTGCTTCCCTTCTTTCTTTATTTAGAGACAGACTCTCTGTCACCCAGGCTGGAGAACAGTGGTGCAATTATAGCTCATTGCAGTCTTGAACTCCTGGGCTCAAGCAATCCTCCTGCCTCAGCCTCCTGAGTAGCTAGGACTACAGGCACATGCCATCATGTCCAGCTTGCTCAGCTTCTTGAATCTTTAGGTTTATGTCTCTTGCTAATTTTGAGAGCTTTTCAGCTATTATTTTTTTCAAGATCTTTTTCAGCCCTGCCGTCATTCTCCTTTTCTACTGGAACTCTGATAACATGAATTTTAGCTCTTTTGTTACATTCCCACTAGTTCCTAAGGTTCTGCTCAATTTTTAGTTGATTTGTTCTCATCATTCAGATTGAGTTATTTTTGTTCTTGTGCATTCCAATTCATTGATTCCTCTGTCCTCTCAATCTGTGTTGAGCTGATCCACTGAAGATTTTTTCTCATTTATTGTATTTTTCAGATATAAAAATCTCCAGTAGATTATTTATATCTTCTCTTTGCTGAGACTTTCTGTTTCTTTGCTGGGGCTTTCTATTTTTTTATTTGCTTTAGACATATCGTAATTTGCTCATAGAAGCATCTTCACCATGATTTCTTTACATTCTTTTTCAGATAATATGAACATTCCTGTCAGCTTGGTATTACTTAGTTTTTTTCATTCAGTTTGAGAACTTCCTGATTGTTGGTATGAGTGATTTTTGATTGAGATTTAGGCTTATTTTTATGTTGACATAATACTGTAGATCCTGTTTAAATCTTCTGATACAACTAACTTTATGAGACCATAAAATAGGTATCCACAGGGAGAAAGAGGTAGTTCAGTTCTCCCACTTAGCCTCCACTGACACCGAAATAAGGAAGACTTCTCATTACTTTAGAGCGGGAGTGGCATTTCCAGTTTCCCACATGATCACCACTGACATAGCAGCGGACGTGGTGTGGTTACCATTAGGTGATAGTTCTCCTTCTCCAGCACGTTTCTTCAGACGCCAGCTTATCAGAGATGCAGAGCAGGTGTCTGTTTATAGTCAAGTGGAAGTAGAAATGCAGGCTTTCCATGTGGTCTCTGCTGACTCCACCAGAGGTAAGACCTCATCACTAGCCAGTGAGGATGAAAGTTCTGCCTTTCTATTTGGCCTTCCCTGACACCACCTAGCAGATGGCGCCCTTCTTTGCAGCCTGGTGAGGAGGCAAACTTAGGCCTCCAACAGCCTTTGCTTGTATGGATTGGGTTGGGCCACAGTTTTGTGCGTATACTGCCTGGAGTAGAGAAGTTACTGTCTAAAAGTTTTCTGTCCTGCTTGTTTGTCCCTTTTCTGGCCCATGGTTTCCAGAAGTCAAGCCATTATTAGAAGGTTTTTGTTGTTGTTGTTTTGTCTGCATCCTTTGGCATTTCCAGGTTGCCAATGTATTCAGCTCCAAATCTGGGGTACCTGAGGTTAAAAGAAAACCCAGAGAACTCACCATTGTGTCTCCTCATATTGCAAGATATTTGGCTGGTTCACCATCTTCTCTCTACCTTTCAGAGTTTTCTTATGCTTTTTAAAAATGTGTAATCTATAAAGTTTTAATTTGGACTTAGTGGAAGAAAAAGGAAAATATATATCTATCCCTTTTTTCTGGAAGGTACAATGTTATTTGTAAAATGAAAATAATTGATCATCATATCTATTCTTTTGGACATGTAACAACCCACCATTGTCACATTTCTACAAGTAAATCACAAAATACAGTAAATCAACATGTATTTTACATAGATTCTTTTGATGAAATATTAAAAAACTAGTGCCAGTGTCATGTATTCTTAAAGGAGCCATGCCAGTAATCTTGCTAATATAATTCACTTTTTAAAAATTTAATCAGAGTGACCAGAAAATTTGGCCAAGTCTAAGAGTATAAATCATGTTATTCATAGATTTACCCATATTTTTCAATCTTCTACAATAAGTAAGCAGGTTATTTATTTATTACCTAGGTTACATGTTTGCCTTGTGGCTCTGACAAAGTGATCTACCTTCGGACTAACTGATTATTAGCAATCTCCAGGAGAAACACTAGCAACAAATATGATTGCCCATGTCATTGGCTTTCTTCAGTTATAAAGATAGACAAAAGTAGTAAAATGATAACTTTATAGTTAGCTATTTATATCAAAGGCAAAGTCAAGATCATAAACCCTCAGAAAGAATTGATACAGAGATATTTTCTTTTAATAGACTAATAAAATATACCCACCATTAATTTTTTACCTAGAGTTTCAGTCTTTATTGATTTGGAAAATTGAATGATTCTCTTGTTTCAAGTTTATATTCCATTTTAAACTAAACAATCTCCAAAATATGATAGCAGAAGAACTACACCTTTTAATTCTATCTGCTCTGCTTCATTTTTAGACCATCTTCTAAGAAATATTAAAAGCAAAGCAGTAAAATAGTTACCATGTAATGACATGATCTTTTCTCTTTCCTGATTTCTGATTCTTGAAAAATGGAGTAATTGTTCATTTGCTTTTCAGTAGACAGTATTTTGAGAAGGTGTCTCTTCAAACCCTTTTCACCATATTCAATTTTCTGCATCTCCTGGTTTGGTTTCTAAACTAATTTTATCAGAGTAGATCAAATAGTTTTATTACAGTAGCCAATTAAAGTTGGTTTCATACTTCTTACAGTTATTGGTGGGGTGAAAAGTATTTCTAAATACGTTTTTCCCCTCATCTCAGTAACCAGCAGGTCATAATAACAGTAAGTGTGTTCCATTAGTTAAACATATATCAATTATGAGACACAGTTACAAAATGTCAGGGAATTTAATCAGATTGAAAATTTTTTTTAAAAAAGATTTTAAATTATAACTATGTCATTAAAGAAAAGTGTTGAAAAAGATAGTCAGTCGTTGATTCTTATGAAATACCAGAAGACAATATTATAAAATCTATTATTATATCTAAAAAGAGGGAAAAATCATCTTTCCAGCTTGAGTTTACATGAAAATCTGTCAAGAAAGAAGTCAGTAAGTTAGACAATATCTCTTGGATTTTTTGAGGAGTCTTTCACTTTAGTTAATTAAAGAACCAGCAAAGAGATATATTTCTAATTTTGTAGCCCAAAGTTTGGTTGCTATAGCCAACACAAGCATGCAAGAGAAGCAATCTCTCTAGCATTGCTTGTTTCTCAGAGAGTTTATAACATTTCTAATCTAATTTGGATCATTTATATAATTCCTTAAGATACCAGTTTATTTGCACTTTATCCAGTTAGATTTACTTTTTCCCCTTCAGTCTTTAAGGTTTTAGTGAATGTTGACTCTAAAGTCAATAAATACTAGCAGTACTTTGCTCCAAACAAGGTACTATGGCTTGCAGCAAGTGTGGAATGCCTGAACTCTGCTCTTCTTTAGTCTCCCATCCCCAAGTCAGAAATAAATAAGTAAACAGGAGAAAATTTTCTAAAGTGGGATTCTTTGATTACAAAAAAAAAAAATCGTGACACTGGAACCACAACGAAGGGATCTGTGACTGGGCTGATGGTACCCTCACTTTGGACGAGGCTGACTGCGTGGACTTTGTAAGAGCTGAAGCTCTGCCACCACTGATGCCTCCTCAGCCTGTCACACGGGGTCCATGGGATCATTTCTCAACACTACCTTGATGCTTCTGTTTATTTTCTCATCTAGCTTATCTTTTCCATCATCAATTACATTTCACATGGATGAATCAGAAGCTTATAATTTTCTTCTGCATGGTTCCTAAAGGCACCTTAGGATTTCTTTATTTCTACATCTGTACTTTTCATAGAATGTTAATGGACTTCAACATGCAGAAATAACTGGATCAACACTGAACACTGTCTTCAGCTACTGACACGGTGCTGCTCACTAGGTGCTCAGCCTCTGCCTTCATGCTGTTTGCATCAGCAAATGCTTTCCTTTTTAGTTACTCAGTAGACACTCTTTGTGTTATTTAGTTTGAAGTTTTAAAAGTTTAAAGATTTTGCCTATTAATCCTTTCAAAGAAACATTAGATCATAACATTTTACCTGGTTAATTGAGAGAATTGTGATAGCTGTATAGTCACAATGAGGGAATTGTTCTTAATCACAGTCGTTCTTATCATTGTTAATGTGTGCTTTATGTATGCTTTCTCACAATTTCTATGACCTGTAACAACTTTTAATACTATTAATGAAGGAAGAATCACACAAAAATGGATTTAATGGGAAGTAATTATTGAAATTCAAAGATCTCCTTTATTTTAAGGTCCTTTATGAAGAATCTGTAAATACTCCTGCATTACATCTAATTCGTAGTAGAAATAGACCCAAATTCTTAAAGAAAAACAAAAAACAAGGAAATTTTGCATTATTCCTGAAATCTGGGAAAATTGTCCTACAGCTACTTCCAATTTCAACCAATATTTGGTATCCTTTCCTTTTTAGTCTCCTATCCCCGCATTAATCTCCACATCTTGACAAGGAGAAAAATATATAGGTATCACAAACTTTTCTATACATAGTAAACTCTCACCTGAAAATGTATATATTAAAAACTAGAAAAATATTTTGAAATATTTTAAGACAATGAAAATATGAAACTTATTCTCCAGATAAGATACAATACATATATTTATCTCCTTCCCCAGGAATGTCTAAAGTGTGAAACCAACTAAGTGACAAAAGATGTGAAGTATTATTGTCTTAGTTTTAGAGTTAGTCTGCTACTCTTACATTGAATGAGTCATATCCCTCGAAGGACTAATTGAAATGCTTTCTACTTTAAAATTTTCCATCCTAGATAATGTAGTCTCTATGTATATTGCAACAAGTAACGTACTCAGTGTGTCCGGAATTGGTGGGTTCTTGGTCTCACTGACTTCAAGAATGAAGCCGCGGACCCTCGCAGTGAGTGTCACAGCTCTTAAGGTGGCACGTCTGGAGTCTGTCCCTTCTGATGTTCAGATGTGTTCGGAGTTTCTTCCTTCTGGTGGGTTCGTGGTCTCTCTGGGCTCAGGAGTGAAGCTGCAGACCTTCGCGATGAGTGTTACAGCTCTTAAGGCAGAGCGTCTGGAGTTGTTCGTTCCTCCCGGTGGCCTCGTGGTCTCGCTGGGCTCAGAGTGAAGCTGCAGATCTTCGCGGTGAGTGTTACAGCTCATAAAAGCAGCGTGGACCCAAAGAGTGAGCAGTAGCAAGATTTATTGCAAAGAGCTAAAGAACAAAGCTTCCACAGTTTGGAAAGGGACCCCAACGGGTTGCCAATGCTGGCTAGGGCAGCCTGCTTTTATTCTCTTATCTGGCCCCCACCCACATCCTGCTGATTGGTAGAGCCCAGTGGCCTGTTTTGTCAGGGCGCTGATTGGTGCGTTTACAATCCCTGAGCTAGATACAAAAGTTCTCCACGTCCCCATCAGATTAGTTAGATACAGAGTTTTGACACACAGGTTCTCCAAGGCCCCACCAGAGCACCTAGATACAGAGTGTCGATTGGTGCATTCACAAACCTTGAGCTAAACACAGGGTACTGATTGGTGTGTTTACAAACCTTGAGCTAGATACAGAGTGCCAATTGGTGTATTTACAATCCCTGAGCTAGACATAAAGGTTCTCCAAGGCCCCACCAGAGCAGCTAGATACAGAGTGTCAATTGGTGCACTCACAAACCTTGAGCTAAACACAGGGTGCTGATTGGTGTATTTACAATCCCTGAGCTAGATATAAAGGTTCTCCACGTCCCCACCAGACTCAGGAGCCCAGCTGGCTTCACCTAGTGGATCCCGCACTGGGGCTGCAGGTGGAGCTGCCTGCCAGTCCTGCGCCGTCGGCTCGCATTCCTCAGGCCTTGGGTGGTCGATGGGACTGGGCGCCGTGGAGCAGGGGATGGCGCTCGTCGGGGAGGCTCGGGCCGCACAGGAGCCCATGGAGTGGGTGGGAGGCTCAGGCATGGCGGGCTGCAGGTCCCGAGCCCTGCCCCGGGGGAAGGTAGCTAATGCCCGGCAAGAAATCGAGCATAGCGCCGGTGGGCCAGCACTGCTGCGGGACCCAGTACACCTTCCGCTGCCACTGGCCCGGGTGCTAAGTCCCTCATTGCCCGGGGCCAGCAGGGCTGGTGGGCTGCTCCGAGTGCGGAGCCCGCCAAGCCCTCGCCCACCCGGAGCTCCAGCTGGCCCGCAAGCGCCGCACGCAGCCCTGGTTCCCGCTGGCGCCTCTCCCTCCACACCTCCCTGCAAGCTGAGGGAGTGGGCTCCAGCCTTGGCCAGCCCAGAAAGGGGCTCCCACAGTGCAGTCGGGGGCTGAAGGGCTCCTCAAATGCCGCCAAAATGGGAGCCCAGGCAGGGGAGGTGCCGAGAGCAAGCGAGGGCTCTGAGGACTGCCAGCACGCTGTCACCTCTCATTAGTATTGTTGCAGTTATCATTGCTATATAACAAATTACCCAAAAAAACTTGGCACAAAATGAAAACGATTTTATTATATCTCATAGGTTCTGTGGAAAAAGAATTTGGACAGGACTGGGCTGGGTGATTTTTCTACTCCTTGCACTGTTGACAGGGTAATTTACTGTTGCTTCTATGGTACACGGATTTGGAAAGCTCAAGACAACTCCACTGCCATTTCTGGGATGGATGGAAGACTGGCCTCAGTTGTAACTGCCAACTAGAGTGACCAAACTTAGTCTCTGAATCCTGGCAGTCTCAGGGTACTCGCACTGCTTTCATAGCAGCTGAGTTTCCCCAGAGCGACTGTCCCAAGACAACCAGGCAGAGTTGCATGAGCTTTTCTCACCTTGTGTCCGAATCCATGCACCGTCACTTCCACCACATTCTCTTGGGTGTAAGTAAGTCATGAGGCCAGCCCAGTTCTCAAGTGGAGAAGAATTAATCTCCACATCTTGACAGGGAGTAACAAGGTCAAATTGCGAAATAATTTATAGAATGGGAGACAATGTTGTGGTCAACTTTGAAACATACAACCTGAAAAATACAATCTGGAAATTCACTTATTGCCCAGAGTCACTTGACTAATAAGTGGTAGATTTAGGATTTTAACCCAGGCAAAGTCTGACACTAAAGAAGCCTTTTCATAATAATTTTATAATGGCTTGGAGAGAGACAGAGGGGAAAGAGAGAGACAGAGAAATACAGAGAATACTGTTTGGAAATCTTATTTTAGACTAAAAATTAGAGTTTTAGAATATAAAATAGTTTGCCATTTATCTCTTTTTTGTTTATCATATCACTAAATCTTTGTATGTATCATATGAATCAAAGATCGATTAAGGTGGAATATTTAGTCTTCTCTTTTACCCTTTATGCTTTTTCATAACATTGTGTCTGATATAAAGTAAATGAACAAGAAAGATTTGTTGAATGAATGAAGGTATGTTTTGTGCAAATGCTGGCAAAGGGAAGATAGTGTGTATTTGGAAAAATAAAGGCACAGTCTTAAGTATTTTCTAGGAATCGTAAACCTTTTATCTTTCCTTTGAGCTGCCTGTTGAAACCTATTTTCTGTGGGATTATTTTGTTTTCTATCCTAAGCTTAAAGCATATAAAGATACATATTCCCCTCCCCTTTCTTACCATTAACTTCACATTAAAAATATTTGAATATAGGAAATACAAAAATAGTTTTTGTGTAAATATGCAGGTTATTTTACATAATACATTATTAAATAAAATGTCTGTAGTAAATTAAACTATTGCAATTAAAAGTATAAGCAACTAATTTACTATACCCCTGTAATTAAAACTTTAAAAAATTGTATAATTTTCAACTTTGACTTGTTTAAAAAGTTACAAAATTATAAGTGATATATAATTAAAATGTATGTACAAATATGTCATATAAGGAAACTTGTTTATCCAACTACTGCAAATTTTTTAAAAGTAACATTTATTTTATTTCATACTCATAAATCTCTCTCCTAAAATATGATAAACGGATGAATAGCTTTTGTTTCTAAATTCTCTCAGAATTTGCCAAGGCAGTAGAGAGGATTTTTCTATTGCTTAGGAGGAAAGCATTTGGTATAATTTATTTGCTCAAAGTTAGCATTTCCATATGAGAAAACACAATGTTGCCATGACAATATGCCAGAAAAATCATAAATAAAATGCAAAATGACATATAACCTATTCTGTCTTAGAAAACAGGTCCAATTTTTAAAATATATGGAAATTTTATTTTTGAAAACTCTTTATAAGGAAACAATTTAATAAATAAAATAAGTTTGATTTAATTACATTTCAAATGCATGATAAAAAGAAATCTCATTGGATCTCAAGTTAGTCTCTTCATTTCCTTTTATTCCATTGGTTAACATTGGAAAATATCTTATGTGTGAAGTGTGAAGGGATCACCTTTTAATGGCTTGTGGAGAATTAATGGAGAATGCATGTATATAAAATTGATTCCATCAGACATTGATAGATTCCTTTTCAGTTAGTATTTGCTTTATCTAAAGGTAGCATTAGTTAGTTGACTAACTTACCCTTTTTTTTTTTTTTTTTAAGACAGAGTTTCACTCTTGTTGCCCAGGCTGGAGTGCAATGGTGCCATCTGGGCTCACTCACTGCAACCTCTGTCTCCGATTCTCCTGCCTCAGCCACCCAAGTTGCTGGGATTACAGGCTCCTGCCACCTACACCCGGCCAATTTTTTGTATTTTTATTAGAGACGGGGTTTCACCATGTTGGCCAGGCTGGTCTTTAGCTCCCGACCTCAAATGATCCACCCACCTCAGCCTCCCAAACTGCTGGGATTATAAGTGTGAACCACCGCCTCCGGCCTAATTTACCTTTTTAAGCCTTTAGTTGATGGAATGAAAAGTAACAATTCAGTGGGCGACTAAGAGAGAAGAAAATGGCATTTGTTTCCTGTCAGAACTGGAATTTGATTGTTGCTAACATTTCTGAACATAGCAGTTACTTAAGCAGAAAAAAGAGGAGAGAAAAAGACAACACATCTAAAAGCAAAAAAATGTGTCCTTTCCTTTTATTCTTGGTTGATGGAACCCAGTGTATAATGAAATCAACTTTGTTCCCCTCTTGGTCTTGGAGGTCCCATTTGGTTCTTTTATGTCAGTCTTTGTAGTTGCCATCCCTCATGTATCAGACCAGCTTTCACAAGTTCAGGTGGGCTGTCTTGCGTTTGGTGATGCTGGCTCTCCACGGCCCAATTACAAGGATAAGGCATGCTTGTGAACAAAGCTGTTAACCCTTAGATCTTACCACAAGGTAGCATATAGATGGAGGACAAAACTCCTCAGGTCACTTTGATTGTCTTTGTCTCTTATGGTGCAAAGTGATGACCTAGACAGTAACAAGGCCTTGATTATCTATCCCCCAGGGTCCAAAAGCAAATACACATGACCTTTTCATTTTGAAAAAAAAATCAAAAGTAACCAGGGGCTAGGTGTGAACTGTTTCTCTTAAGATTGAATCTTTGCAAAAAGAATTTGCTAAAGAATATAGTCCCTCAGCCAGGCACGGTGGCTCACACCCGTAATCCCAGCACTTTGGGAGGCCGAGGCAGGTGGATCACTTGAGGTCAGGAGTTTGAGACCAACTTGGGCCACCATGGTTAAGCCCCATCTCCACTAAAAATACAAAAATTTAACCGGGCGTGGTAATGCAGGCCTGTAATCCCAGCTACTCGGGTGGCTGAGACAGAATTGCTTGAACCCAGGAGGCAGAGGTTGCAGTGAGCCGAGACTGCGCCACTGCACTCCAGCCTGGGTGACAGAGCAAGACTCCCTCTGAAAAACAAAATAAATAATAATAATAATATAGTCCCTGAGCCTCTTTATGTATGTCTTACTTTCCTCCACTAAGTTATAATTATTATATATAATCATGCAAAATACACTGTAAATCTAGAGGAATAGAAAGTTTCAATAATATAAGGAAATAATTGAGTTATTTTTTTCATTCTGAAGTTAATTTCTCCTAAAAGTTGTTGAAAATCACATGTTTATTTTATTTATTTATTTATTTATTTTGAGACGAATTTTCACTCTGTTGCCCAGGCTGGAGTGCAGTGGCGCAATCTCGGCTCACTGCAAACTCTGCCCCGGGGTTCAAGCAATTCTGCCTCAGTCTCCTGAGTAGCTGGGATTATAGGCACCTGTCACCATGCCCGGCTAATTTTTGTATTTTTAGTAGAGACGGGGTTTCACCATGTTGGCCAGGCTGGTCTCAAACTCCTGACTTCAGTTGATCCACCCACCTCAGCCTCCCAAAGTGCTGGGATTACAGGTGTGAGCCACTGCACCTGATGAAAAGTCACATCTTTTTATTTAATCCTTCACAGAGACAGAAAATCATATCTTTATAGAAATACATTTATGCTAATTTTTTTTTTTTTTTGAGGCAGAGTTTCACTCTTGTTGCCCAGGCTGGAGTGCAATGGCGTGATCTCGGCTCACTGCAACCTCCGCCTCCTGGATTCAAGTGATTCTCCTGCCTCAGCCTCCCGAGTAGCTGGGATTACAGACATGTGCCACCACGCTGGGCTAATTTTGTATTTTTAGTAGAGGCGGGGTTTCTCCACGTTGGTCAGGCTGGTCTCGAACTCCCGACCTCAGGTGATCCTCCTGCCTCAGCCTCCCAAAGTGCTGGGATTACAGGCATGAGCCAGCACGCCCGGCCACCTTAATGCTAATTTTAATGCTTTATTCCTTATGACAGATGAATTCAGTGATGACATTGATTTCAGTTTCCTATAAAATGGCATTTGAATAGCAATACATTGGGAAGAACACCTTTATTCAGAAGGATATAAAGGAAATAAAGGATATCATCTCCAACAGTAGTTGACACAAATTATCATGTGGACCTTCAACATTTTTTTAGAAACTATTTGTTTACAAGTATGATTCCCTGCTTCAGAGCTAAAGCACTATCTTACTTATTTTTATTTCCCAAGTAATAGCAGAATTATTTCCAAATAGAAGGTGTTCAATAAATGTTTAATACATAACATATAATGTTGGCAAATCATAGCAACAAGTTTTGTTAAAGAGACCTGGAGATCTTGACCAAAAAGAATATTCAATAGTTTTATTCATATTTAATTAACAACAATAAAAGGAGACACTCTAGTATTAGACAAATTTCATTAGTTGATAATATGAACAAATGTGCAGGTATCAACAGTGTGCTCTGCCCAGAGCCCTCAGCATACACCATTTCCCTACCGTCTAGGGCTTCCTATTGCAAGCACCTGCAAGTTTGTGCTTGAGGACTTTCAGTGGTCACAAGAGCCTGTCCCACCATGTAACCCATGTAAAGGGCTGCCTGGACGTGCCAGGAATTTATGTCCTTGGGAGCAGCTAATATGATATGTAGTTGGTAGATACATACCCAGCACCTTCACCCTCATGTATAAACATAGTCTCCCAGAATTCCTTATCAGAATTGAGCCCCAGGTGCTTACTCTGCCATTGGCTGGCTTCTCTTTCTCACATTTCTGCTCCCCTACTACTCCCAGAGCTCAAATAAGCTAACTGCATATATATCTTTTTCTCAGTCTGACCTGTTTTATCATACAAAACTATTTTTTCTTTCAGTAAAAATCTAAATTATTTATTTATATTTCATTGTTCTTTCATTCAATATGCATCTACTGTCACCCATCATGTACAGTGAATTCTTGTTAACACTAAAATGTTCTTTTAAATAGGCCATTTTCAAACAGAATTTCTAGCTTTCATAAGAATTTAGGAAATAATTGTTTCAAACAAATTTCAATTGATTAATTAAGCCTGTTTGTTTTTAGGCCAGAAGGGCAATGAAGCATTGAGCTCAAAATGGCTTTCATCTCCAAATCTCCAGTACTTTGCAAACATAAGCTTATTGTTACCTAATACCTACATTATTCATAATATCTAGGATTGATAAGCCACATATTCTCAGTTCTATCTTAGGAAAACAAGAAATACTGGAAGATTTCTGGTGCTTCAGTCAAGAGAGAATTTTAAATCCCAGTAACAGAATTAAAGCTCTATTAAACTTTACAGAAACTATAGAGACCACAATACATCTTGTTTCACATGCAAAACCCTCACAGGATAACTCTCAGTAGATGCACTTCTAATTACTTAGCACTCTCTAGCACCAAATAGAATTACAGAGGTATTTATTTCAACATTTAAATAACTAAATGCTTACTTCAAGACATATATTTTGTTATTTTCCTTAGAAAAAGAAACTCAGAAGAATCTTAGAATTATTTCCTTCTCTAGCCCAATATAATACTATCACAATTGTGCCTATATTGTTTATATGGGGCATCTATTTTCAAAGAGATTTCAAGTACACTATTTCGTAGAAAGCTGTTGTTATTTTCACTTGGGGGAAACCAGTACTCCTAGAGGCTGAGCAACTGGACAGACAGGACATGCAATCGGGAATAGTCCAAGGTGGCCTTCACCACATTTCAGGGTGATTCCACTTGACCATGCTAACGTGGGTGGAATGGATAACACCTCCGACCAGGGGGAAAATGCTCATCCACTGTGAATTCTGTATTATCAGAGAATTCTTGCATTGCCTGAAAAGAATATACAGTTTCAGAGGAAAAAGAATGTCCCTAGAAACACATTTATATCTTCAATGAAGAGGCAATGCTTATTTCATTTCTTTGTGTTGAATCAAATCAAATTCTTGGATGAAAGAATTTACAAAATAGTCATTATGTAGAAATTTTTTTTCTTTTTCTTTTTCTTTTTTTTTTGAGACAGAGTCTCACTCTGTCGCCCAGGCTGAAGTGCAGTGGCGCGATCTCGCCTCTCTTCAAGCTCCGCCTCCTGGGTTCACGCCATTTTCCTGCCTCAGCCTCCAGAGTAGCTGGGACTACAGGCACCCGCCCTGTAGAAAATTTTAAAAGCATAAATCCTGTGCAAATGGTTGGATCTTAGTGGAGCAGTAAAGTCATTGATTTTCTTTGCTGAAGCTAACATCTGGTAAATGTATAGCTTCTTGTACTGTAGCTTAGCGGCAATAACAAAAATACTGTCATCACATCAATGGTCAGCCAACATCAAGAGTAAACGTTATTATCCAGAAAATAAATCCCAAAGAAAATGTATTTCTAACTGATTAGCAAAGCTGGCACTTGGGGACCCTACATAAAGAGGCAACTTTGTTTCTTAGCAACAGAAGCAGAAAACAAACTGAAATATGATGGTCTTGACAAGAACAATAAATGGGGGGAAATCAGTGTAACTTGAAAAAATCAGGAGAGAAGTTAATAGGTATTGAGTAAAGTGGCAGAATACTTTTACTTTTAAGAGATTTTGAGCACAAATCCTACATATAGAGGAGAATGATATTTGTAGCCAAACAAAAATCTTTAGAAAAAAATTTGTTTTATATAAGAAAATGATTCACTACATTTTTTATTATATTGCAATCTATTACAATCTATCAACTAATGTGTTAAGAAATGAGAGTAAAGGAATAAATCATACTTATATGCTTTTATAATGTTATACTGGGGATCAAATCATAGAAGAAAACACATTTTACAGATTATCTGGATTTTAATGTATTAAGAGAATTTTCACAAAATGTTATAATATATAAAATATTTTAAATTTATTTTCTTAAAACTCATTTAAACTTTCAATGGGATTGGACTTTTGAAAACGCATTATAGACATTTTATTCAATTCAATGAACATTATTGATTTCTAATTAATTAATTAAATTTATTAGAGACATGGTCTTACCTCCTCACCCAGGCTGGAGTGTAGTGGCTCAATCTTGGCTCACTGCAGCCTCGAACTCTTAGACTCAAGTGATCCTTCTGCCTCAGCCTCCCAAATCACTGAGATTACAAGCTTGAGCCACTGCACCGAGACTCATTGATTAATAACAGTTTCTATTTATTGAATGCTTACTATGAACTGAGCTCTTACTAATCCATTTACATAATTATTTTACTTCATCTTTACAACAGCAGTAAAAGTAGAAATTATTTTCCTCTTTTCACAAAAGAAAGCAAATACCTAGAGAAATCTGCTTGTGGTAGGCAGAATCCTAACGGAGCCTCTAAGAATCCTAACCTGTTATGTGCACACTTTCCACCCCTTAATGATGTACATAATTCCCCTCTCCTTCAGCATGGGTAGAACCTATAAATCTGGATGGTAAACCCCTCTTGTTATTGGTTGATTTTGAATTAATCAAAAGGAAGATCGGCTGAGCTTGATCTACTCAGTGAGCCCTTGGATCCTGGGTATGTGGCCCCTATCCACAGGTCCTCTCACACAACCAGTCTCTTTACTTTGAAAAATAGACCTGGAGATTTTGACCAAAAAGAATATTCAATAATTTCATACTAATTTAGATAACAGCAACAATAAAAAGTGATACTCCAGTCTTAGCCAAAATTTCTTTAGGTATTTATATGAAAAAATGTACAGATCTTGTCAGAGAGATTGGTGGTTTGAGAGGACCTGTTGGTGGGGGTCACATACCCAGGACCTGGGAGCCTCCTCTAGAAAACGAGAGCAGTCTGTCTCTGGATGGAAGCCTGCAAAATGGCAGGGACCTCCATCATACAACTGCAAAAGCATGAATTCTGCCTTGAGCTTCCCAACTGAAACTCAGGGTCCTCTTCCAAGGAACCACCAAAATCAGGAAACATCTTGATTTCCCCCTGGTCAGACCCTACAAAGACGACTCAGCTAACTGGCATCCAGATAAAAGACATTCAGAAACTGTGAGATAATAAATGAATGTTGTTTTAAGCCACTAAATTTGTGATCATTTGTTATGCAGCAATAGAGGAATAATGTGGTGCTTCGAGTCCTACTGGCAGTAAGTGAGATGAAAATCCAGGACAGTCTGATTATGATGGTCTTGCTTTCAAACATCCTCATATCCATTTCCATATAAATTAGGCTTTTTTTTTGTTTGCTATCTATAGAAGCTGACTTCTGGCAAACTGAAATAAAAGTAAAAAGATTCCATTTCTTATGAAATACTGAATATCTCACAGAATGATAAAAGAAAAGCTAGACAGCTAGCCTTAGGAGGGACAAGACAGGGAACAGTTTCCAGAATCCTGGCTGAAATGACAACAGCCTTTGTAGGCAGCTGCTATTGGAAAATGGCTCTTCTCACTGCTTCAGTCTTGAAACTCCAGACTCCTAGTTGTCCCACCTAAGTCACAGGCCCACATCTGTAGTCATAGAGGCTGGAAGTGTGATTGATTGAACTTTCAGAATCATAAGAAGTGGAGAGAAAAAGAAATAATGCAGAATTGCTTTTTGTTTTTACATTGTAAGAGATGGAGGTTGTATTAGCATTCTCCAGAGAAATCGCCAATGAAATGTGTACAGAGTTAGATAATTGTTTTTAAGAATTGCCTTGGCTGGGCGCAGTGGCTCACGCCTGTAATCCCAGCACTTTGGGAGGCTGAGACGGGCAGATCACAAGGTCAGGAGTTCGAGACCATCCTGGCAAACATGGTGAAACCCCATCTCTACTAAGAATACAAAAAAATTAGCTGGGGGTGGTGGTGTGCACCTATAGCCCCAGCTACTCAGGAGGCTGAGGCAGGAGGATAGCTTGAACCAGGGAGGTGGAGGTTGCAGTGAGCTGAGATCATGCCACTGCACTCCAGCCTGGTGACGGAGTGAGACTCCGTCTCAAAACAAAACCGAACAAAACAAAAACAAACCAACAAAAAAAAAAAAAACAAAATGAGTCGGCTCATGCAATGGTGGAGACTGGCAAGTTAAAAATTCACAGGGCAGGCTGGCAAGCAGAAAATTCCAGCAAGGGGTGATGATGCAGTCTTGAATTCAAATGTCAGCTGGAAGGTAGAATTCCTTCCTCTTAGGGGCCTCAGTCTTTTTTATTAAGGCCTCCAACTTAATAATAATAATGATTGGATTATTATTATATAATCCAATCATTATTATTATAATGATTGGATGAGACTCAGCCACATGATGGAGAGGAATCTGCTTCAGTTGGAGGCTGCTGATTTAAATGTTAATCACACCTAAAAAATACCTTCACAGTAATATCTAAACTGATGTTTAACCAAGCAACTGGGAATCACAGGCTAGCCAGGTCGACACGTAACATTAACCATCATGGAGGAGGGTACAAAAATTGGTTAAGGCTTCCGGTGCCTCCATATGGGTTTTTCTATATTATAGCCCTTTACTGTGGACCAAGAAACCAACAAAAAGATTCTGAAAATTGGAGATCTTATCTTTCCATAATTAATGTCACAATGCAACCAAAGTACTACACTGAAAATTATGGGAACACAGTAAATATCCATGAGCTTTGGACAATTTATACTGATAGAAAAAAAAATAGATTACTTCATTGAATTTTAAAAATAGATGTAAAAAATATTATAATCATGCTGAAACAATTTATCTGAAATTCCCTTCACCATATACCCATTTTACTAATAATATTAAATGAGTGAACAACCATACATGCAGAAACATTATAGTTGATTAATTGGATTTAATTTAAAAATCTATGGGACCTGCCTATGATATGATTGCAGAATTAGGGCAAAAAATTAAAACATGCCATCTTTGAGGAAAAAGTACATTTTGAATTCTTATACATTTATAATTAATTCAGTCATCTAACAAACACTTGTTTAGTGCTGGTTCTGTAGAAAATTATTAAGTGGGATCTCAGATCCCTTTAATCTCCCTTTGTGATAACTTTATTGTCTTGCAGGAAGCAGATGAAATAGAAACCATGACTTTCTAACTGTTGAATAAAGGACTTTAGGACCCTAATACACCTGCTCAAACTTAAGCTTTCAATTTTTAATGAGGAGAATCATGTGACTAATCATCCCCTGTCAAAAATTGTCATTTTTGATTCTTATGCTTGCTTGGTTATTGACATTTGTATTTCCATAAATATATTTTGTCCATAATGAAATTTGTCTATAAATGTTCCAGACATGTGTAATGGAGGTTGTGCTTGAATATTTTTGTGGGCCCAGGATTCTAGCTTAATCAGGACAAATGTTTGAGGAATTCCCATACTGGGACAGTTATGAATTGGTATTACTAAGGGTTGGCTGTAAATAGAGGACTACTCTATCTTGTTAACACTTTCAATTTAAGAGTGAGGACAATTCTTTCACATTCAAGCACCTAAGGCAATCTGGAAGGCTAGAGACTACCTCCTTATTCAGCATAACTAACATTAGGCCATATACTGACATCAAAGAGGAAGTGAAAGCTCTTTAATTTCTAATCTTTTACTGTCAATTGTGGAGGCAGTGGAATGTAGTGAAAGGTCTGGATTCGGAGTGCCTTAACTAGAACCCTGGCTCTACTGGGTAATAACTATGTGACCCTGTCTGCTTTTCTCAGGTTCTCTGCCTCATCTGCCTCACTTTCTTTTCAAAATATGAAAAATGGCAATATGTTTTCAATTAGAACTACATAAAATAATACACAAAGAATGCTTAGAACCAGAGGAATCCTTGTAAAATGATAACCAGAAAAAAAATTCTCAAAATTATAGAATTTGCCAATTTCTATTGTGCAAATCTTCCCCCTCCCCTGCCCCCAACTCAATTTCAAGCTGCCAATGTGACATCACTGAATTCAGAGGTAGAGATGTGCTAATTGGATCTTTGGAGATGGTATGAGCCAGCTCTAGCACACCGCTGCTTTTAACAGTGCCTTCACATTCAACAAAAAGAAATTATGCCTTCCAAGTTTATCCATGTTGTCACATGTGGCAGGATTTTATTCTTTTTAAGGCTTAGTAATATTTCATCATATATATACACACACACATATATATATGAATATATATGCACACATATATACACATATATATGAAGTATCACATATAAAGTATCTGAAATAGTCAAAGTCAAAGGAACAGAGTATAATATACATGTATATGTATATTATGCCTCATTTTCTTTATGTTTTCTTCTGTCAGTGGACACAGGTTGATTCCATATTTTAGCTATTGTAAACACAGCTGCAACAAACTTGAGAGTGCAGATATCTCTTTGATATACTGATTTCCTTTCCTTTGGGTATATACCAGGAGTGGGATTGGTGGATCATATAGTAGCTCTATTTTTAATTTTTTGAGGACCTGCTGTGCTGTTTTTCATACTGGCTGCACCATTATACATTCCCTCCAAGAGTGTACAAGGGTCCCAATTTCTCCACATCCTCACTAACATTGTTATGTCTTGCTTTGGATAATAGCTGTCCTAACAGGTATGAAGTACTATCTCATTACGGTTTTGATTTGCATATGCCAAGTAAAATAAGCCATCCACAAAAGGGCAAATAGTACATGACTCCATTTATATGAAGTATCTAAAATAGTCAAACTCAAAGGAACAGGGTATAATGGTGGTTGCCGGGGGTTTGGGGTAAGGGGGAAATGGGGCGTTGCTGTTAAATGGGTAGCAAATACAGTTAACACAAGATGAGTAAGTTTCAAAGATCTGTTGTACAATATTTTATGTATAATTAACAATACTGTATTTTTTAGTTAGAAATTTATTAAAAGAATAAATTGAACTGTGTTAAGTGTTTGTATTATAAATAAATAAATATTAGTAGTAGTCCTACTTTCTTGAAAACTTATAAGTAAACGTTGTCTCATCAAAGAGGTCACCATAACAGGCAGATTCTGAAACACTCTTTTAGTCTGCTTTATGCTGCTGTAACAGAATTCCTGAGGCTGAGGAATTTATAATCTACATATATTTATGTGGCTTATGGCTCCGGAGACTGTGAAGTCCAAGATCAAAGGGGTGCATCTGCTGAGGGCCTTCTTGCTGTGTCATCCCATGGCAGAAGGTAGAAGGGCATGCCAGACAGAGAGAAAGTGAGAGAGGAGGAGGTTGAACTCACAACCCCAAGCCCTTTTTTAATCTGCGTTAATCCATTCATGAGGGCAAAGCCCTAATGACCTGAATACCTCTCATTAGGCCCCACCTCCCAACACTGTTTCAGTACGGATTGGTTCCAACACATGAATTTTGAGGGACACATTCAAACGATAGCACTCCTCAAGTTCCTAGCACCTACTTTATGACATCCCCTGGTCAACAAGAGAAAGATGCATCTGTTCTGTAGACCTACTTTTTTCATGCTGTAGTTATTATTTTTCTACTTCGGCTGCTCTTATCAAGATCAGGGCAATTAGCAGCAAAAACTTAACCTGCCATGGTGCTATCCATGGTCGGACAAATCTTCAGCTGTTCTTCTTACATATAAGCAACTACTCAGGGACAGAGAATGTGTTTGTTGGTTCTAAATTACAGCTTGAGACCTAAACATATATCTTAATAGCTACTCTAGTTTTAAAACCAAAAGTGCCATGATTTGTTTGACTAATTTCAGAATTTCTATTGAGTGTTCTCTGGTTCCAGGTAGCTGCATGGGGATGGAGTCTTCATCTTTTTCATAGCAAATGAATTTTGGAACAAAATTTGCCTGTAATGAGTGTTATTTTCTCAATGGGAGGAAACCTCTTATTTTAATCAGTGTTGAAAATAAATATTACTTTGATTTGGACTTGTATTATTTTATTTGATATTACAAAACTCTTTTCTTTGTGAAAAAGGAGATGGAATATTATTTTGCTTTTAAACTATTCCAAAAAGGCAAAGTAAAACCACACAATCTGATGATATGACTCAATCATGTTGAAGACACCTTCCCCAACTCCTCATCCTGGCACCAATTTGTATGATTCTTGTATGATTGTACCATTTAGCAAAATATTAAATGTTTGTGATTACTTTGTTTTAAAATAAAATTTGTTTGTAAGATAGAACACTTCTCTGATTTCCACGATTTCTCTATCAAAGAATATGATATTGGACAAGTAACTAAATATCCCTAGATTTTCATGTCTTCACCTGTAAAATTAAAAATGTACAGTAAGGGAATATTTAAGGACACTTTCAGCTAAATTAGTATATTTTTAAAGAAACACCAAATCAAAATGATAAACCCAAAAAGATCAAACGTTTTGGTGTCAGAGATCATCAAGAAACATTTTGCATAAAATCACACTATCTTTTTTTCTTTACTCCTGAATTTTGTATTTGAAAGTGAATAGGCTTTCATTCAGGTTGGCGAGGTCATTGTTCAAATCCTAACCTTACTATATATTGCTTATTGACTTTAACCTATAAAATTTATTCATTTGACAAACATTTTTGAGCACCTTCTCTGTACCAGCCTCTGTTCTAGGCATGGTTCAGGGCCTGTTCTAAGATAATAAAATTTGGATATAAGGATACAAAGTCACTGTCCTCATGGAGATTACATTCTGGTGGGTGAATACAGAAATTTAAAAGATAAATTAATACATAATATTAAGTAGCAATAAGAACTAACAAGAAAATTAAAGTCAAGGAAGAGGATAAATCATGGTTGAAATATTGTTTTAGACAAGGTGGTCAAGAAGAACTCTCTAAAGAGGTGAGGCAGAGGAAGAACAAGAGCCAATTCCCTGAGGTGGAATCACACTGGTGTGTTCAAGCATTGACAAGAAAATCAGGGTAGTTGAAACATACTGAGTGATGGTGACTGATAGTGTGAACAGGATTGTGACAGCATATGTAGGCCAAGTGTATTTGTCATTATGTAACAAATTATCTCACACTTAGTGGCTTAAAATAACTTACGTTTATTATCTTACAGTTTCCATGGATCATAAATCCAGACACAGCTTAACTGGGTCCTCTGCCCAGGGTCTCATGAGGCTGCAGTCAAGGTGTTGGCCAGGCTGCATCCTCATCTGGAGGCTCAGCTGGTTAAGAGTTCACTTCCAGATTCATTCAGGTTGTTGAAAGAATTTGTTTTCTTGAAAGCATATGACTGAATAACCCATTTTCTTGTTAGTTCTCAGCTTCTGGATGTTGCTCTCAGGCACTGGCCATGTGGCCCACTCAATAGCTAATTAACAAAATGCCTGTTTCTTTAAGGTAGGCACGGGAAGCTATTTTCAGGAAGTCTTCAGTCTCTCTTCCAATGGATTTCATCTAAATCAAGCATCCCAGGATAATTTCCTTTTCATTTAACTTAAGATCAACTGATCTGGGATCTTAACTATATTTGCAAAATCCCTTCACATTCACAATATAATGTAACCTACTTAAAAAAGTGACAGCCAATTTGTATCCTATTCATGGACCCCGCTCACTCTTAAGGGAAGGGAATTATAAAGGATAGGTACACCAGGGTGGGTATCTTGAGAGCCATTTTAGCATTTTGCCCACCACACCAAGGTAAAAACCTTAGATTTTGTCTTAGAGTAATGGGAAGTCATTAGAATATTCTATGCAGGAGGGTGACATAATTAAGTATAGTTTTTAAAAGGATTACACTTGCTGCTCTGTGGGGAATTTACTGTAGGGCTACAAGAATGGAAGCAGTGAAAAAATTAGGAGGCTTATGCAGTAGTGTAGGAGTGAGATGATGATGATCTGGACTGGTGTGATAGCAATGAGTCTAGTCATATATTTTCTATATATTTTGATATGGCATTTAGATGGTTATAAGATATGTATTTAGCATTAGTAATGAATAAGATATGCATTTAGCATATGATGAATAAGATATGCATTTAGCATTCGTAGATACTAAACAAAGGTAAGTTACCTTTCATTCATATTATTATATTTCTTATTTGGAAGAGATACTATTTTCTTTAAATAATCTCATGGCAAAAACTGGCACCCTGACAGAATTTATAAATTTACAGAGTTTATTTTTTTAATCAAAATCTAAGTAGTTGAAGATTAAGAAATGAGCAGTGAAAGTTCAGGATATAAAGAAAAATTGATTCATTTTCTTCTCACTCTGAAAATTCAGTGTACATTATTATTCTCTTTGCTTTATACTCAACCAAGTAAAAGGAGAGTGGTTTTTGGATGTAAGACTCAACTACATTTAATTGCACCCTTTAATTAAATCTGGCTTGTGTCTGAAAGTACTAAGTTATACCAGAGAAAAATGGCTCCTTTCACCAGTAAGATATCCTGTGAGAGAGAAAAAAAATTATGGCTTCAAATCTCAATCTCTAGAGTACCACTAAAGTAAAAGCATTTGTTGAAACAGCCATATCCACGAGTCTCAGTGGTTCAGCCCAGAACAGTATTTCAGAATTTCCATTATGTTTGTATGCAAGAAACCAAGAGAAATGAGCCAGTTCTCTCCCCAGAGGATG
This sequence comes from Homo sapiens, assembly GCF_000001405.40. Lineage (NCBI taxonomy): Eukaryota > Metazoa > Chordata > Mammalia > Primates > Hominidae > Homo > Homo sapiens. The sequence continues at coordinate 38,488,825 of NC_000013.11, forward strand.
GCTGAGGTTTAATAAGTACGTGGTTGTAGGAGCTTTTAGCTCCTGTGTATACAAGTTTTTAGAAGACACTACTATATTAAGAGTATAATATACACAAGGCCTACATCCTTTTAGAAACAAAGTTGATTAAAATTTTTAAGATAAGAATTGTAAAGATAATTTCTCACTGGCTTTTCATCAAAGAGATCCCCATATTCAGTAATCAGAAATATTGATTGATGACTTAAGATGCCAGGTATGTATGTGGCAACTATGCTATACAAACTAACTTTACAATTGAAGGGAGGGATGAGGTTCTATTGCTAGTGCCCATGAGAATGACACTCCTGCTGACTTCTAGAACAGAGGTTCTAAAATCTACGTGCATATTAGAATTTTCTGGGTACTTTTTAGAAATTACCAAGGTCTATAGGTTTCACGCCAAGAGATGATGATCTAATTAATTTGGAGGTAGATTCTGAGCATAAGTCAATTTTTAAAAATAAACATGATAGGCAAAATTTTGGCCCCAAAATGTGTTCCTTTTCTAATCTCCAGAATCTGCCAGTGTTATAGGACTTTACAGATGTGGTTCAGGTAACAGACCTTGAGACAGCAAGATTACTGGGCAGAATCCAATCACAGGAGCACTTAAAATCAAAGACCACTTCCTGGCTAAAGTCAGGGATGGGCCAGAAGAAAGGAAAGATTTGAGTTTGAGCAACTGGACCTATAATTACTGGCTTTGAAGAGGAGAGAAGGCCCATGAGCCAAGGAATATGGGGCACCTCAAAGACTGGGAATAGCCCTCAGCTGACATCAACCAAATAAATAGGAATATCAGTCCTACAATGGAAAGGAACTGAATTCTGCTAACAACTGGGAAAAACTAGGAAACAAATTCTACCTTAAAGTCTACAGAGAGGAACATAATTCTGTTGTTATCTTGATTTTAGTCCAGTGAGCCCCATGCCAGATAATATTAAATTGTGTTGTTTAAGCTCCTAGTTTGTGGTAGTTTGTTTATGGCAGCAATGGACATAATTATAAATAATTTTGTATATATTATACATAAAATAAAAATATAATAAATTTTGTATTTTAAACTAGTTTTAGGTTTACAGAAAAGTTGCAGAGATAGTACAGATTTCCCATAAATCCCACATCCATCTGCCTTTGCTATTAGCATCTTACATTGGTATGCTATGTGAGTCACAAACAGTAAAACAATATTAATTCATTATTACTAACTAAAATTCATACTTTATTCAGGTTTGTTTCATTTTTACCTAATGTTCTTTTTCTGTTCTGGGATCCAATCTAGATTAGACTTGTCTGATGTTTTTTGGGATTATGTGATGTATGTGATTCTGGGGAGGAAGATCACAGCAAAGTGCCATACTCATCACATCATATCCAGGGTACTTGCAACCTGAGGGGTTTATCAGTGCGGATCACCTGGCATTTGACAGGCTTCTCCTCTCTTTCATCCTCCTTGGAAAGGAGCCATTGTATCTAGCCCACACTTAAGTGGTGGGGAGTTATGCCTCATCTCCTTGAGGAAGTAATAACTATATAATTTATTTGGAATTAGTCTACACAGGAAATGTATTCTTTTCCATTATTTATTTATTCAATACCTTGTTTACATCAGTGTGGACTCATGGATATTTATCTTATACTTTGGGTTATAGTTTAATGCTACTTTATTTTGTTGCTTAAATTGTTCTAGATTTGGCTAGCAGGTTCTCTTTCAAATGACTCCTGTGTCCTTTTTACATACTTTTATTATCATGTTTTTTGACTACTTTCTTATTTTCTTTTGCTACAAGATGTTCCAGAATTATCTCATGTATTCCTTACCCCAATCCTAGACTCATCCATTTCCCCAAGAAGCTCTAGTTTCTTTTATTTGAGAATGGTATTTAAAAATCAGTTGTGAGTTGAATATAGTCATGGCTACTGAGATGGCGTTGCTTCTGAACTTTCTCAGCTGAGAGAACAAGGAAATACATGTGCGTATACTAACCCACAAATAAACACCTATCTATAAATATCTCTACATGTATCTTCCTGTATGTATGCAAAGCTAGACATGACCTCATATTGATGGCTCGAGGTATCATCCATACCACATGGATTATTGTAGCCTTCCCTCTTACCTGTCTAGAACCTCCCATTACAAAAGTGAAAAACCTGGTTCCCACCAGCCTCCCACCATTTTTACATGTTCCATTGTACTATACATGTATAGTGGTTTCAGAATTGTCAATCTGGGAAGCAGCTTTACCAAGGAGAGTACAGAACTTATAATTAGTTCCTTTTGTTTTGGTTTTGCAGTCACCATTCATTTCTGGATTTACTTGGGTAAGCATCTTTTGCCCCACAGCCATAGCGAAGTTATTTCATACATTTGTATTTAGAGTTTTCTATTTAGCTAATCATGTCATTTGCAAATAAGCACAGGTTTATTTTTTCCTTTACAATATTTATATATTTCATTTTTTGTTTCATTTTAATATCTAGGACTTAAAGAATGATGATAAATAGGGATGATGAATGAGGACATCCTTGCCTTTTTCCTAATATTAGGGGGAATTAATTCAGTCTCACATTAAGTATGATGTTAGCTCTAGGATTTTTAGTTATTCCCTTTACTAGGTTAAGGATTTCTCTTCTTTTCCTATGATTTTGAGAGTTTTATTATGAATAGGTATTGAACTTTGTTGATTGCTTTTTCTGAATCTATTGATATGATCACATGGTTTCTCCCATTCATTCTGTCAATATGATACATGATATTAATTTATTTGTGAAAGTTGGAAGCAATATTGCATTCCTGGAATAAACCATTTGGTTTTGATGTATTAACCTTTTTGTATATTGCTGGATTCAATCTGCTACTATTTGATTAACGATGGCATCTTCATTTATAAGACATGTCGGTCTGTAGTTTTATTTTCTTGCAGTGCCTTATGTTGACATTAAGGTAATGTTAGTTTAATAAAATGAGATAAGAAGTGTTCTTTCTATTTCTACATTATGGAGAAATTGTAGAAAATCAGTATAATTTCTCTTTGAATGTTTGGTAACATTCACCAATAAAACCACCTGGGCCTGGTTCTTTCTTTTTTGGTAAGTTTTAATTACTGAATCAATTTACTTAATAGATATAGGGCTTTTCTGTCTATTTTCATTTTCTTGGGTGAGTTTTGATGGTTTGTGTCTTTTGAAAATTTTGTGTACTTAAGTAGGTTATTAAATCTGTTGGACAAGAGTTGTTTGTAGTATTTGCCTATTATCCTTTAAATAGGCATCCTTTAAATATCCTTTAAATGGGATCAGTAGTCATGGCTCCTCTATCATATTTGATATTGGTGATTTCTTCTGCTTTTCCTTGGTTACCCTGGCTGCAGGTTTATACATTTTGATTGATCTTTTCAGCAAATCAATTTTTGGTTTTGTTGATTTTTTATATTGTTTCCTGATTTCCAATTTGTTGAATTCTGCTCTAATTTTTACTAATTTGTTTCTTTTGCTTGTTTTAGATATAATTAGCCTTTCTTTTTCTACTTTCCTAAGCTGGGACCTTAGGTTATGGGGTTTAAATTTTTATTATTTTCTAACACATGCATTTTATGCTATAAATTCCCTTCTAACCATTACTTTATCTACATCCAACAATTTTTGACATTTCATTTTATATTTACATTTAGTTTAAAATATTTTTAATTTACCTTGAGGCTTCTTTAATCCATGAGTTATTTAAAAGTGTGCTGTTTAATTACCAAATATTTGAGGATTTTACAGCTATTAATATATTTCTGTTGTTGATTTCCCATTTAATTCCATAGTATTTTAAAAACATTATTTCCATCCTTTAAATCGAATAAGGTTTATTTCATGGCCCAGCATGTGGTCTATGTGAGCTGGAGAAAAATATGTTTTCAATATAGCCCCATAGTTTTTGGATGTTCTGTTTTGTGGGCCTTTTGTTTTTAATTTTTTTTCTTTTTGCATGTCAGACTGGGAAGATTTCCTCTGACTTATCTTTAAGTTCACTGATTCTTTCCTTGACTATGTCAGGCTTACCAGTTTGCCCATTGAAGGCATTCTTCTTTTTTGCTATTAAAAATAAATAAATTCTAGCATTCCAATCTAATTCTTTCCTATCACTTCCATTTCTCTGCCTACATTACCCATCTGTTCTAACATGTTGTCTACTTTTCTCACTAGTGCCCTTGACATTTTAAATCGTAGTTATTAGTAATTTCCTGTCTGATAATTCCAGTATCTGTGTCATATCTGAGCCTGGTTTTGATGACTTTGTCTCTTCAGAACTTAATATCCAAATTTATGCTAATCTGACTAGGAGTTGGGCTGTGTTTGCTGTTTGCTGTAGCTATAGGTATCTGAAGCTCCAAATTCCTTTGGTGTCCTAGTTTTTGTCTTCCTCTTAGTACAGGGGCTCATTGTCTGCTGCTCCTCAGAGAGAATCTATGTCTTGCAGTTCTTTCAGCTGCAATCCACTGTTATTATACTGGGCTCCTTTTGCTGTTGTGGTAAAGTTTGCGGAAGAAGAAGCGTTCTATAACATTCCTTTGACTCTCAGTCTTTTAGTGGGCTTCTACTTTGGGGCTATGACGCTTCTGTTCTCTTATAGTATAGAATTTCTCCTTTCAACACCCAGTCTCTTCCCTGGCTGCAGAATTTTTATCTATTTCCATGAAGTCCTGAGCCTATTAACTATGTATTATATGTATATAATTACTATGTATTTCTTTTTTGATTAGTTGGCTGTGTGGAAGGTATCACTTTTAGGTGATATAGAAAGGCTAGAGGAAGATGAAGTAGGGAAGAATTCCTCTCCTCAACTGAGATAAAATTTCAGAATTATGCCCTAGCAAAGTCCTTTCCTGTGGAGAATAGACCTTTTTTTTTTTTTTTTGAGACGGAGTCTCGCTCTGTCGCCCAGGCTGGAGTGCAATGGCGCGATCTCGGCTCACTGCAAGCTCCGCCTCCCAGGTTCCACGCCATTCTCCTGCCTCAGCCTCCCGAGTAGCTGGGACTACAGGCTTCCGCTACCACGCCTGGCTAATTTTTTTTTTTTTTTTTTAGTGCAGACAGGGTTTCACTGTGTTAGCCAGGATGGTCTCGATCTCCTGACGTCATGATCCGCCCGCCTCAGCCTCCCAAAGTGCTGGGATTACAGGCATGAGCCACCTCGCCCGGCCAAGAGTAGGCGTTTTTAATGGATAAATCTTTGGGAGTGTTTCCCGGTGTTACTCTCTCTCCTCTGTCAGAGATACTGAAGTATCTTACTGTGATCTGCACCATGAGAACCTGGTGGGCTTTCTAGAGAGAAAGCCCATGAAAGTGTGGCACCTCATTCAAACTGCAGCTCCAGAAATGACTTAGTCTTATGCTAGTCCACACTCAGCCTCCAGGAGTCCATCCAAATTACCTTTTCCTATCGACTGTTAGCTCCAGCGGCTTTTGGGGAAGGAGATCTGAGTTGCTGCATCTCTCTGGATGTGCCCCTCTCTCCAGGTTTTGGGATGGCAGTTTGTGCAGCAACCTCAGTTCTCTGATGGATCCAAGGAAAGTCACTGATTTTCAATTTTTACCTCTTTTCCTTGTTGTAAAGATAGCAGTGCTGACTGTTAAATTCATTGCACGTTACAGCAGAAAGAGGAAATCTACAGCCCATATTTAAAAGCTCTCCTGGTGATTCTAATATACAGACAAGATGAGCACTGCCTCCAGAGAGCAAGAATTAAGGATTTGTGAGAACAGGCTGCCAGTAGGGGCACGAACTTCAGCTAGAGGTTGGCAACCAGATGGAGGGGGATTACATAGAGAAGAGGCCCAGAAACCCTGCAGAGAGTGATAAAGGGAGCTGATCTCTGGGCCAGGACAGAGAACTCAAGAGAAATTGGCAGTATATCCAGAATTACCTTGTGGCTGGTAGTTTATGCACCACTGTGCCTGAAAGCATGCCATTCTACCCTGGAATATATGTTATCATTTTCTTCCCTTATTTAATGTGAGAATTTCTCTGTTATGTGGCATATGCATGCTTCTTTAAGGAGCTGAATGAACTACTATGGTGTTGAATAGCTATTGTATTATAATATAGAATCAGAGTCATCTGGGGATTGAGAACATAAGAATATCTGGCCTCACCCCAAACCTACTGAATCATATTTTTGAAAGGATGATGTACTTATTAGTTTATTAAAAATTCTGATTACTAGCCAGGTTTAGGCATCCGCATTGTTAATCACATACTGCCTGTCATTTACTTCCATGTGTGTTTTCTTCAACTTCCCAAATAGGTTGTTCTGGCAAGGGCTCTTCAGCATCTGCTTCACTCCAAAGAAATCTCAGGTGTCCTGGCAATTCTATAACTCCTTGCCAGGAGTTAGCTTAGGAACAGATTGATGACCAGCCAATGAACAAGGGGAAGAGCAGTGGTTTCAGTTAAGGCTTGCTCATGGCTAAGAAAGAAAGACAAGAAGGTTCCACTGCTTTCTTCCTCTGCATGTGGCTTTGTCTGCATTTGACCTCTGGGCTTACTGCAGCCACCTCACTGCCAAGCTAGGGAGACTGAGTGAAGAAAACCACGGGGAAGCCGAGCCAGAGCCTGCTGCCATGCCTGGGTCATCTTGACCTCTTGTTACATGCGATGAATGTTGTTTTGGGGAAGATATTTTGAATTGTGACTTTTTTACTGCAGTCAAAATATCCCATTTGATATAACTGTAAACTTCTTGAGAACAGGGAATAAGTATATAAATAGCTACTATGCTTTATTTTACATGCTCTAAGTATAAATCACTATGCATTTTTGTTTGCTAATCTTCAATTTGAAATTAACCTACATAAACAAACTTAAGTCTGTCATCAGCTTTTTGAGAGTAACAGGTAAGGAAAGGCTTTGATTTCAAAATTGCTTTTCTATGAAATATATATGACTATAAATATACATTTATATATAATATAAATAATATATTAAAAATCTAATGCTTCTATATAATATAAATGTATATATATATTTATATATAAGATACATAAGTTGGCATAACTTTGTCAAAACTGTTTAGAGTAAACAGCAAAAGAAAACTTATAGGCATTAACCAAGAAAATCTATTTTTATGATTTTACATGTCATGGTGGATGGGTGATTACCTCTCTTAGGTCCCTCATATTCTTATTTTCAGATTTTGGCATTCCATGTGGAAGTTGGGGGAGTTTGCCTTCCCCCCTGAAAAAACTCTATTGTAGTCATCCACTGTTACTCATAGGAGTGTTTTGATATCTTCAGGAGACATGTAACAGAAAAATAAAATATTGAGAATCACTGTGCTCACAAGAATAACTAATAATCTGGAAAGATATTCACAAGGCATAAAAAAGCAGCTTATAAAGCATTATGTAGAAGATTTTTAAATGGCAGCTTTACTTTAAATGTATGCACAGAAATAGTGAAAGAACTAGAAAAATATTTGATATGCTAATTACGTTTGTATCAGGGAAATGATTAATCAGTCATCTCCCCTTTGCTTGTCTGTATTTCTAAAATGAATAGGCATTTTGTAATAGAAAATAAACAAACTAGCACTCAATACATACATTTGCCTTTTCTTCATTTATATTTATGTTTTCTGGACCTGTAAGCTAACAGACCCAAACATTTAGATAGAAATTATCATGTACTTGCTAATTTTTAAAAAGGTAAAATGACCAAACATTAAAAAGTAAAAATAAAAAGCTTAAAGACACTAAAGATTATGCCAGTTCCGAGTCTTAGAGGAAAGATCTGCATAGTGTCTGGTGAACACTGCCTTGCTATATGCAACGAACAGGATGGAGAGCCATTCTCCTTTGTTTGATGAAGTTTTCTGAAAGTGAAAAGGAAAAGATGAAGAAAGAAAATGTGTTTGTGGCCTGATATTTACTAACCCCAGAACATCTTGATATAACTATATAGGCCTTCTTTTTCCCCCTGTTCCCTTCCCAGACCCCTTGGGAACTAATTCCAGGGTACTCATCCTCAACATGGTAAATGGGTTAGCAAAGAAGTCAGGTATATCCTCAGTCAGAGCAAGGCTTCCTGCCTCCTTGCCCTAGAAAATCGGTTCCAGGTGTATGGGAACAGCAATTCCTTTGTGATCCCTCTAGGCCAATTGCCTCTGAAAACAGGCTTATCTCTATACCTCAGCATACTCTACAAATATTATATCATTTTCTTTGTGTATTATGATGTGGAAATGGTTGGAAAGAACAGCTTAGAGAACATTGAATTTGGAAGCATTCCAAAAGGACATCTGTAATCTGCCAGGGCACTGCTCATGTTCCAGGAGCTTAATGTCATGGGAAATAATGAGTTTTCTCATTTCTGCCATTGACTCACTGTAACTTTGAGTAAGACTTAACCTTTGTGGGTCTCTGCAAATGAGAGGGAAAAAATAAGTGATCTCTGAGGTTCTAATATTCTTTGAGTCCGTGGACAGCTAACAGTGAATGCAAGAAAAGATATAAAGTTGAAATACAGAACTGGATGCCAGCAGAGCTGGATCTGTGGCACATTTTGTAGAAAATGGCTTTCTTCGGATTCATGAACCTCATCAAATGATGCCTTTTATGCCGCAGCTTTTAGCATTTACTTGTCTAATTAAAGCAAAATGTCAGGAGACTTATTTCAGACCACATTTCACCATACAATGAGTTCATAGTACCAAAAGCTCTCGGAAAGTCCATTTGAAAGAGAGGGCAAATTGAATATTTTAAATAAGAGTTACTAAAGTAGATGTGAGTAATAAAAAACAATGTAAGTCTGAGCTAAATAAATTGTATTTTAAAAGAGAAAGCAAACTGGAATATTTTACCAATGCTTTTAATCAATTTTTTATTGAACGGCTGTATTCATTTAGTAAAAAAGAAAAGAGGACGTTTCATCTCATGAAGATAATTAGGATGTTTTATTATCAGTCTTTAGATTGTAGCCAGTTCAGTCATCTTTAGATATGAATTCAACCAAAAATCCCTTAAGAAAACATACAGCATTTTTCAGAGACATCCCAAATTCTAAGAGAAAATGGTCAAAGTTATAGTGAAAAAAGTTTCAGGAAGATTCATAGTACTTCTCTTGCATTACTCTTGCCAAGGGTTTCTAAGTATTTTGAATTCGTCTCTATCTTCAGAATAATTGCATTCTCAATGGGCTAGAGCCTCTCAATGGGAAATATTTCTTGTACGTGAGCCAGTTACAGAGAAGCATATTTTATTTGAACAAAATAATGTTAATTTTGAAGAGATTTTTTTCACTACTGCAATGTTTTCTGAAATGTGGGCTGTTTGTCATTGACCAAGAGATAATTTTAGGTGGTTCATAGACATAATATTAAATAGGATTGAATCACAGTAAAAAATTTACTAAGTGTTCAATTTTTTTCACTACTCCCTTATTAAGTCAATAAACATCTTAGTTTGATGCTAATTCATTTTTCCTGTTTGTAACTTAATGTAATTCTGGACAGGTAATGTAAATATATTGTTTACAGTATGGCTTCTCTCTACCGCATAATGTTCGGGGCTTCAGTTTGGGAGACTTGCATGGCTAGAATGTCTCAAACAGGTAGGAGCTGGAACCAACAGAAGGGTCTTCCCCTGTTTCTCCACCTGGGCTCCGCTGGGACTGTTGGTCACAGTGCCTACAAGCCACCCGCCATGTTGATTGGACTTCTCACAGCATGAAGACTGTTTCTAAGAGGGCGTTTATGGAGAGTGGGCAATTGAGGAGACTTGGGCAAAGGCTGCATAACCTTGAAAATCATATAGCATCACTTCTGCCATACTGTACCAGTCAAAGAAGTCACAATCCTGTCAGGTTAGAAAAGAAGGAATATAAACCAAATTCTCAATATAGAGTGTGTCAGAGAATCTGGAGCAACACTTTACAATTACAACAATGTTTAGAAGAGCACACTGATGTTGCTTGTGTGTATCTGGTAGCTTTTATATGCCAGGCCTTTTTTTATCTCATTTCTTTGTCTCATTTTTCCTTCTTCTTGCACTGTATTAATAGTTGTTTTGTTCTACCAGCCTTCTGCTATGCTTTGCTAATGTTGATCCTAAATTTACAGTTTGTTTTGCTATTAAATATTAATTTTTAAGAACTTTATGAGGTTTTCAGTATTCTTATCCTTCTCTCCAGAAAATAAGCAACTTACCATGTTTTAACTACTCCTTTATCCTTTTCCCTTTTGAAGTCCATATTATTGTCTTACAGAAATTTAGTTCCAAATCTTACAAAAACAAAACTAATAGTAGTAAAAGTACTATCTAAGGTGTGTAATTCACTAGACTTAGGTTTGTTTTTGCAATGCACATCCTCTCAGTTCACTTGTATTCATTCTTTCATAATTGCTTATTATATTCCCTTTTTTTTTTTTTTTTTTTTTTGAGGCAGGGTCTTCTTCTGTTGCCCAGGCTGAGTGCAGTGGTATGATCACGACTCACTGCAGCTTCAATCTCCTGGGCCCAAGTGATCCTCCTACCTCAACCTCCCAAGTAGCTGGGAGCAGAAGTATGCACCGCTATGCCTCGCTAATTTTTAAATTTTTTGTAGAGACAGGGTCTCCCTATGTTGCCAGGCTGGTCTTGAATGCCTGGGTTCAAGCAATCCTCCTGCCTTGGCCTCCCAAAGTGCTGAATTTCAGGCATGAGCCACTGTGTGCATCCTAACTATATTATTTAATGATTCTTTCAGTGGTTCTAGGCCTATCTTGATTGGAATGTCCTTTGGACTTTTATATTTTTTCTTTAAATTGACTCAAGTTTTAAAATTTTACCTAAATATATTATAAAGGAATTCTTCTTTGCCATAAGTAGATGGTAATTAAAATTAGTACAATGAAAGTAAAGTTACTACAGTTCAGCTTGATTCAATTAACTGGTGGAGTATTAGATCTTTCTGTTTAAAAGGGATATTTGCAAGTGTTTAAACCCAGTAATAATGGGAGATAAAACAAGGCATGGAAGTACATATAATCCTATTTAGGTAAGACAAATGATATAATACATATTTGAATGAATTGATAATGGAAGAATTTTTAAAAATCTAGTAATAACATTTGCCTTCAAGAAGGAAGAATGAGATGGGGATCCAATGTGGGATGGAGACTTTTTATTGGAATTGTCAGATCCTCTGACACACTCCATATTGAGAATTTTGCTTATATTCCTTCTTTTTGAATCTGGCAGGGTTGTGACCTCTTTGACTGGTACAGTATGGCAGAAGTGACACTATATGATTTTCAAGCTTATGCAGCCTTTGCCCAAGTCTCCTCAATTGCCTACTCTCCATAAACGCCTTCTCAGAAACAGTCTTCGTGCTGTGAGAAGTCCAATCAACATGGCGGATTGCTTGTAGGCACTGTGACCAACAGTCTCAGCTGAGCCCAGGTGGAGACGTGGAGGAAGAACCTTCTGTTGGTTCCAGCTCCTACCTGTTTGAGACATTCTAGCCATGCAAGTCTCCCAAACTGAAGCCCCAAACATTATGAGGTAGAGAGAAGCAATATCTGTAATCCCACAGGTTCAATAAAATAATAAAGTAGCTGTTATTTTATGCCACACAGTTTTGGGGTAATTAGTAACACAGCAATAATAAATTGGCACAATAAAATATGTTTAGTTATGGCTGTATTTGAATGTTATATAAGTGAATTTATAATCTATGCACTCTTTTGTGTCTGGTTTCTTTCTCCCAACACTGCATATTTAAAATTCAGCCATTTCGTTGTGAGTCGCCATAGCTCATTTATTTTCATTGTTTTCTATCATGCTATTATAGAAGTATGCCCTAATTTACTTGTGCATTCTGCTATTGATGGACATTAGGTTTGTTTCCAGTTTAGGGGCTACTGAGAATAATGCTGCTAGGCACATTTTTATATATTATTCTGGTTATATGTGTCCACAAATTCAGTACTTAGGACTGGAATGCATAATTTTGTTTGCCAAAATAGTTGTGACAATTCACACTCCCTAAAGTAGTATGTGAAAATTTCTGTTTCTCCTCAAACTTTAGTATTGCCAGACTTTTACATTTTCTCAACCTGATGGGGTATAGTGGTATCATTGTGGTATTAATTTGCATTTTATTGATTACTAATAAGGTTCAGCATCTGTTTATATTTAATGGCTATTTGGATTTCTTCTGTTGTAAAGTGCTTACTCTTATATTACATTGTTATATTAATGTATTGGATTTTACTAATGTTTTGTATTACCTTTTCAATTTAATTTTAAATAAGTATTTCATGTATTTTCTAGATGTTGTTCCTCATCAGTTATACATATTGCAAATATCTTCTCTTAATCTTTGGCTTATTATTTCACTTTCTTTTTTGTGTCTTTCAAAAGATTCTCAATTCTAATATAGAAAAATTTTCAATTTGCCAAGGCACAGTGGCTCACACCTGAATTCCCAGAACTTTGGGAGGCAAGGCGGGTGGATCACTTGAGGTCAGGAATTCGAGACCAGCCTGGCTAACAAGGTGAAACCCCATCTCCACTAAAAGTACAAAAATTAGCTGGGCGTGGTGGTGCGCCTGTAGTCCCAGCTACTGGGGAAGCTGAGGCAGAGAATTGCTTGAACCCGGGAGGTGGAGGTTGCAGTGGGCCCAGATTATGTGCCACTGCACTCCAGCAGCCTGGGTGACAGAGTGAGACTCTGTCTCAAAAAAAAAAAAAAAAAAAGATAGGACAGGACAAGACAAGACAAGAAAAATTATCAATTTCTTTGGTACAGACAATGTCTGAGATAAATATTGCCAGTCCTTGAAGGTGCAAAATATTTCTACTCTTTACAGATTGCTTTTAAGTATTTTTTTAGATGGCATCAACTTAACTCATTTCATAAAGCAAGTATGAACTTGGTATGAAAATTAAACAAGGAAAAAACAAGAAAAGAAAACCGCAGTCAAATCTAATTTATAAACATAAATACAAGTATATTAACGAAAATTCCTTTTAAAAAATACACAAAACAGTGTATTAAAATATACATTACTGCCAAGTAGATTTATCCTAGGAATATAAGAATGGTTCATTGTCAGAAAAAGAAATCAATGTAATTCACTACAATGACAAATCATAACAGAAAAAAATATAAACACATCAAAAGGTGTAGAAACAGTATTTGATGAAATTTCACATTTGCCTATGATACTTACTCTTATTAAATTAGGATGAGAGAACTTCTTCAATCTGGTAAAAGATATTTATTAAAAATTTGAAACAAGCTGCATAATTATCAGTGAAACTTTAAAGGATCACAATTGTGTCAAAATTAACAGAGGACCTAGGTAAGACAAAGACAAAATACAACAACCACACACACACACAAAAAAAGGAAAATACTGATACTAATACAAAGTAAAGTGAAAAAGGAAGAGAAAGAAGATATCTAAGATATTAAGTCGTCATTATTATTTCCAGAAGCTATGATGGTATACCTGAAAAAGCTGAGAAAAATTCTATAATCTGTTAGAGCAAATAAAAAGAGCCGAGTAATCTTGCAGTATCTAACATACCTACATATGTTAGATATGTACGTATCAACAGTATCTAATGTAAGTTGTAGGAGAACATTAGGAATTTTTATAAAATTGTTATTGAAGGACATAAAATGAAGTCATCAGTGGGCTACTTTCACAGCTAGTCTCTTTCCTTCTGCCTGTGCCCCTCTGCAGTGTATTCTCATCACCAGCAGGCACAGCGATCCTTCTACAATACAGGGTAGATCCATCCAAAATTTGCCAGTCTTCGTTTCTCATTCAGAATAAAGCCAGAGTCCATAACAGGTTTCGACAAGATCCCTGGTCTAGTCCCTACTGCAATTCTGACCTCACCCACTGCGCTACCCTTTGTTTTCATTTCCACTCAACCTGCTCCAGTCTTTCAGTCTTTTTGCTTTTCCTAGAACCAGGAAATTTCCACTTTAGAGTCTTAGAGTCTTGGCACTGTCGGTTCCCTCTATTCGAAATGCCTGTCCCCAAAACACCCCTGACTTTCTTGGGTCTCTGTTCAAATGTCACATGATCAGTGAGGCAGTCCCTAATTCCTTTCCCACATAAAGTTCTGTTTTCTGTCCTGGCATCCTCTGTCCACTTTCTTGGGCTGTTTCTCTGTAGCACCATTCGCCAACTCATGTTTCATACATTGATTGCTTCCTTGTTTGTCTCCTCCCTTTTGATCACAAACTTCAACAGGGAAGCGATTGGTCTGGCACCACTGCATTTTATGTAACTGGGTAAGTTCAAGGATGAGAAGGTGCAGTAGTAATTTTCGAATGTTGTTTCTCATCAAAATATCTATAGATATAAGGAAACCCGCCAATCAACATTTCTACAAGATATTTCCTGAAAATAAGGAAACTGATTCTAAAATGCATAAAGAATAAAAGCATAAAAATCTATCTGAAGAAAAATAAACACAAGAGATTTGCCCTCCCCAAGCATTTGTATATATCTATAATAATTAATACAGTATTTTATCAGTGTAGTTTTAATTAAAAATGGAAAACATTAGAGTCCAATGCCAGATATTGTATATGAGGTATTTGATGTATGACTGAGGAATTATTTTAATCATTAGCGAAGGATAAGCCATTTAATAAATGTTAAGGTTTTATAATATATAAAACTGGCTTTATAATATATATATATATATAAAATGTATATATGTATATAACTTTGTTTTACACCAAACATAAGAAAAATCATAGGGGGTCACATTCTTAAATGTGAAAATAAACTTTAAAACTGTTGGAATAAAATAGATATTATATTTACGACCTTGGAGTAGGAAAGGTTCCCTAGATAAGAACCTAGAAATACAAGTCATGAAGAAAAACACAGCACAAACAAATGTTTGACTATGGCAAAATATATACACTTTTTTTGCCAAAAAAGGCATAAGCCAAGTAAAATGACAAGTTACATTCTGAGAAAAGATATCTGCAACATGCAGTGCAGACAGTTAATTAAGAATCAAGGTGGAAAATATTGCCTAATGGAAAAATAATCAAAGCATTTGAAAAGGCAATTTAGATAAAAGGAAATGCAATGACTAACACATATATGAAAATATAGTTGCATTACTAGTAATTGAAAAAATGCAAATCTAAAAACAGTGACATACCATTGCACAATAATCAGATTGACATACAAAAAATATTTTTAAAACTTTGGTAACACCACATTTTGATGAAGTTGTAGAGAAAAAGGAAATCTCATACATTGCAGGTGGGAGGTAATTGGGTGCAACCACTTTGGAAGAATTTTTCAATGTTTAGCACATTTGTAAAGGCTGCTCATGTGTAACAGGAGACATTTATGGAACTATTCATTGTAGCAGTTCTTGAAACTTAAAAAAAAAGTGAGAACAAGCTATGTCTACAAATAGAATGGATAAAATGAACAATCTATGTCTATATGTATCAATAGGGATGGCTCACTCAATGGATGCTAAATTCATAACAGGAGCTATTTTTGGGAAATTGAAAAAACTGGTCCTGAAGGACAAAAGTGACATCCACTCCATCTATATAATATTTTCTTTCTTTTATAGAAAAATATGCAGTAAAATAATAAATTACAAATATTAATTATTGATAGGGTTATGTATATACCAACAGACATTTTAACAAGAATGCATGGGAGGCTGAGGCAGGAGAATTGCTTGAACTGGGGCCTGGAGGGCAGAGGTTGCAGTGAGCTGAGATCACTCCACTGCATTCCAGGCTGGGCTTCACAGCGAGATTCTGTCTCAAAAAAAAAAAAGAATGCAGAGGTGTTCCCCAAATGATTGAAGTTTAGGAAATGGCATTCCAATTTTCGTAGGTTCGATGACATCTTGAATGTATTACTGTATCTGTAAAGTGATCATTTTTTCAGCTGGAATAAACTTATTCTGACTTGAGACAGTCATACCCATGATCTTGGTCTTTTGGTTAACTTTTATTTTGTTAATTGAGCATATCACGGTCTTGGTAAAATGATTAAATATATTGTGTTCATTGATTCATAATAGAGCTGCAAATTACCTTGAAAGAATGAAAGACTATATGCAAATCCCCTATCATTATGACGACTGAACAGTTGTTCATTCACAGGTGCAAACTATGCATATGGTACCTTTTACATCCCATATGGACTAGTGTTGAATAAGATTAATTTGTTAATTGTTTCCCAAATAAAATTGCCAACAGTCCCCATTCATTTTAATACAATGTCTAAACCTGGAACTATGCTATTCCCGAACTTTTTTTTTTTGGTCAAAAAAGAAAATAGATCCAATGCTCACCTCTATACATGTTGAGTTCTCTCTTCAAGTAGGACATATATTGCCATCTTTTATTACTGTTGTCTTAGTGATTTGATAACACGGCCCAATTAGTTAAAATACATTTAATGACCACTAAATATAATATGCACTGTACTAGGTTCTGGGAACATAATGAAGAATGGAATTCAGAACCTGTCCTGAAGGAGTTAACAATAGGGAGGTTATGGTGAATACAATGTCTATGAATTGCCTTCTAAAAGGAAAACAATGCAATTACTCTAAAATGTATGTCTTTTCTTTTCTGAAACTGTCCTAGACATTTCATTAAAGGTTAGGGAATATATATAAGTAAATAATAACTAAGTTACTGGAGAGATGATGTAATAAATAAAAATACATAAATTCCTCTGAGATAGCATATTAAATGGTGCTAAATAGAATGAAATCAATTTAAACAAGAATTAAGTGTAAGCATAAGATCAGTAGATAATGCCTCCATGCAGAAAAAAACAAACAAGCCTTCTAGAAAGAGGCACCTCAGGATTGGCATTTCCTTAATGAATTTCAGGCAGGTTACCATCTCCAGTGGGGCTGGTGAAGAGCTCTAAGATGTCTATTGAAAATGAGTGAGCTGCTACTGTGATTCTGAAAGACAAATTTAAGCCTGAGTTTACAGAGCCCTATGAAGGCATCATCTCTGCAGATAGTTGCAGTCATTCTACCCAAACAGACAAATGACATCCTAAGACACTTTAGTACATCCTCAAACTTTAGCCAAGAATACAGAGAAAGAGAGAGAGGGTAAACAAGGGAGATAGAAGAGAGAGAAAGAATTAAGTCAATTACAATTAGGTACTAATGTCATTAAAACCTTATATTGTAATACTTAAAGGAGTTGGCTTAGCTTAAATTTAAATAAATTAAATCTGAAAGAATCTGATATGGTCTGGATCTGTTTTCCCACCAAATCTCATGTCAAATTGTAATCCGCAGTGTTGGAGGTGGTGGCCTGGTGGGTGTTCATTAGATCATGGGGGCGGACATCTCATGAATAGGTTAGCACCATCCCCTGGTTGCTGTTCTCGTGACAGTGAGTGAGTGAGCTGTCAGGAGATCTGGTTGTTTTAAAGGGTGTAGCAACTCCCCCTCCCTCTCTCTTGTTCCTGATCCAGCCATGTAAAACATGACTTCTTCCCCTTCATCTTCTGTTATGATTTTAAGTTTCCTGAAGCCTCCCCAGAAGCTGAGCAGATGCCAGCATCATGCTTCCTGTACAGCCTGCAGAACTGTGAGCTAATTAAACCTCTTTTCTTTATATTAATAAATTACCCATCTCAGGCATTTCCTATAGCAGTGTGAGAACAGACTAATACAGAGTCATTATGATTTCTATTCTTTCTATCAAGCTTTCTTCCTATTAAATTCAAATAAATTTAGTCTGAAATAGACATAGTTCTTATTCTTTCCACCAAGGTATTTTTTCCATGAACTATTTGAGTGTGTTAAAATGTATGTTATCATTTATATAAAAGAGAAAATATACATTTTAATATTTCATTGACAAATGGAAGCATATTTTAAAGACATAAAATGACAAGTCAATGAAGATGTCTAATAAAAACCATAAATGACTATTAAGTTTAACTTTTCAAAAATGTATTCTTTATTTTAAAGTTTCTTTAATACAGTAAGGTAAAGGCTTAGGCACTCTCAGTTGGCTGCGCTGACAAATGGCAAATACATCATATAAGATGTAAGTGTCCTAAAAGCAGACATTGCCTCTCTGACATATTGGTGAATAAATAGTCTAGATAGCTAGGGAAAAAAAAAAACCCTGATAATTTGCTCCTTTAAGTTATGTGGGGTTGACAGTGTCAGCATGATGCTTCCTCACAGCATAGCCTCAGATGCAACTTGAAGCAATTAAGGAAGGAAGAAACGTTTGAGTTATGAGTTTAGCTGCACCAAGGAGTTTGAGCTAAGCAGAGGGCAATTGAAAGGATCGGCAAATAGAAAAGCATGTCATTATTGCCTAAAATATTTAATTTCTGAGAAAAGTTTATTTTAATAATCATTAATTTGTTGACCATTTTTACAAATAAGGTGTTTCATGATAACACTCATTCTGATTTTGGGACATCCATAATGACTGAATAAACTGAGCACAATGAAATGGGTAATTATTTTCATCTGCTTACTTTGAGACAAGTAGCTTTGACGAATAGGTATATGCAGCATGAAAATATGTGTTTCATAACTAGGATCACCAATTCTCAGTAATATAGAAAGATTTTATTCAATTTTGTACCATTCTTTTCTTTAGCTTTTCCTGTATCTTGGTTTGGATTTTAGATTTAAAGTAGTTTGCTGTTCATCAAGTTATCTACTGGAGATTAGTAAATAAAATCAGAGTGGTTGAATTTCATTCATTCAGGAGCCATGTAATCACCATTTATAGAATATTAAATATATATGAGAGCCTGCAGTTTCATGCTGTAAATACTGAAAAATATGTTAAGCATATATAATTAAAACTGTTGAATACAATGAGATTTTAATTTTTCTTGTGATTTAAAATATTAACATTAAACTAACCTTTTTACTATAAGGGGAAGGTATTTCATAGGTATTGATAACACTGATTTTTATGTACTTTGTGTGGTACATTTTTATATGCTAATAGTGTGCTTGAAGTTTTTCTATATAAATGTTCATGAGATATATTGATTTAGTTTTCTTTTCTTATAATGTCTTTACCTGGCTCTGGTATTAGGATAATGTTGGCCTTATTGAACAAGTTAAGAAGTCTTTCCTCTTTTCTGGAAGAGACTGTAGAGTATTCCTATCATTTCTTCTTTAAATTGTTGGGAGAATTCACCAATGAAACCATCCAGATTGGTGCTTTTTTTTCTTTTAAGATTATAATTTATCAATCAATTTATTTAAAAGATACAAGCCTATTCCGTATCTCTATTTTGGCTGTGTTGAGCTTTGGTAGTTTGTGTTTTCAAGGAGGTGGCCCATTTCAAATAAATTACCAACATTGTTGTCATAAAGTTGTTTATAATACTACTTTATTATCCTTTTAATGGTTAAGAAATCAGTATTGATAACTTCTGTTTTTATTTTCAGTATCAATAATTTTTGTCTTCTCTCTCCTTTTTTTTCTAGTCAGCCTGGATAGAGGCTTATTAATTTTATTGGTATTTCCAAAGAGCCACCTTTTTACTTTGTTGAATTTCTGTATTGGCTTTCTGTTTAAACTTCATTGATTTCTACTCCACATTTTATTACTTTCTCTCTTGCTTTAGGATTAAATTGTTCTTTATTTTCAGTTTCCTAGGTAGAAGCTTAATTAATTTTGGATCTTTCTTCTTTTCTAATATATGAATTTAATGCTATATATTTCCATCTAAGCATTGCTTTTGCTGTATCCCACAACATTTAAGGTCATATTTTTATTTTCATTAAGTTCAAAATATTTTAAAAATTTCTTCTAAGAGTTTTACCTTGACCAACCTGTTATTTAGAAGTATAGTGTTTAATCTCCACATATTTGGGGGATTTTCCACATATCTTTCCATTATTGTTTCTAATATAATTTTATTGTGGTCTAAGAATGCACTTTGCATGATATCTATTCTTTTTGTTAAAGTGTGTTTGTGGTAAAGAATGTGGTCTATCTTGGTGAATATTCAATGGAAAATTGAAATAATGTGTTTTCTGCTGCTGGTGAATGAAGTATTCTATAAATGTTAATTAGATCAACTTATCTCATGGTACTGTTCATTTCAACTACTTCCTTAGCAGTGCTCTGCCCGTTGGATCTAGCAAATACTGAAAGAGGCATGTTGCAGTCTCTATAATAGCTATAATAGCAAGTTGTCTATTGTTTCTTGCAGTTCTATTCATTTTTGCCTCATGAATTTGGTGTTCTGTTTATAGGAGCACACATGTTAAGGATTTTTATGTCTTCTTGGAGAATCAATCCTTTTATCATTATGTAATTCCCTTCTTAATTCCTGAAAATTTTCCTTGTTCTGAAGTCTGCTTTGCCTGAAATTAATACAGCTAATCCAGCTTTCTTTTGATCAGTGTTAATACAATACAGCTTTGTCAATCCTTTTGACCTACTTGTGTCTTTATATTTACAGTAGACTTCCTATCGATAGCATATGATTGGGCCTTATATTTTCAATGACTCTCACCATTTCTGCCTTTGAGTTTGTTTGTTAGATCATTCACATTTAAAGTGCTATTCATATAGTTAGATTAATATTTACCATATTTGTAAATGTTATCTATTTGTTGTACTTTTGTTTTCTTTTTGTTATTTTTCTGCTTTCTCTGATTTAATTGAATCAGATAATCTAATTAAATTGTATAATGCCTTTTTTTCCCCTCTTAGCATATGGTATGTATTTTTTTTTAGAAAACACTAAATAGTTCCTCTATACCTTGCAATATATATTTTTAAAAACCTACATCCACTTTCAGGTAACACTGTACCACTTCACAGGTAGTGCAGGTGGTTTATAAAAGAATATTACCAATTTCTTCCCCCCATTCTTTGTAACATTGCTATATTTATTTCACTTATTCATAAGCTATAATCACTCAATATATTTTTACCATTATTAATTTGAATAACTGTCTATTAGATTAAATAAGAATAAGAAAAGAATTAATTTTTTATTGATTAATTTTATGACACTCTTTTTTTACATATATATGCATTTCTGACCTATATATTTTTTATTCCTTCTGAAAAACTTCATTTAACATTTCTTGTAGGGCATGTCTACTGCAACATATTTTTTCAACTTATATTTGTTAGAGAAACTTCTCAAGAATAATTTCAATACATGTAGAATTTTAGGTTCTGTGTGTTTTTTTCTTTAACTACTTTAAATATTTCATTTCATTCTCTTCTTCCTTGCATGGCTTCTGATGAGAAGTCTGCATAATTTTTATTCTTTTCCTATATAAGTAAGATGGCCGTTTTTTCCTGGCTTCTTTAAAGATTTTTTGTCTTCAATGTTCTGCAATTTGAATACAATTTGGCTATGGGTAACTATTTTGGTATTCACCTGCTTTGTGTTCTTTGCACCTCCTAAATTTATGGTTTGGTAACTATAATTAATTTCAGAATATTCTCATTTATTATTACTTTAAATATTTCTTCTACTTTAATTTATGGTTTGGTAACTATAATTAATTTCAGAATATTCTCATTTATTATTACTTTAAATATTTCTTCTACTTTATTTCTTCTCCTATTACTCACATTATGCATATGTCATACTTTATAAAATTATCCCAGAATTCAAGATGTTTTGTTCTGATTTTAAAATTTATTTTTTTCTCTTTGCATTTTACTTTGGAAAGTTTATGTTGATCTATTTTCAAGCTCACACATTCTTTCCTCGGCCCTGTCTAATCACCTGATGAACCCATCAAACATACTCTTTTATTATACTGTTTATTATTTCTAGCATTTACTCTTATTCTTTCTTAAAGTATTCATCTTTCTGCTAACTTTATCCAACTTGTGCTTTCTTTTTTTTCTGCATGTTGCCTACTTTTTATTAGCGCTCTTAACCTATTAGTTATATTAATTCTAAAATGCACATTATATCTGAATCTGGTATTAAAGCTTGCTTTGCCTCTTCAGGCTGCTTTTTCATTTGCCTTTTAGCATGCTTTATAATTTTTGTTCAAAGCTGGACACAGTTTATTTGGTAATAGGAAATGCAGTAAATAAGCCTTTATTCTCAGATTTTATGTTAATATGGCTAAGAGTTATGTATATTTAATGATTGCTATAGCTGTAAGTGCCAGAGAGTTCAGTTTCTCCTGATGTGCTTGTTTTTTGGTTACCTTCGGGTCTTTGGATTTCCCTAAGAACTCATTCTTAAGAGGAGTCTGCACCTTGCGGCTCTTCCCATTGTAGCCCACTGTTACTAGACTGGAGCCTGATTGATGTGGTTGTAAGGTATGAGGGAGGGAGCCTTCAATAATCTAACAAATAAGTCTCAGCCTTTTAGTGGTCACATGTTCCTGGCTTATTACCTTCCCAATTGTTTCTTAGCTTTTCTGTTTCTCCCCTTAGGTGAGACAGGATACTGGAGTTGGACAATAACCTTCACTCTGGTTTGATAAAGATCTGGTAAAGTTTTTTCTCTTGAAGAATAGGCCTTTGTTATAGGAAATGTTTTGTGCATATTTTGATATGGTTACTTTTCTCTTCTACCTGTCAAAAATATGGGGTATTATTCTTAGATCTTTACCATCAGAATCTGGGTGGCTTCCATGAGGCTGTGCCAATGAGAGTTCTCACACTTAGCCCACACTCAGTCTCCAGCAATTTACCAAAATTACCATTTAAATGTTTCTTTCAGTTTATATCTGCTGTGACATCTACTCTACATAAGCCAAACTTAGCTGTGATTCTCTGTATTCAGCTTTGACTCTCTATATTTGTCTTTCTTTCCAGATTTGGGGGGCAGCAGTTTGTCCTGTGAGCTCAATTCTCTAATGAGTCCAAGAAAAGTCATTAGCTAAAGTCAAAGAGGTTATTTTTTAGCTTTTTTTTTAATTAAAGTGATGGGGAGATGCCTTTCAAGCCCTTCACATGTCAAAGTCAAAACAAACTAGTAATTTCTTTTGAATTAAAAAAAAAACCCTGATGTCATAAAATAGGCAAGAGTGAAACTAATGCCATGTCATGTAAAAAAGATTTTCTGTGCAATTTGAAAAATATAATAAAAGAGCAAAAGAAGTCAGGCTTAGTTTCATCGTTAAATAGTATTCACTAATCACTGGAATTTTAATGAGGAATAAGACATTGCCCAAGGCTTTAAGTAAAATATTTGCCATTAGGGAAGGTTGACATAATAATAGGCAATTGCCATGCATTTCCACAACAAAGTGGTATGGGAGCACACAAAAAATACCATTTATTCTTACATGAATGTTTTACATAAGTGTGTATTTTATGGAAAAAATATAATTTAATACCAGTCAGAGAGTTGGATCCAGCAGTGCAAAGAAGGGAGAAAATGAGAAAAGAGGCACAAAGGAAGGAAAAAGGAAGAAAGGTGATCCATTATTACACAGTAGGATTTGTTTTTTACTTTTTAAAACTATTGAACTCATAGTTTGTTACCAGAAAAGAGATAGTTAAAACATGGATCTTTTTTTTCTGGATTTTTTGGATGATACCTGAGCTGGTATACCTTGGAGAGAATGACACCTGTGCTGGTTTATGGAAAGTGAGCAGGAACTAAAAGGTATAAGGGAATGAGGAAATAAATTCCTTGAAAAGTATAATAAGGAGTAAGAAAAGTCATTACTGGCAAAGTGAACAGACTCGATTGAACCTAAAACTCAGCGAGGAGCTTAGGTGGATTTTGGAGATATCAAAAAATAACAAGAACTGATAGATAAGATATAGCACAGCATTCAGTGGATTTTAAATTGACTTTGGGTGAATCATGTTGAGACTATAATGAAAGCTATGAACCTCATCCCCAGAAAGCATCCACATGTATGAAGAATTCTGCATTACAATTTTATGGTGTATATTAACTCACTGAAGGCAATCTAGATTATGTTAGGTGATATGTGGGTACAGTGAAATGGGTCAAGGAGAAAACCCTGAGAAAAGCCAGTTTTTAGGAGAAGGAAGTAAATAAAGAGCCCATTAAAAAAGACTGAGAAGCAGCAATCAGATCAAAAAAAGGAAAACGAGAAAAGATTTTTCTCATTTAAAAGAGTCGAGCATTACAATATAGCCAGTCAGCTGTGTTATATACAACAGAGAGGTCCAGAAAGACAGTGATTAAAGAGTATTTATTGAAACTATGATTATTAGAGTCATGTGTGGCCTCTACCAATGCAGCTTCACTGGAGTATTGAATATATGAAGTAGATTGCTATGGATTATATAGTGAGTGGGAAACGAAGAAGTGGGCACTACAAGCAGGAGAAATTAGGTTTAGCTGAGAAGGGAAGGAGAGAATAAAATAGACTCTATAAGGGGGCATAAGATCTATGGAAGAATTGTGATTTAAAGTGGAAAAACTTGATCTTGTTA
This sequence comes from Homo sapiens, assembly GCF_000001405.40. Classification (NCBI taxonomy): domain Eukaryota; kingdom Metazoa; phylum Chordata; class Mammalia; order Primates; family Hominidae; genus Homo; species Homo sapiens. The sequence continues at coordinate 38,513,261 of NC_000013.11, forward strand.
ATAACATGTAGGTGGAAGAAAAAGTGGAGAGAAAATGCTAGGAAAATAGGAAAAAATGTATATATAACTGATGGAGTGAAGTCCCAAAGAAGGCAGGAAAGAAGTGGATCAAGGCCATAGATGCTCTAGATAAGCATGAATGGGAAGAGTGACAACTCAAAGGCTAAGCTGACAGCTCTAGGGAATAGAGATATGTCTCACTTATTCACCACTATATTCCTAGCACAGTGCCTGGAACAATGTTTCCATCTTCCTTGAAGGTCTTTTTTATGTTTCATAAAAAAATTACACTAGGTCCTGTGCATATCAATCCACATCCTTTGTGCCCTTATTGAAACTACCTCTTTACTTGAACACACTTTTGTTCCTTTCAATCAAATAATCATCAGTGAAGGCATTAAGAAATCATCAGAAAGAAAGACAAATATTTACATGCAAAGTTCTTCATTAGAGTTGTATTTATAACAGAGGATAAATGAAAACTCTCTAAGTGTCTAAAATAGAAAAATGATTAAGTAAATAGTACTATATTCAAATAATATGGCCATTAATGTTTCCATTTTCATTATCCATGTCTGGGACATAATAGATGCTCAATAATTATTAGCTGAATAAATTAATAATCACATGGATAGACTAGCTTAATAAGGGCCCATTTGTGCATGCTTTTATCTTACTGAGAGAAAGGTTCCTAACCCTTATGAAATTCCATACTAGATCATAACACTTCTGACTTGCTAATGGAAGCTTGAGTTAAGAGGATATTTTAGGGAAACCTTTCCCAGTATGTCCTCTTTCTGTGCTGCTATAAAATAGACATGGCCATCTGCAAGCAAGTTCTAGCCCTAGTTCAGAAAACAATTCTGAACCACTACCATACACAATGCCCTGTAGTCAAAGATCATTATTCCTTACTAACTAGATTTTGGAGGGTAGTTTTATGTAGATTTTTTTTAACTTTTATTTTAAGTTCAGGGGCATATGTGCAGGTTTGTTTACATAGGTAAACTTATGTCATGGGGGTTTGTTGTACAGATTATTTCATCACCCAGGTATTACGCCTAGTACCCATTGGTAATTTTTCCTAATCTTCTCCCTCCTCCCACCCTCCACCCTCCAATAGGCCCCAGTGAGTGTTGTTCCCCTCTGTGTATCCATCTGTCCTCATCATTTAACTCTCACTTACAAGTGAGAACATGTGGTATTTGGTTTTCTGTTCCTGTGTTAGTTTGCTAAGGATAATGGCCTCTGGATCCATCCATGTCCCTGCAAAGAACATGATCTCATTCCTTTTTATAGCTGCATATTATTCCATGGTGTATATGTACTGCAAATGATGCTCCTAGGCTCCAGTCTCTGTACTATTGCAGAGCACATAAGAGGGTGTGAAACGAGTGCTAGTTTGAAGAAACAGATCAAGCACTTGCATGAACCAGGGAAGGCAGGAGAGAAGCAGAAACCACCATTCTCTTTCACTACTGGCAGATAGGTTCCTGTCCCTGAGAGTTGTGAGGTTTTTCAACAGTTTCCAGGTATTCTCATTCAAAGCACCTGACCTGGTTGTGCAGGCAGCTGTGACCATGCAGTGTTTCCTTCAGATCCTGACCTGGCAGCATAGTAACTTCCTGATTCTTTGAAAGCTTGACACAAAACTAGGAGCTACAATTGACCTTACCTAAGTATGACAGCTGTATTTCTTCCAGGGGCTTTGAAACCACCTGAAATAAATCGTTTATTGCTTGAAACACTAGGTAGTTTCTTTGTTTGAAACCAAATACTGACTGATAAAATTTCTCTCTAGCCGGAGGTAAGAGGCTGAAATATAAACACATGTTATAAGTGGCCTGATGCTCTCTCCTACCACTCTTAGCCTGTTCACATTCATTGTTGAATGGCTTCCATCTTCTGATTACTTTCTGAATGTAGTGTCATGGCACCTATGTTGAATAGATTGTGGTATAGTTTAATACAGATGTCCTATCATTTGGAAATTTTAAGAACCTAAGGAAATCATCTCCAGAAGTCTCCTTTTGAAAGCCCATATGTTCCATTTATGTACTCACTAGACTGGATGCTTTCCTGTGGCTAATTTAGTGTTCCTATTGAAGTCATTCATTATGAGTTTATTATTTGCTGTATTATCTGGGCAAAATTATAAGACTTCTGGAAAGTTATCCCTTCAAAATGATGCCTCCTGCGGTGTTTTAGTAAGAAAATAATGCTGAACTTAAAAGCAGTAACAGAGCTTTGAAAATTAAAGAAATAATTCATAAATATACAAGGGCACCCTACTTCTCTCACCTTGCAATTCATCCTATATACTGCTGTCAGTATATTTCCACCAAAATATTTCTGATTATGTCATCACTTCGCTCAAAACTTTCCAAATTTTACCATGAATACAGAATGAATAATAGGCTTCTAGGCATGACATCTAAATTCTTTCATGATTTATGTCTTCCTAATTTGCTCTTCCAGGCCATTGCTCCTTTAATATACATTTAACCATCTCAAAAGACTGGACCTTTGGCCATATTTCAGACCATGGCAAATCTTGGTTGCTAGCTCATGATTTTACCCTTTCACCTGTCTTGTTAAAATCTTACCCACTTTTTAGGTCTCAGACCAAACATCATTTCTCCATAAATAGTTCTTGATCACATCAGCTCTCTTCTTTAACTTCTCGCTGGCCTTTTTCTCTATTGCTCTCATGGGTTTGAGGCAATTCAGAGTAGTGAAAAAAGGCAGTCGAAAACCACAGACTAAAATCCCCACGGCAACCGAGATTGACAATATAGATTTTGAACGGCAGAGAAGTGATAGAAAATACTAGAGAGAAGTGATTATAGTTTGGTAAGAAGCCAGCATTTTACCCGACATATTTAAATGCAGGTTATTGTATCTGTATTTGAGACCGCAGAATGGAAAATACTAGGTTTGAAATAATGAAAAAGCTGAACTCACTCAGCAAAAGTGCTTCAGCCCACTAAACTGGGATCTTACTAGCTTTTGTAATAATTGCTCATTAAAGGCATCCTCCTCTGTGCTTGGTGAACTCTTGTTTTAAAGTTGGATTAATTTCTAATCGTATTTTGGAGATAATTTAAGCATACTGAAAAAGACTCTCTTCAGAGACTCACAGCAACTTCTTCCTAAATTATGATTGTAATTATTTATTCATCCATGCATTTATTCTGACTTTTGAACATACATAATATGCACAGCTCAGCAGCAGAAATTGAAGGTAGGAAAAGATTGGTGAGTCTGAAGAATAACAGCGATGTTTGACTGGCCTACAGATTGCTTGAAGATAACTCGTAGAAGAAAGGATTTCCAAGGTCAAATGAAGGCAGATCATTAGAGGACCTTAGCTAATTGGGCAAAGGGTTCTAATTTACTTATTGGGCAGAGGAAAGTGCTACAACTCTTGGCCAGGGAAATAAGATAATCAGAGACATGATTTAGAAACAGTGTGACTAAAGCAGACAGAAGATTGGAAGCTAGAGAAATTCTTAGGCAACTGTTACACTCATCTGTGTGATAGAGTGATTATCAATTCAGTAGGAACAGAGGGGAAGGGAAAGAGACAGGTTTTAGAGGTAATGTTCTAAAACTGTAATTTGGAAACTGATTAGATTAATGGGATACAGGAGAGGCTGGCTACAAAATTTGCAAAGCCCAGTGCAAATAAATGATCTGAAAACTGAAAAAAGATAGAGCCCCCTTTTCAAAAATCAGGAAAAAAGTACCAATAAAGGTATTAAAATATAAAGCTTAGGCCAGACGGAGTGGCTCACGCCTGTAATCCCAGCACTTTGGGAGGCTGAGGCAGGTGGATCATGAGGTCAGGGGTTCGAGATCAACCTGACCAACATGATGAAACCCCATCTCTACTAAAAATAGAAAAATTAGCTGGGTGTGGTGATGCGTGCCTGTAATCCCAGCTACTCAGGAGGCTGAGGCAGGAGAATAGCTTGAACCAGGGAGGTGGAGGTTGCAGTGAGTGGGGATCGTGCTACTGCACTCCAGCCTGGGTGACAGAGTGAGACTCCATCTCAAAACAAAAGGAAAATATAAAGCTTATTCCTTTAAAATACTATTACTTACACATTATAAGAGGGGGTAATAGAAATAAAAACATAAACTTCAAAATTGCAGAAAGATAATATTTTGGCATCATAATTTTATATAATACAACAAATCACAATATTAATGTGATATGTTGATTGAACACAAATTTATTGGGCTTTTCTGCAGTGACTTATGTCATCATGTTACATACTTTTAATTCAAAATACTTTGTTTTCAGTTAAATAATTGAAAGTGAACAGTTTCTCTTGGTAAATGCAAGATCTCAAATAATGTTTTGATAATTTTTAATTTTGAGAAAGGTCTTTTCGCTGATGTAAATGTTATTGAAACTGTTAAGGGCATTTTATAGGCTGTAAAAACATAAAGATAAATTACTGATAAATTATTACAAAATTTATGTTTTATTACAGCTAGAGTTGAGGTCATGGAACAATTTTTTCTAAAAAAAAAAATTAACTTCACACAAATCAATTTTGTGTAATTTTTAAATGTAAATTCATTTTAAAATGTAAATTTATACAATAGCATTTTAGTATTTCTCTGGCATTTCATGTAACTTTTGGAGGTTATGTGGATATGTTATTAAAATAGCTTCATTATTTGTGTATCATTAAAAACAGCTGTTTATGTATTTTATCACCATATTTTCAATTATAAGAAAAAAGTCTAAAATCATCTTTCTTATTAATAATTTTTCATTAGAAGTTTTATTGAAAATATGTTCTTTTCCATTGGATGTGATGATATTTGAATTTAATTTCATTTCTAAATCTGTGGATATTTATTTTGCAATGTTGTAGCACTTTACAAAACCAGAGATTTTAAGTTCTTATAGAATTCTAATCATTTTCTAATATGCTTTATTGCAATGTTCATGTGTACACAGTTATTTTGTAATATTTACTGAAAGTTTACTCCTTGATTGCAGCAGTGCCTGTCCCAGCACTCTGGCTGGAGAATTAACATTTGCACACGCACTGCAATGACAGGTGCTCGAGCCAGAGGGTAAGCTGGCCTCTTAGTGCAGGAACTAGCCTTTCCTCCAGGTGAAGTATCTTTCCTCTCCTAGTCATGGTCACTTCTGCTGCTGCTATCACCAATTTGGGCCCTAGTACTACCAAGCCATGTCCTCAGAGCCTCCTAGCCCACAGACTTCCCCAAGGCATGCCCGTGCCTGCCCAACAGAACAGCTGCTGTGTGCGCTGCCCTTGTTCCCCCAGCTGCTGCTGGGCCACAACCCTACCGCCTGACATCTCTCCTCTCCTCTGATCCTGCACTTGCTCTTTGTCCCATCATATTTCACTTACAAAACATTAATTTCAAAGATGAAACAAAGGGAGTCCAGATGTTGAATGCAGAGCATTAAACCAAATGTGGGGAGGGGATCTTCTCAGCATGGGGTCTGTGGGACTGCACACGTCCCAGCCCATGGACCTGGCCCTGGGTACGAGGGAGGGGAAAGAGCCTGAGATGGTTTTGAACACTGGGAACTGAGTAAGCAATGTAACAGGCTGTGTTAGTCCCTCTTACACTGCTACAAAGAAACACCTAAGGCTGGGTAATTTTTAAAGAAAAAGGATCTATTTTGGCTCTTGGGTCTGCAGGCTGTACAAGAAGCATAGAACCAGCATTTGTTTCTGGTGAGGATGTCAGGAAGCTTCCACTCATGGCAGAAGGCAAATGGGAAACAGGTGTGTCACATGGCAAGACAGGGAACAAGAAAGACAGGAGGAAGTATCTGCTTTTAACCACCAGATCTTGTGTTGACTTACAGAGCCAGATCTCATTCATTACCATGGGGAGGGTGCCAAACTGATACAGGAGACAGAAAGAAATTAGGCAGATAGTGAGGGCAGAAGAGTCCTCTGCAGAACTTCTCTTTTAACAAAAAGTAGCCTGAGAAATCATTTCTTTTCTAACAAAGAGCAGCCTGAAAGATGGAGCTGCAAACATAGATAAGGAAGCTGGAAGCTTGTACAGGAGGAGGAATGTCCACCATGGGGGGTCCTCCTTCCCTTTTTCATTAGCATGTATATAGTAAGAAAGAAATGAGCAACACGGAGAAGCTCAGGCAGAGAACCCGCCTGCATAATAAAAGATTGGGGTGGGGGCTGCCAGCAATTCACACCCTATGCAGATGGCACACCTGGTCCTAACTGGTTTTTTGTGCCCTATATAGATCAGACACGGCCTCCACACTAGCTCATCTATAAAACCCCCTGCATTTCACTACAGATCAGCAGACCATTTTTCCGGGACCCCTTTCTGTGGTAGCAAGCTATTCTCTTTCTTTTGCCTATTAAACTTCTGCTACTAACCTCACCCTTTGTGTGTCTGCATCCTTGATCTCCATGGCTGTGAGACAACAAGCCTTGGGTGTCACCCCAGACAATGAGGCCACTTCAAAACCGTTAATGAGGGATCCACCCCCATGATTCAAACACTTCCCACTGGGCTTCATCTCCAACACTAGAGATCACATTTCAACATGAGATTTGAAGGGGACAAACATCCAGACTATATCGTAAGAAATGGAAACCCTTGAAGAATTAGTTTGGAAGGGGTAGGAGTGGAAAGAAGCAAAAGATAGTTATTTCCATTTGAATAATCAACTGAATGGAGATAGCAAAACATAAACCTATCCAAAGTTTAAGCAGTAAGCACTTCAAATGGAGACTTGTTTGCCGGAAACAAGCAGCTGTGAAATAAACTACATCCTCTTTCCCATTTACTTTTCCCTTTTCTTTTTTGGGTTCTCTTTTCAACTTCTGCATCCCCTACACCTCCCTTTCATGTTCTATGGCTGCAGTAACACAACCCTAATGCAGTTAATGCAGCTCTGATGCGTATCTTCACATTCCTTGACACTCCCCTGGAAGGAATGTAAATGTAATTACCACCAATTAAATGGAAGCAACACGTAGAAAGCATGCCATTTCTGCCTGGTTCTCTTGGAACGTTCATCCTCCAGATGTCTCCTGGAACACTATTTCTGAGAACCCAGCTTGGTGCTGTAAGAAACCCAAAGCATGTGCAGGTATCCCAGGCTCTGCCCCAGCCGAGTCCTGCCTTTTCATCATCTCCGCACAGGCACCATGCTCGGTACCAGGCGCCTGCAGCTGATTTGGGCTTCTTCTCTGCTCGCCTTTAGTTGTCACCCTCAGCCTTCATGTCTTTCCAGCTGAGGGCCCAGACATCAAACAAGAGAGACAAGCCATTCCCACCTTGTTTGGATTCTTAAACTACAACATCAAAGCATGATAAGATGGTGGTTTTACACCACTAAGTTTTCAGTTTGTTTGTAACCCAGTAACAGTAATTGTCATGGTCTTTCAACACAAGTTGGAGCAAAAACAGATTTTTTTTCTCTCAGCTCATTAGAATAGGCTAAAATATTTTAAAGACACTTACCAAAATGCTAAGGATAACAAAAATAAAATAATATAGGATATATAGAAGGTGCCTTAAAAATCTTTAAGCATACAAGTGTTAGATTTCTGATACTGGTATATCTAATTTGTTTTCAGGCACACATTCATTTTATTGAATGAGAACCCAGAAAAGTGTACTTTTAAATTCTTAAACTGTTTTTTTCTACCCCTCTTTCTTTTGCATCTCTTCTTTCTTAAGGAGATGCTATATTCAAGTAATGAGCCTTCAAGGGAAAACAATGGAAGGACGTATTTCTAGATGCACAATGCAATGTAGACAGTCCTCCAGGTCATCTAAAAATCACAATCCAGCTACCCAAACTCTAGTTTCCAACCCCCTTCCTCCCCTACTTCTTTTTGGGGAGGTCAGATAAAACTTTACCAAGCAAGTGACAATTTGGCCAAGTCTTAACGATACCTTGTGTTTGGCAAATAGTTAAAACTCAACAAATATTTGGAATAAATGAATGAGGCAAAGGACCAGGAGAAAAAGAAGAAACAGTGGCCAGGTATACTGTTGTGTCCCATAGTTTGGCTATGAGATGCTGGGATCTCTGAGCATACTTCTTAGGACAGTGGCAATATCAGCTGAGTGCAATGGGAAAAAAAAAAAAAGAACTTCTGTAATTTCCCAGCCAAATCAGAAAATGTGAGCATTTTCTGCCTAACATCTGTCAACCATGAGATTTATTTGGATCTGAAACTTACTTTTACAAACTTTAATGTCATAGAAAGATGCCTTTAGTCAAAAAGCTGCTTGACACTTTTCCATCTCAATATTTAATTACATAAACTTTTAAAAAAATCAAGTGGTTTCAATTGAGCATTAAAAATATCCATAATAGTTTTGAAAGTTGTCATAAATTTTACCAAATTCCTCTTAGTTTATCTTTTTCTCTATATGATTTGAAAAATCAAAGCTATGTTTTCAAAGCTGAAAGATCGTTTAGCTTAATAAGCACTAATAGGGCTTACCAATCACAATAATTAAAAAACAACAACTCAAAAGAGAAACAGTGATTAAAGAGAGGCTTGATTTTGGAAAAATTAACAATCTGACTTCAAACAGTAGAACCTACATGTTCCACATAGTTGTAGCTGTATCTGGGTATCACTGTGCACATATGATAGGTCAAGGAAAAAGACACTAAGGATTTGTAGTAACATAGACAGCCAGCTGTGATTTTAAAAATTAAATGCAAAACATTTGCCTTTATAAAAATGTTTTTATCTCAGTAAAAAATATGTAAATTTCCTCTTGCACCAAACATCTGAACACTGACTTGTTTTATATTCTGCTTGAAAATATCTATGGATTTGGGGAAAATGGTCACCTGTCTTTCAGAACTCAGAAGAGGAACTCATCAGTCAAACAAGGATCTCAAATCTCTCTCTGCAGCTTTTCACATGAAGTTAATAGCAAACACTGCAATGCCAGAGATAGAATACAAATATTTTGTGCTTGAGTTTTGCTTTAAATTCATGAGAAAATTATCAATTAATTAGGCTTACCTATGCTTTTGTGTTCTGTGTCTCTATTTTAAGATGACAACTGGAAAACATATTTTTACCTAACTCTAATCATCTTTCTATTGAGTGGAGAAAAACAATACCATTATCAAAATTTCTCTCTTCCCACTTCCATCTGCTTTTAACATTTGGGAACCATTCTATACTTATGCTTTCAGATATTAAATACACACACATATGCAGTGTTTGCTCATAATTAAAAGTTTAGCATCTTTATGATTTTAAAATATTTTATACTTTTCACTAGAAACAAAATAACATGCTGCAGTATCAAGGCAAATAATATACCCTTAGGAAGGATAGTATCTTACGCTACTTTGCAGCCCTTTACACTTTCATTTGAGTGATGTTGAATCTTGTCATATAATAAAAGTATGGACAATATCAGCTTGCTGAGGTGCAAAGAGAAGTGCCTTTCATTATCAGTGCATTTAACAAACTATTTTTTCAGCACCTGTCATCTCGAGCACTATTCCAGACAACTGAAATATAGAGACAAACTTAATACTGATAAACTTGATAAACAACATGATTGCCCTCAAAGAGCTTACATTTTGGTCTACATTGAAGGAAAACAGGAGTTCAGAAATAAACCTAAGTGGCCACAATTTTTCTAAGTCAAGGTCTTTGGAAACTTGCCAAATTTAGAAATGAATAACTTCTCAAAGTTATACCTTATTTTGATTCTTTTAAGAACAACGAATGAGAAATTTCAAAACTTTAAGTGCTAGATATTGGTCAAAGGGCTTTATTATCTTTTGATGTTGCTTCTTCAGAAAAAATTCCTCCTTCCCTGTTTATGCCAATGCCAAAATTATTCAGATCCTACTTTCCCTGCAGTCAGCCTTTTGCTAAATATGGAGTTGTTTCAAGCATTCTAGTCATCCTGCACAGAAGACCTGGCAAAGTTTGCTGGGAGAAACAAATGGCCCTGGTGGTCTGTGAGACCTGTGGCTAGGTCTATGTGTATTTTCACTCAGTTCCTTCAAAAGATAGAGATATATTGACCCCTGTAATTTCATCGTCTGGAAGAAAAAAAGGGCAAGTCTAATGGGGATAGCCAATTACATTTTAACCATGTCACGGGCAAATCTAATGGTAACATCTGTGGTAGATTGCTTGTTATTCTCTTGTCTGCATTCATGGCCCTTTGCAAAGTCACTTTGTAGCTTCACCCATCAAGAGATGAAATGTAATCTGAATCAGGGATCACATTGTTACTTGCTTTAGCTAATAGAATGTAGAGGAGGCAATGTGTGCAAGTTCCAATCCCAGAACACAAAGGCTTTGCATGCACCCACACTCTTTCAGAACCTTGCACTGTCATGGGAACAAGCCCCGGCTGGCCTGCACAAGATGAGAGACCCTGTGAAGAGAGGCTCCAATTTTCCCAGCCATGAGCCCATCATAGACTCACTGATCTTAGGCAACCCATCAGCTGACTGCAGAAACATGGGTAATTTGGACAAGATCAGACCAGGCTGTCTCAGACCAGATTAACTGCCCAGCTGAGCTCAACCCTACAAAGTCTGAGCTAAAAAAAAGTTATTGTAAGTCACTAAGTTTTGGAGTGGTTTTAACACATCAAAAACTAACAAATATAATATTTGATCACAATTTATTACCTCATTTTAAATACCTTCTCGATTCTGTCATAAAAGTATTAAACAACCAATAACAATAATTCTCCCGAACAGAGCGCTCTCTCAGGATTTTGTAAACATAATTCGTTCTTTTTCCTTGTTGCAATATATAACCAAAGGTCAAAAAATTGAGATTTTGGTACAAATTATTTAATACGCAGTTTGATGCAAAAACTAACTTGACCATTTGGTTGTATAATTTCTCCACCTTATAACATTCTGCTCACGGAATAGTGATATAACTCATGATGTATTCTAGATAATGCAGAACATTACCTAGAACAAATGTAACTCAATAGTTTGGACTCGATTGGACTTCAGTCATGTTAATAAATATAGTTGAAACCCCTTTATTAAAATCTTCTAAATTTTCCAAAAACTTAATTAAAATTTTTGAATATAAATAATAGGGAACAAAGATAAAATAACTTAAATATCCTCAGTTCTGCGTTAACTAGGTGCATAAACATAAATATAATTATATTTACTTATTTTTCATCGGATATTATTTAATACCACTTGCATATGTGCAAACATGAAAATCATTTTTAAAATTTCATATTCCACCTTTGACTCTGAACCCCAAATTTACCTAAAATATTTTTGTCATATTCTCATTTTCTCAATTTGTGTCTGTCATTTTGTAGTTTAATTAGTTACTAAGACCTCAGCAAATGTCCAACTTATAGCTGTATCTCACAAATTCCTTTTTAAAGAGGCATTTCCCCTCTCCTTCTTTCTGGTCCCAAGTACACATTATCTACCTGGGTGGCAAGTGACTTTCCCAATACATACAGTAAGTGCAGGGCCCAGGACCCACGATATTTTTAGAGACCCACAAAACATGTTTTAAAATAAATGAATAAATAAATAAAATAGGAAGTAAAACCAATATAAGAATAATGAATAGGTAACCATGAGTCCAGCCTGGATTATTTCTACCTTTATACCAATGTAGTCCTAAAATATAATTTTTAATATTTTTGCATGGAGAAAGGGGCCCACTAGGGCAAAAGTGCCTGTGGTTGGGAGAAAGATGAGTCCTCCTGAGAGACTGCTTTCCTTCTGCTAGTGGCAAGTTTGTGGACCTTTCTGGTGAAGGTCAGAGCCTCTTCTTCCTAGGCAGGTCCAGACCGTTTGCTCTTTTGTGCTCCCAGCACCTAAATGTTGGCTCTTTTGAAGCCTCTGATGTCCCGCATGTGAATGTCTTCTCTGTGTGCTGGCATGACATCTTAATCCACAGACATCTTCTGTTCTACCATGTCCTCCTAGAAACCCAGGTATACCGCTGACAGATCTGAGAGCTCCTCATGCTCCCAGGTGCCACTTTTCTAGGCCTCATCTCCCTCTCCTTATTTCCCTTGTCCCAGCAGCACAGTTAGGGTTGAAAAGAGCAATAAATGGTTAACGCCCTCTGGGAACCCATTCCACTCCCTGCCTCTCTGCCAGCTCACCTTTTGTGTCCTCCTCTTGACAAAAATAATCAAACCAGTTGGGCATTATTTGAATCTTCCTATGGAATGAACAATGTGGCCCCAGACATAATTTAATTGGTAAAACACACAAAACATCTGTTTTGGTGATGCATGGTCATATATTAGTAACTAGTGGAGTGTGAAGGTAATATAGCCAGTACTTCCCATTTTATAGGTAAAATCTATATATTATTTAATATAAATAATAATATAGATAAAGTACAGAAATAACATAAACAAATAACAAGAAATTGTCCAGAGGGAAAAATAAATCTTATTTGTTCAAATGAATTGGTTATTTCAAATTTTGTCCTGATGGAATATTTTCCCAGGGCACAATAAAACAGAAGACAAATTTTTACTGTAGGCACATAAAATGTCCCTTTTTTGTCACCATCACCTGAATTTTTTGGAAATAAAATTCAATAATTTCCTATGAAATACGAGCAGCTTGCTGATAGAATTGACTCCAATGGACACTAGATAAAATACCTTTGAATCAATATATCAAAATTTATTTTGTTTTTAAAAGAAATATATCTCATTTGAAACTGTGAGATACACAAAGCCAAGATGTAATTTTTTAAAGGCTTCTAGAGTGTGTGTATATAAAATATAAAATTAAAAATAATTCGCATATATTTCAAAAAGTAATTAATATCTAAGAATATAAGTGCATTTAACAGAAAACAAGCTGAAAAGCTAGAATATAAACCAAATCTATTTGACCCCAAATTCCAGGACATTTTTACTATATCAGTGATGGCAATTATGTACAACCTATGATGCAACCCGTCTCACCCACTCTCATAGTGGACATGGCTAATCAATCGTAACCATTTTCTGCCAAGTCAGCTGTGGTCTCCAAAGACCTCTCCACACAGAAGTTCAGAAAATCAGTCACAAGCAAGCATGCAACCTGAAACCTCTTTGCAATCTCTCTCTTATATCTGCAGCCTGTGTATACTTTGTCCAATTTTATCTAATAGGGATGATAAATTTTAAAAAATCCTCCAGTGTCATCTCCCTCTTGGAAATACATGTTTTTAATTTTTCTTACCATCAGGCAAATCCATGAAACGTATGTTCCTAGGGAAGGTGGGGAAAGATAAGTTTCTAGAATAAAAAAGCCCATAGAGTGGGGGAAAATAATGATATAAGGAAGGTTCCAGAAAGGCATGCAAGTTTTTCTTCATGGGAAGGTTTCCTGTTGGAGAGGAGGGAGATTTGCGTGGGCCCTTACAGTGGGTGAAGATGCTACCTGAGTCATAAGAAATATCTAGTGCCTTCATCCCTAAACTGGGGCAAAAATGGAAAAAACAGACAGTGGGAATGTGGAGAAGAGGATCATTTGAGTATGTGTGTGTGTGTGTGTGTGTGTGTGTGTGAGAGAGAGAGAGAGAGAGAGAGAGAAAGAGAGAGAGAGAAAGAGAAGTAGAGAGACAGAGGGGAGAGAGGGAAAGGAAGAAGGGGACTAAATAAATTGGAGAAAAATCCAATAATACCTGGTCCCTTGTTATAATTTCTTTATTTTTTCAGCATACTATGTGTTGCCACAAATACAAAGTGACAGAAAGACACGATAGATGGGCTTGAGACTGTGCCCCAGCAGACACAGCCCCTTCTACAATCTCTGGATGACATGTAGGAGGCTTTATGAGTCCTGGAAAAGAGCGCAGGTGGATAAGAGCATCTGTGGACCCCAGAAGTCAGGGATCTGGACAGGGGAAACTACTAGTTTAGAATTCATACCTAAGGCAATGATCAGCAAACATAGAATTCAACAGTGGATATACTAGCGCAGTGGGATGGCTGAGACTCTGCCCTGCTCATTCAGGTTTCCAGACCTAACTTTATGTCACTTGCTGTTGGCAGAGCTAACAGGGAACACAGCAGTTCCCGAGCCCTTACCTTCACCGCAGTCTCCTCTTGGATGAGAATAACACGTTCCTCCGCACTCAGATGTCCTCTTAGGAAGTTGGATGGAGAGGCAAAAAATGTTTTAATGGGGAAAAAAAAAGCTAGAAGAGAGAGTTTAAACTTTAAATTCTTCAAATTGACTTCATAGTCACTATGAGGAGGCAGTTTTGAGGAGATTGTTACATTTTAATAGCTTATTTGAGATTTTCCTCCCCCGCCATCAGAGGGAATGGAAACTCCAAATTACGATGAAATCAGTTAACAGTTAATAAGAAGTTGCATTTACAAGATACTCCTAAGGAAGGAGCATTTTATCTCATTTTTCCATTCTTCCATTTTCATTGTCTATGTAATCAGTTTTCAGCCACCAAAAGATGAACTCAGCAGAGATAAGTAACACTGGGAATTTACCTGCAAGTACTATTATTCCCATTCTTCAGTGAGAGAACCAAATCTCACATTTGTTATGCATTTGGAGTCCTGCTGCTAGAAAGTTGCCAAGCAAATATCTGAATGCCAGTCAGCCTGATCTCGCAATCTATCTTCTTTCCACCATAAACTGCTTCACATCCAAATACCTTGTTAGCTTCTTCATATTGACACCCCATCAAGCACCTCAAACCAAATATATCCAAAACTGAACATATCATCTTTCCCAACAAACCTACTCTTTTATTCTATGTATTCATCTCAGAGAATGTTGTCTAAACTAGAATCATGCAAGATTTCCCAATCTTTCTCATTCTTTTTAGTTGTTCAGCAAACCCTGTCCATTCTATCTTCTGCATGTCAGCACTCCACAGATAATCTTGGGAGAAATGAATGCAGGATAGGAAATACCTATATAGAGATATTATAACTACAAATAACTGTGGTAGGAGCCACGGCTGGAAAATTTCACTGTTACTTAAATAAAACCAAGCCAGTGTCTACAGTAAGTCAACCAATGAGCAACATGGAACCCAAGCACCTCCCTTGAAATCAGGTTTCATTTATTGAAAAAAGGAAATGAGATTCTTGGGAAGCTAGAAGGATACTCATTTTCAAATCAGATTCAATGAACACAAATCTCAAACGGAAGCACTATACAATTCAAAAATAATACTGAGGTGTTTAAGGAAACACCTGGAACCTGCTTTTGGAGGAGTCAATCAGAATGCTTTGCATTGTAGAGGAAGAAGGATTCTCCAAGAGAAAATCCACACTCCTGCACCTCATGGCAAGTACTGTGTACAAAAAGCTGTATGCACTGCCCAAAGAAAGAGGAAAAATCTCAGGGGCTTCCACTCATTCCTGAACAATCTACAAAGCATGAGAATGATAGTTGCTATTGTTGTTCCTTTCTTCTTCCCTCCATCCCTCCCTCCTTCTCTCCTTCCTTTCTTCCTTCCTTCATTCCTTCCTTCTTTTCCTTTCTTTCCTTTGACTTGTTCATTCATTTGCTTTTAGACTCACTGTGTTAGAGATCAGTTATAGAATTAGTTAATAGAATTGATATTCAATTAATAGATTCAATATAAATTAATGAAAACTACATTTTACACTTAAAATAAGTTCAATAAAATTATATATGATTTTGTAAGATTTTGATATAAAATTTTATATTTTCTCATCAAAGAACAGGTGAAAAGAAAATACTTTATGTTTATTTACATTTCTCTTTTTCTTATCTAATTAGCTCTGCTAAAGATTTTGTACGTATCTTAGTCTTGTCCCACATTATCTTTGCTGACTCTTGCTTTTTTATTTCAAGGTCTTTCCTCAGACTCTGCTCAGGAACTCGCTCAAAGTTCAATTTAAGAGTCTACTGTAGAGATTTGCATCCTTTGATTCCATCCAGCATTAGTCACCTGCTTTAATTGCCACATGACAATGCTTTGCCACTGGCTGCTCAAAGCTGTGTCTCTTCTGACCAACCTGGTGTTTGATCTGTTCCCCTTTGATTTGCACAATTCATTAAAATTTTATATTCTACAGTAATGTTGATAGTAAGCTTTAAATTCCTTTTGCTAAGAAATATAACCTCAAAATCACAAATATCTCACCATTATGTGTTATTGAATAACAACAGAATTTGACTTTGATTGATGTGAGTTGGAAAAAAAATCGGCATTTTACAGAATCAGCAGGAGGCCTCGTAACATATGCTTTATGTTACATAGCTGAGAACAAAAGCCTAAATCATACACAGAATTTATCTGATGAGGAAACATAAATATTTCAGTGTGCATTGTGGGCCCTAATGCTCTGAGAATTATCACTGTAACATAGACTCATGACTTTACGCTTCTCTGGCCCCAGTGAGCTCCCAATCCCACTTGTGGAACAGGTGAATGTGATTATTAGAGTTTCCATGCCTAGTGCAAAGAAGGATGGAAAAATGAGCATCTCTAATTTTCTGTTTCTATAAGGTTGATTCTGCTCCCTCTAAGACTCAGATCTCTTAATACTATTCCAAATATAGGCAGAGAATGCAAATACTGAGCAGTCAAAAAAAAATGACAAATGTCTACTACAGCATCTGAGTTGAAAATTCTTGCCATATCGTACAGAATCAAAAATGCCAATACACTGCCAGACTACCCAGTTTCCCAAGTAGCATAAACATGGATTCTTATTTAGCCATGTTCTTGGCCAGTTTCCCACGGGACACACACACACATACACACATACATAACACAAGGAAAATGAAATCACAAAGATACTTGCTCCTAAACTGCAACTGGAGCATGAATTTGTCTAAATGCTTAACTATTCCATGAAAAATAAAATATGACTAGATATTAATCAATTGGGAGTATTTTTAGTATGATTTTTGTTCATCTTGTTTTTTTGCTTGCTAATGACAGTTTTGTATGCCACTTCAGGTTAATTTTGAAAAATAAATACTGGATTAAATGCATTAATATACTCTTATAATCATAACCCTGGAAAGGGTCTTATTACTGTTGAATAAAATCAACAGAAATACGATGAGTTTATGAGTCATAACCTATGCAAAATACAAGGCACTTTTTTTAAATAGGAAAAGCTTAAATTGTTAGACATAACTAAGCAAGAGTATACAGTTTTAGTATGCATAAACCAGAAGTGTTACAATTTTATATCCATGAAGTAGGATATTGAATCATGAGCCCATATAAAAAGGAAAATTCAGTTATCATTTTCATTTTCTCTTCTTGTAAATATTCACATGGTACACTAAATTGTCATTTTGTTTTATTTTGTTTTAATTAAGGGATGTAGTCTCATTCTTTAATTTAACTGTGTTAAGCAAACCAAATAGTTGAAATAAATCCAATGCACCACCGTTGCCCGAAACCTCTACTGTTATATAGTACACCAGCACACTCTATTGGACACATAAGATAATAAATGTGGTCTCCAAAGCAACATTTTAATGTCATTAAATTCTGCTATTTATTTCATTGACAAAGTATTCTTTTTTATACTTACTTTATAGAATAAGCAGAAATTACATGATATTCATGGAGAAATTCAGGATTTTGATATAGACGAGAATAAGAAATGTAAAAATTATGGCCATTTTCTACATACGTAGAGCTTGACCCAATAAATTGCGGGACAATGGGATGAGGATTGAGAAATGCCTTCAGATCAGGAATCGTCTTGCAGAGCAGACAGACCAAAACTAAGAAATTACCCATTCAACCAACATTTTTTGAGTGCCCACTATCTGTAAGATGGGCTAATCCCGTGTGTACAAAAATGGCTAAGACATAGGTCTGCCCCAGCACTCTGAAAAAATTGTTAGAGCCAAAATATTTATAAAGTTTTTCTGGTCCTACATGAGCAAAATATGGATACAGCTCAATTTTTAGATGTCCAATGCCATAATTCTTGTGGCATATTTTGAGGAATTTAAAATTTTGTTCTCAGAAATAAGATAGAGAAGGTGTCAATTTAAGACCGTGGACTCTGGGGCACTTGTACCCACATCTGCCTGTGATTTTCTTTGGTACTTTAAGTAAAACGATTCTAGACTCATTTAATTATCTAGAAATTGTAAATGTCACTTAGGATGATAGTAAAACTGAGTTTTTTAGTGCTTATAATATGCTAAGCTTTTTTCTAAGGGCTTAGAATGTGTTTTCTCATTTCGTCCACACAGCAACCCTATCAAATATTACTATTTTTTCCCACTTTGCTGATGAAAAGACTGAGGCATGAAGAACTTAAACAAATATCTGAAGATTACACAGCTTTTTAAAATAAATGACAGAGTTCGGGTTAAAACCCAGGGTGTCTGATAGGAGGGCTCTTTCTCTTAGGGTACATCACAGGATATTTCTGTGATCAATTTATTTCATTCAAATGTGGGAAGGATAGCGAATGCTCCACAGCAGCTTTCAGGCTTTTAGAATATCAGGGATCTATACAGAAAAGGGGGCATCTAATTGTCTGTGGCTGAGGACTCATTATAATAACCCAAACTAATTGGTTTGTAACTTGTAGCCATTTGAGTAATTCTCTTATAATATGTCAGTCAGATCAAGATTGCTGGGACAACAATGGATATGTTGCAGACAGTGATAACCATGCTTCCGCCCTCAGTCGTCACCATGTGTACCATATTTTATACATGTTTTCTTACTCCCAGGCATACACAACATTAAAATAAATAAAATGGTTGATATCCCCATTTTTAATAAAAAAGAAAAAGGACATTTTAGTAACTACCATAAGTCAAATGAACTCTAATTCAGCATCAATATAGAATGAAGTGCTATAGTTCATCCACATTCTTATTAATAAATTCTGTATGATTCACATGCCCCTTAATTTAGGTCTTGTATTCATCTAATTTGCTTACTTGTCCTCCCTATGATTGCAAAAATGTTGACAGTTTGGATTTTATTTTATGAGTCAGTTGCTTACATAACAGTACCAAATGTTAAATGTGGAAATTAAATGCCCTATAGTCAAAATAATGATAATTATTAACAATACAAAATAAACTGCCAAAGAGATCCTTACTCTAATGACAAATATGCTAGCTTTAATAGAAACAAGTTGTTTCCTAAGCAGCTGTCACTCCTAACTCATTGAAACTGAAATGATTATGACCTGACACAGATTAGAAATTCATACACACACACATAATATTGTAAGCATAAGGTATCTCAGCAATAATTCAACTTATAAAACCTGCGTTACACTCTTTTAATTAGGCAATTAAGAAAGATACAAATGGGTACAAAAATTAGACAAAAATTATGGCAGAACATATATGTCATTATCTTGGAAGATTAAAACTAAACAAGTAGCAATAATGTCTGTTTTGAAGTGTCTTTTGGGTGAAATCATTAATAAACATGTTAAACCACTAGTTTCATAATGATAGAGAAAGTAATATTTCTGGATTTAAATATAAACATGATTATAATTATTCAGCCTTGCCTTCAATTCTGACAAAGAAAAAAATGATATATAAGCTATGATGAAATATCTTTAGAGCATACTCTCATGATTTACAGCAAATTTATATAGGCTCAATCGAAATGGTTCAAATCAAAATCCCTTATAATTCAGAGTGCAGATGAGGAGTTGTTTACACTAATCAATAACTATTATTTGAAGAATGTTGCAACTGGGATCTTAAGGAATCTTAAGACTCATTCATTCTTGGGAAAACTTTTGGTGGGTCTATGGTGCCCAAACATTCCGTGGGAATATCAAACTTGAATTAGTCAATGTTGTATTTTTTCTCGTTCAATATTAAAATTAAAGCACTGATATGACTCAATTTATGTCATGCTAAAAAACAACGAATTCTAAACAAACTTTTCTGATGTTACTTGCAGATAAAAATACATTGCAGAATATGTGATTGATTAACACAAAGCTGGGGAAGCAGTTACATTTGGGATATAGACCAAGGAGAGGGATGTATTAGTGAGGAGTACACAGAAGGCTCTAAAGATACTGAGAGTGGGTGCTTTATTTGTTAATTTTAGCAGTGGTCATATAGGTGCTCATTTCATCCTAATTTTTAAAAATTGTACATGTGCAATTATGTATATTATATTCTATGTATAGCATAGTTCAAATTTAAAAAATTAAAGACTGACATGATTTTTGAAACTGCTGGATGAGTTCATTTTGTCATCCTACATATCCTTTTGTTAGCTTATCTATTTATGTTCGATAATTACAGTGTTAAATTATTTCATAAGTTTTTTGATGCAATGAAATACCTTAGGTTTACTAAATTTTAGTTCTTAATTTGTTTTAGTTAGAATAAAATACTGCTTCAAGTAAAAGAAGAAAAAAATAGTTGATTAAAAATATGAAGGTTTATTTATCTCACATTTAAAAATGTCTTGTAGGCAGTCAATCCAGGAGTGACATGATAGCGTTGCTCAAAAAATTCCTTGGGGACACAGGCTTTTTCCAGCTTCCTATACCAGTAACTCTAGTGGACTATGGCCTTTCCCCTCATAATATGAGATGGAGTTTCAGCAGCCGATCCAAGTTCCAAGAAACTGGATAAAATGATCAGAAGAAGAAGAAAGGGGGAGGTGCAATATATTTCTATTCACATTCCATAGGCCAGATCTCAGTCACGTGGCCATATCTTCCTGCAAGGCAGGCCAAGAATGAAGTCTTCATTTTGAGTGGCCATGTGCCCAGCTAAACATCTTGTTACTGTGGAGGAAAAGAAACCATATTGAAAAGTACTGAGCAGGCTGAGAAACGAGGCAATATTAATCAGAAGACATAGCGTCTTTCTAATGATTCTGTTTACATTTTAAAAAATCCTCTTTTAATTTCAAGTTTATCAAATTAGAAACTTCTTCTATTGATCTTTGTCTTTTAGCTCTTTAGATATTCAAATTCACAGACTGAATGTTTGTAACGACCATTCAGTAAACCCTGTTCTTTCTAAAAAACTAAATTATATTTTAACATAATACATTAAAATAAAAATATAAATTAAATCAATGTGTTGTCAGCTTTTGTTAAATTATAATTTCTGTAAGTTAAAGACTACTACTTGGATGAATAAAATTGCCAGTTTCCTATCATTGATTTGTTAACTATATTGAGTATTTTATTGTACTTCATCTTGGTCATAAGAAGGTAAATTTTAATATAAAAATACTAAACATAAGTTACGAGTGAAATTTTCTTTCCTACTATTATCATCATTTGACTTTAATAACACATTAAAATACGCTTTTTAAGTTTTATATTTCTTTTAGTAATTCATCTAAAACAGCATATCAGAATGTTAATTTTAGAATATTTCAAAGTAAAAATACTTTTCCTCATCCATTTACATATCTGAGCCAAAATTCTAAAATATTTTTAAAATACCCATTTAATATAGTGTGCTTCTTTCTGAGTTTACTTATAACCATTGAATGCATTATCTTAAAAATAAACAACCAAAGAAAAATGTTGACTCATCTCTCTTTCTGAACTTCAAATTCTACTGATAAATCAATTCCCATTTTGCAAGCAATGTTTTAACTTTTCTCACCCATGTCAACAAATTAAACTGCTATATGTAATGAATAATATTTGATAGTCAAATCAGAAAAAACAATGAGCAAAAAGAAACTATAAGAAACAAAAATATAATAGAAATGCATTTGCTTTTAGAAATGGCTGTATCTGGCTGTTCCATAAACTGACACCTCTTGATTAGCAAAGGGAAAAATGTCACAGGTGCAAGTAGTGATTTAGAGATGTGATATAGAAATATTCTCAAACATGAAGTGCTCCCATACAAGTTGAATCAGCAAACATTTTATTGACAAACCCTCAGTGAAAACCTGCTCAGAAAGTCCTGAGGCTGAATTCTGCAGCACCGCTGTCTAGCACCTGACTTGGAGATTCCCTATCTGGTGTCAAAGTCTCCCATTCTGAGATAGGGATTTTTTTATGTGTACTCAGCTTTCTATCAGATTCAGCACAAAGAAATGGTTAGGAGTCGCTTATTCAAATGGAAGAGTACATAGAGCTAAAAGCGACTTCTTTTTTGTGTGTGTTTTTGCTTTTTGTCCCTCTCCCTTTGTGTTATTTCAGATGACCTCCCTAGGCTTGAATACCCCACGGGTGGTTACAACTTGGAACATCTGTCCACAGCCTGGCGTGGTGACAACACCTGCTCCGCACTTGGCAGGGTGGCTGTATGGAATAGTGGTTTACCACATGGGCTATTCAGTCAGGGTGGTTGGGTTCAAATCCGAGCTCGGGTTAATTAACCTCTCAGTGCTCCAATAATCATTTGTATCATTAGTATGATTATAGAGGTGATGTATGGAAACAGGTAATATTTGTAAAGTATCATGTATTAAGTGCTCAAAAATATGTATCATCATCATATATTTTACATTATATAGATGTATTATAAATATATGCATAAAGATGACATTTTAAGAAGGGAATTGGGTAAGGACATTGGAAATTAAAATTGTTCAATGTCAAAATACTTAGAAGAAGGAAGACAGTCATTTAAATGTCTATCAATCTCCTGAAAAATGTTATGATACTATGGCACCATTTACTCTTTGTTCCACCCTTGATGATTCTGATCACCTGCCAGGTCTGAGTTGTAAGCCTAGGTCTATATATAATTTTTAGTTTTCCAAGCAATAATATATAGCCAAATTGGAGAATGCCTTGATCAGAATATCCTCATCAGTGATCAATATTTCTGATTCTAACCCACCCACCCACCTACCTTCCTTCCTTCCTTCCTTCCTTCCTTCCTTCCTTCCTTCTTTTTTTGACAGGGTCTCATGCTGTTTCTCAGGCTGAGTATTAGTGGTGCAATAACAGCTCACTGTAGCCTCGAACTCCTGGATTCAAGCACCCTCATGCCTCAGCCTTTTGAGTAGCTAGGACTACAGGCATGTGCCGCCATGCCTGGCTAATTTTTTATTTTTTCTAAAGACAGGGTCTCACTATGTTGCCCAGGTTGTTCTCAAACTCTTGGGTTCAAGCGATTCTTGAGCTTCGCCCTCCCAAAATCCTGGGGTTACAGGCTTGAGCCATTGTGCCCAGCCTCAACTGACCTCTTCAACTTTTTCTTTCACTACTATCCTCTCTTCTCATCCTACTGCTTGTTGTTCTCTAAACACACCATGCTTTATTTCATATATATATATATATATATATATATATGAGAGTTTGCATGAGCTACTACTGCTACTTAAATAGGCTTCCCCAGAGTGCCTTTTCTACTGGCAAAGGCTTGCTCCTGTTTTAATACCCAGATCAACCATTCTGTCCTTCCCATGCTGAGCAAGATCAGTGGATCTCTTCTATGAATTCCCCGAGACTGCTGCAGCCCCAATCCCACCTCATGTGAAGGTCTTAGGTCCCCAGAAGGTCACTAGACTGTGAGTTCCTTAATGACAGAATTTTACATATTTTGTTTTCTCCAGTGGCTTTAGCACACTGCATAATACAGAGTAGATACCTAAAGAATGATGGCAATGACTGAAAAAACTCAAGTTGCATGCAGAAGGCTGAGGCATATGTAAGTATCTTTGTTCAAGGGCTTGACTCTGAGAATAAGATGCTGTTAATGTAAAATATTACAGAAATTCAGAAGAAAGAGCAGTGAATGTTGCTCTATTCACACACAAGGACATACCAAGATATTTCTTGTACAGAAACACTGTTTTATATTGCAAAGGAACCAGAAAAATTTGAAATCTGATTTTTGCTTCATTAAATTTGCAATCAAAGTGGGGCAACAAGACAAGTACTGTGCAATTAAGAGATGAAATTAAGAGGTTTATGGAAGTCTAGTGATAGGGAAACCATATAAAGCCACATGAACATAAGCAAAGATAACTTTCTTGAGAAGGTGAGACTAGCTCTTGATATTAAAAAAGACTGTGTTTGTACAGAGTAGGGGAAAAACAGATGGTTTTTTAGAAGTGTGAAGTAACGGGAGGAATAGGGAGGCTGGTGTGTTAGTTAGGAAACTGTTGAAACAGAGCCCAGATTGCATGTTAGGAAGTAGTGGGAAATAATGGGAGATCGGTAGGTTGGGCCAGATTATAATGAAGCTTTTAAAGTAACTAGGAACGAAAAGTTTGAGATTTTTCTGCTAACTGAAGCAAATGATTGATTGATGAAAGGAAAAAAACACTGTGTTGATTAAATGTTGACCATTATAATTTTCAGTGCAACAGCTGCTACTGAAATTGCAGTAATTCAAAATGAAAAATAGACACTGTTGTTCTAAAATAGCTTGGACTATTTGGAACCCTGTAGCATGAGTTTATGCTATGTAGTTTTGCTAAGAACATGATGGGGTGCAGGGTTTTCTTTTTTCATTTTATCATAATTACTTGTTCTAAGGATGGAGAATTCAAACTGAGCAACAATTTCACAGCCAGAGTTGGAGTGTGGGTTGTATAAAGTTGTCGAAGCACTTTCCAAAGGTATAAAAACTCCTCTCAACTACCTAATTACAATTTCTAACTGAAATGGTATTTAAAACATGTAACTTGCTTACATTATTTATCTATTAAAATGCATGTATTATAAACTCATTATTTACATTGTATTATTTGCTCACAGTTTTTCTCCTGAAAACTAAGTCCTTGAGTTTGACAGTAGGTATTTCCCCTCAAGATAAATATTTTAAAAACTAACCATACTATGCAAACTACTGGGGTAGGAATAATCCATGAATATAATTTACATCACAACTCATAGTTACTTATTTTTTATTGCCCAAGATAAACAATTTATTTCAAGGCCATCATTTTATCTTCTTTTGGATTAGTAATATCTATAATGTCAAATAAATCAAGTTGCAGTTCAACATTACTATTCTAGGCATCCTTGTTTATTACTAGCACATCATCTCTCTGTACCTCTAATTTATTTTAGGTTACTTTGTCATATCAAGACATTTGGACATCATCCCATAGCAGGTATTTGAAAACAGGGAGATGCCGAAAAACCCCAAGCTGTATTTTGGAAAGATAATGCTGGTAGAAGTAGGAGGATAAATTAGAGGGCAAGGGAAGAGACTTGAAGAAAAGGGGACCAGTTATAGGATAAATGGGATGAGCTGGCTGTGTGAGGAATAGTATGAACAGATTGAGGAAGCATTTTAGAGGTTGAATGGAACTTGTTACTCTACAAGAATTAACAGGTACATAATAAAATGACCTATCAGTGTTACAGTCACAGACACGCTTAGGTTGAAAATGGAGCTCTGGGTACTCTAAGGAGGCAATGGCAGAAGCTTTGCGGAAACAGGTTGCTATAGCAACAGTAGCCTGTCAAGTGCAAATAGAGCCCATTCTCCCTGCCAGTGACCAATAGAGATTTTCAGAAGGCCAAGATGTAATTAGCACGCTAGACCAACTGGTACTTTGATATGGAAAAGTGATCATCCAACGGATACCATAAACATGTCTATGACTTTAACCAAAGCAGGACCCTACATTTTCAAATGTTTATGGTACTGAAACCAGACAATATTTATCCAAATATAGATTCCTTATCCCTTCTACTCTAGGCAAGTATAGCTCTTTAACATCTTTGTGGTTCATATTCCTCATCTATATGGCAGAATAATCACTATGACTATAAACTTGTATGATACTTAGAAGGTGCACGGCACACATTAAGTGAAATGCAAATATTAGTCATTATTATTATCGCTGTTATCCTCATCATCACATAAGTGGGTAGCATAATGCAAGGCTTAAAAGCATGAACTCTGAAAGCAGAATGCTTGTGTTTCATTGTTGTTGTTGTTTAAAAATATAGCACTTTGTAGCTGTGTGAATTTGGGCAACTTATTGAAACTGTCTGCAATTCAGTTTCCTCACCTACAAAATGAGAAATAATACCTGCACCTACTTCACAGAGTTGTTATGTGGGTTAAATGAATTCATATTTGTAAAGTGCTTAAGGTAGTGTCTGGCACATAGTGAATAATAGAGTATTTGTTAAATAAACAAGTAAATGAAAATGTTTTTGTTACATTCCTCTTAGTGGTTTTGATGCTTCCATAATAGCTACTCTTTTTTAGTAGGTTTTAAAATCTAAACTTGCTTTTATGCTTTTCCATGGCTTTCAAATTTAAAGAAAGCAAAAAGGGGCCAGGCGTGGTGGCTCAGGCCTGTAATCCCAGAACTTTGGGAGGCCGAGGCGGACAGATCAAGAAGTCAGGAGTTCGAGACCAGCCTGGCCAACGTGGTGAAACCTCGTCTCTACTAAAAATACAAAAATTAGCCAGGTGTGGTGACACGTGCCTGTAATCTCAACTACTCAGGAGGCTGAGGCAGGAGAATCGCTTGAACCTGAGAGGCAGTGTTTGCAGTGAGCTGACATTGTACCAGTGCACTCCAGCCTGGGTGACAGAGCGAGACTCTGTCTCTAAAAAAGAAAGAAAGAAAGAAAGAAAAACAAAAAAGCAGAAAGTAAAGTGAAAAACACTGAACTAAAATTTATTGCATTTCTACTTCATTGCAGGCCTTCTCAGAGGCATTATATTATCTCATTTAATCCTCACAAAACCCACATGAGCTACAGATGAGAAAAGAGACTAAGAAAATGGAAACAATCCAAATACATTCCCACAGGTGGTAAATGTTAAAGCTAGAATTTAATCCACATATCATTAATTCTAACATTAATATTCTTTAAATTATTACTATTATTATTTTGAGACAGAGTCTCGCTCTGTTGCCCAGGCTCGAGTGCAGTGGTGCAATCTCGGCTCACTGCAACTTCTGCCCCCTCGGTTCAAGCAATTCTCCTGCCTCAGCCTCCCAAGTAGCTGGGATTACAGGCACCCACCACTACGACCAGCTAATTTTTTGTATTTTTAGTAGAAACAGGGTTTCGCCATGTTGGCCAGGCTGGTGTCGAACTCCTGACCTCGTGATCTGTCCGCCTCAGCCTCCTGAAGTGCTGGGATTACAGGCGTGAGTCACCGTGCCTGGCCAATATTCTTTAAATTATTATTGCACAGTATTTCTTACATAAGTTTAAAGTAAATAATAGTTATTCCAAATAATTATTGATTACGATAATGTGAAAAATATTTTTACTATTATTTTATTTTTATGAAACCTTATGTCTTTAACAGTTAATGTTTTTCTAAATATAGTAATATTTATTAAATTATCAACCTGCTACATCACTCCTGGGTGAGATATAGCATTCTGCTTAAAAGACAAACTAATGGTTAATTTATGGTTGATTGACTCATTAATGATGGCTTCAATGGAGAATATATTCTATCCCATGAATTTAAGAGCCCACTATAATATTTAAATATAGGTAATTTTTATTAAGACAATATCATTTCCTTTTTCAGACTACAGTACACTAATCTTTATCTTTTAAAAATCATTTCTAATATTTTAGATTTATTGGGTTTTGAGATTATGGTAAGATTCCTTCATAACCTTCAGCAAAAATGCCTATTAAAGATGTTTTAAAAAAACTGTTGTCTACCCCTAACTTATGAATTTATCATCTATGAAGCAAAAACATAGACTCCACCATGAACCAAAGATGAGTTAGGCCAAGGTGGGTGGATCACAAGGTCAGGAGTTCAAGACCAGCCTGGCCAAAATAGTGAAACTCCATCTCTACTAAAAATACAAAAATTAGCTGGGTGTGGTGGCGGGTTCCTGTAATCCCAGCTGCTCGGGAGACTGAGGCAGAGAATTGCTTGAATCCAGGAGGCAGAGGTTGCAGTAAGCCGAGACCATGTCACTGCACTCCAGCTTGAGTGACAGAGCGAGACCCTGTTTCAAAAAAAAAAAAAAAAAAAAAAAAAGAAATACACAAAACCCATCATCGCAGTTTTCATTCTTACCTAATTTACACTTCATACAAATTACTTCATGTGTTATTTTCTAGTTAATTTTCAGTTCAGCATTTTGTTAAATTATATTGATTGCTAGCACTTCCACAAGTGCACAGAAGCAGTGATTTCTGCATCAGAGTTTAAAGGAAAACAAAAACACATTCTCAGATAGCAAAAAAGGAAAATAATTACTGCTGTTAGTCACTCCTCAAGGACCAAGGAGAAAATGGCAATGAATTTAGGTGTGGATGAAAAGGTGAAATGAGCTTCTTTTTTTGTCGCTGCTGTGGATTAGTTACAAAGCAACTTTAAATGGATTCAGACAGAACAGACGGAAATAAATCTAATAAATTGTATTGGAATTCATTGAGTGGAATGCCATAGTGTGTTTTCTCTTTACATATTCAAGTAATTCATCATGTCCATTTCCTCATTTTAGAACACCTGTCTAAGATATTTTCACCTACAAATTCATTAATGGGTAGCTAATTTTTTCTATTCATACCATCTGTATATACCCTTAAAATTAATGTATTCATAAAATTGTTTTCAACAAGTGAGAACAACAGCAAATCTTCAAAGGCAATTAACCTTTTAAACTCATCTAAACAAGTGCATGATTTAATGTATACATGTTTATAAGTCAACTCTCATTCTTTGTTTGTTTGTTTGTTTTGTTTTGAGACGCAGTCTCG
Organism: Homo sapiens; assembly: GCF_000001405.40. Classification (NCBI taxonomy): domain Eukaryota; kingdom Metazoa; phylum Chordata; class Mammalia; order Primates; family Hominidae; genus Homo; species Homo sapiens. The sequence continues at coordinate 38,541,878 of NC_000013.11, forward strand.
CTCTGTAGCCCAGGCTGGAGTGCAGTGGCGTGATCTCCACTCACTGCAAGCTCCGCTTCCCGGGTTCACTCCATTCTCCTGCCTCAGCCTCCCGAGTAGCTGGGAGTAGCTGGGACTACAGGTGCCTGCCACCACGCCCAGCTAATTTTTTGTATTTTTAGTAGAGACGGGGTTTCACCGTGTTAGCCAGGATAGTCTCGATCTCCTGACCTCATGATCTGCCCGCCTCGCCTCCCAAAGTGCTGGGATTACAGGTGTGAGCCACCACCCCCGGCCTAAGTCAACTATCATTCTGAAAAAACAGAGCATCTCCCAGTCCCCACAAAAATAGCCCACACCCCAGTTTAATATATGTGTAAGCTAGTGAATGCAGTCTTTGAAAAAATAATAGAAAAACTAATCCCTAGGAAATTCATAGGTATATTTTATGCTATGAAATGTCATCAAGCGTGTGATAGTGAAAACTTTTCTTAAAACTGACTGCTCCATGAAATTGTTTTAGAAAACTTGGAGCAAGTCCAGCATTACTTATGCCTCATGTAGGAAAACAATAAAATGTAGCTGAAATATTCAGCATGAAGAATGGAAGTTATGTGTCTTCAGTCATGACTGTGTAGATTTTTCTTGAAGGGAAGTATGCTTCTGGGAGATTTAAATTTGTTGTAAGGTAAAACATTTTTGACAAAATGAATGCTGAGTGTGCAAGAGATTTTCCATTTTCCCTCTATATTCACACTCAATTTTTCTCCAACTTGCTCGGCGACCTGGGAAGGAAAACTTGAATTGCACATGCTCCCTCTGACCTCCATTGGATTTGGTCTATGGAAAGGAATAGCAGCAGATCTACATGTGGAAGGACATGTGATCAGAGTATTTATTCCCTGGCTAACCTCTGCCAGGCTGCAGGCTGGCAATGGTGTGTCATTCTATCAAAGGCTGAATCACCTATTTGGCATCCTCCTGCTATGACCACAGCTACTTCTAAAGCAATGGCAGCATTTCTTTCCAGATTCTAATATCCATTCCTCTTCAGATCTAAGATGGAAAGGGCTTCCTGCTATTGCTAGTCCTTCAGTGTGCCATCCCTTGCTGGTTTCCTTAGCCAAGCTCGTGCCTTTGTAAATGGTTTCTTTATTAAACTATCCTTAATTACCCCCCTTTAAGTGTGCTATCTTCCTTGCTGACAAATACCTTCAGCAAATCAATTAATTCCAAGTATTAACTTCTAAGCCTCTTCCTCGAGCCATTAGAGAAATTAAAATGTCTTTAAAGCAATGTAAATGTTTTTGCAGGCATATAGATAATAGACTACTTCATTGAGTTCGGTATAGCTGGTAAATCGATGATAATTTAACATTTAATTTAAAGTTTAAGATTTAATGTTTCTCTAATGGGAGTAGAAATGTCTTTCCACAACTTGATAACTATTTTGAGGGACACAAACTTAGGCGATTTTATGGAACATCAATCAGGAAATTATGAGGTTTTCTTGTGATGCGTTTTCTGATCAAGTATTGTTCCATACTTTTAAATAGTTCAAATAATGTGCCCTGACATTTTTTTCTCAATTTTAAACAGGTTATTTACATACCACATCATCATTTAGACAAACACAATATTTTATGCTATTACTATTGTATTTGGGTCTTTCATCAGCCTTTTGATATTCATATAGGTATTAAAGAATGTTTTGGTTTTAAGACTTACGACAGAAAAGCCTCAGACATAATCAATATAGGCAAGCTCTAGGGAAGACAGAAATTTTCCTATTCAGTTCATTGTTAAAATTAGTTATTTCACGTCTATCCCAACTGCCCAGTATCCTTTTTACCACATCAAAGCATAATTGCTGAGTCAATCAAGTTCAAAACAGATGAACTGGGAGTATTGGCTGGTGGTTGTGAATTCCTTGGTTCTCTCACCGTAGTTTAGTTACATCATTAAAGTGTTGATTTTTTAAAAATTGTGATGCATGACTCAGAGTCTGAAACTTTAAGAGCAAGAGAGCCTTAAAGAATGAGAACAGAAGGCTGCAACATACATTGTTCAATGTCCCCTTTCACGACTCTTCTTATCAAATATGTACACCTGCATAAACACGCTTTACTTGCTGAATTCTACCAAGATATGTTTATTATTTGCCCAAAAGACAAATATAACAAAGACAACATTTTCATATTAAATTCTCTATTAAATTTAATATGAAAATGAAAAAGCTAACTCATCAAGCTTAATCCCCTCCTTGATCACAGTACGTTTCTCAAATGTTTGACTAGTTCATGTTTGAACAGATTTTACACTGTAAACATAAATAATTCACAAGACAATACCAATATACAAATTTTAAAGATGATGAAATAGAAATTCAGAAAATATTATTTTCTCAAGGTTACAAATTACCAGTAAGCTGTAGAATACGACCTTGAATAGGCCTTCTAACTCTGGTTAAATGCTTTAACCACTACACCTTGAGAACATCTTTTGATGAGCTATAATAGAAAGTCATTAAAACACTAGATGCCCAAGTTAGGATAAAGAGAGAGAAAGGACCTACTGAGATCACTGAGAGGAAACATCCCCAAGTTCAGAATTTTTCCTAGGACCAGCTTTATCTGAGGGTAGAAAGGCCTGAGAGAGGTGCACTCAATGAAGCGTCCTGGTCACCTCTATTTATCTCAAAGGTGGAGTCCCAGAAGACATGCCAAAAAGGACAGAATGCAAAAATGTCTTTTCTTGACATTCTCTTCTAGTATCTCCATGTTACTCTCCTCAAGGTGGAGAATTAAGAAATGAGTCAGAGAGAGGGATGCATTTTGGACAGTGTTGTCACATAAGACCTTTGGACAGTGCGCAGGCTCCAGGGACTCAGTATTGCAGCAGAGGTTCTTCACATTCACAGTTTACTCCTATTCTATTACTGCAAATAGTGCATGAGAAAGTTGCTTACCAAATTCTCCAGAAAGACTTCTGTCCCTGGATAAATTAACATAAAGCATCACATAGTTTGACATTAAATAACCGTGTGTGCTGATTCCTGGTTATTTTGTTAGTGTAGCATTCACTTTATTTGTGTGCACCTGGCCATCCCAAAGGCTAATGGATGTCTTAAAATGTGACTTGCATATTTGTTTTGTTTTGATTTTTGGTTCTCAGAAGAAATTACCTCCTAGAAAAAATACTAAAAATAATAATTCTCTTCCTAGATCAACCTGCAAAATTTTACTGAGCTCCATAATTTAGCAAGGAAGAAAAAATATTTTCATAATACTAAGAGTTCAACCAAGTAGAATATTAACTAGACCGAATTACCTTGAATGTGATGTTTGAACTTGTGTGGGTTCTATTGATACATTCAGCTGACATTTGTTGAGTGCCTCTCCTGTGACAAGCACATAGCAGGGATTTCTGAAACAAAAGACAAACTTTGCAGGTGTCAATTGCTGTTGAGCTAATAGACCAGCAGGAAAGATTGAGGTACAAGTGTTGCCACCCTTTCAGTTTGAACATCCTTTGATTACAATTCCAGTCACATTTGCATAAATACTACAAAGCCTGGCACTCTGAGTTCCGCCGCATGATAGCAGGACCTGGTATTTTCTCTCAGGGAGTTCTTGAATGGTAATACCTCTTGTCCAACTACCCCATTGCTCATGCCACAGGGTTCCACTTCCCTTTGTTTCCACTCACTCCTTCTTGAAGTCCCCACGGACCATACTGCCACCACCATTCTGTCTCCAGGGGCTTGGACAAAGAGGAGTGCCCTTAACATAGTCACTGTATAATAAGTACAGGGCTGACTTCATGGACGTGTCCAGTGCAATTGCACAAGACCCCACTTTAGAAGTCCTTGCACTTGAACATTTGGAGTTGAATGCTCTCTGGTTGCTGTCTTGAAACGTTTAATAGTGTTATCTTTGAGTTTATGTTTTGTAAGTGAAGTCCAATGGGTCAGTGGAGCATGTGCCGGGGACTAGGCACCTCAGCCCACACATGATGCTGCCTCCAACCACCTCCGTGACTCCATGGGAGGAGCTCCAGGCAGCCTAACCTCCATCCTCTGTGGCCTTGGGACATGCCCTGACTCCCTTTCTTGATCCCACTCTTTGATCGCTGACCCCTATATCTAGGGCAGTAACCAGGTCACATCTGTTGAGAACGCCCTGCATCCTCTTGACCTCCACCTTGCTGGGGGCCCAGACAAGGGTCATGGGAAAAGTCAAGGTCTCTGTGTGTTCCCTGCAGAGTCTGGAGAAGGAGCATGGTGCTCGTCATCCCAAGCCTGGGTTGGCAGTGCCACAGCATGTTTCCTGGGGGCAAACGTATCATTCACAACTGATCCAGGTACTAAGTGTATGCCAGTGCAGAGGTTTGCCATTTCTTGCATGGTCACCCTGTCAGCTGTGGGTTGGGATGACAGCAAATAGGAAGGAGAGATTGACTTCCCTGTCCCTGCTGGGGTCCTGTATTTCCATTTTGCACTGGGCCTGGCAAAATTAGACAGCTGACCCTGCATGGGTAACATACATTATACCCCTGGATATTATTCTGAACAAAAGAATAAACTATTTTACTGTTCCCTTTAATATGAGAGTGTATACTAGGAAAGAGGGGCTTTAATCATGTTAGAATAACCTATAACCAGAGGAACTGCAGCTTGGGTTGAGGGGAAGGAAAAGACCCATGTGGTTAAATGGTTATATGCAGGATATAAAAATTAAGTGAATATATTGATAATTACAGGACCTTGAATTCTTACTACTTGGGGAAATACAAATATAGAAAGGAGGAAGGTGAAAATAAATCCTGAATGTTGAGTTGGAAACTGTAAACTCTTGGTTTTTAAACACGGATGGATGGGTACAGACAGAGATGCAGATTACATGGGCCTACACGTGCCTGTGTGTGTGTGTGTGTGTGTGTGTGTGTGTGTGTGTGTGTGTGTGTTCCTAGTTCTTCCTGCTGAGAAGGTCTGGAAGCCTAGTAGCAAGAAACACACTTGGCACCCAGATCTTGGATACTAAATACTCCACTAAATAAAGCCAAGACTCCAGGGAAAATGCGTGATTCCAGAGCAGGGAAAGTGTAAGATGGGACTGGAACATTTTGCAGTATCACAATGAAAAGAAGGAATCAAAGAATATATGGATATGTCAAAAGAGCAGAGGAGCCATCTTGAAGGGGCTCTTACTGTCCAAACTTGGGACAATTAGGACAGCAAATAAATAATGATAATAATAAAATATAACCCATGGAGTAAAATAAGAATCCATGAGTCAATGCTGATATAAATATATAAATGAATGAATGAATGAGTCAAAGAAATTGGAGAGAAGGGATTGCTCTACATTATAGTAAAACATAAGCAATAAATGTAGAAAGAATTATGAACTTAGAATATCACCATTTGGCAATAACTGCAGTAAAAAATGATTTGGGATATGATTATCAATAGATTTTTTAAAAATAAGTGAAATTTTGATAAGAAACAATATTTATCTAAATAATATTTACTTACTTTCAAAGCAGCTCCCCACTTACATAAAAATATTTGATTGATTTAAAAATTAAAATAATAAGTGCATTATGTACTTACATAAATAACAATTTTAATTAAAATATTCTTTCAAAAATTAGTGAGAAGATTAACATTGCTTCATTTTTTGGAAATCTTATTAACACGAGGATTAATAGAAGACAACTGGATTTTCACATCTGCTCTGCATTTAATCTGATGTGACATTTTGTTTTGGTTGAAGTATGTAAAGAAAATCTAATCTCACACAAATACGTAGTTTGAAAAGGAAAGGATATTTTAATAGTCTTCTCAAATAATGGTGGATATTCTTTGGTACAATAGCAATTTTTTTAAATTGTTGTGGTACTCAGTAAGTGTATATATTTGTGGGATGCATAAGATGCTTTGATACAGGCATGGCATGTAAAATAAGCACATCATGGAAAATGGGGTACCCACTGCCTCAAGCATTTATCTTTTGAGTTACAAACAATCCACTTACACTCTTTAAGTTATTTTTAAATGTAGAATTGAGTTATTGCTGACACTAGTCATCCTGTTGTCCTATCAAGTAATAGGTCTTATTCTTTAACTATTTTTTGTACCCATTAAACATCACCGTCTCCTCACCAGTGCCCCATTACCCTTCCCAGCCTCTAATAACCATCCTTCTACTCTCTATATCCATGAATTCAATTGTTTTGATTTTTAGATCACACAAATAAGTGGGAACATGTGATTTTTGTCTTTCTGTGCCTGGCTTATTTCATTTAACAAAATGATTTCCAGTTCCATCCATGTTGTTGCAAATGACGGATCTCATTCTTTTTTGTGGCTGAATACTACTCCATTGTGTAAATGTACCACATTTTCTTTATCCATTCATCTCTTGATGAACACTTAGATTGATTCTAAATCTTAGGTATTGCAAACAGTGCTTCCACAAACATAGGAGTGCAGACATCTCTTCAATATACTGATGTCCTTTCTTTTGGGTATGTACCCAGCAGTGGGATTGCTGGATCATATGGTAGCTCAATTCTTAGTTTTTCAAGAAACCTCCAAATTGTTCTCCACAGTGGTTGTACCAATTTACATTCCCACCAACAGTGTACAGGTGTTCCCTTTTCTTCACATCCTGCCAGCATTTGTTATTGCCTGTCTTTTGGATGTAGCCATTTTAATTGGAGTGAGAGGATATCTCATTGCAAATTTGACTTGCCTTTCTCTGATTATTAATGATCTTGAGCACATTTTCATATGCCTGTTTGCCATTTGTATGTCTCCTGTTGAGAAACGTCTATTCAAATTTTTGATCAGATTATTAGATTTTTTTCCTGTAGAGTTGTTTGAGTTATTTATATATTTGGTTATTAATCCCTTGTCAGAGGGTAATTTGCAAATATTTTCTCTCATTCTGTGGATTGTCTCTTCACTTTGTTGACTGTATCTTTTGATGTTTAGAAGCTTTTTAACTTGATGGAATCTCATTTGTCCATTTTTGCTTTGGTTGCCTATGCTTGTGGGGTTATGCTCAAGAAATTTTTGCCCAGACCAATGTTCTGGAGATTTTACCCAATGTTTTTTTGTAGTAGTTTTATAGTTTGAGGTATTATATTTAAGTCTTTAATCCATTTTTATTTGATTTTTTTATATAGTGAGAGACAGGGGTCTAGTTTCATTCTTCTGCATATGGCTTTTCAGGGGTCTAGTTTCATTCTTCTGCATATGGCTTTTCAGGGGTCTAGTTTCATTTTTCTGCATATGGCTTTTCAGTTTTCCCAGTGCCATTTATTAAAGAAACTGTCTTTTCCCCAGTATATGTTCTTGGCACCTTTGTTGAGAATGGGTTCACTGTAGGTGTGTGGATTTGTTTCTAGGTTCTCCATTCTGTTCCATTGGTCTATGTGTCTGTTTTTATGACACTACCATACTCTTTTGGTTACTATAGCTTTGTGGTACAGTTTGAAGTCAGGTGATGTGATTCCTCCAGTTTCGTTCATTTTGCTTTGGCTATTCTGGATCTTTTGTGGTTCTATATAAATTTTAGGATTGCTTTTTCTATTTCTGTGAAGAATGTTAATGGTATTTTGATGGGGATTGTATTAAATCTGTAGATTGTTTTGGGTAGTATGGACATTTTAACTATATTGATTCTTCTAATCCATGAACATGGAAAACGTTTTCCATTTTTTAGTGTCCTATCCAATTTCTTTCATCAGTGTTTTATAGTTTTCATAATAGAGATATTTCACTTCTTCAGTTGATTCCTAGGTATTTAATTTTATGTGTGGCTATGATAAATGGAATTACTTTTTAAAATTTCCTTTTTACATTGTTCCCTGTTGGCATATAGAAGTGCTACCAAATTTTTATGTTGATTTTTGTATCCTGCAAATTTACTGAATTTGTTTATCAATTCTCATAGTTTTCTTGTGGAGTTTTCCAGATATAAGATCATATCATCTACAAACAAGTATAATTTGACTTCTTCTTTTCCAATTTTGATACCCTTTATTTCTTTCTCTTGTCTGATTGCTTTAGCTAAGATTTCCAGTTCTATGTTGAATAACAGTGGTGGCATCCCTGTCGTATTCCAGATCTTAGGGGAAAGGCTTTCAGTTTTCGGCATTAAGTATGATACTAGCTGTGGGCTGTCGTATATGGCTTTTATTATGTTGAGGTGTGTTCCTTCAATCCCCATCTTTTTAAGGGTTTTTATCAAGAAGGAATGTTGAATTTTATTAAATGCTTTTCAGCATCAATTTAAATGATCATTTGGTTTTTATCCTTCATTCTGTAGATATGATGTATTACATTGATTGATTTGCATATGTTGAACCATCCTTACTTTCCAAGGATAAATCCCACTTAGTCATAATGAATGATCTTTTTAATGTATTGTTTAATTGGGTTTGCTTGTATTTAGTTGACAATTTTTGCATCAATATTCATCAGAGATATTGGCCTTCAGTGTTTTTGGGGGGTGGGTATTTTTTTTTTTGATGTGTCTTTGTCTGATTTAGGTTTCAGGGTGATTCTGGCCTCATAGAATGAGTTTGGAAGTATTCCCCTCCCCTCTATTTGTTGGAATAATTTGAATAGGATTGGTATTAGTTCTTCTTTAAATGTTTGGTAGAATTCAGCAGTGAAGCCATCAGGTCCTGGGCTTTTCTTTACTGGGAGACTTTTTATTACAGCTTTGATCTTATTACTTATTAGTCTGTTCAGATTTTTTATTTCTTCCTGGTTCAATGTTGGTAGGTTGTATGTGTCTAGGGATTTGTCCATTTCTTCTAGATATTCCAATCTATTGTCATATAGTTGCTTATAGTAGCCACTAATGACCCTTTGAATTTCTGCAGTATCAGTTGTAATGTCTCCTTTTTAATTTCTGATTTTATTTATTTGGATTTATTATCTTAGTCTGGCTAAAGGTTGCTAATTTTGTTTAACTTAAAAAAACATTTTGTTTCATTGATGTTTTGTCTTGTTTTTACTTCAGTTTTTTAATTTCTTCTCTGATCTTTATGATTTCTTATCTTCTACTAATTTTGGGTTTGGTTTACTCGTGCTTTTCCAGTTCTTCAAGATGAGTTGTTAGATTATTTATTTGAAGTTTTTCCCCTTTTTTGATCTAGGTGCTTATATCCATACAATTCCCTCTTAGTACTGGGCTGGGTGCAGTGGCTCACACCTGTAATCCTAGTGCTTTGGGAGGCTGAGTCAGGGAGATCACCTGAGGTCAGAAGAATCACTTGAACCCAGGAGGTGGAGGTTGCAGTGAGCCGAGATCACACCACTGCACTCAGGCCTAGGTGACAGGCAACAGAGCAGGACCCTGTTTCAAAACCAAAAAAAAAAAAGAAAGAAAGAAAAAAAAGGAAGAAAAAAGAAAAAATTCCCTCTTAGTACTGATTTACTGATTTTGCTGTATCCCCTAGGTTTGGTATATTGTATTTCTGTTGTCATTTGTTTCAAGAAATTTTTCAGTTTCTTTCTGAATTTCTTCATTAACCCACTGGTCATTCAGGAGCATATTGTTTAATTTTCATGTATTTGTATAGCTTCCAAAATTCCTCTTGTTATTGATTTCTAGTTTTATTCCATTGTTCTCAGAGAAGATGCTTGATATTATTTCAGATTTTTGAATGATTTTTTTTTTTTTTTTTGAGATTAGTCTTGCTCTGTCACCAGACTAGAGTGCAGTGGCATGATCTCGGCTCACTGCAACCTCCACCTCCCAGCAAGCAATTCTCCTGCCTTGGCCTCCCAAGTAGCTGGAATTACAGGAGTGAATGTTTTAAGACTTGTTTTGTGACCTAAGATATGGTCTATCCTTCAGAAAGATCCATGTGCTGAGGAAAAGAATGTGAAATCTGCAGCTCTTGGATGAAATATTCTGTAGATAACTATTAGATCCATTTGGTCTATAGTGCAGATTAAGTCCAATGTCTCTTTGTTGACCTTCTGTCTGAAAGATCTGTCCAATGCTGAAAGTGGAGTGTTAAAGTCTTCAGCTATCATTGTATTGGGACCTATCTCTCTTTTTAACTCTAATTAATATTTTCTATGTATATGTATATATACCTGAGTAGTTGGAGTGCATATATAAAATTATTTTATCATCTTGCTGAATTGACCCATTTATCATTATATAGTGACCTTCTTTGTCTCTTCTTACATGTTTGTCATGAAATCTATTTTGTCGGATGTATGTCTAGCAACTCCTGCTATCTTTTGGTTTTCATTGTCCTGAAATATATTTTTCCATCCCTTTATTTTCAGTCTATGTGTTTTTACAGGTGAAGTGTGTTTCTTGTAGGCAACAGGTCAGTTGGTCCTGTTTTTTTCATCCATTCAGCCACTCTTTGTCTTTTGATTGGACAGTTTAGTCCATTTATATTCAATGTTATTATTGATAAGTAGGTACGTACTCCTGATATTTTGTTATTTGTGTTCTAGTTGTACTGTGGTCTGCTCTTCCTTCTTTCTTTCCTTCCTGTCTTCTCCTAGTGAAGGTGACTTTCTCTGGTGATATGGTTTAGTTTCTTGCTTTTTATTTGCTGTGCCTATTGTATGTTTTTTAATTTGAGGTCATTATGAGACTTGCAAATACAATCTTATAACCCATTATTTTTACCTGATAACGTAATCCTATTTGCAGAAATAAATGAAGAAACAAGCAAAATGAAACCTAATTAAAACTCTACACCTTCTTTCCCCTTCTTAACATTTTGCTGTTTCTATTTATATTTTACTGTACTGACTATGCCTTGAAAAGTTGTAGTTCTTATTTTTGGTTGTCTCATCATTTAGTCTTTCTACTTAGGATAAGAGTAGTTTACACACTACAGTTACAGTGTTATAATATTCTGTGTTTTTCTGTGTACTTACTATTACCAGTGAGTTTTACACCTTCAGGTGATTATTGCTCATTAATGTCCTTTCCTTTATGATTGAAGTACTACCTTTAGCATTTCTTGTAGGACAGGTCTGGTATTGAAATTCCTCAGTTTTTGTTTATTCGGGAAAGTGTTTCTTTCTCCTTCATGCTTGAATGATTTTTCTTTGGCGTTTTAAATATGTGATGCCACTTTCTCCTGGCCTGTAAAGTTCCCACTGAAAAGTCTGCTACAAGACATATTGGAGCTCCATTGTATGTTATTTGTTTCTTTTCCCTTGTTGCTTTCAGGATATTATCTTCATCTTTTACCCTTGGGAGTTTGGTTATTAAATGCCTTGAGGTAGCCTTCTTTGGGTTAAATCCTCTTGGTTTTCTATAACCTTTTTGTACTTGGATATTGATACATTTTTGTAGTTTTGGAAAGTTCTCTGTTATCCTTTTGAATAAATTTTCTACCTCTATGTCTTTCTCTACTTTCCTTTAAGTCAATAACTCTTAGATTTGCCATTTTGAGGCTATTTTCTAGATCCTCTAGGCATGCTTCAATTTTTTTAATTTCTTTTCTTTTGTCTCCTCCTCTTTCATATATTTTCAAATAGCCTGTCTTCAAATTCACTAATTCTTTCTTCTGCTTGATTAATTCTGATTTTTAAAAACTCTAATGTCTTCCTCAATACCCCAGTTGCATTTTTCAGCTCCAGAATTTCTGCTTGATTTTTTTTATTTTTTTAACCTCTTTGTTAAATTTATCTGACAGAATTCTGAATTCCTTCTCTGTGTTATATTGAATTTCTCCGAGTTTCCTCAACACAGCTATTTTAAATTCTCTGTCTGAAAGGTCACATATCTCTATTTCTCCAGGATTTGTCCCTGGAGCCTAATTTAATTCATCTGGTAAGGTCATGTTTTCCTGGATGGTGTTGATGCTAGTAGATGTTTTAGGGTGTCTGGGCATTGAAGAGCTAGGTATTTAGGAATTTATTGTAGCCTTCACTATCTGGGTTTATTTGTAGCCATCCCTTTTGGAAAGGCTTTCCTGATATTTGAAAGGACTCAGGTGCTATGATCTTAGCTGTATCTGTTTTAGGGAGCACCCCAAGCCCAGTAATACTGTGGTTCTTGCAGACTCATAGAGGCACCACCTTGACGGTCTTGGACAAGATCCAGGAGAATTATCTTGATTACTAGGCAGAGACTCTTGTTCTCTTCTCTTACTTTCTCCCAAATATAGTCTCTTTCTCTGTTCTGAGCCACTTATAGATGGGAATGGAGTAACACAAGCAACCCTGTGTCCATCATCACTATGACTGCACTGGGTCAGACCTGAAGTCAGCCCAGCACTGGGTCTCACCCAAGGCCTGCTGTAATGACTCCCTGGCTACTGCCTATGTTCTAATAGCAAAACTTAATATGTGTTTGTTTCTTAAAGGTTATGGGCAATATGGAATCAAAAATCAAAATGGTGTCAATGAAATTTTCATTGTTAAATTTCAATTGTTTATGTACTTTTTTTAAATCAATAACTTCACTTTTAAGAATTTTAGATTTACAAAAATGTTGAGCAGATAATGCAGAGTTCTTAAATATACCCCTTCCAAGCACACAGTCTCTCCTATTATTAAAATCTTGCCACAATGTGGTACATTTGTTATAATTAATATATCACCACTTATACATTATTATTAGCTAAAGTCTATAGTTTACATTAAGTTTTGCTGTTCGTATTTCACTGTTCCATGGGTTTTGACAAATATAGGTGCTGTATATCTCATTACAGTATCATATGGAATAGTCTCATTGCCCTAGAAATCTCCTGTGTTTCATGTATTCATTCCTCCCACCACTCCCAGTCACCAGGACCCCTGAAAACTATTGACCTTTTTACCGTCTTCACAGTTTTTTTTCCCTGCAGAATGTCATAGAGTACTTAGTCTTTTCAGACTGGCTTCTTTCACTTAGCAACATGCTTGTGAGGTTCCTCCATTTCTTTTCATGGCTTTGGAAATTATTTCTTTTTCTCCTTGAATAATATCCTGTATTATAGATGTACCATGGTATTTTTATGCATTCACCTACTGAAAGACGTTTTGGGCTGGGCGTGGTGGCTCACGCCTGTAATCCCAGCACTTTGGGAGGCCGAGGCGGGTGGATCACCTGAGGTCAGGAGTTCGAGAGCAGCCTGACCAACATGGTAAAACCCCATCTCCACTAAAAATACAAAATCAGCTGGACATGATGGTACATGCCTGTAATCCCAGATAGTAGGGAGGCTGAGGCAGGAGAATTGCTTGAACCCGGGAGATGGAGTTTGCAGTGAGCCGAGATCGCACGATTTCACTCTAGGCTGGACAATAAGAGCAAAACTTGAAAGAAGGAAGGAAGGAAAGAAGGAAGGAAGGAAGGAAGGAAGGAAGGAAGGAAAAGAGAGAGAGAAAGAAAGAAAAGAAAGAAAAAAGAAAAAGAAAGAAAGAGAGAGAAAGAAAAAAGAAAGAAAGAAAGAAAGAAGAAAGAAAGAAAGAAGAAAGAAAGAAAGAAAGAAAGAAAGAAAGAAAGAAAGAAAGAAAGAAGAAAGAAAGAAAGAAAGAAAGAAAGAAAGAAAAGAAAAGAAAAGAAAAAAGAAAAGAAAAGAAAAGAAGAGAGAAAGAGAGGGAAGGAAAGAAGGAGAGATGTTTTGGTTGCTTCCAGGTTTGGTGATTAAGAATATAGCTGTAAATAGGTGCAGGTTTTTGAGTAAGCACGTTTTCAATTCAGTTGGGTAAAATCTAAGAGCAGGATCACTGGGTAATATGTAAGATCTTGTTTGCCTTTGTAAGAAACTTCCAAACTATCTCTTAAAGTACCGTTTTATATTCTTACTAGCAATTAGAGTTGCTATAGCTCCACATTCTCTACAGCATTTGATATTATCGTTTTTTAAAAAATTTTAATTAGCTTAATAGGTGTGTAGTGGTACCTCACAGTTGTTTTAATTTGTAATTCCCTAATTACATATGATGGTGAGCATTTTTTAATATGTTTGCTTGCCATCTACTTTTCTTCCGAGGTAAAGAGAAGACATTTTTCTCATTTTTAAATTGGGTTTTTTGTTTTCTTGCTGTTGAGCTTTAAGAACTCTTTGTACCTTTTGGATAACAGTCTTTTATCAAAAATATTTTTTACAAATATTTTGTCCCAGGATCTGTTTTCTCTTTTCATTCTCTTAAGAGTATCTTTCACAGAGCAGAAATCTTTACTTTTAACAAACTTCAACTTTTTTTTCTTTCAAGGATTGTCTTTTTGTTTTTGTATTTAAAAACTCATCATAAAACCAAGGTTATCTAGATTTTATCCTATATTTTATTTTACCAGTTTTATAGTTTTTCAATTTATAGTTAGGTCTATTATTCATTTCAAGTTAATTTTGTGAAAAATAAAAATGTGTGTGTGTGGGTGTGGGTGTGGGTGTGCGCATGGACGTATGTGTTTGCATATAAATGTCCAATTGATATGGCACTATTGTTTGAAAAAACTATCCTTTCTCCATTGAATTGACTTTGCTCCTTTGTCAAAGGTCAGTTGAACATATTTGTGTGAGTTCACTTTAGGATCTCTATTCTGTTACAATAGACAAGTACAGTCTACTTGTCTATTCTTTAGCTAATATCACACTTTCCTCATAATTGCTGCCTTATAGTAAGTCTCGAAGTCAGGAAGTGTCGGTCCTTTAACTTTGTTCTTCTTTTTCAATATTGAGTTGGTTATTCTGGTCTTTGACTCTCCACATAAACTTTAGATATAGTTTGTTGATAGCCACAAAATAACTTGCTGGAGTTTTGATCACATTGTATCTGTAGATTATGTTGGGGGAAATTGACATCTTGATAACACTGAATGTTTCTACACTATGGATATTTCATGAACATGGAATCTTTCTCCATTTAGGTAGATCTTGTTTGATTATTATCATGATAGTTTTATAGATTTTCTCACTCAGAACTTGTACATGTGTTGTTAAATTTAGAGCTAAGTATTTCATTATTTGGGGGATAATGTGTAGTGTTTTTAATTTTAAATCCCAACTGTTGTTAGTACATAGGAAAGCTGCTGAGTTTTTGCAAAATAACCTTGTATCCTGCAACCTAGCTGTAATCATGTATTAGCTCTAGTTCTATTGATTATTTGGGATTTTCTGCATAGACAATCATATCATCTGCAAACAAAGACAATGTTACTACTTATTTCTCTCTCTCTCTATGTATATATATATACCTCTTATTTCCTTCTCTTTTTTATTGAACTAGCTAGGACCTTTGGAATAACACTGAATACAAGTTGCACTCGTTGCTGGTGAACTAATCTTGGCTTTGATTCTCTATATTAACCTATCTTTCCAAATTTCAGGGTGGTGATTTTCCCTGTAACTTCCAATCTCTGGTGGATATACTGTCGAGTTTCTGTTTGTTCGGCATTTTCCTTGTGAGGATCAAAGTGACGTCTTCCATGTTCTTTACATGTCAGAACTCCCCCTTTACTTTTTAGTAAATACAAACACTGATCAATTAGCTTATAATGAACCATCCTGTAAACACCATCACAACTAAATTATACAATCCAACATCTCCAATTATGAGAAAGATTGTTGTCATGTACCCACAAAAAATACTGTGCACTGAAAAAAACACAGCATCCCTTGTAATATTTTGTCAAAAATGTATAACCTGAATATAATGACAAGAAAACAAAAGAAAAATCCAAATTGAGGTCATTTTGCAACGAACTAAAATATATTCTTTAAAACTGCTATGGTCATGAAAGGAAAGCATAACTAAGAAGCTGTTTCAAATTGATGGATAATAAAGAGACATGGCAATTAGGGGCCATTTTTGACTCTACATTGAATCGTACACCAGAAGTAAATGGGTAATACAAAAGACATTGATAGGGAAATTGGAGACAATTGAACAAGACCTATCCACTGTTTTAAAGTACTGAATCAACATTTATTTCCTTATTTTCATGAAAATTTATAGGCTGGTATTGTTATTTTTAGGAAATATTCTCTGATGTATATAGGGATACTATGACACTATGTCAGAAAATGACTTTCTATGAAATGTATAGTATATATAATAATAATGACATTTATATAGAGTGAATAAGACAAATATGGTAAACTATTAACAACTTGGACATCTGGATAAGGGGTATACAAGAATCCTTTATCACTTATCATTATCTGTGTGACCTTGTGAACACTATTTTACATCTAGGTGCTTTAGTTTTCACATGTGTAAAACAGTGATAATAGTGGTATTTTTAGACATAGTGTGACTATTAAGTGGAATAATGTATGTAAAAACATGCAGATGATCTGGTGTATAATGAACACAGGAAAATCTGTTTTTTTAGAATAAATGCAATAAGTATTTGTTACATCATTAAAAATAATATATAACTTCAAAGCTTCTGGAAGTTCTATATCCTACTGAAGGCATATATGTGGGATAGAGAGTACTTTTATTTAACAAAAATTAAAGAACCATCTTGTGAACACACTTTAATGGTTTTTGTTTTTTTTTTTAACTAGACTGGGTTCTGTGTATAATACAAAATGCCACTTCCATTATGGATGGGGAAGTATTTAGAGATTTTTTTCTTCAAGAATATGTTTATCTTGCATGCATTTTCTAAAATGTTTCTGAGGATCTGTGTGTATAAGTCCTGTGCACACTCGTGCATGCTTACTCAGGAGTTATCTTCAGCAGACTGGCAGGCAACAAGAAGAGTGGCAAGGTGTTTTGTCATTTTAACTGGTGGAAAAACCTCAAATAAGAGTGAACTTGGATTACTTGTATTCCCATAGAACAATTCTCTTCGACTTGAATTGACAAACACACCATGGAATGTTTGCTGGACTTTAGAAAAGCCCACCTGGGCATTCTGTTACATTATCTCCCCAATTCAATGAGTTATTCTTGCCTAATTAACCTAAGTTTTGGCAGCTGCACTATAAAAGTAGATTATTGTAGGTTATTGGGTGTTTATCAATCATCCTGGTGGAAAGAAGTCACCCAGATTGGAAGAATAAACCATGCCCTCCTTGGTACGAGATAGAATATTTCTAAAAGGATCAAGAATAAAAATTTGTACCGTAAAAAAGAAATAGGGAGGAAAAGTAAAAGCTGACCTTCAAGGTAAAAAAGGCTAAGAATTAGGAAGTTCTCATTTTTCTTTTCTCTTGAGCTGTTAATATTTTGTCATTTATTTTCATTATACCCAGATTTTCAGGAAAGACTATACCAAAAAAGGAGGCTGTGTTTTGAGTGCTTCAGGAAATTGAAGACATAGCTATGAAGTCAAAACTCATTTTATTGGCTTGGTTTTACTGTGGTTTTCATGAGTATACAGCAAATACTCATGAAAGTTTGAATAATTGTGTGAATGTACTATTACTAAATTATAATTATTAATACTAATTAGTGAATAAATAACAAATACGTATTGATATACTTCTTGGAAAATCTGAAATGTTAATTGAATCAAACTCAATCACAAAAGTAGCAGATTCCAATATGAGTGAATATATCCTATGCAAATCTTGAGGTCACAACCTAAGACGGTAGAAACTGGTAATCATATCTGATCTCTTATTGCACATGAAATAATTGAAATACATCAAAAATTGGTACACAATGCTCATAAGTGGAATAAAATTTCTGCTTAAATATATGTGCAGTATTGCATTAAATAATATTGTCTGTGTTGTGCCATAAACACTTTACCCAGGTTTTCAAATATTCTCTCTCTATAGCTTGATTCAGAATTTTATTGTTTCATTATGTGACATATTCACATTTATCTTGTACTCCTTTTAGCTCCTTTCCCCATAATATAATGTTTCATAATGTTTTCTTATTGTCATGCATTCATCAGACAAATCTATTTCTTTAACTAACTTTTTTTGGGGGGACATTGTTGAGTTATTCACTCTACACAGTTTTATTGAGTTTGGATGTACTTACAGGCTATACCTTCTCATCTAGAGAATATAATGTGCAATATAATTGCAATATATTACATTCAATAATATGTGTCAAGCATCTGGTTGCTTTTTGCTTTGCTTCATAGAATCTCTCAGAGAGCTCAAACATCAAGATTGAAAACATTTTGTTCCAGAGAGCCATGAAGCTCTACTGAAAAGAAATACAACAAGATAAAATATATCTTTCACCTGACATGCAAAATGTTTTCTGGCTCAAACGTGTTTACTTAAGGGAAATGTGTGAATTCTATTGATTTTTGGCTGGCTTTGGGGGGAAAAAAGGAGGAAGAGCAGAGTGCTATGTGGTGTTGCCAAGAGATGCCATATCAAATTTCAGTAAGGCCATATCAAATAAAAACATTTTCTAATAAGCTGTAAGAAACTCCCTTAAAAATCCATATAGAGATGACCTTCTACAACAAAAGTATAAAACTAGAATTTAAAGACTTACAAATATACTGAAAGTTATGGTATTGTTGTTTTCCAATAAAAACCAGTTAGTTATGTTGCTATAACTTTTTATAATGTTTACCCAAGTTTAATTTCTAATAGATTGTGTCAATTTATTGGGATCAATTTTATAACATGACATTTCAAATATGTATAAAATATTAACATCCTGAAATGTTCACTCTTATTTGATCTTAGAAGTTAAGCAAAGTAGGTCAGGTGAGCACCCAGGAATATGGGGTACAGAGAAATTTGGGTAGCTAAGAAAGAGTGTGAGAGCAATGGGAAGATTTTCCCCCTCAAAATGGAAACTACAGGAGCATGTTTCTCTATTGATGTAGCAATGCAAAGGTGGCCTGGGTCTACTTGGGGTAGGGTTTCCTGTTCTCTGAGTACCATGATGGCCTCAGGGTTAGGCTCACTTAGGCAACACAGGATGAGAAACTCATTGATGTGTGTCTATGTGTGTGTGTGTGTGTGCGCGCGCACACGCTTGGTTTTTTGTTGTTGTTGTTGTTACCTAAGAAGCAGTTAAGTGTAGAGGAAAAAAAATGAGATTCGGGATCAGGAGTATATCAGTTCAGGAAACACCAGCCCAGAAGACACCACTTAAGAAGTAATAAGGTGGAAGGGGTCCCAACACTGAAGAGGAGCTCAGTGGCAGTGGTCTCCTCTAGGACTGGGCTGATGATAAGAGATGTTATTATAGAACTGGACTCCCCAGTAAAATTGGGGTGCTAGGAGCCCACAATGATGGAGGCCTCATGCAGTGTATCTACTCTGGCCCTTCCAGCTCTATGGGCCTTTTGGTCCCTTCATCCATCATCTACAATGGCAGTTCTAGCATTTCTGCTTCACTTAGCATGAGCCTTCACTTTCCAAGTTTCCAAGAGACAACCTAGCACTGGATTAGCATCATTCCTTGAGGTCCTTTTTAGAGCGTTTAGAGTAATTTTATTTCTATAAACTCTCCCTTACCCAACTTCATATTCTATCTCCCTTGCTTCAGCACCCTCTGGATTAAGTCCACGTATACTCCTCTGTTCACGTTTAAGTCTCCGCAGCTTCTCTCAGATAGAGTTCCTTTTCCCTCTCGCCAAGCCCAGCACTTTGTTGAATGGGTTCTACTGTTACTTGGCCCTCCTCATTGGTCTGGTTGTCAAGAAGGGAGGTAGAAGTCAATCCTCTCCGGGCAGCACACCTGGTCTTGAAAGGCAGAGTGTTCTGTTATCTTCAAGCAGGGCTGGGGATGGGGGAAGTTATGCAGACCAGAAGCGGTAGAGGTAACCTGGGTTGCA
The DNA here is from genome assembly GCF_000001405.40 of Homo sapiens. Classification (NCBI taxonomy): domain Eukaryota; kingdom Metazoa; phylum Chordata; class Mammalia; order Primates; family Hominidae; genus Homo; species Homo sapiens. The sequence continues at coordinate 38,561,569 of NC_000013.11, forward strand.
AGGTTTTCAAGTGAGTTGACTGAAGTGTCACATCCCAACTTTGAGGTTTCACTCCTCCCAATCTCAGCTCTAATCTTGACAGAATGGTCTTGTTTAGGTTGAGGATTCAAACTTCACTGCAGTTCAACTACCCTTATAATTAAGCATTCGGCCTCATGCCCAGGATCTTCTGTAGAGATGTGCTGCCAAGGGGCCCTTGACTTTCACACTCTGCTTTAAATTGGTGATTACTCACCCTCTATCTTTCAAGTAAGAACCATCTCATTCAATTGTTTTCATACTAACTAATCTCCCCTAGCCTCTCCAACACCTGAAAGACTGCATCAGCGAGTGCATTCCTTTCACTGTAACTTGTTTGTTTTTTGTTTTTATCCTCAACCCTACTGCCGTTTCGACAGGTTATTTTTTTTCTTGTGGGGGGCAGGGGTCCGTTCTGTTAAGCACCATCCCTGGACACTACCTGCTAGATGCCAGTAACACCATCATCCCCTCTCCCTCAACACACATACATCATCTCTATCAGAATTGTCTCAGGCTTCAACAAGCGTTTCCAGAGAGGGGAGAAGTATCGCGCCACTGAGAACAGCACTAGCTCATCCCAGTTCAGCATTGGTGAGAATTTTATCAACTGCATTGCCACAGCACACCAGGCCCTGTCCTCTTTCCACCTGTTACCAATGATCTCTCTCAATAGGTTACGGGTTATTCAGTTCAAATTCCCTTTTTAGATTATTCTTTTGTGGAGTGCTCCTGGCACCACCTGCTGTGTATCAGGTCCCCAGGGGAGTAGATCTTGGGATGGATGTTTGTATACAGAAAGCTTTCTGGGGACTGCTAGGGGAAAAGCATCTGTTGGGGAGTGGGCAGAGGAAGAAGTTGAGCCATTATGCAACTGAAACAACTTTTCATCTTTCCCACAGCGAGCACTGGAGCTAGGATAATCCTTTAGAGATGTCCAAATTGTATCACTAAATCAACCACCATTGGATGCAGGTTGCCTCCAGCTTCTACTGATGGAGGGTAATTCCTAGGAAGTTTTCAGCTATGAGCCATCAGCAGTCAGAATTACTGACTCCTGGGGAAATGAGTGCTTCACAAAGGCTGTGCACCATGACATCCACTACAAAGACTGAAATAGAAAATCTTGCAAAATAATTTATTTTCAAATTAGTCAGTAAAAGACTTAAATTTTGCTGTTAAAGAGAACTTGGTAATGCCATGGCATCTTGTGACAATCCAGTCATTAAGTTAACAAATATTTACTGAATGTCAAGCACTATTCTGGAAGCTAAGCAGTGCATTTATGTACATGAAGAGTGATGTTATTTTGTCATAACAAAATCAACCATATGAGGAAGAATAAAACTGGGATGTGATACCATGAAACGTATTCTATACATTGATTGCTTATTTTAAACATATTACCAATAAAAAGAGGCAACTTAGTGTATTCAGTGCCTCTCAGGGGTTTCGTGTGGACTTGTCATTTACAGTCCCATTGGTGAACATAATATCTCCAATGCATTTGGTTGATTGTTCACTTTGAAAAAAAAAATCAAGCTTTAGTGATAATTCTAGAAAAGCAACGAGTCTTCTTAATAGGTCTGGAATTTTTTTTAATTATTTGGTTTATTTTTGTGGTGGCCAGTGAAGGGTGATAGAATTAAGTGTCTCCAGGGTAATAATATTGGTGGTTGTTCTTAAAATATCCCCCACTGATGAGGTTTGATGACATCTTTAAATGTCCTTCATCTCAAGGAAATTGAGTCATGCTTTAGGAAAGGAATTGAGAAACATTTTAGGAAATGTATGTATGGAGCAAATAATATAATGTTATATAACTATTCAAATTCTAAAATATAAAGCAGTGTTTGGAAATATTTTTATTGTACTGACTTCAGAAGTGTGATGGGGAAGGGGGCATGCTAATGGCACCTAGCTTTTAGAAGCCAGGGGTGCTGTAAATACTCTACAATGCACAGGACGGTCCGCAACAACGAAGAGATCTCCAGTCCAAAATGTTAAAGGTGCCAAAGTTGAGAAACTCTTATATACAGAGAAATAATATTCTCTGTACTCAGCCAGTTAATTAGTTTTCAGTATTTTGTGAAAACTATGCAACGTTCTATACACTTCAGGTTCATACAAAATAATATTCATATTGGCAACTTTTAAAGAACAGTTATTCTACACATTTTTAAGATAAAGCATTAAAATCCTCGTACAATGAAAATAAAAATTTCTGTGCATATCTTTTTTATTATCATTAAACATTTGTGAGATTTAGTCTCCCTCCCTCTGCACCTGCAAGTTTAGCTCCTTAAGGAGGAGTAATTGACACCTTGACATGCATGTTCAGTCACATTCCAGGTCCTGAGTGTGTACTGACCTAGGCTGGAATTAAAGCAGCAGCCACATCTTTACTACCACCTACTGAGAAACACAGTTAATTTTTCCTTCAAGATCTAATGTCATGAGGCAACCGTGACTTTGGGATTCCAGCTTTACCCATCTCTCCTTCTTAAAAATGGTGATGCAAATTATACTCAGGACCCTAAAGCACTAGAAACTACCCGTGTTCTCTCTGCCTCTTCACCCCTAAACAACTACTCCCTTTCAGACATCTTGCCTTTTAACCTTGTCTCTGTTCACTTCCTATCCCTGGCACCAAGCCCCCACTGGCACTGAAGCCCTCTTCTAGTCCCTAGTTTGGAAATACGTTCAGATTCTTCACACCTGCGTCTTTTCCAGAATTGAAGCCAGTCTCCCAACTATTAACATAATGGGTCATGACAGATTAACTAGGAGGTAAATATTCACGGAATTGCTCACTTTAGGCCGCTGAATTTAGACATTGTCTTCCATTTTCTATAGAAACTTTTTCCCCTGTGACATTTTGAGTGCTGTATTGTAATTGTTTCTTTATAGGTCTCCTTTCTCAATCAGGCTGAGAGCTTTCCCAGGAGACTGATTTTTCGTCTGCGACCTGCAGAATAGAGTATGGGACATAATGGACTTTGAAAAATGTTCGGTAAGTAACAAAATGCCTGATTGAAAATCTCATTACTACCCTTAGTCTTTGGCCAGTGGCTGCCCTTCTAGGTTTTAGAATCTAGTGTCAACTGTGATACTAGTGCATTTTCTCTGCCTCTGCCCTGTTTAGGTGCTGGACTCTGGGGCTGTGTTCTGTCTGTCCTATCTCTTCTGTGCTGATATGAATAAGCCATATTGTCTTGAGCTTGTGTAATGCACAGATAAGTCACTACCTAGTAATTCAAACAAATTTTTTACAGGATTGCTTTAATGAACAACTAAAGAACTAGTAATTACTTTAATCACAGGCATTTCTGTGGCTGCAGCAGTAGAGACCATTAATACCAAAAGGCCTCAGGCATCTAAACTGGTTTAGAGAGAACAGAGCTTCTTTGTAAGTAAATGACTTTTAATCAGAGGCTCCAAAGCTGTCACTGGAACTGTGGCAATTTACCCAGACACAATTAAAGCTTCTACTTTAAATAAAGAAATAAGAAAAAAAGAATATTTTACAGGAGAAAAATGAGAAATGGATTAGCATTTACATAGACATGACATTCCAGTGAGTGAATACCAATGCTAGAAATGATGATTATGATGAAGAAATGCAGAATTATATGCATTAAACCTACAGTCTGAACAAAAATGATCAGGAAAGAATGGGTGTATTATCCAAAAATTATATACCAAATAAATGGAAAAAGATTTGTAGCAGAGCATTGAAATGGAATAATACTATAGGGATTTTTTAATATTATAATTGTATGTATTATAAAGATGGAAATGCTGCGTAACTACTATTTTAGAAAGGATTTGATCCAGTTATTTGGACCAGCATATGAAAATAAATATTTACTATTTAACATTCCTATGCCTTTGATTTTTGTTTTTTGGCTACAGAAGCCTCCAAAACTTATGAGAATACAATTGCATCAATCGTTTTAAAAAGTTTGAGTAAAAGAGTCTGAGATAACTACATATGTCAATCAATTTTTACAATGAAAAATACAAAATAGAATTAAAGTTATTTGTTATTAGTGTTTCCAATAAACAATATAATCATTCTGCAAGCGCCTAGAGATTTAGATATCACGCATGCTACACAATTAAAGAATGGCAGCATAAAGAGACTGTTACCCAATGGAGCCAGTGTTCAAGAATATTTAGTGATGGTTTATTGTGCTTGAATGATGGACCTCAAGTGAAATCTCTTTTATGTATATATAGTTAATATTTCATCTTATTTATTTATAAATCACTTTGTTTCAAAATTGAGCCAGCTACATTAAATACTCATAATTCAAGATAAGATGTAATTCAAAATGAATAGATGGGATAATTTCCAAGTAAGATCTCAAGAGGCTGAATCCTCTCCCCGCAAGTGAGGATGATCATTCTCTGTCCACCACTCAATGCCTATGATAGTGCCTGGAACAGAGGCAGTACTCAAAATTATCTGCTGAATGAACAGATGTGACTCGAATGCCCATTTTAAATTCCTCCTCTCCTAGACTTTTATTGAAATAGTCACCAGAACAACAAGAATAGAAAGACTTTTAATTTGTTTAATTTTTTTAGTATAGATAAAATCTTGCTCTGTTTTCCAGGCTGGAGTACAGTAGCTTGATCACAGCTCACGGCTCAGGGCAGCCTTGACCTCCCAGGCAAAAGCGATCTTCCTGCCTCAGCCTCCTGATTAGCCGGGACTACAGGCATGTGTCACCACACCTGGCTAATTTTTTTTTTTTTTTTGTAGAGACAGGGTCTCACAGTCCAGGCTGATCTCAAATTCCTGGGCCCAAGTGATCTTTCTGATCTCCCAAAGTGCTAAGATTACAAGAGTAAGTCACCACACTTGGCCTAAGACTTTGTTTATTTTGTCAGAGTTAAATCAATCTGGAAGAGAGTAGTGTTTACTACAAAGTAGTATATTTCTGCTAAATATAGTACTGGTGGGGCTGGAGGAAAAAAATTAACTAATTAAAAAGCTGACCTGACCATGTGGGAAGGAGTAGCCTATTTGAGAAGTAAAGCTAGACCATCATCCTCCAATTCAGAATGGCTTGGGCTGAAACCGGCAGCTGGCTGGTGGGACAATCAGAAGCATGTCTGATTCCCATTATCTTCCTCTGGGAAGAATGCCAACTACCAAAGACGACATCTATGGAAAAAACATAGAATCACTTTTAATGGGCTCACAACACAACACAAATGGCCGTGCCAGGAACAGAATAGCTGCCATACTAAATAGGGAGTTGAAACTCCAGTTTTTCCATTTCTCAAGCAGTATGTCATTGAACTGGCAGAGGAAAACTAGAGTAAATCTTAAGTTTTTCATCGTCCTTTATTTAGAAGAAGATGGTTAAATAATAATGTACACAATCTTGGAGAACAACCGTCTCATTTTTTAATATTAAGCAAGCATTGAATTTTGTGGTAAATTCAAGCAAACTGTACATGATAATCATAGTGATGATAATGATAGGCCCAAAGAAAACATCAAGTTTATTTTCTTCTGGAAAACAAGGTTTCCTGAGGCTTTCAATCAACCACACTGTGGTCTGGAGATAGACTACAGTGTGCATCTGAAGTACCTGCAATGGGTGTGATAGGGAAATAGATTCTGTTCATGTCTGTCTACCATGCGGGAGCCAGTGAAGCCTCCTCACTCTGCCCCACACAGAGATCTCTGGGGCATGTCCCTAAGAGCATCTCCCAGCCACCCTTTTCAGGGCTGGTGCCTGTGCTTGCCATTGGGATACACATGGGCAAGCCAGAGGCTCCAGCTCTGCCCAATTGTGTCCGGCCTCTTCCACGGAACACCAGGAACCCCACTATCCAGCTCTTCACCTGAAACAGCAAAGAACACGTCACAGTAAACAGATCAGGGCCATACCCTCCCTGTTGTGCAGTAAGTAGCTGGCTCTTACCTGCAAATGTCATCTATTGGCCTGTAGGTTGAACCCAATACAAAACCTGCTGCATAGGTCTGTAGAAGCAGAGCCAAAACAGCCTGCCCACTACAGCCATCTCCAGATGAGAAGGAACCAGTGTGAGAATTCTGTCTGAATATTGTGACATCACCAGAGGCTCACAGTAGCTCTCTAGCAATGGTCCCTAGCAGAAAAGGAGGCACAGAGATGCAGATGGAGAATTCAGAGCATGGATTGCAGGCAAGTTCAGTGCAATTCAAGGTAAGATTGCAAATCAACACACAAACAGAAAAAAACTTCTAAAGCAATCCAGGAAATAAGGATAGAGGAAAACATTTTAAAACAAAATCAATCAAAGCCACTGGAACTGAAAAACTGAAGGGATTTCAAAACAGAATTGAAAGCATATTTTTTAGTAGCATAGACCAGGCAGAAGAAAGAATTTCAGAGCTTGAAGATCAGTCTTTCAAACTAAACCAGTCAGATAAAAATAAAGAAAAAAGAATTAGAATAGATGAATAAAGCCTCTGAGAAATATGGGATTTGAAAAGCAATCAAGCCTATGAATTATTAGTATGCCTGGGAGATAAGAAGAGATAGTAAACAACCTAGTAAACATTATATTTGAGGACAAAATTCAAGAAAATTGCCCTAATCTTGATAGAGAGTTAGACATGCACATACAAGAAATTCAGAGACCACCTTACTGATACTATACAAAACAAACATCACCAAGGGATATAGTCACCAGAATGTCAATGCTAAAGAAAAAAATCTTAAATGCAGCTAGAGAAAAAGGTCAGATCACAAAAAAAGGGAACCCCAACAGGCTAAGAAAAACTACTCTGCAGAAACCCTACACGCTAGAAGAGAGTAGGGGCCTATTTTCAGCATCTCAAAGAAAAGGAACTCTGACCAAGAATTTCACACCCTGTCATACTAAGCTTCATACATGAAGGAGAAATACAATCTTTTTCAGCCAAGGCATTGCTAAGAGAATTCATTACCACTAAACCAGCCTCACAAGAGATCCTTAGAAGAGTTATGAATACGGAGATGAAAAACAATACCTGTTACCAGGAAACCACACCTAAGTACACAGCCCACAGACCATTTAAAGCAACTGCACAATACAGACTGCAAAACATCCAACAAAAAACTTCATGATAGGATCAAAACTTCAAGTATCAATATTAACCCTGAATGTAAACAGTCTAAATGCCTCATTTAAAAGGCATAGGGTGGCAAGTTACATTAAAAAATAAAAAGACCCATCCATCTCCAATTTTTAAGAGGTCCATGTCACATGTAATGACATCCATAGACTCAAGGTAAAGGTTGGATGAAGATCTATCATACAAATGGAACATAAAGGAGCGAGGGTAGTTATTCTTATGTCAGATAGAATAGACTTTAAACCAACAACAGTAAAAAAAGAACAAAGAACGACACTACATAATGATAAAGGGTTCAATCCTACAAGATGACCTAACTATCCTAAATATATAAGCACCCAACATTGAAGCAACCAGATACACAAAACAAATACTTCTACAACTACAAAAAGATGTAGACATTCACACAATAATAGTTGGGGATTTCAATACCCCACTGACAGTGTTAGATTACCGAGGCAGAAAACTAACAAAGGGATTCTGGACTTAAATTGGATACTTGACCAAATGGACCTAATAGATATCTACAGAACACTCTACCCATCCACCACATAATATACATTCTTCTCATCTGCACACAAAACATACTGTAAGATTGACCACATACTTGGCCTTGAAGCAAGTCTCAATAAATTTAAAGAAATCAAAATCATACCAACCATACTTTTGAACCACAGTGGAAAAAAATACAAATCAAGGTCAGGCACGGTGACTCATGCCTGTAATCCCAACACTTTGGGAGGCCAAGGTGAGCGGATCACTTAAGGTCAGGAGTTTGAGACAAGCCTGGCCAACACAGTGAAACCCTGTCTCTACCAAAAAATACAAAAATTAGCCAGGCATAATGGCACATGCCTGGAGTGCCAGCCACTCCGGAGGCTGAGGTGGGAGAATCCATTGAACCTGGGAGGCGGAGGTTGCAGTGAGCTGAGATCACATCACTGCACTCTAGCCAGCCTCAACAACAGAGTGGAACCCTGTCTCAAAAAAAATAAAAAATACTAATAAATACCAAGAAGATCTCTGAAGAACACACAATTACATGGCAATTAAACACTTGTTTCTGAATGACTTTGGTGTAAACAATAAAATTAAGACAGCAACTTTAAAAGTCTTTGAAATTAATGAAAACAGAGACACAACATACCAAAATCTCTGATATACAGCTAAAGCAGTTTTAAGAGGAAAGTTTATAGTGCTAAATGCCTATGTGAAGCCATTAGAAAGATCTCAAATTAACAATCTAACATCCCACCTAGAAGAACTAGAAAAACAAAAAAGTAACCCCAAAGCTAGAAGAAGGAAAGAAATAACCAAATCAGAGCATAACTGAACAAAACTATAAGCAAAAAAGTCATACAAAGAATTAGCAAAGCCAACAGCTGGTAGTTTGAAAGAATAAACAAGATTGATAGACTGCTAGCTAGATTAACAAAGAAAAAGAGAAAATCCAAATAAGTGCACTCAGGAATGACAAACAATATTACAGCTGATCCCACAGAAATACAAAAACCCTAAGAGGCAATTATGAAGACCCCTGTGCACATGAACTAGAAAATTTAGAGGAAATGGATAAATTTCCAGAAACACACAACCTCCCAAAACTGAGTCAGAAAGAAATCAAAGCCCTGAACACATCAATATTAAATTTCACAATTTAATCCATAACAAAAAATGTACCAATCAAAAAAAGTCCTGGATCAGATGGATTCATAGCTGAATTCTGTGAGACATACAAAGAAGAGATGGTCACTGTGGTACTAAAACGGTTCCAAAATATATAGGAGGAGAGACTCCTCCCTAACTCATTCTACAAAGACGTCATCATTGTGATAGCAAAATCTGGCAAAGACACTATGAAAAAAATGAAACTACAGGCCAATATCCCTAATGACCAAAGATGCAAAAATCCTCAACAAAATATTAACAAACCAAATCCAGCAGCATATCAAAAAGTTTATTCACAACAATCAAGTAGGCTTTATTCCTGGGATGAAGGGCTGGTTCAACATACATAAATCAATAAATGTGATTCATGACATCAACAGAATTAAAAACAAAACCACCTGATAATCTCAAAAGCTGCTGAAAAAGCTTTTGATAAAATCCAACATGCTTTCATAATAAAAACCTTCAACACAATAGGCAAGGAAGGAACACACCCCAAAATAATGAGTTATCTATGACCAACACCCAGCTGACATCATACTGAACAGGAAAAAGCTGGAAGCGTTCCACTTAAGAACTAGAACAAGACAATAATGCCCATTCTCACCATTCCTCTATAATGTAGTACTGGAAGTCCTAGCCAAAGCAATCAGGCAAGAGAAAGAAATAAGAAATAAAAGGCATCCAAATAGGAAAAGGAGAAGTCAAATTATCACTCTTCACTGATGATATGATTCTATACCTACAAAATCCTAAAGACTCCAACAAAAGGCTCCTAGAATGGATAAACAATTTCAGTAAAATTTCAGGATACAAAATCAATGTACAATAATCAGTAGTATTTTGACATGCCGATAACATTCAATCTGAGAGCCAAATCAGGAATTCAATCCCATTTAAAATAGAAAAAATAACTAGGAATACATCTAAGGAGATGAAAGGAATACACCAAGGAGATGAAAGATCTCTGCATGGTGAACTACAAAACTGCTGAAGAAATCACAGATGATAAAAAAAAAAATGGAAAAAAATCTCATGTTCATACATCGGAAGAATCAATATTGTTAAAATTGCCATATTGCCCAAAGCAGTCTATGGATTCAATGCTATTCCTATCAAACTGCCAATGACATTTTTCACATAATTTTAAAATACTGTTCCAAAATTTATATGAAACCAAAAAAAGGCCTGAATAACAAAAACACGTCTACATAAAAGAACAAAGCTACAGGCATCACACTACCCAACTTCAAACTACACTACAAGGATACAGTAACCAATATAGCATGGTACTGGTACAAAAACAGACAACATAGACCAATGGAACAAATTAGAGAACTCAGAAATAAAGCTGAACACCTAAAACCATCTGATCTTTGACAAAGTCAACAATAAGAAGCAATGGGGAAAGGACTCCCTATTTAATAAATTGTGTTAGAAAAGCTGACTAGATCTATGCAGAAATTAACTGAAGATGGATTAAAGACTTAAATGTAATACCCAAAACTATAAAAATCATAGAAAAAAGCTAGTAAATGTCATTCTGGACATCAGACTTGGCAAAGAATTTATGACAAAGTTCCCAAAAGCAATTGCAACAATAACAAAAATTGACTAGTGGGACCTAGTTAAACTAAAGAGCTTCTGCACAGCAAAAAAAAAATTATCAACAGATTAAACAGACATCCTACAGAATGGGAGAAGATATTTGCAAACTGTGCATTCAACAAAGGTCTAACATAGAGAATCTAAAAGGAACTTAAACAATTCATCAAGAACAAACAAGTAATCCCCTTAAAAAACAGGCAAAGAGCATGAACAGAAATTTCCCAAAAGGAAATATGCATGTGTCCAAAAACTACATGAAAAAATGCTCAACTTCACTGATCATCAGAGAAATGCAAATCAAAAGCTCAAAGAGATACCATCTCACACTAGTCAGAAAGGCTATTATTAAAATGTCAGAAAATAACAGATGTCGGCAAGGTTTTGGAGAAAAGGGAATGCTTATATAATGTTGGTGGAGATATAAATTACTTCAACCACTGTGAAAAGTAGTGTGGAGATTTCTCAAAAAAAAAAAAAAAAAACCTTGAAACAGAGCTACCATTTGACCCAGCAATCCCAATACTGGGTATAGAGCCAAAAGGAAAATAAATTGTTCTACCAAAAAGACATGGATGTGTACATTCATCACAGCACTATTTTTAATAGCAAAGACATGGAATCAACCAAGATGCCCACCAGTGGTGGACTGTATAAAGAAAATATGATACATATACACCATGGAGTACTATGCAGCCATAAAAAGAATGAAATCATGTTCTTTACAGTAACATGGATGCAGCTGGAGGTCATTATCCTAAGCAAATTAGCACAGGAATGGAAAACCAAATATCACATATTCTGACTTCTAAGTGGGAGCTAAAAATTCAGTACACAGGATATAGAGGTGGGAACAATAGACGCTAAGGGACTACCAGATGGGGAAGGGTGAGGTGGTGGCAAGGGTTGAAAAGCTTCCTATTGGGTACCATGCTCACTACCTGTGTGACAGGATCATTTGTACACCAAACCTCACTAATATGTAATTACCAATGTAACAAACCTGCACATCTACCCCCAAAACTAAAATAAAAGGTGAAAAAAAAATGATAGATATCTGAATAGGCTAGATCTTTACTTCATAAATATATTTTTTTAATTCTCAAAAAAATCCATCTAGTAGAACTTCCAAGAGAATGCTAATAACCACATTATAGAATATTTTTCTTTTAATTCAGCACAAATGAAGACATGGTAGTGTACTACAGAACAATCTCCAATATAATAAAAATTTTATCAAAACCAAGATAACACTTGATGGTGAAAAATTGCAACTATTTTTAAAGTCAGAAACATTAGGAGTGTATTTCTTTTACCAGTCTTATTAAATGTATATTATCAAGACATTATAATCGATGCAATACTAATAAATAATCCAGGCCAATAAATAGCAGAAATCATAATTTTCACATTATGTTATTGCCTACTAAGGAAAACTAAGAAAACCAACAAAAACGTGATTAAAACTCAAAAGTGAATTCAGAAAAATGTCCGATTTCCAAACTTCACAGTGTTCAATGTACCGATAATAATGTTTGAAAACAGTGAGTAAAAATACTTTTCTCATAGTAACAACAAAAGTTATAAATAGATTACAATAAATTTATAAAGAAATGCGCAGAATCCAGACAAAGTAAACTACAAAAAGTTTATTGTGGCATATAAAAAAGACTAGCAAATGAAGACGCATATTATAACACTGGAGTAGAACTTAATGGTGTAAACATTCTCATCCTGTGTAATTAATATGGCCTAAGTGTAATATAATTATGATAAAAATAGCTGAAAAATGTCTTGTGAATACAAAAATGTTACTGAAGCTTGTTTAATTGAAAAAAATGAGGCTAAATCCTTCAAAATAAATGTAAAGGAGAGTACACTTCCAATTATTAAGATGCATTAAAGTGCTTCAATAATTAAAATAAGATAGCCCATACTGATTGGAAGAAGTTCAAAGGCTAGAAATAAAAGAAAAACTCCAAAGAACAAAGGTATAAATAGAATCTACATATTTATATTTTACATAAAAGAAGTCTGGAGGCGGATAGTTTAGGGCTGGCAAGACAGCTCCAAGTTCATCAATAACTGAAGCTTTCCACCTGGATATTTTTGGTGTATAGTTCCATCCTAAGTGTGGCTTCTACCCTCTGGGTTATGTTTTAGTCCAATACATTTGCTGGAACCCATCCATCACTTCCACACTGCAGGGCAGAAGGAAAAGTAAAGCCAAAGGAGTAAAAAAGGAATTCCTCTTCAATGAATGAGTTCCCTTTAATCAGCCTTCCCCTGTGGCCCACTTGGTAATCTTGATGGCATTTCATTGGCCAGAACCTAGACATGTGACCACATCTTGCCATAAAGAAGGCAGGAAATCATAGTTTCATTTGTACGTTATTTACCTAGCTAAAAATTAACACTCATATTTCTAAGAAGGAAACAGGGAATCAATGTTGGACTAAATAATGCTAGCATCTGACAAATGATAGGAAATTAGTCTATAATAAAGGTGGCATTTTATATTAACAGAGAAATGATGGCTTTTTTCAAAAATAATTCTGAGAAATTAGATAACTACCTAGAAAAATGTTAAGTTTACTCTTTCCCTATAGTATTCAGAATTTTAAATTATGTATTATTTAAATTTCTATAATTTTAACTTTTTTCTGATTCAAAATAAAATATATCATTGAATGCAATTTAGGAAACATAAAACAGTATACCAAGCATATCTATAATGTTATTACCATAGATTACAATGATCAATGTTTTGAACTTTTCTTTGTATATAAACATCTGTATAGATTTATATAAATGGATATAATGTGTATATAATATATATGTATATTTAATAAATATATATAACATATATGGGTGCATGCACAAACATATGTATATGTATAAACACACACACACACATACTCAGATCATATTGTATGATTCAGGGTGGTGTTGCTGAAAACATTGGAAACCGATCCTAACACATAAAAAAGTCATGCATCACTGAAAGATGAGGATACCTTCCAATAAATGTGTGGTTAGGGGATTTTGTTGTTGTGTGAACATTATAGAGTATGTTTACACAGATCTAGAAGGTATAGCCCACTACACACTTAGGCTATATGAGCCAATGCTCCCAGGCTATAAACTTGTATAGCATGTTACTGTACTGAATGCTAGAGATAATTGTAACAGTATGGTAAGCATTTGTGTATCTAAACATATCTAAAATTAAAATGCTACAGTGAAAATATGGTATTATAATAGGACTACCATCATTGATCAAATATTGTCATGCAGTTCATGACTGCATTAAAAAGTAGCTCAGCAAAAAATAGAAAAACCTACAGAAGCAAAAGGAAAACATCAAGGACATATTATAGTCAAAAGTTAGGTTACTACAAACCATCAAATCCTACTTAGGTTTTACAGAAGAATCAGAAATATGCCTCTATGCCTTCCAGAGATATAATCAGTGATGTAATCTACAGAATCCGTAAGATATAAACAAACTCTTTCCTATTACAAGAATGGAAAGAAACTTAAACCTTAGGTACTAATGCATAACAAGCCATGCAATATAATGCATAGGAATTTCAACAACAAAAACAAGGCTGTTTCTTATCTCTCAGTGTAAACCCATATAATCTTGGCAATGTGTAGTTCAATAAAAGCTGTTCGACAGGAAGCCAGAACAATTTTGTCCACCTCTGTAGCAGTCTGTTGTTCTGAACAATACAATGAGAAAATTGAGAGTCACTATAGCAATGGTTTTCAAAATGTGTTCTAGTGGAGGATCTTGGCTTCCAGGCAGAAAACAATCAACTTTTAATTCTTAGAGGGCTGCATGAAGTTTGCTTGAAAACAATTTTTAATTAAAAACAATAGTAAGTCTTTAAAATTTAATTTTAGTGTAATTGGTGGTCTGCTTTTTCTTTAGTCTTCCATAAATACTAATTCTCTTAGTTGAGCTTTTGGTATTAATTAAAGACATATTAAGCACCGACCACTAGAAAAACTGGCTCAAATAAAACTATTCAAATTGCTGGCTAAGCATAGAATGCATGCTTAAAGAGCCAGAAAAGCTGGGTATAGCATTGACATTCTCTTGCAAAGGTTGCAGCCTTACAAAGGCACACATCTCATTAGAAAGTCACCCACACAAAGTTTGGGATGGGAGAGCATCCAGAGGCAAAGCCAGGATTGTCCTCCAATATTGTTGTGGTCCGCACTAATATTCAGACAGAAAGATTATCAGCGCTCATAGTGTAATATTATGACCCCCAAAGGGCCGTATTCCATGGAAGAAGCTTTGTATGTATTTGAGTGTATTCTCAGGGGCCTACTAGATATCAGGAAATGTATTAACTGGCCTTATCATTTCAAACAATTAAATGAAGGTAGAATAAAGAAGTGTTATTATGATAGTGGTAAGATCATAGTTAGAGAAGTCAAGAGTTTCAGAACCACCTAGACAACCATTCACTCAAGAACAATGCAGGTCCAGATGACAAAACAACTAAATTTTTATTATTTGCTGAACAGCAGCCCCACATACCAATGCTGAGATTTGAAGAGCTAAGCTGCTAGGATGCACCCTGGGAAAAGGCTTGTGCAATGCAGTCCTAGAAAAACTAAAACCAAAGCTGGACAAATGATCTTCTTTGTCTATTCACAGCTCAAATCCTATAAAAGACTATATCCAAGAGTACCAGAAAAACAGGTAAGTGGATGTGTTTAGTTAGTATAGATATATTAATAATTCTCCTTATAAAATTTTATTCTTAGAAAATATAGTCAATCAGCCCATGTTCTGACATCTAGATCTCTTCTTGGTGAAATTAGGCAGGTAGGAAGACAAAAGGGGTTAAGTGAGGAGAAAGGTGTATAGAATTCCTTTCCTAGAAACCAATATTCCCTGGGATGTTGTTTGTATATGGTTAACTAGGAACACAGCTATTCCACTCAAGTAAGATCAATGGAATATAGTACTAGAGAAGTCCCACTGAAAACTTTCTGTCACTTTCGCTTTCTGTCTATATATCTTCTTGGGACTAGTAAGATACAGACATACACACATCTTCTCCAACAGTTATGAATGACTCTTAATTATTTCCCCTGAAAGATTATCCAAAGGGTCAAGGAACAATATTCTTTTATTCCCTTTCTTTTTCTGTTGAATTCCATCTTCCTAAGAACTAAGGGGCATGTGGAGGTCAAAGCTTTAGAAAGAAAGTGGTATGTCAGCAGTTCCTGAAGAGGGCTCACGAGAGCTGTCCAATACTAGCAGAGCTGAAACCAGACCTCACCATGGCTCTTGGGTCCTGAGACCGGATAGCACTTACAGAGCTTTGGTTTTCTCCTTTGTAAAATAGGAAGGGTGTTGACTTTACGTCTATGATTTGTTACATCTCTTCAGCCAAAGTGATTCAACTGAGCCCCATTCTCTATCAGACCCTTTTCCCATGACCCACGTACTTATGCAGTGCTCAGAGAAAGCCTGAGCCCCATTCTCTATCAGACCCTTTTCCCATGAACCACGTACTTATGCAGTGCTCAGAGAAAGCCTGAGCCCCACAACAAACAAAACCGCAGTATGTTCTTTCTTTTCCATTGCTGGTCAAGAACATTTCCAATAAAGTGGAGATGGTGCATGAATAACAGGGGGTGACGTTCTGCAGTTCTGGAGGCTGGAATTCCTAGACCAGAGTGTCAGCACAGTCAACTTCTGGTGAGGGTCCTCTTCTGGGTTGCAGACTTCCAATTTCTCTTTGATTCCTCATGTAACAGAGAATGCTGAGTTGTTCCTATTCTAATTGTAATGTTGTAGTACTACGTTCTTTTATAACATTCAACTAAGTTCACAAAACATAATTTTATAATGACCGTTAAATCAGAGTTGAACCCATATGCTACAGCGCTAGCAACATGATACAGAGAAAAAGGTTCACCTTTCTTTAATAAGGTATCAGTACAAATGCTCTCCAGTTATTAAGTATATTTCTATCCTACAGAGAATTTAAAATCCCCCCAAAATTTTTCACCCTGAAAAATTAAAAATGTGTTCAAAAATAGATTTTTTTTCTGTCACTGGAATACTTGAAGCTCCTTTAGAGTATTTCAACCCCAAGTTTTTAGTGTAACTATCCCATTTTCCAAAGCTAACAAAAGTCAGTCATCATTTTTATAAATTGTTGCTCCATCAAAACAAAGTTCAGTTCTAAATGGGAGAATTTTAAATTTTATTATATTAGGGTAACCTTTTTCACAGCATCAATATAATGTAGTAATAAACTGTTTTCTTACTATGTCAGTGAGAACAGGTTTGAGAATCCAACAGATTTCTATTGGTACAAGGAAAACTAATCTCCTATCAAAGGATCAGTCAATTAAATGTCCTTGCAAGGGAGTCTTCTGACCATGCATTAGGGTTGCATTAGGCTGCACCATATCATCGTGAGACAGTCATCATGCGTATTTTAATTTTTCTCCTTGAGGATTTCCACTCAACTTCTTGTGCCTAACATGTGTGATTCTAAATTGAACCAATGGTTATAAGTTGTTTATTTCAAGTAGCATTTATAGATTTGGCAAAAACACTGAACTTAGTAGGTTGCTAATTAATTAAAGCTAATTGCTCTTACCCCTTAACTGTTTAGGTGATTGTAAATTAATTTCCTTTAATTGTTGCTAATCCACTATTTGGATAATTGTCTATACATATGTTCAATGTGTTTCCTATTTTATAGCATAGGAGCTGAATTTCCTACATTCGAACTACCACTCTTTACTTGATCTTAGCCAAAAGGCTTAGAGATGATCTCTCCAAACCGCTCTTGTCAGAATCTGCCTGGGTGAGCCTTTTTGAAATATATCTCCTCGGCTCCTTCTCTCCTCTAGACACCAACCGTTTATTCTTAAGGCCTGGGCCCAAAGCTCTCATCTGTTCTGTATTCTGTTATTTAATATCCACAAGGCTTCATTGCTAAATATTCTACTTGTTCCCTACCATCAAGTTGTTGTTGTCATTGTTGTTATTGTTGTTTGAGATGGAGTCTCATTGTGTCGCCCAGGCTGGAGTGCTGTGGCATGATCTCCGCTCACTGTAACCTCCGCCTCCAGGATTCAAGCCATCCTCCCACCTCAGCCTCCTGAGTAGTTGGGATTACAGGCATGCACCACCATAGCTGGCTAATTTTTTTTTTTTTTTTTTTTGTATTTTTACTAGAGACAGGGTTTCACCATGTTGGACAGGCTGATCTCAAACTCCTGACCTCAAGTTGTCCACCTGCTTCAGCCTCCCAAAGTGCTGGGGTTACAAAGGTGAGCCACCGCACCTGGGCCCCTGCCATCTTCTTTACCTTCTTTTTACTCTCTCAATGTATAGTTTTCTCCTTTCTAATTATTCGTAATAGGAATGTTTCATAATCTACAAATAGTGATTCTGTTATGGTTTGGATATTTGACTTCTTCGTACCTCATGTTGAAATTTGATCCCCAGTGTTGGAGGTGACGCCTGCGTGGAGGTGTTTGGGTCATGGAAGTGGATCCCTCATGAATGGGAGTGAGTTCTCGATGTATTAGTTCCCTCCAGAGCTGGTAGTTAAAAAAGAGCTTGGCACCTCCCATCTCTCTTGCTTCCTGTCATGCCATGGAAGCAGCCTGGGGCTTTCATCAAATGCCCAATCTTCTAGCCAGCAGAATCGTAAGCCAAATAGACCTCTGACCTTTATAAATTACCCAGTTGCAGGTATTCCTTTATAGCAACACTAAATGGACTAAGACAAATACTCAGCATTAAAAAAAGTGACATGTCAGTAAATCCAAACATATCATATCATGGGTAAAGCCTTACTACAAAATGCAATGATAATATAGAATAATCAAGGGCCAGCATGCATGGTTTACACAATAAGTGCTGTCAAAGAAAAAAAGCTGTGCATGGTGGTGCATGCCTGAAGTCCCAGCTACTCCAGAGGCAGAGGTAGGAGGATGACTTGAGCCCAAGAGTTCTAGGCTGCAGGGAGTTATGATGGTGCTACTGCACTTCAGCCTGGGTGACAGAGAGAGACCCTGTCTCTAAAAAACAAACAAACAAAAAATTTCCCAAAGAAAAAGAAAAAGAAGAGATACATGTTGGGAGGTTAAATGTCATTAACATTATTTTCTTCATGGCCTTTGCAGCAACATGGATGGAACTGAGGCCGTAATCCTAAGCGAATTAACACATGAAAAGAAAACAAAATACCACATGTTCTCACTTGTAAGTGGGAGATAAACACTGAGTATACATGGTGTGTTAGTCAGGGTTCTCTAGAGGGACAGAACTAATAAGAGATAGAGAGAGGGAGATAGATAGATAGATAGATGATAGATAGATAGATAGATAATAGATAGATAGAAAGAAAGAAAAGTATTAAGTAGAAAAGGGGTTTATTAAGTATTAACTTACACAAAAATGAGGTCCCACAATCTACTGTCTGCAAGCTGAGGAGCAAGGAGAGTCAGTCCGAGTCTCAAAACTGAAGAACTTGGAGTCCGATGTTGGAGGGCAGGAAGTATCCAGCACGGGAGAAAGATGTAGGCTGGGAGGCTAGGCAAGTCTCGCCTTTGAGGTTTTTCTGCCTCCTTTATATTCTTGGAGAGCTGATTAGATTCTGCCCACCAGATTAGGGATGGGCCTGCCTTCCCCAGCCCACTGACTCAAATGTTAATCTCCTTTGGCAACACCCTCACAGACACACCCAGGATCAATACTTTGTATCCTTTAATCCAATCAGGTTGACCATCACACATGGACACAAAGAAGGGAACAATAGACACTGGGGTCTATTTGAGGTAGAGACTGAGAGGATGGTGAGGATTGAAAACCACCTATTGGGTATTATGCCGATTTCCTGGATGACACAATTATTTGTACACCAAACCCCTGAGACATGCAATTTACCCCTGTACCAATACTGCACAGGTACCGCTTGATCCTAAAGTAAAAGTTGGAATGAAAAAAATAATAATAATAAATGTTTTTACAAGTGAAAAAAATCCATCATTCTTTGTAGAAAAATGCCAATTTTCATTTTTTAAAACTTCTATAAACTAAACTTAAAGCAGACATACATGCACATTAATTTATGCATTATGTCATAACAATATTGCTGATTTAGTTCTCTTTTTCATCTTTAACTTAACATGTGAACTGATTTTAAATATACAAAGATGAAATATTATTAACTATCAAGAATCTGATTTACAGAGGATTCACGACAGATTAACCTAAAACTCATTAATCTAAATAAAAGAGAACTATAATGTATTTTTCCCCAGGAAAGCAATAGTAGTTAATAGAAATACGTCCAAAGTATTTCATACATTCATGAGCCAAATGTGCATGGAGGGAAGCTGATAGAGAGATCTATAAGGAACCAGAGACTTGTCTTTTAAAAAACTGTAGATCTGAGAATAACAATCAGATAAAATATAATTTAAAGGTTCCAAGAAGCCCTGATTTTATACCTTAATGAGATGATTGTAAGCCAGATATTTTTTAAACTTCTCAAAGATTTTCAAATTGCTGCCTGTGGAATATGTTATTATATTAAAATCTAGGAACCATTCCAACTACTTTAACAACATTTTTAAGTAAATAAAAGATTTGGAAATTGTATTACCCATGTTATTTACAATTATATGTGAATAAAGGAAAAGAATCATGTTGATTTCTACATACCTTCTGTATATCTATTCAAATTTGAAAGAGAACAGCAAAATCCCACACCTAATGGGCCTCTCTCCTTATTTAGGAGAAATAATTACAAATTTCTCTTCCATCAATATAGAACTTCCATGAAATGTTCTAGCAGTTGGGCTGCCCCACAAGGTAACTTCCACAAATCGTTTGCATCAAATCTGACTTTAGCAGCTTCCTTAGGCAAATTCAGCTGGTATATTTTATCAGGTAAAATGTATAATGTGTGCCTATATGTATATTCCACGTCTATCCACATTTATCACCTCTATATCAATTTAGTTTTGCAGTGTGAGAATGTGATAACATTTCCACATTAATCTTCACTTAAATAGAGTTTCTTTGGGCTTTTGCTGTATAAACCAATGTTCTTACTGCCTTTGTGTTTGGCAGTTATAAATATTTCATAAAGCATAATATAGCTCGGCTGCTTTTTATTTTACAGGAGTAGCAGTTAGGACTGTTAGTTCAGCATATGTCATTAACATTTTCATATCTTGGAACTGGAGCCCATTTATTAAGTATAAAGGTCCACATAGCTTGGAGAAGAATAAAGACAACTGAGTTCACCATATCTGTAGCTTTAAATATTGAAGCATAGTGCCATCTGGCGGGAGAAAGAAATTTAGAGGAGAGATATGAAGCACAGTGTCCCCACAGATCACAGGACACTGGGGAAAAGACAAGCTCAGATACACAAAGCAGAGATAAGGTGTCCCTCCTTTATTATAATTTTCTTCAATTTTTATTTTAGAATCAGGGGGTGCATGTGCAGGTTTGTTGCAAAGGTATATTGACTGTTGCTGAGGTTTGGAGTACAAATGAATGTGTCACCCAGGCTGTGAGCATAGTACCCAGCGTTAGTTTATCAACTCTTGCCCAACCCCCCTTCCGCCCTCTTCTTATATTTCCAGGTGTCTCTTGTTTCCATCTTTATGTCTATATGTGCCCAATGTTTAGCCCTCAAATTTCAGTTGTGAATAAGGACACAGTGCTCAGGGGAGAGTTAAGGCCTTGCTGCAGGACTGTAGCAAGCCAGGCGCTCACTAAGGTATCTCAGATAGGAGAAATGGTCAGATCCTCTCAATCTACATGTCTTGTTTCATTCATTCACTTTTCATTCATTCTTTCATCTCTCTGTTCATTTAACATCTATCTGCTGAGCACCATTCTAAGTGCTGAGGATACAGCTATGAATAAAGCAGACAACATCCTTGGCATCATGAAGTGTACATTCTGGTGGAAGGACATAGACTATAAACCAATGTATCAAGTGACATGTTAAATGCTCTGGAGAAATAATTAAGCAGAGTATGACACTTGAGGGTTGTCTCCGGGAAGGGTAGAGAAGAGGTGCTATCTCCTGTAAAGTGGCCAGGGAAGACCGCTCTAATTTTGTGACATTCAAGCAGCTAACTGGGTCAAATGTAAGAGCAAACCATGAAGATACCTGAGAGAAGAGCATCTCAAGCAGGAAGAAGAAAAAAACGCCAAGGCTCTGAGAAAAGTGCCTGGATTTTCAAGGAACAGGTGACTATGGTAGGGTAGAGTGAGCGAGGGGAAGGCTCAGATTAGGAGAGGTTGGAGGAGGGGGCAGGACAGATTATGTCCGGCTGTTGGCACATTGTTTACCCATCCCAGAGACAATGCCTCCAAGCATGCATGTGTAGACCCCACAGAAGAGAGTGCTTACTACTTTCAACTGAAAGAGGGCAAGAGAAATTCACCTCATTTATACATTAAGTAAATATTCATGGGTGCCTATTATTTGCTATTCTTTGTGCAGAATGCTGAAAACATGTAGATAAATATGATGTTCTCAATTATGTCAGCCTAATGGGGGAGATAAGTAAAATAACAACTAGAATAAACTACCACAAATACCATAGAAATATTATGGGCTATATATTTATGGGGCCATAACATAATAACTTTAGGTAAAATTCATGACAGTCTTCTGAAAAAATATGAGATTAAGATGTATCTTAATGACTGAGGTGTGCCGGGCACAGTGGCTCATGCCTGTAATCCCAGCACTATGGGAGGCAGAGGCGGGAGGATTGCTGGAGGTCAGGAGTTTGAGACCAGCCTGGCCACAATGGTGAAACCCTGTCTCTACTAATACAAAAATTAGCAGGGCGTGGTGGTGTGCACCTGTAATCCTCTCTACTCGGGAGGCTGAGGCACAAGAATCACTTGAACCTGGGTGGCGGTGGTTGCAATGAGCTGAGATTGTACCACTGCACTCCAGCCTGGGTGACAGAGCAAGACTTTGTCTTAAAAAAAACAAAAAAACAGACTGAGGTGTATCTTAAAGACAGAAAGAAAAAAGAAAAATACCATTCTGACAAGAGGGAACATTATATTCAATGATGTTAACATTTCTGATATGTTTGATAGCGTGCCAGGTACTGTTCAATGTGCTTCAATAGATTAACTTATTTCATCTTCACAACAACCTTATAACCATTACTAGTTTCATTTTATATATGAAGAAACTGAGGCTCAGAGATATTAAGGAATTAACCCAAGTGTATTGAATTCTTGTCATGGAACTGGGATTTGCACACTGGCAGCTTGGATTCAGAGTTTCTGTTATAATCCACATGTAATTTTACCTTAGTAACAGACTCTGAGATACAACAGATGACATGTTTCTAAGAAAGGCAAGAAGTGTACTTAAATAAAGAAAAAACATGAAATAGTAGAGAGAGTGGGGATCGAAACAAGCAAAGATAGACAAATGACAAACTTGTAAAACTATTTTCTACAAATATCCAATGATCTTGGGAGTTCTTCTGTCCTACTTTAATATGGTACTCAAATTCCCATGGTGATTTGTATGGGGCCATGCCCATACTACACTTAGAAGGTACCTAGTTGCATCCTTTCAAGAGGCCAGTAGAGAGAGGGCTGGAGGTGCTGCTCTTAGTTCCCCGCCTATATGACAGGGAAGAGATCCAGAGCTGCCTGCATGCTACGGCAGGAGCCAAGAAAGAGATAACAGTGGCCTTCGATTGAGAGAAGGTGGAGTCCAGGCAAGAAAGGTATGGAAGTCAGGACCAACATAAGGGGCTAAGAATGGGACCAAAGATACCAGTGATGGATGCAGTTCCCAAGGACATGTGAGTCCTAGTAGAGCGGCAGCACATGCTGTCAGAACAGAGACCAACAGAAAAGCCCATGTGAGAGATACATCTCAGTAGTAAGAGAAATGATGACACAGACACTTCACAGCAGCTACCACAGTGCTTCCCAACGTTTTTTCCTTCCCCAGAAAGGAGAAGGGAAAGCCCTTTAGAAGAGAGTCCTGAGTTATTAACAACGTATGTGAAAAATGATTTTAAGTAGAAAAAGATGTATTTAATTTAAGTGACCAGATGGCCTTTTCTGCCATCTGTGCAAATTTAACTCATGAGAATGTTAAATTTCTGAGTTAAACACTTGAGTTGCTGTGTAAATTTTAGGTTGACTTCTCATCTATGGTATCTTCTCATGAGAAGCAATAGAAAGAAAACTGTTGTATAGTATCACCGAGAATGGGTAGTACTCAAATAAATATTTTATAATAAAATCATACATTGAGAGTAGTGTGTGTGTGTGTGTGTGTGTGTGTGTGTGTGTGTGTGTGTTTGGTAAAACTTCAGCAAGGTAATATGTTATTGTGCTTTCATATAAATTCTATTTAGAACCAATACATCATTTAATTTATTTTAGCTTCATTTGAACAAGTTGTCAAACTTGAATCTGATTTTTTAAACCACACTGCCATTTACTGGAAAAACACAAAATGATTAAGAACCTGTAGTCTAGAACCAAATTCTGTGTGTCCTCCATTTTGGAATCCTCCAAAAATCCTAGCACCTCCATTTTTCTATATATGTGACTTCGGTGAAGCTAATTTCTCTTTGTTTCAGTTTCCTCATTTGTAAAACAGAAATAATAATACCTACCGCATGCAGTTCTTAAATGGATTCGATATATTAATATTATTAAAGGGCTTGCAGTAGTGCCTGGTATATATTGAACTACATTAAGTTGTAGCTATTGTTAATATATCTTTAAGGATGTCTTACTCAAGAGATCTTTTTAAAACATAAACAGACTAGGGTCTTGAATAACAAGTATAATCACCAGTGATCAATATTACCCAGTTAAATTAGCTCTATGGAACAACAGTGATATATCAATGATATTAAATTTATAAGCCTCTAAACATGATTTACTATTCTTCTTTATTTTTATCTTGCTGCTTTTCCAATGCCTGGAATAGCTGAGATGTCATATTGCTTCCTTATTCTGATATTTACAGAAACAATCCCCAGTAGAGAATGTATTAATACATTACCCAATCTTTAAATGTATTTTATATCTCTGATATTTACACTGACGATTTGCTTTTCAAGTTTTCATCTTACAAGCTTTCTCAATGAGAATGCAATACAAGATTAAAAGAGAAATCGTTGAAAATACAATTTCTTTTTTTTTTAATAAAGAAAAAAGGTTTAATTGACTCACAGTTCCACATGGCTGGGGAGGCCTCAGGAAACTTACAATCATAATGGAAGGCACTTCTTCACAGGGCAGCAGGAGAGAGAATGAGAGTTGAGCAAAAAGGAAAGCCCTTTATAAAACCATCAGATCTCATGAGAACTCACCCACTATCACAAGAATAGTAGGGGGAAAACCACCCTCATGATTTAATTATCTCCACCTGGTCTGGCCCTTGACATGTGGGGATTATTACAATTGAAGGTGGGATTTGGGTGGGGACACAGAGCCAAACCAGATAAAATATTTTTAGTTATACAAAAGTTTTGAATGAGAATGAAAATGGCTTATTTGTGTTTCCTTGGCTTTAACCACATGCTGATTGTACTTCAGGAAGAGTCTCTAAAATTGTAAAAAAGAAACTTCAAAAACACGCTCAAATGGTTTCTACTCTGCCAAAATTGCTGGGCTTTAGATTATCCAAAATGAAACTTGCATTTCTGGCCATGGATGATTTGACTGAGGATTCATGCCTTCATTGCCTAAGGCAATTACAGATGGATTTGGTACTAGAGAAGACATCCACTTCCACCTAGTCTGTTTGAAACCCCATGCAATAGGAGGGCCTCTTGTGAACAAATCAAATCCTCTTTTTAAGGAAATAAAAATTATCGATGAAAATGGAGATACGTCTCCTTTGGTCTGGCCATTATGCGAAATAAAACTCAGTAAACTTATCACCTGTTCAAGGTAGCACTTATTTGCTCCCTTGTAGCTGTCAGATAGCTGCACAAAATTTAAAAAATATATTTTACTGAGGTTTTCTAGTTTTTCCCAGTGTGAAGAAATGGCCTGTAACAAGCTAGTCTTAACACTACCAGCAATGGACATTCTGTCATAGGTGTTTGTTTTTTAAGTAAAAAAAAAAAAAAAAAAAAAAAAAAGAAAGTAAAATGATACAAAATTGAAATCCAGCTTTGTCATCTGTTAAGTTCGAAAATTTTTGTGTATTTCTTAGTAAATCCTCCAGTTTATTTGTTTAATCAGGATAAAATTACAACATTTTACATATCATATTTTATTATGTCTTGATTCTTTAATATAACATATATTCACATTTTATACTTATTTACTGTATTCATCTTTTCTTTAAGGTCCTTTGAAATTTCATATTTTTTTATTTTTTATTTTTTATTTTTTTGAGATGAGGGCTTGCTATGTTGCCCAAGGCTGATCTCAAACTCCCGGGGTCAAACACTCCTCTTGCCTCAGCTCTTGAGTAGCTGAGACTAGAGGAGTGCACCACCATGCCTGGCTCCATACAAATATTATAGCTGTCAATTTTTTTGAAAATATCTTTGCAACTTTACTTGGAATCACTTGAATGTACACATTGATTAAAATAGAGGTGATTTTCTGAGAATACAATTTCTAAATAGAAAATGGGAGGATTATGAATAATTTTAGTATATTATCACATTCATAAAGAGTATCACTGACTAATATAATTATCTTAGAGCTGATTTATGACTAGGTCCATCCATTGATAGAACTCAGGATAAAAGAAACATATTTTGAATAGTTTTTGCTTGTTGAATTATGGGCTTATTTGTTCCTTGTGCTGTCCATGCATTTATATGGCACATCATGTAAAGAACATGGCATCTGGAGTCAGGCAGCCTAGAAGTGAGTTCCAGCTCTGACCACTGGTTATGATGTTGTAAGGGGAAAAAAAATCACTTCTTGTGGCTATATTTTCATCTAAAAGTTACAGTAAAATTTCACACTACTTAATAGTTAAGACTGTGGTTTTAGAGTTAGAAAAACTTGAGTTTTAATTCCAGCTGTGTTTCATCCCAGCTGTGTGACAGTGGCCAAATACTCAACCTGTCAATGCTTTAATTTCTCCATTTGTAAAGTGAGAATAATACATAATAACTATATAATAACAATTTTAAATGACAGGATAACAGTGAGACTTGAATGCAACACTGCATATGAAATTCTTAGCACATTATTATGCAGACTAAAAAATTTTAAAAAGTTAACTCTTTTTGGATTACCTTGTGGCCTAAGGGATAGCACTGCACGCTATGGCCACTCAAATGCTAATTTAGCATTGGTGTGATTACAACAGCATTCCAACAATATCACATATGTACACAAAACATATACTTTATATTCACCAACCATCAAGATCAAGAGGTAAAGCTAAAAAGTATATTTACAAGAAATACAGTGGCTCATTAATTCTTAACTTAGGGAATGTCCTAGTTCATTACTTAAAAATAAAAATAAAAGCACACAAGCAAGTTCACAAGGATTTTAAGTAGGGCAACCTCCACGTCAATTTCTCTTAAAGTAAGGTGGGTGGGGGCAGCTGCCCACACATCTACAGTATAGAAAGCCTATTTGCTTTAACAACAGAGGCTTTCCCCTAACACTCTCTACTCAGAGAAGCCCCTCTACCAGTCATCATAGAAGACCAGCCATTTAGAAATTAAGACCTTAGAAAATGATTTGTCAATCTTATCTTAATATTCATATAGTATTCATCTTCCATTTCTCAGTCTCAATTAACCTTCATTATTCATAGCCTTGCTTAACTACTTAATATTCTCAAGACCACATGTACTTTGGACATTTCCCCCCTCTACCTAGAACATTGTCCCCTCTTCACTACCCACCACCACATGCCCATCTGACTCATGACCTCCTATATATAATCAAACTTTTCCTTTAAATTTCACCTCTTCCTGCTTGCTTTCCTTGGTTCCCACAGGGGAAATTAAGAACTTAATCATCTGTCTTTAATGCTACCTATGTAGCTCAGCTATATTTCTTCTTGAATTTTGTTTTGTGTTTCGGCATGTCTTTGTTCCCTCACCAGACTATAAACTAGGGGATAAGGGGCTCCTGCCTATTCATTTTTGTATTTATGTTTGTTTACTTGTCTATTTTTTCTTTGAAGTATGTGAACTACTTACTTCATCAACATTATTAAAGTTGAATTTTCTCCTGCATGCATTTTAATACACAGCCACGTGTGGCATAATGACGTTTTGGTCAAAGAAGAACCATGGGCCGGGCACGGTGGCTCACGCCTGTAATCCCAACATTTTGGGAAGCTGAGGCAGGCAGATCACGAGGTCAGGAGATTGAGAACATCCTGGCCAAAATGGTGAAACCCCGTATCTACTAAAAATACAAAAATTGGCTGGGCATGGTGGTGCACACCTGTTGTCCCAGCTACTAGGGAGCCTGAGGCAGCAGAATCACTTGAACCCAGGATGCGGAGGTTGCAGTGAGTCGAGATTGCACCACTGCACTCCAGCCTGGTGACAGAGTGAGAGTCGGACTCAAAAATAAATAAATGAATAAATAAATAAATAAATGGGACCGCATGTATGATAGTGGTCCTGTAAGACAAAAAATCCTATCCCTTAGTGATGTAGTAGCTGTCCTAATGCAGTGGCATAATACATTACTCATGTGTTTTTGGTGTTGCTGGTGTAAACAAACCTATTGCACTGTCAATGGTATAAAAGTATAGCACATACAATTATGCACAATACATAATACTTGATAATGCTGATAAGTGACTACGTTAATGGTTTATGTATTTACTATATTATGCTTTTTAATCATTATTTTAGCATGTATTCCTTCTAATTATAAAAAAGCATCAAACTGCCTCAGGCAGTTCTTTCAGGAGGCATCCAGAAGAAGGCATTGTTATCACAGGAGATGAGAGCTCCACGGGTGTCATTGCCCCTGCAGACCTTCCAGTGGAACAAGATGTAGAGGCGGAAGACAGTGATATTGATGATCCTGACCCTGTGTAGGCCTAGGCTTATGTGTGCATTTGTGTTTTAGTGTTTAGTAAGAAAAGTTTAAAAAGTAAAAAATAATAAAAGCTTAAAAATAGAAGAAAGCTTATAGGACAAGAATATAAAGAAAGAATTTTTATACAACTATATGTGTTTGTGTTTTAAGCTAAGCATTATTACAGAAAAGTTTAAACATTTTTTAAAAATTCAAAAGCTTATAAGGTTAAAAATTTACAGTAAGCTAAGGCTAATGTATTTTTGGAGAAAGAAAAATATTTTTGTATTGAATAAATTTTGGGTAGCCTAAGTGAACAGTGTTTATAGAGTCTATAGTAGTGTACAGTAATGGCCTAGGTCTTCACACTCATTCACTACTTACTCGCTGACTCACCCAGAGCAACTCCCACTCTCCTGTAAGCTCCATTCGTGGTAAGTGCCCTACACAGGTGTGCCATTTTTAACCTTTTATATTTTAACTGTACCTTTTCTATGTTTAGATATAAAAATTATTATATTGTGTTACAATTGCCTACAGTGTTCAGTAAAGTAACAAGCTGCACAGGTTTGTAGCTTAGAAGCAATAGGCTATTCCATATAGCCTAGGTGTGTAGTAGGCTATACCACCTAGGTTTGTGTAAGTGCACCCCAAGATATTCTCACAATGACAAAATCCCCTAGTGATGCATTTCTGAGAATGTATTCTCATCATTAATAAACTGGAAAAATACAAATGATGTCACATACCTAATTACTGTTTCTCTGACATTTTAAAAATATATAATTGGATTTTTTGCTAAGTATAAAATAAGTATAGCAGAGTATAAAAGTATGTGTTTCACTGACACGTTAAGAATGGAATTTGAAGTAGGGTTTTTCTGGAACACTCTGTGCAGAGACCAGCTCTCAACAACCAGCACTTATTCCCAACTTCAAAGTAAGCCCTCTTCCCCTTAGGCTGGAAGGTAGCAACATGAAGCAACCTCAGCTTTCCAGCTATTATTCGTAGTCTTCAAACATGGTCATTTTAGGCAAGCCCTATATGGAGTACAAGCTCTTCAAAGGAACCAGAAGCATATCTAGGCTTAAAATATCACTCACCAGAAAGATAAAGATGCTTTGGCAAGGTTGTGTCATTTGATCGTTAGTTCTTTCATAAGTGCCATTAAGTACCTCTTTGGCCAAGCATCAGATTTAACAAACAATGTGTAATTCAAATCTCCAACGAGATTGGGCAGGAATGTGTGCTGACTAATCAAGGTATCGGCAAAATGAGAAAGCAAAGCACTTTGGCCCGGCACTGGGCTCCACCTGCCTATCACTAGCACAGTGATAGTGTGGGGCTGGTTCAGGCCAGGGCTATTGTATATACAGCATCCAAAAATAGGAAGGAATGAGCCTCAGTTTGCTATACCTGATGTGATCATTATGGTCTTTCTTCACAGAAATTTGGCTAAATTTAACACAAATTAGAATAACAATTAAAAATTAATATATAACTAGATGCCAGTGAAAAGCTAATAGCCTTCTGATGACCTTAAATAAAACATTCCTAGAGGGAAAGAAACCACTACTGAGCATCTCCAATATGTCAGACTCAACACTAGGCCCTTTAGGTAAAGGCATCTGCTTTAATTTTTGCAATAATCCTAGTCATTTGTATTGTTATACCTACTTCACAGATGAGGAAAGTGAGGCTCAGAGAAGTTATATAACTTTTTTTCAATATCTCATGGTGAGAGAGTATCAAAGCCAACATTTGCACTCAACAAAATCTAATTTCCATTCCATCACAGCAAACACACCTCTACTTTACTCAAGGCATCAATATTTCTTTGTCTTAAGCCCCCCCTTTTATATTTTTATTTCTGTCTTCTATATATACTTCTTTCTATGGCTTTTGCCCTTAGGTTTTCTAAAACCTTAAGAAAAATAATCATTCTTCATTACATGTTTCCCAAGATTTTGTCCATAACTTTTAAAAAATTCAACCAGGTTCAGATAAAATTCTAGATTCCTATTCTCTGATA
The DNA here is from genome assembly GCF_000001405.40 of Homo sapiens. NCBI lineage: Eukaryota > Metazoa > Chordata > Mammalia > Primates > Hominidae > Homo > Homo sapiens. Next base: position 38,592,073 of record NC_000013.11, read on the forward strand.
AACGGTTTCTTATACAAGAAACTCAGTTTCCAAACTAACCAATCAACCATGTTTCAGATAAAATTCTGGATTCCTATTCTCTGATAAACAAACACTTTCTTATACAAGAAACTCAGTTTCCAAACTAACCAATCAACCATGTTTCAATGGACTCAGAAAAATAAAAGGCACTGAACTTTGTGATGGCTGCTTCATTGGAAAGAGCAATTAAAAGAAGCTCTCACGATTAGCAATGGATGCAAATGTGTCTTGGTTATATTTTGCTTACATTCATGCATAAAAAGTTAAAACTTCATCCTGTACCCAGACAAAACCAGTTAACCCTGGTTTTGTGTGGAAAGCAAATACTTCACTCAACTTTCAGAGGATGTTTTTTCCTAATTTTATTTTTCAGACAAATGAGCGATAGCAACTAGAGAACAAATTGGTGGCAAGGTTTTAAATTTCTGGAAATGTTTTCCAATTATATGTTAGTTATATGAGATCATTTATTTTCAGATATGTGCCAAGATTTGAAATTTCAGACTTTGGGATTTTAGATTAAAGATAAGCCACAAATATTTGTAATTGGACTAAGTGTTTCTATTAGCCAGTCAGTCTCACTACCACCTCCTCACACCCCTCTACACACAGCACTTCATTCAAGACTTCTATACCTGCTGTATTGTCTTTCTACCCAATCCCTGTTATCATCTGGCCAATGGCATCATCAGTGGCAACCCATATGGTCCCAGAAAGCCAGCCTCTTGATCTCCAAGAGTCATCACCTCCATCCCCCATTCCATTACAGGTATCACTGATCACAGCCCTAACTAAACCAGCTGACTTATCTTCCAGAATGGCTCTTCTTCATAATTCTCAAATCCAGACTAATGACAACCTGCTACAATCATGACTATCTCACTCAATTATTCACACTACACCAATTCTTCCACCACTTCGACACCTCTGATTTTGCTATCTCCAAACCTAAGAGTGTTTACCTATCTTTACTTTCTTTTATTTTTTTAATTTTACTTTAAGCTCTGGGATACATGTGCAGAATGTTCAGGTTTGTTAGTTAGGTATACATGTGCCATGGTGGTTTACTGCATCTATCAACCGGTCATCTAGGTTTTAAGCCATGCATGCATTAGGTATTTGTCCTAATGCTCTCCCTCCCCTTGTCCCCCACCCCCCAACAGGCCCTGGTGTGTGATGTTCCCCTCCCCGTGTTCATGTGTTCTCACTGTTCAACTGTCACTTATGAGTGAGAACACGTGGTGTTTGGTTTTCTGTTCCTGTGTTAGTTTGCTGAGAATGATGGTTTCCAGCTTCATTCATGTCCCTGCAAAGGACATGAACTCATTCTTTTTTATGGCTGCATAGTACTCCATGGTTCCATGGTGTATATGTGCCACATTTTCTTTATCCACTCTATCAGTGATGGGCATTTGGGTTGGTTCCAAGTCTTTGTTATTATAAATAGTGCTGCAATAAACTTTCATGTACATGTGTCTTTATAGTAGAATGATTGATAATCTATTGGGTATATACCCAGTAATGGGATTGCCAGGTCAAATGGTATTTCTGGTTCTACACCCTTGAGGAATCACCACACCATCTTCCACAATGGTTGAACTAATTTATCAACAGTGTAAAGGTGTTCCTATTTCTCCACAGCCTCGCTAGCATGTGTTGTTTCCTGATTTTTTAATGATTGCCATTCTAACTGGCGTGAGATTGTATCTCATTGTGGTTTTTATTTGCATTTCTCTAATGACCAGTGATGATGAGCTTTTTTTCGTATGTTTCTTGGCCACATAAATGTCTTCTTTTGAGAAGTGTCTGTTCATATCCTTCGCCCACTCTTTTATGGGGTTGTTTGTTTTTTTTTTTCTTGTAAATTTGTTTAAGCTCCCTTTAGGATGGGAGAAAATTTTTGCAGCCTACCTATCTGAAAAGGTCTAATATCCTATCTTTACTTTCTTCAATTCAACCTGGATTCCAGAGCAATTACTTTTTTCACTGGCTTGCCACTTTCTCCAACTATCTTGCCCTACTCCCATTCACAGATGCTTGCGAGACCCCCACTGCCAATCTCGAGGCTTCCAGGAACAGCCTGGAAAATAATCACACAATGTCCTCTCAGGAGAGTTTTTCTCCTTACCCATGGGGGTAGGGTACTTATCTGAACCAGGCCTTTAGTTACCACCCTTTCCTTTCCCAGGAAGTTCTCCTTTTCTCTAGAGATGTTCCCTCAACCTTGCTTAACTTTCTAGAACTTACTAGCTAACCATCTTCTCCTCTCCCACACTTTATTTATTTATTTGAGAAATATTTATTGAACACCTACTATTTGCCAGATCCTAATCTAAGCACATGGCCTCAAATCCTAATTGCAAAGAAAAGGAAACTCATTACAGAGACAATTCTTCACATTTTTTGCCATGTAAGATACTACAAACTACCCATCTTTTCTTTCTTTCTTCTAGAGAAAACGATTCCCACCCGCTCCCTACTGAAGATGCTTCTATCTTTCCACTGGTGCTTGGATTTGCAGTTTCTTCCAGCCTGCTCTCCTTTACCCTCAACCTCTTGCTTTCCACTGGTTCCATTTAACAAGCATGAAAACATTCTCAATTTCTCTCAGTATAAACAAAAAAACCTCTCTGGCTGTACTTTCCATTCCAGTGACTATCTCTTCTTTTTGATCCACTTTCTCACTTCCCATTTACTTCTTAGCCTTGTATGCTTCCTTTCCCACCACTCTATTATGTCATTATACACCAAGATTTCCAGGGCTCTCTTGTTGCTTTAGCCAATAGACTAAATAAATAAATAAATAGATGCTCTTTAGTTTACTTTGCCTTTCTGAAATGTGTGACGCTCTTGACCATTCTCTCTCCCTTGATGTCACAGACACCTTGTACTTTTGGTTTTCTTTTTATCCTCTTAGATATCTTCTTGGTGGTTTCCTTATCCTCTCTTCCCTTTGTCTTCGGGTTTAAGTCCACATCCACTAACCTGCCAAACCAGCCCTTCAATTTTACCTTTTCTTTTCCCCAGGGGCTCCTGATCTCTTCATTATAACACATAAAGTTTCACTTTTCCTTCTTCCCAGCATCTTCCCTTTCTACTATTGTCTGGCAAGGTCTATTCAGTCACAGACATTGCCTTCTCTAAGCTTCCTCCCCATCCAGTCACTAATCACACTGCACTGAAATTGCCTGTGTCCCCACTGGATGGTGAACTTCTTAAAAGCAAGGGTTATGAGGCATGTACCATTTCGTCTTCAACATAGGATCTGGCAAACAGATGTTCAATTATTTTAAATTTATTTAATTTATGAATTCTGGACATTTGTGTCTTTTCCCTGTACCTAACTCTGACTTTCCTTGATACTATATTCTCCCATAACATTTCTCAAAGATGTAGGCTACATATTTGATGCTCAGCCATTAAACAATTTCTCTCTTAAGTTTAGTGTTAGAGGTACACATTATTAACTTCAAAATATTTCAGTTGGCCATGATATTATGAGTCAATAACATGAAGCCAACCTACACTAGAGTTTATTATTGTTATAATAAATTCTAGTTGAGCTAAAATATTCTCTTAGGTTTAAAGAATTAAGTCACACATATAACAACATGCCACAAAGTCTACCATTAAAATAGTAAGGTACTACACATGAACAAACAGATAGACCAATGGAGAAAAACCAAAAATTCTCAAAATATATGTGGACACTGTATTGATTTCCTATTGCTGCTCTAACAAGTTACCACAAACCTAGTGGCTTATACCAACACAAATGTATTATCATACAGATCTGTAACAAGAAGTCCAACACACATCTCACTGGACCAAATGAAGGTCTAGCCATGGCTGCATCTCTTCTTGGAGGCTCTATGGAAGGACACATTTCCTTGTCCTTTCCAGCCTCTGGAGGCTGCTGTATTCCTTGGCTCATGGATCTCTTTCTCCATCTTTAAGCCAGCAACACAGCATCTCCTTGACCCTTATTCCATCATCACATCTTTCTCTGACTATAGCCAGAAATGGCTCTCCTCTTTTAAGAATTTCTGTGATATGACTGGGCACACCCAAGTAATTTAGGACAGTCTTTTATTAGATATATAATCACAAATCACTGGGAAAAAATGATTTATTAATAAATGATGTTGGATCAACTAAAGAGCCATTTGGAAAAAGCTAAATTATATTTATATCTCACACTATTCACAAGAATAAACTCCCTGCCTTAGAGCTGTAAGTGTAAAAACGTGAACTCATATACATATACCTAAAAATGAGAAAACATAAAAAATAAATACATTTGACTTTATGATAAAATGTGAAAATGTAAATGACAAATTATGACTATATTTTTCAGGGTTTTTTTTTTGCAGTTTTAACTAGGAAGAAAAAGGGACTAATATCCCTGAGATTAAATGAGAAAAATAACTATAGTCATGTGTCCCTTAATGACAGGGATATATTCTGAGAAATGCATCATTAGGTGATTTCGTCATTGTGTGAACATCATAGGGTGTACTTGCACAAACCTATGGTATGGTCTACTTCACGGCTAGGCTGTATGGTATAGCCTATTGCTCCTGGGCTACAAACCTGTAGGGCATGTTACTATGCTGAATACTGTAGGCAATTGTAACAGGATGGTAAGTATTTGTGTGTCTAAACAGATCTTAACATAGAAAAGGTAATGTGTTTCACTATAACTTTACATCACTAAGCACTAGGAATTTTTCAGTTCCATTATAATATTATGAAATCGCTGTCATTTATATAGTCCATCATTTACCAAAACATTGCTATGTGTCACACAACTAAATAAAAAATAGAAAAGAATATTACAATTTTTACTAAATGGGCAAAAAAAAATGAATAGACAGTTCATGGAAAAATAAAAGCAAAAATCCCTGTACATATGGGAAAAAAGTATCTATCTCATAATCAGGAAATTGCAAAATACCACTATATTATGATACTATCTCTCACCTATTAGATTATAAATATTGAGAAACTTGACAATAGACTCAGTGATGAAGCATTAGAATTACAAACACTCAAATATATGCAAAGGGAGGTACAAAATGATCCAAACCCTATGGAGGGGATTTTTGTAATAGTTTAAGAAAATTATATATATATATACCCATTAGCCAAGTAATATCATTTTTAGGAGTCTACCTTGAACTTTACAAACCTGAAACACTTATGTATAAGTTTATTTATCAAGGATCATTATGAGAGCAGTGTGGTTTGAATAAATTATCATATATACAGGAGCAAAGTTGTATGTAGCCATATGAAAGAAAAGGGATACACTCTAAGAGAGATAATGGAGCATTTTTAGGAACACATTATTAATTATATTTAGTAGGCTTCATTTCATGTGAGACTGAAAGGGAAAAAAATTTTATATTTATAAAATGTATACAAATACCTATATATGTACATATAACATTTGCTTCATTTTGTTAAAAGAAACACAGGTAGCATAAATACAAATTAATGAAAATGGTTAACTATAGGATGTAGATAGGAACCTGATGGAGAAACTAAGGAATGAAATAAAATCTTTTTAAAGTATACCTTTTGATATACTTTAAAAAGTATATTAAACATACTTTTTAATATAGTATAATTTGGACTATTTAACATTTATATGATTTATATATTAAAACATTTATATTAAATCAAAAAGAAAAACAAATTCTAAAACAATACAAATGAAAAGAAATGAACCTATCTGTATATAGCATTGTTAACATTAATGCACAGAGAAAAGAATTACAGGAAACTTTTGAACATACTACCCTGTAGATCTCTAGGGGAAAATATTCTGAGGACAATAATAATTGCAAAGAAGTCTTAAACTTGACTCTGTATATTTAGCAATAGTGGTGCTACTGGTATTGTGATTTTAAAAATATTATAGTTGTATTACAGCATAGAATAAAGCAAATAAGTAAATACCTTAATATTATTAGAAATCTTGATTTCCAGTGTAAGAGAAAGAAGATACAAAGAAGTTTAGAAATAAAACTATGTTGTTAAATTTTAATTGGAAATAGCAATATAAGCTCATATTTTTTGAAAAGTAAATCTCTTGGCTCTATCTACAGAAAGATCCTAGAAGCAGTGACACGTCAGTGGCAATGAGTATCCCTAACATCCAGATTTTTGTTTGTAATTGTTATTTGCATTAGTTCAAGTCCACTATGAAGCAGACATCAAAACTGGATCTACTCCACGTGCAAGAGGTTTGTTAGGAGAAGGAGCAGAAGAAGGTAGAGAGAGTCCTCAGATGAAGATGCAAACCCGACGTCTGTGGAAGGAGGAAGGAAGGGAAGAAAAGAGGGTAGGGAGGAAGTGTGTCAGGCTGCTGCACATTTCTGAGAAAAGTTCAGCTGGGCCAATTGAGAGCCCTGATGTAAAAGTCCTGCATCTTTCCAGAATGAGCCTGTCTTTATAGCCTTGCCATGCTCAGTTATGGCTGCATGCAACCATGGGAACTGTAGGCTCTGCACGGGTTTGATGGTGGATACAGAAAAGCAGCTTCTGGTGCTGTCAGTCAATTATGCTTTCCACAGAAGGAGATCTGAATGGTCCATTTCCATGGCTATTACACCACTCCTTGAAAGAAACCAAGGCTCCTTGGAGAAATAACTCATTGCAGGTCTGCACAGGGAAGGTATGAAGTAAGTCTTTTACTTAACTCTGGACTTCTTCCTTTCACCATATATAAAATTAACTCAAGATGGTTTAAATACTTACATGTAAGATCTGAAACAATAAAAAACCCTAGAAGAAAACCTAGGAAATACCATTCTGGACATCAGTCTTGGCAAATAATTTATGACTAAGTCCCCAAAAACAATTACAACAAAAACAAAAATTGTCAAGTGAGACTTAATTAAAGTAAAGAGCTTTTGCACAGCAAAAGAAACTATCAACAGGGTAAAAAGACAACCTACAGAATGGGAGAAAATATTCACAAACTATGCATCCAATAAAGATCTAATATCCAAAATCTATAAGTAACTTAATTCAACAAACAAAAATCAAATAACCCCATTAAAAAATAAGGACAGGACAGGAGCAGACACTTCTCAAAAGAAGGCATACATGCACCAACAAACATATTTTAAAATGCTCATTATTACTAATCATTCAAGAAATGCAAATCAAAACCACATGAGATAACCATCTCACACCAGTAAGAATGGCTATTATTAAAAGGTCAAGAAACAACAAATGCTGGCGAAGTTGCAGAGAAAAGGGAACATTTATGCACTGTGAGTTGGAATGTAAATTAGCTCAGCCACTGCAGCAATCAGTGTGGAGATTTCTCAAAACTTAAAACAACTACCTTTAGATCCAGCAATCCCATTACCAAGTATATACCCAAAGGAAAATTAATCATTCTACCAAGAGGACATGCACACATATGTTCATCACAGCACTATTCACAATAGCAAAGACATGGAATCAACCAAGATGCCCATCAATGATGGACTGAATCAAGAAAATGTGGTCATATGCACCATGGAATACTATGAACCCATAAAAAGAGAATGAAATCATGTCCTTTGCAGCCACATGAATGGGGCTAGAGGCCATTATCCTAAGCTAAGTAAGGTAGGAACAGACAACCTAATAACACATGTTGTCATTCATAAGTGGGAGTTAAACATGGAAAACACATGGACACAAAGATGGGAACAATAGCCACTGGGGACTGCTTGAGAGAGGGGGGTGGAGTGGGGGCATGGGTTGGAAAGATTCCTATGCAGTACTAGGCTCACTACCTGGGTAGTGAGATCATTACTATGCGTCAGCAACATGTAATTTGCTCATGTGACAAACTTGCACATGTACCCCTCAACCTAAAAGTAGAAAGAAAAAAATAGGTATACTTTTTTAGAAAACAGAATAAAGCATGTCAATTTATATAATATTTTCAATATTTAAGTAAAAATCAGGCTGGGTGTCGTGGCTCACGCTTGTAATCCCAGCACTTCGGGAAGCTAAGGAGGGCAGATCACCTGAGGTCGGGAGTTCAAGACCAGCCTGACCAACATGGAGAAACTCCGTCTCTACCAAAAATACAAAATTAGCCTGGTGTGGTGGCGCATGCCTGTAATCCCAGCTACTCAGGTGGCTGAGGCAGAAGACTCGCTTGAACCCCGCAGGCAGCCGTTGGGGTGAGCCAAGGTCATGCCATTGCACTCCGGCCTGGGCCACAAGAGAGAAACTCTGTCTAAAAAAAATAAATGAACAATAATAATAATAATTTAAATAAAAATCTTCACTTTCGCAAATATTATGATTCTATGAGATAAATACATAATCTCCAAGGGTAGAAACTTGTAGTTCTAAACCTCAGCCCAGTTGCTCAATTTCAGCTTGGGTAACTTGTCCAAACTGCTTCACCTGGACTTCTCTCACTCAAATAAGGGCAAGATGAGGGCCTGGGTGGAAGGATGATCACTAGGATCGCCTTAAAGCATCATTCCATGGCATAACTTTGTTTTTATGGTGTTGATATAATTGATATCACAAACTTACAGACTACCGCAGCAATCTGAATCATAAAATTCGCTAGTTTACAAGCCACTTGAAAAATTTAAATTTACACAGTGAAAAACAAGTGATTTCGAATTGACATCATCTCTTACTATGAAAATTGTAAGTTTAAATCTCTAAATGAGTGAGTAATTTTGTTTTTAGGATTTGAGAAGAAGTAGTTATCAGTATGGACTTTGCATTCATGACAAAATGTCTATTAGATTTACAAGCTAAGCTTTTTGTCATCATATTTCTGGATGATTTCTTCGCTCAGGTCAATTTTGAGGCTTGAAGGGAGGAATGGCCTTTATCAAAGTCACCTTGTTTAACAGAATCTGGCAGTACCAGCTTCTCTGAAGGTGTCAAGATGAGGTCAGCTCCAAAGATAATAACATAACATGAAATTCAAACAGAATTCATTTTGGTTTGTATTTGTCTTCTTTCTGAAGTCTCCTAATTATGAGCTGAGTTTTAAACAAGAAATGTTTTTAAAAACGAATTTGTTTAATGAGGCCCACTAATAACCTGCTCAGAGATTTTAGGAGGGCATATAGGGCATTAATTCCTATGAGTTAGCAGTAATTAGCAGAGTAGTTCTTATACATATTCCTGTACATATTATCAATAAATTATAAGGTTGCTGCTAAATTGGTTAGTAAGGTCAGTGTGAACCATACCAAATAAATCATCAACTATTATTAAAGCACTGCTAAGTTTAAGGAACGTATGGAGAAATCAAAGACGTAAAACATCTCTCTCTAAGCTTCATACGCAATCTGTCATCTATTTACTAGACACTTATTTATAAAACACTATGTTGCATATTGTCATAAATCAGAATAGACCCTGACCCCCAGGTATTTTTAGTCTTGTAAAAGGGATAAGGCCAATTACTAAGTAGCTATAAAGCTGAGATAGCTAAGGTAAATGCTTCAGAAAGATATTAAAAATATATGTTATGGGAGTTTGAGGAAGTTAAGAGGAGAGAGAATTTCACATGGATGGAAGCCCAAACTCAACATGTCCCAAACCATGCTGGTCTCCTTCCTCCCTCATGCATGTATTTACTGCTATCTTCAAAGAAATCATAGTGCTACATATATGCCAGGCACTGGACTATGTTGATGATAGAACAATGAATAAAATACAATCCCTGCACTTTAGGAACTTTCTCTCTAATCCTCAACCCTTCTCCTCACCCCACAGCGTGTCCTGTCTCAAGTCATGACACCTCCATACCCCACTTCCATCAAGCAGAGAACCCCCAAATCATCTTTAGTTCCTTCTCCTCTGTCTTCATTTGAACCGAAAATCCGGTCAATCAGTTCTACCTGTCTTATTCTTTTTTTTGTTTGTTTGTTTGTTTGAGATGGAGTCTCACTCTTGTCACCCAGGCTGGAGTGCAGTGGCGTGATCTCAACTCACTGCAACCTCCACCTCCCCAGTTCAAGCGATTCTCCTGCCCCAGCCTCCCAAGTAGCTGGGATTACAGGCACACGCCACCATGCCCAGGCTAATTCTTTGTATTTTTAGTAGAGACAGGGTTTCACCATGTTGGTCAGGCTGGTCTCGTACTCCTGACCTCAGTGATCCACCCTCCTCAGCCCCTCAAAGTGCTGGGATTACAGCCGTGAGCCACCGCACTGGCCCTGTCTTATTCTTTTAATCCACATTGTTACACTCCACGCTTTAGCTATTTGTTGCTACTTTATTACGATTTGACCGTCCCTCAGGATGGGCTCTCTCCCCTGTCCCAGCCACCATCCACACTATCAGCAAAGCACAGACCTGATGCTGTCATGGTCTTGGCTCAGAAACAGCCCTTTGTTTGTTACAAAGTGATGTATGACTCATTAGTGTGGATATCAAGACGCTTGTAATCAGATACCAACCTCAACTCCCAGACTTATTTCTCTATCTCCAGTCTTCTACACACTGAAGATTCTAGTCACACCTGACTTTTCTGGAATACACCCTCCACTTTCAATCCCTGATCACAGAGTTCATTCTGCATGAATTATCTTATCTTCCTTCAAAATTGTATTTAATCTTCCAAGTTCAGCTTCTCTTAAGCCTTTCCAAATGTCTCCATCATAATTATGATGTACGCCTTATTTTGAATATTTATAGTCTTTGGATTATTACATTTCTACTAGGCATTGTATTTTATTTATATAATGATATTATACATTTTGCAAAGCACTTTCACCAACTCCTAATACACACACTTTTTACCAACTCCACACACACAACTTTGATGTGAGTGTAGGAAGCCAGATGAGGAAACAAGTGCAGACAACTTAGGGGTGACACCCCGGTTTCACAGTCCATTAGCTCTGCACCAGTGCTTTGCTCACGCTCAAATATGGAACTTATATTTCAGATCAGTCTTATGGTCCTGCTTTCCTTATTTCACTCTGGGTTCCTCAAGGGCAGGAGCCCAAACCTCGCTTACTTCCTGGGACATAGTACATCTCATTGAAGGTTTATTGAATTAATGAAGCCCCTGCTTATATTCCTTCTCCACTTCTGCCTCTCTTTTTAGCTGAGGTCACTTCATCCCTTTGAATGAATTTAAATAAACAGAGGTACTCAGCCTTGAATCAAACCTGCCTATCTCATACATTGTGTCTCAGCTTAAGGAACTGTGTGCTTTTAGCCTGCTTCTGACACAAAGTCTCAAAGTAATAACTCAGTTCTAATAAACAATCTTCACCTTTATTCCCCGGGTATAAAAATCTTTAAAATCTCACAGTGCAGGAAAAACATGTGATTCTACAAAGAACTTTTATCCCACAATAAAAGACCATTAAGTCAAATACCATGATCTATAATAATCTAACTTGGAAACTATGGTGATGAAGTTTCAAAATGTTAACTGCTAATTCCAAATGCCAAATGTGATCTCTGTTAAACTATACTTTCAATTAGAAAAAATAAAATTAGGATTTCAGTGTTAATCACAATTTTGACACTATGAGCCCTGAACATTTACCTACAAATTACTGAAAAGTAGAAGGAAAGAGGAAAGTGCAACTCAAGTTCGACATGAATTAGTAAAGACTCCATAACCTGTAGTAATATCTGAGGGTCTTTTTCTAATCTATTTTGTCCACAATGTCTCTGGCTCAATCGTTATCAGTGTTATTTCACTATCTTCTTATAGAGAAATGTGATATATCAGGATGCATGAGAAAAAAGGCACTAACACTAAAAGTCTCACTTTATCAGAACCCGTTTCCCCACTCTCATTCTGCTGTGTGTTGCTACAATCCAGCTTTGGAGCATGAACTCTCACACTCCCACTGTATTCCTTCCATTGAAATTAAAGAAATGCAACTCATCAAACATTTGGCAGCTTCATATCTAACGCTCACATTTCAGTGTCTCCTTTGATGTTGTAAGAGAAGCAGATGCTTCTACATGAGAAAGCAAGATAGGGAGCCATGTATTTTTACTTTTACTTTAACTATCTCTCAATGTGATCACCTTACCTGGATTTTAGGATCTTTCTAAACTAGAAAGACTCTATTGTCACAACGTAATGTCTGAAATGAATGATTAAAGGAAGATACCCACATTATGTGAAGTGAATTAAATCTAAATCTTAAATCTCTATCATAAAATTATTCTGTAATGAATTAGGAGTTTCAATTAAAACATGCAAAGGAAATTTTTGTTCTATTTGAATTTATTGGGACTATGATCTTCAGTTCCGAGCATTATATTTAAGAAGAAACTGATCCAATAGAAATATAAGCAGAAGAAGATCACCAGGTTGGTCAAGAAATATGAAACCATATGAAATAGAGAAGTGTTGAAGTAACTGGGGAGGTTTACGTTGGAAAAAATGAATATTCAGGAGGGATGAGATGATTATGTTAAAGTGTCACTCAAAAAGGAGGATTATATTTATCTAATACTTAAACTTTACCCATTGGATTTAAAATAAACCCAATGGATAAAAATTCTAGGTAAAGAAACACTAAGTATAAAAAATATTATTTAAAGCTGACAAATTACATGTTGGATTTCTCTGAAAAAGGAAGGGTTGCCTTAGAAGGTAATTCCCTATTACTACAGAAGTTCAAAGAAGGTTTACAATAACCCAGTGGCCAGTTCTGTAAAATGGATTCCAACATTGGATGACTGAGAAGGCCAGATGGCTACTGGGCTTATTTGCAACTAGTGACTTTATTGTTGCCTTTGTTCTGATTATAAAGACAGAGTTATTAGAAAAGTGAGAAGAAGCTTCCAAATACTGCATTTCAAGCATAGAAATAAATAAGTTACTATTACTACAATTAGAAAATGACATTCATTTTCCCATTCTCTTAAAGCAGATTATTTCAACTGATTTTACAGTCATCTTAAAGGGTCAAAGGAAAATGTTAAGTAGACAAATTGTTAGGAATAAAATAGTACACAATTGTGTTTGACTTTATTTCCAGTTTTGTCAATTCTTTATGAAACTGAACTAAAAGAGGTCCTGGAAATGAGAATTTCATCCTGTGAGTTTTTATAGAGCAAGTTGAAAAAGCACATAGGAGGACAGTTGAGAAGTTTTAGGTCGATAAAAGAAAAAAGAAAAAAAAACAAGTCTGAATGTACACCAAACTACAAAGCAAAAAGTGGTATTGGAGAAGCAATTTTAACTTTTTTCTTATTTGTTCATAATACTTGAAATTTGTCCCAATGACTTTGCATTATTCTTTAAAGGTACATAAAAATAATTTTTAAGTAAAGCTAACAGATGACGTATACATCTTCAGTACTCAATAAATATGAATGACGCTTATTATAAAAGTACAATATACTCCAAATATATTCATACCCTTTTGAACAGAATTTTACCGTACATATGACTTAATTTTGGATTATACTGTGAATAAAATGTCGATTAAGTATAAATATACACCAAAGTAATGAAAAAGGGAAAGTAATGTACTATTCCTGTCTTCATGAAGCTTATAATGAAAAAGAACTGAAAAGAAATACATCCATAAAATAACTAAAGGGCATATTTGCCAAGCAACATAATAACAGAGTGAGGTTCCATAGATAATATTATAAACTATGCACATAAATGTTTTTTAAAAATCCTGAATAAAGACAGGGTTAAAATTAGGTGAGGTTACACAAAAAAATATTTTCTAAATGAGGTAGGGATGTTATTGCAAGTTTTAAAAAAATAAACTAATAACAAAGTCAGATTAATTATAAATTGTATGACTCCTCCTCTATCATTCTTTTCATTATTAAATCATTTCATTGATTTTTTTTTTAAAAAAAACATTCATTTCCTCCATCTCCATTTCCAAGTCATTTGGTTTTGATTTGTTAATGACTGCTGTAGTTTAGCTATGAGGAGAGTTTTGTGTTATTTGGTGTTAGGCACCCAGATGATGGATTAGTGGTTCTTAGGCACACCGTTTTAAAACATCTTGTCAAAAATACACTTTGCTCAAACTTGCATTTGAAACAAAAGAGGCCACAACAGGACAGCTGCCACTGCAGCTACGTGGTGGACTATTCTAGCTCCTACATCTATGATGTAGAGATGTTTTTGATGACAGAATAGGTAACTGCATGCATTAATAATGACCCTTACACTTTTATTACTTTTTTTTACTTTTATTGCTTTTTAATAGAAGGTAATCTTGAGTCTAATTTATTACAGACACTCATACCTATTTTAAGGCTAAATTGCCCATTTCTGTGAAATCAAAGATCTAAGCATTCACTAAATTATAGCTACTGTAGATTTCATTTCCACTTTCACCACAGGAAGAGGGAAAAGGAAAGGGAAAGAGAAAAGAAGGGTTAAATGTGTGCACGATGCTTCTTTTCATGTTTGTGGTAAAGAATGTATTGGATGGCTTAATTTTTTTGTGTTTTAAACCACATTTGCCTTTTCTCACTGTGGTGCGGTTGGAGCAACCATAGGTGTAGACGTGGATTCTAATCATGATGTGCCTATTATGCATCTAGCACAGTGCTAGACACTTTCTCACACACACACGCACACTCCACACTTAATCCTCCAAACAATCCTATAAGGAAGACAGTTTAGCTCCCTTTTTGAAGTTGAAAGAGGCACATTTAGAGAATTTAAATAATGAGCTTATTGCCAGAAATTTATAGCCTAGCCAGCATTTTGGTTTCTGACTCTAAGTCCCACATGCATGCAACTGAGAATCTGGCAGCCCTGCAGGTCTTGTGAGCACTGGGTGGGGACATCCTGCTCATGAATGTGGAGATGCCCATTCTCCTCAGTACTAGCTTCCCACTCCTGTGGCCTCTTCCAATACACTGGACTTCTAATAGCCTCTGCACTTCAGAAAGCAGATGTTCAGCTGCTCTGCCCCACACACTCACCCACATACACACCCTTCCTCTTAATTGTGCCTCAGTGCCTTGGGGTCCCCATCCCCGTTCCAATGAATGCCATGTCATTGTTTGAAAGGCTTGCAGACTTTCAGAGCAGCATTCAGGCAGGAGTGGCACAAGCTTGTGACTCTTAACCCACCCACCGGAACCTATCCAAGTGTCCCAACCCTACTTCCCGGGATTTCAAATCTGAGACATAAGATTCGAGTCTTTGGCTCTACTCTCCCTCCCAACTCCTCTCCTAGTCTTAAGAAGGGCTCCCCTCTGTCTTTCAGAAAGCAATTGACTTAGTGACTCATCCAACTTAGTCCATGGTTCTTAGTAAAAACATCTGCGTATTCAAAGCTTGGCTTTCAAGATTTTAAAGAAAATCATCATTTCCTCACTCAACAAAGTCAGAATTTTACAAATCAAAAGCGCTTGCTTTTAGACTATGATTTTCCAAAGAACTAAAAACATTGTATTTATTTTAAAACTGAAAGGAATTTCCTTTTTTGTCTAGGGTTTTCTGAAAGAATGAATACCCCACTTTCAGTTGGGGGAGAGGCACAGGATAATTAAGGGACAAAAAACATAGTTACAGGAAATAAGGCTATTGGGTGGATATTATCAAAAATTGTATCCTGATATTCTGGAATTTTCTTGTCCATTCTTAAGAGCATAATTTGAAATGTTTAAAAAGTAAAATTCAAATTTATTAAATATAGTTTTTATGTTTTATTTGGTATGACTTAACAATCATAAAAATTTTTAAGATGATTTAAAGTAATAACTCCATGACATCATCTCACAGCCTTTGAAACAGCATCTAAGGGGACCACGTAGAAATGATTGCCTTAAGGACTGTGAAGACACAATAGACCCCAAAATACCTCAAACTGGGTCGTCTGAAGCTTTAGATGTTTCTCTTTTTTTCATGTAATTTTCATTTCTCAGAAAATTTATCAAAAAGATGTCGCAAACTTTAGGCTTTTGGCAATTATTATACAGACACAAAGTTTATTTTACAAAATGGTAATTTTTCTATCAATATGTCCAGTAGCAGAACTATTGAAGATATGTGTTTCAGTTTTAAAAAAAAATCTATTTAAACACATTTATATTGTTTTAAAATTGAGTGTGGTGATATTCAAACTATCATTCTTTCCTGCAATGTCTGTTTGTGAATATGATCTGTGTAATAGGCAATATTTAATTCAACCATATGTATTGATACTTGCTTTGTGTCAAATATTTTTCCAGAAGCTGGAATTGTAGTTGTAAATGAAACAGAAAACAAAATTCTTGACCACAGGTAGTGAGGGATGACAGTGAACAAATAAATAAGTAAAGTATGCCACATGGTAGACGGCCATTACAGTTACTAGACCTGGCCAACTGGGTTCCTGATCTGGGGTCCCCATTTTAGAAACACCTGTTCTGTCCTGTCACTGGCCACGAACCTCCTGTCTGGCAAGTAGTCTGCAGAATCAAAGGTATGTGCCGATGTGGAGGCCCAAAGACTGGGGTTTCTGCAGGCATGTACCTGTGTATTACTATCGGAGGAAACTGAGGTAAGAAGAATGAGAGGCTTAGGTTTTCCTTTGCATGCTAGCCCCAAGCCCTGCAAATATCAGAATATGAACTTCTGGGTTATTTTTATTGAATGGACTATTTTATATCTCTGTAGGGCTAGAAATTAACTTTTTTTTTTTTTTGAGATGGAGCTTCACTCTTACTGCCCAGGTTGGAGTGCAATGGGGCGATCTTGGCTCATTGCAATCTCTGCCTCCTGTGTTCAAGTGATTCTCCCATTTCAACCTCCCAAGTAGCTGGGATTACAGGCACGCATCACCACACCCGCCTAATTTTTGTATTTTTAGTAGAGACGGGGTTTCACTATGTTGGCTAGGCTGGTCTCAAATCCTGATCTCAGGTAATCTACCTGCCTTGGCTTCCCAAAGTGCTGGAATTACAGGTGTGAGCCACTGTGCCCGGCCCCTAGAAATTAACTTATAGAACAATCATAGTAGTGAAAATAATTAGTGTCCTTTACAATGCAAATGAATTTTATCTGGTAGAGTTCCAATTGATTTCTCCCTTGTAGAAAAAATCACCCAAAACATTTTATTGCCCCAGAGAATATGTACCAGTTTTGCATCTATTACTTACTTCATTTTAGCCCTACTGACTGTATGTATATATATATATATGTCTATACATACATACACACATTTACACATACATTCAGATTTTTGAGATTCCCTTTTGAACTGTTCTGAACATCTCATTGATTAATAAGATCTTGTTAATTAATTAGCACCCCCATTAACTAGTGCATTTAATGAATCTTTGATACA
The DNA here is from genome assembly GCF_000001405.40 of Homo sapiens. Classification (NCBI taxonomy): domain Eukaryota; kingdom Metazoa; phylum Chordata; class Mammalia; order Primates; family Hominidae; genus Homo; species Homo sapiens. The sequence continues at coordinate 38,609,382 of NC_000013.11, forward strand.
GGTTTATTTTTTATTTGCATCCAAGCCATAATGAAATTTGTTTTTTTTAATTTTTGAAATTTATAAATTAGGAAGAGTTTAAAATTTAAAATAGAATGGAAGGTGACAGTTTCACTGGTAAGGTGATATTTGGACAAAGGCTGAGGAAGGTAAGAGAGGAACACAAGATGAGACTGTTCCAAGTGGAGATAAAATCAAGTCCTAAGAGAGAAGATAGGAATCATGGAGAAAAAAAACTAATTCCCTCCTACCTCTCACAACCTAAGAAATATCTGTATACAATTTGGGGTTTGAAAGAAGATCAGACACAGGAAATAAACATTGTATGGATGTGGCTGTAGACATTTGGAGTGTATGTAATTTAAAAGTAGAATATCCGAATGTCTGTGGGGACACTGCCAAAGAAATCACTGACCTTGGAGGAAGGGGTAAAAGGATCCCTAATGAGATAACAATGACCATATGGTAAAATTTGCAGACAATGGGCAACTTAATCATGCTGCAATGTGGATCTTTTCTGCCTGGTTATTTAGAATTACAGTTATAAAAAAAAATTTTTTTAACAATTTTGTCTAAGCCTTGAAAATAAGAAATTTTTTTAAAAATAGTAGTCTTAACAGGTCACCTATTTGAATAATCATGTCTACTAGCCAGCAGAGATGCTATAATTTTCTTTCTAACAGAGTTTTGTCTTTAATTTTATATTAAAATAATCTTGTGATGTAGTTAAAGAGAATATTCGAAATTAAGGAACATGAACCTGGTCCCTAAATCATCAAAACCAAGATAGTCAGAGTCTTAGTCCATTTTCTGTTGCTATAACATAATACCACAGACTGGCAAATAATGAAGAATTAAGGTTTATTTGGTTCATAACTCGGGAGGCTGGGAAGTGCAAGCACTGCACCAGCATCTGACAGAAGGCAGAAGTGAGAGCATGGGACAGAGCAGAAACAGAGCCAAACTCATCCTTTTTATCAGGTACTCACTCCCTTGTTAATGGCAGTAATTCAATTATGAAGGCAGAGGCCTCATGGCCTAACCACCTCTTATAGTCCCAACTCTTAACACTGCTGACTGGAGACTGATACAGTTTGGATATTTGTCCCCACCCAAATCTCATGTTAAAAGGTTATCCCCAATTTGGGAGGTGGGGCTTGGTAGGAAGCGTTTGGGTCATAAGGGAAGATACCCATAGCTTGACGCTGTCCTCTCAGTAGTGAGAGAGCTCTCGGGAAATCCAGTTGTTTAAAGTGTATGGCACCTGCCCTCCATCCTACTCCTGCTTTATGCCATGTGATGTGTCTGCTCCCCCTTTCCCTTCCACCATAGTCAGAAGCTTCCCAAGTCCTCCCCAGAAGCCGAGCAGATGCCAGTGCCATGCTTGCTATAAAGTCTGCAGAACCTTGAGCCAATTAAACTTCTTGTCTTTATAAATTACCCAGTCTAGAACTCCTGATCTCAAGTGATCCACTCACCTTGGCCTTTCAAAGTGCTAGGATTACAGGCATGAGCCACTGTGCCTGACCCAGCCTGGCCAATGTGTTAAAACCCCATCTCTACTAAAAACATAAGAATTAGCCAGGTGTGGTGGTGGGCACCTATAATCCCAGCTACACAGGAGGACAAGGCAGGAGAATCGCTTGAACCCGGGAGGCAGAGGTTGCAGTGAGCCAAGATCGCTTCACTGCACTCCAGCCTGAGTGACAGAGCAAGACTCCATCTCAAAAAAAATTAAAAATAATTTTAAAAAAGTCAATCTCATGTATTTCTTTATAACGATCCAAGAATGGCCTAATACAGGGACTAAGTTTCCAACACCTGAACTTTGGAGGACACATTCAAACCATAGTAGTTAGTTAGGTTAATTCACTGTATTACATTTTAGAAGGCATAGAGATAGTAGTAAATTTAAAAAGTAATTTAAAAAAAGAAAAGAAATTTCCTACTTCGACAAGGTTTCCTATCTATAATAGTTCACTAAAATGGAGCGGTTACCGTCTTGCTTTTTATTTTGCTACAGACATGAACAAGACTCAGATGTAAGAAAGTTGATTTATGCATACAAAGCAGTTAATTTTTATTTCTTGTCTACAAGCAATGTTTAGAACTACAGCAATGTTCTAAAAGCCTCTTTATGAATGTCAAACCACACATGAAAATAAAATAAAAATGTCATCAGCAAATAAGTCATTTCACATACTTTTGAAAGTAGACAGGGGTAGGGTGTCTGACCAGTTTTCACTCTTGTATTTGAGCTCTCCTGTGTGAGAGATACCAGTCTGACATTTGAAAACATGGGCCAGAGGATGAAGACACAAGACTGTTTTGAAATCTTTGTGTGTCTCTGCCTTTCCTTTAAATGTGTATTTGGTTGCAGCAGTGTAATAGGTGACTGCACAGATGAAAGAAGCAGCATTTATTTCCAGGGTCACAAGCAGAGCCAGAGTCTCCTCTATCATTTTCCTAATCAGCATTTCTAGTGAGCTTACAACAAAAGTAAACCTTTGCCCTCTTCCAGAACGCAGCACAGTAAACAATGCGCAAGAAAGTAAGGTGTACAAAGAATGCTTTCGCATATTGCATAAAATACTATCATAATGATTACGTGAGAACATGTATCTGACCTTGTCTTAGCTATACAGACATGGGTGCTCATCCCCAGGACATTTCAGAGTCTAGTAAACAGGAATGATAAGGCAAATGATCTGAATAACATTGACTCCATTCATAGCTGCCCTTAATAGCCAGGGTCATGAATGCATCATAGCAGCTGGAAGACGACCTGTAGGAAAAGGCCACCAATGACGCTCTCAGGAAGTAAAATAAAGAGCTAAGAGAAGCACAGAAAAAGAAGCCCTGCTGCCTTTACATATCTCAAAACTTGAGAAGAATTTATGTACAATTTGGAAGTTTGGGGATGCAGTCAGGATACCAACAAGCAAATGGGTTGTAGATATCTCGTGGGTGGAATGGAGATTTGATTTCAGGAAACCTCCGAGAAGTTTTAAGACAGCTGGAGTGAAAGAACCCTTTTGACCTACAGGGATTCACAAAAATGTGTCATTGGGCAAAATGTCAGAAATAAAGGGAAAAAACTACTAAGTTAATATTACTCTTCCTGGTTTAAAATAACTAAACTTACTTAGTCTTAGTAAAGTTCAGATTATATGCTGGGGGGCAACTATTACCTACTGTAGTGTCATGGATATTTCTACATAAACCAAATATCCACAACATTCTTAATCCAGGTCTTTTGGGGCATCAATGAAAGAGTGTGTGTGTGTGTGTGTGTGTGTGTGTGTGTGTGTGTGTGTGTGTGTGTGTGTTTATCAATAGGAGAAAATTATTTTTGTTAATGTCATTGTATTTTAAACTTTCTGATTTTGATTTACCAAAGGAATTGGTAAATTTGAAGGAAGCAATAACCATCTTCAAAATTCACACTTTTAAATTAGTGTCTTTTTCTATATATCATTCATAACTATAGTTTATCCAATTTATTTTTATCAAATACCTACTCTCCCCCAGGCTCTGAACACAGAGGATAGAGCAATAAAATAAAACAGTGAAAGTATTAAAAAGTATTCTGATGGAGTTTGCATTCTATAAGGGTAGAAAAAGAATAAACAAGTATATAAAATGAAAGGTAGGGATTAAGTGCCTTGAGAAAGAAAATGGTAGGATGATGAGAATAGGGGTGGGAGTTGCCCCTATTCTCCCTATGGGAAAGTGATGTGATATCAGCAGACTACGGCCAGGGGAGATTACTCTAGGGTGAGATATGACCCAAAATTTGAAGGAAGTAAGAGAAAAGGCCACAAGGATATCTGACTGTGATGGCTTTTTTGAGGTGTCAGCTTGGCAAAGCTACAGTTCCCAGTTATTCAAACACTAATCTAGGTGTTGCTGTGAAGTTATTTTGCACGTTAATTAAACTCCCGAGGCAGTTGATTTTAATAACGCATATCATCCTGGAAAATAATGGTTGACTCAACTTAATCAGTTGAAAGGACTTAAAAGTAGGACTGAGACTTCCCAGAGAGAGAAAAACAATTCTGCCCATAACAGCTTCAGCCCATGCCAGTGGAATTCCGCCATGCTTACTATGCTCCCTCCCTGGCCACCTGCCTGCCCTACGATGTTCAGATTGGCTTAGCCAAGCCCCTCAAGTGCCAATCCCATGTACTAAACAGTTTTATGTCCTATGGGTTCTATCTCTCATTGAACTCTGGCTGATACACTTGAGAAGAGCATTCCAGGCCCTGAGTTAAGAAGTTGCTTGGCAGGTCCGGGAGACAGCACAGAGGCCACTGTGGCTTCAGCAAAGGGAGCAGACAGGAATGGTGGGAGAAATAAATAATTTTTGCTCTGGACACATTAGACACCGAAGTGGAGAAGCCAAATGGGCATTTGGATAGATCTATCTAGAGTTTGGGACAGAGTCTGGATTGCAGATATAAATTTCAATCTTTATGTACTGCTCTCTTATTCAAACTATTCTATAGTAGCAACCCAATTTCCTGTAGATAATACCAAACATCCCGATAACCTCAGGAAGTCAAGTAACTTTTTTTGTAAAATGTGATGCCATTCAAACTAAGGTATTCAACAAGTAACATAGTCAATGCCAAAACCTCTAATCCTTCTGTGAAAAACGCAGGACATAAAAATACATAACACTAAACATCAAGATGCTGTGACATTTTGCTATAAGACTAGAATATGGGACAAGTATAAAACATAGATTACAAGCTTTCCTTATAATAAAAATGTGCTTCATATATATGGTTATGCTTAAAGGATACATTATCATTGGGAAATAGAAGAGGAATAAAACATTTTTGTAGTTTCATAATTGCCTAAAAGTTTTTTATACAGATGTATGGGCTTTGAAGAAGTTGGCTTGAAATGAAAAAAAAAAGCATGTTTATTCTTAACTCCTTTGTGAAAATGTTTTAAGGTAGCTAATTCTTCAGGAAATATGGCATGGTCCACTGCCAGTTAGAATAAATTAATGCATCATTTTCCCCGGGAAATATCTCACACCTGTTTCTAATATTTGTTCCTTTGGACTAATTCCATGCACTTGGTTCACTGATTTCTCCTTTTTAGGTCTCCCTAGTCAAAAAGAGTAGGGCATGACTACTAAACCCAGGTGGTCTAGAAATCTTCGTCACTGTTGAATTGTGGTTGACCCTAGTGGGTTGGGGTGGATACGTTGTTTAACAAAACACACCACCCACCTTCTTTAAAGACGGAGACCACACAGTCCTACTTTCTCCATTCACATAGTTGGCTAATAAGATGCAAACATTAATGTTGCTTCTTCAAAGAGAATAATACAGCAACTTTCAACCTAAACATGAACTTTTATGCTCCAAGGAAAGCAGGCAGTGCTAAATCTCTTTTTGTGGTTCTGAAATCCAACTAAAGACAACCTGAAAAAAAAAGTGGTGGACATTTGAATGAATTTATCCTGACAATGTAGTGAAGCTATATTTCCATTTCTGTAGTGAATTTCTGCCATTTGATTGAAAGCCATAAAAGCAGAAATAAATTGGATCTTGGATTCATTCATGCATGCAGGCAAAAAAACATTTATTCAATGTTTATTTTGAAAGACAGAATCCTTGCTTTTATAAAGGCCACATCTCATGAGAAAAGCAGCTAAAACCACTACAGAAATATGACCAGTGTTAGAAAAGAGTTTGCAGGGAGAGTTTGCTACTGAATCACAAAGAAAGGAGAATCTTGGGATGAAGGAAAATCATGGATAATAGTCCAGGAGATTTAAGCTAAGTTGAGCCTTGGGACCAGTAGAAGCTAGTTAAGTGGTGAGAGTTTTCCATGATGAAGATAAAATCTGGAACGTCAGAAGTAGTGACTGCGTTCAGAGGATTTTAGGCAATTCTATGGGGCTGGCACATGGCCATTTGTGGAAATTGGGTGACAGATGGCAAGAGATAATAGCTGGATAGGCAGGTATTTAATAACGAGTTCATCATAGCTACACTTGGTTATTTGGATTTTGTCTAAAGGCTTGGTTAGCCTCTGAAAGATTTTATACTGTAAGGTCACATGCTTGCATGCACATTTTAGGTGCTCTGGCAGCCTTGCGTTGATTGGGAGGGTGTCAGGTTGGAGATAGGACAGATATGGAATAAGCATCATAAATAAGATAGTGATAGTGGGAATAAAAGAAAAGAGGTGAATTTAGGAAATATGTAAGGGAAACTTCAAAGAGTTTTTATGACATGTTTCTAAATATAACAAAGTATATTAGCAAACTAGGGCTGCCATAACAAAAAATACAGACTGAGTGACTGAAACAACAGAAGTTTGTTTCTCAAAGATCTGGAGGCTGGACGTCCAAGACCAAGGCATCAGTAAGTTTTTGTTTTTCCTGAAGCTTCTCTCCTTGGCTTATGGATGGCTGCATTCTCTCTGTGTCCTCACATGGCCTTTCCTCTGTGCATACCCCCGGCATCTCTTCCTCTTCTTATAAGGACACCAATCCTATTGAATTAGAGCCCCATCCTTATCATGTAATTTAACCTTATATACCTTCTTAAGGGCTCTGTTTCCGAACAGTCACGTTGGGGTTAGGCCTTCAACATATGAACTTTGAGGGCCATAATTCTGTCCAGTACTAAATGAGGACTGTTCTCAAATTTTAGAGAGTATGAATCACATGATTAGATTTCTGGGGATATGAAGATGACAATCACATGGCTCTAAAACCTTGGTGAGAGCCTCTACATCTTTTCCCCATCCTCCAGATAACCAGTAAGGATTTGAGGGTCTGGAGAGCACACAGTCACAGGACGGGGCAGCCTGTGTGTTCCTGGGTGAAGACAAGGAAGAGCAGGGCCCTTACGTTCCTGTACTGAGCTGTCACGGGAGCAAGGGAAGAGATGCTATTTTTAAAATACATTGAAAAATAGTTATATTGAATAAATTGATATTGAATTTGAATGAAATGAGCACAATAACTACATAAACTATAAATCTCAGGGGTAAGGATCATTCACAATCAGTTAAGTGATTTTGCCACTGGAAGTGATATTTTAAAACATGATTACCCTTTGTTTCAAGCACATCCACATCCACTGCAAGAGTTAAATTAGACTGCTGATGCTAATAATCTAAAACTACAATCTTTGTTACCTTAAAAGAAAATGTCGTTTACTACTAGGAATTCAAGAGGAATATTTTAGGACCTTTGATCAGAAGCTTTCAATGCTTGCAATACTACTTTGGTATACATAAAAGTTCAACTAAGACTAGGAAAGAATGTTTCCTTTTTCTATTGAAGACAGGATCTTAGAAGTACTCAAGTGAGCTACGTGTCTTTTTAAGTTTTATTTTATTTTTAATTGACATAAATAATTGTACTATTTATGGGGCACAATGTGGTGTTTCCATGAGTGTATACATCGTGCAGTGATCAAATCGGTGTAATTAGAAAATTTATTACCTTAAACATTTACCATTTATTGTAGTGAGAACTTTCAAAATCTTCTTTTCTATATAGGAACTAGCTAGACAACAACATATTACCAATACATGACTCTCTTATATTAGCAACAAACCAAATTTGAAAAGCCTTAGGCAATATTACAAAAACAAAACATTTAGAGTAATATTTTTAAAGTTTTGAAAATTTCTTTAGTTGTATAATTATAATTGACAAATTATATTTGTATATTCTCATGGGGTAGAAGATATAATCTTATAATCTAAGAATGCAATGTAGAATAATTAAATCAAGTAAATTAACATAACAATCATCTCACATGCATCATTTTTGTGGTGAGAACATTTGAAATTTACTCTCTTAAGAATTTTGAAATGTACTGTGTTATTGTTTACTATATTTACTATACTGTGCAATATACATTTATAGTAATATTTATGAATTCCAACATATTAGATTTATCAGCTTCTATAAATAATCATCTTTGAAATGATAAAAATCGGTTCTACCTGTGATTCTTTTCTGACATGAGAAGTTGCAGGTGCATATGAGATGATCTACTGACTTTTCTTCTCAAGGTATTCTTTGGAAGCAGTGGGATTTGGCTTGGTTGTAGAAGAACTCAGTATCTAGTTTGCCAGGCAGACTTCTCGTGGATCTCCAGCAACTGGAATGCCTTCACCAAGAAGGCAGTCTCTTCCATGCTTCAGCCACTGGGAGATCATTGACACTCAAATACTTGAAGATTTCCACTGGGAGTCAGTTATGAAAAGACCTGTTAGTGGAAGGTCAGGACCTCCTACCAGCACATCATAGTCTCAGGAAATCTGTTTATTTAAATCTGACAAGTGTATAATGCTTATATGGCCCAAACTGGCTTTCCTTGGTGTATATACTTAGACATGATGGTTATAGTGAGAATCCACTGAAACTGCACCAGCTTCACAGTTCACATTATGAAATGTGTTGGCTTTCTCACTCAAAGCAATAATTTCTGTAGGACACACAAAGGTGAATGCCAAAGGATAAGAGAAGAGCATGAAATATTTTTTTAAGTCAAGCCTAAAGTCAAGGCTTAGTTCTTTGAACTCTTCCCTGGCAATGGCAATATACTTAAAATAGTAGGTTTCTGAGGAACTTACCCATTCATTCACTCATGCAATTGAAGAATGTAGCAAATGTGTACTGAGAACCTTCACTGTGCCAGCTTTGTGTAGAAAAAAAAAGGTTTGAAGTAATGTAAAGTGTTTGTTCCTGCTGTCTTTTGTTCTGTACGGAGTTATACTAAGTAGATAGTGGAGAGCAAAGCAAACTTGCAACCACTTTCCTTTCTTAAAGAAGAAACATTGAAGGGGCCAGCTGCTACATGCATTGCTCATCTTCACAATGTGTACTATGTCCTGACAAAGTGTGAGGAATATTAAATACCATACTCTATGTCACAAAAATGTTTCCTGATAATTCAGAATAATGGAGAAACAATTCATTTTGAGACATACTGAGACAAATTTATGCTCGGTCAATTTTTAAAATTTAAATTTTCTGTTAAAAATCATAAAAGCAAAAAGAAAGCATGGAAACTAATGAAATAATATGACATTTTACAAAGAAATTTCCTCATAAGTCGTCTTTCCTCATGTAAAGATAACATCAGACAGCTAAGCATTCCAAAAATGCTAAAATGCTTGAAGCTTTGGTCTTACAAATACCTAGCATTTGTCACCCTTCTAAGAGATTTTAGCGATCAATAAGGTCCCCATATCTCATCTTATTTTTGTTCTTTTTAGAAGATGAAACATTCCCTAAACCTGCCCAGAAATAATGGCAAAATTAAAACTAAAAACCCAAGTTATCTGCCTCCTAGTCTAAAACTCTTTCTGCCTAATTATGATTCCCTTTAGTAAAGTATTTTTAAATGTTTTTTCAGCTTATCATTTCTACCAATCTCATCCAAAATATTTATTTCAACACAGTATTATCAAAAAGTAATCTGATTTTACATTATCCAAAAAATAATTCACAAACTATATGCAACCTTTAACTTTTGTAGACTATAATTCCAACATATAACTGGGTCTTACAAGTATATCCCTATTACTCTGAGCTTGCAATATGTATTTTATAGAAAAGAGGCAATCATCACCCATGGCTATGTCCAGGGAACGCCAAGGAAAAAAATAGGACAAATTTGGCAAGTCTTGCTAAACACAATGTTACAAAAACCCTGTGATGAGCCAATTTCAGAAAGAAAATAATGTAGTGCTAGAGAAAAATGACCTTAAAGAAACACTGAGGCTAGAGTTTTCTGAGATGTCTAATTAGTTTTTAAAGAAAAGCTCTGTGTGTATTTGCCCTGTGTGTCTATTAGGTTTAAGAACTGGTAATGTGTTAGCATAATAAGCAGCTTTAATTAATTGCCAGAGTTGAATTATCTGACTATATATCTTTTCAGGAGGCTTATAGTCTGCTGAAGAGAATAATATTCCTGGAAGGTGGAAGTGCATCACTCAAGTAAATGACTATGGGCATCTGTTTGTCTGCTCTAGAACCTCCATGCAAGTTTAGGGTTCATTCTAAGGTGGTTGGAGTATTTTCAGTAAAGGCTTTAAAAATTCATTATGTGTAGGATATTTTATTTCACACAGGGAAAGAATAGAATCATTCAATGGTAATGGATTAGTGTTGGATATGCCAGTATGAATTCATGTTTAGCTAAACATAAATACATATGGTTACCTATAGAAATATGTATAAAAATGTATATATATATATATAGTTGGTACACACACATATATTTTCATTTCTCATCAGCCCTAAATTAATGATACCCCAGTAGCAAAGAGCATACCTATGCCTGGCTCCAGGTTTCTTATATTATTCTCCAGAAAAGGAACCAGGATTTCTTAGAGTAATGCTGATTTGAGGATTGGGGAAAAAATATACAAGATCAGCCTGGAGTAGTGTTAGAAAGAAGTGTTAACAAAAAATTATGGAGATATGACAAAGGGACACAAAAGTTGGCTGAAAGATCCATCAATGACCAAAGCTGGAACAATTTGAGCAGAAAAATTAAGTAGCATTGAACTATAACCCAAAGCATGAAATAAATACCCATGAGTTCATAGTAATATAAATGATTAAAAATAAATAAGTGAGGGAAGAATAGACAAATGTACTACGCAAAAGAATCCTACAGACAGTCTGCTCTTAAAGAGGTGGAACATAATTCCCCGCTCCTTATGGGTAGGCTATGCAAAGTGATTTCCTTTCAAAGAGTAGAGTGTGAAAAGAGGAAAAAGAATAACTTTGCTGGGGAGAAACCTGACCAAAAACTGTCTCAGCTAGGTAATCAAGGTTAACATCAACAGTGGTAGGTCACGTTAATTGTATGTACACTTCATATGATGTGATGAGAATGGCGCTTTACCTCAGTGGTCTTTCTCCCAAGAACACATAAGTGAAGTCTAATCACAAGAAAAACATCAGACAAAGTCCGGTTGAGGGACATTATACAAAGCTTCTAAGCAGTACTCCTGAAAACAAGCAAGATTGTCAAAAACAAGATAATTCTGAGAAACTGTCAGAGCCAATAGGAGCCAAAGAAGACATGACAACTAATGTAATGTGCTATCCTGGATGGGAGCCTGAATAAAGTACAGTGTTGAATTTAGTTTATAATAGTGTGTCAATATTGGTTCGTTAATTGTAACAAATATAACAAATACACCAAACTCATGTTAGATGTTAATAATAGGGGAAGTTGAGTGGGAATATATGGAAACTCTACTATCTTCATAATTTTTCTCTAAATCTGAAATTGTGTTAAAATAAAAGTATACATCTGAATACATATACATACATAATAAAAGTATGCATATGAATACATATACATACATAAACATATACACATTTCATATATACATATACATATGTATATGTATATACATATATATGGTTTGGAAACCACTGAACTATGATATGCAATATAGTCTGAAATTGTATTGTATGATAAATTTCAAATAATACAAGAACTGCCTATCTTGTTTATCAGTGTTTCTCTAGTACGTTATACAGCGCTTGTCACAGATTTTTTTTTTTTCTTTAGAGGCAGAATCTTGTTCTGTCACCCAGGCTGGAATGCAGTGGCATGATCATAGCTCACTGGAGCCTCAAATTCCTGGGCTCTAATAATGCTCCTATCTCAGCCTCCTGAGTAGCTGGGGCTGCAGGCACATACCATCACACAATTAGCCTGGCAAATGTTTTCGTTTTTTTTGTAGAGACGGGGTCTTGCTTTGTTGCCTGACTAGTCTCAAACTCCTGGCCTCAAGGAATCCTCCTGCCTCAGCCTCCCAAAGTGCTGGGATTACAGGTATGAGCCACTGTGCCTAGCAAAAAAGAAAAAAATTCTTTAAAAAATACTCATTGAATGGATATAGATACAGAACTATGCGTATTTGTGTATTCATGCATGTCTATATATCTTACAATTTATATGTATGTAATTATATATCATTTTCTATGTTAAATGTTTCACATATGTAATATTAACTGAATCTGTGATAATTTAGAAATGTGTTCAATTGAAGTCCCCAAATGACTCCCCAATCTACTTGTATCAAGGTTCCAATTTAATGTTTTTCAAATAATTTGCATGATTGCAAACAGTAGTTTGCCTACCAGTGTATAAAACTTAAAAATGATCACGTGTCACTCAACAAGGGCTCATTCATTGTATGTAATGCACTTCCTTGTGGATTTCCTTGAGGTACTTGATCTATCTTCTGACTCTAAATTCCTCTAAATGCCCACAGGCCTAATTTTAGTTGAAGAATGTCACGTTAATTTAGAGAATTGTTTTGAACTAATTTATGTTTACATATGCTTGGTGTAACCTTGAGTCCTATGCTCTTTGTGATTAGTATTCACGTTTGTAAGTGTGCTGGCCAATATATATATTATAATTGTCATTTTCCTGAGGCAGTGATTTTGATCCATGGTCACAAAATCAAAATTTTCCTGACAGGCACTGAGGGTCTGGATACAGGGAAGGTGTGTATAATCTCTTGCTCATTGGGGCCAGTAGTACATGGATTCCGGCTGTATATGTGTCTCAGCAGTTTAAAAACTTTTGTCACTTTTTATCTCAACTTTCTCTTTACTGAGGCATGCTTGAACATTTGGCTTTCTCAGTCTCTCTCTCTCTCTGTGTGTCTGTCTCTTTCTCTCTCTTCTTATTTGTACTTTGATAAATGACTAGGCCTCTCATACTGTTTTTGAGTCTTCAATTGGGGTGAAATTAATACATTTAGTAATAGTAATTAATAAATGGGGGTAGGCTGTTTCCAGTTTTGAACTCACAGTATATTTATTATTTTATAAGATACATAAAGATTTTTCTCTCCATTTATATGGTATTCACTAACTAAAGCATTGAAAGCATTAACTACAATACAGTGCTATCACCATATACAGTTATAGCTTCTATTTTATGTGAATAACTTCATGGTTATTTTCATGGCTTTTCTTATTGCACAGGACTATGAGAAGAAAACATATTTTATAAACTGCCATGGATGGTGTCTCTAATGCACTCACACCTGATCCATGACGTGTGACACAGCTGCTCCTGAATGGGTTCAGATACTTGATACTTATGTGTATTTTATGTCATCTGTCAGCAACCTGACCAGTTGTGGCTTATGTGGCAAATGACAGACAGAAAATGTTTATTGTGTCTTAACATGTGCCTTTCGGGGAAGATCTACTTAACATTCATTCAGTTATTAATAAATTAGATGGACATTCATTGAATATCTAGTGTACTTAATGCATTATCATGAGTGATATTGAGTGTAATATTAAGGTTCGCTTTCTTTTATGCTCACAAATATTAACTAAATAAGCTATTGAAACAGGCAACAACGTGGGTGAATCCCAAAAACAGTAGGTCATGTGAATGAAGCCAACACATATTATAAGAAATTGCCAAAACATGCTGCAAAGTTGAAAGAATTTTAGAGAGAACATAGATATACCTACCACCTAGTCATAGGATGACTTTTACATGAAGTCCCAGAAGAGGCAATGCTAATCTCTGGTGGCAAAGAGTCAGAATGGCAGTTGTTTCCAGAGAAGCAATAGCAGGAATTGACTAGAAGGAGGCATGAGAAAACTTCCTAAAGTGCTGGGCATGTTCTTTTCATTTAAATATTTTTTAACTGGCAGATAAAAGTTTATGTATTTATCATGTATAACATGATGTTTTGAAGTATTTATACATTGTAGAAGATTAAGTCTAGCTAATCAACCTATACATTACCTTATATAGTTATCATTTTTGCAGTGAGAACACTTAACATTCACTCTCTTAGCACTTTTCAAACATGCAATATATTATTTTTAACTATAGTCACAAGATACAAAATTTCAGTTAGATAAAAGAGCATATATTATTTCTATTTCTTAAGCGAATGTATCCTAAAGATTTGGACATTCCATTATATGTAACTTCTAAATTAAAATCATTTTTAAAGTAAGTTCTAATTAACTTTATGCATACCAAAGTATTCAGGAAAAAGTATATTTATCTCTGCATCTACTTTAAAATGCATCAAAAATAAGATGGAGCAACACATATTAAAACAATAAATGGTAGAAACTGGATGGTAGGTATAAAGAGGTTCTCTGTGAAATTCTTTCAACTTTGCAGTATGTTTTGAAAATTTTTCATATGTTAAAAGTGGCCTTTCAAAAAAATTAAATGATTGTGTTAATATTGAAGCTTACTTTTTCATATTTACTATTATATTGGCATTTTTAGAATTATTGTATAAATTTTTATTAGATATTCTTCAGAAGAGATCTCTGATTGTTACTTCTTCATGGCAAAGGTTATAAGAATCAAACAAAACAAATGCTAAGTTCCTATTTGTATTCAATGTCAGAAACTTAGAGTTAGTTGCACCATGAAAAGTCACATGGTCCATTTCCCACACCAGTCTTCTAAGTCAGAGAGTATCCTTAGCCATCAATGCTATAATACATGATGTTCGCTAGTCCCCCGGTGTTTGCTGCTTCTGACATTAACAGAAATTTAAATCCTTCATAGTTACAACATCTGGTTAGCACCAATGGAAGGAAAGATCATTTGGATATAGAAGCCAGGCCATATAGCAACATTTATCTTTTTTCAAAATAGAAAGTGCATGGATTTTGTTGGATCAAGAATGTTAACTGTCTTCATCATACACTAATTAAGACCATTAGTTATCAATGCCTCTCATTCCATAGAGAGGGTCCCAGTGGATAACTTCCAACAATTTATTTTATAGATTTTGTTCATTAGTATTTCATAAGATGCTGGTATTGCCAAGTGTTTTAACTTACAGAAATGGAGACATTCTAAAAGACAGCCCAGAACAACTCAATTTTTTCATAATAGCACTCACTCCAATAACCACATAAAAATTCAAAAGTTCGATAAAAATTATTTTCTTCACATATTGGAATTCAGTTGCTACGTTTTATCCAGCAATCTCATTGCCAAAGGAAATGAAATCAGTATGTTGAAGAGGTATTTGTATGCCCATGTTCACTGCAGCATTACTCACAATAACCAAGATATGAAATCAACCTAAGTGTTCATCCCTTAGTGATGAAACGATAAAGAAAATGCAGTATATATACACAATAAAATGATATTCAGCCATAAAAAAAGAGAAGAAAATTCTGTCACTTGTGACAACATGGGTGAACCTAGAGGACATTAAGTTAAGTGAATTAAATCAGGCAAAGAAAGACAAATTGATACAGGAGATATAAATTATTTAGGCAGATAGTGAGGGTAAAAGAGTCCTTGGCAAGGCTTCCGTTCTAACAAAAAGCAGCCCGAGAAATGATTGTTTTCTAACAAAGAGCAGCCTGAAAAATTGAGCTCCAAACATAGATAAGCAAGCTGGAAGCTTCCGTGGGTGAATGCCAGCAGCTGTGCCAATCGAAAAACGCTACCAGGGGTCGGGCATATTCAACATGGAGGCTGCATTTTCCCTTTTATTTGTTACCACGTGCACAGTAAAAAATCAGGCACCATGGCGCTTGCCAGGTAGAAAACCCATCTGCATAATAAAAGATTAGGGTGGGGACAACCAGCTTTTTGTGCCCTATGCAAATGGCACACCTAGCCCTAACCAGTTTTTCGTGCCTTATGCAAATAGCACACCTGGTCTGACCCATCTTTCCTGCCCTCTGTAAATCAGACACTACCTTCTCAAGCTCATTTATAAAGGCTACTACTGCATTTCACCGCGGAAGTGGAAATGCATTCAGGACCCCGCTTTCTGCAGGAGAGAGCTCTTCTTTTTCTTTCGCCTATTAGACCTCCGCTCTTAACCTCACTCCTTGTGTTTCTGTGTCCTTGATTTCCTCAGCGTGAGACAACGAACCTTGGATATTACCCCAGACAAACGAGGCTGCTTCAGAATATCACACGTTCTTATTCATATGTGGAATCTAAAAGAGTTGATTTCATAGAAATGGAGATTAGAATGGTGTTTACTAGAGGCTGGAATGGTTATGTTGGATGAGGGGATTAGGAAGATGTTGGTCAAAGGATATATACTTACAGTTAGAGAGCAGGACTCAGATCAAGACATCTACTGTACAGCATGATGACAATACTGACGACATACTGTACCCTTAAAAATGCTAATGAACTGGATGTTAAGTGTTCTCACTACAAAAATAACTGTGAGGTAAATGCATTTGTTAATTAGCTAGACTTAATCATTCCACGATGTATATATACTTCAAAATAGCATGTTATGCAAAATAAATACATACAATTTTAAAAATAAAATGTTAAGAGTAAATAAATTCACCATGTTTTGTTTTGCTTTGTTTTTCTCTAATAAATTACAGCATTCAATTAATAAATAACGTATTTTCTCATTGCTGGTCTAATTATTTTTCTTTCCTATAAAGATAGTCATAGCTGACAGGTTGATCTTATAGTTGGCAGCCAGGTATGAAAGTAACAATATATTTCAATACATACAAATGTAAAATGATGCCATAATACAATTATTATCATTTTCTCATATCTAATATATATTGTATAATAAGCTATACTTTTATATTTAATTTTAATCTACTAATTATACTTTAGTATAATCCCTTATTCTTTTATCCAACTGACATGCATTGAGTACTTAACTGTGCCAGGCATTCTGAGTGCTGGAATCAGACTTATAAAAAGTCCTAATCAGGAATCTATTAAATGGAGATGGCTCAGGGAAGAGACCCTTAGCACAATTCAGAGGACAAGCAAAAGTAAAGTTATGAAAGCGTTGTATATTCAAGGAAGACTATTTCACTGCTCTTGGGCCACAGAAGCACATAAATAGGATGGAGAGATGATGAGCCTGGAGAGACAGGCTTGGAAGAGATGAGGTAGGCCTTATATGTTAAGCTAAGGAGTTGGTTCTACACCATGAAGACAGTAAGGAGGCACTGAAAAATTGTGAGTATTTGAGTGCTACAAACAGAAATGTTTATGAATTCTGCCTGACTAAAGCCTAATAGTTATGGTCTCTGGGCATGCAATGCTGTTTTAGGGCTCCATCTATCTCCCCTTCTTGAATGTAGGCTCTTGCCAGCACTGAGGCCATGTTCTATTCCAGACATGCTGACTGGTTCGACTCCTCCCTACCTTATGCGCCTTGTTGCTCCTGCTGTCTTGATATGTGCAGCAAGCTCATGATTTTGCTTCATGAAAAATGAGGTGGTAGAGGAATGCTAATGATAGTGTATATGATGTTCACGATGTTCCCAAGGTGTGAAGTAGAACATCATAGCTATTAAGAGTATGAGATTTGGGCTTCCATCTGCAGTGTTCAAAACCTGGTTGAGTTAGCTAGGCAAGTTAAGTAACATTTTCTTATCCATAAAAGAAATTGTAACAGTAAGTTTAAGACCTAACTACTAAAACAGAGGCCCCAAAATGTGATATCTTAAACAAATTAGAAGTTTATTTCTTCTCTGTAACAGTCACTTATGTTCATATTCTATTAGTGCAATAGAGTTGTAGAGGAGATTTGGAAAGCATTCTGTCATATGCCCAGCTAAAACTCAGGAGTCATTAAGGAGGGGGGATGGTTGGGGGCAGCTGCAGGCTCTGCTATTAATAAAATGATAAGTGTACAAAGCTACCTTGTAATCTGCTGTATTTCATATGATCATGTGTAATGTTAGACATGGTAACTGGCATAAACAAGATATATAGTTGTAGCTTACATTTGTAATAATTATTATCAGCATTTTACATGAACATACATCCAAAGGAAGACTTGCTATTCAATTGGCTCTGGGCTTAGAAAAAAAAACTGTGTTGTCAACTGAAAAGCAGTTATAGCATTAGTAGGGTTCCCAAAAATCTATTAGAGTCCCTTTCAGTAACTGTTATTCAACTTCAGCAGTCTGATATTATTTTTTCCCCTGTTTTAGTTCAAGATTCCAAGAATAGTTACATTGCATTCAGAGATTCTTAGCAGAATAAAGTTCTGTTTCCATGACTAGCTATAATGGATTATTTAAAGGGAACAAGTGAATTATGTGTACTTTGCAGCAGAATTGTTAATTGCCAACAGAAATTATATCTTAATATTTACTTCCTAAAATCATTCTCTTAAGATAACTGAAGTATTTTTTCATTTTAGCTTCAAGGCTCATTGTCAATGAAATTTTTTAAAACTACATATATCCAATACATTTTTAAAAACATGTTTGTGAGAAAAAATTAAAAGTAGAATTGTTATATAATCCAGTAATTCTACTTCTCAGTATATATTCAAAAGAATTAAAAGCAGGAATTCAAACATGTACCACCATGTCCATAGCAGCATTATACACAATAGCCAAGATACAGAATCAACTTCAGTGTCTATCAACAAATAAATGGATAAACATAATGTGGTATATACATATGAAACCGTGCCCCAAAGACTTAAGGAAACCAATGGCCAAATTCTTAGGTTTACAGGATAGTAGATAAGAGAAGAAACAATATGCTGAGATGCCTAAACTCAAACTCTGCCCCCAAAGAGTAAGAAAACAGTAACTAACAAAAATTCTTGAGTTTACAGGACAACAGAAAAGAAACAGCCTGGTCAGACACTGAAACTCCCTCTGCTTGTGAGATCAAAAAGAACCTGGGCCAGGTGAAGTGGCTCATACCTGTAATTCCAGCACTTCGGGAGGCTGAGGCAGGAGGATTGCTTGAGCCTAGGAGTTTGAGTCCAGCCTTGGCAACATAGCAAGACCCTGTCCAGCTATTCAGGAGGCGGAGGCAGGAGAATCACTTGAACCCAGGAGGTGGAAGTTGCAGTGGGCCAAGACGACACTACTGTACTCCAGCTTGGACCACAGAACACGACAGTCTTTAAACAAATAAATAAAATAAAATAAATAAAGATGATTGTTTCCCAGTTAATTATCTTGGCACACTCTCAAGGTTCCATTATAACTATTAAATCAGGGTTAGATAGCTAACATAAAATGGTTAATCTACAGGCTTGCCAATGATAATGAAGTGACCTGAGTTCAAAACATTCTACCCAAGTAAGAAAGAGCTAGGTCAATGAGATCGTTTCCTCTTGGAAATTCAGATAGGGACATACTAAAAGAATTGGACCATTAGTAACTGGAAGAGAAACTAAAGAATTATGAGGAAAAAAAGTTTGTTATGTAATAATTATGAATGAGCTGAATTATTAAGAAGAGATGCTATAGGTAGAGAAAATATGGATGGAGTAGAGAATGATCTCTTTGATCTGTCATTTCTGAGAGGAAATGACAAAATGACCCCAGAGATGCAGAATCTAAAAGAGCTGAGTCATGTTTAAGGCAGAAGGAGAGATGACATAGACGCTGTTGCTAAGGGTCTTATACAACAGTTATTATTCTTGAATTCCTAAGAACCCTTCCTCCTGTTAGCCACAGAGATTTGTTAGTCCTTGTGACCAAAATGACCATCCATATTTGTGCCACTGTTAAATCTATGGGCTTTTTGAAACACTCTTAAATGAAATGAAAAGGAACAGTTTATGTTAGTGGTATCTGGCTCAAAAGTTCCACAAATGCTACTTTCTCTGACGTAGTCCCAGACTTCCCTTGTAGGTTTCATAGGTACTGCCATCATTTTATAATTATCACAGAAGCCCCAAGTCATCCTGTTAACACAAGGATGCATGGCAATCTAAGTCATAACTAAAATTCCTTTGATGTCGGGAGTAAATACTGTAATAAATTATGTATCAAACTTAACTGATGAACAAATGGAGCCCATCTAACTAACCTCTCCCTTCATATTTTCTATTCATCCATCACAGTTTTTAAAAATTAATCTTAGAATCTTTCTTTCTACTCAAAAAAATATTTTGGATCAAATATGATACTTATCTTTTTTTCACTTAGGATAAATCATATTGAAAATTAATGCACACAGATGCCATGAATACATGAGTATACATAGTCATTCTCTTAAACTCATTACGATCACCCTTTTGTCTTTGATTTCAAGTAATGCTGAGTCTTTAAAAAAAAAAATCTCACTTGCCAATAGATTACGTGTGAGAAGATAAACCTCCAGCAATGCAACTTTGCAAGAAGGCAGTAATATTCAGACAATTCAGACAAGAGTGATGGGGTAGAACTGAGATTCTAGGCAAAGTTCCCAGGTAGGGTACAATAGTAACATTCTTGAAGATTTAGAACTTCATTCAGATTTTTCTGAATGTTGACTTTGCTGCTTAAAATTAGTACTATATAAATCCTATATTTTCTGTGAAAATAATTGTTAAAATTGAGGCAGTTTCTATCACTGAACTAACTATCCAGTGCAGCATATGTTTGTTAAGCACATGTTGTGTATAGACACTGTGCTGCTATACGACAAGGTGCCAGGAAGAAAAAGAATCCATTTCTATACTGAAGAACCTCATGATCTATAGCAGGGAGAAATTTATAGGCAATTCCTTGACCTAAAAAAGAAAGCCCTAGATGCTGTTTTCTGAACCACCTGGAATCAGTAAAACTGCTGGAGTTCAAACTTCATCTCTATAAACCTAATCAAGTTACTTAAACTATCTAATCACCCATAAAGTGGGGAGAGGTAACAGTTCCTACTTCATAATGTCTTGGAGATGATTCTATGAAGAGACAATGGGATGACAGATGTGCTTGTCACAGATTAGGCAATAGTACGACCCAATGAACATTAACTATTATCTTCAAAATTTTAATAATTATTTTAAACCTTCAGATACAATATGATTATTATTTAACAATATTGCAAAGATATTGGCTCGGTTTTTAGTTTTAATAGACACAGCCTCTTGTTAATTTGGCACAGTTTAATTCCAAACCCATCTCTCTAATGTATATCATCACGAATGTATAATTAAAGAGCTATGCAACTCAATTTCAGCTAAAGAAAAATTATTCTTTGTACTTTCAAATGATGTTTAATGTTATATAAATATTTTGAATATAACCCCCACCTTCTAGGTCTTCTGGATCGAAGTAACACAATGTTATGTATGCTATAGAGAGCTATTCCCATAAGAAGACTTTATAACATTGATTTTAATGAACATTTTTAAATAACCTAAGTCCTTAATTCTCATTAAGGGGAAATCATATATCATGTCAACGATGAGTCACCTTAAATGAACTATAACTGTTCTCCATTCACCATCCCAATTTTCTGCTTCCCCTGTAGCCACACTTCTTAAAATACTTATACCTCAGATTTACAATTCTTTACTTTCCATTGGTCTTCAAACAGACCAGTCTGCCTTTCCTTGTCACCTCCCCATTTAAACTCTCTTATCAAAGAACCAAGAATTTCACTGTTAACACATTTATAGACATGGTTCTTTCCCTCATCACATTCAATTTTCCAGCAGCATTTGATTCAATTGATAATTTCTTCTCTCTGAAAAGTTCCGATCACATCATAGGCTTCTCTTGGGTGAAACATAATACTCAGTAGTGTGCTGGCAAATATTTAAAAGCCGATTCTCTGGGGGAAAAGCCCGAACTGTAGTGTTGGCCAATTTTCGTAGTTTACATACTTCTGTCATGACTGATTTCAAGCTGCCAGTGTAACATGGCTAAGCAGGGTAGAAATATACACAAACACTCCAACACACCACTTATTCTACAAATTGTCATCTGGATGCCACTGAACACTGGAATTACAAATTTCATTTCTGTAAAATTCTAATAAGATGTAATTACATATTCAAAAATATTTTAACTTTAGCTATATTCAATTTTTATTTAAGTACTTGATATTTATTAACTGTAGTTTGTATTTACCTTTGAAATTTATGTTTGAATTTTATAAAATAATGTTGAGTATATATATATATATATATATATATATATATATATATATATATATATTTTTTTTTTTTTTAGACACAGTTTCACTCCATCACCCAGGCTGGGGTGCAGTGGCCAGATCTCAGCTCACTGCAACCTCTGCCTCTGGGGTTCAGGTGATTCTCACGCCTCAGCCTCCCGAGCAGCTGGAATTAGAGGCATGCACCACCACGTCCGGCTAATTTTTGCATTTTTTTTCTTTAGTAGAGATGGAGTTTCACCATGTTGGCCAGGCTAGTCTTGAATTCCTGGCTTCAAGTGATCCGCCCACCTTGGCCTCTCAAATTGCTGGGGTGACAGGCATGAGCTGCTGTGTCTGGCTGATAGTGTTGACTTTTAAAAGAAAAATAACTTCTCTCAAAACCTAAATAAAACTTACATTTTAGTAAAAAAAAATACATAAATATTTATCGTTTGGCTAGAAATATAATTTTTTTTACTCCTTAAATCATTACTGATAATAGAAAACAATGTACAGTGAATGAAAATGTTGATTACAACATAGTGATTTTGCTAAAGTGGCATCAAAAATAAATTCTAGGCCGGGCGTAGTGGCTCAAGCCTGTAATCTCAGCACTTTGGGAGGCAGAGGCAGGCGGATCACGAGGTCAGGAGTTCGAGACCAGCCTGGCCAACATGGTGAAATCCCGTCTCTACTAAAAATACAAAAATTAGCTGGGCGTGGTGGTGAGTGCCTGTAATCCCAGCTACTGGGGAGGCTGAGGCAGGAGAATTGTTTGAACCCAGGAGGCGGAGATTGCAGTGAGCCGAGATCGTGCCACTGCACTCCAGCCTGGGTGACAGAGAAAGGCTCCGTCTCAAAAAAAAAAATTATAGAATAAATAATAATTATAAATTATGTATGTATTTGTCTTATTATTCACCTAAACCTCATTGGCCCATCAGTAAAACTTCCAGATATATAATGATAAACTCAGCTGTCTAACATTTTGGCAATTTTTAGTCATGTACAAAACATAGGTTTATATGTTTTTGTTAATATTGTCATTATGAAGATGTATTTGTGAAGGCAGAGGGTAGAGGACATTTTAATTTAATAGCGATTAGTGTTATATCTAACTTTTAAATATCTAGACATAGAAGATGTGGGTCTCCATTTGTACCCTGACCCCAAGCCCTGTAAATGCTGGGAGTGTCGTATGATTCGGTCATCATGATAAACTCGTAAGGTTAAGATCCTTATCCTCTTTTATTTGAACCAAGGTCCATCTGATTCCAAATTTAATGTTGCTGAGAACTACAGTTTACTGCCTTTCACCTGTTTTCAGTGGTAAATAAATAAGTAAATAAGCAAAATGTTGTTTTTAAAACATAATATCTAATTTAACAGTTCAAGTCAGGAGCTTACATTTTCTAGGTGCTACTAAACTCAAAAAGTAAGATTTAACATTCTCCAAATTAAATCCAAATTAATATATTCTGTTTAAGGCATTGATAAGTACATGCTATGCTACAAATATTATTCCACACATTATTTTTGAGGAATAATACATTTTTGACAGATATTTCAGAAAATCAAAATTGAGGTAAAGGAATCTGCTTTTAAAGCCATGAAGATGCTTGAAGAAAAATGGAGAATAAACGAGACCAAATGGAAGATAGAAATTTATGGCAGATGTAAACTAGAAGGTGGGAATGCCGTGGTTGGTGGCTTTTGAATGGAAAGCAAGAAAGAGCAGACCTTGGAATGAGAATTTATTTGTGAGGCACATTGCACCTATTCTTTCTGCCATACTAAAGTCATCTTATGTGCTTCCTAACTTGCATCCCAAAATGCTGGTAGTCAGCTCAACCCACCCCTGGCTATGGCCCCATTATCCCTGGGACATCAGATATCTATCTGGTCGCTGCCTCATTGTTACTAATTTTTTAGGTTGTTGCGAAGTGTTTTAGGTTGCTGCAAAGTATTTTGCAATGGGGAAATAATCAGAATGTTCAAATAGGCCACCTGTTGTATTTTATGCTCACATATAAAATATAAAGGCTCTGCCACAGTGGAGGACAACACAAAGATATTTCTGGCAGAAATAAGACTAAGGCACATGCACTGTAAAGGCCATGCACACCACTAAAAACACTGAGCTTAAATCAGGCATCATCAGTGTAACAGAGAGATGCTTTCCTTATTTATAATACTATCTGAACTCTGCAGTGGGGTTTATGATAGTGGCAGATGGCATTATTTTAATAACACAATTCAAGTGAGTACTAATCCTTCTATTGTCACTTTAATTGAAGTCAAATTTTTTCATGTAATTTTAAAGAAGGTTTCCATCAAAAACAATATTTTAATACTTGGCTTCCTACGAAGATAAAATGTTCCAGGAGTACATTGTACTCATAATGCACACATAATGCACACTTCTTGTCATGTTATTAATACCTCATCAAGGCAGATGGTGTCTTGCTATCTTTCAGATCATAACTGAAGCATCATTTCTGCAGAAGGAGCGTGCCTGATTCTCCAACCTAAATTTGGTCACATAGTGTTGCATTCTCTTAGTACTCTGTGCGTTTCCTTTATTGGGCTCGTCACTATTGCCATGTGTGTATGCTTTTCAGTGTTTACTGTTTCTTCCACTAGATGAAGTTCCACAACTTCAGGGGCCATGTTTACCTGATTCACCACCTGTTCCCAGCACCTTGCACTTTTTCTGGCAAACATGACTTGCTCAAAAATGATTCTGGAATAAATTTGATTTATATCACTGATAGAGACCATTTAGTGTCATTTAAAGCCTTCAAAACGTAGAAAGGCTAAAAAGTGCAAAGGGAGAGAGATATTAAGATGATGGAGACTTAAGGATGGCCAATGTTTAAGGTTCTCAGATGGTGACACACAGAGCAAAAGGCTTAAAGAAGATGAAAATTATTTTATTTTTGGATGAAAGAATGGTAGGAGAGACGACAAAATGGGCATTGGTTTGGGTCCCAACTCATGAAGGTATGTTGGGAAACAAGATGGGAATTGTATGGCCTCTGGAGTTCCCCTTGCTCAAGCAAAATATGACAAGCAGATTCAGAAGGGAGACTGTCTTGTTCATGCTGTTTTCAAAAATAGGTATCATTTGAACCAGCCCCTATAATTCTGAGGACACTTGTTTCAGTTTAGTTCTGTTTGTTACCAATACAGTGGTTCCTCTAAAGGGAGATAAGATTTTCAGACTCTAGTTTGAAAGATTTGTATCCATGTTGAGCGTTTATAGATAAAATCACTTCCTAAATGTTGAAATATTTCAGTTTTTTTATTTCTTTTCCTTTCTGTTGGAGTCTGCACTCAGTGGGAATATATGATGGCCTTGGCTTTGCCCCATATGAGAATATGAAAAATTAGATAATGTCTATAATCTACTCCCTTACCAAATTGAATGTGAGCTTCTTGTCTCAATCACCTTAAAGCCCCTATGGCATAGGGCAGTGTCTGGCACATAGCAGGTGCCCGAGAAATATTTGTTGAATGTAAAACTCATGTAAAAGTGCCTCATCTAGTAGGTCATCTTTTCTCCCACATTTCCACCCCCTACCCTCAATCTCATTAGACTGAAGAATCCAAATATGTAGACTCGGCATGGGATCAAGGACATAGCACCTTAAAAGAAGAATTTCACAGAAAGTTGCCAAAGACTTGGAGAAGCCCCTCCACATACATTCCCCAGATGAAAAATCAATCTCAGACAAGGCCCAATCAGGACCCAGTAGATTTATCAATTTTCTATGCTGACATAAGAGAACTGTGGGGCCATCTGAGTGATTAAAGTGGACTGAGCTAGAATAATTCCAGGACGCTCATGTGAAATGACTGCCTCAAATCAATCAGCGTTCTCAGAGACACCAGACAGCTGTGTTTAAACATCAAGCAAGAGGTCAGGAATCTACTGCATTCCCTAGAGGGCAGTGGTTCCTAACCTGTTGGATCACATACCCCCTAGAGGATCTAAGGAAGGTGTAGGACCCTCTGAAGATTATTGTGCATTTCTGGTTATGGATGAGAAAGACAACACACATACATCGGGATATTTTCAACCCTATACTGTACGTGTGGCAAAGCTTTAGAAACACTAAGTGGATGGCTCTTTACTTGTCCCCTGGAAAGAGCCCAAACAAGCATTCAGTGGATGCTCATTATCAATAATTAATGTGGGGCTAGAGTTGGGAAAGTGTGGCACCCATAATGTTTGGTGTTAGGGAAAGTATCCTAAGGACTTCTGGGTTTTCTACATGTCACTGCTCAGTCACATACAAGTGCAGTGACTTAACAGACTGATACATTTGGTAAGAATAAATCAGGCATGCCCTGCCTCTTCCTCTTGGGAGCAAACCTGGAAGTAAGATGTGCCCTAGAAATGAGGGCAACCTTATTCTTTCTCTTATGTCTGGGTCTTGTTTTGTGTAGACTGGGCAAGGAAAGAGCTACTTCTTGGTTCCCCTTAGAGACTTCCACCACTTAGTACAAAGTGGTGCTCAGTGTCTGTTGTCTTTTGCAGTGATTCGTTGATGTGCACGTGTCCTGACACTAAGTAAATCTCTTTTGCATCTTAGCATTCTCGGGGAATCATTATGGAAGTTTTGCCGTAAGCTTCTATAGAATCTTTTAAAATTGTGTACGTTATATGAATTCTTTTAAAAATTTAGACATAATCTTTTGTGAAAATTAATAATTATTAAAGCAAACTACATATGGCCCGAGAAGAATTCCATACTTGTATATCTGAGTTCTTGTGGATAAAGTGTAACCTAGCTTAATAGTCAGACAAGATTGAAAACTTAACTTAGGAGTATGCGCCTGTAACAACAACTGAGTCTTGGCCCATCCCAGCAGCCATACTTCAACCACTCATAGACTGCTAAGTGTTCAAACTGTGCTCAAATAAGGCAAATGCCAATCTGTAACCAATCCAACTGTTTCTGAACCTCACTGCCAATTTCTTCCTGTCATTTCCCTGTTTTTGTCTATAAATTTCCTTCCACCACGTGGCTGCCCTGGAGTCTCTGTGAATCTGCTGTGATTCTGGGGACTGCCTGATTCACGAATTGTTCATTGCTCAATTAAACTCCTTTAAATGTAATTTGGCTGAAGTTTTCCCTTTATCACAATAAAGAGATCAATAGCTCCTTGTTTAAATAACCTTGACAAAAGCCACTTTATAATTTGTAGAACAAGAAACAATATATGATGAACTGATAGCCAAGATCTTTGAGCTCATTTGTGTTTGTTCTATAGTGATATGCTCCACTGCTCTTGTTTTTATTGTTTTTTCAGCATTTATTAGTCAGGATTTCCCCTCTCCCTAATTTACAAGGCTATCTAAATGGTGCTATGTCAGAAAAATAAATATAATCAGACAAAACTAATTTTTTTCTTAAGTGTAATTGTTAAAATAAACCTCTGGAAATCATTTAAAATCCAAAAGCCCAGGATGTATAAGGATTTATAATTGTACTATTTTCTGATCTTAAACTTTATAATACATTTAAACTTCACAGATATCAACATAAACTTTGTTAAAAGGGCTTAAACATTGTTCAGATGGGTCCCCTTGAAAGCACAGGTGGCTAGTGAATAGGAGAACCTGCCAGTGTGCATCCAGCACTTTGGGAAACTGGTGATGTCAGGCTGAACCGAGTCTATTCTGAATGGTATGTCATTTAAAACAAGTTGAGCAGGTCAGACCACTCTCCATCAATGCATGTTATCAACAAAAACTGATTAAACTTTAACTTCGCATTAGGAGACCATTGTAGACTTTTCTGGCTGAGAATGATGAAGGCATTTGTAATACAGGAAATCCATTTTCAGAATAGTTACTACCAAGTATTTGGTAAATAATATTTGTGTGTACTCTGACAAGACTGAGACAACATACGTTTCATAGATTCACTGGTTATTTTTATTTTAGAAAAGTTTAAGTGTAATTTCACATGAAGCAAAACCTATACAGAGTAAAAATACCATTTATTTTAATACATATTGCTACTGTGAACATACTGCCTGTAAAAAGTAATTTTACTATATTAAATTTGGAGTTGAGGAAGCCTTTAATCTGTACATCATTATTAAATTATCTTCACAACTACAGTTAGATATGACACATCTGATATGGATTTGTTAGTCTCTAAATAAATATAAAATATTTTAAAATGTAAAAATTTAACTAAATTTTAGTTTCTTTAAGACACTTAGATATTAATAAATTTGTTTAATTTCTATTCAAGGCATAAAAATAGTAAATGGAAATTATTCTGCAACCCTGACTTCGAAAATGCAAAATGAACATTTAAATCAATTTAAGTTTTGGTTAGCCATTTGGTGGTAGGTAAACACAATTTAGGTGACAGAATTACAAAAGTTCATGTGTTTGAGCAAAAATGCTACACAGAACAGATGATGAGAGGAGAAGTGGACTCTGACACCACAGTCTTTCCCTCCAGGCGATTGCAATTAATCATCTTGGTTTTTGTTTGTTTGTTTTATGACAAGGAGCCAAAGTATACAGAAGAAGCATGGATTATACAGTTTGAGCTCATTAGGTAGAATTTTACTTTTTAAGTTAATTAGGAGCCCCTAGAGACATCCTAAAAGAAGCAGCGTATTTCCAACAACACTTGAGGAAGGATCATGTAAACAATGAAATGAATAGGACAAAATTGTAAGTAGGGAGCTGAAAAATGATGACAAAAAAACAGACTCAATGCAGTTAAAACCCAGACAGGGGTCGGATGAAATAATCTATGGGGGTAACTGAACGACTATGGCAAGTATGGGAGAGAAAAGTAGGAGACTGTACCTGTGCTTCCCTCTATTCCCTCCTGAAACTGCACTAAAATGGCAGTCAAGGGATTTTTTTAAGCATAAATATACCCAAGGAAATACAGAAGAAGATGTGCCTGCAGTCAGATTTTGGGAGCTGGAAAGCAGGTAAATGGGGGTAACTAACCTGACAAACTAGAGGCAGCCATGACCTGAGCCAGCTGCAGAGAAAAGCCAGCAGCAAGACCATCTGAGTTGTGGAAACCCCAAAAAGGACAGAAATGGAAAGTACCATGTACCTTTGAAAATGAGGTAGCATTTGGGTGAAATGTTCATGTTAGCAGCAATTCACCTCCCAAATCCTGTTTCTTACCCCATCCAGCCAGGTAACTGCCTCACGTCACCCCAGGCAGAAGATTCCTTGGCCTTCCAGAAAGATTGAGTTAGGAGCAACATACGGCCGAATCCCAGGCTCAGCTGGCAGTGGAGTTAGCTTGCTGACAGTTGGAGGTTCAGTGAAAACCTACATAATGAAAAGGAAAATCTCCTACTATTTTACCAAGTCAACTGAGAAAACACTGTCTGGCTTATATTCCGTATCTTTCCAGGAAGAAATAAGAGTTCCTTTCTGGGGAAACCAACCAAGCCAAGAGAGAAGACATACAGATACTGACTGTTGAGGGCTTCTGCAACAAAATAACCCAGCCAGATTATCCTATAGTGAGAACTACCACCAGAGAAACCCCCTCAACCCCCACAAGCATGTGCATATGCACACACACACACACACACACAGCTTCTAATCAGTTTCTAACATGAAATACAAAGGCCAAAATAATCAAGGAAAGAACAGAGAAAATATAAGTCATAGAAGCAAACTTCTCAAAACTCTAATTAGTCCTTCAAAGATGTAAAAAAATGTATTTTTAACCTAAAATAGAATGGTATTTTTAAAAGAAGCATTTTGATAACATAAAAGAACTCAAAGAATTTGAACATATTATAGCAGGAACAGAAAATGCCAAAAAAAAAAAAGGAGCTGGAACATAAAATTGAAGAAATTTTTCAGAAAGTAGAAGAAAATACAAAAAGAAAAATATATAAAATACCTAAGAAGATCAGAGATCAATATTTACCTAAGAGACTGCCAGAAAAATAGAGAACACAAGTAGAGAGATGATACGTTTTCCCAGGCCTAAGCATGAGTTTCCAGACTGAAAAAGCCCAAGTTTCCAAGACAATAAAAGACCTTCATGAAATGACAGCATCAGAAAAATTCCAGAACTCTGTTCACAAAGAGACAATTACAAAAATTACTGACAGGAAAAAAATGATCAAAATCAAAGGGTGGAGGATCACAGTGCCACCAGGTTTCAGAACAATTGGAAGCTGGAAGACAATGGAGCAAGGCTTTAAAATATCAGACAGAAAATTCTTTCCAACCATCAAAATTGTCACTCCACTAGGAAAGTACAGTTAAGAACTTTTCTGATATGCAAGGTCTCAAAAAATATACAATTTACACTTGAAACTGAAAAATTTAGAAATAACAATATAAACATTATATTTAGAAACATGGAGGTAAATAAATTTAAAAAAAGCCACCTGCCTCTGGACATTAAGAATCAGAAGCAGGGGAGCTAATTACTATTTTAGTTTTATATCTTGTAGAACTAATTGATTTTTAATGCCATTTACCTTTACAATATTGGTTACAATAAAAATTACATTAAAATACAAAATAATAAAAATTAAGGTACAAAATATTATATACAGGTTGCTCTCATTGGAATACAAAAGAACAGAGTTACACATGCCTGTATATGTACAGACTATTTATAAAGGAGAGGAGGAAACGGATAACTATAATTGTCATTAAAAAGAAACTTCAAGTTACATTGAGGGATTTACTTTTAATTGTGTATTTGTTATCTTATTTTAACTTCTAAACAAGTTATTTCTATTTTAATGTTTTTAAATAAAGTGGATTGTTTTGTTGAAAAAAGGCTGGAGACTTATCCTCTGCAATGTGTATATTATCTTATATTCTGGGATTCTTTGTAAACTGAAGATACCCATATGTCAACAATGTATGCTGGAGTCTCAGGGTGGAGCAATGACAATGAATCACAGGGAGGTGAGAATTCATCTGCACTCTAGGCAGGATTGATTTGAAAATACATGAACAGATTTAAGAACAAAAGAGAAAAGGAGAAGGGGTATTACCGTACATGGGTTATCAACATTCTTAATCATAATATGTAAAGAAAGTACATTTTCAATTTAGAAATAATCCCAGAATATAAGAAAACTTATAAATTGCAGAGGATTAAAGGGCAGGGCTTGATGAACAACTGGATAGAGATAGTGAAGAGAAGTAAGAGTCACAAATATTGCCAACAATTCCTGGATAATAGAGAATAGTCTGCATAGTTGTTAAATGTAAGGAGGAAAAGAACAATACTAACAGTAGTAAATACCCATCGGGTGCTTGCTTACTATGTGCCAGACACTATTGTCAGCACATACATGTATTAACTCACTTAATTGTCTGAAGATCACTGTGAGATAGGCACTACTACCACCCTCGTTTTATGAGCTACAAAAACAGAAAGTTTTCTGTTTTTTTGTTTTTTGTTTTTTGTTTTCTTTTTGAGACAGAGTCTCACTCTGTCACCCAGGCTGGAGTGCAGTGGCGCCATCTTGGCTCACTGCAACCTCCAACTCCCAGGTTCAAGTGATCCTCCTGCCTCAGCCCCCTGAAGAGTAGCTGGGATTACAGGCACGTGCCACCATGCCCGGCTAATTTTTTGTATTTTTAGTAGAGACAGGGTTTTGCCATGTTGGCTAGGCTGGTCTCGAACTCCTGACCTCAGGTGATCCACCCACCTCGGCCTCCCAAAGTGCTGGGATTACAGGCTTGAGCCACTGTGCCTGGCCAACAATGTTATTTTCATTTAAAAAAAAAAAAAGTGTCGCAGATTCTGTGGGTCACTTGTTGCAAAAGGTGAGCATCCTTTCCCTGAATCCTCTCCACAATCACTTCTATTCTGATCCTGATCATTAATACATTTGCAGGAGAGTTTTTGGGCTTGGATTTGCTTTTCTTCTGAGAACTGGCTACACTAGACACCTAACTTAAAGTCTTGGTCACCAACTCCGCATGGTTTGCTAAGAGATTTAACAACAAATTATATAACCATCATACAGGTTGCTGCTGCTTTCACATTGTGTATCTTTTATAGAATGACAAAGACATGAAATATTCAAAGGCATGGAAAGTAGGTATGAGCTCTTTCACTTTCATGTGTCGCCTTGAATGATCACAGCTCACACACTTGTGAACACAGGTAAATTTGTTGCAAGTTTGGTATCAATAAGGTGGATTCTTTCAAGTTAACCACTGCTTCACCATTCTCCCATGAATGGTAATTAGTAATTTTTTATTCACAAGGGTCCTCAATCACTTTAAAGCAAATTGAAATACTAGGCACATTTTAATATTTCTTAATATTTTGCTCTAAGTAAGCAATAAGAAATCCCATTTAATCTCTTTACTTTGTGGCGATTTTCGCTATTTCAAAATCCTACATTCCTGACTGTAGAAAGAATGAAGGTACCATTTCCGTAAATTATTTGTTTGTGCAAATATAGAAGCCTGTTTTTTGCTATTACTACCCTCTAGTGGATGCATAGCATAGACCAATTTTCATGGATGCTCTGGGCCTTTTCCTTAATAATGGCCTTTCAGCTGTGCTGTCCAATATAGTAACCACCAATCATAAAAGGCTATTTAAATTTAAATTAATAAACAATAAATGGAAAATTCAGTTCCTCAGTCACACTGGCAACATATCAAATGCTCAATAATCTCGTGTAGCTATTGACAGCTCTGACATAGAACATTTCCATCACCATGGAAATCTGTATTGGACTAATGCTTATCCAGGCTAATGTGTACATTATGGAACATGGAGACATGAACTTATTTAACCTAAAGGAATTAACCTATTGACAATAGATTAGCCAACACCATCCCAAAACTCTTGATTCTACTCCCAGCATCCAAGATTTACAGGATCAAAAGCTAACGTTCTTGAGCTTTTCATAAAAAAGTTAACCTCACCTTTTTTTAGATGAATTTTATTTCTTTAAATCCAACAGATTTCATCACTCCAAGCGTTCAAAGGCCATGTGGTGGCTGCCAGGTGCGGTGGCTGACGCCTGCAGTCCCATCACTTTGGGAGGCCAAGGTGTGAGGATCACTTGAGGTCAGGAGTTCAAGACCAGCCTGGCCAACGTGATAAAGCCCCATCTCTACTAAAAACACAAAAATTAGCCAGGCATGAAGATGTGTGCCTGTAGTCCCAGCTACTCAGGAAGCTGAGACAGGAGAATCACTTGAAACTGGGAGGTAGAGGCTGCAGTGAGCTGCACTCTCACCTGGGCAACAGAGCAAGACTCTGTCTCAAAAAAAAAGACCATGTGGTGGCAAATATATTAAATTATTTTCAACATATTTCTGTGTCGTGAACTTACAAGATAAAGCTTTCCTTTCTTCCTGAGATGCAGAGAGAGAGAGAGAGAGAATAGAACTCGCTTATTTTCCTGTTTGTTTTTGGGGTTTTTTTTGTTTGTTTGTTTTGTTTTGTCTTGTCTTGTTTTGTTTTTGAGATGGATTCTTGCTAGGATGGAGTGCAATGGCACGATCTCTGCTCAATGCAACCTCTGCTTCCCAGGCTCAAGCCTCAGCCTCCCAAGTAGCTGGGATTACAGGCGCCTGCCAAAACGCACGGCTAATTTTTGTATTTTTTTAGTAGAGACGAGGTTTCGCCACATTGGCCAGGCATGATGATGCATCTCGAACTCCTGGCCTCAAAGTAATCCACCCTCCTCGGCTCCCAAAGTGCTTGATTACAGGCAAGAGCCACTGCACCCGACCAGAACCCAATTTTTTTCTAACAAAAGCTAATTTTTAAAAAGTTGGTGGCTGGGCGCTGTGGCTCAAGCCTGTAATCCCAGCACTCTGGGAGACTGAGGTGGGCGGATCATGAGGTCAGGAGATCGAGACCATCCTGGCTAACACGGTGAAACCCCGTCTCTACTAAAAATACAAAAAAATTAGTTGGGCGTGGTGGCGGTCGCCTGTAGTCCCAGCTACTCGGGAGGCTGAGGCAGGAGAATGGCATGAACCCGGGAGGCGGAGCTTGCAGTGAGCGGAGATCGCGCCATTGCACTCCAGCCTGGGTGACAGAGTGAGACTCCGTCTCAAAAAACAAAAAAGTTGGCAAGAGAAGTTTTTTAAAAGAACATATATACATATAAGAGTTGTAGACAATACTCATACATGACATCTACATTAGAGGAAAGTCCAAAACATTCATGATAAAGGTAACATTTCTGATTTGGGAGGTTATTATTTGAAAGAAAAAAAAAAGGGGGGGTGGGGGGAGGAGTTCTTTGCAATGCTGAATGTAAACTTTTGCCACTGAGTAAATGGCTTTCTTTAACTCAATCATAAGAGTGTATTAAGCACTATACTGGGCTATACTACACCATACTGCACATATAATTTATTTTCTGGATGAACTAAATCAATTTCCACTTTCTAAAATTTTTAGTATTCAATTATAGTTCACACATAAATATTGTGCTTAATTTTATTATGTGAATATCAAGATATTTGACTGTAGGTATTATCTCTGCCTCAAATGTCAAATGAATCACCTAATGGCCTCAAATGAATTCAATCATTATTAGAGTGATAATGTAAATAACCAGAATAAAAGAAACACATAAGAATTATTTTCTTTTCTATCAGAGCATAACCCTACCCTACAAATGCCTAGGGCTTCGGTATTTAGTAATATTGAAGAAACAATTGATGGACACCTAGAAGTACTACATAGCCAATGAATACGTACAGTCCTTGCCTTTGTGAAATTTGCAGGCTGGTGGTAGAACTGACAGTCACATAGCTATTATGTCCATTTGCACATCATGGAACATAGCAAACAGGATCATGAAGCAAACCCACCTTAGGAATCTCATATATAACCCTCAATTTATATACATATATTTTTTGACTCAATGACTATTGACTTGTGCTGTGTGTTGAGCACTATTCTAGGCCCTGGGGATACAACAACAAATTGGACAAGGTCTTATCCAAAGAGCAGTCACAATTAATTTATATAATGATATTCAAGTTTCATCTCTTGCCTTTTTTTTAAGCTCATATATATTTGAGAGGGTTTTCCCCTTGCCATGAATTTCATCTTCTGGTTATTTAGTTTGCATATTGAAAGTAGAAATGGGTGCTTATTGTCTTGTTCAAATGGTAACAAATATTTGTTGAGCATTGAGATACTTGCCATTTGATAGGAGTAACAAAAAATAAATGCAAAGTGACAAGGCTGTAATAGAAATACAACCGAGCACAAGGCACGGTGACTCACGCCTGTAATCCCAGCACTTTGGGAGGCCGAGGCAGGCAGATCATGAGGTCAGGAGATCGAGACCATCCTGGCTAACATGGTGAAACCCTGTCTCTACTAAAAATACAAAAAATTAGCTGGGCATGGTGGCAGGTACCTGTAGTCCCAGTTTCTCGGGAGGCTAAGGCAGGAGAATCACTTGAACTTGGGAGGCAGAGCTTGCAGTGAGCTGAGATCGTGCCACTGCACTACAGCCTGGGCGACGGAGCGAGACTGTCTCAAAAAATGAAATAAAAAAAAATAAAAAAAGAAATACATTCAAATACTATTGGATAATAGAGTAAGAGGCAGATAACTATTACAGGGAAGACTAGGAAGGATTTATAAAACAGAAGACATTTGACTTCGTATTAAAGAGTAGATGGGAGTTTCCTAAGTGCAGAAAAGCAGGCCAAAAATTGGAAATAAACAGAAGCCTGCAGAATGGAGTCTGGTGATTTAGAGCACAAAGTTCAGGGAGGAGAATGGCAGGAAAACGAGATGAAAAATTTTTAAAGGATATATTTATACCATGAGAAATGAATATGTTTGGGCTGAATCATCAATCAATAGCTCATTTATAATCTGAATCAAGAGCCAAATCTCCACTTCCTGCTTTTATATCAAGCTTTATCACAAACATGTATTATTTTAAGGAATTCTATGTTGGCCAATACTGGCTAATGGAGAGTATAAAAATTATTCTTAATATGTTTTTCACTAAATAATTCATTTATTCAACAAATATTTTAAAGCATCTATCCTCTGCCTAGCATAATATACAGATTTGTAGTAATCCAAAAGGTGAGAAAAATGTAGTCTACATTTGAGAATTTGCTGTTTAACTGGAGAAGCAAAGGTGGCCAAGATAATTGCACTACAATATGACATGTGTACTGTTGGAGAGATGGGTGAATTATTTAGGAGCAAAGAAGATGTGGCTACCTCAGAGAAAATGTAGACTATTTATAGAAAATGTAATATTTTATGTGTTTTTAAGAATGATTAAGAGTTCACCAGAAAGAAAAGTGAGAAGATATTCTAGGCAGAAGAATAAAGAATAATTATGTCTTCTAGCAATAGAAATTCCTGGCAAACATTTCTCTGACCTAGTTTCAAAAATTAATAAAAATATTTTCAAATTTAAGAAAAGCATATGGTATAAAGATACTTTCTGACTATAAATGTATGTTTTATTAAATTTATATGGGGTTAAGCAGACATCATACTTTGGAAAAATATTGTTTGTGAAATAAAGATATTCCTAAAATAAAAACTGGGCCCAGTTTTTAGTCCTCCATTATATTCTGGCTATATTTCTTCTACTCAAAGAGCTCTTCTTGATACTGCTATTGACAAAAGTGAGACAAAATTTACAGCAGAACAAAAATCCTGCTAGCATGGAAGACTGAAGACAGAGAAGCCATATCACAGTGGTATGTGATCTAAAAATCGCTCTGTAGTGTTTCTCTAAATTTAGTGCACAGCAAGACTGGAAACAGCTCAATAATACATATTTGCATAAAATTTTCCTCCTTTCCTATTTAACTCTTCCAGTATCCCACTCTTCTTTACTTACAAATTTTTACTAAGATGTAATTTACACGTTGTGAAAGAGAAAATTCCAAACGTAGCATTTGATGAGTTTTGACAAATAATACATACATGTGACCCACACTGAAAACAAATCAAATATTTTGATCACTCCAAAAAGTTTTCTTTTCCCTCCATGTATAGAAACTGGTATTCATCATTACTGCTGTCTTCATTTCTGTACTTTAATTTTATAACCTGCATTACCAAGTAGACAGGAAGTCCAGTCCCCACCCAAAGAGAATGGTGTTTAAATACATATACATGCAATACATAAGCTAACAATTTAAATTCTGTAACAGTTTCCCTGCATATAGAGTAGTAATTTTAGCAATAAATGGATGCCAAAACATTATCATCACTGAAAATATTTTTAAACATTTTTATTGGAGGAAGAATATACATAACTGTATTTATGTGAATGAAGCAAAAATCCAAAGTAGAATTAATACCAAATATGAAAATCATAAAACAGTATAGGCTGAGTGCTGTAGCTCACGCCTGCAATCCCAGAACTTGGGAGGCCAAGGTAGGCACATCGCTTGAGCCTAGGAGTTGAAGACCAGCCTGGACAACATGGCAAAACCTTGTCTCTACAAAAGATAATAATAATAATAAATAGGCTTGACAGCACATCCTGTGGTCCCAGCTACTCAGGAGACTGAGGTGAGGGGATTGCTTGAGCCCAGGAGGTGGAGATTGCAGTGAGCCAAGATCTAGTCACTGCCCTTGAGCCTGGGTTATAGAGCAAGACCCTCTCCAAAAAATAAAAAATAAATAAAAAGTGCAAAATACAGCAAACGTATACACAGACTTCATTTTATATACTTCATTAAAAAAATGAGTTTTCAGCAGAGTCCTGAGGAAGAAAGAAGATATAGAAAATATTGGGAAGACATGAAAGGTATGGCCAAAGAAGTGTGAGTGTGTGTGTGTGTGTGTGTGTGTGTGTGTGTGTGTATTGGGGCTGTTGGGAGCAAATTAAATATGAAACAGAGTGTAATTTGCGAAGCATTGGGCATTTGTAATTGCTCTAATAAAAAGTGCTTACTTCAACTGAAATAGACTATGATCCATTGTGTAACTGCTGAATAAGACTGTCTCAAATTTTGATTTCAAATAAAATGTGGTACAAATGCTACTGGTGTAGATTTTTGTCCCGATTTTGTATATGATTAGCTGACAATGATTGTGGATGAGTGTTTTGGGCTTCTGCTCTTGCATAATTCTTGCCACTAATGGACGTAATAATGTTTATGTTTATCATAAACCCTTCCAGGGTTGCAAGGAGGATGACATGCTCTATAGAAGAAAACAAACAAAAAACCTATGAGTCTATTTGCATTACTTAGTGTTATGCCATTCAACTCTTACCACAGTGCTGCAAATACTACCTCATACTGACACAGGAAACCTGTTCTTGTATTTGTTTACATGCATATGCCTTTGAATTCATTCTTATTTATCTTTCAGATGAATATGATTTATCTCTCCCAGTCAGTCTGTAAATTCCCAAATGTCTTGAGGCAAGTTCTATATATCATAAATCTTCACTAAAGGTAGGCTGAGGACTGATTGATTTTAGATGGTCACTTATAATATAAAATCAAGATGCTTCCTAGGAAAGTATAATAAACACAAGTCTTTATGCTTCAAAAACTATATAGGCCTTTTATAAAAACACGAGATATATTTTATTTCTTTATTAACTTTAAGTATTTATTTATACTTTTTTCTTAGATTATAAGGCCCAAGAAGGACATGACTCTCTATTTAGCTCAACTTGAAAATGCCTAATAGGACATAAGGCTTCAGTAGGGATTTAACGATGTTCTAAACTAATGATCATGTTATCTAGCTGTATTATGAGTGGAATAATCGGGCTTTCAACAACTGTCTTTGACTGGAAAAAATAAACCTTTTTGGAAAAGAGGCCTGTGTTTTAAATCAACACAACATAGAAAAACAGAACAAAACAAAACATTAAAAGGCACTAAACAACTGGGGGAGAGAAATTACTAAATGTAATCTGAAGTGTTTCTGGGTGTAATGGTCTTTTGATATGTCTACTTGACTAGGCTACCATTCCTAGCTATCAATCAAACAATAATCTAGTCATTGCTGTGAAGATACTTTGTAGATGTGATTAAAGTCCATAATTAGTTGACTTTAAGTAAGGGAAATAATCCTAAATAACTTGGGTGGCCCTGAGTCAATCAGTTGAAAGTCGATAAAAGCAAAGCCGAGGCTTCCCTGAAGAAGAAATTCCACTTGAAACTACGGATGGCAGCTTCAACTCCCAAGCTCTAGCCTGCGCTTCCTGACAGCCTGCCCTATGGATGTTGGACTTGGCCAACCAGCCTCCTACAGTCACATCAGCCAGTTCCTTATGACAAATCTCTCAATGTGTATCTCCTACTGATTCTCTGATTCTGTTTCTCTGATTGAACTGTTTCTGATGCCATACATATATTACAAATGTTAATGTCAACTTGCTGTTCTATAAAACTTCTATCTCAGCCCATCATTTTCAGTGGCAAACGGTTTGCTATAATCAAACCCTAGAGTAGAAATGGCCTGAGAACATTGAAATTTTTAAAAATAAACTTACTTAAAACAGCTACAAAGAGCTGTCATTAACAAGGAGATAAAATATATATTCAAACATTTTAAATATTTTAAATGAAACAAAACATTTTAAATGAATGTTTTGTCATCAGAAAATTATAACCAGGAAAATGCTCCTTAACTCATCTGATGTAACATACAAACAACAACCAAGAAAATAGCAATAGAGCCTTTTCAGGCTATTACCTTCATAGGTTTCTAGGCATGTACCTAAAGTAATAGTTTGGCATTCCTAGCTTATTTATTTATGCAATGAGAGCCATTAATCATTCCATTTGAGCTTAAGTATCTGCATTTGAACTTCAACTACAGCCTCAATATAGCAGTGTACTTGAGAACCGCCAATGTGGAATTTCTTTTCTTACTTCAACAAACAATTCAGTTCAAACATTTATTGAATACTCATTAGTTGCTAGGAATATAAATACCCTATGACTAAGTTTTGACTATTTGCTTATTAAACTCTCAAATACAAAATGAATATCAGCATTCAAATGCTTATGCTATTAAGAAATGTTAGAAAATTTTTTAAAATTACCTTTATTCATATCCTGAAAGAAATTTTCTTCCATTGACACTCAAATGAAACTACTTATAATGTTCTCCCAAACTTAAAACATGTCTCTCTCATTTGTAATTTAGAGGAACACATCCTAAATTGCCTTTGTAATGGATTTCTGTTTCTAAACTAACTACCACTTGTACTTTTATAATGCGTAGATTAGAGGAAACGAAAGAAAAAATTTGGCTAGCAATTTGGTACAAAACTAGGGGGCAAAATTGGAGAAGTGTAAATAAATGAATATAAATAGAGGGGAGGGAAATGAACAAATAAAAAGAAATATATGAAAAAAAGAATAAGAAACAAAGGAGAGATGATAATTAAAATAGGAAAATGGAAGTAAGGAGTAAAACTCAAGCAAAAGGAATTTAAAACTCCATGCTTCTGTAGAATAATCAATTAACAATAAAATATTTTAGAATCCTTAGAGAAGAGGTTATATAATAAATCTCATACAATCTTGTCTCATTCTTTTATCAACTCGACAGTGGGAAAATTAACTAAACTGTTGCTAAGCCTAAGGCAAGAATGTTGATTCTCCAGAATTCAGATATAATTACATAATAACGTTGGAGAAAGGGCATTGGAATATACGAATATTTCCCTACTTAGAAATCTAGGTGTGGTCTAACATCTAAGAAAATATTCCCTTGAAAGAATTATGTGCTGGGGGCACAGAACTCTTTGAAAGAGGCCTATGACTTCTGATATATTCACAGCATAAAATAATAAATGTTTGTCTGCATCTACATTTATCCAACAACGTCTGTGCAGCTGCAGTGCTTTATTAAGGACTCTTTTTGTCTTTATGGGATTGAATGGGGGTTAATGCGACCTGCCTATGGAATGAACTGACCCAGATTCTACTATCAGTCTCCAAAGTCAGGTATGTTCTCCTCACAATGTTTAAAATCTCATTCTTTCTTCCTTTCTGTAAAGTAGCAGAAGATTTTGTGCATGAAAGCTTAGTTTGGGACAAATTCTGTGAAGCAAGACAAATTGACAGACTGATGTCAAAAGGTCAATTTTATAAAGATTCTTTCCTCTGATTATTTTCTCTCCTAATACTTTCTCTGGTGTAAAATAAAGCAATGTGTTTATTTCTTCCAATCAAGACCCTTAATTCCTTCAAGTCCTGCTAAAATAGCACTGAGTAAAGACACAAAAATGGTAAACACGCACCAAGTTAGTTTAATGTAAACCCTAACATGAAAAACCTTCATTACAAAATCCCTATTTGCTATGTTAATCTCTTCATCCTTGCCACTGCTGAAGAATTTTCCTCTTCTAGTATTAGAAATCCTGGAACATTTCCAAAAATTCTCTAACCCAAGAAAAATGTCTGGAGGCCCTAACCTATTTGTAAAGATTTAGGAACATTACAAAAAATTAAAGATTTAAGTATTAAGTATGGTCTCCCTGCTTATTAGTTTGATGTGTATGTTATTTTCCTAGGCATATTTCACATGGTGTTGCTTTATTGAAATCAGCATGTTGGACATTCCCATTAGTTACTGACATACGAAACACATCCTGTGCTGCACTTACCTGCCCACTTAGGATGCATTAGAAAAGAAATGTTTCAGCATTTTAGGAAAAGGGATCAATGTTGTCAGTTAAGTGATTAACTAAAATATTAGGTACTGAAAATAGGC
This sequence comes from Homo sapiens, assembly GCF_000001405.40. Classification (NCBI taxonomy): domain Eukaryota; kingdom Metazoa; phylum Chordata; class Mammalia; order Primates; family Hominidae; genus Homo; species Homo sapiens. The sequence continues at coordinate 38,650,990 of NC_000013.11, forward strand.
ATGGGAATACTGGAAGTGGGAAAAGATATGAGATGGGAAGAAGCAGAATAATGGATTTCATAAATTTCATAAATATTTTATATTTATTTCATATTTTATAATGACTGTGATACAGTCATACTTCTACTTAGTTATCTCATTCAATCCATATAACAATTTAGTCAGATAAGAAGTAATTTAATATTTTTATTCCTGTTTTACAAGTAAAGAAACTGAGACATAGAAAAATAACATAATTTATCCAGTGACAGCACAACTCTTATATGGTGAAGCGGGCATGCAAATTCAGGCTCTCCTACTCCCACTTCCACAATATCACACTATGCCACAATGGCTCACTTAAATTATGCGCCTGAAAAATACACTAATATCTCCACAATCTAAATTATACCTTAAGATGTCAGTAATTCCCTTCACAAAAGCCAAAATGACATATTAGTAAATGTTCCATCACTTACACAACCTTGACATATCACCAGACAATGATCTCTCCCAATTTTTTCCATTGTATTATTTGTTTTGTTTTGTTCCATTTTTAATTTTACTCCTGGTTGTTCCCACATAATACTGTAAAAAAAAAACAAAAAACAAAAAAACCCAGCCGTTCCCTTATGTTTTTGCCCCATGGCCTCTTCATGCTCTTAAAATTTATTGAGGACCTCAAAGATCTTTGGCTTACATAGTTTTTTTTAAGTACTTACCATGTTAGAAGTTAAATATGACAAATTTTAAGAATGTATTTATTCAATTCAAAATAAAAATAACCCATTAATGTTAACATAAGTAACATGTTTTATGAAAAATAACTGTGTTTTCCAAAACAAAAAAACAGTGAGAAAATTGGCATGATTTCACATTTCTGTCAAATATTTCAATGTCGAGCATAATAGAAGACAGCTGAATTTTACATTCAATCTATTGTGGTCTGTTGTTGGGTTAAAGCATATGAAGAAAATCTGGCATCACATAGATTTATAGTTGGAAAAGGGAAGAGTACTTTAGTGGCCTAATTGCAAATAATCTTCAATATGAAACCATAACGCAGTAAGGTGTAGTCTCTTAAAGATCAGTTGCAATGAGCAATCAAACCGTATCAATGAAGGTGTTGTATTGTTACATTACAAATCCATTTTTTGTATCTTGAACAAAAAATGGGTCTTTTATTCATGAACAATTTTGTAACATGCATTGGTCACAAGTAAAATATTGGTTCACTGAGTTACACGGAGCCCCCAAATGTTAACACATTTCATTATTCAACACCAAACAATTACATTTGTTAGTTACAAGTTTTTCAAAATGCTATTTTTTCTCGAAATCTCAAATTTTATCACTGACAACAAATACTGCCAGTTGTTTTGTATAAACTGACTGTCTCATTTTCTTTATTTTCAAGAAAAAATGTGTAAAATATTCAAGTCTGAATAACATAGTTTGCCTGCCAGTCATTCCTTCAATTAAAAAAATGATGTTTCGTGGAATAAGCTTGTAACTCCAACAATTGCACAAACACTTTTTCTCAAGACATCCATCACATTTTAGTACGGAGCAAAATGCTTTCTGCACACTTCACATTTGCCCTACATGATAAATAATCTTAAACATTGAGACTGAACAAAATTAATATTTCATATTGTTTCATTAAAGATATTCTGAACTGCAAATGTGAGTGTGGTGAAAATATATATCTATATAATGACTGCTAGTATCGTTTGGTGCACTGTGTTGATATATGCTAAGACACCAGGGGTTTCGCCCTCTATTACTTTTGCCCCCTCAGTACAAATGCCAACACATTGCAGGAGGCAAATAACATCCTAGTGTTGTTAGGAAAATAGCTTTGACCTTGCATACCCCTTGGAACAATGTCAAGGAACCTCAGTGGTACATGAACCACAGCTTGAGAACCGCTACTCTAGAGAGTACAAAGACTATTTTTTGAGTTGTCTTAGGTTATGAATGGCTCTCCTTTAACCTTGCTGACTCGACTATTCCTCACCTAGACCTGATATCGTACGTTAGAAGCAATCCCAGTCAAAAGCACCATGTACAAAATAAAAAACCAAAGGTAACACTGACCAAATAAACATTTGTCTGTGGATTTGTACTAGTATATCAATTTAAAATCTAATGAAAAATATTTATGTTACAATACTTTTCATCCTGTTGTTTTAATTCCATGAGGAAAAGCTAGGGGAAAAAAATGAAAACCTTGATCTCATGCCAAGAGCTCAAACCAGCACCTTCTCCTTTTTAGGTGGCAGCTGTTTCTTGTAACCAAGACACATGTTTTGTTTTCTAAAATAATTGTGAGGACTAAGTAATGACTACGAATGCCTTTGTAAAATTAGCATAGTTGTATTTTTATTTGGTTTGTGAAACTTTACCAAAATAATAGGTCAAACATAGTTTAAAGGAATTGTTTGAAGTATGCTGAAGGAAAGGTCGGAGAAAGTTTTATGATGCTAGGCTTCCTCTTTGATACACACTGCAAAAAACTCTGGGAGACATTTATACCCAGCTAAAGAGATTGGTGAATGACTATACAGACAAAACAGCATGACCTAGTAATAAAGAGGAGACTGGATGGTTTATCAGCCTCTTTTCTGGCAGTAGGTAGCACCTTGGTTATGTACAAAACAATGAAGCAAAGCCAATCATTGTCACAGCAATACAGTTAAAAGACACTATTTACTTGACATTTGCACCATGAGCAGAAAAATGTTTCTGCAATCAAGCAAGAGCAGTAAAACTAAGTTCTCCATTCGTTACTCTAGAGGGCTTCTTTAAACATAGAACAAATAAATAAAAGAATGGATTGATTCAGAATGGCTGGACCAACACTATCCAATGGGAAGTATAAATTAAAGTCCTGCATAGATGCTCTAACAAGGTTTTTATGATGCAAGGGTACTTGCCACCCATTGTTCTTGGCTTTGCCAATCCCCAAAATGAGACAACAAAAAGAGTTAAGATTAATTTCTTGTGCCATGTATATTTTCTGAGCATCCAGGCTCTTAGCTAAAGCATTTTCACTAGCTTTAGTTAAGTCAGTAGTCTTCCTATAATAAATCTTACCTTCCAATAACTTATTATCTGACCGAGGGATTTTCTACTTAGTACATTGTACCATTGTTTGTATTTGAGGATTTAAGAGTCTGTCTTCTTTGGAGGCTTTAATGTTAAGGCTAAGAACATGCCTCTCCCAGAGCCTGCAGTGAGCCGAGACTGCGCCACTGACTTCCAGCCTGGGCAACAGAGCGAGACTCCATCTCAAAAAATAAATAGATAAATAAATAAAAATAAAAAAAAAGAACCATGCCTCTCCATACCACAGTCTTTGCACAGAGCTTGGCACACAGCAGGAGCAATAGAGGTATATATGTTACATCCCGTAAGAACAGAGACTTCCCACTTCCACATCCCCAATGCCCAGAACAGCAGCTGACACTCAGTGGATTCTATTGGCTGAATGGCACAGTTATGATTCGAGACCACATATTCCCCTATTGAAAGGTATAGAAACTATGTTCGTTTTCTGTTCATTTTAAATTGCATTTTTCTGGATATATATTTCTGTGACTTTGGGGTATACTGACGTGTCCGGGGTAGGCCAGATTAATTCTTTGAGGACCAGATGCAATTTTTTCATGTCTGAACTCTGCTTCCCTAGTTCTCTTCACAACAGTAGACTCTAATGCTTTTATTCATGGTAAAATGTCATGTCCTTAACTCTTTCATTTTTATGTGAAGAAAATGTTCAATTTATGTTCTTCATGCAGCACTTTCTGCATTCATCAATGAAGTTAACAAATGAATAAACCTATTGGGAATAAGAAATGCTGGCAATATTAAGGGATTAGCAGTAACTTTCTGGAAAATCAGAAATAACTACAAAGAACTTTGAAAACAAACTCTTTAAAAATGCAATTAATCCCAGCACTTTGGGAGGCCGAGGAGGGCAGATCACGAGGTCAGGGGATCGAGACCCTCCTGGCCAACATGGTAAAACCCTGTCTCTACTAAAAATACAAAAATTAGCTGGGCGTGGCGGCGCATGCCTGTAATCCTAGCTACTCTGGAGGCTGAGGCAGGAGAATCACTTGAACCGGGGAGTCGGAGGTTGCAGTCAGCCAGGATCGCGCCACTGCACTCCAGCCTTGTGACAGAGACTCCGTCAAAAAAAAAAAAAAATGCAATTAATATAAGCACTTAGTGGAATGCTCTTCTGTCTTTCTTCCACTCTTCCCAGCTCTGGTGCATGCTTTTCCTAAGCACACTTCCCTGACAGTGTGTATCACAGCAGGCAGGGTGTATAGACATCTAGTTCTTGGGTTTAACAACGGGTATTATGCATAAAATAGCAAAAGTATATAGAATCCTATTTCTGTATGCTGGCTACTAGAGAAAACTTCTCTACTAATGCAATATTAAAGTTTAATTTGAGTCTAAATTAAAAGTCTAGTTTAATACTAAAGCTACAAATGTAACCATATCAAAGTTAAAAAAAAATTTAAGAAAATGCTCTTTAGCATTATAATCTCTGAAATATTTCAATTACTCAAATCAGGATTCAGTGTACAGTTGAATATGGCAATGTGAATGTGATCTGATTAACTTTTTTCTCATAAAAAGTTTCTTCTTATTACATTCTTCAGATTGTGATGTTTTATTTGTAATTTTCACATGGTGCTGATGTAGTTTCTCCTGTAACGAATCTTCTCAAAGTAGTTTTCAACAACTCAACCCAATAAAAAATATACATATAAGATAAAAATGGAAGTAACAACCATGGAAACAAAAATATGAGAATGACTTAGAAAGAAATTATATAAATTGGAATTAATAAGACCATGTATTGAGTCATGGTAGTATAAACTGAAAATAAAAGCTTGAGCCCCCAATCAATTAAACAGATACTCCTTGGCCAAAAAGACCCCCCCCAAACCTTAAAACGTAGTTCCCAACCATAATGAGACAAGAGATCAGACACGCCTTGTTGTACCCCTTTCCCTTTGTAGTTTAGACACAACTAACCAACATTAATGTTAAGATGAAAATCATAAACTAACAAAACAGACTCTTTGTGACAATAAAATACTAAATTATAGACAAAACTCAAGGCCAGGCTAGGAAAGAATTAAGTCATATATCCCCTACACTTAAAAAATAAACTATGTTCTAACTGCCAAGAATTTTCTTTTTCTCTAATAACTAACCATCAGCCTCAAAATAAACCATATTAAGCAATTTATAGCTCCTCAAGATACTGACTAAACCCCTGTTCCATTAGCCGTAACTACAGTTTTAATTAGACAAGAGACTCATTTCAATAACTTTCTCCTAATAACAAATGCAGCAACTGTAGACTAGTTCTGGCTGGTTTACAGAGATTACACACTTGTGTGCCTTCATGTACTAAAAAGACCTTTTAATATATAGAACCTAATTATAGTACATTTAGACAATAAGTCTCCATCCCAAAGAAAACATAGGTCATATGTTACATATTTATTCAATACGCATGTGTCAAGACCACGTTCATAAATATTCATAACTCCTTCGATGACCGGTTAAATATATGTTTAGCCAACCCCTTCAATATAAAACTCCTACCCCAACTCCTCCTCTTTAAAATGCCTATCTCTAATTTCTTCTGGAGACACACTTGCCAGCCTGCAGAAAGGCCACCTTACAGATTATAATCCTTTATAAAAAATAAAGTTTCCTTTTCTCCTTTCCAAATTTATAAAAGCTATAATTTTTTAAGCTAACAATTATTGCAATGAATGGCATTTGACTAAAGTTCTGCTGCTCTGGTTAAAGAAAAACCTGGAACAAGAAGGAGCTCCCTGCAGGCCACAGCTGCATGTGCCAGCCTCTGGCAGTCTTATCTCCACTGTTGATCAAGGTCGCTGGCAGTCTCACCCCATGCAAACTGCCCCACAGGCCCTGTGTCTGAGTGTGAATGCGTGGAGCCTGGCAGCTCAGGTTGGGGTGGGAATTCACAGGAACACAATTAACACCAAAATAATAAACATGGCTCTTATTCTTCATTGCAGTTGAAACCTCTTTAAGACAGTTTTATATATTTACATTCTAAGGGAATGTAAGGGAATATTAGGGAAAAACTTTGGGTGTCATGGAGAAGTCTAAACATGCACAAAACTAAAGAGATAACCCCTCATCCTTCTTTGGGAATGGAAGTCATGAAGTGCACTGCACTTTACTTCTATTAAATGGCCAAACTGAGAGCACAGTATTGTGGTCCTCTTCTTCTAGGAAGAAAGCCATGAAAACCTTTATCCATGGCCTCCTTTTTCCTAAACAGTCTGGCTTCACCCTCTCTGTACTACTGAACTGACTTCTCCAGATTATGAATCATTTCCTGATCATTCAGTCCAGTGGCTCGTACTCACTCCACACTCTGTGTATCCACTGAATTATTCCATTTCCTCTTCCATTTCCAAAGACTACACCATCTGCCCCCTCACTTTTAAAATGAGTGTCTTTGATCTTATTTTCTCACCCTATTCTCCCTTACTCAGAGATCCTGGTCCTTCTCCTGACTTCACAGGCTCCTTCCTGTAGGGTGAATTTCCAAGTCCACATTTTCATTCTTGACTTTGCCTGAACTCCAGTTCTGAATCTTTAGCCACCAACAGACATTTCTACTTGTCACTTAAAATACAATATATTTAAAATTGAACTCTTCAACTTGGTCTCATCTACCACGTGGCTTTCCTTCCCTAACATTTCTTTCCTTTTCTTTTCTTTTTTTTGGGGGAGAGGGGGCGGGGGAGACAGGATCTCACTCTGTTGCCCAGGCTTGAGGGCAGTGGTGCAATCTTGGCTCACTGCAACCTCTGCCTCCCAGGCTCAAGCAATCCTCCCACCTCAGGCTCCTGAGTAGCTGGGACTATAGGCACACACAACTACGCCTGGCAATTTTTTTTTTTTTTTTTTTTGTAGAGACAAGGGTCTTCGTATGTTACCCAGGCTCATCTCAAACTTCTACACTTCAGAGATCCTCTCCCCACCTTGACCTCCCAAAGTGCTGGAATTACAGGCATGAGCCATCGTGCCTGGCCCTAATTTTTCTTATTTCTGTTTGTGGTAACATCTTTTTCCAAGTTACCTACATATATTTTCTTCAGATATTAAATTTTACTGATCCTTCACCTTATTAGATAGAACCATATGAAATGTCTATTTACATGGGTCAAAAATGGTAAAATATCAGCAATTTCCTATGATTTCCTTCTTAAAATTTCAGATTCTTTCGATCTAAACTACTTCAGTAGCCTCCTGTTTTCTGCACTTCTATTTCTCCACTTGCAGTTCGTTCTGAAGGTCACAACTTATTAATCTTTCTGAAATACTCACCTTTGAGAACTCCAGTCTAAAGTTAACAAGACTTTTCAGTCACTTTTTATTCACATCTTCTACAATTGGCCCCTAAGCCTACCTTTGCAGTCTTGGCCCTACTTACCTTCAGAGTTCTCTGTTCCAATCAAACTGGCATAAACGTTATCTCTCTGTCCCCTCTTTATTCAGAGAACTCTCCTTCCTTCCTTCAGAAATCCCTCTGCTTGTAGACTTACTCAAACTTTAACCTCACACAGGCTAGTGACATGTCCACTGTCCTTCACTTCACTTTTAACTATTTTCAGTAATGAGATGTCCTTCCAAATACTGTTTAAATGTCTTGAAAGTAAAAAATGATGTATTTTATTTCCTTATTAAGCAGAGCATACAGCCTTATTTATAGTAGGTGATCAAAATATGGTTGCTGCTGCTTATAATAATATTTTTAAATGGTCTGTCTGAGTTCTGGCCCAGAAAACTTCCCTTAAATCACCCTTCTGAAGGTAGCCCTCCTGCCCAGAGATGAGATGTCTTTTAAAGAAGTTTTCAGATCTGCTCTATTTCCTATCAACACTACTGCTGTTTGTGATATCATGCACTTGTGGACCAATCTATCTTCTGGGCAGACTCTTAGATTTCATCAGAATGAAAACTGATGAAAGATACAGAGATTTTTTTCGCAGATTTTAAAATTCTTGGACTATTCTTGAATTTCTGTATATCTCTAGCAACAAAATCTTGGAGAGATGTATAGCAATATATCTCAGAATCTACTAAATCCAAACAGCTTAGTGACTACAGTTAAACTGAGAAGCTTTGATTCATGAATCCTGTTTTCATGAGACCTCATAATCTGTTATCTGAATATCCAAGCAAGAAAATGCCTCTTTGTCATCAAGTCATAATAGTCTGTTTTTTCCACTGCCTGCTTGATTTACTTTAACATACCTTTGGTCTTTGTCTTCTTATAGATAAATAAAAATGATTCTTATAAGCCCTACTGGTCCCTTAAGGTTCTCTATCCATGTTTCATCTGTGCTGCCATGTAATTGCCAAGATTCAATCCAAGCTGATTTAAAAATAAGCTAGGTTATATTTTTAGATAACTTCCTTAAAAAAGAAACCCAAAATCATAAAGTTGTACTTCTTGAGAAATTCCTATTTTGTTGTGTTTTTTCTTTTATTGAACCAAGGAAAAAGCAAAAAATATGCTGTTTTCACTTTAAAATACTTCTGCTATTCGTTTAAAAAGGTAAAGGTAAGAAATAACCTCTGCAAAGGAGCGTACTCTCTTCTTTAGGCTCTTTAGGACATTTTTAAAGGCTATTTATTGAAAACAAGTCAACAGAATTAAACAAAGGTTTGTACCATTAAGCTCCAGTAAGAAAAGATTTAGTTCAGATGACTACAAAAATATGTGAATACGGAATATAATATGTTAAAACTTCATGTTTAATTTTCAGACAAGACATACTTAGTTAAATTTTCTAAGTATGTGATATGATATCATCCAAGGTCATTTGGTTTAAATTCATGATTAAGAAATAGATACCACACTTACTTAAATGTACTGCATTCATTAATTATTGAGCCACATGACTGAGTTGCTATTTTAGCTTTGGTTAAAGATTAATTCTAGTTGTTCTTAAACTTTCTTTAAGTCTTCTTACTTTACAATTAAGTGGAAAGATTAGACTTAAAGTTAATTTCTCTGCCAAATTACAAAGGAAAGAAAATTGATTGCATTAAGCAGAACAATTTTCTTTAACTCAGTCACATTGATCTAAAAATAGGGCAAATGAAAGAAAAGATTCTGGTTTATTTGTGTTATTGTAGTTTGGTTTTGTTTTCTTATCAATTACAGCCTTTGTTTCTCTTTCATTATCTTGGAATGGATTACAAAGGTTTCTTGCTAAATACTTTTTTCCCTGATTTGTATTCAATGAAACATTAGTTTTAAAAATTTGCCCAATCAGTAGAAATTCACATTTCCATTAATTCTTTCCTAAGTACTGGTATTTTTGAGCTAAGCAGAATTAATGATAATTTCCAACTAAACATTATAACTCATTTCTCAAAATGAAAATAATTATATTTTAATTTTTTGTATTAATATTTCAAGTTACACTCCAAATTATTTATTGAATAGCTACTATGTGAAAATGATTTAATAATTCCAATAATACTATGTAAGAAATCCATGTGTAAAGGAATCTTCATAATTAACAGAACATAAGCTGAAGTAACAGTGAACATCTCTATGAGATGACATTCATGGTATATAATGACTTTTAGCTTCTATATTGATGAAAATCCTGTGCTCCTTACACTGTCACAAAACAAATACAACCAAATGTGAGTTTCTCTATTTCATGCACTAGCATGTTTTATGTTCTGTCACACTAGAAACAGTTACAATATTTATATATGACTTGATTGTGTGGGGTGGGTTGAAGGCTATTAAAACTGATGATGAGTGGAGAAAGGTCATTTTCATATGTATTGAAGACACACATTCTCAGGTCATAGGATTTGACCTGGGTTGCTTCCAAGATGGGCCAGTTCTGCCTAACTTCTTCAGCTCTTCTCATCTGCAGGTATTACCTTTATTAAACCTTCAGACTTTGCTCAGCTCAGATACTGAGCCAGTCCTCTCCATAGCAGTCTGCATTCCAATAGGCTCAGGCACATTAATGTATAGGAGCAGGTTATAATTAAATCTTGCTGCCTAAATATGTGTGTCTCTCACCTATAGCCTTCCTCTCCAATATACTTCCTTGCCACCACACACACACACACACACACATATGCACCCACACACAATCCTTCCATATGCACCCAGCTCTTATGTCTGAGCTTCTGCTTAATCGTCTGTCCATTTCTTACCCTGGGTTGAAGCCCTGGGCTGAAATCTAACTTACTACACTTAGACCCTACTATCCATCTTGGGTCTTGTTAAACTTGAATCTAAAATCTCCCTATCCCTGTAAAAGCTTTAATTTGAACTAAAGTAGTAGAGAGAGAAACCTACAATATACATATTTCCACTGTCTCTAGAACTGCACATGATTGAATTTGTGCGCTGGCTGGCAGCTGCTGAAGTTGCAGCATGATTCAGAGCCAGGCTGCCATGGATATGACATAGCACTGTAATTGGTTTTATTCAAAAGTCTGTGAAAGGCTAGGCTAGCTAGAGACAAAAGAGAAACTTAAAAGGACTGAATATTTATCTTTGAAAAGGAATATTTTAAGTAATCTTTGTTATTTGTGAGATATTCAGAAGTCACCATAATACTGTACTTTTGCATACATAGATGATATTGCTATAATAAACTGAAGAATATGGAAATTGATATGAATATATAAAAATAAATTATGTTTCAAAAGAGAAAGACAACATATAATAATATAAAACAACTTAAATCATTCTCTTTGTGTACTCATTATTTTGTCTCCAGGAACCCAGAAGAAAAAATAAATAAATAAATATATATATATATATATATATATATATATATATATGTATATATATACACGTATCTATATAATCCAAGGTATTTGAGACTCACACAGATCCTAGAAATTTAAACTCAAACTTGGGATAAAAGTCCATTTTGTGTGTCCTTAGCATACACCCTAAAGAAAAGCAGGATTATCCAAGAATACAGACTCTCCTTTTCCTAAAGCTTTGCCGGCAGAGCTATCTAGAATTTTATTGATAATAACAAAATTGAGGTTTTATCACGTTTTATTACCTTCATGAAACATGAAAACCAGGTGAGGATGGGGGTGGTAACTGGAAAAATTATGCACTTTAACAAGCACACTAATTGCCCTCTTTTAAATCTTCATTCATCCAGACTTTCCAAATCTGGAAACTCTCAGCATCTTTTCCTGAGCTATGCTTTTTATCAGTGAATAGATTACAGAAGAGATTTTTAAAATAAAATAAAATAGCCTCATATGTTCTGACCTCTTCTGTAAGGGGTTCTGAAAATATGCTTTAAAAATAGGCATGAAATATTTTTCTTTCTTTTCTCTCTAGAAGAAGAAAACAGGGGGCAGAAGTTTCCAATGTCCTTTTATTCTAAGTGCTCTGTTTTTATCTGCCAACCATGCTTAGTAAAAAAAGGAGACTGATTACAAAATCAGTTCCAAACCCTCTTCTTACTATGAGAACTCGTATGAATCATTGAACTGAAGACTTGGACAGGACCCCAGCTGCTTATAGGCAGTAACTCTTCCAGTAGAGATAAAAAGAAAGCTGACACAGAAAAACTTAGACAGAAGCAATTTTAACCCTTTCCTCTCTGGAAGTAACAATTGAGCCAATTCTGTCTTCATGTTAAAACTAGGCGGGAAGTTTTTCTCCCAAAAAGAACATATAGAAAATATATTTTTTTATTGTAAGCATCAACTCTCGATTAAAATTCTAACATTTACATGTGACTTGCCATTTTAGAGGCCTATTTTTTAGGCACATGATATTGTTTTTCATCACTTGCTGGTGATTTTACATGAGAAATGTTCAACATTATACACCTAACCCCCATCCCCACCATCACTCAAGGACTTGAGTGGAAACTATGGAGTAAAATTCTTCATTCACAAACTTTTGAGCACAAATCATGTGTCTAACACTATTCTAGGTTCTAGGAACAAAAAGATGAACAAGAGGGATGAGGGAAACTTATTTTTTGCCTTTATGATGTGTAGGATTTTTGTGTCTTTTCTATCCATTTAATAGTTTAGTTCCCATGATGCAAGCCCTGAGAGGTAGTTTCCCTGCTCTAAAGATTATTCCTTTCTTTTCTCAAAGAAATCTGGAATGCACTTTTTAAAATAAGACACTGAGAAAATGTCACCTTCCACTGAGGTGTCCCAGCCCTGAATGAGTGTGCAAGGTAAGAGTAGGAGTCAGGAGGAGGTATGGGATTTTAGCTTCTAAAAGGATGCAAAACATTTCCACTGCCCAAAATAGAATAAGGTTCTGAGAAACAATTGCCCTGTTACCCAGATGTGTGTATGGCCAGAAGATAGAATGGCGGGACCGGCTGTAAATGATCCCTCTATCTCACGCTGCCCTATACCCTTGGGAAGCGGCAGCCTTTCCTGTACATTACACACTCCCTTACTTGCCTTCTACCTATATACTTCTACTATATACACCTTATATTCCCTTTCTTTCGGAAAAAAAGATGCTGAATTTCTCTGCAGTCCATGTAACACCTGGAAGACACAATTAGGAATAGGCTGTATTTCAGCACTGTTCTGTTAGGAAAGCTGTTTAGTTTTCCAGAATATCAGGATTTAGCTGTTCTAGGTGGGAATGGGATTATATTGGCACTTCCCGCTAATTATACCAATAAGGTTTTATTTTGTTTGTTTGTATTTTGTGTTAATTCAGGACATCATGAAGTCAATTTTAAAAATTTGGTAATAAAACTGAACATGGTTCTTTAATTCAACAAATATTTATTGAGCATCCGCTAAATGCCAATCACTTTTCTGGAAAAAAAATAGACAAAACAAAACAAACAGACAAAAATCCTCTCTCGGGAAGAGTTTAAATGTGTGAAACACGCACACATACACACAGAAACACACACATACACTTCTACACATATTGCCAGCACAGCCAGCGTGACTGGTATGTTAACTACATAATGCATTGGTGAACTAAAGAACATCTTTTGAAATGATCAGATTAGCCTTTTACATAGTAAGTTAGGACTAGCATACGGACTATCATATGAACTCTAAACAAGCAGTGCTCAATACATTAGAGTTTCTTCCCATACCTGCCACCCTCTGTTTTCATGTTTCTGTTTTCCCATAAGTAATGCCAACCAAAGCCAAAATTGAGAAATTTAAAGGTAATCAGTAACTTTTCTCAGTTCTTTAAAGTGCGCAATAATTCAGCTGCCCAGTTTCTCTCAAATCTTTTCACATAAATGCCTTTTCCCAAAATCCTCTTCTCCTTATTACCCTTCCCTTATTTAGTTAACTTGCAATTTCTCCTCAGAAATTTTGACCTCCCCTCACTGCATCACTTGAGCTCCAGAGACTCCTCCCTCTAGTCACTAATATCAAAGTTGTCACTTCCTGTGATGTTGTATAGGGTCTACAATTTTTCTAAAGTGTTGGTTCCCCAAACAGCAGCAAAAACAATCCCGTCTTTGTTAATTCCATGAAGTAACCAGTGTGCAAAATAAATGGTTTTTTATCTGTTTGGATTATAGAGTCTGTTATTAAATCTCAATGTGTCATTGCAGTTTCACATTATAAATAGGAGAATTTTTAGTAAAGTCATGAACATTAGGTTACTGTGGGCATCTTGTTTCTTTCATGATGCTGACAAAATTTGCAATTTGCTTGTTTATTATTTGCTTGCACTAAATTGGAAGGTCTACTGTAGCAGAGCCCATTTGCTTCGCTTTGTTTGGTTTGGTTTTATTTTAATTCAACAATATGAGGTCAGAGCCTAACACACCTGAATGAATGAATGAATGAATGAATGAATGAATGACACAAACTAAAGACTGATCCCAGGAACCAAGGTTTTGCAACTAGCTAACTGGCCACAAACCCAAAACTAATCAAGTGTCTACTGTACCCCACACAGCATGTGGGACAACTGCATTTTGTCTGTCTCTAGAAACATGTATCTCCTTTTCAAACTGTCAGTACTGCTTTTCTTCAGACTAACCAAGACAGAAGGAGACATGCAGCAGTAGAGAGACAATAACCACACTCTACATGTTCAAACTTGATGTTGTATCATTTTAGTGTTTGCATAATAAAATCTGCCTAAGAGTGAATTACGTCAAATACGTATGATTGGTATTTTGCCTGCAGTAGTCCCAGAAATCTTAGAACCTTCAAACCCTTGAGAATCAAAGACAGACACACAGTGCCAATCACTGGGTTACAGAGAGGGAAGGTTTTCCCATTTCATAGGAAAAACAGCAGGCCTGAAGTGAAGTGATTTGCCCGTAGTCATGGAGTAATCAGTGAAAACACCAAGTTAACACAAGTTGAGCAAAAAAAAAAAAAAAAAAAAAAAAGGACTTTTTGTCAAAGAAGCCTGTGTTATTTCCACACACTATTTTCATACTTTTAATTTCCATTTGAATGTTTACATCGGATCCGCTAAAGCTGAATGACAGGGCAAACAAATTTGGCATTGAGTACTACCCACAGAATCAAACATTGTTTAGTAAAAAATGGTCTGAGATTGATCAACCTTGGTTTAATAGTATTAAAATTCAAAATTTTCTGTAAAGAAACAGAAGACAAGAGAATCAGATGGAATCAAAATAATGTTCTTTTTTTAGTTTTTGTAGAACAGGTGTTCTCAATCTCAGATCTACAAGCTCCTGGACTGACTGGATGAACTTGAAAAGTTCATATCCCTCAAGTCCCTGGAACTGCAAACAAAATTTGGATGAACGTGCAGACATGCAGTTTACTAGAAAGGAGCCAATAACCTTGATAAAATTGTCACAGGGATTAATACTACACAAAAATGAGCCAGTAATTACTGCCATGGAAGTTAATACCCAGGCTATCACAACAAGGTCTATTCAGAATTTTTTTAATGTTTATTTTGTTCAGAAATATGAGGAAAGTATTAGCTGTAAAAGTATTGGCAAGGCAAGTATAGAGTCAAAGGATCATATAATTATAAATTGTGTTACTGCCATGCTAGCCTAGGGGATCATGTGGAATTACAGAACAGTAACCTTTCCTCTCCCCTAAAAAAGCCACCACCCCAAATTTGCAAACACCCTACACTGTCATTCCTTTTTTTTTTTTTTGAGACGGAGTCTCACTCTGTTGGCAAGCTGGAGTGCGGTGGCACGTTCTCGGCTCACTGCAAGCTCCACCTCCTGGACTCAAGCAATTCTCCTGCCTCAGCCTCCCGAGTAGCTGGGACTACAGTTGTGCACCACCATGCCTGGCTAATTTTTGTATTTTTAGTAGAGACGGGGTTTCACCATGTTGGCCAGGGTGGTCTCAATCTCTTGACCTCATGATCCACCCGCATCAGCCTCCCAAAGTGCTGGGATTACAGGGGTGAGCCACCATGCCCGGCCCCTACACTGTCATTCTTGCTTGATATGTCAAAGAGTGAGTCCTTCTCCCCACTCCCTATGATGGTTGTACTGGGCCCACTAACTGCTGATGCTTCCTTTGTGACATCTCACTTGGGGTTGATGGCTCAGCCCCAGGTGGCCCTCCCATGTCCCCATATTGGATGAATAGATTTGGATTTTAGCAGAACTTAGACAGTAGATACTAAAGGGACAGGAGGAGCAGTGTTGCCATCTTCAGCATATCCTCAGAGCAGCAGTAAAAATGGTAGGAACATGATACGGTTTGGCTATGTCCCCACTGAAATCTCATCTTAAATTCCCACATGTTGTGGGAAGGGTCCGGTAGGAGGTAATTGAACCATGAGGGCAGGTGTTTCCCATGCTGTTATCATGATAGTGAATAAGTCTCACGAGATCTGATGACTTTATAAGGTGGAGTTTCCCTGCACAAGCTTGCACCTTCTTGTCTTCCACTGTGATTGTGAGGCTTCCCCAGCCATGTGGAACTGTAAGTCCAACAAACCCTTTTTCCTGCATAAATTACTAGTCTTAGGTATGTCTTTATCAGCAGCATGAAAAGGGACCAATACAGTGAATTGATACCAGTGGAATGAGCACTGGTGAAAAGATACCTGAAAATGTTGAAGCAACTTTGAAACTGGGTAACAAGCGGAGATTGGAAGGGTTTGGAGGGCTTAGAAGAAGATAGGAAATGTAGGAAAGTTTAGAACTCCCTAGAAATTTGACGAATGACTTTGAACAAAATGCTGATAATTATATGGACGATGAAAACCAGGCTGAGGTGGTATCAGATGAAGATAAGGAACTTTTTGGGAACTGGAGCAAAGGTGACTCTTGTTATGTTTTAGCAAAGAAACTAGCAGCATTTTGGCCCTGCCCTGGAGGTTTGTGTAACTTTGAACTTGAGAGATGATTTAGGGTATCTGTGGAAGAAATTTCTAAGCAGCAAAGCATTCAAGAGGTGACTTGGGTGGGTTAAAGGCATTCAGTTTTAAAAGGGAAACAGAGCATAAGAGTTTGGAAAATTTGCAGCCTGACAATGCGATAGAAAAGAAAATCCCATTTTCTGAGGAGAAATCTAAGCCGGCTGAAGAAATTTGCACATGTAATGAGCCAAATTTTAATCCCCAAGACAATGGGGAAAATGTCTCCAGATCATGTTAGAGATCTTCATGACAGCCCCTCCTATCACAAGCTGGGAGGCCTAGGAGGGAAATATGGTTTCATGGGCTGGGCCCAGGGTCCCCATGCTGAGGATTTGGTGCCCTGTGCCCCAGACAATGTCGAGCTCCAGCTGTGGTTTCATAGGGTGCAAGCCTCAAGCCTTGTACGCTGCTGATAGGAATGGAAATTGGTATAGCCATTAGGTAAAACGGTAGAAAAATTTCTCAAAGAACTGAAAATACAACTTCTATATGATGCAGTAATCCCATTTCTGGGCATGCATCCAAATAATATAAAACCAGTATGTCAAAGAGATATCTTCATTCCCATGTTTGTTGCAGCATTATTCACGATAGCCAAGATATGGAATCAACCTAAGTGTCTATCAGTGAATGAACGGATAAAGAAAATGTTGCAGATAGATAGATAGGTAGATAGATAGATGATATATAGATAGATGGAGAGAGAGAGAGAGAGAGAGAGAGAGAGAGAGAGAGAGAGAAAATGCTATTCAGCCACACACATAAATAAAACCACGTCATTTGCAACAACATGAATATACCTGGAGGATACTATGCTAAGTGAAAAAAAATTAGGCATAGAAAGACAAATCCTGCAGGGTCTCATTTATATGTGTAACCTGAAAAAAGTTAAATTTGTAGAAACAGAAAGCAGAATGGTGGTTACCAGAGTACCAGAGACTGATATGGGGGTTAGGAGATAGTGGGGCAGTTGCAGAGATGTTGGTCAAAGAGCCAAAGTTTCAGCTAAACAAAAGGAAGACATTCTGGAGATCGATTGTACAGCATGGTGACTGTAGTTAATACCGTGAAGTTTGCTAGGAGAGTAGTTTTTTGTTTGTTTGTTTGTTTGTTTGTTTTGAGGCGGAGTCTTGCTCTGTTGCCCAGGCTGGAGTGCAGTGGTGCCATCTCGGCTCACTGTGACCTCCACCTCCCGGGTTCAAGCAATTCTCCTGCCTCAGCCTCTTGAGTACCTGGAATTACAGGTGCGCACCACCACACCCAGCCAAGAGTAGATTTTAAATGTTCTCACTACATCTGTGGCACTAGATATGAAAGAAAAAATGAAATAAAATGAATGTTCTCACTACCAAAAAGTATGTGAGGTGATGGATATGTTAATTTACTTGATTTAATCATTTTACATTGTATACATATATCAAAACATCATATTGTACATCTTAAATGTGTAAATTTGTATTAGAGAATGATATCTTAATAAAGCTGCTGGGGGAAAAAATGCCCAATTTTAGAAAAGGTGTTCATATACAATCCATCTAAAACCCAGCACATTTAAGATTATAATAATCTTGTACTAAAAACTGATTAATCTAGTCTAAAAACTAATTTCTTAAGCTGATTGTAGAAAGAGATTTTAGAGTTAATCAAAAGTAAATTCTTCTCAAATGTTTATGCTAATTCTGTAATAGTAACCAAGACACAGGAAGCAGAAAAGCCGGGGGGAAAAAATAGCCCATCATGGGTAAATCTTACTTGATAACTTTAAAAAATCTATATTCCTAGGAAAAGATAGGTTATTCTGTAGCCATGGTAAGAGTAGCCACCAGAACTCCTTTAAATTCAGTTTACACAATGACAACTTGCCCCAGGGAACACACTTTATTTTGTAAGTCAGCAGTCAGTAACAGCTCCTTACCTATCAGGAATCAGCCAGGCAAGAATAGACTCAGACTCAGTCCTCTAAACTTGCCTGTAAGTGTCAACCAATCCAAGGTAGCCTCATCTGGATAATTATGTCTCGACAGATGATGTCAACCCACTCCTGAAAATCTGTCAAACTCCCTCCCTTCTTCCCTGAAATGATACGAACAGTCTGTTCCTCAGAGAGAGACTGTACTTGACCAAGGTAGTTCTTCTTTACTACAGTAAACCATAAACTTCTCTTTGTGGTTTTTGTTTCATTTACTAAGTGGTCACCTCAAAATCCTTTGACAGTCTATGTTACAGTGATGTCTTTTTTTAAATCAGTGTCTACCACTGAGCAACAAGCTTCATGAAGGCAGAGGCTGACTTCGTGTTTGCTACTGTTGCATTCCTGCTGCCTGACACAGAAAATACACTCTTCACACTTGTTGAATAAATACGTGAGTGCATGCAGGGATGGATGGACGGATATATGGGTACGCAGATGGGTGAGTGGTAGGCTGAATGGTGAATGGGTAGGTAGGTGAATGCCTCAGTAAAAGGCAGAATCATATTGGCATCTAAAGGTTCTAGGAGATGGTACTCTGGGTGAAGAATCAAAGATCACATAGAGGACACCAATAGCAAATGTCATGAAAAGATCTTGTACACAGAAATAGGGATTATATGTGAGACACTGGCAAAGATTCTCAAAATAGTGATAAATTTTAATGGGATCTTTTTCTGGCTTTCTAGAAGATGAGGACAGGTTTATGAGAGAGGAATTGATTCAGAGACAGTAGTGTCTCAATGCAAAAATAATCTAATTTTTACCCTTTATCAGGTGAGACCTGAAGAAAATGAGGTTACTATCAAAGTCTAGAATCTATCACCCCCAATGTAGAGTAGAGAGTGTGGAAGCCACGTTTTAGCATTTAATTTATTCAAGTCAAGTTGTCTCAGGTTGGGTTTCACAGAAGCAGAGCCCAAGATAGGGATCGTTGCCCAGGCAATTTATTGAGGAAGAGCTCAGAAAATTGGAAGTGAAGTGACAGAAGCAGCAAAGTTCAGGGGAAAAATTAAGCAAGAATATAGTCTCAAATAGAGACTAGCTTCAATGTGATCCCACAGGAAAGCTCTGAAGTATGAATTACCCCACAGAGTTGGTCTCATTGGCTTTGGTCTGAGGTGGCTTTGGTCTGATGAGAGTCTTAGCCACTCTATTGCGGGGGCTCCTGGCTGGATAGGGGTAATTCTCTGAGAAAGGAGAAGGTGTGAATGTTTACCAGCCAATACTCACAACTGCTAGGAGATGGGTGCGCCTTGGAGATCTGTACAAAGCAAAAACAGCATTCTCTATACAAGGCTAGGACAGAGTTTCTCAACTGTGCCAGTACTGCCATTTAGGATTAGAAAATTCCTCGTTATGCAGGAGATATCCTGTGTATTGAAGAAGCTTTATCACATCCCTGGCCTCTACCCACTAGAGAGCAGTAGCATTCCTCCACCAATTGTGAGAACCGGAAATATCTCCAAACCTTGCCAAATATCTGCTGGAGGCCAAAATTGCCCTGGTTGAGAACAACTGAGTTAGTGCAAGAAGCAAAGGAGGGAGTCAGTTAAGTAACTTTATCCTTTTGCAGCAAGAACAGTGTCTGACACAGAAGAGTTACTCATCAGAGCTTTTGAACAATATTCCAAACTGTGGGGGATGAAAAAGGTATTTTCAAAGAAAGAATTCACAGATGACTATGTAGTAAAGACTATTTCAACAATTACACCCTGTTAGAGTACCGAAGTATGTACCTATTAATTTTATTGAATGCATAGATAAATACTTCTACCTCAATGTAACACATTTCTCCCTAAATATTACAGTGTTTTTTCAAGTCACGATGTACCTGTCACCATGGGTTTTTGACAGTAACAATTATCATAAACTCTTATTCTTGAGACTGGAAAAGTGAAAAGAAATCCATTGTCAAAAATAGCTCATAGGTGGGGGATCAGGCTAGACAGAACATGAGCAGCACTAAGCAAAAAAAATGGGTAGAGTGAACAAAGCTTAAAGCAGTACATCAATACAGGAGAAAGGAGAGAGAGGGCACCAGTTGCATTGATTTAAGGGGAGACTGAGAACATACTCTAAGGTATTTCTGTGATCAGAGGCTCAGCAGGGCAGGTATCCAGCTAAACACCAGCAGCAAGTATGTGAATTGGTCAGGGAGACCTCAGGTTCAGCAATGAGATGCCCTTCCTATCTGTCTCCTTGATGACTGTTTATGGTTCCCTTACTTAAGGCTCAGTTGAGTTTTTGTCTTCGCTGTGAAAACTTGTCTGGCTCTCCCCACAGGTAGAGAGAATGTTTCCCTCTACTGTTCTTCCACTGCACCCAGGACATAGCCATCTTATAATATTTGCCACATTGTTTTTTCACTATTGGTTTGTTTGCCATTCTCCCCAGTGAAGTGGCGAGAGTCCTAGGACAGAGCTTTTTGCTCATTTATCTTTATGACTTCAGCCTCTAAAACATGTATACAACATTCATTTGGCAAACCTTCACTGAATACTTGCTATGAATCAGATAGTGTGTTATGAACCAGATATGGTCTGCCTCAACCCTGATGTTCTTTTCTACTTTCCTATAAGGAGAAGATGCTGACCCATCCACCCTCCATAAAGAAAGTATTACTTCTCATTCCTTTAAGAAGGACCAGTCACCTTATTACCTAAGGGTCTCCATGCCTCTGTGATGGACTCTGGTCACCACTCTCCCTCCCAGAAGAAGCCACCGCATTGTGATGGATTCAGTGTCTCATAAAGTCAGTATGCCCTGGGCACTGCCTATAATTCAAGTCAGCCTATGAAGGAATAAGCCTGGAGCACAGAATCCCTGCTCTAGCTAATTAGCATTATACATGTAATGTATGACTCTGTCAATGAGCCACTGATGCAGAATGCCATCAGCAAAGTGGAATATCGACATTTTATATGTCTCTACTGGATTGCCTGATTTTTATTTCTAGTTTGTAAAATCTTAGTAAATCAGAACCACCACTTCTCCAGATTTTTGTATTACTAAAACCTAATCTGCCCTTTCAGTGATATTGGAAAAATAATAATTATGTTATATTGGAGGAGTCAAATGAATTCTGATATCTCAATAGATTTTTTTATTCACATAACCAGTCTTAGGACTTGCAACATACTTCAAGAAAGAAGCCATATTTAGAATCAATTTTTATTTAGAGACATTAACTAGCTCTTTTAATAGTCTGGTTTCCCTCTCTCTAATATTATCCAGAACACTTCCAAAATATGTTGATATTTACAGTTATAATACACAAGCACTTTCAGTCACATAATTCCCAGGTGACATCAGAGTAATACCATCTCAAAGGAAGAAAGGTTTTATTAACTTTTTACTATTTCTATTGCATAAAATATATGTTTATATATTTTATATGCACATATGTATCTTTTTCTATTATTTCTGTAATATTCTCCTACAGGGACCATTGTAGCAGACCCAGCATCTAAGGCATTATTTTGAAGCACCTCCAGTAGCATGTCTGGGAATATAATAATATTGTGAGTATTGTAAGCTACATGCTCCGGGGAACATGGACAGTAAATAGCTGAAGTCAAATATCCCATCATGGCTGAAGGTAAAACGGCAATTTCTTTTACATCGTATACCTCTAACAGCATACCCGATAAAAGCCATGTTTTTCTAGATAAAACACAGAACCCAATGATACGTTATTTTTTCCTGAGTTAAGATTCATCTAGCTTAAATGCATATTTTTGCAAAATCCATCCACCCACACTCTAAAGCTATACTCAAGTACGCAGCCAGACAGACATCAACAAGAAGAAATCTTGAGGAATTAGAAAGAGTAAGTATCAATATGTCAAAAAATATTTGTTTAGCTACATAATTAAAAGAAGAAGGCTGCTTTTATAATTTAAGTGGCAAGATACACATTTTAAAATGTTATTTTATTTCAAAGTCTAAAGTAACAGTGTAATAGCTGTAAAAAAATGTTCACTGGTGTTTAAGACATTACAGCTATGATCTATAACCAGAATTCGGTATGAATATCTTTCAGCGTAATAGCTTTTTATCAGGAAAAGATCAAAGAAATTTAACAGCCTTTTTATAAAATTATAGCCTTCCTTCCTTTGATGACAGTACAGTAGATGTGGGCGTGTACACATTTACATTAATGTGTGCTCTTCGGGAAAAACTTGGGGTCAAATTTTCTTGCTTATGGTCATGTTGAGTTTCATTAGCCCTACTAGTTCCACTTCTATTCCTTGTGAAATCTATTTTCTACCCTAAAGGTGAAGTACAAAGTGTGACCCATGAGGAGGTGTGCTGCACTCCAAAATAACTATGTGGATTTTCCATTTTATACAGGCAGAAATTCAGGGGAACATGTGTGGGAATGCATAAAAATGGTGTTGGATAATGGTGGAAGGAATATGAAGTCGGATCAAGCCAAATTTGTTGATAATGGCTCACTAAGTAGAGATTCTGCATTTAATGTTGCATCCTAGGAAGTTAGAAAGGGCTCTAACATTTTGTTTGGTTGAGTGGCTGAAACATGGACCAAAAGGCAGCCCACAGTGAGTGAACTAAAAATGCTTAATGTGCCTTGGTTTAACACAGAGGAAGTGATTCAAAAGCGTCAGGAGATCACACTGTTAGAGTGGATTGGTCATTTAAGACCTACTCACCCACACTGACAAAGTCATACCTTTAACCAATAATGTGAGAAATAAATCTGTGAGTGATGCTCCAGCATCCTTGAAGAGCTCTGTGATAGTCAAGATTCAAGAATTCAAGTCCAGGAATCAAGGGAAAGAAATAAAAGTGGTATAACTCACTATTAAACCTAGTGACCCACTAGTAAAATTTTTGCTTTCTGTTCCCACGATCTTAGGCTTTGCTGGCCTAGAGGTCTTAGTTCTGATTGGAAGAAGCCTCCACTGAGAGAGATAATGATGCCATTGAAGAGGAAATTAAGACTGCCACCTGGCCACTTTGAACTTCTCATGCCTTTGAATCAACAGGCAAAGTAGGGATTACTGTGTTGATGGGATGACTCATCTTGACTACCGAAGGGAAATTGGACTACCACTTCACAACGGAGTTAAGGAAGAGTATGTCAAGAGTAGAGAAGATCCCTTAGGGCATCTCTTAGTATTACTATACCCTATGATTGAGGTCAACGGAAAACTACAACAACCAATGCACACAGGACTACTAATGGCCCAGACACTTTAGAATGAAAGTTTGGGTTACTCCATTAGACAAAGAATAATGACTGGCTGAGGAATACAAAATAGATAGTTTAAAAAAAAAAAAAAAACAGGTATAAATACCATCTATGACCACATGACCAGTTACAGAAGTGAGGATTAATTGTCACTGGTATTTCTTCCTTATTTTGTTATAAATATGTCTGTATGTGCATATATGTAGCAAATCTCTTTTTCTTTCCTCTCTTATTTCCTCACCATGTAATATAAGATATATCAATTTTATATCATAAAATTTAAGTATTGTTAATTTTACATCATTCAAGGACTTTACCACCTCTTCTAAGGAAAGGGTTAATGAGTTTTCAGTTGTACACAGGATACATGTATCTGAGTTTTCAGTCGTACACAGGATACCTGTATCATGTTAAGTGGAATTATAATCTGGTTATTTTCTTCATTTGGAGATTATATATGGTTTAAAGAGATGTGAATGGATACCAAGATGACAAATGGTTGACTTGTATTAGTTAATTTTATGTGTCAACTTGGCTGAGCCATGAGGTACCCAGATTATTTGGTTGAAAATTATTATAGATGTGTTTGTGAGGGTGTTTCTAGAAGAGATTAATAACCGAATCAGTAGACTGAGTAAAGGAAATTGCCCTCTCCCATGTGAGTGGGCCTTATTTAATTCATTGAAGGTCTGAATAGAATAAAAAGTGCAATAAGGGAGAATTCACTCTCTTCCTGTTTTTGAGCTAAGATAATAGTTTTTTCCTGCACTCCAAAGGAAACGCTTACCATTGGCTCTTTTGGTTCTCAGGCATTCACACATAGAAGATATAAATATCTGTATTTAGATAGAGAGATGATAGATAGATAGATAGATAGATAGATAGATAGATAGATAGATAGATAGATCTTCTGTTGGTTCTGTCACTCTGGAGAACCATGACTAATATATCCACATATTTTGACAAAGCTGAATTAAACCAGAGTTTAAAATTTTCAGTAACAAATCCTTATGGAACAATTTTAATTACATATTAAAAATTTAATAGTGCATTGTATATCTACACATTTAAATATTGCAAATTGGTTGTTAATTTATTAAACGATTCAAATTCAGTAAGAATTTTTTGGGAAAAAGACTGAGATTTATTCAAAATCTTGGGATATTTATGTTATGTTTTATAGCTCACATTTGAAAACAAAATATAAACATAAACATATTAATTCTTAACATAGGGTTAAGATGACATATCTTCTTCTTTAAAAATCATTTTAAAAAATCCAGCAATATGAAGGACAGAAATTAAGTAACTTTCCTAAGGTCACACATCCAATAAATGGATATAAAGGAAGAGGAAGGAGATGTAATAAACCCTTCTTGTACTTATTTTTAGATATTGCCAAATAACTGCATTAGCAATCTGAAAATTATTTCCAATATCTCTTTCTCTCTCTTTTTTTTTTTTTTTTTTTTTTTTGAGACAGAGTTTCGCTCTTGTTGCCCAGGCTGGAGTGCAATGGCACGATCTTGGCTCACTGCAACCTCCACCTCCCGGGTTCAAGCAATTCTCTTGCCTCAGGCTCCCTAGTAGCTGGAATTACAGGCACCTGCCACCATGCCCAGCTAAGATAGTGTGCCACATACATATTATTCTCTGGAGTTTTTTTAATCCCAATAAATAACATTATTTTGAATGTGTTTTGATTGAAAAATCTTATTCATATGTAAATATATCCATTGAGTAAAGATATACAAACACTGATATTTGTTAGGAAGCAATACCAATGATGTTTTATTTTGTGCCCTCAGTGACAAGTTATTTACTCTACTAACACTAAAGGTTTATAAATGTGATAGAAGCAGCCCACTAATGTTTTATAATAGGTGAGAAAATGTGTACATTTCTGGCAGCAAAGTATCAAAACCTAGCTCATTGATAAAGCACATTGCATATGAGGTTTTATCATAACTATTGCTCTTAAAGTGGGACCCAATGTCTTAAAAGAAGGGAGAGAAAGAAATGGTTTGTAGCATGATCAATATCTGTCTTAAGCAATCATATTTAAACCTGTTGAGTTGTACAAATTCAGTTCTAGGGTGGGGCTTCCACTCACCTTTCAAGAGAATTTAGTGCAGCTTTTAAGACAAATCTAAATATAGTTATGCATTGCTTAATGACGAGAATACGTTCCGATAAATGCATTGATAGGCGATTTCATCATTGTGTGTATATTATAGTGTATTCACATAAACCTACATGTTATAGCCTACTCCACACCTGGGCTATATGGTATAGCCCATTGTTCCTAGGCTACAAACCTGTATAGCATGTTACCGTACTGAGTAGGTAATTATAACACAATGAAAGTATTTGTGTATCTAAACACATCTAACCACAGAAAAGGTGCAGTAAAAATAAGGTATTATAATCTTATGGGACTACCATCATATATGCAGTCCATTGTGGACTTATCAGCATAATGCCCTTATCAGCATATGACTTTTAACTCTTTAATTTATGAACACGTTTTGTTATAAATCTAACAAAGGTGGTAACTAAAAAGAAAAAAATAGTTATCCACAAAGCCATCAGTACAGGCCAATGATTTTTTTTTTTTTTGCCTGTTCGTCCAGTTCTTGTTTGTATCTCATAATTCATAGATTGTAATCATAGGAATGCATACTTAATATAAATTTTCTGTGTCTTTTCCTCACATAATTATCATCTCAAATATATACATACCAATATCATGAATATATATATATATATATATACATATATATATAGTTTTTTGAGACTGAGTTTCATTCTTGTTGCCCACGCTAGAGTGCAATGGTGCCATCTTGGCTCACTGCAACCTCCGCCTCCCAGTTTCAAGCTATTCTCCTGCCTCAGCATCTCGAGTAGCTGGGATTACAGGCATGTGCCACCACGCCCGGCTAAATTTTTTTGTATTTTTGGTAGAGTCGGGGTTTCACCATGCTGGCCAGGCTGATCTCAAACTCCTGACCTCAGGTGATCCACTTGCCTCGGGCCCCCAAAGTGCTGGGATTACAGGTGTGAGCCACCGCGCCTGGCCATGAATCAATATTAAATTTTAATTTATCTTTCCATTTTCTTTGAGACACTTAGTTTTTTTTTGTGCCTTCTCTCTTTTATTAATAATACTACCATAAACATTTTTGTATAGCATTCATTTCACTTTTGGATTAGTTCCTAGAATAAATTCTTGACATTACGATAACTGTTTCAAAGGAATAAAAATATTCTCTCCCATTTCAAGAGGGAACTAATATACTAAGAATTAATTAATTCCTTTCCAACAATTCTGATAACAGCATATACACCCTCCATAACTTAGTCACGTTTTTAATTTTCCTTTTTTTCTTGAGCTTTGGAAGATTCATTTATACAGCAGCAGATCCTATTAAATCAGCTCCCCTTGAGTCAGTACAGTTTGTGAAAAATGAATACTCAGAAATTACAGTATAAAATACCACACGGACGACCTTCCAAAGTCTCCTTCCCTGGCTCCGTCCCCGGGTCACACCTCCAGAGCTAGTCATTTGCTTCCAGAGTGCACTGTCGTCCCAGTGCTGGGCCTGGGTCTCTGCTCAGCTCTGATTCCTGAGTCCCTGAATGAAGAAGAAATGAAGAGCATGGAAGACTCCAGGCGCACAATCTTCTTGGCCGGACAAACAGCCTGCTGGAGACACTTGCGTTTGAACTGTCCAGGCTGCCGACAAGATGCTGTTTTCTCCTATATCTCACGAAGGCTGTGGCATTAAACGTTTGTCTCCATTTGCTTTTCACCAAGTTCTTCCAGATCTGGGTGCTGAGGGACTCGTGGGTTTTCTTTTCCTTTTAATTTTGATTTTTGTTGTTGTTTTGCTTTTCTGAGAACTTAAGAGGTAAAAATGGAGCTGGAGATCTTTCCAACTAATTTCCTTCTGCCGTTTCAAAATTTGTTTAATAGAATAGTGGAGCTTATTTCACTTGGATATATCTTTGAAACACAAATAATGGACCAACTATGTTGACAGACAGGAGTCTAGTGTAGAAGAACCCAGTCATGGCATCTGTACTACCTGGGTTCAAATCTCAGCTTAGCTACCTGGGTCTTGGTGCCACCTTTTAAAGGAGACACTGGAAAAGCAGAGCAAACAAAATTATGAGGGTCTGGGAAACATGCCCCAAGGAACAGTTGAACGAAGCAGCAATGTTTAGTCTGGAGATACGGTCACACGATGAGAATGTGCTTGCTGACCTGGAAAACCTGAAGAGCTGTCCTGGAGAAGACAGAGTTGATAGATTCTGTTTCATGTTGGAGAAGAGAACACATAGAAGTCACAGGAGGCAGTTTTGCCTTTATAGAGGATGGTGTTTCTAATAATTATAGTGTTTTAGGAATGAGCCTGGCTTCCACCTGGAGCAGCAAGCTTCTTTCCACTAGAAGATTTCTAGCAGCAGCCAAATGACCACCTATCCTAGGTGGCACAAGTTATAGGCTGAAGTCAAGACAGGAAGGCAGGGGATTGGGGAACTGGCTAAGCTTCTTGGAAGCAATTTAGGAACACTGCCTGAGATCCTAGATAGGGCACCAGCATGAACAAGGCAGGCATCTTTCTAGGAGAGGGCTGGAAAATTACTGATAATTAATCTAGAGGTTAATTCATAAACCAAAAAAAAAATGGAAACAAGAATATTTTAAGGACTTTTTCAGTAATTTACCAATGAAGTTATCTTCAAGAACTGATTCATCTTAAACCATAATTTCTGACAATAAATCTGCAATTGTTTCTCTGTGTTATAGCTTTATAATTATCTTCTGAAGCTATAAAATAAGAGTTATTTTTCTCTCTAAAAGTATGTGCACATTAGCCTCATATTAAAATACAATTTTCTTTCTAAATTTAAGTTATATCCCTTAGATTACTCTGCTTTACAGAACTTCCCTGAAGTTAGAAGTAGAAAGGAGAGAACATTCTACCTCAGAGGGTCTTTCGTCAAATGCCACAATTCATCTCCCAAGGACATCATAGGTATTACAGTGGAGGCCTGTTAATAAGACTCAAAAATAGGATTGCTGCAAGAAACCTACAGAAATTTTCTCATCATTTTTAAAATTTGTAATGTAAATTTCGGTAAGATAATTTTTTTTCCTTATTTGTTCTTTGTTTAGTTTTTCTGGGCTCAGCTGAGTGGTGGTCTCTTGTTTAAACTGTGTTTAAATTTTCCTTTGTACTGAATTTTGTTTGAAAACTTACAGGTGAAAAATCCAGGAATATTAATGCCCCAGGATCATTGGCTTTAAAAAGATCTTAACAAATGGCATCATCAGACGTTTGGGAAAACTTAACTATTTTAAAGGGAAGCAAGTCAAGCCTTTTATGCTGAAACTCAGCTCACACTGAGTGTTTATTGCTGGCTCTGCTCAGGTCTCTGCAGCCACGATGACCCAGCCTTTCTCCCTTCCCTTTTCCCTTTATGACTTTCCTCAATATGAAGGGTTTTCACAGCTGTGTGGATTGAGTAGTTTCCCAATTGTGCACATCCTGTAATTTCCACCTCCAAAGCCTGTCAGAAGAAAAGTCTCCAAGGAAACTTTCTCCTTGCTGAAGTCCTCAGTCACCCCTTCTCTGCATAAGAAAAGAACAGGAAGGATTTGCCAAATTTTCTTGAAAGTAAAAACTGGTATATTTCAGGTTGTAAAAGAAAGAACAGGCCAGGCGCGGTGGCTCACGTCTGTAATCTCAGCAATTTGGGAGGCCGAGGTGGGTGGATCACAAGGTCAAGAGATAGAGACCATCCTGGTCAACATGGTGAAACACCGTCTCTACTAAAAGTACAAAAATTAGCTGGGCATGGTGGCATGTGCCTGTAGTCCCAGCTACTCGAGAGGCTGAGGCAGGAGAATTGCTTGAACCCAAGAAGCGGCGGTCACAGTGAGCTGAGATCGCACCACTGCACTCCAGCCTGGCGACAGAGCGAGACTTCATCTCAAAAAAAAAAATTGTTTTTGTCATATAATTTTGGAAAAGAAAGAACAGACCAGCAGCAAAGTAGTAGTTAGATGACTTAAATTCCAAGTCCTTTAATTTTATCTAACTAATTTATTTAATTCTAATTTCATCCATACTTATGCAAACTTCTAAAAATTACTGAACCCTGTGATGTCTCAGTTTCCTCAAATATAAAATGCTAATGTTCATACTTGTCCTGTTATGATGAGTCGTGACTGTGTTGAGCTTCCCTGAATTAAACCTCTCCCCCACCATGAAGTGAGAAACTGCCATAGCAGGATTCTTAGTGGTAGGGGAGCCACTCAACACTAGGAGTCCAAAAGGCCAACACTTACTCCTTGTTCTCCTGTGTTTTGGGCAGCCAGGGCATAGGCCTATGACTTAAGCTTGAATAATACCATCCTGCTTAGACTTTTGAATTCCCAGTGACAGAGAAATGTTTATTGGTCAGTGGCTACAGTGACATACAGAGTCCAAGAGCAACAGAGACAGAAGCTTCAGGGCTGCTGACTCATACCAGGTGCTGGCCAGAGTAGGGGTCACTGCAGGGCCCAGTGTCCAGCAGAGACCACAGTGCAGTACCCACCAGACCATTACTTGGGGTGGCCTCAACTTCTGGTTCCTGTTCATTTGTTTTGATCTTTATGCTCAATCTTCCGAGATCCTGAGTCTTTCCAGGAATTATGGGAACTATTCAATATATTTTCATTTCTCTATTGCTTAATTCAGCCAAAGTCAGTTTCTGTTGATTGTTACTAAGAAAACTGAATAATATGCTTGGTTCCCTCACAAAGCTGTTGTGAAATCTGGCTGAGTTTTATTTAAACTGAAAGTACTTGAGAAAGAATAAACTGTAATCGAATTTAATGTGACAAGTATTTATTAAGGCTTTTACGGGGTTAAAGGATGAGAAAGATGCAGTCTGTGAGCTCAAGATGGTTTCAAAATAGTAACAGGCACAAGAACACAGGCAAGTGTAACACAGCTTATGGTAGCAGAGAGTGGCCTCACATGAGAAATACACAATGGAGTTGGTGCAAAAGGAAGAAGGTGGTGAAAAACAGTTAAAAGTTGCGCAGTTTGTATTAAAGTGCATAGATGACAAAGATTCCACGGAAAAGGAAGGATTTGACATCATCCTTGCAGGTCAAACTGTCCATAATGTAGGATATAGACACCAGTCCTTGGAATCAGGAATCTCTCATTCTTTTCAGCTTGATTCCCAGGTCTTAACCTCCTTGTCTCTGTTTCCTCTAATATGAAATGAGGAAGCATTACATGGTCTGTAAGGCTGACTGATTCCCAAGGACAGACAGGGATAATGTTACAGAAGAAAAAAAAGAGCAGAGTGAACCAACAATTAAGGGTAAAAACATGTGAGATGAGGAAAGGTCTAGAAGCAAGACAGTTGGTGTGTTCACAAAAAAATCTGTAGTTTAGTATGGAAAGTAAAGATGAAGAGAATGAGTTTCATTCAATAAGCAATGAGAGGTTATAATTCAAAGAAACTTGGATGTAAAATAATGGTGAACTGAGCTAGGATAATGACAGACAGTAGTGGAAAGAGAAGACAGTTGTAAGATACACTGTGGAAACAGATTTTCCCCAACTTGATGGACTGGAGAGAGAGATAGGAGTTGTGGTCAAGGTAACTTGTGACGTTACCTTATAGAAGGTTCATGAGTCAGTTTGATGAAAAAGTTGAAGAAGCAGATGTACATGATTCACAGGATTCTGAAAGACACAGATGTGTGCAAAGATTGCGGGGCTATCTTAGTTAAGGGAGAATGCTATTCTACAGATGAGAAAAATTAAGCATAATTGTAATCAAAGATGGAGCAACTAGAAAGACTGGAAATACAGATAAATGAAAACTAATAACCAATAGATATAATTGATAGGTATATTATCATTTATGATAATGAAACATTCTAATCTTTCATTTAAATTATAAGAAATAAATCTAAAAAATACACAGAGAGAGAGAGAGAAAAGAGAGAAAGGTGTTTGAAAAAAATGATCCTTTCTCTTCATTTCCACTTTGCATATATACCTATACATAAACACATATTTCATTTTATATTTGTATATAAATGACCTCCTCCTCAATTACACATTTTTAGAGATGTGTAATTGAGCAAATGGAAAGGCCAGTTTCAAAACAGGTTTTCTGGCTTCTAGTCCAGTGCTCTTTCTTCTTCCCCACATAGACTCCCATCTGAACATAGCTTTGTCTGGAAAGTCTGGGCGCTTGTGAAGCCATATGTTACTCAATAATAAATCCATCTTGAAAATTCGCCTATCCTTATGATGAGTTTAATTAAGTTTTGCATTTCTAGACTTTTATTTCAATTTTATTTTTTATTTAAAAATAGTTACTTAGAGATGTTGTATTTAAGCTGTCCACGTCAATTAATACAAATGTTGTTCTGTATATTTTACAGCAAGCAAATGGAAAGGCCAGTTTCAAAACAGGTTTTCTGGCTTCTAGTCCAGTGCTCTTTCTTCTTCCCCACATAGACTCCCATCTGAACATAGCTTTGTCTGGAAAGTCTGGGCGCTTGTGAAGCCATATGTTACTCAATAATAAATCCATCTTGAAAATTCGCCTATCCTTATGATGAGTTTAATTAAGTTTTGCATTTCTAGACTTTTATTTCAATTTTATTTTTTATTTAAAAATAGTTACTTAGAGATGTTGTATTTAAGCTGTCCACGTCAATTAATACAAATGTTGTTCTGTATATTTTAGGCAGAAACAATTGAGCCGTTCGCAAGGGGCATGAATTTGAGTTCTACATTTTCTGACCTAGTAGCAGTGATACATTTTTGATTAGTAGTGTTTCTGGCAAGAATGAGACCTATAGCCAATGGCCAAGGGACATGAGGAAGCAAAATAGCAGGTCGTCCATAAATTTGGTCTTATGCCACAAGCTTATTAAAACCAAAAGGGAATTTGTCCACAAAGACTGACTCTCTTGTTTTACAGTTGAGAAGACTATAGTTGCAAAACATAAAGAGGATTGCTGTAAGTCATAATTTAGTGGATGTCAAAACCGCTACTGGAACCCACCTCTTGGTTAATGAGTCCGTAGCTGTTTGTCCTCACCCCTCAGTGCTGCTCTGAAATCGATGAAGTTTTGTGTTTATGGTCAAACCATGGTTTTGATGCCACTGAAGAATAAGCATTTGTTGAGAATGAATAAAGATGTTTCACAAGAAACTTCAATAATTCATCTGTAAGTATTTTAAAAGTGTCTATAAGGCAATCTTCTCTATTGGAATCTTATGACCCGGTGGAGAAGCATAAGGAAAATGAAATAAACTATATAATGAAAACTATAATTCTCAAAATTTAACTAGATGTATTTTTAGTTCCAGTCTGACCTCCAGTCCTAGACCTACTAGGTATTAGGTATTTCCTACTAATAGGTAGTAGTTAGGTAATAGTTAGGTAGACCTACTAGGTACTAGGTATTAGGTATTAGGTATTTCCACCTAAATACCTTGCCTGAATCATAAATTAATTACATTGCTTCCTTTATTTTAGAAAACAAGTTCTCTAGTGCTTAATCTTAGTCTGTGAGTTTTAGCAATCAATAATTTTAACTCTAAGTTGATATGAGACAACACTTTGGTATGACTTTAAAGTAGCAAACAAATTTAAGAATGTATTTTAAGGAATATTTTGCCCATGGTATGTATAGGAAGCGTTATAAGGCTTAAGGAAGTAAGAAGTGAAGTGTTAAGCTCGAATTTTGTAAAAAAAAAAAAAAAAAAAAAATCACATTTGCTAACTTATTCTTCATGAAATTGAGTGATATTGAGAACGCTGACTGTAAAATAATAATTTTCTTGCTATTTTAGCATTCATATCTTTTAACACTGAACTAGGAGCCTAAACAGAGATGATCTTCATCAATAATATTTGCTCTCAAATAAAAATTTGACATCTCATTGTTTTGTCAATGATCATCAATGTAAAATATATTTAGCCAAATGATAGTTTGAGTTACCTTCTATTTGATTTACAAGACAAATAACTAAGACATTTACCAAAAAATAATAATAATCTCTAAAAATCATTCTATCACTTCGATCAAGGCAGACAAAATTAAAAAGTCAAAAAGATTATAGTTTATTGATTTCCTTAGGCTATGTAAAAATAAATGTGGTCCTGTATTTTTCTTACCATGAAACAAAATATTGAACTCTGCCCTTGAGGCATACTACCATACTTCAAATGCTGATCTTATCATTGCTTGCAAGTCAAACAGAGTTGGACTTTAAAAGGAGGAAAGGAAAACCCTGGAGCCACTAAGAAGCATCAAGGGTCAAGCTGTTAGTCTGGTTCTGCTCAGAATTTACCCAGGGTCACAATGCCTGGATAAGGCCACTTTGCTTCCAGATGACATTTTTCAATACAAACACACAACCAGAATTTGAAATTTACTATAAAAAGAGCCATATTCTGAAATTGGTTTTCTAGTTTACTTGGCATCTTATTTGTTTTAATTTGGAACAGGAAATAGCAGAATTTCCCCCCATGTTCCGCATTTTGAATTCTGTATGCGATAATAAATAATCATATAAATTATAAAATAATAATGACAAAGCAAATAGGAAATTGGTAAAGAGTTAGATGGGGGATTTTCTAATGTATTTAAAGTAAGGGCCACATCCCTTCTATGCTCCTGGATGCCCATTTTGTAATAAATTGTGAAATGTATCCATCAGTTTCTAAGTTGTAGTTAAAAGCTCCTCAAACAATGCACAGCACACAGAATAATCTTAATTAATATTTAATTAACTAAATGTTACTTGTTTGCGTGCTTGCACACTTGCTTGGATGAGTGACTCCTTTAAATTGATCTCTTGCTTCTTTTTGAAAGATTTTAGAACTTCCTGTCTATGATTCCTGGAAACGGACACCACTCAGTAGGTTTCATGGAAAGGAATCTGGCATCTCCCAGCCATACTTATGTACAGAGTTTGTGCTGCAGCCTGGAAAATAGCTGTAACTGTGTCAAGCAAGGATCAAAATCCTGGTCTGGAGGAGCTCAAGCTGAAAACACAAAGGCTTAAAAGGATAGGCACTTCTTACTGAAATTACTCCCATAGGCACCTTCTAGCTTCAATTTAGACTGAAATGTAAAAAGACATTAACAATTTCTTATATTTCCCTCTTTTCCAAATTCAAAATCCCTTGGAGCAGGAAAAGGGCAATTATGGCTAATTATGACTATTACTCCAATTCTATGCTCCTGTTAGCAATCAGATTTGCATTACTGGAGAAAAAAAATATTATCCTAAATAAAACATTCTGACTATGATTGCTTAGGAGCCAATCCGAAAATGATTAAGTTTAAATTACAAGGGATCTTTTTTGAGGGGGGGAGGAGAGTTGATAAAAAAACCTTTTAGAAAGGGAATCTACACACTACTAAAACCAAACAAACACAAGGGGGCAGGAAGAGCTCAAGCTCTGACTTCAAAACCTGTTGGCTGAAATGAGAGCTAAACTATTTTAGTGTGCCCTCCGGATATTTATCAATTTTCGTGGCATGCAAAGAAATGTGATGCTGACAAGTAGATTTAGTTTGTGCTTGGTCTAATTACTGCGAAGAGAACAGGAACGTCTCTAATGACAGCTACCCTAACAGAGTCGGATTTGGGAGCGCCTGGGGCCACATTCCCTAGAATTTATTCTTTGGTGCAAGACTAGCAATTCTGATCAGACTGCATTTCTCACGCATTCCAAATGCCCTTTTTCCCTTTTACTCTGTGAACCTCGGTTGCAAAGGAGGGGCTTGTTAAAAACTCACCAATCGGAGGACTGTGCCCATTGTAATTCACGAGGAGAAGGCAGCGTCTGGGCGCGCCGAAGGGGGCTGGGCTGGAGTGCAACCTGCTCTAGCTATGGCTTTTAATTCCAGCTGTCCTTTTGCAAATATGCCCCAGAATTTCTTCTCAAACGCTCTGGGTTTCGCTTCAAACTCAAAAAGCATTGCGTCTAACTTTCCCCTGGGTTTGCAAGTTTCCTTGGGAAATGGCCATGCCCTGCGCGGGATTTCATTGACTAGGGCGGAGGGGTGGGGGTGGCTAAAATGGGTAACCCTCGGTCGCCGGCAGATGAAGTGAACCCAGCACAGCAGTGTGTTCCGGCTCCTCTGCAGGAGTACCAGATCTATTAATAGCAGCCCAGAGAGTAGCGCAAGCAGGGGTGGGCAACTCCTGGCCACTTCTTCCCTCACTTCCAGGACAACCTGTTGCGCCTCTATCTCCTCCCCTCCCCGCAGTTTCCCCGCCTTGGCCTCTAAGAGCTGATTGGCAGAAATTACTACCCAACCCTCAGCTCCGCACCTCCTCCCCCGACCAACGATTGGCCACCTGGGAGGACTGGAGTAAGGGGTGCGAGCGGAGGGATTTCCCTCAAAGCCCAGGGTCCGGGGACCTGGAAAGTAGAAGTGGAGGGATTCAATTCTCCGCGCGATTGAGGCGCTAGCGGCGGAGCTGGACGGCCTGGGAAGGCTTCGGCTCCTCGGCTGCGGCTCCAGCCCGGACGGCGCCGCGCAACTTTGCCATCCTTCTGGCCCAGCCCCGGCTACAGGAGGACCCCGCGGGCAACGCGCGGAGTTCCTGGCACTTCCCGGCGGTGTCTCTTGTTGTCTGCCCGGGGACCGACTTCGCATGCTCTCAGGCTGACCTGTCCAAGCCCGAACACCGGGACCATGCACTCAGCCGGGACTCCCGGGTTATCCTCGCGCCGGACAGGCAACTCCACCAGCTTTCAACCAGGACCGCCACCGCCGCCCCGGCTGCTGCTGCTGCTGCTGCTTCTCCTGTCACTGGTAAGCCGCGTCCCGGCACAGCCCGCTGCCTTCGGCAGGGCGTTGCTGTCCCCTGGTCTCGCGGGGGCTGCAGGGGTCCCTGCTGAGGAGGCCATAGTGCTGGCGAACCGCGGACTCCGGGTGCCTTTCGGCCGTGAAGTCTGGCTGGATCCCCTGCATGACCTGGTGTTGCAGGTGCAGCCCGGGGACCGCTGCGCGGTTTCGGTACTAGACAACGACGCACTGGCCCAGCGACCGGGCCGCCTGAGTCCCAAGCGCTTCCCGTGCGACTTTGGCCCTGGCGAGGTGCGCTACTCTCACCTGGGCGCGCGCAGCCCGTCTCGGGACCGCGTCCGGCTGCAGCTGCGCTATGACGCGCCCGGAGGGGCAGTAGTGCTACCACTGGTACTGGAGGTGGAGGTGGTCTTCACCCAGCTGGAGGTTGTGACTCGGAACTTGCCTCTGGTCGTGGAAGAGCTGCTGGGGACCAGCAATGCCCTGGACGCGCGGAGCCTGGAGTTCGCCTTCCAGCCCGAGACAGAGGAGTGCCGCGTGGGCATCCTGTCCGGCTTGGGCGCGCTGCCTCGCTATGGAGAACTCCTCCACTACCCGCAGGTCCCTGGAGGAGCCAGAGAGGGAGGCGCCCCGGAGACTCTCCTGATGGACTGCAAAGCTTTCCAGGAACTAGGCGTGCGCTATCGCCACACAGCCGCCAGTCGCTCACCAAACAGGGACTGGATACCCATGGTGGTGGAGCTGCGTTCACGAGGGGCTCCTGTGGGCAGCCCTGCTTTGAAACGCGAGCACTTCCAGGTTCTGGTGAGGATCCGAGGAGGGGCCGAGAACACTGCACCCAAGCCCAGTTTCGTGGCCATGATGATGATGGAGGTGGACCAGTTTGTACTGACGGCCCTGACCCCAGACATGCTGGCAGCCGAGGATGCTGAGTCTCCCTCTGACCTGTTGATCTTCAACCTTACTTCTCCATTCCAGCCTGGCCAGGGCTACTTGGTGAGCACCGATGATCGCAGCCTGCCCCTTTCCTCCTTCACTCAGAGGGATCTGCGGCTCCTGAAGATTGCCTACCAGCCCCCTTCTGAAGACTCTGACCAGGAGCGCCTCTTTGAACTGGAATTGGAGGTAGTGGATCTAGAAGGAGCAGCTTCAGACCCTTTTGCCTTCATGGTAGTGGTGAAGCCCATGAACACAATGGCTCCGGTGGTCACCCGGAATACCGGTCTTATTCTCTATGAGGGTCAGTCTCGGCCCCTCACAGGCCCTGCAGGCAGTGGTCCGCAAAACTTGGTCATCAGCGATGAGGATGACCTAGAAGCAGTGCGGCTAGAGGTGGTGGCTGGGCTCCGGCATGGTCACCTTGTCATTCTGGGTGCTTCCAGTGGCAGCTCTGCTCCCAAGAGCTTTACAGTGGCTGAGCTGGCAGCCGGCCAGGTGGTCTACCAGCATGATGACAGAGACGGCTCGCTGAGCGACAACCTGGTGCTTCGCATGGTGGATGGAGGAGGCAGGCACCAGGTACAGTTTCTGTTCCCCATCACCTTAGTGCCTGTGGATGACCAGCCACCTGTTCTCAATGCCAACACGGGGCTGACACTGGCAGAGGGTGAAACAGTGCCCATCCTGCCCCTTTCCCTGAGTGCAACTGACATGGATTCAGATGATTCTCTGCTGCTTTTTGTGCTGGAGTCACCCTTCTTAACTACGGGGCATCTGCTTCTCCGCCAAACTCACCCTCCCCATGAGAAGCAGGAACTTCTCAGAGGCCTTTGGAGGAAGGAGGGGGCATTTTATGAGCGAACAGTGACAGAGTGGCAGCAGCAGGACATAACAGAGGGCAGGCTGTTCTATAGACACTCTGGGCCCCATAGTCCTGGGCCAGTCACAGACCAGTTCACATTTAGAGTCCAGGATAACCATGACCCTCCTAATCAGTCCGGGCTACAGCGGTTTGTGATTCGTATCCATCCTGTGGATCGCCTCCCTCCGGAGCTGGGCAGTGGCTGTCCCCTTCGTATGGTGGTACAGGAATCCCAGCTCACACCACTGAGGAAGAAGTGGCTGCGCTACACTGACCTGGACACAGATGACCGAGAACTACGTTACACAGTGACTCAGCCCCCCACAGACACAGACGAAAATCACCTGCCAGCCCCACTGGGTACCTTGGTCTTGACTGACAACCCCTCAGTCGTGGTGACCCATTTTACCCAAGCCCAGA
The DNA here is from genome assembly GCF_000001405.40 of Homo sapiens. Taxonomy (NCBI): domain Eukaryota; kingdom Metazoa; phylum Chordata; class Mammalia; order Primates; family Hominidae; genus Homo; species Homo sapiens. The sequence goes on from NC_000013.11 coordinate 38,689,680, forward strand.
TCAACCATCATAAAATTGCTTACAGACCCCCGGGTCAAGAACTGGGCGTGGCTACTCGAGTGGCCCAGTTCCAGTTCCAGGTGGAAGACCGAGCTGGGAATGTGGCTCCAGGTACCTTTACCCTTTACTTGCATCCCGTGGACAACCAGCCACCTGAGATCCTCAACACCGGCTTCACTATTCAGGAGAAGGGTCACCACATCCTGAGTGAGACAGAGTTGCACGTGAATGATGTAGACACTGATGTTGCCCATATCTCTTTCACTCTCACTCAGGCACCCAAACATGGCCACATGAGAGTGTCTGGACAGATCCTGCATGTAGGGGGTCTCTTCCACTTGGAGGACATAAAACAGGGCCGAGTTTCCTATGCCCATAATGGGGACAAGTCCCTGACTGATAGCTGCTCCTTGGAAGTCAGTGACAGACATCATGTGGTGCCCATCACTCTCAGAGTAAATGTCCGGCCAGTGGATGATGAAGTGCCCATACTGAGCCATCCTACTGGCACTCTGGAGTCCTATCTAGATGTCTTAGAAAATGGGGCTACTGAAATCACTGCCAATGTTATTAAGGGGACCAATGAGGAAACTGATGACTTGATGTTGACTTTCCTCTTGGAAGATCCACCTTTGTATGGGGAAATCTTGGTCAATGGCATTCCAGCAGAGCAGTTTACTCAAAGGGACATCTTGGAGGGCTCTGTTGTATATACCCACACCAGTGGTGAGATAGGCCTATTGCCTAAAGCGGATTCTTTTAACCTGAGTCTGTCAGATATGTCTCAAGAATGGAGAATTGGTGGCAATACTATCCAAGGAGTTACTATATGGGTGACCATCCTGCCTGTTGATAGCCAGGCCCCAGAAATCTTTGTAGGTGAACAGTTGATAGTAATGGAAGGTGATAAAAGTGTTATAACATCAGTGCATATAAGTGCTGAAGATGTCGACTCCCTGAATGATGACATCTTGTGCACTATAGTTATTCAGCCTACTTCAGGTTATGTTGAAAACATTTCTCCAGCACCAGGCTCTGAGAAATCAAGAGCAGGGATTGCCATAAGTGCTTTCAACTTGAAAGATCTCAGGCAGGGCCACATAAACTATGTCCAGAGTGTCCATAAAGGGGTGGAACCTGTGGAGGACCGATTTGTATTTCGTTGTTCTGATGGCATTAACTTTTCAGAGAGACAGTTCTTCCCCATTGTAATCATTCCCACCAATGATGAACAGCCAGAGATGTTTATGAGAGAATTTATGGTGATGGAAGGCATGAGTCTGGTAATTGATACACCCATTCTCAATGCTGCTGATGCTGATGTTCCCCTGGATGATTTAACTTTCACTATTACCCAATTCCCCACTCATGGTCACATCATGAATCAGCTGATAAATGGCACGGTTTTGGTCGAAAGCTTCACCTTGGATCAGATCATAGAGAGTTCCAGCATTATTTATGAGCATGATGACTCCGAGACCCAGGAAGACAGTTTTGTGATTAAACTAACAGATGGGAAGCACTCTGTGGAAAAGACGGTCCTCATTATAGTTATCCCTGTTGATGATGAGACGCCCAGAATGACTATCAATAATGGACTAGAAATAGAAATTGGGGATACCAAGATTATCAACAACAAAATATTAATGGCAACAGATTTAGATTCAGAAGACAAATCTTTGGTTTATATTATTCGTTATGGGCCAGGACATGGCTTATTACAGAGACGAAAACCTACTGGTGCCTTTGAAAATATCACACTGGGCATGAATTTTACCCAGGATGAAGTAGACAGAAACTTAATTCAGTATGTCCATTTGGGGCAAGAGGGCATTCGGGACCTAATTAAATTTGATGTGACTGATGGAATAAATCCCCTCATAGATCGTTACTTTTATGTGTCCATCGGGAGCATTGACATTGTCTTCCCTGATGTGATAAGTAAGGGAGTGTCCTTGAAAGAAGGTGGCAAAGTCACTCTTACAACAGACCTACTAAGCACTAGTGACTTGAACAGTCCTGATGAAAACTTGGTTTTTACCATCACCAGGGCTCCCATGCGAGGTCACCTGGAATGCACGGATCAGCCTGGTGTGTCCATCACGTCTTTCACTCAGCTGCAACTGGCTGGAAACAAAATCTACTACATCCACACAGCTGATGATGAAGTGAAAATGGACAGTTTTGAGTTTCAAGTCACCGATGGACGTAACCCTGTCTTTCGGACATTCCGTATCTCCATTAGCGATGTGGACAATAAAAAGCCAGTGGTCACCATCCACAAGCTGGTTGTCAGTGAAAGTGAAAACAAGCTGATTACTCCTTTTGAGCTCACTGTCGAAGACAGAGATACTCCTGACAAGCTCCTGAAATTCACTATCACCCAGGTGCCTATTCATGGCCATCTCCTATTCAACAATACCAGACCTGTCATGGTTTTTACCAAGCAAGACTTGAATGAAAACTTAATCAGCTACAAACATGATGGCACTGAGTCAAGTGAAGATAGCTTCTCCTTCACAGTGACTGATGGCACCCATACAGACTTCTATGTTTTTCCTGATACGGTGTTTGAAACAAGGAGACCCCAAGTGATGAAGATCCAGGTCTTGGCTGTTGACAACAGTGTCCCCCAAATCGCAGTGAATAAGGGGGCCTCTACACTTCGCACTCTAGCCACTGGCCACTTGGGGTTCATGATCACAAGCAAAATATTGAAAGTGGAGGACAGAGACAGCTTACACATTTCTCTTAGATTTATCGTGACAGAGGCCCCTCAACATGGATATCTTCTCAACCTGGACAAAGGCAACCACAGCATCACTCAGTTCACACAAGGTATGTTTCATGTTTCTTTTCTTGGTTATCCTTGTTTCCTGAGAATGTGGCTTCACTAAAAGCCTCACAAACAGAGCATTAAATTAGAGTCCAAGAGAAGGAAAGGAAACAAAGGGGATGGGGAGAATATAGGGACTCACTTTCCTAGGAGGACAGCTCCCTTCTTGTCCTACCTCCCATCTCAGTGGCCTTCATTAGAGGGAGTACTGATGTATTTTGAAAGTGGCAAGGATAGGCTGCCGAAGCAGGAGGTGAACTTTGGTGAATTAAAATCGAAGCAGGCTTTCCAATTCTGCTCCATTTGCCATACCTATCCAACGCATCCTCTGTGTTGTATGCTGCAGGTGGTTCATGAAGCATTTTGGCACCTTAATGAAGGATGTGCTTTCTAAATACTGTTTATTCACATTGCTGTCATTATCAATTACCATTCCAAAAAAGCCTTCAAACTTAGGTTACTTTGAATAAATTTTAAGAGCATTGCTCTGACACGGTTATAGTTGTTAGGAACTTTGTAACTAAAAGATTTGTTTACATTTATTTACTTTGTTGATTTTTAAAATTGTTAATAATATTTCATGACAGGCAAATACTCATCCAGAGACGTAATTGATAAACACCTATCTAGAGTTATAACAATGATATTTACAGGGCATGCTACTAGGATATACATGAAAAAGGAAAGTATACTTAAAGATGTGTAAAATAACAATATGTTCATCACCAAAATATACATCTAATTCATTATTAAGAGCATGAAGATAAGTAGACAAGCTTAATATTAGAAGGGGGAAATTATTTCATCATTGTGAACCTCCTCTCTGACCTGTTGCAAACACAGTGACAAAAAACAGTTGCTTCAGGCACCTGCGGTCTTTAGGCAACAGGATTTTTCTAACCTGAATTTCCTTTGTGGGTGGACACAATCTGAGGCAGAAAGGACAAGTGTCCTATGCAGAGTTATTTAGTGAGGGAAGGGAGAAGCCCATTCACTATACTGGCTTGGGAGTCAGGGCTCCGTTCTGCAGAACATGCAACTTTCATTACAGTGGGATTTGGGTTGCTTTCATGAAAATCTCACCATGTCAGAATGGACACTAGATCTTTCCTATGTGGGATCCATGGGTAGAGATGGAGCTTAACCCCAGGGCATCCCAGTGGGGGTGTTCTTTTCCTGCAACTGTGTTGTACTCTTAGATAACAAATGCTTTAATAAACATGGAAGTAGCAAAATGCACTGTTAAAGTGGACTACTTCTCTGTTTGAGGTGCTGGCAAATAGCTCCACACTCCAACCTCCTGATTCTTGGCTAAAAGCCTGAATGTCTCCCAGGGCCTGCAGGGACAGGAAAACCTCAAAGTGCCAAGTGTCATGCCAGACCAGTAGGAAACTTTTATGTGAAGGCTTTCTGAGGCTAGCGATGCCATGCCGTCTTACACTGGTTTATTTTCATGGAGAGGGAAGAGAATGAAAGGAATATATTAGATAATAGAAAATGGTTCTTCAAATTACTCCTCTGACCTGAAAAAGAAATCTGATTTAGAGATTTTTAAAAGGACTATTTTGATGAAGACAGGCAAATGATTTAATTTAAATTCTGTGGACTAAGTCCAACAGCTCACAATATTAGAATATTATTTCTGAAATTTTGAACTCTAAAAATTATGCTATTTCATTATAGGCAGTTGTTCTTTCTCTTACTGACTTTGAGTCACCATGATTAATTTTTGTCATCTTTGTAAATGTAGAGAAGTTATGCTTATTATGTGATGTGACTTTTTAAGAATTTTTAAGGAAAATTATCACATTCCAATATAAACCAAAATATTGACTAGGGAAGCTGTTGGTATTCAATCACATGGCACTCATTCAAACAAGTCAAGGCTAGACTTTGATCCGTAGCTGTTATTTATGGAGATTAGATAAGTGATTTAAAAAACGGAGAAAGCGCCATCAGAAAGCTACCATGGCTCTTTTTCCACTAGGAGAAATGAAAGCAGTGCTTAAGAGTGAAGACTATGCAGTCCTTTTATTTCTTTTTGTTTTTGCTTTATCATGAAGGGATAAGGTAAACCTATATTTTGATGGATTTTCAATGCATTGAATTAGGTCAGTTTAGCACAGGTAGCTAGAGAAGGTTATTCCTAAATTGATTGACTAAATGGTTCCTAGAAGAAAAAAATTAATTCCTTTCTAAAACTTATTAAATTGATGAAAAGTTAACAATGTATAATTAGGTAAATTATGGATATCATTTATTTATTTCAAACTTCACCTCTTTGCCAAGTTGCCCCTGTTCCCCTTAACCCAGATCTAAATTGCATGTCTCAAGTACCTGGATTTTTCTTCCCTACAATAAGTACGTAATGATATATTCTGTGGGATAATTTATAAGCCAGTTTCAGGAAAGCAGAAATGTCTTCAAAGAGTTTGAACCAGATGTGGCTGCCTGATATGTTAATGAACTTAGAATTAAAAACAAACAAACAAAAAAATCTCATGGAATAATTTTGTAGATAAACTGAAATAAATTTAATGTATATTTAACAACTAGAAGAAAATCTAGATAATTCTTAGATATTTGCTTTAAAAAGATTACATTTTGGCTATTAGATTATATTTCTACTACTTTTGTGTCTTAAGAAAGCTAGACGTTATTACATTTATATATACATAAATATGTAACGTGTGTTTATGTTATTTGTAGAGGTGCCTTTAGAATACCAGTATGATGATGAAAGTCTTTACTTACTTTTTTTAGAGGCTCTTTTTTGAACCATGAATTATTAATTAATTATATGAAAAATATAAAAGGTTTTAGTATGTTCCAACTAATCAATAACACATGCCCTAACTTGGAGGGAAAATTGGGTACCAGAGTGCCATATAGTTGCATTTATGTTTTCTTTATCTGAAAAAAGAAAAGTTCTTAAAATTCTGTTTTGAAGTGAGGATTTATTTCAATGAAACTATCCCTTAACGATTACAATTTCGCTTAAGAAAACATTGATACAGATGCTGGGCATGCTAAACAGTGCCTTTTCTCCTAGTAGAGCCTTTAGATTTTCTTATGCAATTTGAAGGGGTGGGAACATTGGAAGAGGGTCTTCTCCACATGGCCAGAGGTCATGGTTCTTGTGGTAAAGATGTGTAGTCAGCAGAGTTTACTGCATTTTTTTACTGATAAAGTGAAGGTTATACAATTAAGAATTATAACAGTAAACAGGCAAAGAGTTGTGTAGGGGCTTCAGTTCTTACCCTGGCAGAAACATCATACATGCAAAGGTAGAGATACAAGTGTGATCTACCTACTCAGCCTTTTCATTTTAAATTGAGAAACATTTGCGCCTTTGCTACTGTAATATCCTAAGCAAAGAGCTGTGGGAAGTTAAGATAGGAAAAAAAAATCCCAGAAGTTTTTCATCTACTGGGAAAGATAACCATACAGAAAGATAAAAGTGAAACTAGGCAGCAAGTGTGGAAAGTTATAGTAGAGTTAGAAATATGGGGCCTGGCTAGGTGGCTTACACCTATAATCATAGCACTTTGGGAGGCTGATGTGGGAGGATTGCTTGAGGCCAGCCTGGGCGACATAGTGAGACCCACATATCTATATTTTGTTTTAAAAAACAAATGAAGTGCTAAGGGAGAATCAAGCGACTTAGGCATGTTTTACCTCCAAATACCTCTATTAGCAGGAGGGTACCATTAACTATAAAATCAGATTTTCCATTCTGCAAGTGTTCCTAATAATGAGTCACCTTTCAAAACTTTATGAGCCAGGGTAGACCACACATTTTACATCTGTAAAGTGGAGCTATAGAAATTTGTGGCATCATTGGTCCATCCTAATGCCTTGCCTCACTTGAGATTAACATTTCATAAAGCCATTGTCTTCTTTATAAGCCTTTGAATTCCATAGCATGAACTTACTAGAGCTTTTAGGAGATGAAAAAACCATAGAACACACACTAGACAGATAAATATTACCTATCATTGTCATAGCTATTTTTAGCCATGATCTTGACTTTATGTAGTCTTAGAAACTCACTGATTGGCCCAGATCAATTAATGATCTATTATGAGTATCACAGAACAAAACGATTTTTTTCTTATTATGTTGTATGTGTGGCATCATTAAGGAAAGGAACTGGTAAGATGGATGAATAAGTTTTAAAAATTGTGTCTTCATAATGAAAACAAATGTATGCATGTGAATTTGATAAAGTAGGAAACAACATAAGGAACATTTCTGAGGCAATATAACTTTCTGCCATGAATAAAGGTTTCCACTTTTTTTTTTTTTTTGAGACAGGGTCTCATTCTCTTGCCCAGGCTAGAGTGCAGTGGTGCGACCTCAGCTCACTGCAACCTTTGCCTCCCAGGCTCAAGCAATTCTCCTGCCTCAGCCTCCCGAATAGCTGGGATTACAGGAACGCACCACCACACCCAGCCAATTTTTAATAGAGACAGGGTTTCACCATGTTGGCCAGGCTGGTCTTGAACTCCTGACCTCACATAATCCACCTGCCTCAGCCTCCCAAAGTGCTGGGATTATACGCATGAGCCACCGTGTCCAGCCCGTTTCCACTTTTATTAGATGTTTTTTGTTCTCAACAGGGAGTCATCAGTTATTTCAATGTGTGTGATTTTTTGAAAATATCATCTTATTTTTTTCTCTCAAACTTTGGAGAGCTTAAAAAATAGCCTGCTACAGCACAAAAAGTAAGAAAAGTTAGCCAGTGTTGGGGAGCAAAGCTCTGTCCTCTGCGGGCCAGTTCCCTACTGGGAGGCAAAGGATGTGATTTCAAGAGTGCCAGGAAATCTGCCATGCCTCAAAATATCTTCCTTTCCACCTGTCATGGTGCCTGACATTCCATATTTAGACAGTCATTCCTTTGGTGCATGAACATGCAAATACCACTGGGAGGGGAAACACCTTGCTATTATTATAAACTAACTCTTGCACTGTATTTATCTGTGTGAGGGATCAGGTGTCCATGGGACAGCTGAAATCTAGGGGCTTAGAGATCTGAGAAATAAGACAGCACTGTTTCTGTTAGGAGGAAAAAGGAATTTAAACATGTTTATAGGAAAACTAATAGCCAATAAAATTTACCATAATGAATCATCAATTTTACTCTGGTAATTAATCATCTTGTTTTTTGGTTATTTTCTAGCTGACATTGATGACATGAAAATATGCTATGTCTTAAGAGAAGGGGCTAATGCCACAAGTGATATGTTCTATTTTGCAGTTGAAGATGGTGGTAAGTATTCCCCTCTCCTGGTAGTGACCGCAAGGAGAGACGCTTTTCTTGGTTGCTCTCTGATGACATTATTACAAGAAGTCTTCATCAAGTAATATTTCATGATCACCTAAATTTAACCTGGTATTTGCTGTAGACAATTTTACAATCTCACTATGACACAATCCTACTATGTCATGGCTATAGATAAAAGTTCTAGTTATATCACTTTTGTCTTACTATTTGTAAAGCACTAAAGAGAGAGATCTGTATAAATAGGATCTCCATGTCTAGTTGTTCAGATTACACCCTGCATGAGTTTGCCTACTTGAGTCAGTAAGAGGATGTTGGAATTCAGCTGCAGTTCCACTCATAGCCATGTGCTCACTGAGGTGTAGCTGCCCAAAGGAGCTGCTTTTTCCTGATTTGCTCATGGGTTCTGTGTGGACTAATACTGATGGAAAATGTGTTGCATTCACCAAGAAATCAGTAGTAAATTAATGTCTGTTTTATCTCACCAATCTCAGGACTTCTAATGATTTTCTTAGTTTGGGGGATTTTGTGACCTAGTCCAGCTAAAAATTTTTCTTGGTTAAGTGTGAAGAATACTTCAGAGTATAGGATGTGACTTCTGAGCTAAGTCTTTTGGGCGATATTATTCTCATTACTCCCCCAGAACTGCCTGCTGTTTATACTCCTTTCAGCTTTGGATCTCTTGTCTTCCTAACCCTGTGGGTGAGGAGAAAAACTGGTCACTTTCAGATTGCTCATAAAGATGTTTTTGTTCTTGCATGTTTTCTTTTGAAGCAAAAGAACCTCCCCTAGTACATGTGTTGTGTGAACAGGACACCAGAACTGAGGGTATATGTGAGAGAGCAGAGAGAGGAAGGAGAAAAATAATTCATACTCTGTTATCTGTTTCCTTATGATGCTTTTTAAAAATGGCACACTATTATGTCGTCTATCTCAAAAATACTGCATCCTTACCCTCCATGTTTTTTGAAGCATTACATAGTATTTGTTTAAAATATCAATGGACACAACATGATCACAGTTCTGAAAAATGTCAATTGTTGAGTGTGTGCCAGAGAGGCAAACAAAATGTGTTATGTTGGGTTCAACTGTTTGATTCCTACTATGAATCAGAGAGTCAATCATGTGAGTGCCTTTATTTTTTGAGTAACCAAATCATAGTTTAGTATTCTACGTATTGATGAAAGGCATCTTAGCATAAAACGAAGTTCTAAAAAGGAAATCAACTCATAAAAAAAACCTTCTTGAATTTTGCTGCTCAAATGGGAAATTCTATTGTAACTAACTGTAGAGTGAAACCCTGAAATAATCCAAATCTCTGTAACATATATAAAAATTTAAGGATGAAATTATTGGTTTAAAACACCATGTTTATCTCTTAGGATGACTGAGTAAACCTCAATAGCAAAAGTGTGACTTTCTGTAAAATTACCAAAAAAAGTTTCAAATTCAATGGCTGCAATTACACTAAAATATTCTATACTTTTTAATAAAATATTTTGCTTTTTTTGCTCATACACAAACACACACACATTATTTTACCTTACCTGGGTGGAATGGTAGCATTTACTTTAAAATTTTGGTCTCTATTCCAATTTTGGAAAACATTCTATAGTATCATATTTCAAAATATTAAGTGCAAAATATTAAGTGAAGAATGACTAGCTGAAGGGGCTCGGTTTATGTTTGAATTTGCTGAAAATGTGGCAAGGCCTCCAAAGATTGTCTTTATGGAAGTAGGAACATATCATTTTAGGAGTCTTTTTAGAGAGAGAGTTTCATGTGAGAGATAAAAATTTCAGATTTTCTTTTTTACCCTCTTCCTCTTTACTGGCATAACATTACCTATGGAGCTCAGGCAGATTTTGGCAAGCTGTTGAATAGAATTTACTTTAATTCCCCTGATATAAGAAAACTATCCTTTGACAGAATAAACACAGAGACCTGCAAGATTAAAAAGTCACATTGGTATCCCTAAATTGTTTTAACCTGATTCTTAAATTTTTTTAGGATTTTTGCATTGCCGTATAAATCTTCTGACATTTGAATGAGAAGTGCAATACTGTTTAAACTTAATTAACTGTAGTGATTTATTGTCGTCTAGTCTATACAATGATAGTAGGCATATCTATAAGTCATCCCGATGAAATATGAAATGTGTGAGTATTTCACCCCTGGGAAGCAAGTCAGGGCACAATGGCATAAAATTGAGAACTCTGTATGTCCAGCTTGCTTTCCAATCTGATAAATGCATCTTCTTCAAATCAACGTGATTGATTTTATAACAGTAACTATCTAAGGAAATTAGTGGGGCAACCATCATCCATGAATAACCTTAAAAATAAAACATAATTCAATTTAAGGGATTTAGAGTAGGAGAAGAGATTGAGAAGAACAGAAGGCTCAGACCTCTTGTTTCAGATTTAATTGTGTTACCATGGGAATCTGGCTCGCCACAGGATTCTTCTGTTATGATGTAGTAATGGATTAGTGACTATCCATTACTAAAAGGACTATGCTTGGGAAAGGGTTACTACCTTTGAAGTTTTGGAGTGCTTTGGGACTTTTACCAAATGACAGAAGTAAAGAGAGCACTATCTGAGCAACAGATAACATCAGGGTCTTTACCTCAGGGGAAGTCTACTGTATTTGGACTTAATACACGTTGGTTGATATAGCACATGTCCACACACATACACAGATCCTTGTATCTTAGGGTTCTTTCAATTAGATTTCAAACCTTCTATGTTATTTATTGTTTCTTATGCGATTTTACCTTCATAACATCTCTGTGAGCAACAAAAACAGCAAAAAAAACTTAGTATGATTTCTATTTGGCAGATGAGGAAACTGAGTCACCAAAATAAGTAACTTTCCTCCTTCAAGCTGCACAGCTGGGCAACTAGAGGCTGCTTTCAATCTCAAATTCTTTCCTCAGTAATAAGCGATAACTTCCACACTTATTCAGGATAGGGATAAGAGGGGGAACTCTTGAACTTCTCTGGGTTCTCCAGACCAACTTTCTAGGAATGTTTAATAGATGTGAGTGAAGTCAGAGTAGGATCTGCTTTTAGGATAGACAAAGAGCTTTGTGTTTTCTAAAATGTGCATTTTTATTTTAAAATACTTTAAAAGTTGTAGTGCCCTAAACTTTGTAGTACTCTTTCTTGGTATCATAGTGTAATTCTCTTTTTAAAAACCTTTGTTTTCGGTTCAGAGGTACATGTGGAGGTTTGTTATATAGGTAAAGTCATGTCAAGGGGGGTTGTTGTGCTGATTATTTTGTGACCCAGGTACTAAGTCTAGTACCCAATAGTTACTTTCATAGTGCAATTCTTAAAATGATTATTTTATAATGCAATATGCTTATTGGAATATTAGTAAAGAGCATGAAAATGTGATATCAGAATAAGGCACTCACCCAGGTGTTCTGGGCCAGTCAACATACATGAATGCATCATTACAAAGTATAAGGTCAAACTCTGAAGTTCAAGAATATATTCCCGCTGTCTGCGGCTTCATCTAATGAGCTCGTGTATATATGTAGCAACTGCCTGTGGATTTAGCTGTCTTCCATTTCTTTTGGTTTTCGTGCTTTATATCTTCACGAAGGTAACTTATAATAATACAGACCTGGGAAATACATCTTCCTTTGTTGACTGCCTCTTTGAATTGTAATTCCAGATCCAGTACTCTGGAATTTTGTTAGGGAGAAATAAAATATTTATTCTTTTATCCTCTTTGTAGTCAAACATTTTTATCTGATTCCTTCTCAGTGTTCAACTCTCTGTAATTTTTCTATAAGGTATTCTAACATGAAAGTGCTTTGTCGGGCCCTTCTAGCTCTTTATTGTGATGTGAAAGCTGGTCTCAAATAACTATTCCAGGCATGCCCCACCCTCAACCCTAATGATTGTTAATCACTCTTCAACACCAGGCTCAAATATCATTTCCTCTCCAAAGTTGCTCCCAACATCACAATTACATAATTAGTCTCACTCTTTTTTATGCTTTTCTCCCCAACTTTATTTACAGTAAAAATTTATATTATGATTATTTGCTAATGTGGAAACCTCCATTAGTAAGGAAGAAACTCCTTCATATCAAAAAAGGTATCATTAATCTTTGTACCTCAGTGCCAAGGCTGAGCACGAGGTAAATACTTACCGAACATTAAATAAATGAATGGATAAACAGGAGAAAAACAATTGCTCTCTTTTGACATAAAGATCAATTAAATAGTATTATATGAAAAACTCCTATAAACAATTCCCAGTAGACCCTTTGCATTCCTTTAGAACGTTGTTCTATCCTAGCATTAATTTAAATCCCTATGGCACCAGGAAAGTTTTTTAGTGAAGCTTTCACATTTTTAAACGCATGAAATTAACTAAATCAACTGCTGTGAAAATTCCTTCAAAATCTTCAGTGAAATGTACTTAAGATTGAAGTATTAACCACCAGTTCAGAGCTCATATTATTCTTAAACAAGCCTTTTCAGAAAAAAAAACTTGTCGGTTTATTATTAAAGAATTATACAATTTAAAATCTAAAAGGAAATAACCATTTCCTATAAGTCACTAAAATTTTCAAGCCAGCAGCACCACTACTGTATTTTCAGTTACCCCAGTATTTTCTTGTGTGGTATGAGATAACATTAGGACAGGTGGAGAAGTAGAAGACAATACCAGCAAAAAGTATCTCTAGTTTTCATTAAAAAGTCCTCGTGTAAACTTTTTTGTTTGTTTGTTTTAAGTCTCAAAGCCTCAGCATCAGATCCAGCTTGTTTCTTGATGGGCTTGAGAAAAAATTAGAATACATACCTCAGCATCAGATCCAGCTTGTTTCTTGATGGGCTTAAGAAAAAATTAGAATACATGATCACCTGGCTGGACATATTGAGTAGGAGGAGTCTTACATTTGTATTCATTATGAAAACCAGCTTGCTGCTTCCTTATTTGAAACCTCTCATATGACATAGGCATGCAGTCTCAGTGAGTTCTGCCTGCTGAGTTTGGCATTGAAACTGGGGCGGCAGACATAATATCTGTGTTGGCCATTATAGTGTTATCTGGGCCACAGCCAGACATTTTTTTGCTGCTGTCTTTGATTATGCCTTTGGTGCCCAATTTTCCATCCCCCAAGATCCTTGATTCATATGCTATTGAAGGATATTATAAATAGTATCTTGACATAGTAGAAGCTGCAAAGTCATTTCTGTATATGAAATGTCATTTAAGGTCAAGGCTTTTGAATTGTTATTCCGTATTTGATGATTGACTCCTCAAACACAAAGAGACTACCGGAAGCCTTTCATTTTTAATAGAAGGAGTACAAGTTTTTGCTTGAAAATGACCAATAACTTTGGGGTTTAAGGCAAAATAATTACTGATAATTAGCTTGAAGTTAAATCAAGGGCTGGAAAAATATAAATAGAGTAAGTAGAAAAGAGAGGTCTGAGTACAAGCATTAAAAGATTATACAGACATATTCAGCTCAGAGAAAAAAGCAAGCATTCTTGGCAATAAAATTAATTGCTAGTGACATGAGAACCAGGGGGAAAGATGCTAGTGCCTTAGGGAGTTATAATAAGATGGTGAAGTAATGTCAGGCACTGATACAAATATTTTTAATCTGTGAGAGACCACAAGGTCTACTAGAATACAGATCTTGGGAAGGAGTGTTGGCTACTGTGGCTGAATGTTTGTAAGCCTTTCACTCTTCATTGAGCAGTTCACAATAGATCAAGTCATCAGGGTGTTTCTAGGCCAGATCCCTGCCTTTAAAAGCATGATTCTATTAAGGTACCTGTACTGTGTGCAAGAACGAAGTTAAACCTTTTAGATAGAAAAGTATAAACTCAAGTTTTTATACCTTTTAGATAGAAAAGTAAAACTCAATTTTATTTATTATTATTCTTTAGATTCATTCCAAAATTATACATTATATGAATATACTGTTTTCATTGGCTTTAGTTCCGAGAACATTTTTTTAAATTGTTAAATCTTTGGGTGACAATGAATTCTTGTTAGGAAGATTTCTAGAAATTTCACATGATTTCATATTACTCAGAACAAATGATAGTCACCTTTTAAACACTAAGCATATTTTTCATAGGTGATTAAAGTACCATAATCTCAAATCAAATATTTATTTGTGGCATATGTTAATAATTTGATAGTATCTCAATCTGTCTCTTTACATTTGCTCTGATGGCTGGGAGAAGTGGGAAGTTATTTTCAAAGGAGAAGCACACAGTGGTAATTGGTATTATTCTGTATTTGCCAGAACCTAAGATAATGCAACAGATAACCAGAATGCAATGTAAAAGAAGGGTCAGAGTTTCTATGGTGAATCTTATTGGCTAAAGCAAGATTCCTTGTAAATTTCTTTATCGAATTACTCAACAAATATTTTTGGAGCACCCACTCACCATGTTTCAGGTGTCCATTGGGGTCTGAGAATACAGTGATGAATATTACAGTCATGATCTTTGACCTGAGATTCATCCTTAGGATAAAGAAGTAGACGAATGAGTTAAACTTTGTTTAAAGTATTCTGACAGTTATAATTAAGCCCCAGATAGAGACACAGCTGTCAGGAAAGGCACCTGAAAGGTGGTATTTAAGTATAGACTTAGGACAGGATGAAGCTGCCACTAGAGGAAGGGAAGAAGAAACCTTCCAGGTGGCAGCAAAAGCATGTGCAAAGGGACTGAGCTTTGTGTGTTCAAGTCACCAGAAAAGCACCAGCATGCCTGCAGCTCCATGAACAAACCAGAGAAGGTAACAAGATGAGGCTGGAGAGCTAGATCAAAGCCTGATGGTGCAGAGCCTTGTATACCCAGAGGAGTGATTTAGATTTTGTGCTAAAGAAAAGAGTATCCACCTGTATTAGTCAGTTTTCACAGTGGTCTAAAGAACTACCTGAGATTGGCTAATTTGTGAAGAAAAGGTTTAATTGACCCAGTTATGCATGGCTGGGGAGGCCTCAGGAAACTTACAATCACAGCAGAAAATGAAAGAGAAGCAAGTACCTTCTTCAAAGGGTAGCAGAGGAGAGAGTGAGTGAAGGGAAGTGCCACACTTTTAAACCATCAGATCTCATGAGAACTCACTAGCTATCATGAGAACCGCATGGGGGAACCGCCACCATGATCCAATCACCTCTCACCAGGTTTCTCCCTCGACACATGGGAATTCCAATTCGAAATGAGATTTGGGTGGGGACACAGAGCCAAACCATATCCCAAACTAAATCATTTTAAAGAAAGGGAGCATTGTGTTCCAATTTGTGTTTTAGAAAGATGATTCTTGCAGGTGTAGAGGATCTATAGGAGGGCAGCAAGGGGAAACAGGAAGATTGACATGAGGCCGATGCAGAAAGACAGATGTCATATGGGAAGAATAAGGTAAGCTTGATATAATGTTGGATCCAAATCTGTAAGACTTATTGATGAGTTGGAGTGTAGGGTAAGAAAAAAGGAGACCGTAAGCATGATTCTGGGTTTTACAGCCAGCAGAGAATGGTGCTGCCATTTATGGAGATGAAATAGACTAGAGGGGCATGGACTAGGTTTAAGGGAGGAAATTAAGAGGACATTAGAAACATATTAATTATGAGACCTCTTACTTCTTTGAAATGTGTATACAGGAAGCCAGCCTTTTGATCTTGCTTATCTTTTCTTCCATCACAGTTAGAAGCGCAGCTTTAGGAGTGAGAGCTGGAACAAATACTGCTTGTGCCTCTTACCGTAATTGGTGACGTGACCCTGAGCCAAGTGACCGAGACTTCCTCAGCCTCAGTTTCATTTATAAAGTTGGGATAATAACAGTACCTAGCTAATAGGGTTCTTTTTAAGATTAAGTAGATAATTCATGAAAATAAGATCATTCATGCGGCACAGTTCCTGTCACATAGTAACAACTATGCAGGTAGCTGCTGCTGCTGTAGCTGCTACTCTGAGGGCTTCCAGAGCTATGCTGTTCTTTATTTTTCTTTCTTTATTTCCCCTCCCTCCCTTTCTTCTTTTCTTCCTTTCTTCCTTTCTCCTGTCTTTCTCACAGCAGCTGTCTATACAGTTAGACTGTTCATTTGGTGTTGGTAGAAAGATGGGGGAATACACAGGGATGGAAAGTCAGAACCTGATGAGCCCTTCTGTAGTGCAACGTTTCAATGCTACGGAGGCTTCCAAAGTTATTTCACACGTTGTAAGTAGTTTAACTAATATTTTCATTACAAAAATGATAACAAATGAGTTTTCACTATGGCCAAATAACAGAAATTTTTAAAAACCCACTGTATCTCTGAAGCTCAGCCTGCATGTTTTATTTCTCCTTTTTAAGGGTTGAAGTGTAAACTTTATAGGCTTGAAGATTAATACCGTATCTTGATTTGATCAAAATATAACCCTTCGAAACATCTGGGTTTAGCAAACATGAGGTTCAAAGGGTAGTTTTGATTGCAAATCTCTAATACACTGAGCCATAAGTGGTTGGAGAGATTGATTAAATGCCATGTTTATTCAGATATTGGAATCGCCTAAATATGCTTTGTTATATAGAGAATGATATAGTCACCCCAGTGGCCAGATGCCCCATTTAGTCAATATCATAGAGAAAAAAGCAAGTAAATAAATGTACCTTTGAGAAAACTAGTAAATTTAGGCACTGAGAAGAGCTTGTTTTAAATTTAGGCATTAAGGAACTTGAAATTCCTTACTGGGGTCATTGGAAAATGAGTGTTGTGTGTATGTAGATACTCCTAACAAGTTCCTTCAAAAACTCAATGTTGCTTATGGAAACAATTTGTACTAAAAGAATGCTTCTTGATTTTATTTTATGAAAATATAAAATCCTGCTTTTTCTGAGATTAGAGGAAAACTATATGCTTTTTAGAATCTTGTAATTTTAATATTTTTGTAAGTAATGATTGGGTAATGAATAAATTTTATTTCACATCTACAATCACAAACTTCCTACCTGATAAGTATTAAAGCCTTGTACCTTTCTACAATATCCCAATGAGTTCAAAAGGACAAATGTCATACTTAATCCTCATTGCAAATAAGGAAAAATAAGATTCATTGAAGTTTAACTTTGTGACACAGTGATGAATGCATGAATCACACACATGAATAAAGTATAGGTACTTTTGTTCTTGCTTCACAAATGTGGATTGATTTCATAATGTACATTTTCTAAGAGCAAAAATATTTGTATAAATGAGAAAAAAATGTTTTTCTTAATATTCTGTTTCAGAACAGTTAGTGCAAGTTTACTAAGATTATTAATTTATTAATCCGGTTCTGCCCTTTATAAAAAAAATTGCCAAGTGGCTGCATATAAGCAATGTTTCACTGAGGGAATATTATGTTAAAGAAACAGTGTACCTTCAGATGGTTTACACTTAGAATTCTTACATTTTTAGGAGAGAAGTTTCTAGAATGAATTATTCAGTTATAGCTAATTACCATTAGATATGATTCATTTTTTTGCAGAGTATTAGTATTCTTGGAACAAAGAAATTATACAAAAAGATTAGGGAATAAAATTATATAGCTATATTTGGTTTTCAACTTAGAACATTTTTTTCTGCATGTTAATTTCATGCTAAGCTTAGAAAATAGCAGCCTTCATGGTAGCTTTTGATGAAGGAAGTGAGGACACAATTGTCCTCTTTCTATTCCCAGAGAGCTCTGACTACATTACTGCAGGTTGAGAGAGAAGCGCCTGTTCTCCATCCCTCTGCTGGATTTTTTAGCACAGGAAGGTTTAATCCTTTCATCTTTGTAATGTGCCACCTGCTACCTTTAACTCTACTTATCCAGCTGTTAGAGGCACGAGTTGAGAACACTGAAAACAGTGTTTTTAAGAATAGTTCAAGAGTGCCACTTCAGAAATTGAAAATAAAGTTGTGAAACTGGTTGGTAGACTTTAGAAATCCCCAAGAAAGAAAAGAACCATTTTGTGTCCCCGTAATACTTCTCTTGCTTTACTTGATTTTATGCAGAAATGGCCAAAAATTAAGTGCATTGCATCACTGCTATAAAATTATGAAAGGTAGGCTACATTTAATCCTTTAGGAAATTGTTTTCTCAGTTTCTTCTTGCCACCTAAACCTCAGGGTCATTTTGTTTCACCATCCGTGTCCACCCAGGTGCTAAATCCAGGCAGCTTTCCCTGGTTCCTGAATTTCTGTTGAGTAGGATTCCCACACATTCTCCATGGCCATTGGTTCCTTCAGAACCACATTGAAGTTTATCTTAAATGACGTAACAGATGTAAACTGCTTAAAATAATCATAGGCACAAAGTAAGTGCTATATTCATGTTAGCCATTGACCCCCACTATAATATATGCTGTCCATGAGAGCCAGGATTTTTATCTCTGATTTTCATTGATATACCCTCAGTGCCTGAGTACATATAGGTGCTCGATAAATATTTATTGAGTGAAGGAAAATATTTCTTCCAGTGCAATTCTAATGGATCTCTTTGTCTCTTTTTGCCTTCCCCTCTGACCTGGATATAGCTTGTTTCCAAAATTACCTAAAAATACAAATGTGATTTTAGACCGGGCGCAGTGGCTCATGCCTGTAATCCCAGCATCTTGGGAGGCTAAGGAGGGCAGATCACTTGAGGTCAGGGGTTCGAGACCAGCCTGGACAACATGGTGAAACACTGTCTCTACTAAAAATACAAAAATTAGCTGGGCCTGGTAGCGTGTGCCTGTAATCCCAGCTACTCGGGAGGCTGAGGCAGGAGAATCACCTGAACCCGGGAGATGGAGGTTGTGGTGAGCTGAGATTGCGCCACTGCACCCCAGCCTGGGTGACAGAATGAGACTCTGTCTCAATAAATAAATAAATAATCTTTAAAAAAAGTCTTTCCTCCCTTCTTCTGCCATAATTTTCTAAACTGTAAATTTGATGTTGTCTCTACTTTATAACTCTCAATGTTTTGTTTTGTTTTGTTTTGAGACAGAATTTCTCTTTTGTTGCCCACGCTGGAATGCAATGGTGCGATCTTGGCTCACTGCAACCTCTGCCTCACAGGTTCAAGCAATTCTCCTGCCTCAGCCTTCTGAGTAGCTGGGATTACAGGTGCCCGCCATGACGCCCAGATAATTTTTGTATTTTTAGTAGAGTCAGGGTTTCATCATGTTGGCCAGGCTCGTCTTGAACTCCTGACCTCAGGTGATCCACCTGCGTTTGCCTCCCAAAGTGCTGGGATTATAGGCATAAGCCACCACATCCAGCCTCAATGTTCTCTCACAGGATAAAATTCAGACTCTTCCCATGTTGTACAAACTGTGCAGGTCTGACCCAATGCAACCATGCTGCCTACTCAGGATTCCTGCACATGCCATGCTACTTCATGCACACTCGCCTTTCCTTTCTTCCTCAATCCCCTGCCCACTTCCTCTGCATGAGATTCAGTAGAGATGGCACATTTTCTTCCTGACACCTTCTACTCCTATCCTTAGGGTCAGACATCTCCGCTGTGTTTCCCATAACAACTCATATTTGGATCTCAAAGCTAGATTCAAAACATGGATGTATATAGCAATATATTGATTTATATAATAATTTAAATCATTATGCCAATTGTAAAATATTATATATGTACATATAACTGTGTAAATATATAGACACATACATGTATACAAATACATAATTGCTTACCAAGTGATGTATGGGGCAGCACAAATATTTAATAATATATAATATAATGTAAAAGGTTGTTAGACTATTATGTAGATGCATATATATTATGCAGAATATACTACATAGGTATATATACCTATGTTATATGAGAATGCTTATAAGTGCTATATCATAGTACAAATTGCTCCTCAAATCACACGGATAATTTAAAAATCTTTTATTTTGACGTCATCTTTTATTTAAAGTGGCTTTCACAAGCTGAAGGGTACTCTCCTAGGACCGTGATTTGACACAGATACTGTACCAAACCCTTCTAATGACTTTACCCTTAAACTGCTTATTATTAAGTGACTTGTAGTCCCAATTGGTAGAAAATTGCTCTTAACATCAGTGATGGCCGGGCGCGGTGGCTCATGCCTATAATCCCAGCACTTTGGGAGGCTGAGATGAGTGGATCACTTGTGGTCAGGAGTTCAAGACCAGCCTGGCCAAACGGTGAAAAATTAGTCTAACTAAAAATACACACACACACACACACACACACACACACACACACACACACACACACACAAATTAGCCGGGCGTGATGGCACATACCTGTGTTCCCAGCAGGAGGCTGAGGCAGGAAAATCGCATGAACCCAGGAGGCAGAAGTTGCAGTGAGCCGAGATTGCGCGACTGCACTCCAGCCTGGGTGACAGAGTGAGTGAGACTCTGTCACGAAACAACAACAACAAAAAAACACAAAAAACATCAATGATATTGGTCACGGTGCTAAATCTACTCAGCTTTTCCTGAATGAAAGCAATTACATTCAAACTATTTCTAAGACTTAAAAAATATATGAGACTCATATATTCAATATCTCTATTTGTAGATGAAGTCACAAAAATTATTCACTGGAATGCAAAGTTTAATTAGGTGAATCTATGTACTTCAGGACCAATGAGAAGAGAGCTCTTCTAGGCATTTTGGCCTTGAACCCTGGCTCTGCCAAGTTTTCATTAAACTTTCTGCTAATCTGTTAATCAATCGAGATGCATTTCACCCTAACAATTGGTATACCAGCCCTAAATGTACCACTCTGTACTGGAACTCCTTATATACATTTGTGTTTACAAAGCTTCTCAACTGCGAGAGCTGTTTCATTCATATTTATGTCTCTTCTTCAGTGCTGAGTTGCCTTAGTCACCACACGGCACTTAGTAGGAGGTCAATAAATACGTGTGGAGTGAGTCATAAATAAATGTAAAGCATAGGTGAATTGTTGATTTCTATTTTCTCTTAAAGTTGCATGTGGAGTAACTTCAGAAGTCAAGAGAAAAATCTAAAGAAAAACAGAATAGGCTTACCAGTTAAAAATAGTGTAAAAATAAATGGAAGCTTGTGCTTACTTTCTATATCTTTCAAGAACACATAGGTGTATATGGACATATACTTTCCTGTAATTGTTTGCACACACTTTTATGGTGACATCAAACTCTTGCTCTTTATAAATGAAATTGCTGTCCTTATTTGTACACCCCTAGGTATGTTTCTAGTGTAGAGATATCACTTCCAGATATTTCAGCATTTGTAGATGCTGCCATTTCTTTGACTTGGTTCATGTAATAAGCATATTGTACCTTCTTGATTTATGTTCTGGATGCTGTTGAGAATGGAGTGAGTTTACACCCTTGTCTTAATGTGCTCACTTTAATCTCCCATTTCTCTGCATCACTTTGATAAAACTGAGACAACCACCAGCTCCCTTTCCCTTCCCATCCCCGTCTTCGCCTCCAGCCAGTATGTATGTGGTAAAAGTAAACATTAGAGAGTCAGTTAAATGACAATTCATGTCTGTTTCATTTAATGTAGGATGAAGATAGCAGTAAGAGATAAAGTGGACTAGCAAAGCATTTTATACTAGATTAAAAAAATAAGTGATGTTACTAAATGATGTGGTAAAGTAAACCTATCTGGAAATATTAATGAATCACTTGTTTTAAGATGCTATCTTAGGAGCCTGTGTTTTTTACCATATTGTTTAAATATTCACTGTATGAGCACACATAGTGAATGTAGTGAAAACCATGTGTTATAGAGTCCTTAGAATTATGGATACCATATAGCATTTGATTTTTGATATTTCAAGGAATGGATTGTTTTTTAAATAGAAGATTCCTAAAGTTTTAATGTCTTTGATCATATCATAAGTGTATTATATTCATGCATAGATAGTTTTTAAAATAGTCTTACTACTTCCCAAAAAATTTAAAAGCACTTTAGGATTTTAAAGAAATTTTTTCTATGGAAAAACTGAAGTGAATCGAGTTTATGTAAATTTAAAAACCTGGATTAAAAATGTGGTCAACACTTTGTTATTAATATCCCCAAGCACTGAGAGTGACCACAAACAGTTTTAAATGCAGTGGCTTATCTTGTGGGTCTCTGGGGCTGATAATTTCTTTTTTTTTTTTTTTTTTTTTTTTTGAGGGGATTCTCGCTCTGTTGCCCAGGCTGGAGTGCAGTGGTGTGATCTCGGCTCACTGCAACCTCCACATCCCAGTGTTCAAGTGATTCTCCTGCCTCAGCCTCCCTAATAGCTGGGACTACAGGCGCCTTCCCCCACCCCCAGCTAATTTTTGTAATTTTAGTAGAGACGGGGTTTCACCATGTTCCTCGTGATCCACCTGCCTCGGCCCCCCAAAGTGCTGGGATTACAGGCGTGAGCCACCGCGCCCAGCCCCTGAGAGTTTAAGAACTAGATGCAACAGAGCAGAGCCAAAGCATGTGGTGTATGCACTGGATGTGGCTAAGGGCTCTTCTGCAATACTCTAGACAAATATGATTCTGCCTTGTTAGGTAGTTGCTTAATTCATAGTGGTTGTATTACCAAGCCCAAGTTTCCTTAATATAAGTAGTAGATAAAACTGATTAGGCCGCCTTTGAATCTACCAATATAGCTAAATACAAGTTTTGCTATATTATTCTTTCTTCCTCAAGGACAATATATTTACATAGACCCTTCAAGTATTTTAATGATCATTTGGTATATTTATTAATTAGAATATAGAAAGCATTTTGTACCCATTTCAATTTTTATCCTATCAGTTGCCCTAAGGCAGGCAGATATACATACACATTTTCTTTCTTTCTTTCTTTCTCTCTTTCTCTCTGTCTCTTACTCTCTCTTTCTCTCTCTCACACACACACACACACACACACACAAACACACACACACACAAGTACACACACAGACTTTTCCTGTGAGATTCCAGTGTATTACTATTTGGAAACCAGTTTCATACTTTAGTAAGTTAATAAAATTTTCCTGGTACTAGTGCCAAAATTAGCCTCTTAGGAAATAGTATTAAAAAAGCTGAAAATATTTTATTACTTACTGACTTACTCCTAGATAGTAACATGATTGAGCATTTAATTCTCATAGTAATTAAGTGCCTGTATCAGATGTGATTCTTCTATCATCCCCATTTCTTTCAGTGGTATGTCTGTTTGCTCAACCATCTAAACATCTTTTAATTCTCCTCCCCCATCCTCTGTCCAAATAGTCCTCACAACCTGCTATTTTTCATTTACAATATCTAATTTGACCCTCTTTTGCATATCTTTTGTGGGAAGCACCCTAGTAGCCTGAGTTACTGAATTATTATTCCAGTACTTTTCTAAGCAGTGTTCTCTCTCCTGTCTCCCCAACCTCAAATTCCTCCACAGTGCTTCATAGAGGAAGTCTTTGCATTTGTAAATGAATGAGAACTCTGGATTTAAACTCGGAAAATTGGTCTAATGCTCAGCTTTGCCACTTATTAACAGAGTGATATCAGGCAGGTCACTTAACCTCCCAGAGCTTTTGTTCCCTCATCTGTAAACCTGAAAACATAACGTAGCAGTGTCTCAGGAATGTGACAAGGACTATATGGCACAAGAATGTGAACATATAACCTAATGAATCTATAATGCATACTCTTATCATGGATATATTATTATATGGCATTATTTTTTGTCACCTACTGAAAAACATTTGATTTTCTTGCTTTATCTACTGATTAGATTGTGTTATATGTTTATTAATCTAGCTCATGGATTTAAGGCCAGCCATTCTATGGCCTTAACTGATCGCTCCATTTTTATCTCCTGTGATTTATCGGTATTCTCTCTCAAATGGATTTCACCTATGGTGCTTATTTCACAAGACAACCTACATATTCATGTTATCCCTTCCCCAAAGTATAATTTCATGTTCCTCTACTTACTTTTAAAGCACCACTCATACACATTAAATTCCATGAAACCTTGTTGTATTTCTTCATCCCAAAGTAAGCTCTATCTTTTCTGTATCTAAACCAGTGGTTCTCAACTGTCCCTTCCCAGATATTTGACAATGACTGGAGACATTTTTGACTTACCCACTTGGGGGAAAGGGGTAGAATGCTACTGATATCTAGTGGGTAGAGAGGCCAGAGATGCCTCTGAACATCTCACAATGTAGGAGACAGCCTCCAACATCAAAGAACTATGGAGGCTACAATGACAATAATGCTACTGCTTGGAAACCAGGATCTGTGGTACTCTAATTGAACTGATTATAACCCAACCAGCTTTGAGTTGTTGGCATTGTGATTCTAGTGATAAACTGTTTAGGGACAGAGGCCTTGTCACAGTCATATTTGTGTCCTGAGCAGTGTAAAGCACCGTGCCATGCACATAGTGGCTGGTCAGTCACATATTCAAATGAGTGAACTTGCTCAGTAAAAATATCTGCTGTATTAAACCTGTATTAATCAGTGGTTGAAATGAAATTAGAATCCTGAGTTAAGGGATATGACCACAGGGCATGGGGCTACAAGAACCTCATTTAAAATAACATCAAAAGTATAGACATCAAATACTTCTGAAAGTGAAGTTATAATTTGTTGATCAAAAACATTCAATTGTATCCTGTCACATTCAATGTATTCCATTCAAATGTATAAAAGTTGTGAGACTGAGCAAAGGTTGGGGGAGGGGAATGTTGGTGAAAGGATACAAAATTTTAGATAAGAAGGTAAGTTTAAAACTATATGACATGGTGACTATGGTTAGTGACATATTTTGTATTCTTAAAGATTACTAAGAGAGTGTATGTAAGCTGTTCTGACCACAAAAATAATAATTATGTGAGGCAATGCAAATGTTAATCAGCTAGATTTGATTATTCCACAATATATACATACTTCAACGTATACACATTTGGTCATTTCACAATGTATATATATGCACAATATCATGTTGTACATGATGTATTTATGTAGTTTTTAGTTAAAAAAACTTAATTTAAAAAAAATTACTTAAAAATTGGCCCAGCGCGGTAGGTCACACCTGTAATCCCAGCACTTTTGGGAGGCCAAGGCAGGCAGATCACCTGAGGTCAGGAGTTCGAGACCAGCCTGGCCAACATGGAGAAAACCCCCTCTACTAAAAATACAAAAAAAAAAAATTAGCTGGGCATGGTGGCGGGCACCTGTAATCCCAGCTACTTGGGAGGCTAAGGCAAGAAAATTGCTTTAACCTGGGAGGTGGAGGTTACAGTGAGCCGAGATCGTGCCATTGCACTCCAGCCTGGGTGACAAGAGTGAGACTCTGTCCCAAGAAATAAATAAATGAATAAATAAATATACTTAAAAATGATTTCTGTAGATTTTTATGGCCTCATTTGTAAAATTTTGACATCATGTTTATTTAAATGTGTTTTGTCAAATGGCTTCTATAAGAGACAAAGATAACCAATGCAATAGAAGGAAAAAGAACCCTGTACACCAGAAATCCCACCACATGTTTTGATCATTTAAATAGTGACGTACCAAAAGAAATAATTCAAAAAGTAGGGAAGGGTGGATGAGATGCAGAGAGGATTGCTTTGCCATTCCCAAATAAACGAAAAGTGGACTCTCTCCCCAGATGTTGGAAGACTTGACCAATAATGCCTAGGAGCAGAAGGAGATGCACATGGCCCTTCCTGGCTAATCCAGAGCTCTCCACACACCAAGACTTGCCAAGAGTCTGTGGAACACCTATCAGACCTGATTCGTTTCCAGATCCCAATCAATCCTAATCAGATTTTTAATCTACCCAACAATCACTTCTAATGCACCAGTTGGTTTTTTTTTTTTATTTAGAAGGCAATGCTTTTTACAAAATAGTGTTATATAGACGTATATAATGGCCCTATTGTCTTAGAGATATGTATATTTCAAGATTAATGGAGATAACTCAGGATCTAGAATGATCATTCTATCAGAGAATGATAGAAATCCTATCTTGGCCATTTATTTTCTGTCACTTTGGTAAAATCTGTTAATTTTTCTAGTCTCCAGTAGTCCATGTATGAATAAGAATACCTTTTTTTGTGAAAGGAAATTAATTTAACCTTAGTCTAAGCTTAAATTAAATAATATAAATGAAAATTTGTCATAAATCATAAAGTGCTACATGACTATAAGTTATTTCTTGAAATAATTTGCACTTAGAATTTTTTGAGTTCCAAAGTTACCTAGTAAATGAAGAGTTGATTTACGCCAGAGTATAAGCAAGAAGGCAAATGATTTATTTTACTTTAAAATAGTTAAAGGGAACACTAGGGAGATATGACTCTTCCCCTTCCATGTCCTGTCTCACTGGGATGAACGAGCCCCTAAAAAACCTAGAAGAGAGCTTTCTGCATGGATCAACTATTTAGAAGCTTTCTTTTCTCACCCATGACAAAGACCTTTACAGAGGTCTACTACCTTTTCTTCACTGCTGACTTTCACTGTTTTCCTGTGGTCTGTCCCACTACCAGCTCGTGCAGTGTGCTTTGCTATTTTCATTTCAAAATAGGTACTTATGCAAAATTCGAATCAGCCTGCATCCAGCTTTCCCACACCCCAGAACCTTACTGCATATCTTGGTGATTCCTTAGCATCAGCACTGAATATTCTCAGCTTAAACCTTCTCCTATATCTTTCTTTCCCATTCCCTTTCCTCATACCTACCTCCACCTTGTTGGCTCAGTAATCATCTCTGTTCTTTCCTTTTTTTTTCTTTTGGAGACAGAGTCTTGCTCTGTTGGACAAGCTGGAGTGCAGTGGCATGATCTCAGCTCACTGAGATCATACAAGTCTCAAGCAAGTCTCCTCCCTCAACCTCCCAAGTAGCTGGGATTACAGGCACCTGCCACCACACCCAGCTAAGTTTTGTATTTTTAGTAGAGACAGGGTTTCACCATGTTGGCCAGTCTAGTCTCGAACTCCTGGCCTCAGGTAATCCTCCCGCCTCGGCCTCCCAAAGTGCTGGGATTATAGGCGTGAGCCACCGCGCCTGGCCTGCTCTTTCTTATCTTCCCAAAACACACATGTGCACAGGCACACACACTTTACATACATATGTATGTGTACACGCATAGACAAAAATTTGAGTGAGATGTCCTTTTTATTTTTTCCCAATGCTGTGCATCCAGGTATGGAAAGCTTATACTATAAATGCTTGTAAATACCTTCATTTGGAACCAAGATCACTGACTGGAAGAAAGAGAAAGAGATGATTTGACTAACCGTGAAGCAGAAACTCTAACAAGTGCTGTCTGACATTGAGTGAGCTGTCATGTGATAAGAATCTTCCTGTCACTAGAAGTATTCAAGTCAAGACTGAATAACCATGGTTAAGGGCCTTAAAACTGATTTATTTTGTTTTAAAATAGGTTAGGGGAACAAAAGGGAGATGGGACTCTTTTCTCCTTCCATGTCCTGCCCCACTGGGATGAATGAGTTCCTAGAAAAACAGAAAACAGCTCTTTCCACATGGAAGTATATAGAAGAAGGTTAAAGTTGAGAATATGCAGTGCTAATGCTGTGGAACCACCAAGATATGCAGTAAAGGTTTTGACGTGTAGGAAAGCTGGATGCAGTCCGATTAGAATTTTACATAAGTACTTTTTTTTTTTTTTTTTTTTTTGAGACTGTGTCTTGCTCTGTCGCCCAGGCTGGAGTGCAGTGGCACAAACTCGGCTCACTGCAACTTCTACCTCTGGGGTTCAAGTGATTCTCTTGGCTCAGCCTCCCAGGTAGCTGGGATTACAGGCACACATCAACATGCCCAGCTAATTTTTGTATTTTTAGTACAGACAGGGTTTCACCATGTTGGCCAGGCTGGTCTTGAACTCTTGATCTGAAGTGATCTGCCCACCTTGGCCTCCCAAAGTGCTGGGATTACAGGCATGAGCCACCATTCCTGATTTTAATTGAAAATAACAAAGCAAATGCACAAGAGGTAAGAGATTTGGCTAGTTATTAATTCTAAGTTCCCACGATTCAAGCTTCACTTGACAAAATGACCTTTCAGATATAGATGGTGAAGTCCTCATCTTGATAAATATGAGTGTTTTCCTAGAAAACATTGCCATTGCCATTTAATACTTGAAAGACTATTACAGTGAGTTTTCACCAGTGAAGTTTATTTCAGGTTTTCTTTTTACACAAGTATACATGCTCATTATAAGAGAAATAGCAAGTACAAAACTAAAAATAACCAACCAGAAAGAATCACAATTAGCAATTAGCAATTAACTGTGTCTTTTTTCATATGATATGTGTTACCCAAAAAGACATCATTTAACATATACTCATCTGAAGCCTGGCTTTGACGTTTCATAGCATGTTTTGAACACCTTTCTAGATCAAAGAATATAGATCTACAGTTGTTTTTAATGATTGCTTTGTATTCCACTGTATGACTACCTTCTATAACTTATTTTTAAAACTGCAGTATTTTAAAGAAGTCTGTATGTTTAAGAGATGAGCTACTAAATGAATCTTATCTAGTTAGCATTATTAATTATGACAGCCCTACTCCAGGGGTGAAAAGGTGTTTCTGGACCCCATCCATTTGCCTTCTCCTACTGTGAACAGGTGAAATCGAGCTGCATTCTTACTGCTTTTAAGAATTGATGGGACCAAGACCCCCTTTACAATTCCTTCTCCCTTTTATTATTAATGGAAATAAAGCATGGTTTGGGCTAATCTTTTGAACTTGGAATTCCTGGAATCCTTATTCAGAGCATCTACTAGCTCAGAAGTCAATTTACATCCTCCAGCGATAAGCTGTATGTACACAGCGTTTCTGTAGTATTTACTAATGGCTCTCATTCTACCAGTTTCTCCCTCTCTCTTTTTCTTTCACTACAAAAAATTACTCTAATATTTTAAGAGATTATTCTGTAATATTTATTAAACAATTATCTCTTAATTACATACCTCCAGTTTCGAATGTGGACATCATTGCAAGATTTATGGTGGCAGGTTGGTAGGTGGGCCAGCAAACAGAGGGCAGAGATAGGAAACAGCATGTATTAAATACTTCATATGTGACACAAACTTTACCCTGGTCACTCATTTGATTATTACAGGAGCAGTCAGTCGTTTCTAGTATTCTCATTTTACTTAGGAAGAAATTGAGTCTCAAAGAATTAAATTTCTCAGAGTTACCATATTAATTTCCTATTGCTGCTATAACAAATTATCACAGATGTAGTGACTTAAAACAACACAAACTTATTATCTTACAGTTTGGAGGTCAGAAGTTCCAATTGAGTCTAAGGTTAAGTCAGGGTGTAGTCAGGGCTGTGTTCATCTGGAAGCCGAAGAGGAGAATCTGTTTTCTTGGCTTTCCCAGCTCTTAGAGGCTGGCCACTTTCCTTGGCTCATAGCCCCTTCTTCCAGCTTCAAAGCCAGCAGCGTATCATATTTTATTTAATTTTTTGAGATGGAGTTTCGCTCTTGTTGCCCAGGCTGGAGTGCAGTGGCACAATCTCTGCTTGCTGACACCTCCGCCTCCTAGGTTCAAGTGATTCTCCTGCCTCACCCTCCCGAGTAGCTGAGATTACAGGCATGCACCACCATGCCCAGCTAATTTTTGTATTTTTAGTAGAGATGGGGTTTCGCCATGTTGGCCAGGCTGGTTCCGAACCCCTGACCTTAGGTGATCCGCCCACCTTGGCCTCCCAAAGTGCTGGGATTTCAGGCGTGAGCCACTGCACCTGGCCAGCAGCATGTCATCTTTAAGTCTCTCTCTGTGCTGACTTTCTGTCTCTCCTTCCACTTGAAAGGACCCTTGTGATTCTGTTGGGCTCACCCAGACAATCTAGGATAATCTCTTCATCTCGAGGCAAGTTGATTAGCAAACTTAATTTCATTTTCAATCTTAATTGCCTTTTGCTGTGTAAACTAACATATTCACATATTCCATGGGTCAGAACATGTACATTTTGGGGGAGCCATTATTCTGCCAACCACAGTCACCCTACTTGTTGGATATGATTGTAATTTTGAGTCAAGTCTAGGTTTGTCTACCTGTTGGTGAAATTTACAGACAGGTTCTCCTATGCAAAACACAGGTTCTCCTTTGCAAAAATATCTAACTTGCTGCCTGTCACAATACATTCCATCACTGGTTAATTTCTTTGAGGTTCAGATGCAAAAGTCTTCAAGAATCCCAAAGTAAAATTCAGACATTACAGGTCCTCTGGAGAAGGTTTACCAACAACATATTAAGTACACAAGGAATATTTTAGGGAAAGGAAATGAGGGAAGAGGATAGCAAAGAAGGTCATCGAAAGGGAAGTGTAACAGTGCCAATTTTCCTTCTAACCTACTATGTCATTTGGCCCACAGCTAGTCTTAGCTGTGGGATTTCCCTCTAATTTAGGCTTACAAACATGTACAAACAGTACTGTGACTTTCCTTTTATCTATTTTCTGAATTATTAATCGTATTTACTACTATCTTATTGTTACTGGAGAGTTTAAAGAAAATCACTTAGTACTGTCTCAACTAGAATGGGATAGAGGTTTATCTACAGAGACTGACACTAAATGTAGCCAGTTCAATTTGACACATTTTTACTGACTTCATAGTATATGCCAGCCACGTTGCTTAAAGCTATAGAACTCACACATGCGCAGACAGATTCTAATTGCATCTCTGACTCTGGATACATTCTGACACACAAAAGCCTAGGTTTACAAATTCAGACCAGGGTGATCTTAATGAACTAAAGGAAACCTAGCAGGAATCACACACCCTTATAAAATCAGGTGTCAGGCAGGATTCCTGAAAGCCTAAAGCTAGACCAGGTCAAGGGCATGTTTCTGGTCTACAGAGAAGGGGCAGAAAGTTAAACTCCTTGGTCCAACTGAGTGGTCAATTGAAGATGCTGAGAAGGGTTTTGCAAGTACGTTAAGAGGCAAAATGACAGAGTCTAAAGAAACCAGAACACAGCAACCAGGCTCAAAAGAGAGGGGGAAAGACTGAATCTAGATAGGATGAGTCCTCTCAACCTCACTGGTGAGGAGGGAGATGTCAGGATGTCCAGAGGGTTGGAGTTCGGTACAACAAGTTCTAAGATACATTTTTACTCTCCTCAATATGGATCCTGTATTGTTCAGGATATTATCAGAAGTGGAAATAGAAGGCTATTTCTGAGCATGAGTTTGATGAAAAGAGACACTATGAAGATTAAAGAAATTGTGAGTTTGGTTGGGGGAGGGAGCATCAGGAAAAATAGCTAATGGATGCTGGGTTTAATACCTAGGTGATGGGTTGATAGGTGCAGCAAACCACCATGGCACAAGTTTACATATGTAACAAACCTACACATCCTGCACATGTACCCTGGAACTTAAAATAAAATATAAAAAATAAATAATTGAAATTTTTGAAAAAGCAATTGTGTGTTTGGTAGAGGCAGAAAAAAAAATATTGTCAGCTGACAGTGACATTGAAACTAAGTCCAGATGTCCCTGGAACTTGAGGAGAGTGATGTAAACTGACAAGACATTAGAGGCAGGACAGTAGTAGAGAACATAGGTAGGGTCAGAGATGGAGAGAAAGCCATGTAAAACAAAGAGGCAGCCATGGGTGAGGACAGCAGAGCAGAGGTAGCATAGCCACGGCAGAGGCAGCCACCCAGGGAGGGGGACGCAGCACCAGACAAGTAGCTGCAGTCAGTGAGTGCATTTGTTTTACAACAGTAGCAAGCTGACCCTCAATGCAGAATAGTTCCAGAGCCTGTATAGACCAGAGCTGGGTGTATCAGTGATCCCCTGTTGATACTGACCCAAAAGGCAGTTTAATAATGAGTTTTATGAGAAAGAGCAGTTGGCCGGGCTAGGCATACTCAAGCTATTTCACAGTTCTTGTTTCTGAGGCTATGTTTAAGCATGGATGAATCCAGTTCAATGAAATTTGCCAAATTTCTTTTTGGTAAGTCAATTAAGTAATATTTACCCTTGCATTTTAGTGGGATAAAATAGTTTCATTAACTCTTGATAGTACTAAAATCTACTAATCCCAGAAATTAAACTCCTGATAATATAATATTTGGAGATGATGGCTGTTTCTGTCCTTCCTGTATACTACTTACTGCTTAGAGAGAATAAGTTATCAGCTCTGGTCAGATATCAGAGTCCCTGGAGAGTTTCAAAGCCCAAGACAGCCCCAGTAATCTAAATCCCTGGTACTGGGACACAAACATTGATTTTTGTTGTTGTTGTTTCTTTTTAGAGGTAGTATCTCACTCTGTTGCCCAGGCTGGAGTGCAGTGGCACAATCATAGCTCACTGTAAACTTGAACTCCTGGGCTCAAGAGATCTTCCTGCCTCCGCCTCCCTAGTAGCTGAGCACCGTGCCTGGTTAACTTTTTCAATTATTTATAGAGATAGGGTCTATGTTAGCCCTTCCTTTTTAAAAAAACAAAAAAATTAATACAGAGATGGGGGTTCCCTCTGTTGCCCAGGCTAGTCTGGAACTCCTGGACTCAAGCAAGTCTCCTGCCTCGGCCTCCCAAAGTGCTGGGATTATAGGCATGAGCTATCTCGTCCAGCCCAATATATATATATATATGTTTTTTAAACAAACTCAAGTAATTTTAATTTGCAGGCAAGACTGAAAAACACTGGATTTAAGAGAGTAAATCCTTAATCCTGCCTAGACATCTGACCTCTTTTTTTTTAGTACTGATTTCACTGACTAAGCTAAGTCTACCTTTTTTGAACAGTGGTTATCAAATTTTAGCATGCATCAAAATAACCTGGAGGGTGTCTTCTAACACAGATTGAGGGGCCCCACCCCAGAGTGTCTAATTCAGTAGGTCTGGATGGGATTCAGGCAATGACAATGCTATTTACGTTGGAGGCATATTTTGAGAACCACTGTTCTAACAAGATGGTGTAAGGATAAAAATAATCAAGCAGAGGGTGTAGCTGGTAACGTTTTTTTTTTTTTTTCATCCTACTGCCTGTCCACGTGACCTCAGAGATTCAATCTATGGCCCAGAGTTAATATCAAACATAAGATTTCAAGTACTTTATCTTAAAGTTACTCATGTCTGATAACCTGTTGAAGAGTTTTGCAGAAAAATTGTAGGTCAAAGTGTTGAATATTTAAACTTCGAGGTATGCAAAACCCAGCTGGCAGCCAGGTGCAGTGGCTCCTGCCTATAATCCCAGCACTTTGGATGGCTGAGGCGGGAGGATCACTTGAAGTCAGGAGTTCGAGGCCAGCCTGGTCAACATGGTGAAACCCCATCTCTACTAAAAACAAATACAAAAATTAGCTGCATGTGGTGGTGCCCACCTGTAATCCCAGCTGCTTGGGAGGCTGAGGCTGGAGAATCACTTGAACCTGGGAGGTGGAGGTTGCAGTGAGCCGAGATTGGGCCACTGCACTCCAGCCTGGGCAACAGAGCATGCGCCATCTTAAAAAAATAAAAATAAAAAATAAAAAATAAAATAAAACAGCTGGAGATGTCCGTGGGAATGTGTCTATGTCAATTTGTTTATTCATCTTAAACATGTTAGTATGTACATCAATTTTTCATTTTGTTAAATATGATCAGATTAATTTTTAAAAATACAAAATTAAGAGTATTTGTACACTTTCCCTTGCCCCTGCTTATATGCAGAAAGTTTCCTTTGTTAGCTAAGCTAGCAACTGGGCTTTTAAACTGGGGCTGGATGGGAAAAAAGACCTTCTGGTTGAGACATGTGTGGAAAAGATTTTTAGGATCCTTGCTGTGGGGGGTGCATGACATAATTGTCTCTTCATTGTCTCCATAAAAGAACTCCAATAATTGCTAATGTTTATTGAGTTCTTTCTATATCTATTCCTTCTCAACCTCCATGCGAGAACTGATTCCTAATGCCCTGAAGCATGCATTGTATGAAACAAATTTACTTCATGACTATACGTCAAGAAGGGTACTAGCTATGTACCATTTAGAAAATAATCACTGAAATCGCTTCCTGTAGAGGTGGAATCTAGGCACTGCTCCAAGAGCTTTATGGTTTGTAGCTTATTTAATTGTCATTACTCTCCTAAGAGGAGATTCTATTATTTATCCTCATTCTTACAGGTTAGGAAACAGTCACAGCTAAATAACTTGCTCAAGGTCATACAGTAAGTAGCAGACGAAGGATGCAAGCCAAGAGTACCCTGACTCTGCAGCCCGTGTTCTTACTGGCTCTGCTACAATGGGTTCACTACAATTCAAATGTTCTGGAGTTAGACTTGTATTGCCTTTAGATTTACTCCTTTGCTGAGTCAGGTGACCCAGCATATCCAGGCTCTAAGAAGGTCCCTCACATTGTTACTCCTTCTATCCTATGTGTTTTCTTGCATCTAAAACTAGTTGGGGATGGCAACGTACATTGGTACAGCAAGGAGGAGTGGGCAGCAGATAGAAAGTCAGATCTGAGAACAGTGGAAAACTAACCCTGGTTTAATGTCTGCCAGGAGCCTAATGCATTTTCTCACTTCATTCTAAAATAAAATTAGTACATTTTAAGGTAAAATATTTTGTGGTTTAAAGACACAGAGATTCAGAAAGATAATGAAACTTAACCAATATTTCACAGCAAGTATATGACAGAGTTAGAATTCACACCAGGGATGTGGTATTAGATTTAAAAGTCCAAAATATAGATATGTTTATCACTATCATTTGTAAGATATTATTTACAGAACTAAAGATTTTAAAGCAATTTTTATGTAAAATACAAATTATCTTGGTAATAGTAGCATTATCACTCATTGATGTCAACTAGGGCACTTTCTGTGAAAGTTATTTAAAAAAATTGAAATTTGTTTAAACAAAAAAGTAAATTTATTTGAAGCCATGGAGGCTGATTTCAGGGGTAGTTAGAACCAACATTATGAGAACCTGGGGCCTTTCTGTTTCTTTGTTTGGCTCAACTTTGTTCCTTAGCCTCATTCTCCAGAGCAATATGGTGCAAGAAGGCTGCAGCACACTAGCCCCCTATCAGTTACAGTCAAGTCCAGTGGGAAGAGCCAGACTTTTGTTGCAGTAGCTCTCAAAAAATTCTGAGATTTACCTTAATTGTAGTAGTTAAGATCATACGTCCATCCAGGAACCAGGAAGTTGTATGATAAACATACTTGGGTAACAGATTTTATACCCATAGCTAGGGATGTTGCTAGGGAAAAAGGAAATATGTCCTGGAATGGAATATTTTAAATGTAAATTATATTTGTTTTGAACCTTGCCTTTTAGGGAAGGAAAGAAAGAGATAAAGCTAGAGGTAGGACTTTGAGGAATTGTACTTAATTCCCAGCCTATGCTGTATAGGCCATAGCCTGTAATCTATATGTGCAAATAGCAGTGCATACACAGAAATTTATTCATCATTCATTTATTCGTTCATTGCTCATTATCTGCCAATTTTGTGTCAAGTACAGTTCTAGGTGCAGGATTTAGAACAATGAAGAAAAAGTGGCCTCTCTGCCTTCATAATACTTTACATACATGGGAAACAAGTAGTAGACAAGTAAACAGGTAAGGTTTTAGGTGGTTGTCAGCCATGATGAGTGGTTTAAAACAAAAGGAAACAAACAAGTGGGTAGCTAATAATGAAAAAATGAATAAATGTAGAGGAGGCTTAACCTATCCAAAGCATGGTCAAAGAAAGCGCCAGTTATGCTTTGTTCAAGCTGAGCCCTGATGAGTGAAAAAAGAATTAACCCTGGAAAGACCGGGGAGAAATTGGGCACCTGTTCTTTGTGCCAAGGTCTGAGGTAGAAAAGAGCTTCACCGCTTCAGAACTGAGAAAAACCCAGTGCAGCTGAAGTAAAGTAACCTAGAGAGAAAGTGGAGGAACTGAGTGGAAGCCTGTCATTCAGACCCGTTTGTTCTCTTCACTTAAAGTTTTCTCTTCCACTTAAAGTTTTCAAGCAAGGGAAGGATATAATCTAATGTACTTTTGCAGATCTATGGAGAGCTGGATTGGAAAGTTTTCAGGTTCAAGCGATTGGATGAATGGCAAGGCTTTTTACTGACATGGGAGATGTGATTTTGGGGAAATGAAAAGTTTTGCTTTAGGCATGTCAAGATGGCGATGTCTGTGAGTGAGGTGGCAAGGATGTAATTTCAGATGGAGATGTAGAACTCAAAAAATCTGAGCCTGTTTTAAAGTGGAGGTTTTATTATTCTTCAGGTATCTTGAAGCCAACAGATCAGGACAAATTGCCATTGAAAAGATGTTTGTTACTCAGAGTTCCCATGAGGAGGGCGCACACCATGCCATGCAGGGCTCCATGGAGAGGCACCGGTGTTGGTTAGGAAGGAGGGGGCGAGAGAAAAGCCTGGACAGTGACAGTAACTTTTATTGTGGTTTCTGTGGGAAAAGTGAGGTAGGGTAAGCAGACCGATGACTGGCTCGTTTTTAATAATTTCAGCAGGCTCCTGGGTATAGGGCCTATCTGTAATTATCTGGTACCGGGCCCTGAGATGATTAGGGCAGAGGAATGTATTGCCTCCTGGAATGTCAGAGCCAGATAGAGGAGGTGGTTTGGAATATGTGCTCTGGATCGGATAGTTTGCCTATGGAAGGCATGCTCTTAGAGAAGCAGCTTGCTAATCTCTAGGAATTAGCTAGCCTTAAGAAGAGCAGTTCCCCTTGAGTCAGCAAGGCTGCAGATGCCAGAGCATCAAAAATATGGAAAATATGAAAATATAATTAATACAGGGTCAGAGGCACAAGTTTGTAAATGGAGTCTATCATGTGTGTGGCATAGGGAGAGAGTGTAGGGGTGGGGGCAGGTTGAGAACTACTCTGTCACTCTTCCAGATACCCTTGGAAAAATGTTGAAAAGTGCATTCAGGTTGGAAAATATTATTTCTTTTTTGTTGTTTCCTTCACTACTAATGATTATGGCATAGGGAGCACAGACAAAGAAGTTGCAGCTGTTGTCTTCCCAACCCGGTCCTGTTGCCCAAACTGCTCTTATATGCTATTTTCACATAGACCTATGATTGTGGGTGGAGGAAATAAAAATATTTACCCATTATGAATACAATGTACTTACAGCTGTTGCTGCACCTTAATTTGGAATCTGATAGTTGTTTCTAAAAGAGTTAAGTGGTAGTTCAGTTAATCGGTAAAACTGCCAAGTTGCCAGGTACTTTAATTAAATTGGTTGAAATGAAAGGTGGTGATTGTCAAGCCTGACAAACTAAAATTCTTTATTGAATCTAATTAGGGTGCGAAGAAAGTATTGTTTTAATTCTTCAGAGCTTGTTGGACGTAGTTTTTGATACCTTTGGTACAGTTTCAGCTGCACTCAAGCAAAGAATTTCATCTATTGCATCAAAACACCTCTAAATCATAGGTATTTAACTTTTAGATTTGAATCTAGGATATATAAATTTTATTATTTCATCATAAAAGTAATTCTAAAAGAATAATTCTGGGTACAATATTGTTTTATGTATTTATTTATTTTAAATGCTATAAAAATACAGATCTACATGGTGAAACCCCGTCTCTATTAAAAATACAAAAATACAGCGTGGTGGCACAGGCCTGTAATCTCAGATACTTGGGAGGCTGAGGCAGGAGAATCACTTGAACATGGGAGGTGGAGTTTGCAGTGAGCTGAGATCATGCCACTGCACTCCAGCCTGGATGAGAGAGTGAGACTCCATCTCAAAAAACAAAACAAAACAAACAAAACAAAAACCAGATCAACATTCTGCTCTTCAAATGTATTTCAAAATTTTTATTTCATAGATAAAACATTACAAGCTGCATGAAGGCAGAGACTATGATTGTTCACCATTTTATTGAGTGCCTGGCATAGCACTTGACACAAAGTAAACTCTCAATACACACCTAGTGAATCAATGTGCACCAAGTACATTACAATGGTAGCAAGTATCTACGCAGTAAGTGTTGCCATCTCCTCATGCATTGTATGCTGTGTAGCCTCCCAGTAGCTTGCTTTCTTCAGCTTTTTTTCTGTTTTGCTTCTGGCAATATTTCATCATTTTATCATATGATATTAGTAATGGCACAAATGGAACAAATCAGAACCATAGAATGAATTACATTCCTCTTTGATTATAATTACAAGTTAATCCAAGCTTGTAATCTGAGCATGGCTTAGATGGCAGTCAGTTACACTACACTAACATTGCCAGAATTTTCAGGTAAGCTATATTTAACCTCACAAGTACACACTGGACATTGGTTGGCCCATTTCTTGGATGAAGAAAATAAGACAAGTAGACATTTAGGATATATTTAGATCAATGAGGTTAGTTAATGGTACATTAAGCACTAGAGTCCTTGGTTTTAAGCTTTGCCGTGTTCAGCACCCAACACCAATATCATAAACAATGTGGAGTATTTTGTATTCTTTTTTTTTTCCTATCTAGTAATTTTCTGAATCTCTGATAAAGACCAGGTCACATGTTGTCGTTGACAGGACTGCTAGTGTTACTATTTTTTACTGAGCAGGATTAAAACTCTAGGGCTGAGTATACAATGAGCGTGAGCTTTGTTGTTCTCCATTTGAGTTATTCAGAAGGTCTCAATAACAGGGAACAAATGAAACATCCTGTAGGGATCCCCACACTATTATTATTCTTTTTTTAAATGGGGTCTTTCTTGTCACCCAGGCTGGAGTGCAGTGGTGTGATCAGGGCTCGGTGCAGCCTCCACTTCCCATACACAAGTGATCCTCTAACCTCAGCCACCAGAGTAGCTGGGACTATATGTGTGCACCACCATGCCCAGCTAATTTTTTTTTTCTGTATTTTTTGTAGAGATGGTGTTTCACCGTGTTGCATAGCCTGGTCTGGAACTATGGGCTCAAGTGATCTGCCCATCTTGACCTCCCAAAGTGCTAGGATTATATGTGTGAACCACCCGTACCTGGCTAACACTGTTATTTTTATGAATATATTCTACAAAAGACCAGGCTCATGAAATATTGCATGAAGTAAGAATTTCATAGTCAAATATGTTGGGAAATGCTGCCTACCTTATCCTTCTCATTTATTTATTTATTTATTTATTTTGAGATGGAGTTTCGCTCCTGTTGCCCAGGCTGGAGTGCAATGGCACGATCTTGGCTCACCACAACCTCCGCCTCCTGGGATCAAGCAATTCTCCTGCCTCAGCCTCCCAAGTAGCTGGGATTACAGGCATGCGCCACCACACCCAGCTAATTTTGTATTTTTAGTAGAGACGGGGTTTCCCCATGTTGGTCAGGCTGGTCTTGAACTCCCGACCTCAGGTGATCCGCCCACCTTGGCCTCCTATCCTTCTCTTAGAGAGTCACAGTAGTCACAGAGTCTCAAAGAAAAGAAACCCTGAACTCAGCATTTCTCATACTTATTTGATCACTGGCATTTTTTTTTTCAAATAACACCAATTAATGTCCCACAAAGCTTGTCTTTCAAAGAACACAGCTCATGATTCACTCTATGGGCTAGAATGATGATTTTCTGTGTGTGTCTATGACATATGATGCTTTTCTTTTGCTGAATGATTTTATTTATGAGATAACACAATAAGAACTTATGTTATTCTTGAGATGTAATGCCACATTGCTGTCTAAAAAGAATATAAATTTGGAATACTCTCAGGGGTATACTAGCATATGATCTTCATTATTGCAATATCATTAAGATTGTGATTTTTTTATTTTCATAATTATCACTAAATTCTTGACCTAACTAGGAATTTGTGCTAATTTTATTTCTGTCATCTTTAGTCTTACTAAAGGACTTGAATTTAACTCTCATTCAACTTTTTTTTAACCAAAAAATACTTCTTTAAAGACATGATATTCGTTTGTGAGTGATGCAGTACAACAAATACCGCATGTGTGATATGTGTATTGAGGCTTTCTTTAGACTTTACCTAAGTGTTAAATGTGGGCTCCGTTATATCTAGACGTTCCACATTTGTGATCAAACTGTAGTAAATATGTCCTTTTCTAAGGTGCATAATTAGAGTATTTAAACTTGTATTCCATAGAGTGAGTTAGTAACATCAGGAGAAATGATAGTCTTATCTGTGGTCTGGCTGTAAATATAAAGTAGTTTTATGTTGGCTAACTTGATTTCTTCCATATTTTTAAAAAATAAGACAGAAACAATAGTCAGAATAAAGCTACACTCTATGAAGTAGAGAGAGCAATTCTTCATTTGAGGGGATATTTTCTCTTTTTTGTATAATTATTTGGATAATTGTGTAGGAGTGCCTAACGGGAGTGAACCCATGATGGTCAATAATTTAGAAACAGAATTAGAGCACAGCCTTTGCCTAGTGTTAAATAAACAAAAATTTGATAGTCACACACATCTCACGGTAGCACTGTGTCTAGATGCAGCGTGAAGCGGCCTTTGCTATTAACTGAAATGTTCTTATTTTCCACTGGACTGCTCAGTACGTTTATGATACATTTGTTTAAAAAAGGAGAAGGAGAGTGTGGGGATTTGTCATACATTTAACTTCTTTATAAATGATATTTCTTTTTGTTTATAAAGTGATTCTGTCTGTTCACCATCATTCAGTGGTAAAAAATGCAAATGGAATTTGAGAACGTAACATATGGAAGATGTACAGGGAAGGCGAACATGGCACCATGGCAGTTGCTAAAGTACTTACATGCTTGATAGAGGGAGCCCTGTGAGCTTTCGCTGTTCTATCAGTGTGAATCAGTGTCCCATTCTGTGAGGAAGGAATGTTGGATTGCTGGAGAGTCTCATTAAGACTTGGCACTTTCTTGGAAAGACTTGCAAGAAGAAAGTAAAAATTATACCTGACCTCTTCCTCAGGCAGCTCACCCTCACTCCCACCTTCCTCCAAACCTATTATTTGCACCTATGTGTTTTGAGATACGTGTTCACAGCTTTATTTTTACAAGACTAAAATGCTTTTATTGAACTGTGATTTGTCATTTAGACAAGACTCATTGCCTTCATTTTATAAGTGAAAAATAAAATGAAACAGCAGAAATATTATTGTTTGTGTATTAAAGAAAAGGTTCAAAGACATTATTATTCTTTAAGTTTTTGAAGTGTAAAGACTTACTCACCTACACCAAAAGGGCGATAAAAATTTCTTATGCAACCTTGTTTTCTGTAAGTTTTTTTTTTTTCACCACAGTTCTTACCTTCCTCTTTGCTGAGAAATATTAATGTTCTTATGGGTATTATCTAAACTGAAGAATTCATAATTATTTTGGATTTAAACTCTTTGGCAAAGCTTAATGCTCATTGTTCAATTTCTGTCTGCCTTTTTAAAATAACAGTGCTCCATTCCAAATTTTGTACCTGAACATGCTCCCATAGCCGTGGCAAGAAAACACTTCAGACATTGCAAAGTCTATGTGAACTTCTAGAAAATGTAGCCTGTGAGGAAATAGATATAAAATATCCGATTAACTGATTTTATTTTATTTAGAAACTACTTTATTTTTCAATCAAGAAAATTAAAATGACAAAAACATACAAAGTAAATGAATAAAGGTTATTCTTAGATAAATTGGCTTTTAAAACAGCATAGAGATGTTATTTGGGGATTCCTTGAGTTATAAGATACCAGTGAATATTGGCCAAGAAGCAAGTTTTCTGTTGAATGCATTAGCTTGATAAATGGGCCTTTTGTTTTATTATCTGAAGAAATTAGGTAACAATATACTTTATTATCTAACTAGAATACTTTTGAGAGAGAAAGCAGGACAGTAACCACGCCGGACATGAAAACAACCAACATCAACTGGGACAGCTCTAGAAAAGTAAAAAAGACTGGTCAATCTACGGATTATGGATTTTCACAAAAGTAAAACTCTTCACTAATCACAGATCATTATTAGTATTGCGTTCAAGATGCTGCACTTGGCAACTTGAAACAACTGAGAAATAACTTGGAAATGAACAGACAGGCAGGCCTGTGCTCCTGGAATTTGTTTTGTAGGCACCAGCTACAAAACAAACATTTGCCCCAAGTAGAATGATTTATGTTAAATGGCCTCGGTCAAGCTGCTGCTGTTCATGTTTGTAAAATAGTTATCATCAGTGTACAACAGAAACCAAGCAAATAACCACATTAGAAGAAAATCCGCTAGTGAAAAGAAATCCCATGAATGAACAGCATTTGATACCTGGTATAAAAAAGATGATTCTGAATTTTCATCTTGAGATGTGTCACATAGAGCTTGGAAATGAATATCCATACCACCAGTTACTTTGTGTTCAGTTAAATTGGTAACTTGCAAGAGAAATATGAAATATAGGAGTGAGCATTGTCTCTTTACATTTGGAAGAATGTTA
Source organism: Homo sapiens (assembly GCF_000001405.40). Lineage (NCBI taxonomy): Eukaryota > Metazoa > Chordata > Mammalia > Primates > Hominidae > Homo > Homo sapiens. Next base: position 38,732,117 of record NC_000013.11, read on the forward strand.
ATAGTAAAGATGCATAATGTCTAAGCTTCATTAAAATACTCTTAAAATAATACAACTACGTCTGACAAAATGTCATATCTTAGTAGTCTTTTCAAGTTGAAATCTTAAATATTATTCACTCCTGGATTTTTAATGCTAGGGCTGCATATAAATCAGAACGTGTCAATTCAGGTTTCATGTCAGAGTTTGCCAAATTCCTGATTGGACTTCACTAGTCTATGGGTGTTGCTAATTGAACAGAAATTGCTGCTTAATAGTAAAATATCATGGCTATGTATTCATTACATTTTGTGATTTATTTTTACTTAATAAACTACTTTAGTTATGACAGCCATTATTTTCAAAGCATACTAAATGCCAATTCAAGTGTCTGTTGAACTCTTGTTCTGTGTAGGTTTTACTAGCTCCATATGTGATTCAAAATCAGCAAGATGTAGCCCCTATGAAAAAGTGGTGTGGAAAGCCGGGGGAACTGACAAATCAGACACAACTGGGTTGAAATTCCACTGCTTACATGTGGTGCCCCGAGCTGTGCAGTCCTTCTGAACATCACTGAAGCACACAGGAGAAACTGATGAAGATGAAGTTCTCAAAGAAATCATTCAAACAAGAATAGTAAGGGGAATTAAGAAGAAATTAGTAAAAGAATTGCCAAATCCCAGTGAAGATTCTGTGTTGACTACATAGAGAATCTGTAGAGAACACTATTTTATATGGTTCTGAGAACCTCTTGCAGAGCTTAGGAGCCTGGAGGCCATGGTCTCACTGGCTTGGTAAATAGTGAGAAATTTTACTGTATTATTGGGATATTGTTTCAGTAACTGACAGTGGTGAAAGAACTGATAGGGGTGGAAATGATACCAGAAGAGAATCTTTGACATGGATAATGTGAAGGAGGCTTTATCATGGAGGTTTGTTGTTTTTTAGTTACTTAAGGGATGGTAGCAGATGATAGTGAGAGGAAAACTGTAAACCATCTGCTAGAGACATCAAGTAAAGAGGAAGGATATTTTGCAGATCTATACTAAACTGTGGCATCTAGAGAGGTGAAGGTTTTTGAAGAGGTGGCAATGAAACTATCAGTTTCTAAGAGGCACTGAGGAGTAAGAAATAAAGAAATAGACAAGCCCCTACTCCTCATCTTGTGGGAAGTAGATAGTAGGAACAGAGGAGCCTCTGTTGACTTCGGAGCCAGTGGTTTTTTTTTTTTTCTAATGATGGTAAGATTCAATGAAGGCAAAGAAGTGAGGGATCATAGAAAAGCTCAAGTGCATAGAAGTAGAATTGAATAGCAATGAAAAGAGCACAGTGTTTCCTGAGATGATACCTCCCCTTACTATCCACCATAAACTGATATTTTCTATTGTATTCCTTTGGCTAAAATGTTGGTTGCAACTTACCCACCAGATCTCAGTAACCACTAATGGAATGTTTTAGGAAAAAACATACACTAGAGGATCTTGGTTTTTGCAATTAAAAAAAGGTTGTCAAGAAACTTTATATATATTTACAGCAAGCAGATCAAATTCCTTTCCTTTGTCTTACTGTTTATTTTATGTTATTTTATTTTATTTTGAGACAGGGTCTTGCTCTATTGCCCAGGCTGGTCTTGAGCCCCTGGCCTCAAACAATCCTCTTGCCTTGGCCTCCCAAAGTGCTAGGATTATAGTCATGAGCCTCCACATCCAACCTGTCTTACTGTTTTAAACAATTATTCAAAAACTATTGAGCTAAATACTGCTGATATTTATTTTATGGAAATATAAGCTGCCTGCATTTGACAAAATATCTTAGATAGAACTGTCTTTAATGCCCTATTAGTGATAAAAATAAATCTTCTGGCATAAGCCAGAAAAAAATAGTTCACTTAAACAAATATTTAGAAAGCCCAAATAAATAGGTGGTATAAGTTAATGAAAGGAAAGCAATTGTTTACATTATAAACTAGATCACCTTATGATTAACTGTATTCTTATTTAAGAAAAAAAGTCAAGTGGACAAACCTGGTAAAATGAACCAGTCTTAAAGAGGCTTTGATTTGCACACACACAAAAAAAAAAGAAAGAAAAGAAACAGGAAAAAACAAAAAAGCAAAGAAACATAACAAAATAACATGTGTTACCCTATCTCATTCCTCCCCCGCAAAAATCACATGTTTACTAAGATTTACATGTTCCACATACATTTTGAGCCTGGCTGGAGGCATAGGACAATATGAGAAAAGAAAAGACCCAGAGGAGTCTTTAAGAAGAAACGTATTTCTTTCTTTTTCAGCTATGAAATACTTTATATATAACTAGTTAAAAGACTTTTTCCTTAACCCTGCACCCTTTTGTGATAAATTATTACTTGTACATATTGTACAGCAGCAGTTCTCAGACTTTTGGACCTAGAACCTCTTTCTATTTTTAAAAAAATTGTTGAGGACCTCAAAGAGATTCCATTTGGGAAATATCTGCTGATATATACCATAATCTAAACTGAAGAAATTTAAAGCATTCATTCATTGATTCATTTGAATATAATAACAGCAATCCTATGACATATTAAATAACATTTTAATTAGCAGTAACTATATGTTCCTAAATGAAAATATTAGTGAGAAGAATTGCAGTGCTATACTTTTTTTTTTTTTTTTTTTTTTTTCTGAAACACAGTCTCACTCTGTTGCACAGGCTGGAGTGCAGTGGCACGATCTCAGCTCACTGCAACCTCTACCTCCCAGGTTTAACCGATTCTCCTGCCTCAACCTCCCATGTAGCTGGGACTACAGGCCTGCACCACCACGCCTGGCTAACTTTTTATATTTTTAGTCGAGATGGGGTTTCACCATATTGGCCAGGCTGGTCTCAAACTTCTGACCTTGTGATCCACCCGCCTTGGCCTCCCAAAGTGCTGGGATTACAGGCGTGAGCCACTGCGCCCAGCCAGTGCTATACATTTTTAGAAATCTCTTTAATGTTTGGCTTAATAGAGGACAGCTGGATTCTGATATCTGATTCTGCATTCGATCTGGGGTGATATGTCATTTTTGTTGATTTATATGAAGAAACCTCAGCCTCACGACACTGTCCCTTTTATGAAGAATTTTATCATCATGCTATATTTAATGATTAGAAATTGAATTTCACCCTTATATAGAAAATATTAAAATCATCCCGTTTATAGCAATCCTCATATTGCAAATTATAAATGTACCCTTTAGGTTAGAAATTATGTGATTGAGTTTAGATACATAGAAGCCTATGACAGAAACATGCACAGCCGGTAATGTCTATATTTGAAAGTGAAGTTCATTAAAGAAAGGAATTATCTGCTCTCTTTTATGGTTCTCTCTGATTATATCTGTGAAAAGGATAACTACTGCTTTGTCATTTCAGTTTCAATTTTTATTCTTAGTAAAAAAATCATTTATTGAAATAGTAATTACTTGAATTACTTTTTATCATCACAGCAGGAAATTATAGCAAGCGCTTAAAAAAAATGCATACTCAGGAACTACTTAAAAAAACGTAAATGGTTTTTGCTGAAAAGCTTAGCATACAATAATGAGGAGTCCAAAAATGTTTTTGTTACTCCTAAAACAGAGTGGCTTTTCAAGTAGGCCTAGCAGCTGAGGTTCTGTTGTCTGAAATCTGCTCCAGGCAGTGAGCATGGGAGGAGTCAGGAGTACCTGCAAGATTAGATAATAATAATGACTGTTTCCTCTGCCTCCCTATCTGAGGAGCCATCGCCACCAGTATTTCCAGGCAATTAATGTGGGAATAAGCAGGAGTTAGTTCAAATGACTCCTCACAGTCACAGAGGTGCTGTTCGTGTAAAATCTGACATCCCCATGTCTTTAGGAAAAGGAAGAGCCTTCAGTGGCAGAAGGAGGAGCATAATCTTCCAGGAGGGAGGCCTTGTGCAGAACTGAGATCCCTTAGGCTGTGCGAAAGGGCTTCAGTGTATCCTAACCGCCCCTAGACCTAGTAGCACAGTACTAGACTAGATTGCGCTGTTTATTCAGCCCAGCTTTTCTTTGCCTCAGAGGCTCACTTAATGATACAAGGTATCTCAAACCTTGAAAGATAATTTTTAACTAGAAAGTAACCTATTTGTAAGAATGATTTTTAGCAAGTGGTTCTAACTGGCATGTGTTTTCTGGCCTTAGGGAGCTACAAAATTGTTTCAAAAGGAAACAAATGGACCTAAAAACAAATGACTGGTAATTGTGGCTGAGAGGCTTACGTATGAAGGGAACTTGTTTAAAAGTGCCATGATTTTATTAACTGATAGATCATCAAAACCTCTCTGTAACCATGGAACAGGTATTGTTTTTAAAAAGCTAGAAAAAAAGTACTTATATTTCATTATAAGATTTTATGTTATTTTAACATGTGAAACCTTTTTGACGGTTTACAACAAAATGTTTCTATTTTTACACACAAATGTTTATTTAATATGGCATTTTCTTTCTATCCACTGTCAGGTATGCAGCAAGATCTTATATAGTAAGACTGTTTTGAACATGAGGATTATGGAAGAAGGAGACCCACAGTTCATGGTTAAACCTCATCTATTAGAAAAATAAAGAAAAAATTAATGGGTAGTCCTAGTTTAAATAAATACTGAAAATCATCATGTAAAGAAATTTATATTGATGCTAAAAAGTAAACATTTCCCTTTGGTGGAAATTTAAATTACCCAGCAGACAGTGTTAACTTTTAGTGAAAGATGCACAGATACATAACTCAAATGCAAACCGTTTGTTTTTTTTTTCTGCTTTCTTTTTTTTTCTTTCTGTTTTCTTCTTTAAAGCTCACTTTGAGTGGCCTTGCATTTGGCAGTCTCCCTGGCTCAAATGTTCCTACCCCCTTTCCCTACTTAAACGAATTTCTCCATGTTTGGAGACTTGGATTGAGCACATTCTCATCATGGGAACCATTACTGACTAATATGAAGCCACTTCGTGCTCCCCTACCCACCAGAATCCTGTGAGTGTATCATGTGTGGGGATTTCAGTAGTGTGTTCTGTCCTGTCTTCCCTTTGGGGACTATGTCACCTTCATTTTTGCATCTGCCACCCCTAATACAGACCCTTGAATGTGGCAAATTTTCAAGGTTTGTTGAATTGAATAAATCAATTAATGGATTTAGCTTTTGAACCATCAGGAACCGAAGAAGGTCTCTAAGCTTTTGTCATTTTAATGCTAGATGGATGGAGTGCACATGTTTTTATTATTTAGATTCTTTTAATTAAAAATAGCATCTGAGACATCCAAAGGAAAGAACAAAACAATGTTAGCATATTTCTCTCTAAAATCTATGGCAAAGCGAATGTTTGCTAGAGATTATCCACCATCCATAAAACTACTGGAAAACTTTGTTTTGATCTGTGAGGTACATACCAGTTCTAAAGTATTACTTGTCAGCTGAAACTAATAGTAAATTAAAACTAAGTGACTGTTAAGAATGTTACAAGAAAATAGGATACAGCAGTGAAGGAAACAGCCTAGATCAGTGCTCAGTATGTGATAGATGAGACCTTCATTAAATACTTATTAGAGTTGAATGGAACCCTGAGAGACTGCATCATGTATCTGGACTAATACACAGTCTGGTGTGATGTAAGTGAAGGGTTGGTGTGGAGACACCCAAGGGGAATGAGACTGGGAATGTAAGGAAATAAGTCATGAGGTTTTGGTGTGTTGTTCTAAGGTTTTAGACTTTATCCTCAAGTCAATATGGAGTTAGTTAAGGGTTTTCAAATGGAAATGGTATGATGTAAGCTGGCATTTTAGGAAGATCACTGGGGAGCTAATTGGAGATTGGATGGGGGTGAAGAGAAGAATATGAAATGGGAGGCAGATACACCAGGTAGAAAGCCATTGAAGAAAGATAAGGATGCTGTTGTGGCAAAGAAAAGAGGGTGTGAATTCCAGAGATGCTGAGGACTTTGTTGCTGATTAGGTATGGGAGTGACTGAATCACAGAAGCAGGTTTGACTCCTCATGTTCTGCTCTGGTAGCTGAAAGGAAGAAAACACTGTTTTCTACAATATGGAACACAAAAGGAGAAACAGCTTTGCAGGAAAAAATAATGAGGAGATCAGCTTTGGACATATGAAAATTTCAGGTGCTGGCGAGACATCTAGACAGACATGTGCAATGGAAACGGGATAATTGGGCTGGGAGCAGTGGCTCACACCTGTAATCTCAGTACTTTGGGAGGCCAAAGTGGGTGGATCACCTGAGGTCAGGAGTTCAAAAGCATCCTGGGCAACATGGTGAAACCCCACCTCTACTGAAAAATACAAAATTAGCCAGGCGTGGTGGCACATGCCTGTGGTCCCAGCTACTTGGGAGGCTGAGGCAGGAGAATCGCATGAACCTGGCAGGTGGAGGTTGCAGTGAGCTGAGATCATGCCACTGCACTCCAGCCTGGGCAACAGAGTGAGACTCCATCTCAAAAAAAAAAAAAAAAAAAAAAAAAAGAGAGATAGAAAAAAAAGGAAAGGGGATGATCTTGGTTTAGAGATGAGAAAAATGGTCTGGATGAGTCTACAGATTTTAGAGTGATCTATGAACCAGAGGGTGCAGGGGCATGAGATTGGATAAGTTCAGTCAGATGCAGAGTATGAGACCAGCCTATCTCTGAGCACAGAGCTCTGGAGGCCAACAATAACAAAGGGATTCCTTGAGAAAGAGAAGCCCATGAAGGAAATGGAAATGAGACATTCAGAAAGCCCAGAATAAAACCAAAAGTGTAGTGTCACACTGTTAAGATAATAGATTCTGGGGTGAAACAGATGAGATTTTTAACTTTGATTCTAGAAATACTAGCTGTATTGCACTCGGCAAGGTAACTAACTTTCCTAATGCCTAGTTTCCTGATTTCAAAATAGGCATGATAACAGTATCTATCTCAGAATATTCATGTGGGGAGTAAGTAGTATCATATATACAGAATGCTTGGCAATGTCCAGTCCACAGTAAGTACACAATAATTGCTGTTGGTGGAGGGAGTATCAGTAGAAACAGAAATGGTAGAGTAGTAGTAGCAATCATTGTCATAATCATCATCATCATCACTATTTTGTTAAGAAAGTTTTAAAATGATTGAATGTAATTTTAAAAACAGGAAAATATTGGAAAAAGATAAAGGAAGACAAGCGCCTGAAACTGCTCCATGGATTTAATAACTTACATTTGTTTGGTGGCCTTGATAAACACAATTTTAATGGGACAGGGAGACCTACTGGCATACCAATAAAGTGTAAAGGAACCAGGAGTGATTATGTAGAATCCTCTTTTGACTTTTATGGGAAGGAGAAAAATATAGCAACAGTTCAGCATAGCATTCTCAGCATGTTCCTGCCCCATTCCAACATGGCTCTTCATGAAACCAAATCATTACACCTATGGTTGGCTTCCTTTGTCCATACTGTTCTTCCTAGAAAGTATGAGCTCACCCTGATCATCCTTCTCTCTAAGACTCAACCAAACTCCCAAATTTTCCAGGAAGTCTCCTCTCAACTCTTCCTTTTTCACTGGCTCTTTCGTGGTCACTACATACACCTGCGGCACCCTCACATCACCCAGGACGGAGAGCCTTAAAACTAGTCATCTACTTCCCAGAGAGATTCTACACGGTGGTTCTAAGAGCAGGGATTCCTTTCCAGTATTGTTTGGTTATATAGTGCATGATTGGAATTTGTTTTACTGATAATGATAAAGTAGTTGGAACACATGGCATAATTTAAAGTTGCTTTTTTCATTAACTTAGCACATGTGATACTGATATCAAAACCTCACATTTACATACATAGCTAAGGCATGAGAGCCTTCAGAGAACAGCACTGCCTACTGATGCTAGCAAAATAATTATCCTTCAGTTTAGAGTGGCTTGCATTTAAGTTTCTTTACAATAAATACAACCATTTGAAATTGTATAACCATTCAAAGCCAAAAATTTCATATTTTACAAGAACTTTTCATGTGTTTTATAAGTTCTAAAGAAACTTTGAGTTATGAATCATCATAATCTATTTTAGGATATTCTCAATATGTTTTTATATTAAATAAACAAGTAATTGTAATGTAAGTGGTAGAATAAGTTTGCTCAAATACTTAGGCTGTGGAGAAAAAGTTATTTAATAAAACATTTCATTTTATACTGTATTTTCATGTTCGAGAGATATGTTACTTCAGTTTATAAACATTAAAGACTTGTAATGAGGGAAAAAATAAGAAAGTGATAGTAAACTGAGATTTTTGAACATGCACATCTTCAAACAGTTCTTTAGCAATGTGTACACTATTAGGAGGTCTAGCTTCTGAAATGAAGTTTAACGTACATCAATTGTTGAGATGATTAATTGGAGCTAGTAGATGAATTTAATGATCATGTTGCTCTCTCTCTTATATTCTCCATTGGAAGAACAAAAGAGACAAAGGAAATTATTTGCAATCATTATTCCTCATAAGAAAAGAAATAAATCATTCTGTATTCTGTTCTCTGATTTCATTATAGCACCTGTCATGACGAAAAATTTACTACAGTGCTATTGGCCCTGTGGGCATCAATTAATGTTGATCATAATTAAAATTTTAATTGCAAATAGAAACACAGTGTATGTTATCACTTTAAAAAGTAATTGTGTTCTTGTATATTAAGGTTGTAGGAAACTTTTATTCATAACATTGATTTGGAAGCTTGCCCTTTTATTAGTGGTTACTGTTAGAAGAAGATAAGAATCAGGACTTGCTCACTACTCTTGACTCCTTTTCTTCACATATAATGATGAGGAAGATAGTTTTTTCTTGAAAGCAAAGAATAAGTTTGACTATTCAACAATGCAACTCTCTGTGTTTGTGCAGATCACAGACCCACACACAAACGTCCATAGTAATATTAGAGTATGTGTTCTTTTGCTTTATACTCATTGATTTTAAATCCTTACCCTATAAGGTATTTATCACCATGTTACAATGTAGGAAACTAAGGCACAAAGAATAAATATCTCACATCAGACAGAGTAATTGGCAGAGTTGGAATTCAAACCCTGCAAAACACGTGTTTCTTCCACTAAAACACACTGCCTCTTAGGCCAATATGACCACAAGAGGCAAGTGTGGTTCATGCATGCCTGGTTCAGCACTAGAAGGGGTCAGTCAGGGAACCAGTGTTAGACATTCAGAAATATGAAGTTGAGTAGGTGCCAGGAGTACCCAGTGCTCTCTTAACATATTTTCAAATATGGAAGAAATCAGTATATCCAGCAAGTCACAAACCACCAGAATTTCTCCCTAATGAAGACCTTCATATGTATGCTAATATGAGTCACTGAATGACCACAAAATGGGTGCTCAATAAATTTTTCTGAAAAATCCATGAACAGGGACAATTGAGATCAGCCCTCAATTCAGGGTGCAGACTGCTGTTGACTCAAGCAAGTCATTGTTAGGAGCGAATTAAGGTGGTAGAGACACTTAGTTTTAGCTTTTTTTGGACACATCACAAATTGCAGATAGTTATAACTTTAATAGCACTTTAGTTAATGGGCTCCCGAACTCTTACCCTTTTGAAAGTGTTGTTTTCATTCCCTTACTTGAGTTGAAGCAGCTGTGCTCATCAGTCATAGAAAGTAATCGTTATGTATCTGTGGCTCTAGGCATGCATTTTTATGAGGGTGTGAAAGTGGGAATCATTTATTCAATACACCTGTGGAAAACTTTCCAAAGTCTAAGTGTGTAAATCTATGGCTTAAGTGTAATATGCTTGTCTGGAGAAAAAGACACTGAGGCTTTTCTATGTACTTTTTTGTTGTTCATCTGATAAATATTGACAATGAAAAAAATACATGTTGAGCAGAGGCTGGAAATACACTATGAGTAAACAACGGAACATGTGTTTTGAGTTATTGAACTAAAATAAGGCAAAGTAGCATCTAAATTACAATAATAATTAGACGGTCATTTGCCCATCTGTCAACATTTCTTCCTTACACTGCTCTTGAACTGTCCAAGTTTTAAGTATCTCTAACAGGTATTGAGCCTGTCTTTACAAGTCCTATTTATCAAAAATAGTTTAAAGAACAATTTAGAATAGATGAATAGAGATGTATGCAACTACAAGGGTTGTATAAAAATATGCACTTGCAATATCTAATAATGAATATTGCTGCTGTATTTTGTGAGGCAGAATTCCCTAATTTATATGGTCCAAGGATTATGAAAGTGAGAATGAGATCAGATTCCTCATATAGAGAAATTATATGGACTAGAAAACATATGGAAATGTGAATTTGGCACAGGGGGCAAATAACAGCTAGCTGTGAGGAGCTCCCTGGCAGTATCGATTTTTGGGTCTTCCATGGTCCTTAGGTACAAATCAGGTTGTAGCTGGGTTTTTCCCAATGATGATTTCAAATATGACGGTCTCTGATACTCTTAGCCTTTTACACTTGTCCATTTACTTTCCAGATTTCAAATGTTACATTGCATTTGCCCTGTTTCCTGTTTTCTTTGTTCTTGAGGAATTATGCCATTTTATCGTTTACTGGACTGTAATTTTTTGTGGGGCTTCCCAGTGAGGTAGAATTATCAATGGTCATCTTTGTGTACTTTTCTAATCATGAGCCTCAAACCTTGTCTTCAGTACACTACAATAGTTCTCTCAATGAATTTTGAGACTTAAATTAGGAATTAACTTGGTTCCCTATATTCTACTGAACCAACAACATGTTTGAATTATTGCAATCATTAAATAATCATCAAATTGAGCAATCCCATTGTTGCTTGGAATGGCTCAATAGCGAAGTCTGAACCAGAATTTCTGGAATAGTTTAGGCATTGAACTAGGACAATAATACTGTTAGCACTTTATGGGTCTAAAACTCAATGTACCTGGCAAACTTTTCTATATGGATCACTGGTAAGAATGAGCATGTAAGAAAAACAAGCTCCTGATGGACAAACTGATTTAACTAAATCCATGCTCCAGCTCATCCACCTTGCTGACAGGCAAGCCCCAATGTGAGGGTCTCCTGGCATCCAAATATACACTTGAGATATACAACTCAGGGATGCTCAAGTCAACTTTATGCTTGGCATATTTGAGTAAGTTTTCTACCCAGGTTTTTCTCATTCTGTATAGTACATTCCTTACCATTATGCTATTTTAAAATATATATAGCTATATAGAGAGATATTTTAATATATATATACATACATATATATATGTATAGTATGTGGCAAGATTTCTTATATTTGCCTCACTCTGAGCCTATGGAATTTAGTTTGTCTCATTATTTCAGGCCCCCAGCAGATTTCAAAATTAATATTAGGATGGGAATAGAGAGTTTCCCAAAAGAGGGATCACTAGCAACTGACGTGACAGCTAACATTTCACAGTAATGGAAGAAAGAAAAAAATCTATTTTAAAGCAAGCCCAGAATCTCAAATGGTATGAGGGAGGCTATTTAGCGCAAGTACAGAAAGTCTTGTACTTCTCAATAAGCCCAGAGGCATCACTTGATTACAGAGCAGTGTAATAATAGCTGTTGATAATTGTGCTCTGGAGTCATCAAGCCTGTGTGCCCCACCCCTAAACCACTATAGCAACCTTTTCTCCACTAGCTTAATCCTTACTGAATAGAACAATAAAGCTCTCTTTCTTTGTCATTTCTCCCACTATATTGTGAGCTTGCCTTCTGTATCTACGTCCCTAGCGTCAGCATAGTGCCAAGCCTATAATATCTACTCTCAGTGATTTGTAGGGCAAATGGATTAATGAAATGACTATGTATACATTATATATATGTAAGTACATACAAAGGTATATATGTTTTATAGAAATAATTACAGGTAAATATGATGAGAATCAGTAAACTACTTTTGAAACAAAATAAATAAAAATAAATCCCCCGAATTCTCATGGAAATGAATGGAGAGAGGTGGAAAAAAGATAAAATGAATAAACACAAAGATATTTTTGAATTTAAAAAGTGTCAGCTAAGAAGATAAACAACTAACATTTGTTAAGTCAGGAGAAAAGCATCTAAAATACTCTGTTGTTATTACTCTACAGATTTGAGGTAAATCCTTTTTTTTTTTTTTTTTTTTTTTTTGAGACAGGGTCTTGTTCTTCCCCCCAGGCTGGTGTGCATTGGTGGGCTCATAGTTCTCAGCAGCCTCCAACTCCTGAGCTCAAGTGATCCTCCTGCCTCAGCCTCCCTAGTAGCTGGGAGTACTGGTGTACATCATTGCACCCAGTTAATTTTTTTGTAGAGATGGTGTCTCACTATGTTGACCAGGCTGATTGCAAATCTTAGCTTTTCTTTTAATGACTCCAACTTGTTACTTAACTTTAAAGGCTCCAATTATTTTATTATTATTATTATTATTTTGAGATGGAGTTTTGGTCTTGTCAACCCAGGCTGGAGCGCAGTGGCGTGATCTCGGCTCACTGCAACCTCCACCTCCCGTGTTCAAGCAATTCTCCTGCCTCAGCCTCCCGAGTAGCTGGGATTACAGGTGCCCACCACCACGCCTGGCTAAGTTTTGTATTTTTAGTAGAGGCAGGGTTTCACCATGTTGGCCAGGCTGGTCTTGAACTCCTGACCTCAGGTGATCCACCTGCCTTGGCCTCCCAAAGTGCTGGGATTACAGGCGTAAGCCACTACGCCCAGCCAGCTCCAATTATTTTACAGTAAACAGCCAACACTTTAATGAAAAAGTAGTACCACTTTCCTACCCAGGCAATTAGGCAGATTTTTCTACAGTAATTTCACTCACAGAGGTCATGATGCAATAACAAATAATTGAATCCATTATTTATGTGGTTTATAAACTAACATGACATAGAAGCTCACTGAATCACCTGTTTTGCACTAGAAGTCAAACAGTATATATTCTGGCCCTTGTTTTCTCTAAAGCAAATGAATTCATTGCCATTAAAATATTAATTAGGAAGAATGATCCAATAATCCTAACATTAAGGTAATGTCTAAATGGAAAATATGACTGTAAGGAACACATAAGTAGTATATAGAATAGAATCTGAAATAAATTGAGGATATTTACAAATTAACCAGATTCTAATCTGATTCAATTATTTTAAAATTATTTTGAAGTATGTTTTTAATAGTATAAATATATTAAAAAGAAAAGCTTTGCTGAGCATGCTGTTTATATTTTGTGAAATGTCTTCCTAAAGAAGTTCCAAGCTAGGCTGTAAAACCAATCCTGAGACACATTTTGTTTAAATAAACTTTACTTGAACTTCTATCCCATACTTAAGAAAAGCTATGGGCATATTCAATAACATCTCATCGTATACCTCTTTATTTTTCATTGTGGTATAATTGCTAATAAAGATAAAGAGCTGCTATTTAATCACTTCCCTAAAAACATCAGGTTTATTTCAGTTTTTCCTATATGGTTTTGTCTTTTCTATTAAAATGTCCTCCTTTCTCCCCCTCTGTTGACCTAAGGAGTCTAGGTTGGCACCCTAATCCGCTATTTTCAGGGATCACCATAGATTTTCCATAGAAAACAGTTGGCTTTTATTGTTTGTTTGTTGTTGTTGTTTGTCTCCAGCATCTCAAGCTCACTGATTCTGTGAGCTTTCTGGTTTTAATCTCGCTTCTGCTTTCTGATTTTCAATCCGATTGAAACCAGAAATCTCAGAGTCAATGCTGGGTAATTATCACTATTCTGCCTATCGGGGACAAGGTTAGGAATTTTCTCCCTGTGTGTATTTGACTTTCTCATCTCTCCTTCTTTCTTCCCCAGCTCCTCACAGCCAGGCCTCTGTTTTGTTCCCTGTGCTAAATTCACATTCCAGTATCGTACCCTTTCTAGTTCATGTAATTTCTCTATTTGAGGGATTTGATCCCATTTCTTACTTTTATGATTTCTGTATTATATAAATTAGGGAATCCTGCCTCAGGGAACACAGTGGAAATACTCATTTTTAGATTTGCAAGTGCATATTTTTATGGAACTCTTATAGTTGTATTCATCTCTGTTCATCTGTCCTAAATTGGTCTTTAGACCACTTATGCTAAGTAGGAACTCTAAACATAGGCTCGATAACTGTGAACTCTTTTTCTGCATAACAACATCTCAATCCTATTTTACCTTTTGATAAGGCTTGCAAAACAGATAAGTAGGGAAAACCTGTACACAATGAGGCTACTATTCATATGTCTTATGGCCTTTCCCAGTGAAAGATTTGTAATGATGTCTAGGTGTGTTGAGTGTAAAGTGCAGTAAGGTTCGCTCAAGATTTTGCCATAACACATAAAAATGGCCACATTCCTACTCACAATATCCAAAGCACTTTTCTAAGCTGAATCTCTCTCCCTAGAAGTGACAGAGCCAGTGGGTGGGAGGCAGAGAATTGAGTGCAGGGTAAGTTACCTAAGAGGAATGGTCTAAAGTAGGCAAAGATTTTTGAAGTACCCATGATTAAAATTTTCTCTTCTACTAGAAGAATATTTTTTAGTCTCAAAGAGCCTCATTTATAGGAAACCTTGAAAAGATAAGCTTATGCATTTTTTAGGCTGAATAACTAATAAAAAGCCGCTCTATACCTGACCAATGGCATTCAAGTAAAGGGATTTATCATTTAAGTCAGGAGGGAAGAAGTAAAATTGCTGAGTTGAGTGGCTGCCATGAAGGGAGTGAGGGCTTTAAATGACCAAAAGAAGATTTAACTTCTTCCAGAGAACAAATGAAGGTGTGGAAGAAGATTTTACCAAGACAGAAGGTGCACAGAGACAACCTTTGGCGATTTGGCAGCATTTCCTGGGTCCTTGGTAGAAACCAGTGCAGAGTTCCAAACACCGGCCAGGTTGGAGCTTCCAAAGCCATCCAGATATTCTAGTGCAGACCTTGCTCACAAGCCTGGGCAGGTCAGCCCAGTTTCCCTTGTTCTGATACATTTAGTACAGCATCTGTACATTCTATCAGGTATTTCCTTGTTTGAGTCCCAATCCCTACCTACCTTGCCCACCATATTGAGAAAAGGGAGGCGAGAGAGTAAGAAACAGAAGAAATATAGATCTTCCCCACAGTCTCACTCACTTTGTTATCATTAAGGTATTAAAAGATAGTTATGAGATTTTCCTCTCTTAAGAATGCATTCTGAGAATTTTCTGTATTCCCAAAGGATAGTTATCCTATTATTCTTTGAAGGGTACTCATGGTCTGATTTACTCTGTGTGTGCATTTTCTCTTCTCATAAAAATTTTCAATTTGAGTTTCTTGAGGGCATAAAGCTGATATAATATGTGTGTGTGTGTGTGTGTGTGTGTGTGTGTGTATTCATCTGTTGCCCTAAATCTCCAGAGTGCCTGGTGAGTGTGTATATGTATAATATATATACACAAATACACACACACACACACACACACACATTTATGTGTTTTTTTCCTTGTCTATATAAATAACATTGAAGTAAGTTTAGTTACTTTTCATTTTCTAACTCATTTGGTTCTCCAGTCAATAAAGGTATTTTCCAATACAACTTATTAATATTATTACCATAATCAGTTGAGATGCAAATCAATGACTCAGAATTGTCTATCAGCTTCCTTCTAAAATTGATGAGTACAGAACTGTTGTATTTATTGATATTCTCATGGGAAACAGTTACTGATCAGGGTGAGGAAAAAGTGCAGACTAGGAAACAATGTGCTTTCAGAATTTGTATCTGTTTATCAGCCTTAAAGTTTATGTTGCAGCATTATCCTTTTTCCAAAACCCAGCTTAGTCCATGCTTCCCATACTGGTAGTTTTAATAGCTTCAGAAGCATTCTTCTTAGTAAGCCTTTAAATCCCTTATCAGAGCTGGGCAGATCGTAAGGTTCAAATATCCACAGGGACTAAGATCCAACTGAAAACAGGAGGCCGACATAGCTCGTTGTACATTGTTGGTGATTTTAGCTGTGTTTTTTGGAACTGGCCAAAATCCTAACCTTTGTCTCTTCTGAGATCTGATCCCGCATTTGACTAATTAAAAAAAAGGGCTGGGGCATTATATAGTTAAGTTGCAAAAAAAGCAAAGCGTGTGTTCCAACAGTAAATGTGGTCTGTCTGTGGAACGAATATACCAGTAGTCAGTTGTGTTTACCTGAACTTATATTTTTCTTGGCATTCTACAAACTAACATATTTATTTTGCCATTTGGATTAGGAAATGGAAATGACATGAACCAGAATTTGTATTGCTGGTAGGGAAGAAGTTTTTAAATTGTATTTGGATTTGTTCCTCAAGATTATGATGTGCAGTTCTAACTATTAGTGTCAAATATGACAAACGAAAATTATGTGACCTGCATGTGATTGATACTGCACAGGCTCTCTGCTCATATCTGTGTTTTGGATGGTTTGTACTCAAAGGCAACTTGTCCCAAATTATGCGCTGTAGATCAGAGTCTTAACATGATGCCTTAAGACACAGGTTCCCTGCTGAAATGAGATTGAGAAATGCTGTGTGCTCCAATCCCTTCCTTAGACTTCCTCAGTGCATATTCACATATTAAAGACCCTAGGAATTACTGCAGGTAAGAATGTTGTTTACATAGCTTAATACAGCTTATTTTTCCCTTAGTTAACATAGAGTGATTTTTTTTAAAATGTAATACCTATTAACTACCAGGAAAAATAAGATTCAAAAAAATTATTTTGGGAAGTGCTTTCCCAAATTGTTCAACGGAAAAACATGTAAAGGATGCTGTGAGCTCTATGTTTTTGGAAAGGAAGGCATTTTTGTTCTTTGTAAGAACAAAGGTAAGGCTGTGCATGCATGTGTGTGCAGGTACATGTGTGTGTACTGACAAGCACATGTGCATTGGAACATGTAGTATTTCTCTTTTGGGCTACAATAAAGACATGGGAGTCTGGATAACTTGTGTTCAGTGCCCAGTCTTGTCTATCTGCAGTGACCTTAGGAAGCCTTTCTATTTTGTGTTCTCGGCTCTAACATGGGTTGGTGAAGCCTAATCTGCTTAAAACATCTAACATGGAAATCATCACCCACATATTTGATTTCATACTGAAATCTAAATCATGCATACAGTATCAAACTTTGACACAGTTTGGTGCATTTCTCAAGATCCTTCCTCACCTCTAACTTCCGAAAGGATTAGCCATAAATGTTGACAGTAGGAAAATTACTGGCTCAACTACTTTCTGCAACAAGAGAATAAACACTTCCTACAGGAAACTTTTCCACATCAATGATGGACTTGAAAAGTTCTGCATATTTATGTAAGAAGAGGAGGCAGTTTTATCATTTCATCATATATATTCACAATTCAATTTATAAGAAAACATGAATTACCAAGAAAAGTCAGATCATATGTTCATGTTAGGTTATAAATGTTGATATATCACAATATAACAAGTACAGACCACGGTTTCTCAACCCCAGTGCTATTGACATTTGGGGCCAGATAATTCTAATGCTTTGTGTGTGTGTTGGGTGGGAGGGTCTGACTGTCCTGTGCCTTGTGGGATCTGTAGCTCCCTGGCCCCTACCCATTAGATGTCAGTAACACCCCCTGCCTTGCCCTTCACCCCCTCCCCAACTTGTGACAGCCAAAACTATCTCCAGACATCGCCAAACATTCCCCAAAGGGCAAAATTATTGCCCCTTCTCCAAGAACTACTGGTTTAGACCTTATTATTAATTGTAAAGTCAATGTATTCACTTTCCAAGTCTGCTCTTTAAAAAGTTTATGCATGCAATTAGTATGAATTCTCTGCAGTAATCATTGTCTCAAATCCTCCACATATTCAAAAATGCCACCTGCATTTTATATTAACCAAGTGCAGCAAAACATAGTTTATCTTGGCCTAGGAGAAAAATTTTGTCACACTGATCCTCATTTTCTTCCTAAGTTGAAAGAGAGAGAAGGAAAGGGGTAGGGCCTAACTTTTACCTGTATGTAGTATGCATTTGGATTTTGGCTAAATAGTTGCTTAGGACCAAAACTCCTCCAAGAAATTTATTCGTCATTTATTTTTACTAATCAAAATGAATGGACTCTTTGAGTACCTCTGATATGGTTTGGCTCTGTGTCCCCACCCAAACCTCATCTTGTAGCTTCCATAATTCCCACGTGTTGTGGGAGGGACCTGGTAGGAGGTAACTGAATCATGAGGGCCGGTCTTTCCCTTGCTGTTCTTGTGATAATGAATGGGTCTCACGAGATCCGATGGTTTTTAAAACGGGAGTGAGACTTACCTATGAGTGAGATCCATGTGTTTTGTGTTTTTCTGTGCCTAGCTTATTTTACTTAGTATAACGACTTCCAGTACCAACCATATTGCTGCAAATGGCAAGAGTTCATTTTTTTTATGGTTGAATGATACTCTACTATGTATATAGAACACATTTTCTTTATCCATTCATCCATTGATGAATACTTAAATTGATTCCATATATTGGCTATTGTGAATACTGCTGCAGTAGACTTGGGAGTGCAGATATCTCTTCAGTACACTGATTTCCTTTCTTTTGGGTATATACCTAGCAGTGGGATAACTGGGTCATATGGTAGTTCTGTTTTTAGCCATGCTGTTTTCTTCTTTTTTTTTTTTGAGACGAAGTCTCACTCTGTTGCCTAGGCTAGAGTGCAGTGGCACAATGTCAGCTCACTACAACCTCTGCCTCTGGGGTTCAAGCGGTTCTCCTGCTCAGCCTCCCAAGTAGCTGGTATTACAGGCACCCACCACCACACCCAACTGATTTTTGTACTTTTTAGTAGAGATGGGATTTTGCCATATTGGCCAGGCTGGTCTTGAACTCATGACCTTAGGTGATCTGCCTGCCTTGGCCTCCCAAAGCCATGCTGTTTTCTGTAGTGGCTGCACTACACTTTACATTTCCACCAACAATTCTACCACAGTTTTGTTTTTTGTTTTTTTCATCCATGGATAAGCACTGAGGTTGATTCCATGTCTCAGCCATTGTAAATAACGCTACAGTGAACATGGGAATGCAGATATTCCTTCAATATCCTGATTTAATATTCTTTGAATATATACTCAGAAGTGGGATTGCTGGATCATATGACAGTTCTTTTTTTTTTTTTTTTGAGGAACTTCTGTATTGTTTTTCATAAGGGCTGTACCAATTTACATTCACATCAACAGTGTACAGCAATTCCCTTTTCTCCACATCCTTGCCAACACCTGCTGTCTCCAAATCAATATTTCTTAAAGCGTGGTGCAAATTATGTCTCTCTATGCCCCAAGTTTCCTTTGTGAGCAGCCTGGTTTTCCAGCTTATCTCCTCCTCCCCTTTTCCTTTCACAAACCCTACAGAGCTTGACTCTTATTGCTGCCCACACACATGCTGCACTTGTCCTTCCCTGAATCGGTTTTCTTGCAGTTCCTTCCTCTGGGAGGGGCCCATCCTCCATCCACAGACCCTTGTGCCAAGCCTTTAATGGTCTTTCCAACCCAATGTGCTCCCCTCCCTCCTCTGAGCCCCAGGAGATTTCTGTTAGCTTTTCACCTTAGATTTTGTATTATAATGTATGTATAGTATTTGGTTTACCCTCCTTACTAGAGTCTACATTTCACAGAAAGGACTATATGTAAACCAACTTTATACTTCCTAACATATGTGCTTTTCATGGACCTCGTTCCAAAATATCAATTAAATAAAACTGTACATTGTCTAACTTTTTTTTTTTTCTAACAAGGACTGGAGCTCTAAGACCACACCAACTTGTTTTTGTACTTACTCTGTGTGTGTGTGTGTGTGTGTGTGTGTGTGTGTTTTCCTTTTGGCAGCC
Source organism: Homo sapiens (assembly GCF_000001405.40). Taxonomy (NCBI): domain Eukaryota; kingdom Metazoa; phylum Chordata; class Mammalia; order Primates; family Hominidae; genus Homo; species Homo sapiens. Next base: position 38,751,914 of record NC_000013.11, read on the forward strand.
AAATATACAAAATGAACAGCTTTTATATTAATCTGAGATAGTGAAATTAATGAGAAGGGCTGCTTTTGTGGCTCTGGCACAATTCTAAAGGGATCAGAGCAATCACCAAAGGGTTCAACTAATTAAATAATACTACACGCTAAGCAGCAAAGCTAGCTTCGCAAAACTAATCTGAAATAAATGAAAAGAAAATGTGAAAAACAAGTGTATGACATTGATGCTGTAATACTCCATCCTCTCTTTGTCCCTGTCTCTGTCTGTCTCCACCACATTGTCACTTCCCACCCTGCTTTCTCTTTCCCTCCTTCTCTCCTTCCTTTTTGACAGATATCAATGACACATCTCATTTAGTTTCTCACAGGAGCAATATCTAAGTAACCAGGTATAATGCTATATATGTCTTTTTAAGTCTAGGAGTTTAAAACTTTCAAATCTTGATTTTGCCGCTGAAAACAAATAGAGCTAAGAACATGTTCCTGATTTAGATTTTAAAAACAATAATAATAAATTAAACTAAAATTATCTTCAGGAAGTTCCTATTTCTAATTTTCAATCTAATTTTCTGGGATTCTGAGTTAAGATTCACTCACAGTATTTTAATTCATAGAATGGCTTTTCTTCTCCCACCCCACTCTAATCTCTTCATACTAGCCATGAGATTTAAGTTTTGGTAATAATGGAAACAAGTCAGATTAAAAAAATGTTTTCTTATTAACTGTCAGATGAAGGCACTTGTATTTTCCCTTTCTATATTTTTGTCTCCTAATGTGGATATACCACATTTTCAAAAGATAATCCAAGATACAGTTCAGACTGTAATCCATGTTAATTGTGATGACAGTGTCTGTGTATGGTACTGTTATACAAATAGGAATTAGAAAACAGCCTCACTTCACAGAGAATTAACTAAATGGTGCTAAACCGGTTACTCAAAGAGGTGGAGAAGTGTAGAGAACCACTGCTTTCCTTTAGCTCAGAGTCTCCTTTGGGGTGCGGGGAGAAGTCTGGCGCCACAAAAGGAATTAGGCTCTGGTTTGAACAGAGACCTGAAGGCTATTAAGTTTATTTTAAGAATGTGTTGCCAGAGATCTAATAAATTTATTCGTAGCTTCAGGCAGTGCATGCACGAAATCTTGCTGCACCAGGTGTTTTGTTTTGTATTTTTTCTCTTCCCCAGAGGGAGAAGAGGGTGTGGATCTTCTTGACAAACTTAACTCTTGGTAAAGCAGTTATTTTTTCTATAACAATATAGTATTTAAATTTTTTTTAACTTATATACAAGTGAAAAATAATTTAAAAAATTATATCTGGGCTGCTTTAAAGAAAATAAAGTAAGTCCTCCCAAATTATGTATACACATATAATTATACTTAATTTTAAACACATTTTAAAATAGTCTTATGCTTAAGAACAGTATTTGAGATTACAGCCTGTTAAATGGAAAGACCACTAAACCAGGAGTGAAATCCCTGGGAATTTAAAATGCTTTGTAATCTTATTCACATCCCACCCTTTCTGAATCTTAGTGAAATGGAGCATTGAGAAAAGATGGAATCCAGCATTCATTCTGCTCTAAAATGCTTGGCATCCGTTTATATTATTCACACACATAATCATTTCTTGAGTTAGTTTGTGTTCTTATTTAGAATACAGTGTTATACTTGCATTTTCAGGAACAAATAATTCTCAGCCACTCATATCACAGTGTTAAAATGACAAAATTAGCTTGTAATTTAGACTCCAAATGATAATCCAATAACCTGAATGTTGTAAATGAGAGTTCATGTTGCAGTTATGTATTTGCTTTGTCCTTTGTCCTCTGTAGGTGTACACCTGAATTCCTTATCCTAGGCATGCATACCAGCAGTACAGACATTCATTCCACTAAGTGTAAGCTCCCAATTAGGAAAGTACAGTGTTACCCAATTAAATCAGGTTTGATGAAGGAAATATGCTTAAACTCTAGGTGAGGGGATGTAAATTCATGTTTCTTCCTTCCTTTTCCCCCCTTTTTGTTGCAGGGGATCAAAATTAACACATTCTTTTTATTTTATTTTATTTTTTATTTTATTTTATTTTATTTTTGAATGGAGCTGGGGGAGGGGGCTGTGCTTAGAGAAATGCAGAGGATCCCTGCAGGCTCAGGCTTGCAGATTCCCATTCCAACCTGGCTGTGGCCTGATGATGCACATTAGTCAGCCTGGAAGGAGGATTTTCCTTCTAGCTTCCCTGGATTTTGGCTTTGGCTCCAAATTAATTCATCAAACCAGAGGGTCTTAAATCCTAGCTTGCGTTAATTTTTTATAAATCCATCTCAAATATTTATTAACCGGCTTTCATACCCTTTGCTTTGTCACATAATACTTATCATTTGAGGGCCTCACTATTCACTAGAATGAGAGCTGATAGTAGAGGGAAACTCACTCGGATGACAGTTTTGCTTCTTTCCAATAGCACTAATTTATAAATTAAGTTAAGCAAATTAGAATTAAGCTAGAATAGCCTGCAAATAGGATATTCACCTAAACAACGTCAAATGAAGACTCAGAGGAAGTATAGGAATAATATTAGCAGGCTGCACTTGAATGCTACATCTACCACATACTACACCCCTTGGAATGTAAAGTGGGTAGTTTAATCTGACACTGATTTACCTCATGCATAGAATGTGGAAATACCTAAATTGCAGGGTTGCTGTGAGATGCATTGAGATAATGTGCGTATTATCAAAATCACCCTGACCATGGCCCTCAATCTGTCCAGCTCTCCTCTGCAGGCATTTTCAGAGTCGCCAAGGCTGAGCTGAATTCAGCCAGTTTATACCTGCACTTGAGTTCCAGTTGTTTTTGATGAGTGTTATGGTTTCTCTTTTTTGTGTTTTGATTGTCCAATGCCTATATTATGCCAGTTCTGATTGGTCAAAGCCCATGCCACTGGTTGGTCAAGATGATGATGATGATGATGATGATGATGATGATGATGATGATGATTATTATTATTATTATTAGAGATGGAGTCTCGCTCTGTCACCCAGGCTGGAGTGCAGTGGTACGATCTCAGCTCACTGCAACCTCTGCCTCCCAGGTTCAAGCAATTCTTCTGCCTCAGCCTCCTGAGTATTTGAGATTACAGGCAGGCACCATCACACCCGGCTAATTTTTGTATTTTTAGTAGATACAGGGTTTCACCATGTTGGTCAGGCTGGTCTTGAACTCCTGACCTTGTGATCTGCCTGCCTCGGCCCCCCAAAGTGCTGGGATTACAGGCATGAGCCACCATGCCCGGCCAGTCAAGATTATTTTTAATATCACTTCTGCCCCAAGGATAGGTGCTTTCCATAGTAAACCCAGTTGCCCAACATCTGCACAGCTCTACTAGAAATCCTATCACAGCTATGCCCAACTCCCCCATAGGAGGAACCCTCCCTGTGGCCCCAGGAACCCCCAGGGGTGGGCCACATAACTGTGTGGTGATATTTTCTGTTATTCTCTATTGAAGGAAAAGGGTATCCAAAGTGTGCTGCTTGGCCCCTGGTGTGAAAAAGAGACTAATTAAGCATCTCTTTAAATTTCCACTTACACTGCTTTCTTTCCCTGGAATCCAAAAATACATCCAGGAGCCTGGGCAAGAATTAGAGATGAAAAAACTTACACTACACTTTGAATCCCTACACTCAGATGATTAAACTTTTCTATAGAGTCCATTATTTTGCCTGACATCCATTTTCATTACCACAAGTTCTCTCTCCACAGGCTCCTTTATAGCCCAAGAAAATCAGCTTCCATGAGGTCTGTCACTCCAGTTTCCCACCTAAGCACAGGAAGATGGGAACCCCAGATGTGGGCTGTTGCTTAAACTGAGATCCTAGAATGAATTATCCTAAAATTGTCTAGTAGGATTAGGGGTGATTCTTCATTAGAATTCATTCCATGCATATCACTTTCCCGTAGGCTAACAACAATCCTACAGATTTTCTTTGTATACCCTCAAATTAGCAGGTAACCATGCGGGAGCCAGTACACCCTTCACCCCCAAGCCACAGCTGTGTCTACATACTAATATTGTCATGGCCAGGGACAGATGGCTGGAGGGAGGCCAGAGCTGCCCATCTGAGAATGCAGTGAGGGTTCCTTTCAATTCACACTCCTGAGCATATGCCAGAAAAGGGATTGATTAAAGCAAGACAAAATGTGTGGGGTAAACATTTTTCTGCTCCTGTGCTCCATTATTTTTGAGTCCCCAAAGAATAACCTATTGTGACTTTTACTGAGTAAATACAGTTGATTTTAATTATTCAGCGCAGTTACGTTTCCGTAAAATCACAGTGAATATTGAATTAGCAAATACTGAAGCATTGCTCCTAGGGGAAATACAGGGTTAGGTTTCTATGGGCCTCTGGTCACATTTCATCAACCAATCAATTATAACCTTGTTTTATGTGTGTTTCTATTTAAAGACACCTTATTAACTATATGTTGTTGATTCATTAACACGGCACACTCACAGTCTGAACAAAACTTATCTAGCACACGAATTTTCTTTGCAAGGCCCATCACAGCCTTCTTGTTCTTAGGAACGCCAGACACTGCTTCAGCACTATGGTTGGGGACCTTTTTTTTTTTTTTTTTTTTTGAGACGGAGTGTCACTCTGTCGCCCAGGATGGAGTGCAGTGGCGCGATCTTGGATCACTGCAACCTCTGCCTCCCAGGTTCAAGCGATTCTCGTGTCTCAGTCTCCCAAGTAGGTGAGACTACAGGCATGTGCCACCATGCCTGGCTAATTTGTGTGTGTGTGTGTATATTTTTAGTAGAGACAGGGTTTCACCATGTTGGCCACGCTGGTTTTTAAACTCCTGACCTCAGGTGATCTGCCCGCCTCAGCCTTCCAAAGTGCTGGGATTACCGGCGTGAACCACCATGCCTGGCTGGTTGGGGACCATTTTTAAAAATAGCAAAATCACCAACAAATAGCAGAAAAATATGGAAAATGTGGCACTAAAAAAACTGTGAATAGGATACTTCTTTACAGCATGAGAGCTGAAACAAAGCACAGAGTGTCAGGTGATGAGAATTTTTTGATGCCCCTCTGCACGTGTCTGAGAATGATTACAAAAGTACCAAGTGTATTAATTTGGGGGCTAACATAAATTTTCATGAGTAGAGCAGTTTGTAAATATGGAATCCAGGAATAATGAGAATCAGCCACATATTAGTCTTTTGCATAGTAGATGAATAGGAATTTCAGTCTTTGGAAACTTGTGTACAAATACCCATTATATACCCACATTATATACCTGGGATGGGTATATATGTAACCATATCATGTCCTCAAGGAACAAAATTACACATAGTAATGTGGACTGTGATACTCTTGGCTTGTAAGGTGAACATTGATATATTTGTCAGCACCCATCTCCACCTCCATGTAATCTGGCCGTTGCTTGTCTGAATATTGAGTAGAGTATGAAATAATCCACACTTGATCTCAATTCAGTGTAGTTTGTGTGACAATTACTAAGATATCATAGCTTCATTTATTCTTTTGTGCTTGTACATGGCTATCCTAAAAATGGCCCAAAAGATCACTATAAGCTGTGTGTGTCCAGTGGAAACCCATGTGTGTCGTGGTGCTGTGCCTGTTTCCCTCTACGTCCTGGGTCTTTGTCATGCCACTCCTCTTTTTTTTTCTCTTTTTTTTTTACATGATGTCTTGCTCTGTTGCCCAGTCTAGAGTGCAGTGGTGTGATCTTGGCTCACTGCAACCTCCACCTCCCAGGTTCAAGCAATTCTCCTGTCTCAGCCTCCTGAGTAGCTGGGATTACACCTGCCACCAAGCCCAGCTAACTTTTGTATTTTTAGTAGAGACGGGGTTTCACCATGCTGTTCAGGCTGTCAAACTCCCGACCTCAGGTGATCTGCCTTCCTAGGCCTCCCAAAGTGCTGGGATTACAGGCATAAGCCACCACACCCGGTCCCATTCCTCTTTCTCTACATTTCTCTACCAAGTCTCCATATTTGTTTGTGCTGCCTCATTTTCAGAATGTGTTAGGCAATGGAAATGGTGAGGAGGGAGTGTTCAGAAGGAAGGGAGAAAATGATAGAACAATTATCATAAGCAGCAATTCTTGAATACCTTACTATTGGACTAATCATTATTGAAATTATCAAATAGTCTAAAGCTTGTCATCCCTCGGTGCCTGAGTCACCTCTGGATGATCCAGGGTGGGCTGCAGATGTATCTTGACCTTGCCTTCTTTGTCTCTAATATCCAATCTCCTAAATAGGAGGAGAAGGAATTAAATATTTAGTAAATGTCCTAGTGCCTACCACATTGAATTCTTTGAAGTTCCTTTTTATTTTTTAAACCGGATTTCTTATCTCTCTTCTTATACCTAATCTTCCAGGAACGCCTTCCCCTCCATCTCTCTGAATGTCTAAATACCACCCTGTACTTAAGCCCCCATTTAAACACTATCTCTTCCATGAGTTTGTCTTTGATCCCCTCAGGCTACAGTAATCCCTCACTCTTGTGAACTCCCACAGCTCATTATCAGTGCCTCTCACAGCATTTGCCAGGCTCTAGTTTGTGCACATTATCTAGGTGCCTGTGCCATCTCCCGCAGTTGAATGCCAGCCCCTGGGGGCAGGGTAAGAGCCAAGTCGGCTTCAGCTCTGCACCAGGTGGTTTTCAGCAAAGAGTGAAGTCAGTCTGACTTTAGGGGCCAGAGGACAGGATTCCACAAGCTCGAGGAGATTCTCCTATGGAAGATTCTGAGGCAATGCAAAGTTCAAGAGAAGGTAATCCTATCACGGAAATGGCAATGAAATGAATCCCTTATTTTAACTTTAATTTTAGATCTTCACCATAATCACTAGCATTGATTTGGATGGTAGCTGCATGGTTGCTAATCACCGTCCTTGCTGTCTAAGAGAACAAGACTTCTTAAAAATCTGCTTAAAAATCAAATTATCTGCCCAGTGCAGTGGCTTACACCTATAGTCCCAACTACTCAGGGGCCTGAGGTGGGAGGATCACTTGAGCCCAGGAGTTTGAGACTGCAGAGAGCTGTGATAGCATCACTGCCCTCCAGCCTGGTCAGCAGAGTGACACCATGTCTCTAAAACAATAACGAAAATCAAATGATCTAATTTCCCCAATAAGGTAGGTAATAATATTATTATCTTAATCTTTTCTCATATAAATATCTATATCTATTGCTGATTTAAAGGACTACATCCAGCTTTTAAAAATTTCTGTAGAGTTGATTTTCAATTCAGCTTTGAAGCTGAACTTTATTCTGGGCAAATGAGATTTTACCAAGCTAGAAATTACCAACAATATTTTCTATTTGTAACTATTCTCCAAGAAGAAATTTGTTGTCAAAGCTGAATGGACACGTCCCCTTTATCAAATACAAGTCAAAATTGTGGCACTAGTTTCATATTATTGAAGATTAAATGCTTTGTCTTTAGAGAGATCGGGCAGCCCTGAGCTTTTAGGGAGGGCTAATTGGAGTTTGGTATTCTTTGTTATTCTAAAAAAAAAAAAAAACGACTGAGTTTGAATTGAAGAAAATGAAGAAGTCTAAAGACCAGCTGGATAAGTTCAAAAGAGGTCTTTTCATCAAAACCTTAATGGCTTTGGTGTCAGGATTTGAAGACAGAGCATTTGGGAGTGTGGTTATCAGCTGTCAGGCACCTGTTGTGTGGATTTATGACTTGAGTCATGGACTTTAATTTTTTTCCAATGAGGTGCTGAGACTAGCTCCTCATGCACCATAGATGACAGAATCTATTTTAGAAAGGCAACAAATTTTGTTTAAGTAAAAATTTGTCAGTTTTTAACGTTATTTAACTTCATCTATAATTTCACGTTCAGTAAGCTGTAGCTTTTGTTAAAGTGCCAATGTTTATTATTTCCATGAATTGAGGTTTTAGAGGAGTTTACGTGATAGGTAACAAATTAGTAAATAAGGTATCTTTCTATTCTTTCAATAAAATACAGAGTTCAATTATACAAGGTCACAGTTTTAGTAAAGAGAGTTACAATAAGTTACAGCTTGGTTCCTCAAATCTCTATATCACTCTTGCGTAAGAAGTGAGTACCTAAGATTTTACAAATTCTGAAACCAAATCTGATTCACATGTGTAATGTACAGAAGAGTTATGTAGTATTTAATTCCATTCAGATTTAAGCTTTATAGACTGCATATTTTCTAGTTAAGTATCTGTTTCATTTATATTCTCTGGTTTAAAATCCCAGTGTTAGTGGGAATTCTAAATTTTCTATGATAGTTACTTTGGGCCATCTCCCTGTCTTACAAAGCAAAGCTTCTTTATATTTTTTCTGAATTTTATTTTGAAGTAAAATCTCAAGGTGGTGGTTGTACATATGAAATACTAGCAAACTGTTCAGCTATGTGTCATTCGAAACCTCTGATTAACCAGTAACCTGGCAACTTCGTCCTTTCAGAACATAGGCACAAACCTGAAAATAATTTTTACAGATATATAAGTAGAGATGAAATTAGGTATCTCTAAAACCATCCACAAAGGAAGTGGAAGGGTTAAATAGCCCTTTAGTCATCAATAATCCCTGGGAGTGTCATTTAGAGAAACACAAATTCCAATAATTCACATTTATGTATCACTTAAAATCTTTCAAGAAGTATGCAAACATTTTAGAAAGAGTGTCATTAAACCAATTACTGTTTTTTAATAAAAAGATTCAGTAATGAAAGAGATATGTTATGTTTACATAGAAAATTTATGTTGCTCAATAAATGAAGGACCACTAAACTTTCAGCCAAGACATTAGAGTTTCTAATTGATGCAATAGATGTTTTTCTAACAATAAGTTAAATGAGCTCCCAGAACTCCTGGATCATGTGTTGCAGTGGGAGAACACAGAAAATGACAAAAAAAAAATAGTAAATATATATAGGATATAAGATTTTGGAAAGTACCGTAGAGAAAAACTAACCAGAATAAAGGGGTAGAGAGGGCTGGAGTTTGCACTGGGCTTGCTGTTTTATAAAAACTGAAAAGAGAAGCCCTCAGTGACTCAATATTCTTAAAATGTGCCATATTTAGAAGAGAATGATATTTTCTGGAATATCTCAGGAAAGGGTTAGAATCAAATCTTAAAATTAGCTAAGAATTGTTAAAATTTAGAGGAATAGGGATTCCCAGGAAGAGGAGAAAAACTAAGGATGTCCTGGGCAGAAGATACAGCACATACAAAAACAGCCACCTTTGTTCAGAAAAGAGTGAGAGGTTGGATGTGAGAGGATGGATATTTCTCTTTAAGGGGAAGTGATAGGATGTGAAGTCATAGGTGTTAGAATGGACAAGAAAAAGCTTGGTAGAGCATGACAAGAAGTTTGGAATGAAACCTAGGCTTGCTGGGACCACAGTTTAAAGTGGACAGGAGTGTGGCATAAAGGTGTTTTCATCTGATAATTTGTTTTGAAATCAGAGCTGTTTTATGTACTAATTTAATCAATTGCATGTTATTCTATCTTTTCTATTACTTTCTAGATGATGTTCCAATTAATGGAACGTAAACACAATAATTTTTTAAAATATTTTTTAAAAACAATGAGAACAAGTATTGGCAATAATGAAAGAATGGATACTGTCAATTATTGATGTAAATTAGTACAATTTAGTACAATTAGTAAATTAATACAATTAAATATGAGAGGATACCCACTAAAGTGCACAACTATACAGAGTAATCAATAAGAGAACAGCTGCAGAACCACAAAGACATGAAAGGGCTGGAGCAGCTGCAGCTGCTTCACACAGGAGGGGGATAGAGCAGCAATAAGGAATGGAAAGTGTCAGCCAAGGAAGAATAGGGGTCCTCATTTTAGGCAAGAGGACAAGGGTGATGGAAAGAGTGAGGGTGGCAAATCCCAGGAGCTGCAAGAATCTTGGCTTGACCTCCAAATGGGCAGATTAGAGTGCAAGGGGAACAATCAGGGTAGGTCAGGATGAACCTGGAAATCTGCAAAGAAAAGTCCACTTGATATGGGCAAAAGCTGTAGGCAAGAGGGGCAAAGGAGAAAGGAGCACAGGTGGGTGTAAGGCAGACGAATAGTAGTCCAGCAGTGGGCATGCAGGGTGGGCTTGGGCATGCGTGGCGTGGCAGGGCAGAGTGAGCTTGCATTTGTTGAATGATACTATTGACCTCAGAGCACTGTGTGTGTGTATGGGTTACCTGAGTCGATCTTTGAAGAAATCACAGGCGCTAATTAGCGTCACCCTCACCTGACTCTCCAGAAAAGGAAACAGAGATCCAGAGAAGTAACTTGGTCAGAGTCAGACAGCAGCTAGAAGTGATGTGGGTGGGCCTTGGACTCCAGTTCTGAGGAGCCTCCTAGCCCATGGCCTCTCCTCTCCAGAACAGCACTCAGGGTGCAGCAGACATTGGGCATAGTAAGTTTAGTAAGTTTCATCAGCGCAAAATGTGGAATGAGTTTCCTTGTTAAACGGACAAACTGACACAAAATTCCTGCTCTCCAATCTTTTTTTTTTTGAGACAGAGTTTCACTCTTGTTGCCCAGGCTGGAGTGCAATGGTGCGATCTTGGCTCACCACAACCTCTGCTTCCTGGGTACAAGCGATTCTCCTGCCTCAGCCTCCCGAGTAGCTGGGATTACAGGCATGCGCCACCATGCCTGGCTAGTTTTGCATTTTTAGTAGAGACGGGGTTTCTCTATGTTGGTTAGGCTGGGCTTGAACTCCCGACCTCAGGTGATCCACCTCAGCCTCCCAAAGTGCTGAGACTACAGGCATGAGCCACCACGCCCGGCCCCAATCTATTTATATTTTATAGTTGATAAATTAACTAAAAATAGGAAAGTCCATAATCCCATCATTTAAAACACCAAGCAGCTTCTCCTGTATCATGTCTCATTTTACGAAGCTACATTCACAGTATCAGTACCATTTGTTGTTGTGTTTTTAAGTGTTTTCGGTGTTCCAACAACAATTTCATATTTATTGTTTGGGAGTTGAATAACATTTTATTGATTTGATACACTATAAGATAGTTTTTAAGGTTTGGGGTTATTATAGAAAATATTGCAATGAATAGTTCCTTACAAATATATTTCTGCTTCTCTTAAAGCAAAAATCCCACAGAAGGAGCGACAAGATTGAAGGATATAACCATCTTTTTGCCCCTTGCACACATTGGCACATAGCTGTCCAAAAGGCTTGTGCTAATTTGAAAGCCAAACAACAGTAAACAAGAAAACAATTTCCCTACATAATCTCAGTTGTACAAGGTATTCTCTTTAATCTTTAGTACCTGTTAAGTTGATAGCTCAAAGTTGCTGCAGTTTTTATTTTTTAAAAGTTCGAGCAAAGATGAATGTATTTTCATGTCTTCGCTCACTCAGCGTTTTCCCTTGTGTAGATTTTTTTTTTGTCGTCTATTAAAGTTTTGAGATTTTCCTCTTTCATTTCTTTTTCTATGTGAACTGCAAAGAGAAGAAACTAGAATGAAAACTGTGCCTCTAGCTGTGTTTGTTACTTGGGCTTTTTTTTTTTTTACACCCTCTTTCAGAAAGACTTAAAAGGCATTACTGATGCCTTTGTTTGTAAACCTCACCTTACTCTGAAATAATTGGTGTAGATCAAAGGAAGTAGAGGGATGCGTGCAGAGTGATCAGCTGATAACCATTTTTCCTTTCATTTACCCAACATAGTCGCTTTCACATTAGAGAGATCACACACAAGGTTTATTTTCTGCTGATAGGCAGCCCACTCCATTTTGGTGGGAAGATGGAAGGGGAAAACCTTATCTTCAGAGTGGAATGGAAATCAATGAAAAGAACTGTCTGTTTGCTCTAAGGAATGGAGTGGAATATAGTGGGGAAGGGAGGCGGAGAAGGGATATTTGTTTTTCCTTAAGTGGTTATAATTAAAACCTTCCACCCAATTGCTCTGTGAACCGGAAAAAGTATTTGTGAAGTTGTGTGTGTGTTTTTTAGAACATCACAAAGGAGCCTTGCAGCCCTCTGATTAGAAAACTTGCTCTCCAGTGGCACCTTGTGGGAAGTGAGTTATCCTGCAAGTTGGATATTTAGTTTTAGGATTAAACTAAATAGCCTCTGGTAGTTGTGCACTTCCTACCCATTACCTACTTCCCCTCCTAAAACAGCAAGGAATTTGTGAAGAATTATGTCAGCGATTGAATGTATGTGTAACAGTCTCTAGACTGTAAGCTGTATCTCCATGTACATATTCCAGAGTTGTGTATCAAACTAAGTAGCTGTATTGATTGTTAATGTTGTTTCATTAAAGTAATCTGTGGAATTTTGAAGATCACTCATTCAAGAAAGCACTAATTTATGGCTTTAAATTTTTATTTTCAAGGTGGAAACAAGTTAACGTACCAGAATTTTCGTCTGAATTGGGCATGGATCTCCTTTGAAAAGGAATATTACCTGGTCAATGAGGACTCCAAATTTCTAGATGTTGTTCTTAAACGTAGAGGTTACTTGGGAGAAACTTCTTTTATAAGTAAGTTTAATTTTTTATTTCTGTTTTAAAATTTTATTTTTCTAGCAAAGGTTTATAATTCTACAGTGATTAAAGTATCAGTTTAGTTCACTTAGAGCTTAAAGTTAAAATTTAAAAGTTCTCTAACTGCTAAAGAAACAAGCAACAGGTTTGTGTCAAGGTACTTATCTCTTCAAGCCTTCTGTGTACATATGATCTTTTTCTGGTATAAAAATTGGCAGGAACACTAATAAGTTACGAAACAAAAATAAATGTCACTAGATCTTAGAATGAGCTTAGGCAAATCTGTAATTTACCCGTAAGATAAAAGTTTTCTGAAACATGAGTATCGTGACCTTTCTTTGTAACAACAGTAAATTGTTAAATACTAATGATTTTCTTCTGCTTTACTTCGTTTAAATAAAACTAAGAGTCAGAAGCAAACGAATGAAACCTTTTTTCAACTCCAATTCAAGTTCATATTTGTTTTGTTTTGTTTGAGACGGAGGCTCGCTCTGTTGCCCAGGTTGGAGTGCAGTGGCGTGATCTCAGCTCACTGCAAGCTCCGCCTCCCAGGTTCACGCCATTCTCCTGCCTCAGCCTCTCAAGTAGCTGGGACTACAGGTGCCCACCACCATACCCAGCTAATTTTTTGTATTTTTAGTAGAGACGGGGTTTCACCGTGTTAGCCAGGATAGTCTCGATCTCCTGACCTCGTAATCTGCCCACCTCGGCCTCCCAAAGTGCTGGGATTACAGGCGTGAGCCACCGCGCCCGGCCTCAAGTTCATATTTGATTTTCATAGAAGCATAAAATAAAGTTGGCAGTATATTGGTACTTTTAAGCAGCAATATGGTTGGCACAAAATATTTAATATGTTGATAAAAATGGCAGCACCTGAAGCAACTATATTGTTTTTGGTACCATATATTTTATAGACATCTAGACCAATGGAATTTGCATGGGATAAAAAGAGATTTCATTGAGTGAGATTATCAACTAAGGTGGCAATCTGGGAAAATGTTGGCAAAGTAAAAAGTTAGTAAACCTATGCTTGTCTCCAAATGATTATTTTGAAATTTTACTGGGTCCATGAACTTCCAGATCCTCAAAGAGTAGACCTCTATGCACAGAAATACACACCCCTGCCACCCCCAACATCCCTCCCTGACACCCCCACACATCCCGCTGTAATTTTGCTGCAGCCAGAACCCCACCACTCTTTTTGATTTCCCCTGACATGTTTTGATTCTGAATATTAATTACCCCTTACTTTTAAAATTCTTTTTTTTTCCTTTTAACTTTAGAAGACCAGGTTTTCACACGACACTTTCCCTGTCTTTGAGGTTGCTCTGGTTGCAGGGGGGCTGGTCTCCCCGCGGCCTCACCCCCAGCCTCTGCTTCCATCTTCATTTTGCATGAGCCTCCACCTGGCTGTGCTTCTCATGCTTTGTATTTAGCCTAGGATATTCTGAGCACTCTCACTGCGCTCTCTTTTAGGGACATATTCTCTGTGCACATGTGCACATCCTGTCTTATCATCAGGGAGTGATTCGTCTTAACTCTGCTTTGTACTTGAACATATAGCAAATAAATCATGGGGAAAATGATAACTAAAAAACAGAGCACCTTACCGATTATTAAAAATAGGTTTATCTATTTTTTACCTGAGTTCCCACTCCTGGTGAGTTTATTTAATTTTTCACTCACAACAGGCCCCTGGATAACATTGGGAAAGTTAACAGTAGAAAAAGATTGTAAAATTATTTTTTTGCCTTTTTTTTTCTCCACTGCCTCTTTTTTCTTAAGCTGGATGCCAAAATGTCAAACAAGAGCTCTTTTTGTTGTTATTTTTTTCAATGCACTATTATTTTCTACGAATGTGGGGTTAACGGCAGTTCTACAAAGGCTCATAGGCTTTACTTGGTTCACTTCACATGGTTACTTAGTAACCTGGGGTGATAGAAAATTGGGAAGCCTTCTGTGTGTGGCCCACATCCTTCAGTCATTGAAGATGGTAACGGAATTCATGCTAGGACCTGGAATGGAAACCAGATTAAAATGAAGGGTAGCCTCATACAAGTTTTACAATGAATACGTTGCTTATAACTGTGCCCATACAACCTCTGCTTTTATTTATGGACTTTTAGAATGAGATAGATTGCATTATAGCAAAAGACAGAGTATCGCTTGAGTACAGCTAAGAAACCATGAATTACTGAAATTTGTAGATGTATATTCTCAAAGATTATTATTCATTTTATAACCACTAAAACTAATAAACTAGATATGTATTTATATTCCACATTAGTATATGCATTTCAAAGCTCTTATTGCTACCAGTTATTGAATATTTATTAAAGGCAAGGTACTTCATACGTACATTAAGCACTTTATCTATCTCTTTTATACCTTACATCCATCCTTTATTCCCTGACTCAACAAATATTTTATTGAGTACTCATTACATACCAGGGGCTGTGTTAGGTAGTGAACTATGAAGAAACAATGATAGCTAATGTTTATTGAGTTATTTGCTGGGCCTACTTCCCAATACCCTACCTAGGTCAACTCCATGAGAAGAGTACCATGAGGTGAGGAAATAGAGAGGCTGTGACATGTTTAAAGTTAGCCAGCTAGTAAGGGGCAGAGCTGAGATTGGGCAAAAGGCCCATGCTCTTAATCACTGCACCATAGTGCTTCATAAATCCTCCACTGAGATAAGTTAATAACTTGCCTACGATCCCACAACTGTTATATGGCCTGGATGGGATATAAAATCTATTCTCTCCTTCCACAAACACCCTGTTTAACCACTTTGTTATTTTTCTATGTCAGAGGAAAAGATCCAATTGCAGTTTCATTTAATAACAAAAGTGAAAAATTATAGGTGTTTTTAGCAGCAACAATTGGGATATGGTATTGCAACTCATTTAATATCAGATGGTATTGCAACTCATTTAATATTAGATGGCTTGACTATCGTGCAGGAAGGAGGACTAGTTGGAACTAGCAGACATTCATTGTATCACACTTACTCAATTTTTATTTTTAACTCCCTTTTGAAACTCCAAAAAAAACAAATAATGCATTGCTGATGAAAGAAAACAAAACAGAAAAGTGAGCAGTAGCTATCAGAGGCAAACTAACAGATTTTGCTGGTGATGCCACTGGGGATAGATGGGTCAGTGAGCAGCATGTGTTCTGGAACCTCAGAGAGAATGATTCCTTTCATCAGCATCTTGGCAGTGAATTGTAGTGGATCCAAGAGGTGCTGACAACCAACTCTGTGTGCACAAGGAACCAGAGAGCTGTCAGGAAGTCTACAGCATTCAACAAGATATGCAGCCCTGCAATTCCTGGTTCTGTGCCCTTTTTTCTCTTGCCATTAAATGAATCATGTTTTACCTGCTACTGTAAAAGAAAAATATGATGCAATATTTATGTTAGTTATTGTTCTGAGATCTGTAAGACAGAAATATTTTTAATAAAATCTTTTTCATCTTCACTTTAAGATTAAAATAACAGTCATTGATATATTCCTATATATAAATACATATTCAAATGACTCTTATATAAGCACTACGAAGGCAAGAGTTTTTGTCTGTTTTGTTCTCTGATACAGCCCCAGCACATGGAATAGAGCCTGGCATGGAATAAGTACTCAATGAATATTTGTGGTTGAATGGATCTTATTTAGTTCAGTTTCATTTCTAGTTTGAAGAACAAAAGGAATTTTTCAAAAGTATAATTTTTAACTAAATGCAAAATCTTCCAAATAACTTATTTTCAAGATTTAAAAAATCTATCACAAGACTTTATTTTTCCCTCTTTTATTTATTTATTTATGCATTTATGTATTTTTAATTTTTGAGGCAGGCTCTCACTCACCCAGGCTGGAGCACAGTGGCATAATCACAACTCACTACAGTCTTGACCTCCTAGGGCTCAGGTGATCCACCTCAGCCTCCCCAGTAGCAAGGACTACAGGCATGCGCCACCACACCCAGCTAATTTTTGTCTTTTTTGTAGAGATGGGGTTTCACCATGTTTCCCAGGATGGTCTGGAACTCCTGGGCTCAAGTGATCCACCCACCTCGCCCTTCCAAACTGCTGGGATGATAAACCTGAGCCACCATGCCCAGCCTTATTTTTCCAACTCTTTTACATCTGTCTGTCTTACCCACTTCTCTGAAAATGCTCAGGTTTAGAGAAATATATTTGAAAATTATTCTATTAACTTGACTCATTAAGAGGTTCTGGTTCTGTATTTAAGGATATAGAAGTCCAAGTACCATTGCCGTTTTATAATTTTTCTATGACATTGAATGTTTTCACTGCTTTTGGATAATGTACCCTATGGTTTGAGTACCTGGCATGGTAATAATGGAGATCATCTTGCGATGTAGTTAGAGACCCAGAGATCCTTCAACCTTCCCAGCTAACTGAAATTGACCTTGAATGAACTACCAGAGTAAGCCAAGCATACTGCTCATAATAACCATATATATTTAGCTCTCCAATTCTGTTTATTTAATTTCATGGAATTCTGGGGTGTTCCAGAAAGAAAAATTTTGCAGTGACCATGTTGAAAAACACTGAATTACATTTTTTAAAGGATCTTAGTTCCATTAAGTGCTTAGAGAATACTATCACTTTTTATTATTCCACTTGGCCATTTATGACTTAGATTGTGAGTCAGAGAATTCTTTCATGGAGGAGTTTCTTATTGGCTTATATTTTATAGTTAGAGAATGTTTCTTATTTTTTTTATAATATCCAGGAACACATGCAAAAGTAAATGTGAAGAGTTTTAAGATTGTATAACTTGTAGGAGTAAGGATATTGAACAATGTGAATATACATTTACTTGGTCTTGTTTGACAAGAAGTTCTAATCCAAATGTAGCTTAAAGCATATATAGCAAAACCATAATTGAGGCAAAAGCAGAACAGAATCACAAACTACCCAACACCTACAGTGAAACACTTTCATCATCAGACCCATTCCCAATTTTCCATTTCATGAGGTCAAAGCAGGATCAACTTTGCTTTTCAGGATAAAATGACATGCAAAAAGTTAACAAGGAAAATCTTAATAATCCAAGCGAAAATGAAACTAAGAAAATGATATTATGTTTTTGTGAAGGTATTGGCACAAGAGACAGAACTGCAGAAAAAGACAAAGACTTCAAGGGCAAAGCACAGAAACAAGTGCAGTTCAACCCAGGCCAGACCAGGGCCACATGGCGAGTGCGGATCCTGAGTGATGGGGAGCATGAGCAGTCTGAAACCTTTCAGGTGGTACTCTCAGAGCCCGTGCTGGCTGCCTTGGAATTCCCCACAGTCGCCACTGTTGAGATCGTTGATCCAGGAGATGGTAAGAGCCATCGTCAACTGGTTTATGTTGTTGCTGTTGGGCTGCTATGACAAAATACCTTGTAGGGGTATAGCTTACAGTTTTAAATTCAATGTTTGAAATTTCCATAGAGAGAACCTTCTAGATTAATGATTCATTATTCTCAGATGTGTTGACAGGAAAATGGAAACTAAAAAGTAACGAAAGAATGCTATATATGTATAATATGTATAATATATAAATATTTATATAGTATATATAAATTGTATTAATAGATTTTATGTATATATAAACATAATTATATTTTCCAGCTAGTACAATTTTCATATTACCAGAAAATCTTTTATTTTATGTATATAAATTATTTACATATTTTATATAATTTTATATATAAATTATTTACATATTTATATATAATTGAATATATATACACATATATATAAAATCGTTTGTAAAGACACGGTCTTGCTATGCTGCCCAGGCTGGTCTCAAACTTCTGGCCTCGAGCTATCCTCCCAACTCAGCCTCCCAAAGCACTGGGATTACAGGTATGAGACACTGTGCCCAGCCAGGGATGCTATACTTTTCCAAGTAAATGAACTACCCATAGAATTACCAACATGTTCTTCCTGTTATTATAATTCTATCATTTAATATTGCTCATGTCATTTTTAATGAATTAATTCATCACTTTTTGGAGTCCTTTAAATGTCTTAACATATCTTTGAAACAAACGGTTTGAGAATGAGATCATTCTTGAATTAATGTGTTCCCCATATTACTTTTAATTATTCAAGATTTCTTTATATATTTACCAGCCAAAAATTTTTATTTGGCCATATGTTTCCACATTTGTGGCATAATACCCACCCCACCCACCCCCATTTTGTAGTGAACACAGTGTTTTGAATCATTGCTGTTAATTTCTGTCAGATTACATTTTCTTGTCAATGCACACCTTGGCTGATGCTGGTAAAAGTGAACCTTAATGCTTTTGTGTGTAATTTGACCTTTTTATTCCCCGTCATACTTCTACAGTCCTGGCTTGTCTTGATCTAGTCAGAAAGTTTTAAAAAGAAAAAAAAAGAAAAAGAAAAAAGATTGAATAGCTTTTTGAGGGCTGGCATTTATACAAACCGTATAGAAACATCTAAAGCTAGGATCCTGTCAGAAGCCAGACATGACTTTCTTTTAAACTTCCAGCCTACTTTATTTTGTCAGTCAGAAAACTCTTAAATGGTTTGCAAAGATACAATCTACAGAGTACATGAAATGGAGACCTGTGTGGAAATCCCTGTGTTAAAAGACTAAGCATAATTAAAGAAAGTGAATAAGAAAACTGGAGCTCTGACATCATTTGTTTAACTAACAACTCTGCCTTTAGTTAAATATGAAGTTCAATTATGTTTGTAATTTTCATTAAAGAATAGTTAGCATTTACTTACATTTAATTGTATCTGCATTATCCAGAGATAAATAACTAAACTTTCTTTTGGTCCTGAACTTTGCACATATGCTTGAAAAATAAAGCTTTTCTCTTTTAAACAAGCCCAGGACAGCTTTAATACATATAAATTGACTCGTTAGTTAAAACTGGAAGCCATTTTTTGATATTTCATTTCCCAACTAGTACAATTGCCGTATTACCTGAAGAAATAAGACACTTGAATTCATTTCTGCCTTCCTATTTATAAGCTCAGAGTGACACTCTGCACCCATGATATATCTAAGCAGTAGGATATTAAAAACAAAACAAAACACATACGCACACCCCACATACACAGCCCCCCACTTATATAATCTTTTCTTAGTGTAGGCTATACCAAATGAAACTTTGCCATAATTTCATTTCATGTATTGATAATCTAAGTTGTTTCAGAATTTTATAGATAAAATTCAGCCCTGTTTATTTCAAGTCATGAAAATCCTTGGATAACTGATAAGTCTTCCATAATGCTTGGTATGCTCTGTGCCTTGTTGAAGACCATTGGTCTTGAAACCCAACTCTATTTCTAGTTGTATGACCTGAAATAAAACAGCTTTTAATAAAATTTAGTTTCCTAATGCACAAAATAAGAAAAAGTAATAATTATCATGTTACAGCATTCCCATGAAAGAGTTCTATAAAACATAAAGCAGAATGCAAATATTCTTACTTCTAACATCATAAATCTAATGTTAGATTTCATTTTAAGAAATTGAGTATTTTTTTTCCCTTACAAAGGATCACTTTTCCCCCCATTTAAAAACTTTGTTTCCTTTTGTACTCTCTCTCCAGCTCTTTGCATATAAATTCACCTGCCCTAGGAGCCGTTATGCCTACAAGCTCTCCCTCTGCATATTCATTCTAGGACATGTTATGATGTTTTGTTTTCAAAATTAAAACAAATTTAAAAATTAAAATTTTACATTAAAAATTTATCCAGCTCATATTTGTGCTGGGTACAGCACTATATATTGGGAATGCAAAGATAATAGCATAGAATCTCTGCTGTCAAAGACCACAGGGGATGGGAAAGAGAGCCCTTTAACTTATCACAGCAGAATGTGATGTGATAAAACAAGGTATGAAGAGTATTGGGACGTTTAGAAGAAGGAATAAACAACTCGGCTTTATTTTAGGCTGGGAACTGGTTTTACTTATTAGCAAGTTTATGTAAACATATGTAAGTCTATGCTTTTCTCATTACTTTATAATGGTAACGACTGAAATTCGTTGAGCAGTTACTATGCAACAGACAGTGTGTTTAGCACATTATATACGTTCTCTCATTCAGTCCCTTGTAGACATATGAACCATTTTAGGCATTTTACTTGATGTTTACAGGAGGCTTTCAATTTTATATTTGGCAAGTTTTGGAACATTAGTTCCAAAATTATATGACAAAAAGAACTTTCTTTTTTTCTCTCTCTCTTTTTTTTTTTTTAGACGGAGTTTCGCTCTCGCTGCCCAGGCTGGAGTGCAGTGGCGCCATCTTGGCTCACTGCAACCTTCGCCTCCTGGGTTCAAGCAATTCTCCTGTCTCATCCTCCTGAGTAGCCTGGATTACGGGCGGTTGCCACCACGCCCGGCTAATTTTTGTATTTTTAGTAGAGACGGGGTTTCACCACGTTGGCCAGGCTGGTCTGGAACTCCTGACCTCAGGTGATCTGCCCGCCTCGGCCTTCCAAAGTGCTGGGATTACAGGGGTGAGCCACCGTGCCCAGCCCAGAACTTTTTAACACACACACAGACACATATACATGTATTGGCTTCTCACATTTTATAATTATGGTCTTACAATGCCATGTATCCATATATTTTTTAAATTATATAGTTGTTATATAGGTGAAGATTTTAAATGACTATGTATTTTATTTAATACATCAGTGTCTACATCACTGAAAAAGTATCACATACAGTTATATGCTTGCTTATTTCTTTAACCTGGTCCAATACTCAGTGCCCTCATGGATATACTGTAATACCTCACCCCCTGCCCCCATGCCTCCAAGTGTCTGTGGCTCTCTGGTTGGGAACCATGGCTCTGCGATCAATAGAGCTGACCCTCATGTAAAGAGTGAGTTCAGTCACTCATTGAGATTGATTCTACAGTCTCCCCCACACCCCCTTTTTTTTTCGAGACGGTATCTCACTCTGTCGCCCAGGCTTGAGCGCAGTGGAGCTATCATAGCTTGCTGCATCCCCAAACTCCTGGGCTAAAGCAAAGCTCCCACCTCAGCTTTCCAAGCACCTAGTATTAGAGGTACACACCACCATGCCCAGATAAGTGTTTCCTTGTTTCGTTGTGTTTGTTTGTTTTTTTGATTGGTTGTTTTTTTTGTAGAGACAAGAGTCTTACTATGTTGCCCAGGCTGGTCTTGAACTCCTGGCCTCAAGTGGTCCTCCTTGGCCTCCCAAAATGTTGAGATTACAGGCATCAGCCACCACACACAGCCTCTTCTTGCTTTTAACATGCGCATAGAAAGTTCCAACTGGGAAGGGTTTAAAGTTCATGAAACATTTAACTCATTTTCTGGATGAGGAATCTGAGAAATAGAGCTTTGAAAACTTACCTCATTTAAACCTTATGTTTATAACTCTGTGATTTATATATCAATTTACAAAGATCTCTGAGGGTCAAGGAATTTACTTTCCCCAAGTCACCCAACTAATAAGTGCCAGAGGCAGTATTTAAAAAAAATATGTATAAAATATATAATAAAACTAAACAATATATATTCAAATATATATATTGTTTCCCCCTCTAGAGCTCTTCTTTCCCCTGAGTTATGTTCTTCTATCATTTTACATGGTTAGAAAAGAAGTAATATCCCAAATCCTAATTAATCAGTGAACTTATCACTGTGACGTTGTTTTACTTATCTTGTATATGAAAACAACACAGTAATTTCTTCCCGTCTTATGCTCTTCTCTTTTCTCTTTCTATTATATATTAAGCCTCAAATTTATTATATAGGTGAATAAAACTAAGCATTCTAAGAAAATAATCAAGACCAATTCAGCTCCTGCATAATGTGTCTGTATATTCAACAAATGCTTATTAAACATCTACTCTATGCCAGGAATGCTGCTAGGATCTAGGTAGTAGAGAAGAAGGCATACTAACCCTTGAAGTTAATCATATAATTAGGTGATTGCATTCCCCTAGATTGTTACAATTAACAATATAGAATGCTACGTGCTCTGATAAAAGAGCAACTGGAGCCCATAGAAGGAGTATCTATGGAGTATCCAGTCTTGAGAGAGAAGGAAAGGCTTCTAGGATAAAGATTCTTAACCTCCGTGTATTAAGTTACTAAGCTGTCAGAAATTAACACTATCTTCCCTTGCTCTTTAAAGCATATAGATATTAGTTAATGTTAAACATTTCCATTTTTGTTAAGGGAAAATATACAAGAGCTAAGACGTCTGATTTTATATAAAGATCCCATTCTTTTTTGACTTAGTAATTTCTAGCCAGAGTAAATGGAGTTCTATATACATTTATTGGGAGAAAACAACCTCAAATATAGAGGTATTTGAATACAGATACTTAGTACAGGTACCTAAAGCCTGTAATAGTTTATGTAATTATTTAGTTTGTACACTTGAAATGTCTGCCAACTTCTGATAGAAACTGAGTCATTCTGATATTTCCATGATACCAAAATATGGCCAGGAACCAGTGGATTAAATATTTGATCTCTGTAATCATTTCTGGTGGGCCCATGGCAGGTTAATGCCATATAATATTTAATAGAGAATAAACACATTATTTTAAAGGAATGTAGAACTTAACATTAAAGGTTAAAAACCTAATATTAATGAGTACAAAGAAAAGACAAAAATCTGTATTCTGAATGAGCCAAACCGATTTCATATGATAGAATTCAGATGACATAGGCTGACTACAATATGAAACTCAAACATTCATTCTTATTTTTGAAATTCTACACGTTGTCAGTGTTGACATAAGGAGGTCACTGGCTAGCTGATATTTTGAGGTGAATGTGCCAAAATTCAAGGTCCAGAATTAATGAAACGATAGTACGCTGCAGATGATGATACAGAAATGATAAAGCAGGCATGAGAGAGCTTCAACTTCAGTGAGAGTCAAACCATTTTTTAAAAAGAAACTATCAGTGTGAAGCATAGGTCGTCATCTTAAGGCAAACAAAAAATTTCAAACACTTGCTAAAAGTATAGCACATAGTTTCTGACACTGAGTAGTGGATAAGCAAAAAAGGTGCAAAATAAAACTTGCATCATGAAAAACTTTCTGGAAATTTCTCCATTTACAAAACAAAAACATTTAATAATTCAAACAAAGATTACCGAAAGATTCACTTTATTTACTTATTTATTTAGAGGCAGAGTCTCACTCTGTCACCCAGGCTGGAGCGAAGTGGCACAATCTTGGCTCACTGCAGCCTCCGCCTCCCCATTAAAGTGATTCACCTGCCTCAGCCTCCCAAATAGCTGGGATTACAGGTGCACACCACCATACCCAGCTAATTTTTGTATTTTTAGTAGAAACGGGGTTTCACCATGTTGGCCAGGCTGGTCTCGAACTCCTGACCTCAAGTGATCCGCCTGCCTTGGCCTCCCAAAGTGCTGGGACTATAGGTGTGAGCCACCACACCTTGCCCCAAAGATTCACTTTAACCAACACATTTGTATAGTAGTACCAAAGGATAATTTTTGGACCTCATGCTATCTTGATGTGAACTCATAGCACTTATTATCATGTGGTTTGGGTATGTTTACATTACTTTATTTCTTTTTCAAGACCCTGTAAAAATTAGTCTATATTACTATGTCTGTCTTAGAGTAAAACAAACAAACCATAGAAATGTAAGAAAGCTGTCCAAGTTCAAATAGATAAATGACAGACTCTGCTGTATTCAATGCCACTTGTTGGCCAGTCTGAGGGCACCATAGTGGCCTGAAAATGCACTGGAATCTGGAATGTCTTCTGAGTTGTTTTTGAATGTGCCAAATTTCTTAAAGGCAAGGAACCATCAGTGCCTTCATCCATGTACTCTATTTTCTTTTCCTTTCTTGTTCTATTATAGCAGATTTTTAGAAGATATTTTGTTCTATCATTGTTTAGCAGAGTCTGTTTATTTTTTATCCTCTGTGGAATATAATTGAGAGAAGGTATAAAATGTACATTCTCTTTCAAATGAAGCTACAACTACTTTATGTCTGAGAACAGAGAAATCAATTTTGCCTGTTGTAGCACAGTCAAAACCCAAAAATAAGAACTGCAGTTACAAATTGCAGTACTCATTACAATATAGTCACATGGACTAATAAAGAATGCATTCACTTTACTCTTTCTTTCAAAATAAAGGGTAATTAAATCAATCTGGAAGTATAAAAGTAACACATGTTCATTGTCAAAAACGAATACAAGATGTTAATAATGGTGGAAAATGAGAGGGAGTGAAGGGATATATGGGAACCATATGCACTTTCTATTCATTTGTCTCTAAATCTAAAACTGCTAAAAAGAAAAAAAAAAAACCCAGAGGTCTATTCACTTAATTTCAAAAAGTCATTTGCAGCCTTACCACTTGAGAGTAACCATTGTTAACATTTGAGAGCACGACCCTGCAGTCATTTTTTTTCTATGAGAGTTGACTATTTCTATAATGTAGCCCTTAACTGTCTCTCAGTGAACACCTTCACAAAGACAGCAGCAGTTCCAATCCAATGTGTTAATGGGATTTGACATGTGTACTTTTATATTATGATATACATATATTATATTCCATATACATACTAATATACTATATACTTTATATACTTTTTCATAATACTTGTGAAGATTTATTAATATGCATATTGTACATATATTATAAAAGTATACATACTTTTTAAATTGTGTATGTATACAATCATATATATATAATTTCTATGAAAATACTGGATTTTAAAAAGAATTCTCAAAATATTTGTTTCTAACTTCGTTTTTTCTGATTCTACTGCAATGGCCATCTCTCTGCCTTAGCAGTACTTCGTGTTGCTCTTTTATCATCTCAATTTAGCCTTTTGTTTTTCTCTGGTGTAAGTGATGCTCCCACTCCTGGCTAACCTGAGCAGTTTTCTCTTAGGCAGTAATGTGTAGTGGTTACGAGCCTGGGCGGGCTCTGACATGGAGTTTCTGGGTTGAAACCCCAGCATCACCACCTACCAACCTAACTTTCAGCTGCTCACTTAACATACGTGTGCCTCAGAGGTAAAGTGAGTCATAATAATTCTTACCTCAAAGGTTGTTGCAAGGATAAAACTAGCCAATCATGTGAAGTGTTTAGAATAGAGCTTAGCAAATAATGAGAACTCCATGCCTACTAGCTAAGAATTTTTAAGGGTAGTCTACAAATGCCACTTTTAGGAATTTTGCACTTAAAGCTCTATGCTTACTTGAAGCAGCCTGCATAGACACTTCCATTGTATTTATAACGTGAAGTTGAAAAGGAATGTTAACAGAAAAATCTATCAGGGAAGCCTTTCTTTGTCTCTGTGATACCCTTTTCCAGTTTTTCCCACAGCCTACATATTTCTGTTAGAAGTTAGGTCAACAGAAGACCTAAACTTGATACTGGGCCTATTTACTCTGTCAGATTGACTGTAGGAGTGAATTCCAGAGCGAAGGGCACAGCCCAGACACTCGGTTTTCTTTTTTATTCCTAATTCAAACTTACTGGCACTGGCAAGAAGTCCTGGCTTGTTTAATCAAACCTGCATGTGTCATAAGGCCTAGGAAGAATCAAAACTCAGGTGCTTGAGCTTTAAATCTTTAAAAAGATTATTAAATTAAAATCCCATACATGGACCACTTCTGAATAACTTATTTGAAAAGAAAACCCTGGCCAGTATAGATTAGAAGTATAGAATGAATTATGAATAATCAACCCTGTCTTAGTCAGCTCAGGCTGCTATAACAAAATGCCACAGACTGGGGTGGCTTAAACAACAGACATTTCTTTCTCACAGTTCTGGAGGCTGGAGAATCCAAGACTGGGGTGCCAGTAGATTTGGTTCCCGGTGAGGGGCCTCTTTCTGGCTTGGAAATGGCTACCTTCTCTCTGAGTCTTCAAAAGACGTTTCCTTGGTGCATGCTCATGGAGAGAAAAATACCTCTGTCTTCTTCTTCTTATAAGGACACTAATCCCATCCTGAGGGCCCCACCCTCATGACCTCACCAAAGTACCTCCCAAAGGCTGCATCTCCTAATACCACTGCCTTGGGGATTAGGGCTTCAACATATAATACAGGACGAACACAAACATTCAGCCCATAACAAACCCTAAAGGATGAGAATAGATGGACACATAGCGGGAAACAACACACACTGGGCATTTCAGAAGGTGGAGGGTGGGCGGAGGAAGAAGATCAGGAAAAATAACCAATGAGTACTAGGCTTAACACCTGGGTGATGAAATAATCTGTGCAGCAAGCCATCGTGGCACACATTTATCTATGTAGCAAACCTGTACTTGTACCCTGAACTTAAAAAAAAAGTTAACAAAAACTCTAATAAATCAAACTTTCTGTAATATTTCATACTAATGCCACAGAGTCCATGACCTGAAGACTGCCAAAATCTAGGTGATACCGGAGCACATTTCCATAAGTTAATGAAAACAAACTCACTAAAACTAATTGAATATTTGACTTGAATTTTCAGTGATACTTGGTGTATTATTTGTACTCAAGTCTTATGATAATTTCTACATTGAAATTTTATATTTGGTGAAAACCTTACTTCATAATAATAGGTGTAATTCTTGCTTTTACTAAAACTCATCTTAAAAATAAACCGGCATTCTCAGCAAACTAACACAGGAACAGAAAACCAGACACTGCATGTTCTCACTCATAAGTGGGAGTTAGACAATGAGAACACAGGGACACAGGGAGGGGAACAACACACACTGGGGCTTGTCGGGGGGTGGAGGGAAAGGGGAGGGAGAGCATTAGGACAAATACCTAATGCATGCAGGGCTTAAAACCTAGATGACAGGTTGATAGGTGCAGCAAACCACCATCGCCCATGTATACCTATGTAACAAACCTACACGTTCTGCACTTGTATCCCAGAACTTGAAATAAATTTTTTAAAAAAAGAATATTAAAAAAAAAAAGTACTCACTTGGGCAGGTCACATACTGAAATTGGAGTTAGCACGGCCCCTGTGCAAGGATGCCAAGCAAATCTGTGAAGCGTTTCGTATTTTTGCTGCCTGAGTGATGGTGAGGATGTCCCTAGCCACCAAGATTGCTGATACACAAGTAAAAAAATAAAAAGTAAAAACCAGCAAAGACATTTCTCTCCATGTCACTTGTTTCCATTTAAAGCAAAACTTCTTGAAATAAATGCCTATGCCCGGTGTCACCTGCTCCTCTCCTCACACACTCTCTTAAACCTACTTATTCAGGCTTTATTCACCCTCTACTTCACTGGAACAGTTCTGGTGAAAATAGCCAACTTTTGGTGACATCCATTTGCTAAATCTGATGATCACCTCTCAGTTCTTCACTCATGTGACATGTTAGCAGCTTTTGAAACAACTGATCACTCCCTTTTCCTTGATATGCTTTTTGTAACTGGCCTCCGGGGCCCACACTCCTCTGGTTGTCTTCATCCCTAGGACTTTTTCTCAGCCTCATTTGCTCGGTTTTCTTTATCTCCCTGACTTCTAAGTGCCCCATGGTGAATCCCTAGATCCATTCTCTTCTTTATCTATAATCCTCCCCTGTGTGATTTTATTTTGACTCGTGGCTCTACATACCATCAACATGTTCAGTTTAGATTTCCATTCGGACCTCTCCACTGACATCCATGATTCTATACCCAAATGGCTAATTTGACATGTCAGCTTGGATATTTAAAAGGAACCTCAATTTTAATATGTTTAAAATGGAACTGTGGATTTCCACTCCTAAATCTGATTCTCCTGAAGTCTTCCTCACCTGTATACCTAGCAATTTCATCTTTCCAGTTGGTCAAGACAGCAAAACTTGGAGTCATCCTTTATTCTTCTGTTTCTTGCGCATACCACACCTGGTCCGTCAGAAAACTCAAATAGCTCTACCTTTATATTCCGGCATGCAGCCCTGTCATTCCACCTCCACTGCCACTGCCTGGTCCAAGCTTCTATGATCGCTTGCCTGCATGGTTGCAAAATCTCCTGATCAGGCTCTTTACTTCAACTCTTAGACCTGGTGTCTCTTTATCTTACAGCAGTCACAACTTATGTTCTTAAAGTATGTCAGATTATGGAAACCTTCCCCCCATCTCCAAAGCCTTCTAATGATTTCATATTGAGAGATTGAATGTAAAAAGCCAGTAGCCAGACCACACATTAAAATACAACTCTGCAGCACAACCTACAGCAACCGGAAAGCCAAAGACAACTTTTTTGGCAATCAGCCTCCAGTGGTCAGGATCTGATGATGGCTTTCCTAATTTTTGTCTCCACTTTGAATTTTGGAACAACCAGACAGAACCATATATGCACCTCTAACCATAGGATACCCCACTTCTAGTTAATCCACTAGAGCTTCCCCATGCCAACAGCCTCCAATGAGGTCACACCTGAAGCCTTCCCTTTTTTCCACTATTAGGCATTCCTGCTTCTCTGCCTGTCTTTGAGTCTTTATCAAAACACAGGTGATAGTGGCTGATTCCATTGCTAAAGCAAGCTCTGAATAAACAGCACTTGCTTGTTCTCATCCCATCTGGTCTTTGTTTATTTCTATATCTTACTCTGAGTAAAAACCAAAGGTCTTCCAATAGTCCTGAAGGGCTCATGTGACCTGCCCACCACCCACCCCTTCACCACCTCTCTAGCCCTCATATCTTAGGCTCTCCTTCTTGTCCAATTTGCTTCAAGCACACTGGCCTCCTGGCTATTCCTTGTACACACTTGGCACAACCTGCCCCAAGGCCTTTTTCACTTGTCCATCCATTTACCTGGAATTCTCTTAAGTTGTTCATATGGGACATTTTATTACTACCTTCCAATCTCAGCTCAAATGAGATTCTAATTCTACCAGAGACTTTTTTTTTCGACTTTCCTGTGTATCTTAGGCCCCTCTACTCACACCCTGTCCAGCCACAGCTTTCCCTGTCACCCTCAGCATATTTTATTTTATCCATATGTCCCTAATATACTACTTATTTTCTTGTATACATATTTTCTTCCTCCTCCCCACCCCTCAACTATAATAAAAACCCTATGAGGCCAAGGATTTTGTTACTTCTGTATCCCCTGCACAGTATCTGGCAAGTCGATGTCACCCAATCCATATTTGATAAATAAATAATTAGTTACAAAATCTTATATTCACAGATTTCTTAAAATGGGGGCTTTTTAAAAATTAGTATGTCAGTCATAACTCCAGGAGAAAACAAATAGCACACTGAAAATGAGTAATTTAAAAAGAATTGAATCACGTGACTATTTTAGAAAGGAGGGGGCAAAGATCTGTTAATACCTAGGCATGGTAAAATGCTTCGAGGCTAATGAGAGCAGCCCCATCACCACCTCTAGGCACAGGACAGGAGAGGCTAGCTGAGCCCAGAGAGTGAGCTAGGCCCTAGGCCTTCCACAGGCACTCTAACCTTTTGTGGAGGGTGTGCAGCCAGCTCTGGAAACCCTGAGGGAAACCAAGGGAATAAACGCCTGGCCCACTCTGCTTTTGCCCTCCAAGTTCCTTCCTGTATTCCCCATTGGCCGACCCAACCAGGAGCCAGAATGTAAGGGAAACATTAGGCGTGGTTCCCATTTGTCAGCTCCTGGGGCACAGCGCAGGGTGAAGCAGGGTGGAGCATGGACCTCCAAGGCTGTATCTGCTGTTCCAGCAGTCTTTTATAATTTTTAAGTCATAAGGTTAACTGTTTTAAAAATAATCATGAAGTGTTTTCTGTGTGGGTGTGAGACTGTCTGTGAAACAAACTCCCAGTCAAATCCCAGAGTATCTGTTTGGGGTTTACAATGTCAAACCATTGTACTAAATGGTTGTTATTGTTTTACATGATAACTGCATTTTTTTTTAACAATTTACTTTTGCCATTTTTATTATTTAACATGCCCTTTGACTGTGTTAAAAAAGAATCATTGGTAATATTGTATATGTTATTCTGTCAGGAGTGAAAGGGAGCCACGGAAATATTCCTTATAGCTGATAAATAGATTTATCAATTCTAAGGGAACAGCTATTTTTTAAAATGTTGAACAATGTATTATTGTAACTTTAATCATGAATTGTCCAAAAAGAACTCACTTTGGATGAAAAGAACAGCAGAACAGACATTTCAAGATCTGAGTTCTAATCCTGACTTGGCCAGCCATTGACAAATAGGTTCAACTATGCGAGCCTGAGTTTCCTCATCTGCAAAGTGGGAGATGGGACAAGATGACTTTTGAGGTCATTTCCACCTCTCAAGTGGTGCTCCATTGGAAGGTGTTAATGTGTGCCAAGAGAACAAAGTTAGATTTATAAAAACTGTGTCAGCATGACTTATTTATTTAGAAGAAAGCAATTACTAGAGATATAAGCCATGTTGGGTTTTGTTTTTAGATTTCAGAATTCACTGGCCCAGAGCCTATTCCCTTTATACCCACTTCTTTTCCCCTCTCCTTCCTCCTTTTCCTCCCACTATGTTATTCTAAAGAATATTCAAGGGGGAAAAATCAATCATTAGAGAAATTTTAATTCTGTATGATTGTTTCAGAGGTAAGAAGCTCAGACAAAAATAATGCTTGCAATTGTGTTTTCTCTCTAGAGCCAACTGTGTTTATTCCCCAGTCCAAATACTCCGTTGAAGAAGATGTTGGTGAGCTGTTCATTCCCATCAGGAGGAGCGGAGATGTGAGCCAGGAGTTGATGGTGGTCTGTTATACCCAACAAGGTAGCTCGATTTGCCGAAAAACTAAGATAACCCCCAAAAGATATAAATAAGCCTTTTTAACATATTGGAGCCATAACATTTTACCATGAGGGGTATACTTTATTAATTTTCCATAGATACAGAAAAGGATTTATTTAGAAGTCTTTCTTCAGGATTTCACCTTTGACGAGTCCTCTTTCTGATTTCACTTGGTCACTTACTGCAATACTCAAGGCTTTTTGGATTGTAAGGAACTAAAGCCCAACCCAGCCTGCTCAAGTAGAAATGGGTTACTATATAAAAAAAAAAAAAAAAAAAAAGAGGCAAAGTGATGCGTGCCCAAGGAAAAGAAACTAATTTAAAACCAGTTTGCAACTCATTTCAAAGAAATATCAAAATGTTTGTTTTGCTCATGAGCAAATATCCTATGGAAGGTGATTTTATATAATAAAAAATTAAAATTAATACATAATATTCACTAATATACTAAACACCTTTCTAGGAAATAAGTAGATTTTCTAAAAATGCAAAATCAAAAGTTATATATGCTGATATCAGAGTAGACTTTTGTTAAAATTTTCATTCGTAGGTATATGATTTGAAAGGCAGTACAGAAGAGTGATTAAAAGCCGACTTCAGAGGCCGGGCTCAGTGGCTCATGCCTGTAATCCCAGCACTTTGGGAGGCCGAGGCGGGTGGATCACGAGATCAGGAGTTCACGACCAGTCTGATCAACATGGTGAAACCCTGCCTCTACTAAAAATACAAAAATTAACTGGGCATGGTGGCGCGCACGCGCCTGTAATCTCAGCTACTCAGGAGGCTGAGGCAGAAGAGTTGCTTGAACCCAGGAGGCGGAGGTTGCAGCGAGCCAAGATCACGCCATTGCATTCCGGCCTGGGCAACAGAGCGAAACTCAGTCTCAAAAAAAAAGCTGACTTCAGGACCAGCCTTGGACTCCGGGGTCCAGACCAAGTGGTTCAACTTCTGAAAACCTCAGTTACCAAATGTGTAAAGCCAGGTGGAGTGGTTGAGAGGATTAAGGAGACAAGTATTTGAAGCACTTGGCACTTTGCCTGTGCATAGTAAGCTTTAGAATAGTAGGGGCTATTAATTTGTAACATTGTGTTGATCTAAAGTCCATTGACAGGAAAGTCAGGAGTGAACACTTGAAATGTAATATTCCTTATAGGTGTATAGGTTTGAGGTCACTCTCAAGTTGACTCATGATACTAGAACAGTACGTAGTTGCTATTGCAGTTCTAGGGGTGTTCATGTCTACTAACTGACCATTAAAATGCTGTGTATGAAAATAATTGTGTCTGGAAATATCTTTGTCTTATGTTCTACATAAAAATCTTTTGAATTCTCTCTGCTTCCAGGAACAGCAACTGGAACTGTGCCGACTTCCGTGTTGTCTTACTCTGATTACATATCCAGGCCTGAGGACCACACCAGTGTTGTCCGCTTTGACAAAGATGAACGGGAGAAACTGTGTCGGATAGTCATAATTGATGACTCTTTGTACGAGGAGGAGGAAACCTTCCATGTCCTTCTGAGCATGCCCATGGGGGGAAGAATCGGATCAGAGTTCCCAGGGGCTCAAGTTACAATCGTTCCTGACAAAGATGATGGTGAGTACTAATTTACTTGAAAATTCTTTTTCCCGGGAAGATCAACATCAGGAACAACTTTCTAGACAGAAAAAATGGGAATCTAAAACAATGATAATATACACATTTATTTTATGTTTGGTTTTTTCATATGATTAGGTTTCAAAGTTGGCTGCATCTGTCGGTTTGTCTTCCTTGATTTAATGTTTTTAAAGGGCAAAAGTCACAATTATGTGAGTTTTTTCCGCTGCGCCGTTTCTTTCACCAAGCCCTGTACCATCAGGTGATTAAACTTTTGACATTTCATGGTGAAGAATTGAAATCTAATTTATTTCCTTCTTGGTTTTTTGTTTTGTTTTGCTTTTAAAAGCTTATATTTTGTAACTTTAATCTCAGTGTTTGAAACTGTTTTTTCAAAGAAACCTGTCGGGCAAGGCTGTTAAATGAATAACTAGTAAACATAGGGAAAATTAAGTCCAACAAGCCACTCTGCCCCAAAACAGGAGGGAGAGAATATCCTAGATCATTCTTCCCCAGAGAAACTAAATTGCCATGAAGTAGAAATAGAGAAGGGAGCAAAAGGATCTTAATCTCCCCAGTTCAAGAAACAGTTTGTATTTTTTTGTGTGGATACAGAGAGCAAACGGAAATATTGTGAATACTCTTGTAAGTAAAGCAGAGAGCAGTAAACTGAGAGATGGGACACCCTAACCCTGGGCTGGTTTTCTTTCCCCCTTGAAATTTTCCTCCTGGTAGATGAAAGAGGAAGAAACTGGGGGATAAATCTTTCGGTTTGGAAAGAAGCTGGAAGACAGTCAAAAGACCAAACTGAGGAAGCTGAAAATAATCTACCAGGAAAGGTCTTTGATAGTTAAATGGCAAAGCATGTGAGAGGTGAAGGTGATAATGTGTCTTGTGAGGTTATACTCTGTGCCAGGCATGGTACTGGCTCCTCTGTACATTCTTTTAAAAAGACCTTTGCATAGGTTTATTGGATCTTTGTATTTCTTTGAATTGTCTATATACAAATTGATTTTCTTACTGATTTATAGTAGCTGTGAGAATAATAGGTATTTTACCTTTTACTGTATGTTGTTAAAATTTCTTCTAGTTTCTGCCATTTGTTTTTGGTTTATTTTGTTTTTCAAATTGACAAATAATTATGCATATTCATAGGGTACATAATGATGTTTAGACACATATAAAATATAGTGGTCAGATCAGCATAATTAGCATGTCCATCATGTCAAACATGTATCATTTCTTTGTGTTGGGAATTATCAACATCCTTGTAGCTAGCTGAAGCTATGTAATGTATTATTGTTAACTAGAGTCACCCTACAGTGGTATAGAAAACCAGAGCTTGCTCCTCTTATCTAGCTGTAATTTTGTGTCCTTTAACTAATCTTCCCCCATATCCCCCATCTTTCCTCCCTTCCCAGCTTCTGCTACCTTTGTGTATCATTGTGCTTTATCATCCTAACAATTCTGTAGAATCCATAACAACATCTGTGTTTTTACTGAAAATGTTTGAAAACACGAAAAATTAGAAATTATTTTATCAAGAGGTATTGAAAGTCTTGATTCTACCTTAAATTTATATAATACCCTATAAGTATAAGCTGCTCTAATATTTTTAACTGCTGCCTTAATTGATCAGTGTAATAAGAAGTTCTATTCTGATTTAAATAAAGTACAGAAATTTTATTTTAACTTTAATTTATCTTAAAGAAAGAGCAATATTTTGAATATCATTTCAGAAAAATCTAATAGCCCATGCTAAATGCCTATCTGCTCTTTAGATAATCTATCAATTGTTACAGGTAGAAAGAAGTAGGTTTAATTTAAAAAAAGAAAATGTAATTCATGTTTACTTTAGTTCAGTTTGTTTTTTTTGGCAAAAAAATCTTTCCTGTATGGATTGCTATGGGATGCACATGCAGAAAAAAACATAAAAGTACAGAAAAAAACATTTATTAAGTGCCAGGCATTTTCACAAATGTATCTCTAAATCTGCAAAATGAAAGATGATGCCATTATCCCTATTTTACAGATGACAAGACTGAGACTTAGAGAGACTAGTTGATTAACTTGAACTTACGAAGCTAGTATACAGCAAAGTCAGTATCATGGCCCCCAAATCATGACCTTTCCATGTTATTACTCCACCTTTAAAACGTGTCTCTAGTGGTAATGAGGTTGAGGAACCATTGGTATGGTCCTATCATATAATATTCATAGAACATTTTACTATTGTCAGTGTCTTATCAGAGCTTCACAATTCACTGATGTAGACAGGGCAAGTGGCATTATAAGTGGGGTAGCGAAAGCCCAGAAAATTATTTACCCCAGAACACAGGGCTGGTAAATTTGGGTGCCATGGACTTTGATTTTGAGGCAACTGAGTACCATGCAGACATTAGACCAGCAGTTTGTCAGGAATGCTCTTGGTGATTATTGCCATTGCTTCTTCATTCACTCAACCACTATTCAATAAATCAAAAGTCCTATGCATACTGCTCTGTTTTCTCCCATCTGTCATTTACCTTCCACTTCTAACATCACTACTATAGTTTAGACAGATCCTTTTCATCTCAGATGCAGATTATAATAAACTTCTCACAGTTCCCACAGCCTCATATCTCTTCCTACCCACACCTTGGTTTCCATTGCCACCAATTTAACCTTTCCTAACCTCCTCCCACACCTTTTCTCAGCACAAAACCCAAAAATGTTGACAGCAAACTTTGCCATCGTCAGGAAGATAGATAGGCACCTTCCACTTTCCCCAATCAAAAGCCAGTAATGCTCTAAAAAGAAAAAAATAAGTAAGTGTGGTTTAATCTCTTCTGGTAGTGTAATGATTGAGAAATCTATAAAGATTAAAGTTATTTCCTAATTAACTTATTTATTATTTATTAATGTTATTTATTAAGTTTATTATTGTTATTTATTAATGTTATTATTTATTATTTATTATTATTTATTAATTTAGCAATATTTATTAATGTTATTCAACGAATATTGCAATTATTTTCTTAAAAATGCAATGGTCAGTCCAGTCACAGAATAAGGAAAAGAAGAAAGAAAAGAGGAGGAACAAAGGAGGTGGCACAGGGAGGATGGGTCTCATGAGAGCAAATCAAAGACAGATTGATGAGTAAGAACAGGACAAACCAAGAAATTAAGAGAGAAAATGACAGCACATCATATCTAAAGAAGAAAGAAAAGGACAGTACTGAAAAGAGGAGATGAGATAAGCCCATTAGGGCCTCTACTGTGGGTAAACCACGTCTTTCATATCCTGGCACTCATTTAGAGGGTTATTTTCTTTCTTTACAGTTACTTGAAATAGCACTAGCAAAATAAACCCAGTTTACAGCTCTTTGAGTGCTATATTTTCAAGTCTTCAGAAGCTTGCAGTGAGATCATTATGACCTACCAGAAGGAATTATTCCTTAGACTGCTTAACATAGCAGATGGCACAAGCTCACCTTGAGGCTTAATCTTCACCCTGAGAGTAAAGTTGCAGTTATCCAGTTTAGTATTCCATTGAATAAGAAATTTAATAAGAAATAAGTTTGGGATGGTTTATCTATTAATACTGTACCTTATCCACTGCTGCGTCCCCACAGAATCCTTTTGGTTGAGTCTTTCAGAGACCACCTTACTGACTAAATGATGATTTATAGCACTTCAGTGAAAAATACTTTCAGAAGATCTTCTGTTACTTAAGAAATGGCTGCGATATCAAATGTCAACACTTTATAGAATTGACAATATTGACTTACGGTCCCTAGGACCTGCACTTAGAGCTCAATCATTTCTTTTCATTCACTTATCACAGTTTGTCTTTTCTTTGATAATTCTCAACGTCATTTTACATATTTATTTTGTCATATTGTGCCCTTTAGTATAATGTTGGATGGAAGCAGTAGAGCAGGCATTTTTGTCTTTTTCTCATTGAAAAGGAAAATATTATAATGGTCCCCCATTTAGAATAATGTATACTATAAGATTCTAGTAACATTTTATCAGGTTAAGAAAACATTTAGTTTGAGAAGAGATTTTATCAGGAATAAGTATTAAACATTTTAAAAATTTCTGCATTTATTGAACGTATTACATAATCTTTTCCTTCAATCTGTTAGTGTAATGAATTGCATTTTTAGATTTACTAGTGTTAAGCCACCCATATATGCTTGAAGAAACTTACTTGTTCATGATGTAATTTTATAAATTGCTGGATTAAATTTAAGAATATTTCATTTTAGTATTTTTGCATGTATATGGGGCTTTAAATCTGTTTATTTTTAGAATCAAGTTTATAATGGCCTCATTAATTGAGTTGAGGTACTATCTTCCTTCTTTAATCTGTAAACTTCAAATAAGATTGACATAATTTAATTTTGTAGGTTTGGTAAAATTATAAATCTGCCTGTATGTATGTAGCTAGATTTTGGCCTATTGTTTGGCTTCCTTAAATGGTTATTTCTTCTTAAGTTTTATTAATGTATTTTTTCCTAAGAAAGTTGTGTATATTATCTACATTTTCAAAATAATACTGTAAATTAATTATATTATCATAAAATTCTTAAAAGTCTCTATTGCATGTCTATTTATGTATCCATTTTATTACTAATAATGTTCTTCTATCCTCTCTCTCTCTGTCTGTCTCTTTTCCTTTTCTCTTTCAATTTATCTTTCCAGAAGTTTGTATATTTTATTCAAGTTTTTTTTTAAAAAAAGCTATGTTTGGTTCTGACTTTTCAAAAAAAAAGAATAGAAATTTTTGGAAATTTCTATTCTTTTTATTTTCTATTTCATTAATTTCTGTTTTTGCCTCAGACTTACCTTCCAGTTGGCTAATTCTCTCTATATCTATTTGCTACTTAACTCATCCACTGAGATTTATTTTGATAACTATATTTGCATTTTGAGAAGATCTGTGTGGAGTTTTTTTATATTTATCTTTGACTTTCTATCATGCTTTATTTTTTCTTCATATAGTTTCTTTTTTATATATTTAATAATTTAGATATTTATTTTATAATCTTTGTTGCAGTTTTATTATTGAAGATCTAAGGTCCAGATCTTATGTTTTTCGCTTCAACTGCTTCTTGTTCATGGTATATTACTTCCTTGCATATAATAATTTTGTCTTATGAATTGACTTTCAATGAGATTTTATATGTAGAAAGCCTATACAATCCTAGTTCAGGGATTAAACCCTGAGAGTAGTTTTGCTTTTATATTTGCTAGGGTCGATTTCTATGTTATGTTTTCTTTTTTAATTTGAGGAGTTCCAGTGCCAAATAATGTGAATTAGGACTCCAAATCTGTGTATTAGAGAGGCCTATTGAGACATTTTTTCCCCGTCCAGAATTTAGGCAGAAACAACAAGCTCCATAAGAGGATGGGTTTTTATTCTAACTCACACATCTCCTCTGGTATCCAGACTTTATTCGTGGGGTTTCAGTTTCAAATTTCCACTTTACATCACCTGTTCCTGTGTGGGCAGTCAAATGCAACCCACTCAGGACAGCCACAGTATTAGCTCATTTAGCTAGTACTCTATTTTTTTTTCAATTCTGTCTTGTGAGAGTATTTCTTACTTTATTGTAAAACCTCCATTTAAAAGAGTTTCTATTATATTTGCAGAGTTTGTGAGAGGAAGGTTTTCAAGTATATCCTTCAAAATATTGCTGTTATAATTCACTAGAAAAGCTTTTATTGAGTGAAAATAACATGTGTCCAGAAGTGTTTTCTGCATTGGTGCTTATGGACTACTCTTCTAATACTAAATTGCCATTTGTACCATCAGTTCTCATGTCAGGAATACCATGGCTGAGTCAAAGATGGGGCAACTAAACTTTTTATTAGGTTGGTACAAAAGTAATTGCGGTTTTGGCCATTGAAGGTAATGGCAAAAATAGCAATTACTTTTGCATCAATCTAATATTTTGTGAGACAAATGCTCTTAAAAGCTTTAATTTCTAGACATGACCTTTTTGGCAAAGTGATTTAATTATTATGCAAATCCCGTTTTTCTTTTATTGTACTGAAACTTATCCAAGTCAAGCCCAAAATAGATTATTTGAAGTCTTATTTTAATTAATCCCATTGTATTGTTTCCCACAATGCATTATTCACATAGACAAAATCTCACCATTAAGGTGTCAGTGGGCACAGAAAATTACCATTATAAACCAAATTCCCATGTGAAAAGGACAAGAGCACTTGGCAAAGCAGGAAAAATTGGGCGATGACTGAAACAGCTTACTTCTCATAGATCATCAAGGATTGCTAGTGACTGAGATTCAATGAAGGGGGAAAGTCAACAAATTTAATTTGGAACCAGTGAATAAAATAGA
Organism: Homo sapiens; assembly: GCF_000001405.40. Taxonomy (NCBI): domain Eukaryota; kingdom Metazoa; phylum Chordata; class Mammalia; order Primates; family Hominidae; genus Homo; species Homo sapiens. The sequence continues at coordinate 38,791,162 of NC_000013.11, forward strand.
TGCAGTACTTCTTCAACAGCACATTTAAAAATATATGTTTTAATATAAAGCATCTGAAAAACTCTTCGTCGATATGCTTTTTTGGTGTCTCAGTTGAAAAGAGTCTAGGCCAGGATTTGTTCAAGTGAGAGCATCAAGGAACTCAGTTTCCACGTGTGAATTTGCTGCTTAAAAGTCTCTCATGTATCTTGATTATTCACCCCTTTCTTACCTTGGCCACCATCCCTAAAAGTGCATGTATGAAGAATAAAGCAAAAGTACAAAAAGCATTGTATTAGTCAGTTCTCACGCTGCTGTGAAGAAATACCTGAAAATGGATAATTTATAAAGAAGAGAGGTTTAATTGACTCACAGTTCCACATGCCCGGGAAGGCCTCAGGAAACTTACAATCATGGCAGAAGGCAGCTCCTCCTGGGGCAGCAGGAGAGAGTGAGAGCCAAGCAAAGGGGAAACCCCTTATAAAACCATCAGCTCTGAGAACTCACTCACTATCACAAGAACAGTATAGGGGAACTGCCCCCATGATTCAATGATCTCCACCTGGTCCTGCCCTTGTCACATGGGGATTATTACAATTCAAGGTGAGATTTGCATGGGGACACAGAGCCAAGCCATATCAAGCACAGAAGCCAAAAGCAACATATTTATTTCATTTGGCTTCTATCTTACCACTTCCTTGACTTTCAATGCCAGAAAGTATTTTAAAGTAAAGAGTGAGTGCACTTTGCCAGTAGTATATTTCCTCCCTCATGTCTTCATCTACTTTTATCATACTGTAGCAAACCCTATTTTTTGTCATTTAATGGGAAGTCCTTATTGTTTGTCATTGGAAATCACTACATCTACCATATACTTAACACAAATAATACAAAGATAACCATGAAAACAAAAATGTCCCTTTAGGCCAGATGCAGTGGCTCATGCCTGTAACCCCAGCACTTTGGGAGGCTGAGGCAGGCAGATCACTTGAGGTCAGGAGTTTGAGACCAGCCTGACCAACATGGTGAAACTGCATCTCTACTAAAAATACAAAAAACTTAGCCGGGTGTGGTGGCACGTGCCTGTAATCCCAGCTACTCAGGAGGCTGAGGCAGGAGAATTGCTTGAACCTGGGAGGCGGAGGTTGCAGTGAGCTGAGATCACACCACTGCACTCCAGCCTGGGCAACAAGCAAGACTCGGTCTCAAAAAATATATTTTAAAAAAGTCCCTTCAATTTTTCCATGAATCAAAATGTCTCTGGAGTGTATACAATTGTCCTCTCCTTGTCAGCAGTTTCCCTTTTCATGGTATTAGTTACCTGCAGTACAGAACAATAAGATATTTTGAGAGACAGAGACCACATTTACATAACTTTTATTTTAATATGTTGTTATAATTATTCTATGTTATTTATTATTGTTGTTAATCTCTTACTATGCCAAATTTATAAATTAAACCTTATTATATGTATGTATTTATTAGTATTTACAGGGTTTGGTACTATCTGTGTCTTCAGTCATCCACTTGGGCGTCTTAAAATGTATCCTCCACAGATAAGGGGAAACTACTACATTTGCAACTATAGGCAGCTAATATTCACTCATTTATGCAAAGCACTTTGATTTGGGATTTTTTTTTAATCATTCGATTTTCATTGCAGTACTGTAATGTGGGAGGCACTATAGCAAGGTTTTTAAGGATAAGATAAAACAAAGTAGACAATAAATTTACCTGAAATCAAATGATTAAGTATAAGCAAATACAGTGGTGCCCTCCATTTGAAATAAATTCACACTGTGAAGTTTTTGACTTAATAATGTACCGCACAAATTTTTTCTTTGAAAGAAGAAACCTGCCACTTGAAAGATTTCCTAGTTGGAGTAAATCATGAGATGGAATCTAGATAATGTTGAATTGCAGTTTAATAAATTTTTATTTTACAATAAATATTTTTTGAGAATTTTATATCACTCATTCATTCAAAAACTGTGAATTGAGCACCTGTGTGCCTGCACATGGCTAGGTGCTGGGGACATAACAGCAAACAAGAGAACCATGGCCTCTTAATTCATGGACCTTCCAGACTTTGGGGGTACACAGATAAGTGAACAGACAAGCATAAAATAAATGTGGTAAGTTCTCTACTAAGACAAGAACACCTTTCCCAAACCAGGTTCAGGAAAAACTTCTTTAAAAATGTTATTTTCTAGCTGAACTTTGAGGATGATATCAAGGTATCCCAGTGAAGAGAGAAGGAAAGTGTGTTTCTGGAGTGAGAAATTCACAAGTGCACTGGCTAAGTGGATGGGATGCCTCCGTGGAACTGAAAGCTTGGATACAGCAAAAAACTAGAGCTCAAATGAGTGAATAACAAGAGTTTGGAGAGGTGGGCGAGGAGTCAATCTTATAGGGCCCTGTGGCCATATAAAAGAGTTGTGTTTCATTCTTGCAATAGAAATAGGTGACACCTAAAAGGTTTTAGGTAAAATGACAAAATTAGATTTATATTTTAGAAATATCACTCTGCTCTGGCTGCAATGCAAAGAAAAGATTGAAGAGCTCAGGTGGCTGTTGGAGCAACACAGGTGATCGGTGACAGTGGCCTGAACAGGGTGGTTGTATGAGGATGCAGAGACCAGGAGGCATCTGAGAGATAGTGCTGAGGAAGAATGGGCATGTCATGGTAATTGATTGGACAGGAAAGTCTGAAGGATGATGCTTTGGTTTCTAGTTAGAGCTGTTGGGTTAAGAGTGGTACAGTTCACTGAGATGGGGAGAATAAAGGTAGAATGGGCTTAGGAATAAAAAACAATGAATTTATTTAAGGCATGCTAGTACGAAAGAAATGCCTGCTTGACTTCAAATGCGGGATATCAAATAGGCAACTGAAGATATAGGCCTGATTAGGAATTCTGCACTAGACCATTCTGTGCTAGAGGCATTGTGACAAGCTCTCTCTATGGATAATGATAAAAATCTTAGGAAAAGATAAAATTACTTAAGAGACCTGCAAAAGTGGACCTAGTATGATTTATAATATGGATGGATTTACACTAATTCTCATTTAAAGGAAAGGAATAGATTTCATGAATGCTAAACAGAAGATGACAAATGATAAATAGAATAGTCAGTATTAAGGGTATGACCATCCCAGCAAAGAAGGTGCTAAAAAGAATCTAAGAACCAAACACATCTCAGTGTCTGAGTTTAATAAAACATGCCTAACTCTGCACTATTCAGCATGTGACAAGCTATGTCATTGTTTATTCCTGTTGCTTACTAAAAGATTTTAACCAGCTTATTTTGTGTATTTTTCTTTACCACGTGCAAATATTTCACCAATTTTTGAAATAATAGGAAAGATTAACTTTATTTTAGAGGAATTTGCTTTTTGACCATCTTTGTTGGTATACTTCTTATCTTACTAGCTTTTTGGTCAAATTTTATTAATGTCTAAGCTTCAGTTTCCATGGGTTTGAAATGGGGATACTAGTTTTACCTGTGTATTCTTCGTTTTTTTTTAATAAATTGATATCTTGATGTTTTATCTGTCATGCATATTGTTTATACATGATAAAAACATTGCTAGCTATACAGTACTGTGTGTGCAGTTTTATCAGTTCAGCATGGAGAGAAGAATGCCCAGTTCAATGGGGAGAAAGTCAAATTTCATTCATATGCAATACTACACATACAATACTAACAGCTGCCACTTTTGACCACTTTACTATATACTAAGGACTTTACATGAATAATCCAGTTAAACCTCAAAGCAACTTTATGATATAGGTATAAGTATCTTCTCCATTTGATAGATGGAAAAATTGAGACCTGGAGAAAATTACTTAAGATCACACAAATGTTAAGTGTTGAATATATGTCCTAAATTTAGGTCTGCTTACCTCAGATAACATGTGCATTACCACTAGGCTGTAATGAATCCTGAATCTCCTCAAAAGGATTAAAATATAAGTATTACCTAATGATCTCACTGAAGGGAGGAAATTGGCATGGAATCCGGAAAAAAATGGTCCAAAAACATATAGGTCAACATTGGTCAAGAAGGAGATGTTTCTGAGGGTAGCCAATATTGCAGTCACTAAAAATTTGCAGTTGGAGTAGGGAAAATGTTCAAGCCTGTTGTACACCCTGGATGAGGTGTCCTATATGGCTTTCCAACATATTTTTTTTTTTCTGATTGCTGTGTTCTTTTCTGGTAGTGGGTATACTAGATGAGGAATCAACCAAACAACTATTCCCTGACTAAAGATAAATGAATCCCTTGTAACTTTAAAAAAATTCTTTTGTTTTTTACTAATACAAAAATGTACATATTTATGAGGTACATGTGAGTATTTGTTACATGCATAGAATGTGCAATGATCAGTTCAGGATATTTGGAGGATATTCATCACCTTGAATATTTATCATTTCTATGTGTTGGTAACATCTCTAGTCCTCTCTTTCAGCTACTTTGAAATATACAATACATCATTGCTAACTATAGTCACCCAAATCTGCAATCAAATATTGGAGCTAATTTGTTCTGTATAATTACATATTTGTACTCACAAACACACCTCTCTTTATCCCCACTCCCATCCACATACCCTTCCCAACCTCTGGTATCTATCATTCTATTCTCTGTCTCAATGGGAATCAATTTCTTTAGCTCCCACTTACGAGGCAGAATATGCAGTATCTGTCTTTCCATGCCTGGCTTATTTCACTTAACTTAATAACCTCCAGTTCCATCCATGATGTTGAAAAATGACATGATTTCATTCCTTTTGGTGGCCAGATAGTATTCCCTTGTGTGTATACACGATAGTTTTCTTTCTTTCTTTCTTTCTTTTTTCTTTCTTTCTTTCTTTTTTTGTCGAAATGAGACTTTATTGAAAAGATGTTGGGAAGCTCATAGAATCATTAAGGTGGCTGGCAAATCAGGTTTAGATAATGGGCAGAATCCAAGGGAAAACAGGTACCTGGATCTCATCCATAACTGTGTACAGCAACTGTTGTACCCTGGCTACCAGAACTTGAGCCATCACTGTTGGAGCTGGATATAGGATACCCTATGAGATCCTCTGGAACGGATGACCCTAGAAACTGGATGTTGCTGTGGCTACTTCCAGAGCAATTTCTCTCTGCCATTATTACTCATGTCACTTGCTTTACAGTCAATGTTCTGGTAAAGAACTGGGGCTGGGTATTGTGTCTTCATCCTAACTCAGATGGTAGGGGAAAGTAATTATCTGAACTTTTTGGTTGTTGTCATGAGATATTCTTTATATTCCACCATGACTCAGATAATGGGGAAGTTCCCCAAAACAGAGGATGGCAATTCTGATGCTAGGCATTTTAACAACTGTAAAAAGTACCTCCCTAACCCCCCAGCCCCATTCCCCTACAAAATGACTATGGTTATTCTCTCATGCCATGTCCATATTTCAGTTCTGTGAATATAATGCACTTGATTGCTTGTGAATTCATAAGTATACATGATAGTTTCTTTATTCATCTGTCAATGGACACTTAGGATGATTCCATATATTTGCTATTATAAATAGTGCTGCAATGAACACACAAGTGCAGGTATTCCTTTGATATATAGGTATCTTTTTCTTTGGATAAATACCTAGTGCTAGGATTGCTGGATAGTATGGTGGTTCTATTTTTAGTTTTTTGAAAAATTTTTATACTGTTTTTTCTGGGTTTTTTGTTTGTTTCTGTTTTTGTTTTGTTTTGTTTTTTTGAGGCAGAGTTTTGCTATGTTTCACAAGCTGGAGTGCAGTGGTGCAATGATAGCTGCAGCCTTGAACTCTTGGATTCAAGCAATCTTCCTGCCTCAGCCTCCAGAGTAGTTAGGACTAAGGTGCACACCACCACACCTGGCTATTTTCTTTAAATTTTTTGTAGAGATGGGGTCTCTCTATGTTGCCCAGGCTGGTCTAGAACTCCTGACTCAAGCAATCCTCCCACCTTACCTTTGAAAGCATGGTATTAAAGGTGTAAGTCACCTCACCCAGCTTACTATACTGTTTTTTTATGGTGATTGTACTAATTTACATTTCCACCAAGAGGGTGTGAGTTCTCTTTTGTCCGCATCCTCACCTGCTTCTGTTATTTTTTGTCTTTTTAATATTAGCCAGTCTAACGGGTAAGATGCTGTCTCATTGTGATTCTGATTTACATTTCCCTGATGCTTAGTGATGTTGCACATTTTTTCATATATCTGTTGGCTATGTATATCTTTTTTTGAGAAATGTCTATCATCTCCTTAGCCTAGTTTTTAATGGGATTATTTGTATTTTTTTAAAAAATTGCTGAGTTGTTTGAATACCATGTATATTTTAAATTTTACTTCCTTGTCAGATAAATAGTTTGCAACTATTTTCTCCCATTCAATAGTTTGTCCCTTCACTCTGTTGATCATTTCCTTTGATGTTTAGAGGCTTTTTAATTTAATATAGCCCCATTTGTCTATTTTCATTTCTCTCTCTGTGCTTTTGAAGTTTTAGCTGTAAAATCTGCCTAGACAAATGTTCCCAAGTTTTCCCCATTTTTTTCCTAGTAGTTTTATAGTTTCATAGTAGTTCTTAGTTTTTATAGTTTTATAGTAGTCTTATATTTAAGTCTTTAATCCATCTTGACTTGATTTTTGTATATGGTGAGAGACAGGGGTCCAGTTTCATTCTTCTGCATATAGATATCCAATTTAGCCAGCAACATTAGTCTTTGGGTTTTCTAGATATAAAATAATGTCATCAGAATATAGGGACAATTTGACTTACTTTTTTTCCAGTTTTAATTCCTTTTCTTTCTTTCTCTTGCCTGATTGCTGTGGGGAGGACTTTCAGTAGTTTGTTGAATAGGAGTGGTGAAAGCAGGCATCCTTATCTTGATCTATACCTTAGAGGAAAGGCTTTCAGCTTTTTCCTGTTGAACATGACGTTAGCTGTGGGTTTGTTATATATGGCCTTTATTATTTTGAAGTAAGTTTCTTCTATTCCTAGTCTTGTTGAGCATTTTTATTATGATGGATGTTTAATTTTCTCAAATGCCTTTTCTGTGTCTATTGAGATGATTATATGGTTTATATCTTTCATTCTGTTGATGTGATGTATCATGATTATTAATCTGCATATGTTGAACCATCCTTGCAACCCTGTTTTAAATTGCACTTGATCACGGTGTATTATCTTTTTGATGTGCTGTTGGATGTGCTAGTATGAGAATTTTTGCATCTATGTTTATCAGGGATATTGGCCTATAGTTTTGTTGTTATTGTTGTTGTGTCCTTATTTGGTTTTGAAATCAGGGTAATACTGTCCTGATAATGATTTTGGAAGTATTCCTTCTTTATCTATTTTTTGTACTAGTTTTAGAAGAATTGCTGTTAAGTTCTTCTTCATACATTTGGTAGAATTCTGCAGTGAATTTATTAAGTCCTGAGCTTTTCTTTGTTGGGAGACTTTTCATTACTGATTCAATCTTGCCACACATTATTGAACTGTTCAGATTTTCTATTTCTTTCTGATTTAATCCTGGTAGGTTGTATATTTTCAGGAATTTATCCATTTCCTCTAGGTTTTCCAGTTTGTTTGTTAGTCTGTAGTTGTTCATAATAGTCTCTGATGATCATTTGTATTTCTGTCATGTCAGTGGTAAAGTTTCCTTCTTCCTTTCTGATTTTGTTTATTTGGGTCTTCTATCTTTTGTTGGTTAGTATATCTAGAGGTTTATCAATTTCATTTAGCTTTTCAGAGAACCAACTTTTTCTTTCACAGATTCTTTGTGTGGGTTTATTTCTTGTTTAGTCTCTGTTTTCTTCAGTTCTGTTCTGATCTTTATTATTTCTTTCCTTTTGCTAATTTGAGGTTTGGTTTGTTCTTGCTTTTTGGTTCCCTGAGGCGCATCATTATGTTGTTTATTTGAAGTATTTCTACATTTTCGATGTAGGCATTTATTGTTATAAACTTCCCTCTTAGAGCTACTTTTGCTCTATCACACAATTTATGTATTTTCATTTTTATTTGTTTCAAGAAATTTTTTTTCTATCTAAATTTTTTCCTTGCAATAGTCATTCAGAAGCATGTTGTTTAATTTTCATGTATTTGTATAGGTTCCAAAGTCCCTTTTTTGTTGATTTCTAGTTTTATTCCATTATGGTCTGAGCAGATGCTTGATAAAATTTTTCTTTTAAAAAATTTGTTGAGGCTTGTTTTGTGGCCTAACATATGGTCTATCCTGAAGAATGTTCCATGTAATGATGAGAATAATGTATATTCTGCAGTTGTGGGATAAAATGTTATTTAAATATCTGTTAGGATCATTTGTTCTGTAGTCTAGTTTAAAACTAATATTTCTTTGTTTATTTTCTGTCTCAATGATCTGTCTAGTGCTGTGAGTGGGGTGTTGAAGTCCCTTGCTATTATTGTATTGCTGTCTGTGTTTTTCTTTAGACCTAGTAATATTTATTTTATGAATCTTGGTGCTCTAGTTTTGGGTGCATATGTATTTTGGATTGTTATATTCTCTTGTTGAATTGATCCCTTTATCAATATATAGTGACCTTCTTTCTCTTTCTTTCTTTCTTACTGTTTTTGACTTAAAGTCTGTTTTACCTAATATAAGTATACCTACTCTTATTTTATTTTGGTTTCCATTTGCTTGGAATATCTTTTTCCTCACTTTATTTTGAATCTATATGTGTCTTTGAAGGTAAAGTGCATTTCTTATAGGCAGCATATATTTGAATTGTTTTTCTTTATCCATTCAGCCAGTCTGTATCTTTCAAGTGGAGAATTTAATCAATTTTCTTCCAAAATTATGATTGATATATGCGACTTTGTTACTGTCATATTGCTAATTGTTTTCTGGTTATTTTATATATTATCTGTTACTTTTTTTCCCTCTTATTGTTTGTCGTTGTGGTTTGGTGTTTTACTGTAGTGGTATCATTTGAGTCCTTTCTTTTCCTCATTTGTAAGTTTGGATTACAAATGAGTTTTACAGTTTTGTGTGTTTTCATGATGGTGAAAGTCGTCTTTTCACTTACAAGTTTAGGGATCCCTTGAACATTTCTTGTAGGGCCAATCTAGTGGTTATGAATTTAATCAGCATTTTCTTATCTAGGAAATACTTTATTTCTTCTTCATTTATGAAGGATAATTTAGTTAGATATAGTATTCTTGAGTGGCAGACTTTTTTTTCTTTCAGTACTTTGAATATGTCATTATCTCCGGGCACATAAAGTTTCTGCTGAGAAATCCACTGTTGGTCTGATGGGAGTTCCTTTATAGGTGACTAGAAGCTTTTCTCTTTCTGGTTTTAGGATCCTTTTTTGCTTTGACTTTAGACACTTTGACTATAATGTGCTGTGGAGAAGACCTTTCTGAGTTACATCTGTTTGGGGATATATGGGCCTCCTATATCTGAATGTCTAGGTCTCTTGCTAGACTTGGGAAATTTTCGTCTGTTATTCTGTTAAGTAGGGTTTTTGAGACAGAGTCTCACTTTGTCACCCAGGCTGGAATGCAATGGTGCAATCTCAGCTCACTGCAAACTCCACCTCCCGGGTTGAAGCAATTCTCTTGCCTCAGCCTCCCATGTAGCTGGGATTAGAGGTGCACACCACCATGCCCAGCTAATTTTTATATTTTTAGTAGAAATGGGGTTTCACCATGTTGGCCAGCCTAGTGTCGAACTCCTGACCTCAGGTGATCTGCCCATCTCAGCCTCCCAAAGTGCTGGAATTATAGGCATGAGCCACCACACCCAGCAATTAAGTTGGTTTTTTAACCCTTTCATTCTCTCTTTTCCTGCAGAGACAGCAATAATTTGAATATGTGGTTGCTTTATTTGGTACTAAATGTCATGAAGACATTGATCATTCTTTTTCTTTTTGTCTGACTGGATTATTTTAAAAGACCTGTCTTCAAGTTCTGAGATTCTTTCTTCCACTTGATCTACTCTATTGTTGAAACTTGTGAATGTATTTTGTATTTCATTCAGTGAATTCCTCAGTTCCAGAATTTCTGTTTGGTTGTTTAAAAAATTATTTCTTTGGTAAAATTATCATTTATATCCTGAATTGTTTTGTTGATTTCTCTCTATTGTTTTTCAGAATTATCTTGTATCTCACGGAGCTTCATTAAAATTAGCATTTTTAATTCTTTGGGATTTTGTGAATTTCCTTTTGATAGAGGTCTGTTGTTGGAGAATTATCATGCTTATTTGAAGATTTCTTTCCATGCTTTTTCATGTTTCCTGTGTCCTTATGTTGATATCTGTGCATCTGGTGTAACTATTGCTTCTAATTTTTTGAATTTACTTTTTTAGGTGATGACTTTTTATTGACGATCTATATATGGTTTTGGTTGGAGAGGGTGCATTACCTTTGATTTAAGTGCATGCAGTAGTGTAATATTCATATGATTTTATTGACTGTAAATAACATCCATGGTATCTGTGATTTTCTCTGTGGCCTAGGGTATCATTATTAGTAGAAGCTGTGCTGAAGATGCTCTGGGAACTAGGATGCTAGGTAGGCCAGTCTTTGAGCCCCAGTGGTGGCAGTGGTAACCTAAGCATGCCTGTCTGTAGGCCCCAAGGTAGTATATGCTGGTACCAGTATTAGTGGGTCATGGTGGCCCAGTTCGTTGGCTTTCATGTGGCTTGCTCAGATGCTATCAGTGGCAGTGGTAGGCCAGGAATGTGGGAGGGTTCTTGGTTTTCTGGACCATGGATATAATGTGGGAACCCAAGAGGTCTGTTGTGGTGGCTGCAATAGATTGGGCACGCACATATGGGTAGATGTCATCTGTGGTGATATCGGCAGGTTGGTTTGCCCCAACCTCAGATCCCAACATTATTCAGCTTCCAACAGTGGCAAACTGAGATGGATGATTTCCAGACCCCTGGATGGTGTATTCAAACACTGAGAGGACAGGACCAGGCTGGTAGACTTGTCTTCAGGACCCCCGGTAGTGTGTTCAGGTGCTGGTTTTGATAAGCGAGGTGGGGTTGTTCCCCCGCCACCAGTGGAGTGCTCAGGTGTGGGAAACAGCAGATTATCGTGGGCCTGCCACCAGGGCAAGTGGGGCCACTCTCAATGGGAACAGAGTAAGGAGGTAGCTGTGGGATGCATGGTTTCCTTTCTCCTCAGTCCCACAGCAGCCGGCAACAGTGACAATTACCTGCTTGGCCTCTTCTCTCCTTTTTTGGCCCAGCAGCAGCAGTGGCAACATCAGCCCCAGCTCCAGGGCATAACGCAGGCCTTTGGAGGCTGGGCTTTCAGGATATCCCCACCTGTGGGCCTGCCACCAGGAAGGCAGGGCTATCTCAGTGGGAACAGAATAGATAGGTAGCTGTGGGGAGTGCAGTTTGATTGCACCCCAGTCCCACAACAGCCCACCCCAATGGCAGTAAGATTTTTCCTGGAAGTATGTGAAGATGCTCAGCCTGTCTCTGCCCCTCCTTGGCATGGTAGCAGCAGTGGCAGCATCAGCTCCAGGATAAGACACAGTCCTTTGGGGGTTTGATTCTCAGAATGGCACCAAGCTGTAGCTGCTGAAGGCTCAGAAGCCTGTGGTACTCAGCGTAAGTTTCCTCTCTAGAGCAATGCCTCTGTGCAACCTGTAGGCATCTCCCTATGACAATCACAAGCCCCATATAGGTCGAGGGGTCTCCTGTAGCTGGGATTGTGAAAGTTTGTAGAGGGAATATGGAGCCCTGGGGGTCTGTCACTTACCCTTTCCGCACTTGTGGGAGGTTCTCCCAGCTCCCAGCCAATCCCAGCTGAGCAGGTTGCCTTGCTTCCCTCTCCTTCTTTGCTTTTGGTGCTTCCCATTGCTTCTCTGTTGAATCCCAATATGGTCCCTTAGATTGTCTATTCAAAGTTTGAATATTTGCTATTTCGGTTTCTTTCCATGGATGAGGCATGTACTAGCTGCATCTAGTCAGCCCTCTTGAACTCTGGACCTCCTTATAACTTTGTAACTCAGGGCAAATCTGAAATTTTACATGTGAATTTGTTCTCTAAAGCTATATTACCTCTCAATAAAATTATGAAATTATGTTTTTGTGCTCACAGAGTGGAAGATCAAGCCCTGCCTTACTAGTGACTTCTCTTAGTTGCAATGTCTGAGAAGTCCAGCTGAGGCCAAAGCTTTTCTCTGTGCTAACTCTTAACTGTGTGCAAGTAGGTCAGGGGCGCTAGAAGTACAGGAACAGGTCTTGATGAAACCTGTGTCGCGTCTTTAAGACACGGCTAAAATTTTTGTACTGCAGCATGTTTACACACAAGCAACACAACTGATGTTAAGAACAATGCTCTCATTTTGTGCAGATATCAAACATCTGACATCGATGTCTTTGGTCCTCAGTACTTCAGTAATTTTACAATTTAATACGCAGTATTGTTTCACTAGGGTCAGTATTAAGTCAGTGTTAACAATATTTCACTAATCTTTACTGTCAGTCTTAGGAAGGTAATTAAGGAACATTCAAACTGAATCTATTCTCTGCCTTTGTGTGACAACCCGCAGGGGTTTTAGCTAAAGTGGCTTGCTTCCTGGACCACCCTGCAAAAATTACCATACTAGATATAAGCCAGGCACATGTAAAAGGCAACATGGTGAGCTCTGTGGTAAATGTAACTCAGTTCAGTGCTGTTCAAAAGCTTACTGACATCAGAAAAGCTTTCTCAACAGCAGGAGTACCTTGGAGAAGAAAACATTTCTAGTGCTAGAAAAATACATCATGGTATGGTGGGTGTGTGAATGAAATTTTTTTATTCATTTGTGCCTAGCTGAAAGACCTAATCACCATCTGTTTTTGTTTGAATACAATTATTTGCATTACGCTTGCAAGCTCCCAAAAACTAACGGCAGAACAGTCATTATAAGAAATGGCCAGATTCCTTTAAAGTAACAACTTGAGAAAGTCACATTCTGTATTTGGTATACTTGAGTTAGAACAAAATGAAAAATCAAAAAGTAGAAAAATGAGTTTCTAATTTCTCCGAATATTAATGCAATGTAGCCATTGGTAGCCTATTTAATATAGTTGATGATTCTAACAATTCGCTGAAAGTCAGTTGATGATTAGCAAGTGCCAACAAAGTGAAAGCATTCCAGGGATTCACTGAATAGTAAAAATTATACCAATTTTTCCACATGAGAAGGATACTAGATAGAAAAATGTAGATATTATAGTCTGAAAACAAAAATCAAAATAAATCAAACAGTATGTATAAAATATCTTGCCATTTAAAAAATATCCAATGTCAAAAACTACATGCATGTAGCAAATCTTTGCTCTGCACATACTAAATACGGTATGTGGGGGGATACAAAGACATTTAAAATATAGGCCAAGAACTCACAATACTTAAAATCTGTTTGAAAGGAAAAGCTAAGTATGTAAAAAGCTAAACAAGAATAATTTATTTTAGTAAGAATTTGAAACAGTAAAAAGACTAAGAGAGCAGAGTGTGATTAAAAGCAATTGTATGAATCATTCTGAGTCAGAGGAAGAACAGATGAAGCATTTAAAAGATGAAAAGGATGTAGATGAATGAAGAATAAGGCTACGTATTGTCAGATTGCATGAGAGAAAGCTTGAGGGAGGGAAAGGCTTTTGGGCACAGTGAGCATTCCAGTTTGGCCAGGCTCCCTTTTTATGTGGAAGGTTTAATGCCCAGCTCCTTGGATTGGGAGTTAGGAGTCCTGGGCTGTAGACAAATTTTTGCAATTTTCCAGCCAATAATTCCTGATCAAACAACCTTTCTTCTTAACCAATCCAGCTTTCTTCTCTAGCCAATTTTCCTCATTTGAAGCATGAGCATATTTTTACCTGAATTTCTTACCTTATGGCATGTTTTTTGAGTAACAAATAATATGATCTATATAAAAGCACTTTAAAAACCAAGCAAAAGAAAAATAAGAGTCATTGGCAGTAGAGCCTGGATAAACGAGCTTGAAGCACATTTATTTGATAGGAAGCACCTGGATGTTTTTGAATAAGAGAATTAAATAATCAGAGCAGTGTTTCAAGGTTATTAATGATATAGCAGTGTACGTGAAAAGAAATGTAGGGTAAGGAGGTGAGGCTAGAAAGGAAAGGACTCACTGCTAAGAAAAACCTGACATAACTAGGACATCACAGAGGGAGGAAGGAGGAGAGGGATTGAAAAAAAATCTACGTTCAAAAAAGATTGTGCGTGGAAGCTCCAAAAAACTGAGGTACCATTATAGGAGGTTAGGAGAAGGAATTAGTCTAGGGAAAGAAAGATGGAAGAAGATGAGACTCTATTTAAACATACTAAGATAGAGCTACCTGCAGGGCATGCAGGTGAAACCAGGCAATAGGCCGGTAAAATACAGAACTAACTAAGCTGAAGTTTGAGATTTATAAGTCACATGTCTGATGGTGGCAGTTGAAATAAGGAGGGTAGATGACATCTACAAGAAAGAGAAGAGAGGGTGAAGAAAGTCAATTACTTGCAGTAGAATTTTATCTATAGTTATAATAAATTGAGTATGTGAAGTGGAATAATGAAAGGTTACCAGACTATATTTCTACTAAATATTAATGTATAGATTTTTTGGCTGTTAGCTACAAATAGTAATTATCACTTGTTATATATTAAGAAAATTGTGAAAATGTGCGGTATTAAGTACATTAATGGAATTGTCAAATAATAAATATACCTTTAGGCCCTTTTAAATAAGCTGTTATTAAATCTTGACTATTAAAAATAGAAATTAAAATACTGTTGTGTGGTTTCATTCCATCATTTTGTAACTCATTTCAGGTAAATTTAAACCACTTTTTTGATAGTCATTTAACATCTTTTTTTTTTTTTGTAATAGTTTCCGGAGAAAGGTTGCAAAATTACAGGATTCATTCACTTTTAACAAACACATGAGTGGGAGAGGGTAGGAAAAAAATGAACATTGTGAGGGTGAGTGAGTCATTCACTAAATACAAGTAGGAGGGTCCAGAGAAGAGAGACTTCTCCATGTTTCACTTGTGGGAGGACTTGTGGCCCCATGAATCCCAATTTCTAGCCCTTTCTACTTAATTCTAAACTTTGATTCAGAACCCACCAGGCCAGCTGTTTATGGAGAATAGTTTTATAAGGGAGGAAGTGCGCAGTGCACAGATTAAAAGAAAAGCAAATTTGAGCTTCCTGAAGCTGGATGCCCATATCTCTCCTAGAACTTGGGAAGTTTTCTGATATGTCTGTAATACCTCAGAGATGTTGAGAGTTTGGTTCCAGACCGCTACAATAAAGCAACTATTGCAATAAAGCAAGTCACACAAACTTTTCATTTTCCCCGGCATGTAAAACTTATGCTTACAGTATGCAATAGTCTATTAAGTATGCAATAGTATTGTGTCTAAAAATGTACATACCTTAAATAAAAAATACTTAAAATACTTTATTGCCAAAAAATGCTAATGATTGTCAGAGCCTTCAGTAATTTGTAATCTTTTTGCTGGTGTAGGTTCTTGTCTCAATGTTGATGGCTGCTTATGGATCAGGGTTGCGGAAGGTTGGGATGGTTGTGGTAATTACTTAAAATAAGACAACAATGAAGTATCTGCACCTTGTGATACTATTTGATAGCATTTTACTCACAGTAGAACTTCATTCAAAATTGGAGTAAATTCTTTCAAACTCTGTCACTGCTTTATCAGCTAAGTATATATAATAAACTAAATCCTTTGTTGTCATTTGAACAATGTTTACACCATCTTCACCAAAAGTAGATTCCATCTCAAGAAACCACTTTCTTTCCTTATTCATTAGAAGCAACTTCTCATCCACTCAGGTTTTATGATAAGATTGCAGTGATTGAGTCATATTGTCAGGCTCCAATTCTAGCTCTCTTGCTTTTTTTGCCACATCTGTAGTTACTTCCTCCACTGAAGTCTTGAACCCCTCAATGTCATCCATGAGGGTTTGAATAAATTTTTTTCAACCCCCTGCTCATGTTGATATTTTGACCTTTTTGCAGAGATCTTGTCTCTGTTATATATATATATATATATATATATATATATATATATATGTATGGTTTTGTTTTGTTTTGTTTTTTGCAGAGACAAGATCTCACTATGTTGCCCAGGCTGGTCTCAAACTCCTGGGCTCAAGCAATCCTCTGACCTCAGCCTCCCAAATTACTGGGATGATAGCTGGGATTATAGGCATGAGCCACCACACCCAGCAAATTACATATATTCTTAACGACATCTAGAATGGTGAATTTTTCCAGAGAGTTTTCTACTTACTTTGACCAGATCTATCAGATAAATCACTGTCTATGGCAGCTATAGCCTTACAAAATGTATTTTTTAAATGATAAGACTTCAAAGTTGAAATGACTCCTTAATCCATGGGCTGCAGAATGGATGTTATATTAGCATATTTAAAAACAACATTAATATTCTTATATATCTCTATCAGAGCTATTGGGTAACTAAGTGCATTGTAAATGGGAAGTAATATTTTTAAAGCAGTCCTTTTTTCTGGGCAGTAAGTCTCAATGGTCAGCTTAAAATATTCATTAAACTATGTTGTAAACGGATGTACTGTCATCTAGGCTTTGTTGCTCCATTTACAGAGCACAGAGTAAATTTAGAATAATTCTTAAATTACCTAAGGTTTTCTGATTGGTAAATGACCGTTGGCTTCAACCTAAAGTTACCAGCTGCATTAGCCCCTAATAAGAGAGTCAGGCTTTCCGTTGAAGCTTTGAAGCCAGGCATTGAATTCTCTTATTTGGCTACGAAAGTCCTAGATGGCTTCTTCTTCAAATATAAGGCTGTTTTTTCTCCAATGAAAATGTTATTTAGTGTAGCCCTCTTCATCCTTCATTTTAGTGAGATCTTCTGGATAACTTGCTACAGCTTCTACGTCAGCACTTGCTGCTTTACCTTGCACTTTAATGATTTAGAGACGGCTTCTTTCCCTAAACCTCATGAAGGAACCTCTGTTAGCTCCCAACTTTTCTTCTGAAGCTTCCTCGCCCCTCTCAGAATTGAAGAGAGTTAAGGCCTTGCTCTGAATTAGGCTTTGACTTAAGGGGATGTTTTGGCTGGTTTGATATTCTATCCCAACCACTCAAACTTTCTCCGTATCATCAAAATGGCTATTTCGCTTTCTTATCATTTGTGTGTTCACTGGAATAGCATTTTAAATGTCCTTCAAGAGCTATTCCTTTCCATTCACAACTTGGATAACTGTTGGGCACAAGAGGCTGGTTTCAGTTTTTGACATACCTTCCTCACTAAGCTTAATCATTTTTAGCTTTTGATTTAAAGTGAGAGACATGAAACTCTTCTTTTCACTTGAAAACTTAGAAGCTATTGTAAGCTTATTAATTGGCCTGATTTCAGTATTCTTGTGTCTCAGGGAATACAGAGGCCCAAGGAAAGGGAGACTAATGGGAGAACAGCTGATTGGTGGAACACTCAGGACAAATGCATCATTTATCAATTAAGTTTGACCTCTTCTATGGGCGCTGTTTGTGGCACCCCAAAATAATTACAATAGTAACATCAAAGATCACTGATCATAGGACACTATAACAACTGTAATAATAATAAGTTTGAAATATTCTGAAAATTTTCAAAACGTGCTGCAGAGAAACAAAGTGAGAGCACATGCTGTTGGAAAAATGATGCAGATAGACTTGCTTGCCACAGGTCTTCAATATGTTAAAAATAAAAACCCAAAAAACAAAATCTGTGAAGAACAATAAAGCAAAACACAATATAAGGAGGTATGTCTGTGTTTCATTAAACAGGTTTTTGGGTTTTTGGTGCTTTTCTCCATCTCTTCTCCATCTGACATTCTTCTGACGGAAATACCTGTTCACTTATTTATGTCCTGTTAAGTTCCATAGGCTTTATTTTTTCATTTTTTAAAATTGTTATTTTTTTTCTTTGACGGATTATCTTAAAAGCCTTGTCTTCAAGTTCAGAAATTCTTCTGCTTGATCTAGTTTATTTTTTATACTCTCAGTAGTATTTTTTATATCATTCATTGAATTTTTCAGCTCCAAGATTTCTGTTTGGTTCATTTTAATGATATATATCTACTTGGGGAGTTTATCATCCAGATCCTGAATTGTTTTTTAAATTTTCTTTTTTTTTTAAATTTTTGCAGGTACGTAGTAGGTGTATATATTTTTGTTTTGGCTGCCTGTGCTTATGGGGTATTGTGCAAGAGATTTTTTGCCCTGACCAATGTCCTGGAGAGTTTCCACAAAATATTCTTGTAGTAGTTTTATAGTTTGAGGTCTTAAATTTAAGTCTTTAATCCATTTTTATTTGATGTTTGTATAAGGCGAGAGATAGGGATTAAGTTTCATTATTCTGCATATGAATATTCAGTTTTCCCAGAACAATTTATTGAAGAGACTTTTTCCCAAAGTATGTTCTCAGCACCTTTGTCAGAAAATGAGTTTACTGTAGGTGTACGGATTGGTTTTTTGGGTTATCTTTTTTGTTTCATTGGTCTAAGTGTCTGTAGATAGTACCAAGTTAGTACCATGCTGTTTTGATTACAGTCGTTCTGTAGTATAATTTGAAGTGAGTTAATGTGATTCCTTCAGTTTTGTTCTTTTGCTCAGGAAAGATTTAGCTATTCTGGGTCTTTTGTGATTCCATATAAATTTTAGGATTGTTTTTTCTACTTCTGTGAAGAATGTTATTGGTATTTTTATAGGGATTGCATTAAATCTATGGATTGCTTTGAGTAGTATGAACATTTAAAAATATTGATTCTTCTAATCTATGCACATGAAATATCTTTCCATTTTTGTGTCCTCAATTTCTTTCATCAGTGTTTTATGGTTTTGTTGTAGAGCTCTTTCATTTCTTTGTTTAAGTTGATTCCTAAGTATTTAATTTTATTTGTGGCTATTGTAAATGAAATTAATTTTTAAATTTCTTTTTCAGATTGTTCAACTTGACATATAGGAATGCTATTGATTTTTATGTTGATTTTGTATCCTGCAACTCTAATGAATTTATCAGTTATAATATTTTTGGTCGAATTTTTAGGTTTTTTTTCTGAATATAAGATTATATCATCTGCAAAAAAAGGAAAATTTGATTTCTTTCTTTTCAATTTAGATGACCTTTATTTCTTTCCCTTGCCTGATTGTTCTAGCTGAGACATCCAGTTATATGTTGGTTAACAGTGGTGAAAGTGGACATCCTTTTCATGTGCCAGATCTCAGAGAAAGGGCTTTCAGGTTTTCCCCATTCAGTATGATGCTAGCTGTGGGTCTGTTTTATATGGTTTTCATTATGTTGATATATGTTCCGTCTATACCCAGTTTTTTGAGGGTTTTATCATGAAGGATGTTGAACTTCATCAAATGCTTTTTCAGCATCAATTGAAAAAAACATATGGTTTTTATCCTTTATTCTGTTTATATGATGTAACACATTTATTGATTTGCATATGTTAAACCATCCTTGCATTCCTGGAATAAATCCTATTTGGTCATGATGAATAATATTTCAAATATATTATTAAATTTGGTTTTCTAGTATTTCATTGAGGATTTTTACATCAATATTCATCAGAGATATTAGCCCATAGTTTTCTTTTTTTATATGTCTTTATCTGACTTTGGTATCAGGATAATGATAGAATGAGTTTGAAAGTATTCCCTCTTCCCCTATTTTTCAGAACAGTTTTAATAGGATTAGTATTAGTTCTTCTGTAAATGTTTTGGTAGAATTCAGCAGTGAAGCTGTCAGCTCCCAAGCTTTTCTTTACTGGAAAACTTTTTATTATGGCTTTAATCTTGTTATTAATCTCTTCAGGTTTGAGATTTCTACACAGTTCAATCTTGGTAAATTAATTTTTTATATTACATTAATTTTGAATAATTTATCCATTTCTTCTCTGTTTTCCAATTTATTGGCATATGGTTACTCATAGTCACTAATGATCCTTTGAATTTCTGTGATATTAGTTGTAATGCCTCCTTTTTCATCACTGATTTTATTTATTTGGATCTTCTCTCTTTTTTTCTTAGTCTGGCTAACAGTTTTGTCAATGTTGTTTATCAATAACAACTTTTTGTTTTATTGATCTTGTGTATTATATTCTTCATTTCAAATTCATTTATTTCTGCTCTGATTTTTATTAATTCTTCTACTAATTTTGGTTTAGTTTACTCTTGCTTTTCTAGTTATTGAACATGAATTATTAGGTTATTTATTTGAAGTTTTTTCTGTTTTTTGATGTAAGCATTTATAGCTATAAGTTTCCCTTTTAGTACTGCTTTGCTGTATCCCATAGGTTTTGGTATGTTGTGTTTCCATTATCATTTGTTTCAAAAAATTTTTCAGTTTCCTTCTTAATTTCTGCATTGGCCCACTGGTCATTCCGGAGCATATTGTTTATTTCCATGTGTTTGTATGGTTTCCAAAGTTTATCTTGTTTTTGATTTGTAGTTTTATTCTATAGTGGTCAGAGAATATCCTTTATATTATTTCAATTTTTTTGACTGTTTTAAGACTTGTTTTGTGACCTAACGTATGGTCTGTTCTTGAGAATGATTCCTGTTCTGAGGAGAAAAATATGTATTCTGCAGTTGTTGGATAAATGTAAATATCTATTAGGTCCATTTGTTCTGTAGTGCAGATTAAGTCAGATGTTTCTCCATTGATTTTCTGTCTAGAAGATCTGTCCAATGCTGAATGTGAAGACTTGAAGTCTCTAGCTGTTATTGCATTGGGCTCCATCTCTCTCTTTAGCTCTAACAATGCTTACTTTATATATCTGTGTGCTCCAGTGTTGGGTGCATATATATTTACAATTATTGTATCTTCTTACTGAATTAACCCCTTTATCAGTATACAATGACCTTCTTTGTCTTTTCTTGCAGTTTTTGTCTTGAAATCTATAGTGTCTTATATAAGTATAGCTACTCCTGCTCTTTTTTGGTTTCCATTCGTGTGGGATATCTTTTTCCATTCATTTATTTTCAGTCTATGTGTATCTTTATAAGTGAAGTATGTTTCTTATAGTCAAGAGATCATCGAGTCTTGTTTTTTCGTCCATTCAGCCAGTCTATGTCTTTTTATTGGAGGGTTTGGTCCATTTACATTTAAGGTTATTATTGATAAGTAGGGACTTACTCCTGCCATTTTGTTATTTGTTTTCTGGATGTCTGGTTGTCGGGTCTTTTCTTCTTTTCTGTCTTCCTTTTAGTGAAAGTGATTTTCTCTGTTGGTACGCTTTAATGTCTTGCTTTTTATTTTTTGTGTATCCATTGTATGCTTTTTGATTTGAGATTACCACAAGGCTTGCAAATACTATCTTATAACCTATTATTTTAAACTAATGACAACAACACTGATTGTATAACAACCAAACAAACATGCACAAGAAAACTAAGAAAAACTACACTTTTGGCTGGGCATGGAGGCTCATACCTGTAATCCCAACATGTTGGGAGGCTAAGGCAGGCAGTTCACTTGAGAACAGGAGTTTGAGACCAGCCTGGGCAACATGGTGAAACCCTGTCTCTACAATAAAACTACAAAGATTAGCCAGGTGTGGTGGTGTGTACCTGTAGTCCTAGCTACTTGAGAGGCTGAGATGGGAGGATCGCTTGAGCCCGGGAGATTGAGGCTGCAGTGAGCCTTGATTGCACCACTGCACTCCAGTCTGGGTGACAGAGCAAGACCCTATGTCAAAAAAACAAAATGAAACAAAAAGAAAAACAAGCAAAAAAAAAAAACCCCACAAAAACCTCTACCGTTTAACTTCACCCCTGCCCCTGCCACCTTTTAGCTTTTTGCTGTTTCTTTTTATTTCTTACTGTAGTGTCTATGTTTTTAAAAGTTACAGTTATTATTTTTGATGGATTCATCCTGTAGTCTTTCTACTTGAGAGAAGTTTATAACACCACAATTACAGTGTTATACTATTCTGTGTTTTTCTGTCTGCTTCCTATTACCAGTGAGTTTTGTTCCTTCAGATGATTTCTTCTTGCTCATTAACATCCTTTTCTTTCAGATTGAAGAACCTCCTTTAGCATTTCTCATAGGACAGGTCTGGCATTGATGAAAGCCCTCAGCTCTTGTTTGCCTGGGAAGGTCTTTATTTCTCCTTCAGTTTTGAAGGATAATTGCGCAAGATATACTATTCTAGGGTAAAAGGTTTTTTTTCCTTCAGCACTTTAAATATGTCATACCCCTCTCTCCTGTCCTGTAAGGTTTCCACTGTAAAGTCTGCTGCCAGGCATATTGCAGCTTTATTATATGTTATTTGTTTTCTCTCTCTCTCTCTCTCTCTCTCTCTCTCTCTCTCTCTCTCTCTCTCTCTCTCCTCTCTCTCTCTCTCTCTCTCTCTCTCTCTCTCTCTCTCTCTCTCTATATATATATATATATATATATATATATCCCTCTCTCTCTCTTGCTGCTTTTAGGATCTTTTCTTTATCCTTGACCTTTGAGAGTTTGATTATTAAATGCCTTGAGGTAGTCTCCTTTGGGTTAAATTGGTTTGGTGTTCTATAACCTTCTCGTACTTGAATGTTTATCTTTTTCTCTAGGTTTGGGAAGTTCTCTGATATTATCCCTTTGGATAAACTTTCTACCCCTATCTCTTTCTCTACCTTCTCTTTAAGGCCAATAACTCTTAGGTTTGCCCTTTTGAGGGTCTTTTCTAGATCTTGTAGGTATGCTTCACTGCTTTTTATTCTCTTTTGTCTCTTCTGTGTATTTTCAAGTTGCCTATCTTTAAGCTCACTAATTCTTTATCCTGCTTGATCGATTCCAATATTAATAGACTCAGATGCATTCTTCATGATGTCGCCTACATTTTTCAAGTCTATAATTTCTGTTTGATTCTTTTTTAATTATTTTAGTCTATTTGTTAAATTTATCTGATATTCTGAATTCCTTCTCTGTGTTGTCTTAAATTTCTTCAAGTCTCTTCAAAATAGCTCTTTTGAATTCTCTGAGAAGACATACATCTCTGTTTCTCCAGGATTGGTCCCTGGTGCTTTATATAGTTCATTTGGTGAGGTCTTGTTTTCCTGGATGGTATTGATGCTTGTAGATACTTGTCAGTGTCTGGGCATTGAAGAGTTAGGTATTTATTGTGGTTTTCACAGTCTGGGCTTATTTGTGCCTGTCCTTCTTTGGAAGACTTTCCAAGTATTCAAAGGCACTTGGGCCTCAAGCCCAAGACACTGTGATTTTTGCAGACTCATAGAGGTAGCACCTTGGTGGTCTTGGCTGAGATCCAGAGCAGTTCTCTGGATTACAAGGCAGAGGCTCTTGTTCTTCTCCCTTTCTTTCTGCCAAACATATAGCGTCTCTGTCTCTGTGCTGAGCCACCTGGAACCTGGGGTGTGGTGAGGAAGCACACCTGTGGCCACCACTGTTGGAACTATGCTGAGTCACACCTGAAGCCTGTAAAGTACTGAGCCTTGCCCAAGGCCCTTCACTTCAGAATGGCAAGTTTCCCCAGGCCCCAAATGTGTCCAGGGATGCTGTCTGGGAGCCAGGGATTAGAATCAAAAACTTTAGCAACTTACCTGATGTTCTATTCTACTGCAGTTAAGCTGATATTCAAACCACAATGCAAAGTGCTTGCTGCTCTTCTCTCCCCTTTTCGCAGTCAGAGGAGCCTCTCCCTGGGACCACCACCACCACTGATCCATGGGGGGCTCTACTAGGCCACCACCAATGTTGGCATAAAGCCCAAGGGCTTTTCTCTTAGCTTGTGGTGAATGCTGGCAGGCACAGGACTCAGCCTTCAGGACAGTGGGCTCCCCTCTGGCCCAGGGAAGGTTTTGAAGTGCTGTGCAAGAATCTAGACCTTGACTCAGGGACCCTAAGGGCCTGCTTGTTGTTCTACCCCATTGTGGCAGAGCTGGTGCTGATTTTTGGCTCTTGTGGTGGTGCTTTTCTGTGTACACATGGTTGCTAAAATTTGGTGTTCCTAGGTGGAGGGAACAAATGGTATAGCCTTCTATTCCACAATCTTGCTCTACTTCCCATGAATTGTTTTTATTTCATTGCGTTGTTTTACTGGGTTCCTTGTATCTGGCTGTTTCCTTAAGATCATTGTTTTGAAATTTTCAGGCATTTTGTACATGCCTTTTTCTTTGGTTTCTCTTACTAGAGAAATGTTTTGTTCCCTTGTAGAAGGCAAGAAACAAATCTCAGAATAGAAAAGAAATGGAAGCTAAAAAAATTCAGAAGATCAACAAAATGAAGAGTTAATTTCTTGAAACAATAACAAACTTGAAAAACCTTTAGCTAGACTAAGAAATAAAAGAAGACAAAATTAGATATTAAACAAGAGACATTACAACTGATACCACAGAAATACAAAGGATGATGAGAGGCTGCTTTAAACAACTATATGCCAACAAATTTGATAACATAGTCCATTTGAGATTACCCGAGGCTGGGTAATTTATAAGGATACGAGGACTATTTGGCACACAGTTCTGCAGGTACAAAAAAGCATGGTGCTAGCACCTGTTCAGTTTTTGATGAGGGACTCAGGCTGCTTTCACTCATGGCAGAAGGTAAAGAGGAGCCAGAAGGTGCAAGATCCCATAGTGAGAGATCCCAAGCTTTTTAACAACCAGCTTTGGGGAGAACTAATAAAATGAGAACTCACTTACATCCACCAAGGGAGGACATTAATCTATTTATGAGGGATCTGTACCCATAACCCAAACACTTCCCATAGACCCCACCTCTGATATTGAAACCAAATTTCAACATGAGATTTGGTGGGGACAAACAAACCATATCCAAACTACAGTAGAAGAAATGGATAAATTCCTGGACACATACAACCTGTCAAGATTGAACCATGAAGAAATAGAAAATCTGAGCAGGTCAGTAATGACTGAGGACATTGAATCAGTAATAAAAAGTCCTCCATCAAAGAAGAGCTCAGGACTGGACAGATTCCCAGCTGAATTCTACCAAACATTTAATAAAGAACTAATACCAATTCTTCTCAAACTATTCCAAAAAATTGAAGAGGAAGGAATACTTCCAAAGTTATCTTACGAGGCTGGAATTACCCTGATTTCAAAATCAAACAATCACATAACAACAAAGAAAAACTACAGGTTAGGATCTCCAGTGAACATAGATGTGAAAATTCTTAACGAGATGCTAGCAAACTGAATCCAACAGCATATTAAACAAATCATTCACTGTGGTCAAGTGGAGTTTATTCCAGAGATGCATGGATGGTTTAACATTTGCAAACCAATAAATGTGATATGCACATTAACGGAAAGAATTATTTTTTAAAATATCATTTCAATAGAGGCAGAAAAAGCATTTGATAAAAATTTACTATCATGATTAAAACGCTCAAGAAATTAGATTCACATGGTACTTACCTCAATGCAGTAACAGCCATATATGACAAACACACAGCTAACATCATACAGAGTGAGGAAAAATTGTAAGCTTTTCCTGTAAGGTCAGGAACTAGACAAAGATGCCCGCTTTTACCATTTCTATTTAATGTAGTAAATGAAGACCTAGCCGGAGCAATTAGGCAAGAGAAAGAAATAAAAGGCATTCAAATTTGAAAGGAGGAAGCTAAGTGCCCTGTTTGCAGATGACATGATCTTATATATAGAAAACCTTAAAGACTCCATTGAAAAACAGAACTAATAAACAAACTCAGTAAAGTCGCAGTATACAAAGTAAACATACAAAAATCAGTAGCATTTCTATATGCTCTTAGTGAACTATCTGAAAAAGAAATCAAGAAAACAGTTTCATTTACAATAGCTACAAAAAAGATACCTAGTAATAAATTTAGTCAAGGAGGTGAAAAATCTTTATACTGAGGCTATAAAACTTTGATGAAAGAAATGTAAAATAATACAAATACATGGAAAGATATCCTATATTTGTGGATTGTAAGAATTAATGTCATAAAATGGCCAAACTACTCAAAGCGATGTACAGATTAATGCAATTCCTATCAAAATGCCAATGGCATTCTTCACAAAAATAGAAATAAACAATTCTAAAATTTATCTAGAACAAAAGACCCAA
This sequence comes from Homo sapiens, assembly GCF_000001405.40. Lineage (NCBI taxonomy): Eukaryota > Metazoa > Chordata > Mammalia > Primates > Hominidae > Homo > Homo sapiens. Next base: position 38,817,244 of record NC_000013.11, read on the forward strand.
AACAACCAAAGCAATCCTGTGCAAAAAGAACAAAGCTGGAAGCTTCATACTACCTCACTTCAAAATATACTACAAAGCTATAGTAAGTACAGAACAACATGGTGCTGGCATGAAAAACAGACACATAGACCAATGGAATAGAATATAGAACCCAGAAGTAAATTTACACACCTACAACCAACTGATTTTCAACAAATGTACCAAAAATACATGTTGGGGAAAAGACAATCTTTTCAATAAATGGTATTGGGAAAATTAGTTTATCTACGTGCAGAAGAATGAAACTAGATCCCTACCTCTCACTATATATAAAAATCAACTCAAAATGGATTAAGGATCTTAGTGTAAAATCTGAAGCTAACAGAAGAAAACATAGGAGAAACACATCAGAGCATTGGGCTGGGCAAGGACTTTTTAGATAAGACTTCAAAAGGATAGTCAACAAAAGGAAAAATAGGCATATAGGATTATATCAAACTAAAAAGCTTTTCCATAGCAACAGAAACTGTTAAGAGAGTGAAGAGACAACCTACAGAATGGGAGAAAATATTTGCAAACTATAGATGCGAAAACGGGTTAATATCTAGAATATATAAGGGACATAATAGCAAAACAACAATAACAATATTAATCAAAAATGGGCAAAAGGCCATTTTTCAAAATAAGACATACAAATGACAAACAGGTATATAAAAAATGTTCAACATTGCTAACCATCAGAGAAACACAAACCAAAACCAAAATAAGATACCATCTCACTTCAGTTAGAATGGCTATTATAAAAAAAGACAAGTGTTGGTGAGAATGTGGAGAAAAGGGAACACTGACGTACTGTTGGTGAGGTTGTAAGCTAGTACAGCCATTATGGAATACAGTATGGCGGTTCCTCAATTAACTAGAAATAGGATTCCCATATTATTCAGCAATCCCACAGTTGAGTATTTACTGAAAATATTTGAAATCCATATGTTGAAGAGGTATCTGCATGCCCATGTTTATTGCAGCACTATTTACAATAGCTAAGATATGGACTCAACCTAAGTATTCAACAATGGATGAATAGATGAAAAAATGTGGTATAAAAACCCAACAGAATACTATACAGTCATAAAACATAATGAAATCCTATCATTTGAGACAACATGGGTGAACCTGGAGGACACCATGTTAAGTGAAATAAGCCAGACACAGAAAGACAAATACCACATGATGTCACTCATATGTGGAATCTACAAAGGAAAAAAAGTTGATATCATTGAAGCAGAGAATAGAACTGTGGTTATCAGAGATTGGGAAAAGGAGAAAGGAGAGGTAGATGGAGAAAGGTTGATTAATAGGTACATGTTACAATTACATAGAAGGAATAAATTCCAGTGTTCTATTGCACAGTAGTGTGACTATGGTTAACAATAAAATATTATATATTATAAAAAAGCTGACTGGACATGATGGCTCATGCCTGTAATCCCAGCACTTTGGGAGGTTGAGGCAGGTGGATCACCTGAGATCAGGAGTTTGAGACCAGCCTGGCCAACATAGTGAAACCCCGTCTTTACTAAAAATACAAAAATTAGTGGGGCAGAGGTTGCAGTGAGCCAAGATCGCACCACTACACTCTAGTCTGGGCAACAGAGCAAGCCTCCGTCTCAAAAAAAAAATGCTAGAAGAAAGGCTTTTGAGTGTTCTCATCACAAAGAGATAATGCATGATGTGCTGGATATACTAACTACCCTTATTGTGTCATTATACAATACAGAAATATATCAAAACATCAAGTTGCACCTCATAAATATGGGAAATTACAGAGTGTCAATTAAAAAACAAATTTAAAAACAAAGAAGAAGGCAAATGAGCAAAGATCAGAGACTGCTGTAGTGGGTTTGTTAGCAATAGGAGTCCATTTGACTCAACCTGTTATGGCCAGAACCTCCAAAGGCCCTGGCTGCTATGCTGCTGTGCGCTTGCCTGGTCTTTTTGAAACTGTTGATACAATGCACTGCTCACCACAGGAAAAGCATTAAAGAGCTTTGTTCCACTGCACACACACAAGCTTGGCAAGCAGCCACTTGAATTTCTCCTGCTAGTCACATAAAAACATTTCACCACCATTACCAGAAAAGGCAAAGGCTCCAAACTTCTTTATGAGAAAAACTAACCATTTTGTATAATTTACACTGAAGAATGACCTTTCTCCCCACAAGAAAGTGAGCACAGGGAGCTGTGGCAGGACATAGGGCTGGTTCACCCAGAAATGAGCCCTCAAATTCATGGAGTGTAAATTTACAGATATGTAGTCTGCTAGAGTGGTTTTAGGATATCAAGGTTGTGGTACCGATTAGGATCATGCTGTTCACAATATTAAATTAACTTATGTCTTTATTTTTTAGGGCTTTGTAGATATCATATATTTTTATATAATCATAGCTATCATGAACACCTTCCAAGATGTGCTAAATCTTTTACCTGAATTATTTAATACACATATGCACATACACAAATTATGAGCCAAGTTTTATTATGCCTGGGTTTTATCATCTGTGAGTGGTTGGATAACTTGCCCAAGGTCAAACAGCCGGTAAGCATTTAGCCAGCCTGACTAAAGAGACTATGGCATTAACAACTACGCAGCACACTTCATATTATACTAGCAGTAAGTATATTTAATATACACAATGACCTTCTGATTCTACAATGTAATACTCAAAGTTATTATTAGTTATCCTAATAGGGAAGTTTACAAGATGAAACAAGCTATATATACTTTTATAGACATATAGCACCTGAATATTGATAATTGAAATGTCATAGATAATAGAATAACTTGTAAATGAACTATTCTTGTTGATCTTTTATCAATTATAACTCCCCTTGGATCTTTAGCAAAGCTTATTAGTGCAGTCTCAATCTGGTACTTCAATTGGACAAGGAATAGCACTGCTTTTTCCACATCATCTAGCAAATGACCCGGTGAAAATGGTTGCCTTTCTGAAAGATTGCATTTTGGCTCTCTTGTCAAGTCCTCGTGGATAAATATTGTCTTGAGTTTGTTTTGTCTTTTTCCCAGTAACACTATCTGCCTGATTCCCATCTCTTCCAAACAGAAAAGTGAATGCTGGCCATGCAATACTATCTTACAGACATCAAAGAATACATATTTCTGATTTATTACCACTAAAACCCTGGAAGCAGTTTACTAAACATTTATAGGAACCTCAAGATCTCAGTCACAGAAAATTCCATTTTAGTGTTAAAAATCACATAAATCTGAGAAGCAGCTTCTCAGATACTAGACTTCAGAATTTGTAAATTTAAAACTATTAAAATGAATTTTATAATAAAAACCAATAAAATACACAAAAAGTTGATTAAATGGAAAAGATCTCTTACTAGATACTATTGTTGTGATCAAAAAGTCCTAATTATTTGCTGGCCAGAGAGGTCTGGCATATCTTTTTATTGAAATCATAAAACATACAGAAAATGCTGAAAAGCCAAACATGGCAACTTGGCTGAAAACAGAGCACTTCAAAGTCTTGGCCTGCATGCCTCAGTGATGTAAAGAGAGGCCAGCATCTGTGAAATGCTGCCATGGACTTGCAGGGCTATGATTATTTTAAGTCTAGAAAATGCACTATGCACCTATGGTCTACTGTTGAAAACATGTACCTCCATTACTAAACAGACAGCAGCATCTCCACGTATGGTATTAGAATGAAATATTAAGAAAACATTTTGTAATAGATGTACTATTTTCTGACATTGGTGGATATACCAGTGGTCACTGTAGAGATGTGAAACTTGCTAGTTTGCTTCTTTATAAAACCAGAAGTAGTTGTCTCATTAGGAGTCCTTATGGTGTCCCTATGTTCTCTGTGAACCTTCCTTCTCTTTGTAGATAAATGTTACCTTTCAGAGGGAACAGATAGGTGTTATGTTTTCCTTGAGAAATAGGCCTTCATCCTGTCTGACTGGACATCAGATCTTCTTTTCCCTGATTTATTCCTGTGTTGTAAATCTTATACATTTTTTTTTTGTAATTGGCCTAAAATCTTCCTTAAATTATGTAGAGAACCTTACACTGACCTAGAAAGATACAAGATTGCCCAGTCAAATATAGTGCTATTGTTATTTGACAAACAGTAAAGTATGTGACAAATAATCACAATAATAATTTATATTGAAATTTTAAACATATAGCTAAAACTAAAAATGCCTTCTTTCTCTAGGCCATTTGTAACCATTTGAAGCACTTAAAATGATGGATGAAGCTTTTCCTTCATACTACTGGAGAAATAAATCATCTTTTTTTCTCTTTTTTCTAAGAAACAGGTCTTTTTTCTGTCTCTCTGAAACAGGCGTTTGAAATAATTTGAATTCACACATTTATTCATTTAAAACACACACCTAACATCTCTCATGTTTCCAGATGCTGTGCGAGGGTAGAGGGCATAAGGATTTGTCCTGGCCTCACTTCACGTGCTTATAGGCCCCTGCTAAGTGGCGGGCAGTCTCCAGGACATTAAGGACACAGTGGTGAAAGACACTAGCCCAATCTATAGAGAACTTCGAGACGGAAATAGACAAACAGCTCCAACAAGGCAAAGGGTAAGTCCAGGCTCCCCATGCAGTGACGGCTTTCAGAAGGTTCTCTCACTTGGCCTCAGGCTCCCGGAAGGCCAGTTCTCTTCCACACAAAGAATGGAGGAGTCTGAATCATTGAGTGGGCAGCCAGTAAACTGATGCTCAGAGTCACGTGTCTTTTTAGGCTGTGACAGTCTCTCCATTGTGAAGACAACTGCACTATTTGGGATGAGCCAAGTTACAGTACAATTCAGCAGTTCCTGAGTTTAAACACATTCCTGTGAAAAGAAATAAAACAGCTGATAGATCTTTACTCGTGTGTACCTTTTTAAAAAGCAAGAATATAGGTATTGTGAGAGGAAAAAAATAGCTTTCTTTTTACACCTTATAGAGCTGAAATATATCTCAGCTTCAATTTCCCTGAGGGTGTTTCACAAACAATGGGTTTCACAGGCCCAGGAAGTATACTACAGAGCTGAAGCTCTGTGGTCAAAATGCCAACAAGGAGCCCATTCTTTCTTTCTTTTTTTTTTTTTTTTTTTTTTTTAAGAATCACACTTATTCAGAAGGGTAATTTTTGAGAGCACACTCCCTGCCAGAGAAGGCTTTAAAAAGCCAAAGCCACAGTCTTTCACAGTCTCAGTGCTGCAAGATGATCCTATAAATACAAGATAAAATTAGAAGTGGTCTAGGTGTTGCTTTATGCCTGTGGGTCTAGCGTGCACGGTCTGCATCTCATAAACTGGTGGAATGCTGTCTGCGCTAAATAGGGGGTTGAAAACAGTACAGTTTTATAAGTCTTTCCAGGGGATCGCTATCCTCCCAACAAACCTAGCATGCATGTTTTCTGTGATGTTGGTCCTCAACATATATTTTGAAGTTTTTAAAATGACAGTATATCTAAATAGTAATATGTATTCGATCTAGTTCAGTATACTGAGAGGACAAATCAACGCTTTGCAGTAGAAGATGTTAGGTTAGCTCCCTGAGGAAAATTTTATGACTCTGTTCAACACATCCCTTGACATCTCTGTGAAGAAGGAAACTTCATCAAACCCTGTGATGTAATTATGGAAGACACAATGATTTTGTCATGTGTGAAAACTCTTTTTTTCTTCTTCTTTTTAAACAGTGCAAGAAAAGTGATGTAGGCACACATCTTACCAGACTTAATGTCTTAGATTCTGAAAAGCATCAAAACAAATCAGGAGAAAAACTCAATAGATTAGAACACTTAGTCCTTGCCCTACCCTGTTTTATTCCCGCTTATCCCTAATCTTGGTGAATGGTTCTATGAGTACTGGATTCCTTCCTCTCAGTCCTCACCCCAACTCCTTGATTCTACCTCCTTCATATCTCTAAATATTATATCCTTATTATTTTTCCTCGTCTGAACTGCCATCACCTGATCCAAACGAACTTCCTATCTTGCCTGGATTCTTGCACTTGCCAACTAGCTAGGCCGCCTGCTTCCAGTTTGCTCATATCCCACCCCTTTCCACCAGACCATTCATCCTCCAGAACCCTAAATGCACATTTCATCATCATGTTCCCCCCTTTTTTAACACTGAGCACACCTCTCACCTGCTAATTTCTAGGACAAGGCTCCCACCACAAGGTCCTGCATGGCCTGGCCATGGCTCCCTGCTTTCCTTGTTCACCCCATCTCCTCATTCCAAGCAGCATACAATACCACAGCAAACTCTGCAGCCCCCAAACATATGAGGCTGTCTACTTATCTTTAGTTTCTATTTCTGCTTCTACTTGAAGAAAAATTCTCCCTCTCTACCTCCTCATTCATCAGCTGGCTAACTCATATTAATGCCTCAAAATTCAGCTGCCAATAATTAAAATAATAATAATAATAACTTATGGTGACTGAGCACTTTCCATGTGCAGGTAAAGTAGTAACTTTATGGTCATCTTATTCTTCCTTTAAGAGAAAACATTCACAATTAAGCAACAGATAAGAGATGAGAGAAGTACCAGGGGACAGCAGTAATATGGAAAGAAAAGGATGAAGATGCAAGAAAAAAGGTTGTGGCCCATAGTATTAAATTCTTCAACGATAAAGACAAAGATTTGCAATATGCAATTGGGTTTTGCAAAAAGAAGGGCATTGGCCAACTTGGAGAGAGTATTTCTTGAGTGTTTTGGAGAATGAGGCCGTGTTTCAATGAGCTTAAAATTAATGAGAGCTGAGAATATGAAAATAATGGATAGAGCATTTCAAGTGATTATTCAAGTGAAAGGAAGAAAGAAACTTTAAGATCAAATACCGGTGCTTGTGATAGGGGACAGAGTGGTAGTATTGTGGGAAAGATATGTTATGATGATTTTATGTAGAGAAGAAAGAGTGAGGAGAAAGAGACAGTTTTGTCACATAAAGTAGTAAAATTGGGTAGCACAATCTAAGCAATTAGAATTACATCATACAAGGAGAGGCATGATATGCTTATGAAGCCATATTGCTCGGTGTCTAATTCTGGCTCTGTCTTATAAGGTATATGTTCTTGGGATAATTATCTAACCCTTCTCTGCCCCAATTTCCTCATAACGTAACAGCCTGATGAGTTATTCTGGCTCGGTACACAAATAAAGACCGTGGCATTTTAGGAAAGAAAGAGTTTAATTGACACGAGGTCAGCCACACCATGTAGGAGATAGAGTTATTACTCAAATCAGTCTCACCAAAGGCTCATAGGTTAGGGGTTTTCCAAAGGTATTTTGAGGGAAACAGTGGGAGTGGCTATGCAATGGGTGCTTGCTGCTGATTGGTTGGGTCAGAGATGAAATCATAGGGAATTGAAGCTGTCCTCTTGAGCTGAGTTGGTTCTGGGTGGGGCCACAGGAGCCACCAGTTAGCAGCTCTAGGTGGAGCCATGCTGTTAGATACACACAAAACCTGAAAGGATATCACAAAATGCCTATCTACAATAGAAAAGTGATGTTATTTGCAGGAGTAACTGGGGAAGTTACACCTTATCAGAATTCAGACTCCTCTCCTCCTGTAGGCTGGTGGTCTCTCATTAGCTTCATAAAGGCAATTGAGTTTTGGGGAAGGACGGTTTTCATTTAAACTATAAACTAAATCTCTTCCAAAGTTAACCAGCCTAAACCCAGGCAGCTTGAAAGCTAAAGAAAAGGTTGGGGGTGGAGGGGGGCGGCGGGCTAGATCAGATCTCCCTCACTGCCATAATTTTCTCACTGATATAATTTTTTCGAAGATGGTTTCAATAATACTGTCTACCTCATAGGGTTGTTATACAGAATAAATAAGTTAATATATGTAAAGCACTTAGAATACCAATATGTTTAGCTGTCATTATTATTACTGCCAAGACAACTGTGCAATGCTGTGTTTGTTTTCGGTTTTAACTTCTAGACTAAGAACTCTTCGAAAACAAGGGCTGTGTCTTTATCATATCCCCAGTATGGAGCACAGTGCCTGATCCATAATAGGTGTTCAAAAAACAGATAATAAATTGGTGGTTAAATGTATGCAGGCAGGAGGGTTGGCCAGGACTACCTTTCTTGATATTCTTCCTATTACTTACTGTTTTTATAATATACAAAAAAATTAACCACAAAGAATAAAGCCTTATTTATTAAAAAAAAACCCACATGTAGTATATTCACAGAATATCAAACATCTAAGAACAAAACATGTGCTTTGTAGCTTACTTGAGTTTTCCTAGGTACGTCTCTGAAAAGCAGTGGTTAGCCTTCCACCTAAAGCCTGCAGTGAGGCATTGTCATTGCCCTAGAAAGCTCTGGCTGCTGCAGTTTATATTCAGCTATTAGAATGAAAATGCTGAACAGCTCCTTAGTGACATTACATGTATCTGAACACCAGTAGCCTTAAATTGGCATTTCCTTGTGTCAGCCATTTATTAAGCTGTCCAGTTCTATTACCCAGGCTCCTCTCTGAGCTACCTTTTACCCCCATCACTCACAGGCTCTGCCATGAGCATCACTCATATCACCCTGACTCAGGGCTGTGCTCCTTTCACTCTAGAAAGTGGCCTTGCTTTATTTTTAAATTGTATTTTAAAAATATATTAGACAGGTTTTTATTCTCTATAAATGAAAATACACGTTCAAATGATTAAACAAGTTGTTCTCTTTAAAGCCAAAATGTTATCTGATATAAGAAGTCATATAAAAATCATAATGCGTATGTTTACAGCTTCTTGGTTACTCTTTAAACACAAACCATCTTAAAGACAAGAATGGTTTTCTAACTCCTATTTTTCCTTGAGAGGAAGCACCTACTATCCTTCCAATAAAGACTGCAGGAAATAAGCATGAATCAATTGGATAAATGTTGAATGAGAGAAATAGCTGCCAACTAGTATCATATCAACAGGAAAAACACAAACGTCCCAGAAGGGCAAGAAGAATAGCTTGGACCTGAAAGCTTAGAGATCTGACTTCACGTAGATCAAATTGGATATTGCAGACCAGAAATACAAGAACCAAAGAAGTTGATTTCCCCAGTGTCGGGCATTTCGTAAGTGACTGAGAGGGGGAGTGGCACCCCTGGCTTGCAGAACAATGATTTTTTTTTCCACGTACAACAACGCAAGGAAGCAATGCAATAGCGTTGACTGCTAATATAGAGTAACACAAGGATAACCGAGGAAGAAGGATCTCACAATAAAGGAGCACATTCCTTCCAACTTGAAATGGAGTCGCTTTTGCTGTTTACTCTGGAGTCCCTTCCTGTGCTGCCTGCAGGCGTGTTCAGGTGTCAGTTGTCAAGCAGCCTGTGGTCAAGATTACTTATTGTTTGAGTGTCAATCACATGCTTTTATTCCTGAGACCTCACACAGATTGTGTTTGACACCATATTAATCGTCATCTTTCTTCATTCAGCTGTTGGAATTCCCAAATAAATCACCCTCATGTCACAGTCTCTGTTGATTTCAAAATCTTACTTATAAAATTTACTTTAGTTAGCAGGAATAAAATGTACATATGTGACTTCTGATTGGTGATTTTTGAAGCAGTGACAATTTTAAAGGTATGGAGAGTTTAAGCATAAAGTGACATCTCATTTTATTTCCCTCTTCCTAGAATCTTTTAATTAAGAAATTTATCCTCACAACTTAGGAATACTGATCTGTATAACATATTCTAATTTTCTCTTACGTAGAATATCATGTTCCTCCCTTTTTCTTTAATCAGATTCTCATTACACATCTTTTAAAGAAAATATTCTAAAAATCTAAACATCTAAAATGTTTACATGTCCAGACTCTTAACCATTTTCAGAAAAAGTACTATTTAATTTTTTTACAGTACAGATTTTGTATGTGAGTACCTTATGTTTGAATCCTCCTTATACCACATTCTAGTTGTGTGGCGTTGAGCAAGTTATTTAACCTCTCTGAGTCTTGACTTAATTTTATTTGTAAACAGCAGATAAAAATAATCACCTCTACAGCTGTTGTGAGCATTAAGACAATATAACAAGGTTTCTAGAGATCCTGGTGTCACTGGGGCAGGGGCAGTCAGTAAATGTAGCGATTATAATATTAATATTACATTAACTATGATGTTAAGTGGTGTGTTCTCACATACCTGATGAGATTTACATCCAAAATGATTACTTTTGAATAGAAACTTGGGAGGCAGTTGTCAGTCTTAGCTTATACCTCCACACTTGTTTTGATGACCTCCCATACACCAGACTGTATGTTTCTCATTGGAGTTTACAGACGAACAATAGGTGATTCCTGCCTTTGGGAAGCTTGAAGATGGATGTGTGGATAGATCACTGAAATAGGGCATAAAAATAATGGAAGAAGTGTGAGAAGGCAAGACTTTCTTGATAGCAGTAACTGTTAAGTAAGTTATATGTAAGAATGGAAAGACACAAACTTTGCAGGACCTCAGGACTGTGAGATGATGTTTTTGAAAGTGCAGTAACTACTCAGTTCCCTAGACAGCATAATCATCCACAACACTGTGAAATGCTATAGACAGTTGGTAGAGTTGAACCTGTTAAAGAGTAAAAATGTTTTAGAGAACTTAACGAAGAGGAGAGACTTTCTACTCTCTAATATTTTTGCCTAATATTCTGAGATTATGTTTAAAGGAGACAAGTTATACATGTTAATCTTTGTTTAGTAATAATATCTTTTATCACAAACTTATTACATGAGTACCAAGAAGGAGTCTTGTCATCTTCCTCACGGAAGCCACACCTCTCCCTTGAGGTCATTTAGTTTGATGCATCTTTCCATACATCCAATAACATGCACACATTTTTGTTTCATTTTAATTAGAGTAAATTATTGGTAAAGTGGCACAATATTCCAAAGGCAGGCTGTCTTACTTCCTTTTCAATTATTGGTTATTGATCTTGAATTTCTGGATCTCAGTTTTCTCATCTGTAAAATGAGGATGATAATAGTTTGTACCTCAAAGGTTGTTAGGAAGATTGAGTTAGTAGATAGATAAAGACAGAAATATATATAAAGTGCTTAGAACAGTTCAGGTACACTGAAAGTACTCAATAAATATTGGTTATTATTATTACATGATGATATATGTATTATCTTACGAAGTACTTATTTCACATAAGAATACATAATGGCCAGGCACAGGGTCTCACCCTATAATCCCATTTCTTTATGAAGCCGAGGTAGGAGGATCACTTGAGGCCAGGAGTTTGAGACCAGCCTGGGCAATATAGAGAGACCCCAGCTATACAAAAATAAAAAGTAAAATTAGCCTGGTATGGTGTTGTGTACCTGTAATCCTACCTTCTTAGGAGGCTGAGGCAGGAGGATCACTTGAGCCCAAAGATTCCAGTTTATAGTGAGCTATGATCTTGCCACTACACTGCAGACTGGGCAACAGAGAGAGAGAGACCATGTCTCTTAATAATAATAAATTAATTTAAAAAAAATTTTAAGAGACTATATTATGAAAAACTTTTCATGTCAATGCATATAAACCCAGCTCATTTTTAATGGTTATATAGTATTCCACAGTCTGGCTATAACATATTTAACAATCCCCTATGGATGGGCATTTAGACTGGTTTCAGATTTTTTTTCTAATCACATAAGTGCTGTAGTACATATCCTTTTTCACATATGCAGGGTGTCATTTATTTGCCTAGTCTCTATCATTACATTCAGTTTTAGATGTAACAAAATATATAATATGACAAGAAATTATCTGAGCCAAGCACTGCTATAAGCATGTTATATATATTCTCTCATTCAGTCCTTATAACAAATCCATGACACATATGCTGTCATAATCCCTAATTTTACAGGTGAAGAACTGAGACACACACATATTAGGTACCATGCCCAAAGCCATACTGCTAGAAAGTGATTCAGTAAGGGGTAGAACATAAGCAGTCTTAACAAAGCAAAGTTATTTAATTGAGAAAAGGCATCCATATTGGCATTCACTGTGCTATAGCCTATGATAGCTGGCTGTTGATAGTAAGAGTTTCTAACAGGTCTGTATCATATCCCGTAGTATGATGATATGGGCCTTCTCCAGAAATGAGGCCCTTTCAGCCTGTCATGGCAGAATAACCCTTTCCAAGATTCCTTTTAACATGATTTTGAAAGGAAATATATCAAACTTTTTCATTAACTATGGATAACTCAACTATTTATCATTATTTCTCATTTTTTGTCTTATACAAAAAGACAAACATTAATAGGAAAAAATACAAACACTATGATACATAAAATAGCATTTGGGGGCCTACTATGCTATTTGTAGTATAGTACACCATGTAGTGTAGTATGGAAATGGAGACCTCAGTAAAATGTATTTATTATATCCTTTTTTTTTTTTTAGATTTCACAGTGTCTTGATTTTACCTATTAAGTGAGTATAGAGCCCATTCCTCTATGAATAATTTTTTTATTTGAATAAACAAATTAATTTGTTTATTCAAATAAACAATAGATAGTGTCTGGAAACTGAAAGACACAAACGGAATACACAGGTTTGGAGTGAAATTTATTTTACCCACATCACACAATTTGGCTACTTTCCATCAGTGATTTGCTCTCAAAAGTTGTTTCTCTGCAACTTTTGTCTTTAAAAATAGACATAATGTTGACTAAATACATTACTTTTACCAGTCTTCTCAAACAATTGTACTTATAACCTTATGTTTAATTACATATATTATCTCTGCACAAATCTAGGGGATGCCCTCATCTATAGTCTTAGCCACAAAATATGGTTGGGAATTTTAATCTTCTCTAAAAGAAGACACATAGATGTGAATAAAGCGTGTTGATATATAGATTTTCTTAGCCAGATAATTTTAAAGAAATATATCATACAAGAGTACTGGGAAAGATAACAAACGAAAGTGAGGAAAATGACTGTGTACCAGAAATCAGTTGGCAATGGCACAATGAATGACAACACAAATATCCTTCAAAATTAAAAAGCTGGCCAGTTGATCAAGCAGGATATCACCCAGTCATCCACTTTGATACTGTCCTTCACATGTGATTGATCACAAAGCATTGTCACTGTATTTCTGAAGCTCTTCTAGAATCTGACTTCTCAATCTTCCCACCTCCACTGCCCTAGCTCAAGACCTCACTGTTTCTCTGAATTGCACTTTCCCCTCAAGGGTCCCACGGCTTATGGTCTAACTCTGCTTCAGTCCATCCACCATGCTTGGTTTGCTTTTTTTGCAAACCAAGTTCTGATGATTTCAATTCCAGCTTAAAAATCAGCGTTGACTCCCTTTTTTCTGTAGTTCTTAGCATGTATTGCAAGAACTTGCAAAACCTGGCTCTCACCTTAACTTCCTCCCTGGGCTTTCGCCCTTTCCTATACTACAGCCACACAACTTCCCAACCTACTGCACACTCACGTCTTTCTTTTCCTTTATCTGAGATGCTTTTCCTCTTCAATGCTGCCAAGCATTGAAGGTCCAGCTCACATTTTTTCTTCTCTGGGTTGCTGTCCTGTGTCAGCTCTCCATCTCGGGAACCTCTGCACTACAGCAGCTGTCACCTGTTACAATCACTCTGCCCTCCCAGACTAGCAGCTGAAGGGTGACGACTGATTCTCAGACTCTAATATGTGTACATTCACCTGAAACAGTTTAAAATCCTTGACTCGGAGAAATGTTGGTTTTGTTGATTTAAGATGAGGCCCCAGGAATGTGTGTTTTAAAACCCCTCGGGTACTTGCAGTATAGATCTGTGACCACCTTTGGGAAACAGTTTTATATACAATAGTTTAGGAAACTGTAAATTGCACCTCACTGAGTCGAGAAATCAATTAGTAGGTCATGACCAGTTTTTCCTTCTTCTTCCTCATATATGGGGTATGCTGTCATATGGAATAGAAAAAATATTTTAAGTTTTGAAACAATCTTCTAGAAGGCAGGGAACTCAATAGCATTTGTGGAATAAAGAATACTCATGAAGCCTCTTCACATGCTACTGGATGTTGGAAAATTTTGATGACTGTGATGCTTACATTTTATTTTACACTTGTGATGACTCTCAAAAAGGCAAGAGAAGATTCCAGAATGAAACTACATTGATGATAGAATCTCTGATATCATTATCTTTTTGAAGAAAGACTCACTATGTATTTTCAACTGAGATTTTGGGCAGGTTCAGTATTTAAATTGTCATCATTCTAGACATGTATTGACTTTTCTTTACTCTCCCTGAGAAAATTATAGTTGACAAGAAAAAGAAATGTTAAAACATGTCTTTAAAATGATATATATTTTTAAACTTTCCCTTTTTATATACATTTTAACTTCAATTTTTTTTTTTTTTGAGATGGAGTCTTGCTCTGTCGCCCAAGCTGGAGTTCAGTGGTGTGATTTTGGCTCACTGCAACCTCCACCTCCCAGTTTCAAGCAATCCTCCTGCCTCAGCCTCCTGAGTAGCTGGGACTACAGGTGTGCACCTCATGCCAGACTGAATTTTTTTTTTTTTTGGTATTTTTAGTAGAAATGGGCTTTTGCCATGTTGGCCAGGCTGATCTCGAACTCCTGACCTCAGATAATCTGCCTGCCTTGGCCTACCGGAGTGCTGGGATTATAGCCGTGAGCTACTGCATCTGGTCCTGAACTTTAATTTTTCAACAATAATTTTGAAAATGCTTTTTAAAGACTAGATATGAGCTCATTTTTCAGAATGTATGTTTATGTAAAGTATTTATTGAAAGAAAAGTGAGTAGGCCAGGGACAGTGGCTCACGCCTGTAATCCTACCTGTCTTGGAGGCCAAGGCAGGTGGATCACTTGAGGTCAGGAGTTCAAGACCAGCCTGGCCAACATGGTGAAACCCCGTCTCTACTAAAAATACAAAAATTAGCTGGAAATTGCTTGAACCCGGGAGGCAGAGGTTGCTGTGAGCCAAGATCTCACCACGGCACTCCATCCTGAGCGACAGAGCAAGACTCTGTCTCAAAAAATGAAAAATAAAAAGAAAAGTGGGGAAAGGCCATGCCTAAATTATTTAAAACTAATTTTTTAATGATATTATTACAGGGAGAAGTTCATCAACATTTTTTTCTTCTTCGTTTTTCTTAGTTGCAAAAGGAATCAATGCTACTTGAAAAAGTTAAATGGGTAGCAAATGAATGTATGCAAGAAATGTATAGCAAAGGAAGTGAAATTTCCTCACAATCTCAGCTCTAGGAAATAACCAGTTAGTGGTTTAACATACATTCTTTCTTATTTTCTATGCATCAAAAAATAAACTATGTAGTTTATTTTTAATAAGATATAATAATTTTATACATACCATTCTCTATCTACCATGTTAAAAAATTTCATTGCAGAAAAACCCACAAACAATATAACATAAAATGTGCTCTATGTAAAATTAAACAATATTACTATTTTTCATAGTTGCTTTAGGTGTTTTAAAGATATGAAGCAGTACATATTAAAATGTTAAGTCTCAGCAGGGTTCAGTGGCTCATGCTTGTCATCTAAGCACTTTGGGAAGCTGAGGCGGACAGATCGCTTGAGTCCAGGAGTTCAAGACCAGCCTGAGAAACATGGCAAAACCCCATCTCTACATTAGAAATTAGCTGGGTGTGGTCATGCACGCTTGTAGTCCCAGCTACTCAGGAGGCTGAGACAGAAGATTTGCTTAAGCCCAGGAGGTGGAGGTTGCAGTGAACTGAGATTGAGCCACTACACTCCACCCTGGGTGACAGAATGAGACTGTGTCTCGAAAAAAAAGCAAAAAAAAGTTAAGTCTCTATTAGTGTCTTTTAACTGCCATTGTCCCCAAGAGCAGCATGTCATAAATTAAGTATGTATATATACTTTTTATAGTCTTATCTTTTTCCCATTTTTCTGCAGTTTTGTTTGATAACTGTCTTTTATAACTGGCATATGGTTTTGTTTTTTAACCCAACCTAAAAAACTTTTTTAACTATATTTTTTAATAATAAAGCTAACAACTTTTAAATAATAAACAATTTATTTACATTTGTTCTTAGTATTGATACATTTGGGCTTTTTATTTCATTTTCTGCATATGAACTTTGTTTCTCCTCCTTCCCAGCTTCTTGTAATATTGGGAAACTTCTCCCTATTCTTAGTTATTTTTTATTCTCTGCTAGTTTCTGCCCTTTTGGTGGCAACCCTTATCATTTTAAGAGTTATTTAACCATCTGAGCAACCAAGTTTGTTCTCTTGACTAAGACAAGGACATTAAAATATTTCATCTACTCACTGAACCCCATTTATAACCTCCTTACTGTTATCTCAATTTTTAGGTTCAACATTGAATGGAAAAAAATAATTCAATGAGTTTACTAGCATATTTTATTGATTTCTTTGCTCAACAGAATTTCTTACATTTTGAGTCCTTTGGATTTATTTATTTATTTCAGTGTCCATCTATAGGTAGATGAAACTTCTTCATCTTCAAAGCCTGAAAAACCCATATTTCTCTCTCACTCTTGAATTTTGTTTTAGTTTGGTTTCCTGTGATCCCCCTCAAGAGTTGATTCATTGCCTGTCTCCAGAACTAGAGACCAGTAGGACCACACTCCTTTGGCTTCACCTACCACTATGATGTTCTGCTTCATTTTTAGTCCATAGAGATGTTTATTTTGTTTTGAGCACAGTCCTCTTTTTGCTTATCGAGTATATTAACAGGAGAGGAAAAAATTTCAAAGCTACCAAAAAGAAATGGCAAATTACCCCTTTTTTTAAATTATACTTTAAGTTCTGGGATACATGTGCAGAACGTGCTAGTTTGTTACATAGGTATACATGTGCTGTGGTGGTTTGCTGCACCCATCAACCCATCATCTACATTAGGTATTTCTCCTAATGCTATCCCTCCCCTTGATCCCCACCCCCCAATAGGCCCCAGTGTGTGATGTTCCCCTCCCTGTGCCCATGTGTTCTCATTGTTCAACTCCTACTTATGAGTGAGAACATGCAGTGTTTAGTTTTCTGTTCCTGTGTTAGTTTGCTGAGAATGATGATTTCCAGCTTCATCCATGTCCCTGCAAAGGACATGAACTCATCCTTTTTATGGCTGCATAGTATTCCATGGTATATATGTGCCACATTTTCTTTATCCAGTCTAACGTTGATGGACATTTATAGTAGAATGATTTATAATCTTTGGCTATATACCCAGTAATGGGATTGCTGGGTCAAATGGTATTTCTGGTTCTAGATCCCTGAGGAATCACCACACTGGCTTCCACAATGGTTGAACTAATTTACACTTCCACCAACAGTGTAAAAGCATTCCTATTTCTCCACATCCTCTCCAACATCTGTGGTTTCCTGACTTTTTAATGATCGCCATTCTAACTGGCATGAAATGGTGTTCATTGTGGTTCTGATTTGCTTTTCTCTAATGACCAGTGATAATGAGCTTTTTTCATATGTTTGTTGGCTGCATAAATGTCTTCTTTTGAAAAGCATCTGTTCATATCCTTTGCCCACTTTTTCATGAGGTTGTTTGTTTTTTCTTGTAAATTTGTTTAAGTTCATTGTAGATTCTGGACACTAGCCCTTTATCAGATGAATAGATTGCAAAGATTTTCTCCCATTCTGTAGGTTGCCTGTTCACTCTGATAATAGTTTCTTTTGCTGTGCAGAAGCTCTTTAGTTTAATTAGATCTCATTTGTCAACTTTGGCTTTTGTTGCTATTGCTTTTGGTGTTTTAGTCATGAAGTCTTTGCCCATGCCTATGTCCTGAGTGGTACTGACTAGGTTTTCCCCTAGGGTTTTTATGTCATTAGGTCTTACATTTAAATCTTTAATACATTTCAGTTAATTTTTGTATAAGCTGTAAGGAAGGAGTCCGGTTTCAGTTTACTGTGTATGGCTAGCCAGTTTTCCCAACACCATTTATTAAACAGGGAATCATTTCCCTATTTCTTATTTTTGTCAGGTTTGTCAAAGATCAGATAGTTGTAGATGTATGGCGTTACTTCTGAGGCCTCTGTTCTGTTCCACTGGTCTATATATCTGTTTTGGTACCAGCATCATGCTGTTTTTGTTGCCATAGGCTTGTAGTATAATTTGAAGTCAGATAGTGTGATGCCTCCAGCTTTGTTCTTTTTGCTTAGGATTGTCTTGGCTATACGGGCTTTTTTGGTTCCATATTAAATTTAAAGTAGTTTTTTCTAATTCTGTGAAGAAAGTCAATGGTAGCTTGATGGAATAGCATTGAATCTATAAATTACTTTGGGCAGTATGCCCATTTTCATGATATTGATTCTTCCTATCCATGAGCATGGAATATTTTTCCATTTGTTTGTGTCCTCTCTTAGGTCCTTGAGCAGTGGTTTGTAGTTCTCCTTGAAGAGGTCCTTCACATCCCTTGTAAGTTGTATTCCTGGGTATTTTATTCTCTTTGTAGCAGTTGCGAATGGGAGTTTGCTCATGATTTGGCTCTCTGTTTATCTATTATTGGTGTATAGGAATGCTTGTGATTTTTGCACATTCTCAGTATCCTGAGACTTTGCTGAAGTTGCTTATCAGCATAAGGAGATTTTGGGCTGAGACGATGGAGTTTTCTAAATATACAATCATGTCATCTGCAAAAAGAGATAATTTGACTTCCTCTCTTCCTATATGAATACCTTTATTTCTTTCCCTTGCCTGATTGTCCTGGCCAGAAATTCCAATACTATGTTGTATAGGAGTGGTGAGAAAGGGCATCCTTGTCTTGTGCTGGTTTTCAAAGGGAATGCTTCCAGCTTTTGCCCATTTGTGTGATATTGGCTGTGGGTTTGTCATAAATAGCTCTTATTATTTTGAGATATGTTCCATCAATACCTAGTTTATTGAGCGTTTTTAGCATGAAGGAGTGTTGAATTTTATCGAAGGTCTTTTCTGCATCTATTGAGATAATTATGTGGTTTTTGTCATTGGTTCTGTTTATGTGATGGATTACATTTATTGATTTGCATATGTTGAACCAGCCTTGCATCCCAGGGAAGAGGCCGACTTGATCGTAGTAGATAAGCTTTTTAATGTGCTGCTGGATTCGGTTTGCCAGTATTTTTTATTGAGGATTTTCACATGGATGTTCATCAGGGATAGTGGCCTGAAATTTTCTTTTTTTGTTGTGTCTCTGGCAGGTTTTGGTATCAGGATGATGCTGGCCTCATGAAATGAGTTAAGGAGGAGTCCCTCCTTTTCTATTGTTTGGAATAGTTTCAGAAGGAATGGTACCAGCTCCTCTTTGTACCTCTGGTAGAATTCGGCTGTGAATCCATCTGGCCCTGGGCTTCTTTTGGTTTGTAGGCTATTAATTACTGTGCCAATTTCAGAACTTGTTATTGGTCTGTTCAGGGATTTGAATTCTTCCTGGTTTAGTCTTGGAAGGGTGTATGTGTCCAGGAATTTATCAATTTCTCCTAGATTTTCTAGTTTATTTATGTAGAGGTGTTTATAGTATTTTCTGATGGTAGTTTGTATTTCTGTGGGATCAGTGGTGATCTCCCCTTTATCATTCTTTATTGTGTCTATTTGATTCTTCTCTCTTTTCTTCTTTATTAGTGTGGCTAGTGGTGTATCTATTTTGTTAATATTTTCCAAAAGACCAGCTCCTGGATACATTGATTTTTTAAAGGGTTTTTTGCGTCTCTACTTCAGTTCTGCTCTGATCTTAGTTATTTTTTGTCTTCTGCTAGTTTTTGAATTTGTTTTCTCTTGCTTCTTTAGTTCTTTTAATTGTGATGTTAGGGTGTTGATTTTAGACCTTTCCCGCTTTCTTCTGTGAGCATTATTGCTATAAATTTCCCTCTAAACACTGCTTTATCTGTGTCCCATAGATTCTGGTACATTGTGTCTTTGTTCTCACTGGTTTCAAATAACTTACTTCTTCCTGCCTTAATTTCGTTATTTACTCAGTAGTCATACAAGAGCAGGTTGTTCAGTTTCCACGTAGTGGTGTAGTTTTGAGTGGGTTTCTTAATCCTGAGTTCTAATTTGATTGCACTGTGGTCTGAGAGAGTGTTTGTATGATTTCCATTCTTTTGCATTTGCTGAGGAGTATTTTACTTCCAATTATGTGGTTGATTTTGGAATACATGCTATGTGGTGCTGAGAAGAATGTATATTCTTTTGATTTGGGATGGAGAGTTCTGTAGATGTTTATTAGGCCTGCTTGGTCCATAGCTGAGTTCAAGTCCTGAATATCCTTGTTAATTTTCTGTCTTGTTGATCTGTCTAATATTGACAATGGGTGTTAAAGTCTCCCACTATTATTGTGTGGGAGTCTAAGT
Source organism: Homo sapiens (assembly GCF_000001405.40). Taxonomy (NCBI): domain Eukaryota; kingdom Metazoa; phylum Chordata; class Mammalia; order Primates; family Hominidae; genus Homo; species Homo sapiens. The sequence continues at coordinate 38,837,578 of NC_000013.11, forward strand.
CTCTTTGTAGGTCTCTGAGAACTTGCTTTATGAATCTGAGTGCTCCTGTATTGAGTGCATATATATTTAGGATAGTTAGCTCTTTTTATTGCATTGATCCCTTTACCATTATGTAATGCCCTTCTTTGTCTTTTTTTATCTTTGTTGGTTTAAAATCTGTTTTAAGAGACTAGGATTGCAACCCCTGGTTTTTTTTTGTTTTGTTTTGTTTTGTTTTTGCTTTCCATTTGCTTGGTAAATATTCCTCTCTCCCTTTATTTTGAGCCTACGTGTGTCTCTGCACGTGAGATGGGTCTTCTGAATACAGCACACCGATGGGTCTTGACTCTTTATCCAATTTGCCAGTCTGTGCATTTTAACTGGGGAATTTAGCCCATTTACATTTAAGATTAATATTGTTATGTGTGAATTTTATCCTGTCATTATGATGCTAGCTGGTTATTTTGCCTATTAGTTGATGCAGTTTCTTCATAGTGTCAATAGTCTTTACATTTTGGTTTGTTTTTGCAGTGGCTGGTACTGGTTTTTCCTTTCCATATTGAGTGCTTCCTTCAGGAGCTCCGGTAAGGCAGGCCTGGTCATGACAAAATGCTTCAGCATTTGTTTGTCTGTAAAAGATTTTATTTCTCCTTCACTTATGAAGCTTAGTTTGGCTGGATATGAAATTCTGGGTTGAAAATTCTTTTCTTTAAGAATGTTGAATATTGGCCCCCACTCTCTTCTGGCTTGTAGCATTTCTGCCGAGAGATCCACTGTTAGTCTGATGGGCTTCCCTTTGTGGGTAACCCAACTTTTCTCTCTGGCTGCCCGCAACATTTTTTCCTTCATTTCAACCTTGGTGAATCTGAAGATTATATGTCTTGGGGTTGCTCTTTTCAAGGAGTATCTTTGTGGTGTTCTCTGTATTTCCTGAATTTGAATGTTGGCCTGTCTTGCTAGGTTGAGGAAGTTCTCCTGGATAATATCCTAAAGTGTGTTTTCAAACTTGGTTCTATTCTCCCCATCACTTTCAGGTACACCAATCAAACGTAGGTTTGGTCTTTTCACATAGACCCATATTTCTTGGAGGCTTTGTTCGTTCCTTTTCATTATGTTTTCTCTAATCTTGTCTTCACGCTTTATTTCATTAAGTTGATCTTCAATCTCTGATATCCTTTTTTCCACTTGATCGATTCAGCTATTGATACTTGTGTATGCTTCACGAAGTTCTCGTGCTGTGTTTTTCAGCTCCATCAGTTCATTTATGTTCTCTAAACTGGTTATTCTAGTTAGCAATTCCTCAAACCTTCTTTCAAGGTTCTCAGCTTCCTTGCATTGGGTTAGAGCATGCTCCTTTATCTCGGAGGAGTTTGTTATTACCCACCTTCTGAGGCCTACTTCTTCAATTCGTCAAACTCATTCTACACCCAGTTTTGTTCCCTTGCTGGCGAGGAGTTGTGATCCTTTGGAGGAGAAGAGGCATTCTGGTTTTTGGAATTTTCAGCCTCTTTGTGCTGATTTTTCCTCATCTTCGTGGATTTATCTACCTTTGGTCTTTGCTGTTGGTAATCTTAGGATGGAGTTTTTGTGTGGTCGTCCTTTGTGTTGATGTTGATGCTATTCCTTTCTGTTTGTTAGTTTTCCTTCTAACAGTCAGGTCCCTCTTCTGCAGTTCTGCTGCAGTTTGCTGTGGTTCCCCTCCAGACCCCGTTTGCCTGGGTATCACCAGCAGAGGCTGCAGAACAGCGAAGATTGCTGCCTGCTCCTTCCTCTGGAAGCTTCATCCCAGAGGGGCACCCGCCACATGCCAGCCAGAGCTCTCCAGTATGAGGTGTCTGTCAACCCCTGCTAGGAGGTATCTCCCCATCAGGAGGCATGGGGGTCAAGGACCCACTTGAGGAGGCAGTCTGTCCCTTAGCAGAGCTCGTGCACTGTGCTGGGAGATCTTCTGCTCTCTTCAGAACTGGCAGGCAGGAACATTTAAGTCTGCTGAAGCTGTGCCCACAGTCGCCCCTTCCCCAAGGTGCTCTGTCCCAGGGAGATGGGAGTTTTAGCCCCTGACTGGGGCTGCAGCCTTTCTTTCAGAGATGTCTTGCCCAGAGAGGAGGAATCTAGAGAGGCAGTCTGGCTACCGTGGCTTTGCGGTGCTGTGATGGGCTCCACCCAGTTTGAGCTTCCTGGAGGCTTTTTTTACTCTGTGAGGGGAAAACCGCCTACTCAAGCCTCAATAATGGTGGACACCCCTTCCCACACCAAGCTCAAGTGTCCCAGGTTGACTTCAGTCTGCTGTGCTGGCAGCAAGAATTTCAAGCCAGTGGATGTTAGCCTGCTGGGCTCCATGGGGGTGGGATCCACTGAGCTAAACCACTTGGCTCCCTGGCTTCAGCCCCCTTTCCAGGGGAGTGAATGGTTCTGTCTTGCTGGTATTCTGGGCACCACTGAGGTATGAAAAAAACTCCTGCAGCTAGCTGAGTGTCTGTCCAAATGGCCACCCAACTTTGTGCTTGAAACTCAGGGCCCTGGTGGTATAGGCACCCGAAGGAATCTCCTGGTCTGTGGGTTGTGAAGACCATGGGAAAAGTGTAGTATTTGGGCCAGAGTACACAGTTCCTCACGGCACAGTCCCTCATGGCTTCCCTTGGCCAGGGGAGGGAGTTCCCCGACCCCTTGCACTTACCAGGTGAGGCAACGCCCCACCCTGCTTCTGCTTGCTCTCCATGGGCTGCATCCACTGTCTGACCAGTCCTAATAAGATGAACTGGGTATCTCAGTTGGAAATGCAGAAATCGCCTGCCTTCTGCGTTGGCCTTGCTGGGTGCTGCAGACCAGAGCTGTTCCTATTCAGCCACCTTGCCGGGATTTCTCCTTTTTTTTTTTTTTTTTAATGCGGAGTCTGGCTCTGTCACCCAGGCTGGAGTGCAATGGTGCAATATTGGCCCACTGCAACCCAAATGACCTTTAATTTTTAATCTATCACTGCTGCTGATGAAGCCAAGTAGAGAGTGTAAGGTATAGAATCACAGAGCATCAATATCTCAAATATTTTTTAACCTGGGGGATAAAACTAAAATATATATATATATATATATGTGTATGTATATATATACACACACATATGTATACATGTGTGTATATATGTGCATATATACACACACACACACAGATATATATATATACACACACACACACATACATATATGCTTTATAGTCTGGTAGTCCATTTTGTGAAAGAACTGAATTTAATCCCTTTCTGATGGATTTTGGGCTTGTTTCCAATTGCACCCTAATACAAATGAATGAAATACAATGAACAATCCTTTGTATGCATCTTTGAACACTTAGGTTAGCATTTCTATATGACAGGTCCTCATATATTGAATTGCTAGGTAAAAACTTTGTCCATAAAAATCTTGTGAAAAACTTTTATGACTCTTTTCCTGCCTTAATAGTAGTCAAGGGCACAGGCTTTATCTAGATATGCATCCTAGTTCTGCTATTTCCCTGATGTACAGCACAACTTTGGGGAAATCTCTTAATCTCCCTAATCCTTAATTTCCTTATCTGTGAAAACGGGATTAATATAGTACACACCTCAGTGGGTGGTTGTGAGGATGAAATAAGGTACTGAATTTAAAACAACTACTATGGTATCTAGCAATTAAGTTACCAGTGTTAAAGACGCTGAAATGAGCTAAAATAATACGCGGATTGCTGACTCCAAGGTAGTTGCCTGTCAAGATTTTTAAAAACAGTGCTGGGCCTGTGTGGAGGCAAGGGGCATGTGCAGGTCTCTGTATCTTCTGCTCGGTTTTGCCATGAACCTAAAACTGCTCTAAAAACTGAAACCTCTTAACAAACAAACACAGGTGCCTGGAAGCGGCTGTTGGAGATTCTGAGTTGGAAAGTTGGAGATGAGGCCCTAGCGTCTGTATTTTTAAATTGTCTAGGATAATTCTAGTATACTTCCTATTTGGGAACCAGTGAAGGCAAAGTATTTCAAAACAAAAGAAAAAAAAAAGCCTCTTCTCTTTGAGTTCATTTTGATTCACTTTTCCTTCCTCGTGAATTTCTTGCCGATTCGAAGGGCAGCCTTGCAAAGTCCTTTTACTGCAAAGAAAATCACTGGCTCTTCCTTCTGAGGCTTCTTAACTGCCACTGCCTGATGCTAAGAGTGTCCTCTTCTGACTCACCCACCACAGAGACAGAAATATTTATTCATTTGCTGCAGCAAATAAATAATTCTACTTTGATGTTAATTCATTCTACAAATATTGATTGCACACCTATTGCATTGATTAAACTAAGTGTTAGGGAAGTTACCAGTGAATAGAGGAAGCTTGATTCCTCCACTTAGAGAACTCAGAGACAATGGGGGACATACGCACAGTGATGGTAGAAGTTGAGCAAGGGCTTTGTTTGGTAGGGGAAAGCAGGGTGCTCCCCACAGAAGTGACTTCTCAACAGAGGCCTGGAAGATGTGCAGAGCAGAAGGTATCCGGACGAGGAAGGAGGAGCATTCAAAGCAGCAGAGCCATAGAGCAAAGGCTGGGAGGGGCACATTTAAGACATTCAAGATACTGGATTGTTTAGTAGAAAAGGGGCTAATAGGATGTTGAAAAGGCAAACCAAGACCAAATGTTTCAGTGTCTTGTAAACCATGTTAAGTAGCTTGTGAATAATCCCAAGAACAGTAAGCAAAGTTGAGAGGCTTTCAGCAAAGGGAGTACTATGATGAGATTTGCTTTGAGGGATGACCACTTTCCTTAAGAGCCTGGTTAAGTGGTTGCTGGGAAAACTCAAATGGAAGGTGTTATTGCCTACAGCTGGATTAGTGGAAATGAGACAGAGAGAAACCTGGGGAAGGGGAGTGGAGGTGACCCTGTGGATTCCGTTATGGAGAAGTTCACCTTGAGGTGCCCATGGGACGTGGATTGATTAGGCAATACAGCTCAGAAGAAAGATCTCATTTGGAAACAATTCCTTTGTATTATTTTCAGCACCGGACAAAAAAGGCAGCATTAAAGCTTTTACTTCATTCAGTTCTAAGCAAACACATTGGTTAGATCTACAAAGCTTACTTGAATGATGGTCTATGCGCACTTGAGTAAATAAGATTTGGCTCCAGATAGCAATTACTACTGGCACCTCTTCCTTTCATCTCAGGAGACACAATGTAATTGTAAACATCCATCTAGACACTGGGAAAATTTTCCCTCTGGGAAAGAACTTAAATTGTTTCTCTTTGTCTTTGTTGCAGGTATCTGTGCTGTATTGCTCACCTGTCCACCTCTTCTACGTTTGTAGGAAATAAATGTGATCCTATCTGTGCTGTAGGTAGTGAAAGTATCCCCAACCTTGAGAAGCGCATTTATGTTTAATGAGCTAAAATAGACTTTTCTGTAGTCAATGCCTTGATCTATGTCCTTTATTTAAAAGTATAAAGACCTCAAGGGATAGAGTGTAGAGTTTGGCTTCCCTTATGAATTTCACCCTCACTAGGCCAATTCAAAACCTCCCTTGCACTGCTCACAGACAATTTGGATAAACTTATCTTTCCTCTGCATTCTGGAGTGTCATCTGAGGGTGGTGGAGTGATGAGCAAGGACTGTTTTATGGTCTTAGTTGGGTGTAGGCTATGAGATGTGTGGCTTTATTTGATCATCCTCTTATTCTAAGTAATAATATCCTCCACTGATTGTTTTATCCATTAAGTCTGTGAACTTAAACATGGTACAAGGCACAGTATGTATTTAGGAGCTGAATTAAAGAATTGAATAGGCTTCTAGTTTACTTCAAATTGTACTGGGGTAGGGGTATTTCCATAACTGATCTACAAAGATCTTCAGTTTACTTATTTTCTTAAAAGAAACCAAGTTTCTAGGCCAAAAAAAAAAAAGTTTACCAAAGAAAGAGGTGAGTTAAAAGTCTTACTCATGAATAATAATTTTTGAGGGACAAGCAATTATTCTGGATTTTGCATAGATACCTTTCAAAGGCATGACAGTCACATCTATTTATTATTTTATTCCTTCCTCTTGCTTTAGTACTCATTAAAATGTTCCAGGAACATCTTGCTATTTTCCTTAAGTGACATCTATAACTCAACTTACTGCTTGATGTGTCTTTAACTCATTCATATTACATAAGGTTTTCTCCCAGTGGTAATGATTATAAACAATATTCAAATTGTAGATATTTTGAAAAGATGCTGAGAAATTGAAATAAACATAATCATTACTTCTTTTTAGTTCTCACTCATCTAACACTGAAAAAATATGCTGATGCTTAACCATTTTTTTAATTCATGGCACAAGAAACTAGGTAGTTAGCAGAGTTTTTTTTTTTCTTATGGAAACTACTGAATGTGTTTTAATCTCATAATAATCACATCAAACTTTAACTTCAGTAATTGTAATTGATTATTTGACCAGTTTTTCAATCATTATGAGTGGAGCACAAAGAGGGAGAAAAATCATATACATAAATCTACTCATAATCAAAAGCTTTAAGGAAGTAGTTAATTAACTTTTCTAACTCCTCTTATTAGCACTGCATTAAAGTTGAAGGATTTAGGGTTAAAATCCCATTTCCAGTCTCCCTCCTTCTTTCTACAGGAGATAACAATATATTATGCAATAGGCAACGTAATAATGTTGTTTGCATCTTTCATATCCCTTTTATTTTTATAACATTGTCACATGTGCCATGCCACCCCCGCCTCTTTCTTTCTCTCTCTCTGTCTTGCTTACGTACACACTTGCACAGATACACACACACATGCATATAAAACACATGTGTCTGTACATATATGGTAACTCATTCGTCTTCATTTCGAATGACAACTTAGAAGTTTTCAGAGTACTACACCCATAAGACTTCCATATTTTTTCTTATAAAAACTACACATTAAGCTATAAAGTAAAACTACGTGTTTTGGAGTTGACAGAATGAGTCTGAAACATGCAACACACCATTTGGTCCCCGATGTGTAGCTTATTTGGTGTTTAGCAGTTGTATATTCACTCATTTGATTTTATTATGTTCCTTTTTTGTTATGTGTCTGTGAGGAGTTGGGAGATAGGAAGATGGGGAGGTATCATTGTTAAATAAAAGGTCCTCCCTTAACTGCATTTCACAGCTCTCTCCCATAACTCAGAAACCTAATTTGGGTGCTGATGTGGTTTGCCAGGAATGTGAAGAGACTTACAGAGATCACTTGTTGGATGCAGGTGATCAAGCCTCTGTGATAGTTACGGAAGCCTTTTAAAAGACTTACAGATGTGCCTGGTTTGGCCATCTGGTCAGAAGATACATTTTCAGAGCTCTCTGTCTTCACCTTTGTGCCCTACCTCAGTGTGGGAAATGTCAGGAATGTATTGGCTTGTAATTGAGGTTGGCTTTGACTGAGGTTAACAGATAACACCTTCATCTATACACATTACACTCATGTGCCCTAGCACTGTCCAAGTCAAAAGGATAAGAAGGAGGCTAACTATGTTATAGGGACATTTATCACCCCCGAACCAAAATATGTGAACAAAATTTCTAAGGTTGGTTTTCTACTATTCAAGAATTTGAAGGGGCTGTATGATTTTTATCATGCCCACCATGTGAAGAAACAAAGAAAACAAACTTTTCCAGTTTAAATAAAGGTAATTTATTTGGGGCAAGAAAATAAAGAAATCATACTCAACTTGAACAATGCACAAAATGAATTTTCTTTGGCTTTCCAAGTGGCTTTGTGAGCCATTGTTGTAGAGTTTTGCTTAATTTGGTATGTGTGGGAATTCAATTAGTTGCTCTGAAACATGATATCATGTTTTTAGTGGCCTGCCTTCTTAAGGAACAGTAATGTGAGTTGCATGTTCTTTTAGATTCAGTCCTTTTGAATCTTGTAAAACTAGAGCCAGGTGACTAGAATCTGTCAAGTCAAAGGGTTGTTCACCTTATGTGTGTACATTCACCTGTGTCTGTTCATACATGGTAACTATTATCATTAACCTTTATTCTGGGTGATATAATTTATCTTTCTTAATAATTGCTTATAAAAATAAGCTCAAAATGAGTGAAGTATATACTACTTTTGCAACTTCCTGTGAGCCTCTATATAACTCAAAATAAATTTTTTTTTACAGTAAGATCACAAATTAAATCTCTGTTTTATCATTGGTCAGCTGACTGCTAAACCTCAGACTTCTAGCAGCTCTATCACAAGGTAAACCATTGGTCACAGTTTGAGTCAGGCAGAAACAATGATTAGATCAATTCAAGTTTATCACCAGTATTGGAAAAAAATACGAAGACCCCAAAGCATGTGCCCTAGTTTAGTGACTGAATTTGCCTCATTTTCATGTGTGTTTAGAATTAATATTAACCTCTTCATATGAGATTATTTATTTAGTAAAGTCTCACTTGGTATAGAGCATCTCCAATACTCTACAGGCAACCTGCAGTCAGGCCCTGCAGTCTTCAGGACTAGCAATCATATATTCAGTCTAGTTATGACAGTAGGTTCTAACCCTTGTGATTATAACACACTCACATACATCGAAATAAGCCCAAATCTAATGGACCAGAAAATGGCATAATGCAAAAAGGAATAGCTCTGTTCCAGAGTGGGAACTTGGTAAGAAATAATAAAATGAGTGGCTTGGCCAAAGTAAAAAAAAAAAAAAAGATACGTGTTTTGCTTCATTTAGTTCTATTTTTCCAACTAAGCTTCCAGAGGCACTTTTAGAAGCCACTTATAATCCCACATATGAAGCACAAACAAACTTATGCCTCAAGATGAGAATGTTTTATTAGGCACTTTACTGTGTGTATGTTCGATTGTAAGGACTAATATTTTCACCTGAAAAGTTTAGATTAAAGAGATGTTATCTCACTAAAAGGAAAAAAGTATGATGATATAAGGAAGTCCCTAAGAGGAAGCACACTCTTCTTTGGAAGCATGTCAATAGAGTTTGATGTGAAAAAATAAAAATAACAGAAATGATTTCTGTTCCTTTCTTAACAGAACCCATCTTTTACTTCGGTGATGTGGAATACTCTGTGGATGAGAGTGCTGGCTATGTGGAAGTGCAGGTGTGGAGAACGGGCACTGACCTGTCCAAGTCTTCTAGTGTCACAGTGAGGTCTCGGAAAACAGATCCTCCCTCTGCAGATGGTGAGCAGTTTCCCACTCGGCTCTTTTGATTGTTCTGCAATTTTCAATGACCATGGCACAAATTTATTTAAAGCTGAAATACTTCACTTCTATTAAAGCAGTTGGCTGGGTATATTGTTTTTGCTGAAATTATTACTCTAGGAGGTAAATCTAGGCTTTATTTACTACTTTGGGAAAGTACATTTAAAGGCCATGAATCAGAAACTAGGTTACAAACGTTAAGACTCAAAGGATCTGTATACTGAGGCCTATATTTCCATGAAGTGGTTCTCTACTCTCAGCAAATCTAGTATTGCTGAATGTTGTAGCATTATAAGCAGGAAAATCATCTTACTGCACATAATCTATCCCCACAGAAACCTATGACATTTAGGTATTATGCAGGCATGTGTCTTCAGTTGGCTGTCTCCTTATTTTAACCATGTGTCCCTATAAATACTTCAGATCCAAAAGGTTTTTTCCACACTTCGTTATAAAAAAGTACTAACTAGCACATATCTGCATTTTATTCCGGGATCCACATCTCCAAAAAGTTGATTATAAAGTTTACAGCAAGCATAGAATTCAAAATTTCCTTTTTTTTCTAAATGACCAACAATACAAACTTTCTCATGTACACACACATGAGAACACACATGCATGTCATACACACATCATGCATTCATCACACAAAGCAAGCACAGGTTATACCATTTTAAAAGTCACCCTTAGGTTTTAACTTTTTTAATGTAGTGGAAGCAGTATAGTGCTTTGCACGTAGCAGGTGCCCATTAAACCTTTGTTTAACTAAATTAATCATTTTTAAGAGAAAGATTCAAATCACAGATGAGGGGAGGGAGAGAGAGAAATAAGAGCAAAGGGGAAGAAGCAGAGGAAAAGAAAAAAATATAAAAAGAACCACAGGGAGATATGGACATCCTACAAAATGAATCAAAGACAGATATACTCAAGCAAAGTTGCACATTTGGAGGTAAAGTAGATACAAAATGAGAGTCAGAAGAGCAGAAGGTATGAAAACAAAGAAAGAAGAAATATTATCGATCTGTTGCCCACCACTGTCAATCTTTGTGGATGTAGTGGCTACAGATTAAAAGACAGTTTTGTTTTTAACTACTTTAGATATAAGTGGAGGTATCAACACTAGATATAACCCCCTTTGTCTGAAAAATATTAAATTAAAGATCAAAAAGTAGAAGCTTCTCTCATTGCCTGGGACAAAGGTGGATGGAGTGTGGGCAGAGCTGGTACCCCTTAAATGTGTTGCTTTAACTAACAGGCAACCACATACCTGAGTAGGATGTTCTACAGCAGCTCCAGCAAAGATACATAAATACTTAATTAATGTTAACAAAATTTTAAATGTCTCTATTTCATATGTAATTTATAAGGATCACATATTTGATTGATATGCTGATTTTTCTAAGCCTGATTTTTATTACCTTTATTAGAGAATTTTCAAACTAAAGTTAGAGGAACTATAGCACAGAAAGCTAAAATAATGAATCCAAAGTCTAACCATGAAACATGGATAAAGTTCAGCAGCTGGTCTTTGATCTATCACCACAGTAGTTATCCAGATACTAATCTTTTGCCTTTTATTAAATGTACTTTTCTGTAGAGTTATGCTGGTCTCTATTTTTTAAAAGAAGAATTATAAACACAATTACATAATTTATGTCTTATAATTTTTTGAAATTTAATTAGTCCCCAACTGAATATTTTTTTGTTACTGTCATAGCTGGAACAGACTATGTGGGCATCAGCCGTAATTTAGATTTTGCACCTGGAGTCAACATGCAGCCTGTTCGTGTTGTCATTCTGGATGACCTTGGACAACCAGCGCTGGAGGGAATTGAGAAATTTGAACTGGTGCTTCGCATGCCTATGAACGCAGCCCTTGGCGAGCCCAGCAAAGCCACAGTGTCCATAAATGACTCTGTCTCCGATTGTGAGTGTTTATTAATTTTATAATTTACAATGATAATTGAAATCATAAGCTAAGGTTTATGTATATATGATAAGCAAGATGATTATATATATTTGTTTGTTTGCTAGGGCTTCCATAACAAAGTAGCACTGTCGGGGTGGCTTAAATAACAGAAATTTATTATCTCATAGCTGTTGGCTGGAAGTCCAAATTTAAGGTGTTGGCAGGCTCGCTTCCTTCTGAGGGCTGTCAGGGAAGGAGGTTCCAGGCCTCTCTCCTTGGCTTGAAGATGGCCATGTTGTCCCTAAGTCTCTTTGCATGGTGTTCCCTGTATGTGTCTCTGTCTAATTTTCCCCTTTTAATGAGGACACCAGTCACATTGGATTAGAGCCTACCCTAAAGACCTCATTGTAATTTAATTACTTCTGTCAAGACCCAGCCTACCAATAAGGTCACATCCTCAGGTATTGGGGGTTGGGATTTCAACATATGAATTTGAGAGGAACACAGTCCAGCTCATACAAATACCCTAGCTGACCACACCTTTCTCCTCCTGATGATTTTGATAGAATTAGACAGTCTCAGAATAAAACTTTTATTCTTTCTCTCAAACCTTAAAGAAAAAAAATGTGATGTCATCAGTATCTTGATTGTGCCTCAAGAATTCCCGTCACCACAGTTGGGTGGAACCATGTGGAACTGCACAGACTCCTGAGTGTCAATAATCTTTCTCCACTTCACAGCACAAGACACTTTCTGTCGTCTCCTTCCCCTAGACACTCATCAAATTTCTTTAATAATGTGCCAAAAATGCTGTTCTGGGACAACCCTCTGCTGGACACATGGCAGAGCTCTCTGACACGTCATCACAAGGGAATTCTGAACACTCTTCAATCATGATGATTTCAACAGTGCTTGGAGGAGTCTCACCTATTGTCAATGAGCCCTATACGTAATTAACCTAGCATAGGTGTCACCTAAAAATCACACACACCACACACACAGTCAAGTTACCTACATGATCTGAGTAAACTATGCTTGTAATTATGTGCACAATATTCAGTGTTCTTCACGTCAGGAAATTCTGAAAGGCTCATGACTAAGAAACATGTAGATACAAATATCTTAAGGTTTGTGGTTTTATCTACTTTTTAACATTTCATTGCATACCCTTACTTTACCAAACAGGCAGAGCAAAATGTCAAAGGTAAGGAAATCAAAACTCTTAAGTGATTTGCTCAAGGTCAAAATATTGGCAAGTGACTGAATGGAGACAGAATCCAGTTCTTCTCACTTACTTTCCATTATTCTTTCCACTAAATCACATCTTCTGAAATGCCATTTTCCACAAGGAAATTTCTGTTCACTTTAATCCTTTGTTTTTGCAGTGCCTAAGATGCAATTCAAAGAACGAATATATACTGGCAGCGAAAGTGATGGGCAGATAGTTACAATGATCCATAGGACTGGGGATGTCCAGTACAGATCTTCAGTGAGATGCTACACCCGGCAGGGGTCTGCACAGGTGATGATGGACTTTGAAGAACGCCCAAACACTGATACCTCCATCATCACATTCCTCCCTGGTAAGCTTGAACTTGAAATTTTTTCGTGAAATTTGAAGAAGCCGAATTTTTACTCAGAAATATATATCAGGGAAATACAAGTTCCTCGATATCAACAAGCATATGGCATGGTTTTATGTGCAATAAATGAGGAAAGTGAAATCGATTTTTAACAGGTTGAATGAATGCCCTTTTGGTATCTGCATTAACTTATTGATTTCCAGTGATGTGATATATGGTTTATTCAAAACTTATTCAGTGGACAAAAGCATATCAAATGTACAGATTTTACAATGCTAGGAATTAAACTTGGCTCAATGATTTGTTTAGTAAGTCAAAAGTTAATAATACTAGAAACTAGTGTTGAGGTCAGATTAACAATGATCAACCAGGGCAAGGCTGCTAATCTTGCTTTCTGAATGTAATGCTAAAAATTCATAAATAAAATTGACATTTGTGCTTTTTCCCTTGTTTTCTAAGATGAGTGGCAGAGCTCAAAGACAGAAATCAAAGAAATTCCCCATACGAATAAGTGCTGGTCATTGCATATACTTAAATATTTATTCACTTATTCAGCAAATATCTGCTGAAGGCTTATTGCATGCCAAACACTATTTATTGCACTGATACAGCAGGGAAAATCAACAAACTTGCCCTTATGGTGCTCACATTCTAGTTGTAGATATATTCCTATGGGATGTGATTGACCTGCTGACATTATTGTTCCAGGTGAGACAGAAAAGCCCTGCATTCTTGAGCTGATGGACGATGTGCTCTATGAGGAGGTAGAGGAGCTCCGCCTGGTACTCGGCACTCCACAAAGCAACTCTCCCTTTGGGGCTGCAGTTGGTGAACAAAATGAAACTCTCATAAGGATCCGAGATGATGCTGATAGTAAGAAATCTTTTTTTGTTTGTTCAACTGTAAATTAGAAACTAAAATCCAGCCAAGTCAAGGTTTTAAGTGACTCAGAAAAATGCCCCCACCTCCTCTGCTTTATGACTAGGGTTTTTAAGCAATTGAGAAACAGCAAAAAGACAAACAAATGGGGAACAAAATAAACCATTAAAACTGATAAAGTTGATGCTGGAGAATATGGCTTATATCCAAACACTAATTCCCAAACATCCATACTGGCCCTCTACTCTATACACACCCTTGGGTACAGGGGGACCAACAGTTTCCTCCCTTCCCACCCACCTTCAGTGGCCTGCTCATGTGTAATTTATGGCACATATAGAGAGCTGGCAGCACATGCTCTCTGGGGGCTGGTTAGATCCCTGGAAGGAGCTGGACAACATATGCCAGCTTTTCCTTCCACACACGTCACTAATTTTGAGTGAGGGGACAGAGAGAAGCCAGGAGTGTAATAGTCATTTATCCCCTCCCACATGGAAACAAACATTAGAAATGGAGGAAAAGCATTCCCCTTACTAACAATTTCATTTGTCTTTGTTTCCCACAATTTTAGAGACTGTTATTAAATTTGGAGAAACCAAATTTAGTGTCACTGAACCCAAAGAACCTGGAGAGTCGGTGGTTATAAGAATTCCAGTGATTCGCCAAGGAGACACTTCAAAGGTTTCCATTGTGAGAGTCCACACCAAGGATGGCTCGGCCACCTCTGGAGAAGACTACCACCCTGTGTCAGAAGGTATGGGGCTCCCAGGGCCTGTCTCCTGATGGATCATGCCAACTCTGTGTTTCAGTGCCAGTGCCCTTAAGGAAAAGAAGGGAAACATCCAATTGAAATCAAAATAGGGCACTCTTTTTTAGGGGGTATAATTTTAAGGGGTACAAGTGCAATTTTGTTACATGGTTATATTATGTAGTAGTGAAGTCTAGTCTTTTAGTATCTCCATCCCCAGAATAATGTACATTGTACCCATTAAATAATTTCTCAATACCCACCTCCTGCCACTCCCCCACCCTCCCAAGCCTTCAGTGTTTATCATTCCACACTCTATGTCCACGTGTACACATTATTTAGCTACCACTTATAAGTGAGAACAAGCAGTATTTGACTTTCTGTTTCTGAGCTGTTTCAATTAAAATATAGACATACTCTTTTAAATTCCTCTCGTTTAGTAAAACAAACACAATGGGATTTATTTCCAAGATTTTTTTCTTTTTGACTTACAGGGTATATGTGTTAGGACTTAGGGAAATTTTGAGTAAATGTGCTAAATAACCTTCTGTTTGAATTGGCTTTCTATTAGTTTTACCTTCATTGTAGTTACCAGATTAAATAATAATTTCCTATATTTTTCTATGTAATTGCAATATGCATGATAACTGTGATAATAATCTATTTTAGTTTAGAGAACACCAGCAATCTAAATCTAAACCAAAAAATTTTGTGTTAACAAAGGACAGTAAAAGTATAGTGAAATATTAACCACAGAGACAATGAATTCTCTAGGATTTAGGAGCCACTTAGAGATGTCTTTCATCCCTCTCCTTTTGCAAATGTTGGGCCATGTCACCATCTTTTTTTTTTTTTTTTTTGAGACAGAGTCTCACGCTGTTGGCCAGGCTAGCATGCAGTGGCGTAATCACAGCTCACTGCAGTCTCCGTGTCTTAGGTTCAAGCGATCCTCCCACCTCAGCCTCCCAAGAAGCTAGGACTACAGGCATGCACCACCATGCCCAGCTAATTTTTTGTATTTTTGGTAGAGATGGGGTTTTACCATGTTGGCCAGGCTGGCCTCAAACTCCTAGTCTCAAGTGATCTGCCCACCTTGTCCTCCCAAAGTGCTTGGATTAAAGGCATGAACCACCAAACTCAGCCTGCCATTTACTTTTATCAGTAATTAAAACAAGTCAGTTCTGGCCGGGTGCGTTGGCTCACACCTGTAATCCCAGCACTTTGGGAGGCCAAGGCGGGTGGATCACCTGAGGTCAGGAGTTCAAGACCAGCCTGACCAACATGGCAAAACCCCGTCTCTACTAAAAATATAAAAATTAGCCAGGCGTGGTGGCACACGCCTGTAATCCCAGCTACTTGGGAGCCTGAGGCAGGAGAATGGCTTGAACCCGGAAAGCAGAGGCCGAGATCCGCCATTACACTCCAGCCTGAGAGACAAGCGCAAAACTCCGTCTGAAAAAAAAAAAAAAAAAAACAAATCAGTTCTTCTCTCTCACTTGCTCTCTCTCTGAATTATTTGCTTACAAAATAAAAGTAACTTTATGTCCAATATTACATTTATGAATTATTTGGAGTCTAATTATTCACTGTGTTTTCTCCTTTCCTACCTCTCACTATCAAGAGTCATTAGTTCTTGATGATCTTAGCACGTCAGGCATTCATCTTTATCTAATTTACAAACAAAGCTGAGAAAACAACTGATAGGTATCACTGAATCAGTAATAAAGTTAGTGAGGCAACATAAAAAATGGCGTCTTCTACAAAGGAGCTTGTATATTCTTTCCATATAATGGTTATAATTTGATGAACTACTCTAGAGCTTCAAAGTTATCCCCAGATTATTCTCTATGTAAAACAAAATATATATTTGAAATAAATCACATGTAATCCCAGAGAAGGGAAAACAAAACTGATTAGCTACTGAATTATAAAATATTAAATGTCTTTCTATAATGAGCAGATTTTACATGAAAGAAGTGTCTTTTAAATATTGATAACATGACTTTTAACAAAAAATGTTTTTCTTGGAAGTAAAATGATTCCTTTTGCTAAACGGAAACAAAATTATAGCTATGTAGTAAACTGAAAAATAAAGTCAGAAAAAAGTTAAAACATTAAATAAACCTGTTGGTCTCTTTTATCCAATAAATGTCAACATGTGTTTTATAATGTTTATATTAAAAATTTAAGGAATAGTTTTCTGAAACATTTTCTAATTTCTCCTTTTCAGGTTCAAACTGAAGTGAGTTCTTTGCAAAAAAAAAAACCAGAAAAAATTAAATATAGAAAAAAAGTTGAAATTTTTTCATGCTAAAATAGTCTAAAGTGACAGAAAAAGATAAATGTGAATGAGAAAACTTGACCACCGTCCAGCAAGTATACTATCAGAAAACAATAACAAATATTTAAAATAAATATTTAATTTTTTAAATTCTAAGAAATTTGGTTTGTATAACTCAAGGCATCACAAAACCTTGAATGCTTACATGTCTAAGATAAGCAATGAAAACGAGTAAACCAAGGAAAATATGATAGAAAATGGAATGATTATAGTGTCATTAAGCCAGCAAGCCCATTCCTTGCCAAGAAAAGGCTGTATTATCACAGCCTAGTGTTCGTAGTCTTCTGCCATGCAGGAAGGTGCCAAAAAACTCAAAAATCTCTATTTTCTTATGAAATTCCCAGATATTTAAGTGTTAGAAACCCAGTTTTTAATGTCACATCATACAGGTCAAATCAAACAAATGATTAGCTATTTTCTTCTCTGGAACAAGAACTGTAAGTTCTCTCAGGGTATAAGAAATCTGAGACTGATGGGCTCATTATGATATGTGAAGGCTGATAGGAATAGTTGCTGTATCTAGAGACAGAGAACTAATTTTAAAAAGAAAAAGAAAAAAATCTTTAAAGATAAAGAGAAGAAAATTGCTCCTCGTACCTGATAATTTAAAAATTGAAGCAGAAAAAGGAAAATGCACTGGCAATTCATTTTCTTCTTCCAGACTCTAAAGGATTTGTAATTTAGAATTATAATAATTGAACTGCAGCTACATCAGAAACTGGCATCTGTTGACTCTTCTAATTGGGATAATTATGCTTTATAGGCTTTATATTTTCTCCTTTGAAACGGTATCTTAAAAGGTATAGTAAAACCAACAAAATAGTTTATCCATGGTTTACAGTATGATCAGCTGCTTAATTACGATTTCAATAAAATCTGATAATTGTCATGTTTTTTAGCAATTTTGAAATGAGTGGTTAAGAAAATAATTCTGATTTTTTTTTTAGGATTCTAGATTTAACTTTCATGACAAAGAAGCAATTCTTTTTTAGTGAGAAAGGACAGGGTGAAGGGAAAAAAATCATTAGCATTTATCTAAAATAACTTGTCTAAGTTTCCCTGAAAAACACAAAGAAGTCTTCTTGAAATATAATTTGGTATTTTATAAAAAAGTCAACAATTATTTATCCAGCTCTTCTACATATGTACATAATGTAAATCCCATTCACACTCTATTATACTTATGATCATATTCATTTTCTTGAGTCCTATTGGTTTAGAAATTCTGGAGAATAAGAGGTTAATTTTTCTGATTCTATCCCAATATTAGAACTACTGATTGTCCCTCCCATAATTCAGCATCTTTTCAAACTGTGGGCCAACGAACCAATGTCTTATTATTAAAATTTTCCTTCAGATAAAATCGGCATTCCTAGCAACCTGGATGGAACTGGAGACCATTATTCTAAGTGAAGTAACTCAGGAATGGAAAACCAAACATTGTATATTCTCACTCCTAAGTGGGAGCTAAGCTATGAGGATGCAAAGGCATAACAATGATACAATGAACTTTTGGGACTCCAGGGAAAGGGTGGGAGGGAGGTGAGGGGTGTAAGACTACAAATTGGGTACAGTGTATACTGCTTGGGTGATGGGTGAAACAAAATCTCAGAAATCACCACTCAAGAACTTATTCATGCAACCAAACACCTCCTGTTCCCCTAAAACTCTATGGAAATAAAAAAATTAAAAAAATAAAGTCTTGGGAAAAAAGAAAATATTAAAGTAAAATGCATAGAATAAGAATTAGTGATGTTTGTTAAACATTTGATTTCATTTTACACACACACCCAAATATACTGGACCACAGTGTAAAATGTATTTCTCATTGTAGGCCACAGTAAAAAAAAAAAAAAAAAAAAAATAGAAAACTTCTCATATTCATATGCAAATGATTTAAATCTGTGATGTTACATTTGTAGAAATTGAGTTTAAGGAAGGGGAAACCCAGCACGTGGTTGAAATCGAAGTTACCTTTGACGGGGTGAGAGAGATGAGAGAGGCCTTCACTGTTCACCTAAAACCTGATGAAAATATGATAGCAGAGATGCAGGTAAGTAATGTAATGTGTATGTAAATTCATGGCTAGCAGTTTGTCAGAGGAAATGCATAAAAGCAATCACATAGTGTACAACAAAATGAGGAGACTTTGAACAAGCCTTACGTGAAAGAGATATGCATAATCTCTTTTTACCACCTAAATGTGTTTTGTTCTGATTAGATCATAGTCAAGAAATGTGCATCTTTTTCTTTGAAAAATCATGTTTGTCGAAACTCAAGGACTGAAGCCACTGAGCCCCAAACCTGTGCACTTCCCTTCCCCATGTCAGTCAGTAATGATTCATTGACCTTGGGATTAACCATCAGAGAGAAAGCAACATCTCAGAGTAAAGAGGGAACTATTAATTCAGTGCCACAACTCATAAAACATATTCGAACCCACAAAGCAGTTAGCTAACCCTCCAAATCAAAGTCTGTTTCTCCTGGCTTTATCAGAATTTGATGTCCACAGCCTCATGATCAAAATGTTGCAGTCCTAAATCTTGTTTTCTATACTTACTTAATTTATATTGTCTCACTAACCAGGTTTTCCTCAAAATGAACATAATTCCACAGAATGTTGACCTTTATATTGGAAATAATTTTTAAAACTACGTGTCTTTTTGGAATGTATTAATTTTTTATGTCTTTGCTTACATTTACTGTATTACTTTTTTTTATTTGTTTCACTTTAGTATGAGTTCAAGCTGGGAAACGTTTTTCCTTAAATATTTTTATCATTTTGTAATCTTTACTGCTTGATGGTTTTTCTACTACAGTGCCTTGCTTTTTATCAAGTTATTTAAAACTCAAGTATGGGCAATCTTTATCAAATATAGTTTTGTGTCTTCATCACATAAGATGAATCTTTTATTATTATTTTTATGGAGTAGCGTATGAAATTCTTTTGGGTGAAAAGGATAGTCACTCAAATTACTTCCAGCGATGAAAGCTTCTTTTAAAAATATACACGTAAAGATAGTTCAGGAAACTATGCTATGTAGTCAGATGTTGGAAGGTTATTAGGGAGCCAGGGCAAACTCACAGCAAGGTGTTCTTGTCACCTTGCCCAGCAGCAGGTGTTCATAGATTCCTCTTCTGTCTGGAACTCAAATTCTCCCCTGCCTGGGTTTCAGGCAGTGCCTTCTGCCCTTGGCTGCTTCAAAGAGTTTCTTATTACTGGCATCTGCTTCATCCAGGCTCACACTATCCCATGACCTCTGTGATATTCCTTCCTTCAGAATGTCCTCCAGCTTTACTCCCACTGTCAAAGAATTGACTCCTTCATAAAATTTCCCTTCACAACCCCAAGACACATTTAGCTACTGTCATCACAACTGGAGAAAAAAAAATAAATTAGAGCCCAAACACCTCATGGGCCGCTGGCCAACCTTTGGATTGACTGCCCTGGGCTCAGCTGCCCTCCCTGGAACCATAAGATGTGAACAAGGTGCCAAGGTCATGTGCTGCAGGCCACTTAGGGCCTGTTGCTCTCCAGGGGCTCTGAGTATGACAATTTGCATCATAACGAGGCCATGGGGTTGCCAGGGATCGTGAGTATTGTTCTGTGTGGTAGAAGCATCAAAAGTTTAATATTTCACTAATCAGTGATAATTGTCTTTTCCTTCTAGTTGACGAAAGCCATTGTGTACATAGAAGAAATGAGCAGCATGGCAGATGTCACTTTTCCTTCTGTCCCTCAAATTGTATCCCTGTTGATGTATGACGACACTTCCAAAGCTAAGGAGAGTGCTGAACCCATGTCTGGCTATCCTGTCATCTGTATCACAGTGAGTAGGAGATTCACAAAATTGAGGAAAATTGTAAGATAATTATTTCAAATAATTATAATCAATATAGCATTGGCTTTGTTATGAAGAAATGAAAGTAGAAAAATACTACATGGTTTAAGCCTTGAGCTTTGCATATATAACACTAATCAAATAAAGCTCCCATTTTTCTTTCTTCACCGAACAAAGGTTCATTAACTGATGTGTACATAGTGTGTTATCTCAGTCTGTCACCAATAGAAAAATAAATAAGATATGAAGTCTGCATTCAAGATATTTAGAGATGAAGAAAAGAATATAGGAATTGGTAACTCTAATATAAGGCAAGATATAACCACTATCATGAAAATGATACAAATTAGAAGTCAGAGCTGCAGCTCCATATATGAGGGGAGGTTTGGGATGGTCAGGTGGAATTTTGACTCTTTAGGATGCAAGTCTGATAAGGGAAGGTCATTCTAGGAAGAAGGGACTGCAACGTGAGCTACAGCTAGAAAAAAATAGCATAAGAAATAGCAAATTATCACTACTTTCAAAATTTGCCTTTTCTTGACTCTAAGTTTAAGCTCCTTGTGAGCTAAAATTATGACTTACTTATGTTTATATTACAACAGCACTTCTAAAATCACTTATACAATACATGTTTATTGAGTCAACAAGGCAGAGATAATTTGGCGTCAAAGTATAGGGAGTTTTAAATGTCATATTAAGAAATTTGGACTTCATTTGTTGGGTAGCGAAGAGTTCTCACATGGAAGAATGATCAGAGGGGTTAAACTGGCAGGTTAACAGGGCAGTCGTGTGTCAGTGGACTGGAAGAAAAGATGCTGAATTAGACAGAGAAGTGCTGCTGGAAATGGAAAGGAAGGCATCAACTTAAGCAATACTGTTAAAGAAGAATCAGCCGAGTTCATGACTTACTGGATAAGGGGGGTAAGATGAGCGACAGGAAGCGGGGGAGGAAAAAAGAGAGAATAAGGATAACTGGCAAATCTGATGATTCAAGAGATTATGGTATAAATAACAATTTTACACATATTAAGTTAGAAATAGAAACATCCAATAAGCTGTTTGAAATGCAAGATTATGTTTATAAATGTTATCATGCCTGGGGATCAAAATTCGGAAGCTGTATAAACAGCATGTGGAAATTGGGGAAAGCAGCAGTGAAAACTCGATGGCAGAGAACGGGAGAAGAATGCGTTCCACCTGTTCTACACTCTGTTCCTAACACAGTCATTTGTTTTCCGTAGGCTTGCAACCCCAAATATTCAGACTACGATAAAACAGGCTCTATCTGTGCAAGTGAGAACATCAATGACACTTTGACGCGGTACCGGTGGCTGATTAGTGCACCTGCGGGCCCTGACGGTGTGACCAGCCCTATGAGAGAAGTGGACTTCGACACCTTTTTTACGTCATCCAAGATGGTCACACTGGACTCCATATACTTTCAGCCTGGCTCCCGGGTACAGTGCGCAGCTCGTGCTGTGAACACCAATGGGGATGAAGGCCTGGAGCTCATGAGCCCTATTGTAACCATCAGCAGAGAAGAAGGTCAGTCATTGCCATTTTCCCCTGAAGATCACTGGAATACTGTGCAATATTACAAATGTCTACTTTCTGGTTATTAATACTTCCAATGTCCCACATATTCCATATATTTTGTAAGTAGTGAAAAATTAAAATCTATTTTTACAAAATTATGTATTAGAAAACAAAATATTTATTCATTCTACCTTTAAGTATCTATTATATGCCAGACACAATGCTTTGTGCTGGCAATAAAATAAAGAAGACAGGATCCCTGCTTTTGAGGAATTCTTGGTCCAGTTGAAGATGCAGACACATTTTAGTCTAGACAGGGCACAGGAATGCACAGGTAGAAGTGATTAGTTTTACCCTGAGTGGGTCAGGAAAGGCTTATCAAAGAGGGGAGGCTCAAGCTGAATCTGAAAAGAGTAGAGGAAAACAAGCATGAGCAACAACTCATAAAAGCAAGAAAGAATGCGGGATATTGTGGGAATGGCAAGCAGAGAAATGGGGAAGCTTCTGAGAGGGAGAGGAGGAAAAACCAGGAGACAAGGCAAAATGGTATGCAAGGCTCAGATCTGAACAGAGCTCATGCCATGCAAGGAAACCAGCTGGTTGTTGGGTGAGTAGGATTTTGCTGGGGACGGGAGGGGAAGGGCAGTCCAGATAGAGGGGTACGTGCAAATTAACACCTTGGTATTACAAGAGAGACTGTATTTAAGGCTGGAGCAAAGACACATTGGGGATGGAGAATAGGATGTGGCTGGGGACAACATTGGAAAGACAGGAAATCCACTGTATAAATAAATCCTTCACTCTGCAGAATAATTTTTAATGAGATTTTTCTTAAAAACGGTTGTATATATTTGATTCTATTTCTAAATCATCTATTTGCACACCGCATTCAAAAGTAAATTTACTGCATAGAGGTCATATGTCCCACCTGTGACTACTATATATTCAGGATCAAATATTTAAATAATGCCTTAAAATGATTCTCTCTTTTAATAAATCAGACAGCCTCTATGCTGGGGCCTGACTCTGATTTCCTTGCTATTCTAATACATATTTGTCTATTTTCTCTGTTTTATACAAATAGATAAGTAATTGTATCTTTCCAAGTTCTCCTGAAATTATAATTCAGCGTCTTGGTTCCTTTCATGATGTTCAAATAGAAACCCCACTATTTTCCTAAAGGAAATACTGGAGAAAGAGTTTCATGTCCAAATTCTTGAAGGTCACTGGGAGATATGAGACAGAAAGAGATGAATATAAAATGGATTATAATGTATAATACACATACTGTAAAAAATTACATCTATAGAGAAAACTCTACTGTACATATTTTGCTCTCTGATTTTTAAGGAGACTTTAGTTTTTGTTCCTAAAATGAGCACAGTTTTAGTTTTATTCACTTATAAGTAATGTAAACATAACTAATGATAAGTATATTATTCTAGAGTAAAAATAACATTTACTTGGTTTAACTACACTTACTTTTATCCTACTGACTTTCAGTCATTTTTACTGTATCTGTTCATACTTTATATTTAAATGATTTTGTGAATATGACCATGACCTAGAATAACCAGCACACATTAAGTTACATTGAATGGTAACAAATTTTTTCTCAAAGTTTGAACAATCCATAAATTGTCAAGTGGCCACTAACTGTCTGCTGTGATTACTTCTCACCCTGTGGACTTCTAATTCCTTATCACGTGATGTACACTCTTAGCCATGCCCTACTCCACAGAGAAGTTGAAAGTACACAGAAAAATAATAGCTCCTATTTTCTAAAACATTCTTTAGGTATTATTGATTACCTTCTTTTCGCATAAATATGGTCTTTTTTTTTTTCAAGGTCTTTGTCAGCCCCGTGTACCTGGGGTTGTTGGAGCAGAGCCGTTCTCAGCTAAATTGCGCTACACAGGCCCTGAGGATGCAGACTACACAAACCTTATCAAGCTCACTGTCACAATGCCACACATAGATGGTAGGTGACTTGGGTAAGCAAATCCATGGAATTGTTTTGGACTCCTCATTACCTGTTGTATTTTCCTTCATCTTCTAAATAACCAAGCTTAAATAAACGTTCAATTTGCAACTTGAGCTTCAAGTCCTTCCACTTCTTTCAACTGTTTTAGCTTTGTTCTACCCTGTTTTTATAACTATGGCAGTGTAAGCATTCGTTAAAATTAGGTAGATGTAATACATATCCAGACACGATAAAACAAAACTTTGGTACCTAGTCTAGCTTTTATGAAAGAGTACAAATGCATCTTCAATCGTAAACTTGAAGTTACAGTAAAGTATTTGATATCTTAGTACCTACCTTCAACATGTGTTGCAGTTTTATAGCTGGAGTTTTATGTCTCTCTCAATATTTATCATGTAACTGTAAGACATTTCCAAGATATTTAAATAAAATAAAAAATGAAACTAACAGGTATTAAATATTGTGTCTATTTTCTCTGGCTAGGTAGCCATGACCAGAATGTGTGCATCAATAACTTTATCATACTTTATGAATATTTTACCATGTGCGGAAGGCATTTTCAAGTTATTTTCCACTCAAATCACTTTATACTTATAGCAAATTGTTAATAAAATTACTTGATATGTTAGTTATATTTTATGTAGCTAAGGGAGAGGAAATACGATTAGGAGCTGCAACGTAGAATCTACCTCCCCCAGAACAAGAACATCTGCTATGTCTTCCTATTACAACCTGAGATTTTTCTGGGGATTGGAAGGGCAGGTGGTCAGGAATCTGCATTCCTTCCTTTATAGCATAATGTTGGTCCCTGAACCACCCAGTCTGTAGGTCCATGTGGAGGTGTGACTTGAGCTGCAAAGGGCTGAGAAGGGACCCATCAGGGAAACACAGACCTATAAGAGTTATTTCCTAAAAGAAAGAGTGGTCTCTTCTGCCACTCCTAGGGCTTGGCTTTGCGTTTTCTGAATGCACTGTTCAATGTTCAATAGCCACAGTTCTGCCAGAAGTGTAGTTGAGGCTGACCACTTCTTCTGTGGGGCCGGAGTTTTGCTCTGAGTGAATCTGAGAGGAAGAGGTGTGAAAGGCTCAAAGAGAAGAACTGGTTCATAGTCTTTTGCTGTATTGCTTATGCCAGGGCTCAACACACTATGTCCTGTGGCCAAATACAGTCTGCTGCCTGTTTTCATATGGTCTGCAAGCTAGGAATAGGTTTTATATTTTTAAATGTTTGGGGAAAAAAAAAGAAGTCTACTTTTGAGACATAAAGATGGTATGGAATTCAAATCCATTGCCCATGATAAAGTTTTGTTGCACACAGTTCTGTTTCTTCTTTCACATAGTAGTGGCTTTCACTCTGATGGCAGCATTGAACAGTCAACAGAGACCTCAGGGACCACAATGCTAAAATATTTACTATTTGACCCTTTATGGAACAAATTTTCAGTCCTTAGCCTGTACTTTTTAATGGTGGTAGTTTTCAACTTTATAAAAATTTTTTTTTTGAGGCAGAGTCTCACTCTGTTACCCAGGCTGGAGTGCAGTAGCGCGATCTCAGCTCACTGCAACCTCCACCTCCCGGGTTCAAGCGATTCTCATGCCTCAGCCTCCTAAGTAGCTGGAATTACAGGCGTGCATCACCATGCCTGGCTAATTTTTGCATTTTTAGTAGAGACGGGGTTTCGCCATGTTGGTCAGGCTGGTCTCAAACTCCTGACCTCAAGTGATCCACCTGCCTTGGCCTCCCAAAGTGCTGGGATTACAGATGTGAGCCACCACGCATGGCCAGTTTTCAACATTTATGATCCAGGACATCTTAGAAATTATTGAAGATCTCAAAGAGATTTTGTTTATGTGGGTGATATCTATAAATATTTATTGGATTTTAAATTAAAACTGAGGAATTGTTATTTATTCACTTATTTAAAAATTACAAAAAGAAATACATTACATATTAACATGAAATACATCCTTTAAAAAACTATGTTATAAAACAAAAAAATGATGAGTGGCACTTTTATATTCTTGAAGATATCATTAATGTCTGACTTAATAGAAGATAACTGGATTCTCTGCTTCTGCATTCAATCTGTTGCAATTTATCATATCTTGTAGTCTCTGAAAAACTGCATTTGTGAGAGAATATGGGTGGCAAAGTCAAATAATAACTTACTATCATTGTGAAAATAGCGATTAAGTCATGGATCTCTTGAAATTTTCCTGGGGAACCCCAGGGTTCTTAGTATACCACTTTTTTATTTTTTTGTTTTTTGTAGGGGTTTTTTTTGAGGTGGAGTTTCACCTTTGATGTCCAGGCTGGAGTGCAGTGGTGCGATCTCAGCTCACTGCAACCTCT
Source organism: Homo sapiens (assembly GCF_000001405.40). NCBI lineage: Eukaryota > Metazoa > Chordata > Mammalia > Primates > Hominidae > Homo > Homo sapiens. Next base: position 38,863,919 of record NC_000013.11, read on the forward strand.
GCCTTCCGGGTTCAAGCAATTCTCCTGCCTCAGCCTCCCAAGTAGCTGGGATTACAGGCACCCGCCACCATGCCCAGCTATTGTAATTTTGGTAGAGACAGGGTTTCATCATGTTGGCCAGGCTGGTCTTGAACTCCTGACCTCAGATGATCCACCCACCTAGACCTCCCAAAGTGCCGGGATTACAGGCATGAGCCACGTCACCGGGCCTGGACACCACTTTGATCTGTATGCCATACACCACTGCTGTATGGCATTTTATGACACTTGTTTTCTTAAGAGATAAAGAAGTTTTAAAGTGTTCAAAATTCTTGGCTACTTGAAAGACTGTTAACAATGATTTCGATTTATCATAGGCATGCTCCCCGTGATCTCCACTAGAGAGCTTTCCAACTTTGAGCTCACCCTCAGCCCTGATGGCACAAGAGTTGGAAACCACAAGTGCTCCAACCTCCTGGATTATACTGAAGTGAAGACTCATTATGGTTTCTTGACTGATGCTACCAAAAATCCAGAAATAATTGGAGAGACATATCCTTACCAGTACAGCTTGTCCATCAGAGGTTCCACTACCTTGCGCTTCTACCGGAACCTGAACCTAGAGGCCTGTTTATGGGAGTTCGTTAGCTACTATGACATGTCAGAACTCCTTGCTGACTGTGGTGGCACCATTGGAACAGATGGACAGGTACAGATTTATAACATCTGAGTTTGGTCACTGGATAAACCAATTGGTTTGTTTTGTCACATAGATTTGTACTAAGTCCCAACTCCAGTTTTCCATCTTGGTGTTGTAGGTAATTATTGACAGCAAGGGACCAGACAACTGGCATGGATGGTGTGAAAATCCGTGTCTATTTCTTAACAATGGGCCAGAATATACGTAGTTTTTGACAATGGGCTAGAAACATTATATCTATGTGAAAAGGATGCTGTATAATTATTGCCTTAAGCTCAAAATCTACTCTGATATTATAAAAATCCAAATACTGACTTCTCTTCAAAGTATACACTATGTTGTTTTTGTGTTTATGTGTAGATGCCTGTGATGTTGTATCATGAGCCACCTAAAGTGAGGTTTTACAATCCTGGGAGTCAGCCTAATTTTTCTCCCTCTTTTCTGACTTTCTTCTTCCCCTACATTTTACAAAACTTTCTCTGCTTTTAGCCTCCTGTTTTACTCTCCTTCTTTTTCTTTCTGTTTTTCTCCTCTTCTTCGCTTTTTGATTCATTTATCTATCATTAACATAGTCAGAAGTGTTTTTATTAAAACTTATTGTTATTTGCACTCTACAGTTACTGATTCTTCTTCATACTACACATTCACACATAAAATACACATACACACACACAATCCTCACCCCCACCCCATCATCAGCAACAAAGTTGTTAAAATGATAAGGAAGCAAGATCTTCTTGTGGGTTACAATAGAGAACCTAAAATATGTAGGGCATGATTTAAAATTGTTATGAGTATTTGAACTAAAAGCAATGCTATAATCTTACCTGGACTAAATAAGGAGTTACATAAGTAGGTTTATGCATTGAAGTGTTGAATGATATATAGACTATATAATGCCCTTCCAGATTGAGCTAAAGTTAGGCTGCCCTTTTTTGTGCTATATTCATAAGGTGTTGAATGAAATATGTAACAACCAGTAGCAAGAAAAAACTAGATAACTAGTATGAGATAATCCCACAGTAAAGCTGTGGACTTTGACAAGTTCTGCTGGTGTTGATGTTGAATTGGACTCAGAGGTGGTGAGACATGACCATAGCCACCTTGTCAAAAAGCAGCAACATTTAGTAACTTACAGGGATTGCTAAAAATGCCAATAGAAATAGCAATAGAGAAGCAGTATAAGATGGTGGAATCTGGATATTGGAATCAAGCAAATGCTGACCAAAATTTGGCTCTGATAGTTTCTAGCTGTATGTCTTTGAGCAAGTTACTTAAACACGTATAAGTGTTCATCCTGTAGATTCCTCTTTCCTAACCTGTTTTTGCCACCTGAAAGAAACATGGAAAAATAAAGATTCAATCCCTAGAAGAAAAATAAAGGCTCATATTAACAAATCTACCTCTTTTTCTTTATAGATCAGGTATCTCTACTTCCTTCATGTCTTCCTTACAAAGCTGCCTTCAATCCATTACTAAATTATTTCTATTTCCTTTCTGGTTGCTTTTCTCTCAGATTGTTGCTTACATCACAGCATCTATTGGTATAAACAAAATTGGATATAGAAATAGGATTATGTTGTAGTTCTCATTCCTTGTTAAAATCGTTTCATACGCCAGGAGCAGTGACTTCATGCCTGTAATCCCAGCACTTTGGGAGGCCGAGGCGGGCAGATCACCTGAGGTTGGGAGTCCAAGAGCAGCCTGACCAACATGGAGAAACCCCGTCTCTACTAAAAAAAAATACAAAAATTAGCTGGGTGTGGTGGTGGGCTCCGTAATCCCAGCTACTCAGGAGGCTGAGGCAGGAGAATCACTTGAACCCGGGAGGCAGAGGTTGCAGTGAGCCGAGATCACGCCACTGCACTCCAGCCTAGGCAACAGAGCGAGACTCTGTCAAAAAAAATAAAATAAAATAAAATTAGCCGGGCGTGGTGGCGCATGCCTGTAATCCCAGCTACTCAGGAGGCTGAGGCAGGAGAATCGCTTGAACTGGGAGGCGGAGGTTGTGGTGAGCCGAGATCGCGCCATTGCACTCCAGCCTGGGCAACAAGAGTGAAACTCCATCTCAAAAAAAAAAAAAAAAAATCACTTCATGCTATTGAACTTCTCTGTGGATCTCATCTAGTTTATAGTCTGTTTTTACCCTTAAGAATGTTTTCTATCTTCTCCACAAAGTGGCAGCACTTCTCCGTCTTTTGTCCATGTTACACAGGTAGCCTTTTCTATCAGTAATAAAAACCCTGCACTTGCCTGCCTAAGCTTTATCCTATTATATCTGTCCACTTTTTTAATGTAGCAAGGCTGTTTTATTTTGAATGCAAAGCCTGCCCTCTACTGTGTTCATTCTTCAAATCAAATCTTACTGTAAAATTTAGATCAGCTAAAGTGACTATACTTTGCTAGATTTTTAAAATTCCAGTTCCTTTATCAAATTATTTGTGCTCAGTATTTTTTTTCTTCCTATGACTGCCAGCTAGAAAAGTCATTACTCTGCTTCTCTATTGGAACTGACAACAGTCCTACTCCATTAGGTGAAAATCAGCAATTGTAGGTTTTCAGTTAAGTTTTTCCTGCTAGAAAAGCTTATGTTCCATAATACTAGAAGAGAGTGCAATATAAGAATTACAACATAATTCAGTTCTTAATAGTCTGTGCTACTTTCTTAAGGAAGATGGCTAACTTGTATGAGTTCCTTCTGAAAGACTTCTGCTTTTGCATTGTTAAACATTAATAGCATAACCATCATGATCAATATCATAGTGATGACCAGATTCAGAGTAAATCATTGAGATTTTAGGATCTTGTTATAAAATTCTAAAATCCTTATTGTAAATTAAATGGTAATACAATTTAATAAAACATGTTGCTTACTCTCTTGAAGTGAAACTTAGAGATGTTGTGTTAGTCAGGGTTCTCCCCAGAGACAGAACCAATAGAATAGATAGATGAGAAGGGATTCCTTATGAGAATTAGCTCACGAGATCGTAGAGACTGAACAGTTCCATGGCAGGCCATCTGCAAGATGGAGAACCAGGGAAGCCAGTGGTGTGGCCCACTCCAAGAGGCCAAAGGCCTGAGAACCCAGGTTAAGTCCCCAAGTCTAAACACCAGAGAACTGGGAGTTCTGATATCCAAGGGCAGGAAAAGAAGAGTGTCCCAGCTCCGAGAAAGAGAGAGAGATAATTCACAACCACTCTTTGAGATAAGTACTATTTTTGTCCTTTTCTTTTCCTTTTTTGTCTATCTAGGCCTCAGCCAATTTGGTGGTGCCCACTTACATTGAGTGAGGATGGGTCTTCCTTACTCAGTCCACGGATTCAAATGCCAGTCTTTTCTGGAAACACTCTCATGGACACACCCAGAAATAATGCTTTACCCACTATCTGGGTATCCCTTAGTCTAGTAAAGCTGACACCTAAAATTAACCATCATAGATGGCGGTCCCATTTTCTTCTACCTTCTTCACTGAGGTTAAGTTTCTACTTTTCCCCTTGCTGTTGATAGTCTCCTACACCCTCACCTCAACATACACGCACATATTATTTACACATAGGTGAGGGAGAAGAAAATAAAAATTAAAGTAGAAGAAATTCAACCCTCTGAGATATTGCCCTAATTTTCCTCCATTAGTTTTGGCTTATAGTGAAGAGAACAAAATATCTAATAATAGTACTAACAATAACAGTAAGCACAATGATAGTTGTAATAGCTTACATTTATTGATTGTTTACTACATGCCTGCCATTCCTCTAAATACTTTGTATATTTCCACTCATTCTAGCCTCACAACAACCCTTTGAGATAAGTACAAGTTTTGAAGCAAAGAGAATTCAAATAACTAGCCCAGGTTCGTGTAGCTTGTACACCTATGCTGTTAAACACATCATAATGCTTATCTGGGCATTAAATTGAATGTGAGTGAATGTGAGAAATGGATATGGTCATGGATGCAATTGCAAGAAAGCCAGGTGAACTTTTTCCTTTGTCCTTGGTACAAGTATGCTGCCTGACAGCATTCATGAAAATACGTGCCAGATAACATCCACACCCACTGTTGGTAAAACGGTGCAAATCCATGTCCTAACAACAGTGGTCTACAGCTTCATCTGAATACAGGCAGATCAGTGTTGAATGCAAGCATATTTCATGAGATGGCACCTGAAGGAAAGCAAAGTAAATGCTTGGTAAATTCTACTTTATACTCTATTTTGGAATGTCATGAGAGCCTTCCAAACTTTTGCATTTCAGCATTAAGGATGGGAAAATGGAGAAAAATAAAAAGCAAACCATCAGCACAGACTCCATGTGCTTCAGAGGCTTCGTGGTTTTATTGACCACCCCAGGAAACAGCCCCTGCAGCAAGCCAGTGCTGACCCAGGTCTGTTTGTCCTCAACAATCCCACAGAGCCCAGGCCAAGCGCCTAGCAGACATTACTTGCCCTCCTCTAGTCCTTTCCCAAATTTGGCATCTCAGCTCAAGGTAATCACTGTGCAAACACATTTTATCAACTGGCAATTGCTTTTGCTAGGAACAACATGATAGAGAATTGATTTTTTAAATGTGTTCTTAGTAGCTAAAGCTACCACCATAAAATATTGCCAAGTCCCTGCATTTTTCTTTGTAAATGAAAATCAACACACTCTGTAAGGGTTTTCTGCCTTCTCCAACCTCCCAATTTCGATTATTTACCTTATTAGTTAACAGGATAGTTATCTGTTAACAGCAATGAAGTGTGATTAACTTTTATGCAGCTAGACTACATCTAGCTTCAGCTATTATTAAAACTATATCTGATTTTGCCATCTCATTTATTTGTACATTCATTCATTAAAGAAATATTCCATGAACACCTACTCTGTGCCAGGGAACATACCAAGTACTCATGAGGACACCAGACATGAAGCTTACGGAGGAACAAAGTCGTTACAAGAGTCAGATCATCACTCATAAAAGTTAAGAATTTTACTTGCCAAGAAAAACAAATTTGGAATTTCTCTAATGATATTTAACTCTAAAATCATTTTAATAGTTTCTAAAATATAAACACAGATAAATAGCAGGAAAAGCAAAATAGAGATGAATTAAATAAATGATTCCACTCTACCTTTGTGTGTGACACCTATTTTGTAAATAAAATTTAAAGTTGTTTGGGTTCACAATAAAAAACACTTTAGATGCAAAATGGTTATTAAAGTTAAATTAAGTTCTTAGAACTATCAGATAGTTTGGTAGTTTTTCTCTTGAAAACAATTTTTTAAAATAATTGAAGACTGCAGATCATTTGATCTTTTATTGTCCTGGCTAGCTGTTTTGCGACATAGAATCTTAACTCTCCCATTTGTTTACAGGTAAACAGCGACTGATAACATCGTTCAGTGTGCATGAATAAGCTACAGAAATGCAACCCCAATCACAGTTTTCACTTAAAACATGAAATTATAATGTACTTATCAGAAGACATAGAATAATTTTGGAAAAGTAAACAAATTTTTTTCTTAGTTGCTTTAGGGAATAATTATGCCTCTTTTTTACTATGTATTTGATTTAGATATATGAAACTTTGAGGCTGGAATATACTTGAGGTCATTTTTCCATCCCATTGTTTTATACTTTGTACACTGATACTCTTTTATATGTAAGCCACTCTCAATTATTTTGCAGGATATATACTTACCCCAGTGTGTAGCAGAATAAATTTGACAGTGTGTTACTTTTTCCATGGTATTTGCATTTTACACTTTCCTTTTAAATATGGAATTTAAAGTATTGCTTGCCTTTGATGAAGAAACTTCAAACAGCAATAGGGACATATGAAATCACTCATTGTGTCTCGGTTTCTTTAAGATTTGACAGATATTTATTTCAGTATAAACAAATACCTCGAAAAGTCCTGTGATACAGGCTGAAAGAAAATTAAGTGCTTTTTAAGTTGACATCTAAATGTTAGAATGATTGCATTGCACTCTTCACTTTTGAAGAAGGTAGGTGATCTAGATGGTCAAGATAGTTTCATTTAGGCTCCAGTTCCTCCAGGTAGAGATTCTAAGTAGACAGAAAGAAGACCTAGCCATGGGTACTAAGAAAATGCAATGGAATGCTGATTCTGTGTCCAAAAATGATCAAGCTCTAGTTTACCACAACATCAAATAAAATCAAATCAGAATTAGTTGGGGAGCTGTACTCCAAGTAACTTATTCATAGGAAGTGAGTATTAGTAATTCCCTCCAAAATAGCATACTCAGTAACATTTGATGGATAGAATATAACATTGGAAAAAATTATTCTTAGCACCTATAAAGCTTAATTGGAAATCTATTCCTAAAACCTAATTATTTTTTAAAATCATGGTTTATTAAAATTGTAAGGTAAAATATTAATCTTAAGGACTAGTGGCATATGGGTTGACTTAGTCACCGTCCATTTCCCTGCACTTCAAAATCAATTGCTCAATGAGGTAATAACAGCCGCCCATAGAAACTACTGTCTCAAAGGACTTTTAATGCAAAGCACCTCTCCTGCTGGCCAGGCTAGCAGGTAAGAGGGAATGCTAACTACTATACTATACAGCTAAGAATGAAATAACTGGTTTGGTTGATGGTTCTTTTCTATATATTTTTATTAGGGATTCAGGTCATCATTTTTGTGACATGAGCAGTTTACTTTTAACTTCATAAGAATGTTCTAAATTATAGTTCTCATGATTTAAATTATTTGCTAACTCATGCCTGTGATTCTTGTTGTGAGCTGTGTGGAAGGAGAACTAGACCATAATCAGACAGCCTGACTCAAACTTCTATGGAGTGTGATCTGACCTAAGTCCTTTCCTCTTGTGTAGAAGAGGCTAGTTGTATTTGTCCTACTATTGTGCAGAGCTATTTTGAGAATGAAATATGATAGCCTTTGTTAGATGACCTTAGGACTGCCTTCATCTTTGTTTGGAATACGATGAAGTAAGACAGAATAGAAAAAAAACATGGGCCAAAAGCTGAGTTCTGATCTTGTCCGAGCCATTCAGGAGGTTTAGAGAATACTGTGGGACATTTACCTTTTTCCTTTGAGTCTTAATTTTATCTTTGTCTCTTTCTATCCGTCATCCATTGACCATCCAACTATCCATCCATACATGCAAAATAATTATGGTGGAGAGTGAAAATATTAAATAGTGTTTATTCAGAAACTAGTACAGTTTCTGAAATATGGTAAGTACTCAATATATAAATATTAGTTTATCCTCCACTATTCCCAACCCATCTGCTAAACACCAGAAGGAGGAAAGTATAAAATTCAAGGCAAGACACTTCATTTCAACTAATTATTCTTGAGATATTATAAATGTTATATGTTATTAGTAAATATATTTGCTTCCAGATCTATGTTTCATATTCCCTTAATAAAAAAGTAGCTCATAGCAGCATTTTTTATAATAGCCAAAAACTGGAAACAACCCAAATGGCCATGAAGTGATAAATAGATAAATGAAATGTAATATGTGCATACAATGGGCTGCAATTCATTAACAGGGGAATTAAGTATTGAAACGTGCTCAAACATGGATGCACCTTGAAAACATTATGCTAAATGAAAGAAATCTATCACAAAAAAACACATTTTGTATGATTCCATTTATATGAAATGTCCAGGATAGACAAATACATAAAGACCTAGTGGTTTCCAGGGACTGACGGGGAGGAGGGATTGGGGGTGACTGCTAATAAGTACAGGCTTCCTTTTGGAGGTGATGAAAATCTTCTAAAATTGATTGTGTTGGTTGCACAGCTCCTTAAATATACTAAGAACCATTGAACTGTTTACTTTAAATAGGTGAATTACATGGTATGTAAACTATCTTCATAAAACTGCTCTAAAGAGGATTTTGTAAGTATAGTATGCTCAAAATAATGCACTGTCTTAAGGATTTCTGGTACATATCCTTTGTTGCCAATGAAGGTAATTAGTAACAACTATTTAATCGATCCAAAATTAAGTGAGGGGAAAATAGTGTTATAAAATGCTGTCATTTCCTCTTCTCAATGATTACTCAAAATCTTCAGTTAAGCGAAAAGAGAAAATGGCTTGTACAAAATTAGGCCCACTTAGTTAACACTGAGTCATGTTGATTGATGTAATTTTGTTGTTTTAGGTCCTAAACCTAGTGCAGTCCTATGTGACCCTTCGAGTCCCTCTGTATGTTTCCTACGTGTTCCATTCCCCCGTGGGGGTAGGAGGCTGGCAGCATTTTGACTTGAAGTCAGAGCTTCGTCTAACTTTTGTGTACGACACCGCCATCTTGTGGAATGATGGAATTGGCAGCCCCCCAGAGGCTGAACTTCAAGGTGAGTTCAGAAGACTTGGAAAATTCTATAGTTTTGTAACCTATTTAAACTATTTAAGACGATTTTTTTTTGCCATTGCTAAAAGTAGTACTAGCAAATTTCAGTATATTTTCATTTTCTATCTATAATAAGATAATTTCACCTTTTTCATCAAAAAACTCTTTAAACCATATTAGGGCTTTAAATTTTGTGCAATATGTGATTATTAAATATGACTTTATATATTTCATGGATATTTTATCCTTGCGATCTATTTTAGGTGATTAATTATTTATGTGTTACATAACACAACATATATATTTTTCTGAATTCTAGAAAATGGATAGAGGAAGCTCCAACGAAAGCAAGAAATGACCAAGGGAAAAAGTTACACATTTTTATTTCTGAAAAAAAGAGGTGCATTTAAATTAAATACAAATTATGGCCTGAATTCTAGTCATGACTCTACAACTAACTAGCTGTGAGATCTCAAGCATATTGCTTAACCTTTCTGGGACTTAACTTTTTCTGAATGATAGACACAACTTCTAATATCTCTTTCTGATGTAAAATTCTATTACTCTGGGGTACTTTAGTTGAATGTCTGCGAACTCGGATTGTGAATGCCACTAGTTCGAGTTCGCGAGCATTTGCAAAACTTGGTTTCAATCTCCATGTTAGACTCATAGTTCAAAGTCCACAAGCATCAATCTAATCCATTAGTAGGACGAGTGCTTTTTCTTTTTCAGACATGTATTACTGTTCCGATTCCACAAACATCCATAGTGTCATGCCAGTACTGCATTTTACTAGCCAGCAGGAAAACAGAGTTAATAGTGCACCTCAAATGTAAATCTACTCTCTTAAGTGGATTAAAACCTATTTATGCTCTGTTCATTTTGTTGTTGTCTTTTTTTCTCCATGTTTCATTTTGAATAGTTTCTATTTTAGAGCTATGTGACAGGTAATATGATAACCCTGAGTTATGATTCCAAATTATTTCAAATGTTTTAAGTCCGTGTCTTGTTTTAGAAGATGTATATTTAAGTTAATCTTAATGAGGATTTTTCTGTGGTTCCCAACCTCCACATAGGATCTCTTGTTTCCATCTGATTTCTGGAGCCAAATTTTATCAAACTGCTAAATTTCTTGGGAAAGCTTCAGAGGTTTCTTTAAGTCTATAAAATTAGGAATAATTCTGGATAACTCAAACCTATTTCTATTTACATGTCCGAATCTCCATCATTTTGACAATTTTGTCATGCCTCTCAATTTACAGCTTCATTTTTATAAACTCAGATTTTAAAAAAACTTGGTCTATTGTAAGTAATCTGTGTATTTCATAGTGACTTCACTCATGTTACTTAATAATTCATTTTGGCTCCCTTTTCTGCTTAGAAAAGAAAATGAAGATACTTCTGCCTCTGTTATTCAGAATTCTTCTGATAATACCCTTTGCCCAGAATGTTTAAAGACAAGTCAAACCTGAATTAATTTTTGGAAGGAATCTGTACATAAGGGGTCTCTGGCTACATATATTTTCATTCTTGGTACTCTCCCCATTATAGGTTCTCTCTATCCAACCAGCATGCGCATCGGTGATGAGGGGCGCTTGGCCGTGCACTTCAAGACAGAGGCTCAGTTCCATGGCTTATTTGTGCTGTCACATCCCGGTAAGCCCCGTTATCTTTTAACAACCACTCCTCACACAAAAAGGAGGTAGATTTTCCATCTTCACACATTTCAGCGTGCTTCTCTGTTACCACTGAAGCCCTTAATCTCAAATGAATTGTACATGTGGGATTATCTCCATGAGAGCTTGATAATTGTTCAGCTTCACCTCATAATCCACAAAATTATCATTATGCAGACTTTCAGAGAAAATGCAAAATAATTAGAGTAAAATTAAAAGGAAACCCTATTGAGTTCATTTTAAGTAAAGTTTTCCTTAAAGAGCATAGGAATAATCATTTCTTTCTCTGCTTTGCTTCCATTGTACAAATCGAATTGCAGATGATTCATTCAGCAAGCACTTCTCTTTTCACAGCTTTTTGCTAGGTACTGTGAGAAACCCTTTTAATAGGGTCAGAGGAGGTACTTCACTTTCATATTTAAGTTTTGGACATGTTAATTATGTTTAATAAGTATTGGCTATGCAATTTTACTAACTGTGATTCGCTGTGCTTTGAATATCAACAAGGCAGCAGTCGATAAAATCCCACGTCTAACTTCATTTGTTTTTTGTTTTTTTTTAACAAGGACATTTCACTAGAAAGAGCTTATTTTTTATTTGACTCTCCATATTACCAGTTTAGTAACATGGAGAGTCAAATAAAAAATAAGCCATTTTTCTGCCAGCTTATATTAGATTGGGAAAGGGAAAATAGTTCACTCAACATCTTTATAGCTTTTCTTTTTCTGGACTTGAACTCTAACAAAAGAGAATAGGGCTGAATAATTAGGAAGAGAAAGAGGCTTCATTGTATTTTTATGGAACTGAGCTACAAGAAAGAAAGAACCCAAAAAAATCATTTTGCTTTATTGTATTTGACAGTTCTGGAAAATGAGGATTTTCTGGTCTATACAGTTTTCTTCTACATGCCTACCTTTCTAATAAACTGAATCTTTGTGTAGCCATGATTGCAGGCAATCTAACTAAAATCAGACTCCATTCATAAATTGGGTTTGCCCAGCTGTGTGGATACTAATAGACTATTTTAAGTTCAGCTCGTAACTTCAGTGCACAATAAATGCATTCACATCACCCTTTATTGTGCTGCTGTGACTCCCCAGAAAGTAGCTCTGAACAATTTGAGCATTTCTGTACAATTATCTTTTGACAAAACTATAGAGCAGAAACAGTACTGAAGTAGGAATCAGAAAGTCACATCCTAGCTGTGTGATCTTTGGAAAGTCACACAGTCACTCACAGCCCAGTTTCTTCATCTGCCAGAGGAGGATAATTATACTAACCATGACTGCTTTGCAGCCTTCTTATAAAAACAGAAGCAAATAATGTATGATCATTTATTTTGAAAACTCTAAACTGTTATGCACTCTTTTAATTGAACCACTATATCATTATTATAATTACTGGCACTTTCCTAGCATCCTTTACAAGCTCAGTGATCATGTCAGCTGATCATCCAGGCCTGACATTTTCCCTCCGCCTCATAAGGAGTGAACCAACCTATAACCAGCCAGTACAGCAGTGGAGCTTTGTCTCTGACTTTGCCGTAAGTGACTAAGACTCTTAATTAATTTTCTTCTGCTGCTGCCATCTGATTACACCTCAGATTTTTAAATGTAATATATCAATATCTTCTCCTCAAAGGTACGTGACTACTCAGGGACCTATACTGTGAAGCTGGTGCCATGCACTGCCCCATCACATCAGGAATACCGCCTGCCAGTCACCTGCAACCCCAGAGAACCTGTCACCTTTGACCTTGACATCCGATTCCAACAGGTGTGGCTTATAGAATTACTATCTTATGACTTGCAGAATCCCACTTTGTTTTTCATTTATTAGTAAAAAAAAAAAAAATCCACACGTGAATGACTTTAATTCTTGCATGCTGAAAAGAAAAGAAATCAGACAGTTAAGGAAGCTAGGGATAAAAGAATGAGGAGAGATTTGCCCTTTATCTGTTGTTAGTACAGGATGTAAAATTCAGAGTTTAAATGTATGCAATGGTTATTTTTTTCTTATCTGATCTTATCTTGTGTCCTCCTGAAGTTTGCTGTCTTGGAGATTTGAGAATTTTCCCCGCACTTCTGCATTTCTTTTCTTGTTCTTCTCTAAAGAGAATGAAATCCTGTAGCTCAAACCACCTCAAAGTACCTAATTGCCATTATGTATTATAAAAAATGTGATGGCATCTTTTTTTCAAGAATTTTTACTGTTGGCCTTCTACTGACAATGATATTTACAAGTCCTTTATATACCCCAATAAACCAGTGGAAATGAGCTCAAGCAATGCTGTTTAGTCCCATTCAAAAAATGACTTGATCCCACCAGTTTTGCCTTCTCAAGGACAAAAGCAATGTTACAACTCTCTGAGTTAGCTTGGTAGGGTGTGAAAATTGCGATGCAGTGTTTAGTGTTCTACAGTGTACGGTGAATGTATGTATCTGTGAACAGTATGTTTGTGCACCATCAGAACCACTGATGCATAAAAGAACTTTTACCTTTGGTTTTAGGTCAGTGATCCAGTGGCTGCTGAGTTTAGCTTGAACACCCAAATGTACCTGCTCTCTAAGAAGAGTCTCTGGTTGTCTGATGGATCCATGGGATTCGGGCAAGAGAGTGATGTTGCTTTTGCAGAAGGTATCACTTTACAAATGAGAGGGATGCTCTGTTTGTCATGTATATCTTTTGTGCTTTGCTTTTTGGGGATTGTGTTTGAGGGGGCAAATTATAGCTTTTTTTATGGTTTTGAGAATGTAACTGGGTCTTTACCCACTCTGGCTGGTGTGGGAAGTCGTTGCGATTGGGTATATGTAACTGGGTATCTTTTTTTTCTGAGGAAGCTAATCTCTAGCTGTCTTACCTAAGTGACTTTTGGAACAAGTCTAGATGATTTTCTCGAATGTTTTTTTTCAATCTGTGTAAACTTAAATGCTGCAGCTACATGAGACTGTAAATGCCTCTCAGGCAAAGATTGTGCCTGCCTTACTCAATGGTGTATATTCAGCACCCAGCACACATACCTAGCAGAAATACCTGGCACTCATGGTAGGGGTTCAATAATAGTTATGAAATAAAGAATTGAACACCAGGGGGTTTCATTAAACCCTCTTTCAGAAACAAATAACGTTAATTAGGCTTTGTATTGATACTTTCTTTCTTAGTGTTATTCTATATTGTATCAGTATATATCTTATCAACTTATTTTTGTAAACTGGACTTGGACCACAATGGGATATTATTAATGCCAAATTATAGGCCAGATCTTTGAAATTATTCACACTAGTGGCTGAGCATCTGAGACTCAATAAATCTTTAGTCACTTCTGGTCAGTCTGCAAAGTGGTCTTACCTGAGGCCTGAGAATGTACCAGATCTTGAAGCTCATGCAAACAGGCCTTCAACATTTGATAGTAGATGAGGGTGGCAAGGAAATAATCTCTGTGTCCTCATTGTCATAACCTGTTTACAGTGTCACGTTGATATACCTTATCATATAACAGAAATAACATTTCCACATCTCTATTTCAGGTGATATAATTTATGGTCGTGTCATGGTGGATCCTGTCCAGAATCTGGGTGACTCCTTTTACTGCAGCATTGAGAAGGTGTTTCTATGCACTGGAGCTGATGGCTATGTTCCCAAGTATAGTCCAATGAATGCAGAATATGGCTGCTTAGCCGACTCTCCTTCACTCTTATATAGATTTAAAATTGTGGTAAGTGCTTTGACCCAAAAAATGAGCTAGATAGATTTTTCAAAGTTCAGCCTCCTTGTCTTATATTTAAAAACAAGGCTGGGCACAGTGGCCACACTATAGTCCCAGCACTTTGGGAGGCCAAGGTAGAAGGATCACTTGAAGCCAGGATTTCAAGACCAGCCTGGGCAACATAGTGAGACCCCATCTCTACAAAAAATTTTAAAAAATTAGCCGAGCATCGTGGCACATGCCTGGAGTCCCAGCTACTTGGGAGGCTGAGGTGGGAAGATTGCTTAAGTCAGGAAGTTCAATCTATGATCATGCTACTGCACTCTAGCCTGGGTGACAGAGAAGGTCCCCGTCTCTTAAAAAAAATAGAAAAACCAACAAAATGATCATTTTTAGTAAACCAAATGGTGACATTTTATAGTAATTTGTACTTGCACAAAACAAATAGAGAAACATGCTGTCCTGGCAAAAGCCGTGGCATTATCTACAGCAATCACCACTTTCCTTACTGCTTAAAGGACAAAGCTCAGCCAGAGACACAAGCGACCAGTTTTGGAAATGTCCTATTTAATGCCAAACTAGCAGTGGATGACCCTGAAGCCATTCTCTTAGTGAATCAGCCTGGATCTGATGGATTTAAAGTCGACTCAACACCACTCTTTCAGGTAGGCCAAAAACAAGCTCATTTGTAGTAGTTGTGTACCCACATGCAAGTTATGGAACATTTATATGCCTCAGATGTCTCATATGTAAATAGCAGTAATAGTAATATTGCATACAGTTAATGGGAACATTGAATAAGATATGGCAAATAAACTACATAACCCTATGCTGGGCATATGGTGAGCACTCCATAAACCCAGCGTTTATTATTTTTGTTAGCAATATATCTGGCTTTCATAGCTCTTATCACTTTTATTAATGTATTAATATTATTTTAAGACTATGTGTAATGAAGAGTCTTATTTAGCCCAGAATATAAATCTGTGTCTGACAGTTGAGTAATCTGCTTTTCTTATTCAAAACTTCCTTCCTGCTGACTTTTCACCAATATCTTAATTAGAGTGATCTTGTGTGAACTGCTGAACTCAGGAAAGCAATTGTGCACAGCTCCACTCTCAAAGATTTCAGAAACCAAGATACAAATTCCTGACTCAGGGATCAAAGGTGGAGGGAAACACAGGCAGCTGCCACAACACTGAGCAAATGCCACAAATTTCAAGAGGTGCTTACACTGCAAATCTCTGCCGAAGCAAGTGCGGCTTTTAGGATATTTACTGAAAATTAACCCGACAGGATGGCCTGGAGAAATGTGTTATTTTCATTCAACCTAAGGAAGGATCTTAAGAAAGCATGTTTGTTATTCTCAATCTTTTCAAACAAGAAGTTGAAGTATGATATGTTTTATTTTTATTTTTGCCATTAAATCTCAAAGCATCTGACCTTCCTAAATCTTGCATGCTTCAAAGACTCATCAGAAAATTCATCCTTTTCCAAAGCCCCAGAAAAGCTTGAAAATTGATTTTTTCCCCCTATGGTCTTATATGCAATAAGCAGCAAGACACAGTGAAAAGAGTCCTGGGGTTCAGAAGATTTGAGCTGTAGTCCTGCCTCTGCCACTAACTGGTTGAGTAACATTGGGCAACTCACTTAACTGCTGCATATTCTAATTTACTCATTTTTTTAGTGAATAAGCTAGACTGTATAATCTATTAATAGTTCTTTAGAACTCTCTCATTCTATGACAACAAGTATCACATATTCACTCCCTTAAGAGTTGCACAGGATATATCACAGAGTGCTTTGCACAGAGCCTTGCACCTAGTACTCATTCAAAAATATTAAGTAAGTTAATTCTGCAGACTAAAATCATTTATTAATATCTCTGCCATTAATTTCTCTTGCAAAGAGTCGTGGATTAGATTGACATGGTATCTAGTATTTCCTAATAAATAGAGTTGTGCTTTCTAGGTCGCTCTAGGCCGAGAATGGTATATACATACGATCTATACAGTGAGATCGAAAGACAATGCCAATCGAGGTATTGGCAAAAGAAGTGTGGAGTACCATTCTCTGGTGAGTCAAGGAAAGCCCCAATCCACCACCAAGAGCCGGAAGAAGAGAGAGATCAGGAGCACACCCTCACTGGCATGGGAGATTGGTGCTGAAAACAGTCGAGGAACAAACATCCAGCACATTGCCCTGGACCGCACCAAGAGGCAGATCCCCCATGGGAGAGCACCTCCAGATGGCATCCTCCCCTGGGAGCTCAACAGCCCCAGCTCTGCAGTCAGCCTGGTCACTGTGGTGGGAGGCACCACGGTAGGGTTACTCACCATCTGCCTCACTGTCATTGCAGTGCTGATGTGCAGGGGCAAGGAAAGTTTCAGGGGGAAGGATGCCCCGAAAGGCTCCAGCAGCAGTGAGCCCATGGTGCCCCCACAGAGCCATCACAATGACAGCTCAGAAGTTTGATGACTGCAGGTAGAATTCAACCTTTTCCGTAAGTGCCTCGGAAAAGATCACAATGGAACCTTAAATACTTCTGGTAAACCATAGAGAATGGAGGATGGCTGTGATGAAGCTGCTTAGAGAATATGACTGTACTAATGGAGTTTGATTTGAATTCTCCATACTCTTTTTTGCATCAAAGGACAAATTAAGGCATCTTTCCTCTTGCCCCAAAGGCAGCAACAACGTACTCATATGTACACAGAGCCATGATGTGAGGAATGTACTCCTCATTTTAGACATATTCTCTATGCAGTGGAGATAAATCTATTAAAAGGTGCTAACAGACTCTCTTACAAGTGTAAGAGGAATCTACTGTTGCTATGTTAGTGTGAATGTTGAAGGTGCAATTATCACATTGTTTATTAATTGTATAACAGATTATTACTAGAAAGGTTTTTGTTGCTAGTCTGGAAAACTGGTGAACACACTGTTTATTATGACAAGTTTTCAAATAGGTGAAGACAGCATAGAATTATGACCAGGGTGGCTCAACCCACAAATCAACTGATCTACTACTTGGGAGACAGTGGAAGGAAAGATAGAGGGAAGGAAGTTCACTCACTTGAATTTGAATTGCTTCTCATTCTCATCAGACTCTCCTTGTTTTGTTTGCATATTTAATTTTAAATTAAACCAAAGAATATGTTAATTCTGAAAGAGATTTTTAAGAGATGCTGCTCTGTTTTGGCATATAGTGAGTAATGGTAGAGCTCTTGCATGGTAATATACCTTATTGGTGCTCAACATTTGTGGGAAATTAGAGGGTTGGTGAGATTTTGGTGATGAATAAATGCCATAGAGTTAGAGTCACTACAAGACAATGTTCTCTAAGAACTGAGCCTAGATGTTTGCAGTATTGAACCCATAAATGATAATAAGAAACATTGTTACAGATGGTGAAGGGAGAAAGTGGTATTTATTAATATAATGTGTATAATCAGAGTGCCTCTTATACATACTTTATAGAATAAAGGAACATTTTGACAGATGAGGTTATCCCTCGGAGTAGCGTAATCACACAATAACATTTAGAACTTAAATTGGCTACAGGACATTTTATTAGCTTTCTATCCAGCATCTGGTCCAAACGATGGGACTCTCTGCAACTATCATTCCAGAAATGGTCTTGGAGGTGGCCAGAATCATTGACCATATTTTTATTTGGTTCAAGAAGACATCGCTCTGGCATCCCCAGTTCAGTGAACTGGTACAATGTGGTCCCTCTCAATATTTAAAAATATAATTTGTAACAGTGCTTACCATTCACCTCCCAAAGCCAAGGAACTTGAGTGAGCTTCCTTGGCAAGCCTCCCATTGCCTTTCTGCATCAATGTGTTTGTTACCAAATAGCAGAAATTTCGCTTAGAAGGGGAAAACTTCAGCTTTCCAAAAGCTAGTAAACATGTTTCAAAGAAAAATAAGGTCAGGAGAAAAAGAATAATGCCTACAGATTATCCTTCAGATGCTGGCTAGAATCCCCTTTGACTTCTAGCCATAAGCTGGCCACATTGGACATCTTGGTCACTGCAGAATTTTAAAAGGCAAACTTCTCAGAACAGATGTGCACATCTTAATTTGGTGTCTGTAAGTATCAACCATTTCTTGATCAAGATAAGGAAGCAACACTGATACTGAGAGAGAGGTCATATGTCCAATAGTTGCCTTTCTTCTCTTAGGCAGCTCTGCACTTCATGTTCAGTTTTTTAAAAATAGACTGTAGTATCCTTTCATTGGAGAATTTACAAAAATATCATCTACAGCTCAAAAGTCCCACTAACGGCTTATATGAACAGAAAGTACTGTGTAGCCCAGGAGTTTATTTAGCAAGATAAATAGTGGTAATTTCTTAATCATTCCCCTTTCCTTTGCTTTACCTTCTGGCAGATGCTTAGCTACTTCTTTGGCTACCTCATAATTTGTATGGGAATGAACATGAATTAGGGAACTTCAAATAGTGCGTAGACTTTTCCCTACTTACCATTGGGTTCAATTGATGTAGACTGTTAGAGCAAGTATACTCAATCAACTTGCTGATATTTTAGTAGTTAACAGCTTCCGAGCCTATCATGCAATTTGGAGTCTGTCAATGAATATAGCAATCGGTGAAGCATTACTGTACGAAGTCTGTTTTCAGGCTTTGGGTCAAGCTGGTTTTATACCAAATTTCACTCTACAATGCATATTCTAATGAAGCTACTTTATATAAATTGGAGAGCTTATAAAATGCAGAACATTTCTATCCTATCCTACCAAATATTTATCCTTCTCTGTCCTCTATTCTCTTACTCTCCTCTCTCCCTTTTTCCTTCCCTTTATTCCCTTGAAAAAAGAGAATCTGTGGGAAATAGGCAGATATAGCTTTTTAAAATATAAAGTACTTGGGATTTTGCATTATTTTTCTTAATATCTATTTACTAAGTATGTAATTTAATATACATTAATTATTTTTTGAAACTCTTGTTAGTGGGAAGAATATGGTAAATTTTTTGTTAAATAAAATAGACCCTTATGTTTAGCATTTTGTTTTTAGAGAACTATTCTGGTACTATCAGAACAAATACATAAAATAACTTCCCATAGAGAACAGGATATAGCAATAATAGCTCCTTAGATACTCAGTGGCTTCTGACTCCAATCAAGGTCTTGTTGATATTATATAGTAAAAATAAAACCAAAAATAAATATTATTCAAGTGGCTCTTCTAAGCATGTGAATCATGAAGCACTGAAATATGTATTTTAATGATGATCTTATTTATTCCCATTTTTGCCCTTAGTTAACATTTACTGGTGCTCACCTAGGATTGGCTATTCTGAGGGATTGCATAGAAACCAAGCTCCACTTGCTGTCCTTGGGAAGGTTATAACTGAATGCAGCTCTTTATTTGGACTAAAGTGTCAGGATATGCATTAGATTCTCTCCTGAACCAAAAACACAACAGTCATTATCTGTGAACCATAATTTAAAAATCTTTCTAGAATAACAACAGCAGACTCCACTCTTGTTTGTCTAAAAGAGCCCTACTGGGTATGGATCATTCTGATGACAGATTTATACAAAATGATTCAAACCAGTAACTTAGTAAAATTGACCTTCGCAAAACCTCACTGGGGGAGTGCCTTGTAGAGCTGTGGGTGGGACTGCACATTCTTTTCCTCTTAGTAAAAGATAGGCCCACTTTATTCCAAGAATAACACTTAGCACATAAACTCTTCTTCCAGCTCGTTAGCAGCATTAGCACCTTCTGAATTCCACCCTCTCAGAAGAATCCACAGTGTTTGAACAATTTGCATAAAGGTCAGCTAGCATCCTGCTGCCAAGCCACTGCATAGCATTTGTGATAAGAAGGACCAACTCTAGGCTCAATATGAAGGGATTTAGTTCTGTAAGCAGCAAAAAAGCTTCTTTATCAAGTCATCTTACCTCTAATTCTTTTCCAGTGTGCCAACTCCAAAGTCAACATTAAAAATGTAAATGGACCTGTGTAAATATCACAGAGAGCTTTTCCTTATACATCTCAATGCTGAGAGTTAAAATATTCCCAGGTTAAAATTTTTTTAAAGTACCAATAATAGAGCTAAATACAATGACATTTGCTTTTAAAAGGTGGATATTTTATTTCTGCTTTTTGAAAATACTTATTTAGTATTGACTTGGAAGCCAATTTGGTCCTTTAATAAGTAAAGAAAATAATATGTTTAAAAATGTAAATGTTTTACAAATTTGAAACTTTCATAATTGTATTAATCAGAAAACAAGCACATTGCCATTCTTTGAAACTCATGTTTCTAGACATGACAGCAGTAATAAAAGGATGAAAACAAGTGTCTTCACTAAGCGTATGGCCAATAAATGGGACCCAAACGTTCAATCTGTTCAGTTTACCAAGGTTCAGAAATACGTAATTTAGCAGGAAACTATAAATACCAGTGCTATCACAGCCACACATACACACACACAGACATAAAATAACCAAACATCTCATTTCTAGGAAAGAGATAACACTAAAGGCATCATAGGTTTAACTGAAATACGTTATATGAAGTTTTACAAAAAGGTCAACAGAAAGCTCATTTGTGAAAACATACTCTCATGGGAGCTTCTTTAACATTAGTTCAGAGGTTAATATATTTCCTGGAGGTGTTTTCCTAGAATTGATTGCACTATTGCATGGTAATAACATTTAATTGTTAAGGAAACATTATATATAGGTTCAAATTATCCCTTAATGTTGATTTCTCCCCTTTTCCATGGATTTTGATACTAAGAAACAAAATGCTTTGAGATTTTGGTAACTATTTTGATTTTGATAAAACATGTTAAAATAGAAGGACATGATATTTTTCTATAGTTTCCATCAGGAAGAGTACATCAGAAACTTCTCCATAAGGAAAGAAAACTGACTCTCTCTTGAACTAGTGTTGACAAAATACACTAATGTCTTTCTTAATTTTATTTTATTAGGAGAAAAATCAGAATATTAAATTTGCAAACTTTTGAACAGCAGTAATAGCTCCTTAGACACTCAGTATCTTTCTTCCCTATCTTTCAAGCACATTTAATTTCTTTCCCCTGGTATTTGTTTGCTTTGTGTTTTTTCAATATTTTGTTTGCTAAAGAACAATAACAACAACAAAGCTGGTCCAGCCCTGACACCTACTTTTGCTTTTTTTCTTTCTTTCTTTTAATTTGTTGAACTATAGGTTTCTTTCTGAGATGTATTTTTCATTCTTCCAATAATGCTCTCTTTTTCATTTCAAAACCATTACCACTTTCAATATGTAATTAACATCCTCATTCATCAGAAAGCTGGTAAGTCCACACAGCATTTGTGCAGTATCCCTTCTGTGTAAAATGTTAAGGCTTTCAGATGAAAGAAAAAAGAACTTCCTGCAAAAGATCAAAAGCATCATACTAAATAAAATGATGACAATATGTGCCTTGATTTTTCTCTCAATGGAGGTTCAACATTGACATTTAAGATGTAAAAAAAATTACTTTGATGGTTTAATTAAGAATAATAAGTCAAATATCACATGTATGTAGTTCTTTTGGATGACCGAATACCTTAAAATGAACTAAATAACTGAAATAAAGTGTTAAAATGTTAACAGCGTTGAAGTTTTTAAAATTATAATTATCAAATGCACAATGTTCTTTTACTATGCCAAATGTTGCCTACACTGATTACATGATTGTCACAGTTTAAGTGAATTTCTACTATGGATCTTTATTTTCCCCAATGTTTGGATCATCCTCTCAGATAAGAATTGTCAGTATTGCACCTCAAGAAAGAAGAAAAAATAAGAATGTAAATTTTTAAAAGCTAGCATTAAAAGTAAAGAGCAGTACAATAAAAATCACTTAAAATAGAGAAAGGCAACTACTGAGTAAGAAGAAAAGATAATTTCTGTAAAAGCTAAATTTATGCACATTACAAAAAGTAGTCAAGTCAGTCTTCCATTGTGACTTCAGGAATTCAAATGCAAGTTGTTGGCAAAATATATATATACACACACACACACATACACACACATATATGTACATACATATATATATAGAGAGAGAGAGATAGATTTTTTTTTTTTGAGACAGAGTTTCGCTCTTGTTGCCCAGGCTGGAGTGCAATGGAATGATCTTGGCTCACCGCAACCTCCGCCTCCAGGGTTCAAGTGATTCTCCTGCCTCAACCTCCTGAGTAGCTGGAATTACAGGTGCCCACTACCATGCCTGGCTAGTTTTTGTATTTTTAGTAGAGACAGGGTTTCTCCATGTTGGTCAGGCTGATCTCGAACTCCCAACCTCAGATGATCCTCCCGCCTCCACCTCCCAAAGTACTGGAATTACAATGGCGTGAGCCACCACAAGATATTTTTAAAGCCCATTTGTCTATAAAAGAAAACTCTTGGACAAGGAGCTTTGTGTTTTATAATTGTATTACGTGCCTGCTTCCTTACCAAGTGCCCTCCATAACACTAAGTAAATTTATATTTATCTAGCCTCTGAGTGACATATCTGTGTGTAATGGAATTATTTGCAGAATTTAATAGCCTTTTTTATTTTCGCATGAGAATTTTTCAAAAACTATCAGGGTCTAGTTTTATCATACATTTACTAAGTTACTACATATTGGTGGATATTGACGTTTATTCCTGGGAATCTAATTTTGCAAACAATTTGGAGCCATTCAGTCATAAATTCATGTCAACAATAAGTCTTGCTGCCGCTTGTGTTTCATAACTACGCTTGCTTTCCTTCAAAATATACCAAGTGTGTAATATAAATAAAGCCCATATCAATATAAATGTTCAAATGGCCAAGTTATTCTGGTGCATTCTGTAACTTAATTTTTTATGCTAAAATCACAGATTCCCATAGGCTACAATGAATGTCAGTTATTTTCTTTCTGGTTCTGGAGCCTTAAACTTAGTTCTCTGGACTGGGACCTGTGCTTCCACTGCCACTCATACTGATGGTAAAACTTTGCCTCTCCCCAGTAGAATCCACCTGCAGGGTCCTGGCATCTGCCCACTAGTTATAAAGAGTGTAGCCAGAGGCTCATCAGAGGCAAATGTGTATTTTAAGGAAACAACATATTTGGACTAACTAATTCTTTGTCCCAGGAAGCAGTGTGACTAGACTTTGCTATAGTTAGGAACTCCTGCCCAGTGCACTGATGAGGATGAATTAACTAATCTGGTCTTTACTGCCAATGTAGTCTGGTCACCTCAGTTAATGATCAATTGATTTGTTATAAGGTCAGATTTTTAACATGAGGCCACCACTGTTTAATACCAAAAGGAAATGCAAAGACATCTTGTTTAAGACATTGAAGAATATCCCAAGAAAAGGACAAAATACAAAAAAGAAGGTGAAGTGGAAGAAAAATAATTGCTATGTCAAAGATCTTCTAGCACTTTCAAGACTGGGGAGAGAAAAACGGCTGTGTTGTAAGAGAAAGTTTGTGACCAGTAACAGAAAAGTGCAGCTCAACCAATCTTCACCATGGAAGAAAAAAACATGGGTAGACCTTTCATTGTGATGTCTAAGGCAGGAGTCATAAGGCAGGGTAAACTGGTTTAGGATTGGCTAGTTTGAATACTTCCAGCAGTCTCTAGGGCATAGGGACAGTCTCTAGTTGTCTGGTACCTAGTTCTGGGGTGTTTAGCCGGTGTGGTGAAGAAATGTCCAAGCTGCTAGGGATAGGGCCTGGCCTTCAGGAAGCCTCAGGAAGGGAACCAGAGAAGGAAAGAGTCATGATTCAGTCATGATTCAGTTATTTTTACAGACACTTGTGTGTGCATTAAAACAGGTGCTTAGTCTGTGTAGATAATTGGAAAAAAGTAGCCCCATCCCTGGAGATGAAGACCCCAGGCTCATAATTTGGTGTTTTAAAATGTAGATTGTATTATTATATAAGTACAACAATGCCAGCAGATGAGGAGAAGATCGCCATTAAAAACACAGCATGTTATACTCACAGATCGCAAGAGGAGGAGGCACACCGCACCATGGAGGGCCACATGGAGAAGCACCAGGGTTGGTCAGGAGGCAGAGGGAGCTAGGGGAAACCATGGGTAAACCTTTCATTGTGGTGTCTGAGGCAGAAGTCGTGAGGCTGGATAAACAGGTTTAGGACTGGCTAGTTTAAATAATTTCAGCAGTCCTTAGGGCATAGGGAATGTCTCTAGTTGTTTGGTACCTAGTTCTGGGGTGATTAGGGCATGTGAATAACGGCCTAGAGTGTGGGCTGTGGATGGGTTGGTTTGCATGTGAAAGTAGATGACTAACACAGGTTAGTCATCTACTGTCTCTAGGAATTGGCTAGCCCTGGGAGAGGCAGTATGTCCTGGGTCAGCAGGGCCCCAGATGTCAGAGCATCAGAAACACAGTTAATACACTTAGTAAGTGGAAGAGGACTTTTCACAGGGAATGCATGGTGTGGTAAGTCAAGCCAGTGTTGTGCTGGGATATTTTAACAATCAGCTCTTTGAAGAAAGCAGAGTCCCAAATCAGCTTTTGCTGATTTCCTAATGCAAATGCTCCTATCATCATCAATTCCAAGTTATCAATGTGCCATCAGCTAGTTGGAAAAATTCCTGAAAATTTAACAATTAACTCTTACCAGCCAAAACATGTACACTTCAGCACATCACTCAAAGTTTTTATTTCAGTCCTTATGTGCATCCTCTGTCTTGAATCTTTGTGCACTACACAAACTACAAAATCACAGGCAGAGAACACAAATTTTCTGTGAAGCAGGGGTTTATAAACCCAAAGTAATTGGTGAACAAAATATGATTACAACAGCCATCTCTAAAGACCAAAGAATTGATGTCTATGAAAGGGTAATCTTTAAAAGTTTAGCCCAATGTCTCAAATCAGGTTTCTTGGGTAAGCCCCATGTTTTAGTGTTTTAGGTGAGGGCTGTTTCTATCATCAAGAAAGGAAAATTTTGGCCAAAATTAGTGGCAGCATCTATTGTTTGAAGGGATTTAAAACTGAAATGAGAATTGATTAACAGGAGCTGAGGCTTTAAAATAGTAATGAATATTATTCCAGTATTAATACTTTCCTGAAATTATTGCAAGATTATGTGATATAAGTACAGGCAGCAAAAGAACAACACTGAGGCCAAGTTCCTTTTTAGATAGAACTGAATAAAATCTCATTAGACTTAGGAGATGTGTGGGCCTGGAGATGGTTTTGTTGTGAAAATAATTAAAATATGAACAAAAACCTACATATGAACCTGACTGATTTCAGACTCACCATATGCTCATGTCTACTGGCTCTATAATTCTTCCTCTAAAATAACCATACACAACAGAGATGGGAGAAAATTGAGGAGCAATTTGAGCTCTAGTGACATCAACCAACCCTCTAAGTAAGAGATCTCAGCACCTGCCTCACCTAATACTCTCCTGCATCTCTGGAGACTTGCTACTCCCACCACAATATAATGGCAGTGGAAGTGGAAGTCTACAGAATACCATGGCTTAGTGAGCACAGTGGTAAACAAAGGCAGCATTTCTCATACCAGAAGAATAGTTCTTGGCTGGAGCAGCCCAGGGTAGGGAGACTAGGTGAGACACTATATTCTATATTTAGAATAATTAGTAATATATTTATAGCAATCTATTCATGCTGGGAAGAGAAAATGGTCCTTTATTGGTAAATATTTTTGTGATGTCTCATTGCTAGTTGCTTTACATGTTATCTCATTGAATCTTTATGATGATCCTAAGAAGTAGCTGACAGAACAGGACCATCGCCATCTTAGACAAACACCGCCATTCTAAAGTTCCCCTCAATCAAAAACTGCCTAAATCCAAAGGGCATCAGCCTAATGGCTAAGGTCAGCATGACCATAAACCACAAATGACATCTCCGACCAGAAACACTCCAACCCTAGGATAAAACTCTCCCCTACCAGAGACATGCCAGCCCCAAGATAACTTCTCCTCTGGTTGGAAAGATGTCAGCCCCAAGATAACCGCCCCTCCAGCCAAAGACATTCCAACCCTGACATAAACTTCTCCCCCACACAGAAAACATTCCAAACCTGTGATAATCTCTCTCACCCTCAAACCAATAAATACTCTTACACTGTAAGAGAGAGTGCTCCTGACCGAAATCAGCCAGAAGCCCCTCTCATGTTTATTCTCCAGAATAAACCTGTCTTTGACTGTTGAGCCATTTTTCATGTTTCTTTCCTCTTTCTTTAACTCTTACAGTAGCTTTGTTTCTAATAGAGAGAAGAAACTTGAGATTATTTTTTGCTATTTCAATGTTTCTTTTTTCCTTTGCCAGTCCTTCAATACGTATTAAACAAATTCTATGTATTAAATTTAGGACTGACTCCATCTTCCCAATCACTGTAATTACTCTCTCTAAACTAATCCCATTATTTATTTATTGATCACCATGAATGTACAGAACTCATCCATTGTCATCCCCTAAAGTAAGTGCTGATGTGAAAACTGAAATGAAGCTGGCACAGCATTGTAGGCAGTGGGAGAGAAAGTGACATGTGTCTGGGTCCCAAGGATTGGAGATGATGAAATGATGAGGAACTCATTTGGGGTGCCACTGGAATATTGATTTGTGACTAAAGCAGAGAGATCATTGGCCATCTATAAGGGAATAAAGCTGTCCCTCATGGTTCCTCCTTTCCAAGATCATCTCTGTTTTTTCTGTTAGCGACTTCTCAGTTTCAATAAATGTCAAATCCTCCAGTGAATGGGGCCATGATAAATTTTAGTCTGTCTCCATCCACCATCATTAAACATGTTGGACTCCAGTAATCGTAAGCACAAGGAAATCATTTTTCCTCTTGACAATTATCTTTTAACATTTGAAACAATATTAATGTAACAATATTTTTATTCTAATTTTTTTCTCATATCTTGTCTCAGTATCTTCCCATGTAGAACAACTCTATATATCACAGAATTACTTTTAGGGAGCCATTAAACATGGCATATTGTGTTATTAAGTTATGTTATTTCTATTAAAATAACCAGAGTGGAGTGACATTAGTAAAAACAATGGAGTAAGAGCCTTTGAAAATTCACCTCTCAATAAAAGCAACAAAAATCTGACAAGTAATATGATAGAATCAGCTTTTTCAGAACTTTAGAAATTAACCAAAGGCTTACAGAAATCTGGATGCATGCATTCAAAAATAAATAAATAAATGAAAGGCTGGCTCTCCAGAAGAACAGCACGTTTTATTGTGTTGTAACTTGCATTCCCCTTTCCCCCAGCTCAGTGGTAGTCTTGAAAAATAACAGTATTCCTGTTACAAAATACAGTAGAATGGAGTAGAGCTTGAGTGTTTCTAAAGCCTAATTCCTAAAGAACTGGCATTAATTTGACCTGTCTGGTGCTATCCTAGGACTAGACTGGAAAGACTTCTCTTTACGTAACTTTACTTAGCGCTCATGCAGTACCAAAAACCTATACACAGAGGGATGGTGGGGAGGAAAATGAAAACAAACAAACAAGAACATGTATAGGCAAGTGTTTAAAATGTTTTATCTGCTAGATGTGATGAATAACAGTTAGATCAAACAACACATTAACCAGAAAGCTTAAAAGAAAATGCTGAAAAATGAGATGTTTATAGAGACTTTTAAAATCTCAGGCATATTCATAGGAATAAGGAAGTTCATACATATGTGTAGCACTATGCACATACACAGGAAAATACACGAGAAGGCCTTAAGCTCTTACTTCTGGCTGAGTTTGAGGCTCTATGCAGGGAACGTGAAGACTAAGATAGAGTTTTAAACTGCTTGGTTGAGTATTGAAGGCATGCTCCAACACTTGCATAATCTTTCAGCAAAGACTGACATGTTAATTGGTCTCAAGCTTAAGTAACGATCTGTACAATCACTAGCTAACAACAAAACTGAGTAAAGACTACAGTGGCTGAACAAAGACTGTGCCAGAAAAGTAACTAAACAAGCAACAATTACAACAAGCAGCAATACCTAGGATGATGATCAGAGAGATTTCTCCATGGACCATCTTTCCTGAAGACATTCTGTGTTCTCAGCTACAACTATATGAGGAAACAGACTGGTCTATTTATTTTGACCACTTCTCATTGCAAGCTGAAAGTATATTTCAAGAGCTGAAATCAGAAAAGATGAGATTATCAGAGAACCAAATGGGGGAGCCCAAGACCTTCTGTTTATAGCTAGCAGTCAATACACAACATGGGCAATTTCTTAGCCTGCTCAGCAGCAGTGAGATTGTGTTGCCCACCTGACATATACTCAAAGTGCTTCCCATCTGGTTCTTTGTATTTCCTTCAGTGACTAAGTGAGAAATTCTATGGGGGCCAGGTGGGAGGAAACCTTATTAGGAGAGGTGACAAATCTGACAAGAACATGTGCTAGAAGGCTGTCCGTTAGCTGCCTGGGGAAGAGATGAAAGAGGACCCAAAAACCGGACCAAAATTAGCTTTAAGAAGTCCTTGAGCATCTGCCATAACAGAAGGTCAAGGCCTCCAAGATGACACCTGCCACTTGACAATCCCAGACCTCAGTAGAAACCAATCCATAGGTTCTCAACTTCTTGGAGCCAGAGTGGAAGCTCAGTGTCCATCCCTGGGCCAGGAGAGACTACTCACACCCGCCTGAACTCTACTGGCCCTCTTCTGTGACTGGTTCCATTTGGTGTAATTCAAGTTGGCCAGCATCTATAGAAGGACTTCTTATGTGTTAGGTAACAGGCTAAGAGCTGGGACACAATAGCCCCTGTCCTCAATAGACTCCTAGTCTCACGGTTGCCAATCCAAGCTTGAAATCCCTTGACCATGGTATAGCCACATGTAGGGATAGGCCACGAGTGCTGCAGGAGAAGGGAAAAGAGCCTACAAGGCTGGGGGAAGTGGGGAAAAGAGCTTCATCATAGACGGTATTATAGTCACTTTCTGAATAAAAAGATTTTACAAAGAGCCAGTCTCTAGATGCTAGTTGAATTGGGATGAGTCACATGGCCTGTCCTCCCCATCATGAAGTGGTTGCACAACTGAGATGCTGCACTGCCCACATCTGTCTCCTACTTTCCCCAACCAAAAAGAATCTGAGACGTTTCAATCAATTTAGAGGTTTATTTAGCCAAGGTTAAGGACATGCCTGAAGAAAAGGGACACAAAACCACAGGAAAAATGTGTGATCTGTGCATTTTTTCCAAAGATGGTTTTGAGGGCTTCAATATTTAAAAGGGAAAAGCAGGCTTGAGGGAAAGGAGGGAAGATATGGTCACGTTACTGGATCCACATGTTGCAGGAGAAAAGAAGTAGGTGGTAGAATAGTCAATTATGTATTTGCCTCACACTCAGCAAATCGACACTTTAAGTAAGATAAA
Organism: Homo sapiens; assembly: GCF_000001405.40. NCBI lineage: Eukaryota > Metazoa > Chordata > Mammalia > Primates > Hominidae > Homo > Homo sapiens. The sequence goes on from NC_000013.11 coordinate 38,893,709, forward strand.
GTGAACATAGAGTAGCTCCCTGTGGAGTTATCTGGCCTTTTATCTGTCGCTATCAGCTTAGGAACCAGAGGAAAGGCAGTTTCTTGCCTAACTCAGATTCCAGCTTTTTTCCTTTGTCATGGTGAATTGGGGTGCTGAGTTTTTATTTTCCTTTCTCACCTAGTCTCATTTTCAGATGCCAACCTCTTTATTTGTCCAGCCAGAACATTCTGTCATTATTTAAATTGTGAAGGGCTCTGACAATAACTCCTGGTTCTCCTAAACCTGCCAGTGATACAGACGGGAGACAGGGAAATACTGGGTAGAAGAGGGCAGTTCCCCAGCAAAGGCCCCACCCTCAAGCCTGGAAACCACAGCCCTAAATGAGGACAGTTATCCCTTTTTCCCACCCAAAGATTATGTTTTTGGCCTGCCCTGCCCCCCTGTCCTGTGCCCACATAAACCCCAGACCTCAGCTGGCAGAGAGACAAGCAGCTGAAAGTCAAGAACGGAAGAGGCAACTGAGCATCAGAGACTATGGATAGAAGCGGCTAACTTCAGATGGCGTGACTTCAAAGAGGAACCTGGCCTGAGATGGCCAGGCTTCAGGGAAAGATCACCTTCTTTTCAGACCATCCCCTTTCCAGCTCCCCATCTGCTGAGAGCCACTTCCACCACTTAATAAAATACTCCGTATTCATCATCTTTCAAACCATTCGTGTGACCTGGTTCTTCCTGGACGCCAGACAAAAATTCAGGATGCACTTGGTGCAGGAACCCAAAAAGGCCATCACACTGACTCTTGACTGAGCTGTTTAATACTCAAGCTGTCCACAGATGGCAAAGCTAAAAGAGCTTAATTGTAACACACCCCCAAATGCTGCCCTTGGGCCAGAGCCCAAAAGCACTCGCCCTAGCTCCTGTACCCACTCACCTGCATACTCCCTCTCCCACAAGGGGTTTGAGCACACAGTGGGCAAGTAAATGAGGCACACCCCTGTCACAAGTCCTGCGAGGGGATCAAGGGAACTCTCCCATCTCATGACCACAACAGCATCAAAAAAATGTGGTGCACAAGGCTATGGCACTATCACTCACCCCTTTACCTGAGGACCTGGAGACAGTTCACAGGTTCCAGTGGCCCCTGTTCAACTCTACCTCGGCTTTCTGTCCTTCTCCTTCAGTAGACGCATTTCAATGGTGTGACATCATGATTTTCCCAGTTTTCTCAGCCCTTTTCCACTTTACGTGCAGAAGAATATCTCCCCCATGAAAAGACACTTGCTGCTTTCCCTGAAGTTGATGGGAGAGATGTTTTTCTTCTGCGAAGGTGGGGAAAGCTTAAAAAGTAAAGACTATGGAGGAAACCCAAGTAGCCCTGGGAGTGTCCTGCTCAGACACAGCTGCAAACACTGGCCTGGAAATGCTCATTCGCAGCTGAGACCAGTGGGTCTCCTTTCCTCATTTTCTACTCTCTATAAAGAAAATAGTCTCTCTGAAGGAGCAAGTAGGAACCAGCCTGTCAGAGAGTCACCATGTGCTCCAGAGGCCAACTTAGCCAAATCCAAGCTGAGAGTAGGCAGCTTGCATTTCTGACCTTTTGAGCAGGGGCCCCTGCCATCTCAGGACCTCTGCCATCTCCTGAAATAGTGCCTGAGCATGGTGAGCTGCTCCAGCCCATTTAGAAAATGGCCCAGAAGAAAGTGAAAATACAGCCTCAAGCTCCCTCTAAAATATTCCCCCTGCCCTATCACCCCTAACTTGTGCATAGTTCTGTGTCTCTTTTCTTGGCCCAAGGAATTGGAATAAGTAAAAACATTTTTAAAGGGTCTTTTTTTTTTGTCAAAAACATCACTGGCTGGAATGTGTGACAGCCTGAATGTGTTTGTACTCAGATAAAAACAAAACTCCCCTTGAAAATCCTTGAGCAAAACAAATCTCTAAGGACATAACTGCAGTGACACAAAGTCATGGATGAACTCTCACCCTCTGACAGTTTCCTTCTGTGGCATTCCTTTATCTCTGAAGCATCCTGGGCTCTGTGTCCACGTGTGCTTGCTGACATGTGGCTGGGAAGGGTCCTCTCCAAAGGTTTCCTGGTTCTATATCATGACATTCTTGAGAGGGGCTGTAAGCACCCCAACATCGTGAACTCTGATCCTATCTTTCTCCATACAGCTGCCCCCATCTCTAGGTCTGCCACAGAAATGAAAGAATGAGTGAGGAAGTGTGTAAATGAGTACCCCACAGTGGTGAGGGAGGAAGCAGAGAGGGGGGAAGATCCACACTAAGTAAGGAGAGAGGACAATCATGGTCCTGGTGGCTATGTCTGTAGAAGACGCCTCTCCTTCCCCTTCTCTGCACATTCTAGCTGTGCTTCCTCCAGGCCCAGAGAAATCACTAACTGGTGGCCTAGGTAGTTTCTTGTTATCATCTCTTCTTCATTGCTATGGCCACCAGTTTTCTTGGCCCACACCTAGGGACACACTGTGACTAGCTGTTAAACAGGGCTTTAGGATTTATCAAAAATGATCACATTTTGTGTCCCATTGCATCCTAACAGCAGTCAGCATCATGCATTCCTTAGCCCTGGTCTACCCCATGGCCACCTCCTTTACCTCCTCTTGTATTGGCTCCCCCTTCCTGGCCAGTCCTCTCTCTGTGGGGCCACTCAGGGCTGTATCTTCCCTGCCTCTTCCCTTCCCTAACCCCCACTGATTATCTGGATGTGTCCATCAAGTGTCATGGCTTTAAAGACCATACATCTGATGACTATGACATCTGTGTCCTCAGACCTGATGTCCCCCTAAATTCATATAGTCATGAGTCACTGAATGATGGGGATGCATTCTGAGAGATGTGTTGTTAGGTGACTTCATCACCGTGTGAACATGAGAGTATACTTACACAAACCCAGATGGCATAGCCTACTACACACCTGGGCTATGTGGTATGGCCTATTGCTCCTAGGCTACACACCTATACAACGTGTTACTCTACCAAATACTATATGCAAGTGGAACACAATGGTAGGCATTTGTGTATCTAAACACAGAAGAGGTACAATAGAAATATGGTAAAAGATTAAAAATGGTGCACCTGTATAGGGCACCTACCCTGAATGGAGCTTGTGGGACTGGAAGTTGTTCTTGTGAATTTTAATAATAATTATTATTATTTTAATAATAATTTAATAATAAATTAACATTAGCTTAATGTATTTTTTCTTTATGTTTCTTTTTTTGCTTTTTGACTGTATGAAATATCCTATATGTCCCTATTCTATAAGCTTTTTTCTATTTTTACATTTATTTACTTACTTATCTTCCTGTTTAAAATTTTTTTATTAAAAGCTAAGGCGCAAATACACACACTAGTCGAGGCCTACATAGGGTCAAGATCATCAATACCACTGTTTTCCACCTCCACATCTTGTCCCGCTGGAAGGTCTTCAGGGGCAATGACACCCATGGAGCTCTCATCTCCTATAACAATGCCTTCTTCTGGATACCTCCTGAAGGACCTGCCTGAGGCTATTTTACAGTTACTTTTTTTATATAAGTAAAAGCGATAGGGACAGGAGGCAGGGAAATTACGGACAGAAGAAGGTGGGTCCCCAGCAAGGGCCCCACCCTCAAGCCTAGAACCACAGCCCAAAGTCAGAACATTCATTGCTGTTTTCCTGCTCGAATATTGCCTTTTCAAAAACCACCCATGGCCTACCCTGCCCCCTGTCCTGTGCCCATAGAAACCCCAGACTCCACCAACAGAGAGGAATAGTGGAGAAGCAGCTGGATATTGGAGACCTATGGTTGGACATTAGAGAGAAGAGGCTTGACTTCAGAGGGACGGTTTGATGGCATTGCTCCAGGGGAAGATTACTTCCCCACTCCATTCCCCTTTCAGCTCCCCTTCCTGCTGAGTACCACTTTCATCAGCAATAAAACCCCCACATTTACCATCTCCAATTTGTTCACGTGACCTCATTCCTCCTGAATGCCAGACAAGAACTTGGGTATGGGTGCAAAGGGCAGTCACACTGATGCTCCACTGAGCTGTTAATACTTAAGCCATCCATGGATGACCAAGTTGAAAGAGCAGTGACTGTGACACATTTTCTGGGCCTTCAGGAGTCGTGGGCATCCCCCTAGATGCTGCCACGGGGCCACATGGAGTTTTACTCCTGCCAGCACCCAAAAGCACTCACCTCGGCTCCTGCACCCACTCGCATGTGCTCCTGCTCCTGCGAGGGGTGGAATGAAGCAGGACCAAGTGAATGGAGTCCATCCCTGCTGGCACCAACACACCTGTGCACTCTAGTTCCCACCTGCGAAGGGGTCAGGTAAAATTTCCTGCTTCAGAAGGAATACACTCTAAAATAACCATAAAAATATAGTATATTAGTTTGCAAATATTTTCTCTCATTCTGTAAGTTGTCTTTTCACTCTGATGATTGTTTCCTTTACTGTGCAGAAGCTTTTTAGGGTGATATAATCCCATTTGCTTATTTTTGGTTTTATTGTTTGTGCTTTTGAGGTCTTATTCATAAAATCTTTTCCCAGACCAATGTCCTGAAGTTTTTTCCCTATTTTTTTTTAATAACAATGCCCTCTTCTGAAATACCTCCTGAAGGACCTGCCTGAGACTGTTTTATAGTTAGCTTTTTAAATATATAAGTAGAAGGAGTACATTCTAAAAGAATAATAAAAAGTATAAGATACTAAACGCATAAACCAATAACATAGTTATTTAGTACCATTAGCAAATATTATGCACTGTGTATAACTGTATGTGCTAGACTTTTATAGGACTGGCAGCACAGTAGGTTTGTTTATACTAGCATCACCACAAATGCAAGTAAGATAAAATTATCTTATTTATGTAAGTGCCTGTCTGTTTATTGTCTGCCTTCTTGCTATTGGGACCTGAGAGTCACATGGTCAGGGGCAGTGTCTGAATGCTTAATGCCGAACCCTAGTGTCTGGAATGGCACCTGGTAAAGAGTCAATGAGCCACATATGCTTGTTAAATGAGTGAGATGATGACTGAATGGAAACGGAAGCAGCTATTTCTAGCCTCCCCTTCTTTAAGATGAGAAACCTAAAGTCTACACTGGCAGGTCACACAGCTGGGGTTTAAATCCAGAATCTCTGACTTCCAGCCTGGTGCTCACACTAGCTACACACTGCTGCTGCTTCTAATAAAAGTAGCAGCAAATGTAAATTCAGATCATGCTTTTAAGGCATTGTTATTAGTTTTTTTGATCCCCATAGTTTAGAGTAGCCAGGGGAGGATTATGATTTAATTTAAACAATAAAGTGACCTTGGCTCTCAAGCAGTTCTCATGTTACCAACACCATATTCACTTGAGGGGACAAGACCTCAGGCTTCCACAGTCTGAGAGGCCTTTCTGATTCCTCCCCAGCCTTTTGGAAGTGAGTGAAAGAGGGTCCAGAGATCAGGGAAAAATATAAATGGTTCCCGAATCTTCTCCACCCTCCTTAAACGTGAAGGGTCCTTGGGCTGATCAAGGGGCAGGGTGAGGAGCCAGTCCTTTGAAAGCTGCAGGCCATGGCTTATGAGAGGCCCCTGGTGTGGGGATAGAGTCATGGCGAGATTCAGAGCCTGGATCCCAGGCCTGTTTATAGACAGAGCAAACCTTGTCCTCTCTGGACCCTGGTTTCCCAATATCTGCATGGAGGCCTTACTCCATATTGTCATCCCAGGCTGCTGGCCTGTTCTTCTCCCTCCTACCGACCTCCCAGGCCCTCCAGGGACAGCTAAAAAACTACTCTAAACCTGAATCCAACCCCCTGGCCAAGACTGCCCTCTGCCTACCTCCCTCATGATAAAGCCTGCCCTGGCCACTGATCAGTGTGCAGACGGCAGGTAGGAAAAGAGGCTACCGAGGGCTGCAGCTTTTATTCTCTGAAATCACAGACCTGCCATGGGGGATTTTATCAGGACTCCTGCTCCCAGATCCCTCTTTTCATAGAAATAATTAATCCTCAGGATTTAAAGCCTTAAAGCCCTCTCTTCATAACCAGCTGCTCTTTGACCACCCCACCCAGACCCTGGGGAGAACGCCTTCCAGGTTCTGAACGCAGAGCAGCATGCCTGGGAGGGGCACAGCCTGCACAGAGCCCTCCCACACAGGAGATCCTATGCCATTTCCCAAGTTTGGTGAAGCCCTGTGCAGAAGGCTTTAGATGTTCTTGTAAACAGCAAATCTGTGAGCTGAGGGCTACTACCTGGTGAACAGGGAACATGCCAGTCTTCTGTTTAGTTTGGAAGGTGGAACCTAAGGGTATTTAGCACATATTCTCAGAAATAAAAAGGAAAGAAAGAAAAAATTTTCTGTAAGAATATACTATCATTTAAAATGGCAGAATAATTACTCACTGGATACTAATGATAAGAAAAGTGATATATAACTTAGGGAAATATAAAAAGATACACAATATTTTGGTTCAATAAATTTATTTCTCTGAATCTTGAACAGTTACCAATCAGATTGGGGTTTGCATAGTAGGGAAGAAAACAAATTCACATGCAGTGTTATCCTGTGGATGGAGGCCTCTTGGGAGTATATACAGACCCCTCGCGCTGAGTGATGCTAAGCTCAGACAGCATGGGGTGAGGAGCTTTATTTGAGTCTTAGTTAAATGAGAATCCCTTGGACTCAGCAAAGACCTTCCACTATGGCTGGAGCTGTCAGACGGACCCCTAGTGGCTTTCTAGGCTCACTGACTAGCAATTGCAGTCCCCATCTGACAATTCTCTTTACATCTTTGACTACCATTTGCAAAATGGAAAACTAGCTTTCTGCTCCATGAGATTTCAAACTGGAAGCAAGAAGAGATTGTCAACATTCAGCCTTGCTTTCCCCAATCCCCCCTCCCAAGTAAAACAGAGAAGAAAAGCAATGACCCCCACCCCCTCAACAGCCTAATGCAGTCAGGAGAGAGTTTTCTCTTAGAAATATAGAGACTTTTCTCCTTTATCTTTTATATAAATTAATATTATATTATTACAACAATCAAATTTCACTTTCAGAATCAAGTTTAACCTAAGGCTATTCTGAAGTTGTGCACACCCTTTCCTCAGAAGCCATCAGTAAAACTGTACCTGGCTGCATGAACATTTACCCATTTCCATTCCATCCTGCTGCTCCCGACTTATTGTGTGTCCACACATGATAGTCAGGCCCCTGGCTGTTTCGGGGGTTTTTTGTTTTGTTGCTTTTTTGAGATGGGGTCTGTGTCATCCAGGTTGGAGTACAGTGGTGCAATCTCAGCTCACTGCAACCTCTGCCCCCCAGGCTCAAGTGATCCTCCTACCTCAGACCCCTGAGTAGCTGAAATCATAGGTGTGCACAAACACACTCAATTAATTTTTAAAATTTTTTGTAGAGATAGGGCCTCCAAGGCTGGTGTCAAACTCCTGAGCTTAGGTGATCCACCCACCTTGGCCTCCCAAAGTGCTGGGATTACAGGCATGAGCCACTGCACTGGGCCTAGGCCCCTGGCTTTATCATGCCTACCCAGTTCTCTCTAAGTCCCCTGCATCTTTGTTGTGGGCCACTCATGGGGTTCTAGAGCACAAGCCTCAGGCAGGTGAGGGCAGCAGAGACTTAGAACATCCTCAGAGAGACATTATGCCTGGAAATAGATAATTTATTTTACATTCTCACAGCTTGAGGAAATTTGCTTCAGAATAAATCGTGCCTTGAGTCTTACCCAGGTCTGATTTAGATGAGACTGTGCACTTCGGACTTTTGAGTTGATTGTGAAATTAGCTAAGACTTTTGGGGCTACTGAGATGGCATGATTTTGTATGTGATAAGGCCATGAATTTTGGGGGCCAGGAGCAGAATGTTATGGTTCAAATGAGTGCCCCAAAAGTTGGAAACTTAGTTGGCATTGTCACAGCATTAAGAGGGAAAGCATTTAAGAGGTGATTAGGCCATGAGGGCACCACTCTCATCAATGGAATACTGCCATTATCATGGGAATGGGTTAGTTATCATCCGAGTGAGCTTCTCGTAAGTTTGCCCTCCCTCCTGTCTCTCTCTGTTTTATGTATGCACTTCCTTGCCATGTGATGCCTTCTGCCATGGAATGACCCTCGCCTGGTGCCATGCTCTTGGACTTTCCAGACACCAGAACCATGGGCCAAATAAACTTCTGTTCTTTATAAATTAATCGTTATGTTATTCTATTGTAGCATTAGAAAAAAGTCTAGAACAATGACCCAAAATTACATATCTATATCCATGTAATGTTTTTCTCTTTGACGAATAGAAAACTATATTATTTTAGTATATTTGTAAAAGACCCAAGTACAATTTCTATAAATAAAAAAAAAACAACACCATTACTAAGATGGCTGGCCCAGGAAATTGGACACTGTGTAAAGGCAATAAGGGCCCACCAGCTGGACAGGACAGAGGCATGGGCTGAGACAGCAGTGGCTCCCAAGCCCCAGTTCTGTGCTGCTGTCTAGAGGGTGCTGGGGGCTCTGGGAAAACAAATCCAACCCAGGGCTCCAGGGAGCAGTGGGGCCCAGTAGAGCCCCATGATTCACAGATGGTCCTGCTTGTAGCCTGTACTTGCCATCCTGCTTCTCTTCCTGGCCTCTGCTTTCAGGTGCCAGAAGCAGGCCCAGACCACTGATTGCAGGGCCAGCCTGAAGACCACAGGAATGGTATTCACCAGATAGACACATACCCAAGTGCCACCTTGGACCTCTGGGAGGCAAGGATGGGTTCTGCCAGCATGAGTGCCTTTCCCACATTGCAATTATAAACCCTCCTGCTGAATGGACGGGGCTCTCCACTATCTGGAGTTCGTCTTAACATTGGCATTGCTTCCCAGACTGAGTGCTGCAACTACTGTGACAGGTGCTATGAGACTGGGGGCAAAAGCAAGAACAACTGGGAAGAGAAGTTCCAGTATTTATTGCCTCTTTAACATCTGCCAAAATGTGCAGAAAACACTGGGACTGGCTCAGCATGTTCAGGCTTGTGAAACAACAATGCAGCTCTTGTTTGACAGTGTTAGACATTTAGGCTGTAAACCACACCTGGACAGCCAGTGGGTCCCATATAGGTGTTGCTGACAAAGAAATATTTGGTCTTTAAAGAAGTAGCTGACAGCTGGTGATAGCAGATTAAGACTGAAGGGCGTAACTTTTGACACAGAAATAATGCTTTTTCAGCATAATGCTGCCTTATTTTTGTGAAAGGATTATTTTAAGAACTTTTAACACTATAAATATGGGGAAATCTTCACTTAGAAGTATATGTGTTTACCATGAAATTATAAATACACACTCACGCCTGGAAAGATCTCTTTTTTTCTATTTTAATTACACATAATAGTGCTGTTTCTCTGTAACCCACTGAGCAGATAAATAAGTCATAGTTCTGTTAATGACAAGAACATTTCCTTGTCTGTTTCTTTTGTAAAACTGGAACCATCAACTGGTAATCTCTTAGGGATATTGACATATTATGCAATATGCCTAAAAGGTGACATGAACAAAATTCAGAAGGACAGCCACTCTTATTTTATGAATGACTAACTTAAAAAATGTCAGTTGGATGCAGTGGCTCACACCTGTAATCCCCATACATTCCAATGGCGAGGCAGGAGAATCACTTTAGCCCAGGAGTGAGACCAGCCTGGGCAACATAGTGAAGTCCCGTCTCTACAAAAAATGTCTAAATTGGAGAAAAGATGGATTTAATGAAATAAAAAGTTTAACATAACACACACAAGAGCACTATTTGCTGTTATACTTTAGTGTTTATTTCCTAGCACTTGCTCTTACTCACAGATTTTGGGATTATTTTTAAAGACTGAAACCTTTTACTAATAGTGGTCTTAATAAAAATTGTTCTTGAAAAAAAATGCAACCTAAATTTAAAATTCTATGGACAGGTCAGCCAGCAGACTGGGCACAGTAGAAGAGAAAATTAATGAAATAAAAATAAAAGAAATAATTCAGAATACAAAAATAGGCTCCCCAAAATCATGGAAAACATGAGAGGTTAAGAAATATGGAGGCTAGATCAACATAGTCTAGATATGTTGGGAGACACCAAACCATAGATTCAAGAAGCCAAATGGGCCGGGCGCGGTGGCTCACGCCTGTAATCCCAGCACTTGGGGAGGCCGAGGCGGGCAGATCACGAGGTCAAGAGATCGAGACTGTCCTGGCTAACACGGTGAAACCCCGTCTCTACTAAAAATACAAAAAATTAGCCGGGCGTGGTGGCGGGCGCCTGTAGTCCCAGCTACTCGGGAGGCTGAGGCAGGAGAATGGCGTGAACCGGGGAGGCAGAGCTTGCAGTGAGCCGAGATGGCACCACTGCACTCCAGCCTGGGCGACAGAGCAAGACTCTGTCTCGAAAAAACAAAAAAAAGAAGCCAAATGAACCCTAACCAAGTTAAGATGGTGGGTAACAGGGACGGAGCAGGAAATGTATTACATTTACCAGAGAACAGTTATACAGAAAGCTGATTTCTCAATAGCAATTATTAATGTGGAAGCCAAAAATCAGTAGAATGGTATCTTTCATGTGATGAAAGACAATAGCTAGCAACCTAGAATCGTCTAATGAAAATATGTGTCAAGAATAAGGAGAAATAAAGAATTTTTAAATGGAGATTCATTACCAGGATTAAATATGTATAACACATTTTATATTATATATTACATATTATATTATATACAGTATAGTATATATATCATATATTACATTGTAAATATGTATATATTACCAGTATTACATATATAGATAAATTTAGGGGAACATTGACAGTATTATATAAAAATTATAAAATGTCTAGTATTTTTATAAGTTATAAGAGAATTACAACAGAAAGCAACAATATATATAATTTTGGAGGAATGTAAATGGAGCTGAAGTATTGAAAATTCTTTGTATAATTATATAAAAAGAGAGACTTTTTAAAAGTTCTAACTAGAATATTAACATACTAAAAGTAGCAGTATATAAAACCAAAATAATATCACGAATCCAGGTCAGTTTATCTGACAAATGCAAAGTTGGTTTAACATAAGCAAATAATGTAATGTAATTCAACACATTTAACAACTTGATTTCCCAGCCTGGGCAACATGGCAAAACCCTGTCTCTACAAAAATACTAGCTGGGCATGGTGGCACACACCTATAATCCCAGTGATACAAGAGCTAAAAATAAATTATTTAGGAAGATAGTGAGGGTAAAGGAGTCCTCAGCAAGGCTTCCCTTTTAACACAAAGCAGCCCCAAAGTAATTTCTTTTCTAACAAAGAGCAGCCTGAAAAATCAAGCTGCAGACATAGATAAGCAAGCTGGAAGCTTACACAGGTGAATGCCGGCAGCTGTGCCAAAAGAAAAGGGCTACCTCATGGCCAGGCATGTTCAACATGGAAGCTCCATCTTCCCTTTTCTTTGTCACCACGTGTACAGTAAAGAAGCAAGCAACATGGCACCAGCTAGGTAGAGAACACATCTGCATGATAAAATATTAGGGTGGGGCAGCCAGCTTTTTTGCATGCTATACAAATGACACACCTAGCCCTACCCAGTTTTTCACACCTTATGCAAATAGCACACCTGGTCCGACCAATCATTTGTGCCCTATGTAAATCAGACACTGCCTCCTCAAGCTCATCTATATAACCCCTTGCATTTTGCCACAGACTGGAAGACCCACTCAGGACCCCTCTTTCCACAGGAGAGAGCTTTTCTGTTTCTTTCACCTATTAAGCGTCCACTCTTAACCTTACTCCTTATGTGTCCACATCCTTGATTTCCTTGGTGTGAGGAAACAAACCTCGGGTATTACCCCAGACATCACTTCACCAGCTACTCAGGAGGCTAAGATGGGAGAACTTCTTGAGCCCGGGAGGTTGAGGCTGCAGTGTGCCATGATCCTGCCACTGCAATTGAGCCTGGGCGACAGAGTAAGACCTTGCATCAAAAAAAAAAAAAAGTTAATTTTTAAATGATTATCTTCCTAGATGCAAAATAACTACCTGATAAAATACAACATTTATTCATAATAAGAACTTTAGAAAACTAGTACAAGAGGAGAACTTCATTAATACAATTTTAATAGTAACATCCATGAGTTTTGCCCCTCAGCATTCTCACCTTACAGAATCCTCCTCTCTTGATCGTGACTGCCTCTGGCTATTAGAATTTTGCCAATGTAATTAAGGTCCAAAATTAGTTAATCTATGAGTTAATCAAAAGGAAGATTATCCTGAGTGAACCTGATTAACCAGATTTAAGCCCTGAGGTGACAGGCTTTTCTTGCTGGCTTGATGAGGAATTGTTGAGGAATTCCACATGGCCAAGAACTGTAACCAGCTTCTAGGAACTTTAGGCAACCTCTAGGACTTTAGGATAGTCAGCCAAGGATTAGCAGATGGCTGAGGACCTCAGTCATTCCATCACAAGGAAATACATTTTGTCAACAAACTGAATAAACTTGGAAGCAGATTCTCCTGCAGTCAAGCCTCCAAATGAAAATGCAGCCCAGCTGACACCTTGGTTACAACCTTGTAAGATTCTGAGGAAAAGATCAAGTGAAAACCTGCCTGGACTCCTGACCTACCAAAGCTGTGAGATAATAAATGTTTGTTGTTTAAAGATGCTATGTTTGTGGCAATCTGTTATGCAACAAAAGAAAATGAACACAGTAATAAATGATATCTACCATGAAAACAAAAGGCCACCATCTCCATACTTACTGAAAAATATTATTTTCCCATTGCCATTTCAACAAGATATGAGTGCCTACCATCTCTATATTTATTTAACAGTATTCTTACAGTAGAAAAAAAGAAACAAAAGCTCTAGGAATTAGAAAGGATACAAGACTTACTATTTACAGATAATATGTCTGTGTATATAGAAAATCCAAAAGAATCTATAGCTAAAATATTCAAATAAGAAAAAATATAACTAAGTGTAGCAATATAGCTAAACTATTCAAGATCAATATACAAAATATCAATTTTATTTCTATAAGCAAGAAACAAACAGAAAATAAATTAAAGATAAAATTTGTAATAGGATCAAATGTATCAAATATTTAGGGATCTAAAATACATATGCAAGACCTCTATAAGAAATTTTTTAAACGTTGAGAGTTAATAAGATAGACTACTAAAATATTAATAGTTTGGGGAAATTCAATATAGTCTTTTCTCTCTAAATTATGTATTCAATTCAATTCCAATCAAAATCCTTGCTTTGTAAAGCTTTACATTTTGATTATAAAAAGTATATGAAGTTTTTTCCTCCTTTCTCTTCCTGAACATTTCAGCTCACAAGGGTGGGGACAAAACAGGGAGTTGTGTTGATCCAGAGTGAAGGATTGGGGCCTGAATGAAATGAGAAGGGCTCTAGTGGCGCCATGTCACCCTGCACAGTGCTGGAGGTCAATTGAGATCATTGTTGTAAGGTGGGCAAAAGAAATGAGGTATGAAAGACTGAACAATATCAGGAGGCACCCACACACAGATGGAGCATGTGTCTTCAGCACCTAAGGGAGGTGAGGATGGGTCATCTGCATAAGAGGGCAGCCTGGCACAGGGTGTCTGAGGAAGGATCAGGTGAAGATGGCATCCACTTGGGAGGAAAAATGGCAGAGGCAACCAATGAAAGGTAGAAGAGTCCCAAGTGGGAGTGAAGAGTGCATCTGCATGGGAGCAGGGACACAAAAGATTGGTTACACACTCGGGGTTAAACAAATAACTAAATACAGCAAGTCCTGGAATAATGCCGTTTTGTTATAACATTGACGAGAAAAAGAAATCATAGCCAAAGCCACTGTGTGTATGGAGTTTACATGGTTTCCCCAAGTCTGCGTGAGTTTTTCTCCAGGTTCTCTGGTTTCCTCCCACATCCCAAATCTGGGCACATTAGGTTAACCGATGTGTCTAAATGGTCCCAGTCTGAGTGAATCTGGGTGTGTGTGAGTGTGCCATGCAATAGCGTGTCCAGAGCCGGTTCCCACTTGGGCCCCTGAGCTGCTGGATAGGTTCCAGTCATCTGCCACCCTGAACTGGATAAGCATGTTGGACAAGGAACAAATACATGAATGCAAATTACTGTAAAATAAAAATTTGTAAAGTTTATGATAATCATACAAATGCTGCAATACACAATGATGTCGTACAAAAGTGCTCCATGAGCCTGCCATATTTGTGATTGGTTTTAACTGTATGGAGGTAGGAGGTGATCCTTACAAATTGCACTTTGCCAACATTCATTTCTTGATTTCACCCACCACCACTACAACTGCCATCATTCGCTGATTCACCAAACAATGGGTAAATAATATCTTATTACTCTTTCTTCCTTATATGTATGTGAAGCTAACATTTATTTTAATGTTCAATATTACAAGTGGTTTTGGTCTTTATTTACATTTGGTGATGTTTTTGTGGCCAGAAATATGTCATAGGCACAGATCTCTTGCTTATATCAATTAGCCTATGGTAAAATTAATTTTGTTTCACATCTTCACTTAAAGTCAGTCAGTTCCCAAGAAGACCTATTGATCATGTTAAGTGAGGACTTACTCTGTACTAAGGATGAAGGGAGTCAAGCTGTGTCAGAAAAGGGAATTACAAATATAGTTGACCCTTGAACAACACGGTTTGAACTGTATGGGTCTACTTATAAGCAGCTTTTTATTTCAATAAATAGACTGAAATTTTTTTGGAGATTTGTGACCATTTGAAACAGCTTATAGATGAATCTGCATGGCCTAGAAATAAATTAAGAAAAAGGTATGTCATGAATGCACAAAAAATATAGGTAGATACTCATCTATTTTATCATTACTACCATAAAATATATGCAATCTATTATAAAAAGTTAAAATTTATCAAAATTTATGCACATACAGCACATGGCACCATTCACAGCTGAGAGAAATGTAAACAAATATAAAGAGGCAGCATTAAATCATAACTGCATAAAATTAACTATAATACACACTGTACTACTGGAATGATTTCATAGCCACCTGTTGCTTCTGCAGTGAGCTGAAGTGTTGCAGGTATTCCCTTAAAATGCCTTGTGATGCTAATCATCTCTGCAGAAGCAGTTCATCTATCCAGGAAATTGTATTTCACAGTAAAAAGTGATGACTTACGGCTCTTGCATATTTTTCATTTTGTTTTGTTTTGTTTTGTTTTTGAGACAGAGTTTTGCTCTTGTTAACTAAGCTGGGGTGCAACGGCATGATCTCTGCTAACTGCAACCTCTACCTCCCGGGTTCAAGTGATTCTCTTGCTTCAGCCTCCCCAGTAGTGGGGATTACAGGCACCCACCACCACACCTGGCTAATTTTTTGTATTTTTAGTAGAGACGGGGTTTCACCATGTTGGCCAGGTGGGTCTCGAACTCCTGACCTCAAGTGATCTGCCCGCCTCAGCCTCCAAAAGTGCTGGGGTTACAGGCGTGAGCCACCACGCTTGGCCTTTTTCATTGTTTTTAATGCAATACTGTGAAACTTAAATAACACCATGGAACCCATACAAAGTGCCACCATTGATGCTGGAAGTGCTCCCAAGAAGTGGAGAAGTCATGACACTGTATTAAAAAGTCTGACATTGTCAAAGTAGAACATTTCTGAAAAGAAAACTATGCTTTCTTAAAATTAACAAATTATAAACCATTGAAGAAAATAAAACATGGATCCATATTGATACAAGTAAATGAATAAATTGAGGGTTTTAGGAGGAAGAGAGATATTTACATAGTCTCAAATTACCTCCCCACAGGATACTAAGTAACAGGACAAATCAAAATTGTAGGTCACATGATAAGATGCAATGAGACAATTACAGGATCACTTCTGTACAGGATATACTTGACCAAAGATGTAAAATCTCTTTGTTCCCCATACCTCAGCCTGACACAATATACCCATGTAACAAAGCTACACATGTACTCCCTGGAACTAAAGCTGAATTTTTAAAAAAGTATGATGTAAATTTAATCACAATGAAACACCAGAAACACCCAATTGACGAACATTCTACATTACTGGACTTTACTCTTTGAAAGATTCAAGGTTATAAGGTCAAGGGAAAACAGGAGCTGCTCCAGACAGAGTCTAAGAGACACAAGAACTAAATGCAATCCATGGTGGGTCTGAATGGATTATATAATTTTTCTTAAAATCGGCACATATTCTCACGATGCTTTTCAAACTAGATCTTGATTTAGATGTAACTCATCAGTAGATTCTACATAGAAGACTCAGATTCAAATTCAGCAGCACCTGGAAAGAAAATGAAAGAATGATGCTCCTTACCTAAAATATTTCATAGTTAACTAAGTGTAAGTCAGTAAAAGAGAGTTGAGAACTTTATCTGTTTTAATAAGAAGGAAAAATATGTACGTATGACCATGATACAAAATTACTGTTTAATATTAAATATAATCTGCCCATAGTTGTGCATTGAACTGTCATTGTGGTTAAGTATCAGAGCTTTTGGTTTTTTCACTCTTCATTCCTGTATTCAGCAACCATGTGACAATAAGCAGTGGAGTTACAAGATGAAGATGAACAGTTCACTTCTCAAAAATCGTATGATACAACCTGAAAAAACAAACAGGCAATTTCTTTACAGAATCATAGATACCATGACAGGTATAAAACAGGACACTATTGGAACACACAGAAGGGACACCTATCCCAGTTTTGTGTCAATATTGCAGGCTTTTTGGTGGAGGCAATATGTAGGTTGATATCTGAAGGACAAGGAAAAGATGTGGCACATAGAGGGAAGAAGCAAATGCAAAGAGATTAGAAAGAGCACTGTGGAATTCTATATAGTCCAGTTTGGCTGAATGCTAGAGCAAAGGGGTAGAGTAGGGTATGTGGCAAGAGACAAGGCTGAATAACTTGACAAGAACCAAACTGATGTAGGTGTTTTTATTGCATTCCAAGCAACTTAGAGCATTTCCTGAGTGCAAAAGTAAACCAATCACAAAATAAATAATTGGAGATTTTAAACATCACCTGTCAAGTAACTGTTTTTGAACTCTAATTGTTTGGCTAAGTATTACTAGATGACTCTGGTCTTTTGGACTTAAATTACTACCATGTCTTTGAGAAGCTGATGATGACTTTGTTTCTTGAGTGCAGTTTCAGTGTGCTAGCTGACAGTTCCCTAGGGATGGCAGAAATGAAGACGGTTTAGAGCCAGAACAAAAGAGATAGTTAGGTTCCTTGAGATTTTTTTAAAGCTATGGAACATGATGAATTAATGAAGCATAAGTATATTCTCCATTATGAGTATTTATGTGTTTCTGTCTTTTATGAAATGTATATAGGAAAAAAAACTTACTGTAATACAAACAGTGGAGAGGAAAGCCACTTGCTATTTATAGTTTATTTCAGGAATCAATTAATTAATCTAAATTTAATTAATTAATTTTGGCAACATACGTTCTTCTACTTCTCTAGTTATATTTTCTATCAACTCTTGCTGCATCTGAAATAAGCCAAATATTCATAATGTTTAAGTTAAACAGAGAAATTATCATGAAAATGATAGATCACTTATAAAATATGATCTTTCATACTTTTAGAGACAAGACCTAACTTGAGGATTGCGTAAATAGAAAAATTAACTACATAAACAAAATAAAAATCCTACTTATTTTAAGTTTAGATAAAAGAGAATATATATGTGTAATGCTCTTGACATTAGTCTAATAAAAAGTGCAATTAATATTAGTCTATGGAATATACATCTTTCAGAAGGGCAACGTTTTCTTTTACTAGTTACAAAGGTTACACAATTCAAGTCATATTTTGCAACAAACGCATTATTTTCTAATTCTTAGCAAAACTCTGACCTTTATAAGAGTTCAATCAGTTTTTTCACTTTGGTAGAATTCTCCTTAAAATACACTTTCCATTTTCCTCTTTTGGAAAATTAAAATTTTAAATACATTCCATGTTATTAACTTTTCGGGACAGAATTTTAAATATGTACCTGAAGAAAGTGGTACTGTCACATAATATGTGAAAATTCTACTGGCAAAATATTAAGTAGAAATATTATTCTATCTGCATTGCAACTAATTTTTTTACATATGAATAAAAAATCTTCCTTTCCATATGGGAAACAAAGATTTTTAAAATTTACTTGAAAAAAGAATATAGATTAAAACCAGTTTACAAACTTGGTTTCTTTGTTTCATGACCTTCTAGAATTAGAAACAAAGAAAACAATATACAGCCTTTTAATTGTAACTTTTATGCTTTTCAAAAAGTAGTAGCATTTTTTGAAACATCTAATTAACTGTAGTTCTCTACTTAATTATGAAATTGTGTGGGGATACTTCAAACTATATTGCAAGTGTTCCCATCTAGAATGTTTTTATTTAAATCTTTTGTGCAAAAGGTGTTCTCTCACTAAATGCCCAGAAAAGGTTCTAAAATTCTTTACTAAACATAATATTTTTGGTGACAATGACAATATGATATACAATGCCTTTACAAGTTTTTTGACCAATAGCTTTTGCAATATTTTAAGAGATAGTTTTCCATAATCTTTCTGTGATCATAACATTATAGACAGGCCTTATAAAACTAGTGACATGACAATAGAATTATGAGAAAAATTTTATAAAAGTGATAACTCAATATCAGATAAAGGGAGAAGGCTTTATTGAAAGAAATTTACTTTATCATTAATGAACACTATGTAAAATGTACATTTTTACGTGACTTGAATTAAAAAACTCTTAAAGTAACATTGTTATCTTTCCCCCAAAAGTTCTTCTTATACTTCCTATCTGTAATAGATTGTATTAATTTCTTTATACCCCATTCACAAATACATTCATAGTACATAAATTTTACTAGATAAAAATGAAGTACCTTTCTCATCAGCTTGCTTGTTTTTATGCTAAAGAAATAACTCTCTAGATAAAGAATATTTTTTGTATAACAAATTTAAGTAGAGGACTTTTTTTCTCTTTTGGTAGAAGTAGTTGCCCAACCTTGGGATGGCCTCCTCCTACATACATTTTTTTTAGCCTTTCACTGACCCTTGAACACTTTACCAGTTGCTGAGGGCAACTGCCTTTGGGTAAGAAACACCAGATCAGATATAAAAGCTCAGAGGGTAAAGAAACAGACTCAGAACACGGGAGATGCTCTGAGAGGGGCACCCGAAAACACTGGAAAATGATCTTGAGTGTTAATGACTCCAGTGTTGTCCTGGCTGTTGGGAGGCTGCGGTGGTTTTACCCATATTCACAAGGGGGAAATGAAAACTATTAAATAACTTTTTTTTTTTTTTCTGAGACAGAGTTTTGTTCTTGTTGCCCAGGCTAGAGGGCAATGGTGCAATCTCGGCTCACTGCAACCTCTGCCTCCTGGGTTCAAGCAATTCTCCTGCCTCAGCCTCCCGAGTAGCTAGGATTACAGGTGCTCGCCACTGCGACCAGCTAATTTTTGTATTTTTAGCAGGGACGGGGTTTGTCCACGTTGGCCAAGCTGGTCTCAAACTCCTGACCTCAGTTGATCCATCCTCCTCGGCCTCCTAAAGTGCTGGGATTACAGGCGTGAGCCACCACACCCGGCCTAAATGACTTTTTAAAATTCCCTTTTATTTTATTCTTGCTTTCCCATTAAATCACACATTTTCCTCACATTTCTATGAATAGAAATTCAGAACTTTTATCCCTGGAATTTTTACTGAGTGACTTAATACAGTACCTGGCACAGATTATGGAAAGGAAAAGGAGAGAAAAATGTCTTGGTGACATTAATCATTGTCCTGTTTGGTTAGAAAAGGGTGCCATTAATGGCTTTTGAAGTGTGTAGAATAATAGCCTAGCAGAAAATAAATATTGCCAGAGGAAATAGAAAAGCTTAATAAACTGCTAATTTTTATGTTATGCATAATACTAAATCAAAAGTTCCGTTAGTTCTGTATGGAGTGAAATACTTAAATATTTTAAATAAAAACGCTCCTGCTTTCTCCATGGCCTGTTTATTCAGCTTGAGATTATGTTTCAGTTGGTGGAGGTAGCTTGAAGTCCAACATTAATAAGGAAAGCACAACCGCAACTTTGTTTATACTTTTTTATTTAAAAAAAAAGTAAATAGGCCAGGCGCAGTGGCTCATGCCTCTAATCCCAGCACACTGGGAGGCCAAGGCAGGTGAATCACCTGAGGTCAGGAGTTCGAGACCAGCTTGACCAACATGGAGAAACCCCACCTCTACTGAAAATACAAAATTAGCCAGGTGTGGTGGTGGCATATGCCTGTAATCCCAGCTATTCGGGAGGCTGGGGCAGGAGAATCACTTGAACCCAGGAGGTGGATGTTGCAGTGAGCTGAGATCGCACCATTGCACTCCAGCCTGGGCAACAAGAGTGAAACTCTATCTCAAAAAAAATTAAATTAAACTAAATTAAATAGAACAAAGCCAGGAAATCATGTTGCCAGAGGGCTCAGGAGGGTCTCCAGATACCTGTGAGACCGCAGCCCCACCTGGCGTCCAGATTCTTGACACCATCACTACGAAGAATTCAGGGACAAAGGCTCAAGAAGCTTTTATTGCAAAGTGAAAGTACACACAGGAGAAGAGGACAGATGTGTCCGTGACAATGAGTCATGCACAACAGAATTTGGGGTTTCTGATTTTACGGGTGTTCAATTGAAAGGTGGAATCATCATTAGATATTCTGAAAAAGGAGGGGATATCAGGGACCTCTGCTAACCACCCCCTTTCTCCCTTGTTTGGGTTTCCTCAGAAGAGTCATGGACATGCCACCTTGACCGGGATTTTGGCCATTTTCTCTCTCTTAGTTTTATTGCCCTAAATTCTAGCCATACCAATGGCTTTCAGTGCTCCAAATACATCCCTCCATGCCTGGGTACTTTAGCCATGCTTTCCCCAGTCAGTGATGGTGGGCTAGGCACCTTCCAAGGCAAATGCTCACATACTCTCAGGACCTACCTCTAACACTTCCAGGGCCATGACTCAGAGGTTCCTCCAGAAGCCATGTAGATTACTCCCCAATTCCCCTTACTCCATGCATCTCGTACATCTCTATTCAATGCCATACCATACTGAATTAGAATTGCCTGTTTTAAGAGTGTTTCACAGGCACTCTTGTAGATGCATTTCAAAACTCTGAAAAGTGACTGATACGGAGCTGGTCTTGACTCAATAAATCCCTCAATCTTTTCTCCCGGTCCCATCACCTTGCCTACGTTTTTCTCTTGCCTGAGCCTTAACAGGTAGCACTCACTGTCTTCTGGGATGGCTCTGCTTATAAGATTCTTGAGGATGCCATTCAGAAATACTTGTATTTAAAGAGTATGTGAGATGATGAATTTGCTTAACTGTAATAATCATTTCACTATGTATAAATATGTCAATATATCATGTTGTGCTTCTTAAATTTATACAATTAATAAACTAAAACTTTTTTTAAAAGCCAAAACTAATTGTGTTTAGGAAACCAATTTAGAGATTTTAAAAATTAGCCCTCAAAGACATTTTCAAGCATGTTCTTTCACCACCCTTGTACAATTCACTCATTACCTGGGAAAAATTAAGCATTTGGCACTGAGGAATAATTCAGAGCAACAATTCTAGGGGAAAACGAGAGAGCTGAGTTGGTGATCAAAAAGAACTCAAGCCAACTTTAAAGGCAATTAGCTCCTAGCATTGCAACCACGGCATCAGAGGTGGGGCCTGCCCTCTGTCTTGCACTCATCCCCTTCAGGCTGAGCAAGGTGTTATTTTTAACTAGTTTGTGAATTATAATTCCCTTCACCCTTATGTTAATCATTACCTATTTCACAGGGATGCCCTTATGTAATGAAAAAACCATACAGGATAGTTTGTCTCATGGCGCCCTCTAGTGATAATACAAAGATCACAAACAAAGAAAGTTAATTCACCCAGTGCCAGAATGTGCCAAGAGTAATAGTACTTTTCTTTTCTTTTCTTTTTTTTTTTTGTTTTTGTTTTTGTTTTTTTGGAGACGGAGTCTGGCTTTGTCGGCCAGGCTGGAGTGCAGTGGCGCGATCTCGGCTCATTGCAACCTCCGCCTCCCGGGTTCAAGCGATTCTCCTGCCTCAGCCTCCAGAGTAACTGGGACTGCAGGAGCACGCCGCCATGGCTAATTTTTTTGTATTTTTAGTAGAGACGGGGTTTCGCCGTGTTGCCCAGACTGGTCTCGAACTCCTGAGCTCAGGCAATCCGCCCGCCTCGGCCTCCCAAAGTAGTAGGATTACAGGCGTGAGCCACCGGACCCGGCCGTACTTGACTTTTGAAAAATAAAACTTTCTTTACTCACAGATTACATTATTGAACAACTAGAAAATCCTATCAACAACAAGAACAATACAAACTTCTGGAACTAATAAGTGAGTTTGGCAAGGTCTCAAAATACAAGGTTAATATGCAAAAGTCCATTTCTTTCATATATATCAGTAAAGAGCAATTAGAATTTGAAATTTTAAAAAATACAATTTACAACAGCATCAAAAATAATGAAATACAATTATACATCTAACAAAGTATGTACAGGATATATATGTGAAAAAACTACAAAACACGTATGAAAGGCAACAAAGAATATTTAAATAAATGGAGAGAGAGTACATGTTTATATATTGGAAGAAAACATTTTTTAATAATTTCAACTTGTATTTTAGATTCAGGGGGTACATGTGCAGGTTTGTTACATGGCTATATTGCTTGATGCTGAGGTTTGGAATGTGATTGATTCCATCACCCAGGTACTGAGCAAAGCACTCAAGAGTTAGTTTTCCACACACTGACTCCCTCTTTCCCTCTCCCATTTAATAGTCCCATCATTTATTGTTGCCACATTTACAGCCATGAGTACCCAATGTTTAGCTCCACTTATAAGTAAGAACATGCAGTATTTAGTTTTCTGTTAATTTTATGTTAATTCGCTTAAGATAATGGCATCCAGCTGCATCCATGTTGCTGCAAAGAATATGATCTCATTCTTGTTCATGGCCATAGTGTATATGTACCACATTTTCTTTATTCAGTCGACCGTGGATGGGCACCTAGGTTTATTCCATGTCTTTGCTATTGTGAAAAGTGCTGTGATGAACATACGAGTGCATAGGTCTTTCTGGAAGAATGATTTATTTTCTTTTGTATATATACCCAGCATTGGAATTGCCGGGTTGAACGGTGGTTCTAAGTTTTTTGAGAAATCTCCAAACGGCTTTCCATGGTATCTGAACTAATTTATATTCCCACCAGCAGTGTATAAGCATTCCCTTTTCTCTGCAGCCTTGCCAGCATCTGTCATTTTTTATTTTTGTTTTGTTGTTGTTGTTGTTGTTGTTGAGACGGAAGCTCGCTCTGCTCTGTCGCCCAGGAAGGAGTGCAGCGGCGTGATCTTGGCTCACTGCAACCTCCGCCTCCTAGGTTCCAGTGATTCTCCTGCCTCAGCCTCCCGAGTAGCTGGGAGTACAGGTGTGTGCCACCACGCCCAGCTAACTTTTTGTATTTTTAGTACAGACGGGGTTTCACCGTGTTAGCCAGCATGGTCTCGATCTCCTGATCTCGTGATCTGCCCGCCTGGGCCTCCCAAAGTGCTGGGATAACAGGTGTGAGTCACCACGCCCGGCCCTTTTTTTTTATTTTTAGTGATAGCCATTCTGGCTGGTGTGAGATGGTATCTCATCGTGGTTTTGATTTGCATTTCTCTGATGATTAGTGAGGTTGAGTATTTTTTTTTTTTCGTATGTTTGTTGGCCACTTCTATGTCTTTCTTGAGAAGTGTCTGTGCCCACTTTTTAATGGGGTCATTTTGTCTTTTGCTTGTTGAATTGTTTAGGCTCCTTATAGATTCTGGATATTAGACCTTTTTCAGATGCATAGTTTGCAAATATTTTCTCTCATTCTGTAGGTCATCTGTTTACATTGTTGATAGTTTCTTTGCTGTGCAGAAGCTCCAGTTTAATTGGGTTCCACTTGTCAATTTTTGTTTCTGTTGCAAGTGCTTTTGAGAACTCCAAATTCTTTCCCAAGGCCAATATACAGAATGGTATTTCCTAGGTTTTCTCCTAAGACTCTTATAGTTTGAAGTGTTACATTTAAATCCTTAATCCATCCTGAGTTAATTTTGTTTTTTTTTTTGAGATGGAGTTTCGCTCTTTCGCCCATGCTAGAGTGCAGTGTGGCATGATCTCAGCTCACTGCAACCTCCGCCTTCTGGTTTCAAGAAATTCTCCTGTCTCAGCCTCCTGAGTAGCTGGGATTACAGGTGCTTGCCACCACACCTGGTTAATTTTTGTATTTTTTTTAGTAGAGATGGGGTTTCACCATGTTGGCCAAGCTGGTCTCAAACTCCTGACCTCGTGATCCGCCCGCCTCGGCCTCTCAAAGTGCTGGGATTACAGATGTGAGCCACCGCGCCTGGCCTTGAGTTAACTTTTGTATATGGTAAAAGGTAGGGAGGGTCCAGTTTCAATCTTCTGCATACGGCTAGCCGGTTATCCCAGCACCATTTATTGAATAGGAAGTCCTTTCCCCATTGTTTATTTTTGTCTAATTTTTTGTAGATCAGATGGGTATAGGTGTGCAGATTTCTTTCTGGAGTCTCTGTTTTGTTCCATTGGTCTATGTGTCTATTTTTGTGCCAGTTCCATGTTGTTTTGGTTACTGTAGCCTGACAGTATATAGCATAAAGTTTAGTATAAAGTCAGGTCGTGTGATGCCTTAAGCTTTGTTCTTTTTGCTTAGAACTTCTTGGGCTATTTGGGCTCTTTCTTGGTTCCATATGAGGATTAGAATAGTTTTTTCTAATTCTGTGAAAAATGGCATTGGTAGTTTGATAGGAATAGTATTGCATCTGTAAATTGCTTTGGGCAGTGTGGCCATTTTAACAATAGTGATTCTTCCAATCCATGAGCATGGAATGCTTTTCCATTTATTTGTGTCATCTCTGATTTCTTTCAGCAGTGTTTTGTAGTTCTCTTAGTAGAGATTCTTCACTTCCTTACTTAGATGTATTCCTAAGTACTTTTTTATGGCTATTGTAAGTGAGATTGCATTCTTGATTTGGCTCTGAGTTTGAATGTTACTGGTATATATCAATGCTACTAATTTTTGTGCATTGATTTTGTATCCTGAAACTCTGCTGAAATTGAAATTATTTGCCAGTTCTGGGAGCCTTTTGGCAGAGTCTTTAGGGTTCTCTAGGTATAGAATCATATCATCAGTAAAGAGAGAGAGTTTGACTTCCTCTTTTCCTATTTGGATGCATTTTATTTCTTTCTCTTGCCTGATTGCTCCAACTTGGACTTATAGTACTATGTAGAATAGGAGTGGTGAGAGAGGACATCCTTGTATTACTCTAAAAGGAATGCTTCCAGCTTTTGCCCATTCAGCATGATGTTGGCAAATAAATTTGTCATAGATTGCTCTTATTAGTTTGAGGTTTGTTCCTTTGATGTCTAGATTGTTGAGGATTTTTATCATGAAGGGATGCTTGATTTTATCAAAAGCTTTGTCCACATCTATGGATATAATCATGTGGTTTATGGTTTTAATTCTGTTTATATGGTGAATCACATTTATTGATTTGCATTTGTTGAGCCAACCTTGCATCTCAGGAATAAAGTCTACTTAATCACAGTGAAATAACTTTTTGATGTGCTGCTGGATTCAGTAGTATTTGGTTGAGGACTTTTGCATCTATGTTCACCAGAGATATTGACCTGTAGTTTTCTTTTCTCGCTATGTCTTTGCCAGGTTTTGGTATCATGTTGACACTGTCTTTATAGAATGAGTTAGGGAGGAGTCCCACCTCCTTGATTTTTTTGGATTAGGTTCAGCAGAATTGGCACCGGCTCTTCTTTGTACAACTGGTAGAATTCAGCTGTGAATCCATCAGGTTTGAGGCTGTTTTCATGGGGGCTTTTTAAGGTTTTCTATTGCTGATTCAATTTTGGAACTCAATATTGGTCTGTTCAGGGTTTCAATTTCTTCCTGATTCAATCTTGGGAGGTTGTAGGTTTCCAGGAATTTACCCATTCCCTCTAGATATTTTAGTTCGTGTGCACAGAGGTCTTCATAATAGTTTCTGAGGATCTTTTGTATTCCTGTGGGATTGGTTGTAATGTCATCTTTGTCATTTCTGATTGTGCTGATTTGGATCTTCTTTTATCTTTGCTCATCTAGCTGGTTGTCTATTGATTTTGTATCCTTTCAAAGACCCAACTTTTGGTTTCATTAATTATTTGTATGGATTTTTGGGTCTCCATTTGCATTCAGTTCTGCTCTAATTTTATTTCTTTCTTTTCTTCTGCTAGCTTTGGGGTTAGTTTGTTCTTATTTTCCTAGTTCCTCTAAGTGTGATGTTATATTGTTAATTTGAGATCTTTCTAACTTTTTGATGTAGGTGTTTAGTGCTGCAGACTTTCCTCTTAATACTCCTTTTCCTGCATCCCAGTGATTTTGGTATGTTGTATCTTTGTTATAATTTACTTCATATAATGTTTTTTATTTCTACTTAATTTTATTGTTTACCCAAAAGTCATTCGGGAGCAAGTTTTTTCATTTTCATATAATTGTGTAGTTTTGAGAGCTCATCCTGGTACTAATTTCTATTTTTATTCCATTGTGGTCTGAGAGTGTGGTTGGTATGATATGGATTTTTTCTAATTTCTTGAGACTTGCTTTACGAGCAAACATGTGTTTGATCTTAGAGAATGTTTTGTGTGCAGAAACAAAAAATATATATTCTGTAGTTGATGAATTGAGTATTCTGTAGATGTCTATTATGTTCAGTTTATCAGGTATCCAATTTTGGTCCAGAATTTCTTTGTTGGTTTCCTGCCTCGATGATCTAATACTCTCTGTTAGTGGGGTGTTGAAGTTCTCCACTATTTATTGTGTGGTTGTACAAGTCTTTTTGTAGGTCTAGAAGTTCTCATTTTATGAATGTGGGTGCTCCAGTGTTGGGTGCATATATATTTCGAATAGTTAAGTCTTCTTGTTGAATTAAACCCTTTATCATTATGTAATGCCCTTCTTTGTCCTTTCTTACTGTTGTTGGTTTAAAGTCTGCTTTACCAAAGAATCACAACCCCTGCCTTTTTGGTGTTCTGTTTGCATAATAGCTCTTTCACCAACCCTTTACTTCAAGCCTATAGGTGTCATTATATGTGAGATGGGTCTCTTGAAGGCAACAAACAGACGGGTCTTGATTTTTTTTCATCCAGTTTGCTACTCTGTACCTTTTAAGTGAGGGCATTTATACTGTTGACATTAAAGGTTAATATTGGTTTCTGAGGTTTTGATCCTATGGCGAAGCTGATAGCTGGTTGCTTTGTCATTTCTATTGCATGGTTATTTTATGCGGTCTGTGAGCTATGTAACTTGTGTGTTTTTGTGTTAGCACACAAAACACATGCTCCACAACAATCTCTGCAAAGGAAGGGTGGGATGGCTCAGCTTACTGGTCCTGGCAAGCAGGTGCTCTGACTGCCTGGAGATATGCCTGGGCATGAAGTAGAGAGGGCCTTGCTGTACCACAATCTCTGTACAGGAAAGGTGTGACAATTCAGGCTGCTGAACCAGGTGAATGGATTCTCTGAATGCCTGGAGAGATTTGCCTGGGCTTGAACCAGGGAGGACTCCTCTCGCACCAGGATCTCTGCACAAAAAGGATGGGGTGGCTTAGGCTATTGCTCCAGGAAAGTGGGTGCTCCAAATGCCTAGAGTTCAGCCTGGGGGGTGGAGCAAAGAGGGACCCACTGTACAACATCTCAGAGGAACAGGTTGGGGCACCCAGCAATGGCACATGCAGACCAGTTCCAGGTCACCAAGCTGGCCCTGGCTGCAAGTCTCATTGAACAGGAGAAACTGCAGAACCCTCTTCATCCCAAACCCAGGCATATCACCAGGCGGCTCTCTTCCTATCCCAGACCTGTGATGGAGGAAAATACAATTCCAGTGCCTACTACTGAGGTGCTTTCCACAATTACCCCAGTGTGGAAACCCCTACCCTTCTCCAGAGCAAGCATGAGAATCTCTGGCCCAGACGAAAATGCCTGAACAGCCATACTGCCAGGTTCCCAAAGAATGTCTGACCCTGTACTCACCCAGATTAAAAATGGTGTCCTGCTCTTGGTCCTGGATCTGGGAAAATATCTGCAGTTTTCCTTGTGTTTCCCTCCCAGCATCTCCAAGCCTCCCCTCAAGTTAGCTGCAGAGTTTGGGAGAAACAAAATGCTCTCCCTTGGCCTGGGTTGCTCAGATCCCCAGTGGAAAGACGAGTCACAGACAGAAGCTCTTTGCCTCTCTCAGGTACTGGAGCTTCGCTCACTTTTATCAGCTGGATACCATCGCGGGGGCGGTTTGCCTGCATTCTTCTCCCTGAGATCTGGGGTGTCCTTCACAATTCCAGTGGATTCCCCTTTTCCTAAGTGAATTAAAGCTCAGGGAGTTGGTCTCTATGCATCATTTTGCTATTTCCAAGTAACTGAGACATGCTAAAAATCATCTGCCATCTTGGAAAGAAAAAAAAAACTTGACTCTTTTGGATGAAGTTGTAGTCTTTCAAATAATAGTTAAACTCAACATTACTATTTAGAGAAACGCTGACAAGCAATTTTAGAACAATATCACTGTCTAAATTATAAAGCTTCAAAATTACTTAGCTTAAAAACTAACAGATCAAGTTAACTACATGAGAATATTAAGGGGAAAAAAAGCCTTATAAAAAAAAAATTGGGAGAGAGATATAAAGTATCCTGGACTAACATTTTAAAGGTAAGTTCATTTACTAACATCATTTTCCAAAATTGTATTATCTAGTTACCTTTCAGTTCCCAGTAATATCTTAAACCTGTCTCACTAAAAATTATGCTTTCGAGGCAAATTAATGAGCTTAATTTATTTTCTATGATTCTATGTTTTGACTTACGTGTTTAGTTCATATAACAAAGATTCTCTTTTAATTCTTCTAGATATAGCTGCTTCTGTTTTTCTAATTCGCTATCACTAAAGTTTTCTTGAGCAATTTACATTTGGGACTGCTCAGCTTCCAGAGCTTTAATTTTGAGTTCCATCTTATTTATTGAAGTAATATCATGCCATCTTAACTGCTCTAAATGTTCTTTAGATGCTGCTTCTGTCTAAAGCAAATTAAACAGCTACATTTTTAAAATAATGACCGAAATTATTATTGTATATTTGTTTTATTTTGTTTTGAGTCAAAATACAGAGCAATTTCAAATATTAAAAAAAGAAGCTAAACTTTAAAATATTTGTCAACAATATCAAGTAAATTGAAATTTGTATTTGAATTAAATCTGAATTATAAAAAAGTAAATCATTCTTATGTTAGTACTCATGTAATCTAATAATCCAAAGAATAATGAAATCAATTTAAAATTTTTTAAACTCAACAACGTAATTTAAGAACAATTCAAGAGTCTGGCATAATTTCTAAATCACAATTATTTCTTTTCTTGATAGTCATATTTTATGCCTGCTGGTCTTAATAATCAAATATTTCTATAGGGGAAATTATTATTCTGAAAGACTGATTTAGTTATAACAGTGATGAAAATTGAAATATTTAAAAGGATAAACAGATGCCACCTTCCTTCTAGAAATTTATAAATATATAAAGTAAGGGGAGGAAACAGATACAACATATATGTTGAAAATATAATTTAAAGTGAAATGAAAGTACATCTTAGATGAATAAACTAACCAGATTAAAAAAAAAACTTATAGATTGACTTCTTGTAATTCTTCTATACGCTGTCTTGCTCTTTCTCCAATCTCCTGTTTATATTGTTTGACTTGACCACATTCTACCATACTTATGTCTACATGACTTTTGAGGTCTATTACTTCTTGTTCAAACATGGTTTTTTCTTCTGTAGTTTTTCACATTTTTTGTATTGTTTTCATAGATAATAACTCCTGTTGAAAAAATTTATTCTCTGTATCCAGATTTAGACGTATTAAAGACATAGCTTCCATTGCTGTAAGATCATCGATCTTCATGAATAAAATAATATATAGTTTGGTAACAAAGGAAATAGGCTTAGAATAATTCTAACACAAAACCAATAACAGTTTGTGAAATAAATTCAGCCATGAAAAAATGTTATCTCTTCTGTAGTAGATTCTTCAAATGTGGACCCTTACTTAGAAAATCAAGAAAGTTAAAGCCGTCAGAAGTAACGTAAGTGTATTTTTTACTCTTATCAACTCTGCCACACAATATTTGCACTTGATCTTAGACATGTATTTTTCTATAATTATTTCTCTGTCTTTCCTCTTTAAAATGGCTCTAAGTCACCTCTTAGTAGAAGGCCTCTTATTCCTTTCCCCCATCACTACCCACTATAATTTCTAAAGAAGTTTAACGGACTTCATATTGAGTTGTTTAGGTCTTACTCTATAAATGGCTCTGCGAGTAAAACTTTGAAAATAAGATTCTAATTAATGAATCCGGTATTATGGATTCAATATCATAAGCCTTTTTCTAAACTGCAAATGTTATATGCTAATTTGAACTGCACTCCAAGGAGTAATGACTCTTGGAGTTTAAGGCCACAGAAAACAGGACACAGAAATGAATCCACATATTTACCGCCAACTGATTTTCAACAAAGATGCCAAGAACGTACACAAGGGAAAGGATACCCTCTTCAATAAATGGTGCTGAGAAAACTGGATATCCATATGAAGAAGAATGAAGCTAGACCCCTATCTAACACCATATACAAAAATCAACTCAAAATTAAATAAAGACTTAAATGTAAGACCCCAAACTATAAAACTACCAGAAGAAAACATAGGAGACATTCTTCAGGATGTTGGTCTAGGCAAATATTTTATGAGAAAGAATTCAAAAGCACGGGTAAAAAAAAAAATAGACAGACAGTATATTAAACTAAAAAGCTTCTGCCCAGCAAAGGAAACAATCAACAGTGAAGAGATAACCTATAGAATGGGAAAAAATATTTCCAAACTATTCATCTGACAAGGACTAATATCCAGAATATACAAGGAACTCAAACAACTTGACAGCAAAACATGAATAATCTGATTCAAAAGTGGGCAAAGAATCTGAATAGACATTTCTCAAAAGAAGACATGGAATGGCCAAAAAATATTAAAAATGCTCCACAGCACTAATCATCAGGGAAATACAAATAAAAACCACAATACGATATCTCACTTCCGTTCAAATGACTGCTATCAAAAAGACAAACAGTAGCAAATACTGTGCAGATGCAGAGAAGAGGAAACTCTTATACATTGTTGGTGGGTATGTAAATTTATACATCCATTTTAGAAAACAATGTAGAGTTTTCTCAAAAACTAAAACAGCAGCAACAACAACAAACTTAAAATGAACTGCCATATGACCCTGCAATCCCACTACCAGACATTTAACTGATAGAAAGGAAATTAGTACATCAAAGGGCCACCTGCATCCCCACGTGTGTTGTAGCACTATTTACGACAGCTAAGAGATGGAATCAACCTAAATGTTCATCGAAAGACAAATGGATCAAGAAAATGTTGTATATACAAAATGAAACACTATTCAGCCATAAAATGAAATAAAATCCTGTCATTTGCAGCAACATGGACAAGTCTGGAGGACATTATGTTAAGGGCAGGCACAGAAAGGTAAATACTGTGTGTTCTCTCTCATATGTGGGAGCTTAAAAAAAAATTAGCTCATGAAAGTAGAGAGTTGAATTGTAGGTATTAGAGGCTGGGAAAGGTAGTGGGCAGGAGAGGAGAGGCTGGTTAATGGATACAAAATTATAGCTGAGGTAGGAGGAATGAGTTTTGGTGTTCTGTGGCATTGCAGGGTGGATATGGTTAACTATGATTTATTGCATATTTTCAAAAAGCTAGAAGAGAGGATTTTGAACATTCACAACACAAAGAAATGTTAAGTATTTGAAGTGGTAAATATGCTAATTAGCCTGATTTGAACATTACACATTGTATATATGTATCAAGATATTACTCACTCTGTATTCCATAAATATGTGTATATGTATCAATTAAAAGCAAAAGAAAAAATATGTATCCCATAAAACAATAGAATATGGGCCAACCTTAATGATTTGCTTCTAATGAATGCGATGTGTCCTGAGCTTCCACACAATGGGGGTCTGGGGTTCCAAGGGCAAGCAGTCTAAGATACAGAGCCTTTTTTAACCTAATGTTAAAAGTCACGTAGTATTAGTATAATTTTCACCACATTCTATTCATTAGAAGTAAATTGCTAAGAGAGCGCAGGAGTTCTAGTAGGTTTTCAGGCTGCCTGCCCCAGATAAAGTTCCAGTCAGTGGTCGGCATCAATGACCAGACAAGTGGGGGAGCAAACCTTCAGATGATTCCCGTCCCCCCGCCTTTGAGCTGTTCCCAAGGAAACTGAAAGGAAAAGGGACAAGCTGTCTTGGCCAAGCTTTTCCCAAACCACAGATTCCTGAACTAAATACATGTTGTTGTTTTCAGCCATTACACTTTGTGTAATTGTTGGAAAACAAAAACAGAAAAGATTTTTAAAAAGAGACAATAAGAATCATAAATTACACAGTAGATATTAGTCTCTTTTAAAGTAGGATCTAATCAGTATTGAGATCAATTTATTAATGGCAAACAATGCTAATGAGAAACAGTAGATAACTAGAAGAAAGACATAAGAGCTATTGAGGAGGAAGTTTTTCTGAAGTTCCCTTCATTTACAAACTCTTATAGCTAAGCAAATGTGCCTCTTTAGAATTTTCCCACAAGTTTGAGAATAAGAAAGACTGAGAAGCAAGGAAACATTATGTGAAGCGTAATCACTGGAAAACAACTAGAAATGTTTGGTTTAATGACTGAAATCACACATTTTCCCTGATTTTAATTAACTGAAATTCTAAAAGAAGCAAGCAGCTTTCAGTATTTATTAATAAATCTAATATTTTAATCTTCACTTTCCTTTCCTCAGTGAGGAAATAAGGAGAACATCGTGGAATCATTTTTAATCTTCTCAGAAGTAAAATAAATGTAGTACGCTTTGAAATGATGAGAAATTAAATACAATTTCTCCTTTACCTTCAAGTTTCTTTATATAAAGAAGCTAAGACCATCTTATCTTTACATCGTACTACAATGCTTCTCCATAACATACAAATTGGCTCTGAAATTTTGAAATTCAAATAACTAATTTGACAATTATCTGTCTCTGATAAATTGCCTGAACATTTTCTGCTTTTTAAGTGCTGTACTCCTGGAAATTTTTCATTAAATCGGTTGAACTATTTTAAAACCATGTACTGAGCTATAAAGTATAGCTGTGCATCTCTATTGGTTTAAGTAAAGAAAGGTAAATACAGGGAATTGTGGTATCTGAAAACACACAATCTGCACCAAGAAAAGGATCAGCTCACTATTATACACAAGAATAAGGTATGAGATTGGAAGAGGATCTAACTATGAACTGAAAGATGACATATGATGAGCTCAGTTTCCAATGACAACAGCTGACAGCCCAGACTTTTCTCCTTCCTGGATAGTAAAAATCTACAGATCATTCTATGAATTATAGCGAGTTAATAAAACATAATGTAGTAAACAGTAGACTGTATCAGCAGATCCTGTGACCACGATTTGATGAAAATGGGACTGTAGAGGGATACACTGGGTGAGACATTAAAGGTATGAATGGGGGAATAAAGGAAAGGACTCTGTCCATTCCTTTGTTAGCCTGACTTCCTATCATGTCATGGAGTCAGCAAGGTTGACTTATGTTGGCCACAGGCTCCTTCAATAAGCAAACAGTGAAGTTAAAGATGTTCCACAAAATTGAATTTTTATTATGACCTAAGACAAATGGTGACATGCAACATGATTAAAAAAGAGTTCTCACAAAATTTTCTTTGGTACTGGCATAAGAATAGATATAAATCAATGTATTAGAATTGAGAATTCAACAATAAATGTACACATTTACAGTCAACTGAGTTTCAACAAGGGTAAGAAAGTAATTAAATAGGAAAAGAATAGTCTTTTCAACAGATGATGCTGGGACAACAGGATATCTGCTTGCAAAAGAATAAAGCTGGGTTCCCACCAAATACCATATATAAAAATTAACTCAAAACAAAATAGCTAAATGTAAGAGCTAAAACTATAAAACTCTTAGGAAAAAATAGGGATAAATCTTTGTGATTGCATTTGTCAGTGTTTTCTTCCATATAATACCAAAAGGAAAAATAGATTAACTGGACTTCATCAAAATTTAAAAGTGTTGTGCTTGAAAAGACCCTATCAAGAAAGTAAAAAGTCAAAACTTTGAGTAGGAAAAAATATTTGAAAAGTATATATCTGATAAGGGACTTATATCTAGGATCTTGGAAAACATACCAGCAGCTCCTGAAAAAGTTAAGCATAGAATTACCGTATGACCCAGCAACTCAACTCATAAGTATATACCCAAGAGCAATAAAATCATATGCACACACAAAAACTTGTACTTGAAACTTCATAGCAGCTTTATTAATAATGGCCAAAAGTTGAAACAATCCAAAGGTCCATCAACGGATGAATTGATAAGTAAAATGTTTGTTATATCCATATAATGCAGTATCATTCAGCAATAAGAACACATTAAGTACTGATATATGCCACAACGCAGATGAAACTTGAAAACTTTAGGCTGAGTGAAAGAGGCCAGTCACAAAACACGACGTGTGGTGATTTGAATGATATGAAATGTCCAGAATAGGCAAATCTACACAAGCAAAATGGATAGCTGTTTCCCTAGGGCTGGGCAAGGAAGGGGAAACTGGTAAAGGATGTAAGCGTTTTTTTTAGGGTGATAAAAATGTTCTAAAATTAATTGTGATGATGATTGCATAACTGTGAAAATACTAAAAGCCCTTGAATTGTATATTTTAAGTGAGTGAATTGTGTGATATGTTAATTATATCTCAATAAAATGAAAACAAAAACAAAAACAACCTGATTTGGTACTACTGATTTGAAGTCATATAATGGCGTACTGCTTGCATTTAGACCATTGGCCAGGGTTCAAGACACAAGAGAATCAGCAGTATACCCTTTATATTATGTAAAAATGATATATTAAAATGCTATCGTTTTCACTGGTATCAAGTACATAAAATAAAAGGAAAATTTTTTCTTTCAGTACTCAAAGCATTGAGAGATTTCTATTTCCCAAAATAAGTGATTTTTTTTGGTCCCAAAACTGATTAAAAATTACCTTATATTTTAGATTATTAATCTGAATATCTACATCAAATTGATTGGTCTTTACATCTCCATAAAAACTAAACTTGCCATTTTCACATTCATTGAGCTTCTTTTCTGTCATTTGTAAGAGTTTCTTATAGCTGCAGGAATGTACAGAACGAGTAAATCAAATTTCTTAAGGGTAAATATTTAATAATTATTTAAAGAGATATTACATTCTAACATACAAAAGAAACAAATCCATAAATTAGAATCCTCTCTCATTTGTTTCAAACTAAAAGAGTTGGAAAACATTTAACGAAAGTATAATCTTAGGTAAATAACATGAAGAAAATTTTTATGACATGTATGGCAGATAAAGAGTTAATATTAATTAATAAACTAGTGTGCATTTTAGTATATTAATATAAAACTTTAAACTATTATTAATTATGAGCTCTAACCTAGAGCTCAGTATCCCAGGTGAAGAGAAAAGCATACTTATATAAGTTTGAAAAAGACACAAAAATACATTTTGATACCCATTGACAACAGTCTATAAGAAGAAAATACATGCAGAAAACACCAAGGAGATTATTCAAAGTAGAAAAATGGACACAAAAGAAAACATCTGTGAAGTCTCAGTTAAGGAAGAAAAGGAAACGGGCAAGAGTTTTACAAGGAAGGAAATGAGCAGAGAGATAATGCATGGGCCCTTAAAGGCTGTTTTAAGAAGAGCTCTAGAGATCTTTGCCAGTACAATGTTAACAAAATGAAACGAATGCAAAATCATGTAGAGAAAGACAATGAGAGAAAAACAGTAATTAGAATCAGAAAACAAACCTAAGTACTCAGCAAATACGTAGAAAAAAAGTCATGCTGGGGTCTTCAAAGGTACTGGGAAACATTCCATTTTCTATTTGGGTGATAGAAACACAATGTCCATTTTAAATGCACAAGAGCGAAACTCTGTCTCAAAAAAAAAAAAAGAAAGAAAGAAAAATATCACCACATACACAATTCATCTTTTTTTCCTCATGTGCACACATTGCTATTTATTACTGAATCCAGTTAAGGACACAGATGTTATCTTCCTGCCAGATAGATGTTCTGTTACTAGACAACAGTTTTAGCCCACCATTCATTCAGCCCTCGATAATTCTGCAATGCTTAACAACCTACTGAAGTCTCAAAAAAGAAATGGATAATGTAGGGAAGACTGGTGGTGGTAAATTCTACACTGTGGAACGTTTTCCTCTTTTTTTTTTATTAGAAGCTCCAATCAACCTCAGGGGTCCTCACTTATTCAATTGCCTGCCCAAATCCTTCCAATAGATTCCTGTCTCCAGAATGAAAGAAAAATTCCAATGGCCTTTGAGGCCCTTTAGGTAACCTCCCTGACCTCAGCTGCCATGACTCTCCCCTACTTACAGCATTTCTGCTATATGTGAATCCCACCACCCCTCATTAGTCTGAAACTGGGGGGTCCATTGCCAAACTAAAAGATCACAGATAATTACACTTATCATTGTTGGACAAAATTATATCCAAATAATGGTCATTGAGCCTTGAAATAAAAATTATAAGCAAATGATTTCTAATAATATTAAATTACCTATACCAGTGGGAAAAATAAATCAAATATGGTTTTCCTAAAATTCACCACATTTGTCCCAAATTGTTATTTAATAAAAAGTAGATGCCTTTTAAAAGTCAAGTGGTCATAACAACATGTAATTTGAGATTGAAATATTTTCAGATTTAAGTCAAATTGACATGAATAAAAATAAAATCATACCAACTAAAATGTGTGAACAGCTAATGAAGAAAAAGTATTACAAGATACAACAGTACACTTCAGTTCATCTGGGAAATCTAGAATTAACTGTCAAAGTAACTCATTTAATCAAATCTTAATTTCAAAACACTCATTTCAATTATGAGCATTTCCATTTATCTGCTACATTATAGTCTTAAAATGTGGCAACGTAAAGGCATTAAAATTATTTCAGCAGTGTAAGGCTACATTATTAATATTAGTCTATATCTATTAATAATTTGTAACAAACTCTTAAAATTGGATAAGTAACATAACGTCATTACTCAAAGTAAAGAATCTCTCAGCTTTAGGGCCTGGCGCAGTGGCTCACGCCTGTAATCCTTAGCACTTTGAGAGACGGAGGCGAGTGGATTGTCTAAGCTCAGCAGTTCGAGACCAGTCTGGGCAACACGGTGAAACCCCATCTCTACTAAAACACAAAAAATTAGCTGGGCATGGCAGCATGCGCCTGTAGTCCCAGCTACTCTGGAGGCTGAGACAAGAGAATTGCTTGAACCCAGGAGGTGGAGGTGGCAGTGAGCCGAGATTACACCACTGCACTCCAGCCCAGGCGACAGAGCGAGACTGTCTAAAACAAACAAACAAACAAACAAACAAACAAATCTCTCAGCTTTAACTATTATTTGCTGAAAATAAGGCATTTCTAAGCTAATACAGTGAATAAATCAATCATCTATTTTTACATTCAACTAGACTAAACATTTAGCTACCAGCAAATATGACTTTAAATTTTCCTTCAGGAGGTTTGAAAAATATTTATCTTTCTGAATACTTAGTTCTCTTTCTGCTTTCTCTTCTTCATATTGATATAGTATTTCTTTTAAATGATCACACTCATTTAATAACTCCTTATATTTATCTTCTAGTGAACAACGTTGCTTTTCATTCCCAAGAAATTGGTCTTGAGTATTAATTATCTTTTCTTCCGTATCTGCATCTTGTGATCCTCATCTAGTTGCTGTTGAAGCAGCATATTTTCATTTTGTAGCTGGGATAATCTCTCTTCCATGGCTTCCTGCTTTGCAGTGCATTTACTCACTTTATCTTGCTCATTTTCATACATTTGTTCAGTGTCCTTCATCTGACATCGTGTTTGGCGTAGATCTCTTTGTAGACGTTCTGAAACCAAAGTTATATCTCTGAGAGCATCTCTTGTGTTATGGAACTAAATTGTTAGGTTACTGAATTTACTTTGAGCTTCAGAAAGTTGTTGAGAAAGAATTTCATTGTTACTTTTTAGGTTAGACATGTCAAAATTTATTTTTTCTTGTAAACAAGCATCTCTTGCACTCTGGAGAGCAAATTCTAGGTGTTTCCTTGATATCTTGCCTTGATCAAGATCACATATAGCAGCAGCCAGTGTATAACCATAGGATTCAACTTCTGTTTCCAGTCTTTCCGTGTTTTCTTTTTCTTTCTTCAGTTCAGAACTGAGCAATAATCTCTCACCTGCTCTCACCTGTCAAAACATTCAGCTCTCCATTACAGTCAGATACTGTTTTTGTTACTGTTTCCTGGGTTTTTATTGTGTCCGTTTCCAGTCTTAGAGTGACAATTTCTCCCTTCAACATGCAATTTTCATGCAACATATCTTCGTGTCTATGAGAAATCTAAGTAAAGCAAAGGAAACTTTTAGCTACCACTCAATAAAATTACATATCACAATTTCCTCTAAAATTAAAGAATAACCTGTACATTTATACAATGAAAGGGTTGCCGTATGTGGATATCCAACTGGAGAAAAAGTCAGGTCAAAACCTCAAACCTAATAGACCATAGACTACCAAAAGTTCAAAAATTTATTTGAAAACAATGAATCTGTGAAAGTAAAAAAGAAACCACTAGGGAAGATTTAAGAATCTCAAAATTGGATAAGCCCCTCCCTGAATTACAACAAATCCAAAGGCATAAAATAAAAAATTAAAAACTTGGACTATGTTAAAAAACTGGGGCCGAGCGCGGTGGCTCACACTTGTAACCCCAGAACTTTGGGAGGCCGAGGCAGGTGAATCACGAAGTCAGGAGTTCGACACCAGCCTGACCAACATGGTGAAACCCGTCTCTACTAAAAAAACTACAAAAATTAGCCGGGCACAGTGGCAGTTGCCTGTAATCCCAGCTACTTAGGAGGCTGAGGCAGGAGAATCGCTTGAACCCAGGCAGCAGAGGTTGCAGTGAGCTATCACACCACTGCACTCCAGCCTGGGTGACAGAGTGAGACTCCGTCTCAAAAACAAAAAAAAATAATAATAATTGTTTACCCTGGCCAGGCACGGTGGCTCATGCTTATAATCTCAGCACTTTAGGAAGCCAAGGCGGGCGGATCACCTGAGGTCAGGAGTTCAAGACTAGCTTGGCTAACGTGGCGCAACCCCATCTCTATTAAAAATACAAAACTTAGCTGGGCATGGTGGCGGATGCTTGTAATCCCAGCTACTCGGGAGGCTGAGTAAAGAGAATCGCTTGCACCCAGGAGGTGGAGGTTGTAGTGAGCTGAGATCACACCACTGCACTCCAGTCTGGGTGACAGAGAGAGACTCTGTCTCAAAGTAAATAAATAAATAAATAAATAAATAGGGTTTACACCCTGATGGCTAACTTATACATGACCCCATAATAAGAACTTTCGCACTGCATATATTTGGACAGATTAAATTTCCCAAAGTTATTTAAGTTTCTTTGTCCTGAGAAGGTTCTATAGACATTCTACTTTTCTAATGTTTTTATAGTCAGTTATAAGAATTGCATTCATTAACGAATGATAAAGCTAGGCATTTTAGCAAGTACTTCTACATATACACATCACATTAGTTATCACAATTCTGAAAAGAGGAGGTTAAAAATGTAAGTGAGCTACAGGATTTTCCCCAAGTCTTCTGATTCTACTTCTAGTGTTCTTCCACCAAATCCAAGTTACTTCTGTGGGATAAGTATACAAATAACACAAGTAGCCTTTTATTTCAAAGCACCAGTAGTAAATAAGATGACATTTATAGAGCTTTTTTTAGAAAATCATGCAGTTATTTTCTATTGCAATAACTTTTGTTTTCTCTTCATGTTTGAAACAGTAATAGAATAAAATACACTAAACTATTTCACTAGGAATGACATACTTATCAGTAAATTATCAGCAAGTGTATATTATGACATCATTATTTTCAAAAGCTCTTTGTACTGAAATAAGACACTACTTGGATGCCAAGATTTATAACAAATAACTATAGCTGTAAATATCATAGTTCATTTTTAAGATAAGATAACATTTTTGGTTTGTTTTAGACCTAAACAATATGTATTAAATCAAAAACATACTATAAGTGATATTGATGAAACAAAGTTAGAAATAGGAAATTTTTAACAAATATTAATGTTACTGATGTGAATTATTTCTTGCAGTCTTCCATTCCATGTCTAGTATCATTTGAGACTGAGTTCAAGTTGTTGTTTCACTTCGATTTCTTTCTTATATTCCTCTTCTTTTCTGCCTAAATCTTCCCTAGTTTTTTCATATAACATATCAGCATTTCTTCTCTTCTTCTTGTTTTAAAGTAAATCTGCAGTTAAATATGCTTATCTTAAAATTCATTTTGTTAGAAAATAAAACGTTCATTTTGTGATCTGCCACTTCATCAGTTAATTTATTATCCTAATAAAATTTCTATGTTCTTAAATATTTTCCCTTTCTAGTTCTCAGATATCTAATTGTTTACTTCAGTCTCTTCCGAAGGATGTCTGTCTTGAAAGGTGGCGAGGAAAGAATACTCTGCCCATTGGCGAGTTTCCATTACTAGTAACTTCAGTTAATATTATTGAAAAGGATGTTGGAAATTATTCAATAAATTTACATGTCAAAAATTTCCTTTTTACCACACCTCTGTAATTAGGACAGATCATTTAAAGTTAACTAACTAAAAAGAAGTTACTGTTTAAAAGCAATTTTATAAATTCTCATCTTTATGAAATATTGCAGGTACCCCTAAAAATGATTTGCAGTGTAATATAAATAGCACCTTCAGATGTCTTTCACACAACGTATATCTATAAATTATTATAACCAAAGACTAGGCCAAAGAATCTAATACGTGTTACCCCACACATTTTGTTTCTTTTTTGACTGCTCTGCTGGTTGAGTTACAAATTAATATAAATCTTTTTGAGAACAATTTAGAAATATTGACCAAAGACCATTTTTAAAAGTTTCTATACTTTAACCAAATAATTCTATGTTGAAGAATTTATTTAAAGTAAATAATTAGAAATGTAGAAAAAGATTTTTATAACAAATGTTCCTCACCGTACTTATTATAATGCAAAAATATTTAAAAATTAAACATCTAATTTATTATATAAATAATGAGATTTCCATATGATGGACTCCTATAAAGCCATTAATATTATGATTTAAAATATATGAATTTAATTATTATTATAATAGAATTCATTGTATTAATTTAATTATTATAATACTATATTATTAATTATAATTAATTATGATAGTAGAAGTATTCACAGTTAAGGACTTGTTATATTATTTTGGCCTGGGTGTAGTGCTCACACCTATAATCCCAAAACTTTGGGAGGCTGAGGCAGGAGGATCATTTGAGCCCAGGAGTTCAAGACCAGCCTAGGAAAGATAGCAACACTCCATCTCTACAAAATAGAAATAAGAATAATAATTTTTAAAAAGAGCTTGTTATATTATTTTGAAGAGTTTCACACTCCACAAGACCAAAAGATGTTCTCCACTGTTACAACCCAAAAGGTAAGTCAATAATGACAAAAATTTTCCTATGTATGTTATTATAAAGTAAGTAGTCCAAAAATTTCTTTTAAACTAGAATGTCATACCTCAAATTGCTGAGTTTTTGTTCCCATTCAACTTGTTGGCTCTCTAGCTGTGATGTAATTTCTTTTTGTTGTTGTTGTTTTTGTTTTTGTTTTTTGAGATGGAGTCTCGCTCTGTCGTCCAGGCTGGAGTGCCATGGTGCGATCTCGACTCACTGCAACCTCCACCTCCCAGGTTCAAGCAATTCTCCTGCCTCAGCCTCCTGAGTAGCTGGGACTACAGACATGTGCCACCACACCCAGCTAATTTTTTTTTGTATTTTTAGTAGAGACAGGGTTTCACCATGTTGGCCAGGCTGGTCCAAACTCCTGACCTCGTGATCTGCCCACCTCAGCCTCCCAAAGTGCTGGGATTACAGGCGTAAGCCACCACGCCTGACCTAATTTCTTTTGTTTCAGATAGTTCCTTTGGTAGTACACTAAACTCATTTATCATTTTTTCAATTTCTACTGTAAGTTATTCACTGTGATCATTTTTAAGTTCTACTGATCTTTCACATAGGCAAACTGCATCCAGGCTAACAGAGCCTGTATCAGGGAGAAAACAAGGCAGAAATAAAATTTATAAGTGCTTTTTAACTATGAAGGACTGCATATTTTAACATTCACTCATTCATACACTGAACAAATATATGAGTGCCTAAATGTAAGAGACACTATACTAAGCTCTGCAGATAAAACAGACAAAACTTCTGCTCTTGGTTAGCTTATAGTGTAGTGAAGAACAAAGACAGAAAAAGATAACAGAGTTCTATGCTGACATAAGAGAATTTAATCAATACCGGGCCCAGGGAAGATTTCCCTGAGGAAGAGACGGCTACACTGAGAAATGAAGAATAAGATGAAAGCAGTTAAGCAAAGGGGGGAAAAAGCATTCTATCCAGTCTATGGCATGTGCTGAAGATCTATTACAATTTGCTTCTAGCCAAGATGGAGCAACAGGTACTGATTTTCCTTCTTAGCTAAAATAACCAAAAACAAACAGACAAAAAATATTTTAAAATAATTTTCAAGACAGTGGACTTCAGGCAAAGAAGACAATAATTCCTAGAAGACAGGAGAAAAATATAAAGTAAGCCTTCTGAATGCTCCAGCTCTCTGCCTTGAAAGCGTTTCCAGGTCATGGCACAGAAATTAACAAACTGAGGTGCAGTCTCCCTGAGTTGGAGTGATGAAGCTGAGAGCCTGGTCAAACCAAAGCAGACAGAAACCACAGGTCAGAACACTGGAGAGAAAACAGAGGTACAGAGAAAGAACCCTGGAGATGCAGAGATACCCTCCTGGGTATTTGGCAGAATATTGAACATGGCATGTGTACTAGGAAACTCTCCAACAACAAGGGAAAAAAATCTAAAAACACTAAAGGAAACTGTGCCTGGTGATCACATAGTGTGAGGAAGGGTGTCCATTCCCAAGAGCAGGCTGGAAAAGACTCCTAATTCACAGGACAATAAATAATCAGAAAGATCTTGCCTCAGGAATGAGGAATTAGCCCAAATCATAAAAGCAAGAATGGACAGGATCAAGCTGTTTGTAAATAACTCAGCCGTATCCCTAAATAAATCTCAACAAGGTAAGTTGAGCCATAAAGATACTTTTAAAAATCACACTGCACTTGTAGAGATGCAAACTCCAATGTCAGAGATGAAAATTACACTAGATAAATATAAG
Organism: Homo sapiens; assembly: GCF_000001405.40. Classification (NCBI taxonomy): domain Eukaryota; kingdom Metazoa; phylum Chordata; class Mammalia; order Primates; family Hominidae; genus Homo; species Homo sapiens. The sequence continues at coordinate 38,937,353 of NC_000013.11, forward strand.
CACAGATTAGACATCACAAAAGAAAAGATTCATAAAGTTGAGACATTAGTGAATTGTGAGAAAACTTCGAGCGGCTAATATAGAAGCCCCCAGAAAGCAAGAGAGGCAGAAAAAACATTTGAGGAAAAAACAGCTGAAAACTTTATAAACTTTACAGATCCAGAAAGAAGCTGGCTGGGAGAGAAGAAATAAAAGTATTCTATTGTAATTTTCTTATACTGTATAGGATGTGGTATAATATTACTCGAAGGTGAACTATGATAAGTTAAAATCGTATACTATAAATCCTGAAGCAACCACTAAGACAGCCAAACCAAGTAACACACATCCAGATAACCCAGGGTCAAAGAGTTAATAAAAAGTATAATTGGAAAGTATTTCGAATGACCGGGCGTGGTAGCTCACACCTGTAATCCCAGCACTTTGGGAGGCCAAGGCGGAGAGATCACGAGGTCAGGAGATCGAGACCAGCCTGGCCAGCATGGTGAAACCCCCGTCTCTACTAAAAATACAAAAAATTATCTGGACATAATGGTGCATGCCTTTAATCCCAGCTACTCGGGAGGCTGAGGCAGGAGAATCACTTGAACCCCAGAGGTGGAGGTTGCAGTGAGCCGAGATCCCACAACTGCACTCCAGCCTGGGCAATAGAGCAAAACTCTGTCTCAAAATCTCAAAAAAAAAAAAATGGATTTCGAACAGCTGAAAACACAACATATCAGAAGTTATGGAATGCAGCTACAACAGTACCTAAATTTAAAAAAAAAAAAGAGCTATAGCTCACAAGTCAAAAAAGAGATATAAAACTAAATCATAAAAATTACTTGGCTAATCTAAAAAAAAAGCAGAGAAAGCAGAAAAAGGAAACAAAGATGAGCTGGGACTAATAGAAATCAAACAGCACGATGACAGACAAATCTAACTCGATAATCACACTATAAATGAAACTGTTCTAAAAACCTCAATTAAAGGCAGAATCTCAGGCTGGATAAAAAAGCAAGACCCAACAATATGCTGCCTATAAAGAATGCACTTTAAATGTAAAGATACAAATTGGCTCAAAGAATAGAACAAGATATACCATGCTAACACTTACCAAAACAAGACGTAGGGGAAGTGGCTGTATTGATACCAAAGGAGATTTCACAGCAAAAATATTATCAGCACTAACAAGGTCATTTCATAATAACAAAAACATAACAGTTCTAAATGTTTATTCATACAATAACATGACGGCTTCAAAATATGGGAGGCAAGAATGAATAGAACTGCAAAAAGAAATAGACAAATTCACAGGTATAGTCTGGGATTTCAACACCCCTTACTGAACTGATAGAACAAGAAGGCAGAAAATCAGTAAGACAGAGTAGACTTGAATAGCGCTATTCTCAAGTACCCATGGAACAGTTACCAAAATAGACCACATTCTAGATCATACAATAAATGTTAATAAAAGAATGAAGTCAAAAGGATTTAAGCCATACAAAGTATGTTCCTGACTGAAAAGCAATCAAATTAGAGACCAATAATAAAAATATCCCTGGAAAAACTCAATTATTTGGAAACTAAGTAATGCACATCCAAATAACTCTGAGTCAAAGAGATAATAAAAAGTGAAATTAGAAAGTATTTTGAACATTCGATATGCTGAAAACACAATATATCAGAAGTTATGGAATGCAGCTACACAGCCCTTAAATAAAAATGTTTAGCACTGAATATCCTGCATTAGAAGAGTACCAAATCAATTACTTGGACTGCTACCTTAAGAAACTAGAAAAAAAGAAGAGGAAATTAAACGCAAAGGAAGCAGACGAAAGAAAATAGTAAACATCTGCCATGGTCTGAAAGTTTGTGCCCCGCCAAAATTTATATGTTAAAACCTAATCACAGAGGTGATGTTATTGCTAGATGAGGCTTTTTGGAGGTGACTAGGTCATGGGGACCAAGCCCTCATTCATGAATGGAATTGGAGCCCTTATACAGAGTTCCTAGAGAGCTTCTTCGTCTCTTCTGCCATGTGAGAACATAGGGAAAAAGAACACATCTATAAAGCAGAAAGTGGTCCCTCACCAGACACCAAATTTGACAGCACCTTGATCTTGGACTTCACAGCTTCCAGAACTGTAAGAAATCAATTTCTGTTGTTTATAAGCTACCCAGTCTATAGCATTCTGTTACAGCAGGACAAAAGGACTCTGACATTGTATTAGTTTGTTCTTGCATTGATATAAGGAAATACCTGAGACTGAGTAATTTATAAAGAAAAGAAGTTTAATTGGCTCATGGTTCCGCAAGCTGTACAGGAAGCATAATGCTGGCATCTACTCAGCTTCTGGGAGGCCTCAGAAGCTTATAATCATGGTGGAAGGTAAAGGGGTCACCAGCACTTCACGTGGCTGGAGCAGGAGGAAGGGGGTGGGGGAGGTGCCACACACTTTTAAACAACCAGATCTCATGAAAACTCACTTGCTACTGAGACACAGAACTAGGGGGAAAATCTATCCCCAAGATCCAATCACCCTCTCCAGGCCCCACCTCTAACACTGGGGATTATAGATCGACATGAGATTTGAGTGGGGACACACATCCAAACCATATCAGACATCAAAGATGAAACCAATTAAAACAAAAAATGGGAAAAACCAACAACACCAAACACTTTGAGGAGATTAATAAAAATGATTAACTTCTATCTAGCCCTGCTGCTCATAAGAAAGATAAGATGTGAGTTAATAACTCTGGACTCTGACAATTTTTTACAAAGCATTCCCTTGGGATATACCTGCAGATTATACTAGGATTACTATTAACTATACTATTGGTAGGCAATTAATGCAATAAGAAGTCTTACTTTCTCTTCTTTGTCTTTATCAAATGTATTTATTTAATAAATACCATTTATCAAAATGTGATACCTACAAGTTAACTGTGGTGTACAGTAGTCATAATCCTAACAAAATCATATCAGACTGACAATGTTATCATTAGCAGGATCAGTATCATAAGCAAAGAATGTCAAACTTAAGGATCATGATTTCTGAACAAATAAACTAGGAGCAGTTAGGATAGAGTATACAGTAATCCCCCCTTATCCACTATATGTATAGAAAAAACACACTCAACACGTTTTTCCTATGCCCTCACAGCGCAACAACAATCATCAACACAAAACACTTCTGTGACCAAAGGTGTGGGGTATTTCCCCACCAACAAGCAAGTAATCACTTCTGCAGCTGACAGCAGCTGAGTGACCTCCAATTCAATTCTAGTACTATCTACCTAGAGATAGCATCAGATCCCACAGGCTGAAGGCTCAGTCTCATACGACTTCCTCTGCAACCATCAGTTGCAAGTCGGGGCCTCCAAAACTTCTGATTGACTTGCTTCAAGTTGGGGTTCCCATGACCCCATCTTTGGGTTTGATTAACTTCCTAGAGCTGCTCAAAGAACTCAGGGAAACACGTTTACCAGTTTATTATAAAGGAAATTACAAAGACTACAGATGGCGGGGCACGGTGGCTCACGCCTGTAATCCCAGCACTTTGGGAGGCCGAGGCAGGTGGATCACCTGAGGTCAGGAGTTTGAGACCAGCCTGGATAACATGGTGAAAACCCCTTCTCTCCAAAATATACAAAAAAATCACTTGAACCCAGGAGGCGGAGGTTGCAATGAGACAAGATCACACCATTTCGCTCCAGCCTGGGCAACAAGAGTGAAACTCCTTCTCAAAAACAAAACAAAACACAATAACAAAAACAAAGACTACAGCTGAAGAGATTGTAGGGTGAGGTATGGGAGAAGAGCCACCGAGTTTCTATGCCCTCTCTGAGTGCTCCACCCTCCAGGAATCTCTATGTGTACAGCTATCTGGAAGCTCTCTGAACCCAGTCCTTTGGGTTTTTATGAAAACTTCATTATATAGGCATGACTGATTTAATCACTGGCCATCAGTGATTAACCTTCAGCCCCTCTCCCCTCCCAGGAGGCTGGATGGTGGGGCTGAAAGTCCCAGCCCTCTAATCATGCCTTGGTCTTCTTCCTGGTGACCAGCCCCCACGCTGGTGCTGCCAGCCATCATTCAATAATTAGCATACAAAAGACATCATTTTGGAGATTCTAAGGATTTTATGAGTTGTATGCCAGGAAACAGGGTTGAAAAACAAACATATTTCACAGTATTACATCAGCAGTTTTGATTTCTGTGGTTTTAGTTAGTTACAGTCAACCACAGTCCAAAAATATTAAATGGAAAATTCCAGAAATAAACAATTCATACATTTTACATAGTATGCCATTCTGAGAAGCGTGATGCAATCTTGAGCTATTCTGCTCCATGCCACCCAGAATGTGAATCTTCCCTTTGTCCGGTGTATTCTCACTTTATATGCTATACTCCCAGTCTGCTCCTGACATCCAACCATCAACATCATGGCTCCCTGATCCACAATCACCCAAAGCAGGTTACTATATGTCAGAAGGTCAATAGTAACCTAACACTACATTACAATGCCTACTTCATTCATCTCACTGCCTTTCATCATATAGGCATTGTATCACCTCACATCATCACAGGAAGGGAGATTACAGCATAAGATGTTATGAGAGCCCATATTCATATAAATTTTATTACAGTATATGTTGCAATTTTTCTATTTCATTATTAGTTACTGTTATTAAACTCTTTCTGTGCCTAATGTATAAATTAAACTTTATCATAGATATATATGTTTAGAAAAAAACAGTATATATAGGGTTCAGCATTAGCCACGGTTTCAGGCATTCGCTGTGGTCTTGGAAAGTATCCCCCATGGATAAGGGGAAATTACTGTACTTATTTTTTTATGACACAACACAGTTACCTCAGCTCTACAGCTGAAATTGTTTAGTTTAAGATAAAACACCCTATCACAAGAAGCTAGGTCTATGGGCACCATATCTTGAAGCATGGAAAAACACAGACGGAAGTCCAGGGAGAAGGATCCTTGCAAAGACTTTCCAGCTGCCAGTGGAGAAGAGCTCAAGAGAGATCAACGTACTTACTCTCATGAATCCTCTTTTGGGGAAGACGCTGTTAAGTTTATTTAATTCCGGCTATTTTCTCCGCCCCATGTATGGTGTAAACAAGGCTCAAATGCACCTGCCGGATTACCTCCCGTGAAAAGAACCGCTGGAAAGATCACTTCCTTAAGAGCTTCTCTTCTCTGAACCGTACCACTAATTCAGACAGAAGCTTAAGAAGAAATTCTGGGGAAATAGTGTCAAGTTGCCAGGGCCTCACCAGAAGCTGAGCAGGTGCTGGTGCCATGGTTGTACAGCCTTGAGAATAGTGAGCCAAATAAGTCTCTTTTTGAATTACCCAGTCTCAGGTATTTTTTATGGTAATGAAAAACAGACTAATATAGACATCTTGAAAATTAGAGATCATGAAAGGTCAAAGTAAGAGAATATGAGCATTATCTCCCAAATCCGAAGTATACAAAAATATGTAAAGCCTATAATTTAAATTGCATACTTAGCCAAGAGAAAAATTGATAAAAATGATAAATATTTCATCTTATTTTGCAGTTATAAATAGAAATTTGACACAATATGAATGAAAAGTGGACCATCTACATAAGACAATTTTTATTGTAATTTTAAATTAGAAATTATTATGCTTACTTCATCTAACAATTTTACTGAAATGTTAATCAGATAAGAAGGACAAATTATAATTACCTAATATTGCCATAGTAACTTACATACAAATACTGTTATTCACCAAAAGCCAAAAAAGTAACCAGTCTTGCAAGTTTAGATGGATCCTACAACTGAAACCAGTACCGTGTTATATCATTATATTGTTTGCATTTAAAATAAAATGTTAAGACAACAACAAAAATTAAGTAGGGACTATAACTGCTGTGCAGAGGAGATTTCATATAGCAGGCATGAGACTGCCATCTTTAGAAAGGCCTGCTTGCCTGGCTGGCCTCTGGTTGGCATTTGGGAACTTGGAATTGGGAGAGTCCCCAATATTCCCTAACTGAGATGAGTGGTTCACTGTGTCCTAAACTGTTTGCATAAACAATGCAGTTGTCTCCGAACAGCTGCTTTCCTTCTGGGAGTCTGGAAGTTGAGTACATTAGAGAGAGATTGCCTATGTGACTAGCCTCCATTAAAAACTTGAGCACTGAGCCTCTAACAAGACTGTGGTAGTGATAGACAACACTGCACATGTGTTGTCAAATTTTGAGGCTGAAGGAATGAAGTACGTTCTGGTAACCCCACAGGAGAAGATCCTTGGAAACCTGTGCCTGATTTCCTCCAGATTTTACCACTACACCTTTTCCCTTTGCTAATTTTGCTTTGTATCCTTTCATTGTAATAAAGAGCTGATATGTAATAAATCTATATATAATAAAAACATATGCATATAATAAAATGTATAAATAATAAAATCTCTAAGCACAAATCAAAAGATTCCCTTTACTTCTGAAGAGACTAAAATTTCACAGAAAATACCAATTCACAAAAATAAAAATAATAGAAATTGAGAAATATTAATTTTCTTCTGAAGAAAACACAGTATTTATTAGCCTGTGAGGATTAACATGATTAGAGTTTAGGTTATATAGAACTCCATAAGGACCTAACATCATAGGCCCATATGGACTGCTCCAGCCCTTTGCCAGTGCAATAAACTGTTTATTAAACAGCCACTACAACCACTAACATCTTCTGTCCTCCTGTGTACTCACTACATTAATTGAAGAGCAGCCTTTGTAATAAATCAAAAACCCGAGTATGACTATTTGGTAAGCCCTGTGAGTGATAAATACAATTACTATTTTCATAATTGTTTTTATATTTCTAGTAATTATGTAATAATTACTATTTATATCAAGTATAAACTGTCTTCAAATCCTTGAAATCATTATCAAAATATACTATAAAACAGGAGTTGCACACTCAAATACTTACAGAGGCAAAGTAGTTAACCTGAGTAAGTGAAGTAACTAGAGAGTCACAGTAGGAAATTGGATAGCATATGGCCCGTATGAAGGGGCAACCTCTGCACAGCAGGCTAAATGGTGATAAGGGCTCAGCTGGTAGCAGATTTGATTCTTTAAGGAAAGCCTGAAATCTAGATTTCTGCATGTCCCCTAAATTTCACGTGTTGACTCACTTTATGGAGGCAAATTTTGCTTTCTTGTGTTGATTTACACTAATTAGGGAAAAAAAAAATCTAAGGTGGGAAAAAAATTTTTCGAAAAAAACAGTTTTACCTTAAACAAATTCAGTATTTTCACAAATATTTACCATAAATGCATAAAGGAAAGCTGTATCTTGTAATAATTCTTTTAAAGTATCAATCTTTTTTTTCTTTTTCTTTATATATTATATAATATACTATAAAACAGGAGTTACAAACTCAAATACTTACAGAGGCAAAGTAGGTAACCTGAGTAAGTGAAGTACCTTACTCTACTACATTTCTGTTTTAAGCAGACTGAGGAAAACAAATTGCATGTATCTCTAATTATTTCCTAAAGAAATTTTAGTATAATGGAATTGAAGGGTAAAGGGCATATGCATTTTTTAAATGTGGTACTTCACCACCAAATTTTCTATTTGAAAGTCATCAACAACTTAAACTTTCAGCAGCAGTGTAAGTATGCTGCTCCTCATTCTCGCAAACTCTGTGGATAGAAAACAGTATTTCAATTCCTCGTTTCTCTTAAATTCCTTGTCTTACCAGGAACATTAAATGTTTTTGCCTATATGCATAGATCACTTGTAGATCTGGAAAAAAGTACTTTGCCCAATTTTAAATTAGTGTCCTCTTCTTGTTGATTTGAAAGAATTCTCTGTAAAATCAAGACTTTTTCATCTGATATGTATATGTGGTAAATATTTTGCACATGTTGTCTTTTATTTTGTTAACTTTTTTCTTATATAGAGGCTGTTTTAATTTTTATTTTGCCAAATCAACCTTCAGAATGCTTGAAATTTGTTAAGAGTGGGTCTTACGTATCTCACTACAGACACACACACACACACACACTATGTAACGATGCGAGGTGACGAATATGTTCGTTAGCTTGATAGTGGTAATTATTTCACAATGTATGTGTATATCAAAGCTCATTACATATATCCAATTGTATATGTCAGTTATAACTCTGTAAAGCTGGTGAGGGGTAATGACTTCCTTTCATTGATCTGCCACATTACCTGCTGCAGGTCAGAGGTTTGAAGCAGGGCAGTGCCCCACCATCTGTCCTCCAGAGCCAAAATGGAAGCAATGTTTAAACAATACATAATCGTGTTTGGGGGGTCAGAGGTGTGAAGCAGGGCAGTGCCCCACCATCTGTCCTCCAGAGCCAAAATGGAAGCAATGTTTAAACAATACATAATCGTGTTTGGGGGGTCAGAGGGGTAGCAGGTTCTCTAAGGAAAAGCCTGGCCTCTGGAACATTCTAGGAGGACAGCACACAGGATCCACATGCACATGCCTCTCCCTGGGTGATCTCATCCCCCCAATGGCATCTAGTCCATCCATATGCCAACAATGTCTAAAGCCACACCTCCAGCCCGGACTCCTCTCCTGTGCAGCATTGGCCCACCTGAGAGCTACACTCCAAGGCATCCCCAGTGAAGGTGTCCCGAATGCCTCCTTCTCTCACCAGCCTGTTCTCATTTATGTCTTTGTTGTCTCAGTAAATGGCACCATTACCTTTATCCAACATTTGCTTGAGTCCATAAATGTAGGACTTATCATTTATACCTCTGTTAGTATTTTTCACCCAGTTTAAACACATCTCCAAGCCTTGTTCATTTCACTTTCTTTCTTTTCATTTTTATTTTTTTGGAGACAGAGTCTTGCTCCATTGCCCGAGCTGCCAGGCTGGAGTGCAGTGGCACAATCCTGAATCACTGCAACTTCCGCCTCCCAGGTTCAAGCGATTCTCCTGCCTTAGCCTCCTGAGTAGCTGTGATTGCAAGTACATGCCACCACACCAGGTTAATTTTTGTATTTTTAGTAAAGAAGGGATTTCACCATGTTGGTCAGGCTAGTCTTGAACTCCTGACCTCAGGTGATCCACCTGCCTCGGCCTCCCAAAGTGCTGGGATTATAGGTGTGAGCCACTGTGCCCTGCCCATTTCAGTTTCAAAATATAACTTGAATCTCTCATTTCTTCACCTTTATGGCCACTGTCTGACTCTAAGCCACAGTCACCTCTATGTGACCATAGCCAATATCAGTTACCCTGCCAGCTGCATACCCTGCCCGCATTTCCTGCTTCCCTCCAGTCCCTTCCACATGCATGGACACACACACACATATACACACCACCACATGCATTCACTCACAAACATACCACCACACACATTCATAACACTCTCATACTTATGACCACATGCACACATGCACACACTCACACTCACTCATACACTCACACACAACCACCACATAACTCACACATGCTTACAGACACACACACACACACACACACACACACAATCTTTAAGAATATATGTTAGATAACATTATTTCTGCTTACGACCCACCAGTAGCCTCCTGTGGCATTTTGTATTTAATCCAAGCTTCCTCACTTGTTCTAGAAGCCCCTGAGAGCCACAGCCCTTTCTGTCTCCCTGGGTTCTCCTCACACCACTCTCTCCATTGTCCAGTCCCTCCACAGAAACCCCTGTTTCTGTTGGTTTCTGCCCATCTGCACTTTGCTTTTCACATATGCCTTCCCTCCTGGGATGCTCTCCATCCCTGTCCTCACCTGGCTGCCTCCTACCGTAGACCACCATCATGTTGGAAGAGAATTCCCTGCACCCACTTACAGCATGCTGACCTCGTCTCCAGGGCAGCTCCCACAATGTAGAGTTAGGTGTCTGCTGACTCACTCACAGCGCATGCCTGCAGAGGATTCCCTTCTCCTGGGCTGCCCTTGTCCTGGATTGCAATCCTCTGAGGCCCATGATCAATACCCTTGTCTAAGGCATGCTTAGTGTGTCACCTAGAATCCTTGCAATGCAAATACATTACTTCTCACAAAATGGTCTTGTCATGACATCAAGGGAGTTTCTATTCCTGCCTATTTACTTGAAATGTTATTCCAGGAGGCTGCCACTCTGTTAAGAATAGACAGCCTCCTCCTTTATGCCCAGGTTAGCTTCATGAAGTTGATTCATGAACTGCTGTAATTCACAGAGGGTTTTTTAAATCGCTGTTTGACTGAATTTATAAACATGTTTAATAACGCCAGGAGGTCTTCTGCAGGCCTTGGCTGCATAGTATCGCAGGCTCATTTGAGGCTGCCTCCCTTCCTGAGCCAAACATGTGCCTGGAAAATACAGTTTATGCCAGATCTTCATCCCCCATAGTGACTCAGTTTACATTCTGAGTTCTCATCCCTGGGTGGGGGTTTTTGAGAGATCCTGGGAAAAGTTGGCCAGGTTGAGTGATCTCAATCTTACTCAGCCCTATGTGAATTTACGCAGCTATACACTAAGCAGCTCCACAAGCAAAGGAGGAGAAGCAAAGGCCCCAAGCACGAAAGAGTGAGGGGGGATGGGAGAGAGGCTGTTTCCAGGGAGGCCCATCACCCCATTCCCACTATAGTATTGTCTGTCTGCCAGTGTGCAATGAGCATATGTTGTCTGACAGACAGCAGAGCAGTTGGAGATTCTTCCTCCTACCTGGCTGTGCAGAGCTACCCTGAGACCCCTGGTGGGCAAAGAACCTAAGGTGCAGAAGATGGAAACCCGTTCTTTATACTCTCTCTTTACTTCCAACTGAGAAGGACGATCTGAATTGGGGTAACATGGCTTCAGGACTTTCTGTTCCTTCCCTTCCCTAAATTTCCATCAAAGCTAATCAAATCCCTGCAAATATCTGCTGAGAACCTGGGGCCCTTGGCAGAAGAATCCGATCTCAGCAGGTGCTGAGAGCAAGCTGATTTTGCCCCAGAGTGGGGAGGACCATTGGGCAGGGCTGTGGAAGGTGGCAGGTGGCAGTGAAGATTAAACATAGGAAGGCAGGATGTCAACTCAGAACCATGCTGGCTTTAACAAGAGCAGGTCGTCTTCCCAACAACTAAACCATTCCCAAGTATTTTGCCATGAAGCCCACTGTCCAGGTCCTCAGTCCACCACTTTGTTCCCTCCTCCTCTAGCCCATTCATCCACTTCACACTCTCCAGAAAGAGAAGGACAGGCATACATTGTCTCACAGATAGCAGAGCAGATGGCTGAATGCAGCCCTCAGCAGGTTCATGGAAGTATTTGTGCCCTGAAGTGATTTCTTAATAAGACCAGACTAACATGAGTTGCTGGACACAACCTACCCAAAAGACCCCTGTCCTTAGGGAGCTCATGTTCGAAGCCCACAGAGGCAGCAGCTCCACCTGTCACTTAACTCCAAGCACCAGGAAACCTGCAGAGGTGAGGGATTGACCACACACCCTCGTGCCTTCCAGCCTGGCCCAGGCTGAAACATTTCACCTTCCAGAGGCATTCGGAGTCTGCTCACTCTCAGGTGAGTCACCTTCTTCCATAAATGAAACAAAGACCATCTCCATGGAGAAGCATCAGAGACTTGTGCAGTCCGGTTCTGGTGAGTGAGGTTGGGATGGGCTTGTGGGCAAAGCCGAGTCTGGCTGGGCCTGGTTGCTGAAGTGGCGCCCTCGCCTGCTTTCAACAAGTCAGATGTCTCTGTCCAGAGCTGTGGAGGCAGCGCCGTCCAGCAGTTCCCTGGGTGCACGAGCCCTGCTGGGTAGATCTCTCCTCCCTCACCTGCAGCACTGGAAAAATCAGTTGAATCCTAGCCTTTAACTTCACAGGTGTGTGTGTGTGTGTGTGTGTGTGTGTGTGTGTGTGTCTGTGTGTCTGCACACGCGCACGCACCCATGTGCGGGCGGAGTCATCTGGCCTGTTGAAAGTAAGGCAATGGCCCCTCTTTTAAAACCAAAGAGGCAGCCGTGATGGTCTCTGAATTGCCTTCAAGGTAATTCTTCCCTTGTCTTGAAGAAAAGCATGTGTTTCTAGCCAAACGGCTCTGTGAGCCTGTCTTGTAAAATCCAAGTCAGTCTTTGTACATTCCTTCTCAAGTTAGATTTTAACGTATGAATTCTGGAAAGACACAGAGTAGGTCCAGAAGATGAGAGTCTGTCCCAGTGAGCCTAGATATCAGAGCATTGAACCAAATTATTATTATTCTCAACCCTTATGATCTCATGGAGTTTGCCTTGTAGTTCGAACTTGATTGAGATTCATCAAGATTCATTAACCCTTTCTTCTTTCCTATTTTTTCATGTTGGGAGAAATGTCTATCCTGTGCCTGTCTCACCATTTTACTTTAAAAACATAATTTATTTTGTTTCACAGATTTGCAGCTGGAGAGTAATTTATCTGAAGATGAATCTTGAGTCTTACCCATATCTGATTTAGATATTTATATGAGACTTTGGATCTCAGATTTTAGAGTTGATGCTAGGAGTTGAGACTTTTGAGGCAATTGAGATGTAATCAATATACTTTGTATGTTTAGAAAGACACTGTAATCTCCCAACAGGTTCATTTTGCCTGCTGCCTGGATAGAGCCAATTTATCAAGACAGAGAAATTGCAATAGAGAAAGAGTTTAATTTTCACAGAGATGGCTGAATGGAAGACTGGAGTTTTATCATTACTCAAATCAATCCCCCTGAAATTTTGAGCACTCAGGTCTTTTAAGGATAATTTGGTAGGTAGAAGGCCCAGGAGTGGGGAGTTCTGAATGGTAGGGTTGGAGATGAAATCATGGGAGTCAAAGCTGTCCTCTTTTGCTGAGCCAGTTCCTGGGTGGGGGGCCACAAGACGAGATAAGTCAGTTTATCAATCTGGGTGGTGCCAGCTGATCCATTGAGTGCAGGGTCTGAAAAATATCTTGAGCACTAATCTTAGGTTTTAAACTAATAATGATGGTATCCCTAGGAGCAATTGGGGAGGTTTAGCATCTTGTGGCCTCTAGTTGCATGACTCCTAAACCATAATTTCTAATCTTCTGGCAAATTTGTTATCCCAACAAAGGCAGTCTGGTCTGCAGGCAAGAAGGGGGTTTCTCTCAAGGAAGAGCTGTTATTATCTTTGTTTCAAAGTTAAACTATAAACTAAGTTTCTCCCAAAGCTAGTTTGGCCTATGCCCAAGAATGAACAAGGATAGCATGGAGGTTGGAAGCAAGATGGAGTCAGGTCAAACCACTGTAACTGTCATAATTTTCTCACTGTTATAATTTTTGCAAAAGTAGTTTCAAAGTACATCCTTGGAGGCCAGGGGCTAAATGTCAAAGACTCAATATTTGTGTCTTTCTGAAATTCATATGCTGAAATCCTCACCCCCAAGGTGATGGTATTAGGAGTTAGGCTTTTTGGAGGTGATTAGGTCGTGATGGTGTAGCCATTATACATGGGATCAGTGTCCTTATAAAAGAGACCCCAGAAAGTTTTCTTACCCTTCTACCATGTGAAGAAACAACAAAAAGATGGCTATCTATAGGCAAGAAAGTGAGCCTTCACCAGACACTGAATCTTCCAGCACCTTGATCTCAGACTTCCCAGCCTCTAGAACTGTGAGAAATACAATTCTATTGTTTATAATCTATCCAGTCTGTGATATTCTGCTATAGCAGCCTGAATGGACTAAAACATTTAATAACTCAAAGTGACATTTTAAGAACAGCAGAGTATAGAATTTGTCATCAGAAGACCCAAGCTTCTTCCCTCCTCACGTCCCGTAAACTGACACTGCCTTCCACCACATCCCTTCACCATTTCCATCACAATCAACACTACTTTCACCTTTTCGACTGCCACATCATATTGACACTACCAACTGCCTCTGACCTTCTGTTAATGCTATATTTAGAATCAACTTTTTATCTGGAAAGATTCCAACTTAGGTCATAGATTTGGTCCTAGGTGGAGGATAAAAAGAAAAAAGATTTCTAGACCCTGATTTACATCTGTCATTAAAGCTGCTCATTTCATTTAAAAGAAACAAGTAACCTTAATGAATAGATTTAAATACTCAGACAACTAAAGTATGAGATACTTTTGCATGGTAACAATTGGTGAAAAGAGTAAGGAGAGGTATCTATTCTCCATTCCTAAATGCCTGATTTGATCACAATCTTAGGTTGAAATTACTCAATTACTATTTTCAAGGATTAAATTTCCCCCACCTCTTTATAGAAATAAAATAGACACACATACCCCCTGTGAAGCTGAAGGCTAGGGTTCAACTGATTTTCCAGAGCTAATCATGGAAGTGAGGTTTTTTTATGACTTGTTGATGAGAGTTGAGCAATAAGACTTTTATCACTGGGCAGTGGCCCCTTGGCAAAGATTCAAGGGCCTGTGGATAGGAAGGAACTGATGTGGTAAAAAGGAAAAGACTGAGTTCGTCATGGCAGAAATGACGCAAATAAATGAACCTGATAAAGAAGAAATGTGAATCAATATCAAACCAAGAATGGTTATTTAAGCTTTCTGCTTTCAACAGGAGTTTTTTTGTTTCATTATCACTGCATTATTTTCAACTCTGTTACCTCCAGAAAACAGAGCCATTCAGTTTTATTACTTTTTTTTTCTATTTGTTTGAAATTAATTTGTCCTACAGTCTGTAGAGATTGTATGCCCTCTTTTTTCGTGGTTTAAGGAAGTCAGGAAAAAAAAAATATGTGCTCTCCTGAACACTCGTCTAAGGCAGAGAATCTCACCGAAGTAGAGAAAAGCTCGCACTCGCTGAAAAACAATGGCTCAGTGAGAGCAGCTGAAGTTGCGTCTGGTCGTTGTCTGCTGGGCTCTCTGTTAGCTGCTGACCAAATCCTGTTTTAGTGTAGAGATTGTTTTTCTAGCTAGGATCCTTTCTTAAGTGTGCTTAATCTGCTGTAAAAAGGTGTTCATCTCTGCAGTAAGTGTTACTGTAACTGTTTTTAAAAGTGCACTGCCTTTACCTTGGCAAACTTTGTGCCAATCAGTATCTATTCCAATGCCATTTCTGCACACATACATTAATGCTCCGACATTTAGACGGGTTGGAATTGGGAATGACTTTGTTGAAGACTTATTATTAACTATTGTATGGTACTTATATATTTTTGTATTCCACTGTCCCCACCTCTCACCCTCCAAAAACTGATGTGATCTGTCTTACAATAACAAAAACATTTACAATAAGGCCAATACAATAAGAGATAAAATCAATACTCACAAAAAGAGGACAAAGTATTAATTACCACTACAGTTGGATTTGACATTATTTGTATGATTGAGTTTCAAATACGTCTGTAACCTGCATAAATATGAACCAAGCTCACACAGTTTCACCCATGGTGCTGATCTGGGAGAACACATTCCTGCATGGACATCTGCTCCCTTTTCCCAACTGCCCAACCCATCAAGAAATGGCCAAAGTTTGGTTTAAGCCGATTGTAATACAGTATTTACCCCTTACTTGAGATTTTACATTCTGCAACTTCAGTTACACATGGTCAATCAAGGTTCAAAAATATGAAATGGAAAATTTTAGAAATAAATAAGGTACGTGTTTTAAATTGCATGCCTTTCTGGTATTATGATGAAATATACTGTCCTGCTCTGTCCCACCTGGGATATGAATCATTCCTTTGTTCAACATATTTATTCTGTATACTCTACCTGCCCATGAGTCACTGAGTAGCCATCTCAGCTTTCAGATCAACAGATCCCAAAAAGGAGGGTGAATAGAGTATAATGATATGTTTTGGGAGAAAGACCACATTCACATAACTTTTATTTTAGAACAGTGTTATGATTGTTCTACTTTATTCTTAGTTATTATAATTAATCTGTTAACCATAATTTTAATTTATAACAATTTACCTAATTTATAAATTAAAATTTATCATAGGTATGTATGTTTAAGAAAAAACATAGTATATATAGGATTTGGTACTAGCCACAATTTCAGGAATCCACTGCTGTCTTAGAATACATCCCTCATGGAT
The DNA here is from genome assembly GCF_000001405.40 of Homo sapiens. Classification (NCBI taxonomy): domain Eukaryota; kingdom Metazoa; phylum Chordata; class Mammalia; order Primates; family Hominidae; genus Homo; species Homo sapiens. The sequence goes on from NC_000013.11 coordinate 38,953,381, forward strand.
AAATGGGAGTCATATGTAGCAAAATACAATCAAATAATACAAAAATGTCTAACTGCATGGCTAAAGAAAATATACACATGACATTCGAAAAGATAAAAGGATCAGTAGTCATCATAGCAGCTTCAAATTTATAATATAGGGTAAACACACAATATCCATGTAAAGTCGACATGTTACATCAGAACTTGAGTATCTGTGGCTCTCAGTAGCAAATTGTATGTTCATGCTGGAACTGCTCTATGATTCGAAGTGAAATCAATTTTTATGAATTCAGATGACACCTATAGACTTTACTGAAGGCAGCCTGATGAAAAGCAGTGGTGGAGGGCCCTAGTTGCATACTGCAGCTCCCAAACCAGACAACCACAAGATGCCCACAGCTTGTAAGAAGTACAGGAATGACCATAACCACCAAGACAGCACCGTCGGCTGCTGGCATGAGGAGAGAGCGGCAAGGGTCAGCAACCACTTGTAACAGTTGTAACTGCTAGTCTGACTATTCCTTTGCAATGGCTTATAAATTTTTGCATTTGTAATTTATTTAATGAGTATTCTACTAGCTACTTACTATGTACAAGGTAGTATGGTAAGTAATAGGATACATTGGTGATTAAGCCAGGTACTCACTATCCTTATGAGCTTACAGTGTGAAAGAGAAAGACTTTAAGTCAGAATTATACAAATACTTATCCTATTGTATTAAGTTACTATTATACTATGAAGGATGCCATACAGTGAATTATAATGTGATCAAACCAAGACTGGAGGGGTGGAAGAGAATCAGAAAAATGCATCTTTTTCTGTCTGCCACTAGACTCACAGCTCTGCTACCTGCACCCTGGACACCTCTATCCTCCACTCCTATAGTGTATCTCTTTGAATCTGTCTTGGGGACAGAGCTAAGTGGATTCTAGAAGAACGTCTAGGACCTGTTAGGCCAACTCCAAGATACTTTGTTATACCCAGAACCAAAGAAGTAAAAACAAAGAGTCTTACAGCCAAAATCAAATCAGTCAAATTTTAGACTCTTTCTTCCCTTCTCTCAAGTAGCACTCAAGTCCCTCAGAAAAGGATAAAGGGGAAAGTGTGTGAATAACAATGATGAGTCATCTGTTCCAGCAATGTCCAGTCCTCTGGGCCATTGGTCTAGCCACGACAGATCCTCTAGGAGTTGTGAGCATAGAAACAAGATTCAGGAGAACAAAGGAGATACAGGTGTCTGGGTGGGTCTTTCAAATGTTTTGGGGGAAAATCTGGAGGAATGAATTTTTGACTGAAGAACAGTAAAGATTACCTTCTCCTTGCCAAAGTCTCTAATTAATAAATTCTTTTCATAAGGCAAACAATAAAAGGTTCAGACATCCAAGAGACAGAGGGATTTTCAACAGTTTGAATTTATATCCAAAACAACATTACATACCAATCACGTTTCTTGCAATCAATATTTTTTTCCCCAACAATCTGCTAGTGAGTTGGCTTTCTTTAATTTACAGGTCCAGCAGAATAGAGGCCACCCCACTATCTTCTACCCTGTCCCCACAACCACATGGAGGGACAGATAAATAGATATACACACAGAGGCAGACCCTCTCAACATGACTTGTCCTCTGCTTCTCTCCCTTGGGATGCCTGCCTCCCTTTTATACCTAAGATGATTGACAGGGATATCATCCAATCAGCATTTTTCCTTTCTGATTTGGACCACTGAGGAAGATTGTTTTCTTTCTCTAATAGAGATATTACAAAGTTGCAAGCAAGCAAAATTATGTTGGCAGAGAAATTTCTATCCTGGCAGTTTTAAAAAATGATAGAAGGACTTCTGGAAATATATTATACTGGTATTCTTTTTCTTGGACTAGAGCAGCCTAAGGCTTGAGTGCCATGTCTTTCAGATAAAGATTTAGCAAGTCCACAGGTTCAGATGGGAAGACTGAAGGAGACCCCACATTTGCAAGGGTATTGGGGTTGGTTTATGCTCTTCTGTAGCACTCGCTAATGGAGCACCTGGAGTCTTCTCTCATGTTCTCCAAGATTCCAGTCCCCCCAGCATCAGTTAGGCAGTCTTTGTTTTTTACTGAATAAACAACTATGTCTGGAGATATTTTGATTTCCTCAAACACTCAATTTTTATTTATTTTATTATTATTATTATTTTTTGAGACAGAGTCTTGCTTTGTTGCCTAGGCTGGAGTGCAATGGTGCAATCTCAGCTCATTGCAACCTCCGCCTCCCAGGTTCAAGCTATTCTCCTGCCTCAGCCTCTCAAGTAGCTGGGAGTGCAGGTGCCCGCCACCACGCCTGGGTAATTTTTGTATTTTCAGTAGAGATGGGTTTCGCCATTTTGGCCAGGCTGGTCTCAAACTCCTGATCTCAGGTGATTCACCCACCTTGGCCTCCCAAAGTGCTGGGATTAGAGGCGTGAGCCACCGCACCCAGCTAACAACTCAATGTTTAAAAAGCCACAGGGTTGGCTCAACTATTTTGTGAGTTGATTTCAGAAATATAACTTTTATTTCTTAGATTTTGAATAGATATAGAAAAGAGGGAGTAAATGACATTATAATGGTGTTTGATCAAGGAAATATATTCCATTTTGACAGTCTTGGAGGACCTAGAGAAGATTAAGAAATTCTGTTATACAAAAATGTAAGATATTTTAATGACTTCATAAAATCCAGAGCGATATTTTGCAACTAGCCTGTGCCCTTGATTAGACTGAATTCAAAGAAGTAAATTTTCATGAAAATTCTCCAGATGAGACACTGCATTGTCATATTAGTTGTAAATTATATATATTTTTCCTGTTACTACAACCTGTGCCTCTTATGCAAAAGAAGAAAATAAACTATGAGGTGGTCCTTCTGTTGTTTGCCTGCCTAGCACCTCATCGTCTTTCTCACATTTCAGGATGTTGAGTAGCATCGTTGGATTCCATGTGTTGGCAACCTATCACATTGGCTCAACACTGAATTTGGAAGAACCATGTTGCCTAAACTCTATAATATATAGTTATATATATAGTTATATATATATAGTATATAACTATATACAATATATAGTTATATATATATAGTATATAACTATATACAATATATAGTTATATATATAGTATATAACTATATACAATATATAGTTATATACTATATATGTAACTATATACAATATATAGTTATATATATAGTATATGTAACTATATACAATATATAGTTATATATATAGTATATAACTATATACAATATATAGTTATATATATAGTATATAACTATATACAATATATAGTTATATATATAGTATATAACTATATACAATATATAGTTATATATATAGTATATAACTATATACAATATATAGTTATATATATAGTATATAACTATATACAATATATAGTTATATATATAGTATATAACTATATATAATATATAGTTATATACATATAATATGTATAATATTATGTAACACCTAGTTCTTGTTGGTTAGAGTTAGATAGTGGGTTAAACAATATAGTGTCTGAAACTCTTTTATAAATACTCCAGAAAAAAGGGGGAAACGTAGATAGAACAAAATAGGCAAAATTTGGTAATTGTTGGAGCTTGGTAGTGGGATCATGTGAGTTTATTTTGGTGTTCTACATTTAGGTACATTTGCATACTTTTACAAGTTCAAAATATAATGAAGTAGTATTTTTCCAAATTATTGAGGTATGGTTGGCAATGTCAAAAGAAAATAGCACCTTTATAACCAGAAATAATGTGTAAAATAGTTTGGAAAAGGAGAGCATGAGGTCAGAAAAATCAGTTAGATGCTGTGGTGCTGAACCCCTCTTAACCTCAATAGAGAAGGCACCAGGTTCAAGAGGCCAGGGACCCAGAGCCAGAGAACAAGACATGGCATACGGATAGCTTACTAACAGGGAGGTCCAGTAGTGGCAGGCTAGGCAGAACTGCAACTGCTTGCAAAAAGCATGCATTTTATATAGCATCTTCACTCGCTCTCTTCCCCTAACAACTTCCACCTAGCAACCTTCATCTAACCCAAAACAGAGGGCCTCCATCCCCTGTATGGCCTGTGTTCCTATAGGATTAGACAGGAGCTCAGATATTCCTCATAGGTAAGGAATGAATCTCCTGGTTGGCCACGCATGGAACTCTGAACACATTCAGGTGTGTCTGCCACACAGCTGGGCATTTGGAACATGAGGTAATAGAGGTGAGAAAACAATTTCAAAGAATGAGCAAAAAGCAATATGAGACATTTTGGAGACCAAGTTGATATGACATTATGAATGGAAGGCTAGGAAAAGGAAAATATCAAAGATGATACCATGTTAAGCCTAACAGGCTGGGTAAACAAAGCCATTAATAAAAGTAGATAGATGAGTGTTTAGGAATGTAGCGATTGTGGTTTCACATCTTTTCTCAACCCCACAAGCTCACTGAAAGGAATCAATCTAACTGATCCATGAAAGCAAAAGGGGGTGGAGAGGAGTGCTCTATTAGGAAAGCAGAAATGTGGCATCTGACTGCAATTCTGAGCTTTCCGCAGAAGTAGAATGCACAGGGCAAAGACTAGGGACCTGCCTGCATGCACAGCCTTGTCTCGGGGGAACAGCCACAGGATGCTGAGTCAGCAGCCATGGGAGGACTTCTGAGAGGGGTCAGGGCCCACGAGCACCAGCGCAGCCCAGCAGTCACATCCTGGCAACTCATGTTCAGCGACGACATGGAATTGCCAGAAGAGCGTGGTAAACATTGTGACAACCAGGGACTAAGTCACCCCACTTTTTGAGACCCAGAAGCTCGGACTGAACCTATGGAAGAAAGGGAGAGGACCTCCCATAATGGCTGAGATGAGGTTTCCCACCAGACCAGATAGGTGGGGCTCAGAGTATATTTAATCTGATTTAAAGAAATAAGTGTGATGTAGAAAGTCAGTGCTCACCAAATATTTCATGTGGTCCCCCTCCACTTCCCAGACCTTCTTGCAGTTAGATTAGAGCCATGTCAGCAGTTCTGGGGAATGGACTGTGAATGGATGTGTCATGTGCTCCTCGACAGCTCTCTTCCCAGCACAACAGCTTTGGGGGTTATATGCTCCAGGTAGAGTTGCTGCAACCGAGGAGGGCCACCTGGCCCAAATCAAACGTCACAAGGGTGAGGAATAAGTCTTTCTTGTTTTAGGTCACTGAGATAATGGGGTTTTACAATTGCACCAGTTAGCATTAATTATCCTGAGTAGTACAGAAATAAATAAGATATATTGTGTTCCCGAGTTAGTAAAATGCATCCATTCTCCAATCAGGGCAGTGTCACATAAAAGAATAAGCTGTTTTGAAGGAAGATACAGACTCCAGTTATGAAAATTGGGAAACGTATGTCTGGAGTTTAAAAGAAATAAAGAATAATAAATCATATACATAGACGATATCATTGAAATCATGTCCATGTAAAAATAGAAGACAAGAGAAGAAAATAGAAGGAAAGGCAAACACGTGACTTCCAAATTAAACTCAGGCACAGAAATCCAACTGGGAAAGAGCACAGAGGTGGGAAATGCTTTTATGTGCTGATGTGTGTCCCTGAAAGACCAAGGAGAGCTACCCTTCTGAGCCCCTCCATACAGTACTGTTATGTAAAAATGGAATAAAATTTTTGTATGTTAAGCCCCTGAAATTCATTTGTTACCGCACCTTACCCTCGCCTACCACTAACCTACACAGTTGCTGCTACTGCATCTTTTGGCTGCAGCAATATAATACCCGAGCTTCTATCCAGGAATCAAGAAAAGACCACCAAAATTACCAGATGCAGAGCCACACTGTGCCTGCTAGATCATCGCAAGCAAAATGGATGCGTCACCTGCTTCTGACTCTCCCACTTAATTCAGTTCCAAACTCAGGCCATACATCTGTGCATCTTATTGGATGAATTTTATAAACGTCTGTAATGGCAGCTGAAAGGGCATCTAGGAAATGTGGTTTTTAGCTTCAGCAACCCAAGGGTTGGGACAGATTAGGGATGTGCTGGGGTTTTCTAGGGAGACTATGCAATTGATTCGGGACTGTTCTACTCTCACATGATTCTCCATGATCATGTAGAAACAATGGGAAACCCAGAGAAGTGGTCTCCCAGCATCTTTCCCTTCCACTAGTGATGGCTATGAAACTCACTGTTTATATTAACCATCCAGTCCCTTTTTAAACATCCCTGTCATGGTACCAATCAGATTGTTTTTGTCTGAATATTCAGTGGCCTGCAATTCCTACTGTCATGAGATTATGTGTGATATAGAAGATTTCTGAAAAGTAGCATTATCAGCATCCTTACTAAATTCATCGGTCAATCTTAATATCTCCAGAAGGCACACCTAGCATGAGGCTTCTAATGTACCATTTAATTTTCCAATTGACCTTGATAAAGATCACCTCATGCCACAGTGTTCAGAAAAATACTTATTAAGCACCCACTATAGGTGTTAGGAGCACAGCAGTGAGCAGACAACAACCTGGTTTATACGGCCTTTACCTTCTGGAGCCTTTCTATCATAAAAGGTTTGCTACTTTTGACAACGCAAATGTATGTGGCTAAGAAAGATATCTGAAAAATCATAATATTTTATTTCGTAATCCAAGGTAGCTTTACTGAAAAGTGACACTTGAGAGGAGGTGCACAGCAGGTATGAATTTGGGTCTGGGAAGGTGGAGGAGGTGCTCTCTTGAGAAGTTTTGCTAAGACTCCATAGCAGACGTTGTTGGTTTTCACTCATATCCCCTTGGCATATTCAAAAGATCACTTGCAGATGTTGCTCATAAATACTAAAAGATTCCTGAGTCTCTGCCTGGGGTCTTCTCTGGCTGTACTTCCTGACAGAGAACCAACCCTAAAAGTGTACCCTTGTTAAAGGATTATTTTCTCCCAAAAGGTAAAATGATGACTTTCATACAAAAATAAAATGAATGAGTATTTACAAATTTATTTAACTCATTGCTTGATGAGGGGACTACTAAGATGTTACAACTGGCTCAAAGGAGAACTCAAAATGGCACACATATATCTAGAATGAGAGTCCTGACATGAATTTATAAATAAATGCTATCTTGGTCTATTTTCTGTTGCTGTAACAGAATACTTCATACTGGCTAATTTGTAGAGAAAAGGAATTTATTTCTTACAGTTCTGGAAGCTGTGAAATTCAAGATTGGGCAGTTGCATCTGACAAGGGCCACATGCTGTGTCATAACATGGTGGGATCACATGTGAGAGTGTTGAGCAGGTACTTGCAAAAGAGAAAGAAAACACAAGGGGTGATCTCTCTTTGTAATAACCCCACTCTTGCAGTAACTAATTCTGTCTCATGATAGTGAGAACTCACCTCCGAAGCACTGCATTAATCTCTTCTTGACAGTTGATCCCTCATGACCTAAATGCCTCTTAAAGTCCCCCCCTCCCCCACAATCCCTCAATGCCATTACATTGGGGACCAAGCCTCAAAATGAGTTTTGGTAGAGACAAACCATAGCAGGTACAAAACTGGTCACTATCCACTGGATAACAGTCAGTCGTATTCACTGCATTCCTATGGGCAAAAATCATTTACATTGCTATCTATTTTCTACAACTTAAAGAATTGTAAAATAATTCAATGACGATGAAAGGTGGAGCTCACCTGGATAGATGAGCTAGGTGAGACCTCCATTTAATCTTTTGGTGCCCATTTCAAACTCATTCACAATTTCTCCTGATGTTCTCAACCAATGAAGAATAGAATTTGGTGGCTATATAGCACAGCTTCCTTGTCCCTTAATGAGATCATTCTGAGATGTGTTCCACACAACTTCTCAGAGCGTCCTCAGTGGGATTGAGCCCCATCAGCTCCAGCAGTAAATTCAACAACAAAATTCTTTGGCTTTCCTCCCTCCCAGCTCACTTGCCCATTCCCTCGGAGTACTTCCTGGCATAACCTTTCACATAAACTTAGACAAAATCCTTGGCTCATGGTCTGATCTGGAAGGAGCCCAAACTAATATAGATTCCCAGTTCATGAACTTAAGACACTGCTCACAGATTGAAAGAGGTTTTTATCTTCAGAACCTACTCTCAGCATATAGGAAATGAGAAGTTCCATGATAGGTTCCACCCATTCCTCCCCTCTCCACGTCCTCCATCACCACCACCACCACCACCTCCCAGAAGGTTGCCCCAGCTGATCAGCATCATTTCCTAATGAAGAGCATTTAAAAAACAGTTAACTCAAGGGAATACTAAGCTTGTCTGTGTATGCTGGCATCCTGGGAACTCTGAGGTCAGTGTGCAGACTTGCAGAGCTCACAGGTGTTCCAATAATAACTAGTTAACTAGTTTGTTTGGACATCCGCTGCTTCAGCTGCTACTTTACCCACTTCCACCAACATGTCCAGCCTGGGAGTGGAAGGTCATAATATCCATCCACAGACCCAAGATGAGGAAGCTGTACATTAACATGTAGAAGTGTGTTTCCTAGGCCACAGCTCTGACAAGGAAAAGTGGCAAATTGTATTCTGAAAAAAAAAAAGTCTAAACCCCCTTTATTTTTTCAATCGTGTTGACTACAAGGGATGGATTGGCAAGATATGAGCCATGTTGCTGCCACTCTCAGACCCAGTTGGTTTCTCTGCACCCTTTCATCTCTGAATTCTATGTTAGATATTAAATAATGGTCCTTAAAGAGAAAAAAAAAATCCCATGCAAATAAGCAACAGAGTCCTGAGAAACCTGCAGAGAGAGAGGTCAATTTTGTAAATAGAATCAATATCATCTCTTTATCCACCCAACCTAAAGGAAGCAAAAACAGATAGGCCATTTCTGTACCTCATTTGAGGAAAAAAAATGAATATGGCTCAAAAGATAATGGCTACTTTGCTTATGTCCCAAGAATGAAAATAATATAGTTAAGTATTTTTAGGAATGGAAGATATTCTAAAGTTATTTAAAATTTCTTTTCTGCCTTTCTGAGTACATGATGCTTGAGTTATTTACTTTTTATGGAATTGGGAGTAAGACATAATTAGGATGCACTGGAAGGAATATAAAGTGCATCTGACATTGAAAAAACAGGATTTTATAGCAAGACAATAACCTTCCAAGCCAGGCAATTATCACTGTAAAGGACTATATAAATTGCTTTATTTTCCCCTTTAGAACATTAAGGGCTAGGCTTGAAAGAAGTGAAAGCTTGTCTATTCTAGTGTCAGGGAATCCTGTGAAAGAAGGATTAAGGGAGGGATGGAAGGAGAGAAAGAGCAAAGACTACATTAGGTAAGTGAAGCTAACTGCAAGAGCAGAGCCAAAGGGGGATCTTGCCCCTCACTCTCTCATATCCCATTTAGGACCTGGAAAGTGGTCACCTACCAAGGAATCCCTGCTCCAAGTAGGGCACAGCCAAATACACTTAGTGAAATGTGTGCATGATGCCAACAACCACTAGAAATTGGATTGACCCAACATTCAATGTGAAGTAGGAAACGTTAGTCTTCCCCGCCACTCAATTGCTTTAGATTTGAGAGCCATACTGATCAAAACTCTGTCATATCTTGATTCTGTGACCTTAGGCAGGCCACTTCACTTCTTTGGGTCTCTGTTTCCTAGTCTGTTACATGCAATGATTCCAAGAGGTTTTTAAAAGGGACCACTGTGAAAGGGAATTGGGAGTGAGGGGAAGAAAGAGATCAGCAGATGGAGCCCCATGCCCTCCTTCACTACTGCAGCCAGAGGAGCTCCCTTTTTGTCAATTGTATATACATTCATGTATCACTTTATGATCAGGTTACAATCTGAAAAATACATCATTAGGCAATCTGTTCTGCAAACATCACAGAATGTACTTACATAAACCTAGATGGTATTGCCTGTTACACTCCCAAGCTATATGGCATAGCCTATTGCTCCTAGGTACAAACCTGTACAGCATGTTACTATGTGTGACTGTAACACAATAGTATTTGTGTATCTAAACATAGAAAAGGTACAGTAAAATTACAGTATTATAATCTTATGGGACTACTATTGTTTCTGTGGTTTTTCATTGACCAAAAGTGTATTATATGACATATAACTATTGGGTTTCACTTTAAATTTTTATTTAAAGAATATTTCGAGGTTTTAAAAATAATGGCTAGAAACCACTGGATTAGATGACCTTCAAAGTCTTCTCCAGGTTTCATTTCCCCCAGTCCAGACTCCTTTGCAGCATCTCCCCCATTCCTCAATCTCTCAGTGCCTTTCCATTGTCCTCTGGCAGCTCAGAAGCTCTTGGAATGAACATTTACCACAACTAGCATTCCACCTGCAAGCATCTGCTATGGTCTGAATGTCTGTGTCACCCCCAAAATTTATACGTTGAAATCCTAACCCCCAATGTGATGATATTAGGAAGTGAGGCCTTTGGAAGGTGATTAGGTCATGAGGTGAGAGCTGTCCTGATTGAGATTAGTGCCTTTATAACATAGAGGCAGAGAGATCCCTCACCCCTTCCACCAACTGAGGACACAGGGAGAGGGCCCAGTCTATGAATTGGTCTCTCACCAGACACCAAATAGGCTTGCACCTTTATTCTTGGACTTCCCAGCCCCCAGAACTATGAGAAATAAATTTCAATTGACAGTTTATAAGCTACCCAATTTATGGTATTTTGTTACTACAGCCTGAACTCACTGAAATAGCACCACCAGTATCACTGGTATTACCTCCAGGCCCAGCAACAAAGGGGCGATGTCTGTGATGACTGGGGACTTCGAACCCTGCTTCAGCACTATGGTCATGCCAATCCTTTCCTGTTGTTAAAACAGGAAAACCACCTGATTGGGATTATCTGCACTGGCTTCAATATCGGTGGTGATGACCGTGAGCCCTGGAGCTGCATTACAAGGAGAATGGACACTTCTCTCTACAAGAGAGGTTGTCTTCTCTTTCCCCCTTCTGGCCTCACCCTGCCTTCCAACTTCCCCCACCACCCCAGAAAACAAACAGACAAAAAAAAAAAAAAAACACAAACAAGCAAAAAAAAAAAAAAAACCTTTAGTCTTATTCTAGAGGTGCATATGACTGTGTTTTGAATATCAGCCTTGGCATTCACATTCCAGAAGAACTCTGACCCTTTCTTGATTCTTCTCCAGACCCTTGGCCACAAAATATACTCACCTTCATAGGAGCCTTCTTTAGTCAGCCTTTAGTAACTAAGGCAGTAAGTGATTTATTATAATGCTAAAGAATTAATGAAGCTTTGTACTGGAGGAGGTGGAATAATTTGAATTTCCCAGGAAGTTTTCAAACTGCATTTCCCACAGCCTCAAATATTCTGATACAGCTCTCATACCCCCATTGCCAATCCACAGGGATGCAAGCAGGTTGTACATTTTAAAAAAGAGGTTCTAAATGAGTGAGACAATGTTTACCTCCAGCAAGAACCACTAGTTTACAGTTTGATGTACATTGCCAGGAAAGATTTGCATTTTTAATGCAAATCACTGAAACCAAAAAAAAGGAATAACTCTAGACTTCTGGAACAAGGCTAAAAAGAGATTTTTGCAGTGGGCCACCAAGATGTCCTTGTATAAGCAGAGCCTCCTTCTCGCATGGCTCTCAGTGTCGGAGGTGCCCTGGCCTGGGTTGAACCTGTGTCATTGTTGTGAAGATGTAAGGGCTATCAGTTAAGTGTCTAAATAGCATAACTTCATGGACTCAGATTCTGGCTGATGTGGGTGACCTATCTTAGGTTTCTGCCTATGTCCCTAAGTCCTCAATCCCTGTTAAAAGGCAAGTTCTTAGTAAATAATGAAAATGTATGAGCCTTAGTGGGTTAAACATGAGTGCTGGAGTCATCAAGTCAGTAGGATCAAGCACTAGATTCAGAAGCTGTGGATTGTCCAAAAATCATACGGTTTCTTGGGGTTGGGGGAGGGTTATGAAACAAAGATAGAGCGTGATCCCCATTTTGCACTATGTAGCTGATGCCTATGTGTCGAAAGGATGTGTGTGATAAGGACAGGGAGGGGATGGGAGCAGAGGTGGAGGATGTGAGGGTGGGGAGGTTATATGGAGGGTATGTGTGGAGTGTGAAAAGGAGCATGAAGCACGTGGGAATGGTGTGCTCACACATACACATATGTGTGCATGCACATGTAGTCCTGGACACTACAGTAGGTGCCTGGACTTCCAGAACCTAAAAGTTTGGTGTTGACAGCAAAAAGGAACTAGAGTGCTCTCTCTCCTTGGCTCACACTTCCTCAAAATAAAACTTGATGATGTTTAGGAGCAAGGACTTTGGACTGAGACATGGTTTTCTATCTTAATCCAACACTCACTAGCTGGGGAATCTTGGCCACATTATTTAGCCTCATAATATCACTTCCTTATCTGTAAAATAAAGATATTTTGTGGCATCCCTAAAGGGCTAAGCACAGTGTAACACAAAGACGATCCATAAATAATAACTTTTAAAAATTCTAGCCCATTTCTCAAAACTGATTCCAAAAAGAAATTGCACCATGGCAACGAAATAACCTCCCAAAAAGTAACTTTTGAAATTCATTTATATTCTATGCCTTCTTTGTTTTGAACAGGTTATTTGGCAGGTGGGGGAGGGGATGTGGATAGAGTTCACAAACATTCTCGATTACCTGTGGCTCCTGGGACTAAGAACAGAGTGAAAACATGAAATCCCCAGGGTGATGCTCCTCAGTGGTTTCAACCAATGCAACCTTTCCAAGCATTCTCCCTTGTAAGCAAATAAATTGACAGGAGCTGGCCACTTTCATGTGCCTTTTCCCACCCTCTGATAATGGTGCTGGAAGGTGGAGAGTTGGCCACTCCCTGCAGGACACACAGCAAGAGACCTGGACTGTGAGCTCATCGCAGTTTGCCTTGTGGCACGGGGGACATGTTTGAGCCTGGAAGTTTCCATACTTCTTTTGTTCTTAACATCAAAATCAATCTCTGTTTTCAGCATTGTGGGGTTTGATTGCAACCATTGGAGATTTAGCAAATAACAACTTCGGAATTATAAAGCGAACATATAGTGTAAATATGAGGCCTATGTTACTCTATAAATTATCTGGAGTGCTTTTTAAAACAATTAAAAAGTAATTCTGAAACATTAGTCATAGTCACCCAATGATTTCTTCTCATACTACCAGAAAGTTCCTGCTATAAAGTCGGAGACCACCACTAATTAATTATATAAGAATATTACAAAGTTGATTATGGTCCTAAAAATAAAAGTAATATACAGGTCTCATTTTTGCTCTTTTTTTCTTCTCTGTATAGCCTCTAGAGCTTTTTCCTGCCAATGCTCTTCCATCTATGGAGTTACTGTTACATGAACAGTGTTGGAATTCTCACCGTTTCTAACTACTGGCTTCTCCATAGGAATAGACACCACTCTCTATGCAATAGCTGACTACCGCAAGAGGACCTCAGGCTTTATTTGGAAGCTTCTTGTGGTTATCATAGCTGACGCCACCAATGCCCTCTAGTATATTCATGGGCAGAGGAAACACAATCGTAGAATTCTTCTCGGTGGCTACCGTGCTCAAGGTCTGCAGGTAGCGCAGCTGGAGAGCTATGGGAGACTCAGCCAGCACCATGGAGGCTGACTTCAGGGATTTGGAAGCATTCATTTCTCCTTCAGCTGCAAGGACCTGAAATGACAGAAATAAAATCGTTCAGAAATAAAAGTTTACACTATAACTAGTTCTTTCTTTTTCTGGGTCTGTATTGATACCCCTCTCCCCAGCCCCCATGTTGCCACATGTGTTTCATCTACTTCTTTGGCGAGGATAAGTTTCACTTCCTAACATAATTAGAGAAATTCAAGGAGGTTGCAGGAAGCAAGGAGGGATATTGTACAAATCGTAGGTCCCTAGATTTTATCATCAAACAAAAATAAAAGTACTCTCTTGAATACAAATGAATACTTGGCATCTACCCTAATAATGCCTGGAAGCACTTTGGAGCCTCACTACTTGCTGCATTCATTTCCAGAGAAGTCTGAAATTTAAGGCCTCTAACTGATGTTTTTATCATTTTTAGTTATCTTAGATGTTTTTAAGTTCATTCTGTTGCCACTTTGGTGTCATTCTTACAAACCGAGAATTGTTTCTAGTTCTCTTGGCTCTTGATTACAAGCAGCAATAAGTGCCAGCCTTGTAACACTGGCAATCTCTTAAGTACATCACTCTTTATAGCTCTCAGACTGTCCAGGAGTGATTCAGCTGCCTCATCTGTGGCCATCTGCCTGTGTGCAAAAGTGATCTCTCTTCTATCATTGCCGAGTCCCTTCCTGGAAGCTGCTGGAGCTTAGCAGATAAACCAGATTTGAGTCAAAGAAACACCTTCATCAGCTAACAAGTAAGTTTCCAAAGAGGATACACAAAGGCTTGGGATCCCAGTAGATTTCTGATACTTCAGGAAAGTTATCCACACAGGCATGAAAGTCAGAATCTCAACAGATTTCAAGGACATTCAGAGCCAGGGTGCACTTACATTTTGTAATTCTTACCTGGATTGTATTTAATTGCCCCCTTTTATTCCAGCAACGTTTAATATACAAGAACAACAATGCGCAAAAGACAGGTTCCATGTTGGCTACATCTAAGTCACCAGCTTTATGAAAATAGAGGTTTCTTAGCCCACTCAAGACTGCTTCAAGCCTGGGTTTGAAGTAAGGCTTGGAAATTGGTATTTTGTTTTGTTTTGTTAAATTCTCCCCAGGGAACACTGATATGCGGCTAGAGTTGGGACCTACTTGGCTAAGTTGCTCAGTACGTTACTGAGCATCCTCTTAACCCAAGACCTGCTACCAAACTTCCTCAAGGTACAGTAAGCTGCTGGTTACCTTTTAATTCAGGGAAAATTCTCAGTAAAACTGTGAAAAGAAACCCCTTTCTCATGCAAATAATTGACAGACCCAATCTTCTGTTCAAGTCCTATCCTTGTTGGCCCCAACACTAGGCAGTTCTCCCTCCATGTGTGAACTGCACAACACTTACCTTGGCTCTCGCTTCCCGGGTGGCCTCAGCCTCGGCTGCCATGGATCTCTGCAACTGCACGGGAATCCGAACATCTTTGATTTCCACTCGGGCCACCCGGATCCCCCACAGTTCGGTGGCATCATCAAGTAAAGTCTGTTTCCAAATTAAAAGGGAAGACTAATAAGAAAGACAGGTGATATGATGTATGTTTCTGATATGTTTTATACTTTCAAGATACATTTTTCTTTTTTTTCTTTTTCTTTTGCATTTACAGCATTTGGAGTGAGACAATTTAGGAAGAGAATAAGAGTTAATATTCTTATTGATCATTTTTTGGAATTTAAAGTGAATCTCTTTAAGAATTCAGGAATTAAATCTGGCAGACCTTTTAGTGGGTGTCTATCAGCAGGATCTACCCCAAAACCAATCCCAAGGAGGTATATGAGATCCATCTAGATTTGAGAAAATATCCCAAATGTGCTTGTACCTGGTATCAAGCAGGCAGCAATGAACGGGTTTCTCAGACAGACCTGGATTTTGCTTTGGCTCTGCCATTTGCAGTTGTGAATCATAGGGACAGTTTCTTAACTTATCTGGCTCTCAGTTTTCTTACCTATAAAAGGTTTTCTTTCAGGACTGTTATTAGATATGGAGACAATACATATAAGATATCTCTCAGTACCCAGCAATGACTCAATGCATATTATTATTGGGTCCTTTTTGAGATATTATTTATCTCGCTCTGTTTAACTTCTGCTCTATGGCCAGCTTTAAAGAAGCAAGGCATATTTTTCAAGGCAGAAGCAGCCTAAAGTCAAAGATACTCTTGTCTTTCGTAAAAGCTTAAAACCATTGAAGATATCTTGCTGGTCATCCTGGAGAAGATGAGTGTCTTGAGAAATGGTAGGATCAAAAGGATAGCTCCCCTAAAGAGGTGGGGGCAGTGATCCCTCCCTTGCCTTTCTGTGATCCCTGCAGGATATGACACCTGAGATACTGAGACCTCACAAGAAGTCAGTGACCTGGCTGTGGATGGGATACCTTTGAGTTGTTAAATTCGTGGGGCACATATAAACAATATGGAGAATTATCATGCAGAACTCCTACTGCCTTATAAAAGCTTGGGACCTTTCCTCTACTGTAGGGACTAGAGGAGAGGCCAAGAAGAACCAAAGCTGAATTTCTTTATATAATTGACTTACAGAAAGGAAGCTCAGAACCCAAATGTAATTCATCTAAGAAAATACAGAAGTATTCTTGTCCATAAACTCGTGTGTGTGAGAGATGAGATCGATAGCTGTTACCTCTTTATTGATATCATAATTATCATTACTATTAATGTTATTAGTGATATTGGTGGCATGGTGTAAGAATTTCTAGAGATGATAGGTCTATGCTGTCTCAATTGAATTTAACTTTCACACTTTATTTAAATATATAGGCTACCTGAGAAATGGCTGCACTTCTGGAATAATCTAACCTAAAAATAAATCTGATCTCTAACTTCTTCAAAAAAGACTATACTTGTAAGACGTTAATTCATAAGTTTGAATTCCAAAGAAAATGGATAAGGAGCACATTTTCAGCAACTGCTTTCTTGCACTCAGATATTTAAATATATTTCTTGCAGTAACAGGTAAGTGAAATCACAACTGAAGCTCACCTCTAGAGCAGTTGTCTGTGTGTGAGTGTGTGCAAGCATGCATGTGGTGGGGGATGCTTTGAACTGCTGACATTTAATAATCACTGATAATTAAAATTAACAAGTTAAAGATACAGGCTATTAGTTCATGGTGTCTTTACCTGGATGCTATGGGCGATCTCTTCTCGTCCAGCTAAGATCTGGGACAAGGTCTGTGTCCCTAAGACATTTCTCAGAGTGGTTTGAGCCAGCAGAAATGTTGCTTGATGGACATCGTTGACATTAGCCACTGCTGAGACAGCACTATAGATTCTGTAATAGACAACTCCATCTACCTGAGTAGTTACGGAGTCTCTGGTGAGGATCTGTGGAGTAAGAACAGGGCAAAATCACTTATTTATGACTTTCACCACTACTGACAAAGTGACAGCCAGCCCAAGAGCCATCCTCCACAGAAGGAGAGCAGTAACGACAACTCATGCTACAGTCACCTAAAACCTGTCCTGGCTTGGATAGAATATCTTCCCAGCTGATACGCAATTCCTCTAAAGATGTCATCATACCTACCCCTGTGACTTCATCTTTAAGAAGCTTTTACATCCTATAGGCAGAAACCCTTGACTTGACATGCTAAGAACAGGCCCTTCCATTTTAAATGTTAACAGTACAGCCCTTGTGTCATTCTATTATCTTCAGTCTTCTAAGCAGAAGTAGAACACTTGTTTCCCTGATACCTGTACTCTTTTTTCTTTTCAGTTTTTATCAGACTTGAAGCAGTGATTCTTAGAAAACATAGATGGCACCAGAGACCATGTAAAGAAAAATCGATTTCGCTCTATGGAGAGGCTCAGCATCAATCATTCTGAATAATGTGACAGGATGTTTTGGAGCAAATGAGAGATTTCTGGGTATACTATGGAAGCAGAACCTAGAACTGTCCATTACAGAGCTAGAAAAGTCCCTACTGTAGGTCACTAAGCATCCCAACCTCTCCTGACTGCAGCTGAATTCTTTCTTTTTTTTTTTTGAGATGGAGTTTGGCTCCGTCACCCAGGCTGGACTGCAGTGGCGCAATCTCTGCTCACTGCAACCTCCGTCTCCCAGGTGCAAGTGACTCTCCTGCCTCAGTCTCCTGAGTAGCTGGGATTACAGGTGCATGCCACCATGCCCAGCTAATTTTTGTATTTTTAGTAGAGATGAGGTTTCGCCATGTTGGCCAGGCTGGTCTTGAACTCCTGACCTTAAGTAATCCTCCTGCCTCAGCCTCTCAAAGTGCTATGATTACAGGCGTGAGCCACCATGTCTGACCTGGGGCTGAATTCAAAAGTAAGTATTCTGCAGTTCCTAAGTGACATGAAGACATCATGTTTGAGTCCTGGTTGAGTTTCCTGAACCAGACAGAAGAAAATTAACATATATTTATAAATGTTGATTTTCGTCTTCTTATCACCATTGCCCTCCCATATCGTAGGTCCTGAATTTCTCTTCCTCTAACCTGAACCACTTTGGTTATGAGAGGGTGATATGATAATTGGTAACTCTATTCCTCTTCCCTATTGCTGAGTTACTATTTTGGTTATTTACTTGTAGTACTTCAAGAATTAAAAGACTTATGTGGGCTGGGTGCAGTGGCTCAGGCCTTTTATGCCTGCACTTTGGGAGGCCGAAGCAGGCAGATTACCTGAGGTCAGGAGTTCGAGAGACCAGTCTGGCCAACATGGTGAAACCCTGTCTCCACTAAAAATACAAAAATTAGCTGGGCGTGGTGACAGGCACCTGTAATCCCAGCTACTTGGGAGGCTGAGGCAGGAGAATCACTTGAACCCGGGAGGTAGAGGTTGCAATGAGCCGAGATTGCACCACTGCACTCCAGCCTGGGCGACAAGAGTGAAACTCTGTCTCAAAAGAAAAAAACAAACAAACAAAAAAAAGACTTACGCAAAATACAAACACAAGTGGGCCCTGTACAGCCTCTCCTCTGTCCTTATGCCTGCCCCCTCTATTGCATCCAAACACAGAAATAATTTAAAGTCAGAAGCAAATGTGACTCATGTGGATATTACAAAAAATTCTGAGAAGGTGATAGAGAGGGTGGTATCAAAACCAGCCACTGCCTTCCATCTGCCCTCTGTCAGATTCAATTCAGCTCCTTCATACAGTGACTGTCTGTCTCTTCCAAGCCTCTGCTCTGTCATTCTCCATCCCAGCTTCCCTGCTAACTAGATCTCTGCTGTCAGGCTTTCTCACACCAGGCCATTCTAAGTCTTCTAGCAATTCAGCCCTTGCTCTTGGCTTCATTCTCATTTGGCAAAACACATTCTTTGTAGTTTTGGGAGCCACCAAGGAAGGGCAATTCAAGCAGGTCTCTGCGGGTACTCAGCTCATCTTCCCTCCTATAGTTTAAAAGTGAACTATAAAATTGTAATTGTCCTTATAATAGAGAAAATACAAGTTTAATTTCGAGTGACATATCCTTAATCAGTACTACCTCTTGTGGAGGAATGTTGCAAGTAACTGTTCGGAGGTCAACTTTGACAAACACATCTATGCATGGCAGGACCAGGATCAAACCTATGAGAGAAAAAATCAGTTTAAAATGTTGCTCTGTTGAAAATAACTACAAGTAGTCTCATAGCAGCATAGTGCATCATTTACATGGGGCGATACATGTTTCTCAGATGATCCTCAATATGCACACATGAAACTCTGAGGAAAATGATTTCATCCTCTAGGTCAGTGACTAAAGAAAAGTAATTGCCTGCGAAGTGAAGTCTTTTGGTAAGAAGCTAAAGATCCCTGACATTTAATTTTTGGTTTTTATTTTTAAAACAATCTACTTCTATCCAAGTGTTTAATTGGACATTAACTAAAAATAATATTCTGACCAATTGTGAAAAGCATCTTTGGGACAAGTGGAAAATTTGAACACAGAATGCATATTAAAAGATGTTAAGGCTGGGCGCGGTGGCTCACGCCTGTAATCCCAGCACTCTGGGAGGCCGAGGCAGGCAGATCACCTGAGGTCAGGAGTTCAAGACCAGCCTGGCCAACATGGTGAAGCCCCGTCTCTACTAAAAAAAAAAAAAAAAAAAAAAAAAAAAAAAAAAAATTATCTGGGCATGGTCACACATGCCTGTAATCCCAGCTACTCGGGAGGCTGAAGCAGAAGAATTGCTTGAACCCAGGAGGCAAAGGTTGCAGTGAGCCAAGATCGTGCCACTGCACTCCAGCCTGGGCAACAAAAGCAAAACTCTGTCAAAAAAAAAAAATTAAGGTGTTCTTGTTCATTGTACTGGTTGTGATAATGGCATATGTCTTAGTCTGTTCAGGCTGCTGTAACAAAATACCATAAACTGGGTGGCTTATAAACAACAGAAGTTTATTTCATATAGTTCTGCAGCCTGGGAAGTCCAAGATCAAGATGCTCATAGATGCAGTGTCTTGTGAGGGCCCATTTCCAGATTTATAGATGGTCATGTGGTGTCCTGGGAGGGACATGACAGCTCCCTGAGACTTCCTTTACAAGGCCACTAATTCCACTCGTGAGGGTGATTCCCTTATGATCTAATTACCTCCCAGGGTCCTCACCTCCTAATATCATTACACTGCTGATTGGGTTCAACCTATGAATTTTGGGGGGACACAAATACTCAGACCAAAGCAGCATGGTGTTAATAAAGTTCTTATCAGCTAGATATACAGACTAAAGTGTTTAGAGGAAAAATGACATGATCTGGTATTCTGTATTTGCTCTAAAATACTGCACCAAAAAAATAAAATATTTTGGAAAGTAGTTTTCTTATAATA
Source organism: Homo sapiens (assembly GCF_000001405.40). Taxonomy (NCBI): domain Eukaryota; kingdom Metazoa; phylum Chordata; class Mammalia; order Primates; family Hominidae; genus Homo; species Homo sapiens. Next base: position 38,973,831 of record NC_000013.11, read on the forward strand.
AAGATACTTATGTAACAGATTCAAGTAATAGATTTGGCTTTGAATATCAGTGACTGCCAACATTCTCAGTCAATTTAAATAGTAATGAAGGATTATTGAATTAAAATCTTCCCAGGGTCTCACATTCCTCTAAATCAATGTATTCCAGAGTTAATAGTTTATCCACAGCCATGATCTAATTCATGTACAATAGCATTCTCCTGCTGTAAACACATCTACTTCTTTCTGATTTGTGAGGCATTAAGTTGGAGCTGGGTCAGGGAAGGATGGGCATAAGAAAGTTCATTTAAGGACCCTGGGAACTCTTAACATTAACCTGGTGAATGTTGTTCTTTACTGTGAGAGCTACAAAGATTAGAACCACAAGGAATGTCAGCAAGATGGGGACACTAATATATTTCCATTAATCAAAAAGGCTTTGCATTATTGTTTTTGTTTTCACAGCAGAAACCAGTTCTGGGGCCAAACACCGTGTAAAGGGGTGGCAGTATCACCACCCCTTTACACAGTGTTTGGTGAAGTGCTTTCTTTCTTTTGGCCTCTAAACCTTACTTCCATTTTTGGTGCCAGGTCACTGTGGTTAAGATCATGGACCTGAGAACTAGACAGAGTTAAGTCCCAACCTACTACCTAGTAGCCTTGTGACCAGGGAAAACTCACCTAACACTTCGGTTACCTAATATATATAAGCTGGTAGTGAAGATTAAGCATGATTCAACATCATGATGAAATAAAGTACTAAATACAGTGCCAGGTATGTATTAAATGCTCATGAAGTGTCAGTTATTATTCAAGAATAATTTACAATTTATGAAAGTGGAGAGGTTTTCCATTAGCAATTTGGCTTGTTTCCCTCTTGTCCTTATGACATGCTGAGGTAACTCATTAACCCCAGAGACACGTATGACGAGAGTTGTTATCCTGAGACATTTAATAGTGAAATCTTAGGGGAAAATTCATTTAAAAATGGTATATTTTTCTCTAGAGGCCTCCAAGTTCTGTCTGTTCTGCTTCTCTTGGATCCAATTTTATTTTAACTTATAATCTTAGCCCCACCAGGTGGAACACAACCAGGAGGAAGTTAATCCTGGGCTGTTATACCTCAGTTGAATGACTCTTGCTTTGCCAAACTCACAAGAACATCTATAAGTAGTTTTTACCTTCTTTTTCTTAGGTCCTTTATGAAATTAGACAAGTAAGATTATACTTGAAATGGCTGCTGGGCGTGGTGGCTCATGCTTGTAATCCCAGCACTTTGAGAGGTCGAGACGGGCGGATCACCTGAGGTCAGGAGTTCAAGACCAGTCAGGCCAACATGGTGAAACCCCATCTCTACAAAAATTAGCCGCTTATGATAGTGGGTGCCTGTAATCCCAGCTACTCGGGAGGCTAAGGTGAGAAAATCACTTGAACCTGGAAGGCAGAGGTTGCAGTGAGCCGAGATCACGCCACTGCACTCCAGCCTGGGCGACAGAGCGAGACTCTGTCTCAGAAAAAAAAAAAGAAAAACAAAAAAAAGAAGGAAAGCCAAGAAGCCTCCTTCACAAGCTTCTCCTCTTGAAGTTTCCCATAATTTTTTTATATATTAACAGATCCATGGCTTATGGCCAAGGGCAAAGCACATAGAGCATCGTGGTGCTCAGGAAAGTTCCTACCCCGAGACCTTCCAGTCGCAGAGAGAACAATTTATTCAAATAAGCCATAATGGGGGCAGAAAGCAAATGTTATCAGAGAAATATAGCTAGTAACAATTGCTTTTCATATGCCTTCTAAGACAGTGCTTTTGATAGCCCCTCATTTCCAGAGTATTAGAATTAATCCCATGAAATTGCCATATTTGGGAGTCAAAACAAATTTAGCAATTTCCTATGGTTCAACTAGATATATGCTCAGAGAAGTTATGAGTATTAAATCAATATCTTACTTCGGGGAGTTTTAGTACCTTATAGTTTTAGTATCCACCCCAACCCCGGGCAAAAACAAAAAACAAACAAAGAAATAAAACCACCTTCTTTTAAAACATGACTATTTGGAATATTTTCTTTTTCAAGGTGGTAAAGAAAGGATGGAAATAAACACTATACTATACTAGATGTTAGAAGGCCTGAAAACTCATCTTTATTTCTAACTGTAAGAATAATCTTAGACAACTCATCAAACTTATGTTGGCCTCATGTTCTTTGTTTTCAAAACCAAGGGATTTGGCCAAAGGCGCCGTACAATGGCTTCCAGCTCTATCTTTCTATGTGTCTACTTGCCATGAGAGGAAATTACCTTTTGCTTTTCCATTAGCCCTTTTCAAAGAGTGAGCATCAAACACCAGCTCTCAATATACTCTCCTTGAGTAACTTAATAGTGTGCGTTGGCCATTTACTTTGCCTCTTATTCTTCCCACATTCTCCTGGTGGCCCTGGTAATAAGTGACATTCAGCCAATGTAACCAGAGCCACCCTTTGCTCACATTCACTGAATCTCTCAGAGGGAGACTTAGGAGGCCGGGCCAGATTTCCAAACTCTCAAACTGGTGGTCATTCCCACTGACTTGCATTAAAAGGTGGCATTCTTCTGTTGTACCAAAAGGCAAGAGCCCCAGCTTCTAGCAATTTTTCTTTGACTCTCAATAGGCACCACCAGGAAAAATATTGAAGGTGGTAGCAGTAGTATTAGGTGTCCCTGATCTTTCAGGGGCAGCCACCGCGTCATTCATACCTGGCCCCTTGGCTTTGTCAGCTTGGATGCGTCCCAGACGGAATACAACAGCACGTTCATACTCCTTAATGATCTAGGAGATTAAGGGCGAACGTTTAGTCCTAATGGTTTGTCAGTTCATATAGATAGCCCAGTTTATTTCCCAGGGTGTTACCTTCAAGCACATCCATATGGAGATGGGGAAGGTAATGATCACCAACAGGAAAGAGAGGGAAAACAGGATCCAGCCACATACACCAAGCCGTTTATTGTTGACACCTAGGAAATGAGAAGGAAGCAAATATGTGATCAATGTGGTTATTAAAAAAGCCACCCAGCTGCATGGGTGTGGAACCTATCCAGACAGCTGGCCAAGCCTGATGTGGCTGCATAGAAAACCTAAATCCATTTACACCATGGATGTAGTCACACACACGTACATACATTCAAATGTTTATTCAGGTTTTTAAAAATTAAAATTGACTTATTCCTTCCAAGAAAAATATCATAACAATAAACAGAAATAATTATTATTACATTTTATAGGGCTGCCATGGTTTATTATTCTCAAAACACATAAACAGTGGTTCTCAAAATGTAATCTCTGGACCGTCCACACCAGAATCATCAGATGTCTGGGTCCTGTGAATTCTCGAGGTAAAATTCAAAGCACCCTTTAAGGCAGGTAGGTAAGTACTATTATCCCCAGAGGGAGACAATGTGGTACATGGAAAAATATCCTGCAAAATCCTGAGGTATGAGTTTTTATGTGAGCTCTGTCACTTACCAATTCTAAAGCATTAGGATAGAAGACCACTCAGTCTCTGGGTTTCTGTTTCTTCATCTGTAGAATGGGGCTAGAAGTTACCCGCCTTAGAGAATTTGATGAGGATTAAATAAGATTACTTTTATATGGCTCCTGGGCCATACATTAACATTTACAGTTTTAAACAGGTATTCTACTTTTATTCCCATTTCCAGATGAATATGTATTCCAGGGACTTGTTGTCAGATGTTGATATTTGCCCTTTCTAACTTTTCATAAAAGTTTTGTTATGTTGGCTCATCACATAAGATCTCTTCTCGCTAATCACACATTATGATAGCAGGTGCATTTTGGCTTAATGAATATTGCTTTGCAATAAGATGAGACTGAGTTAAAATCCTACTTCAGCCACCTAAAACTCTGTAGCTTTACTTACATCAATTATATAATTTCTGAAGTCTCCGGATTTTTTTTTTTTTTTTTTTTTTTTTTTGAGACGGAGTCTCGCTCTGTCGCCCAGGCTGGAGTACAGTGGCGCGCTCTTGGCTCACTGCAAGCTCCGCCTCCCGGGTTCGCGCCATTCTCCTGCCTCAGCCTCCCGAGTAGCTGGGACTACAGGCTCCCGCCACCACACCTGGCTAATTTTTTGTCTCTTTTAGTAGAGGCGAGGATTCACCATGTTAGCCAGGATGGTGTCAATCTCCTAACCTTGTGATCTGCCCGCCTCAGCCTCCCAAAGTTCTGGGATTACAGGCGTGAGCCACCGCGCCCGGCCAGGGATCCTTGTTTGTAAAATAAGCAGGTCTGGCTGACCCTTTTAATTTAGAATTCTTTATAGTCACCATTTTATCTCCTTTAATTATTTTTACTTTTATTTTTATTTTTTTGAGACAGAGTCTCATTCTGTCGCCCAGGCTGGAGTGCAGTGGCGCAATCTCGGCTCACTGCAACTTCCATCTCCCAGGTTCAAGTAATTCTCCTGCCTCAGTCTCCTGAGTACCTGGGATTACAGGCACCTGCCACCACGCCTGGCTAATTTTTGTATTTTTAGTAGAGACGGGGTTTCGCCATGTTGGCCAGGCTGGTGTCGAACTCCTGACCTCAAGTGATTCTCCTGCCTTGGCCTCCCAAAGTGCTGGGATTACAGGCATGAGCCACTGCACCTGGCCCATTTTGCCTCCTTTTAAATCCTTGTTCCTCCTTATTCCCTTCTCCTTGACAACCAACCCCATTCGCATCCCATGATCTCCTCCAGCTGATTTATATTCTCCATACACAAGCACTAGGACTAGATATCCCCAGCCAGCTCACCCTACAAACGCCATATACTGTCTATCTCAGTTAATGCCTTCACCATCCACCCCTTTGCCCAGGTTAGGCAGGTCATCATTGCCTCTTCCCTATCCAGTTGCAGAAAGTCACTAAACCTAAATGATACTACCTCAAATCCATCCCCAGTTACCCATTTTACTCCTACTAATTTTTTGAGACCTGAGCCAAATTCATGAATATTTAGGAGAATTCTGGGTTTTTGCTCTTATAAGCGATGTTTTGATGAATGTTTTTAAATGTGTGTTTTTGTGCACTTGTGTAGGATAAATCCCTGGTAGTAGAACTGTTAGGTCATACAATTTTGATAGATGATAAATGCCTTTCAAAAAGTTTGTACCAACCTCCACGCTCACCAACAGCATAGAAGTGCTTATTCCCACATGTCCTTTTCTCCTTAAATCATTTCAACCTTCTCAGTCGTTACTTTCTGATAGGTGAAAATAACTACATTTTAGATACATATTTTGTATTAAAACCTTTTGAGTACAAATGGCCTTTTATATGCTCCAAATACATACATATTCTGAACAATAAGGGCTTGCCTGAATACTCTGAAATTTAAATTTCTAAAATATCACCTCCCAAAGCTTTGGACCCACATGGAGGTGAATCAGACTATCATTACACAAGATGGAAAGACACTTTATGCATTCTCATAGAATCTTTGTCAAATTTTATTAGTGCTTTTTTAGTATTCATGACAGAGCCTATAGATATACATTCTCATTGGAAAAAAAAATTCAAGTAACACAACTAAAGTTCCCTGAACCATCCTCTCCTCAGTCCCACTTTTATCTAGAGAAGTTCTGTAGTTACCGGTTTGGTGTGCATTCTCTATAGACCCACTCCTATGTATTTACATACATATATCTACATTTAGAAAACACTGGCTTTGATTTGTAAATTTTATTTTGTGATAATGGCATTACACTGTACCCACCTTTCTACTTTAACTTAATATATGGTGTATAGATTTCCATGGCATTACCTACTCATCTACCTCACTCTTCTTTATTGTTGCGTACTATGCCATCTTACACCTGTGTCTCAGTTTACTTACCATTCTCCTATTGATCATTAAGGTTATTTGCAATTTTGCCTATACAGACAAGGCTGTAATAACTGTGCTTATATATGTCTCACTGGGCTAATATGCATCTTTATAAAATCTTGGTAAAAGTATTGTGAAGGCAGCACAGTTCCTGTCATGTTTGGTGTGTTTCCTCCCTCCCGGCACTGAAATATTTGGTGTTCAGAAACCTTGGGCTGTTCTGGGGCTATGACTAGCAGCACAGCACACGCAGGCAGCTGGGACTCCAACAGGACACCAGCTGTGCTTAATGCCTGGAGCCAAGCCCTGGACATTTCCAAAGTAGACACAGCCTTAACACCAGCTGCACAAGCAAGTGTTTGTCACAGAGAAAATCGCACTGACCTACAAGCTCGCCTCTGGAGTTCATCAAGCCCTTGCATCATTACACGTGCACATGAGGCTCAGCTCCATTAGGTAATAGACGTGCTGAGAGAGACAAGAGAAGAGAATGTGACTATTCTTCCAAGATTTACACTGGAGCATTAGAATCACCCAGGCCGCGGCTTCTGGGAGAATTGGTGGAGCCTGGGGGTCTCATTAGCTGCCAGTTAAAGTGGGGCTGTGAGTGCTGCTGTCACCTTCCCTGCAGGCTCCCAGCTCAGCCTTGTGAGCATGCACAGCTGGGAATGAGACCACACAGAGTAACTCTTCCTGGCAGCCTTTCTCTCTCCCCACTCACTCCCACAGTTGAAACTAGGATGCTATACTGAGAACAGTTTTTGAAGATTACAATTCTGACTGAAAGGATATGCTGGGATTGTATTATTAAATACAGAGTTCTTCAGAAATCGCCCTACTTCAAGCTATACAAGGCTCTGAGGGGATGATGGAAGAAAAAGGGGCTGCACAACACCTTTTTGGTCACTAAGTGATGACCACATTTGATCATCTGTTTGAACCAAATCCACAAATGTGTGTATTCTCTGGACAGTTGTCGCATAACCATAAAGCCATGTCATATGCCTACTTCCTAGTAGAAAACTGGATTTTGCTGCCCCAAACAAATTGCCCTTGGTTTCATCATTCATTTAACAAATATGTTATCAGTTCTATGCCAAACGCTGTGCTGGAGAATAAAATGGGAAACATGCCTCTATTACAATGCCTTGGTCTTTCTTTATGCAGCTGGCAGGAAGAATCCCTCGGGCAGTTACAGAAACAATAGAAACAACAGATACTAGGTTAATTACTCTGCTGCACTTACTTCTAGGAAGTCTGCAGCTGGTGAAATATGTGGAGACTTCCCCCTGTGTGTGGCTGTGACAACAGCAGCAAAATATTTAATCAATACCTTCCTTTCAATCTGCAAAGAAAAAGGTAGAGCCATCAGCTATGGAAGCTGAGGCCCAGAGCCACTGACAAGAAGAGAGGCACCCATGAACTTCAGCTGGAAGGACTTTAGAGGTAACCAAAGCCAACTCTTCATCTTGCAACCAGAAAACTTCCTGGTTTAGTGTTGCCACCATCATCTTAATCTCTCATTAAGTAAGGTGACACCCACAAATTCCACAAACAGACAGTGGTGCGTGTCTACCTTTACTGACTTAGGGAGTGAGGCAAAGCCAAGGTTTATCGGTGGAGGCACATCCCCAGGGCATTATTCCTGGTGCTTAGATACAGCTGTTTACACCAGAGGAGATTAAATACCCTTTAGGACCAGGGCCCAACACTCAAGGCAAGATTGGCTACTTGTGTGAGCCAGGAAGTAGGAGAGAATGTTCTGTATCACTAGCCCAACTTAAATTATATTAGAAACAGAAATGAATTATAGTAAATAAAACAGCCTAGGTGACTTGCTTGCTTATTTCTCAACTTCAGCTTGGTCAAGAGTATTTAAATATTAGATCAATACTACCTACAATATTTTATCACAAATCTGTGTTATCATAAATAGTCTCTTAGTTTCTTAGCAGAAATAACTGTTAAGTATTATGACATGATTTTAAACAATCAGAATAGGATGATGTACATTACACATCAAAAAAATGAAAGTCAAAACCACCGTAAGATTCCAGTACGCAGCTACCAGAATAGTAAACATTAAAGACTGGCAATACCATGTTTAGCAAGGTTGAGGAGCAACTAGAGTACTCATATGTGCTGTTGGAAGTTAAGTTGGTACAATCACCTCAAAAACTATTTGGAAGTGTCTACTAAAGCTAAACATGTATCTACTTTATGACTCAGTATTCAACTTCCAACTAATACCTGAGAGCAATGACTACTGATGATAAAGAAAAATATGTTCAACAATGTTCATTGCCATTTTATTCACAGAAGCCAAGATATGAAGTTTGCCCAAATCCATCAACAGTAGAATGGATAAATGAAGTTGTGGTGTATTCATATTCAAAGGAATATTACTCAGCAAGAAAAAAAGACAAAACTACGGCTGTATGTAAAATATGGATGAATCTCAGAGATATAATAGTGGGCACAAAACCTTAAAGCAAATCTCAGCTTGACTAAATTTTAGACGGGCTTCTTCCTGACCCTAGGCCCCTAATCTCCCTTTTCTTAGGGCATTTTCTTTAAAAAAAAAATAATAATAATAAAACAAAAAACAACAAAAACAAAATTGTCATTATAAATTCTTTTTTCTTTGTTTTTAAAATATGTTTATTTTTTATTGTTTCATTAATGGGATATACTAGCTTATATAAACTCTTTCTCTGCCTCTTTGAGATTTAAATCTTTTGAAAAGCTTCTTGCCAGTTTCACAACCCAGGACTAAATTTCTCAAGGTCTCGGGAGCTAACCTTTGGAATATAAACATCAAAGAAAATAGCACCCCTATCTATCAGTTTCTGTTGGAAGTAAAAGCCTAACTTCAGTGGGCACCTTTCTCCGAGTTGTGAAACTACCTTGTTTCAGATAATACTTGTTATTTTCTTGTGAAAAGAAAATAAATCTTGGGACCCCAAACTCATTAAGCCAAAGGGAAACATCAAACTGGGTACTGGGTCACAAAAACCTGCCTTCGCTTTTTGGTTCCTAAATAAGATGGTTACAAGTTGAAAAGCTACACATCTCCCTCATATTTTTGCCCACAAGGAAATTCCTAGTGAGCTCCAAGATGTTTACCCTAAAGCATTTCTGTTAAAATTCACCATAGCAATGTAAATGGATAGCTTATCTTTACAATTGCATCACCCCTCTGTCCACCTGGCACAAATGCACATCTAATTGTTCCCTGTCCCATTTATCTTTGTCACCTTATATAAAATGCAGATTCCCTGAATTTTCCCCTATCTGTCTGTTACCTTATATAAAAATTCAGATTCACAGAGCCAGACACAGGCATGAGTGACTATTTTCCCCTATCCCTCTGTTACATGAAAATTGTGTACTTCTCAATACCCCACTCTTTCCTCTTTAAATTCAGTGCCCTCAAAATCATCTTCAGAGAAAGGCATAAACTTTGACAAATAAACCTCCTAAAATGACTGAGACCTGTCTCATCATTTTTGTCACGTCATAAAGATATACAAAATACACTAGATGGCTTATGACCTCCCCCTCAGGGATTCCAGTACTCTTCCAGTAGCTCACTCCAGCCTTTAAAAACCCTACCACCCCTTGCTTCAGTAGAGTTGAGCTCAGACTGAGTTCTGGCCTCTCTCCTCCATTGCAATAGCTTTGAATAAAGTCTTCCTTGGCCATTTAACTTTGTTCAGTACAGTTTTTGCTTTGAAAATGTACACTTTATTTTGTTCCATTTTTTTCTTTTACCAAATCGGATTCTAAATATCAATTGTGGATGTTCTGGTCCATCTAGATAATGGTTTCTCTATATATGCAAGAGCTAAATTTTCAAGATTATGTAATAAAAGCTCTAGACCCTTGAGGGCTTCTACTGGCTAATCTGGCCACTGACATTATAAGCTCCTTCAGATAACCCTTGGAACCTTGAGAAAAATATAGAAATATCAGGTCTTTAGTGAAGAATTAGTAAATTAGAGCTGGATGATGATCTTATTATCTACGCTAGTCCTATGAATACAAAATTCCATAATCCTAAGAGGTTTCCAAACAGGCAGATTTACATTTCAACTCCAGAAGGATGATTTGTGCTCAGTAGTTGCATGAAGTTTACAACACATTATCTACTGTATGTTCCCTTTTACCATTTGCTTTCTCTCTTTTCTTTTCTTAAAAAATACTTAAGGCATTATTTTGAAAGTGAACATTCAAAAAGGTGTAAAAATAATGCATTGAATACCTTAAACCCACCATTTGGCTTAAGAATATACACCTTGCCAACAAAATCAAAGTCCCTTTGAGCATCCTTCTTCAGGCCCTGGAGGCATCCCCCCCCACAGCAGCTTCCTCATGCTGAATACCATCACCATCACCCCAACACAGCCACAACCACAAGGCTGCCACTCAGAGCCCAGGCTTCACACACGGGCTCTTCCTACATTCGTCATTTGTTTTTCAAGTAGCAGGACTTTTGATGGTCTTTCAGTGTGGGTCTAGGTGATCCAGATGAAGGAGTCAAGCCATGTGCTAACATCACATGAATACCCCCTACAGTAGAGAAAGTAACCTAGGTCCTCACACATCTTGTCCCTTTGCACAGGTCTTTGTGTTCCTCAGCCCCCTTCTGCATCCCACATTTTCCTCAGCAGGCCTCAGCTCAAACATCCCCTTCTTTTCCAGGAAGATTTTTCTCTGTCACCCTCACCTTTGGGTGCTCCTCTTTTGAGTTTCTAATACAGTCACATACCACGTAATGATGTTTCAGTCAATGATGGACCATATATACGATGGTGGTCCCATAAGATTATAATAGTGTGTTTTTATTGTACCTTTTCTATGTTTAGATATACAAATACTTACCATAGTGTTACAACTGCTTACAGTATTCAGTACAGTGACATGCTGTACAGGTGTGTAGCCTAGGAGCCAGAGGCTGTACCCTATAGCCCAGGTGTACAGTAGGCTGTACCACTGAAGTTTCTGTAGGTACACTCTATGATGTTCTCACAATGACAAAATCACCTGACAACGTATTTCTCAGAATGTATCCTCATTGTTAAGCAGTACATGATTGTACACCCTCTATCATAACTTTTTTTATAGGACCTTGTAATTTGTAGCTAACTTTTGTGTCTTCCCTGTAAATTTTTAGTGCTCTGAATGCAGGTATTTTATTTTTTGTCTGCACCTCCTGCTTCACAGAGGATGCTGAATGGATGCAGTGCATACTTTTAAGTACTTTGAAGTACAGGATGAGGGTGATGTTCAGCAACATAATAGATTTACTGATCTGTTGGAAAGTCCTTGTATAGAAATCATGGTTCATCAGACAAGATTCTATTTTCTCTCAAAAAAGTCAATTAACCAAAGAACCATATGTCCTTGCATTTTTCTCCATACATTCCGCCTGACTGTACCCTCACTCACACATCATTTCAAGAAGAAAATAGGGCAGGGCACGGTGGCTCATGCCTGTAATCCCAGCACTTTGGGAGGCCAAGGCAGGTGGATTACCTGAGGTCAGGAGTCCAAGACCAGCCTGGCCAACATGGTGAAACCCATCTCTACTAACAATACAAAAATTAGCTGGGTGTGGTGGCATACTCCTGTAATCCCAGCTGCTCAAAAGGCTGAGGTGGGTCAATCACTTGAAACCGGGAGGCAGAGTTTGCAATGAGCCGAGATCGCGCTACTGCATTCCAGCCTGGGAAACAGAGCGAGAGAGAGACTTTGTCTCAAAAAAAAATTTAAAAAAAGAAGAAGCAAATAAAGAAAAAATGTTTTCCTTGCATCATCTTATCATTCTTCTTTCTCCCCATTCTCCCATGCTTTCAGTTCTCTCTGTTTGAAATAACAGCACTGCCAACAACAACAAATAAAAATACTTCGTCCTTGAGATTTATGTCCAAAGTCCCATTACAATGTTATTTATAACAGTGGTAAATGAAAACCACCCTGAAAATATAACAATGGAGGGATAATTAAGCAAATTATGATATATCTACACAATGTCATATTATGTATATATTTTTAAGTTTATAAAAGCATGAGAAAATAATTATGGTATGATGTTAGAAGAAACAAACAGTAAGATGCAAAATTATAGGGACAGTAGAATCACAAGTATATAGAAGTATATATATAGAATAGAAAAAATTTTGGAAGAATATTAACCAAAATATTAACAGTGGCTATTTCTTTTTTTTTTTTCTTTTCTTTCTTTTTTTTTTTTTTTTTTTTTTGTTTGAGAGAGAGTCTTGCTCTTTCCCCCAGCGGCTATTTCTAAATAATGGAAGTATAAGTGGTTTTCATTGTTCTAAGTTTTCTTTGACATATTTACCTGGTTTTTTTTTTTTTTTTTTTTGGTTTGTTTGTTTTTTGAAATGGAGTCTCACTCTGTTGCCCCTGGACATGATCTCGAGTCACTGCAACCTCTGCCTTCCAGGTTCAAGTGATTCTCCTCCCTCCCAGTAGCAGGGATAACAGAACGGCACCACCACACCCAGCTAATTTTTTTATTTTTGGTAGAAACAAGGTTTCACCATGTTGGACAGGCTGGTCTCAAACTCCTGACCTCAGGTGATCCACCTGCCTCGGCCTCCCAAAGTGCTGAGATTGCAGGCATGAGCCACTATACCTAGCCTATATTTACCATTTTTAAAAGTAAAATTTAAAATTATCATGTCAAGTTTTACAAAAAGGAAGTGCTTTGTGTTATCAAAGCAGGGAAGACCAGATGCTTCCCAGAGGAAAAATTAGAAGTATGTGGAATGAGAACAATCCCCTTTCCTGAGCTTGGGGATGAGTGTTAACCATTCTATCTCCCTTTCTATGTTCACTTCCAATCCTGTGAAGATACAGTCAGCAAATAGAACTTTAGCAAATTTCTGGTTCTCTCTGTAGAGAATGAAGGACTTTGATCATCAAAGATGAAATCTAAAGGAAAACACGAGGGGTAAACATTATCTTTTCATCCCCTGTAATTCATCTTCCCTCCTTCCTTTTTCTCTATGCACACAGCTTGCATTAAGGAACACTTTTAAGGAAAGTGCAGAATTGCTGAAAAGGAATATAGTCCTACTCAAAATGCTCTCTTAGCCTGGCAGCTAAACCAGCTCACAGGAGCTGGTTTGGATGCAAAATCTTAAGCCCAGAAGAGACACAGACTAAATACCAGAGCTTCTGGGGGTAGGGGCTAGGAATCTGTATTTTAAGGAGCTCCCCAGGAAGATTCTTTTGCATGTTAATTTTGAGAAGAGCATCTAAGATTTCTGTGATCTAGATTCCAATTCACTTTAACTCTTAGAAGACAAAACAAATCAAAAAAGAATAAAAGGGGGGCAGAAGAGAATGTCAAAGCCATTAATAGTGATGTGATAATAAATGTCTAAAAATTGGACCCTTGGGGAAAGGAAGAAAGCCTTAATTTATACCATTTCCACTGTGTAAATATCACCTACCCCTTCAGGTGATTCTAATCTACCCTTGTGAGGTCATGAGCTTGGAGTTAGAAACACATGCACACAAGTGGCTTTCAAAAGCTGGTCCAGGCCTGGCACAGTGGCTCATGCCTGTAATCCTAGCACTTTGGGAGGCTGAGGCTGGAGGATCACTTGAGCCCAAAAGTTCGAGACCAGCCTGGGCAATATGATGAAACCTGATTTCTACAAAAAAATACAAAAATTAGCCAGCCATGGTGGCGCATGCCTGTAGTCCCAGCTACTCAGGAGGCTGAGGTTGCAGTGAGCTGAGATTGCACCACTCCACTCTAGCCTGGGCGACAGAGCAAGACCCCATCTCTAAAAATAAAATAAATAAAGTGTGCCAGCAGCACACTCCCACATAATGTTCCTGCTGGAAAGGATAACAAGGGCTCAGTTATTTATATATTAAATAATTTCCTCACCATTTGTGAAGACAAATGTCTGTAATGCTTACAGGACTGAATAACATTGCCTTAATATATATATTAAGATTTTTAATATATATTATATATACTAATTATATATTATATATTATATATATTAATTCATATAACTAAATATATATAAAATATATAGTATGTATATTATATAATATATACTATTGTGTATATATTATATATTATATTTTATATATAATATATTATATTTTATATAATATATTATATTTTATATAATATATTATATGTTATATATAATATATTATATTTTATATAATATATTATGTTATATATAATATATTATATTTTATATAATATATTATGTTATATATAATATATTATATTTTATATAATATATTATATGTTATATATAATATATTATATTTTATATCATATATTTTATATATAATATATTATATTTTATATCATATATTTTATATATAATATATTATATTTTATATCATATATTTTATATATAATATGTTATATTTTATATCATATATTTTATATATTATATTTTATATCATATATTTTATATCATATATTTTATATATAATATATTATATTTTATATAAAATATATTATATTTCATATAAAATATATGATATTTTATATCATATATTTTATATATAATATATTATATTTTATATCATATATTATATATAAAATATATTATATTTTATATCATATATTTTATATATAATATATTATATTTTATATATAATATATTATATTTTATATCATATATTTTATATAATATATTATATTTTATATCATATATTTTATATAAAATATATGATATTTTATATCATATATTTTATATAAAATATATTATATTTTATATCATATATTTTATATATAATATATTTTATATCATATATTTTATATATAATATATTTTATATCATATATTTTATATATAATATATTTTATATCATATATTTTATATATAATATATTTTATATCATATATTTTATATATAATATATTATATATCATATATTTTATATATAATATATTATATTTTATATCATATATTTTATATATATTATATATTGAAATTTTATATATTTGATATCAAACACATCATTAAAAAGGTGAAAAAATAAGTGACAACTGGAAAAACATATTTGCCACTTATGTGCTGTCAGGTATATCAAGTATTCATAAGTACATATTACAAGTTATATATTATAGTATATAGTATATATAATTATATATACTATAATACATAATATATATTATATATGCTGTATTATATAATATATATTATTACATATTATATACTATACTATAGAATACATAATATATATACTATATTATACAATATATTATATATACTATATTACACAATATATTATATATACTATATTACATAATATATATCATACATTATATACTATATTATATAAGATATATGTTATATATGTTATATTGTATTATATATATTTTTTATATATATCTGAGTTGCAAGGGCAAACTTAGTCCACAGATCTCAGAGAATGGTCCACACTGTATCTCTCCTAAAAAACTACAAAAGCACAGGAAATCAGACATTGCAAATATATCAGCCCCATTTTGTTCATTCTGTGATAGTGCCAGTTTTTCATATTCAAATATCGAAACCAAGAAAACTCATGAGTACTTTCAAGAATCTCACTGATGATACAGCTTCAGTCATGCCATCTACCCAGTTGATGTCTTCACCTGTTAAAATGGAAACTAAATGTCTCATGAAGGATAAATAAGGGGACTCTTGAGATCTCCCGCTTGCATTTCCAGATGATATTTACTGCCTTCAAGCTTTTCATGCCTACTTCAAAAGAAAAGTTTCTTTTCCAATTCAGGTAAATGTCTCTAAATGTATACTTTTTCTTTTTTCTTTCTTTATTCCATTTTTTTTTCTTTGTTAGGCAGGGTCTCACTCTGTCACCCAGGCTGGAGTACAGTGGTGCAATCTCAGCTCACTGAAGCCTAAACCTCCTGGGCTCAAGCAATCCTCCCACCTCAACCTCCCACTTAGCCACAGGCATGTGCCACCACACCTGGCTAAATTTTGTATTTTTTGTAGAGATGAGTTTTTGCCATTTTGCCCAGGCTGGTCTCGAACTCCTGAGCTCAAGTGATCTGCCTGCCTTGGCCTTCCAAAGTGCTGCGATTACAGGGCATGCACCAGTGCATGCAGCCTAGTTTTTTCTTTTATGTATTAGTAATGCCAAACGTGTTCTCTATTTCTAACATGTACTATGGCTTTTTTGGCAACATAAGGTACAGAGCACAGGTTAGGTCATACACACACGCACACTCACACCATCATCACACACACACACACGCACACCATCATCATAATCACTTTCTGAACAACTTTTTAAACTTTCCAATGCTCAGTTTTCTCATTTGTAAAATGAGATTCTAAGAGGATCTACCTCAGAATTATTGTAAAATTGAAAGAGATAATGCAAGCAAAATGCTTTGTAACACATAATAGTCATTAGTATTAATGATAGTAGTTGGTACTTATAAGCTAAGTTTTTTTTCTCAACTTCTCTCCATTTATCAAACAGGATACAGCTCAAACCAACTTTTCTTTTTAATCTCAGCATCATCAGAAAATGTTTGAAGTTGGAGAAAAGTCAGCCTCTTCAACATATCTTTGTTATTTAATACAAAAAGAAGAAATACAAAGATAAACACCAATTCTATCTAAAATTGAATGAAAAATAAAGCAAGTTATAGACTGCTGTTCAAGAAGCAAATGAAATCAGCATAAGCAATGAATTCAAAATCCTGAGAAGGATTTCATACAGAAAGAAGAAATTCAAAGATAAACACCAACTTTATCTAAAATTGAAGGAAAAATAAAGCAAGTTATAGACTGCCGTTCAAGAAGCAAATGAAATCAGCATAAGCAATGAATTCAAAATCCTGGGCTATAAATGAAATTGAGGCCGATTTCTGCAAATATATCTCATACTTACTCTATACCTGTCTATAATGCTACAACTCCTGCTTTGCCATATATGTAAAAAACAAGCCTAAGACAGGAAAAAGGAACTTACCCACGAAATTCTCTTTATCTTGCTTCTCAGGTGAAGACACCCTAGAATCCATCTCATTCTTGAGAAGCTTTTATACTTGGCAATTTTTCATGGGTTTGGAGCTAAGTGTGAAGAACAGGCAGCAACTCAGATGTGCTTGGGAGAGGGGAGAGGAGAAAGTATGAGAGAGTGAAAGACATTCCTTCTCTTTAGTGAACTCCCTAAGGGGTAGTTACCCTGGTGAGGGAAGCCTGATAACATAAACAAAAAGATTTCTTTTATGAGTTCAGACTGCCTTTGTTCACAGAAAAAACTTGAAAGAATATGACCATCTGGTGGTATTGCTTCCTGTAAAATATTGCTGTGTAATTTTCTATAGCATTTATATTTCATAAAACACTTCTATGCACCTTGTATAAATCTTGTGTGATCACTGATTACACAATGACCTGTTCAATACACAGGGCAAGTGTATCCATCCTTATGTTTCAGATGAGAAAATTTAACCCAACTCATTCTAACACTGCAGTGAGTGAGCTTTTGAAACTCAAATCTGATCATGTCTTCATCCTGCTTAAAATAATCAAAAAATTGCCAACTGTCAATATTGTAAAGACCAAACTCCTAAGTGTCCTACAAGACCCTGCTGGCCTGCCCCTTCCTCCCTTTCCAGCCTCACTCATGTGTCTCTCCGTGAAGCAGCTCCATTGGTCTCCTATCAGTGCCTCCAAAGCTTGATATGTCTTCTCGCCACCGGATCTTTGCACGTGTTATCATATGCATAATTTTTTGGCTTGTGTCTGTTTCTTCTTCTAGACCAAGAATTGACAAACTTTAGCTTGCCAGCTAAATTTAATTTACCACTTGTTTTTAAAACATAAAGTGTTATTGGAACACAGTATGTCCTTTTGTTGCTTTCTTTTTTTTTTTTTTTTTTTTGAGATAGGATTTCACTCTGTTGCCCAGGCTGGAGTGCAGTGGCACAATCACAGCTCACTGCAATCTCGACCTGCCAGGCTCAAGCAATCTTCCTACCTCAGCCTCTTCAACAGCTGGGACTCCAGGTGCACACCACCATACCTGGCTAATTTTTAATTTTTTTTTTTTTTAGAGATGGGGCCTCACTATATTGCCCAGGCTGGTCTCAAACTCTGGGCTCAAATGATCCTTCAGCCTTGGTCTCCCAAACTGCTGGGATTGTAGATATGAGCCACCATGCCCAGCTCTTTCATTTTTGTATTGTCTGTGCTCACTTTTGCACTGCACCCGTGGATTTGAGTAGTTGTGACACAGACCATACAAGCTGTAAGGCCTAAAATATTTACTGTTTGTCCCTTCACAAAAAAAGTTTGCTGACCCCTGCCTTGCACTATACATTTCCATGAGGAGAGTGACTTGGTCTAACATTTCCATTGCATCTGCAACAATTAGAACAACGTGGGCACATGATTGATGTTCAACAATACTTGCTGAATGAATGAATATATAAATCACAAATGAAAACAGCTCTCAAATGGCAAAGCTCTTTCTCAAATCCAGATCCTTAGGATCCTGTACTAGGATTCCTTCTTTCATCAGACCACATAGAACCACAGACAATTTTGTGGTTATTCCAATACTAAGAACACCAATTTTCTAATTTTCTGATGTTCATTTCTCTCATATCAATATCCCAAATATATCTTGTTTTTCTTTTGTATACCATTATATTTATTGTATGGCATTTATTATATTATATTGTATTATTTTGTGAAAACAGTAGAAAAAATCTCTAATCTCTCCCTGGCCTTCTTGTCTTTTCTGGTTTTTCTTCTGCCAACCACCTAGTTATTTCCTTCTTTGCAACTTCATCTTAAAACTTTTCTCAGATTCCAGCCTGGGCAACATGGTAAAACCCCATCTCTACTAAAAATACAAAAATTAACCAGGCATGGTGGCATGCACCTATAGTCCTAGCTACACTGGAGGTTGAAGTGGGAAGATTGATTGAGCTTGGGAAGCAGAGGTTACAGTGAGTCAAGATGGCTCCACTGCACTCCAGCCTGGGTGACACAGCGAGACCCCAACTCAAAAAAGAAAAAAACAAAAGTAAAAAATTTTCCAGGTTATGGGTTATTTATACCAACTACTTGATAATCTTGATTGCCTTTTCCACAAACTCAAATTGTGGAAATAACTACTATGGCTGTCATCCACAGTTTGTAATTACAATAATTAATACAGAGTTTTAGAAATTTAGGAAAGGAGACAAGAACACAGATTAAAACAGACATGCATAATGTGTGCAGAGTCAGCAACTGTCTGCTCTAGGATAGTTTTCTCTGCACCTCCCTTAAACATCCTCGCTTACAGCTCCAAGTAGAAATGTTGCTGGAGGCACAGTGGGCAGGAGAGAAGGCTCTGGGCTCATACTGCCCAGATACAAAGAAAACTTTGCTCTGTCATGAACTAGTGTGTGACATTGGGTAAGCTATTTAACCTCTGTGTTTTATTTTTCTCATCTGTAAAATGGGGATGGTAATATAATATTTACCAAAGAGAGTTGCCTGTATGAGAATCTTATGAAAATTACATGTAAAATATTCAGAATAATGACTAACATTAATAAATGGTAACTATTATTACCATGAATGGAAGCTGGGCTGTATTTCTAAGGACTGAGTTAACTTCTCTCTACAATGGCAAGATTGGGCTAATTTTCACAATGTCTCCCTTGTCCCCTAATTTCAAGTGAAAGGAAGACTGATAGAGATTGATTTGGTATGTCCATACATTTATCAACTCTCTTCTCTCTCTGATCTAATGCTACCTTAAAAACTCGAGGCCCATTCCTGGTCTGTATTGTCATATAATTGCCATCCCGTTTCTTCCGGCCTCTACTTTATCACCATGTCATCATCACTTTGTAACTAACCTCTCATGGAAAGAGCAACAGAAAAACTTCCTGTTTCCATCATTTCTCCCGACTTAAGCCAAAGACAATCTTTGCCTGGAACTGAAAGCCCCTTTCCCTTTGAGTCAGATGCTTCTCCATAGTCATACAGCAAAGTGTTCTGGAGGTGCTAGTTTAGCTTATTTCTAAATACATTTTCTCTTAATATTAGCCAAATACCATTTATGCTAGCACTGCCAGTCACTGAGGTGGAAGGTTCAAAGCAACAGAAACAATAATTATTCCCTGGGAGCCACTACAAAGAGCCTCAAGAGTGCTTGCTATGGTCCATCCCTTTGGAAGATGACTAAGCAACTGTTTTTCTTTTTCCTAAAGAAAGTTTCAAATGTCTCAGCCTAGAAAGCAAGAAGGGTTTCAGCAAGCAATGAACACCTATGACAAACTGAATCCTCATAGCAGGGCCTCAGGAAATGAAACATGAGCTCATTTTCAAGTTTCCTACTTCTTTTTCTGTAAAATATAAATTAGCCCAGTGGATGAATTATTATCATCTGTGGATGTTCTTTCACTTATCCTGGGAAAGGAGGATACGGGAATTTCTGGAAGATGCTTCGGATGAAGACTTTTCAGTGTTTCTGCATTTTCATTTTATCAATTTCTGCACTAGTGAAAGTACTGAGATGAGGACAGCTTTTTATTTTATTTATTTATTTATTTTTTTTGAGATGGAGTCTCTCTGTCACGCAGCCTGGAGTGCAGTGGTGCAATCTCGGCTCACTGCAACCTCCGCTCCCCCTGTGCCAGGGGTCAAGCGATTCTCTGATGCCTCAGCCTCCCAAGTAGCTGGGATTACAGTCATGTGCCACCACGCCCAGCTAAGTTTTGTGTTTTTAGTAGAGATGGGGTTTTGCCATGTTGCCCAGGCTCATCTTGAACTCCAGGCCTCAAGCGATCCACCCAACTCAGCCTTCCAAAGTGCTGGGATTACAGGCATGAGCCAATGACCCTGGCTGAAGACAGCTATGTTTTTAAAAGGCCTAATTCTATTCCCACTCTTGACATACAGGACATGTGTCCTTAAGTATGTATATATTTTTTTCCCTGAATGTTCACCTTATAGCACAAACCCTCTCTTGAGACAATCCTTTCTAAACTTCCACCTATTTCCTTTCCTAAGCTTCTGGTTTCAGACATCACCCACCATCCTTTCTTGCTAAGATGTATCCAGGTGTTCCAGGACAGTGGCTGCTCTCTTAAGAAAACATGCCCTTTTCTTTAAATTGAAATTCTCTGATCTCTTTAACTTTTTTACGAATATACATCATACATTCTAACTTATCCATTCTCATTTATTCCATTCTTGAATTCCCACTTTTTTTTTTCTTTTTTTTTTTTGAGATGGAGTCTCACGCTCTGTCACCTAGGCTGGAGTGCAGTGGCCCAAACTCGGCTCACTGCAACCTCTGCCTTCCTGGTTCAAGCAATTCCCCTGCCTCAGCCTCCCAAGTAGCTGGGATTACAGATGCACGCCGCCACGCCCGGCTAATTTTTATGTATTTTTAGTAGACACGGGGTTTCACCATGTTGGCCAGACTGGTCTCGAACTCCTGACCTCAGGCAATCCACCCACCTCGGCCTCCCAAAGTGCTGGGATTACAGGCGTGAGCCGCGCCCTGCCGAATTCTCACATTTTAAAATGAGAAATTCGGTCTCCAAATCTGTAAAGATATTTATAGTGATAACTCCCCAAGCTGCAAATCTGGCTTATACCTCTCTTCAGAATAATAAATATTTTTAACTATCGGCTGACGAAACATCTCTACCTGGACGTCCCCCAATTAAATATTCTATACGTTAGAACGAAATCTATTGAATTAAGGCGTTTGTATTATGGAATACTGTTGATATATTTAACATGTATGTATTTATTGAATAAAGTAAACAACCATCAATATACCACACAACAGCACCACTAGAATATTACCAATACCATTGAAACTACTTGCATATTCCTCCTGGGTCTCATCCTCACCTCTCTAAAACCGTAATTTATAATTTTGTTGATTATTCTCTTGCTTTTAAAATAGAACCTTTTAAATTATATATTTACATTTCTAAAACACTTATGATTTAGTTTTGCTTTTGCCTTTTTAAAAAATACCCATGTAGGCTGGGGGCGGTGGCTCATGCCTGTAATCCCACCACTTTGGGAGGCCGAGGCGGGTGGATCACGAGGTCAGGAGATCGAGACCATCCTGGCCAACATGGTGAAACCTCGTCTCTACTAAAAATACAGGAATTAGCTGGGCATGGTGGCGTGTGCCTGTAATCCCAGCTACTCAGGAGGCTGAGGCAGGAGAATCACTTGAACCGGGGAGTCAGAGGTTGCAGTGAGCCAAGATTTTGCCACTGCACTCCAGCCTGGCAACAGAGTGAGACTCCATCTCAAAAAAAAAAAAAAAAAAAAAACTCATGAGTGCTCTGCAATTTCCTTTGACATTCCATATTATGTTGCAGGAAGCTATTGCTCTTTAATTTTTAGTGCTATTTAAGACATAGAAGTGTAAACGGGCCACAGTTCACTTATTTATTTGGATACTTTTAGGTTTTCATTATTACAAATGATACTATCATGAATGTTTTGTACATATCTTCTGGTTGTGTATACATGCAAGAGTTTCTCTAAGGCCCTAAAATCCAGATATATACATCTTGAGATGAAACTGTTATATTTTATGTTCAACTTTACAAGATTATTGTAAACAACTTTGTAAAAATATTTTCCAAAGTAGTTTATGTCAATTTAATCTTACTAGTCGTGTACAAGTATTCCTTTTGTTCCAAATCATTGATGGCACTTGTTCATACTTGACTATCTGGTCAGTGTAAAATAGCATTTCATTATAATCTGACTTTAGATTTCTCGGAGTTTTAATAAGGCAGAACAAGTTACACATGGTTATTTACAATTTGTGTTTTCTCCTTTGTGAGTTGCACATACATGCCCTTTGCTCCTATTTTGGGCTTCTTCTTGCAAATTTAATAAGTAGTCTTTATATATACTTGCTATATACATGTCGAGTACTTCTTATCCAAAATGCATAGGACTTAGAAGTGTTTCAGATTTTGGATTTTAGAATATTTGCGTATACATGAGATATCTTGGGGGTTGGCACCCAAATCTAAGCATTCAATTCATTTATGTTTCATATACGCCTTATACACGTAGCCCGAAGGCAACTTTGTACAAGACTTAATAATTTTATATGGAACAAAGTTTGTGTACATTGAACTCATGTGGACAGTCTGTGGTTTTTTGGCATGATCATCATTCTTGACTGAATTTCTACGCTACCAATAAGCAATCATTTTCTTATGCTTATTCACACATAAGTACTTAACAATAAAAGCTATGACACCCCGTTAACACAGTGAAAAAATAATGTGTGTAGCAGCACAGCAGCATCACCAGAATACCTGGCTCAGCTGTTAAACAGCAGCAACAACAAGCAAACAACGGCAGGCTTTCAGCCTCTAGCTATGATGCTGTGTTTGTGTTTCGATTAAAAGGCTACAATAGACTGTATTTTATTTTTTTTAGGTGGGAAGAAACATCAGAAGCATGGGCCCTCTAGGGATGAGGAGACATACTGCTGGAAGGCCTTTTAAACGATTTCCTCCAGAGTCATCTGCCTCATTAACAACAGTTTTTGTCTTAGATGTCTCTCTTGGATTTTATAAACTTACATTATTTCCTGTTCTGTTATAAATGCATGCTGCTCTACTCCTTCACTAAGCCCATCACACATTTTCATCATGTTGTCTAGAGGCACTTTTTTGCAGTATTAACATCATCTTCATCATCACTAATATCACGATCACCTTGATTCAAAATCATTTTGGCTATTTCACAATCCACCAATGAATAAACAACTGGAGCCTCATTATTGAAGGTACAAACTTCTTTAATATCAATTTCTTCCCGTTTATTGATAGACTCTGAAATAATTTTTTTTGCATATATAAGGAGGTCAGACTTTTTTTTTTCTCATTTGACATGTGGAATCCTTCGAAGTCTCCATCTTGTTCGTCACCTTCATTGAATGTAGTCACAGGCCAGAGGCTGTGCCAGGCGTGTACCACTGTGGCCTTAGTTCTGTGTTTCAAGAGAACACAACAGCATATATGGTACCTGTCATGACAAAACCACGTTGAAAACCTTCCACACGCATAGCCTCCATTCACTGCTGCTAGCATACTGGTCAAGAAAGTGTTCTCACTTTCACTCTTCGTTTATCTAAGAATGCTCTGGTCACATAGCTAATGAGTTAATGAAGTCACATTTTGGGGAAAGTACATGACATAAACATTTTTGATGAGAATTTCATTTGGAGAATGAGCAGAATAGCTATCAAGGAATAAAAAATTCTTGTGGTCATCATCCAGCCTAGCTTCCTTGCAGTGAGCAAGAGCTGCTGATATAAAATGTCTGTGAAGCCAGTCAGAAAAGCAGTCCCTGATTGTCCATGACTTTTTTTTTTTTGTCAGAATAATGGACAGGTAAGAAATTAATTTCTTGGAAACAGCCAGGGATGCAGGCTTTTGCCTATCACAGCAAGTGTACCCTTATGTGTGTCTGCTGCATTAGCACATCTCAGCACAGATATTCTGTCCTTGGCATCCTTAATGCCTGTAGGGGCTGCCTCATCAGCTGTAGTCAGTGTCTTTCCAGGGCAGTAAGGACAAAACAGTGATGTTCATCAGCAGCATAGACTTGTTTTGGCATCAGATTTTGATCGGTGATGACCCTGACAAATTCATTAATGAATTTCTTCACTGACCTGTGACCAGTAGATGCCTTATCACCACAAAGGTTTAAAAATGCAATGCCATGTCTTGTGTTAAATTTCTGCAACCAGCCTGTCGCGTATTCATGGTTCCCGTTAATTTTCAGTTTATCATGATCAATCTTTGCTTGTTTCATGATCAGCATACCATTAAGCAACATATGTTTACTGTAACACTGATGAATCAACTCTTCCAATACACAATTGAGATCTTCATTTTTAGCTGTATGTAGTGTTTTTCTATTTTTGATTCACTTCTGTTCATCACTTTTAGCATAGAACTTCAACAGTTTATCCTTCTGTTTCTGCAGGCCATATATGGTGGTCATTCCAATGACATACTCTTCTGAAAGATATACCACACTTATGCCACTGTCCAGTTCCTCCAACAGCTTGGTTTTCTATCAAACTATAGATAAACATAAGTGCTTCCTTATTTTCTTATTACTTATAAGGGTGTCTACAGGTCTTTTTGACATTTTCATGGTATCTTTACACCACAGAGCAGAGAATAAGTGAGTCATGTCCACAGGACTTGGCTTCATGTGGGGCATGATAGAGAGCCTGCCTTCAGTGTGTCTGGCCTGCACATGTGCTATTTTTATCACCCTTTGTGGGGGTATGTTTGAGTGGGGACTCAGGATGCACGGAAAAGATAACGTCGTAGCTGAAAAAGGCTGGGAAGGTCTTTTTCCCCTTGCAGATGCTGAATAAACTGCATTGTGTGCCTGGATTCTGACTGTGACCTGTCCATGAGACCAGGTGTGAAAGAGTGCACTTGTGGTGTCATGTTGGTGCTCAAAGTTTTGGATTTTGGAGTGTTTCAGATTTCAGATTTTCTGATTTTTGGATTAGGGATATTCAACATGTATATAAATATATGCACACCTACACAATGTGTGGGCGTGTATATACACTTTATACATTATATGTACTTATGAATATTTGATACTTGACAGCACATAAGTGGCAAATATATTTTTCCAGTTGTCACTTATTTTTTCACCTTTTTAATGATGTGTTTGATATCAAATATATAAAATTTCAATATATTTAATGCTTGGTGTGCCTTGTTTAAAAATCCTTCCCTTCCTAAGGTCTTGAAGACTGAAATATCAAGCCTTGATAATTAGTGGAGAAAGTCCTTCTACTTTATTCATTCTCTTCAGAAGAATTTTGGCTATTTTTCACCCTCTGGTCACCCATACATTTTAGAATAAGTTCATAAAACTTATTTAAAACGTTGGGATTTTGATTGGAATGGTGTGAAATTTGGAGACTGAGAGATTTTATATTCTAAGGCTATGATTCATAAATATGATCACTGTGTATTCTCCATTTAAGTAGGTTTTCTTTTTTTTTTTTTTTCTTGAGATGGAGTCTTGCTCTGTTGCCCAGGCTGGAGTGCAATGGCGCAATCTCGGCTCACTGCAAGCTCCGCCTCCTGGGTTCCCACCATTCTCCTGCCTCAGCCTCCCAAGTAGCTGGGACTACAGGTCCCTGCCACCATGCCCAGCTAATTTTTTTTTTGTATTTTTTTAGTAGAGACGGGGTTTCACCGTGTTAGCCAAGATGGTCTAGATCTCCTGACCTTGTGATCCGCCTGCCTCAGCCTCCCAAAGTGCTGGCATTACAGGCGTGAGCCACTGCACCTGGCCTAAGTAGGTTTTCTTTAATGATGCTTATGAAGTTTAAAAACAAATTCACCGTAAAATTATTACTCATCTTTTGTAGGATTTGTTACTAGGTGACATGTCACCATTTTCTTCTTTTGAAAAGAGCATACTAGCCAGGCATGGTGGCTCATGCCTGTAATCTCAGCACTTTGGGAGGACAAGGTGGGTGGATTGCCTGAGCCCAGGATTTCAAGACTAGCCTGGGCAACATGGCAAAACCATTTCTCTACAAAAAATACAAAAATAAATAAATAAATAAAATCAGTCAGCCATGGTGGTGTGCACCTGTAGTGCCAGCTACTCAAGAGGCTGAGGTGGGAAGATTACCTGACCCAGGGAGGTCCAGGCTGCAGTGAGCTGTGATCACTTCACTACACTCCAGCCTAGGTGACAGAGGGAGACTCTGCCTCAAAAAAGAAAAACCAAAACTAAAAGAAAAGAGCATGCTATTGATACTGTTGCTCATGTTTGAAAATGCAACTGACCTTTGAATATAATGAATCTGAATCTCACTAAGCTTTATTAATTCAAATAATTTGTCACCTCTGAATATTGTCTGCTTTATATATCTTCCTTTCCAATCCTTACACTTTTTACTTTTTTTGTACCTTACTACACTTGCTACGATGTCTGATACAATGCTGAATTACTTTCCTTGATTGACATCTGCTTTTAAAGGGGTATTTCTAGCATTTCATAGTTAAAAATAAAGTATGCCATAAATACTATCATAGATTTCTTTTACTTGGAAGGTTTTTTTTTTATTATACTTTAAGTTTTAGGGTACATGTGCACATTGTGCAGGTTAGTTACATATGTATACATGTGCCATGCTGGTGCGCTGCACCCACTAACTCGTCATCTAGCCTTAGGTATATCTCCCAATGCTATCCCTCCCCCCTCCCCCGACCCCACCACAGTCCCCAGAGTGTGGTATTCCCCTTCATGTGTCCATGTGATCTCATTGTTCAATTCCCACCTATGAGTGAGAATATACGGTGTTTGGTTTTTTGTTCTTGCGATAGTTTACTGAGAATGATGATTTCCAATTTCATCCATGTCCCTACAAAGGATATGAACTCATCATTTTTTATGGCTGCATAGTATTCCATGGTGTATATGTGCCACATTTTCTTAATCCAGTCTATCATTGTTGGACATTTGGGTTGGTTCCAAGTCTTTGCTACTGTGAATAATGCTGCAATAAACATACGTGTGCATGTGTCTTTATAGCAGCATGATTTATAGTCATTTGGGTATATACCCAGTAATGGGATGGCTGGGTCAAATGGTATTTCTAGTTCTAGATCCCTGAGGAATCGCCACACTGACTTCCACAATGGTTGAACTAGTTTACAGTCCCACCAACATTGTAAAAGTGTTCCTATTTCTCCACATCCTCTCCAGCACCTGTTGTTTCCTGACTTTTTAATGATTGCCATTCTAACTGGTGTGAGATGATATCTCATAGTGGTTTTGATTTGCATTTCTCTGATGGCCAGTGATGATGAGCATTTTTTCATGTGTTTTTTGGCTGCATAAATGTCTTCTTTTGAGAAGTGTCTGTTCATGTCCTTCGCCCACTTTTTGATGGGGTTGTTTGTTTTTTTCTTGTAAATTTGTTTGAGTTCATTGTGGATTCTGGATATTAGCCCTTTGTCAGATGAGTAGGTTGCGAAAATTTTCTCCCATGTTGTAGGTTGCCTGTTCACTCTGATGGTAGTTTCTTTTGCTGTGCAGAAACTCTTTAGTTTAATTAGATCCCATTTGTCAATTTTGGCTTTTGTTGCCATTGCTTTTGGTGTTTTGGACATGAAGTCCTTGCTTTTGGTGTTTTGGACATGAAGTCCTTGCCCATGCCTATGTCCTGAATGGTAATGCCTAGGTTTTCTTCTAGGGTTTTTATGGTTTTAGGTCTAACGTTTAAATCTTTAATCCATCTTGAATTGATTTTTGTATAAGGTGTAAGGAAGGGATCCAGTTTCAGCTTTCTACATATGGCTAGCCAGTTTTCCCAGCACCATTTGTTAAATAGGGAATCCTTTCCCCATTGCTTGTTTTTCTCAGGTTTGTCAAAGATCAGATAGTTGTAGGTATGCGGCATTATTTCTGAGGGCTCTGTTCTGTTCCATTGATCTATATCTCTGTTTTGGTACCAGTACCATGCTGTTTTGGTTACTGTAGCCTTGTAGTGTATAGTTTGAAGTCAGGTAGTGTGATGCCTCCAGCTTTGTTCTTTTGGCTTAGGATTGACTTGGCAATGCGGGCTCTTTTTTGGTTCCATATGAACTTTAAAGTAGTTTTTTCCAATTCTGTGAAGAAAGTCATTGGTAGCTTGATGGGGATGGCATTGAATCTGTAAATTACCTTGGGCAGTATGGCCATTTTCACGATATTGATTCTTCCTACCCATGAGCATGGAATGTTCTTCCATTTGTTTGTATCCTCTTTTATTTCCTTGAGCAGTGGTTTGTAGTTCTCCTTGAAGAGGTCCTTCACATCCCTTGTAAGTTGGATTCCTAGGTATTTTATTCTCTTTGAAGCAATTGTGAATGGGAGTTCACTCATGATTTGGTTCTCTGTTTGTCTGTTGTTGGTGTATAAGAATGCTTGTGATTTTTGTACATTGATTTTGTATCCTGAGACTGCTGAAGTTGCTTCTCAGCTTAAGGAGATTTTGGGCTGAGACGATGGGGTTTTCTAGATAAACAATCATGTCGTCTGCAAACAGGGACAATTTGACTTCCTCTTTTCCTAATTGAATACCCTTTATTTCTTTCTCCTGCCTGATTGCCCTGGCCAGAACTTCCAACACTATGTTGAATAGGAGTGGTGAGAGAGGGCATCCCTGTCTTGTGCCAGTTTTCAAAGGGAATGCTTCCAGTTTCTGCCCATTCAGTATGATATTGGCTGTGGGTTTGTCATAGATAGCTCTTATTATTTTGAAATACGTCCCATCAATACCTAATTTATTGAGAGTTTTTAGCATGAAGGGTTGTTGAATTTTGTCAAAGGCTTTTTCTGCATCTATTGAGATAATCATGTGGTTTTTGTCTTTGGCTCTGTTTATATGCTGGATTACATTTATTGATTTGCGTATATTGAACCAGCCTTGCATCCCAGGGATGAAGCCCACTTGATCATGGTGGATAAGCTTTTTGATGTGCTGCTGGATTCGGTTTGCCAGTATTTTATTGAGGATTTTTGCATCAATGTTCATCAAGGATATTGGTCTAAAATTCTCTTTTTTGGTTGTGTCTCTGCCCGGCTTTGGTATCAGAATGATGCTGGCCTCATAAAATGAGTTAGGGAGGATTCCCTCTTTTTCTATTGATTGGAATAGTTTCAGAAGGAATGGTACCAGTTCCTCCTTGTACCTCTGGTAGAATTCGGCTGTGAATCCATCTGGTCCTGGACTCTTTTTGGTTGGTAAGCTATTGATTATTGCCACAATTTCAGCTCCTGTTATTGGTCTATTCAGAGATTCAACTTCTTCCTGGTTTAGTCTTGGGAGAGTGTATGTGTCGAGGAATGTATCCATTTCTTCTAGATTTTCTAGTTTATTTGCGTAGAGGTGTTTGTAGTATTCTCTGATGGTAGTTTGTATTTCTGTGGGATCAGTGGTGATATCCCCTTTATCATTTTTTATTGTGTCTATTTGATTCTTCTCTCTTTTTTTTCTTTATTAGTCTTGCTAGTGGTCTATCAATTTTGTTGATCCTTTCAAAAAACCAGCTCCTGGATTCATTGATTTTTTGAAGGGTTTTTTGTGTCTCTATTTCCTTCAGGTCTGCTCTGATTTTAGTTATTTCTTGCCTTCTGCTAGCTTTTGAATGTGTTTGCTCTTGCTTTTCTAGTTCTTTTAATTGTGATGTTAGGGTGTCAATTTTGGATCTTTCCTGCTTTCTCTTGTGGGCATTTAGTGCTATAAATTTCCCTCTACACACTGCTTTGAATGCGTCCCAGAGATTCTGGTATGTTGTGTCTTTGTTCTCGTTGGTTTCAAAGAACATCTTTATTTCTGCCTTCATTTCGTTATGTACCCAGTAGTCATTCAGGAGCAGGTTGTTCAGTTTCCATGTAGTTGAGCGGCTTTGAGTGAGATTCTTAATCCTGAGTTCTAGTTTGATTGCACTGTGGTCTGAGAGATAGTTTGTTATAATTTCTGTTCTTTTACATTTGCTGAGGAGAGCTTTACTTCCAACTATGTGGTCAATTTTGGAATAGGTGTGGTGTGGTGCTGAAAAAAATGTATATTCTGTTGATTTGGGGTGGAGAGTTCTGTAGATGTCTATTAGGTCTGCTTGGTGCAGAGCTGAGTTCAATTCCTGGGTATCCTTGTTGACTTTCTGTCTCGTTGATCTGTCTAATGTTGACAGTGGGGTGTTAAAGTCTCCCATTATTAATGTGTGGGAGTCTAAGTCTCTTTGTAGGTCACTCAGGACTTGCTTTATGAATCTGGGTGCTCCTGTATTGGGTGCATATATATTTAGGATAGTTAGCTCCTCTTGTTGAATTGATCCCTTTACCATTATGTAATGGCCTTCTTTATCTCTTTTGATCTTTGTTGGTTTAAAGTCTGTTTTATCAGAGACTAGGATTGCAACCCCTGCCTTTTTCAGTTTTCCATTTGCTTGGTAAGATCTTCCTCCATCTTTTTATTTTGAGCCTATGTGTGTCTCTGCACATGAGATGGGTTTCCTGAATACAGCACACTGATGGGTCTTGACTCTTTATCCAACTTGCCAGTCTGTGTCTTTTAATTGGAGAATTTAGTCCATTTACATTTAAAGTTAATATTGTTATGTGTGAATTTGATCCTGTCATTATGATGTTAGCTGGTGATTTTGCTCGTTAGTTGATGCAGTTTCTTCCTAGTCTCGATGGTCTTTACATTTTGGCATGATTTTGCAGCGGCTGGTACCGGTTGTTCCTTTCCATGTTTAGCGCTTCCTTCAGGAGCTGTTTTAGGGCAGGCTTGGTGGTGACAAAATCTCTCAGCATTTGCTTGTCTGTAAAGTATTTTATTTCTCCTTCACTTATGAAGCTTAGTTTGGCTGGATATGAAATTCTGGGTTGAAAATTCTTTTCTTTAAGAATGTTGAATATTGGCCCCCACTCTCTTCTGGCTTGTAGGGTTTCTGCCGAGAGATCCGCTGTTAGTCTGATGGGCTTCCCTTTGAGGGTAACCCGACCTTTCTTTCTGGCTGCCCTTAACATTTTTTCCTTCATTTCAACTTTGGTGAATCTGACAATTATGTGTCTTGGAGTTGCTCTTCTCGAGGAGTATCTTTGTGGCGTTCTCTGTATTTCCTGAATCTGAACGTTGGCCTGCCTTGCTAGATTGGGGAAGTTCTCCTGGATAATATCCTGCAGAGTGTTTTCCAACTTGGTTCCATTCTCCGCATCACTTTCAGGTACACCAATCAGACGTAGATTTGGTCTTTTCACATAGTCCCATATTTCTTGGAGGCTTTGCTCATTTCTTTTTATTCTTTTTTCTCTAAACTTCCCTTCTCGCTTCATTTCATTCATTTCATCTTCCATTGCTGATACCCTTTCTTCCAGTTGATCGCATCGGCTCCTGAGGCTTCTGCATTCTTCACGTAGTTCTCGAGCCTTGGTTTTCAGCTCCATCAGCTCCTTTAAGCACTTCTCTGTATTGGTTATTCTAGTTATACATTCTTCTAAATTTTTTTCAAAGTTTTCAACTTCTTTGCCTTTGGTTTGAATGTCCTCCCGTAGCTCAGAGTAATTTGATCGTCTGAAGCCTTCTTCTCTCAGCTCGTCAAAGTCATTCTCCATCCAGCTTTGTTCCGTTGCTGGTGAGGAACTGCGTTCCTTTGGAGGAGGAGAGGTGCTCTGCGTTTTAGAGTTTCCAGTTTTTCTGTTCTGTTTTCTCCCCATCTTTGTGGTTTTATCTACTTTTGGTCTTTGATGATGGTGATGTACAGATGGGTTTTCGGTGTGGATGTCCGTTCTGTTTGTTAGTTTTCCTTCTAACAGACAGGACCCTCAGCTGCAGGTCTGTTGGAATACCCTGCCGTGTGAGGTGTCAGTGTGCCCCTGCTGGGGGGTGCCTCCGATTTAGGCTGCTCGGGGGTCAGGGGTCAGGGACCCACTTGAGGAGGCAGTCTGCCCGTTCTCAGATCTCCAGCTGCGTGCTGGGAGAACCACTGCTCTCTTCAAAGCTGTCAGACAGGGACATTTAAGTCTGCAGAGGTTACTGCTGTCTTT
This sequence comes from Homo sapiens, assembly GCF_000001405.40. Lineage (NCBI taxonomy): Eukaryota > Metazoa > Chordata > Mammalia > Primates > Hominidae > Homo > Homo sapiens. The sequence continues at coordinate 39,006,302 of NC_000013.11, forward strand.
TTGTTTGTCTGTGCCCTGCCCCCAGAGGTGGAGCCTACAGAGGCAGGCAGGCCTCCTTGAGCTGTGGTGGGCTCCACCCAGTTCGAGCTTCCTGGCTGCTTTGTTTACCTAAGCAAGCCTGGGCAATGGCGGGCGCCCCTCCCCCAGGCTCGCTGCCGCCTTGCAGTTTGATCTCAGACTGCTGTGCTAGCAATCAGCGAGACTCCGTGGGCGTAGGACCCTCCGAGCCAGGTGTAGGATATAGTCCCATGGTGCGCCGTTTTTTAAGCCGGTCTGAAAAGCGCAATATTCAGGTGGGAGTGACCCGATTTTCCAGGTGCGTCCGTCACCCCTTTCTTTGACTCTGAAAGGGAACTCCCTGACCCCTTGCGCTTCCCAGGTGAGGCAATGCCTCGCCCTGCTTCAGCTCGTGCACGGTGCGTGCACCCACTGGCCTGCGCCCACTGCCTGGCACTCCCTAGTGAGATGAACCCGGTACCTCAGATGGAAATGCAGAAATCACCCGTCTTCTGCGTTGCTCATGCTGGGAGCTGTAGACCGGAGCTATTCCTATTCGGCCATCTTGGCTCCTCCCGGAAGTTTTTTTTAACCTAGTTTGCAAAGAGTTTTTTTTTTTTATTTTTTAGCCATTATGGTGGTTGAATTTTATCAAATGTTTAATGTTTTTGATGCATAGACCAAGAATGTTTTTTCTCTACGTGGCAAATTGCACTCTTAGATTTCCTAATGTTATTTTACCCTTGCACTCCTGAAACAAACACAACTTGATCATGGTCTGTCATCTTTTTTTAAAAAAAAAAATGCTCTACTTGTATTGCTAATACTTTATGGTTTTGTACTATTCCCTTGAGTAAGCTTGACATGTATTTTTTATTTTTCATACTATTCTTGTCTGAGTTTTGGTATCATGGTTAAGCTGGTCTTTAAGAATGACTTGAGGGGTCATATAGTCATATATAGTCAATAGAAAGAGTCAATACTCATACATAGTCAATAGAAAGAGGAGTGTCTTTCTACTGGAAGAGTTTGTATGTCCTTAAAATGGCCCATCCCTGAAAGTTCAGGACTCAGAAAAGCCTTCCAACACTGCTTCCTTTCCATTTACAAGTGTTGAGATTCTAATATAGGAGGTCCTCAAATAACATCCTTTTGTTCCACATTGTTTTATTGTAAGATGAGTGGCTGGGGCCTCTGTCTGCATGGTTTGCATTCTCCCCACATCTGTCTCCACATATTCTGGTTTCTTCCACATCCTAAGGTGCCTGTTAGGTTTTCTCGTGTGTCTAGGTTGTCCCAGTCTGAGTGAGCATTGGTGTGTGAGTGTGCCCTGGGATGGGATGGTGTCCTGTCCAGGATGGGTCCCTGCCTTGCATCCTGAGCTGCAGGGATCAGCTCCAGCCACCAGTGACCCTGAACTGGAATAAGTGCGTTGGAAAATCAATGAATACAAATTGTAAAATAAAGGTTTGTAAAGTCCACGATAATCATACAAATGCATGACAATAAATGATGTGGTGCCTAAGCGCTCAGCGAGCCTGCCATGTTTCTGATTGTTTTTGAACTCCGCGGTGGTAGGAGGTGTTCCTGACAATTTTCTTTGTAAAGGATATGTACGCACATTCCATGACTTAGCCCACCACCATGACCACCACTAGTCACTGACGAAAAATTGGGTAATTATCTAGTTTTTATTACTTTCTTAAATGTATGTTTAGGTCACATTTATTTCAATGTTTAATTAGAAGTGTTCTGGGTCTTTATTTAGTGTAGTTTTTGTGGCCAGAAACATTCCACAGGAACTTAATTTTGCTTACGTCAATTAGCCTATGGTAAAATTGGTTTGATTATTCTGTTTCTCTTAGTCGCAGTTTCCAAAAACCTACTGATGATCCAAATGAAGACTTACCGTACAGGAAAGCCTAATTAACGTCTCACCGTGTGCTTATTTCTTACACGTGTCTGTGCCTTTCTTCTTGTCTTTTGGATATTTTTGTTTATTCCGATTACCCTTTCTACAAATTAGGAGTGATAAACACCATTGACTTTTAGCTCTTACCATAAAATTTTGTCAGAGATACTTAAAAACTTACTATCCTAATGCCTCATCTGAATAAAAGGATCTTGGGGATGTTAAAACTAAATATGGCCTGAGAAGGACTCCGTACTTCTGTATTTGAGTCCTTCTGAATGAACTGTAATCTAGCTTGTCAGACAAAATTGAAAACCTAGTTTAGGAGTATGTGCCTGTAACAGGAACTGAATCTTGGCCAATCTCAGCGGCCATACTTCAACCACTGCTAAGTGTTCGAATTGTGTTCAAATAAGGCACCAACCTGCAAGCAATCCAGCTGTTTATCTCACTGCCGATTTCTGTACATCGTTTCCTTTTTTTTTGGTCTATAAATCTTCTTCCACCACGTGGCTGCACTTGAGTCTCTGTGAATCTGCTGTGATTCTGGGGGCTGCCCAATTTGCGAATCATTCATTGCTCACTTAAACTCCTTTAAATTTAATTTGGCTGGAGTTTTTATCAGGGACAATTTGGATTACCCTTCCCAACTTACTTGCTAATGTTCAATATTTAGCCTTGTAACTGACCAAATTAGATACTGTTTGCCAATATGTTGTGTCACCTCTAAAAACAACAAAAATTTGAAGTCCTCATTAAATTTGGAGTTCTTTTCTACAATTCTGACACCAACTATATTTTATAAATATAGAAACTAATCTGGCAAATCAAATGGTGAGGCTTAAAGTTCATCAATTATATGAATTAACTAACAGCTTTTGCAAACCTTAAACACACTACTGGCCTTCACATAAAGGGGACAGAGAGGAACACAATCTTCATAATCTTCATTTTTGGGTTTCTCCAGTAACCTCTAATCCAACCTCCATGCTGCCACCTAAGTGATTTTTCTAAAGCACTCCAATACGTTTCCAAACTAACCACAGAACAAATCCCCAGGTCTTTGGCATGTTTTAAAGGTCTTTCATGATCAGGTACCTCTCTTGCTTTTCATCCTCAAACTACCATGCTCCATCCACATATATTATATTGCTATGCTATTGTCATACTTTGTGCCTTTATAAATCATGTAATTCTTACTCATTCTTTAAGACTTTAATGTCACTGATAAATCTTTCTAGACTCTCTCAGGTAGTAAGATACTCCCCTCACTTCTCGTGTTTTCTTAGCACTTGGTAGTAGAAGTATTCATAGTAGATGCTTGATTCAGATTTACCACTTTTTATGTGACTTACATCTTGGATTCTTTAGTGAATTAGGTTACTTATCCCATATAGTTGGGAAACATATACATAAAACTAGCCTCTACGAATTAGTGCAAGGATTCTAAAAACATTCACTTTTATATATACCTTTGAATGGCCAATTATGTGTGAGGCCAGGGATCTATAAGATGAATAGGATATAGCTCCTCTTTTCAAGGGGCTCATAGGATAGCAGAAATACACCTTGTTGTGGCATCACATTGTATCAAGACTACTCATTCAATAATTATTTTCTGAATGAATGGTCAACATATATAAAAAACACAATATAATCTTAAAAGAAGTTTTATGGGTATAGATTTAAGAAAAACAAATGGCAACTTCCAGCAACTGGTATCAGATTAAACTATAGCTTACATTCTGTGTTTAAAGACATAAATCTGTCTGTTCATATGTTGGTTATGACTTTTACATTAAAATATCATTTAAACGAATGAGCAATCAGTAGTATAAACAGAGTTACAACTAAATTTGGATAAAAATGTTCAATAATTAACTCTAGCACGTATACAAAATTAGAAAGCCTATCCAAGCACTTAGTAAAACACAGAATATTTGTCATATCCATAGTTTATTTTAAAAAACTGTTAAAAACTAACCATACAGGTTTATTAATATACTTAAAAAGTTTGTTCCCTATGTTGAAGTAAAATACATTAGCAACATCTTCCGGACACCATCTTTATAAAAGTAAAACTTCTAGATCCTGAAATGTACTACAGTAGAGTCTATAGTTTACACTTTTAATCACAGATTGGAATTCATTCTCCTTACTCCCCTACTTCCCACATGTGGCAGTTATTACTTCAAAATTAATGACATTCACTCATGTTATACTACCACAGATCCTTAAATAGAGTACATACTGCATAATTACTAACAGAGCCAGTCTTCTCTATTTGTTGTCACATATTTCATATAAGCATTTGACTTAAAGTACAAATAGAAATACTACATCCCATAATTGTAAACATTCACCAGGAGCTTCCATAGTACAGTAAGTAACAGAGGTGGCCCAAGAGTCAGTCAAGTGTTCTTCACTCACTGGATACTGCTGAGATTAGGAAAACTGTTTTGAAGGCAAATTATCCTAAGTCTTACTTGTATTTCTATAAGGATGCAGTTCTGGATATATACTTTCAGTTGAAAACACCTGAAAGTCATTCTATAGTCTACATTAAGCACCACTTTCACTTACCTGAAATATTTTGAGTTAAATTCAGCAGTATGTACGGTTGTTAATATCAGAAATTAAGAATAACTGTGGGTCTCAAGTTCCCTTTTGTGGATACATACAGAGTACTGAGTTCCCACTGATGCTAATAGGAACCGCTCATGCATACCAAGGGTAGTAACTCCCCCAGGGCCACATGCAACCCCCAAGTCTGAGGCACAACTATTACTTCTGCCAGTGGATGCTATACAAGCATATTTAAGGCTGTATTCGGCTATAAAGAGTTCAACCTACTCTTTAATATTCTTTCTATGTAGATCACATACACAATTCAAAATTTTATAGGACAGGTGAAAAGTCTCCAAACACTTTTTAAATACCATTCTCCATACAATTTATTGTCAGCATATTTACATAGGGGAGTGTTCACACTTTAAAATGCAACCACAATTTTCAAATTGTTGTCACAATTTCTCCAGGATTACCCTCATTCTCATTTTCCGACTTTTGGCCAGCTTCACATTTGTCAGATTGTTCATTGCAGTTCTCAGGCAATTCTGATGTTGCTCTGAAGGAGAATAAAAGTTAAAAGTATTCACTGCCACCCACTCTGGGACAGGCTTGGTTGCAAAGAAAATGGTGTTCCTGGCGCTGAAGGATAACTAGGAAACCCATCAGGCTGAGCTGGATAGCTTTCCAGAGCCGAAGCTGAATGGACCTGATGGAAAGAAGAGCGTGTGGTTTAGCAGAGTGCCAAGTTCATTCAAGCCTGCGCTTGCTTCTACCCATGCCACACAGAGATATTCAGAATAGGAAAGAAAGACAAGACAAAACTCTGAGGCACAATAAAGTCTGCTCAGTCACTTAAAATTTTTAAGAAAATGTTCAAATTTCTTCAGGTGAAGGAGATGCATAGAACTGTCATTAAAATATTTAATATTCTCTCAAAAGTCAATAGGTTTTCTACAGATAATGTGCTTTAACGGTCAATCATTAAGCTTGAATTACAGAAGACAAGTTAACATTTAACTGTCATGAATAGATTCTTAAATTTTATCAAGTGAAATCTATAAGCAGGAAGGAAAAACAATTCATACAGATAACTATATCCTACCACCTCTGTTACTCTCCTGAAAGAAGACAAGCAAAATTTGCAAATTTGGAGAGAAGTAATCATCATCAAATCTCTATGCATTCTGCTAAGAGCCATTTTTTGCCAATGTTGGGATATCGCAAATGATACTGCAATGTTATCACTACAGAAGTTAGTTATACATGTTACCATGTAATTTATGCCAGCCATTGCTGCTTACCTGCTGTAACAATGCTGACTGCGCAGCCGCATTATGCTGTAATTCTTGCAAGGATGATTGTGAAGGATTCTGAGGAAACCCAGGGATACCCGGGAGGGACAAAAGGCCTGGAAAAACAGAACTGCCTGCAGCTTGAAGTCCAGATGATAAACTAAAACAATTGACAGAAAAACAAGTTAACTGCAGACAAGACATAAAAGCTACTGTTTCCATATTTGTCAAATACAATCTTAAAATGTTAAAAACAAAACAAAAACCTTAGAATTTATTCCTCTGTTGGAAGGACCATAAAAATCAGCCATTCCCTGATATGAATCTTTCTACTGTGAAGTATATTATTCGAAATTCAGTAAGTCTGTTTTGCATATAATCCTTTCTGCTGTCTTATAAATAAAACTATCAAATACAAATCCAAACATTGTATCAACAGGCATTAATATTTTATACATTTATCTTAACATGGTTCATAAAACATTTCAGAGTGCTAAAGTTTTCACCCAGAAAAACATCATTTAGATTTTGACATTCATTTTGATGACTTGAAATGAAATGTGAACTACAAGTTAGGTGAAGAATAATTTTATCCTATTTCCAAACTATCCACATACCCGGCTTGTGCAACAAGAGCGGAGTTGAAATTGGAACTGAATGCTGAGGCGAATCCTGGGAGGACTGGAGCTGGGGATGGGGCTGTGGCAGCCACAGGTAGTGGTGTGACAGCTGCGACTGTAGAGGGCGCCTGCAGCCCCGGGAATGAGGGAAGAGCAGGGGTAACGCTTGGGGTATTAGAGACAGAAAAGCCTGGATAGGAGGGATTTGAAGATGACAGAGGTCCTTGAGTAACAGAGAAAAGTGAGGGAACAGCAGTGGACAGGTTGAGGGGGAAAGGTGCTGCTGAGACTGGTGCTGAAGCAGAAAGCCCTGAGAGAACAGCTGCCGTTGAGCTAGGATGAGGGAGAGATGTGGAGGTGGCAGCGGTAGATGAGGTGGCTATTAATGACCCTGGGAGAGATACTGACGGATTAAGAGATGGGTTGCCAGTTAAAGGAAAATTGTTGGTCAAAGAAGTAAAAGAAGGAAGAGCAGTGAATACTGGTGCAATGGGAGTGGAGGAACCATGTGGTGGAAGGGAAATAGAGGAAAGAGGATTTGAACCATTTAAAGGAGTACTCAAGCTGGAGAGACCTGACAATGCAGGATTAAGGCAAGCAGATAAACTGATGGGCACGGATGTTGAAGTATATGCACGGCCCAATGTCCCTGACAAACCTAAAGTGCCATGAGAGGGATTCCCAGAATGAGATGGACCTTTGAAGGCCGAGGGAGTAGGACTTGTGGGCTCAGTTTTGATCATAACAGGAAGAGTTGTTGCAGCAGGGGTAGATGAAATATGCAGATCTGAGGTACCTGGGTGGGGGCCACGCAAAAGGGAGGCTGAGGAGCCACAGCTAACTGGCACTGACGTGGAAGCTGATGCAGCAGTGGCTAAAGGAGACTGTACAGGCAATGTCAGGGGAGTGGAAGTTGAGTTAGCCACGGGAGACGGCAGGCCTGGGAACAGGGCCAACCCTGGAGTGGAAGTCCTCTGTGGGGTAGGGATGGCTGATGGGGCATAGCACTTGTTAGGGGCTGAAGCAGAAGAGTCAGAGTTCTGAAGAGTAAGAGAAGATAGTGAAGCCAGCCCACTTGTGACAGCAGAGGATAAAGCAGAGGAGTTGATTAAATTGGTGTCATTGGATGTCAGAAAACCTTTTAACGCAGACAAAAGAGGACTGTTCACACCAAGTGGACCGGCAACGCTGGGAGTAGAGCCACCAGCAATTACAGGAGTCGGGTTGGATAGGCCTTGGGATGTTGGTGGTAAGGGCAAAGGGAGCCCTGCAAAAACTGATGACAATGAAGCAGAATTTGGGTTGCTGGTAGAAGCAGCAGAAGAGCTGGTGGAAAAGGGGAGGCTAGTGAAAGGTGCAGAAGTAGAAGCAAATGCTTCACTGGAACCAAGAGTGGACCGTGGTGTAGGTCCTGGGGTAGGAGTGGCTGCGGTAGGAGTGGCAGAAGGACCTGGCAGTGACACTAGGCCAGAAAAAATGGAAGGAACAGGAGTGGTGGTTGTACTGTGGATGGATGTAACAGGTGCAGTGGGCAATGAAGGGGTTCTGATAACTGTTGGGTTTGGTATTGATGGCTGAGGTGTGTGAACGGCTGAGGAGACCTGCCCTGGGAACACAGGAAGGACAGTATTCAGCAGGTTCATTCCAGAAACGGTGGCAGCTGCTGATGCTGATGGATGATTAATTGCCTTGACTGGGGATGCAGTAGGAACAGGAGTTGCAGCAGGTGTTGAAGGATTAGAACCATGAGGAGAAAAGAGTTGACTTGCTGGGGTGGAAAATGCTATATGGAAGGGGGAAAAAAGGCAAGAATGTATCATCATGCTGAAACGTCAAATTTTGAATTAAAAAGCATAACCATTTTTGTAATATTTAACAAATACCAAATAAAAAATGACAAGTATAACAGGCTCTTGTAATATCTAAATTGCTGGGTTCCATTTCTCAGATCTTTACTCTGGAGCCAGTCAGATCCAGTTTTCGTCTAGACTCTGCTCAAAATAGCCCTCCAAATCACAGGAAGTTTTGAGAAGCTTGCGAAGTGTCCTTTCATGTTTTTCCGCTTTTTAAAAATTAAAGCATTTATTTTAATTGTGATTAGTGCTGCTGCACTGACTTTACCTCTAATTCTTTCAATCTACTTATCTAGAGTCAGTCAGTCCCCCTCATAGGAGCTTTCAGAACATGGCTTCCCTTGCAGGGCCATACAAGGCTTTCCAGGATTCATGCCCAGCTCTCCAGTATTGTTTGTTGCCACTCTGTGAGTTGAATTTAATATTCCAGATTGTTCATCTGTACAGTTGCCCCGCCCCACCCCCATACATTTGCTCATACTGACCGCTCTACACTACATTAACCCCTAACCCTTACCTGGCAACTCCTTTAGGGGCAAAAGCTGTGTCTAATTCATCTTTATAGTCTTAGTACCTAGCACAGAACACAGCACCTGCATAGTTAATGAGCGTCTGCTGGGCTGGATATATCATAATTACCTCAAACTACAGTTCCCAAACCCACTCAAGGACTATTCCCAACACTATTTCTAGAGTTTGCTATTTTTATTCTGATAAACTCTACAAATAATAAGCATTTTGGGGGATGATGTGGGCTCCCCTCTGAATGTATTCAATGGCTATCCCCACCTGTGATAATCTTGGTGTCAAGGGATATCATGACTTAGGTAGCTAATGTCATAAACACAACTATCATCTGATACTGTACTCACATCAAATTCTGTTTCAGTTGTAGAGAATGTTCCTGTTGCAGTGATAACCAACTGAGAAATATTTTCATGGACTAACACATTTTACAATTTATGTATAATTAAGATTCTTTTGACATAAGCAAGCTGACACGGTCAACGAATACACTATGCTACTCATAGATGGGAAGGGACAATAGGAAGAAAATGGAGGTAAACAACACATACATAATTCATTTGCACTATGTGAAGGCCAAGGGGTGTCACATTGGGCTGAACAAATTTTGTAGTTGTTTTAGAAAAAAAAAATGATTGGAAAATTGACAGTCATATTTAAGTACATAAACTGAAACTCAAAAGTCCTTAAGTCTTGACCGTATTAATGTTGTAAGCAGTGATTTGGTTTCAATAAGACTAGCTATCATTTTAAACTTACAGTACCTATAAAAATGGATTTGTACGTTTTTTGTACTTAATTTCTTTTATAAGAACTAAAAGGATAAGGAATATATACCTAATCTTATGTTTGTAAATAATGTACCAAAAAGGTATTTAAGTCCATAGGTGTTGGGTATCATTTGAGAAATCACTATCTTATTTATTAAACTATATGCTGAAGACCATGTAGCTAATGACAAATCTGAAGGTAAAACCAAGCTATCCTAGAGTATTATTTATAGCAGCCTCTGTTGGATCTTTTTATTTAATAAAGCAAAAGCTATGCATTATTAATCATAGCACTTGCAGGTAAAAATGAAACGAACAAAAATAAAAAAAATCCCAACCACATACCATAATAAACAGCACTTTCCAGTCATCTAATTTGGTTATTAACCATAAAACATGATCTGTCAAGCCCTGTGCTAAGTTAGGCCCATCATTTCACTTGTCCTCACAATAACTCTCTGAGATAGAAACTAACACCCTCATTTGACAGATGGGCAATCTGAGGCTTGCTATGACTAAGCAACTGGATAAAAGATCATGCAGCTACTACATGGTGGAGCCAAGACTTGAGCCTGGGTCTTTCAGACTCATGTCTTTAACTGCTATACTAGTTTGTCTTAATTTGTTTCTTAATACAGTTCCAAAAGGAAAAAATAAAATCTTAATCATGCTAACATCGTACAACATAGGAAAACAATATGCTATTCCTGCCAATGGTACTTACAACAACTAACCTGATTACTCCCTTCAAAAACATTTGAACATAAAATAATAAAGATGAACATAAAAGCTGAAATTTCCTCAATCTCCTTTTCACTGGAGTTAAATTACCTGTTCAAGGTCACAAAACTAGGTGATGCCAGAGGCAGGATAAGAAACTGGATGTCCTGACATTTCACTTAGTGTTCTTTACACCCCACTATGCTACCTCCTTTAGAAACTACCAGCTGAGAAGCACCTGCTAGGCACTGTTCTCAGGGAATGGAATTCTCCCACTGAGACTCCTAACTATGTACTACAATGGTCAGGCTATTGTGCTACTTTGCTAAACAAGAACTGATGTAGTTTTGTCTCATACAAGAAAGCCTCTCCTTCCTGACCACACAGATCATCACCTAGGGGAAAAATACAACGTCGCAGCACTGCTGCCATCTGGAGGCACTATGTAGGACACACTTCATTTTCATTTTTCAATTCCATTTTCTGCTTTGGTGCCCCTTGTTCTTTCCTACATTAAGATATGCTTAATAATACTTATTGAAATAATGAACTCTAAAAATAGAATCTGACTAGCATTTGTCAAAAAGGATTTTTATCATCCCATGTGTTTATATCAAAAAACAAATGAGGTTTCCAGTATCACAGAATGTAAAGTGAATGTGAATGCAAAGCTACGCAGTACTTACATTACACTGCAAGTTTTGCAAATTGTATAAAAGTCCTAAGATTAATTTTAAATTCAGTTAACACGTGCATTTCATGTTATGTATATAATATGTAACACTAGTAAACCACTTTTAACAAGTATGAATTATATTCTTTAACCAGAAACTTTTCCTAAAACATAACCATTCCAAATATACTCAAATTATTCTCAGTGAATAACAGAGCAAACCATGACAGATATCCGTTATCTCTGGATCAAATTTGCTACTTACTTTGATTCTGTATAGGTTTTGACGGATTCGAAAGGTCTTCATTCTCTATATAAAAATAAATAAAAGTTCATTTTAAACTTTAATCAAATATTTGCCACCATAATAAACAGATATTTGGATAAAAAGAAAAACACAGGATATAAATATTTATGGACTATGTTAGGAAAAAAATGTACACATATGGGAAAATAAATAAAAATAGTAGTAACTCTACTATTATTACTACTAATACTTTACTACTCTATCTGAAGAGCAAGAGGATTACCAGAAACTGAGTGAGTGCTCTTTTATCCCCTAGCATCTCTACCTTAGCTTGTCAAGTTTTAAATACACACTGTTAATTTTACATATATACTATATTCAAGAACACTTTCTGGAAAGATGCTGGCCTGAGGGTGCCATCCAGGAGAAAGTGTACCCTGCAGCTGTAGTGCAGAGAGGACCACTATCATTGGCTGACCTGACAGACAGCTCCTCTGAGTACCAGTGCCTACAGGAGTGGGAAGACTGAGAAGCGAGGTGGCAGCTGGATGAATAAGTGTAGAATTCGCTGCCATTCACTGTGGATTGTCCAAGCCAACAGAAAGAAACTGTCCTGCCCATTTGCTGTACTCAGCTTGGGAAAGGCCCTATATTAGGAATTACCATGGAGAACTAGCCTAGTTGAGGCTAACTTGAAGCCTGTGAGACTGACAACCCAAAGCACACTCCTCAAGGGAAAGGATCTATCCAAACAGCCCATCAGCCAAGGATACAAAGGGAGAAAAATTTAACCTCTTATGGCTTGACAATAACTGCCCAAGAAACCAATACTGTGACAGGCATACAGTGTAAAGGAAACCTCCACGCCCTGGTATAGTGAGCAAAGAAAAACCACAGCTTGTTTGAGGAATTCACGAGCTTGACTGAGGTGACAAAAAATAACCACCAGAACAATGGAGATTTAATTAAAGAAAAAGGACTTTTAAAACCCGACACACACACACACACACACACACACACACACACACACACACACTACTGGGAAATAAGCAGAGAAGACTTTTACATATAAAAATCTGATTCCAAATTAATAAATGGAAAGAATAATAAAGATTAGAAATAAAATGACTAAAAGTTAAACTATGGTTGGAAACAAGAAACAAATATCACTTAGAATGCCAAAAAAAAATTTTTAATGGAAAAGATGTCATAAATGAATGGGTTAATAGGCTTAGAAAGCAAATACAGAAAATGTAAAATAAGAGTAGCAGGAGGAGGGGAAAAAAAGCAGAGGAAAATGCAACAATTAAAAGAATAACGAAAACAAAATTTTCCTAAGCTTTAAAGACTTGAGTTTTCACATCAAAAGAACTTACAGAATGCCAGAAAAGATTAATGACAAGATACACACCTAAACATACTGGTAAAATTTCTGAAATCCAAAGATAAAAAAAATTCTTTGTAAGCTTACAGAAAGAGACCAAGTTCCCAATAAAGAAAATTATCTGGAATTAAATTTCCCATCCACAACTCTATACATGTGTCCTTTCTGAAGTAATTTCTTACACGTCATTTTCTACCAAAAGAAAATTATAACAGGCACATCAAGACAAAGAATCAAACAAACAGAAGAAACAGTAACAAGTCATGATCAAAGGCAATTTTAAAGAAATTAAATATCAGAAGCAAAAATGTCTAGTATCCCAACAAAACATACAAATTGATTTTAAAAAGGAGAGGTCGGGCGCAGTGGCTCACACCTATAATCCCAGAACTTTGGGAGGCCGAGGTAGGCAGATCGCCTGAGGTCAGGAGTTCGAGACCAGCCTGACTAATGTGGAGAAACCCTGTCTCTACTAAAAATACAAAAAAAAAAAAAAAGAAAAATTAGCCAGGCATGGTGGTATGCCTGTAATCCCAGCTATTTGGGAGGCTGAGGCAGGAGAATTGCTTGAACCTGGGAGGCGGAGGTTGTGGTGAGCCGACATTGCGCCACTGCACTTTAGCCTGGGCAACAAGAGCAAAACTCTGTCTCAAAAAAAAAAAAAAAAAAAAAAAAGGGAGAGAATATGGAAGTAAAATGATATATAGAATAGTTTTAAGTTTTTGTATACTGACAACCATTAAGAATAAGAAGGTAATCATTGGCGATATTAGAGAAAATTTCTAAGTTTGGGTGGGGTCAAGGAGAGAACAGTTGTTAAAAAAACAAAATGGCAATTTGACCAATACAATTTAGCAAAAGGTAAGAAAAACAAAACTGGAATAGAAGAATAATGAAAATAAAAATAAAATGGAAGGACTAAGAACAAATGTGTAATTTTTATTATTAATAAAAATTCCTATTAAAAGTCTAACAGGTTTAAAAATAAAAATTCAGCTATACACAATTTACAAACCAAGCCAATCTACCAAATAAAATCATAGGGGAAAAAAGTTTAAAATAAAGGTACAGGCAAAATATTTTTTATGAAATAAAAATAAAGTCAGGACAATATTATTACTGAATAAGGCCTAGGAAATAAAGAAATATTTTATAGTAAGACTATAACTCAGCTGATATTATTTTATATCTATCTAGAAAACTCAAGAGACTTAAAAAAAAAAAAAAACTAGAGAGGGTAATTAGTAATAAGCACCTAGAAATGAAACATTCTATTTATAATTGCAACCAAAAATATCTCTAAATTCTATAGACAGATTTAAGGAACAGAATCTGCATGTAGAAAACTACAGTATCTTCTTGAAAGGAATAAAATAAACCCTGGGGAAGAAAACACTACCAGCTTGACGTGATATAAAGATATATACACATAACTGAATGGTAAGACTTACTATCATAAAAATGTCAGTTCTTCTGAAATTACTATATAGCTCTCTCTCTGTACACACACACACACACCCCTGTTGTTTTAAGTTGCAGAAAATGATCTTAAGGTTCAGATGGAAGATTTCTAACGATAATAAAAATACAAAAATATATAAGGGGGAGCCTGCCTTATGAAACATTAGAACACACTACAAATCTGGTAGTAAAATTAGTATATAATAATAAAATAACTACAGTGGAATTTTAATAAAGAACACATCAAACTCATGAGTAAAACAAACAACAACTGATATAAATAAAAATTAATTTTTTGTTAAAAAACACAAACAAAAATGTAAGCTAAATTAGTCTACCAGACTGGCAAAGTTAAAAAAATGAAAATCTTCCATGTTGAAAGGGTGTGAAGAAACTGTAGCCTCATATACTCTTATGGACAGGTTTAAACTGGTATAGGGTTTTTGGAGAATAGTTTGACAACATATGGGAAACCATTCATTGTTCATATCCCATGTTACCAAAAGACCCACTGAAAAAGGTTGGCCTGGCAAGTGTTGGGGTGTTTTAGTCCTTCTCACTGCTTTTTTATGAGCCCTTCCTCTCCATGGTAGGCATAATTTACTCAAATGGTGGCATTCATTAAGTCAATGATACTTCTCCATAGCACGTCAAAGTTTTACCACTCATGAGAAATAGTTCTTTTTCCCATAACTAGCCTGTGTTTACATATGTGACCCAAGGCCACTTGAATGGAGTCTTTTATGTCATTAGCAAAGTAAATGGGGAGACAATCATGCCAACTGGCCGTGGAACTTAGGCTACAGTGGGCTGAATTCCAGCTCCTGCCCTACCTCTGACAGGCACGGGATACCCAATTCACCCCCTCCCCAAGTAATTACTCTTCTAATCTGCATGTGATAAACTGCCTTTGTGCAGAGTATTCTTTGCTATCCCGCTGTCAACTCCATACACAGTCATCCATCAATTTCAGTTTCTGACAGTTCCTTTGCTGAGTCAGAAAGGTGCCTACCCTAGTGTCCAAAGATTCTTAATAAAAGTTTAGAGGCAGAAAGTCCCCCAGCTCTCTTCAATCTGGCACTTAATAAAGATCCTTGAAAAAAAAGTTGATACTTTGATCTCTCTTGGGTTCTCTGTGCACAAATTCTAGCATTTCCCAAAGTTGCTTAAAGAACCACCAGTAGGTCATTAAAAAAAATAAAAATACCAGGCACCCCCTATCACAATACACTGAATAGAATCTCTACAAGTGGGGAACTAAAGGTATTTTTTTAAAAGTGCTCCAGGTAGTTTCAGGCTACAGAGAAACCACCTCACTGTTGCTTTGTCATTCCTCATATTTGATTATCAGTCTGTTTTCACCTGTTTCTTCCTTAACTTAATTCAATTAAATGGCAGCTTCATTATTGGGTCAACAACCTTTAACAGTATATTATGCAAGCAGCTCACGTTTAATTTAGTGGGGCTGATTTGGATGCCTCTCCTATGAGTTTCCATAGCACCCTAACCCTATCACAGCACTGATCATTCCAACGCATCTCTTTGAATCTAAGATGCCACTTGCTATAAATCACATTCTAATTTCAGAGAAATTAAACTATAAAAAATGTGCAATTGAGAACCAATAATGTAGAATATATTGAAATGGCCTTCTCTTTCCTCATCTGTATTTTTTCACTAGACTAAACTCTTTGCAAACATGACTCTTTGTGCACCTCTGTATCCACAGCACACAACACATGATAGGGTCACCTAATATTCATTAAACATGTTACTGAACAGATGCTATTAAAATGTTAGCCTATATTACAAATAGAGAAAGTGAAGTCCATCAAGACTATGAAAACTGTCCCACATTACCAAGGATTCACTTCCAGATCCTTCAGACTCTTGAGCTTGTGTTCCCTCTGTTAGAATACGTCATGCCAAACAACTGTCCGTTCCAAGTGTACATTTGTATATGAATAAGTTACTTAAACACCCCCAAATAACATTTTACCTGTTCCTACAGGATTAGGAGTATATGGAGGTGGAGGTGGAGCTATGACATTCGCTAATGGTACCAGACCTGCATTGTTATAAGCACCTAAAATAAAAACACAATAGAAAAAAATATACCTTAGGACTGTTCTGTGACTGGTATTGTTCTGTGACTAGGAGTTCAAACTATATTAATGCAGCTATTCAATTTATTATAAAAACTCCTATTTAATACAGTTGATTTTATATGGAGGTTTATGTCTAGAGTTAAGTGAAAACTGACACCAAATGAAACAACCAGAGATTCCTATTTCCCACTGCATGCTCATTGCAGGGATAAGTTCAGTGAATGGCATGGCAGGCAGAACCTGCTATACTTACATTATTTGTCTTTTCTGCCAAACGCATATACTTGACTTTTTGAAGTTAAATGCATGAATGATGCCTCTGAACTACCAACTACCAAAAAAAGGAATTCAAGATGATTTACCAAAGTGAAAACCCATAAATAATGAATGACTAAAAATAATCTAATTAATTTATCATAAAGAAAATATCCTAAATAAACTATCTGCTGCAGTGTTGTAGGCCAGGACACTACTAGCTAACTATGGGCATAATTAAGCTCACAGTAGCATTTCATAAGTGCTACAGATTTGCCAACCACATAGACCAGCATTTACTTTCAATTTAATAAATAAACAGCAAAAAAGAAAAACAAGTAAAAAATAAGGGAACTCCTTACTTGGTGCAATAGTTGCATGTGGTCGGCATGGAGGTATCGGATAAGGAACAGGTTTATGTGGATTATATGTTGAAGGAGGCTAAAACATGGGGGAAAATACAGCAGTTAGAAGAAAATCAAGTAAGCTGTCTCCTGGCAACTTGTCTTTCAAAATATTTAGTCCTAATATGCTAAAAATGTCCCCGCATATCATACTACTGGACTACATGGGACAACAAATGAGGGAAATTTCTTTGCTTTAATAAATGTGGTTGCTATTAAATTCCAAATGCAGATCTTGCCAAAGATGGCCATAGAGGTGGCCAGAGATTTTTAAAATCATCTCCAATAAGGGGTTAGATCTCATTGTAAACAGCAAACTCCTCCCAGGCCCAGCCTAAGTTAAACCAAGAATTCCTGTTTCCTCCTACATAACAAAGACAAGAAACCTTCTAGGTTTTACAATCTCAAATTACGCAAGAACTCCCAATGGCAACATCCTCCTAAACTGATAGGAATTCATCCTCTCATTCCCACCCTCTTTCCTCCTTTTAGAAGAAAAAAGCACTGTTTGCGTTAGCATTTGGCATTCTGACAACTCCAGTAGAACATAGACTGGAATCAGGAATTCAGTATGTTAGTTGTTCTGCCTTTTGAAATCCATAAATCCACCAATACTTATTTTACAGTTGATGGAGCTTACCTAAGTAACAAAAAGCATTCAAAGCACTGGTCTTTAGAAAACTGGAAGTATCTGAAGCTAAGCCAGATGCTGTACTTTTTACCTACAGAGAGAGCATGTGCATGCCTGTGAGGCAGGGGAAAGGACCCACTGGTGGTAAGGGAGCCAGATTCTTTCCAGCTCCCATAATTGTGGCCCTATCTGAAGTCTTGTGCAAGAACCATGATCTGTTACTATTCTGCCATAAACAACTCCACTGGAGTTCTTGTCATGTGGACAGGCAGGTTTTGCAAGGTGGTTGTATGCAGGCCTCTAGTACTTCAACTCCAAAGATCCTTCAACCCATGGGGTTGTCTTCTCCTGTCCTGTTTACATTGCAATCATTATAATCACTATCTTGTAAATACTTTCAACCTGTGACTTCACTGTGGTTTCACTAACACTAATTCAGCTAAACTACAAACTTAGTTAAAACAAGCTCTCCACACTCCGTATCTCCAACTGAGCAGCTGAATGCATCTCGAGAAAAAAACTGAAAGCAATTTCACTGATTCTACTTTAAAATAAAAAGCTCAATCTCAAAGGGGCTCTTACTACTGTTAAATATTTATGTTTCCCTCATCCATTCACTCTCTCACTCTCCTACAATTTCTAGAATACTTCAAACTTTGCAACACAAAAATAAAATTTATGCTTTGAGTAAAAAGGAAACTTTATGTAGGAAGGAGTTTGGGCTTGTTTCATCATTTTCTAAACATACTGGTTTGGATGGCCCAAGAATTCGTGCAGCTATTCCTTTGCCTTCGTTAGTACATTCTTCACCATCTTTTTTCAAAGGAGTTCCCTATTAAAAAAAAAAAAAAAAGGTAATTGAAACTTAAAAAAAAAACCCTCAAACCAGTAACAATAACCAACCTCACTGTATTACACTGAAGAAAAGGACTTGGTAAGAGTGTAAAGACTTGCATTCCCATTTCAGTTCTGCACTGGCTGGCGGCATGACCCTGATAAGGTCCTCAATCCTCCTATGCTATGGAACTCTCATATCACATGCAAAGGTACTCAGAAGTGAACATGAAAAACACAGAGAGGATGACAGGAAAATATAAGGTATCCACAGGGACTGGTTCTAGGACCTCCCCCATAAATACCAAAATACATGGATGCTCAAGTCTCTTATATAAAACAGCATAGTATTTGCATATAACCTGAACATATCCACCCATATACTTTAAATAATCTCTAGATTACTTATAATACCGAATACAATGTGGATGCCGTGTAAATAGTTGTTATGCTGCATTGTTTTACTGTATTATTGCTTTTTTTCGGAATACAGTATGTTCTGATTTTTCTTCTTCACAAATAGGAGCAATCAGAAATGAACTTCCAATGCCACAGTATGTATAATACTCAAAGAATAAGAGTACCTATGTTACAGTTGAAAGTAGATAAGAAAAAATG
Organism: Homo sapiens; assembly: GCF_000001405.40. Lineage (NCBI taxonomy): Eukaryota > Metazoa > Chordata > Mammalia > Primates > Hominidae > Homo > Homo sapiens. Next base: position 39,025,177 of record NC_000013.11, read on the forward strand.
GTGTTCTCTATAAAGATTAAGTGTGATTATTTATATTGTCAAGGGTAAATGAGACCTTATTCAAGACTGTTAAAATTAACAGATCAGAATAAGTTGATAGATTATTGCAGTGTGTCATCGCCCTAACACTGTGTGTGGCTAAATGGTATATACTAGTGTGGAAGCCAACTCCCAAGATGTCCCCCACTGATCCTCATCTCCTACCTGCCCTTGCACCATTCCCTCCCAGAATGAATGGGGCTGACCTGTGTAACACATGGGACATTGCAGAAAGGATGGCATCTGACTTCCAGGCAGCTTCCACTTGTCTTCTCTTGCTTGGATTACTTGCTCTGGTAGAAGCCAGCTGCCATGTCATGAGGACATTCAAGCAGCATTACAAAAAAGTCTTTGTGGTGGACAACAAAGGACTCCTGCCAACCACCAACACTACCTTGCCAAGCATGTAAACGAGTCACCTTGAGGCCCTATTCTTGGGCTCCAATCAAATTTTCAGATGAATGTAACCTCATGAAAAGACCTGAACCAGAACTATCCAGCTAAGCGTTCCAATATTCCTGACCCATAAAAGCCATGTGAGGTAATAAACATTTATTGCTTTAATCCAGTAAGCTGTGGGGTTGTTATGCAGCTACAGAAATATAACATTCTTTGAGAAAGCTGTTTTACAAAGAGGTTTGAGGAACATTAGATGATATAAAAACAAGTTTCTTTTTTATAGTACTTCTCAGAGCCTTTATATGCGATTCCCCAGGAAGGAAACACTGTATGCAAAGTTTCCCAAACACACTTCACTGAGTGAAACTGAGATTGTAAGAATACTGAGAATTTGAGAACTGTTCCTTTACTAAATGTAAATCAGTGCTTCTAAAGTACTTTGAAAAATAAAATCATCCTCTCTTCTATTTGTCTTGTTCTATAGATTTTATATAGATACCCTTAATACTTTAATGAAGTTTAGACATGAACTTTCAATCAGTGGTGAGCCTGTGAATTAAGTTACCGACATAAAATTCCTTTCCTTTAAATATCATTAACTTATTCTACACTTCATACTTAACCATGAGAAGTTTCATATACAGCTACAGAAGTATGCTTACTGGGAAAATTCCATTTATGCGGCTAGGTCTTCCTTTGGGATATGGATTTCCTGGGATTGTTCCACAAGAAGATATCATAGCATGAGGAGCTTTGCAGCCCCCCTTGAAAGCCTGTAATATAAGAAAGAAGAGGGGTAGGAAAAAAATTCTTAAAAGATAAGTATTCTGAACATTGGGAGCTCAGCTAAAAAAAACATGAATTAAAGAACAGCACTACATTCAATCTGCTCATACATAATTCAGCACTTACAGTGGTGAATGTGACCAAAAGTAATAAAATCACTTTATTTAAATGGAATAATTAAAATGGTTAACATAATAATGCTGCAACAGACTCATACAAAGAATGTCTTCACAGTAGATTTTGTAAATTGTGTAAAAAAGTGTTTATTATCTAATCTGTCCCATTTCTTCAACTAGCAAGAAATAACAGTTCAAATCTACAAATGCCAAGGTCATGTTACATTTGAGGAAAGGAGGACACAGAGATGGAAGAAACATGGTCCCTGCTCTTTACAACCCAGTGGAGGACATCATAAACAAGTAACATGACATTGGGTGGTCCAAAGACCTACATACCGTTCAAAAACCAACTTAGACAATGTTCAACATACTATTACATATTTATGAGAAATAGTGAGGGAAGGGATTTAGGTCTAAGCTGTTTATTACTGCATCCTCAGCTTCTAAATGATGCCGCACACACACTGAGTTGGTGCTCAATACATATTAATAAATGAAAAAACACTGTATTAGGCAACATATATTCCAATGTATCTATATTATGTTATAGAAATATCCAGCTATACATATGTGTGTGTATATATATATTCACAAGTATGTACAATGTATTTTATTATATATTGGTTTTATAAATCCCTTCACAACACATATATGTATATTAGCTATATAACCCAGCCCCTCTACTAAATACCCCAACCCTGAAATCATCTGAATTTTTGGCTATAATAAAGAGTACCGGGGTGAATGCCCTTATATATAAATTTGTATATTTCAACATTTCCTTCAAATAAATTCCTAAAAGTAGAAATTTGGGGCCAAAAGGTATAAATATTGTAAAGGCTCTTCAAGTTTACCTTCTAGAAAAGTTGTACTAATTTATATTGACCAGAGGGCCCACTCTACAGAACACTCAGGCCCAGAATATTTCTGAGAAGGAAAGTGACACGATCGGAACACTTCATAAGAAAGAAAACTACAGCAGTAATATGCATGTTGCCTTAAAGGTTTTAGTCAAGAAAACTGGTAAGGAAGTTACTGAAGTAAATAAACATGGCTCAGATCTTAACTCTTCTACAACAATGTATGACTAAGGTGAATTTGCCTACCATCCCTGGGCTTAAAGGAGTTTGTGAGTATTAAATACAACTGAACTGCCAGGCTCATAATTAATTAATTAATTCAGCTTCCAGACATCGCAATCCTACCTTAGAAATAACTACCTTAGATGACAAATCAAGTTTTCTAGGGTTGGACAAGTACTATTTCTCCCATTCTTACAGATTTTTAACTAATAAACTGGAATTTTAACTAATAAACTGGCTTTAATATTGACCTCTTATGAATCCGATTTAAAATAAACTGGATAACAAAGCAAATTTGAAAAGTTAAGTTCCTAAGTACATAAAGTTTAAAGCAAAAACTTGAAGCCATGGCAAAGGTACCAAGGGACCAAGACACAAACATTTCCATGAGGCTCAAGCTGAGTGGCCAACTGACTTCTCACTCTCAAGCCATCTCCTCCCCCTTGAATGTCCCCATCAACCAGCTCTATTTCCACGCCGCAGACCGCAGGGATGTTCATTTTTAACCCATTGTACAACAGCATTCAAGTTATTCACCAAAGTTAGTAAGAAGAAAGGTGCTTTTTCGTCTTCAATATTCGGAAAAACCAGCGTACCAAGTACATGACAATCTTTAGAAAACTACCTGTTCAAGTATTCTCTTGCACCGTTTCTTCTCAGACATATTTACCCTGAATAAATCTTCAATAGGACGAGAATTCTGTGCATCAATAATGTTCCTACCAAGAAAACACAATTTAGCTTTTTGTTTAAAAATCTGAACATACATCGAGGTAAGCAACCTTTGTTTACCACACAAACATCTGAGTAAGCGTTCTCCATGACATAGGGAGAAAAGTGTGACTATTTACTTTTAACAGCTCAATTTAAATAACATGTTTATATATAAATATAATAACTTAGGTTTATCTGATTACTGAAAAGTAAAACAGTAATACTGCAAATAAAAATCATTATTTTGAGATTTTTCAAAATATACTTTCTTCAGTGATAGTTAGGAGAGCTATGCCAATAGAACCAACCCATGTGTTAAATGCATAAAAATCATTTTATGCTAAATGCATAGTTTTATCTTGTGCTTTAATTTTGTGCTTTTATGGACACCTATGCATACAAAAAGGACTTAAAAATGTATGTGTTACAAATAAATAACTTATACATTCTTCAGTTATGCAAAGGAGTAGGTTCTTTCCATGTCTTTTTGAGCTTACATTCATTACGGTCATCTGTCAAATGCTGTGGTAGGTGCTTTCACAGACTTTCTGATATTTAAAGTTCATTACCCTATTAAGTGGGTATGAGCCTTATTTTTACAATTGAGGCAAATAAGGCTCAGAAAAAATAAGCACCTTGCCAAAAAAAAAAAAAATTATTGTGTCAGTAAGTGAAAGAATCTCTAATTCTTAAATTCCTGTCTTTTCAGAGTAGGAAGGCAAAGCAAATAACTGAAATACAAAAAATCAAATTAAACAATCTTGTTAAGCCCCTTCATTTTATAAGTTATAGTCATATATGTAATAAGTACACTAGATACTTATTCACATTTGGAAATCAGAATGTACCACTATGCTTTTGACTGTATTTTGTTAGACACATTAACACACACTAATTAGACACTTAAAACGCTTCTACATTTTTTCCCAAGTAAAAAAAAAAAAAAAAAAAAAAGAAATACTTACGAGGCTAACAGTTCAAGAGCAACTAGTTTGTCTTTACTGAAAGTGAAACAGTTGAGTATATTGACCACTTCTGTTGGCTGGACAGCCACCATTTTCTGTTGATATAAAAAATAATTTTATTTTTAACGTGAAATTTTCATGCCAGAAATTACCTTTTTCTGGAAGTACAGTTAAATGCTCTTAATATAAACATTTTAGATAAAATATATCACATTTTAGGTGAAAACCACTTACTCAAAAGAAAGTTCTAACAATAAATGAATTATGCTCTATCAACGTAACCATTTCAGTTGAAGATCTAATGAAGATCTAAGTTCTCCTACATGCTCCTTTTTTATCCATTTCTCAATGTGTTCAGTTACAGAATTAAAAAAATCAGAAGTATTACTTTCCTCAGAAAGGTTATATAAAAAGGTGATACTCATACACATGGGAGATTAAATTGTTCAAAGGTTAGAAAAACATTACTATACTCCTCAGTTAGAGGGCTAAGTATGCCACAGATCAGTGCTTCCATGATGTTAAACATATTACAAAAAAAGGTTACACTAGCCATATAAGGTAGGGAAAAGCTGGGTTAAACAGGTTTCTCTACTGCAGAACTTTAAGTCTTATTTTAATTTAATGTGCATTGTGATGCACCAAGATTGTGTGGAATGTTACATAATTATTTGACTAGAGTACCTTTATTTCTGAAGAACATTCAGAAGATTTGGCCAATTTGGACATTTATGTTAATAGTGAAGGAAAATTAAAAGCAACATCAACATAAGTAAGACTGGTTAGAATCAATATCCAAGAGCTCCTAAAATTTGGAGGAGTGGTTTTCACATACTTTTATGTACTACCAGAAGAACTAATAAAACTATAAGCCCCTTTGCATGTTTTTAAATTGATACCTAACAATTTTATCAGAAGTTTAAATACTCACAAAAGGTCGATTTTCTTAAATACATTTATATATCTGAAAGAACTTTGAAACTACTAATTTAGCTCATTTATGGAAATATTTATTACGTAACTCAACTGGCGAAATCAGTCTTCAGTGAGAAAACAATCAAATCAGACTGACATTTTTAGAAAAGGTCAGACTTAATTTAATTCAAATAAGTGTATTGAGTTGTCCCTGTGATACCCTTGCCACCTCTGAATTTTAAGTCTAAGGCAGGGAGACAGGCAAGCAGGCCTCAGAGCTCTGTCATGAGTTTGTTGTCCTGATAAAATAAAGCAAAGCCCTCATCAATATTCCCCCTGCCGCAGCCTCCTGGGTAGTTAGGACTAAAGGAGCATACCACCACACCCAGCTAATTTAAATTTTTTATATTTTTCTAGAGACAGGGTCTTACTATGTTGCCCAGGCAGGTCTAGAACTGCTGGCCTCAAGCGATTCTCCTATCTCAGCCTCCCAAAGTGCTGGGATTACAGGCTTGGCCACCACCCCAAGCCCCTTATCAATATTTCTTACAGAGCCTCTCTCTTTGCTTTGCTCTCCCTCTCAAGAGCAAAGCACTGTCCTTTTGGAACCTGGAGAAACATTTTCACCCCCAGAGAACAGGTGCGATAACTCTTTCTTTTGCAAAGCAGTAAAAAAGCAAGTATTAAAGAGGAGGTCAGAAAGCAGCACTAACAGACCCAGACACTTTCTTAGGCTCATCAGTTTAGAAAGTCAAGGATCTGTAAATTGATTCCACTGAAGATATCCAGGCCTGATATTGCTTCAAAAATCTTCCTACACAGCCAGATACTCCTGTGTGATCCAGATGCTCCTGTTGACCTAGGTTCTAGAGCTGTGCTATCCATATAGTAGCCACTAAGCACATGTACCTACTTGAACTAATTACAATTAAATAAAATTAAATATAGTTCCTCAGATGAGGCACATTCAAGTGGCTACCACAATGGACAGTGCTGATATAAAAATTTCCATCATCGCTGAAAATTTATTTGGACAGTAATAACTCTTCTAAGACTAAATAGAAAGATGGTGACGATGGATATTAAAAAACAGAAGTGCAAAAAACCATTAAGAATTCAAATCCTATATTTTGCTTGCTGGTGAAGTTTTCTTCTAACTTGCCAATCGGGACACTGTAGCATACAATTTAAATGTACAGTTTAGAAAATTTTAATTTTTTAACATAGCTATTTTGAATCAAAGTACAATAACACATAGAGTTCGCTTTTCTAATGCAAATAAATTACAACTGAAATAAATTACACACAACTGGGAGAATTAAAAATACTTAAATTCTACGTTCTGAAGGAAAAAATAAGTTACTTACATGCTGTAATGCTTTCATTGCCTTCAACTGGGGCTCGGCCCAGGAAAAATATCTCAGCAAATCAACCACCTGAAAACAAAGAACTAACAGCTCTAATGACAGCATGTTTGCAAACATTTCTATAAGATTTCAGTACTTGAAATTATAATTCGACACGTGCAGCCCAGGCCCAGGTGATACAGGTGGCATTAAAGTTTAAAAACTGTGCTAACAGAATAGCTATTATATAGTTATATACATTTAAATAACTTAAAGTCAAATAAAATGTAAAAATCAGTTCCTTAGTGACACAAGCTACATTTCAAGTGCTCCAGAGCTATGTGAGGCTGATAACTACAATAATGCACACTGCAGATAGAGAACATTTCTACCACCACAAAAAGTTCTACTAGACAGCACTGGTCTAGAAAGAAAGAAAAATATACAATACAGAAAAAAACAAAGTATCCTAATAGGAAAAGGATGGTTGAGAAGTACTAGATGGAGATCAAATGTCAGCTCAGGATTATAAAGATGGACTGTGAATGGAAAACCTTTCAACACGAGGGGAGAACAGCACTCACAAAGGCACAGTGGTATGTTTTAGTGTAGGTCCACTAACTTTAGTCCTAGTAGGTCCTTTAACTTGAATCTGGAGGGCATAAACTCAAATCATAAATCTAGTCCCTTAAAAATGTTAAGAGTCAACATGAATTACTCCAGCAGCCCCTAAATGATACATCATTTGAGAGCTCAGAGTGTGCAGCTCAGATTAGCTCCCACCACCACCTAAGAACTTCAAACAAATGAGGGAAGCATTATGAGATAGCCAGTAAGAGGGGAGCACAGGGCATAAAGATCAGGACACTGAAGTCTCAGCATGATCACCACCACCCTGTTTGACTGCCTCCAAAGATGCTCCAAAAGGGGAAAAAAGTGATACAAGAAGACAGTTCCTGAAAATACGCTAAGGTTCCAATTATTCTATACAGCAAGGTCAATGGTGCAAACTGGAGTGGTATGTAAAGAGAGTAAAAATAATTTTTACTCCTTATAAAGAGATATATATATATAGCAAATAAGTATTATGTATACTTTCCAGTTAATTTGATAAACGTCTATGTCCTTAACTTTGATGGGAATAATGTTCTTAATATCTAATAAATGCTATATTTTAACCAACCATAAAATTTTACAAGCCACCATATCTAAGATACAAAGAAAAATCTTTAATACAATAAGCTCATTTAGAAAGTGGCTTAATAAACTTTGTAATGACTTTAGCAAAGTGGAAGCATCATTAAGGGTGGTACATCACATACACCCAAGAAAAAAAATGCTATTAGCTGTAAGAAATTATATATCTTTTTAAAACATTTAATTTTTTTTTTTTTTTTGAGACAGAGTTTTGCTCTGTTAGCCAGGCTGGAGCGCAATGGCGCGATCTTGGCTCACTGCAAGCTCTGCCTCCTGGGTTCAAGCAATTCTCCAGCCTCAGCCTCCTGAACAGCTGGGATTACAGGCACCCGCCATCATGCCCGGCTCATTTTTGTATTTTTGTAGAGATGGGGTTTTGCCATGTTGGCCAGTCTGGTCTTGAACTCCTGACCTCAAGTGATCCGCCTGCCTTGGCCTCCCAAAGTGCTGGGACTACAGGTGTGAGCCACTGCACCCAGCCAAAACATTTAAATTTTTAAAAGAGCATAAAGTAACTTTGTAAAGCAATGGGAAAGCTGAAAAACTGACATAAAGACAACAAATGCAAATCATAAAGTAGCTTTTAAGAATTTAGTGGGCAGAACTTCTATAGGCTTAAAAGTCATTTAAGGTTTCAAGTTTTGAAGTTCTTGAGAAACCAATGAAAAGCTGGACCATTTACTAACTCAATTGGAGCATTTACTAACTCAATATATACATTTATTGTCCATCCTTTCCCCAAGCTGTTCTCCAGACATTTCTATTAATATTTATGCCTGACTTCTCTATCAAGAATTTTCCAACTATCCCTCAGAAACATGCCCCCTTGTGTGTGTGACACACATATATTTTAATTAGCAAACTGCCCCTAAGGTGGAATGAAGTTTTCACTAAACTATCATGCTTAAAATGTTAGTATTCTGGCAGTTACAGAAACTACTTATTAAATAACACTGTGTATTTTTCTTACTGTTGAAATTTTTATTTAGTGGCTTCATATAAAAACATATTTCATTATTTGTTCACATTTTCTTTTATATTACATGACGAATTTTGTAATTGTCTTACATGTAACTATAAAAATTTGGGTAAATTTGCCATTACGAGTCTCTAAATCTTTGATATTGTGCCCAGAACCATAAACACTTTGAATTGCTTTAAGACCCTATATTTAAAATCATTTTAAAACATGAATTGGGGTGAAAGTGGAGAGGTGCTTAGTCCCTGAATTATAAATTCTGTAGAGTTTTCTGCCAAAACTGAGAGCTTCTCGAGTTCTTGAATAAATACAGCAAAAAGGTAAAACCAATTCTGAATTCGGCCAGCAGACAGACATTAACCAGAACATTGGTATAAAAAGAAAGCTTTGTTTAAACAAATAATGAGGAATACCTGTTCACTAGAAAAGTATCCATGCACATATTCAATTGCTTTTAATTTGTATTCTGTCAAAACAGCCTAAAAAAAAAAAACACACACACACAGAGTAAAACAGCATTAATATACGTAAGCAGCACAGTAATATACATCTATCAAAACTGCCCAAGCAACTCAACAGTGGCAGGTCTACTTCAGCCCTGTCATTCAGAGGAACTAAGGTCACTGTGGTGAGAGGCCCTTCCTTCCATCTTTCCAGGTTCCATACTGTGAGGGACACACTGAGCAAGCAGGAAGATCTGCTGGGCTTCCCTACCAACTTCTACAAAGAAAGGGAATAAAATTGTAATAGATATGATTCAACATCAGTATACACAACATTTAGAATTCCTAAATATGTAATTAAAGAGTTTCAAAACATTCCAAATCCAAATTGTCATTTTTAAGATTAAACATATCAGATGTTACTCATTCATCAATTATTGAATATCTACTATGTGCTAAGTGACAGAGAAGCAAGAATAAGACAAGGTCTAGTTGAGGCTCTCAGTATTTCTATAGGGACATAAGAATGCAAGAAGTCCTGAATTCAATGTCTGTGCCTGCCACTAACTGGCAGTGTAGACTTTGAGAGGCATTTTAATTCCTTTTGAGCGTCCTCATTCATAGAGGGAACACCATTCACCAACCTCAAAGAATTACTATGAAGACTATAATAGTGGACATTAGATGTGACATATAACAGGTATTCAGTAAGTGATGGTTCCTTTCCTTTTCGGAATCTATCAGTGGGTGAGAGAGAAGTTGGTGGCTTTGATGCAGCACTATCTAGAGCCCACTAAATCACACATGCTCCCCTTGCAGCTATTTGCTCAGCTTAGAGATGGAAACAGCTATCTTAAGTCAGTAGCCACTAATCATTAAAAATGAACTAATCCCTTTGCTTGTACTATAAAATAATTTTAATATTCATATTTTTCACATATATCATTCTGCTAGGAGAAAGTATTATGACCAGTCAACTGAAATATCCTGGGTGCTCAGTAGTTCAATATTCACTGAAAAGGGAGAAAATGGCATTCTAAATAATGTATTCCTAGGAGTTTTATTATCAATGTAATAATCGGACACAGTCAAATACAAGTTTCTGAACAAAGTCTTGGATTGTACTGATGCCAAGTCATATCTCAATTCTTCCATCAATGCCTGAGAGGCCCAGCTGTAACCCCAGGCAGGACAGCATGGTGCTCTGCAAGCATAGTTTGAATACTGCCCCCAGCCCCCAACTTACCACCTAGGGAGTCTTGAGCTGATAGTTAACCTCACAGAGAATAGGCCACCAGCTATAAGCAAGAAGTACAGTGCCTACACCTCATGCGTTGTAAGGAGAATCAAAACAAATAATGACTGGAGAAAGTGCTTAAAAACAGGCTCACAAAGTAAGTGCTCACTAATTAATAGCTATCATTCCCTCCTTTTTGAATAATCAGTTAACCATTGCTTTTTCCCCCTTTCTACTCCCTTTCCCAGTTCTTCTGCTAGTGGCTTCTTATATGCCTCTGTTTTAAATGACAGTAGTGACAATCAGTATTATCTATCATATAAACTCACTGTGATACTCAAGAGATGACCTGGTTTAAACTGACTTACATTTACAAAGAACGATTTTTAAGAAAATCAGTAGTAATGCTCATATTTAGATATGCCAATATTTTATTCCATTTTAATAGACCATGACAATGTTGATGTGTCTAATCACTCGGCAAAGCCAGCAGAAGATATATTTTAACTGCTGACCAGAAATACAGACTTAAGTTGCCATCTCATGTGAACAACACTTTCATATCTGGAAAATTTCCTATTCCCCTCTTTAGAATTTACTGTGACGTTTTTATGACACCAGGAAGAGAATATGCACACTGAGACCCTGTATCTTCCAAAAGTAAAAATCTGCTGGTCTACTTGGACTCACCAATTATTTTCTCATGAAAAGTAATTAAAAATCAGCCCAAGAACAAATTGTGACAAATTTCTAGGCATATAATTAGCAAACCAATATTTTATTTCAAAAATTAATTGGACACTTAGGTTTGCAAAAGCAGAACTTGTTCAAAAAAGAATGTTCAGTATTATCAAATATGAAAACTTAAACACGTCAATTTGAAAAAAGAAAAAAGCTGTATAAAAACAAAGCAAAACAGCAAGACCAGAGACAATTTTAATAATAGCTTTGTAAACTGAAATAAGCACCAGAGCACATGGCAACAATTTCTTCCGTTTCAGTCAAGGGTCGTAAAGGTATGCAGCTGACGAAAGAATAATTGCCCGGAAGGCCGAAGGAAAGCACCGTGTGTTGATGTAACAATGGTACATCAAGTCCTTACATTTTAAAATAAGTAACTTCTCGGTATTTTTGTGCTTGAGATATTGTTAGGCTCAAGACTACCTTCCAGAATTGTTGCTGTCTGGTTCACTCTGGGAAATGCGATCCACACAACAGCCTCAAAAAGCAGCAAAAACTTGGAAAGCAGGAGAAAAAAGTTTTGAAGCTCAAGTTATTGACGGCCAATTCCTAAGAACGTGACTTTAAACTTAATGCCACACTTACCATCAGGACACGAATTTTGCATGGCCAACGCAACAAATATACTCTACCTTATGCTTAGATTTGAAAACCCCATCATAATAACTACCATAAAAGAAACTTTCTGCGTATTACCTCTCGTTTTCAGTCACTCTTGTGTTACTGAAAGATGAGGCAATAAACTCAAAAATATTAAACCCCTTACCCAAAAAGTACAGAGCTATTACGGATTTGTAAAGCCGGCTTTGGAACCGAGGGCTTTACAAATGTAATTCCCACGACACCGTGCTGAGTCTCAAATTTGGCGTTAACGTAACTTAATTTCTATTTGTACTGGAAACGTATCAAGATATAAACTCCTCCATTACACGTGAAAATTCAAACCAATTTGGCAATCCTAGGACCCTTATTCTGCACAATCTCCATACAGTACCTCAAAGAGAGTCTAAAACACGAGAATTCATCTCATAAAATAATTCATGGAATCGGTCTAATTACCTTTCTAATTTCATCCAGCACCATTTCAAAGGACTTTTTATCCATCTTGACTACTATCCCGACGTGGTTTTAACAGTTATACTTGCAATTAAAAGACGTTCATCCCTGGTCTGCTCCGCCGATAGTAAAAAATATTTATAGCTGAGGAGGAAAAAGACTCCACGAGCAAGAGAGGATGCGAAGAGGTAGAGAGTATTGCAAACTTCGCAAAAAAAATTTCTAAAAATTGAGATTCAGAAAAACTCTTTTTATTAAAAAGAAAAAACACTCCAGTCAGGCTTCCCCAGCTTATTCACACAATGGTTCAGGGCACCTCGGGCAAGAGCCAGGTCCTCTGAGTTTTGCAGAAAAACCCGGGCTCGGCGGCAGGTTTGAGTGCGGTTTCCCTGCAGCTGAGGGCCAGGTGCCGCCAGAGGTAGCTCTTGAAGGCGCTTTCCCAGGTGGAGCGGCCGGCAGAGTAGAAACACCTGCGCTCAGAGTCCACGGGCGGCGGGGAGGGAGGCGCCGGTCTCTCGACCCGCACCTGCGCCTCGGCCGCCGGCCGCGACCCTCACCGCCGCGAACCCGGACGCATGGTCCGGCTCGCGCTCATCCCCAGCCGCTCCGCCCGACTCCTGGATACCTCGGCCCCGGCAGCAGGCGGCCCGGCAGGCTCTTTGTTACCAGCTGCTGCAGCTTCCGGGAGCGGGCCGGCGGCTGGGGAGCACCAGGAGCCGGGCGAAGAGGGGCACGGCCTCGCATAGGGGGACTCCGGAAAAACGCAGCCCCAACAGCGCCAGACGCCCTGCCTGGTTACCCCTACAGCCCCCACCAGCTCATGGGGACCTACAATAAAGCCAGTCGCGCCCAAGTAAACTCAACACTGCGCCGCCAGCTTGGGCCCCTCTTTCCTGAAAGCCAGAGGTGGGGTCCTGGTGTGGGAATATAGGCATCCATAGCGGATGCCTGGATGGTAGGAATAGGATGTGGCAAAAATCCTTCCCGAAGCCTAGCGGTCATTATTTTGAATGTCATCCCCACCATACCTCGTGTCTGAGTGTGCGATGTTTTGATTTTGCCCTCTGGATTAAAAAGAATAAATGGCGAGCGATTAAGGCATATCTACGGGCGCCCATACTTTGGTGGCCACTGAAAGTCAGCGGCGCGGACTGCCCTGAGGGCGGGAAAGGGTGGTCACTGGGTCAGCCCGAAGCACCTGACATGAGGGCGGGGACCCCGAAATGCACACGAAGTCCGGAACTGGTCTTCTGTGATTTTCATTCGCCCTGGTCTCTGTTCCCTTTCGTACTCAAAGCTCGTGCATCCAGGGAGGGGAAACCGGAGATAGGGTCTTCGGGCCCCGGGCAGACCCTCTGTGCCGCTGCAAACCGTTGCAGCCTGAGGCTGTCAGGTCCTCCCCCAGACACCTGCGGACCCTCCCTCTCCTGGCTTCCCGTCTGGTCATGGCGAGATTCTGGGTCTGCGTAGCCGGTGCTGGCTTCTTTCTTGCATTTTTGGTTTTGCATTCGCGTTTTTGTGGCTCTCCAGTGAGTTGGGTAGTGAGGAAATGACTGTCGGGTGTGCGGGTAGCCCTGTTGGGAGGCGTCGCCACGGTCGTGGCATGGAGGTGGCAGGCCCTGGTTCCCTCAGTAGCTTGTCTCAAAGCCTGCACCTGGGTCCAAACTGCCTTGACCCTTTGAGTTTAAAAATTTGTGTATGTTACATCGCCATTTTCCTCTTTCCCAACTCTTACTACATCCTCAAATAATTTGCAGACTTGTATTGTGGTCGTGTTGGTCTTTAGGCATCTAAGCTCATTTCTTTGGAATTATTTCAGTCCAGCAAACTTCTAGTTGTCAAGGCATGCTTAAAAATAAGCCCTGTTACCCGGCCCCCCCGCCCTTTTTTTGTTCTTACCTAGACGGTAAACTAAATCTGAATTGTCTGATTTTGTTTAAGGTTTTGAGGAACTTTACTTTTGCAGTTTCCTGGAGAACTGAGAAAATTCTTTACCGGCTGGATGTGGGTTGGCCTAAGCACCCAGAATATTTTACCGGAACAACATTTTGTGTTGCAGTTGACTCCCTCAATGGATTGGTTTACATAGGTCAAGTAAGTAAATAGAGATTTAAAAAAATTATGAACACAAAGGAAGTAACAGCCTTCCTGTCTTGCTGTAGTAACTGACCATATGCGTTTATATCATGCTAATTGTGCAATTTATTTTTGAGTTGGTCTCAAGTATTTTGGTTTCGAATGTGAAAGATATGTTAGATTTTGAAAGTGGTTTTTGTAGTAAAATTCTCAGTTATTTTTTTTCTTCGCCAAGATACAGATTACCTTTCCTTTAAGCTGATCCTAAGAAGTTATTTTTTGTATACCTTCAGAGAGGGGATAACATCCCAAAGATATTAGTGTTCACAGAGGATGGATATTTCCTACGAGCCTGGAATTATACAGTTGACACACCTCATGGTATATTTGCAGCCAGTACTCTATATGAACAATCCGTCTGGATCACGGATGTAGGAAGTGGTATGTATAGTAATATCTATTAAATTATCTTACTGGAAATCACATCTTTGCACATGTCCTTGTTTGTATTGTTTAAAATCAGAGTTGCTGAATCTAATTGTAATTTCTTTAACGATTCATGAAATCACATGTTTTTAACAAACTTTATTTTGTACTTCTGTGGAATTAAGAAATTTAACAAGGGCTGGACGCCGTGGCTCACGCCTGTAATCCCAGCACTTTGGGAGGCCGAGGCGGGCGGATCACGAGGTCAGGAGATCGAGACGATCCTGGCCAACACGGTGAAACCCCCGTCTCCACTAAAAATACAAAAAAAAAAAAAAAAAATCAGCCAGGCGTGGTGGCGGGCGCCTTTAGTCGCAGCTACTGGGGAGGCTGAGGCAGGAGAATGGCGTGAACCCGGGAGGCGGAGCTTGCAGTGAGCCGAGATCGCGCCACTGCACTCCAGCCTGGGTGACACAGCGACACTCTGTCTCAAAAAAAAAAAAAAAAAGAAAGAAATTTGACAAGGAGCCTGTTAATATGATCTTTCCTTGAACTTGTCTAGGGTCTTTTCCTCTTTAAAGCATCAGTTGCTCTTCTCAGATTAAATAACTCTAAACTGAAGCCAAATAAAGTGGCAGTCTCTGAAAGCAATGACTGGAATCCTTGACTCTTATTTTCCTTTTCCAGTTTTCTTTCATAAAAGATTGTGAAATCGTAACTGCTTTGTTGCTCAAAGTGCAAAGATTGCAGAAACTGTTGTTAATGTTTTTGAAATTCTACTGACTGAAGCATGTCTGAAATCTTCCTGCCATCAAATATTTTTAGTAGAAAAAGCTGAAAAATGAAGTGAGCACAACTGAATGTGCAGCTATGGAGAAAGTTTTCAGAGAAACAATTCACCTGTGGCTGTAGCTTAAGACAAGGCAATACCTGAGATATCCTGGCATTACCCTAGGAATTCAGGAAGAAATGGGATTATAAAGACATTATTTCTAGTATTCCTTGGCCCAGTTATGTTCTTGAATTGAGAGACATCCTGGTTCTACAGTCCTGGCTGATTCAGATACCATTTTTTAGAGATAATGAGTTCTCAGTTTCTGTAAGTAGTGCCATTATCACAGCTGTTCTCAGAACCCATAAGATTTCTGGGCCTCAGCTGATGGCCCATTTATTTCATGCTGTGTTTTACATAGTATGAATCTGGTTCAACCAAAAAAAGTCTATAGATTATCACTGAGTGAATTGTTAATACTATAATGAGAGTCTATTTTCACTTTTTTCCTGAAGATCCACTGTTAAAGACCATTTCTTTGAGTTCATTTTATTCATGTGATTTTTAAAAATAAGACTTCCTTGATTCCCAGAAATAAAAAGAGCACAGACGATCTCTTCATTTTTTCCATTACAGCTAATTTTCTACCCAGAGATCTGAAGACAGTTTTATATTCCCATTTCCCAAAGGAATAAATTTCCTCTAATGAAAAATATGGCTACAAATTAGCCTTTTTTTTTTGAGAAAATTTTTTATTGGTAGTCTTTTTTGCTAGTTTTTAGAAACTTGGAGGCTTATGTGTTTTTTATTGCTATGAACTTTAGCTCAACTGTCTAAAAGTGTAATAGTAAATAAATTATTTAACATAGAATTGTAATGCAAGCTGATTCACTTTCTTTCTGGTAAGCTCAATGTATCCAGTTTGTCTTTTGAATACCTATCAATTAATTTGGCATATGTACCTTCAAATTGATTTCTGTTCACTGCTTTATGATATTCCCTTATTAGTAGTCTGCTTTATGCTCTTGCTTGTAAGATAATTTTAACTTAAAGAAATTTTAACGTGAGAAAATAAGATACTCATGATTTACAAAGATTATTTTCTTCTTAGCAAAGAAAAGTTGGGTTGAATTTTGAATGTCTCCACAAGGTGAAAATGCAGTTAAAAAAAAAATCTGTACCATAGAGAACGTTTTTGTTGACTTACTGAAATTTAAGGTCTGTATGTGAGTGATTGAAATAACAGTTTCAAATATAAGTTGTTCCCTTTACATTTTCTTCTTGATTTCCTTTCATAAGCAATGCTTATTCAAGGTCATAAGATTAAAAAAGAAAATGGTGCACCAATACTTTGTTAGCATTCTGAGTTTCCTGTATAATGAGTCAATTATGGGGATGTTATTTATTTGAATTTAGAATCCGCTTATTTTGGACTAATGGAGATTTTAATTCGTGATCAAATTTGGCTGTAATTTACGAAGAAGCTATAGTGCTTGTCAATTATATGTAATTTCCTAAGCCTATCACCTATTTGTTATTATTTACTTCTATCAAATTTTTGCTCTTAGCTTACTTGAAAAATCTGAATGTTTGTATAGTGGTTTTATTTGTGAGATGTACATATCTATCTTTATAGGATTCTTTGGTCATACTGTTAAAAAATACAGTTCTTTTGGTGATCTTGTTCAAGTCTTGGGTACTCCAGGCAAAAAAGGCACTAGTTTGAATCCTTTGCAGTTTGATAACCCAGCAGAATTATATGTAGAGGACACAGGAGATATTTACATTGTGGATGGAGATGGAGGATTGAATAACAGATTGATCAAACTGTCCCAAGGTACATTACTTGTTTATGGTATTATAAAAATATTATAAATTGATTTTAATTTGTTCGATATTTGGTATAATGTTTTAAGTGTTGTGTATGAAGCGGTGTGTAAAGAGCTAAGTGTATTACTACGAGAAAACTGAAAAACAGATGGGTATGATTGCCCACAATAAATGATCCTGATAACAGGCCCACTTATTCTTCACCAAAGGCCAGGAGATTCCTCCAAAAGTAACTGGCAACAGTATGAGAATTTCTAGTGGGCTCAGGAGATAAGTGTGTATCCTATTTAATTAAGCATGTAGAAATTAGAAACCTAGAATCCCAGACTCAAGTATCCTACAGGCTGATTAATCAGCAAGCATTTTATTGAGTGCCCTTTCTGTGTCCTCTCTAGTATCAGGAGGTGCAGATCTATTATGTATTGAAACAATGAAATGTAGTCTATGCTATTGATTCTTAAAGCAAAATGGACTTAGGAGGAGAAACTAAATTGCCTGGAGAAATAGAACAAGATATCATGAAGGAAGTAGTTATTGAACTAAACTAGTTTTGGTGGGAGGAGAGGGGAGGATGGATGGAACATTCATGGAGGGTTTATCATGCATGGTCTACAGGCATTTATTAGCAGGAAAGAAGGTGAAGATGCACTTTTTCAGCAGCAGAAAATACAATTTGGGATGTTTCTGAAGTCTTATTTGAGGATTATTAAAGCCATGTTTTTGCCTATAACATTTTTGAGGTTTTCCTAGTAGAAAAGTGATGTTACAACAGCAGGTTTTATAAGACATTCTTTTAGGATCTACTTCAAGTGAGCTCTGTCATTTGGAGGCTGTGTAGTCAATTTATCAATTAGTAACTGAATTTGGTTGATAACAGTTGAAAGGGAAATGTAGAATAAGGATAAAGCAAGAATCCAAAAAATTGAATGAAAGAAACAACGAAATCTAGGAGACAGATTGAATATAAGTGTATTAGTTTCCTGTGGTTGCCATAACAAATTGCCACAAACTGCGTGGCTTTAAACAACATAAATTTATTCTCACAGTTTTGGAATCCAGAAGTTAGAAATCTGGTAGACTGTGCTCACTCTAAAGGTCCTGCCTTGCCGCTTCTAGTTTCTGGTGGCTCAAGCATTCCTTGGCTTGTGGCAGCAAAACTCTGATGTCTGTCTCCATATTCACATGGCGGCCCCTTCTTCTCTGTGTGTTTTTGTGCCTCCAGTCTTTCCCTTCTTTCTCTTAATAAGGATTTAGGGCCCACCCTAAATCCAGGATGATCTCATGAGATCCCTAATTTAATTTTATCTGCAAAAACTATTTCCAAATAGCATCACATTCCCAGGTATCAGGAGTTAGGACTTGGACATCTTTTTAAAGGACCACAGTTGAACCCACCGTAGTGCGTAATAAAGGAGATAGACGGTAAAATCATAATGTGAATTTTTAAGGTCTGTGGAATACTAATATCAAGTAACAGATAAGTTGGGAAGGGGAACCAGTTTTAGGGAGAGGATGGCATAAACCCTAAACAATGATTTTGAAGCAGTCATGAAAAATTCAAGTGGAGATAATAATTAAAGAAGTAGATTAATTCCCTAAAGCAGAGAAGGAACTTTAAAAAAAAAACTGTAAGAAATGGGCAAATGGGCATATAGACAGGAAAGCCGAGAAAGCATAGTCAAGTGAACCAGCGGTGTAATTAAATAGTTCTTTGTAACCTGTTTCATAAAATATGCAAATGCATGAGACATTCTATATGTTGCTCTGACTATATATTTTTACCGTTTATAGATTTCATGATCCTTTGGCTGCATGGAGAAAATGGGACAGGGCCTGCTAAGTTCAACATACCTCACAGTGTTACACTTGATTCAGCTGGTCGGGTACAAATACAGCGTCATTGTGTCTGGGACTTTGTGTCTGAATATGTTTGTGTGTGTGTGTGTGTGTGTGTGTGTGTGTGTGTGTGTCTGGGCATGTATATATAGATTGTGGTATACATGTGTGTCTGGGCATGTGGATACATGTGTGTTAGTGGGTATGTCTGGGTAATTACTCTGGGGCTGGGTGTGCACACATACTTTCTTACAAGTGTTTGAGTCCTATAGTGAGGGGGTTCCCCAAACATTTAGAAAGGAGCAAAATGGATTTCCTGTACCATTTAAAAGGATAGAAGGCACAAATAATGGATCTGAACATAAAGTTACCTGAAAGAAAAAGTTGCCCTCTTACTGGGAAAACTCCACTAAAAGTGTTTGAATATCTTTTCACTTCTCAAGAAAAAAATGTGCTGATCTAAAGTGGAGTGGGAGAGGTTAACCTTGGAAGTCTGAAAAAGAGTCACCTAGGCAAACTCTTGTTCTCACTAACTCCACATTGTTTAGGGAACAGAAAGCTTTAGCCAACAAATTTCAATCAGTTTCTCTCTTTTCTACCCTACTCACTACTATCTCTTTTGCATTTACTCAATTTCTAAGCATAGATCTCACTTCTTTGAGGTTACCTTTTCACAACGAAACCGCCACCAAAAAATTTGTATATTAGTTTCTCCTGCTCTTTTCCTATAGCAGCCTGTACTTCGTATCATAGTAACTATCATGCTATATTATAATCATTTGTCTGTCTCCCCTAATAGATGTCAGGCTGTTGAAAGTGCTTACTGAATCTCTTTTGCTTTATTTCTTTGTGCCTAGTACACAGTAGTCATATTTATTTATTAAATGACTAAATGTCTTGACACACAATGGGTACATTAGGCTACTTGCCTTCATACCATTAGGCATTTAATCCATTTCTACTTCTGATTCAGTGCTCAGCAAACAAACTTCTAATTATGACTTGGCTTCCTAATCATAATTGATTGACAAAAATGAGAATGTTTTGATCATTAAATCTTCTGATCTGCCATAAGACGTTAATCAACCATGTGAACTTTGTATATAAATTGGGAACTGGAAACTTTGAATTAAACTTTTGCACATTATCCTCCTGAGCTTGGGTGACTCATTGTGTGCTAAGAAAAAAAATCAAATTTCAGAACATGCGAGACCTCGACCCAGGTAAATTCATCATGGTGAGGAACGCCCTTCTAAAAGGCCTTGGAAATCATCTGATGGGGGTACTCTGGCATTCCTGAGTGATAAAGAGTGTCAATTATACAAAATTGTGTTTTATAACAATAGCAATTCTGTTCTGAGCATTTTACATAATTAATTCATTTAATCATCACCACAACCCTATATGAAAGGTTAGTCAGTTCCAGACTTGTTGTTATGTGTTAAACAGGAGTTCCCATAATCAAAATTCATTGAGTGTTGAGCAGGACAGATGATGCTAACAATCTAAAGTATCATTCCATCCTAGGGTGTAAACTATACTTCTTCCTTGGTCATTTGTCTGGGATACTAGTCTCAAACTCTTTAAGAAAACCTATCCTTACTAAAGGACCATAGATCAGGAAAAGACCTTGAGAAATTGCTTTACTTTGGCATCAACAACCTTTCTTAAATGGTGTAGTGAGTTTTGATTTGTTTCTGATTGGAGATTAATTCAATGGCTACCAAAATTCACACATATTGATGAAGCTGTAATCAGGGTTACCTGTGAAGAAATTATCTCTCAATCCACAAACCCAAGAAATCCAAAGGACCAAAAGCAGGGAGGTAGAAGTAAAGAGGACTGACCCACTCCCAGTCCATTCTTTCATACCTCTCTACAACCCTGGCCACAAGTCATCAAAAACCATTTCCTGCCGGGTGCGGTGGCTCACGCTTGTAATCCCAGCACTTTGGGAGGCCAAGGTGGGCAGATCACGAGGTCAGGAGATCGAGACCATGGTGAAACCCCATCTCTACTAAAAATACAAAAAAATTAGCCGGGCGTGGTGGCGGGCGCCTGTAGTCTCAGCTACTCGGAGAGGCTGAGGCAGGAGAATGGCGTGTACCCGGGAGGCGGAGCTTGCAGTGAGCCGAGACTGCGCCACTGCACTCCAGCCTGGGTGACAGAGCGAGACTCCATCTCAAAAAATAAAAAAAACCATTTCCCTTTATGCTTTAAGCTGCATGCATGTGGCCATGAAATGTCATTTAGAATGCATCTCACTTCTTGTCTTAGAACAAGTTCCTTAATAACCCATTACAGCCTATAACAAACCTAAATTAAACCTATTACTGTTCTTTATTTGTTGCTAAAATACCTCAGGCTTCTTCAGTTGGTTCAGCACTCTGTACATACCTTGGTAATAGCAGGTATGGGTTTAATGATACTGCAATCTGAATGAATACCTCACATCCTGCTATATTGAGCTCTTGAGAAGTAAGGCTGCTTTTCTTTGTCATGTTGCCTGGCCCAGGAGCTGACAAGCCAGTAGTACTCATTGAAAAATGAATGCTTGTTAGAGGAATGAATGAATGTTGTCAGTTTTCATTATCTACTGATCCCCTGCATTATGGTAGAGTACTCCAGCTTTTTAGTTATTCACACATTTAGAACAGTAGACAGAGTATTATAAGCTTTGGGTTAAGACAGCTTTGGGTTGTGCCTCTCCCATTTGTAAGCTCACTTCAGAGACGGCAACCTTTCTGAACTTTAGTTTTTCCTCATCTGAAAATGGGACTTAACTACCTTCTTTGGAATCCTCTTAAGTGAGATAATGTATGGTGAAACTAATGAAAATAAACATTCTTTTCCCTTTTTTCTTCTCATGGATATTTTTCAATTGACATTTTTGTGTGTTTCTCAGGTGTGGGTTGCTGACCGAGGAAATAAAAGAATCCAAGTATTTGATAAAGACACTGGGGAGTGGTTAGGAGCATGGAATAATTGTTTCACAGAAGAGGGACCTTCTTCAGTCAGGTAATTGTTTCATTTTATTGCAAAATGCTTGTTTTAGTTAGTGTATGTGTCTCACTTCCTCTGAATAGCTAGCTGAAAGTTTAAAATATTTATTGTTAATTTTGAATTAGGGGAAAATAGAAATATACAGAGAAATTTGATATCCAAGATTTTCAGATGCCAGGTAAAGTGAAAACAAGAAATAACATATGCTAGACCTCTCCTCTAGCCTTTATTTGGTAAATGTTTAAACAGGACAAAAATCAAACCCAGCCTAACATCAATTCTTCATTAATTTCATTTTGTGGACTATGATATTGATACTTTTAACAAATTTAAGCTAATCTTTGGCTTTGCTTACCATCATGGACATCTTATTCCTTCATAAACAGAATTAGATCAAATTAAAATTCTTCTTAAAAGAATCATTCAGCAAGTAGGTGCCTACTGTTGTTTGGCACAGTAGGGGATTAAAATGTTGAAAAAAAATACCCTTATGTTTTTTCACAGACATTTATTATGTTAAATGTCTTTCTCCTTAGGTTTACTCCTGATGGGAAGTACTTGATTGTGGCCCAGCTGAATCTTAGCAGGCTCTCAGTCGTAGCAGCACCCCCAGTGGGAAGCATTGGGGAGTGTTCTGTGATCAGCACAATCCAACTAGCAGATCAAGTTTTGCCACATCTCCTAGAAGTCGACAGAAAGACTGGAGCAGTCTATGTAGCAGAAATTGGAGCAAAACAAGTACAAAAATATGTCCCTTTGAATAGCTATGTTCCTTCATTTGGTTCATAATGTTTCTTTCCTGGGAATATTTCAAGTGGCAGTTCAGATTCTCAATTCACTAAGTGCTTAAAAATGATGTTCAAGCACAAGAATTTATTTTTCTAGTATAAAAGATCTAGTATCAGAAAGATTTGTTTTTGTATCATTAAGAATCTTATATTTTGTTGCCCTCTTGGGACTTAGTTTTATTTGTAAGTGCATAAGGATATTTTAATGAAAGGAAAGTAACTAAAAAATGGGGTTGGGAAGAGGGACTAAGGTGGTAACCTCATTATTTGCCCTGGTAGACTGATTCTCCCTGGGTAAAAAAAATGGGAATAAAAATGAGCTTGCATGATAATTTATTAAATTTCATGTGAAGAACTCCAGACCTCCAGATTGTGCAACTAACATAAAATGAGCTGCTTGAGAGATTGTAAATAAGATGAACTATTGATTAATTTGAGTACCCACAGAGTGCTGTGTCTTGACGACTTAAAAATGAAAAAGCAGGATTGCCTTTTGAGTAGCTTGCAGTCTAGTGGGGAGACAAGCAGGCAAACAGTCACAACACAGCAAAAGCGACCTTGGAGCATAGTGGGACTTTTGGAGTAGGAGTGCTGCATTTGACTGAGGGAATCATGGATACTTCGCAGGAGAAGTGAATTTGAGCTCAGACTTGAAAACTGAGGAGGAGCTTACCAAGGGACAAGGAGGAGAAAACAATAATTTCCAAGTAAAGAAGGTATAAAAAGTTAGAAGTGTACTGTAAACTTTGATAGGCTTTTAGGCCTTTTTTAAAGCCCAACTTGGCTTCTGTCCATTACCTATAAGATATTTAATGTCAGTCAGCCTTTAAATGTAGGAATAAAATGGCTGGCATCTAAGCACTTTAGTAAAAGAGGTTTTTACAAATAACTAAGGATTGTAGAGCTTCCTTCTCTTTTTTTTTCTTTTTCTTTCTTTTGTTTTACATGAACTCAACTTATTCCTAACATTTGTCTACCTCAAAGAAATTTCAAGATTATTTAGATAACATGGATATGTGCCAAATCCTTTGAGCTGTTAAGATGATAATTTCCTGCTTTCCTCCTACATCTTCTCCTCCCACTCCCTCCTTTGGTGTGAATATTGGCTTCCCAATTAAGACCTTTTTTTTTTTTTTTCCAGTTTGTTTTAGCTTATTATAGGTTTTGGAGGAACTTTGCCATTTTGTAATCTTTCAAATCATTCTTCACCCTTCCTCACATCAGCTTCCTGCTTTTCCCAGTGTTTTACTGTAAATTGTGTAGCATATGACAAATCTTGAGCTGACTTTCCTCTTCACCTGTTATGGCTGGAGTATTTTCCAGACCTGAAGGGACTCACACTTGTTTTGATACTTGGATCACATCTCCGTGAGGTTAGGAAGGTAAATCTACCAACAGGAAGCCCTGTACTCTGTATTCCAAGGCCATTGGTAAATGTGTTGGTGCCACTGATCGGACTGTATGACCTTAAACAAGTCACCTTAGTTTTCAGTGAAATGGGAATATCATTGTCTCCTCTTTCATGAATGCTGTGAGAATCAGATGTGCAACAGGTACAGACTTGCCCTTTGAAATCTATACCTCTGGATACATTAGAGGCATTTTATTAACAAAGGCCCTTCTAAATGTGCTATTTATTTGACAATAACTATCAGATTTGCCTTAATTTTGTGTTTATAGCATTTATCAAAACGTATCCTCATAGACTTTATGCAGATTAATATGGTCAATTGATTTGGATAAAAGAAAGTAATTTCAGGGTTTGTTTTTAAGCCAGGACAAGAAGTGCAAATGCCTCTTTGAAGCAATTTAGGCTAAACTGATTTTGAAATTTCAAAATGTTTTATTTTACTTTGTTTTATTAAGCCAGGACAAGAAGTGCAAATGCCTCTTTGAAGCAATTCAGGCTAGGTAAACCGATTTTGCCATTTCAAAACGTTTTATTTTACTTTGTTTTATATCAGAGTCTTATAAAACCTGCTGCAAATATTTCTGAATGTCTTTGTAAAAGTGTTTGTTAGTGTACCTGTGATTATAGTACTTCACTTTTTTCCTTTGGATTAATTGGTTAAATGAATGAGAAATGTGTTATGTTTTTTACTAAAAAGTATAAATTAAAATTTTGGAAAGAAAAGGCAATATTATCTGGCTCCCCAATTAAAGTTTGATTTTATTGTCACAAAAGCAGTCTATAACTTTTTATTCCTTTAAAGAATTTCAGCAATTATGAAATCACAAGTTGATGCTGAAAGAATATCCCACTTTTCACACATATAGCGTGTAAGCTGATGTGCATAAATATGACTAGAAGTTGCTTAGAACATTTAAAGAATGTAGCTTGTTTTGAGGTGGTGGGAGGGTACAACTGACAGTAATAACTAGCTAATTGTCTACATTTCTGCATTAAAAGTGGAACATCTTTATACTTCTACTTTTTAGGTCTATTCTTGGAGTGGGGAGGGGAGAAAGTGTTCTAAATTAGAAAACCAAAGGCTATAGATTTAGCTCTATCTTTCCCTACCTGTACCATCAGATTGGGTCTTTCAAGTGGAATATTTATCGATCAGAGAAAACTTGGATGAAATCTGATGGTGAACAGAGATTTACCACGAATTTTTTT
This sequence comes from Homo sapiens, assembly GCF_000001405.40. Classification (NCBI taxonomy): domain Eukaryota; kingdom Metazoa; phylum Chordata; class Mammalia; order Primates; family Hominidae; genus Homo; species Homo sapiens. Next base: position 39,050,546 of record NC_000013.11, read on the forward strand.
TTTTTTTTTTTTTTTTGAGACAGAGTCTCGCTTGGTCGCCCAGGCTGGAGCGCAGGAGTCTCGCTCGCTCGGTCGACCAGGCTGGAGTGCAGTGGCGCCATCTCGGCTCACTGCAAGCCCCGCCTCCCGGGTTCATGCCATTCTCCTGCCTCAGCCTCCCGAGTAGCTGGGACTACAGGCGCCCGTCACCACACCCGGCTAATTTTTTTTTTTTTGTATTTTTAGCGGAAATGGGGTTTCACCGTGTTAGCCAGGATGGTCTTGATCTCCTGACCTCGTGATACGCCCGCCTCCGCCTCCCAAAGTGCTAGGACTTTGTTCTTAGGTCACTTAACAGATTAAAAGACTGCTTCAAGCAATGTAGTGTAAGGCTACGGCAATAAAGTCCTATTTTGTTTTGCCTTTGCTGTTTTTAAGCACTTTTGCATTTGAAAACAGGACAGATTGGATAGTCAGCATTAAAATGGAAACTCAAATTTTTGCTTTTTAGGCTTACCAAAATAAATGAGAGTTTTTAAAAGTCCTAAATTTATTACTTTAATTTGTTGTATTCTCTGCTATATATTTTCAGCAACAATAAAAAATCAAAATAATCATCTTTATTGATTCAGTAAAAAGTTTTGAGACAACAAACATATAAAAGCACTCAGTCAAGTGTCCTCTGCTCTAATAGTTCCCTACCTGGTTGGGAAAACAAGCTACTTAAACCTTGTCTTTTAGTAGTTTTAGGAGATACCATTTTTGGCACTTGTGTTATGTTACATTCTTGATACACAAGAGGTCAGTAGCGTTCTGCTTATAAGCATTTCTTGAAATCAAACATGGGCTAAACTTCATACTTTGGTTGTTTTTTTTTTTAATTGAAGCTACAGTGTTCACCATACTTTCATTGTTTTTCTTTTTTCTGCCACTTGCTTACATCTTAAGGAAATTGCTTTATGGGTGAAACATTTTCCAAGCATTGTTGGAAATTTTTTACTGGTTAATTGGACTTGTCCACAATTAAAAAAAAAGTTTAAACCTTTTCAGTAATTCAGACTAACAGCCAGAAGTGAATTAACTTATTTTAAATGAAGGTGAAACTATAATCTGAATGTGTGAGTTTAGTACAATAGAGAATGAATTTGTATTAGTGGGGAATCATTCTTTTTTCTCCCTAGTAGTTGTTTTTTGTTGTCGTTGTTGCTGTTGTATAAAAAAAAAAAACAATTTCACCTTGTGGTTGCTACTTTACAAATAAGAAAAATAAGTTTTTTATAAAGACTCTTAGGTCATTTCTTCATCAGCTACTCTGGAATCCATGAGTTTATAAATTAATCCTCTAAACGCTAAATGACATGTAGATGCTCCTTTGGTGTATAAGAATTGAATAGAATTTGAGCAATGAAAAATAACACTACTTAAAACTTATTTTTTCCATTGTAAACAATGAAGTAATATGACTTAATTCTGCTTCTATGTAATTCATAAATAAAAAACTCACTGTAACATTAAAACAAGCATGTCCTACATGAGTTACATTTAAATAAATTAATTTTAATTTAAATTAATTTAATAGATTAATTTGCGTGAGTCACAACAAATTGATATTATAAACTTGCTTCTCAATTTTCAGCCGCTTTATCAAAGGAAGAAAATTTTAGTTGCATGGTGCAGATTCTCAGATTTGTTCCTAGTGAGAATTAGTTACTGTAATATGTGTTAGAAATTTTTTTTTACAATACGACATTTATATACAAATTGTCACAATCACCAGTTAAATGTTTTTATAACATTTTTCTTCACAGTGTGTATAAAGAAGTATTTAAATATTTTGATGCTTCCTGTATTGAACTGAAATACTTATTTTTACTTAACTAAAGGGATGAAGGAACTAACTATATGTACGTTTGTTTTTAATCAACATTAATTGAGGTAAATGTATTCAGTTTTGTGTGGAGCGTATGGGGGTTACGTTTGTGCAGTCTGTGTGCATATGTGTAAATATAAATGTGCATCTAAAGGGCATTATGCCCAACTAGGTCAGAAGAACTGGATCAAGACAGTTGAAACAACATGGCTAAACGTTAAGTCCTCATCGGAGGACACCTGGTTTGGCAACAAATTATTTGAAAAAGTTTTGGAAAGTTTGTTGGCCAAAAATATTACAAGCCTTGTTAAGAAAAATGTTGCAATCTTAGACAACATTGAAGTGTAGATTTAATGGCAGTTTAATCGACAAGATAGTCTATATATCTAGTAAATAGCTCCGTGGTGTTGTTTCCTTTGGCTACTACATTTTAAGGGGGCATCCTATAAACTGTTTAACCCAAAAGCAGTGTGATGGTTAATATTGAGTGTCAGCTTGGTTGGATTGAAGGATGCAAAGTATTGTTCCTGGGTGTGTCTGTGAGAGGGTTGCCGAAGGAGATTAACATTTGAATCAATGGACTGTGAGAGGCAGCCCCACCCTCAATCTGAGTGGGCACCATCTAATCAGCTGCCAGCGTGGCTAGAATAAAAGCAAGCAGAGGAACGTGGAAGGATGAGACTGGCTGAGTCTTCTGGTCTTCATCTTTCTCCCATGCTGGATGCTTCCTGCCCTTGAACATTGGACTGCAAGTTCTTTAGCTTTTGGACGTTTGGACTTACACCAGTGGTTTGCCAGGGGCTCTCAGACCTTCTGCCACAGACTGAAGGCTGCACTTTCAGCTTCCCTACTTTTGAGGTTTTGGAACTCGGACTGGCTTTCTTGCTCCGCAGCTTGCAGGTGGCCTGTTATGGGACTTTACCTTGTGGATCATGTGAGTCAGTACTCCTTAAACTCCCTTTCATATATCCATCTATCCTATTCATCCTGTCTCTGTAGACAACCCTGACTAATACAAGCAGGTAACCAAAATAACAGTGTTTGGAAATAATTCTGAAGTCTCAGAGGGTGATCATGTAGTAGAGTGAATAGAATTCTGCACTTTCCTCCAGAACTAAGACAATGAGTACAAATAATAGAGTGGTCCATTGGATCAGCCCAATAAAAGAACCCTCCTCTAGCAGTGGAATGGGCTGTAGCAGTGGATGTGGTAAAGCTTGGTGTTTCACAGCTTGGAATCCAGAGTTAGGTTGACCTACGTTCTAATCCACGCCCTGCAACTAATTTGTATTGTTTTGAGCTATGCCTCATTTTTTTGCTCATTTGTGAAATGGGAATACTAGTATTTTCCTTATGGAATTATTGTGAATACAAATAAGATCATGCATGTAAAGCATTAAGCCCTGTCTCTGACATGCAATAAGCACTCAACAAACCTTAAGAGATTCACGTGTGGTGTTTCAATCAGACAATGGCAGTCATGCTACCACCTTTGGGCAGGGTTTGGGAGAATGGTGAGACCACATGAACTTCCCTATTATATAATTCTGTGTTTAGTCACAGTATTGAAAATTAAAGGTAAGGCTGTAATATACTAAAGCATCTATCATTTAGAAATGCCATTTTAAAAAACATGGCTATTTTTAGTTGGCATTAATGCTGTTTATCCAACAAGTAATTTATGATCAAGGTAAAGACTCCCACCTTCTGCAATTTATATTCTAGTTGGAGAGACAGAGGAAATTGAGAGGAAAAATGGGATTTTGGTTAACATTTATGGTATACATTAACACTTAGTTGGTTAAGCAAATACCCATTTTCAGTGTTCTTCTGCCTTTCCTTCCACTACTGTAACGACTGGAAGAGCTGGGTGCTCACTTCCTCAGCCTGCTAGCAACTAGAGGTAGCTCTGTGACGTGGCTCTGACCATAATTGGAAGTCTACTGGTAGACTTCTAGAAAAGCATTTGCTTTTTTGATTTTAAAAAATAGCAGCATCACTCCTTTATCCATTTCTTCCCTGCCTTGAACTTGGAAGTGATGCCTGAAGTTGCAGTAGCCGTCTCAGAACCATGAAGCCACAAAGCAGCAATCTTAAGGCAGAAAGATAGGAGCCTGGGTTTTTAGCATGTTAGGGAACCACTACATTGTCCTTGTATTTCCTTTCTCCAGACTTCTTTTTATGGGAGATAATTAAATGTGACTAAAGCCACTGTTAGTTGAATGTTTTCTTGCAGGTGAAAGCATTCCTAAGAAATGTAATACTGAGTTAAACTGCATTAATTTGAGAAAGATGGATATTTTTATTGTTTTAAGATTCTGTATCCAGGAATATGTCATTCCAATGTCTTATGTCCTTTAAGATTTTACAAGTTTTTTTAAAAAAATAGATGCTGTGCCTTTTTCTCGTGACAAATTTAGATTCCTGTATCAAATTTATTCCATGCATTTATTACCGATACTAGAGTAGGATTTTTCCCCATTTCTATTTAGTTATTGGAGGTATAGAGAAAAGGAATCAATTTGTTTTATATATAATATATTAACCTTAATTAATTTAATTTAATAATTTAATGAGTTAATTTAACAATTAACCTTAATTATTTTAATTAGCTATTATGGACATTTGGATTTTGTGGGTGGAGCACTGAAAAAAACTATACATCTTTCAATATTTGTATTGCTTGTTTGATTTTCAAAATTTTATTACATTAGCTACACTATTTAAAACAATGTTGAATGATAGGGGGATATCCTTATCTTATTTCTGATTTTAATGGAAATGTTTGCACTACACCAATTATTAATAATACGATATTTGCTATTAAGTTTTGGTAATTTTCATATTTCAGTTCTTTGTCTCTTAGAGTTTTATTAAGAATACTTAATTTTATTAACTGGCTTTTGACATTGATGTAGACAATATGTTGATGTAATGAATGTTACAGATTATTTTTCTTATGTTATTGGAAAACATTTTAATCATGATGTCTTGCTTGGAACTTCTATTCTTGAAACACAAAGGGCAGTAGAGTTCTATTTATACAATTTACTAATTATGTTTCTTCCATCTCCAAAAGGAAATTGAGTTTCCTTACAATAAAAGAATACATTAAAATAGAAAAAGTAATGTCAAACAAACATTTTATAGAAAGTACATTTATTGGAAACCTGGATTAGTAATAGTTACAGCAATAAAATATTAAGTTAATTTGGAGTTTTCTTGTAGCTGTGGCAAAGAAGGAAATATAAATAATTCTCATTTAATGAAATCTTATCCATTCTTTGGAAAAAACAAGCTCTTGTTTTTTCTTTTCTTTTTTTTTTTGGCTCAACTTGAAAAGTTTCCATAGTCTTCCACAAATTATAGATATCAGAAGAAACTTTGGTTATCAACAATAGCAATAAAAGTGATTTTTAATGGACTATATTATTAAATAGATTAGTGCAATTATGTATCAAAATCATGCCTTTTATTTTACTTGTTTATATATATTTTCAACTTTTAGATTCTGGGGGGCTACATATACAGATTTGTTACAAAGGTATATTGCATGATGCTAATGTTTGGAGTATAATTGAACCTGTCATCCAGGATGTAAGGGTAATACCTAATATGTACTTTTTCAGCCCTCTCCCTCTCCCAACCCCCTCCCTCTTATATTCTTCAGTGTCTGTTGTTCCCATCTTTATGTCTGTGTGTACCCATTGTTTAGCTCCGACTTGTGAGAACATGTGGTATTTGGTTTTCTCTTTCTGTATTCTCTCACTTAGGATACTGGCCTCAAGCTGCATCCATATTGCTGCAAACAGCATGACTTCACTCTTTTTTATGGCTGCATAGTATTCCTTGGTGTATGTGTACCATGTTTTCTTTATCCAGTCCAACATTGAAGGGTATCTAGGTTGATCCCATGTCTTTGCTATTGTGAATAGTGCTGCAGTGAACATGGATGCATGTGCCTTTTTGGTAGAATGATTTATTTTTCTTAGGTTATATACCCAGTAATAGGATTGCTGGGTCAAATGCTAGTTCAGCTCTTAGTTCCATAAGAAGTCTTCCATACAAAAAAAAAAAAAATTAGCTAGGCGTGGTGGTGCATTCCTGTAATCCCAGCTACTTGGGAGGCTGAGGCAGGAGAATCACTTGAACTAGGGAGTCGGAGGTTGCAGTGAGCCAAGACCGCGCCGATGCACTCCAGCCTGGCAACAGAGCGAGACTCTGTCTAAAAAAACAAAACAAAACAAAAAAGAAGTCTTCCAACTGCTCTCCACAGTGGATGAACTAATATATTCCCACCAACAGTGTATTAGTGTTCCCTTTTCTCTGCAACCCCACCAGCATTTGTTATTTTTGACGGTTTAACAAAAGCTATTCTGACGTGTGTGAGATTGATTTGCATTTATCTAATGATTAGTGATGATGAGCATTTTTCCATTTGTTTGTTGGCCACTTGTATGTCTTCTTTTGAGAAGTGTCTGTTCATATCCTTTGCCCACTTTTTAACAGGGCTATTTGTTTTTTGCTTATTGATTTAGTTCCTTATAGATTGTGGACATTAGGCTATTTTCAGGTGCATAGTTTGAGTGTTTTCTCCCATTCTGTAGGTTGTCTGTTTACTCTGTTGATAGTTTCTTTTGCTTTGCAAAAGCTCTTTAGTTTAATTAGGTCCTACTTGTCAATTTTTGTTTTTGTTGCAATTGTTTATGAAGACAACTGTAAATTCTTTGTCAAGGCCAGTATTGAGAAGGGTATTTCCTAGGTTTTCCTCAAGAAATGTTATGGTTTGAGGTCTTATATTTAAGTCCTTAATGCATCTTGAGTTAATTTTTACATATGGTGATAGATAGGGGTCTACTTTCATTCTTCTCTATATGGGTAGCCAGTTATACCAGCATCATTTATTGAGTAGAGAGTCCTTTCTTCATTGCTTATTTTGTTGACTTTGTCAAAGATCATATGGTCACAGGTGTGCAGCTTTATTTCTGGGTTTCCTACTCTGTTCCATTGGTCTATGTGTCTATTTTTATAACAGTACCGTGCTGTTTTGGTTATTGTAGCCTTATAATATTGTTTGAAGTCAGGTAATGTGATGCCCCCCCACTTTGTACTTTTTGCTTAGGATTGTGTTGGCTATTCAGGCTGTTTTTTGGTTCCATATGAATTTTAGAATAGTTTTTTCCAATTCTGTGAAAAATGATCTTGGTGCTCTAATAGGAATGGTGTTGAATCTATACATTGCTTTGGGCAATATGGCCATTTTAATGATGTTGATTCTTCCCATCCTCGAGTATGGAATGTTTTTCCATTTGTTTGTGTCATTACTGATTTATTTCAGTGCACTTGTTGTTCTTCTAGTGGTCTCTCACCTCCTTGGTTAGATGCATTCCTAGGTATTGTATTCTTTTTGAGGCTATTGTAAATAGGATTGTGTTCTTGATTTGGCTCTTAGCTTGAACATTATTGGTGTATAGAAATGCTACTAATTTTTGTACACAGATTTTGTATAATGAAACTTCACTGAAATTGTTTATCAATTCTTAGAGGCTTTGGTGGAGGCTTTGGCATTTTCTCAGTATAGAATCATATCATCAGGGAAGAGAGATAGTTTGGCTTCTTTTATTTCCTATTTCTGTGACTTTTATTTCTTTCTCTTGCCTGATTTCTCTGGCTAGGACTCCCAGTACTGGGTTGAATAGGAGTGGTGAGAGTGGACATTCTTGTCTTATTCCAATTCTTAGGCAAAATGCTTCCAACATTTGCCCATTAAGTATGATGTTGGCCATGAGTTTGTCATAGCTGGCTCTTATTATTTTGAGGTATGTTCTTTCAGTGCCTAGTTTGTTGAAGGCTTTTATTGTGAAGGGATGTTGGATTTTATTGAAGGCTTTTTTTTTTTTTTTTTTTTGGTCTATGGAGATGATCACATAGTTTTTGTTTTTAATCCTGTTTATGTGGTGAATCACATTTATTTACTTGTGTGTGTTGAACTATCCTTGCATCCCATAAATAAAGTCTGGTTGATCATGGTGAATTAACTTTTTGATGTGCTGCTGGATTTGGTTTGTTAGTATTTTGTTGAGGGCTGTTGCATCTGTGTTCATCAGGGATATTGGCCTGCAGTTTTCTTTTTTCATTGTGTCTCTGCCAGATTTTTGGCATCAAGATGATGCTGGTTTTGTAAAATGAATTAGGGAAGAGTCCTTCCTCCTTGATTTTTTTTGGAATAGTTTCAGTAGGATTGATACCAGCTCATCCTTGTACGTCTGATATTATTCAGCTGTGAATCCATCTGGTCCAGGACTTTTTTTGGTTGGTAGGATTTTTATTACTAATTCAATTTTAGCACTCATTATTGGTCTTCTCAGGGTTTCAGTTTATTCGTTCAATCTTGGGAAGTTGTGTGTTTCCAGAAATTTTTCCATTGCTTCCAGATTTTGTTTTCTTTTCCTTTCTTCCTTTCCTTTCTCTATTTCTCTTTCTTTCTCTCTCTCTCTCTCTTTCTCTCTTTCTTTCTCTCTCTCCTTCTTTCCTTCCCTTCCCCCCTACCCTCCTTCCTTTTCCTTCAGTTATTTATTTATTTATTTTGAAACAGAACCTCATTCTGTCACTCAGACTAGAGTGCAGCGGCGCGATCTTGGGTCACCGCAACCTCCGCCTCCTAGGTTCAAGTGATTCTCCTGCCTTGGCCTCCTCAGTAGCTGGGATTATAGGTGCATGCCACCATGCCAGGCTAACTTTTTAATATTTTGTTAAGATGGGTTCTCACTGTGTTGCACAGGCTGTCTTCTAGATTTTCTAGTTTGAGTACATGGAGATGTTTTAGTAGTTAGTCTCTGAGGATCTTTTGTATTTCTGTGGGATCAGTGGTAATGTCATCTTTGTCTTTTCTGATTCTACTTATTTGTATTGTTACTCTTTTTATTAATCTAGACAGCAGTGTATCAATCTTGTTTATCCTTTCAAAAAACTAACTTTTGGTTTCATTGATCTTTTGTGTGTATTTTTGCATCTCAACTTCATTCAGTTCTGCTCTGATTTTAGTTTTCTTCTGCTAGCATTGAGGTTCCTGTTTTTCTAGTTCTTCTGGGGGCAATGTTTGATTATTAATTTGATATCTTTCTAACTTCTTGATATAGGTATTTTGTACTGTAAACTTTTCTCTTATCACTGCTTTCATTGCATCCCAGAGATTTTGGTATGTTGTGTCTCTGTTTTTATTAATTTTTGAGAAATTTTTTATTTCTGCCTTAATTTTATTATTTACCCAAAAGTCATTCAGGAGTAAGTCGTTTAATTTCCATGTATTATGTGGTTTTAAGAGGGCTTCTTGGTATTGATTTATATTTTTATTGCACGGTCATTGGAGAGTATGGTTGGTATGATTTTAATTTTTTAAAAGGTACTGAGACTTGCTTTATAACCAAATATGGTTAATCTTAAGAGTGTGTTTCCTGTGCAGTTGGGAAGAATGTATATTCTGTGGTTGTTGGGTGTAGTATTTTGTACATGTCTATTAGGTACAATTGGTCATGTGTCAGGTTTAAGTCCAGAATGTATTTGTTAGTTTTTTGCCTTGATAGTGTAACACTGTCAGTGGGGTGAGGTCCTCCAATATTGTTATGTGGCTTTTTTTTTTTTTTTTTTTTTTGAGACGGAGTTTCACTCTTGTTGCCCAGGTGTCACCACACCAGGCTAATTTTGTATTTTTAGCAGAGACAGGGTTTCCCCTTGTTGGTCAGGCTGGTCTCGAACTCCCAACCTCAGGTGATGCGCCTGCCTCTGCCTCCCAAAGTGCTGGAATTACAGGCATAAGCCACCACGCCCAGCCCTGAGTCTTTTTGCCATTCTACAAGTGCTTGTTTTATCAATATGACTTCTCCAGTGTTGGATGCATATGTATTTAGGATAGTTATGTTTTGCTGAATTGAACCTTTTATCATTATATAATGCCCTTCTTTGTCCTTTTTGACTATGTTGGTTTAAAGCTTGTTTTGTCTTATGTAATAATAGTTACCCTGCTCTTTTTTGCTTTCTGTTTGCATGATAGATTTTTCTCCATTTCTTTATTTTGAGACTATGGGTGTTTTTACACGTGGGATGGGTCTCTTGAAGATAGACGGTTGGGTCTTGACAGTCTGTGCCGTTTAAGTGGGGCGTTTAGACTATTTATGTTCAAGGTTAATGTTGATATGTAAGGATTTGATCCTGTCATTTTGTTATTAATTGGTTGTTTTGTAGACTCAATTATGTAATTGCTTTGTAGGATCTGTTGTGTATGTACTTAAGTGTGTTTTTGTGGTATCAGATATTGTTCTTTCCTTTCCACATTTAGAACTCTCTCCTTAAGTACCTCTTGTAAGGCAGGTCTGGTGGTAATGAATTCCCTTAGTCTTTACATGTTTGAAAAGGATTTCATTTCTCCTTTGCATGTGAATCATAATTTGGCAGGATATAAAATTCTTGGTTGGAATTTCTTTTCTTTAAGGATGCTAAATATACATCCCCAGTCTCTCCTGGCTTGTAAAGTTTCTGCTGAGAACTCTGCTGTTAGCCTGATGGGGTTCCCTTTGTAAGTGACTTGGCCTTTTTCCCTAGCCACCTTTATGATTTTTTTTTTCCTGTTGACTTTGGAGAATCTGATGACTGTGTGTCTTTGGGATGGTTGTCTTGTATAATATCTTGCAGGTGTTCTCTGGATTTCTGGAATTTGCATGTCTACCTCTCTAGTGAGATTGGGGAAATTTCTGTGGACTATATCCTCAAATATGTTTTCCAAGTTGCTTACTCTCTCTTTTTCTCTCTCAGGAATGCCAATGAGTTGTAGAGAAAGTTTGTTTCTTTCTTTAAAAATTACTATGTCATCTCTCCTGGACCATTTTACTGGCTTCCTTGGATTGAGTTTAAACTTTCTCCTGAATCTCATTGAGCTTTTTTGCCCTTCAGATTCTGAATTCTATGTCTGTCATCTCTCTCAGCCATTTCAGTCTGGTAGGGAACCAGACATTGCTGGGGAGCTAGTGCAATCATTTAGAGGTAAGGAGATGCTCTGACTTTTGAATCATCAGAGTTCTTGGGCTGATTCTTTCTCATATGAGAGGGCTGGTGTTGCCTTATCATTTTGAAATGGCTGTTGTTTGGATGGGGCTATTTGTTTTTATATTCTTTATTTCCCTTGAGGGTTTGACTGGAGTATGCTGCCTATAGTCGATTGACTTCATTCCTGGGTGCTTTCAGAGGGTCAAGGCTCTGTGCGGGATCTTTCTTTGTGGCTAGATTCCTGCATTGGGTTTCACTGGTGATGTATGGTGAAAGAATTTATGTTTGGTGGTTTAATTAAGGCTGTGATCTAGTACGTGGCACTTAAGAGTAAGGGCAAATAAAAAACATTTTTAATTAAAAAAATTTGTTAAAAAAGAAAAAGCATGATGTAAGCTGATAAAAAAGACTATTTTTTGAAAAGAGTAAGGGCTGGTAGATAGGCTCTTAGTCACACGCCTCTTATATTTTGGTGCATTCGCAGCAGTACTCTGGGGTGAGTTAGACGGGGGTTGGCAAGAGATAACCTCACCAAATCCATTCCTGGGTCTTGGAGAGCCCCCTCCAGTCACTGGTGCCATGCTTACATTTTCTTAGTCCCAAAGTGGGGTGCTGGTAGGCTGTGTTCTCCCTTCCCTTAGTGTCACCCAAGCCAAAGTTTAGGTCACCAGGAGACCCGCAGGTCCTTGGGGACCCACTGGTCCTCTGTGCTTGGCAGAGTCAGAGCAGGTTGTGGGATATGTCAACAGGTGCCCCCTTGATGCAGTAGGTCAAGGGTGAGGATCCCTGGGCAGGGCAGTGTTGCTGTGGGTATGCAGCTGGTGTGGTGACTGCAGCTTGGGTTTTTTTTCCTAGCAGATGGCTGTGGGGACCATTCCACTCGTGCTCCCACAACGGGATCTCCTTACGGTGTCTATCCTAGTAGCTGGCATGACCAGCTAGTTTTGTCTCACTCCACCTGCACACAGATTGCTGGGCTGTTGGTTGTTCTGGGCCATGGGGCTCCTTCTGGCAGAGGCTTTGGCTGACAAACAGGCTACACCTTTCCCTGGCTGGTCTTGCAGAGGGAAGCACGTTCTGCTCCTGCTCCAGCCCACAAACCCACACCTTATACTTCTCAGTGTTTGGAGAGTAGGGGCTCTTACCCCAATCTAGCTCTGGCCATAGATCTCAGTTGGATATTCCTCAGCTGTGTGTCCGAACTCTGGGGGATTGGGACTGGACCTGTGGCTTTGTCCTCTGACCTCTTAGGGTTGAGCACAGGCTATGCAGGGGGGCCGAAGTGCTCCCAGGCCACCAGCAAAGCACTCAGGAGGGGCAGTGGAAGCTGTGCTATGTGTATGCTTTTGTGGGAGCAGCCAGCCGGAAGACTTGGGAGGGGCTGGCAGAGAAGGGGGCGTGGCAGATTAGAGTCACCCTGGTCCCATGGGAAAGATAGCCCTGCTCTCTCCTGGCCTTGGCAGTCAGCAGAGGTTAGAGCCACAGGGAGATGGTTGTTGATGGTCGTGTTTTGCTGTAGCTGCCCCCCGCAAAACCTTCTGGGCTCCGTGCAGGCTCAAACTCTGCCTCTGTCTACTCTCTGGGCAGCTCCCCTTGCCAATCCAAATATCTGTAAGGGTGGTGGGAGCTCTTGCAGCTAGGATCTTGGAGGTCCACAGCAGGAGAGTGTTGCCTTGCAGTTCTTTCACTCACCCCTTCCTCAAGACCTGTTTAAGGTCTGGAGCTGGTCCCAGTGCTTGGCAACTCCATGTAGGGTTCCCAACTTCCTCCCTCTTCCACCTCAATGTCTGTATCACCCTTCTGTCAGCACTCAGTTTTTCCACTCAAGAGATCTGTTTGAAACGTGATGGTTTACCTGATATTTTGGTTTCTCTTGGTGGGAGAGGCACTTCCTAGTTGCATCAAGTCAGACATCTTGTCCCCCTCCCTCCACAAAATATTTTCTATTTTCATTCCATGGATCCTTGTCAGTGAAACAAAACAACATATCTTAAACAAAAATGTAATATAACAGAAAGAAATGTTCACTTTTTTATGTGATGAAAAGTCAAGAATGACGTAAAAAGGTGATGAGGTATTTAAATCAGTAACTCAGTAAGCATTCATATTTGGCACGCACACCACGGACTGGATGCCTAGTTTTCAGCTCTCCAATAGAAGTGATGGTGATAATATATCATATATTTCATATCTTATACATATATGTCATATGCTGTATCTCTGCTGTTCAATAGGGTAGCCTCTAGCTCATATGGTTTTAGACACTTGAAATGTAGCTTGTGTGTCTGAGGAACTGAATTTTCTACCATATTTCTAATTAATTTAAATTGTCTCATGTGGCTATTGGCTACTATATTGGATAGCTTAGTAGGTGACTAGATTTTCATAATGATGATAAATCATTTGTTTTCACTGAATTCCCCTGTTCATTTGTGTAATTTGCCTTCTGCCAACCCTTTAATGTAATGTATTATCCAATGTGACCTTCATGCTTAGAAATTTGGAGTTCTGGGTGTTTGGATTTTACATTTTTTTGTGTGTGTGGATGTGAGCCCAAGGGGATGGCAGCAGATGGGGAAGATCAGGAATTTCTAAAAAGTCATTTTGGATCCAAACCAAACTGAGTTTCTGAACTACCATGCCAGACTATAAACAACACACATCTTTACCTACTCAGTCCCTATTGAGGTAATTTTAACCAAGAAAAAATTAAGAGAAGGTGGTGTCTTCTACACACTTTGCTTTTACAAGGTGACCTAATTTTGAGTAACACCCAGACTGAGTTAGCTACAAAAATGTAGGTAACTGAACAAATCACCCTACGAATGAGTTATTCAGTATTTTTTTTTTCATTTGAACTTTAGAAAAAAATCTCCTCCCTCTTTTTCAGTAGGTTTTGTTTTGGCATGATTAATATTGGACTCCTTATTCTTGAGTAATTATAAAACATTTAGTTGTTTCTGTAGTCGCTTCTTATATCTGATTGTAAAGCCACGTTATCAGGCTTGAGGAGGAGAAAGTTTATTCCTTTTATTTTTTTTTAACAGATGCCCCATGCCAGGCAGTGAGGTTTTTTGGCTTTATTTTTTAATTTTGGTAAAAACCAAATAATATATAATTTACCATCTTAACCATTTTTAAGTATACAGGTCAGTAGTGTTAACAGTATTCACATTGTTGAATAGCAGATAGCTAGAACTCTTTCATCTTTACAAACTGAAACTCTATATTCATAGAACAACTCCCTATTCCCCCTCCCTGCATTCCCTGTCAGCCACAATTCTACTATTTCCATGATTTTGACTACTCTAGATATTACATATAAGTGTAATCATACAGTATTTGTCCTTTTGTGACTGGCTTATTTCACTTAGCATATAAGGTTCATCCATGTTGTAGAATATAACAGGATTTTCTTATTTTAAAAAGATGAATAATATTCTACTGTATATATATGCCAATTATTTTTTATCCATTCATCTGTCGACGGACATTTGGGCTGCTTTTGCCTCTTGGCTATTGTGAATAATGCTACAGTGAACATGGGTGTGCAAACATTTCTTCAAGATTCTGCCTTCACTTCTTTTGGATTTATACCCCAGAAGTGGGATTGCTGGATCACATGGTGATTCTATGTTTAAGTTTCTGAAGAACCACCATCCTGTTTTCCACAGCAGCTGCTCCATTATTTTATAATCTCACCAGTAGTGCACAAGGGTCCTCTGCATTCTCATCAACATTTATTATTTTCTGGGTTTTGACAGTGGCCATCCTAATGGGTATGTCCTGATATCTCACTGTGGTTTTGCTTCACATTTTTCTAATAATTTGTAATGTTGAGTATTTTACATGTGCTTGTTGGCCATTCGTATGTCTTCTTGGGAGAAATATCTATTCAGGTCCTTTGTCTACTTTGTAATCACGTTACTTGTTTTTTTGTTATTCAGTTGTGAAAGTTCTTTATATATTCTAGATATTCACCGCTTATCAGATATATGATTTGCCATTAGTTTCTTTAATTCCATAGGTTGCCTATTTTTATTCTGTTAATTGTTTCCTTTGATGTGCACAAGTTTTAAAGTTTGATGCCATACCATCTGTCTACTTTTGCTTTCATTGCCTGTGCTTTTGGTGTCATATCCAGAAAATCATTGTCAAACCAATGTCATAAAGCTTTTCTCCTATGTTTTCTTCTGGAGTTTTATGGTTTTAGGCCTTTTTTTGTTTTTTTTTTTGTTTTGTTTTGTTTTGTTTTGAGACAGGGTCTGGCTCTGTTGCTGAGGCTGGAGTATAGTAATATGATCCAGGCTCACTACAACCTCTGCCTCCCAGACATAGGTGATCCTCCCACCTCAGCACCCCTAATCAGTAGCTGGGACTACAGGCACATGCGACCATGCCTGGCTAATTTTTTTTTTCTTTTGTATTTTTTTTGTAGAGACCAGGTTTTGCCATGTTGCCCAGGCTAGTCTCAAACTCCTGAGCTCAAGTGATCCGCCCGCCTTGGCCTCCCAAAGTGTTGGGATTACAGGTGTGAGCCACTGTGCCTGGCCTGGTTTTAGGTCTTAATGTTTATATCTTTAATCTACTTTGAGTTAATTTTTGTATATGGTGTAAGGCAAAGGTGCAGTTTTATTTTTTTGCATGTGGAGATACAGTTTCTCAGCACCATTTGTCAGTGAAGCTATCCTTTTCCCCACTGTGTATTCATGGCACCCTTGTTGAAGATCATTTGGCTATATACGTGAAGGTTTATTTCTGTACTCAGTGTTCTTTTCTATTGGTCTATTTGTATGTCTTTATGCTAGTACCACATTGTTTTGTTTTGTTGACTTTTTTATGTTTTTTGAGATGGGAGTCTCGCTGTATCACCCAGGCTGGAGTGCAGCGGTGCGATCTCAGCTCACTGTAATCTCTGTCTCCCGGGTTCAAACAGTTCTCCTGCCTCAGTCCCCTGAGTAGCTGGGACTACAGGTGAGCACCACCACACCTGGCTAATTTTTGTATTTTAGTAGAAATGGAGTTTCACTGTGTTGGCCAGGCTGGTCTGAAACTCCTGACCTCAAGTGATCCACCCACCTTGGCCTCCCAAAGTGTTGGGATTACAGGTGTGAGCCACTGCACCTGGCCGTACCACATTGTTTTGATTGCTGTAGCTTAGTAATGTTTTGAAATTCAGAAGTATAAAATCTTCAACTTGTTTTAAGTTTGTATAAGCAACACAGGGTTTCTTGAGAGTCCATAAGAATGTTAAAATATTTTGTTTCTATTTCTGCAAAAATAAAAAATAAAAAAAAGTGCCATTGGGCTTTTGATAGGAATTGCATTGAATCTATAGATTGCTTTGGGTAGTACACACATTTTAACAGTATTAAGTCTTCCAATCAATGAACATGGAATGTATTTCCATGTAGCAATGTTTTGTAGTTTGTGTAAGCTTTTGCCTTCTTTATTGAGTTTATTCCTAAGTATTTTATTCTTTTTGATGCTATTATGAATGAGATTGTTTTCTTAATTTCCATCTCAGATTGTTTGTTGTTAGTGTATAGAAGCACAACTGAATTTTTTGTGTTGATTTTGTGTCCTGCAACTTTGCTGAATTTGTTTATTCTGTGTGTGTGTGTGTGTGTGTGTGTGTGTGTGTGTCTGTGTGTGTAATCTTTAGGGTTTTCTACAGGTAAGATTATGTCATCTGTGAACAGAGATAATTTTACTTCTTTTAACATGGATGCCTTTTTTTTTTCTTGCCTAATTGCTCTGGCTAGGACTTCCAGTACCATATTTAATAGCAGGCACTAATATGGTACCTTCCCTCAGGACCTTTGGTGATTTAAGGGAGGACACATATTTCTGTTTCAGTGTCGAGCAGTGCTTGGGTAGGGGTATGGGCTGAGAATATTAGAACAAAGAAAAGGAAATATGAGAATGTGGAGAAAAATGGAAGACTTCACACATAAGGAGACATCTGAGTTCAATATGGAACGATAAGTGGAATTTGGACTTTTGAAGAAGAGCAGGAAGCCAAGCAGAAGTCTTTAAGATACCTCTTATTTTATCTAACCCCCTATATTTTTCAGACAAGCAATGTGAGAGGCAAGAGTTAATGAATAAGCTGAGGGTGGATCCCAGATCTATCCCTTCAGCAGTGTTCTGTCAGCTCAGGTGGTCTATCATCCCTACTACCTTGTTGAGTGATACTTTTCCTGATTAAAAGATTATGTGGGCCAGGCATAGTGGTTCACACCTATAATCTCAGCACTTTGGGAAGCCAAGGCAGGCAGATCACCTGAGGTCAGCCTGGTCAACATGATGAAACCCCTTTTCTACTAAAAATACAAAAAATTAGCCGGGTGGGTGGTGCATGCCGATAAACCTGGCTACTTGGTAGTCTGAGGTAGGAGAATCATTTGAACCTGGGAGGCAGAGGTCGCAGTGAGCTGAGATCACACCACTGCACTCCAGCCTGGGCTATAGACTGAGACTGTCTCAAAAAAAAAAAAAAAAAAAAAAAACAATTGTACTGATTGCGATCCATGAATGATTAATCATATGTATCACATTTCTTCCTGTCCTAGGCAGTCCTTTTTTACACAGAGTAGATCTAGAACTTAAGTAGATGTTCATTATCTTTTAGAGAGTTGCACTGTACCCAAGCACTTTGTATATTTTGAAACATACCTAAATCTGAATAAAATTATCATATATGTGTATGAAAGAAGGCTACCTCAAGATGTAGAAAAATGAAAGTTCAGTAAAATGGGTCTTGAATTAAGACAAGCAAACGATGAAATGACATACTAGCATCAAGTAACTATTTTGGAAGTTCAAATAAAAGGATTAGAAAAATAAGGCACTGGCAGTTAAATGCAATTAAATTCTTTGCATAATAAAGTGCATGCAAAAAAACCCACAAGGAATTATTGTCAAATTATTATTTTTAATGTAATTTTGGTAGTGAATGCTGATTAAGATGTATTGAAATGGTACTCTTACATAATATTGTTAGTATAAATTAATACAATCTTTTAATTATTTAGTTTAGTAATGTATTAAAAGCTATAAACATTTAATAACTTCTGAGCTAATAATTGTACTTCAACAAAGTGATCTGCTTTGAGAAATATTTCAAATAAAATAATAGTTGGCATTTATTGAATAGGTACTTTCTACTTGGCAGGCACTGCTGTAAGCATTTAACATTTATTAGCTAAATCCTCACCATGGCCTCGAGGTAAGTAAGCATTATTAGATGAAGAAACTGCATCACAGCAAGGAAAACAACTTGCCCCAGCTGGTAAACAGGGGAGTTGGGATTCATACCACCTGCAGTATGTTTGTAAAGCCTGTGCTTCAACCATTAGGCTAGTCTGCTCTCAGAGGGATATGCACACATATGTGCACAAATATGTGACTATATTAAGGAATATCTCAAACTGTGATATTTGTTAATTAAGTAGCAAAAATTTAGAAGTTACGGTGTTACAAGACAGCAATGAATAAAGTATGGTCTGTTTATTCTACATTGACCCTTATGTGTGTGGGCCTTAAAAATGATTATGAAGAGTATTAAACCACTTGGAAAATGATTATGACAACATGAAATGAGAAAGACTTGCATTAATCAATGTAAGACTATAAGATATCCATTATGTTTATATGGTTATAACTAAATAACAATGTACATAGGACTTCCTCTGAACTAGACGCTGTTCTAAGCATTGTGTATTATTTAATTCTTATAGAGAAATTCTCCTGTGAGTAGTTGTCATCATTATTCTCATTTTACACATGAAGGAGTTGGGCTACAGAGAGACTAAGGTCAAGGTCTAGCAACAGCAAATGAAGAGCAAGGATTTGAAATCAGGCAATCTAGCTTCAGAGTGTACCTGTGGAACTAAAGTTCTATTCATTGCACCAACACATTCCAGAAGAGATCAAAATGTTAATAATGGTACTGTTTGTGTGCAGAATCACAGGAGAGAGGTATCATCCTATGTACCCCAAAAGGATTTTGACCTCATTTGCAATCACACTCAATAAAGCAAAAGGGGGAAATTACCCTTCTAGAATGGAACCCTTCCAGGCACATTTGTTTGGGTTATGATATGGTTTGTGTGTCCCCATCCAAATCTCATCTCCAATTTTAATCCCCATGTGTCAAGAGAGAGACATGGTGGGAGTGATTGGATCTTAGGGGTGGTTTTTCCCATGCTGTTCTTGTGATTGTGAGTGAGTTCTCATGAGACCTGATGGTTTTATAAGGGGCTCTTCCCCCTTCACTCGCTCACTCGCTCACTGTCTCTCACCTGCCACCATGTAAGATGTTTCTTTGCTTCTCTCTCACCTTATGCCATGATATTAAGGTTCCTGAGGCCTCCCCAGCCTTGTGGAACTGTGAGTCAATTAAACCTCTTTCCTTTATAGATTGCCCAGTCTTGCATATGTCTTTATAACAGTGTAAGAATGGACTAATACTGGCTACTTCCCTCAACCTCTCCTTTTTCCTTTCCCATGCCTTTCTGAAAGCCTCTACATCCTAGCACTCCATTATTTTGAATATAATTATTCAAAATAGAATATAATTATTTTGAATATAATTATTCAAAATAGAATATAATTATTTTGAATATAAGAGAGTTTCGCTGGTAAAAATTACAAAGTTGACTATAAAGTTAGGACACTGGTTTTCCAAATTACATGTCCCTGAAATACATTTTTCACATGGCTTCCAGGGTTTCACATTCTTTGGACTTCTTACCTCACGGAATCTTTCCCAGTGTCTTTGTTTTTGGTTGCTTCTTTCATCCTGACTTTTAAATAGTGGAGTGCCTCAGGACTCAGTGCTTGTTCCTGCCCTCTATCTGTACTCATCCCACCACATCAGTCTGATGAAATAGATTACCATCCAAATGTAAATGACTCCCAAACTAACACTTGTGGTTCAAAGTGCTCTTCAGGGTTATGGACTTGGATAGACAATTACCTCCTTGACATTTCCACTTGCACATGTAATCATTATTTCAAACATAACATGTGCAAAATAGATATTTGGTCTCTTTTCCTCATCTCAAAATAGTACCACCATTTATTTACCTAGCTGCTCTTCTATCTTCCTGGAACACCTTTGCTCCAAATCTTTGTGACTCAGTCCACATACAGGTGGCCCTCCAAATTCATGGGTTCTGTATCTGCAAATTGAAAATATTTGGGGGAAAAATAATACAATAAAAATGGATACAAATAAAAAAATACAATAAAGCAACTATTTACATAGCATTTGCATTGTATTAGGTATAAGTAATCTAGATAAGATTTAAAGTATACAGGAGGATCTGCATAGGTTATATGCAAATACTATGCCATTTTATGTCAGAGACTTGAGCATCAGAGATGTGCATAGGTTACATGCAAATACTATGCCGTTTTATATCAGAGACTTGACATGGATTTTGGTGCCTAAGGGAGTTCCTAAAACCAGTCCCCTGCAGATACTGAGGACGGCTGTATTCTTTCAGGTTCTGCTCAAATACAACCTCTTCAAAGAGGTGCACCTTGAACATTTGCTCTATTGATAAATAAATTTTGACTCCTGTCATTCTCTCTTCTCTTATTCTGCCTTATTTTTGTTATATCTCATAATTTTCTAACACTGCTCATTTATTTTTTTATTTGTGTATCACCCATTTCCCTCAATGGAGTATAAACTTTATGAGGGGAAGATGAGTTTGCTTTGGTACTGCAGTGCCTGGCACATAGTAGGTGGTCAGTAAATACTTGTCAAGTGTGACTAAGTGAATGAATCTCATTACCTTGTATCATAACTTAACTTAGTTTCTTTGTTGAGTTTCATGTCTTTTAATAGTTCATTATATCATTTAATCAATTCAATTTAAACTTCTCAGGTCAAATGATCTCTAGTAATTTATCAACTTAGATTCTATTTCAGACTTGTATGTAGGATCCACCCACCAGCCTGCACTAGTCCTAGCCTGCTTTCTTGAGACCTAGTTCCTTTCTTCCTTTTTCCTTTCTTATTGACTTTCTTCATCATCACTATTTTACTGTCTTCTTTCCCGTTTCTAGATTTGTTTCTTTTTGCAGTATCCTAGGCTTCACTGTGATATCCAGATGCTCATGGCGACGTTCAGCATTGCCTTCTTTTTTTGTGTGTTGCGTTTTTCTTTGTGAATGTATGATTTTCATGCTAGCTCTCACTTTCTCCTCATCTAAATGTATTCAAGAATCCTTTCTCATATTGAAACACTGAATTTTCAAAGCAACTTCAAATATATTCTGTATCCTACATTACATTTTACACAGCTGTCTCCAACTTTCTTTCCTACTGTTTGTCCTCATAAATCACCTCAGGGATGAAGCTGTTTTCTAACTTCTGAGTTTTGTGTGTTCAACTGACATTCTGTGAAGCTGAAAGGACAGGAAATATTTTACTTGAAGAAAAGAAATAGGTTGTGGTAATCTAAATAATAGCTTTACAAGATATTCGCTTCCTAAACCAGGACAGCAGGGAAGTCATCTTGACCATACCATGAAAAGCTATGGAATGCCAGCAGCCACCAATAGCTGGAAGAGGCAAGGAATGGAATCTTCCCTGCAAATCATAAGACAGTATAATAGTGTCTGAAATTTGCTGAAAGAAAAATAAATTGGCCAACCTAGAAATTTATATCCAGCAAACATTTTTTAAGTGAAGGAAAATAAAGACATTTCAAACAAACAAAAGCTGAGAATATTCATTCCTACCAAACCTATACTATAAGCAATATTAAAGAAAGATCTTTAGGCTGAAAGAAAATATCATTTGAAAACTTGTCTCTACAAAAAGAAAAAGGACCAAAAATGGTAAAGTTTGTGGCTAAATGGAAAATACATTTTTTCACAAAAATTTTTTTTCAGTTAGAGGGATCAAGATGGCTGAGTAGACACAGGTAGTGTGTTCCTTCTCCATGGTGATGAACCAGAATAATAAGTATATATATTTTGAGCAGATTATCTAGGAGAGAACACTTGGACTCACTGGAGTAGAGACAGGAAGTGCTAGAAGTAAGGAGGGGGTTTGAGGCAGCTTCCCCAGCTGGGAACTGGCAGCACCAAGAGAGGCTTCTTGACACGGGGAGACAGTAAGAGAGAAATCCCCAGAGCTCTGAAATGAGCTTGCATGATCTTTGCTACAGGAGAAACCCTCAACCCACTAGAGCCTCATGCCTGACATACAGAGCTGCCTAAATATTGCAGAGATGTTCCTGCATAAAGAGAATCCGCACAGAATCCCACAGGCATCCGAGCCTGGAGCATCCTCAGCTGGGCAGTATTTTCAGAACATAGATACTGGGAATCTGCAGACAGAGCTTCAGCTGCTGCATTGCTCCAGTAAGGAAAAGGGGAGAACAGGCATGCCTGTGCAACCCTAGGAGGATACTTGCTACCCTACAAGGGGCTGCTGCTGAGACTGAGACATGAGTGAACTGCACCCCACATAGATTTTTGCCCATGCTTCTTGCCTGGATGGTGCCACAGCTCTGGCCCCAGGTTAAGGTGCTATTTTGAGAGGCTAATGCTGGACTTCACCCCACCCTTGGCCGAAGTTTGTGCTGATGCAGTTGCAGCTGCCACCCAGCCAAAGAGGGACAGAGAGGCCAGGACATCCTATGCATATCTTGGACAATACCCACTATTCTGCAATGAGCTACTGAGAGACTGAGACCCAACTGGGCTGCATTCCCCACAGCTTCTTGCCCGTGCTTCTTGCCCAGACAGTGCCTCATCCTACCTGGTTGCAGGCCCAAAGTATCATTTTGAGATTGTAATGCTGAGCCCTACCCCACCTTTGGCTTGAATTTTGGCTGATGTGGCTTTAGCTGCCACCCAGCCAAGGAAGGGAAGGGAAGCCAGGTTCTCCTACTCCTGCCTAGGATAATACCCAGCACTCTGTTACAGTCTTTAGTGAGACTGAGACTCAAGTGGACCACACTCCTCACAGATTATTGTCCACGCTGCTTGTCTGAAAGGGTCCCAACCTCTGCAGTTGCAAGCCCACAGCTGGCATCATCATTAGAGACATTGCTTGGTGACTTGGCCATGGTGGTTACAGCTGGCATTTTAGCCTTGGGGCAGAGATTGGAGTGCTGGCTCTGGACAGGGGAAGGGACCCAACAGCCAAAATTGAGTAATGAGTGTGGACAGTGCCCCAACAGTAGGCACTGGAATTAGGCTCTCTCCCATCACAGAACTAGAACAGGAGGAGAGTTGCTGAAGCTGAGGTTTCTCCTGGGCAGTAAGACATGCAGCCAGGAACGGTTTTGTGACCTGGAACTGGTCTCCGTGTGTCATTACTGGGTGTCCCAGCCTGTTCCCTTGGTTAGCTGGGGGACAGTGCTCCACTATCTCTGAAGAGCAGGAGAGAGGCAGACCCCATTCCCCTGGAAATCTAACCCTTGGCACAGACTGCCCGTAAGGGAGGGCAGAATGCAGCCCACCAAAGTCCCCCATGGGTCAAAAGAAACATGAATGCAGTGCCAACCACTGAAGGCAACACCACCAAAGTCCAGGAATGGACATGGAGAGGGGGTCATCTCTTGCCTCCCACCCCCCTTCTCAATGTGCTGTTGCAGGCTCAGCAGGGACGTTCCCCATTTGGGCCTGGGGAACATGGACTGAAAAATTCTGCTTTGCAGGCTTCTCCAGTGGCTCATCTCCCTCTGAAGGTGAATACATGCCAGAAGAGGGCACTTTTCACGATTCTCTGTTGGCTCCACCCCTTCCCCTACCTGCTGGCTCTTAAGCACCGTCTATTGGAATGCAGCATAAAATACACTGCCAAATAAACTTACATCATTATAAAAAGCAATATCTGAAAGAGTCATTGCATAAACATATCTGCTACCAAGGAACCTTTACAGGTCCTTGGCACCCTAAAAGCACCCAGAAGTGAAGCCAATTGATTAGACACAATATACGTAACAGCCATAACCCCAAGGGAAAGAAGAATTAAAAAATCAAGAAGCCCCATCCAAACAATAGCAAATTAAAAACAAACAAACAAAACAAAACAAAAAAACGTCTCTCTCAGATGAGAAGGAAGCAGTGCAAAAACTCTGGCAATATCAAAAGCTACAGTGTTTTGTCACCTCCACAGGATTCCACTAGCTCCTAAGCAATGTATCCTAATCTGAATGAAATGTGTGAGATTATAGATATAGAATTCACAATATGGATGAAAAAGAAATTCAGTGAGATCCAAGAGAAAGTTGAAATTGAACAGAAAGAAGCCAGAAAAATGATCCAAGATTTGAAAGACAAAGTAGCTATATTAAGAAATAACCAAACAGAACTTCTGGAATTGAAAAATTCCCTATAGGAATTTCAAAATACAATTGGAAACCTTAGCAACAGACTAGACCAAGCAGAATAAAGAATTTCAGAGCTTGAAGACCAGTCCTTCGAATCAACCCACTCAAACAAAAATATGAAAAAGAGAATTTAGAAAATCAAGGCTTCAAGAAATATGGGATTATATAAAGCCACCAAGTCTACAACTTATTGGCATTCCTGAGAGAGGGGAAGAGAAAGTAAGCAACTTAGAAAACATATTAGAGGATATAATTCAGGAAAATTTCCCCAATGTTGCTAAAGAGGGTAACATGCAAATTTTTTAAAAAATCCAAAGAATTCCTATGAGATACTATACAAGATGACAATCCCAAGGAACATAGTCATCAGATGATCCCAGGTCAATGCAAAAGAAAAAGCCTTAAAGGCAGCTAGAGAAAAGGATCAGGTCACTTACAAAAGGAACCCCATCAGACCAACAATATACTTCTCAGCAGAAACCTCAAAAGCCAAAGATCGAGGGCCCATTTTTAGCGTTCTTAAAGAAAAGATATGCCAGCAAAGAATTTCATATCCTGCCAATTTAAGCTTCATGAACAAAAGAGAAACGGTCTTTCCCAAATAGACAATTGTTATAGGAATTTGTCACCACCAGACCAGACCTACAACAGATACTTAAGGGAGTTCTAAATGTGGAAATGAAAGAACAATACTTGCTACTACAAAAGCACGCACAAGCACATAGCCCAAAAAGTGCATAAGGCAACTATGCAATAGAGACTACAAAGAAACTAGCTAATGCTATGACAAGAATAAAACTTCACATATCAATATTAACCTTGAATGTAAATAACCAAAGAATTCCTCTTAAAAGACATAGAGAAGACATCCTCCTGCTATCTTCAAGAGACCCATCTCATACGTAATGACGCCCATAGGCTCAAAGTGAAGGGATGGAGAAAGAGCTATCATGCAAATACAAATGGAACACCAGAAAGAGCAAGTGTCACTATTTTGTATAAGATACAATAGACTTTAAACCAAGAATGGTTAAAAAAAAAAAAAGACAAACGGCATTACATAATGATAAAGGGTTCAATTCAAGAAGACTTAACTATCCTAATATATACACACTCAACATTGAAGCGCCCATATTTATAAACCATTTACTTCAAGACTTAGGAAAAGACTATCAACCCCACAATAATAGTGGGGAACTTCAATACCCCACTGACAGCATTAGACAGATAATAGAGGCAGAAAACTAACAGAAATTTGTAACTTAAATTTGACACTTGACCAATGGGACATAATAGATATCTACAGGACATTCTCCCAACACATTCTTCTCATCTACACAGGGAACATACTCCAAAATTGACCAAACACATGCTCTGTCATAAAGGAAGTCTCAGCAAATTTTAAAAAATGAAATTATACTATGCAATTCTTGGACCACAGTGGAATAAAAATAAAAATCAATACCAAGAGGAACTTTCAAAACCATATAAACATGTGGAAACTGAACAACTTGCTCCTGTATGACTTTTAGGTACACAACAAAATAAAGGCAAAAGTCAAAAAATTATTTAAAGCAAATTAAAATAGAGGTACAACATACCAAAACCTCTAAGATGTGGCAAAAGCAGTCTTAACAGGAAAACTTATAGCACTAAATGCATCACTATAGCATCAAGAATATAGAAAGATTCCAAATTAACAACACAACCTTGTACCTAAACAAACCAGAAAAACAACAAATTAAACCCAAAGCTAGAGAAAGTAACAAGATAACTCAGAGCAGAATTAAATGAAATTCAGATCCAAAATCCATACAAAGGATAAATGAAATAAAAAGTTGGTTCTTTGAAAAGATAAACAAAATCGATAGACTGATAAATAGATTAACAAGGAAAAAGAGAGAAGATCCAAATAAGCACAATCAGAAATGACCAAGATGACATTACAGCCAATTTCACGGAAATAAAAGATCCTCAGAGACTACTAAGAACATCTCTATGCACACAGACTAGAAAATCTAGAGGAAATTGACACATTCTGGAAACACACAACCCCTCAAGATTGAGCCAGGAAGAAATTGAAACCCTAAGCAGACAAATATCAAGTTCGAAAATTGAATCAACAATCATAAAAAAAAACCTACCAACCAAAAAAAGCCCTGGACCAGATGGATTCACAGCTAAATTCTTCCAGATGTACAAAGATGCGCTGGTACCAGTCCTACTGAACCTATTTCAAAAAAATTGAGGAGGAGGGACTCTTCTCTAACTCATTCTATGAAACCAGTGTCATCTTTATGCCAAAAATCTGCAAAGGCACAGGAAAACTACAAGCCAATATCCCCAATGAACATAGACACAAAAATTCTCAACAAAATACCAGCAAACTAAATCCAGCAGCACATCAAAAAGTTAATTTACCATGATCAAGTAGGCTTTTTTCACAGAACGCAAGGGTGGTTCAACATAGGCAAATCAGTAAATGTGATTCATCAAGTAGAATTAAAAATAAAAACCATATGATCATCTCCATAGACACAGAAAAAGCTTTTGATAAAATCCAACATCCCTTCACAATAAAAGCTATCAACAAGCTAAGCATTGAAGGAAGATACCTCAATAAGAGTCATCTGTGACAAACTCGTAGCCAACATCATACTGAAGGGGCAAAAGCTAGAAGCATTCCTCCTAAGAACTGATATAAGACAAGAATGTCTACTCTCAGCACTCTTATTCAACATAGTACTGGAGGTCCCAGCCAGCGGAATCAGGCAAGAGAGAAAAATAAAAAGCATCCAAGGGAAAGTCAAATTATCTCTCTTCATTGATGATATGATTCTATACCTAGAAAACCCTAAAGATTCCACCAAATACTCCTCTTCCTGATAAATGACTTCAATAGAACCTCAGGATACAAAATCAATGTACTAAAACTAGTGGAATTTCTACATACAATAACATTCAAGCTGAGAGTCAAATCAAGAATGCAATCCCATTTACAATAGCCACACACACAAAAATAAAATACCTAAGAATACATCTAACCACAGAGTTGAAAGCTCTCTATGAGGAGAACTGTAAATACTGCTGAAAGAAATCATAGATGACACAAACAAATGGGAAAGCATCCCATGCTCATGGGTTGAAAACATCAATATTGTTAAAATGTCCATACTATACAATGGAATCTCCAGATTCAAAGCTATTTCTATCAAATTACCAAGACAATCCTTCACAGAATTAGAAAACTATTCTAAAATTTATATGAAACTGAAAAAGAGCCTGAATAGCCAAAGCAATTTTAAGCAAAAAAAATAAAACCAGAGGCATCATATTACCCAACTTCAAACAATACTACAAGGCTACCTTAACCAAAACAGCATGGTACTGGTACAAATATAGACACATAGACCAATGGAACAGAAGGGGACCCCTGAAATAAAGCCACACCTTTATAATCAGCTGATTTTTGAACAAAGTTGACAAAAGTAAACAATGGAGAAAGGACACCCTATTTATTAAATGGTGCTGGGAAAACTGGCTAACCACTTGCAGAAGAATGAAACTGGACTCCTACTTCTCACCATTTACAAAAATTACCTCAAGATGGAATGAAGACTTTAATGTAAGACCTCAAACTATAAAAATCCTAGAAGAAAACCTAAGAAATACTCTTCTGGCTTAGGCAAATAATGTATGACTAAGTCCTTGAAAGCAATTGCAAAACAAAAATTGACAAGTGGGACTTAATTAAGCTAAAGAGCTACTGCACAGCAAAATAAACTATCAATTGAGTAAACAGACAATCTACAGAATAGGAGAAAATATTCGCAAATGATGTACCTGACAAAAGACTAATACCCAGAATCTGTAAGGAAGTTAAACAACTAAACAAGTAAAAACCAAATAACCCCATTAAAAAGTGGGCAAAAGATATGAATAGACACTTCTCAAAAGAAGGCATACAAGTGGCCAAAAAATATATGAAAAGAAAGCTCAGCATCACTAATCATCAGAGAAATGGAAATCAGAACCACAATGGAACACCATCTTAGACCAGTCAGAATGGCTATTATTAAAAAGTCAAAGAAATAACAGATGTTGGCAGCGTTGTGGAGAAAAGAGAATGCTTATACACAGTTGATGGGAATGAAAATTTGTTCATCTCCTATGGAAAGCACTTTAGATATTTCTCAAAGAACTAGAAATAGAATTACCATTTGACCTAGCAATCTCATTACTGGGTATATGCGCAAAGGAAAAGAAAGTGTTCTACCAAAAAGAAACCTGCATTTGAATGTTTATCACAGCACTGTTTACAATAGCAAAGACCTGGAATCAACTCAGGTGCTCATCAATTGTGGATTAGATAAAGAAAATGTGGTGTATATATATATACCATGGAATACTATGCAGCCATAAAACCTCATGAAGTCATGTCCTTTGCAGCCACATGGATATAGCTGGAGGCCATCACCCTAAGTGAATTAACACAGAAATAGAAAAACAAATGCCACATGTTCTCACTTATGGGTGGGAACCAAACATTGGGTTCACAAAGATGGGAACAATAAACACTGGGGATTCCAAAAGTTGGAGGAAGTGAGGGGGACAAGTGTTGAAGAAGTACCTATCAAGAACTATGTTCACCACTTGGGTGATGGGATGCCCAAACCTCGGTGTCATGCAATTTGTCCAGGTAACAAATCTGTACATATTTCCCCTGAATCTAAAATAAAAAATAAAATGCATAAAAATAAAAAACTTCTTCTAAAGTTTTAAGTATTGTTTAAAGCAATACTTAAACAATGTATTGATGTATTTATATAATATGTAGATGTAAAAAATATAACAAAAATATCACAAAAGATGATATGGTGAAATGAAAACATGTTTTAAGGATATGAGAAGAGGTATATTATTTGAAAGTAGATCCTGACAACTTACAGAGTAATATTTTAAATTCTAGTGCAGCCATTTGAAAATGAAATAAAATGTATTTGTGATAAATCAGTAGAAGAAGGTAAAATGCTACACAAATTGTCAATTCCAAAAGAAGACTGGAAAAGAGGGGGAAAAGGAAAAAGAACAGATAGGGCAAATAGAAAACAGCATTATGTTAGACTTAAACCCAGTCGTATTAAATATGACATTAAATGTAAGTGGTTTAAATACCCCAATGAAAAATTAGTGACTGTCATACTGGATAAAAGTGAAAGAGCAAATTAATTATATTCAGTATACAAAAGATGAACTTTACATATAAAGAAAAGATAGTTCGACATAAAATGATGTAAAGATATATGCTATTACAAAAGTAGTTAGAAGAAAGCTGAAGTAATTGTATTATCAACGTAGACTACAGAACAAGAAATATTATCAGAGATAAAGAGAGAAAGCTTATAATGATAAAAGGATGAAGTGTTAGGAGGACCTAAGAATCAAAATGTGTATATAACTAATAATGCTTCAGAAATACATTAAAGGGAAAAATGACAAATAAAAGAAAAATCAAATCCATACTCATAGTTGGAAATTTAAACACCCATCTCTCAGCAATCTATAAAACAACTAGACAAAAGGAAAACTTAATAAATATGTAAGTGATCTGAACAATATTATCAAGCTTGACCAAAATGATATCTATAGAACATTGTATCCAAAAAAACTGCAGGATACATATTCTTTTCAAATGCATATGGAATAGTCATTAAGATAGAGCACATGCTGAGGCATAATACAAGTCTCAATAAATTTAAAA
Organism: Homo sapiens; assembly: GCF_000001405.40. Classification (NCBI taxonomy): domain Eukaryota; kingdom Metazoa; phylum Chordata; class Mammalia; order Primates; family Hominidae; genus Homo; species Homo sapiens. The sequence goes on from NC_000013.11 coordinate 39,080,562, forward strand.
TATTTGGAAGCATACAGAATATGCTTGTAATTTAATTAGAATTAGATTAGAAGTCAATAATAAAATAACATCTGAAAAATTACCAAATATTTGGAAAGTAAATATTACATTTGTAAATAACTCATGTGTCAGAGAAAAAAAGTCACAAAAGGAATAAGAAAATATCGTGAAGTAAATGAAAATACAGCACTTCAAAATATGTGAATCGCAATTAAAACAGTGCTTAGAAAGATAAAGCTATAAATATTTGTGCAAGAAAAGAAGAAAAATTAAAATCAGTGGTCGGCTGCTCTGCCTATGGAGTGGCCATTCCTTTACCTTCTTATTAAGCTTGTTCACTTTGGGAGGCCGAGGCGGGCGGATCATGAGATCAAGAGATTGAGACCATTCTGGCCAACATGGTGAAACCCTGTCTCTACTAAAAATACGAAACTTAGCTGGGCGTGGTTGTGTGCGCCCATAGTCCCAGCTACTCAAGAGGCTGAGGCAGGAGAATCGCTTGAACCCAGGAGGCAGAGGTTGCAGCGAGCCGAGATCGCACCACTGCACTCCAGCCTGGCAACAAAGCGAGACTCAGTCTCAAAAAAAAAAAAAAAAAAAAAAAAAAAAAAAAAGTTTGTTTTTACTTTACTCTATGGACTCGCCTCAAATTCTTTCTTGCACAAGAACTGAGAACCCTCTCTTGGGATCTGGATCAGGACCCCTTTCTGGTAACATCTTCCTGGCAAACCCCAAAGGGATGATACTGAGGAGACTTCTGACCCAAAGGAAATGGACTGGAGCACCAATTGGCTAACTTTGGGTAAGTAGTGGTGTACCCGGGTGAAAAACGGGATAGAGTTAGAGGCCCAACTTAGGAGAGTTAGAATCTCTCCTAAGATGGAGTGGGTTAAAGGCCTCTCTTAATAAAAGGCAAGGATGCATGACTGAAGTTGGATTTGAGGCCTAACTTAGCAGGGTTAGAGTCCCTTCTAAGATGTAGGGGGTGTGAGGCCCCTCCCAGTAAAGTTCCTCCTGGCTAAGAACGGATTTGATACTATGGGGTGTTAACTGCCATTCTCTTTGGATTAATCTGCCTTGCACTCTTTGCTGATGGCTATGGGTGACATAATTAGGCACGTACAGGATCATGGGACATGGGGAGCTTTTTCCTCCCCAAACAGGGACACTTAAGAGCTAATGGGACTGCTGAAAAAGATCCCTTCTTGACTGACAAGCAGCCACCTGAACTTTTGATTCAGTGTTGCTGGGATGGGTGGGTCTTTCTCTGGCCTCCCTGAGCTCTTCGCTGTCCCCAGCCTACCACAGGCAATGCTTTTCTCTCTTTCTCTCCTTTCCCTTTCTTTCTTTCTTCTTTCTTTTTTTTTTTTTTTTTTTGAGATGCAGCTCGCTGTCACCCAGGCTGGAGTTCAGTGGCGCGATCTTGGCTCACTGCAACCTCTGCCTCCTGGGTTCAAGCAATTCTCCTGCCTCAGCCTCCTGAGTAGCTGGGATTACAGGCACGCACCACCATGCCCAGCTAATTTTTGTGTTTTTAGCAGAGACGGGATTTCCATGTTGGTCAGGCTGGTCTCGAGCTCCTGACCTTGTAATCTGCACACCTCGGCCTCCCAAAGTGCTGGGATTACAGGCGTGAGCCACCACGCCTGGCCCCCTTTCTTATATTTTCTATTACTCAGGGTGACCATCTTGCCCAGAGACCACATGTTGAAACTCCTTGTCGGAGGTTGGATTGATGATGACCCAGCCCAACCAGGGGCAAGTTTGAGCCTTGCCAGTGTGATATTGGGTGCTAAGCAGAGTGGTTAATGTCTATGTTTTGTCACACGTATTTTGCTCTGGCCAGAATGGAAAAAGATAATTTTCCTTTGTGTTGCAGCTTGGCCCCCAGTGCTATGGTGCACTGAGCTGGGTTACTAGGGCCACTTAGGAAAAGGGAACCCAGAAGCCTAGCATGCGGCAAAAGGGTAAGAATTTTTATCAGTCTGACTTCTGGTCTCTCTCTCTATCTGTCTCTCTCTCTCTCTGCAAACAGGTTGAATGAACGGTAAAAATCACTGTTTATCTCGGGTAAAGTTTTGATTAATGAGAAAAGAATTTGTGAGGCTAGTCTTAAACTGTAGCAAATCTGGTGTGCTTTGTGCGTCTTTCTGTATTGTTCTTTCATAAAGAGGGGTACTTTAGGATGGAATGCAGCCCTAGGACACCTGTAAGCCCACTGTTCAAGATGGCCCAGCGAACTGGTCAATTATAAACTTTGATGCAAGTCCCTGAAAAAAAAAAAACCAAAAAAAACTGGATGAAGTTTCCCTTTCGTCTTATTTTATGTCTTTGGGACCTTGACCTTGTAATCATGTGGTCATATTTTCCCTTGGTTTCCACTATCCAGCAGACAGGAGTTTGGGGATTCATGTAATAGCCCTAAAAATAATCTTGAACAGTTAAAAGCCTTTGCAAGCTCAAAATTGGCTGATCTAGGTTCCTTCTGGGAAGGATAATGGATACTGCGCAGTGCTCTGGCTCAGTAGCTAAGGCTTTGTCTTTTCACAATGGTGGTCCAGGTGCAGGGTTCAATTCCTGGCTTAGAGAATGAGTCCTTTCTGGTACCCAGAGAAATTCCTTTCCAGGTTCTCAGGGAAATTTTCCTTTCTTTGAGCACCTTGGAGTTTACCTTTGGTAAAATTCAAAAGCCAGAAATATTGGTGGTTTGGCGTGGCCGAAGTCAGGTAATAAGACATTTTCAAGGATTTTTTTTAATAGCACTATAGTTAACAGTCAGCTTAATTCAAGCTCTAATAGCCTGGGACTTCTTGGGAAAAACAGGAGGTTCCAGGGACCCGGTTTTGGGCAAAACCTCTGTTTTCCTCTTTGAACCCCAGGAATTGAAAATGGATACATCTTGCTCAAAATCTAAGACTTTGTTCTGTTTTGCATTGCATTATCTGACATTTTTTACTTTTGGTGGTATCAGAAATTACTTCACATTATGAGGGACTTTTGGTGTGTAATAACTAGGTAGGAAATATACTTTTAGGAATGGCTGATGGCAGTTATGGGTGAATACTTAGGTGTTTGCATGTTTGGATTAGAGAAGCATGCTCTTGGCCACCTTGAAGGTATGGAAATACCTTCTTATCTCCCACTGAGAGATAAGACTCCCATGGGAAATGGGCTGATTCCCCCACTTTTTTGTTTTGCAGTTGGGGGCAGGATCTAGTATAAAATGGGACCCTTAATTTTGGAGGATCTACTTTGCCTTCCACCTGTGCCTGCTTATCAGGCTGTTGAAACTGCATGCTTTCCTGGCCCTCTTCCTCCAAGGGCTCCACCCTGAAGCCAGTAATCCAATTAAGAAACTGGCAGATGAAAAATCTTACAACTACTGGATCTTCTGTCTGTCTGTATATTTATATATGTTGTGTGTTTGATATGAAAGGGCTTTGATTAATTGGTTTAAAAAAATAAGAGCTTAAATCAAATATTTTATCAGAAAAATAAAATCTGTAATGCCTTTTAGTTCACATGATTTAGTAATCTTTGGGAAATAAAAACTGTTTTACATGCAAGGTGTGTAAAGGAAGTGAAATGTGTTTTTGGTAAAAGATAAGAAGTCATGAGAATGTGGATTTTTTTCTGCCTAGATTAAAGGGCTAAAGGATTGTTATAAGTTAGATAAGATAAAGCTGAAGGTTTGAACAAGTTGTGGAAGGTTTGTAAAAAGTAACTCATGAGAGAAATTCTGTGTGTGAACATATTGGCTAAAGGGGTACTCAGTTTTTATGTAAATTGAACATTGGAATAAAAGCACAACAGGTTTTTCTTAGAGCACTGATCTGCTCTTTCCCAAAAATTGTAAAGGGTTATATTAATAAAAGTTTTATGATCCACTTTGCTGGGGAGGTGAGGATGTTTAATTACAAGTTTATAAGAATCTTACCTTATGGTCAAACGGATTAAAATTGAGTAAATTTGTCTATAAGGTTTTATTAAGAATTGGGTTTATCATTAAGAGTACACTAATGTAAAGGTGAAATTTGGCTTATTTGGTGTAAAGTCCATACAGAAAGCATTGTCAAATGTGAAATAGTGTTTGGCTTTCTTAGGGCTATATTTGCATAAATATGTTATTGGTATGTGTTCCAAAATTATGGAAAATTCCTAATAATTCTAATATGACTTAGGGTATGTTATTAATGATTATAATCGTTATGTAAAATTGTTGTATGCCACAGAAGTAACCAAAATTTCCTTTTCAACTGTGGCTTTAACAGTGGCTCTCCTAAGATTTTTGTCATCCACAGATAGTTTTCTTGTTTTGATCCTCTTCAAAAGGTGGCTTATAATCAGATATAGGACTTAGACAGGTGCTCTCGAATGCAAGTTTCTAATAAGCTTTGAGATTGTGACATCAGAATAGAATAAAAACTTTCAGGACTCATTGACAGCTGAAATGTTTGTGAATATCAAGCAGGACAGAAGTTAACTGTGTGGACTGAACTAATAGAAGGCTGAAGTAACCTTTTTGACTTTGCTTAAAATGTTGCTGATCCTGTTTTGTTTTTCAGAATCAAGAAAAACTTTTTTTTAAGCTACTTGTAGCTTTTCACAATTGAGTAAGGTATACTCCTGTAAACAAAATTTGGAGCACATTCGTCTCTCTCTACCTGATTTCTCCAGAATTTGAAAACTAGTTGTGAGTATTCTTAACTTATGGCAATTTAGTTATTTGCATAAGTGCAATAAGAATCTGTTTTATTTTGTAACAGGACACAATTGGAGAAACTAGTGATTTTACCAAGGCTTTGACTGGAATGGTATGCTTTCCTTTAAGGAATCAAACTTGACTTATAGAGCCAATAAAAGCCCCTTGGAAAAACTAGCCTTATACCTTATTTACACCGTCCCCGTGCAGGGTTTCTGACCTGTGGTAAGTAAAGAATGTCACTTTCTAACAGGCCTAGGGGCCCCAAGTTATCTTGGGACATCAAGGGGAGAGGAATTTACCCAACTCATAGGTATTTGAGGGTACAAACTGTTGGCTGAGCTTGGCCTTAAAAAAGTCTTATCTGAGATTCCTTTTATGGAACAAAGTTTCATCAAAGCCAATTTTAAAAGCCTATGTGAAAAATAATTATTCTTGCTTCACTTTATATGAATAATCAGGCCAAGTATAATAAAGCAAATAAGTCTTACCATGATTTCTGTTTAGTAAAAATGGGAAACTGGCAAGAGAAAAATTATATTTCAGGAACTATGGTACACTTGTTATTAGATTCTAGTCTCAGTTGTCTTTAAGTTTTCTTTTTTTCTGCAATTTAAACTTGTTCCTATGAACCAACCAGTGATCTCTGGCTGCAGCTCAGAAGAAACAAGAGGGATAGGTAATGTAAAAATCTGGATCAGTATTCTAATTCTGGATATGTATTGGAATCAGCCAGCGACCCCATAGCAGCTTGGTTCCAGCAGTTGCCCAGGTCCTGGAGAGCCTTTTTATTTAGTTTACTTATGATAATTTTGCTTATTTTTCTTTAATGTTGTGGAATATTGCTATTGTACTTTTTGTGTAGGAATGCAGGATAAACTTACTGAATGTTTTCTTAAATTGGACACTCATTAATCTTCCAGATATCACATTTTGTCGGAACTCAAGAGTTATTAATGGCCCACAACATACTGACACTTTCTGACTAAGCTTCCTCTCTACCCCAAATACAAGAGACCCTAATAGTTAGGCAGGAATATTATCACCCCTATTCAGTCTGAAGAAGTTACTGGAGATGGATCTTCATCCATCTACAACCCTTAGGATTAAGGGTTCTTTTATAAAGGGGAGTGGGGGTGGAGGAGTATGTTGGAGATGTTTGAACCAGAGTGACTCCATTTTTAATAGGGGCTGGGTAAAATGAGGCTGGGCTGAGACCTACTGGGCTGTATTCCCAGGAGGTTAGGCATTCTAAGTCACAGGATGAGATAGGAGTTTGGCACAAGATACAGGTCACAAAGACCTTGCTGATAAAACAACATGTGGTAAAGAAGCCAGCCAAAACCCACCAAAACCAAGATGGCAACGAAGATGACCTCTAGTTGTCCTCACTGCTCATTATATGCTAATTATAATGCATTAACATGCTAAAAGACACTCCCACTAGTGTCATGACAGTTTACAGATGCCATGGCAACATCAGGAAGTTACCATATATGGTCTAAAAAGGGGAGGAACCCTCAATTCCAAAAATTGCCCACCCCTTTCCCAGAAAACTCATTCATCTACCCCTTGTTTAGCATATAATCAAGAAGTAACAATAAGTATCCTTACCCAAGCAGCTCAAGCCATTGCTCTGCCTATGGAGCAGCCATTCTCTCTTCCTTTACCTTCTTAATAAACTTGCTTTCACTTGAAACAAAAAATCAATGGCCTATGATCCTACTTTAAGAATAAAAAGGAGAGCAAATTAAATCAAAGATCAGTGAATAAAATAATAAACAAATGGAAATCAATCAACTAGAAAACATACAAAATTAATGAAACCAAAAGCTGGATATTACAAAAGATCAAAGAAATGGATAATTCTGTAGCTATACTGATCAAGAAAAAAAAAACAAATTACCAAAACATCAGGAATGGAAATGGTTTCTTATTACCTGAGATTTGACAGGTGTATAAACCCATGAAACTACCACCCAAATAAAGATAATTTTTCCATAACATGAAAAAAGTTGATACATACCACTTATGGTTAATCTCTAACACCTGTCATAATTGAGACACTATAGATCCTACAGGCATTAGATCCTATGCTACAGATCCTATAGAAATTAAAAAGAATAATTTAAAAATATAAAAACTTCTATGCAACAAAACCACTGTGATAAGAAGTTGTCAACTTTTTTTAAAGGGCAGATAGTAAATATTTTAGGCTTTGTAGATTATATGTTTTCTATCACACCTACGCCACTCTGCTGTTATAGCATGAAAGCAGCCATAGACAATGTGTAAATGAATAGATGTGTTCAAACAAAACTTTATGTATAAAAATCACTGATATATCCAACATGAATGAGCATGAAACATATTATGCTAAGCACAAGAAGCCAGAAATAAAAGAGCACATGCCATATGATTTCATTCATATGAAATTCTAGAAAGGCAAAACTAATCTCTCATGATACAGCAGATCAGTGTTTGAATTATCATGGGTGTTAGAGATTAACCATGAGTGAGTGGTATGTGTCAACTTTTTTCATGTTATGGAAAAATTAATTTTATTTTGGTGATTTTTCATGGGTATATACATTTGTTAAAGCTCACTGAATGGTATACTTGAATGAGCATTTTTTATTGAATGTAAATTAAACCTAAAAACTTATTTTTAATCAAATGATTTAAAGAATGGGAACAAAACTAAAACGGAAGTTTGGAGAATGGAGAATGAAAACAACAAAAAATAGACTTTTCAGTGGAGGAATGGTAGGTGAGAGAACACTTGCAAAATAACTTTGACCTATAATACATCTGCTAAGTGAGAAAAGTAGTTGGGTGTAAGAGAAAGTAAAGAGGATTTGAACAGCTATTAACACAGAGCATAATAGAAAATACAACACGAGTGAAGTGATTGCCAACTGAAATCAGAGAGCAAGAATACTGAGTGTGTCAAGAGTTCTTATTTTCCTTGCTTTCTCTCACCATGGTTCGTGGCCCAGAGAACATGAACAGCAGAAGTTACTAAGGATTAGGGATTACAGAAGTGCATATGACTCGCAAGGAATGTATAGTGTTAGGAAAAGCAATGCAGATATGGCTAAAAATTTTGAACAGAAAACTTACTGGGTAGGGAAGAGGTAGGAATGGTAAGGTTGGTTGGCATGAAGAAGAGGTTGAGCATGTATGAAAGATAGGAAAAGATGATAGGTAAGAATGATCTGAACTAGGAAAAATTTTCTATGATCAGTTGATACATTATGTGACATGGTCTTACCAAGTTAGTAAACTATCACTACTGGCAAGCTAGTAAGCTACTTACCAAACAGTAAGCTATTACTAGCAATGGCAGGTAGTCAAAGCTGAAAATATAAAACACCTCTGTCAGTCACAGGCTTAGAAAAAGTTCCTGTCCTTTCTGTAGGAAATAACTCAATAAACATCAACCTTATCAACTTTTAGCTCTGACAATGTTTTATATCCTCCTTAACTGATGGCTGTTAATGACAATTTATTTTCAGGACAACTTTGTGCCCTGTCTTCCAGTTTAACATGGAGCTTTCAGTCTGTAATGCAGAGGATCCTCTAGGGTATAACTCCACAAGGCAGAAGACAAGTTTACTGTGGACAAAAAAATGGGCTAGAATGTCTTCAGCTTCTCAGGCCCTTAATAGGGCTGATGATGGATGACTCTACTGGAGAAAAGGAAGACAAAGAGGTTTCAGATCATCAATAAAGCAGCTGACTCTCAAGAAATGGCTGGAAATCATATTTAAAGTCGATCTTAAATGAATTTGAAAAAAATGCACATAAAGATCGTTACCTGCCTCGTTTGGACATATCAGACCTATGAATATTTATGTAGAAACAAGAGCTTATAATTATCACAAAAAGAAAATGAACACTACTTTTCCCATTTAGAAAAATATGAAAGGCAAATTTTAAATGAAAACTCTCTTGGGACATTTGATATGTCATGAACTATCAAGACCATGACTATTTTTTAATAGCTTTTGAAATCTTTCTCGAAAATGTCTCTCTTCTTTTCTCCATTCTTATTTATTCCTTAGTTTTGACTTTAATATATTTATTATTCTCAGTTGCTTCTGTAAGCCTTAACTTTTATCAAATTTGTAAAATAGCAGAGAATAGAATTTTGATGTCATTCAAATGCCTCACCTAGTACTATGCACATAGTAAACACACAACTAATACAACTGCACTTGGATTCAAAGATCCTTCAATGGTGGAGAATAGAAAAGCTATAGGGCAGGATTTCTAGTCTGCACAGAGCTGAGCACAGAGGAGCAGTGCTGTGTCAAGGGCAAGACTCTCACAAGTGGCTGGAGCAAACAGAGAGGAAAGACTCTTCCCCTAGAACCTAAGTAGCCAGTTATTCAGGCCCAAAGGACCCCTCTGTTGCTAAATCAGGGATCAAGCCTTAAATAGGTTAATTTTTTCCTTATGTGAACATACAAGGGTAAGCAGACTTACCATTCTCATCAAAAGGAGATGGAAAAGGGACATAGAGGTCTGACATCTGCATAAGCTACCTAGCTACCTGCAATCTAGCTGGTACAACAGCTATCTTTAATTTTTAGTAAGGGAGCTCAAGTAAGTTGCCCTAGATGAAAAAACCAGTAAGGAGAAAGCTTAAATAACTTGCCCAAGATGACACAGCTAGCACAGGGCAGTGCTTGAGTAACTTCCCGAGGTTACACAGGTAGTGAGAGGTGGAATTGCTAGGTTGTTCAGCACCACACTTTTCTCCCCTCTACCTCAATGGTTCCTGGCTCTGTGTGGGTGTCTCCTAGCAGATAAAATGGCCCTCTTCCATTTACATTTGTCTTATCCTTATATCTTCAAAATGGTTCGTAAGACAAAAAGAGCCTGCCCTTGATAGACTGCCTCCCACTGCAGCAAGTCTAGCACTGAGCAGCCCTAAGACTAGAATGCCAACTTCGTAGAGGGAGGATAGATAGGAAAGGCTCCTGAGACCTGGGGCCTGGGAGAAGGAAGTAGTAGGTTCAAGATTAAGAGGAGGTGAGTGATACGTGTGGCTCAGACATAAAATGTAATGCCCACCAAAAAACTCAGTCATCAATCTAAGTAATATTTACTGAAATGATTTTTAAAATCACAGTATGAGAAACCCGTGAAGAACAAAATATCAAACTTGTAAATAAAGACAGGATCCGGCAGGGCCAGTGTGGTGGTGAGGCAAGTGAGGCTAAGTTATGTAAATGAAGGGTTGGACCCTATCTTAATTTTAAACTGCTGAAATTTTATTTATCATGGGCTTTTTTGGCATTTTGATTGTTAAAATAATTCATTATATTGTTTATCTTGATTACTGCATTTTGGCATCCCCATAAATTTTGTGCCTGAGCTGACTGCCTCACTCACTTCATTCTAACGTTGGCTTTAGGGTGAAGGCTGGGGAGCCAATCTGAACCTGACAAATAGTCTGGGCCTCACAAAAGAAAGGAGAAAGGTGGGAGCCTCACTAAGAATTTCATGCCGGGCTCCTCTTGGCACATTATTTTGTTTGTTCCTGACGGCCACCCTCCAAGGCAGCTATTAGTATTATCATTTATGTAGGAAACTGAGTGCCAGTATTACAAGGGTAGAAAGTGACTGAGCTGGGTTTCAGCCAAGGCCTATCTGCCTCTAGATCCTGGCAATTCCCACTACTGGCTGATACGTGCCTAATAGTTTATAACCAAAATTCTTGACATTTTCTCCACCTTTCAAGTCACAAGCTCCACCACATGAAGACAGAAATCACAATGGGAAATTTCATTTGCTTGTCTACTCTTGAAGCTGCGTGAAATTTTAAACCATAGCTCTATTTTCCTGATGTCCTTAAATTACTATTCTTCCCAAGTTATTCATATTTTACGTCTAGTATGAGGCTCAGACAGTAAAAGTGTGAATGCAATGCACCCATTTTACATGTATCATTCATTACTATGCTCGATTGGTGTGCCCTTTGCCGCACCACAGCATATTTAGAACAAAACAGATCAGTCGGTTGGGGGGATTCAGTAACACTCTACACTTGTATCCAGTCAATTGTTGATGGTAATCCAATCTTGGATGTGGTGAAAAGAGGGTGGGCTTAGGGTCTAAGTGAAATTGACTGCCAGTGTGTGACTCTGAATCATTTATTTATATCTCTGAGGTTTTCGTTCCCTTTTTTATAAAAATTTTATTAAATAAGTTTTCATTTTTCCGTAAAACTAAGACTGAAGGAAAGTCTGCCTTTCTTAAAGTCAGCAAGGTCTACTGATAAAGAAGATACCTTGTAATCTCTACTTTCATGACAGAAATCCAGGCCTAATCAATACTTTTTTCTATTATCACTGTAATTAAGGCATAAGGCTTTCCCTGATATACAAATGATTAAACCTCTCAATAAACAACTTCACATAGGTCTGGCTCTGCTGATTACTTTATCATTGCCTTCTGCAATAGCCACTATTGCCATCTACAGCTTGGGCTCCTCTCCATAAATAGAGTACAATTAACAAATGCATTATTGTCATCTTGTTTGTATAAATGTTGTTGTGAACAATAGCCATTTATTATCTAAGATGTCACCTTTTGGCTTTCACAAACTAACATTTCATGAATTCATAGACCATGCACAGTCTTTCAGGCAGAATTAATCAAATATCTCTTTGGGACCCTAATAGATTTTGGGGGCATAATTCTGTTATGTTTGTGTCATCTTTGCACGTTCAATGCCAAGTATAATGCCTGGCATATAATAGGTTCCACAACAGATAATAGTTGATCCTTGATGGAAATCACTCAGTTTATTTCGTTTTGTTCCTGAAAAAATAAACACTGCAAACACTGGTCTTTCCAGAGTCTCACCGGATAAATATCTGTGTCCTCCACCAAATGGCCCATGAATTAGCACATCAGAGTGAAGAGAAAGGATTAGGGACTAGAAGAACTAGTAGATGATACTAATCAAGCTTCAGACTTATTGAATTAATTTAGATCAAAGGCTGACTAATCCTTGTCATTTAGCCCATTTTCTAATATTTGAGCATTTAATCTTTTGGGGAGATCTTCTTTGGAGGAATACATTCATTCAATAGATTGAATATTTATGGATCAGATATTGTTTCAGGTTCTAGAGGCTCAAAAATGTCTAAGATATTATCTCTGTCTTTAAGGCTATCACAGGTTAATGGGTAATGTACACAGAGTTAAAATGCAGTGCAAATGCATAGAAACATGTCCAAGGAATAATACGGGCATAAATGAGAAGTTATTGGCTTTTATTTCCTGAGCCTAGGAATGTGTAGCAAAGAAGCTTCAAAGTGGTCTAAAGAATGAGTAGGAATTTTCCAGCCAGTACAAAATAGCATAATAAGCTTAGGGATTTTTTTTTTCTTTTTTGAGATGGAGTCTTGCTCTTGTCACCCAGGATAGAATGCCATGGTGCGATCTTGGCTCACTGCAACTTCCACCTCCCGGGTTCAAGTGATTCTCTTGCCTCAGACTCTTAAGTAGCTGGGATTATAGGCACCTGCCACCACACCCGACTAATTTTTGTATTTTTATTAGAGACGGGGTTTTGCCATGTTGGCCAGGCTGGTCTTGAGCTCCCTAACCTCGTGCTCTGCCCACCTCGGCCTCCCAAAGTTCTGGGATTACAGGCGTGAGCCACTGCGCCCAGTCAGGAGTTTTAATAGCTTCATATGGTTGGAACACAGGATGCTTGGAGAGGGCAGGGGATTACGCAGCACATTGGGTCAGGGATCAGATGATAGGGAGCCCTCTGTACCTGTTGAGTTTTGACTTGGACCTTTTGGTCAGAAGTTCTCAACAGTCCTGAGAAATACAGGATACTACTTGGCTCACATCCCAATTAGTACGAATGGGTCATCCAGAGTGATTAATCCCCTTTGCATATGTGATTTTGGTTTGGCCTTTTGCCCTGAGAATTTCAACCTTGGCTGTATATTAGAATCCTATAGTGGGAACTTTTGAAAAATACATATTTGTTCTTCTCCTCTATGTCACCCCTCTAATCAGCTTACTGAACACAGCCCAGCAGTAATCCCTAAACTCATGTTTAGGGACTTCTGAAGTGGGGAGACATTGACAGGTGTTAAACAGGGTTAAAACATCAAAGTAAATGTACCTTTATGTCATTTTATAAATGACACTCTGGAAAGGTCAGATTGATCACTGTGGGGAGGATGTTTGGGAAGGGAGATAAAGGGCACAAATGACCAATGGCAGGGATTCTTCAAATCACTGAAGTAGTTAGAGCCAGGTATAAAAAGAATATGAGCTAAGTCAGTGGGGGTGTAAAGGAGGAGCTAGAAATGGATAGCATTATAACTATAGAATCCATAAGACAGGTTGCATGAAACTGAATGAGTAAAGCGATGAACACTAAAGAGTTTAGAATGATTCTAGATTCTGGCTGGGGTTTCTGGAAAAGGAAAGAGATAAATTCCAGGAGGTTTGGAGAAAGAAAAGCAACAAACTCAACTTGGGACATGATTAGAACTTGAGATGATTGTGGTTTATTCAAGATTTTATGTCTTGCAGGCAGATTTATATCCCAGCCTGGAGCTCAGGAAGAAGGTCTGGGCTGAGGATAGGGATTTGGGACGTATCTGTTGGGAAAAAGCTGAGGGTTGGGAGGGAAACTGAGGCAGGGCTTGCATAATGTCTTCTGGAATGTGTCTAGACTTGCTGGCTCCTTGCTTATGGCCCTCCTAGGCTCCTAGGCTCCTATTCCCATTATCTCAAGTAGCAGAACATGTTCCATATAAATGCTAAACCATCACAGCTGTAAATCATGTGCTTAATGCAACATGTCCTTTTGACCTCCACATTCTCACCACCTGTTTCTTTGTTGGATTACCAATAAATACCGTGGGCTCCCAGAGCTCTGGGCCTTCACAGACTCCATGATAGTGATGGCCCACCTTTTTCTCTTTCACTGTCTTTTCCTCAATCCTTTGACTCTGCCAGACTTTGTCACCCCAATGACCTGGTATTGGGTCTGATCACCCCAACAACATCTTTGTTTAGGTAGAAGTCAGAAGTTAAGTCAGTAGGTGAGATTGCTCAGAAAGCAGAGACAGTAACAGAATACTAAGAAGTGTAAGCCTAAAAGCACTAAGTTTTAAGATGAGGGTTAAAAGAAAGTGTTAGCAAAGAAGACTGAGGGAGCAGCCACAGAGATGGCAGGAAACCCAGGGAAGACAAGCATGATAGAAGTTACCAAAGCCAGAAAAAAATTTCAAAAAGAAGATGCGGCAAGCGTAGAAACATTTCTAAGACAGACCAAAGAATGAAATGAACATTGAGGAGGTCCTCAGTAATTATGGTAAAGGCAAATTCAATCTAGCAACTAGGAAAATTGAAGTCAATTTTGTGTGTGTTGAGAAATTTATTGTGGTGAAGGAGAGATAAGAAGTATAATAATTTTTCAAGAAGCTTGCCTGAGGAGGAGATAAATGGGGTGTCAGCTTGCTAGAAAAGGATGAGTGGTTGAATGCACAGATGTGTCTGCTTTTGAGATTGGAGAGAAATGGCAAAACTTGCTGAGTGGAAGATAGAGTTTAACAATTGGAAAGTATAGTTGACACAAGAAGGGATGAGAGTCTACAGAATGAGTGGGGCTTTCTCTAGTTTTCTTTATGCTCTAAGCTGCTCCCACTGAGTTGGGAAAGTAAGAAAGTGCATATGAGAGAGGAAATGGAAATACCTCTCCCATACCTTCCTACCTTAATCATTAGAATAACACCTTTCCTTTTTTACCACACCAAAACTTTGAAGATAAGTATATTTAGGCACAGGGATTTTTATGGCATAAAAATATCACAAATATTAGTTGTGATTAGTAAAATCCTCTCACTCAAACTGCACAAAATCACATCAACTTGACTTCAAAAACAGGGTAAAAGCAATTGTTCATTTAATTATCTTAAAACTCAACTTTAGGTGTTTTGTTGTTGTTGTTGCTTTGCAAAAATTGGCAATTATCAGCTCCTGAACAAAAGAGCTCCTCCCACGATGCCTGAAAATACTAATTTAGGTACATTGAAAGGGGGAAAGTCTGTCCATGTATTATTCAGTTCATTAGTCAAGTAGAGCTAAAGCGGTTAATATTTGGTCCAATTCTCCATCTTTCTCTTATTTTTCAAGTGAGGAGACTGATCATTATTGAGAAAATGTGCTCACACTGTGTGAATGTTTTTATTTTATGCGTCTTCAGAGTCTGATAAGGGCACTATGCATTTAGGGTTTTATTTTTTAAAAATAGTACCTTTCCTTAGTGTACAGTTATTCAGAAACATCTGTTGGTTTCATTTTTGAAGTTGTAATGGCATTCACACAAAGCATGGAAAACATAAATAGCATATAATGATGGAAAGGACTCATCACAGGAAACCAAGATTTAACCTCAGTGGAAATTACATAGGGGAAAAAAGAGCAGTATTTTGTCTCAGACAGACCTAAATTGAGATTACAACTGTGATACCAGCTGTCTCAGGGCAAGTTTCTTAGCCCCTACAAACATTACTTGTTAAATGCTGATAGGCCCTTTCTGTTGGGCAGGAATTTCTGCGGAAGCTATCTTAGGTTAGTTTATAGCTATAGTTCCTAAGCCCTCACCAAAGCCACAGAATGAAAGAAAAAGTTTATCTTTCCCAGGTCTCCAAAACTGCCAAAATTATGTTTTTACCCTAGAGAATAGAACAGAGCCAAACTTGAGAAAAAGTAACCTTTAATGGGCTGTGAGAGTAATCACTGACAGGACAATGAGGAACAGGGGTAGAAATCGGGGAAAGGAAGGCAGTACACCTGATGACACGGGCACACCGGGGCTGGGTGAGAGCTCCGATTTTGTTTAGTTTCTATGATTTGAGTACTTCAGTCTCTTTTTCTACAACCCTGTTGACTGGAAAGGTACACAGATTCTACAAGCACAAGGCCCTGTAGACTTAGGCAAGTTTAAACCTAATAGATGAAATGGCCAGCTTTGCAGAGCAAAATATCAAAGGGAGTGAGCCAAATAAGAGCCACCAGTGGGGAAAAATCTGAAGGCCATAGAGATGAGAATAGGAACTTCCCACTCCATCATCAATGTCCATTCTGGTGTTCTTCTTTAATATGTGCTACACTCTACCCATGGCCTCTTTTTCATTCCCAATATTACTTATTTGTGATTTCCTTTATTTAAAAATAATCAATACTGCCAGAGGTTATCCATTTGTCTTTCCAAAAAACTAGTTTTGGCCTTTGTTGATTCTTTCTGTAATCTGTTGCTTTCTATTTTATTAATTTTGGCCCTTTTTCTTTCTTTCTAGTCTTTTTGGGTTTATTCTGTTATTTTTCTAACTTCTTAAGTACGTGCTTAGTTCATTTTTTAAAAATTCTTTTTATTTTGTAATTTTATAAATTTTCTAAGTACCTCTTTAGTTAGGCCATCCAGGTTTTGAGTATCGTATCTTAATTGTAATCGAGCTCCAAATACTTTATTTCCATAAAAATTTGTCTTTGAAGTTTGTTACTAAATTTATAAATTATGATGAATTATATTTATCTTTGCATTACTGTTTTCTAACTTAATTGCATAGTGGACAGAGAAGATAGTATGTTTGATACAGACCATCTAGTATGTTGAAACTTGCCTTGTAACTAAGTGCATGGTCAATTTTGAAATGCCTCATTTATGCATGAAAAGAATGAGTCTTCTCTAATTGTTGTCATTCTCTAATTGTTGTAGATAAAACTACCTAGTTCTCTAATTGTTGTAGATAAAACTACCTAACTGTATTATTTGAATTTTCTATATTCTTAAAAAATTTTGCTACCCATGAGTTAATTAGTGGCAGAAATGTGAGTTCATTGATTTTCTTTGGAATGTTATCAATTTCTGTTTTATATATTTTGAGGCCATGTCATCATGTACATAGAAGTTTAGCATTATCATTTTTATGGTTAGTGAATTGTTTTTCTGGCCACATGGTTAAGTTTTTTATTCTTAATAATGCTTTTTGCTTTAAAGTTTCTGGTTTCTGAAATAAGACTCTCTGCCAGCTTTTTTTTGATAAGTATTCTTTGGTGTATTTTATTCTATCTTTGTATTTTTCAACCTGGGTTCTTGAATGTTAGCTGTTTCTCTCTCTCTCTCTCTCTTTCTGATTTACCAACGTACTTGTATTAGTCCATTCTCATGCTGCTAATAAAGACATACATGAGACTGGGTTATTTATAAAGGAAAGAGGTTTAATTGACTCGCAGTTTAGCATGGCTGGGGGGAGGCCTCAGGAAACTTAAAATCATGGCAGAAGGGGGGAAGCAAACACGTGCTTCACATGGTGGCAGCAGGGAGAAGTGCCAAGCAAAAGGGGGAAAAGCCCCTTATAAACCATCAGATCTCATGAGAACTCACTGTCATGAACAGCAGCATGGGGGTAACTGCCCCCATGATTCAATTTCCTCCCAGCGGGTCCCTCCCATGACACATGGGATTAAGGAAACTACAATTCAAGAAGAGATTTGGGTTAGGACCCAGCCAAACCATATCAATACTTTATTGTCATTCTATGTTATACCTTATGTATGACTGTTTTGTAGAACATAAAGTCTAGGTATCCTGTCAGAATATCACATCTTACGTATAACTTATTTCAAAGCTTACTGCACCACCAAAAAGCTACGGTTTATTTACATAAACAGTATAAAATTAGGGTAAGAAACTCACATACATTAAAGCATGGACATCAATGTTTCTGCATAGTTAGTATCAAAACACCAAAGGCCATGTAAGGAATCCCCGTTTGCCTTCGTCCCAAGATCATATTTCCTTTCATTGTGAGTGTCTCTTGTGTGGTTCTTGGTGAATCAGATCATCTTCTATGTCTTCTTAGAAGTTAACGTTAAAATCTTCAAAAAGAAATTGAGTTTTTCCCGGTGAACATGATGGGTTTCCTTTGTAATTGAGTATTAACAAAGTGAAGGTACTTACTTGTATTTTGACTTCATTTTACATCTTAAAGCCTGTTTCAGATTTGATGTCCACACATTATGCTCACCTGGCAACTTGTATCTTTGCTTTTAAGAAGTGCAGCAGGTGGCAGGACATTTAGGCTGTGAGCTGCTAGGCCATTGTGTTGTCTTGAACAAGTCCATTCATCCTTCTGAGCCTCAGTTTTCTCATATCAAAAGTGGGGAGCTGGACCAGATAACCTCCAAAGTTCTGTCCAGCTCCAAATGGTATGTTCTATGATTATTTTTCCATATTTAAAACATTCCAGTCCTTGCATCTGTATCCACTATGTTAAACACCATTGCATGAAGTTGTGAAGAGCTTATTTATATTTGTAATCAATCAGAGGTCAAATTGTTCCCAAATTCCATCCCTAACCCTCATTTTTTCACTGCTAAATTGCAAGGAAAGTAGTAGCACTTTCTAGGACAATCAGATAATGTTATTCACCATATCTCAAACTTCTTTATTTTATTTTAGATACAGGGCCTTCCTCTGTTGTCCAGGCTGGAGTGCAGTGCCATGATCATAGCTGACTGCAGCCCCAAACTCCTGGGCTCAAGGGTTCAAGCAATCCTCCCACCTCAGCCTCCCAAGGAGCTGAGACTACAGGCACATGCCACTGCAGCAGGCTAATTTAAAAAAAGTTTTTTCATGGACGATGTCTTGCTTTGTTTCCCAGGCTGATCTCAAACTCTTGGCTTCAAAGGACTCTTTCACCTCGGCCTCCCAGAGTGCTGGGATTACAGGCATGATCTACCACACCCACCCTCAAACGTCTCTTTAGAATGTAAGAAAAATTCTTAGGGACATGAAAGAACATAAAACCTGGAGTAACTGATTTACAGTGATTGCATGTATCATTAGTTGGATTTGATTCATTCAAATCAAATGTTCCTGCACTCTCACTTTTCCGGTCTCTTCAGTCTGAGGCTTGTTGAATGCCTTATTACTTTTATGGTTTCATTAAAGTCACAATGCTCAGCCCACAGTTTTTTAAAAGAGGTAGGAGCTGCCTCCAGGAAATTTCAAGCCACTTGGGACATTGATGCCACCTGCTTCTCTGACAGCTTTTTTTGGGGGGTTTACATTGCCATTAGCAGTGGCTTGTCACTTACTGGGTGACTTCAGCAGGTGGGAAGGAGTGAATGGGCACAGTGCCCACACATCCTGTTACACAGTTTATAATAAAGAAGAGTCCCTGCCAACTCATTAGATTTGAATTTAATTTTCTAGCCATGATTTAATGACCTTTTTTTTTCTTCTTATTTCATTCTTTCTCTTGATCCCCTTTATAGCCACAATGAGGTCACTGGTACCTGTTTTTTAAACAGTTAATTTTTTTGACATAAATTTACTCTTAAAGAATTGCAGAAACTATAAAATTCCCATACATCCTTCCATTATATTAATATCTTCCACAACTGTATACACTGTTGCGTTAACATCTTACCTAGTCACAATGCATTGATCAAAACAAAGAAGTGAATCTTGTTATAACACTATTAGCTTTTTTAAGTTAATAAACTAAGATCACTTAGATTTCACCAGGTTTTCAACTAATGTCATTTTTTTCTGTTCTAGGATCCAACCCAAGATCTCACATTAGGTTCAGCTATCATGACTCCTTACTCCTTAGTCTCCTAATTTGGGACAGGTCCTCATTCTTTCCTTGTCTTTCTAACCTTGACACTCACCAAGAGTTCTGCTCAGTTGTTTCATAGAATGTTCCTCAATTTGGGTTTATCATTTTCTCATGATTATGCTGCAGTTACACACCAATGGGAAGGATACTAGAAAAGTTACGGGTCCTTCTTAATACATCCTATCAGGGGTACATGTCAATGTGCATATATTACTCACAATGTTAATCATGATACCTTCACTTAGATGTTGTCTGCCAAGTTGCTGCACTCTGATGTTAACTATTTTTCCATTTGTAATTGCTACATATTTGAAGGGAGATACTTTGAGACTATGCAAAATGCCCTATTTGGACTTGAACTTTTACATCAGGCTACCCAAGGCCTAGTTTTCTTTGGGTATAAAGCTGAGGTTCTTAGGTTACCTAAACTAACAAGCACTCTCCCACTTTACCCAAAATGAATGCCTTCCACAGGGTCAGCTTAGAGTCTTTACCAGGAAGATTTCAGTTTCCTTTCCATTTCAGACCCA
Source organism: Homo sapiens (assembly GCF_000001405.40). Lineage (NCBI taxonomy): Eukaryota > Metazoa > Chordata > Mammalia > Primates > Hominidae > Homo > Homo sapiens. The sequence goes on from NC_000013.11 coordinate 39,100,475, forward strand.
TATTAATTACTTTTTACTGTCTTACAAACTCAGTTAATACACTAAATAGAATGCTTGTTATTTTTATTCTGCATTTTGTAACGGGGATTAACAACTTGCTGAAAATGATTATTGCTTTACCCACCTGCATACATCGCCACCAACATACTTATTTTCTCAAGGCCATCATTGTGATATTTATGTTTTCTAAACTTTTCTTGATTTGTGAACTTTTTCATGTGAAAAGACAATTGTGTAAAAATTAAATTCTCATAACTTTAGTCAATCATTGTCCCTTTTTTTCTAAGAATAAAGTTACATAAAATTGAGACAATCACAGAAAGTCCTGGGCATATGTTCTCTGCATCTATAGCACATTAATCACGTAGCTCAACTTCTCCCTTTCTGTTCAGGGCACATGATCTCCTTCAGCGCAGCTACATCTATGAACATTGAGTTCTATTGTTTTATTTGATGAAGATGATGATGATGATGATGATGATATTAGGAAATAACTACTATTTCCAAATGACGAATAGAGAACAGATGTACAGGTACACTTAAAACAGTTCTTGTGAACATTTCTCAAAAAATTGTTGTGTCATCCCTTATTGCTATTTTATTACATTGCCCATGTTTGACTTATACACTGGTATCCTGTCAGCATGCTTTTTTCCATAGAGCTATTTTTTTTGACTGGTACCATCTGTCATTATAACTCATCTTCCATGCTGAATAACTTTGCATGTGATGATTACTTGTTTCCTTGTCACTTGGACCTCGCAGTTCTCCATGAAAGAGTAGGATCTCACCATGGCCATACTCTGATATCTGACTCATCTGAATTGCTTGCTGAGATTAAAGCTTGAAATGGAGAGTCGATCAAGTATTCTGTTTAGGCTGGGGTGGGGGTCGGGGCCATGCATATGTGTGTGTGTGTGTGTGTGCGTGTGTGCTCGCACATGTGCTCATTTGGAGAGGGCAGGCTAATTCCCATTGCTCAATAAAGCAAGGAAACAGATGGTGCTGTCAGTTCTAGGCATAGCACAATCACACACCATATGAGCATTCCCAAACAGTGCTGCATATGCAAACCCAAGCTGCCAACAATCCCCCTGATATTTAAATCCCCAGAGCTTCAAGAGAACATATTGCACATTCCTTTGAACAATAAAAATTGCTTGACTTTCTGCTTCCCCTCTAAATTCCTTCCCACTCCCTGCTCCCTGAGGTGTAAGTTAGAGATGAGCTTCAATGTTTAATTTTCTGAAATCAAGTCTTTTTTTTAAGTCATTTGTTCCCTAAAGCCAAGGGATACTAACACATTGTGGTACTGGAAATAAATGAGTGGGACTCTTCACAATAAATGTGAAAATTATTTATTCTGTGAACAAATTTATGAAAAACTATGGGTAAATTGAAAAAGTCTAGATGGAATAGATAGTGATATACATATACACAGTCCTTACCTTCAAGCCACTAATAAATAAGAGATAAGATACACAATGTGGCCAAAATAAAAGTTGGGACTTCAATAGCATAAACAGAAAAAACATTTTAATAAGTGACATCACTTCTAGTTGAGAGGATAAGGAAAGCTGTATGGACAGTAGTAGCATTTGAGTTTGACTTTGAGAAAGTCTGCTTTAAGTTGAGAGGCAAGGGGGCTGTGGCTTACTAGTGATTAAGTAAAATGCATGTATGTAGTACTAAAGTAATTCCTATTTCCATCACTAGTCTTTTCACCCATAGAAAATTAAAATGAGAAAAAATATAATATTAACCAGTTTTGAGATGTGGACATTTTCCTCTCATTGAAGAGCTCCTTTGCAACAGTTTTCCCTCTGTTTTGAAAACTTTCGGTCCAACTAGAACTCACACACTTCTGCTTAAGTGTAAACTTGGACTGCCACTTTGAAAAACTAAAGCTAAACATAGGATATACTATGATCCAACTAGTCCACTTCTATATATATTTACCAAAAGCTAGGTTTTAGGATATTTCTAGCAGTCCTTTGTAGTCCCAAACTAGAAGCTACTCAAATGTCCATGACATTCAAATTGATAAATACGTCATCTGAGGTGAGGTGTTGGTGATATATTATTTCTTCCTCTTGGTTCGGTTAAATGAGTGTGTTCAGTCTATGAAAACTACTCTAATTGTACTTCTATGATATGTACACTTTTCTGTAGGCATACTATATTTTAATAAAACTTTAAAAATATTTTCTCAAATTATGATAGCCTAGATTTCTTGAGTATAAAGCATAAAAGAATGAATTTATTTAATCTTGCTTTTGATCTTTGAAACATAGTTCTTTATCTTATCATGATTATGAAAATTTGACTTAGTCTATAAGCCTCTAATGGCTCTTCTGTACAGATCACATGTATTTTTCTTCAACAGGAAAGTTTGAACTAGATCAGGATCAAAGTTCTTTGGGCTCTTCTCCTTAAATATTGTTCAATAAAGTTCTGTCTTTATATTGCTTCTCTTTGCATTGTATCTCATCTTTATATGCTTTCTCATTTACCCTATGGCTTCAGTTTCTGCCACTAAAGGGGGTGATACATTTCTAGCACTTTTCCCTCCCTAGCTCCAGAGACCCTGATGGCATTTCCACTTGGTGTATCGCAGGCCTTTAAATGTAACGTTAAAAAAATGGAGCTTGTTATCACCCCACTGTAACTTCCCTTTCCTGCCTGTAATGCCCATCACAGTGAATGGTCCCATTGTCTACCTCGTGACCCAGTCAGAGTCATCTAAGACTCCACTCTCTGCCTTTTTCTTCACTGCCTAGATCTAATTAGTCCACAAATTCTGTCAGTTCTACCTCCTACAGCACTCTTAGGCCTTTATTCTCTTTCAGTTGGGAGCCCACTTAAAACAAAACTTGTGAAGCAAATGAATCTCCAGTCACCAAACTCCTGATTCTGAACCAGCCTCTTCCCACATGTCCGTTCCTTCCACCAGTCTTTGTTTGTAAATGATACATCTGTTCTTCTAGTTTCTCGAATACGAATCTTTGAGTCAGCTTAACTCTTTTCTCTCACATACCTTAATGGATAGCTCTAGCTTCAGAATATATCCAGAATCTGGCCATTTCTTATCACCTCTCTCCCATCCCCACCTCCCTGACCCAGGCCAGTCTCACGCCTTTTTATGTTCCAGCCACACTGTCTAGTTCTCTGCCAGTACTTCATACCACTGTGTGTTTGCACACTTTCCTCTCATTGCTAGGGATGCCTATTCCCCTCTCACCAACCTGGCTAATTTTTCCTCAGTTCAGGTGAGCGCATCCCACCATTTTCTTTAGAAAATCTTCCCTGGATCCTTTGGCCTGAGCTAGTACTCTGTTTCTATTTCTTTATATTCTGAGTGCCAAGCGCATTGCCTGGTATGTGGTTGGTGCTCAATAAATTCAGAGAGATTGCTGATGAACTAAACTACTGAACTGTAATAAAGCCTTGACACATTTCCTCTTACAAACCTTTATTAGAATAATCACACCTTATTTCAATTTTTGTTTTCTGTGTGTCTATCTTCCTCACTGAGTTATGAGCTACTTAAGGTTAGGAAATGTGTGTCTTAATCATTTTTGCATTTTTGTATGCCCATAGTAGTGTTTAAAAATTAATTGCTAAATGAAGACAAACATAAATAACTGGGAGGGCACTTATAAATATACATTTCTTGTTAACTGCTATGGACTAATTTGTGCACCCCATAATTCATATATTGAAGTCTTAATCCCCAATTTGATAGTATTCTGAGATGGGGCCATTGGAGAGGTAACTGGGATTAGATGAGATCATAAGAGTAAGTTAGCTCATGAATCCCATCTGAATTAGCTATTTCTGGCTATTATTGAGAGCTGTAGTTGAGAGCCTCCCTGAAAATGTACATAATATTTTCTCTACAAATTATTGCTTTGTCCTGACTGTACACTTCAACTGATTGGCAGGTGGCACCAATAAGGCCAAGTTTAAACAGCCTGTCATGTTACAAAGTCACAAATCCCATCCTTAGCCACGACTAGTCATCTCAGAAAAATGGGACAGAATAACCCTACCACTGGAAAATCCACCCAAAGTTCATTTCCTCTCGAGCAGGGGTATATAAATGCCATGCTTATAAATTGAAAGAAAATATTGTTATAATATACTTTTGATTACTTTCTTGTAACCAGCTATTTTTTTTTTTTTTTTTTTTTTTTTTTTTTTTTTGAGACAGAGTCTCGCACTCTCACCCAGGCTGGAGTGCAGTGGCGCGATCTCGGCTCACTGCAAGCTCTGCCTCCCGGGTTCATGCCATTCTCCTGCCTCAGCCTCCCAAGTAGCTGGGACTACAGGCGCCCGCCACCATGCCCCGCTAATTTTTTGTGTTTTTAGTAGAGATGGGGTTTCACCGTGTTAGCCAGGATGGTCTCGATCTCCTGACCTCGTGATCCGCCCGCCTCGGCCTCCCAAAGTGTTGGGATTACAGGCGTGAGCCACTGTGCCTGGCCTATTGTAACCAACTATTAACATTGATAACTAATTGTTTCCCTCTTTATTGACTCTTGGGATTATAAATGGCTCTTCATTTATGTTACCCCAGATATTTAATTTTTACAATGATTATGTTTTCAGAATCCAAAACTATTTACTTTGTGTAATTTCAGAAAGAAATAGGGAATTCCTGTTAAGAATATTTATTTCCTCCACTTTCCAATTTCTCTCCTGAGAGAATTTACCTGGGTAACTTGATCCTGATGGAAAAACAACAGCTGGCATACTTACTTGTATTTAGAGCTTGTGGTTTAATATCTTTAAGTCTAGCATATGTCTGTGGCAGAGCACACTGGGCAGCTGCATTCACATGTTTTCTTGGACTGTTGCCAATGGCGAGATTGCAGACAATTGTAAGTTTGAAATCAGAAAGGCCTGACTCAGGTTGCAGGCTCCTGATTGTCTGATTTTTAAAATTTGGATAGTCAACTTAAAATTTAGAAATGAGGACATTCAGAGGACTAATTTAAAACAGACCAAGTAGGAAGTGATTGTCTAACACTTCCCCATAGAGTTGCTTCCAAGGAATCCCACTCCGTTCAGTGTGTCTTGCTTTCTTAGTTTCTGTACTGTTTATTCCTAAATAATCAGAAAGAGGACAGAATGTTAGTGGCTGTGTCCCATGCTGTCAAAACATAGCTGTGGTGTGATTACAGGATGGTGAATGTTCTCCTTAAAAATGAAAATAGAAACAACGACAACAAACCCAGAAAAGAAAAATTCTAATTTGGATTGTACAACTTCATAATGAAACGTATTGAAACTCACACTAGGGGGTGCAGGCTCACAAAACAGTGCTCTACTCTTAAGCACCCACTTTCTTAACTTCCTCTGTGTCCCTCCTCTACTGTTTTCCTCAGCAACTACAACTACAGCATTTAGAAGCTCTTTGTTATTAAGGGAAGGGGGAAGACATTATTCTAGGGGTAGCTGGCAAGGTAGCAAGTTATCCCATTACCAAAGTGATAAAATATTTACCGCATAGAACTGAAAATATCACCAAGTTTTCCCCAGGAGAACTTCCCTCTTTCTCCTCAGCAAGAAAGCAAGCCACAAAGGCCATCATGTTGTCCTAGCAGCTATACATCATAAAGCTGATCCCACAAATGTTGACTGTGGCATCTCTCCCCAGCTCTTTTGCGAAGGTGTCACACCAAGTGTCAGGTTCCAGCTCATGCTGAGTTCCAAGGGGAGTGGGTAGATGGGTGGCAGATAGCTGAAAGAACACTCGGGGTGGGGCATGGGCAGGTGAAATATGGTTTTATTCAGCAGCTCTCTTACACTGTCCACCTTTGTTTTGGCTGCCTGCTCAGGCTCTGGGGCTCCTGCCGCTCCCACACTTACAGCTGCACTCCCTGGCACGTGGCTGGTTCCTGGCTCCCCGCTGTCCATCTGCAAGAGCTGTGTGTACAGTTGTCAGCAGGGCAGTTATACCTTTTACAGACAATAGTGGCTTCGAGCCAAGTATGAGCTTATACAAACAGGTTATATAACAAGTGGAGTTGTGTGCCTGCACTATAAACTCCGAGTCACACTGGCCTGGATGTCTGCCTCAGCCTATTCTTGACCAAAGCACGTCCATTTACCTAACAGAAGGAAACAATCCTTGGTGCTGGAAAGTCTGGAGAAACTGCTGGCTAAGTTGTGCTTGACAAGGAGTCACTAGTGCACCAAGCATTCTAGGAAGGGGGAGCCAATAGAATCACAAACTCCTTGGGTTAAATTTGTGGCACAATCCAGGCAGGTAGTGCTTCTCTTGTATATACTGCCACATTCTGCCTCTGATCCTTCAGGCAAACTGTCTCAGCAGCTTTGCTGTCACAGCGTTCTAGGGACCAGCCAAGCAGGGAGGTGAAGCTGGCTGCCTCCAAGGAGGCTTTTCTTTCCTGAGGAAGAGCAGGGAAATCTGCAGCTGAGGTTCATCTCTCAGCTGATCTAGGGCTTTTACATGACTTTTTTCCCCCTTTTGCACTGCATCTCATGCTTAAGACATTAGCCTAAAAACCCGTCAATGAAGACTATATATATCCAGTCTTCAAGATCCTCAATTAAGATAACTGTCTCCATTTTAATCTGAAGCTAGCATCTATTAATAGTGATGATTTGTTTTTGAATTTGGGGATATACAGTATGTTTTCCAGTTAAAACCCACTGCTGATCAAAACACTGTTCTATTTACAAAGTAGAAGAATGTGCATACATCCAAAATTCAAACAAAACTCTATCACAAAAGAAAATGACTATTTTCTTAAAGAAACAATCAGCACAGGTCCACAGTACTGGTGGCGATTGTGTTGATCATTAGCAGAGTTTCAAGACAAGCACCCTGATGCTGCATTTCATTTCCATCTCCTCTAGGTCTTGTCTAATTTTCTTCAAAAAGCGGCCTTTCAAATGCACTCAAACTCATATGCCCGAGTAAAATGTAGTAGAAACAGGCTAAGCACCTATACTTAGGCGCTCTGTAATTCTATTCCTCCAGTGTCTTCAATGAGGAGACACTTGATTAGTTATCAGGAGACACAACAAGAACCCCAAGGAAAGTCAGGTTCAAGTTGCCCTGATGTAATTACTGATGCATATAATTAAATCATGTACAAAGATATTAAATATTTCAGCAAAGTCTGTTTTAAGTTGTTTTACTTCTTGAAAGACACTAATGCGAAATGATTTTCTCAGGTAAATGAGATTTAGCTGTGTTGGTAGATCGACCAGACACAGCAGCTGCAGGTTTAATTAAACGTTTGCCTAACCATATAAAAAGACAGTGATATATCTTCATAGCATCTGGCAGCTTCACTATCCTCCAGTCATTCTTTAATTAGCATGCTGGTGAATTTAATAGAAAATGGCTTCAACTCAGAAGCAGATGGTTCTTCTGAGTGACAAGAGGAATGACAATTTCTGTCATGTTTACTTCCTATGTAGCTTTCTAGTTCGAAATATCCTTCAGAGTACAGTTCTGGGGAAATCAGGGGTCCTGTTTAATATCTTCAAAAAGCAACCAATTCTGAATCTCATTCTCTTGAAAAAGTCTGATTCATGAGCTTCAAAACATGTTTTCCTTTTCTCTTTGTTCATTTCTCTTATTTTATGATGATATTAGCCTTTCTGTTAAAAGAATGGGTTTATGTAAATGTATATAGTATCTCTGAGGTAGATAAAAATATATGCATCGGACACAACCCAGTCTCTGATATAGATTATCAGAATTTTAAAGTTTAGAAAATTTGAACCCCATCTCCCTCTTAATTTAGCGTAACTGCCAGCAACTGGCTTGAGGGAAGAGAGAAAAAAATCTTTGCTTTTCATAGTTGTTTTAGAAATGAAAGCAACAGGTAAGAGAAAATTCCAAGGAACAGAAAAAATGAGAACGTCCATAATTGTTGGTGAACGTTGCTTCTCCTGGGCCTATTTGTAGGGCTTTCTTTCATGAGTGAAAGCTCTTCTGGGTGGCAACTTCTTATGCCCACCCTCTTGTGCTGTGGCTCTGTTGTACATAGGAAATTATAAATAGTAATTTAGTTCATTGTACATGGTTAAGATGGACTGAGTGAAAAATGGACAATTTATTTATTTGGAATAAGTGTCATTTCTCTGCTTATGCACTTTTTTTCAGATTTTCAAATTCAGCAGACAAACTAGTCCAAACTAATCATGAGCAATGTGCACGTGCTAAGAGCTTCTGGCTGTGATGATGGACACTTTATTTAAATTCTCATTTAATTCTCAGAATAACTCTGTAAGGTAGGTGTTGCTAACCCTTATTAAAAATGAAGACATAGGCTAAAGAGGTTATGTGAGTGGGAGAGCCCAGTTTTGGATGCAGTTTTCAAATAGCAATATTGTTCTCTCTACTTGGTGCTGCATTGTTTGAAGACCCAGAGGCTATTTATTGCCCATTCACAGAACAAGCATGTATCACATCTAACCATGTGCCAGACAGCTGATGGGGATCCAAAGACATGTAGATCCTCACAATTGCCCTTGAGGACCCCTCAGTCAAGGGCGTGGAGATGCAGTCATAATCATAATATAGAATGGGGAGAACTGTGTATGACAAAGATGCCTTCAACTACGTTGTGAGCCCAGAGGAGGGAGCAGGCAATTTTGCCACATATCACAAACAAATTGACATTGAATTACAGAAGGTGCAGGGATTCTCCTGAGAGAAGGCTGGATGGGGGCTTATTCCAAGCAGAGAGAACACAATTAATAAGGGCTTAGAGGTCTGAAAGAGCTTGGAATATTTCAAGCACAGACAGATGTTTCCATGAATGGAACTAAGAAGCATGAGCATAGCAGAAATTACCTAGCTCTTTGCAGCAATGTCGGTAAACTCAAATGTCTACTGATGCCAGATGAATAATAACAATGGCAGAAGTGAACCACGTTTAGTGATAGGGTGTGGTGGGGACTTTGGCAAGCAGTTTTTATGCTTCATTTTCTCAAAAGGAGATTTTGATTTTTAAAAAAGTACATTCTTATTGGTCCAGAAGTCCACCTTTTAGGAATTTATGTTGAAATTACACCTTCCTTATGCAAAACAACATTTGCATTCATTGCATGCATCCATTATAATGTCTTAAAGAAAATATTGGAGAAAAACCAGGACCTTTTCAAAAAGCACTGGCTCAATAAACTTCTCAATTTTCAAAATAAATACAACTTATTCAAACCTAAAGAAAATTGAACATGTCTGCAAGGTGTTTTCATCTCACAAGCTGCGAGTTTGCAACTGTCGGGTGTCGGGGAACTGCTAGCTAGCTACTTGCTGATCACTTCAACCTCTATTTGCATTAAACACATTTTCTGCTGGCAAGTTTGGGAAAACGGAATATTATTTAGGAGTGAGCAGTACACATAGGATATTAAAGTTCCTGTTACAGTTTAGTTTTCTTGGGAGTTAGCACTTTGGAGGAAGATTTAACTTGAAATGCATTCACTTTGCACCTTTTAAGCAGATATTTACACTTGCTTGTGTTAAAATGAAAGTGTTTAGCTACAGGAAGAAAAAAAGGCACAGACTTGTCTTTATTCAACCAACACAAAGAAAACTTTGGAGAACCTGGGGGATAGGGAGTAAGTAAGAAGAGGGAGAGGAAGAAAGTGACGACTATCTTGGTTAATAAAAAATGTCAGGTCAGGAGTCCACGTGCCCTAACAAGGCATCTCTTCTCCCCTAGGTTTTTTACAATTCCATTGTAAAATCTAGATTCTCATCAGGACACATTTTATCAAAGAGAATTTCCCTGTATACATTATGTTGCTAATCAAATTTTGCTTAATAAAAATAAAATGTATGTATAAAAAATAAGGAGTATGTACACCCTGCATTCCATAAAGGAAGGGGTATTCTTATCAGAAATAATAGATTATATTTATCATCGGAACCCAGTCTATCTTTCTAAGGGGGATTTAGAGTGGTCCATAGGAAGAAATGTATTTTTTCATTACCAAAACTTTTCAAAAGCCTTTTCAGTGTAAGAGATATACAAATGATATTTAAACATATGAAATGATGCTCTATTTCACTCATGAGAAATGCAGATTAAAGGTATGTTAAGATACCATTTATTACCTATCAGTTTGGCAAAAATTTCAACACTTACTGATATGCTATCAACAGGGCTTTGGGAAAGCAGGCACTCTCATACATGATTGTTGGGAATGCCAAATGGTATAGCCCTTGTATTAGTCAGGGCTCTTCAGAGAAATAGAACCAATAGGGTGTGTGTGTAGAGAGAGAGAAAGAGATTTATTTGAAGGAATTGGTTCACACTATACTGGAGGCTGGCAAGTCCAAAATCTGCAGGGTGGACCAGCAGGCTGAAAACCTAGGAAAAGCTGATGCTGCGGCTCAAGTTCACAGCCTGTCAGGCTGGAGAATTCCCTCTCCACTCCTGCTCAGGGCAGGCTAGTCTTAATGCATTTAAGTGAGCCAGGGATTCATGAGACCATATTATTTTTCAGAAGCGCTTAATCAAGATCTCAAGTACTTTGAGTTCTCCTGTCATTCTACTCCCATCCAAAATGTGGATGACTTTTTCTCCCCTAAGTTTCAATGATTTAAAAAAGTCCAATACAGATTCTATATACCTTTTGACTTTTTTTCTTTTTCTGCCTCAAAAGGATACAAGGTATCAAAAATGTGAAATTATCAGATATAGTTTCATATTTTGGGGTCATGATTTGTTTTTGTATCAAATCTCTTTCCTCTGTCTGATTACAACATATCCAAAGCTTTCTTGGGTCAGTTACCAAAAGAAAACTCGAGAGGAGCTCTAGTATCACTGGTTATTTTAGGGGGTTAGAGAGGAAAGAGATTAGAAGTGGAAAGGCTCCTAGGAGGCTAAATATAGCAAATGATTTCCAGGGCCTGAACTAAGGCAATGGCAGCAGCAAGAAAATAGGGAAAGTAGAATCGATTGTTCTTGGAGATGCCCAGGTCTCTTGCTCAAGCAGCTGGATGGTTGCATTATCCTCCATTATCTCCTTCACAGAAAGTGACCATCTTGGCTGCTGCATAAAGTGCTAATACCAAAAAGAAACACACAACAATAAAATTCACATTCTCAAAATAAAAATAAAAAAAGAAAGCCAAAGAAAAATGATGCACTGCTTTGACTAACTGGTTCTTTAGATTTTAATTACAGAAGAAAGAAATTATAGAATTTTCTTCCATACTAGGGTGAAACATAAAATTCAGCCTTTGTGGCATGAGGTGGAGGTTGGGTGGAATTTAGGTCCAGCAGGATCAATTTTGACATCCAAGCATTTAGGACTCACTGTTCCAAAGCAACAGGTGAAAATGAGGTCTCTATAGCATCATGGCACCACTATACAGTCATTTTGATGTGGAAAATTAATGATTTCTGATTTCTTTTCCATGGGAAATCTGATGCTTAGAGAGCAGAGCAGTGTTGATATTATTAATATCGGGGAAAAATTATAAGCTGTATATCATTGCTTGGCTGTCCTGTAAAGAGTAGTGGACACATCCCACCAGGGGAGTGTGTGATAATGTGCAGATTCGCATGAATGCACACATACACCCTTTGGCTTGAAGATTCGAGTTAAAGCATAATTCAAGCCAATCAGGACAAAAACTAAAAGATAGGCGCAGGGGATGGAGACAATTCACTACATAATATGTACTCATATGTCCAAGGTATATTGTTATGGTAGATTTTATTATTTTTCAAATTATTCACTGCCTCTTCCCAAAGTGAAAGTTTTCCTGGGGGCCCTTTCTCTGTTGTGTTGCTTCCTGCAGAAGGATTACACATTCCTGCCCTGTTCAGGTGGAGCTGTGTAACTTATTTAGAACAATAAAATTTGAGTGAAGTCATGTAAGTTATTTCTGAGCAGAAATTTTAAGAGCTAGTGAATAGTTCCCTATCTCTCTTTGTCCTCTGCTTGGAGACCAGTAAATCCAGATAGGGGCTTTCCCATCAAATAGGGCCCCTGTGTGAAAATAAGGGGCAGAGTTTCAGCTGACCCACAATGGCTTATTACATGAGTGAGGAATACGGGGATCTCTTGTTACTGCAGCATAACTTAGCCTAAGCTGACAAAACTGTATTACTTACTCCATCAATTATGCTACATAGTTAACATAGTCTTGCTACAAAATTCCAGTTGGTATTTAAAAAATAAGCATTTATTTCTCACTCTTGTTTGCAGGTTGGCTGAGGTCCAACTTATCTAGATTGGATTTGGCTGGCCGTGGCTTCAGGCTTAGGCTGAGTTCAGGTACATTCCACGTGCTACTCATTCTGAGACTAGAAGGTTACCCTGGACACATTCTTCTCATGACAAAAGGAAAGAGCACAAAAGGACAACCCCAAGCCTATAGATGTGTTTTAAATGGACTGCTTTCATCCCATTCAGAACATTCAATTGGCCAAAGCAAGCTTCCCGGCTAAATCCAGTATCAGCTAGGCAAGGAAATATACTCTGCCTCTTGTAGGGCAAACTGCAAAGTCTTATGACTAAGGTGGTAGATAAAGGGAGAAGGAAAGAGTAGAGAACAATAATGCAATCCACCACTAGCTGGATAATTATTTATCAGCAGGTTCAATGGGAGTCCCTTGAATTCTGTGTGCTCCTGGCATGAGCCACACCATCACCTCTCTCCCTGTGTGACATTTACAGCTGGAGAGGATCCAAATTCTGTGGGACTGAGCTTTATACACTTTGGGGTGCTCTTTTCAAGTAAAAGATCACAAAATACCAGGCAAATGTATTGCTAGCTTCTCCTGGGGTCCTCAAAAGGGCCCATGCAAATGAGGGTCTTTGAAACTGAAGCTTCTTTAGCTTCTCATTAAATCAGCCCCTGCTCACAGGCTCACCGCCGTGATCTTTCTTGTGAACAGTCGCTAAAATCTCACTTTTATGTTTACTGACTTATGTCAGTCTTCAAGTAGCTGAGGATTTCCAGATCATCCCACAATACCTATAACTATACGCATGGTTCAAATGTTACTTTCTCAAGGAGAACTTCTTTAACGAGCCTATTAAAAATTGTTTCTACCCCATAGAATCTCCATCCCTTTCCTGCTTTCCTTTTCTTGATAGAATTTATCTTATATATTACATATTTTATTTATTTGTTTGTTTATGTATTTTCTCCCACTAAAATATAAGCTCCATGAGGGTGGGATACTTCATCAGCTTTGAACATTAATATATTTTTAGTGTTTCAAAAAATGCATGGGATATGGTATGTTCTTAATAAAGATGTATTGAACAAGTATATAAAGGAAAGAGTCATGTATTCTGCTGTTTTTATTCTAATGTATGTCGAGAAAGAAAACAGTTGGAATGGAATTGATATTAAACATATTACCAAAACAGAGCTGGAAAGTACCTTAGAGATCATAGTCAAAATTTCTTACTTTATAAATTGGGAAACCTTGCAAAGTAGCTAATTTCTGGGATTTTGCAGATATGGGCATTTAAATGTATACCTTTTACATCATCTTTTTTACTGTTTTATTTTATTTTTTTAAGTTCTGTGGTACAAATGCAGGATGTGCAGGTTGGTTACATGGGTAAACATATACCATGGTGGTTTGCTGGACCTATCAGCTTAGGTATTAAGCCCAGCATCCATTAGCTCTTTTCTAATGCTCTCCCCTCCCCTCCCCTCCCCCAATAGGCCCCAGTGTGTGTTGTTCCCCTCCCTGTGCCCACGTGTTCTTGTTGTTCAACTCCCACTTATAAGTGAGAACATGTGTTGTCTGGTTTTCTGTTCCTGCATTAGTTTGCTGAGGATAATGGCTTCCAGCTTCATCCACGTCCCTGCAAAGGACATGATCTCATTCCTTTTTTGGCTGCATAATAGTCCATGGCATATATGTACCACATTTTCTTTATCCAGTCTATAATTGATGGGCATTTGGGTTGATTCTATGTCTTTGCTATTGTGAATAGTGCTGCAATGAACATACTCATGCATGTATCTTTATAATAGAATGATTTATGTTCCTTTGGGTATATACCCAGTAATGGGATTGCTGGGTCAAATGGTATTTCTGGTTCTAAATTTTTGAGGAATCACCACACTGTCTTCCACAATGGTTGAACTAATTTACATTCCCACCAACAGTGTAAAAGCCTTCCTATTTCTCCATGATCTCACCAGCATCTGTTGTTTCTTGACTTTTTAAAAATCACCATTCTGATTGGCTTGAGATGGTATCTCATTTTCATTTTGATTTGCATTTCTCTAATTGTCAGTGATGTTGAGCTTTTTATCATTTGTTTCTTGGCCACATGAATGTCTTCTTTTGAGAAGTATCTGTTCATATATTTTGCCCACTTTTTAATGGGATTGTTTTCATCCAGTAAATTTGTTTAAGTTCCTTGTAGACTCTGGATATTAGACTTTTGTCAGATGGATAGATTATAAACATATTCTCCCATTCTGTAGGTTGTCTATTCACCGTGATGATAGCTTTTTTTGCTGTGCAGAAGCTCTTTAGTTTAACTAGATCCCATTTGTCAATTTTTGCTTTTGTTGCAATTGCTTCTGGTGATTTCATCATAAAATCTTTGCCCATGCCCATGTCCTGAATGGTATTGCCTAGATTTTCTCCTAGAGTTTTTATAGTTTTGGGTTTTACATTTAAGTCTTTAATCCATCTTGAGTTAATTTTTGCATAAAGTGTAAGGAAGGAATCCAGTTTCAATTTTCTGTATATGGCTAGCCAGTTTTCCCAACACCATTTAATGAATAGGGGATCCTTTCCCCATTGCTTGTTTTTGTCAAGTTTGTCAAAGATCAGATAGTTGTAGGCATGTGGCCTTATTTCTGGGTTCTCTATTTTGTTCCATGGGTCTATGTATCTGTTTTTGTACCAGTACCATGCTGTTTTGGTTACTATAGCCTTGTAATATAGTTTGACATTGGGTGGTGTGATGCCTCCAGGTTTGTTCTTTTTGCTGAGGTTTGTCCTGGCTATATGAGCTCTTTTTTGGTTCCATATGAATTTTAGTTTTTTTTTTTTAATTCTGTGAAGAATGTCAATGATAGTTTAATGGGAATAGCATTGAATTTATGAATTGCTTTGGGCAATATGGCCATTTTCATAATATTGATTCTTCCTATCCATGAGCATGGAATGTTTTCCCATCTGCTTGTGTCCTCTCTGATTTCCTTGAGCAGTGGTTTGTAGTTCTCCTTGAAGAGATCCTTCATTTCCCTTGTTAACTGTATTCCTAGATATTTTATTCCTTTTTGTGGCAATTGTAAATGGACGTTCATTCATGATTTGGCTCTCTGTTTGTCTGTCATTGGTGTATAGGGATGCTTGTGATTTGTGCACATTGATTTTGTGTCCTGAGACTTTGCTGAAGTTGCTAATCAGGTTAAGAAGCTTTTGGGCTGAGTCAATGGTGTTTTCTAGATATAGTATCATGTCATCCACAAACAAAGACAATTTGATTTCCTCTCTTCCTACTTTTGAATACCCTTTATTTCTTTCTCTTGCCTGATTGCCCTGGCCAGAACTTCCAATACTATGTTGAATAAGAGAGAGGGCATCATTGTCTTGAGCCAGTTTTCAAAAGGAATGCTTCCAGCTTTTGCCCACTTAGTATAATATTGGCTGTGGGTCTGCCATAAATGACTCTTATTATTTTGAGGCATATTCCTTCAATACCTAGCTTATTGAGAGTTTTTAACTTTAAGGATGTTGAACTTTATTGAAGGCCTTTTCTGCATCTTTTGAGATAATCATGTAGTTTTTGTCTTTAGTTCTGTTTATGTGATGAATTACATTTATTGATTTGCATATGTTGAACCAGCCTTGTATCCTGGGGATGAAACCAGCTTGATCATGGTGGATAAGCTTTTTGATGTACTACTGGATTCAGTTTGCCAATATTTTAGTGAGGATTTTTGCATCAGTGTTCATCAGGGATATTAGCCTGAAGTTTTCTTTGTTGTATCTCCACCAGGTTTTGGTATCAAGATGCTGGCCTCATAAAATGAGTCAGGGAGGAGTCACTTCTTTTCAATTGTTTGGAATAGTTTCAGAAGACATGGTACCAGCTCCTCTTTGTGCCTCTGGTAGAAATCAGCTTTGTTGAGGGGTTGGTAGGCTGTTTATTACTACCTCAATTTTGGAACTTGTTATTGGTCTATTCAGGGATTCAACTTCTTCATGGTTCAGTCTTGGGAGGGTGTATGTGTCCAGGAATTTATCCATTTCCTCTAGATTTTCCAGTTTATTTGCATGGAGGTGTTTATAGTATTTTCTGATGGTTGTTTGTATTTCTAGGGGGTCAGTGGCAGTATCCCCCTTATAATATCTGATTGTTTATTTGAATGTTCTCACTTTTCTTCTCTATTAACCTCACTAGTGGCCTACATATTTAATTGATTTTTTTTTCAAAAAACAGCTTCTGGATTTGTTAATTTTTTTGAAGGGCTTTTCATGTCTCTATCTGCTTCAGTTCTGCTCTGAGCTTGGTTATTTCTTGTCTTCTGCTAGCTCTGGGGTTTGTTTGCTCTTGGTTCTCTAGTTCTCTTAATTGTGATGTTAGGGTGTTGATTTGAGATCTTTCAAGCTTTTTGATGTGGGCATGTAGTGATATAAATTTCCCTCTTACCATTGCTTTAGCACCATCCCAGAGATTCTGGTACATTGTCTCTTTGTTCTCACTGATTTCAAAGAACTTCTTGATTTCCACCTTAATCTCATTATTCACCAAGATATCATTCAGGGGCAGGTTGTTCAATTTCCATGTAGTTGTGTGGTTTTTAGTGGGCTTCGTAATCTTGAATTTTAATTTGATTTTGCTGTAAGCCGAGAGACTTTGTTATGATTTCACTTCTTTTGCATTTGCTAAGGAGCATTTTACTTCCAATTATGTGATCAATTTTAGAGTAAGTGCCATGTGGCACCGAGAAAAATTTATATTCTGTTGTTTTAGGGTGGTTTCTATAGATATCTATCAGGTCCACTTGATCTGTAGCTGAGTTCAAGTCCTGAATACCTTTAATTTTCTGTTCAGTGATCTGTCTAATACTGACAGTGGGGTATTAAAATCTCCCACTATTATTGTGTGGGGGCCTAAGTCTCTTTGTAGGTCTTTAAGAACTTGTTTTATGGATCTGGGTGCTCCTGTATTGGGTGCATATATATTTAGAATAGTTACTCTTCTTGTTGAATTGAACCCTTTACCATTATGTAAGGACCTTCTTTGTCTTTTTTGACCTTTGTTGGTTGAAAGTCTATTTGTCAGAAACTAGCATTGTAACCCTTCCTTTTTTTCTGCTTTCCATTTGCTTGGTAAATTTGCTTTCATCCCTTTATTTGGAACCTATGTGTGTGTGTCTCTGCAAGTGAGATGTGTCTCTTGAATACAGCACATGGATGGGTCTTGTCTTTTTATCCAGCTTGCCTTTCCATGTATTTTAATTGGGGCATTTAGCCCACTTACGTTTGAGGTTAATATTGTTACATGTAAATTCGGTCTTGTCATCATGATGCTAGCTGGTTAATTTTGCAGACTTGCTAATGTGGTTGCTTCATAGCGTCATTGGTCTGTGTACTTCAGTGTGTTTTTGTAGTGGCTGGTAACGGTTTTTCCTTTCCATGTTTAATACTTCCTTCAGGAGCTCTCGCAAAGCAGGGCTGGTGGTGACAAAATCCCTCAGGATTTGCTTGTCTGAAAAGGCTTTTATTTCTCCTTCGCTTATGAAGCTTAGTTTGGCTGGATATGAAATTCTTGGTTGGAAATTCTTTTCTTGAAAAATATTGAACATTGACCTTCAGTCTCTTCTGGCTTGTAGGGTTTCTGCTGAGAGGTCTACTGTTAGTCTAATGGGCTTCCCTTTGTAGGTGACCTGGCCTTTCTCTCTGACTGCCCTTAATATTTCTTCCTTCATTTCAACCTTGGAGAATCTGATGATTATGTGTCTTGGGGTAGATCTTCTCATGGATATCTTATTGGATTCTCTGGACTTACTGAATCTGAATATTGGCCTGTCTTGCTGTGTTGGGGAAGTTCTCCCAGATGATATCCTGAAGAGTGTTTTTCCCAACTTTGTTCAATTCTCCCTGTCTCTTTCAGGTACTCCAATCAGTCATAGGTTCAGTCTTTTTACATAGTCCCATAGTTCTCAGAGGTTTGGTTTATTCCTTTTCATTCTTTTTTTCTCTAATCTTGTCTGCCTCCCTTATTTCAGCAAGCTCTGATATTCTCTCTTCTGCTTGATTGATTCAGCTATTAAT
The DNA here is from genome assembly GCF_000001405.40 of Homo sapiens. Taxonomy (NCBI): domain Eukaryota; kingdom Metazoa; phylum Chordata; class Mammalia; order Primates; family Hominidae; genus Homo; species Homo sapiens. The sequence continues at coordinate 39,118,753 of NC_000013.11, forward strand.
ACTTGTGTTTGCATCATGAAGTTCTTGTGCTGTGTTTTTCAGCTCCATCAGGTCATTTATGTTCCTCTCTAAATTGTTTATTCTAGTTAACAGCTCCTGTAATCTTTTATCATGGTTCTTAGCTTCTTTGCATTGGGTTAGAACATAATCCTTTAGCTCAGTGAAATTCGTTATTACCCACTTTCTGAAACTTACTTCTATCAGTTCATCCATCTCAGCTGCAGCCCCATTCTGCGTGCTTGCTGGAGAAGTGTTGCAGTTGTTTGGAGGAGAAGTTTTGCAATCATTTGGAGGAGAAGAGGCATTCTGGCTTTTGGAATATTCAGTGTTTTTATGTTGGTTTGTCCTCATCTTCGTAGGTTCATCTACCTTTGATCTTTGAGGCTGTTGACATTTGTATGGGGGTTTTGTGGGGTCTTTTTTTGTTGATGTTGTTGTTGTTGCTGTTTTTCTTCTAAAACAGGCCCCTCTTCCACAGGTCTGCTGGAGTTTGCTGGGGGTCCACTTCAGACCCTGTTCACCTGGGTATCACCAGTGGAGACTCCCGTACACCAGAGATTGCTGCCTGCTCCTTCCTGCAGAAGCTCCATCCCAAAGGGGCACCGACCTGATGCTGCTGGAGCTCTCCTGTATGAGGTGTCTGGCAACCTCTGTTGGGAGGTCTCATCCAGTCAGGAGGCATCAGATCAGGGACCCACTTAAGGAGGCAGTCTGACTGTCCCTTAGTGGAGCTGGTGCACTGTGCTGGGAAAATCTCCCTCATCCAGATCAGCTGGACTCCTCAGAGCCAGAAGGCAGGAAAGATTAAGTCCTCTGAACCTGAGATGGTGTCTGCCCCTCCCCTGAGGTACTCTGCCCCAGGGATTATCTATAAGCTCCTGGCTGGGGTGCTGGCATTCCTGCAGGGAGGCCTTGCCTGGTGAGGAGGGATAGATCCAGGTCCCACCTAAAGAAGCAGTCTGGCTACAATCTGCCACAACCACTGTGCTGTGTTGTGAGGAGTACCGCCCAGTCCAAACCTCCCTGCCTCCCTAGCACTGGGAAGGGAAAAGCCACCAACTAGAGCTACAGTAATGGCGGTTGCCCCTCCTGCTGGCAACTCAGTCGTCTTAGGCAGACTCCAGGCTTCTGTGCTAGCCAGCAGAGATTTCAAACCAGTGGGTCTTAGCTTCCGAGGTTCTGTGGGAGTGGGACCCTCTGAGTGAGACCATTTATCTTCCTGGCTTCTGCCCCCTTTCCGGGGGAGTGGATGGTTCTCCTGCCTCACTGGAGTTCCAGGCGCTGCCAGAGTATGTAAAAACTGCCGCAGCTCAGTGCCTGCTGGAATAGCCATTGACGGGAGCAGATGTCATGGGTCTGCCCAGTTTTGTGCTTGAGACCCAAAGCCCTCGTGGTGTAGGATCACAAGGGAATCTCCTGATCTGTGGATTGCAAAAATCCGTGGGAAAAATGTAGTGCCCCAGGTGGGTAGCACAGTCCCTCACCGCCTCCCTTGGCTGGGTGAGGGAGGTCCCTTTACCACACGCAGCTCCGCAGCTCCAGAGTGAACTGTCACCCCCCGCCGCCTACTTTTTCTTACTCTCCTTGGGTCATGCCAACTGCCTAGTCAGTCCCAGTGAGGTGAACTGGCTGCCTCAGTTGGAAATGCAGAAATCACTCGCTTCTTGCGTTTGTACTGCTGGGAGCTACTGACCGCAGAGAGCTGTTTGTATCTTGGCGCTGCCCTGATTTTTTTTTTTTTTAAACAGAGTTTCGCTCTTGTCGCCCAGGCTGGAGTGCAATGGAGCGATATCAGCTCACTGCAACCTCCGCCTCCCAGGTTCAAGCAATTCTCCTGCCTCAACCTCCCAAGTAGCTGGGATTACAGTTGCCCACCACCCACGCCTGGCTAATTTTTGTATTTTTGTATTTTTTTTTGGTAGAGATATGGTTTCGCCATGTTGGCCAGGCTAGTCTCGAGCTCCTGACCTCAGGTGATCCACCTGCCTCGGCCTCCCGAAGTGCTGGGATTACAGGCGGGAGCCACCATGCCAGGCCTGTTACATTAGTCTTTTAAATGTAGCCTATGGAATTTAAACACAGTACCATGGTATTATGAGCCATCAAAAAATAAACTTCTTTAACAGTAAAAAGCTTTCTATAATTCCTCTTTTTCCTTTTTACATTTCATTTCCTTCCTTTTCAGAGATTTATCATAATTTCTTATATTTTTATACTGGAAAGGGTTTTATTGATCCCCATATCATAATGAAAATAAGTATATGCATTTAAATTTTAATTCAAAAAATTTCTGTGACTTTAAGGCTCATGAATTTTTCTTTCCGGACTAAATTGTTATAATTATTACATTAAAATTAGTTTAAATGTCGTAAACATATTACATATACAGATTGAGCATTTCTAATCCAAAAATGAAAAATCTGAAATGCTTCCAAATCTGAAACTTTCATGACACGAGAGCTGACATGATATTCAAAGGAAATGTTCATTGGAGATTTCAGGTTTTGGATTTTCAGATTGGGAATGCTCAAGCAGTGAGTGTAATGTAAATATTCTAAAATCCTTAAAATAAAAAACGTGAAACACTTCTGGTCCAAACCATTTCAGATATGAAATATGTAGCCCATTTTTAAAGGAAAATTATTAAACCTAGAAAATTTTTATTAGAATCATATCTCTTAATAAGATGGAGATCCAAAACAATTATTTCATGTATATCCATGTATATGCCTGTGTATTTATTAACTAAAATGAGATGGTATTCAGCATTGATTTTACTTCCATTTAGCATTTTTGTAAATAAAATTTCAAAGAAAATCCATTCATAGATGGAATAGTAAAGTTTTCCTTCTTTACTATATAGATGGAGTAAAAGAAGTTTTATTATAGGAATGTCATTTGATTGATTATTTGAATTCCTTTTCAGTTATATGCCAAAAATCACATAGTGATCTATTATCGAAATTATTTTTTATCATTTATCTTCTGAGAACTTGATTTCATCCTCTTTTAGTTTAGCTGAAAGCAACAAATGGGAGACCACAAGACTTGTAAAAGTACTTGTTACTTTCTCAATACCAAGCCAAAAGACTGACTTTTCCCTTCATCTGTTGCCCAAGTACTTTTACAATGCCCTTGTAAGAATATGCTGTGACAGGATTTGATAGGGTGACAACAGGGTAGGCTACACCAGCATTCTCACAGAACCCCCAGCTCAGCTATTGGTATTGGTTTAATACACTGCTCACACTGTCTTGAAATTCTTAATAATCTTGGAACAAGTGACCCCACATTTTCATTTTGTACTAGTTCCTGCCAATTATGTCACTGGTTCTGAGTGAGAGGTCTACTTTTCTTTCATAACGTAGGAGAAGAACTATGGTAAATGAGGTGGTGGGAAAGCAGAAGTGGTTTGGAACAGGCACGTTCCCAGGAAAAACAGTTTTTACAAAAGAATGCATGAGAAACTTGAGGATCTGGAAATGGAGCTCTTTAAAACTCGTTAGTAAATCTTCTCATAGCCTCCAAGCATTTGGGTACTCCATTTTGAAAACCACTACTTTTCTTCCAGTAGGCATGTTGTATGACTGCTGGGCCTGTTGGATTTTTGCACTTCACTGAGAAAAGAGACGACAATTTTCTTAATCAACATGACACAATTTGAACACTACTTGATTTTTATGGATATTATTATCAATACAAATTATTACTAACATACTTCATGCTATGCAACAGAACTCCTAGTATGTATTTGGATAAGAATATTTGTGGTGAGTAACTACTTCTGAAGGTGAAATGTAGAGTCTTTATTAGAGAATTCAAAATTCTGTGCCTTCATAAAAAGGAGTGAAATCATGTCCTTTGCAGGGACATGGATGGAGCTGGAAGCCATTATCCTCAGCAAATTAAATGCAGGAACAGAAAACCAAATACTGCATGTTCTCACTTATAAGTGGGAGTTGAATGATAACACACATGGAGGAGAACAACACACACTAGGGCCTGATGGAGAGTTGGGGTGGGAGGAGGGAGAGCATCAGGAAGAATACCTCATGGATGCTGGGCTTAATACCTGGGTGATGGGATGATCTGTGCAGCAAATCACCATGGCACACATTTAACTATGTAACAAACCTGCACATCCTGCACATGTACCCCTGAATCTAAAATAAAAGTTGGAAAATAAAATAAAACAAGTTAAAATGACAACAAAAAGATAATTCAAAGTTCTGATTAACTTCCCCTATGGTATAAATGAGAATGAATTTGTACCCGGTTATTACTCTTTTCGTACTGAAATATTTTGAATTACCACATGGTGTCAGAGGAACCAACAGATGCCTACTCTATCAAAGCTTTCTGACTCCAAATTTAATGCTATTCTTCACACGCTATACTAGTGATTCAGACAGAATACCCCTCCCCAGGAGCACATAAGGGAAGAGGGACTGTGTGGCAGTCACAGAGCTGGACTGAGTAGACAGGTGGGGGTCTCCCAGTTCTGACAATCTTCTTGATTCACAGCATCCTGGTTTTCATTTCAGACTTTGTGTTTATATAATTTTGAAAATAATTAATTCTTCTCTAGATAAAGATATCATATAATGAAGTATTTTCTTTCTTACAGTATATCCAAGAACAAATACTTAACAATAGACAAAATGAAGTGAATGTACCCTAGGCGATAGAAGGGATACAAAAGTACTATCTCTAGTAGTGGTGAGGAAAAGTGAAGCAATTGGGTTATGCCAACTCTGGGAGACAGACAGATAATAAAAATGACAGCTATTGAAACTTAAGTAGAAAGTGAAATTAACACCATCTTTTTTTAATGTACTTAGTGCTTATTTAAGATTACTGTACTTGAAATGAGATGACTTGGGTTCTAATCTCAGATCTACAATTTTATGAATCACAGAACTCCTCTAAGACATAATTTTTGCTTCTGTAATACAGTTCCATATACTGTCTGCATGGTGTCACTTATAGTAATGTTGTAAAACTCACAGGAGAAAAATTAACTTCCTCAACTCATCTCACTATTTTACTACTAAACATGTAACTGGTATGAATCAGCCAATACAATGAGCCAATACGATCAGCCATTTCCTCTCTAGCATGTGAAGTATCTGGGAGGCTTTTAAATTTCTGTTTAGAATTCTATTTTGATTTATCTATAGTGTCTTTGAATATGTTTCTCTGCATGGCATCTTTAGTGGTTGTTCTAGGTGTTATACCTTCTTCCATCTTCCTGGACTATTTGTTTTTTTAGGAGCAGCCTTCAAATGTATACCATAAAATGCTGCTGTCTCTGCTTGACTTATTCATTTTGGGAGTGACATTATCCTGTCTCATGGTTCTGTGGCTCTCTAACCCATCTTTTATATTCTCTGTAACTTATCTTCAGTAGTTGAGAATGGAATTTGTGATTTGTATTTTTGACTCTAGATATAGGGGCAATTGTTAATAATTGACATACTCTAATCTGGAATAGAAATCCCATAGGAGATTAATAAACATTTAAAAGATTCTTAATGAAAGGCTTACATTAGAGGCAGCTATAAGAACTTTAGCTATCTTTACCTCCAATGAACATCAAAGACTCTCTTGAATTAATATTAGCATAACAGATGTTAGAAAAACTTTTTCGCTGATGAAATAAGTGGTATTTAAGGTATGTGGATTGGCCAAAAATGTCAGGCAAGCACTATGAGAATTCAGCAAGCTCAGTAGCCCAAATCTTTCCGAGAGGCAGCCATAGATTAGGATTCTAATCCATCTCATCTGTGACCTCTCACCCAGGAATTTTCACACAGGAAAATCCTGTTAGATTTTTGCTGAGTGAATCTTCCAGACAAAGTGTCTATTGGGATGCCTAAAAAGACAGAGAGCTGGCACTTCACTGAGCTTACAAAATAAATTGTGATTGGTTTTTGTGCCTGCTTGCTAAGAAAAATTGGTTCACGTGTTAGAACTACATCTGAGATTCTCTGTCAGTGTATCATCACCTGGTGCTGATACGGTGGGGAAGAAGACCTACAGACCCTTCCTACCTCTAACTAGTAGGAAATAACTGATATTTCGCAAATGGAACATAATAATTGTCAAGTACCAACTTGTCTTGAGCCATTTGCAAGCTCATGGCATATAGCATTGCCTACATCTTCCTTCCATGCTACACGGGGGAAGTTCAGGCTCTCTGCATGCTACACTGAAGGTCAGGTTCAGATTCTACTCTCTTTGACTGCAAAAATTCTCTGATTTGTTTCTGAAGTGCAACTGGAGGCCTTGGGGCAGCTAATGTTTTTTCTTGAATAACCCCAAGTGGCAGCTCCTTGGAAGGAGTAATTCAGGAACTTGAACTCATTTACGCCCATTACCATGTGGGGTACCTTCCTCCAATACACTAAAAACACCTAGACCTTCTATAGTGCATGACAAGAGAACAGATGCATGGTGGAAGAGGACACATCTATGAAAACAAATAGCTTTTTAAGAGTTACCCCCAATAATTTCAGCATAATTGCATCTAAGCGTGCCCAGAAAATAAAGCAGAAATGACTTTTTTCATAATTTCCAGGAAAAAAGTGACATAATTAAGAGGCTTTCTCTTTGTTTTCTTGTCAAGATATTACTCTTCAAACCTTATCACAGAGCCTACTTGGAGATCTAATCTAGTAAACTAAGCAAGGAATACTCTTGTTGTAAACACTAACCAGAGCAGAGAACATTGAGCTGGAAGTATTTTGAGCTTGTTGGAAGCCCTTTTTTAAACGAAATGTTAGCAGGGACTTTAATATAAAAAATGGATGTCGGCAATGATCAGTTTCCTCAGTCAGTATAAGTATTCATCATTGCTTCCAGAGCCTCTAATCTCTTTCAAGAAGCCACTGCTTAAAAGTCAGAGGCATTCTCATGTGGCCCTCTTTCTGCCGTAGATCAAAACTTGCAAGGCTCTTTGAATTCTAACTCCCATTTTTTGGAATTTGTGTCAAATAATAGTTCTGTGGGAGTTTTTCTGTCTGTTGTTTTTCTGTCTGGCTGCCAGTGAACCAGTGTGGGTCAGGCCAGTTGGAGACACAGAGGGCTTTCAGATTCTCCAAATTCTGCAGCCCAGTAGTGCCATATTGGCAACTGAAGGGAATGCAAGGGTGTCAAGCGGACAGACACGTTACAAGTTTAGGCAATGGCAAACAAAATAGCCATACTCTGTTTTGGAGCTCTAGCATGTCCTCTAGCAAGCCCTAAGAAATAGCATATTGTCCATGGATAAGGCCTCCTTGCTGCAGAAAATGGCAGTGATGGAGAATAACTGCTTTGAGTTCTCAATGAACTGCAAGTTCATTGAGATTTTCTCACTTTTGTCTTGGCCAGGGTTGGCCTAAACCATGAATATCTTACCTTCCTATGTGCTTTGGGTAGTATCAGGAAGTCTTATCTGCTTGCGCATATTCACCCAACCAAGTGCCTGGAAGTCTACCACCTGAGATTAGTTTATCTCAGATTAAGTATGAAGCATGCAGTACAGTGTTTAGTAACTAGCAGGCACTCAATGCTTCACTGCAATTGTTATAAACATCATCTCTGGTGGTAGATCCTAACTGAGAATATTTGGAGGAGCTTGGGAGGACTTTTTGGTTATTACAATGCAGAAGGATGTGATGGGGCAAACAGGGAGAAGAGAGGTAGGCAGGGTTACTAAATATCGTGCAGAAGGAGGGATTGTCTTATATAAGGATGAATTTTTCTGCTCCAAGCTGCAAACTTTTCTTTTATAATGTATATTACATCAAGAGAAAAATCTGATTTATCACTATCATCTTAGTGTACATTTATCTGATTTGTCTTCTTGACAAACTAAGAAACCTATATGCCATGCAAAGCCTGTGTGTCTGTGTGGGTAGGGAAAATGTCAAAACTCAGCCTGGCCTAATTTATGAACACAAACATATTAGGGGTAGGTGGGGAGCAGGTGAAAATGGAATTAAGTCAGCGCGTCTTTTGCAAAATCAGATTTTCTGTTTTTTTCTGAAACCCCAGTCCCTCACACGTGTTTGTGTGTAGATACAACTTCAGGATACTGAAAAATAAACAGAAACATAGAAGCTGGGTGATCTTTAAAAGAAGGCAGTGTAACCTTGGGATACTTTCAGTCGAATCTGACTTCTACATGTGAAGGAAAAAGGTGGCAGGTGGGCCACTAGATGAAATGGGTATTTCAGGATATATAGAAGCCAGATGGAAATTTATCCTGCTCTGTCGCTGAACTCATTATAGCAGCTACAATGGCGTTCATTGAGCCCATCCCCAACAATAGCATTGATTTGCTCTGTCTAGTGGGCCCTGATGAAGCCCACATGCTCCACAGACAATGCTTCCCTTCCTATGCGTGGCATTTCCTGAGGAGCACAGAGAATGCTCCCTTTGTTCTTCTCCAGGTTTTTTATTAGCACCTGCCCAGGTCTGTGCCTCTCACTGCACCTGTGAGTTAGTGATCTCAGTGTAAGTCTTGTCCCCTGAGATTGTGATGATAGGAGAGTTCAGGTGAACCACAGCCTTTCCCTGGAGCTCTGACAATAACAGATCTTGAGAATTGACCTGTATTACTCTCCTCTCAAAGGCCCCTTGTGATCGCTTAAACATAAGTATGTGGAAAAAAAAAATCCTAATAAGATATGGTATATCTGGGAAATGACATTAGCAGCCTTCTGTAATGAGCATGCTGTAATCAGCCACAAGCAGAGGAACTGGTGTGTTATCAGGAATTAGAAGATATTTAAAATAGGCTCCTGGGTCAAAGGCACACAAGTTTGTGGGGAAGCAATAAGCGTTTTCAAAACCGGTACAAGTAAAGGTCTTTTTCAGTGTGACATTTTCTGAGCTTAGATCCAGAATGTTCTATCAGTAGAATAATGTTATAACTGCCTAGTAATTTCTGTAAAATAAGTATATACTCCGATTATAATTGCTACAATGTGAGGGCTGAATTCTGCACTGATAACACTCTAAAAATGAACTCTAAATTATAGCCTCACTTAAAAGGTAAATGACACACCAATTCTCATTGTGGAGACTAAAAACAAAACTCCCTCTGCAATCCGGGTCCCTCCCTGGTGATGTGGTTCTTAGGACTCCTGGACACACCTCTTGGAAGCAATATCTACTTTCTCCATCACTTCCTTACTCCTAACCTTGCTCCTACTCACTTCTTCCCTTGCACATATGGGATGCCATCCTGATGAAAGGGAAAAGTGGAGCATTGACTTATCCAGTGACTATTCCAGGTGTGGACTCTGGTTGAGGGAAGAAAACAGGTGGATTATATTTCTAAGGACAAGGTCTTGGAGAGATGAGGTCTCCCAGCGATGAGGTCACTTGAAGGCCCCTCCACCACTGCAACTTAGTCCTGAGCACGGTTTTAGCCCCATGGCTACCAATGCAAAGACTGTTGAAAGGGCAGGATGGTTGTTCCACAGCAGGGAGGTAATGGCATAATAACTAATCCGATAGCTAAATAAGTTGCATTCCTCCCTCCTTTCTGTTTCTTTTAATAAGCATTTAAAGTGCTAAGCACTGTACTAGATTCTAGAGATGCAAGACTGAGAAAGTCACATTCCTAGCTAAGGGGTAATTTCTGCCTGTCAGAAATCACAAGCATGTGAAAAATTACTGTAGTGAGATTTAGGTTAATACACAGCTAGGAGGTCATTTTTATCCATAATCATTGGTATCAGGAAAAGTCCACATGAAGAGAACTTACAAGGTGATCAACATTTGGGGGTAAGTAGGAAGAAAGGTTGGATTAAAACTTTATTCTGAAAAACTACCCACAAAAATGAAAAATAAATCTGTATTTCCTATATTTAACAAAAATTCAGTAAAAATTGCATTTATACACTAATTCAAATAATGGGCAGAGATAAAACAAGGGTTGATCTTGGAGGTGGTTTGAATATTTTCCTTCAAATTGTTTGATGACCCTGCATATTGTCTTTCCACTGCATGTTTGACTTTCTCATCTCATGATGGAAAATGGCTCAGTTTGCAGAAATAGCGGAGGGCTTAATCAATGTTTTCAAAATATTTTCTTAATTTTGTGGTACTGAAGGCATTTTCTTTTGGAAACTCACTGATCTGTTTATACAGAGAATAAACTGCAACATATCTAGAAGTCTAGCCAGTGCATATACAGCCTTTTAATCAATCCATATTTGTTTAGCTCAGTACTTTACTATCTGCTCTGCCTCATCTTAAGTTCTGGGAATCTCAGAGGCCCTATAGGAGCAAATCAGACAATTCTTCTAGTCTCCTACAGCACTTGAGCTTTCTTCTAAGTTCTTTCTACTCCTATTTTGCCTTTCCTTCTTCCAAAAATCTGTTGATATTTCTCACCTGCTATGTCTCTGGTTATTTTGGTTTGTACTTAAATCTTTTTCTCTACATTTATTTAAGTGAAATCTTGTGAAGGAAGGGAGACAATTATATGGGCTGGTTTACCATGTTTAATCAGGAGCCTCTGCAGATTTGGATGTTGACAAGATCACGCTTGTAGCAACGTGGAACAGAAATAGGGAAGGCAAAACAAAGGCAGAGGGAGCGTTTGGGAGGCTCCCCCTGCTCCCGTTCACAGTGAGCTGCTGGAGCACACACGCTGCATTCAATGCCTCTGCATTTCCCATCTGGTCATTTTTCAACTCACTTCAGTCTGGCTTCTGTCACCATCTGTCCTATTGAATCTGCCATGGTCAAATTTACCGGTAACTTCCTGGTTGCTCAGTAGAGTAGACAACTATTAGTCTTTATCTCTGTTGGCTCACTGTCCACCTTTTCTTTGGATTCTCTCCCTTTTGGGTTTTTATGCTTTCTCTCCACTTTAATTTTTGTTGTTGTTGTTGAATCTTTCACACCCCTGCTCCCTGTATCCTTTTCTATCATTAAATGTTGAAGTGATCTAATGTTCTACCATTTGCCAACTTATATTACACTCTCCACTCTCCTTTGATTTATTTTCAGCCCATTTTCCTTTCCTAGGGTAGAGATTGTTTTTGTATCCACACACACACACATGCACACACACACACACACACACACACACACACACCTCTACTAAGACATCATTTTGATTTTCCACAGGCACATCAAACTCAGTACATTCAAAACTAAAAACTAAGCTTATTTCCTCACCTGATTTGCTTTTCCTTCTTTATTCCCCGTTATCGTAAGTGATCTCCCCATCTCCTGTGCTTTCTATTCTCTCATCCCTCACAAATTCATTAAATTTTGTTGCTTTTTCCTCCCTAAATCTCTCAAACGTTTTTCACTCTTCTTTAATCCTAAAGCCAAGGCCTTAGTTCAGGTCCATGTCACATCCCTACCTAATTCATGTGACAGACCTAACTTATTCAACTGCCTTCATTCTACCTCCACTCCAATAATTTCCCTATAGTTCACAATGCCACAAAAGTTTCATGAAACATGTCTAATCACATCACTCTTGTTTTGTCTTGGTTATCCAAGACAACTTGTTACACACAAAAGAATCCCAAAACTTAGTTACTTAACACAATAAGAAACATTTACTAATCTCATTGTTTTCATGCATCAGGACTTTGGGCGTTGCTTAGCTGGGTATTTCTGGCTAAAGGTCTTTTACGAGATTGCAATGAAGCTGTCACGTGGGGCTGCAGTCATCTAACGGCTTGAATGGAGCTGGAAAATCCACCTCCAAGGTGGCTCCCTCCTGTAGCTGGCGACTTGATGCTGGCTATTGAAGGAGGCCTTTGTTCCTCACCACATGGTCCTCTCTTAGCCTGCTTGAGTGTTCTCACAGCATGACACTGGCTTTCTCTGCAGCGAGCACCCAGGAGAGAAAGAGCCATGCCGAAGCCAACCTTTTTATGACTTAGCCTCAGAAGTCACGTAGCATCACTTTGTGCCACATTCTGTTCGTTAGAAGTGAGTCATTAAGTTTGGTTCACATTCAAGGGTTGGGGAATTAGGAACCACCTTTGGAGGACTGTGAAAAAATTCACTGACATATTTTAAGACCATCCCACATTCTAAAAATCTTTCAATGTCTTTTACAATATTCCTACCACTTTCTTTATTTCCTTATCCTTCAGCTCTGCAAAACTGCTCACAGTTGTATAAACTTGCTGTGATTTTTTTCTGTGCCTATGCCTTGTACATACCATCCCCTTTGCTTGGAATATCTTTTTTACTTCTTTACCAAGCTAACTTCTACTCATCCTTCAAAATCCTAACGTAAACGTAAACCCCGGCATAAATATTTTCAAATATTTCCTGATTCTGCACCCCCACTGCTTGTTTTCTACCAATTAGACTTAATAGAGAGCACACCTTTTTTTCCACTTATTTGAATATTTCTTTTTAGCCAGATCTATAAGGTTGGGCTAGTATCTTTCAGCTCTATATCGTCATTGCTTAGTACAGTTTCTGCCACATTTGTAGATACTGAGAATTTATAAAACAAAGATGTGAGTTCATTAATATTAGTGCCTAGCCCCCACAAAAGCTCAGCAAATGAACAAAATAAATACTAAGGACTTTAACCAAGTCAGTGATAGTAGGTATGAGAGAGGAGGAAGAATTTAAGAAAAATGCAGTGACTGGATCCAGGAAGAGAGAGAGAGAAGAAAGAATCAGGATGATTCAGTGGTATCTAATTGAGCTATTAAGTTAATTAAAAAATAAGAGTCAATTACAGGGGAGAGATGATCATGAATTCAGTCTGAAGATGCAGGTTTTAGAATTCCTGTTATTCTTCTAGAGAATTTCCTCAGAGGCCTTAGAAAAAGGGTCTGAAAGTCAGGAGAAAGATTACACCAGAGATAAATGTGAGAAACACTATCTATACCTCCCTCATTACTTTCATTGTCCTGTATATAGAAAGGACCATAAAAGGTGGGAAAAATATTGTCAAGGAAAGAGATAGAATAAATTACCTTCCTTAAGGTTACAAAGGTAGGGCAAAAGTTGATATGGTTGACTATTGCCTTCCACCCGTGGGGTCACTCATGCCAGATATTCTGGCCAACTCTAGGCACCCTTCTCCCCAGCATTGTTCATGAACTACTGAGGCAAATTACCAGCCACTCCCTACTCTAATGTAGTGTGGATCAGAGATTGTTACAATTTTCAACTGCTATGTCTATGTGCTGAAGCTCAATTCAATTTTATTCATAATTCTATGGCACCACTTAGAATTGTTGTTGATAAACCAATCAGTATGTTGGCTTGCCTAGATTCTAAATGCATCTTAAGTTATGTATTATTAATCTAAAAATTAAAATGTTAGTTTTTTCAACCTGAGAAATAAAACTATTCTCTAGAAGTAATTGAAGTTACTTTTTCTATAATCAATAACCTCTTCAATTAGCATAAATATAGGTAAAAGAGAAGAATGGGTTTCTAAGTTATGCATTTTTGAAAATTAGTCGTTTTCAGCCATCATCTCATGAATAATTAGGGTAATTCGCAAGCCAATTTTAGGAGAAAATGACTTTTTAAGGCAATTCATTTTTTTTTCCACTCAGTATTTTTTTCCAAACCTTGTTTGTTTTTTAAACTTGGAATGCATTTGAGAAAGTTTTCAGATTCTATTTCCCTCTGAAGAGCCTCTCTGCAGAACCTCGAAGAGAGATCAGCCTTTGAATCATCTCAGCAGTTGTAAAAGGAGTCAGCCATGTAAGCCAGAATGAGTCATATCAAAGCACCTTTGATCATTTTATTAGCTATTCACTCTTTCAAGAGCTAGGACAGGAGATTATAATAGATGTCTTGCTTTCAATGTGTGCTTCTTCTGCCATTACTTCTCAGCTGCCAGTAGAGAGGGCTGAAAGCAGATGGCAGCCAGGAGAAGTTTGTCTCCAGCTTCATGTGGAGCATTTCAACTACAGAGTGGCTTTAGGCAAGCAGGGGTGTTTCTGTCTATGTCTCTGTCTGACCTCCTCAGTCCATGCCTCATGGAAGAAGCAGCTCTACAGCACATATCCCAGTGAGTTATGTGTTCTCATAAAAACATACTGCAATTCACAAAGCTATCAACTCTTAGTCATGAAACAAAAATACCTGTCAAGAGTTTTATTTTAACGTGTTAATGACACCACAAATAGAGGACAATGCCATCATTTCAGGGGACAGTTTTACACAGCAGGCCTCTTCCAGAGCATTCAGGATACTGCAGGATGCTTCTGGTACTAATTAGAGAAGCTTCTTTGTGGACACCATAAATCAGTTGTCACCAGAGTACTGTATGCAGGGAAGCTTTGCATCTATTAGCACAGAGGCCAAACCCTATGACCATTACCACTGACCAATAGTTCCTGGACACGGCTCATTGCTCAGCAGATAACTTTATATTGTCCTCATAGTCCCGAGATGATAGAATGGCTTATTAGGTACCATTTTGCCTGTTGCACTCACAGACACACCCTCCAGTGCTCAAGGCCCTGGGATAAATTTGGAAAGTAATTCACACGAAAATATAATCTATTATTGCACCAAATACCTGAGCTCCTTTTGAGAAGTATGGAGTGAGATTTGGAATTTTCAGGCAAATTCCACCTCATTTAGCAGGACTCACCCAATGTAACAACCCAACACAGAGTCCCCTGAGCTCAATGTTGGGCCTCTTCTGCTGGGAGACTTTCAGCCCTGTTTGTAGCTTCTCTCTCTCTCTCTCTTTTTTTTTTTTTTTGACAGAATCTTGCTCTGGGTGCCCGGGCTGGAGTACAGTGGTGTGATTTCCGCTCACTGCAACCTCTACCTCCTGGGTTCAAGTGATTCTCCTGCCTTAGCCTCCCAAGTAGCTGGGACTACAGGCATGTGCTACACAAGCTAATTTTTGTATTTTTTAGTAGATATGGGGTTTCACTATGTTGGCCAGGCTGGTCTTGAACTTCTGACCTCAAGTAATCCACCCACCTTGGCCTCCCAAAGTGCTAGGATTACAGGCATGAGCCACCATGACTGACCACAGCTTCTCTTTTTTAGGGACCATTTCTCAGCAGGAATGTCAGCAATGGACATGGCATTAGGCGTTATTATGGGCTGAATTTTGTCCCCCTAAAATTCAAATGCTGAAGCCCAGACTCTCAGTACCTCAGAATGTGACTGCATTTGGAGAAATAATTGTTTAAAAGGTGATTAAGTTAAAGCGAGGTCATTAGAATTCTAATCCGGTATGACTCATGTCCTTATA
This sequence comes from Homo sapiens, assembly GCF_000001405.40. NCBI lineage: Eukaryota > Metazoa > Chordata > Mammalia > Primates > Hominidae > Homo > Homo sapiens. Next base: position 39,133,976 of record NC_000013.11, read on the forward strand.
GAAGAGGGGATTAAGGCATAGGATTTAAATATTTTCCATTCAAAGTTAGTGCATAGTAACAGCAATATGATTGCTTATAAGCAGTGTTCCTTTTTTGGGAAAGGTGTATTTAACATTCCATGTTAAGGATGTAATAGTCAAGGGGTCTTTTACCTCAGCCAAGATGTCTTTTATCTCAGATACAATCTGGTCTGAGACAGAAACAAGAAAATAAGGAAAGAAGTTAATCTATAACAAAAGGTCAGTAACTAAGAGGTCATGCTCCATGACTTGGTCTTCAAAGTCAACCTCGCTTAGGGCCTAACAACTTTTAGAAGCCCCAAATAGACAGAAAATCCACTTTCCTTCATATTTCCCCCTTTTCTTCAAGATCTTTTGAAGAAACATTGCAGAAAAATCATTTTGTTTAGAGAAGTGGTTAAATCCTGCATTCCTAGGAAGGCTCATTCCTATAGAGTCATGTCCAGTGGAGGAGGGAAATGTTTAATTTGTAAGATGGAAATGTGTAAGGTGGAATTATAAGGCAACAGGAGGAAAGTAACTTGGTCTGGTTCAGGTGACATGACCATATTTTTAACTAAATACAATTTTCTGAGCAGTCATTCTTCTAGTTTTAGTCATTGATCATAGGCAAGCTGAAATACAAATCGCGAGTAATTTGATAACTAGGAAAATGACAATTGTGCTTATGATTATGATAATAACTACTCAAAGAACAGGATGAAATAGAGAACTTAGCCCCAAGCGTAACCAACTAAACATATCATTTAGAGGATCAGTTTTTCTTAAGTCTCGTAACTCTTTAGACTTTTAAGTTTTTCTTTCTAATTGAGTCTCTACTTCCCCCAGAGGTGTTGATATAAGTACGTTAAGTGCTGTGTTGCTACTCCACAGACTCCTCCTTTTTCAGCCAATAAATAGTCAGAGGCAATTCTGTTATTTAGTACCACCTGGGCTAAGGAATCCAAAGGTTTTTGTTGAGTTGCAGTGCTTGTTGCAGTGTCTTCAGCTATCTGACCAATAGTGGTTGATAGGTTTGGACTCAGATATTTAATATAAACTCTAGCATTTGGGATTAGTCCCAAAATGCTTTGCTCTGAGATATCATCATATCCTGCTAACATAGTCCTGTTAGCTCTGAATGGAGGGAGAAAGGGAGTTCATCTGTATTTCTATGTAAGGATATGGGAGTTACGAAATGACCTAACAAAGATATACCCTCTATTTACCAACTATTGAGGCAATGATGTGCCCAACATTGGGTAGGCAAATCAGTCCCAATGCCACATACAAACACATAACCTGGGGGAACACAAGTAATTCCTCTGGGGGTATGTTCATTAATGGCCTCATTAACAGGAAGGGTAGAGAGCACCAGATCAAATCAGAAATTTCGTTTTTTGCATTATTTGCCAGAACCCACTTGTATAATGTGAAATGAAAGAGAGATGTTAGGGCCGGGTGCGATGGCTTATGCCTGTAATCCCAGCACTTTGGGAGGCCGAGGCGGGCAGATCACGAGGTCAGGAGATTGAGACCATCCTGGCTAACATGGTGAAACCCCATCTCTACTAAAAATACAAAAATACAAAAAAAAATTAGCCAGGTATGGTAGCGGGTGCCTGTAGTCCCAGCTACTTGGGAGTCTGAGGCAGGGGAATCGACTGAACCCAGGAGGCGGAGGTTGCAGTGAGCCGAGACTCGCACCACTGCACTCCAGCCTGGGCCACAGAGCAAGACTCCATCTCAAAAAAAAAAAAAAAAAAAAAAAAAAAATACAAAAACAAAAAAGCAGAAAGAGATGTTGGCAGAGGAGGGATTCATTTTTTCAGCAATGCATTTCTTTCTCTTTTTTTTTTTGTAATGGCATTAGATGTATCTGAAATATGTAATGGCATTAGATGTATCTGGAAAACTAGTGACAAATTTTGCTAATGACATATATTGGTCATGAATAGGTCCAGGAATCATACAGCAGATCCAACAGTTCAATTTCCTCCAGTGGCAACAATTTGGGAAAGTTTAATCAAAGTGTTATCATGCCATTCCATGCATCGAGATAAAGGAATAACCACAAAGAAAAAAATAAAATTAATTCTTTTCTAGTTGAACTACCCCTGCTAAGTACTAAAACAGTAATTATCTCAACAGACTAGAATGGGCAGCTTCCTATGTCACATAAAATAATAACAATTAATGAAATTTCTGCAGCAATGATGATAATGGTTGCTAGTAGATAAGTGTAAGTGTTCATTTAGATACAGGTCTGGTCTGGCATCTTCGGAGTGTTGTCTACCTCAGATACCTTTTTTTTTCTTAGCCTGGCATCAATGTTAGTCAAAGACCACCTTCCAGTCCATTCATGAGGCTCAACCTTCTTTAAATGAGACATGTGGATCCATGAGTCTATGCTTTCAAACTTTGTAGCAAAGGGTTAGTAAGAAGTACCTGATAGGAACCTTTCCACTTCTATTGAAGGGAATTCTTTAGAAGATGTCATTTCTAGTAGACAAAATATTTTGGCTGAAGACCATGGGTTTGAGGTTCTTTTTTGGGGGGGAGTTCACAATAAAAATAATCTTTTGCCAAATTGTATTTTTTTACTTAGTTGTTTCATAAGGCCATTATGGTAATAGAATATATCTCCTTTTAGCATTATGAATTCATAGATAGTTTCATAAGTCTGTTATCTCAATTGGAGAAAACTGATGTCTGCTATAAAAGGGATGGGTCCTAGGTTAAGCAAAACCAATTAATGAAATTTTAGCCAAGGAATTTTAAAAGCCTTGATTAAGTTTGCCAATTGAGTTTTGATTATTCTGTTTGTGCATTCTTCTAACCTGGATTTGCACCATGGAAATGTTGAAGAATTGGCCAAATATTACATATTGATTGGATAATATGTCCAGTGAAATGAGTACCTCTGTTACTGTGAAGTTCTAAAGGGGCTCCCCAAGTCAGAGTAATTTTTTTTCCAGGAGAATTTTACCTAGTACTAAAGCCATTGCTCTTCTGCACAGAAATGCTTCTACCCAATGAGAAAATGTACAAACTATCACTAGAACGTATTTGTATTCTTGTGATGGGTTTATCTGAATAAAATACAATGACCACACTTCAAAGGGGACTTCAGGTAAAGGAAAACGTCCTTGAGAACACTGTGTAGATTTCCCTGGAGTATATTTTGGGCAGATATGGCAGCAACTATATGCCTTATAAGCTATAGTCAGAGAAGGTTTCCAATAATACTGTTTTACCCAAGCAACCACTGTATAAAGGCTCCCGTCAGTTAAATCATGCACATATGTTAAAAATGATTACTGTAATTTAGTAGGAATTATATGCAAGTCATTTGGCCCATAATATATTTCATCCACAGGGGAGTATGTTTCCCTTTTGTTTTCTAATGTTCCTATTCTGTTTTTGGAGCTCTGGATTGACAGCCTTCTTTAAAAGTTAATATGGATTGCTTTTCTTGCCTGGATATATTGAGAGCAGCCCTCTTTGCTACCTTATGAGCTAGCTGATGTCTTTTGTTTTCTGGTGTATCTGATTTGGAATTACCTGGGATTTTAATAATTGCTAGTGATTTTGGTAATAATATGGCTTCTAATAATTGCGAGATAAAGTGTCCATTTTTAATGGACTGACCAGAAGAGGTTGGGAATACTGTTTGTTTCCATAACATTCCAAAGTCATGAGCTACTCCAAGGCATATCGACTGTCTGTATGAATATTAGCAGTTATTCCTTTTACCAATTGACAAGCTCTAATTAATGCTTCAATCCTGCTTGTAGAACTGATGTTGTTTTTAGAAGATAAGCACTTTCTATTTCTTCAGCACTATAGGACACTATAGCATAATTTGCATGACAAATTTCAGGTAGAAGAGTAACAGGATTTAGATTATAGCACTTAGGGACTGTAATATGAGGTACAAATAGAAGTAGGACTTCAGAAGAGGCCAGCCTGCTCACTGAATAATACTGAATATGGTGTAAATTTAGAAGTGCTTCCAAAAAATGTGGAACAAAGACAAGGGAGATGCTATAATTATTTCTTCAGTTGCTTTTACCAGCAGGGTGGTCTTTGTTATCACTCTTATGTAAGGTAGTCCTCCAACCACTGTATCCAATTGCTGACTATAATATCCTATAGGTCTATTTTGACCCCCATGTTTTAGGGTCAGAATGCCTAGGGCATGTCCTTAATTTCATATACAAAAAGTGCAAAGAGAATATTATAATTTGAATGTCCTAAGGCCAGGACATCTATAAGATCCCTTTTAATTGCTTCTAATGTTAACTGATCTTCCTCTGCCCATTCCAGAGTCTGGCTTGTCTTGTTTTAAAAGTGTGTATAGGCCGGGCGCAGTGGCTCACGCCTGTAATCCCAGCACTTTGGGAGGCCGAGGCGGGTGGATCATGAGGTCAGGAGATCGAGACCATCCTGGCTAACAAGGTGAAACCCCGTCTCTACTAAAAATACAAAAAATTAGCCAGGCGCGGTGGCGGGCGCCTGTAGTCCCAGCTACTCGGGAGGCTGAGGCAGGAGAATGGCGTGAACCCGGGAAGCGGAGCTTGCAGTGAGCCGAGATTGCGCCACTGCAGTCCGCAGTCCGGCCTGGGCGACAGAGCGAGACTCCGTCTCAAAAAAAAAAAAAAAAGTGTGTATAATCCTTTGGGTATATACCCAGTAATGGGATGGCTGGGTCAAATGGTATTTCTAGTTCTGGATCCCTGAGGAATTGCCACACTGTCTTCCACAATGGTTGAACTAGTTTACAGTCCCACCAACAGGGTAAAAGTGTTCCCGTTTCTCCACATCCTCTCCAGCACCTGTGGTTTCCTGACTTTTTAATGATCGCCATTCTAACTGGTGTGAGATGGTATCTCATTGTGGTTTTGATTTGCATTTCTCTGATGGCCAGTGATGATGAGCATTTTTTCATGCGTCTGTTGGCTGCATAAATGTCTTCTTTTGAGAAGTGTCTGTTTATAAATCATGCTGCTATAAAGACACATGCACACATATGTTTATTGTGGCACTATTCACAATAGCAAAGACTTGGAACCAACCCAAATGTCCATCAGTGATAGACTGGATAAAGAAAATGTGGCACATATACACCATGGAATACTATGCAGCCATAAAAAACGATGAGTTCATGTCCTTTGTAGGGACATGGATGAAGCTGGAAACCATCATTCTCAGCAAACTATCACAAGGACAAAAAACCAAACACTGCATGTTCTCACTCATAGGTGGGAATTGAACAATGAGAACACTTGGACACATGAAGGGGAACATCACACACCGGTGCCTGTCGTGGGGTGGGAGGAAGGGGGAGGGATAGCATTAGGAGATATACCTAATGTAAATGACGAGTTAATGGGTGCAGCACACCAACATGGCACACGTATACATATATAACAAACCTGCACATTGTGCACATGTACCCTAGAACTTAAAGTATAATAATAAAAAAATAATAAAAAGAGTGTATAAAGGCAGAGATTTTAAAGAAAAGTTCAGAATTTAATTTCTGCAATACCCTACCAGCCCCAGAAATCTTCTTAGTTTTTGGTAGTTTTGAGGATACGAAAGGCCAATATCCCTTTTTCTCTTCCCAGACTAATGAAAACGACTTTCTTTCATATTAGGCGATCTAAATATTTCACTTGTTTTTTGACAAAACTAAAGCTTTTCTTTTGAAATTTTGTGGGGTTTTTTTTTTAAAGGCGACTGTTGTAACAAGTGAATCTCTTATAGAGGTTTGCTTATCTTCTGAACAGAAAAGTAAATATAATCCACACATTTATTAAAGTGGATTTTTTTTGGAAAATTCAACATTCAAGAAATCTGCTTTTAATATTTATGAGAAATGAGTTGGACTCTCAGTATATCCCTGAAGCATAACCATCCATGAATATTGTCTGTCTTCTGAAGTGAAGGTGAAGTGGAACTCGCTGTCCTTATAATCAGAAATGCTAAAGAAAGCATCATATAAATCTATCACAGCAAATAATTCACTGTCAGTTGGGACTATAGTCAACAACGTATGAGGTTTTCGCACTACTGGATGTCAATGAATGGCTATATTATTAATTGCTCTTAGATTCTGTACTAATCTCCATCCTCTATAGTCTGGCTTTCTCATGGACAGAACTGGAGTGTTACATGAACTCATATAAGAAATAGTCAAGCCTCTTTTTATATAATCTGAAATTATAGGTCTTATTCCTTCCAAGGCCTCAGATCCTAGGGGGTATGGCTTAAGGTTCAGAAGAGGCTTTGATGGGTCTATTTAAATTTTAAGTGGGGCAGCCAAGATAAGTTTTCCAATATCACTGGAGAATTATGACCATAATTGATCAGGCACTGCTTTTAGCAGTTTCTGTAATTCCTCATTACTCAATATTCAGTATCCTCCCTGGCAATGTGAAGGGCAATTTATAAATTAGAAGGGTCAAGTTTTAAATTGTCTGTATCTAATGTTTTAAAATTTTCTTTATCTAATGTTTTAAAATATTCTGTCTTCTAGCTCTAAATGTATATCCCTTTTTGGGAAAATAAGATGTTACTGTATAATTCTAAAAGGTCTCTCTCTATGAGATGAATGGTGGCTGATGGAACCAAGTGGAAAACATAAGCCCTTTGTAGGGGACCTAGTTGAAAAGCCACAGGCTGAGACTTATGTGCTGATACAGGAGTATTAGTGACAACCACCTTTTGAATTGTTTGTTTACTCTGAGGAATGGAACCCAGTAATAAGGTTGGATTTATTACAGATAACATATCAGCAAGAGCTTGTGTGTGTTCTCCACTCAAAACAATTTCTATTTTCCAAGTGTTAGTAAGAAGGAAATAAAAGTTCTCTTTAAGTTTCTCAGAGAATCCCTATTCTTTTTCCTTTGTCTGTTGCTGTTCCTTTCGTCTTACTTTTCTACAATCTTTTTATTATTATTATTATTTTGCTTTAAGTTCTGGGATACACGTGCAGAATGTGCAGGTTTGTTACATAGGTATATGCATGCCATGGTGGTTTGCTGCACCCATCAACCCATCATCTACATTAGATATTTCTCCTAATGCTATCCCTCCCCTAGCCCCCCACCCCCCAACAGGCCCTGGTATGTGATATTCCCCTCCCTGTGTCCATGTGTTCTCATTGTTTAACTCCCACTTATGAGTGAGAAGGTGAGGTGTCTGGTTTTCTGTTTCTGTGTTAGTTTGCAGATAGTGATGGTTTCCAGCTTCATCCATGTCCCTGCAAAGGACATGAACTCATCCTTTTTATGGCTGCATATTATTCCATGGTGTATATGTGCCACATTTTCCTTATCCAGTTTATCATTGATGGACATTTGGGTGGTTCCAAGTCTTTGCTATTGTGAATAGTGCTGCAATAAACATATGTGTGCATGTGTCTTTATAGAATGATTTATAATCATTTGGGCATATACCCAGTAATGGGATTGCTGGGTCAAATGGTATTTCTGGTTCTAGATCCTTGAGGAATCGCCACACTGACTTTCACAATGGATGAATTATTTTACACTCCCATCAACAGTGTAAAAGTGTTCCTATTTCTCCACATCCTCTCCAGCATCTGTTGTTTCCTGACTTTCTAATGATCACCACTCTAACTGGTGTGAGATGGTATCTCATTATGGTTTTGATTTGCACCCAATACAGGAGCACCCAGATACATATAGCAAGTTCTTAGAGACCTACAAAGAAACTTAGACTCCCACATAATAATAGTGGGAGACTTTAACATCCCATTGTCAATATTAGACTGATCAATGAGATAGAAAATTAACAAGGATATTCAGCACTTGAACTCAGTTCTGCACCAAGCGGACCTAATAGACAGCTATAGAACTCTCCACCCCAAATCAACAGAATATACATTCTTCTCAGCATCATTTCGCACTTATTTTAAAATTTACCACATAATTGGAAGTAAAACACTCCTCAGCAAATGCAAAAGAATGGAAATCCTAACAGTCTCTCAGGCCACAGTGCAATCAAATTAAAACTCAGGATTCAGAAACTCACTCAAAACCACACAACTACATGGAAATGAACAACCTGCTCCTGAATGACTACTGGGTAAATAACGAAATGAGGGCAGAAATAAGTAAGTTCTTTGAAACCAATGAGAACACAGACAAAATGTACCAGAATCTCTGGGACACAGCTAAAGCAATGTTTAGAGGGAAATTTATAGCAATAAGTGCCCACAGGAGAAAGCAAGAAAGTTCTAAAATTGACATGCTAACATCACAATTAAAAGAACTAGAGAAGCAAAAGCAAACAAATTCAAAAACTAGCAAAAGATGAGAAATAACTAAGATATGAGCAGAACTGAAGGAGATAGAGACATGAAAAGTCCTTCAAAAATCAGTGAATCCAGGAGCTGGTTAAAATGTTATCAGAAATGTTGGCACACTGTATAAACTCTTCCATACCTTGCTTTTCTCTCTTAATGGAGACTGAAGTGCTTTCCATATCAGTACAGAAAAGCTTCCTTTTGCATGGCTGTATCATTTCCTACATATGGATGTACCATAATCTATTTAAGGAATTCCCATTCGATGGTCATTTATAGCAGACGTCTTTCTGCTATTGTTGAAAATGCCTCAATGGAAACCTTGTCCATAATGACTTAGTGCACGTGCAAACCAAAATTATTCTTCTTGACAAAATAGTTTAAAATTCCCTTCTCATCATGAAAAGGGGCAGAACAGGGAGGAGGCAAGTGTCAGAGAGAACATAGACAAAGTTTCAGAAAGCTGAGCTTGAAATCTCAGTGAACTGCAGCAGCAAAATCACAGCCACATGTTTCAGGGCCATTGGAGGAAAGCAAACATTGCAGAGAAACACACTAATAAAGACTTAGGACTAGAGATCTGTGTTTTGGAAGAAGACATTCTAAAGCATATCAGACCTCACAGGACAAAGCCATGTAGATCACAGAGAACACAAACTAAACCAGCAAGAACCATTCCCTTAGCTTCCATGGAAAAGGGCAATCAGCAGATCTTCAGAAGAATTTCAGACAGGGATCAGAAACTATATTTTGTGTCTAGCTTTTATTGTCAAGTATTGATATAGTATTTATAACAGATATTTTTAGATGCTTTATAAAGTCTGGAGTTCTTCTAGAGAAGCAAGGGCAAACAAATTCAAAAGCTAGCAGAAGACAAGAAATACTAAGATCAGAGCAGAACTGAAGGAGATAGAGACACAAAAAAACCCTTCAAAATATCAGCGAATCCAGGAGCTGGTTTTTTGAAAAGATTAACAAAATAGACAGCTAGCCAGACTAATAAAGAAGAAAAGAGAGAAGAATCAAATAGACACAATAAAAAATGATAAAGGGGATATCACCACTGATACTACCATCAGGGAATACTATAAACACCTCTGTGCAAATAAACTAGAAAATCTAGAAGAAATGGATAAATTCCTGGACATATACACCCCCCCCCCAAGACTAAACTAGGAAGAAGTCAAATTCCCAAATAGACCAATAACAAGTTCTGAAATTGAGGCGGTAGTAGCCTAACAACAAAAAAAAGCCCAGGACCAGATGGATTAGCAGCCGAATTCTTCCAGAGGTGCAAAGAGGAGCTGGCACCATTTCTTCTGAAACTATTCCGAACAATAGAAAAAGGGAGACTCCTCCCTAACTCATTTTATGAGGCCAGCATCATCCTGATACCAAAATCTGGCAGAAACACAACAAAAAAAGAAAATTTCAGGCCAATATCCCTGATCATCAATGCGAAAATCCACAACTTTTAAAAAAGTGGTCTGACTTTTTGCAATAATTGCAAAGCAGAGGGTTGGGTTCATTTTGAGGTTTATAGGGACATTTTAGAGACCCAGATTGGATATATAGTTGTTTCAACTGTAAACTCAGAAATTTATTAGCCTTACTCTTTTGTTTGCACTCTTTCCTCTTTCTTCCTTAGTTAAGGTACAAGACAAATGATTGCCAAGATTAAACAAATTGTGTTTGAGAAATAGCCCAACTACAGCATTGTCTTATTTCTATGAATGCTAATTTCTCATCTAACCCATTTATGAAATTGGAATTGAGGAGAGTATCATTTTAATGATTAGCATAACTCACTTCAGATAATCCTGAGTGTTTAAATATATTTTTTAAAATCTCCCAAAATATGACATCACCGACTCATTTGGATTTTGTTGACATGGTTTTATTCTAGTTAACTATTTCTGAAAGACTAAAGAGATAGCATCAAGTAAAGATTTAGCAGTATCATAGGCATGTTCACAATTAGTTTCTGAAAATTTCAGAAAGTCTCCAAAGGAGTTCCTCCAATTTTCCTTAGCTATCCAATCTTTAGCTTTACTTTCTCTTACTAACATGTGAATTAATTAATATAAATCAGAAAAACCAGGATCATGAGCTTGAATATTCAGTTCAAATTAGCTGGCAAAACTAATAGAGTCCTTGTGAGGGTTGGGAATTCTTTAATTATTCGTTTTAGTTGTACCTTTGACCATGGTTAATAAACCAAAGCAGGTTATCCTTCACCAGACACCTGCTGTTCACAAAATGGAGCCAAAACAGCAGGTGTCGGAGAAGGAGGAGGAACAGAAGGTACAAATGGGCAAGGCAGTCCAGACCATGAAGGATAAAGAGAAGAAGGAGCTAAAGGAGGAGGAGAAATTTTAGCAGTCTTTTTAAATACAGGAATTGTTTTAGGTCATCTTTTTTTGTTTCCTTCCTGAAGAGAAAGGACTTTATCAGAACCCCTTTTGGAAGTTTCCAAATACCGTTGAAAACAATTTTCACAATTGTTCTATTTCAGAGTCAGCTTTTTCTAATTGAGCATGCAAGTTAACTAATTTAGGCATTAAAGGTAGTGCATTTTGGCCGTTGTAATTTGGGGTCATCAGGAGTTATGTGTGATCAATTTTCTAAATATTTGCATGAAAATACACTATAGGTGTTAAACACAAATCTAGCTGATGTTTCTAATGGTGGGTCCTCGTTAAGAAGGAAGAGTTCATTTTAGATGCTCAGTTGCCCATAATTTAGTGCTTTCCTTCCTGCATGACCAAAATACTTTTGAGTCAAGTGTGCTGCTTGTGGGGATGGCTCCTCAAGGTGTCACCCTTGAGTCACTTCTTCCCTCTTAAGCGTCTCGGTAATCCCAAGAAACTTTGGCACTTTCCGCGCTAGTTGATCAATCCTTTATGTGTGCCAGCTGAATTAAGTGAGGCTACCTTTATGTTCTTCTTAGGGGTTTCGTATGAGACTATTACTCATCATGAGTGATTAACTCTGACATTCCCACTAGAACTAAACCACCTAAGGTACCATCTGGCAGCGAGAAATGGTGTCTCTTATCTTTGGGACTTATTTTGTCCTCACAGGGAGCCTGTTATACTTTTGGTTATTCATAAATAAAGTCTGGATTTGTCAATTGAACCAAGCTTCAGAACCTGGCCAGTTTTAAAGACTATAAACTTTTCCCGCAGGTCACAAAGATTCACTTCCTTTCACCACATCTTTTCAAAGGGAAGCTGTCTCTGTACCAAAATTTTGAACGACAGAAGGGTTGTAAAAACTCTAAGGAATAATTCAAGACAAATCTTAACTTCACAGAAAGTGAAAGCTAGAAATCTGCTATTAGAATCTCTACAGAATAACAAATGAATCTTCTACCTTGGAACAGAACTTCAATTCCAACCCCACTGAGTTAGGAAGGTACAGCTTGAATAAATTCTGAATCCTCAACCAAGGTGAGGCACCTTACCAGGGATTCCTGTTAACTCTGGTGAGGGTGGAAGATACATCAGTTGTGCTGGTATCAAAGATCTGGCTGCTGGTGAAATGACTGGGAAGGTCTCCTTCATAATCGCTAATTTGTCAACCTTAAATTAGGATTCAGGCAATATGATTAAATATTGAGTTTATTCAAGCACAAAGTCAGAAAAAAACCACTGGTAAGGACAGAGACTCCAAAAAGATAGGGTCAGTGCACCGAAGAGGAGACGCTTGAGGGCTGTTAATATAGGCAAAAGCTGGGGAAACTGAATAGGGTCTCAACATTTTCCATGTAAGGTTAGTGCATAGTTACAGCAATTTGATGGTCATAGGCAGTGTTTCATTTTGGGAAGGGAATATTAACATTCCACATTAAGGATGTAATGGTCAAGGGGTCTTTTACCTTAGCCAAGAAGTCTGCTGTCTCAGGTACCATCTGGTCTGAACTGGGACAAAAAGTAATAATAAGGAAGGGCAAAAGGTCGGTCATGCTTCGTGACTTGGTCTCCAAAGTCAACCTTGCTCAGTGCCTAACAACTTTTAGAAGCCCCAGACAGACAGATTATCCATTTTCTTTCATAATAAAGAGAAATTTGTTTTTCATAGAAATGCATTGTATGATTTATTTCAGTACAGTAGACAACAGTCTCCATTTGTTAATCTCACATTTCCCACAAGGAGGCAAAATTTATTGCCAGTCTGGTGAATGTTAAGGGGTTTTCGGTCTATAAAGGAAAATTTAACTAAGGGTTTCCCAGAAGACATGAGTATCAAAAATGAGAAAAGTTTTATGTAAAGTCTTTCTACAGGATATTTCAAAACACCACCAAAGTAGTCATCATGGGAAAAAAAATAAGAATTTATTGGACTGCATTAAACCAGTTTCATGATGTAATATTCTTTTTATTTTGAATTATACCCTGTGGGTATTGGGATGGGTTAGAGGGGTGTCCCACAATCTAGCCCAGAGCTTGGTAAAGGTCTTAATATGATCATATGTTGTTGAGTCATTATCAAATAGATCATTCCAAATCTACTTAACATTCTTAAAATAATAGTTTCCTTACAGAAGAAAGATATGGTTAGAATGCACATGGACTATGGGAAGAGCAAAGTGGGGCATTCAGACTGGCTGGGTGGGGTCAGGGCCTGTGCATAAGAGAGAAACAGACTCAAGGCAGTTGGGCACATTAGAACAGAGATTCTTCAGACCAAATGGTGAGAATCTTGTTCTCAATTAGCATATGTTTTAATGAAGACCTCTACTATGACCTTAATAAGAAATTTTGACTATTATTAAGAACAGGTTGAAGTAAAATTGACTTAGAAATGAATTTTCCAAAGAAACAGATAAAAATAAAACCATGAAAGATAAAAAGAATAAAATCATAGAATAATAAAATCATAAAAAGATCACCACAGGACCACAATTATTTCCAAACTATGGACTATAAATGCAAAGCCCTATCACCAGGATCTGCTTATGTAGCCTCCTTCCCTGAAGTTTCTTCCACCAGCACATAGCTATTGAATGCTTTAAAACTGAAAATGAGTCTCTCAGTTAATATCACTGTGAGGGTTTAAAATATAAGAATGCTAATATTTTATAGTGCTTATTATGTATGGACACCCTTCTAAATGCTTTATATTAATTTATTTAATGTTGACTGTTCAAGGTAGCTATCAACTATTATTATCCATTATACAAATGTGGACATTAAGGCACAGACAGAAAAAGCAATGTGCTGAAAGGCACACAGTTGGGAAGAGGCAGAATCACTAACTGGACCCAAGCAGTCTGAATCCAGAATCCACTTTCTTAACACTCAGCTTTCAGTAGGTGTAAGACATGTATAGTCTTTAGCAATCATGATAATATACTTTAGATTTTCTGGGTCATCTGGTTTTCAAGCATTCTGATCATTGAACCTAAATAAATTCTGATATTTTCAACATTTTTTGGTCACATACAAAATATGTTTGTAAATGTATGTAGAAGTTCAGTCACCAAATACTCCAATTTTAGATGTCCCATTAAAGCTAGCTCTATAGTTTGGATTATCTACCTTACACAAATAAAATATTTAGACTCAGCCCCTCTGGACCTCAGTCTCATCTTTTTTAAAGTGAGAATATTGCCTGCGCTTGTATGTTCATCACAGCACTATTCACCATAGCAAAGTCATGGAACCAACTTAGGTTGGAACCATCAACAGTTGACTGGATAACTACCACTTAGTCATGGAACCATCAACAGTTGACTGGGTAAAGAAAATATGATATATATACACCATGGAATACTACACAGCCATAAAAAATAATGAAATCATGTCTTTTGCAGCCACATGGATGGAGCTGGAGGCCATTATCCTAAGTGAACTGACTCAGAAATAGAAAGTCAAATACTGCATTTTTTCACATACAAGTGGAAGATAACCAATGGGTAAACATAAATAAAGATGGAAATAATAGACACAGGATTCCAAAAGCAGGGAGGCTGGGAGGGGAATTAGGGTTGAAAAATAAGCTATCATGTACAATGTTTGCTATTTAGGTAATAGATACACTAGAAGCCCAATCCCCACCAGTACTCAATATACCCATGTAACAAACATGCACATCTCCCCACTGTATTTACAATTAAATTAAACTAAAGTGAGGGTGTTGGACTAGATGTACTTCCAATGTCAAGATTACATTTAACATCTGTCAACTGGATCCAGGTTTAGTCTCATTTTTGCTGAAGTAGCATGTCATCAGCCTTCCAGGAAATGATTGTGAAAATCCATTCATACACTCTGAGGATCAGCACAGCACATTCCTAGAGGTAATTGCATTTGCTCAAATCAATGAGTCATTGGCCATTTGTAACTCTCCATGGGTTAATTACCAACACCATTGTTGAGACTGTAACATGTTTTGCTTGTGCTTAGAGAAATGTTTTTGTGGTTTCACTCTTAATTTGGCAGCGGCTGATACGAATTCAGACCACATATTATACTCATCGGTCTTTCACAACTGCCATTTCCCACAGGCAGCCTGATTATTCTACCCATGGAAACAGCAGAGAGCACCTAGCTTGTAAGATAGCAGATGAACAGTACTGAGTAAGCTTTATGTACTAAATGGGGCGTGAGGTTCATCGTGCTCACTATCACAGTCAAGAGGACTCGCAACAGGGAGAAGAAATAAGTCATTTAAATAAACTGGAAGAGATAAAAGAAGAGTTCAAAATCACTCAGCCAGTTAAAACCAATTTAACACCTTTGTTGAGTTGAGGAGCTTTCTGCTTAAAGTATTCTGGCAGATTAAATATCCAGACGGTAGGCAAAAAGAGAGGAAGTGACACCTATGAGTATTTGATATGTGCCAGACATTGTGCAGAGTCTTATAATAATAAAATAACAACACACATTTTTTTGTATGTGCACAATTCTAACTGCTTTACATGTCTTAATTCATTTAATCCTCACATCAACTCCAAGGAGTAAATATAATTTTTAACCCGATTTTTGTTGCTTTTAATTTTATAAGAAACATAAGAGACAGCCAATATTGACCTTACTTTTCAAATAAGGACACTGGGTCTCAGAGTTTGTAATTTGGTCATGGTTTCATAGGTAATAAATAACTAATGCAGAATTCACACGCATCTCCGTTGGACCTTAAAGTTGTGTTTTCCCTTGCCTTAGCAAGGATCCTGATACATTTGAAAAACTCAGCATTTTGTCATGTATCTGATAATTTCCAAATTGGAAGGGACTCAATGATCACAATCCTATTGGTTTTACTTCATAGAAAACCACCGGTTTCTTCAAATGATTAAGCTTAATGTCAAATGGTTAGCTGGTCTGAAACCTAGGTCCTTGACTTCTTGGTCTAAATCATCTCCTTTACTTCGGTGATTCCTAGTCCATAGAACTCACATAGTTCTAAAACAATGAGTTTCAACTTGGGGTGTGCATCAGAGAGTTTATCTGTGGTGCTTTTTAAAAACAGATTCCCTAGCACCACCATAGACCTACTGAATCCAAGTTACCTAGTGATCAACAAATATGTGATTCTGATGTGACTATAACTTCACTCACAGTTAATATAATTACATGCTCTAAGTTCCCAGAAATTCAATTTTAAGGCAACTTATTGCCATCAGAATTCCTAGGGGCTGGGTTTCAAGTCATACCAGGACTCCAACAGAACAGGCAAGTAGAGAAGGAAAGAAGTCGGATCAAATGCTACAGGTTCTGACTCAGAAGCAGAGTCGTAGAGTGGCCCTTGAGTGGAGTGGCCAGAAGCCCACGGGGGCAAGGTGAAGCATGGAGGCGGGATTTGGCTGTCTCAGAGGTCTTTAGGCAGTGAGATACTTGAAGTCAGGCAGGAGGCAACATTGCAGTTCTGCATAGTTGGAGTTAGAACAGGTCCCTAGCCAGCCATAGTGATCAAAGGAAGAGTTTCCATATTCTGAGAAAAGGGGCTGGCAAGGGGTACGGTAGTTAGCAGGACTTCAGTCACATAACCTAGGGTTTGGAGAAGGCTGTCAGCCCCATGGAAAATTTTTAGTACTAATAAGGATCCAAGCCAAAGCTCATTCTTCTTTTCTTCATTTAAGCATCCATTTCTTCATTTAAATATCTATTGATCACCTTTTAGTCCACTCACTAGAGTAGATGGCTTACATATTCCATCTCTGTAATGCTGATTATTCATTCTTTCTTTATTATCCAGAAAACTCAAATATTCTTTCCATATTTTAAAGATCCCCCACATTGTGATTTGAAGGACACATGGAAACCAGATACTTTTTTTTTTTTTTTGAGACAGAGTCTCGCTCTGTCACCAGGCTGGAGTGTAGTGGTGTGATCTCAGCTCCCTGCAACCTCTGCCTCCTGGGTTTAAGTGATTGTCCTGCCTCAGCCTCCTGAGTAGCTGGGACTACAGGCATGCCCCACCACACCCGGCTAATTTTTGTATTTTTAGTAGAGACAGGGTTTCACCATGTTGGCCAGGATGGTCTTGATCTCTTGACCTTGTGATCCTCCTGTCTCGGCCTCCCAAAGTGCTGGGATTACAGGCAGATATTCTATTTTTTGTAGCTTCCCTAGCAAAGGTTTGCAGGTCATAATCTAGACCCTGTCAATCAAAGACCAACCAGGGCTCCAGGCTCTCTGCTAGGCACTGGAGATTTAAAAGATCAAGAAGACATCATACCTGTACCACAGGAAAAAAAAGGAGGATATCATATTTGGAACTTAGTCTGAACCTCAGTGGTATGGTGCCTTCTGAAACACAGACCACTTTGGTCAGAACCAGCTAGGGGCTATGCTGGGTTGAGAGTGTGTGTATCCAACATCAGTATCAGCTGACCAGGAAAGGGAGGTATTGACAATAATACAGAAGACTAAGCACATGTTGTTGCAGGTATGTATTCTAGCACAACTGTCACAATCAGTAAAATACATCTAATGACTAGGATGTAAAAGGGAAAGGTGGGGGGGAATCTCCTTTTTTTTTTTTTTTTTTTTTGAGACGGAGTTTCACTCTTGTTGCCCAGGCTGGAGTGCAATGGTGGGATCTTAGCTCACTGCAACCTCTGCCTCCCAGGTTGAAGCAATTCTCCTGCCTCAGCCTCCTGTGTAGCTGGGATCACAGGCGCCTGCCACCATGCCTGGCTAACTTTTTGTATTTTTAGTAGAGATGGGGTTTTACCATGTTGGTCAGGCTGATCTCGAACTCCTGACCTCAGGTGATCCGCCTGCCTCGGCCTCCCAAAGTGCTGGGATTACAGTCGTGAGCCACCGCGCCCGATGGGATATCCTTTTTAAGTGCACAAACTGGAAGTCACACATATCACTTCTAAGCACATTGCACTGACCAGAACTTAGTCACATCTCCACTGCAAGGGAGCCTGTGAGTCATAGGCTTTGGCTGGGCAGCCACATACCCAAGAGCTCTTTGTTATATTGTGTTGCCTATTAAAAAGTAAAATTTTTAAAGGAAAAAATATGTCTATAAGCAACTTGGGTTTTAGAATCTCCATCCTGGCTTTTGAGAGTTTGGGATCTTTTATCTCTCCAGCTTAGTCAGACTCTCTAGTTCGTGTAATAGGACACTCCTATTCTGATCTGGTTCCCTGAAAGCTGCATGTGATGTGTCTTAATATTATATTGCACCACCTGCTATCTGCTTGGCTTATGATCATGCTTTGATCTATACTTGGATTTACTCTACTTGGAGAAAGGTATACTCTTTATAGGACTGGCATGGTAGAAATTGTGATGATTTCTACAGGCTCTGCCTGTAGCCAATGAGGAAGCAGAAGATGAATCCAAATGGAACCTTATTTAGCCAACACACACAGGCACTTGTGTGCCAAATGTGGTTTATAGGATACATTTTGGGAAAATTTACTGAGTTCCCCATTCATGAAACCATCATTAAATATTATATCATAGTTAGGTCTTCTATGCTTTCTTTCATCTTTGAGAAGGATATACTAGAAATTATCAATTTCTCTTTAAAGTCTTACATACCTATACTACAGTTCACCTGCATTTAAGCTTAGACTGGACATATTAGGGAGATGAGAAGAGCAAGAGAAACTGAAGAGCTTGGCTACTTAGTTGGTGACCTTGTTATTTTCCAAGAATGATTTAGTTGCACAAAATCTATGGTGTACTTCTAACAAAAGTCTACAAGATCTTACATTATAAATCTTGTATACTAGTTGTACTAGACACTAACCATTCTTTTTGGTGGACAACATCTGAGCCTGATTATAGTTTAGGAATTCTTTACCTGTTTTCTGATTAGAGATAGTGAGCCAGAGGTAGCAAGCTTTAAAGACATATTTGTAAGACGTTTGCATATCAAACCTGTAGGAAACAAACCTGAAAAAAACATTCAGGGGCTTGCCATCTTAGTGAAAGGTGTACATCTAAATACTCCTTCTAATGTAAAGGATAATTTGTTGCATCTGAATCTCAAAGATATCAGGCCCTGTGAATGCTACCTTTTGGGGCATATTTTTGCAAACATAACTAAATTAAGGATCTTAAGATGAGGTGGTTAGCCTGAATTATTAAGGTGAGTTCTATCTGCCATCACATGCTATTACAGAAAGGCAGAGGGAGATTTGACAAATACACATGGAAAGTGCAATATAAAGATGGAGGTGGAGACTGGAGTGATGTGGCTACAAGCTAAGGAATGCCTGCAGCCACCCGGGCTAGAAGAGGCAAGAAACTAGAAAGTGGGGAGTGTGGCCCTGCCGACACCGTGACTTGGTCTTTTGGGCTCCAGAACTATGCGAGAATAAATTTCTGTTGCTTTAAGCCACCAAGTTTGTGGTAATTTTTTACAGCAACCACAGGAAACAAATGGAGATTTTACTGTAGTGGTCATTGAAATATCAGATACCAGTAGCTCACTTTCCCAGTCTCCCTTGCAGTGAGGGCATAAGCACGTGCTGGTCAGATGCACCCTGGAATTTGAGTCAGGTATTTCTCATACAAAACTCTGGGGCTGTAGAAAATCCTCTCTATAGCAGCAATGTTGATTACAATAAGGTAGATCTTCTGGAACAGCAGTGCCAGATCAGTGCTGCAGGAGAACTTCTGGCTGCACAGCCTTCATCTAAGCCTGGTTCACATGACCACCCAGTAATTCTGTAGGCTACTAATGTCCTTTCGATATGTCACTTCTCTGTTTATACTGAATTAACTTAGTTTCTATTATTTAACTAAAACCCAACTAATACATTAATGGCCTCGCCATTACTGTGGTTAATTTCCGAAAACTTTGCCTGTTTCCCCTACCTCTCACTTTCTCGAAATATAGATGTAGGCATAGATGTAAATATATAGGCATAGATATAGGTATACACACACATACAAATTTGATTCTCCCTCCTTTGAAAAGGAGATCTGAAAGGCATACCAAATATGTTTTTGTGAGTAAATGCATTCAAGTCTCCCTGCATCCCCCTTCACACCCATCTTTGCCTTCCTCTCTGTTTTTATTTTTACTTTTTCTGGGAAGCCTTCATGCACTTCATGCTGCCTTCGCATCCTACTGGTAGCATATTGCAGTACTTATCACACAGTATCTGTTCAATAGATGGTTGATTATATTAAGCAATATTCTGAATAGTAAAATTGATTAACTCAAGCCTTGCTGACAGCTGCTTTAAATCATATCATGAACTAAAGTGATTCGATTTACCTCAAAACCACCTCAGTTTGGGGTGTATTTGTTGCATCTGTTAAATTAATCATGAAAGGCTTTCAGTGAAAATCTTCATTCCATGCTATATTCTGTTTGCCTGTTTCCTTTAAGGCTTACATTGAAGTAAAGCTGTATTGAAGTGCTTTAAAAATATAATTTCATGAGTAATATGTCTGAGACAGAATTTCTGAATCTATTTGCAAAGCTGCCATCAATCTGTCACCTCAAAATATTTTCCCTAGCTGTTCCCACATTTACCAATGTTATTGCCATAGAACTCACAAAGTGATTTTGTTGAATGAATGAATGTTAAGCACATGATGATGATGCTTATCAGAAGCCTGAAGATGCACTGGGAAGAGAGGAAAGCTGAAAGTATCAGTGTGAGGATGAGCAAGCCTCATGAAGCCCTCCAAATTGGGTCCTATTGAGACCACAATATAAACAGAGATATGACAGAATTAAGGAGCTTGCAGGAAAATGGGATAGATAAAACATTGAGTGGTTCAGAAATAAAGAAAGAAGCCAGGCTTCTGTCCAAAATGGGGTAGATAGCAAGAATGGAAATGGCAATTTTTACTAGTCACTTTTCTAACTATTTTATTTCCCTCACTGAATTCGTTGTACTTGAGCTTTTGCAAAGAATTGAACAAGGAAATACCAAACAGAAAAAATGGCTTATGGTATAAAGTAGTTTTTTATTAGCCATGTTAGTTAGATTTTTTTTTTTGTCAGAAGCAAAAGAGATCTACTCTGGTTTATTCAAGCACAAATGAAATTTATTAAAAAGACACACTGGATAGTTCACAGAGTAACAACAAAGCTGAAGAATGATGCTTGCAGCCTACTCAGCCACACAAGAAATGTCCCCAGATCACACATCTGAGCTTGTCACTAGCTCATGCAGCTTGTATTACCAATGTTCTTGGCCCTGAAAATTAGCCATCAGCCAGTGAACACCATTATGAGTACTTCTGCCACTTCTCCTCTGAAAACTTTATTTACATCAGCTGTCACCTCCATCAAAGAGAGAATTCTCCATGACCTTTGCCTCTCTGCATCCTCAGTGCCCAAATTAAAGTAAAGGGCAGGTATGTTAGATGTTCTTCAGCAACAAATAATGACAAATGACTACCACAGCTAAACACATGAATTAACAGGATATATTGGAAATTTATCTCAGCAACATATATTGTTAAAAATTAACTTATTTGTGAAATATAAAGCCAGAATCAGCCCTTTCCTCCTCCCTTGGGTATTCTGTCTTTCACTGAACACGGTCATTCTCTACAAGAGAGGCAACTGAAAGTCTCATTCAATTATGCCATCCATTTCAATGGCAATCCAGATCACTTGCTCATCTGTTGTCCTCTTCGTAAGGTCCAGATGTGACTTCTCCTGGGTTCAATGCTGTATATACTCATAGCTGTTTGCTCCCCATCCAGCACAAATATGCAAACAGTATGCCATGTTGGAGCAGAAAATGATAACCATGTGGAGACTCTCATTTAGAAAATGGAAGAATGAGAAACACACAGCATTCATTAGTCCATAGCAATGACACATCCTGGAAAGCAAGAATCACAAGTACACTCTTCTCTGCCATAGAGTTGTCCCTGCTTAGAGAGTTATTCCCTCATTTTTTTGTTCTACATGGTCTGTGACTTTTCTGTCTGACAGGTTCATCCTGGCCTACTATTCTCTAGTCCATATCTGAAATGGGTATTTAGAGGCCCTTCTTGGGGGATGAATAGTCAAGGACTCTTATAGGATAGGTCTATAGTTTCTTTGATAATATCATTCTCTTAGAAACTTAGGCTTCTGGGATGTTTGCTCCCAGTCAGTTTCATGTGCTGGCTCTTTTCTGGACATAATTCTTATACCTTATTTTTTTGATTCCTTGATTGATCTTGTACCTTGCTCCTTTTTTAATGGCAGCTATCTTGAGGCCATCTACAACAATGCAAGCGTCTTAGCTTAATATTTTCCAAACAGACCTGTATCCCTTTGTTTGATTTAAAAGGAAGACTTTGGAAAAGGCTCCAGACAACAATTTATGTCTATAATAGATGTTTGCAGTGACTGCTGAGTCTCCATGTTTCTGGACAGTCCTTATTTCATTCCCTCTTTGCTTATAAACTGCTGATTCTTCCAAAGCTTATAGATTTCTTATCTATTATCTCATCTATACCTGCTAAAGGCAATACACAACTACAAAATACACATTAACATTCTTACTTTTTCTAACTGCTTTTTATAAACCTCTATGCTTTTTTGGCACATGGTCTGCTCTTCATCTCACCATACAGCATGATTTTGTCAAATATGTCGATATTACATCACAGG
The DNA here is from genome assembly GCF_000001405.40 of Homo sapiens. NCBI lineage: Eukaryota > Metazoa > Chordata > Mammalia > Primates > Hominidae > Homo > Homo sapiens. Next base: position 39,156,360 of record NC_000013.11, read on the forward strand.
ATTACTACCTTTTCCATCTGTTTTCTCAGCATTTGTTGACTGTCCACCAAGACAATGACATATTGTAGGCTTTTGTCAGGGTAACACCCCGCTTCTGGTAGCAGTTCTTATGTTACGGCCAGGCTAGGCAGCAGTCGCAAAGAGCTTCCACAATACAGTAATTTAAATAGAAAAGAAGTTTATTTTTCTCTTAATTAGCAGTCCCAGTATAAATGGTTATGCTGACTTTTGCTTTTTCATTTATGAAATGCAAGTCCTTCTGAAATTTATTGCCATCTGCATGGCCAAGTCTGGGTCATTGCCTGCATTCAAATTTCGATGGGCAGGCAAGGGAAAGAAAATATCGAGAAGACGCCACTGTCTTACAGCTTAAATGTGGAGGTGGTACTTATCCCTTCTACAATGTAGTTATATGGTCAATTGAAGCTTCAAGAAAGGCTGTGGAAGGTAGCTGATTTGAGCATTCATGTGCACAGGTTGAAGAGAAGAACAGAATTTTGTGAATATGTAGTATTTATTGCTACAACAGGCTAGCAAATAATTTGTGCTGAACAATTGGTTTTCCATATGGAAAAAATACAATTGCATTATTACCAAACACAAAAATAAATCAATCCCAGGTATATTAAATACTTAAATATGAAAAGTAAAACTATAAAATTATTAGAAGACAATACATAAATATATTTTTCTAACTTTGGAGAAGAAAGGAATTATTTTAAAAGGTTCAAAATAAGAAGGATAGGCTGGGTGAGGTGGCTCACGCTTGTAATCCCAGCACTTTGGGAAGCCAAGGGGGGTGGATCACCTGAGGTCTGGTGTTCAAGACCAGCCTGGCCAACATGGTGAAACCCCATCTCTACTAAACATACCAAAAAATTTGCTGGGCGTGGTGGCGGGCACTTGTAATCCCAGCTACTCCTGAGGCTGAGGCAGGAGAATTGCTTGAACCCAGGAGGCAGAGGTTGCCATGAGCTGAGATCATGCCAGGCACTCCAGTCTGGGTGACAAGAGCAAAACTCTGTCTCAAAAAATACAAATAAAAAGAAGGATAAATTGAACTACATTAAAATTAAGGATTGCTGTTTATCAAATGACATTATCAAACATTTTAAAACGAGCCACAAACTAAAAGAAGATATTTGCCTCATGTATAATCAACAAAGGATTATTGTTTAAAATACATAGCAAATTCTTATGAATAGTGAAATGAGTAAACATATTAGCAGGAATTTCACAGAAACACCAAAAGCTTTTACATATGAAAATATCCTCAATGTTTTGTATAATCAGGAGAGTAGAAATTTTAAAAAGCAGTTAGATACAAATTTGTATCCAACAGATTGGCAAAAACTAAAGTCTGACAAACCTAAGTTTTTATAAGTATTTAAAGACAAAGGTTTCTTATATGCTGGTGGTACTAATATCAATTGAAGTAAATATTGGGAAACAGTTTAGTGTTGGCTCGTATGTTCAACAAATATGTGTGCTCTGGGTTAGACATTTCATTCCTAGGGCTATAAAATAAAGAAACTTTTGCCTATAAGGACAAGATCTAGTAAGTAGATAGTGACATTGTTTGTGACAGCAAACTAGAAATATCCAAATATTCATCAATAGTAGAAGAAACACATTTTTATACTTATGTAATGGAAAATAACAAACTACAGCTACATATTATCATGCACGACCTTCAAAAACATAATATTAAACAAAATAAGTAATTTCAGAAGAAAACTACTGTATGTTCTATTTATATAAAACTCAGCAGTATATTATTGAAGGATAATTAATTTAACTACCAAGGAGAACAACACAATGTTTAACTAAAATTTAAAATAGTAGTTGAATGGGGAGGGAGAGGGAAGGAATTCAGGAAGGCCACAAAAATAGCATCCAAAGTGCTACTTATTTTCTCTTTTTTGAGTTGGCCACAGATTACACAAATATTCATTTTACTGCTATTTTTAATATATACATATGAATTTATTCACTCTTTGGAATGTGTCTTAAATTTTATAATTACAAAAATTAAAGGTTAACTAGGCAGTAGATGTGGTGGTCTGGCATTGGAAATAATGGCTATCAGCCATGTGGAGCCCCTACATTTTTGCATCCCTTGTTGTGTATTTATAGATGCCTTCTTAGGGTTGAAATGTTGAGGACAGCTTCTCACATGACTTTCCCAACGTTTGGGAAGGTTTAACAGCTCTTTATTGAAGGAGTTGGGAGTGGGGGTAAGTGAGTGGTAAGTACTAATAGAGAGGATATGGGTTTTGCATTCCTAATCTAGTTACTAGTTTCCTTGCAGTACCATTACAGTGTTACTCTCTAGGCTTTTTGCGAAGAGTGTGGTGTGGATGATCTCCAGCTCTTCTTCCTGTCCTCTCCCCTGGGCCTTCATTCCTTACTCTCTACTTTCCTTATCTTGCCAAAGCACTCTTCCTTTAACATTTTCTCCCTCCTGTGTCTCTAGTATTTCCATCTCTGCACTGCCCCCTAACCTTAACCAGAGTCTGATTCCAGCAATCTCTTCTGCATTTAACAAATTTGCCACCTAGTGTGTTAGATTTCATTTATGTTTCTCTTCCATCCAATTACTGCAACTCCATACAGAGGTATGACTGGTTTCTGGCTGGATGTACCTTTCTGCTTTTGGGAAAAAAAATGGCAGAATATGTTTTAGTCCTGTGGAGGGTAACAAGCCTATGGGGCTGCAAGGGAAAGGCTTTCCCTCTGGGCTGCAGCTGTTCCTTTCCTACAGTATCCAAAGTCAAACATATCTCACTACAGTGCAGGTGGATTTCCTTCCAAAAACTTCATCTAGTGTGCATGAAAAATTCACATTCAGCCCATAGTGTAACTTCAACCTTTTTTTCTGCCTACCAATATGGGATACTAGGGACTAATTACACTAAGAGAGGTTTGCCCCATCTTTGCTCTGAGCTGCATCATGAAGCACTATCCGTGAACTGACACTGGATGTTAAGAGGAAGGACAGCTAAGGGGTAGATGTACAGCTTTTAGAATCAGGTTGTCTGGGTGTGAATGCCAGCTTCCCTCTTTCCCAGCTGGCTATCCCAGCCAAGTGATCTGACCGCCCTGCATCAACTTTCTCCATCACCTGGAAATAACAATACTTACCCCCACCAATTAAATGAATAGTCCATGTAAAGTACCTGGCATATGGCCAAGGTTCAATGTTGGTTATTACTATGTCATGTGCAAGCCACGTCTATCTAATTACAGGATTTTTCCTTGTGAACAATGAAGTGTGTGGGTGGTGGGAGGGCAGAGCCAGGCAAGGCAGAGAAAAGTTAAGCACTCCTTTTAGCATGGGGTGTTTTTATCTCAATTGATACGTACTTTAGAAATACAGCGCTCATTTCTCTGGAGGGACAGGGTGTTAGATGTATAAAAAGCACAGGAAGATGAGTAGTTTTAAAGTAGAAGTGTTTCTTGGATATAAATTGGACCACTTAAAAAGAAACAATCAAATCTTTTACTTGCTTTTTAAAAATTTATGCCAGAAGCCATTTAAATCTGCCTGCTTTTAGAAACAGGCTTACAAATCTGTCTTCATTCTAAATTTTCCCCTGAAGAGCAACAAGGAAAATGTAAATAGTTAAGGGTTTCTTATTCCTTGTGTGTTTTTTTTTTTCCTGTCAAGAAGACAAGGCCAACACTTGTTAAATTTCAAATTGGATTTGGAACACAGATTTTGGAACTGTACCTTGGGTTCTGTCAGCTCTCAAAATTTCAAGAGACTACTGGGAGGTAAACATGAATTAGGTTAGGAGGGCACACCAGTGCTGCCAGACCTGCCCACAGCAGCAGACTTGATTTTGCCCTGCTTTGCCAACATTGGAGAGAAGAAGCTCACTGCTGCTCTAAGCAGAAATAGACAATAGCATCTGACAGGAAGGCAAAAGTGTGTATAATGAAGGTGCGGTAGAATATGATGCTCCATTCTAGAAGTTCCAGGAAGTACCTCTAAGGTTCTTGTAGAACTGTACATGTTAAAGAAGATATTTTAATGCATTGTTTGGAAAACTCTTCTCTAGCCAGTGCTTGTATTTGATACCTCTTTAGTGATTTTACCCATAGACAGTAGCTTGAGAATTATGAGGTGATGATCTTAAGCTGCTTTCTTTAACTTTCTAACTTCCCTGAGGTAGTACTTTGGCAGTCTAGGGTGATAATAAATTTTTTCTGGAAATGTATTTCTCCATCTCACTCTATGGACATTGAGAATTGAATGTACATGAAAGGCTCTGGCATAAACTGTGAAAGGAATCCAGACAAAAGAGGCAGAAGAAAGAAAAAGAAAGAAAGAAAGAGAAAGAGGAGAGAGGGAGAGGAAGGAAGGAAGGGAGGAAGGGAGGGAGGAAGGAAGGAAAGAAAAGAAAAGAAGGAAAGGAAGAAAGAAAGAAGAAAGAAAGAAAGAAAAGGGAGAAAGAGAGGTAGGAAGGAAGGAGTAAAGAAAGTGAGGGAAGGAAGGAAGGAAGGAAGGAAGGAAGGAAGGAAGGAAGGAAGGAAGGAAGGAAGGGGCTGTCCTCTGCCCACTTGCCGAAGGTGCGCTGGCAAGGAGCTCAGAGGTAGTCACAGGATGCTCCTAACTTGGGAACACAAGTTCAGCACTGGGAAAACAGACCTTTTAATATAGCATAAAGCACTGTTATCCTGAAGAGCTTACTGAATGGAGCTGGATCCAGATTTCCAAACTTGAAGAGAAAAAAATACCTTTCAGGAAAGCCAAGAGATCAAATGGCTTTCTTGCACAATATTTGGGCCTCAGATTCTCAGAGAAAATAAAGAGACTGTGGCACATTTCTTAGCATGGAGGTGAGGTAGAGGCATGTAAGCACAAGCAGCCATTGGTGAACTTGTGCTGTGAGACCACCAAAGAAACAGCTTAGGAGCTCCAGCTAAACACTTTTCTGATTATGACCCTGAGATCCTTCACTTCTATAACCAATGTGGTCTCAAAGACACAGAAATATATAGGAATATATTGATCAGCATAATGTATGGTCTCAGAGTCAACTCTGGGAATATTTTAAGCCAGACATATCTTGGATTTGAAAAAGTATAAAATGGGGCCGGGTGCGGTGGCTCATGCCTGTAATCTCAGCACTTTGAGAGGCCAAGGCAGGTGGATCACCTGAGGTCAGGAGTTCGAGATCAGCCTGACCAACGTGGAGAAACTCCGTTTCTACTAAAAATGCAAAATTAGCTGGTGTGATGGCACATGCCTGTAATCCCAGCTACTCAGGAAGCTGAGGCAGGAGAATCATTTGAACTCGGGAGGCAGAGGTTGTGGTGAGCCTAGATCGCACCATTGCATTCCAGTGTGGGCAACAAGAGTGAAACTCCCTCTCAAAGAAAAAAAAAAAAGAAAGAAAAAGTGTAAAATGAATATTTATTTTCTTAATATACCTGAGGTAAGATGGTTGAGATTTATGCTGGGTATACTAAGAATTAAATAACTGATTCCACAGATTCTCTTTGGCTCTTCTATAGATTTGACGATATGTAAGTGGTTACTATGCAAACGTATTATTCATTTATTTCCCCAACTCTTATTGTGGGCATTCTTTACAGTTTGCTAATTTAGCCAGGTCCATTGCCTCTCCTTTTCCTGGACATCCATATTAGTGAATAAAGTGGGACAAGTCCATTTCCACAGCCTAAACCAAACTCACATACACATTTACACATGTAAACTTCTATGCACACATGGACACATATTCATTCCCATCCCAGTAATTTGGTACATGGGCTGGGAGGCAGGAAATATGGACTCTAGACCTGGCTCTCTCACTAATAAATTGGATGACTTAACATGTTTGTGATTGTTTTTTCATAGTGGAATGAGTGGGTTTGGAGTACCCAAATACAAGCTTTTTTTTCCCCAAGAGAATGTAGATAAAAGGGGGTAGAGTGGGAGATGGATAGGCATTTAAGATGTTCTAAGCAACAGAGAAAATAGAAATATAGTCACCTCATAGGAAACTTACACATTCAAACCCATGCAGTAACTATAAGTCAAATTATAAAATTTTGGGGCCCTACTATTGATAGACTCTTTCCTTAAAACTCTTCATTTTATAATTTTTAATTGACACATAATAATTTTACATATTTATGGGGTATAGTGTGATATTTCAATGCATGTATACAATATATAATGATCAGAACATGGTAATTAGTGTTATCTATCACATAAAACACTTATAATTTCTTCTGTTCTCTATTTATACGAGATCAATAATTTTGGTTTTCACATATGAGTGAGAATATGCAGTATTTATCTTTCTGTGCCTGGCTTGTTTCACTTAACATTATGTCTTCCAAGCTCATTCACATTGCCACAAATGACAGGATTGTATAATTTTTTATGGCTGAATAGTATTCCATCGAGTATATATACTGCTTTTCTTTATCCATTCATCTGTTGGTGGACACTGAGGTTGATTCCATATCTTGGATATTGTGAAATAGTATTGCAGTAAACATGGGAGTGCAGATATCTCTTTGATGTACTGACTGCCTTTCCTTTGGATATATACCCAATAGTAGGATTGCTGGATCATATGGTAGCTCTATTTTCAGATTTTTGAGGAAACTTCATGCTGTTTCCCATAATTGCTATACTAATCCACATTCCAATGGACAGGGTATAAGACTTCCCCTTTCTCTGCATCCTTGCCAGCATTTGTTATTTTTTGTCTTTTTGATAATGGTCATTCTAACTAGGGAGAGATAATATCTTATTGTGGTTTTGATTTATATTACACGCAAACATTGTCCCAATTTGCAAACAATATAATCTTAGAAAACCCTGAAAACTTGATAATTAATGATGTTGCATATTTCTTATATACCTGTTAGCCATTTGTATGTCTTCTTTTGAAAGATGTCTATTCAGCTCACTTGCCCATTTAAAAAATCAGATTATTTTTATTTTTTGCTATTGAGTTCCTTGTATATTCTGAGTATTAATCTCTTGTTAGTTGAATAGTCTGAACATATTTTCTCCCTTTCTGCATTGACTATAGTTAACAATAACTTAATTGTACATTTTAAAATAACTAAGGAGTATAATTGGATTGTTTGTAACTCAAAGGATAAATGCTTGAGAGGATGGATACCCCATTCTTCATGATATTATTAGTTCACACTGTATGCCTGTATCAAAACATCTCATGTTCCCCATAAATATATATACCACTGTGTACCCACAAAATTTTTAAAAAGAACATGGTATGTTTCTACATTAAACCAAGGTATTTTTAACGTTACTCAGTATGAATTTGTAATTTTTTTCATGCAGTTGTTCCTTAAGGGTTTAAAAATTATTTTGCTGCTATGGGGGAATTGGATTGTTTTCCATTATATTTTCTGCTTATTGCTTACATACAAGAAATAAATTGATTTTTGTGTACTTAAAAATGTAGTTGTTTATTTGTTCTGTTTGTCTTTCTTAGGGGGACAAGCGTTAGGTGCTTTTATTTGGCCATCTTGCTAATGTCGCTTCCCTGATAGAATCTTGCATGTCATGGAATTATAATGCTTAAATAGCCATATTTCTCTTCTATCCATCGGATATTTCATTCCCCTCTATAGCTTCCCAAGTCAGCGTATTCATTGTTGGTAGCTCTAATCATTGTAAAATTCATTCTTAAATCGAGATAAAGTCTGCCTATTCTCAATTCTTCTCATTATTATTTAAATCCATTCTTTCCAAAACAGAATATGGAATTGTAGGGAACAATAGTGGGTGACAAAAATGGATAAAAGATAGCTTCAAAAGAGAAAATCCAAATAGCAAAGCAAATGAAAACATGCATACCCTCTTAGTCATTAGGAGAATGCAAAATAAAACTGGAATAAATTATCTCTGCACAAACATCAGAATGGCAAAAACCTAAAAATCTAACAATACCAAGTGTGAGTGGGAATATATGCAACAGGAACTCACATACATTGCTAGTTGCAATGCCAAATAGCACAAGCACTGTGGAAAGTTGTTTGACAATTTCTGCTAAAGCTAACATATGCTTGTCTTATGATCTAGCAGTTCACACTTAAGTATATGTACACCCAAGATAGATAAATATCTATGCCCACAAAAGTATGTGCATGAAAATGTTCATAGCAGTTTTATACACAATAGCCCCAGACTGGAAATAACCCAAATATCCATCAACATGAGAATTAGTAAATACTAGCTCATTCATACAGTGGAAAACTACACTGTGGTTAAAAAAAAAAAAAACTACTGAAAGACACAACATAAATTAATCTCACTGAAACTATGTTCAATGAAAAAAACCATCACAAAAGACCTCATACTCTATGATTACATTCATTTGAAGCTCAAGAAGCATTAAAACTCATCAATGATGATACAATTCAGAACAGTGGTTATCTCCGTGAGGGTGGAAGATGCCTATAGAATTGGAAAGTGTATGACAGAAACGTATGGGATGCTGGAAGCATTCTGTATCTTGATCTGCATAGTGATTATAGAAAGAGATGCATGTGTACAAATCTCTAAGTGTATATTTATTATTAGTGCACCTTCTGCACTAATGTTTATACTTAAATAAAAATAAATGTAAATAAAACAAAAACGATATGAAATATGAAGGAGGGAGGACCAGGTTAGATACGGAGATGAAGATAGGGAGACTCCTATGTGCCTTGGGTCCAAAACAGGCAAAGAGGGAGCTGGAAATGTCAAACATAACTAAACCAGAACCAACCTAGAACATGCAAATAACATAATGAGTTAGTATATTTCTCTCTAGTGTTTCACTCTGACTAAAGGATGAAGAAGTTTAGAGTTGTGTAAGGCAGGTTCTCTGGGAATAGGCTCTGAGATGGAGATTTATGTGTAGGAGTTTCATTAGGGAGTGTGCTTAGTAATAACACTGGTAAGGAAGTGAAGGAAGCAGGACTGGCCAGAGGAAGAAATAGAATGGTGACGTGATGCATCTTTAATAGAGGTCTCAGCTAATTCACTGGGGACCTCTGGAGCTTGGGTGGTCCTTCAGTGTTCTGAATTGAGACAAACGGGCAAAGCCTTTCCACTCTGCAGCTACCATTTATGCGATGCGGACTTCCCTGGGAAGGGGTGTAAACTTGGGTAAGGTACTCTCTTTGGTCAAGAGAGTACCCAGAGAGGCAGCCAGCTATGAAGTATCAAGAGTCAGCCCTCCTGGCAGCTGGGAAAACTATTGCATTAGTCTGAAAGGGACAATCTGACCAATGCACCAGAGTGTCTACCCCCGGCACCATTTGTTCCTTATAGTAAGTTCACCCCATCTGGGACCAGCTGCTCTAGAGCTCAGAATCCTAGATTCTGATTGGTCTCATTTCCTGGGTAAGCCCACAATAAGAAGGTTAGTGGGATGAGCTACAGACACTAACATTCTACTTGGCTTCAAGGTTATGACTGATTCTCATCATCTCTTTATTGCTAGCCATTCTAGATTATCTCACTGTTGGCTAGCAGCTATACTGGTCTGGGTGGCTTTCCTTATGGGGCGACTGGGACCCACATCCTTGAGGGATTTGAACCCCCAGCCACCATGCCCATCTCAGACTGACTACTTAATGTGCCCATTTACTATTAAAATTAGATGGGAATGTACCAAGACATATCCCTGGGAGCAAATCTATTTTTCCTTGCCCTACTGGAAAATGGAAGCATAAAGTTCCAAAGTGGTCATATTGGTAAACAAGGCCACTGCTACTTCAGTCTCCTTGGATCCTGGTCCATACACTCTACCTATTGAAGACACGGCACCATATAATGTTCCTTTAATTTAGTGTATACTCAGCTTCATCAAAGCTGGCACTCTGTCCTTGCAAGGTGTCATCTTCAGATTGGTGCTTTAGCTTCACCTTTACAAAGTCATTCCATCATTTTATCCACTTTGCAGTTCCTGAGTGGTGCAGTCTATGACAGGATCAGCGGGTTCCATGTGTTCACAGCTGCATCCCTTTTGGTGAAAAGTGGGTCTCTTGGACCGAAGTGATGCCTTGCATTATCCCATGTCAGCAGATCAAACATTCTGTAAGTCTTCAGGTTTGGTGCTGATTGGGACCCAGAGTGAAGGAAAGGTAAACTCATACCTGTTACTATTCCAACCAAAATAAATCCATGCCCCTTCCAGGGTGGAAGAGGTCAAAAGTAGTCAATTTGCCAAATGACTGATTTATTCCTTCTAGGGATATTTCTGTATCGGGGTCAGGGTTGATCTATGTTGCTGGCAGTTTGGGTGTTCAGAGTGACAGAAATTTAGATCAACCTTATGTGTAGGAGTCTATGCTTTTGGCAGCCTTCTTCTCTGACATCATGGGTACTCAACACATGCACTCATTGTGCCAGAACAGGACGGCTGATGACAGAAACCAGCGGACACCAACTGAGTTATTCGGTTTACTTGGTTGTTTGGTGTCTTTTCCATGGGGAATGATCCCAGATGGGTGTTAGAATGCAAGACAAGGTCTTTACACCTTGCAACCACTCCCACAGGTACGCCTACATGCCTCTTCCAAGCCCTCATTCTACCTGTGCTTCTCCTTCTAGACTCCCGACCAACAAGCCTTTGCTATTCACCAAGCCATTCACCGCAGCCATTCATACACAGTCATAGTCCAGATATTTTTATAGCAGAGCACTTCTCTTTCCTGACAAAGTAGGTGACCAGGAACACTGCCCATATCTCTGATAACTGGAATGATTTCCCTTCACCTGTGTCTTTCGATGCCATCTGGGAACGGGGCTATATGAGAGCAGCGGTTTATTTTGGCCTTGCACCCAGATACCAAGCCAACCCCTTCTTAAGCCTCTTTCCTTTTCTGTCAGCTGTCCTTAGGGGACCTACATATGTAGCCATAGATACAAGTTGAAAGAGAGGCAGTTATTGTAGTAAATAATCTAGGGGTCAGGGTTGCTATACTTATACTCTCTGGCTCTGGCTCAGGTCCAGAAACTGAACAAGGATCATAGCATTTTATTGAGATATCTGCCTCAGCTTCCTAATCTTTCTCATTGATTTCTGTTGGTTATACAGAATGAACAGTACACTTGCTGGTTGTCTGTCTACCTTGTCCCGAGGGATTACATGTATTATCAACCAGCGCTCTGTAGGGAAGGCTCCCCTAGTTGCCACTTGACCTTGGCACTTCTAATGATCATTTTATTCACTTGCTTTTGGCTATTCAGCACCTCCAACTTGCCTCAATTATTTCAATATTCTATTGTCCTTGCCGCTATCAGGGACAGAGTTCTGTGACAGCATCACCTATCATCACCCTGGCCTAGAGAACACAGACACCACTGAGCTTCTCGGCAAGACTGGTTTCTTCTGGGTCCTGCCATTGAATATAAAGTCAACTTGTGGGCTTTTAACTTCTATATAGCATGTAAGCATTTTTTTTCTAATATGCCTACTTCCTTGAGTATTTTGATTCCTTACACCACTGTTTGCCACAACCATCTGGTGTTTTTACTTGTTTTTTTTTTTTTTTTTTTTTTTTTTTTTTTTTTTGAGACAGTTTCGTTCTTGTTGCCATGGCTGGAGTGCAGTGGCGTGATCTCGGCTCACTGCAACCTCCGCGTCCCAGGTTCAAGCAATTCTCCCGCCTCAGCCTCCTAAGTTGCTGGGATTACAGGCATGCACCACTATGCCTGGCTAATTTTTGTGCTTTTAGTAGAGACGGGGTTTCACCATGTTGGCCAGGCTGGTCTTTAACTCCTGACCTCAGGTGATCCATCCACCTCTGCCTCCCAAAGTGCTGGGATTACAGGCGTGAGTCACAACACAGGCTAGTGTTTCTACTTTATACAGTGTGGACCATCATTTTCCCTAGGCTTTCCAGAGCCAGCCTACTGACATATGGGCATTGTCTCGTGAGATCTCTGCCATGGTGTTACATTCTGTGCCCCAGAAGAGTACTCCAGTACATGACTTGATCAGCACTCCCTGGACCCAGTCCCATCTTACTCTCCCAGCTCCTGTGGTCTGTGCTTCTTCAGGGTATAGTCCTTTCCCTCCCTTAGGAGGTTCAGCACTTGCACTGTCATCAAAAAGGTTGGTGCTAGCATTTAAAGGAAGGAGTGGGCCACTTCTGCAGGCCCAAAGTGCAGAGAATGACCTGGGGTTTCAAAGTTGCTGAGTGCGTTGACCCAGATGTTCAACCCAAATTCCACCCTCCTCTTCCTTCCTAATTAAGGCTCTGACCTTGGCATAGCAGACTTGCTGAGGTTGATCATTTAATATTCTCTGGACTCCTGAGGCTGATCATCAGCTTTGTTCTGTCCTCTAGCTATAGAGAAGATGAGAGTCTTTTAAAATGTGATAAAGGGGACCCTCTGACTTTTACAACTTACCTTAAATTAGTGATTCATCATTCCGATGGGTTTAAACATATCAGCAGATTTTGACATCTCGGCCAGCTGTTGTGGCTTACTCCTAACAAATATAACGCTGGTAGTAAATGCTGCATGATCTCAGAGGCAAATTCATAAAAGGCAATGCAGCTTCCACGTCACTCTCTTTCCCCTCTTGGGACTTTTCCCCCTAAAAATTCAGCTACCGAGGTGTGATAAATTGAAGCAGTCATGTGAGAGGGCCATGGGTAGGTGTTCTAGCTGAGAGCTAGCATCAACTGCCTGACATGTGAGGGAGCAAGACTTTGCATGATTCCAGATTCTAGCATTTAGGCCACCCCGCCTGAGGCTGATTTATGAACAAAATTAATGTTTTGGTTGCTACTAAGTATTGAGTTGGTTTGTTACAGAGCAATAGATAGCTCTGTAACATTTTTCCCATCATTTTTCTCCAGCACCTCAGTAGCCCTTAGTAACTGCCACCCAGTTCTGCAGGCTTTATCATTACTATTTTCCTAGTATCTTTCGAATGCTTGAGATATTATACCAGCTAGCACCTTCTCTTCCACTTGTATCCCTTCCCAGTTCTTCATTAGTGAAAATCTTTTTTTTTTTTTTTTAGAAAAATAGAAAAGTTGACTACTTTGAAAAGGAAACTATGACAAACAAGTATATATTCAGGAAAGGGACTCCTAGAACTTGAGCAACAAAAAAAAGAGTTCAACCTCAGCACAGTGGAGTCTGCAGTGTCTTTGCAACTACAGAAATGAACTTGTGTTCCTCACATCCTTGAGAGTCGAGATTTGCATTTCTCTACAGAGCTCGGGCTGAATGAAGCAAAGAGACCTCTGCCACCCCCACTAGCTGGCCCAGTCCTGGAAACGGAAGCAGTCACTTGCGATCTTCCACACTGTATTCCTGGGTGAGGCCTGGGCGGTCAGGATGAAGTTCTGGTTGAAGTCCCATTGTTTGTTCCCCTTCAAACTTCACTGATCCACAGATCACAACAAGGACCGTGGTCTGGCTCATTGTGGCTTCATCATGAACAGGCTGACAGTCTACCACGCTGATTTGGAACTCGCTGGAAGGCAACATTTCAAAAAACTCACTCAAAGATTCTTGTCCTGAAACAGCATTGCCGTTCCAGACCAGGGTGGCTGTGCCCATGTACAGGCGGGACAGTGCACAGCTATAGCATGTTGCATGCCAAGGGACATAAGGACTCCACCTACTGCCAGAAAAAGGATCCTCATTGTCATCTGGGCAGAGAATGACACAGCTCCAAAATCCCACTTTAAATTCTGTTTCCAAGGACCACTTGACCACCTTTTGACACAGAGTCCCTGGAGATGAGCTTTGTCTGAGAAGAAAATTTGTGTACAGAAAGTTTATTGGCAATCACACTCAGAAACAAGACACTTAAGAAAATGATGGAATAAAAATTGCGTAGAGATAGAAGCTGACCTGCGATACATACTCAAATTAAATCTTAGTTAATAACATGAAGTTCTCTGCAGCTGAGATGGCTAATGAGAATTGTTCTAAATTCAGAAGAGGAAGCTTGGCCTTTGACCCTTATATCAACATGGCAAGGGGCATGATCTTGAGTGAGGCGTCTCCCAGAGGGCAGCCCCCGGAGAAGGGCGCAGGACTAGCCATCAGGAGCCAACACTCCTAGCAGCTGGGTGAACAAACTCCAGAATGGGTCCTGTAGAGAGGACCTGGGTGATGCACCACAATGCCTGCGACAGGGACGATATCTCTGGGTTAGAGAGGATGGGGATGAAATCGTGAAAACTGGAAGCTTAGAAATGTTTACGACTGGGTGAAAGGAGGTAGTCAGTGGTTATACATTATTTACATGATCAATTCATCCCAGATCATGGAACCCCCTGACGCTAAATCAAACAGAGATCAAACAAATGTGTTTTATTTTCTGCCAGCTAATGAATGCTCACACACATATATATGTAATCATTGTTGTAAATTATTCAGTCTCCTGCCCTGGTAATGCACCGCTGCTCTCTGAGCATGCTCAAGAGTCATTTATCACATCACTTTAGAATCAGCTCCTCCAGAAGATTTCCTTTAATATCTTTACTGACTTTTCAAGAGTTCAGCAACAACCGATTAATTCCTTTTTATCCTGCCCCAAATGTCCCAAATATTTTCATATTGCCTTAAAATATTTATCTTGGGCCAGTTTCCAATCTTGCTTGATTCTTCATCTCATCTTGCTTCAAGGAGAAATTTCCTTTGATGTCCATAGTAAACTACTTCCTTGAAAGGCTACATGTGGTTGTTTAAGAGGATTAGAAAGAAACTTGGTCAGATCACTCTGTCAAGCTGTCAAGGCTTTCATCTTTTCAACCTACCTCCTGTGAATTCCTTGAGACCCTCTAACCCGTATGAATATGTTTTCCATTTTTTTGTGGAGGGTGGTAGTTTTTGTTGTTGTCTGCCCTTTAAAAAATTATTCTCATCACTGAATGGCACCATGGCCCCAAATATCTGCATTAGAAATATTTACCCAAAGGTAATCTTCTACCACATGCTCCCAATTTAGTGTAAAATTACATAGTAAATTCTGACTAATGACTGTGTTTGAAATAATTTTTCTTTGCTCTTTTATTTTTTTTAACACATTTCTACTCATCTTTCCATAGCTTCTACAAATACCACTCTCTCTTGTAAAACCTTTCTTTATTTCTCCTGGGCAGAATTAATCACATTTTCTTCTGGATACCTCTACTAGTTCATTCATTCATTCATTCTGCAGTTGCTTATTGAAGTCTACTATACGTCACATATTGTACTGATTCTGAGTACAGATATAAGAAAACTCCCTGCTTTTTTAGATCAGTGAAAAAGAAGAGTAAATAAATAGTTATTACAGTGTCATAACTTCGATGATAGAGGAAGCAGAAGATGCTGTGGAAAGAGAATGGGGGAACTCAATTTGGACTGAGTCTCAAAGGATGAATGACGGTTTTCCAGTTGTAGGGGGCAAGATGGACATTTTGGTGAGAGGAAGCAGTCTGAGCCGGGCAGGCCTCTTTAGGAGAATTATATGTAGCTGCAAAAGGCTAGAGCACGATACATGTGCAGGTCTAACTAGGCACTTGGAAAGGAAGGCAAAGCCATGCTGAGTCACTTGGGAAGCCACTGAAGGTTTATTCCTAAGAAAGTGACATGATATACCTTTTCATATTATCTTTCTATAAAAGAGTTAACCAAAGGGGAAGAAAAAAGACAATATAAGGAAGTAAAAGCTAAGAGTAATATCTGTAACAAATAAAATACGTGGATTAATATTCTTAATAAATGCCTTAAAATCAGTTAGGAAAAGTACTAACATTCCAGTAGTAGGCAAAGGACACATTTTTTGCTTATATTATTCTTTTTAATTGACACATATTAATTGTGCATATTTATGGGGTACAAAGTGATATTTTGATATGTGCATACGATGTGTAATGATATCCACCACCTGTAAAATTTATGATGTTTTGTGTGAGGAACATTCAAAATCCACTCTTCTAGCTATTTAAAAATATACAATAATTTATTGTTAATAATTGTCACCCTACAGTGGTATAGAACACTAGAACTTATTCTTCCTCTCTAGCTATAATTTTGTATTCCTTAACCAATTTCTGGCTGCCCTCCCTTTCTTCTACCATTCCCACCCTCTAGTGACTCTTATTTTACTCTCTGAGATCAATGTTTTTAGCTACATATGAGTCAGACCACACAGTTGTTTTTTTTTTTTTTTTTGTGCCTGGCTTATTTCATTTAACATTACGTCCTCCGAATTCATCCACATTGCCATAAATAACAGGATTATCTTCTTTTTTATGGCTGAATATCAATAGTATTCCATGGCATATAGAGAGAGTATATTTTCTTTATCCATTCGTCTGTTGATAGACACTTAGGTTGGTTCCATATCTTGGCTATTGTGACTAGTGCTGCAATAAACACGGGAGTGCAGATATATCTTCAATATTCTGATTTCCTTTCCTTTGGATATATACCCAGTAGTAGGCTAGCTGGATCATATGGTAATTCTATTTTTAGTTTTCTGAGGAACCTCCATACTATTTTCAATAATGGCTGGACTATTTTTCATTCATATCAAGAGTGTGTGAGAGTTCCCCTTTCTGCACATCTTCACCAGCATTTTTAATTTTTTGTCCTTTTGTCTACAGCCATTCTGACTGGGGTGACATGGTATCTCATTGTGGTTTTGATTTACATTTCCCTGATGATTAGTGATGTTGAGCATTTTTTCCTATTCCTGTTGGCCATTTGTATGTCTTCTTTGGAGAGATGTCCATTCAACTAATTTGCCTATTTTAATTTTTTTTTTTTTTAACTGTTGAGTTGTTTGAGTTCCTTGTATAGTATGGATATCAATCCCTTGTCATGTGAATAGTTTGCAAATATTTTCTTCCAGTCTGCAGGTTGTCTCTGCAATATGTCAATTGTTTCCTTTGCTGTGCAGACACTTTTGTTTGATAAAATTCTAGTTGTTTATTTTCTCTTTGGTTGCCTGTGCTTTTGAGATCTTCTCTATAAAATCTTTGCCCAGCCCAATAAAAGGAAACATACTGACAGTTCATAAAACGTTAACATGGTTTTTCTTTACATGCTGGAATTAATGCCTTATTTTTAGTGTCTTCTGTATCTATTTCTGTACTTTCCAAATTATCCATAATGATCATATATTACTTTTAAAGTTCTTTCTTAATGGAAAAAGAATAATTTAAAGGATCGCTCTGGTAATGTAAACAAATTTGAGGAGAGTCAGATGAAGGAGTGAATCATTTTGCAAAGCAATGAGCATCTCAAAAGAGGTGTGGCTGCAGGGTGAAGAAGGGGAACCAAACTAAAGAAATGTTTAGAGAGGAAATAAGATATGGTGATTAATAATATTCGATGTTGTATATATGGATTTGGAGTTTGGGAAAATGCTTATGGATTTATCAGCACTGTTGTTTCCTAAATTATTGTAGAAGGATCTATTTGTATAGGAGGCACATCAATAATCCAGATCATTTTCAGAAATCTGGTTTGAAATTAAGTGATCAAAGAAGCACACAGCACATGTGATTACATCAGTGTTTTCTATGAGATGTTAACAGATGTTACAAGATGAAGGACTTCCCTGGACAGAAAATTGGGGGAACATCAGGTTAACAAACTTTATATATGTATTTAAGGCATAGAGTTTCTCAGATTCTTTAATATGCTGAAGTGCACTATGAATCATTAATAGTGGCATATAGTATGCAGCATTTCCCAAAACTGTTTTACAGTAGGCCACTTTTTTCAGACTATCTCTGGGAAAAATGTTTTATAATAGCAACCAGAAACCATGGATTACACATTTGCAAATGTATTCTAAATACAAAATTTTCACTGGAACTAGAAGTAAAAATAATAAAGTAAGAAGAAGCAGGGAACATCTATTATACTACATACAATAGTAACAAATCTAAAGAAGGCTTATGTCACGAGAAGTGAGATGGTTACCAATAAAGCATAGAAATACAGACAAAAGAGGAATAGTTAAGAATTCATAAGGGAAAAGAATGGGGTGGCCTTCTCTATGGACTTGCCCAATATAGTCTCTAGAAAGAATTTCCCTGCTTTAAGGGTGGATGCATTATGAGGCTATCCCATTAATTAAACCTGGATTCAGTGTGTAGCAGTATCTCTCTTTATAAAGTAATATATTAATGAATTAGCGTTCTCCTTGTATATAATATACTTATACACCTCCATGAAGTATGCATGTATGATTAAATCAATTGAGCTTGCTTAATTCTGGGGTTTGAAAACTGAGTTTCTGGATTTACAAAATAAGGGTCAAACAATAAAGCACTTATTTATTTATTTATTTATTTATTTTAGAGACAGAGTCTCTCTCTCTGCCACCCAGGCTAGAGTGCAGTGGATGATCATGCTTCCCTGCAGCATCAAACTCCTGGGCTCAAGCAATCCCCCCATCTCAGCCTCCCAAGTAGCTGAGACCACAGGTGTGTGCCACCACGCCCAGCTAATTTATGTTTTAATTTTTGGTAGAGATAGGGTCACTATGTTGCCTAGGCTTGAACTTCTGGCCTTAAGCAATCCTTTCACCTCGGCCTCCCAAAGTGTTGGGATTACAGGTGTGAGCCACCATGTTCCACCAATAAAACACTTTAAATCCTCCAAGATAATTCAACTCACTTTCCTCTGCCAGCACCCTCTACTTTCCCACAGGCTTTCTTCTGAACTTCAACAACATCTTGGGGTGGAGCTTTTTCATCTTGATATCACCACTTTGTAGAAAAATGATAGACACATAATTGCTACCAGAAGAACATAGCACTTTATTTGTCATGGAAAATTGTAGCAAGAATAATTGTGGTCTTTGTTTTTAAGAGTCTTGTCTGTGATAAACAGCCCAGTGATAGGCTATGAAACCACGAAACATATGATCCAACTGTTCCTTTTAGTCAGGATATTTCTTGGCTAGCTCCATAAAGGATATGATCCTATTTCTGGGTTGTACCTGAGTTATGGTATGAGTCTTAAATAAATAATGAGGCTGTTCTTTGATGCAGAATTTGCCTTTGATTCATCTTCTAATAATTTTCACTTTGTTAACAGATATATGCAGCCAACTGCAGGAAAAAGAAAGTTGCATTTGCAGTGCTTCCAGCTCTCACATTGGCCATTGCCTCAAGAATGGATGATAAATGTGTCACTTTCTGTTCTTGTTGTAATCTCTGTAATAAGAGCTGATTCGTGTTTTTCTGTTTTGCATTCTCCTTGTATTCTCTGTCAGGAGAAATGGTCATTTGTGTTTTTCAAAATGGAATATGAGCACCTATGCACTTTTAATAGGCTGATAAACAGTTGTATTCCACTTGGTAAATATTTCCTGCTTTGAGTGACTGTCCATTCCAGCTCATCCCCATTCATGTAGCATGAGGAAAGGCAAGAGCTAGGTGAGCTGGAAATAGACAATGCATCAACACTTAAAAAGCTGAGGTCAAAGCATTAGTTTATTACCATCATGTTTCACGGAATGTATGAACCATTAAAATTCTAGCATTGTGCCATATTATCGTGATAAAATTTGTAATGGGAAAAAGGAATGATACCAAATGAGTATGTCCTAATGGTACTGGTGATATCATAAGCAAGAAATGGTCCAAACCAAGACCATTCTTTCTATAACACTAAAGTGAAAAACTAATGCTCCCGATCTAAAGCCCAAGACTCTACCTATATACCAGAGACAGTAAAAATAACATCAGAATGATAAATAATGTCATATGTTAGTGGACAATGGGAGGCAAGTAATTGTTCTTAATCCAACAACATGATAACTATTTTTAACATTTTTTGCCCAGTTTTAAATGTGTCTCTTCCATTTCTTTTGTTTGTAATACAACAGTAGTAAGAATTTGTGCTATGTATACTATATTTGTTAAACATTCAGTCAGACATTGGTGTCAGAAGTCTAGTTCTGCATTCACTAGTGGTACAATCCCTGTATTACTTGCTCTTTCCACATCTCCATTTCCTCATCTGTAAAATGAGATAAAGAATATATCCACTTCAAAGGGTTGCTGTGAAATTAAATATAAAGCATAGCTCATAAGAACTGAAATAAGCAACAATTACTATTAGTAATAGCAGTCATCATGTAATAGGGGGAATGCTTTCATCATTTTCCCAGCTCAGTAGGCAATTTCAAGGCAATTTTATAGGGTTGCACTTTGCTCAAAGGCAAAATTCACCCTTTACATCAAGGTGTCCCGACCTCCCCACCTTGTTTGGGAAGGTGGAGTATGTAAGCATGTGGGCATATCTGACAGAGATTGCCCACATGAATGGGTCAGATGGTGAGCTGGGCAAGCTTCCAGAGCTCAGTTGAGGCTAACTCCCAAGGAGGCAATTGATGGACAAAGTGCTAACTCTTGAAGTTCAGTGGTCATAAGTGGCCACTAAGACCAGGGTACTGTGCTAGATTGCACCTGCCCCGTGGTCCTGCTAGTGAGGGAGACTTCCAGCCCTCTGTGCCCTCTTGGCCTCTCACATGCTGCTCATGCACACGGGCTCCCTATCTTCCACACTTCCTTCTCCTAGACACTGAAAGTCATTTAGCTTCTTGGTGTGGAAAAACATCACTATACAAGTATACAACCAAATATTTATTTCTTTTAGGTCAGATAGCTGTTTGCTTGTCCATTTTGTTTTACTGTTTTTGCCTTGCTTTGGGGCCTCTTTTCTGACTCTGCTGTGAATGACTGAAACTGATTGTGGAGGAATAAAATAATTTTCAGTGAACTCAGAGACATGCAAAAAATTCTCCATGTTAATACTTTAAATATGATCCCATGATAATAAGAAATAAAGATTTCTACCTTCAATCCAGATCAAAAACCAAATATAAATATCCTCTTTAACATATATTTGGTATTTTGACATATGGACAACCCCTTGTAACAGGATTTTAAAATAACTTTCCCCCCTAATCTTAAGAGTAATACATGTTCATTGTTTCTTAATTTGAATCCCCCAAAGCTGACCCCGATGCAAGAATTGAGATGCAAGTTGTTTATTTGGGATGTGATTTTAGGAAGTGGGAGTGATCCTGAGGGAGTAGGGGAAGAAGGCCGGTGAGGGATCCCAAGTTATTTATTTGGGATGTGATCTTAGGAAGTGGGGTGATCCTGAGGGATTGGGGCAAGAAAGCTAGGGGAGGGAGGGAAGCCAATAAGGAGTGCGTTCATGAGTCAGTTTCTCACGTGGGCAACTGGACTTAATCTCACTGAGGACTCTCTCGGAGATGGTATCAAGCCCCAGAATCAATCCAGAGGGACAAGAAATGTGGGGTCTTTACCCACTTATCGTCACTCATAGAACATCATCTCTCCAGCAGTTCTGACCCACCACATTCAAGCCAAGCATATTCCCACGTTAGAGGCTTGAGGTAGGAAGCTGTAGGTGTGTTATGAAACCGTTTATTGAAACCACAGGTGATCCCAGGTGGGCCAATCAGGTATAAACAGTGAACCTACAGCATCTGCTACATTTGTTAAAACAAGCACACAAAGCACCGTCATTTCATTGCACAAAGATCACTACTATTCACGTTTCTTTTGGGTTTGTTTGTTTGTTTGTTTGTTTGTTTTTGGGGACTGAGTTTCACTTTTGTCGCCCAGGCTGGAGCACAATGGTGCGATCTCGGCTCACTGCAACCTCCACCTCCTGGTTCAAGAGATTCTCCTGCCTCAGCCTCCTGAGTAGTTGGGATTACAGGCGCCTGCCATCACGCCCGGCTAATTTTTGATTTTCAGTAGAGATGGGGTTTCGCCATGTTGGCCAGCCTGGCCTCGTACTCCTGACTTCAGTTGATCCTCCTGCCTCGCCTCCCAAAGTGTTGGGATTACAGGCGTGAGCCACCACACCTGGCCTATTCACATTTCTTATATGCCCTTCCAGGAGCATTTTAAAACATAAAATGAGGTGGCAAATGCAATCTTTTTAAACTTGCCCTTTCCCCGATAGTAGGACCTGACAGTAATAAGCATGTGTTATTCTCAGTAGAATAATATTGTACAACTGAGTCAGGACCTGAACCTTGACTTATACCAGTTAGTGTTCAAGTTGATAAAGCTTCGGCTTCTGTGGTATTTAAAATGAAAGAGATTTAAAACTGGAAAATAGGCATTTATAAAAGTATTGGGTGAGTGCAAAAGTGAGTGCTAGAATGGGCCTCCCGGAATAACTTTCAGAAAATCACCACTGAACTGGCTCACCAGTGGAGTTGCTACCTCTACCTCAATCAGGAAGGTGGGAAATTTAGAAAACACTGGAACTTCAGGAATGCACCTCACTAGCAGCAATCTAGGGACCAGGAAGCTGATATCACTACAGTGAAGTCACACCATATCTGTCAGATATATTTCTTTTAAAAAAAGAAAAAGGAGGTTGCCACCCAGTCTCTATCCCTATAAAGCTGATAACTAAAATCTACTTCAGAATACAGCCTATTGCCAGGGTTGTGCTGCCAACTAAAATGGTAGAAGTATTCCAAAACCTAGTCTTTTACATTATTTCTGCTTTCCAAATCTCCCATAAATGCATCTAATTGGCAGAAACTAAAGCCTAGCTGCAAGGAAGCCTGGAGATGTAGCTTTTAGGTTTATTATTCTGAAGTAGAGGAAATTGCACTAGAAGGGCCCTGGAATGATGCAGAGGAAGCAAATCCACAGTGTCCTCCACAGATATTTTTTCTTCAAAGTAAATGCATCTGTACTCATTCAACCACACTCTCTTGATCCACCGATGATCAAAGGTATAGCTTAGACTTAAGATGCAGCCTGCATAAAGTCTTAGGGCAATGTAAAGTTAATTGGCCCACAAATTGATCAAAATTTTAACTTTGGAATCATTAATGACACTAAACATATTTGCATACTTTAATATTAACAACCTAGTTTTTAAATCCATAGATTTAGGCTTGCAGAATTGAATGAAGATCAATTCACTTAACAATATTATCTAGGATATATTTGAGGAATCAGGAAAATGACTATCTTCCCAGAAGACTAGAGAGATGGATCAATATTATACCTGTTTTCAAAAATGTGAGAAGGCTGGATTCCAGAAATTTGCCACTAGAAAGTTTGATTTCTATCCTTGCAAGAAATAATGGAATTTAAGTACAGCTTGGTTCCATGAGAAGAGGGATGCTGTTAGGCCCTAAGTAAGTTCTTCTTTCATCTCTGTCTTTGAATCTGTCTTGTCTCTCATCTCTGCCTCTTTCGGTACATCCTTTTCATTCTTTTCACCTGTATTTATTTCTTAAGGCTGCCATAACAATTTGCTATAAACTAGGCTGCTTGAAACAATTTATTTTCTCACAGTTCTAAAGGCCAGAAGTCTAAAGTGAAGGTGTTGGCAAGGTTTGTTCCTTCTGGAGATGCTGAGGGAAAATCTGTTCCATGCCCCTTCCTGGTTTGTGGGAGTTGCTGGCAATCCTTGGCATTCCTTGGCTTATGGATGTATAATTTTAATCTCTGCCTCTGTCTTTAGGTCACTTTTTCCTCTTTGTTTTCTCCCCTTCTCTCCTCTTGTAATAGCATTTGTTTTTGGATTTAGGCCCAATCTAATCCACAATGATCTCATCTCCAGATCTTAATTACATCTGCAAAGACGCATTTGCCAAATGTCACACTCACAGGTTTGGGAGGACACCTCTTTTGAAGGACCTCCAGTCAACCCACTACATTATCAAAGATGGGTTTCCTAAGCATGCCCATGGGGCTTGATTCCCTGTAACCTGAATTCACATGTAATTCTTTGGTGACCACAGTTAAAACCAACATTCTATAACTCAAGAACTTTGTATCCCTAAATCTACATGATTCAATCAATTATTTGTTAGAGCACTGCATTCATATTTTTTTTCTAATTTGTTGTTTTATAAACTTGTTATTATGGAAAATTTCCAACATCCACAAAAGTAGAGAGAATAGTATAATGCACTCTGAATGTACTTAATGTTCAGAGTCATTCTTCCTTCATTTTTCCCCTCATTGTCCCATACCACTGGAATATTTTATAGCCAAACCCAGCCACCATCACACTTGAAAATAACAAATTCCTTAACATCACCTAATGACCGCCATTGCTTAAATTGTTTTTTTTCTTCATTTGGTTTATTTGAACCAGGATCTAAACAAGGTCCACACATTGCATTTGGTTGATATTTCTCCTATGTTTCTTTTAATCTGTGAAAGTGCCCTTCTTTCTTTTTTCTCTTGTCATTTATTTGTTGAAGAAATGGGGTCATTTGTCTGATAGCATATTCCCCTGTTCTGGATTTTGCCTTAGTGTTTTTGGCATGTTCCTCTATCCCTGAATTTCCTGTGAAGTAGTAACTAAATATTTTACCAATAGTTCGTTCTGTGTACTTCCTATTGCAACACATTGAGAGTCACACAATGTCTATCTCACTTTGTGACAGAGAGTTCATGTATTGTCAGACTGATCCATCAATTATAAAGTTCTTCATTAGCTTCTTATCTAATGGTTTCAGTCATCATTTCATGATTGTTATCTAAGTCCATTATTTCTTTAAGGATTGCAAAATGATGATATTCTAATTCTAGCATTGGTTTTTCTTTCTTTCTTTGTCTGATTTTTTGAGATGGAGTCTCGCTCTGTCACCCAGGCTGGAGTGCAGTGGCACAATCTCAGCGCACTGCAACCTCTGCCTCCTGGGTTCAAGCAATTCTCCTGCCTCAGCCTCCCGAGTAGCTGGGGCAACAGGTGTGTGCCACCACGCCCAGCTAATTTTTTGTATTTTTAGTAGAGACGAGGTTTCACCGTGTTAGCCAGGATGGTCTTGATCCCTTGACCTCACGATCCGCCCACCTCGGCCTCCCAAAGTGCTGGGATTACAGGTGTGAGCCACCATGCCCACCTGCTTTTTCATTTGTAACTGTCCTATTTTAAAAAAGGACTTTCCCTTATCAATGAATTGCCCTGAAATGGAGTTCACACAGGAAAGCAAGCAATGTATTTTATTACTTTTCTCATCAATTGTCAGCATAATGACTTGATCTGGCAACTTCAAAGAGTCACTATTTTTAAGTGTTATTATTAACTTATGGATTTTAACATGTTTGACTGTGTTTCAATCCACTTTGATTATTATTCTTTTGGCTACTCAAAGTGCTTCAGCTTTGGCCAGCAGGAGCCCTTTCCATTTGGATCCAATACCTTTTTATACGTCCTCAGAAATCTTTGATTATTAATTTTTTTCTTTCTGCTGTAATTAGATATTCCAGGTTAATCTTATACACTTTCTTTCTCATTCTCAATAGCAAATAAAAGAGACAAAATACCTGACATAAACTTAATAAAAATGTGCAAAATTTGGTGATTAAAACTTAACACCCTCCAGGCGGATGTCTAAATGGAAAGATGTATCTAAATAGTAAGATATACCATATTCTTGGATAAGTAGATCCAATATCAGAATTCAACTCTAAGTTGCCCTAAATTAATTTATAATCACTAATTCATACTATCTTAATGAAAATACTAAGACTTTTTCTGAAGTCAGGAAAACTGATCCCAAGTTTACTTGGAAAATTAAATAAGCAAGGAAGACCAGAAAAAAATTCCTTTAAAATCTGAAAGTAGTAACAGAGCACAGGCTTACATAGATATTAAAATATATCATAAATCCTCATTAAGTAAAGCATTATGTCATTAGCACATGAATAAATAGACCAATGGAACAGAATAGAAGGTTCTTAGCTAAATCTCAAAATATGCCAAAATTCAGTATATGGATGAACATGACATCTCAAGTAGGATAAATATGGAATTTGTAATAAATAATCTTGGGATAGGAAGTTATCCATTTGGAAAAAGACAAAAATGAATATATACCTCGCCTTACAAACCAAGAAAAACTCCAAATTCGTCAAATATATAAGAAGGGAAATGAGACCATAAGATAACTAAAAGAAAATCTAAGTTAATTTCTTTATAACCTTGGACCTATAAATTTGATGCAAAATGCAGAGACCATACAAAAGGAGATAGAAAATTTGACTAAATAAAAATCAAAAACTTTTGCAAGACAAAAGAAAAAACTGTAATCTGAGGAAAAAACACAAAGGGTAAATAGCGACCATTTCTTTGCGATTTATACTACAGACAAATGGCTAATCTTCCTTATATAAACCAGTCCCAGAAATTGAGATGAAAAAAAACCCAATAACTCAATAGAATAATAAGCATAATGTATAAATAGATGGTTTACCCAAAAATGCAGATGATTCTTAAATATATGAAATCATGCTCCTCCTCTTTTATAAAAAGAAAAATTCCAATTAAAACTAGACTGACAAATCTTTTATTACCTGTGAAACTGGCAAAATCCAAAAGTATGAATCTATACGCTGTGGAGCTGAGGGAAAAAGATGACTCTCTTGCATTGTTAGTAGAAGTACTAGATGGTACAATACATACAGGGGGAATCTGGCAACATCTAACAACAATTAAGTACGTATTTTGTCGACTAAGTAATTTTGCTTTCAGAAATCTATTCTACCAATACATAGGAATAAAAAGACATGTGTGCAAGGTTGTTTGGAAATAACTTCAAGTTCAGCAAGGGAACAGATTTAATAAACAATCCATAGAATAAAATACTATGCATCCGTCAAAAAATGAGTATGGGCTTAGTAAAGTGATTTGAGAAATCTCCAGAATATATTTTAGGAGGAAAAAGCATAATGTTTAGGTAAAATACAAGATGAGTATGGAACATCTATTTGTGCCAAAAAGTAAGACAGTATTCAAAGACTAATGGAAATAGGTGAACTGAATATAGGATCAGGTCAAATTTAAAACATCGAAGTTTGAGAATCAGAAAGAATAATGACAGTAATGTACTATAATATATGAGTTAAAAACATCCATGGGACCAAAATGTTACTAAATTTAATAATGTGTATATGGAAGGCAGCTCTTGTTAGTAAGAATTTTAGCTATAATAATTGTAGAAGGAATGACAGAATTTGAAAACTACCATTTTCCCGCCTCAATGCGATAATTAATTCAGACAAGAATCATCAAAGAATAGTAAGAATTATTAGATGAAAGTCTGGGCCATGGGAAACAGGATAATCATAGAGTCTTAAGGGAAAAGTTAAAAAGGGAAAGGTGACCTTTACAATGGAGAAATTCGGTGAACAACCTCAACCAAGTAATCAAATGTAAGGAAATCAATAAAGGAAAAAACTGGTTCAGGACCTCCTGATGTGCTGCATGGGAAGGACATAACATCACCTATGTAGTAGTCTTACCAAAATAACTGTCCTAAATGTAAAATAAGAAAACCATCAGATAAATAGCATATGAGATGTTCCACCAAACATCTGGTATAATATCAGGAAAGACAAGAAATTTGTGGTAAATTTTTCCAGGTAAAAGGCTACTAAAGAGACATAAAACTAAATGCACTTTGTGATTTCCTGAATCAGAGAAAACGTAGAGGACATTTGTGGCACGATTGGGGAAACCTGAATAAGGATTTTATATTAGATGTTATTGAATCAATATTAACTTTGCAAGGTATAAAAAGGTATTTTGCTTACTTAGAAGTTACACATTGATGTATTTAGGAATAATGTGTCATATTTGCAACTTACTTTCAAATGGTTCAGTAAAACAACAAAAAAGATGACTAGACAGAGAAAGGTAAAGGTGGCAAAATGTTAAAAACTGGAAAATCTAGGTGAAGTAGATATGTGTTTATGCTGACATTCTTTTCTGTTTTCTTTACTACTGATTTTATATTCTTTCAAATAAACACTGAATAGTGAATATTTAAAACTATGACTCTTTTTCAAAACAAACTGAACAGTATATCTAAAATGCTGCCTTTGTGGCAGAAATAAAAAGAAACAAAAATATTCGTATTTACATAAAGAAATCTTGGAAATATAAATTTTAAAATCTAATAAAATTTTTTTTAATAGGGAGGAGAGTGTGAGGATAAGATTCTCAGTATATCTCAGTATATAACTTTTTACATTGTTTGCTTAAGTATGTAAATGTAATACCTATTCGGAAAGAAAATTAAATGTAAAATACAATAAATTATAGAAGAAAGAACATGGACTCTGAAGTTCAAACTTCTTACGCTTCATCCAGTTCAATTACTTACTGCTTCAGGCAAATTTCTAAAGTCTTGCTTCAGTTTCCCTATCTGTAAAATGAAGATAATAATACCCAGCTGCTAGAGTTGTTAAAGTAAGTGTTAAAGTACTTAAACATGCCTGGTATTCAGCAAAGGAAGTTTCCCAAAGGAAAGAGTCCTCAAGCCACTAGTAGATAAAATAGAAAATGTCTCCTTCTTTTTTTTTTTTAACAAAAGCTAAACTTAGTATCCTAAAAGAAAAAACAATTCTAAGATTTTAGAATTTCCACAATGGCAGGGGCTGCTTCATGGCATGAGTTTCCTAGAGTCACGGAGTGATGAAGCTAGACATGTCTTTAAATATCACAAAGCCTACCCATTCTTTAACAAAGTTCCATGGATGGTGGCAGAGATGGGCCAAGAACTCAGACATAGGTTTCTCTGTTCAGCATCTTGTTATGTGTTACGGGAGTCACTCAGGCTGAGACCACACTCTTTCATTTAATAAATGGGTTTTGAATGGCTACATGCTGGGTGCCTGGATTTAGCGATGAATAAAAATGTCTGCCCTCTGCGGAGAAGTGAGGGGTGGGGAAGGGAGAAGAAAGAGATTAAAAGATCACAAAGGGGCATGATGAGGCTTTTGGGGGTGATGGATATGTTCGTTATTTTTACTCTGGGGTGGTGGCTTTACAGGTATATGCTTATGTCAAAATACATCAAAAATACGTCAAACTTAACACTCTAAATATGTGCAGTTTATACCACAATAAAGATGTTAAAAATAAAAGTAAATAAAAAGAACTACCAAACAAACCAACAATAGAAAAAAAAATCACACTATCCAAAATTCAGTGCCAAACACTATTTGGGAATGGAATATGTAATTGAAGGAACACTAGAGACATGACTTTGGTCAAGTTGCATAACTGCTCTAAGTTTCAACTTGCCTATCTGCAATGGGAAAAATAATATTAACTCACGAGATTATTAAGAGCATAAGTGAGAGAAAGCGAGAGAAAAATCATCACAGTTAGCACTGTGATTTTGTTTTCAGACCTCAGTTGTTACACAAGAGTGAATCACCCCAAAGAGAGTCAATTGTAACCATAACTCACTCGGTGGAACTAACCATCCACATTCATTCAGATGCCAACCCACTCATTTAGAGGCAACCATTGCATATAGAAATGCACATGCAGCCACATCCCATGCAGAGGATTCAGGAAGGAATTGTGGCCCTGGAAACTTCAAGTTTTATTTGCTGAAGAATCTTGCGTGGTGGAAGTTTTGCCTTTTTTGATAGCTCATTTAGAAAGGCATTGTGATCTCCAAGACCTATCATCTTTGCTTTCCACCTGGGCTAATCATTATACTCGGCTTTATCACATTCAACAAATGGTCCTTTTAGCTCCAGAACCCACCATCTTCAGTAACTCACATGTATGCACCTTGAGGCCATGCATTTGATTGATCTATCTTACAATAATCTTAACCACAGTCAATACCAGTGATCTGTATAAGCAAGACATCATCACGAAGTAAATCTGTGTGCCCATGCCTGCCATCTGCAAATGCATGGGATTGATTTTTTTTAAGTCACTATGGAGATAAGTGATAAAATACAGGACATGCTTCCTCATTATTACAGAAAAATGAGTGCAAATGGCCTAATAATAGTGGCTAAACAACATCATAATTATATTCCAATTACATCTGGAAATATATCCTCTGCTCTTGAGGCTTGCTTGTTTTTCTTATTTTCCCAGTCTTATGATCATTGACTTCAGGGGTTGGCAAACTTTTCCTGCAAAGGGCCAAGTCATAAATATTTTAAGCTTTGCTGGCCAAGCATCACAATCAAAGACATTACGAAGGTACTTATGTAACCATTTTAAATGAAACCATTTAAAAATTTAAAAGTCATTCTTAGATCATGGGTCATAAGAAAAAAAAAAAGAACAGGTGCAGGCTGAACTGGCCCCCTAGCCATCATGTGCAAATCTCTGATTTAGTTGCATGCGATTTGGCTTCAGAATTTAACACTAGTTGAATCCAGTTTTAAAGAGTTATTTTTTCTAAATTAATTAGAACATGACAACCTTTTGGTGTGTCTTGGTGATTTATTTTAGGATGAGAAGGGTTTAAACCTCTGACAAATCTTACTGGACTTATTCCAGTGGAATTACTGGGAAATTGGAGTCCCTCTACTGTTTCTGTTGGAAATGTTTGTTACTTCAGTATTTTTGGTTTTCTTCCATAACCTATTTAACAGAAAACACATTTTCATCAGTGCCTTTAGTCTTTCCCATACTTGGCATCCTTTTAGATCTTAAAAAAATAAAAAATTGTTGGGCTAATTAATTATAACTATTTTGTGAGCAGATAGAAACCAGCATTCGTTGGTGGATGTTGGCCTAAATTATTAGAATTCTTTTAACATATTAATATTTCTTAGACGAGTAGATATTTCTTTAGAGAAATGCCTTTTTGATATCCAGACTTTTCTCGAGGGAGAAATGTTCACAGGGAAACTTATTTTTTTTAACCTAAGTATTTAAAGTGAATGAGATAATTTTGTGTTCACTCTTTTTCCATATTTGGATCTCTACTCCAGTGTTTATTAATTCTTATTTATTCCCCTATTAATGTTTTCCCTTTTTGTTTTGTTTTGTTTTGTTTTGCAACCTGATGTGTTTAAGAATCTTTCCTACTCTAGAATCTTAAAGTTATTATCTTCCAATGACTTGTAATTTTCTTTTTAAAAATATTTTGGTCTTCAATACATTTAGAGTTTATTTTTCTGTATCATATTAGTTAGGTCCTAATTTTATCTTATTTTCCCACATGGAACTTGAATTATACCAACAGCATTTATTGAACAGCTTATTATTTTATTTTGCTTGGATTGTCTTCTCAATTCTACATCAAGGAACTAGATATGCTTGGGTCTATTTCTGGACTCACTATTCTGTCCTAATTTTCTGTTTGTCTATTGTTAGATGATGGTGCATTGTCTTAATTATAATATACATCTCTATATTAATAAATTTTTGACATCTGGTAAGGGATGTCTCCCTTCCCTATTTTGCTTCTAAATACTTATCTTGATTATTATTTGACTTTTTTCATCCATACATATCTTAGAATATCTGCTTTATTTCATGGAAAGCACATTTGGAATTTCTATTGGAATGACATTTATTTTGTCAATTAAGCTAGGGAGACTTATCTGTATGATATTGAGTCTTTGTGAACATGTATATTTTTCTACTTATTTAGATCTACTTTTATGCCCTTCAATAATGTCTTATAATTTTCCCCATAAAAGGTTTGTAGTTTTAGTATTAGATTCATTTTTAGATTTGTTTTTGTAACTATTCCCTATTACATTTTCTTACTGTTTACTGCTTGTTTATAAGGCTGTTAATTTTTATGTTGATTAAATATCAACTGGCCTTCATTAAATCTCTCATTAGTTTTGATAGTTTGTACACATAGATGATCCAAGAGAATTTACAATCATCTTGTCAGGAAAAAAAATGTTAATTTTGTCTTCCCCTTTAGAGCATTCTATAGCTTCTGTGTTTTCTGTTATTATTGCACTGACTAGAAAAACCTATATATCGAATGGCAGGAATGACAGTAGACATACTTGTCTTTTTTCTTACTTTAATGGGAATCTTTTTATTGTTTCATCATTAAAATTTATGTTTACTGTACATTTGGGAAAATATACTTTATCAAATAAGTGAAATTTATGAAATTTCCTTCAATCCTAGGTTTCTAGGAATTTTTAATCTTTTTTTAGGTTTTTCTTTTTTTTTTCTTCTATTATACTTTAATTTCTGGGATACATATGCAGAACATCCAGGTTTGTTACATAGGTATACACGTGCCATGGTGATTTGCTGCACCCATCAACCCATCATCTACATTAGGTATTTTTCCTAATGCTCTCCCTCCCCTTGTTCCCTACCCCCGACAGGCCCCGGTGTGTGGTGTTCCCCTCCCTGTGTCCATGTGTTCTCATTGTTCAACTCCCACTTATGAGTGAGAACATGTGGTGTTTGCTTTTCTGTTCTTGTGTTAGTTTGCTGAGAAGGATGGTTTCCAGCTTCATCCATGTCCCTGCAAAGGACATGAATTCATCCCTTTTTATGGACGCATGGTATTCCATGGTGTATATGTGCCACATTTTCTTTTTTATTTTATTTTATTATTATTATTTTTTTTGAGACAGTCTCGCTCTGTTGCCCAGGCTGGAGTGCAGTGGCACGATCTTGGCTCACTGCAAGCTCCGCCTCCCAGGTTCACGCCATTCTCCTGCCTCAGCCTCCCGAGTAGCTGGGACTACAGGCGCCCGCCACCATGCCTGCCTAATTCTTTGTATTTTTAGTAGAGATGGGGTTTCACCATGTTAGCCAGGGTGATCTCGATCTTCTGACCTCGTGATCCACCCACCTTGGCCTCCCAAAGTGCTGGGATTACAGGCGTGAGCCACCACACCTGGCCAACATTTTCTTTATCCAGTCTATCATTGGTGGACATTTGGGTTGATTCCAAGTCTTTGCTATTGTAAATAATGCTGCAATAAACAAACGCATGCATGTGTCTTTATAGTAGAATAATTTATAATCCTTTGGATATATACCTAGTAATGGGATCGCTGGGTCAACTGGTATTTCTCGTTCTAGATCCTTGAGGAATCGCCACACTGTCTTTCATAATGGTGGAACTAATTTACACTCCCACCAACAGTGTAAAGGCGTTCCTATTTCTCTACATCCTCTCCAGCATCTGTTGTTTCCTGACTTTTTAATGATCACCATTCTAACTGGTGTGAGATGGTATCTCATTGTGGTTTTGGTTTGCATTTCTCTAATGACCAGTGTTGTTGAGCTTTTTTTCATGTTTGTTGGCAACATAAATGTCTTCTTTTGAGAAGTATCTGTTCATATCCTTCACCCAGTTTTTGATGGGATTGTTTTTTTTCTTGTAAATTTGTTTAAGTTCTTTGTATATTGTGTATTAGCCCTTTGTCAGATGGATAGATTGCAAAAATTTTCTCCCGTTCTGTAGGTTGCCTATTCACTGATGATAATTTCTTTTGCTGTGCAGAAGCTCTTCAATTAGGTCTCATTTTTCAATTTTGGCTATATGTGCTGAGGCTAGAAGATCTTCAGCTAGAGGAAGAATTACTTTTCTAATTCAAACCAAGGAACTATTTGATACAGGATGTCTACTTCTTTCCTTAAACCTAGTAGAAGGACGATCAACAGGAGTACTCTGAGAGTTTGCTATGTGTCACCCGAAGTTAGCAGGACAGAGGAGGCTAATGTCTCATTCCCACCTAAAAAAAATCTAAGGGACTAAGATGGGCTGGCTTGCTGCTGACAGCTGAGGCTTCCAGGGTCAGCCTTCCTCCAAGAGTCAGTCAGGGCAAGCCCTGTTGTATGCAGGACAGAGTTGATGTGGGATTACCTTAGGTGATGCAAAACAGGACCACCTGAAGGGCACATGAATGTCAGCAGAAAAAAAGCTTAAGGTATGACAAGATTCCTAGGGCTACAAAAGGAGTAAGTGAGAAGCTGAAATAGAGACATGTCTATCTGCACCAAGAAAACTGCAGACAAGAGGTCTCTAGCAATAGGTAAAGGGAAGGCACTACTGAA
This sequence comes from Homo sapiens, assembly GCF_000001405.40. Lineage (NCBI taxonomy): Eukaryota > Metazoa > Chordata > Mammalia > Primates > Hominidae > Homo > Homo sapiens. The sequence goes on from NC_000013.11 coordinate 39,190,177, forward strand.
CACACACACACACACACACACACACACACACACACACACACGAAAACCTCACAAGACAAAGCATTAGCTTTAAACATCCCTTACGTCCAGAGAGCACATGGCCAGGTTACAACAGTGACAGGCATAAAAAAGAATGCTAGGGTTCTCTTTATCTCCTCTTCTCACCCTACTTTCTCAACTTCAGATCGGCTATTAAATTATGAAAGTACGGAAGACAATGAATAAGAAAAAGAATGAGCCAATTCTGTCTCCCCTCCCCAACCTTTGGTTCCTTTTCTTTTTATTTTCTTTTTTGAGACAGAGTCTCTCTCTGTCACCAGGCTGGAGTGCAGTGGCACGATCCCGGTTCACTGCAACCTCCGCCTCCAGGGTTCAAGCGATTCTCCTGCCTCAGCCTCCAGAGTAGCTGTGGCTACAGGCACCCACCACCTCACCCTGGATAATTTTTATATTTTTAGTCAAGACAGGTTTGCCATGTTGCCCAGGCTGGTCTCGAACACCTCAAGTGATCCACTGACCTTGGCCTCCCAAAGGGCTGGGATTACAGGCATGAGGCATGGCGCTGGGCCAGATTTATCCTTAAAGAAAGTTTGAGTTTTAATATGAGACTTAATATCCAAATTTCTGAGTTGAGACAATATCCAAATTTCTGAGTTGAAATTATGTTTGATTTAGGGTTTTTAATTACCAAGGAATAATCAGAAAAAATCATGAGATTGCCTGAGTTTTTATCCAGGGAATGTTAAGCAATCCATCTCTCCAAACACACTTTAAAGGAACAGAGGGGAAAAAAGTAAAGATATTTTGTGATCACATCCTGTGATTCCTGCTTGTTTCATGTACTGGCTATACCAGTACTATATTTAGGATTTTTACATTTATGTTCATTGATAATATTAATCTTCAGTTTTCCTTTCTGATAATGTCTTTATCTGGTATCTTATCAAAGTTATAGTAGCCTCATAAGAGAAGGTAGGTAGCTTTTAATCTTTTAAAAAATGTTCTTAATTATATAAAAGAAGCATTACCTGTTTCTTGAAGATTGGGCATAGTATTTTTCAGTGGGAGAAAATTCTTGACTACTGATTCAGTATCTCTAATAATTTTGGCTATATTTAGGTCCTCTATTACTTTTTAAGTCAATTTTAATAATTTGTTTTTTTCAAAGAGTTTGCATTTCATGTAAATGTTTATCTTCATTGTCATAAAATTAGTCATAATTTGGGTAGGCATTATTAATGTTTGTCCATATTTCCCATTCTCTTCATCTCAGTGTGCTTTCAGAGGTATTCTATTTCCTCCCACCCCCCTGACATCAAGCCTGGCAGGCTGACTTTGTTTTTCCTGTGCTGTGTGAGAAGGAGTGGTGTATTGTCTCCATTTGCCAGTGTGTGGTTCATAGTGGGTATATCACTGTCTCCTACAGGGTGATCATGGAAGCAAATGTCAGAAGAGCAAAGCAACGTAGAACGCTCAGCCACCTCAGGAAGAACCTTGAAAAGTCACCTGGATATATTTTTGTGAACGTAAATCAGCTTTTGCTTTGTTAAGCTACTGAAGTCTTGGTATTGATTTTACTGCAGCACAAACTACCTTAGCTTGACTAATAATGTCTTTCCTTTTCTTGCATTTCATTTCTTTACATTCATACTAGGGCCTTCTCTCTCTTTTTCTTAATACATGTTTTTAGAGATTTACTAACTTTTTAATTAGTCTCTTTGAGCGTTTTTATGGCAGGTTAACTCTATTTTTTTAATTTAGTCTTTATTTATTTATTTTTTGAGACAGGGTCTTACTCTGTCACCCAGGCTGGAGAGCAGTGGTGCAATCTCGGCCCACTGCAACCTCCACCTCCCGGGTTCAGGCAATTCTCCTGCCTCAGCCTCTCAAGTAGCTGGGACTACAGGCATGTGCCACCACGCTTAGCTATTTTTTTTTTTTTTTAATAGAGACAGGGTTTCACCAAGTTGGCCAGGCTGGTCTTGAACTCCTGACCTCAACTCCTGATCCACCCTCCTCGGCCTCTGCTTCCAAAAGTGCTGGGATTACAGGCATAAGCCATGGTGCCTGGCCTGTATTGTAGGTTAACTCTAAATATTATTTTTCTCATTGCTTTTTAGTTCTATCTTTATTATTTTCTTTGTTCTGATTTGTGTTTACTCCACTGTTCCTGCTGTAGCTTCTAGAGTTGAATATTTAACTGGCTTATGTTTAATTTTTCTTGCTTTTTAAAATGTTTATAAATATACCTTCAAAGCTATAAATTTTCTCTTAAGTACTGCTTACCTATATCCTACCAGTTTAAAAAACTTTCTTTGGAAATTATTTTTAAGAAATTCATGGCTGTGGCTCATGCCTGTAATCCCAGCACTTTGGGAGGTTGAGCCAGGAGTTTAAGACCAGCCTGGGCAACAAAGGGAGACCCTGTCTCTACAAAAAATCAGCTGGGCGTGGTGGCATGTGCCTGTAGTCTCACCTACTTGAGAGGCTGAGGAAGGTGGATCGTTTGATCCTAAGAGGTTAAGCCTACAGTGAGCTGTGTTTGAATCACTGCTCTCCAGGCTGGGTGACAGAGCAAGACCCTGTCTCAAAGAAAAGGGAAAAAAAAAAAAGAAAGAGAAAGAGAAAAAGAGAAAGAAATTCATAGTTTCCACTGTGATTTACTCTTTCCCATCTTTTATTGACTGATAATGAATCTAATTGCATTGTAGCCAAAGGACATGGGCTATAGGTTATAACCTGGATTCTTAAGAGCTTAAAACAGTCATTTTCAAAACTTTTCATGGATGTTTGAAAGGGACATATATTCTCTATTTAGTAGTTCCATAACTTATAGGCAACAATAGATTAAGTTTGGGACTTGAATTGATTGAATCTCCTGTGTCCTTACTAAATGATCCTACTTGATCTTAATTTCTGAGAGAAATATGTTTAAATCTTCCTACACGACTATAGATATATCAATTTCTATTCTGTGTGATTTTGCTTTATGCATACAATTTCATGAGAATTCTATATTTTGGCAGATTGTTCTTTTATCATTAGTAGTGTCTTTCTTTAACTCTAGTAATACTTTTGCCTTTACTTTTCCCTGATAATAATAGTTATATCTTTGTCTATGTTCCAGATATGTCTTTTTTTACATATCTTTATTGCCTTTCTGTTTTATTTTTCCTTAAGTTTGATAAAAAGCATGGTAGAGCTGGATTAAAAAAAATCATCTGATAGAATTTTCCCTTTCCTATAGACTTGCTGTTATTAATTTTAAACAAAAATAAAAGTGGTATAATGAATTCCACAAGCTCATCACCCAGACGCAACACTGATAGGTTTTCCATATTGTTTCATCTATCCATTCCACATACTACTTTCTTTCTTGTCCTTGTCCTTCTTCACTTTCTCGTCCTCATCCTTCTTTTGTGTGAGTTTTTAAAACCAATTCTACTGCTAACTAATAAGGATTTTTCCCTCAAGCATAACCTTGACTCCATCATCAAATCTGAAGAAAAAAAAACAATTATTTTTAAACAATATATAATAGTCTGTATTCAAATTTCCCAAATTGCCTTGAATTTATTTAAGAATGTTTATTAAGGTTGTCAAATAGGAGATTACTTTATAAAAATTAGCAGTATTCATATATATATATATTTATATACATGCATCAGCTACAACCAATATTTTTGTCAAAGAAAACAGTACCTATGAAGAACCAGACCTAGAGAAAATGAAGATGATTATGGCTGGAGTGCATGAAGTGGTTTGACAGAGGGGATGATAGTTGATTGGGCTGGAGGGAAAGGTAAGTGCCACATTATCAGAGAGCCATGCTAAGTCATACCAAGGAGTGTGAATGTAGTACTGAAAACAACCTGGGGCCGGGTGTGGTGGCTCACGCCTGTAATCCCAGCACTTTGGAAGGCGAGGCAGGTGGATCACCTGAGATCAGGAGCTTGAGATCAGCCTGGCCAACATGGTGAAACCCTGTCCCTATTAAAAATACAAAAAATAAGCTAGGCATGGTGGTGCATGCCTGTAATCCCAGCTACTCAGGAGGCTGAGGTAGGAGAATTGCTTGAACCCGGGTGGCCAAGGTTGCAGTGAGCCAAGATCGCACCACTGCACTCCAGCCTGGGAAAAAAGAGCAAAACCCCATCTCAAAAAAAAGAAAGAAAACAACCTGATATCCAATGAAAAGTATTAAGGAAGAAGCAAATGATCAGATATATTGTTTTAGAAAGACACATTAGGCTGAAAGATATAGGATTAGAGGAGTCAAGATTGAAGTTAGAGAGTTATGAGAAGGCGGGTAAGAAATGCTGATGGCCTTAAAGTGGACTGTGGAAGTGAGGAAAAATGGGAGGGCAACTACTGGAAAATTGTAGAGGAGGTAGAATTGATTGAGAATGAAGTAAGGGAGGAATCACAGGTAATGACCAAGATTCTGGTGTAGGCAATTGAAGGAATGGTGGGGTCACTCCCAGAGAAGGATCAGCATCTAGTTTGGCACATGTTGAATTGGAACATCCTGTAGGACTGCTGGGGGACAATTTAAAGAGAAGCTTGATATGTGGAGCAGTAGCTCAGGAGAGGGATGCAGATTTTCAAACTCATATTGGGAATAACTGTACACAGATGGTGCAGTGGATAGAAACTGGGCCTAATGTAGATGAAAAATAGTACATTTGCAAGACAAGAAGAGAAAGAGCTATCAATAAACCATTTAAAAACGGGAGGTCAGAAGAATTGAAGCAAATCAAGAAAGTTCATGTAACTAAAGCCAACAGAAGGAAATGCTTCAAGACTCATTTTTCTCCCCTACTGTATTCTCAGCACACAAATCAGTGTTTGTCTCTTAGAAGGTAATCAAGATATATTTTCTGAATAAATGAATGAAGAAAAGACTAGTTTTCAGAGGCTGCCTAGAGGCCAAGTAAGATAAAGACAGAGAGATGTACATTAAATTCACTATCAAGAATTTTGCTGGTGACTTTGGCAAGAATTGTTCCTGTGGAATGGTGAGCCCCGAGTCCAGCCTGCAGGTGTGTTGAGGGGTGATGAATAGCGCTGAAGTGAAGGTGGAAAGTATAGGCAATTATTTCCATAGAAAGAAGGAGGGAAATAGCAATGCCTGGAAGGTATTGTGTGTTGAGAGACATTTTTATTTGTATGATTTTTAAGATCTGGGACATTTGACTGTTTAAGCGCTGGTGGGACAGAGCCAGTGAGCTCAGACCATGCGAGAGATAGAAAATGAAGATTGAAGATCAGAACAAGGAAAAGAATAGTCCTTCAATAGTATAGTCCTAAGACGGTGGAGGGAATAGAGTTCAAAGAACAGAGGAGGCAACAGTCTTAGACAAAGGAGGGGCACTATATCCCCTCCAGGTAAATGCAAGCCAGATACGGTCAGGGAAGCTAATGAAATTCCCATTTGATGATACCTCATTTTTCTGTAAAGTGGGAGTCAAGACCATTTGCTGGGAATTAAGGAAAATGATTAATTTCCTGGGTTGCCTGGAATTTCTTAATTTATATTTCCATAGAACATATGTCATACCCTTAGGACCTCCCAGGAACCATCACTAATTAAGGCTTTTTAATAGGCCAACTGTAAGTGCTGATTTTCATTATTTATTTCCTAATTTATGCTGCTTTCCAGCAAGAAAATTGTCATGTTATTTAGCAAAGAAGACATTCATCCCTCTCCTTGAAACTGTTGGATATGGAAGTTCCTAAACTGTTTACCACCAGGGATGCCTTTTAGAATATGTTTTTCATTAGCCCTTAGGTATTTGAAAGATGCTGTCTAGCAAACAAATCATATTTATAAAGTAAAAAAATAGACTTCTATTTTTTATTAATTTGATGTAATATTTGCTCTTAGCCTTAAAAATTAACTGATCACCATGCACAATCATGTTTGATTAATCTAATTCCAATCAAAATCAAAGGAGTACGACATTTCAGTTATTCTGTGAAATCTTACTGAGGGGGAGTGTATGATGCTTCTTTCTTTTTAAACAATATTGAAAACAACTTTTGGACTCATTATTTCTTAACAGAATCTTGTGGAAAAGACTACTAGTATACTGCAACCACTTGAGCCTTGCTTTTCATTGCATTTTTAATTGCAAATCTTAAGGCATTCAATACCAAAGTGTTTTCTTTCCCAAGCCGAGAATGTGAACCCCCATTTTTCTTCATGTATATTAACATTTTAAGTGGAAATTTTGATTTATGAGTCTCAAACCCTGAAAATAAATTGGTACCTATTCAGCAAATCAAACCATCATTTACAAAATTACTTTGTTCTTGAAAGAGGTATGTCAACAATCCCAGTACCTAGAAGTAATTGAGAGTGTTTTGTTTCTCTTTGAGAATAACGGTGAGTGACAACTTTATGAAAAAGCTACCAAGGGTGTTCTTATCTACCTAAATTCTAATGCCTTAAAATAGAAGATATTAAAATTATGTAAAAAAAGTCTATTTAATAAACATATCTTGAGCTTCATCTAATGAGCCACAGAACATTCTGAGATACAGGTGGGGATATGATAGATGCAAACCCTGTTCTTGTGTATATTACATGAAACAAATAATAATACAAATAAGCATGGTATAAATTGCTACAATATATAGGAAAATTATAACAAATTGCAACATGAAGGGAAAATATAGTGTGCAATGAGGGATTATAACAAGACAGCCTAATTTAAATGGATCAGAAGGCCCCAAGGAAGTGTCATTTAAGCAAACGTTTTAAGTGGTAGTAGATTTCAGTTGGAGATGGACAGGGGTGGGAGGGATTTCCAGGCAGAAGAAATAGAACCTTTGAATGCTGCATGGTGCAAACAAGCTTTCTTTACCCGCTCTGTGCCCTCACCTAGAGCACAAGAGCCAGATGGGTACTTAGGGGACCTCAGGAGATATGAAACAATTACAGTGAATTTATTTCTGTTAGGGTTGTATTTGCCAAAATGATTTCAGCAAAGGGTGACTCACTTACAGTAAACATTTTCCTTTTGACAGTATCTTAAATTAGATTCTGAAGAAGGACGTGACAAAAGAAGACTAAGTAACCTGCTTCAGCCACAAAGAATGCACAAACTCCTTAGTGCACACTGTGTTACAAAAGCAAAACCCATTAGCTTCAGGAAAAACAGAAAACCAATCATGATGATAAAAAATTTAAATATAACTATTTCTTTTCCTCGTATATTACTAGTGAGCCACACAGGTATTCACTTTCAAATCATCACTACCAGAAAGGTCTCATGATTCATTTGTGTGTTCATTTCCATTTCTTATTTTGACTAAGGAAATGAAATGAAAACATTCGGTTGTCAGCTTCATTCTGGTTCATCATTGCCTCTGGAGTACTCTGAGGATGACGTAGTTTCCTTAGCACCAGCTAAAGCATCCTCTTTAGGAAGGACATGACCCTAATTATAGATGTCACATATCTTCAATTTAAAAGTTAAATTACAGAGATCAGTGCTAATATTTATAAAAGAAAAGCAGCACAAAGCTAATGCAAGTAATATTTTCAGTGTATGGTATTTAAAAGACACTTCCTCATCCCCTGAAAACCTCAATAGACTTTACTGTCCCACACTTGAGCCATTTATAGCACACTGTTCACTTCCTGAGAGAGGAGTAACTCTGCTAAGCCATAGGAGTATTCCCTGGTTAAGGAAAGGTTTACTAAAGAGAACTTCCTGAGAGAGGAGTAACTCTGCTAAGCCATAGGGGTATTCCCTGGTTAAGGAATGGTTTACTAAAGAGAACTTTCTGAAATGTATATGTGCTTTCTAGTGGGATTCAGTCTTACCATTCCTCATACCTCACTTTAGACAGTTAATCTCCTTTTTAGACAAATAAGTTGCCAGATATATTTAAGGCTGGGAACCTAAGACCTTATAAGGCACACAGAAAGAAACATCCTTCTCAACTGTTGCTATGCTGTTGTTGCACTCCCTGGGGAGTTCATAAATTAATTGCAAAATATCTACAAATGTAACATAGGCAAAGTACGTATTTTGCACATAGATATACACTACTATTTTTCCAATGTGCATAGGCCACAGCGATAAAATACATTGCCATTTTCAATAATTACTGAATTCATAATATTCTATTTTTTCAAACAATATGTAGAAGGAACATTATTATTATGTCATCAATTCTGATGATCCAAATATTTAGAAATTAGTACAGTACTACATGTTGAGTTGATTGATTATAGCAGTATTTTTTTCAGGTTTTGATCACACAGCACTAACAGTTTTTAAAAAAACTGAGCTCATACAACTTAATATATGTATATTAATAGACAACATACATGCACTGCTATACATATATATTATATAATATATACACATACATGTTGTATATACACACACATATATACACACAGCCAATAATATTTTGGACAACAACAGCACATATGATGGTGATCCTATATGATTTCAGTGGAGTAGAAAAACTCTTATTGCCTAAGGATGCCATAGCCATCATAGCATTGTAGTATAACACATAACTCACAGGTTTATGGTGGTGCTGGTGTAAACAAGCCTAGTGCACTGCCAGTCACATAAGAGTATAGCACACACAATTATGTACAGTACATAATACTTGATAATAAACAACTGTGTTACTGGTTTATGTATCTATTAGATTGTTTATCATTATTTTAGAGTGTACTCCTTCTACTTTTATATACTTTAAAAAGTTAACTCTAACACAGCCTCAGGCAGGTCCTGCAGGAGGTATCCAGAAGAAGGCCTTGTTATTATAATAGGAGATGACAGCCCCATGCATGTTATTGCCCCTGCAGACCTTCCAGTGGGACAAGATGTGGAGGTGGAAGACAGTGATATTAATGATGCTGACCCTGTGTAGGCCTAGGCTAATGTGTGTGTTTGTGTCTTAGTTTTTCACACACAAGTTTATACAGTAAAAAAATAAGAATAGAAACAAGCTCCTAGAATAAGGATATTAAAAATATTTTTATACAGCTGTACAATGTAATTGTGTTTTAACCTGCTATTACAAAAGAGTAAAAAAGTAAGGCCAGGTGCGGTGTTTCACGCCTGTAATCCCAGCACTTTGGGAGGCCGAGGTGGGTGGATTACGAGGTCAGGAGATAGAGACCATCCTGGCTAACACGGTGAAACCCAGTCTCTACTTAAAAAATACAAAAAAATTAGCTGGGCGTGGTGGCGGGCGCCTGTAGTCCCAGCTACTCGGGAGGCTGAGGCAGGAGAAGGGGGTGAACCGGGGAGGCAGAGCTTGCAGTGAGCCGAGATCGCACCACTGCACTCCAGCCTGGGTGACAGAGTGAGACTCTGTCTCAAAAAATAAATAAATAAATTAATTAATTAATTAATTAAAAGTTTATAAAGTAAAAAAGTTACAGTAAGCTAAGGTTAATTTATTATTGAAGAAAAAATATTTTTATAAATTTAATGTAGCCTAAGTATACAGGGTTTATAAAGTCTTTAGTAGTGAACAGTAATGTTCTAGGCCTTCACCACTCACTCACTGACTCATCCGAGAGCAACTACCAGTCCTGCAAGCTCCGTTCATTATAAGTATCCAATAAAGGTTTACCATTTTAAATATTTTACACTGTCTTCACTACACCTTTTCTATGTTTAGATAAATAGTGATGTGCCACATAGTAACATTTCAATCAATGAAGAACCACTATAAGACAGTGGCCCCAAAAATTATAATACTGTATTTTTACTGTACCTTTTCTATGTTTAGATATGTTTAGAGACACAAATATTTACCATTGTGTAATAATTGCCTACAGTATTCAGTACAGTAAAATGCTGTACAGTTTTGTAGCCTAGGAGCAATGGTGTTTAACACTAGGTGTTTAGTAGGCTGCACCATCTAGTGTGTAAGTATACATCATAGAGTGTAAGTATACTCTGATGTTCACATAATGACAAAATCACCTAATGCATTTCTCAAAATGTATCCTTCTCGTTAAGTGATGTGTGATAATATATATATAATATTATATATAATGTACTTTATAAAAGTTCTGTAAAAGGAAGTTTAAAACAATTGGCTAAAAATAAATGTATGTGTTAAAAATTTCTTCCAGCACCCCTGAAATCTGGTGGCTTCGTTTTGTAAGATCATTGACAGAAAGAGGGAAAGATATTTAAGGGCTGTCTATAGAAATAAGTGGAATTATGTCATCACTTCCTGGGAGAAACTGTACAGGTCAGTCAGACCTTGTGTAGAGGGCTGTTGGTTACTGCTGACTTGTTCAATTTTTTACTGACTCTGGCCTTTAATACAGCAATAAATCACAAAGTCACACATCCACATTGTCTTACCTGCTAAACATATCAGCACTGCTGGAAAGAATTATATGCTGGAAAAGGCAAAAACTACTGTCCGGGTGCCCCATAAAAACTGACCTGTATTTGGAGCAACCTTGGCAGCCTGCTGCACCCTTTGATTGCTGTTCACACTTGACCATGGCTATAAGGGCTGGGTCTGTTATAGACACGGCAGAGTGAGCAGTGTGTGCTTAAACTGGTCTCAATGAAGACACACTAGGGCTGAGAGGGACATGCCTGGCATGATCTCATACTATGAAATTTCTTACAAGGACACTAAATCCGGTTGGTATAAATTTGATTTATCCATTTTCAAGTTTTGGAGAGAGGGAACTATTTTATAACCTTCAAGAAACTTGACAGTGGTGTTATGGGGGTGTTCCTAGTTGTAGAATGCAAGGAGCTATCACTAGATGGGGGTGGGGGTGGGGAGGTTGAAAAGCCAGGGGACCAGGAAAAAGGGAACCTGCTGCAGAGGTTAGCCACAGAGGCAGCCAGGAAGATGAAAGTTTTGAAAGCTGATTCACCAGGACGAGTGGACTCTTCCAAAGAGTTTGACCCAACGTATGGACCAGAGGAGGAAAATGACTTAGAAGCAGGAGTCTTAAGATAAGAAGGCTCTTCTTTTTGATATGGTCAGGGTAAAGGTCAAAACAATGGGAAAATGAGAATACCCAAGTAAGATCCCTAGCTAGTCTTTTCTGGCTGGCGTTGGAGCTATGCCAGGCTTGCAAAAAAGCTTGGGAAGACAGGAAGCAAATAGACTTTCTCATGTTGGTTTGTCACCAAATACGGATGGTAACTGCTAATGTTATGGGAACTGTGATCACTAGGGGATACAGCAGGAAATAACTCCTCATTTGCAGATCACAGCCACTGCCACATGCAACTGACCTCAGACTCAAGGGTGAAAAATTGGGTTTGTCAGGGAAGGCCAAGTTATATCTGCTAGAAAGAGTTTGCATGCTTAGAGATTAGGGCTCCTGAGCGATTACCTAGGTTCTGTTTCACGCCTTCTGGGCATTCTTTAAACTCAAAGAGCCAAGAGAAAGATAAGACTAAGGAAGATAAAAGAACTGACTTGGAAAAGGTCTGGCACTTCACAACAGATCCTGTCCTCAGTGGGAAGTGACAAAATCTCTCGGTAGGCAGAAATGTTGGGACCACTCAACAGGGGAATCGTAACATTTAGGACAATGAAACAACACATATTAGGACAAAATTGGCCGTCAAAAAATAGCTTCTCAATGCTTCTAAAGAAGTGGATGCAAATTTTCAAATAATTACTGGTTTTTATGTATCAGGATTTAGCCTTAGTGAACAAATCTAAAGAAATTTAATTAAAGGAATTAGATGCTTACAGAACCCTTAAAGGCTGAGTATGGAGGATTAACTCCAAGAATAATACCACAGAGCTGCTCCTCTGGGATAAGAACTACCTCTAGCACCATCAGGGAGGGTGGGAGTCAGGAAGTTGCAAGAGCAACTGATGACCACAAGACCATCATGTCTCAGCCACAATCTAGGAAGCAAGGACCCAACTCCAAAACTGTTAGCTCCAGAATGACACCTAACCTCCCAGACTACCTCAGAAACACAGGTGCTTGTACGCCTTTTTCTCTTCATTTGACTTGGTTTCCAATTTGAATCATGCACAGGTACATCTGAATGGGAGAAGTCAAATCATTTAATATAATTAGAGCTTTTAATATTTTGCCTGATTTTTGTAGGAAAAATTATATAAGTAAAAGGAATATTATTATTCTGGTAGTGTTATAGTGTTTTAATAACAAATACATTAAAGAAAAATTAAAATGACAGTAACAAAACCACACTTAAAATTGTCCTTAATTAAAAATATGAAAAATAAAGAGATATAAGTAGGGTGTGGGGAATATTGAGTGAGAATTATCAAATAGGGGGATGATTATTTTATAGGAGGTAAAGCTCCAACTAGAATTTTAAAAAGGATTTGTTGAGCTAGTAGTAAATGTTACAGTACCAGTCAGACACACCTTGTGGAGGTGGCATTTGGGTGCAGCTAATGGGTTTTTTGTTTCTTTTTTAATTTTTGAGAGGGAGTCTTGCTCTGTCGCCAGGCTGGAGTGCAGTGGTACCATCTCAGCTCACTGCAACCTCTGCCTCCCGGGTTCAAGCGATTCCCCTGCCTCAGCCTCCCAAATAGCTGGGATTACAAGCACGTGCCACCACACCCAGCTAATTTTTTGTATTTTAGTAGAGACGGGGTTTCACCATGTTGGCCAAGACAGCCTCGATCTCCTGACCTCGTGATCCGCCTGCCTTGGCCTCCCAAAGTGCTGGGATTACAGGCATAAGCCACCATGCCCGGCCAACAGGTTTTATCTGTCAATAACTCTGGGCAATGCACTGCTGGCAATAGATCATGTGATTACACATTTGCATCACCTTGCCTGCTTTTCTCATCACATGTGGGCTGAAAGGAGTCATGGAATGAAAAAGGCAAAAACTTGCCCTTCTAGTATTTGTAGAAAAAAAATATATAATAAAAGCATCAGTATTCTTCTGGTAATATTATAGTGTTACGTTGTAACGGCAAATAAATACAAAGAAAAATTAAACAAAATGACAGTGACAAAACTATAGAAGAAGTTCTCTTTAATTAAAAATATGACTTTTTTTGTTATATCTTTATATCTATCCCTGGGTTTCAAGCATTACATAGTACCAAAGTCTTCAGTATGGCCAGAGTGGAGGAGAAAAAAAAACTCAACAAAAATGCTTGCCACTTGGAGTGGATGCAGGAGTGGGCCATACAAGTCCCACCTTCTGGATCAAGGCAATTATTCCCCCAGTGGCCAGGAGTATTAACTAGAGACTTCCTCTTTGGGAATTGCCCTCCAGTGAAGGCAGCTGCCTTGCCCAAGGTCCTACCCTTTCCGGGGGTGTGACTGGCAGTCCACATGCAATGACTGGTAGATTCAGTTATACAAAAGTCTGACCTCCTTGCCTCAATTCTGGACAAATCTGAAAGACCATCCCAGCTTCAGAATTCCCCATGGAATTGGCTGTAGTCTCTGTTGCAACCACCTTGCAGTTTTCCCCTTGCATTCTTCCCTATCTTGCCACCTTGCTTTCTTACAAATATTCCCAAGAGCACCCCCAATAACTCCAGCAATCCGATCTTCAACTCAGAGTCTGGTTCCCTGAGAATTCCATTGAAGATATTACACAAAACTCAGGATCGTTTTAGTGATGTCAAAGCTTCAAGAAGACAAAACATGAATCTCCGCACATGGCTCTAGATAATATATCTTTATCCCATTCAGAATATTCTATTGTATCTGAAGGGTTGGCTGAGTTACCCCACCAGGGTATATTTAAAGAAGAAACAGAAATTGGGAGGAAAGAAATATGAGTGAGCACCAAGAAGTCGACTGTCAGCTTCAGATTAAGAGGCCATAGCTCTTTTAAAAACAAGAACCAGCCAGGCACAACGGCCCACGCCTGTAATCCCAGCACTTTGGGAGGCCGAGGCAGGTGGGTCATGAGGTCAAGAGATCAAGACCATCCTGGCCAACGTGGTGAAACCCTGTTTCTACTAAAAATACAAAAATTAGCTGGGCATAGTGCCGCGTACCTGTAATCCCAGTTACTCGGGAGGCTGAGGCAGGATAATCGCTTGAACCTGGGAAGTGGAGGTTGCAGTCCAGCCTGGTGACAGAACGAGACTCCATCTCAAAAACAAACAAACAAAAATCAAGAACCATCCTCCTATTTTTCCATGCCCTCTCTCCTAGCCTTCAATCTACCAAATAGGGAAGGAACTTAGATGGAAAAGAGATGGGAGAGAGACTCAGGGTGTATGAGATTGGTCGAGGTGAAAACTCCTGAAAGTATCGCCTGAAGGCCAGCTGCAGACAGAGGAACAGCCTGATTCATTAGGGAGGATGACAGAAACCTAAATGAGAGGACGCATAACTGAGAGTAGTCTCTACTACTCACTAAAATTTCTCATGGAAACCAAGAAAACTTGTGACAACCCAGAGTTTAGTCCTAATGGTTTTCTCCTTTGATACCACTTCTGGAATTGTTGGAATGGACAGAAGCAACTAGAAAAAGGAGAGTCCCACAGGCATCAATGTTGGCACTCACTGGCAGTAACAGCAATGCTTCAATCAACTCCATTTGGAGCATCAGGACCACTGAACACCAAGAGTATGAGGAATAGCTTAGTATTGCCATAGGGATTCAGAAACCTGGGTAGATTTAGATAGGACCGGAACTCCAGGCATCTACCTAGATGGGGTAAACGAGGAATAAATTGGTGAGTGCCTATGTTCTTACTTTATTGTATCATTACACTCTGGGACTGCTAGGTGATACCATTTTACCCCTGATAGGAGAATCTTAGAGGTTCATCTCTAACTGTTTTGACTGACCTGCCTGCAAACTTTTGGAGGCTTAATCAGTGCGGACATGGGACCAGAAAGATGATTGTTCACAAGTTCACTTTCTCTCTAAAGCAATTGTCAACATGGCAGTTTATGCTACCTCTCAAATTCCAACTGCTCAAATGGTGATTCCATTGCTGAAGCCAGGATTAAATTTACAAATTGCATGTTGCTGCTGGATGGCTACACCCTGGATGGGCAACAGCAGAAAAAAAAAATTTTTTTTTCTAAGAAAGGATTTTTCTCTGTCACCTAGAGCTGGAGTGCAGTGGCATGATCACAGTTCACTGCAGCTTTGAACTCCCGGGCTCAAGCAATTCTCCCATCTCAGGCTCCCAAGAATCTGGGACCAAAGGCACATGCCACCACACCCGGCTAATTTTTGTATAAATTTTTAAATAAATAAATAAAATAATTAAAAGGCCAGCCAATTTCTACAGTCTTGGAAAGCAGTGGCTATGACCCCCAAATAGAAGCAAATCTTATCAGTAACGTTTTTACTACTTAAAAAAAAAAAAAAAAGACCAAATTCCTGACTTGTAAGCAATGAGAAGTGTTACAGAAGCAATGGGGAGTTAGGTAGTTGGCATCACAGGCTCTGTGACTATTTTGGAGCTTTATTACTTGGAACACATTCATCTAATTGCAATCAACTTTCTATAAAATACAAGCATAGCTTCTTGAAGAGAAGAGTAAACATGTGTAAGTTGAAGGGGCACATAAACAGAACCAAGAAATATGAAACATACTGGGAAGAACAACAAGAGCATCCTACCTGAATGTGTACCCTTGCTGCTGTCCTGGAGCTGTTCCCTGAGCTGCACTGTGTGGACCGACATCACTCCCTGCATCCTCTCCTTCCCCATGGGCCTTACCAACACACCAAACAGGAGTCATTGCTTGGTGACTCCTTCTTACTTTCTGATTACCTGTTTCTTTGTGTCTTCTCTGTACCTTCTTGGAGTGCTCAGAGTGTCTCATTAGACTTTTACTTTGAGCTTGTGGTTGTCAATCCCCTGCTGATGACAACTCACTTTGGGCTGGTAAGGTGGGCCACTGTTTGCAAACTCATGGCACAGCAGGTCTGGATAAAAGAGGAAGTTCTGTGTGCAAGTGAGAAATGGGCAACATGCGCAGAGGAGAGGCTGCTGATAGATTGCCTCTCACACTAATTAGCTGGACAACTTCAGAGAGCACCACAGCACCTCTGGGGGGCCTCAATTTCCTTCTGTCTAAAATGAAAAGGTAGGTCTTTTAGGAGTCTCCTTAGTGCTAACATTGTATGACAGAAGACTGCTTTTTTAAAAGTTCTTTTATTATTATTATTATTATTATTATTATTATTATTATTATTATTATACTTTAAGTTCTGGGATACATGTGCAGAACATCCAGGTTTGTTACATAGGTATAAACATGCCATGGTGGTTTGCTGCACTCATCAACTGGTCATCTACGTTAGGTATTTCTCCTAATGCTACCCCTCCCCTAGCCTCCCACCCCCTGACAGGCCCTGGTTTGTGATGTTCCCCTCCCTGTGTCCATGTGTTCTCATTGTTCAACTTCCACTTATGAGTGAGAACATGTGGTGTTTGGTTTTCTGTTCCTGTATTAGTTTGCTGGGAATGATGGTTTCCAGCTTCCTCCATGTCCCTGCAAAGGACACGAACTTATCCTTTTTTGTGGCTGCATAGTATTCCATGGTGTATATGTATATGTGCCACATTTTCCTTATTCAGTCTATCATTGATGGGCATTTGGGTTGGTTCTAAGTCTTTGCTATTGTGAACAGTGCTGCAATAAACATACGTCTGCATGTGTCTTTATGGTAGAATAATTTATAATCCTTTGAGTATATACCCAGTAATGGGATTGCTGGGTCAAATAGTATTTCTGGTTCTAGATCCTTGAGGAATCACCACACTGTCTTCCACAATGGTTGAACTAATTTACACTCCCACCAACACTGTAAAAGCGTTGCTATTTCTCCACATCCTCTCCAGCATCTGTTGTTTCCTGACGTTTTAATGATCACCATTCTAACTGGCGTGAGATAGTATCTCACTGTGGTTTTGATTTGCATTTCTCTAATGACCAGTGTTGATGAGCTTTTTTTCATGTTTGTTGGCCACATAAATGTCTTCTTTTGAAAAGCGTCTGTTCATATCTTTCTCCCAGTTTTTGATGGGATTTTTTTTTCTTGTAAATTTGTTTAAGTTGTTTGTAGATGCTAGATATTAGCCCTTTGTCAGATGGATAGATTGCAAAAACTTTTTCCCATTCTGTAGGTTGCCTGTTCACTCTGATGATAGTTTCTTTTGCTGTGCAGAAACTCTTTAGTTTAATTAGATCCCGTTTGTCAATTTTGGCTTTTGTTGCAATTGCTTTTGGTGTTTTAGTCATGAAGTCCTTGCCCATGCCCATGTCCTGAATGGTATTGCCTAGATTTTCTTCTAGGGTTTTTATGGTTTTAGGTCTCACATTTAAGTCTGTAATTCATCTTGAGTAAATTTTTGTATAAGGCATAAGGAAGGGGTCCAGTTTCAGCTTTCTACATATGGCTAGCCAGTTTTCCCAACACCATTTATTAAATAGGGAATCCTTTCCCCATTGCTTGTTTTTGTCAGGTTTGTCAAAGATCAGATGGTTGTAGATGTGTGGCGTTATTTCTGAGGCCTCTATTCTGTTCCATTGGTCTATATATCTGTTTTGGTACCAGTACCATGCTTTGTTGGTTACTGTAGCCTTGCAGTATAGTTTGAAGTCAGGTAGTGTGATGCCTCCAGCTTTCTTCTTTTTGCTTAGGATTGTCTTGGGTATACGGGCTTGTTTTTGGCTCCACGGGAAATTTAAAGTAGTATTTTCTAATTATATGAAGAAAGTCAGTGGTAGTTTGATGGGGATAGCATTGAATCTATAAATCACTTTCACCAGTAAGGCCATTTTCACAATATTGATTCTTCCTATTCATAAGCATGGAATGTTTTTTCCATTTGTTTGTGCCATCTCTTATTTCCTTGAGCAGTGGTTTGTAGTTCTGCTTCAAGAGGTCCTTAACATCCCTTGTAAGTTGTATTCCTAGGCATTTTATTCTCTTTGTAGCAATTGTGAATGGGAGTTCACTCATGATTTGGCTCTCTGTTTGTCTGTTATTGGTGTGTAGGAATGCTTGTGATTTTTGCACATTGATTTTGTATCCTGAGACTTTGCTGAAGTTTCTTATCAGCTCAAGGAGATTTTTGGCTGAGATGATGGGGTTTTCTAAATATACAATCATGTCATCTGCAAACAGAGACAGTTTGACTTCCTCTCTTCCTATTTGAATATGCTTTATTTCTTTCTCTTGCCTGATTGCCCTGGCCAGAACTTCCAATACTATGTTGAATAGGAGTGGTGAGAGAGGGCATCTTGTCTTGTGCTGGTTTTCAAAGGGAATGCTTCCAGCTTTTGCCCATTCAGTATGATATTGGCTGTGGGTTTGTCATAAATAGCTCTTATTATTTTGAGATATGTTCCATCAATACCTAGTTTATTGAGAGTTTTTAGCATGAAGGGGTGTTGAATTTTATTGAAGGCCTTTTCTGCATCTATTGAGATAATTATGTGGTTTTTGTCATTGACTCTGTTTATGTGATGGATTACGTTTATTGATTTGCATATGTTGAACCAGTCTTGCATCCCAGGGAGGAAGCCAACTTGATCATGGTGGATAAGCTTTTTGATGTGCTGCTGGATTCAGTTTGCCAGTATTTTATTGAGGATTTTCACATCAATGTTCATTCGGGATATTGGCCTGAAATTTTCTTGTTTTGTTGTCTCTGCCAGTTTCAGTCTGCAGCTCCCAGTGAGATCAACGCAGAAGGCTGCCTTTAAACAAAGTCTGAGAGGTCAGAATGTTAGACAAAGACCAAAAATAACTGAAGGGAGAAATGCACAAGCAGATCAAAGAGAAGGACAAAACTCAGGCCCCATTCTCTGTTTCTCCTATTAAAATGAACGATAATGGAGAAATGAAGCGCAAACAACATGCAGGTGTAGGGGCCAAGGGAAAATGTCCCCTTCACCCTCTGAAGGTTTGCTGAAAATCAATTGACAAAAAGCAGATTAATAGTAGAAAAGGCACACAAATTTATTAACATCCACAGGGTGAACCACAGTGATTACCTCATCACACAATGGGGTACAGATGCTTCTATACACTTCTCCTTAGAGAAAATGGAAATGGGAAATTGTGGATTATTTCAGCACAGTAGTAAATAATGTTTAGGGCAATTCAATGGGCTTAAAAAACATACAATGATCTGGGACAATGATCTGTTGGGCCCATTGAGCAGACGACGGTTTGTGACAAAAGTTTGTCTGGGTGTGTTAACAGACTTTAATCTTTCTTCCTGTAAGAGGAGTTTAGTTAATGAAAACCCAGGGAAGGAACCAGGGATCATTGTTTTCATCTTTGATGGGTCTGGACTTTAGGCAGATGAGGGAACTTCAGGGAACAACTTTATGCTGCACTTTAGGAGAGAGAAAGGATTGAGAGGCAAGAAGTGGGGAGGTGAGAGAGACCTTGATGTTTCTTCTTCAGTTTAACATCTCAAACCACCACATTTTGGGGGAATGACCTTCTCAGCCCCATTACAAGTTTAAGCAGCTCATGTAGATGGTCCAGTCTTTGGCTTGTGGGTCCCTGTTTTCATGGCTTATGTGTACCATTTTTTATCGATTAATTGAGCCACTTCTTATTTTTAAAAGTGCTCAGCACCAGGCAGCCCTGTTGCCTGTCACTTTCAGGGGCCCAAGGCTGTCCATTTCTGCCTCCTGAAAGTTAGGGGTGGGCTCTGATTACTACCCAGTATTCTGTCCCTGTCGGAGCATTGTCAGCCTCTATATGTACTCAAAGCTTGGGCCTGATCCTCTCCTCCATGGGCAAGAGCCAACAGAAACCATGAATTATGTTGATAGTGAGGAATGGAATCCTGCCTCCCTGGAACAAGCCCAGATGATGTCTTTGCATGATTTTGATCCCTAGATTTCTGAAGCCCATGCCTGAAGAAATACTTATCCTAGTAGCATTTCCAGTGTTATTCATTCCCTCTTGCTTCCTTTCTTCCTCCTCTCACAATTTTCTTACCTGTCAATCAGTAAAAAACAAACATATGAGGAAGATATCTTTTCAAAGAAAGGTAGTTCTTTTTTATCTTTTCAGGCTAAACATGCAAGCTGGAAGTATTCATGAATACTTCATAAAGTCATTTATACTGGGCCTTCAGCCAAAGTTCTCAAAGGGATTGGTAAGCATTAGCTCACAAATTTTCATCCAAGAACATTATTATTATATCAAAGATGAAAAAAACAAAACAAGAAGTTGTTAAGAGAATGTCTCAATGTTCCATGTTGAAAGAGATCCCAAAATGCTTAAGTACTCTCTGTACCCTTAAGCCATTAAGGCAATGGAGAGAATGGGGTCAGTGCTGAAGTCAGCAGTGCCAGGCTCTGGTCTCTTCAAATGTGGCCTGATGTCCCTACACATTCACAGCTCACATTCTCTTGGAAGACAAGGTCTCCCTGGAAATCTGCTGCCTCTCCTGAATTCCCTATCACCAGATAGTGGATTTCCAGACATCTGGGTAGTTCTTTAACTTCTCTCTCTTCCCTCCTCTCCTGTGTCACCAACTCCAATGAATCCTACTTCCAAAATCTCTCTCAAACTCCATTCCTTTTCTTTTAACTTTTGCTGCCTTTGATCAATCCCTTATTATCTTCAATGTGGACATACTATAAATATCCTAATTAATTTTCTACTATTCCTGTCCTCTCTGAAGCATCTTTTATTCCACCTCCTGGAATGACACTTCTAAAATGTAAACCACAGCATGTCACTCACCTTCTTATAAAGAGGTATAGTCTACCTGTAACCTTAGCAATCCATTGAGCTAGTGAAGTTGCATTAATAGTATACACCCAAATATTGCAAGCTTAAAAAGGCTCTTTCTCTTCTTGTTTTCTGTGAGTGCCTGGAAATGTTACATTACACATGTGCATCATGTGGTTCATCTTTTGGGCTACCACCTACAACACCAGACTTTTCACAACCAACATACCTCTATTGCCCCAGGCACAACTGCTCCCAGACCACTGTCCGGGCACTGTCTCATCATTCCACTTGGGCCACCACCCATAATGCCTGGTCTGCCATCATTGGCTCAGAATTACTCATACATTTCTTTGCTGTGATATGTATTGGAAAGTGAATTCCTGTGATGAATGTTAGGCTCTGTCATAGGGTCCTATGCTTGTTTTCTGATGTTTTAACATTTTGTTGGCTTTTCACACAGTGTTTGTACTCTATCTTCTACCTCTAGAGGGCCTGTGCACCCCTTTAGGGTGGCCAGGTCAGGGATACATTTATCATATACCTGGAACCACTTCTCTCCCATTCTCTCATTCTGTTACTAGTTGGACTCAGAGAACCAAATCTTTCTTCTCTTGGGGTGGATTCTCTGTCAGGCATCCCTGCACCTTCTGTGGTTAGCTTCCACTGGTTGTCTCCAGTGTGTTAGGCATTCCTGTAGATGTCTAGAACCCAATAGTTGTCATTATTTGAGATATTTTCTCAGAAGTTTCCTTAGCTCCCATGAATTTTAATCAAATCAAGTAAGTCTTAAGAGGACTTCCATCAAGGGCTTCGCATACCTTATCTCTTAGGTTCAACTGGGTCCCATAGTACATTTTCATTTCCTCAAAGTATTTACAGGATTAAAATCCAAAAATTTCTCAGATAATATAGAGTCCTTTAAAATCTAGCTCTTCCTGACTGGGTGTGGTGGCTCACGCCTGTAATCCCACCACTTTGGGAGGCCGAGGTGGGCAGGTCACCTGAGGTCAGGAGTTCGAGACCAGCCTGACCAACATGGAGAAACCCCATCTCTACTAAAATACAAAAATTAGCCGGGCGTGGTGGCATGTGCCTGTAGTCCCAGTTACTTGGAAGGCTAAGACAGGAGAATTGCTTGAACCCAGGAGGCGGAGGTTGCAGTGAGCCGAGATCACACCATTGCACTCCAGCCTGAGCAACAGAGCAAGACTCTGTCTAAAGAAAAAAAAAAATCTGGCTCTTCTTGTTTCCAGTTTTGTCTCATTCATTGTCACTGTCCTGACTCCCCAGCCTCAAAATATGTCTCCACTCATCTGACCCTTCCTGGATGCAGAGCCTTATTTGTGTTCTTCTTCGACCTGGAGTGCCTTTTCTGAAACCCTCGTCCACCAAACTCTCACTCCAATTTCAAGACCCAATTCAAGTGTTAGGTCCTTGTGAAGCCCTCTGAGACCCCTCCAGGCGGTGCTCATTGCTGTTCACTCTGCGTTTACTCTCTGCCTGCATCATCTTGCGTTCATCCTAATATGGTATCAGTATGACACTGCCACACATCTTGTCCACCAGCTGTGAGCTCCTTGAGCACAGAGAAGAAATTCGCTTTTGGGAAACATCAGCATTGAAAAAAAATTGAGAAAGAATAGTCAGAGAAATAATAGGGGAACCATAGAAACTTTTCAGCTTAAGTCCTCTGTGGAACAAGGCAGGTATAAAGAAATGAAATATGTCACATAAAGAAACTTTAAAAAATATTAAAAACAGTTTTGAGAATAAACTGGGATTTCTTTTAGCACTTTTAGTAAAAAGATAAATTTTATATAGATGCTAGTGATGGATTAGCAAACAATAGCAGGATGCCTGCTAGTGATTAATATAACTTCTTCAGGATGAAAGGAAACTGTCTACGCTGATAACTTCTCTCTTCAGACAAATCGTGTGGAATGAGACTATAATTACACTGCACTAGTCTTCAAACCAAGGAAACCCATTAGTAACCAAGGATCTTGATTAAATCCTGCAACAGAAAAAGGGGTGATGGAACTGCCTCAAGGCCTCAGTGAGAGAGACTATTCTCCCCAAATCAAGTGTTGGGATGGAGAGACTTGTTTTACGGAAAATCAGATCAGAGAAAGATCTTTTAGATTAAGATTACTACTCATCTTCATGTAAAATTTTTTATCCCCTTAAATAGTTTTGTCAACTCTAATTTATTGTTATGCTGTGGTTTTAAAAGTTATATTTTGTATGATTGGGAAAGCATATATAGCTAGTGTTGAGTTAATTGCTTCTTTGTGAAAACTAACTTTGATCATAAGGCCAATAGCCCAGGCGTCACTATAACCTGTTTGAGCATCACATCTCAGGTACATTGCTTAGGAAGGAAAGTCAACATGAAAATGTACTATTTCTGTTTCCAATTCTGGTGAACCCAAAGATCTCCCTTTATTTTTTCTAAAAACCAAGCTTAAGCAACCAGCTTTATGTTTGCTTTGTTTCTCCTAAAACTTCAGTCCTCCAAGGTCAAGATCATCTTTTAAACAGAAAGTAAATTCAATCCAATTTTATACCCCAAAATCAGGACACAAACAAGATCTTGAAGGAGTAGGAAAAACCCTAGTCTTCAGCTCCTTTCTCAAAAACTCTAACCCCACAAGGGTGGGGTTAGAGTTTTCTTTATGATTCTCTTTGCCCCTTGGTGACCACAAGAGTTGGATAGTAATGAAAGTGGCAGTGGCCCTAGTGGTGATAACTACCGTTGAGACTCAGTTATATGCAAGGTATAATGTCAAGCATTTCCTCTTTCAAATTTCTTTTTTTTAATTGACAAGTAAAAATTGTATAATTTTATGGTGCAAAATATGATGTTTTCATGTATTTATGTGTTGTGGAATGGCTAAATCAAGCTAACTAGCATAGGCATTACCTCACATGCTTATCTTTCTTTGTGGTGAAAATACTTAAACTCTACTCTTTTAGTAATTTTCAGGTAGTCAATGTATTGTTATTACCTGTAGCCACCATGATGTACAATAGATCTCTCAAACTTTTTCCTCCTGTCTAACTGAAATTTTATGTCCTTTGACCAACATCTCCCCAATTCCCTCCTCTCCCAGCCTCTGGTAACTGCCATTTTACTTTCTGTTTCTATGGGCTCAAGTTGTTTAGATTGCACATAAAGGTGAGATCAGGCAGTATTTATCTTTCTGTGCCTGTTTTATATCACTTAACATATTGTCCTCCGGTCTCATCTATGTTGTCACAAATGACAGGATTTTCTTCTTTTTAAAGGGTGAATAGTATTCCATTGTGTATATATACACCACATTTTCTTAATCCATTTATCTGCTAAGGGACACCTATGTTGATTCTGTATCTTGGCTATTGCGAAAAATGCTTCAATGAACATGGAAGTGGAGATTAACTCCTTAACACACTGATTTCATTTCTTTTGGATATATATATATTTAACAGTGGGATTGCTGGATCATATGATAGCTCTATTTTTAATTTTCCAAGGAACCTTCACACTGTTTTCCATCATGGCTGTACTAATTTACATTCCCACCAACAGTGTACAAGGGCTCTTTTTTCTAATGTCAGGCATTTCTAAGACAACAACTCTAACTTTTTTAACAACACTGCAAAGTAGATTTTAGTATCTCTATTTTATATAATACAATCATCTGTGCTTCAAATACACACACACACACACACACACACACACACACACACTGTCCAATTTAATCTTTACAACAATTCTCTAGGGTAGATATTGTTATTTTTATTTTATAGCCAAAAGTAATTGAGCGTCATCGAGGAGAAGTAACTCATCTTGGCTCATTTAAATATGAAGGAGCAAAATGAGAATTCACACTTAAGTCTCTATGATGACCTAGTCTTAAAAACCCAAATCCATACAGAGTGGTCTCATCACTGTATATCTGAATATGCATCCTCATCCTTCCTTATAAATTTTGAAAGTCCTTGAATATAATTGGAATTAGATAACATTTAGTTTAGATTGTTTTTGAAGATGAATGAATTAGTAATAATGGCAAACAAATGAACATCCCTATGTCTTTATCTAATTGTCAAAACTTATTTAATTTTGAGTTAAATAGAATAAATATTTAAAAGTCAGTTAAGTGTAAGAAATCATTCAACATTTTTATAATTTAGACAAAATGGCAGTTATTATTTGACATGGCAGATGTCCTGTGTACCAGGCTGTCTCACCCCTTGCCATGTTCCTGCTTAGTTTTGTACTTGTAACATGTTTCTCCACCTCCTGCCCCACAGTGCTTGGCATATGAGAGGAAATAACTGATCTCTTGTTTTACACCTGTGTTTGGCTGCATGCTTTGTCTGTTTGCAGAGGGTCTTGCTTGGCTGCTCTTGCCAGTGTTCCCTGGTTTGGTCCAGGGCCACTACTAACTCAGGTCTTCCTTCTGTCATAGCAGGTGTAATAAATTTCTATGGCTGCTATAGCAAATTGCCACAAACTTAGTTGCTTAGGCAATACAAATTTACTATCTTTCAGTTCTGGAGGTCAGATATCAAAATGAGTCTCATTATGTTAAAATCAAGATATCAAAAAGGCTACATTTCTTTTTTGGATGCTGCAGTAGAGTGTATTAGTCAAGGTTTTCCAGAAAAACAGAACCAAGAGGAAATATATATGTAGTGAAAAATTGGCTCACACAAGTATGGAGGCTGAAGAGTCTCACAATCTGCTGTCTGCAAGCTGGAGACCCAGGAAAGCCAATAACGTGATTCCAGACCAAGTGCAGAGACCTGAGAGCCAGGGTGCCAATGTTGTAAATCTCATTCCAAGGGCGGAAGACGGCATGTCTGCTCAAGCAGCAAAGCAGAGCCAGCAAATCCTTCCTTCCTCTGATTTTTGTTCTACTCAGGCCCTCAAAGGATTGGATGAGGGCCACTCACACTGAGGAGGGCCATCTACTTTACTGAGTCCACCGATTTAAATAAATGCTAATCTCATCTGGAAACACCCTCACAGACATGCCTGGAAATAATATTTAATCTGTGCACCTCATGGCCTCAATCATGTTGACACACAAAATTAACCCTCACAGAGAGAATCTGTTTTCTTACCTTTTCCAGTTCTAGAATTTGCCGGCATTCCTTGGCTCGTGGCTCCTTCCTCATTCTTCAAAGCCAGCATGGCAAGTTGAGTCTTTCTCACATAAAATCACTGCTTCTGTCATCATACATTTTCTGACTCTGTCCTCTGCCTCCTTCTTCCTGTGATCACCCTGGACCCACCCTGATAACGCAGGATAATGCCCCTATCTCACGATCGACTGGTTCGCAAACATATTTCCACCTGCCACCTGAATTCCCTGTTGCCATGTAACATAACATATTCACAGGTTCTGGGGATTAGGATGTGGGTGCCTGTGGGTGTTTGTTATTCTGCCTACCACAGCAGGGCACATGGTCATGCAGACGGAGAGGCTCATCAGGAGTGGGTGGCAGGTTGGAGTTGCGGTTGGAGAGTGTAACATATAGACAGAGCATGTGGTCCCTGCACTCAGAACCGAGCTCAGATGCCAGCCTCATGATTTGCAGCCGCATGACATTCAACAAGTCACCTCACATCAATGAGCTCAGTTCCATCATCTGTAAAGTTGGAAGGGACCATGTTAATAAACGATATGATACATTTAAATTGATTAGCACAGAGCCTGAAACTTAAGAATAATTATAGCACCTAAGATTTTTGAGCTCTTGTGAAGTGTTCAATGAAATTACAACTATGATTTGGATAACGATGATTTTGATGATGTAGCTGAGAGCCTGAGGTAAAGTTTGGCCAGTCAACAGTTGCAACAGGGACTTAAATCAAGAATTAATACAGCAGAGCTCTGGAGTCTGGGGTGGTCTTAGTAATAATTATTCAAAACTGGCCAGACAGCATTTGCTGCTGTTAAAGCCTAGGACAATTTGCCCTTTCTGCTAAATCATCTGCTGTGTCTTATCCTCTTCTCCCTGCCCTTTTAGGACTTCAAAGATTATTGTTCACCATTTAGCTGACTCTTCAAAGTCAGTGTCCCCTGGCAGCATTTTAAGATGCATAAAGAAGTTCAAAAGCAACTCCAAATTATCAGGGCTTGGGTCCTGTGTCTTCAGATGTCTCCTTTTACCTACATGGTTCAGTAGAGACCATAGCCTTGAAGTCCTTAAAATGAATATCCCTAGGTATAATACACCCTCTTCATCTTAGAAAGAATAACCTTGTGAAATAGCTTAGCTAATGACACACATATTACCTGATAGAAACAATTTAGCAACTGTCACCATATAACAAAATAATGACATCCTGGGTTTCAGGGAGAGACTGACTTACTAAGGGAGAGTATCTCAAAACTAGACAACGCAGACAATCAACTGATTATTACATACACATATCATTTAATAGCTTAATAGCAAATATTTCCAGTTTTGTTTTTGACAGTATAAAATAGGTTTCTTATTTAAAAATTAGTCTTAGGTGCTAAACTATCAACCTCTTCTCCCTGGCCCTGGGATCATTTAAAATAGTGTAATACAATTATAAAGTCTAAGTATCTAAAGCAGAAATGGTCACTGGTTGGCATTTATGATGTCCCTCTGCTCTCCCAACCCCCATCTCCATGACAATCAGCACTGATAAATCAGTTCCAAAATTATAGTCAACGCTCTTCTACAGGTAGGCATGAAAAATCAGCTGGAGATGGCCCACGAGATGAAACCTCGCAGACCTCCTTGAGCTACAATGTTTTAGTCAGATGGGGGGAAGGTTGCTGAACTCTGCAGTTATTGCTACTAAAGAACAAAGAGCCATTCATAACTTACAGAAGCCAAACTAGCAGCTGAAGTCATACAATGAACTAGAATATTCCTTTGAACAATCAATTTTTAATTAGTTAAATACATAGACAATTAAAATATTTCATGTAAGCTTGAAAATCTCCTTAGCCACTCACTCCTGTAATTTCAATAGCTTCTCATATTTCTTATGTATCTAAACTTATAAATCTATATGCAAGGAAATGTATGTTGTTATTATATATTAGTTGGAATCCTAAATACCAAGTTGTAACTCTAAAAAGTTAATGAAGAAAGCATAGAGACATAAGTTACAAAATAAGAAATACAGATGGTCAATAAACATTTGAAAAATATACAACCTTTTAAAATCAAAGAAATGTAAATTAAAATCTTTTCATTTTTGGCATCAAATTTCCACAGGTCTGGTTATACTGTTTTGCTGTGTATTTCATTATGCTGACAAGAGCACAATGAATTGGGTACTCTCATTAAATATTGATGGACTGGCAAATTGATAAAACTTTTCCAAAGGCATTTTACAATAGACATCAAGGAACCAAATATTTAGATCTCAGATTTATTAATTTTTAATAGATATTTGGTAGGTGTAGTTCAAAATATATGTACATAAATACTCATCTCACGATTTAGAATAATAAAGAATTACACATCATATATACAGTATTTATAATGGCCTCTTTATATGTTCTGAAATCTTAACAGAATACATAATCACTAAAAATAAGAGGCCTTTGAAGAGTTTTAAATAATATAGGTGAATGGTTAAAAAAAAAGAGCTTGATACAAAAGTGAGTATGTACATGGTCCCCATTATGTAACACACACATACACACACACGCACCAAAGACTAAAACTAAAATGATAATTGGTTGGGCACGGTGGCTCACGCCTGTAATCCTAGCACTCTGGGAGGCCGAGGAGGGTGGACTACCTGAGGTCAAGAGTTTGAGACCAGCCTGGCCAACATGGAGAAACCCTGTCTCTACTAAAAATACAAAAAATTAGCTGGGCATGGTGGCAGGTGCCTGTAATCCCAGCTACTTGGGAGGCTGAGGCAGGAGAATCACTTGAACCCAGAAGGTAGAGGTTGCAGTGAACCGAGATTATGCCATTGCACTTCAGCCTGGATAACAAGAGCAAAACTCCATCTCAAAAAAAAAAAAAAAAAAGGATAATGGTGACTGCCTTCCTGGTGGTGAGAGTGCTATTGATTTTTATTTTCTTCTTTGGACTTTTCTATTTCTTCTTTGGACTTTTCTAAATCATACACATTTTCTATAATGAAGAGTTTTTGTTTTATAATTTAAAACATTTGCAAAACTAGTTAAGATATCTTGTCAAATTTGGAGTAAGTAAAGATTTCTTAAACAGGATACAGAACAAAACACACTGAACAGAATATGAAAAAAAAAATTGATAAATTGAAAAACGTTAAAACTAAGAATTTACACTTATAAAAAATGTAATAGTGAGTAAAGAATGGAATCTACAGAGTGGGAAAGTATATTTTGCAATACATATCCAACAAAAGAATATGTCGAGAATATACCCCAGAATACATAGAAGATAATCAGTAAGAAAAAGTCAAACAGTTTAAAATGTTAAAATGGGCAAAAGACTTGAGCAGTTACCTTACATAAAAGGATATTGAAGCTGGACATGGTGGTGTGTGCCTGTAGTCTCAGCTACTCAGGAAGCTGAGGTGAGATAGCATGAGTCCAGGAGTTGGAGGCCATCTTGGGATTCCCGCCTGTGAGTAGCCACTGCTCTCCAGCCTGGGTAACATCGTGAGACCTCCATCTCTTAAAAAAGTATATCCAAATGATTAATAAATAAAAAATGCTCCTGACTGTAGACTTCAGAAACAGGTACATAAAATGCAACAAGGTGCCACAACACACTCACCAGCATAGTTAAAATGAGAAAGATGGAAAGTATCAAAAATCTATGTAGAATAACTGTAACTCTCACACACTGCTAATAGGATTGTATGTTGGTAGAATGACCTTGCAGATGTGTTTGGTAGTTTCTATTAAAGATGACTGCATGCACATTCCATGACTTAGTAAGTCCACTACTGTAATATATAGTCAATAGAAATGCGTATATAAACTCACTGAGATACAAGTGCTGGAATGCTCAGGCCAATACTGCTCCAGTGTCCTCAACCATAGAATAGATAGATAAATTTTGGAATTCAGGAATAAAAATAAACAGTCACCCACCACATGGACAAATCTTATAAATGTAAGTTTGATTGAAAGAAGCTATTCTCCAAGTAGTATACTGTATGATGCTATATTAGTCTATTTTCATGCTGCTGATGAAGACATACCTGAGACTAGGTGATTTATAATGAAAAATAGTTTTAATGGACTCACAGTTCCACATGGCTGAGGAGGCCTCACAATCATGGTGGAAGGCAAAAGGCACATCTTACATGGTGGCAGACAAGAGAGAATAAAAACCAAATGAAAAGGGTTTCCCCTTATAAAACCATCAGATCTCATGAGACTTATTCACTACCATGAGAACAGTATGGGGGAAACTGCCCTCATGATTCAGTTATCTCCCACCAGGTCCCCCCCACAACACATGGGAATTATGGGACTACAGTTCAAGATGAGATTTGGGTGGGGACAAAGCCAAACCATATCAGATGCTATTTACATAAAGTATAAAAACAGACAAAACTAATAATGATGGGGAAGTGATTGGAAAGGGATATGGGAGGTTTCTGCGCTGCTGGTAAAATTATTTTGTGAACTGAGTAAAGATACAATACATAGGTCTTTTTAGACTGGGAAAGTTTATGGAGCTGCCTTTTGTAGTTATCATGTCATGGCTTCAGATCTGGAAAGAGTATAAGTTTTGTTGCTCACAGTATCTAGTCTCAGTCAACTCAGTGACTCTTACTCAGATTACTTGATTCAATTTTACATGTCCTTGGTTCTGAAGAAATGTACAGGTATTTTCTGTCAAAATCTAAAGAGCTTTGAATTTGATAGACTCCTAAGATGCATATGTGTTTTCTATCAGCATGATAAAGAATTTTGAGCCAGATGAGATTTTACATTTTCTCCTACATTGTACATTTTTCCTACATTTTGGGGACCATACAACCCTTCTGTCTTTAAGAGATAAACAAATAAATTTGGACAGCTCCAAGGGTTTCCATAACTGTGGTGACAACTTAAGATGCCACTCTACCGAATGAGAACAAATTTACGTCATAAATGCTTTTGCTTAAAGTAAGTTTTGTCAAAACTTATACTGCAAAGTATTTTTTAAACTAAGTTACTTTGACTTTTTAGAACAGTATATAGTGGTTGTGACTTAAGCTTAACTACAGAAATGGATTCAGATCCAAGTTCTATTATTCAAGAATTATATAGCTTGGGGCTTTCTTTTTTCTCAGCTTTAACCAAGATTCATCTATTAAATTAGGATAATAACATCATTTTATTTTATATAACTTTTAAATTTTATTTATATATTTTATATATGTAAATATATTTATATTTACATATTTACATATATGCAAATATGTAAATATATTTATATTTACATATTTACATATATGCAAATATGTAAATATTTTTACATTTACATAGAGAGAGACATGGGCTCCCTCTGTCACCTGTGCTGGAATGCAGTGGTGTGATCATGGCTCACTGCAGCCTCAAACTCTCATGAGCTCTAGCAATCCTCCTACATCAGCCTCCTGAGTAGCTGGGACCAAAGGTGCACACCAATATGCCTGGCTTTTTTTTTTTTTTTTTGGTAGAAATGAGGTCTCACAATGTTGCCCAGTCTGGCCTCAAGTGATCCTCTCACCTAGGCTTCCCAAGTAAATGAGACAACAGGTGTGGATGACCATGCCTGGCTAATTTTTCTTTTCTTTTCTTTCTTTCTTTCTTTTCTTTTTTTTTTTTCTTAAGAAGTGGTGTCCCAGGACAGATTTTCAGCTGAATTCTACAAGAGGTGACAAAGTAGGGCTGGTATCGTTGATACTGAAACTATTCCAAAAAATTGAAAAGGAGGCACTCCTGCCTAACTCATTCTATGAAGCCAGCATCATCCTGATACCAAAACCTGACCAAGGTACAACAAAAAAAGAAAACTTCAAGCCAATATCTTTGATGTACATAGGTACAAAAATCCTCAATAAAATACTGGCAAACTAAATCCAGCAGCACATCAAAAAGCTTATTCACCTCAATCAAGTTGGTTTCATACCTGGGATGCAAGGTTGGTTCAACACAACCTCACTGTGATCAATAAATGTGATTCATTACTTAAACAGAACTAAAGACAAAAAAATCAATAAATGTGATTTATTACTTAAACAGAGCTCAAGACAAAAACCACATGATTATCTCAATAGATACAAAAAAGGCCTTTGATAAAATTCAACATTCCTGCATGTTAAAGACTTTCCATAAACTAGGTATTGAAGGGATATACCTCAAAATATGTAAGAGCCATATATGACAAACCCACAGCCAATATACTAAATGGGCAAAAGCTGGAAGCACTCCCTTAAAAACTGGCACTAGACAAGGATGCCCTCTCTCACCACTCCTATTCAACATAGTTTTGGAAATTCTGGCCAGGGCAATCAGCAAGAGAAAGAAATAAAGCGTATTCAAATAGGAAGTCAAATTATCTCTGTTTGCAGATGACATGATCTTATGACTAGAAAGCTCCATCTTCTCAGCCCAAAAGCTTCTTAAGCTGATAAGCAACTGCAGCAAAGTCACAGAATACAAAATCAGTGTGCAAAAATTGCTAGCATTCATATACATCAACAACAGGCAAACAGAGAGCCAAATCATGAATGAACTCCCATTCACAATTGCTACAAAGAATAAAATACCAAGGAATATAGCTAACAAGGAAAGTGAAGGACCTCTTCAAGGACAACTACAAACCACTGCTCAAAGAAATCAGAGAGGATACAAACAAATGGAAAAACATTCCATGCTCATGGATAGGAAAAATCAGTATTGTGAAAATGGCCATACTGCCCAAAGTAATTTATAGATTCAATGCTATTACCATTAAACTACCATTGACATTATTCACATAATTAGAAAAAAAACCCTATTTTAAAATTCATATGGAACCAAAACAGAGCCTGAATAACCAAGACAATCCTAAGCAAAAAGAACAAAGCTGGAGGCATCATGCTACCCAACTTCAAACTATACTACAAGCCTACAGTAACCAAAACAGCATGGTACTGGTACAAGAACAGACACATAGACCAATGGAACAGAATAGAGAATTCAAAAACAAGACCACACCTACAACCATCTGATCTTTGACAAACCTGACAAAAACAAGCAATGGGGAAAGGATTCCCTATTTAATAAGTGGTGCCCAGAGAACTGGCTAGTCATATGCAGAAAATTGAAATTGGAGCCCTTCCTTACACCATATACAAAAATTAACTCATGATGGATTAAAATTTAAATGTAAAACCCCAAACTATAAAATCCCTGGAAGAAAATCTAGGTGATATCATTGAGAACATAGGCACAGGCAAAGATTTCATGACAAAAAATGCCAAAAGCAATCACAACAAAAGCAAAAATTGACAAATATGATCTAATTAAACAGCTTCTGTACAACAAAAAAAAACTATCATCAGAGTCAATAGACAACCTACAGAATGGAAGAAAATTTTTGCAATCTATCCATCTGACAAAGGTCTAATATCGAGAGTGTACAAGGAACTTAAACAAATTTACAGGAAAAAAACAAACAAAAAGTCGTTGAAAAGACAGTTCTCAAAAGAAAACATACGTGTGGCCAACAAACATATGAAGAAAACTCAATATCACTGATCATTAGAAAAATGCAAATTGAAATCACAATGAAATACCATCTTATGCCAGTCAGAATGACTATTATTAAAAAAGTCAAAAACCAACAGATGCTGGCAAGGTTGCAGAGAAAAAGGAGTGCTTTTACACTGTTGAAGGGAGTGTAATTAGTTCAACCATTGTGGAAGACAGTGTGGCAATCCTTCAATGACCTAGAGGCAGAAATACCACCTGACCCAGCAATCCTATTACTGGGTATATACCCAAAGTAATATAAATCATTCTATATGTTCACTATAGCACTATTCACAATAGCAAAGACATAGAATGAATCTAGATACCCATCAATGATAGACTGGATAAAGAAAATGTGGTTCATATACATCGTGGAATACTATGCAGCCATAAAAGGCATGAGATCATGGCCTTTGCAGGGACATGGATGAAGTTGGAAGCCATTATCCTCAGCAAACTAACACAGCGACAGGAAACCAAACACCGCATGTTCTCACTTCTAAGTGGTAGTGAATGATGAGAGCACATGGACAGATGCGGGGAACAACACACACTGGAGCCTGTCGAGGGGGCGGGGGAGGGAGAGCATCAGAAAGAATAGCTAATGGATGCTGGACTTAATACTTAGATGATGGGATGATCTGTGCAGCAAACCACCATGGCACACATTTACCTATGTAACAAACTTGCGCATCCTGCACATGTACCCATGAAATTAAAATTAAAGTTGAAAACAAACAAACAAAAAAAATGGGGTCCCACTACGTTGCCCAGGCTGGTCTCAAACTCCTGACCTCAAGTGATTCTCCTGCCTTGGCCTCCCAAATTATAGGATACAGGCATGAGCCACCATGCCTGGCCTATACGCCTGTTTTGATGATTAAATGAATAGCATAATTTTGGTCCACTATGGAATCTTAATAAATATTAGCTATTATCACTATGATATTCTCATTACAGAAAACTTGGTAGATCTGTTTTCTAAAACAGATAAAGAAAAAATTATTTTTAGTTCCATGATCATAGATCAGTGTAGCTACGGCTTTGATCCTTTGCCCAAGATGGCAGTGACCATTTTCAAGACCCCTTCATTTGTGCTCTTCTTCTTTACACCCTCAGCTGTATTGTACCTCCTCCACCTAATGACTACGACTGCCACTGTGATATTGAGTGGTAACTACAGGATGAGAAGGCTAATCAGGAAATCCAAGGCCTTCTTTGGTGTCTCAGAAAAGTACAAGTTCAAAGCTGGCCAAGTCATTCATATTCTTAAAACCCCTTCCAATTATGACATTCCATGATTCTGTCTCCTCATCTATCGGTAACTTTGCCATGGAAAAGTCAACTTATGTCCTAGTCAAATCAATTCCCTGGCATTTTCAGACTAAACATGCATTTGATGGATGGAATCCTTTTCCATGATGCCAGACACCTGGTTAGAAACATTTCATGTCTGTTTGTTTTGGCTTCATATATGCACGGCCTGAATTAGTCACTTTGTAAACTTTTTGTTGAGGGATTAAGAAGGGATACATTTGAATGACTAAAAAGGTAAGGCTCCTGAGATCTTTATCTCGTATTTTCAACAAGATGTTCAGTATCTTAGCCTATTTTTCCAAAAATAAAAGTCTTAGATAGTAAACGTCATGATAAATAACTACATTTTAGTTTATGTTTTACAAGGAAATTTTCTTTTTTATTCCTTGATTCAGTCACTCTCTTGTTATATATGCTCTTGGCAATCTGCATATCTGCTTCCTAGCACTTTATTAGTTTTAAAAAATGAGTAAATTTTGGATTTCGTTCTTGTCACTAGACTGTGGCTCCAGGAGAACAGCAATTATGTCCATGTGTTTATTTTATCTCCAGAGCACATTACAGTACCTGGCACATAGTATAAAGCTGATAGTGTCTCTTTCAGTAATATTTATAGTCCTCTGTGCTGAGGATACAAAGATAAATCATGAATAGTACCTGTCCTCAACGAACTCACAATACAGTAGAAAAACTGATCATTGTATTGATAAAAACACCCACAGGGATTATAAGAACACAGAAATGGAGCATCCAAGATACAGACAGAAATGTAAAGAGGTGCTGGGGAGCGCTTTTTCGAGGCAGTAAAACCTGAGTTGTTTGTTGCAAACTGAACCAAGTCAGTTTAGTCATGTACAACTCTTAGGTACTTTTTGGTAGATATATGTAGCTACCCAAAAAGTCTGAGATGGGAAGGGTTAGCCACCCTCCCTCACCCTTGCTACCAGCTCAGAAAGCCTCAGAACAAATTCAACCACAATTTATTAGACACAACACCCTTGAGCAACGCAGATACAAAACATCCATACAAATGTCCTGTAAGTCGGTGAAGTTCTGAAAGTTTCATTCCAGGAAGACAGGAAAATCTTCCTAGAGCAGGATTCCATTGCTTTTTCTCTGCACCATTCAGTCAAAACACATCCTAAACCAATGCTGGATAGAAGGCCACTGGAGAGTACGTAGGGCACCATGCCTAAGAATACAGGTTACAAATGTGCTGTTTACTTAGAGCCTGTTCAGGCTAGTGCAGAGAGTGGAGCTCAACTCTTTTAGT
Source organism: Homo sapiens (assembly GCF_000001405.40). Lineage (NCBI taxonomy): Eukaryota > Metazoa > Chordata > Mammalia > Primates > Hominidae > Homo > Homo sapiens. The sequence goes on from NC_000013.11 coordinate 39,226,140, forward strand.
GAATCCACATAATTAATAGTGTTAATTTTGTAATGAAAGCTCATTTCTAACAGTCATCATGGTAATAAGTCACCAGCTTTTCTTGACACTCATCATGGTAAAGCGGTATCACTTATGGATCGAGAGAGTCCACAGCAGGCTTGTAGTAGTTTCCCCGGGGAGGGAGAGCTACTGACCACCCTTAGCCTGGGCGTTTGGGTGACATGTTAGCTCCCCATTCCACAGTGGAAGCATAAACTAACTGGCACATACATAATATCACTTTGATAAACTGAAGCATTTTAAAATGAATTTGTGATACTGTAACAATCTGTCCAATGCTAGTGTTAAAAAAAGAGTAGGAACTCCCTGGGGTGGGGGAAAGTAGTGCCGTCCAGGCAGAGAGGAACATGTGAGGTGCCTCAAATAGCCCAAGCTCATTCCCACAGCAGAGCCCTCCCACGTGCTCCTCCCTCTGCCTGGAATGCTCTGCCTCTATGTGTTCTCATGGATCCCTCTCTTACTTCACTCAGGTATTTGCCCAAAAGAAAAGGATCCCAGTCTTTACTATTGTAAATAGTGCTGCAATAAACATGCGTGTGCATGTGTCATGGACACAGGGAGTGGAACATCACACATCGGGGCCTGTCAGGGAGTAGGGGGCAAGGGGAGGGAGAGTATTAGGACAAATACCTAATGCATGCAGGGCTTAAAACCTAAATGACGGGTTGATGGGTGCAGCAAACCACCATGGCACATGTATACCTGTGCAACAAACCTGCACGTTCTGCACATCTATCCCAGAACTTAAAGTAAAATAAAAAATTTTAAAAAAAGAGAAAGGGATCCCACAGAGAAGCTTTTGGTGATGAATAAAAATTTTTCCTACCGTAACTATTCTTGTATCCATTTGCATTTTCTTCAGATCACTTTTCCTATCTGAAATTACCTAATTTTAAAAATTGTACTTTTCTCTATCTCCCGCTCCAGGATAAGCTTCATGAAGGAAGGAACTTAGTCTTGATCATTTGTGTCCTCAGGGCTCAGTATAGTGGCTGGGATACAGTAAGTGCTTAATAAAAAAGAATCTATGCCTCTATCCTCTCTGAATATATGCATAGAGAAGTGTCTAGAATGGTGATCATCTAATGTCAATGATTCTTTTGGAAAATATATTTAATATATTGAAATATAATACAATACATTGTTGATGCAGTATATTAAAAATGTCTATTTAAGTACATTTTGCTGTGGTTTTAAATTGATATAAAATAGCTTTCATTTCTGAGAGCAATATCTGAAGGTCAGGAAGTCACTTGCATTTTTATTATTTTAAACATATTTTTCATTAAACCATATAGCTGTGCTTTGCCATTAATTAGACATTAACCAAAGAACCTATCACATTCAAGCAAGAGCTATACTTAGCAAAAATCAATATTTTAAATCCTAGCCTCTAGCTCTTCATGTAGAAAGGTCTTGGGATGCAAGCTGCCTTACACTGGAAGGAAAATGGAATGCTGAGAGAAAAATCAGAACTAGCTGTGAAACTGTTGCTGCTACTTTTCAAAATCTTTAATCTTTGTAATACAGTTGACCCTTGAACAACACACGGGTTAGAGGCACAAATCCCTGCACAATCAAAATCTAAGTTTATCTTTTGACTCCCCAAATAACTACTAATAGCTTACTGCTTACTGGAAGCCTTACCTGTAACATAAATTGTCAATTAATACATATTGTGAGCCGAGATCGCGCCACTACACTCCAGCCTGGGCGACAGCGAGACTCCGTCTCGAAAAAAAAAAAAAAACGTATTGTGTATGTTACATGTGTCACATGCTGTGTTCTTATTATAAAATAAGCAAGAGAAAAAAATTATTAACAAAATCTTAAAGAAAAGAACATATGTTTACAGTATTGTACTGTATTTATTGATACCATAAGTTTATGTTGACGACAAGATGAATGAATTATCTATCTGAAATGGTGGCAACTACAGTTGCAGATCAATCTACAATATGTATCAAGCAATTAAACTTTTTCTTGTAATGTCATGACTTTTCTCTGCTTCTTTAGAGCACTGCAAGCATAACTAGTGGCACTTTGTATAGGTCCCACGTTGTCATTCAAGGTGTAAAATATGAAAAATATGTGAGAACCACAAAAGATCACTTTTGTTTGTTTGTTCTTGGTTTTGTTTTTGTTTTGGTGACAGAGTCTTGCTCTGTCACCCAGGCTAGGGTGCAGTGGTATAAACATTGCTCACTGCAGCCTTGCCCTCCTGGGTTGAAGTGATCCTCCTCCCAAGTAGCTAGGACCACACGTGCACATCACTTACAACACTTGAGCTCACTGCAATAGCAAGAGGAGGTAGCTATAAAATTCTTAGTAGTACAACATGGACTACAGTTAATTTTATGCCATTTTCATTTAATACTGCTTCTTCATGTTTACTTTTCTCTTGACTGTGAATAGAGCCCTGTACAGTCTATAAGGGTGTGTGTAAGTTTTGATAAATTTTAGCTTTTTATATAAGATTTGTGTTTACTTTATGGTAGGAGATGATAAAATAGACTCATATTTGCATTTTCTACTTCGCCAGCTGCAGCTTCGACCTCCCCAGCTCAGGTGATCTTCCTAGCTCGGCCTCCCAAGTAGCTAGGACTATAGGAGTATGTCACCATGCTTGGCTAATTTTTGCATTTTTTGTAGAGATAGGGTCTCACCATGTTGCCCAGGCTGGTCTTGAACTCCTGGGCTCAAACCATTCTCCGCCTTGGCCTCCCAAAGTGCTGGGCTTATAGGCATGAGCCATAGCACCCAGCCTAGTATCTGCATATTTTATGCATCTGTGACATACTTAAGTTTTTCTTAATTTTTTTGACATTTGTAGGCTACCTGGTTTGTCTTCAGGTTTTTTCAAATTGTTACAAATCTCCAAAACATTTTCCAATTTATTTATCGAAAAAAAATCCACATATAAGTGGACCCAAGCAGTTCAGAACAAGACTCATGTTGTTCAAAGGTCCAACGAAATTCACAGAACTGTCTCCATATTGTAGACCTCCAGGGAATTTGTGATATCTAACATAGACCCAGGTGATCCTATCTTACAGATTCATTATGGTTTTGTTGATTCAATCTTTAAAAAAACAAACTGATGCATATAGTCCAGTCTACTCATTTCGAAGGGTGGGGGCAGAGATAATGCTTAGAATGTCAAGGACGTGCATGAAGTCACATAGCCAGAGAGTTACTAAAATGATACTAAACATGCATTATCTACTTATCAGACTAAAATTGTTTCCTCCATCCTGCAAATACTTAAGATTTGCATTTTAAAACGCCCAATTCATTTTTAACACTAATTTAATTTTTTTCCTAGAGACATTTTGTTCTTGCCTTGGTTAATGTTATTCATCAAATTGGCTAGGCTATGGTGCCCGGTTGTCTGGTCCAACAGCGTCTAGATGTTGCTGTGAAGTCATTCTTCTTTAGATGTGATTAACATTTAAATAGTAGACTTTGAGTAAAGCAGATTACTCTTCACTGGGTAAGTCTCATCCAATCAGTTGAAGCCTTTAAGAAAAAACTAAGGCCCATGAAGGAGAAGGGAATTCTGCCTCCAGAGGGTCTTCAGACTTAAGACTGCAAATCAACTCTTGCTGAAATTTCCAGCCCATCGGTTTGCCTTACATTTTTGAGACTTACCATTCACAAAAACCACATGAGCCAATTCCCTAAAATAAGTTAATTCCTTCTACACACACACACACACACACACACACACACACACACACACACACACCCTATTAGTTCTGTTTCTCTGGAAAATCCTGACTAATACAGTCCCCAATATAGGAACAGATGAGCAGAATGAAAATGCTGTTGGCTGTCTGTCCCTCATGGTTTCCTTTCATTCTTTTTTTCTTTTTAATTATTGTTTTGCTCTTTTTTCACCTCTACACAGAGAACAAAATGAAGCTAAAAAGGGGAGGGGCTTTCAAATTCCCTGCTGGCTCTTGCCTCTCAGCCCTTATAGAGGAATGGGAACCCTCCATCTCTGAACCCCAGCCAGCCTTCTTTATGAGAGAGGGGGCACACCAAGCAGTTTTCTGGGCTCTGGGTGGTAAGAGGACTTCAGGGGTCATCTTAAAGAGTTGTGAGGCAGAAAAGGGACCATGCTGTGGCCTCAGCTTGAGGTGGATTGTGCTGAATGTTATACACTCCACCAGGCAACATCATGAAGAGTGAAGTGGTCCATTCTTTTGCCTGGTTGCCTGGACTGGCAGTCCGCCCTCCCAGATCTCTGGCCATGTTGGGGGTCCTTTAATCCTTATCTTTCTACAGACCCTCTTTACCATCTTCTCAGGATTCTGGGCTCCCTCTTTCCTGATAGAACACTTTCTGTAATTTTCTCTAGAAACCATCTCAGCTCCAAATTATAACTAAAATTTTTCACTAAAATCCTTCCCTTTCGTTATAGTAAGCAGTTTACATAGGTGAATTTAAGCCGTATATATATATATTTTGATGAATACAAATCCGTCCCATTTAAGGATTTTCACAAACAGCAATCCATACACATTTCACAGCACCAAACCAGAGATCAAATTATTCTATAATTCAAGAAATGCAGAAGAAGGGGCTGTGAAGAGCAAGAGTCCACCCCTACTATGCAATTTCCTCATTATTACAATATAGTGACATCTCAACTTAAGTAGAAACTGTTGGAAACCAGCCCATTGGCATAAACAAAGATTTTCCCTATTCAGTTGGTTGCTTAGGTAGATATAGCATTTGTGAGTCCTGCTAACCTCTTGCAAAGCTAGCTTTCCCCAACCTCAGAACTGCAGACTGCTACCCATCCCAGAGACGATCTATAATAAATTTCTGAAGCAAGCCCATTATAGTCCTTTAGGCAATGATCTTCCAACAGCACCCCTCTCCCGGGAGACCACCTGTGAAAGTACCCTCTTAGCCCAATTCAGCAAACTTGGACTAGGGATGAAATATGAAAATATTATTTTCCTTAGAGAAGTAGTTTTCTCTCCTCATTACTCCAAGGATGTCAGAGTGACTGATAGCTGCTAAGTCCTCATCAGCAAGTCAATTTATCTCAAATCCTGAAGCAGCCAGCAGCCTGGATTATAAGGTTTACCTCCAGAGAGCAATCTTTTTCCTTGATCAAACTTCTGTGTGATCTACAGACCTGCCGGCGCTCATGATACACAGTGTGATTGCTTGAACTTCACCAGAAATAGAGAGAAAAGATTGTACTCCCACAGAGAAGAAACAATGAGAATGAAACAGAAACTCACCATTTCTCCTGGTCTATAGCGCTGGTCCTAGATGTGCTTTGCAAACCTTAAATCTGAGCTCACTCACAAACAATAATCCACACACACGGATTTTAGCTTGTCTACACTGTACACATGCACATGATAGCATGCAGCCCAGCCTTGCTACATGTAAACATGTACCACAGAGATCTCTACTCCCCTTGGCTAATGGCACCAGTATATGAGTAATGAGGGCTACATGTTTAGATACTGTATTAGTCAGGGTTCTCAAGAGGGACAGAACTAATGGAATATATATATATATATATATATATAGCAGAGTTCATTAAGTATTAACTCATATGATCACAAGGTCCCACAATAGGCCATCTGCAGGCTGAGGACCAAGGAGAGCCAGTCTGAGTTCCAAAACTGAAGAACTTGGGAGTTCTATGTTTGAGGGCAGGAAGCATCCAGCCTGGGAGAAAGATGTAGCCTGGGAAGTTAGGCCAGTCTCTCTTTTCAAAATTTTCTGCCTCCTTATATTCTAGCCGTGCTGGCAGCTGATTAGATTGTGCCCACCCAGATTAACAGTGAGTCTACCTTTCCCAGCCCACTGACTCAAATGTTAATCCCCTTTGGCAATACCCTCACAGACACACCCAGGATCAATACTTTGTATCCTTCAATCCAGTCAACTTGACACTCAGTATTACCCATCACAGATACATACATATTTTCCCTAAATGCCAGCTTCTAACACTGATAGCAGATGATTTTATTTCAAGTTTATTTTGTTTCTTAAAAAAGAATTTCTTTAATCTGCAGGAACTTTTTATTTGCATGTGCTACTCAGCAGGAGAAATATAATGGACTGGAGATCTTCAGCAGTTATGCTCAGAGAAAACAGCTTATGGTCTTATAGACACTCAATATTAGGATCATTTGTTATACAGAGTTTCAAATTGAGTTTTTATTATTCTGGTTTATAAGACAAGGATACTCTTATTGAAAAATAGTCAATGTGTTGCTACCAAATAACTACCTAATCCCTTGTATCATTAAGGGTTTATCCAGAGAAGCAGAACCATTAGGTCTTATATATCAAGAGATTTATTGCAAGGGATTGGCTTGCACAGTTGTAGGGGAGAGCTAGACAGTCCGAAATCTGCAGGCAGGTGGCAAGGGCAGGCTGCAAATCTCAGGCCTGGAGGAGCTGCTGTCCACTGGCAGAATTGCTTCTTTCTCAGGGAAATCTCAACTTTGCTTCTAAATTCATTCAACTGACTGAATCAAGCTCACCCAGATTATCTAGAATAATCTCCCTATTTCAAGGTCAGCTGGTTAGCAAACAATTTCATTGCAACCTTAATTCACTCCTGTTGTATAACATAACATATGACAGATGGTAGACCTCTGTGGGGACTGTTATTCTGTCTATCACATCCTTTTCTGAGAGAATCTCCCCAGCCAGTTCAAGAAGACTACTCCTAGCACCTTTTCTCAAATGTTCCCAAATATGTGATCTTGACTTGTTTTCTTTCTAAGATCCCTACTGAAGATACCACAGAGAACTCATTACTCCCCTTGGCTAATGGCACTAGTATGTGAAGAAATCTGTCAGGATTTTCTCTACCTTCACTCATTCTGTATGAATGATTACTTCTAGTCTCCTGGGGAAGTATTTTAAACTGTTATTTAATTTTGGAAGAAGACAACATTTTTAAAAAATGGATTAAATATTGGTACAAGGTTGAGAAATGTTCTGATGTGGGGAGACATTAAAGCATTTGTTTATTTGGGCAGTGTGGGCTGTAGGTCTTTCAGTTCAAAGTTCAAAATAATAATTTGCCAAGAATGATGATTAAAGGTTAAATTATACAATATACATGAAAATACTTTTAAAAGGTTGAAATTCTATAATATCTCTAGTCCATGAAAAAAGATTTAAATTTTAGAGTTTCAAAGCAACTAGTGATCATCTAATTTAATTAAAGTTATGATAGACACATTTTTTTCCACTTCAATACTTTTTTTAATGAGTTTTCTGATATTTCAGAGGAAAGTTTTCTCCAGAGGTTTGAACTTTTTCTAATGCTTCATATCCTAAGAAGTCAATCTTATTTTAAAAGCAAAATAACTTTTATATAATTCATTTTTATATTTCTAAAGTAATAAAAATGACTTTTTTGATTTCCAAAGATTAGTAAAAACAAAGTAAGCATTGCGTACATTTCAACATATCCATGCCTTTTAATGTTCCTGTAAATTTTTATCTCTTAGCCAACTTCCCTCATTTTACAGATAAGAAAAGTGCAGCAAAAAGAAATTTTGGTTTAGGGCCGAGCTGGAGTGCATATGTGACTTTCCTGAATTCTATTTCAGAGTTCTTTTTTATGCTATCATTTTGTGTAAGTATTTATTATTGCTCCCATTGTTTTTCTAGCTCTTCAACAAACCTGCTATATGCGGGAGTTGTGTGTTTGGAGGTGGCCTTTGAATGGCATTATGTATTTTTGCTGAGCAATTCATAATCATGCCTGGTCTTTTATGGGCAGAGGGACCAATTTCAAGGCAGTCATTCAACTAAGTCTATATGTTCAGAGCTTTAAGACACATCAGAAAAACCCAGCAAAGGCAACATACTGCTGCTTCTTAACTTTCATAATCATGTCAATCCCTATTTAAGATCCTTTGTGGCTCCCATTTCCCAAAGGTTAAATTGCAAACTCCCTAGGCAGCCTGCAACACCTCCCATGCACTGGCCCCTGCTAACCACTCCATTATCATCGTGTACTCCCCTTTCCTCATCCCAACCCCAACCTGTGCTACAACCTCACAACACCACAGCCAAGCCTTGCACCTTAGACCTCAATGCCTAGAGTAGCCTTCCTTACCACTTGATCACTTGAGATAAGTGCCAGTCATCTTTCAAGTATCAGGTTAAATGTCTCCTCATCTAGGAAGCATTCCCTGACCACTCTTAAACTGACACAGTTTCATCTCCTGTATGATCCCTCAGCATCCTGCCTTATCTGCCTCATGCCTTATCTGGCCCTTGCCAGTGCATGAACATTTCTTTTCTTTTTCTCTGTCTTCTCCACAAAGACTGTAGTATCTTTCTATCCCTAGTGCCCAGGACAGTGCGTGGTACATAGTAGGCCCTCAATACATATTGTGGAATAAATGAGCAAATGAGGAATGAAAGAAGGAGGCATGTGGTCTAACACCCCGGCCCTGTCCATAAAGTTGTCACACCTCCACTTACTTCTCTGCTCCTTTTGAGAAGTGTTTGCAAATGCTGCATTTATTACACATGTTCCGTAGCCAAGAAGAGTACATCCAGAGACCTGAATTTTGTGTGCACCTCTAGTTTGCAGGTGACTTTGCCCTGGAACTTTCAACATTACCTGTGACTCATAAGAGATACTGAGAGCGTGGTACAAGGAGTTAGATGTCATGACACATGGAGCTTAGAGCAGTATGCACACCAGGTAGGGCATGAGTTGTAATTAATACCATCTATAGAGTCCCATGAGAAATCAATTTACATAAGGCTTTTTAATAAGCTTAAATTGAGAGAGACAAAAATCAGGATTTGGGTCTTTATTTGAGGAAACATTCTATAGCACCTAAACTGTTTTTACTTACAATGCTTCTGACACCAAATGTATGGAGATTTTTTTTACTACGCCAATCAATTCTCCAACTCTCCAGCACCAAGTGGGTGTCCAGCAATTCAATTCTGTCACTAACTACCGGGAGTCAACACAGTCCTCACAGGTTAATGGCTCAGTCCCACAAGACTTCCCCCTCTCACATGTCAGATGCCAGTTGCAAGTCTCAGATTATCACCTGTGCTTGTGACCGACTGGCTATAAATCGGAGGTTCCTATGACTCCCTTTTCAGGATTGATAATTTGCTAGAACAGTCCACAGAACTCAAGAAAACACTTTACTTACACTTACCAATTCATTGTGAAGATTATAACTCAGAAGCAGCCAAATGGAAGAGATGCATAGGGCAAGGTTTGAAAGGGGCTCAGAGCGTTCATGCTGTCTCCAAGAATACCAGGCTCCCAACACCTCAATGTGTTTACCAACCCGGAGGCTCTTCAAACCCCATGACTTAGGAGTTTTACAGATATTTCATTATGTAGGCATGATGGATTAAATCATTGTCTTTTGGTGATCAACTCAATATCCAGCCCATCTCTCCTGCCTGGAGGTCAGGGATGGGACTGAAAGTTGAAACCCCCTAATCTTTCCTTAGTCTTTCTGGCCACCAGCTCATAACATGAAGCCACCTAGGGGCCCCAACCACCAGTCATCTCATTATCATACAAAAGACACTCTTACCACTCCAGAAATTCCAAAAGTTTTAGGAGCTGTGTGCCAGGAGCCACGGGAAAGACCAAATATATATTTCTTACTATATCGCAGAATCTTAGAAGCATCTTCTTTTAAGCAAATTACTGGAAAGAATTGCCATTGTGTGATATACAATTGCAGTGTTGAATAATGTTGCCCTAAAAACCGTTTTTTTATTGTCTTCACAAACGCAGCGCTGGTCCTTAGTAGTTTTTCCTCATTAATCACATTTAGCCTGCCTGGTGTTGTGTTTAGCCAGACTCTTGTGAAACACATTCTTTCTTTCTTTTCTTTCTATTCTTCCCGCTTGGGGTAGAAGAAAGAGAAATGTAGGAAGAAGAAATAGATTTTTGTTAGTGATTAATGTAAGAGAAAATCAGTCTCTCCCTTGCTTAATTTGATAGTAGACTTTTTTTTTCATCAGTAGCACTGATTTATGTTGTAAACACATGCAATTGTTTCAAGCTTTCATTCTTGATTTTGGCATGCAGGTGACAGGAAAATCCAAATGACAATTCCCAGAAAGCCTTTCTGAAAATGATCACAAAAGTCTCTTTGGTTACTATTTGACCAATACAAATTAGAAAATTTAATCTTCCTGTTTTCTTTCTTCTGTTATTCATCTGTCAGCTTTTGGAGAGATCCTTAATTTATTTATGTTTTTAAGAAGTATTTATTGGGTGCCTGCTCTATGTCAGATTCTGTGCTGGGTGCTGGTGATGCAGCACCTTCTTGGTTACCACATGTAGGTTTTAGTGGTGAAAAGATATTTTTAATCACATAATAACCCAACTAAATCTAAAATTACAACTTTTGCAAATACTGCAAAAGAGAAATATATGGTGGTATCAGTTATTGCTAATAGCAAATAACAAAATACAAATTCTCAGCAGCAAGGAATAATAGCCATTTCTTTAGTTCTGTAGGACAGCTAGGGTTGGCTTATCAGGAAGGACTTTGTTGCGGTGGCTCTACTCTCATGCTTTTTATCTTCCTCCTGGAACCAGTAGGCAGCCTAGGAGTGCTCTTCTCATGGCGAGGGAAGAGGCAAAAAGAAGACAAAACTAATTGTGCAAGCACTTTCCAAAATTCTTCTATGTTATATATGCTTTCATGACACTGGCCGAGGGAAGTCAATACTAAGTCCAACATCAATGGATGGGGAGCTATATTCCTCCCTTGGAAATGTGGAGGGGTATATTTCTGAACAATAATCCGACCTACCACAATGGTTCATGGAGAATATATAGTGGAAAATTTGAGTAGGAACTAAGTCAGACAGAGAGGGAACACTTTTGACTAAATGCTCTGTAGTGAGAAGGAGCATGGTGGGTTGGAGATACAGAAAATATGAGTGGGGCCAGAGCTCAGAGAATGAGCAGCAACATGGAGCAAGCTGAGCCTAGAGAGATTAAGAGGAGCCAAACCACAGGGTGACCTGCAGGCTATCTAAAGGATCTTGAACTTAGAACAAAAAGGAAAGCATATAACTACTATTAAATAAAAGTACAAAAATGAAATAAAGGATCTAAAGGATCTTGAACTTAGAACAAAAAGTTTACTGATTTGCATATGTTGCATATGTTGAACCAGGCTTGCATCCCAGGGATGAAGCCAACTTGATTGTGGTGGATAAGCTTTTTGATATGCTGCTGGATTCGGTTTGCCAGTATTTTATTGAGGATTTTTGCATCAATGTCAATCGGCTATATTGGCCTGACATTTAATTTTTTTGTTGTGCCTGCCAGGTTTTAGTATCAAGATGATGCTGGTCTCATAAAATGAGTTGGGGAGGATTCCCTCTTTTTCTATTGTTCGGAATAGTTTCAGAAGGAATGGTACCAGCAATTCTTTGTACCTCTGGTAGAATTTGGCTGTGAATCCATCTAGTCCTGGGTTTTTATTGGTTGGTAGGCTATTAATTACTGCATCAATTTCAGAACTTGTTATTGGTCTATTCAGGAATTCAACTTCTTCCTGGTTTAGTCTTGGGAGGGTGTATGTGTCCAGCAATTTATCCATTTCTTCTAGATTTTCTAGTTTATTTGCATAGAGATGTTTATAGTATTCTCTGATGGTAGTTTCAATTTCTGTGGGATCAGTGGTGATATCCCCTTTATCATTTTTTATTGCGTCTTTTTGATTCTTTTCTCTTTTCTTCTTTATTAGTCTGGCTAGTTTTCCATCTATTTTGTTGATCTTTTCAAAAAAACAGCTCCTGGATTCATTGATTTTTTGAAGGGTTTCTTGTGTCTCTATCTCCTTCACTTCTGCTCTGATCTTAGTTATTTCTTGTCTTCTGCTAGCTTTTGAATTTGTTTGCTCTTGCTTATCTAGGTCTTTTAATTGTGATGTTAGGGTGTTGATTTTCGATCTTTCCTGCTTTCTCTAGTGGGCATTTGGTGCTATAAGTTTCCCTCTAAACACTGCTTTAAATGTGACCCAGAGATTCTGGTACATTATGTCTTTGTTCTCATTGGTTTCAAAGAACATCTTTATTTCTGCCTTAATTTCATTTTTACCCAGTAGTCATTCAGCAGTAGGTTGTTCAGTTTCCACGTAGTTGTGCCGTTTTTGAGTGAATTTCTTTATCCTGACTTCTAATTTGATTGCACTGTGGTCTGAGAGACTGTTTGTTATAATTTCCATCTTTTGCATTTGCTGAAGAGTGCTTTACTTCCAATTATGCAGTTAATTTTAGAATAAGTGCGATGAGGTGCTGAGAAGAATGTATATTCTGTTGATTTGGGGTGGAGAGTTCCGTAGATGTCTGTTAGGTCTGCTTGGTCCAGAGCTGAGTTCAAGTCCTGAATATCCTTTTTAGTTTTCTATCTCATTGATCTAATATTGACAGTGGGGTATTAAAGTCTCCCTCTATTATTGTGTGGGAGTTTAAGTCTCTTTGTAGGTCTCTAAGAACTTGCTTTATGAATCTGGGTGCTCCTGTATTGGGTGCATATATACTTAGGATAGTTAGCTGTTCTTGTTGCATTGATCCCTTTACCATTATGTAATGGCCTTCTTTGTCTCTTTTGATCTTTGTTGGTTTAAAGTCTGTTTTATCAGAGACTAGGATTGCAACCCCTGCTTTTTTTTTGCTTTCCATTTGCTTGGTAAATCTTCCTTCATCCCTCTATTTTGAGCCTATGTGTGTGTTTGCACATGAGATGGGTCTCCTGAATACACCACACCAATGGATCTTGACTCTATATCCAATTTGGCAGTCTGTGTCTTTTAATTGGGGCATTTAGCCCATTTACATTTAAGGTTAATATTGTTATGTGTGAATTTGATCCTGTCATTATGATGCTAGCTGGTTGTTTTGTCTGTTGGTTGATGCAGTTTCTTCATAGTGTCGATGTTCTTTAAAATTTGGTATGTTTTTGTGGTGGCTGGTACCGGTTGTTCCTTTCTGTTTAGTGCTTCCTTCAGGAGCTCTTGTAAGGCAAGGCCTGGTGGTGACAAAATCTCTCAGCATTTGCTTGTCTGTAAAGGATTTTACTTCTCCTTCACTTATAAAACTTAGTTTGACTGGATATGAAATTCTGGGTTCTTTAAGAATGTTGAATATTGGCCCCCACTGTCTTCTGGCTTGTAGGGTTTCTGACAAAAGATCCGCTGTTACTCTGATGGGCTTCCCTTTGTAGGTAACCCGACCTTTGTCTCTGGCTGCCCTTAACATTTTTTCCTTTATTTCCACCTTGGCGAATCTGACAATTATATGTCTTGGGGTTGCTCTTTTCGAGGAGTATCTTTGTGGTGTTCTCTGTATTTTCTGAATTTGAATTTTGGCCTGTCTTGCTAGGTTGGGGAAGTTCTCCTGGATAATATCCTGAAGAGTTTTTTTCCAACTTGGTTCCATTCTCCCCGTCACTTTCAGGTACACTAAGTAAATGTAGATTTGGTCTTTTCACATAGTCCCATATTTCTTGGAGGCCTTGTTCATTCCTTTTCATTCTTTTTTCTCTAATCTTGTCTTGTTGCTTTATTTCATTAAGTTGATCTTCAATCTCTGATACCCTTTCTTCTGCTTGATTGATTCGGCTATTGATACTTGTGTGTGCTTCGTGAACATCTCACACTGTGTTTTTCAGCTCCATCAGGTCATTTATATTCTTCTCTAAACCGGCTATTCTAATTAGCAATTCATCTAACCTTTTGTCAGGGTCTTAGCTTCCTTGCACTGGGTTAGAACATACTCCTTTAGCTGGGAGGAGTTTGTTATTACCCACCTTCTGAAGCCTACTTCTGTCAATTTGTCAAACTCATTCTCTGTCCAGTTTTGTTCCCTTGCTGGCGAGGAGGTGTGATCCTTTGGAGATGAGGTGTTCTGGTTTTTGGAATTTTCAGCCTTTTTATGCTGGTTTTTCCCCATCTTTGTGGATTTATCTACCTTTGGTCTTTGATGTTGGTGACCTTCAGATGGGGTCTCTGAGTGGATGTCCTTTTTGTTGATATTGATGCTATACCTTTCTGTTTGTTAGTTTTCCTTCTAACGGTCAGGCCCCTCTGCTGCAGGTCTGCTGGAGTTTGCTGGAGGTCCACTCCAGACCCTGTTTGCCTGGGTATCACCAGCGGAGGCTCAGCTGGAAATGCAGAAATCACCCACCTTCTATGTTGACCTTGCTGGGAGCTGCAGACCAGAGCTGTTCCTATTCGGCCATTTTGCCAGCAAATCCTCCACAACTTGTATAGAGTTATTGTGAAATTTTGATGAAATAATACCTAACACACAGCACTCAACAAGATTACTATATGCATGAAATGCAAAAGGATATATAAAGGATTATGAAACCAATTTCCAGCTCCTTATTAGTAATAAATCTGGTGATAACCCTTAAGTGACCAAGAGACAGTAGTCTCTGGTATGGCCCCCTGGGTACCCCATTCTCTTTGTCCCCTGAATCATCTGTTCAGAGACACCTGCTTCTTGATCAGAGGTCTTATCATTCATTTCAGGAATTGCCTATTCTTTATATTGCAGATGTTCCAAGTAGACACTGTTCACTGAGTCTTTATGAATTGCCATTTCTTCTCTCTAGCATGCTCTGTAGAATACTGGCTCCCTATGCCACCTGAGGATGGAACCATTGCCCTTTCTTCTAAGATCAGAATTTGTTGCAAGGTGGAGCTGCAAGAAGGTTTTCAAACCTATTTTGAAGGATATTTTAGGCTTAGATCCACTGAAAATGGATTCTCTTATACAGCTCCATGATACCTCCTGATAACACATTAAATATGCTCTAATGATAACAGCTCAAATATATTACTGTTTACTTATTTCCTGCCTCTACATTTAGGGCTAAATTATGCCTACACCTAGTTTTGTTATATAGTCATTCTCAAGGTGTTATCAGATACTCAGATGCCTGCCAGGATTTCTCCTAGAGGTACCATGCTGCTGTCTGTAGTGATGTTTCCAATGTATTCAACAGAGCACTACCTTCCACAGTGCACCCACTCTCAAGGTCAGACGAGGTTGCTATATATTATAGCTTCTTCTAAGAGATTCATAAATTATTAGCATATGAAAAACTGATATTTCTCACAGTAAAGAAATCAGTTTAATTTTGTTTGACTCCACATTAACCCATACATATTTGACCATGGGACCCTTTAGTCATCAACAACTTTTAACACCCATGGCACTAGTATTTCAGGGAACACCTTTTGGAAACTGCTACTCCATAGGATATATTTCTATTCCTGTTCATTTCAGATGTTGTTTTTGTAAACATTCTGTTTTTGAAACACCATGCAGAGGTGATCTGCTTTATTCCCCCTAGAATGCATATAAGATTAAGTAAATTTAGCTCCTAAGTGGTTTACATGATTATGTGATAAATCTTAAGCACATGCAAATTTCCCTGGAGTCTGTACAGCATTAGACCTGTCATAAAAGAAATCATGCTATGGGTGAGCAATTAAGTAGTTTAATAAAATTTGTAGGCAGAATGGATAGCACAAGGCTACCAACCAGTACTCAATTCATCTATTACACCCTCGTCTCCATGAAAGGGATAAGCATGATGTAAATATGAGGTTACAATACATATTATCCCTCTTACCATGAGACAAATCTGTAATTTAGGAGACTGAAACTGGGAGTGGGCTGGTCAAGTAGATGAAGTTAGGATAATCATAGACCATGGTCACACCCTCAGCTTTACACGTTCAGAAACTTAACTTTATTCATTTCTCTAGGAGAAACTAAATTCCAAGGGATTTATGCAGATTCATGTGTCTTATAGACATAAATCTAAATATAAATGTATTCATTCATAATTGGGGTTATTTATTTTAAAAACGGGAGTTTTTGTATTATGAAGGTAAAATTTGTAGAGAGTGAAATGCACATGTCTGTGGCATACTGTTGGATGAGTTTTGATAAATATATTCCTAATTAAACCTGAATTCAGGCTTCCTTTCTCTACCTCTTCCTTCCTGCCCCCATTCCTTCCTATCTCCATCCCCCATTTAGCTCTCCTCCAATTCTGCTACAAAGAACAATTCAACATGTTGTAGTATCTAAGCAGGGGCAAGAGTAAAGAGAAGCTTGTAATCTTATAATTTACCTCAACTGTTGCAAAATCCAAGAAAATATCACTTATTCACTTTTTTAATGACTCAAATGTCAAATCTTCCATATAGCATATCTCTTCACTGGAGATGGATAAATACTAAAAATTCCTTCCTATGACATTTTATTTTTTTATTGTCCATGCAGACAGACATCAGTCTCACCCCTCAACACACCCTTTTTTGCAATTGATGATTTCAGAAACTCCCAGTTTCGTCAACAACACATTTATAAATAATTTCAGATGATAACACTGTCATTTATTTACTTATTTATTTAATTGCTCATTTTATTGTTGTTTACACTGGCATCAAGCTCTCAGGATATATCCTGTGGTAGACTTGAAGACCGTTAAGTAGTAACTAGAGTAATGTTCTCTTTTATTTGTTAGAACATTCTCTTGCCAATAATGAATCCTAAATCAGTCACCTTTGTTCTACTCAGGTCATCTGATATCTCTTTAGAATAATTTTTTTAAATTTTAATATAGTTTATTAGAAGATTCACTGGGAGTGGTGAATCTAGGTGGCTTGTTGCAAATCTAACTTGCACTCACTCAGTTCTTTGAAGAATCAGACTCTGATCTGACGTTACCTTTACTAAAAGAACAGATCCCATATTTCAACAATTAGCATCACAGAATTTAAATTCAATGAATAATATCACAAAATTTAAACCGAATGAATAAGTAAATGGTGATTGGAATTCATGTGTGAAACAAGCAGAACTTTGAAACACCAGTGAATTTTAAGCATTATTTGGTTAATTCATTTGAATCCTTGGCCAAAAGTGAAATATATTCTAAAGACCCATTATTAATGTAATTTATGTCATTTCTGGAAATGGAATCATTTCAGGCTCTAATGTTATTTAATGATTTGACAAAGGAGATAGCCAAACAGGATTTTTTCCAGGCAAAATTGAAGGAGCGCAGGGTTAACAAGTAACCTTGTCCTTGTGTTACTGATACTTGGTCCAAGGATGAGAAATAACAGCTGCTTGCATTTTTAAAATGTTTATTATTTTTGTTTTAATTTGAGATGGAGTTTCACTCTTGTTGCCCGGGCTGGAGTGCAATGGCACCATCTCGGCTCACTGCAGTCTCCGCCTCCCAGGTTCAAGTGATTCTCCTGCCTCAGCCTACCCAGTAGCTGGGATTACAGGCGTGCACCACCATGCCCGAATAATTTTGTATTTTTAGTAGAGATGAGGTTTCACCATGTTGGCCAGGCTAGTCTTGAACTCCTGACCTCAGGTAATCTGTTCGCCTCAGTCTCTCAAAGTGCTGGGATTACAGGTGAGCCACCGTGCCTGGCCTTAAAAAATGTTTCAAAGTAGATGCAGGAGCTGGGCAATGTCTGGCATGCACTTGTTTATAATGTTGCAGCTGTGCACTGTAATTAGAAAATCTTTGGTGGAAAGTTAGTTAAGGCTTTTCCAGATGCAGTATGACATTCGTCAAATGAGAGAAAATGTCCCCTGTACTTTTGAGAAGTGTAGGAGAAGATAATTCCCACAACCTTGAGCTGGAAAATGGCTTTATACTATTAAAGCCTCCTTCATTTCCTTAAGGAGCATATTCAAAGGACACAGCAGCTAACACCACCAGCGTAAGTGAAGGATACAACAAAAATAAAATACATAAGTCTAAAGATCATTCTTAGCACTCTCAAAATCAAAATAGACAACAAAGCACATTTATTGTGTCCTGTTTTAAAAAATGCATTTGAATGGATTACAGGTGGGACTATTGAGGTGATTTGTGTGAGCAAATCCTTACTTCCATGGAGGAATCTAAAACCTCACATGCCACAGAGTGCATGTCTGAATTGAGGAGACATTCAAATTTCCTTTCTCAGAGCCCAGGAGAGAAGATATTTGGAGCAGTCATTGCAGGACAAGCTGCCCGACTTTGCCTTTTTATGATTTACATTGATTGCTGGCATTAAATATGGTTGGCCTGTTAATTCTGGCAAAACTGAAATTATTTGCACTGCCAATTCTGTCAAACAGGTTTAATTCATACAGAGATACAATTGACCTCTTCTTAACTGTGATGTCACGATCACATGATCACATGATGATAATTCCTTAAAAGTATATAGTACTTTAAAAGTTACTGAGTGCCTTCACACCTTCTTATTTACTCCACTTCCAATAAATAAGCATAACCAGCAGCGGACACCAGGAGGAGGAGAACATCAATCCTTGGCGTGTTATAATATTCTTGGCCCACAATGACCTGGCCTCTGCCAACCTTCCAACATCATCTTCTTTTACTCTCTGTAAACACCTATGTCTCAGAACTGCTAAATCGCTCACGGTTTCTTTAGCAGGCGCTGCTCTCTGTGGTTTTCCTTCCGTGCATCTCTGATGATAATGATGTTTGTCTGGCTTACCACGATATCCCAGTCCCTAACACAGGGCCTTGCACACCACAGGAGCTCAACAAATATTTGTTGAAAAAATCAATGAATAACTGCTTAGAATACACTTCCTCTCCTGGTCCTTTAAAACTCAGCTGAGATATTAGCTCTTCAAAGACTCTCGAATCTCCCTCATTTCTAATCAGGCACCCTGCTCCATGCATAAATTTAATCTAGCTCATAAGGCACTATGATGTCATTACTGATTTATTTCTCTCTATTTATCTCTCTCTCTCTCTCTCTCTCTCTCTCTCTCTGTCTCTCATTCTCTCTCTCTTGCAGATGTGACTGCCTGGTGAGCAAAGATTGTATCTCATTCACATTTGTCATCTGCAGCACCTAAAAAGTCAAATAGGAGGCTCCTGAAGACAGGTTGCTAATGGAATATGGGCCCCAACAAGTAGCCTTTGGTTTATATCCCTCTATTGGTGAAATCACTGAAACTTCAGCCTCCCAGGTCCCAGTCTTTATAGGGGTCCCCAGAATGAGTCATGGGTGCCACTGGGTAAACTTTACTATTTACCTCTTCTCCTCCTTTTAATGGCACTTGCCTCCCCTCTGCCCTGATGTGTACCAGGGCTGAGCGCTTTGTAACGTACATCTTCTGGGCCTGGCTCTGCATCCAACAGTTTTTCATTATATCATTGGTGTTGATTTTGTCTTAATCAATCTTTCTGCCATCTTTTACTGCACAGACTTGGAAATATGCTGAATCTCACCAGTGTTCAAAACCTTTTCCTTCCATCTCAGCAACGGGACTACCACATGAAGTATAGCCTGCTCATTTGACTCAGTTTATTCAAACCTTTTTCTCCAGGACTTTGATGAACCTTCCATGGGTGCTGGGCTCCATGTGTTACTTCATTTAAATCCACATGCCTCACTCACATTCTGGTTTCCTGGACCTGGCGAGGACAATGACCTCTTGCTCCCCTGAGGGTGAATTTTGCTTCCATAAAAGTTTGCTGCCTGAGAAGTTAAATGGCAGCCCCTTGTGCTATTTTTACTTGAAAACCTTAACCCTGTGGACAACTCATCAACGAATCCAATCACTGCCTCTCCCATGAGACTCATTTGTCCTCACATAATGGGAGCCCCTGTCAATCTTTCAGCTGGTTGGCACAGACCTGCCTGTACATGCCTGATTTCACAGCCCATAGCCAGTTTAAGTCCTCACTCAAGGATCCTAGGTAAAACAGTAAGGAAAATATTTAGCTAGTTATGGTTTCATCATCGTTAATTACAGCATTGATAAATTTGGAAAAAAGCACTGAGACGTTCTAGGGCAATAGCTATCATACACAATTTCTTCCCCAGAAGTAATTAATGTTAGACATAGTCAAGTGGATGAGTGTCAGTTTTCTCTATACACACATAATAGCATGTATGACATAGCTTTGAAACTGAGTTTTGTGTTCACCTAGTGTGCTTCAGAATAAAAGATGAATTAAGCCACTTTTACCTGTCTTCATTTACAGCTTTCATCTTCTGAGTCTTTTCATCTTATTCTTATCTCTTCTTTTCAACCTGTACATTTTGAATATGAAATTGTGTGTTTCTGAAGAAGTTCCTAACACAGCTGTAAATTAGCCACACATTGTGACTATGTGATAGTAAAGTAGGAAACGTAAGTTTATTTTCTAGTGCGAGACATTACCAAAAGCATGTTAATGCAGTGCATGAAGACAAAGGGAAAATTTTGGGGGCAAATACAGAGCTCACACATGTGAGTTCACATGTGAGCATAAAATATAGCTATTCCCATCTTCCTGGGAAACATATTAGACATCCTCATGCAGGTGTCCATGCAAAGAACAGGACAATCAGGTGTGAAAGGATCCCCCAGACCAGCCCCACACCAAGCTGACCTACAGCTTCCATCCCCACTTTGAAATAGAGCTGACCTTCTGGGGTCTGTCTTTACCACCAGCACTACTGCCCAGACCACTAGGTCTGATAAGCTACCTGTGGTCGAAGATCAAGGCTTATTCTGTAAACTTAGGAATAATTCAGGCATAATTCAGAGAGGTAAACTGAATCAGTGGCCAGAGGTAATGCATAGAGTTCTGGTCAGGAAATCTGAAAACCCAGGTATTCTTACAGGTCTAGTTAGTCAAAATTTCCAAATACTTCTCTACTAGATTGAGGTTAGGAATAAACAAAAAAGAAAAGACAGTCCCTACCTATGAGGTGTTTCTATCGGTGGCTACCGAATGATTATTTTATTTATCACCCACTGTATCTAGGCCTGAATTGACTCATCTGTTAAATGGGTTGCACTATCCTATCCTTCCTACCTTGTGAAGTAAGGTGACTAAAGAGTGAATAGGTGTAAAGTGCATGGAGTGTAATGGGAAAAAATGTGCCAATAGATTTTACTTTGGATATAAAATGTCTACAGCAGCCCTTCTGCTCCCAGGAAAAAATATAAGAAACTAACCATTCCACTTATAAAATAACTCGATTGCAAGCACAGTAATTGAATACTTTGTATGATCTAGAAAATTAACCTCAATTCCTACATTATGAATACAGCATACTTAGTGATGAGAAGCAGCTAACAGGCCACCAAGACTTTCAAAACAACTAATAGACTTTAATATCTGAGTGAAAAAGTATGTAATAAACAACAAAATGCCACTAAACACCTATTAGAATGGCTAACGTCCAAAAGTTTGACAATACCAATTGCTGGCAAGGTTGCAGAGCAATAGTAACTCTCATTCATCAATGGTGAGAATGCAAATAGTACAGCCACTTTGAGAGTTTGGCAATTTACGATAGAGCTAAACATAGTCTTACCATATGATCCAGCAATCATATTCTTAGGTATTTATCCATTTGATTTTAAATCTTATGTCTACACAATCTTGCATGTACACAAAACTAAACAAAAATGTTGATAGCAGCTTTATTAATAATTGCCAAAACCTGGAAGAAACAAATTCTTCAATAGATGAATGGACAAACTGGTACATCCATGCAATGTAATATTATTCAGCAACAAATATATGAACTACCAAACCACAAACATATACAGATGAACCTTAAATGCATATTACCGAGTGAAAGAATCCCATCTGAAAAGGCTGCATACTATATGATTCCAAATATATAACATTCTGGAAAAGGCTAAACTATAGAAATAGTAAATTGGTCAGTGATTGTCAGAGAAGGAAGGAGGGCTGAATGGGTGAAGTACAGGATGTTTTAGGTGGCGAAATTATCTTGTATAATACTATAATGGTGGATATATGACATTATGCATTTGTAAACACCCATAGAATTTTTCACCAAGATAGCGAATTTTAATCTATGAAAACGTTTTAAAAAATTATTTAGGAGGCCAGAAATCCCGGGATGGAACACAGAATGTGCTAAAATAGTCTAACTTTATTGCAAATGTTTGGAACAACCTCACTGAAAGGAGAGTGGCCAATAATTGTGATATACTATACATGTTTACTGAAAATTAACAATTAATCAAATGGATGGCAGATGGTGGGAGCCATGTTTCTCACTGTTGGAGAGTGAAGTTACAGGTACGCAAGGGGAAATGGCTAGAATGATCTCTGCTGACGGCTTAGGACTGAGATATTAGAATGACATATATCTATACATCATATATATATATACATATATATATGTGTGTATATATATATATAGACACACATAGGCACAGGTTAGTATACACAGGGCCTAGAAGCAGCCATACCCCAATATCAACAAACAAACCTACCACACAGATCTTTGTTTCTAATGCCATTCTGTAATAAAAGAAACCAGGGTTCTTTGAAGAAATGTCTAGGATCTGGGCAGGAAATACATACGATGATCCTAGTGCATCTTGTAATGACAGAAAAGCTAAAGCAAAGAAAAAACCAACCAGACAAAAAGCCACACGCTAATCGGAGTATAACACAAGGACACAAGAGCCAACTAAAAGATGTCCCAAAGGCCAAAGCTGGAATAATTTGACCAACGAAATAAAGTATTATTGGATTATAACTCAAACTCTAAAATAAATGTCCATGAATCCATACTGGTGTAAGTAAATGATTGAATAAAGAAATAAATGGCAAAGAAAAGACACATCTCTCATATAGAATAATTCCAAATAACGTATGTAATTGCTTTCCTTCTCCTTAAGTGTGCATGGCACATAGTGACTTTCTTCACAGGAGTACACTCTGGAAAGGAGAACAAACAACTGAACAGTTGAGAAACTCCAGGCCAGACGCAGTGGCTCATGCCTTTAATCTCAGCACTTTGGAAGGCCAAGATGGGAGGATCGCTTGTGCCTAGGAGTTCAAGACCTGCGTGGGCAATAAAGTGAGACTCCATCTCTACCAAAAAAAAAAAAAAAAGAAAGAAAAAAAAAAAAAGGAAAGAAAGAAAAGAAAAAAGAAAAATTAGCCTGTGTTGGTGCGTGCCTGTAATCCCAGCTACTCAGGAGGCTGAGGTGGGAGGATCACTTGAGTCCAGGAGATTGAAGCTACAGTGAGCTGTGACTGCACCACTGCACTTCAGCCTGGGCCACGGTGAGATCCCGTCTCAAAAAACAAAAAAAAAAAAAGAGAAACTCCACAAACTCTACCTCAGTCAAGCGATCGAGGTTAACACTATTACATCAGTCACGTTGATGGCACGTACCCTTGATAGGATGTAACGTGGATGGCACTTTTCTTTTGTGGTCTTCTTCCCCAAAATTTACAACCTGTTTAATCAGGAGAAGCACGTTAGGCAAATACCACTTGAGGGGCATTCTACAAAATATATAACTAGCACTCCTCAAAACTTCTAAGGAAATTCTGACAAACTGTCACAGCCAAAAAGAACTTAAGGAGACATGATTACTAACTGTGATGTGGCATCCTAGATGTTTCCTGGAACAGAAAAAGGACATTAGGTAAAAACTAAGGAAATCTGAATAAAGTATGGACCTTAGTTAATAATAATCTATTAATATTGGCTCATTAATTGTGACACATGTACCATATTAATGCAGTATGGATAATAGGGGAAACTGGCATTTACGGGAGCTCTCTGTACTATATCTATAATTTTTCTGTCAATCTAAAACTGTTCTAACACAAAAATTTTATCCAAAAAATATATGTATATTTCTTCTGGTGCCATATTCCGTGTCAGATAAAAATCACCAGTTACTTATATATTTTTTTCAAGTAAGAAAATGAAATGGGGGTCGGGGTGATTGTTTCAGACAAGCAGGAGTAGAAATTATGGAGTCTCATGGCTGGCAAGAGGAAGGATACGCGCTGAATGCAACATGCACACACACGGCCTTGAAAACCAAAATCAAATGTCGTATGACATAAATGCGCATGGCAGAGGAAAAGGAAGCAGATCACCCCCCTGCCGAATGCATGATGTCTGCAGCTTCTCGATGGCTCCAGGACCTTTCCAGACCTCCAGGGCAGCAGATGACAGATCATTTCCATCACCACAGAGCATTTGGCAAAATCCAAAGAGCCCGGATTTGCACTTTTTAAAAGTTGTTTATCCACTCAAATTCTTCCCATTATTCTCAGAGAAAAACTTAGAAAATACTAACATTCTCATAAAATATTTAATTATATAAAATTAGATAAAATATTTCATTCTGATTGGCAGAGATTTGATATATCCCTGCTTTCCCCATTTCTGTAACTTTAAAAGGAAAATTTAAAAAGAAAAACAACAGTGCCTTAGAAATGCTCCAAAAATTATAACTCTGATTAGAGTAGAACCATATGTCCCTGCATGAATGTTGGATCATTAATGGCCACTTCTTTTCAGGGCTATTTTTAAGCCAAGATAGTGAGGGGTTGTCACTGCAAATACATCACAGTGTTGTCCTTTACCCTCTAGCTCGCCCTTAGGCACACTGCTTGTGAAAGCTGGAATCTCAATCAGGGCATTTGTGTTCCATTTGAGTGAGTTTGGCAGAACACTATTTAACCCTACGGGCTAATTACTAAATATCTGTCATGTAATCGGTGGAGACTAATCCATCTATGAATTCAGGTCAACTTGGCAAAAAAAAAAAATGAAGGTCTTTTTCTAAGAGGTATTGGTAAACCACTGAACACAGCTTCAACTTCAGGCATATTGTCAATGGTTCATGCAACATCACCAGTCATATTCTGGAAACAAAACAGAAAACCTTCAAGATGGGGTGGCAGAACTCCTAGGCTGTGGCCCTGGCTCTGCCACTAACTTTGCCTATTTGGACCTCAGAATCTTCAACTGTAAAATAAGAGAGTTAGTTTAGATGGACTATGAGAGCTTCACAAACCTCACTCCCTAAGAGGAACATGAACATTTATTCCCAGGGTCCTAGGACTTTGTTGCCTAAGGGAACCTCAGCAAGTGGATAAAGTCTGGGAATTCTTAGGTTTTATTTGAAAATTTGTGCAGTTTATATACTTTTCATAGTATATATCAATATTTTTAATATAAAAATGTTTCAAATTAGTTACTATTAAACTAGCATCATTAAATTATTTGCCATTTTCCTTCTACATAACAGAGTAAAATTGATATTTATGGGAGATCCATGCCATGCATACTCTACGGCTCCTCCGATGCTTACGGTCTTTCTCTTCCGGTTTGAGTCGGCAGGACCAAGGTTTTCTCTAGCTCATAATTTCCTGACTCAGTAAAAAATTTTAATGATTTATTACATTCTGAAATCATGACATAATCAGACTTGCAAATTACAACTGTACCAAAGAACAGATGAAGATGTGTCGCAATGTCTGTGCCCACCATCAGAGGACATGTGTAGTCTGAGCCTCATAGGTTCTAAGTGCCTCACCATCTTTGAATGCAAATCAATGAGACTTTTCATCACCCGATAACCAGAACATTACCACTTTTACAGTTTAAATGGCGTTGGCCAATGTATTTGAATCAGGTACAAGTTTAAAGAGTTTATGGTTATTGAAGAGTTAAAGAACAAAAGAGCCCAACTTATTCAGTCAAAACATCCCAAGCCATCCTATTAAGCACCGCATTAAATTTCAGAATTTATTATTCCTCTTTTAAAAAACAACAGCAAAAGAGCATCAATAAATAAGTGCTCTGAAGTTGTGCAGAGGGCTTCCCATACAGAGACAACTGTTGGGCCAACAGCTCTTAGTCCTTTGAGTGGCAATAATGATAGTATTAACTATTTGCAAAAATTTTAAAGTACTGTTTATGAGCCTTGTCTCCTCTAAACCTTACAATAGCGATAGGTTGTGCATAGGATGGGTTGTCTTTCTTTCTCTGACTGATTTGTAGGAGTCTATATTTCAGGATAAGAGTCCTTTGAGAGATATATGTGTTCCAAAAACCTCCTCCCAGTTTACAGCTTGTCTGTCCATTGTCTTAGTGGATCCATTCTCTTAATGTTCTTCAACAAACAGAAGTTCTTAATGTGAATAAAATCTAATTTTCCTATATTTTCTTTTATGATTAATGCTTTTTTGTGTTCTATTTAGGAAATGCTTGTGTGCTCCAAATTCATGAGGATGTTCTTCTTTGTTGTCTTCTAGAAGCTTGATTCATTTAACTCTTCTTATGACCCATGTTGAATTAAGTTTTGTGTATGGTGTGAGGTGGTGTCAGTATTTCTTTCTTTCTATATGGACATCCTGTTGATTCAGCACCTTTTATTAAAGATATTGTAATTTTCCCCACTGAATTACAATAAAGCATTAGTAATAAATCAGGCGCTTGTATATACATGTATGGACGCTTCTCTCTGTTACACTAGTCTATTTATTTATCCTTAAGCCAGTTAATTTAGAGTCGATAATAAAGTATATGATTTGTAGCAGGTAGATTTATAATAACTCTTGATTTTGACATTTGTTTTATTTTTTAAAATATTGCATTGGCTATTCTGGATCCCTTGTTAGGCTACAAAAATTTGAGAATGAGCTTGTCAATTTCTACAAAAGAGCCTGTTGGTATTTTCCTTGGCATTGCCTTAAATCTATAAATCAATTTGGGAAGAATAGACACCTAACAATATTGAGACTTTCCATCACTGATTATGGTATATATTCCCTGCATTTGTTACTGTTTTATTGATTTTTTTCTCAGTAATATTTTGTAGCTTTCCATATCTTGCATACCTTCCGCATCTTTAGTTAGATTGAGTCTAGATAGCTGATATTTTCTAACGCCACATGCACAGGATTGTTAGTTTCTCTTTCATTACTTATTTTACCATTTCCATTATTGTAAAACATTCAACTTCCTTCAGAATTTTTATTTTCTGATTAATGTTATGATGAAGATGTTATAGTTGTGGAGCTGCAAAGTTAGAGGTTCCTGGGGAAAATCTTGGGACCTCCACTAAAAGCAAGCAATGGAAGTTATAAATATACATTTCAATGGAGGGTAAGACTCAGGACTATGGAGACATCTGAGCTTATATTTCCCCTGGGGACATTTATTTTCATTCCATAAAATTAGAGTAAGAACCCAGGATCCTTACCAAAGAGACTTTCTGGAGAGGGGAAACAGCTGCCTTTCCTATAATAAAAATTAGGATTATTTTCTTTCAGGGTTCCTCACCTACAATCCCCTTTATGTATAGGATGCATTTGGCTCTCATTTTGTCACACTAGATGTAAGAATTAAGGCACAAGGGAACCCTAAAATTATATGCCATGAGTAAATAATAATAATATTCTTAGCTCCAGAAAACCTTGTTTGTGCATTCAGGTTAATATTAATAAATATGGATATTTAAAACTTAATAATAGTTTTTTTTTCATGAGGATGAAGTATTTGTCTGGTTTTGATCGTCACAGTGTATTCCCTGACATCCCTTAGCACACAGTAGGAACTTGGTAAATATAGGTTACGTGATGTATTAGTTATCTATTTCTGTGAACAAATTACCCCAAAGTTTAGCATATGAAAACACAAACATTTATGATCTCATCATTTCTATGGGTCAAAAATCCAAGGACAGCTTAGCTGGGTTGTTCCATTTCCGGTTGTCTCATGAAGCCCCAGGGTATCTTGGGGCTGCAGTTATCTGAAGATTGACTGGGGCTGGAGGAAGTACTTCCAAATTCACTTATGCAGCTGTTGACCAAGGCTTTGGTTCCTAACCACGTGGGCCTCTCCATAGGGTTATTTGTGATGAGGCAGCTGACTTTGCCAAGAGAAAGTTATGAGAGGAGAAAGAGAGCACGCTGTTTTATGATTTAATCTCTGAGTTATGTGCATACCATCATTTCTGCTTTTTTCTATTTATTAAAAGCATGCCACTAAGTCCAGCCTACATTCAATAGGAGGAGATTACATGATTACACAAAAGCATGAATACTTGGAGGCAGGGATCACTGGGGCTTTCTTAGAGGCTGACTACTACACATCAATAAATGAAGTACAAGATGTGATATTATTTATCTGTTTGACTAATTATGCACCTCCTGCTTCAGCTCTAAACTCTGGATTGAGTAGAATTTACATAGGCATGGAAAAGAACAAAGGGGTTCCCACTGGAAGAAACACTGTACAAAATAACAGAACATAAAAGGGCATGTTCTCTGCAGGGAACTATAAGTAGATCTCCAAGGGAACACAGGATACTGAATAGCACTCCTCCATCAGAGGACGTGTATAGTCTGAGCCTCATAGGTTCTAAGCCACTCACTAACTTTGAATGCAAATCAATGAGACTTTTCATCACCTGGTGGCCAGAACATTATCACTTTGATAGTTTAAATGGCATTGACCAATGTATTTGAATCAGGTACAAGTTTGAAGATTTTCTGGTTATTAAGGAGTTAGAAAACTAAAGAGCCCAATTTACTCAGTCAAAACATCCCATGACATCCTATTAAGCACAGCATTAAATTTCACAATTCATTATTACTATTTTAAAAGACAACAGTAAAGGAGTGTCAATAAATAAGTGTTCAGAAGTTGCGCAGACTGCTTCCCATACAAA
The DNA here is from genome assembly GCF_000001405.40 of Homo sapiens. NCBI lineage: Eukaryota > Metazoa > Chordata > Mammalia > Primates > Hominidae > Homo > Homo sapiens. Next base: position 39,254,742 of record NC_000013.11, read on the forward strand.
GACTAAACTATTGGGCTGACAGCCAAGGTGTTTGCCTGTCTCTGCCCGTGACATCTAACCTCTTTGTAATCTAAGATGGGTTCTGTCCTGGGCAGCACGTACACAAGGAAATGCACCTCAAGGGGCGTTTTCCTCGTGCTGATTCCCTCTTACTGCTGTTTTTTCATCTCTATTACCCTAATGCCTTTGCTTTTGTTCTCAATTTTATATTCTAAACTATTGATTTCTGCTGCTAGGTCTTTTGGATGCTAAAACACATTTAATGAATCTACAGTTCCTGCCTAACATTCCTGGCTTTGCCTGGCTCAAATTCCTTCTAGCCAAAACTGCAGTCTAGATTTAGGCAGCTCTCTCTTTTTAGGTCCCTAGGAGTGGGAGGTGGAACTGATCTTCCTTTCTCCATGGGAATCCAGGAACTCTGCAGAAGATAACAACGGCTTCCATGATAAGTGTAAAGTGTGTGTGTGCACACGCATGTGTGTCCTGCACAAGTATGAAAGTATGACTTTCCACTTTTCTTGGATATCATCTACCCGGTTTATGTCTTTAGTACCTCTTAGGACTCACTCAACAATTTAAGTGTCAAGGCAATGTCACCAAAAACTTTATTTAATGTCACAACTCTGGCAGCTCCATTCTTGAATGATGAATCTTGTAAAGGCACTCCAAGCGTTTTTCAAAGAGAAAAGAGAAATGGAAAAATCTCAACTGTGCCCGCATAGAGGACTCTAAAGTCCAGGGCTAGGCCACAACATTTACTAAAGTCTACTGCGTGCTGGGCATTGTGCTAGGTGCATGGAGAAAGTAATAATGCCTTCGCTCAAAGGAAGTGAAGTCCAGGAGAAGACTAGACATCAGTGAAACAATCACACATATAAACATGTAAAGTCAGACAGCCACAAATTGTACAAAGACAAAATACCCTCATAGGAATGCAGAACTCTGCACATTACTGCAGCCTCTCAGAATACATGAAAACTGTGTGTGTGTGTGCCTGTAGACATGTGTGAGCCTACGTGCCCATTTGAAGTTGTACTGGGCCAGGAATGAGAATAAAAACATCGATAATTCAAAGATTCTCTAAGAGACAAGGAATTGGGGCCTGCTTGGGGCCTTCTTTTTGTCACTTCTTTGACACTCCATGGTATGACTAGAAATGCTGGAACCAGAAGCTAATTCAGAATTTCTTTGCTTGGGCTTGGCATGTGCTTGTAATGAAAGTGAAATTAGGAGTAGAGGACATGCAAATAAGTTTGCTCTCCATCAACCTTGACTTCCCAGTGCATAGGCAATAATAAAGTCACGGTGAAGGAAGTTTATAATAAAATTACTTCTCAAAACAGGTACGTTTGCTAAATAATGTGCCATTGAACCAGTTTTGTTGAATTCAATTATGTGATATTAAGTCGTGTGCTGCATGCAAGGCCCTGTTTTAAACATTCCTGTGAGCAAATGCGGAGGTTTACAATCACTCTCTGCCCTAAAGAAGCAATGATTTGAAACAGAATTGGCATCAGAACAAATTACTGTAAAGAACAATTCAACCCTACCAGTTAGTTTTAATAAATGTGTTTATCAAGTTTTTAATGGGGCCAAGTGGAAAGGCAGTGCCTTATGTGCAGCCTTGTGACATAATGGAAAATATAATTTCATAATGAGTTAATAATAAATGTGTATGGGCTAAGCAAGAGCACAGTTCATTTTAAAGACTCATTAAGTAGAAGATTTGACCGTGTCTCTGAAATGAAAGTGTGCACACACTGTTTCAAAATGAAGTGGAGTTGAAAGCCTGGGATTGCATTGCTTGATCAACTCTTCCTGGAAAAGCAACAGAATTTGTAACACTTGTTTTGTCACTCTTGCTTTACTCTTTAGAGAGTGATAAAATTATTAATGCTCTATTTTTTTTTAACTAAACAGAAACTTCTGTTTAGGACAGACTACATGGAAATGTTCAGGAAACTGATTTCTGCATAAGCATATGTGGCTGCCTCTAGGGCAAGAAGACTGGGGATATCACCATGGGCTCAATGTTCATTGTGAAGAAGCCTCAAGGAAATTGTACCTTATGATTAAAATTTTACAAATGACATATTTCACAAATTATAATGTTGCCAATTAAATGTACACATTTCTATGCAAACATGCATTACTTGAGTTGTTCTAAGCTCACACCTTTACAGCACTGTGCATATGTGTACTTGCAAATTTGAAACTAAGTAGTATTTCAAGGATACAAACTACTCACGAGGTGCAGTTAGAGGGCTTCTGTTGCAGGGAAGGCTTCCTGGGAACTTAGTGAGCATGATGTTTCTTAGGGAGAGCCCTTAGTAGCCACACCTGTGGAAGGGTGGGGACAGAGGCAGGCAGAGGGAGAAGTGAGTTGTAATGCAGGCCAAATGAGCTCCAGATGACCTCACTGGAAGCTATGAAGGTCAAATAACCCATCAGAGTTACTTTTGAGTTGAGTCAAAATAGCCAATGTTTATCCCTCTGCCTTGGTCAGTCATTGGATACAGACCACCTGGAAAAGGGATTTGACCTTGAGTGAGGGAGTTGTCTGCAGCCAACTGAGGCAATCCCAGAAAAGCCTAACAGGGGAAGCCTGTCAGCTGACAGCATGCCCAACAGGTGGGGGAACAAGTCCTTGAAGTGGGATCTAGGCCGTGTATCACGGTGTCCACATAGGCCATGTATCACAGTGTCCACAAAAGACCAGAGGCAGGTCCTGCTAAACAAGTGATCCCATGAATCTTTTCTCATGATTTAGCAGATCAGATCCCAGTACTGCTCACTGGTAATACAATATCCCAAACAGGCGGCTCTCATGCAAGGCCTCTTCTTCTCTGCTACTGAGAAACAACATGCAATCTTGGAAAATTTCAAACACAACACATCCAATTCAGGGGAGCACCAGAAAACCAGCAAACCTGCAGCAAGCGTGATGTAACTACAGTGTTGTACAAGCCACGACTCATGCATTAAGGTCAAAATGTAGATTTATTTTTGTCACTCCCTAACCCTTCCCAAAGTCTCCTCATAGCTCCAGGAACAAGCTCTACATTTATCCCACATTATCTCTTCCCTGCTCCCAAGGGTCTGTCCCTGACCAGGCAGTGCTCTCTCACACTCAAGGGTGCAGTGAATCTCAATCGGTCCACAGTCAGCTTTAGTTTTCTTAGGCAAGAATTGGGCCTCCTGAGGTTGCTACTGAGGAGAACACATTTCAAAGCTCTCCAAGTGGCTTTCCTAAAACTCTCCTCCCTAGGCTTGGAGCTGAACCACAGCACCCATTGCACAGCACAGAAAGGCTTTAGCTTTCTTCAAAGAAGTCTGTCTACGAGTCTCATCTCAAAGTTCTCCCTGGGACTTCTATCTCTGGTCTGGCTGAGGCAGTCAAGGGTTGAGTTGTGGAAAGGGGTCTTAAAACCGTTTGCTTTGGGTATCTGAATATATATGGTGGAGGCCTGTTGTATTCTGACTTTGATATCTTGATATCTATCCTGTGAGGCCTTGGTATCTCCTGAAGCAGGGAGGAGCCCCAGTAACACCTCCTTCTACACTATAATGAGTAAAGTTGCCAGTGGAATCTGGTGGTCAGTGAAGGGCTGTTGGACGGGCTGAGAGCTTGTGTTCAGATCCAGCTACCACATACAGAGTCTCTCCATTGCAATCTCCTTTCCGAGTACATGGAGTTCTTAGCTTCCATGCCAGCCAAATATCTTCTAAAGAATAATTTTCACTAAGTTAACATAAATAATCAGAGAAATTAATTGAATTTTTTCAAAAAAGGAAATTGTGATATTTTAGAAGTTTCTTTGAGCTCAAAAGTACTTTATAGAACATCTAAGTACACATCTTTATTTTATAAATAAGGAAATTGGTCTCCCAAGAGGTTTTTAAATCATCACTCATTTATTCAAAATATTATTTAGTGTGTACTCTTTGTCAAGTATGATACTGTGATATAAGAAATATATTTCACCTATAAGTGAGATCATGCAATGTTTTTCTTTCTCTGTCTGGCTTATTTCTTTTAGCATAATGTCCTCCAGGTCCACCCACATTGTGCAAATGGAAGGCTCTCTTTCTTTTTAAAAGCTGCATAATATTAGGTTGTGTGTAATGTACGTGACATTTTCTTTATTCATTCTTCCATCAATGGACATTTAGGTTATTTCCACATTTTGGCAATTGTGAATAATGCTGCAAGGAGCATAGGAGTGCAGGTGTCTTTACAAGGTGGTGATTTTATCTCCTTTAGGCATATATGCAGAAGAGAGATTGCTGGGACTTTCGTTAAATAAGTAAATTTTAGCTGTTCTTGTCATTTTGTTAAATAAGTAGATTTTAGCTGTTTTGTGTGTTCTTGCCATACACACAAAAGTAACTATAGGAGATAATATGTTAATCTGCTTCACTATAGTAACCACTTTACTATCTATATGTCTCCCATAACATGTAGCCCTCATATATATGAAATAAAATTAATTTTAAAAATAAAATGATACTAAAGAAGAAAAAATAGACATGTTTGTATGTATTTTGGTCTTGGTCCCCAGCTCCTGGCCTGAACTCCTAAAACCCTTGTAACTTCCTAAGTGATAAGAGTGATAGGAATATCTTTTATTATATTATTTGTTTTGTTTTGGGTTTTTTTTGCCTCCAATTTCTGAAACAGCTCTGGGGAGATAAAGGTGAAAGGAACAGCCTCTGTTGTTCTAACAAGCTCCTTTCAACCACATCTGAGGTTCTGTTCATCAGGCAACATCTGGAAAGCCCCTAAGCATGAGGCAGTGAGGAGGGGGTGGTTGCCAGGGGAATCAACCATGATTAAAGGGTTGGAAATTTCAGTGACATCCCCTGAACCCTGGGGGGAGGGAGAGGTGTTGAAGGCTGAGCTGATCACCAATGGCCAATGATTTAATCAATCATGACTATGTGATAGATCCTCCATAAATATGCTAACCAAAGAGGTTCAGAGAGCTTCAAGGTTGATGAACTAGAATGCATCTATTTGTGAAGAGGGTGACACCCCCAAATTCCACAGGGACAGAAGCTCCTGTGCTCAGGACACTTTTGGGCCTCACCCTGTGTATCTCTTCATCTGGCTGTTCATTTGTGTTCTTTAAAATTTCCTGTTTAATAAGTGAGTAATGGTATGTAAACTTTCCTTGGATTCTGTGAACTATTCTGGCAAATTATCAAACATGAGGAGGAGGTTGTGGGAACCTCTGACTTCTAGCCATGTCAGACAGAAGTTTGTGGCAACGTGGGGACTCGCTACTTGCAATTGACATCTGAAGTGGGGGGCAGTCTTGTGGCACTGAGCCCTTAACCTGTGAAGTCTGGGCTAACTCTGGGCAGTTAGAGTTAGAATTGAGTTAAACACTCACATTTGGCTCAGAATAAATCTCTTCAAATATTATCAGAGTTTGACTCTTTTCATCGACAATCCTTAGCTTCAAGATGTCAATTCTTGGTATTTGATTGAAATTCCTAATTAAGGAAAGACACATTCATTTCAGGACTTAATTCTTAGCTGAATGCCACCTTCCAGCAGACATTAAAGAGAAAGCTCTTAAAACTCTATAATACTGAGAAAAGTACTAGCAGAGATGAAGTGGTTACCTCAGATTCTGAAAATATTTTCTATTTAAGATACATTTTAAACTTCTTAGAAAATATGAATCACCAGATTTCTACATATTGCTATTGTTTATCAAGGCATCTGGAGAGGACTTTGTTAAAATCTTCTGCTTCCCTTAGTATTGTTAATATTAATTGAAACTTTTTGCAATAAAGTGCCAGTCATGAATATGTATTAGATGAATGTATACATGTCAATGGAACTCTGTTAGAAATGCACTTTTTTTCATTCATTGCCTGCTTTGGATGTTGTATAAAACAGTTTTCTGGGCTGATTATATGCAACATATACTGAGTTGATGAAATTGATTGGTATTTGCTCTTTTTCACAAGGAACTTATTTCAGCTAGCTAGTGAGGGTAAAACTATATGTATCTTTGCAAAACCATCCACATTTACCCTTTGAAACAGATTGTCTCAAGGATTCTGACTCCATCTAAGAATATATCCATATATTTGGAGCTATGCACCTTGGAATGTGTGACTTTCTGTCCACGCTTTGCTGGGAGAGCCTGATCTGAAGGGAATGTCTTAATGCAAGTGCAGGCTCAGTGATGTGCACTTGGGAGAAGGGAGGGGTCAGTAGAAACTTCTTGACAATGACAAGATGTTGAAATTTAAAAAAAGGATTTAAAACCACCGAAGTGTCTGGCCTCCTCTCTTAGTGAAAGTTGATTACCACAGATGATAATATTTAGTTATATTTTAGTTAAAATACTATTTAATTATTAATAAAATAGTAAGAAATGTGATTAAAATATGCTGGGCTGATAATATATTATTGGTTTCTGTTTCATTAATAATAATTTATAAAAATGGATGAATACATCATCTCAAATGAAGATATCAATTCCTGACACAAGAGGTTTCTTTATTCACCTTTGGCTGCTTCAAGGTTTAATAATAGAAAGCTAAAGAAACCAAGAGGACAGAAGACTTTTATCACCTTCTAAATTTAGGGCTTTGAATGATAAGGACTTTATGTGTCACAACACTAAACAATTTCACCTACAGAGTGCTACAGTGAAATTACCACTTATTTGGGGTCCCCGAGATAGCACATTTCATTTTTACCTTGTTTTATTTTACCTATTTCCTGGGAGCAGGCTTAGTCCTACAAGGGAAATACAAAAGCTCCCTTCACACTATGATATGAGAACTGTAAATAGCCCTGCCTGGGAAAACTGATCTTATCCAGAAAGTTTACTGGGCAGACATCTGTACTGTTACATTAACTATGACTACATAGAAAAGCTCCAGTCTAAAATGTGTAAATACCATCTGACCAAGGCCTTTGGGCCCTCCTCTCTCACTAACACCCTAGGAGACGTTATCCTCCACAGTTAAGATGCTGATTTCCTGATGATGGGATGGGAATGGAAAGAAACATGAAGGCCAATCCGAGGAAGCAGCCCGCAGATGAAGAGAAATCTATTTCCATTAATATTTGCTAGGGCCAGGCTTGCAGGGAAGAAACTGGGTTTTAGTAGTTTCTCTGCTGATCCGTACTCATTATCAGCTGTAACAGACAAAAGATGAAGATGGGAAAAAGAGAAAAAGAAATTTAAAAGATGCAAAGGCAAACCATCAATACTCAACTTTCAAGATACTACAAACCAGAAATTGTGTGAGGAGCTTCTAAGAGCTGCAGTTTCCTCTCTGATTCTGGAGAGAAGAACAGTTCAGGAGAGATCAGAGTATTTTCTCATTTAAAAATGATGTAGCAGTTGCTAACTCTAAAATATTGCTGGGAAGATAATGATGCTCATTTGCCTCAGAACCAGACAAAGTGAGATTGGACTCCAACAGGAGGACCCCACGGATCCTATACTGCTTTAGGTAATATCACAATTCCTATATTCCCTTAAATTTTATTTTATACTTTAAACACAAATGCCATTGAACATCATGTCTATTCAGAGCTCACTATTTTTCTGACTCCTCATCAAGCAGCAGAGTTAATGGATTTTGCAAATCAACTGCATCATATGGCAAAAAGATTCCTGAAGTTAGAACCAGAACTAGGCTTGGTTGATTGGTATTGATTATCTTTGTAACCTTTTGTAATTCATATAAACTCATTGAGTCACACATAATATGGTGAATATCCTTATCCACATTAAGGATTTTTTTTCATGAACATTAAGTTGGACCTGGTATTGAGCAGAATACTTAATAAGTTAAATACATTATGTTATAAAAGTTGGGTCCTCCCTAACTACAATTTAGCCTATAATCAAAGGCGGAACATCAGTCACTGACTCTGTCCTAGAGTGTGGGAAAACACTGGGAACATTATCAATCCATCCAAGTGTCCGAGAATAACAGAAACCCCCGCTTTCAAAAAACTCTTTAGAATGAAAAACGTCACATAGAATCACATCGGCATCTTTGAGGGGAGATTTTTCCTGCATATCCTCTTCTGAACAAATTAAGTAATAAAAAGTAAGGCAGATGGGAAATCAAAACTTCATCTTTATAACTAGAAGTGAAATTGGGAGATCATAGTTTAGTGGGAGAGCCTGGTATAGCTGCTGGCTGAACCCACTAATTAGAAACACTTACCCACCCAATCAAAAGAGCACTGAGGCAGATCTTTTGCCCTTTCACCCTTCATGGGCAGAGCGTGTCCCAGGAGGAGCAGAGCAGAATGCATGTTTCCTGTAAATGGCTTGCTTTCAAGAGAAGGGTAAAACTGGGCTATGTATGCTCAATGTAGTTATCCATAATTAACCAATAGAACAAATCACCACACCACTGCCACCTTGGGGTGAAATGAGTAAATGGCAGACAGAGACCAGGAGTGAGCATATTTTGTCCCACAATCTAGGACAGAGTCAGAGTCATTTAACTGTGTTCCCAGCATAGGAAGGAAACATCAAAAGTAGATTAGGAAACATCCCTCGTAACAATTCTCTTTTTGATCTCTTGACCCCTTGGGCTTAACTCTCAATCCCCCATGGGAAAGGGACCAACAATCCTTCAGGATATTTTTGTTCCCATCTTGAGGCCATTTCCTCAATAAAACCATTGTTCCTTCAACTGACTAGAGTTCATATTTATTTACAGTGTGTTTAGATAAAATTTATATACACTACAAACCACTTTTGTGTTTGTATTCTAAATTTTTTTCTGCAACTAAAACTGTTGCTTTTTAAAGAATATCAACAAATAACATTTCTCTTTTCTGCCCCAATTCTGAGTAAATTGAGAAATAAAACAAATAGTAAGGCAGATGGAAGATCAACACAGAGGTAGCTTAGTGATCGAGTCAAATGGGCTTGCCAGATGAACTCCAGAAGTGGGCACAGTTCCTTGCCCAGCCAGTGCCAATCCTGCAGGGAGAAATCCTGTCCTGGAAGAAATGGAGCAGAATGCCTGCTCCCTGATGGCATTTTATTTCCAAGGGGAAGAGGAGCTGAATTGGGCAATGTCTGCAAAGTCAGTCTCCCCAGGTCGATCAATTAGTACATCTTCTAATCCTACCTTTCATCTTGCCTTGGGGTGAGCAAAGGGGCAGGGATAGTCTAGAAATTATATCAGCTTCCTTCACAGAAAGAAAACAGCAAATACTAGGGAAAAAAGTGCCCCCACCACACTATTTTAATACTGTGTTTATTTAGAAATTTTATATATTTCATTTTTTCTCAAATTCCAGTGGTAATTCATGCTACTTGCAACAAGTAAAACAATATAATACAACACTATATACGGGCAAAGGTCATCACTGCTGTTCCCATGTGCCATTACAGCTCTTCCTAAGATGATCAAACTTGTCAACCTTTCGATGTATGTATCCTTCTAATCATTCTGATTTTTCCTTTTCTAAAATATTTTCTTCATTTTGTTAATAATGCTTCTGCTATCCATGGGTAGCAAACGTATGTTCCTTGATATTCTTGCAAGAAATAACAGTTATTTCCCAGTTTCTGTTGGTCAGAAACTCAGGCACAGTTTAACTGGGTCTCCAACTTCATGAATTGTCACAGGCTACAACCATGCTGTTGGCCTGGGCTACTCCATCTCAAGGCTCAAGTGAGGAAGGACCTACTTTCTTTTTTTTTCTTCTTTTGAGACGGAGTCTCGCTCTGTCACCCAGGCTGGAATGCAGTGGTGCGATCTCGGCTCACTGCAAGCTCCGTCTCCCAGGCTCACGCCATTCTCCTGCCTCAGCCTCCCGAGTAGCTGGGACTACAGGCACCCGCCACCACGCCCGGCTAATTTTTTTGTGTTTTTAGAGACAGGGTTTCACCGTGTTAGCAAGGATGGTCTGGATCTCCTGACCTTGTGATCCGCCGGCCTCGGCCTTCCAAAGTGCTGGGATTACAGGCCTGAGCCACTGCGCCCAGCCAGGAAGGACCTACTTTCAAGCTCACTCAAGTTGTTGCTGGAAAGAAACAGATCTCTGTAGGTTGTTTGTTCCTCCCTGGCTGTTGCCTAGAGCAGCACTCTCTGACCTTTTTAGCACCAGGGACTGGTTTCATGGAAGACGATTTTTCCATGGACCGGGATTGTGGGGCATGGTTTTGGGATGATTTAAGCATGTTACATTAATTGTGCACTTTATTTCTACTATTATTACATTGTAATACATAATGAAATGATTATACAACTCACCATAATGTGGAATCAGTAGGAGCCCTGAGCTTGTTTTCCTGCAATGAGATGGTCCCATCTGGGGGTGATGAGACACAATGACAGATCATCAGGCATTAGATTCTCATAAGGAGCAAACAACCTAGATCTCTCACATGTGCAATTCACAGTAGGGTTCATGCTCCTGTGAGAATCTAATGCCACTGCTGATCTGACAGGAGGCAGAGCTCAGGTGGCAACGCGAGTGATGGGGAGCAGCTGTAAATACAGATGAAGTTTCACTGCCTCCTCCGCTTCTCACCTCCTGCCATGTGGCCTGGTTCCTAGCAGGAAACAAACAACTACTGGTCCATGGCCTGGGAGTTGGGGACTCCTAGTCTAGAGGACTTCAATACAGCAAGCAAGCAAGAAGAGTCAAAGAGAGCAAGAGTGCTAGTAAGACAGAAGTCACTATCTTTTGTAACCCAGTCTTAGAAGTGGTAGCCCATCATTTTTGCCATATATTTAATAAAATTCAAAGCAAATCTCTAGGACCAGCCCAGACTCAAGAGAAGGGAATTGCACAAGGGTGTGAATTCCAGGAGACAGAGATTATTGGAGACGATATTAGAAGTCAGTCTACCACACAGCCCTAAAACATTGTTGCTTCATTGTTTAAAGCAGGCGTCTTTGGCTTCCAATTTTAGTGTCTTACCATTCAGAGTAATACTTGTTTTTCTTTCATAAATAGTGTTTATCTATTCTTATATAACTTAGAATTTTTACATTAAGGATACCTGTTGCAGACCATTAAATACATTTTCAGCATCTATTCGTGTAATCATATACTTTTTCCTTTAATTTAAATGAATTGAGTTAGGTTGACAGATTTCCCAATAATAAAAATAAAATAAGACTTGCATTCTTGGAATATGACTCCACTTAGTCATAGAATATTAATCTTTTGCTATACTGTTGATTTTATTGGTGGCTTTTTATTTATAATTTTTTAATCTACATTTAATACAAATAATTGTTTATAGCTTTCTTTTGTATATTATCTTTATAAAATTTGATATTCAACTTAAGCTGGATTTATGAAAGGAATACTTAGTTTTCCATCTTTTTCTGAAGTTGAAAATGGTTTTAACAAATGATAGAATCATCTGTTATTTTAATGGTTAGATAAAATTCAGCCTTGAGCCCATCTGGTTCTGACATCATTATAATGGAAGTAGTTCTTCAATCATCTTTTCATTCTCTTCTATGGTAATTGATTTAATCATGTTTTTTATGTGTTAATTTAATTTAGGCATTTTATATTTTGTCAAGAAGTTTTCTATTCTATATTTTTCAAATTTGTTACTCTGGAGTTACATATTATTTTCTAATTCTTATCTTTCCAAATTATCACACTTCTACTTGATTTTCTATTCCCCGTTTTATAATCACATTAGATGCCAAAGTTCTTTTGGGAATAAAGTAGTGGATAAGTATACACACACCTACATAGATGCATAAATGCATTAATGAATCAATCACAACACCCTGGTCTATGGGATCCAATATGTAGCATAGTACTTAGCACATGGCAGTTCACTGAGAACTACTGAATACATAAATCACCTCATACCTGCTGTATTAGTCACCTCAGGCTGCCATAGTCAAATACAACCAACCAAGTGTCTTAAACAATAGGAATTTATTTCTCACAGTTCTGGAGGGTGGGAAGTCCAAGATCAAGCTGCTGGCTGATTTGGTTCCCTAGTCAGGGCTCCTTTTTTGCAGCCTTCCTGCTGTGTCCTCACATGGTAGAGACAGAGAGAGAGGAAGTAAGCTCTGTAGCATTTCTTCTCATAAGGGCACTAACCTCATCATGATCAGGCCCCACTCTCCTGACCTTGTCTAAATCTCATCACCTCCCAAAGGCCCCATGTCCAAATATCACCACACTGGGGATTAGGCCTTCAATATATGAATCTGGGGGTGACACAATTCAGTCCATAGCACTTACATTACTACCTAATCTTCATGTTGTGGGTTTGTGTCTTCTAAAAAAGTTTCTTTAAGCCCTAATCTGTGGTACCTGTGAATAGGACCTTATTTGGAAATAGGACCTTTGCACATGTAATCAAGTTACAATGAAGTTATAGCAGATTAGGGTGTGTCCTAATCCAATGAACGATGTCCTTAAAAGAAGAGGGAAATTTAGATGCAAATATAAATAGGGAGAGAGCACAATGTGACCACAAAGGCAGAGACTGGAGTGCTTCATCTACAAGCCAAGGAACACCAAGGAGCGCCAGCAACTGCCAGAGCTTGAAGAGAGGCATGGAACAGACTCTCCCTCAGTGCCTCCAGGAGGAAGCAATCAAGTCGGTATCTTGACTTCAGACCTCTAGCCTCTAGAACTATGAGACAATAAATTTGTGTTGTTTCAAGCCACCTAGTTTGTGGTACTTTGCTATGACACCTCTAGGAAACTAATATACCTCATGTCTATTGTCCTTAATTCTAGCTGTTCTACCTTTGAACTATTCAGCTTAATTCAGACAGAAAAATCTTTCCTAAAAGTTATTCACATGATGTCCCTTCTTTGTTCAAAATGACAAATGATACACCATTTCCTCCAATTATTACTAAATGCTTGTTTGCCTTATTTTCAAGATCTCGAACAGTTATATATTTTTCCATGCTTTCCTCTTTTGAACCAAGCTAACTTTTTACTGTCCCCAAACACTCCACATTCTCTTCTGCTTTCACGGTTTGCTCCCTTCATGCAGTCTCTCTACCATCCTTCTGTTGAAATCACATGCTTTCTTTAAGGTCAACATTAAAATTAAAATCAATCTTTTCATTTATCATGCCAACACTTCTTATCTCTTTGCTTTGAATTCAAAGAAACGCTATCATCTATACCACAAAATTTGGCTTGTTATTAAATATTGTAATTACAAGGGTTTTATCTGTGTTTGTCTTGATGACTACTCTTTAAGGTGAACACCATTTTATACTTCTGAGCATCTTTCATTCCTAGCACAGTAATAAGATATGCAAGAAAGAGTTTCTAATTAATGTGTGCCCACCACATGCATACTAAATATTGTTCCCACCCCCACATACATAATAAATATTGCATTTAATCATACATGCATAAGTCCTGGCTAAAGACAACTCTGTTATGACCTACTTCATTAGTAATGCCTTTGTCCTAAATTTTTTGCTACTTTAGAAAAACTCAGAGGAAAAGAAGCTTCATTTAGTCAAAATTCAAAACAAGATCTCAGGTGTGGGGATGATCCAGCAGGTCATTTTGAAAGTGCTCTGGTTTGAGGTAACATAGTGTTTCTTTCACAAACATAATAATCCATTATAGTCAGAGAGCACGATATGGAAACAGAATTTCTCTTCTGTCATTCATGGGAGTCGAGAGCTACCTTGTAGGAGATGTGAACTATCTGCTCCTATGTCTGTCCCTAGTTTATGCCTTTGACAATAGTTATTCAGTATCTGGAAAAGTGATTATCTAGATTTTGCCTCTCCCCATTGACAGTCTAATCACTGGCAGTTTCAAATGAAACTCAGCACCTGTGCTCACGTTAACCACTACTGCAGCCTCCTTCCTGATGGATCTGTAGTGTTCTCTCCTTTGCTCACTCAGCTCTGACCACAGGGCCAACCTGCTGCTCCTCAAACTTGCCCACGAGCACATGCAGTTCTCTGACTGCAATGTTCGTTCTCCACATATCCTTAGTCTCCTTACTTCATTCAAGTCTCTCCTTCAATGTCACCCCCTCTGTGTTAAAATACAGTGTATTAATAGAAATGTGGAGGTATTGTAAGGGCAATAGACCAGGAGGTAAATTCCACTGAAAGGACAGTTTGTTACTCACAGTTGCCAAGAACAGGGGCATGACCCACCATGGTGGACCCAGCGGGGAAACACTAGGGCCAATCAGGAGGCAGAAGGTTGTGGGGACAGCTGTGGGTAAAAGCTTCTATTACAGTGTCCAGGGGAAGGGAAGCAAGTTTAGGATGGACTAGTTTGAATAATTTCAGTGGGGTTGTCCCTAGTTATCTGGTGTCTGGCCCTGAGGTGATGAGAGCAGATGGATAGTGGACTAGAATATGACAAACGATAAAGGAGGGGGTTAGGGTCTGGGATCTGGATTCCTTGGTTTGGATTTGGAAAGCACATCCATGAGTTGTTTACTATCTCTAAGACTTGGCTATCCCTGAGAGAGGCAGTCCCTCCAGGATCAGCCAGGCCCCAGGGATGAAAGCATCAGAATACAGAAAATAAAGGATGCAGTTAAGGCAACCCTCAAAGAGGCATTCCCTTATACCTTAAGGAAGCATCTCACTCCCCACCACCAGTCTCCATCCTCTGCTCTTTTATTCGACTTTATGGCACTTCATGGAATGTATCTGATAAATATTTTTCACGTCTTTCTTCAGTAGAATAACTTCATCAGAACTTACATTTCAATGCAAGTCAAAACCACACCAGTAAGAATGGCTATTATTAAAAAGTCAAAAAACAACAGATGGTGGTGAGTTTATTGAGAAAAGGGAATGCTTGTACACTGTTGGTGGGAGTGGAAATTAGTTTGGTCATTGTGGAAAGCAGTTTAGAGATTTCTCACAGAACTAAAAACAGAACTACTTATTCAACTCAGCAATCCCATTACTGGGCATACACCCAAATAAAATAAATCATTCTACAAAAAGACACATGCACTCATATGTTCATCACAGCACTATTCACAATAGCAAAGACATGGAATCAATCTAAGTGCCTATCAATGACAGACTGAATAAAGGAAATGTAAGTACATATACACCATGGAATACTATACAGTCATAATGAAGAGCAAAGTCATATCCTTTGCAGCAACATGGATGCAGCTGGAGGTGGTCATCCTAAGTGAATTAATGCAGGAACAGAAAACCAAACACCACGTGTTCTCACTTGTAAGTAGGAGCTAAACATTGGGTACTCATGGACATAAAGATGGGAACAGTAGATACTGGGTACTACTAGAGTGGGGAGAGGGACAGGGAACAAGAGCTGAAAAACTCTACCTATTGGGTACTATGTTCACTACTTGGGTGATAAGATCATTTGTACCTCAAACCTCAGTATCACACAATATACCCATGTAATAACCTTGTACATGTACCCCCTGAATCTAAAATAAAAGCTGAAATTATTTTAAAAACCCTTTTATTTCAAAAGGTTATTACTGTCTTCACCATAAGAAGAGGACTTAAGCTCTGTTCCCAGCCCACAGTACATACTCGGCAATACTTATTAAATAAATGAATAAACATATAAATGGGTACTTATAGCTCAGGCTATAATTTTCCATCCGTAATAGTATCATATGTGAATTCTGTTTCACAAAATATTACATGAAAGTAAAGATGAAATACTCCAGAAAAATGTGTTTGATGATACTAAAATGTGTTTAGTAATGACAGAGATTGTTATAAAAAGTATATGTAAAGGGTTCAAATAAATTTTTTCAGAAAATGTAAGAATAAAAAAGCAATATTTCTAAATTAAACAACACTATGATATATATTATGCAATATTCTATGTACTTATAATACAGACGTGAACTGCATAAAAACATTTTGGTCAATGATAGACTACATTCACTCTGGCGGTCCCATGACATTATAAAGCTACATTTTTACCATACCCCTTCTATGTTTATTTCTATGTTTTGATACATAGATACCATTGTATTACAATTGCTGCAGTATTCAGTATAGTAACATGCCATATATTTTGTAGTCTAGAAGCAATAGGCTGTATCATATAGCCTAGGTGTGTAGCAGGCTATACTATTTAGGTTTGTGTAAGTATACTCTGTAATGTTTGCACCACATCAAAATCACCTAATGACACATTTCTCCAAATATGTCCCCACTGCTAAGCAATGCATGGCTGTACATGTTAATTAAACATTATTTTATTTATAATTAACATGTGTACCACAAATTAACACATCAAGCATTGTAAAAATGCATATATTCAACTTGGTCAAAAAATTATCCTTGGGAAAATTATCTTATCAGGATTACGTTATGTTCAGGCATATAAAGTATTCTTTGAGTCTACTTAACTTAGGATTATATTCATGTCAAGGCATTGTTTTAAAGAATTTTTGCTGGAAAGTCATTAAAATGTCAAAAAGAGAAAAAATTCTTTCCAGAGTCAATGAATGTCAGTCATGGAAACAACACGTATATCATCAATGCCCTATCTCCTTTTCTGTTCTCATCCCAGAAGTGAAGAGATCAGTTCTTCTTTGCAGAGCACCAGAAGCAGTAATCACTTGCAAAACAAACTAAAGTGCTAAGAAAAGAATTACCTTCCCTTCAGTACAGCTATGCAAGTAATTAAGAATGACTTCTTGGGTTTTTTAAATTAAGAACTTTTTTTTTTAGAGACGGGATCTCTGTTTTGCCCAGGCTGGAGTGCAGTGGCTTTTCTCAGGGGCAATCATAGCACACTGCTGCCTCCAACTCCTGGCCTCAAGAAATCCTCCCGCCTCAGCCTCAGCCTCAGGGATAGCTGGGACTACAGGTGGGTACCACCCAGCCCAGCTTAAAGGCTTCTTCTTAAAAGTCCTGGAGGAAAAAAAAACCTTAAAATTTGGAGGCTCGATGAAGCCCGAAAGAATGATAGTCTGTTGGTGAAACTGAGATAAAAAAGGAAGGTTTGGGAGATGGTGTGTCTGATAACTGGATCATATATTTTGAGTCTGAAGTGGTGTGGTACAACTAACGGGCCCTGAAAAGGAGTGTGTTGAGCAAGACTGAAGGTTCTCAAACTTAAAAGCACATTAGAATCAATCGCAGAACTTTTATTGATGGCAGCCCATCTCCCTTCTCCAGAAGGGGAATTCAGTGGGCCTTGGGTGAGGCAAAGGCATTTTTTAAGTGCCCTGGCTTAGGGTGGTAAATCTCTTGGACAGATACAGAAGTCAGGTTCAGTCTGTTGAGGTGGAGTAATTATTCCCAGCTTAAGTCAATGTGGTTGGTTGATAAGAAAAATGAGAGGGGGTCAGACCCAGGTTTACATTCCATTCTGCCACTTCCTGGGTGTTGGGATCTTTGACAAGGAAATTAACTTTTCTGAGACTCCCTTCCCCTATTCTGTATTATATAGATAATAATATCTCTTTTATAAGACTGATGTGAAAAGATGGAAGGCTGCTGGCTTATGTCCCCAAATATTTTTATTCTTTTTTTCTCCTGTTCCTACATTGAAGTCTTGGAAAGGTGGTTATTTTTAAGCCATTTGGATAGTTACTGATTTGTAGCATGTACTTACTTTTCTGTGAAATAAAAAAGTTAATGACCAATTATGATCTTCTGTGCTGACCATGTTGCACATTCTATTTACTGGATGCCAAGGGGGCAATGATAGCCATGGTACTGATTAATAGAGTCTTGTGACAGATGGGATTCATTTAAACTTCTAAGACAGTAATTGCTTACATTCAACTGTGGAAAGTCTACATTAAAAATCCAGATGGAACATGGAACTTACTTTCAATGTGCGTGTATAATGTATACTGGTATTAAACATGCAGACACATACATATCTCTGTGGCCTTCATATATATCTATGAAGACTCATGTGTACTTCATTTCCTTGTACACATCATAGAACTCAAAATTCTCCATTTTCCAAGTTATGCAGGCTATTTTGACAGAAAAATAATAATATTGTAACCAAGAAATAGTCTGTGAGCCTTAGTGATGAAATAAAGGATGGAAAGGAAGGAAGGAGGGAGGGAAGGAAGGGAGGGAGGGAGGGAGGAAGGAAGGAAGGAAGGGAGGGAAAGAGAGAGAAAGAGAGAAGAAAGAAAGAAAAAGAAAGAAAGAGAGAGAGAAAAGAAAAGTAAAGAGAAAAGAAAAGAAAGAGAAGAAGAGAGGGAGGGATGGAGGGAGGGAGGGAAAAATGTAAAAGAGAGAGAAAAAGAAAGAAAGCAAGAGAGAGGAAAGAAGGAAAGGAAGGAAAGAAAAAAGCCCAGTGAATTGGACCAGAAAGAAATATCTAGGGAGGCCTTTAAGGTAATTTGTGCTAATGATGTAGTTTGCAAATCTAGCTGAATTAAACATTCAATCTGCCCACTCCCATATGGAAATGTTTCTACTGACATTGTTCCCTTGGCAAACACCCATCTTCTCTTAATCATTAGAATTTATTAACTACAGTACTAGGAAAGAGAGCCAAACGCATGTGGCCACAAAAATGCCTTCTCATTGTTATTCAACTTTAAATAATAATGTACAAAATTATATAATATAATCCAATAATAATCATTATTATTGTGGTTTTCAAACTTGGCCTTCCAACTCCTCATTTTTATTTTCCCTGTCTTGAGTTCCAAAAAACCAAAGCTGAAGACAAAGTTCATATGAAATTGATTTATTAAAGGAATGCTTATGGGGGGATACTTTTTCACTGGTCTCTCCTATTTCTGTGTATGTTATAAATAGAGACACTGGCTGCATTTATTCTTAATTGTTTTTTCAACGTATTTATATAGCAGAGCCATGGAAGCTAGAGACACTGTCTTCATCCATAACAAAAGGTAGGTGTGTTTATTGTTTAGTATAGTAAAGATAACATTTTCTTCCAAGACAAAGGTTAGGCAAGTTTGCTTAGTTCTCAATATAAAAGATTGAGGTTCCCTAAACTCAAGTTTTCTCTTCTGTAATGCAACCTACCGTGTATCCAAGTGTCATCCGGCTCTCTTTGCATCACCCTGTGGATAATGCCACTTGCCATAAACTGTTCTTTGTCTCTGACACAAGAGTCTCCTTTCTTCTTCTAGCATCCATGAAACTGTGGCAGGTTAACTTATTAGCTTGCAAGTAAAAACCAATCTCAGACCTTTAAAGTCCTGACCGCTTTAGCAATAAGGATGGGGTTCTGCTAAAGACATGATTTCTGAAAGGGGAAGAATGAAGGCTTCTTGAACCAATTAAGAGAATGTGAAATACATTCAGGGGAATCTGTAGTGAATATCCTGACCAAGTTGTATGGTCAGCCAGGCAAAGAGTAGTCCTCAATTTAATACCTGGTAATGAAAATGAGGAAGGTGGTTGCAGGTCGAATCCTGGGAAGTAGGTTAAAAGACAGCTGCCAGGTGGCGCCTTTGTTGTTGCTAATTTTCCTCTGCGTGGTGAGACTTCCTTAGCAATTTAGCCGTCAGCCTCAAGTCCACCCCACTGTCACAACTAGTATAAAAATGGGCAGCAGAAATTTCCAGCACTCTACAGAAAACAGTTATAAAGATGCACCCCTACACTAAAGTGTGAAAGGAGAAAAATTCACAACCACTAAGGGAAGAAATCAGTTGACTTGTTAGAACTTTGGTATACATACTGGGAAATTCTTCCAGAAACCAGGAGGTTGTAGAAATGAGAGAATTGCTGAGTGACAGTTCTCTATGGGTCTCTCATGTTTCTCCATGTCCTGGGAGCAGAGGCATTGGTTACCAATGCTCTGGACTATCTTTTACGAAGTGTTTGTATAGTGAACAGCTTTGGAAGACAAAGAGAGTAAATCCTTTCACAACAAAGTGCTGGTTTGCTTACTTCCTGTTATAAAAGATTCAGAATCCTGAAGCTCAGAGTGTTTGTAATGGAACTGCACGTGCAGTTGTCATCTGGCCCTGTTTGAAAATAAGGGCTTGGGGAACCTATGCCAAAATAATGATACTCTGGCTACTGCTATTGCTATGTGTACAAAATTGTTCTTTGTTTCTGACACAGGAGTCTCCTGTCTTCTTCCAGCATTGATAAAACTGTGGCAGGCTAACTTAGCTTGCAACTAGGGCAACCTACCCCTGTTCACAGTCCTTGACAGTGCTCTCAGGAGAAAACTGCAGGGGAGGGAGAGAAGCAGAATGGGGAAGGGGCAAGACAGTGAGTTCAGATGGAATCTATGCTTATCTCAATCTAATGGTGGACAAGTAGAGTTTAAATTGCACTTCAGAGTTCATCCTACTAGTGGTTTGAGTGGGTCTTTTTTATCCCCCGACCCCAGACAGTCATTGGTTTTTGGCCACCCAGGAGTGATACTGGGGAGAGCACACCATCCAAGCACCGCCTAACAGGAAGGCTGCAACATCCAGGGGAAGTCCTCCAGAGACAGCTGACTTATGGATTAGCAGCAGCACCCACAACAGCCTGTGAATAGAATCCCTAGGCACCAATTGCATCAGGTACACGGATATTAATTAAATGCTCCTAATGTGGACAGCAGTGTTTTAAGGTGAGTGTAGTTCAAGCCAAGGTTGCACAATGAAAGGAAGCAATTTTGGATTAGTATGATGGCTCTAGACAAGGTCAAATCAAGGGAGAAGCAATGACCTAGTGGCTCTAGAAGCTGGCCAGCAGCCTGCCAAAAGACAGTCATATTGGCAAAAAAAGAGAAAAGCTAGAGAAACAAAGATTTGTTTTCCTGCCTATGTGTTATCCTTCTGTTCTCCCCCTTTAGAATACGGTCCTTACAAACCATGGAAGAGAAGATGTGGCCTCTCCTAATTTGGAGAGAAGGGCAAGACATATCTTTTAAAAAGAAGATTTTAAAATTACATCAAATATGAATAAATTGCTGGGGTAAACTGTAGGGCCACTTCTGTAGTACTGATTTGTTGTGTTAGACAGAAGTTTTAAAATAAAAAAGAAGACATAAAATAAAAGATGTTTTTTTAAATAGGCATTCAGAGCGAGTTTTTAAAGCTTCAGAGCTATTCCGGGATAGCACCCCACCAAAGTGATAAGTCATGCTTCTGGAACAAAATAGCATCTTTGGATTGTGGCAGCCCCACGTACCCAATGTTATGTACTTTTGTCCAAATAACTTTTGTAGAGCAAGAAACTCTCCTTAAATCACACTAGTTTCTAGTAACTGTACTTCAGCAGTTACATGAGATAAAAAAATTAAAATGTCAATAGCAAATGTCTCTGCTAAGGGTGCCTTCACAGTTGATCAGCTTGATAGTGCTGTAAAAGGCAGCCTGTGCTTTGGGCCTATTTTGGGTCAGCCATATGATCATTTGTCCACATTGGTCCAGTAAATACAACCTAGAAAAGACTACTTTCTGTGGTAGAAATGAACAAAGAGTGTGAGCAGTTAGCGCAACATCCAGAAAACTCCTTTTGTCTTGTAAATCGTAAGTTAGATTGGATAGATGTAATTGAGAAAGTTCAGACTTAATAGGACCAATCCGAGTCATAGAACTTTAGGGGACATTCTGAGCAATGACAAACCTGATGGGCATTTATTGAGTTAACTCTCTACAATCTGGTTTGGGCATTTTTTTTTTATCAGTCTGTACTACCTCTTTTCTTCATTTTTGCGGGGAACATAAGGAAAGATCGTGATAGCTTAAATAAAGTTTCTGGTAAATTTTTGAGTGAATAAAGCTACATTTTCAGAAATGTAAATATATGATGACAACTATACAACAAATAGAGAACCCAGAATTAAACTGGATTATGCAAAATAGCCTGGCAGATGCCACATTCTTTGAAAGGATCAAAAATATTTGCCTCTCTTCTATTTGGCTCAAGAGTATGTTTTATTTGGGTGTTTCACTGACTCTGCAATATTTTAAGTAGTTATTAAATACGTTTGCCATAAAAGCTTAGCGGTCTTGTCCTGTAACAGGCCCTCTTAACTCATTTGTGTTAGTTCTTGGACTCTGAGAACTATTTGGGTTTATAACCTTTGATCTGTTTTTTTCAATATCAGAATCAAATGAATAGATAGATCCTAATAAATGATTTCATATGAGTAAGGTCTGAATATGCTGAATGCTCTATGACGAAGATATTGTGACAATTGACTTCAGGAATAAAAACATGATTTCATAATAAAAATAATTATTATGGAAAAGTAACTCTCAATAATACATACATTCTTCAGAAAGTATTATAGCATTTTCTTACTTTAAAATATTACATATAGATGGAAAGATAGATATAGCATGTATTTTAAATTAACAAATACACGTAAGGTAAAAGTTCATGAAAAACCATGGAGGTCATGAGAAAGAACTTGGGCACTATCCCCATAAACCTAAGTCCCTATAGCCTTGCAAATTATACTCACTACCTGCCCCACTCCGTAAAATGTAACCACTCTTCTAAATTTTGTGACAATAACATCTCTTTTTTTATAGTTTTACCATGTGCAAATGACATTGATAAAGTAAGATTTTAGTTTTGCATGTTTCTGAACTCGTGAGATCATACTGCATATGTGACTTTGTGTCTTGTCTTTTTAACTTAGCAACATATGTGTAAAATTCATCCATGTTGATGTTTGCAGCAATAGTTTACTTGTGTACATTTTATATAAATTTTATAGATGTATCATAATTTATATATCATGTTGACATATATGGTTTTCAGTTTTGAAATAACGCTACAGGTATTTTAGTGCATATTTGCATGATATTCTTCAGGTATGTACTTAGAGTGGATTTCCTAGATCATAGCATGATTTTTCAGTCTTATTAGTTAATGCCAATCTGTTTCCAATTGGTACATGCTGGTATCAATTAACATTCCCACCAGCAGACAATGAGAATTATTGTTTACATTCTCACCAATAATGGGTTAGTCAATTTTATTTTTAATTTTTGAAAATCAGTTGAGTGTTAATTGCATAATATCTTTAAGTTTTGTAATAGAAAAATGTTTATAAGCATACATTAATATATACAGAAACATATAAATCATAGCTGAACAGTTCATGAATTATGAAAAATAGACCCAACTGTGTAGCTACCACACGGGGCAAGAAATTGAAAATTATCAGCACCTCAGAAGTCCTTTTCCTGTCCCTTTTCCCAAACACCACCCTCCCTTTCCTTCTCCCCAAAGGTAATTACTATCTGGATTTCTGACACTATCGATTTGCCTAATTTTGAATTTTATATAAATGAAGTCATGGGTGTGTGTGTGTGTGTGTGTGTGTACATATACGCATATATATAGTCTCTGGTTTTAGTCACCCAACAATATGTTTATGAGAGTCTTCCATGTTGTTGCATATAGCATTAATTTACTCTATTCTACTCCACAGTATTCTATTATTTGAATAAACCACTATGTATCGCTTTGTCTTTTGATAAGTGTTTGGCTTGTTTTTCATTTTTTGGCTTTTATAAAACACACTTCTACAAACATTTCTGTACATGTCTTTGGGTACATATCTGCATGTGTTTCTGTTGAGCATATACAGACATGGGGTAGAAATGCTGGGCCATAGAACGTGCATATGTTTACGCTCAGTGGCTAATTCCATAGAAGTTACCAATTTACACTCTCATCAGCAGAGCAAAGGCTGCCTGTGGCTCCACACCACGTCCTACACTAAGTCTTAGTTACTATATAGCCCTTTTGGTGGATATATTGTGATATCTCATTATATCGTTAATTTTAAGTTCCCTGATTACTAATGAGGTTGCACATCCCTTCACACATTTATTAGCCGTTCAAATATTCCTTTTGTGAAATATCTGTACAATTTTCATGCCCATTTTGCTACTGGGTTGTCTGTCTGTTACAGATCTGTAAAAGGTTTTATGTATTTTGGATATGAGCCCCTTTCATATATGGCTGGATTCATTTTGTTAATATTTTATGTAGAATTTTTGCATCTATGTTAATAAACAAAGCTAACCTATAAGTTTCCAATTTTTATTGTTCATTCCAAGTTTTAGAATCAAAATTATGCTAGCCTCATAAAACAAGTTGGAATATATTCTTTTTCTTATTTCTGCAGAACATTGTATAAAACTGGTGAAATTTCTTCTTTAAATGTTTGAAATGATTCACACATGAAGCCAAATGTGACTAGAGTTTTCTTTGTGGGAAATTCTAAATGATGGATTCAACTTCTTTAATAGGTACAGATTTATGCAGATTTCAGATATTCTATTAATTCTTGTGTTTATTTTGATAAGGTATGTTTTCTAGGAGTTTACATTTTATCTAAATTTTCAAACTTTTGGGAATGCATTTGTTCACAAGATGTTATAATTTTTGAGTTTATAAAAGATATTTTTTCATTACTGATACTAGTTATTTGTACTTTTTTCCATTTTTCTTGAAAAATTCCACTAGGAGTTTATCACTTGTATTATGTATGTCAAATGACAAACTTTGCTGATCCTCTGAATTCTACTTCTATTTTTCTTTCCTTCTACTTTCTTTAGACTTAACTATTGTTCTTTTACAAACTTCTTCATTTATATGCTTAGGTCATCAATTTTTAGACTTCCTTTTTTTCTAACATATGCATTTAAGGTAATAAATTTCCTTCTAAGCACAACGATCATTATATTCCAGACGAGTTAAGTATTTTTCATTACAATTCAGTTAAAATATTTTCTAATTTCCATTCTTTCTTGACCCATGGGTTATTTAGAAGTATAATCCTGATTTCCAAACATATGGAAATATTCCAATTAGCTTTATGCTATTGGTTGTTATCTTAATTGCACTGTGATTAGAGAAAATGGAACGCACTCTGTATTAAATTCTCTTAAATTTGGTAGGATTAACTTTATGGACTGCCGTATCTTTTGTAAATGCTACACATGTGTCTGAAAATAATGTTTATTTAAAAATCATGAGTGCACTCTTTTAGAGGTTTCCATTTGGTCGAGTTTGTCAACTGAAATGTTCGTATCTTCTGTATTCTTACCATAATTTTGTCAAAAACTCCCTGTTTATTAGTTACTGAGGCAGTTGTATTAAATTGTCTCACTGTGTGATATGGTTTAAATGTTTGTCCCCTCCAAATCTCATGGTGAAATGCCATTCCCAAAGTTGGAGGTGGGGCCAATGGCGGGAGATTGGATGGGGGCCAATCCTTCATGAATGACTTAGCACCTCCCCTTGGTGATGAGTTTGTTCACATGAGGGCTGATTGTTTTAAAGAGGCTGGCCTTCTCTTCTCACTCTTTTACCCCCACTCTTGCCATGTGACATGCTGCCCCCTTCACTCTACCCTCGTCACTTTCCACCATGATTGTAAGCCTCCTGGAGCCCTCACCAGAAGCCAAGCAGGTGTTGGCACATGCTTCTTGTACAGCCTGCAAAACTGTGAGCCAATTAAACCTCTTTCTTCATAAATTACCCAGTCTCAGGTATTTCTTTATAGCAATGAAAAAACAGTCTAATACACATTAATATTTGATTTTATCTACTTATTCCTTTAATGTGTGCAATTTTGCTTTACATATTTTGAGGTTATATATTATATGGATACATATTTAGGATTGTTATATCTTCCTGGTGAGTTGATCACAAAACATCTTTCTTTTTCTTTAAGAATGACTTCTCCACAAAGACTATTTGTTTGTTATTAATACACTAGCTTTTTTTCCATTACTATTTGCATGGTTTATTGTTTGTATACTTTTACCATAAGTCTTTCTGTAACCTTATGTTTTCGATGTCAGATTGTAAGCAGGAAATAACTGGATTTTTTTAAATTTGCATGGCCATCTTTGTTTTTTATAGGAGTCTCTAGTCAATGTAAATTTAATGTAATTACCAATCTATTTGGGTTTAAAGGTAGATTTCTACTCTTATTGAGTTTACTATCCTTACAACCCCCTGTACATTTGCAGTTGAGAATGCTCTCCAAACCTAATTTTGATTTGATATGAAGGATATATGAGAATAGTCCTCAGAAAAAAATGAAGAGAAGGAATTGAAGCCTAAGATGAGCAAAAAATCATGTGATCTGGGCAATTTATGTCTCAGAATACTGAGATCACTTTCTAAAAGATGCATGAAACATTGTCAATGATCTTTCAAGAACTATGGAGAAAGAAGTGCTAAAAGCATAGGACAATATATAGTTTTGATTTTTCATTAAAAAAAAGAAAGATTATTTTCCTCTGGACAGAAATCTTGGAGAAACTTCTAAAATCAATGTCTTAGAATGGTTTGTGAGGCAATCTTCAGAAGAAGAAATGGTGATAATCAAGCCAGAAGATGTTCATTCAAAACATCATGTGAAATTATTTACATTTTCTTTTTGTGAAAGGATAACTAAGCCCACCAAACAGACAGTGATAGATACAATGATTCTGGAATTTAAGCCATCTGACATAATATCCATTGGACAGGCTGGAGAAATTTGGGCATTATGACATTACAATTTGGCTAATTAAAACTGATTAATCAGTGGTTGCTAAATGTGCTGATCAATTTCCTTGGATCCAACCGATTCACCCTTTCAAGCAATCACTTGAATAAATACATAGAAGAGTGCTTATAAGATAGGTGGGTGACATGAAGCTATGAGAGGTGCAATATGTTTTGAATGACAGAACAAGTTTCAAAAGGATCTCTCAAGCCATACTTCATTTATGACAGGTAAAGTCAAGAACTTGAATCCAAATATAAAACTGAGGAGATCGGGCTTAACAGCAGCATGTGCGAAAAGAGTTCTTAAACCCTTTAGGTCCAAGTTGAGAGTAAGTTCAATATGGGGCAGCAGTGCAGTGGAGCTTCCAGAAAGTATTACATATCAAACAAAGAAACAGTGGCAGTGGTCAGATATACTTGTAATGTCAGGTTTATTTCACCCCCTCAGTAATCCCATGACACTCACTGAAATGTGGTATGTCATCAGAATTTTAGAAGCCAGAGTCTTCACAAAGCAATGGAAAACTCCAAAGGCAAAGAAATTCCAAAGCAAAGGAATGTAATTTGGCAGTGTGCTTGATGAATGATCATGGCCTGTGTATCTAGAATACTATCACCAAAGACAAGCTGTTGATATGCTAGAGCAAGATAGGGTTTTACAAAGACTTTCCCATTCCCCTTAGTGAAATTCACAGAAAGTTGCTCATCTGACCGAAAGCAGGGGAAAGAGGAGGAACTGTAAGTCCCTCATGGATAGTGCACTTGGGTTCTTTCTTTATCAAGACTTCCTTTTCCACTAAGCACTTATGTAAATAGTTCAAGGACATAGTTATACATGTAATCCTCTGCAGAGTTTTTTTGTTGTTTTCTCCCTGTCAGAGCAGTTTTTCTAAAAATGAAATTCATAGATCATTTGTCCCTCAAGAGCCAGGAAAAAAAGTGATCTGTGGTCAAATAAGTGGGTACATTTAGTTAACAGTGGTTTTCTATTCTGCTTTTAAATTGAAGATTTATTTGTTATCGAGTAACAAAAGAACATAATTTTTAAAATTAGGTACTACTACAAGCTTACATTTAAAAGGCTCTTCATCCCATTCTTCCCCACACCCAATCCCCTTTGTAGGAGATTTGTCATCTACTATTTTTTAACCTCTCTGGAAGCTTTTAGGAATTTCTTTTTGTTCCTTGAATTCTGAAACTTCACATTGTTGTGCTGTAGTTTTGTTCTTTGTTTTTCCAACTAATACATCAGACACTTTAAACTCTTTTTCTGTTTCTTCTGCTACTTACCATATGCAATCTATATGACACACTTATCTCCTATTTCTTGATCCTTTAGTTTTAGATATCACCTATTGCTGTCTGTGAAACAGGATATTGCTGTACTTTGGATGTTTGTCCCACAAACTTCATGTTGAAATTTAATCCCCAGTGTTGGAGGTGGGGTCTGTTTGAAGGTGTTTGGGTCATGGGAATGGATCCCTCATGAATGGCTTGGTACTGTCTTCTTGATAATGAGTAAGTTGTCGCTCTTCTAGTTCCTGCAAGAGATGATTGTTAAAAAGAGCGTGGGACCTCCCCACTTTCTATCTTACTTCCTCTCTCTTCGTGTGATCTCTGCATACACAGCCCCACTTCTCTTTCCACCACCAGTAGAAGTTTCCTGAGACCTCACCAGAAGCCAAGCAGATGCTGGTTCCATGCTGCTTGTACAGCCTGGAGAACCATGAGCCAAATAAACCTCTTGTCTTAATAAATTACCCACCCTTGAGTATTCCTTTATAGCAACACGAATGAACTAAGACATTATATCCACTTTAGGTGTGTCCCACTCTTCATTTCACTCAGTATACTTATATTGTGATTTGGGTTTAAATAAATATAAGCAGTTTATCTTACTGTGGCTACACAACTATTATTCACAGTTGAGCCACAAGTACTACCTTTCCTTTATTTAAAATTTCTTATATCAACTGGAATTATAAATGACATTTTATGTTTGCTTAGTTTTCTATGTCAGTTAATAATTTACTACTGAACTCTCTAACATAACTGAAACTCTCCTTTGAATTAGTTCAAACATTAAATATTCTAACTGTGTAGCTTTCTTCTTGAAGGCATACCCCTTGGAGCCCTCTGTCCTCTTGTGACAAGCAGTTCTGCTGCTCTCTGGAACAGCTGTAGCCGTGGGACATTCTTGTCATCAACACAATCCTCTTTGCTTCTCTGCTTCCTGGAGCTTAGAACTCTCTCTCTTTCTTGTTTTATTCTGTTTATTTTGCTGGAGCAGATGTTTCAAGGACCTCCTGAACAAGCCTAGGTGAAAATATGTTGAGACCTTAAACGTCTACTAATGTCTTCATTCTAACCTTGCATCTGATTAATAGCTTTTCTGGCTATAAAACTCTAAGTGGAAAAATATTTTACCCCAGAATTTTGAAGGCATTGCTTTGCTGCTCTCTAGCTCCTATCAGTACTATGGGGTTGTCATCCTGATTCCTGATGTATATTCTCATTTCATGAGCATAGTTTCATTGGTGGGCAGAGGACTTGTCCACTGGGCTGTACTCTCAAGTGATGTGGTGGCCATTTCCTTGGAGTATCCCAAACTCTGTCTCTAGGTATTTCTCATGGTCTCGTCAGCATCCCCAGAAATGAATACCCCCATCTCCTGCTTGGGGAGTATAGGCCTGCTGTCAGTATCCTGGCAGCTAAATGTGAAAGAGGGTGTGGAGGTGGACCTCAGTCATCAGTGTCAACTTTCACTGAAACCTTTCCTTTTTGTTTTACCTTCTCCTTCTCATAAAGCTTTCAATACCAGATCCCTCTGGCTCCATTTTCCCAGAGACTAAAACACCCATCTTCTGACACAGTGGCGGAAAGACAGTCATTCTGCTGCATGGGGTAAAGGAGGAGGACACACTGGCTCTAACTGCTACTTATTTTAAGCTTTCAAACCCACTTACTACTTGCAGATTTAACCATACCCCTGGCTTCAGAGGTATCTTGTGCCTTCAGTTTTGAATCTTTGGGAGACTGAGGGTTCAAGTTGATGTGTTTCAGACTTCTCCCCACTGTTTGCTTAGATTTCTTTCTTTGGTCTAGAAATTTTAGATATACATTCTTCTGCTTTGCAGCTTCCAATAAAAATTGTTTTCTTGAGGCAGGGCCTTGCTCTATTCCCCAGGCCAGAGGGCAATAGTGTGATCATAGCTCACTGTAGCCTCAAACTCTTGGGCTTAAGAAATCCTCCCACTTCAGACTCCTGAGCAGCTTGGACTACAGGTGTGTCCCACTATGTCCTGTTAATATTTTTATTTTTTATAGATGGTGTCTTGCTACATTGCCTAGGCTGGTCTCAAACTCTTAGCCTCAAGTGATCGTCTTACCTTGGCCTCCCAAAGTGCTGGAATTACATATGTGAGCCATTGCACCTAGCCAGCTTCCAAGATTTTGATGCCATCTCTTATCTGCACTTCACTTATTTCCTGTCTTCTTTGTACTATGCCTTCTTTGTTTAAAATCCTTTTAACTGACATTTAACAGTAGTTCATGAAAGAATAGATGTAAATATATGACTGTTTAATCCACTATGTTTTTTTTAAAGTTTTTTTTTTAATGTAAGACTTCTCAGAACCTAAAATATGCTCAGTTTCCTTGTGGATATCTGAGAGGGAGATACACTATGCAGTATTTTTATATGAGTTAACATTGCCCCATAACAAACAACCTCTCAATTTCAGCAGCTTATAACACAACAAAGCTCTGTTTCTTACTCACAACACATGTTACCAGCTGCTGGTCATCACGGCTCTGATCCACATGTTTTCTCATTCCAGGTCTCAGGCTGAAAAAATAGCCGTGTTATAGAACGTGCCAGATATAAGAGTAAGAGGAATGGTAGAAATGTCCCAAGGCATCTTAGAGTTTCTGCCTGGGCGTTCACGTTCCATTGGAATATCACATGCCAGACTCAAAGGCGATGGGGCATGGGAGGTCTCTCTCTCTCTCTCCTGCAGGAGGCACTATGCTTCACATGACAATCCTCAGGGATGCGTAATTCTCTTATAAGGAAGTGGGGAGTGGATAATTGAGAATAGGATCACAATCTACCGACATATTGAGTACTTGTTTGAGTATGGAACCCCTTTTTTGTAACAGTTGCTAACAGTTTATGTTTCAGGGAGCATGGCTTAAGAAAATGTTTTATATGTGCACCAAGTATATTGGTAAGGAGGTAGAGTGAGGTAAAGGGGAAACCTCAGAATTTTAAAGCAAAACTTCATTTCAAATGATGGTTCTATCACATGCTTAACCATGTAGCTTTGGGAAATCTAATTTCTCTAAATCTCTTTTCTCTTGTAAAATGGACATAATAATCCCTACTTCTCAGCTTTGATAACAGGATTAGATATAATGTATGTAACGGGTCTGGAGTGCCCTAGTAGGCCATTAGTAAATATTTATTATGGTCAGGCACAGTGGCTCACACCTGTAATTCCAGCACCTAGGGAGGCCGAGGTGGACAGATCACCTGAGTTTGGAGCCTGGCCAACACGGCAAAATCCCATCTCTTCTAAAAATACAAAAAGTAGCCAGGTATGGAGGTGAGCCCCTGTAATCCCAGCTACTCAGGAGGCTGAGGAAGGAGAATCGCTTGAACCCGGGAGGCGGAGGTTGCAGTGAGCCAAGATTTTACCACTGCACTCCAGGCTGGGCAACAAAGTGATACTCTGTCTTAAATTTTATATATATATATATATATATATATATATATATATATATATATATATGTGTGTGTGTGTGTGTGTGTGTGTGTGTTTGTATAAAATAAATAAATGAATAGATGAATGAGTTAATGGCTGAATGAAATATTTTAACTGACAAAAGTGTAACAGCCTAGCCTAGTTGAATTTGGGTTGGCTCTCCAATTTTAAACTTCTGATATCTTGAAGAATTATTTGAGTAACCTATTGATGAATCATAGTAGTTAAAATATTTTAATGTTATAATTGCTTTTAATAGAGTTCCTTCCCAATAAACATTTGCATTCTTCTTCTTGCCAAATTTATATCTAAACCTTGAATCTTCAGGTAGAGTATAAATATAAACTGTTCCCTACATGATCAGAAGTAGATATGTCTCAGCTGATCCAAAGATACCGGGAGACGCCAGGCGCGGTGGCTCACGCCTGTAATCCCAGCACTTTGGGAGGCCGAGGCAGGCAGACCATGAAGTCAGGAGATCAAGACCATCCTGGCTAACATGGTGAAACCCCGTCTCTACTAAAAATGCAAAAAATTAGCCAGGTGTGGTGGCGGGCGCCTATAGTTGAAGCTACTCTGGAGGCTGAGGCAGGAAAACGGCACGGATCCGGGAGGTGGAGCTTGCAGTGAGCCGAGATCATGCCACTACATTCCAGCCTGGGCAACAGAGTGAGACTCCGTCTCAAAAAAAAAAAAAAAAGATACCAGGAGACAGGAATTCCCTGTGTACCTGTGTCACACTGTTGGCAAATGTCCTCAGCTATATGCTATGGACATTTAGAAGCTGTTTCTTAAAATCTACAAAACTAGTGGAAAACATAAAAAAGCAGGGGTTGCAATTCTAATTTCAGACAAAAAAAGACTTTAAACCAAGATAGATGAAAAAAAAAAGCAAAGAAGGGTATTACATAATGGTAAAGTGTTTAATTCAACAAGCAGAGATAACTATCCTAAATATATATGCACCCAACATAGGAGCACCCAGATTCATAAAGCAAGTTTTTAGAGACCTTCAAAGAGACTTAGACTTCCACACAATAATAGCAGGAGACTTCAGCACCCCACTGACAGTACTGGACAGATCATCAAAGCAGAAAATTAAAAAATATATTCAGGAACTAAACTCCACGCTTGACCAAATGAACCTGAGAGACACCTGAAGAAGATCCAAATAAATGCAATTAGAAACAACAAAGGGAATGTTGCCACTGTCCCCACAGAAATACAAATAACCATCAGAGACTACTGTGAATAGCTCTATGCACACAAACTAGAAAATTTAAAAGAAACAGATGAATTTCTGGACACGTACACCCTCCTAAGACTGAACCAGGAAGAAATTGAATCCCTGAACACACCAATAACACTGAAATTGAATCGGTAGTAAAGAGCCTACCAACTAAACAAAGCCCAGGACCAAATGAATTCTCAGCCAAATTCTACCAGATGTACAAAGAAGAGCTGGTAACATTCCTATTGAAACTACTCTAAAAAAAATTGAGGAGAAGGGAATTCTCCCCAACTCATTTTAGGGCTAGTATCATCCTGATGCCAAAACCTGGCAGAGAAACAGCAAAAAAAGAAAACTTCAGGCAAATACCCTTGATGAACATTAATGCAAAAATCCTCAAGAAACAAAACGCTAGCAAACCAAATCCAGCAGCACATCAAAAAGCTGATCCACCATGATCAAAAAAGGCTTAATGTCTGGAATGCAAGGTTGGTTCAACAGTCACAAATCAATAAACATGATTCATCTCCTAAACAGAACTAAAGACATAAAATACTTTACTATCTCAATATATGCAGAAAAAGCTTTTGATAAAATTAAACATCGCTTCATGTTGAAAACTCTCAATAAATTAGGTGTTGAAGTAATATACCTCAAAATAATAAGAGCCATCTATGCAAACTGACAGCCAACATTGTACTGAATGGGAAAAAACTGGAAGCATTCCCCTTGAAAACCAGCATGAGACAAGAGTGCCCTCTCTCCCCACACCTATTCAACATAATGTTGGAAGTCCTGGCCAGAGCAGTCAGGCAACAGAAATAAATAAAGGGCATCCCAATAAGAAACAAGAGAGTCAAACTCTCTCTTTGTAGTAACCTGATTCTATGTCTAGAAAACCCCATAGTCTTTGCCCAAAAGCTCCTTCACTTGGGATACAACTTCAGCAAAGTTTCAGGATACAAAATGGATGCACAAAAATCACTAACATTCCTATACACCAACTGTAGCCAAGCTAAGAGCCAAATCAGGAAGGCAATCCCATTTACAATAGCCACAGAAAAAATAAAATACTTAGGAATACAGCTAACAAGGGAGTTGAAAGATCTCTACAATGAGAATTTAAAAACACTGCTCAGATAAATCAGAGATGACACAAACAAATGGAAAAACATTCCATGCTCATGGATAGGAAGAATCAATATTGTTAAAATGGTCATACTACCCAAAGTAATTTACAGATTCAATGCTATTCCTATCAAATTGCCAATGGAATTCTTCACAGAACTAGAAAAAAACTATTTTAAAATTCGTATAGAATTAAAAAGAACTTAAATAGCCAAGCCGATACTAAGCAAAAATTACAAAGCTGGAGGCATAACATTACCTGATTTCAAACTGTACTATGGGGCTATAGTAATCAAAACAGCATTGTACTGATATAAAAACGCACATCCAGACCAATGGACCAGAATAGAGAACCCAGAAATAAGGCCACACACCTACAACCATCTGATTTTTGACAAAGCTGACAAAAGCAATGAGGAAAGAATTTCCTATTCCATAAATGATGCTGGGATAACTGGCTAGCCATATGCAGAAGATGAAGATGAAGATAAAAGTGGACCACTTTCTTATACCATATACAAAAATCAACTCAAGATGGATTAAAGACTTAAGTGTAAAACCCAAAACTACAAAAACTCTGGAAGATGACCTAGGCAATACAATTCTGAACATAAGAATGGGCAAAGATTTCAAGATGTAGATGCCAAAAGCAGTCACAATAAAAGCAAAAAATTCACAAAGGGATCTAATTAAATTCAAGTGCTTCTACACAGCAAAAGCAAATATCGACAGAGTAAACAGAAAACCTGCAGAATGGGAGAAAATATTTGCAAACTCTACATCTGTTATAAAGAACTGCCCAAGATGGGTAATTTATAAAGGAAAGAGGTTTAATTGACTCACAGTTCAGCATGGCTGGGGAGGCCTCAGGAAACTTACAATCATGGTGGAAGCCAAAGAGGAAGCAAGGCATCTTCTTCACAAGGCAGCAGGAAGGAGAAGTGCTGAGTGAAGGGGGAAGAGCACCCTACAAAACCATCAGATCTCATGAGAACTCACTATCATGAGAAAAGCAAGGGGTAAGCTGCCCCCATGATTCAATTACCTCCACCAGGTCTCTTTCTTGACATGTGGGGATTATGGGAGTTATGGGGATTACAATTCAAGATTAGATTTGGATGGGGAAACAAAGCCTAACCACATCAGCGTCTAACATAAGTCTAATGTCCAGCATCCATACTGAAACACATTTACAAGAAAAAAACAAACAACCCCATTAAAAAGTGAGCACAGGACATGAACGAGACTTTTCAAAAGAAGACATACATGCATCCAACAAGCTTATGAAAAAAAGCTCAATATCACTGATAAATAGAGAAATGTAAATCAAAACCACATTGAGATATCATCTCACACTGGCCAGAATGGCTACTATTAAAAAGTCAAAAAATAACAGATGCTGGCAAGGTTACAGAGAAAAGGGAACTCATTCATTCTCAGTGGGAGTGTAAATTACTTCAACCACTGTCGAAAGCCATGTGGCATTTCCTCAAAGAGCTAAAACTTAAACTACCATTTGACCCAGCAATCTTATTACTGGGTACATACTCAAAGGGATATAAATTGTTTTATCATAAAAACACATGCCTATGTATGTTCATTGGAGCACTATTCATAATAGCAAAGATGGAGTCAACCTAAATATCTATCGATGGTAGACTGGACAGAGAAAATGTGGTATATATACACCATGAAATACTATACACCCATAAAAAAGAATGATATCATGTATTTTGCAGAAGCATGGATGGAGCTGGAGGCCATTATCCTTAGCAAACTAATGCAGGAACAGAAAATCAAATACTGCATGTTCTCGTTTATGAGTGGAAGCTAAATGATTACAACTCATGGACACAAAGAGGAGAGCAACAGTCACTGGGGCCTACTTGAAGGTAGAGGGTAGGAGAAAGAAGATGATCCAAAAAAAAATAACTGTTGAGTACTAGGCTTAGTACCTGGGTGGAGAAATAATCTGTAGAACAAACCCCCATGACATGAGTTTACCTAAATAACAAACCTGCACATGTATCCCTAAACCTAAAATAAAGGTTTAAAAAACAAAGAAGATGTTTCTTGAATTTTGAGCCGTGTTGTAAAATAGCTCTGTTATTTGGGTTCCTTTTACTGGACAGTTATAAACAATTTATTTTCTTCCACCAAGACATGACTTTGGAGAAATTCACCATCAACTCCAATTACAAAGCTATCCCATAATATATCATCTAAAAGTCAGCAACATGCTGGTATAGAAACAGATCATTTGGTTGCATAATGTAATAAGTATTGCCCTCACAAAATAATTGATTCTTTTTTATCAGATATTTATCTCTGAATAATTGCCAATTGTATTGGTGAGAAATGCACCTTAAATAATTCCAGTAGTCTTTCAAATGGCCAAGTTTGAAATGATGAGCCAATGGCGATGAAGCAATCCTCACAGGGTTAACAAGCATTCTGGACAGAAATATAGTTATAATTTAGCATTAATCAGGCTGCACTTTGATCCACTTCCTTGTAACTGAAAGTCACATTGCACTAGCTATTCACCATTTGCATCCCCATTTTTCCTGTAGATGAGATTTCGGACTTTAGAATCATAAGGCTTTTGCTTAAGAATTGCTTAAGATGATTTTCAGATCCCAAATTACAGCAAAACAGTTGACACAAACCAGTTGGAAGACCCCCACAGAGGAATAGAATCAGCATGAGAATACAGCTTCTTGTCTCCCTGTCCCATCACTTCACCCTACGCTCTTCTACCACTCAATGGTCTTCACCCTTCAGCCCACTCCAAAACCCTTAAAAACCCTACCTCCAGACTCCTCGGGGAGACAGGTTTATTTGAGGTTTCCTCCTGTCTCCTCGTTGGGCAGCCCTACAATTAAACCTCTTTCTCTGCTGCAACCTGGTGTCTTGGCATATTAACTTGCTGTGTACTTTGAGCAACAGACCCATTAGGGTTACAGTGAGACATTGTGTTTTCAGAAAACTTTACACTTCACAAATTGTCACCAACGCAATGCATCTGGTTGAGAACACTCAATTCTGTTTTCTTCCAGACAGATTGAAAGCCTATCCTCTACACGGCTTGCAAGAAGTTGGTTGACTAGCCCCACATTTATGCAGATGCCCCATATGGTTATTTATAGCAAAAGTTCTACTAAGAGTCTCTGGATGAAATCATATTAATTTACTTACCAGTTGGTTTGTTTGGGGTTTTGTTTTTTCAAAAAAAAATCCCATTTATTTAATGAGTTAAGAGATCCTTGGATGGAGGAAAAAAGAGTAGTCAAAGAGAACAGACATTCAGTGAGAAATTTCTTTGTTGTGCCACCACTATTCTGGCCTAACTTCACAAATCATTGAAGCATGCCATCCAAAAACTCAAAAAGATTGAGAAACACTAACATAACACTAATGTGCAAATTATGTGTTTCTTATATATATACATAATAGGTTTCTCCACCTTAAATGGTTTGAAACAGAAAAAAAAATGTCTTGGAGTTTGCCTTTATAAAAACATTTCAAAGTGTTCTTTATCATTTCGTGGGAAAAAAAAGTTAACAGTAAAAGGAAAATTTCCACAGAATCCAATACCAAAGGGATCTGTTCTTTCATGGATTCGCCTCTGAAAGTTCTCCTGCTATGGAAGGAAATGATGCAGAGTGATCCAATAAATTAAAAGGCAGAATAACTGGCTTTCTGGAAAAGAATAAATGAGGAAGACCTCATAGACTTGAAGAACAAAGGAAGATGTTTTTATGTGCAACCTATCCGGTATTCTAAAATAGATGTTTCACTGGTAGATCAGGCAGCCATGGAGCAATTTTCAAAGCTCTAAGGGTGCAATCAATTGAATGCATTTTACTCTTCCTTGGTGCCCATTTGGGGACTCCACACTTCTGTCACAAGCTACCTGGCTCATCCTGCAAAACACCTTTTTCATCAGATGAGGAAAAATAATCTTGATTACCATTTGACCCAGAAATCCCATTACTAGGCATATACCTGAAAGAATATAAACCATTCTACCAAAAAGACACATGCACATGTATGTTCATCACATGATTATTCACAATAGCAAAGACATGGAATCAAGCTAAATGTCCAACAGTGGTAGACTGGATAAAGAAAATGTGGTACGTATACACCACGGAATACTACACAGCCACAAAAAAGTGAGATCATGTCCTTTGCAGTAACATGGATGGAGCTGGAGGCCATTATCCTAAGAAAACTAATGTAGGATCAGAAAACCAAATATTTCATGTCCTCACTTATAAGTGGGAGCTAAACACTGAGTACACAAGAACACGAAGAAGGGAACCATAGACACCAGGGCCTACTTGAGGGTGGAGGCTGGGAGGAAAGAGAGGATCAAAAAACTACATATCAGTTACTATGCTTATTACCTGGGTGACAAAATAATCTGTACACCAACATCCCATGACACATAATTTACTTGTATAATAAACCTGCACATGTACCCATGAGCCTAAAAGTTAAAATAACAATAACAATAATAATTATTATTATTATCTGGGTTTCCATTAAAGCCAGGGGGCTAGAAAGACGTAAGTGGGAAATAATGGTTTGTAGCCTTTCATCAGAAGACTGAAAATACTTTTTCATCGTGATCCCTTTTCATCTTTTCCCAAGTTCTTGTGTGGATTGAGATAATAGCAATGAAATTGTTGCATAACTAGTGGGCCATACTTGACATAATAATGGATGACTCCAGAAGAGTGAACACACAGTGGGGCAAATGTAGAAGTATACTGTCATCTGTAAGAATAGAAGTAGCCTTTGTTTTATGATAAACTTGATTTCATTATAGTACTTGATTTCTCTCTCTTTCCATGAAAGTGAGTTTTGTAAAGGCTGAAAATCGCATGTGTACACTTTCACTGTTCAACACAGAGGATCTCTCAATGCCATTTTTGTTTTAAAGTCTTTAAAAGAAATTGCCCAGTGCTCCTTTGGATGCCCATCCAAATGCTCAGAGGAAACTGCATGAAAAAATTGTAAATTTTAAATCTTTCTCCTGTAAAGGAACTCTTTGGATGAGAAATAACCAGCCATCTAAATATAGGCTTATGTAAAATTTGTTTTTAACATGTATCTCAAACTTCAGGTATTTTCTCAAGCCCTGTGTTCAAAAAATTAACAAAAGAATATTCTTTGGAAATGTGCTTTGAACTTGTGCTTACTGTAAAATTCAGTACAAGGAGCATGTTGAAACTGTAACTTCTGGGAGGGAGTATGATAGTTTGTTTAAGAACTCCAGGGCTAATGAAAGTAGTAAGAATGAGAAAGTCAAGAAAATGTTAAGGTGTTTCATTACAAAAATGATCAAATATTCAGAGTTGATGTTGCAAAAAAAAAAAATAGAAAATGCAACAACTAATGAATTGGCACAGCCTTTTCAAATGATTTGCTTTTCACCAACAAGCCTGACTGAGCAAGGTCAAGATAGCACAGCACTGTCCAGAAGTGACAAATTTATTAGGATTTAAAATAGCAACACATGCATGTCATGAGAGATGGGCAACTGTGACTTATTCTTTCCCCTAGGAATGTACAATTTTTAAAAAATCTATTGACAGAACAGCTGAAACATGAACATGCAAGTTTTAAATTGCACGCCTAGGCCTATATTAATAAATGAGAGTAGAGACAGCCTTCTCTGTGATACTCTCCGAATATTTTATATTGAATCACACAAACAAGGATTAGAGGGCTATCGTCACAATAATAGAGAGATGACACAAATGAAAACCAAGGGAAATTTAAATTATGATTTGCCACTCTAATAACTTGAATATGTTCCTCTTATTTTAGAGTAAGAGGCCATAACAGAATTAGAAGAAATGGAAAGGCTTTTGTACAATAGTTTAGGGAAGAAGGACATGACAGTATTTTACTTTGGGTCAAAATAATCATATTCACTGTCAGTAATTAATTAGGACAAATTAATTACTGGAGTCCATTTGTTTATAGCCAATTATGAAGTTCCACTATGTGCCAGTAATGTAGTAGGAGTTGGAGATGGAAACGAGCATGAAAATAAATCATTACAATTATAACAAGATACGTACAAGTGCCAGGCAATGCTTGACAGCCCTCAATATGTTTGTTGAGTGGCTGAATGGCTGAACACAGAGAAAGTAATGTCAGACCTAAAAGGATGATGAAAGACTTCTCAACTGTCCAGCGTCAAAGAGTCATTGATGTCTCACAAGCCTACATTTATACTGCTCTCTTCTAATCAAAGTGACCCCAAACCACTGTTTTTTGGGGATGGGCATATGCTGTTTTGATTCCCAATCCCGACTTTGAAGTTGAAATAAGTCCTGATAACCCATCATCAAAGGATTGCACCAGGTATCTGTGCATGAGTTGAAACATGCAGATGTGGATTGGGTGCCAGGTAAGTGAACCACCTCTGTGACATCCCTCTGTAGTCATTTGCTTTGGTGCCATAATAAATCACCACAGTTTAGTGGCTTAAAACAAAACTAATTTATCATCGCAGTTTCTGTAGGCAGAAGTCCCAGAACTGCAGGGCTCAACTGGGCATCTGTGTAGAGTCTCACAGGGCCAAAATTAAGGCAGCAGCAGGGCTATGACCCACGTCCACATTTTCTTGTTGGCTGTGGACTGTGGACCAGGGCATTCTCAGACACTAGACCTGCCAATATTCCAAGGCTCATGGTCCCCTTCCTCCATCATCAAAGCCCACAGGTGCAGGTCAAGTCCTCCTCAGGCTGCCATGCCTCTTCTGCCTTCTCTTCCATTAGCGTATCTCTCTGACTGCCACTTCCTTCTTCCTCTTCTAAGGGCCCAAGTGATCACAAACTTCACCTCACAGGCAAAGTCTTTTTCCAACTATGGGAACATATTCAATGGTCCCAGGGATTAGGGCATGGACATCTTTGGAAGCTTGTTATTCTGTCCACCACAGCCTACTTTCAAACCTCCACAATATATGTGTTTCATAGCCATAGAGAGTGGCAGCAAGCCACTGCCATTGATCTTTAGTTTTTGGTGAATGAAAAGCAAACATACTCCATTTATTACCACTAAGAATGCAGGGATATTTTTCCAGTTTACTGTGAAGCTCCCTGATATGGTTTGGTTGTGTCCCCACCCAAATCTCATCTCCAATTGTAATCTGAATTGTAATCCCCATGAGTTGAGGGAGGAACAAGGTGGGAGGTGATTGAAACATGGGGACAGTTTCTCTCATGCTGTTCTCATAACAGTGAGTGAGTTCTCACAAGATCTGGTTGTTTGAGAAGTGTCTGGCACTCTCCCACCCCACCTCCTGCTGCCATGTAAAATGTGCCTGGCTTTCCTTTCACTTTCCACCACAATTGTAAGTTTCCTGAGGCCTTCCCAGATATGTGGAACTGTGAGTCAATTAAACCTCTTTTGTTTATAAATTACCCACTCTCAGGTAGTATCTTTATAGCAGCGTGAAAACAGAAAATTGGTACCAGGATAGTGGGATGCTGCTATAAAGATAAACTAAAACTGTGGAAACAACTTTGGAACTGGGTAATGGGCAGAGGTTGGAACAGTTTGGAAGGCTCAGAAAAAAAAAAAAAAACAGGAAAATGTGGGAAAGTTTGGAGCTTCCTAAAGACTTGTTGAATGGTTTTGACCAAAATGTTGATTGTGATATGGACAATGAAGTCCAGGTTGAGGTGGTCTCAGATGGAGACGAGAAACTTCTTAGGAACTGGAGCAAAGGTCACTCTTGTTATGCTTTAGCAAAGAGACTGGCAGTAGTTTGCCCCTGCCCTAGAGATCTGTGGAGGTTTGAACCTGAGAGAGATGATTTGAAATTGGAACTTATTTTTAAAAGGGAAGCAGAGCATAAAAGTTTGGAAACTTTATAGCCTGACCTTGCAGTAGAAAACAAAAACCCATTTTCTGAGGAGAAATTCAAGCTACCTGCAGAAATTTGCATAAATAATGAGGAGCTGAATGTTAATTTGCCACGACAATGGGAAAAATGTCCCCAGAGCATGTCAGAGATCTTCAGAGGCAGCCCCTCCCATCACAGGCCCAGAGGCCTAGGAGGGGAAAATGGTTTCATGGGCTGGGCCCAGAGCCCTGCTGCTCTGTGTAACCTCTGGACTTGGTGCGCTGTGTCCCAGCTGCTCCAGCTCCAGTGGTGGCTAAAAGGGGCCAAGGTACAGCTTAGGCCACTGCTTCAGTGGGTGCAAGCCCCAAGCCTTGGGGCTTCCATGTGGTGTTGGGCCTGCAGGTATGCAGAAGACAAGATTTGAGCTTTGGGAGCCTCCACTTAGATTTCAGAGGATGTATGGAAATGCCTGGATGCTCAGGCAGAAGTCTGCTGCAGGGACACAGCCCTCATGGAGAACCTCTACTTGGACAATGCAGAGAGGAAATATGGGGTTGGAGCCCCCACACAGAGTCCCCAGTGGGGCACTGCCTAGTGAGCTGTGAGAAGAAGTCCACCAACCTCCAGTCCCCGGAATGGTAGATCCACCTACAGCTTGCATTGTGCACCTGGAAAAGCCACAGGCACTCAATGCCAGCCCGTGAAAGCAGCCACAGGAACTACACCCTGCAAAGCCACAGGGGTGGAGCTGCCAAAGGCCTTGGGAGCCCACCCTTGCATCAGCATGCCCCGGATGTGAGACATGGAGTCAGAGGAGATCATTTGAGAGCTTTAAGATTTAATGACTGCCCCTCTGGGTTTCAGATTTGCATGGGGCCTGTGACCCCTTTGTTTTGGCCAATTTCTCCCATTTAGAATGGGAACATTTACCCAGTGCCTGTACCCCCATTGTATCTTGGAAGTAACCAAATTGTTTTTGATTTTACAGGCTCATAGGTGGAAGAAACTGGCTTGTCACTCAGATGAGACTTTGGACTGTGGACTTTGAGTTAATGCTGAAATGAGTTAAGACTCTAGGGCACTGTTGAGAAGGCATGATTGCATTTTGAAATGTGAGAAGGACGTGAGATTTGGGAGGGGCTGGGGCAGAATGACTTGGTTTTACTCTGTGCCACCACCCAAATCTCATCCAAATTGTAATTCCCACATGTTGAGGGAGGGACCTGGCAGGAGGTGATTGGATCATGAGGACAGTTTCCCCCATGCTGTTCTTGTGATAGTGAGTTCTCACAGGATCTGATGATTTTAAAAGTGGCACTTTGCCCTTTGCTGTCTCTCTCTCTCCTGCTGCCATGTAAGATGTGTCTTGCTTCCTCTTTGCCTTTTGCCCTGACTGTAAGTTTCCTGAGGCCTCTCTAGCCATGTGGAACTGTGAGTCAGTTAAACCTCTTTTGTTTATAAACTACTCAAGCTCAGGTAGTATCTTTATAGCAGTATGAGAACAGACTAATACAGGAAAAAAGGAGAAATAATTATTTCAGGAAGATAGCACAGTTTGTACAAAAACATGTAACTGATGAAATTTATCTTACTTTTTGCCAAAGAAGAAAAGAGAAAACATGGGCTCCAGGGAACTGGTTTTGACAACTACAGAAGTGATTGAAACAGGAAAACAAACCAGCAGTGGATCTAAGTCTAGCTGCAGTATGTGGATGTGTGTGAGTTTAAAACAAATACAGCACTCAGAAAGTCCAAGTATGAGACTTACTGCAAAATTTGTAAGTCTCCCAGAACTCCAGTCAGACCAGAAATTCCACAGGCCCAGATCATCACATGTTTTTTTCTGGTATTTCCACTTTCATTCTTAGCATAATCTGGAATGTCCAGAGTATGGGAGGGGGCCTGGTCTCATTGTCCCCAACTCGCTCTAGCTACTGAAAGTAAATCTCGCTCCTCAGAACTTGTTCTAAAAGAAGCA
The DNA here is from genome assembly GCF_000001405.40 of Homo sapiens. NCBI lineage: Eukaryota > Metazoa > Chordata > Mammalia > Primates > Hominidae > Homo > Homo sapiens. Next base: position 39,298,154 of record NC_000013.11, read on the forward strand.
AAATAATGTAGAAAGTCACTTCTTGTTCCCTGTCACAATCTTGCAGAAAGGCAATATATTAGGTTTCTCCTGAAAAACAGAACTAACAGGATATATATATGTGTATATAGGGAGAAATTTACATTAAGGAATTTGCTCACATGACTATGGAGGCTGGCAAGTCCAAAATCTGCAGAATAGGCCAGAAGGCTGAAGCCCCAGGAAGAGCTAGTGCTGCATTTCAAGCCTGAAGGCCAAGTGCTGCAGAGTTCCCTCTTGCTCAGGAGCAGTCAGTCTTTTGTTTTAATTGGGCTTTCATCTGATTTGATGAGGCCCACTCACATTAGGGAAGGCAATCTGCTTTACTCAACGTCCACCAATTTAAATGTAAATCTCATCCAAAAACACCCTCACAAAGACACCCAGAATAATGTTTGACCACTTATCTGGGCACTGTGGCCCAACCAAGTTGACACATAAAAGTAACCATCACAGGCAAGTCAGCAATCATTCATCAACCTTGAGTCTCATCATATTTGTGTTTTGCAATCTTTCTTCTACAGGTGTTTGATAAACTAGGTGGAGCTCAAAAAATCCAATTAAACTTCTGGAAATGCATTGTAGAGGAAAAATATTGTGGCCTCTTTCCAAGAGGTTAATTCAATACATCAGAGAATTCTATAATCTTAAAATGCAATTAGGAAGAACTCTGGGGCCCATATGATTCAATTTCTAGTCATAGTCAATGAACCTGCTACAGAGACTAAAAGATGAGATACATGAGGCGAAAAGCTGAAGAAGCTCATGTTTTCTGAGGACAAAGAGGAATGCAGAGAAAAGAAATTAAATTATCTGAACACATTTAAACATTTTCTTATACACATTTCCTGTGTATACACACAAATTCACCTGAAAAATTTTAAAATTCCCTTAAGTAAATAAATACATGAGTGTGGTGTGTGTGTGTATATATATAGACATATATCTAGCCTGAGAACTTTGTGTATTTAAATAAATACATATTTAAATCTGTACATTTGAATACTTCCTTATAAGTTTCAAGCTAGCCTCATACTTGATGCTAAAAGTGCTAGAAGCATTCTTATTGAGGTCAGAAGCAAACCAAGCATGATTATTATTTATCAACACTCTTACTTAACTTTTTAAAAAATGAGTTAACATAAGGAATATAAAAAATTAAGAGATAAAATTTTAAATTTCTTTTTTAGTTAAGTAAAAATATATATATTTGTGACGTACAGTATGATGTTTTGAGGTATGTATACATTGTGAAATGACTAAATCAAGCTATTTAACATATGTATTACCCTTCCTATCATTTTTTGTGTGTGGTGAAAACACTAAAACCTAGTCTCTGAGGAATTTTTAAGTAGACAATATATTGTTATTAAATATAGCCATCATGGTGTACAATAGATCTCTTGAACTTATTCTTCCTATCTAGTTGAAATTTTGTGAACTTTGACAAGCAATAAGATAAAAAATTTTATATAAGTGGAAAATTATTTTTTAGATTTTAAAGAACTCAAGAATATAAACTTAATAATATGTAAACAATAAGAGATTTCTATAAAGTGGCTGGGTTCAAAATGAATATATAAAAATGAATAGCCTTACTAAATAGAAATAACCACCAACTAGGAAAAAAAAGGAAGAAAATAACCTACTTACAAAGTAACCACAAACAAACAAACAAACAAGCAATAGGAATAAACTTAAAGTTATGAGTTAGACCTGTGAGAAAAAAATTAAATACTTCAAAGAAGACTTGAATATAATGTAAAGGATACTCTGTTCTTAAGTAAGAAGACTTAATAATTATAAGAATATCAATTCTGTATAAATTAATCTATAAATTTTCATCCCACTGTCAAATGTCACCACACACAAAAAAAGATAGGCAAAAATTTTTAACTAAACTTATTTTAAAATTCATGTAAAAATAAACATCCATGTATAACTAGAATAATTCTAGAAAAAAATGAAGACTAGATATTAAAACATTTTAAAACAAAAATAATTTAAATAATGTGGTATGTAGAAAAAGACAGTCTAAAGGAAGAAAAAAATGGATACTAGAAATGTACAAAAAAACCATATACTTGAATTTATAGTACGTTAAAGGAGGCATTAGATGTAAGTACAGGAAAAGATAGAATCTTCAGTAAATGAAGTTTTGATAACTTGATAACATTTTGGAAAAAAGTTCATCTTTCACTCCAAAATTTCTAGATAAATCTAATATTAAAATAAAAAACAGAAGAAATTACAAAAGTATTGGAAGAAAACATGGGTGAATTTTTTAACATAATATTGGCAAGGGAAAGACTCCTAAGCCAAAGAAGATTCACAACTTTGACTACATTAAAAAGACAAAAATTGAGAAAAACATTCAAAACATATGTCTAACAAAGTTTTAATTTTCTTAATATCCAAAGAACTATAAAGCAAGAAGAGAAAGATTTAATAATTGTATTAAAAATCAAGCAAAGGTCTTGGCCTGGCACGGTGGCTCACGCCTGTAATCCCGGGACTTTGGGAGGCTAAGGCGGGTGGATCACCTGAGGTCAGGATTTCCAGACCAGCCTGGCCAACATGGCGAAACCCTGTCTCTACTAAAAATACAAAAAAATTAGCCGGGTGTGGTGGTGCATACCTATAGTCCCAAATACTCAGGAGGCTGAGGCATGAGAATCACTCGAATCCGGGTGACAGAGGTTATAGTGAGCAGAGATCATGCCACTCTACTCCAGCTTGGGCGACAGAGCAAGACTCTGACTCAATTTAAAAAAAATTGATTAAATTAAAAAAATAAAAATCAAGCAAAGGTCTTGACCATGTAGTACTCAGAAATCTGCAGCTTAAAACTCTATGGAGAGAATATTTTTTCGCTTGTCAAATGAACAAAGATCAAAGTTTGATGAAACATTCCATGTGGAAGAAATGGGCAACAACTCTAGTGCATTGTTGCTTGGGGTGTACATTGGTGCAAATTTATAGAGGTTAACTTGAAAATACCTAATAAAATTCAAAATTTATATTGCTTTGACTCAACAGTTTTATTTCTTGGAATTTATTCTACACATAGTGTCTCACATGTGCACAAAGACATGTCAAAGGCTATTTATTATAGCACTGCTTGCAATAGCAAAATGTACCTAAATGTACATCAATAAGTCAACTACAGTACACAGTAAAATACTAACAGAAAATTTTAGAAGTCATTTCTATATCTACTAAAATGGATAATTTCCAAAATATAATAACGAATGAAAAAAATCAAGATATAGAAAAGCATGTGCAATATTCTAGTGTGTGTGCAAATTAAAGGGGAGATAGGGTATGTGCTTGTCTGGTGTAGGCAGTGTGTCTGTAGCATGATGCTCAATAAAGTGGGTACAGTGATGAGAAACCAAGGTTATAGAACAAGATGGGAAGAAAACCTAATTTTCACCACTATATATTGTTCTGTAATTTTTAAAATTGTGCACCATATGTATACATTACCTCTTCTAAGTGAATAGATAAATTCAAAGTCATTGGAAATTTTGTGGGCAGCTAATTCACAAAATCAAATTGTAAAAGAAATATTATAACAACAGGAGCTAGTGATGATAATATTATATATTGTGCTCACAGCATTCTTGAATAGCTAAAAAGTCAATATTAAAAGTCTTCATATGTACATGTTCATATGTGTGTGTGTGTGTGTGTATTTGACATAAGAAAACTTAAAGACAATGGCCAAGCAGTTTTAAAAATGTATTAAACACAGCTATATGTCAAGCAATAGGAAGAAAATACAAAGAAGAAGAAACATTCCCTGCCCTTAAGCCACTTCATACTTAATAGAATAAATGGGTCCAAGATAATAAGAAAGAAAAAAATTAATGAGCAGCTCAGACTGAAATAACTTAGGGTGGCTCAGGTAACACTAAAAGATGATTGTAGAGATATCTTTCAGAAGGAAAAAGGTAATTAAAATCTTGGCCCTCTCTGACTTCCAAGACCTTAATAATTCTCTTTAAAGAACAAAGTTCCAGCTCCAATCATCATCAGCTGCCCACAATTGCCGACACCATCTCTGTTAGATGGGAGTATTCTGTTCTGACCTGGCACATAACATAGATGTGCAGCTGTCAAACAGCCAGTAACTCAGCCGACAGAGACCATGAAGGACACAGAAGGTAGAATAAGTACCATAAATAGTGTACAAAATGTTTCAGAAAACACTGTGTCATCACTATCAAGAACATCACTTTACAACTCCAAAAGGTTAAAGAAAATAACAACTGACTAAAGGTACTCTTATATGTAACGCCCATCTGGAGAACATTCCACATTCTCTTCTAGTTTATTTTTATGCATATCAATCCTCTTCTAGGATTTGTAACTTAGTAGATCAAAAAGAACCTCAAAAATGACGTTTCTAAATCTACATTTTTTTGATACTCTCTACATTGATTTACACATTCCATTGACTTACACGTATTCTGCTGAGTCTTAGAAATTTATAAAACCTTGAGCTTTGGTTTAAAATTTGGATCTTAAAGTATCATCAACAGTTCATTGAGATACGAAATTCTTTTCCAAAAACTCAAAAAGACCCAAATATGATCACCTCAGATCTGTAAATCAGGGGTCAGCTAACTACGGCCTGGGAGCCAAATCTAGCCCACTGACTAATTCTGTAAATAAAAATTTTTGGAACGTACCCACTATCATCTGCTTGCATGTTGTCTATGGCTACTTTCACACCGTAAGAAGCAAGTACAGTAGTCACCATGGAAACCATATGGTCTGCAGCCTAAAGTATTTACTGTCTAGCTCTGAAAGAAAATGTTTTCTGACCCCTGATTGAGACTCATGGAATCACGGCCTGAAAATCCAGAGAAACTTTTCTTTCTTAGCTATGTGATTACATCAGCAATAATTAAGATTCTCACTCAGATAATAGCATAGGCTTTCAAGCTGAACAGCCTCAGGTTTCCATCCTGTATTGACCATGTTTTGTATACTTAGCCAAGTTGCTTATTCTCTTGGTGCCTATTTTCTCATCTGTAATATGAGGATAATAATATACATAGTACAAGATCATTGTGAGAATTAGAAAGAGATGTTATTTGTAATGCCTTTTACAGGGCAAAGTAAAAACACCAATGGACAAGAATTCAACTATCTCAAAGGACATCCTTTCTATGTGTTTGATTATTTATCAGTCTTAAAACAACCACCATTTTATTATAGCACAATTTTATGGTTAAGGGATTCAGGCAGGGATCCTCTGAGTGTCTACTGTTCCATGTGGTGTCAACTGTGAATGGACTGGTCCGGAGGTTTCCAGAGAACTAGACTCTACTATGACTGGATAGGTTGTCCATAAAGGCTGAGCTCAGGCCAGGTGCAGTGGCTTATGCCTGTAATCCCAGCACTTTGGGAGGCCTAGATGGGTGGATCACTTGTGCTTAGGAATTTAAGACTAGTTTGGGCAACATGAAAAACCCTATCACTACCAGAAAAAAAAAAAAAAAGGCTGGGCTCCGCTAGGACTATCAACCGGAGCACTGACATGAAGCGTCTCAAGCATGGCAGTCTCAAGGCAAATGGGCTTATTTTAGAGCAGCTCAGGGCTCCAGAGAGAGTGTTCCAAGGAGAAAAGGCAGCAGCGCTAAGACTTGTTGTGACCTAGCCTTGTGAGTCCCATAGTGTCACTTCCACCACCACACTCCATTGATCAAGCAAGTCTCCGAGGCCAGACTCTAACTCTCAATAGCAGGAGTCACAGAGAATTTACAGCCATCCTTAATCTACCATGACATTAGACTAAAATCAGGGACTCCCAGTTTCAAAATGGCAGAGTGTAGAGGCAAGCTGGCTTCACTTCCTCCCACCCCCCACCAAGAGAAAAGCAGAAACAAATATACACACTAAGATTATCACCAGCAGTAGCTCTGAACTCAAATAGGAGGATGACAGTTCCTCAGGCCATAGAGAAGTGAATTTTACTAAAACAAACCACCAAAGCAACAGGAATTTGATTCAACCAAAGAAGTGGTGGGTTTAGGATGGCATAAAAATAAGGGCTAGTGTGGTGGCTCATGCCTGTAATCCCAGCACTTTGGGAGGCTGAGGCGGGTGGATCACCTGAGGTCAGGAGTTCAAGACCAGCCTGGACAATGTGGCAAAGCCCCACCTCTACTGAAAATATGAAAATTACCCAGGCATGGTGGCACACGTCTGTGGTCCCAGCTACTCCGGAGGCTGAGGCAGGAGAATCGCTTGAACCCAGGAAATGGAGGTCGCAGTGAGCTGAGATTGTGCCACTGCACTCCAGCCTGGGCGACAGAGTGAGACTGTCTAAAAAAAAAAAAAAAAGAGAGAGAATTGTATAAAAATTAATTACACTAATTTTCCACTTTTCTTCACATTGTTTTGGCAGTATTTTAACACAACTTATTCTTTTCAACAACCAAAATGGCTGGAATTTTCAATGCCCTCATTTTTATTTTGTAGAATCTATCAGATTAGCTAAACCACCATTCTAATTACACCTATAAAATAACCAAAAAAAGGCACTTTCTTCTTCCGAGGGAAATAAGTACAGTGTTGCTAAAAATATGAAAGATGATAGCTATATTTGAGAAGTATTTTGAGCAATTTGAAATGGAAAGTGATAGCCATCTACTAACCTGTTTCTTTCCTCAAATATAGAAATATAATTTGTATTTACATTTTTTAATGTATGTTTATTGCAGATGTGTTGGGAGGTAGGGGTGAGCCCAAGATGCAAAGGAATTGTGTAATGTGTCATTTGCCACATCCAAGTGGGTAGTTCTACCAAGAAATGCAATGGAACTAAATTGAAAAAGTGAAGTGCAATTGGCCCTCATGTGCTGCACAGATGCTAGATCCAAAATAGATACAAGGGCCCCAGAGCATAGCTGAGGCAGAGCTCTCTGGAACAAGCTAACAGCTTCATTTTCTGTGGCTCCTTGCAAACAGTGAAAACTTCAGAATTGGAGTGGGAGGGAGGATCAAAGATTGAAGTTTTTGTGTGAGAAAGAGTATAATAGTGTAAATGAGAAAAATAACTGAAATCTATTTTAGAAATTCTCTTTTTGTGCAAATAGAAAACTGTCTTTATAAAATTTATGATTTTCTTTTTAAAATGTCACTCTCATATACAAAAGAAAGAGCTTTTTAATAGTGTTTATTGTATTTGTGTCACTTTAATGGACATATCTTGGAGGCTGGATGGGAGAATGGCCATAGAATCCTTGTAGTACACTAGACTAGAATCAGGCTCATTTATTTTAACCACTAGTATTTTACTTGATGGGCAAACGAGCTCTTTAAAGGGATACTTTAAGATCAGTGGCACTGTTTCCATTTCAAAACAATGCTTCCTAAAAGAACATCCATTAATCAGATTAGCAACTAACAATTTTTGTTTAAATAAGGCAAGTTTGTCTTTCTATATATATTTTTTCTTTTGGGAGTGTGACCCACTGAAGAAAATACACACACAATCAAACATACTACAATATTAACAAGTATTTAATATTGTTATTTCACAATTTAAACCATTAAATTTGTTAAGTTTATCATTTAAAATATGATAAAATCAACTGGAGATAAAATCAACATTTGTCATTCAACCATCGTGGAAGACAGTGTGGTGATTCTTCAAGGATCTAGAACTAGAAATACCATTTGACCCAGCAATCCCATTACTGGGTATATACCCAAAGGATTATAAATCATTCTACTATAAAGACACATGCACACGTACGTTTACTGCAGCACTGTTCACAATAGCAAAGACTTGGAACCAACCCAAATGCCTATCAGTGATTAACTGGATAAAGAAAATGTGGCACCTATACACCATGGAATATTATGCAGCCATAAAAAAGGATGAATTCATGTCCTTTGCAGGGACGTGAATGATGCTGGAAACCATCATTCTCAACAAACTAACACAATAACAGAAAACCAAACACCGCATGTTTTCACTCATAAGTGGGAGCTGAACAATGAGAACACATGGACACAGGGAGGGGAACATCACACACCAGGGCCTGTTGGGGGGTGGGGGACTAGGGGAGGGATAGCATTAGGACAAATACGTAATGTAGATAACGTATTGATGGGTGCAGGAAAACACCATGGCACGTGTATACCTACCTATGTAACAAACCTGGACGTTCTGCACATGTATCCCAGAACGTAAAGTATAATAAAAAAATTAATAAAATTTTAAAAATCAACATTTCTTGACATATTTATTTATATATTTTGTTAAATAAACTTTTATTTAATAAAAAGATGTTTTGGCTCTGAGGTTGTTCTTCTCAGTGGCATATCTACATTTGCCATGCAATATATATCCTCAAGCCAAGGGACGCCATTCATGAGAGCCTAAATACACAGGCGTGAAGTCCTGGCTTCTTAGAAAGGAACCACTCTTCAAGAAGAATGAATCACATCCATTAATAATGACTCATAATTATAACATATTGCAGTTTATAAAATGCTTTCACATAAATTGCCTCATCTGATCCTCACAAGATTGTGAGTTAAATTTTACTCTGCCCATTCTATAGTTAGAGAAATAGAGGATCTGAAAAGACAGGGTTTTTCCTTTCCCCCACAAGTTTCTGTCCAGCCCCGAGGTGAGGTGGCACTTTGAGTATGCGCTTTCCGCTGCGCCGTCCTCTCAGACTCCACACTACTCAGCAGCACTTTCTGTTCTGGTCACAGGGATTTTCTTTCTGTCTCCATTGAAACCCCCTCTCCAGCCTCTGTCTGTTTAAATGCCACCCACTTCTCTTGCTTGCCTGAACACCTTTAGCCCAGAAAGACTTCCCTAAACACTTCAGCCCACACCTATCTCACCTTTTGACAATATTCCACATTACTTACTATCTGTAGTGCTCCACGGTATCCGGCTATGCTATTGCCCCTCTCCTTCTCTAATATATGCAAGTCTTAGAGGCATCCAAGTGGCATATAAATACCTTGAGTTAAGGGGCTGTGCCATCCCCTCTCCTTCCCCCAGGTGCCAGGCACAGTTCTGTGTACAGAGGCGAATATTTGCTATTCAAATGAGCAATTTGAAAATCTCTCTTCTTCAGCCAGGTGCCTGGTGTCATTCCTCTTCCTGAAAAGCCCCCTGTGCTTCAACCTCCCCAACTCCTAATTATCCTTAGGTCTCAGCTCACGTCACCGTCACCTCCTTTGTGAAGCTGCCCTGAATCGTCAGGGAAATTTTAGTCACTGTCTCCCAGTATTTGTCACACTCTGGTAATTATTTACGTTTGTCTCCCCCACCAAACGACCTGGAAAACGCATGCAACAATCGATACCAGCCATAATGTCAAACACCTCCCGTTTTCTTCTCCAATTGTTAATGGAAGGAATCCTTAAAACTCCAGTTAGATTGTAAACTCCTTTGAATATGGAGTATGTCTTGGTAGATATTTGTGGAGTGAATGCAGATCTTGGGAAAAGATTAGGTCTGAAGCAGTAAAATCATCTCCAATGAAACACATTCAACACTGAAGAAGAATAAACTAATTGCACAAAGCCTTTTAAAAATCACCCAAATATTTTTTCAGAGAAAATTAGTATATATTTATCAAATTTTATTGTCATAAACAAATCATTAAGTTCACAACACATTTGGCACAAACCTATTGGAAGAAAATTGATGGGAAGCAAAGAAGGCTGTCCTGTGAATCTTGTTTTTTTTTTTTACAAAAAAAAATCGGATACAAATATTTCTTACAACTCTAAGATGAGCTATGTGCTCCATAAAGATTTTGTCTAATTCCTAAAATATATGGAATTTGACTTTCCATAGCACATTTTACATTCAGGATAATGAGAAGTAATGAACTGAATATAGACTATTATATAAAAGTGAATACTGTGATCATTCAGCTTGAACATTAGAATCCATTTTAATTATGTCTTAGTAAATTTAGTCTATTTTAATTATAGCCTAGTGAATTTCATGGTATGAAAAAGTATTTAGAGTCCTTGATCTGGAATGGCAATGCTGTTTATTCAAGACTGGCCTTGTATGGGAATAAACATGGGAACAAGAACTCAAACTACTGGATCAGGATCACCTGGAGAAACTTGCTAAATGCTCTGGCCTCAGCCCCAGAGATTCTGAATCAACTTTTCTACTTTTAATAATAGTAATAGTGATTCATACTAAAATTTGGAGACCAATGTCCTAGGGGCATAAACTCAGTGATGCTGAAGCCAGCTCCTTCCCAACTCTTTCTCCAGTGATGACACACTGGAGACTAAATCAATCATGGTGGCTATATTGTTAAACATTTACCAGCACTCCACTGGATAAGACATCAGAGTCTCTGGTCTTTCCCAGTAAGAGAATGTTTTGGATAAATCTGGTCCTGCTGAAATTCTCTGATAAGCATTCTGTTATGAGTTTAGGAAGAAGTATAGTAGAAACTCAAAGTTCCCAAATTGTCAGACTCAGCACCTTCCCTTAGCAAAGTAAAAATGGAAAGGCTTAAAGAAGTGAGCTCATAGTCATTTTAAAAGCAAGGAAAAAGAAAATTTCTTGTGGTGGTACAATTTTTAGGGATTTATAGCCCAGGTTTTACTCTGGATAAGGTGAATCCAGAAGAGGGAGAGTGAGGTGACCCACAGATCTGCTTTGCCAACTTTCTTATATTTCTTCAGGTCCAACTACCCTATTGTGTTTCAACTCCAAGCCAACTCTTACCCAAATATGGGAACCTGATAGGGAATATTCCATGGCGTACACTCTCCCATCCATCCTAGATAGGAAGTGTGCATTTATGCTCACCTATTTACCTAAACGCAAACCAGACCTTGATAGATGCAGCCTAATTGAAAATGTTATTAAATAACACAGGAAACTCAGAGATTTGAGTTTTGGAATGATTGGGTTGACAATGAAAGTCCCACGACCCTGAGGCATAGTCACACTCTAGAGCCTTATGTGTAATATCTCAGGGTGGAAAAACGCAGTTCCGAAAGAGGAAAAATATCTTGCAGCTTCACTCACTGATGTAAATTGAGTGATAAAAGCCTCCTTTAAAAAAACGTGGTAGAGCAGACTAAGCCTTGGTTCACAAGAGAAATACAAAGAATTCATCCTTTAAAACAGTACAAAAGGCACCAAAAATATTCTTAGGGATGATTTTGCAAGCTAAACATTGTGTGAACTGAATCACATACATTGAGCACTATGTTAGATTTTCTGGTACACTTATGATTTTATGAAATTCTATTTTCTCTAACCAAGGCACTTCCATTACTGACTAGCTAAATGAAATTAATGTACACCTCATAAAGAGTAAGTCACCTCACGGAAAGAATAACAATCCTCTAGCCAGGGAATGTGTCCCAATTTGAGATTTGGAAACTATGATCACCATGTTTATAGATTCCATGATAATGCTCTCCTTACAGCTAAACGATGTGTCCAAAATAGCTTCCATCTTTTAAATGTAAGGAAATGCACATGGAAGTTCCCAGCATCTTTGTTTAAGTGTAAAGCTTATTTCTCAGTGCTTCCTCTCCCTTGAGTCAAACCCACTACCTCAGTAAGGATGAAAGTCAATTGAATTAAGGAAAGCAAACAACCTTCAAATGTCACAAAGTTAGTTGATGCTTCTGGGGCCACTGGTTCATCTGTGGAACTAAATGAAGAAAGGAAAAGAAAAGAAAAAGGATAAATAATATAAGTACTGTGGAAGAACGAGAATGTTTTCCTAAATGCTTTACTGCCATTTCCCCCATATTTCAGCCCCTTGTCTCTTAGAGGAGATCCTGAGAATTGAAGGAGTGCTGTCAGGGGCAGACTTACTATGAGGCCTGGAGATTTCAACTCCGGGTGGTCCCTGCTGGGACTGTGAAGTTATGTGGTACCTAAACCACACAGATGCCAAGGAATATTCCAATGCCAGAAATTGCTCCCCTACATCTGATTTTCCATGAGAAACTTGGCAGAATATTTTCCTGTTTTCCCCCTTAGATGGACGATTTGGGTAATATTGGAATTCAACACTTATGAATCAACTTGTCCACCCCCATGGAACATTTTAAGTTATCATGTCTTAAATATCATTTCTAAACTTAGATATTTAAAATATTTATCTGGAAAGAAGATAGGAAAAAAGACAAAGGCGTAAAAAGTGACCTATATGAGTAATTTCTACAGTACATTCTATTTTGAGAAAACATATTTTACAGTCTCATTTCAAATAATATAGCACTCGAGTGTAATAAACGCTCTGAGATATCCTGCAGTTAAAACAAACATTCTTAGATTAATTTTTAGTTTAACATTTCTCAAACTTTTAAACTGCAGAGCACTGTTTATATCATGCCTCTTGGTTCAGACTGTTACCACAAAGTAACATAATGTGGGTGGCTCAGAAACAGAAATTGATTTCTCCTGATTCTGGAGGCTGGAAGTCCAAGATCAGGGTGCCAGCATAGTTGGGTTCTGGTGAGGGTTTTCTTACAGGTTGCACACCATTGACTCACATGATGAAAAGAGAATGAGAGAACTCTCTGGGCTCCCTTTTATAGGGGCATTAATTCCCTTCATGAGGGCTCCACCCTCATAAACCAATCATTTCCCGAAGACCCCATCTCCAAATACCATTACATTACAGATTCAATTTCAACATACAAATTTGAGGGGGGTGGACACAAACATTCAATCCATAGAAATCCCCGTTAATATCATAAGAAACTCATGTTTATGGCCCACTAGTTGGAATGTCAGTCAGATTTATCTTTTTTTTTTTTTTAGAAAAAAAAACAGAACACAAAAGCGCTGAAAGAGGTCCCTTCTCTTGTTCTGTGCATAACCTTGTACACAAGAATTCTTGACCAGACTCACCCGGTTCTGAAGCCTTTGGCTGTGTCAGTCAGTTAGGCCGTGCACATGGAATCTGGGGATTATTGGGGACAGCAGAGCAAAATATTTCTGCTCAGGAGAGAGGGAAGCAAAGCTTCTATTTCTAGCACTCAATACTTTGTACTCATGGGATGGTATTGCTGTTCGGATTCCAAATTCTAAATGACAACTTGTACTTGAAGGCACTGATTTCCTTTGCTGGGGAAGATTTACTATCTACCACATATGCTTCATCTTTATTGTGTATTTGGCTATTGAATTATTCCTCATAACTGTTTTTCTTACCAAACTATTTCTTAAAGAGCTAAAGTTGTTAACACTTCAGCCCAAATCCTTTGCAGCAATATGCAGAACATACAGGTGCTGCAACTCTCAGCAATAAAAGGAGAGTTGCTAATGTAGACATAATCATACATTGTAAAGGAGCTGATGGGTTATAAACTCAATTCTGCAGGAAGTGGGACAGTGCTGGCCTTAAGGATTTCCTCACTGGGATTTCTAGAGTTGATGTTACTAACAGCAAACACATCCCTTTCTGTCCAACTGTACCTAAGATTCTTCTCAGATCCCTGGTATTTGAGTTCCTCCCAGTATTACTTCTATGTCCACCCAGCAAATGCCAAGGAAAAGAAACCACAGAAAAGGGGAGGAGGAGAACAGTCTGTGCTGCAGCTGGTGAGGGAGCCGAGGAAAGGGGGCACAGTCACTGTAATATCAAGCACTGAGCTCTGCAGGAATTTGCATTCCTTGGGGTTGATCCAAAAAGGACGCCCTTTGGCTTCCTGGTAGCTGTCAGGGCCTCTGTGAGACGAGCAGGTTCCTACACTCACAGGTTTGGCATCATGGTGACTGAACAGGACACAAGGGCCTCGGGCTGGCTAGAGTGACAGAGCATGGAGAAGCCTCCCTCTCCAAAGCTTGGTTCTTTCTACCAGCAAACATGATTAGCACCAGACATTCAAGGTCCGTCCTATGGACTCGGCTCTGGCCACCCACTTGCCGTGACTCTCCATGAAAAAGAATTCCAAGGTACTAAGTCCAGGCCACTCTCCTCTTCTATACCACACTCCAGGGACCCGAGATCATGGGTTCCCAATGCAAGGGCTCAAGCCATGGCCAGGTCCACAAGAGGCTCTGCCCTGGGTGTGTCCTCTGGAGGGCCCATCTTTAGAACTAAGGTGTAGCCAAGGAGCAGCTGTCTGCAGAACAGGAAGGGGGTGGGCTTGGACACAACTTCAATGTGCAGACTAGGATATCACACACTCGTATGAATGAGGCTCCTTAAAATGAGCGACTCCGTGGAAGGAGGAAAGATAGCAGGAGTGGGTGCACATTTGTAGTCTTGCCCCCAAGCCCAGCAAATGACTGAGGTTGGCTTACTGACATCTGTCCTATTAAGCAGCATCAGGAGACATCTTCATACACTTAAAAAAAAATAGGCCTCTTGCTTTTCTGGGTACTGTAAATAAAAGCTACTAGCCATTAATGTGTACTAGACTTTGTGCTGAGAAGTTTACACTTATTACCTCATTTAATCAACTATAATATGTGAGGAATAGCATTATTCCCATTTTACAGACAAAAAAATGAAAGAGGAGAGAGATTAAGTAATTTGTTTAAGTCAACACAGGTGGTAGGTGGTGGCCTGCAGTTGATATCTCTAATCCTGTGCAAGTGATGGGAAGTGGAGAATGCTGAATAAATGAAGGTGGGGCTTTGGTTCTCTGAGATGGAGAAATATCTGCAGACGCCCAGGAAGGAAGCAAGAAAGAAGCAGAAACCCTCATAGAAAACAAAGTAGCTTATAAGGAAGAGGGGCAAGTCAGAGGCCAAAGACAATGTGTTGCCAAGAGCTCCAGGCCACGTGAGGGCTGCATAAAAATCCCAACCTTTGCTGTGCAGCACCTGAACCCCACCCAAATCTTAAAGCAAATCACTCAGTTAATTACACAGCATACCTTATCATGAGCTAGACCAAAAACAAATTCAAAAGGAGGTTTACATTTCAGAAATAAGCGAACTGCTGGCTTTAAATGTTTTTAGTTCAAAGGAGTAGGGGTGTGTGTGTGTGTGTATGTTTGTGCATTAACTAAATATATTTGGAAAATCTATGAGAAGCCCTTGGAATGGGCTTCATTACACAGTTTCAAGAGCTGAAGTCTGTTTTTGCTTGTTGTCTTGTAGCCCTGGGGGATCTGTAGGGCTGAATTTCTGAATAAGAACTTGCAGCTATCAGAACCGCTAGGATCAAGGCAGCTGAGCACAAAAGTTCTGGATGTGAATTTTTTTAATTAAAAAATGTTTTTCACTAAGGTCCCTTCAAAGTCAGCTTGCTGAGTTTTAGGAGAAATTAAAAGTAATAAAGAATAGCGACCAAATTAATTTAAATATCTCTTCTACCTCCTTTCATAATTGTGGGATAGGTTTATAAAATATGTGAATAAAGAACACCTCATCACTTTTCAAAGACATGCCAAGTTTTAGGACAATAAATGAGTATAAATAAAATAGGTTGTATCAGTGTCGTATACGATAAAAACAGGAAAAAGTACACAGTACTCTCTCATTACTTTGCCCTTTCGCTCTTGATGTTGTATCCTGTCTGTTCTCCGTTAATGAGATCTCTAGGCAAAAACTTCACTCTTCCTTGTCGGACTAGGCAGACTGACATTTCTCCTCCTGGTAGCTGCAAAAACCGAAGTAAAAATCCCTGCCACAAGAGAAACACAACTTTTTCAGAATAAGAAATGATTACAGCAAGAATGAAGGAGTCTAATCAAAGCGTTCCAGCAGGCCTGTCAGTACCTGCCCACCGGCAATGAAGATTCCAGCTCCGTGTGTCTCTGGGGTTCTGTTCCATTCACTCAGGCACTTTACATAGGTTAGTACTGCAGAGGACTCACACAGTCCACTTAGGTTACTACCCCATTTCACAGACAGGAGATGATTTATTGATTAATGTATTTTTACATCATTTAAACGTTTTCTCAATGTTCTTAAACTTGAACTTTTATTGCTACAATTATAATTTTTTTAATGTGTCAGTGATTCAGAAGTCCTTTATTGGCCAGGCATAGTGGCTCACACCTGTAATCCCAGCACTTTGGGAGGCCGAGGCGGGTGGATGACCTGAGGCCAGGAGTTCAAGACCAGCCTGGCCAACATGGCGAAACCCTGTCTATACAAAAAATTCAAAAATTAGCCAGGTGTGATGGTGCATGCCTGTAGTCCCAGCTACTTGGGAGGCTGAGGCAGGAGAATTGCTTGAACCCAGGAGACGGAGACTGCAGTGAGCCAGGATCGCACCACTGCACTCCAGCCTGGGCAAGAGAACGAGACTCCATCTCAAAAAAAAAAACAAAATCCTTTATTAAGGTGTAAAAATAGTCATGAAAATAGAAACAGTCGTGTAACTTAGACTAACTTCATAATAAATAGTGAAGAGGTCTCCAACGTAAATAAAGAGTTTGTCTCTGCACGTGTTAGGATAGTGAATTTACAAGTGAAGATTTTTCACAAGAATCCAATGAATGACAAACATTGGAAAATTTGATTTTATTGGATTGACCTGAATCCTTGATGTGTTTTTTTTTTAATGTCATATTAGGGCATTACAATCATTGATATTTTTGCATCATTTTTCAAACAAAGAACAGTTGCTTTTATGGTGAACCAACTGAGTTTCTCCAGAACTTTTCAGTGCAAAACTGATGCTTTTGTTGCTACAAGTGGCATGGTCTGATAGGTTAGGGCACAGGCTTTGAAACTGAACATCCTATGTGTATATCTGACCTCTGTCCCTTACCAGCTTTGTCACTTTAAGTTACTTTGGATATAATGTATCTTTGCCCCACTTACCTTTTTTGTCCAGGGGTACTATTAAGTGTCTGATCTTACAGAGTTGTTATGAGGGTAAAATGCATGTAAAGTGCTGAAATGAATGCCTGGGAAATAATAAATACTCAATAAGTATTAGCAATTATTAAAAATAAAGAAGAGTCCAAATTCAGAGAAGCCAACCTTGGAGTCGCATTTTTGGGCATACACAGGTACAAAGGATTTTTTAAAATTTATTTTCAGCACAATAGTTTATTGAATTCAAAGTAATATGAAAGGAGGAATGAAACAATTATTTAAAGATATTTTCCTTTTTTGGTTGACAAAAATTATATATATATATTTATTTTGTAAAGCATGTTTTGCTATATGTGCGCATTATGCAATGACAAAATCAAACTAATTTACTTATGTTTTACCTCAAGTACTTAACTTTTTTGTAGTGAGAAAAAGAATTATTATCTTAGCAGTTTTTCAGTATACAGCACATTGTTATTAACTATAGTCACCATGTCATACAATAGAACTCTTGAACTTATTCCATCTATGTACCTGAAATTTTGTATTCTTTGACCAACATCACCCTCAACCCCTGCCCCGCTAGGTGCTGGTATTTACCATTCTACTCTCTTCTTCTGTGAGGTTGACTCTTTTAGATTCCACATATAAGTGAGATCATACAGTATTTGTCTGGCTTATTTTATATAGCATAATGTCCTCCATGCTCATCCATTCATTGCAAATTACAGGATTTACCCTGTTTTTAAGGCTGAATAGTATTTTATCAGATATATATCTGGTGATATATATATATATCATATATATATATCAGATATATATATATCAGATATATATATATATCATATATATATATCAGATATATATATATCAGATATATATATATATCAGATATATATATATATATATCACATCCTCTTAATCCAATCATCTGTTAATGAACACTTAGATTGATTCCAGATCTTGGCTATTGTAAATAGTGCTCGAGTGAATGTGGAAGTGCAGGTACTTCACCACACTGATTTCATTTCCTTTAAATATATACCCAAAATAGAATTGCTGGATCATAGTTCTATTTTTAATTTTTTGAGGAACTTCCATACTGTTTTGTGACTGTACTAATTGACATTCTCACCAACAATGTACAAGGGTTCTCTTTTCTCCATATCCTCACCAACATTTTTTTATTTTTTGCTTTGATTATAGGCAGCCCAACAGGTATGAGATGACATCTCACTAATTGCACTTCCCTGATGATTAGTGATGTTGTATTTTTTCATAAAGCTGTTGGCCGATTGTATGTCTTATTTTGAGAAATATCTATTCGGGTCCTTTGCCCATTTTTTAATCAGGTAATTTGTTTTCTCGCTATTGAGTTGTGTTTCTTATATTATATTTTACATATTAATCCCTTACTAGATATATGGTTCATTTCTTTCCATTCCATAGGTTGTCTCTTCACTTTGTTGGTTATTTCCTTTGCTGTGCATAAGTTCTTTAGCTTAATGCAATCCCATTAGTTTATTTTTACTTTTGTTGTCAAGTGCTTTTGAGGTCATATTAAAAAAAAATCTTTGCCTAGACCAGTATCAAGAAGATTTCCTCTATGTTTTTAAATGATAATAATCTTGGGCTCAGAGAAATAGCTTAGTAAGATATTGGCAAAGGCTTTTTATCAAGTGGAGCCATGGAGACTACAAATTATAAACAGCATACCAGCAGGAAGGCAATGATGAATACACACACTGCTGGATGAAGTTGCATGTTGTATATGAATTTGTCTGATCTTTGACCTAGGTTCCTGGGATGGAGCTTCTAAACACTTGGAATTTTCTGAGTAATAGGAGTACCTTTGCTATTCATAGTAGGCTCCTTATGAGGTTATGCTAACAAGGCAATTTATAATGGACCTTTAGATAGTTTCAGAATGGAGGCTAGCCCATGCTGGAAAGGCCAACTATGCCATGAGAGGGCTGGGGCTTTGAGCAGCCATGTGATATCAGACCTACCTCCTGGGAAGGGCTGGAGGGCTAGAGATTAAGTTCAGTCACCTGACTAATGATTCAGTCAATCATGCCCATGTATTGAAACCCCAGTAACATTTCGTTTTAAACACTGAAGCTCAGTTGAGTTTGCCAATTGGTGAACAGGTTTATATGCTTGGAGGGTTATGCAGCCTAATTCCGTGGGAAGAGAACAGAGAAACCCCACATTCAGGACTATCCCAGATCTTGTCCTCTATGCCTCTTCTTTTGGCTGGTCCTAATTTGTATTCTTTATAATAAATTGTAATTGTAAGTATGGCATTTTCCTGAGTTTTGTGAGTTTTTCTAGCCAATTTTCAAATTTGAGGGGGTTATGGAAACTCCCAAATTTGTAGCCAGTTGGTCAGAAGTGCAGGAGGCCTGAGGATTCCCAGACTTACAGCTAGCATCCGACACAAGCACAGTCCTGTTGGGGATCTGTCCTGAACCCGTGCAGTCTGCACTAACACTGGGTAGTTAGCATCAGAAGTGAACTGCAGTGTTGTGCTGTATGAGTCAGCTCTTGGCACTTGTGCACTGTGTGCACGGAATTGATGGACTGGAGGATGCTTTGACCTATTTGGCACTGAAACCATGTTTTTGAAAAAAGAACTTTTTAAAGTTAAGGATTATTTTATGGTGGTGTAGACTGAAAAACAATGTGTTGATTTCAGTACTGACAAAGCTTGAGCTAAGGGCTCTATAAGGAAGGGTCTCTGACACCATCATCCCGTGAGCACTCTACTCATGGGCAACAGTTAGCAGTCAACAAATGACTCCTCATCTTAATTCAGTGGTATGGTGAGAGGAACAATTGTGATGCAGACAAATTGAGCCGACAGAATACATTCATTTTCAGCATATTCTGCAAATAAATTGGCAATATATATCTGCTTTTACACTCTGAGGTTTTCTGACCATCAAGAAGATGCTCACCTCAGCTATTGAAGTTAAAGTTATTACAAAATCAGCTCACCCTGACACTTACAAGGCTGCCAAAAACCATTTCTACGATTCAATGAAACTTGCTCATGTGTCATAGCTCAACAATAGAACATGAACTCTAGATAGCCTAAAGCTGTCACTTCAGAGGTGAAATTTCAAGATGTTACTGCTGATGCTGTAATATCAGGATTTTATAAGAAAGTCAAAATATGATAGACTAATTCCTGAGAGTTTTCCTTTCTCCAAAAAGTCTGTGAAGTTCTTCACTCAACCAGAGAATTAGTAGACTTCATATTAGTCAGTTACATTTTAAAACCATCTCCACATGAGGCAATAAAAATGGGAAAAAATTATTTTCCAGAGTAGAATGTAATAAGAGAGTAGATTAGGAAACCATAAGCTTCTTTATCCCATGCTGAAACCCTCCTAATCCTGCTGGCTTTACACCTGACAGAGTGCCAGAAGTCATCTTCAGAGAGAAATCTCCCCAGAAATTCTGAGCTCTTGCCTTCCCCTGAAATCTACTCAACAGAGCCAGCAACCACTTGCATTCTTTTTTACTTAGAAGTTTCTAATTTAGCAAAAAAAAAAAATAATAATAATTTTGAAAAGAAACATAACAGACTGTGCGCAGTGGCTCATGCCTGTAATCCCAGCACTTTGGGAGGCCGAGGCGGGTGGATCATGAGGTCAGGAGTTCAAGACCAGCCTGACCAAAATGGTGAAACCCCGTCTCTACTGCAACTACAAAAATTAGCCAGGTGTGGTGGCGCATGCCTGTAATCCCAGCTACTTAGGAGGCTGAGGCAGGAGAATCACTTGAACCTGGGAGGTGGAGGTTGCAGTGAGGCGAGATCGTGCCACTGCACTCCAGCCTGGGTGACAGAGCAAGACTCCGTTTCAGAAAAAAAAAAAAAATACCAGATGCTGAGTCTGACTTGTAGCTGATGTTATCACCACCATGCTCAATATAATAACTTGGTAAGATGTTATCCATTTAACTGATATGGATTTATCATTTTAAAATCATTTCCATTAACAATAACAATGGCATTTCTTTGATGCTTTTGCAAAACTGACAGCCTGCTTGCTGGGTGGCAATTAACACAGCCCCAGATTTCAAAACTTTATAAATGGCCTAATAGGAGAAGGGACATGGGGAATGAATGGCAATGTGAGGATCTAGGTGAATGCTTTTCCCAGCAAAGAAAGCATTTAACTGGTGAAAGGATAGAAAAAGAAAACAAACAAAAAAACCACTTTACAACTCCAGATGTTTTCATAGGAGTATGCAGCAAATGGAAAAAGATTTAGTCGAGTTTTACTAAATCTTGATGCAAACGATTGAGTCTCTGGCATTTGAGTGATGGCTGTTCCCATCACCCCACCCCAACTCCAGCTCCATGAGGTGGAAGAACTACTCCAGGTGGGCACAGGCGAAAAGCTGGGGTCTCCTTCTCTCCCCAGCTTCTACTCTAGGACTATAATTTCACCCTGGAAGGGATAGGCCACTAACATCTCTCATTCTCTACAGTCTCACATTGTGGAAGCACTGTTTTGAGCAGGCATGGCCAATGGAAATGGGGATCCCTTCTCCCACCCAGCTCACATTCAGAGGGTGAGAGCTCTGGCCCGGGTGCAGCAAGCTGAAAGCACTGACTGTCTCTACTACAGCTTGCTCATAGGGAGGAGGTTCCACACCAGTGAAGCAGCCAAGAAAGTAAAAGGCAACCATCCACTCAGCCCTGCTTTAGAGTGGGTGCCATTCTGGGAGAAGTGGGATTTTATCCCTAGCTCTGGTATAATGGCTCTGAGGCTCTCCCAGGGGAAGGAGCAGGTTGTAAGAATAGAGAACTCCACAGCTCTGCCTGAGGCAAACAACTTTGGAACAGAGCATGGAGCAGTTCATGCCTAAAGATATTGTCAAAAACAATGGCAGTAGTGGTGACAAGTAATGAAGAGGGGGCTGGTAGTTCCAAGATACTAGTAGCAAAGAGCAAAAGGGCAGAACAGCCAAAAAATAACAGAGAGAAAGAGTGAAGAAGTCAGCCAAGAAGAGCCCTTCCATGACCAATGTTATCCTTGGGCATCTAGAAGGCTGTGCGCATGCTCTACGCTGCACCCTCTCAGAAACAACTGAAGCAGGATGTGGGGCAGCCTCAGAAGGGTTCCCAAGCCATGCACCAATCTACCTGCAAAGATTCTTTTAGTCTTACTGGATCAAAGGGCTTAGCACAACTTCTGACCAAATACTGGCTAAAAATAAGCTACTCTGACCCAGGGGTATGTCCTAGAAGCCTTGGCTTAAAAATGAAACCATTATCATCCCTGGGGGACTGGAAGTCTGTCCACATGTCCAACACCATGTCCTGTAAGGAGGGACTGGAGAGAATATCTCCAAGCTTGTAGCCCCTGGATGAACATGGGCAAAATGGTAAACTCCCCAAAATGTGAGGGTAATCTGCAAGCCACACACGTAAGTAATTTGTGAAAACAGGATGAGAATATAACTGGATACGAGCTTAATCATAATCTTCCACCAATATCTGATTTATGCAGACCCATATGGAACCCCCAGGAAGCCAGGACAAAAGGTCCTGGAGAAAATATCCGAGCAAGACATTGGAGGCTGCACAATGTGGGGTAAATTGACTCCACAGAATTACTCCAGCCCCACCTGATAAATAAGTAACCACACTAAAAGAAAAAATACTAAGTTCTCAGAAATGGGAAGGGGAATAACATTCAAAATGGCTATAATAATATGTTATCTAAGATGCTCAATTTCTAATAAAAATTTTGAGACCTGTAAAGAAACAGAAAAGTATAACCTATTCATGAGAAAAAAAAAAGGCAGGTAAAAATCACTGCCTTCAAAAGGAGCCAGTTTGGAATTAGCACACAAAGATTTCAAAGCAGCTATTATCAAAATGTTCTAATAAATAAAGGAAATCATGTTTAAAGAATCAAAGGAAGACATAACAATAATAATTCACCATATAGAGAATATTAATAGAGATAATATGATGCTTAATTGTATGTGTTACTTTCACTGGGCTGATACCCAGACAGCTGGCAAAACACTATTTCTGGGTGTGGTCTTCTGGGAGAGGTTAGCATTTGAATCAGTAGAGCGAGTAAAGATCATGCTCACCATATGAGTGGGCAATATCCAATCCACTGAGGGCCTGAAAAGAACAAGGAGCTAGAGAAAGGATAAATTTGGTCTTTCTGCTAGATTTGGGAAATCCGTCTTCTCCTGCTTTCAGATGTCAGCTGGGCTCCCAGATCTTTGGACCAGGACTAAGACTTATACCACCAGCACCTACCCAGTTATCAGGCCTCAGGTTTGGACTGGAACTACCCCACAAGCTTCCCAAGGTCTTCAGCTTGCACAGGGTAGATTGTGAGACTTCTCAGCCTCCATAATCATATGTGCCAATCCCTCATAATAAATCTTTCTATATACCTATACATACCCTATTGGTTCTATTTTTCTGAAGAATCTAGTCTAACGCAGGTAGTAATTACTATTTAAAAAAAGAACCACAGGAAAAATCTGCAGCTCAAAAATACAAAAAGCAAAATGAAAAATTCACTTGAGAGGCTGAACAGTATATGTGAGTTGGCAGAAGAAAGAATCAGCAAACTTGAAGAAAGATCAGTAGAAATTATGTACTTAGAAGAGAGGGAAAAAATTAAATAAAATAAACAGCCTTACTGAAATGTAGGACATCATTCCATGCATAAACATAAATATAGTGGAAGTGCCCAAAGAGAAGAAAGAAACAAAAGGGATCAGGAATTAAGCAACTCACCAGTTAAGCAATCCTGGCTGTGTTCATAAACATGCCTGCCATCAGGAGTTAAGCGGCAGATTTGGCCCTTGCACCACTCATAGCCTCATTCCCTCTGGGCCCACTCTCTCACTGTAATGAACCATTTCCAATTCTCCATCAGAACTGACTATTCCTTTGCTGATGCTTTCCCTGTTTCCTGGAGTACCCTCTTTTACCACTCTGCTGAGATATCTATCCATATTTTATTACTAAGAAAGAATTTGATGAATATCCATTTCTTCTGATTGAGAAAGAATTTGCACGTAATACCTGCTATATATGTTACCAATAGTAAGTTAACCAAAATCTGTACCAAATCTTTACAAGTCTAACAATTTTCCCCCAAAAAAACATGACAACAACAACAAGAAAAATACTACAGCAATGAATATGTATGTACTTAACTGCCCCAAAGTTGGGTCCTAAAGAGCTGAACTTTACAAAGACTGAGGCAATTTGTTAAGTATCGTGGCTAAGCATTCAGTCTTGGGTTTTGGTAAACAATTTTTTTTCTTGTTCTGTCTAAAATCCTATTCTAAGATTCTAGAGGAGTCTATTTCTTTACTGGCTGTGTGTATGTGTGTGTGTGTGTGTGTGTGTGTGTGTACATGATTGTAATAAAGACTGAAAAGTGCTCAATTCAGTTGCTGCTTTTTCTTTAACAGAAACAAAGCTCAAGTGACAGCTCCTTTAGATAGCATTCCCACACTTTCTAAATAAAATGACCACTTCCTACTATGTTCCTCCCAGGACCGTGCACACACTTCTGTAATTATAGCTCTATTTATTAATATGTCTGTCTCCCTTTAGACTGCTTCTTAAGGGCAAAGACCTTTTGCTTGTAGTGTAGCCTCTCACATACAGCACAGCTTTTCTCACTTACAAATAAAATGGAAGAAAGAAGGAAGAAAAGGAGAGAAGGAGGAGAAGATAAAGGGCAGAAGGGAGAGAAGGAAGGAGGAAGGGAAGAACAGAAAAAAGAAGGAAGGAAAGAAAGGAAGAGAGAAGGAGGAAGGGAAGAAGGAGGGAGAGAAGGAAGGAAATTGTATATAGCATGTTTCATAAAGCTATGTTGCTCCTAATACTTTTTTAAATAAGCATTTATAATTAACAATTACAGTTTTCCTAAAAAAAATGATAGCCCCAATCATTAAAATACAACAATCTATTCACTTGCTTAACTAGGTCAAAACAATGTTTTCTTATGTGCTGTATCTTCCCAAACAATCCAACCATTTTCTTTACTAACTGAATAGCTCAAAACCACTTGCCAGAGGCAGAAAAATGAAATCAAGTGCCTGGAAATGTCTGCTTCAGCAACCTGACACTTTTAGCAAAAGCTCATGGGAATGGCTCCTTGAGAGCCTAATCATGTCCCCAAGCAGCCCCCAGTGTCTGAGAATGACTACTGACAACTTGCAGAGGCAGAGGAGGGGAAGATTGGGCTCTAGAGAAATGTCTAAGATCCCGAGCTCAGGAAACAACAAAGAACTCATCCTAGACACCAGCTCTGGGGTCCTTTGCTTTGTGCTGAATATTTCTTCTTCACATTTGTGAATACTTCAGGCAGTGTAACAACACTCGTAGCTTTTCATATATACTATCTCCCAAAGTAATGAAAGGCTTAGTTCTCTAATGCCTGCACAGTGAATCGTGTTCACAGTAGTGTCCTTTCATTACTCCTGCTGGCAGATCTCCTCCTCCAGAGCCTGACTGGATACATGTAAGTCTGAAGGGTTCCATCCCCAACTGGGAAATGTAATTTAAAGTAAACACCATATCCAATGTGATGAGTGTTGTGAGGTGTTATTAAAAATATCAGTCCACAGAATAGATGTGCAGCGTTCTTCATTGCATAATGATCTGACAAAATAGGTCTTCAGTGTGTGTGATAATACAATTAGAGACCACTTCATAGACTTTAAAATGTTCTCCAAGGAAGCTTATTGCCAGAGAAATCTAAAGATGAAGAAGCAAATTTCCAATTCGGAGTCAGATGCAGACTCTTCACTTTATGTTAAAAAGATGGTTCTTGTAGGCTCCTTAAGTCATAACAGAGCACTAGTCACTTCAAAATGTGAAAATATTAACAGTGAAAAAATAATACATTTATTGAACACTCACTATTTGCTAGGTGCTATGATGTGAGTTTCCCATTAAGTACTCTTTTCACCTCCAGTTAAAGGTGAAGAAACAAAGTTTTCATGATTTCAACACTTGCCCAGCTAGTAAGTGGCAGGAATGAGTCTCCAATCCAGACTGTTTTACACTGACATATACTGTTACTGTTCTATGGCTTTAAACTCCAAGCATAGCTAGAGTTTAAAAGAAAACAACAATGGAAGAATGATTTAATCCAAAAAGGAACCAAAGAAGCAAAATCATGAAGCAAGAAAGGTCAAAGCAATCTTGTCCAGGACCCTGAGAGTGAGCAAGTGGGACTCCTGCCCCACTTGCAGGAGTGGGTCGAAGATGAATGTTCTAGAGAAACTTGCATATACCCTGCCTCTTCTGGTGTCACCTCCAGAACCGTGGAAGAAAAAACGCGTTGGCAACAGCTGGCATATGCTTAGGAAGAAAGAACAAATGTCCCATGTCAGACACTCAGAACTCTATATAATCATTTTGCCTTTGTGACTCAAACTGTTGTAATAAAATCAGAATTTTATTCTCCTATTTGTCTGGCTTAACTTTTGCCTCTAGAAAAATCAGTTATAGAGAGAATGAAGATTTCCAATAGCCCAGAGGGAATTACTAGACACCCCTCACTCCGTCCACACAGGGCTATTATCCAAATTAATCAAATCTATACGTACTATTCCCACCACCCATTCTGGTCTCTGAAGCCTGGCTCAGAATTCTATTATATATTTTATTGCCACCCTTGCAAGAGTCAGCTATTTATAATTAAACGTTTTCTGTCATTCCTTTCTGTCACTGTTGGATGTCAAAACTGAGGAAAATATGGAAATATTGAAAAATACTGACTCTTATTAACCTTAAACTGCCTATGCCCATCACTACACTTATGCATGTGTGGGCGCACACATATACTTGCACACACACATGCAGGCCAGGCACATGCACACACACATGCATGCACACACACAGGCATGTACACATACATGCCCACACACATGCATGCCCACACATGCAGGCACACGTGCATGCAAACTCATGTACACACATGCATACACACACGGATGCACACACATGCAGACACACACATGCATGCACACACACGTATGCATGTGCATATGAAGGCACACACATGCACACACACATGCAGGTACACACATGTATGCACACACCCATGTTCATGCACACACACGTATGCACACACACTTGCACACACACATATCCAGGCACACACACATGCACACACACATACATGCACACACACATATGCAAGCACACACAAGCAGGCACCCACAGACATGCAGGTACACACACATGCACACACATGCAGGCACACACTCATGCAGGCACACACATACAGGTGCAAACATACATGCACATACATATGCAGGCACACACACACATGCAGGCACATAGACACACGTGCAGCCACGCATGCCTTTTCTCCCTGAAAATGCATCCACTCATGGTTTTTGGTCAAATTTTTGGAATTTTTCAATTTCCTTTTCTTTTCAGTTCCAATCTAAGACTCCAGATTCAACTATGTTGTAAAAGACTCTTAGTAGCCTCCTCCCCGTTTCTCTGGAAAGTTCTGCTCTTCTGAGAAGTCTCAATCCTCCAAAGAAAATGAGGTCCTAGGGAGTCTGAGAGTTAAGAGATCTGAATTCCCTCCTGACAGGTTCCAAAAGACAATTGATAAAGACCTATTTATCTGGCAACTCAAAGCTATCCACTCCTGGTCACAATTCACATTCTTCTCCTCAGCCTTGGTTTCTACCAAAAAGTCAAAAAACATATTACATTTCTAAATCCTGACTTCATACCAAAATATATGGGTCATATGTTTCAAATAGCAGCTCTGTTCAAGAATGGCCAAGTGAGCAAAATTTTGTTCTTTTCATTTGAAAGTAGATTTACAAGTGGATCTTTCTTTGGAAAGAGGGTGTGTTCCTAAGAAATTTTGAGTCAGAATATTGTAAGTACATTTATCTAGTAAATGTGTTAGAGAATGCCATTTTAATTATTACCCATCACTTATTTGTTATAGAAATTCAGATTTTTTTTTTCTAAAATAAAGAAGTAAGGAAGGCACATCTATGCTAGTAAATTGTACTGAAAAAACAATGCAGTCCACTGCTTGGAGGAACAAAAATCTACCTGTTTTTTATTCCCTCACTTGTAACAGTATTCACTTCCACTTACAACTCAAGATGTCCCATTTCCTCAGCAGGAGATCCACAAATACCCTCCAGCATCACCGATCTCTCCTGTGGAGAGGATGTCATAGGATGGAACTTTCCACAGTAGATAAAAAGAGTGACCCAGGTCTCTATGAACCAAGAGGATTAATATGTGTTTGGTCTATTTTCCTGATGTCTTTCTCTATCTTTTAATGTCTTAACTTATTTTTTAAGTGCTGAATACTGGGCCCTACACCTTGTCTCCTGAATAATAATCTCTGTTAGGCCCAAGCATCTGCTTTGTAAATAAACCATACAAGTTGGGAGAAAATATATGATCATTTTAATGCCTGAGAGATTATTGGCAATCGTTCAATGCATAAATTGTTTCATATTGCCTCCAAGACATTGTGGAACAATACCATAAAAGAAGCTCAATCTTCGCAATATAAACAAATAGACTTCTAATTTGTGTTTACTAGAGCAAAGCAGACAAATGGATTTTGTGTTTTGTAAGATTTCCCCATATGGAGTTAATTCTTGGCAGTTTTCAACCTAGTTTGCTGGGAAAATTCCTTTGAGTCCCATTTTAAAGGTCTTCCTGTGGTCACCTTTGACCCCTGCTTTGCTTTCCTAAGAAGGGCCTGAGAAAAAGTGATGAAGAAACTTCTTCCAGACATGATATGCGATTGTTTGTCTTCATTCTTGTCCTAAATGTTGTTTTTCCTTCTGAAAGACTGCTAGGAGCCAGCAGATAAGAAGGATTTATGATTTAAATTTCACAGGACATCAGATGTATGTATTCTCTGTATATCTAGTTTGAGGAATTGATGTGTCATATCATTTTCCAGAAAATATCATTAAAAAGTCAACACCAACACCAATTGATATTCCCAGACATAACTACCAACAAACCCACGTTCCAACAGGACACACAACGTAAGCATGTGGCTGAAATTCCTCAGATACAATATAGCCATTACATTCACTCAGTCATGCAGTAAATACTTATTAAACACCCAGACAAAGGCAGTGCTAAGTGAGTAAGAGAGACATGAAACTTGTCCCTGTAATGACAATACTTAAGTGAGAAAACAGACAATTCTGTAATTAATTAATTGCAACTTTGTCCTAGGTGGGTCTACCAGGAAGCTCACTTCCTCTGAACTGGGGAGGAGTCAGCAATGTTTCCTTGAAGAATGGGCTTAAGCTGTGAACTCACTTATGCAGAGGATTACATAGGCCAAGAGAGGCGAAGAATGATGTTCTATGCAAGGGAGGACAGAAGTGCAAACACTACAAGACACAAGATGTCTTGGCAAGTTGAAGGAACAAAAAGGAGGACAATGATGTAATCAGGCCCAATAGATAAGGAGGAGAGTGTCATGAGACAGGGTGGTAAGATACATATGGACCAGTCAGAAAAAGAGAATTGAGAATCATTGAGGCAGAGGAATGAGATTTATGATTTTTAAAATTGATTATTTCACTACTGTGAAACACGGGTTTAGAGAACAGAAAGCCAGGATGCAGGATGACGAATTAGGAGTCTGCAGATAAGGAATATATTGTCCTTAATGAAATTTTAAAATGTGATATATAAATGTACATATATGTGTCTGTCTACACATACCCACATGCGCACATATATATACATATATGTATATTTTACACATACCCACATATGCATATATACATGTATATATGTGTATCATATACTATAAACATATGTATTTATAATATTCTACACATACCCACATATATATACGTGTGTGTATATATATATATGTATACATACGTAGGTACGTGTACTCAAAAATATACCTTTTGAGTACAATTACATATAATATTATATGTATAATTACATACAAATATATGTAAATTCTTTTTAATCTCTACCCTGGAGATTACTTAACATTTAATATATCCTCATCAGACAAGACAGTTACAACAAATGACTTCAAATATCACTGTTACATCTTCACCAGAGCATTTGTTAATTGGTATAAGGAATACTAGATAGAATATTTCATTAGTGCAATGAGTAGCATTTAAAATAAATGAATTGATGCTGGTGAATTATACAGCCACTACGTTTGCATGAACAGTGTTCTGAGAATCTGGCAAGCCCAGTGGCCTCTAAATTTAGGAGTGGTACCATAGGCCTAGAGACCACTTGGTTCCATGTCCCACCACTTCACAGAGAATTCTGATCCATAAGAAGGTGAGCTGCATCCCGTTGCTAGACTATTGCAACTGCTCAGTGGAACTTCTCATGCTGGGTACTTTGCAAAGTGCCAAAGTACAAACAAATGGAACGGACTATATGGCAGTTTCTGTGCTTACTTGCAAATGCCATGTGGCAGCATCTGGTCTGAGACTTGCTTTCATTGTAACATCCCATGTGGCGGCAAGCTTGTGGAGGAAGATACTAGAGCTCTCTTCGATCTCCATATGTCTTAAGCTAGTAATACTGTCAACATGAACCTGAAAATGAGATTGATTGGCCAAGTTGGCTCAGGTTAGTTGACAATAACTGGATTAAGATAGCAATGGTGGAGATGGAGGAAAGTGAATCTACTGAAGGGATGGATTGAGGGAGAGGGCAGAAGCAAGAATGTCGGTTTTCTAGCATAAGCAACTTGGTACATGGTGGTGCAATATACAGAGACAAGGAACACTGGAGACACAGCTGGTTTGGGAGAAAGATTACAAATTTGGTTTTGGACAGATTGGGTTTGATAGATTTGTGAGTTTGCTAAATGAAGATATTACTCATATGTAGTTGGATACAAGAGGTCTGGGGTTGAAGAAGTACTTGTGGGAGGCTTTAGTAAGCAGAGATAACTAAAGCCACGGGAGACCATGAGATGGTCTAGGTAGATAATGATGTAGGAAGAAGGGAAAAGGCCCTGAAGAACGCCAACATCTAGAGGGTGAATATTGGAGCAACATACATCAGTAATGATTTTGGTGTTGTAACTCTAGCAAATATGTGTCATTTTACATAATTTTAAGAACTGATAGCAAAATGTATTTTCAGATAAGTTGGCTTTATTTGGGAAAACACATCGATAAGCCAACTGAGATAGACTGCACTGCAGTAGGCTCAATGGCATACTTATGCTGTGAAATAACATCACAGAATGGCTATGCAGCAGATTAAATTCCTTTGTTTTGCTTTTTAAATATGAAAAGAGGACAGAGGAGGCAGCCCGATGGAGAGATGCCAGGCTGGTGGGGTTACTTAAACATCACAATGGAAGGGCAACTGAAGAAAGGTTGCCTACTGTTCCATTTACAGTTGTTCATGACGCTGCATTGTAACTGAGTTTTTCATTTCTTTGTTTTGTTTTGTTTGAAACCAGAGAAGAAGCTTATCATGAGTGACGTAAGGTCAGAGATAACCAGGTCCATGCATGTTTGTGTTTTTCCACAATGTCAGACTTTTATTGATGCTATTTCAATCATGAAAGCCATGCGCTCCACAGAGTTCCCAAGGAGGTAATTCTCCTTAGTACTTCCTGTTCACTAGGTAATCAGAGCCACAGGCACATAAGCGCAAGCCATCTCACAAGTCAGTCAATATTGCAAACCATACATAATAGTATACTTCATCAGTACATAAATGATATAAATTAAACATTCCACAACAAACAAAGTAACATTTAACATCAAGAGAAAGGGGATAGAAAACAAACTAGTCCAAGAAGAATGATGTGAACAAAAAGAATATCCTGATCTGGGCCTAAAGGTCCCTTGGTCTTGTAAGAAAGAGCCTTTGATGTGGGCAGAGTCTTCAGCAGCAGATGCTTGGTGTTTATCACAAGACAGCAAGATGGTGTCTGTTAACATGGCTATTTCAAGATGCTGAAATCCTGCTTTTTATGGCCACAGGGTCCTCTGATGAGGACTGATGGTGGAGGAGCATGCTTGGTTGTGTCCTTATGTGGTTGGATGCAGTCCTTATTGATCAGGCAAAACATCTGGTCCTGGTTGGTAGAGTGCCTTTTGAAATGTAAGATGGAGTCTTTTTTCTAATGTGGAGTTACTTATGTCAAGGGTGCTCTATACAAAGCTAAGTTTCATGTTGGGGTCAAAGTGATAAAGAACAAAGGCAGGATATGGATATATAAGAATGCAGTGGTTGAGACAGTCTTTGAAAATAGCACTCCCCACCCCAGGAATTTGCAGAAATTTGGGGACTGGCCTTGAACTCTGATAGGCTGTGAAATTGAAGGGCTTATTTACTAAATATTTTGAAGGATAAGCATATCTATCATCTTATGTCTGGGTTATATATATTTCATATATTATACCTTATCTCTGTATTATTTTCAAGTAGCTAATAATAGTCACAAGTTCAACAATACAAATGGCACATAAAATAAGTCTCCCTCTCATTCTATCTCTTATCCAGAGGCAACCATTATCATCTGTTTCTTATTTATCTTTCCAGAAACATGCTATTTGCAGAAAGCAAATACATGTATAGTCTTTTAAAATGTTATCAGAAGCATTGGCATACTGTATAAATTCTTCCACATCTTGCTTTTCTCTCATAATAGGCACTGAAGTGCTTTCCATATCAGTACAGAAAAGCTGCCTTTTACATGGCTGTATCATATTCTACATATGGATGTACCATAATCTATTTAAGGAATTTCCAATCGATGGTCATTTGAGTTGCTTCCAGACTTCCACTATTGTTGAAAATGCCTCAGTGAAAACCTTGTCCATAATTACTTGGCGCATGTGCAAACCAAAATTATTCTTCTTGACAAAATAGTTTAAAATTCCCTTCTCATCATGAAAAGGGGTAGAACAGGGAGGAGGCAGGTGCCAGGAAGAACACAGATAAAGGTTCAGAAAGCTCAGCTTGAGATCTCAGCGAGCTGCAGCAGCAAAATTGCAGCCACATGTTTCTGGGCCATTGGAGGAAAGCAAAACATTGCAGAGAAATACACTGATAAAGACTTAGGACTAGAGATCTGTGTTTTGGAAGAAGACATTCTAAAGCATATCAGACCTCACAGGACAAAGCCATGTGGATCACAGAGAAGATAAACTAAACCAGCAGGAACCATTCCCTTAGCTTCCATGGAAAAGGGTGATCAACAGATCTTCAGAAGAATTGAAGACAGGGGTCAGAAATTGTATTTTGTGTCTAGCTTTTATCGTCAAGTGTTGATTTAGTATTTATAACAAATATTTTTACATACTTTATAAAGTCTGGAGTTCTTCTAGAGAAGCAAGAGCAAACATATTCAAAAGCTAGCAGAAGACAAGAAATAACTAAGATCAGAGCAGAACTGAAGGAGATAGAGACCCAAAAACCCCTTCAAAAAATCAATGAATCCAGGAGCTGGTTTTTTGAAAAGATTAACAAAATAGATAGACTACTAGCCAAACTAATAAAGAAGAAAAGAGAGAAGGATCAAATAGACGCAATAAAAAATGGTAAAGGGGATATCACCACTGATCCCACAGAAATACAAACTACTATCAGGGAATACTATAAACACCTCTACACAAATAAACTAGAAAATCTAGAAGAAATGAATAAATTCCTGGACACATACACCCTCCCAAGACTAAGCCAGGAAGAAGTTGAATCCCTGAATAGACCAATAACAAGTTCTGAAATTGAGGTAGTAATTAATACCCTACAAACTAAAAAAAGTGCAGGACCGGACAGATTCTCAGCTGAATTCTACTAGAGCTACAAAGAAGAGCTGGTATCATTCCTTCTGAAACTATTCTAAACAATAGAAAAAGAGGGAATCCTCCCTCATTTATGAGGCCAGCATCATCCTGATACCAAAACCTAGCAGAGACACAACAAAAAAGAAAATTTCAGGCCAATATTCCTGATGAACATTGATGTAAAAATCTTCAATAAAATACTGGCAAACCAAATCCAGCAGCACATCAAAAAGTTTATCCACAACGATCAAGTCAGCTTCATCACAGGAATGCAAGGCTTGTTCAACATACACAAACAAATAAACATAATCCTTCACATACACAGAACCAATGACAAAAACCACATGATTATCTCAATAGATGCAGAAAAGGCCTTCAATAAAATTCAACACCCCTTCATGCTAAAAACATTCAATAAACTAGGTATTGATGGAACATATCTCAAAATAATAATAGCTGTTTATGACAAACCCATAGCCAATATCATACTGAATGGGCAAAAGCTGGAAACATTCCCTTTGAAAACCAGCACAAGACAAAGATGCTCTCTCTCACCACTCCTATTCAACATAGTATTGGAAATTCTGGCCAGGGCAATCAGGCAAGAGAAATAAATAAAGGGTATTCAAACAGGAAGACAGAAAGTCAAATTGTCTCGGTTTGCAGATAATATGATTGTATAGTTAGAAAACCCCATCATCTCAGCCCAAAATCTCCTTAAGCTGACAAGCAACTTCAGCAAATTCTCAGGATACAAATTCAATGTGCAAAAATCACAAGCATTCCTATACACCAATAATAGACAGAGAGCCAAAACATGAGTGAACTCCCATTCACAATTGCTACAAAGAGAATAAAATACCTAGGAATACTTACAAGGGATGTGAAGGACTTCTTCAAGGAGAACTACAAACCACTGCTCAAGGAAATAAGAGAGGACACAAACAAATGGAAAAACATTCCATGCTTATGGATAGGAAGAGTCAATATCGTGAAAATGGCCATTCTGCCCAAAGTAATTTATAGATGCAATGCTATCCCCATCAAGCTACCATTGACTTTCTTCACAGAATTGGAAAAAACTACTTTAAATTTTGTATGGAACCAAAAAAGAGCCTGTATAGCCAAGACAACCCTAAGCAAAAAGTACAAAGCTGGAGGCATCACACTAACTGACTTCAAACTATACTACAAGGCTACAATAACAAAAACAGCATGGTACCGGTACCAAAACAGATATATAGACCAATGGAACAGAACAGAGGCCTCAGAAATAACACCACACATCTACAACCATCTGATCTTTGAAAAACCTGACAAAAACAAGCAATGGGGAAAGGATTCCCTATTTAATGAATGGTGCTGGGAAAACTGGCTAGCCATATGCAGAAAACTGAAACTAGACCCCTTCCTTATACCTTATACAAAAATTAACTTAAGATGGATTAAATACTTAAATATAAAACCTAAAACCATGAAAACCCTAGAAGAAAACCTAGGCAATGCCATTCAGGACATAGGCATGGGCAAAGACTTCATGACTAAAACACCAAAAGCAATGGCAACGAAAGCCAAAATTGACAAATGGGATCTAATTAAACTAAAGAGCTTCTGCACAGCAAAATAAACTATCATCAGAGTGAACAGGCAGCCTACAGAATGGGAGAAAATTTTTTCAATCTACCCATCTTACAAAGGTCTAATATCCAGAATCTACAAGGAACTTAAACACATTTACAAGAAAAGAACAAACAACCCCATCAAAATGTGGGCAAAGGATATGAACAGACACTTCTCAAAAGAAGACATTTATGCAGCCAACAAACATATGAAAGAAAGCTCATCATCACTGGTCATTAGAGAAATGCAAATCAAAACCACAATGAGATACCACCTCATGCCAGTTAGAATGGTGATCATTAAAAAGTCAGGAAACAACAGATGCTGGAGAGGATATGGAGAAATAGGAAGGCTTTTACACTGTTGGTGGGAGTGTAGATTAGTTCAACCATTGTGGAAGACAGTGCAGCAATTCCTCAAGGATCTAGAACCAGAAATATCATTTGACCCAGCAATCCCATTACTGAGTATATACCCAAAGGATTATAAATCATTCTACTATAAAGACACATGCACACGTATGTTTATTGCAGCACTGTTTACAATAGCAAAGACTTGGAACCAACCCAAGTGTCCATCAATGATAGACTGGATAAAGAAAATGTGGCACATATATACCATGGAATATTATGCAGCCATAAAAAAGAATGAGCTCATGTCCTTTGCAGGGACATGGATGAAACTGGAAACCATCATTCTCAGCAGACTAATACAGGAAAACCAAACACCGCACGTCCTCACTCATAAATGGGAGTTGAACAGTGAGAACACATGGACACAGGGAGGGGAACGTCACACACCAGGGCCTGTCAGGGGAGTTAGGGCAAGGGGAAGGAGAGCATTAGCACAAATACCTAATGCATGCAGGGCTTAAATCCTAGATCACAGGCTGGGTGCAGTGGCTCATGCTTGTGATCCCAGCACTTTGGGAGGCCGAGGAGGGTGGATCACAGTGTCAGGAGTTTGAGTCCAGCCTGGCCAATATGGTGAAACCCTGTCTCTACTATAAATACAAAAATTAGCTGGGCGTGGTGGTGGGCACCTGTAGTCCCAGCTACTCGGGTGGCTGAGGCAGGAACATCGCTTGAACCCGGGAAGTGGAGGTTGCAGTGAGCCAAGATCACGCCACTGCATTCCAGCCTGGGTGACAGAGCAAGACTCCATCTCAAAACAAAAACAAAAACAAAAAAAACCTAGATGACAGGTTGACGGGTGCAGCAAATCACCGTGGCACATGTATACCTATGTAAGAAACCTGCACGTGCTGCACATGTATCCCAGAACTTAAAGTGTAAAAGAAAAAAAAAAAGTCTGGAGTTCTTTTACTCCTCTTGGTTGTTACAGATGTATACATAGAGTGTGTAAGCCTTCCTCTACCATTAGTCAAAATTCTGGGCCCCAGAGTGAAAGGAACCAAAAAATTAATGATGTTAACAAAAGTTAACATCATTGAGTGCTTACCATGTACTGACAACTACAAAGCGTTCTCCATGGATTATCTTGTTTTATCCTCATAAAACTTTATTAAGAAAAATTATTGTTCAGATTTTACAAATGAACAAACTAAGGTTAAGAAATGTGCTCAGGCTGGGCGCAGTGGCTCACGCCTGTAATCCCAGCACTTTGGAAGGCCGAGGCGGGTGGATCACCTGAGGTCAGGAGTTCGAGACCAGCCTGGCCAACATGGTGAAACTTCATGTCTACTAAAAATACAAAACTTAGCCAGGCATGGTTGCACTCACCTGTAATCCCAGCTACTCGGGAGGCTGAGGCAGGAGAATCGCTTGAACCTGGGAGGTGGAGGTTGCAGTGAGCAGAGATCATGCTGCTGCACTGCAGCCTGGTTGACAGAGCAAGACTCTGTCTCAAGAAAAATAAAAAAAGAAAAAGAAACGTGGCCAAGTTTACACAACTAGGGCATGATGGAATCAAGATCAAGATTCAAACTTGGGCACTGGGAGTCTAAAGTTTTTAATCACTGGTGTATTCACAAACTTTCAGCCAAACAGCAGACTAAGTTCATTGCTGATAACTAGCCCTGAACTATCCATCTCCCTAGCTTAGCTGTATCCTTAATCTCAAGGTTTCCTTAAAGACCTGCTGTTTGTCAGTAAAGTGGGTTGAAAACTAATGACTTAATAACTCATGTCAAGCAAATAAAAATTCATTAAGTA
Organism: Homo sapiens; assembly: GCF_000001405.40. Lineage (NCBI taxonomy): Eukaryota > Metazoa > Chordata > Mammalia > Primates > Hominidae > Homo > Homo sapiens. Next base: position 39,335,573 of record NC_000013.11, read on the forward strand.
CAGAAAAACAGCCTTTTACAAAAATGTCCCTCGTAATGAAGGCTATTTCTGTTGTGCTATAAGTTAAACATTTATTTTAAAAAATTATTATTGGCATTATGATCTATAATATGCTTAAATAATTGTAACAAAGAGTATTTGTTTTAAAGAATTTAGATGAGTAGAAACATTTAAAGGCCATAGTAAAAGGCAAAATATGTCAGTGGTAGATTCTATCACAGTATTTGATGCATAAAATGTGATAAGTAAACACTTGTAAAGAAATAAATAACTAAAAGAAACATACAAGGATATCAGAAGCCATATAACAGAGTTCTAGGTGAGCCAATGTAAACATCTCGGGCAATCATATATAGAAGGTACAGTATAAGCTTCTGAATAGGACAAACAACCATTCCTCCCCATTTCCCAGAGGAGTGGCAATTCTGAAAGTTGTTCAGGAAGCATACATGAGCAGAAGGATTTCCAGATTCAATTGCTCGTGGAAGTAATTAAGCTTACGTGGTCACAGATGGCCTCACAACACTAAGCTCTCTCCTTGCTCCTGTTCATATTAAAAAAATCTTGTTTTTCACTATGCTAATAATTTATTTTCACATGTAAATATTTACTTTAACCACCACTTGATTACATGAAACTAGGATAGGCACTGAAAATACAGAACTAAAGATGATCTGGATTATGAGAATATTGTTCACCTTTTACAAGAGATGTATTTCTCCAGGAAAAAGTCATTTTCTCATCGACCTATTAGTGCAGTGATCCAGTTCATGGTATCGTCTTGCCTTGCAGTGGAGAAATAGTCCAATTCAGTTTCCTCAACAATTGCTGTTGAGGTGAAGGCAGTTTCTTCTCGGTCCTGTGGGCTTGCTGGAACCTGGTAACAATCTAGTGGTCTTATCTCCATGAAGGCTGTCTGGAGTTACCCACTCCATTTTATGAGAATCAAAGAAGGGTGTACGAACATTTGTTGATCTGGCAAATTCACTCTGGTCACCAAGGATTGCAAAAATGGTTTTTACTCAGAGGCTATTTTTGCTATTAACGAAAATGCAGAATGAATTTCATCTTTTTCCTTCCCTTCACAGCTAAGGTTCTCGAAAGATTATTCTATAATTCTCTGTTCTTCTTTATCCCTTATTCACTCTTTTACCCTTACTAATGTCATTAACACCCCACCACTCTACTAAAACCACTCTTTCCTGAGGGCATTATTAACCCTCTAGTTACCAAATCAAATAAGTGCAACTTGGCTCCCTGGAAACATTTTCCACAAACACTACTTAGAACTCTCTTCCTCTTGAAATTCTCTTCTCTTCCATTGGTGTCTATGACAACACCTTTTAAAAAATTTCCTCTGACATCTCTGATTGCTCCTTCAACAAAGATCCTTTTAATGGTCTATCCTTTCAATGATGTTGTTCTCTAAGATTTCTTCTCCTGCATTAATTCCTTCCTGTTGTCTTCATATTCACCAGTATCACTTATATCCATTATCTATGTGGTCATATGCTGTAAAAAGACATTTCAGTCAACAATAGATCACACATACAACAGTGGTTCCCATAAGATTATAATGAAGCTAAAAAATTCCTATCACTTAGTGATGTCATAGCCATTGTAACATCATAGTGCAATGCATTATTCATGTGTTTGTGGTGATGCTGGGGTAAACAAATCTACTGCATTGCCAGTTATATAAAAGTATAGCAGATATGGTAGCACTCTAGGGTGACTATCATTAACATTTCATTGTATATTTTCAAATAGCTGGAAGAGCAGATTTTTGAATGTTCCCAACACAAATAAATGATAAATGTTTGAGGTGATGAATACGCTAATTATCTAGATTTTATCATCATACATTGTGTACATCTACTGAAATATTACTCTGCACTCCACAAACATGTATGATTGTGTGTTAATTAAAGATAATAATAAAGCAAAAAGACAAAAACAAAACAAAAAATGTATAGCACAATTATGTACGATACATAATACTTGATGATGATAAATGACCCTTTCTGGTATATGTATTTACTATACTCTACTTTTTATTGCTATTTTAGAATATAGTCCTTCTACTTCTTAAAGAAAAAGTTAACTGTAAAACAGCCTCAAGCGACTGCTTCAGGAGGTATCCAGAAGAAGGCATTGTTATCATAGGAGATGACAGCTCCATGCATGTTAATGCTCCTGAAGACCTTTCAGTGGGACAAGATGTGGAGGTGGAAGACAGTGATATTGATGATCCTCACCACGTGCAAGCTAGGCTAATGTGTGTGTTTGTGTTTTAGTTCTTTTAAAAGATTAACAAGTAAAAAAACAACACAAAACAAAAAAACTTCAATAGAAAAAAGCTACAGAATAAGAATATAAAGGAAGGATTTCTGTACAGCTGTACAATGTTTTTAAACAAACTTAGCTTAAGCTAAGTGTTATTTCAAAAGTGTCAGAAAGCTTAAAATTAAAAAGTTTATAAAGTAAAAAAGTTACAGTAAGCTAAAGTTAATTTATTGTTGAAGAAATAAAAATATTTTTATTAATTTATAATAGCCTAAATGTACAGTGTTTATAAAGTCTACACTAGTGTATGGTAATATCCTAGGCCTTCACATTCACTTACCACTCACTCACTGATTCACCCAGAGCAACTTCCAGTCCTGTAAGCTTCATTAATAGTAAGTGCCCTATATGGGTGCACCATTTTTAATTATTTTATTTTTTATTTTATTTTATTTTATTTATTTTATTTTATTATTTTATTTTATTTTTGAGACTGAGTCTCGCTCTGTTGCCAGGCTGGAGTGCAGCGGCATGATCTTGGGTCACTGCAACCTCCGCCTCCCAGGTTCAAACGATTCTCCTGCCTCAGCCTCCCGAGTGGCTGGGACTTCAGGCACGTGCCACCATGGCCTGCTAATTTTTGTATTTTTAGTAGAGATGGGGTTTCACCATGTTGGCCAGGATGGTCTCGATCTCCTGACCTCGTGATCCGCCCGCCTCGGCCTCCCAAAGTGCTGGGATTACAGGTGTGAGCCACTGCGCCTGGCCCATTTTTAATTTTTTATACCATTTTTTCACTGTTCCTTTCTATTTTAGATATGTTTAGATGCGCAGATACTTGTTATTGTGTTACAGTCACCTACAGTATTCAGTACAGTAACACGCTGTACAGGTTTAAAGCCTAGGAGCAACAGGTCATACCATACAGCCTAGGTGTGGAGAAGGCTGCACTATCTAGGTTTGTGTTAGTACACTCTATGATGTTCCCACAATGACAAAATTGCCTAACAACGCATTTCTTGGAATACATCTCCATCATTAAGCAATGCATAATTATATACCTAAAATTTCTCCTGAGCCTCAGCCCTTAATTTTCAACTACCTGCTAAGCATCTGTGTCTGGATATCTCACAGGTAATTTACACATACCAAGTCCTTAATTACACCAATTTTTGTGTGCGTCTTAAAAGGCCTTTATTTTTATTTGAAGTTTGTTTTTGTTTTTGAAGGATTTTTCTTGGGTATAGAATTTTATTTAGGTTGATGGTCTATTCCTTTATTTTTGTTATTTTTTAATTGACAATAATTGTATATATTTACTGTGTACAATGTGATGTTTTGATGTATGTATGCACTGTAGAATATGTTCTTTTCATGTCTTATCTCTATCTGTGGCACCCTCATCCACCCAACTCTCTTCCTTCCCTCTGTCTCTATTCCAAGGACCTACTGAGTTTATCCTGTTCTCTCTAATAGTTTCCCAGCCTCTCCATCTCTATTAATTTGGCCCAGTTTGGCCCTATCATTTCACACCTTGACATCCCCCTATTTGTTCACTTCCTTTTCCCAATCACTTAGACCATAGTAGATGCTCCGCTTTCTGTTGGTGGAATGATTACACTGTAACAATCTCTCTCCCCACTTCTGCCACCCAGTGTCTCACAATACTTCCTCCAGGGATCTAGTTAAGAAACATAAGTTGTTCATGCCACATCTTCCCCTATGTCAGATCCTCCCACTGCCTCCAATATCCATTTTAAATTTTGGTCCTTTTAGCATGGTACCCAAAGCACTGCCTGCCCTTCTCCCACCTCATCTTCCACCTGCCCAAATGCACCCCAACTGCTGCCATGTGAGATGACCCACAGTTCCATTAACCTTTAAGGCCCTCCATGCTTTTCTCTTTGATTAAGGCGCCATTAGAACACGATAAAGTGCAGTCTTTAAATGCATGTTATCAGTGGATTTTTGGCAAGTGTATACATCCATGTGGACACCACTCCAATCAATATGTAGAACATTTCCTTCATCCCAGAAAGTCCTGTTTCGTCCTCACCAGTCAATTCTCCCACCCACATAAGAGGGTAACCATTATTCTAATTTCCATGACCATGTATCAATTTTCCTCTGTGCTTCTTTTGCTCAACAGAATGTCTGTGGGATTCATCCAAGTTGATGTGTATACCATGTGTTCATTCCTTTTATTGCTGAGTAGTATTCCACTATCTAAATACACCACAATTTATGTATGTGCTGGTGAACATTTGAGTTGCTCCCAGTTTAGGGTTATTATGAACAAAATTGAAATGAACATTCTTATGTAATCTTTTTGTGAACATAGTTTTGTTTTGTTTTTTTGGCACAAATACCTAGGAAGGGAATTACTATGGTTCACTTAATAAAAATGTACCTATTGCTTTTCCAGCCATGTGTCCACATACTCAGCAACATTTGGTGTTGTCAATATTTTGTTTTAGTTGTTCTAGTGTATGTTAAGCAACATTTCATTGTGGTTCTGGAAGTTTCATTTTCTTCTCAACTAATGATGTTGAACACCTTTTCAGTGTAATTGGCCACTGGTATATTGTCTTTTGGGAAATACCCCATTCATGTTTTTACCCTTTAAAAATGGATTGTCCTTTTTATTATTCATTTGAGAGAGTCATGTATGTACTCAGAATACAAGTTCTTTACCAGATATATAACTTTTTCCAGTCGTTGACACATCTTTTTATTTTCTTAATGATGATTTTTGAAGAGCAGAACATTGTAATATATCATCTTTCATCTTTCTTTATACCTTTTTAATTTGTCTGTGCAGAATTCTTTACTTGGGAGGAACTTCCTCCCTGTCTTTGAGAATTAGTTGACATATGATTTGGTAATCACTGATGCTCCTGTTATTTTTTTCCATGAGCTTATGACTGACTTGAGAGCATGGGCTGTATTTTATTTAGCGTTTTATGTCTAGTAGAATACCTACCAAGTAGCAGGTGTTCAATGACTAGAGTCAATTAAATTTCATCAATTCACTTCTTTGCATGTCATTTTCTCTTCCTAAAAACAAGGTAAACTCCCCATTTACTGCACAGGCATGTGCAAGCAATGAAAGCTTTTAAGGTTGTGAAAATTGAGCTTTTTATTGTCTCTCATGTGTATATCAGTAAGAATGCTGTGAATATATACTTTTCACTGACTTTGTTATTGTTATTAGCTTATGAATTGTGATTTTCATTTCAAAAGCAGTATATGTAATTCTTAATAACTTAGATGTTCCTATTAAAATGCTGGGACATCTTGAGCAAAAAAAAAAAAAAAAAAAATGATATGACTAGCCAGAATTTGCCATTGCCATATAAGAGTTTGTCATTTGACTTTACCAGTAGAGTGGCTGATCTTTTATTCCAGTGAGGCTCACTAATGTCTAAAATCACATGAACTACATAAAAATGACAATGTCATCATTAAATCTGTCCAAGGAACTAGATCTTAATGAATTCCCTAGAGAACTCCAACTTGATAATGGGAGCTAAGAAGTCACAACACTACTCTACAGGAAGGTGCAGTTAAAAGAAATTTGAAAAGCACCAGCTATACATGAAAATAATGGGCTAATTGAGGAAGCAAAGTGCAATCTTTTCTTCTCTGCCGGAAACCACAGAGTGGAGAAGCCCCTGCTCAGCAGACAATGAGACACAATCAAATCACATTCAGCACAATATGAATTAAGCATCTGAGAGTGGAATGACTTTCTCCACACCAACAAAGCCTCAGAGTGTAGAATTTTATTGGTCAGATCCTGTATTGTTCTTCCAGAGCAGCATGGCTTCTCATCCTGGAATGATTAAAAGTACCAGAAGCAAGTGGAATAGTCAGATATTCAAACTAAATTGATAAATGTGTATAGATAGCATAGAAAATGTACTTACATGAATAAATAGCCAGCATGTTCAATTGCCAAATCTGAAAAGTACAATGAATGTAGAAGCTAACTGAAACTGAATTCTTAAGGATTTGCTACAATATCTCAGGCTTACTAAACAAAAGGCTAGATCCAATATTCAGAATGCAATCTTTGCTCCTGAAGGAGCTAGTTTTTGTTATTTGTTATTATTTATTTATTTTTTTGGTGGGGACAGGGTCTCGCTCTGTTGCCTAGGCTGGAGTGCAGTGTTGCAATCTCGGCTTACTGCAGCCTCCACCTCCTGGGTTCAAGCGATTCTTGTGCCTCAACCTGAGTAGTTGGGATTACAGGAGTGCATGACTATGCCCAGCTAATAATTTTTTTTTTTTTTTGGTATTTTTAGTAGAGATGGAGTCTTGCCATGTTGGCCAGGCTGGTCTCGAACTCCTGGCCTCATGTGATTTCCCCACCTCGGCTGGGATTACAGGTGTGAGCCATCACACCTAGCCCTGAAAGAGCTAGTTCTGTTAAGGGGCCATGTGAGGGTCCAAACCTTTCTCTTTGGTGAAGACTTTCTGCTGGAGGGGCAGGGCTGTTGAGATAAGCTTTTTCAAATGGCCAACATCCCTGAAGGGCAGTGATATAAAATTTTCCCTGACACAGAAGTACAGAAGAAACCCAGCACTTTGTAGAAGCTGGAGGAACAGCAAGTCACTGGCAACTGTAACAGTCGTGTCACCATGCTGGTGACTGTCAGTCCAGTCACCTCCTGAACCACAGTCTAGCTCTTGTTGCCCTAAATCACATCTGAATACCACCCATATTCTCAAACTTAATACAAAACAGACCTGAAGTTCTTCTGTCCTCAGAATTTGGTTATGATTGAAATGTAACAAGCAGGAAGTTAGAATTCTGGTTGCAAAGAATTCACGTTGAAAGCAGAAACTGTCTTACTCATCTTTAATACACTTGTGCCTAGAACAATGCCTGGTTGATTAGTGAGTGAATTAATGAGAGGCCTTAAAAGAGAAAAGGAAATTTTACAGGACTATAGTAGTTGAAGAGCTACATTGGAGAAATTAAAGAAGCAAATCCGATGACTGAATTAACACTCCATGACTCATCTAGCTATTGATCAAAGAGAGAATTTATTCACAGAGATTTTCAAATACAAACAAAATAGCACTTTTAAATTTTTTACAAAATGAATATAGAAATAAATGTGGTACAGCACAGTACAATAATGGACAAAAGAAAACACGATCCAATGACTGGAAAATGTCTCTCATTACTCTCATATCTTCGGCTGAATTCTCTCCTATAGTGGACAGAAAGTTGCCCCTTTTCTTCATAAGAATATCATAGCAGAAGCTACTCAGAGAAATATTGCATATTGTGGAATAACATGGAAATACAAAGGCTTAACTCTAAAGGTCTGCATAAACACTGAAAATATGTTGAGGAACTAAATTAGAGTTTATGCAGGATATACAAAATACTGATAGTTTGGCTTATTGGTCCATTTATTAGGCTTAATGTATGTTTTATAAAGTGATAATACTGTATTTTAAATGTATATTAAAAAGAAAACAGAGGAGAAATGCACCACTAAACCTCCCAGTCTGTGCGATAATCCACGTTTGTGCATAGGCGTGTGTGGGGATGCATATGTCTGTATGTGCTTGTGTGCTTTTGGGAGTGCCGTGACCTACAGGGAACATCTTTGGGGGTACCCTGCTTCCCAACATAACACTGTTTCTACTAGCCCTTTGATTTTCTGAGTCCTCACCTTAAAAAAAAAAAACTAAAACCCAAACCCTTGTTTGTATATGTAGATTTGTTGTGTGTGTGTGTGTGTGTGTGTGTGTGTGTGTGTGTGTGTGTGTGTTGTACATTAACAATACTCTGTGGAATAGAAACACCCGATGCCCTGCAATATTTTTAGCCTTTGGTCCATTTTTCTCCATCATTCTATACTCTCCTTTTTTTTCCCCCACAAATCTCCTACAATCCTTCCTTCCTATATCATGTTCCTGATTTTATCGGGTTTCATTTTATTAGCATTGTATTGGATTAGAACTACTATCCCACCTTTTGAAGGTAGGTGGATGTTTTGACCTCTCCAAGCCCCTTTGGCCCATCTTCTCCTCTGTCTGCTCTTGGTAGCTCCATCTCAGTATGGGTAGTGCTTCTGTTTCTTGCCCGAAAAGCAAGCCAGCCACGTGCACAGCAGCATGGCGGCAGTGGCACCTGCTCCCGTGCAGTAGTAGGCCCAGCCGATTTCACACTTCCCTAAGGACAAAGGAAGGGGAAAGAAGAAAGTCACAGATGAGGATGATTTTGCAGCAGGGTTTCTTATTGCTTCCAGTGTGTGGGTTCTGAAACACCCTTTAGGAATATGGTATCCTCGCTTAAATGGAATAATAATGTGCTGAAAGTTATCTTGACAGTGAAGAAAGCAAGAATGGCTGGATGCATTTCAGAAGGATCTCAATGTCTACCTCTCACACGGGCTAAGAGAAGTCTAGTCTCCTCCACCAATATCCACACCCTGGCCAAAAATAGAGAAGAATGGCAGCAACCAGGATAGGAGATGAAGGAGTTAATTGTAACTTACATCACCCAAGCTCACCTGCGTAACAAAGTACTTTAGGGAAAAAAATATAAATGTTGATGCAATCCTTCTGCAAAAGGGCCACTTTGAGGAGGCAACCCATTTGAAGGATAATGGCTAATGCTAAGGTGAATACTGCCATTTATGTGGAATGGTCAAGTGACTTACTCTCTACTGTCTGAATCAGAAAACAAAAATTCCCAGATTCTTCTGGGATCAACACTCACCTTGAAGATAAAGTGTCATTTAAATGAAAATATAATGACAAGCATCCAAGTGGGTCCTGATTTCTCAGAGTTGGATTAGTCTTAATATTCATAACAAACCCAAAATATTAAAAATATGTAAGTAGATTTATTTATCTGTATTGTCTTTGTCAATTCTTTTATCAACATTATAAGGTAGAATACTAGCTCAACATGGTTGACAAAAAAGCTTCTCAGCATTTAAAGAAGTTGGTGACTTACCCATAGTCATATGCTTATAATTTGGAATAAAGTGAGCCAGGGCTCAAATCTGGGTTCTAGATCCCAAGAATAGGTCGGTGTCCCCAGATGGGTTAATGGAATGGATTTCTGCATTCATTAGCTTTTTCTTTCTTAATGACATCCAAGTTATTCTTTTTGTGTGCACAGTAAAGAAGGCCTCTATATCTTATACTGGACACTGTACTTTCTGCTTCAATTCTAATTCATTTTTCAGCCGGTCTTACCATCTTATCAGATGATGCTCCAACAGCAACCATGTTCCTCCTTTTGGTTCTTGCTTTGCATTACATTAGATACAAACATAAACACCAAGACATTTGGATTTCACAGTCACTGAACATAAAGGCCATAGATTGAAAATCACGGGGCTGGGCGCAGTGGCTCATGCCTGTAATCCCAGCACTTTGGGAGGCCAAGGCGGGTGGATCACCTGCGGTCAGGAGTTTGAAACCAGCCTGACCAACATGGCAAAACCCCGTCTCTACTAAAAATACAAAAATTAGCCAAGCATGGTGGTGGGCACCTGTAATCCCAACTACTCAGGAGGCTGAGGCAGGAGAATCACTTGAACCCAGAAGGTGGAGGTTGCAGTGAGCTGAGATCACACCACTGAACTCCAGCCTGGGTCAGGGAGCGAGACTCCATCTCAAAAAAAAAAAAAAAAAAAAAAAAAAAAGAAAGAAAATCACATCCCTTCTTTTCACAAGTCAGTCTGCAGGAAAACAGCCTGTTGCTTGGCAAGAGTGACACTGAAGTGAAACCTCAATGACAACCAGCGTTTGACTACTGCATACCGAAGTGTTCCCACAGCGTAGATAACCCCCCATAAAGAAACAATGCCTATGGCATAGATAACCTTTCATAAAGACGTTTATCTCATCTCCCTAGAGGTCACAAGTTTTGGCAAGGAAGTGTGAGATGTGACCAGCTGCACTTGTCTGTACCCTAAAAGCTTGCTATGTAAAGGCTGCTTTCTGGAGGGCAGGTGCAAAGATCCACCATCTCACAGCTGCCAGAGACATGGCTTCTGTTTGTACGTCCCTATCAAATGTTTCTTTCTGAGAAACTGGACGTGTCAGCCTCTTTCCTCACCTCTTTTCTCAGCCTCTCACCCTGTGGGGTGGGGTTTGCATAGACCTGCTCACCGCGGAACACAGCCACTTTTACCTTGTTCATTTGTGAAAAATTAATAACTTCCCTGCTGAAAATTTCCAAGACTGTTAGGTACAATGTGCAATTAAACTTTGGATCTTCACTGGACGTTTACTGGAGAAGTAGTTAGCATGTGCCCCAGGCGCAGATAAAAAGGCAACGCAAGACAGAGCTAAGGGAGTTATTGGCTTGTGGTCACCATGAGTCAACAGCAGCAAAATTTGATCAAGAGCCTCCACATCTTAAAAGTTCTTAGGCCATTACCTAAGCACACAGACATCAAGCTATGTTGTTCAGTCCTCAACCTAGGTGTCATCCTTGATTTCTCCCTTTCCACATCCAATGAATAATTAAAAAATAAGCAAATGTGTATTGATTACCATTTTCTCAAAATTGTCATGGAGCTTTACATGGAGTAAATATTAATGCTTAAATTCTCATAGGAACACAATGTGGTAGGTATATGAGTATCATTCTCATCTTTCAGAAGGGAAGACTGAGGCCAGGGAAAGTTTAATAAGCTGCTCCAGGACTTCTCCTTAATAAGTAGCAAGTCCTCTGCCACTCTCCCCTATATCTATCCTGTGTCCTGCCCCTTCTCAAACGCCCGATCATCCCCCAGGCAGTCTCGTCTGCTGTCATTGCTTTCTTGTCTCTCTGCTTCTACTCATATCATCACCAACAGCAAAGTAGGCAGCTGTCTTTTTAAAAATCAATCAGATCAAGCCATGCTCTTACTTAAAACCCTGTAATGACCCAGCACTTTGGGAGGCCAAGGTGGCTGGATCACTTGAGGTCAGGAGTTCAAGACTGGCCTTGCCAACATGGTGAAACCCCATCTCTACTAAAAATACAAAAATTAGCCGGGCAAATTTGATCAAGAGCCTCCACATCTTAAAAGTTCTTAGGCCATTACATAAGCACACAGACATCAAGCACACAGAGCAAATTAGCACAAGTGGCCCACCCATAAGAATCACTTGAACCCGGGAGGCGGAGGTTGCAGTGAGCCAAGATTGCACCACTGCACTCCAGCCTGGATGGCAGAATAAAACTCTGTCTCCAAAAAAAAAAAAAAAAAAAAAAGCCCCGTTAATGAATTCTCAAAAATCAATGTCCTTCCTATAGCCTATGAGGGCTTAAATGTCTGCTGACCTCTCACACTTCATGACCACTCTCTCCTGTGTCTTGTCTCTGGCCACACTGACCACTTTTTCTGGAGCACATCAGCCTTGTTGCTGACATGAGAGCTTCACACTTGTGATTCCTTCCACCCAGAAATTCTACTTCCAGATCGTGGAAATGCCAGGCCTCTGGTAAACACCTAATAAATAATTGTTGAATGAAAGGCAAGGTAAAAGAAAAGCAGAAAGGAAGCAAACCGGGCAGGCAGCTAATACCTGAAAAACAGTAAGTCTAGCATTTTAAGAGTAACTCGTGTCCTGTTTTGGCACTGAAATTTTGGAGAGAACTTCCCAAACCAAGTATGTATTTCCGGCCTCATCTAGAGAGTGTGCTAAATTTAACGGGGTAACAGATTCTGAAAGATCACCTCTCCACCTCTGGGTAGGTCTCACTGGCACAATGACCTCCATTAATACAGATAGAATAAGCATTTTTCACTGGTAACCGAGTCCCCCTTCACAGGTCAGATTTGCTGACAACCATGAACTAATGTGGTTGTGAGTCTTGGGAATAATCTCCATTTTGAATTATTCTTTAGCTAGATTAAATACACCTATGAGGGGGAATTAATTAATAGGTAGAGAAGAGATGGCCAATCGTGTAGAACATTTCAAAGAGTTGGCAAAATTTGTGGTCCATCTGTTTAGCACTGGGCTCATAACACAGAATACAATCAATTGTTCATTATTAATAATGTATTGACCTATACATAGTTCTATGACCTAACATGAAAAGTAGAGTATATAATTCTTTATTAATTATTTGGCACTTAAGAAAAAATTGCTGAGGCTAATTATTTGAAAACAGTGTATGTGACAGTAGACACATTTATTAAACAAAGATGGAAAAAGAAGCTAGTAAAGGGTTGGCTATCAGAGGACAATGAGAGAGAGGATAGTATTGGTTTTGCTTTTGTTTTTGGCAGAGAAGTCAATAAAATAGCAGAAGTTTAAGCTTCAGGGTCTCGTAAGTGGCAGGGGAGCTACAGCCGATGCTGTAGATTCTCCAGCCAGTTCCTCTCTGTCCCTTTGCTGGTTCTGGACTCTCAATCTCCAGCTTCTGTTCGTGCTTTGCTCCCAATAGCTTATATTTGCAACGCTCTTCAGAGGACCCATGAGTGACTGGCATTACTCTGTCCCAGCTCTCTGACAGCTGAAGTGCCCCCTGGTGTGACCCACAGCCAGCGATGTACTTGTACTGGAGTGTGCACACCGGGCTTTCTTCCCTCCGGGTGGAACAAAGTCTGCAGTGTAATGATAATGAATGTTCCCAGCCCTGTGAGTTCAGGCTGAGGCTGAACCCTCATGACAAACTGCACCCTGCTGGGTGTTTACTCCTTCCCTACCTTGCTTTTCCACTTCCCCACTGTTTTTTCCTTGGCACATTTCCTCAATCACTTGAACTCAAATCCTCATCTCAGGATGCACTCTGGGGAACCAGATCTAAGGAGTGAATGAACAAAGACTTTCTTGCTTTTCTTTGTCAAGGGATCTGTAAGTTTCTACCATTGTCAGAAGCTAAGCCACCCCACCCGCCTACCCAAGCCCTGCTATCCCCTGAGAGAGGCAGAGCAGAGCTTTCGGCACCAGCTCTCTCCCACTCTCCCCACACTACCCTCTTCCTAGGGCAAATCCTTGTCTTGCTCAGGTGTAATTGTAATTTCTAGTCATTGTTATCTGGATCCATTCCTGTTTATGTCATAAAACAGGTAGTTAACGTATCAGGCTAAATGTCTATCAGATGAAAACTGGCAGAAAATTAAGCAAAGATCTTTAAAGAGTGTAACATAATAGCAGAAAATGTTTGAGGATATAAGAAAATATGGCCACCAATCAGACATATATGCAAGTTTGTGTGTATGATTTACAAAATTTGGGATTAAAATTCAACAACTGGTTAAGGTCCAAAATGAGCTGTTAATGTTCAATGTGATTTAAAAGAAAAAGAGTCCTTCATTTAAGACATGAAGGCTTTTTCATTTACTAAGTAATTTTTAAAATAATTATTAATTCAAAAAGTGATTTAATATGAATTTGTTCTAGTATTACAAATTATATTGAGATATAGCCAGCCAATCAAAGTAGCCTCAAAAAATATACAAAAGTACATATGCATACATGTCTTTTGAGAAAAATGGTCAAGATCAGTCTAGTTAGAGTAAGGTGTGTCAATAGAATTTAAGCAAATCTGAAAAAATACTGTCATCCAACCCTGATTCTTGATTTTCTTCTTCCCTTCCTTTTTCCTTTCCTCGCTCCCTCTCTCAATTTATTCATTGATTCAACAAACATTCAGTGAGTGCCAGCTCCAACTATGAATGAATCACTGGGTACTGGGAGCTTTGTTGGGAATAATATAATTCCTGCTATCAAGAAGCTTATTGTCTAGTCAAGGAAATAAGCATTAAGCAATAATGAGACATTTCTATACTGATAATTGTGATATGTGCTTTGAAGAAAAAAATCCAGGATGCGAAGGCAGCATATTGCAAGTGATCTACGTAGTGCGGTCAGGTCAGTGAAAGAGAGCCTTAAATTAGAAGTGAGATCTAAGCCAAGACCTGCAGATGTTCAGGAGTGAGCCAAGCGTGAATGTGGGGGGCCAGGGAACAGTATGCTTGGAGTGAGGGGATGGGAAATATAATGGAGAAATGCAGACAGATTTGGGTCTTGCTAAAGTATTGCTCAAGTAAGAGATGGATCCCATTTTGGGTGTAAAGCAAGGGATGGGTTTGGGTATGACCACCTCTAGAGTTCGGAGCTTGAAGCCTGAAAATTCCCTCTTTGAAACTGTCATTTGTATTGTTGGGTAGGAATATGAGGTATTTAACAGTCACAAATAAATCTTAAGCTCCTGCTACCTGTTTTGCTATGTTATAGAAGCTGGAAACGCAGCCGGGAACAATACAGACAGAGTCTTTGGTCTCATGAAGCTTACTTTCCAGTTCATATCACTCACATCAGCTGTATTATTCTGAAACATTCCTTGTATATTACACATGTTTTGTAGAAATTCAGTTCAATGAAATAAACCAGATACAATAGGATTTTTTCATAAAACTATAAATGTGAAAGCAAAACATCCAGAATTCTGTGAGAGATTAAAGGTTTACCAGGCACAGGCTTGTCACTTTGAACTTCTCCAAAGGAAAAGGAAAAATAGATTTTTCTCTCTGAGCATGATCCTATTGTTAAAACCTATGTGCTCAATAACAAGAAATTAGCACCATGTTTTACAGTCATAGAAAAAAAGTGTTTCTGCATACTCTTCATGAGTAGTAATGAAACTAAATAAAACCAGGAAATACAGGGCCATTCTTCCATGGCCTCCCTCTATGCCTGTCATGGCAATAAATGCTTGTTATTATAATGCAAACAGAAAGCATTTTTCCAGAGGGCAAGTTTTGTCTGTGATCCTTTCAGGAAATTAGAGAAGGAAATCTGTTTAAACTTTCCCTTTTGCTCTCCGTAATGCTCCATCAAACAGGACTCCAAGCTTGCTTGGTTGGCAAATTACTGCTTTCAACAATGGGGAATACTATTCTTGACAGATAAAATAGAGGTTAATGGGACAGAAAGCAGCATACCATAGCCACCTGCCAAGTCGACAGAAAAAGACTGTGGCGGAATTCCAGGGCAGCCCCAGAGTAGAGATAGGGGTGGGGAGGGATGTTGCTGATTTCTTACGGTGGCTCAAATTAGTTTTTAGTATAGCTTTTGGAAGTGATAGAGACAGAAAGAGAGGTACAAAGAATCCAGTCTTATTACATATAACAATGGAATTCCAGTGATCGTTTCATCTTTTAAGGACACTGGAGTTTAACCTCTGCCTTTTCATTAATTTGTTCAATTAACAATTTGGAGCCTACCAAGTGTGACTGTCTGCTTATTTCAATGTTCTATTCGGGCACTCAGTATGATGACCTGATCACAACAACCGATACACATTTGTGGCATGAATGGATATCAGACGTTATACTTGTGCTAAGAATAGAAATACAAAATTAATCGTCATATAACAGCTGTCATATATAGACAGCAAGTGAAGGGCTACAAGTTATGAAGGGGTCTCTCCTTTAATCATTTTTGTCTAGGATCCTTGATCTGTTTATACTTTCCAACATTATTCTCACTTTGAAGATGCAGAAACTGAAGGATAAGTAACTTACCCATTATCTCAAATAAATAGCAAAGCTTGAACTCGGAACTTGGGTCAAACTGATTCCAGAGTTTTTTCCTGTGCTCAGATAATGTATAAAAAAAGATCTTAATCAAATGCATTTTTCTCATTTGTTAAATAGTACTTGTCTTGGCACTTATATGCCCGAGAAAAAAATAAAACATATTTTACCTTACCCCTTCAATTTGCCAGTCTTCTTAGAAGACTACATGCTGTTAAAGTGAACTAAATATGTCCTGGGAATAACTCTGTACTTCTATATTTGAGTCCTTGTGGATGAACTATAACCTAGCTTAATAGGCAGACAAGATTGAAAACCTAACTTAGGAGTACGCACCCGTAATAATTGCTGAGTCTTCGCCAGTCCCAGCAGCCATAGTTCAACCACTCATATACTGCTGAGTGTTCAAACTATATTCAAATAAAGCAAACACCAAACTGTACCCAATCCAGTTGTTTCTGTACCTCACTTCTGATTTTTGTATGTTACGTTCCTTTTTTGTCTATAAATTTGTACTGACCATGAGGCACCCCAGTAGTCTCTCTGAATCTGTTGTGATACAGGGGGGCTGCCTGATTTGCGAATTGTTCATTGCTCAATTAAACTCCTTTAAATTTAATTCAGCCAAAGTTTTACTTTGACAATGCCCATGTTCAACAGCATGGTTTCAATTGCTAAAGGTCTGCACCTTGCAAAGACTTGACAGCCCCAATTCCTGAGGCAATGAAACCACACTTGGCACCTTTGGCAATGCATCTTCTTTAAGGATGTGGAAATGTGATGTCTAAAATAAGCTTGCTTGAGGAACAGATAACTAATGCTACCTGCAGGAGAAACTGCCTCTAGATATGGTCCCAGACTGAATGTTTTTGACCCTACCTTGACTCTGTGTGAGCCCTAGCTGATTAAGAGCTTCAGCTCCTGGATACACTTTAGTTCCACTCCAGAGCTGCTGTCTGCCTATGAACCCTCAGAAGTTTGGCTGGTGCCACCATACCATCCTAACTTTCACCCAGAGACTCCATGGTAGCGCCCTCCACTGTGTACTGTATTGCTCTGGAAAGCGCAGCACAGGACACTGTAACTCGGGCAGTTCCTGCCCTCTGACTGCATGCCATTTATCACAAAACCTCCATGTTTACAGTTTCTTTTCTTGAACTTGAGCTCCATGGGATCCCCATTTCTCTTTCCCCACAAAGTCACTGCTGAGCACCCATAATGCCTTGTAGCCATAGTGTCTGAGTCAGGATATGATAAGCTGACTGACTTCATTTATCCAGGCAGAATATCTTTTGTCTGTGATATTTTGAAAATTTTAACATGTTAATATTTAAATGTAAAGTTTGGGTAAAAAAGGATACATATTAGATTGTATCCTTGTTGCTGTATTAATAATGAAGGCAGGAAGGTTGAAGGATCAGTAGAAAGAGGGAAAACATTTATATATATATATGTGTATATATATATAAATGTATATATATGTGTATATATATATATAAATGTATATATATGTGTATATATATATAAATGTATATATATATAAATGTATATATATGTGTGTATATATATATACATACATACACACACACACATATATATATATATATAATTTTTTTTTTTTTTTTGAGACAGAGTCTCAGTCTGTCTCCCAGGCTGGAGTGCAATGGCGCTCACTGCAACCTCTGCTTCCTCCCAGGTTCAAGGTATTCTCCTGCCTCAGCCTCCCAAGTAGCTGGGATTACAGGTGTGTGCCACCATGCCCAGCTAATTTTTGTATTTTTAGTAGAGATGATGGGGTTTCACCATGTTGGCCTGGCTGGTCTCAAACTCCTGACCTCAGATAATCCAGCCGCCTCGGCCTTCCAAAGTGCTGAGATTACAGGCGTAAGCCACCACGCCTGATCCTAAATAAAACTTTTAATGAGACAAGTAGTAAAAATGATTTGTCATATGCCTATAAAGAGAAGACCACCCAAACTTGGTTGGTGGGCAGAAAATGTAGAAGTAAAACGGCTGAGAGAAGAATGTTTGTGGGGTGTGGTGCTTTTTAAAAGCTACTTTGCGGCCGGGCGCGGTGGCTCATGCCTGTAATCCCAGCACTTTGGGAGGCTGAGGCGGGCAGATCACGAGGTCAGGAGATCGAGACCATCCTGGCTAACATGGTGAAACCCAGTCTCTACTAAAAAAAACCAAAAAATTAGCCAGGTGTGGTGTCATGCGCCTGTAGTCCCAGCTACTAGGGAGGCTGAGGCAGGAGAATCTCTTGAACCCGGGAGGCGGAGGTTGCAGTGAGCCGAGATTGTGCCACTGAACTCCAGCCTGGGCAACAGAACAAAAAACAAACAAACAAAAAAACTCCTGTTTCTTTATGTCTGCTTATTACAAAAAGTATAAACTCATATTGATTGTCAGGGCTGTCCTATACACAACTCCAAGGCGTCTATTTATTTTGCATTCTATGGGCTTCCTAATGGATGTGCCCTGGGGGTGAGGTGCTGCACACATGCATATAATGGGAATACCGCTCCCTGCACAGTATTCCCCAAAAGAATAGGTAGTGAGAAGGTGTGTGTAATGGTAGAATCTCACAAATCCCATGCATTGAGTCTATTTTCAAAATATCCCAGGAGGCCATCTTGATGCTTCCAAAGTCACCAGAGCAGCACTGCAGTGGGTGGGACCAGTATTTCCTCTCAAGAACTGCAGCTCTCCACTGCTGCTGTGAATGCACTGAAATATGAAAGAAGTGTGCCACTGAGTAAGAGCCTATCTGCCAGCCCTTACATGTATGCACCGTCCACTGGATTGCAGCCTGAATTACACCATCAAACAAAAATTCTTTCACCACACATCACTGGTGAAGTGCAGGAATCTAGCCACAAATAAAGATCCTGCACAGAGTCTTGGGCCTCTGAAAGCACCCAGAAGAAGCCAATTGACTGTACATGACATACACCACAGTCAAACCCTCAGACAAATAAAGAATATAAAAAAATAAAAAGCCCCACCCAAGCAACAACAATTTCAAAAAGATAAAAGAACACCAGCCCTCTCAGATGAAAAATAATCAGGCAAGAACTCTGGCAATTCAGAAAGTCAGAGGGTCTCCTTACTTCCAAATGACCGTACTAGCTCTCCGGAAATGGTTGCTAACCAGATTAAAATGGCTCAAATAACAGACACAGAATTCAGAATATGGATGGGAAAGAAGTTCAACAAGATTCAGCAGAAAGTTAAAATCCAACCCGAGGAAACCAGTAAAATAATCCAAGGAAACCAGTAAAATAATCCAAGAGATTAAAAAGACACGGCCATTTTAAGAAAGAACCAAACTGAACTTGTGAAATTGAAAAATTCACTGCACGAATTTCGTAATACAGTTGGAAGCATTAATAACAGAATAGACCAAGCTGAGGAAAGAATCTCAGAGCTCAAAGACCAGTCTGATGAATCAACTCATTCAGGAAAAAATAAAGAAAAAGGATGAAAAAGAATGAACAAAACCTTTGAGAAATATGGGACTATGGAAAGAGGCCACACCTACGACTCACTGGCATTTCTGAGAAAGAAGGAGAGAGAGTAAGCAATCTGGAAAACACAGTTGAGGATATAGTCTATGAAAATTTCCACAATCTCACTAGGGAAGTCAACATTCAAATTCAAAAAATTCTAAAAACCCCAGCAAGGTACCATACTAGATGCATAGTGATCAGACTCTCCAAGGTTGACATGAAAGAAAAAAATCTTAAAGGCCATTACATAAAAGGGTCAGGTCACTTACAAAGGGAGCCTCATCAGGCTAACAGCAGATTTCTTAGCAGAAAATTTACAAGCCAGGAGAGATTAGGGGCCTATTTTCAGTATCCTTAAAGGAAACAAATTCCAACCAAGAATTTCATTCTAGCCAAACTAAACTTCACAAGCAAAGGAGAAATAAAATCCTTCTTAGTGAAGCAAATGCTAAAGAAATTCATTACCACCAGACCAGCCTTACCAGATGTCCTTCCTCTAAACATGGAAATGAACGAGTAGTACCTGATACCACAAAAACACATTTAAGTACCTAGTACACATATCCTATAAAATAATCACACAATCAAGTATAAAACAACCAGCTAACAACATGATAACATGATCAAAACCTCACATATCAATATAAACCTTGAATGTAAATGGTACAAATGCCCCACTTAGAAGGTACAGAGTGGCAAGTTGGGTAAAACAAATAAGACCCAGCCATCTGCTGTCTTCAAGAGACCCATCTCACATGTAATAACAACCATGGGCTCAAAGTAAAGGGAGGAAGAAAGATGTATTGTGCAAATGGAAAACAAAAAAGAGCAGGGGTTGCTATTCTTATGTCCAATAAAACAGACTTCAAACCAACCACAGTGAACAAGGACAAAGAAGGGCATTACATAACGATAAAGGGTTCAATTCAACAAGAAGACTTAACTATCCTCAGTGTATAAACACCCAACATTAGAGCACCTCGATTAATAGAAGAAGCACTTCTAAACCCATGAAAAGATTTAGACAGTCACACAAAAATAGTGAGGGGTTTCAAGATCCCACTGACAGTGTTAGGCAGATCATTAAGGCAGAAAACCAAAAAAAGAAATTCTGGATTTAAACTCAACATGACCAATTTGACCTAACAGACACCTGCAGAATATTCCACTTAATGCACATTATTTTCATCTGTGCAAGGAACATATGCTAAGATTGACCACATGTTCAGCGATAAAGCACGTCTCAATAAATTTTTAAAAAGTAAAATCATACCAAGCACATTCTCTGACCATACTGAAATAAAAATAGAAATTGATACCATGAAGATCTCTCAAAACCACATAATTACATGAAAATTAACTTACTCCTGAATAACTTTTGCATAAACAATGAAATTAAGGCAGAAATTTAAAAAATCCTTTTAAATCAATGAAAACAGAGACACAACATAACAAAATATCTGAGATGCAGCAAAAGAAGTGTTGAGAGGACACTTTATAACGCAAAATGCCTACATCAAGAAGTTAGAAAGATCTCAAGTTAATAATCTAACATCATATCTGTGGGAAAAGAAAAACTAGAAAAAACTAACACCAAAGCAAACATAAGAAAACAAATAAATCACAGCAGAACTAAACAAAATTGAGATGTAAAAATTCATACAAAAGATCAATCAAACCAAAACTTGGTTCTTTGGAAGGATGCACATGATAGATAGACTGCTAGCTAGATTAACAAAGAAAAAGCGAGAGGATCCAAAACAGCACAATCAGAATTGACAAAGATGACATTATAACCAATCCCACAGAAATACGAAAGACTCTCACAAACTATTATGAACATCTCCATGCACACAAAGTCATTAATCTAGAGGAAATAGGTAAATTCCTGGAAACATACAACTTCTCAAGATTAAACAAGGAAGAAATTGAACCCTGAACAGACCAATAATGAGTTCTGAAATTGAATCAGAAACTTAAAAAGCTACCAATCAGGCTGGGCATGGTGGCTTGCACCAGTAATTCCAGCACTTTGGAAGGCCAAGGCTGGCAGATCACTTGAGCTCAGAAGTTCGAGACCACCTTGAGCAACATGGTGAAACCCCATCTTTATTAAAAAATATAAAACGTTATCTGGGTGTGGTTGCATGAACCTATAGTTCCAACTACTAGGGAGGCTGAGGTGACAGGATGGCTTGAACCTGGGAGGTGGAGGTAGCAGTGAGCCGAGATGGTGCCACTGCACTCCAGCCTGGGCAACAGAGCCACAGCCTGTCTCAAACAAAAAATAAATAAAACAAAACAAAACAAAAAAAGTAAAAAGCTACCAATCAAAAAAGCCTTGTACCAAATG
Organism: Homo sapiens; assembly: GCF_000001405.40. Classification (NCBI taxonomy): domain Eukaryota; kingdom Metazoa; phylum Chordata; class Mammalia; order Primates; family Hominidae; genus Homo; species Homo sapiens. The sequence goes on from NC_000013.11 coordinate 39,357,247, forward strand.
GATGTACAGTCAAATTCTACCAGACACTCAAAGAAGAGTTTTGTACCAATTCTAATGCATGATAAAACCCTCAACAAACTAGGCATCAAAGGAACACACCTCAAAATAAAAAGAGCCATCTATGACAAACCCACAGCCAACATCATACTCAATGGGCAAAACCTAGAAGCATTCCCCTTGAGAACTGGAACAAGACAAAGACGCCAACTTTCACCACTCCTATTCAACATAGTACTGGGCTCCCTAGCCAGAGCAACCAGCCAAGGGAAAGTAACAAATGGCATCCAAATAAGAAAAGTATAAGTCAAACTATCTCTCTTTGCTGGTGATATGATTCTATACCTAGAAAACCCTTAAGACTCTGTCAAAAGCTTCCTAGTACTCTTCAATTACTTCAGTAAAGGTTCAGGATACAAAATCAATGCAGAAAAATCAGTAGCATTTTTATACACCAATCATATTCAAGTTGAGAGCCAAATCAAGAATGTGATCTCATTTAAAATAGCCACAAAAAATAAAATACCTAGGAATACATGTAACCAAGAAGTGAAAGATTTCTACAAAAAGAACTACAAAATACTGTTGAAAGAAATCATCGATGACACAAACAAACGGAAAAACATTCCATGCTCATAAATTGGAAGAAATCAGAAACTTAAAAAGCTACCAACCATTAATATCAATATCATTAAAATAACCATGCTGCTCAAAGCAATCTACCAACTTTGTAGGTTGGTAGATACTGCTCAGAGCAACCTATCAACTACTAACATCATTGTTCATACAATTAGAAAAAAAATTCTAAAATTCGTATGGAACCAAAAAAGAGCCCGAATAACCAAAGCAATCCTAAGAAAAAAGAATAAAGCTGGAGGCATCACATTACCTGACTTCAACTATACAACAAATTTACAAAAACCAAAACAGCATGGTACTGGTACAAAAACAGACACAGAGACCAATGGAACAGAATAGAGAACCTAGAAATAAAACTGCACACCTACAACCATCTGATCTTTGGCAAAGTAAACAAAAGTAAGCAATGGGGAAACGATTCCCTATTCGATAAATGGTGCTCGTATAACTGGCTATCCATATGCAGAGGAATAAAAGTGGACACCTTCCTTATAGCATATGCAAAAATTAACTCGAGAGATTAAAGATTTAGATGTAAGACCTCAAACTATAAAAATTCTAGATGAAAACCTAGTGAACACCCTTTCAACATAGGTGTGGGTAAAGAATTTGTGGCTAAGTCCTCAAAAACAATTGTAATTAAAAAAAACAACATGTGGGACCTTATTAAACTAAAGAGGTTTTGCATAACAAGAGAAATGATCAACGGAGTAAACAGACAGCCTACAGAATGGGAGAAAATATTCACAAACAATGCATCTGACAAAGGCCTAATATCCAGAATCTGTAAGAAACTTAAACAATTCAACAAGGAAAAACCAAATAACCACATTAATAAGTGGGCAAAGGACATGAACAGAAACTTCTCACAAGAAGATATACAAGCGGCCAACAAACATGTGAAAGAAAAAATGCTCATCATCACTAATCATCAGAAAATTCAAGTCAAAACTACAAGATACCATCTCACACCAGTCAGAATGACTTTTGTTAAAAAGTGAAAAAATAGACTGGGTGTGGTGGCTCCCGCCTGTAATCCTAGCACTTTGGGAGGCCGAGGAGGGTGGATCACAAGGTCAGGAGTTCTAGAACAGCCTGGCCAACATGGTGAAACCCCATCTCTACTAAAAATACAAAATCAGCAGGGCGGGCGCCTGTAATCCCAGCTACTCGGGAGGCTGAGGCAGGAGAATCACTTGAACCCGGGAGGCGGATGTTTCAGTGAGCCGAGATCACACCACGTACTCCAGCCTCGGTAACAGAGTGAGACTCTGTCTCCAAAACAAAACACCTAAAAACATAGGTGTTGGCAGGACTGTGAAGAAAAGGGAAATTATACGCTGCTGGCGGGAATGTAAATTAGTTCAGGCATTGTGGAGAGCAGTCTAGGGATTTCTCAAAGAACTAAGAGTTGAACTACCATTCAACTCAACAATCTCACTGCTAGGTATATGCCCAAAATAAATTGTTCTACCAAGAAGACACATGCACCTGTATTGATCACTGCAGCACTATTCACAATAGCAAAGGCATGTGCCCATCCATGGTGGATTGGGTAAAGAAAATATACAAATACCCCATGGAATACTACATGGCCATAAAAAAAATCAACATAAAGGCCGTTTTCCTAAGCAAATTAATGCAGAAACAGAAAAGCAAATACCACATGTTCTCATTTATAAATGGGGGCAAAATACTGGATAAACATGTACATAAAGATGGGAACAATAGATATTGGGGAATACAAGGAGAAGGAGGTAGGACAAAGGTTGAAAATCTACCTATTGGGTGCTATGCTCACTTCTTCGGTGACGGATTCAATCATACTCCAAACCTCTGCATCACACAATATACCTCTGTAACAAACCTGCACATGTACCCCCAGAATCTAAAATAAACATTGAAAAAGAAAAAAAAAACTGCAGCTCTGCTCTCTAATGTGACTCTAACATACAAGGCTCTTTTGACCTGTTCTGTTATTTATTATCAGATTTAGAGGACTGCATGGTAGGATTTGGACTCTCTTAAAAGTGGGATAACACCTTTCCCCAAAGCACGCAGTATGCCTCGATGTATGATGTTCTAGCTTAGAGTATTGGAGCCACTTCAACAGAAAGAGGAGACAGGATTTTGTTTTGTTTTGTTTTGTTTTGTTTTTGAGACAGTCTCGCTCTGTCGCCCAGGTTGGAGTGCAGTGGCACGATCTCTGCTCACTGCAAGCTCTGCCTCCCAGGTTCATGCCAATCTCCTGCCCCAGCCTCCAGAGTAGCTGGGATTACAGGAGTCCGCCACCACGCCCGGCTAATTTTTGTATTTTTAGTAGAGACAGAGTTTCACTGTGTTAGCCAGGATGGTCTCGATCTCCTGACCTCGTGATCCGCCTGCCTCAGCCTCCCAAAGTGCTGGGATTACAGGCATGAGCCACTGTGCCCAGCCAAGACATTTTTTAAAGACTCCCTTCATCTTTTTTGTTTGCCCTACTTTCTCCACAGAGCTAACCAGAAGATAAAATGCAGATGTGTTCATCAGTAAGAACTGACACACTCAAGCTATGGCATTAAGCGCTCTCCATAACCACGCATGTCAAAGGGAGCAGAGATTTATGCTCTAGAAAAGATAAGATGTGTATTGGCAAAGAGCTCATAACAGAACAGTGCTATGTCTAAGGAGATATGTTAGGGGTGAATTTTGATGGGAAAATATATATCAGCCTTGTCAATTTTATCCAGTGTAGGTTAATCCATTCTGTAGCTGGAGTAGGAGGAGTAAGGAAAGAGCTCTACAGAGACATGCATTAGAGGGCAATGACCAGCTGTTCAAACGCTAAGCTCAAATAGGAGCACATGTTAGATGGGCCTCAGATTGTAAGGGGACAAAAAAAAAAAAAAACCTTTCTGAATTACAAATGCATTCTTTTATATTCAATGGTATAAGTTTCCCTTCTGGATTCCCACAAAAATTTTGCTGAAGAGCCATAGTTTTCATTTGCTCTGTTGAATCTCTCTTGCCCGCCCCCTCAAATGTTTTAGCTCCACTTTCAAGGTAAGAGACTGTGGGCAAAAGAAAATAACAGGTTTGTGCCCATTTATTTGTACCAGTTATTGTCCTCCAAAGAAATGGTGCCGGCCATCATCAACACAAGAATTTACCAGAAAATACCTATATGAGATCTCATACTTGCACAGCTGCTCAAATCTGTGAAAGGGCAGGACACACTGACCAGTAGCTGGACTTGACACAAGGGTCAGCAGTGCTGAGCCCAAATTATACAGCAGAGGATGGAAGACATTGCTAGCCATCATTATTATTACTAACGCCGTCACTATTAATACTTTTCTGACATCTTAACAATTTCTAACATCAGAATGAAGTTAGTGAAGAAAGCAACTTTTTTTCTTTCAAATTTTGAGCCTCTGAAGAATTTTTTTTAATTTTTTTTATTTTTTTTTATTTTGAGATGGAGTCTCACTCTGTCGCCAGGCTGGAGTGCAGTGGCGTGATCTTGGCTCACTGCAACCTCCGCCTCCCAGGTTCATGTGATTCTCCTGCCTCAGTGTCCCAAGTAGCTGGGACTACAGGTGCATGCCATGACACCCGGCTAATTTTTCTATTTTTAGTAGAGATGGGGTTTCACCATGTTGGCCAGGATGGTCTCGATCTCTTGACCTTGTGATCCACCCACCTCAGCCTCCCAAAGTGTTGGGATTACAGGCGTGAGCCACCGTGCCTGGCCCTTGAGCCTCTTAAGATTTTAAATGTGCTTTTCATTTGTTATATTTTGCAAGTCGCAAACCGTAAGCATAAAGAAAGTCCATGACAAACAATACCCAGCACAAGGAAATGAGTTCCATTTCTTTTATTAATAATTCTGTATGTAAAATATATCGGTATAAGGTCTGTAGATTAGATAATAGCATTTTATCAATGTTAATTTCCTAATTTGGTAATTGCATTGCCAGATAAGAGAATGTTATTGTTAGGAATTACTCACTTAAGTATCTACGGTTGGGAGGGCAGCATGTCTCAGAAGGAGGGAAAAGGGCAGGAGGGAGGTAGGGATTGATAAACCCAGTGTGATGAAATCAAACATTAAGGGAATCCAGGTGAAAGGAATATAGGACTTCTTTGTATTATTCTGTAGCTTTTCTATATATCTAAAATTACTCCAAAATCAAAATTACACAAATATAAACAAGAATTTGAAGATATCTATGTGACATGGTTTGGATTTTTGTCCCTGCTCAAATCTCATGTCAAACTATAATCCCCAGTGTTGGAGGAGGGGCCTGGTGGGAGGTGACTGGATCATGGGGGTGGGCTTCGCCCTTGCTGTTCTTATGATAGTGAGTGAGTTGTCACGAGATCTGGTTGTTTAAAAGTGTGTAACACCTCCCCCTTTCTCTCTCTTCCTCCTGTTCCGGCTAGGTAAGACGTGCCTGGTTCCCCTTTGCTTTCTGCCATGACTGTAAGTTTCCTGAGGCCTCCCCTGCCATGCTTCCTCCACAGCCTGTGGAACTGTGCACCAATTAAACCTTTTTTCTTTAAAAATTACCCAGTCTCAGGTAGTTCCTTATAGCAGTGTGAGAACGGACTAATACAATGGGTGTATGTATATGTATAAGTATACACAAAATCAGTGGGGACTTTTACTCTTGTAAGTTTAAGGAGCAAGAAATCAATAAACATATTGACCATATGATATGCAAAATGAGACACCTGCATAATGGCCATTTTTATTCTGTAATTTTCCTCATGAAAATACTCAATGACCCTCTTACACTCTGTGTGGCTCTGTTAAGCACAGCACACGGTGAGGCAGCTCAGTTGGTTCCTGCCCTCTGGCCACATCCCATCTAACACAAAACTTCATCCCATTCCTGCCAACCATACCCAACTGAGCAAACAACCTACAAATTGAATCAATTAAATAAAGATGACACACCAGCACGAATCATACAATGTTCCCGTGAGACAATTCAGGAGATGAATAAGTGTGCAGGACCTGTGTCCAGTGGGGAAGGAACAGAGTGTCATCCATCTTCTCCAGCAGGAGCTGCCCAGAGGATGAGGGAAACACATCGGGGCACAGAGCCCATTTTCCTCCACAAAATTTCCCCAGCCTGGCAAGGTAAAGTGGTTATATATTCGATGTGGGAAACAATATTTCCCACTGAAAAAAGGGGTTTTTCCAGCTGATACATTTGAAGGATTTTATACAAGCAAAGCCTGTCTTCCAAAGAGAAAGACTATTTGTGCAATCAAAGTCATCCCCAGGCAGCTCCAGCTGTGAGTGCTCCTGGCAAGACAGGAAGGCAGAAGGGATGGGAGGCAGGGATTAGAGGAAAGGGATTAGACCTGAACAGGACAGAGCCTCTTTTAAATTCAAGCCTTGTCAAAAGCCAGTGCATCACCCCTCTGTTTCTGCATCCTTTTGATTTTATCCTTGTCACTTCTGCCACCCAGAGCATCATAGCATCACAGACTTTAGAGACAGAGGGACCTAGGAGAAGGATCATTTAGGTCATGGGTTGGCAACCTTATTCTGAAAGAAGCCAGATAGTAAATATTGTAGTTCAAAAGCAACCACGGTCACCAAATAAACACATGAGCATGGCAGTGTTCCCATAAAATTTTATTTACAAAAACATGCAAACTAGATTTGGCCCATAGTTTGCCAACCCCTGATGTAAGCCATCTCCCGTACTTTCCCAATGAGAACACTGCTCCCCAGGACACCGACAGGGCTTTCCCATGTCTCTTGAATGTGTTCTCTTCAGTAGCTGAGTCCTATTCTTTGTTTATAATTTGTAATTTCCTGGCTCCCAGTCTAAAGCAGGCCGGTGATGCTGGGTTACTCTAATCTAAAAATGCAGTCCTGACTCTTTGGGTACTTGCACCACATAATTACCTGCCTGCTCTTTTAATTTCACACACCCAGAACAAAAAGCTATAAAGTTATGGGAAAAAAACAAATTTTTCATCAATAAACCAGGCCGTTGGGATATATATACACATTGGGACATATATTGCTTAACAATGGAGATACACTCTGCTAATGCATTATTAGGTGATTTTGTCATTGTGCAAACATCATAGAGTATACTTACACAAACGTAGATGTATAGCCTACTCCATTACATAGCTCCATCCTCATCTGGTGGGTCCACCATCACACATGCGATCCATCATTGACTGAAACATCATTATGTAGTGCGTGACTGTACTTCATGTCAATATAAGTAAACTACTTGTGGAAATGAGATCGTTAGAAAACAAAAGGGGCAGGGTTATGTGGCAGGGAAGAGAGTAGAGATGGGCCAATCAGAGAAACCGGCCCTGGAAGATCTGAGAACTAGATGTCCAGGTGATGTTGCTGGGTATGGCTGCACAGGAACAAACTCTCTGCACTTCCCCTCTTATCTAGAGTCCTGTGGGGTTTCCCTTTCATACCACACCAAACCTAATTATTTTTCCTTCCATCAGATCCATCCAGGGTCCTTCCTCCTAAATTCCACTGAGTCAAGGCCCTGTGTCACCCCATCCTGAAATCCCAGTAGGAAGCACATGCCATGGAAAGGGTGGCAGATGCTCTGCCTATTTAGCATTCCCCCAATGCAGAGAAATGGCAAAAGAAACAGAAATACTCTGGCTTCTCCAGAAACATAACCACATTTCAGCAGGACGAGTGGAGCGGCTTCTGAATTCTTATGATCACACCAATCAAATGGACCTCTGTTCTGTGGCCCGGTGGATAGTTTTCTTTCTTTTCTTTTCTTTTTTTTTAATTAACTGTAAAAGTTCTGGGATACACGTGCAGAACATGCGGATTTGTTGCATAGGTATACATGTGCCATGGTGGTTTGCTGCACCCTTCAACCCCCCACCCAATAGTTTTCTTAACATACACATTTGTGCCACTTACACACAAAAAATGGTTTACCCTTTGTCTTGTCTGGCCAGCTGAGTATCTGCTAGCACAGCTGCTATCAATCCTTGCTTCTTAGCACTGAATCCATCCTAAAAGTTTCCTTAGAGATGATGTACTGTTAAGATGATAAAGCAAACATGTTGGCTCAATGTATAGTGGTGGCCTTTGTGTTCACACTGTGAACTGACACAGAATCTGATCTCCAGGTGGGGGTGGCTAAGATAACCAATCAGGCTTTATTTAGTGTATGGTGATAAAGATTATCCTTCAGTTTCTGTCTGTAGCTGCTATTTATAAAGGCTGGAAATACCTGAAATCCAGCTCCTCTGACTCATGGACTGCCCAGAAGACAGTGTGAAAAGAACCAGTCTGTCTCTAATTACTGCTCCTCCATGTGAACTATGGCTGCAGCCATTTTCCTATAAAACCCATGTGAAGAGGTGCTGCATTTCCTCGTGATGTTATTAATCTGCCCTCCCTGTCTGTACCGGTCATACTACCACTGGCCACCAAGCAGTCTCTGAATATACTCTCTAGGTATCCGGTTACATACCTAGAGAACCGGAACGGAACTGCAGCAAGCACTGCTTTGATGTTTGTTAGCTGCCCTCAATCTAAAAGGTTTTCCTTGATGATCCCTTTTTGCTTGTACAGTAGCTCTTGGGAACGAACCTCATTCAATTTGGGCAAGCATAGCCTTGAGACTCTTTTTGGTAAATTACAATCTGTTGAAAAAGTGCAAGACGTGGTAAGATACTCTTCCACAATCTCATTTCCAACTTATAATGAAAGCAAGTCTCGGAACAAATCCTCCTACACATACAGACACTTATTCAACAAATAGCCATCAAAAAGCAGGCACAAAACATCAAACTGACCTGGGAGCTAGTTAAGTCCTAGCTCTCTTTTTAGGTATTTGGACGACCAACTTCTTGAATAAACTGCTAGGGAAAATGCAGCAAGGTTCCATGGCAGGATTCTGTTCTCTTTGGCAACAAAAAACCAGAAATCTTCCAAACCAGAGACTAGAAACTGAACACTTTAGGGATGATCAAGCCGTGGATACCATTCCTAAGAATAGTGAGGGCACAGATGGAATGCATCAGTAAGGCTGTACTGGGTATCAAAATACTAAAATATGTACCTCTGTCTGTAGGTAAACAGCCACTGCCCCAAGTTCCCCCAAAACCCTTTCTTCCCTTGAAAACCCTAGGGAATCCTTGCCTCACATCCCAGAAACCAAAGGGCTAGTGCCTGGCAAAGGAGGGCCCCATGGGAGCCTCTGCACATGGCCAGTACTTGTTTTAGCTCACATTTTTCATAGCCTATGACATATTGATTATTAAATATTTTGAATATCACTCAGACTTAGAGTGATAACACTATGACTGGATGGATGCTTAAATCCTTGCAAGCAAAAATAGGGAGTGTCTCTAACTACTTATGTGGATTCTACCAATCCACAATCTTGAGTATTTTTAATTTCACCAATGAAAGTCCATTTTTAATATTCATCATGCTATTTAATAAGATCTAATTCTACCAATAAAAGTCCATTTTGATCATTGCTGTGCTAATTAGTAAAGCTTCCAGTGTTAGTCAAGATATGAATAACAGAACCACTTGTACTAGCACCCATGAGTATCCAGTCCGGAATATGCACTCGAGTTGTGGTTTCCCTTAAATAATACCCATATATCACTGTCTATGATGAAGTATTTTTCAAGGAACTATAGGCATTGTAACAGTAGTCTTAAGAACTGTGAAGGTTTGATATTTTACTCTATTTGCAATGTAACAAGTTATACTATCACAATTTTGTGGACGCTGGCAAAAGATAGGAGACTCCTGGATCAGAGACAAAGGACTGTATTACTCACAGCACAGCAGGCAGCATGAGCTCCATGTTTATGTCCACTCCCTTTGTTGCCCTCTCCTCACAGGGGCTGATGTGAAACAGCCCAGATGAATGCAACAAACATAGTGGGTTTGTGTCACAGTTGAGGAACCCAAACTAAGGGAACTCAAATCTTTTATAATGGACTGCAATAAAATCTGCCCAATCTTTATTTACCCCAGAGAAAGGCATTATTTTTATTATAATGGACACTAAACACACCTATCCTCTGCTCTACTTCCAAGACTGTTTACTACACAAACATCTTCGAAATGATAGTTCAGAATAGAGTGTCTGTGCTGACAAGTTGTGCTAACACACAAGAGATCTGTGAAGAACAATCTCCAACAGCGGCACTAATGAAACTGGCTAAGATCCTAAGTGGAAGCATATTCAATTCACTAGGAAGGCTGAACACTCATTTTCACAGATGTGATTTTGAATTAGAACTGGTGCATGGCATGGATATAAACATGGGAACCACAGACACAGGGGATCACTAGAGTGAGGCAAAACAGAGAGGGGTAAGGGCTGAAAAACTACCTATGGGGTACTATGTTCCCTACCTGGATGATGGTATCATTTGTACCCCAAACCCCAGTGTTACACAATATATCCATGTAACAATCCTGAACATGTATCCCCTGAATCTAAAATAAAATTTGAAATAATAAAAAAGACAAAAATGGCTTAAAAAATAAAAATACAAAGGAACTATTGTATGGTAGCATTTATTTGCATAACACTTCTTGTAAGCAGAGGTGCGTTTCTGTATAATATCCCTTAACAAATACTTTCGTAGATAATGAAATCAAGTCAAAGGGGTTCAACTGTGTTCTAGCTTTCTGGAGGAATTTGAGGATTGTTGGGAGGTGAGGTCTAGAGTTCAGATCTCTAAGCTTTCCCATGTAAGACTTCCAAATGTTGTTTACTATATAGGTTCTAAGTCTTCAGGTGTCAGGAATCCATTTGAATAATAACAAAAGCTATGAATATTCTCTCCAGAAAAAAGCACATGTCCAAAAGCCTATGAAAATTGCAAAGCATTTCAGTAGATTCTGAATTTCTCTGAAGCCTACTGATGGACTATGAGCCACTTAAACGGTCTGGAGACCTTAAGTTAAAATCAGTCTGAAGATCAAAGGTTACCATAACATTTAACTCTTCTACCAGTGTCATCAAAACATCCAGTTGCTAACCCAAAGTAGCTTACTTAGCCAGATATCAATTAAGTATTAATAACATCTCCACCTATCCAAAACATGACCCCAAATCAGGAGGTTAAAAACTACTAGCCAGAACATATAAACATCAATGCTTCAAAGATGTAAAATCCAGCCAGGCATGGTGGCTCATGCTTGTAACCCCAGCACTTTGGGAGGCCAAGGCGGGTGGGTCACTCACTTGAGGCCAGGAGTTCGAGACCAGCCTGGCCATCATGGTGAAACCCTGTCTCTACTAAGAATTACAAAAATTAGCCGGGCATTGTTGTGCATACCTGTAATCCCAACTATTTGGGAGGGCGAGGCAGGAGAATCACTTGAGCCCAGGAGGCAAAGGTTGCAGTGGGCGGTGGAGGAAAAAAAAAAATACAGGCTGGGCATGGTGGCTCACGCCTGTAACCTCAGCACTTTGGGAGGCTGAGGCGGGCAGATAACGAGGTCAAGAGATCAAGACCATCCTGGCCACCATGGTGAAACCCTGTCTCTATTAAAAATACAAAAATTAGCTGGGTCTGGTGGTGCACGCCTGTAGTCCCAGCAACTCTGGAGGCTGAGGCAGGAGAATCTCTTGAACCTGAAAGGTGGAGGTTGCAGTGAGCCAAGATCACGCCACTGCACTCCAGCCTGGCAACAGAGTGAGACTCCGTCTCAACAACAACAATAACAACATCAAAAAAGACACAAAATCCTCAGAAAAAAGGACTGAAGATTGTTCCTTCATAGCATGATTTTAAAATGATTTATGATCTTTAGAAAGGGCACAAATTAGAAGTGAGAGAATAAAAAGAGACAGGCATCATTAATGACTGCAATGAATAATCAATAACTGTGACATAAAACAATTGCAATGCAACAACAAAACCAGAAAGAACAAAAAAATTATTTCAGTCTTGATTTCTTATTAAAATGGCAACAGCATTCTATAAATGTCCACAGGTCTCAGGAATGACTATTTGACAACAGAGCCACTAATGATAAAAAGGGGCTTCTTTCTGTTTTATATTTTATATATTCTGGCTGAAATGATGGGAAAGAATATAATGGTTGAGAACACATAATACAAAAAATAATTAGAATGAAACAGCTCAATTTCCTAAATGTCCTTAAGTACTTTACATCTGAAAAGGCAAACTCAGGTACGTCTTTTTTTTTTTAAACTAATAAAAGGACAACACTGAAAAAAAAAAAAAAAGAAGAATCTTTAAAAGAGAGACTAGCATATTCTCCCCAATAGTTTTGTAACCATATCTCAAGAAATCTTATTTCCCACAGGTTTTCTAAGAGATTTCCTTTTTCCCACAATTGCTTGAATTTCCCTGCTATAAATCTCTGCAAGCCACTGAATGAAGCTTTACAAAGGCATAAATAAAAGAGTAGGAATGATCCACACTGAAATAACCAAGCCAAAATAGACTTGAGAAAAAAAGAATGTAGAGCAATTTTTTTTCCACCTATCAGGGTATCTGGTTCTTTAAATGATTACCCTGACTTGGTTTTTAAATTTTTTTTTGGGAGGTGGTTAGGCCATTAGTCCCTTAAAAAGTGATGCCATGATTCTTGGTAGGATATCAGTGGCCAAATATATACAGAAACATGATGGCAGCTGCTGTTTCTGTGATCAAAAATTCATAGTAGGTTTCCTTCCTTCCTTCCTTCCTTCCTTCCTTCCTCCCTCTCTCCCTCCCTTCCTTCCCCCTTTCCTTTCCTCTCATTCTCCCTCCTAATTTTTTAACCATTCAATAGATGGCAGATATATGGCATGCCAGTAAGAATTATGTCTATCTTCTTCACAATTTTGTTTGTGGCACAACTTTTGTTGCCTAGAATGTGCTTAATAAATATTTGCTTGAGGAAGTAAGTGAATCTATTGAACACCAAACACCAAGCTAGGCACCGAAGTTGAAAAATCCTATCCCACAGGTTCATCTGGGATCTGCAAAACTGTGTTTAGGGAAACAGATCAAATTGAATCTATGATTGTACAGAGTGGGGTCCTTTTTCCCAAAGCAGGACAAGAGGTGTTTACTAAGTTATAAAATAGAAATGTTCTGGCTCTGATTTTGAAAACGTGGAACCTACTGGAATGGGCAGGTTGAATGAACATCCCTGAAAAAATGTGGCATTCTCCCTACTTCTAGAGTAAAGGCAGAAAACTCTTCATCTGATGGAAAGAGGCCCCTAAGAAAGGCTGAGTGACCAGAAAAGCTTATTATTGTTGCCTTGCGGGTGCCTGAACACTTTGCTCAGTCATGTCATCACTGGCCAGGGTGGGCTCCCTTGGACGCGGAAGTTTCCCTGCATCATTTGGAGCCAAGTTCCTGAGTGCCCCCATGGGTTCCTATACAATTTGGGTCTTTGTTGAATTCACAGCAGCTGCTTGGCTTTCCTGTGATTCTGTGCTAGAGCTCTGGGTGAGGAAATCCAGGCTCATGCTGGACCTTCTAAATGACTTCCAGTGACTTGGATTTAAGTGTCAAAAGTTTAGAAAATATTCAGTTAATAGTCATTTGGGAGGTAGGACATCATTGCTGCATTAACGGCCTTAAATTTGCCTACATTTCAATGCATGTTCAATACCTTACTATTAACCAACCTCCCAAATAGCAATCTCAAAATGGAATAATCCATTTACTCTAAGCAATGACCAGTGCATCAAGTGTTAGGAGTCTCTTCCTGAGCTGAGTGACAGACACTTTAACTGCCGCTCTCTGCAAACACTTGCTGCTTGAGTCAGGAGAACCCTGCTCTGGCACACAACGCAGATGCCTGCAGAAACTGCACAGAGCTGCCTGGCCTGCCTGAGCATGAAGCAACCCGAAAAGTCCACAGGAGTCATAGGAGCTTTCTAACTTCTGGACAAAATGAAGCGAGTCATATTGAATGTCACAGAGACCAATAGCAGGTTCTCTTGCTTGAGAAGCATCCACTAACACCAAGAGCTCAAAATTTTTTTAAAAAATTATACTTTTGTTTGCATTTTTACCCAGCTGACCTAGCCAGAAATTGCAAACAGATTTTTCTCAAGTATGATTAGATTTGAGAGGCAAGACGGCATGAGTCAGGAGTCAAAGAGCTAAAGGATATGTGTCTAAAGAGATGTGGGACAGTCAGTGTTCAGATTAAAGTAGAAGAGATTTCTTCCTTTGATTGAAAATTGGAAGAAACAGACTCTCATCTTTATCAACACTGGGAGGCTCTGAGTTTCCAGTTTACGGCACTGCTCTTAAGAAGCCACCAGCATAATTTCAAGAACAGGAACCATGATGGCTTCTTAATCAAATTAAATAGCAAAATGAAAGCAATAATTACTCAAATTTACTTGGCAAAATAGCGAGACAAATTAATTGAAACACTACTTTTGATCACAAGGATATAATTAGAAAAGTCTTTGGTGGATGAGAATATCTCTGAGGCATGAATTAAATCAATTGGATAACCTGATTATAAAGCCCTTATGCTTAATGGGTAAACCCAAACTTACTGTTGCGGAATGTAAAAGGAAGAATAAAGATTGATCAGCCAATATGCATTTAAATGGTCCTGTCCAACTGCAAACATTACTGGGCTTTTATTATGTGCCAGATGCTGTGACACTATGTATTCTTATCATTTATACTGTTTTATTCTCTCAAAAAGCAATAAATAAAAATCAGCATTATTAACACCTGCCACGACTGTCCCTCTGTCCACAACCACAGGCTACACTGATGATAGGACCACAGACAGTGAAGTCTGACAAAAGAAAGAAAAGACTAAAATGCCTTTTCTCCTTTTTATCTCATCTTCCTCTTACAAATCCCACTACTTCTCAGTAAAATCAAATCTTATAAAACTCTAAGTGCATCTAAGCTGAACCATAAGAAGCACGTGGCATTCCCTGGCAGCCATTATCCCTTTGAGCGGACACATGACAAAGCTGGCCCAATTAGAGTGAGGAGAGAGACTCTGATTCCATTTCTGGGGAGAAGCTTGTCCTCTCCTTTTGGCATGAACAAGGATGTTTAAAGCCACAAGTGCCAAACGCTCTTACAACCATGGGGAGAACTAACGTCAAAATGAAGCCAGCCTACAGATGGCGGATGGTTACAGCCAGTCTACAGACAGTTCTTCCTGAACATGGGCCCTGGAAAACATCTTTGAGCTCCTGAGTCAGTCAAGTCTGTAGCTGACCTTAGCTCCTGCCTTGCTATAATAAGAGATCTCACACGTTCTTCCTGAACATGGGCCCTGGAAAACATCTTTGAGCTCCTGAGTCAGTCAAGTCTGTAGCTGACCTTAGCTCCTGCCTTGCTATAATAAGAGATCTCACACGTCTTCTTTGTTTTGGCCTGTTTGAGCCAGACTTGTATAACCTAAACCTAAAGCATCCTAGTCTATACAAAACATAATGAATGTTTGTTAAGCAAGGCAAGTACAAAACAAAAATACTTTTCTATACAACTAAGGACGATTTTTTTCAAGTATGCTCACTGACCACTTACACCTAAATCACACTGGATACTTGTTTAAACCGCAAAAGAAAGAATTATGCAGCCTGTCTGAATTCTTGTTTCTCTGTTTAAAAAAATGTGTGGATTCACACCTACTCCTTGCTTCTTCATAAATTAGCGTGATCCAAAAGTAAGCAGAGTAACAGACTTTGATTTGTGAAAGTGAATACTTTTGCAAGATTGCTTCAGAGCGCTGCACTTAATAAAATATAAAAATGCTTGAGAATCAATCGGATTATAAGATTGTTTTTAAGGCATATAAAAAAGTTCTCTCCAATTCTCCTTTCTAAGGAAAAGAGGTATTTTTTAAAGTAGGTTCTTTCAGATTCCTACACATTATACTACAACTACAAATGTGAGGTTTTTATGAAATCCTTCTTGCCTAACTATTACTTATATTTTTGAACTCAGTTTAAATGTTCTGACCTTGGGAGGCTCTTCAAGTATTATTTTGTACCATGGCTGATACTTGGAATTAAAACCTGTCCAAACAGGGAAGCAGTACATAAAGTAGCCTCCTTCCTGACTTTTCCTCCTGCCCTCTCTGCAACCTATCTCTCCATGTCACCCCAGACCACATGCAGACTCAAACCCTTTACCTACCTAAAGCCTACAAGGGCTGAGAGCTCCGCCTGTATAATACTTCCTGAGGAAGCTCACAGGTGAGGTTAGGTCCCCTTGAAATATGAGATAGCAACTAAATACAAGTCAGGCTACTTTCATTTGCGAGAGTAAACAGGCCTCAAACATCACCCAATATGGAAACAAATTACTGTGTTTTTTGTTTCCATAAAACACAGGCTGGACGTTCCTAGGGAAGGCCAGCTTCAGGGATGACTGCTCCACAGACTGGTTTCTCTGCCCACTCCTCTGCAGGCTGCTTACTCCTGCAGGTCCCCATGGTCAGAGGGGGCTGTCAGAGGGGGTGAGCCAGGAATGTGTGGCCTCTCCCTTAGGCATAGGATCCCTTCTTCCCCAAGATGCCTCTAGACTCACTGGTCCAAATGAGGCTACGCATTCCCATTCTATGTCAGTGTTAGCAGTGGGCTGACAAAGGCTGAGGTACAGTGCTTGCCACCTTCCTTCCCACTGCCACTCAACAAGAAAATTGTAGTATTTATACAGCGTACTAGGGTAATTGGATGGGGCTGCTCAGTGCAGTCTTCAACTATCCTGGGTCCTGACCAGCTGCCTTGAGAGCCGCAGGGATCAATAAACGAGCACAGCTGAAATGTAACCATTTCTGGCACACCAGAGGTATTCTTTGCTTGAGATCAGGGATTGTCAAACTATGGCTCCACTGCTTGCTTTTGTAAATAAAGTTTAATTGGCAAGCAGCTAACAAACATGAGAAAATGTTCAACATCACTAATTATCAAAGAAATGGAAAACCACAATGAGAGATACCCTTTCACACCAGTCAGAATGGCTATTATTAAAAAGTCAGAAAACAACAGATGCTGGCGAGGCTATGGAGAAAAATGAATGCTTATACACTGTTGGTGGGAATGTAAATTAGTTCAGCCACTGTGGAAAGCAGTTTGGAGATTTCTCAAAGAACTTAATAAAGAACTACCATTCAACCCAGCAATCCCATTACTGGATATATATACAAAAGAAAATAAATCATTCTACCAAAAAGATTCATGTACCCCACATGTTCATCAAAGTACTCTTCACAATAGCAAGGACATGGAATTAACCTAGGTGTCCATCAATGGTGGATTGGATAAAGAAAATGTAGTATTCCACACCATGGAATACTACACAGCCATAAAAAGGAATGAAATAATGTCCTTTGCAGCAACATGGATACAACTGGAAGCCATTATCCTAAGGAGTAAATACAAAAACAGAAAACCAAATATTGCATGTTCTCATTTATATTAATAAGTGGGAGCTAAACACTAAGTACTCATGGACATATATGTGGCCAACAATAGACACTGGGGACTACTATGAGGGGAGGGACGGAGGGGGCAAGGGTTGAAAACTAACTCTTGGGCATTATGCTCATTAGCTGGGTGATTAGATCAATCATACCCCAAATCTCCGCATCAAGCAATACACTCATGTAATAAACTTGCACATGTACCCACTGAATCTAAAATAAAAGTTGAAATTATAAAAAAAAAAAAGTTCTATTGGGGCCATCTATCTTTTCTGCAGAGTTAAGTAGCTGCAATAGAGACCATATAACTCACAAAGCGGAAGATATTATCTGACCCTTTATAGAAGTGTTTGCCAACCTCTGGCTTAGATGCAACAACTAGTGTGGAATAATGTCAGCAAGTCAACCACAATTTCCATTCTAGCACCCAACACTTTTCCTTTCTAACATACTTCACATTTATATTATCTTTTTGAACATCTGCCTCCCTTGCTAATTTAAGTTCCCTGAGGGCAGTGAATAGTGTCATTTTTTATTCATTGCTGATGCCACATCCCCAGCACCTAGCCCATGGGCTGGCTCATTATAAGCACTCCATAAATATTTGTTGGCTGACTAATTGAGATAAATGCACTACTTAAATAATCTTCTATGTAGGAGTAAAAGCAATTATTTCTTTCAGGATGCTCCAGATCAGAGAGTAACAACATATCAAAAACAGCACGTCAACAAAGAGACACGTATTCTCCAATAAGAAGGGCATGAGCTTTAATAACATTAACATTTCACAACCCTTGGGAGGAAGATGTGTCTACGTGCTGTCTCCCTTGAGAAGAGGCAGAAACAAACTTGGATTCTCAGAATCTGAGAGGCAAGGTGTGGCAGAGGCAAGCAGCATGTTTGCTGGAGCCATCTTAACCAAGAATGCTCACTCATGACCTCATGCTGCAGCCCACCAGCTACAGTTCCAGGTACGCTCCCTATTTAACTTCATAATTTGTGACTTCACTAGGTAACTGAAGCTCAACTTTCATTAGTGTTCAGGGGAACAGTAATGATTTCTAAAAGGTAGAAAGCATAGAGAGTGAACAGGGATGGGCCAGGCAGGGTGGCTCATGCCCATAATCCCAGCACTTTGGGAGGCTGAGGTGGGTGGATCACTTGAGGTCAGGGGTTCGAGACTAGCCTGGCCAACACGGCGAAACCCCATCTCTACCAAAAATATAAAAATTAGCTGGGCCTGGTGGCGGGTGCCTGTAATCTCAGCTACTTAGGAGGCTGAGGCACGAGAATCGCTTAACCTGGGAGGTGGAGGTTGCAGTGAGCTGAAATCTCTCCACTGCACTCCAGCCTAGGCGAGAGAGTGAGTCTTTGTCTCAAAAAAAAAAAAAGGAAAGTGAAGTGGGATGGGCCTAGAGATATCTCTATGCCACACTTTCTCTTTAGGTCTTCTTTTCAAAGAATAGATAACAGAGTCCACAAAGATAACAGTAACCTAGAGAAACAGACCTTGATAAACCCCAAAAAACTTATGCAGTGGACCTAGAACTCATTTTATCTGTGGATGATGCCAGTTTTTTTTTTCTCATTAACCAATCTAAGGAAATTTAGAAACGCATGATCAGAAATGAAAACAACTTTATAGTTTTTTAAATTGCCAGAATGGTTTTAGAGTGTATAATAACATTAAAAAACAATTACCACTAGTAAAGAGGCAAGTATTTTTCAACGTTTAGTTTGACATTCAAAGTTTTATTCCACAATGCTGGGGACATACAAAATACTGAGGTGCAGTAATGAAAATTGCAATAACAGGACCTGAACTTCATTATAATCTGCTAATTAATATAGCAATACACAATAACAACAGGTCAGCATACACAGGATCATGATCAAGTTGAGGCCTGTGTTGAACAGCCAAGAATGCCTCAAACACCAGGGAAAGAAAAATGCCAAGCACTGTATTAAAATATCTCCCCTAGACACAGTTTGCTTTCCAAAAAAAAGCTGGCAGTCAGCTTTGCATGCCAGCATTTCAGTATTTTTCCCCCTTCTCTACATTTATGGCAAACCCAAACTAAACCAGATTTAGGAAAGCCTTGTCATCAAAGAGGGAAGAATAGGTAAAAGGAAATCTCTTATTTGTTTTATCCATGCAAATTAGGTGGTATTTAGAACAGTCTTCTCTACCAGAAGAGCCAGTATTATATTCGACGGAAGTAGAGTGGTTGTCACCCATGAAGTCAAATAAAAATTGCTTCATTTTTTCATTTTCAAATTCACAGACCTTTAATACTTTTTTTCTGTCCCTTTTTCTCAGAATCTAACAGAATTTTTTTTCATAGATGTTCTAACATAAAAATTTAAAATTAATATTTGGAATATAGTAATACTGCCATTAGATCAATTCCCTCACAATTTTTCTTCTTAAAGTATTTAATGTAAAAAGTAGATGTCTAAGTTAGTAACTGACTATGTACTAATTATGAGAATCTCAGTCTGTCCATCCATATAGTAGGGGAAAATATATTTGCTATCACTTGGCAATGATGGGCTTCAGGACATGCTACCGTAAAATGCAGCACCTTGACATTTGAGAAAGCAGCAGAAGCAGGAAAGTCTCTCTCACCTTCCCCTGCTGCTCTTCTCTCCTAAAGCAGATCATAAAACCTAGAAAGGATTATCTGACCTTCCTCTGAAGCAGATCATAAAGCCACCACTGGAAAGACGCTCTCACCATACCCAGAAGAAAGGAATATTCTTACCTCCGGCAATACAAGGACACAGAGAGGAGTCTGAACAAACAGGTCTTGCTAAGTTCTGCAGTTTATTACCACTAGATCATACCCTCTTTGTCCAATCATACTTTTCCAGAACAATCCCACTTCTTCATTAAACCTAGCATAAAAAGTATACAGGTTTACCTGCCTCTCCAAGTCTTCATTTCTTTACGAAGGGTCCTATGTCATGAAAATTTTATTTTAAACGAATTTGTATGCTTTTCTCTTGTTAATCTGCCTTTTATTATAGGAGCCTTAGGTCTGAATCTAGCAATGGGGAAGAGAAAATACATTTCTTTTCCCATACAATGATAAGTGTTTTATGGGTTCATATTCTTTGATCTAGTAATACCAATTCTAGAAAAAGATTC
Organism: Homo sapiens; assembly: GCF_000001405.40. Taxonomy (NCBI): domain Eukaryota; kingdom Metazoa; phylum Chordata; class Mammalia; order Primates; family Hominidae; genus Homo; species Homo sapiens. The sequence goes on from NC_000013.11 coordinate 39,377,463, forward strand.
TAAGAAAATATTCAGTAGGAAAAGCACTTATATTCATTAAACTACTCATCATAACATGTCTTAAAACAACAGATACTGGAATAGACTAAATGCCCAGCTAGAAAGAAATAAGAAAGTGGTTAAGTAAATGTAGGTTTATCAAGCAAGTGAAATATTACCCAATTATTACAAATTAAAATGACGCAAACCATGGAGTATTCTGCAAAATATTTTATAGATCGCAACATAAGTAAGTAGACTACACTATGGTTACAAATGAAAACTAACTGAAATTTTCTTATTAGTCTGCAGAAAAACAAATTTGTGAGTTAAGAGCCTTTTATCAATGTGCAGACTCTCACCCAATCATCACATTTATCAGAGTAGCACCTGACTCTTCCTGTTGCTGGAATCCCTGTGGTCTCCTGATGAGCTTTTCCCATTCTTTCCTTGTGCCTTTGCTATACTGTATTCCTCACCTGCAAAGTGCTTCCATCTAATCCTGATAATCCATATGTAGCACTTTGTTCAAGACTGAACTCCATTCTCACCTCTTTCACAAAGTGGCCTTATTAGACCAACGATGTGAAATTGCTTTGAATTGCTTAGCTTGTATTATCATTTCCTTGACTATTTTGTTGTCACCTCTTCTCAGACTGCAAATTCTACAGAATTATTTTTAGCCCATGCAATGGGTAAAAAATACATGATTTTGAAAAATGAAGTGATCAATGAGTATAAACTCTTCGGGGCAGGGGCCATTTCTTATCTTTGTATCTACAATACTCATCATAGTACTGAGCAAACAGTAGATTATCAATAACTCTTCACTAAATAAATGGATACATTTATATTGTTACACGTGACTACTGGCTGTAATACCCAGGGAGGTTTTTCTTATCTGTCCCCTTTCCACTTTCTGCTTCTATGAAACATCAGATAAGGTTCTTTTTCTAAAAGGAGTGCCATCCATGAAGAAAGCTTACCCAGGTCAAACTGGCCAGAAGTGTAGCCACAAGTCTGCCGGACTTCCTCACTGTCCCAGCCCAAGGGGTAGAGGGCACAGCCAGCACCAATCAACAAGCCTGCAAAGAGATAAGACAAGAGGGCTTTACCAGTGCTTCTCTGCATCACTAGATAAAGGTGGTGGGATCAATATTTAGCAATATAACAAGACCATAGCGTCTGCTTTTTAGACAGCACCAGCCACAACTCTTTTAAGCAATCTAAGGTCAGTTTGACTCCAACAACAATTTCAAGTCAGCTTAAAAGAAAAAAAAACTTGACAGCTCAGTTTGGGTCCAACTTTGCCTTTTAAAGCATTAAAAGCCTTGCAAATCCTGTTTAGGAAATACAATTCAGAAGCTTTTTAAATCATTCTTGCAAAAAGCCAACCAATTCCACCATTAATCCATGCAAACAAGTATTTCAAGAGCAAGCAAAAGTTCCTAATAGGTTATGATTTCTTATTCACTAGATTTTTGTTTCCTATTTAAGAATAAAATAGAATGATTCAGTGTTGTCAAATTTTCCCAGGGGCAGAAAGAACATAAAGAGTTTCATGAATGGCCTCAGCACATTCATCAAACCTCTGAACGGTACTGCCCATTATTAGGCGATGTGGAGAATCACTGAGCATCCACGCATCTCAGAAAGTCTCAGGAAGACAGACATTTATCATAATCTAAGCACCCCTTGCTGCTAAAACCAAAAGTTTTGATGACTAAACCAAAGAAAGTGATGGTTTTCTCTTAATATAGATTAAGTTATCCTGGCAGCACTCTCTGAGCTGACAGCTTTCAATTGGTGAGTCTTTAGTTTGCATCAAAGCCTAACATGGTTTTACAAGAAGCTAAACGAGATTTAAGCACTCACTATTTGAATTTGTGGGCTAATCTGAAAGTAAGATCTTGTTGTGTCAATCACAGGTGTTATCAACATCTGTGAGTACCACAAATGTGCTGAACCCATAGGACCAACAGATACATAGTCTAATGTTGGGGAAGTGGCTTATCAGGTGCTAAATGACAGAGCCCCCTAAATAGGAAAATCCATTAATATGGTAACGTGGAAGAGGATGGCAGGGCCCGGAATGTATCTAGGAAAGGAGATCTTCAATATTTCTGCACCAAGTCCCTTCCGGGCCGTCTTTTGTCTTTTTCCTCCCTACCCCAGTCAGTCACCCCTGGTGGATAAATTGACCAGTAGTAATCCATACAAATAATCTGTTTCCTTACAGGTAACTAAAGGAGAGCTAGCTACTTTCCATCCCTGTCCTCAACTACCCTGAGGAAAGGCCTCCCTAAGGAAAGGCCTCCCTCACCCCCACACCCATCCTGATACATTTCCTACCCTGGTAATGCTTTCCCCAGTCTGCCCCTTGGTTGACATGAAGGGCCTTCTATATGCAAGGCAGAGGGCCATCTACTTGTGGGAGTGCTAGAAAGAATGATTGAAACTATGAATCACTAGTCTCAGGATGTCCTACATGCAACTGCATAAATATGAATTATGTTGAAGCTGAAGAATAATCTAGAAAGAAGTTATACAAGCTTTTGCTGACGAGGCAAATGTCCTAGTGGCCAATTTCCTTAGGCTTTTCCCCTTGGGATAGAATGTACAGCATTCTAAAGACAACTCCAAACTAGTTTTGGGCACCATTAAGTAAAGAAATTATTAATGAGGATGCCAAGCTTTGTGCAAAATGAATTCCATGAATGTTTAATAAACAATGAGGTATCATGTCTGCGATACTCAGTTCTTAAATTAATAGGTAGCACCACTTTCTGAGAAGATCTTGTGAACAATTTTTTTTAAAGGATGACAAATGCAGAAAGGCATCTGGACAAGAAGTATTTAAGTGTAAGAAAAATAGTAACATTTAAGCCAGGGGGACCCAACCCCCGAGCCATGAACCAGTATGGGTCCATGGTCTGTTAGGAAATGGGCCACAGAGCAGGAGGTGAGCAGCAGGCAAGCAAGTAAAGTTTCATCTGTATTTACAGCCACTCCCCATTGCTCACATTACCACATGAGCTCTGCCTCCTGTCAGATCAGTGGTGGCATCAGTTTTTTTTTTTTTTTTTTGAGACAGAGTCTCGCACTGTCATCCAGGCTGGAGTGCAGTGGTGCAATCTAAGCTCACTGCAACCTCTGCCTCCCCATCTCTGCCTCCTGAGTAGCTGGGATTACAGGTGGCTGCCACTGCACCCAGCTAATTTTTGTATTTTTAGTAGAGATGGGGTTTCACCATGTTGACCAGGCTGATCTAGAACTCCTGACCACAGGTGATCTGCCTGCTTCAGCCTCCTAAAGTCCTGGGATGACAGGTGTGAACCACTGTGCCCGGCCTAGCATTAGATTCTTGTAGGAGCACGAACCCTATTGTGAACTATGCATGCAAGGGATCTAGGTTGCATGCTCCTTATGAGAATCTAATGCCTGATGATCTGTCACTGTCTCCCATCACCCTGAGATGGGACTGTCTAGTTGCAGGAAAATAGGCCCAGGGCTCTCACTGATTCTACATTATGGTGAGTTGTATATTTATTTCATTATATAATCACAGTGTAATAATAATAGAAATAAAGTCCACACTAAATGTAATGTGCTTGAATCATCCTGAAACCACCCTCCTCCACTCAGTCCGTGGAAAAATTGTCTTCCATGAAACTGGTCCGTGGTGTAAAAAAGGTTGGGGATTTCTGACTTAAGCCATCAGTAATTTCCTCTTTACCTGACAAGTAAATGAAAAACAGTTTTATTTGCTAATGTTCATTACGAGTAAAAACTATGTGCCATGAAGTCATGAAAACACCTAGTCTGGCCCAGTCTTATGCTAGTCACTTTGGGACACTAAATAGAAAGGAGCTTACATATGGAACACTTAGGCCAGGGGCTCTCCAAGGGGCAGAACACTTGGCAGTCAGAGTCTTTTGTGGAATTCTGGGTTGTTTTTGTGATACTGTAACCAGGGACCTTGGTTTTAACAATCACCCACTTTCTTTTTCTTCCTTCTCTCCCCTCTCACCCTTTCATTCCTTCACTCTCTAGATACTCCCCTCCAACAACGCATGCTTATCTAATTGTGCTCTTGCTCTTGAAACAAACCAGGCTGGAACCCCATGGCAGAATCCTCCCACTTAGGAAGAGTTCCACCATTAGTCCACCATCACTGAAGTCAAGATAATGCCAGCCAGACTTCTGGACAGGCAATTACCCAAGATGGCCATCAGAATGTTAAAATAAAACTTTAGACAAATTAAATTTAACAGAGTTTAATTGAGTAAGGGTTAAAAAAAATTCACAAATCAGGCAGCCTTCAGAATCATGGCAGATTCAGAGAGACTCCCGGGATACCTTCTGGTCAGAGCAAATTTATAGACAAAAAAAAAAAAAAAAAAAGGAAAGTGACATACAGAAACCAGAAGTGAGGTACAGAAACAGATGGATTGGTTACAGCTTGGTGTTTGACTTATCTGAACACAGTTTGAACAGTCAGCAGCATATGCGTTGTTGAAGTATGGATGCTGGGATTGGCTGAGATTGCAGCTATTGTTACAGAAGCATACTCCTAAATTAGGTTTTCTACTAAGTCTACTTACTTGTCTACCTACTAAGTTAGGTTATGGTTCATCCTCAAGGACTTACGTATGGAAGTATGGAGGTTTTCTCAGGCCACATTTAGTTCAATTTAACAAGAACAAGATATACAGACTGTGTACCCTGCACTACTCCGGAATGTCTCCTATACCAAGTTTCCCTTTAAAAGTCCTATGGTAAATTTTAAAATGTAAGATGGTATTTAGAACACTAGATTGCCATCTTCTCAGGTTGCTGGTTCTCCGATTAAACCTGCTTTTCCTCCCACCAAACTTTGTCTCTTGCGTTCTGTCTGGCTTTCTACCGGCAAGCAGCCAAACCTAGAGTAGGTTACATTACTTTGTTTTTTGTTTGTTTGGTTGTTTTGTTTTGTTTTTTTGAGATGGAGTCTTGCTGTTTCCCAGGCTGGAGTGCAGTGGTGTGATCTTGGCTTACTCCTGGGTTCAAGTGATTCTCCTGCCTCAGCCTCCTGGGTAGCTGGGATTACAGGCGCGTACCCCCATGCCCGGCTGATTTTTGTATTTTTAGTGGAGACGGGGTTTCACCATGTTGGTCAGGTTGGTCTTGAACTCCTGACCTTGTGATCTGCCTGCCTCAGCCTCCCAAACTGCTGGGATTACAGGTGTGAGCCACTGCGCCCAGCCACATTACTTTGAAATGTAGATTCAACCATATAAATTAGGAACAATTTTATACACAGAAATTTGTGGTACATGTATGAATTTTAAAAACATACCATGAACATATGCTCACATGTTTAAAAAGTTGTTCAGTGGAGGGCAACTAGCTTATCTGAATTTTTATATTAATATTTATGTAGCTCTTGTTTTGTCACCTGCTAGTATTTGCTAGCAGGAAAGAAACTGCAGACTCCAAAAATTTGAGAAACATTTCTGGGAAAAAAATGTACGTTACAAACCGTATGATCAGGCTAATTGGCTATCACAGTGATTAGGATATGTAGGTAAACATTTCAGTGGCCTCCCCACTAACTTGCTACCACCGTATGTTATGGTAAAAGGGAGTTTCAGACCAAATTTGGCCAAATATGCAACAAATGTTTATTAGTAAGCTGGCACGAAAAAGAGTCAGAAGACCAATTCTGTAAGCTCAGTGAAATCCAGTGACCTGCCCCCCTGCCCAACACAACTCCATCATATAGTCATTGTAACAAGGACCTCACATGAAATTTTCAACACTCAGTGGACAAATATGAGACAGTTCAGGGAAACTTTAGGTCAGATCAGGCCACAATATTTTCCATTAAATGGAAGTGGAGAGGGAGCACAGGTCCAAAGAGAAAGATCTTAACCTGGACTGCCCCATGCAGTAGCCAATAGCCACAGGTAGCCCTTTAAGTTTAAATGTTAAGTTAATTAAGATTAAATACAACTCAAAAATTCAATCCCTCAGTTGCACTAGCTACATTTCAAGTGCTCAACAGCCACCTGCCACTAGTGGCTACCATATTGGACAGTGTAAATTAGACCATTTCCATAACTGTAGTTCTACTGGAGGATGGCTGTGCTAGATATAAGACACACTTTAAAAGAATGCTGGATTTGTCAGGTTCTTAGGCCTTAAGCCTGATGGTGCTTGTTAAGAATCAAAATCATCACTGCTCTTTAAAGTTCTTCCTTTTAGGTAGGGCTAGAGGTCAGGAAACTATATTTCATAAACTAGTGGGAGTTCTGGGTCATACTCTGTCAATAAGAAGCTCTCACGTGGAATATAAAAAATAAAAAGGATAAACTGGTATTCCACATTCACACCTGCAGCCAGGGGCAAGCCTTTCTGCAGACAGTAGACAGTGACATTTTGGGAGTGATTTCCAGGTGTCCCCCTCCTCATCACCCACTAAGGGTGGATTATCAGCTGTAGCTTCTTTTGATCCCAGCACTTCCTGATTTCCTGAATTCTTCAAAACAGCTTCTCTGACCTTCACTTTCTCAGACCTCTTAGTAGGTCTACAAAAAACGTTAAATCCCTGGGCTACATCCCTTCCTGCTGGAAATATCTGGAGTGGTTTCTCTTACTGGTCAAACTCTGACTGGTACATGCCCACTCACAAAAGGGCAGAAGAGCCAATACTGATCTTAATACCCCACCGTATTTCTTGAACATCATCCATTTCCTTAAGTAAAAATTATCTCGAAGCACAATTTATGCTAATTATTAAACTTCTGGGGCAAGTGTAGAGAGCAATATTCTAAAGCTTTGCCTTTAAGCATGCCTGTGGTATGGTCTCTCGTTAGGAAATGTAACAGGCTAAGTAACCTCCCCTGAAATGTAGATTTCTGAAGAGGATACTTCAAATGTTAACTAATTGTCTTCTGGGGGAGGACTGAAGTCAACTAGTATTTTGTTGTCTATACTGAAGTACTATTTTGTAAAGTAGAGGCAATTAAATGTAAAAGTGAGAACATCTTTTTAATGGAAGAAATCTGCCATTGTTCATTTCCAGCAGTGTTAAATCTTAGCCCATGTTGTGGAAATCAATGTTTGATGGAAGCACAGTTTAGAAATCCCTGAATTAGATACCGCTTGGGTATTACACTGTATGCAGAAATAGAGCTCAGAAAATTTTCTGGAATTTGAAGTAATTGCCCAAATGATGTCTTAGTGACCTGACAGATTTTAATAGCTCTAGTTGCCTAATTTGCTTCTGGGGAGTATATGGCTCAATTAGAATCTCTAGCTCACAAGCTTTAATATTATTTACATGGGTTTTATTAGATTTCTAAACCCTGTGGTTACCACATGGCCTTAATTTCAACCAAATTCCTTTGTCACCGCCATAAAAGACAACATAAAAAAGGCGTCAGTTTCACACATTTTGGAAATTTGTGCATACGAGTGGAAGTGAGGAAAGATGTTGTGAAGCAAGTCAGCAACCAGAGGAAGGTGGGAACCAAGGTGGGTTGCAGGAAGAGGTGTGAGATCATTTGCAGCTACAAGCTCATTTGCAATTAAGAAGCAATCTATTTCTGCGACCCCAAGGATGTGCAACTTTTAAGGGGTCATAAGTCAATCACAAATTACAGCAAATTAGCTCAATCTTTAGTTTCTACCAGCACTTTGCTGCAATCAGCAATCTAGAGGCAAAAGGCCATGGGGAAGATTGTTTTTAAAGAGGTTTTAGGATTGTAGAGAGATGCTGCCTCCTAAAAAAGAAAAAGCAATAATCCAACAGATGACTTGATAATTCTTAAATTTGAAAAAGTTCATTTTAATAATGCATTGACTACTACACCATTTCCTCCTGAGTGCCCTGCGGTTTTTGGGTTCACCCTGTTCAAGGACAATTAAAATATTTTAAGACTAAGTCAGTGGAATGACCTCTAAGGAGGAGCCAGTGGGAATGGAAAAGAGCTGGCATAGACAATTACAAAAAGGTGGGCAATGCTGCTGTGATGAAAGTCTGTTCTTTAGCTCCAAATGGGCCCTTGGGCCCAAACGTGAGCTTGGATACACTGGCCGTAAACCACCTACAGGAGCGTTCCTAGTAGAAACTCTTCGATTTCACAAAATGCTAGAAATATCAGCATGATACTAATTGTTTCTTTGAATTTGAGTGTGTGAAGTCTGAAGTCTGTAAAGAGCTCAGTGGTCAGAATAAGAACCTGGGGCTGGGAATTTTCCCTTCTGCAAAACTCTTTCTATTCAAACACAGTACTTAACACTTAGCCAGCGGACTATTAACATAACAATTCAGCTCCTGCCAAGAAGGCAAAACAAACCTCTAGTCAGCCAATGCCAATTACTCTCCACAGGTGGTAAGAATAGAGTCCTCATGTTAAACTCATAAAGCCTTATTTTTCCAGGCCAATCTTGAAAGTTTTTTTAATGTGATCTCACTTTTTTCCAGGACTATGGCTCCATTCTTTTTCCACTGTTTATTTTATTTTTTTAATGGAATGACTTTTTCCACCCTTGGCCCCTTGAGTGGTCACACCAGTGTTTCCCATCAATTCATCTTTTATGTTTTTTGGATACTTTTATCCATCCTCCAGTTCCTTTATCTTCCTTTCTGTGGTAAGCACCGAGGGAAATTGTTTTCTTTACTGTTCTCATGAAAGCTGCTCAATCTTGCAGTCTGTTATCTGAACTTCTCTTTGGAAGAGGCTGGCATGTTTCCATCTCAAATTCTCCATATGCTAATTGATGTACACGAGTTTTGTCCATTTTCATCCCTAGATAATGGCCCCTTTACAAAATGTAAGAACAAGAAATGTAACAATAAAACAAATACAGTGGTGGGGAAGGAACAAGAGCAGGGGTCAGCAGTGTAATTCTTCAGACCCTGGAAACTCAAGGAGTACATTCTTTAGTCTACAAAAAAAAAGGCTTGGTTGCATTCTAGTAAACCACACCTCCTATCAAAGTGCTTTCTGGAAACTGAGGCACAGAGGATGTAAGAAGCCTGTCCAAGGACACAGAGCTCAGATTAATCCCGGGCCTCCTGGATCCTAGGCCAGAGCTCTTTTTCCACCTATCATGATCTCAATGCTTGGACATAAGTCCACTCCACAGTCACACACTCACCACCCATAATCTGAGTTCAACCAGAGACATGTTGTATTTGACCATCATCATGTTTTACTAAGTGGGACTTGGTATATCTAAGTCCAGATTTCTTGTATCTCTTGAATAATTGAAACATATGTCAACACAGAGCCTGCAAGTGGCTGGCTGGAGCCAGGTCCTGGTCATCCTGTTAACTGCCTGGGTGCCCTGGCCAGACTCAAAGACATTTCTGACTGGGGATCCCTGACTTACTGCACCTATTACTGGTTCTTTGAATATATTTTGAGCTTTTTCATCTCTGAAAGTCAAATCCCTTCTCTTTGACTGAGACACTCACTGCTTACCTTAATGCTCAGAAAATACTACCACTTAAGGTCTACGAAGCCTCAACACATTGCCTTTCCTGGTCATCCCAGCAGCGAGCTATAGGTTTTGCCTCTCCTGTGAGCTGCTATTTTGATGCACTCTCTACCCTTTACTTGAGGCTGACCATACATTGCAGTTATTTGTAAGTATTACATGTCCTGGAAGGCCAGACACTCTATGTTTACTTGCATCCAGCTCACTCATTCACAATATTTGTTAAATATTAAATATAGTAATATTATTTAGTACTTTAAAATCCTCAGAAAAATGTATTTTTGTACACACATGTTTTTGAAGTCCAGATATCGACTCATAGTTATAGAATATATCAGCTGGGCACGGTGGCTCACGCCTGTAATCCCAGCACTTTGGGAGGCTGAAGTGCGTGGATCACCAGGTCAGGAGTTCAAAACCAGCCTGGACAATAAGGTGAAACTCCATCTCTACTAAAAATACAAAAATTAGCTGGGCATGGTGGTGCACACCTGTAATCTCAGCTACTGAGGAAGCTGAGGCAGGAGAATCGCTTGAACCGGGAGGCAGAGGTTGCAGTGAGCTGAGATCACACCACTGCACTCCAGCCTGGGTGACAGAGTGAGAGACTGTCTCACAAAAAAAAAAAAAAAAAAAAAAAAGAATATATCATTACCCCTGTTTAATAGGTGAAGGAAACCAAAGCTTGCACAAGCAGGCCTATGCTCATAAATCTACTCAAGTGGTAGATCCAGGGACAAACATCCAGGTTGAGCCCTGAGCCAGTGCTCCTAACCCCTCTTCTCCAATGCCTCCCAAATCCCCAAGTGTTCACTGTCCCATCTCTGGGCTTACTTTCCATAGCCACACACACACTGAACCCTGTGTGTAAATGGGAAGGAGGAATGGGGTAGAAGATCAAGCCAGATTTCCAGTCACCATTTGTCTAAGAATGACACTGCTTTAGCCACAGGGAAGTCTCCCACTGCTGCCTGTGACTAACGACAAGGGATGGGCTCTTGGAAACCCTGCAAATCCCTTTCCTGGGGGCCGGTGAGTGAGAACCCCAGTTGTGAGCGCTGGCACACAAAAAGCTTCTGTCCAAAGAGAGCACATGGAGGTATAAAGATGAGAAATGGGTTATTATCAGAAGCTTAGCCAAGGAAAGCATATCTTATTCAAACACTAAAATATAAAACAGAAATATGATAATTTGACAACCTATCAAAAATATTTTAACAAATCACAATAAGGCTATTTCTTGGCTGAAAACATCCTGCAGAAGAGAGTATACTTCGGGTTTCCTTAAAATGTTTTTCAAAATGGTGCCTTGATTCTCATTCTTCTTTTTTAATTCATGTGACAGAAAACACAAAAGACATGTACAATGCGTTATGCACCAAAATACTTGCTCCTTAGCTCAGAGCAAAAATTCACAAGCTAACTTCAGTCATGAGTGACTTGTCACTTTTTATCTTCCTGGGGTCCTAGGCAATCATTGGGAGAAAAAAAATAAAGTTGTTTCAAACAATGAAAATTTGGGGAAGATTTTGCAATTTCTACGTGACAGTTTTCTGGGAAATTACATCTGATTGAAAGCAACACCTTTCTAACCCCAGTAGTTAAGGGCATCTTAATTCTACCATTTCACTTCTTTAGGACTCAGTTTTCCTTATCTGTAAAATGGGGGAAAATTATGAGGAGGGGGAGGTAACACCTTGAACATTTATTTTTATTTCTGTAACAGTGACTTTATGAAAACAAAGTAGACCATCATTACATTAGGATGCACAGTGTTGTGGGAGAGATTTGCAAAACTTCCACTGGAATTGCAGGGCAGATGATACTGTGTGTTTGAAGTCTCACAGGCAACACACCTTGGCATCATGAAGTAGAATGCCATCCCCAGCCACCTCCAAGCCTTCCCCTGACATCTGTACAGATCTTTGATTCCTGTTAGAGCCCTAACTCACAGTTTCCTTCCCGGCAGGCTTGTAGAGCGATTTACACTGGCCGTGGGAAATCACGTCTTTTCTACCGATTGCACTCATTGTGCGATCCTCTCAGGGATTCTGGGTGAGCTGATATGAGGGACATTTGTGATGGGATTGAAAGCCAAGCCGTGCATAGACAGAGTTAGCTGGAGAAGAGACTCCTGCAATACACTATCTCCTGCAAAAACTGGAGCAGATTTGGGGGTTGCATTCCTGTCTGAATGGAGACAACGATGGAACCAAGTTGCCCGATTCTGTGCAGATCATATGAGGAACTACATTGTTTGTCATGCTAATTAATACACAGCTTCTACACTGGATCCCATGACCTCAGGGGAGGGGCTGACTGGGTGGGGAACTAGTGGGGTGTGAGTAACCAAATTCCCTTGGAAGAAAGGAAGAGTGAGCTTGTGGGTTGAGAAGGGTCCCAGCGAATGTACCTTCTCATATGGCTGTGAGAAATAGTAATTCATTATTTTTTAATCATTACCTAAGGCCAAAACGTATAAAGAAGGGGTATGGCCAAGCTTTAACTCAAATGGGGTCCTGAAATAGGAGCCTGCTGTAGAGGAAGGGCCATAAGCTTTGGAACCAGAGAGTGATTGGTCTGGAGCCAGGCTCTGCACTGGTGAGTGGTGGCCTAGGCAGGTCACTTGTTTTGAAACTTAGCCTTTCTCTCAGGGCCAGTGTGAACAAAGCCACCTGCACCTCTTGGGGATGGTGTGACCATCAGAGCAACGCACACCAATTCCCCGGTGTGTGGCAGACAGTGGCATGTTATGTTTGCATATGATGACAGAAGATGTTCTATAGGAGATCACTCAGGAGAAGCACATGCAGAGAAAGCAAACTATTTGAGGGAAAATATCTCCCTCCTTAGTTTTGATATACTAATATCATAAAATTACCCAAGACAGTGCAGAGCTCAGGTAGAGAAATCTTACAAAGCAGTGATGAGTTCCCTGGGGCTTCTACTTCAGCTTCTCTCCTGTGTAAGTTCTATTGCAGAAATTGTTTCAGTTCTAACATAACAATATTTAGGAGGAAGAGTTAAACCTCTCTCCCCACGAGTGCCCTTAACCAACACATCAAGAGCACAAGCACCAACAGACTCCCAACTACCTTCATTCATTTCTACTTAACTTTTTTTTAAAAAGTTTGGATAAGAAATAATTCCTCTTCTTACATATTTCTAAGGGTCTTAAGTAAATCAGGAGCCCCACACCAACAGTAAAGTAGGATGTCAGACATATTTTTAAAAAAGTAGTAAAATCTACATTTGTTGAACTGGATAGTGAAAGAAGGACTTTCTACAAATTTATATAGACTCTGTGTAGTTTGCCCTGCCACAGTGAGCTAACTGAAGCCTCTTATACAGATAAATAAGAAAAGTACCAGCCTGGGCAACACAGCAAGACTCCTTCTCTTAAAAAAGAAAAAAAAAATTAGCCACGCGTGGTGGTACATGCCTGTAGTCCCGACTACTAAGGTGGCTGAGGCAGGAGGATTGCTTAAGCACAGGGGTTCAAGCCTGCAGTGAGCTATGACTGCACCATTGCACTCCAGCCTGGGAGAGAGAATGAGACTCTGTCTCTAAAACTAAAAAAGAAAAAACAAAGGAAACAAGATTTTACAATGTAATAAAGAGTGGGAAGCAGGTGAGAGACGAAATACTACCTGTCAGGTACAATGTGCACTATTTAGGGGATGGCTACCAGACTTCCCCACTACGCCATATAACCATGGAACACAACTGTACGTGTACTCCTAAATCCATACAAATAAAAACTTTTTAAAAATCCAATCCAAGGCCGGGTGCAGAGGCTCACACCTGTAATCCCAGCACTTTGGGAGGCCGAGACGGGCGGATTGCTTGAGGTCAGGAGTTCGAGACCAGTCTGGCCAACATGGTGAAACCCCATCTATACTAAAAATACAAAAAAATTAGCCAGGCGTGGTGGCGTGCACCTGTAATCCCAGCTTCTGGGAGGGCTGAGGCAGGGGAATTGCTTGAATCAGGAAGGTGGAGGTTGCAGTGAGCTGAGATCGCGCCACTGCGCTCCAGCCTGGGAGACAGAGCGAGACTCTGTCTCAAAACTAAATAAATAAATAAATAAAATAAGAATCCAATCCAAAAACAGTAATGCAGAAAGTATCAATTGAAAAGCCTCAGTACTAATGAAAATAAGCATATCATGCCTTGATATAGCACATTTCTTCAAGTCCTAGATACTCTGATGGCAGATACTACTTATCCCTAGCTTGCAAACAAGAAAATTAAAGCATGAAACTGCGTAGATTTTTGTCTTGACACACTAGAGGACAGACTTGAATCCAGGTCTTTACTACTGATTTTGATACCACAGCAAACCAAACACCCTGTGAATTTCACAAACACTACTGCCACGTTGTATGGTAATGAAAAGGGTGGCCTTAAAAGTGTGGCTATGTTCCCCTTTGGCGTTGTGATCATGGGCAACTTTCTTGCCTTTCTCTTGAGTATGTTTCCTCATCAGTTAAGAAGGAATAAAATCCATATCATAGAGCTCTATGTTGTAAGGATTATAAGGATTTATGTGTGTGTGTGTGTATGTGTGTATAAAACATACAGACATATACATACATATGTGTGTATCAAACCTTATATATAATCATTCATTTTTAATAGAATATATAAGCCATTTATAACAGATTTCTACTAACTTCTACTAACTTTTCAGCTTAGGATATATATTGTTTTCACTATTTATGCTCATATAGCAACTTTTTCATCACTAAAAATTTAGAGAATATGAACGTATCATAAGATTGCTGATATGCACCATCAATACGGTGGTACAGGTGGCCAACTCACTTAAAAGAAACAATTCTTTAAAAATATTTTCCCCTTCATCCTTTTTCTGGGACATCAGGAAAGAAGAACCTCATCCATTTTCCTCAGGTCTTTTTAAAATACCATCACTTCCACTGAAAAAACAGTAAAACCATCTGGAATAGCTGACAGACAGCAGTATGGAAGCAATTTCTTTCAAGACAGCTATCATGATTTTCCTTTCCGTTTTCTTTCTCTCTTGAAATGTCAAGGATAACTGCAACTTTTTACTTTTCCATCTGTGATGTACTGATCAGTCCCAAACAAGTTTTGAAAGTACTTGAGAATTCTGTTTCCAGTAAGTTCAATACTTTTTTTCCACTTTGACTTAATTTAAATCACATCTGTCTTTAGTGTTTTTTAATATTAAAAGATATAAAAACGTACCTTGAAATATGGTTATAAAGTATTTTACAAAGGAAGAAGTATTTAAAATACTACCACAAGCGGTCACAATGACTCATATCTTTTCAAATAGATTATCATAACCAGCACAGTAAAATGAAAATAAAAAAAGACTCCAAAATCGGTAAAAGTGGCCGGGCGCGGTGGCTCATGCCTGCAATCCCAGCACTTTGGAAGGCCAAGGCAGGTGGATCACCTGAGGTCAGGAGTTCGAGACCAGCCTGGCCAACATGGTGAAACCCTGTCTCTACTAAAAATACAAAATTAGCAGGGTATGGTGGCAGGCACCTGTAATCCCAGCTACTTGGGAGGCTAAGGCAGGAGAATCGCTTGAACCTGGGAGGCAGAGGTTGCAGTGAGCCAAGATTGCCCCATTGCACTCCAGCCTGGGCAACAAGAGCTAAACTCCGTCTCAAAACAAAACAAAACAAAACAAAACAAAAGAGTAAATGCTGCATTTCACATTATAGAACTAGCAGAAGGTAGAATCAGGAATACTCATTTTCAGCCTGATCTTTTAATTATCTCAATATGAATTTTCCACAAACAAAAACCTGAATACCAGTTGTATACCCAGGAATCAAAGCACGAGATACATTTTAAGGTATTTTTTATGTAGTTATATATAATATATAATAAAGATATATGTGTAAAATATATTTATAAGATACAATCGGCCCTCTGTATCCATGAGTTCTGAATCCATGGATTCAACCAGCTGTGGATCAAAAATATTTTGAAAAAATTTACGTTCACACTGAACACGCAAACTTCTTTTCCTTGTTATTATTCCCTAAACAATATACTATAACAACTACTTACATTGCATTTATATTATATTAGGTATTACAAGTAATCTGGAGGTGATTTAATGTATACAGGAAATGTGCATAGGTTATATGCAAATACGGTGCCATTTTACATGAGGGACTTGAACAACTGCAGATTTTGGTATCTAAGAAAGGTCCTGGAACCAATCCCCCAAGGACAATAAGGAATGACTGTATATTTTAAAATATATTTGGCAGAGAAAACAGTACTGATTAATGTCTGTTTCATGCACTGAGCTGGTGGGCTTTGACTCTGTGTCAAGCATGGGACTTCTCACTGTGGAAACATTCAAAACACGGAAGAAGTGGTCTTTTTACTCTGGCATCTGAGAGGAAGAATAATGCAGAAACAACCCAAAGACAAGGCTATATTTGTGTCATGTTAGCAGCAAAACCAACAGATACCAGATAAGTCAGTTCATTTTAGGCTGGACCTGAGGGGAAGGAGGCTGTTAGGGGATGAGTACATTCTGAGAAGTAGACGTGGTCATCTCAGGTGAAGAGAACAGGCTGGGAGATGGGGAGGCACAAAATGAAAACAAGAGCAAGTTAGAATTCAGGGAGTAGAGGACAGTGGTGGCTAAATGGTGAGGATGGGGTCAATGACCCTCGCAGAAGGTCATTAATTCTGGGCCAAGGAAGTTGGCCTTTACGTAGTAGCCAAAAGGAACCTGTAATGTTTGCTAAGACTGCAATCACAAAACACCACAGACTGGGTGGCTCAAACATTCATTCATTCATTTATTCATTCATATATTTATTTATTCTCGTTCTAGAGACTCAGAAGGCCTAGATCAAGGTGTGGGCAGTTTGGTTTCTTGTGAGGCCTCTCTTCTTGGCTTGCAAATAGCCATTTTTCACGGTATCCTCACACGGTCTTTCCTCTCTAAGCAGACATCCCTAATGTCTCTTTGTAAGTCCAAATTTCCTTTCCTTTTTTCTTTCATAGAGATGGAGTCTCCCTGTGTCATCCAGGCTGGAGTATAGTGGCCTGATCCTAGCTCACTGCAGCCTTGAACTACTTGGGCTAAAGCAATCCTCTGGCCTCGCCTCCCATATAGCTGGGACTACAGGCATACGCCACCACACCCAGCTAGTTTTTTATGTGTTGTAGAGATGGGGTCTTGCTAAGTTGCCCAGGCTGGTCTCAAACTCCTGGCCTCAAGCAATCCTCCTGCCGGAGCCTCCTAAATTGTTGGGATTACAGGTGTGAACCACTGCACCGAGCCCCAAATTTCCTCTTGCGATAAAGACACCAATCAGATTAGATTAGGATCCACCTTAATGGCCTAATTTTAACTTAATCACTTCTTCAAGGCCTATTTATGCATAGTCACATTCTGAGGTACTGGGGAGTAGGGCTTCAACATTTGAACTTGTGGGGGGCAAGTTCAAACCTCAGCCCATAACAGAGGTTTGTGGTTGAATCCTCAAATGTAATAGTTGAAAGGCAGCCTCAAGATGATCTAATCTAGTGCTTCTCAAACTTTGCCATGAAAATATTCCTAAAATCAAAGAGTAGTGAACTCATACCTTAAGTCAGTACTTCTCTGAAACAGGTTTTCCTTGTACCTACTGAAAAATTGTTGTGAAGTTCTCCATTCTACTCCATGGGTAGCCTTGTTTCTCATATAAAAATGCTTTCCTCAAAATGATGGAGTAAAATTGATGCTCTTAGAAGATATTTTGGGTTTATCTCGTGGCTTCACATATCTGGAGCCATTTCCCTTTAAGTACATGGATAGCTCAGTTTTAGAAGAATGAATCTAGGCTGCAGCTCAAAGAGATTAGGTGGCATGCTCAAAGTCACAGTTAGTAAAAGAATCAGAAATGGAATGAAATCTTTTGTTGCTCGGTCCAAAGCATTTTCTGCAGCACCACGCTGTCACACAGAAAAGAAGAAAGTACTTGATCTGCCTGGCACAGACTATATCACATTCAAAAAGTTCTGAGGTCACCCAGCGCTACCCTAAGCGTGAGACACCGGCTTCCCCAATTGGCCCCATGGACTCCCCACTGCTCCTTCCCACGGGGCTCCAAACAGAAGTGTCCAGAGGTGTGAAAGAGGTGGATCAGACCAGCTTCCTCCAGGGAAACTATCATCAGCTGCAAATTCCTAGCTTATTTATGAAGGGAGAACAGTGTCTCAGATAAATGCCTCCTTTTTTCAGCAGAATGAGCAGCTGCTAATCAAAGGTTGTCAAGCACAATTTATACTACCCAGGGCTTCAAGGGAGGCATAAAAAGAAAGATCACAACATCATGTTTATCTCCCTTTCATTGCTGTTTCTGGCAATAGTATTACAGTCAGGCAGGCTGAGTAAAAACAATTTTCTAAAAATATGGATCAGCTGAGACCATTTAAAGCCGCTTTTTATGGAGTTATCGTTAGGACTTTTCCCCTTGGGCTGCTTTGTGTACTATTTCCCAGAGCCTCCTCTTCCAGGATCTAGTTATCTAAAAAATATAATTCTTTCTCCTTGCCAGGGAGATCACAGCCTCCCAAAGACTGATAAGGACGTCTGCATTCCTCCCCGGAGCCTGGGCAAACTATTCCCAAGAGTTCCATCACTCCGGGCGGGAGGTGCCGTGGACCTCAGTCAGGGTTTCTGCTGTGGAGTCATTGGTTTTGTGGGTGGACCCTGTGCTGCTCAGCAGGTAGGACTGGCTGTGACTCCCTCTGTTTCAGTCTTTACAAGAATGAATTTCCCACTTTCCCAGTCTTTATGAAAGGAGGAAGTCACATTCTAGAAGGTGAGCTGTATGCTACCATTCTCCATGGACGTTAACATTTAGAAGGGAAAAATCAGCCCTCAGTCTGTGGTAGGCTTTTCACCCAACTCTGAATGGCTGCTGGTGGCAAAGCAAAGGTGACAGTGGAGGAAGTTTGCTTTCAGTATAGATTCTATTTCCTTTACATTAAAACCAACAAAGGAAATGCGATTGCTTTCTAACAAGCCTTATAAACAGACTATTTTCACAATTTGTGTGCCTTAAAGCTGCCTGCTATGAAGGCATAGGGTTTTACTTCAGAAAGGAAACCAATGGAACATCTAGTTTTGCAGCTTTTTCTGCTGTGACCCTTGAACCTCTGCAGGGTGTTGGGGGTGTCTCTGTGGTGTCTAAAGAACATGTGCCCAGGTGGGATGGAGCAAGGTGAGCTTGGGGGATGCAGAGCAGAGATGTTGCCCTCCACTGCTGCCCCCACCAGGATGGGGCTGCTCTACCTGCTTTCTGATGGGGCTGCACCTGATATTGTATATAAGGGCAAGGTTCAGCTCCTCCATAATTTTGAAAACTATCCTAACCTGGTGTTATTGGCTAAACTGCATCGCCCTATCTCCAAAACAGAGGTATATTGAGGTCCTAACCCCCAGTACCTCAGAATGTGAACTTATTTGGAAATAAGGTTGTTGCAGATGTAATTAGGTAAGATGAGATCATACTGGAGTAGGGTAGGTCACTACTCTGATGTGACTGGTGTCCTTATAAGAAGACAGCCAGGCTGGGTGCAGTGGCTCACACCTGTAATCCCAACACTTTAGGAGGCCAAGGCAGGAGGATTGCTTGAGCCCAGGAGTTCAAGACCGGCCCGGGCAACATGGCAAGACACCATCTCTCCAAAAAACAAAAATTAGCCAGTGTGGTGGTGTGTGCCTGTGGTCCCAGCTACTTGGGAGGCTGAGGTGGTGGGAGGATCACTTGAGCCAGATAAGTCAAGGCTGCAGTAAACTGTGATCATGCCACTGCACTTTAACCTGGGTGACAGAATGAGACACTGTCTCAAAAAGAAAAAAAGACAGGAAGACAGGCAGGTGAAGACACACACACACATACATACACACACACAGAGGCAGAGTTTGGAGTCACGCTGCTTTAAGTCAAGGAATGCCTAGGGGAACCAGAAGCTAGGAAGAGGCAAGGAGAAACTTCTCTAGAACCTTCAGAGGGAGCATGGCCCTGCCAACAACTTTATTTCAGACTTGTAGCCTCAGAACTGAGAGAGAATAGATTTCTGTTGTTTTAAGCCTCATGATTGGTGGTCCTTCCTTATACCAGCCCTAGGAAACTAAAACACCTAGTTAAAAATATATTCTTCTCTCATTTAATTTGTTTTACCCTCTTAGGCAATAAGTTAATAAAGTAAATTGAAAAAAAAAAGTAGATTTTCTTAATTTACTAACTTCTGTTTCCCACCCCATCCTCAAATGTCTTAAGAAAATGGCCCCAAGAAGAGACATAGATAGAGGCTCTGGTTTCTCCAAGCACAACATCACGGCTCACATGCCCTAGACTCAGATGCCACACATAACACCATCAATCTCTGTCTTACCACTGTGTCAAAGAAGGGAGGTCGATCCAGGATCCTCACTGCTATAACCTGGAGGAAGCATAACTTACACGTCAGACATAGTTAACCATGCATGCCTGACATGTGAGATGCAAGCTGCATGATCATAATTTATATTTAAATAGCTTCTTTCTCCAAAGAGCTTGAAGAAATTTACCGACTTTTACTTAATTAATTCTTGTAAGTCATCCGTGACGAAGGTAAAGTAAGGTCATATATCCCTCTTTCCTCTGGCATCTCAGGGTTTGGCTACTTGTTCTCCACTTTTTGTTTTTAGAATTGTGGAGTTTCTCCTCTCCAAATGCACAGACTGTTATTCTGAAGCCAATGTTTGTATTTCCATATAAACTCTATTTCTGGGAGCTTCGGAAAGAAGCTCTTTGGAAAGAAACTTGTTCCGGGAGCCACGGAAAGAAAATAATTTCCGTTGTCTTCCTTTTGTTGGAAAGGGGGGGTTACTCAGAAAGGCCCAATCTATTCTGAAATTACCATTTATTTAGAGCCGTAACTAATGAATTATTTTGAGATCTAGGAAAGTCAGACTTTGTGTGTGTGTGTGTGTGTGTTTGTGTGCATTTGTGTAGAGAGAGACAGAAGCAGTAACTCTGCTGAACAGCATTAGAATGACATAGTGTTTTAGGGTGGAGGCAGCATCTCAGCCAAACTTTTGTTCACCACACACATCTTTAGTGACACTTTTGGCCAGTCTTCAGGGTGTGTTCCGTGGGCCCTCCTCCGAGGACTGCATGGCTGGGACACATGGAGACAACATAATCAAGGAAAGAGAAGAAGGAAGGACTTCGGAGGCAAACTCCATTTCAACCAGGGCTGCTTCTCTTTGCCTGTTTTCCTACTGAGTTTCTGAATAAGCTCAATGAAACAAAATTTTAAAAAATTGTAAAATCTCCTAAGGAACTTCCTGGATGTTACATGAAGATTTAAGAAAGAATAGTAAATTTCTTTGAGCTCTTTGAAGAACAAAGTTATTAAACATTCTGGCATTGAGTTCTCTGGACCTGACTTGAGAGGATCTTCCTTTAATTTACCAAATAGTAAGAAAGATGTATTTCCAGAAACCTGTATTTCTCAACTCCCTAAAGGGTAAAGCCTTTCTGCAAAGGGCAGAGCAATGGTAAGCTGCTTCAGTCTTCACTAGCCCAAACTTGAGGTGACTCTGCAGAAGTGATACATTTTACCAGCCTTGGAAGCTTTGTTGGCACTAGTTTGCCTTCTTGGATATTGTAAATTTACTGGATTTAACCAAGTGCCACCAGCCTCTAAAACAGGGGTCCCCATCCCCTGGGCCACAGACCGCTACCAGTCCCTGGCCTGTTAGGAACAGGGCCGCAGAGCAGGTGGGGAGCGGTGGGCAAGTGAGCATTACTGCCTGAGCTCCGCATCCTGTCAGATCAACAGTGGCATTAGATTCTCATAGAAGCACAAACCCTATTGTGAACTGTGCATGCAAAGGATCTACGTTGTGCACTCCTTATGAGAATCTAATGCCTAATGATCTGAGATGGAACAATTTCATCCCCAAACCATCCTCACTACACCCTCCTGTCCATGGAAAAATTGTCTCCACAAAACAGGTCCCTGGTGCCAGAAAGTTAGGGTTTGCTGCTCTAGAACAGCAGAGTACGTTTCATAATCATTCGACACAAGTGTGGCCAACCTACCCTACAACTCCAAGTCTTTCCTAGTGCCTTCCTAGTGCCACTGATTAGTGCAGGAATTCAAGTTTTAAAAATCCTATGGTTATCCAGACACCATAAAAGGGGCTTTCAAAGTTTCAACATACATGTTTGTAAGCCAAAAGAGCATAGGGTCAATCTGGTTTATTCTGCTGGCTTCTATTAAAATATATAACCATATTTCTATAGTACTTACAGCTATCTTGTTGAGAAAACACAGACACCACAGTCTAAAGTGGTTTTACATATTCATTTCTGTTTAAAATGGTCTGAAGAATTCAGGGAAAACTAAATTTAGCCTCTTTACACAGAAGAATATTAAAACAGAAGGCTCTAAACCAGCAAGAAAAGTATTTTAATTAGCATTTATTAGAGGAGGAAAATGATAAGTAGGAAAGAGACAAACTTGGAAGCAAGAGTTGAACAAGCTCTTTCTAAACTCCTATGACAACACTTATGTAGGTGTATCTTAATTGGAAATTTAGGATAGCAGAATTGGCAAATCAGGACAAGAATTATGAACTCTTTTTAGTGGAAGAGGGAGAAGCATGGGACTTGAAAGGATAGCGTCCTATAAAGATCACGCTGTGGAAAGCAAAGAAATTCACTGAGAAGCCAAAATGTTATGACTAATATTGCCTCTTACATTTGTGGTAAGATAAATTCTGGCATCATCGGCACCTGAAAGGAGATGAAGGGGATCCAAGATCAGAAAACTCTGACTGCCAGGGTTAAATAAGAAAATTCATAAAACTAGGCCAGGTGCAGTGGCTCACGCCTGTAATCCCAGCACTTTGGGAGACCGAGGCAGGTGGATCACCTGAGGTTGGGAGTTCGAGGCCAGCCTGACCAATATGGAGAAACCCCGTCTCTACTAAAAACACAAAGTTAGCCAGACCTGGTGGCACATGCCTGTTATCCCAGCTACTCAGGAGGCTGACACAGGAGAATTGCTCGAACCCAGGAGGTGGAGATTGCGGTGAGCCAAGATCGCACCACTGCACTCCAGCCTGGGCAACAAGAGCAAAACTCTGTCTCAAAACAAAAACAAAAAAGAAAAGAAAATTCATACAACCAAATTTGATCCAAGAAAGCAGGCCTAAGTAAGGTGAAAATTATTAATAGCCAAATTTAAAATGAAGGGTGGCAATAATGTGCACCTCAGCATACCTTCACTGCAAATTGGTATTTGCTGTTGATACTAACTTGGAAAAAACACTGACGTGAGTTCAATCAAAATCTAAGTCTCTAGAAAATAATCAGGTGTTTGGTTTCACAGCCATACAAGCCCCATTTTCCATGTTCAATAGCCACATGTGGCTGGTGGCTTCCATACTAGTCAACACAGATGGGAGACATTTTCATCATTTGCAGACAGTTCCACTGGACAGTGCTGTGTTAGACAGAATGGTTTTCAGACATTTCAGACTACTGTAAGAATGGCAAGGCCGGGCGCGGTGGCTCACGCCTGTAATCCCAGCACTTTGGGAGGCCGAGGCGGGCGGATCACGAGGTCAGGAGATCGAGACCATCCCGGCTAAAACGGTGAAACCCCGTCTCTACTAAAAATACAAAAAATTAGCCGGGCGTAGTGGCGGGCGCCTGTAGTCCCAGCTACTTGGGAGGCTGAGGCAGGAGAATGGCGTGAACCCGGGAGGCGGAGCTTGCAGTGAGCCGAGATCCCGCCACTGCACTCCAGCCTGGGCGACAGAGCGAGACTCCGTCTCAAAAAAAAAAAAAAAAAAAAAAAAAAGAATGGCAAATATTAGTAATACTCTTATATATCTTCCCAGCACCAAAATGCCTGTTAGCATCAACTACTATGTTTATTCTAAACCTTTATCATTCCTTTTCACTACTAAGTACCAGTTTCAACTATTTTCAAGCTTAATCACCAAAGAAATAAACAAAGAAGTATTATAGAAAATTATAATTGAAACCATAGAGCAAGCCATCCTATAATTAACATATAGAAAAGTGATTTGAACTATTCCTTTATAGAGCTTATGTGACATTAAATTCCAGTCTCATGACTATGTTGAGCGCAACTACAAATATCCATAGTAGACACACTGAGTAGTCTAAGTTCAACAATTACATAACCCCTGAAATCCTTTCACGTGGCTTTGGGTGGTGATTTTACAATGTCTTTTTTAATTTTTAGAAATGCGCACACAGACACCAAAGTCATTTGCATGAACCTGTTACATAACAATGAAAGTAGAGGCTAGGCAGGAAGAAAACAAGTACAGTTTGTTCCTCCCTCTCTGTCTCTCTCCTTTAAAACTGAGAGTTCACTGTTTCCACTTAAGAGGGGAAATTCATCAGTTTCATGATGATACAGGTGAAGGAGACTTGGAGTCAACAGTGGGAAATGATGACCTCACTGTCTCATGCTGTCAGATTCAATAAGGTGTGGAGAGGGAGGCATCCTCCATTTGTGTCTGTTCTTTCCAGCAGTCATTACTAGGCTGGCACTGAAGCAGAAAGATAAGCAGCATGAGTATTTATGAGCTTTTTGGAGATACATATGCTCAGTGTTTTCCTTCTGAGTTGTTAAAATTCAGGTTTCACAAAAGTACCATGAGTTCTACCGCTTAATCATTCTCACACCTTTCCTAACTTGCCAATACTCCACTACCATAAGCAATTAGTCTACTTCTATCATTTTTATATCACTGTGAACAATTAACCAAAATGGCTAGGGCATGGGACTCAAGACTTTTATATATTTGAATTTCAAAAAGCCAATTAGCTGCTCCCCAGTAATGCCCTTAACCCTGTCATCTCAACAATAGGTGCCTTGGTCACGACAACCACTAGGAAGATAGGGAATGATCCAGGCCTGTGCTTTACAAAATGAACAATGGGTTATTTAGATAACAGGTTTCTTAGTACTTTTAGACAGATGTATACCGTCCGATATGGTAACCACTAACCACATGTGGATATTGAGCAACAGAAATGTGGCTAGTCCAACTTGAAATGTGTTGGAAAAGTAGAAAATACACACCAATTACAAAGACTCCATAAGAAAAAAAGAATGTAAA
Organism: Homo sapiens; assembly: GCF_000001405.40. Lineage (NCBI taxonomy): Eukaryota > Metazoa > Chordata > Mammalia > Primates > Hominidae > Homo > Homo sapiens. The sequence goes on from NC_000013.11 coordinate 39,402,106, forward strand.
ATACCTCATAATATTTTTGAACTGATTACAGGTTAGAACAACAATATTTTTGATATACTTATTTCTATAAAATGTAAGTTAATTTCATGTTTCTTTTGCTTTTTTAAAATTAATTAATTAATATTTTATTATTTTTTGAGTTGGGGTCTTGCTCTGTCACCCAGGCTGGAGTGCAGTGGCACAATCATGGCTCACTGTAACCTTGAACTCCTGGGCCCAAGCAATCCTCCCACCTCAGCCTACTGAGTGGCTGGGACTATAGGCACGCACCACTATGCCTGGCTAGTATTTTTGCAATTTTTTTGTGGAGATAGGGATCTTGCTATGTGGGTCAAGCTGGTCTTGAACTCCTGGCCTGAAGTGATCCTCCAGTCCTGGCCTCCCACAGTGGTAGGATTATAGGCATGAGCCACTGTGCCTGGCCCTTTTTGCTTTTTTAAATATAGAAATATAGCTCCAAGAAAATGTAAAATGGCATATGTAGTCCAAACTATATTTCTATTGACAACACAAATACAGACCAGGATCACAGGCTCCATCTGTAACATAAAAGAGCACAGAAAATGCAGACTCATGAAAAGCAACCCTAAAAATGATCTGCTATGAAGGCAAACGAATCCTCTGGCAACAAAAGCAGAAGAGTAGCTGGAAATGGAGAAGGCTTCATAAATATCTCTGCTATTGAGAATGGCATAAAGGCGTAGCCAGCAGCTTAATCTATGTAATCCAGCAGTATCAAAAAGAAATCAAACACAGATTTTAAAATCCCTGCCTTGTCTTTTGAACTGGCTGTGGGAAAGTAGCTCTCACAGTCTGCTAGAGGTTAGGGCTGTGACTCCCACAGTACTCAAGTCCTCACTTTGATTTTCTCTTGATCAAAGATGGAACCTAATTACTGAAAAAGCACCAAAGGGTCCTCGAAGGAATTCCCTCAACGGGACACACAGTGACCCAGGGAGATAACAAGATAATTTAATACTTGTATCAGAAGTTTTCTGATTAATATTTAGACTCCCATCTATTGAGAAATAGGGAAAAACAGGGATCAATACATTGTGTGAGGTATGGGAGAAGCAATGCTTTTGTCAAGTGGCAATTCAAGTCATTCACAGAGCTAGACAATTTGCCTGTTTATAAAAGGGAACATCCAAGCAGCTCTCCATTTCCTCCTTATTTCCTTGCTCTCTATAGGCTCTTGTGTTCTATAAATAGGCAAGAAAGAAAGTTAATTAGTGTCAGCTTTCTCACCCAAGAAGAATTTTATCATTGCCTCCTTTCCAATCTTTCCAGGCTCTGAGATGGCCATTACTCTTCTGTTACAGTCTGTAATCTACTTTAAATTACTGCAGTATAATCAATGTGATATTGTGCATATACCAGTTGGTTTACACTTTCATGTTCAGGAGTCATCAAGGAAACGTGCTATAAAGGAGGCAAGACTAGGGTGGCAAAGTAACATTCAATCAGTAAGAGCCACACTCCAGAGGCAGCGACTACAAGCCCTTTTATTATCTCTATATCGATCAAGAGCAGAAACTTTGCCAATAGCCAATAAACATCAACATTAGATTTTTATTGGTGAAAGTAGTGGTTCACTAATTAGCATGATAGATGTAATAATGAAATTTCATTAGGTGATGTTTAAGATATTCAAAGTATGTGCATGGGTAAAAATATGTTGGACATACCCCCACCACTGTATAAACATGTAAGAATCCAGCCAGGCCTGTTATCATGTATCCCTTAGGCTTGAATCCCGTACCTCTTAGAAAAATGGCGTCTGTGGCTTGATACCTAGTTGGATATGTGCCCAGCATTGGTTTAGGAGAATTTCTGATTTATGAGGCCAAGTAGAAGGCCTGGAATCATGCCTGATAAATGCTGTTGTTTTTGCCTCAAGTAAACCTTTGTACAAGGCAAGGTCAACTTACCTGGACGTATAGAGAGCTGAGACTTTGTGGAGCTCAAGGAACACAGTGTGTGAACTGCTTTGTGCCTGCTTTGCTAATGGCTGCTTATTAAATAAGCACGTGATGGAATTTTGTTTGAAATTTACATGTTTTATAACCTAGTAGCCAGGTGATAAGGGAGTGGCTTTCTCTCACCTATAATACTTTAAACTTCTTAGTTGCTAACTAATAAAATCAATCTAAGTGTTGTTCATGACCAAACTAGTTTAGTCAGTAGTCAACAGCCCCATTTTTCACCCTGATCCAACAAGCAAGCCTTCTTTCAGTCCTTTGGGTGTACAGTCCTTCCAACTCAAGAACACTATATTCCCTCAAAATTCTTCACCTGGTCAATTCTGATTCACTCTTCAGGTCTCGGCCTAAATCACTGGCTCTCAAACTCTGCTACATATTAGAATCACCCAGACAGCTTTCAAAAATCCCAATGCCCAGGCCACAGCCTATACAAATTAAATAATAACAACTGGAGGTGGGAGCTTCAGTTTTAAAAAGCAATGTTTTTAAAGATTCCCTAGATGATTTCATTGTGCACCAAAGTTTGGGAACCACTGGTTTCAATGTTACTTTTCCAGCAAAGACTTCAACAATCACTCCAGCTAATTTAGGTTTCTCTGCCATTTATGAGCTCCATCTCATAGCTTTCTGTACTTTTTCTTATTTTATCCTTAGCTATGCCATCTTTGTTCTGATCCTCCCTATGCCTCCTAGATGGTGTACCCTATGAGAGCCAAGACCTAGACTGTTTTATTATCACAGCATCTAAGCATCTGGTACGGTACCTGGGACAGGACAATATGTATTTGTGCAAAATGAATGGTCAATAAATTCAATGTTTACCTTTTCACAGATACTTAATCCCCCAAATTAAAACTAGCCAACTAACCAAATATTTGAGTACTATGTGATCAGTTTTCTAACAGGTACTGTGGAGTGACAGAGAAAAAACTTGTAATCTCTTTACAAGCATAATTAATGCATATGTAACATAAGAGAGCTGGATAATGCAGAATATACAAAAACAAAGACCAATAAAATTGAGTGTGAGGTGATAAAGAGTAATACACATATGTGGACATCTGTCCTCCTTGACTTAAATGAGTGAAACTGAGCATGGACGGTCTAATTTATAAATCACGTAGTACAGGCTATCTATCCATCCCAACTCTGCCTTCTGTCTCAGCCTTGAATTTCATTACCCAGCAAGTCTTCCTGAGCTATATGAAACATTTGCATAAGTCAGCAGCCTTTTGTTTATCTGAGTCAGAAAACCAGATTCACTCATAAAATGTGAAAGAAAGAGCTCCATTTTGAAAACTGTCATCTTTACTTAATTTTGATCAAGCATTTGGGATAATATTTAAATGATTAGCCTGATGAATCAAAGAGCTGTGCTAAAAGAAACAGATTGGTTTATGTGCTCTAAAATATTTACCCTCTTCCCATTTTTATCTTCCACCCAAATCCTTGACGATATAAACATCTTCTGGGCTGTCTCCACAAACTACCATTCCTACATTCAGCATGAACAGACAACTTCTGAGCAGAAACCCAGACTGGGGGCAGGGGACAAGAAACGTTCTTGCTAATTTCAAAAAGCTGTCATACAAACAAACAGACCAAAAGAAGCTCTCAGGCACTTTTGCCTAATAACAAAAGCAGGTGCTGCAAATTAAGGTAGTGTTCACAGGCCACATCAGAGACAGAGTACGCATAAATTCTAGGGAGCTCCAGGGTGAAAACAGGCATGTGGTAAAAGTACTAATGAAGGACACACAAGATTAGTCCGAGTTGCTCGAGGGCAGAGACAGCTCTTTTTCCAAATGAAATCTGAGTTAACCACAGGACTCATCCTATTAAAGCAAAGGACGGAATTTGTCCAAGGTATTTTTGCAATGGGTAACATTAAAAGAGTCCTCATGGGTGTGACTGACATTAATTTATTATTCTGTATTGTAGCTGAGCTCACCAGAGTTCGGGATGAATGAGAAAATGAATAAGGATTCACAGTACAGTTTCGCTCCCTGGTCCAGCTCAGTCCTGTGCCACAGAAAGTGGCTGATAACTCTTTTCCAATAGGGGCTTGACCATAATAATGTGTTAGATGTGTTTTACATAACAATTTACATTGTTATGTAATACAATACACCATTTGAGGAAGAATTGTGTCAGGATAGTATCAATGTATGACTTTTTGTGCACAGGTAAGATTACCTAGAATTTATTTTTTTCAAAATAAATATTCTCAAAGTTTCTAAATCCAACTTAAAATATTTTAAAATTCTCTTTTGAAATTTAGGAAATATTAACAATTGCTTTTAGGGAATCTTTGATCAATGTCTGGTCTCATGTATTTAATCAAATTCCTTAAAATTTTAAACTTATATTTATAAAGTTTCTTTTCAATTTCCTTAATTGCCTCAATTGTTTGAGTAAAAACAAATACTACCACATACATAAGTAATTCTTGTAAATGCAACAAATTAAAGTACAAACACGGTGGATCCTAAGTTATCTCAAGTTGTTCAATATTTTTGATAAAACATTAAAATTTCAACTTAAAAACCCAACTCTGAATAAAATAGTCAATTATCCATTTTAATGTAATCACAGTGTTCAATGAAAATACTCATACATTAAAATGCCATATACATCCAGATTTATTAATACAAAAGCATTTAATATTATGGGGTGATTCTCTTAAACACTGTACATTTAATTTTAAGTCTTATAGAAACTACTGAATCACCTGAAACAATTTTGTGGTCATGCTGACAAGCAAATGTTCAACCACTGGGAGTGGTTGAGTATCAACTGCAGGTTTTAGCCTAGAGGTAAGTTCTGAGATTGCAAGAGATCCAAGGTAATTTTTCTCACCACCATCATCAACACACCAAAGAAACCCTGTTTGACAGTCATTAAACCAACATGGGTCTACAGACTTTGCCTGGTCTTGCAGCACACATGGCTAGATTAAAGCCGTATCTTTGTTTAATTTTCCTCTATTGGCAGAATTTTGCAACCCACATGAAGCTTTGAGCTAACATCCTTCATTGCTTCAGTTGTATTAATTCAAATTTATTTGAGTTTCATAGATAATTAATTTCTCCATTGGATTCCAAGGGTTCCCTGCCCATTTAAAAAAAATTCTGTACTGACCAAGTAATTAATGATTTTCCTAATCTCTCCAATCCTTTTATAGATACTCTGCCTGAGAAAGAACTCCCAGGGCAGAGTCTGATTCTTCCAGACCAAGCCCTTCTGAGTACCCCCACCTTCTGGCCATACTGCAGTTTGAAGTTCACCTTGATGCAGGCTAAGGCATTTGTCTGCAGCAAGTAAGTTTTCCATTTTCCAGACTTTTAGCCACAAACATCTTCACTAACTATTCTTGATCCTTCCCAGGTAAGTGCCAAATGGGACATGGGCCAAACATCTTAGAAATTGAAAACTGGAAGAATTAGGTCATGTCATCAAAACTTGCTATTTGCTAAGGAAAATGACTTAGAAATGCTTTAGAAGATATCTGCCTGTAATGGAAAAAATATCTGAGCCATAAATAGGAGTTAAATGTAATGAACTATGAAAGTGATGCTCTACTACCTAATAAATATTTTTTAAAAGGGTGTTCCACTTTAATATTAACTGAGCCATTCATATACAAGTACACAGAACATATACCTTTGCACATAATTTTTAACAATGAATTTATGACCTGTCAACTTTTTTCTTCAAGAACCACGTTATAAAAGTTGACTCATTTAATTAGCCATCAATAAATATATAAAAAACAATTTTAGAGTCAGATAAACAGTAGTGGATTATCTTGGAAAGAAACGGGAGTTTTCCTTCTGAGAATGAATGGAAGGTGGCAGACGCTGTCTGGGACACAGTGTTCAACGCTTCCCTTTCCTTCTGCATAACAGCGTAACCAAAATGGATGCCAGAGACTACTTACTCATCTTTGTACCTGACATGGTCTAAAGCAGGATGTTTATACTCAGCTATCTCAAATCCCTTTTGAAATACAGTGGAAATAAAATAAGTAAATACAACATATATGCATTCCCCAAAGTGTCAAAAACTATTGAATAAGTTACTCAATTTTGCTAAGAAATAGCTGAGTTTAATGTAAATTTATTAATAAGTCAGACATAAATTGAAATTGCTATTTGATTTATGGAAATATCTTGGCTAACTTGTAGACTAAACTTAACTGCCCTAATGCAGGCAGAAGTCTTTCCCCAGATTATCAGACCAGAAGGCCAGGGAATTATTCCATAGTAATGAAGATATCTTTTCATCCCCAAATTGAAAACAATGTTAGAAAGTTCCTGGTATAATCACTTTAATTAAGTGCAATTCATTTGATCCTTACACAGATCTTCCAGGATTACTGCTTACATATAGACAATTATAAATATCCAGAGACTTCCCAGTTCTTATTACAGGAAACTAAAATGACTTAATAAACAATGCATTCTCCCATAATTTGGGCCGATTCTATTTTCATTATAGTGCTTTCCTATATTTTGTACCAAACAAAAAACAAACACTTATTCCTTATTGTTGAACTGCTATGGCTTGAGCCTTTGAAAATAAAAGTCAGGTTCAAATATAAGCGGACCATGGAAAACAGCCGATGCCTTCTGTCACAATGACACTCTGCCTGTCAACATCCAAAACAGAAAGCAGATCCAGTTTGGAGCTTCCAGCAGCATGACCAGAAATGTAATTTAGAACAAAATTTGTAATAGTAATAGAAGGAATGAGAGGTTTGTGTTGTTATTATTATTCTTTAATTGACTATATTGGTCATCTAAGAAAGTAAAAACTCCTTTTTTGGCTTTTTCCAACCCAAAGCCACCTGAATGTTTTGTAAAGAGCCATCACAATAATCAAAGTAGTGGTCCATTTGTGCAGGATAGTGGGAAAGTAGCTTAGTGCACTTTAAGATATGAGGAATTTGTAGCGTTAAGCAGGTAACTTTGACATCACCTAAATCTATGCGCCAAATGCCTTTTGTTTCATATTTCTAAATGAATTTTTCCTTCAAGACATTCCCTGAGTCATCAGACCTAGCTCAAATTGAAATGTACTGCCAGACGCGGTGGCTCACATCTGTAATCCCAGCACTTTGGGAGGCTGAGGTGGGCGGATCACTTGAGGTCAGGAGTTCTAGACTACCCTGGCCAACATGGTGAAACCCCGTCTCTACTAAAAATACAAAGATTAGCCGGGCGTGGTGATGCATGCCTGTAATCCCAGCTACTCAGGAGGCTGAGGCAGGAGAATCGCTTGAACCTGGGAGGTGGAGGTTGCAGTGAGCTGGGATTGCACCACTGCACTCCAGCCTGGGCAACGGAGTGAGACTCCATCTCAAAAACAAAAAAAACAAAAAAACAAAAAAAACATTTGAAATGTACTGAGATACTACGCATGACCACCACTGATAGGCATTATTTGTTGTCACAGTGTTCTCATCCCTGAAGGGTTTCAGGGACTTATATGTCTCTGGGCCAAGCTGTACTTATTGATTCAAATGCCTGCCTTCCACAGTACACAAATTTGACATGACAGTTCAATATATGCACTTACTTCTTATGTTTCCTAAAGTAACCATTGAATTATTTGGGTAAAACTTACCAGAATGTCTTCAGGTAACAGTAATTACAAATGTCATTTGGTTAGGGAAGATATAATGTGAGACAGGAAAGGAAAGGAAGAAAGAAAAGGAAAAGAAACAATTCCAAAATAAATTGTTCTGTAACAATAGCTTCCTTTTAGCTCAGTCATCTAGAAAAAGAATAATTCAATAGCATTCAATGCTATTCAACAATATGGCAAGATCTCTAAGCCAACTTCTACAGAGTTTATCATTTTTGTTACAGAAGCAATAATCTTTTGTTGGATCATGCCCAGCACAAAATCCCAGACAAATGTTTAAAAGGGGAGCTTTCACTTAATATAAAAACTCTTAAAAGACTTACCTAGCCTCTGCAACTCATTTGTAAATCATGTGTTAAAATTGTCTACCTACCTTCATTATACATCAGATTTTGGATAACAAAGATATCATCTGAAGAAAAAATTTGCTAGTGGTGATTTGAAAGAAAAAAAGAAACCTAAGACACAAAAACTCTTTCACAACAGTTCAAAAATCTTGAGGCCAAATTTATGCATTCATTTGGCTTTCAGCAGGCAACTGCTTTGTCCTCAGCAGTATTATGCAAGCTTACTTAAGAATGCAGAAGAGCTCAGAGAGCTGAAAATTCTATTCCCATTGCCATGGTGAAAACCACAATGAATGAAGATAGCAGCCCCCAAGCACAAGTAGGGTGGTCTCCAGTATCCCCATGGAACACCACCACTAAACTTGAAAACAATGTTATTACACAACTTAGAAGTGAACTCTCCATCTAGGATCTAAACACATACTTCAAATATCATTTCAGAGAAACAGATCCTCTTTCTCCCCATCCCACCAACAATGACAAAACCAACAAAAGACAGTCACGAAAAACAGGAATTTTTGAGTATCCAAAAAAAATGTATGAATAACATTCACAACAGATATTTCTCATGTTCTGGAGAAATGCAGCTCCTTATTGCACAATCCAGGAGTATTTTGTACAAAACCTCCCAGAGGACACCCCCACTGAGATGATCAATCAGCCCACAGTGGCTTCAGGATGCTTTTCAAAAGTCAAGTCTTTGAAGAATGTTAACATTTCACTACTTCCTTTTCCGAAGGTTATTGAATCAAGAAGTCATTGTCCCCTATCAATCTTTGCAGGGAAAAAGAGAAATCTACAACTTCCTGATCACACAACTGCTTGGCTTACGGACAACATTCCATATTTCAAGCAATTATTACATATTAAACCATTGTATTATAAATAAGCGGTTTATTATAGGGGAGCCTTCCTTAGTGACAATCTCTGTCAGAGGGATATTTAAATAAAAGGCTAAATTTACCTTTTATAATATTTTGCTGCCTATAATAAACACATGTCTGCACGGGTAGTATGATATGTATGCGTGAATAACCTGTTTATTCCTGGGGGCAGTGAGTTGCTCTATGTACGAATATGCACATCAACTGTAGTTGCTAATATTTCATCAAAAGGCCACACTCCAGGGTGGCTGCTACAGATCTGCTTTCCTTATTTTTATGTCCACACCAACCTGAGAAGTTTTTCTAATTGGCAAAACGGGTATAAGAGGTGGGGGTTTTTGTTAGTAAAATTATTGGTGCTCAATATATGTGGATTTGGATAGAATCTAAAGACATTCTTCCCTTTTATGTGTAACACTAGAATAATCCAGGGAGCTAAGGAGGTGAGCCACTTTTTGGAAGTGAGGTGCTTTTTGAAATGGTTGCTGAACTTGATTCCAAAATAGTGGTATATCCAAGCATGATTCACAGGACTTCGGTTGCCTTATTCCTTCTCTAAGCTTAACCAAGTCCTGCCCTTATAATAGTGTTGTGTTTATCTCACGAGGACCCTTTCATATCAGCTGTGATTGAAGCACCTACAGGGACAGAGACCTGGGACTTTCATGAGCTTCAGAAAAGGCGCTATGATTACTGGGGCCTGATTGCTATGACATATCTGTGTGGGAATGTTATGAGTATGCTTCTGTATTTGCAATGGAATTGTCGGGAAGTAGAACTATAGCCCTTGCCTACCTCTAAATAATGACAAGCACTGCCAGCTATTTACAAAATTCAATTTCTCCTTCTGAGGCACATACTTAAACTGTATTTCCCAGTGTCTCTTCAGTGGGATGTGGCCATTAAGTGAAATCTAGCTAAGGAATATGGGAGTAAGTGATGTGTGCTGTTTCTCATCATGGCTTTTAAGAAGTAGATGGATACAGCTTCCCATACTCTCTTTCACTTCTGTGGGACATAAGTATTAGAAGAGACTTAGGGGATGGTATACCTATCAATAGAACCTGGATTCTTGAATCATCATATGGAAGCTGACTGGTAATATCTACTTGGGCTGTAATGTGAGCTAGAAATAAACTTTTACCGTGTTTCAACCGTTATACATTTTTAGGTCTATTTATTACCATGGTCCCACCTACCTAACTGAATCAGGAGACTATCGATACTTACAAGAAATAATCTAGTAATTGTTTATGACCAGACTGATTTAGAACACTTTGAAAATATTCAACTATAAATGATCAGTGCACTTTATTTGAAGAACATTTGAGAAAAAAATTGTATTGGGGAATTAGCAGACAGAAATTTTACCAAGCAATTTTAGATTTTTACATATGACTTTTGACTGACCACTACTTCTAAGTCTTTCTAATTTTTTTCTTTTCTTTTTCTCATTCAGGAATCACAGCAGGAATCTTAATTATACTACCATGCCTAAAAATAGCAGCTAGCAATTCTTGAGAACTAACTATGTTTTGGGAACTGTCCTCAGAGCTTTCTGGCGATTGATTAATTTCACAACATTAAGAGGCAGATGCCACAATTGTTCCCATTTTATAAAGAAGAAACTGAAGTACAGAGAGACTACTTCCCCAAATTTATACAAATTGTAGGCCAGGTGCAGTGGCTCACGCCTGTAATCCCAGCACTTTGGGAGGCCAAGGCGGGTGGATCACGAGGTCAGGAATTCAAGACCAGCCTGGCCAAGATTGTGAAACCCTGTCCCTACTAAAAATTAAAAAATTAGCCAGGTGTGGTGGCGGGCTCCTGTAATCCCAGCTACTCGGGAGGCTGAGGCAGAGAACTGCTCGAACCCGGGAGGCGGAGGTTGCAGTGAGCCGAGATTGCACCATTGCACTCCAGCCTGGTCAACAGAGCAATACTCCCGTCTCAAAAAAAAAAAAAGAAAAAAATTGTAAATGGCAGCAAGGGAACCTGAACCCATGTCTAGCACCAGTAGGCACTCTCTTAACATCTTCACTATATTACACCTGCCTTCTGCAGATATCACAGTAGATTCAAAGATGAACGAGCCCTAACTCTACCCCAAGGAGTTTATAAAATTAGACATAATACAAAGTAGTACAATATATGCATCGCTAAGTGAAATACAACATATTGTGGACTTTCAAAAGAGGGAGAGATGATATCTAATCAAAGAAATCTGGAATATTTAACGAAGGAAAAATAGCATTTGTTATTCATTTTAATCCAATTTAACATACTTGTATTATGCAATATTTTATGCCAATTCTTCAGAGCCTGTGGTCAAATAATAACTATGAAATGTATCCACATTGATATGTACTCAGGAAAATATCCTAATCTTTAAAGTAGGAAAATAAGATTAAAATATTCGTAAATTATGTTCTTATTTAAATGTCAAACCCGAAACTACTCAGGATTTTTTTTTTTTTTTTTTAGGAATTGGGGGTAGGGGGGGTGGGTCTCACTATGTTGCCCAGGCTGGCCTCAACCTCTCTGCTCAAGAGATCCTCCTGCCTCAACCTCCTGTGTATCTGGGACTACAGGCGTGTGTCATCACAACCGACTAGTTTTTTTTTTTTTTTTCTTTAAGTAAGTTTTAAATGAATTTTTCTGTTGTGTTGCTGTCTTTAATAAGTGAACATATGTTTGCATTTGCACAAGTGTATTAAACTCTAACATGCATATTGACAAGTGTACATATAAGGTCAGAGCTCAAGGAATTTTCATAAGCTGAAGACACCATGTAAACTTTACAAACATTAAAAAGAATCAACCAGCACCCCAGTAGCCTTCCTTCTATTCCTTTTTAATCACCACCCCTTCCCAAGGGTTATCCTACCTCCTGACAAAATAGATTGGTTTTGCCTCTCTTTGTACTTAAATAAATGGAATCATAAATTATGGACTCTTTTGCTATGGCTTCTTTGACTCAAATTTATGTTTACGAGACTCATCCATAGTGATGAGTATAATTAGAATTGGTTTATTTTCATTGCTGCATAGCATTTCATTATGTGAATATACCACAATTTATCCACTCTACTGTTCATAGGCATTTGGACAATTTCCAGTGTTTGATTGCTCAAAAAAATAATTCTGGGAACATTCTCATATGCCGTTTCATTCACATATCTATACATTTTTGTATGGACTATATGGAGGGGTGAAATTGCCAGATCACAGGGTATAAAAGCATTTAGAAAGATATTACCTATTTGGAAATCAAGCTCAATAAATAATGTTATGAGTTAGTAGTAGCACAAACCAAATGAGAAATGCTTAATAAAATAAGCATTAGCTGTGAGAATATGTGTCAACATTCACACAACATCTTCCTAATTCCATCTTCCATCTTCCTCTTTCCAGTATCAGATTTTAGCCACAGTTCATTAGAAGCTTATCTTGTCATTTTTCAGGAAATTTATTTTATAATACCACATTATGCTTCAGGGCATGTGTTTCAGGACAACTGAGGGAGTCTTCATGGTGGATTTGGGCTGGAGTTGAGGTAGAGCAAGGGCCCCTGCATTTGGTGTTATCAGTCTTCTGGGACTTTCTTGGGGTACTGTTTTCACTTCTTCTTCTTATTTCTAGTTTAGTAAATTTCACATATAATGCTTCAAGCTGCTGTGGGCTTATTTTTTTTGCCATTTGTGTTAAAACATGCTATGAAATTCTTGCTTACAAAACTTGGATAGAAGGCATGATAACACCAATTATTTGTCTTATCTCTGCCCAACCACCTAAATGATATAATTACTGGCAACTGAGGTTTTTTCCTATGCCTGTTGGCATTTAGACCCCTAAGAGTATTATACAGGCTAGGGTAAATTAACCTGAGAGAAAATAGCATGGTAACTTATTTCAAAACACAAATCATTTTTACTAGAACCAGGCCAAATCAATGTCTTTGAGAAGCTACAGGGTCTTGAGTCAAATTACTGGGGGTGGACATGGTACTTTTTCCTAAACACACAATGAAAAGGATCACTCTGATTATAAAGTCTGAGTTTCCCTTTCTAACCCGTCTGTGGCACATGACCAGTTTATTTGGTGGAAAACACATTCCTCAGACCCCAGGACAGGCCAACTTGTCCTAGTTTAACTTGTGCTGTGCTTTTTTGTAATAGCAACCTAAGACGGAAACATCTGGAAAAATACCATGACTGAGCTGGTGGGATCAAAGACCAAAGTGAAATGCTCTATTGTTAATTTCCAGGAACTGACACAGAACGCAGAGTGAAATAACTCAGCTGGGCATGAATCCCGTTGGATTTCTGAAAAGCTTGCATACTACTATATTGCCTCAGCCGATAACTGAAGGAAAAGTAGTTCAGCAAAGTTGAGGAAAAACAAATTTTTGTGCATGTGTATGCACATGCATGTGTATGCATACGCACATGTGGAAGAACTCAGGTCTGTGTTCAACATGTTAATAGTGTATTCCTCTGCTGGCAAAGACAGCTTGCCATAAAAATACTGAAAAAAAAAAAAACAAAAAACAAAAGCAAGCTGAAGAAACACTTAAGTCCTTCATGAATTGAAATTAAGAACTGTGCTTGCAAAGAAGCATCCCGGTGCCCCACCAGACTGAACTCCAGGGGGCAGTGGCTTTCTGGCATATCTTTGCTCCCCTTGGCAGCTGGGGCAGTGTCTGGCTCATAGTTTTGCAGTAACCGAAGGTGTACTGGATGAAGGATTAATAAATGCATAAATGAATGGGAGAATAAATACAACAAGCAGCAAAGCTTCATAGTCTCAGTGCTGAATTCAAAGTGAGAAGTCTAAACCTTGACACTTTTCAAGCCTTTCTCATTTGCAGCCAGTTTGCCTCCTTGAACTTTGTTCAATACATTACGAAGAAAGAAAGAAAACAATACTTACCTACCTTGAGTAGACATTTGATGCTTAGATATTTGCAGAATCAGGACTAGAAAGGTCCTTCAGACATCACCCCTAGATTCTCTGTCCATAGCAAGTGTATAATGACAGAATGGATGTGAAATGAAGAAATGTCCAAGAAATGAGATTATGCAGTCTCCTTGGGTAACGACTGAAGTTAGAGTACTGAGCAAATGTAAATTGCAACAGAAATGGTAAAGAAAATTAATATGAACTGACGTCTTTGATGAGAGTAAGAGTAGTAAGACTATGTGGGGAAAAATAATCTGAACAATTTGAATCAGGTTCTATTGACTCAATGATCAAGCCCTAGAATATAAACCCAAGGAGGGCTGATATGTTTATCTGTTTTGTTCATTAATGTATCCCAAGGGTTGAGAACAATGCCAGACATATTACAGATGCTTAGCACATGTTTGTTGAATGAATGAACCTTAATATGTTAAAAAAAAAAAAGAGGAGGCATGAAACTCCATTATATTAGGCCAATTCATTCTCCAGTTCATTTACTCTATGTTTTCCCCAACTGTGGTGCCACACAATGATACTTTTGATCATACAGTTTAAAGGACAAAAAGGTAGAGAATAAAATGCCTTTTCCCTTCCCCTACCTTGAGCTCCTTTTCCATACAACCTCTGAATATTTGGGCAATAAAGTCAAAAGTCTGCAGCTGGAGAACAGTGGTATCAGTTTCATGTACTTAATGTGTGAATGCAGTATGTAATTGCAAGAGAAAAGAGAAAGTGCTAGCTTTCTCTCTTTTACAGTTTGTGTGAACATAAATCAAATACAGGAAAGTTATAAAGTCATTGTGCAGTTTTTTAAACATTTATAATTCTGATGTCAGAGGTGGTAGAAAAAATTTGTAAATGGCATGCAAATCAAATTTTCCTCCTAAAGTTGTTAAAACCTGAGTTCTGCTAGTCCCAGCACCTATTTTTATCTTCTTGTCTACCATAGGCATATGAACATTTGTCACAGGTACTTGAATAATGAATACATCTTGTACAATCACATAAGGGTTTTCTTCTTAAACATGAACATGTTTTTGTTTTAAAATGTCATCTGCAGATTTCTTCTAGCCTGCCGATACATTTAGGTTATTCCAAGTTTAGAAGAGCCCGAAGGTGTAGGGAGACTCCTCTTAACTCCAGGAAGAAACAAAGGTGGGATAGGCCAAGTTGCTTTTATTACACTTCTTACCAGTGTCCAGTGTCTTTTCTCTTCTTTGGAATCATCCTGCCTTATTCATATCCCTCTTGAAACAGGACAGGACTGGACTCTACCAAAAAGACTAACTACCCAAGCTTTTTCCCAAAGGCACTGTTGGTTAACAGACATGTTGCAGAAGAATCTGTGTGAAGCCCTCAACTGCTCTGACTTGGGTGCCCCCAGAGGCTAAATTAGGTCACACCAGCTGCATAATATTAAATGGGGCAGGGGCGGCCGGAGCAACGCTGTGAGAAGCTGACATTCCTCAAAGCATGAATTGGAAGCCAAAGTGGTAGTTTTTGTTTTGCCTTTTGAAAATACATCTTTCTATTTCCCTCTGTCATTTAACTAACAGCTCCTCTAACTTTCCACCCGCTCAAAAGGCAAAAGAGACGGAGGGAAGGAGTCACATCAAGGACCAATTTTCCTTAAGCAAAATTCTTCCTTGTTAGCCATTCTGCAAAAATTCATTAGCTGAATTAACCATTCTCCACGGACCTCATCTTTATTCCTCTCTTCTTTCCCCTCCCCGCTTCTTTTTAACCTTTCAGCACAGAATTAAGTCTTTGTGATATTCAGCACATCAATGAACTCACCCAGCCAGGCGGAGCTCCTGGGCCGGGGCAGGGGCGACTTTGTGGGCTGCATTCCAATTGACTGGGGTGGTGACAAGGAGACCCAGCCCCAGCCATCAAATGGGCCCTGTGTCTGAGTATGATTCATAACACAAACATGTTTAGAAAGCGAAAGAAAGGAAGAAAGGAGCATGGGATTTGAAGTCATTGAGTCAGTATTGTTGCAAGATTTAGAGCATTATGTGGGGAGAGAAAGAGTGTTAGTCTTGTGTCCTAGCACCCAATCCACAGACAGATCTGCATCAAAACAAGGCATTTCACATCTTCTAAGATAAGCCCAAATTAAAACAAAACCAAACAAACCCCACATCTACTCTTCCCACTCCACCATCCCACTCCCACCCTGTCCTGGTAAAATAAATGAATGCATGAAATAAACAAGTAAGTCCTGGTCAATCTTACTTACATATTTTATCTTATGAATACTGTAGTATGCCAAATTAGCTGCTAATTCTTTACATGGGATTTGAAAAAAATGCTGCAGGGATTTTTAAATATTCAATGAACTTAAAGAACAAATGGAATATAATAGATTCAAAATGAAATGATTGCCTAGAAGTATGCTCTGATTCCTAAAATAAGATTTTTTTTTAAAGGGTAAAGTTTTTTTGGTCTTTTTTTTTTTTTTTTTTTCCAGAATGCCATATAACTAAAATCTGAGTAAAAGGAATTGGCCATGTCTAACTTTTCTCTTACTCCCTTATTTTTAACAGACTTATGTACATTTTATCCAGAAATCTCCTAACAATGCAAGTAGCGTCTGGGGGAAGTAAAAGCTGCATATTAAAAGTAGGGTGGAAGAGAATGTCAGCTTGAATGTGTGCAGCCCCTAAAGATTATCATCCACTTTAAATGATAAAGATCGGCAAGGCCCCTCATTAAAGCAGAATTCCTTGAAGCTCCCAATAGCGGTTGTGCATTTTCTTCATTTATAAAATACAATATCTGATTCAGTCACAGAAACCTCACAATATTGTCTTATCTTTGACAAAATTAAACAGCTTTGCCTTTCCTATCTTCTACTCTAGTAATCTTTGGCATTAACATGAAATTTCTGCTGTGACCAAACAGCCTTGCCGACTTTACAGCATGTAAAGAATCCCATTCATCCTGAGCTGCCTGGGAGATAAAGGTGGGAAATGGGTGTAATGTTTAGTGATACACAAATATTGCTGCCCAATGATCAGAATACAGATTCCACAGATTCACCTTCCTTAAACGTTTCAGTAATGTTTTCCTTATTTTATTTTATAATATTTATTTTTTAAGAAATGGTTAGGGCATGGATTTAGCTTCCCAATTAGTAAGTAGGTGAATCAGTCTACATTTCAAATGTGGGCTGTACCAGTCCATCTACTTAGCTTCTGGAGACAGCTTCAACAAAACCCAGAACAGGCTGCACTCCCTTTTGTCCTGACCCCAATCTTGCTTATGAAAGAGAACACTTTTAGATGTGAAAAAAATGGCAAATAATGAGTTGTTTCTCTACTCTGGACTTCTTGTGAAATACAACTACAATTCCTTCATCTCTCCCTAGTCCCTAAGTTTAAGCTGATGTCACTAATGTGATCACAGTGCTCTAAAGTTACAGTGTTTTACCTATCATTGAACAAAGAAAAAGAGAAACATTTCCAGCCAGCTTTGGATGAAATGGTTTCAAAACATATTTGGTATTCCCATCCTCTTCTCTGGATAAGTAAGGAAACAAAAAGTGAAAAGCTTTATAACCAATAAATGTCTCATTCATTATATGTGAAATAAGAGTTGAATTAGTCTTCTGAAATGAATCAAAATGTTTTAGCTTTTACTAAAGTTGTAATATTCCTAATTGAGCAAAGTAGTTTAAGTTCATGATTCTTTCTAAATCTTATTTTTTTAAAGGTTTTAATCATTTCAGAAATGAAGGACAGATGAAGAAATTTTTTTAAAAAATTTAATCATTTCGAGTTGTATAAATATTAGGCCCATATAGATTTTTAACAATCATATTCTCCTGCTTGCAAAGAGTTCATAAGTTATTTTTCTATCTTTTCCTGAGAGTCTTTCCCTAAGGTAAACCTCACCAATATAGGTTATGATTGACTAAATTTTTTTTAGAAATATATTTAAAAATCCAAGTACTTTTTATAACTCTTAATAAGATACATATTTCTTTTACAGAAGTAAAAATGTCGAGAATAATGATTTTCAATAAAGTGAACAAAGCACAAAGCGCTTTTATAGAAAATGCACAGCCTAACAGCCTGTGTGTTCCTAGAAGGTCTGGATCACCAGCTGTGTTTGCACCTGCTTAGCTGCCCCTGGCCTTTACGCTAACAGGCAAGCCTCCTTCAAATCAGGCTATCTGGAGTCTGTATTCACTCTTCTCCCACAGCTCTTTTCCTAATTGAGGCACATCACACTCTCAGAAATAAGGCTTATTTTCCAAAGACTTTGGAGTGTCTGAAGATTAAGGTCTGGGTTACTATATAATCCTCAACTTACAGAGTACGCCTTTGCCCATCAAAATGTAATCCATACCTCAATTTGAACCTCTTTAGGTAGGTTTGGTTAATGGATCATTCATCCTTTGTGTCTTCTTTCTGTAAGTAGCAATGAATGTTGCCAGCATCATGGGGGAGAAATAGTAAGACAAGCACTTAAAAGAACTGTTCTAAAAGAAGCAAACAGGAGAGTGCTTACCAGCCAGAAACTGGGAACAACCACACCGGTTTCCTTAATGTATCAAAATGACAAGATTTTTAAAATACATGAGTATAACCCAAGACTCCCTTCCAGAACTGATTTGTAGATACTGAAGGAAGTGGGGTTTGTGACGTTTGAGTAGGGAAATTAATATCTCAAGACTTTCAGTAGGGAAGAAGGAGGTGAACTTGGTCAAAAGTTAGAAAACTTTCAAGAGGCTGTTTGAAAAGTGTAAATAATTTTATTTTCACTTTCCTTCCTTGTAAGAGATACTTGAGGGATATGAATTTGGTGAGAGACAGGAAAAGAAGACCCTCATGGTATGCTGTCGCAAACAACAACAGTAGCAAGATAAAAACTGTTATAAGTTCTATAGATTGTATTTGCCCAGAAGTTTCTCAATTTGTACCAGAAGTCCTGAAGTTACGTGTCCTGGAAAGAACTTCCTTCATATAGTTCCGTTCTTATAGACAGCAATATCATATCTTTAGGTTCTGAATCTGTGTTTTTCCCCCCCCTCAAAACTAGGAAATACTTTGGTAACAGAATTGAAAAGGAGTTGTGCTTTATCATTTCTGTTTTGCCAGGAAGGCATTCTTATTCCTAGTGGTAGCAATATCCAATATCTGTCTATCAGATAACAACAACAACAAAAAAAACTAAATCACAAGTGTGAATGCCCGTTTACTCTCCTGTTATATCCCCTAAAAGAAAGCCTTCCCATCATGGAGAAAAGGCAAAAGATTGAAAGTAAAACTCCAAAATTCACCAAAGTGATGCTCAGGTATCATATTTGCTTATTGGTTTAAAATTCTTCAATGATAAAAATGTTTGCTTTAAACTTTTCATAAAATATAACCAATAATTTAAAAATTTCTCAGAGATATTACTAAATGTTGAATTCTACAACTTGAAGTCTTAGGTTCATAACACAACAAACACACACATACTGTGATGAAATAGATTCCAGCATTATGACTGATCCTGCATATTGAAATAATAAAAAAATTAAAAAAAATTCTCATTGTCATTTAGGAGATTTCACTGGGTGGATGACAGTCTACTGTTCCACTTTTTGGTTTACAAGGTATGAAATCAGATGTTTCATGATAAAAATTATCATCATTTCCAATTGAATATTCAAATGGCAAGATCCCACATTAACGGGTGGACAAGTTCAAGGTTCCAAGTTCATTCCCACTGGTAAACAGTGGAGAAATTAATGGGGACTATTTTGGAAATTCACAGCTGTCATCTGTTTCTACTTCCCCAAAGCAGTCCAATAAAAGGATATTGGGGAGAGGATGGAAAAGGCTGAAAAATGGTTTCAGACTGTCACATTAATAATTTGAAGGTTGGCTATATGAAAAAATCTTTTTATATGACATATTTGAATTCTGTTCCTTTACCTGGAGAAATGCACACCTACAAAACCAATGTGAGGAATCTGTACACTCATAAAGAATGGTCAGGTAGACTAGTTGTCTTAATACTTGGCTAGCCCAGTAACACAAAGAATGAGGCAATCATAAACAATTGGTTTGGGTTTTTTATTGTTGCTACCATTACTATTATTACTAATGATTAAGTCTTCAGGAGATGATCATATCTCATGCCCTTTTTAGCAGATTTTGTTATTTCATTGTATTGCATTTAAACATCCAATTGTTCTAGCCTTATTTGTTAATCACAGGTCAATAACCTGGGAGCAAGTACCAGGAAATGACAAGTTATGAGAGAAGCTGTGCTGCTATCATAATCTTCTATGTAAGTGGCAGCAGACTATATGGTATGTTCTAATGTTAGGTATAATGAATTCTAAAATAATTATGCTGGTGCAGTTAACGTCAAGAAGAAAACACAGGCCGGGAGCAGTGGCTCACGCCTGTAATCCCAGCACTTTGGCGGATCATCTGATGTCAGGAGTTTGAGATCAGCCTGACCAACATGGAGAAACCTCATCTCTACTAAAAATACAAACAATTAGCCAGGCATGGTGGCACATGCCTGTAATCTCAGCTACTCAGGAGGCTAAGACAGGAGAATTGCTTGAACCTAGGAGGCGGCAGTTGCAGTGAGCTGAGATGGTGCCATTGCATTCCATCCTGGGCAACAAGAGCGAAACTCCAACTCAAAAAAAAAAAAAAAAAAGAAGAAGAAGAAGAAGAAAACACAATGCGCAACAGCTACAAATTCCTTATAAAAATACACTCTTTTATCTGGAAAGTTCTCATGACAACTCCTTTCCTTCAGCAGTTTATTTTGGGTTAGGAGCCTCATTTGTGTGGCTTGTAAGGAAGACAAGTGTATTAGTCCATTCTCATGCTGCTAATAAAGACATACCTAAGACTGGATAATATATAAAGGTAAGAGGTTTAATTAACTCACAGTTCCATGGGACTGGGGAGGCCTCAGGAAACTTACAATCATGGCGGAAGGGGAAGCAAACACGTCCTTCTTCACATGGCAGCAGCAAGGAAAAGTGCAGAGCAAAAGGGAAAAAAGCCCCTTAAAAAACCATCAGATCTCATGAGAACTCACTCACTATCACGAGAACAGCATGAGGGTAACAGCCCCATGTTTAAATTATAATAGCTCCAACCAGGTGCCTCCCATGACATGTGGGGATTACAGGGAACTACAATTCAAGATGAGATTGGGGTGGGGACACAGCCAAACCACATCACCAAGAATCAAAGAAAGGATGCTACTTGTGTATAATTCTCAACAAATCTCTTGTAGTACTCAGATTATCTAAGACATTACACAAAGATTTACTTGGTTAGAATATCAACAACACTTCTATGTGCCAAATGGCTTTAGTTAAATCTTGCTTCAGGAGTATTTGAAGCATATATTTTTCAACTACATAATGCAATAAATCTAAAGGATCTGACAGGAGGAATACAGGATGTTTCGCAATGCACAAAGGCAAAGCATCACACTCAGCTTGGGGAAAGAAAGGCTTCTTTTTTTTTTTATTTTTTGAGATGAAGTGTCACTCTTGTTGCCCAGGCTGGAACACAGTGGTACACCCTTGGCTCACTGCAACCTCCATCTCTTGGGTTCATGCGATTCTCCTGCCTCACCTTCCTGAGTAGCTGGGATTACAGGCACCTACCACCATGGCTGGCTAATTTTTCTCAGGGAACATAATGCAAAAGCTGACACACAAAGGATACATGAGAATCATGTGAGGTGAGGAAAAGTGATCCCAGGCATAGGAATCAATATCTGTGACAAAGACCTGAAAGAATTTCAATGTAGAAAGAGTCAAGCATGAGAAAGGAAACAGAGCAAGTGAGATAAAGTAGTGCCAGGGCACACTGGACCTCACATAAGTCATGTGGAGTTGTCTGGATGCTTTTATCAAAGCAACATGGAATTGGGGAAGGATCCTCTGCAGTACTGTGACATGCTTATATTTTAACATGCTCACTCTGGTTAGAATTGGATTAGAAGTAGGAGAAATTCGACCCAGTAAAACCAATTGAGAAACTGCAACAGTACAGCAGGTGAGGGATGGGAGTGGCAGGAGCTACAGTAAAGGCAAGGGGAAGGAAGAAGGTAAAATCTCTGTATTGAACTCCTATGAGCCAGCATATGTATTATTTATATTATATATGATACACAACACATATTATATATTTTTAAAGAGCACATACAAAATAGTTATAGAAAATTATCGTTTTTCCTAAAGTAGCTCATGCATTAAAATGAAAGTGTAACCCAAATACTGTGAAAGTGAATAATACAAAAGGTTTTAAAATAATTTGACCTTAGATCTGGAAAGTCAATGAAAATTAGAAGTAGATTTCCATCTTAGGGTCTGAATCACACAATAAAGGAATAAAGGAATCACACAATAAAGGAATAAAGGAATCACACAATAAAGGAATAAAGTTGTAAGAAAGCTTAAATAAATGAAAACTGTGAAAAATGAGAAACACCAGGTAGGTATGAATAGGTTATTGAATAAAGCTGTCAGCAACTGCGCCAGGAGCTCAGCCTCGTATGGTTGATAATGTGGGCTATGAAGGAAACATCCCTATTGTGTGAATGTGAAGTAGAAGGGCACCCGAGTAAAGGAAATTGCAAAGTGGAGCTACAGAAAAATTTATCACCTGTTTATGTGCCAGTCCACAGTCACATAAACAGGTAGTAAGATAACATCCAATTTAATATTACGGGGATTGTTACAAAGTGAAAAAAATGGTACTGCAATTTTTCAAAATGAGGAAAATGTACTGGTATAATTTCAGAGATCTGGAATCTCTGTGGCTATCATATCTCATTTCTGTAATATATTAATGTGAAAATTAGAGAGAGGGCACTGCACATTTCTAGACTATTTCCCAGAAGTCTTAAAAGTAATAGGGCAAAGAATCGTAGCATTATTTGAGTACTAAAGTTACAGTTTTATTTTGTACTCTTAAATTGTTTTAGACATTTTCATTAGGTACAAGCAACATATAATAAATGCCACGTATTTGAAAGGTACAATCTGATAAGGTTAGGCATATGTATACCCAGGAAGCCATGGCCACAATGAAGATAATGAACATATCTATCACTCCCCAAAGGTTCCCATTTGTAACCCTCCCTTCCACCCCTGCCAGCACTTCTCCCTCCAATCCACAGGCAACTATGGATTGCTTTCAATCATAACAGGTTAGTTTGTATTCTCTGGAGTTTAGAGAATATAAATGAAATAATACATATGTACTCTTCATCTGGCTTCTTTCACTCAGCATAATGATTTTGAGAGTCACCCTAATTGAGCATATTATCAATAGTTCATTCATCTTTATTGTAACAGTCCATTGCATAGGTATATCACAATTTGCTTATCCATTCACCTGTTGATAATGTCTGTGTTCTTTCCAGTGCTTGACTATTGCAAACAAAGCTGCTATAAACATTTGTATACAAGTCTATGTATATATGGACATATATTTCCTTTTCTTATGGGATAATACCTAGGAGTGGAATGGTTGAGCCATACAGTAAGTGTTTAACTTTTGAAGTCACTGCCAAACTGCATTAGCAGTTTATGAGAACTCCAGTTCATCCTCGCCCATATTTTGTATGGTTTTCCTTTCTAATTTTAGCAATTCTAATACGTGTGAAGTGGTAGTGTATTGTGGTTTTTGATTTGCATTTCCCTAATATCTAATGATGTGGAGCATCTTATATGCTTATTTGCTGTCCATATATTGTTTTTGATGAAGTGTCCAAATCTTTTTCCCATTTTTGCTAATGGATTATTTTATTATGAAGTTTTGAGAGTTCTTTATATATTCTGACGCAAGTCCTTTATCAACATACAATATGCTAATATTTTCTCTTCATCTGTAACCTGTCTTTTCATTCTCCTTTTTAAAAAAAATATGAGACATGGTTTCACTATGCTGCCCAGGCTGGTCTCAAACTCCTGCCCTCAAGTGACCCTTCAGCCTTAGTGTTCAGAGTAGCTGGGATTCTAGGTTCAAGCTACCATGGCCCACTGTCTTTTCATTCTGTTAATAGTCTTTTTTAAGATGGTGGTAAAAAATATATATCATAAAATTTGCTATTTTCACTATTTTTATGTGTACAAGTGAATGGCATTAAATAGATTTGCAATATTACGTGACCATTACCACTATTTCCAAAACTTTTTCATCACCTCAAACAGAAATTCTGTAACCATCAAGCAATAACTCCCTATTCTCCATTCCCTCCAGCTCCTGGTAAGCTCTAATTTACTTTCTTTTCTTTTTTTCTTTTTCTTTTTTTTTTTTTGAGATGGAGTTTCACTCTTGTTGCCCAGGCTGGAGTGCAATGGCACCATCTCGGCTCACTACAACCTCCACCTCCCGGGTTCAAGCGATTCTCCTGCCTCAGCCTCCCGAGTAGCAGGGATTACAGGCATGTGCCACCACGCTTGGCTAATTTTGTACTTTTAGTAGAGGTGGGGTTTCTTCATGTTGGTCAGGCTGGTCTCGAACTCCCGACCTCAGGTGATCCACCCACCTCGGCCTTCCAAAGTGCGGGGATTAAAGGTGTGAGCCATCGCGCCTGGCCTAATTTACTTTATTTTCTATAAATTTGCCTATTCTAAATATTTCAGGTATGTGAAATTATACAGTATTTAACCTTTTGCTTCTGGCTTATTTCACTTAGAATAACATTTTCAAGGTTCACCCACGGTGCACCACATATTAAAACTTCAATCTTTCTTATGGCTGAATAATATTCTATTGTACGTACATAAAATAGTTTGCTTACCCTTAGAAATATTTTAGTGAAGATAATGTTTTAATTTTATTATCTCCAGTTTATCCATCTGTTCTTTTATTGATTGAGCATTTGGTATCGTATCTAAGAAATACTTGACTAACTGAAGGTCACAAAGATTTTCTCCCATGTTTGCTTATATATTTTTATAATTTTAGGTTTTACATTTAGGTATTGACCAATTTTGGGTTAATTTTTGTATATGCTGTGAGATATGGATCAAATTTCATTTTGTTGCATTTAAACATCCAATTGTTCTAGCTTTATTTATTTAAAAAAATATTCTTTCTCCACTGAATTGCCTTAATTGCCTTTGCATCTTTGTAAAAAAAAAAAAAAGCTTGCCCTATATGTGCTTGTTGATAATATATTAAAATAGAAATACTTTTTATTTGAAGTGATTTTGTATCCTGAAGTTTGCTAAATTCATCTATTAGTTCAAGAAGCTTCTTTGAGGAGTCCCTCTTGTTTCCTATACGGACGAACATGGCATCTGAGAATAAAAATAGTTTGCCTTTCTAATCTGGGTTTGTCTTCTTTCTTTTCCTTGCTTTATTCCAGTGATTACAATCTCCAGTTCAATGTTTAATGAAAGATAGAGAGGACATCTGGCCTTGTTCCTGATCATTGGAGAAAACATTCAGTCTTTCACCATAAAAATCATGTTAACTATAGGTTTTTCATATGTGTCCTTTATTGAGCTGTGGAAGTTCCCATCTATTCCTAGTTTGCTAAGAGTTTTTATCAGTTATAGCTGTTGGATTTTGTAAAATGTTCTTATTGCATCTATTGAAATGACCAGATGATTTAATTTTTAAACTTCTAAAAACACTGTCATTTAAATTGATTTTTTTTCAATGTTAAATGAGCCCTGCATTACTGGGATACATTCCACCTCATCATCAATATGTAAAAAAATTTTTTTACACATTATTGGATATGACTTGCTAAAAAGTGTAACGAAATTTGGCACTAGGGTTCATGAGTGATACTGATTTGTAGGCTTCGGATATGCTTCAGATCTATGTCCCCACCCAAATCTCGTGTTGAATTGTAATCCCCAGTGTTGGAGGTAGGGCCTGGTGGAAGATGACTGGATCACAGGGGTGGGTCCTTCATGAATGGTTAGCACCGTCATCTTAGTTAATTTGATAGAGTTATCAAGAGAACTGGTTGTTTAAAAATGTGTAGCACCTTCCCGCTCTCTCTTCCTCCTACTCCAGCCATGTGAAGTGCTGGCTCCCCGCTTCACCTTGAGCCATGATTGTAAGTTTCCTGAGGCCTCCTCAGAAGCAAAGCAGATGCTAGGATTGCGCTTCCTGTCCAGCCTCTTTGGAACTGTTTACTTGGCTCATTGGAACTATAAGCCAATTAAAGCTCTTTTCTTTATAAATTACCCAGTCTCAGGTATTTCTTTCTAGCAGTATGAGAATGAACTAACACAGCTTCATTTCTTGAATGTCTTTGTCTGGCCTTATACATAATGCTGGCCTTATAAAATGAATTGAGAAGTATTCTCTCCTATTCAATTTTCTGCAAGAGATTTGTAGAATTAATATTACTTTTTCTTAAAAGTTTCATAGAATTCATCAGGAAAGTCAACTGGACATGAAGCTTCTTATAGAGAAGGTATTTTACTACAAATTGATTTTTAAAATAGATATAGAATTACTGATATTTTCTGTTTCCTTTTGTTGTTTGTGTTTTTCAAGGAATTTTCCACATCATCTAAGTTGTCAAATGTATTGGTATGCAGTGATTTATAATCTTCCCGTATTATCATTGTAATCTATAGCATCTTTAGTGATATCACCTTCCTCATTCCTGATATTTATAATTTGTATCTTTTCTACTCTTCTTTTTCTTCATCAACCTGGATAGAGCTTTATTATTTTTATCAATCTTCTCAACAAACAAGCTTTTGGTTTCATCAATTTTCTCTATTGTTTTTCCTGTTTCTATTTCATTGATTTCTATTGTGACATTTATTTCCTTTACTTTGAATTTCTCTTTCTTGTTTTTAAAGTGCAAGTTGATTTGAGACACTTCTATTCTAATGGAGCAATACTCTTTTAGACTGAATTTCCCTCTAAATATTGCTCTAGCAGCATCTCACAAATTTTGATGTATTTCTCTTTATTTTCATTCCATTCAAAATACTTTCTAATTTCCCTTTTGACTTCTTTGACTTACGGGCTATTTAGAAATGTCTTATTTCATTTCCAAATAATGCAGTACTTTTCAGATATCTTTATAATACTTACTTCTAAGTTAATTCCATTGTGGTCAGACAACATGACTTGAATCTTCTAAAATTTACTGAGACTTGTTTTATCATACATATTCCTCTTGCACTTGAAAAAATGTGTATTCTGCTGTTGTTTGGGAGATTACTGTGCAAATGTCAATTAGATCAAGTTGACAGTGTTGTTCAAGTCGTGCATATCCTTACTGTTTTTTTTTTCTATTGTTCTATCAATTCTCAAGAGAGGAATATCAAAATCTCTGACTATAATTGTGGATTTCTCTATTTTTCCTTGCAGTTTTATTAATTTTTGTCTCATGTATTTTGAAGCTCTATAAATAGGTACATATTCAGGATTATAAGGTATCCTGATGAATTGACCCATCTATCTTTACAAAATCTTCCTGATAACAATCTATTTTGTCAGCTATTAATATAGCCACTCCAGCCTTCTCTTGATTAGTGTTAGCATGGTATATCTTTTTCCATCCTTCTATTTTTACCCTATTTGTGTCTTTAAATTTAAAGTGCATTTCTTATAGGCAACATATAGTTAGGTCTTACATTTTTATACAATCTGACAATCTTTGCCTGTATTTCTATTTAATGTGATTACTGATATTGATTTTTCAATATCAATATATTGACCATTTATATTTAATGTGATTATTGCTACTATTTTTTCTAATCCTCTTTATGAAAAAAACTCTAAAAAGAATTATATACACTCACAGTCTCCAAATCCTCTTCTCCCATTCTACTTTGAACCTGTTTAAGTCTGGTTTCCATTCCTACTATTCTATTGAAACAAGTCTTTGTCAAGGCCACTGACTTCCTCTATCTTGCTAAATCCAAAGGTAAATTCTCAATTTTCATTAAACTTGACCTCTCTGCAGCATTTGACATATGTGATCACTGTCTCCTTAAAGCATATTTCTTTCCCTGGCTTGTAGGGCACCATACCCTCCTTGCAATCAATCAGCAACACTAACTACTCCTTCTCTGAGATCTTTGCTTTTTCCATCTTATTACTTCAACTTCATAACTTAATAATGCCGTAGGGCTCAGGGCTCAGCCCTTGGGCATCTTGTCTAAGCACACTCATTTCTTTAGTGATCTCATCCTTCTTGTGGATTTAAATACTACTGCAGTGTATGCTGGGTGTACCACTCAAATGCCTGCCCTTTAGGACTGAACCACTCATTACCCCCACTGCTGAGAATGTTAATGGTTGATTTCTCAAAACTTATTCCCCATCTTCACCAAGCAACTGCCATCAGCTGAAGAAAGTTGACTCACTCAAGGTCACAAGCTTGGGCATCAAGTAACTGACTGATGTAGGGGGTATAAATTATGACAATTCTGCGAGGTTTTTCCAGCTCTAGAGCTCTCCATGAGATTGGTGGAAGGACTTACTTCTGATCTTATGGCAGCCCAACTTTTCCCTCTGTCCATTCCTACTTCCTTTACTCCTCACAGTTATTAATCTCAAAAGTCCTTGCCAATACATGTCTGAGTGCAAATCTTCATCTCAGTTTCTGCTTCCTGGGAAAACTGATCTGAGACATCATTTACATGCTGACATTGAGAGGTGAAGCCAGCTAGACTTCCTGGGTTGAGTGGGGACTTGGAGAACTTTTCTGTCTAGCTAAAGTTTTGCAAACGCACCAATCAGCACTCTGTAAAAATGCACCAATCAGCGCTCTGCGTCTAGCTAAAGGTTTGTAAACACATCAATCGGCACTCTGTAAAAATGCACCAATCAGCACTCTGTGTCTAGCTAAAGGTTTGTAAATGCACCAATCAGCACTCTGTAAAAATGGACCAATCAGCACTCTGTAAAATGGACCAATCAGCAGGACATGCGCAGGATCAAATAAGGGAAGAAAAACTGGTTATCCAAGCCAGCAGCGGCAACCTGCTCAGGTCCCCTTCCACGCTGTTCAAGCTTTGTTCTTTCACTCTTCACAATAAATCTTGCTGCTGCTCACTCTTTGGGTCTGCACTACCTTTATGAGCTGTAATACCCACTGCAAAGGTCTGCAGCTTCACTCCTGAAGTCAGAGAGACCACAAACCCACTGGGAGGAAAAAACAACTCCAGACACGCCACCTTTAAGAGCTATAACACTCACTGGGAAGGTCTGCTGCTTCACTCCTGAAGTCAGCAAGACCACGAACCCACCAGAAGGAAGAAACTCTGGACACATCTGAACATCTGAAGGAACAAACTCCGGGCACACCATCTTTAAGAACTGTAACACTCACTGCGAAGGTCAGCGGCTTCATTCCTGAAGTCAGCAAGACTACAAACCTACCAGAAGGAAGAAACTCCAGACACATCTGAACATCTGAAGGAACAAACTCCAGACACACCATCTTTAAGAACTGTAACACTCACCGCCAGGGTCCACGGCTTCATTCTTGAAGTCAGCGAGACCAAGAACCCACTGGAAGGAACCAATTCTGAACACAACACCTACAAACTCATACTTCCAGCACATACCTTTTGTCTGAATCCCAAGACTGAAATATCCATTGTTCTTCTCAACCTTCCAACTTTTCTTATTACTTTGATGTCTAATGGAAATCTCAAACTTAACATATCTGAAACTGAATACTTGATCAATACCACTCCCTCACTTAAAAAACTACCCACACACTGTCTTCTCCATCTAAGTTGATGAGAACTCCAAATTCTCATTGTTTATTACATAAGCCAAAAGCCCTGTAGAATTTGTGGGGGGGGGGGGCTTCCTCTCATATTCCACATCAAATTTGTCAGCAAACCTGTTTGTTCTATTTTAAAAATATTTAACCATTTCTCACCACCCAGCTATCACTCCAGCCCAAGTCACCCTTATCTCTCACCTGGCTTAACTGCAATCCCTCCCATTTTTTTTTCCTTGTGTCTGTCCCTACCCCCTGCTATGGTCTGAATGTGTGCCCCAAAATTCAGGTGTTGAAACTGAATCTCCATTGTGGTGGTATTAAGACGTGGGGCCTTTTGAGAAATGATTAAATTAAGGGGGCTCCACCTTCATGAATAGATTAGTGCCTTATAAAAGGGCTGGAAGGAACCCAGCTTGGGTCCCTTTTACCCTTCTGTCCCTTGCACCACGTGAGGACATCTAGATGAATGAGTCTGTACCAGACACCTAACCTGCCAGCGCCTTGATTTTGGACTTCCCAGCCTCCAACTGTGAGGAAATGAGTTTCTTTTATTTCAAAATTACCAGTCTGTGGTATTTTGTTATAACAGCACAAATAATTTAAGACACATCCAATACAGTCTTTTTAAACCAGTGGCAAGAGTGATTCTATTAAAACATAAGGCAGATCACTTTACACTGTGCTCAGACTTTATAATGGCTTTCCCCTCTGTCCATTCCCTCCCTCTTCACTCCTGTCTCTGACCTCACATTCTACACATGCTACCTTCCCTGCTGTCTCCCCTCAATGCCTCTGCATGGGCTCATCCCTTGGCCTGAAATGCTCCCCTCCTCTGCAGGGTTCAACCTCTCTCCCTTCCTCTGCAGGGTCCACCCCCTCTCCTATGTCATCTTTGTTCAAATCTCACTCTCGATTAGGTCTTCCTCAACTGCCCCATTAAAATTGCAACCCACCTCCATCCCAGGCAGTTCTTGTTTCCTTTCCTGGCTGTATAAGTTTTTCCTTCCTTTGCACTTAGTATCTTTCAATGTGCTTTATGATTTACTTAAAAAAAATTGTTTCTCCCTCCTCCCACTCCACTCCCAAAATGTAAGCCCCACAAATTCAGATATTTTTATCAGTTTTATTTATTGATGTTTCTGTAGGACCTAGAACACTGCCTACCACATAATAAGTAGCCAATACATGGTCATTGAATCAATTAATCAGTCAATCAATCTATCACTGAACTGATGACTAAACATTTTTGTTATACCCCAATTTTATGGCTGAAGTATAGAATACATACCTTGTTAATATGAAAACAAATACCAAAACAGAAAATAAATTATTTTCAAGTTATCCTCCTATGAGGCTAAGAAATACATATGCAAAAATCCATTCAAGCTATCCAGTCACTAGATCTTGCCTTCTGATGCTAAAATCAACAGATTGGAGCCTTATGCCAATTTAGAGGTAGGAGAACTAAGCTGGCCAGCTAAGCTCTTCTACCTCTAAATTGTTATAAGGCTCTGATAATTAAGTATCTATCAGTGAGTTGTTAAGAAACAACTAATTTGGTGAGTAATGCTTTTTTTTCTAAATAGCACCTAACTTTCACCATGATGTATATTTAACTCTAGCAAACAAGTCAACCAATCAACTAAAAAATAAAACAAAAGAAATTCTAACAAAGCTAAGTACTGGAAGTGACTGGCATTTTTTGGGGATCAAGAGCTTTATAACTTATATGATAGATGCACATGTGCAATTCTATCTTTAATACACTTTATATAAAGTAAAGAGCATGTAACACACATAATCCTTTGATGATCCATCATGTTGAGGAGTGCTTAATAAATATCAAAAAGCACCGATTAAGCCAGAGGAAACTCCTGACAAGGTTGCAGACATCTGGACATGTACATCTGTTCAAAGTCAGTGATCTGTACAGAAGACCCCAGAGAAAGAATTAGTGTCAATCTGATATTCAGTGATAAACAATTATTACCAAGAATCCAATATGACACTGGAAATAATAATAAAACTGGCAAGTTAAGTATAAATTGAGTGACCTCAGATGTTGTGGAAATTTGAAGCCCTTGATTGCTGCTCAAAGCTGTCATGTTGGCAAGAAAATTCTTATTCAGCCTAAAAGTATAAGAATTCCTATCCATCCCACCCTGGCCCTGTAAACCAGCTCTCTCAGCCAAGAAGTTTGAATAATCCAGCAGTCACCAGGAGCCTCCTTTGGGATGAAATTTGTTTCCTCTACTCCCTTCAACCCATCGATTTCCTGCTCCTGTTTCCCTGGCTCTCTGGGAGAGGATAGCAAAGAGCCTGCTATCTGTGACCCTCTTTCTGTTTTGATGACTCTTACAGACTCTTGTATCAGGCTTTTGGATTCCTATTTTTCTTCCCACCTCCTGCAACCACATCTACCAATGGATTCTTTGATTTGCATGCTCAGAGGCAGCATGGGTCTAGATAAGAGACCTCTTGGCCCCAGCCCTTGATTTGGGGAGATCTTTTCTCATTAATAAAAATATAATAGCTTCTAGTTAAGGAAGACCTACTACATGTTGGGTACTATATCAGGCACTTTCCACATAGTCTTGTTTTGCCTTTACAACATCTTTGTAAGAAAATATATTATTGACATTTTACAGAAGAAGAATGGGAAATTAAATGACTTGTCCAAAGTCATACAGCTAATAAGCATGCAAAGAAGGCAGCAGAATTCTAACCCCAGAATCCATGTTTTCTGCTCTGATGCTGTTTCTCTATCAAGCATTTGCAACATGAGTGATTCTAATTTCATTTTTTCCTTTGCATATTATATATGTTATAGATGTTATAAAACAATCTCAAATTGTTATAAATATGTCAATCATTTTGGTGCCAAGTTAAATTGTTTTTAAACTTGCTTTCATAGTAACATTGCAATGTTACTACCCATTTTCACCAAGCTGACATCCTCACTGATGGCCCAAATGAAATGGTGGGTTAAATTGCCTGGACTTTAGCATGAGTCATGGTTGCAGCACCAAACTGTACTACTCCTGGCCATGTAGACTTCACCTCCACGCTTGCAATAAAAAAATGCCAATGTTACTTAAGAATATCCTTGATAAAGAAGTAAATCAGGCTGGGCGCGGTGGCTCACGCCTGTAATCCCAGCACTTTGGGAGGCCGAGGCGGGTGGATCATGAGGTCAGGAGATTGAGACCATCCTGGCTAACAAGGTGAAACCCCGTCTCTACTAAAAATACAAAAAATTAGCCGGGCGCGGTGGCGGGCGCCTGTAGTCCCAGCTACTCGGGAGGCTGAGGCAGGAGAATGGCGTGAACCCAGGAAGTGGAGCTTGCAGTGAGCCGAGATTGCGCCACTGCAGTCCGCAGTCCGACCTGGGCGACAGAGCGAGACTCCGTCTCAAAAAAAAAAAAAAAAAAAAAAAAAGAAGTAAATCAACCTCAGCACATATCTTTTTCATATTCTGTGACAAAATGAGAAATATGCACATAGAAAGATGATGGCTATCTTGAGATACAGCACTTGTGTAATGAGTTTTTGGGTTTCAAGCCAAATTAACCTTTTTTTAATGAAAATATTTCACTTGAAACAACAGATGACAAAGTATTGTTGTCCAGACTTGAGCATTGGGCTAACGTTTTATCCAAGAGGAAAGTGAACCCACATTGACAGTTGCCATTGTTGCCAATGGTAAAATTTGAGCTTTCAAGCAAATATAAGAATTTTGGAAGATTTGTTTCTGTCACAGTATGCTTGGCAGCTTCTCAATACTTAAAGACCTTTAGATGAGGTCATTAGTGGTATTAATAAATACCATATTTTCTATGTTATAAAGTAAAATGTATCAACATTTAGAAGTTCTATATAATTCAGAATGTTATTTTCCAAATGACTAATGTACAATGTTACAGAATTATGCGTGAGTAAATTCTCCATTGAAAATGCAAGACAGGATGGTGGATTTAATACATACATATGTATATACTACATACATAGACAGCGAAATACGAAGAACTCATGGATTCCACATTTCCACCAACCTTTAGAAACAATTACCTGTCAAGTTTTGGTGTGACATCAAAGAAGAATATTCAAAATTATCTCAAAATGCTATTAAAATACCACTTTAATAACTACATATTTGTATGAACCTGTATTTTCTTCATATTTTCAATCAAAACAACCTATTGAAACAGGTCATATGCATACATATGAGAACTTATTAACTATTTTCTATTAAACCAGTCACTAAAGAAGTGATGTTCACAAAAAACTGGAAAACAATGTCACTCTTAACTATTCTTTTGTTCTGGAAAATATATTTATTTATATTAACATGTATTAGGTTTAATATTATTTTTAAATTAATAAATATATAAATATGTTAAGCTTTTCTCAGTTTTAATTTTTACTAAGGTAAATATCAATAGTATAAACCAGAATCCTTTGGAGTCCTCAACAATTGTTAAGCATGTAAAGAAAGGGGTCCTGAGGCCAAATCATTTGAAAACCAGTAATATAAGAAAATTTTGTGCAGCCACTGAATATTCTAGAGGAGTACATGCAGAAAGATCCCAAAATAAAATATAACATGCAGAGAAAAATAGCTGAAGAAAGATGTACTTCAATGTCAACTATATCAGTAAAGTTGTGAAATTATGAGTAATATAATTTTTATTTTTGATGTCCTGTTAAAATTTTTTAAATGAGCATAGCTTGCTTAAATAAAAAGTAACAAGTTAACAAACAAATGAATAACTGAATTATATCATACATGACAGCAGCTTTAGTCTAGAGAAACATCTCTTCCTTTTTCATTGCCCTATTCATATTTATTCAATCCCTTCCTTTCTTCCTGCTCTGATGGCAATTCTTGAGATACATATTTCTTCTCCATAGCCCCTGTCCCGTCAAGAGTTTTTAACCTTCTAGTTCCTACCAATACTTATAAACTATACTACCTTATAAAACAACTTTTCCCCTCATCTGCAGGTTATCAACAAATATTAAATCATTGTTCTCTAAAATTATGTATTATAAAGCACAGCAATGTTATGGTTTGTGTGGTCACACCTGTTGCAGGTTACACATCAATATCACATTGATCACTGTGTTTCCTGAGTTAGTGTGGCTTTTCAACATCCCAGTGTGTGCCTAACAATAGCTGTTAAATACAGCTATGGCCCCAACAATGGGAGGTGTATGTGGATCATAAGAGTGACCTACACATTGGGTCCACTCAACCACTTGATCGCACAGTAGTTAAGCCACTGGAACTCAACAGACCTGTGATGAAATCCACAGCTCTAAATCCCCAGATATATTTTATAACCTGCCTAGACCTCTCCTCATTCAAAAGGTGACAAATTTTACAGACTTATTATAATATAAAAAGGCTTACATATTCTGGTAGATGGTAAGTGCTCAAAACATGTAAGCTGCTGTGCTTTTATAATCATATTATTAGTATCGTTGCTATTAGTGTAATTCTAGATTTTACCTCTCCATTTAATCCTGCTTTCCTTATACATCATTATAATGGGTAATGAATATGGTTTGGATCTGACTCCCTACCCAAATATCATGTCAAATTGTAATCTCCAATGTTGGTGTTGGGGCCTGGTGGAAGGTGATTGGATCATGGGGGCAGTTTCTCATAAATGGTTTAACACCATCACCCTTGGTGCTGTACTTGTGATAGTGAGTGAGTTCTCATGAGATCTGGTTGTTTAAAAGTATATAGCACCTCCCCACTCCCTCTTTTCCTCTTGCTTTGGCTATGGGAAATGCCTTTCTCCCCATTTGCCTTCACCAGGATTAAAAACTCCCTGAGGACTTCCTAGAAGCAGAAACTTCTATGCTTTCTGCACAACCTGAAGAACCACGAACCAATGAAATATTTTTTCTTAATAAATTATTGAGTCTCAGGTATTTCTTTACAGCAGTGCAAGAATTAAATAGGCCAGGCGCGGTGGCTCACGCCTGTAATCCCAGCACTATGGGAGGCTGAGGCGGGCGGATCACGAGGTCAGGAGATCAAACCATCCTGGCTAACACTGTGAAACCCCATCTCTACTAAAAATACAAAAAATTAGCTGGGCGTGGTGGCGGGTGCCTGTAGTCCCAGCTACTTGGGAGGCCGAGGCAGGAGAATGGCGTGAACCCAGGAGGCAGAGCTTGCAGTGAGCTGGGATTGCGCCACTGCACTCCAGCCTGGGTGACAGAGCGAGACTCCGTCTCAAAAAAAAAAAAAAGGATTAAATAATATAAAAGTTTGTACCAAGAAGAGGGACACTGCTATAAAGATACCTAAAAATGTGGAACTGGGAAACAGGTAGAGGCTAGAACCATTTGGGAGATCCAAAAGGAGACAGAAAGATGCAACAAGGTTTGGAATTTCCTAGAGACGTATTAAATTGTTGTGACCAAAATTCTGATAGTGATATAGACAGTGAAGTCCAGGCTGAGGAGGTCTCAGATGGAAATCAGGACAGGAACTTATTGGAAACTGCAGTAAAGGTCACTTTTGCTACGCTTTAGCACAGCCTGGCTGCATTGTGCCCCTGCTCTAAGGATCTGTGGAATTTTGAACTTGAGACTGATGATTTAGACTGATGATTCCACTATCCAGTGGAAGAAATTTCTAAGTAGCAAAGCATTCAAGATGTGACCTGGTTGCTTCTAACCACCTATGGTCATATGAGTAAATAAATGAACTGAAACTGGAACTTATATTTAAAAGGGAAACAGAGCATAAAAGTTTGGAAACTTTGCGTCTTGGCCATATGGTAGAAAAGAAAAGCCCATTTTCAGGGGAGGAATTCAACCAGGCTGTAGAAATTTGCATAAGTAAAGAGGAGCCAAGTGCTAATATCCAAGACAATGAGATAAAGGCCTTGAAGGCATTTCAGAGACCTTCAAGGAAGCCCCTCCTATCACAGGCCCAGAGGCCAAGGAGGGAAGAATGGTTTGTTGGGCTAGGCCCAGGGCCTCACTGCCCTCTGCAGACTCAGAACCCTGCTTGCTGCATCCTGGCCGTTTCAGCTACAGCTGTGGTTCAAAGGGGCCCAGGTAAAGCTTAGGCCACAGTTTTTGAGGGTGAAAGCCTTAAGCCTTGGCAACTTCCATATGGTATTAAACCTGCAGGTATGCAGAGTACAAGAGTTGAGGTTTGGGGGCCTCTACCTAGATTTCAGAGGATGTACAGAAAAGCCTAAATGTTCAGGTAGAAGCCTGCTGCAGGGATGGAGCCCTCATGGAGAACCTCTACTAGGGCAGAGCAGAGGCAAAATGTGGGGTCGGAGCCCCCACACAGAGTCCCCACTGGGGCACTGCCTAGTGGAGCTGTGAAAAGAGGGCCACCATCCTCCAGACCCCAGAATGTTAGATCCATCAACAGCTTGCACCATGTGCCTGGAAAAGCCACAAAGACTCAATGGCAAACCTTGAGAGCAGCCAAGGGGGCTGAACCCTGCAAAGCCTCAGGGGTGGAATGGCCCAAGGCTTTGGGAGCCCACCCATTGCACCAGTGTGCCCTGGATGTGAGACATGCAGTCAAAGGAGATTATTTTGGAGCTTTAAGATGTAATGATTGCCCTGCTGGGTGCAGGACTTGCCTTTATCCCCCTTCTTTTGACCAATTTCTCCTTTTTAGAATAGGAGTATTTACCCAATGCCTATATCCTCATTGTATCTAGGGAGTAACTAACTTGTTTTGATTTTACAGGCTAATAGTTGGAACGGACTAGCCTTGTCTCAGATGGGACTTTAGATTGGATTTTTGAGTTAATGCTGGAATGAGTTGAGACTTTGGGGGACTTTTGGGAAGGCATGATTGTATTTTGCAATGTGAGGGGGACATAAGATTTGGAGGGGTCTGGGATATAATAATATGGTTTGGATCTTTGTCCCTGCCCAAATATCATGCCAAATTATAAATCTCAATGTTGGAGATGGCGCCTGGTGGGAGGTGATTGGATCATGGGGGCAGTTTCTCATGAATGGTTTAACACCATCCCCGTTGGTGCTGTTCTCATGATAGTGAGTGAGTTCTCATGAGATCTGGTTTTTTAAAAGTCTGTAGCACCTCCCCACTCTCTCTCTTCCTCCTTCTCTGGCATGTGAAGTGCCTACCTCACTCCCCCTTTGCCTTCCACCATGATTAAAAGCTCCCTGAGGCCTCTGCAGAAGCAGAAGCTGCTATGCTTCCTGTACAGCCTGTAGAACTGTGAGTCAACTAAACCTCTTTTCTTTATAAATTACCCAGTCTTAGGTGTTTCTTTATAGCAGTGTGAAAGTGAACTAATACAGTAACTAACAGTGGCTACTGTTTTCTCTAGTGCAACTTCATTAAGTAACTGTTTTTAAGTTTAATCAGTTAATACACAGAGCCTGAATGGTGAAGTATGTATTAGAGGAAGAAGTCTCATCATGGTTTAAAAGGGTAGAGAGAGAGAGATCACATAACTGTAGCTCAGATGAGCAGAAGATATTTTAGAGAGTTATCTGGAGAGATTGTGCAATGATACATCACATCTCCTAAGGAAGAGTTAATTATAAGGACTGGGTGAAGGTGGTGGGTATAAATTTAAAGATAAATTTAGTCAACTCCATAGTTTTACTCTGGGTTAGCTCAGAGCCCAGAGCTTTGGTGTGGTCTACACTCTGTTTAAAAAACAGTGAGCAGGTCAGGTGTGGTAGCTTATGCCAGTAATTTAAGCCCTCTGGGAGGCCAAGATGGGAGGACTGCTTGAGGCTGAGAGTTCAAGACCCACCTGGGCAACAAAGTGAGATACGAGTCTTTATATAAAATTTTTTAAAATGCAACTCAAACAAACAGAAAACAGAGAGCAAATACATAGGCACTTTCTTTGACTTTATAATCTCCAGTTACATAGATAGGCCCTTTCTTGGAGCTTGATATGTGCCTTGTTTTTGTTGTTATTGCTGTCATTTTTGAGACAGGGTCTTGCTCTGTCACTCAGGCTGAAGAGCAGTGGTGCACTCATGGCTCACTGCAGCCTTCACCTCCTGGGCTCAAGCAATTCTCCTGCTTCAGCCGGATATGGTTTGGCTGTGTCCCCCACCCTAATCTCATCTTGAATTGTAACTCCCACAATTCCCACGTGTCGTGGGAGGAACCTGGTGGGAGATGATTGAATTACGGGGGCAGATCTTTCCTGCCCTGCGCTGTTCTCATGATAGTGAATGAGTCTCACGAGGTCTGATGGTTTTAAAAATGGGAATTTCTTTGCACAAACTCTCTTCTCTTGTCTACCGCCATGTTAGATGTGCCTTTTACCTTCTGCCATGATTGTGAGGCCTCCCCCCCAGCCATGCGAAACTGTAAGTCCAATAAACCTCTTTCTTTTGTAAAATACCAGTCTCAGGTATGTCTTTAACAGCAGCATGAAAATGGACTAATACAAGCCTCCCAAGTAGCTGGGACCACAGGCATGTGCCACCATGCCAACTAATTTTTTTTTTTTTTTTTTTTTTTTTTTTTGGAGAAAGGCTCTCTCTGTTGCTCAGGTTGATCTTAAACTCCTGGGTCAAACTATCCTATCCTCCTGCCTCTCCCTCCCAAAGTGTTGGTATTATAGGTGTGAGCCGCTGCACCTGGCCCCTGCCTTGTTAAATGCATTGTTTATTAGGCTATTAGTTGATCAGGAAGTCAAAAATACCTAACAAAACACCTAAACTACCCTAGACATAGGGATTTAAAATATGGCTGGGGCAGCAATTTGTAGGACCACCATGGAGGAAAATGGAGAAAAAAGTCTACCGCCTTCCTGATATATTGCTTCAATTTTGTCATCAATTAAATTCAGAATTTCTGAAAAAAAATACTTTATTATTATTATTATTTTGAGACAGGGTCTCACTTTGTCACCCAGGCTGGGGTGCAGAGGCATGATTATGGCCCCCTGCAGCCTTGACCTCCTGGGCTCAAGTGATCCTCCCACCTCAGCCTCCCAAGTAGCTAGGACTACAGGCACATGCCACCATGCCCAGCTAATTACTGTATTTTTTTGTAGAGATAGGATTTCAGCATGTGTCTCAGCTGGTCTTGAACTCCTGGGCTCAAGCAATCTGCCTGATTCAGCTTCCCAAAGAGCTGGGATTAAAGCTGTAAGCCACTACACTGCACCTGGGCTAAAACTTTTTTTTTTTTTTTTTTTTTTTGAGACAGAGTTTCACTCTTGTCGCCTGGACTGGAGTGCAATGGTGCTGCCTCGGCTCATTGCAACCTCCGCCTCCCAGGTTCAAGCGATTCTCCTGCCTCAGCCTCCCAAGTAGCTGGGATTACAGGCATGCACCACCACGCCTGGCTAATTTTGTATTTTTAGTAGAGACAGGGTTTTACCACGTTAGCCAGGCTGGTCTCAAACTCCTGACCTCAAGTGATCCACCTGCCTCAGCCTCCCATAGTGCTGGGATTACAGGCATGAGCCACCGCCCCCAGCTGGCTAAAACTTCTTTAGGTGTCTCTACATATCAAATAGTCTTCTATGATCATGGGAAAGAACTGAGTTTAAAAAAAAAATTAGGTAGTTGAAAAATCTGAATATGTCAATAAGT
This sequence comes from Homo sapiens, assembly GCF_000001405.40. Lineage (NCBI taxonomy): Eukaryota > Metazoa > Chordata > Mammalia > Primates > Hominidae > Homo > Homo sapiens. The sequence continues at coordinate 39,442,243 of NC_000013.11, forward strand.
ATTCTGTTAAATTGTTATAAATGTCATATCACAAATTCCCTTTATTTCTTATCAGGGTATATATTTTTAGCTATTAAGAGATGATGTGTAAGTTTTTCAGTATAAGAAGCTCTTGAGCAAACCTTAAGAAAAATATGTTTAATACTTACATTGCCCCAAACAAGTTTCCATGTGTGGAGAAACTTTCTGGTGAGATTCATGTTCACATTTAAAATATCACTATAATCAAAACTTTGGAAAGTGCTAAAGGGTCTGATGGGCACTGACTAGCTGCAAAGGGAAGGGAAGGCATGAAAGAAGAAGGCATAGGCTGGGAATCTGGAGACAGAACCAATTCTGGGAACGATTGCTGATTAGCTATGTAGCTCTAAGTGTCTATCTTTCTTGATCTTAGTTTTCTGGTATGTGTATTGTATTAATGAAAATCTCAGAGGTTCTGTGGGCTCTGTAATTCTATTCTTTTTTTTCTTTCTTGCACTGTGAATTTTTGCCTTGTCTTTGTTCTCCCTCTTTTGGACTTCTCTGCATCATTTGGCAGTATTGAGAACAATCTCCTTCTTAAAACTCCATCCCTCGCTTTTATGGTGAGAACAACTCAGGGACTCATTTCAAATACTACTGTCCTCAATCAGAGCTGACCCTCATGGCTCAGTTCCTGAGCTAACTGAAGCTTCTTGTCTCTTTCTCTCTCTCTCTCTCTCTTATTCTCTCCTTTTTCAGAGAGTTGAAAATATCTAGTGTCTTCCATTAGTCCCTGCTGTGGCTTCAATGCATCCTCCAAAGTTCATGTGTTGCAAACTGAATCCCCAAGGCATGGTGTCTAGAAGTGGGACCTTTAAAAAGTGATTAGGTTACAAGAGTTCTACTCTCATAAATGCATTAACAATGTTACTATGGGAGTGAGCTAATTAACATGGGCATTGGTTAGTTATTGCAGGAGTTGGTTCATGAGAAAAGGATGAGTTCTGTCCCCTTTTCTTCCTCTGTCTCTCATATGCACTCTTTTGCCCTCCTGCTTTCTGTCATGGTATGACACAGCAAGAAGACCCTCACAAGATGCAGTCCCTCAGTCTTGGAATTCTTAGCCTCCAGACCATGAGCAGAATACATTTCATTTCTTTATAAACTCCAAAATCTCTGGTGTTGTGTTATAGCAGCACAAGCAGAAAATTGGTACAGAGAATGGGGTTGTTACTGTAACAAATACCTGAAAAGTGGAAGCAGCTTTAGAATTGGGTAATGCATAGAGGCTGGAAAAATTTGGAGCAGCAAGCTAGTAAAAGCTTGGATTGCTGTGAATGGAGTGGTAAGGGCAATTCTGGTGAGGGGTCAGAAGAAGACAAGAGCTGTAGGAGAACCTAAATCTTCCTACGGATTACTTAACTGGTCATGGTCAGAATGTTGGTAGAAATATGGAGTGTAAGGGCCATTCCAATACGGTATCAGACAGACATAAGAAGCAAGATATAGATGGTCCCCAACTTAAACAATTTTTTTTACTTTATGATGGTGTGAAAGTAATACGCATTCAATAGAAACAGTTCTTTCAGTACCCATACAACCATCCTGTTTTTCACTTTCAATATAGCATTCAATAAGTTACATGAGATATTCCATACTAGATTATACAATAGGCTTTTGTCTATAGGCTAATGTGAACATTCTGAGCATGTTTATGGTAGGCTATCCTAAGCTATGATGTTCAGTAGGTTTGATGTGTTAAATGTATTTTGACTTATTGTATTTTCAACATACAATGGGTTTATCAAGATGTAATCACATCATAAGTCAAGGAGCATTGGAAAGTGGAATAAAGGCCATCCTTTATCCTAGTTATACAGTTGTAAAGAACTTCATGGAATTATGTCCATGTCCTAGAACTTTGTGGAACGGGGGACTCAAGAGTGAGGAACTAGGATATCTGGCAGAAGAAATATCTAAGCAGCAAAGTGTTTAAGCTGTGCATAGCTTCTTTTAGATACTTACAGTAAAATGAAGGAAGAGAGAAATGATATAAAAATGGAATTTATAATTAAAACGAAAGCAGAATGGAAAGATTTGGAAAAATATCAGCCTGACCATGTAAAGAATAAAAAAGTTTGTTCAGCAGAGAATACTAAGGGTGTGGCCAAGAGACGTTTGCTAAAGAGATTCATATGGATAGAAGGAAGCCAGGTTCTACTCATCAAGACTATAGGACAATGACCTTGAAGGCATTTCAGAGATCTCCAAGGCAAGCTAGAACTTCAAGGGCAAGGTTTCCAGAGAGGTACCTACAAGACCTCAACATTCGCTGCCCTACATTGCCTTGGGACTCCACTCCTGGAATTCTGGTACAGCACCCCTCAGCTGCTCTGGCCATGGTTCAAGTGAGCTGAGGTGTGGCTTCACCTGCCACTCCACAGGGTACAAGCTATAAATCTTGATAACATCCATATGGTGCTAATTCTGAAGGCACACAGAATGCAAGAGTTGTGGGGCCATGGCAGCCTCCATCTAGGTTTCAAAGGATGTTACAGACAGTCGGGGGCTCAGGCAAAGACTTGTCACAGGGGTGGAGCCACTGGAGACAGTCCCTGCTAGAGCAATGCCTAGTGGAGCCATGGGAATGGTGTGGCCCCTGAGACCATGAACCACAGAGTCACCAGTGTGCAACTCCAGCCTGGAAAAACTGCAGGCACAAGACTTTAACTTGTGAGAGCTGCTGGGTGGACTGAGCCCAGCAAAGCCACAGGGGCAGGGCTGCCCTTATTAATTGGGTTAATGTCATTACCTCAGGAGTGAGTTTGTCATTATCACAGAAGTGAATTCAGTCCTCTCTTGCTATCTCTTGTGCACATTGTCACCATGTGATGCTTTCAGCCTTATTACGATGCAGCAATAAGGTCCTCACCAGATACGTCCCCTTGATCTTGAACTTCCCAACCTCCAGAACAGCCCAGTAAACTTCTATTGTTTATAAATTACCCATTCTGTGGTACTCTATTATAGCAGCATGAAATGGACACAGTCCCTTTACCTTGATAACTTATAAATCTCTATCTCTATGCCATATGACATCACATCACACAATGGAAAGAACATGAATTTGGGGCTTTAACAATACTTAGGTTCTTTAACTCAGGACTTTGTGAAGATTTACTGAAAATAACTTTTCCAGTTTTACAAATTAAAAAACACAGGATGAGAGAGGTCAGATGAATTTCTCACCCAGCTCCTAAATTGGACCTGACCCAAATTACCAGGAGAATGCTCAGTCTTAGTATAGAACAGATTTCAATAGACGTTTAGTAAAGTACTCTGGAATCCCTGCCCAGGAAGGGTATTAAAAGAAACAAATTCTGAGCTGAGTAAGTACTCAGGTTGGTGGTTATCTAATGTTTGCTTTTCATAATTTATTTAACAATTCTTTCCAAATAATTATTCAGTTGTCCATTAACTACATATTTGGTACAGCAGAATAAAACAAACAAAAAACAGTGGTACATCAGAATAAACTGGTCTCTTCAAATAGCAACTCAGAGTCTTTCAAGTAGACATCCTACCTTAGAGGACATCAAAGTTTGTTTGAAATGGAAACAGCCTCTCCAAAATGAGTCTTCAAAGGTTGCAAAGTACCACAGAAGAGCTTTAAATTTAGGCTTTTTTTCCTGTGGTACTTTAAGTATAACAGATGGGTCTTCATAATTAGCATCACATTTGCATTTTTCTCTCCACAAAAAAGAGCTAATAATCTTAGAAGGAGAATTAAAAAGCATCATTCCATCATATTTTTATTGATCTTATTTATAATTTGTATGCCAAGTCTTCTTTAAGATACCTATTACTTTCAACTCTCTCCTGGGAGATGAACAAATTTACAAATGAGGAAATGAGCATGGTAGTTAGGAGCACAAACTTGAAAATGACTTTGGGATGATAACTCACTGGAAGGCCCTGATAAAGTGGAAGAAATATGAAGATTCAGATACAGCCTGAAGCCCATCTATGTAATCTCCTCCAACAGAGTAGGCCTACTTATCTTTTGTGTATGTATCTATGAGACTCCCATCCTCTCCTGTGCACTGTAACTCCTACCACTCAGAACCATTTAGTTGAAAGGTGCTATGAAATAAGAGGAATCATTGAACAAACTGTCCTCATAGGCAAGCTCTCAAGCTCTCCCGATGTACAGCTGGAGACAGCTATTGATGAACTATGGTGGGTGCAGAAGTTAAACAGATACCATCTGCAGAGCACAGAGTAAGCAGAGGCCCTAGGACATTCAGCATGGGACAGTATACCCTGAGAGAACTGGGCCAGGGTAAACAAAGATCGTGTCCCAACTGTGTACCACAATCAACGTCGTATCTGAGGATCTCGGTGATCCTCATAGCTTCCCTATGAGGCTGATACCATCTTCATTCTGTAGCTAGAGAAACTAAGATTTAGGAAAGTAAACCATATTGCCCAAAGTACTCTAGTTAAGTGGCAAAGCCGGTATTTTCATTTAGGTCCCGTCCAATAGCAAACTTCACGATACTAAGTGGCATGCCATTTTGACCTGTTAACTATATGCAATACATTTGCTCTGGTAAAGGTTTTGCTTTAATTTGTCCATATCCAATCCCTCATAATCAATAACACAACTTTGTAAGTCACCTGAATACGAATAAGGAGTGTAATCAATGACCAAGAAACAGAAAAGATAAACTGGTTCACAGGGAGATTGAGCCCTCGACCTTAAGCTCTCTAGAGCTGAATTCTAACCAACCCAGTTAATTAGCCACAGACTATTAAATGAACAAATTAGAGCCCAAATCCTTTCAAACCACAAATCTAAGTTGGCCTTGTATAGGAACACAGAGTTAAATATGTACTGATTTTGTTTCATATCAGATGGGTAATGTGCCAACATCCTAATAAGGCTGAAGAAGGCACATCTCACACGTTACTGTGAAACCCAATCATCACGCTTATGAAGCACAAAAGGATCAATATGCACTGAATTTGAGTGTGCCCATTTAGTACAGTGCAGACTCTCTTGAGTGTCCCCAAATAGATGAAATTATAAGGGAAATTTTCATAATCTTTTTTTAAGCTTTCTCTTGCTGTTCATAATGCCTATACTTCACGATATTTTTTTTAAATTGATATATCTAATTTAGGAATCAAGTCTTTAAGAGGATCCTGGTTGAACTGCCAATTTTTCATCAGATTCATTAAACTCCACCCCATAGGTAAGATCAGACCTGGAATTCTTGAGTTGGAGAGTACTCCATGAAAGATACTGTGTGTCCTAAATGAAAAGCAGTAATACCACAAATCTAATTGATAAGATCTGCAAGCCCAGAGAGCCTGAAAGAGGAATTCCCTTTTGTTGCTACTGGACTTCAGGCCTCTTCAACAACACATGGAGTATATTCTGCACCCAGGGCTCAGTCTTACCCATCCACTTCTCAGTGGCACCAAGGTCACTCAACGGTTGAGTTCTCACACAGCAAGAGAGGAAAAGGGAAGGATGCAAGAAGAGGGAGATCCATCCCCGACCTAGTATAGTATTTGGGCCATTGCTCTTCTCCACCCTTCATAAATTACTGATAATTTTGAAAAGTCTGGAAAGTGAGAAACAGGAAGGATAAGGAGAAACTATAAGGAAAAAGGAGGGAATTCATCTGGGGATGTTCTTCCATTCCTCTTTCCTCATCCAGACCCTTCACATAGTCCTCCCATCTTCATTCTAATTCCTTGACCCTGAATATTTGTGCTACCCTCTTCCCAAATCCTAATCTCCTTCATTGTAGCCAGGCACCAGGCCAAATCAATCACACATTCAGAACTGTGGGAGTCTCCTCCCAGTTCTCAGGGGTGGTGGGAAGGCACAGATCTCAAAGCTACAGAGTTTCAGTGAGAGCAGATTTGTTGCTTGCATTTAAATTTTTGGAAGCCTCACTTTTCATGGAAATAATGTTCTCCAAGATGACTCAGTTTGATAGCACTGTTATTCAGGGTACATTTTGTGTTAAATATGCTCTTGTCTATTGGCCTCAGATCCTACATATCATAATATAATATTCTGAGGTCCAAACAAATACATTATGGAACACGACCTGCTTCTATGCAGGAGCTTTGTCTGTACTGCACATTTATTCATCAGGTAGGAAAGTGGGGAAGTTTGCAAAATAGAGAAGGATTCTTTAAAGAGGCGGGAACAAGGTTATCTAAAGAATCTAGCACATTGGCTAAATTATATAATTATGAAAAGAGCAGACATTAGGCACAAGAGAAATTCATCATTTTTGTATCTCTACTTTCATTTTCTGTAAACAATGTACAACTTAACGTACAAAATTGCTATGATCAGGTCTGCTGGTAGTTCTAGATTTAAATATGGAAAAGCCTCATTAACAGAAATCACATGCCTACAATTCTTTTTAACAGAACTTTTGGTTGTCCAAACCATCATTCATGAGAGAACTCTAAATTCAGACAGGTGAAATACACTTTTAATTTACTGATGTTAATCCAACCAGATCATTTGGAAATATTTAAAATGCCTGTAACAGGAACCATTTACTGGAAGACTATAATGAATTACTTAATGTGCTTATTTCAGGACAAAACTAAGAGTAATATTCTACTTTGTAAAGGGGATTAGATTTGCAATGAAAGGAACTTACTGGGGAAACTGGCCAATTGAAAGCTGGCAAAACAATGTGAGCAGATGCATTAGAAGTCATCTGATCTGGGGAGCTAATCCCAATGCTGTCAGACCTTCTAAAACTGCCTCAACCATGTCAATGCACAAATGGAAACTTATTGCTAGTCTGCAGCTTTAATAGGGCAAGGGAGGTGCTACTGGCCTCACAAGCCAGGGAAGCTTTTCCACTGCATCTCGGCTGCATGGGCCTCCAGCACTCACAGATACAGACGTCCACATCAACTGTAAACTGACCCTCTGTTCTGAATGACCAGTGATATTCCTCACTACATTTCACGACAGTTACTTGAAATATGCACTAAACACATATGTGTAAAATGTACTTAAATGGCAAACCAAAGAATTAACACCTGATTCTAAATCTGACAAATTAATAAAGTAATATTTACTTATACGGTTATAAAAGGTTAGTGTTATAATAAAAAATGTCCTCATTTGTCCTGGTCAAGGGTGTGAATGGATATGAAATAAGAAAATATGAAAAAGTAGTATTGATAGGAAAAGTATTTTCCAACATTGCAATTGTTATGATTTTCCCACAATATTATTTACAGAAGTAGATTTACAATTTTGCCATTTGAAAAATATTGTAACTGTGAAATAGTTAACATTCAGTTTAAAGTTTGGGATTTAAAATGAGCCTAAATTGACGAAACAGACTGCCTTACCTTTAATTTATATGATGGAACTTGTTTTCAGGACAGAATATAAGATATACAGATTGAGCCAAATCATCTAAGCAATTAAGATTTCATTATTGTGGATACCACTGGAGCCCACACTGAAAACTGAGTGCTATTAACCTAAAGATTTAAAGTCACGATATCTGTGACTCAGTTGCCAAGTCCATCCAAGGTCAATGGTTAAGAGTTCAATGATTCTGAAAGTAGCAAAAAAAAAAAAAAAAGGAATTTCAAACTAAGATTGAATAGTTTGCTAATTTCCACAGCTCTGCATCAGACTTACCTTCCCTGGCTTCTTCTTATAACATCTCCTTTATCCACAAATACTCATCTGACAATCTCATATATTTGGAACACAACTGAGAATCAATTAGCCAAGTCACAAAAGTCAAGCCATCAAATTCTTTGCTCTGTCTTGGAGGAGAAACTCATACACCATCAATTTTACAGATTATTTGCTTTTATGCTTTACCTAAAAATATTACAAATTTGGCAACCTGTTTTCTAAATCTCTAAAGAGTCTAAATTTCTAAAGAATGTTAGAAGCCATAAATAAATGGGGTTAGTACTTGTTATAGGTTCTATGAGAGCAGAGATACAATAGTAGACAAAATAGAAAATCTGTCAAAACTGACTAAAGCTTAAAAAGCACAATAGTCTGGGGATACTGCAGTGAGAACCAATATAACTCAATAGGTCCTGCTGGCATCATGGTACTGCATTCATAGTAGAAGAGTTGATGTTCATTCTGATGTCTGATTCATTCAGAAAGTTCCTATTTTGTTTGGTTTAGTCAGTTTAATGAGTTATGAAAGTACTAATTCATTTTAGAAAGCTATCCATTTAAAAGGCTTAAAACAATATGTATGTGTATGTGGGTGTGTGGGTGTGAGATATCTACCTAGATATGGCTATATAAAGAGATATCTGTGTCTCTCTCTATCTATCCATGCTTAGATTCTAAGAACTTCAAGCTGATTTTGCCTACACTCAGTAGGTGCTGCTAGTACACCCAGGTGTACTAAGTGGGTGGCTTCTTGATTTGAACCACTAAATAGTGGGGTTTTGGTAGGTCTGAACCAAGTGAATTCCGTTTCTGTAGGTCAAAAACAGTCAAATATCAGTCATTTCATATGGCTCCAGCTAATGTTATTATGGGCCATTTTGTGATATGTATAATATTCCCATACAGTATTTTACTTAGCTGAATTATAAAATTAAATTAGACTATAAACATACAGTAACTGAGCAGTAGGGACCCTGAACTGCAAAGAAAAATGTGATTAATGTCACAATAGAAGTAAAAATAATAAAACAAAACCTGATATTTAAGAGTTCACATATTAGGACCCTCAATTACCACAAATTTACCACGAAGAGTTTTATTCTAACTCACAATAATACTAGGTAATATTTTATTTCTACTCTCCGGAAGATAGCTGGATTGTAAACACCAGTTGCTGGCTTATGATTGCCCAGGAAATGTGCACTGAAGCTAAAATGGAAACTTGTCAGGTTTTTCTCCCAGTCATGAGATCCATTTTGTTTGTTTATTTATTTATTAAGGGGGAGATGTGTGATTAAAAATAGTTTACAGAGTCAATGGAAGATACTATTAAGTTTGTTCATATTTCTGTTAAAAACAAGAAAACCTGAACTTTTGTTTTATTCTGCAGCAACTAAGATATTGGGTGATTAACAATGGGTAAAGGAAAAACATCAATTGGCAGTATGATTTTATTATAAGTAAATTTATTTCCAAGCTGGGAATATGCTTTGTGATTTCAGAAGATCAGGGTTTATAATCATTGTTAACCTTGCTGAGAAACAGTTGGCCTGTAGCCAACCTATTACATAACCTAGCCAAAGAAAGAAAACTGTTTCACAAAAAGCCACTAAATCAAACTCGCACTATTGTTGGCTATTAAATGAGCTTGTTTTGAACTCAAATGTATGCTCTTCAGAAGATTAAAGTAGTATGTTTAGAAAGTACATAAAAGCTGTTTATAACAAAGCAGGGTCTTATAATGATAGTTTAATTCCTTACATGTCCTATCAGCATATGTCTCTACTGTTAATATTTTCTTTTTAATAAGTCTCATAAAGTAGGTTGAGCCAAATAGATTCTCCTTTCCTGGTCTTTTTTAAAGCATTATCAAGTTACACCCTTTACTAATATTCCTAAAGATCTAAAGATTCTAGTATATATTCAAGTAATTCCTGTTAAATATTGTGAGAAAAATCCTATCTAAGCATAGTAATAAAACTATAGAAAGCAGAAGTGTAAAACTACAGGAAATATGTGTGTGTGTGTGTGTGTGTGCGCATGCACGTGCATAAGACAAGCTTAAAAACTATTTTTGGACCAGGGCCATGAACTGAATGAATATGATCTTCATCAAGGCCCAAGAGGAACCTTACACTTTAAAGGAACAAAAACTTTCTATGGACAATTTGTTATGTACAGCTACATCAAGGTTAAAAAAAAAAAGGATATAACAGAGAGTTTAAATGAGGTCAACAGAATTACACCAGCTGGTCCCACTCCCCACTGGGCTGCGGAGGGAAGTGAAGCAATCCACAGGACACAGGTTTAATCCAGACAAGGCTTCACAGAAAAAGAAAATCAACACAGCACATTGCACTGAAAAACAATCTTCAGCCGGTCCAGATTATGGAGTACTAGGAGGACTCCATATTTGAAATGTTTGCCCTTCAAAGAGAAACTCTTACATACTAAGCCAGTTAGCCCAGGTTTTGATACAAATCACCAAATTCAGAAATACAGACTTCAACTTAGAGAAGAGAAAGGGAGGAGGGGGTCATACATTTTGGTGAAAGCAAATGGAAAACCACAATTGCCTATGTTACGATAATGCCTTAAAAATGTAAAGTGGAGCAGTAGGGAGATGCTCCTCCCTTTCTTCACAGATCCCAGTGCTGTCTCACATGGAGTGTGGGGTGACAGGAGGACTTTGTGCAGGGCTCTGCTAGACTCATTATGATGATACCCAGACACCGGGTGTCTCACACACATTCCTCTTCTGCTGCCTCATTCAAACACCACAATTAAGATGCTGAAGACTGTAATTCAAGCTAAAGGAAGAGCCGCAAGAATAATGGCCAATGCATAAATTTAGATGTGAAAAACAGACATATCCATTGATAGTATTATTGGGACAGCCACTCCATTTAAAAATAGGGCATCCTAGTCTTTTTCCCTTTATAATGCTCTCCTCTTGCTTAGCTGGCTCTGTTCTCTATAGTTCTGTACCATCCTCTGGTTTTGTCCATCTGTCTCAGTTTCCTTCCCCCAGAGATAGTGATAGAGATTGTTACTTTTGCCAGAGGCAGCCTGGAATAAACTGAGATGCCAGGAACAAAGAGGCCTCCCTGGAATCCTGACCTTTCAAAAGCTTTTTATGAACACTTGAGATAGAGAGAAGCCTGCTGACTTCACTCACCTGCATATACCAGACAGAAGAACACAGAAGGCCGTTCTTTTTTTGGCCTTACCCTGAGAGTTGAGGTCATTCTTGCCCCTAATAGAATACATTTTCACTGGCTTTACTTGAAAAACTACATTTAAGTGATGGCATGGCAGTTACGGCTGAAAATAAGCCTAGTTTATTCAAATAAAATAAGCAACATTTCATTGAATTTACATTAGAGCAAAAAATAAAATGAAAGGTAGCATCAGGCAAATTAAGAGGATGAATGAAGCTATATCAATGTTAGGCTTATGTAGTATTTCTACTGTGAGTAGCCTTGAAGTATATCATGATGGGCATTTAACTCATGCAGTACCTTTTGCCTAAAAATAGAGAACCCTTTATCTCAAAAAGCAAATAAAATACTTTGTGTCATGTTTTTATAATGTTGAGATTTGTAAAAACTTATATTGATTATCTCATTTAAATTTCATTAAAATATTCAACATTGGCAAGGCAAGTATTAGTACCCCAGCTAAGGAATCCAGACTGATAGAAGCAGCAGCTAAGTGAAAATCAGGCCACGCTATTGGTAAGGGAGTGTTTCTACTTCCACCTCATGACTAACTACCTGATATAAAGTGAGTCCCTTGCCTTCCCTGGGCAGGTAGTCCATTCATTTGTTCTTTAACTCAACAGCATGGGTGTGAGTTGAACAAGACAGACAAATTACTGCAATGTGTATCATGACTGGAGAAAGAATTCAACAAGCAAGTCGTGTGTGATATGGTTAAGGAAAAGAAGAATCTAACTTTCTCTTCAATGCAGTTCTAGCCCATCGGCCACCTGAGAGCAATGGGATAAGGCCAAAGTCAAGGTCAGGCTCAGGGGTTTTGAGTGTATACGTGGACTTCCTAAGATACACTTCGATTGAGTTCTTTTATTGCATCCCCTAGGCAAATGCAATTGATTTCAGAATTATTGATTGTTTTGGATGTTCCAACCCAGTTTCCCTTCATACTTGGGGATAATCAAGAGCTGATTTCTGATTCTCAAGAAAAATGGAGAATTTAAGGAATATTAGATCTCAAACTATCGGTATAATCTTCTAATTTGTCTCATTATAAAGTATTCTATTTCTATAGGACAGGTTAATAATCCAGAAAAATGAAACTAAGATGATCAAAACCTGTAGTTAATACTTTAAAATACAATCCAACACCATTTAATCTTCTGAGTTGGTGACACTCCAATTTCTTCTCTCTAACGTTTCCTTAAGAGTTGTAATTGGGGCCGGGCGCGGTGGCTCACGCCTGTAATCCCAGCACTTTGGGAGGCCGAGGCGGGCGGATCATGAGGTCAGGAGATCGAGACCATCCCGGCTAAAACGGTGAAACCCCGTCTCTACTAAAAATACAAAAAATTAGCCGGGCGTAGTGGCGGGCGCCTGTAGTCCCAGCTACTTGGGAGGCTGAGGCAGGAGAATGGCGTGAACCCGGGAGGCGGAGCTTACAGTGAGCCGAGATCCCGCCACTGCACTCCAGCCTGGGCGACAGAGCGAGACTCCGTCTCAAAAAAAAAAAAAAAAAAAAAAAAAAAAGAGTTGTAATCAAAGGATGCCTGGGTAAGAGCTGGGTTTGGTTTTGGTACTTAGGTCTTTTGGTAATTCCATTTTAGCACCACTGAATTATCATTAGTGCTTTAAAGAGCTGCCTTTTGTGGATAGAATGAATTATTATACATATTCATCATTTTTGTCTTCCTACTGATACATTTAAGGAGTGGAGATACAATATTTTCATCCAATAGGTCACAATGCATATAATTGCTGACATTTTAAATGCATCTGGAAAAATAAATGTTACTATATTATTGTAGATTATAGAGTGTCCTTCACTTTTTTACTTTTATTATTTCCACTTTGGAGATTCTGTCAATAAAAGTCAAGTGCCATTCCACCCTGTGAGGGTACAGGGAGAAGAAGCTGTCTTTCAATCAGAAAATGGGCCCTCACCAGACACTAAATCTGCTTGTACATGGGTCATGGGCTTCCCAATCTCCAGAATTGTGAGAAATAAAGTTTTGTTGTTTAGAAGCCCCCAACTCCCTCGAAAAAAACCAAGTCAAGTGGTTTCAGCTGTTTCATGTTTAAATCATTTAACAAAATGTTCTGGGCGCCCAGAGCATGCAGAATACTCCCCCTAAAGCAGCTACAGCCGGGCCGGCGGCAACCCCTCATCCTGACCTGAAAACTGGGTTAGTCATGGAAGAACACAGGGAGTGAAAAAGTTGAAATTTCACAGCATGCTCTGAAATAACGGAATATAAAGGTACACACTGCTCCCATCAAAGGAGAAAAGGTGTGGTTTTATTTCCACATACCATCAATATTTTTAGCATAAAAATACCTAAATCATTTGAATACCAAATCCCATCTTCCATTTTGTCAAAAATAATGACCTTTATTCTAAATTGCCAAGAGTTTCATTAGTTCTAGAGAGAGCAGAAATGCTTAGTGCAGCACCAATGACTCCTGCTCAGAAGCCTAAGGAAGAGAAATGCCTTATGAGGACAATAACCTGATTTTATTTCACTTGGGAACAAGGCTTTTGAGTCTCTTGTTGCTTCTCACAGTTAACGTAATGTATTTATCAGATGCTGCGAAGCGATTACTTCATCTGCTCCAGTCATCAGAGGCAAATAAGATTACCATGTGAGACAGCAGAGAAAGGAACTTGTTTTTTCTAACCACATTAAAGTCACACAGCCTATGTTGTTTACATGAACAAAACACATAAGAAACAAATAAAAAAATCAGAAATTTGATTAAATTTCAGATGAACCATGTTATGAATACGGAAACACATACATTTACTTGAAATCCATATCATTGTCATCAAAACAGGACACAAATGTATTGACTTGACTGCCAGAGGCTGGAAGTAAGTGATAAGAGCTGGAATGTGTTGCTCAGAGTGGTTAACAAGGAAATAGAAACAATCCAGTAGCAAGCAAGAGAAGGACACAATCTTCCTGAGGGCAAAAGCCATTGCTAACTTATTTGGACTCACATCTAGACAAGTGTCAGTTTCTTAAAAGTGCCTATTAACCAATCTGGGCCACATCTTCCTGGGGATAATCTGCAGACTGGCAGAAAATTGACTCTTTTGGAGATAAATGTATATGCTCTTCCAAATTTCAGAGGATTGTTTAGAAAATAACTATTCAAGGATTTGACTTTACTCCCAAATCTGTAAAAGGATGATATTAGATAGCACTTTACTCCCAAATCTGTAAAAGGCTGATATTAGATAGCAGAAATACAGATTTTCACTTTTGATAAACTGCGAAAAGTCAAGAGATCAATGTATTTCCTGGCTTGAAGGAAATTAAACCAAAAACAATTCTTCACAAAATATTAATATATTGAATACAACAATATATAATTAGGACAATATATTATGACAAAGTGGGGTTTATCCCAGTAATGCAAGGCAATTAATGTAATCCACCATACTAATAGATTTTTGACAAAGATGCCAAGGAAATTTAATGAGAGAAGAGATAGACTTTTCCACAAATGGTGATGGATCAGCTAGATATCTGCATGGAAAAATACAAAAGAACCTCAGACTGCATTCAAAAATTAAGTTTAAATGAATTATGAATCTCAACATAAGAGCTAAAATGTTAGAAGAAAACACAGGAAAAAACATTTGTGATATTGAATTAGACAAAGATTTCTTTTTTTTTTTTTTGAGACAGAGTCTTGCTCTGTAGCCCAGGCTGGAGTGCAATGGCGTGATCTCGGCTCACTGCAAACTCCATCTCCCGGGTTCAAGCCATTCTCCTGCCTCAGCCTCCCAAGAAGCTGGGACTACAGGCATGAGCCACCACGCCCGGCTAATTTTTTTTGTATTTTTAGTAGAGGTGGGGTTTCACTATGCTGGCCAGGCTGGTCTTGAACTCTGGACCTCAAGTGATCCGCCAGCCTCGGCCTCCAAAACTGCTGGGATTATAGACGTGAGCCACAGCACTTGGCCAAATTAGACAAAGATTTCTTAAGCACAAATTATAAAAGAATGATAAAATGGATTTATCAAAATGAAAAATCTTATATTTGAAAAAACACAGTTAACAAAAATACAAGCAACATACTAGGAGAAAATCTTTGCAATACATATGTCCAACAAATAGCTTGTATCTACAATATACGAAGAACTCTTATAATTCAAGAAGACAATCTAAAAATGAGCAAAAGATTTGAACAGACACTGCACAAAAGAAGGTATACAAATGGGCAATAAGTACATGAAAAGAAGTTCAACATCACTAGTTATTAGGGAAATGTGAATTGAAATCACAATGAGATATCACTACACACCTACTAGATTGGCTACAGTTGGAAAGGTTCACAATACCAAGTGCTGGAAAGGATGTGGAGCAAGTAGATCTCTCATACATTGCTGGTAAAAATGCAAAATCATACAGGTACTTGGGAAAGCAGTATAGCAATTTCTTACAATATTAAAGGTACATTTACCATATGACTCTGCAATCTATTCCTGTTTGCGCAAAGGCAAAACCACAATGACAAAAATCAGGTATGTGGTAAAGGGAGAAGGTGACTTGGTGACTTTTTAAGATGAGGAAACTGTTGTATATCTTGATAGTGGTAGTGGCTAAACAATTGAATAGCCAAAATTCCTCAGGCCACACCCTTAAAATAGGTGAATTGTATTGTATAAATATACTTTAATAATAAATAAAAGTAAAAATTACATAAATGTTCCTATTTATCCACTGCCTGTTCATATAGAAAAGAACATAGAAAATGGCCACAGAGTAACACAGTGAAATTAAGATTTTGAGAAAAGAGTGATCAGAAATCCAGATCCTAAAATGTCAAGTCCAGCCCAAAGAAACTACCTTTCACCACTATGAATATCATCCAGGAGCTTTTATTATATTTTTGGGAAAAGTGTTATTACCTGTAAGACAGTAATAACAGCTGATTCTGGGTACATTCAATTACATAATGGAGAAATAGTTTCATCCTGTAACAGATTTCCAATGACAGTTTGCCTTTAGTAAACCTTGAAGAAGGCGAGAGAAAAGGATGGGAGGGGAAAAGAATGGAAGAAAGAGAGCTAAAGAGGAAAATGAGAGAGGAATGCCAACCAGGAGAAAGAACAGCTGACCAAAAAACAAAACAAAACAAAGCAAAATAGTAGAAAAGTACAGGCTAAGAAAAGAGGTTACGGGAAAAACAGGGGAAGAACTGAGCAATACAAATGGATACACACCTAGGAAAACAAGAGATGTGAGAAAGAATGTTGAGGTCAATGAAAGCAAGCAAGCCAGGCGCGGTGGCTCATGCCTGTAATCCCAGCACTTTGGGAGGCTGAGGTGGGTGGATCACTTGAGGTCAGAAGTTCGAGACCAGCCTGGGCTACATGGCAAAACTCCTTCTCTACAAAAAATACAAAAAAATGAACCAGTCATGGGGGCCTGCATGTGTAGTTGCAGCTACTCAGGAGGCTGAGATGGGAGGATCACCTGAGGCCATGAGAGGCTGCAGTGAGCCGTGATTGTGCCACTGCACTCCAGCCTGGGCAATACAGCAATACCCTGCCTAAAAAAAAAAAAAAAGGCAAGCAGAGTCCAAGTCAGACACCAGGTACAATGGGTGGACAGAGAAAAAGTAACTATAAATGAGGAAAGAAAAAAAAAAGAGGGTTAGGAAGTCCACATTTGGATGGGAACATGAGACATGAGAGTGCCAATATTATTTTGTTGTAAAATTAAAATATTGTAAGGAAATACCGAAGAAATAACTTGAAGAATTACTTTCCAGATGTTTTCAACACACTTTTTTTCCTTCTATGAACTGTAACCTTCCTGGGGCCTTTTAAAATCTTACTTGGCTCTCTTAAATGTAAATACCTCAATTTAAGGCATGGTTTCCCTTCCAAGGACTTTTAATTTATACATTTTAATAATTCTCTTCAAGGCTTTCAAAATGCCCATGAAATGACTTCCCACTATGAAGCACAGGGACAAGAGGGAGATAGATTATAAAGACCTGCCTGTGTTCTGGTTCCAGGTCTGTCAGTAATAGCTGGACAAGTTCCTTAATGTGTGTGTGTGTGTGTGTGTGTGTGTGTGTGTGTGTGTGTGTGTGTTCGTGTGTATTGTGTATGTGTGTTAACAAACCAGTTTTCCAGTTCCACTTATTTCACTCCCTTTTCTTTCTTCTTTACTCTTTCCTGTTTTCCTTCCTTTCCTTAATTCTATTTCATGGTTTTTCCTTTCTCTCTCCTTCCCTTCTTTTTCTCCCTTCCAACAAACCTGAGAACATGCTGCAGGCTGATCACTGTGCCAGCTGCCAGGGACACAAAGCCACAAGCGGTTCCACCCTGCTCAGGATCTGGGCTGGCTGGAAGGTAGCTGACTCGTCAGTAATTTTCAATACTTTAACATTAAGGAGAAACAACTACTGACCATTCTATCCTCCAATATTAGTCCTTGAAAGCAAGACTTTCTTTCCCATGGGAATTTAAACCTTTGGGATATGACATTTTTCTTGGTTATACACTCTTATTTATCTCCCCATTCCCTAATGTCATGTCTTCGCAATTCAGTTTGGAATTTTAAAACTCAGCCTGACAAGACAGCCTGAGGGTCCCGCAAAGTTGAAGCTATAAACATGATCATGTGAACTTAGGGATAATCATTTGTGGCAACAACAAAAACTCCAGCAACCTGAAACATAAACAACTTCAGAAAAATGTGCCTCATTTTAGCAGGGTTTTGATGTGTAAGAAATCACTAAAAATAGGTTTGAAAATATCCTAACTGGTGTTGACATATTAGCATACCTTACAACTCTTCTAGATTTCCACAATTATTACAAAGAATGTGGAGTAAGAGGATCTTTTCTTTAAAAAAAAAGATATATGTCTTTGTATCTTAATCCCTCCCCTTCTTAACTTACCTTACAAAATTTAATTAATGCCTTGAATATCTATAGAAATTTCTCTTCTCATGCTATGACTAATTGATCTCTGCAAATTAGCAAGTGTTTCAACCAAAAAGCTCACACCATACGATGCTTAGTAGTTTACTTGATACAACCCATAAAACATGACAGGCTCAAGAAAGAGCAAAGCTCACATCCACCTTAATACAAGTTAAGGTTCAAGAATACAATGGTTTATTACCTAAAGTAAGATAGTTAAAAGAGCTCTGATCAAATTACTCAATAAGAACTCCAATCCTTTCCTTAGTCTCAAGAGGCGACACAACAAGAACCATGGTGGAAATGGTTAATTATGGTGGAAATATTAAAGGTGCTTTTGACACAACCTGGGCATTGGTCTAAGCTTATAAGAGAACAGAAAACAACCCAAACAAGCAGCTGGCCCAGGATTCACAGCATCCCTTTCTCAGCAATTCTGAATTATGATTTCTTAAAGAGAAATAGTGGGTTCTTTCAAGTTACTTGGTACAGAACCCAGAACATGTGTGCATACTTAATAAACAGTATTTGATGACAAAACAAATGCAAACAGTGTTGGCTATTTTGAGAGTCATGCTCCTTAATGACTTGAACTCCTAACAGATGCTCTAGGTAGGAGTTAACTAGCTCCCTTGGAGCAGACATTTCATTTGCTCTTTGAAAATATTAATAGGGAGAAAAGACTTGCTCTGTGTTTCTGCCAGTGCTTTAAAACAAGACGTCCTTTCATCTGTGCGTGTTTTTTTCTTTTTTTCCTTTCCAACTTTTATTTTAGGTTCAGGGGGTGCATGTGCAGGTTTGTTACATGGGTAAATTACGTGTCATGGGAGTTTGGTATACAGATTATTTTGTGACCCAGGTGATAAGCATAATACCTGATAGGTAGTTTTTCAATCCTCACCCTCCTACTACCCTCCACCCTCAAGTAGGCCTAAGTGTCTATTGTTCCCCTCTTTGTGTCCATGTTTACTCAATGTTTAGCTCTCATTTAGAGGGGAGAACATGCAGTATTTGGTTTTTCTGTTCTTGCATTAATTCGCTTAGGATGATGGCCTCCAGGTCCATCCATGTTGCTGCAAAGAACATGATCTTGTCGTTTTTATGGCTGCATAGGAGTCCATGGTGTATATGTACCACACTTTCTTTATCTAGGGTACCACTGATGGGCATTTAGGTTGATTCCATGTCTTTGCTATTGCGAATAGTACTGTGATGAACACACGTGTGCATGTGTCTTTTTAGTAGAATGATTTATATTCCTTTGGGTATATACGCAGTAATGGGATTGCTGGGTCAAATGGTAATTCTCTTTCAAGCTCTTTGAGAAATCTCCAAACTGCTTTCCACAGTGGCTGAACTAATCTCCATTCCCACCAGCAATGTATAAGCACTATCTGTATAATGTTTACTGCTACATTCACAAGGGCAGGTAGGGGAGGAATCTAGTTCCACAGTCCACAGACAAACCGGAGAACTTTAACATCATCACAAATCATCACCCCTTAAGCAAGTTTCTCCTGACAGCTGAGACATTATCAAAGATGATTTATATTCAGAGATGCTAAGGCTAGTCTATGCCCAAAAGGAAAAAAAAACATGACCTTTAACTAGTTATACCTGGGGAAGGGAACCAAAAAGGGTGAAGGTGAAGGGACAGCTGGGAAAGTCAAAATAAAAATCTACCCAGAAACCTGCTGCTGAAGTATTTGCATTAAACAGTCTCAGCCCAGCATACATTGGTACATCCCATTGGAATTTCTTCTTCTCTAAATATGAGCCTACTTCAGGCATTTGCCATGTCATCAACTATCACTATTTTTTTAAATTCCTGAATTCTTTAGGGTTAGAAATCTCTCACAACAAAGACAAAAAAGTAGACTAGGATTCACTTTAAAAAAAAAATGCCCTGTGGCTGAGTCTGTCACCTGGGAATGTTTCAAAGTCAGCTCTCATCTTGGGGCAGTGCTTAGCAGAGGTGGGGCTGACTATACTGGGTCTCCTGCCTCCGACAGGTTCCAGTCTCCTCTCACTGAACTACAAATTTTCTAACTCTTTATGGACAGAGCAGACACTTGGCAACTAACTCCCTTTCTCTTATTAGGTCTCTCTTCAGAAAGGCTGGAGATGACACTGCTAACACCACCTTTAGAAGAAGAGGCAGCTCAACCCTCAGAAACACTCCCCTCTAAGGATTTATTTATCAAAATGTCACCACAATAATTGTTACAGCCAGCCTTGCTCCTTCAAAACCATGCTGCCTTGATAGACTACAGTTAGTTAAAATTCCTTTGCTTTGGTTGCTTTTAAAAAAAAATGTGTGTGTTACTGTATCTCACACACCACAGCTTTAGGAAATGTTAGCAAACTGCAAATAATCTCTCACTCACATAATTGTCAAGATGTTTAAAGTCATTTCCTTCTACAAATATGTCCAAACTCTGTTATCCTATCCCTATAAAGTTATATATCATTCAAGGGCTTTTAAGGAAAGTACACAAACCTGTATTAAGCAACAAATAAATGCCACAGACCAGGCTATGTGCTATTCATTACCCTCTCACTCTGTGAAGTGGGCAGTGGACATTCCTGTCTCTGTTTTACAGATAAGAAAACAAAGCCAGGCAAGTCCAAAGCAGTAGATGGCAGAGGCAAGAATCAAATTCAAGTCTGCGTGATTCCAAGTTCCAGTGATGTGCTTTCCTATGTTATTGTGACCCTCAAAAAGCCTCACGCATTTAAGTTTTGTGGGAACAAGGTGAAAATTGCCCCTGAGAAGCTTGGATTCATTCTTCGGGATGGGGCTGGGGGTGCTGGCATGGTTAACTTCAAGGAAAAGGCTTAGTCAAACCAGGCTGTAATCATACAAACTCATGCTCTCCAGTTCTCCAAAAAGGGTGCCATGAACATGTTCAGGAAAGAAAAGTAGCTCCCAAGAAAAACCAGCATCCTGAGGGAACCGCATGGCTGTAGTCTTCCTCTACCTCACCCATAAGGCGATCTCTGGCAGAGACAGGAAATGGGCTTCATCGCTATTGCCAGCCCAGATTGAAAGACAGTTGGAAAGATTCCGGGCTATGGCAAGAGTACAGAATCAACTAGCAAATGCTCATGGCCCTCCCTTCATTTATATGTTTGGTATGAGTCTGGTCAAATTATTTCAACCCTGTATGACTCAATTTCCCCTACCATCAACCCTACAACTTCTCCCCAATCATGAAACCATTTTGTTCATTGTTAATTTATACACTGTGAAAACGGAGGTGGAGAAAGGTACAGCCAAAATCTATAGTGAATCTTATTGTGTTTATTCTACTAGTTTTTATATAATTATTAAAAACTGATCAGTGGTAGTCTTAGAAGAATAATATTGATTATAAAACTATTCAGCATAACAAAAGAATATCCAATATAAAATAATCTATTCAAACTTTCCTATTAATGTATATCTTGCATACAAAGATTTATTTGAGGTAGGGGCGAAGGTCATAGTACCTTAATCTCCAGGTAGGTGCCTCCGAAAGTCCATGAGTCCCACTGTAGGTGTAGAGGCTCTACAGTTGGATGAGAAAAGTCTGAATATTTCAGCCACAGACTTTCAATTAGGCAAGTGAGGAGAGAAAAGGGCAGGGAGGTATGAAATCTCATAGTTTTCATTCTTTATAGTGGGGAATTCTCTTGCAGTAATTGATTTACTGAGGATTATGTTGCAGCACACTCATGCTATAATTGGTTGCACGCAAGTTAACAAGCCCTGATTTGTAGACTGCAAATATGACACACTGCAGACAGTCTGCTATTCCTGCCCACCTCACTACAGGTTTCTAGATATGCAAATTGAGCAAACCTAACATATTGATGCTGATTAGAAATGAAAGCCCTTATTATACAGAGGTAGCCCTTGTGTTGCTGTTGACAAGGCTATGCCAGAATTGAAATTTGGAGCCATAACTCATACATTCTACATAAGTAAAATATGCAAGGCACAGAGGGCATTGTAAACTAAGGAGGTACTCAAAAAGGTGAGTTTTCAAGTAGGTCTGTGACTTACATTTCTTTTTCATAAGCTCAGCAATTAAACAGTCCATGAATTAGGACTCAAAAGAGTGATGAGTTAAAAAAGTCTTCAGTACAGCATAGAAACTCCATGAGGATGGGTGGATTATATAATACTAGAAGTGATATTTGGGGGCCAATTAAATCTTTCCAATGATAATTTTGATACAAACCAATAAATTGAGGTGCTGATGGAAATAGATCCTATATAAAACAGCAAAGGATAATCATTTCATATTTGACCCAGACCAACAAAGTGAAAACAGCTAAACAGAGAAGGAAATCAAATGAAACTGAAGATAAACCCATAAAATGAATAGTTACTAAAGACAATTAAGATGGAATTTGGAATGAACCACAGTAGTTAACTCTCCATGAGAGAACACATGTAAAAAACATATTTTAATACCAGTCCACTACAAAAAATGTAGAGAAGCTCAAATCCGCACTTCTTTTATTCTATTCCATGAAGTCTATTAACTAACAGTGTAGCTAAATATACTTTTATTTTTATAACATTTGAAAGACTCAATGTAGATAAATTTAACTATTGGGGGAAAAAGCACAGTCTTTTTTTTTTTTTTTTGTCTGACCTAACGTCTTGACTTGCATTTTGAATATTTGGTTACTATAGAAATAAAGTATATGACCTATTCCAGAGAACTGGGAATTGTGTACTTGTTTCACTTCTTAATCAATAACATACAATGGGGGAAAATATGGCCTTAACTGTTATTCAGGTTAATTATACTGCAATGAAATCTCAGACTCACATACTGAAGAAGTCCTTCAGATAATTCAGTGTATATTATATCTGGGAGTACTGTCTTCTAATAGGGGCACTTATTAGCCAAAGAAGAACAAAGAGCCAGTAATCTTCAGGGATGGCAGCTGTCAAACAGCATAAATCAGAGACCACAATTGATTAACTAACTTGAGCAGTAAAAACAGACTTACTTGCTATGGCAATAAAGAAAAAATTGAAGATTTGATCACCTGAGAGATTCTTTATTCTCATGGGATTTCAGAGAAATCAGAAACCACAAAGAGAAAATGCCCACCAGCTTATCGATTGTAGTCTTAAAATAATAATATTCTGTAATAACTTTTCTTTTGAAATGTTAAAGTGGCTGTACCAATACTAATTTCTAGAGTGACTGAGACTGCTAGCGGCATGCCAACCTATCATTAACAAGACATTCAGCAAGGTGACTCCTGGACAGAATATGAGTTAGAGCTAAAAAATTCTAGGCTCTTGCCTGTCTCTGTGACCTCCAAATAACTCATTCCCCTAATTTAGGAACTACTTTTCCAATATATTCAGACATTTCAAATTATGACTATTCAATTAATGAAATTTTAGGTTTAAAAATTAGACTCCCACCGTCTTCAGATCATATCCCACCAAACTGCCACCCGCAGTGCCGGGCACCCAATTCCTAGGGGAAGCGTTCAGAGTTGAGCATGTCATATAAGTAGGGCTGCTTGTCTGGAAAAGGCAAACTGGAAAATGACTTAATCATCTTGTCTGAAAATATTTGAAACGTTCATCTGTAGGAAAAAGAAGTCTCAAGTCCATCCCACATGGTTTACAGGGGTAGAATTTCAGGGTGGCCTCGCAGAACAGAGGTAGCACATTATAAGGATCCTGGCTTTGAATGAACATGAAGAAAACGAAAGGAGGCAGCTGCATGGTGAGAGAGAGTTCCTTTCACTGCAAAAGAGTCTAGCAGCAGCTAGCAATGACCTAGCAAGGTGTATGTCTGGAAGATTTCCTTGCACCACTCAGAAGACTGAACTAGAGAGGATGGGTGGCGGCTTCCTCCACCATACTGTGACTGGGATCCTAAGTGTGGCACTACTGGGTAGAACGTTCATGGTCTTCCCTGGAGCCCTGCGCTCTTGGAAAATCACTCCCTTCTTGAATGCCAGCCTTTGGAGTAGAGTGGGTTCCTCTTCATGAGAGAACAGCCACTTCGGTCTATTCTTCAGCTATCTTTCACTAGGAGAAGAGATTTGGGGACATGATTTAGTAAATCTTAAAAACGTTCAGCCTAAATGTTTGGATCTGAGTTTGTTTGTTTGATTGATTTTTCTAAGGTTCTCTCAATATTGCCACATAATTCTAGATACTCCCAGGTAGAGAAAAATGGAACACTAAGGCACAATGAGCCAAGAGGGGAAGAGGAATATCTCCCAATTTAGATTCACCTCCACTTGACATCAGCATGAATTCAAGTTGAAAAATATTGATTATGCCCTGGGCAATGCAAAGACTGCTGCATGTTGTGAGAAAATCAGGGATGAATATGTCTCTGTATTGAAACTTTGTCATGTTATATAGAAGATTTGAAGCACCTTAAGAGTATGGCTACTACACAGGTCTTGACTTTACAAAGGTCACAGACTAGAAAGATCCAATTAGTAGTTTGGGGCCCTGGCTTTAGAATCAGATGGCCAGGTCTGAACTATTAATCAGCCAATGACAAATTATGTGACTCTAGGTAATTTGAAATACCTTCTCATTTTATAGCATTTACAAAAGAAATTAAAGCCCCTGCTCTTCATTCTCATCCCCATATACAACAAGGAATAAATGAGGATATATTAATATAGAAGACTTTGCACTTCATCGGCAAACACCTTTCTAACCAGATTTCCTAAGCATTTACCATAAAATGACACTGCAGAATAAATTACATTTGTTTTTCTGATGTAGGTTTTTCTAAGTAACTTCAGGTAAGTATATGTCAAATATATAAGAGCTAAACATAGAAATTCTACACCATCATTATTCATCTATTTGCTTTGTTCTATAAAGTCTTACATTATTTTGTATACATTGATCTTTGTTACTTAGTGATAAAGTGATAAAACACATGGGTGTGCCACGCGAATAGAAAAACAGACAAGTTCTGATAAAATTAGACAAGGAGCTACAGCAAATATGATTCCAATTCACAGAGAGAACCTCAGTTTATTATTTTCCATCTTCTTTGTGTCCCCATCTTACTGTTCCCCTTAACTGCCGTTATTCATCTGTTCCCCTTAACTGCCCTTATTCACCTATGATTCCCATCTTTCTTCTAAATCCTAAGTCTCCTGAGTCTGGGTGCCACGTCTTATTTGTGTTTTTGGTACCATGCCTGACATATGGAAAGCATTTCATACACATTTGCTGAATGAGTGAATGAATGAATCAATCTCCTCCCAACTATTTTCAACATTCATCTTTCATAATTTTTGAAAGGTGTCTGCAAGTCCACAGGGTTAAGGAATCCTCTTGCCTGTGTTGGGGCTCAGCAAACAATACCCTGAAATATGGCCCTCTGACATGCTGAATTAAAGAAGCAGCCTCAAGGTCTCTCTAACCAACCCTGCTCC
This sequence comes from Homo sapiens, assembly GCF_000001405.40. Lineage (NCBI taxonomy): Eukaryota > Metazoa > Chordata > Mammalia > Primates > Hominidae > Homo > Homo sapiens. The sequence goes on from NC_000013.11 coordinate 39,467,515, forward strand.
TGTCGCTGACTCTTTCTCTCCAAAAGCACTGGATAAAGCTGTTCTCTGAAGTTCCCTTATCTACCTGGAAACTAGATCCACCAATGAGAAATGCAATTAGCTTTGATCCCCTCCCTAAAATTTCATTAATCAGAGAAGATTAAATTCATATCATAGAGGAAGAGACTAAAAATTAAACACCACACCTAGGGCCCAGGTGAACTTTGTCCCCAAGTATTGTCTGTTTAATGCACAAAAAGAATTATTTACTAATCATTGTCTGGACATTTGGCTCATTCACTCCCCCTAAAAATTATTTACTGCTCTTGAAATTGCCATATTCTCCCCATCTCACCTTTCCCTATGAAGAAGGGTAAATAAGCATCTGGACCCCATTGGGTTATTGAGTGATCACTTTCCCGTGATTTTTCCCCTGTGCACATTGAATAAGTTTGTGTGCCTTTTCTATTTATCTGCCCATTGTAAGATCATTTTCAGGGAAGCTTCAAAAAACAGAGGGGAAGCCTTCCTCTTTTGCCCCATGCCTGTCAAATTAATATACTTGTTCCTCTTGGTTCCACATTTCTTCCATTCAATGCCAATAAAATCTTTCTCAATGGTACCACTCCACTGCTATCTTTTTCACCGATCTACATAAACTCAAGTCTTCACATTTATTTTACATAATGTAAACCCATTGTGATCTGTGCAAGCCTATGTATTTGATATTCCTTTAATCTTTTTCTCCTAATTCCTTTCTGAAAATTCATTACTTCTTTATTCTTACTTATCCTCTCATTTTTCTATAATAGAAAATGAACATTAAACAGTTCCCTTTATAGCTGTTTTGGAGTAATCATGCATTTTTCCTGGCTTTAATCATTTGATCCCAAAGAATAAGCTGGGTGTGGGCAGCAGGAACTGTGTGCTTTGATATCCTTGGTGCTCCAATCAGCTGGAGAACAATTTGGTATTGAGCAGTTCCTGAAAAAAAAAATGCTGGCTGATTTTTTGAACTGGGCCAAGAGCCATGAAATATCTTAACATTTCTGTCAGTGGCATAATGCTTCCATGATGTATCTCTTCATCCTTGGCCATGTCCTAAAAGTAATGTCATGATTTGCACTCTGAAATCCATCAGGATTATTCATATCCCCAGGAAATGGTCTGAATACACCTTTCTGATCAAAAACATCTAATATTACCCTTTTACATTCTCATTAACAACCACTTATGACTTCTCTGCATATGATTACAATTCTCAGAAGAAGCCAAGTCTTGGACTGTTTTTAATGTATCGAAAACTCAATCTTGATTTCATAGGGGAATTAAGGTTATGGTCAGCATCCTCATTTCACCACTTATACAGCTGGAAGATGCCAAATGTAAGAAAAAAAAAAAAACCTGTATCAGGTTTGAATTGCAACACTGTATCAAGTAAACCCCAAAGCATTGTTTCTAATGCTAGAAATATTTTAACTAAGTTAGTATGCCTCAGGCTAGCCTAACTGTATAAGGCCTAGGATAGCAGTAACTGTTTTAGGTGAAAAAATAATCCTATTCACAAGGATTTTAACTATAAGGCACCAGTCACCAAAGCAAGACACTTCTTAACTCTCTTGCCAGTAGAGCTGCCCTGAAAGTACTTCAAGTCACTCTACTTTTGTCTCCTGGCCTCCCAGTAGGTTATTTTCCTTTCCTCCCCACCTCTCTCGCACACGGGTAACCCTGCAACACAGGCACTGTGTGCTGCCAGCCACTTTGTGTTCAAAATGCATCTGAGATTGGGATTCTTGTGGCCATTCAGTTCATAGCTCTATCTCCGCCCTCTCCTCTGCCATCGGCAAACTGCCCACCACCACGCACTTTCCCTCTTTACCAGTGTAGTTCAAATAGCCCTGGTTCCTTTCCTCCTTCAAGGTGGCTGATATCTTTCTTCATGGCATTACACTCACATCCACTGTGGAATATAGGCAGCTCCCCTGATGCTTTACATCAGGCTGCCCACACCTGGGCATGACCCCCAAATCCTCCCTATGACAGCCCTGTTTCCTTGCTCACCTTGAGGGAAAACAAATGGGTTAGTGCTCAGGACTGAAAATAAATCAGAAAAAAAGGTCATCAAGAGCATACAGTAAACTCTGTCTTTAGAAGGCCAGACAGGCTCATGGAATAAACTTGTAGTAGATGTTTGTGGGTTTTGATTGACCAAGTAAGCTACATAGAGCTTCTCAACAATGTGAAACATAAAATCAAAGGATAATTAGAGTAATTTCTCAAAGCATTTGCTGAACATCTGCTGGGTACAAGGCACTAGGGAAACAAAAAATGAAAATGCAATATGCTGTCTCTTTCTATAAGGCTATTACAACCAGTTGTAGTCCCAGAGGCAGACAGGTACAATCACACTGAGATGGCATCGCTACTACACTAGAGACACAGGCAAAGCACTAGAGGGCTGAAATTACCAGTAATTACTTACATCTCGGAAAAGACGAAGATGTGAAGGAACATCAGGAAAGTACTGCAAGAAGCAATATGTATCTGCAGAACTTAGAGGGCTTGAATAATCCAGCTAACCATTTCATCTCTCCACTCGCTTAAAAAATATATATATATAAGCCACAGAAAGTCAAAATAGGCTAGCTAAAATGGAAAATTCCTTTGGTAAAACCTTTGCTAAACTAAATGGTCAAGAGGAACTCTTCTTCAATATTTCTTCTCTATCAAATATAATATTTTGTGCTGGATATATTCAAAGAAGTGCAAAAACCCCCAAATCTAATATGTTTAATTTGTTAAGAAAGCTCTTGCCAAATTTTGAGCAAAATTAGCTTCAATTTTAATTTAATAACATTTAGCAATTCATTCTTGGTTCATTTTTTTTCACATTATCAACTTTCTAATCATTATTATATGCCAGTTTTTATACGGTAATTAAACACTGGCTACTAAGAGCTAAATTAAAAAGAGAACTTTTTAAATTATAAACACAGACAAAAAATTTAAGAAGTCAAGATGATTTCTTTTATATGACTTAAATTATTTTATTTTGGGATGTAATGTATCGCATTTCATCTATGCACACTGCTTCTAACTTACTAAGCAAAGGAATGAGTACTCCCATAAATTAATCTTCCATAATATATGGATTAGTTATTTATAATAAATAGTTAATAACATAGACAAACATGTAAAACTACAGAAAAAAGCCTGATTCTTGGTCCAACAAATTTCTGAATTTGGAAGTTAACTTTTAAAAGAATTTGAGTGAAAAAAACCCCACTGATTTCAAAACAAGTTTAATAGTAACTCAAGTTTTAGATAATGCTTTTCGATTTATCTAATGTTATGGAGAATACTAAACATTTCCATTAGCGGCCCATCATCACCGTGGTTACCTCCTTCTCCCTCTCTCCACTTCAGATATACAGGCATTTGCTCAATCAATATTCAGTGGACATCCACAGTGAACAAATCTCTCTTCTAGGCACCATGAACTACATAGTTGAGGAAAACCATGAACTACATAGTTGAGGAAGACGGGTTTTGTCTGAAAGGATTTAGAGACCAGCCAGGGAGACAGCCAAGAAAATCAACAACCATCATGCAGTTATGGTAGAAATAGAAGCTGGATGCTAGCTACTGCAGCATCCCAGCAGACTGAGGAAGGTTTGTTGGAGGAGAAGATGCCTGCACTGAATATAGAAAGACTGAAGGATGCAGGAATGTTGGCCAGAGGAGGAGAGAAAGCTACATCAGACAAAGGAGGCATGAATTTCTATCATTTCCACCTTTCCACCCTGAGCACATCACTGAAGTCTGTCCCCTCCTTTCCATCCTCACTGCCATTGCTTTATTTCAGACCTTCAGTATTTTCTCCTGGAAGATATTAATCAATTAATTTCCTAGAGTGTTTTAGGTACCATGATAAGCGGAGGCCAAGTGAGAGCAGAAACAAGAGGGTAATCCCTTTGCTGTGGCAGGCAGCTTCTTTAATCACACACAGCCCAACCAGGACATTCTGTAAAAGTGGTTGCCGTTAGGTCCCAATCCCTCAAGGAATCTCTGCATACCTCTCTGTCTCCCAGTGTCATTTCTGAACCCCCACATACTGATTTACCAAGAATACATACAGCTGTGTTGCTAAGTTGAATTGTAACTGGCTTTATGTTATCCATTGGTACTTACACGTGTATTGTACCACATGTATCATGTGTATCATTAGAGACCAGGATGTTCAACCTTGTAGAGAAATTAACCAAGGAACTAGAATTCATTTTTATGGCATTTGAATTTATTCTTGTAGGAAAAAGCTTTAACCTCATGTAAACATGATAATCATTCCCATTTATTGTTATCCTAGAAAAATCCAGTTACTTTTCACAAAAAAGGAATTCACCCTAACATTTTTTTCAACAACTAATCACCAAATGATTCTTATCCTGTCTCCAGAAGATGGTGTGGATAGGATACATGGAATGCATTTATTCTTTTCTATCTGTTATCACAGGAAAGAAATAAATACTCCAGACAGGTATTCCCAAAATTACACAGGAAACTGTGACAGAGCAGAGACCAGAACCTGAGATTTTCACCTCCTCTAGCGCTCCATTCATTTTTTTCCATCTGATCTCCCTGGTCCTAGACGTAGTAGTTTAGAAACATGCCTTCTCCTTGTGGCTGAGTGTGCATATCATTTCCCAAATATATACTACCCGGCCATTGCACAGGAGAAAGGACTCAGACACTAACAAGTAAAAATCACTGATTCCTTTCCATCCAATCCGAGATGCCTTCCCCTTCTCACTTACTAGCACTCTTACAAGTCGCACTTCCATTCACTCTCTTAAAGGCTCTTCTCCTTGGATGTTTTCAAGGAAGACAACTATAATGAGTCCACCAAGTGAGGTCCACAGAAGTGAATCTGCGTCCTTTCTCATTCTCTTGGTGTCTTCATTGTTACAGGACTTGTGCTCTGAAGTCTGATGAACAACATACAGCTTCTATTTGTTTTATTTCCTGGGGAATATGCCCGGGTTCAGCTGTGAGAGCAGGGACTTTCCCTCTTAATGTATTTGAAAGGTTTCTTCCCCTCTTTATTTTATCATTTTAATTAATTTTTTTGTGTGTGTGATGGAGTCTCACTCTGTCGCCCAGGCTGGAGTGCAATGATGCAATCTCGGCTCACTGGAACCTCCGCCTCCTGGGTTCAAGTGATTTTCCTGCCCCAGCCTCCGGAGTAGCTGGGATTACAGACACCCGACACCACGCCCAGCTAACTTTTGTATTTTTATTAGAGATATGGGGTTTCACCAGGTTGGCCAGGCTAGTCTCGAACTCCTGACCTCAGGTGGTCCACCCGCCTTGGCCTCCCAAATTGCTGGGATTACAGGCGTGAGCCACCGTGCCCGGCCCCCTTCTTTATTAACAACAGGCCTTCACTAGTATAGTCCTTTCCAAAACTGCAGCTGAAATCCCTTGAATGTATGAGCCCTTCAATAATTTTGCACTGTGAGTGGCAATTACAGAGTAAACCAGGCAGCTGAAGCAAAGGTGGGGCATGTGTCTCCGGATAATGGAGCACTCACAGAACCCTCAAACCACTAGGTGATAGCTATGCAAGCTCGGGTTGGAGGGTGGAGATGCAGAGTGGGAAACAGGTTTCCATGGAGGCCTCCTTTTAAGTGAGAGTTCTAAAGATGGCCAGGTCCTCTCTATCTACACCAGCCACCTTTTGATGCCGCCTTACTTGACTCCTTTGAACAGGTGTGCTTTAAGAACCAAAGTTCTCCAGAGAAATGCCCATTTATTCCAGAATAAGAACAGAAGATACTAGATCACACACAAACACACACACACAAACACAAATACATTTTGTGTTTACTAGTCCAATATGCCATGCTGAGATATATTTTATAAAATATGCAGGGAATCACTGGGTACCTTAGGGACTCCAGAGTGAAAGACTGAAAGCCAACGGTAGTTCAGGTGAAGGATGTGGCATTTTTTTTTTCCTCCACAGTGCTATTCAGACTTAGTTTAATTTCTTCCAATATAAATGTGTCCAATTTTACTTATTCTGCTAGATTATAAGGTTTTACATAATTGAGCACACTCAGATCTTCTTTCTTTCGGATACATTGACAACAGTCCCCCTCAGTTTCTACAGAAGTCCTACCTGAGTCACTTTATGTGAATCTGCCACAAATAACCCTTGGCCAATTGCGTTACCAATGACAGGGTCTCACAGAGACAAATTTATAATTAGATGTGTCACTTGAAGTGCTGGCAAAGAGCAACTTTAAGACTGAATAAAACCATCAATGCTACTTCAGAATCTCCTTTGGATTCTTCTTGTATGACTACAGGACACATTAAGTCTAATTTATTTCTTCTTCTGCTCCTCTAGAGAAACAAAAAGAGAAATGAGGAGGAAAAAGCTCCCAGAAATAAATGACCATCCAGTAAATTTCCAATTACATAAAATGTCCTCAATATGTTAGGACAGAGTTTGGGGAAAGGGTAACTATTCAATACAGTCATTGATTCGAGGCCAATGCTGGGTGGTTTATCTTCCTAAATAAAATTGCAATTGCAACACCAAAAGAATTCTGACACAAAGCCTCTGCTAACAGATATTTTATGGGTATGCCTTTTTTATGACCCTGTATTAAATATTCTGTAGCTTCTGGTCTGTGAAAATGTAATACAAAATGTTTAAGCAATATCACTTTGGAAAGAAAAGGAACAAATTGTCTACTTGTTGTAATAATACAGCTTTCCTATTTTATGGGTTTGTTTAACATAACAATACAAATTATTTTTCAGTTTCATGAAGAGAATTTCACTTGTTTTTATTTTTCCATTTTCTTTGATCTGTGTCAATGTTCACTTTTCACATGAGAAATAACCTGGCATGACAAATTGGTAACAAGTTACTTTTATTCATATTTAGCTTTTAGTTCATAATTTAAAAATTATGATATTGTTTTCCCCTTCAACTGTTTAAACAGGATCTCTTTTTCAAAAGAAGAAAATGTTTCCTCACCTTTTTTCTTACCCTTGTAGAGTCAAACTATGAAGTCATTATGACTTTAATTTAAAAATACTCTTAGGTTAATGTAATGCCATGACACACTAATTCTGAATTGGCAATGAACAAATTATAAACATTTATTAAACTCTGCTTTTTTTTTTAATAAGGCCTTGAGATAAGTACTGGACAAGTGGAGCTGTCAGAAGATGTCCCAGGCCACAGGGAGCTCACGGACCCATGGTGGGGGCAGGCCAGTACCACAGACAGCGATGCATCTCACACAACACATGAGGCTGGAAGAACAGGAAGGGGAGGAGAGAGGAGAGACCCTAACAGCCCATGGGGAGTAGGGGAGGGCCTTCTAGGTGGCAGTGGTGGAACTGATTCTTCAAAGAAGGATGTTGTTTGGTAGATCAGTGGTTTTCACATTTTAGATTGAACTTTTTAAACACAGAGTCCAATACTGCTTTCCCAGAGAATTATAAGCAGCGTATCTCAGATGTGACCCAGAGCCTGTGTTTTGAATAAGCTTCCATCTGATCTTGATTCAAGTGGTCCCAGGACCACCCTCAGAGAACCACACAGCCGACAGACAGAGCTGAGTAGTGGAGCTGGGAGGGGCACATCAGGCAGAAGAACCATCTGTGAGACCAGAGTAGGGCAGAAGGCACAGGCACAGAAGGATCGAGAAACTGGAGGGTGACAATCTTAGACATGCAGGCAGATGTCTGATCATGAAGGCCTTGCTTATCATGTGTAGATGCTTGTACATGATCCTAATCAGTTTAACTATTTAAAACAAATGAGAAATAAGATCAGATGTGCTTAATAACTTTCAATGTTAGTAACAAAAAATTGAGGTAACAAATTCTTTCCATTTGATTTACTGCTCCATCTTTTTTTTTTTGGAAGGAAGGAAGCCATGAAGAAACAAAAAACACCTTTTTGTTGTTGTTTTTAATGCAGGCACTAATGTCAGAATACAATGATTTAACATGCCCACCAAAATTGCAAGGATGCTGTGGTAGCAGCACATCTTGTAACAGACGATGCCAGGTGGCCCATAAATACTGCAGACACCACCCATAGCCACACACAAGGGGGCTTCCCAGACAGCACCCACATTCTCATTAGCACCATGACAGTTTTGTCATCACAGCTCTGCGGCCCAGGAGAGACTACTGCTGGGAGATGCCAGTGTACACGAGAAATAGCAGTAACAGGATGCCGTGATCACAGCACACCCAAAGAAACATCAGTTATCGGTTCCAGTAAAAAGTCTAAGGATCACTACTCTCTATCCCTCCCCACCGTAGAGAAAGCACAGGCAATGATGTGTAGCACTGTAGCTGGCAGTGAAGGGCGGAGTGTCTCCCTATCCCCAAGAAGATCATCCAACCCAAGGAAAGAGCTCCACAATGAAGGGAATAAAAAATAATGTAGGTAATGAGTATGTGCATATATTTGTGTCCTGACTATATATTAGCAGTAATTTTTTTTGTTATTTCAGGTGAACTAAAAGAATTAATTACCTTTTCCATAAACTGAGTATTTACTATTTCTATAAAAACACATGATTAATATTGTACTTAACCCAAGGAAACACATATCCCATTTTTCTTTTAGTTTGTATGAAAACATCTATTTGTTTAATTTTAATTTGTATTACTTATTTTTAATAGAGACTGTGTCTCGCTATGTTACCCAGGTTGGTCTTAAACTCCTGGGCTCAAGCGATCCTCCTGCCTTGGCCTCCCAAAGCGCTGGGATTACAGGCATGAGCAACCGCGCCCAGCCTGAAAACATCTATTTTTATTTCAGCACATGTTAATTAAATTTAAAATAAAAATTTGAACTCTAAAAGGAAAACTAAACTCTAAATTAAATTACACAGATACTATTTGAATAAAGGCTGGCACCTAAAATAACATAACATGTGCCAAAGAATTATTTGGTCCTTGGCATAAATTCTTTTAGTAAAGATCTAGTAACAATTTGGGAAGGTAGCTGAGCCTAAAGAGATTCTGCTGAAGGTAAGTAAAAATGTTAATAAAAACTGAATTAAGGGCAAAGTGCATTCTTATTGCATTTCCTCAAGCTTCCAATATAATTTATATCAACTACAACATCTCTGGAACATAAGTCTGGTAAAAAGAAAATATTGCAGGTCTGAAGAATCTGTAAACCATATTTACCAAGGGACACCAACAATACTATTTAAGAATGTATGTACTCAATAATCTAAAACCTGTGAGGAGCCTCCTCCCTTCAAGATGATGGCAAACAGACTCACAAGCTTAAAAGCAGTGTCCCAGTTTAACAAAATATGTGGGTTTTTGGGGCCTCATTAAATGGGAGGCCCATTGCTCCAGTGCAAAGTGGGGATATTCTGCATGGTCTTTGTGTGATTACATAAAGCGAATGTTTGATCAGCTGTTGACAATATTTGCAAATAGTAACAGATTGAAGATGGGTAGTAAAACAGAGGTTTTGACATTTTATAAATTCAAACTCACTGTCCTTCACTCCCTAGCACTCATTCTGTGATTTCTGAACCTGGTCTTCTCCCTGTGCCACAGATCCAACCCTCCCCCATCTCTAGTGACTTTACCTCCCCCAGGTCCCTCTGCTGCAACCTCTGTTTCTGAGCTGATGATGCTCTTCATGCCCAGACTCCTCCTTCGTGACTCTGAAGCCTTTTCTAACTATTCCATCTTTGTCGGGTTCTCTCCTTTCCCCAAACCACTGCTGCATATACAGTCAGAGCTACCCTATTTGGCTGATAGCACTTTATGCACTTCTGAATCTCTGTGTAAGTTTCTTGGGAGCAGGTACTTATTCACAAGTATTTTTAGAATTCTATTTGCATCTCTACCACAAGAATTATAGAATATCATGCTAAGCACTGAAATCTTTTTTCAGTAGAACTTGATCTGCAAACATATTCTTTGTCCCAGGAATATCTGTAAAGAGCAACGTGACCCTGTTACTGAATCCCCTGGGTGCCTGCCTTTAGATACTGTCAAGGAGAAGAGAGTTCTATGTGTTAACCAAGGGGCACTTTTAGAGCATGCGAGAATTCATCCTTCGATAAAACATAATGCCTTTTGTTTGCCAGTGAATAACCTGTATCTCCTCCCTACATAAGGAGATAAAACATGATGTCTTTTGTTTGCCAGTGAATAACCTGTATCTACTCCCTAGTCAAGTGAGAAGAGAATGTAACTTTTGGGAGAATAAAATACCACATAAATTTTTGGTTCTAGTTTTAGCTCTTCGTATGGTTTATGTCAAGCATCTAGAAGCATATCATAGAGTCAACAGATAGCTAATAAATAATGATGGTGTCACTGAGTATGAAATATCTGTATATCAGTTTCCACAAATGACAATCATGGTTAAACTTATCCAAAAAGAATGTGATACAATTAGAAGGTTACAAGCCAAGTTACTGCTAATTTAACAGCATCCATCTGGAAACCAATGTCCAGTTTTGAGAAGAATTAAATCAAGAAAATGTTCCAAAATCAAGACAGTCCTCTCATTTACAAAATCAAGCTAAAGCCTGAATAGTGTTTACTGAGCACTTACTGTGTGCAGCACTGTTCTAGAGACGAGGGGGCAGAGAATTTTCTAAGAAGTGAGGATCCCTGCCTTCAAGGAGTTAATACATTCCACCTAGAGATTAATGGAAGCTATGACAAGTGATATCTAAATAGATATTTTCAGATTTTCCTTTTGGAAACCAGCACTATAAACATGTTTTGAGTCTCTGTGGGTTGCCAGGCACTGTGCTAAATACTGGAAATATAATAATGAGTAAAATAACAGTTGAAAGAACTCACAAACTAGAAAGGAAGCTAGACATGAGCACACAAACATTCCTATATAGTTTGCATATTGATAGCACATTAAATGTACTTTGTATGGATATAGTGTCTCTCTTAAATCTAGCTCCATTATCCAGGTGTGATGGCTAATTTTTTGTGTCAACTTGACTGCCCCAGGAAGTGCGCAGATAAAACATTATTTCTGGGTGTATCTATGGGGCTGTTTCTGGATGAGATTAGCATTTGAATCAGTCAACTCAGTAAAATAAAGTAGATGGCCCTTCCCAGGGTGGATGGGCATCATCCAATCCATAAGCACCTGGATAGAGCAAAAAGGCAGAGAAATAAGTAATTCACCCCTCTTGCTTTTGGTCTATTTGCATGAGCTGGAATATTGGCCTTTTCCTGTAACTGCCTGGGATTTACATGATCAACTCCCTTGGTTCTCAGGCCTTAGGAATTGGACTGAAATTACACCATCAGCTTTCCTGGGTGTCCAGCTTGCAGACAGCAGATCACAGGACTTCTCAGCCTCCATAATCACATGAGCCAACTCCTTATAATGAATCTCTTTATCCATAATATATCGATATGTCTCTATATATAATATATACATATATATAAAATGAGATTTCTTTATTATATATAATGAAGCACCAATGGGAGATAGATATAGATAGATAGATAGATAGATAGATAGATAGATAGATAGATAGATAGACAGACATAGGTTGATCTCTACCTATCTATCCATCCATCTATCTATCTATCTATCTATCTATCTATCTATCTATCTGTATATATACAATTCTCTTTCTTTGGAGCACTCTGACTAATACACTAGGTTTTGAGAGGATCCCACCTATAATGGTCATGAACAGAGTAACAGCAAGATGGCACAAATGCCTTTTTGGAGTAAGTGACAGGAAATAACAATTCCAAAAACACCTTTTGAGTACTGGGAAAACTCTAGGCAGAAGTTGGCTGAGAAGAACTTTTTCTAAATTCACAGAGGCAGTCTCTGAAACCCTTCTACAGAGGAGCTCCATCACCATGATGTAAGCAGGCCCTGCAGTTCTTTCCAGAGTGGTCTTGGGATCACTGCAAAGCTGCTGAGTGATAACAATGTGAAACAAAAACACAGAGACAGGAATAAAGAGAAGAATAAAATAGGAATAGGGAATAGAAAAGCATCAACAGTAATGTCAGAGAAATCATAGCTAAATTGATACTTACCAGATTTTTCTTTTGGAAATCGGCACTATAAACATGTTTTGAGTCTTTGTGGGTTGCCAGACATTGTGCTAAATGCTGGAAATATAATAATGAGTAAAATAACAGTTGAAAGAACTCACAGACTAGAAAGGGAGCTAGACATATAAACACACAAGCATTTTTATATAGTCTGCATACTAATAGCAAACTATCAGCTAAACTCTGTGTAGCTGAGTCAGAAAACATAGTTTAAAGGCAGATCAACATTGACAGTCTCCAACAACTGACATGACCATATTCCTACTTACAAGTGCCAGGGCCGGGTGTACCCCCGAACAGCCAAGAAACCAGTAACCTGAGTCTGAGCATGTTTACATACTATTTCATAGCGCGACTTCTTTTTTCGATCCACATTATAAAATTGGCATTTTTCCATATTGTTGGAAACTCTGCAAACAATTCAACAAACTAGAAAATGTAGAAAAATATATGAAAACATACCACCCATAACACCACAAGCATGAATAACCCCCATTAATATTTTGGCACAGATTCTTCCATGTGCCAGTTTGAAGAAGGTCTTGTCTGAGAAAAACAAAGTGTTAGAAAAGAACAAGAAGAAAACAATCTGAACCTAGACCTGGACTATGAGGGAGGTACTGTTAACCTCCTGGATAAAAGTGTTAATGTATATTTAAATGAAAGCACTTATTACTCAAAACAAGATAGTTGAATTTGAATTTTATACTAGCATCTTGATACAGAAGCATCTATATATGAATATATTAATACAAATATGTATAGTTCATAGAGAGCATCTATTACTAAATTCCTCCTCAACTGGCCCTGTCATTTGTTTACTGTTGTCCCAAGATAAAAGTTCTCTTCTGATATTGTAAGAAGGAGATACCAAGGCAGAACCCCCTGAGATACAGGCCATTTACTGTTACCCCAAAAGCATGTGTCTTGATTGGTAGCTTGTGAATAGGTCTTAGAGAAAATGCCATAATGGTAACATCTTTGTGTGGGCTGCTCATGTCCCTCCCTCTCATGGGGACTCCTTGGTCTAAGAGGCCACCCTTTTTTACTCAAGAAAAACTTGTGTAGAAAAGGAAGTAGTAAGTCAAGGCAGAATCAGGCAACTATGACATTATTATACCATAATTTTTACCATGGCACAGACACAACAGTGACTGCAGGCTTGTCTTTTACCAACAGTATTGAAAGAACAAATCTTTGATCTATAGAATTTGAAATCATTTTAAGGTCAAAAAATGGTACATACTACATCAGTATTTAATATTGAAAAACTGGAGTTAACTAAATGATCATAAGATACTAAGTGAATTATGACATATTCATAAGAACAAAACACAAGTTACTAAAATTATATTCATTAGCATGCAAACTTAATGTGTTATATATTTATAAGTCTACAGATGATGGATTTTTGGCAAATTATTAATGAATATCATGGATTGGTTTTCCCCCTTATTTTTCTCCCTGTATTTTTAAAGTTTGCCCAATTAACTTGTATTAGTTTTATAATAAAAAATATTGCTTAAAATGCCTTAACAACACAGGAAAATGTTTAATTTTATGATGGTAATTGAAAAAACATCAGGCAATAAAATACTATATATGACTGAAATACAATGACTTAGTTCACAGTAAACAAGGATTAGAGGAAAATACTTCAAACTGTTTATTTCATAATCACTCAACCCATACGAAGCACCTATATTCCCTGAGTACAGTGTGGTAATTAAAACAGACAAGGTTGCCACTTTCCTGGAGGTTACACTCTAAATTAATAAGATATAATGATCAAATAATTAAAGAAGAAAGACCTTTTCAGATGCTACTAAGTGCTGTGAAGAAAATACGATAGGCATATGTAATGGAAAGTCATTGTGAGGTGGGGCTTCTTGACACTGTACAATCAGGGATTGCTTCTTTGAGCAAAGATATCTGGGATGGAGCCTAAATAACACAGGAAGGCCAGCACATGAAGATGTAAGGACATAAAGGACTTTAAATAACAGCAAAGACAAAGACAAAGACCTCCTAGATTCAATGAGCTCATTGGGACTGTAACACAAAAAGGAAGGGGGCGGGAGACTGATTCAGGAGGCATCCGCAGGAACTGGCAAGGATCCGATCATGCAAGGCCAGGGTAATGAGTTGACATTTTATTTTACTTAATAAAAATTCATTGCAAGATTTTCAACAGGAGTGTGATATCATCTGAGTACTTGCTGATGGAGTAGAAGTGAAGTTTGAGGGAAGAAGAGACATCAAGCATGGATTGAAAGTTGAGAGCTGGAGCAGTAGAGAGATGATGGTGCCTGCTCTGATGACTGCTAAGAGGGAACAGATTATAGGGTGAAAGAACATGGATATGGGGAATCAAAAGTTCATTCCGGCCATGTTTTGTTGGATGTAAAGTGCTTAGTAGGCAACTGGCTATATGAATCTGAAGCTGCTGGGTAAAGAGGATAGGATTGGTGCAAAAGTTGCGAATTATTGTCATATGGATGTCATTTAAAGCACTGGATGGAATCATATAAAAAGTATAAATAGCCACCGGGCACAGTGGCTCATGCCTGTAATCCCAGCACTTTGGGAGGCTGAGATGGGCAGATCATTTGAGGTCAGGAGTTTGAGACCAGCCTGGCCAACATGGCAAAACCTCATCTCTACTGAAAATACAAAAACTGGCCTGGCATGGTGGCACATGCCTGTAATCCCCACTACTCAGGAGGCTGAGGCAGGAGAATCATTTGAACCTAGGGGTGGAGGTTGTGGTGAGCCAAGATCGTGCCACTGCACTCAAGCCTGGGCTATAGAGCAAGACCTTATCTTAAAAAAAAAAAAAATTAAGAAGAACAGTCTTACCCAAATTAATAGGTCAAGCACAGGAAGATAAGAATAGCTTGTGATTTATCAAGAAACTGATTGGCATAATGTCATAGAAGATGAACAGAAAGATTGTTGAGGAAGGAGAAATAATCAATCGTGTCAAATGCTGCAGAGAGATATAGTAAAGTGGACAGAGAATTAACTACTGGATTTGGCAAAACTGAGGTCATAGGTAACTTCAACAATGGCAGTTTTAGGAGAATGATGAGAAGGAATACCACTGGAGGAAGAGAGTAAGAGGGAAGCACAGACAGCAAATAAGAAAACTCAACTGTATGAAAGCTACCAAAGCAAGAATAGTTGGAAGGGAAGGTAGAGTTTCATTAAAGGTGGGTGATACAAAAGATGATGAAAAGAAAAGGCATTAGATACAGGACTCAAGTGGAGGGGCTGCCCTTCACTGTTGTAGCACAAGGTAAGGCAGAGTACACAGTACAGATGCAGGTAAAATGGAAGACATTGCAAAGGATGGATAAAGGAGCTTTCATCTTTTATCTTCCCAGTTTTAACAGTGATCTCAGATGCTGTTGGTAAATTTTATTTTACTGTTGCAATACTTTTTTTGTATTTCCCACTTTGGGAAATTCTACAGTGAATATATATTATAATCATAATTTTAAAAACACTACTTTTTGAATGAAACTTAAAACCACACTGGAAACACATGTGGACATTTTAAAACTAGTAATGTTATACAAGTGATTTATTTGAACTTACATTAAAAAGAGGAAAATTTTTTTGTGGCACAGTCTCTGCCCTGTTCCAGCTTTCTAGCTGTCAAAATGTGTACCCTCCTTGGCTATTTCTTTCTAAGGCTTGTGCTTGGAGCAAGGACTTGAGAAACTGTACTAATATTGTAACTTTGGAGCTTAACCAGAAAATGGAAGTTTTCTTTGCCCCCTATCTCAAGTCTAACATAAAAATGTCATATATACAAAAACAATTGGCCTAGAATATTCCAAACTCCTGTCTTCCTCATTACAATTTTTTTTTTTTTTTTTTTTACAAAACCATTTCCTGCTCTTTTTCATCCAATTCTGCCTCAGGCAAAGGGCATTCTAATGATACCATGAAACACACAGTGTTTTGCTATAGATTCCTTTTCCTTTCATTTTTTGATGAAATACTAAGGCAGTTTTCTTCATTGGTTTCAGAAGCTAAGTGGATGCAATTTAGGAGTTTACAGAAGCACCAAAATCAATGCAGAGAGGAAGAAGATGGGGCCATGAATGTAAATAGCTTATTGACTGAGCAACAGGAAGAGGCTAAAATATTCAGCCAGCACTTGCTTGTGATTATCTGCCACCCTCTTCCTTCCATGGGGAGGGAATGGCCTAGTCTCACTGAGCTCATATTGCTTTTAACATGTATAAGAGACCAGACAGATGTTTAAGGTTTAAAACCTGGCATTCCATAAGGAGAAGGATATTACTGATCAGGATTACAAGTATTACTTTTCTTCTTAGTTGAATAAGTTATTTTTCTTAATTTAAAAAGATTCTGTTGGAAGAGGACAATTCACCTCATCTACATAAGTATTGGCTCTTCTCAAATACTCTCTATTTACACTTCCTATGTGATTCCATCCAGATCTGTGCTTTCAATGCCATTCACGTGACAATCATTTCCAAGTTTTTCCCCAATCCTATCTTCTCCACCCGGTTTCAGATTCACAGAGCCAACTGCCTACAAAAGCACTTCATATCCAACAAAGTGTGGCCGGAATGAACTTTTGATTCCCCATACCCATGATCTTTCACCCTAAAATGTGTTCCTCTCTTAGCAGTCATCAGAGTAGGCACCACCATCTATCCACTGCTCCAGTGAATAGATGTCATGCTTGCCTCAACTTTGGAGTCATGCTTGAGGTCTCTTTAGTTTGCTGCTGTTGTTAGAAAATTTAATGAGAGGAAACCCTGGCTGAACAGAGAAACTCTTTTTTTCAATAAACATGATCCTGATTTGTAAACAGTGTGAATTCTCCTGGGAAAAATCATCCACTGATGGAAAATTGACAGCCCTTCCCTCTCTCTTTCCTTTGCTCCCCTCCCTTTCTTTTTATCTACCCTCCTTTATGTACAGGAATAATTTATTTTCTCTTTTGAAATCCTTTCCATTAATGAGAAATCCCTCAGGAAGGACCAAGCATCTACGCAGGAGGCTGTAGTCAGTTGTGAGAATTTTAAGTACTTGGTGGTTTAAGCTTTCACCTCATCTACATTTGTAATAAACCACTCTGAGAAATATCTTTTGTTATATGCAGTGATTCTCACTTGCGGAGGGGGATGAATGAGGAGGAGGTGAGAAATGTGTGCAAAATGAGGAGGTGCGAACCTGTGTGTGGCAGATGAGTTCCCCAGAGATTTGTGTAGGTGACTGCCTACCATCTTCCTAATCTTCAGAAGGACTGATGGACTTTTCCCCCCTTCCTTGAATAGCCAGAAGAAACTTTTTTTTTATTTACAGTGATGAAAACAAATGCCTGAACAGGGCAGTTTTCATCTATAGAAGATTCTCATTTATCCTGTGGATTTTCTATGGCCTAGTTTCAATTCTATAAAGGTCTCTACTAATGCTTTATAAATTTCAGGCTCACTTTGCCCTCATGAGTCAGTGACCACTCAGGAAATACTACATTTAGTACCAGATTAAGCAAACTATAAAGAGAGATAAATCAGCGGGAAAAATCATGCTGCATACAAAAGACAAGGAGAAATGTTTTGGGCTGTATCTCATAGCCTGGATTATCAACATCACTATTTTCCAACAAAACAATGCCTTAGAGGCATTGTAATACTTTCTGAAACTTCTACTTGTATCTCAGATTCAGAGAAATGGGTTCAGCCATTTTGAAAGTATTGTACAATTAATTATGTAATTCATACATGATTCAAGAGAAATCTCTTCTTCTCCTATCTGATAGCCATCTTTAAGTCATTTCACAAGTCATTAGCAACCCTATGGGTCAATGGGAAAGAAATAGAAGGAAGATAAAGGACAGTTCAGTTTGTTGCTTACTAGAGCCCTGATAGAATTCTGGTAAATGCAAGACTAGAGAAGAAAACAGAGTAAAATAAGGTTTCCCAGCATTCTACCTTGGAATTTCAATTATTTATGTGCTTCTTGGCTTCCACCACTATGAATAATCAAGAGCTAGCCAATATGAAGGCAGCTATGAAAATAAGTACATTTTCAGGGAACAAAAGAAATCAGGGTGGAACTAAAGGAAAGGATGAATGAGCCCAATTTTTCAAATCTAGAAATTGTAGTGAAAGAAATTTAATTTGCTTTGACCTCCTATAACATTTATACTTGTACCAACGATTTTGCACTTAGCACACACTGACTTGTGCCATTATTATTGTTAGTAATAACAATAGTAATGGGTATTAACTGATCTTTTACTAAGTTCTAGACTATCCAAAGCACCTTGCAAACAAGGTTTCCAATCCTTTCAGCAACCTCCAAGATAAGTATTATCATTCGCATTTTACTGAGAAGGAATCCAAGGCTCAAGGGTAAATAACCTGCTCAGGGCCACAAAGTCTGCTGGGCCAGTAAGGGTCGAACCTAAGACTGGCTGACCCCAAACCCACTCCACACAGTTTTGCCAACATCTGATAGAACCATTTGCAGGTCTCACTCTCTTTCTTAGTAAGACTGTAAGCATCCACTGGAGAGTGGAAGTGGAATTTCTAGTGGGACAAGACCTGGAATTTCCATATTTCTACATCACTGATTTCCAGTGGAGTACTTAGTGAGTCTCCATTGTATCAGGAGATTTTTGTTTGTTTTCATGTCATTTTTTTATTTCCACAGAAGGGCTAGCTGCAGCAAGGCAGTTACTGTGTGGAGAGATAGTAATGTTTTTGCTACCAACAGTATAGGCTGGGTCAGCTAACACGGTATTTAAAAAAATGTATTGCAACCCTGTCTTAGCACTTACAAATGGGTGGTATACATACACACCTATCCCAGGGAGCCCCACAAACCTGAAATATTTGAGGCAAATAGTGGTTACTTATAGGTCACCAATGGGAGCAGACACAGGGGTGTAAACTGTATCACCCCAAGTGGTTACTATTACCGCCAATATGATGACGATGGTCAGGGTGTCTTCTTCCACTCTAAAGACAGATTTACCAGTAGAAGAGGCATTGCAACCTGTCATTACAAAGGGAAGTTCAATCCCACCAGCTTGAAAAGCAGGGGTCACTTTGAGCCTCCTTTTAGAATAAAGGAAAATGCTAACCTATCAGGATATCTAATGTCAAAAGAAAAACAGTGTAGTTCCTTGCTGGATTACTCTGCCTCAATAATTTAGAACAAGTGAGTAGCTCTAAAGAAAGGATTGAAATTGTGTCTTTGCTTATGAAAAATTACTAAAAATCATTTGCATATCCCTGTTAATCCATTCAATGGTACTTAATCAGCACACAACAGAGACTTCAGCACAAATGCTGCTATCTTCTGAGGCAGCCACAGCTTGCACAAGGGTCAAAACTGAACTCAAAGAAATGTAAATTTACCCTTTCTATCCAAAGAAAGATGTATTTGACTCACTGATAAATGAAATGTGAGCTGTTTCTCACAAACTACACATATAATCTTAAAAATCTTTTGGAAACCATCCAACAGACAAAATCAGCTACTCTAGAAAGAATTTCTTCCAAAAATTGTTAAAAATTATAAATGCACTATCAGTCAATTTGGGCAATATTACATACCCCTCCAATATTATTCAAGAAACAAATAGAGATAAAAAAGAAATTCTTCAATTCCCAAAATTTTATAGTGCCTTTTTGGCTTAATTTTTAGTAGACAAAAGAGCAAACTCTCCCTTTTTAATAGATAAAGGGTTGTGCTTCAGCCTACAGCTCTCCTGTCCTGCTCTAGCCACATCAAGGGATTCCTAAGTGACCTTGGCTAAAGCAGTTAACCTTCCTGCATTTTAGTGTGGCCAACTGTGAAATAAGAAAGATAATGACAACAAAAATAATAGGGCTCAGCATCTATATACCTCACTGAAGTGTTCTTACGAATTAATCATACTGAGCTTTGAAAGTGGTTTTATGCTCTAAAAGCATTTGACAACAGTTAGCAAATTCCCACATTAATGTACTATATATGGTCCATAGGATTATGTCAGAGACTTTGCACGATACAGTGCATTCAGGTTATTTTGTGGACAAGACTTTAGGTGACATTAAAAGAAATATGTTCTCTAGGCCGGGTGCGGTGGCTCACGCCTGTAATCCCAGCACTTTGGGAGGCTGAGGTTCACACCTGTAATCCCAGCACTTTGGGAGGCCGAGATGGGTGGAGCACCTGAGGTCCGGAGTTTCAGACCAGCCTGACCAACAGGGAGAAACCCTATCTCTGCTAAAAATATAAAATTAGCCGGGCATGGTGGTTCTCTAATTGCTTTTGCTATTTACCCCAGGGAGGAACAAGAAAGTTAATTTTAAAAATTGCATCCAGTGCTATGGTCTGAATGTTGATGTCCCCCCAAAATTTATATGTTGAAACCTAACACCCAATAAGATGGTATTAAGAAGTGGGGCCTTTGGGAGATGATTAGGTCATAAGGGCCCCACCTTCATGAACGGGATTAATGCCCTTATAAAAGAGGCTCCAGGGAGCATATTACCCGCATGTAAGGGCACAGTGAGAAGGCACCATCTGCAAGGAAATAACCTTCACTAGACACAGAACCTGCTGGCACCTTGATCTGGGAATTCCCAGCCTCCAGAACTGTCAGAAGTAAATGTTTGTTGTTTATAAGCCACCCAGTTTAAGATATTTTTGTTATAGCAATCCAAATGGACTAAGACATCTAGTTTAGTAAGAATTATAAAAGTATCTAAGTAAAAGGTCAGGCCTTGACAGTTTAAATGTGAGCTCTGCGAACAGGTGATGGATAGCTTGTGAAGTGAGGTGACTCTCCCTTTTACCCCAGCAGTCTGTTCCTTTTCCATTCCTGTCCTTTACAAGGGCCTCCTCCCTTACTCTCCACTGAATCACATCCTTCTCTCCTATCAAAAATGCAACTTCTAAGGCAGACTTTTCTGATTAGACACACTCTCCTCACCACGTGAAGAAATTCTTACTACCAAATGAAGCTATAATTGTGTTTAATTGGATCATGTAATGCATAATTATTAATCATTATAATGTATTTTATAATCAGCGCCTAGTAGCCAGGCTCAGGACTCCCCTTCCTGAAAACATGAAGCAAAGTACATCGCTCTTCAGTTCTATGGTCACCCAATGAATGGTGCTAATTAGATTTAAAACATCTTTAGATATTTATCATAGATAGCATAAGACGTCAAAAATCAATTGTTATCAATACATCAATAACCACCTCTTGGATTCAACCATGGGACTTTGCAGATACAGCTTTAGATTCTATCTCCTTCATCATGAACTCAGAGGGTGTGGACATAAATGCCCCAATAGAAAACCGTCTGCTTTATGTGGCTCCTTTCCTTCATCTGTTGGCTTTCCCGCTTTACTCCACCTCACAAATGATCTGAACAATATCATTTAAGGACTCCCATCTCTCCTGTTTTACATAAGATCTACCAGCAAAATGTTCAGTCCTGACATGTTCTTTGACACACAGTTTTGTGGCATCTCATTAAGTAGTTGTGTTTGATGTCCACATCAAAACTGGTGTGCAAGTCACTGAACAATGGTATGAGAACCTAAATACTGACCGTACTGGGAGGTCTAGGAACCTTGAGGAATTGTTTTGCACAGCTGATACTTTCTTCTTTTTCTAGAGTGAAAGAATCTCTTTGCTGGAGCACGAACCTGGAAGTCAGGGGGCCCAGGTTCCAGTCCCAGCACTGTTCCTGATCAGGAGTGCTTCCTTGGACAAGGTCTATCAGTTGTCTACACCAATGCTTCATCAAAAGGGTTAGTCTTGATCATCTCTCAGCTCCTTCTTAATCTTAAAATATATAGAAAATAATATGATTCCATGGCTTTTCATACACATGTTTGTGTTAAAGGTATATCAAAGGAATGGAGAAGTATGCTGTGGCTTTTTTTTTGGAGGGGAGCGGGGGATAGGGTCTCGCTCTGTTACCCAGGCTGGAGTGCAGGGGCATGATCTCGGCTCACTGCAACTTCCACCTCCCAGGCTCAAGGGATCCTCACCTCAGCCTTCCAAATAGCTGGGACTACAGGCACGCACCACCATGCCCGGCTAATTTTTGTATTTTTAGTAGAGACGACGTGTTTCACTATGTTGCCCAGCCCAGTCTCGAACTCCTGAGCACAAGTGATCCATCCGCCTCAGCCTCCCAAAGTGCTGGGATTACAGATGTAAGTCACCATGCCTGGCCTGGCTTTTTGAATTTGAATTTACTATACAACTTTTGGATTTACTACACAATTTCTAAAGGGCTGGAGTAAAGTTTAGACCTCTGTTTAAAGATCCACAAAACTAACAGTCCCCATAAACAAGAAAAGGTAACAGATGAAATTAAAAGCAAGCACCAATTCAAATCAAATCCAAACTGCTATTCTTTTGCCTACAGTTGGAAACCTGGAGACAACAAGTAATAACAGATTAAACAAACAAACAAAAAAAAAAACAGGAAACGTCACAGAATTAAGAAGATCCTATACAGAACTTCTGCTTCTCTTCTTCCTCTTCACTGAGTGCAAAACACGCAGGAATTGCTTGGATTCTAAAACACGGAATTCCGAAACACAAGAATTCCAAAACATGCAGGAATTGCAGGAATTTCTTATGCAGGAATCTCTCTCTTAGAGACAATAGAGCCACAATACAAGCGCAAACCAAGAGGGAGGTAAGTCTCTAAAAGCCTGATAGGGGAACAAAGCAGGGTAGATAAAAATCATAGTCTCTAAGTGGGTGTATGGATAAATCAGCCTTAGAGGACACCCAAAAGAGAACAGTCCTGGTTTAGCCACCGGTAGGCTCGCTCTCAGGTACAGCAGTCTCTGTGTTAACTCCATCTCCACTCTGGAAAAAATCATGCTGGATGCAATGAATGCAGGTTTGCTGGAGTCTTTAGGAAAAAGACAGGGCTACAGTAAGTCAGTAGCTACTAATGCTACATCTGTGGCCATGTAATCAGCTGTACTGCTAAGCATCTGCCACAAAATTGCCACTATGACATGTGAACTGGTAACACCACAATTAGAACAATAACATCGCAAAGTCTAAAGGAAGCTTTAATTATTCATTTAATTTGAAAAGTAAAGCTGGAGGGGACAGCTGCTAAGGACACAGTTTTTCTTTACTCATTGCTACTTATTTGGCTTTGGGATTTTTCTATTCTTAATGTCACTCTCTTCCCATTTAATGAACCCTGATTTTCCTGGAAGTCCTATAGAAACGAGCAGTATTAAATCCAAGTACTTCCGATTATTTCAAGCATGTGGGCAAAACATTAGCTCTCTGCAACAGATGACCAACTCAAACTCCACTGGAATGAGGGTCACTCTGCTATTTAATGCACTCAAATGGTGTAATTAAAATAAAGATAGTGACTGCAAAGTGCCTCTAAGTTTAGACAACAAAGATTTGTGAGTCTACCATGGCACATATACACTACTCCAAGACTTTATAGTATAGAAAACGAGAAACGTATTTGCAAGAAGTACAAGGCAAAATGTGAAGCAATGATGCCACATAAGGTTTACAAATTTGGAGCCATTTACAAGGAGGAGGAAGGGGTAACTTATGATTGGGGATCAAAGAAGGACTCATGGCAGAAGTGACATGTGAAGTAATTCCTAGTCTGGGCCATGAGGGAAAATAGCATTTCTGACAGCTGGGTTCGCGTAAGGGATAACTCAGAGGCAAGAAAGAGCGGAGGGAGCTTCAAAGATGGGGAATGGTTGCAACTAGCTGAAGCAGCAGAGAGAAGGCCTGAAAGAGAGTGGAAAATAGGTTTTAGAGGGCTCTGAAGGCCTGCCTCAAGAGTCTACATTTTATTTGGAAGCCAAGAGATAAACCAACAGTTTTTAATTAGAAAGCCATAAATTCACGATGGTTCTTTCAAGATTATCTTTCTGATGAGGATGTGCAAGATTAAATTCAAGGGAAATACCTGGAGTTCACTTGGGAAGCCACAATTAAATCCTCGGAAGGACTCGGTAAGGACATGGAGTGGGGACAAGGGGAAAGGAGATAATCTCTCCTTCTAAAGTAGGGCTGTCCAATACAAATTTCTGCAATGTGAGCCACCAGCCACATGCAGCTACTAAGCACTTGAAGTATGGCTAGTTCAACAGAGAAAGTAAATTTTTAATTTTATTTAACTTTGATTAATTTTAATTTAAATAGCTACATGTGGTTAGTTACTACTATATTGGACATACAGTTCTCAAGTAAAAAATATGTACAGGTAAGAAGTCAAGAAAATCAGGCAAAATGACATTAAAGATGTTTAAACAAGAGATGGCAGAAATTTACATTACTTTTGATAGTTTCTCAAAATGTTTGGCATGAGCCAAGGGCCTCTTAAAATACATTAAGCTGTGACCTTCTGGCAGATGGGAACGGTTTTCATTCATCTTTCTATCTCCTTATCTCTAGTACAGTGCCAAGCGCTATAAGTACTCAATACTGTGAATGACTAAATGAATGAGTTAATGAATGAGTACATTGTGAATATGAAGTCTAGAACTCACCATTAAAGAATTACTGATTTAGGGAAATCTGTTTGTAGGTGAAGATAGCAATTGTGGGCTGTCTCCATAATGTCATTCCCTGAGTGACCCCAAAATAAAAACTCTAGAGCATATGAACTAAACAGGCTGAATGATTAGCATTCACTTTCTTAGTAAAATAGGTAATGTTATTTTTGTTCAAGAGCATTAAAATAGCCAAAAGAATTTATACGAATGCTGGAACCTTAACATCAACATACATTTATAGTTAAATGCTTTTAGAAATCAATTTTCTGATTATAAAAGGAATACATATTTCTTGTAGAGACTTTGGAATGTATTCAAATAAAAGAGCAAATAAAAATTACCTACAGTTTTTAAATCAAAGACATTCATTGTTATTGTGTTTCCTTTATGCCTTTTTTCCTGTGTGTATAATATACATATTTTTTCCAAAAAAAGGTAAATTTTTATATTATAAGCAATGTCAATATTCTTTTTTATTTTTATTTATTTATTTATTTTGAGATGGAGTTTCACTCCTGTCGCCCAGGCTGGAGTGCAATGACATGATCTCAGCTCACTGCAACCTCCGCTTACCTCAACCTCTGCCTCCTGGGTTCAAGTGATTCTCCTGCCTCAGCCTCCCGAGTAGCTGGGATTACAGGCATGCACCACCACGTCCAGCTAATTTTGTATTTTTAGTAGAGATGGAGTTTCTCTATGCTGGTCAGGCTTGTCTTGAATTCCCGACCTCAGGTGATCCTCCCACCTCGGCCTCCCAAAGTGCTGGGATTATAGGTGTGAGCCACTGCGCCCGGCCTCAATATTCTTCTAAAACAATTTTAATAGCTGTATAATGTTCCATCATGTGAATATGCCCTAATTTCTATAACCATACTCCTGCTGTTGGTCATTCAGGTTCATGCCAATCTTCTAGAATGCCATTTGGTGATTTATATTAAGAAACTTAAAATACTTATAGCATTGACCTAGGATCTCACTTTTAGGAACATATTATAAGAAAATAGGCCAGGCACAGTGGCTCACACCTATAATCCCAGCACTTTGGGAGGACAAGGTGGGCAGATCACCTGAAGTCAGGAGTTTGAGACCAGCCTGGCCAACATGATGAAACTCCATCTCTACTAAAAAAAAAAAAAATAGGGAAAAAGAAAAGAAAAGAAAAAAAAGAAAAGAATCCTCAATGGGCACCAAAGCATTATTCGTAATACAGTAAGACTGCTAAAAGGCTTTAACATCAAATAATAAAAGAATCATAAATTATGTCACGTGAATTTTATAACACATGTAAAAGTTGTTTATGAAAAAATTGAAATGAGATAGGAAATACTTATAAAACAAAAACACACAGAACCAACTTACACAGATAGGATAATCACCACTTTTTAAGACAAAACCAAAACCTGTTGCATAGAGACAGAGAACAAAAGCCTGGGAATGGCAAAATACTAGCAATGGTTGTCCTTGACTAAAAAACTGTAAAGTAATTTTATCTGCTTCTACCCCAGCCTTCCCACATATGAAATGCTCTATAATAGACGCAATTTTCTGTTAGTGAATCAAGAGTGTCCTGGTTAAGAACACAGGGTGCTCTGACCCTATCATCAATGTCCTCAGGAAAGACATCAGGGCTCATGGTGATATCTAAGACCTTCTCTCTTATTGTTTAGGACATCAAGAGACAAGTTTCTCTCTATTTTTATATAGAAAAGCAAACAAGCATGATTTCTAAGCAAAGAAACACTTCACAAGAAGTTTGCACACTACATGTTTTCATCCCTCTTCTTAGAAGGTGCAAGGTGACCTAGCTTTAAACCTCAGACCATAGTCAAAGAATGTTAATCTCATCAGCTCCCCACTAGAAAGAAAAACATTACATTTCCATGTCAGTCTCAGGCCTCATGTAGGGGAATCTGCCAAGGGTACCCCATAATACCATTCAAATGTCCTGGGCAGGTGGTGTTCATTTATAGTCATGACCATTGTGCTGAAGCAATTACCCCTGTGAAAAGGCAGGAAGCACTGTGAAAGCACACTGGCCTCAAATGCCATCATTACATTTGCAGGACTATTGCTAGTCGCAGCTCTTAGCGCTGCCCATAAGGAAGGCACTGTGCTAAGCAGTTCGTGGCATTTTTTACCATTCATTTCCCCTGTGGTAGATAGGGAAATAATCATTAAGGACTTGTTAATAACCCCATTTCATAAATGGGAGATTGAAGGATACAGAAGGTAAGTGGTCTGAGGTCCCTCACTTAAGGAGCATCAGAGATGGGATTCCACCTTGGCAGCCTGACTAGGTACACAGCCTGACTCCTGGCCACCCCGCTCACTCCCATACAGCCCACCATGCTCATAAACTCTGCTCTGAATGTTATTTATAAAATCAGGTTGGAGTTTATATCCTTATTTTATGCAAACAGTTTCTAGCTAATGTGCAAAATTATCCTAATCATGTCAAAGTAAAAGGAAAATAATTCACAGAAGCCCCTTTCTATAGCTACAGCTCACAAAACTACAGCTTCACTAGGGTATTTAACTGGAATTAAGCTCTATAGTCATTTAAGATTTAATTGGAATCAAATGTGCCACACTTACCATACTGACATAGTCACAAGAGAATAGAATTGTGCCGTGCCAAAATAAATGTTTCTCTGACTGAGATTATGGGCATTCCTTTTCAAATTAATTAGTTCAGAATTTTCCATTTTTATTAACAGATTGCTTATACTACCGATCACATGAGCTGGCAGCTGGAAAGTCATTTAACTGTGTGACTGTGAGCTGCCTATACTGCCCCACCACTGCATACGCCAACCTCAGGCCTTGAGTTAGAACATGAAATGACTGCACCCCACTCTCCCATCTCACTTTCTCCGTGCTCACCACATTCATATCTATAGGTAGAAGGTAGCAAGTGGAAAACAAGCAAACTTGATCAACTTCCAGGCTTAGGAAAACAGATGTGAACCAAACAGGGAAAAGTCTATTTTCCAAGTACATTCGCTATGTGTTGCTTTGAGACCTTGTAACACATTTTATTAACATGAAAATATGCCTCAAATTAATGAATCTATTCAGATTTCAGGGTACTGGTCTTTCAGAACCTCTTTATTAGGCTATATTTGCCATTTATAGCCTCTCTCACGCTGACCGGTTGATTTCATTTAATAGGATTCAGTGAGTCTAGTCAATCATGTATGGAATTTCTCTTATAATTCATTTTATGATAATACCTTTCATTTGTATTGTACATTGTAGTTCTCAAATCATTCATTGAGTGATCACAATATTTCAGTTATAGGCATCAAAAGAAATCATGCCCATTTTAGAGGCTAGCAGTGAAAAGATAAGTTGTGGTACTGCATGGAGCAACTCAGTTGATCCATCTGGATATCTTTCCTTTCAACGACCATACTAGGCTTTTTTTTTTTTTGTAAGTATATGATCGTGTAATAACTGAAACATTATAGATTCCTAGATTGTATTATTATCTCTCAAAACTGTTGTAGTAAATCAATATGTATAATATGCCTACTAAGTGCCAGATACCAACCTTGAAGCTGGGGATATGAGAAGCTTGGGATGTAACTCAATAATTTTTTTTTTTTTTTTTTTTTTTTTAGTAATTCACCAGATTATCCTGCTGCATGGCCAGGGTTGGGACCAGCAGTGTTGTAGAAAGACTTCAGGCTTCAGGAATTCAAGGGCCTGGGCTTAAATCTGGCTCAACTGCTAGCCAGCTAGGTGACCAAGGCAGTTATTTTACCTCTCTGAGCTTCAGTTTGTCTAGAGTCAAGGGAAATATGGATAAAATAAAATAGTGGATATAAAGGGTCTGGCACATGGCAGGTATTCTGTCAATGGTAACTCTATGGAAAAGGGAGATTAGAGAAGAAGAAAGAAAAAAGACAGCTCAGCCAACTTGATCCCTTGCATCTTTGTCTGGGCTGCTGTGACAAAATACCATACCCCGAGTAACTTATAAACAACAGAAATTTATTTAGCACAATTCCAGAGCCTGGGAAGTCCAACATGAAGGTGGATTTGGTATGTGGTGAGAGCCTGTCTTCTTTTTGTGTTCTCCCATGGTGGAAGGGGTAAGGTAGCTCTTGGAGGCCTCTTTTATAAGGGAACTAATCCCATTCATAAGGGCTCAACCCTCATGACTTAATCAGCTCTTAAAGGCCCCATCTCCAAATATCATCACCTTCAGAGTAGGATTTCTATATATGAATGGAGAGGGGCACAAACATCCAGACGACAGCACCTTGAGACCATAAGACTAGTTTTATAAAATGTGATGTAACAAGACCCTAAAGAAGGCTCTTTCAAAACCCAGCACTTACTTCAAAAATGCAGGCATGCAATGACATTTATACTTCCCAAATGCAAAGGACCAGATGTCTGAGTGTCAAAGAAAAACATCCCTTCTGGAGAAAACAGGCTGGATAATTCATCAGTAGAGAGATATAAAAGAGCATGCAGCTTCATGAATGGCTAGACCAAAAATACTCACCACAGGAAGGCAGGAAATCTGTTATTAGTGAAAAGGCTAATTACATCTCATTTTAGAGAATGTTTGCTCTACTGGCCACCACAGGGATCCAGGGGTGGCAGGTGCCAGAGGCATTTCCAATGACCAACTGGGAGTGAAGTGCTGTCATCATTCTCCATGATACCCAGGGGTATAGCTCAGTCACTAGGAGAGATGACCACAGTATTGGCCACATCTCTGATGTGCAGGCTGCAGGTGGCTCCATGAAACCTCTGTACTAAAATCATAACACTCTGCAATCAAAAATGCAGAAGCTTATCCCAGATCTAACTGCTGGCTGTAAATTGTGGAGCTAGAAAAACAAAATTGAACTATTACCTTCAGTAAGGAGTATGGATTCAATGATAGATCACTTTGCTCATCATCTTGAGCAAGTAAACTACACTCAAAATCTACTAATGCGCTTTAAGCCAACCCCCACTTATTACAATCTCCACAACAGGCAGACTGAAGGCATGATGTCAGGTTTTATGGTAATGCTTAGAAAAAGTGAGTAAAAAATCGGCTATCACAAAGCCACAAGCACTGTACTTACCGGCATTGACTTTGAATACCATGAGGGAAAGGTCAAGGTGAGAGAGGCATGAAAGAGCTGATTTTATTCTCAATACATGAGCTCAAATTTAATAACTTTGCCATAATTAAGGGAGAGAAATGCAGAGAGAACGCTCCTATTTATAGGGACTACCGAATTCCCAGTAGGAATTTCATGTCATCTCTGGTGCTACCCTCATGCTAAGAGGCACTTGGAAGAAGATGCCACTCCTTAGAACAAAGTGTGCATTTTTAAAAACACTCGGCTAACATTTACTAGCATAATTTATTCCTCTCTAGCAGTAAGATTTTTCTCTTTTCATTTTGTATAGATATGGGCAAAATTAATTTGGAACTAATGAACTGGTAATATGTGTACAGGAGTCAATAACTGATAAGCCTTTCTGCTTTGATTACATATTTAATCTTCTGGGTTTATGATAGCAATTCCAAAGATGGGGGGGAGGAACACACAGCTGTTTAACTTAGGGTTTATTTTCTCCTCTCTCTTTATACTGTTGAGAGTGCCAGAGATGACAGTAATAGCATTATCTGATTTAATTTCAGTAGCAATCTTTTTAATTTAATAACTCTGATGTCAGCTTCTCTGTCATGTTGCCAAGTTTAATTCCCACTTCTACACGATTAATACTCTAATGAAGACACTGATTTTAGTGCTAGTATACACTTGTAAAGCTTTGCTCTTCTTAGCTACAACTGAAGCCTCTGCAGCGAACTATGATAAATTAACCCCACCTAGAGTCCCTATCAGTCACGAGATTAAAAACCATCGAACATTTCCATTTTGCTCTAAAACTTTATTACCATATGGCACATTTAACATTTTAGTATCTCTTTAATTTCCAAGTATTTTACTCTGCTTCTGGTGATTACTCCCAAACCACTCCACAAAAAGTAAGTGGTCCAGTTTCTAATTAAACCTCCAGAGAACAAGTGACTTTCCCCTAAGACCGGACTTACCCCATGCCCAACTCAGAATCAACTGAAAACCTTTTTTGTTTCCTAGTCACCTTCTCCATTAAAGTAAAGAGCATTTACCAAGCACCTACTCTGTAGAGGGTTGTGCTAAACCTGGCTGACACAAGCTAATCACATCCTATTTGTTAAAGTACTTCAAATGATTTGCACGTTTTCTATCTACACATAGAACAGTAGGGGGTATCAGGATCCTTTTTAATTCTAAAAGGCATATTGGCCCCTTTTTCTCGTTCAGATTTATTTAATACAAAGTTTAAAATCAGGGAGAGAAGATCAGTAGAGACTGAAAGTCTGAATAATTCAAGTATGCAGCTGTGGTTGGGAAGTCCAAAACACAGCCCAGCTCTCAAAGCGTAAAGCTACATTAGGAAGAGATAAACAAGCCCCCAAATATCTAATTTAACAAAGGTAACAAAAAGGCACTGCCAGCTCTCTGTGCTAACAATTCAAGGATAAAGGGTGCAAGGAGTGAAGTCCATAGTTCTACCTCTCTGTCCACAGAGATGAACTATGCACCTTGGATCTCCCACCAGCAACTACAAAAACCTCCCATGGTGATATTGTGAGGCTTTGCCTTTTCCCCAAACTTCTTTTTCTTTTCTTTTGTGAGACAAAGCCTTGCTCTGCCATCCAGGCTGGAGTGCAGTGACGCGATCTCAGCTCACTGCAACCTCCACCTCCCAGGTTCGACTGATTCTCCTCCCTCAGCCCCCCAGGTAGCTGGGATTACAGGAGCGCACCACCACGTCCGGCTAAATTTTTTTGTATTTTTGTGGAGACGTGGTTTTGCCATGTTGACCAGGCTGGTCTTGAACTCCTGACCTCAGGTGATCCACCTGCCTAGGCCTCCCAAAGTGCTAAGATTACAGGCGTGTACCACGCACCCGGCCTGCCTTTTCCCCAAACTTCTTAACCTCATGATGACTATTAAGAGCACCAACCAATCTCTTTTCTATACTCAAGGCATGGCAATGAGCTGTTTTTCTTTTATTAACCCTGTTAGAAGTCATAGTGATTATTTGTTTACAGTGATGGTCAAAGTTTGTCCTCTTGGGTTTTACAGAAATGACTCCAAGCCAGGCCTTCATTACTTTGTACCTGGATCATGGCAGCAGCCTCCTTGCTGGTCTTCCTTCCTCAGTCCTCTCCTCCCTTCACCATCCCTTGAGAGAACAGACCTGCAGCCCAGGCATCCTCAGCGCCTCTTTTCAGATAACCACATTCCTATTTAAAACAGAACCAGCCCATGCCCACTCTCAGTCCACGAGGTCCAGGTGTAGATGGCCCTATACGCCACCCTTTCAGGAGAGACGTGAACCTGGTCTAGCCTGTCTGAAACCAGAGGCTCAATTCTAGGACACTACCTGGGTTTCTGAGAATTGGATGTAGGCCTGGAGCTTCTAGCCATCAGCTTAGTGCTGGAGAAAGGCACCTCCCTGAGAAAGGAGCTGGCACAGAGATGGTAAGAAGAGACCCATAAATCGTGACTTTGCCAGAGCCCCTGGATCCAGCAGGCTGAAAGCCAGGCTATCTTTGGTCTTCAGTAACTTGAGCCAATAAATTCTTTTTTGATCCAACTACTTTGAATTGGGTTTTTGTCACGTGCAGCTGAAACGGTCATGCCTGACACAATCACACACATTGTTGACATGACACTCTTACTTGAGAATCCTTCTGTTGTGCTATTTTGTCCAGGATTCTAGAAAGTTTCCTGCAAAATCCAAATGAGTTTATTCTTTTTTTTTTTAATCAAACTCCTCTCTCTTACCAGTTGGGTCCTTTTTACCCCCAGATAAGCCAGTTTCTCTCTGTCTTGACCCCCAAGGTCCTGCCTCAGTATGTTTCTTCAAACCCTTCATCATCTCACTTTCCAGGTATAAGCCCTTTGCATTTTGCTTTTTTTATTTTATTGGGGTTGTTTGTTTATTTTTTTTGTTTGTTTTATTTTGAGACAGGGTCTTGCTCTGTTGCCCAGGCTGGAGTGCAGTGGTGGTGCAATCACAGCTCACTGCAGCCTCGACCTCCTGGGCTCAAGATCCTTCCACTTCAGCCTCCCAAGTAGCTGGGACTATAGGTGCATGCCATCATGCCTGGCTAATTTTTTATTTTGTGTCTGGGACTATAGGTGCATGCCACCATGCCTGGATAAATTTTTATTTTGTGTAGAGATGAGGTCTCTCTATGTGGCCCAGACTGCTCTCAAATTCCTGGGCTCAAGCGATCCTCCCACCTCCCAGACTCCCAAAGTTCTGGCATTATAGGCATAAGCCACCGTGCCCGGCCCCCATCTCAATTCTTCTTTCTACTTCCATCGGCACTAGCTCATTTCCTGTATTCCTTATTATGCACCTGCTGATAGATTAACAAGGATGTCATTCCCTCAATTAAATCATAAATTTCTTAAGAAAAGGCCCATGAATTGTATATTAAATGTTCTCAAACCTTTTAAAATGTATACTACGCCTCTTGATAAGTATAAAAATTTGACACCTCTTTTAATTTCAAAATAAATTAAGTATTCTGACCAAAAGCAAACCCAGTATTTCACA
The DNA here is from genome assembly GCF_000001405.40 of Homo sapiens. Classification (NCBI taxonomy): domain Eukaryota; kingdom Metazoa; phylum Chordata; class Mammalia; order Primates; family Hominidae; genus Homo; species Homo sapiens. The sequence goes on from NC_000013.11 coordinate 39,500,821, forward strand.
TAGTATTAAACATAAATTAAACTTGGACAAGAAATTTGGATTGTGTCTCTCAGACCAGTGATTTTCAGATTTGAGTGAGCATGAGAATCACCTGGAAAACTTAGGAAAACACAGATTGCTGGGCTCTACCTCCACAATTTGTTTTTCAGTAAGTCTGGGGTGGGGCGTGACAATGTGAATTTCTAACACATTCCCAAGTGATGTTGATGCTCTCCTTTGGGGACCACTGCCCTGGAGTCTCATCCTTTCCTCTATCTTAGTTGTTGAGAAAAGTGTGGGCACCTTTGAGGTCTAGATTCAGAAGCCCACATCATAGGTGCCCGATCTGTTCTGTTATTCCCGGTGTTGTTATATTTGCTGTTAGCAACAGGAAGTCGGTGTCTAAAGCTGGACTAGTAAGCAGGCCTTTTGATTCCCAGTCCAGGGTTCTTTGAACTCTGCCACAATACCTCCTATGTGGATACACCATTCAGTATAGTGCCAGCCTCTCACGCTATCCTTTCTCGTATCTTATTCTATTACTTTGCGCTACAGTGTTTGAAATTATCTTTCTCTAAACAGCCCAGAATTTTTTTTTACATCATAGAATGTATTTTTTCCTTCTGCCTCCCGAATTCAATTAAAATTCAATGTTTAGAGAGTCTGTGCTTTAAAAGAAATTAGACAATGGGCTTAAACTTGCTCCATTACCTTCCCCCCTAACAATTATTTACAATTTTCCTACAAAACATATTGAGGCTTCCCCCCAGGCTCTATCTATGGGATTCTCAACTTTATTGACACTGTTGAGGATGGTTATTTGTGGCATTTCACAAAAAAAGAGGGGTTGGGGGTGGGTGAGGTATGGAGAAACAAGATTCATGAGTTGAAATGTTTTCTCTCCATTTACCCCATGGAGAGGGCAGGCTGGAACCCCTGCTCTTAGTGTGGTCATGGAGTTTCTAAAGAGACATCAACCATGTGTTCAAAAGCTTGACAAGAGGCTGGCCCAGAGCGAACCAGGGCAGAGAAGCATGAGGCTAAGAAAAAGAGGAGCCAAGAGTCAAGCAATTAACATTTTTTCCATGCTTCACTATAATTAGCCAGATCAAAGGGGACCTGGGCTCACAGATTTCACCAGGCCACATGACTCTCGCAGGACAGTGAGCCAAGGGCCCAGGAGGTCTGCAGTACAACTAATTGTTCATGGGCAGAACTCTGTTTTCTTGTAAATCACTCTCTTGTGGATTCCTTATCACTTGTTCTGATTCTGAAGTGCCACACTGGGGAAAATCCCCAGGCCCTACATGGCTCCCATTTACAGTGTTTGCTGTGTGTGTCACAGATGGTGCACAAACACCTCAAAATGGCCTTGCCAGGAAGGCTCTGAGGCTAGAGGTTAAGTAGCTTGGCCAATGCCTGACTGCTAGGAAGTGGCAGAAACTGAACTCAGATTTTTCAAAAAATCAGTGATTCGCAAATGCTCCTCCTGATCATACAAGAGTCAACTCAGCAGCATATTAAAAATACACATTTTGGCCAGGCACAATGGCTCACACCTGTAATCGCAGCACTTTGAGAGGCCAATGCGGCAGGATCGCTTGAGCCCAGGAGTTCGAGACCAGCCTGGGAAACATGGTGAGACTCCGTCTCTACAAAAAATTAAAAAAAAAAAAAAATAGGCATGGTGGCGCGCCTGTGGTTCCAGCTACTCAGGAGGCTGAGGTGGGTGGGTCACTTGAGCTCAGGAGCTTGAGGCTCCAGTGAGCCATGATCAAGCCACTGCACTCCAGTCAGAGCAAGACCTTGTCTCTAAAACACACACACACATACGTTTTGAGCTAGTAAGTCCAGGGTGAGGGTGAAGCTGGAACACAGGATCTTTAAAAAGCCCCAAGTGATTCTATTTTCCCTCAGGTTTGGTAAACCAGTATCAAAAGTTAAAAGACCATTTGTGGAACTCCCAACATACTAAACACAGAAACTCCATTTAATGGGACTTTTACAGATTCCTTAACATGACAGTCTCTTCTAGTCTTTTCCAGAGTAATAAATACATTTTCTTTTTTAAATTTGTATTTATTATTGTTGTATCTTATTTATTTATTTTAGAGACAAGGTCTTGCTCTGTCACCCAGGTTTGAGGGCAGTGGTGCGATCATAGCTTATGGCAGACTCAAACTACTGGGTTCAAGCAGTCCTCCCACCTTGGCCTTCCAAAGTGCTGGGATTACAGCCACAAGCCACCACACCTAGCCAATAAATGCATTTTCAATTACAATCCATACATATGTGAGTCCTATGCCCAGAACTCTGGGTGGTTCCAAGCTGCACTCAGAACAGCCAGAATGCTTACAGTGACTTATAAATGCTACCTGACCCGGCACCCTCAACCACTGGACACATCGCTCCCTCCCTCATTCCTCACAAAGGCACTAGCCTCCCAGCCATTCTACAGACATTCTAGGAATTCCCACCTTTGTGCCTTTGCACTGACTGTTCCCTCTGCCTCTAACACGTTTCTTCCAGATATCCACATGGTCAACTCTCTTGCCTCCTGTCTCTGATCAAACAGCAGCTCAATAAGGCCTACCTGACCATTTTATTAATATCTAAAATTGCAACCATCCCCCCCACATACTACCATAACTCCCAATCCCCTCCTGCCACTTTGTTTCTTTTTGCCATAGCACAATCAGCTTCTAACATACCACACAATTTACTTATTGTGCTAATTATTATTTATCTTTCCCACTACAGAGAAAGCTCCATGAGGCCAAGGATTTTTGTCAGTCTAATGATGTATCCCAAGCACCTAGAACAGTGCTTGGTATGCAGTAGGTGCTCAATATTTGTTGAATTAATGAATATAATTGAAAGAAATTTTACACAATACGTAACCTTACTATGTCTGTACACTGATATTCTCTATCCAATTCTATTCAAATTTACTTTATTAAGTCTTGGCTGCAACTCACTAGTAGGTCACCCACAGTTTGACAAGCAGACTTATTTTGCCAATAACTTGCTGAATGCCTATTTAGGGCCCAGATCAATTTCCCAGAATGTGCCTTTTGACAAGTCAAATACAAAAAGCTTCCTCCAAAAGTTCTTGAAGAGTCTAACAATTAAACATGCTGGCAGACCATGTATAAATAAGAAAGATGATAACATGGTAAAATTAGAAGTTTTGGTATATCATTCCATTGCCAAAAATGTTAGCTTTGATAGTGCCATCACTTTTAATGGCAAAAATTGCTTTTGCACCAACCTAAATAATAAATATATGACTGTGGTGAGGCAAGGCATCAGTGAGTCACCGGAAGGATCACTAACATGTTTTAAATTATATTAATATATCTGTAGCACAGAATAATGTTTTAAAGCATATAGTTTAATCACAATGTTTTATAAATTTTCCTTTCAAAACTTAAATGGGAAGGACTGGTATTATTTCAGATTAATAAATCCAGATGAATAAGATTAGTAGATCCAACATTATCATTAATGACCAAATATTTGTAGTTATATCTTATGGGATCTTAAATCTTTTCTTTAATCTTAATTCGACTGCATATTTCAGAATTTAAATTAGAAGATTTCCTCGCTGTATTAGTTTACTAGAGCTCACATATGAAGTATCACACACTGGGTGGCTTAAACAACAAACATTCTTTTCCCACAGTTCTGGAGGCTGGAAGTCCAAGATCAAGATGCTGGCAGGTTTGGTTTCTCCGGAGGCCTCTCTCCTTGGCTGGCATTGCAGGTGGTCCCCTTCTTGCTCATCCTACATGGTCCTTCCCTCTGTACTTGTCTGTATCCTACTCTCCTCTTCTACTAAGGACACCAGTTACATTGGATTAAGGCCCTCTCTAATGACTTCATTTTAACTTAATTAACTTTTTAAAGACTATCTGCAAATACAGTCACATTCTGAGGTACTGAAGGTTAGTGCTGTCACACATGAAACTGGGGAGGAAACCCCACACTTCTAATTCTAGTACTTATGCTCAGGAATAAGCATATTCCCCTACATCTTTGCCTGCTGTCATATATGCTGCCAAAACCGCAGAGGAAATTGTATAATGTCATTTTCAATGTACATGACCTTCCTGAAATAAATAAAAATGACCTGGCTCATTACATAAATGAATGAATTAAAATGAATTTAACTACAACTACAATTTCTAGTTTTTTCCATCAACTAGGAAAGATGAAAGGACTTGTATGTTCCCCCAAAGCTTAGGCTTCTTTCCTAGATCTTTCATTTTAGATTCATTTACACAAACACACCTTTTTCTCTTAAACATTCTTCTCTGGGAATTGATGCAAACGCAAAAGAGAAAGGAAGGGAGGACCAGTCAACCATTCCAGGAGGAAACGTGAGGTCAAGAGAATGGTTTAACATCAATCAGGTATAGATGTTATCAGCATGAAAACATCCTCAGAATCACTGCTATTTCCACATTCTAGAGAGCGGAATCGGAGTAGAAGACAGTTGTCAGTAGAATCTCAGTGGAACTCAGAACATAATTGATGTCAGGAATCTGTCAACTCAAACATTCACTGAAGGCCTACTATGCATAAGGAATTGCGCAAGACCCCAGAGGAGGTTGAGTGACAAACTACTGAAAGAAATGAGGATTATGTTACTTGGTGGAGGAAAAGAGAACTTCAGAGGAGATACGAGAACTGTCTAAAAAAAAAAAACACATGAAGGGCTTCCTGGCAGAAACAGATTTGATTTATCCTCAGAGGCTCCAGAAGGCAGAGTTTAATCAACTAGTTCAATTCCTGAGAGGCTGATTTTGGCTAAAAGAAGGATGAATTTTCTGATATAACTATCCAGTAACAGTGAGGTAGCAAGTTCCTTCTCACCGAATGTGTCAAACAAGGTTTGGGGGTGCTGTGGAGGGATTCACAGGTGAGACAGAGAATAGCTGACTCTCTTGGTTCCTTCTAAAGCTGAGAAACTTCATTAGGTCTGTACCCACTACAGATTTCCAGTGATAGAGTGAAGGGTATTATCCACTTTTATACATTTTCTAAATGACATTTTGTCTATATTACAAATGAAAATATTATCCTCTAAACAAGGATGCATTATCTTACTGCCACAGAGGAGCTATCAATAATTTCTCAGTCCTCATCATTTATTATAAAGGATCTGCGGAACATCTCTCCTTTTAACCTCTAACCACTCAACTCAGATAAAGCCTGCATTCAAAACTGATCACCTTGTCATGCAGGTGATCAAGCAAGAACTATCTCTTTTTACAGACAAAACAGCCCCAAGTATAATAATATGGTTTTATACTACACTATGATCTTTTACATTACTTCCTTACAATAACAGTTTCTAGGGAACAATATGATTTCCAATATTCAGCTCTGGCTTCTGTGGACGTAATATTCTGTGATCAACAGTGCGGTTAATAGATGTGATTAGGAAAACAAGAAGAGGCTACCATAAAAATGTATGTGAAAGAGCACCTGAGGGTCCCGCTGCTAATTCCTTGGCCAAGTTCTTAACAAGGGGTGAGGATCCTAATGGTGTTCAGTGATGAATACGAAGACCAACTGTGAGAAAGGACCTCAGAGAAGATAGTAAACATTTGTCAAAGTTGAGTCCCATGGGATTTCACGCTCTTCTGAGCAGTGGAAACCAAAATCACCTAATTTTCTATCCAGCCAGGCTAGGATGATGATCCACAGTGAGAAACATTTCACACTAAAGTCATTTATTTTATTTTATTTCATTTCATTTTTTGCTTGTGACCCCTAAATTAATAAGGGCCACCGCCACTCAGCAGCTTAATCAACAGAGCTCCATCATTCTGTCAGCTCCTTAAGAAGCATAAGAAAGCAAGTCAGGGTGGGAAAGGGTTGAATGGCAGAGAAGGAAGGAGGTGGGATAGGGAGGTGGGGGGGAAGGTGTGGAAAAATAATGTGAGATCTCACATATAAGCTAAAGCTGAGGCAGCTATGTAATTATAAAGCTAGCTTTTCTTTCACTTGACAGCACAAGAAAAGGAGGTGAAGATAAGCTTTTAAATGAAACATGACATTCCCTTATTAAATTCTGATTTCTATTTTAAATGGCTTAGTGCTTTGAGTTTACTTCCACACTCTGAGCTAGCCAAGAAGGAGATGTTTAATGGAAAGAAAAACTGCAAATTTTTTTGAACAGTGCATGCATGTTTCTAAACAAGTTTGTATAAACACGTTTGTGCTTATAAAAGCTGTTCGGGTTATCCAAGCAATAGTTGGCCACCTTTTGGTAAACATAAATGCATTCTAGCTTACTGGGAAAATGCAAGGTATGCCTTTTGTTTAAAAATAACATGATGCGTAATGTGTGCAATGCATTAAGAATTTATTGCCCATTTCTGCTTCAGTTCCTCTCCATCACGGGTAGCCAACAGAAGCTACACGTCCTTACAAGCAGTGCTCTGTGGCCCACATGAAATCAGGCCATTGCATGCTAGGACCTGTAGACCCCAGACAGGAGGGAAGCTGCAGTGCATTTCCTGTGCCGTCAGAGGTCTAGCAAGTTTGGGGTTTTATTTTCCCTCTCACAGAAAAAGATAAACATTCTTGCTGCTTCTCTCTACATCACATCCACTTTAACACCCCCTCCCATCTCAAAGGACTGCAGGCATTTCTCCCCAAAGTATGTGGGAAATGCCCCAAATTGCTGCAGTTTGTATCTGCTTGTCAAATACCATCAGTAATATTCATAATAATGCCAAATATTGAAATTGCTGCAGTTTGTATCTGCTTGTCAAATACCATCAGTAATATTCATAATAATGCCAAATATTGAAATTGCTGCAGTTTGTATCTGCTTGTCAAATACCATCAGTAATATTCATAATAATACCAAATATTTTTTGAGCAATCTGCATATAGAAAAATAGTTTTACCTACAGTATCTGAGTATGTGGTAGATATTATTAACTTCATTTTACAGAAAAGAAAAACTGAGTTCAGAGAGGCTATGCAGTTTATCCACAGGTACACAGCAAGTAAATGATAAATCCAAGATTTGTCTCTGATTTCAAGTCCAGGCTTTATCTTGCCTCCCCTCCCTTCCTTCCTTCCTCCCTTCTTTCCTTCCCTCCCTCCCTCCCATTTCTTTCTCTTTTCCTTCCTTCCCTTTTTTTCTCCCCTCCCCTTTCTTTTCCCTCTTTTTCTTTTTAATAGTGTTATTAAGTTGTAATTTACTTTTTTTTTTTTGAGGCAGAGTCACGCTCTGTTGCCCAGGCTAGAGTGCAATGGCGCCATCTCGGCTCACTGCAATCAATTTCCGCCTCCCAGGTTCAAGTGATTCTCCTGCCTCAGCCTCCCGAGTAGCTGGGATTACAGGTGTGCACAACCACGCCTGGCTAATTTTTGTATTTTTAGTAAAGGTGGGGTTTCACCATGTTGGCCAGGCTGGTCTTGAACTCCTGACCTCAGGTGATCCACCCGCCTGGGCCTCCCAAAGTGCTGGGATTATAGGCATGAGCCACTGCCCCAGGCCATAATTTACATATAATTACATTAACATACCTGAAGTACACAATTGATAAATTTTGATGCACATACAATGGCAAAACCATCACCACAATTAAGATAATAAGTATATCTATTACCTGATCACATTTCCTCATACTACTTTGTAATTTCTTCCTCCCCGATTCCATTCTATACTCCCCATCCTAGAAAACCATCCATCTGCTTTCTTTCACAATTGATCTGTTTGAATTTTCAAGAATTTTATATTAATGGAATCATACAGTATGTACTCTTTTTGTTTTGCTTCTTTCACTCAGCATAATTATTTTGAGATTTATCTGCATTGTTGCATGTATTATAAATTCATTCCTTTTCACTGGTAAATAATATTCCAGTGTATGGATATATCCCAATATTGTTTATCAGTTCACCTACTGATGGACATCTTCATTGTTTCCAGTTTGGGGCTAATAGCATTCCTAGAAATATAGCAACTAACAAAACTCATACACAACTCTTTATATGAATACATGCTCTCATTTCTCTTTAGTAGATACCTATGAATGGACTGGCTCGGGTAATACAGTATATATGTATTTAACTTTTTAAAGAAGTTGCCAAATTGTTTTCTAAAATGGTTGTACCATTTTACATTGCCACCAGCAGTGTATGAAACTCCCAGTTGATCCACATTCTCATTTATGCTTCGTATGGTTAGTCTTTTTAACTTTAGTCATTCTAGTAAGCACTGAATGGTATCTCACGGTGGTTTTAATTTGCATTTCCTAAATGATAAATGATGGTGAACATCTTTTTATGTGGTTATTTGCCATCCATGAAACGATGGTGAACATCTTCTCATGTGGGTATTTGCCATCCATATATTTGTCCAAACATTTTGCCCATTTTTAATTGCATTGTTTTCTTATTATCAAGTTTTGAATATTTTTAAATAATTTGGATACAAATCCTTTATCGGGTATGTGATTTGCAAATAGTCATTCATTTTTTTTTCTTTTATCCATCACACCTTTAATGTCATATCTAAGAAATCTTAGCCTAACACGAGGTCATAAATATTTCCTTTTTCTCTTTTCTTCTAGAAGTTTTATAGTTGGGGTTTGAGATTTAGGAACATACTACGGTTCAGATTAACTCTGGATTAAGGTATGTGCTGAAGTTGGTTTAAGGTATGCGCTGAAGTTTTTTTTTGTATATGCCTATTTTTAAATTTGATTTTTTTATTTTGCTATTTTATATTTCTTTTAAAAAATTTTTTGGACTATTTTAAAGCTTTCTTCTATTCCAGTATTATCAATGCTTTTTCTTTAGGAATGCCAAAATGACCAATAAAGAAGGGGCTTTAAAATAAAGATGGGGCCAGGCACAGTGGCTCACGCCTGTAATCCCAGCACTGTAGGAGGCTGAGGAGGGAGGATCCCTTGAGTCCAGAAATTTGAGACCAGCCTGAGCAATATAGCAAGACCTCATCTGTACAAAAATTTAAAAAATTAGCCAGGCAGGGTGGCATGTGCCTGTAGTCCCAGCTACTTGGGAGGCTGAGAGGAAGGGTGAGGCTGCAGTCAGCCATGACTGTGCCTCTGCACTCCAGCCTGGGTGACAGAGTGAGACCTGGTCTCAAAAAAATAAAATAAAAATACTACAACTGGCATGAACCAGACGATATAAAAGTAACAATTTACAGATTACAAGAAATAAAATAGGCTCTAAGACAGAAACTCACGGTGCTCAAAGAGAATCCTGCAGGAAGACTGAATCCCACTCAATTGCCCATCTGCTGATGGTTACTGACTGCTCTGCAGATGGTAACAATGAGGCGTAATGATAAATATGCATTGCTCTGGAGTCCTATACAATCAAAGCACTTCACGTGAGAGTAAAAACTAATTAAACATTGCAGCACCACCCACTGAAGGTAGAGTTAAATCTGTCAAATTATATATTCTGAGCAGCACTGGTTTATAAGAAAGATTCACCAAGTTTCCTTTATTTTTTTGTCCTTAATTATAAAACCTGTTTTCACCTGACACTTTTCCAGCAGTGTAACTTTTGCCCTGGGGCAAACTGAGGTGGCGATGTCTGTAGTAACTGCCAAGAGAGCTGTTTGTTTCTCCCCAGGGGTAGGTCATTAGAAACTGAAAGTCCAGAACCAATTTTCTCCAGCTGCTGCAGGTGTTTTACTTTTAGCATTGTGGGGTGGGGATAGCAGATGCCTGAGAAACTATAGTGTTTTACATAAGTCTGAAATCATTGGATCTATAACCTCAGTTCTTCAACAAACCTTATGTCAATCAAGAGATCAGAACACATCTTTCTAGAAAGAGAAAACACACACACACACAATGGAGAAGCAGGTAGAAAGTCAGGAGTTACAGAACTAGCTAAATGGAAATATTACAGAAATTTACAGAAGTGGACAACTTTGCTTCCTGAGTGAAAAAGTTATATAAAACAAAATAAAACAAAAAATAATTGAAGAGGAAAACTACAGTTTGAAATATACAACTTAAACCTGAAATTAAATTACTGGTATTTGTAATCATTACTTTAAATTTTTTTTTTTTCTTTTGAGAGGGAGTTTCGCTCTTATTGCCCAGGCTGGAGTACAGTGGCACCATCTCAGCTCACTGCAACCTCCGCCTCCCAGGTTCAAGCGATTCTCCTGCATCAGCTTCCCGAGTAGGTGAAATTACAGGTGCCCACCACCACGCCCAGCTAATTTTTGTATTTTTGGTAGAGACGGAGTTTCACCATGTTGGCCAGGCTGTTCTCAAACTCCTGACCTCAGGTGATCCGTCCACCTCAGCCTCCCAAAGTGCTGAGATTACAGGCGTGAGCCACCGCACCTAGCCAAAATATTTTCTTACGCAGTCTTTCAAATGGACAAAAAAAAAGTCATGGGTATTTAATGTAATGGCTACTTCTGTATCCACTTTCCAATTTTTCAAATCTTAACATTTTGTCAAATTTGTTTATTTCTTAAAGTAATACAATATTATACATACAGTCATTTTTGGCTAAAAAATTGCAAATGAGGATGAACTAGAAGGCATAAAAAATAACATATTTCCTCCCATTTTGGCTGACATCAGTAATCAATCACAGCATTCTTTGTTCCTAACCCCTGTCAATTGATTTAAATTCTTAAAAAAAAAAAAAAAAGACAGAAAAGAGATACATTCGCCACCTCTGATGAATACCTAACAGCAGTAAACAAAGGATTCAACTAAAGTCAGGGGTAAAAATTAAGCATTCCAGGCCAACTAGCTTGATTTTATGAACAAAGAATATTCTAGAATATACTATTAACAATTACAGAAGTTTTCCTTTATGAAAAATGAATAACCCCAGGCCACTAATTTTCTTTTTGGAATCAATCACCAATTTAAAGTCTACTTTTCTCTCGATCAAGAATTAGCCTGAAAAGATACCTGCTATGTATTTTTCTGTAGCTGGTGCTCTACAGTAAGATTACACCTGTTTTTAGGTATCTGCTTTGTGGAGCAAAAACAAGTACAGAGCTATCCTTGAGAAATGCTCTTGATAATAATCCTCACATAGGCACCCTCCATTGTAGCTTCCTATCATTCACTCAGGATTTTCCAACACCTTCTGAAAGTTATATTTCTTACCCATCCCAGTAAATGCCTCGAAACATTTTCTGACAGGCAGTTCACAAGTATCCATGAGACGACCTATTAACACCTAGAATTTTCTGGTTCTGAAGTGGGATGGATGGTTAAAATGGGTTTTTAATACTTTATTTGTAATTTAAAGACTTTTAAGGTATAAAGATAATGTCAAGTCTTAAACATGTGCCTACTGTTTCAACAGCTTCCCAAGCCTTACCTTCTTCTTCCTGCTTAACACTGATTTCCTGTTCTCTCTCATCTCACCGTCATTCTGCAGCTCTATGTGAAACGTTTTCTTGACTAAAACCCAAGTAATGCCTTTCCTTCCTTATTTTCAAAACAGGTCAAACATACAAGAAATCAGACCAGGCTGGGTGCGGTGGCTCACGCCTGTAATCCCAGCACTTTGGGAGGCGGAGGCGTGTGGATCACGAGGTCAGGTGATCGAGACCATCCTGGCTAACACGGTGAAACCCCGTCTCTACTAAAAATACAAAAAATTAGCCGGGCATGGTGGCGGGCCCCTGTAGTCCCAGCTACTCGGGAGGCTGAGGCAGGAGAATGGCGTGAACCTGGGAGGCGGAGCTTGCAGTGAGCCGAGATTGCGCCACTGCACTCCAGCCTGGGCAACAGAGCGAGCCTCCGTCTCAAAAAAAAAAAAAAGAAAAGAAAAAGAAATCAGACCAAATTTCTCTTCCATCAGTTACAGAATGATTAGCCAGTTCTGTTCCCTTCTTAAATTGTTCTGCTGTGTAGTTGTTTTGGAAAATATTCATGATGTATTCAGACAATTCTTCAATTCTAAAAGCAGGTAGGACAGCTTGACCAGGCCTGGCATGCTTGGAATCTGGGAGAAGACAAGATAAGTATCTATTAAGAGAGTCTCTCTCTCTGCCAGTTTTGTGCTAAGGCCCATTCCTGGCCGTTGGAGAGGTGAGATGGCAGGCTTGAAAGACGTGCCCAGGCACGCGCGACACTGTCTGCCTTTCATTCCTCTGCTATTGGCCACTGTCATGACTGATGACCACGCTGTCCTGGGTGTTATTAGAGAAGAACATCCTCTCCATTTGCTAGCTGTGTATCTGTACCTTTTCCCAACTCCCATTTCCTGTCCTTTGGAAGCATCAAATGGGCATTTTCTGAATAATAGCAAATAACCTTAAAATTTTACTAACTGGAAACAGTTGTTGTGAGAGGTTTTGTCCTAAGTTACATGGGATCATTTTAGAGCAAATCAAATAACTAGTTAGAAGAACTGTTTTAGTTGTTCTTTTAAAACAGTTAAAAGAGCTGCTTAACTGAATAAGAAGGGCATGGCCCTTCTTATAAAATTACATGGGATTCTGACCTAAAACAATTATTGTGTTCTAATCATCAGGATAAAGTTTTCTCAGCCTTCATCTCTTATACTCCCAAGTTTGTATTATCTTCTACATTCAGTCTTACTTTTGGCTTCTTTTCCTATCCTATGCCTTCCAGTGGCCTTTATTTGAATTTTTTTCCCAAAATATTCTCTGGAAATCTTGAAGGCTAAAACTATACAAAGATAGAAAGTTCAGAAAGTAAAGAAATAAGTCTACATGTTCTAGAGGGTGCTTACTAATCTAAGCCATGGAGAAATGTCAAAATAAGAAAAGTAAACTGCATTTTATTGAGTACCTACTATATTCCAGTTACTATATCAGGAGCTTTTATATGTTACCATAGTTATTCCTCACAATAAGTCTATAAAGTAGGTATTATTTCCTTTTTACAGTTGGGAAGCTACACTTCAGAGAGGATAAGTTTCATTGTCCAAGGTTATATATCTTTTCAAGATCCAAACACAGGCCTTTATGATCCTACAACATGTATATGACCCTCATTAGTTCACATAATGTCTTTCTATTTATTAGTGTGTATAGTGTGATCCCTACCGTACTGGATATTTTATGAGATAAATAATACACACAATTCAGTCCCTTCTAACTCTGAGAACCAGTCAAAAAAATTGATGAGCCCATCCTCAGCCCACTCTGCAACTTGACTCTGGAAACCCAACAATTATTCCTAATCCCTGCTCCTGGTCACTGTGCTCATCTCAGGGAGAACCTGAGTGATGGAGTCAAAGAAGGTTTTAGCTGAGGATCACGAGACCCATGTTCTGGTTTAGTCCCAGCTACTGATCATTTAAACTGGCCAAACTAAAGTAACTGGGTTCACTCCCTTCATATGTAAACTAAATAATCAGAAGGGACTAAAGTCTCTTAGAGCTTCAGAATTTTACAATTCCTTCTTATTTCCCTGGTTATGAATGAATTAACAAGCAGAGAAGGGCGGGGTCACAAGTGACAAAGCTCTAAGTCCAAGGGTCTCTTCCGAAAGCACACAATGAAAGCCCCAACCCCTCTCCACATCCAGAGCTCAGCAGTGCAATGACTGGAAGTCTGTTCTCTTGATGATGAGGGATTAGTGTACTCACTGTTTACACCAATAAAGGAAAAGTGCTCTGGCATCAACACAGGTCCCTAGGCAGTAGGTATTGTACCTGCTCTGAAAAGCAGCTTATCATTCTGATCCAGTCACGAATGAGCACCACAATAATCTAGGCAGGAACACCAAGCTACCCATGAACACAAAATTCACTGAAGAAATGTGAGCCCCAAACTCCACCTGGGCAGTGCATTATTACCCAGCCAAAGTTAACTGAGTGCCAGGGGATGAGAGGCGGGCAAGGTTACATCCCCAACCTGAGCACAGCTCCAAAAACAGGAACAGGGAAAGGGAAGCAAAACACTGAATTCAACGTGAATGCATTTCTGCACTTACATATAAAAGAAAGAGTTTAATATTCTCAAAGTGGAAGAAGCCAACCAAGGACATGATTGACGTAGAAACTTTAATTCCAGCCAGCCAAAACCCAGAAGAAAAATAGCGAAGTGCTAAAGGCAGGGACTCTATCCCCCACGTAATGCCACATATTGGAAAACAAGCTCCAAGAATGTGTAAGATGAACATGTGAGTTTTCTAGGCATTCGCAGGAATAGATCAATTCAATAAATAACTCCCAAATCAGCCCTACACATTCCTTTGAGGACCATCCGAGCCACTGCTATTGAACTGCGTTCATTGGATCCTGATGAGACCTGAATCCCCTTTAAGTGGAGTGGCTGTACCTCTAACAGCTCTGCCCACTTCACCTGGCAAAGAACCTGACTCTATTTTACACTTTATGGTATTTCTGACAAGACACTGTCCCTGCCTGTTAGTTCCACTCACAAAGCAATCCAAGCCAGGGATGAGCTGCGCTGCCTTCAAGAAGCAATGCGCCTTCAGACCTCTGCAGCTACTTCAGGTTTGCCACTTTCCCATCAAGGGTTGAGGATTTTTTCATGAAAGAAAATAAAGCTTGAAGCACATCAAGCTATAAATCAGCATCAGGAAACAAGGTCATGCATTTTACAACATATGATCCAAACACGCTGCACCAAATTGGCCTTTAGTCACTTGAATTGACATAAAGTGTGCCTGGGCTGACACTTTATTCTTACCATTTGCCCTTATTGCTAGATAAAGGCTGTCGCCTTTCTCCTTCCTGGGGATTTCTCTTCGGCTTAACAGCTTGCTAAATGCTTGCCTTTGTTTGATAATCATTCTAAGGCATTGGTTTAAATCATCATTCTCCCTTTCTAATTTATCTCTGCCCGACAGCAAAGCAGCTCCCAGCTATCTGTGCTGGGGTAGGTGATTAACTGGCTCGCTGATTGCCCTTATATTAACATTAACATTGTCTTCCCTGCCATACAGATGTGTGCGTGATGATGAGAGACAGAAGAAAAGAGACACAAATTACAGGAATTGCTTAAAATAAAAAGCATTATTAACTAAGAGAGGAGGCCAATAATAAAAACTATTTGTTTTCATTAAAAAAGAAAATTACTATGGAAATACAGTTTCACCAGGGAGAAAAAAACATAGCTTGAATGTAGTTTTAGATGAATTCATACCTCAAGAGTTATACATAATTACAGTATACCCTTCTCTTTATTCATGGTACTCAACTTGATATATTTAAATTAAATTTCAACCCAGGAATTTTTCAAAGTATTTTGCATTCTAGCATATCCTATAAGACTCAGGACTGTGGAGGCTAATTACGAGTTCCTATTGTCTGATCCTTCTGGAATAGTCTCCTAGCTGGATTTCTGTACGCTTCACATTCTGTATCTGGGCAGACAAAGCCCTCAAGCAACAAAAATCTAACAGCTATGCCACACTTCCAGTAGCCTCTAGGAAATGAATGCCAAACATTTCTATCCTGGCAAAGGCTTCATGCCCCTAAAATGAAGTAATTTATTTGCAGGCCATCCTGCCTTCTACCATGCCAGCTTCAAATACCAGTCTATGACTTATCATTCCACTCCGCTCAAGCGTCCAAGTGGTGAGCCGAGCAGCCCCTGGCTTGATTTTGCTGTCATGGGGTAACAAATCCCTCGAGAGCTGCATCTGCCATGCAGGAGATTATCATAATTGATCTCTATATGTTTCTCGTTTTCAGATAAAAGATAATGCCTGGACATGCAGACTTCCCATAAATCCCACTGGTGTGGAGAACCCTTAAACACAGCCAGTTCATAAGGAGAGCAACAAGGATGACTGGATGTTAATTACCAGACTGATGAATATATAATGCAGGAATCAACAGGGACTGAAAGAAAACTCGTCTGAGCTAAGATATTAACATGCTCGATAACCTTGGCCAAGGCACTTGGCCTCTGTACGCCTCAATTAGCCAAACAGTAAAGCTGAATAAAATAAAAATCTTGATGAAAATTAGATGTGGATTTACTCTGATGAGCTTTCCTGAGTAATTTACAGTCCCAAAGACAACAGTCAAAACACAAAGCAAACATCCAAAGTGCCAACAGTGGAGGGAGTCGTACCAATGCAGCTGATCAACTTATTATACAAAGCCTCTTAAATCAGCTCATGTAGCATTCTATTAATTTAATGCACGCCACATGATGGTGATTAAATCTTCCACGTTGGAAGCAGAATGTGCTATATAGTTTCAGAAGAAGAGGTTAAACAAAAATTCTGATCTCCCCACATGACCCAAAAATAATACCTTTTCTAGAAGTTGCTTTAAAGAAACCCACCATGGTACTAAAGGGAAAGGGTTGCCAAATCTCTAAAGGTTTGAAAGAAAAATACTGTGGACCGTAGGGGGGTAATGAGAACTTCTGAATTATATAATTAGTTCCTGAGTACCCAAGACTATTTAAAATGCAATTTGCTGATTGGAAAGAAAAGAAATAATGAAGTACAAAGAGGATAAATGAAGACACCACACGTTAAGCCAGTGAACTTTCATAGTATGGGAGAAAAGAAAGAAGGACAAACCCTGTCTGTTCACGTTCTAAGCATTCATGATTTTCAAGAGGATCAGATGAACAATACTTTTTTGCTCTGGTTTTACAAATAGGTACAGGATCCTTGGCTCTCTCCTTCTTATCCCAATTCTTAAATGAATGTAATTAATCCAGACATCATCCTTTATCACTATTGTCTATACTGAAGATCCCAAATACATGTCTTCAGCCCATTTTTCCTGAGCTCCAGATACAAATTTCTGTCCAGCTTTCCTCAACTCCTTGAAAAATCCCTAGAAGTTGTCCTTGTTCTCTCCACATTTAGCACCATTATATGTCCCTGTTTGTCTGAGACAGTTTCCATGTACACCTTTTGTCCTGGGGTTATTATTATAATTTTTTAAAAATTGAGATAGGGTCTCTCTATGTTGCCAAGGCTGGTCTTGAACTCCTGGGCTCAAGGATCCTTTTGCCTCAGCCTCCCATGGCACTGGGATTATAGGCATGAGCCACCATGTCCAGCCTGCTGTTACTATTAATTGTACTTCCCTTTACTCTCACAGTAGTCCAGATTTAGAAGATAAATTATGTGGAGATCATTTCCACAACTCCCACCTTCTCTGTTCCACCCACCCCCAGCCATGGGTGGGCCTGTGCCATCTTCTCTAGCTCAGACTGCTGAAATAAGCTACTGGCTGGGATTCCAATCTCCACACTGCCCTTCCCTTCCTCTAATTCATCCATTCCCGCTAGGTGATCTTTCTCAGGTGAAAATCTCATCAGGTCACCCCCTGCTTCGATGGCTTCCCCTGCTTTCAGAATAAAGTTTAAACACTTTCGAATAGCGACGCTCAAAGACCTCAGAGACCTCCATAATTTCACTTCATCCAATAAATCTCCCATTAGATGTTTGTCTAACTCAACTGTACTGGTACCTCCCTATTAATAATAATAATGCAAACTTAAAGTTAGTTTTCCCAGATCCCAAAATATTAAAGTACCAACACTTTAGGTCTCAAACAACTTCTTTTCTGGGAAAATATAAGAGGTCTGAGACATCCTGGCTACTTTCCCCAGTTAGATGTGTTTCAAAAAACTGTATGTCAATCTTGTATTTTTTAACACCTTATATTTTTTAATCAACTTATATGTAGAATGTGCTAGAGACTCTATTTGAAATAGCCCAGTAGAAAATCCTTCTTACTGGTAAATAATTCTACTATAATGTATATTTTTTCTTTGTTAACTTCATATGTTTGTAAGTTTCTAAATCTTTCCAAAACTTTTTGACACTTCACACTGAATCAACCTATAAGGAAACTCAGGGTTGGAAGCATCTCTAAAGGCCACACCTGTGTATTTGTATCCTTCTACAATAGTATTTCTCAGCTTTTGCATCTACTAGAACCACCTGGAAAGCTTCTGAAAAATGCAGACACTCAGGCCCCTACTCCCATCCCCCGCCATCCCCCTGCCATGATTTAATCAATCAAAAACTTCAGAGATGAGGCCCAAACACGTGTCTACTGATGTTCCCTGAAGTTGGACAATTAATGGGTAGCATCCAGTCCACGATGGAACACGTCGAAGTGAGAATGAGTTAATAAGCCAGATATTAAGCAAAGTAGCTGCTTCAAAACTCAGAGCCCAGGGCTAGGCATGGTGGCTCACACCTGTAATTCCAGAACTTTGGGAGGTTGAGGTGGTAGATCACTTGAGGTCAGGAGTTTGAGACCAGCCTGGCCAGCATGGCAAAACCTCGTCTCTACTAAAAATACAAAAATTAGCAGGGCGTGGTGGTGAGCGCCTGTAATCCCAGCTACTCGGGAGGCTGAGGCAGAAGAACTGCTTGAACTCGGGAAGTAGAGGCTGCAATGGGCCGAGACCAGGCCACTGCACTCCAGCCTGGGTGACAAGAGCAAAACTCTGTCTCAAAAAATAAAAATAAAAAAAAAATCAGAGCCAAGTAAGTGAGATACAACTTGTATAAATACACTTGAGGAATTTGCTTACAGTAGAAATTCTATAGTAAATCCACCTATTTGACTTAAATTTGACTTTTGAACATAATTTTTCAAGGCAGCTCATAGGGACATCTTCCTCAAATAATGCTGATGCTGACCAGGTCAGCATTAATGTCCCAGATCACTGAGTGTTAAAAACGTTACACGCATTAGTTTGTCTCCCTCTTCATCTCTCCCTCAGTCTGCAATTTATTTCAGATCAATTAGACCAGGGAAATGATCTAATTTCCTGGTTTTAACAACAAACAAAATCTTCAATTATTGAACACTAATAGATTTTTTTCTTTTTCTTTTAAGACAGCTAAAATTGTGAAGCTAAATATGACACACAAGAAATATGTAATCCAGGCCGAGAATAAAAGTTACAATCTATTCTTTCTCTCTGACCTTTAGGTAAGCCCCATGCTTTCTCCTTCCATATCAATAAAAGAGTGGGCACCTGCAAATCCTAATTCCCAGACTTCTAGAAGACAAATGAGGTAATAGATGAAACACTCTGGGTATTACTAACCAAGGGGGGAAAAAAATAATGAGGTTAAATCTACCCAAAGCAAATCTTTAACATTCAAGCCACTGTTTGCAGACATATAGTCCCCTGGTTCACACACTAACCACCGGAGCCACCAGATGTAGGGATTCATAGGATTGGTCCACACAAGAAAGGCTTCCTAGACGTGTACATTAGTGATGTCAGTAGGAAGTGGGATGTTTCAGGATCCTCAGAAGGTTCTGATCCACCCTCCATCTGGGAGCCCAGTGCCCAGCAGCCTGGTCTTCAGAATCGGTTCATCTGAATCAACACCTTTTGTCATGTAAAAGGCTGTGTAAGATTTGGTGACCTACAGTTAGGGCAGATGTAGACATGAAGGGCCTGTATCAAGAACCACACCCAGCCTCTACACTGGAACAAACACTGGGAAAAACAGAACGGGACCCAGCCAGAAACGCAGCAGGTCAAGTCAACCAGCACAAAGCTACCCTGAGAATGTGGCCCTCGGTGATTGCTCTGACCAGCCCTCCTATCAGGGACACCCAACCCAAACAACCCAAACAAGAGTGTGTCCTAGGAGGAGGAATACTGAAAGCAGGCATTCAGGAAGAGTGCTGTATGGAACTTTCAGTTAGCACAGGACATTCTAGTAGCAATTCATCAAGCAAGGCTTCAATCCCCATATGTAAAAAATAAAAAAGAGTCCAAGTCTTCCAGACTGTGACGAACTGGGCAAATTAACAAGTTGTGGAATTGGCCACAGGAAAAGAAAGCAGGACTCCTGTTATCAGAACTGTGGTCAAAGGTGGGATTTGAGTCTTTGACGCTGGTAGAGAAATGAGCTATCAAATAGTGGAGCCATGTCACGGCCAGACAACAACAGCGATGGCATCGCTGAGCTGAAGAGCATTCACCTCAATCTCCTGAAATCTCTCCTGCCTGAGGTACAAGCAGTCTCTAGAGCAGAGACTTTCAACCCTGACTGCACATTAGAATCACTGATGCCTGGATCCCCTCCCCATTTAATTAGATCAGAATCTCTGGGTGTGGGTCTGGACGTTGGTATTTTTCCAGTGCCCAAGGTGATTTCATTGTGCAACCAAGGTTGAGAATGACTACAGGACTGGGAAGGGACTACTGATGGGTCATGGACAGCCTCAGTTCTGGGAAGAAGGCAACTGGAAATGCTGGCACCAGGCATGATCTGAAAACACAGGTCCATGTCAAATTCTACATAATTCTAAAATTATGACTACTTGGACAACAATTATTCTCCTTTCTTTTAACATAGGTCCTACCTTCATAGGTCTGAGGTAGCATAAGGTACCTGCAGCCTTTAAGACAGATCATTCCGACAAATCAGAAATGGAGATAAAGGCCATTCCTCACAGCTTCAATCAGTACTTCTTCCAAGTTTGAAGTAGACTACCTATTTTTAAACTACCTCGCTATCCAGGGTTGCATGTTACAATACCTATGTGATCTTTCATCTTGAATTGAATCTTAGCAAGCAGAACTTCACAGTGTCCTGAAATAGCCATTATTATATATAACCAAGTTCTACTGTTAACCTATCATTTGCTGTATGTGCATTACATGTACATTTCATGTGCTGAAAGGGAGATTAGTGGTTTAAGATTAGAATTAGATTTCCTCTAACATATTTGGAGAACTTCTGGCTTGATTATCAGGTTTATATTGATTGGTCAGTAGCAGCTAAAAATTTTTATATAGCAATAGGGCTGCTGATAAGATATCCAACGGGTTGGGTTTGTTGTTGTTGTTGTCATTGTGTGTATGTGTGTGTGTGTTTATTAACCACACCTACAGAGAAAGCAATGAATTGTATGCTTTCCTCAGATTACAGAAGTAAAATGTAGTCACGATAAAGAGTCATTATCTATCCAAATTTTCAACAACATGTCTTACCATGCCTATTGCACAGCATCTGAAAGATCCTTGCTTTGCAGATTACTTTTTGGCTTGCTTTGCAGATTATTATTGGCTTGCTCTGCAGATTACTTTTTTCAAAAGGCAGAAGGGAGCAAAAAGAGAGCTTGTGACCAGCCAAAAAGGAAAACCAATTAGTGACGTGAAAGTTAATGGAATCCCGAATGAAAGTGGCCCTGTCACTATTCTCTTTTACATCCTGCCCATTCCATTGGCTTCCCGATTGCTTTCACTACAACCCTTGCCTCACCCCAAACCCCTAGTACACACACAGCCTCTTACTAATCCACTATGTGCACTACCCCTGCCATGACTGCTTTGATTTCCAACTTTTGTCACATCACTTTCCTCTCCCAAAGACAAAAATCTATCTTCTCCTTAACAAGCACTTAGCACTTACCATATGCCAGGCACTGTGCAAGTGCTTAACAAATATTAATCCAGTAAACCCTCACAAAAATCTTAAGAGGCAGTTGATATTTTAACTTCATTTTGCAGACAGATAAGCTGAGGCACAGGTTTTAGTAAATTACCTAAGGTACCTAAGATTACACAGCTAGTAAGTGGCACAGCAGGATTTAAACTCGCGTAGTCTGGCTCCAGAGTCCATGCTCCTAACCAGTACACTGTTGTTAGCATGGCCAAGTCCAAGTTTTAAACCCAACTCTCCAATATTATTGTGTACTGCACTCTCCAAAGCATCCATGCTGTGGTGATAGCCAATAACTTACTGTTCCACACACACAGCCTGCACCAGTCCCGCTCCACGCACTCAGCTGACAATCTCATGGCCTGCACAGCCTTCCACATCCCTTTTAAGGTTCAGCTTGCACACTGCCATTAAGATACAGACTTCCTATTTCCCCAAACAAGATCTATTTCTTCCCAGTTCAAATTTCTCTTGGTCTGTATATATTGGAGAGAAAATTCATCATGGTTTATACATAATGATCTGTATATTTGTTTGTTCCCTCCTCCCAGACAGGCAACCACAAGAAGAAACCACACCAAAAAAAGTGTTTTGTTCTTCTTGTCATCTGCACAGGATCTAATATAGTGTCTCGCTCTTGATTTCAGTTGCATTAAATTCGTATGGACAGTGTAGAAATATGAGCAGAATGAGCACATGATTAGATGGATTCATAGCTGGTAAATCAACCTTAAAGAATGGGTTGAAACTAACATGGTTGGAATACCATATGAGTAGGTATCTGAAATCAGCAATATTCAAATGTAAGATGAGGGAAATACTACTCAAAAGTCTTTGTAGGAAAAAAAGAACCATTTGCCTCAACTCTCCCTAATTGTATGACCTTAGACAATTTACATAACCACTTTGGGCCTTTATTTCATCCTTTATATAATATTATGCTTTACGACTGATACATGTAATGTGCCGGTTTATGCAGAAAGCATGTGGTCTCTGTTAACTCTTATTATTATCCCTATTATGGAGGGTTAGATTTCTGAAAACTCAGTAAACACCGACAATGTGACACAACTACTAAAAAGTTAGTGCAGGCCAGGCGCGGTGGCTCACGCCTGTAATCCCAGCACTTTGGGAGGCCGAGGCGGGCGGATCACGAGGTCAGGAGATGGAGACCATCCTGGCTAACACGGTGAAACCCCGTCTCTACTAAAAATACAAAAAATTAACCGGGCGAGGTGGCGGGCGCCTGTAGTCCCAGCTACTCGGGAGGCTGAGGCAGGAGAATGGCGTGAACCCGTGGGGCGGAGCCTGCAGTGAGCCGAGATCACAGCGAGACTCCGTCTCAAAAGGAAAAAAAAAAAAAAAAAAAATGGTAGTGTAGGCTTAAGCCCAACAGATATGAAGACCCAGGTCATAAGAAGAATGATCCAACTGGACTCTTCACTGGCAGTTCCAGAGAACTTTGCAATGAGATGTAACAGCCTGAGAAATCTTAGGTACAGAATTTACTATTTTATCATTGCCTACCACCACTACTGCTCTGCTCTCTAACTAGGTATATCAATACAACACCCATTTATTTTACAAAAGATTTAAAAGTGAGTAAAACTTCCAGAATCAAGGCTGGTATTAGAATAAATAAGACAAGAAAGACGGAAAAGAGGTTAATTGCATAGACGTTAAGAGCTAAAGAAAGATTCCATAAATAAGCTGGCGAGCTTCAAAGGAAAGTTAACATTATCTTAACATTAAAAAGAAAAAAAATGAAGATTTGTATTATGGAGCAATAGGAAAAGATGGCAGAGTACCAATAAAAGATAATGAAAAGCAATGCCCAATGCCAGCATGGTTAAAATACAAATAGGTCATACTTTAAAGAGGTAAAGAAAGCACAGATGATAAAGATTATGAAATAGAAGCCTAGATAAAGGGAAGAAAGGGGCTAAGGGACATAGGAATGCCACTGCGCTCAAGAAGTAAATATTCAACAAATATCAATTTAGTATGTATTTTGAGAAAAAGCCAGTCTATACTCATTTCCTATAGACTGGATTACACTCAGTGTAAGCATGGTTTAATCAGCAGGGTTTTGGGGGTTTTGTTTTTGTTTTTAGGAAAGAGGTGACTCACTCACAGGTAAGGCCTAGAAAAAAAAAAAAGGATGAGGGAAACGGAGCTGTCTCTAAGTGGGTCCATAAAAACCACATTTATTTATACACCTTTCAAGATTAATTACAATTTCTATCACATAACTTGCAGGAACTAGATCTATTTGAAGCTGGTATGAATGTATGGCTCAAAGGCTCACTGAAAGAGAAGGGAACAAGGTCTTGATTCAACCCTCTATAATATTTTGCAGGTATCTTTTGATCTGCAGGAGGTATATTGTGCAAAGGGAAGAGGTATCCGGTCAT
Source organism: Homo sapiens (assembly GCF_000001405.40). Lineage (NCBI taxonomy): Eukaryota > Metazoa > Chordata > Mammalia > Primates > Hominidae > Homo > Homo sapiens. Next base: position 39,524,612 of record NC_000013.11, read on the forward strand.
TTATAAAACCCCTGTCTTCTTTTAGTGAAAGCACTTTGAAAGAATGGCACCAATATCAACCATGCTTGATTGCTTTGCTCCAAACCAACTATGTAGCAGTGGACTTAGGGGAACATGAGACAAATAGGCCTCCTGCTATTACAGAATTTACAGGCCACTAGGGGAGATGGACTTTAACAAAACTAAGTGCAGAAATAATTAACTACTTTTGTGCTAAATGTTATGAGGAAATAGAAAATTGCACTAAAATTGCATATAACTGAGGGTTCTAACCAAGTCTGGGGTATAGGGATGATGAGAATATAAAATCAGCAAAGGAAATAAAACTTACTGAATTATTCCATTTTCTGCCAGGAGTGACAACTTTGTCATGCTGCTGATGAAAAAATGGCAAGAAAATAAGCTCATCTGACATAAATGGAAGAGAACATGTCTGGCAGAAAAAGAAAAATGTATTTGAGGGCCACCTATGATAAATGCTCAGGGCGTTTGAGTTCGATACAAAGGAACCAGAGAAGACACACACAGTCCACGGGCAGAAGGTGGCAAGAGGTGCTGCCAATTGCTTTCTTTCCAATCTCGATGTCCTATTCCTAACTCTCAGATTCGTTTAAGAGTCATTTTCATTACAGACTCTAATCATGGGTTTTGTTTCTGAGGTCTCCGCCTGAGAAAGACTATTGTCTTTTTTAACACTCAGGCTTCAATAATGAAAAGCATTGTGACATAGTTCTCCTTCTGACTTAAAGTTTATACTGAAGAGATAATGAAATAACTAATTTTCATAAAAATATCTTTTGTCGTAATATCGTATTACTGGAAAGATATTATCTAACTTGGCAATAAATCTCTCTGCATTTAATATTATTTTAAGACTTCATGTGAGTGGTAATAAATGTAACGTCACTCACTAATTTAAGATCAACTGCTAAAGGGTTAATGTAAATAGCATGAGGCCACTGGAAATGGAAGGTGACCAGTAAATTCACTTAAGGACCTGCATAGCCTTGCATCTTCTTTTTGACCTTGAGGAACAGTGACAATAAAAAAAAAAATACTAAGGATGGCCAAGCCAAAGAAATGTGGCCAAAAGCCATATCATGAATTCAAGGAGCTTTTCCCTTTTTTAAGCTCATCCACTAGGAAATGTTCATAACTGTATGCTGAAAACCAGTGCATGCAAAAGGCATTTATTATCAAACACAGTAAAATCATAATCCTCATAAAAAGTCTTGAGGTTACAGATAATTTTTCCTTTTTTTTTTCTTTTTTACCTAAAACTCAGTGGACAAACTAAAACTCAGAAGGTCAAAAAGAAATAATCAGTCACAGAAACAGAATGTTATCTAATAGGCACTAACCCATAACAAAAGCAACATCTTAGACAGAACCAAGTCCTCCCAGTTAAAATGAAGGCTCTCACCTTCCTCCTACTAACATTGTTTCATAATATTATTGTGTGATGGTTAGGAATAAATACATGCATTATCATATCCCCAAATAGATAGAAACCCAAAAATAATCTTGTTCAATAGACAGTAACCCTATATTGACTGATGTAAGCCCCAGGAACTTATTCACTGTTATATCCCAAGCCCCTGGTACAGGGATTAGCATACAGGGTACTCAATAAATTCTAGTTGATCTGAAACGAACTGAACTACCTTGTAAATAGTAGGCATTGATAGTAGACAGGAATGTAGATACAGATATACATGATACAGATATACATGGCAGGGGTTGGAGGGAGAAACTCGTTTTTGTACCAGAAAGAAGAAAACAAAAATCAAGCTACACTAAAAATGACACAAATACCAATGTTTTAGAAATAGATGGAGTTAACGCATAATCATGATTTTAAAATATTGCAATTGCAACCAATAACAAAAGTAAATCTACACCTAACAAAATGAAGATGCAGATAATTCACTGGACTTGCAATCTAGGTTCTTTCCACCGGTCTAGTGCTCTGATGTGTTACTCTGCATTCGGCCAGCCATTTCAAGTTAGTGTTCAGCATCAGATGGGCTGATTCCACACGACAAGGTTACAGACTAGAACAGCATCTCCTGAAGTCAAAGATTCATTCATCCTGCCGCAGCTCACTCAGCCTTCAGACACATCGAGCTACCTCCAGAGTAGGAATTATAGCTACTGACATCACGTGCAACCTCATTTTACATCTGTAATTTCGAAGGCTTTAAGTGACGCTTCACTTAGGCAGAAACTGAAATGTTGAAATGCACATCAATCTTGAATTCTGAATACCCTCAAGAATCAAACAGTAGACTCTGAGAAAACTTTGACTTGACTTACTTTTGTTCAGAAAAATCAACCTTCGAATTACATATTTATTCCAGTTTCAAAATGACATAATTAACAAGGTCAAAAATCTGTTAAATGGTACTACAGGTTTTGCACATCCTCTACTTTTAGAGAGCAGCCTTTATGACTCCGTCTCTGTAAGTGCTGGTACTTACCTTGCTCAGTGACTTCTGATACACTAAAAAAGTAAAAATCACTAGAAATTTGCATTCTAGGTTAAAGGGCGTTTATGTTTTCCTTTGTCCAGTCATAAAGATTTCTTACTGAATGATGACTGTAAGATGCTTGCATTCTCCTTCATGTCTTTTTTTCCTTAGCTGGTCCCCAACCCACCACACTTTCACATACATCCCTGAGAAAGAGGCCTTTGGCCCTCATGTGTCACCTAAGGTGATGTGCTTCAACTAACATCAAGAAAATATCATGTGATAAGCAAGGTGACCTCTGTGGACCACTAGCACAGTCCTCAGGAGAACAGACAGCTGCAGTTGGAGCTGACTTCAGGTTGATAGATTTCTGTCTCCTGTCCATCTTTGAACAACCGACAACATGGTTCCATCTGTTGTCCAGAAAAAAAAAAAAAAAGCGTTTTCTACAATCTAATGAAACCATGTCAGGTTTCAAGTCTTGCACTGAACCCAAGAACTTCCTGATATGGGAATCAAACTGAGTGTTCCTTCTGGTTATATACTCATCATTTTTTTGTTTCCTCGTTACTTAGCTTTTATAGTACCTGGGCTCCTTCTGGTTATATACTCATCATTTTTTTGTTTCCTTGTTACTTAGCTTTTACAGTTGTTTTTAACCTTCTCAAATAGACTACAAAATTGGCTGGACAAGGAAAAACTCTCATACTTCTGTTATTTTTTAATCACAGAAACTTTTCTGCATATGCCAGGGATTTAACCAAGTTGTCAGAAGTATACATTTGAGAACTTCTAGCAACTTCTATTTCTAACTTAATCTTAAATCTTTAATTTCTAAGTTAACTATGTTTCTATAAGATTCATGATCATAAAACTTTAAGCTAGAAATATGCTATTTTATCTGACCTGACTCCTAGTTTTTAGATTTGGTAGCTCATGAACTAGTACTAAATCAATATAGAATCTCATCTCCTTCCGCTTCATATGACCCTCACAAGAAGGGCTTTTGCTGGTTTTTGCTAAGAAAAGAGATCTACTGATTCACACTATGATTCATGCCAGCTCAAACAGATGGAATCTCTGGCACATTCCTCACTCTGGATCTCAGCGCCCAGGCCAGCTCCATACACACTAATATGTTCTAGTCCTCTACCGTCTCCCCAAACCAGGCTGCATCTGCCTCTGAATGGGGATGCTTACTGTCCACTCCTCAACTCTATCCTTCCTCTCCCCTCTGACTGAAAAAAAACTAGATATCTGTATTTGCACAAGCCAACTTAGAAAGAGAAATTAAAGCTCATCTAATAAGGTCCCATGGTCACCTCCTAGAGAATTTAAAAGCAGCCTGGAGACCCCAAAGAGGAACAGCAATGACAAGCTCAGCAGCATCCCAAAGAGCTCCAGTGCCAAGCTGTAGGGCATCCCTCTCTCCCAGAGGCCAGCTGCTAAAATAGGCCAGTGTCCCTGTGAATGCTTGCTCACCATAGTGCCACTTTTACAAATAAACTTCCACGTTTCCCATCTCGCTCTATGATACTAAAAATGATTTCCATTTTAGGGAAAGTGGCAGGCAAGATAAAACATAGTGGAAAATAGAATTTATGAGTTGCTTCCCGCACATCTGGGCTACAATTCTTACACTTGTCACCCCTGTTGACAAGCTTAAAATAAAACCATGATTTTTATTTTTAGGTCCCAAGATATTCTTCCAGGAATTCCCTGTAAATTCATTTTTCCCCTCTGGCAGGAAAAATTAACACAACCCAGAATGAATAATACATTTATTTATTTTGTTGCTTAGACACTTTCGAAGGAAAAAAATGTATATGGCTTGATTTTCGAAGAATTACTCTATCTTGTCAAAAGACAGAAAGATGGTTAAGGCAGTGCAAGTCAGCTTCTGTTTAAGACAGCTGGAGGGCAAGTTTACTCTTTCCCAGGACCCACTGTGCAGAGATACCACTGCCAAAAAATAATGTACAAAATTCATGCCAATTCCCTTATTTCTTTTTTTTTTCCTTCTTCTTGAGGCAGAGTCCCACTCTGTTGCCCAGGCTGGAGTGCAGTGGCATGATCTTGGCTCACTGTAACCTCCACCTCCCAGGTTCAAGTGATTCTCCTGCTTCAGTCTTCTGAGTAGCTGGGATTACAGGCACCCGCCACCATGCCTGGCTAATTTTTGTATTTTTAATAGAGACAGGGTTTCTCCATGGTGGCCAGGCTGGTCTCGAACTCCTGATCTCAGGTGATCCACCCACCTTGGCCTCCCAAAGTGCTGGGATTACAGGCATGAGCCATCACACCTGGCCCAATTCCCTTATTTCTATCTAAATATATTTAATGACAGAGATCTTGAGTGCATTTATTTAATAGATATTCATGAGTTCCTACTATGTTCAAAGTCCTAGGCAGGGGATATAAAGAAGGCTACTAATGGATGAACACCTTAGTAGGTTCATACTTAGTGTGTAAGACACTGTACTGCAAATATACAAATATGTTCTCATTTAAAGTCTACAGACACAGTAAGAGCAAAGAATAAACTTTGTTGGGCTGATTTTGTTGGATATTCTTACCTCCAACACACAAATGGGGAATCTGGGATTTAGAAAAATTAATTAACTTGCCCACTAGTAGGAGGAGATGCTTCAAAGTCTATTCTACTTGCACTTTTGCTGTTTCCAATTTACTGAGCTGTTTGTTGGGAAGCAAATAAAAAGGTTTTGGACTTGCATTTATAATCCAAAAGGAGGAAACACACGGATAAAGTAATCAACAACAACACAATGCGAAAGAAAAAAGTGATAATGTAAAAGAAGTTTTGCACGAAGTGTCAAGAAGAAAAAGGTTTTATGAAAGAGAAAATTTTATTCTGAAGTTCATCCAATGATTAATTTATCCAATCCAAAACTACAAATGGGCACTGTGTGCTTAGTTCAATGCATTGTGCATAGTAGGTACTCAGTAAATAACTGCTGAATATTGGATGAATGTGTAGGGTTCTTTGAGTGAACATAAAGTGGGAAAAGGAATACTAAAGAAGAGAGTAACTAGCTGGGTGCAGTGGTGCACACCTGTAATTCCAGCTACTCAGGAGGCTTAAAAAAGAGGATCCCTTGAGCCCAGGGACAAGCCAGCCTGGGCGACAAAGTGAGACCTTGTTTCAAAAAAAAAAAAAAGTATTAAAAAAAAAAAGAAAAGAGTAGCATATGTAAAGACATGGGGACATCCAAGATGCCCAGATCCCATTCCATGAACTGAAACAGAGTGCGGAGGGGAGTAGGAAGAGAGGTGCCTGGAGGTATGAGCGGGGGCAAACTGGAGCACCATATCTGCCTCTACTTAAGGGCTTGAACTTAATTCCACTGGGTATGAGGAGACGTTCTGTTACCGGAGAGTTTCCAGTGCAGGTAAACAAGATCAGTGTCATCACACTGCACAAATTCAAAGGGCACCAGCCTCTTTATATTCTAAATGAATAGTGTCACCCTGGAACTGCACAACTCGTAAGTCCTAAAAACTTGGATTGGATAAAATAACCATTGGATGAACCTCAGAATAAAACTACGTGTTTCATAAAACCTTTTCCTTCTTGACACTTTGTACAAAATGTCTTTTACATTATCACTTTTTTTCTTTTGCATTGTGCTGTGGTTGCTTATTTCACCTGTGATAAGGCAAATGAATGATATTGCATATCCGTGACTGAACCTGGGGAAGCAGCATATGGAAAAGGACCTAAAATTAGCCATGAGATTCCAAACTCCCAACTACATAACATCATGGACAAAAAAAAATTCCCCAGAGGATGTTCATTGTCAAAGCTACAATGCTGGTTACAGAATCAAGCAGAAACTCCACCGAGATCACTACCTCCAGCTTGCTACAGATAGGGGAGATATTTGGTTAAGAATTGTAACAAAGGTGACATTCATGAGGTGTCTACACTAATACAAGCAATACACACTTAACTGGCTCTACTTTTCACAGAGTAATTATTTGCAAGTTAACTCATGCCAAGGTCATGAATTACAGCTAATAAACAAACTTCAGCTTTTTCCAATGATTCGTTCCTATGACAAAAGTTTTTTGGCAGAACTTAAGAGTAAGTATTAAAAGCAATCTGAATGTAGACCATACCCTAGTGACATGACTATTAGGAAACATCCTTTTCTGAATATATTGCATGTCATTGTAACAGAAAAATCGGCTGTGCTGGTGGAAATGGCTTTTATGCAGATGAGAATTAATGAGCCTCATTGTCTCCCTGTAGATAGCCATGCTTACATTTTGTTACCCTTTGGACACATAAAATTTTAAAGACAATAAAAAAATTAGGGTGTGCTTAAATAAAAGGGAAGAGGTTATTTTAAATTAACAAAATGTACTTTGGGGGTCTCATGAGATTCCAGACAATGCAAGCCAAACTATTCTGGGGCCACCAAAGCCTATACGCTTGGAAATAAAAGGGTACAGAAGTACCAAATTTAAACTGGGAATTCCAATGGTTGAGCATTAGGTTGTAAAAGCTCCTCAGACTTCAGGTAGATTCCTTCTAAGATCCGCAGCTTCCCATCAGCCCCTGAACGCTAGATGTGGGTGGCCCAGATGCTGTAAAAATCTCCTGACAGAAGTGTGACCACCGCATTAAGAGCATAGACAATTCAACTAAAGAGTAAATACCTTTTGCTGGATAAATATCATATTACAGAACATAATTGCATAACTCAACCCTTCTGCCACAAGTAAGCTGAAGAAAGGAGAGTCATGGGGGAAAAGGTCACGTGATATATGCCAACACCCTGAAAAGCATTTCAGGGTGTCAAAAGCAGCCACGAGACAGGTTTGGCTTTCGTGTTTTCAAGTATAGTTCATGTGCTTCTAATTTTTCATTTTCTGTTATTGGTTTATGCTTCCAAAAGCCACATTTCAGCTGTATGCAAACTATAATGCCAACAGCAGGAATGTAAAACAGAAAGTCTGGAAATTACCCCTGAATCATCTTCCCTTCGTTCCTCTCCCTGGGTGTTAGTGACCTCCTGCCTAATAATCCTGCTTCCCTCCAGCATTCACCTACCCTAAACCCTTTTCTGTCCTGCTGTCAGAATCTCATTCTGAAAGAACAACACTAATCCTACTCCTGCCCTAACTGCTGCTCAAAAACCCTTAGTGGTTCCCAAGTGCCTACCAAATGGAGTGGACATTCACAGCCCTCCACAAAACAGCCCCAACTGATGTTTTCCATCTCACAACCACCACCACTCCTCGACAAACACCAACTTTTTGACTTATTTTTTGACTTATTTTTGTGGCTGTATCACTATTTTTTCCAGTAAAATCCTACCCATAGTCCAAATAATTCAAAGCAGATAAAAATGGTTCCCTATTAGAATGTTATTTCATATATTCAAATTTATATCATTTTATTTTCATAAAGAAAATATCAGTCCTTTTTACTTGTACCATGTATATATCCCATGGGACCAAATATGCCATATTCCTCTAGACCTTTAAAATAAACATGGTGTCTTCTATGAGTTAAAGTTTGAATCAATCAAAATAGATGAGATATAGTCATCCTTAATAGAGACAGAATGTTTTCTAGACTAGTAAAATACAATATAATTGTAACCCTATAATGCTGTCATTCCAACTTATGTTTAGAAGAACACTAGGATTCCACAAAACATTACTAAGTGTTCCAAAGAAAGAGATTCATGGCCAAATTATATTGGACCACATTGCATGCTGTATCCTCCCACTGGAAGATTAGGGTATTCATTTCCCACTAGAGGCTCTGAAGAAACTAGTTAAAGTTATATGACCCGTTATTTTTCAAACATACTGTCTTCAAATCATCTCCCACACCTTTTTTGGAAGAATTCCCATTAATATATGTTTTCTGAAAAGCACTTTGGAAAATACTGCTATCACCAACTTTACACTAACCAGTCCCATTTTAAGCCATAGACATTTCTCAAGCACAGACTTAAATAAAGGAAACAAGAGAATACATTGCAACCTTGGACTCTAGACTGCTCTAAAACTAGTCATTTGTATCTCCAATATTTGATTCCAGAAGATAGTTAAAACATGTGGGTGGCCCAAGTCCTTACCCATATCTGGGTATGTGGGTATATTTGTTAGGACACAATCTAAGCTGCTGAAACAAAGAATACCCCCAATATACAGGGGCTTAAATGAGACAATAGTTTATTTCTCTCTCAAGGAATATTCCAGGGTGGTAGGATGGCTCAGCTATCTTCAACATGTGGCTTCCCTCTTGAATCCAAGATGGCAGCTCCTGTTTCTACCATCACATGCATGTCTGAATAGAGAAAAGGAAACAGCAAAGGAACTCACACCTTTCTTCTAAAGGTATGGCCGGGAAGTGCCCCACATCGCTTTCACCCAAACCTCATTGACCAGAACTTGGTTAGCTACTACACTTAGCTGCAAAGGAGGCTGATATAAACTCCCTAGCTTGGATGCTGATGGAAAACCACTCATCTCTGCTACCACATCTCTGGCAAACATATAACCAAGTGAAATGGAAGGGAGTCCTCCCCACCACTGGAGTCCATGCCAAGAACAGAGGTCTTCTAGTGTGCTTTCAGAAGGACTCATCTACCCTATTTCTATGGCAGATTGGAAGACACGTGGTCTTCCATATTTCCATGTCTGAAGCAAGACAATAATGCTACAGATACTTACCAACTCCTTTGCCACCATACACAACATTCCACACATTTCTAATTCCCAGCTGTCAAGTTGCCAGTGAAGAACCCGTATTTGAATGGTGGGTGGGGGGTGACAGTCATAGTAATTTTAGGGTAGAACATTGGGTTGTACATGTGATTGGCTCACATCCTCAGTATAAAATACATATGTACTCTTGTTGTTGCCATCCTAGTTAGGAACGTTCAGAAATATCAAAAACAGACTGCTTTCCTGGCATAAGTTCTGTAGAAAGAAAAATTAGATCTATAACACCAAAGAAATGATGTTTTTCAATGATGACAAGTAAAAAACAAGAGATAAGTTTTTTACCATGAAACTAACCTTGAGGCAATTTGGCAGTATTTGGAACTACATATATAAATTTACTTTTTTGTTTTTTAGGAGCCTACAGCAAAAATGGAACTTGATCCTGTTCCAATAGCAAACATTTCTTTTTATGTTCTTTAGGCAAAGGAAATTGAAGCTTTCTTGTTAATCCTCCTGCCCTCACCCAAGATAGATTAAATAAAATATGTAAGCCATTTTGCATAGTACCTAGCAATGGCAGTTTTCAAAATGCAGTGGTGTTAAGCATCCCATATATGATTGTGTGGTACACTAACAACGGAAACTAGAAGAAGGCAATTACTGGGCTTCATATATAGGTCAAATTTAAATCTTCCCTATTACAAAATAGCTGTGTAAGTGTTAATATTCCCAAATCTCAAAATATATTGTAAGTGAAAAGTCAAGATCCAAAATGTGTAAATAGCACATTGCTACTTATTAAGGAGAGATGGGAAAGGAAGGTGGAAATTATTAAATGCTTATAAATGCATTGCACACTTTTTGAGTGATACTCAAGAAAATGGCTAAGAGTGGTGGAGACCTGGGGAGGTGGGGGAAAATGTAGTAACAGAGATGCTTTTACTATATACCCTTTTATGCCTTTATAATTGTGGACCATATCTATGCATTACCAATTTACATAAATTGAAATTAATAATTATAAGCATTTTCTTCTCATTGCCACCTGTGCAACCATCACCCTCTCACTACCCATTTTATTTTCCTAGGGCTTCTATAACAAAGTACCATAAACTGGGTGTTTTAAAACAACAAAAATTTGTTCCCTCACTGCTTTGGAGGCTAGAAGTCTGAAATCAGGATGTTGGCAGGGCCATGCTCTCAGCCAAGCCTCTAGAGGATGATCTTTCCTTTCCTTGACTAGCTTCTCACACCCCCGGGCCTTTCTTGATTTGTAGCAGCATAACTGCAATCTCTACTTCTGTTTTCATGCAGCATTTTCTCTGCGTATCTCTGTCCAAATTTCCTTCTTCTTATAAGGACATCCATCATATATTGGAGAAGGGCCCACCCTAATGACTTTATCTTAACTTGATTACATCTAAACAAGGTCAAATTCACAGGTACCTGAAGGTAGGACTTTAACATGTTTTTGTGAGAGGCAATTCAACCTATAACACTAACATAACCCACATCATCACACACAACATTTTATAGAACTTGTTTCTCTGTCTCCTCTTTTTGCTCCAAGCTCAACACAGCAGAGTGGCTGGGTGATCCCAATGATCACTTATCTTATTCCAAATTTCATTAAGGAATAACTATTACATTATTAAGTACAACAATTTTAAAGATTAATGGCTGGCATTGTAAAAAAAATTAAAATGCATTTTTTGGTGGAAGAAACTTAGATAAAAATTCAAAAGAACAGAAAGTGGCTATTTTTGTAGGAAATCAAGGTCATCACATATCACCAAACAGGAATTTCAGGCACTGATCCAGGATGTTCTATGAATTCAGGGACAGTGTACACATTCTGCTTTACTAGCTATCATTTTTTACCTGGTTGAAGTTGACCTACATAGACATGTGTGCTATTACATTTTATAGCTAAATTAAAGCAAATAAGAAATTAACTTGAAGATTTGTTAGAGACAAAACCATCATTCTTCTGCTGTGATTTTACCTCTTCTTTTGAGAGTCATAATCACCTGTTCCTAGTTATTATAGTGAATAAACAATCAAGCTCAGGACATAAATGAGCATGGGGTCTGGCAGAGACCATTAGCATTCTAAATAAATAACTCAAGCAAGGAGAGATCAGAATAAATGTAATCAACCACTCATGAAGCCTATTTGATTACCTGCTTCAGCTTTCTATTTGACACTACATAGGAAAGGAAAAATGAGACACACTAACCTCACCCCATTCAACTTATACATTCAATGTGTTTTCATTATCTAGTTGGTAAAATATCTGTTTGCCAGGTCACAGCTCCAAGTTCACAAGCAGCAAGTAGTAAGCTTTCAGTATCAAAATATTTTTCCTATAGAGCAAGTTCTAAAATTTTAAAGAAATGTACATTGCAAGGCACCACTCTTTGACATTCAAACACTCTTATTCAATTTAATTACACATCAAGTGATTGCTATGAAGGTAGGGGAAAAAGAATGCAGAGAAGGAGGAGTCATACCACTTGCTTTTGATGGCCACGGAGTTGTACCACTCAGATCTCCCTTCGAGAGGGGAGCAGTTAACAGAGTGGGCATCAGTTGCTACATCTCCAGGCTCTCTGCACTCCTACCAAAGCCGTGCCTCTTCCAAGATGCTCCCAGCCAATGACTGAGCACTGTGAGGTCACTAGATTCAGCCTTCCTGCCCAACTCATGGCTCTCCTAACGCGCAGCTCCTGCCCAGGGACTCCTGGTGGCCTGGCTGAGATCTTTTCAGAACCACACTGAAGTCTGGAGCTCTTCCTGCCCAACTTTCTTCTTTCCTTCTCTCCTTCCACAGGTCTCAGACTATTGTCCAGTCCAGCAGCTCTCCCTATCTTTTCCGATCCTTCCCCCTTTATCTTTCATCAGTATTTCCCTCTCCTCACCCAAATGTCTTGCACATCTAACCAGCAGAATGCAATTAAAATTCTACTTGAACTAGTTTAATAGTGAATCAGTCAGTAATTAATCCAGTTCTGATTTACCTCTTGTCTACTTAAGACCTCAAGGGCAAATAATAGGTAGTTTCCTTTTAAGCAGTCATTTTTCCTAAAGCAATGAAGCATGATTTGTTATTTTTCAACTCCTGACCCTTAGCTGTCTCCTCTCTGTACCTATTCTAATACATCCATATCCAAAAGAAGCTCAGACATTTCCCTGAGGTATTACGAAGCTGTTGAGAACGTTCCCTCCATGGGGCCTGTTCCTCTGCCCCTGTCATTTTGATTAACTGTCTTCCTACTGATGGCAACCCTTCAAGCCTTGTGGGAATTTTTAAAGTTCATTCATGGTTCTCTGTTTGCAGTGTCTTCCTGCCTTTCACTCTAGCGCTCCTCTTGCAAAGGCCTTAAACACATTCCTGCCTGAGAATAATGGAACCGGTTGGGCTACTGGCAGCTCTAAGTTCACAGTCCTCGGCACGCACACCACACAAGTCCACGTGGCTTTATGGATGATGCATCAAAACCTAGACCTTGGGTATAAAACACAAGTTTATGAACCAAGGAAATAATAGGTATAAAGCAAAAGAGGAAACTTAGACTAACACAACAAAAGTCCATTTTAGAAGGTCACAGGTCCCAGCATGTGTCTGCCTCTGGCAGATTTATCCTTACAGCTCCGGAATATTTCATGCCAGGGAAGTAGACTACAACCATCCACACTAGGAAATTTCAGGGCTTTAAAACTGCATTCAAATTTTTTAATGGTGATAATTACCTAAATGTACTTGTTAACTTACAGCGTGGGGTTTTCTATTTAAGTCTCAATAATTACAAGTCCTTCAGATTTCTTTCATGTCTCATTATCAAGCTTTACCATCTTTAATCATTTTGTTGCTTTTTGCTGATATTCCTCTACTTAAAAGGAAAGAAATGCAACAAAAACAAAACCCTCAACAATCACAGAACCCAAACAAAGCACAATTATCAGGAAAATAGGCCTACCCCCATTCTGCTAAGCCGCTACAAAATTTCATGGAGTAAGAATATACTTCAGGCACAGAACCACTAAGAAAGCAATGGAGAGTCAAGATCAGGTTACCACACAGTCTAGAGGGCACCCTGGAACAAAAAAGGGAGCAAGAAATCAACGTCAGGTGGCTAGTTCAACTTCTAGCTCTTTACTTCTCATACCCTGAATGCCATTTTTCTTTCTTTCTTTCTTTCTTTTTTTTTTTTTTTTGAGACGGAGTCTTACTCTGTCGCCCAGGCTGGAGTGCAGTGGCGGGATCTCAGCTCACTGCAACCTCCGCCTCCCAGGTTCAAGCGATTCTCCTGCCTCAGCCCCCAAGTAGATGGGACAACAGGTGCACACCACCACAGCTGGCTAATTTTTGTATTTTTAGTAGAGACGGGGTTTCACCATGTTGGGCAGGCTGGTCTCGAACTCCTGACCTCAGGTGATCTACCCACCTTGGCATCCCAAAGTGCTGAGATTACAGACGTGAGCCACCACGCCCAGCCCATTTTTCTTATCTTTAAAATAATTTGTTGACTAAGCTAATGGTCAAATTTAGTGTCACTAATAGTGACACAAATCTTCAGATCTGATGCAGATTTTAGGATCCCTTTGCACGATTTCTTGCCAACCATGTTTAACCTGAATTCAATTGAGATCTAACTTCCAGTTTAAGTAAATCCGGGTCAGAGAGCAACATACTAGATGACACCACTCAAAAGCAATCAAATATATTTCAGACATATTCTATGGGACAAATGGCATGGCCTTTTCAGGAGTCAGTGTCATGACGAAAGGTACATATCTTGATTAAAGGAGACTTTGGTGACACAGACACCAAATGCAAGGAATAATCCTGAATTAGATCCTGACTTGGAGAAACCAGTTGTAAATAATATTTTGGAGGCAATTGAAATTTTTATATGACTTGATATCAAATTTCATTAAGGAAAAACTATTACTTTATTAAGTATAACGATTTCAATTTGGTTATACAGCAACATTATTTTTGAGATATTCAATAAAGAAATTAGAAGTAAAATGTAAGGATACCTGCAATTTACACTAAAATATCTTAATATAAAATGTGATTTATTCATCTACCATGGAGTTATTCATCTACTCCAGATGGCAAACTTTTTAGGGTAAGAGTAAATATTTTAGGCTTCGCGGGCCATATGGATTCCATTGCAATTACTCAACTTTACCATTGTGGCATGAAAGCAACCATAGACAATACAGAAATGAATGTGCATGGCTGTGTTTCAGTAATGCTTTATTTATAAACACAGAGGGACTCACAGGCCATAGTTTTCCCACCCCTAATCGGCCCTTTCAATTAAAAAATAGAAGCTGGGCTTATGACAAATACAGTCCTTGGCCCCAGTTAACAGCATGGCATTACCTTAGCCTTTTAGTTCTTTTTCTTTTGCATTTCGAAAAGCAGGAACATATGGTTTCATATTATCTGCCAAGTGTTTTCTTGCACAGCTAGTCTTTTCTCTATCATGTGACTTGCAGATTTTATTTTAAAAAAAAAAAGCAACATGCTTATAAAATGAAATAACCATATGAGCAGGAAATGGAACTCTTCAAAGCCTCTTTCATCCAATGAACCAAATCACCAGTGATCTCTGGTCCTGGAGCTGATTAGTACTTGAACAGCTTTTGACGATAAGTGGACGATTGGGCCCTTCACCTCATTTTACCACTGCAACCCAGCTCATTCTTTCAAGTCCTCTGGATACTGGCTATTCAGCAAATCAGTATTTTCCTGAACAATATGCTGCACATGCACGTGACTGGGAGAATAAACACAGGTGCCACTGGGGAAAATGAACTCAATTAATCAGCGTAAGGCATAGGTGAGGTCAGTATCTCTTACCAAGCAGGTGCAGATTCAATTAAAATGTGTGTTTGTCTGTCTGGATGCTCATAAATGAGCAATCCTTTAAGAATGATTTCCACAAACCCAGACTGCTCTTCAAGATGACATTAGAAATAGAGAAGTCAGTATTAAATATTTAGAGGATTAATTAAGTTGCCCCTTTGGTTCAGACTGCCTATTAAAAGTTTACCTATAATAGAAAGCTTTCATCAATTCAGTTTTGTGCTCTGCCATTAAAACTGCATGTAATACACTTTTATAGAATATGGCATATCATGAAACCCAAACAGACTTAGTTCTTAAAAGAGTTTCACACGGATGATAAGTAAAAACTGAGAGAAAATTCATGTTATATAGATTCTCTGTTAATAAAAAGAAAGCTAAATCATGATTCAGATTTTTTAAAAACCCACAGTGTTAAGATAGCCTATAAATTCTTTGGAACTGAAGGGTAAGGGTGGAGGGGTGAAACTCCTGCCAAGTTTCAAGGTCATAAAAGCAGTTGAAATAGAATATAAAGCTATATAAAGAGCCACAATTTTCATGATAATATATTTTATGGTTCAAACTAGGCAGTAAAGTAGGATACTCACGAAAAAATACCATATTAGAGTCTTCTAATTATTTATGTATTAGTTAGGAGTCTTAATTTAAATTGACCAGAAATGATATAAGAAAAAATTGCTAATTTTAAGTCTTGTTAGAAAGTTGTTTACAGAAACATTATGTATTTTTACCTGCTTTTAAGAATCTTATCCACCTCGGGACACAATATGTATATTACTAGATATACTACTGTATTTCTACAGTAATTTGTGCCATGAAATGTATGCTAATTTGACAAGAGAAGGGGAAATTTATCTCTCCTCTAACATAGCAGAAAGGATTTTCTGATGGAATATTAGGAATATCTGTAATCTGCTTACCATAACAAGTATTTAACCCACTGTGTAAGTTTTGGGGGGCTAACAATTAATATTATAATTATAAAATAGTCTTATGCTTCTGTAAAATAGGCTTCCATTGGACAATACTTCCCTAAGAGTTGAAACAACTATTTTAGTGAGAAAATAATAGAAACACACTCCTTTCAAAGTATTTTAAGTTGCCAAACCTCTGTTTAGCTAAATTGGGAATACCTCTTTCTTTATTAACTTGGATAAAGAACAGTTTACCAAAGAGCAAAAACAAATGCATTTAGAAACATTTTTTCTCTCAAACATTTAGAACACGTTAACAGAGAGAAAACTATAAAATGTACATTTCAGTGTTGAAGAGAAGTTTAAAATGAAACAAGAATAGTTAATACTTAACAAGTACACTGTCACCAAGAAACAATTATACTAGACATATACTTTCTATACAAGAGAAGTAAGCCTGACAAGATTAGTAAAGGTTTATTTCTCCAGAAATGTAGCCAGTGTTTTGTTAATGATAACCATCAGAGTACACAGCATGGGAACATAAGCCACCTCTGGGAAGCCCAGTATTGCTCCTGAAAACATCCTCCATCTCTCCACTCCAGCTGGGCCACTACTGAGTAAATGGATCTCATGGACACCCCAAAGGAGAAGAGCTTGGTTTGGGTTGCTTTAAAGACATAGTTTGAACACCAATGAAGTCCATTTTTCCATGTTTGCTCTTTATGAAAAAATTCAGGCAAAAAAATAAGCAAAACTCAATTCTGCAGACATACTGCCCCATCCTAGTGTTCAAAGCTCTCCACAGGCCCTCCCCTAGCTGTGCGACATTATGTCATTGATGATGCAGCCAGGCACCCTCCATAACCTGGTGCAGGGATTGTTCTTGCCATTAGCCTTCACTCCCTACCTGCAGGCCTCATCCTCTAACTCTGCTTCTGTAAATCTTATTATCCTTCAGGACCCAACTAAAGTCCAGTGCACAGACTTTACTAATTACTCCAGCTCATGAGGATTGTCTCTATTCACTCTCACTGACCTTAAACACACATCTGTTGGAGTATTTAGCCCTTTCTTTTTCTATGTGTCTATTCCATCTCTGAGCTATGATATGCTACAGAGCAGGGATCACCGTATTTATTTTTGTGTCTGATCCAATGCCTAGAACATTGCCTGACACGTAGCAGAATCTCATTTAAAATGCATGGGACAGGTTGGCTGGGTGCAGTGGCTCACGCCTGTAATCCCAGCACTTTGGGAGGCCGAGGTGGGTGGATCACGAGATCAGGAGATCGAGACCATCCTGGCTAACACAGTGAAACCCCGTCTCTACTAAAAATACAAAAAAAATTAGCCAGGCATGGTGGCAGGCACCTGTAGCCCCAGCTACTCGGGAGGCTGAGGCAGGAGAATGGCGTGAACCCGGGAGGCAGAGCTTGCAGTGAGCCGAGATCATGCCACTGCACTCCAGCCTGGGCAACAGATAGAGACTCTATCTCAAAAATATAATAATAATAATAATAATAATAATAATAATAATAAAATAAAAATGCATGGGACAGGTTACCAAAGGCATGTGAGGGAGGCTGAACAGAAGGAAGGATTAGGGAGACTCCTGGGATGCTGACAATATTCTGTATCTTCACCTGAATAATAGTTATGTGTGTGTTTGCATAGTTAAAATGTATTGAGCTGTGGAAAAAAATTGTGGAAGAAATGAAAGAATGAACTAGTGACAGAAATTACCCAAACTAATAAACGTTGGAAATGTGGCCACACGCTCACTGTTGTTTCAGGTAGCACAATGCCAGCTTCACCATTTAGTAATAATGAAATATTCAAGTTACAATGACAATATAAGCACAGATGCACACACAGACACACACACCATAGAATGTCTTTCCCATTTGGCTCATCGCTCCACTGTGCCTCTTCTGCACCTGCCACCAGCCCAGACCATCTAAGAAGGCTCCAGCCCTGACTTTGTAAGACTGTTTAACAAGCCACTCCACTGTCAGGATGCCAAACCTCTGGGAGAATCTTTTTGCCATTGTGGGAATCCACCCTGCCTGAGTAAGCTGAAATCCCCAATTCTCTGCAACCCCCAACATGATTTAATCAACTTTCTCTTCAGTTCCTTGTCCTCTGGCACTTGGTTCAATTCAGAGTTCAACAAATACTTGTCGAGCCCGTTATGTGCTAAGTCGCATGGGTCATAATGATGAACAGGACGTGTCTCCAAGTTTTTGTGTGTATGTGGCAAAATATACGTAACATAAAATTTACCATTTAAACCATTTTAAGTATAAATTTTAGTGGCATTAAGTATGTCCACGATGGTGTACAACCATCACCACTATCCATTTCCAGAACTTTTTCATCTTCCCAAATGGAAACTCTGTACCAGTTAAACATGAACTCCAAGTTCCCCTCTTCCTCCAGCCCCTGGTAAGCACCATTCTCCTTTCTGTCTCTATGAATTTACCTATTCTAGGGACCCCATATAAATGAAACCATATGATATTTGTCCTTCAGTGTCTGGTTTATTTCATTTAATGTTTTCAAGGTGCATCCATGTTGAAGCACTTATCAGAATTTTATTTCTTTTTAAGGCTGAAAAATATTCCACTGTATGTATATATCACATTTTCCTTAGCCATTCACTCTTTCCTATTTTGGAGGAATTTACTGTCTAGCAAAGGAAAGCATGCCAGTTCTTGCCCACTAGTTTGCAGACCTTAGTCCAGAATCTGTTTTCTCAAACCTAGAACCTTCCACCAACATTCTTTGTGTTTGGTTTTTGCAGGGAACACATGTGACTCTCCAACTTTTTATCCCACCATCTGTCATGGTGCTGGCACATAATAAGCACCCAATTAACAGCCGTTTATTAGTGCATGAAGGACGTTCCCTGGGGTTTTCTGAGAAGTATCTTTCTGAAGTTTCTTTTACTTCGTCATAGTCCTTACTTTTGACCTGCCATTCATTTTCCCTGCATAAGACTAATGGATCTGGCCCCCCGCAGACAAAAATTTTTACCAAACTCCTCAGCTCAGAGAAAAGAGTATCTACAAGAAATTATAAGTACAAATAGTGCTGGATTGGGAGTCAAGAGATGTGAATTTCAGTCCCAGCTTTACTATGACATAACTATGCCAAGTCACAAGCTCCTCAGGTCTCAGGAATCTACGACTGTAGCCTAAAATAAAGGTGTTAACTGGTCCTGTTCAGTTATAAAATTGCATAATGCCAATTTGTGTAAAGCAGACAAAGCAGTATCTTGATGACATGTCTCAGACACATCTGGAAAATGTCCAAAAAGATTCCTAAAAAGTCTTGCGATTATGAAAACAGTTTACCTACAGCTTCTTTAGCAATTCTGCTGTGTCCTTTCTTTTATATTTCGACTAGTTGGAAAACTATCATAGACTTTTATTTCAATGGGCAAGAGAGGTATAATTTCCAGTTGGAACTAGGCTATTTAGCTATTATCATTGAAGAGTAGAAGAAAATGAAGGAAAATAATATTCATTTTGTCTAAAAACTTAAAGAATGGAATGAAGATATTACCTCTCTTTTGGCAAAAAGAGGGGGAAATTGATAACAAGTACAATTTGAAAGAAAATTGTCTGGGCTCGTTCACTGAGGAAGAATTTGTTTTGCAGTCATCTTTGGCTAGTACATTTTGCCGCTATATAATTTTTTGCAGTTCTAGAAACTTCTCTGAATTCATGAGCAGGAAATTAGCTCATTTGACACCTTTCTAGCTCGTACAATGCTATTTCAGCTATTTGCAGGCAACAGATATGAACTGAGAATATCTGAAAGTGGGGAACAAAAATCAAAAGGCTAATGAATAGAAGATAGCCTCCCAATGATACAGAACTACCACTTGTCTTCACTAAGCTCTCCCTTAACCCAAGGAGCTCCAAGTGGCAATCCTGAGAGTACACTTGTTCTCCTCAGTAGGTGATGACAACGAGATAATCATTGCCAACAAAAGTAATGCAACTTAAATGAACAGAAACCCTCTCAGACTACATTGAATGGGAATGATTCTTTCCTTATAAAGTAAGAAACATTAATAATTCACATGCGAAGGACAAAGAAACCTACAAGAATCTGGTAAAAGTAGACATACTAAAATAGAACTATCAATGGGAAAAGTCCTAAGGAATGAACTGGATGGCAAAAACTGTTACAGTACAAAAAGTTTCAAGTATTCTTTCATGGCTAATTTTGCATTGTTCATTGAATTAATTATATAAAGGTTATTTAATAAATAACACCAAACTTACTACAAATAGGCAAACATCCAACTTAATTTTCAAACCAAGATTACTAAAAAGGAATAAAAAGTGACCAAGGGGGCCGGGCACAGTGGCTCACACCTGTAATCCCAGCACTTTGGGAGGCTGAGGCAGGCAGATCACGAGGTCAGGAGATCGAGACCATCCTGGCTAACATGGTGAAACCCCTGTCTCTACTAAAAATACAAAAAGAAATTAGCTGGGCGTGGGGACGGGCGCCTGTAGTCCCAGCTACTCGGGAGGCCGAGGCAGGAGAATGGTGTGAACCCAGGAGGTGGAGCTTGCAGTGAGCCGAGATCACACCACTGCACTCCAGCCTGGGTGACAGAGCGAGACTCCGTCTCAAAAAAAAAAAAAAAAAAAAAAGTGACTAAGGGTAAGTGGTCAGAAATCTAACAGAACAAGTGCAGAGGGAAGGAATCCTAGTTGGTATTGGCTCTCTCACCACCTCCCTCCAGCCATACCATATTGTGTCCATTCCTAAAATGCATCACTTTTACACCCTTGAATGCTGTCCACCACACAGACAGTAAGTGGCTCTGAAGCCACTGAAGGCAATCACAGATAAATAAGAACCCACTTACTAGCTCTGGGATCTTGGGCAAATTACTAACCTCTCTCAGTTTCATCACCTTGACAACGGAAATAATAATAGTAGTACAGTCATCCCTCCCCATCCATGGGGGATTGGTTACAGGATCCTTGCAGATACCAAAATCTGGGGATGTTGAAGTCCTTGATATGAAATGGCATACTATTTGAATATACCCTACATACATCCTCTTGTATACTTTAAATCATATCTACATTACTTATAATATGTAATATAATGTAAATGCTACCTAAATAGTTATTATACTGTATTTTAAAAATTTGTAGTATTTTTAGGCTGGGCAAGGTGGCTCACACCTGTAATCCCAACACTTTGGAAGGCTGAGACAGGAAGATCACTTGAGGCCAGGAGTTTGAGATCTGCCCTATCAACATAGTGAGGCTGCTTCTCTGCAAACAAACAAATGAATTAATTAAATTAAAACTGTATTATTTTTATTGTTGTATTGTTATATTTTATTGTTTTTCTTTTCCCTAATATTTTCTATCCAAGATTGTTTGAATCCACAGATGTGGAACCTATGGATATGAAGGGGCAACTCTATCTCTTTTGTAAAGTTTGGCAAGCTTTAAATAAAATTGCATATTGTAAAATGATTAGAGAATGCCTAGCCCATGGTAAGCCCCCAATAAATAATAGCTATTAGACTATGAAATCTCATGATGAGATTAGATATAAGAAATTTGGGGCCAGATGACCTAGCTAGTAATACACACCTAACTCACGCCATAGACCGACCCTTAATCTAAATGTTGCTTAAAATGTGGCCTATGTTCTCATCAGCATTACAAACCACTTCTGATCCTTTATAAAAATGTAGATTCCTGGGCAATGCCTACAAATTGGAACTCAATTAGTTTTAGGGCATGAGAATCTACTTTCTTAAATAAACACTCTAGCAGATTCCGATAGACATTTTAATTTGAGAACCAATAATCCAGTTGTTCTCAAGTTTTGGTATCTGCATCACTTGAGATCTTGTTAGAAATGCAAATTCTTGGGTCCACCTGACCTAGTGAATCAGAAACTTTAGGATAAACCAGCCATCTGGGTTTTACAACCCTCCAGCTGGGTTTTACAACTGCACTAATCTGTACCTTCCCATTCAGATACAGCCAGAGACCCAGACACGAGAGCCAGCAATCAGGGTCACCCTTGACTCCACCCCATCTCTATTCCTCACTTATGGCAGCCAATCAACCACCAAGTATTGTCTATTTTATTTTGTCCTCTTTGCATCCCAACCTCTATTTCTCTATTCCATGTCTTTGTCCACTGCTTTTTTACTGCCACAAAGGACTCCTACCAAATTTCTCTGCTTCCAGTCATGTCACTCTCAAATCCCGTGCTGCACCTAAATTGCAAATCTGACACTATCACTCTCCTGCTTAGCACCCTTCAGCAAATTCCCATTGCTTTGAAGACTAAAGATCCTTAATATGGCTTATAAGTCCTTTCAGACTCTGCCTCTGCCTCTTCCTAGTATGCTGGTTTCGCTAATAACCACCCCCTGCCTCCAATTTTCTGCCCTAACAGCATGAAGCCTCTCAGAATTTTCCTCCACAAATTCTATTTCCCACCTGCAAACTTTAGCTCCTGCTGCTCCTTTCCTTCCACATTTCACTCTCCCCATTCCAGTGCCCTGGCTAAATTTTACTAGTTCTAATTTTAATTTATTTACTTATTTTATGGGGAAAAAAATCCCAAGCCCTTTTTACCTTTCTCCCAAGATAGAGTTACAGCCCATTCAGTGGTTTCCAACACATTGCCTCATCTCTGGTTGCCTGCTTCCTTATGTCTATTTCACCCACTCATTGCTCCATTCATCTTGTATCCCCAATACCTAGCAAGGGGCTTTGTCACAGAAAGAAATCAAAATCAATTTGCTGAACCTTTTAATCCACCAGTAACAAGATTTACTATGTTGTTGGCTGAGATCAGGGTTGTGGTCTGCAGCCAGGTAATTTTCTGTGTAGTGAGTCTTTCCAAGGAACTGGTCTTAAATTCATGATTATTATTCTCAAATTAACTAAATTAGAATGCAGACACTATATTCTGAACATTTTGCAAAACAGTGAGATATTGCAGCAAATCTGATCTGGACCAGCTCCTGAGAATTGAGGATTCTGTGCTGCATGCTGCTAAACCTCAGACAGAAGGGCTCAGCCAATTTTAAATCATACACTTTTTACAAATCAAAGACCATACTTAATGTTTCCAAGCTCTTTAAAAAATTTATTCCTTTTTTTCATATTGTAAGGAATGATTTTCCTTATAATAATTTTCATAATATTGTAAGGAATGAAGTGTTATTCTGATATATATTATGTATTTAAATGATCAGAATCAGTAAGTTAAGTGGAGCTGAAATGCCCCAAAGTGAAGAATGTTAGGTAATGTTATACCTTAGATGCAAACTTAAGTCACTTTCTTTTAGGAACACAATGGATTTATGTACCTTATCCCACTCCCTGGAAAATCAACAAAATTTAAAGGTCGTAAAACTCAGTGGGACCACATTGTTCTACGTCAAAGACAAAATAATTACCATGGCAAGATAAGAAAGACTAGGAGATGTTCACAAAGTATTATAAAGGACTGCTTCCAAAAGAATACATATATGTAATAAAACTAAGTTAAACAGAATATTATGAAAACATAATATTTCCCAGGTAATACCTGGGAAATTACCTCCTTCCAAAGATTTAATAATAGAATATGCATTGGGAATTCAAAGCAGACATTCCTCCCCAAAGGCAAATTTAGGAATCAGAGACTGTGTCCCCTTATGGTTGTTGTTACTCTGGCAAGGTGAAAGAAAATCTTTTAAAAACAATAGATTCTAATTCAAATTAAAGAACCACCTGGATGTCTGTAAAATGTGGAAAAGACTAGTGACCTTTTCTGTTGTAGTCTCACTATTTGGGCAACAACATAACTCCCGATGGTCAGCAGCTGCCGTAGACTAGGCATGGGACACATGGAGATCTGTCTTCAAACAACTCAGAGTTACTGATGATGAGCTTTTTCCCTTATTATTTCTTGGTTTAAAAAAAAATCATATTACCTACCTTCAGAATCAAACTCATGTCCAAAATCATAATGCAGAATGACTCATAAGTCTATGGTGCATGTTAAGGCAGAAAAGAGATAGAAAAAGTTTTTCAAAATTCTCCCTCCTTAATACCATGCCTCAGTAAAAGAAACCGGGGTTTGTCCATAGAAATGGCTGATTCCAGGGTAAGGCAGGGAAAGTGTAAAGTGAGGCCTGGAACACCTTGTTGTTCTAGAAAATGAGGAAGTACTTGAATAAAAAGATGGGATTGTGTCATGGAAATGCAGGAGCCACTCTGGAAGCATCAAAAGCATAATCCACAAAGGTAAATATTGATAACTTAGACTTGATCAAAATCAAAACTTCTGCTCTTTGAAAGACACTGTTCAGAAAAAGATGAAAAAACAAGTTACAGACTGAGAAAATATTTGCAAAAGGCATGTCTTATCAAGTAACATATCCAGGATATTTAAGGAACTCTCAGAACTTAATCATATTAAAACAACCCTATTACAAAATGATCAAAAGATTTTGAAGAGATGCTTCATCAAAGAAGATGGATGGATGGCAAACAGGCATATGAAATAATGTTCACTGACCATCAGGAAAAAAAAAATTGAAATCACATATATGTTCAACTGATTTTCAACGAAAGTGCAAAGGCAGTTCTATGGTGAAAGGACAGTTTTTACAACAAATAATGTTGGAACAATCGTACATCCATATGCAAAGAAAACAAAACAGACAAAAAACAACCTTGACTTCTAGCATATACAGAAAATAGACCAATATGTAAAATCTAAAGCAATTAAACTGCTAGAAAAAAGTATGCTAGAAATCTTTGTGACCCTGAGTGAAATAACGATTTCCTAGATACAACACAAAAACCACAATGAAATACCATTATACATAGATAAGAATAGCTAAAATTAAAAAGACAGACTATACAAAATGTTGGCAAGGATGTCAAGCAACTACAATTGTCATATACTGCTGGTAGAAACAAAAAATGGTACAGCCACTTTGGAACACAGTTTGGGTTATAAAGTTCAGCATACATAGACCATATAACCCAGCAGTCTTAATCCTAGTCATTTACCCAGGAGAAATGAAAACTTAAGTTCACCCGAATCTTTCAAACAAAATGTTTATGGTAGCTTTATTCATAATCACTATAAACTGAAAAGAAAATAGAACAAATGTCCTTCAACTGACACATATGATACCAAAAATGTGATATAGCCATGCAATGGTATACTACTCAGCAATAAAAGGAAACAAAATAATGTCATACACAACAACATGGATGAATCTCAAATGCATCATCCTGAGTAAAAGAGGCCAGACTCATAAGGCTACATTAGACACAGAAAGTAGATTAGTGGCTTCCTGAGGCTGGGAGGTTGGGAGAAAATGGGGAAATGAGAATGCCAATAAATGGGTGTTGAGTTTCTTTCTGAAGTGATGAAAATGTTCTCAAATTGTGAAAAAAACTGCATGATTTTGTGAATATACCAAAAACCATTGAATTATATATTTTAAAGGGGAAATTGTATGATACATAAATTTTATCTCAAGAAAGCTCTTTTTAATAAAAAAGTTACATATTGCATGATTCCATTTATATGGCTTTCTGGAAAAGGGAAAACTATAGGCACAGAAAACAGGTCACTGATTGTCAGAGCAGGTGGAAGGGTTGACTAGAAAGGACTTGAGGGAACTGTCTGGGAGTGATGGATCCATGTTATATCTTGGTTGTGGTGGGGGTTACACATTTGTACGTGCTTGTCAAAACTCAACTATTATAAACAGGATTAAATTTACTGCAAGTAAATAATACCTCAATGAACTTGACTTTTAAATATCTGTATACACATTTTCCATCAGAAAAACTGTGTTTTGCTTTATGGTTTTAATTTGTATATTGGAGTGATAAGACTATTCACCAACCCTCCCCCACCAATACTGTATTAGTGCACAATCATAATACCTTTGAATTCATGATGTCATTCCATTTTTTACCATGAAAGTAGTTCCATTCCACTTTTTAAATTGTTTTGAATAAACATAAGAGGTAATGCAGACATGTGCATTTCCAGTCACAATTATAAAGCTATTAACTAGACCTGAATCCATTTATTTTGGCTTTATGAATAAGAGAAATTCAGTTTACATACGCTTATTATTAAGTTAACAATGGGCTTTACATTCTGAAAAAGCATGTGCCTAATTAAGAGAAACATTCCAAAATTTAATTATTTCAGTCTTGAATGCTTTTAAAGAGTATGTTAGGTTTTTCTACTAGGAAAGTTGTATTTTTTTAAATCAGAAAAATTGTGAAATACAGAAAGTTTGCAAGAATCAGAATAGTATAAAGAATTTCTAAATAACATTTACCCAGATTCACTGACCTTTTACCCACATGTTGTCATTTGCTCTCTTTTATATGTATGGGGCTAGTTCTGTGCTTTCTAGTCTGTTCCATTGATCTATCCTTTGTCTATTCTTTTGCTAATAGCAACTGACCCTGATTAATGCAACAGTCCATAAATCTTTGTCTTAGTCCATTTTCTGTTGCTCTAGCAGAATGCCACAGAGTGGGTAATTTATAGAGAACAGGTGCCTATTCAGCTCATGGCTCTGGAGGCTGGCAAGTCCAAGAGCATGGTGCTGGCATCTGATAAGCATCATCCCATGGGGGACTGGTGGGTGGCAGAAGTGAGTGAGACAGGGCAAAGCACCAGGGACCAGATTCACTTTATAACAACCCACTCTTGAGTTAACTAACCCACTCCTGTGGTAATGGCATTAATCCATTCCTGAGGGCTCTACTCTCCTGACCCAATTACCTTTTATTTGGCCCCACCTCCCAACACTGTTGCATTGGGGATTAAATTTCCAACACATGAACTTTTGGAGAACACATGCAAAACATAGCAATTTTGAAATCAGGTAGTATGGTTTTCCAACTTTGTCCTTCTTTTTCAAAACTGCTTTTACTATCCTAGCTCCACTGCCTTCCCTTTTAAGTTTCTGAGTCATCTTGTCAACCTCTACAAAAAGTCCAGCTGAAGTCTGATTGGGAATGCATTGAATCTATAAATCCACTAGAGAAGAATTGATTTTAACAATATTGACGACTTCCATGCAAGGACACAGTATCTCTCTCCACTTATTCAGATACTTAATTTTTTTCTAAGGAAAAAATTAGTTTTTATTTCTGGCATCTTCTTTTTCACCCCTGCCTATCCCTCACTCAATTCTTCAAAGTCAAGTTTCGACATCTGAAAGAATGTGCTTAAAACAGGGACAAAAGTAATATTTTTATATTTTTAGGTTTTCAGTTACTAACATATTAATAGCCCTCTGTATCTAAAAGTTTCGACTGAATAATGACTCAGAATATCTTGGCTAACTTCCTTAATTATGAGTGAATTAGCTATATACTGCTGGCCTATTCTTTTTTATTAAACAATGGTAATTATTTCAAACATCAGAAAATAATCATGAGAACATAAAATCTAACAAATCAGCACCCTCTGTGCCAGATAGCATTCCCTTCATGGATCAGAAATTGTATGTGATTATCTCATTCACAAGGTTCAAAATAAATTGCATACATGGATAATCTAACCCCAGTATCAACAGGTCAGTTTAAACACATACCCTTGAAGCCTGTAACAGAGGCAGGGGTCAGCATTAATATAAGGAGAATCTATTAACTGAGAAGAACACACACAACCATATTCAAAGACTATGATTGTGACAGCAATTGGTAAACTGACTATTTTTCAAAAAGTCTCTTTGTTCTTAATGGCACATAAACCATTGTTGGACAGTGACAGTGACACACTGTCACTGTCATGAACAGCAGGAGTGAGTACTGGTGCATGCAAGGGATCAAAGGCTGTGATGAAAGGGTCCGTAATTAATAATAATTGCTTCCCAAGTGTCTATTTTACATAAAGATTCCACTTCATAAGGGACACATTCAAGACCACTGGATAGGCGTAATATTTTCACTGTGGGTGGTCCTTTCTTGGAATGATATTCAAAGGCTCTGCATGGGACTAGCAAAACATCATTAATAAGAATGATAGAGAAGAACTGTAGGGACCAAGCACACCTTGCCAAGGGCAACATCTTGCAATGCACCAGCAACAGTGAAAAAACAGCCCATGAAGCTTCTGAAGTGAAGGTCTCCACCCAAAGACAATGAAGGCACAGTTACATATTTAGCCAGTTTTTTTAATTTAATGGGTGCCTTTTTGGAGGTGGTGACCAAGAATGAGGATGATGCTTTGGGATACCTTACTTGCAGGATTTGTTGTATACTTATTCTGGAGGTGGTGACCAAGAATGAGGATGATGCTTTGGGATACCTTACTTGCAGGATTTGTTGTACACTTATTCTGGAGGTAATTCTGAATAAAAGAGAAAAAAACTTTATTAATGCTTTTAAATGAAGTTAAACTTAAAAATGTAAAGCATCAGGAACCCTGCAAAGAGCAACCAGAATAATATCCCACAAAATGAGAAAATTGAAATATGTCAATACATTTAAGCTAATATTAGAAAATCATTCATTTTAGTCTTCATGGGAAAGCACAGAAATACAATTAATGGAATACAATTTAGAAATTATTTTGATAATCATCTAATAATTATGAATCACTGTGGTAGACTAATTACAGCAAAAACCCCATTCTTCAACCTTTCCTATACCCAACTCCCTGGAATGTAAATTTGCAGCTTCACCCCATGAATTTGGACAGGCTTTGAAACTTCCTTTGGCCAGAGAAAATGCAGTGGAAGTGACACTATGTCAGTCTTGAGACTGGATTTCAAAACTTCAGGCACGGCCAGGCATGCAGGCTCACACCTCTTATCACAATACTTGGGGAGGCGAAGATATGAGGATCCCTTGAGCTCAGGAGTTCAAGACCAGCCTGAGCAACATAGTGAGACTTCATCTCTACAAAAAAAAATATTTTTTTTAATTAGCCAGCATGGTGGTCTGTGCCTGTAGTCCCAGCTACTCAGGAAGCTGAGGTGGCACTTGAGCCCAGCAGTGTGAGGCTGCAGTGAACTATGATTGCGCCACTGCGCTACAGCCTGGGTGACAGAGCAAGACCTTGTCTCAAAAAATAATAAAATAAATAAAAAAGGCCAGGTGCACGTTGGAATCCTGACCCACTGTCATGAAAACAAACTTTACCTAGCCTGCTGGATGAACAGAAACAGATAGTGGAACATCATTCCAGCTGAGGCCATCCTAAACCAGCCAGCCACCTGCCAATTTCCCTGCCGATGGCAGACAATCAGTGAAAAAAAGGTCAGACTAACCTAAGCCAGCCCAGACCTGATGAACCACCCCACCAACCCATCAGCTCACAAGCTTAATTAATATATGGTTGTCGTTTTAAGCTATGAAATTTTGAGGTGGCTTGTTATACCTTATGAAAGGCTCATCTACCTTTCAAAGTTGCTCCTTGGATTTCATTCTATAACTTTCTTTTTAACTCTCCTTGTGTTTTCTCAGCTACCAATAACACCATTACTTGTCCTATGACTCTGGATTAAGCAATCTACTTTGACTTCTCCCTCTCCTGTACTTCCTATAATCAATCACTTAATCTGGCAGCTTCTATACAGATGTAGATCTCAAAGTTATCTACCAGTCTCCATTTTTTCTGCCATACCACAAGTAAAAGTCTTCATCATTTGTCTTCTAAAAGGTCTCCTTTCCTCATTCTTTTGCCTCTTTAATATACTCTTTAATCGCTAAAGAGGAATAATTTTCTTACTAAATCAAAATCATTGTTTTATTAAAATGCATGTCAGGACATATCATCCCATAAATGCAAGTCAGACACTTTAACAACCCCCAGTTTCCTACAGAATGTTCTGAACAGTTGAGCATGGAATTCAAGATGTTTCATTATCTGATCCCAATTTTTCCTTCTAGTTGTTTCGCCTGCATCCCTGCATACTTCTACAGTCACATCACACCAGAATCAATGCCCAAACAGACCAGACTTTTTCACATCTCCGTGTTTTCAAATGTTGTTGTCTTCCCCCTCCTCCCCACCCACTGAACTTTCAACAAGCTGATTCAACTACTGACAACTTTCTGACTGTCTTCTCCAATAGGCGTGTGTCCCCCCAGCCATTCACATCCCCATCTACTGCCCTTGGGTAGATCTGTCCTTTTCCCTGAACACCTTGAATATGCCTCCATTGTTATAGTAAAGTTTTCATTAAAGTTTAACCTCTACTTAGTCAAGTACTAAAGGTTGTAAATTTTTGACAGCATGGCATATGAACCTTTGCATCCCTCATACAACAGTACAATGCTTGATAGGCTAAATGCAATGTGTTGTGGATCTGGGGTCTTAGAAGTGGGAGGAACTCTTCAGAAAAAATTTTCTTTTCTAGCCAGAAGTCAAGTCCAGATGTGGTGCAAATAAATACTCTTGCTCCATTATCAAAAATAAAAGATTACGAACAAGGCCAAGTAAGCTTTTGGCTCCTTCAAAATTCTAACAATATTACAATACAGCATCAGCTACTTCACTCCTACTCGGAAACTGACAAATATGACTATGTTAAATTCAATTAGAATCAGGACCCAGAGGTGCTCCAATCCCTTTGTATTCTCATCCTTGTCTGTCTGACATATTGGGCAGAATCAAATAAGTGAAAGGTGGCTTCTGAATACAGTAAAACTTTGAAAAACAGAGCTCTCCCCGCCCTTTTTTTTTTTTTTTTGCATTCTGCTGTGAAATTAAGAAAGAAAATAAGGTGCTACCAGAACTCATGCGATAGCGCTTTCTTTTAGGCACATATTATAGCATTCAGATGAAAGTTCTGTAATCACACACACACTGTGCCTCTAACAACAAACACGGTGACTCTGAGCAAAGTCTCTCAATTTCTCTGGGTCACTATTTCCTCATCTGTAAAATGAATGGCTGAGGCTAACTTAGCACTAAACTTTAGTGAGCTTATTAAGCATCAGTTTATTGAAACTGGTGTTCACAATAATAAACATAAGTGAAGGCAAGATATTTAGTAACAAAAATTTAAGTATTAAATTATACATAGCATATAACACGTTTATAAAGATAGCAAAAGAAGCCAACATAATTTTGAAAGATTTTTAACAAAACTGATAAATATTTTCATGGCCTTCAACAAGAAATTTCAATTAATAAGGACATTCCATCCATACATGATATGGTTTGGATATCTGTCCCCTCCAAATCTCATGTTGAAGATGTTGCAGGTGGGACCTAGTGGGAAGTACTGGATCATGGGGGCAGGTCTCTCATGAATGGCTTAGTACCATCCCCTTGGTGGTAAGTGAGTTCTCACTCAATTAGTTCACATGAGATCTGGTTGTTTAAAAGAGTCTGGGACCTCCCCCTTCACTCTCTCACTCCCACTCTTGCCATGTGACACACCTGCTCCCCCTTTGCCTTCCACCAAGATTAGGAGCTTCCTGAAGCCCACACCAGAAGCTGAGCAGATGTCAGCGCCATGTTTCCTGTACAGCCAGCAGAACCGTGAGTCAATAAAACGTCTTTATTAATGATCCAGCTGCAGGTATTTCTTTATAGCCATACAAGAACAGACTAACACAGAAAATTGGCACTAAGGAGTGGGGTGCTGAAAATGTGAAAGCAGCTTTGGAACTTGGTAATGGCCAGAGGTTGGAGGAGTTTGGAGGTCAAAGAAGAAGACAGGAAGATGAGGGAAAGTTTGGAACTTCTTAGAGACTGGTTAAATGGTTGTGACCAAAACGCTGATAGAAATATGGAAAGTGAAGTCCAGACTGAGATCTCAGATGGAAATAAGGAAGTTATTGGGAACTAGAGTAATGGTCACCCCTGTTACACCCTGGCGAAGAACTTGGCTGTACTGTGTTTATGCCCTAGGGATGTGTGGAAGTTTGCACTTCAGAGTGATGACCTAGGGTATCTGGCAGAAGAAATTTCTAAGCAGTAAGACATTCAAGAAGTGGCCTAGTGGCTTCTAACAGCTTATAATCAGATAACGGGACCAAAGAAATGACTTCAAATTGGAATTTATATTTAAAGAGAAAGCAGTGACTGGACATGGTGGCTCATGCTATAAACCCAGCAATTTGGGAAGCTGAGGTGGGAAGATTGTTTGAACCCAGGAGTTTGGGACTAGACCTGGCAACATAGTGACACTCCATCTCTACAAAAAAATAAAAATCAGCCAGCCATGATGGCACATCCCTGTAGTCCCAGCTACTCAAGAGGCTGAGGCTGGAGGATCTCTTGAGCCCAGAAGATTGAAGCTGCAGTGAGCCATGATCACACCACTGCAGTCCAGCCTGAGTGACAGGGCAAGATCCTGTCCCTAAATAAATAATAAATAAATAATAGGAGCAGAGCATAAAAGTCTGGAAAACTTGCAGCCTGGCCCTGTGGTCGAGAAGGATTCCAAGCACACTAAGGAGCAACCACCTGCTAGAGAGATTACTATGACTAAAAGGGTGCCAAGTGTTACTATCCAAGACAACAAGAAAAAGGCCTAGAAAGCATTTCAGAAATCTTTGAGGCAGCCACTCCCATCACAAACCCAGAAGCCTAGAAGGAGAAAGCAGTTTCAGGGGCCAGGCCCAGGGCCCCACCACCCTGATCAGCCTTAGGATACTGCTCCCCACATTCTGGCTCAGGACACCACTTTAGACGGGGCGAGCCATCAGCCTTGGTGGCCGCCATGTGGTGTTAAGCCTGTAGGCCTATGGAATGCAAGAGCGAAGGGGGCTTGGTGGCTTCCACACGGATTTCAGAGGATGTATGGGAAAGCCTGAGCGTCCAGACAGAGCCTGCTGCACAGCCTCTACTAGGGCAGTGTGGAGGGAAAATGTGGGGTTGGAACCCCAGTACACAGTCCCCACCAGGGCACTACCTAGTGGAGCTGTGGCAAGGGGGCTGCCGCCCTCTAGTCCCACCTGCAGTAGATACGGTGGCAGATCTACTACTAAAAAAGGATGATTGTGTTTTACAACGTGAGAAGGACATGAGATCTGTGGGGGCCACATGCAGAAAGATATTGTTTGGATATCTGACCCCTGCATATCTCATGTTGAGATGTGATCCCCAGTGTTGGAGATGAGGCCTCATGGGAGGTGTCGGATAGTAACACTTGATACCCTATTAGTCATAGTAATCTCTCTGACAGGTGTTGCTCCTCAGCGTGCTTGGAAGCCCTCATGAACGGCTCAGCCCCAACCCCTTGATGATGAGTGAGTTCTTGCCCAGTTAGTTTATGCAAGATGTGGTTGTTTAAGAGTCTTGGAGCTCCCCCTTTGCTCTCTCATTCCTGCTCTGGCCATGACACACCTGCTCCCCCTTTGTCTTCTGCCATGATTGGAAGCTTCCTGAGGCCCTCACCAGAAGCTGAGCAGATGCTGGCACCATGCTTTCCGTACGGCCTGCAGAACAATGAGCCAATTAAACCTCTCTTCATAAACTACCCAGCCTTAGGCATTTCTTAATGTAATGCAAGAGCAGACCAACACACTATCACACCGTTCAGTTAATCAAGGTACTACTGTGAATATTAAAATATTACACTAGTCTCACAGAGTGTAGAATAGTAACAGACTTTGTAGATGAGCTGTGGGGCCTTGGACAGGTCACCTAACCTCCAATTCATTACATGAAAAATAGGAATAATTCCTGCCTCGCGGTAGGGAACAGATAAGGTTATAAAGATTGAATGAGATAACATACATGCAATGCCTATAATATAGCAGTTACTAAATAAATATTAGGTGTTAATTACCCTTTCTCCACCATCTCCAGCAAAGTTCAATAGGACATTTTGACAACACATAATTGGAAGTTACCTCTCAACTGTATAATGCGCTTCTTTATTTTTCATCATTCAATGTTCTCTCATAATGATGAAATATTTTTTCACCAATAGAACTTGCTTCAAAGTCACTTACTTCCTCTGCTTACCAGATGACACGATGATGATATCATTTTTAAAAGGCCACTACAAATATATTCATTAAAGCAGTTCTGACACAAGTTTTGGCCTAAGTTGTATGCTGGCGTATAAAATAAAATCAGGGATATCTGACAATGACTTTGGGAAGCAGAAATGCTATAGAGAGGAGAAGCCCTTGACCTGCCTACTCTCTCCCCAGCACCAGGCAGGATACCCTATTTTAGGAAGGGAAATCTATCATTTTCTTAAATAATGCTTTCCAATCTTTAAATACCACTCTGTTTGCATATATTTAAGTAAAGCTGACCTTTTTAAAATCCTTACTGGAAATGATGAATATCGTTAGAAAATTCCATTCTATGAAATTCTTGTTCATTTCATGAAATCACGCCTTTGGTCTTGGCCCATTCAAGTTTAAATGAACAAAGCAGAGTAGGAGGGGCTAGAGCCTCCCCGATGGAGAGGTGCTGAGAGACAGGTTCTGTTGCAGGCACTGAAATAAGCCCAGTCTATCAGACCAAAGGCAACATCCAAGGAGACAACAGCAGACAGCTGGCGGAAGTCTCACTGACCGCCAAGAGTCAGGGAAGATACCAGTTTTGAGGCCAAGGGAGGACTCAGTGCCTCTCCTCCAGGGACAGGTAGAGATGTCCTCACCCAAAGGCCACATTCAGCAGACATGGGAGAGGCCCACAGGCTCCATTCTTTAGGCTGGGATTCAGAGGCAGCGGCTAGTGTCAA
The DNA here is from genome assembly GCF_000001405.40 of Homo sapiens. Classification (NCBI taxonomy): domain Eukaryota; kingdom Metazoa; phylum Chordata; class Mammalia; order Primates; family Hominidae; genus Homo; species Homo sapiens. The sequence goes on from NC_000013.11 coordinate 39,559,307, forward strand.
AGGATGGGAGTTGATCAGAGGAGACAAAGTGTTTATTCTCATGTGACTGACCTAATGAACAGGAAGCATGATGCGGAGGCAGACAGGGTTAAAGAGGGGCACTTCGATCTCAAAAATAATATCCAAAGTAGGGCACAGAGTCAGAATTGACTAATTAACAAGGACACTGCAGATCCCCAGAGTGATGACGCGGAGCTCCGTAAGCCCCACTTCCTCCAGTGCCATTCCTTTCTACCAAGGATAACATAGCTCAGAGAATAAGTGTGTAGATAAAAGCATTTAGTGAAAGCCAACGATGTGCCTCTGCTCCAGGCAGTGGGAAACCAAAGATAAAAAGACAACTGTCTGCCTCAAGAAGCTCAAATCTAGAAGAACGGGTGAAAAGTACGGATTATATTAAATGTGAGGAGTGCCAGGCTGCAAATGGCCACTGCATGCTGTAGCACAGAGAAGGCCACCTAACCTACATGTGGTTATGTCAGGAAAATCTTCTCAACTATATTATTAATAATGTGTTTTATTGAATTAAATCCTTGGGGAGTACTACGGCAGTCCCCCATTTTCCCTCCTCTAAAGAGAAAACATTTATTTGTCTTTTTTTATTTTTAAACATTTAAGAAAATCCTTCCCACCCTTTACTGAATGAACGCCCTCTCAATTCTCTCACAGCATTGCTGAATCAGACAACTGGTGCAGCATGCCACCCACAAGACCAACTGAGCTTCCAGCTGATGATGGCATCAGAACCCCACACATGAGAAAAGGCACTTGGCAATCTATCAACATGGTAACTATCCGATCTACCAGGTCATTTCCTAGGCAAAAATTCATGGGAGCTCCAAATCAACATTAATAATAAGTTAACAAATACCTCCTGTTATCAACAAACTGCATGCTTTGCCAAAATGTAGTGCTTCAATGAATTAAATGAATGACTTCCTCTTCACAATTCTTTGATGAGACAGGATTTATTGCATCCTTTCTACAGGTGAGAAAACTAAGATTCAGAAAGTTAATTAATTTTCTTGAGGTTATATAGCTAGAAAGCAGGGAACCAGAAATCAATTTCTGTTCTGTTTGTCTCCCAAGCCTGTGGAAGTCTAAAAACCTGCCTCTCAACTACAGTCTTACTCCTTTGCAGATTATTCACTGCCTGGGAGTGTTCAAGCACAATCTCCTTTGGGTTATGCAAATTCTCTTTTTTTTTTTTTTTTTTTTCTTTTTTTGAGACGGCGTCTCCCTCTGTCGCCCAGGCTGGAGTGCAGTGGCGCGATCTCGGCTCACTGCAAGCCCCGCCTCCCGGGTTCACGCCATTCTCCTACCTCAGCCTCCCGTGTAGCTGGAACTACAGGTGCCCGCCCCCACGCCCGGCTAATTTCTTTTTGTATTTTTAGTAGAGACGGTTTCACCGTGTTAGCCAGGATGGTCTCTATCTCCTGACCTCATGATCCGCCCACCTCGGCCTCCCAAAGTGCTAGGATTACAGGCGTGAGCCACCGCGCCCTGCTGGGTTATGCAAATTCTCTAACATGATGTAGTATTGGCTATTTTCAAAGCAGTTTGTCATGTCCACTATAACCAGACCTCTATGAAACCTCAAGACTCCCTGCTGACTGGAGTCTTAGGTCTTACCATGGCAAACAGAGCTGACCCTTCACCATCCAGACCCTGGTGAGCTTTCCAGCCTCCTCTCTGGCCATCGTCCCATCACCTTCCTCTGCATTCTTCACTCTATGCAGGAGCCAGCCGGGGTCCACATCCATGGTGCTCCCTCTGACCAAAGGCCTTTCCTACTTTTCTGCTTGGTAAATTGACTCACCTATTCAGGGCCCAAGTCACTCACTTCTAGGAGGCTTTGCCTGCCTCCTCCCCACTCCCCATACCCCTCTCTGTCTCACTCTGCTTTTAGAATGCCAGTAGAGCAGTACTCACCCACCCTGCATTATTACTTGTCAACCTCTCCCTAAACCCTTTCTATCCAAGCCGTGGCCCATGGACCAGCAGCATTGATGTCTCCAGGGAATCTTGAGTCGTCTTCAAACCTACAGCATCAGAATCATCATTGTTAATAAGATCCCCACAACTTAATGTGCATTTTGGACTTTGACGAGAACCTCTCTCAGTGTCTGAGTTTTGGGAAGAGAGAAGTGGCATTTGGTTTGTTAGTTCTGAATATTTTTAAGAGATGGGGTCTTGTTCTGTCACCCAGGCTGGAGTGCAGTGGTGCAATTTTGCAGCCTCAAACTCCTGGGCTCAAGTGATCCTCCTGCCTCAGCCTCCCAAGTAGCTGGAATCATAGGCACAAGCCGCCATGTCTGCTTTGTTTGTTTGGTAAAAACAGGATCTTGCTATGATGCCCAGGCTGGTCTTGAACTCTTGGCCGTAAGTGATCCTCCCACCTAGGCCTCCCAAAGTGCTGGGGATTACAGGTGTGAACCATGGCACCAGGCCAGGAGTGGCATCTTATTTATTCTCAGAACTTACCCCAGGGCCTAACACTGAGTGACTACTCTGTAAATGTTTGTTGAATCAGAGTGAATATGGGCTTTCACTTGATTCTCACAACAATCCTCTGAGTTAGAAACTATTATCTCTATGTAATAGATGAGAAAACTGAAGCTAGAGACTTTTTAAAAAATTTCCTAAAACTCATACATAGTCAATAATTAGCAGGATGAGGGCCAAATCTTCTAATTTCAAGTTCTGTATTCTTTTCATTTCTCTAAACTATTTCCCATGAGTTATAAATAAGAACAAATATTTATGCAATAACTCCTACAATATGCATTTTAGCATAAGAATATTGCCCCAGGCAGGATTAGCAGCCACTCTGCTTTCATGTTCAGGAAGTGAATGTACCCTTTCATTCCTCTAGGTAGGAATATCTATCCAGCATGAATGGTGCATTGTGTGCAGTACTAAACATGGAGAGGAAAATGAATCGAATCAGCTCCTGCCCTCATGGAGACACCAACAAATAAAGAGTAATCCTCTTCCAGTGTGAGAAGAACCATGTTCTGAGTGTGTGTGTGTGTATATATATACATATATATACATATACATATATACATATATACATATACATATATATACATATATACACATATACACATATACATATATACATATATACATATATACACATATATACATATATACACATATACACATATACATATATACACATATACATATATACATATATACATATATACACATATACACATATATACACATATACATATATACACATACATATACACATACATATATACACATATATACATATATACACATATACATATATACACATATATACACACATATATATACACATATATACACACATATACACATATATACACACATATATACACACACACACACACATATATATATATACACACACACACTACGTGTATAGAATAAAGAGAAAAACATGAGGAACGGCACTTTACCCAACCAATAGCACCTGCTGCAAAACAAAATCTAGTAAGGTAAGACACAGAAAAAGACCCACCAGAGCGCCATTCAGTTTTCAATGCTTCAAAGATTTACACACTCTTCCTATTATCATTAATGGCTATTATGAACATAATCTGTCCCCATGCACCAAGGGGAGAATAAATTCCTCACAGAGGGGAAATAGAGGGTATTCAAAGAAAAAAAATATTTTATGCAGAAAGCTGATGCCTGCTAGTTGATAATGAATGCAGTAGGAGTAATAGTAATTTGTTTAAATTCCTCATTAAATGAGTCATAAAGGTCATGGGGCAATACTAGAAACACACACACACACACACACACACACACACACACACACACACACACACAGCATCTCTGAATTATCCAGCAAAGCAACAATGTTAAAAATGTCTTTTTAAAAAAATTAGAGCTAATTAAATTAAAAATAAAAATCAGGATTAAACTAAAAATAAAAGGGAGCTGGAATTCCAATAACTTTAAATTATATAGATCATATAAAAGCAGAAAAGTAGAAGAATGGATCAAACAAGAAAACCCCTCTGTGACAGTCCATGCTGCCCCAAGTCACTAAATCTGCAGATGACAGAAACAAAATAGAGAGATACATCTTGTGCACAGGAAAAAAGCAAGCATATTCCTAAGTGACTAGAATACATGAGTCTGGTGGGTTGATAAGTGACTTATACAGATCAAATAGGTGTTAGATAATGAGGCAAGGGAGCAAAAATATTCTTAGAGGGTAAAAGCTCACAAGTCAGCAGTATAGAGGCATTCTCAAGAGCAGAATCATTGCATATTTTAACGCCTTCTTGGCTAATAAGAATAAAACAGGCAGGCAAAGTGGAAATATGGGACTCAGAACATAATTTCTACTTCCCTGGGAGCAGCATTTCTTAGGGTGATTGGGAGGTTTTTGCTCCTCATCAGATCTTTATTAATCCATTGTCATGTCTCTGTGTTTTATTATTCCTGCCAGGGTAACAGATTCTATTCATGCTTTCAGGTCATAAAGTGTACCAGCTAACTCAGGGGACTGAAAACAAAATTAAGAATGAGGTATGGCACGTTCCTTTTCTTCTCAGAGCCTCGGCTTTTTCCCCTGAAAATGAGGCTAATAGACACTATCCCCTAGGGCGGTTATGTGAGAGAATAGACACTTGTTGTATATCCCCCAAAGGTGATAAAAATGGTGTAAGTCTCCCCGTATCACGTTGAGCCCATGGTGAACACTCAGTAAACATGGACTGCTATTATCATTGCACTGGAAGGCTTCCCACCATCGAGAGTCATTAAATCCAGGAGATTGGGAGCTGTTTTCCTCTGGAGCATTTTATTTTTGTTCAAAAGAAATACAGCACAGATTTGGCCAAATCCGCAGACAAATTGTCAAGGCCAGGAATAAAGTCTGTTTAGTACACTCTGAATATAGCACCTAACACACAATTATAAATATAGAGTGCTTAATGGGGAGTATTTGATTTAAAAAATGGTAAAATCTATTGCCAAGATTAAATGAGATGACCTCTTTGGAGTCCTTCCACTAGAGGCAATAAAGAATAAAAATGAACATTAAATATGTATGTGCTCTCTATCTCAAACCCATCTGGCCTATGATATCAATACTGGGCCAGAGCAACAAATATGTGCATCTTCATATTTCTAAACTTCAAAAAATGGCCCATGCAGTACAAAACCCAAGAGCATTAAAAATGGCCTTTGACTCTGCTTGTGATGCACCACCCGTAGCCACCATACCCAGAGGTGAACTGTAGATCAAAAAGAATTACTATGGTGCCAAAGAGACTCCCATAAAATTGCACTACGCTATTATACCATTTTGGTTGCCTTTGGGAAATATGTAAGTCAAAAGTATCTAACCATGGGTAAATAAAGTCAGTTTGCACTTAAGAAAATAGAAAAGCTGATGGAAGAATTAAGTTTGCTTATTTAAGTAGCCTTTTATGTAAAAGGGTTAAGAACACTACTTCCACCTTCTGCCAATGAGCTATGTTCTTCTGAAAATTGGAGCAGTATACTAACTCTGATGTGACAAAATTTGAAAATGCTAATGGGGCAAGGTTCTGTAAACTCTGTCTCTATACCTTATTATATCTTGCTATTGTATAGTGGACATCGTTCAATAAGAAGTAAAGTAAATATAAAGGGCAACAAATCAAAGATTGTATTCTCACAGAGGAGTGGCTCTGGATGAGTGGCAATCCCAAGGCATAAACATCTCTTCTACATTCCAATGCTCTAAGAATGGAAGACCGATCTCCAAAGATCAAAATGACCATTGTTGTTTAAAAACTACCATTTGCTTAGAATAAAAAACAAACTGTCCTGAAATAAGCTTGCCATCTATATCATCTTATATCCAGGAGGACAATAAGCCAAGAAAGATAAAACAGAGAAAAAGCAGTTGAATTAGTTGAATTACAGTATATTTCATCATAGAATGATAGTGTACCCTTAAAAAAAAAAATCCAGTACAGTTCAAAGAGAACATCATTTCTAAACATTACAGGCAAAAAGAAAGGTTTTTTAAATTTCATTTTGTGTTCAAGTTTACTGCAAATTACATACGACAATACAGTTCTTAAATAGTACAAAATGAAGCTCCAACTTCAATTTTGGTGCTGTGGTTTTTATATTTGTGTAGTTGTTAAAATAAGATGGAATGTTGGCATAACTATCAGACAGCAGAAAACAAGCTGCTGAATGAGGAGGAAAGAACCAAAGAAACAGTGGAGAAGGGAATTGTAGTTTGAATGGAATTTTGGTGCAAATGGTGGCGATCTGTTGTACAGTCTGCATTAATTGGGTTATTTCTGAATGAACATTTGATTATTATAACAGAACATTCTATGTATAATCTCGTAAAACTGTAAATTCCTGGCAGAGTCACTTTGAAAGTATGAGGCTGACAAGCCCTTCTTTTGAAAAACTGAGAACTATTTGCATGAGAATTATCACTCTGAAGCAAGCAAATTCCAGTGCTGTTGACTCACTGCCTCAGCCACCTACACTGGGGCTCCCAGGCAGAATGGGTTCCAACCCACTGTACGTGGGGATTCCAGGACCCACCAGTTCACGGGAGTCACATGAGAAATAACAACAGGAAGAAACTTTGCTGCCAAATAAAAAGAGACCAAATCAACAGAAAAACAGTAAGGACATTTTGTTTTATGGTTTAATTGGATTTTTAAATTATTATGCCCTAGGATCTATCTGAAACATAGACTCAAACAAATGAAGAAAGGACTTTTAGGAACTTGAAAAACCATGTATACTTATTATGGCAAGTATGTGCCTCTCAAGTTCAACATGTCAAACACATGATTTTATCCTGTTGGAACAAAAACAGAAAAAGGAGGTAGAAGTCTTCATACAGAACTCTCAGCCCCTCATTAAGAAGTTGGAAATTGTATTTAGCTGTACAGAACAGAGGAATACATGACTGCTAATTTTCTAACTCATTCATTTTTGTTAAGTTCTAATAAGGCAACTGGATTTTTCTACTTGCTAGGCATCAAGCATCATTTTGAAATATTAATAAATCCTTAGAAAGCAGAAACCATGTCTGAATGACTCAGTATACATTGTCCGTTGTGGCATCACTTACAAAAGGTTACTGAGATTGACGAAGTAATAAATGATGAGTTCAGCTGGGCGCTGTGGCTCTCACCTGTAATCCTAACACTCTGGGAGGCTGAGACAGGTGGATCACTAGAGCCTAGGAGTTTGAGACGAGCCTAGGCAACACAGGGAGACGCGGTCTCTACAAAAAATTAGCTGGGCATGGTGGCGTGTACCTGTAGTCCCAGGTACTCAGGAGGCTGAGGTGAGAGGATCACCTGAGCCCAGGAAGTCCAGGCTGCAGTGAGCTGAGATTGCACTACTGCATTCCAACCTGGGCAACAGAGCAAGACCCTGTCTAAAAAAAAAAAAAAAAAAAAAAAAAAAAATTTGCTTTAAAGGGCATTGTAGGAAAATTGAAAGTGACCTCTACTTGGCGGAACTCCTCTAAAACCTAGGTTAAACCCCATTTCTACCACTATCTGGCTGTTAATCCTGGACAAATAATAATACTTAATTTCTCTGTGTCTTGATCTCTTCAGCCTTAAAACCAGGTTTATAATCACACATGCCTCCCAGAATAGTGAGAAAATAATGTTAAAAGCATTTAGCATGGTGCCTTTCACATAGTTAAGCACTGAATAAATGTTAGCCAGGGTTTTTTTTTTTTTTTCATTTTTGTTTTTGTTTTTTGCTAACATCAAACAACGTTACAATTATTGAAAAGGTTTTAGCATAGCTAGAGCATTCTCTGTCCCAAACACAGATCAGAAGACTCCAAAGTTCAGGCACAGAATTAAGCAGGAACACATCCTTGTTTCTTATATTCCCACTTAAAAACATTTTCAAGACAAGAGAATAATATACATTTTCAAAATTTCTTATAAAATCTCAAATTTCAAAAGAATAAAGTGACACAGAAAGCAATCAGTATTTTTTCTGATAGCCAATACATTACCAAAATTTTAAATTCTGTATTTTATCTGACTAATAAACTTACTTGCTTCATATTACGAAGACTATAAGCATAGGAAAATAGAAAATGAGCACAAAATCAAATCCGTAAGTTGAAATTATCAAGGAAGTTACAAGTAAACAATCTCTCAGAGCAAGATCTAACAGACTTTTTCCATAGAGGTCCAAATGGTCAACTTTTACGCTTTGTGGGCCACATAAGGTTTTCTTCCTCTTCTTCCTCTTCCTATTTCTCTCCCTTCCTCTCCTCTTCTACCTTTTCCTTCCTCTCCTCTTCCCTCTCCTCCTTTAACAACTCTTTGAAAACACATAAACCATTCCTAGCTCTGTGGCCAAACAAAAACAGGCTTCAGGCTGGATTTGGCCCTGGGGCATAGTTTCCTACTCTTTTTATAGAGCAGGGATGGGCAAACTACAGAACACAGGCTAAATGCTGCCCACAGCCTATTTTTGTAAATAAAGTTTTATTGGAACACAGCCATTCCCATTCATTTACAAAGTGTCTACTGCTGCTTTCCCACCCCAAAGACAGAGTTGAGCAGTTTTAACAGAGACCCTATGGCCCACGAAGCCAAAAGTATATACCATCTGGCCCTTTACAGAAAAATGTTTGCCAATCTCTGTTCTAGAGTAATGAGAATACTTTGTTACTATCACTCTTCTCTATCTCTTTCCACTACAGGAAGAACTAGAACAAGTGGTCTTAGTTACTTCATTGGGAGTTATTTTTTCTTGCCAATGTTAAATACCATAGAAACCAAACATCATAAATTTTATATGTGAAAGTGTTAGGTAGAGAAAACTTCCAGACATCCACCTGTTTCTTTAAATGAGTTGCATGTATTTTCATAGTCTTTGTAACAGCAGAGAATAGGAAATACTACTTCTTACAAAATGTTGAAAGAGAACAATATAAAGTGGAAATATCCAGAAAAAAAAAACAGAATATGATATAGAATATAAACTTAAGCAGGAAAAACACCCTTTTGTGGTATATGAATATTGGGTGAGCTTGCATGGTGCCTGAGAGAACACAGTGGCTCATTTTATTCAGGACAATGACCAATTCTGAAAATATTGCTTCTACCTATCCATTTCAATTTAGTATATAAAAAGGTATAAAGCTATGTAAACAGAGCAAAACACCATATATATCTGCCTATATAAATAAAAAAACCTAACCCAAATAAAATCATTTCCAAAAGTCATATTTCTCAATTAGCTTTCTCTCAATTCTGTAAGCAGAATATTCATTCTAGAAATTAAACTTGGAAAGCACTGTGAAATTGTTTTTATATGTATTTACATTTCACTTTTTCTCTGCATGATGCATAACTCAAAAACTCCTTCCTGCCCATCTCAGAAGCTCCAGGCTCTGGCTCCTTTCACCCCTACATCCTCTAATGTTCACACTGTCCAGTTTAGGTGGAGGCCAGTGCTACCTCCAGAGATGGACTCTTGCTTTGCTTTCCAGCAGCAGACCAGAATTTGAGTTGATCATATCCAGTGACCTCAACCCTAGAGTTCAGGATTCGACAAACACAGAGGGATTTCTATTGAACTTTCACCCACACTCCTCAATCATCCATCCTTCAACCTGAGCAGTTAACCCTTTTCATTGGTGCTTAAAACCATTTCCCATATTGGTTTGCATTACTGCTTGGAAATTGAAAATCCTAGCAGAATAAGACCCGTGAGGGCAGCGATCATGTCAGCCCTGCTCATCAATGTATCTTTGGCCTTAGCTCAGTTTCTGGCACACAATAGAGGCTTAGTAAACACGGATGGATGGATGGATGGATGGACGGACGGATGGATGGATGGATGGATGGATGGATGGATGGATTGATGGACAGATATAAACTGCAAACATCAGAATTGTTATTGGTTTCTAAACCATACAGAGCTTATCCGCAAATGTCTTTGCAAACCTATTTGAATAGTTGAAACATAGTGGTTCTGGAGTTCATAAATGTAAGGGATCTATTAGCAATTAATGATGACAAGGACTTCAGCAAGCATAAATAGGCTAGATAGCCAGGTCTTGGAACCCATCAATCTATTGGTCTCATTTTCAAAAGGAGAAAATGTTAGTTTTTGGAAATACAGGTCAATAATTTTATGTTGAGAACCTGAAAAAATTGCAAATGGTATTATTAACCAGATGTCCTAAAAAACTTACTCAAGAAAAAGTAGATTACCAGCAAGCAATACTATATCACCAAGAATAAACGGTGTTAAATTTACCTCAACTTTGGTTTTGACGAGAAAATACTACAGGTATAAAGTGTCTTGATTTTTGTAAGATATTTGATGAATTAATATTCTTTATGATCAAAATGGAAAAGTCAAGTTTGGATGACAGGACAGTAAGGTGTATTCAAACTATTGAAAAATTATCACTAAAGGGTGCTATTAATAAATTAATATCTTCACTTTCTTACATATACAGAGTGCCCAACTAGAACTAGCAGAAATGAGCAGGAGGCACAAGCTCATTTGGAAAATTATGAAAATGCTAACAATTCGAAACGTTTTAAAATGGATGAAACAACTTTTGGAGTCTTTAAGCACCTGTTCAAGCACATGGTGACTCTGACTGTCCAGAAGGAATGATTTAGAATGGTGGAAGAAAAGGAAATTCTTACATTCTTTTCACTTCAAAATTCTGAGAGTCTATGAAATATCTATATACAAGGGAAACAATGGCCTGAGGAAAAGTCATATGGGCAGGTTCTGACTCCAAGTTAGCTTTTCAAGCTTAATCTTTCTTTACTCTTTTTAAATTTATTTTATTGTATTTATTTATTTTTAGAAACAGGGTCTTGCTCTGTCACCCAGGCTGGAGTTCAGTGGCACAACCATAGTCACTGTAACCTGGAACTCCTGGATTCAGGCAATCTCTCATCTCAGCCTCCTGAATAGCCAGGACTATAGAAGTGAGCCATCACTTTAAATTTTAAAATCTTTACATCTTTAGTAGAGACAGGGTCTCACTATGTTGGCCAGGTTGGTCTCAAACTCCTGGGCTCAAGCATCTTCCAGCCTTGCTGTCCCAAAGTGCTGAGATTACAGGCATAAGCCACCACGCCTGGCTAATTTATGTAATTTTTAAATATCCAGAAGGATTCATTAAAAACATGGCAAGAAAAGAGGATGTGGGAGTAAAATAATAGAGTAATATATAATAGAATAATAATATAAAATAAAATGATAATCTTATATAATACAATATATAATGTATATATTAGAATGATATATAGAATGATAATCAAAGAACTAAGTAAGAAGATTGCCATGCAATTACCATTTGCAGCAACAATGATTTAATCATGATTATAGCTCTGGTAGATATAAAATAGTTGTACTTTAAGTATTAACACTATCAACGGTCAGTATGGGGCAACAGTGTGTGCATGTGAGTGCGTGTGAGTGAATGTGTGTGTGTGCATGGGCATGCCACGTGTGTGTTTTTCTCCTAAATATTTAAGGCAAAAGCCTAAAGCAAATGAGGCTATTTCTTGAAGATGAATGTTCAAAGTAAGAAGAACCCTGTAATTTCTTTTACCCATGGATAACATTCTTTATCTCCCCATCCAGTCAGATTCAGTAAGCGAGAATCCTTAATTTCCATTAATCTAACCACTACTAGATTGAAAGTGTGAAAAACAACAATAAACTAACCACTTCATGTAGTTCAGATTTTAGGCAAGCTTATTCTTTTTAGGAAATGCTGAAAGATGCCTCAAACCACAAATCAGGCTTTATTTCAATAAATGTTTGTGACCACATATTGATAATGATAGGAGGCAGCCAAATGCCTAGACAGATAGGGCAGGTCCCTGGTGAAACCCCACCTCCAAGCCAAAGACAGTTTAAAGCCTGAAAGCCAAGCTACAAGTTAAATCCTCCGACCAGATTGAGAACTTGTCTTCCTGTTCGATGCGCTTTCCTCTTATTGATCCCCACCCTTCACCTATTTTACATATCCCTACCCTTTCCTAATTGGTCTTCTACACCGTCATATCCAACTTTGAGTGGTGTCTTTGCCTCAACCTTTTGCCTATAAAGACCCCAGACTCAGTCAGTAGAGGAGGAGACGACCTGACTTCAGGGAGGTGACAGCCTGACATCAGGGAAGATGACCTGCCCTTCTCTTCCCCTCTCCAGCTGAGAACTGTTTTCATCACTCAATAAAACTACCCACCTTCACCATCCTTCAACTATCTGTGTGACCTCATTCTTCCTGGATGCCGGACAAGAGCTCGGGACCCACTGATTGCGGGTATCCAGTAAGGCTGTCACACCGGCCCTTTGCCCTTGACGGCGGAGGGCAGCCACCCCACACAACAAGGCAAGAGGCCAACTGAGCTGCTAACACACCGCTGTCCGTGGACAGTGGAATTTAAGGAGCACTGTAACATCCTCTCTGGGGCTTTGGGGTCATGGGCACCCTCACAGGGGCGCCACCACATTCCCCTCAAGGTGACATGCCTGGTCTGGCCACGGGCCCTGCATGGAGCTTGCTTCTGTGTCAGCACCCAGAGTGGCTGGCCGGATCCTACGCTCGCTTGCTCATGTGCTGCCTCCTGCAAGGGGTTGAGTGTGACGAGCCAAGTAGAGGGGGCTCCCCTGCCGTGAGTTGGTGAAGGGGCTGAGAAAAATCCTGCATCAATATGTCCAAGGTTATAAATGTGACAATTAAATCAGGGGCAAAGGACATGAACTGGCCAAGGATACTGTATCACAGGACAAGAATCTCCTAGAATTGTACTTGTGTCCTACATAAGTAGCAATCAGATAGCAACGTAGTAAGCTTTCATAAAAATAAAGACACCTAATATTGCATACAATCAAATATAAAATAAAGCATTTAAGATAGAAAAATCTAAAGAGTTAGTCATTTATGGCTCAGAGCCGTGGTAGTATATTTTTTAAACTCTGTGTGTGTGTGTGTGTGTGTGTGTGTGTGTGTGTGTGTGTGACAGTCCCCAGTGAGAATCAGTCTGAGACCTCTTTCCAGAAACATATACACGTACACAAATGCAGGGCCCAGACATAGATCTTCTATGAATATATGTATAAAGCCATAATTCAGAGGTTCCAGTCCGATTCTCAATAAAGGGTATTATACAGTACATCCATCTCCTATTACTCAAAAACCTCTCTTTAAGAAGTAAAAGCTTTATCCCTAATTGTTACAGCTTTTGAAAAGGAAAACACACCACAGTCCAATTTTCTACGCAAAGTAGGCTTGGCCACCTATCTTCCTTCTGCTCATAACTAAAATGTGTTGGCGGTTCTGTGTCTCCTCCACTCTTGCTGCCTGCCTCTCCTGTCCTCTATTTCCTTTAATCGTCACCTTCCACTTTAAGACTCAGCTGTTGCACAAATAGCCAGATCTTAACCTTCTGAGTTTGCATACCCAAGCCATCAAAAACTGGTAGAAAAAGCCATCTTTCTCCTAAGTGGAAGGATTCTGGATTTGTGAAATACCAGTCAATGACCATTAGCTTCTCCTCCAAGTCAGCCAGTCACATGGTCTTTGGGTCACAAGGCTGAGGGCAAGGGGATCAGAATTCATAGGAAAGTAATGAATAATGTTATTGAGGTTAAAGGTGAGATACGCAATCTAATATCTGATGATGGCAAATTTCCTAGCTTATTTCCACGTAAAGAAGAAACAACCAGGATTGAAACTAAATGTACCGCATACTGTTTTTTAACCTAGCCAATGCCGTAACTTCTATTGTGTTTTGAAGATTTGTAAAAATGTATGGTATAGGACTCCAGATACAACAGTATTTTAGGTACAAAACACATTTGATAGAGATTTTCCCCTATCAAAATAGGTGAAAATGTGGAATAGAGATTCATTCTTGCCTAAATACTCCTATTTCTACTAAGCAAAAAAAACTAGGTGAAACAAATTAACTCCTGAAATAGATTTTACAATTTAAATGAGTATGTATCAATAGGTCTTAGCCTTCGAAAGGAAGGCATCTTTTTTTAATGTATGTTTTTAAAAAGAACCGTTCACATGGAGTTTGTTCTGGGACCAGAAAAATAATTGGAAGATCTTAATGAAAATATAGAATAAAGAAAACTATTTTAATAGAACAATAATCATCAAAATAGATTAAAATTTATGAATGCATATCTCCACCTAAGGAAAAGCAGCCATAGTTGTAAATAGAAAATTTTCTGAGCTTGAAGGTTAGAACTTTAAATGCCCTTCTTTTACATGGTATAACTTTTTACAAAATACTTTCGGTTTAACATCACAAGTTTTTTAATTACAGTGTTATCTTTATTCTACTTTGCCCCACACAAAAGGGACTGGAAATAATCTTGCATCTAGGAAAAATAACTAAAGAAAAAAAAAGAAATAATATTGCATCTAGTAAATTCCTTCCAATATTAATATTTATGAGTAGGCTAATAGTTAATCACTTTGAAACTTTATAGGAAATAATTATAAAACATAAAAAGGAAGCTTGAAATATTTTTCCTCTGTTTATTATTTTTGAAATATTTTTCCTCTATCATTTTTGCAAACCATATATCGCCAGGTTTACATACGGGTCCAAGGCACCTTCTCTCATCATTCCAGAGAAAAATGAAGTATCTCCCAACAGAAAGTATATAGCTTCACTATAATTCATCTGTGTGCGAGACAGGGAAGGGGCATATTATAATGGGAAGGAACAGATTTTGACGCACCTGATCCATATTTGAATTCCAGCTCAGCCAGTAGCCTGCTGCATACTCCTGACTTCTCTAAACCTCGGCTTTCACATCTGTGAAACAGGGCCCACACTATCTTAGAAAGATATAGTAAAGATTACAAACAAGGCCGGGCGCGGTGGCTCACGCCTGTAATCCCAGCACTTTGGGAGGCCGAGGCGGGCGGATCACAAGGTCAGGAGAACAAGATCATCCTGGCTAACATGGTGAAACCCCGTCTCTACTAAAAATACAAAAAATTAGCCAGATGTGGTGGTGGGCACCTGTAGTCCCAGCTACTCAGGAGGCTGAGGCAGCAGAATGGCGTGAACCCCAAGAGGCGGAGCTTGCAGTGAGCTGAGATCGTGCCACTGCACTCCAGCCTGGGTGACAGATCAAGACTCCGTCTCAAAAAAAAAAAAAAAAAAGATTACAAATAAACATGTTCCACCCATGGTGTGTAAATAATAGGTCATATTTCATATTATTTGGACTATTCATTAATTGATTATTCAACGATTTTTGCGTGTTAAAATCTTGTTCTCCTAGCTGCACTGCAGAGCAAGGTCTCGCATCCATAGTTAGCTGGATGATGACATACTGAGATTTCTGCAAATTGATATGGATGTACAAGAGGCTGGATGTGCAAGGCAAGTGTACTGGCAAGTGTACCAGCAAGAATGAGGCAGTGTGATTCCTTCATCAAAAAACAGGTGGGGCCAGGAGTGGTGGCTCACGCCTATAATCTTAGCACTTTGGGAGGCCGAGATGGGTGGATTACCCGAGGTCAGGAGTTGGAGACCAGTCTGGCCATCATGGTGAAACCCTGTCTCTACTAAAAATCAAAAATCAGCTGGGTGTGGTGGTGCACGCCGGTAATCCCAGCTACTCAGGTGGCTGAGGCATGAGAATCACTTGAATCTGGGAGGCAGAGGTTGCAGTGAGCCGAGATAGCGCTACTGCACTTTGGCCTCGCGACAGAGCAAACTCCATCTCAAGAAAAAAAAAAATACAGGTGGGTCTAAGAAATTTCCATTCTATTCCCCGCCTGTCCCTCTCTGTCTTTGTTACAGGATACCTCATCAAATGAAAACACAATGATGACCACATACACGGGTAACCAGAGCTATACTACCTTTCCTGGGAATAGCAGAGCACAGATGTAAAGACTGAAAGATGACGTGTTATATTTTGGTTTGTGATTCTGCTAATACCCCCAGGACAATCATTTCTGAAACTATTTGTACCCTTACTTGTATTTCAGACTTTAGCGCACAGTTAAGGAACGATTTTTAATACATTTTCCTCCAGACTACTAGCATTTCTTTATCTATATTAAAATTAAAGATTAGTGTTAAAATTAAAAACTAGTATCATGAAAATCCACAAATAGTCATAAGATATCATTTTAGTCACAACTCCTTGCTAATTTACTATGACATCTCTATGTTTCAAAATTAAGAAGTCCAAGTGGCCAGATTTATTTTTAGCTTCATTTTAATTCTAAAAGCCCTAGCTTTTAGTAACAAGTGATAACGCTGTGAATCAGGCAGTCAACTAAAGGAAAAGAAGCAGCAAAGAACTGGGGTAGCAATTTGCCGGTCAAAAAGTTCAAAATTCCGAAGTGGGAAGGACATGGGGACAGCTGTGGAGTGGGGAGCTCCTTCCGCTGTGGGGTCCGGTTCGCTTCTGCCCGGGTGTGCACGGTTTCTCCTTATGTCTCACTTCTAACCACAGGACAGCCCTGGTGCAGACTCTAGCCTGCTCCTATCTTCAGATTGACGTTCAGCAGCTGAAGGATTATCTGTGCTGACACGTCTGATTAGAAATTACCAGTTTACTTTCAAATGTGTGGAGACCACAGAGGGGCCAACATTTACTTTCTATTCAGGTTTATCTACCTTGCAAGGAGCCCTAGAGGAGGCATCTCTTCCTTCTGCTTTATTACAATTCAATTTTACTTGTAAACGAAACCTACCCCAGGGGATTTCTTAAATGTGAAGGTTTCGCTTACCTCTTCCTGGGACCAGTGGCTCTTTGGCAATTCCATTTGGGACTTGTTCCTATGTCTCCAAAAGTAGAGGAAATAAGCCCATTTTTCACTGCTCTAATTTAAAATCATTTTAACAGAGTTCATACAGACTAGGTTTGGGTCAAAATGATTTACTAGTACAGCACAGTTAAAGTCAGTAAAAATACTGGGGCCATGAATGAGAATAGATTGCTTAGGTTGGTAGAGTTTACTGCTTTAAATTTTGTGCTAAGAAAACTGGTGGAGGCTGACATCAAAGATGGTAAATTAAGCATTAGTTCCAATTTGTGGTGTGACAGGTACTAGTATTAAATAGCTGTTCTCCCTATTTCACTAGGAAGCAAAGAAGCAAAGCTTTCATACTATTAACTGGAAAACAAAGAATAAAGTATGCTTACTTCACAAGCAAAAATAAAAAATGGGAATTCAAATCTCTGGCTTTTTTCTGCATTACAAAAGAGTGGCTTCATGATTTCTGACCCGTGCAGCTCCAGAGGGTCACACTTGTTCTGCTGTCATCATCTTGAAATTCTTAATAATTTTTTTTGAGACAGGGTCTCACTCCATTGCCCAGGCTGGAGTGCAGTGGGGTGATCATGGCTCACTGCAGCCTCGACTTCCTAGGTTCAAGTGATCCTCACAACTCGGCCTCCTGAGTAGCTAGGACTACAGGCATGCACCATCATGCCCAGCCAATTTAAACAAATTTTTTTTCTAGAGACAATGTCTCATTACGTTGCTTGGGCTCTTAATAATTTTTGAACAAGGAGCCCTGCATTTTCATTTTGTATTCAGTCTCCCAAATTATATCACCAGTCCTGCATTAGATATATGAACATTATTATTCTATTACCCTTACCTTCTTACCAACAGAATGTGTTTATTCATTCATTCACCCAATGTCCTAATCTGTTGAGACCTACTGTGTGCTAAAGATGCAAAACGCTCCAATAAGACAGATAAACTCACGATCTTCATGGAGTTAAAAATGAAAAGAAAAAACAAAACAGTGAAAAATGATAACACTTAGAAAAATACTTAAGTGCTAATGTGACCTTTAAAACTTTAACAAAAATTTCACTGGGCAGTTAAGAAGGTTACAGTATTCCTAAATTGAACAAATATACCTGATTTTGCTGCTCCTCCTGGTCTTCCAGAGCACCCCCGCCTTCTCTCCAACAGGCTACACCCTAAGTGAGAAAGCAGTGTTCCTCCAAGGAAAATTGAAGTAGCAAGTACTTGAGGGCCAAGTGTACGCATTTCAGGAAACTGCTTTTCAAATTTGGAAAGGTTAGCATTTTAGAAAGGAGCATATGTGCTTCCAAGTACAAGTTAAAAGAATGAAACTCAATGTGCACACACATTCAAGAGCTCCACTTGTCTCTAAGTATCAAGCTCTAAGCACCCCAGTGAGCTATTATCCCATTAGATGTATTTGGATCATCTATGAGAGGCAGTCTGGTGTGATGGTCTTAATGAAAAACACAACATCTGCATTAATTGGTGGCTTATGAGTATCTTTCCAACAACTCAATTTTTTTTTTTAAGACAGAGTCTCACTCTGTCGCCCACGCTAGAATGTAGTGGCGCTATCTTGGCTCGCTGCAACCTCCGCCTCCCAGGTTCAAGTGATTCTCCTGCTTCAGCCTCCCAAGGGTGGGACTAGCTACAGGTGCATGCCACCATATCCAGCTAATTTCTGTACTTTTTTTTTTTAGTAGAGACGGAGTTTCACCATGTTGGCCAGGCTGGTCTCAAACTCCTGACCTCTAGCAATCTGCCCACCTCAGCCACCCAAAGTGCTGGGATTACAAGCATAAGCCTGTAATCCCATGAGCCCAGCCCCAACAACTCAATATTAATGCTGACATTTGATAATATTTTAAAATAGAAATGTCTGGTAGCACACAAACAAGCATGTCCTGGCAGCTTGCCAGAAAAGACACGTTATCCATCAACCAAGACTGAATTGAAGAGAAGTGTTCTCAGTGCATTCACCACCTTTAAAATACACACGGGCAGCATGTCTCAACCCATATCACTGGAAATTTCTCTTTTCCTTTCCAGGAAAAGAGCAACCAAGTTAGTTGTTATCTAAAGTAAATGGTTGAATCAATCATCATGGAGTGATAGGACAAAAGCACCCTACTAAAGACCCCTGACAGAAATGATTAAATCAGCATAAAGCAACAGCCGCGGACTACCTCACAGTAACATGTTCAACTGTTGGGCATTTCTGTGCTGTCTGTATGAGTGCAACTAAAGTAGGAACAGATATAAGAAAATCGTCTTTTGAAATTAACTTGACCAGAGATATATACATTTAAACAGAATTTTATTTTAAGCATTCAGTCATTGGCATCCAAGACAGAAAACTGCATAGAATCTGCATTGTGCCATGAGGTGTGAGAGTGATGGACACAAGAAGTGACTTAGCCAAAGGAAGGAAGGAAATTACCAGCACAACACAGAGGACACGGGGCAAGCAAGTCATGAACCCCAAATCAGTATCTTGCTCAGGTAAACACCTGAATTCAAAAGTTTCCAGAATACGTTTCAACAAGTCATCATTCAAATGCATATAAAAATTGTGACAGGTACAGGTTATGCTAAGAGGCCACAGTCGGGGGCCAGGGGAGCTGACAGTCATCTGTGGTAGATGGTGCTCTCCCAAATCCCCACCAAAAACATTGCTCATAAAGTTTCCCAGGAGCTCAGGAAAGAGAAGATTCCCTCCAGCTGGGCAATCAGAGGAGACTTCATGGATAAGTCAACATTCAAACCAGGCCTTAAAAGGCAAATAGGTTTGGGGTCTGTGAAGAGAGGAGAGAAAGGTGAAGGGAACAGCGTTCAGCAAAGGCACAACAATGTTATTCTAATCTTATGTAACCTCTCGTGTAACTAGTGCACAAGAAACATCAGAAGATTCAGTGTGGCTAAAGTAGAATAAACAAGACCGGGGTGAATGGATGGTAATATGTCCAGTAGTGCCTGGGGTAACACTGTAGGAGGTCTTTATCTTACAGGGAGCAGCCAAGGTATTTTGAGCATGAAAGGGCCATGCTCACACCCAAGAGGATTACTCTGGCAGCAACATGAGGCTGCATAGGAGTGAGGCAGGCATGCAGGAAGGGAGCCCAGGCCAAGGGCAGATACTCTCCACCCACCACAAGTCTTCTGAGCCATTTTGAAACAAATGTGATAGTGCATCAGGACACTAAACGAGAACAATATTTAATGCCAGAAGGCTTTTTAAATGGTCACCCAGCAGGTCATGACCCAGCAGGACATGACTCTTGTAACAGCATGCTTCCATGACATAGAGGTATATACTACATTAAGTAACTCTCTTATAGTAAATTCAAGACAATGAAATTTCTTGTCATTCTATCAGATTCAGCTTCTAGTTTCAGATTAATTCAGTTTTACAGCACATTCTTCTGTCCCATTTCTGACATCAATTTCAAAAATTTTTTTATCTTTTTCTAATAATATACTTGTTACAGTTTTTAAAGAATTATATACAACCATCAAAGATATTATTTTCTTTTTATTTTGCTCAATTCCCCCGAGGATCAGAAATGAAAGCTCCGAAACCCCTCAATTGAGCCCTAATCTTAGAAAATATCACTTCAACATACACCTGCAAATATCACTGGCAAGTTTCATTTTGTGAAGATAGAATAACGATCTAGCAATATAACATGATACTGAAGCTTGCTGTTGGTAGAATAACAATGGCATCTTTCTGAGGAAAAGAGTCTACTGACCAAAGCAATGAATTTATAAACTCCTCAGGGTCACAGCCCTGTAGTACATTTACTTCTTTGTTCCCATAGTACCTATCACAGTTTCAAGCACAAAGCTGCAGCAGAATCTTAAGATTAAATGAGAAAATGTATATAAACATTTATTGTATATTACGAAGTGCCATATTAAAAGCAGCTGGCATTAGTTGACTTAGAACTCTAAAGAACTAATTGTACTTTTAATTGGTCTCAGTGGTTATGCAAAAGAGATAAAAATACAAATTTATGAACAGGTAGTAATCAGACTATAAACACATGAAAGCATATGGGAAGAGAGATGGGGAATTAAAGATGGGGTCTCACAGAAGGGACAGATGATATTTAAAATGCCATCAGAAGTAAGAAAACCCATTATGTGGTGACAGGTGTTAAAAAAAAAACTTGTCCAGACACTGAGAACATGCATAAGGATATCTGCATGGCATCTCAAATTATGATCTGTGGAGGTCAAATATATCTAGTAACACAGTATATTTACCACGTCCTGAATAAGAAGTCACCTACTAATAAGAATATTACAAGTCCAAAAATCAGCTAGCTAAGGAAATGCAGTGGGAAAGCAATAGAAAACTAAAAGTAGATGAAAATAGAACCAAAGTCCTTTCTTTGTAGTTCTTCCTTTACAGTTCTTTATAATTCTTTACTGTTCTTTCTTAGTCTGCTTCTGTTCATTACGTTACCCCCAATATCTAGAATGTTTCCTGGCACAGAGCAGGATTCAATAAATATTTATGTAACCAACTGTTGGTAATAGCGACCATTTATTGGGAATCTACTTTATCATGCCTGATATTAGGTAACTTACATGTTTTTAAACTTCACAAAAATTCAAAGAGTTAATATTACTATTAGGACCTAATATTACTATTACATCCTGTAAACAAAGGACCTGAGGCCAAGAGTCTGTAACTTGTCCAGAACCAGGAAACTGATGAACAGCAGAATTTAACCCTGTCTGTCCAGATCCTCTGTTCATTTGCTTTGCACGACAACACATGGCCATAGAGTAATGTGAACACACGAATAAAGGTGGTACTTTAAGACTTGCTAATACAAGAAAAAAGTACTAACACTTCATTTTACTTACAGACTTGAGGAAACAGTTTTTTCTGGAATCTGACTGCATGTAAAATCCTAAAGCATCCCACATGGGGGGAAAATGTTATTCTAATCCCATGCTGTAAGTAATGCTACAGAAACAATCTGCCAAACCCTACAAGCCTAACAAGCTAAATAAGGAAAGTATAGAGAAATGAAAATATTTCCCTGGTCCAATATTTTCCACCATCTTAGAATCCCATCAGATTCAGAGTTCCAGATCTGCCTCATCTGGACTGCAAGATTATTATGGTAAAACCACTCCACACAAAGTACAATTGTCTGAAATTACACTGAAGTCAAATGTACATCAAAAGGTGCCACACAGGGAAGAAGAGCTCACCGCTGTGTAATTTAATGAAACCTACTGAGCACCAAGGGCACAGACAGCCAAATTGAATTTTAAATGTTTCCTACCAGGAGGCTATAATCAGGATAGCCACCAGTGGGTGGATGAGATAAACGAACTGACTTTCTTCCACCAGGCGATCAAAATAGAATACCATCTTTATGCATGAGACAAAAAAAAAAAAAAAGAAGAAGAAGAAGAAATTAAAATATTCAGCTTTCACAATCTCTCTCTCTCTTTTTTTTTTTTCTAACTACATGGTCACTTCTAGATTCTGCTTTCCCCCAAGGTATCTTTTGTTAATGAACATCATAATTGTTTTCCTACTTTGATTTTTATTGCAATCTATTCCAGACCAAAAACAAACCAAAAAAAAGTGCTATTCCTATAAAGTACAAACTTCTCCATCATCCTGGTCCACCAGCGTAGTAACTGTTAAGCAGCTGGCACTATCTGAGGGGAGGCTTAAAATTATGATTAAAGTAGACACAGCTAGGAGCTTGCCTTTCAACCAGCACAATCAAATGTAAAAGAAAATGTCAAAATTCAAAAGCCATGTGTTTTTAAGAGTAAATGAAGTAGTATCTACCCACGTGAAGGTTTTCAAAACACTGTTTTCATAAATCTATGTATTTTACCCTGATCTTTCTCATGAGCTCTATGCCCAGTGTTTCCAACTGTCCATTTGGCCTTCCACCTTAAAGTCCCTGCAGAACTTGAACCAAAAGCTGTCCAGAACTCAACTCATCCCCTTGCTTCCTAAATCAGGCCTCCTGTAGACACATCAGTCTCCAAAAGCAGCGGCCTCATTCTACGAGGCTCATGGACTTGAAAAGAGAGAGCTGCTACTGATGCATAATCTCACATGACAATCAGTTGCCAAGTCACGTCGACTGCATTTCTCATCCCATCTTTCATCTCGCTCTCTTTCTGTCTTACATGTCCCAGAGTCCAGGGTCTCATTCTGCAAATCGCTAAGAAGAGGGTAACAAGACCCAACCATGTGAATTGTAGTCCAGTGAGACTTTTATCAAACTGGGGTATTTGGAGGGTAAGGCCATTAAGGAAATCAATGCAGAGCCAATCCTACAAAGCAGGATCAGGGGAGAGGATGGAAATGTAATGATCATGTGGCTACCACAGCTAACCCGCAACCAATGGGAAGGCATTTCACAATGCAGGAATTTGATCAGTAGCAAAATATTCAAGAGATCTGAACGTACCCTTGCCTGGCCCTTTTGTGGGGGTGTGGTTTTAATGGCAATGCTGAAAATTCAGGAGAAAGGATTCAGGGTCTGCAGCTGAGTTTGGCTAAGACAGACAGACGATGACCTTGTTCCATAGCTTACCCAATATGTGTATCTTACAGGATCTTGAGGATATCAACCAAACAGCAATCATCTTAGCAGCTGCATCATTCATCTGTACAATTCCACACACCAGATTTTGAGCCTCCTGAAGACAGACATCGTCATATTTAAGTCATTATTCAACACAAGGCCTAGCATCTGCCATTCTGCAAAGTAGAAATTGGATCAAAAGCTGCAAAATTGAACTGGGTTAAAAGTATATATACAACAGCTTTTCAAGGAGGCCATATTATATTAAGTCTCAGGTGGAGAGCAAACTATTATTGCATTCTCTGTCAGGCACTTTGGTAGGCTCTGGAAATAGTGCGGTGATTAAAACAGACCTCTGACCTTGGGGAGTTACAATCAGAGAAGAAAGATATTATACACCTAATTGCAAAAATTAAGTTATCACAAGCATACAATATTTTATGAAGAAAATGTACAGGATGCCAAATTCTTTTTTTTTTTTTTTTTTTTTTAAGACAGGGTCCTGCTCTGTCACCCAGGCTGGAGTGCAGTGCACAATCTCAGCTCACTGCAACCTCTGCCTCCCAGGCTCAAGTGATCCTCCCCCCTCAGCCCCCTGAGTAGCTGGGATCACAGGCACATGCCACCATGCCTGGATAATTTTTATGTATTTTTTGTAGAAACAGGGTTTTGCCATGTTGCCCAGGCTGGTCTTGAACTCCTGGGCTCAAGCAATTCACTGGCCTCAGCCTTCCAAAGTGGTAGGATTACAGGTGTGAGCTACCACATACGGCTGGGTGCAAAACTCTAACAGTTGTACCTCCCAATCAAATACCTAGACACCAGTGTTAACTTACACATTCAAATAATATGTAGAGAAATTCCAGAATGACATTTTCTCTTTCCAAATTACAATAATGGTTACCTCTACCTCACAAGGACTAGCATAAGTGAAAGAATCCAGGTGCCTTCCAGCCAACAAACCTTCAAGTTAACTCTTCCACGGTTTGCCTAAATGAACAAATTTCTCATGCAAGCAAGTATAGGGATAAACAGCAACTCCTGGTTCATACCTCTTCACCTCTTCATTGGCTTTTAATCTCATCAATATCCTGAACAAATCCTCAATGCAAGTCCTTCTGGCCACTGCCTCCCTCTCCAGCTTCACCTGACCCATCCTCCCTCGTGTCCTCCGGTCTAGTGTGCCTCGAAGGCAACTTGCTCCCTCACACCCAAGCGCCTCGTCTTGTCCCTGCTGTTCCCTCTCTGAGAGGCTCCCTCCCCTCCTCCTCCGTGTCAGGCCTCGACTCCAGCCTGACTTCCTTAGGAATGTCTTCCTTGGCACCCTTCTAGGTCATGCCTGCCTGTGACATATTTTCTCTTTCTAATGTTTATCATGTCTGTAATTTTACTTTCATTTTGGGGAGAATTTGATTAATGTTTGTCTCTCTTGCTAGATTTAGATTATTAGTAGGCAAGATCCAGACTTTTCTGAGCAGCAATGTATCTCCAAGGCCTAGAGCAGAGCCTGACACCTAAAATACATTTGTTGAATAAGTGAATAAAAACAAAGAACCAATGGCCGGGCACGGTGGCTCACACCTGTAATCCCAGCACTTTGGGAGGCTGAGGCAGGCAGATCACCTGAGGTGGCCTGATGAACATGGAGAAACCCCGTCTCTACCAAAAATACAAAAATTAGCTGGGCGTGGTGGCACATGCCTGTAATCCCAGCTACTCAGGAGGCTGAGGCAGGAGAATCACTTGAACCTGGGAGGCGGAAGTTGCGGTGAGCTGAGAGCGCCATTGCACTCCAGCCTGGGCAACAACAGTGAAACTCTGTCTCAAAAAAAAAAAAAAAAAAACCATTAATTTTTTTCTTTATGTTTTTATATCTAGTGTGTACCAGGGTAACTTCCTTTAAGACTAGAGTTAATATTCTTCTTTGGAGTAATTTTATGGTAGTAATATTCTTACGTAGACCTGACTATAGAGTCTATAAAGGAACAGGCTTAATGTCTAGGATTATAATTTTCCCTTTAGATTGGGTAATGCAAACCCAAGTAAGAAGGGCAAAACAACAAAAACAACATTCCAACATATACCAAACTGCAGAAAATAATGACTCCATTGTAGTTCCCTTCTAGACATGAAGAGAACATGGAAAACCTCATACTTTTACCCAAGACAACTGTGCACACACAGCCAGGAAGAAGAAATAATACAGGGAGCTTGGATTGTTATGGGGAGCCAAATCTTGCCAAGAACGAGAAGTCTATGGTGACTCTGACCATGTACCTAGATTCCCACTTTCTAGCCACACACATGTTGAAATGACATAGTCCTGTAAGGAGTCCACTGCTTTATGTGTGTGCCCAATTGCACCCCACAGCACCCCAATACACCCATATGGAAGGTGCATTAGTAGATTACTGAGAGGGCAAACAGGATAATCTCATCATAAGATGGCATTAGAGGCATGTGCTTTAATTCAACTTCTAGAGCTTGAGGGAATACACAGAAACAACTAGGAAATCCATGCCTCATACATAGTGAGTCTTGCTAAGGAGCACAATATCAAATGAGGATTATATTTTATCACAGAATCATAACATTTACAGCTTGCAGGCACATTGCTTTTCCCAAAAATGTGATATGGCAAATATATGAGAACTATAAATTACACTAGATTGACAAGAGTACGTTTTGTGTGTCACGGCCTTCAATGCAATTGGCTCTTGGGACATACCATGAGCATTAACTCATAGACAACAATCAAGGGATAGCTAGTTTATTTGCTTTACTCTAATACGTAGCTGTAACACAAATAACATAAGCTGTGAAAGCAATCTATTAGGTCTCCAGACTAAAAGATCAATTTACTACAGGTGACTGACAGCAATTTTCAATGGTAAACAGGTTGATAAATAACATTCATTTATTTCTTTATAAGTAAAATATAAGTATAATTTAAAATATCAAATTATTGATCAAGCTGTTTCTGTACCTCACTTCCGTTTCTGTCTATGAATGCTCCCTGCCCACCTGTTTGCCCAATGGGACTCTCTTAGCCTCCTTTGGTTCTGAGGGCTGCCTGATTAGAGAATCATTCTTTGCTCAAATAAGCTATTCAATTCAATTTGTCAAAAGTTTTTCTTTTCATAGTATTATGTATCACGTGTTATGAGACATCCTTCTTGGGCAAAAAGGAAGCCATTAATGGTTATTGCAGGATGCTTAACCTAATAAAATTTAGGACATTTTAACTTTAGCTATGATTAAAATCTACTAGATTTTTCTCAAAAAAATATATGGGGCACCCTCACCCCATACCTTGTGGTAAATCTGTTTCCATTCCCTGAACTCCCATCAGATCTCTAGACTAATAAAATAAGAATAGATTCATTAAAACATGGAGGGAAAAAAAGAAAACGCCAAATTGTTTATGAAAATGAGATGTATAAAATCACTCTTACATCTAATTATTGTGTGTATATATATATATATACACATACACAGCATTTCCTGCATTTTTAGGAAGAAAAAAAGAGTGTCTTTTTGTGTGAAGCAGTGAAGTTCAGTGACACTGTCAGCTGCTTTAGTTGTCATCAGTATTCCCCTTTTAAGCCCCCAGGTGTGCTGGACAGTTAGTAACACATGCTTACATGCAGACCAATATGCAAATGATTCTAAAATCAGAGATATGCACATTGTAACACTGTATGATAAACCACATCTACATACCATGGTAACGACAATATTTACTACTTTAAAAAATAACCCACTGAAAGCCAAAACAGTTGTAATTTATTGTATTTTCTTTCCCCCTTTTCATTAACTTTTGAGGAACTAGAAAGAAAAAAAGAAAATGCTGGCTACTTATATAAACAGAGATATAAAATTACTGAGATATTCATTCATTCATCTATTCATCTAAAAATATTCATTGTGACAGCAGGTCTTGACTCTACTTCAGAAAATTCTTCAAAATCCTTTTCTTTCTATTCCCACAGCTTCACTGAGATTCTCACCATCGCTGGCCAACATTGCTATAACAGGCCTGTAACTGCCTTTCCTGCTTTTGGTGTTCCCCAAGCCAATCCTCACTGCTACTAGACTATATAGTTCCTAAGTCAGGTGCACCCATAGCCACTGAAAAGCTTCAATTTAGTTAAGTACATAATCCTCAGCTTGGGGCCAGGCACGGTGGCTCACGCCTGTAATCCTAGCACTTTGGGAGGCCGAGGTGGGTAGATCGCCTGAGGTCAGGAGTTCAAGACCAGCCTGACCAGCATAGTGAAACCCTGTCTCTCCTAAAAATACAAAAATTAGCTAGGCATGGTGGCATGCGCCTGTAATCCCAGCTACTCAGGAGGCTGCAGCAGGAGAATTGCTTTAACCCAGGTGGCAGAGGTTGCAGTGAGCCGAGATTGCATCACCTCACTCCAGCCTGGGCAATAAGAGTGAAACTCCGTCTCAAAAAAAAAAAAGAATCCTCAGCTTGGAACATAAATCAGGGCCTTCATAACCTGACTCCATCTGTCCTCTCCACGTTAGTCCCTATCACATCACTCTCACCTCATACCTTGTAGTAAATCTATTACCATTCCCTGAACTCCCATCAGATCTCTTTACAATTCCTTGGCTTTGAGGACTTGATGTTCCCCTGTCTGAAGGCTGAGGAGGCTGTCTGCTCACCAGACCCAGGTCAACTAGCACCTCTGCTGTGACGCCTTGCCAGTCACAATGTCACTCCTGCCCTGCACACCTGCAGCATTTTGTTCATACTCTAGTGGACCCTGGACATTCCTAGATTAAACATCTGTGATTTTGGTCTAGTCACCAAAAATCCTATAAGTTCATAGCAAGACACAATCCTCCATACTGCCTTGGCAGCAGTATGAATTTGAATTATGTATTGTGTTTCACCCAGGATCCATCCAGGGAAGCCGAAACCATCCTAGATATTTCAAACACAGAGAATTTTGTACAAGAAATTGGTTCTACAGATGACGAAGAGCTAAAAGGCCAAACAGGAGCTAAAGAGGCAACCCAGAAAGTAGCATCAACAGAAAACTATTGCTGTCCATTAGATAGGAGTGATATTGACAGAAGATGGCATTACTAGTGATGAGAGGACTGGGCTTCCTGACTAGGGTAGGATCATGTTGTGATTTTCTGATGAGAGCTGGGATCATGAAGGGCAGGGCTTTCTAGGAGGAGGAACCATGCCCACGAAACTGCACAAGGAAAAGCAAGAGAAGGAGAAATAACCTGGATTCTCCCAGTCTCCTTCTGTCTTCTAAAAGTGCCTCCCACTGGCTGGATATCCAGATGCCAGATGCTAAGTCTTCCAGGAAACGTAGTCCTTGTGATTTACAGCCAAGCAGGGAAAGGTCGGGATGGAAAATGAGTGGCACACAGTGTGTGAGGCTGCTGAGCCCCTCACGTGGCTGCCGAGTGAGCCTCACCAGCTGATCACCGTCTGAGCAAAACACAGAAGTGTGTGTGCTACATATCATGAGTCCTTGGACTGTAATTATACCTTGCATGTTGGTTTCCTCTATAAGACTGTGAGCTCAGCAACAGCAGGAACCCAATTTTTATCCCAACACGTAGCACATTATTTGACATACAGTGGGCACTCGATAAGTAAATGCCCTTAACCACCAATCCCCTGGATTTACAACATACTTGAACTTGGTATTTCCCAAAGTTTGTTCTGTTGACCATTAATTCAAAGAGATGTTAATGCATATTACAAGTAAATAGGGCCCTGCCATTCCCAAATAAGTTTGTGAAACAAAGTGTTAAATAAACTTAAGCTGGTTTGTTTATTGCAGAATTATTCAGAGCTTTTAAAATGTGCTTGAAGAGGGAACTGTAGTATGACACACCATCGTTTCAACATGCATGACGACTAAATACTTTTTCCAAAGAACTAACATTATGCAGGAACCTCAGTTCTAAGGGGACATTGCTTAAATATCTTCACATTGGTAGCATTACTTCCTTTTATCTTTGAAATATTCCCATGAGGTACAGAAGAATAAGGTCACATCTTGTAGATAGAAGTGTTGCTAATAAATAATTAAATCTAAAGAATACATCAAGTATTAATTGGATATATAAAGTGTCATTTACTATTCTAGTCACTGCAGCATTAGAATAAAAATATAAGTCATCGTTCCTACCCTATTTGAAGAGATAAGAAAAACAGAGAACCATAAAATGAAACTTTCTTTTTTATCCAACAATATTTTTATACATGCTTTGTACATCAAGATACATGGTGCTATTTGATTATTAAAAATCTGAGACCCATGGAGGGTAATTATTTACTGAAGTGATAAGCAGGTCAGCTCTGGAGCTTACAATTTCAATTTCATGAATTCTAACAGCAAATCACTAACTGGAATGACATCTACCAGATAAATTTTTTTTTATTTTTTTGAGATAGAGTCTTGCCCAGGGTGGAGTGCAGTGGCGCCACCTCGGTTCACTGCAGCCTCTGCCTCCCGGGTTTAAGCGATTCTCCTGCCTCAGCCTCCTGAGTAGCCGAGATTACAGGCGCATGCCACCACACCTGGCTAATTTTTGTATTTTTAGTAAAGATGGGGTTTCACCATGTTGGTCAGGCTGGTCTCGAACTCCTGACCTCACGATCTGCCCACCTCGGCCTCCCAAAGTGCTGGGATTAATTACAGATGTGAGTCACCGCACCCAGCCCAGATAAAGAAAATTTTTTAAAAACTAGATCCCCAATAATAACTTAACCAATATTAATGACCAGAACTGAGCAATGTTGTATCCAACCCGACGAACCTCTAAAAATGACCATTTAAAAATCTCTGAGAAATTCCTGGACTTTTTTTTATTATGATATAGCTAAAATTTCCATTTGTTTCTACATTTTATTGATCCAGATTGATAAAGTAGGACATTATCCTTCATTTTTAAAGACAGACACAAAGCCTTTGGTTTTGTTATTTAAGAAATATGTCCTTTGGAATTAATATTATCATTAACCTTAATAAAGGATTATTACAAAGGCTTCCAACAATGGGTGTCTACACTAGAAAATTTAGCCAGCACACGATCGTCTGTTAAATAATTTTTAAAAGACAGTATGCTTGCTTTGGTCAGATATTTTGGCATTCTCCCCAAATGGCCTCTCTATTACATATTACATTATTAATATTAACATGTAATACAATTTTTGAATATTGGCAAAAAGTTACTATATCATATTACCAATATTTCTATCATACCAGAAGCATAAACTGAGGGCCAAAGAGACAATAAGAATATTCCCTTATGTTGAGACTTATTCATGGTGAACAAAAATTCTGATTTCTAAATATAATATAAAGTAGAAGTTTAATCAACACTTTTAATATTATGGTGATAGTATTCATAGCCTAATCAGTAACTAATGGGATAACTTTGGTTTTCATGCTCTAAAATTCAGTGTTCTCAGCTGTTAAAAAAAAATTAATCACCTGCTTCACTGAGGTGAAATGAAAACTGAATAAGTTCTACAGATCAAGGGTCCCTTCAGGGTGCAGGACCCAAATAAATTAGGAAAATATTGAATCCTATATTCCTCCCCATTTTATCTGGGAGATTGGCAATATGCATCAACACACCAAAAGCTCTGTGAAGTTCTGCCGCAATGAATCTATTAACTTTCCAAAACCAAGTGCTTCTCAAACATACTTGTCCCTAAAACTTGTTTTTCTTTTTCCTGGTAGCACCTATTGGTACACCCAGGAATTAATGTTCCTCAGAACTCACTTAAGGCTGATGCTTCAAGGGAGCAACAAGATCAATTCTTGTGACATCCAAGAATAAAAGTTTTGAGTTGCTGCTTTTATTCTTTCTGATTATAACCAACACCCACAATAAGACACCCTTGCCAACCTGGAGAGTTCAAATACAGAGTGTGTAACAGTGATGACTTTGTGTGGAGTGCAAATTGTATGCATCTCACGATATTTACATTGAATCATGTAAGTATCATTGATATGTAAGTATGATATGATACACAGAATGATGTAAAGATCTCTTGAGTGTGGTTTTTGAGTTCTTTCTATGGAAATGTTTATGAATTTACATTCCTCAGTTGGTTTCCTTTGTGACTAACAATTTGTTTTCACAAGATAGGTCAACAATTTGCATTTCAGTCTGTTAGTGAGGTTAACTAATCCATACTGACCATGGCCTCAGGGGTATCTGGCTACGGCTGTGTTTGCTGGTGAAACTAAGGGAAGTAAGTTAAAAATCAAACAACTCTCTTAGAAAGACTCTACTCTGCCTAAAGTAAATGGAGAACTGAACCAGGTCAAAAATAAATAATTCTAGCGAAAAAGTGTTGCATAGCTGCTAATAAGTCCAAGTATAATGGAAAACTCTATATCCCACTATTTTAAGACTTACTATGATTATTATTTTTACTTCAAAAATACAAAGTTAAAAAGTAAAAAATAGTAACTCAAAACGGGGAAAAACTGATAAATTTGGCAAAAAAGAAACTAGATCTGAGCCTACTCTACCAGAACATGTAGCAGCAACATCACATTGTTGCAGGACGAAGGAGGAAAAACACAGCATTGGGAATGATGGTGGGGTTTGCAATTTGTAGCTGGAGTCATACATCAAAATATGGTCCTCATCTAAGTATAGCATGGAAAATATTTCATTCTTTTTTATGAGTGTATATACAAGGCTAACCATCACCTAAGGTCAGCAAGCAATATAAAAGCAAAACCAACAATAAATGCATCTGTTCCTACACCAGTTCTGATGTTCTGCAGCTCAAATCACATCACCCCCAAAATGACCACTGCAGAGGTAACAATGATTCACTCTAAGCTTAACAGTGGTGTAAGTCTACATGCCAATACTAGTACAATATGAGGTTTTAGGCAAATAAAATTGGTTTGTATTTCTCCAAATATGGTCTGTGGACCATCTGTGTCTAGAACACGTGGGGAGTTTGTTCAAAGTGCTCCCTGGGCCCCACCCAGACCTTCCCAGCAGTCTCTCTGGGGCTAGGCCTTGGACTGTTTACATGGAATAAGCTCTCTGGTGATTTTTAAGCCTACTAGAAAGCTAAAAGAATATTGTATTGAGGTTGGGTGCAGTGGCTGACACCTGTCATCCCAGCACTTTGGGAGACTGAGGCGGGTGGATTACCTAAAGTCAGGAGTTCAAGACCAGCCTGGCCAACAAGGTGAAACACCGTCTCTACTAAAAATACAAAAATTAGCCAGGCATGATGGCAGGCGCCTGTAATCCCAGTTACTAAGGAGGCCAAGGCGGGAGAATCGCTTGAACCTACGAGGCAGAGTTTGCAGTGAGCCGAGATCACACCATTGCACTCCAGCCTGGACGACAAAAGCAAAACTCCGTCTCAAAAAAAAAAAAAGAATATTCCATTGAATCCTGATATGGAGAACTTAGAAACTTCACAGGAAAGCATCAAAACAATAAAAATCTTTCCCACGTTAAGGCTTAGAAAACAAGCTTTTTAGAAAAAAAAAGTATGTAAAAAACTAAACTGGTGACCATGACAATTTGGAAACATCATTTAAAAACATTATTAGATATCACCACCGATCCCACAGAAATACAAACTACCATCAGAGAATACTGTAAACACCTCCACACAAATAAACTAGAAAATCTAGAAGAAATGGATAAATTCCTCAACACATACACCCTCCCAAGATGAAACCAGGAAGAAGTTGAATCCCTGAATAGACCAATAACAGGCTCTGAAATTGAGGCAATAATTAATAGCTTACCAACCAAAAAAAGTCCAGGACCAGATGGATGCACAGCCGAATTCTACCAGAGGTACAAGGAGGAGCTGGTACCATTCCTTCTGAAACTATTCCAATCAATAGAAAAAGAGGGAATCCTCCCTAACTCATTTTATGAGGCCAGCATCATCCTGATATCAAAGCCTGGCAGAGACACGACAAAAAAAGAGAATTTTAGACCAATATCCCTGATGAACATAGATGCAAAATTCCTCAACAAAATACTGGCAAGCTGAATCCAGCAGCACATCAAAAAGCTTATCCACCATGATCAAGTGGGCTTCATCCCTGGGATGCAAGGCTGGTTCAACATATGCAAATCAATAAACGTAATCCAGCATATAAACAGAACCAAAGACAAAAACCGTATGATTATCTCCATAGATGCAGGAAAGGCCTTTGAAAAAATTCAACAACCCTTCATGCTAAAAACTCTCAATAAATTAGGTATTGATGGACGTATCTCAAAATAATAAGAGCTATCTATGACAAACCCACAGCCTATATCATACTGAATGGGCAAAAACTGGAAGCATTCCCTTTGAAAACTGGCACAAGACAGGGATGCCCTCTCTTACCACTCCTAATCAACATAGTGTTGGAAGTTCTGGCCAGGACAATCAGGCAGGAGAAGGAAATAAAGGGTATTCAATTAGGAAAAGAGGAAGTCAAATTGTCCCTGTTTGCAGATGATATGATTGTATATCTAGAAAAGCCCATTGTCTCAGCCCAAAATCTCCTTAAGCTGATAGGCAACTTCAGCAAAGTGTCAGGATACAAAATCAATGTGCAAAAATCACAAGCATTCTTATACACCAATAACAGAGAGCCAAATCATGAGTGAACTCCCATTCACAATTGCTTCAAAGAGAATAAAATACCTAGGAATCCAACTCACAAGGGACGTGAAGGACCTCTTCAAGGAGAACTACAAACCACTGCTCAATGAAATAAAAGAGGATACAAACAAATGGAAGAACATTCCATGCTCATGGGTAGGAAGAATCAATATCGTGAAAATGGCCATACTGCCCAAGGTAATTTATAGATTCAATGCCATCCCCATCAAGCTACCAATGACTTTCTTCACAGAATTGGAAAAAACTACTTTAAAGTTCATATGGAACCAAAAAAAGAGCCCACATTGCCAAGTCAATCCCAAGCCAAAAGAACAAAGCTGGAGGCATCACACTACCTGACTTCAAACTATACTACAAGGCTACAGTAACCAAAACAGCATGGTACTGGTACCAAAACAGAGATATAGATCAATGGAACAGAACAGAGCCCTCAGAAATAACGCCGCATATCTACAACTATCTGATCTTTGACAAACCTGACAAAAATGAGAAATGGGGAAAGGATTCGCTATTTAATAAATGGTGCTAGGAAGACTGGCTAGCCATATGTAAAAAGCTGAAACTGGATCCCTTCCTTACACCTTATACAAAAATCAATTCAAGATGGATTAAAGACTTAAACGTTAGACCTAAAACCATAAAAACCCTAGAAGAAAACTTAGGCATTACCATTCAGGACATAGGCATGGGCAAGGACTTCATGTCTAAAACACCAAAAGCAATGGCAACAAAAGCCAAAATTGACAAACGGGATCTAATTAAACTAAAGAACTTCTGCACAGCCAAAGAAACTACCATCAGAGTGAACAGGCAATCTACAAAATGGGAGAAAATTTTCGCAACCTACTCATCTGACAAAGGGCTAATATCCAGAATCTACAGTGAACTCAAACAAATTTACAAGAAAAAACCACACAACCCCATCAAAAAGTGGGCGAAGGACATGAACAGACACTTCTCAAAAGAAGACATTTATGCAGCCAAAAAACACAAGGAAAAATGCTCACCATCACTGGCCATCAGAGAAATGCAAATCAAAACCACAATGAGATATCATCTCATACCAGTTAGAATGGCAATCATTAAAAAGTCAGGAAACAACAGGTGCTGGAGAGGATGTGGAGAAATAGGAACAGTTTTACACTGTTGGTGGGACTGTAAACTAGTTCAACCATTGTGGACGTCGGTGTGGCGATTCCTCAGGGATCTAGAACTAGAAATACCATTTGACCCAGCCATCCCATTACTGGGTATATACCCAAAGGATTATAAAACATGCTGCTATAAAGACACATGCACACATATGTTTATCACAGCACTATTCACAAAAGCAAAGACTTGGAACCAACCCAAATGTCCAACAATGATAGACTGGATTAAGAAAATGTGGCACATATACACCATGGAATACTATGCAGCCATAAAAAATGATGAGTTCCTGTCCTTTGTAGGGACATGGATGAAGCTGGAAACCATCATTCTCAGCAAACGATCGCAAGGACAAAAAACCAAACACCGCATGTTCTCACTCATAGGTGGGAATTGAACAATGAGAACACACGGACACAGGAAGGGGAACATCACATACCGGGGCCTATTGTGGGGTGGGTGGAGGGAGGAGGGATAGCATTAGGAGATATACCTAATGTTAAATGACGAGTTAATGGGTGCAGCACACCAACATGGCACATGTATACATAGGTAACAAACCTGCACGTTGTGCACATGTACCCTAAAACTTAAAGTATAATAAAATAAATAAATAAATAAATAAAAATAAAAACATTATTAGATACAAACATATAAAATTTTGTGTTCTCTATATTATAAAAGATTTATTAATTCCTCAACATCCTTGCTTTTAATAAATCCTGAGCTTAGAGTGCATGCTCTCACTGGTGCTCACTGTCAGCCGCCTGTAGTGTATCTTCCTTTCTTTCCTTTTTTTTGAGACAGAGTCTTGCTCTGTCACCCAGGCTGCAGTGGCACAATCTCGGCTCACTGCAATCTCAGCCTCCTGGGTTCAAGCGATTCTCATGCCTCAGCCTCCAGATTAGCTGGAACTACAGGCACACGCCACCACATCTGACTAATTTTCGTATTTTTAGTGGAGCCAGGGTTTTGTCATGTTGGGCAGGCTGGTCTCGAGCTCCTGGCCTCAGGTGATCGGCCTGCCTTGGCCTCCCAAAGTGCTGGGATTATGGGTGTGAGCCACCGCGCCCAGCATGCATCTCCCTTTCATTCCTTCCTGGCTGGCAAAGCCCCACTCCCACTGTTTCACCATGTAGGCCTCCATCTGAAGCTTGCTCCTTTATATTATCAGTGTTCGTGGTTGTGATGAAAGGCATGGTCTGTGGCCCTAAAAAGTATGACCACTGAGCAAGAGTTTCTCATCTTCTTCCCCAAAGGTGCTGAAGACCAGGAGATCTTTTCATTAGTCAAAGCTGATTTAAGTGCCATTCTACCTTGCAGGAGAAATTCAGAAGGACTGGCTCCTAGTGTGCCCTTCTGGCCTAATCATTCTATGTTTCCAAGATGTACATGACTGTACAGAGTTGGCCAAGGGACGTCCAGGACCATCCCTGTGATCTATAGTACGGTCTTCCTATCTTTCAATTAACAATTTCTTACTGAAAATCCACTGCATGCAAACTTCAGAAGTTGTATTAAGGTCTTATTTTGAATACTTCATATCCAAAATCTTGTGTCTGGTATAAAAAATGATAAATAAAAGGAAATGTTATATATAATTCATATATTATAACATATATATGTATGTATCTATATATAATATGCACTGAGAGAGAACTGCAGACAATTTGTTGTGACAAGAACTAAGAGAAATGGAACAAGAATGTGCTAAATCAATACCAAACTACAGCAGCAGACCCCCTTTATAGCTCAATTTTAGAGAGGTTTATAGCAGATTATGACACAACTACACTTTAACTCAGTTCTGAAAGTAAGCCATCTACCAGAAGTCTCATCTTCTTAAATAGGAAATGGTTAACTCAGAACATGGTTTTCAAGGTGTCATCTCTGAACCAGCAGCAGCAGCATCACCTGAAAACATGTTAGACGTGCAAACTATCAGGTACTCCACCAAATCTACTGACAGAAATTCTGCAATCCGTGTTTTAAAAGGTCCCACAGGTGATTCTGATGCATACTAGAGTTTAAAAACTGCTGGCTAAAAACTCAAGACAACTCACCTGGACCTTCTATCATAGGTTAGAGTGAGCCAAATAAAACAAGAGTAGTTATTATAGTAATCTATAAGGCATAATTTAAAAAAAAAAAAAGAGCCCTGCCTGCTTCCCCAAGTGACCTAAGAAGAAGTCTCTACATTTCTTTAAATTAGAGCAACTGTTTTCAGTTAAGACACTGTCACAGAAAGCCACTATGCCCATTAATATGCCAACACTCATTATTTAGCTTATTACTCAGCTGTCACTTGGCAGAGAGCTTGGATATAAAGAAAAGCATAACGTGGCATATCATATGACAGGTCAGGTTTACAGTAAAGCAAGGGAACAAGAGTCCCAAGCAGTCTCCCTCAAGTCATGAAAGACAGGCCCAGGTGGAACTCTACAGTAAGGAGACTCTGAAAAGGCAATGACGCTTTCATAACATAGAGCAAGGGATGCTCAAAGAAACATTCTGACATCATTACTGTCTTCAGCAGCACTTAACTGTCTATTAGTTGAGATGATCTCCGGCTTCTTAGAACAGAACAGTGTCTAAGCAGGAAAGGTAATGGTTTACTGCTGATTAGCATTCCACACGCATTTCATATGTATATATGACTAACGATCAAACTAAACATGGAATAATATAAATATGGGACTCTCTTTGGTACTTCCTCATTACTGCACCAGCAGTTTCTTAAGATGAAATGTACACATTCAGATTCTGACATTTGCAAGCACCACCTGACAGAACTTAACAAATACGCTTAATATGTCTTTACAACATTCTTACGTGTATCATTTGCAGGGCATGTAAATCTTACTAATACGTGCACCAAAAAGTTTGATATTAATTTTTTAAAATTCTGTTAAAGTCCTTAATGACTAAAACGGTATTTGA
This sequence comes from Homo sapiens, assembly GCF_000001405.40. Lineage (NCBI taxonomy): Eukaryota > Metazoa > Chordata > Mammalia > Primates > Hominidae > Homo > Homo sapiens. The sequence goes on from NC_000013.11 coordinate 39,597,456, forward strand.
AAGCACACAATTTTATATTCACCAATCAAAAACATTAAAGCCTCTATTTTCTCCTAGCATCCTTACCACACTATATACATGTTAACATTTTTATTTTACATTGTATTTCCCCACAGCCTTTCTACATGCCTTTTAAAAACTCAGTTGAGGGTAACTCAACCCACACTGGTTCTTTAAAGTTAGACATAAACATACCTTATAATATGAAATGGAGATGGTGGCAATTAAAGTTTCTGTACAGATTACCACAGGAAAAGTGATAGTCACTGACTCCTTGAGGTATTCCTACTATAGGTAGAAAATATCCATGTATGGCAGCCCCATTTTACATTGCTCTATCAGTTGACAGCTGACATTTTAACCTCTAACCAACCATAGCAAGAAGATTCAGAATTAAGTTTGACAATTTGTCCTTTAACTTGTTCCAAAGTACTGCAGGGGTTTTACTGCCTGATGTTATACCATATGTACAAACTCTAGACACAGCAGGCGGGGTTAAGCAGGATGCCTCTGTATTTTGCCATTCTCCTGTTTCCTGTTGTTTTTGGAGCAGCCTAACTTTAGCTAAACATAACCCTCCTGGGCATATCATTTTTAGCAGGAGAATCTGCCTCATAGCAAAGTTCCCTGTATGTTGATTACATTTCTGAAGCATGGCAGTCTATGAGATTCATAGAACTCACTGGTTTGGCATTCTGCCGAGTCTTTATGAAACCCAACTCATCATAGGAAAAATTTATTGAAATAAAATTACTTACTGCATAAGTTTTTGTGAATAAAAACCCAAACAATTATGAAATGAACAAGCTACCTAGGGAATTCTTTTTGAAACTTTTTTTTTTTTGGTCATCTGGTCTCCATTAAGTAACAGTGATAAACAGCAGATTCTTTAAAACTTTTTCCATATTTCAAGTTATTTTTTAATTCTAAATTTACTGTTATCTTTGGTAATGGGTATGTTTACTTGTGCCCTCGAGAGGTGAGATTCTGTAAAACCCTCTTAGATTTTACATCCAGAATTATTTTTGCCAGTATGAGAAATATTTTTGAGAAATTAGAGAATATCAGCTGCTACTAACAAATTTTATTTATCTTTATTTATTTTATTTATTTATTTTGAGACAGAGTCTTGCTCTGTCGCCCAGGCTGGAGTGTAGTGGCCCAATCTCAGCTCACTGCAAGCTCCACCTCCTGGGTTCACGCCATTCTCCTGCCTCAGCCTCCGAAGTAGCAGGGACTACAGGCGCCCACCACCACGCCTGGCTAATTTTTTTGTATTTTTTAGTGGAGACCGGGTTTCACCGTGTTAGCCAGGATGGTCTCGATCTCCTGACCTCGTGATCCACCTGCCTTGGCCTCCCAAAGTGCTGGGATTGCAGGCGTGAGCCACCGCACCCGGCCAGCTGCTACTAACAAACTATACTCTTAGCTTAATGTCAGTAACTCTTACCAAGCCAGAGTTCATGAAAAGTACTCACAAAGAAAAAAACATGGTTCTTTAAAAATATATATAATTTCCCCAATTGTCTGTCCCCTTGGGTATTCTGTAAAGTAGAACATTTAGCTCTATATAATTCAAAAAAAATCTATACATAGCTTAGGGAAGGAACCATAAATCTCATGGGTCTCAGATTCACTTCCTGTTGCCTTCCTTCATTACACGTTTAAAGATAATCAATAAAAACTGATTTCTCTTTGTAAGCATTTTCCTGTTCTGCCAGAAATAATAGCAGGCCCTGCCCTAAAATGAAGGAAAAATGGAAAGCAATATTTACCATAAGAGGAGAAAATGAAACTGCTTAAGCATTTTTCCTGAGCCAAGTGAAACACAAACAGCAGACCAACTTTATTCTTACAGAAAAAAATTTTAAATACTCTTGGCATTAATTCTATTCTTAAAATCTATTCTTAAAATTTGTAAGTTTTCAAACTCTGAATTTACATTTCCACTTTCAATGACAACTTCTTTAGGTTTCCTAATAGTTTTAAGTACATACCTGTGTAAATATACATATCACATGCAAGACTTTTGTCAGTGTTAAACATTGAAGCTGTAAAGAGATGACAGGTAGGTCCCCCACACTGCCTCCCGGGAGGGACTAAGGTGCAAACCCAATGGGAAAAAACCCAAATGAGAACAAAGTTACATCAGTAAGGAAAGAATGGACAATTCTATCTCACTTTAAAACAAAACTTTCTATCTCATTTCAAAACACAAAACTTTGCCACTTGCATTTTCAGCACAAGAATTAAACTTTACTGAAAATGTTACTTGAAAGTTTTATATTAAATACTCTGAAATAATCCATTGGGGTTCTCTAATATGGGGAGACTGTCTCACAACTACTCATTTTTAATTCATTTTTCTTCTTCTGGATTCTTCACAAAAGACTGTAAGAAAACACCAAATGAGGGAGTAACAGACCTTTACTTTGTAATGAAGTTCCAAATACATTGTATAAGTTTTCCAGGCTTCCTATTTCCCTTCACTCTGCACTATCTATGGAGGTTGTCATATTTCACCAGGGTGGACTGTAAATCAGACAAGTTCAGCCAGTCAGGTTGAAGAATGGAGGTGAAAAGCACAGTGGAAAATACATAAAGTACAATTAAAACCATATGACCAAAGATATTGAAGCAATACTTGCTGGAGGGAATCCAAGTAAAAATCAAACCTTTTCTGGCGTTAGTGAAACTATCCAGTCCATCTGGGACAAGCACACATCATTTGCTAAATATCCCTTTTCTTTTTTTCCACAGCAAGAGCACCCAGGAAAGTTAAGACCTAACAAGGTAATTAAGTGGATAGCTATCTCTGTAGAATAGTTAAGTTCATAGTTGTTATATAAAACTGATCTCTCATTTAAAATAGTTAACATTTATTTAGAAATAGAGTTTAAGATTGGGCAAGAGTAAATTTTGCATCCACCAAAGTGTATTAGAGGTTCATGATAACAATGTTGAATCAAAAACCTTTTCCACTTTTCTGTGAAATCTTTACCTTTAAAGACCCGAGGATTCCATGAAGACAAAGATAATCTAATTGTCTATTGTTTAACATAACGAACAAGAAGCTATAAAATCCAAACTGTCGCCCCTACTACACCTCAAACAACCTAGATGTTACTGTTTCACATAGGTGGCACTTAGCAGGCCAGTGATGTATATGTACAGAAATTAAGAACTCTTGAAGTTGTAAAGCAGCAATTCTGACAATAATCTTGACTTTGGCAACCTATCATCAAAGCCATTCCAAATCTATTTCTCTTATGCATTCCAGGTGTCATTTATAATAATCTCAGTAGACAACTGAAACATAACTTTTAATACTGCTTTGGGATTCCAGTAAACAACTCAAGCTCAGCAAGTCACTTACCCCCAAGAAACTGAATTCCTCCAGCCACTCTTCCCACTGTCCTGGAGATGAGGTCGGAAACACAGCAACCCATGAGGGCAGTGAGCGCCACCAGGAGGAGGAGGCCACAACCCAGGCCGGTCACTATGGTGCAGATCCTCCATTCTGCGCTGGGGATGCCCTGGAAGGAGGCATAGCGCCCACATTCCTCCACCATCACCATCATCTGCCGACTCTCATCATGCACAGGATATGAGCACCTCCGGAAGGTACCGAAGGACACAGGCTTGCCCAGCTGTGATCCCCAGAGCCAGTAAGGCATAAAGAACCCCACGCAGGAGGTGGCAGCACAAAGAAAAGACAGCAAAGCCCAGATTACTCCAGTACAAGTCAGGCTGGATGCCATCTTTCACCAGATAGGGCAATGAGGACCCCAAGTAAGTGTTCAGGGACTGCAGGAGTGAATGAAGGTGTGAAATCACCAGGGACCCACAGATAATCCACAGTTCCGTAATGCAGAATGGATCTTCAGTCTTACTGGGCATCAACTTTCCATCCTCTGCACTAAAGATGATGGTCCCTGGTAAAACAACAGGAAACATTAAAAATTAAAGGCATTAAAAGAAGTGATAACACTGTTTCAGCTAGTCTACAATTTTCAATTAATAAACATTGAGACTTGCCTCAACACTTTAAAAGTGGGAAGAACTAATTCTCTCTATGAGCTTCATAACTCGATTTTTGTCAAACCAGCTCAAAGCTTTTTCATGTCTTTATCTTCCGTAAATATTTCCAAATTAACTCTGACAGCTATTTACTTAAAGAAACGCCCGATTTTTATTTGACAGGCCAATGAATTCATTCTATATATTATATACTCACATTAAAAGTAATGTAGCACTTTCACTGGGCAATAAACAATTAAAATAAAATGAACCATGCCATGATTTCCATTTTTTGGCTTGCAAGTTCATGCTCATAGTTTGTTGCAACTTTTCTATGTCCCTTTAAGGGTGCATTAACTCTCTGCATGAGCCAAACAAACTAATTAGGATAATTTTTCACAATTGCAGAGTACCATAAATTTAACAAGCATTATGGTCTGCGGAGGCACCCACAGTACAGAACTATTACCAGACACTCTTTGTACTCATTCAGCAGCATTTCAGAATTTCTTTAGTCTTAACATCTTCTAGTGTAAAAGAATGCCTGTGTATGACTTATTTTGAGTCTGCAGTTTTGATTCATTGATTCCAACAGTTCTATTGCAATCATTTCTCCCACTGAATGATTGTCTAATTTGAACAGCAATCCATACTTCCCAGTATGCTACATCAAACCCCAGTCATCCAAATGGTTCCAGGGGCATCTACTTCCACCCCAGCCTTTCAAAAAGAGTTCCTTAACCATTTCTCACACTTTCCATAAAGAAATGAATACAGAAGCACAGAGCCCATCCACCCTAGAATTCCACCCCCAGGACCCCTAACTCCAGCTTTCAGGGTCCATAGCAAATTTCCCCCTTTCTTCACCTCGCCCCTACCCGTTTTTTTCTCTAACCACCGCCCATTTTCAGTTCTGGATGTCACTCAAACGGGAGGTCGGCTACTACTTTTTTTTCTAATCTTGTCAACTGCAGTCAGGGCTGAAGTTGATCTATCTGGGCCACGAGGCTGGGGAAGACCAGCAGGGGGTGGCCTGCGGGCAGGGGGCCCCCATCTCCAACTGCGGTGAGGCGCCCTCGCCAAGACAAGCCCATATTTAGCCCCCTGCCATTGCCTCACCGAGCCACTCCACCCATGGAGACACACAATGATCCCTCCATTCTAAAAGGGGGCAAGAGGCATTTTCCAGCCGGCTCTGGACGAAGGGAGGGGATAAGGATGGGAAGGCAGCACCCCCCGGAGGCAGACGCCAAGAGCGGACGCGGCTGGCAGGCAGAGCCGACGGATCCGCCGAGCTCAGGAAGTCCGGAGCCCGGGAGCAGCCCAACTCCGGCTCCGGGGCAGAGAGGGAGCCCGGGAGAAAGCAGCGGAGCCCACGCCCACGGGGCAGCCGAGTGATTTACTTACATGGCTGGCGGGCGGCGGCCACCTTCCCTCCCGCGTCCCGGGCGCACACACAACTTGCTGTCTTTCTCGGGCGGGAACATCCACGGGAAACCGGACCGTCCTGCCCTTCTTTGCCTCTGTCCCTAACAGCCGCAGAACCCCGGGGCCCGACCTGGAAGAGCAGGGGTTGGCAGGAGGCGGAGGGTCTCCAGAAGCGGGCTGGCACCAGCGGAGACCCCCACTCCCGGCGAGTCCGCGGCGGCAGCTCTGGCGGAGCGCTGTGGGCGCGCGCGGGCGCCGGGGATCGCACGCAGAGGAGCGGATCTCCCTTTGGCAGGCGAGGCACGCACCGCCTCCTCCCCTCCGCTGCCCGGCCCTCCTCTTTCTCCAGTCCCCTCCCCTCGCGCCCCGGGGAACTCCGCGCAGACAGACCCAGGACGCACCGGGGACGTTCCTGGAGCGCCGGGAAGGGAGTGGGGGGGTGCCCCGCTGTCCGCGCGGGTCCAGGCCCACCCCCGGGGGCAGCTTTCGCGGCTCCTCCCCTAGCCCCGAGCCCCCTCGCGCCCCCTCTCCCTGCGTCTCATTCAAAGCTGAGTGGGGAAGGCAGACAGACCGAGAAGTATGGGAGAAAGTTGCTTGTCTTCCTGGGTGACCCCGAGGAGCCACGGAAGATGACACACTTTGCCTGTTGGGGCTTTTCTGGGTTTACTGTTCGGGTTTATGCTCCTGTTTTCCTGCCGCCGTTAAAAGAAGCCGTAGACGGGAAAGAGGGCCTTAAAGAGTGGGTAAAGTGGCCCCTTTGAGATTTGAGGAGGCTTTTGAGAAGTGGTCACTTTGGAAGGCGGTGAATGAGGCGGTTGTGGACGTGGGAATTAAAGCACAGCAGACAGCCCAAGGCTCATGTATGGCATGGGGGCAGCTGCCTTTCCAGACGAGCCAGGGAGAAGGCAGGGGCGGACCTCTAGCGAGCCTCTCCCAAGAGATACACTCTTTCAAAGGTCTCTCTCTCTCTCTCTTGCTGTTTCTCTGTCTCTCTCTCCCTCCCTCCCTCCCTTTCCCTTCACTTCCTCCCTCCCTTCTCCTCCATCCTGCCTCCTGATCAATTTTGCAATTTATTCCATCGTTTGATTTCTTTTCTGAGAAACAACTGATTTTTAGTTCCCCTCTGGACTTGAGGACTTTTTCCACTTGTCATTAGCACTAACCCCTTTAGAAGTTTAGAGCTAGATTCAGTAGATGACTGTGGGAGTCTCTGCTGAACACAGTATTTTAAGAAGTATGCCATCTGGGAACAGCAGTTTTTGAAGTAGACAGTTTCCCAGATATAGTTTTTGTGAGGTGTCTTTTTAGAGGAGTTGAAAGTAATAAATTGGTAGGTATATATTTCATAGCAGATTTTCAGACTGCACCATTTTAATTAGCCGTGATGGTGTACATTTTTCCCACAACGACAGCTGGAGATATGTGTTCTTTTATTATTATTTTGAAAGACCTTAAGTGATTGATTCCAAGCCTTTTGAGGTCACAGGTCTTTTAAAAAATACGATGAAACTGATAAGCCTTCCAGAAAAAAAAATGCGCGGACATATAAAGCTTTACCACAGCGATTCTGAAGAAGGAAAGGGATATTTGGCAAGGTCTGAAGATAATTTTGATTATCATAACCCATGAATGGGGAGTATTACTGGCATCTAGTTGGTAAAGACCCGAGATTCTGCTAAATACAGTGCACAGGACAGTCCCCAAAATTACCTGGGCCAAAATGTCAATCATTTGAATGAAATATCAGGTGGTTTCCCATTCCCTTAAAGCCCATCCATGAATCCCATATTCAGAATCCCCAATTTAAGTGTTTTTGTTTTTGGTGTTGTTGTTGAGTTTAAGTTGTTTTAACTCTTCTCTTACAAATCACCGGTTACTGGTTTCAGTGACAGCATAAGAATGATTGGTCTGACTTCCAGTTAGGTACCACACCCTTAGTTATTACACAGAGCCTTCATACCTATATAATATGATGGTGGAAGATATGATCATAAAAGACAAAAGAATAATAGTGAGAATCGGAGTCACCTCCGTACAACCTGCAGGGGAAATTGCTCTCAAACACTTTCTTAAGTGTGAGAAAGCTTAAGCGCAAGTGCTGGCTGGAGACATATTAATGATAATCATGGTTACTACAGATTGACTCCTTGCTGTGTGTTAGTACATTAAGGTCCCTTAATAGATTACTTATCCAGTCCTCAAAAAAGAAAAGAAAAATTATGAAGAAGGAATAATTATTATTTTACCGCAAGGATAAGAAGTAATTTGCCCAAAAATTTACAGCTAAAAAATGACTTTTAAAAAAATCTCATTATTTGCACTCTCTTAAGCAGAGTAAATGCTATCACAGAGATTCTGCCTAAAATGAAAAAAAAAATGACAGAAGAGGCCAAATTTTTAAAAATCTTTCAGGATGCAATATCAATTATTTGTGAAAGTATAATACTGGGACTCAAATTTCTAACTTAAATAAGTGAATTCAGACAAATGGTGATCTTCCCAAGCCCTAAGTTATCTCATTGTTAAAAAGAGATTGAAATAGGTTATTTTAATTTTTTTTAAGCTCACAACTTCCAGCATCATGGTTATATGGGTCCTCTTATCTTTGAGAAGGAATTTAGAGATCATCTAATCTTGTTCAAGTATGTAATTTTACAGCTGACAAAACAGAGGCTCGAAATTCTTCCAGTGTCTTACCCAAAGCTGAGGCTATAATCCACATATCTTGATTTCTCTTTCTAATTATCTTACTAAACTATAATATCTTCTGAATTACTCCTTATGTTCTTCCATGCACACTTTGTAAGCAAAATGCATTATAATTTATTTAAGCCCCTTTGCATTAAATTTGTACCTTTAAAGGACCATTAAATTACTTCACAGCCAGAAGTTCCCACATAGCAGATGCCACTTATAACACCTATTCCAGGTTTGGGTTTCCAGTATGTTTGGATAGTAGTCTCATTGAGTCACAAGATGAGATCATGAATGCGACAGTATATGGAAAGCTATAAAGTGTTTATGACAACACTCTTGGTTGGCTACCCAGTATTAATTCACAATCCCCTCTCCCTTCTCACCAGATACTCTTCTAGCATCCCTTAAAGCAAGTAATGGCCACTTGATCCTGCTGTAGCCAATGAGTTTGCTAAGGAGGCCTCTGGGGAAGATTGTATTCTCTGATAAAATAAGGAGACGTGAGAGAATAGTTCTCTCACCATCATGACTGTCTTCGGGCACATTCTTGAAGGTGTTTAGAGCTCTAGCAGCCTTCTTGTAACCAGGTGGGGGGTCACAGAGACATACTCCCAGTGATCTAACATTGTAGAGCTTCTCACCTCCATTTGAATTATTTAAAAAGTAAATTATAGATTTTTAATATGGTTTAAATCACTATGAGTTGAATTTTCTCCTTTTAGTAGCTAAAAGCATTCCTAATTGATAAAGCATGGTATAGATAAGACATTTTCAATGAGAGGAAATATACATCAGTGAACATTGTATCTCAGTGCTTGGCAATGTAGACAGATACTCAATAATCAAACAGTAATTGTGGGATTTAATGAACAAATCAATATCATCGTGATTACTATCCTTGTTCTAATGCAGCCTACAGAGTGGGTATTTAATTTTTAAACAAATGGTATGCTATGTGAAATTAGGGAAGGAGCATGATAATGAAATATCGAGAACATAATGAAATCAATCACTTCTGACTACCAGAGAGAGATTGGAAAGGGATTTAGTCTGTCCACAATTGTGGCAAACACTACAGTTTGGCTGATATCATTTCCAACTCACTTCTTTTACATTGTTATCTCCTACGAAAGCAGTGAAAGCTAAAATCTCCACGTCCTAGCCTCCCTTGAAATTTGAGGGGCGATGTGTGTGTTATGATATATATTAATTTTTGTCTACAGTTCCTAGCTCCCAACACCCATAGCCCTTGTTACAGTATTTTGTTACAGTGTTGGGTATGTTAGGCCTCAGGAACAGACCTCAAGAAACAGAACCTCTCTAACCTGCTTCTGCTCTCCTTTCACCTGCCCCAAGGCAGTACTCTAATCTTTCCCCCTCCTTTCTGACTGTGGGTCTTAGGACCCTCCCCTGAGAGGGACCCACCCCATATCCTGAGGAAAGCAATGGTGACATCATGAAGCTTCCATAAAAACCCAAGAGGGCAGGCTTGGCATGGTGGCTCACACCTGTAATCCCAGCACTTTGGGAGGCCGAGGCGGGTGGATCACCTGAGGTCAGGAGTTCAAGACCAAGCATTGCACTCCAGCCTGGGCAACAAGAGTGAAACTCTGTCTCAAAAACAAACAAACAAACAAACAAAAAAACTCAAGAGGGCTGGCGTGGTGGCTCACACCTGTCATCTCAGCACTTTGGGAGGCCAAGGTGGGCAGATCACCTGAGGTCAGGAGTTCAAGGCCAGGCTGGCCAACATGGTGAAACCCCATCTCCACTAAAAATACAAAACTTAGCTGGGTGTGGTGGTGTGCACCTGTAGTCCCAGCTACTCAGGAGGCTAAGGCAGGAGAATAGCTTGAACCCAAGAGGCGGAGGTTGCAGTGAGCCAAATCGCACCACTGCACTCCCGTCTGGGCTACAGAGCCAGACTCCATCTCAAAAACAAAACAAAACAAAACAAAACCAAGAGGACTGGAAGTTCCTGGAGGATGGTGTGCCCCAGGAAGGCATGGAAGCTCCACACCCTTTTCCCCATACCTCGCCCTGTGCATCTCTTCATCTGTTTCCTTTGTAATATCCTTTTATAATAAACTGGTAAACATAAGTGTTTCCCTGAGTTCTGTGAGCTGCTCCAGGAAATTAATTGAACCCAAAGAAGGGGTCATGCAAACCCCAATTTGAAGCCAGTTTGTCAGAAGTTCTGAAGGCCCAGACTTGTGACTGATGTGGGGTGACAGGGGCAGTCTTGGGGACCGAGGCCTCAATCTATGGGATCTGATGCCATCTCTAGGTAGATATTGTCAGAATAGAACTGGAGGACACCCAGCTGGTATTTGCTGCGGAGGTGATTGCTTGTTTGCTGGTGGGGAAATATCCCATACCTTGGGGTCACAGAAGTCTTCTGTGTTGACTGTTACTGTGTTGGTGTGAAAGCAGAGGAAAAACCTGGTTAGAGATTCCAGAAACACCATGTGACAGTTCTGGCCATTGAAGGGTGCTGGTACCATCACCTCCACCTCTTCTTTCTTCCAGCCCAGAGAACAGTTGTGATAGCACTTTGCAGCCCGGCATTCATTGTGCAGCCATGAAGCAACAGGCATGAGGAGGAAAGCCAGCACACGAACCATGATGGAGCAAAGTGGTGAAAAGAGTCCGCTTCTTCCCTATCTGCACTAGGCTGTTGGACTTCTCTTGGGGTAAGATCAAGAATCCTCACCTGGTTAAGTCACTGTTATTACCTGCTACACTATTCATACCAACTCTTCTGTTACACTCAAGAGGCCAGCACCACAACAAAGGCACAGAGTGTGGGGACATGAAACAGAACCAGGAAAGAACATAACAGTGTTGAGGGAGAATTTCTCAAGCAAACAGTGGCTGGGGAGGCATTCATTGTCCACAGTGTGTATTGCAGAAGATGGACCCTCCTTAAAGTGTGGCAATAGAAACAGGAACAGCTATGAAAATGGCTTATAAAATGTTTATTCTTAAAGTCTCAACTTTGAGCAATTCAGAGAGACAGAAATTCTCAGCATTATAAAATAGCCTGATACGAAAAGGTTCCTCTTAAATACAAACCAGCAAGAGAGAGATGCAGACAGGTGGGAGGTCCAAATGAGAACCAGTAGATAACAAAAGAGAGGCTTTAAGTAGGGGCAGGGAGGAGAGATTTTTTCCTTAACTTCTCCTGGATGTGGAGCTCATCATTTCTTTGTCAATAAAAAAATACATGATTTGTTCCTCGACACATGCTGCGAGATATCCCAAGAAATGCTCCACCAGCTGAAAACCTACCATCACAGTTTTCAGTACAGATGCAGTGAACAAGGTTTAAAAAAACATAGTTGGAGATCATAGTAAGTTCCTCCATTCTGCCATTTCCTTCCTCCCTTCATTCCTTTTTTCTTTTCTTTTTTTTTTTTTTTTTTTCTTTTTTTGAGACGGAGTCTCACTCTGTCGCCCAGGCTGGAGTGCAGTGGCGCGATCTCGGCTCACTGCAAGTTCCGCCTCCGGGGTTCACACCATTCTCCTGCATCAGCCTCCCGAGTAACTGGGACTACAGGCACCCGCCACCATGCCTGGCTAATTTTTTGTATTTTTAGTAGAGATGGAGTTTCACTGTGTTAGCCTGGATGGTCTCGATCTCATGACCTCGTGATCTGCCCGCCTCAGCCTCCCAAAGTGCTGGGATTACACTTCTCTTCATTTCTAAATTGCCCTTTCCCTTCACAAATCCCTTCTCAAGACTAATTTAAAGGGGCATTGATTGCTATGACATTTTACTGCAATGAGTCCATTATATACATGGGGGAAAAATCTCAGGGGACAAGTGATCTCTCAGATTTCCTGCACTCCATCTCCAGTAGTCTATGAGTGAGATAGTGCATTGCTTTTAGAATGCTAACTCTCCTATTTGTATGCATATATTTACCATAGCTATCTCAACATCCTATTAAATCGGAGTTGCCCATTTCATTTTCGATGAACTTTCTTTCATGTGTTTGATAGACGCAAGACACCCCCCACCCCATAGAAACTGTATTTGTCTAGTTACATACAATTTCTAAACATAGTGATTTGTATGACTGAATTCCCCAGGAGCTTTCATGGAAATGAGGTAGATACCGTCTGTGACCTGCTCCCAGTGTTGCTGTCTGCATTATTCATTTAAAGTTTGCAAATTACTTTGGACTATGAAGTGCCATAGAGTTTCTATGTATTATTCTTTTATGAATTAAAGTAGCATATAAATATTAAATTAATAACTTATTTATAAGAAAAAAAGTGAAGCGTTAAATCAGATTTAACATAGCAAATACTTCATATTAAACCATCAAAATTGAAAATGTCCATAATACGTAATATATATACTTTTGCTACGTGACCCAGTTTGCATTTTAAAGCAGTACATAATTACGTTTAATACTGAATCAGGGTCATGCTTCTGCTGCTTTTAAGTTATTTTTTTCTTCCAGGGTCAAAAATCATCTCTGTTTTTTTCAACATTATGACTATGTTTTTTGGTTTGTGTTTTTATTTTTCCATAATATGTAGAAAGATGAATATTATGGGTATATAGATTAAAAAAAAGTGTAATATTTGCTGAAATATTACTGTTTATTGACCAATATGCCGGCTACACCAGGGCTGTACTATGGAGTCATGTGGAAAAGAGGGAACTGCGAGGCAGGTGGATCACTTGAGGTCAGGAGCTAAGACCAGCCTGGCCAACATGGTGAAACTCCATCTCTACTAAAAAAAAAAAAAAAAAAAAAAAAAAATTACACAGGTGTGGTGGTACACACCTGTAATCCCAGCTACTCGGGAGGCTGAGGCAGGAGAATCGCTTGAAACCAGAAGGCAGAGGTTGCAGTGAGCCAAGATCACACCACTGCACTGCACTCCAACCTGGGTGATAGAGTGAGACTCCTCCTAAAAAACGATAATAAAATAAAATAATTTAAAAAAAAGAAAAGTAGGAACTAATTTTTAGCAGTTGGCACTGAGTTAAATTGTCAAAGATTGCATCTTAAACACTGTACTTGGTTGATTTGCCAGTTAGAGTGAATGACTGGATGAAAAGAGATGCTATTATATTTGGCTACTTTTGCCTTTGAAAGATCTATGTCTGTGTGACAAAAAGCTAAAGAGCAAGGGTGAGGTGACAAGAAGCAGAAGATACAATAAGAGTAGAGTTGAGAGCAGCATACAACATCAACCATATCAGCAGTTAGACAGCAGAGTTGGAGAGGAGGGAGAGAGAGGGAAAGGAGACAGAGATGGAGAGAGGGAAGGAAGAATAGAAGGAGAGGGAGAGAGAAGACTAAAATTTCATATGCTACCTTGACTTTGAGCCTAACATGTCGCAAAGGCCTAACTTTGGGTCAACTTGACACTCTGCAGTAGCTCACACCCCTATCCGGTGAAGCCCCTGCACTTCTGCAGATTCCTTGGAGAAACCCTGGTCTCCTCTCTCTGAGCTGTGGGTCTCACATCTGTCTCATCCTAGAGTTATCCTAGTAAATCCCAAGTGGTAACAGACTTCTTTATCTCCCAAGTAAGACCATACCAGGTAGCGGTTTTCCTAAAGGCTTACAGGATGACAAGGGAGGGGGATTGCAGTTTGGTTCTTCATAGCAGTTCACCCAAAATGGAATACTGGGCCTCCTAATCCTAGAACCCCTGCCATGGGGGATTTCACACAGGCTGCTGTCTCCTCAGGGAATTCTGCCTACTGCCAATTTGTACAGCCAGGCCAGTCCCTCTCCCTCCTTCAATGACTTCTCCTGCACCCCTAACTTTTTCTGAGCCCCTTGGCACCTCTCTCTTAGGCTGCGCTTGGAAAGGTAAGTCTTTCTTCTGTTCTCTGTATTGTTTGGCATTTCAGCATTCACCCTGTGTCTCCCTGTTGTTCACCCTCTGGGGGTGATCATGACCAAAGGCACTATAAGAGTTTTTCTGAGCCCCACCCCTTGCCCCAGTTAAAGAACAAAGTTATCTTGCTAAGGGAGTTTAGATTTGTGCCTTTCTAAAAAAATTAACTAGCTCAAATGTCAGTCTCCTTTTTAAAAACATAAAGTAATCTTATTTAAAGTATATTATTAGAAAGGAAACCTCTTTAAGAACAACACATTTTCATCTATTTAGCATGAATTCTATATTGCCTTAAAGAGATACGTTGAGCCAAAATGTTAAAATAAGAATCCCACATAACTCCTGGTCTAAAGAAAAGCATATAAAAATACACTGCTCAGCTGCCTTCAGAGAGATCTACCTTTTCCAAGAAGACTCAGAACGGGCTTCTGACCATCATAATCAGAATGCACTGCCTTCAGGAGCGGAAGGAACACTACATGGGGAGTCAGAAACCTGAGTTCAAATTCTGAGACTGGATCTTCAACATGCTAATTATGACTCAAATATCACGTCTATTATAACCTATTTACTCTCAACAGTGTCTTTATCTAATAAAATTATTCACCATTATATATGATCATTTGCCTTAGATGACATGAATCAGTTCCTTTATTCATATTAGCAATTGGTAGAGCTTGAATTAATGACAGTGCTTGGATTGTAATGCAATTTTCCTGACTGTTAAGTACTTGTTTCTTTATACCAGGCGCCTCCTAGTGGCAGAAATGCAGCAAAAAGGAGATTGAATCTTCAGTAATTTCTCTTCTAGGTGTAGGGATACAGGTTAGATTTCAGCTTAATTTTGTCTGACTTTTCTGTTAATTGATTAGTATCTCAAATGTCTCTACTCTTAACACATTAACATGGGCACAGGCTTGGCTTAGTATAGGTATATTGAAAGTGGCATTAAGTCAGGAGAAGCCCACGTTCTATCTTTGCTATAAGCTCCCTGTCGCTTAATTATATTTCTTCCTTTGCCTTTGTTTTCGTATATGTGGCTATTATTTCTTTCATGGTCATGATTCTCAATCAGAAATTATGTAGAGGTATTTACTTCACAGTTTTAAGTTTTTACTTACACTGCTTTTGATCTGAAAACATTGCAAGTCTTATTTCAACCTGGATATAACTTAGAAAACAAATAATTATGGTGCAGCAAAGAGAGGAAAAGCCTGATTTCCTTGATTCAAAGAAGCCTTTGGGTCTGGCTAAATAGACCGAGAATAAACATCCGGCGTTTGATTGATGCCTCCTAACTTGCAATTTTGTATATAAAGAGACAGAAAAGAGGGAGACACAAAAAGAAGCTCAATGCCACATCTAAACACTAAGGTAGAAGTCAGGAACACCCACTTCTGAGTTTGATGTAGCTGTTAAATTGTTGCTTGATTTTGGACAAGTAACAGTATAAAATGAGGAATCTGATCATCCTTCTGTTCTCTGCTCCCAACAAAGCTGTATGGTTGTCTTAGTTCCTTAGGGCTGCTGTTAGGTTGGTGCAAAAGCAATTGCAGTTTTTGCCATTACTTTTAACGGCAGAATACCATAACAGAATACCATGAATATATGTAACAGAATACTTAACACAATATAACAGAATACCATAAATCAGGTGCCTTCTAAACACAGAAATATATTTCTTACAGTCCTAAAGGCTGGAAAGTCCAAGATCAAGACACTGGCAGATTCAGGGTCTGGTGAGGGCCAGCTTCCTGGTTCATAGACAGCTGTCTTCTCTTGTGGTGTCCTCACATGGCAGAAGGAGCGAGGGAGCTCTCTGGGATCTCTTTTATAAGGGCACTAATCCCATTATGAGGGCTCTGTCCTCATGACCTGACCACCTCCCAAAGGCCCTGCCTCTGAATACCGTCACATTGGGAGTTAGGTCTCAATGTTTGAATGTTGTGAGGGTTATAAACATTCAGCCTATAGCAATGATTTACATAAAGTTTGTGGAATGAGACTGATAAAGTAATTACCAATAGCCAGTCAGGTTGGTATCAGAAAATTTCTTGCTGTAGTATGTTAGCTACGTGAGATAAACTTTTTGAAGATTAAACAAACCACAGCAGGGATATAGGTGAATGAATGCACCATTGTGCCACTGATTAACTTTTCTCCCATTTCTTATTCATATACTACTTAGATAAAATAATACTCTTTAATTTTTTTAAAGCCATAATAATAATTCCATTACACTAATCAGTACTAATCAGTGCTGGAGAACGATGAACAATCTGATGTCAGGCATCCAAATGTACTAAATTCATCCAAACCATCAGTTTTAAATCATTTATTTCCCTACCCAGGTTCTTCATAATTTCTATTCTGCCATCTTAGAAGTTATTTAGTTAAAAACAGTTCAATACATTCAAATCTACAGTAAATGTCTGACAATCTCTTTTAAGATGAATTATAGGGGACAATTGGTTTGCCAGGAGCATGCTAAGGTCAAGACCCTAAACATAACATAGTACAATGAACATAATTCCAATTGCTTTTTTCTGTTTAATATTAAAAAGAAAAGATTTTTTTGTCTACGTGCTTTTTTCAGATTTTCTTCAAGTGTTGACATGTAATAAACTTAAGTAGAAGCATCAGAAATAGCATAATGATTTGCTGCTACCAAGACAGGATTGATCTGAATTTGATTTAGCCATAGAAATACCTCCTGTGAGAGGAAGGCCAGGTGTAGTTTAGAGGAGGCAGATTTGGGCATTGCCACTCCCTGGTTTTCTTATCTCAGGTAAGTTACTTAGTGATATGGTTTGGCTGTGTCCCCACCCAAATCTCATCTTGATTTGTAACTCCCACAATTCCCATGCGTTGTAGGAAGAATCTGGTGGGAGGTGATTGAATTATGGGGGTGGGTCTTTCCTGTGCTGTTCTTGTGATAGTGAATGAGTCTCATGAGACCTGGTGCTTTAAAAACAAGAATTTACCTGCACAAGCTCTCTCTTTGCCTGCTGCCATTCATGTAAGACATGACTTGTTCCTCCTTGTCTCCCGCCATGTTTGTGAGGCTTCCCCAGCCACATGGAACTATAAGTCCAATTAAACCTCTTTCTTTGTAAATTGCCCAGTCTCAGGTATGTCTTTATCAGCAGTGTGAAAAGGGACTAATACACTTAGCCTGTGTCTAAAACTCAATATGCTCATGGGCAAGGTAGAGATAATAATCTCTGCCCATAGAGTTATTCTAAAGACTAAATAAGATAATATATGTAAAATACTTAAAGCCATGCCTGACATGTAGCAACTGCTCAATAAATGGTGGCTATTATTGTATCAATAATAAGTTTTCTCTTTTATTATTCTAGGATCAGTTAGCAAGAAATAATCCAACACAGTCAAACTTACAATAAATGTCTGACTTACCCTTTTAAGATAAATTGTTATATGAAACTAATATGAACCTTCTTTTAAAAACATGATTATTCAACATGCAATCTATTATGTTTTCCACAGTTTATTTTCAAAGAAAAGACAAATTCTGACCAAGTTTTTCATAGAAATAAAAACATCAAACAGTACCCTAATTTTGATGTATTGATCAGCTTACTATCTTGAACAAAATGGTGGCCAATAAAGACTTCTCAATGGACATGATGTCTGATACTTTGATACATTTTAATGAAAATCAAACAATGGAGAAGTGATAGAAATATATGTTTACTCTGAGCTCAAGAAATCTGAGAGAGGGCTGGTCACGGTGGCTCACACCTGTAATCCCAGCACTTTGGGAGGCCGAGGTGTATGGATCACCTGAGGTCAGGAGTTCAGGACCAGCCTGGCCAACATGGTGAAACCCCATCTCTACTAAAAATACAAACAAAATTAGCCTGGCGTGATGGCAGGCACCTGTAATCCCAGCTACTTGGGAGGCTGAGGCAGGAGAATCACCTGAACCTGGGAGGTGGAGGTTGCAGTGAGCCGAGATCGCGTGATTGCACTCCAGCCTGGGCGACAAGAGCAAGACTCTGTCTCAAAAATAAAAAATAAAACATAAAAAAGAATTCTGAGAGAAAAGCCTCCAAAAGTGAGATTTTTCTTGCTCTAATCAAGTCCAACTCTAACTTTGTTTTCTTTCTGCCTCCCTATTTCTGAGCCTATCTTGACAATCCAGTTTAGCAGCCACCTTAGCAGAGACAAAGAAAATACTGGACTCAACAATTTGAGGCCCAGATGGTCCTACTAAGTAACTTTAAGATGTGAAAGCACTTTGGGTTCCATAGAGTACTTTGGGTTCATTAGTACAATCTTGAAATCCTTCTTAAATAACATTAACTCATACATGCAATCAATAGCCCTAACTGATTTATATCAATTCTAACTAACAATTATTTTTGAAAATGAGTTTTGTGGATAGAATACAAAACATACTGTCTCAAAAGTATCCGTGACCTTCTAATTCTTCATATTGTTGTCCATATTTATCATTGCAAGAATAGAGATACATCTGAGTATCAAATGTTTAAGAAAGTCTACTGACAAAACAATAAATTAAATGGAATACTTACCCATGTTTCCACTAAAATAGTCTATATCAGACTTTAGAATTGATATAGAAACCCCCACACAGTGTTTACTTTGATCAGTTTGCAGAAACTGAATAAATATTATGTTTCTTATTTAAATTTTAAAATATCTTCCAGGGAAGAATTTAAATGATAGGTATAGAATGTTGCTTCTTCAGTCTACAGCAAGAGCTTAGTATTTAGGCAAAGACCCCGTGAGGGAGAAGCTACACGGCCGTTACTCAATAGCGACATCTGCTGTTATCACAGGAGTATGCTTTCCCATATTAGGAAGCTCTGCTCTTTGGCAATGGGGTAGCTGGAATGACAGTCAACTCTCAGGCATAAAGAGGCTTATTCTCTAATTTGTGGGTTTTCTCGGTCTTTAGTGACTCTTCATTCCCCCACCTGCACTCTGCCTATTGTCTGAAAGGTTAATCTTAGCTTTCTTACCAGAAGTTAAGTAAGCAGAGAATAAAAACTGAACCTCATATCAATCAATATTGTTCCTGTTATTCGATGGTTTAAAATATACTGTTTCCTGGCCGGGCATGGTGGCTCATGCCCGTAATCCCAGCACTTTGAGAGGCCAAGGTGGGTGGATCACCTGAGGTCAGGAGTTCGAGACCTGACTGACTAACATGATGAAACCCCGTCTCTACTAAAAATACAAAAATTAGCGGGGTGTGGTGGTGGGCACCTGTAATCCCAGCTACTCAGGAAGCTGAGGCAGGAGAATTGCTTGAACCCAGGAGGCGGAGTTTGCAGTGAGCCAAGATCGTGCCATTGCACTCCAGCCTGGGCCACAAGAGTGAAACTCTATCTCAAAAAAAAAAAAAAAAAAAAAATACTGTTTCCTTACAGAAGAATTCCAAATAATATAGGTATATATTTCCCCATCTCCCACTCCACCAAAGAGGTGGAATTTATCCCCCTAACCCTTGAAGATAGACTCCACTGAATGACTCACTTACAAAGACTAGAGTATGGAAAGGGAAAAATAGTAACTTTTCGGTGGAGAAGGCTGGCAGATGCTACCTTAACCCAGTGACTCAGGTGAGCATTGCCAATAATGTCATATGGACACCAACTACACCTGATATTATATGAAAAAAGGGCACTTCAGCATCATGGTTTTCCTTCCAAAATCCCATGACTCCAACAGACCAACCCGGATTGGGGGCTGTCCTACAAAATACCTGACCAGAACTCCTCAAAACTGTCAAAATCATGAAAATCAAGGAATGACTTAGAAACTGTTGCAGAGCAGAGGAGACTACAGAGACCTGAGGATTAAATGCAGCATAGTATTCTGCATGGGATCCTGGAGCTGAAAAAGGACATTAGGAGAAAAACTGGGATATCAGTTTGGTGAAAGTATAGGATTTAGTTAATAGTCCTGTATCAATGTTGGTTTTTTTCATTTGGACATATTTACCATTGTATAACAATGATAACATTAGGGGAAACTAAAACTGAGTGAGGGGTGTATGGGAACTCTTCGTATTATCTTTGCAAATTTTCCGTAAATTTCCAAGTATTCCAAGATACAATTTAAAAAATATATGTATATTAAGAACTTGCTCTATGTCTTTCTCTGTGCTGGACATTCTTGTGGATAACACTTCACTTCTTTTTTTTTTTTTTTTTTTTAATAGAGATTGGGCATCCCTATGTTGCCCAGGTCTCAAACTTCTGGCCTCAAGAGATTCTCCCTCCTCAGCCTCCCAAAGTGCTGGATTATAGGCATGAGCCAATATGCCCACCTACACCTCACATTGATGGACATGGCACAGATTAGAATGTGTTTTCAGATATTTTTTTCTCATGTAAACTTCCACAACAGCCATGTGAGGCAGGCCAGATGGGATTATTTCCATCTAGAGATGAAAAAACAAACTCAGAGAAGTTTTATCCGGCTAAAAGTCATACAAGGAGTTAAATGCAAAGCCAGAACTCACCCACAGGACTTGGCATCATCTTCAAAATGTTTTCTACTCCTCACAACAAGTTTCTTATCTTTAAATTCTAATAAAGAAGAGAGAGGAGGAAGATGGAGGATCGGAGACAGGGCTAACGTGCAGCTCCCATTTGGAAAGACAGAACATGTGGAGACTCACGCCATGGACTTTTGCTCCAGGAACCACCACAGAAAAGTACCAGGAAAACCAAAACAATTCACAGATCCTTTGAAAGAAGTAGCAGGCCACTGCAAATTCCATGAGACAGGTGAAAAGCTGTGAGTTCCCAAAGTGTGAGAGGAGGGGCAAACCTGCCTCCAAACACACATCCCCACTGGGGAACCTGAAAATCCAGATTGTGGGAGAAGGATTTAACCTTACCTAGAGCCAAAACAGATTTAGCATGAATATAAAAGCAGAAGCAGTAGTGGAAAGAGCCATGTAGGAACTCCCAGCCTCCAACTCAAGCCCAGAGGAGCCATCCTTGACTATATCTCACGGGGGCCCTCAGGGAAGGCAGCCAGCAGAATTTGAGAGGAGGTCACAGGGTAAAATAAACTTCCAACTGAACTTTGTAATAATTTCGGCTGTGCACAAAGTGTTGAGCAGAATCTGGGTAGTAAATGGGAACTGCTGCAGAAAGAAGAGCAGAAGACATAGCTGACAGTGTGGGGAGATGGGGAGGGGTGAGGGGCAAAGCCTGAAAGCCATGCTTGCTTTTTCAGCAGAGAAGCTTATAGCCTGGGGCAAGGTCTGAGTCCTGCACTCAGGCTTCCTGGAGATAAACTCAGAGCTGTTAGCAGGGCACACCCAAAGTGAGACCAGCATCACCAACTGTGTGGAAGCTGGGTGAGGCCTATTGCTACCAGCTTTCCCCCACTTCCCTGGTGAAAGAGGCAGCCATAATTCCCTCTAGAACATAACCCCATTGGCCTGAGAATCACCCCCCCCATCCCCCACAGTGGCCACAGCAAGACCCACCCAAAAATAGTCTGAGCTCAGACCCGCCTAACCCTGTCCCCACCTGATGGCATTTCTCTACCCACCCTGGTAGGCAATGACAAGAGACATAAACCCTTGGGAGCTTTATGGCCCTGCCCATTGCCTGAGAAACCTAAATACTGATCCTGGCCAACTTAGGGCAAGCTTACGTCCCCCTTCTACTATGGCAGCTGGTGCTCTTTAAAGCACCACCTCCTGGCTGGAGACCAACCAACTCAGGATATCACAGCAAGTCACGACAGAATAACCTTGCTCCGAGGAAGAAGAAGCTAATTCCATTGCCTGCAACATCCTGGCTAACCAGAGGTCCTGAGTCTCTTCACATGACAACTTCTCTGCTAGCATAATCAGCATTCAAGAAAGCCAGCACATTAAACATATCTACAACCAAGGACTCTCACACAGTCTATTTCACCCCCCTGCCACCTCCACCAAAGCAGGTGCTGGTGCTAGTATCTATAGCTGGGAGATCTGAAGATGGATCACATCACAAGACTTTTTGCAGAAATTCTCCAGGACCAGCCTGGAGCCCACTGGGTGGCTAGACCCAAAAGAGCAATAACAATCACTGCAGTCTGGCTCTCAGGAAGCCCCATCCCTAGGGGAAGGGGTAGTGCACCACATCAAGGGATCACTCTGCAGGACAAAAGAATCTGAACAGAAGCGCTTGAGTTCTAGATTTTTTTCACTGAAATAGTCTACCCAAATGGGAAGGACTCAGGAAAGTAATTCTGGTAATATGACAAAACACGGTTCTAGAACACTCCCAGAACACCACACTAGCTTCCCAGCAATGAATCCAAACCAAGAAGAAATCTCTGAATTGCCAGATGAATAATTCAGCAGGTTGATTATTGAGCTACTTAAGGAGATACCAGAGAAAGGTGAAAACCAACTTAAATAATTTTTTTTTGACAGAGTTTCACTCTTGTTGCCCAGGCTGGAGTGCAATGGCGTGATCTTGGCTCACCACAACCTCTGCCTTCTGGGTTCAAGTGATTCTCCTGCCTCAGCCTGCAGAGTAGCTGGTATTACAGGCACCCGCCACCATGCCCGGCTAATTTTTTGTATTTTTAGTAGAGCCGGGGTTTCACCATGTTGGCCATTCTGGTCTTGAACTCCTGACCTTGTGATCCACCCGCCTCGGCCTCGCAAAGTGCTGGGATTACAGGTGTGAGCCATGACGCCCGGCCTTAAAGAAATTTTTTAAAAATACAGGATATGGATGAAAAATTATTCAGAGAAGTAGATATCATAAAGAAAGAACAATCATAACTTCTGGAAATGAAAGACACACTTACTTAGAGAAATACAAACTGCACTGGAAAGTGTCAACAATAGACTAGAACAAATAGAAGAAAAAATTTCAGAGCTCAAAGACAAGACTTTCAAAATAACCGAATCAGACAAAGACAAAGAAAAAAGAATTTTAAAAAATGAACAAAGCCTCCAAGAAATTTGGGATTATTTTAAGCAACCAAACCTAAGAATAATTGGTATTCCTGAAGAAGAGAAATTCAAAAGTTTGGAAAACTTATTTGAGTTAATAACTGAAGAAAACTTCCCTGGCCTTGCTAGAAATCTAGACATCCACATACAAGAAGCACAAAGAACACCTGGGAAATTCATTGCAAAAAGATCATCACCTAAGTACATAGTCACCAGGTTATCTAAACTCAAGACTAAGCAAAGAATCTTAAGAACTGTGAGGCAAAAGCATCAGGTAACCTATAAAGGAAAACCTGTAAGGTCAACAGCAGATTTCTCAGCAGAAACCCTACAAGCCAGAAAGGACTGGGGTCCTCAAACAAAATAATTGCCAATCACAAATTTTGTATCCAGCAAAACTAAGGTTAAT
The DNA here is from genome assembly GCF_000001405.40 of Homo sapiens. Lineage (NCBI taxonomy): Eukaryota > Metazoa > Chordata > Mammalia > Primates > Hominidae > Homo > Homo sapiens. The sequence continues at coordinate 39,620,852 of NC_000013.11, forward strand.
AAATGAAGGAGAGATAAAGTCTTTTTCAGACAAACAAATGCTAAGAGAATTCACCACTACCAAGCCAGCACTACAAGAAATGCTAAAAGGAGTTCTAAATCTTGAAACAAAACCTCAAAATACACCAAAATAGAAGAACCTTTTTAAAGCAAAAGTCTCACAAGGCCTATAAAACAATAATACAATTAAAAAAAACAAACACAATGAATAAAGGAGTGCCTCACATCTTAATACTAACATTGAATGTGAATGGCTTAAATTACCCACTTGAAGATACAGAATGGCAGAATGTATAAAACTTCACCAACCAAGTATCTGTTGTCTTCAAGAGACTCATCTAATGCATAAGGACTCACATAATGCATAAGGACTCACATAAACATAAGGTAAAGGGGTAGAAAAGGTATTTCATACACATGGAAACCAAAAATGATCAGGAGTAGCTACTCTTATATCAGACAAAACACACCTTAAAGCAACAACAGTTAAAATAGACAAAGAGGGACATTATATAGTGATAAAAAGATGAGTCTGAAAGAAAAGTATCACAATCCTAAATATATACGCACCTAAGACTGGAGTTTCCAAATTTATAAAACAATTATTACTAGACCTAAGAAACAAGACAGAGAGCAACATAATAATAGTGGGGGACTTCAGTACTCCACTGACAGCACTAGACAGGTCATCAAGACAGAAAGAAACAATGAAGAAACAACAACAAAGAAACAATGGCCTTAAGCTGTACCCTAGAACAAACGGACTAAACAGACATATGCAGAACATTCTACCCGACAACTGCAGAATATACATTATTTTCATCAGCACATGGAATATTCTTCAAGATAGACCGTATGAGAGGCCACAAAACAATTTTCAATAAATTTTTTAAAAATCAAAATTATACCAACTACCCTCTCAGACCACAGTAGAAAAAAACTGGAAATTTACTCCAAAAGGAACCCTCAAAACGATAAAATATATGGAAATTAAATAATCTGCTCCTGAATTATCTTTGGGTCAACAATGAATTCAAGATTGAAATTAAAAATTTATTTGAACTGAATGATAACAGTGATATAGCTTATTAAAACCTCTGGGACACAGCAAAAGTGGTCCTAAGAGGAAAGCTCATAGCATTAAATGCCCACATCAAAAAGTCTGAAAGAGCACAAATAGACTCTCTAAGGCCACACCTCAAGGAACTAGAGAAGCAAGAACAAACCAAACCCAAACCCAGCAGAAGCAAAGAGATAACAAAGATCAGAGCAGAACTAAATGAAATTGAAACAGCAAATAAATAAATTAAATAAATAAATAAATAAATAAATAAATAAATGAAATTAAAAGCTGGTTCTTTGAAAAGATTAAAAAAAGATAGACTATTAGTGATATTAACCAAGAAAAGAAGAGACAAGATACAAGTGAGCTCAATTAGGAATAAAACGGGAGATATTACAACTGATACCACAGAAATAACAAAAGATCATTCAAGGTTACTATAAACACCTTTATCTACACAAACTAGAAAATCTAAAGGAGATGCATAAATTCCTGGAAATATACAACCCTCCTTGATTAAATCAGAAAGAAATAGAAAGTCTGAACAGACCAATCATAAGTAGCAAGACTAAAACAGTAATTTAAAAATTGTGGACAAAAAAAAAATCTGGATTCACAGATGAGTTCTATTCAAAAAATTGGTACCAACCTTACTGAAACTATTCCAAAAGATAGAGAAAGAGGGAATCATCTGTAAATCATTCTATGAAGCCAATATCACCCTAATAACAAGACCAGGAAGGGACATAACCAAAAAAGAAAACTACAGACCAATATCCCTGATGAACACAGATGCAAAAATCCTCAACAGAATACTAGTTAACTGAATTCAACAGCATATCAAAAAGATAATACACCATGATCAAGTGGGTGTCATTCCAGGGATGCAGGGATGGTTTGACACATGGAAGACCACAAATGTGATACACCACATAAACAGAATTGAAAACAAAAAACTTATGATCATCTCAATAGATGCAGAAAAAGCACTGGACAAAAGCCAGCATCATTTTGTGATCAGCAAAATCAGCATAGAAGGGACCTGCCTCAAGGTAATAAAAGCGATCTATGACACAACCACAGCCAACATTATACTAAGTGGGGAAAAGTTGAAAGCATTCCCTCTGAGAACTGGAACGAGACAAGGATGCTCACTTTCACCACTGCTATTCAACATTGTACTGGAAGCCCTAGCCAGAGCAATCAGACAAGGGAAATAAATCAGAACATCCAAATTGGTAAGGAGGAAGTCAAACTGTCGCTGTTGGCTGGTGATACCATTGTATACCTAGAAAACCCTAAAGACTCTTCCGAAAAGTTCCTAAATCTGATAAATGAATTTAGTAATGTTTCAGGATGCAAAATCAATGTACACAAATCAGTAGCACTGCTACACACCAGCAATGACCAAGCTGAGAATCAAATCAAGAACTCAACCCTTTTGCAACAGCTGCCAAAAAAATGAAATACTTAGGAATATAGCTAACCAAGGAGGTGACAGATCTCTACAATGAAAACTGCAAAACGCTGCTGAAAGAAATCAGAGATGGCACAAACAAATGGAAACACATCCTATGCTCATAGATGGGTAGGATCAGTATTGTGAAAATGACCATACTGCCAAAAGCAATCTACAAATTCAATACAATTCCCATCAAAATGCCATCATGTAAGAGACAAGATGAGTAATCTTCCTTCCATTCATTCATTCAACAAATATTTTAAACATCTGACACTTATCACACACTGCCCTAGGCACTTAGGATACATCATTGAACAAAAGAGACCAAAAGCCCTTCTGTCCAAGAGCTTATATTTCTAGAGAGAAACTACGTTAAATTCAAATAAACATTTTTTGTTCACCATAAAGGGTAAAAATATGGGCCACAGGCTGAGAAAAGATATATAACCAACAAGAATTTGTATCCAGAATACATAAATAATGTGTACAAATAAACTAAAAGAAAAAGAAAAGAAAACAAAACAAAACCTCATGGGCAAAAGAATAAGCAGTTCCCAGAAGTAGAAAGCCAAATGCCAGTAGACATGAAAAGATGGGTATTTCATTAGTAATTAAGGAAGTACTAGTTATAATATCAAAGAAATACCATTTTATAACTATGAAACTCTCAAAAATGAGAAAGCCTGACAATATCAATCATTGGAGATAGTGTGGTACAATGAGGATTCTTAATTGTTTAGTTAGAATAAATTGGTGCCATACTTTGCATAATAGTTTTTACAATAGCTAGTAAACTTGAAGATGGGTGTGTTATTTCCCCTAGCAACTCCACTCCCAGACATAGACCTCACAAAAATGAACGTATATAAAGAAGATATACATAATTGTTAGTAAAAACAAAATTGAAAACAACTAAATGTCCAACAAGATAACAAATAAAGGTTTGATGCTTTCAAAAAATTCTAATAGAAGTGATTCTACTAGGAATGACTGACTCTATAATATAAGACTGTTGGATTTACTGGATCCATATTATCCTGGCCTATCACTTTGAGAGAACAGTAATGAATGCTATTAGAAAAATATTGAAGTGGGAAAGAATAAAATCAAAGTTCTAATATTTATTCCCAGACTTCATCATGAAGTAATAAATTTCTCTCTGCCAAGGAAAATCCTTATCCTTTAAGGCTCAGTTCAAGAATTACTTTGCGAGTCCTTCTTCCTTGGTTCTCCCCTGCCTACTGAAAGTATACTCCTATAACCTCTGTATTTGAGTAACACTTTTCACTGTTTCCTTTGTTTTTTTATGTTGGGGGTGGAGGGGGCATAAATATTAGAACTATACATTTATATTTTTACTGCATATAAAATGACTGACTGTCCCACCTCTCCTTTCCTTAGAACCTCTTTTTCTATTCAAATTGAACACTCAAATATTTCTTCTAGCCAAAATGACTCAAGGTGGTTGGGCAGTAATTATTAAATTACTTAAGTTAAAAGTCTCAAATTCCAATGCCTTCAGAGACCAGATATGGAGCATGAATGGGTAAAGGAGGACAAGTATAGGAAAAGTCAAGTGGCCTTCCCCATCATTTATTTTCCCACTTTTGGAAGATTCATAAAAACTGATGTTTTTTTTCTACTGTAAGAGAAATGGTAGCCAGGCTTGGTGGCTCATGCCTGTAATCCCAGCACTTTGGCGGGGCCAAGGCAGGAGGATTGCTTGAGCTCCGGATTTCAAGACCAGCCTAGGCAACATAGTGAGACCCCATCTCCACAAAAAGTAAAAAATTTGCCAGGTGTGGTGGTGCATGCCTGTGGTCTCAGCTACTTGGGAGGCTGACGTAGGGGGAATTGCTGAGGCATAGGAGGTTGAGACTGCAGGGAGCCATGATCGCACCACTGTGCTCCAGCCTAGGTGCGAGAGTGAGACCCTGTCTCAAACACACACACACACACACACACACACACACACACACACACAGAGAGAGAGAGAGAGAGAGAAATGGTGCTTGATGATAAATGGCAATTGACATTTGACCTCAGTATTTGATTCCACTTATTATATGAGGTAGCTAGAGTAGTCAAAGTCATGGAGACAGGGAGAAATTTGGGGGAGCAATAGAGAGTGATGTGAATTGAGGCAAACTGGAAAGTTTATGGCCTGTTTAAAGGGAAAGTATGAGATGAGGCCAGGCTATCTTATTATGACAGAATGCAAGCAAATAAGCAAAAAAAAAAGATGGAAACATAGCAAAAATGCACAGAAGCCAATTTGGATGGCCTCCTACTGATGAAGTCCAGTCCAATTTGAGCATTAAAAGAAATAAATATAGCAATGGGTTATGACTCATCGAATACAATAAGAAACCATGATGAGAAATGGGATATCACCAAGTTACAAGTTACCTTCCCATGAAACACTTCTTAAATAGAAATGAGGCCGGGTAAGGTGGCTCACACCTGTAATCCCAGCACTTTGGGAGGCCGGGGCAGGTGGATCATCTCAGGTTAGGAGTTTGAGACCAGCCTGGCAAACATGGTGAAATACTGTCTCCACTAAAAGTATAAAAATTACCTGGGCATGGTGGTATGCACCTGTAATCCCAGCTACCCAGGAAGCTGAGGCAGGAGAATTGCTTGAACTTAGGAGGCGGAGGTTGCAGTGAGCCAAGATCATGCCGCAGCACTCCAGCCTGAGTGAAAGAGTGAGACTTTGTCTCCAATAAATAAATAAATAAAATGAGAAAAGTATAAGTTTACAGTGAAGAATCCTGGCAGACACTATCTTAATCAAATTATCAAAGTGAATATCATTAGTAATCAGACAAATTGAAATTCTGCACCACCTGATAAGATGCAATAAGAACACAGCATCAACTTTAGTGATATACCTAACAACAATGCATACTGAATCTGATTATGAGGAAACCAACATCTGCCTCCACTATCAGTCTCTGGAACCCTTCATCTTGCAAAACAGAAACTCTATACCTATTAAACGATAACTTCCCACTCTGCCATCTTCCCAGCCCTGGAAACCACCATTCTACTTCCTACTATGATTTTTACTTCTCTAGGTACCTCATATCAGTGGAATCATACAGTATTTGCCTTTTTCTGCTTGATTTAATTCACTTAGCATAATGTCCTCAAAATTCATCTATGTTGTAGCATGTGTCAGAATTTCATTCATTTTTAAGGCTGAATAATATCTCACTGTATGTATATGCAACAGTTTGCATATCTAGTCATCTGTCCATGCACACTTGATTGCTTCCATGCTTTAGCTATTGTTAATAAAGGTGCTATGTATTTTTAGTAGAGACGGGTTTCACTATGTTGGCCAGGCTGGTCTTGAACTCCTGACTTCGTGAACTGCCTGCCTCAGCCTCCCAAAGTGCTGGGATTACAGGCGTGAGCCACCGCGCCCAGCTCTACTAAAAATACAAAAAAAAAAAAATTAATACAAAAAAAATTAGCTGGGCATTGTGGTGGGCGCCTGTAATCCCAGCTACTCGGGAGGCTGAGGCAGGAGAATTGCTTGGAGGCAGGAGAATTGCTTGAACCCAGGAAACGGAGGTTGCAGTGAGCCGGCACAGTGCCACTGCACTCCAGCCTGGGCGATAGAGCTATACTCTGTCTCAGTAAATAAATAAATAAATAAATAAATAAATAAATAAATAAATAAATGTGCTATGAACATGGGTGTACAAATATTTCTTCAAGATTCTGCTGTCAATTCTTTTGGGTACATGCCCAGAAGTGAAATTGCTGGATCATATGGTAATTCTATTTTTAATTTTTTAAGGAACTATATCATACTGTTTTCCACTGCAGGTATATAATTTTACCAAAAATGCACAAGGGTTTCAATTTCTCTACCTCCTCATCAACATTTGTTATTTTTAGGTTTTGCGTGTGCGTACTTTTTTTTAATAATAGTCATCCTAATGGGTCTGAAGTGGTATCCCAATGTAGTTTTGATTTGCGTTTCCCTAATGGTTAGTGACATTAAACATCTTTTATGTGCCTTTTTGCCATTCATATATCGTCTTAAATATGACATATGAATGGCAAAAAGGCACATAATCCTAACAAATCGGATAATTAGTTTTTTAGTTGTTGAGTTTTAGAAGTTCTTTATGTATTCTGGATATGTTAATCCCTTAACAGATAAATGATTTGCAAATATATTCTCTCATTCAGTAGGTTACGTTTTGATTTTGTTGGTACTGTCTTTTGGTAAATGGAAGTTTATCATTTTCCAGAAGCCCAGTTGGTCTCGTTTTTTTCTTTGGTTGCCAGTGCCTTTGGTTTCATAGCCAAGAAATTATTGCCAAACCTAATATCATGAAGCTTTTGCCTTGTTTTCTTTTAGGAGTTTCATAGTTTTCGTTCTTATGTTTAGGACTTTGACCCATTTTGAGTTAATTTTTGTATATAGTGTTAGGCAAGGGTACAACTTCATTCTTTTGATGTGGATATCTACTTTTCCCAGCGCTATTTGTTGAAAAGATTTCTTTTCCTCATTGAATGATCTTAGCACTCTTGTCAAAAATAATTTGACCATATATGTAAGCAATTATTTGGAGGCTTGTTCCTTCTTTCTATTGGCTTAAATGTCTATCTTTATGGCAGCACTACACTGTTCTTATAACTGTAGCTTTTTTTTTTTTTTTAATTATAGAGATGGGCTCTCGCTACGTTTCTCAGGTTGGTCTTGAACTCCTGGCTTCAAGCAATCCTCCTGCCTCAGCCTCCCAAAATGCCGAGATTACAGCCATGAGCCACCATAACTGGCCATGAGTGTAGCTTGGTAACAAGTTTTGAAATCAGGATGTATGAGTCCTTCGACTTTGTTCTTTAAGATTGTTTTGGCTATTTGTGATCCCTTGAGATTTCATATGAATTTTAGGAAGTATTTTTCTATTTCTGCAAAAATGTATTGGGATTTGCATTGAATCTGTAGATCACTTTGGGTAATATTGACATCTTAATATTAGGCCTTTCAATAATTGAATAGTGCCTTTTCTTTATTAGCATCTAATGTATTTCAGCACTTTTTATAGTTTTTGTTATACACATCTTTCACCTCCTTGGTTAATTCCTAAGTATTTTATTCTTTTTGATGTTATTGTAAATGGAGTTTTTTTTTTTAAATTTTCTTTCCAGATTGCTTATTGTCTACTTCTTTTAAGTTATTTAATTCCTTGGCATACAATTTTCAGAGTGCTCTCTTATAGTCCTTTTTACTTCTGCAGAGTCAGTAGTAATATCTTAAACTTTCTGATTTTAGTTATTTGAATCTTCTCTCCTTTTTTCTTAGTCAATACAGCGAATGGTTTGTCAATTTTGTTGATCGTTTCAAAGAAACAACTTTTGGTTTCATTGATTTTTCTCTATTGTTTTTCTATTCTCTCGTGTTTCTCTCTTAGTTTCATTATTTCCTTCCTTCTGTTATCTTTGAGCTTTGTTTGTTCTTTTTCTAGTTCTGAAATTGTAAAATTAGGTTATTGATTTGAGATCTTTCCTGTTTTTTAAAATGAAAATGTTTATGGCTATGAATTTCCTCCTTACTACTGCTTTCACTATGTTCCATAGGTTTTTGGTACATTGTCCTTTCATTTTTATTTATCTCTTAGAATTTTCTAATTTCCCTGTGATTTCTTCTCTGATACATTGGTGTTTTAAGAGTGTGTTGTTTAATTTGCATGAATTTGTGAATTTCCTAATGTTTCTTCTGTTGTCTATTCTGATTTCTAAGTTCATTCTGTTTTGGTCAGAGAAGATACTTTGTATGACATCCATGTTTTAAAGCCTAGTGAGACTTAAGTTGTAGCTTAACATATAGTCTAAAATGTCCCATGTGCACTTAACAAGAATGTGTATTCTGTTGTTGAATAGACTGTCCTGTATATGTCTGTTAGATCTGCTTGTTTTATTGTGTTAAGTCCTCATTTTCTTACTTATCTTCTATCTCATTGTTCTAGTCATCATTATTATTATTTATTATTATTCTTTTTGAGATGAAGTTTCACTTTTGTTGCCCAGGATGGAGTGCAATGGGGTGATCTTGGCTCACTGCAACCTTTGCCTCCCTGTTTCAAGCAATTCTCCTGCCTCAGCCTCCTGAGTAGCTGGGATTACAGGTGTGCACCACCATGTCTGGCTCATTTTGCACTTTTAGTATAGATGGGGTTTCACTATGTTGGTCAGGCCAACTCCTGACCTCAAGCGATCCACCCATCTTGGCCTCCCAAGGTGCTGGGATTACAGGTGTGAGCCACCATGCCCGGCCTTCTATTTATTATTAACAGAGATATATTGAAGTCTCCAATAATTGTTATAGAACTTAAAGTATAATAATGAAAAATTAAAAAAATTTAAAAATCTAAAGAAATAAAAAAGGAAAAAAGAAATGTCTATTTTTTCCTTCAATTCTATCCATTTTTGCTTTATATATTTTTATGGTCTGTTATGAGGCATGTAAAGGTTTATAATTATTATATCTTCTTATTGTATTAAAACTTTTATTAATATATAATGCCCTTCATTGTATCTTGCAATCTTTTTTTAAATCTATTTTATCTGATATTAGAATAGCCATCTTTGCTCTCTTTGGGTTTCTATATCCATGGAATATCTTTTTCCACTTTTTCACTTTTAACGTATTTGCCCCTTTGGATCTAAAGGGAGTCTCTTATAGACGGCATAAAGTTAGATCATTTTGTGTGGTGTGTATGTGTGTGTGTGTGTGTGTGTGTGTGTGTTTAAATCCATTCTGCCAATCTCTGTCTTTTGATCAGTGAGTTTAATTCACTAACTTTTAAAGTAATTACTAATATGACCTCTACAATTTTGCTATTTGTTTTCTTTTCCTTTTTCTTTTTTCTTTTTTTTTTTGAGACAGGGTCTCACTCTGTCACTGATGCTGGAATTCAGTGACATCGTCATGGCTTACTGCAGCCTTGACCTTCCAAGCTTAAATGATACTCCTACCTCAGCCTCCAAAGTAGCTGGAACTACAGGTGTACACCACCATGCCTGGCTAATTTTTGTATTTTTTATAGAAATAGAGTTTTGTCATGTTGACCAGGCTGATCTTAATCTCCCGGGCTCAAGCGACCCACCTGCCTCTGCCTCCTAAAGTGGTAGGATTACAGGCATGAGCCCCATACCAGGCCACTATTTGTTTTCTTTATTCCTTATAGCTTTTTTTGTCCCCCATCATTGTCTCTTTTTGTCCTCTACTTCACTGCCTGTTTTTAGTTAATTTTTTGTAGTAAAGCATTTTAATTGCCTGTTAATTTCCTTTTTAGTATATCTATAACTATTTTCTTTGTGATTGCCCTGGGGATTACATTTAACATCCTGAGGTTATAACACTATAATTTAAATTTATGTCAATTTAACTTCAATAATATATAAAAACTGCTCAATTACAGTTCTGTCTCCATCTGTTTTATTTTTTGATGTCACAAAATTACACCTTTGGATGTGGTATGCTCAAAAATATAAATAAATAATTGTTTTCTTAATGCATTAGTCTTTTGAATTGTGTAGTAAACAATATATGAAGTTACAAACCAAAGTTACAATGTTGTAAAATTGTACAAAGTTACAATTTAGGCTAATAATTTTTTAAAATGTATTAGTCGCTTAGATCACATAGAAAACAAAAAGTAGATGTACAAACTGTTGTTACACTAATACTACCTTTTATAATTGCCCATGTATTTATCTTTCCTGAGATTTTTATTTCTTCATATGACTTTAACCTGCAAGACTCCCTTACAGGGCTGGTCAGGTGGTAGTGAATTCCCTCAATTTTTGTTTATCTAGGGAAGTCTTAATTTCCTTCTCACTTTTGAAGGATAGCTTTGCTAGATGTAGAATTCTTGGTTGACAGATTTATTTTTTCTTTCAGCATTTTGAATATATCAGTTCACTACCTTCTAGACTCCAAAGTTTCTGATAAAGAAATCTGCTGTTAATCTTATTGAGGATCCCATTTATGTGATGACTTGCTTTTCTCTTGCTGGTCTTTGTCTTTCAATAGTCTTATTATGTGCCTTGGTGTGGGTCTGTTTGAGTTCATCCTACCTGGAATCCATTAAGCTTCTTGGATGTTTATATTCATATCTTTCATCAAATTTGGGAAGTATTTTGCCATTTGTTTTCAAATAATCTTTCTTTTACTCTCTCTAAAACTCCTATAATGCACACACTGGTACTGTTGATAGTACCACGGAGATTTCTTAGTCTCTTTTCACTTTCCTTCAGTATTTTTTCTTTGTGTTCCTCAGATTTGACCATTTCAATAGTCCCATCTTCATGTTCACTGATTTTTTTCTGCCTACTTCTAATAAGCTTTGAATACATCTAATAAACTTTTCATTTAATTCATTGTACTTTTCAGCTCTCAAATTTCTTTTTGAATTACCTTTAAGGTTTCCATCCTTTATTGACATTTCCATTTTGTTCATACACCATTTCCTTTCTTTATGCCATCTTTTAGTTATCTGACCATCTTTAAGATAGTTGCTTTAAAGATAAGATAGATGTGGCATCTTGTCTTCTTCAGGGACGGTTTCTGCTGGGTTTTTTTCCCTTTGGATAAGCCATACTTCTCTGTTTCTCAGTATATTTTTGAGTTTTTCGGTTGAAAACTGGACATTTGAATCTAATAATGTGGCAACCCTGAATATTATATTCTACTTTCTTCCCCAGGGCTTGTTGTTTTTGTTTTTGCTTTGTTTTGTTTTTGATTGCTGTAGGCTGTCTCTATGCCAAGGATCAGCCTGAGATGTAAAGTCTACTCAGGTCTTTTTTGAGCCTGCGTCTTTTCCTGGGCATGTGTGCTAACTTTTTTGCTTTGAATATTCTAGTTTTTAAGGTCTCGCATCCAAAAGTGGGGGGGAGAGAAAAATAGAGGAGAGAGGTTAAAGGGCACCAGCCCTTTAAATCCCTTGGAAGTCACTTCAGTTGGAGGGGGTGAAGCTTGCAACAATGAAGGGAGGATGCAACAGTGGCTATCCCCGCTCCATACTGAACTTCCATGATCAGAAACAGCAATCTGCAATTAGAACACAAATCCCTGATATTTGGAGGACAGAGTCCTTATTGCCCACCTTGGCCTCTCACTGGGTGCATACAAGATGCTCCAAAACTCCTCCTCACAGCTGCCTGCCACAGGCCTGGGGTTGAAGGATGGGTATCACTACTGAAGGAAGAGCTGAAATTTACCAAAGTTAACTGCAATTTACCTTCCAAGCCTTCCTCTGGAATTTGCAAGCCTTGAATACACTCCAGAGTTCCAAAATAGTTACATCAGACAAACACTGTACAATTGTTTAGGTATATAGACTAATTCCTGATCCTTCCTATTCCTCTATCTTCCCAAAATATGCTTTCTTGGAACTATTTTTTATGTCTAATTTTATACTCACACGTTTTTAATTTTACATAAATAAGAACACATGCTTTTGTTTTAGTGAAGTCTTTTATTCTGTGAATCTCACCTTCCCCTACATGATCTCTCTCATTCCTTGAACAATCTGGTTTTTTTCTTCATGTTTATGTAATCATTTATATATATCATGATATAAACAATGCTTGTTTATATCATTTATGCATATAAACAAGCATTTACATATAAATGTATAAAATATGCTTATATTAATATTCCCATACTTGCTAATTTAATATTTATACAGTGTTCTATTCCAAAAATACATTTAATGTAGCTCTTACACTCATTGAATAACCAAAGTTCCATATAGTGTATGGACAATCAAAAATGTTATAAACATATACATAGCTTTTGCAAGCACAGCATTTTAAAATAGTAGAGAGTAGTTCTATTTCTAATGATAAATCAAATATTATCTGAGGCATTTTGGGAAATAGTCCTTTCTTTGAATTAAAAATAATGCTTTGATTGTCAGGGTATATTGTTTGCACCCTACTGGGAACAAATGGAAATATTAGGCTCAATAATGTGTATTTATTTTTCTGTGCAATGTCTATATTTTATGCTTCTCTTTCTGACAGGGAAAACCTCATTATGAAATTATTAATGTTCGCAGGGCACAGTGGCTCACGCCTGTAATCCCAACACTCTGGGAGGCCAAGGTGGGTGGATCATGAGGACAGGAGATCGAGACCATCATGGCTAACATGGTGAAACCCCGTCTCTACTAAAAATACAAAAAAATTAGCTCATTATGGTGGCACGTACCTGTAGTCCCAGCTACTCGGGAGGCTGAGGTAGGAGAATCGCTTGAACCCGGGAGGCAGAGGTTGCAGAGAGCCGAGATCGCACCACTGCACTCCAGCCTGGGCAACAGAGCAAGACTCCATAGAAAGAAAGACAGGAAAGAAGGAAGGAAGGAAGGAAGGAAGGAAGGAAGGAAGGAGAGAGGAAGGAGAGGAAAGAGAGGAAGGAGAGGAAGGAGAGGAAGGAGAGAAGAACTAATGTCATTGCTTATAAAAAGTTACTGGCAATTAACTTTCTTTCATTATACTTAATTTAAATGATTTATTACCTTTTGAAGGATATCATAATTTCAACAAATAATTAAGTTTTGCTTTTTATTTTTAAGAAAGTTACCCTGTAAATTGACATGTATTTCTTCAGAAATAAAGGTCACTGAACATGTAAAATTATAATACATCAAAAATGTCTTTTTTTTTTTATTTAAGAAAAAGACGATATTAGCATCATTAGAGATTACCAAAAAAGACTTTGCCAGGCCGGGTGTGGTGGCTCACACCTGTAATCACAGCACTTTGGGAGGCCAAGGCGGGTGGATTGCCTGAGCTCAGGAGTTTGAGACCAGCCTGGGCAACATGGTGAAACCCTGTCTCTACTAAAATACAAAAAATTAGCTGGGCATGGCGGCATGCACCTGTAATCCCAGCTACTCGGGAGGCTGAGGCAGGAGAATTGCTAGAACCCAAGAGGTGGAGGTTCCAGTGAGCCGAGACTGCACCACTGCACTCTAGCCTGGGCTACAGACACAGCAAAACTCCGTCTCTAAAAAAAAAAAAAGACTTCCTAAAGTTGAATAGAAATGAGATACATTAATTCAATGACTTTGAAAGAAAATTTCAATTTCATTATCATAACTTTATGTCAGACATGGCAAATATGTAGACACATACTTTATAAGTAATTTAAGTAATTTTTATTTTGATGTCAATTCCCTGTCAGAGGCAGGTGACTCATAAGCTTTTTATTACGAATAACAGCAATAACGATGCTTATCCTTTACTCTAAAAAATAGAGAATAGTTTTTAGACACAGCATTCTGAGGAGCCATCCTGGACTTATGCAAGAGAAAAACAGCATTTCTCCTTGTATATTGCCATCCACCTGATATGCTTTCTAGGTCAGAGGTCCCAGAAAGAGAGACGCTCTGGTTTAGGGGCACTGCCAGGATGACAATTCTGGCTACCTTTTGTTCTCCGTGTTCTGAGACATGTAAATTAGGCTTTGGAATCCTCTCATCTTGATTAAAGAGCTGCTCCCCGCCCCTTGAGAAAGGTGAAAAGTTTTCTCTACTTCAGGATGATTAGAATATCCTGTCTTCACTCCATCAGCTCTAAAGAGTAGGACTAGGCTCAATAACATGCTGTCCAGTGTTTATCAGGCCTCTCATGTCAAGATCCTGGGATGTCATAAAGGTTGGTGGGGGGGCTCACCTATTGTCACTGCTTTCCCAAGCTTTTCTTTCTGCTCTTCTCTCCCCTGGTACAAAGTGCCGGCTGGTTTTCATGGCTCTGTTCCTTGGACTTAAGATTGAATTACTTGTTCAGAATGAATCACTCCATCTTTGCCACCAGGCAGGTCTTTAAACAGACTGGTCACAAACTGCAAACCAAATAACCCTGGGGGTCAGCTATTCATTATAAAGGAAGTAATCATTCACAATCATCTGCTAATTGCTAGAGAGTGATTCCAATTTTGCTAACCAGTCACTGTTGACAGCTTTGCTCTCAAATTGCCTATGATAGGGTCTCTCCTGACTCAGGTCTTGTTGTTTGTTTGAAATTATTGCCTAAAGCTGACAAAAAAATCATATTTCATTAATATTTAAAATTAAAATTAATGATTACTCTAACAAGTGACAGAATGCTGCTGCTGAATGCCATTGAATTTCTCATTAATATTAATTTGCAGTTTGTAGAGAAGTGGCTTAACAACTGAGCTACCCACACCTAATTAAAATATTGATTAACTGAGCCATAAATCTGTGCTCATGAAATACATTACTTTTAACTGTCTATGTTTGATTTTATGGTCTTTCTTAGCATTTTCAAAATTTATCATATTTTGGTAATATGTACTTTTTCTAGTCGGTTAATTAGCAAATATTTTCTAATTTGCTGATCAGCATAAATTTAACTTGCCAGGAATGACATAAAATTTTCCAATGATTTCTTACCTAAAGACCTTAGAGCCCTAATATCAATATTATCATCATTAACTATGATTTACTCAATATGTTTTAAGAACCTGGGACTGACCTAAGAATATGATTTTCCTTAGTATGGGGAAATTATGCTGTTGATTGGAAATTAGTAGGATATTTAACTTGAATTGTTTTTCTTGATTGCAGTCATTAACTTCCTCCGTGTTTAAGATATTAACACACGTCATGTTTTTATTACTAGATGAAAATGTTACACAAATTTTAAAAAGTAATTTAAAATTCACCACCTTGAACTGGATACTTTTGCACATTCCAACCACAAAACCTGCTTCCCATAAGAGAACAATTTAATTTTTCTATTAATAAGTATTTATTAAATGCATAAACCATTATACAGATTGTTGCTGTGGAGTGTATAGATGAATAACATGCATTCTTAAACTTCAAGGTATCTTACTATTAACTAGGAAAATAGATGAGGTATGCATGCAATTACCAGAATGCAAATTCTGCTTTTTATTCTTCATTTATTTTTATAAATGTGTAATCTGTGTAGGCTTGTGAGAATCCGAGAGAGACAGAGTAAACAAAGTTATTGTAGAGATAAAGCTTCTTTTAGGAGTCTGTCATAATTGGATACTCCTTTACTGAAAAACCCACATACACTATACCAAAGCAGAACGCAAATTTTAGTGTGTGTCAAAATCATCTGGAGGACTTGTTAAAATATCCCTTCTAGGGATCACACTTCAAAAACATTAGATTAGAGACTTTCAAAATTGGTCAGCAGTAAAATATTACATAAGGAACATTTTTTTTTCTTTTTAAACTATTTTCTTTTTTCCTTTTTCTTCCCCCTCCTCCTCCTTCTCCTTTGTAACCTGAACTTCCTCCTCTGCACTCTAATGAGACTCAGTGGATCTGTGCCAGAGATTAAAAAATCAGGCTGGGTGCGGCGGCTCAGGCCTGTAATCCCAGCACTTTGGGAGGCCGAGGTGGTCAGATCACTTGAGGTCAGGAGTTCAAGACCAGACTGGCCAACATGGCAAAACCTCGTCTCTCTAAAAATACAAAAATTAGCCTGGCGTGGTGGCTTGAGCCTGTAATCCCAGCTATTCGGGAGGCTGAGGCAGGAGAACTGCTTGCACCTGGGAGGCAGAGTTTGCAGTGAGCCAAGATCACGCCACTGCTCTCCAGCCTGGTCAACAGAGAGAAACTCTGTCTTTAAAAAAAAGTCACTTTTTAAGAGTTTATGCTGTGTTTTGCTGATTTCTGGGTTAGTTAATTTTCCTTTTCACTATACTGGTGAAAATTAAATCGGTGAAGAGAATTGGGCAAACATGGTGGGTAAGCATAAGATAAAGGTATTGAGGTATTGATTAAAGTGGAGAATTAATTTAGACTCTTTTTTTTTTTTGAGACGGAGTCTCACTCTGTCACCCAGGCTGGAGCTGCAGTGGCGCCATCTCGGCTCACTGCAAGCTCCGCCTCCCGGGTTCACGCCATTCTCCTGCCTCAGCCTCGAAAGTAGCTGGGACTACAGGTGCCCGCCACCACGCCCGGCTAATTTTTTTTTTTTTTGATTCGTTGTTAGGCACGTAAACTCCCCTTCATATACCAAGTGAGGTTCCTTAGGTGTCTACAGGCGGCAGAGTTTAGAATACTGCAGGATACAATGAATTTCTCTGAGTTGCTCTTCAAAAGTTTAGCCTGCTAACTTACTTGTTCTTTGTTCTGAAACCTAACTTTCTTGTTCTACATGCCTCCTTGCCTCTAGTTACTGTAAACAGCCTACCCACTTCCCATCAGCTCTAATCAATAACTTACATCTGTTCCCTTAGTCACCTGTACCCATTATTTCCCCGAAACTGCATGTCTCGTAGGCTTCACCACTGTACCTCACATCCCCCTTCCCTTCCATATTTAGAAAAATATTTACAAGTAGCCAATTGGGTCAGTTTAGATTGTGTGGTCCCACTCCAGCCCATGGGGTAGTGACACAGAGATAGGGATTGCCTTAAGAATAAAACCCCCCTGCTTTCCCTTGTTCCCTGTGCTCTTGCAATCCTGATTGACATGAGCAGCACCCTTGTGCAGAAGTAAATTGCCTTGCTGGGTAAACTATTGCCTGAGTGCTGGTTTCACTTTGTGGCACTGAGCAATTATTTCTGAGCATTTTTATCTCCAGCGATCCTCTTAAAGGCCAGTTCTGATTGCTGACAGGCCATGTGCTTCCGGGGCTGAGGCTCATCAGGAGCTAAGAGTGGTGCTGCACAAAGGCTGGCCTGAGAGATGACTTTGCATTTCTGTGCCTTATGTTCCACCTCCTCTTCATCATGGATCTTTGCATATTTTTAAGCAACCTCTAGTTTCTATGCTATTTTTCACTCTCACCATCCCTAATCCAGTAACATACCTGTGTGTTTCCAAAACTGGAATAAGAGGATATAACAAATAAGGGGCCGGGTGTGGTAGTGCATATAGTCCCAGCTATTTGGGAGGCTGAGGCAGGAGAATTGCTTGAACCCAGGAGGCAGAGGTTGCAGTGAGCCAAGATTGCACGACTGCACTCCAGCCCGGGCTACAGAACAAGACTTCGTCTCAAAAAATAAAAATTAAAAAAAAGTAGGTGGAAGCATCTTCCAGAAGCTTTGGCTTTAATTAAAATGTTAATTGCCACATTATCTCTCAGAAGAGACTCTAATGCTGAATATTTCGTGCACCATAAAAGTGTGTGTGTGTGTGTGTGTGTGTGTGTGTGTGTGTGTGTGTGTATGATATTTTTGTTCTGGTAGGATATTAACAGTCACAGTCACAAACAATGTTTGCCAGTATTTTTTATGATTACTAAATGGACAAAAACTTGGTGTGGAAGATGGCAAAACTAGT
Organism: Homo sapiens; assembly: GCF_000001405.40. Classification (NCBI taxonomy): domain Eukaryota; kingdom Metazoa; phylum Chordata; class Mammalia; order Primates; family Hominidae; genus Homo; species Homo sapiens. The sequence continues at coordinate 39,638,705 of NC_000013.11, forward strand.
CCTTCAATAAAGTATGTAACTTTTATTGCACAATTTCCCCAGTTATCTGTACCTACTGAGGACTAAGCTCTGATTTTTATCTTGCCCAAATTCCTATCTAAGGGTTCTGGGGAGACGTGCCCTAGAAACCATAAATTTTCATCAGATGGGTTTGATTTAACCCTGTATATCATGACATAATCTGACTCTGGCATAACATGGAAGAAAATCAAAATGTTTTACCCCAAAATATATTTCCTTGACATTCCTTGAAATTGCCCTGCAAAGTCTCTTGTGGGAAAAATCCACATCCTATAGAGAATCCCTTTTCCTTTTGTTTTCCTTCCTTCCTTTCCAGATCCAGGATATAATCAACTAAGAGCCAGGCACCCTTTTAAGTCCCATAAGAAACATTTTACAACCTGCTCTTTCTGAAGTTTGCTATCTGACAGCTTCCTCTGCACAATAAAACTTGGTCTCCACAATCCTTTATCTTAACCTGAACATTCCTTTCTATGGATCCCAGATCTTTAGACGAACTCAACCAGTTGTCAACCAGAAAATGTTTAAATTTCCCTATAGCCTGGAAGCCCCTGCTTTGAGTTGTCCCACCTTTCTGAATGAAACCAATGTATTTCTTAAATGTGTTTGAATAATGTCTCATGCCTCCTAAAACATATAAAGCCAAACTATACCCCGACCACCTTGGGCACATGTTCTCAGGACCTCCTGAGGGCTGTGTCATGGGCCATGGTCACTCATTTTTGGCTCAGAATAAATCTCTTAAAATATTTTGGGCTGGGTGCAGTGGCTCACACCTGTTACCCCAGTACTTTGGGAGGCTGAGGCAGGTGGATCATCAGAGGTCAGGAGTTTGAGACCAGCCTGACCAACATGTAGAAACCCGTCTCTACTAAAAATACAAAAAAAATTATCTGGGCATGGTGGTGCATGCCTGTGATCCCAGCTACTTGGGAGGCTGAGGCAGGAGAATTGCTTGAACCTGGGAGGTGGAGGTTGCAGTGAGCCGAGATCACACCATTGCACTCCAGCCTGGGCAACAAGAGCAAAACTCCGTTGAAAAAAAAAATGTACAGAGTTTGACCCTTTTCGTTAACACTACAGAACATGGCTGTGGCACTGACGATCTTATACTAGAAAAGCCTGGCATAGGCTATTCTATTTTTAGAGGACTGATTTGGTTTGCTGGAATTCTCATACTAGAACAAAGTATTTTAAACTTAACTATAATGGTATAAGAGTCTTGGAAAGCCACAGCAGCAGCCATTGAAAATCAGCAAAAAAAATTTCATTTGCTTGTAGAGGTAGCTTTGCAAAACTGCCGAGCTTTAGATGTAATTACTCCAGAAGCAAGAGGAACTTGTGCTTTATTAAATGAAACTTGTTGTTTTATATACATACATCAGTACAGGTAGTACAGGTAGAAGAAAATATAAATAAATTAAAAGAAAACCTACAAATCATTGACAGGCTAAGAGAACAAGTTGGGGCTGAACCCAGCTGGCTAAGGAATTTGTTATCTCCTTTTTAAAATTGGCTATTACCAATAATATTACCTATATTAGGACCTTTAGTAATGATTTTTGTTTCACTACTTTTAGGACTTTGTATCCTGAATTGCCTCGTCTGATATGGAACCAATAATTTATCAGCTGTCAAATTCCAGATGATACTCACCCTAACTGCCCAAGATGGACAACTAATCAAAACAAGCTCAGGCCTCCTATTGTTACAGAGAAGGGGTCCCGACGCAGACCCCAAGGGAAGGTTCTTGGATCTCATGCAAGAAAGAATTCAGAGCGAGTCTATAAAGTGAAAACAAGTGTATTTAAAAAGTAAAGGAGTAAAAAATGGCTACTCCATAGAGACAGCAGCCCCAAGGGCTGCTGGTTGTCCATTTTTAAGGTTATTTCTTGATTATATGCTAAAAACTATAATTAGATATTATTGCATTGTGAATTATTTATGCCTCCCGATAAGAGAAGCTGGCTGCCTTCAGCAAAATCCTTTCCTGAAGCTTTTGTAAAACCTCCTGGCCTTCCAAGAAGGTTTGCATCTTTCTACGATTTTTCTCACCATCCTGACCGATCTCCTACACTTTATGACCTGTATCTTGTGCCAACCTCCTATCTCATCCTGTGACCTAGAATGCCTTAATGTCTGGGAATGCAGCCCCGTAGGTCTCAGCCTCATTTTACCCAGCCCCTACTCAAGATGGAATTGGTCTGATTTAAACACCTCTGGCACTAACATCTCCTTTAGACAGAGCAGGGCGAGAGTTCTGTGGTCACAATAGGTAGGGACTATGCCCCAATCAGCATGAAGCAGTTACAGAAGGAAAGACCATCAGTCCCTCTGCCTCCCATAAAGATTTCCCACCCTGTAGAATGCTTTCATGTTTGAATAAATCCCTGCTTTCACTGCTTCATTCCTGTTCCTGTGTTTTATTCCTTTGTTAGTTTGTGTGTTTTGTCCAATTATTTGTCCAAAACACCAAGTTCCTGGAGAATTCATACACAAGGCCCTCCTTCTGGTAACAGCTGGATGATATTACATTTAATTAATAGGTTTTTTTTTTTTAAGACAGTCTCACTCTGTCGCCCAGGTTGGAGTGCAGTGGCATGATCAAGGCTTACTGCAGCCTCAACCTCTGGGCTCAAGTGATCCTCCTACCTCAGCCTCTAAAGTAGCTGGAAGCCTCCCAAGTAGGTGGGTGAGCCACCGCACCTGGCTGGTTTGATATTTCTTGTTGTCAGCTTGACAACCTCCTCTAAAATAAACTTGAACCATAATCCATTCCTGAGCTGGATCACATACAAAAAGATGACCAACTCTATTAAAATCTAAAACCTATCAAAATCTAAGATCACTTTTCATTTTTTAAACGGTATTTTGTACATATGTTAGTCAATAATAACATCTGAGATGGTATATTACAATTATATAATATAATTGAGACACAACAGGCGACTATAAAATGTAACACCATTCTACTTGGAAGTAACCTTTAGAAATGTGGCATTTCTTTCTGCTCCAAACCATAGATTCCTGCTGTTGAAAGGAACTTCAGTTTGATCTTCCACCAAATGGAGAAGTCTCTTCCTTAACATCTCTAGGTTTGTCAGCTGGCCCTTGCTTCACTTCCTCTAGTGAGAGTGAATGTATGACCACCCTCTTGTTGGACAGCTCTAAATGATAGAAAGTTCTTCTTTTCCAAAGTTTTCACAATTATGTTAATCTTTTGTCCATGAATTAGGTATCTCTCATTCTAAAACCATATATTTTCATTTTATCATACTGCTTCCAAATGGATATCTGCTATATGCCAAAAAGTGTGCAGGGTAATTGTTGAGAACAGAAAAATTAATGAGACCTGGTGCCCCTTTTTTTAAATTTTATTTTATTATTATTTTTTTAGATGGAGTCTCGCTCTGTCGCCAGCCTGGAGTGCAGTGGTGCGATCTCAGCTCACTGCAACCTCCGCCTCCCGGGTTCAAGCGATTCTTCTGCCTCAGCCCCCTGAGTAGCTGGGACTACAGGTGCGTGCCACCATGCCCAGCTAATTTTTATATTTTTAGTAGAGATGGGGTTTCACCATATTGGTCAGGATGGTCTCCATCTCTTGAATTTGTATTCTGCCCACCTCAGCCTCCCAAAGTGCTGGGATTATAGGCATGAGCCACCATGCCCAGCCTCTGGTGCCCCTTCTTAAGGGCACCTTATGTTTATAATCTACTCATAGAAGAGATAATACATGTGCATAATTATTTCTACCTCAGATGTCAAAGAGAACTTTTCAATTCTATGAATCTTTGTTCAGATGAGGTTAAAAAAAAATGATACCCCAGACGGAAGGAGGTTTAATGAAGGAGAAACCTGGTAGGTGGTGATACAGGGGTAACAGGGGCAGAACATTGCAGGCAGAAGAGAAGGCATGAGCATGGTGAGGAGGGCAAGCACTGGGCATGTTAAGAAACAGGATTAAAACTCTTGGAGTATAGTAGAAACTAAACATAGGGCAGCAGTGAGAGTGAAATATAGGCCGTGCTGGGGTTGGTTGAGGTCAAGTTATAGAGCACCTGGAAGCCAGAGAAAGCAGTGTGGATTCGATTCTCTACACTAATGTCCTCCAAAGTGGAGCATAAACTCCAGGATGTAGGTAAGAGAATGCATGGGGGTGTGAGAAGATGTCAAAGCTTCTGCTGAGCTTTAATTTTTAATCTTAAAGGTAAAAAAAGCAGTATGAAATGTACTCTATTGGTTGAATGCCTTCACTGTCTACATTTCAAGGTCACATGTTGCATTTCATGTACAGTAGAGGAGGCTTCCTGAGGGTACCGTGGAAGCTCCATAATGCTGAGAGGTTGAGGGGAAGCTTCACTTTTTGTTGCCTTTCATTGAGTTTTCAGGTTATGAGGGACCCAGTTAGTTGGCATTATAGATTATGTCATCTAATTTTAACTAAATTCGTCTTTACAAAATTACAGATAGATTTAAAGAGATTCCTTTAGAGAAGCCACAGATTGAAAATAATACTCAAGGTCGGGTGCGGTGGCTCACGTCTGTAATCCCAGCACTTTGGGAGGCTGAGACAGGCTGATCACAAGGTCAGGATTTCGAGACCAGCCTGACAAACATGGTGAAACCCCGTCTCTATTGAAAATAGAAAAATCAGCCGGGTGTAGTGGCGCGCACCTGTAATCCTAGCGACTCAGGAGGCTGAGGCAGAAGAATGGCTTGAGCCTGGGAGGCGGAGGTTGCAGTGAGCCAAGATCACACCATTACACTCCAGCCTGGTCCAGCCTGGGCCACAGAGTGAGACTCCATCTCAAAAAAAAAAAAAAAAAAAAAAAAAAAAAGAAAAGAAAAGAAAATAATACTCATAATACAATTACAAATAAAATATGGTACAGCTGACCTTCCTTTGATTCCAAGTACAAGATATTCAACACCCACATTACAAGAAAAAAACAGTGCTAATCGGATGAGGTCTGACAAGAAATACTATTCTAAAAGTGACAATGAAATATGGCTATAGATGCAATTTTATTTAGGTGAACCTTCTTATAAGTAGTATTCAGTAATATATATTGTGACTTTGTGAAATGTTGAGACGTTTCTTTCTCTGTTTTTTGCCATGTTAGTGTTCAACTTGAAACTAGAATAGCTACTTTCCGTTGCTGTATCACAAAGTATTAAACAAAGGCTTTTAAAAACATACATACAACAAAGCATATACATAGGTTTAAATACGAATAGATATATAAAAATTATATGACTATAAAATATTTAATACATATATTATGTGCACATTATAATATTAATGATAAAAATTTAGAAAGCCAAAAAGTTTTTTGAAACATTAATAAGTAAAAAAAAATCATTGAAAATATTTTTATTTTCACTGTATCTCAACCATTAAAATTTTTAGGCCTGTTTAAGAATGTACCTGAAATGCTATGTTTTCAGCTTCATTTAAAATAGAAGAGACCAGGTGCGGTGGCTCACACCTGTAATCCCAGCACTTTGGCAGATGAATAGCTTGAGCCTAGGAGTTTGAGACCATCTTGGGCATATATTTTTAATCAAATATATATTGAATAAGCAAGGCAACACCACAGATAACTTATCGCTACCAAAACACAAAATTTAGCTAGGCATGGTGACATGCATCTGTGGTCTCAGTTACTCAGGAGGCTGAGGTGGGAGAATCACCTGAGCCCAGTAAGCTGAGGCTGTGGTGAGCCATGATGGTGCCACTATGCTCCAGCCTGGGAGACTGGAGTGAAACTCCATCTCAAACAACAACAACAACAAAATAGAATATATTTGCTTCCATTTGGATCATGATTTATTCAAATAAAGTTGGTCCATCTATTTATTTATATTAATTTTTAAGTTATTCAACAATACTTACTAAATTCTTCCTTGCTAATTAAGTCTGGCTGCTATAACAAAATAGCACAGACTAAGTGGCATGTAAACAACAAATATTTATCTCTCATAGTTCTGGAGACTTGGAAGTCAAAAACCAAGATGCCAGCAGATTTGGTGTCTGATGAGGGCCTGGCCTCTTTCCTAAACATGGTGACTACTTGGAGAGTTCTCACATAATAGAAAGGGTGTGCTAGCTCTCTTTGGTCTCTTTTGTAAGAGTGAAACCCTCATGATCTACTCGTCTCCCAGAAGTCCTACCTCTTTTTTCTTTAATTTTACTTTAAGTTCTGGGATACATATGCTGAACATGCAAGTTTGTTACATAGGTATACATGTGCCATGGTGGTTTGCTGCACCTATCAACCCATCATCTAGGTTTTAAGCCCCACATGCATTAGGTATTTGTCCTAATGCTCTCCCTCCCCTTCCCCCCATCCCCTGACAGGCCCTGGTGTGTGATGTTCCCCTTCCTGTGTCCATGTGTTCTCACTGTTCAACTCCCAATTACGAGTGAGAACATATGGTGTCTGGTTTTCTGTTCCTGTGTCAGTTTGCTGAGGATGATGGTTTCCAGCTTCATCCATGTCCCTGCAAAGGACATGAACTCATTCTTTTTTATGGCTGCATAGTATTCCATGGTGTATATGTGCCACATTTTCTTTATCTACTCTATCATTGATGGGCATTTGGGTTGGTTCCAAGTCTTTGCTATTGTGAATAGTGCTGCAATAAACATATGTGTGCATGTGTCTTTATAGTAGAATCATTTATAATCTTTTGGGTATATACCTAGTAATGAGATTGCTGGGTCAAATGGTAAGTCCTACTTCAATACCATCACCTTGGGGGCAGGATTTCAATGTACACATTTTGAGGAAACACAAACATTCAGACTATAGCACCTGCTAAATTTCAGGAACTGCATAAAGGACCCGGTATTCAAAGATGAATGGCATAGTTTCTAACCTCAGTAGTTCACAGACTAGTGGAAATAATAAAAACACATGGATAATTATTTTTACTGTGAAATGTACAGTGAGAGAACAATCTTTAGGATTATTTGAAAGCACATGGAAGGGACACCTGGCCTAACTAGGAAGGCACTTAGGAGATGAGGCTCCTGAGCAACCTAAATGAATAAGTCTAATCAAGGGAAGAAGAAAGGAAGGGCATTCCAGGCAGAGGCGTAGGATAGGCAAGGCACAGCATAGTGTACATGGGAAACGTAAGCAGAAAGAGTTCAACAGAAATCAGATTCTCTGTGACAGGTGGGTGCTTAATTCCACTAAGAGGCCCTGGGTTCGTATATTCTGAAAATAAAATCAATAGCAATCAATTAAAAGCAGAAGGCTGCCAGGCCTATGCAGAATAATGACTGGGAGGCCAACTAGAAAGAAGGAAAAATAGATAGTTTGTGTGTTAAAGCTGCCAGCATAGAGGTTGAATAATGAAATTACTAACTGTGATATTTAAATTGGAGACCCTGCTATTGAGGGGTTAAATGTGGTATGTACTGAATAAATAAGGCAACCCTACAGGTTGGGACTACAAGAACAGACAAGTGAACACAATTAGAATTTTGCTTTTAGAGAATGAATGAATATATAAAGAAAGAGGACACAACCAGAGCTTTAGAAAGTACATGAATATTTATACCTTAATACTAGACGATGTATTTATGTATATGCATGGACATGTGTGTGCCAGATGAACGTTGAGACTGAAAGAGAATAGGAAATGTGTGTAAATATATGTACTTTGTCGGAGAACGAGGAATTGTTGTATGGGACTTGGACTGAAAAGGTTGATTGTATAGTTTCACTGATGGTGGTGTGACATAGCTCAGATATATGTGGCAGTTGTGTGTTATTTTCCAAATTAGATAATTCAGCTTCTATACATCTTATTTCATAACCCAGGCATTGTTATAGCATTTTGCAGACATTGCAGTGTGGGTGGAGCAATCTGTCCATCTCACAATGGGTCCATGATGAGTTGTTTTGTGCAGTGATTTTGATGATGGTTATGTGTGCCTAGTTTCCTTATGTTTTTGCCTCTCCTACAAGCTTGGTTCTTCCTCCTTCTTGTTGATTCTAAGACCTACCCACTATTCTTTCAATAAATACATTTCTATTTAAATCGTCTTCAGTCTGCTCCTAACAATTGCAATTAAGAACCCTAACTTACAAAGCCATAAAACTTCATTTCAATCCTTTTCATTGAGTAAGCCTTTAGCCTACTAAGGCACATATATTGTGCCTGATGCTGTGCTGGAAACTGGGTAGACAAAGATGAGTGACATAGTCCTTATCATACAGGTACTTCGAGTCTAGTGGGGGAACAACAAATATAAAAAGAAATTTTAAAAATAATGATATGATGTGGAATTTGCATGAGGGACCAATTAATTCTGCTCAAGGAGAGGTAGGGTGCTTCATGAAGGTACAAAGAATTGTTTGAGTGGGGCCTGAAGGACAAATTGGATATCACTAGTTTTATAAGAGAAGGCTTTCCTGAAAGAGTGGTGCCAAAATCTGAATGTTTGTGTCCCTGCAAAACTCATAAGTTGAAATTCTAATTCCCAAGTTAGAATTAGGAGGCTTGGCCTTTGGGAGGTGATTAGGCCATGAGGGTGGAGCTCTCATGATAGGAATTCGTGTCCTTGCAAAAGAGGCCTCAAAGAACTCACTAGCCACTTCCTCCTACCTGTGAAATTACAGTGAGAAGGAGCCATTTATGAACAAGGAAGCGGGCCCTCACTTGACTCCGAATATGCCAGTGCCTGGATCTTGGACTTCCCAGCCTCCACAACTGTGAAAAATAAATTTCTGTTGTTTAAAAGCTCTCCAGTTTACGTATTTTGTTATAGTAGCCCAAATGGACTAACACAAGTGGGTTGTAGGAGCCAACAAAAGGAGATGAAAGTTTGTGATGCACTTGTAGCCTAGCAAGTAGAGTATGGCCAGAATGTTGCAATCATGAAGCAAGTGCCTAGAAATAAGGCCAGAGTGATAACATGAAATCTGATGATGAGATCTGATTATGAATGCCTGTGTATACCATAATAAAACATTCATTTATTTGATAACTACCATCACAGTTTTTATTTTATTTCATTTTATTACTTTTTTACTTTTCTTTTTTCTTTATTTTTGTTTTTTTTAAAGATCCCCACTAGATACCTGTTTCACAAACCATCACGATTTTTAAAGCAAAAAAATGACAGGATCAAATCTGTGTTTTAGAAAAATAATGCTGGTGTCACTGTGAAGGCAGTAAGAACCTGGTCAAGGCAACACCAACATAAAACACATTTGAACGTTTAGCTGCAAAAATTTTTGCTTACATTCCAAGGGAGAGGTGTACACAGCTCAAAACCGAGAAAGCAGTAATGCAACCCTTTATTTATTTTTCATTTATTATTATTATTTTTTAAAAAGAGAGTCTCGCTCTGTTGCTCAGGCTGGAGTGCAGTGGCATGATATTGGCTCTCTGCGACCTCTGCCTCTCCGGTTCAAGAGAATGTCCTGCCTTAGCCTCTGGAGTAGCTGGGAATACAGGTGCACACCACCATGCCTAGCTAATTTTTGTATTTTTAGTAGAGACAGGGTTTCGCTAAGTTGGCCAGGCTGGTCTCGAACTCCTGACCTCAAGCGATCTGCCCACCTCGGCCTCCCAAGATGTTGGAATAATAAGCATTAGCCACCACGCCTGGCTGAACCCTTTAGCTAAACGCCAACTTAGGTGGTAGCTGGCTGTGTTATCTGAGTTAGCCATATATCCTTGGAAAGGTTTCTTTAGTCTTGGATTACTCATCAAGAGGAGTACTAATTACATGATAATGTAATGATCCTTATGTTTCAGGGTAGCTGTGAAGATAAAAATAGTGTATAATAAATTCTAGCACAGAGCCTGATTTTCAATAAACATAGTTGCTAAATAACGGGAGCTACTATTATCAACACAATGAAAGATGTCGAAGGCTGAAAATTCTATGACTCACTAGACATAGCCGTAATAAATGCCATATTATATTTTGATGAAGCCACAGTAACCAATACAAAGTGACTTCCTCTTATTTCAGAAGCCAAAGGGCAAGAAAGCTTAACCATCTAAAGCAATGGTGTCCAATCTTTTGGCTTCCCTGGACCACACATAAAATACACTAACACTAATGATAGCTGAAGCTCTAAAAAAATTGCAAAAAATCCATAATGTTTTCAGTGAGTTTACAAATTTGTGTTGGGCAGAATTCAAAGTTGTCCTGGGCCATATCCATGCAGTCTGTGGGCCTCAGGTTGGACGAGCTTGATCTAAAGGAGAGGAATAGGAACTTGGAGAGGCCCTCCTTTCAACCTTTTCTTTTTTTTCTTTCTTTTCTTTGTTTTTTTTTTTTTGTTTGTTTGTTTTTAGATGGAGTCTTGCTCTGTCGCCCAGGCTGGAGTGCAGTGGTGTAATCTCGGCTCACTGCAACCTCCGCCTCCCAGGTTCAAGCAATTCTCCTGCCTCAGCCTCCCTGGTGACTGAGATTACAGGTGCGCACCACCATGTCTGGCTAATTTTTGTATTTTTAGTAGAGACAGGGTTTTACCATGTTGGCCTCGAACTCTTGACCTCAGGTGATCTGCCCACCTTGGCCTCCCAAAGTGCTGGAGTTACAAGGGTGAGCCACCACATCTGGCCTCAATCATTTCTTAGAAGGTAAGAATCTCCACATTTCAGTCTACTGCATGGTTCTTCTGTCATTTTCTTTTAAATCCTTTGCTCTTTTACATGCGTGTATTTGTTCTCCTATTAAATTGAAATGTTTAGGTCAAAGCATATCTTTTAATTATTTTAATGTTCTACTACTTTATGGAGCTTACTATAAACAATTATCTTTCACATTTTCACTAAAAAACGTTACTTTCAAAAATATATGGATACATACACACACACGTATCTGATGAGGCACACCTGAAAATTTATTTTAACTCTTGACAAATATTGATTTTAAGCTCTTAACAATTTATAATTAACCTCATAAAAACATACTTAAGTAAGCATTTAAAACATAAAATAATTTCCCTGTTTTCATGCTACCACATATTATTTTAATTCATGAATTATCTCATTTACTTTTTTACAATTGTTAATTCAGAGAATTAGAAATAAACAAGAAAAGTGGGTCATGGTTACTCTACCTTAATAACCTCTGTTAATATATTTAGTAATACATGAATAAGACTAGACAATTTCAATCAGTTTAGAAAGGTACAAAATGGAAAATGGAAGCCTTCCTTCCACTGGAATGCCATCCTGAAAAAAAATCTAAATTTATATGTATCTCTCCATTTCGTGCACGTAAGTGATCTCATCATACATACATAATATAGCTTGCTTTTTCACAGAGTATATTGTGGAATTATTTCCATGTTAGCATTTAAATCTCCTTCATAGCAGATAACACTTGCATAGTATTCTGCTGAATGAATGAGTGCATGATAGTTTATTTGTTCAGTCCTGTATTGATAGACACTCTGGTTGTCTCTCTTTCCTCCTCCCTCCCTTAGTCTCTCCTTCCTTCCATCCTTTCTTTCTCTCTCTCTCTCTTTCTGCTTTTCTCCCTTCCTTCCTTCCTTTCTCTTTCTTTCTCTCTCTATCTCTATTTTTCTCTCTATTACAAACCATGGTAGATAAATATCTTTGTTCATATACTGTGGGAAGTTTTTGCATTATATCCATAGTAAATGCCTAACAGGAAGAGTGCCATGTTATGAGGACACTCAGATAGCCCTGTGGGAGGGACCATTTGGTGAGAAATTGAGCCTCATTTTAGTAAGTAGCATATGCCAGCCATGTGAGTGAGCCACCTCGAAGTGAATCCTCCAGCACCAATTAAGCTTTCAGATGACTGCAGTCCTAGGTAATATCTGATTGCAGCTTCATGAGAGACCCTGAGCCTAAACCGCCTAGCCAAGTCACTCTTGATTTCCTGACTGACAGAAGTTATGATTTTTTTTAATATACTAGTTTTGGGGAAATATGTTAAGCAATATCAGATAACTAAAATACTTACGGCTTGGAACAGTGGTTGTCAACCCCGGACAATTTTGCCCCTCAGGGACATTGGCAATGTCTGGAGACATTTTGATCGTTCCAACTGGGGAGGATGCTACTGGCATTTAGTAGGTAGAGGCCAGTAATGCTGCTAAACATCCTACAGTGAACAGAATAGTTCCCAACAACAACAAAATATGCAGCCCCAAATGTCAATGGTGCCAAAGTTAAGAAATCCTGAATCCTAGAATAACTTAAATAACATTGGAATCAATTTTTTTTTTTTAAAACATAAGGTCTCACTCTGTCGACCAGGCTGGTGTGCAGTGGCATGATCTCGGCTCACTGCAACCTCCGCCTCCCAGGCTCAAGCAATCCTCCCACCTCAACCTCCTGAGTAGCTGAGACTACAGGTGTGTGCGATACCACGCTTGGCGAAATTTTTGTATTTTTGAAGTGACAGGGTTTCTCCCTCTTGCCTAGGCTGGTCTCAAACTCCTGGGCTCAAGTTATCTGCCTGCCTCAGCCTCCAAAAGTACTAGGATTAGAGGTGTGAGCCACCATGCCCAGCCCAAATATTTTCTTTCTTTCCTTCTCCTTTTCTTTCCTTCTTCTTTTCTCTCCTGCTTTCTTTTCTTTTCTCCACACCCGCCTCCAGCCCTCCCTCTCTTTCTTTTTTCTTTTTTTTTGGTGACAGATTCTCACTCTGTTACCCAGGCTGGAGTGCAGTGGTGCAATCACGGCTCACTGCAGCCTCAACCTTCTGAGATCAAGTGATCCTCCCACTTCAGCCTCCCAAGTAGCTGGGATACAAACATGCACCACCACAACTGGCTAATTTTTAAAATTTTCTATAGAAGTGGGGTCTCTTGATGTTGCCCAGGCTAGTCTCGTATTCCTGGGCTCAAGTGATCCTCCTGCCTCTATCTCCCAAAGTGCTGGGATTACAGGTATAAACCACTGTGCCCAGCCTCTGTATCTTTTTCTTTTCTTCTTCTTTTTTTTTTTTTTTTTTTTTTTAAAGAAGGGGTCTTGCTCTACCATCCAGGCTGGAGTGCAGTGGTGCAATCTTGGCTCACTGCAACCTCTGCCTCCCAGGTTCAAGCGATTCTCCTGCCTCAGCCTCCTGAGTAGCTGGGATTACAGGCATGAGCCACCACACCCGGCTCCATATCTTTTTTAATTTTGGATTTTTAATCACCTTTACAGGCAGCGGTAATTGATGAAGTAAGTCCTGACCAACATAAAAACACATTTTTGCAATGAGGTGCTAAAGAGTCACACAACTTCTTTTGCAAGCTAGTTGAATTCCAAGATCCTGTCCTTTTTGGAGTTTTGGAAAACAATATGTGAAATAGGTTATTATTTTAATTCTAACACTTTTTCTATAGATCCTTCTGGATTATCTAGGGACACATTGCATCACCTATCAAAAAGTGTAAATTTTAAAAATTCTCTCTAATCTTTATGACTTTTTTCTTAGTTTATTATTCTGGTTTGAGCTTCTAGTGAAATATTGAATAGCAGTGTTAGTGGATAGTTTTTGTCTTATTCTTGATGTCAAGGAGAAAGTTTTAAATATTTCCTTAGGTGTGATGTTTGTCATAGGGTTTTTTTTTGTATATACTCTCAATCCAATTAAGGAAATCCCCTTTTATTCAAATTGCTAAGAGTTTACTTGTTTCTTTAATCATGAATGGATATTGGATTTTATCATCGGCTTTTTCTCAATCTATAGAAAAGCTCACATGGGAGAAAGAATAGTCCTTTTAGCAAATGGTGTGGGAGACAACTGAATATCCACATTTAAGACAATAAAACTGGATCCCTACCTAACATCCATACACAAAAATTAGCTCAAGGTACAAGATAGGCTTTAATATAAGTGCTGAAACTATAAAATTTTATTAGGCCTGTGCAAAAGTAATTGCGATTTTTGCCATTACTTTCAATGGCAAAACCTGCAATTACTTTTGTGCCAATGTAATAGAAGAAAACACAGGAATAAATTTTTGTGATCTAGGTTGGGTAATAATTTCTTGAATAAGGCACCAAAAGCACAAATAATAAAAAAGGAAATTGATAAGTTGTATCTCATCAAATTAAGATTAATTGTGCTTCAAAGGATGCCATTGAGAAAGTGAAAAGACAAGCAAAAGTAGGAAAAAATATTTTCCAATAAATTGTTAGGACTAGTATCCAGAATATATAAAGAATTCTTACAACTCAATATCACTAGTCACTAGGAAATGGAAAGCCAAATCTCAATGAGGTATCATATCACACTGAGTAGGATGGATAAGATAAAAAAGACAGACCATAATGAGTGTTAGTCAGGATGTGAAGAATACTGGAGCCCCTCATACAGTGCTGGTGGGAATGAAAAATGGGGCAGTCACTTCGGAAAACTATTTGACAGTTTCTCAAAACATTAAACATAGAGTTAACCATAAGAACAATCTACTCCTAGGTATCTTCCTAAGGAAAGTGAAAACATACATCCACACAAAAACTCTCACATGAAAATTCACAGAGACATTTTTCATAAAAGCCAAAAATTTGAAACTACCTAAATAGCCATCTGACGAATGAATAAAATATGGGAGATCCATACAATGGATTATTATTTGGCAATAATAGGGAATGAAACACTGATACAAGCTACAAAATAGATGAACCTTGAAAAATTATGCTAAGTGAAAGAAGTCAGGCATGAAATGTTACATATTGTATAATTCTGTTTATATGAAATGTCCAAACTGGCATATCTATAGAGACAGAGAGCAGATTTGTGGTTTCCTAGGGTGGTAGAGAGGGGAAAATGGGGAGTGCTAGTGGGTACAGTTTTCTTCTTAAAGTAATGAAAATGTCTTAAAATTAGATGATGGTGATATTTGCCAACTCTGTAAATGAACTAAAAGCTGTCATATTTTATACTTTTAATAGGTGAAGTTTATGGCCTGTAAATTATATCTAAATAAAGATTTTAAAAATTAATATAAATTTGTATTTTTTATTACTTAAACATTTTGTCTATTTATCTCCAATTTACTTTTTAAAATAAACAGCTTTATTTTTTTTTTTTCAATTTTAAGATAGGGCCTTGCTCCATCACCCAGGCTAGAGTAGAGGGCAGTGGCATGATTATGACTTACCGCAGGCTTGAGCTCAAGTGATACTCCCACCTCAACCTTCCAAGTAGCTGGGACCACAGGCATGCCACCACACTCGACTAGTTTTCGTATTTTTTTTTTTTTTTTTGTAGAGACAGGGTCTCGCTATGTTGCCCAGGCTGGTCTTTAACTCCTGAACTCGAGATCCCCCTGCCTAAGCCTCCCAAAGTGCTGGGAATACAGGTGTGAGCCACCATACCTGGCCTAAAAAACAGATTTGAGATGAAACTTGCATGCCATTCAATTCATTCATTTAAAGTGTACAGTTCAGTGTTTTTTAGTATATTTACAGAGTTGTGCAACCATCACCACAATTTAGCTTTAGAGTATTTTCATCTCCCCAAAAATTAACCTGTACCATGAACTGACACTCCCCATTCCCTCTTCCCAACACTCCTCTTCCCAGAACCACTCATCTACTTTCTATCTCTATTGATTTACCTATTTGGGAGATTTCACATAAAGAGGTCATACAATATGTGGTATTTCATGACCGCTCCTGACTTGGCATGTTATCATCGTCATTCCTTTTAATTGTACATATTTGCAAGCTCTACATTATATTATTGCTTTGTATATATGCAAATTCATTTGGATATATACACCTTAGGTAAACCTTTGATATTTTAATTTTGGTTACACTGAACTTAAATTTATCTGTGAAAGAGAAAAGACATCTTACAATATTGAGTCTTCCTGTTGAAGAGAACAATATATTTTTTCATTGATTTAAGTTTTATGTTCTCCCAGTAGCATTTTAAAGTTTTCTTCATCTAGGTTCTCTGTATTTTTTGTTGAATTCATACCTAGATATTGCTGCTTTTTGTATATTTTTTTCTTTTGGATAGTTGGGCCTTCTCTTCTTCATTAGAGTAGAGATGAGTGGTTTTGTCAGTGCTTTCTTTATGTGACCTCTGTAATAGGTAATTTTCCCTTAAGTCTGATATACAATATAACTATGTACATAGACATATATGAAACAAGGAAAATTTATGACAAGAGCCAAATAGTGTTTCTGACAAATAATTCACAGAAGCCCAGCGATTTTATTTTGATCCAAATTTTAAAAACTGAGAAAAGAAAGAAAAAAAGCAATGATGTTTGTTTTCCAGAGTTTCCCGGGAAGTTTTTTCAACTTGTTACATTTTTATCCATTACTTTACAGCTACATGGGCTCTGGTCCATTTGTGTCAGGGCCAAGTTCATCTTGTTTTGAGGCCTGTACACTTACACACTTTCTTCTGCCTGGGAATGATTTCTCCTCACATTCTGATTCTCCTTCAAATCTCAGTTTAAGTGTCAACTCCTCTCCAAACCTCCCTGAGTGAAGTGGGCCTTTCCCTCCATTTTCTTTCACTGTACTACTTCATCCCCTGAGCACTCATCACAACCTAATAACATCTATTAACAGCTTTGTCTGTTTCAGACACACAATGTAGATTCTCCAATGCCTACCAGAGTACCTGGCACATACTATGCCTTCAATAAATAATTTTCAAAAAAATGAATTCAGATAAGGCAAATGTAATTTAAACTTTCAGTTAACTTATATTGAATGTATATGCCAGGCACAAGTCATGGTGTATTTTACATACTACATTTGGTTGTCATCTAATTAGCTCTGAAGGTCGCAGATCCATAATTCCAAAGTCCTCTCTAATCCTATAAATTTTCTCCTTCTACCTGAGGGTCTTGTCCCGCCCCCCACATCTTCTCCGCCCCTCACGCTTCTGAGAGCCCAAGCAGGGTTACCCGGCGAAGACTTCCGGGGCCGATGCGCATGCGCGGCCGATTTGCACATGCGCAATACTCGCGCTGCCTCCGTGGTCCCTGCCTGGCTGAGGTGGCAGCAGGGGGCGGGACGCGCAGCGCTATGGCAGAGGGCAGCGGGGAAGTGGTCGCAGTGTCTGCGACCGGGGCTGCCAACGGCCTCAACAATGGGGCAGGCGGGACCTCGGCGACGACCTGCAACCCGCTGTCGCGCAAGCTGCATAAGATCCTGGAGACGCGGCTGGACAACGACAAGGTAACCGGGGCTGGCGGGGCCGGAGTCACAGGTTCCTGCGGGGCTGAGCCGGGCCAGGGGCGGCGTCTGTCAGGGACCCACCGCGGTCTCCCTCGTCCCGGCAGCAGAGGGACCGCGAGTGACCCCAGACCTGCGGGCTCCGCTGCTCTGCGGGCGCCGGGGGCGGTGAGAAGGGGGAGCCCCAGCAACCTCCGGAAAAGCGAAGGGGTTTCCTGGGTGTTCTCTCCACCTGAAAAGGTGCCTTCAAGGCTCTCTGGATGGGATTGGTGAACGGTGGTGCCTCGAGAAGTGTCCTCCAAACACCCCTGGAGGCGTTTGGCTGTGTGAGCTGGGAGAGTGGAGGAGAGCACAAGACTGGATATGAAACAGATGCAAAAGAGCAGATTCCAAGATAAGGTAGCGCAAATGGGGGTCGGGAGACCAAGAGAGCAGTGGTAGGGATAAGGGTGCATTTCCACGGACAAGTGACAACAATTGCAATAATTTGCAGCGCGAAAGAACTACCTTTGCCCGTGGCTGAAATGAACTCATATCTACTAGTTTTTGTTGAGCCAAGCGCTATGATTTGTGGGCTCAGGCTGTATTTCTTTAGAAGATAAACTGACAGCATGCTCTCACAAGTACCTCCTGAAACTTAAGTTGGACTTTACAGCTCCTCACATACCCAGCCATCTCTTCTGTCTCTGTGGGTCGCTAGGTAAATTGGTCATGACAGTGTAACATAAAGAAGAACATATGTCAAAGTTAGAGAGTTTTATAGGTGAATATGTAGGTAACTGAAAATAAGCTGTCGATAACAATTTGATTCCGATATGTAAAAAAATAACATTGCAATGTAATGAATAAGAAATTAGGGCTCTGGAGACTACCACTTATTAGATAGAACCACTAAATGTGTGCATCATGATTTGAGTAAGTCCCTTCACTAATCTCAGCTTCTGTTTAGGAATTAGGAATCCTGCTGTTAAGTTTCTCATGGTTGTTATTTGAGGACTCAGTGAGAGACTCCAGGTAAAGTCCTTTGCAAAGAGCCTGGCACTTACTCTTTCTTAACAAATATTAATTTTATCATAAAATTTATGAAGTGTTTAATGTGTCTCATATTGATATTTATTATATCATTTAAGACTGCTACTTGCTCTGATATAGATAACATGGCCTTCTTTTTTGGACAGAGTTTTGCTCTTTTTGCCCAAGCTGGAGTGCAATGGGCGCAGTCTCGGCTCACTGCAACCTCTGCCTCCCGGGTTCAAGCGATTCTCCTGCCTCAGCCTCCCAAGTAGCTGGGATTACAGGCATGTGCCACCACGCCTGGCTAATTTTGTATTTTTATTAGAGACGGGGTTTCTCCATGTTGGTCAGGCTGGTCTTGAACTCCTGACCTCAGGTGATCTGCCCGCCTCAGCCTCCCAAAGTGCTGGGATTACAAGGCGTGAACCACTGCGCCCGGCCACATAACCTTCTTTTTACCATGAGGAAAATAAAGCATGGAGAGAGTGCAGCTAGGTTGTCATATAACTAGTAACTGGTGGAACTGTAATTTGCATCTGAGTCTGTGATTTCATTCGTTCAACATTACTGATTACTTCTTTGAACCAGACCTTAGGACATTTCAAGGCTATAGTCTAAAGAAACTGCTTCACTTCATGGGTTTTTTTTTTCTGTACAGTAAGTATTTATAGTTGTAAACATATTTTTGCTTCCTCTGAAATATTAAATTGAATTTATATAAATAGTTTTACTGTTTTTGTCAATCCAGCCAATATTTCAAAATAACAAATAGAAACATGAAAGGGTAAGCCTACTAGAATATACAGTAGTGGAGGTGTAGAAATGTATATCTGCAGAATTTAGTGTACAATGGGGATGTCCTGGGCTTGGTTCTCTGCTCTCTCTTCCATTCATGTTTTCTCTGTAAGAAAAATCTTGTACTTTCATGGTTTTAAGTAGCAAAAAGCATGATTACTCTCAAATTTATAACTCTGTTTCTGACATCTACTGAGCTCCAGATTTGTAGAATTAGTTGTCTATACTATACCTCCAATTGGATACTGATTGACGTCATAGAACTTAACATGGGCGGAACTCTTGATTTTTCCCTAAACTGGTTCCGCTCTCACTAAAGAACGTCACCATTTACCCAGTCAAGCAAGAAGCATATGAATAATTTTGGATTCTTGTCACTTTTTTTTTTTTTTTTTTACATCTCCTGCAAATCCACAAACATATCTTATAGGTTCTACTTTGAAGAATATTTTTGGAATATCTTTTTTTTTTTTTTGAGACCAAGTCTCACTCTGTCGCCCAGGCTGGAGTCCAATGGAGAGAACATGGCCTTACTGTAGCCTTGATCTTGCTGGCTCAAGCGATCCTCCTGCCACAGCCTCCCAGGTAGCTGGGTCTACAGGCACATGCCACCATACCTGGCTAATTTTTTGATTTTTTTATAGAGATAGGGGTCTTACTATGTTATGCAGGCTGGTCTTGAACTGGCATCAAACTATCCTCCCAACTTGACCTCCCAAACTGCTGGGATTACAGGTGTAAGCCACCGTGCCATATTTTGGAATATCTCTTTTTCATTTGTACTACTGCCATCTTGGTCTAAGCCACTATCAAACCATACTGGGATTATTTTTGTTTTTTCTCTTACCTACCTCCTTTCTTGTACCCCTTTACCATTCATTTTCCTTACAAAGTTGGAATAAACTTTTATAAATATAAATCGTATTACATTACTCCCCTGCCTAAAATCGTAATAATTTCTCATAACTTCAGTCATAGTGGCCTTCCTTCTACCACTTTAGGGTCTTTGTACTCATTGTTTGCTCTGTCTGTGGAAGGCTTTGTCCCCATGACTGGCTGTTGCCTACACTGAGGCCTCAGTTCAAAGTCACCTCAGAGAGGCCTTCCCCTTTAAGTTTCTCCAAGTTCTACTTCCAGTTATTCAGTTTCTAGCCTGGAGGATTCCAGTACTTATTCTTAAATAGATCATTCCAGAGATAGTTAATGTGCACATTATATATGTGTCAACTAGGTATACACAAGTAAGTATGCATGTATATATTCCTTTTAAGTTTTTAACTGTTGGTATTACAACTGTTTCTATGCCTTGATGTTTCACTTAACATATCTCAAAGCTTATACTACGTAAGTGCATAAAGATTTTTTTTTTGTGAATGAGTATATCATAATTTATTTAACCAATCCCTTTTAGATGGACATTTATATTATTTCTAGTCTTTGCAATTCCCAACAATTCTGCAGTGAATAATCTTGTATATATAACACTATACACAAGTAAGTATACCCTTCTTGTGTTCTGGAAATAAGCATGCTTCAGTAATTTGAAGGTCATTCAATATTTTTCGGATTGGTTAATGAAAATAAATCATTTGAAAATGATTTCATTACATTTTGTCTTGAGATTTGAAACCATTTAAAAATTAGTTCCAGTAACTGTCTTCTGTTACCAATTGTATAGGAGATGTTAGAAGCTCTCAAGGCACTTTCAACCTTTTTTGTTGAAAATAGTCTGCGGACTCGAAGAAATTTACGTGGAGATATTGAACGTAAAAGTTTAGCCATCAATGAAGAATTTGTAAGCATTTTCAAGGAAGTGAAGGAGGTATGTAAACTCTTTTCATTTAGCATATATTGAGAACTTACTATTACGCCTGGCTCTGTGCTAAGTATTTTTTTGAATTAGGTTGATATGTTTGCTATTTGTATACTATGCCCAAATAGAAAGCTTAGCTAATTTCTCTTGCTGCATCTAGATCTTTATTTGTATTAATGTGATTTATGAATCTGTGACTTCCACAAATATTAATTCTTAGAAAGTTAACATTGTTCTAGAAGATTATCTTAGGAATTTTAGCTTTTTTAACAAAAAAATTAACATTTCCCTGAATGGCTTTCCAATAGAAATATCCCCTCATTGCATAAACCTCTCTTGGATAACAACTTCTCTACTGGAGATTAATTAGAATTGAGTTACTTTTACTATATCCTAAAATATGAAAATTTCAGATTAAGATCAGTAACTTCAATGTATTAATAATGATTCATCATACTTGAGAGTGTAGTCCACTCACCACAGAGTGAAAATAAATTTTATGTTATTATATCTTTATTATGTAATATTTTATTAGCTGTTTTAATACATTGTAATACTAATATATTTCTATGTGAGTTATGGAAGTGTTGCACATGGTTTCAATGAGTGTTCAATAAAAATAGGTTGTTTTTGACACCTTGGTAGGTTTTTATTGACTGAAGACTAATACTTTGGAAAGGATTTTTTTAAAAAAAATTACATTAGAGATGGACTCTTGCTATGTTGCCTGGGCTGGAGTGTAGTGGCTGTTCCCAGGTATGATCATAGTACACTACAGCATCGAACTCCTGGGCTCACGCAATTCTCCCACCTCAGTTTCCCAAGTAACTGGGACTACAGGTGCCTGCCACCATGCCTGGCTCTTTTAAACATCATTTCCTACTAAAAGGAACAATCTTACCAGTATCAGAAAGCAAAGATGCTATCTGAGACTATTGGATACATGTCAAAAGGACTTTGGAGCTAATGTGAAGAGGATTCTTCTACTGGCCAAACATAAGACTATTTGAACATCAATAAGAGTAACTGCAATTGAATAACACTAGCAATAAAGGGATATTCAGTTTTATAAAGCATTTGCTGTTTTCCTGCGGTCATATTCTCTAAAAGGAATGGACTATTTTCTTTACATTTTTTCTAACACTAGATGTTATTCTTTTTAATCATTTCCAATTTTAAATATGGGATCTCTTGTCATGCCTTGACCAAAAAAATAAAAAATTATGTAACTAAAATAAGGATTTAGCTAACAGAAGAGAATCTTCTTCTTGCTGTATATATGATGTTTGATGTTACTTTTCTTCTTTTCAGGAACTTGAAAGCATAAGCGAAGATGTTCAAGCAATGAGCAACTGTTGTCAAGATATGACAAGTCGCCTACAGGTATTATATAATGGCTAGATTTTGGCATAGTTCCTGATATAAACTTACAAAAATTATTATTGACAAAATGTGTAGATATCTAATCCATAATGCCCTGTAGGAAATTTGGGTATAAATATAATCCTTATTTTTAAAAATTGTAGCTATCTTTGTGTTTCTTTGGATAATGATTTATTAATATTGTTCAATTAACTTTAGAGCATTTATATTTTGGTCTAGCCAGTACAGAGCTAACTACGTAGAATTTTGATAAACCTTTCAATTCCGTAATATTCTAGAAATCTAGGAGTAATGATTTTTTTTAGTAAGAAGCCTTAGGAATAATTTCACACTAAAGCTGTGCCTGATAAAGACCTAGCTTAATTCTGATTTATGCATAACCTTAAAAAATTCTGGGAAAATATGTATACTTTTAGGTCTTTTAATGAAAGCAGTCCTAAACTTATAGTTTGGTAGCAGAATCAGCATTTGACTTAATTAACCTCATTCATCTAATTTTGGAATAGTACATAGAACGGTTTCCTCCTAAGGGCCAATCATGATTATGTCTACTGCCTTCACATTTTAACAGCGAATTTATATCTCTAAGTGTCTCTTGGAACGATTGACATCAACAGTGATTCTAGGAAGAATCATTAATGCATATTCTACAGATTAATCACAGGCTACTTGCATCATCAGTTTGCAGGATGAGTTAATTTCTTGTTTCTCTAAAATTTTATCTTTTCTGGTCTTGTCTAAATTTTGATATTCTTACTAATCTATCAGATATTATTGGCATGTTTATTGTCTCTTAGTCCAATATTTAGATATTTGTTAATTTGACAATATTTAAATAATTATATAATATATACTAATTATTAATGGCCATTTCACATTTTTGGCATATATTTACTTTATTCCTCAGTGGTTGATTTTGTTTGACCCTTCTTTTTCTTTAACTTTATTTCCTTTTCTCCTCTTTTAGCTTCCATGACGTAATGCCTTTTCTCAAATTATACTTTATAAGGTTTTCTATATTGTACTTTTGTGTTTTTTAAATAACATTATGCTTTGTTATATTAGACTACTCAGTTTCTGATCTTTAGTGATAGTATCTCTTATTTTTTAATTTGTATCCTTAATTATGTTTTTATACTTTTCATCATAGAGAGATTTAAATATAAAAAGATCATAGTATTTTTATTTGTGCTATTTTTCAAACAGTTTATAAATATTTTAAATTACAACCAAAGTGTCTCTTTCTGTTTTGTCCTTTGTATTTTTTTTTTTTTTTTTTGAGACAGAGTCTCGCTGTATCCTTAGTGGCGTGATCTCGGCTCATAGCAACTTCCACCTTCTGAGTTCAAACAATTCTGCCTCAGCCTCCCAAGTAGCTAGGATTACAGGCGCCTGACACCATGCCTGGCTGATTTTTGTGTTTTTAGTAGACACAGGATTTCGCCAGGTTGTCCAGGGTGGTCTCGAACTCCTGACCTCAAGTGATTCACCTACCTCGGCCTTCCAAAGTGCTGGGATTACAGACATGAGCCACCATGCCCGGCCAGTCCTTTATATTTTCTTTGCACCCACCTCACATCCTGTTTTTTCTTCTGCAGTGGCATGGGCCTATTTTCTTTCTTTATTCAGATCAACTTTATTGAGGAATAATTTATGAATGGTAATAAACTGCATCCATTCAAAGTGTTCAAATTGATAGGCTTGGCATTTTTATATGCCTGTGAAACAACAACTATAATCAAGATACAGAACATTTTTATCACATATAAAAGATTGCCTCATAGCTTTCTGATTGAATATTTAAAAATATTTAATACTGCCTATTGTTTACATTTGTTTTTGATCCACATATCATTTTTAATAGTAGGAGGTCCATGATTTTGAAAGTTTTGTTTATTCCTTAAAATTTTGCTTAAAGCTAATTTATTTGGATATAGCACTATTGGAATTCTAATAGTATACATTCATAATATCAACTCTAATGTTTTTAAGTTATTCATAAAGAAAAGTGTTTCTTAGAGTATCCTCACTTTCCCTTTTTCTTATAGAATGTTGTTATAATGATTCATTTAATTATTTAATATTTTCTGAAATGCTTTGACTATGGTACCTTTTAGAAATTATTAGAAAACATTTAAAAATGTAATCAGTCATTTTATATATGTTAATATTTATTCCTTTGTGGTTTTCCTTGCATATGTTTAAATAATAAACATGCATTTAGATGCATATGTTTATTATTAACTCAAAAATAATCATCTTTAACATTTAAGATAAATGGAGATTGAGGTTAATCTTCATTAATATTATTAAATATTACTTTGGAATTCTTACCATAGTTTATAAATGAAAAAATCAGGAAATATGCAAAAAAATTAGCAAATTCTTATTATATAACATTGTGCTAAATTATCATATTTCATTGATTAATAAATGGTGTTGATTGTAAGGTGCACCCTCAATAACGACTAGCCTAAAAAGCTAGTAAAGGTTTTTTGATGTTGATTTTGTGAAGCATTCTTTTTTTCAGAAATATTAAAATGTAAACATATCTTTGACTTGAGGGGATACTATATTTTAAAAATTGCACAAGGCAAGACTGTACAAGGGTGGAAATGGAACTTTAGCATTTAAGAAGTATGAGCATTTGAAGAACTTATTGGCAGTCTAATAATTCTAAAAGAATATTTTGGGAGCTATCATGTTGAGCTCCATTCCTTAAAAGTCAGTGAAATGGCTGGGCGTGGTGGCTCACACCTGTAATCTCAGCATTTTGGGAGGCTGAGGCAGAATGATCCTTTGTGACCAGCCTGGGCAACATAGCAAGACCCCATCTCTACCAAAAACTTTTAATAAGTTAGCCAGGCATGGTGGCACATGCCTATAGTCCCAGCTATTCTAGAGGCTTAGGTGGGAGGATTGCTTGGGCCCAGGAGGTCAAGGCTGCAGTGACTCAAGATTGCACCACCATACTCCAGGCTGGGTGACAGAGTGAGACCCTGCCTCTTTAAAAAAAAAAAAAAAAGATAAGGGATATGCAAAATTATCTAGGTTCAAATTGTTTTCTTAAAAAATCTATTTCCTGGGAACATACACTCAAAATAGCTTCATTTGAGGTGGCAATCAGGCTCTGTTATTGACAGCATACCTAGAAAGCAATAAGACAGAGAATTTCCCTCACAGTCTGAAAACTGAGTTTGTAGAGGATTAGGCCTCTAAGAACCCAGAACTGGAGGTGTCTAGGTCTAAGGCAGCTCTAGAAAGAAACCGCAGTAGCAGAAGCTTGACTCTTTATTGTGGTATTCCAACATGAAAATGACCCAGTGTCTTCAGGTGTTTGCTCTGGTATTTTCTCTTTAACAGACTGATTCACCTTCTATTTTATGTGTTTTTCTCCACTTTACTAATGACTTAATTTATGCATCTTTCTGGCTCATTTAATATTTCTTCAAGGCACAGACCTTGTTTCTCTACGTGCCTCATGACTACTTCTCTTCTTATTGTTTATTGCCTTATTTTTGTAAATATTCCCTAGTTCAGATATTTGAGAGAGAATCTCATTGTCTTTTGTTTAAAGCCACTTCATGAATGTTTTCTAATCTTGGATAAGATGCTTTTTTAATTGACTTTCCACTTTTGATCAACTCTGGCTTAGGGAAGGGAGAATTGCTTAGAATGAAAGTTGATTAGGAACAGCCTTGTGTCCTTTAGATGGGGCTAGCTCTGATCCTCACCAAAAACTTATATGGCAGGTAGTTTGTATATTACAACTTTCAAACTTTTACCTCCATCTTATACATTTCTATTGAGCTCCACACTAGCATTTCAGTGACTTAGTTAACAACCCCATGTAAAGGTTGCATGGTATCTCAGTTCAACACGTCCATACCTGAAGTCATGTTCTTCATTCTTAACTTGTTTTTCCAGTGCTTCTGTTGCACTAAAAAGCATCATGAACTATTAAGTTCCTTTGTCAGTATCTGGATACCTTTTTCTTTCTTGTAAGCCTTAGCATTATGTGTATATTAAGAACTGAGTGTGTTCCTCCAGTGGATGAGCCTTGAAACATCTACGTATTTCATTTTATTGTGCTTTTGAGTTCCATAGAGTGATCTCATTTGTTTTAAGTCTAAATTGCAGTAAGTGGTAGTATTTGTTTTCTGAAATATAATAAAATTGGAATTTACTTATATTAGATATGTTTATAATTTTAGGCAGCAAAGGAACAGACTCAAGATTTAATAGTAAAAACCACTAAGCTTCAATCTGAAAGGTAAGTTTTTCTTCATACAACCACCTTTTCAATAATTTGGAGATTGGAGTCAAAGAAAATTATATATAACTCCAAATCAGAATTAAAGCAGAATAATAAAAAACATGGTTCATAAGGTCCTAAACTATTATATTACCCAATAGTAACTTAAGCATAAAGACAGTAGTTTAGGAGCAATAAACTTGACATTGAGGTTGAGAGATTATTCCTTCTTTGGAAGAGAGGTGATGATGTATCGTTATTGTTTGCTGTGGAGTTCAGAAATGATGCTTTTTAAAATGTAAATGTTTTCAGATTTTTAATAGTTTTATTACTTTTTTTTCACAATCATTGTCTTTTATTTTTAAGCTATGATATATCCTCTCTGGTATAATTAAGAGTTAATTGTATAAATTCTCCTTGTAGTTTATACAATAGGTATACTATTGGTTGATTGAATGAATGAGTGAGTGAGTGAATAAAGGTGAGTACAGTCTGGATTTGTGTAATGTGTGGTGTTCAGTATTGCTAAAACTCATAGCAATTATGCTAAAACTCATTAACTGCATCTCTCATGTGTGGAGTAGTATAGGGGGGGAGAAGCATTATATTATGATGCAGTATACTTGTCTCCTGCTCAGTAGTTGGGTACATCACTTAAACCTTTTAGTATTCTAGGTATTTCATCAGTAATATGGAGATATTACCACTTTAACTGCTGATTTTGGGGTAGGTCAGTATACTATAGTATAGACCACAGGTTATCAAACTATGGCCACAGGCCAAATCCAGCTCAACACCTGCTTTTGTAAATGCAGCTTTATTGGAACACAGCTATGGTTGTGTTTACATACTGTCTATGGCTGCTTTTACCCTACTGCAGTAGAGTCGTGTGGTTACAACAGAGACCATATGTGGCCTACAAAGCCTAAAATATGTACTATCAAGATTTTTACAGAAAAAGTCTGTGACTTCTGATCCAACTAGTGTTTTTTTGTAGTTCAGGTCAAGATCAATGGGTTGTAAATTATGATTTATCAATCATTACTACTATTTAAATCGATCATAGCTAGCCTTAAAAAATAAATTAGAATGAAATAAAATAGAAAATAGTTTGGGTAGCTGGGCATGGTGGTGCACACCTGAAGTCCCAGCTATTCTGGAGGTTGAGGTGGGAAGATCATTTGAGCCCAGGAGTTCAAGGTTGCAGTGGGCTATGATAGTGCCACTGCACTCCAGCCTGGGTGACAGAAGGAGATCCTGTCTCTAAAAAATAAATAAGTAAAAATAGTTTGAGTGAATATTATTTTGTGAAGCCTTTCTTTCAGTTTCAGTAATGGTTTTAAATGGTTTAATATTATGGGTCATAATCAAGAGTTTGAAAAACACTGCCCTAGACCAAAAATGGCAAGTACATGACCCCCAACTCCTTAGTTTTACATCCACTGATCTTGACATTCTTTTATTTTGAGCCCTTAATCCTTCTTAACACAATTCTCTTCAGACTAAGATTGATGAATGGGAAATTATAAAGAGTGCAGAGGTGTAAAGTTACTTGTGTAAAAGGATATCATGGGTCTTAGGGCTACAAAGGACTCAGAGATCAACTGGAATGATCCATTGCAGTTAAAATGGTAACCAATGTAACTTACTTTTCTGTCTTATAAAAACATTGAGAAAATGTGACAAAATTAGCAAAATAAAATATATGTACCAATATCATCTAAAAAATACTATCTTTAATAGCACAAAACAAAGAAAACATTTTCTTTACACGTATAGGAAGTACATTATTGGATATTGGAACATGTACCTTATCTTAGACCTGTGGCTTTCAAACCATAGTTCATTGAACCTCAGGGTTTCTTTGCAAGACGTAGAAGGATAATGGAGTTTTGGAGGTCAGATTCTCTCACCCTAATTTTAGTGAGAGCAGTTTCACTTTTACTTGTTTAATATATTAGGATTCCATGTAAGATTTTGTTTGAAAAAAGAGTTTGACAGCAGGAAAATATAAAAATATTGCACAATTTTAAGACTAGTTGAAAGGTAGAATACCAAATAAAATAGTCTTTTGATTTTATTCCTCATGCCAGAGAAAAATCTTTAAAAACAACTAAGTATCAAAGCTTTATAAAAGCTTAATCATAATTTCATGCATTTAATCCCCTTTTTGTTTACTAACTACCTTCTCTTTCACTAAAAATCCACTTTTACCCGTTGTGTGTTTTCTACAAGCCAAAATGAGAGCAAGTTGATGTTGTCCTCAGATTTATAGAATTGCAAATTGCCTGGATAGAAATTAAATTTAGGAAGTCTGGCCTTAAATTCCCTTTTATCTTGTTGATATTGTCATTCTGTATTTTATAGCTGGATAAATGATCATATCCCCCACATTGGTGGTTAATTACTTGATGTTGACCTATAAGTCAGTTTTCTAGTACTTTTCAGAGCATCTTCAATCCAATCCTTTTGTGTTTAACATTTAATCAAAGACTTTAGTGTATATATAGACAACTTACTTGGAAAATTGTGAATGACACAAAGTATGGAATGTTAAGTGTAAGGTATCAACAGAATCAAGCTTTTAAGAAAAAGTGGGGCTGGGCAAGAGGTGAATAGGATGATAAAGGGTCTCAAAAAATGATGTAGGGTTGAAAAAAACAGAATTGTTTATTTAGAAGTATAGGACTAAGAAGGACATGATGGCTGTCTTCAAATATTTGATGATCTTTCC
Source organism: Homo sapiens (assembly GCF_000001405.40). Classification (NCBI taxonomy): domain Eukaryota; kingdom Metazoa; phylum Chordata; class Mammalia; order Primates; family Hominidae; genus Homo; species Homo sapiens. The sequence continues at coordinate 39,667,871 of NC_000013.11, forward strand.
TGTTTTAAAAAAGGCTAAATTTTATTATATATTGCTGCTGAGTTTGGAACTGAGTTTTAAAGGAGAAATTTAGGCAAATTTTGACTTAACGATAAGCAAGAATTTTCTATCCCTTACAATTTGAACAATTCTTCAAAGCTTTTTTTTTAAAATCACTGGAAATATTTAGTCTTATGTTAGGTGTCATTGGAGCCATCTTTTATTTCAGTTTTCCTTTCTGGTCTTTTACATTACGATTCATGTATCCACACCTTATCACAGTAAACATAAGAGCCACCAAGGAGCTTGATAAAATGGCAAGTTTTGGCCTCCATCCTCAGAGAATCTGACTGAAAAAAGTAAGCAACTGTGTTTTTTTGATTAATGACTCAGTAAATCTTGATTTGGGCTCAGGATTCGGCCCTTTTAACAATATCCCAGGTATTTTTATGCAGTGGTCCAGAGACTATAATTTGAAACACCTGGCCTTAGACAAAATATTACTTATATTTTTAATTTTTTGTGGAATGTCCCTCTCCCCTACCTTAATTCTCTCATCTCCTAACTGGTAAACTTTGAAAAAACATTTTAACTTTTTAAATGTTAAACTTTATATTTTGAGATAATTATAGATTCACATGCAGTTGTAAGAAACAAGGCCGGGCGCCGTAGCTCACACCTGTAATCCCAGCACTTTGGGAGGCCGAGGTGGGCGGATCACGAGGTCAGGAGATCGAGACCATCCTGGCTAATGCGGTGAAACCCCATCTCTATTAAAAATACAAAAAATTAGCCGGGCGTGGTGGCGGGCACCTGTAGTCCCAGCTACTCAGGAGGCTGAGGCAGGAGAATGGCATGAACCAGGGAGGCAGAGCTTGCAGTGAGCTGAGAACGCGCCACTGCACTCCAGCCTGGGCGACAGAGCGAGACTCCGTCTCAAAAAAAAAAAAAAAGAAAAGAAAAGAAACAATACAGAGATCCAAGGTAGCCTTTACCTTGTTTCTGCCAAAGGTAACATTTTACAGAACTATAGTATGGTACCACAACTAGGATAATGACCTTGATACTATCTACCTGTCTTATTCAGATTTTGCAGTTTTACTCGTTGGTGTATTTATTTTTATACATTTTATCATTTGTAGATTCCTGAATGCGCCACCATAGTCACGATATAGTACACAGTTCCATCACCACAAATAGTGTCCTGTTGGTGGGTGGACAGTGTGAGAAAAGTTGCAGACTAAGCCCATGTGGGAGATGGTTGACTCTGCAAAGCAGCCAGCTCTGTGAGGAAAGGCAGTGTTAAATTTCTTTATCAGAATTAAGCCTGTGCCTTCACCATAAAATTAGATTGCATTTTATAACAGTTCTTTTGAAAGAAAAGTTTCCTAGAAAAACACATTCCCTGTTAGAGACCTTGACATTAATTTTTCTCTAAGTTAATGCTGAACACAAAAACAAGCATTACTTTAATTGAAAATTGTGATTAAAACTAAGAGGATAACAGATCAATAATCCTGTATGCAAAGCCTTTTTAAACTTTTCCTGTTCTCAGTTAAATCTTTTTGTTTTAATTTTTAGTGTAATAGGTATTACAGTTGTTTGCAACTAATCGTTGATTTGATTGTCTCTGTTTCTCCTAAACTGTGAGCTCCTTGAGAAAAATGACAATTTCTTATTCTCCTTTTTGTATTTGCAGTGCCTGCTATTTTACAGATTCAATAAATAATTTTTGAGTAAATGAATATGGAAAGCAACTATAATGTTAGGAAAGGAACATAAAACTGAAAAATAAGCATTGTATTGGAGCTTGTAATATGGGGCTCTAAATAATGTATATAGGAGACAATATTAGAACATTGTGCTTCTGTTCATGTGTTCTCAAAACTATTTAAGCAAGGTTTATGTTTATTATTTTAGTAAGCCTGTGGAAGTGTTTTGGCCTGATATGCTTTTGGGAAGTGAAAATTTATGACATTCTGGTATCCCAAGAGCTATAGATATGATGTGCCAAGTGAACGTTTGTGTGAATGTATTTTAGGAAAATTGCAAGGCAGAAATTATGATAACAGGTCTCTGGGGGCTGGCAGGGAGTTGTTTTTTCATTTTAAAATATCTTTTTAACAAGAAACTTTGTTAAACAAGCAGTTAGCTTTAGAAATAGAAATCTGTTTCTATATGGGATTATTTGAATAATACGATACTTTTATTCAGACAAATGTATGAATGATATGAATATTTTTCCAACTGAGTGAGAAGGAAGTCAGTCGTCAGGACAGCTGAGATGCTCTAATAGATAAAGCTTAATGTAGAATTTTATTCACAGGACTGCAGGTTAGCATTTCCCCTTAATAGTTCATTGGTAGTCAGACGATGGGCTTCACTGATAATCAGGAAAGACTATATGTACATGAACATACCTTTGTATTTTTAAAATACTACTAAAATCACTATTATATTTTTATTATCTCTTATAAAGGCCCACCAGCCAGAATTCTCTCTGGACTCAGAAAAATAATCTCTGGAGAATGTTTATGTGTGTGTATTTTTTTAAGTTCAGTATGTTAAAATGGAAAGAATATAGGACTTAAGACAAAAATCTGAATCTTAATCGAAACCTTGGGTAAGAGATTATTAGATTTTTGATTTTGTACAGTTATTTCTTAACCTCCCTTAACCTAAGTTTCTATGTCTGAAAGAAGGAAGGGGAAAATATCTATGTCATGGGGTTTTTGAGATAACTAAATTATTTACGTAAGTTGCTGAAGACACTGCATGGCATACATTAAAGACTGTTGCCCCTCCCTAGTCCTCCCCTTTTATTAGACAAAGAAATCTATGTCACTCATCTTATTTCTATTTTTGCTCTGTCATCTAGGAAGCTTAGAGCTATTTTGTGCTTAATTGCAATAGCTTTCCTCAGATGTATGATTTACTTTCTCAGCCTTTCCCTTTATTTCTTACTATTTTAGTTTTTAATAGTTTTAATTTATTTTTATTGCATTGTAAACTACTTTAACTCAGGTTTTGAAATTGGTAGCATAAAAATATAAAACTTTATCTTGCATAAATGGTTTTATATTGCATGTAAAAGTATATTACAGAAGCGTATGTGGCACATTTTCTTTCATTACCTAATAAAAGGTTAGGGGAAAACAGGGGAGCATCACATCTCCTTTCTTCTTTCTTCTTGTCTCATTTGTACATAGTAGCAGCTATCCAAAAGGAAATATTGCCAGTGACATGCAGGAGCCTGACTGAGATAAGCTATAACAACTTTATTTCAGTCACACATATTGGACTGGAAATAAAAATTTGGGGGTAAGGCACAGTATGGCTTATCCATTTCTTGTGATTATGATCATGCTGTAAGGGAAATAGTATGAGGAAAAATTTAGAAATAATCTTTGGTTTAAGTATTTTAAAAGTTGGGTTTGGAGATGGTATGGATTTTTTTAAATGAAAATTTTGTCTGATCAAATTTTCCCCACCAATGAAAAAGAGCTTTTTTTTGCGTAACATTTTTTCCCCACCAATACAAAAGAGCTTTTTTTTTTCTTCCTTTTTTTTTGTGGGCACGCTTCATTTAAAGTGGCTATTGCTGTTTATTTCCTGATTTAACTACATTTATCAACCAGGTAGACTTTTTCTATATTCTTATTCATTCTACCTGGAATTCCATTTCCCAAAATTAATTTGTTGAAAACTCATTTGTCATTTTAGGTTCCCTGTTGTTTATGCCCATCATATATTTCAAAATATTTTACAAAACTTAAGAATTTTAGGCTATCATGTATGTGTATGTTTGTGTCACACATGCATGTACATGTTCCTTGAGAATGTATATATGTATGTACCTATATATGTTTCAAAGAAAGTCTTGCTTACTTTAAAAAATACTTCAGCTTATAGGAAATTTATTTCACCTTTGTACTTTACAGTTTTATTATATATTTTCCATGTTCAGCCAGGAACCTTTACTCAGTCACCAGAAAAAAAAATAATTAGTTCCTTCTTTGTACTCCCACAACACATTATTCTTCTAGCACTTATTTTCTGCCCTATGATTTCTCAACAGTGCTGGACGTTATGGTCTTTGACTATTTTAACTGGATAGCAAAGGCAGTGTATTAATGCTCTTTGTACCCACTCCTTTCTACACAGAAAACTTTTCAACTGAATATGTCTACATGGTTACTTTAACATTTTAAATAGTTACAGCTGACATTGCCTGTTAATATTTGAGACTCTTACTTTATAAGAGTAATAGCAAGTGTGCATATATACTTAACTAAATGTTATTAAGGAGTGGAAAGTATCAAGCTGGAAGAATGTATTAGATGCCTTTTAAGCTGTATTTTGTACAGTTATAATAATACATGTAATTGTAATTCAAAAGGTAGATCCTTTTTTGTTTATTATAAAAACATCTTTGTTGAGATATAATTCACATATCATAAAATTAAAGTATATAGTTTATTGGTTTTAGTATATTCAGAGTTGTGCAATCATCATTATGATCTGAATTACAACATTTTCACCATCCCAGAAAGAAAACTCCTGACCATTAGTAGTTATCCAGCCTTAGTGAACCATTAACCTACTTTCTGCCTCTCTAAATTTGCCTATTCTGAATCTTTCATGCAAATAAGATCATACAGTATGTGGCCCTTTTTGACTAGCTTTTTCCACATAGATAAACACTTTTAAGATTCATCCATGTTACTTTAACCTTTTTTATGGCTGAATAGTATTCCATTGTATAGCAACACCACATTTTGTTCACCCGCTCACTAGTTGATAGACATTTGGGTTATTTCCACTATTTGACTATTGCAAATAATGCTGGCTGTAAATATTTGTTTACAAGTTTTTGTGTGGGCATGTTTTATTCCTCTTAGGTATATATTTAGGGGTAGAATTGCTGAATCATATATGATAACTCTTTAAGTGTTTGAGGAACTGCCACACTGTTTTCCGAAGAAGCTGCACAGTTTTACATTTCCAAAAGCAGCATATGAGGATTCCAGTTTCTGTACATCTTTGTTTTTAATCTGTCATTTTGATGATAGCCATGCTACTGGGTGTGAAGTACTACTCATTGTGGTTTAGATTTGCATTTTCCTAATGACTAATGATGTCAAGCATCTTTTTTTTGCTTATTGGTATTTGCATATTTTCTTTGGAGAAATGTCTATTTACGTCCTTTACCCATTTTTTAATTTAGGTTATTTGTGTTTTTATTTATTGGTTGTAAAAGTTCTTTATATGTTCTGGATATAGGTTTGTTAACAGATACATTATTTGCAGCCATTTTCTCCCATTTTTTGGGTTATCTTCACATTCGTGATATCATTTATAGCACATTTTAAATTTTGATGTAGCTCGTTTTATCTTTTTTGTCATTTGTATGTGCTTTATTTTTCAATGTATTTTTGTATTGAAGTTATTTTATCTATTTGTTTTAAAATACTAAGATAAAAATTTAGAAATTTATCAGGTTTTGAAATCATGGCATGGTACTGGAAATGCTGACAAGAAAACAACCTCATTACAGGATTTTATCTCTATTGAGTTTTAACCAGTCTTTCAAAAACGTTTAACTTTCAGTTTGATACTTTATAAAAACTTAAAATGAAAAGTTTCTTCTTTTTTTCTATTTTAGAACCAAAAAAAATTATAGAAATACTTTTTCTTAAGGATTGTAAATGATAAGCAGATTCTTTAAGATCCTGTCAAACAGGTTATTTCACTTATCTTTCCATCATATGAATTAGGTAAAAGGAATCTTTTAAGTGTAAAAAACTGCCTTTTCTTTCTTAAATTTTTTTGACATAATGTTAATATAAATCTATTGTATAAAATTTAAGGAAAACTAAAATCATATATAACTCTACCACTCAGATAGAACCACAATTAATATTTTGGTATATTTCCTTCCAGAGTGAGTATGTGTGTGTATTGTTAATATTTTACTTTTTTCCCTTAATATTTTATGTTCATTTTCCTATGATTTTTTATATCAAGAGGATCATTTTTGGAAGTGTCCTGAAATATAATGCCTAAATTTTTCTCAAAAAAGATTATCACAATTTCTACTTCCATTCTGTCTATTTTATTAAACCCTTATCAGCATTAGATATCATCTTTAAAAACTTTGCCAATGTAGATGAAAAATATTATCACACCATTTTATTTTTTATTTTTATTTTTAATTTTTTTTAAATTATACTTTAAGTTCTAGGGTACATGTGTACAACGTGCAGGTTTGTTACATATGTATACACGTGCCATGTTGGTGTGCTGCACCCATTAACTCGTCATTTACATTAGGTATATCTCCAAATGCTATCCCTCCCCCCTCCCCCTACCCCACGACAGGCCCCGGTATCACACCATTTAATTTACATATCATCGAATAGTGATGAATCGACATGTTTCTCATTTTGTTTTGCCATTTATATTTCTTTACTTTTTTTGTTTTGGTTTATATCTTATGTCCATTTAAAAAATTATTTCGAAATTATTTGGTGTAGGTGAACCTAGAGGTAGAATTAAGATACGACAGAGATAAGTTTTCAAGAAAAAGAAAAGTACCACAGGATTCATAAATCATGTTCTGGGCTGATTTGAAGGAATCATGAAAATTAAGTAGTCCGTTTATTTTAAATACTTAGGCAGTATACGACTGGACATACTGAAAATTGATGTACATGTGTTTATATACAGTAATTCCCAACCTTGTCTATGGTTTTGCTTTGTGTGGTTTCCATTACTTATGGTCAACTGCAGTCTGAAAGTAATAAATGGAGAATTTCAGAAATAAGCAATTTGTAAGCTTTAAATTATGTACCATTTTGAGTAGCATGATGAAATCTCAAGTGGTTGGCTCCCACTTTGGTGGGACATCAGTCATCCCTTTTTCTAATGTGTGATGCTATATACACCACCACTCAGTAGTCACTTAGTAGCCGTCTCAGTTATCAGATTGAAAAACAGTACGTGTAGGATTTGGTACCGTCAGCAGTTTCAGGCATCCACTGGAGGGTCTTGGACTATATCCCCCGAGGATAAGGGGGGACCATTGTAATTACTTCTTAAAAATAAGTGGGGATTCCTATACATACTTTCTCGCAACTTTTTATACCTATAAAATGCCTTATGGATCATTTTGTTAGTACATATAGATCTACCTCAGTTTGATCTATTATGTATTTTTCCATAGTGTATATTTCACATATTATTATTTATTTATATAATATACAGTGATTGCACAAACATAATCTTAAATACGCTAGAAGTTATAATTTATATGTTATGTTAATATTTATCTCCTATACTTTTTACTTAGACATTGAAAGCCCTCTAAAAGTTCCATATGTTGATGTAAAGTAAGGACAAGGTCTGTGTCATAAGTGCCTTTTATCACACTCGTCTCTGGCATAGGCCTTATACATTGTGAGTCTCCAATAATGTTATTTGAATGAGTGAATATTCCCAAACCAAATCACTGGACCATCTAACAATAACTTCCTGTCAGAATGGTTGTGAAAATTTACCTGGAAAGAATACATGTGGTAAAACTAGAGTAATATGATAATAAAAAATATATTAGAATTTATTGTCACTACTTTTAAAGTTACCATCTTGATATATTAAACTCTTGTTTTAGTACTGTGCCCATTATAAAAATATTTTTGCACCATCTCTTTTGTAGCTATATATAGAGCCTGTGTTTCTGTCTTTATCTCATGATTGATTTTTAGATCCACATTATTTGGAATGAATTGTAATGATTAAGGGGTATGATCAAGGTGGGTAGCATTTGTTTTGGTTACAACAAAATGAAACTATAAACTAAAGAGACAAATTTTCCTTTGTGCCTAATAAATTGATTCTAAAGATAGATCCAAAAAAGCTCCCAAAAACATTTTATTTCACATGGTTAATTTGCATAGTCTCAAGGAATTTGATGAAATTTTATAATTACTTTAAATTCTTAATGATAATGACTGGAACTTTTAAAAATATAAAACAAAACCTGTTAAGGTAACTCTTTAAGCTTTTAAAAATTCATTTTTAATTTATAATTGACATATAATGATTATATATATTTATGGGGTACAATGTAATGTTTCAAGGTAATTACCATATCTATCACTTTAAACATTTATCATTTCTTTGTGGTGACAATATTCAAACTCTTCGCTATCTTGAAATACCACTGCATTGTTATTTGCTGTAGTCACCCTAGTTTGTAATAGAACAGTAGAACTTACTCTTCCTAACTGTAACTTTGTACTCGTTGACCAATCTCTTCCTGTCCCCTTCTCCCCACTATCTTCCCCAACCTCTGATAACCATGATCTCTCACCATACATAAAAATAAACTCTAAATGGATTAAAGAGTAAACTATACGACCCCAAGTTGTATAACTACCAGAAAAAAAATAGGAGAATTGTTTCATGAAATTGGACTGGGCAAGAATTTTTTGAATAAGACCTCAAAAGCACAGGCAACAAAGCAAAAATAAGATAAATATTAAGATAACTTTTAGATATCAATAATAAGATGATTAAGAACATGACATTTAAATCTGTGTATATTCAATTAGGTGATTTATCATTTGAAATAAACAGATCTTTGCTGCCACCTGGAGGATTTTTGCTTGTAAATTTCTTTATTCAGTAGGAGCATTAGCATTCAACTTTGAATTTAAAACCTCCATCCCAAAGGTGCAAATAAAACAGAGGTGGCAGATGCATTGTACCATCTATACAAATAGTGTTTATGTTTATCTTTGTTCATTCTTATTTGAATTTTGTTTAATTGTGGAATATTACTATTCTCTGAATATTGCTAGTGAAATACTTTTATAACTTTATTTATATATTTTCAGTTCTGAGATACAGAAACCAGGAATGTTGAGTTTCTGTTCAAGTAGTTTGTGTTCCTAACTTGCCTGTGGGTATTGATTCTTCTCAGTCCCATAGGTCCTTGAGTGTGCCTTTTTCCGTCAGCTAGTTTAGATAGGTTGCACTCATATAATTTAAAAGGTTGTTTTTATTACTATATTTTGTAGAAAAAGTGGGGAAGACCAAAGTGGATAAGTGACTAGCAATTTATGGAGAATTAATAAAGGAGTTCTTCTATAACATAAAATAAACTAATAAATTTGATTTTTGATATGTACGTCATGTGAAAACTTAAAAGGCTTAGGAATTGTTTTAGTGACTGAAAAGAAATTGGTTGAAAACAGGAACATATTTCTCTCTTATAAAAGCATCTAGCAAACTGCAAGGTGAACTATTTAAGTACTTGTAAGTGGCTGCAAATTTGTAATGCAGGGACCATGCATGGACTTATTTGTTCTTTTGCGTAATGATCAACTCCATTTATTGTGTGCAAGTATCTGAAATAGAACAATATTAGCTAATTTTATCACCTACATGTCTGATAAAATTCTAATATTTGAGGCAGAAACAAGACTTTTGAAAATATTGAGAACTTTTCATACCTTTGTTTTAAAAATTTATTATGTCTGAGATAGAATTTGTTTTAAAGCTATGCAACTGTGTAAGATGCTTGATTTTTATTGCTTGTTTTGAAAATTACAGCCAAAAATTAGAGATAAGAGCTCAAGTTGCAGATGCCTTCTTATCCAAGTTCCAACTGACTTCTGATGAAATGAGTCTTCTCCGAGGTACAAGAGAAGGACCCATTACTGAGGTATCCTGGCTTTCTGTTATAATCATTTAAAGTTTAGTAGTTACAGATATTAGAGAGAAATTGCTTTTTTGAAGCTTTATTTTCCCATTAAAAAAAGTTTCATCTGAGAATATTTTTATGTTTGGAAATTTAAGATGTGTATTTTAATTATATTTTTCAAAGTAATACATGTACTTTTTAAAAAGAGTCAAAGTTATAAAAAGAAAATCTATGTCACCTATTTTACTCTTCCTCACCTCTAGGTCTTTTGTCAACCATTTTCAATGTTATTAATTGCTTCTTTTGTAAATTCTATATTCTAGATCTATAGTTAAAAAGAATATGCTTTGATTATCTATGTTAACTATTTTCTATTGATTCTCTATTGTGAAATGTGAGGATTTAGCCTTCTACCCACTCTGTCTCCTCCCCCAACACAGATAGTACACACATATGTTCTCTTTATCTCCTTCATACATCATAGTACAGTTAGACCACATTTTCTATTTTCTTTTCCTTTTTTTTTGAGACAGGGTCTCGCTCTGTCAACCTGGCTGGAGTGCAGTAGCACGAACACAGCTCACTGCAGCCTCAACCTCCCAGGCTCAAGTGATCCTCTCATCTCAGCCTCCCAGGTAGCTAGGGTATCCAGGCATGCACCACCACTCCTGGCTGATTTTTTAATTTTAATTTTTAGTAGAGATAGGATCTCACTGTGTTGCCCAGGCTGGTCTTAAACTCCTGAGCTCAAGCGATGTGCCTACCTCGGCCTCCCAAAGTGCTGGGACTATAGGTCTGAGCCATAGTACCTACCCACACATTTTTCATTTTCATTACAGTGACATTACAGTGATTGCATGTTCTTTCTTTTATAACTTTGTGTCTTTCCTTGGGTTAGAAATCACTTGTTTTTTCATCTAATTAATTTTTTAAGCTATTCCATTTTTTCCAAACTGGCTGACAGAATTATATAACCTCTCAAAATGTTAAATAACAAGAAAAAGTTTCGTTTCTTTTTTTTTCCTTGAAGACATTCAATTTTTCCAGAAAGGAATCTTTTGGTCTTCTCGCTGGGAAGAACTGTAAACTTAAGCCTATCGTCATCATTGTGGGATCAGAGGGCAAGAAGGGTTCTTGAGGTGGGGAAGGGTTCTCACTGAGTGTCTCTGAGTAGGTATCACTTTTACTGGCTTGGCTAAAATGGAACCAGTCATTTGGGTGTAGAGAGGTAAATAGGTGAGAGAATTAATAGAGATATTATGTATTAGTATGTACTGCCCTCATGTTTTGAGGAACTTTGCACATATGAAATATTTGACATATCATTTTTTCTCCCCTTGGTAGAAATTAGAAAATGAGGGTTATTATTATTATTATTATTTTAAGTTTTATTCATCAAAGAAAAATAACACATCCGTTATTTTTCGTGGGTGGAACACTATTTGTGGCACTCTGAAACCTAAGCCTCCAGTACATTTAAATATCAATCAACAGTTTGGCATCTGTCACCTCCTATATATTTAACTTTGCATTCTACTCTTGGACGAGGGAGCAATAATGAGTATACAACAGATACATAAAACATCATCTTCAGCAATAAGAATGCCAGGCTTAAGTAATAAGGTGTGTAATACACAATACTTTTTTTCATGTAGTAATTTTTAGTTTTGCATTTCTCACTAGACTACGTACACTTCTTGAGGACAGGGATTTTTGTCTTTATAAATTTTATTTTCCTGGCAACTGTCAACACTATTTGGCACATAGTAGAAACTGAATTAATATATTAATATGTCTTAAAATGTGAATAAATACCAGTTACACCGTCTATGAAAACTTAGAGAAAGTTGAGATCAGTATAGGAAGGCTTCCCTAAAATAGGTGAAAGAGTTTGTTTGCCCTTGGTAGTGACCTTTCAGTTTTAAATAATGCAATTTTGCCTGAAGCATGGACATAAAGTCACATTCTTAATTTTAAAGGATTTTTTCAAGGCACTGGGAAGAGTAAAACAGATTCATAATGATGTCAAAGTTCTCTTGCGTACAAATCAACAAACGGCAGGGTGAGTAACTGCTCACTGAACTAATTGCATTGCTGCTTATGTTTCCAAAATTTTAAAGATATTCTAGATTGTTTGTGAACTATATAGCATTTTGTGAAATAGAAGTTTAATCTTTATTTATCTTTAGAGAATGGTGAAGTTATACTCTGACAGGTTTAGGCTAAAACAGCAGTTGATAAATAAGTGATGGTTAAAATGTGACATTTATTTAATTGTAGAAAATTATTGAAAAATCATCCCATAAAATGATAAAAAGTTAATATGCTGTAATATGTAATATGCAAACAAAATAATTAGGTGCTTAGATGTATCTGTTGACTAAAGTTTAAATTATAATCATTAATTTTTTTTTAGTTTAGAAATTATGGAACAGATGGCCTTACTTCAAGAAACGGCTTATGAAAGACTTTACCGATGGGCTCAAAGTAAGTGATTTCTTTTATGTTGTCTAGATTCATGAACATTTGTAGTTGTTTTTTAAAATTTTACTTGGTCTTTATTTGATATATTTTGATTTTAGTAATCAAACATTTTTTAAAAATAAAAATAGTATTTGTATTTGGTTTTTAAATTTTTACTTGGTCTTTGATGCATTTTGATTTAGTAATCAAAAATATTTTAAAAAAGAAAAACAAACTTCACATTTGAGCACACTGTTTTTTGTGTTTGTATCATGAGCACCAGCTATCAGCCAAGCAGTATGCTTGATTAAGTGTGAGAATAAAACAATGAAGACAGTTTCTGCCCTAGATTATTTTAAAGCAGATTAGGTATCTCTTGTTGTTTACATAACTGTAAAGTTGTAAGTGGTAAACTGATTTTCTGCTGTTGCTGTAACAAATTATTACAAACTGAGTGGCTTAAAACAACACATATTTGTTGCCTTACACTTCTGTAGGTCAGAAATCAGATGTGGTTCTCACTATGCTAAAATCTAAATGTTGGTAGACCTGCATTTGTTTCTGTAGGCTTTAAGGGATAATGTTTCCTTGCTCATTCAGTTAGTTGGCAGAATTCAGTTCCTTGTGTTTGCAGCACTGAGGTCTGTGTTTCCTTGCTGGCTGTCACTGAGGGTTTTTCCCAGTTTCTAGAGGCTGCCTGCATTCTTCGGCTTGCGGCCCCTTCCTCCATCTTCCAAGCCAGCAATGTCAGGTCATTTTCTCATGTTGATTCTACCCTGCCTCATCTTCTATCTCATATCTCTAACTTTTCTGCCAGCCACTTCCATTGTGAGGCCTGTGTGATTACCTTGGACCCACTTGGGTAATCTGAGAAAATCTCTCCATTTTGAGGTCTACTGCCTTAATTTCATTTACAAAGTCCCTTTTGCCATGTAAGGTAACATATTCACAGTTTCCAGGGATTAGGATGCAGACATCTTTGGAGGGCCATTATTTTGCCTACCAGGAATGCTTTATTTGCTTTAGTTTTGTTTGAAAATGTTTCAATAGATTTTTTGCAGAATAGCCTGTTAAAACCAGAGAAGATATTTAAAACAAGCAAGCATGGAACAGGAGCACATATTTTAATAGGTGTTACCAACTGACTGTTGGAAGGGGTTGGAATTAAATTTGGTTAACCAGCTACTCCTGTACTATGCTGCGCAAATGGAATTCTCTGATCTGGTTGGTTAAGTCTTTATCTCTAAAACCTGTTTGTTTTTCTACCTCTCTCCTTCTTTACATTGTTTGCTTCCATCTGGAGTGTTGTCTGCCTTTCTCTCATTGCATCTCATTGTATTTTTTTCATGTATGTCTTATCTCACTAGTTTTCTACTTCCTCAAAGGCATGGACATTGACTCAAATTTTTTTGTGCTCCCGCAACATCTTACATAGTGGTTCCCAACTGTGGGCTCTGTCTTGTGGAGACTATGAAGTCATTTTAAGGTGTCTTCAATTCTCTATGCATATTTTGTTTTCAGTCAGTGCATGCTAGAAAGTATACTGCTAGTGTGAAGTCCTTGTGTACCAAAGGTTGGGAATTTCTGAGAAGTTCTAAATTCTTTGAATATACTAGGCACTTGTGAGCATTTTATAGATAAAATTAGAATAATAAAGAAAAGTTGGTGTAGAAATTTTTAAGAGTTTAAAATTCAAACTCTTTTGAAATTATATCACTATATATTAGTTAACCACATTAACAATTTTAGCAAACTGTTTAAAGATTGCTTCCCAGCGAAGGAACTGATAATATCTTTTTAGTACTCCTCCCTGCCTCCCTAATACTGTCATGTATATGGCAGTTATTAGGAAATACTTGTTCACTGGTTGGTTTCTTCAGGACTCTATAGTGTTTTATAATAATAAAATACAGCTTTGGGGCATACCTGATAGCATATGTGGTCATTTAAAGTTATATAACTACTTAAGCTTAACTTTTTAGTTTGGTTGACAGCATAAATTCATTTTTGATTGGTGTATTCTCTAGGTTTTTCTGAGGATTTTTTTTTATGGGGTGTTTGCCATAGAATTTAGACTCCTGGAATGCAACAGACATAATAAACATCTAAGCTGAATTTAACAAAAGTTATAATGTTAATTATTTTTCAGGTGAATGCAGAACATTGACACAAGAATCATGTGACGTATCTCCAGTATTGACACAGGCAATGGAAGCCCTGCAGGACAGACCTGTCTTATATAAGTTGGTGACTTTTTCTTAATTAAAAATGAAAGCCTACTTTTCTTTTGATATCTTACTTTAAATTTTAGTATTATCAAAAGCGTATATAATAGTTTGAGTAATATTTATAATAATTTACAACAATACTGTTCACCTTAACTTGAATTTGTTTCATGGGGTATCAGCTTATTTGAATTTTACATACTATAGAATACAATATGGAAAGAGAAACCAAAGTGTCTCTGTATCTAGACTACCTCTTACTTATATAGAGGTTCAGTGACTTTTCCCCTGTCGTCTCATTAACTCCCTTAGAATTGTAAGTAACTAAAACTCCTGTATGAATACTTCCCTACAGAGACTGAAGTCATATCAGTACTGAGAAATATGGTTATGCAGAGATGAAAAAAGAATATTTAATATCAAGGTAATCTGTTAATAGGATTTAGGAGGAGAGGGCCCAGGTCTTTGATCCTGTAATTGATGCCAAACAAGAGCTATGTGGTAATGTTTTGGATAAGAATTTAATGCATTTTGTATTTGTTGATATGTTTTTTATTATTTTATATTTTAATTTTATTCTTTTAATTTTTATAAAATAAAAGGTAAATACTTTCTTTAATGCCTGGAGTAGTATTAGCATAAGCTTTAGGTAGATGTAGGGGTTGATGATATTAATAATTCTGAAAACAGGAAACGAGGGGACTCTTACCAAGGTAGTGCATCCTGCTTTGAATCATCCCTTTCAGAATCTGTTTATACTATTTTTAGAGGACCTCCCCATTACTTTCTGATTGGAACACTACTTATCCTATCATCAGGTCACAGAACACAAATGCTGAACAGCTGTGTAAAATAATAACACCCCAGTGTTACTTACTGAGTACTATGTGTTAAGCACCATTTTAAATTCTAGAAACACAACGTCAGTAAAGCACTGCCCTCAAACTGCTTTATTTTATGGAACCAGAGATAAACAAACGCATTTTAATTGAATACACTAATTGATAGTCTAGAAGTCATGTGCCAGATGCTGTGTGGCTCAAGTATTCTGGTGTAGGGGAAAGAGATGAGCATCAGTGAAAGTTTCCTAAGGAATTAGGTATAAAGTGAGTTCTGAAGGCTGAATAGGCATTTTCCTAGAAGTAAAGGAAGAACAGTTTGCAGGTTGAGGGAACAGTAATGCAAAGATATACATTGAGAGATAATGCACCTTTGGGAAATTAATTGTAAAAGCTTGCACTGGCTATTGAATTAGGAGCAACAGCTGGATCATAATAGCCCTGAATGTTGTGCATATACATAAGATAAGTTAATGTTTACCATTGATCAGCAGCTTAACAGTTTATTCCTGCTTTAAAATTTCTTTCCCAACTTTTTCACTTTAACATATTGACATTAATTATGAGTCTTTTAGCACTTAAAACATTTGGCGTTTGATTTTAACAGCTGTTGCATTGTCTACAGATTAATATTTATTCACAAGGTTAATCTTTTATGTATTAAAAAAAAAAAGCCTTTCTGTGTTTTGGGCACCTTTGTTTGTTTTCAACAGCTGACTTCTGCCATGCAAATAAATTTTCACTGAGTTATAGTTCTTTATCAAAACTTGGAAAGGAGCAATATTAAATGGCTATAAGGTGGGTTCTTGAGTCAAATTTCTTTGAGAAGTCCGTGTACCTTTATAAGCTTGTTTCCTTAGCTGTAAAATGAGGATAATAATAGTGCCTATTTTACAGGGTTGATGTGAAGATTAAGTTAGATTGTTCACTTAAGGCACTTAGTGTAATGCTTGGTACATCACTAAATTTTAGATATTATTTTTATTTTGAGAGGAGATGACTAGAAAGTTTTCAACTAAGGAGGGATGTATCTGAGGGCTACATGGCAATCTGGGAAAAAGCTTGAAAGATAAAGAATGGAACTATAATAGGCAAAGAAGGTTTATCTGTGAAGGGCATATGCTAAGAAGCAGGGGGCAGTAATGGCAATTTGGAAGATTTTTTTTTTTTTTTTTTTTTTTTTGAGACGGAGTCTAGCTGTCGCCCAGGCTGGAGTGCAGTGACGCAATCTCGGCTCACTGCAGGCTCCGCCCCCTGGGGTTCACGCCATTCTCCTGCCTCAGCCTCCCGAGTAGCTGGGACTACAGGCGCCCGCCACCTCGCCCGGCTAATTTTTTGTATTTTTTAGTAGAGACGGGGTTTCACCGTGTTAGCCAGGATGGTCTCGATCTCCTGACCTCGTGATCCACCCGCCTCGGCCTCCCAAAGTGCTGGGATTACAGGCGTGAGCCACCGCGCCTGGCCAATTTGGAAGATTTTAAGACACATTTAGAAGTTGAGTAGGAAAGTAAGTTTTTAAGACCAGATGATTAGAACAAGATGAATGCTAAAAAAGAGAAAATTGGCCTTTCATTAAGTAATTATTTTCAAAGTGGTAGTTTCCTTACATTTAGGGAAAACTTAATAATGTATCATGTTAACCACCAGATGGCACTATATGAACTTAATAAGTAATGTATAAAAGTTTCACTGTCCATTATTGTGTCTCAAATAATGTAAGTATTATATACAAGAAAAATGTCAATTATTGAAATCCGTGGGGAAAGTTGCCATACTCAGTGTTTCTTATGTGGTGTATAACTGGAATGCTAATGCATTATTGACTTTTAATAATAAATCATGTACAATTATAAATGAAGTGAAAAAATTTGATAATTTATTTTCTTTGGTAAGCCTTTAGAATATAAGTTATTTTAAAATGTAGTAATACATACAATGCTGATTTTTCTTCCTTCTTTATGTATTTGTTGTGTTTCAAAGAGGCACTTCTTTACTATTATCTTTTAATTTGCTTTTTGATAAAAATTTTTCTTCTTTTAATTTGCTTTTTGACCAGAATTTCTTTAACTGTAGCTAAACACAATTTTTAAAATGAGACTTTTAATTTTAACTTGAGGTATTTGAGAATATTTACATAATTTGAACATTCACTCTGAAAAAGCTCCATTTTGATTTTTGATTATTGTTGGAAGAATGTCTGATTTTGGTCAAAGACTTTTTCTTCTGTCTCTGGGAAGGATGTTTCATGTCTAAAGATATTGAAGGTTCACGTGGCTTATGCTGTTTTTGCTTTAAATTATATTTGTTCTATAGGAGGATTGACATTAATATTAATGTTTATTGATATTTTATAGTATTGAACAGATGAAATTCCAGTGTTTGCCAGGCTTGGTAATTTACCCCCTATTTAAAATACACTGGATTTTAAGATTCACTGGATTCTGTTACAGCTGTCGTCCCAGTGGACAGTCCTAGAAACAAATTATGCTGTTTATTTTTAATATAGTTAGTAGGGTCTTGGGAATGAGGATTAGCTATATATACTTAAAAAGTTAAACGTTTGTGAATTTTATGCTGTGATAAGCAGTCATAAGTTCATTATTTCAGAGAATCAGGTGATCATTTAAAAGAAGGCATTCTTCACACTAAATGGATTAATAATTTAAGAGCATGAGGGAAAAAATAGCAATGAGCATTTTGGTTCTAATTTGTTTAAAAAATAGTAAATGCAAGGCAATTATGCAATTTAGCAAAACTTAGCTGGATATTGCACTTCCCCTTTTCTGTAGTATGTCACCACAGGGAATCTCAAAACCATTTCTTTTTAATGGAAGACAAACCCACAAAGAACCATAGTCTGGTTAATAGTAAACAGTCCTCAAAAAAGGTTCATATTCCTAAATATTTATAGCTATTTGCCAGTTCTACAGACTTTCTCTTTGATTTGGAAATAAACCGTCTTTCACATGTTTACCAAAATGTGGATTTTTCATCCAATTAACAGCATATGAAAGAAAGCTATGTAGCCTAAGATATTAATTATTTTGGGTATCTTGGGAAGTTTTGGTAATTTTTGTTTATATATAGGTTATTGACATAATTCTTAAAATTTAGTATGGTAGAATACTGTTTAGAGATTTAAAAGTTAGTCTAGAATCTGCTGACATCAAGACTGCTAAAATATATTTTGTTTTTCTTTATACTTTTAAAATGGAAAGAACTTTCAATTGAGGGATGGATGTCAGGAATGGTGGTGATAATGGAAAACAAGGCTGAGTCAAGTCAAAGAAATGGGCACTCCAGAGAGCTCCAGGCCATTTTTATAAATTGAATCCCAAATTGTCCTATTCCCCAGTTAAAAGCTTTCCTTCCCTACCAGTTCCTTCACCTTAGAAAGCCTTTCCATGCCTTTTCAATTATAATAGGTGACTTCTTAATACATGTTTTTTAAAAAGGTATTTGCTTGTATATGTGTTTGGTCAGTAAATTTAAGGAACATCTGTTATGTCTAATATTGGAGTCAAAATAAGCTTTTAAAGATGGATAGCAATTTTTGGAGCAAATTTTGGTGATAGATTGTGATAGTATGTGTAAAGAAGACTTTTTTAATGTAGAAGAGAAAAATGTCAATTTTGGGATTGCAGAATTCTTTTATTTTTTCTGAGACAGGGTCTTGCTCTGTGGCTCAGGCTGGAGTATAGTGGAGCAGTCACTGCTAACTGCAGCCTGAACCTCACGGGCTCAAGTGATCCCCCTACCTCAGCCTTCCGAGTAGCTGGGACTATAGGCATGCACCACCATGCCTGGCTATTTTTTTTTTTTAATAATGAGAAAGGGTTTCATTATTTTGCCCAGGCTGGTCTCAAACTCCTGGGCTCCAGTGACCACCTTCCTCGGCCTCCTAAAGTGCTAGGATTGCAGGTGTGAACCACCGCACCCAGCCTTGGATTTGCAGAGTTCTAATTATAATCAGTTTTTGAGAACTGTTATGGCTTTACGTAAAACAGTAGAGCATCATGTTTTAGACTGCAAATATGTATACTGAAATATACCGAAACCTAGTATAGTGAATATACTGAAACCTAAAAAGTTAAGTCTTCCCACCTTGGCTTGATTTTCCTACTTTTACTAAGTCCATTGCTTTATCCCTTATTACTGCTGCCTCTGCTTTAGTCCCAAATCCCAGCATTGTTTCTTAGGAGGGGTAAAAGTTTTTACTTTTTGATTGAATTTTCAATGAGCTGAAGTTATCTCTTAAATATTTTTTTCTTGTTTGAAAGCAATGTTGCTTGACCGAATATCTAAAGGAGCTTTAAGTGCTTTTTAAGTACTTGGTTGTCTCAGAAATTGCGTGAATAGTCTGATATAGCCACTAGAAACAACCCCAACCATTTTTTATATAACTTGTTTCTTCTAGATATACCTTAGATGAATTTGGAACAGCCAGAAGAAGTACAGTTGTTCGTGGATTTATTGATGCGCTCACAAGAGGGGGCCCCGGAGGTACACCTAGACCAATTGAAATGCATTCTCATGACCCTTTGAGGTATAGTAATCAGACAGCAGAAGAGGAGTTGATGTTTTTCCAAAGGAAATCTTCATTAACATTTAGTTTTCATTAGGTATGTAGGAGATATGTTGGCTTGGCTCCATCAAGCTACTGCTTCTGAAAAGGAACACCTTGAAGCTCTCTTAAAGCATGTAACTACACAAGGTGGGTCCACCAATTGTATTGCTAATGCCTAAATATAGAAAATAACACAAGCATCTCTGTTTCTGTTCTTGTTGCCATCTTCTTCACTTAGATAAACACCTTGATGGTACAATAAGCATCCTGATTACTCTTTCTCTTCTCTAGATTCTCCCTCATTCTGCTAATAGACTTTCTCTTCCATCACCTTTGTCCTGTCACTCAACTGTTCAGTTTTATAGTGAAACCTAGTGACCTTTCATATCAAACCTAGACTCCTCTGTGTCACTTTTAAGAAATTTCTGGAATATTTAGCATACATTTTCTCAAATCCTCTGCATGACACTTTAAAGGTACAGGGTGATATTATCTTAATTTTATCTGTGTGTAAACAGGCTGAGTGACTTGTTTTAGGTCTTTAAGCTACTAATTCTTTCATTTCTGCTACCCAGCCTCTTTTTTCATTCTCATGGCACTGTTTTAAAATTTTAAGACAATTATCATATCTGTTAGTATGTTTCTGCATTGCTATAAAGGAACACCTGAAGATTGGTAACCTATAAAGAGGTTTAATTTGACTCACGGTTCTGCAGGCAGTAGAGGAAGCATGATGCCAACATCTGCTTCTGGTGAAGGCCTCAGGAAGCATAGAGTCATGGTGGAAGGCAAAAGGGGAAGAGCCAGCATGTCACATGGTGATTGAGGGAGCAAGACAGAGAGATGGGAGAGATGGGGAGGTGCCACACACTTTTAAGCAACGCTGACTATTGTGAGGACAGCACCAAGCCATTCATGAGAGATGCACTCCCATAGCCCAAACATCTCCCACAGGCCCCCACCTCCGACATTGGGGATTACATTTCAACTTGAATTTAGAGGGGACAAACATCCAAACTACATCACCATATGTACTAAATGTACTTAAAATTTTTGTCTTGATGTCAAGGAAGAAAAATAACTGTAGTTGAGAGTTGCTGATGTCTTGTTTACAGAATTCCAAATCTTCTTAGTTGTGATTACCTAAAGAGGCCTGTTTTAGAGTTTGAGGGTTTAGTGTATGATTTTAAAGTGTTCTATTTTTGGTAGGAAGTTAAGAGAGACACTGTGGCTTGGTATCACTTGACTATTTTACATAGCTCAGCCACACATCTCTGTGGTTCACATTATCTGCAAGATGAGTCAGTGTTACAAATTGGTGGTAATACTAACTTTATAGCTTCTAACTCTTCAGTATCAAGATTAGACTCAGCATATATGTTAGATTGGCACAAAGTGTGCATCGTTAGGTTCTCTTTCTGTTATTATTCTCCTTACCCAGTTTAAATAAATGTGTTTCCTTAAAGATGTTTTAGAAAAGTATAAGGCAGTATTAAGGAAGTAAATAGACTGTAGTTAGTTGAAGTAGGTTATTCTACATGAATGACTTCAATCTTCTGGGCCTCAGTTTTTCCATCTGTGAAAATGAAGGTGATTACAAGCAGTAAATGTCAAATACCCAGTACAGAGTTTGATAAATAGTTGGTGTTTTGAAAATACCAGTTTTTCTGAAAGATTTCAAGGTATATTTTTCATCTTTATACCCTCAGTGTATGTGCTAAGCAGCACTGCCTGGAACAAGATGTTTGTAAAACAAATGCTAATACATCTTGGCATCACTTCATTCAATTAATACATTTCACCCTCTTTTTTTCCTCTGTCTTATAACTTTAATCTTTTTCACAAAGAAATATTTATTTTATTAACTCAAAGTCAGATGAATTAACAAGGCTTTCTAGACACATTAGGTATTATCACAATTAATATGTTAACACAATTAGTAATGTCCCAAGAGATATCAAACTTACTAAAATATTGTTATGGTTATTTTAAAAGTCATTAGTGCCATTAATTATATGTATTATATATTATTTGTTAGTTTTTTGAACTTATATGAAGCAAAGTATAATATGGAAACAAATATTAATTATGTAGTCATTAATTTTAGGTGTTGAAGAAAATATTCAAGAAGTTGTTGGGCATATCACTGAAGGTGTGTGCAGGCCTCTAAAGGTAAAATATTTTGTTTTTACATATGCTATATGGTACCTGCTTAAATTATTACCTTATTTATAGAAACTTAAGAAACTGATACCAGCTCAAATACAATCTATAATTTTTTCAAATTAGCACACTAATGTAGACTAATAAGAAACATTTTAAAATAATAATTGCCAGTTTTCTCTCTGAGAAAGAAAATTGGAAATATTTGTAGTTTGCATATATTGACCTATTTTTTACAGATTATATTTCCTGTAGTAATTTTTCTTATTCAATTGAGAAAAAAATCTATTAAATTTAAACAGCGAATCTATGAACTCTTAACAGAGAGATTTACTAAGAATATTTTGTTTACTTGATTGCTTCAAGCATAGAAGAGTTTTTGCTTGTCATAGCAATAAATAATGATTAATCCAAGGATAAAATAATGTGTATTGGTATTATCATCAATACTGTTTATAGTGCAAGGAACAGAATTTGGAATCAAATTTGAGTTAGAATTCCCATATTGCCACTTAATTGTGTTTACTTATTGCATCCGCTTAACTCTTCTGCACCTGAATTATGCTCTGGTGGGACCTGTATATTAAAACACCTATCATCCAGGGTTGTTGTGAGGATGACTGTGTAGATGAAGTACATAGTTTATGACACTAAGTATTTAGCAGATGGTAAATACCTTTATTTTCCTTTATTAATATTTAGAGAATACTTGGCAATTGTTGGTTTACTTTTCCTTGTAAACCAACTTCATTGATTGACTTTAATTTCATACATAGAAATTGAAATCCAGAAGTTTAGTAATTAATTTTTCAAGAAATGAACTTTAAAATTAATTTTATTTTATTTCTAAGGTTTTTGTTTTTTTGGTATATGCTTCAGGCAAGGAAATCTCAGATGACACACTTGGTGACAATTGATTATATTGACAAATTTAACTGTTACTCTAACTTGATCTCATAGGACCTAACTGTATATTCAGTAAATAAATGGCTAAGTATCTTGAAATTATTTTACTTATTTCTCCCAAATGAAATATTTACTTGTCATAGTTTGATGTAGACATATATAACTTATATAAATGTTGTTTATTTTGTATACTGGCAGTTACTGGAAAGGTAGAAGAAGAGGAGGAATAAAATGAAATTTATTTTGCTATGCTTTTATACCTTTTTATAACTTCATATAGTTAAATTAAACTCCTAGTCACTTTGATAAGTAAATTTTACTTTATCTGCCTTACCTTCCCCCCTTCCTTGCTTATGTAATTATGTTTCTTTTTACAATTTTTCTAATTTTTGTGGGTACATAGTAGGTGTATGCTTTTCCTTTTCTTTTTAAAAAGTAATTTTATAAATACTATAATTTTAGAATCTAAGGGTTATAATGGACTTTTCAGTTTCCTGTCCTGGTTTGAGTAAGAATTATTATATTAAAAATGTTTAAACTAATCCAGCCACTTGTATAAAGACTTTATATACTGAAGTCTGCCTTTGTTTTAAAATGTACTTAGAAATTCTCACTTCATCTTCCTTTAATGTACATACCCAGAAAGATCTTTATGGCAATTGTAGGACATTATTGTGATCTGCTGGCAAATTTAAATGTAAGATGCCAAAGGTAAAGAAGACACTAGTAAGCAGACAAGCATCTTTTTGTTGTAAAATGAAGAAAAATTCCTTTTCTGAAATGGCAGAAACTTCAAATCTTTCCATATGATGATAATATGTATTGCATCCAGAGAATATTTAGCAGGTGTTCACAATAGTTACGTATCAAATTAGCTTGATAGTGATATGTAATCCAGCAACTCTCATACCTTCCCTTCCTTATATACTGATAGACAGTGTTACAGTATTTTAAGAATTTTTTTTCTGTATGACCTTATTTGAGTATCTTATGTTTTCAGTGAGATAGTTGTTAGTTGAGGAAAAAAATTTCGACTTTAATTATTTTTTTTTGCAATTATAATTCTGAAATTTTCTAGTGATCAATCTGCTCTTGTAATCCCACTCATACAAAATTTCTTCTTCCTAATTGATAAGCAACTAAACTTTTTCTAATGACATATGATATTGGATGTTATGGCTACTTTTCTGTCCATCATTATTCTTTGTAGATATGAATTTTTTTTGGAATAAGAGATTTTGATTTTTAGAAACATAAAAGGTTATAGTGGTAATGGGAGATAATCCTTGAGAAACTATATATTTGATTTATTCTACCTTGTTTAATCTTTTCTTTGTCTTAGTAAAGTGAAACATCATAGGTAGTAGATTAAATATTTGTAAATGTATGCATTAAGATAAGATCTGTAAACCTATTGCCAGTTTAAAGAATCTGTGCTCTAAGTTTAAGATTGCATATGTTGTGTAGGGGGTACCGTGGCTCATCAGCATCAACCCTATTACTTTGTACATGTCTTTATTCCAAAACTGTAGCTAGAAAGACCAGAACTAATATATTAAATTTTTTTTTTAAGCCCATGGGTATAAAATCCTTCTTTTATGTGAATGTTTTAGATTGCTGAGAGATTACCAGCTATCATTTGAATTTTCTCTTTTAATAAAAACTTTAGTGTAGTGTATGCTACAGACCTTAGATTATGGTGGGTTCTATGAAAGCAGGTATATGTAAAAGATCAATGACATGGAAAATAAAGCTGAATATTGTACACAATATAGTCATTGGACCCTCAGATTGAGGTATACATAGGAACAGATGTCTACCCTGAGCAGCTGTCTGTGATATTAAGGTAAAATAGGTTTGTCATCATCTTTTTTAGTCCTCCCTTCTTCCTGTGTCCCCTTCATGAACACAAACCCACTCTCTTTCTCTTGCTCTCGCTTTTGCTCTAGCTTTCTCTCTGGCCTTGGAGAGGAGAGCCACTGTTCTGTCTTTTAGCTCTTCCCTACCTTCTCTGCTGTCAGGGTGCCTGAAGCTCATTTTGCTACTTTTAATATCTCTGCCTTTATGGTTGATGCTGCTTCTCGTAATGCAGTTAGGATTTATTGAGTGCTTATGATGTGCCAGGGTCTGTTCCAACATACTTTATATCTGAGCCATTATTCCCGTTGCTGCTTTCCAGCTCTGCTAATGATTTTTCCCTCCACTGTCATCACAGTGATAATTTCCAGTCAGTTGCTGCTACCACCACTCCTTTAAGTCTCTTTGACCTTTTTTTACTTTTTACTTTTCGTTTCTCTTGTCCTTTGTTGTTTCTCCTGTGACTGTTGGGTTTTGCTGAAAATGGTTACCCTCTTATATAGCTCTCATAAGACAGAGTGTTTATTTCTGTGTGGCAAACAAAGCATTCTTGGTGTATTATTTGTCAGTCTCCTGATTTTCCAGCCTTTCTCTGTTGTATTTTGTATTGTAGCTGTTGTATTCTTTATTGCCACTTTCCCTCAAAACCTTTATATTCATGGAGAGAGTTGGAAATTGTTTTTGTTTTTTCTTCCTTTCTCCCTCCTTTCCCTCTTTGCTTTTCCTTTCTTTCTTTCTCTCCCCTCTTTTCTCTCTTTCTTAAGGGAGTCAGAACTAAGAATATTTTCTTGATGCCTCAAAATTCTGGAAGGCAGCTGGCCGGATAGCTGAGATGTTGTTTAAAATCTGCTAGTAAAGAGCTGTTTGCCTACAACTAACATTTTTTATATTTTGCTGTAATAATTATATTAAAATTAAGAAAATATCACTTTTATTGATGTAATGTATAATTTAAGTCACTGTTAAGGCCTTGATTTAAAAATAAATCATGGAAAAATATATTTTTTAAGTTCAAATGCCATTCATGATCCATGGTATTGTGTTAATTAGATAGTCTATCACCTATACCAACAGATCAATTTCATAAACATATTAATGTAAAGGTAAATTGATTTCTGTAATCTAAGAGGTTTTCATATGCAGATATAAAATCTCATTTTAGCAAATCACATTTGTTTTATGACATATGCCAAAATCTAAATACAGAGAAAGTTCAGTTTTTAAAAGCATATATTAAACATCTGTTGTGTGTATACTGTTCTACCAGATGCTACAGAGATGTAAAATAGGCAGAAGACATAATGTCTATACTGTATTTGTATTAGAAACTAGTTAGGAAAGCAAGAAGATAGAATGTAAGCAGTAGCTTAAGGACAGATACAATATTTAAGTAAGCATTTATCAGTGTAGTTTAGATTGTATTCATTAATGAGATAATATAAAAGAAGGATCAGTGAGGGATGGAATTTAATTAGAAAAGATTCATATTTCCTAAATCTTGAGGCAAATCAAATTAATCTTGAACTAGATCTGATTTTTCCCTGGTAGTCTTATAATTTGGCAAATATGTTGGTGCTAATTCAAGATTTGCCTAGTTTTCTATTCTTTGATTAATAGACAAACGATATAATAATTTATAGACTGGAATTTATTTTATTTTTTTCTTGAATATTTAGCAATAAAGCATTATGTTTTCATTGATAATCTGTTTTAGGGATGTAACAGTTGCCTTTTCAATTTCATATTGAACCAAATTCCATTATATACTGGTGATAAATCTCAAATGATCTCAATGTATTGACATTTCTGGTAACAACTGCCTTGAACCAAATTCTGCAAATAATGGGTCAGATTTTTGTAGAGTATATCTCTGTTAAAATGTTTGTTACTTTACCATCTTCTATGACTTACTACTCAGAAATTATTTAGGAGGCATTTTGTGATCTCTGCAGTAATAAAATTTTATCTTTGTTATGCTATTCATACCATATGTTATTAATGAAAAAAAGTTATACTTTTAAGAAATGTTTACTTTCCTCTCACATATTTTAATAGGTTCGAATTGAGCAAGTAATAGTTGCTGAACCTGGGGCAGTTTTATTATATAAAATTTCTAATCTCCTCAAATTTTATCACCATACAATCAGGTAAGTAGAATGGCAAAATGTGCTTGCTAAATCCAATGTGATATTTCTTTCAGTTAGAGCACAGTATAAGATTTTTTTTTATATTGTGTATAGTAATTATACACTAAGTATAGACTAAGCGTAACTAGTAGGACTTCCACACCATGTAAATCATTATATGCATATTATACATGCTATGCCTTAAGGTCTATTATTTCCTTTCTCCTTTTTTCTCCAAGCTTAACTACACGCACACACACACACACACACACACACACACACACACCCCTTATATAGCAATATAAGTCTATAATGTAAGTCTTTATTGAGTCTTCCTGCATTGGTAAAAGACATCCAAGGCAACTAAAGCAACTATACCTTATACTCACAATAGAGCATAGTGAATGAAATGTTCTATTCTGGATGTAAATAACCTACCATGTACTCACAATAGGGCATAGTGAATGAAATGTTCTATTCTGGATGTAAATAACCTAAATTCTTTAGCATTTAGTTTACTATAAGTGATAAAATAGAGTCATAGCTTTATCTTCTCTACATAACAGCAACTTTATCTGATTAGGAACCACTTGTCTTATATAAAATGTGATCTTTGACTCCAAAATATGCATTCATTTTTGCTTTACTTACGTGTTTTGGTGGTATACCCGTGAGTTTTATTATAACTCTCACTGTAAGACTGTTATATATGTAGTTATGTTAAAACAATGTCTTTCCAAGCCATATTTTTGATAGTTTTTGTATTTTTCCATTAAATAATTATTTAAAAGTTATTTGTTATGCAGTATGCCAGTATCAGGAATAGTAGGCCAACTGTTAAAAATCTAAGAAGGATGTAACTAACATTACCAGGAAAGGTTCAGGGAGCACTAGTTTACAGAGTACCAAAAAACTGTGGTAAGGTTATCACCTACCCCTTAGTGACAGAGAGTAGCCACCCAGAACTTAACAGCTAGGGAATGGATTTCACATCTTACTAGTAGATTTTCAAACAAAACTAACAAGTCATAGTCTACAAAACTGATCAGAGATAGGATTTGGATTAGTCCCTTAATATTTTAGATATAAACTTGTTGTCATCATTCCCATAATTCAAAAGCAATGAATTAGTTTCAGTTGTAATATTATAGCATCCTGTAATAAGAGAATGATAAATACTTAGAAAACACAAGGGCAGCTGAAAGCTAGACATAGCAAATGCTGTGTTATAAAAAGATGCTGGTAAAATAATTTTTAAAATTGTTTATTTAATAATGTCCATGATGGGACTACATGAAATTTATTATTTAAAGATATTGATATCTTAGTTTCTAATGTAGAAAATGCTGGAAATAAAATAATTCAGATTCTGAAGATGATAATAGGTTTTTTTAGGCTCTGAGAATTATAATTTTTCTATCTTTGAAGATGATATTGAA
Source organism: Homo sapiens (assembly GCF_000001405.40). Lineage (NCBI taxonomy): Eukaryota > Metazoa > Chordata > Mammalia > Primates > Hominidae > Homo > Homo sapiens. The sequence goes on from NC_000013.11 coordinate 39,696,144, forward strand.
GATGACAATTAAAATCTTTTTTTATTGATTGCATGTACTTTGTCTACTTGTTCACACATTTCCTCATTTAGTCAATTAAACAGTTGACTGTATACTTGTCATTCTTCTAGGTGGTAAGGAAACAGTAATTAACAAAACAGAGCTTAAACTTACATTGTAGTAGGGGAGACAAGCAAGTACAAAATAATAATTTTAGGTAGTGGTAAGGGTACTGAAGAAAAAGCAGGAAAAAGGAAGTAGAAAGTATAGGCAGTGATCATACATGAGAAGATATATGTGTGTGTGACTGTTTTTGAGGCCATTCGATAGAGGTGATATTTGAATATGGATGTGAATAATATGAAGGAGTTGGGCATGAAAAGATCATGGAGAAGAGTGTCCAGGACAAAAATACACTCTGGTGCTGAAGCTAGGAAAAGCTTGCATTTTGGAGGACTAGAAAGAAAACCAGGAATTGGAGTGTAGTGAATTGGAAGGAGTAGGGGGAGATGAAATCAGAAAGGTAGAGAGAGGCCAGCTCACACAGGATTTTGAAGGCGATAGTGGATATTTCGATTTTATACTGAGTGGATAAGATTGGGGAAAATGTGAGGGTTTTGAGTGACCTGAGCAGATTTGTGTTATAAGGTTACTCTGGATATTCTGTGAATCATGTAGTGTAGTGAGACAAAAGGGAAAATAAGGAAGATATTTAGAAAGCAGTTTGTGCTCCTGAGAAGAGATGATGATGTTTAGACTAGGGTGATGGTCTTAGAAATGGTAAACAGTAGTTGATTTTGGAGATAATTTATGTCACAGCCAATAGGACATGTATACATACTAGATAGAGTGAGGTATGAGGAGTCAAGGATGAATTTTTGGCTTTTGGTTTGAACAGCTGGGTGAATGGTATTGTTTGCTGAGATAGGGAATGCTGGAAAGGAACTGGTTGATGGGAGTGGTGGGTAATGAAGAGTTCCGTTCAGTTTTGGCCTTGTCAGATTTGATGTATCTGTGAATATACAGGAGATTTTGAGTGATCAAATAATACAGAGAGAAATCAGGGCTGAAGCTAAAAATGTCTTAGTTTTCAGAAAACAGATGACACAATGCCATGGGAGTAGGTAAGATCACTTAAGAAATGAGTATAGATAAAGAATGGTTGCTAAGGACTGAGTCCTGGGAAACTCCAATATTTTGAGTCAAGAAGAGGAGAAACGACAAAACTGGGAAGGAATAGTGGTGAAGTTGGGGAAGAAGCAGGACGCATGCAAGATCTCAAAAAATTTACCTCTCATACATTAAAACTCCTAACAAAAGGAAGATATAGAATCCAGGAAACAGGGACTCGAGCATGCTTGGATTATATATCCTTTCCTGCAAAACTTTTCTCCCTGGAATTAATAAACACTTGGCTTTTGTACTTGTTTACTTTCCTATGCCCTTATCACTATTTTGGATCCAAGCTATTTAAGAGAACTCAACATTGCATTGTCTCACCATGTAGTCCAACAAGTAATCCGCCTCTCTCCTGCCCCTATCTGATACCCTTCTTGGAGCCCTCATTCCCCTCCAGTCTAGATGTGTTGCCCTTTAGGCCTACTGCAAGCTGCTTGGCTGTCACACTGGGATTTATCTTCTTCACTAGCCTGTTCACTGGCTTGTTTTGGGTATCCCTGATTCTTTGGTCAGCTCTGAATAGTATTTACATGAGTGTAATGATGTAAATATTGAATAGTTATTTACCAGAACTCTGTGCCCATGGCTATATTAGGAAGCCTGGGGAAGGTGAAGTTTGGGTGTGTTGTGGTGGAGGAGGAGAACTGTATAAGAGAGTTTAACTCTCATCTTCTACATCAGGGAATTTGTAGATAATACCTAAAACTGAAAAATCAAGTAATGGGAGTATAGGCATGTTGGATAGAAATATGGAATGAAATGTCAGAAGAAACATCTACAATTATCTGTACCAGTTACTGGAACATAATGAGTGTTCAATAAACGTTAGTAAATTCTAGATCTGAATAACTGCAAAGTACAGCTGATAACTCCATATTAAAAAAAAAAATGAATGTAAATGTATGTTGAGTTCTCTCCAAATTTTTCATTAAATTGTTTCCATTTGTTTTCATTTAATTTGCTTCCTCTGTTGCTTGATGTACACTTTTATTCAGAGAAATACTTGTTTTCATTGCATGTGCAGGCATGTGTGGGAATTCTATCCAGTTTATTTTAGTATTTGGCATACAATATTTTTAACTAAAATACTTATTGTTTCTTTAAAATATAAGTATTATGGCTACTGGTTTAGTAATTTGCTAGTATTTTGCTGTTTGCTATATATATATGCACTTTACTAATAATTTACATTGTTTTCATGAACTATGTAAGAATTTACCTAATTTATTTTGGTTTCGGAATTGTACTGAAATATTACATTTGCAAATATTAGTATTTGCTTTTATAATACATGTGGTATATGATTTATCAGTAAACTTGCTGTGTTTTAGCTTACTGTTTAGTAGTATTTAATGCCATTATATTCATCTTTAACAATCTAAAATTTTTTAGGCATGGAAGATGTTGTTATGCCTTTAGAAATTATAATTCCTTACTGGATTACAGCATATTTTCATAACCACATGAAACTTTTCCCCTAGAAGGTTGTTAAAATCACTTTTAGTATGTGAATTAGGAGGAAAAAAATGGGAATTGTTTTATATACATACTTGTCTTAGATCTTGGCAAAAATGGGAAACCTCCTTGAATGGGTCTAAGAAATAGCCTTATACAATAGCAAATTGAGGATTATGGAATGTACTAATGTAATTAGCCATTTCAAAATGCTATCAGACTTTTCAATTAGTCTAAATATACTGCTCTGTAGGCAGCTGTATAAAAATTGAGAAACTGATTTATAGGTGTGTTATTGATATAGTATAACAGTTTTAATTAAAAGAATAACTCAGTATTTATACAATTTAAATATTTTATCAATAGAGCTGTTGATTCAGTGCTCTTCTTAAAATTAAAATTAACTGTCTTAGATAATTGAGATATATATTTACTCTAATAGAGGAAAAATAGAGATAGGGTTTTATATATCACAAATATCTGTTCTGACCCACGGTTTTGCTAAAAGAGATTGTGAAATATTGAAAACATAGTAGTTTGTTTTTATTTTTTCATCACCTAACTCAAAAGAAAAACAAAAATCCTGATTTTTAAAATATGAAACTAGAGTATTTTTAATTCACAGGTTATATTTTACATAAAAACTTTTATTTAAATCTAGATCCTTTTAAAGCATTCTACTCAGTTAAGGAACTGTTTTGTTTCAGTTTCTGTTTTGCAACCTGAAATATTCTTTGCTTTTAGTGGTATTGTTGGAAATAGTGCAACTGCATTATTGACTACCATTGAAGAAATGCATTTGCTAAGCAAAAAAATATTCTTCAATAGCTTGAGTCTTCATGCAAGTAAATTAATGGACAAGGTATGTTTGAAAAATGTAATTATTAAATTATGTGAATGTTTCACATTAAAGATGTTTTAGTGATTTTTGTATTGATTGATAACTTTTCCCATTACATTCTGTGTTCTTTTGAGTTCTTCCTGTCACCAACAACTTTCATTTTGAGATGGCTTACTGGACCTAAGTTGATAGTCTTTGTTCCTGAAACAGTATAACATTGAGTTATAATTGGAGATGGCATCTCAGGCTCCAATTTTACTACCATTTTTTTCTATCACAGAAGTTGTATAATTAAAGCAAACTTACTGTATTTAGCTGGGGGCTAAGATGACATACAGATTGGAAAACCAGAACTCTTACAAAATATTTTTTCCAAACAGCTTATATTTTTACCCCTGTTGTTACAGTTTTGTCCTTATGAAATGTATGCTCCTCTGAGTTATATAATTATTTATGAAAACAAACAAGGAAAAACATCCCACAAAAAAACAAACAACAAAATCCTCAAAGAGTCCTGTAAGATCTAATATCTTAAATTGAGCAGGGTATTTTGGCAGGACCTTAAGGAATAGACTTACAATGATCAAATCCTTCTTTATTTTTGTTTCATTATTGAGAACATGAGTTTTTCAAGGATGTGTCACAATCACCATGCTGGCTTTTTAATTGTACTACTCTATCTAATAGGCTAGCTATATTAGGCCCAGATTTTGTAATATGGTATAAAATAGTCAGTAGCAATTTAGTCCAGAATACGTGGTCAATCTTCACTTTCCTAAGTTCAGTCTTCACTTTCCTAAGCCTTAATAGGAGTCTACTTCCTGACCCACATGCATGACTCAGATTCATTTGGAAAAGCAACATGAATTTGTGGAGCTGGAATATCTACCTTTATTTTTCTTGCCTTGTGTATTTCTGTTTGCATCAACAGTTTACTAACAATCATTTCTGGTTATATTTGTTATTATGAGTTCTTATTTAGACAGAACTCTTCTAAAATAATTTATACATGATACACAAACATTAAACATGAACAAATATGTGCTAGCTGTTGAGAGTACAAGGATGAACACTCAACATCTGTTGGCCTCATTAAGGTTGCTTTTCCTTTAGTGGAAAATGACCAAATAAGTCTGGTTATTATAGAATTCTATGATTTATGAAAGACATGTGCCTAGGGTATATGCTAGCACCAAAGGAGGAGTATATTTAGCAAACTTATCTGTACTCCTTTACAGAGAGGAAGCTTTCCATAGAGAGATGTAATGGAGTTGAACTTTGAAGAACAGGTAGGCTTTAGATAGGTGAGGAAAGGAGTGCATAGAGGTCATCTTAAATAGAAGAAAGAAATAGAATATGCTAGAACATGAGTATGAGTTACCTATAAAAGAATTTTTCATTTATTAAAAAATATCACTTGTAAAGTGATGTGTTTTATATATATAAGTGGGGAGGCTAGGTTGGAAATAGGAAAATTAAAGGAGTATTGAAACTGTTTTTATTCATACATGATCTAAGGGAAAGACTCTGGGAATAGGCAAGAGGGGACAGATTCATGAAGGGTAAAGGTAAAATCTTCAAAACTTGATGACTGAATGTGGGTTAGTGAGAGGGAGTCATCTAGAATAATTCCTAGGCTAATCACAAATATCTAGAATGCAGAAAGAGGGTACAATTTGGGAGATAAAGATGGTATCATCTAAGTTAGATAAGTTGAGTTTGAGGTGCCTATGAGAGATCCCTCTGGAATTGGTCTAATCTAAAAGGGAGTGATACATTTGGATTTAGAGAGTTTTACATATAAGAGATAGTTGAATTCATGGGTTTGGATGAAGTCACTAGGAATAATTTTTTTTATGAGTAGAGCTACCAGGACACAGTCTTGGGAAACACTGACGTTTAAGAGAAGGAAAAACGTCAACAGTATGATGCTGAGAGAGGATGGCCAGAGAGGCAGGACAAAAATTAGGATAAGGTTTTATCAGAAAAGCCAAGAGAAGACAGTTTCTAGAAGGAGGGCATGGTTAATAATGACAGATGCTTTTAAAGAGTTCAAGTAGGAGGCTTGTTATCTTTGGCAATATATATGTGATAGGTGACCTAAATGGGCAATTTTAGTCCTGTGGTGGAGATAGGAGCCAGGTTGTAGTACGTAGAAAAGTTCATGGGTAAGCATATTACCCAAAGCTTTACCAATTAGAAAACATATGGGCCTCAAGACTGAAAATAGATGCATTAGGCGTTTGTATTAAAAAATTTGAAACAGAGCAATAAAATGAAGATATATGGAAAGGATGGAATTAAATTTCCGTGACAAATTAGAAAACAAAAGCAGAATTATTTGTTGAAAAGATAAACAAAATTGACAAACTTCTAGCAAGTCTAATCAAGAAAAAAAGAAAATTAGAAGTTTTTAGAAATTAGAGACAATCCACAGATGAGAATTAAAACTTAGAGAGTACCATGTGCAGTTTTGTGCTAATCATCTGAAAATCAGAATAAGATGAATGCTTTTTAAGGTGACATAAATTGGTAAAATGTGAGTCAAAAGGAAGTGGAAAGTGTGAATATACCTAAGGAAGGAAGAAAAGTTATTAAAGAACGTGTTGCCAGGCCTAGTTCAGATTATATAGAGAACTTCATTCATCCTTAGGAGGAACAGATAATTCTCCAGAACATGAAAAAATATGGAAAGCTTCCCAGTTTGTTTTAGGTAGTATAACACCGACATAAAACCTTTTAAAGATAGTCAGTAGTGGAAACCATAGATTAGTCACTTTTTAAGTTTTAAAACTTCAAAATTCAGCATTTATATATTAAAACCAAGAATGGTTTATTACATGAATATAAGAATGTTTCAGTGTTAGGAAATATACTAAATGAGTATATAAAATAAATTTTATATTCTCATATTTGATCACATTGGGGAAAATCTTAATATTAAAACAAGTCATTGATGAATACTTCCTTAACCATATAAAGAGAGATAAAACTAACAGCCAACATCATAATTAATATTGACACACTAGTGGTTCTTCTATTTAAGTGAAGAACAAGAATGCTTGCCAATACTTTTAAATAATAACCACGGTAGAAAGATGAGATAAAGAAATGAATTGTAAATATTTTAAAGGAGGAGACATTAGATTATTTATGGATGTTATGATAGTCTATTTTGAAGACCTAGGAGAATCAACTAAAAAGCTATACAACCAGAAAATGAATTCTAGTGAAGTCGTTGGTGAAAAGATCAATATACAAATGTAATTAATTTTCTTATATACCAGCTCATGAGGTGCTCAATAAATACTGGTAACATGAATGGTTCAGTTCATTTTCTGCTGGCCTATATTCCATCACTATCTTGCCATTAGCTTTAAATCTCTTGCACCCTTGCCATTTTACCACATTCACTTTGCAAAACCACCTTGAGTTAATTCAATTTTTCAATTTTTCCTGAGCTCTGCTAAAGAAAATTACATCATACAGACAGGAATCACTAAAAATTGTCTCCAACATCAGGAAAGCCCCCCAGGAGGTCCAGCAAATACTGATTGTCCTTTGGCAGCCACTCACATTTACCTCACTTATTTTCACCCATTTCCTCAAATCTACCATACTACCTCCTACTGAAAAAGTGCCAACTCTTGCTAAAACTGGATAATGGACATTAAAAAAAAATCTTTACCAACATGACGAGCAAAAGCGACATTTTGTTGTTTTTCTCATTTGGATTTCTGTGATTCTAGTGAGAATGAACATTTTAAGATATGTTTTTGGCTGTTTGTGAATTGCTTGTTCAAGTCCTTTGCCATTTTCCTATTGGGTTGTCTTGTTCATTTCTGATATTCTTTATGCATTAAGAATATTAACTCCATCATATATATTACAGACATTTTCTCCACGTTATCATTTGCCTTTAAAATTTGCCTGTAGTATTTTCTGACACATCAACTTTTAATTTTTTTATAGTTCAATAGAACTTTTTTTATAGTTTTTTTCCCTTGGGAGCATTCCATGCTTGAAAGTATTCCCACAAGAAAAAACATTTAGAATTTAATATATAATAAAGATAGCATCTATTAGTGGGGAAATGATAGATTGTTTAATACATTTATTTAGATGTATTTTCTTAGGTGTTTCTATGTTTTCACTTTATTTATTTTTTTAAGCAACAGGGTCTTACTGTTGTTGCCCAGGATCGTAGCTCACTGCAGCCTTGAAGCTCAAGCCATCCTTCTGCCTCAGCCTTCCAAGTAGCTGGGACTATAGGTGCATGCCACCATGCCCAGCTAATTTAAATTTTTTTTTTTTTCTGTAGAGACATGGTCTCACTATGTTGCCCAGGCTTGTCTCAAACTACTGGCCTCAGGTGATCCTCCTGCCTCAGCCTCCCAAAGTGCAGGAATTACAGGTGTGAGCCATCACACCTGGCCCTAGCCCTGGTTTCACTTTTGCAACAAATTTTTAATCTACTGAAGTTTATTATTGTTCAGACTGAAAACTTAGTATCTTATTCTTTCCCAAGTGGTTATCCATTTATTTTATTTTATTCCCCTAATAGTAAGTTTCTATATATTTTATTAGTCATGTAAAAGTTAAAATGAAAGTTGCAACAAAACAGGAAAACATACAGTTGACTCCTGAACAACATGGGAGTTATGATGCTGACCCCTGTGAAGTTGAAAAAATCTGCGTGTGACTTTCGACTCTCAAAATCTAACTGCTAATTAGCTATTGACTGGATGCCTTGCTAATAACATAAGCAGTCAACTCATTTTTTGTTGTATGTATTATACACTGTATTCTTACAATAAAGTAAGCTAGTGAAAGGAAAATGTTATTAAGAAAATCATAAGGGAGAGAAAATATATCTACTATTCATTAAATGGAAGTGAATCATCATAAAGGTCTTTATCCTCATTGTCTTCACATTGAGTAGGCTGAGGAGGAGGAAGAAGAGAGACTGGTCTTGCTGTCTCAGAGAGTAGCAGAGGGAGAAGACAATCTATGTAAATGTGGACCTTTGTGGTTTAAACATGTGTTGTTTAAGGGTCATCTGTAATGGATAGTAAAAGGCAACTGAAGGATGACATCTTCCAATTAAAACTTTGAACAGAATAGGATGAAAATGAGGAAAGAAAGTAATTGTAATCTGAATTTATTAATTACCAATCAATATTGCAGCTTATATGAGTTTATAGCAGTGAATGGGCTCTGATCATTATTGTTGTTGTTTTTGTTGTCATTATTACTAATTGAACCCTGGATGTTTTTCTCAGATATGAACTGGGCCATATTTAGAGTTATTTTTACATTAGATTGCGACCGTGTTATGATTCTCTTTACAACTCATATGTTGCTTGTATCTACAACCATTTCAGGTTTTTTGCAAGAATATCTTCCTTTCATCAAATTTTAATGTTCCATAATTTTATATTAGTTATATCTTTTACTTATTCTGCTTCTTGTAAATGATTTCACTTCCTCTAAAAACACTGTAGCTTTATGAAGAAAACAATATTTATTGTAGCATGTTCTTCATTAGCAAAGCACCCAAGTGGAAATTTTTGTTAATAGAATTTTAAGTGAATAGTATAATTGTTGGAAAGAATAGCTTTTAAAATAAAGGTATAGCCAGAGAGGAATTTTTAAAAATATGATTGCTTTTGTGCTTTTAAAAAGACATACTTGGGAGCTAATTCTTTATCTAGCGTGAGAAAAAGGAAATTCAAGGACATAATTTTATTGAAAGATGTACCTTTTCCCTAACAAAGCAGTTTGAAGCACTTGAGTATTCAAGTAGGCATACTCCCTTCCTTATCAAGCTCTCCTGAAATATTCATAACTGCAAATCTAGTGAAGTTTAAAGAGAATATGCATCTATACTGCAAAAGACACAATGTTGTGTCAATTTAGGCTAGACTGACATTTTCTAAAATTATTTCTCACTATAGTAATAGTGCAGTTCTAATTGCAAGGATATAGCCTGTCTTAAATGAAACCCATATCAAGTTAATAGTAGTCAGGATTGATTTGCCCAGTCCTCTGGAGAAAAAAAAACAAACCCCAAATGATTCTTTAAATAAATTGTCATTTAAATTCTAGGATATGGTTACTGCTTTGAATCTCTTTTTACTACTCATAGCATAGTATGTGGATTAGCAGCTTGGGCATCATATGGGAACTTACTAGACATGCAGATATCTCAGGTCCTGCTCCAGACCTACTGAATTGAATTATGCATTTTAATAAGATTCCCAGGAGGTTCATGTGCTCATTATAGTTTGAGAGGTGCTGTTCTGGTTGAATAGTTTGAGTTTTACATTATTCCTTACAGATGATTCTGCCAGGAAAAACAAACAGAAAACCAAATTTTTTTTATCTGAAATGCTTTAATATTTAAAAAAATAAAAGTGTGTAAAATAAGTTGTAATTTGAAATTATTTCAAACATGTTAGTTTGCAGTCCTAAATTTATCTTGGACAATTTTATTGACTTAAAAACTTAAATTCCACATATTGTCAATTACTAGAATGTATGTATTTAGAGCAAAAGGAATGTATATATTTATATATATGTATATACACACACACTTCTTTTATATATATACTCCTTTATATATATATATACTCCTTTATATATATATATACTCCTTTATATATATATATATATATATATTTAAATATATATAGAGAGAGAATGAGGAAATTAGTTTAAAAATATGAGAACTTTGTGTTTGGTTGGCTAGTCTTTATTTTTTGAAAGCAAATGGGCGAAGGGCCTTCTAAGAAGCTACACAACAGAAAATTATAGGACCTTAAATGGAAGATAGCTGAAAGAATAAAACTAAAGTTGGTAGTGGGATGAAGTTGTAGGAACAGCTTTTGGAATTTTTATGGTGCAACCTTTTTATTTTTCTCTAGTAAAAGTCAGAGCACCTAAACTACAGAAGGGATAAAAAGTAAATAGTCACAAGAACAATGAGGACTTTTGTGTATAGCTCTACACATTTAAAAAAAGAGAGGTTCTAATATATGGAATATGAAGTTTTCAATAGCTTAAATGCTTTTTTTAAAAAAATTATTGATTGATTAATTGATTGGGTCAGAGTCTGTCTCTGTCGTCCAGGCTGGAGTTCAGTGGTGTGATCTCGGCTCACTGCAACCTCCTCCTCCTGGGTTCAAGCGATTCTCCTGCCTCAGCCTCCCGAGTAGCTGGGGTTACAGGCATCCGCCACCATCTCCAACTAATTTTTGTATTTTTAGTAGAGACAGGGTTTCACCATGTTGGCCAGACTGGCCTTGATTTCCTGGTCTCAAGCAATCCACCCACCTCAGCCTCCCAAAGTGCTGATATTACAGGCATGAGCCACCATGCCTGGCCTTTAAATGCTTTTAAATGTGAAATTTTTCTGTATACTTCAACTTTGTCACTTAGAAAATATTCAAATTTTGAAATAAGTATTTAATAATAATGACTTGATGTTTAGTATGTACAATAATATAAAGAAGAAGAAGAACAAATGAGCTCACTTTTTTTTTTTTTTGAGACAGAGTCTCGCTCTGTCACCAGGCTGGAGTGTAATGCACAATCTCTCTGCTCACTGCAGCTTCTGCCTCCCGGGTTCAAGTGATTCTCCTGCCTCAGCCTCCTGAGTAGCTGGGACTACAGGCATGCACCACCACACCCAGCTAATTTTTGTATTTTTAGTAGAGACGGGGTTTCACCATGTTGGCCAGGATGGTCTCTATCTCTTGACCTCATGATCCGCCCGCCTCAGCCTTCCAAAGTGCTGGGATTACAGGCATGAGCCACTGCACCCAGCCAAGCTTTATTTTTAACTGCAGATATAGTACCCAAGTCTAAAGTATACAGTTAGTTGAATGTTTGTATTTGCATATGCTCATTAGCTATCACCCAGATAAGATATAAAACATTTCTAGCCCTTCAGAAGGCATCCTCTTTCCCCTTCCCAGTCAATATCTAACCCCGGTGTAAACTGCTGTCTGACTACTGTCTCTTGTTTTGCCTGCTATTAACTTCATGTAAATAGATTCATACAGTGTATACTTTTTTGGCCCTGACTTAACATATCTGTAAGATTCATATATTTTGCATGTTCAGTAGTTCATTTTTTAATTGTTGTGTAGTAATTTCATTATATATATTCACCACAATTTACTCATTCTGTTACTGATGGACATTTGGGATGTTTCTAGTTCTTGGATATTGTAAATAAAGCTATTATTAATAGTCTTATACATGTGTTGGTGGACATAAGTTTTTATTTCTCTTGTATGTATGCCCAGAAATGGAATATCTGGATTATAAGATTGATTAGCTTTACTAGATATTGCTAAGTATTTTTCCAAAGTAATTGTCCTAGATCACTTCACCAGAAATGTGGGAGTTTCAGTTGTTCCACATTCTCTCCAGTACGTGATGTTGTTAGTCTTTTTAATTTTAGGCATTGTAGAAAGTGTGTGGTGGTATTTCATTTGCTTGTAGTTTGCATTTTTCTCAAGATTAATGGTGATGAACAATTTTTCATGTTTATTGGCTGCTGGATGTACTTTCTTTTGAAGTTGTCTTTTAAAGACTGTTGCAGAGAGTCCTTACTGGGTTGTTACCTTTTTCTTATTGACTTATAAGAGTTTTCAAACATGTGTTTGGATACAAGTCCTTTATGGAATAATAAGCATCACAGATATTTTCTATCACTTTTTGAACTGTCTTTTCACTCTCTTAGTCATGTATTAGATTAACAGAAATTCTCAATTTTTAATTCAGTCTTGTATAACAAGCTTTTATTTCATGATTAGTTCCTTTTGTGTCCTGTTTAAGAAATCTTTGGCTATCTCAAGGTCATGAGGACATTCTTCTGTATTTTTCTCTAAGAAGCTTGATTATTTTAGCTTCCACATTTAGGCCTTCAATCCATCTCAAATTTTTGAGTATGGTATGAAGGTAGGGGTCAAGTTTAATTTGTGTGTGTGTGTGTTGTTTAAATTACTTTATTTTCCTTGCTTTCAATTTTTCTTGCCTTTGGCCTTGATCCGTGTCGTAATGTCTGGTAAAATATAACAATACCTAATACCATGTTCTCATAGTAGGTCTTCAACAGATGTTTGATAGATTGAAAAACTAGAAGAGCCTTAGAAGCTAATCTTCTCAGTCATCTTTGTCCTTAGCTACATATGTATTTCTTAGGTTACCTGAGACTTTTATGTTTTTTTCCAGTTAAGTTGATATTTAATAATTGGTTGTCTTAGTACCAGTAGTGTAGTTGCAGGTGGTTTTTGTGCTGCGATGCAGGTATAGCCTTTCTTAAATTAAAGATTCAGTCTGAGTTTGTTGGGGATACTTATCTCGGGTGAGCAATTGATGGGGCTCCGCATTAGAAAGGCAATATATGGCTCAAGGAGAAATCCTGGGCTTTGGAGTCTGATAGAGCTGTACTCAAATTCTAACTTTTCCAATCATTATGACTTTCAGTAAGTTGTCACTATGTAATTGAGTTTTTACTAAATGTAAAACAAAGAATTACGGCACAGTCAACGTAGATTAACCTGCCCTAGGTCACATAGTCACTAAGGGTGAATATATATCCAGGTCTGCCTAATTGCTAAGCCTGTGCCTACTTCCTGGTGGATGTTCCATACATAATAGTTCCTTTTAACATTTTCCTTTTATTTATTTTTAATTTTTATAAATTTATGAGATACTAATGCAGTCATGTTACATTTATATATTATGTAATGGTGAAGTCTGGGCTTTTAGTGTAATCATCACCTGAGTACTGTATATTGCACCCAGTAGGTAATTTCTCATCCCCCATTCCCCTCCCACCCTCCCAACCTGTCTGAGTCTCCATTGTCTATTATTCTACTCTGTGTCCATGTGTACACATTATTTAGCTCCCACTTATAAGAACATGCAATATTTGACTTTGTTTATTTCACCTAAGATTATGGCCTGAAGTTCCACTCATGTTGTTGCAAAAGAAATGATTTCATTCTTTTTCATGGCTGAATAGTATTCCATGGTGTGAGTGTATGTGTATATATATGTGTGTGTGTATATGTGTGGTGTGTGTGTATATGTGATATGTAACACATATATGTGTGTGTCCACAAATATATATGTGTTATATGTACACACACACCACATTTTCTTTATCCAGTCATCTGTTGATGGGCACTTAGGTTGATTCCGTATCTTCGCTATTGTGCATATTTTCATGTGGATATACACTTGATCCAGCACCATTTATTGTAAAGGCCATCCATTCCCACTGCAGTGAAGTGGAAATGGTCATAAATTACATGACCATGTATGTGGATTTGTTTGGTAATTGTGTATTCCATTGATTTATTTTAGATTATTTATTTATTCCATTGATTTCATTTTATTTAGAATCAACTTGTGCATTTTTAAAATAAAAAAGCTTTCTGAGGCTTTGATTAAATCTATAGATCAGTTGAGGAGAAATTAATATCTTAATGATACCAAGATTTCCAATTTATGAATATCATATATCTCTCCATTTACTTAGGTCTTTAGTTTCTCTCACTAACCTTTCATAGTGTTCAGGCCTTGCACATCTTTGGTTAGATTTATTCCCAGATATTGAGTGGTTTTTTTGATGCTTTTGAAACTTATTTTTCTCTTTAAATTTTATTTTACACATATGTATTTCTAGTATAGAGTTGATTTTGATCGTTGATTCTGTTTCCACATACCTTTAAGGCAGTTTGTTTTTGAGTGCAAGAGTAAGCCATTGAAGATTTGGTCTCACATCTTCATTTTTGAAAGCATTTTAAAAATATCATTGGGACTGCTGTATGGAGAATGGAAAGTGGGTATGGAGGAGCAAATTTGGAAGAAAGGAGACCACTTAGGAGACTCTTAGAGTAAGTAAACCTGGCAAAAGTGGCCTACTATAGAGTAGTAGCATAGGATGATTTGGATCATTTGCATTTGGAATATATTTTAATGGTTTAGAGATAATTCAGTAAATTAAATGAGGGAAATGAAGAAAAGAAAAAAATCAACAAATACTTTTCGGTTGTTGATCTGATTAATTGGATATCATTAATGCTTAAATACCCCCATTTAATGTTTGTAAAATAAAAAGTGATAACTATTGTTCCTACTCCCTTTTGTATTTCATACAAACTCTAAGTTCTTTAGAAGATTTTTCTTTTTTAAATAGGGCAGTGAAGACATTAGCTGGTTCTTTTCTTTTTTTTTTTGACATTAGCTTTTGTTTTTGACGAAAGAAAAATTTTAACTTTACCATATAATGCTAATTTCTGTCTTTTAAAAAATATTAACTTATAAAACAGCATATCTAATTTTACTTTTGTTTAAGATTACATTGGAGCCCATGAGTGGGCTTCTATTAATCTATAATTGTTTCTGTAATTTTCCATGTTTATCTTTTTTTTTTGAGAAACAAATGGTAAACTCAATGATATTCTTAAAGAAGTCTGCCTTCCTCCTCCACCTGTAACATGTAAGAATCACCGGTTTGAAAAGTTTAAAGCATATGAGTCACAAGGATATAAAATTAGCTAGCAAAATTTCAATGTAGCAAAACATTTAGGAAGAAAGGATGCGTTATGTAAACTTGAAGAAGGCCTCAAATAGGTTGTAAGATACTGGGGCCATTAGTGCTCATAGACTTCAATGTGGTCACGATCTTAAGAAACAGCTGTTAATAGCACCTTATCATAGATTCCCTACAGAAGAATCTAAGAGCTACAGCATCCTCTCTGAAAAAATTAACTTTATAGAATTCAAGTAAAAATATCACCTATGAAAATCAAAATTAACACTTCGGTGTAGTGGTTATAAGCGTGACCTTTGGAGTCAATGCTTGGGTGAGAGTCTAAGCTCTGCCCCTTCTAAGAACAGTGGGACCTTTGGAAGGTTATTTAATCTGTCCCTACTTTAGTTTCCTCATATATAAAATTTGATATTATTCCTTCCTCCTCCTTCTCATCAGTCTTACTCATCTTCTGTAAAATGGGAATGATATATACCTTAGGCTCATTAGGATTAAATGAAGATCACATGTAAAATACATGGTACAGTTTTTAGATTATTTTTTCACATTACAAAATACTCATTTTGAAGATAGAAATATAAAGAAAGTTTAAACATGACTATAGGTAACATTCAGCATTTTTAATATTTCAGTCTTTTAAAAATATGAGTGTACACACACCTGTACACATGATGTGCATACAGTTTTGTCTTTGTTTTTGTTTTTGAGATTGAGTCTCGCTCTGTGGCCCAGGCTGGAGTACAGTGGTGCAATCTCACCTCACTACAACCTCCACCTCCTGGGTTCAAGCGATTCTCCAGCTTCAGCCTCCCGAGTGGCTACGATTACAGGTATGCGCCACCATGCCCAGCTAATTTTTGTATTTTTAGTAGAGACGGGGTTTCGCCATATTGGCCAGGTTGGTCTCGAACTCCTGACCTCAGGCGATCTGCCCGCCTCGGCCTCCCAGTGCTGAGACTACAGGCGTGAGTCACCATGCCCAGCCCTGATGTGTATCTTGCATTTTTCATTTAACATATTATTGGGGCTTAATAAAATCTTAATTCTTTTTTTTGGAAACATCTTTAATACTGTACTTATGGATCCCATTCTTCCACGTAGAAGCCAGTTTTAGATGAATTATTTTAGTTCATTTTCCCTATTAAATAGCATTTATAATGCCAAAATATTCCCTCATAATACTGTTGGAACATGTCTGTTGTCCAGAGGCTTATTAAGAAATGACTTACTGTTTAGTCCCTTGGTATTTCAAAACAATTGATTAAATATGTAGTGGTATATGTATATGTTTTATGTTGTAACTATGCTGCAGGAACATAAATTGAATGTAAGTGACCATAGTCAACAGTTTTTATTGATATCCATTATGCTTAAAACATTGTGAAAGATAGAGCAGTTAAGAAGATATGTGCCTGAAATAAGGAGTCTAATCTGTTTGAAGTAGACGTTCTCACATGTCATTTTAGTAGCCTTGTACTTTGGATTTAAAAACAAGCAAAGATGTTTGCTTATTGTCCCTAAGGGAGTATGCTTTGAATATAACCAGTTATTTTGTATCCATTCATTCACATGAACCTACTTAGGTTAGTGGAACATAACCATGGTATAGGTATTTGGAAGTAATGTGGCCATGTTTGCAACAAAGCTTACCTGCCCGAGCAAGTACTTGCATGCCTGCTGTAGATACTCAGCGAAGTGTCATGTGGCCAACGTCAGGTTACAACTCTAGTTAAGATTTTTGAGAGTTTAAGATCATGACAAAAATAGAGGGAAAAGTCAAACATACAGAATAAGAAAGAGGGAAATCTTTATTTGTAAGGCAAAAGTTCACATTTTCTTCAACTTTCTGTCAGTATGTAAGATTTCTATGAATAGCTCAAGTCCTGGCATAAGTAGCAGTGATAATATTAACACCTCTTTCTCCCAGTCACATCATTCTGAGGATGCATCTGCCACTCACTTACTGATGCTGACTGGTTTCCAAGGAAGTGGAGTGTGAATAAACTTGGATTTTCTACACAGCTTAAAGCTTATAGGAATTTCTGTATTATGATTATTGTTTTACATGAAGTTCATAAATTGTTTGTTTCTAATGGTTGCTACTACCTGTTTTAGGCTCTCTAAATAACAAAGCCCACTTAATTCTAGTATTTGGCCTCCACAGCCTTATATGGAGATATGAAAGACATAGTAAAGAGGGTCTCTTCCCTAAGGGAGATTATGGTTAGTATAAAGTAAGTGCAAGAATGCATTGGAGGGACTTCAAAAGAAATATAGACTTGGCCAGGTGCGGTGGCTCACGCCTGTAATCCCAGGACTTTGGGAGGTCAAGGCGGGTGGATCACGAGGTCAAGAGATCAAAACCATCCTGGCTAACAAGGTGAAACCCCGTCTCTACTAAAAATACAAAAAAATTAGCCGGGCATGGTGGCAGGCGCCTGTAGTCCCAGCTACTCGGGAGGCCAAGGCAGGAGAATGGCATGAACCTGGGAGGTGGAGCTTGCAGTGAGCCGAGATCATGCCACTGCACTCCAGCCTAGGCAACAGAGTGAGACTCCATCTCAAAAAAAAAGAAAAAGAAATATAGACTTGTCTCTTACAAAGTTTAACCATTAGAAATGAATTTTACAAAATGAAACTAAAGTGACAAAAGTGAGCTATTTCTCCTCCTTAGATTTTCTTTCTGTTATTCTGCTACAGGATTTTATAGTCACAAAGTTTGTTTATCTGAAAAACTGCCATAATTTTCACTTAGCTTTAGAAGTGTGGTTCTTACCTTGTTGCCGATCTAATGGATGTGTGTAAAAACACCTCATAGAATGGCAGTTTGTTGAATGACTTGAGTTCAAGTAGCACTCACTTGCAATGATTTACCATCAACTCTAACTGTGGCAAAGTGTGACTTTAGCCTTAAATTTAAACTCCTTAAAGACCTTATTTCAAGGGGGAAAAAAATTTCCTTTCAACTTTCTCCCATCAGTGTGTAAGTTTTACATCATTGGTCTTCTGTTTTGTTTGGCAATTAAAAATCTCTTGTGTTAATTTTTGAAAGTTTTTTTTTTTAAGATTTATTGCTTCCAAGTGCAACAAAAATAAAAATAAATAAATGGGATCTAATTAAACTAAAATGCTTCTGTATAGCCAAAGAAATAACCATCAGAGGAAACACACAACCCACAGAGAAAATATTTGCAAACTACGTATCTGAAAAAGGACTGATATCCAGAATAGAAGGAACACAAACAAATCAGCAAGAAAAAAACAAATAATCCCATCAAAAAGTGGGCAAATGAGATGAACAGCCATTTCTCAAAAGAAGATATACAGATGGCTAACAAACATATGAAAAATGCTCAACATCACTAATCAAGGAAATGCAAATTAAAACCACAGTGAGACACCACCTTACTCTTGTAAGAATGGCCATTATTAAAAAGTGAAAAAAAAAACCATATTGATGTGGATATGGTGAAAGGGAATGCTTATATACTGCTGGTGGGAATGTAAATTAGTACAACCTCTATGGAAAACAGTAGGAAGATTTCTTAAAGAACTAAAAGATCTACCATTCAATCCAGCAATCCCACTACTGGGTATCTACCCAAAGGAATAGTAGTCATTATATCAAAAAGACACTTGCACACATGTGTTTATTGCAGCACGGTTGCAGTTGTAAAGATATGGAACCAGCCTAAGTGCCCATCAACTAATCAGTCGATAAAGAAATTGCAACAACTTGAATGGAGCAGGAGGCCATTATTCTAAGTGAAGCAACTCAGGAATAGGAAGCCAAAAACTGTATGTTCTTACTTGTAAGTGGGAGCTAAGCTATGGGTACACAAAGGCACACAGAGTGATATAATGTACTATGGAGACTCAGAAGGGGGAGAGGATGAGGAGTGAGGGATGAAAAATTACATATTGGGCACGATATACACTACTTGGATGATGGGTGCACTAAAATCTCAGACTTCGCCACAGTACAATCATCCATGTAACTAGAAACCACTTGTACACCAAAAGCTGTTAAAATTTAAAAAAAAATTTTTAAAGATTTATTGCTTCCAAAAGACACTATATACTCCTCTCTCTCTCTCTCTATACACACACACACACACACAAACACACACATACTATATATTATAGTTTATAACCTAGAAGAGAAAATTACACATTAAACATTTAGGTTCTTAATCATACAAGGTTTGTAGTTCTACTAGAGCTGTACTCCTCATCTAGCTTCCCTGGAGGATTTATTAGATTTTTTTTTCTGTTTATGAAAGGTATTGGGAACTGACACATAACGTGTTTGCTCTGGTTTCTATAGCTGTCTATTTCTATATTATAGCTATTAGAATGCTAGCAGATCTTTCTGATTTGTTCTAAGCTAAAGATTCCACTGAAAAAAATTTGAGTATCTTCAGTTTATATTTCTTATGTATATGCATGCACATATATGGAATAGCTTTATATTTAAATTTTTGGAATTATGAGTATGTTGATTTCTATTAAATGTATATTTATTTTTAAAAACAAATGGAAACACAAGAAAATAACACTCATCTACATCCTGTCACCCTGAATTGACTGTTATTAACTGCTTGGTAGTTGGTTGTTTCTTTTAGGGGGCAGAGATCACTCTATTAATTTTGTAAAACTGATATGCATATATTTATACATAATTTAAACCATGGAGAAGAGCACAAAGATGAAAATTTTTAAAAAACCCTCTTCTTGGAAATAACATTAGTTAACTTTATTATAATCAGTTTAACAACAGTCTGGATATCATTTGAAGTAGGAATGATAAATAGAATACTTTTGTGAAGAAAAGATCATATTCTGGAGGTTTTTTTTAAGTTCACATTTATTTGAATCTAATGAAAGAAAAGGAGACAAAACTGAAGAAACTGTGGAACTTGAAATATGTATCTCTTCACCCAAGAAATATTTTCCTTCAATTTTGTAAGTTTTGGCTTTATGTGTTTTGGGGCTTTTTTGTTGGGTGCATATATGTTTATAATT
The DNA here is from genome assembly GCF_000001405.40 of Homo sapiens. Taxonomy (NCBI): domain Eukaryota; kingdom Metazoa; phylum Chordata; class Mammalia; order Primates; family Hominidae; genus Homo; species Homo sapiens. Next base: position 39,716,198 of record NC_000013.11, read on the forward strand.
ATTTTATTTTCTTGATGGATTGACCCTTTTATCATTATCAGAATCTTTTATTTCTAGTAATTTTGTTTTAAAGTCTGTTTTGTCTGATATTAGTATATTAGTGTAGCTAATTTAATCTAGCTTTCTTTCAGTTATTGTTTGCAACGTATATCTTTTTATATCCTTGTACATCTAATTTATTTTTGTCTTAAAAGTGTGTCTCTTGAAGTTGGCATATAGTTGGTACATGGTGTGGTTTTTCAAATTAATCTGCTAGTCTCTGCTTTTTGATTGTCATGTTTAATCCATTTACACTTAATTTAATTGAGGGTAGAGTAGGATTTATGTCTGCAATTTGCCCTTTTGTTTTCTGTATGTCTTAAGTGATTTTTTTTTCTCTGTGTCCCTGTTACTTCTTTTACACTGAGTAGATACTTTCTAGTCTACTAATTTAATTCCCTTATTTAAACATATATGTATGTGGGTATAGGGTTAGTTATATTTCCTGAGTGGTGCCCTGGGAATTACAATTAGCATCTTAATTTATAACAACATACTTTGAATAGTATACAAAAACTTTGCTCCTACATAGCTCCATTCTCCTCTTCCTTTATGCCGTTATTAATACAGTTAAATCTTATTACATTGTATGCCCATCAACATAGACTTATAATTATTGCCTCATGCAGTTTTCTTTTAAATTAGAGTTATGAACAAAAAATACATTAAAACTGTCTTTTATAGTTATCTTTGTTGGAGTCTTGACCAGTGCTCTATTTCTTTATGTGGATCGAGTTACTTTCTAGTGTCCAGTTTTCCTTAGTATGTCTTGTAGGGCAGGTATGCTAGTGAAGAATTTTTGCCTTTATTTGGAGTGTCTTAATTTCCCCCTTACTCTTGAAGAATAGTTTTGCTGAATTTGAAATACTTGGTTGACAGTTTATTTCAGCCTGTGACTATGTCATCCAATATGCAGACTTCTGGCCTGCATGTTTTCTGGTAAGAAATCAGCTATTGATCTTGTCAAAAATCCTTGTTCATAGTGAGTTATTTCTTTTTAGTTGCTTTCAGGATTATCTGTCTTTTGACAGTTTGATTATGATGTGTGTTACTGTAGGTCTCTTGAGTTTATCTTTCTTGGGGGTCAGTTAGCTTCTTGGATGTTGATTAATGTTTTTTAAAGTCAAAATTGGTAATCTTTCTGTCATTGTTTCTTCACTGCCTTTTTTTCTTTGTTCTTTCCTTCTGGGCTTCCCCTTTATACTTATATTGTTAAATGGTGTCTTATCTCTGATGTTCTGTTCATTTTTTCAATTCTTTTTCTTTCTATTTCTCAGACTCAATAATCTTTAAGTTCCTGTCTTTAAGTTCGCTGATTATTTATTCCACCTGCTCAAATCTGCTGTAAGGCCAAGCACAGCAGTTCACACCTGTAATGATAGCATTTTGGGAGGCTAAGGCAGGAGGATCACTTGAGCCCAGGAGTTTGAGACCAGCCTGGGCAACATAGCAAGACTACCATCTCTACAAAAAAGAAAATTAGCGAGGCTTGGTGGCATGTGCCTGTAGTCCTAGCTGTTAATACTTGGGAAACTGAGGTGGGATGATCACTCGAGCATGCAGTGAGCTGTGATTGCACCACTGCACTTTATCCTGAGTGACAGAGAAAGACCCTGTCAAAAACAAAAAACAAAAACAAAAACAAAACCCTATAGTTAATTTTTCATTTCAGTTGTGTACTTTTTGACTCCAGAATTTCTCTTTGGTTGTATTTTATTATTCCTGTCTCTTTATTGATATTCTTTATTTGGTGAGACATTGTTTTCATACTTTAGTTCTTCAGACATGATTTTCTTCAGTCTTTGAACGTATCTAAAATAGCTTGTTTAAAGTCTTTGTCTAGTAAATCTAACATCTGGACTTCAGAGAATGTTTCTGTTGAGGTGTTTTTCTGTGCATGCTGTGCATGGACTATATTTTCTTGTTTGCTTGCATGTTTTATGATTTTTTTGTTCTTGTTGTTTTTATGAAGGAGAGAGTATTTTTGGACATGCTTACTTTGCTATTCCTGGTGATGTCACTTATGTATTAACTTTCTACATGAAACCATCTTATAATAAATGCCGATATTTGAAAATTCTTACACCTTTCTGCCTACCTGCCACTAAGATGTAGTCTCTTACATTGTCTTCTAAGTGCTATTTTTAAAAAATTTACAAAATGTTACTTTATTAACATTGTAAGTATTCTGAAAATATTTTTAAAGAAATTCATAGGCACTTCTTTTTATGTATCATGGTGCCACCAAATAAGGATAGTGAACTTGGCATACCTTCTACTTAGTAAGTGCAAGGCATGTTACTCAGCCATGCAACAATCTCATTTAATATTTACAGAGTCCCTCTGAAGCTCTGAAAACTTAAGTAACTTGCTGAAGATTACACAACTAGTAAGTGATAGATCCAAGATTTGAACTTAATGTGTTTAACTCTAGAGCCCAATATATTAATGGTAATGTTATACTGTTTCTGTGAAGTGATTTTCAAAATGTGGGACCCATGGGTTACCTTCTTGAGAGACTCCTGGGGTGCTTGTTGAACTGTCAATTCCTGAACCCCTAACCTATACATATTGAACTAAAATCTCTGAAATTTGGGCCTGAGAGTAGGTGACGTTTCTCAATTATATTATAGTTGGAATAGTGCTGGTCTATAGACTGCTTTTTTCTTATGATTTGGGCTAAAAAATAAAACAGTAGGCCATTTTAAATCCATATTAAAATGTAATTCTACAATTCAATTGAACACTAACTTTTCAAATTAATTTTTTGAATTTTAGAGTACAAGGTGACATATTCTGAGATAATCTGACAAAGAACTTTTCTCTCACTTTGTGTGCTGTTAATATAGTTCAAAGTAAGCTATTGATAAATTATAGGTTTCTAATGTGTGAGTCTGTGCTTTATAACTTTTACATTTTTTTTTACTATGAACTTACATTTATACATTAAAATTTAGTGGAAAAAATATAAGGAGTGGGTAAATCATCTCTTGTTTTAGGTTGAACTCCCACCACCTGATCTTGGACCAAGTTCTGCACTAAATCAGACACTCATGTTGCTGCGTGAAGTTTTAGCATCTCACGATTCTTCAGTTGTACCATTAGATGCTCGTCAAGCTGATTTTGTGCAGGTATGTTATAAATTCATTTTTAATGATTGTTTTTTGCTCTTCTATTGTACACTGTGTTTCAATTCTGGAATTTTGTAATTCATATACTTTGACAGTCTCTTTCTTACTGTTAATTTTCCATCAAATATTAAACCAGTTATCATAACTTAAAAAGCATTGATTTATGTTTAATCTTTTCCTACGTGCTTCTATAAATTGGCTTCCTTCCAATTAGTTTGGCATTAAATATCATTAACCCAAGACCCTATCAGTGATTGAGAAATAAAGAGTTCATTTTATTTTTCATTTGTAGGTTTTATCATGTGTCTTGGATCCTCTCCTACAGATGTGTACTGTATCAGCCAGCAATTTAGGCACAGCTGACATGGCCACTTTCATGGTCAATTCACTATATATGATGAAGACAACATTAGCTCTATTTGAATTCACTGACAGACGTCTGGAAATGCTACAGTTTCAGGTAAATTTTTCTATAAAATGACTATTGACTATGATTGAATCTTTTTCTCTATGTGATAGCTTTAAGTTATTGGCTTAACTAGTTTTAATGACCTAATTCCTATAGATCCCTTGATATCATCTGATGAAAGGACACACATGCATATACACAACACACGCACATACACAACACACACACACACACACACACACACACACACAAATTCAGTATTTCAGTTTTCAGCTTTAGAGGAACCAGAATGTGTAATGTTTAAAATACTTGATTCATACCATAATATGTGATAGTAGATTGAAGCTTTCTGATTAATTTGAACAGTTAGTCTGTATGTGGATTTTAGTTTCTGAACTGTGAATAATATGCTATATTTTTCAAGCTGCATAGTTAATGCAAAATGTGTTACAGAGGACAGATATATTTTTATCTATGTGTAAACCAGTGTTAGGCAAAACATTACAAATTGCTATACCAACCACTTGAGTTCTTGAGTCCTATAAAGCAAATGGTTATCACTTAAGAGAGTATATGATGACTAAAACAAAGCCAGTTGTAAAATTTAGTAGATAGTTGGATTCCAGTTTTAAGCAGTGATTATTGGTAAATATACTGTTTTTTAAAAAAACAACTCTGAATGTTCTGTGCTATCACACATATATCAACAGTTTGACAGTGGGTATAGGAATGAGTTTTGATATATCTAAATTCATATTTTCTAATTTTTAATTTTTTCTTTTAAAATAAATGTATCAGAATTTTCCATATTTGTGGTTTAAAGTCAAATAATTCTACAGAACTTGTTACGAAAAGCCACCAGTGTACCATCCTCTCCACCCCCAACATCTCTTTCTCATTTCTCCCTCAAAAGCACAATTTCTTTCAGTTTTTATAGTTGCTTCTTTTGGTATTTATATTTGTAATTCTAAACACTTACGTGTATTGCTACTTATAGATTTTTTTTAGTTTTTTGTCTAATGTATTAAATTAGATATATTCTAATACATTGTGAAATGAAATGAACAATGAAAATTTAGTTATCTACTGCCACTCCCCCAACCCCCCTGGATAAGAATATGGTCATACTTAAGAGTTTTCCCATCCTCCCAATGTAGCTATATTATAAATTTTGGTTAGATCAATGTTTTGTTAAATTATTATTACTATGTAAACATTATTGGTGACTGAGCCATGTAATGAAGAATGGTTAATTTACCTTTCTTGGATAACTTCTTCATTTTCTGTGGAATTAATAACATTTTTATTTAAGAAATGTCACTTTTTTATGTATTTGTCACTAATTCAAGCCCAAATCCCTGCCATTTATCTAAATCTTAAGATGTTAAGATATGTCAGGTGTTTATCAATTTGCTTTATTACCAATTATCTATGTTTCTTATGTGTTCCATAGCTATTTTACGCATGGTAAAAATTCTTCTTGGTCTATGTGCTAAATTAAGCTTATTAGTTTATTCAAGTTATCTATGTCCTTGCTTATTTTTGCCACCATTGGATGTGTCAACTGGACTTTTACATGTGTTTTAACATTCTCCAGAAATCTCTTGAGCCAGATCTTTATTAGTCCTGGCAGCATTTTCAGTAATTGTTCTGTCAGCAGATAATTCAGGTTCCCCTTTCTCCAGACTCCAGTAGCAATTTTCCCAGTGCCCTTTCAGACCCCACTGGCAGTCCCTTGAGTGGGTATTCCAAGTGGACAAATCCCAGTGTGGAAGTGCTTATTGGCCTATTCTTGCATTATGCTTGTCAGAGTGCTGTCAGCCAAGACTGGCCACATAGAACAGCCTGGATTCGGTGTGATAGAGGACAATACAAAGGTGTGGATATGTGAAGGTGTGGTTTATCACGTTTCTCCAAAGTAACAATTTACCTTGTTGGGTAAAGGAGTCTTGATTTTAGGACCTTTACTACCAATAACCTATTATTTTTTTCCCACTCTTATATAGCTTCTTCCAGTGTTTCAAGCAAGAAGTCCAGGCTAGTCAGATTCTCTTGTTTTTAGTAATCTAGTCCCTTCATCTGGTAACTTACAGGGATTTTCCATTGAGTTTATATGTTTTCCCAGGATATTTTTGGTATGTCTCTTTTTAAAAATTATTTGCATCTTGGACTTTGGAGAACCATTTCAATGTAAAGATTCAAACCTTTCTTTTGCTTAGTAAAGAGTTCTATTTCTTTAATCATCACTTTTCTATGTGTTACTTTTTATATTTTGAAGCCCCTGTCCTTGGTTGGTTTTATCTCACGGATCTGCCATCTAATTTCTTTTTAAATCTCTTCACTTTAATCTATTTCTTTGATATTTGCTCTGTATTACTTTCCTTCCATTTTTCTTTCAGACCGCTGATTTGATGCTTTGCAGTAACTCTTTTTCACCTTCATTGAGTGTTTACCTTTGCGCACTTTGTTTTTCTTTGGTTTCTAGTAAATCCAGCAAGTAAGGGCTCTAATTGTACTTCCTTGGGCATTTATTTAAAAAAAAAAAAAATGAAAGTACTTTATGTCTTTCAGTAGTGTTGCCTCAGGAAAGAAACCATACTTGTTCTGATTATTCACAAGGGCTTTCTTTTAGCTTCCTCACCTCTTTTAAATCAGTTCTAAGTTTTTTAGGGGGACGAGCAGAGCTATTGGAGTTGCTTGGAAAATGGCAATCATTTAGATGGTAACAGATACCATAGTTGACAGTGTACTATGTCATTAGCAAGCAAACTGGTAAAATCTGGGGGAACATTCTGGTGAGGAATAGAAGGAAGACCTCTAGACTCAGGATTGTACTGGCACAAAAAAAAAAAAAAAAAGAACAAGATTTTTTCTCACCAGGGAATGTTTCAACCCATCAAGGTAGTTCTCTTCTGTGGTTTTTATCTCCATTAGCATTAGTTGGAATCCCCCAAAATAGCACAAAGCTGGGGAGCCCATACTACTCACATCTGTTAGCTGCATCTTCTTAGGCAGTTCCTGAACCTGAAATCTTTAGTCAAGTTTCTACTGGGCCCTCAGCTCTTCCCTACTTGTCACAGACCTGCCTTATCCTCAGGAGAATTTACTACCTGAGCTGTAGTGGGATTTCCTCTAGGCTTCTCCAGATGGTATATTTGATTTGTTAAGTCAGTCTAGAAAGTTGGGAGCGTGAGGAGGACAGGAGGTCAGGAACATCAGGCCCTTATCTCGGAATTCTTCCTAAATATTTTATTTTATACTGTTGTTGTTTACTAGTGTTTTTTGTTTGTGTTTTGTTTATTAGCAGCTTTTAAAAGGGCTGAGAAGCAACCCAAATTTTGTGACTGGAGGATAGTCCTAGAATCCTCCTTGTTTATAATTTTTAAAGTAAGACTTTTTCCCCCTTTCATAGAAAGACTTACTGTTTGGGGGAAGAAAGAGGCTTTGTTACAGAGGTGATCCCTGTGCCTCATCATCAGTGCCAATGCAAGGCACTGCATCTACTCTCATCAGTGTCATTCTTCTTTTAAAATGTTTTCTTTGTGTTTTATTTTAGATCGAAGCACATTTGGACACACTTATAAATGAGCAAGCCTCTTATGTTTTAACTAGGGTAGGCTTGAGTTACATCTATAACACTGTACAGCAACATAAACCTGAACAGGTAAGTGCATAGATGTTCCTTCCTAATTCTAAGAACATGCCAGTTTAGAGTATGTCTTCTAGAGCTGCACTCTGGATTCTTGGCTCTACCACATATTAGCTGTGTTCTCCTGGGAAAGTGACTTATTTTTCTGTATCTGTTTCCTTACCTGTGGATTGGGGGTAATAATAGTATCTGTGTCATAGGATTGTTCTTAAGACATAATACATGCATAGTTCTTAGATGACTTCCTAAAATATGGTAGAGTGCCCCACAGTATTAACAATCCTTTTTATTAAAAATAGTTTTTGTTAAAAGTAATGAAAATATACAAAAATTAGTATTATAAAATGTCTAAAGAATATTCATACTGGTAAGTTTTTCAGATTCCTATATCACTATTAGTTAATTGAATGCATAGATTACTGTATAAATAGCAGTCATCTTCTTTTTAATTTAGCAAATTGTTGCCCATTACTTTGAGAAGGTAGTCACTTCTGGGGCCAGCATATGATCTTATTAAATTATAGAACCCTAGTAGAAATAAAGGAGTGGTGGGAACCTTAGAAAACCATGTAAGCCATCTTTCTTAAGAAAGCAAAGAACTCATTCAAACAGCATTAACATGAAGACTGTGTTATGGCCCAGAAACTCTTAAATGAAGCTCTTAAAACACAACTTTTCAATTCTTTCTTTGCTGAAGTGGTAAGCAAATTTCTACCAGTAGGAACCAATTTTACTGCCTTTCTGTACTTTCTAAAAGTATCAAAGTGAAACTGTTCAAGCCTCCATGTGTCACTGGCATCTTCCAGTGCTTCATTGCCTTCATTTTCTTGGGTATGCGTAAACTTGAAGTATCATGATATTTCTGTTGTTAATAAACTTGAGCACGTCTTGCTCTCTCCAACAAATCATAGTCCCTGATCTTATTGAGGTTGAAGAAATTACACTTGAGTTCTTTGGAAATAAGCTAAATGATTTTCCAAATTTGGGCAGTGCACTAATGAACTATATTCAGTAAGTGAAATGAAATGTATATCTCCTTTTTTACATCTTGGATCTGCTTTTTTTTTTTTTTTTTTAAATAGGGCTCTTTAGCTAATATGCCCAACCTAGATTCTGTGACACTGAAGGCTGCAATGGTAAGTGTATAATAAAACATTTTAATTTAGATTTCCTTATGGATCGATAGTCTTCATTTTTTGCTGTGTGATAATTTCATTCTGGGTGACACTTTTTATCTCTTGACATGCTGTATTAACGTTGGGTCCAATAATAATGACTGAGCCTGTATTACTTTAATTGAACAGTTCTGGCCAAGTCTTACATTCATAGTAGTGTTCCACTATGCTCTGATAGTCTCATCATTACTGTTTAGGATTACTGTTTACTCTATTTTTAGAGTTTTGTTCCTAATTTAAGTGAGAAACAGGAATGACAGATATGAAGAAATTAGGCTGTATATCATTATAAACTTATTACTACCTTGATCCTTCGTTTAAAGTTCCTGACGTGAAAATCGAAATTAGATTCCACTCTTAAAACAGTTTATTACTCTTTAGTTTGAGACTCACTGAATTTCCACTTTATTACCTTCCTTCTTTTCAGGTGAAGATCTTGTACCTTCCTTTTTGCATGATCACTACTTTTTGTAGTGTGTTTCTGTGTCTTAAATACATATACTTTCCTCATATGTATAGTGTTCATATGCATAGCCATTCATTGTATGATATTTAAGTCATATAGCTCTATCCCTCATAGGAATGATCCCTTTTGGAAGTTTTATGATAGTACTACTAGTAATAGTAATAATAATATGGAAGAACAACAGCCATTAACATTAGCATAGCAAGTGTTTTCCCTGTATTAACTCTTTAATCCTCATGACAACCCCATTCAATCCAGGAAGTTGGCCTACAGAGCTTGTGGGTTTAACTACTGTACTAAACTAGTGATCCTAAGTATTTAAAATACTCACGTATACTCACTACCACAATGGCCTGACTTTCATAGATAGTCCTGTAGGAAGGTTTTTAAATTTTCCAACAATTTTTGATGCCAAGGCTTTCCTATATATTATCTTCCAGAACTCAGTTTAACTGAAAACAAAAGGATAGGCTCATAAGATACCTAACAAATGCAAAGAAGAAGGTGGAGCTATCTATATGATTATTAGATAAAGTAGAATTTAAAAAGACTAAATGAGACAAATAAGAAACATTATGTCGTGATAAAAGACACTATATAGAAGCAACAGTTATAACTTCTATATATGAAACAAAAACATAGTAGCAAAAATTAGAAATGCAAAGAAAATTCGATATTAAAAAGTTTAAATAAAAATAGATGAAAATGAATTTTAGATTCATTAAAAGATATGTTTTTAGAAAGTTATATATACACTTACCATACTATCCAGTACAATTCCACTTCAAGATATTTACCCCCCAAAAATGAAGATCTATGCTCACACTTAGATCTGTAACATTAGTTAGTACCAAATATATGTTCCCTTCCTCTGTTTCTCCTTCTCTCTTGACACATATCCAGTCTGTAATACAACTCATAAAATATTTGAAATGCCATTAAAAATTCTTCATGTTCCTGGTGTTAATTTTCAGAACAATTAAGGTGAATATGAATATACGATGTCTCTGGAGAAACAAATCTTGCTTGAGTTTTGTATTTAATACGTGATTATATACAACCATTTGTTGTCTCCATTTAGGGGTTTCTAAGGCACTTCAATTCAGCATGTCCAAAACTAACTCTGCACATTCCACCCTAAACCTAAGTCCTCTTCCAGGCATTATTAACTCAGAAAATTGTAAGACCTTCTATCCATTTATCATTTAAATAGTTATTAACCGAGTTTCTGCTATTTTCTAGGCATCATGCTAAGAATTGGGATGAAAACAGATATGATCTAGTAAGGGATGCAGCTACTACACAAATAAATGAATGAAGAGTACAGTTATGTGTTATGATAATATGGTGAATTAATTCATACATATCCAAAATCTGGGAGTCCATCCCTTCATTCTATCAGTAACCAAGTCCTGATGGTCCTCAAATATCTTTACGTCTTTCACCTTGATTGCCCCTATAGTCTAAAAATGCTGCAGTAGGTACCTAAGGTACCTAATTGGTGTCTTTGTATCTATTATTGCAATCTTCCATTCTGTCTTCCTATGGCCAGATTTAGCTTCTTAAAACTTAAATCAGATTTCTCCCTTACTTAAATTCAATGGTTTACTAATGCTTTTGAAATAATTAAAATCCTTAAATAAGCATGCCAGTCCTACATGATCTCTACTTATATGTTTTCCTTCCCACCTCAAGTCTTCATGCTGTCTCCTCTCCCTGAACCTCCCCACCCATCAATCCACTTACTTAATGTATATTCATCTTTAAGATTTCACTTCAAATGTCCTTTCCTGAGAGATGCTTTTGCCGAATCCACAGACTAGGTCCTTGATTTATGCTTTATAGTACCTTGTTTTATTCCTTAATAGCATTTAACAAAATTTGTAATTATATATTTATTTATATTATTATCTGTTTAACACCTCTCTTGCTAGGCCATAAGCTCTGTGAAGCTAGGGACTATCCTTTTTTTGCTCATTTTTATACTTCCATTACTTAATATAGTACCTTTTCAATGGTAGGTATTAGTTGAACTAATGAATGCATTAATGAACAAATGAACAAATATAGTAAAATCAAGAAACAGGTAGACCTGAAACCTGATGACTTTACTTCTTGTTAATATTATTACTTAAAAGCTTTGTGAGGAAGACTAAAATGAATGGTTTGGATTCAGGATTTTGAAAGTAAGTATTGCTAATATTGACTATATTACAGATTTGACAGTTTTAGGGAGTTTTAGTTAGAATGTTTAGAAAATACACAATTTGAACACAACAATCTAGTTATTTAGAGTATGGAATTTTTCTCAAGGATTTAATTCTTAAAAGAGATGTTTATATTTGAGTTGTTTGTTAGCACATATATGTACTTTATATTTTGTATTTCTCTGTTTCATTTAGGTTCAGTTTGATCGTTATCTGTCAGCCCCAGACAACCTATTGATACCACAGCTGAACTTTCTTCTAAGTGCCACAGTGAAGTAAGTATTTTTGGTCCCAAGTAGTTGGTAAAGATTCACATATTTTTAAATATCAAGTACATTTTTTTGGAAAAAAATTTATTTTCAAGAATAAATGATTTACCATTGAAAATCTATAGTTCTCAACCTTTCTTCTGCCTTGGCATGCCAAAGGATGAGATCTGAACATGTCTGTACTTATTCCATGTCTATATGTCACTCCAAAATCTCTAATTAGTACATGATTGTTAAAATTACTTTGAATATAATTGAAGCTATATAGCTGTAATACCAAATTCCCTTACGTTAACAAACATGTCAGAATAATGTTGAATATGTTATGGAAAATCAATAATATATTCATTATGCAATGCAGATGAACTGATTTATAGACTATTTTGAATCTAAGGTAGTGTTCTGTAGATATAAAATTACTCAATATCATTTATCAGGAATGTATTCAGGACACCAAATCATACATTAAAATATTAGAATATAACAATTAGAAGAAGCGGAGAGATTATATGATCTTTCTTGATTTTAAGAAAAATATTGGCAAAATTGTCTATAGGTAAGAAATTAGGCAACATTATCTACACATTTTTTTTTCTTTCTATTCAAACAGCAGTGCAGTAAGTGTTTTCTACATAACAGGCACTAGGAGTTAAGGCTTAAAAGACATTTGCACTGTTTTCACGGAGCTTATAACCTAATAGGTCAGTTAAACATGCGAACAAATATTTACATTGAAATGTACAGTAAGGAAAGAACTATTGAACAAAACATTTCAGATATCTAAAAGAATGTAATGTTATAGAGGTGATATACTTATTTTCTGTTCTTGAGTATAGAACTACAGCAGAAAATAGAGCAAAGAAGCAGCTTTTTAACTCACCATGCAGAATTTGGTATCAATTAGAATTGGCTGGAAATCTATGGACCACTTTTTTTTTTTTTCTCAGACACAGAGTTAGGAAAGTTCCATTTTAGGTGAGTGACTAGAGTAAATGAATTTAATTTTTTTTTGTGACCTTTATATTGTATTATTCTAAAAGATATTATACTATTTACATAACCAGAATTCTAAAGACTTAAGAGATTACCAAAGAAACTGTTATGCTGTGACTCAGGTTGTTTGTAGGTGCTTCTTTTTTTTTTTTGAGACGGCGTCTTGCTCTTTCTCCCAGGCTAGAGTGCAGTGATCTTGGCTCAGTGCAATCTCTGCCTCCCAGGTTCAAGCGATTCTCCTGCCTCAGCCTCCTGAGTAACTGGGAGTACAGGCGCCCACCTCCACACCTGGCTAATTTTTGTATTTTTAGTAGAGATGGGGTGTCACCATATTGGCCAGGCTGTTCTTGAACTCCTGACCTCGTGATCCACCTGCCTCGGCCTCCCAAAGTGCTGGGATTACAGGTGTGAGCCACTGCGCCCGGCCAATGTGCTTCTTAAATTATTAAATTTTTAACTGAATACCTGTAATTCTTTTTAACTTAACTGTGTCTCAGTACGTAATATTAGAATGTTGTTAGCCATGTCACTACATGTGAAATATACTGTTATTCTTTTCATAATATAATGATTGAAGAGAGATTTTAATGTACTTTAAAAGATGACATGTAGCTCAGATGCTGTGAAGCAGGGGTCCCCAACCCCGGGCCAGGGACCCTGGTCTGTGGCCTGTTGGGAGCACAAACCCTACTGTGAACTGCGCCTGGAAGGATCTAGGTTATGTGCTCCTTATGAGATGGAACAGTTTCATCCCAAAACCATCCCCCAACTTCTTGTCCACGGAAAAATTGTCTTCCACAAAACCAGTCCCTGCTGCCAAAACCACTGGGAGCTGCTGCTGTAAAGGAAACAGATGGACAGATTTGGCTCTGTAACATTTTAAGGTTTTTACAGAAAAAGATAATATAAACTAAGTTGAAATATAAACAATAATATGGAAAAATGTTTGCAAAATATGTAACAGATAAATTATTCTTAATATATTATCCTTAATATATAGTAAGATCCTATAAATTCATACAAATTGTAGAAAAACAGGCACTGAATATTTGAACAACTCACAGAAGTAATGGAAATGGCAAGTAAATATATGAGGAAATAGTAATTATCAAAAAATGCAAACTGAAACAACGAGAACTTCTGTCTATCAGACTGCTGACAATAAAACATTTATTACATACTAATGGAACAGGTCTGAGAAAGTGGGCATTTTCACACTTTTTTGAATGAGAGTATAAATTAGTACAATCTTTTCAAAGAGCAGTTTGGCAACATTCCACAAAATTTCAAAATTATACATTCTTAGGCTCTTCTAAAATTTTATTTTTCTTTCTTAGTCTTGGTAATAGTTTAAAAAAACTGTTGAACCAGCAGTGGGATTGAGTATTGTGTATGGATCTATTCGAGTCGTTTGCCTCAGAAACTTGTCAGATTTCCTAAGCTTAAATCATTTTTGAAATTAAATGTTTGTCTTCCATTATTGAAGACAATATTTTAGTTTCTCCTTTACTTTTATTGTCCTGTTGTCTAACGGTAACAATGTAAACTTTGTTATTTTATTATCAGACAAATGAACAAGTTTTGGTACTTTTTTTTAAATGTGAATTTTTAATTTAGTTTTTAAAATTATTTTATGATATGTGCCTAACATCCTATTATGAATTCTTACTATTTATAATGACATTTAAAATTGAGATATGCATATTATTTATATAAGTATTAATACTACAAACAAGAGTTTGAAATTTCTTAGTACCTATTTACCTCTGTTTTCATTCAGAAATATTTTTAAATGTTATATGCAAAGTATTGGAAAATTAAATGTGATCTGCAACATAATTTTCAATATTTGTTTAGACGAACAGAAATTATGGTATAAATTTAGCTACTTATTTTCAAATCAGGATTGCTTTGAAAATATAGGGCATTTTACATATTTAAGATTTAACGTCAGGCCGGGCGTGGTGGTTCACTGAATGCCTGTAATCCCAGCACTTTGGGAGGTCGAGGCAGGCAGATCATGAGGTCAGGAGTTCAAGACCAGCCTTGCCAATATGGTGAAACCCTGTCTCTACTGAAAATACAAAAATTAGCTTGGTGTGGTGGTGTGTGCCTGTATTCCCAGCTACTTAGGAGGCTGAGGCAGGAGAATCGCTTGAACCCGGGAGGTGGAGGTTGCAGTGAGCCGCAGTCGCACCACTGCCCTCCAGCCTGGGCGACAGAGCAAGACTCCATCTCAAAAAAAAAAAAAAAAAAAAAAAAAAGATTTAACATTAAAGGAGATTTTCTTATTTTTATTTTTTTGAGACAGAGTCTGGCATTGTCACCCAGGCTGGAGTGCAGTGGCATAATCTCAGCTCACTACAGCCTCCATCTCCTGGGTTCAAGTGATTCTCCTGCCTTAGCTTCCTGAGTAGTTGGGACTACAGGTGCATGCCACCACTCCTGGCTGATTTTTGTATTTTTAGTAGAGATGGGGGCCTCACCATGTTGGCCAGGCTGGTCTCGAACTCCTGACCTCAAATTATACACCTGCCTTGACCTCCCAAAGTGCTGGGGTGACAGGCTTGATAGCACTCCCGGCCTAAAGCAAATTTTTAAATTGCGCTCCTACTATCTGTTTTTGGTTTTTTCCTGTTCTCTTCTCCTGAACTTTATCTATCTTCATAGTTGCAATACCTTTGGGACACCTATAACCTGTGTCTCCCTTTTTCTTGTCTTGTCTTAGTTTGACTGACTTTCAAAGGAGATTTTGATTTAGCACTTCAGCCTTGGAATAAGCTATTGAATACATTTAAGTAGCTAGGAAACAAGGTGGTATAGGAAATAGGGAAAAGAATAGAGAAAGAAAATGGTTTTAAAGAATTCTTCCCTTTGGAGTGAATTTGAAGCTTCTTGTTCTATTTTCAATGCAAAATCTCCAATATTCACCTTATAGCAATACAAAAATAGAGTTTGGACTACAGAAACCACAGTTGTGCATATATAAAATGTTCTCAATAAATCTTTGCTTATTGAGTCACAGTTACTTCCATAATAACTTAAGAAATAAAGAGAATGCAGATGCTTCCTAAAGTGAGCATATGGGAAAATGGGTAAGTTTTGATAACTCTTTTATTCAAGGTTTTTCCTCCATTATAGAAATAATATGCTAGAAATAAAGCATGTACCTATAATGGAGTAATTTTTTTGAGAGAAATTGAACACTTTTTTTTCTTTTAACTACCTTCTTTTATTCACTTGTACTATCAGGAATATCCATATAGACAAAAATAAAGCAAGTTTGGGGTAAAATTAAAAAAAAATACTACCAGGAAGAGAACTACTGGACAGCTGTGAACTGAATGCTTTAGAGACCTCAGAAAGTCCAAACCTTAAAAGCAGGATTAATCTCCAAAGGCTGGAGAACCTGGAATTCTTATGTCAAAGGAAGGAAAAGAAAGAGTATCTTAGCTGCAGGAGAGAAAAAGAGCAATTTGCTGTTCTTCTGCCTTTTTGTTCCATTCAGGCCTTCAGCTGATTGGATGGAGCCCGCCCCATTGACGGTGAATCTTCTTCACTCAGTCTTCCAACTTACATGCCAATCTCCTGTGGAAACACCCTCACAGACACACCCGGAAATTATGCTTTATCAACTAACTAGGTATCCCTTATCCAGTCAAGTTAACCCTTAAGATTAACTATCAGAGCTAATTTAGATTCATACTAATTAAGCTTAAAATCAAGCCTCTAAATTATCAACTTGATCTGTAATTAAATTAACTGCCTTCCGGAACAAAACATACATACTTAAAGATGACAGTTACAGACAATCAACAGTGTAACATCTATAATGCTAAGCATGTGATAAAATGCTATTGCAGTGAGGAAGCAGGAAAATATGAGCCAAACCTAGAGAAAAAAATCAGTCAGTAAAAACATACTTACAAATGCTAAAGTTTACAGAATTAACAGATAAGGTGTTTTAAAAAGCTGTTAAAAATATGTTCAAGAATTTAAAGGAAAACATGACCCTTAGAGAATAGGGGATTTTACAAAATTAGAATTCTAGAATTCAGAGATGCAGTATATAAAATGAAAAATTCACTGGATTGTCTTATAGGCCAGTTGAACACTCCAGAGGGAAAGATCAGTTAACTTGAAGAGAGGACAATAGAAACTGAAGCACAGATAGAAAAAAAATTAAAAGGCTGGAAAATAGATGGAGTCTTAGAGAATTGTGAGATAATACTAAGCAGTCTAACCTGTATAATTAGATATCATAGTGTAATTGAAGCAGAAAAATTTGAATAAAAGGGGAATTTTTTCTAAATGTTATGGCAAATAGGAACCCTCAGACCCAAGAAATTAAATACCAAAGTATACCATAATCAAATTATTGAAAACCAGTGATAAAGAGAAAAATTTTTAAAGACATTTGCAGGGAACAGTGGCATTACTGACTTCTTGTTAGAAACAGCGCAGACCAGAACACAGTAGAATATCATCACCTTTGAAAAGCTAAGTATAAAAACGTCAACTTTAAATGATCGATCAAAAAAAAAAGTGTCTTTCAAACTGAAAGTGAAATAAATGTTTTGAAATAAACGAAAGTAGAGAAGGTTTATCCCCAGCATAATGCACTGTAAGAAATGGGTACAAAAAGAAAGAATTCTTTTTTTTTTTTTTTTTTGGAGACGGAGTCTTGCTGTGTCACCCAGGCTGGAGTGGAGCGGCGCGATCTTGGCTCACTGCAACCTCTGCGTCCTGGGTGCAAGCCACTCTTCTGCCTCGGCCTCCTGAGTAGGTGGGAATATGGACACCTGCCAATGTGCCCGGCTAATTTTTGTAGTTTTAGTAGAGACGGGGTTTCACCATGTTGGCCCGGCTGATCTCAAACTCCTGACCTTGTGATCTGCCCACCTCGTCCTCCCAAAGTGCTGGGATTACAGGTGTGAGCCACTGTGCCCGGCCAAAAAGGAAGAATTCTTTAAAATCATTTTCTATGCTTTTCTCTATTATTTTGAGAATTTTTACATCATTGCTCATCAGGGATATTGGCCTGTATTTTTGTTGTACTGTTTTTTTTTTTCTTAATCTGTCTTTGGTTTTGGTATCAGGGTTAAATACTGGCCTCATAGAATGAACGTGGAAGTATTCCCTTCTCATCTATTTCTTGGAATAGTTTGAGTAGAATTAGCATTAGTTCTTCCTTAATTATTTGGTAAAATTCAGAAGTGAAGCCATCAGTTCCTGGCTTTTTCTTTGCTGAGACACTTTTTATTATGGCTTTGATCTCATTACTTGTTATTGGACTCTTCAGGTTTTGAATTTCTTCATGGTTCAGTCTTGGCAGATTGCATGTGTCTAGGAATTTATTCATTTCTTCTAAGCTTATAGTTGCTCATAGTAGCCTATAATGAGCCTTTGAATTTCTGGGGTATTGGCTGTGATGTCTCCTTTTTCATCTCTGATTTTATTTATTTGGATCTTCTGGTTCTTAGTCTAGCTAAAGGTTTGTCAATTTTGTCTATCTTTTCAAAAAATCACCTTTTGTTTCATCACTCTTTTGTACTTTTGTTTCAATTTCATATATTTCTGCTCTGATCTTTATTTTCTTCTACTAATTTTGGGTTTGGTTTCTTCTTGCTTTTCTAGTTCTTTAAAATGTATCATTAGGTTGTTTATTTGAAGCTTTTCTACTTTTTTTTGTAGGCACTTACAGCTACAAAGTTTCCTTTTAGTACTGCTTTTGCTGTATCCCATTGGTTTTGGTATGTTGTTTCCATTTTCAGTTGTTTCAATAAATTTTTTAATTTCCTTCTTAATTTCTTCATTAGCCCACTGGTTATTCAGGAACATATTGTTAAATTTCCATGTGTTTGTATACTTTCCAAAATTATTATTGTTATTGATTTTTAGTTTTATTCCATTGTGGTCAGAGAAGATACTTG
The DNA here is from genome assembly GCF_000001405.40 of Homo sapiens. Classification (NCBI taxonomy): domain Eukaryota; kingdom Metazoa; phylum Chordata; class Mammalia; order Primates; family Hominidae; genus Homo; species Homo sapiens. The sequence continues at coordinate 39,734,469 of NC_000013.11, forward strand.
ATATAATTTCATTTTTAAAAAAATTTTATGGACTTTTATTGTGTCCTAACATATGGTCTGTCCTTGAGAATGATCTATGTGCTGCAGAGAAAATGTTTATTCTGCAGCCATTGGATGAAATACTCTACAAATATTGATTAGGTGCATTTGGTCTGTAGTGCAGATTAAGTCCAATATTTCTTTTTTAATTTTCTCTCTGGGAAGTCTGTCCAGTGCTCAAAGTAGAGGGTTGAAGCCTCCAGCTATTATTGTTTTGGAGTCTGTCTCTCTCATTATCTCTAATAATGCTTGCTTTGTATATCTGGGTGCTCCAATGTTGGGTGCATGTATATTTACAATTGTTATATCCTCTTGCTGAATTTACCCCTTTATCATTATATACTGAACTTGTTTGTCTCTTTTTATGTTTGCCTTCAAATCTATTTTTTCTGATATAAATAAGTATAGCTACTCCTATTTTTTTGTTTGTTTCCACTGGCATGGAGTATCTTTTTCTATCTCTCTTTTTTTCAGTCTATGTCTGCTTTTGTAGATGAAGTATTTTTTTTGTAGGCAACAGATTTTTGGGTCTTGTTTTTTTAATCCATTCAACCACTCTGTGACTTTTTGTTGGAGACCATAGTCCATTTACATTGTGTTATTACTGATAAGGACTTACTCTGCCATTTAAAAACTTGCTTTCTTGTTGTTCTGTGATTTTCACTTCCTTCTTTCCTTCCTTCTTGTCTCTTTTTTAGTGAAGGTGATTTTCTCTGGTGGTATATTTTAAATTTCTTTTTATTTTTTGTATATCTGTTGTATGTTTTTTGACTTGAGGTTACCATGAAGCTTCCAAATAATATCTTATACTGCATTATTTTAAACTGACAACAACTTAACATTGATTGTGTAAACAAACAAGCCAAGAGAAAACTAATAAAAACTCTTTACCCTTTAACTTCATTGCCCTGCTAATATTTGTTTTTTCTACTTATATCTTATTATACTGTCTGTCACTTGAAATGTTACTGTAGTTATTTTTGCTAGGTTCATCTTTTTATTCTGTCTACTCAAGATATGAGTAGTTTACACACCATGGTTACAGTTTACAACATTCTGTGTTTTTCTGTGTACCTAGTATTACCAGTGTGTTTAGTTCCTTCAGATGATTTCTTATTGCTCATTAATGTCCTTTTCTTTCAGATTGAAGAACTCTCTTTAGCATTTCTTGTAGGACAGATGTGGTGTTGATGAAGTCCTTTTTTTTTTTTTTTTTTTGGTCTGGGAAAGCCTTTATTTGTCCTTCATGTTTATAAGATCTTTTCACTGGATATGGTATTCTAGGATAAAAGTTTTTTTTTCCTTCAGCACTTTAAATGTGTCATGCCACTCTCTCCTGTCCTGTAAGGTTTCCACTGAAAAGTCTGCTGCCAGAATTATTGGAGCTCCTTTGTAGGTTGTTTCTTTTCTCTTGCTGCTTTTACGTTCTTTTTCTTTGGCCTTTGGGAGTTTGATTATTAAAGGTCTTGAGGTAGCCTTATTTGGATTACATCTGCTTAGTGGTCTGTAACCTTCTTCTACTTGAATATTGATATCTTTCTCTAGGTTCGGAAAGTTCTCTGTTATCCCGTCAAATAAACTTTCTACACTAATCTCTCTCTGCCTCCTCTTTAAGGCCAACAACTCTTGGATTTGCTCCTTGGAGGCTATTTTCTAGATCTTGTATGTGTGCTTCATTTTTTTTTTTATTCCTTTTTCTTTTGTCTCCTCTTACTGTGTATTTTCAAATATCCTGTCTTCAAGCTCAGTAGTTCTTTCTTCTGTTTGATTAGTTCTGCAGCTAAGAGACTCTGATGCATTCTTTAGCATGTCACTTGTATTTTTCAGCTTCGGACTTTCTGCCTGATTCTTTTTGACTATTTCAAGCTCTTTGTTAAAGTTACCTGATAAGGTTCTGAATTTTGGCCAGGCGCAGTGTCTCACGCCTGTAATCCCAACACTTTGGGAGGCCGAGACACTTGGATTACCTGAGGTCAGGAGTTCAAGACCAGCCTAACCAACATGGAGAAACCCTGTCTCTATAAAAATACAAAATTAGCCAGGCATAGTGGTGCATGCCTGTAATCCCAGCTACTCAGGAGACTGAGGCAGGAGAATCGCTTGAACCTGGGAGGCGGAGGTTACGGTGAGCCGAGATCGTGCCATTGCACTCCAGCTTGGGCAAGAAGAGCAAAACTCCATTTCAAAAAAACAAAAAACAAGATTCTGAATTTCTTCTTTGTGTTATCTTGAATTTCTTTGCACTTCCTCGGCACAACTATTTTGATTTCTCTGTCTGAAAGGTCACATATGTCTGTCACTCTAGGGTTGGTCACTGGTGCCTTGTTTAATTTGTTTGGGGAAGTCATGTTTTCCTGGATGGTCTTGATGCTTGTAGATGTTCATCAGTGTCTGGGCATCGAAGAGGTGGGTGTTATAGTCTTCATAGTCTGGGCCTTGTACCTGTCCTTCTTATGAAGGCTTTCCAAGTATTCAAGGGGACTTGTGAATTAAGTCTTTGGTCACTGCAGCCATATCTACATTAGGGAACACCTCAAGCCCTGTGGCTCTTGCAGACTCAATGAGGGTACTACATTGGTGGTGTTGGGTGAGATCCAGGAGAACTTCCTGGATTACCAGGTGTAGACTCTTGTTCTCTTCCCTTACTTTCCCCCAGGCAAATAGAGTCTCCCTCTCTGTACTGAGCTGCCTCGGAGCTGGGGGAGTGGTGATACATGCCTCTTCGTGGCACCACCACTGGTACTGCGCTGGGTGAGATCCAAAGCAAGCATAGCATTGGGTCTTGCCCAAGGCCCACAGGGATCACTGCATGACTACTGCCTATGTTCCCTCAAGGTCCAAGGGCTCTGCAGTCCGCAAGTGATGAATCAGTGAGGCTTGTGTCCTTCCCTTCAGGGCAGTGAGTTTCCCTTGTCTCCGAGTGGGTCCAGAGAAGCTGTCTGGGATGCAGGGCCTGGAGTCAGGAACCTTAGGAATCTATTATATGTGGTGTTCTGTTCTGAGGTGGCTGAGCTGGCATCCAAGATACAGAACAAAGTCCTTCCCATGCTTCTGTCTCAAGCAGAAGGAAGGAGTCTTACCCGGAGCTACAAGCTGCATCACCTGGGGTTGCGGGAGGAGTGATGCAAGTACTCCCGTGGCTGCCCTAGCTGGTGTCTCACTAGGTCACGTGCACCCCAAGTCCACTGGCTCTAAGCCCAGCACAGCACAGAAGCTTGCCCAGGAATTAGAGCCCTTATGGCCCAAAACTTGCCCTTCAGTTTATTTCAGATCCCAGAGCACCTTATCCCATGGTGGTGGGGCTTGCCAGAACTCTGGTTCTGACCGCTGGGATGGAGGCTTCCCTTCTGACTAGTGCTGGTCTAAATGCTCCCTCTGTGGATGCTGGCTGAGTTCTGCCTGGTGTTGCTTTCTGCTGTGACAGGGCAGCACTAAATTCCAGTGCTACGTCCCACAATCACTCTTTTTTCTCCCTTCCACAAGCACATAAATTCTCTCTCCGCGCCATGCTGCCAGTGCCAGGGATTAGGGGAAGGATGGTGTAGGCAATTCAAGACTATCTTTCTTATCCTCTTTAGTGCCTCTTTCCTTAATATGATGTTAAAACCAAGTACTATGATTGCTCACCTAATTTTTGGTTCTTAGGAAGGTGATTTTTTGTGTGGATAGATTTGGCGTTCCTGCTTGGGGGACGATCTCTGGAGGCTTCTATTTGCTCATCTTTCTCCTAATTGTGGAATTTTAAACACATAAAACATACGACAACAAAAGTGCAAAAGATGCAGTGGGAGGGAAGTGGAAGTTTGGTGTTTTAATATTGTAAGGATATTAAGTTATCCATGAAATATATAATATTGATTGGAGGTAGACTGTAAACCTTCCCACAACCATTGAAACAAATAAAGTTATTTAGCATACCAATAGATAAGAACAAATAGAATTTTTAAAAAGTAATTGTATCAAAAGAAGGTGAAAAAGGAGGGTAAAAGAACAAATGAGACAAGTATGAAACAAGTAGCAGGAAGATAGACTTAATTGCAGCCTAATAAGTAACTGTACTAAATGTGAAAGTACTACAGATTTGAACTAAAAGACAAAATTGTTAGACTGGATGAAAAAGCATGGTACAACTATCTGCTATCTATAAAAAGTCCATTTTAAATATAAAGGTGGAGATAGTTTAAAAGGATGACAAAAGATATACCATGCAAGCACTAATCCTAAAGCTGGAGTAGCTATATTACTATAAGAAAAATTAGACTACAGACAGATAATAATACCAGAGATAAAACGTGACATTTTATAATAGGATTAATACATGAAGTAAATATAGTAGTATATCTGTGCATTTAATAGCAGAGCTGCAAATAACATGAAATATAAGCTTACAGGATTGATGAGGAGTAGCTGTATCAAGAAATACAGTTAGATATTTCTGCATAGTCCTCTCAGTAATTGATACAAAAAAATAGGAAATTAACATGATGCTTCATAGTTGAACAGTACTACCAATCTTTACCTAATAGAAATATTTAAAATACTACACACAAACTATAGAAAATACACATTGTTTTTAAGTACGGATAAAACATTCATGAAACTAATGTAAGAATGAGCAAAAAAGGAAATAAGAAATCCTAAGTAGATGAACGTAAGAACTCAAACTAGATGATTCTAGTTCTAGAAAGTTCCTAGCAAGAACTAGAAAAGTCATAGCAAGTTTTTCTTTATAAATTCCAAGCTAAATCAGTTTTTACAATGAATGTGGATAACTTAAGCTACCCTATTTTAACATACAAGAGTGTCAGTTTAGATTTCAAAAAAAAGCAAACCGCAGTTCACCTATATGCCCTTTACAAGAGACCATTTACAACAAAGTGGCATACAAAGAAAGAAAGAGTTGCAATATTAACAGGCAAAATTGAATTCAGGGTGTAAGTCAATAAAAGGTCAAAGGGAAATGTTTTATATTGATAAAAGTCATGCTTAAGTAGGTCTTAGGTAAAAATCCTGAAAGATATAAAAAATCATTTAAAAAAATCAAACATTCCATTGCATCAAGAGAGGAAACACTATAGCCAAAGCATACAAAGAAAAATCTTACTTGAATTTACTACATAAACCAGTTAGAGAAGAGTACCATGACACTATGTTGGAATATTGAAAATCTACAGCAAACATAATACTTAATGATGAAACATTAGAAACCTTTTCATTACAGTTCAAAACAATATATGCATAGTTACTGTCACATCTGTTTACCTTGGAGCTTCTAGCCATTGTAATGAATTGAGTCATAAATATTGAAAAGAATTAATAAAACTTATTAATTTTAAATGTCTGTACCAAAAACAAAAAAGGCAAGCAATTAACAAACTAATAGAACTAAAATAGAGTTGTTACTTGGCCAGATTCAAAATTAACATACTAAAATTAGTACCTCTTCTGTATACCAGAAATATCTAATTATAACAATGAAAAGTAAAAGACTTTATTATAATAGTCACAGGATTGTTTCCTAGAAATAAATTTGATAATATACGTGGAAAATTATATAATGAAACTTATAAAAATTTATTGAAAATTCTAAAAGATCTGACTAAATAGGCATACTCTGTTCATAGACTGAAAAATTCACTAGTGTAACAGGTTAATCTGTAAATAACTCCAACTTTAATCAAAATTCTCATGGAATCATTTCATTAAATATGTATCTAAGAAGTATATGAGAGAGGACTCATACTTCTGAACATCTCCATAATTAGCACTCTGGCCCAAGGTGGCATCATCTGTGCCTGGTTTATCACATTAACCTCTGAACTTTTCCATTTTCACACTTGCCCTCTCCACCACCATCCACCCAAGCCCTGCAGCCTAAACTGAACACTCAGAGTGATCCTTTAATAGATTACTTAGTTCAATTCTTTCGATGAATTTAAAAGAGGATATTGTTTAGAAAGACTAAGTAATTGAATCAAGGTCAAAAAATTTGTAAGAAGTAGAGCCATGATTTGTATCCAACATTTCTGATTCTAGACCCTATTCTCTTCAACACTAGACTATACTGTATTTTATTAGCTCTTTCTGTGTTGAGATTATTTTATTATTTTTAAAGAATGCTCGTAGACGTCTGGCATATATGATGATAGATGACACTTATCTGAAATATGTAGCTTGGCCTCATAAAAAATATGCTTTAATTTCATTTATAGACACATAGCTGACCTAGGATGAAAAATTGTCTTGACCCATTGTGACATTTCTTATATTTATATGGTAATGAAGAAAAATCAAAATTTTAACTAATCTGTTTTTCATAAGGATATTATCGTCTTTTCTTCTTGGGCTTTTAGGCTTAACGCCTTTTTTTCTCCTGTGGCACATTTGATTGCACTCTTAACTGCGGTGCTAAAATAAAACTCAATTTTAGTGATCACAGAATCTGATGTTGAAATAGTCTATTTCTGGAAATGCTGGGTTTATGGTAATGATGAAAGTTGTATCATGTTGTTATGGCAACCAAAATCCTAAAGTACAGATTAATGACAAGCTCACTGATTTTTGGAAGTAAGCAGTTCATTTCTTATCTCAGTTCAGTTTTAAATAATTATTTAGAATACAGTAAATTTCTTTGAACATATTTTAAAATGAGAATAATATCTCCATTTAGTTACATATCTAGAGATTCTCTTCTTCAAAGGATCACAGCTCCTCGCCAGCAATGGAACAAAGCTGGATAGAGAATGACTTTGACAAGCTGACAGAAGTAGGCTTCAGAAAGTCGATAATAACAAACTTCTCTGAGCTAAAGGAGGATGTTCGAACCCATTGCAAGGAAGCTAAAAACCTTGAAAAAAGATTAGATGAATGTCTAACTAGAATTAACAGTGTAGAGAAGACCTTAAATGACCTGATGGAGCTGAAAACCATGGCACGAGAACTATGTGACGCATGCACAAGCTTCAATAGTCGATTTGATCAAGTGGAAGAAAGGGTATCAGTGATTGAAGATCAAATTAATGAAATCAAGAAGAGAAGTTTAGAGAAAAAAGAGTAAAAAGAAACAAACAAAGCCTCCAAGAAATATGGGACTATGTGAAAAGACCAAATCTACGTTTGATTGGTGTACCTGAAAGTGACAGGGAGAGTGGAACCAAGTTGGAAAACACTCTTCAGGATGTTATCCAGGAGAACTTCCCCAACCTAGCAAGGCAGGCCAACATTCAAATTCAGGAAATGCAAAGAACACCACCAAGATACTCCTCGAGAAAAGCAACCCCAAGACATATAATTGTCAGATTCACCAAGATTGAAATGAAGGAAAAAATGTTAAGAGCAGCCAGAGAGAAAGGTCGGGTTACCCACAAAGGGAAGCCCATCAGACTAACCGCATATCTGTCAGCAGAAACTCTACAAGCCAGAAGACAGTGGGGTCAATATTCAACATTCTTAAATAAAAGAATTTTCAACCTAGAATTTCATATCCAGACAAACTAAGCTTCATAAGTGAAGGAGAAATAAAATCCTTTACAGACAAGCAAATGCTGAGAGATTTTGTTACTACCAGGCCTGCCTTATAAGAGCTCCTGAAGGAAGCACTAAACATGGAAAGGAACAGCCGGTACCAGCCACTGCAAAAACATGCCGAACTGTAAAGACCATTGATGCTGGGAAGAAACAGCATCAACTAACGGGCAAAATAACCAGCTAACATCATAATGACAGGATCAGATTCACACATAACAATATTAACCTTAAATGTAAATGGGCTAAATGCCCCAATTAAAAGACACAGACTGGCAAATTGGATAAAGAGTCAAGACACATCAGTGTGCTGTATTCAGGAGACCCATCTCACATGCAGAGACACACATAGGCTCAAAATAAAGGGATGGAGGAAGATCTACCAAGCAAATGGAAAACAAAAAAAGGCAGGGGTTGCAATCCTAGTCTCTGATAGAACAGACTTTAAACCAACAAAGATCAAAAGAGACAAAGAAGGCCATTACATAATGGTAAAGGGATCAATTCAACAAGAAGAGCTAACTATCCTAAATATATATGCACCCAATACAGGAGCACCCAGATTCATAAAGCAAGTCCTTAGAGACCTACAAAGAGGCTTAGACTCCCACACAATAATAATGGGAGATTTTAACACCCCACTGTCAACATTAGACAGATCAACGAGACAGAAAGTTAACAAGGATATCCAGGACTTGAACTCACCTCTACAGCAAGCAGACCTAATAGACATCTACAGAACTCTCCACCCCAAATCAACAGAATATACATTCTTCTCAGCACCACATCGCACTTATTCCAAAATTGACCACATAGTTCGAAGTAAAGCACTCCTCAGCAAATATAAAAGAACAGAAATCACAACAAACTGTCTCTCAGACCACAGTGCAATCAAACTAGAACTCAGGATTAAGAAACTCACTCAAAACTGCACAACTACATGGAAACTGAACAACCTGCTCCTGAATGACTACTGGGTACATAACGAAATCAAGGCAGAAATAAAGATGTTCTCTGAAACTAATGAGAACAAAGACACAACATACCAGAATCTCTGGGACACATTTAAAGCAGTGTGTGAGGGAAATTTATAGCACTAAATGCCCAAAAGAGAAAGCAGGAAAGATCTAAAATCGACACCCTAACATCACAATTAAAAGAACTAGAGAAGCAAGAGCAAACAAATTGAAAAGCTAGCAGAAGGCAAGAAATGACTAAGATCAGAGCAGAACTGAAGGACATAGAGACACAAAAAACCCTTAAAAAAATCAATGAATCCAGGAGCTGGTTTTTTGAAAGGATCAACAAAATTGATAGACGGCTAGCAAGACTAATAAAGAAGAAAAGAGAGAAGAATCAAATAGATGCAATAAAAAATGATAAAGGGAATATCACCACTGATACCACAGACATACAAACTACCATCAGAGAATACTATAAACACCTCTATGCAAATAATCTAGAAAACCTAGAAGAAATGGATAAATTCCTTGACACATACACCCTCCCAAGACTAAACCAAGAAGAAGTTGAATCTCTGAATAGACCAATAACAGGCTCTGAAATTGAGGCAATAATTAATAGCCTACCAACCAAAAAAAAGTCCAGGACCAGATGGATTCACAGGTGAATTCTACCAGAGGTACAAAGAGGAGCTGGTACCATCCATTCTGAAACTTCCAATCAATAGAAAAAGAGGGAATCCTCCCTAACTCATGTTATGAGGCCAGCATCATCCTGATACCAAAGCCTGGCAGAGACACAACAAAAAAAGAGAATTTTAGACCAATATCCCTGATGAACATCGATGCAAAAATCCTCAATAAAATACTGGCAAACTGAATCCAGCAGCACATCAAAAAACTTACCCACCAAGATCAAATTGGCTTCATCCCTGGGATGCAAGGCTGGTTTAACCTATGCAAATCAATAAACATAACCTATCATATAAACAGAACCAGTGACAAAAACCACATGATTATCTCAATAAACGCAGAAAGGGCCTTCGACAAAATTCCACAGCCCTTCATGCTAAAAACTCTCAATAAACTAGGTATTGATGGAATGTGTCTTAAAATAATAAGAGCTATTTATGACAAACCCACAGCCAATATCATACTGAACAGGCAAAAACTGGAAGCATTCCCTTTGAAAACTGGCACAAGACAGGGATGCCCTCTCTCACCACTCCTATTCAACATAGTGTTGGAAGTTCTGGCCAGGGCAATCAGGCAAGAGAGAGAAATAAAGGATATTTAATTAGGAAAAGAGGAAGTCAAATCATCCCTGTTTGCAGATGACATGATTGCATATTTAGAAAACCCCATTTTCCCAGCCCAAAATCTCCTTACGCTGACAAGCAACTTCAGCAAAGTCTCAGGATACAAAATCAATGTGCAAAAATCACAAGCATTCCTATACACCAATAACAGACAAACAGAGAGCCAAATCATGAGTGAACTCCCATTCACAATTGCTACAAAGAGAATAAAATAACCTAGGAATCCAACTTACAAGGGATGTGAAGGACCTCTTCAAGGAGAACTACAAACCACTGCTCAACAAAATAAAAGAGGACACAAACAAATGGAAGAACATTTCATGCTCATAGATGGGAAGAATCAGTATTGTGAAAATGGCCATACTACCCAAGATAATTTGGAGATTCAATGCCATCCCCATCAAGGTACCAATGACTTTCGAATTGGAAAAAAAACTACTTTAAAGTTCATATGGAACCAAAAAAGAGCCCACATTGCCAAGACAATCCTAAGCCAAAAGAACAAAGCTGGAGGCATCACGCTACCTGACTTCAAACTATACTACAAGGCTACAGTAACCAAAACATCATGGTACTGGTATCAAAACAGAGATATAGACCAATGGAACAGAACAGAGGCCTCAGAAATAACACCACACATCTACAACCATCTGATCTTTGACAAACCTGACAAGGGGTAAGGATTCCCTATTTAATAAATGGTACTGGGAAAACTGGCTAGCCAAATGTAGAAAGCTGAACCTGGATCCCTTCCTTACACCTTATACAAAAATTATTTCAAGATGGATTAAAGACTTAAACGTTAGACCTAAAACCATAAAAACCCTAGAAGAAAACTTAGCCAATACCATTCAGGGCATAGGCATGGGCAAGGACTTCATGACGAAAACACCAAAAGCAATGGCAACAAAAGCCAAAGTAGGAAAATAGGATCTAATTAAACTAAAGAGCTTCTGCACAGCAAAAGAAACTACCATCAGAGTGAACAGGCAACCTACAGAATGGGAAAAAATGTTTGCAATCTACCCATCTGACAAAGGGCTAATATCCAGAATCTACAAAGAACTTAAACAAATTTACAAGAAAAAAAACCATCAAAAAGTGGGCAAAGGATATGAACAGATACTTCTCAAAAGAAGACATTTATGCAGCCAACAGACACATGAAAAAATGCTCATCATCACTCACTGGTCATCAGAGAAATGCAAATCAAAACCACAATGAGATACCATCTCACGCCAGTTAGAATAGTGATCATTAAAAAGTCAGGAAACAACGGATGCTGGAGAGGATGTGGAGAAATAGGAATGCTTTTTCACTGTTGGTGGGAGTGTAAACTAGTTCAACCATTGTGGAAGACAGTGTGGCAAATCCTCAAGGATCTAGAACTAGTTTTTTGACCCGGTGAATCCATTACTGGGTATATACCCAAAGGATTATAAATCATGCTACTATAAAGACACATGCACACGTATGTTTATTGAGGCACTATTCACAATAGCAAAGACTTGGAACCAACCCAAATGTCCATCAATGATAGACTGGATTAAGAAAATGTGGCACATATACACCATAGAATACTATGCAGCCATAAAAAAGGATGAGTTCATGTCCTTTGTAGGGACATGGATACTGCTGGAAACCATCATTCTAAGCACACTGTCCCAAGGACAGAAAACCAAACACCACGTGTTCTCACTCATAGGTGGGAACTGAACAATGAGAACACTTGAACACAGGGCGGGGAACATCACACCCTGGGGCCTGTCATGGGGTGGGGAGTAGGGGAGGGATAGCATTAGGAGAAATACCTAATGTAAATGATGAGTAAATGGGGTGCAGCAAACCAACATGGCACGTGTATACCTATGTAACGAACTGGCATGTTGTGCACATGTACCCTAGAACTTAAAGTATCATTAAAAAAAAAAAAAGTTACTTCCCCCTTTCAACTGGTCTTTTTGCATATCTTTTGGTGTTGTGAAAAGCAAGAGGACAGAAACAGTCCTGAAAGTACTTCCCGTCAGCTATGGACTAGGCTGTGATTGATCAAAATAGTAAGTAAGTAAAATCAAGTGCATGCCCATGCTAGAACCAGTGTTCAGCATGCACTGCTAACAACAACAACAAAAAAATTCACTGTTTTCACTGCCTGTACATAGGGTGTTTAGTTGATAAGGACATTCCCAACTTTCAGAAGCATATGACTGAACTGAGATGATTTGTTGGTCATTTTGGATTTAGTCATAGAATCCTTGAAACTTTTACATTTTGGACATTGATTATTTGTTACTATAATGATTCATTATTGTTTGAGACTGTGTATTTCATATGTGATATTAGTAATTAGTGAATAATTTGGGCTAAGACCAGGCAGACAATATAGACAGATAGATCAGTTGATTGATAGACAGATACTTAATATACTTTTTAAGATAAAGGATGAATTTACATAGTAATTATTACTGTAAATAAAAATATAGTAAACTGGCAAGAGAATAAAATGGTTTTAACACTATAGAAACATTCATTTATATACAAATAACTGATACGCTTTTATAAATCATATTTTGGGAAACTTAGTTCCCTAAAATAATGTATGTGTATGTATATGTGATGTATTTATTCATGTAGGTAGTTTTTTTAAAACAATAACTCATTAAAATACTCTTAACTCTCAGTGGAATAATATAGCTTAAAAGCTTAAAGTACCTTATAAAGATTAACCAGTTCAATATTTGGTTTATAGTGGAGAAAGCAGTCTTGGAGAGGTTAAATTACTTGTTCAAGGCAACAATAAGTGGCAGAGCTTCAACTAGAATGTAAGCCTTCTAACAGTAATTTACTCGTCTATACCATTTTATCTGTACTGTACCATATAGAACTGATTAGAAAATACTTAATAAAAGTGAGTGTAGGAACCTGTTGCTTTGGTAGTGATAAATGAACTCATATTTGTTCAGAAATGTGGAATCACACTGTCAGCCAGAGTTCTTGGTCTTTATAATTTAAGTTTGACTCAGACTCGCTTCAGAGAATCTCCCTTTTCATTTTATTTCTATCCTGTTGGCTTTAGCAGGCAGTTAGCAGGCCAGGAGGAGCAGTTCCTTATTCTTTGCTTTTTTTCCTTCCTCCTTCATTCATGTAATACATGAAGATTTCTTTTTATCCAGCGGCTTTGCTTTCTTCATCTTCTCCACCATATGCATATTCTTTTTTTAACCCCTTCCATATCTCAGTGGCTTTTTAAGCTGAGGCGGAGATTGAAGACATACTATACCATCTAACACCAAAATTTAAAATGAATTTTAAACACTCGTTTAGTTTTAACTGGCTTGATTTTATTTAATTATCTGTGTTTATGTGGTACTGCTTTATTTTATCTATTGCAGACTTACAGTGGATTTTCAGCTGTATTGTTAGTTACAGACATTCGTGAGCTAATTTATATAGCTTAGAAACAAATGTGTCAAGTTACAACTAAATTTCAGTAAATTTTAAATTTTTTATCACTGTTACTTGAAAATGAAATTTAAATTTCACTACTTTAGAAGTTTCAACAATACTACATTTACAAGTTAAATACTACATTTACAAGTTACTCTGAACTTTTAAAAATCATATTCAATATTTATAATTGTACATTATTCTTATTTTATACTTTTTATGAGAAGGAATAGCCTTATTTTTGTGTACTCCTTATATACGATCAAATATATGCTGTATTGAGATTGAGTATAGACTTGAGTATGAGGCATGAGTAATGAATGCTTTACACACTTCTCAGAAATCTATGTTATTGCGCTTAGAAAAGAACTAAGAACACTGTTTCTAAAATCCAGTATCTGACTTGTTGCAAAAGTGGATATCAAATGTATGTTATATCTAACAAAGTTTTAAAATACTAGTTTCTAGTAGTTTTTAATGAAAAATAATTTTTGCATTATTTTGTTACATTCATTGTCAAGCAAATTTAATTACAGGAAAGACCACTAATCAATAGATCAAAAAATATCTCCAGGCTGGGCACAGTGGCTCATGCCTGTAATCCCAGCACTTTGGGAGGCCACAGTGGGCGGATCACCTGAGGTCAGGATTTTGAGACCAGCCTTGCCAACATGATGAAACCCCGTCTCTACTAAAAATACAAAAATTAGGCAGGCATGGTGGTGCATGCCTGTAATCCCAGCTACTCGGGAGGCTGAGGCAGGAGAATCACTTGAACCGGGAAGGCAGAGGTTGCAGTGAGCCAAGATCATGCCACTGCACTCCAGCCTGGGTGACAAAGAAGTGAGACTGTCTCGAAAAAGAAAAAAAAAAAATCCCCAAGCCTCATTTAGTTAAGCAGTTTTCTAAACCAGTTTCTACCATCATCCCTTCCCTTTCAGCAGAAAGGTAGTACAACCAGTAGCACCAGTCTACTCTGCTCAGAAAATTTACTCAGCATGTCTTTCTTCTACTCACTGTCATTTTGGAAGCTTTAGCAATTTTTGGAAAATGTCAAGTTACTCCAACTCGTCAAGAGTTTGGACCCCATTAGAACAGTGTACAGATGTTCCAAGATCTTAAGTGGACTTCTTTCCTTATTCCATCCAACTATTTTCTTTTCTAGACCACAGATGCATATATTTCCACAGATAGTCTTAAAAATGTATTATTCTATCCATTATTATCAAAAAAGAACATAATTCCTAGAAAAACAAAGAATGTGTTCTGTTGATGATGACTTCATGACATTGACCTGTGTGACAACTTAACACAATATTACTATTACTGCTATAACTATTACGTTAATCTAGCTAGTCACAGTCATGTACTCTTGACTATGTGAAGAAACAGTTTTCCTGAAATAGCCACTGATTCAGCATTTATGGAAAACAGTGGTGGCTCAAGAGCCCAGAATAGGACTCTGTAAATAAGGAAAAAGTTCTTTTTCTCCATCAAGCATTCAGTGAACATGTATTTATTGAGCATCCATCATATTCAAAATATACTGGGTTTTAAGGGACATGTGAACATAAACAGTGTCAAGTTAGTTGAAATTTTGTAGGACAGGTAAGACATGAACAACATGTATTTCTGTAATTCTAAACAATTTTTTAAGTACATTTTGGAAATTGGGTTATATTGCAGTCATATCCATTTGATGCAGAACTAACCCCTTCCTAATACAAAGCTGTTGGGATCTGAACATCAAGAAAATGTAGAAGCTTTATTGTAAGTTAGGAGTGGTAAAAGCTATATGAAAGGAACAGAAAAAGTGCCATGGACATTCCACAAAGGAAGTAATTATTTCTAGCTCTAAAGATCAGACAAGACTTCATGGATAAGAGAGAACATTTTTGTTGAACATTAAGAGCATTTACAAGTGGTGAAAGAGGCACTCTAGGAAAATGAAGTAGGAGCAAAGGAACTGAGATCAGCAAACCAGAGCCCAGAGAACAGTCAAGGGTTGCACTGGAATTAGAATAGTGATAGGGAAAGTGTTAGATAATTTTTGAATGGTAGAAGGAATTTGGGCTTCTCTGAAACCAAAAGAGGCTACTGAAGCTCTTTGAAAGCCCCAGGTAAGAGAGAGATGTGATAGAAAGTATGCCTCAGCAAGATTGATCTAACAACAGTGCCTAGGATGGATTGAATATTGAAGAGACTGAAAGAGGGAAGAATAGATAGGAGTTTGTGTGTACTCCAGGCAAGAGGTCATTTTAGAACCTGAGCTGAAGTGATACAACATTGTTATGCCATTAACAGAAGTAGGAAACTACAAGAAAAGGAGGTGTGGAAGCAAAGCTTTAAACACACATTTTTATTTTAGTTTTTGTAAAAATCAGAAAATTAGTACCAGTGTTCTCATGGCCAGTACCATGAGTACCATGAGAACCATGAGTACCGTTAGTACCATCTTCTCATGGTGATACATGAATAGTATGAGTAGCTAGGGATGACAGGAAGTTAATGTCATGGAACTATGCAGAGAGTTGTTGCACATTTAATGAACCAATACTGTTTTTTCTAGCTGGATAATTTTGTAAACATTTGCAGGACTCATTCTTTATGTGCTTTTGTAGAAATGTATATTTGTGAGAAAGCTGTGATTTGCTGCAGGCAAGTGTCACATTTTAGCTTGGGGTGATATAGAGAGATGAAGAGAAAGCTAGGAGATGTGGTTGTTAGTGTAAAAGCTGTAAGGTGAAAGAGCAGTTTACTTTAAGTTTTCCTGAGAGATAAAAGTGTTGATAAATTGAAACAATTGTAAGCATCTTTCTTTAATGTGTTACCACTTTTGCAAAATCAATACATTGACATTGGGTCACAGTTTTTGTTTCTTATTTAGCAGTCCTGTATATCAGGCACAAATATATAGCAGTCCAATATATATCAGGAACAAAACACAGTCCATGCCCTCTGCAACCTATATAGTAATGGAGAAAGATTTAATAAATAATGAATACAAAATTATATTTTATCCCAAAATTAGGATTAACTGTGTAGCCATATAGTGATTATTAAATAGTGTATGTGTGATGATAATGAAAATGAAATGTGTTGATTGAAGTGTCAAGCTGTCTTACAATTCTTAGTAAATATATTTTTTTCAAATGATGTGTTTACATTTTGTTTGCTTATCAATAGAGAGCAGATCGTAAAACAATCTACAGAATTAGTCTGCAGAGCCTATGGTGAAGTGTATGCAGCCGTGATGAATCCAATCAATGAATACAAAGATCCAGAGAACATTCTTCACCGATCGCCGCAGCAAGTGCAGACGCTTCTTTCCTGATTATCTTATTTCATTGTGTTAGCAAAATATGACCTCCCTAAAACACTGAAGGTTATTTTTTATTCTTTGAATTTTTACTCTATAATTTGATAGTTACAGTTTTCTTTGTATCATAAGATTGTAAGTCCCGATAATTTTTTTTTTTTTGGTCTCAGTAACAGGGAAGTAAGTAACATGTTGACCTGAGCTAGTATTGCTGTGTATCTACTCTAAATGAGATGATCTATTTTTTTGCTAGCCATCTCTCCAGCTCTGCAGTTTTCACTGTATTCAGGAAGCATAAAGTAGTATGAAAGGTTTGAAGAATTTTTTTTTACAAGACTAGTTCTAAATTAACAGCTTATAAAAAATTTGTCTAAATTTAATAATTAGTATAAGGATATGACCTAATAAATGTCTCCTTACCTAAAGATTCATTTGCTTTCTTTTAATATGAGTAGGCATACTTAGTAGCTTTTCTGAACCTAGCCTATGTCTCTGTCCCCAAAATAGCTGCCCTTAAAGAGTTGTTAGCAGAGAGAAAAATAACAGTGAATGTGCTCCTGGTGTATATGGCAGTGAATCTCCTTTCTGTTCTACTTTAGCATACTATATATATTTGACTGTGTACATTCTTATGCAATTTTAAGTATACACTCAGCAATAATTAGAAAAAAAGGAGAGAGAAAAGTGATTTAAACAGGGTGGATTCCACTCTGTGGGAGCCTTCGATGGAACTCAAGGTGGAGCTCAGCCTTTCCAATGAGCTCTAAGCATGTAGATAGCCTGAGCTGTGTCTAAGCCTGGTGTTTAAAGATGGGTATTTGTCATACAATATGGGTCCTAAATCCAACCAACTACACATTTTATCTGGTGTTCAAACCAAAGAAACAATGATCTACTCAAACATTGGAGAAAAAAACTGCCAGAGGAGGAGTTGCCAATTGGCAGTGTGTCTTATCTCCATGTTGTAACTGGACTCTGACTTTAGACCATTACCTATTAGGAAGATTAAAAATGACTGTATTTTTAAAGGAATAAATCCCAGTGTGCCTGATTTGACATTCTTGTCAGCAAAAAAAAACTTAATTTCTAGTAAATCTATAAAAATGGGTAAGTCCCTAAATTACAAATGAGAAAATTGAAGCACAAGGAAAAAAATAACTAGTTTGAAATATTTTGAAAAGTAATAACATAAAACTAGTATTTGTAGAAGATTATGTGTTGTATATAACAAATTAGTATTTATAGAATATGACCTATTTATCTGAAGTTTATAATTGTTTATACCTAATACAGTTCTTTTTGGAGTAAGAATGATTATATAATCGTTATCCATTTGGGTATAAATCTGTATTTTTAGTTTTTTCCCTTTGATTAGTATGTGTTACATATAAAGACAGAAAATAAAGTATAAATCAAGAGCTTAAATTGTATATAATTTATTTCTACAGAGAAAGAAGATTGATACCTTGCTATGAGTGAATTCCTTTGTTTTATAGGGAAAATTTATTGTGCTTTTTACCTGGTTTTTTCAAATAAAATATTAAAATATTTCTAGAGCAGCAATTATTGCAGCTGTCCTGTAGATATATATCCTATTGATGTGTTTTTAGAAAATGCACTAATGGAAAAGGAAATACAACATAGGGCAAAACTGAGGTAATCAGTGAAAGACTCACAGGAAAAATGTGGTATATATGATCTTGAGAGCTAAGGCAAAATAAAACATTGTAAGTAATAATCTATTAATATAACACCTAAATTTGCTATTACTCCATAGTTTGCATTTTGAACTATTTTCATTTGGCATAAGTATAACCTGGAAAAGGCATGTCTGCCCTTCTTTCAGAGAGGAAAGGTGTTTGAATGGCAAAACCCTTATGTGGTTGAACTTTTCCATTTCTTTCTCTGTGCCTTCATTTGAGCAGGTGGATATTACCTGAGGAAAAAGATGACACAAATGGACTAATTGGCTTTACTCGAAATTCATGATTACAGTGTTCAAATGGGCACTGCTGTAGTTGGAATGTTTATGTTTCCCCAAATTCATGTTGAAATCCTCACCCCTCAGGGGATGGTATTAGGAGGTGGGTCCTTTGAGAGGTGATTAGATTGTCAGGATGAAGTCCTCATTAATGGAATTAGTACCCTTACTCAAGAGGCTCAAGAGATCCCTGTCCCTTCTACCATGTGACGTTACAGTGAGAAGACAGCCATCAGTGAGGAAGTGGGCCCTCACTAGACACCAAATCTTTTGGTGCCTTGATTTTGGGCTTCGAGCCTCCAGAACTGGGAGAAATAAATGTCTGTTGTTTTTATAAGCCAGCTAGTTTATGGTATTTTGGTACAGCAGTCTAAATGAACTAAGACAGACATTCAATATTGCTTTGTAATTCTACTCTTAACTTGCCATGTTTCCAGAGGACTTTTACACCCACATTCTCAGTTAATATCCTTCATAATTCACCAAGAATAGAAACTATTAGATTAATCTTCCTCATTTTCCTATTCTCAAACATCACACCCATCTCCTCTCCTTCCTTGTTTTGTACTTGAGATGTTATCTCTCTTTCTATGACAGGATATTCCCTCCATTATGCTCTGGCTCGCATCTCTCATCTTCTTATTAGATCCTTCTGTCTCTGGGTTATCCCTTCATTTTGCTTCAGCAACAACTGGCCTCTCTGTAGGATTATTCTCAATGTCATAAATAATGTTGTAATGTTCATAGTATTTTTAAAAACTCTCTACTCAGATCCTAACACTTCCATTTCTCTGCTTCCTTTCCTGGTTTAGACATGCTGTCGTCTACTTCCTTATTTCTCATTCTGTCT
The DNA here is from genome assembly GCF_000001405.40 of Homo sapiens. Taxonomy (NCBI): domain Eukaryota; kingdom Metazoa; phylum Chordata; class Mammalia; order Primates; family Hominidae; genus Homo; species Homo sapiens. The sequence continues at coordinate 39,753,910 of NC_000013.11, forward strand.
TTAAAGTATCCCAATATAGTTTCAGTCTCTCACTACTACACCGAAACTAACCTGATAAGCTTTTCATCAGTGCTATATGTTGTCAGATCTAGCAGATTCTTCTGTATCTCTATTTGTTGAACTCTCAGTGTCATTCTACACATTTCTGTTTGAAATTCTATCCTTTCCAGTCTTCCATGGCACCACTTTCTCCTAATTTTCCTCCCATTTCATTAACCCAACCCCCTTTTGACCTTCTTCCCTGGCTCTTTTGCCTCTATATGATTTCTAAAAGTTGGCATACTCTAGGGCTTGATCCTGGATACTTTTTTGTTTTAATCCTTCCTTTAGGGATTTGTTACTTCAACCTTTTCTATCCAGAATAATGTTAGCTTAAATGTCTTTAGATATATCCATATGATGGAGTACAGCAGTGAGAAAATGAATGGTTTTCAAGTACATAATGTTGAGAAAGAAATCAGAATAATATAATACTAATTTTATAGAATGTGGATACATGTAAAGGTGTAAGGAAAATATAGGAAATGATTAATACAATTTAAGATTATGGAGAGGGAAACACAGGATGTGTTGAAGTTACTGATAATGTTTTATTCTTATGCTAGGTTGTTAGTACTCTTAAATATTCTTTAAAATTTTTCATATATGTTACATAAACTTCTGTTCATATATTTTACAATTTTAAAAAATAGTTTAGAAATTTGCTTGGCATAGGGCCTGGGCTAAAGTTAGAACTCAATATATGAGAGCTATTTTTTTTCATTAGTCTTATCATTAAACACATTTCTTAAGTACCTACTAGGTAGTAGGCTTTGTGATAAGCATTTAAAAATATAACCAAATTATGTGTTTCCCGTTGAGGAATTCCCTGTCTTGCACAATGATAGTTACATGTATTGTAAATAAACATCATGAAATTTGGTAGAGTGCTTGTGCATGTTGGCAAGAAGAAAAAATGAACTAATATCATCCTTTATAATTCAGCCGGATGTCCTTGGTATAAGAGGTTGAGAGCACAGAAAACAAAGTTTCAAACCACAACTGTACATTGTTCAGTCTGAGATTATCATAATGATTGGGTTCTATTAACTATTTGGTTAAGATGTAAAATTATGTAATAGTGTGGTGAGAGGAAAAATGGTGGATTAAGGAACTTAAAAATTTTGTCCCTTCATAAAGGTAGCAATAAAACTGGCCTTCAAAAAATGATCAAAGTCAACTTTTTCAGGACTCGAGAAACTAATCAAAAGATCACAGTAACCTGAGTTACTTAAAAAAAGAGAAAAAAAAGCCAAATGTTAGTAATAACAGCAAGCATTTTGGTGTTTAACTTATGCCGTTTCCATACCTTGCTCCCTAGTTCAGCAGTAGTGTTGAAAAGAACACGCCACATTCATGGTATGGGAAAGAGCAGAATGGACCTTATTTGCAGATTATCCTTATTTGATCTGTCTGATAGCTCCCAGGAAAACCCATTTAAAAAACCGGCCTTTATCTTGCCTGTTATGGAACTCACCCTCTACTGGGGTGGGGGTGGGGAATTTATTTAAAACATTTACCTGTCATTGCTACATGAAGCAATGGGTAAAAGTTGGAGCAAACAATAAACTAACCAGAAAGCTTTGGAAGAAAGGTTGGGAATGAGATGTTCATAAGGACTTTGAAAAGCTCTTACGTATTTCTGGGAATCTAGAAGGCTCTGTGCATGTTTAGGACTGTGTGCATGTTCATGAATGAACAGAGAGACCGTAATCTCTCACCTCTGCCTGACCTTGAGGATCTGAGCAAGCAGGGAATGAAGGCAGAAGCAAAGTTAGAAGCTGCCTAGCTGAGTGTCCAAGACATGTCCCAACAGACACACAGAGTCCTTCAGCAAAGACTGAGCAATTTTTTGGTTTAGGCATTCAAGGAACTCTTCATCTAATCATTAGTTGACAATTAAGCTAATGAATCGGACACATAAGTGGTTACACATGACAAAGAATGTAGATTTTACAGAATGAGTTCATGAAAGTCACTAAAATATAATCACAGCTATAAAAGGCAGCAACAACAAACGGGGTGGGGCAAGAGAATCTAATCTGATTTCCAACAGATAGCCCAGATATTGAACTTATTAGACAAAGATTTTAACTATTTTAAATATGTTCAAGGATTTAAGGAAACCAAGTCTGAAGAACTAAAGTATGAGAAGAGTGTCTCACCAAATACAGAATATAATAAAGAGATACAATTATAAAAAGGAAGTTTTTAATACATTTATAATTTTAAAAGTTTAAAGTTACACTTTATAAAAATTATGAAAAACTTATTTGGACATGAGAATTAGTACACAGAATAAATAATACACTATAGGGGATAAAAGCAATTTTGAGCAGGCAGGAGAAAAAACTCAGAAAACTTGAAGGTGGGTCAGTTGAGATGTTCCAGTTTGAGGAAAAGGAAGAAAAAAAAATGAATGAAAGAAAATAGCCTCAGAGGCCTGTGGAGCACCGTCAACAATACACAAACAATAGGAGTCTCAGAGAAAAAGAGAAAGAGTCTGAAAGAATATTTGAAGAAATATTGTCAGGATACTAGAAATTTGGTGTAAAACATTACACATCCAAGAAGTTCACTGAGCTCCAAGTCGGATGAACTAAAAATATGTACACTGGGACACATCACAATCAAACTGTTATAAGCCAAAGGCTAAGAGGGAATCTTGAAAACACCAAGAGAGAGGTAATTCATCACGTACAAGTGATCCTCCATAAGATGAATATCCTAATTTCTCATCAGAAACTGTAGAAACCAAAAGGCATTAGCTGGTATATTCAAAGAGCTCTGGGCGGGGCGGGGGGCGGCAGTGGCGGGGGAACATATCTGTATCTGGCAAAACTGTGAAAACATAGGAGAAATTAAGACATTCCCAGATGAACAAAAACTGAGAATTCATTGTTGGCCAACCTGCCCTAAGTGATTGCTCAACGGAGTACTTGGAGCTGAAATGAAAGGACGCTAGACAAAAAAATCACCAAAAGACTTAAAGAATAACAAGGAAATCGAACACTCAGTAGCTATTCTAAATCACCTAGATCCCATAGACATCAGTGGAACAATCCACCCAACAACAACAGAATACACATTCCTCTCAAATACACAGGGAACACTCTCCAAGATAGACCATATGTTAGGCCACAATACAAGTCTCAATAAATTTTAAAAGATTGAAATTATACAAAGTATGTTTTCAACCACAATGACATTGTAAATTAATAACAAAAGGAAATTTTTAAAATATACTAACATGTGGAAATTAAACAAGATGCTCTTAACCCAGTGGAACAAGGAAGAAATCACGAAGGAAACTAGAAAATACTCTGAGATGAAAGTTTGTAATGAAACACCATACCAAATCTTATGAAATGCAGCAAAAATAGTTCTGAGAGAAATTTATAGCCTACCTTAAAGAGAAAGAAATAAATTAACCTAATCAATAACCTTAAGAAACATAAAAGAAGAGCAAACTAAACCTAATGCAAGAAAAAAGGAAATAATAAAGATTATAACAGAGACAAAGAAAATGGAGACTAGAAAAATGATATAGAAGATTAATAAAACCAAAAGTTAATTCTCTGAAAGGATAGAAACATTGACTAATCTTTAGCTGACTGAACAATAAAAAAAAAAAGACTCAAATTACTAAAGTATGAAACGGGACATTACTGAACTTACAGAAATAAGGATAACAGAATTCTATTAATAATTATATGCAAACCAGTGGAAGTGGACAAATGAAAAACACAAAGTACCAAAATCAACTCAAGAAGAAATATAAAATCTGAATAGAACTATGGCAACAAGATGGAGTCAGTAATCAAAAAACTCCCAACAAGAACAAAGCCCAGTGAATTGCTTCCCTGGTGAATTCACTGGTGGTTTCACATCCATGTATAAGTGGACCCACGCAGTTCAAACCCGTATTGCTCAAGGATCGGCTGTGTATCCAAAATAAACTCTTGCAATTCAACAATAAAAAGACAACCGAGGGCTGGCACAGTGGCTCATGCCTGTAATCCCAGCACTTTGGGAGGCCGAGGCAGGCAGATCATGAAGTCAAGAGATCGAGACCATCCTGTCCAACATGGTGAAACCCCGTCTCTACTAAAAATACAAAAATTAGCTGGGCGTGGTGGCGGATGCCTGTAGTCCCAGCTACTCGGGAGGCTGAGGCAGGAGAATCACTTGAACCTGGGAGGTGAAGGTTTCGGTGAGTCGAGATTGTGCCACTGCACTTCGGCCTGGCGACAGAGCGAGATGCCTTCTCAAAAAAAAAAAAAAAAAAAAAAAATGACGAGCTGGACGCGGTGGCTCATGCCTGTGATCCCAGCACTAGGTGAGAAGATTGCTGGAGGCCAGGAATTCAAGAGCAGCCTGAGAAACATAGCAAGACCCCATCTCTGCAAAATAATAATTTTGGGGCATCAAGTTCTTCCTTGAAAAACAAAACAAAAGACAACTAAATTTTAAAGTGTGCCAAGTATTTGAATAGGTAAAGAAGATGCACAGATAGCTAACCCTAACCCTAACATGAAAAAATGATCAGCATCATTAGTCATTAGGGAAATGCAAGTCAGAATCACAATGAGATTCTACTTTGCACATACTAAGGTGGCTATAATGTTAGTAATTTTAGAAGCTGGTATGATGTGGAGAAATTGGAACTCCCATATGTTGCTGGTGGGGATATAAAGTGGTACAGCTGATGTGGAAAACAGTTTAACAAACAGTTCCTCAAAAGAGTTATGATATGACCTAGCAATTCTATGCCTAGGCTTTTACCCAAGATAATTGAAAATTTATGTCTACCAAGACTTTTACATGAATATTCATGGCAGCACTTATAATAACTGAAAATTAGAAATAACTGAAATATCCATCAGCTAATGAATGGATAAACAAAATGTGGTATATCCATACAATGAAATATTATTCATTTATAAAAAGGAATGGACTACTGAAACATGCTACAACATGGATGAATCTTGAAAACATTATTCTAATTAGAAGCCAAGCACAAAAGGCTATATATAATTTGATTCTATTTTAATGAAATCTCCAGAATAGGCAAATCCACAGAGACATATAAGTAGATTAGCAGTTTCCAGGGGACAGGGAGAGGAACTGATCGGGAAGAGACAGCTAACAGGTACTTTTTGGAGTGATAGAAATGTCCTGGAACTACACAGTGATGATGATTGCACAGCATTGAATATACTAAAAGCCACTGGATTGTGCTCTTTTTAAAATGGTAAATTTTATGTTATATGAATTTTTTCTTAAAGTAAATTGCAAATATAATGGAATTAAAACAGGCCTGTTCTCATGTCTTAATTGTGATCTTTTGTGTTTTTGTGATCTGATGGCCTCTTTTGAAAACCAAAAATTGAGGAATATTTTCCTTGAACCTGGTGATAGTACTGATATATAATTGTCCAGTCTTGGAATATTTACCAGTTTTTTTATACACTATGGACTTTAAAATAAATATGTAAGTAAAATGCAGAGTCATATAATAATATTGAATACTTGCAGGTCAGTTAATCTTTCCTAATTTAGTTAAATATGCTGTTTAGAATAATAAATAGGCCTACATATGGTTACTTTGGGGCTATAATTATATTAAGCACAATTACCTATCATCTTGAATTTGCATACTTACTTCACCTCTGAGAGAATGTGCTTTGGAAGATAGATAATATAATTATGTATTTTTGCAGGTCCAAATATGAAATTTCTATAAACTAGCTGAGAAATGAATGTAATAGTAATAATTAGATTAATAACAGCATATTAGTCTATCAAATCCAACTACCCTTAATGCCAGTGAATGTTAAAAGTAAAACTTTCTTAGCACTGACAATTTAATAAGTAAAAATAAATGGTACTAAGCTTACAAAAATTAGCTGAATTGGGGAAATTGTTGATAAGGCCACAAGTATTAACATGTTATACTTGCTTGCTTTGAGGGTATATAGCATCTTTTGGCAAAGTGTTACATTATTGTGAATTTAACAGTGAAAGTTTAAGCCAGTCTAGGATTTCAAAGTTTATAACTTTACTACCAGGAAATTAATTTACTTAAATATGTTCTTTGTTTCCATCAATGTCAACATCTGAAATTCCACTGGAGAAGTATTAGCTTTGGCCTACTAAAAGCAAAATGACAAGAAGCAAGAATGCAAGCCAGCATCAAAAATTGGTCTCCTGTTTTGAGATTGCCCCGAGTCTTTCTGGGGGTATCATTTATATAAGTCTAATTTTCGGGATTCAGGCAAGAGCTGGCCATTGTTGTGCTAGCTGGGCCTCCAGTGGAATGTAAAATGATAATGAAGATTGAACTGAGGTAGAAAAATGAATTTACCTTAGAAAGGACACCAAAGATTTGATTAGTATTCCACATAGTTGCCATACGTATTTAATTGCAGACTAGGAATTTTTCTTGCTTTAAACTATTAGATTCTTTTACAGACAAAGATATAAGCAAGCCAAGCATTAAAAAGCCAAAAAGGTGCTGCTAAAAAAGAAAATAAACCACAAAAACAGAAAGAACATCTCAATGTACCCTGCCTTTATTCTAAATCTTACAAAAAAGAAAATAATTTCTCCACTGAACTATTAATAGGTTAATATAATGAATCATACAATAACAAACCATAATAGAATTTGCATTAACCAAAAAATGTGCAAACACACTACTATGATTTACCAAAAGACTCTCTGCAAGTGGTAAATCATTAGCTCTAGTGTTGCTCTTTGTAACCTCAGGTCTTTGGGGAATGGTGCAGAATTAGTATTGCTTCCTTCTTTCTGTGTGTGATAATGGTGGGGGAAGGCTAGTACCATCTCTGTCATACATCAAATTCCCATATGTGAATAAATTTATGTATTTTTACTGCACTCTTTTTATAGGTTTATTCATTCCTGCACCAACAACGAATGCCATTATTATAACTTTATAGAAAGTCTCAATATATGGCACAGTGCTTCATTTTCTTTTTTTCATCTAGAGTGCCTTAGCCATTCTTGGCTTTCTGCTGTTCCACAAATAGCAATGTAAATTTGTCAGTATAATAGAGAATCCACTTATATTTCTTCAACAGCTATTGGGAATATGGTTGGGATTACTTCAACTCTATGTATCAATTTGAGGAGAATTGATATCTTTATAAGATTAATCCAAATCACAGCATGTCAAAATTTCCTTATTAGGGTAGTTTTAATGTCCTTCAAAAACACTGTAATTTTCTTCATATAGATCTAAGAAAACTTTGGTGTTTATTCCTAAGAAATTTATAGTTCTTGTTTTGTAAATGATATCTATTCTTAAGTTACACTTAAACTTATTTGTTGCTGTATATAGAAATGGAATTGACTTCTATGTACAGCAGTTGCAAACTGATATTCATATGCAGAAAGTGAAACTAGACCCCTAATGGATAAAAGACTTAAATGTAAGACCTGAAAGTATGAAACTACTAGAAGAAAACATATGGGAAACACTTCAGTACCCTGGCCTGGGTGAAGATTTTATGGAGAAAACCTCAAAAGCATAGGCAACAAAAGCAAAAATGGACAAATAGGATTATATCAAACTAAAAAGATTCAGCACAGTAAAAGAAATAATCAATAGAGTGAAGAGACAACCTTCAGAAGATATTTGCAAACTATTCATCTGACAAGGGATTAATATTTAGAACATACAAGGACCTCAAACAACTGAGCAACAACAACAAAAATATCCAATTTTAAAAATGGGCGAAAGAGCCAAATAAACATCTCTGAAAACCAGACGCAAGTGGCCAACAGGTATATGAAAAAAAAAAAAATGCTGAACACCGCTAATCATCAGGGAAATGCAAACCAATACCACAATGAGATATTATCTCATTTTGGCTATTATCAAAAAGAGAAAAAATAACAAATGTTGACAAGAATGCACAGAAATGGGAATGCATATGCTGTTGTAAATTAGTCCAGCCACTATGGAAAACAGTATAGAGATTCCTCTAAAAACTAAAAATAGAACTACCATATGATCCAGCAATCTCACTACTGGGTATATATCTAAAGGGAATTATGGATATGTTGAAGAGACATTTTATTTTTACTCCAATGTTTATTGCAGCACTATTCACAATAGCCAAGATATGGAATCAACTTGTGTCCTTTAACAGATGAGTAGATAAAGAAAATGTGGCATATATACGCAGTGGAATACTATTTAGCCATAAAAAATAACAAAATTATCTCATTTGTGCCAACATGGATAACTTGGAGGACATTGTATATTTAGTGAAATAAGCCAGGCACAGAAATATAAATACTGCATGTTCTCACTCAGGTGAAAGATAAAAACATTGATCTCATAGAAGTAGAAAGTAGAATAATTGATACTAGAGGCAGGGACATGTAAGGAGATGGGAGTGGGGATAGTCAGAGGTTGGTTAATGGATACAAAAGTACAGCTAAATAGTAGAAATAAGTTCTAGTGTTCTATAGCACTGTAGGGTGACTGTAATTAACAACAATCTATTGTATATTTTCAAGTAGCTAGAAGATTTTGAATGTGTCTTACAGAAATGATAAACATTTGAGGTGATGGACATGCTGATTACCCTGTTAGATCATTACACATGGATACATGTATCAAAATATCACACTGTACCCCATAAATAAGTACAATTAAAAAATAAGTGGAATTGATTTTATATGTTGATTATAATAGATCGAGGCACCTTCATAATATTATTTTCCGTGATTTTTCTTTGAGTTTTCTCTATATAGATCTATTTGAGACAAAATAAGAGTTTTTTTTTTTTTTTTCTTTGAAGCCTATGTACCCTTTATTTCTTTTTCTTTTCTTTTATGCTGGCTAGAACCTCCAGCAGAATGTTAACTAATAGCAATGATAATGGTTACTTTTCTTAATTCAGATTTCAGTATCTCACCATAAAGAATTATACTTGCTCTAAGTTTTCAGCAGATAATCTTTATCAGAGAGGAAGTTATTTTGTATTCTCACATGCTGTTATTAATTATGAATGGACGTTGAATTTTAAGTGACTTTCAGAATCTATTGAGATGATCACTTGGCTTTTCTCCTTTATTTGTTAATGTGATGAATTATATTTATAATTTTCCTGGCATTAAATCACTCTTGCATTCCCAAAATAAGCCTAAGTTGATCATATTATTTTCCCTTTCTGTATAAATCACTGGATTTAGTTTTGTATGTTTTTGTATATTTAGTAGCAACCTTGCTAAATTTACTTATTAATTGTAAGCGTTATTTGTGTATTATTTTGTATTTTCTAAATTGGCAAGCACACAATCTATATAATTAGTGACAGTTTTCTTTCTACCTTTTTATCGTTTCTTGCTATGTGGCACTACATAATGTTTAACCATTTACAGTGTTACAAAGTTGAATAGAAATGGTAATTGCGGTCACCCTTGTCTTTTTCCAAAATGTGGGGAAGGAGAGGAAGCTTTCAATTGTTAGATAGGTATTTTGTAGATAAGCTTTATCAAATTAAGAAAGTTCCTTTCTGTTCCTGGTGTGTCATGATTATTTTAAATAACAAATAAGTATTGAATTTTATCAATTTTTTTTCTGTATCTATTTAGAGATCAATACAGAAAAATAATAGAGAATCCACCTATATTTCTTCAACAACTGTTGGGAATGTGGTTGGGATTACTTTGACTCTAAGTATCAATTTGGGGAGAATTGATATCTGTGCCTCCCCCCTTTTACTTACTTAATATGGAGAATTTCAAACATCAGCCTTGCATTTCTGAAATAAACCCAGTGGTCATAATGTACTATCCTTTTTATATATCTTTTTATTTTATATGATAACACTTCATTTAGGATTTTTACATCTTTGTTCATGAGAAAGATTGCCCTGTAATTTTCCTTTGTTTAAAGGTCTTTGTCAGGTTTTGATAACAGGATAATACTGGCCTCATAAAACAAATTGGTACATATTCTCTCTGTTATCTGGAAGAATGTAAGATTGTTATTACTTCTTTCTTAAATGTTTAGAAGAGTTTCAAGTAGAGCCAACTAAACCTGGAGATGCCTTTGTGGGAAGGTTTTTAATTAAAAATCCCATTTTCTAAATAGACGTAAAACTGTTTGGTTGTTCTATTTCTTCTTGTGTCAGTTTTGGTAAATTTTATTTTGCAAGGTATATGTCCATTTCATCTAACCGTTTTTGTCATAATGTTCTATCATTTTAGTTTTTTAAGGTCTGTAGACCTAATATTGGTAATTTGTGTTTTCTTTCTTTCTTTTTTTCCTTGGTTAGTCTTGGAAGAATTATGAATTTTATTTATCCTTTCAAAGAACCTATGTTTTACTTGGTTGATTTTTTTTTTATTGTATATTTGTTTTCTATTTCATTTATTTTTGCTCTATATTTTTCCTTCCTTTTACTTTCTTGGTATTTTATTTTCTCCTCTTTTTCTTTTCTTGAAATGGAAGCTTATATTATTGATTTTCAGACCTTTTTCTGTTGTAATGTATTCATTTAAATATATTTAATGTGTTCATCTGTGTTTCCATCTAAGCACAGGTTTAGCTATATCCATAAGCTTTTATATGTCATATTTTCATTACCTTTTACTTCAGAAGTATTTGCTAATTTCCATTGTGATTTATTGTTTGACTCATAGATTACTTAGAAATATATTTTCAAACATATGAATGTTTTCTGGTTATTTTTATATTACTGATTTCAAGCTTAATTCCGCTATAACCAGAAAATGTATTCCTAGTATCATCCTTTTGATATTTATTCATACGTACTTTATGGTCCAACATATGATTTGTTTTAGTAAATTGTTCTTTCTAGATTTAGAAATGTTTTCTGTAGTATTGGGTGCAGTGCTCTGCATATGGTAAAAGGATAAATTTTGTTAATCTTGTTTAAATCATCTATAGCCTTTCTGATTTTTAATCTGCATAGTGTATCAGCTACTGAGAGATACTTGTTAAATAACTATGATTGTGGATTTTTCTGTATTTTTAGTTTTGTCAGTTTTTGCTTTATATGTTTTTACGCTATTTCTAGATATATAAATTCTATCTATTATGATTTCTTCTTTGAACTATGTGTTACTTAGAAGTATGTTATTTGCATTTTTGCTATTAAAGTTTTTAGCAAGGAAATAAGGCAATCAAATTTGTTCCTTAAAAAAGAGTCGCTAAGAGACTTCCTTCTGCCATGCCCTCTGATATCTCTCTCTTTCTGTCTCCTATTCCACAGTTTATAAAAATTAACTGTAGACTTACCAATTAAGCCAATCACGGATATATGAATTACTGGCAGTTCCATTTGCTTTGATCCCATGGTAAATTAAGCAAATCCTCACAGCATATTGAGGCCCTATTCATATTGTTCACTTATCCTTCTCTCCCAGACCCTGGATTGGGTGAGTGGGATTCTGTTGGTTCTAGCTGATTTTTGAATACTAGCATATGACTTTAATCTCTGAAAGATCTAGATATCTCATATACTAGAAATAATCTTATTTCACTCACTGAAATGACCTTAATCCCAAAATGTGTTATGGTACTCAATCACATTAACAAGTTTAAGCAAGTATGTCAGATTGATTTCCAGCTTTTGGTGTTTTAAGATAAAATGTGAATCCTTTTTTTAACTGTATGTTGCAACTTTCCTTCTAGGTGGTTTCTTGAACAAAATAAAGCAGTTTTCTTACTGGGTAGACATCCTGCTTTAAAAATTATTCATAATCTGGAGCCTAAACTTAATGTAAAACTCTGAGTTTGGTTTATATCCAATAGCCTAAGGTTTCATAGAATTTTGGTGGTCGGCAAAGGAATTACTGGAATAAAAATATCACAGCTTCTGTGCTGTGTGCAGATACTTACTGAGTGTAATGAAGGAATTACTCTCTAACCGAGCACATATTCTGAGCAATTAGGCCAAGTGCCAAAACCATTAAGGCTCAAATGCCAAGTGCCTGTAGGGAGGGTTCTGTTACAGGATTTAGCAACCCAACCCTTGGCTCACTTACCAGAGGGTGGCACTCCAGGCTTCCTGATAACTGTGCCAGCCTGGCTGAGACTCAGCAGCTGCCATCCAGCCACTTCTGGCTTCTGGACCCTCTCCCCAGTACTGCCTCTGTCTCCACCCTTCTCGCCCATCTGCCCCTCCATCTGCCTGTCAGTTGAGCAGTGGCTACACAGTTGGGGACACCTTACATGTTGAGTCATGACTCCCAGCTAACACATTGCATTCACCTTCCCTGTTCCTCCACCACCTACCAATACTTCTCCCACTTGGCAACTTGAAAGGAAAGGGTTGCCAATTTCTGTTTCATAACATTTCAGGGGCTTCCATTCAGAGGCTTCTGGAGTATCCTGGCACTCAAGGAAACTGGGCATGGAGGTGGAGTAGGGAGAGCCACTCAGAGGATTCTGGGCATCCAGTCACCCCTGGCCCATTCCCAAAAAAACCTGGGGGAACAAGAGTAGCCTTTGTAACTCCAAATTTCATCAAGATGAGCTGAAATCTGGTTCTGTCATTTCCCCATCCTACCCCATCCCATACTCCCTCCTAACCCCATCCCATACTCCCTCCTAACCCCATCCCAAAACCAGAGCAGTGGAATATCTTAACAATTTGACTTTTATCCAGAACTGAGGCTCTTTATTTGTTAGAACTAAGCATTTGGTCCAAGATTTTCTAATTCTTTCTGTGGGAACTTGAATCAGCACCCCCTCCCCAAGCTCCCACAGAAGAAGCAGATGGGGATCTTGGCAAGGTTTGGAAGTCCAGGACTTGGACAGGTTGAGAGTTCTATTTGCCAGGCTGAATTGCTTGTAATTAAAAAGCTTATCCTCCTACTTTTTTGCGCTTCTGAACTTATCTGAAGAATCAACAGAGTATTTAATCATGCATAGAAACAAATCTGTGCATATAAGTGAAAATCTGCATTTAAAGGCAGGTGCTTACCAGGAGAGATGAGTCACGTAAGCTGGTTAGGGTGAAGTTAAGCTCTCTAATGTTGACTTGACATGTCTTGTTTTAAAGGGTGATAGGGTATGATCAGTGTTTTGTGTACAGGTTAGGGCTGGGGTATGGAACTCTACCCCCTTCCTTCTCTATTTGTTTCCTTCATCTCCTTGCCTAAAAAGTGCCTACAATAAGCACTCTGCATATTTTGGGTCTTCTTAGTGACACTTACTGACACCAGATTGTTAACGTTTATCTGCTTTCTACAACAGAAAAGAAAATAACTCATTAGTCTTGACATTTTAATGTGTGAGGGTTTTGAGACAAAAAATAATTTGGCTCCTTCCGGACTAAGTTGTGCTAATTGCCAGATTGTACTCATGTTAGGAAATTGAGAACAAAGTGAAGCATGACCACTTGAGGCTCTTGGGATAATGAGAGTTTTAGGTTATTGTCAGAAATTACGGATTTTTTTCTTGAAAATATTTTAAAGGAGGTGAGTAGGTGACATTTTTCCCCCTTCAGGAGTTCTTACTGGGGGCATTGATGATTTTCGGAGTGGAAGTGGAGGTGGCAATGGCAGGAAACATTGTAGTTTATGTACCACATGTTAGCAAAGAAGGGCGTTCTCTCTGTGTGTGTTAGTGGTGGGAGCATTTACTAAATCTAACCAAAGCCTGATTGTGTACAGACTTTCAGGGAAGGAGCAGAAGATGTTACTTTTATGGGCTCCCTTACAGGGTGATAAAGACTTGTGCGGCTGCTTGGAAGTATTTCACCCCTGCAGTCATGTTCCTTTCACTCAGGCCAACAGCCTCAACTCCAGCTCTGAATCTGCCACGAAGGCAACTAGACATGAAAAGTCCCAATTTTACAGCTTGCTCTGGTAGCCATGCCAAGGTGAGCTAGAGACAGCAAAGGGATAGAAAAGCATTGCTAAACTGGAGCTTTGATTTTAAAAATGGAGACCTGCTGGCAAAAGATGAGACTTGGTTACATTTAGTCAGTCCCAACTCTGAGCTGTCATTGCACAAGAGCAGCCACAAGCCGGGGGTTTCCACATGCTGTCCATTAGGAACCAGGGTCTCTTCTATCTAGGTGGCACTGCCAGGCACTCTCAGATCTTACCTGCTCACATTCATTTATGTAACTTCTCTTTCTTGCAGTTTAACACACATGTCTGTCTATCTCTTTCACACTCACACACAATGAGATTTAGTAACCCATTTTAATGAGGCAATTATATTTTAACTCTATTATGTGCAATTATGCACTCTTTTAAATTGCCTCAGCTGGAGTGCCCTGGTGTTGGTATCTCACTGGCACTTACTTGCTGGTCCCTGGGGACCAGCTGGGCAGCTGAACCCGGAACACTGCCACTCCTCCTGGCCCCTACTGCCACTCCACAGGTGGCTTAGCACTGCCACAGGGCGGGACAATTGCAATTTCCTGGCCCACCCAGTGGAGCTCTTGATTGCTGTGTGGGTGGCCTAGATCTTTCTCATCTGCTTTGCTGTACCAGCAGGATTGTTTATCCAGGGCTCAGAGCCCCAGGTAGTCCTCTAGCTTGGAGGGGCCAGAAAAACAAACCTGGATAATCATAGCCATGCCCTTAATCTGATGTTTTTTCTTTTTAGTCATCTAGGCTCTAGGTTCCTGGGGGTGGGAGTCAGAAGCAGAGACTCCTAATACACTCATCTTCATACTACCTTTGCAGTCAAGGCTCAGTGGTAACTTTTCATAAGAAAGTTGTAATTACGTGATATCTGCTTCATTTAAAATAATATATGATACTATTATATATCATAATATATATAATATGCAGGCACCTATAGACTTCACTACTCAACTCAATAACTGGAATGTTTCAAATACTCTTGCATCTGCCTGTGCATATGTATCCCACCCCCCGCCTACCATCAGAGGGAAGCATTTGCTTGAATTTTGCCCTGACCTTTCACTTGATTTTTTTAAGGTTTTATCACATATGTATGTATCCCTATTCATTATTTTTTAGTTTTGCATATTAAGGTAAAATTATTCTGTAGGTAGCCTTCTGTAATGTTTTTTCCCCACTTAACATAATGTTAAGATTCATCTCTGCACCTCTGTGGAGTTGTAGTTCATTTATCTTCATTGCTGTATAATCCACTGTGACAAGTTAGTCACCCTCCTGTCAACAGAATGTCTGGAGCTTTTCTAAAGTCTTTTGTTTCTTTAGCATTGTGAACAATGCTTCCATAACACTCCTATGTACACATACTAGTGTTATGCATGAGAATTTCCCTACCTTGGAGTGAAATTCCTAGGTTACAGAATATGAGAATGTTCAAGATTATAAGAGAGTGCCAAATTGTTTTTCAGAGTGGTTGAACCAACTTATACTTTCTCCAGCCAGGCAGTTGCAATATTCCAGATTACCATGTTCTGTGTCCCATGTGATATTAAGAGTACATTTAGAAATGAATTCCAGCTGTTGGCCGTGGGACCTGGGAAAGATTACTTGCTCTCTCTAAGCCTGTTTTCTCATCTGCAAAGTAGGAATTATAAATTGCATTAAGGTATAGGTTTATTGTGAGAACTAAAATAATCTGTGCAAAGCCAGGTAATCTAGTACAGAGCTAGATACACAATAGTGTCCAACAATTATTAGAAATTATTATTTTATGTTAAAACTGAAGAGTAGAGGGAAATAGTCGAATACAGTACTGCTATAGTCTGAAAGTTTCTGTCTCCCCTGAAATTCATATGTTGAAACCTAACCCCCAAGGTAATGGTATTAAGAGAGCGGGGCCTTCGGTTGGTGATTAGGTCATGTGGCTGGATCCCTCATGAAAGGGTTTTGTGCCCTTATAAAATAGGCATGAGAGAGCTTGTTTGCCTCTTCCACCACGTGGAAGGTCCCATCTTTGAAGCAGAGAACAAGCCCTCACCAGACTCTGAATCTGCTGATGCCTTTGATCTTGGACTTCCCAGCTCCTAGAACTGTGAGCAATACATTTCTGTTTATAAATTACCCAGTCGAAGGTATTTTGTTAAGCAGCCCGAACTAACTAAAACAAGTAGCTAACATCTAGCAGTCATGCTGTTGAACTCTTTACCTTATAGTACCACACACAATTTAAATCTGTCCTGCAAAGAAAATTAGAAATCAATATCGGGAAGTGAAAATATTCTCCAGTTCATATCACAAGTGGTAGGCAGTTTGGTAATTTATCTAATTAACACCCACGACTACTGCTATTGTCTTACACATATTAGTTAGGTTTTCTTTTTGGGCTGCAGTGGAATGCCACTGACCTCAGCACTCCAGAAGACAACACATGCCACACAAAGACTCCCTCACATTGACGGAGGTGTCCTTAGAGACAGCTAACAGGGATGCTAAGAGCAGCCAACATTTCCACAGGGCTTTCACAAAGCGCATTCATGTATGGCCTCTCATTAGCCTCCTCACTGAGGTCCTCAAAGTTACATGTTATTTCTCATTCAATTTTTACAGATAAAGCAGCAACAGTAAGAGACAATTAAGTGATTTGTCTTATATGACAGAAGCTTGACTGAAGCCCAGGTCTTCTGTCACTGGATCCAGTATTTTTTTCCACTGCCTCACCCTGCCCCCTGTATTATGCTCCATAGTACGTGTTTATCGTGTTTATTCATTTTTCCTTTCAGTGCTATTTAATTTAATCCATTTGATTAAAAAGAGAAAGAAATCCATTTGTGTCTCCAGAGGTGGCTATAGCCATTAGTCAGAATACTGAACAAAGTTCACTGTCAAATTTGCTTAAAGAGGAATGGTGCAAGAATTAATTGTGAAAGGCTTATTTGAAATGAAAAAGGCCTAAGATCACGGGCTTTCATTTCTCCCAATCAAGTTTTAATTACTGAAAAGTTTAGTAACAGCTGAAGCGTGTAGTTACCGCACTCTTTATTGCCAAGAGGTTTTTTCAAAAGGACTTCCACCGCCTCATTGCCTTCTCTTCTTGTTTCTACAAGACCTCACTTGATAACATTAATTGTCTTTTTAGTTCACTTTCATTAAAGAAAATCCTACATTCTCTGGGGCTCAAGCATTAGCTGCTCCTCATTAGCTGCTCCTCATGTCATGTAAGTAGCTGCAGATCAGGTCCATGCAGACACGTGTGGCACTGCTGAGCACTGCCACCCCCTCCCACATCAGCAGGAAGAAAGCCTGCCACTGCTTAGGGTCATTCCATACAAGGTTGATGGGCAGGGCCACCAATTCCCAACAACTTAAGGCCTGTCCTCTGCGTATCACTCAGCAGGTAACAGATCCAACCATCTTTCTGGCTTGTTTCCCGCAGGTACTGAAAGGCATTTGCTGTGTTTAAGTCATCCTGTAAGATTTCCAAGCACTTCTTCGTCCATCGTCTCCACACTGGACAAGAATAGCCAGGTGTGTGTCCCAGAGACACCTGGAGGGAGTTATAGTGAGGGGTAACTGGTGGCTCACCCGCTGCCCAGCGCTCCCCAGGGAGACCCGGCCCTGCTGCTCAGTCCTGCCACTTGGTCTTCACAGTAAGCTTTGTGACTGGGCCCTGGAGTCAGAGTCAAGGAAGTGCATTGGCACAGAAGGATGGTCCTCTGCAGGAGGACAGTCTTGGTTCCATCTCTCATTTGGGCTGCTGCCTTGGCAAAGTACATTTAACTCCACTGGCCTTTTCTTACTTGCCTGAGGAAGATAATACAAATATATAGTCTACCCACCTCACCAAATTGTTTTGAGCATCCCTGAAAGTAATGACTTGAAAGCTTAATTGTATAAAGTAACTGAAAAGCACATATGATCTTATGGTTATTAAAAATGACCACGGGCCCTTCTCATCTCATCCCCCTGCCTGATTCACTTTTTCATTTATCCATTCAACACCTTTTTCTAATGCTTGCCAGGTTCCTGGCGCTATACTTGGTGCTGGGGGGAAAAGCACTGAACAAGATACATACCTTCCAAGGGTGCAAGGTAGGGGTGAGAAGGCTGAAGCCTGGCACAGAGTAGAAATAAAACTACCGCTGTCTCATTCAAAAACTTCCTCCCAAATTAAGTACAAAGGCCTCAGCCTCCTTTCCAGGTCTTCCCCAGCAAGGCCCTGTCCTGCTGGTCCAGTTCTGGTGCTGGTCCTCACAGCAAGCTTGGTGTGATTAGAACCCAGAGCATGTATCGGAAGATATGTGTTCTCTGAACACATCTTGTGTTTCATCTCTGCTCACATTGTTTCCTGAAATGTCTTCCCTTGCTCCAGTTTTGCTTAACCTCTTACAGTAGTTGTCAAACTTTTCCTGATTTCCTCTCCTGACCCACTGATGACTCTCCTACCTCTGAGCCTCCAGAATATATTGTACCTGCTTCACATCATAATTCTTTGCATATTTTATTCAATAAACATCTCTTGAGTCCTATCGTGTGTCAGGCATTTGGCTCAGCACTAAGCATTCTATTTTAAGCCAAACAGACATGATTCCTGCCCTCAGGGAGCTTGTAGTCTTTATTTCTTCAGCTCTCCATTGTTTGAGGGTTGAGGGCTGGATCTTTCTCATCTTTGTGTTCTTTATAGGACACCAGCCTCTGAACATCAGTTGAACTGGTCTTTTAAAGTTAGAGGAGCTGTCAATAAACACCTGACATAGGCTTTCCTAAAGTTCCCTGGCACCATGGAGTCACATCACGTATCATCTGTTTCCTGGCCTAGGGGCTCTTCTCAGACTCACTGTGCTGGCCTGAGAACTCAGTTCTTGACCTCTTAAGGATGGTCCAGGTAGCCAAGTACTTGATTTTCCTTATGGTCTTTTTAGGAAACAGACATCCTTCTTCCAATTACCTTGGGCTCTCCTGCCCCCATTGAGGAACTGAAGGCTTTTACAGAGCCTCCAAATGTTCCAGCCAGAGGCTCTAGTTGCAAAGCAGTTGCTAGCTGGTGAAGACCTGCCCTCCTGCCACTGTCTCTGGGGACTATCTTCTTTCGGAACATTTGCCATTTTGGATCACCAATTTGGGGCCAGGAGCTTTGTATATTTTATGTCTCCTCCTAACATCAAACTGACAAGGTAGACCTGGGTCTCTGTTTATTAGTCGAGAATCGGAAGGGCTTTAGAGATGGAGGGACTTGCCCCAGTGGCACAGCAAGATCAAAGCCATTTCTATCCACCCCCACTCCTCTTACCTCTCCACCTTCCCTCCATCCTAATGCCAGGAAGGGAAAAATAGCCTGTCTGTCTTCAAGGCAGCCAGAGGGAGGAGATGACTTCCAAGGGTGCAGGTCATTTGGGATATTTACAAACACTTATTTCTTAGGAAGAGGCTTAGGCCTAAATGGAAGCCACAATAGGCACTTTCCAAATCAACTTCCTTGGTAGTGTGAGGGGAAAGATCTTTACATGATCTTAAGCACTGGAGATTGTCTATTTCTGAGACTCCTGACAAAGAGAAAGATAATTTATGCCATTTTTACATTTTTCCACTAACAGCCAAACAGGCAGGGACACCATAATTCTCAATTATTAGAAGCTGCGTATGTTTTACCTCTGCTTCAATTAGAACAAGAGGAAAACAAAAGCCCTGAACTGAAGAGTGAATGATTTTAGATTGGCGGCACCCATTTAATAAAAGAGCTGGGCCACTATCACTTAGGAGTTACTCTATTTAGAGAGAATAATCACTGGAATGTAGAAACTCTGTTCCAGCCTGACTCCAATCAGGATTCTTTTAAAGCTAGTAGTTTTGAGGAAATAGGTTAATTATTTTTTATTACTTAAGTTCTATCCACCTCACAATCAGCTACTTATTGCTTAAAAGTCAATGCATTCCTTAGAATAAGAAATGCTTTGGATAGCACATGTAAAACCTATCATGGTGTACTCTAATTGGTCCAGATGGAAATGGAAATTACAAACCTATTGACATTTTTGCTTTTTTTTTTTTTTACCCAATCATGTCTAAATACTGACCAAAATAAACCTAGAAATTAATCATACAAGGGAATGTGAAGGTTGGCAGACGTTTGGTTAGAAATCCATAGGAGTATGTGGTGTGGGCTGACTGTACAGGCTTCGAAACTGCCCCACAGTCACAGATCAGGATGGTCAAATTGCAGGAAATGACCGGCTGACTGCTTCCCTGACTATGTTTAAAGGGCAAATGAGAGCATGCTATTTATAGGATGCTCATCAATAAGCTCCAAGTTCATAGCTGCCGAAGGAAACCTTAGTCTTGACTTTCAAAGTCTTCCACATTATTCTTTCCCAAACCACATATCATTTTAAAACTTTATGAAGGTAATACACATTTTGAAGTCTTCTTTTTGCCAGTGAAAAATCATTTTTCCCCTAAATGTTAGGCCAGTTGTTTCTGGTATTTACAGAAGAATATAAGATATTTATTAAACATTGTTTTAAAAAACAAATATGAGAACTATATTTAGTATTTGTTACAACTGATGCTCAAAAACTCTTTGGTGGTGTTGGATATTTAAAAATTTCTTTTCACTTCTGTGGACTTTTATGCTGGTTCTTTTGTAAGTCTTTTTGTTTATAATTTACTTTTATCAGTGGTTTGGAGCAGAATTTTAAATATTTTTACATCTAGGAAGTTCACAAAGTTGGAAAAAAATTTCTTTTTTCTTTTTTTTTTTGAGACAGAGTCTCGCTCTGTCACGCAGGCTGGAGTGCAGTGGTGCCATCTCAGCTCACTGCAACCTCCACCTCCCGGGTTCAAGCGATTCTTCTGCCTCAGCCTCCCGAGTAGCTAGGATTACAGGTGCATGCCACCATGCCCAGGTAATTTTTGTATTTTTAGTAGAGACAGGGTTTCACCATATTGGCCAGGCAGGTCTCAAAATCCTGACCTCATGATCTGCCCACCTCATCCTTCCAAAGTGCTGGGATTACAGGTGTGAGCCACCGCGCCTGGCTGGAAAAAAATTTCAAAGTTTATATTTTCACACCATTGCAAAATCAGTGTGATTGTATTCAGATAATTCCGAGAGATTGCAAATTTATTATTAATAGTTACATTAAAAGAGGCTATAAAAATGCAAAGCTACAAAAATGACAATGAAATATCAACACTCAGGCAGGGGAATGGGCATTTCCATTGCTCATTGCTCTCCCAGCCTTGGAGGAAGTTCTGCTTTTGCTGGGAGGCCGTCAGGCATCATGGGTGGGTGTGTCTGCTCGGGAGCCAGGCCTGGCCTGGAGGTTCCATTTCGTTTGTCATCTGTTACCTAAGGTAAGTTACTCTGGGAAAGTAACATAACCTAGTTTGTCTCAGTTTCCTCATTGGTCAGATGAGGCTAATGATGTTGTGACTCAAATAAGTTAAGACAGGTAAAAAGTGTAGAACAGTGGAGGGCACAAAATCAGCATTCACTGGATGTTAGCTCTTCTTATTTTCATTATAGTTATGTTTCTAGGATTAGATTTGAGAAAAAGAAAAAGTATACAACAGCTCAGTTTTCTCCACACACTCTACCCACTTGGTATAATGGGAAAAGTTCTAGATGAAGAACGAGGACATCTGGGATCCAGTCCTGACTTTGACTTTCACTAGCCTTTGACCTTACTATACATCCTGGGTTTTGGTTTCCTCATCACTAAAACTGAGGGGGGTTGTACAGAAGGCTCCCTGCTCCCATTCACCCCTCACATCCTGTGACCTTGCTTGAGTGGCTCACAAAGCCCTAATAATGTAGTTCTTTTTCATGTAGTTTTACATTTTAATACAATACCGAAACAAATTAAAGCATCTGGAATCCAGCTACAGTAAAAGCTGGAAATATCCTAAAATAATCTTTCAGAGATACATCTGAAATTTTTTTTTTTTTTTTGAGACGGAGTTTTGCTCTTGTTGCCTAGGCTGGAGTGCAATGGTGCGATCTCGGCTCACTGCGACCTCTGCCTCCCAGGTTCAAGTGATTCTCCTACCTCAGCCTCCCAAGTAGCTGGGATTACAGGCATGTGCCACCACGCCTGGCTAATTTCATATTTTTAATAGAGATGGGGTTTCTCCATGTTGGTCAGTCTGGTCTCGAACTCCCCACCTCAGGTGATCCACCCGCCTTGGTCTCCCAAAGTGCTGGGATTACAGCTGTGAGCCACTGCACCCGGTCGAAAGTTTTGTTTTAGGCAAACTTCTGATCAGCAAAAAGCTGGAAAAACGTAACTATATTTTAAAAGATAAAGAAAACAACTACAAAAGAATAGTAGTATCAGCACTTTCCTTCCAGTGTTTGGCTTTGTTTCTAGGAACTCTGAGGTGAAAAAAAAGAGGCAGAGGAGGGAGGAGGAGTAGGCAGAAGGGGAGCAAGAGGATACAACTTGTGTGCTATGTGTGGTTGTTATTTTAAGGAAGTTTATTCTGACCAATTTTATCCAAAGAATAAATCAACAAACACCCAGAAGCAATCTGCCCTAAGTTTTTTATTTCCAATATAGACCTAATCAGAATAATCAGGTTTTGTCAAAAAAGTTTCCAGTAAAATAGCTGTCTCTGTCTTCTCCATTGTTATTGTTAGATATTAGCCCTTCTGATCTTGCACAGTCCCCTTGCCTGGTAACGTTAACTAAGTAAATATTAATACTGTACACTTTTCCTTTGGAAAATGAAGGAGAACAAATGGGAAAAGATGTAACAAATGTTCTGCAGCCCTGTTATAAATATTTTATGAATGAATCAGAGAAATTGAAGATGAAAAAAGCCCACTAATTCAGCCAGTACCCTGATGTCTACTGCTGTATTCTTTCAAGCGGTTTGTCTGGTCTGGTCTTTAGTGACTCAGGTTATAGGGAATTTACCACTTCTGTCGAAGCTGCTTTTGTAGTGGGGACTATCTAGCTGCTAGGAAAGTTTGTCAAATTCCCCTTGCTTTTGTTTAGTTTTCTCATTAGTCTCATTTGATTTTGTTTATTTAATTGCTTATTTTTAGTGTCTTTAGATTCTTAATTGATTTCTACGTGTCTTTTCTATTGCTTTCTTTTTTGTTCATTCAGCTTTTCTCTCTTTAGTTGTTACCAGGAAGAAACCAAAACAGCTTTTTGGCTTGTAGATAGGTGAGAAGTAACAATTGGTTCCATCACCAAATTAACAACAACACTTGCTACATCAAGTGTTAGGCTAACTACTTTGCATACATTATCTAATTTATTAAGCACCTTCTTTTTGCCAGACACTGAGAAGGCAAGGTTAAATATGACCCTGCCACTGTTGGCAGGGCCTTATAATGTAGTAGGGGAGATAAGCATTCAAATAGATAGTGTCAACACAGCATATTCAGTGTGTGGGGCTATTTTCAGAGTCATCCTGGAGCACAGAGGGGGGTGTCCACTCCAGCAGTGAAGAGCAAGGAACGAGGGCAGAGGTCAGGTGGCATGGGAGAGAGATACCCCAGGTGAGTTGACCCATAACCTGATTCCTGTAAGAATAAGAGTTAACTAGGTTAGAAGGGGGTGTGGAGCTGGAGAGGATAGCTACTTGGGAAACTACATAAAGTTTAATGTTATTAGGTTGAAAAATGTGAGAGTTGTTGGAAGATGAGGTAGGCCAGGAGAAGAAACCGGCCAGGTTTGTATTACTTGGTGGAAAACTTGAACTTTGCTTTGGATTTTAAGAACAGAAATAAGGCTGCCATGTGAAGAACACACAGGAGGGGCAGCAGAGAGACTGGCATCTTTCCTGGTGAGGGATCACCAGTGTTGCAATCGCAGAGTCAGGTTAGCTCTTCTTGGTTGGAGTATCTTTAAGGCCATCTGGTCTGACTCTAAATGACTAGGAAATTACTCATCATGTGCCTTCTAACTCTCTGAGTAGTTATTTCCATTTCCTTGATACTGAAAAAAGGGTAGTAGGGAATGTATGTTTGCTGCGGCCAGTGGGGTTATGTCAAATAATGGTTACTTACTGACAGCAGTCTAACAGTTTCTGGGAAGACTAATGTGCTCCTAACTGCATATGTGGGAGAGAAACAAGAACTACCCATTTACTGAATATCCACTCTGTGCAAAGCCCAGTGCCATGGGCATTAACATTCATGGTATCAGCAAGGTGGCAGCAAAGAGTCAATCTTCTGAGAGTTAAGCAGTCCTAATCAACACATTATAGGAAATAACTATGTGCAGAAGTTATCCTGTCTAAGAGATGAGTTACTTATATTTTCCTCCCAGCCTAAAAGGAATAGTTTATAAAAAATAGTTAATACTTGAGGTTGATAGATTTAATACATATCCAATTTGGGTAAAGTGACTATGGTGTATTCTCAGGACAGGAAGGACCCTAAAGGATGCTATAATCTGACTAATTATAATTGTAACAGGCTTCTCTGAAGTAATGTGTAATGGAAAGGTAGTGTCTGCCTAGAGCCTAGAAAAGGCAGCATAGGGCAAAAGGCCTTGACCAGCATTAATTCATAACAACCAATGAAAGAAGGGACTATGTAGCTCATGTGCATTATTGATTTCTAAGTGTCTAAAAACACATCAGAATTTGCTGCAGCTTAGATAAAACATTTACTGAACATGTATTGCCAGAATGTGAGCTTATTGATAATCTCCTTAGTATCAGGAGAGGATATAGCAGTAACGTGTAGATTCTGCCTTCAGACCCCCCTGGATTGGTATCTTGACTTTGCCACTTAGAAGCTGTATTAGTTATCTGTGAAAACAGAACAAATTATTCAAACTTAGTTATTTAAAACAATATTATTTCACAGTTTCTCTAAGTCAGAGATTCAGAAGTGGCATAGTTGGGCAGTTTTGCCTCAGGGGCTATCATGGTTGTTGTCATCTGAAGGCTTGACTGGGGCAGGAGGGGAGCCACTGCCAGGGTGGCTTATCCACATGGCTGACACGTTGGTCTGGTTTTGGTCCTCCCCTTGTGGGCCTCCACACAGGCTGCCTGAGAGTCTTCACCACATGATGCCTGGCTTCCTTGAAA
Source organism: Homo sapiens (assembly GCF_000001405.40). Classification (NCBI taxonomy): domain Eukaryota; kingdom Metazoa; phylum Chordata; class Mammalia; order Primates; family Hominidae; genus Homo; species Homo sapiens. Next base: position 39,778,888 of record NC_000013.11, read on the forward strand.
GTGAGAAATCCATGAGAATGCCAGGTAGAAGGAGTAGTGTCTTACATCCTAGCCTAAGAAGCATATGCCCTCACTTCCACCATATGCTTTTTATTAGAATTGAGTCTCTAAGTCTGGTTCAAATCAAGGGAGAAGGAAAATTATACTCCACTTTTTGAAGAGAGGAGTGTCAAAAAATTTGCATGCTACTGTAAACTGTCACACTGCGTGACCTTGAGCAATCTATTTAAAAGCTTTATGCTCCAATTTTTTCACCAGTAAAATAGAAATGACATTAGTATCTGCTTTATAGAGTTGTAAGGATAAAATAAATCAATGTAAAGAGCTTAAAACAGTGCAGGGTGTATGGTAAGTGCTTTCAGTAAGATTAGCAATGATGCTGATTACTAATTCTATTCTAAGTCTGTTTGACCTGTGATAGAGCTAATCCAGAGACAAGAACAAAAGATGCTGGCATCAGTCACGTGTGTCTCTTAAATCGATCATTCCTATAAGCAACGGTGTTATCTCCACATCATCCTATTGGGCTTTGCAGAACCTGGATACTGTTTTGCCTAGGCTGCAGATCCAGGACAGGCAGCATGCATTCTTCTGTGTCACAAAGCCTTGTTTTTCTTTTCTCATCAGAGGAAGTGGTCTGGAAAAGTGCCAGCCAGGCTATGTGACTTCTCAGGTTCAACATCATGGAGATGAGAAAGACCAAATGGCACCCAGGGTCCTGCTGAAATCAGAGGCATAAATCTCAGCTGCAGGCATGAGGAGCAATTCAGGAACCCTTGAATAGATCCTTTCAGATTCTTAACGTGGCTTCATTGAACGAAGACCTCTCCAGGGTTCTGTCCTAAAGTCACCTCAGAAAGCTGTGTCTCTGACATCACAGGAAGGGGACCCAGGGCCAGAAATCACTTCAGCATCATTCACCTCAATTTCACCTCTGAGAATTGAGGTATCATGAACAAACGTTACAAGAATGCTCAAGAATCTGGCTACCAAATAGTCCATAGAGATATTATCCTAGATTAAATAAAATTAAGAAACATTTATTAGGCACCTACTCTAGGCAAGTCACAGTATTTCTTAAATTGGAAGAAACTTGCTGATGGATGAAGAATGAATAGAATTTTAACCCATGCAGGACTTAAAGAAAATAATTGCTATCTGCTCCAGTCAAAGTCCACAGTGACATTCCAAGAACATGTGTCAGGAAATTGACTGAGAAAAGAGTTTTGAATTTTTGACTTACAAATGCATTGAGTTCGAACTAGAAACCAAAATCTACTTTTTTGCCTACTTTTCTCAAGTACAGCCGTCACACCAACAAGCTTGCTTTCAAAAAGGGAAAAGAAGATGTTTGATAGGATCAGAATATCCCAACTCCTGATATCTGACCAAATTAAATTTAAATGTTCAGAACTTTGCTTTTGAATATATAAAGCAACATGATGGCTGGCACCAAGGAAGGCAAGACCACCAGTAGTCTAAATGTTACCCTCAGGCATGCATGCCCTGGCAGCTGACCCTTCCCTGAAAGAAATGTCCCTTCTATTCAAAGACAATGTCTGGGGTGAAGTAATTTATTAATTTATTAATACAAGAAGTAAAAAATACTATTTTTGGCCTAATATCCATAATAATATGGAAGAAATGACAAAAGAAACCCCATGGGTTCTCAACGTATTACACTTTCAGCCAACTTAATAGAAGACTTGGCTTTAGGATAAATGCTTGTATGTTTTATAAACACTCCTATTATTTAGGGAGGTCTGAGGGCATCTGGACATAGAATATTATTTTCAAGTTATAGCACATAATTTTTCAGGCAAAACTTACCCTTCAGAATGGAATATGAGCCATTTAATTTCCCCTTGTGTTTAGTCATATGAAAAAATGCCACACAAGGACCCGGGCAGAGAAACAAAGATAAGAGCTAGTCTTTTCCTTGCACAAAAATCTGCACGAGGAAAGGCGATGGCTCTCGTTACTGTGCACAGATGCGTGGCTGTGAACTGCATAGCTTTCTTTTCTTCTTGGAAAATGGCCTCAAATTAGTCTAGGACATTGGATGAACTGTTGCTAACTAAGTAAAAAGTTCATTACTCTCTGCAACTCTTTGCATGAATGCCATTGAGTTATATCAACGGTTCTGAATTCTTTTTTCTCCAAGAGCCCCATTTGGCCTCTAAATCTCTTTCACAACTCCTCTCCCCTTCTTAAAGATGTTTCCTATTCACTGTGAGACTCTCATCCAAGGAAAATAAATGGAGGTGAAGGGCCTGGGGGTGGGGACAAGGATGCAGAGGGGAGCTGTTTTAGAGAAGAGAAGGGGAGGTGAGAGCTGCTACCCACATAATACATGGGCGCTTATTAGAGGGCTGGAGGACTCTTTTTTGGCAAACATCAAATTAGGTCCAAGCATTCATCCCAATTCACTGGAACATGCAAAATCAGTTGACAGGTTAGAGAAGAGAGGTTTTTAAAAGTTAACATTTGTTTTTCCCCTGAAAATATGAAATGACTGTGGGCTGCAGAAAAAAGTAGGAGCAAATGCGGAGGGTTTTTTTTTTTTTTTTAGTATGAGAAACTAAATGGCTGGAATGGAACTATTTCATATTTTAGATGCAGGCTGTGATCGCTGAATAACCTTCTTATTTTGACTCACAGCTTGACACAATGCAGGCTTTCATTGCATGAAGAGCCACAGCAAAGAGTTTTGGGCCACTTTCTCTTTTTATTCATTTTCTAAGCCCCATCCTTCTCCCACCCCAATTCCCCCATTTCCTCTGTCTGGGTTTGAATAGCTGAAGTGTGCCCACAATATGTATGCACTAGACACATTGTTACCTCCCTTTTACCAAAAGCACCTGGCAGGGTCACCAGTCCCAAGTCCCTCCATGGTGCCTGGCTTAACTCTTTGAGTGACAAACATCCAAATATATTTTTCAAATAATTTTAACAAATATTAGAAATAATCTAACAAATGATTTTAATTAATACTTTATGGGAAGAAAATTAAACCTGTTATATTTGGTTGTTTTATAATTTTCTTTCTAATTTCCTCTCTTCTCGAACCCTTTTCCCTTGGGTTCTTAACTTACAATGTGAACTTGTTCTTTCCCAGCTGAATCAGTGGGAGATGATAGCATTCATTGATTTTAAATCTAAATCTGAAAATATCTACAGACTTTGTGGTCACAGAACAAGCAACCACACATATTGGGTAAAGGGGAAAACATTACCCATTGTGCAGAAAAGCCTAGGAATCATCAGATGCTTTGTATTTCTAGAAACCTCGCTCTTTTCAAGAGGCCAGAGGGCCATCAGAGGATAACTCTTCAGCTTTCTGCTTCCAGCCAATATGGAGTAACAGGGACTAGAGGTACCCTTCTATCTGAAACAACCGAAAATCTGAAAAAACTATGAAATAATCATTTCAAGACACTGGACAACAGGTAGCTTAAGATAACCTAAAGCAGATGCAGATCTATTTTAGTTAGAAGTTGTAGTTTGGGCAATCAGCAAAAGAGTTTAATTTCTTCCTTGGTGGAGGTGTAGAATGTTGGACATGCTGCTTGTAGTAACCTGTGGGAGGCCCCCCTCTTGTCCAGGTCAGACAGGAGTCCTCCCTAAATACTGTGTGCCATGGATCTTCAAGAAGTGCACCAGAAATGGGTTTTGATGAGTAGAAAACCTCAATCTCTCCTCATTTTCATCCAGACTGAGGATGAAATGAAAATGAGAGCTACACCTGTCCTTGAACATGAGCACAAGCTGATTGTGTTTGGAGCCACAGTAGAAGACAGGAGCCATAGGAAGTCAGGGGCTGCCTCCCCCCATCACAACAGGGGCTAGCAATGGCCTTCTTAGGGGCAGCACCTAGACCACGGTGCTCAGGGGGGAACAGCATGTCTGGAGTCTGTGGCTCACGTGCCCATAAGATGCCTTCTTCCCATGGGATGTGACTGGTGAATAGGTTAAAAACTAGGACTTTGAATCCTGATTTGAAAAGTAAGTGTGATTCTTGAGGGAGCTTCTAGGGTGCTGCGAATGTCCTGTTCCTTGATCTGGATGATGGTTAGACAAGTATGTTTATTTTGTGATCATTCATCAAGCTGTATATTGATGACTGTGAACTTTTCTATACATATATTATAGTTCAGCAAAAAGTTAAACAGGCATAGTGGCTCACATTAATTATGTCTTTTTTACAATTACTTCATTATAGAAGAATGTATTAGTAAAGCTCGAGTATTGATTTCACCTCATATTTTTAATGATGATCCTAGAGGTCTTACATATTTTCAAATAACAAATAATAATTCATTCTCTTTATTCCTGCAGGTGGAGACAAAGCTATATCATTCAATCCTATGCCCTTTGTTAGGAAATATTTACTTTTTAAATGGAAATAAATATTGTCCTTGACAAGAGTGTGGCAGCCATTGGGCAAGTAGGATGGTATTATTTAGAAAATGTTGATGCTTAACAACACAAAAGCCTGGATTTTTTAGTTACCAGATGACTAATATTTGTTTGTTCATTTTTGTTCTGTTTTGTTTTGTTTTGTTTTTTTCATTCCTAATGTCATAAACACAATGCCTTATTTTAAAATTGTTCTCTCTGTTTGATGTTAAATTCTTAGAGTCAAGCACTGTATCTTTTTTATTTTAAAATGATGGTACAGTTGGCAGTATTACTAATGTGCTTGTGAGATTGAAAAGGACAATACTTCCCAGAGGCCTGTTAGACTACACACCAATCCAAACTAACCTTAAGTGACCAGATATTCAATATTATAAAATACAGTCACTAATTTGGACTCTGACCCCAAACCAACAAATGACCTAGAATCTGTCTCAGTTTAATCTCAGCACACCTGAACATCATTTATCTATAGGCAGCTCCTCAAGCTAAGTGGCCATCCAAATACAACTGTAACACAATTTTCATGTAGAAGTCCAACTTGAGTTTACCGAGGGCATTTTCCATTCCTCTTTTGTTGAAGGTCTTCTGATAAACATATAACCTGAAGGCAAGTGAGATCATTTTTCATTCTAGCCTACAGGAAGTGGAAGCTAGGCTGGAAGTGGCCCCAAACAGCATGGATTCTGGGGGGAGAAAGTGTGGTAAGAAGGGAAGCAAGCTGGTTGCTGCAAAGTTTGATGCAGGGCCGGCTCCATCTGGTCACATAACACGGTCCACTCCACACAGCCCATTTAATACATTAAGAAGGGATAAGGAGAAGGCTGTGCCTGGAAAAGCTGTCATCACCTTCATTGATGAGCCAAGAGCTTCTATTCATGGAACACTTAGAATATACCTATTTGTCAGAGTACAGCACACCTGACATCACCTGCAAAGAATAGCTCAGGTGCAGAACCCGTCAGGAGAACATCCTATGAGGGTAATGGCATGGCCTAGAATAGCTGTGAGCAATGAGTGGTGGATTCTAGATTAGTTGGTAAACTCCAGCAGAGACTTGGAGGAGACCACCACTACCTAGAAGAGGCAGGAGCTCTGGGCTTCAGATCCGTCCAACTAGTATTTGCTGAACAGTGTTCTGCACCAGGGGCAGTAAGCATTGGATATAGAAGTCAACAAGACCTGAAGTTCACAAGGAGTTCATAGTTTAGAACACAGTAGACAGTTCACTGAGTTGGAATTTGTTAGAAACTGTAAATAACCAGAGCTTTTAGTTTACTGTAAAGGAGTGAATAATTCATGTGGCAATTGTCCAGATGTCTACAAGGAGATTTCCAGCTCCTGTTCTCTTAGATTCAAAGTTAAGGAAACCTGTTTTGATGAAGATAATGTCCTTAACCAAGGCCCAGGAACAGGGGAGAACAGTGAAGTCCTTCAAATAAAGTTTTCAAGAGAATAGAAAGAGAGGAACCTCTGGGCTCCCACTCTGAAGGCTGGTGGTTCAGGAGCTCCCAGAGTATGGGTGCTGAGATGAGCATGCATCCTGGGGACAGTCTGGTAGCCTGAAAAAAATGTGTCTGAGGGCTAACATGTTCAACTCAGTGTCATTTGGTTGTGGGAACTCCTAAATGAGCAATGTATTAGGGAAGAGCAAGTCTAACTTGATGAACTGCCAGGGACTAGGCAGGAATTGGAGTGAAGGCCCAGTCTCAGGTCCTTGGCCTTGATCATGGCCAACCGCAATATGCTTCAGCCTTGTGGCTATGGCATAGTCAACAGAGAACCTTTTTGAATGCCTGGAATTCAGCTAGCTCTACCTTTGGAAGAAGGATACTTGCTTTGCAACAGCAATGAAGGTCATCAAAAGAGGTGCATCTGAGTCCCTGCTCCAGAAATAAAACTGGAAAACTGAGAATTTGTTGAAATTCTAGTAAACTCCTTGGCATTCTGGGCTATATCAGGGTATATAGTGAGGATGTCGGAAAACTGAAGGTAGTAAGGCAGGGATTAAAGGGGTTGGATTTCTTGTTATCTGGCCATGTGAGAAATTAAGTATTTTACTTTGGGTCTTCACTGGTAAATACTACCTTCTCATATTTATTTAGTTTTTCTAGCCAGTCAAATTTAGCAGTTGGGGGTTTTATACCAACTTTGGTGACACTAATGTTAATAAATTCTGATAACCCACTACCATCAGACCAGCCCTTCTCAGATTGAAAATTAACTTATGTCTATGGTCATTTTCTAGTTACTATTCAGGAGTTCTCTCGTACACACAATTCATCCTTTAAATTGTTAACAGTGTCTACTTACACTCCTCCATCAGAAACAAAAAGGATCAGAGAATTTACCCTAACAGGTATTTCTGCTAATCCTTTTATTTTTGAATTATTTAATATTTTTGATAGGGCATTCAGAAGAGACCTCAGCTGGAAGATTACACCTCATACAACATCTTGCTTTTCTAGTTTATCTTGTATTTAAACTAAATCCTTCAGATGAGAAATTGAAGCAGAAGGACCACTCCCAAATCAAAACGGAGAGAGTAGGGGTTAAGAGTACTTGGAGGATGGAGGATTTTCCACTTTGCTCAGCTTTGGGGAGTGAAGGAAATGATATATCAAAGTAGGGACAGAACTCAATGCCCTGGGATACAAATGTGATGTACAGAGAGTAGGATGATCTCTATAAGGTACAGTCAGGATAGAGCCCAGCAGTGCCTCAACCGTATACATCCCTGGCTCAGGAAATCCTGCACTCCAACAGCAGGAAACATAGGAGCACTCTGAAATCCTAGGGCTTAAAACTCCTCACTGGTGGAGAAGGGTTAGCAGGCTAGCAAAGGAAGCTATATGAACCCTAGTGAGAAGAGAGGAGGAAATCAGTGACCCAAAACAACCAGGCTTGGGAGGCCAGGCTAAAGGGAGAAATTTCCCTCTCCAGGAGATTACAGGAAGCTGGTCCAGACCTCTGCGGCAGCATGAATAGCCAGAGGAAGGAATGGGGAGGCAGATAAAGAGGGCAGCTGAACACTGGCTCGGCCCCTTTTAATCCAGCTGACAGTGAGTGGAAGGAGAATAGTGGATGCCCGGACAAGGGCATGTGGTTCTAGGTGATCGTGGGATCCTGCAGAGTTTGTTGTCAATGGGCAGGGAGTGGAGAGGAGATGCACAGTTGTTAGGACTGGACAGTTTGGAAATCACATTTCAAGAAAATGACAACCCCAGTAGGGTAAGTGATATTGAAACAAGGTTTGCAGAGAGAAAATGGTACTCACTTATATTTGCACTTTTAAGATTCAACTTTACAAAGGTGGCATTTCAGACAAATATGAAATTGATAATCATTTTTTATAGGGCTCCCAGGAAGAGCCACTCTGTGATGTGAATTCTATCTAGCCCTGCTGATTTGAGGTCTCTGGATTCCAGAGGGGACACTTGGATTTGACCCACAGCAACCCTATTAACTCATTGCTGAAATGAAGCAAAACTTTTACTTGTTGGTTGACTGATTGATTCGTGTAAGCCCCCTCAGATTCTAGCATGCATGAGAAGAGGAAGAAGCCTGATCAAACTGTCTCCCATCCATAATACAATAACTATACATTATTAAGAAAGATTTGCATCTGAAATGCTCAAGACAACTGAGACACTTAATACTATTAATCACATTATGAGCCCCAAGAGATTGCTTACTGGAAGGGATTTTGAGAAATTTACAGATGGGAAATGGAAGGCACCACAAGTCTGCTGGTTCTCTGCCCATTTTTTTTCTCAAAGGTAGGAAATGTCCCTCTTCATTGTGAGATTGGCTCATCATGCTGTGAACTATAATGAGCAGACTGGGTCAAGGGTCAGGGGAGTGGAGTGAAAAAGAGAGTGTGGGTGGTCACTGCACAAAAAGCCAGTTCCAGGCAAGATGGTCAAATTTAGTTTCAGCAAAGTGTTCTTGCACTGCCTGCCAAGAAGATGGGGTTAATTGGTAGGAAAGTGTGGGAGGAAACTGATGTTAGTGGAACATTTAACTGCATGCTTTAGCATTTAACTGGATTCTGTATCAAGTGATGTGTGTGTGCGTGTGGTGTGTGTGGTGTGTGTGTGTATTAACTCACCCTACAACCCTAAGAAATGAGAATTAGTTTCACCATTTTACAGATGAGAAACAGATTAACTAATCTTGCCTGGCTGCATAGAGTTACTAAGAGGCATAGTGAGGCTCAGAACAAATAACTGACTGAGTCCTATGTGTTTGCTGTTTTAATATGATTCACCTTATTTGTTAAGTGTTAACTATATATATATTTATGCACATACACACATATACATATATACACATACAACACACACACACAATCAGTTCTCTATTTGTGCAGGTTCTGCATTCACAGATTCAACCAACAGTTAGTTGAAAATATTTGGGAAAAAAACAACAATACGACATTAAAACATTTTTTAAAATACAGCATAACAACTAAGCACATTGTATTAGGTATTGTAAGTAATCTAGAGATTATTTAAAGTATTCGGGAAGATGTGTGTAGGTTATATAGAAATACTATACCATTTTATATCAGTGACTTGGGCATCTGTGGATTTTGGTATCTGTGGGGATCCTGGAACCAATCCCCCATGGATAGTGAGGGAAAACTGTATATATTTCATTTTATTTTCATTTTAAAAAGTTGCAGTTGGCAGACAGAAGGCAACTATGCTTCCTTGCTATGGAATTTCAGCCACTTAGGATAGAGGTGTGGAGCAATTACATTTTGGCATGGAATTTTCTCGAAATGCCATGCTTAGAGCTTTTCCTGTGTGACAACTGTTACCACTATAAAATAATAAACGGTAAGCAGAGTGCTTAATTGCCCTTTCCATCTTCACACGTACTCCACCACATGGTAATCAGTATATGGTCCTGGATGAATATTTATTTCAGCCCTCCCTGTGAATATGCAGGAATGTGAGGTATTCAAAGCAGGAAACTGCACCATCAGCAACATTGTCTTTGATTGTTGGCATTTGCTCACAGGCGTCCACCCAACGGCCCATGATCATCTTGTAACCAGTGCAGGACCTTGTGCTTCTGGAGCCATTCCAGTTGTGGGAGGTGATGTCTCGGAAAACTCTGCCTTGGGGACTGGCTATAGAAATGTGGCCAGATGGCTTTGTCATCTTCCCCTGTCTACTCTGTGACTCTTCATCTGGTGGAAATGCTGTGAGGGATGAACCAAATGGAAACTCAGATTTACTCTTCAGAATAATGCGGATCATAATACGCACACACACAGCATGTAGAGTTGCTGTGTGGCTTAAATAAGTAAATGTATGCAAAGCACTAAAATGGTGTCTGTCTAAGTGTAAACACCAATTGTGTTGGCTATTATCACTATTGTTGTTCTTATCTCAAATATGTGTTACTTTCTAAATAACTTTAGTGTTCATAGATTGTTAAAAGACAAGATGACCTGAAGAAAAGTAAGCCCTAAAAATCCATTATTAACTTTTTTCTCCACCACTCTTTTCTTCTAAACTTCACTATTCTTTGTGTTTTCACAAAAGTTGCTTACTTCACCTGGCAGAGATAGCATTACGCAGGGGATGATTAAAATATACTCACTTGTACTTGTTGGTTTTAAATTTTATTATTTATGAATAGGTAATAGCATGTACACTGTAAAAATCTCAAAAGGCAAAAAAGGATATACAGTAAACATTAAGTTCCTCTTACCCTGGACCTTAGCCATCAAGTTCTCTTCCCCATAGGCAATCCCTGTTGCCTAATTTCCAATTCCCCTGCATACTTTAAAGATCATCTGTGCATCTGCACTCAGACCACTCACACGTCTAAAACAAATGATAGCACACTACACACAAAGTTCTGTTCCTTTTTATGCTCAATGATATGTTTTGCATCATATTTCACTGCCGTATAAATAATGCTGCCTCGATTTTTAAAATAACTGAACAGTAATACACAGTATGAATTTACTCCAATTTATAATCCAATCCTTAGTTAATGGATATTTTGATTTTGTTGTTAAGAATCATGCAGCAATGATGTACCTGTTAGACATGAGTTATTAATTTCTCTTCGAAGAATCAATATGTCACTACGTTCAATTCTTTGCCTTCTACTTTTAAACTTCACTTCCTCATAAAGCAACCTTTTGCGATCATCTGCTCCACCCTGACTCATTCCAATCACCTGCTCCACCCTGACTCATTCTGATCACCTGCTCTGCCCAGACTCATTCCCATCACCTGCTCCACCCTGACTTATTCCAATTACCTGCTCCACCCTGTCTCATTCTCCACCCTGACTCATTCCATAACCATTTTTCCCACCAAACCAGTCACCCCCTCACCCTCTTTAAATTAGCTAATCGGAATTAGTTTAGCTTGTGTGGTCTAACCTAGCCAATAGATGAATGACACAGCAGCAGGAGCCACGTTCGTCAGGGATAAGAACACCTTCCCCTTCCTTGTCCAGGGGTGTACTCACCATTGCTCCATCTGTGAGGGCGCACCCTTCTATAGAAGTAAATTGCCTTGCTGAGAAGAAAAAAAGAAAATTTTATATTTGAGTGCTATTTATTTTGTGGCACCAAAACTATTTATAACATACCTGATCTTTATTTTAAATTTTTGTTTATTTAAATATTAAATATATTATCCACCTGGTATTAATTTGTTTAAATAAATGTGAGGTAGGGTTCCATTGCTATTTTTTAACCAGGTAGGTTATATTGACTAACCTTCACTTTGAAAGTGATTTGAAATACACTTTTCATTTATTAAATTCTCCCTTGTGTTTAGGCAGTAAGGCATAATATTTGAGAGTGTGGGCTCTGCAGTCCAGCTATCTGGGTTTGAAGTTTATCTCCTTTATTTGCGAGTGGTACAAACTTGAACAAATTATGTAATTTGTTTTTCTCAATTCCCTCATGCACTAAGTGAGGATAAAAATAGCAATAACACCATGAGATTGCTGATAACAAAATGCAAGGTAAAAATTGTGTAAGGCTTAAAATTGTGTAGCCTGGTATACAAGAGGCTCTAAATAACATAAGCTATTATTGCTTTTCTACTTATTATTATTTCTGGCTTTTGTAGTCTTTTTCCCATTGTTGATCTTTCTACTATTCACAAAGCATGAGTCTAGTATCTGTAGATTTATAAACTAATTAATGTAACTTTTCAATATGTTTTAATATCTCATAGATACTGTTCTTCCTCATTACTTTTCTATTTTATAAATTTCTATTTCATCTGCTTCATAAATTTTGCATTCTCATAAACTAAGAATCATCTCCTGTAGTTAAAAAATATTGTTTGTATTTTTGTTGGGAGTAGAGTGAATTAAAATATATTGACTTAAGGAGAACTGACATCTTTATAATATTGAATCTTCCTGTTTGAGATTGGACTTTATGTCCATATTTTAAAGTCTTTGTTTATGACCCTAAGTATAATTTTAACGTTTTTATATTAGGCTTATTTCTAGATACTTTTTGTTAATATATCATCTAACTGGTTGTTCTTCATATATATAATGACTATGAATTTTTTCTCAGTCTTTTTTCTGAATTCTCACATCATTTGTGTTATATTTTTAAGTTGATTCTCTTGAGTTTTTCAGGTAAACAATTATATCACCTATAAAAATAATGTTGCCACCTTAAATTAAGAAAATGTTTTTCTATTGTCTAATTGCATGGACTGTTGCCTCAGGAACAGTATAAGATTGCTTACAAAAGCCTTGCTTTCTTGTTCCAGATTTTAAAAACAAGGCTTTCAATGACAATCTCGCTAGCAAGAAGCTGGTATACTTACATACATACATACAAACAGACAGACACCCACTTTCTATATGTATATCTAGATAGATTTAGATAGACATATATGTGTGATTCCTGTTAAGATGAATCTATTTTTGGTATTTAAGATTTTAAAAATCTAGAATGGGTATTATTATATTGTATTGAAGCTCTTAAGCATCTATGGAAATGAAAGTATGATTCTTCTCTTTCGACTAATTAATATGTGATCCATAGTATTTTAGTAACAGATTTCCTAATATCGAATGATCTAGGCATTGATTCTAGCAGATTATGTCTATGGGTATTTTATTTAAGATTTTGCATCAGTATTAATAAATGACCATGGTCTATGGGTTTGCTTTTTTGTGTGCTATGTTTGCAGAGTGTTTGTAGTTTACAAGAGATTTTTGCAAACTTCTATTTATGACAATATGGTAGATTATATATCTGAAAAAAAAACCTTCTCATTACAGAACATATACAAAACTGCTGAATAAAACGAGGCAACCAACATTTTAAATATATGGTTAATAAGGTTTTATATCTGTTGTGGTGTCATTTTTTGGAAATTTTCTATTGTCATAAACAATTATACATTATCTCTCGGTTCCCAAACTTATTTGCAGACTTGAAGTACTCTTCTGTGAATAACTCAAAGTCTGTGTGTCTATGATCATTTCCTATTATCTTTGTAAATGTTGCATATTTCTGCTTAATACTTATTTTATTAAATTAGGTAATTGTTTATCCACTTCATTATTTTTTAAAGTAGTTTTTGGAATTATTAACTCTATCATTTTTCTGTTTTGACATTATCAATTTCAGTTTTCATACTTACCAAAATTTCCTTTTGTCATTTGCTTTCTAATTTCTTGAGATAATTTTTTGTCAATATTTTGCTATGAAAAATTCTAAACATACAACAAAGTTGAAAAAAATTATACAGGGAACACATAGATTTATTGATTTCATAGATTCTACAAATAACATTTTCTTTATGATCATTTGTAACATTTATCTCTGTTTATCCAGCAATCCATCTTACTGCGTTGACTTATTTCAAAGTAGTTTAAGAAATCAGTTTTCTTCCCCCAACTATTTCATTATATAGTAGACTCCAGAACAACGCAGGGGTTAGAGGTGTCAACCCCCGTGCAATTGAACATACGTGTATAACTCTTGAATCCCCCAAGACTTAACTACTAATAGCCTACTGTTGACTGGTAGCCTTATGATAACATAAACATCATTAACACATTTTTGTACGTTATATGTATTATATACTGTACTCCTACAATGAAGTAAGCTAGAGAAAAGAAAATGTTATTAAGAAAGTCATAAGAAGAGAAAATATATTTACTATTCATTAAGTGGAAGTGGATCATCATAAAGGTTTTCATCTTCATTGTCTTCACACTGAGTAGGCTGAGGAGGAGGAGAAAGGGGGGTATTGGTCTTGCTGTCTCAAAGGTGGCAGAGGTGGAAGAAAATAGGCAATGGTAGAGATTTTTCTACTTTTTAGCTTTTACATTAATTTCTAGGTTTACTTCAAGTAACTAGAGAATGTTATGTGTATTATTTATACAGGTAGAAATTCACTGAGCTCTTCACTGTAGCCTAATACATGACATTGTAATAAGCATTGTATGGACACTTGAAATGAAGGTTTGCCCAGGAATTAAGGGGGCTTCTAGGATGTAGAACTTTCAGTGCTAAAACTGAGACAGTCTTGAGTAAACCAGGACAAGTTGTTCACCCTATCTAAGAATAAAATTCTTAGGTTACTTTTTTTCATTGAGAACTTTGTAGGTTTTACAGACTGTCATTTTTAGTAGTGAATATAGCATTAAAGTTGTCTGAGAACAGCATGAGTATTTTTCCTCCACTCTAATTGATTTGATATTTTATCTTTGAAGTTCAGTGACTTTACTAGACCATCTTAACAATGATTCTTCTGTATCAATTTTTCCTGCAGCATTGCATGTCACCTTTATTTGTAGAATCAAATCTTCACTCAATTCTTGAAAGTTAAAAACAATTATATTAATAAATATTTGCCACTTTCATTATATTGTCCTCTTCTTCAGATAGAAATTATGCCTTTTTATTCTCTCTGCCATTTATATTTTTCTTATATCTCTTATAAGCCTTAATTTTTGCTTGCTTTTCAAACTTTATTTTATTGTTGTAAGAACACTTAATATGAGATCTACCCTGTTAACAAATTTTTAAGTGTACAATACAGTATTGTTAACTATAGTATAGTATTTTCTATTTTCATATACTTTTACTTGCTTTTCTCAATTCTCTTCTCTATAATCCTTACTGTATTTCTCACTTGCTTCAGTTTGACCTTTGTTTGTAGAATTATTATAGTTTTACATTTCACTTTTTCCTATGTTATCAATTCATGTTTCATCTCTTTCTATTGTCCTACTATAAATTCTCTGAGCTCTTGCATTTCTGCTTTATGCTCTTGATTTAGAGAAGTGGTTGCTTCTTAAAGATTTAAAATTTACAATGATATATACTTGGTCAAAATGTTCATTTGTTAAATGCAACTTATTTTTTTCTGACGTAAGTGCTTTCTGTGGTATTTAAAATTTCTGTTTCACCCCTTGTTCCTCTTTGCAGTATCTTTGAAGTACATAAATTATTTCTGGATCAGCGATTTGTTAGAGGTTTGTGGGGAAAAGGGATCAGTGCCATGTTTCAAGCTAGCAAATATTCTTCTTAACATTCAGGGTTGTGTGTGTATGTGATGAGTTACTGAAACATTATATCTCTTTAACTAAACTCAGTATTTCGCTTTCTAATCTAATTGATGGGTCATTTCCTGCAAAGGTGGCTTCTCTCTGTGATTCCTCATTCAACCATACCTTCCAGGCTTCCTGAAGCTATCAAGAGTACTTATGTATGTTGTTTCAAACAAGAGATTGTTGGTTTTATCCCTTTAAGGGACAAACCTTGGAAAACTGTATTCTGTTGTTTTCTGAGATTGGCAGCTTGAGCACTTTTTCTTGGTATCTTGATCTCCACTGATTTTGCCAGCTCTTCTTATATATTGTTATATATATACTTCCTAGTGTTGCCATGGGTGGAGCTTGCATTTCTATTACCTTTCCTTGTTGTTTTACTCTGCCATTTTAAAAAACAATTTGAGACAGAGTCTCTGTTGCCCAGGCTGGAGTGCAGTGGTGCAATCTCGGCTCACTGCAACCTCCACCCTCCGAGTTCAAGCAATTCTCCTGCCTCAGCCTCCCGACTAGCTGAGATTACAGGTGCCTGCCACCGTGCCCAGCTAATTTTTTGTATTTTTAGTAGAGACGGGGTTTCACCATCTTGGCCAGGCTGGTCTTGAACTCCTGACCTCATGATCCACCCACCTTGGCCTCCCAAAGTGCTAGGATTACAGGTGAGAGCCACCATGCCCAGCAAAACAATCTTAACAGTATTCTAAATGATCTATTTTGAAAAGACACAGAGCATTAAAATTCTTTATTTTGCTTCAGATGTCTCTACAATAAAAAATAAAGACTGTTTGTTGTTGTTAAGTGGTTAAAATGATGAGTACATAAAACCAGCTGGGATCCTTAAATATTTAGGTAACATATCTTGAAGAGTTAATTTTCATGAAAGAGTGCTAAGAAAAAAGAGACAAGAGATGACACCCACCCTAAAGCTGATAGTTAGTGGGTACACCTAAGTACAGATGAACCATATATTTACAGTTGACATTGGGTCTGCTTGGGCAATTATCTGCTGTGATTGTTAGTTCCTATACTGTACCATTTTTTCATATTGTACCATTTTATTACATATTTTTAACATTACCCCTCTCCCCAATACAAAGTAGAGATTTGTTACTTATTTGAATACTTTGGTCGGTGTGGCTAGCCAATTTGAAAGAGTTCTTGAATTTTTCCACACTGACCAGATTAACCAGATAATTGCCGTGTATCCAAAGTATTACTTGAAGCTGACAGCAGAATTTCTACTTCCACCTCTTTTTTCCCTTTGACTTTACAGGCAAATTAACTCTACGGTGGCTTTTCTTCTTATCCAAATATTGTATTTATGAATAAGACCCTCTGATTCATATTTTCTATATTAATGCCAAAGCAATGTTTATATACTAACAGTAAATGGGACTGTTTATGCAGTATAGCCTGGCTGGTTTATTATGGTTTCAGGGGAGCTCCTTTCTCAGGATGTGAAAGATCTAGTGTTGGAGATCAACAAACCCTTTCAGAACCCATCAGCGGTAGACAAAAATCCTTGCTGCTAAACCTACTACTTTGGCTCCTTTTCTCCATCAAGGATTAAAGAAGCAAAAACAAAAACACGCTATTCAATCATACCCCAAGCTGTGTTAAGCCAATTTGTGCCAGGGGTGATAGTAAGAGTGGCAATTGCCTTCAGATTAATTTTATCTTCCTTCCAGGTCCATATCAAATGTTTGCAACCTACCTTCCATCCCAACATAACGTGTTTAATTCATAGTTTGTCTGGTTAGATTTTGCAGTGCTTAATGTCTCTATTAATAATGCTAATATTTGATGAATATTTACCATGTGCTTTCCATGCTTTTCCTCATTTAATCCTCACAACAACCCTATATAAGTTTGAACCATTACTATCCCAAGTTATAGTTAAAGAAATTGAAAGTGAGAGATGATAAGCTTATTGTGTAAGATCACACAGCTAGATAACAATAGTACCGAGACTCTGACCTGGTCCATCTGACCCCTAAGCAATGTTGACCCCATGTGCACACTTTCTTCTACTTTGGGCCTCTGTACTTTATATCCTGCTTCCTTAACCTAGTGGTGGTTTTTAATTCTGGCTGCAAATTAGAATCACCTCTTAGTTTTTTAAACAGTATTAATTTCCAGGGATATTAATTTAATTGATCTGAATGGAGATCAGATTGATATTTTTTTAAAAGTTCCCAGAGATAAGAACTACAGCTTTAATCATACATTTTTAATGGGAAAACTTGGATACCTTGATTTGTATATACTAGGTTCTCAAGAAAGGCATCTTTAAGTTAATTAAATGACCATAGATTGTTTTCTGATTAATTTAGTAGTGTTTGTGGTACAGCTATGTATATTGAAAGAACAATGTCTTGGCCAGGTGCAGTGGCTCACACCTGTAAACCCAGCATTTTGGGAGGCCCAGGCAGGTGAATCACTTGAGGCCAGGAGTTTGAGACCAGCCTGAGCAATATAGTGAGATACTATCTATAAAAAAAAAAAAAAAAAAAAAAAAAAAAAAAAAAAAAAAAAAAATTTTTTTTTTTTAATTAGCCGGGCGTGGTGGCACACACCTGTAGTCCCAGCTACTCAGGAGGTTCAGGCAGGAGAATCACTTGTGTTTAGGTGTTCTAGGCTACAGTGAGCTGCGATTGCACCTCTACACTGCAGCCTGGGTGATAGAATGAGATCTTATGTAGAAAGAAACAAAAAACAAAGAAAGAGAGACGGGGGCAGAGAGGGAGGGAGGGAGGGGGGCAGAGAGGAAGGGAAGGGAGGAAGGGAGAGAGGGAAGGATGGGAGGAAGGGAGGAAGGAAGGAAAATGTCTTAATCAGCCATTTCTTTCAAGGGATCAGGGAGGTCAAAAGAATTTTCATAATAGTAGTAAACACCATTTGCTTTTTCATTCTCAGTCTCTCATGAGTGTAGAGTAGTGTTTTCTTGAGGCTACAGGATATGGAATAACATGATGAGTCTGAAAAATAATACGATATGTGGTGATATACTCTTGTGTTCTAAAATTTTCTCAATTTTAATTTCAAATGTGGTAAGTACAGGTAGATATAAGCGCTCCACAGTAGTTTTTAAGATTGTAAAAGGGGTTCTGAAACCAAAAAGTTTGAGAACCACCATCTTAAGTGATGCCTTAGTGGCTCTGGTAAGTAAATAAACATTTAGAAATTATGAAAATTATACCTGCACTTACAGTAGGGCCTGAAATCATTGAAATCTTGCTGCTCATAGTGTAGTCTACCTGGCAGAAGCATCGGCCTACCTGGGGAGCCTGTTAGAAACACAGAATCTTGAGACGATCCCAGATTTTCTGAATCAAAACCTGCATTTTAACAAGAGCTGCATGTGCTTTATGTGCCCATCGTAATCTAACAAGCACTGACTTAAGAGAATTAGCCTTATCAATTTTATTTGTTATTTATTGCCCTACATCATTTTTATCACCTTAATGGAATACGAATCTTCTTGCTTGTTTTTACCCTTCCCACTTTGAGCGCTATCCTATTGTTTAATTTATCCATGTACAGAAGTTTATGATAAATATTAACATTTCAATTTACAGATGGAAAAACTGACAAAAAGCTGGAGAGGTGTGACTATCCCAAAGTCTGGTCAAATGCCAAACTGGGAAGAAAATACAGAGACATTAACTCATGCACTGATGCATCTTGCATTAAAAGATAGGAGATGAGTCCCAAACACACAACATGAAAACTCACCATCATGCAGGCAGGACCTCAGAATTTTTGAATTATAAGAGGCTTAAGGACATTTTCGAACATGAAATAGAGCCACTGGATGATAGCAGATATGAAGGCTTTCTCCTCTGTACTCACACAGGGCTCTGTGTTTTGGCCTACTGCAGCACCGATCATTTGGTATTAAATTACTGGTTTATATGTCAGTTGCCCAAGACAGACTCTGATTCTTAAGATCAATGACTGTGTCTTACTTTTATTTCACATTCAGCATTTACCCCAATACTGGGCACATAGAAAGTGCTCAGTAAATACTTCTTAATTTGCTCAGGCTGCCATAACAAAATACCATGGATTAGGCGGCTTAAACAACAGAAATTTACTTTCTCACATTCCTGGAGGCTAGAAATCTCAGCCCAAGGTACCAGCATGGCTCTGTTGCTGGCTTGTAGATGGCCACCTTATTGCCATGTCCTTACATGGCAGGTGAGGTGGTGGCCTTGGAGAGAGAGCAAGCTCTCATATTTCTTCTTAGAAGGGCATTAATTCCATCATGAAAGCCCCACCCTCATGATATTATCTAAACCTAATTGTCTCCCAAAAGTCCCATCTTCAAATACCATCACATTGGGAATTCAACATATGAATTTAGGAGAATATAAACATTCAGTTCATAACAAATACATATTCAACAAATGAAGAAAAGTAGTTAAAAAGAGAGTAGATTTCAATCAAACTAATAAAATGTAATTGGGAAACTATACAACTTTCTGGAAAGATTGTTGTTAAGCTAATCTATCACTTTGGTTTGAGCTCAAATAAGCTGGAGAGGTTCACCTGAATGTAGCCTCTTGGAGGTTTGTTTCCTTCTTGATTCCAATATTTAAATTTCAAAAATCAATGGTTTACCAAAATGGTTTTCCTAAGTGGTTTATTATATTTAGTAAACAGCCATGCTTTATTTGGGGTATAACTTATCCCAAGTATTTTTACTTTTACTTAGGAAATCTTTTTTTTGGAAATGGAGGTACATGGAAAACAGCAGAAGTAGTAATGAAAAGAGTATAGAAGAAAGAAATAATATGTAAGGTTTTTGTTTGTTTGTGGGATTTTTGTGTTTTTTTTCCTGAAACAGAGTCTCACTCTGTGACCCAGACTGGAGTGCAGTGGCGTAATCTCGGCTTCCTGCAACCTCCGCCTCCCAGGCTCAAGTAATCCTCCCACCTCAGCCTCCCTAGAGGCTGGAAACACAGGCATGTGCCACCACGCCCAACTAATTTATTTTATTTTATTATTATTATAGTTTAAGTTTTAGGGTACATGTGCACAACGTGCAGGTTTGTTACATATGTATACATGTGCCATGTTGGTGTGCTGCACCCATTAACTTGTCATTTAGCATTAGGTATATCTCCTAATGCTATCCCTCCCCACTCCCCCCACCCCACAACAGTCCCCGGTGTGTGATGTTCCCCTTCCTGTGTCCATGTGCTCTCATTGTTCAATTCCCACCTATGAGTGAGAACATGCAGTGTTTGTTTTTTTGTCCTTGCGATAGTTTGCTGAGAATGATGGTTTCCAGCTTCATCCATGTCCCTACAAAGGACATGAACTCATCATTTTTTATGGCTGCATAGTATTCCATGGTGTATATTTGCCACATTTGCTTAATCCAGTCTATCATTGCTGGACATTTGGGTTGGTTCCAAGTCTTTGCTATTGTGAACAGTGCCACAATAAACATACGTGTGCATGTGTCTTTATAGCAGCATGATTTATAATTAAACTAAAGAGCTTCTGCACAGCAAAAGAAACTACCATCAGAGTGAACAGGCAACCTACAGAATGGGAAAAAATTTTTGCAACCTACTCATCTGACAAAGGGCTAATATCCAGAATCTACAATGAACTCAAACAAATTTACAAGAAAAAAACAAACTCATCAAAAAGTGGGCGAAGGATATGAACAGACATTTCTCAAAAGAAGACATTTATGCAGCCAAAAAACATGAAAAAATGCTCATCATCACTGGCCTTCAGAGAAATGCAAATCAAAACCACGGTGAGATACCATCTCACACCAGTTAGAATGGCGATCATTAAAAAGTCAGGAAACAACAGGTGCTGGAGAGGATGTGGAGAAATAGGAACACTTTTACACTGTTGGTGGGACTGTAAACTAGTTCAGCCATTGTGGAAGTCAGTGTGGCGATTCCTCAGGGATCTGGAACATAAATCATCCAACTAACTTCTTAAATTTTTTTTTTTTTTTTTTTTGAGATGGAGTTTTGCTCTTGTTTCCCAGGCTGGAGTGCAATGGTGTGATCTCGGCTCACTGCAACCTCCACTTCCTAGGTTCAAGTGATTCTCCTGCCTCAGCCTCCCAAGTAGCTGGGATTACAGGCACCTGCCACCATGCAGGGCTAATTTTTTGTATTTTTAGTAGAGAGAGGGTTTCATCATGTTGGCCAGGCTGGTCTTGAACTCTTGGCCTCAAGCAATCCACCCGCCTCGGCCTCCCAAACTGCTGCGATTACAGGCATGAGCCACCACGCCTGGCCCTAATTTTTTAATTTTTTCAGTGGAGATAGGGTTTCACCATGTTGCCCAGGATGGTCTTGAACTGCTGTCAAGTTATTCCCCCACCCCGCCTTGGCCTCCCAAAGTGCTAGGATTACAGGCATGAGCCACTGGGCCCAACGGAAGTACATGTTTTATATTACCTCTGCTTTTCACACTTTTAGAGTTCATCAATAGCTCCTAAATTGTACTCACATTTTTTCTGCTTATTCATATTCCATTTCAACACTTATGAAATAAACTATTGTTATGAGGGTTAGCTAACATTTCATAAATTTTCCCCAAATGTTCCTTTTGGTTCTTTTCATAAATTTATTCTTTATTATTTTTCTTTTATCTATGCATTGCTTTTTTATACAACTACCCAAATATTTTATTTTCTTTGCTAATTATAGGGGCTAAAACAAACTTGTTAAGTTAGATTGAATTGAATGAAATAGATATACACATACTAATACAGTATTTTTTTCCTCACAAAACCAGTTGAATTAACTGGGCTGTCTTCGGGTTCTAGTTGATTCTTTCTTGACAGAGGAATTAAATGGAATGAAGCCACACATATAACTGTACCTTCTCATGTGCTATTCACCCATCATCAATTTTCTTTCGAAATGTTTTATTAACAATGACATCAGCAGGTTAGTGGATGAGGAAGCTTCAGGCCCTTGTTCCCCCATAGAAACACCAAATAAACCGCTAGGGTGACAAAAATAACTTTATAGGAACTCTGAAAACAAGTCAAAGATCTACAGCAACCAAACAAAAGCTCAACCAAGAGAAATCTACCTTCAACATGGTGGGACATTTCATAGCATTTTTACTTACCTTGTCTCACCTTCCCAGCATGGTGAAATCTGGAGGAAGTAGCCTAATTCCTGGTTTTCCCTTTGGGATGGAAAGAGCAGGGTAGAATTGTTTGCAACATTCTGACCTTTCTGTGGGTCACCTGAGGGTCTGGTCTTGCCTTGCCTGACTCAGAGCTCAGATAGGGGACACTGGCATATTTTGGATCTCAGGCTAGAAGCTGTAGAAGGCAGTGGCGGGTGTGTACATGAAAACTGCAAAGGGAATGCAGATCCATGGGCACTTGGGGGCAAGACAGTATGCACAGAGCATTACAATAGGACATCTAAGGCCATAGGAAGCTAGGATGAGACTCTGGGGAATCAAGACTTTTCAATGCAGCCAGAGATAATTAGGGTGGGTGGTGGGGGAAACACACACATAGACCAAGTCAGGACACATGTTCAGAAAAGACCTGAGAAGACTTTAAACCATAACCCCAGTCTGATATTGAGGCTCAGGGGCTCGTAAATTACTGAAGGTTTTCCATGCCAGTTTGCAAGATTGGAGAAGGTGGCTGTTTTTTTAAATACCCAACTTAAATCACAAGGGATGCAAGGAAACAGAAAAACGTAACCCATTCAAAAGGACACAATACAACTGCAGAAACAATCCCTGCAGTAACACACATCTCAAACTTACTTTAAAACAACTCTCTTAAGTATGCTCAAAGAGCTAAAGGAAATTAGAAAAACAATGTAGGAATAAAATAAAAACTTCCACAGACAGAAATTAGTAACAACAATAAGGAAATTCTGGAAGTAAAACACGTAAGAACTGAATTGAAAAACTCACTAGAGAGGTTCAACAGCTGACTCAAACAAACAGAAGGAATCAGCAAACATGAAGTCAAATCTTTTGAAATTATCAAGTCTGAGGAGCAAAAAGAATGAAGACAAGTGAATAGGGCCTATGAGACTTATGAGACACCATCAAACAGACCAACACAGGATTGTAAAAATTGCGGAAGGAGAAGAAAGAGAGGGAAAGGGGGAGATAGATTATTTGAGGAAATAATGGCTGAAAGCGTCCCAAATTAGGAGAAAGGCATGGCTATGTTATCCAAGAAGCTCAATGAACGCTAAGTGGGATAAACCCAAAGAGACCCACAATGAGACACACTATAATCAAATTGTCAAAAGCAAATGACAGAGAAGTTTGAAAGCAGCAAGAGAAAAGTGATGTTCACCATGTACAAGGAAGCCTCAGTAAGATTATCAGTCGATTTCTTAGCAGAAACCTTAAAGGCCAGAAGGAATAACATTATATATTTAAACTGCTGGAGTGAAAAAAAATCAACGAAGGATTTTGTGTAGGGCAAAACTGTCTTTCAAAAATGAAGGAAGGCCAGGCAAGGTGGCTCACACCTGTAATCCAAGCACTTTGGGAGGCCCAGGCAGGTGGATAACTTGAGGTCAGGAGTTTGAGACCAGCCTGGCATACATGGTGAAACCCTGTCTCTACTAAAATTACAAAAAAAATTAGCCAGGTGTGGCGGCCACACCCGTAGTCCCAGCTACTTGGGAGGCTGAGGCACGAGACTCACTTGAACCCAGGGAGAGGAGGTTGCAGTGAGCCAAGATCATGCCACTGCACTCTAGCCTGGGTGACACAGAGAGAATCTGTCTCAGAAAAAAAAAAAAAGAAGGAAGAATTAATATATTCCCAAACAAAAGCTGAACGCATTCATTACCATAGACTTGTCCAACCAGAAATGCCAAAAATGGGTTATTTAAGTTGAAATGAAAAAACACTAGACAGAAACTTAAAGCCATACAAAAATATGACATTCTTCAGTAAAAGTAAATACATGGATAAATAGAAAACAACAGTATTATTGTAATTTTTGTTTATAACTAATTTTTTTATTTTATACAGAATTTAAGAGATAAGTATGTAATAAATAATTATAAATCTATGTTAATGAGCATAACATAGTATTATAAAGATATGATTTGTGACATTAGTCACATGAAGTGGGGGCATAGCCTCTGAGTACTGTTTTTGTATTTGATTAAAATTTCATTAGTTGGGAATCTCCAGAGAAACAGAACCAAAGGGAAATTAAAGACAGATAGATAGAGACAGAAAGAGAGAGAGAGAGAGAGACAGAGGGTAAATATAAAAGGAGATTTATTATCAGAAGTTGGCACCCATGATTATGAAGGCTGAGAACTGCAGACCTGCTGTCTGCAAGTTGGAAACTCAGGAAACCTTGTAGTGTAATTCCAGCCCAAGTCCAAAGGCCTAAAAATCAGGGGAGCTGATGGTGTAAATCCTAAACCAATGGCAGGAGACTGACATTGTCAGAAGATGTACAAACAAGAGTGACTGTATCTTGAGCAAGGGCTGTGTAAAATGAGGCTGAGACCTGCTGGACCGCATTCCCAGACAGTTAAGGCATTCTTAGTTACAGGATGAGATAAAAGGTCAGCATGAGATGCAGGTCAGACGGACCTTGCTGATAAAACAGATTGCAGTAAAGAAGCTGGCCAAAACCCACCAAAACCAAGATGGAGACAGGAGTAACCTCTGGTTGTCCTGGCTACTACACTCCCACCAGCGCCATGACAGTTTACAAATGCCATGGCAGCATCAGGAAGTTACCCTATATGGTCTAAAAAGGGGAGGCATAAATAATCCACTCCTTGTTTCGCATATAACCAAGAAATAACCATAAAAATGGGCAACTAGCAGCCCTTGGGGCTGCTCTGTCTATGGAGTAGTCATTCTTTCATTCCTTTACTTTCCTAATAAACTTGCTTTCACTTTATGAACTTGCCCTGAATTCTTTATTGTGCGAGATCCAAGAACACTCTCTTGGGGTCTGGATTGGGACCCCTTTCTGGTAACAATGTCTCAGCTCAAGCAGGCAGACAAGAAAAAGGAGCAAATTGATCCTTCCTTCACCTTTTGTTCTATTCAGATCTTCAGTGGATTGGATGAGGCCCACCCACACTGGGAAGGCCATCTACTTTACTGAGTCCACTGATTCAAATGCTAATCTCACCCAGAAACACCCTCACAGACACACCCAGAAATAAGGTTTAATCTGGGCACTCAACAGTGCAGTCTAGTTGGCACAGCCTTGCATTCCAGGAATAAATCCCACTTGTTCATGGTGTATAATCCTTTTTATATGCCGTTGAATTCAGTTTGCTAGTATTTTATTGAGAATTTTTGCATGAATATTCATCAGGGATATTGGTCTGTAGTTCTCCTTCCTGGTAGTGCCTTTGTCTGGTTTTGGTTTCATGGTAATGCTGGACTCATAGAATGAATTAGGAAGTGTACCCTCCTCTTTAATTTTTTGAAAGAGTTTGAGAAGGATTGGTATAAACTATTCTCTAAATGTTTGGTAGAATTTGCCAGTGAAGCCATCTGCTCCTGAGTTTTCATTGTTTAGAGGTTTTTGATTACTGATGCAATCACCTTTTAGTTTAGGTCTATTCAGATTTTTCATTTCTTTATGATTCAGTCTTGGTAGGTTCTGTGTTTCTAGGAATTTGTTCATTTCACTAGGTTATCTAATTTGCTGACATATAATTGTTACTTCCTTATAATTTTTTTATTTTTGTAAAATCAGTCATAATGTCCCCTCTTTCATTTCTGATTTTAGTTATTTGAGACTTCTCTCCTTTTTTCTTAGTCATTCTAGCTAAAGGTCTATCAATTGTGACCTTTCATTCAGCATATGAAAATCAGTCAATGTAACACACCATATTAATAGAATGAAAAACAACAGCATATGATCCTCTCGATGCATAAGAAGCATGTGACAAAATTCAATATTCTTTCATGATAAAAACACTCAGGAAGTGAAGAATAGAAGAAAACTACCTCAATATAATAAACGCTATATGTGAAAAACTCACAGCTAACATCATACTCAATTGTGAAAGACTGAAAGCTTTTCCTCCAAGATCAGGAACAAGGCAAGCATGCCTGCGTTCACCACTTTCATCACTTTCAATATAGTCCTGAATGTCCTAGCCAGAACAATTAGGCAATAAAAGGAAATTAAAAATTCATTTTCACTTTGGAAGGAAGAAGTAAAAGTAGCTCTGTTCACAGAACATATGATCTCACATGTCACACACACACACACACACGCAATGATTATAGCTGATACATTCAGCAAAGTTGTAGGATACAAAATCAACACACAAAAATAAGTTGCATTTTTATGCGCTAACAATGAATAATCCAAATAGGAAATTTAAAAACAATTCTATTTATTATAGCATCAAAAGAATAAAATGCTGGAATAAACTTAACCGCGGAGGTGAAAGACTGGTGTCGCAGGAAAAGGGTCCTAATCCAGAGCCCAAGAGAGGCTTCTTGGATCTCACAAAAGAAAGAATTCAGGGTGAGTCCATAGAGTAAAGTGAAAACAAGGTTATTAAGAAAGTAAAGGAATTTAAAAAACGGCTACTCCATAGACAGAGCAGCCCATTTTTATGGTTATTTCTTGATTATATGCTAAACAAGGGGGTGGATTATTCATGCCTCCCCTTTCTAGACCACAGAGGGTAACTTCCTGATGTTGCCATGGCATTTGTAAACCGTCATGGCTCTGGTGGGAGTGTAATAGTGAGGACAATCACAGGTCACTCTCATTGCCATCTTTGTTTTGGTGGGCTTTGGCCAGCTCCTTTACTGCAAACTGTTGTATCAGCAAGGTCTCTATGACCTGTATCTTGTGCTGACCTTTAATCTCATCCTGTTAGTTAGAATGCCTTAACCATCTGGAAATGCAGTATGTCTCAGCCTCATTTTACCCAGCTCCTATTCAACATGGAGTTGCTCTGGTTCACATGCCTCTGAGAAAAGGACATTATCAACAGAGTGAAAAAGTAACCCACAGAATGGGAGAAAATATTAGCAAATTTTGTATCTGATAAGGGATTATTATCCAGAATATGTAAGGAATTCATACAACTCAACAACAACAAAACAAACAACCCAATTGAAAAATGGGCATAGGACCTGACCTGGATAGACATCTCTCCAAATAAGATATACAAATGGCCAATAAGCATATGAAAAAATGCTCAATATCATGAATCATTAGGGAAACGCAAATGAAAAGTACAATAAGATGCCACTTCACACCCATTAGGTTGCTTATTATCAAGAAAACAGAAAATAAGAAGTGTTGGCAAGCATGTGGAGAAATTGGAACCCTTGTATATTGCTGGTGGGAATGTAAAATGGTGGAGCTGTTGTAGATAATAGCATGGTGATTTCTCAAAAAATTAAACATGGAATTACCATATGACCCAGCAATTCTACTTCTAGTGTATACCCAAAAGAATTGAAATTGGGGACTGGAACAGATACTTCTACACCGATGTTCACTGCAGCATTATTCACAATAGCTAAAAGCTGGAAACAACCCAAATGTCCATCAATGGATGAATGGATAAGCAAAATGTGGTATCTACATACAATGAAATATTAGCCTAAAAAAAGAAACATGGATGAACTTCAAGAACATTATGCTAAGTGAAATAAGCCAGTCATAAAAAGACAAATATCATATGATTATACCTCTGATATCTGGTACCTAAAGTATTCAAAATTATCAAGACAGAAAGTAGAATAGTGGTTGCCCTGGGCTGGGAGGAGGTGGAATGAAAAGTTAGTCTTTAACAGACAGAAAGTTTCAGTTGGAGGAGATGGAAAAGTTCTGGCAATGGCATTAATGGTTGCCTAACAATATGAAAGTACTTAATGCCACTAAACTGTACACTTAAAAATAGTTAAAATGGTACATTTTATGCTATACACTTAACCACAATAAAAAGATAGTAATACCAGAAAAAATCACATAAAAAAGTCAGATGGCCCATTAATTTTCTTTTTTTCCTGGAAATCTCCCTGGGGCCCACCTTCTCTCTCTCTAATCTGGATGCACTCATCTCCAGCAACCCAGTGGCCATCCAGGACCCTCCCTTCCCAGCTCCATTGTTGGAGCCACAGCTTCCTTAATTTATTGCTTGATTTATTCCCTGGTTTTGGTGGATAATACTCTCTATAAAAGGGTGTGTGACATGTTTATAGCAGCACAATTTGCAATTGCAAATATGCCACTGCACTTTTGTGCATTTATGGAACTACCCCAAATGCCCATCAATGACCGAGTGGATAAAGAAACTGTGGTGTGTGTGTGTGTGTGTGTGTGTGTGTGTGTGTGTGTGTGTGTGTGTGTGTATGATGGAATACTACTCAGTCGTAAAAAGGAATGAATTAATGGCATTCACAGCAACCTGGATGGGACTGGAGACTATTATTCTAAGTAACTCAGCAATGGAAAACCAAACATTGTGTTTTCTTACTCGTAAGTGGGAGCTAAGCTATGAGGATGCAAAGGCATAAAAATGACACAATGGACTTTGGGGACTCAGGAGGAAAAGGTTGGAAGAGGGTGAGGGATAAAAGAATATTAATTGGGTTCACTGTATACTGCTCAGGTGCAGCAAAATCTCACAAATCACCACTAAAGAACTTACTCATGTAACCAAATACCACCTGTTCCCCAAAAATCTGCGGAAATAAAAAATTTTAAAAAAAGAAAGGGCTTGTGAGTATTAAATCTGAGTCCCTGCATGTCCACAATGTCTTTATTTTGCCCTTAGTCAAATTGCAGTTCAGTTTTCCTCAGAACACTTAAGGCATTTCTCCATTGACTTCTAGCACCCAAGTGAATGTTTTCCACCTTCCTATCACGCTTTTGTTAGTGTACTTCCACCCCTACAGATGATTCCTATCTTTTAAGATTTATTTACTCTGATTTCTAATTTGAAGACTGTCTTTCTGTACATGTGTTTGTAAAGTTAGGAAAACAATTGGTGAGTATCAGTCACTGATATTTTCTCTCCATGTTTACCTATTGTGTTTGCTATTTTGCTCCTTGCTGTGCCCAGGAAGTTGTTAGAATTTCAGAGCTATGTAAGCTGACTGTATAAAAAGGGACTTCATAAATTGTCCATAGTCATACATCTTCCTTGATTTTGTGTTTCATTCCAAAATAGTTTTGGGGCTGGAAATGCTACTTATTTTCTTTAAAAATAAAAAAAGTGCATCCCCAGGTGAAGAAAACATCAACTTAGTAAAAACTCCAATTTGTTTAAAAACTTAATTTGTAAACTATTATGTGTTACCTTCATCTTTTCTTTTCTTTCCTTTCTTGCTTTCCTTCCTTCCTTCCTCTTTCCTTTCCTTCCCCTTTCCTTTCCTTCCCCTTTTCCCTTTCCTTCCCTTCCCTTCCCTCTTTCCAGAGTCTTTATCACTAGGCTGGAAGTGCAGTGGTGTGATCCCAGGATTACCTGGGCTCAGGTAATCCTGCCGCAGCCTCCCACATACCTGAGACTACAGGCACATGCCACCATGCTCAGCTAATTTTTGTGTGTTTTGTAGTGATGGGGTTTTACCACGTTGCCCAGGCTGGTTTCGAACTCCTGGGCTCAAGTGATCCTCCCACCTTGTCCTCCCAAAGTGCTGGGATACAGGTGTGAGCCACTGTGCCTGGCCCACCTTCATATTTTCATTTTAGATTGTTTTTACCACCTGAAAACCAGTCATTGCACAGACTAGATCCTGCCATCTCCTAAGGTGTAACACTGAGGGTTAAGAAAACATATTTCATATTTCATTTCGCTTTTCTTTTGTTTTCTGTTTTGTTTTATTTTGTGGCTTTGTGTTCCCAAGAGTTTTCAGTTTTTAAATGAATATTTAAGACCCATATCTATATTTGGATGCATGCATAATCAACATCACCTTCAGTTAAACCTTCTGCATTTTGCAACAAATGGCAGAAACTGACCTTGATATTTTCCAAGAGGACAAATTCATAAATATGAAAACAGAAAAGAAAATCCTGCATCAAGATAGCAAATGACTCAGTGCAGCTTCTGTGGTGAAATGAAGACAATTCACAAGGCTGGCATATTTATAAAATGTACAATAAATTATATAATACCACAAATAAGCAAGATAATATGAACCCGAGCCTTTCTCTTGATGCTGAGAGTTTTTATATATCTAACTCATGTGCTTCACTTTCAGTGGGTTTTGTCCAAGCATTCTGGAGAAATCCCCAGGGTAAATCTATCATTTAAAATCCTACTTCTAGCTGGGTGCAGTGGCTCATGCCTGTAATCCCAGCACTTTGGGAGGCCAAGGTGGGTGGATTACTTGACGTCAGGAGTTCGAGACCAGCCTGGCAAACATGACGAAACCCCATCTCTACTAAAAATGCAAAAAAAAAAAAAAAAAAAAAAAATTAGCCAGGTGTGGTGGCGCACGCCTGTAATCTCAGCTACTCAGGAGGCTGAGGCAGGAGAATTGCTTGAACCTGGGAGGCAGAGGTTGCAGTGAGCCAAAATCGCCCCACTGCACTCAGTCTGGGCGACAGAGCGAGACTCTGTCTCAAAAAATAAATAAATAAAATCCTACTTCTGCTTGGTTACAGATGGTTTGTTTGAAAAGAAATAAAACTAGCTGTTGTGGGTTTTTTTTCATGTAAATATGGAGTTTTTAGAAAACACTGATAAAGGAAATCTATAAATAACTTTTCAAAACTGGCCAATACTCAGCTTTCCTGAGTGAATAAACCTTTCCAGCAATGCAGCTAGCTGTGAGACCAATAGGTTAATATGAAGTTCACAGCACTTTATTTTTTTTCTAATTTATCCTTTGATAAATACAGAAAGGCTACATGGTAAGGCAGAGGAAGAATAGGAAATGACACAAAGTACTAGATAGCACATAAACAGAGTCAGAGGCATGGTGTCCACGCAGGCTGGATTTTCTCCAGGTGGATGCACTTCCAAACTCAGGGCCTTTCTCAGCAACAGGCGACTCCTCATTCTCAGCCTTTTCTCCCTTCCTTGCAGCCCCCTCAGCAGATTCACCTGTTTGTTGCTGCCTCCACCACTCTCTCTATCCCAGGATATTCACGCCCTCCTCCTTCTTCCTCTTCGAGCCTTAGTGGAAGGAGAGTGGACCCAATATGTCAGCTGCCCTGTTATTTGCTGTTCTTGAAGACGGGTCCTGTTAAAATGGGCTGAGCGCATAAAGGGCAGAGGCACGTGAAGAATCACAGCATGTGGTGGGGTGCCTTCCATGCAGTAAGCACAACACCAGGGCTGTTCACTGTCACACACAGTCTGAATGACTGTCCATTACTATCTGGGGCAATGCTCACATCCTTCTTACCACACCATATGCCTCTGGCCCTTCTGAATGACTATCCATTACGATCTGAGGCAATTCCATCTCTCAGTGACGTTAGAGAATTCTCCCCATGTCACCCCGATGCCCACGTCCTTCTTACCACACCATATGCCTCTGGCCCTTATGAATGACTGTCCATTTACTATCTGAGGCATTACTATCTCCCGATGACGTTAGGGAATTCTCCCCCTGTCACTTTAATGCCCACATTCTTCTTACCACACCATATCCCTCTGGCCCAAGTTACAGAGCCTAACAAAGTTCTAAGGTTAGCAGTTTCTGGCTCCCAACTGGAAGCCCTCTGAGTCCTCTATCACCTGCACTTTGATTTCCTGTCTTACACAGCACGCCTCTGCTGCCCCAAGGCTACCACTGAGGAAGGGAATGTATGTCTCTTGTTCCCAGAGAAGTTGCAGACAACATCCTCTAGGGAGCACCCATGGCCTCTCCAGTCCTGGCTGGTGCCAGGAGAAGAGTGGACAGCATTTTCCTTCCACCACACTTAGGTGTGTGTCTCCCGTGCTACTCCCACCTCCCACCTCCCCCCCCAACACCAAACCCCAGTAGCAGATGACTTTGGGGCTTGTCAAGTCATTGAGTAAGAGCACTCAAAATTGGATTGGACATGCCATTTTTGTTGAAATGGAAATGCTGATTTTGTGAAATGAAGCTTGACTGGCAAAGAACGTTTTCACAATAGCTATGAAGCCTCAGGAGGCATGTATTCATATCCTTCCAATAATCTTCAAGTGCTGGACATAACCTGGTAATGTTTGTAGGGCAGAACTCATTATGCCATCGTGAGGCGCCGCTCTAAACCAGTCTGAGTCCGATGAGTCTGGTGGACTGCCAGAGAAGCCTCCTGCCCACCACCCTGCAGTGAATTTGCTTGAGTGCAGTGAGTGAAAGTGGAAAGAATTATGTCACAACAATTCAGGGGTAGAGGGAAGTGCCTGTATCCTGACTTCTGTGTTCACACTTGGGAGAGAGGCAGTTCCCCATTTCAGCAATGACACCACAAGGCTGTGTGGTGGCCTCAGCCTTTGAGTACTGCAGAGAACGTGGCCCCAGTGTGCCAGCTGAACTCATCAGGACAGAGGCAGGAAAGATGATGTGTCAGTCAGCTGCAGCTGTTATAACAGAAATACCATAGACTGGGTAGCTTAAATGGCAGATTTTGTTTCTCACCGTTCTGGACTCTGGGAAGCCCAAGATCAAGGTGCCAGCCAATTTGGTTCCTGGTGAGGGCTCTCTTCTTTGGTATGTCCTCACAAGGCAGTGAGAAAGAGAGAGAGAGAATGAGAGAGAGAGAGAGAGGAAGCAAACTAGCAAGCTCTCTTATGTCTCTTATAAGGGCACTAATCCCATCATGAGGGCTCCACTCCCATAATGTAATGTATTCCCAAAGGTCCCACCTCCAAATATATACATTTGCATATAAAAATATCACATTGGGAATTAAGGTTTCAATATATGAATTTGGGGGGGCACAAAGG
The DNA here is from genome assembly GCF_000001405.40 of Homo sapiens. Classification (NCBI taxonomy): domain Eukaryota; kingdom Metazoa; phylum Chordata; class Mammalia; order Primates; family Hominidae; genus Homo; species Homo sapiens. Next base: position 39,811,755 of record NC_000013.11, read on the forward strand.
TTCAGTACGCAGCAGGTGGAGTGGCATTGGAGGGCTCCTGCAGGGCCTGGCCGAGGCAGTGATGAGTGGTACTGGTGACAGCAGTGGCCCTAGAGGCACAGTGGGAAACTGCACACCAGTGGGTACCAGAGGTGGAGGTGGAGAGCTTCATGCGGTTTTAGGGAACTGACGCCTGGACATAGATGGTCCTAATGGAGGCTCAGATGGGAGAGGAAATATAACTGCGGGGAGTCACACAGGGGAGCCAAAAGGAATGTCAGTGAGAATGAGAGAACCCCAGGGATTCCCATTTATAATTAAAGGAGATGGGGAGGTTCCTACAACCACACAGGGGTTAACATAAAGCAGCAAAATCAAGATGATATTAATATTAATATGACACCACTGTGAATCTCTGAAAAACATGGTTTATAGCTGTAAGAAAGAAATGTTGACCTAATTTATCTCCACCATCATTTAACTGGGAGAAATAAGAAATTATTCCTGTTACTTGTATGAGTCTGTGTTTGTGGCAGAAAGGGTCCAGGTGACCTCCTGGGGATCTGATTCCAATCTGAGTGAGTATTTGAGTTTGAGCCATTCAGACACGTGTGAAACTTATCCTTTTGGATTTCCTGATGCTTTCCCATTGGCAAACACTAGCTCAAGTCACCAAAAATATCATACAACAATTGCACATTTCCCATCCCCTTGCTGTTTGCTTTCTGTGCCTCCTAGGACTTTGCTGAGCAGCCACGCTGCACAACTGCCTGTTCCAGCCCCACATCTGGGCATCTTGTGGAACCTCTGTTTGTCGTAGGGGTCTCTCCTCTGCTGCTTTGTGGGGAGGCTCAGCTTATATCATGTGACTCTTGAACCCTGGGCTTTTCCAACAGATTCTTGTGACAATTTTTAGCTCCAATTGTCACCATTGCTTTAAACCTGCTCATCAAGGCCTGCAGCATCCTGGGTGATGCATCTCCTTTCTTAGGGTTTCTTTGTTGTTGTTGTTTGTGCTAACTTTTCACCCAGGCTCTAATATCTGTGTAGAACCACTTGAAAAAAAGAAAATTAAATTTTGTTTTCTCAAGAGACATGCCTGCCTCTCCTGGGGCTGCCAAAACACGCTGATTGTTCTTGGGTAAAACTCCTCCACTGCACAAAGTAAGTGGGACTCAAGCTGTAAATACACCCCATTCACCACCAGATCCCATTTTAACTTTGCAAAAAGCTTGCTTAATTCAGACAGGTACATTTATTTGTGTGCCCGGTCCCATAGTAGATTCAAAGTATCAGACATGTTCCCCAATGTCAGAGACTTTGCAATCTGGCTCATCTAAGAAAACATGGGGGTTAAAAAGAACTAACAACAGTGTTAGAAAAACCGATGCTCAATACTTTCTATCTCTTACTGACAAGTCTTTAACACCTTAAATGTAGTAGTCACTGCAAAAGTCTCTCCTTTTTTGTTCTTCTGTCTCTTGGCTTTCTTACCCTGAATCTAGATCTAACATTAACATGCCACTGCATAATCTAGAGCTTATGCACTGTATGACCTTTAGCAAGTTACTTAATTTTGTCATGTCAGTTTTTCATATGTAAGATGGAAGGAATGGATGTTTTCTTATAAATTCGAAAATCAATGTGAGGAACTTAGCCTCTTTTAATTTTTTTTTTTTTTTGAGATGGAGTTTTGCTCTTGTTGCCCAGGCTGGAGTGCAATGGAGTGATCTCAGCTCACTGCAACCTCTGCCTCCCAGGTTCAAGTGATTCTCCCACCTCAGCATTCCAAGTAGCTGGGATTACAGGTGCCCGCCACCATGCCCAGCTAATTTTCATGTTTTTAGTAGAGATGGGGTTTCACCATGTTGGTCAGGCTGGTCTCAAACTCCTGACCTCAAGTGATCCACCCTCCTCGGCCTCCCAAAATGCTGGATTATAGGCGTGAGCCACCGTACCCAGTGCCTCATTCTTGATAAATAACATTTATTGACTTGGCAAACAGCCAATAAGTATTAGCTATTGTTAGTGTATTAGAAATATTGTGAATTGCCATCCTCATCATTTTATTTGTCCATAGATGAGATAATGTCAATAGTTCCCATTCCACAGTTCATGGCAGTGTGCATGGTACTTTATACAAGCTGGAGCAGCTGCTCAGATGGTAGAACTCATTGGCTTGGGTGGCTTTCTTTTTTCTTAGCTGATGATTGATTGATTCGGAATCATGAGGGAAGAGGAGGGTAAACGATTCCATGCCACAAAGTCTTGGGGACCTGACCATAGTTTTAGTAATGGAGTCAAGTGGCCACTCTTCATCACAGGTATGTTCTGTCGTCCTTTAAACATGAGGTTGTCACTGCTGGAAGAATTTCCTTTTAGCAACTGTACTATTAAATCTTAAATTATATGTGTGCGGCTCTTTGACGTTTTCATTGTACTTTTGCATATATTTGCTTATCCTGTTTTACAGGTGATGAAATTGTGGCTTAAAGAAGTAACTGCACTCTTCCCCCTTCAAAAAAATGGGGCTGAAGTAGAATGCAGATATTTTAAACTCTATATTAAAAACTATCCTCTATGACATTGTGGCCTTCTCTTTAATATCAGGTCCCATTGGACATTACTCCCTTAACAGCTATTTCTTTTCTTTTCACCTTACATATTTTCTCTTTCTTTTGGGCAGAGTTCCCTCATTTTGTATTGATGTTGATTATGGAAGACTTAGCAGTAATTTAAGAATCAATTACTTATATTATCTTTTTTTGGTTTTGGGATGACAGAAAAAAATGTATTCCTTAAAGAACAAGGCTTTAGTGTGAAAATATAATATACACTGAAAAGGGGCTTGTTCCTTTTCAGATTGACGTGAGCACATATCTGGAGTTGATTGTTCCGTTCTGACACCCCCTCAGACTAGGCATTTGGCACTCATTTCTATAATGCCCACTATTACACATATATTTTAAAGTTATTGTTGATGATAAGAATATAAATATCGACTAATAAAAATTTTCTGGAGAAATACATATGCATGTGTGTAGATGTATATTTATACCTGTGTATACATATATTCATGCATTTATTTTAAAACATACATTTGCATGCAAAAAATACAAATGACTCCAATAGAATGATATGATTCTAAACCGAAGCTTTTTTATTTTTACTGTTTTAGGCAAATGTTTACTTTTTACTGCACTTCTATGGCTGCTTTCTTTTGTGTTTCAGACTGTGACTGCCATGGTTTTCTGCTCAGCATAAAATTTCTATCTGTGTAAAATTATTCTGATTGCTACCTGCAAGGCTCTGTGATTTCAGATGGTGTGAATTCGTGATGCCATTCAGATAATGTTCAAAAATGCAAATATTCACAGTAGGAATGTCCACAAAAGTCATTTTCCCACATTATACTGAAGAAAAAAAAAGAAACAGAAGTATGATAATAGTAAATCGGTATAAGAAGCAAAACACCATGAGGGTGGCAGCTGAAAGTTAAGCTGCGTAAGATAGTGTTCTCTGAGAGTTCCTACAAATTAGGAGTATAACCTTGAATGCTTCAGAGCCTGATTTTCATGTAAAATCAAACTGACAAAGGACTTTCTGCTAGATTTTCAGATTCTACTCAGAACATTTTTAGAACATGCACCCTAATGTTTATGATTAGAGTGTCTACCTCTTGACGCTCTTTGAGCCAGGCTATTTTTAAGCATCTGCACAGATTTTTTGCTTCCTTGAGCTTCAAGACTTCTGATTTCTGCATGTGAAAGTCAAGCTTCCAGCTGTTTAAATCATAGGCAGGGGGCAGAGTTGGTCCAATTACTAGAGGAGACTGAACGATTTGGAGCTGGTGGAGTTAAAAATATAAAGAATGGATGAAGACAGGATTGATTGGGAACACTGGACTCTTGGTATCTGTCTCCATAATACTAACACCTGAGCAGATGAGTGCCCTGGAGTTGAGGTGACCCATTTAGGGATTGTGAAAGTATTTCCTAAAGAACTCAGTCTACCCTCTTTTTGTTGTTCTTCCATTAATAAAATAGAGCAGGGTTTCTCAGCTATGATACTATAGATATTTGGGGCCAAAACATTCTCTGCAGCAGGGCCTGCCCTGTGCATTGGAGGGTGTTTCACATCCCTGGCCTCTACCCACTTGACGTCAGTAGAAATGCCCTCCCACCCCCCGGAGTTGTGAAAATCAAAAATATCTCCAGACATGGCCAAATATCCACTGGTGTAGGGGTGGAGGGCAAGATCACTCTTGGCAGAGAACCACTGAAAGAAAATGTTAGATACGCTTATTCACTAAGACAAATTTTTCTAAATTACTTCTTCCAACCACTGTTTTTCCTCTTATCTTTAAAAGGGAAGTGATAAAGTTTTACAATTATATGTTCCCTAATATTTATCACACATTTTAAAACTGTTGAATTGTTTTTATATAACAATAGTGCCCACATTATAAAGATAATTCATTTAAAAGAACTGTTTGCAAATTATTGCAGTATTCTTGTGCCATTATTTTTCTCTTGACCTTCCTTCCTCTTTGACCCCCAAATTATCTAGAACCTACATAAAAAGTAAAAAGAATGGAAGTGCCTATTGCCTCTATAGGGTCAAAAATGTGATACTGCATTTTGGTGAGTTTGCTAGATATAAAAGAAAGTAGAGAAAGCAATATGAGAATTTATGATGCTAGACTAAATTCTAACTCAGAAAAAGGAGGCTGGTGATATAGTAATATTAGACATTTTAGAAGAAGGTGGCCAAGTCCTCTTTATATTTGTTTTGGAGAAGAAGGCATTATAGAACAGTCTGTTCTCATGCTGCTAATAAAGACATACCTGAGATTAGGTAATTTATAAAGGAAAGAGGTTTAATTGACTCAACAGTTCCACATGGCTGGGGAGGCCTTGCAATCATGATGGAAGGCAGATGAGGAACAAAGGCATGTCTGACATGGTAGCAGGCAAGAGAGCTTGTGCAGGGGAACTCCCATTTATAAAACCATCAGATCTCATGAGACATATTCACAACCATGAGAACAGTGTGGGGGAAACTGTCCCCATGATTCAATTATCTTCACCTGGCCTCACCTTTGACATGTGGGGATTATTACAATTCAAGGTAAGATTTGGGTGGGGACACAGCCAAACCATATCAATAACTTAGATATATACCCTGGACTTTGGACTACTTAAGCAGTCATCTACAATTTTAGAGATAGATGTAGTTATACAGCGTGGCCCCCATAAGAAATGCGGGTTTGGAGAGAGTTCCCTCTCTCCAGGTATTCAAGTACATCTACATCATCGTGAGATGACTCCCAGTGAGGAATAAGAGAGGAGGCATCCAAAGAATGAGCGTGAAATTGCGAAGAATGGGAACCCAAGAGCTCTGATTTTAAATTCCTCTTTAACAGACAACATAATCCTTAACCTTTTGTGCTGTTTATATGATTCATCGAAAACACTGTATTTAAGCTCTTGATATAATACAGATTGTGCCCAGGTTTTGGGGGATTAGATAGATGTTATTGAATCTGTTTTCAGAAATCTTCAAAAGGAGTACTCCAGCCTAAGTCATTTCAGTTTTTGCCCCCACACTTTTTTTCCCTCCACTGCTAAAAAATCCAAACAACAAATTTCATTACTTGCTATTATTACATCAACAAAAAAGCGCATTTTAAACACAAAGTTTGACATTTAAAAACTAAAATAAAAAAAGAAGAGCTTTTACAATGTTGATGAACTCATCTTAGAGTGCATGATTTATGAATACATAAATATTCATGCAGACTTTTACAGTGATAGCTACTGGAAGAATGAGAACTTAAAAAAAAAAAAAGCCAATCTAGACAGATTCCTTTTCATTCCACCTGCCTCTTTCTTTGTTGGTGGTAGCAGGAGTTTTTAAGAGAGCTGCTGGGGTTGGCATCCCATTCATCCCAGCCTCCTTTCTAAGCCCCTGTAGCTGATGAAGACAGTGTGATTGGTCTTCTGCCTTAGCTCTACTCATTCATTGAATCACTTCTGGTAGTAAACTGTGGCAGGCCTTCCACTTCAACCCCACCAGCCAGTTCCATCACTTTGTCTGAAAGGCCTTTATTGTAACTGAAGCCCAGGAGGAGATGGTGGGCACAGACCACAGAGAGGGACAGCAGCTCATTCAGGCAGCCGGTTGTGGTCAATGGGTAGATGGTGAAGGATGAACTCCAAGAAGACCTCAGGGGCTAGGCTGCTCTGCGAAGTCAGCTGCCTGTGTATTCCTGAAACAAGCACCTCCCCGGGAGCAGCCTCCTTGCCATCCACCATGGTGCCTGCGCTCGCCGCCTTCAAGGACAGGTCATTCCAGTTTTACATTGCGGTTTGGGCCCCAAAGTTAATAGTAACAGTGAATGTCCTTTGGCTGTTATCCTCCATGCATATATTTCCCTAGGGCCAGGAGAAAAACGAGTGTCTAGGTTTGGGTGTTCTTGGTCCTCTGCAGTGATCCCTTTTAAATTTCACCTATTATTTTTCCTTTCAACACTGTTGCCTTTGTCTTGTTGAATCTTTGTTGCTTAGGTAGCAGCAAAGACTTCCTAAAGCTTGTAGACAGGCCAATCACAACTGCGAAGCCTTTAGAAATGTTAGATTTTGAAGCATGTTTGAAAAGAGACAACTTTTAGTCTTCTACTTGGGCAAAATCTGCTTAAGAAAATTTCACGAGCTCAATGTGTCATTTTAAGTGAGCCTATTCATTTCATCCCATCAACATCCTCACTTTCTTCACTTAAGTCTCTCAGAAATTCTAAGTCTAGAGTACGTGTTTTATAGAATCATGTTCACAATTTATTTCTGGATAGAATCTGACTCTCGGTGATACATTTCAAAGGAGAGGTTTTAATTTCCTTGCATACTTTGGTTTTAGCAGAGAAAATTGCTTGCACCATATTCATCCCCAACAAAACAGAAAGTGGAGATATAAGGTGGTGATAGAAAATATAACCAGAAAAGATGCTTATTGTAACTTTATTTTAGTAACGTTCTTTTAAAAAGTAACTTTATGATCTGCTTTACAGAACATGAGTTATGTAAAATGCGAGTTGTATAAAAGTATGAAACGATGCTTTGAAGTTTCAGGGGTTTCTCCCTCAAATTATAAAAAAAAAAAAAAAAAAAGTACATGTGCTTTCCTTAAGGGTCTTTATTTTAAAAGCTAAAGGTTTTGAAATATGTTATCTATTTCTAACCTTCAGAATTCCAAGGTCTGTTTGTAACTGCTGTCCTATGTGGGCTGAGGATACGAAGGCTGAAAACAGAACAAAGCGTGCTTGAAAAGGCTGATTTGAGTACTACAAAGTTCATGACTCTTTTTGAGACACTCACAGTCTTGCATGCCAGGGGCCAGAAGGTGAACGCAAGAAAAGTCAACAGACTTTAATTTTTTAACCAAGTAAGTTTCTCATCAGGATGTGCTACGTCATTTTTCTAGAACAGTGTAAAGTAAACATTCAAGGCCTCTTGTGCAAAAATTATAAAGAATTTCAGGACAATAACACCAGATCATTAAACCAAGTGAGCGGCTCTTATGTGTAATGTTTTTCAAGACAGACATTTTTTCCTTCTTACCTAATTCATCTTTTGCTTCAGCCGGGTACTTTGTAACTCAGTGAATGTCTTTGGTTGTTCAGAACAGGCCAGGGAGATCGATTTCGTGGTTCATTATTTAGCAACAAGACAACATGACTTTTGAATAATACCATAAACTGGCAAGACAATTTTTAACTCAAATAGTGTTTTATTAAATGTACATATCATCAATTGTAAGAAATATCATTGCTTCATGTGCCATTAGGAAAGAAAATATGCCAATTAAATATAATGCATCATCCATCGTAAGGTGAAATGCAAATTCAGAGACGTTAAAATGTGAAAAATGTTAAAGATCTTAGAATTGATGTTGTTGTGGATTTCAATCAAGAGGTCTTACAATACTGTGAGCTAACTACCACGATCTCCTTCCCACACAATTTTATAGAGGCTATTCTGTTAATAGAAATGAGGCAGAGAGGGTTAAAGAAATGCGCTAAGATCTCATGTCCTGTTGGAAGTAGAGTGGTGGGATTTGAACTCAGGACCCCTGGCGCTGAGCCTGGTTCTTTTCTCTTACAAAGCAGCTTGTCCCTTTAGCAGGGTCTTTCACTGGGAAAGAGAAGATCCATTGTAAAGAAAGAGAAAATGAACATTCAATGAGAAAAAGGAAAATGTACACACAAATGTTAATGTTTTCTTTTACTGTTTGTCTCTCACTCAATGTATATGTATATATACACACAGATATATATGTGTGTATGTATCTAAGTATATGTACATTGAGAGCATGTATGTGTATTTTAAATGACACTTGGGAAGCAATATCTTTCATATGAAATTTAACCAATTTATACCTCATTGGTGTCAAGCTGTTGATAATACATATATCTCATATATTTACCGCAGATTTATGTGTGCATATATACATGCATTTTATATTTTGGGGGTGAGTGATATAGTTATTTCTGTGCAATAAACACCATAAAAGTTTAACATAGACTTATACATAAAGTTGCCTATGAAGATGAAAGGCAAGTCAGTGAATAAGCCACAGGGTCAATCAAGAGTAGGTAAGTGTTGGTAACTGTTAGAGTAGGTAAGTTTGCAAGATGGAATTGCAAAAGAACTTTTTTTGGGATATATACCAGAAATTATTTCATCCACCTCACCAACACACACACACGGTGCACAACACACACACTATGCACACATACCGCCTTCCTAAGCCTCCTTTTCAATCTTATAATCTCATAATTAAAGTTCATTGTGTGACCGGAAAAGTAAAAAGATTAAGATTTGCACTTATGTTGCTCTCCCTAATGGGCTGTTACCTCAGAGGATGAAATCTCCAGGGCAGTCTTTATCTCTCCATCCCATCTCCATCCTGCTCTGGGAGGAGGAGGGGAGGGCAGGGCTGGGATGCAGAGCTGTGGGAATTTGCTTCTATCCACTGGATGCCCTGTATGGAGAGAGGGGCTGCCCCTGATGAGGGCAGCAGAGCCAAGTGGCCTAGATGCCTCTGGAATTCCAGGGCGAACAATGGCAAAGGCACACTGTGGTTTGCGTCTGCCTGCTAACAACTAAAACTCAGACATCCAATACAAGGCACTGGTGCTAAACAAAAGTCAATATTAAAATCCATCCTTTGGAAGAGGAGGGGTAAAAGGAAAAGGGATTCAGAGAAAAGCTGTTGGCACTGTGGCTTTTAAGACTCAAATAACCAAGGACAAATCCAACTTACATTCTTGCAGAGACATTCTTCAGCCCGAAAGCCACAACTGGTGGAAACCTACAAAAGCCTTGGAAAGCGGTAGACTTAATCAGATTTAGGTGGGAAAAATTAAGTAAGGAATGTGTTAGAAAATAAACTTTAGCTCCTAGCTTCCTCTCCCTTTTTTTCTTTTGCTTTTCTTCCTCTTCTTAGTGAGAGGAAAAGAAAAAAGATATTCATTCTCAATTTTCATCTTACAGCTCATTATCTCAATCAGCACATCACAGTTGAGTGCAATGATTTCTGAGAGAAATTTCAGCAGGTTCTTGTGCTGTTGATGAGCTGTGGCTAATCGCCACAGTTAAAATTCTCTGTCATTACCTGAAATGGATTCTATGTGTTTGATTGGCAGGAAGGTTAAATAAAGAAATATCATACAGAAGTGATCGTGTTCTTTCTTGACTCTTGGGGATCTGGGATGGAAAGAAGGAGGCTAGGGATTATGAAATAGTAACCACCTAAGACCAATTAAATAACAGGTTTATCTCAACCAAATGGGGTCCCCGAATAACAGTGTGCATTGAAGGAGAGGCTGTGGGTGCCCAGGGCTTTGGAATATGGAAATCTTCAGGTGAGGAAATTATAAGAATCTGATATATGAAGAGAATGTTCCCTTCAGGAATACAAGTCAGACCTCATTAGCAGCATTATTCAATTGTTATTCGTGGAGGCTGAAGGGAGATCTTGGAACAGCTGAACAGTGGACTGCCTGCACTGGGACACAGCTAGAAGCGAGGACTTGGAGTTTGAATCACAGCTCACCTCTAGCTTGGTGCTCTACAGTCCCTTTCTGCTTTCAGATTCCCCATCTGTGAAACGAAAGAGATAGAAACTAATTTACCTCCTAGGGTGTCTTCAGGGCATAATGTATAAAAGCAGGCTTGGAAGGAGCAAATGGAGCAAAGTGAGGATGTTCTGGGCCAGAGTTAAGGCCAGTTCAGTGGAGAATTAAAGTACATGAGGCTTGAAATGAAAGAATGCGAAATCCCAAACCTATATACCCCACCCCAAAAGAAGAAATGAAAATGAAAGAAAGAAAACTGGAAACTGAAAGAAGAGTCCAAGGGGCATGATATGCCTCAGGAGCATGGTATGGTCAAGGAGAGGCATCTGAAAGTATCTCTGTAGGTCAATATCAGATACACACTGAGACATTAAGGGGTGGCAGTAGGTTTGCAACAGAAGGCAACACAAACAGAAAAGGAAAGGGGAAGCAAATAAGGAATAAAAAAAGTGGAATTTATGGAATATATGCAAATGCATTTAAAAAACCCTACCCAGTTAGAGTAAGAAAATGAAAGTTAACCTAAAACAAAAAAAAGAACTCCCCCTTTCTTTCCTAAGCAAATAGATTGTTTAAATCACACAGACAGTTAAGCCAAAATGGTTATCTGGTTGCTTCTTGCACACACAATCTTAATTAGCAGTTTTTAACTTGATCTTCGAATACATAGGATGAGATTCTGGGGAGGACCAAGTAAAACAAAATGAGTCATAGGTCAGAACCATGCAACTTGTCTGCAGTGGAAAGCAGGATAAAGCAGGTATTTTCTCTCGGTTGCTTGAAACAACTGGTATAAAGTCATGATGGTTGTATTTGGGAAAGTAAGCAGAGTGGGTGGGTGGCAGATGCCTTCCTCGTTCTTGCCTCTCTGTGGTAGAGTTGGCAGTGTTCTTTGTATTCTAAACAAAGGGACCAGTACTGCCTTCCTTTGCCTGTGATAGTACCTTAATTCCTCAATGCCAAGAGATGGCACGGGGGAGCAAAACATAATAAATTACTGATTTGGAAACCAACCAAGATCAAACCTTATTTTCAAGGCAATATGAATGAAAAATAAGCTTTCAGAATTGAGGCCAATGATTGATGCTTTCGTTCTTTTCATTTTAGCAAATGATTATGTAGTCAAGGCAAAAGCAAATGATACCTAAGTCACCAGCATCCAGGTAATATATCAGAAAATGCCTTTCCCACCACAATCATTGTCCATGGGATTTCAAAACTGTGGTGCTTCTTGGTCACATTTGAATAGTGTATGGCCTCCAGGAAAGCATCAGATGTGTTTAAACTACACACACATTGGTTATTGAATATTTTTATTTGAAACTCAAGAGGTAAGACACAGCAGAGAGTCAAATAGGTTTACCCCCACTTCCTGCCACTTTGCCATTTCACCACTGATAATTCTACATTCCCATGTGAGCACAGCAGGTAGGCACATCCTGTGCAGATGGGTAAATACGCCCACATCTTTGTATTCTCAACACATTTTTCTTCTTTGAGCCCTTTTCCAGAAAGAAGAAAATTTTCCTAGCAATAAGACCTTGGATTACAAGCATTAGAAATGGAAAAATATTCTGGCTTGATTGCAATGTGATCGCAGTTGAAACTGAAAGAAAGTGGAGGAAGCCGGGTAGGTGGAGGAGGAGAGAGCCCTGTCTAAACCTACGGTAGTGCTCACTGTTTAATTCTCCTTACGGGATGCAAACCCTTAAATAAAGGACTCAGACACTGGGCCCTGGAAAACTGGTTTTTGGACACGTCTTGGTACCTGTCACCAAAGCCTCATATCTTCCATGACATATGGACATTTTAAGATCTGCAAATAAATATGCTGGGCAATAAAAAGACTGCCTGTAAGCTCAGAGTGGCAAATGGAAAACCCTGGGGGATTTAAAAAAATCCTCATATTAAAGGAGATGGGGCCACACAACCATTCTTTTTTAGTTTGAAAAAGAACCAATGACATTTCCTAGAAAAATGGCACTAACCTTTCAATTGGCTACACCCTTTATTCCCCAGGTGCCCCTCCCACACCTGCCCTACTCTTTTTCTATGAAATATGAGTGAATACAGTTTTCCCTGGAAGTGAATCCTAAGACTAAATTTTGTGCTGCTTATTTCACATGATTTAAAAAAATATTTTTGTGAGCCTTCAATCTTTGAATTAGGAAAAAACTGCTTATAAACAGATATGGACACAGTTGATGACATTCTTGGCTCAAAAAATAAGCCTTCTTTCAATCTAGCCCCCGAAATAGTATTTGTGAGTGATGAATTTTTGGGTAAAGGTACAATTTCCTGTAAATCAATGTACCTTACTTTAGATTTCAATTTAACACACAAAAAACCTTGCCCTTGGAAAACAAATGGCATACAAATTGCTTATGATCATCATAGGAAAAGGCCATATGTTATTTGCGTAATTTATCTAGACTTTTATTCCTTTTTCACTGGAAACCTGTATTTCTCAATAATGTTCCAATTAAACTAATACAGCAGAATAAATCTGGGATATCTGTGTTGATAATAAATGGACATAGGCTGATTCTTTGAGCATTTTCACTGTAGGATGTGACCTAATAAACAAATAACAACAGATGCTTTTAATGATGACATTGCCATCACATGGCTTGCTTTTTCCAGTTTCAGACCTTCTCAGAGCTGTTTCACTTAATAAAGAGAAGAAAAAACAAGGGCTGCTCACTATGATTGAGGACAAATATGAAGGAGCCAACGTTCAGAAAATCCTTCAGTTTCACCTGTGCTTCCAGAGCATGGAGTTGAAGCTACTCTCACTTTTTAGGTGTGTTAGAATAGCACAATTCTGATTCCCCTTGAGAATATTTGTAAAATTGTTGTATGATTCTGCTTATCTTTTTAAAGTGAATAAGGGCAAAAACATGTTCTTACTTAATGGCTTCTTGTCCTCTCAGAAATAAAATTCCTCACTCCATAAAATTTAGGCATTGTTGTTTTCTGTCTCTTAGGAATATCCGAGGCAATTGGGAGCAACATAGAATGCACCAAAGAGAATCTGTTGACTTCGGAGTACTCGCTTGCATCCCAGGAGCTGCAGAATCTTGTGCATAGTTCCCAGGGGGCTGGAGAGCAGTAGGTGGTCTTGGAATCCGTAAAGGGAGGGCTCAAATTTTAGGTATAGTGGTGTTTTCCATTTATGAGGAGAAAACAGGACATGGTCATCAATGAAATTTAGGGAGCTAGTCTTGAACTTCATGTTTCCGTCTTCCAGAAGCGCTGGCTTGGCGGTCATTTCCTGGGAATTTTATATACTAAGAAACACCTTCCTTTTTCGGTGTAAATAGGATGACGATCTGGGCTCAGGTTTTGAAACTTGTTTCTTTAATATCACATCCTAGCCAAAAGATCTTATTCCATGACTGTTTATGTGACATTTGGTAAGTTATTTTATTTGGTCCTCATTTTTGCCTCCAACAAAATGATGACAATATTTTTTGCCCCAAATAACCTCAAAGGAGTCTTATAACCTCAAAAGAGTCTTATAAAAAATATTTTTTGCCCCAAATAACCTCAAGTGTCTTATCTTGTGTGAAAATAAATACAAGATCCTATATAGGATTATTTTTATTTCCAATAACATGAATCCCAAGACAAGCATGGTTGCAGTATTTTCTATTTTTGTAGTGTCCTAGGGTTTATACAGCATTTTTTGCATATGTTAACACAATATTTACAAAATTTCTAGAAAATAAACCAGGTAGATTTTTTTTTTTCATAAATAATGAAAGGAAGGACCAAAAATGGTTACAGGATTTATTTTACGTCGTGCAATCCCGAGAGAGGGGTTTAAAGTCTGTGATTTATGATAATCGTCAATAGTCTTTCACTTCTCTTAGGTGCTAGTTATATCAGATCACACAATTTGTACTTCCTGAGGCAAGTAGGTAAAAAAAAAAAAAGTCTGATTGTAAAGCACAGAAACTATAGAAATAAGACTGTGACCAGAGGGAGAGAGAGAGAGAAAGAGATCTGAAGTTCTGAAGTAGAGCTTTGGGAGAAGAGCCAGCAGGAATCCTACAGATTTCCAAATCCTGGCTCCAGTGCCCTCCTGGGGACTTGGGGTATCTTTGCCCTTGGGTTCCAGGACACAGCTTGAAGTCTTACTAATTAATGTAGGATCATAGGTTCAACGTGCTTACGGTTACCTTTCTATCCAACTGAAACAATTGTTCAAAGTAATTGCCTTCTCAGGCATAGAATTTTACATTCAGCTCTTTAATCCATGCCGTGTGTCATAAACACAGTGAAGCATTGATGTAATTATGTGGAGGGCAGAGTGAAAATTAAAAGGCGGAAATACGGTCTGGTGGTTAGATTGGCAGACTCAATGTCAGGAGTTCTGTTTCTGTTTTTGACATGGTCGCTGACTCTGGGGACTCACTTGCTCCGTGGCTCTCTGCTGCCATTTCTAGAGCTCAAGAGACTAGATCTGTCTCTTACTCAAAGGAGCATCACTTTTGATACCCTGGGACCTCTCTGATAGTACTGGATGTCCTTAAAATGGAAAACTCATAATCCCATGCAGAGCCAAAGCGAATTTCACAGTTGGCCCATACTTCCCTGTCTGCAAAACAGAGGACAGTGCAGAAGTCATGCTTTTTGGGGCCAATTTCAATTATGAAAATAAAAATCAACCTACCTTTCATCTTGTGATGTGGTTACCAGCTCAACACAGAGAAAAGTTACCAGAAAACTCAACATGGAGGAAAGCAATGCAGAGGAAAAATATTGCGGGGCTGACATTTTTTTTCTGTGTATTTGAATGGAGATTAGCACCCTTCTTTTGAATTCTTTCCTTCTGCTTTTATAGAACAATCCCCCGTCTTCTGCAACTATGATGTGGCAGTGCTCTGTAGTCCAGACTCCTCTATTTAGGAAAACTTTAGGATTTTCTCATTGGTTAAAAAAAATCAGGGAAGCTCTTATTTACAGATGACATGATCACATAGAAAAGCCCCCCAGAAATGAAACGTTCAGATAAAAATCAACAAAACATGTAGAGGATCTTTTTGATGAAAGTTATAAAATGCTGATAAATAAAATCAAAGAATATCTAAATAAATGGAGAGACATATTCTGTTCATAGATCGGAAATTTAATATAGTAAAGATGTTAATTCTCCCTAAATTGATCATTACATTTAATGCAATTCCTATCAAAATTCTAGCAAAGTGTTTTTTTGTAGGCATACACAACCTTATTCTGAAAGTTGTATTTAAAGATACAAACCCTGAAATAACTAAAATAATCCTGACAAAGAAGAATAAAGAGGAAGAATCACTCTACCCAATATTAAGGCTAACTATGGAGCTGTAGTGGTTAAAACAGTGTGATATTGGCATAGGGATGGACATATGTATCAGTGGCACAGATAGAGAACCCAGAAATATATCCACACAAATATCCTCCTATGATTTTTGAGAAAAGTGCAAAAGCAACTTTTTTGTTTGTTTGTTTCTTTTTGAGACGAATTCTCACTCTGTCACCCAGGCTGGAGGGCAGTGGCCCAATCTTGGCTCACTGCAACCTCTACCTCCCAGGTTCAAGCGATTCTCCTACCTCAGCCTCCTGAGTATCCGGGACTACAGGCACCTGCCACCATGCCCGGTTAATTTTTATATTGTTGGTGGAGACGGGGTTTTGCCATATTGACCAGGCTGATCTCGAACTCCTGACTTCAAGTGAACTGCCCACCTTGGCCTCCCAAAGTGCTAGGATTATAGGAGTGAGCCACTGCGCCCAGCCTGCAAAAGCGATTTGATGAAAGATAGCTTTTCAACAAATGATGCTGGAGCAACTGAATACCTATAGTTATAAAAGTGGACCTCAACCTAAACCTAACACCTTATACAAAAATTAACTCAAGTGAAACACTGACTTAAAAATAGAATGTAAAATTACAAAACTTTTAGAAAAAAAACTTCAGAGAAATCTTCAGAATCTAAAATTAGGCAAAGAGTTCTTAGACTTGATGCCAAAAGTATGATCCATAAAAGGAAAACTGATAAATCAGACTTCATGAAAATAAAAAAAACCTTTTGCTCTGCAAAATACCTTATTAACAGGATAAAAAGACAAGCTACAGGCTAGGAAAAAAATATTTGCAAACCGCATATTTGACAAATGACTTGTATCTAGACTAGATAGAATACTCTCTAAACTCTAAAGCGAAGAAAACATGGCCGGGTACGGTGGCTCACACCTGTAATCCTAGCACTTTTGGAGGCCAAGGCAGGCAGATAGCTTGAGCCCAGGAGCTCAAGACCAGGCTGGGCAACATAGTGAAACCCTGTCTCTACAAAAAGTACAAAAATTAGCTGGGTGTGCTGGCGCATGGCTGTTGTTCCAGCCACCTGGGAGTCTGAGGTGGGAGGATTGCTTGAGCCCAGGTGGTGGAGACCGCAGTGAGCTATGATCATGACACTGCACTCTAGCCGGGGTGACTGAGTGAGACTCTGTCTCAAACAACAACAACAACAACAATAACAACAAATCCAGATATCCCAACTATAGAATAGGCAAAAGACATAAACAGACATTTCACTAAAGAGGGCTTACAGGTAAATATAAAAAGATGCTCAGCATGATTAGCTAGGGAAGTGAAAACTAAAACCCAAATGAGATATTACTACACACTTACCAGAATGTTTAAAAAAATAGAGACAATACAAAATGAAGGAGGTGAGATTGGATCACTTATACATTGCTAGTGGGAATGTACAGTCACCCTGGAAAACAGTTTGGCAGTTTCTTATAAAATGAAGCATTCAATTATCATGTGATCCAGCAATTTCAGTCCTTGACATTTATCCCAGAGAAATGGAAATTCATGCTCACACCAAACCCCATATATGAATGTTTATAGCATCTTTATTCATAATAGCCCCAAAATGGAAACAACCCAGGTGTTCTTTGATAGGTGAATATTTAAACAAAGTGTGGTACATCAAAGACTTGGAATACTATTCAACAATAAAAAGAAATGAACTATTGATTCACACGACATGGATGAATCTCAAGAGAATTATATGGAGAGAAAAAAACCCAGTATTCCAAAAGATTACATACTAAATGTGTTTCTTGTTGCTGCTGTACCAAATTACCACAAACTTAATGGCTGAACTAATGCAAATTTATTATCTTATAGTTCTGAAAATCGGGAATCCAAAATCAGTCTCTAAAGTCTTGAAAAATCAAGATGTTGGTAGGGATGGTTCTTTATGGAGGCTCTAGGGGAGAATCCATTTCCTTGCCTGCTGAGGTTCTAGAGGATGCCTATATTCCTTGGCTTGTGGCCCCTTCCTAGTATCCCTCCAGCCTCTGCTTTCATCACCACATCTCCTACTATTATATCTCTGAGCTTCCTGCCTCCTTTTTGTCAGGATATTTGTGATTATATTGGACCCACCAAGATAACCCAGGATACTCTCCACCTCTTAACGTCCTTCACTTAATCACATCTACAGAGTATCTTTTACCATATAGAATAATGTATTCACAGGTTCTGGGGATTAAGACATGGACAGGCCATTATTCAGCTATCATGATGCTGCTGGATTCCACTTATGTAGCATTATTATAATGAAAAAATCCCAGAAATGGGGAACAGATGAGAAGTTGCCAGGGTGCAGGGAGAAGGAGGGTAGGTGTGGTTATGGAAGGGTGACAGAAAGAATCCTCGTGATGTTGAAACTGTTCTGTGTCTTGATTGTGGTGGTGCATACATGAACCTACAAGTAGATAAAATTGCATAGAACTAAATACACACACTTGCACAAACACAAATTGGTATAAATATGATGTGAGAAATTTGAATAAGATGGGTGCATTGAGTCCATGTTAATATCCTGATTGTGATACTGTATGGTTTTGCAAGATGGAGTATAGCCATAGATGTTATTATAGAGGGAAAACTAGGTAAAGGATGCATGGGATCTCTTTGTATTATTTCTCAAAACTGCAAGTTAATCTACAGTTATCTCAAAACAGAATGTTTAAAAATCAAACAAAACAAAAAGCCATAGTTATTATTATAGAAATGTAATAATACATTGCATTGTTGGAGCCCAACTCCAGCTGGTAGTCAGAATTATTTGGGGGAATGATTCTAAGAATACAGACTCCTGACTCCATCTTAGACCTATTTGATTAAAATTGTATGAGATAGAGACCAGGGATCTCCATCTTTAAAAACTTCCCAAGTTACTTATTATCAGTTAGGTTTGGAAACCACAATATTCTATTATGCACCGTTTTTCTGCAAACAGCTTTGCACATAGTACTTTCTGTTTACATAAAATGTCAAGAAGCACATGGCTCCATCTTACCAAGCTGATCATAAAGGAATAGATAATTCCTCCATGTATACTCTTTAGGTGGAATTCTGATTAAGAAAATTTGAGTAATTATAGGAGAAACTTGGGACACTGAGTTAAAACAATACATTGGGTTGACAATTCATGTCTGAATTAACCTACAGAGAAGATTGTTGTTTTGAGGTTCCCCCTAATAGGAGAGGAGGCTGTTGTTTGGAGGAGATCCTAGCAGGGAAGGCTGACAGATGTGGACATGAAGAGAGGCCACACAGATTGAAGATGCTCAATGTGCTGCTTTGGAAGTGAAATTTACTTTAAAAATTGATAACCCTTCTGCCACGGTACATGATGGTTTAAAGGCTTTGATTATAGCTTTGAGAGTTGGTGTGATGAGAGCTTTCATTTTAAGTTGCCAAATAGGTGGGAAAAACAAAATATCCAGACACAGAGACTGGAGAATAGATTAAATGGTGATGCAAAGGGCGAAGGTAATTTAAAAACTCTCCTGAGTGGAGTTTTATATGAAGACACTTGGGAGGCAGTAGAAACATATGTCTCTTAAAAGATAACATATGTCTATTATGCATCTTGGACATAAATAGGTGTTGGATGAATAAAGGTAAGAAACTCACAATCTATGGGCCGACACTAGCTCAATTTAATTAATTGGACAATTTTAATTTGGAAACTGTTCCCGAAAAGCAGAGCCTATGTCCCATCCCACAAAGTTAATTAAGAAAAAAACCTGACTGGGATAATTTAAGATATACAAGCAATTAAAATTATATGTCATGGAAAGAAATAGTGCAACAGGTTCCTATGCAAAAAGCCTGCGTATTCACTAAGAACCAGCCCATACACCAATCGCTGCTTTCCTGGTTGCTGTTTGTTTTCCCATTCCTCTTAGCAACAGAAAGGTTTAACATTGAAGGTAAGACAGCCAATATTTGAAACTTCATCAGAAAAATCTATGTGGTGAGGTTATAATCCTGTTACTCATTTTGGGTAGCATTTGCTAATGTTTTCCCAGCGTGGAAGGAATAAGTCTTGCTACAGCAACCTATCCCTGCCCAAATCCTCCATGAGCAGAGAAAAGATGCTCTCCTCTGCCTGTCCGATGCTCATCATGTAGTGAAGGCACCCCCAGGACCGGGACCATTTTCTTAGAGCTGTGGCCTCTGGAATAGAGGGGCAATCACTGGCCATATAGAGAGAGGAATGAAGAGTTCTCCCAGGCAATTAAGTGATACTAGATAATACTTATTGTGGAAATTAATGGGTCCTTTATCTACCATAATGTGCATCCTCAGGGTATCTAATACTTATTAATGTTCTTTATATTAATAAAATTTGCTTTTAAAATGTTGTAGCTAGAGTTCTTGAGAAGGGAGCTGTTGCTAGTTTCTTGGGCTATCAGGGAGGAAAATTATGAAGATATCTGGGGGAGCCAGTAGAAGTGCATGCTTTTGGAAAGCTAACCTTAAGCCCGTTGTGCGTATCTAAGGGAATGGGAGTTTTGTAGATGGAGGTGAGCAACCAAGAGCCTATGAGGAGATCCTATTTCACTTAATGGTCACAGATGACTGAGAGGTGTCTCAGTTCTGTTTCCTGGCCCTCAGAGGTCAGGGAGGAGTCACTTTCCCCACAGGAAAATGGGCTTCTCTTAGAGGATACTGGGCTTGGAAACTGGACATTGTAGAGAGCAACGGTGTGGAGAATAGTCCAATAGCTCCTGGTTCTAGTCCCTGTTAGTGAATCCAAACTGCAGGAACAGAGATGGGGCTGATTCAGCCCAGGAACATCTCATTCTCTGCCCTCGTGCTATTCCAAGCCCTTCCCTTAACAACCTCACTTAAACCAAATCACTAGTCTGGTCCTAAAAGACTACAAGCTCTCAGCTTCTCAAACTCTGAAGTTCAATCCTTAATGGATGTCAGCTTTTTAGTGTCTCTTTAGATAACTCTCCGATCAGATCCTCCAGATCTTGGGGGCATAAACCTTATTGTGTATGGCACCTTGGCACACCCATGTCAGAACATACTAGAGTGGAATGGTGAACCATTAATCAGCTAGCTGAAAAAGGTAAAGAATTTAGATATTGCTGAATATGCCTACAGTTTCCTGCAGGTGAGCAATCCATACAATACTGTACTTAAAATTCCAATACCATTCTTCTCAGGAGCTTACTAAACATTTTAGGAACTAAGCCAACATTATTCTCCCATACCTGCCCTTTCATATCAAAGGGATAAAGGCCAAGATTGCTCCTCCATAGTTTATTGTTACCTTTTCTTTTCCTAGGTCAAGAGCTTTCTTTGGGCATAAGAAGCTCAACTCAATACCATCACCCCAGTCTCACTTTCCTGAACAACATCTGCACCGTGTCCTTTGGGTGTGAGATAAAGTTTAATCAAATCAGTAGAAACTTGGCTGTGACCTGAAATACTAGTCAATGCAAGAATCATGCCCCATCCACCTGGCCTTTTCACTACAGGATTAATGTGTTGAAAAGACCGAAGACCCTGTGACTCAGATCAGATTTCCTATAAACACTATATTTATTATGGAAATTTTTAATAGACTGGGTATTCTGTTGCTTTGATGTTTAATTCCATGTCAATAATGGAGGTAGAGAATTAAATGTGTGCTCAGTGACACCTCAAGTCTTTAGCTAGTTCTCATCTCCAATGTCATACTTCTAGTAGATGGCTGGGTTATGTATCACCACCATTGCCAGGAACTATTCTTTTCATGTTGTTTCCTGATCGTAGGTACACTCTTACATTCAAAAGAGCTTTACCAATGTTTCTTTCAGCTCCTCTTTCAAATTACTTATTTGATATGGAACAGTCCTGTGAGGGGTATAAGGAACACTCCCTTGGAATGTATGGAATATCATCCTATGGTGGTGAAATGTCTCAACGTGTGTAATATTATGCACCTGGGGACTCATGCTTTTGAAAACTGATTATGGCATTTTCTCTGGGACTTTTCAGTCTAGTTTGCATGCTGAGGTCTAAGTTGATGTCAGCCATGTTAGACGTGCAGTACCAGACCAGAGGGTGGGCACCTCGGCAGCATGAGGTCCCATCAAACCTGGCCCACTTTTCCCAGACTACCTTACAGTGCTCTTTGCCCACATCTCTGTACGTCCACCCAGACTCTTCTGCTCCCAACACCCTCCTACACCCAGCGCTTTCCCACTTCTCTCTTTCTCTTATATTATTTCATCTTTCCCTTTGCCCATTTAGCAATGTGAGTTACCATGGTTTAGCCTCTGAATGCCAGCTTCTTCAACATTAACACTAGAGTCAAGTTGTTCTTCCTTATTCATCCAACAAACATTTATTGAGTACCTAGTACTTACCAATTGACGTGCTAGGTTCAGGGTACCCATCGGTGAATAGGCAACCATGCTCTCTACTTTGTGGAGCTTTACAGTCTATTGAGGGAGGCAGAAAATAAGCTGGGAGCAAACAAGTAAGTAAGAAAGAATAAGCAAAGAGAGAATAATAGGGAGAATGTACTTAGAGAGGGTGGTGAGATTTAAGCTAAGTCCTGAAAAATAAGAAGTCAGGTGTTCTTTGCAAGTGAGAATAGAGACAGGGCACCTGGCAGAAGGGACAGCATGTGATGTGATTTGATGCAAGCTTTAAAAACTTGGTCTGGCTGCATGTGATGAGTGCATATGGGAGGAAGACAGGAATTGAAGTGTGGACACCACCAGGGGGCTATGGAAGTAGTCCAGAAGGAATTGATGGATGGATGAGAATGGTGGCAGTGAAAATCAAGGGAAGTGATGATGTTGGATTGGACATAAAGGGTGAGGGACAAGGAGGGGCCAAAGATGGATCATTCCCAGGTTTCAGTCTTGAAAGTTGGGGATGAAGCCTTCTCAACCAATTGAAAGCCTCTACTTGCCTCTTCCCAGCCTCATGCAAGGCACCCAATAAGAGATCAAAACATGTCTGTTCCCTTTCTGTTTTCTTTGAAGACTTAGCAGCGCATTCCATATAACACTTGTTTGGCGGTAACTCACATACTATCATGTGACATATCTTCCACTGTTTTTCAAATTAAAGATACTGGAATGTATCAACAACAAACACTAAAAGTATACAATTTGCCATTCTAGGAAACAGCCCACATAGCTTTTTGAGGACAACAGTTTCTTTCTGTGATAGTTAGATCATAATGGCAAAAAGAAAGCACCAATTAGAATTCCTCTTTACAATTTTAATTTCATCTAATATTCTATTCCTGACTAGTTATGTGCTCATAGTCTAGGGTAATATTAATGTTGGGTGCATTTCCAAAGGTTCAAGGCAGACGTCAGTCACGACCCTTACTCGTGATTGTGGACATGAGGGTAAATGACAGATTTGCATTGGTGGGAAATGCTGAGGCTAAGCTGGGGTTGGATGTCTAGAGTGAATGGCCAAATTGGCAGGAGGACCCTGAGCAGATCAAATGTTTTCAGTCAGGCTCATTTGCACAGCCAGTGAGAGAAACAAAAGAATCTGAGCTTGCTTATTGAATGTTGAAGGTTAAGGAAGGGATAGGTAAGCTGCTAAAGGAGGAAACTGAGGAAGCCTGTTCTCTAAAAATCTGTGGTTTAGATCACTTAGCTGAAGATCTCAGGTCAGATGTACACTCATGGGTTTCTTAACCAATAATGGAGGTCTGAGAGCCCAAAGATGATAGGTGGACTTGTAAATGGCTCAGCTAGGGCGTATTCTGAGTTAAGTAACACACAGATGAGTCCTGGCTCTGGAGATGTTTGAGCAGAAAGGTTCAGAAGAACCACATCTAACATGGTGATGGAGTTGAGATGAGACACTTAGCCGGAGAGATGTAAGAAAGCCACTCATCAACATTCGGGAGAAAATCTTTTATTAAGAAAAAGACAGTCTTTATATAAATGCTCCTATTATACAATTGTCCAAAAAGTTGTGAAATTAACTTAGTAGTTAAACATTCTGCTGTACCTAAAATAGCAAAACAACAAACACAGTTTGCTCAGCTTTTCCACGTTGGAAAAAAAGAAACACTGCATCAATTCAACCCATAATTTCAGCCTGTGCTCACAGGTTGTGTCTGCACCGAAGGAGCGATCTGAATGATAGGTTTTACTGCTGGTCATTTCAGCCATTCAGAAAGTGCTCCAGCCTGGCCCCTGCTGTGAGGAAAGACTGTGTCTAAACCACTGCAGCTGAATCAACGGACTAAAAAATTCTGTGAACCCAATTAGCTGTGGCATAGCTCTTTGAGTAAGCCACACAGTTGAGACATAGTGTCGTCTCTGCCACTCATCCAGCAGTGGCGAATGCCTAACCATTGACAGTGACTGCGCTGTGCTGCCCTTGTTCAGGTCACCCACAGGACAGGCATACTCTCCTTCACTTTTCAAATACTAAAGTGAAAATAAATATTGCCCGGCGAAAGGTATCAATTGAGAATGTGGAATGGGGAACAAACAAGGAATCATTGCCTAGCGATGACAGCCTGGAAAAACAAAATTTTGGATGTAGGTGCTTTCATTTTTCAATGATACTAGTTAATCCTGCTCCCCTTCTCCCAGAAATACACCGCTTTATTCAGTTCTGTGCTCAGCCTACAGGTCCAACCTCGTCCCTAGTGCCATGCACACCGGCTATTTCCCTTCCCATTTTGGACAGAAAACAAAGTGTTCAGGAAGACCCTACTGAGTTACGAGTTTTATAACAATAACACTCAATTACAATAGTAAAATTTTTTTACCAATTTATTTGTGGAGTTCCTTTCCTTATAGTGTTGATGCAATTTTTTTAAAGCCAACACTACCAAGAAAATGTATCACTATAATTAGTTTTTTATTCAATTTAAAGGCTTTAAAAAATAACGTTTGTCCTGACAAAATAACCAAATGTTGATCACCTATATATTTTCAGTTTCAAAAGAAAATGTTTTTGCCTTCCCCCAGGGCCTCTGCATAAGGTGAGAGTGTGATGATGACTCAGACTGGGCTTCTGTTTGAGTAACTGTTACTCTCCTGCCCAGGTGGGTTTCCCAAATTGACATTCCTTTCACATTTCTCACAAAAGCCATGGAATCAAAGTGGTATTTGGTCAGAAGTAGTGCAAGACTGAAAACTTATAGCCTGGGCAGGTATGGCTGCTTTGGAAATTGTGCGCCTTTATAAAATAAGAAAACAATGCTTCTTTTTAATAGCTTTAAAATGCTATTCCATGATATTAGAGTATTTAATGTGGAGGTGGAAGTTAAGCCAATCTGATGTTTTTTCTTTAGATATATTGGATTTTATCTGTCTAGATTACTCTCAGTTGTTTCTTTGAACTATAGTTTTGATAACATCACAAGGGCAAGTTATATTCGTTATTTATGGTACCTGCCACATAGTGAAGACTTTTATCTACATGCATACATTCTTTTTCTTTCTTTCTTTTTTTTTTTTTTTTTGAGATGGAGTCTCGGTCTGTCGCCCAGGCTGGAGTGCAGTGGTGCGATCTCGGCTCACTGCGAGCTCTGCCTCCCGGGTTCACGCCGTTCTCCTGCCTCAGCCTCCTGGAGTAGCTGGGACTACAGGCGCCCACCACCACTCCCGGCTAATTTTTTGTATTTTTAGTAGAGACGAGGTTTCACCGTGTTAGCCAGGATGGTCTTGATCTCCTGACCTTATGACCTGCCCGCCTCGGCCTGCCAACGTGCTGGGATTGTAGGCGTGAGCCACCGCGCCCGGCCTACATGCATACATTCTTTACAGGTCAGGAATAGATCATGAAGCAACATCTATACGTTTTTAGGGAACATAGCCTCCTAAATTGTGGTTTCATACTCCACAACAAAAGGGAATCTGCAGTGTTCTCTATGGAAATTGTATTAATTTGCTTCTTTTCTCCCTAAATCATATGTTTCAGTTAACTTCTATTAGCAACAAGACATTTTATATATGTAAGGACTTACAAACTATGCCACACATGCATTTCTCCTAAAAATATATTTATAAAATTGATTGAAAGTTTAAAATGAATAAAAGTAATGCTTGCACTCCCTCTTCCCATGTTGGGGTCTCTCACATGTTAGCCCTCATAACAGTGAGGGTTGGAAGTCCCTGAAAAGAATGTTGCTCTCCACCACGTGCTCCTATAGCATCATGGACACATCTTCACGACAGCATTAATCCCTTTCAAGGGAAATGCATTCTCTACAAAATAGATTTTAGTGAGGTAAAATATGCATATAAAATTTACTCTTTACCATGTTTAAATGTACAGTTCAATAGCAATAAATATATTTATGTTCTTTTTCCCCCACTTGCCTTCTCCCCTCCCCCCTCCCTTCCTGGCCTTTGGTAACCACCATTCTCCTCTCTACCTTCATGAGATGCACTTTTTGTAGCTCCCACATATGAGGGTGAACGTATGATATTTGTCTTTCTGTGCCTGGTTTATTCCACTTAACATAATGGCCTCCAGTTCCATCCAAGTTGCTGCAAATAACAGGATTTCATTCATTTTTATGGCTGAATTATATTCCATTGTATATATGTACTCCAATTTCTTAATCCATTCATCTGTTGATGGGTATTTAGGTTGATTCCATACCTTGGCTATTGTGAATAGCACTGTAATAAACATGTGAGTGTAGATACCTCTTTGATATAGTGATTTCCTTTCTTTTGGATATATATCCAGTAATGGGATTGCTGGATCATATAGTAGTTTTATTTTTAGTTTTCTGAGGAACCTCCAAACTGTTCTCCATAGTGATTGTACAAATTTACATTCCAACCAGTAGTGAATGAGGGTTCTCTTTCTCCATATCCTTGTCAGCGTCTGTTATTGTCTGTCTTCTTGATATAAGCCATTTTAACAGGGTGAGATGATATCTCATTGTGGTTTTGGTTTGCATTTCTCTGATGATTAGTAATGTTGAGCATTTTTTCATATACCTGTTGGCCATTTGTATGTATTCTTTTGAGAAATGTCTGTTCAAATCTTTTGCCCATTTTTAAATCAGATTTTTTGATTTTTTCCCATTCAGTTGCTTGAGCTCCTTATATATTCTCATTATTAATCCCTTGTCAAACGGATGGTTTGTAAATATTTTCTCCCATTGGGTGGGTTGTCTCTTTACTTTGTTGATTGTTTCCTTTGTTGTGCAGAAGTTTTTTGGCTTGATGTAATCTTAATTGTCTATTTTTGCTTTGATTGCCTGGAGTTTACACCAACAGCAAACAATCTGAAAAAGAAACCAATAAAGCAATTCCACTTATTATAGCTACAAAAATATAAAATACCTAGGAATCAGTCTAATCAAAGAAGTGAAAGATCTAGACAAGAAAAACTATAAAACAATCCTTCTGAGAGGAATATTGAAGAGGACACAATAAGTGGAAAGAAAGTTCATGCTCATGGACTAGAAAAATTAATATTGTTAAGACAATACTATCCAAAGTAATTTACAGATTCATTGCAATCCTTATCAAAATACCACTGACTTTCCTCAAAGAAATAGAAAAAAATCCAAAAATTTATATGGAATTTATTTGATAAATAGCCAAAGCAATCCTGAGCAAAAAGAACAAAGTTGGAAGCATCACACTACCTGAGTTCAAAATTCATTATAAAGCCATAGTAACCAAAATAGTATGGTACTGGCATAAAAACAGGCATCGGAACAATGGAACAGAATAGAGAATCCAGATATGAAAACAGGTATTTACAGCCAACTCATCTTCAACAAAGTCGCCACAAACATACAATGGTGAAAACATAGTCTTCAATAAATGGTGCTGGGAAAACTGGATATCCATATGCAGAAGAATGAAACTAAACCCCTATCTCTCATCATACTCATAAATCAAATCAAAATAGATTAAAGACTTAAATCTAAGACATGAAACTATATGAACAAAACAGTGGGGAAACACTCCAAGACTTTGGTCTGGGAAGTGCATTCTTATATGTTTGTTTCTTTCACTTAATTGTGAGGGTTGGGGGCAATATGGTAGAATGTCAGGGTTGGGTTTAAATCCAATCTAGGCTATGGTTTAGTTTTGAGATTGAGGTTAAGCTATATAACCTCCCCAAATCTCCATTTTATCACTTGCTTAGAAAAAGATAGATTAATAATACCTCCCTATATCACAGGATTGAATATGGAATGGACATGAACTTACCTGCTATATGTTAGGTGCTCTGGAAATGAGAATGTTTACACCTAATTTTTAGTGTTATTTATCTTTTATGCTTCAGTCTCTATCTGCCCTAAGTAAGGAGTGTAATAAATGTATGTTGAACGAATAAACTGATGAATAGAGGGTGAAGAAGGAGTCATCAGGTTTTGCTTTGAAGGAGTTTGCCTGGAAGATATTTTCTTCTTTTTCCCCCAGCCAGCATTCCTCACTCAAATTCCTAATACTTTCCAGTGCTTATATAGTGTTAGCATGTGGGCAGGTGGACTGGAATGAAATGGCAGTGGCTTTTGACCATCCAGTGCCTACTTTTGAGTTGGTTAATTAGTCAACTGAGTTAGTTAGAAACCACTGTTTTGTATGTTAAGCCTAAATCCACTAAAATGGGGGAAAATGTATTTCTCAAAATTATTGCTGACAGGTATAAAGAAAAGCTTACAGCATTCCAGAAAGTGTCCCCAGCTAGCCCACTGGTGGCGAACTCTTGGCTCTGTGCTGTAGAAACCTTCAAGGAGGCTGGAGAAAGATGAATCTCCACTCCCCATCCACCATGTTGTAATACCAAGTGCTTTCCGTAAGCATTTTTTAAGCTAAAAGACAAACTTACACATCAGTCATTGTTATTTCATTAGTTCTCCCCTTCAAAATAACCTATTTCTTTCTCTGTGTCTTTTTTGCCTGTTGCTCTAAGAGCAGGTGATGAAAGAGAAGCCTCCCCAAAGAAGATTAAAACACGATTTGTTATGAAACTTCTAGTTTTCCATGGTTAAATGCTATTCAGAATACAGGTAAAGACACAAGGAGTTTCCCTGTTGTTTGCCAAGCCCAAAGCCGCAGACAGATGAGAGGGGCAGAACATGAGCAATGAGGGAATGTGGGCTGAGGGATTCCATGTTTAGACAGATGGCTTTAGGCAGTAGGGCAAGCCAGAGAAAGCAAGAGCCTGCCTGGAGCACCAGGCCCCAGGAGAGTAAGCAGAGACGTTTGCATCAACCATTTGAGGTCATGGGGAGAATCAAGTATGAAGACAGGATTCTCAGTCATCATCAACCGCAAAGTGTCACTAGGAAAAGAGAGTGGCTTTAGTCATCCACTGGATAAATGGCTTATTTTTCTTGAAGAAGAGCATTTATGAGAATGAAGTCATGTGGAAAAGGATGTCAAAATAAGAAGCAGTAGTGATAGATCTGGCTGGGTGCAAGTGGTGATGGGCTGGTAATCTGGCTTCCTTGTTATCTCCTGACCATTATGTGTTCTTGGTCTAGAATTGGCTTACTAACTAGGTTTATTTATTTATTTTTTAAATTAAATTCAATTAAATTGATTTTTTTTTTTTGAGATGGAGTCTCACTCTGTCACCCAGGCTGGAGTCTCGCTCTGTTGCCCAGGCTGGAGTGCAGTGGCATGATCTCGGCTCACTGCCCCCTCCACCTCCCAGGTTCAAGCGATTCCCCTGCCTCAGCTCATGAGTAGCTGGGATTACAGGCACTGGCCACCACGCCTAGCTAGTTTTCGTATTTTTAGTAGAGACAGGGTTTCAACATGTTGGCCAGGCTGGTCTCGAACTCCTGACCTCGAGTGATCTGCCCACCTCAGTCTCCCAATGTGCTGGGATTACAGGTGTGAGCCACTGCACCCGGCCACTAACTAGGTTTATTTCATATGTCAAAGAATCTGATGATTGATTACTGATGTCTGCCCCAGGATCAGAAAGACGAATTGTAGTATTCATGCTATTTCCTGGCCTCCCAGGTGCAGAACTTAACCTCCTTAGGCTTTATTTTCCTCATCTTGAGAATGATGCCAACTACAGCTATGTGAATTATTCTAAAACTAAGGTCTAACCAGTGAGAGTATTGTTTGAGGGTTATTGTGAGTACACTGAGTTCACTTGTTTATAAAACCATTTTCAGCATTCAAGTAAATGAAAGTTTTCAACCTTCAATATAATTCACCATAACTCACTCACTGTATGTTTTTCTCTTTCTTTTCATTTTGGGTATATATTAGAAATCCCAAAATACCACAACTAAAATGTTAAACACAATAAAACCTTAGGTTCATTGTTCCTGCATGTCCTATTCTTGTTTTTTTGTTGTTTTTTTTTTTTTTTTTTTGAGACGGAGTCTTGCTCTGTCACCCAGGGTGGAGTGCAGTGGCGCGGTCTCGGTTCACTGCAAGCTCGCCTCCCGGTTCACGCCGTTCTCCTGCCTCAGCCTCCCGAGTAGCTGGGACTACAGGCACCTGCCACCACGCCCAGCTACTTTTTTTTTTTTTTTATTTTTAGTGGAGACAGGGTTTCACCATGTTAGCCAGGATGGTCTTGATCTCCTGACCTCGTGATCCGCCCGCCTCCGCCTCCCAAAGTGCTGGGATTACAGGCGTGAGTCACCATGCCTGGCCTATTCTTGTTTATACTTATAATTTTTTAAAGACATTGAACAAATTCAGATTAGTAATGAGCTCACAAAAGGACTGGAAGACCTGAAAAGAGTAAGTGAAAGAACAGAGTAAGTGAAAATAAGGTACTAGTCAAGCCCTCAAAGTACAGATATTCAATGGGGACGTACTTTCTGTTCTTCTGAACTCCAAGCACATGGCAAAATTAGCAAAACATAGAGAAGAAAAAATTCTGTTTTAATTTTCTTCCTCCAGTAAACACTTTATTTCAGTTTTTCTCAAATTGGGTCTGCAGATATATTTTGAAGCTTTGTGATTTTTTTTCTTTAAAAGTTGTTCCCCAATTACTCACATTTAGAAACATTGCTTTACTAAAATCTTAAAATATGAAATATTTCAAATCTCAGAAAATAATGCAACAGATATCAAGAGAGCCCATCAATCAAATTGGGAGGATTTACTGTATTGTTTCTGATCTCCAATTTTTTAATGGAATACAAAACTTACGTATGTAATTAAAGCCACTCTGCAGGCTTCCTTTCTCTCTTCTTCCCACTTTAGATGTAGCTGCTAACTTGTTGAATTCACTTTGTGGCTTCATAGACTTTTTTTCTATGGTGGCATTTCATTAAGTTGTATCAAGCATTCACTTTTTTTCACTGCAAAAACGGATTAAACGCCTACTGTTCATCTATCTATTTTGGATACAAATGTGAAAGGTATTTAAGGAACAGAACAAAAGCACAGAAACGAGATTAGTGACTAAGAGATTAATTAATTGTACATTCAACAGATTTACCAAATACCCATAAAGTGCTAGTTCACAGTTTTTCAATAATGAGTGGTAAAGAACGGGTGATGGGTTGAGCAACTCTGATTCATCTAATACTAACACAGTTTTGATATTATTATCCAAATCATAGATTAATTGAGAGCTGGGACTGAGAATTCTGGCTCCCTAGATTTGGCTGATGATCCTTGGCATGGCCTCGAAGAAGTCAGCAGCACTGGCTCTACAGCTATCATTGGTGAAATATGGAGGCAATAAAACATTTTCTTCACACAGAGGCATTATTAGTATAAATAAGTTCACGTCCTTGAAACCTCTGAATGAAAGCTCATTATATTCCAGGCTAAAGATGGAATAGAGACTATTGTTGTTAAATAGAGATGAACAAAGAACATATTATTAATTGGGGAACTTGTGTGTTGAAAATTGGGGAGGATAATCATTCATTAGTTTAAATGAGGCTTTACATATTAATTGTAACCAATATATATTAGGTAAAATATTGAGAGAGACTGAAAAGGCCACATATACATGCTAATGTAGGTTTGGGTTTTTAAGCACTGGGGTTTTAGTGTCTCAGTTTAGTGAAATGCCCTAAGAGCCAGAAGATTTTGAAGGCTGAATGAAAACAAGAAGTGATTGTAGTTATCAATATGAGAAACAACATCACTCCATTAATGAATGTTCAAATTGTTTCATCTTTATTGACCTCACCTTTCTAAAGTAGATAATCCTTAAGATCCTTTCTGGTACTCTAGCTTTCTTCTTTCTGAGCAAGTTATTCCTTTGCATCTATGGTCATGATAAATGTATTTGTTCAAAACAGTGTCATCAGACTTACATTGTGACCAAATGTTGGATTGAAAACAAATTTGTTGCCTTTATTTAATATTTTGATGACATAGAAGAGATTTAAAAACTATTATTTATGCTATTTGAGACTTAATTGCAACTTAGAATATAGAGTTAACTCTTTTTCTTTTCGTAGCAAGAACTTTTTGGCAGAAAGATTTCGTTTCAGTGACAGACACAACATAGAAACATAAAATATGATTGTACACCTTTAATCTCATCACCAGGCAGCTGAGCTATTGGTCATGATCTGGCTTCCAAGTTGCAATCTGTGGCTCACAGCTTCCCTGAAATGGGCCAGAAAAGCAGGTTTATTGTGTTTCTACAGTTACATAGAAGTAGAAATGCTCCTTGGACCTCTGACTGCAATATGACAGACTAGGTTAAAATACAGAAATGTATTAAAGAGACATGTATTCACAGTTCAGTTTTTTAAAGATTCATACCCTCAGTATATTCCTTTTTGGTACTCCTGTAACATACTTGACCAGATGCCACTGTCAAGCCTTTTTGTACATTGGTTGCCCAAATTAGTTTTAAGCAAGATGATTTTTTACATCAGTTAAGATAATACTAATCTTTTCATTAGTTTAACTTTGAAATGATGTTTAAGAACATAATACTTAAACACAATGATTTTCCTATTTTGCCAGCAATAGCTCCAACATGCAAATACATGTGGACATTTCTTGAAAGAAATGTTCAGGATTATAAACATCGTTGCCGAAGTTCTCAGAATTACAAATTTATAATTCAGAACAAATTTTCAAGTTGAAAAAATAGAAAACTCAATGATTATATCATCTAGGTCTATGGATGAAATCTGTTAGCAATGTGGAGGTGGTAATAAAAATGGTCTTTAATTAAAGATAAGTATTTGTACATGTGATTTTTCTGGACAGAAATAACTGTTTATTATATTCTAAAACCCATGAAGGCAGCAGCATAAAGAAAACTACTTTGGGCAAGTTATTTAATCTTTCATACTTTATTTCTTCATTTGTAAAACAAGGGTAATACCAGTCCTTACATCATAGATTTATTGAGGGCATTGAATGACATAATATGCAAAAAGCACCTGAAACAGTCCTCACACATACTAAGCATTCAATAATTGTTACCTGTTATTATTTTTAATATTATTATTATTAGGAGTGATAATGCAAAACATTGATAAGAGAAAGGCAATTCAGGGTGTTCTTGTCTATTTTAAAGCCTTCATGTCTTAATTTAGAAACTTTTTCACTTTTAGTTAGGATATTAGGTCTAAAACACTTAATCTGACTTTTCTGTTAGAAAGGTATGATTATATATGTCAAAGAGGAGAATTATTTCAAAGTTTAATTACAGTTTGGATGAAGAAGTTGAGTGATTGTCTTTTGGAATTGGAATTTCTTTCTAAATTCCTACACTTTAAAAACTGAAGTGTTAACCTCACTATTGTAGCACACACAGGTTCAGCAGAGTCTTGTAATGGAATCCTCATTTCATTGCTTTGGAAGGGGTCCTATGAAGATAATTTGTCTGATGGTGAAGATAATCTTTGTGGCAGGGTCCCAGGAAGAAATGGATGGGACACTCCTACTGGGTAATTTGAGCAGACATACTGGGACCACAGTACAGACGAAGGTGCCAGGAAGTAGTCTACCAATGGTACCCCGGAGCTAGCACCATCCTGAGCTTTTACCACACACACCTGAAGGGAGCCAGCGGTTATGATCCTGGAGACAGAGAGGGTAACTGCAGAGAGCGCTGCCTCACAGCACTGAAGGGCAGCCTGCCTGTGGTGACCCTGTAGGGAGGGAGCTGGGGGAATAACCACCAGAACTTTACTGTCCCCGGCCGAACCCAACCAGAAGCCAGGGGTCATGGGGCCTGTTGGTATCTTTCACTTCCTATCCAACTTTCCGGTGTTGATTGCACATAAAAAAGCGTGGTGTGTGGATCTGTAGGGAAAATGGTGGGGGAGGAGTGTGGGGGGAGAACAAAATAAAAACAAAAACTAGTACAGGTTACCGGCAGTAAACATGTGACTAATGATAAAAGTGTTCCTTTTCTCCCTTTCTTTTTTTTTTTGAGACGGAGTCTCGCTCTGTCGCCCAGGCTGGAGTGCAATGGCGTGATCTTGGCTCACTGCAACCTCTGCCTCCCAGGTTCACGCGATTCTCCTGCCTCAGCCTGCCGAATAGCTGGGACTACAGGCGCGCACCACCACGCCCAGCTAATTTGTGTATTTTTAGTAGAGACAGGGTTTCACCATGTTGGCCAGGATGGTCTCAAACTCCTGACCTCAAGTGATCCGCCCGCCTTGGCCTCCCAAAAGTGCTGGGATTACAGGCGTCAGTCACTGCGCCTGGCCCTCTCCCCTTCTTCTTATCCCATAAAACTGGCATAGAGAAATAGGATTGCTCCTAAAGAGTTTAAATTATGTAAGCAGGGATCCCATTTAACATCATACTTTTCTGAGATAGATGCCTGTCAGGTGAAAGTTACTCTGAAGGTAGCATTATTTAAGATGTTCATATACCCAAAGAACAAGGATGTGGGTCAGAAAGAAGCTGTTGAAGCTACTACATGCTAATTAAATTAATGATTTTCTTTCCAAATTCCCGTTGAATCTCCATTCTTACTTAGCTGTGAATCACAACAAGTATCAGACAAATGACCCATTCCAAATACCAACATTGGTGGATTAGAGTATACTTAGTTTCACTTAAGAATTATGGGATTTTTAGTCATTTTATGATAATATTATTATGGTCACATATCATTTTGAAAAATATAGTTCATTAGGAATATAAACAATCTAATGGATATTTGGTTGCTTAATAACAATCATTTTAAGTATATCATATAAATGAACATGGCTAACATTTAATATTTTTCAGAGGGGATGATATAGATTCTGCCTTTATTTTGCCTCTGTAGTAAAATTATTGTTAAAGTAATTAAAGATATATTGTTCTACATGTGTATGCCTTTGGACAGTAATGATCAGCCTCTTTTATCTTATGTTTCACTAGTAATTATATCCCATGTAGTAATTATTAATTACCATATAATAATTATATAGTAATTAAAACCTATATCCTGTAGGTTTTAACAAATAAGAAATGTAAAACCATACACTTTCAGGAAAGGTCGTATTTCATAAATATTCTGTTATTGTGTTTATCATTTACTGTAAGTGTTAAGCCTGCGAAACATTGTAGTAGAAATTGCTAAGGTTAAAACAAGCCAAAACTATTCTTTTAGTAATTTAATTAAAAATTTCATTGTATGGTCAACTATAAATTTTACTACTTTAGTAACAGAAAACATAAAGATGCTCAACAAAAAATATTGCTGTCATCAGGTTTATGTAAAATTCTACAACTTCAGATGGACAAAGCAGAAAAAAGGTGGTGGCATTCAGAGGGCAGGTGATATGGAGATGAAACCTGAATGTAAAAGATACATCAAGGACACAGCTGGTCAAATGAATGGAGAAGGAACAGAAGTCGAATGGATATCCACAGGAAGCAGGGCCACTGGGGAGCCGGACAAGAAAAAGTCTTTTTGTGCCCATGGGAAACAAAGATTAGAATAAATTTTGTCCAAGCTGACAATGAGTACATCGGAAGGCATAGATTCCCAGAAGCCAGAGCAGGGTCAGAAGGACATGCCACACACCTGATGGCCAGCCAGTTATCAAAGTTGTAATGCTAATTTTGTCTCATGTGGGCTCTAGTAGGTGAGAGGACTTCTGGCCCTGTCATGGTACTGGGATCCTGTGGCAGCAGGATGCCCTAATATATGTTGTGGCATATTAAAAAAAAAATTGTCAGGTATTCACAATGCTTTCAGTTATATCTCAGAAGTAAAATTTGTTTTACTTTCTAATATAAAATAATTGAAATACTTATTGTAATGTAAAATAATAAAATAATGTAAAATAAAATAAGTGAAATAATACTTTCACGTCATACATTAGGAAGTATGATGTACTCATTAGGATCTGTGAGTGCATAGCAAAGAATGCCACTTAAATAAACACTGGCTAATGCTTCCAGCACAGCCCTGGGGACTCGACTGGAGTTCCCAAGTCTGGCTTGATGGCAGCAGCTGTTAAGATTGCCCAACTTGCTCTCCTTGCTTGACTTTCATCTCCTCAAACTTCTTTCTGATAATAATTTGGCTTTCCTTGTAGATTTGTCTACAGGGTAGCAAACGAACAAACAAGAGGATTCAGTCTGCTGTTTTCTACATCTTTCATTGTAAACAAATACATTGCCATCCTGGTTATTATGCATCAATAATTGAGGGTCCAATTAACATGAGTTCTCCAAGGAGAGAAGCGTCTGCTCCTCATGTTCTGATTGATTGGGTTGCAGGGCTCTGGACTAGACCTCGAATAGTGATGAGTTCATAGGGGACATCACTTGGTATTCTTTGCTACGTTTGGTTTTTCTCTCAAAGCGTAACAGGAAGTCTGATAAGACTAACTTTTACACACAATAATCTTTTGGGTACATTATTGATATACTTGGTACAATTAAACTGACTGACTTACCTGTGTCTTGATCCACCATAAATTCTGGAAACTGTCCTGTTTCAGATATTGCCCATCATAAAACTGTCTTACAAATCAATTAACTGAAAGAACAAGGACCAAATTTGAAAAGGATAAAGTCTTCCCTTTTGTTTTCTTTTTGGGCAAAGTTGATACTATAAGAAATTACATATGTCTTAACCCAAATACAAAAGTAAAAGTAGAAGAGTGAATTCTGGAAAACACTAGGATAATGAGAAAATATATATATATATTTTTCCCAGTTTTTTTAAAATTATACTTTAAGTTCTAGGGTACATGTGCACAACGTGCAGGTTTGTTACATATGTATACATGTGCCATGTTGGTGTGCTGCACCCATTAACTCATCATTTACATTAGGTATATCTCCTAATGCTATCCCTTCCCACTCCACCCACCCCACAACAGGCCCCGGTGTGTGATGTTCCCCACCCCGTGTCCAAGTATTCTCATTGTTCAATTCCCACCTATGAGTGAGAACATGCGGTGTTTGGTTTTCTGTCCTTGCGATAGTTTGCTGAGAATGATGGTTTCCATCTTCATCCATGTCCCTACAAAGGACATGAACTCATCCTTTTTTATGGCTGCATAGTATTCCATGGTGTATATGTGCCACATTTGCTTAATCCAGTCTATCGTTGATGGACATTTGGGTTGGTTCCAAGTCTTTGCTATTGTGAATAGTGCCGCAATAAACATACATATGCATGTGTCTTTATAGCAGCACGATTTATAATTCTTTGGGTATATACCCAGTAATGGGATCGCTGGGTTAAATGGTATTTCTAGTTCTAGATCCTTGAGGACTTGCTGCACTGTCTTCCACAATGGTTGAACTAGTTTACAGTCCCACCAACAGTGTAAAAATGTTCCTATTTCTCCACATCCTCTCCAGCACCTGTTGTTTCCTGACTTTTTAATGATTGCCATTTTAACTGGTGTGAGATGGTATCTCATTGTGGATTTGATTTGCATTTCTCTGATGGCCAGTGAGTGATGATGAGCATTTTTTCATGTGTCTGTTGGCTGCATAAATGTCTTCTTTTGAGAAGTGTCTGTTCATATCCTTTCCCAATTTTTGATGGGTTTTTTTTTTCTTGTAAATGTGTTTTAAGTTCTTTTTAGATTCTGGATATTAGCCCTTTGTCAGATGGATAGATTGCAAAAATTTTTTCCCATTCTGTAGGTTGCCTGTTCACTCTGATGGTAGTTTCTTTTGCTGTGCAGAAGCTCTTTAGTTTAATTAGATCCCATTTTCCTACTTTGGCTTTTGTTGCCATTGCTTTTGGTGTTTTCGTCATGAAGTCCTTGCCCATGCCTATGTCCTGAATAGTATTGCCTAGGTTTTCTTCTAGGGTTTTTATGGTTTTAGGTCTACCATTTAAATCTTTAATCCATCTTGAATTAATTTTTGTATAAGGTGTAAGGAAGGAATCCAGTTTCAGCTTTCTACATATGGCTAGCCAGTTTTCCCAGTACCATTTATTAAATAGGGGATCCTTTCCCCATTTCTCGTTTTTGTCAGGTTTGTCAAAGATCAGATGGTTGTAGATGTGTGGTATTATTTCTGGGGGCTCTGTTCTGTTCCATTGGTCTATATCTCTGTTTTGGTACCGGTACCATGCTGTTTTGGTGACAGTAGCCTTGTAGTAAAGTTTGAAGTCAGGTAGTATGATGCCTCCAGCTTTGTTCTTCTGGCTTAGGATTGTCTTGGCAATGTGGGCTCTTTTTTGGTTCCATATGAACTTTAAAGCAGTTTTTTCCAATTCTGTGAAGAGAGTCATTGGTAGCTTGATGGGGATGGCATTGAATCTATAAATTACCTTGGGCAGTGTGGCCATTTTCACAATATTGATTCTTCCTATCCATGAGCATGGAATGTTCTTCCATTTGTTTGTGTCCTTTTATTTCGTTGAGTAGTGGTTTGTAGTTCTCCTTGAAGAGGTCCTTCACATCCCTTGTAAGTTGGATTCCTAGGTATTTTATTCTCTTTGAAGCAGTTGTGAATGGGAGTTCACTCATGATTTGGCTCTCAGTCTATTATTGGTGTATAGGAATGCTTGTGATTTTTGCACACTGATTTTGTATCCTGAGAATTTGCTGAAGTTGCCTATCAGCTTAAGGAGATTTTAGGCTGAGACAATGGGGTTTTCTAAATATACAGTCACATCATCTAAAAACAGGGACAATTTGACTTCCTCTTTTCCTAATTGAATACCCTTTATTTCTTTCTCCTGCCTGATTGCCCTGGCCAGAACTTCCAACACTACGTTAAATAGGAGTGGTGACAGAGGGCATCCTTGTCTTGTGCCAGTTTTCAACGGGAATGCTTCCAGTTTTTTGCCCATTCAGTATGATATTGGCTATGGGTTTGGCATAAATAGCTCTTATTATTTTGAGATACGTCCCATCAATACCTAATTTATTGAGAGTTCTTAGCATGAAGGGCTGTTGAATTTTGTCGAAGGCCTTTTCTGCATCTATTAAGATAATCATGTAGTTTTTGTCTTTGGTTCTGTTTATATCATGGATTACATTTATTTATTTGTGTATGTTGAACCAGCCTTGCATCCCAGGGATGAAGCCAACTTGATCATGGTGGATAAGCTTTTTGATGTGCTGCTGGATTCGGTTTGCCAGTATTTTATTGAGGAATTTTGCATCGATGTTCATCAGGGATATTGGTCTAAAATTCTCTTTTTTTGTTGTATCTCTGCCAGGCTTTGGTATCAGGATGATGCTGGCCTCATAACATGAGTTAGGGAGGATTCCCTCTTTTTCTATTGATTGGAATAATTTCAGAAGGAATGGTACCAGCTCCTCTTTGTACCTCTGGTAGAATTCAGCTGTGAATGCATCTGGTCCTGGACTTTTTTTGGTTGGTAGGCTATTAATTATTGCCTCAATTTTAGAGCCTGTTATTGGTCTATTCAGGGATTCAACTTCTTCCTGGTTTAGCCTTGGGAGGGTGTATGTGTCCAGGAATTTATCCATTTCTTCTAGATTTTCTAGTTTATTTGCATAGAGGTTTTTATGGTATTCTCTGATGGTAGTTTGTATTTCTGTGGGATCGGTGGTGATATCCCCATTATCATTTTTTATTGTGTCTATTTGATTCTTCTCTCTTTTCTTCTTTATTAGTCTTGCTAGCGGTCTATCAATTTTGTTGATCTTTTCAAAAAACCAGCTCCTGGATTCACTGATTTTTTGAAGGGTTTTTTGTGTCTCTATCTCCTTCAGTTCTGCTCTGATCTTAGTTATTTCTTGCCTTCTGCTAGCTTTTCAATTTGTTTGCTCTTGCTTCTCTAGTTCTTTTAATTGTGATGTTAGGGTGTCAATTTTAGATCTTTCCTGCTTTCTCTTGTGGGCATTTAGTGCTATAAATTTCCCTCTACACACTGCTTTAAATGTGTCCCAGAGATTCTAGTATATTTGTGTCTTTGTTCTCATTGGTTTCAAAGAACATCTTTATTTCTGCCTTCATTTTGTTATGTACCCAGTAGTCAATCATGAGCAGGTTGTTTAGTTTCCATGTAGTTGAGTGGTTTTGAGTGAGTTTCTTAATCCTGAATTCTAGTTTGATTGCACTGTGGTCTGAGAGACCGTTTGTTGTGATTTCTGTTCTTTTACATTTGCTGAGGAGTGCTTTACTTCCAACTTCCAACTATGTGGTCAATTTTGGAATAAATGCAATGTGGTCCTGAG
Source organism: Homo sapiens (assembly GCF_000001405.40). NCBI lineage: Eukaryota > Metazoa > Chordata > Mammalia > Primates > Hominidae > Homo > Homo sapiens. The sequence goes on from NC_000013.11 coordinate 39,851,739, forward strand.
AAGAATGTATATTCTGTTGATTTGGGGTGGAGAGTTCTGTAGATGTCTATTAAGTCTGCTTGCTGCAGAGCTGAATTCAATTCCTGGATATCCTTGTTAACTTTCTGTCTCGTTGATCTGTCTAATGTTGACAGTGGGGTGTTAAAATCTCCCATTATTATTGTGTGGGAGTCTAAGTCTCTTTGTAGGTCTCTAAGGACTTGCTTTATGAATCTGTGTGCTTCTGTATTGGCTGCATATATATTTAGGATAGTTAGCTCTTCTTGTTGAATTGATCCCTTTAGCATTAGGTAATGGCCTTCTTTGTCTCTTTTGATCTTTGTTGGTTTAAAGTCTGTTTTATCAGAGACTAGGATTGCAACCCCTGCTTTTTTTGTTTTCCATTTGCTTGGTAGATCTTCCTCCATCCCTTTATTTTGAGCCTCTGTGTGTCTCTGCACGTGAGATGGGTTTCCTGAATACAGCACACTGATGGGTCTTGACTCTTTATTCAATTTGCCAGTCTGTGTCTTTTAATTGCAGCATTTAATCCATTTACATTTAAGGTTAATATTGTTATGTGTGAATTTGATCCTGTCATTATGATGTTAGCTGTTTATTTTGCTCGTTAGTTCATGTAGTTTCTTCCTAGCATTGATGTTCTTTACAATTTGGCATGTTTTTGCAGTGGCTGGTACTGGTTGTTCCTTTCCATGTTTAGTGCTTCCTTCAGGAGCTCTTGTAAGGCAGGCCTGGTGGTGACAAAATCTCTCAGCATTTGTTTGTCTGTAAAGGATTTTATTTCTCCTTCACTTATGAAGCTTAGTTTGGCTGGGTATGAAATTCTGGGTTGAAAATTCTTTTCTTTAAGAATGTCGAATATTGGCCCCCACTCTCTTCTGGCTTGTAGAGTTTCTCCCGAGAGATCCACTGTTAGTCTGATGGGCTTCCCTTTGTGGGTCACCAGACCTTTCTCTCTGGCTGCCCTTAACAGTTTTTCCTTCATTTCAACTTTGGTGAATCTGACAATTATGTGTCTTGGAGTTGCTCTTCTCGAGGAGTATCTTTGGGGCGTTCTCTGTATTTCCTGAATTTGAATGTTGGCCTGCCTTGCTAGGTTGGGGAAATTCTCCTGGATACTATCCTGAAGAATGTTTTCCAACTTGGTTCCATTCTCCCCATCACTTTCAGGTACACTAATCAGATGTAGATTTGGTCTTTTCACATAGTCCCATATTTCTTGGAGGCTTTGTTCATTTCTTTTTACTCTTTTTTCTCTAAACTTCTCTTCTGGCTTCATTTCATTCATTTGATCTTCAATCACTGATACCCTTTCTGCCACTTGATGGAATCGGCTACTGAAGCTTGTGCATGCGTCACGTAGTTCTTGTGCCATGGTTTTCAGATCCATCAGGTCATTTAAGGTCCTCTCTATGCTGTTTATTCTAGTTAGCCATTGGTCTAATCTTTTTCCAAGGTTTTTAGCTTCCTTGCAATGGGTTTGAACATCCTCCTTTAGCTTGGAGAAGTTTGTTATTACCGATTGTGTGAAGCCGTCTTCTCTCAACTCGTCAAAGTCATTCTCTGTCCAGCTTTGTTCCATTGCTGGCAAGGAGCTGCGTTCCTTTGGAGGAGAAGAGGCACTCTGATTTTTATAATTTTCAGCTTTTCTGCTCTGGTTTCTCCCCATCTTTGTGGTTTTATCTACCTTTGGTCTTTGATGATGCTGATGTACAGATGGGGTTTTGGTGTGGATGTCCTTTCTGTTTGTTAGTTTTTCTTCTAACAGTCAGGACCCTCAGCTGCAGGTCTGTTGGAGTTTGCTGGAGTCCACTCCAGACCCTGTTTGCCTGGGTATCACCAGCCGAGTCTGCAGAGCAGCAAATATTGCAGAATGGCAAATGTTGCTGTCTGATCCTTCCTTTGGAAGCTTCGTCTCTGAGGGGCACCTGGATGTATGAGGTGTCCAGTAGGGAGGTGTCTCCCAGTTAGGCTACTCGGGGGTCAGGGACTCACTTTAGGAGGCAGTCTGTCCATTCTTAGAACTCAAACTCTGTGCTGGGAGCACCACTACTCTCTTCAAAGCTGTCAGACAGGGACGTTTAAGTCTGCAGAAGTTTCTGCTGCCTTTTGTTCAGCTATGCCCTGCCCACAGAGGTGGAGTCTACAGAGGCAAGCAGGCCTCCTTGAGCTGGGGTGGTCTCCACCCTGTTCAAGCTTCCTGGCCACTTTGTTTACCTACTCAAGACTCAGCAATGGCGGACCCGCCTCCCCAAGCCTCGCTGCTGCCTTGCAGTTCAATCTCAGACTGCTGTGCTAGCAGTGAGTGAGGCTCTGTGGGCATGGGACCATCTGAGCCAGGCATGGGATATAATCTCCTGGTGTGGTGTTTGCTGAGACCATTGGAAAAATGCAGTATTAGGCTGGGAATGTCCCAATTTTCCAGATACCATCTGTCACGGCTTCCCTTGGCTAGGAAAGGGAATTCCCCGACCCCTTGAGCTTCCCGGGTGAGGCAATGCCCCGCTCTGCTTCGGCTCACACTCCGTGGGCTGCACCCACTGTCTGAGAAGCCCCAGTGAGATGAACCCAGTACCTCAGCTGGAAATGCATAAATCACCTGTCTTCTGCATTGCTCATGCTGGGAGCTGTAGACTGGAGCTGTTCTTATTCGGCCATCTTGGGACCTCCCCTTTTTGAGAAAATATTGAGTAAAGAGGCAATGATAGAAATGGAAAGCTGAAGCTTTGTTATCCCTCTGCCTGAGTGAAGTTTTGTCCCTCAGATCAAGAAGTTGAACCATGCATTATATTTGCAAGTCAAAGCCTGATAAACTGAATGCCTTAGAAATTCTGGGGAGATACAAGTAAAGCATTCAAACTTGCTTATCTTCTACTTATTTACAGTTTATGTATGTCCTAAAAGGATTGTATGGTAATTTACAATATCATATAGTGTGCATAAAATAAAAGATAAATCCAGTTATATAAGTGTGAATTGCTGAACCACTTGAATGAAAGAAATCTTAGTTTTTCTTTTTCCAAATAGCAAGTAAAATCTGTCTTTGAGCAAGATTTTGTAAGACATACAAAATCAAATATTAATTTGTGTATTTTCCTTACCTCTGTTAGCTTATAGAACTCTGTTCCAGCAACACAGGAAAGAGTCTGGTTCCCAGTTGATGGACTGTGTTACTCTATGATTAGCTTCAGAAATAATCCAACCTGTCTCGTGGGCTCTGATGTTTAATGAGGATTGCAGAGATACCCCTACAACAGCTTGTTCTTTCATGCCAGGCTTTACCATGTAGACACTGCTATTTTTCAGGATGAGAACAAAAAAAATTCTCAGTCCCCCTACAGACTGAACAGACCCCCTCTTGGCCAAGAAGACCCCAGGGAAACCTTGGAAGCTGAGTTCCCAGCCACGGTGGGATGGGAGGTTGAACATGCCTCCTTAAACTCCCTCGTTGGCTAACCACTATTAGACTTCCTTCCCTAAGGGTTTAACAGAAACCAGCCCTTTGGGAAGACTCAAGCTGATACCCACCAGCTGCCTAATGCTGCCCCTCCACTTTGTGGTTTTGACAACACAACAACCAGCCAGCATTCCTTCCTGATAAGTGATCTCCAACCCCAGATTAGTTCTGTCTAGTCTATGGAGGAGGCACAGTGATGATTATCGTGTTCTCTGCTTCACTTTTTAATGTCAAATGGCCAGAAACTCCACCCTTAGATCATGCTAATGCTGCCATTTTTTGCACATGTGACTCATGAAGGGGCGTGAAGCTCAATTGCACATGTGCATGTTTTAGCCACTCTGTTCCTGTTCCCTTTGCCCCCGCCTTCCAGATGTCTGTCTGTTTCTGGCTTCTGCCAGAAGCTACGCTTTCCCAGCCTGTTAGAATGGCCACCTGTCAGGCTGCAACCCTTTATGAGTAATAAAGCTCTCCTTTCCAAATCTATGAGCCTGGTCATTCTTCAGTTGACAGGACCAAGGCACTTGGTATGCATACAGTCACCTTTATCTGAGGACCTACCACCTTTGGGGTGCTATGCAGGAGGGGTTACTGGAGTCTACAGGTGTTTACCGGTGTCTACTACCCATAGTCCCCTCTCTTGTCTCCCAGTTCTGAGGGCTTGGAAATGCAATACCACTTACTCTGTCTTTTCTCCTTATCGGTCAAAGCACAAGTCTCCAGTCCAGATGCTCATCTACTTTTTTGCCTTTTTCAAAAGTGCTGAGCATTTCCAAACACAGCTTTGGGGCAGCACAGCAGTGGGGTGGGTGGGTTATTTAGAGCTTTAGTCCTTGAAATACAAAAATAATTGCAAACTCCCCTAAAGACAGTAAACTTTGGAACTCAAATCCTAAGGCTTTGCTAGCCTTTCTATAAGGAAAGAAAAAGGGAAAATTACTTTTTTCCTTCTTTTTAAAAACAGTATCTACAAAAGCAACACAATGAAGACCCCAAGTCATTGTTTGTTTTTACATAATAATGCAAGAATAAAATGACAAGATTGTTTGTTTTTACATAATAATGCAAGAATAAAATGACAAGACCAAGAAGGTAAAAGAGGAGGGATATAAAATGGTTATATCAGAAACCTGAGTAAAAAATAAGTTTTTTTGTTTTGTTTTGTTTGTTTTTTTACTATAATACAGACTTCTAACAGCTCAGTAGCTAAAATGATGAAGGAAACACAGTGGGTTGCCTAGCTGTTGCCTAAAAATAGTAGGTGAACACTTTATTGTATTGATAAAGTGCGTTTGTTAACTAAGCATTTTCAGTGTAAGCTTTAATAGAACGTAGAACACTGCAGAAGTTGGCTAAAGCACCGCAGCTGATTTGCAAGTAGAATGAAGATTTCCACCACCTCTAACTCAGGGCTAAATTGGTTCTTAAAAAGTGGCATTCAATTAGGCTTTGTACCTGGGAGTTGCCTGTAGTGGTTTTGAGAAATCATTCATTTTTAATGAATTTTTCCACCTCGGGGGTCACCCTCACATTGACAACCCCTGGGAAGCATGAGAGGTGCCTCCCTCTCTGTTGGGTCCCCCTAGCAGCCACCTGGCAGCTGGTGCATGCTCCCACTGTGGCATTCTGCAGGTGCAGCGACCCCAGCACCACACCGCTGGGGAGGTCAGCTTCACAGTCCAGCTGCAGCAGCAAGTCATCCAGGTGGGGGTCAGCCATTCTCACGGATGGTCCGTATGGAACACATCTGCTGGAATCTCTCCCCCCACCTCAGGTCGTGGGCCCCCAGCATCACGGAGGACATTTCTCCTGCTGTGGAAGCAGCTGGCCCACAGTCAGCTGGAAGTCAGGACGGACCAGGGCACCCCCACAGAAGTGAATTTCCTGATCCTGAATCAAGATCACGATCCCCTGATCCTGAATCAAGGTCAGAATCCTGGGGCCCAGCCTCAATGAGAACAACTAGTGAGTTTTCACTCATTTTGTTCAGATTTCCTAAGGAATGGTTTTATGGGGGTGCCATCATCAATCTCAAATTAATTTCTAAAATTCATTTTTTGGCCTAACTTCTTGTTGTAAACAATTCCTCTCTCTTTTTTATTGTCAAACCCGAGGGTTTAAACCCAGTAGGCATGTCTGGCAAGAAGCCACTCTTGGTGTCTGATGTCAAGTGGCAGCAGCACAGAGGTGTGGCGGTGGAGAGTTCTAGGGAGATCCATGGCTGGGGGCAGGAAGGTAGTGTGGGAGTGGGGTTGGGGGAAGGGCCTGTATGTAAGCAGAGGAGGAGCTAAGTCCCAGCACGGCCAGAGCCAGAGCCAGAGCCAGAGCCACAGTCTGAAAAGAAGCCAACTCTGAGCCAGGGATGAAGGAAGATGAGGAACCCCAGGACCCAGAGATATGCCAAACCAGGAAATGGAAATGCAAAGACAATACCTAAGCAGGGGCAGGACCTGGGGACAGAATGTGCCCAGATGCATGGGGAGGAGCTGACACAGTTCTCTAGAGCTAAGCGAAATCCAAGAAAGGCAATGGGAATCTTTCACCGGCATCTACCACGTAACCAGCACTTTCAGGTGATCTGCTTGTCAGTTTTCTCCCAACTTCACAGTAATCTGGAGAGTACATACTATTATTTTCATTGCAGCAAAATACATAGTAGATCTTGGCTACTTCCTCACAGTAGCCAGTAACATAAAACAGTGCATATCACTAGCTTAAAAGATAATGAGAAGAAATCCAATAACACTCAGAATCCATTCATCAGTAAAACTCTAAAAGTGTATTAAAGACAAATTTATTAATGGCCACCATAAACACTATATACTTAGCCCAAGAGTTACCATTACATTTAGTAGAAAAGTTGAAAGTGACAAGACTGAGGGGTCCAGGCTACCTTGTTACTTATCTTAGTGGGATGTGTAGCAGAAATAGAGAAAGTATAGAGAAAGGAAAAAATAAAAGAGGCAAATATAGAAAAGTAAGATTTCTTTTTATGATAGATGAAACTGTCTACTTAGAGAACTCAAGAATGGTAGCCAAGAAGTATTAATGGTAATTAAAAGGCAGAAAAAAAAAATCCACAGAAAACCTGTTACCTCTACATATGGTGTTGCTACTTTTCAGTTACTGCACAGAATTCCATGTATGGGCCATCATACCAAACAAATTAAACTGTAGTGGAAATACTAGGCCAGATATACTCAAGATATGGTCAGGTCAGTTTTCAAATCAGTCGACATGATCAGTCCATTGGTTGACTTACTCATTCATTGACTCACTCTTTAATGATTGTTCATAAATAAAAACAAAGGCACTGCATTGGGGGGTATGGTGAGACAGCTTCTAGGGTCTCCATGCTTTTGAAATGTCCAGTCTATTGGAGGAGCCAGCTGTTAAACATGTGGCTGACATGAGGGCTGGTAAGTGCTAGGATGGGGGAGGCACAGGAAGGATGCTGCCATTGACCTGTCCTGGCACAGACTAGGTTTCAGAGATAATTTTTGTGTCATACAAGAAAAATAGTTTTGTTAGTTTAGAGGGCTACCTCATTTTAAAATACAAAATTAACCAACGAGCCAACCAAAAAAGTATCCAATGCCCTGTAGTTACTTGTTAGCTTTGCACAGAAATGACATTGTAAACCTTGAGTTTCATTCACCTGACTGGGCTTCTGCTGACATTTGGATCTTTTAATCTTTAAACCTTTAACCTTTTTAAACCTTTGGACAAAGGTTTGTCATCACTGAGAATACATGAGGTATCTTAAGTTATGAATGTGCCCCCTTAAGAGGGGCAACAATGCTCTGAGCAAGACAGCATCATTACCATAAATGTCAAACACCCCAAAGGGACTACTATAAAGGGGACAAAACTCTCTGAGATGAATCAGTACGGGATTTAAAAATGAATTCTCCTTACTTACATATCATCCCTTTTATGGCAGATCACCCTGGTTTTGCAGAGCTCTTAGTTAACCAGAATTTAGTGCTTATCTGCGCTACTGCTTTCCCTTAAACACTGAACAATAATAACTTTTCTAAAATGCTCATGTTAGGCATGGCAATTAGGATCAGATGAACTGGATTTGGGTCTCAGTCCAGCCTCAGGTTGTAACATGAAGACAGTCATTTAATTTCTTTAAGCCTCCAGTTTTCTCCAAAACATTTTATGAAAATATTCAAACAAACGGCAAAGCTTAAAGACTTTTACAGTGAACACCCATAATCCCACCATTTAAACTTAATCATTAACATTTTCTTTATCACATATCTATTCATGTATCTATCACTCTATCCATCCACTGATCCACTTACATTTTTGATGGATTTCAAAGTAAATTTGCAGATATTAGTATACTTCCCCTAAATACTTCAGCATATATAGCATTAACTAGAGTTGAATATTTGCTTACCATTTTTTATTTTGATGGAAAATGTGCATATTTAAAATGCATAGATCTTAAGTGTGTTTTTGCTGAGCTTTGTCAAATTGCTAAGTTCCAGAGTTGAGCCTCCTCCTTTTTTTTGTTATAAAATGGAGTTAAGAGCACTCATCTCAAAGAGTTGTGAGGCTAACGTATAACAGCCAATGTGAAAAGAGATTTGTAACTTATAAAGTAAGGTAAATGTGAGGTGCCATTTTTCTAATTGTAATTAATATTCTCATCTCTTTGATGAGTATTGCTATTAGATACGAAGCAAACTCTAAGAAGATGACAATTTCATTTAGACCTGTAACCTTAATGACTACACAAGCTATCACTGCCCTAGTGTTAATTGTTAAGCAGTTTGCACACAAATGATTTCACATGATTATGACACCATTGCTTGTGTGACATCTGTTCTGGACATCTGGGAAGCTCTGCGCTGTGTCTGGAATATGTATGACAAAGTGGTGATGGCAACATTCTCTCCCCTTAATTCAATTAACACGGTTGTGTTGCGTTTTCCAAGCTGTCTGTGTGGCCTCAGAGGCTTTACATCCATCTTGTAGTCCAATCACAATTCATGAATGTTTAACAAAACCAGAGGACTGTGGGTCAGAGCAGGTAACTGGATTTCTGTTTTTCTTTAACAAGACCACCCACAGCAATGAAGTTTCAAATGTGGACATTGGACCACTTAATGATTATATTTGGATGCTAGGGTATCCTCATTAGTAATATGTTAATAACTTAGTTATGATGTAATTTGGTTAATAAAATGATATTGTGGAGCAGATGGGGCAGGACTTGTCCGGAATTTTGCCTGCCTGAAAATTTTGGGCAGGTGTTGGAAGTTGGTCATGAGATTCAGGACCTGGAGAAAGTCCTGTTTAGCAGGTGTGGACAGGGCATGGTTGCAGAGGTAGTTCAAGCAAGTTGCCAGCATCAGAGAATAATTCCACAAGGAATAACAGAAGTATAACTACAAGTGCATGGTAACAGGGACTCTAGGGGTCATAACCTGTGAAGGGATCTGAGATCTTGCCCTTCTTGCAAGCTCACAAGTCAGACTGCCAGTTTCTTGGAGGCTGGCAGAAGACATAAGAATCCTGGGTCAGAGACAAAGTACTTTCTTATGACACAGCAAGCAGCATGAATTTCAGGTTTGCATTGGTTCCCCTTGATTCCCTAAGCCTCATGGGAACAAAGCAGTAAAAGAGAAGGAGATCCACTCTTTAATGGCATATTTGAGCTACTAATTTGAAAACCTAGGGAATGCTCAATCTATGAATATTTTGTAATGCAAGATAATAAATATCCTCATTATTTAAACCTTTTGAATTGAGTGTCCTATAAGTTGAAGCCAAAATCCACCTGACACAGTTAGACTAGTTAGATCATCATTGCAATAGTCACAGTGTGAGATGGTGATGGCAGTGGAAAGAAAAAGAATAGAAGTCAGACATTTTTATTTGACTGCATTTTGGAGGAGAAATTAATATTTGCTATTGAATTGGATCTGGGAGTTGTTAAGGAAGAATCCAGCATGACATCTAGGTGTCTGGCTTAAACAACCTGGTGAATAATGATGCCCTTTACTGAGATAGGAAAAGCTGGAAAGAAACAGTTTTGAGGGGATGGGAAGTTAGGGTGCTAATGTGAACACCTAGCTGGAGATGTTAAGTAAGTCTTATAGCTGGAACTCAGAGGAAAGACCTGGGTTGGAGTTGTTATATATAAATGGCATCTAAAGGTATTTATAATCTTTATTGGTTTATAACAGTATTTAAAGCCACGTCTTAGAATAGAGCCTAGGACAACGTACCAACGAATTTCAACATTTAAGATTTGGGTAGAAAGTGATGAGTTATTAAAAAGACAAAGAATGAGACCAGGTAGTGGAGAGGAGGGAAAGGGAAGGGAGGGGAGGGAAAGCTCTAGGTAGAAGGAGAACCAGAAGAGTGTTGTCATAGAAGCTAGGAGAGAGTGGTAAGCCAATGCTTCTGATGAGCTGAAGACAGAAAACCCTCTATTGACTTTCGTAACATGAAAATCACTGATGACTTTGCAAGAGTAGTTTCGCTGGGCTGGTCAGGACAGTTGCTGGATTTGAATGACTTGAGAAGAAAACAGCTAACAAAAGTTGCTCAAGAATGAGATGATTATATTTATTCTGTCTGCATGTATTTTAATTTTTTGACCAGGTGGGGAGAAAGAGTTTCCCTCCATGATAACACCTGGGGATCTCCCTTGAAGGTAGGTCAACTTTCTGCTCTTTCCAGGTAAAAAGAGAGTGATTTGCTGGGATATTTAATAAGGATCCCTAACTACCTCCACCAAAGGCATAGCTCCACAGTTTCTTGGGAGAATAAATTTAGGTTTGAGCCATTGATGGATTGTTATTTTTTGGCATCTTTCTATCCTATACTTAATTCCTTTCTTTTTTTTTTTTTTTGGAATGCTTATATTCTTTATTTCAAATATATCCTTTTTCTCAGATTACACATGTGATCAATCTTTCTCATGGCTTTCATTGACACTGCTTGTTTTCAAATTCTCACCCTCTTCTCTCCTTTCTATCACAGTTAGTTCCTCAGAAGAGAAGTCGACATAAACTGCTTACATTTTCTACACCATAATCCTTTGTCAAACCAGGGAAATAGATTTTGTCCTCATTACTCCATGGAAACTTTCTTTCCAAAGGTTGACAATCAAAACAAGGATACCAAATGCAATGGCATTTTCTCAATTCTCCTCTAACTTTTCTAGGGAACTTATTAACCTTGCCCCACTGCTTAAATTCTTTTCTCCTTTGTCTTCCTAGAACCTGTGTTTTTTGGACCAATTGTTACCTTTCTGACCATATTTTCTCTCTTTTTCTGATTGCTCTAAATGCCTGCATAAAAGCATTTTCCAGGTACCTTGCCTAGCCCCTTTTTTATGTTCTGCCTTTTTGTCATCTCATGTATCTTAGATGAACATATAATGTTCTTCATCATCCAATGCCAAATTTTCAAGATATTCCCTGCCTCAACTCTTCTAAGATGAGGTTCTGAAGGTGCTTCATCTTCCACTGGTTCAGGACTGTACATTGGTTCTAATACTGACAAAATCTCTTGAGATCCTCATTTCAGGAGCAAGTGAAGCCTAGATTTACTTTTAATCTGTGCTTAACCATTCCTATTATGTCTAGGGTATACTTACCGAATGCATTCACACCATTTTCTACCATATCTGTCCAATCTTGTGACCAGAAACCCTGGGAATAGCTCCTGGCGGTCCATTCTAGGAGATCCTAGTTCTGGCTACTTCTCCTTCCCCCTTCGTTCCTCAAGGGATGGAAATTGCTTCTTACTGTCCCCATCAACCCCCACCCCCACCCCCAGTACCTACTGGTTGCTTTTCGCTTTTTCAGCATTTTCATATCAGTGGAACCAATTTCCTGAAGGTTCTGACTAGGCTCTGAATAATACATCCTGGCTCATATTACAATATATTACTGGAATGAGAGGTCTTCCCTGAATCCCAGCCTGACTTGCTAGTTCTTTAATAGTCTATCTAATTCTAGCTATCCCACAATCTGGAAAAGATGGGCCATTTTCCTACACCTAAGTAATTGGTTGGGGTCTTGTTTCAACCTATGTCATTCCATTCTGGAAAAATAAAACTGCTTGCTATCCATTTGACTTTGAGGCTCATCGCTTCCCAGAATATTCTATTTCTAAGTTTGCATTCACCAGATTTTGTTTATTGAATTCATTATCAGTCCAGACTGGATCCAAGTTCACTACTCTCCTTCACCACTCTAAATTGTCTAGGGACCACCTGCATTACAGTGTTACCATTGTCAATTCCTCTTTGTTATACATACTTTGCTACTCCGCATGACCCACCATTAACGTACGTTAGTATGTGTGTCCCAGGAACACTCTGCTCAGGGAGATCAAAACTAACTTCAGACCATCTCTACTCTTAAAAATGAGGATCCTAAAGGATTTGATTAGAGTGAGAACAACCAACCAGGTCTGAATCAGCAAGTATTTGCTTCAGAACCTGAGCTTGGAAGAGTGAAGGCAGGACATTTTGAAAAGTTCGCTCAGGATTCCTTACAGCTAAGTTCGTAAAAATTAAAATGAAAAAAGGGCTCCTTATTTCCCATGAGCAGAACTTTTCAAGTGGCCTCTTCCCATCTGAACAACTCCAGAGAGAATAACCTCTCCCAGTGTGTTGATACAAGAGGCCTGAGGGTTCCTTTTGACCTGTAGACTCCTAAGGGACTGCAGAGAGAGTTGAATTCAAGAGACAGTCGTGACAGAATGCAAAGAATTAATAGAGATGGTAATCACCTGACCATACAATCCAGTGATTAAGGAGGAGTTCTTTAGAAAACTGAAATGGATGGAATTGTTCTTAGAGTTAGGTGATCCTAAAAAACATTTGACTTGTGAAGTGAATGCTGAGAGAAATTCCATAAGAAAGAAAAGCAAGCAGATAGTGTGACAAGAAGGAAAATGAGTCCAGCAAAAAGGAGCTCACCCATACACAGGTATTTAGTTTTCTGTATCAAGCATTGTGTAAGAAGCTAAGGATACAGTGGTAAGCTAGAGATACAGTATTGAACAAGCGGAAGAAAAGACTGTTAAGTGGAAGACAGATAAATGTGTATGAAACCAAATAAAGTATGGGAGGTGGTATGGCAGAGGAAGGGGCAAGTTGCTCAGAGAACATCTAGGCAGGGGAACTAAACTAGACACACTTCCCGAGAAGGAGATGAGTAAGTTAAAGGCCAGAAGAAATTAACCACATGAAATGTGAGGAAGTCATGATCCAGGACACAGGAAATTTACAGGGCACTTGGAAGGAGGAATTCAATAGAGCTGGAGAGTAGCGTGTGAAAAGGAGGTTGGCAAGTGGGAAGAAATGGGATTAGAGAAGTAGACGGGGACGGATGATGGAGGGCTCTCTGAGCTGTGTCAAGATGTTTGGGCCTTATCTTAAGGCAATGGTAGCCATTTAATAATTTTGGACAGGGAAGTACTCCAGGTACTAAATATAACAAAGTCCTTCCCCCAGATTTTCACCTAGGTATGCTTAATGGCAGAAGCTAGTGAACAGTTACCTGGAACATTGTTTGACATATTTAACTTTATGAAGTGGAATTTCTTGGTATCTTCGGTTTCATATTCAAAAACATTATGAGCATTTAGCATAATATATCTGTTTATTTTAGGATAAAATAGTTTAGAACATATACCTTTGATAAAATTGATGTATGTTAAATACAGAGCAAGCAGATACTGAGGCTCCAGGTGCCCCAGTCACATTGCCTTTTACTCTTGAAGTTGCAGAACTAGGAGTAAGAGTTTAAATGAGAATTGTGTTTTCCTGACTGAACCTAGACAGAGAGGAGAGGTGTTTTCCACTTAGAAAAAGACAAAATGCACTGGACATCTACAGAAATGCAAAAAGAGAGAGAGATACATGAAAGATAAAAGACAAATAGTTGCAGACTAGAAGCAATAAAGACAAAACGCCTTGAATATGGGAAGTGGAGAGGAAGTCTTAGCAGTCCCCGCAGCCAGCAAGCTTCTGGGGACAGTGTGACAAGTAAGGGAAGTTAGCCAGTCCAGCTAGCACCTTGGAGAAACCAAGGAACAAGGCACACAGAGCTCCCCTGGATGAGATGTTGCTTCTCATCTGGAGTAGCAAGATTATGCCAATTCCTATCCGGGGAAATTCTCTCACGTGAAGATTAAATAACATCAATATGTGTAAATATAGCTACATAAAACTATTATGTATACTTATGTATAATTAACCCAGTGCTATTGTTATTTTTAAATTAACAGCTTTGTGTTGAAAACCCCATGCAAAATAATTTCTTTCGGACTTTAAGCACCAGAGCCCATGTGACCTCCACCCCAGTCACGATCTTCATAGCTAGGCAGGGTCAGTCCTTGATTTATTCTCCCAGGTTCCCAATTCCAGGTACCTCTTAGTTTTGAACAATGCTGACAATCATAAAAGCAGTTAATATTTATGAGCGCTTATTGTGTGCTGGCACTGTTCTGAATGCTTTACTTGATTACTTCATTCAACAACACTCACAACGACCTTATTTTTATCCCTACTTATAGATGAAGAAAGAGGCACAGTGAAGTTAGGTGGCTAACTCAAGCCACACAGTGAAAGAAGGGGAGTCAGGATTCTAGTGTAGGTGGCATTGGAGCCCATGGTTTTAATCATTCTGATATGTATCCAGGTAACCAATTCATACAGAGCTGTGGTCAGAGCTCTCTCTTCACTAGAGAGGTCTAACATGTGTCTTTCAATGCTAATGCCCAGAGCTCCCTGGGAAGTGAGTTTGGAAGAGATCATGCTAACATGACCTATCTGGTTAGCATAAATCTTCAATTGTCTAAGACTGAAATAAACGTTGGGGCTGGAAAGCTACTTTGGATGAAGGTTGCAGCAGTTTCTCTCTCTTACATAGAGGGTTTTCCAACTACTTCTGATATAGTATAACTTGTTTTTCTGGAAACTCATAAACTCAGATTAATTACCATTGTACATTATAAGCCCAGATGAGCTTATTTTAGACTCTTTATCTGTAGCTTGGAATTCTATATATAGTAACATCCAAGTAAACGAGTTAACCATACTGTATATTTCCTTAGCCCATTCTACTTTCTACATTTCTTGAAAATTATTTTGTATTTTGTTACTTTCCTCAAATGTTCATTATCCCTTCCATCCTTCCTCTCACCTAATAACTTGCTTACTATTTAATTGAGAAAATTAAAGCAATCAGAAGGAGGGTTCCATAAGTGCACCTATCATGTGTGACTGACTGCATATGAGACTGTACATTCTACTTTCTCTCCTTTTAAATGTGGATGTACTATCCTGTCTTCTCAACAACGTCAACCCCTGTATTTGCACATGAAAATGGAATTTCATTCCCTGGATTCTACTTAAAGATATTGCCCAGAAATTCTCTCTTGTCTTTCCTGAAGAGTCAGCTCCCCAACTCCACCTTTTGAATGATTCCCATCAGGTGTTATTTGTCCCATGTACTGTGCCATTTCTCTCCTACCGTTTACAGCAAAACTCTTTAATACAGTTGGTTACACTTGATGTCCCCGAATTCTCTCTGTCCATTCTCTCTCAAGCTCACTCTTGTCATGCTTTTGTTTTTGCCTCTCCACTTAATGACCTCAATATTGCTAAATCCAGTAGTTAAAATTTAGTCATACTATTTAAACTATAATTGACATAATTGACTGCTCTTGCCTTCTGGAAACTATTTCTTCATTTGACTTCTAAGATACCACACTCTTAGTTTCCTATCTCTTTGGTTTCTCTTTCTCAGTCTCCTTTGATGTTTCATTTAAACATCTGATCTCTAAACATTGGAATATCTTAAGGCTCAACCCTTGGACCTCTTCTCTTTCACACCTACAGGTCATCTAATTCAGTCTCTTCACTTTAAATTCCATCTTCATACAGATAGCTCCAAGATCTATGGGTCCAACCCCTACTACTCTTCTGAATTAGACTCATATATCAAGTACCTACTCAAGGAACAGGAATATCAGCTTCATCTGTGTTAGGCAAAAATGAGGAAAGGTAAGAATTGAAAAAGAGCACAGGAAGGATCCGTGTCAGACCCTGTTAGTTGCCAACTCAAAATTCATTCCCCAACCTGTTTCTTGGAAGAAGTACTCTGATTTTGTTCACATATCCATATTTCAGGAGAGAAATCACATACCTACTATCTTAGTCCATTTGTGTTGTATAAAGGAATACCTGAGGTTGCATAATTTATAATGAAAAGAGGTTTATTTGGCTCATCGTTCTGCAGGCTGTACAAGAAGCATGTTGCCATCATCCACTTTTGGTAAGTAACTCAGGAAGCTTCCCATCATGGTGGAAGGCAAAGGGGAGTAGACGTTTCACATGGCAAGAGAGGGAACATGAGGATGCCACAAAGCCATTCATGAGGGATCTACCCCCATGACCCAAGCACCTACCATCAGGCCCCACATTCAACACTGGGGATCAAATTTCAAGATGAGATTTGTAGGGGACAAATACCCAAAGTATATCACCTGCCTCAAGGGTAAATCTTGTATAATCTTAAGCAATGAAGTGGTACTTATGCTAATCATTTGTTATAGGAGACGTCATTTCTGTCTAATAAGAATTGAAGAAAAATCTGATAGAAGGATTCTGAGAAAGGCTTCCTCACTGACAAAAAGAGAGGCACAGAAAAAGATGGACAACTTTCTTTTGATGGACGTTGAGGGCTCTGGATGAGACGCCTGGAGCTATTACAGCCAGCCAGCAATGCAGTGAGTGCTAGCCTGAGGACAAGCCCCATGCTGAGGACAGCCAAGAGGAATGATAGGAGGAGAACAAGTGCCTGGTGATATCAGGAGCCTTTGAAATAGCTAACTCAGGAGCTGCTCTACAGCTAAACTTCCTGTTCTGAGGATACAAATTTCCCTTATTGTTTAATCCAGTTGAGTTGGGATGTTTTTGTTACTTGAAGCTTAACCATTAAAACTAACAATAGTGTGGAAGTTTTCAGGGAGGTAAATCTGAATATACTTATTCAGGTTTAACTGGAATAGTCAAGGTCACAGATTCTCTACTCATTTTTTGTTCTGCTCACCTGTTCTTTTTATCTCAGCTGCCACTGAACAATTGACTGTTAGATTACCTGCTGATTTCCCCAGTTGAATGCCCATTGCATTGAACATCCTCTTTCTCCATTCAGCTGAAAGGCAAGATTGGAATTTTTCCAAAGAAATTTTATAGAATAAGAATGTTAAAAAAAAATAGGAATTTTCCTCTTCCTTCCCCCCTCCTACTCTTCCTCTTCCTCCTCCTCCTCCTTTTCCTCCTCCTCCTTATCTTCCTTCCTGTCCTTCTCTTTCTCCTACTTCTCCTTATTCTTTTTCTTTCATCGTCATTGTTAATTTAAGAGCACACATGAGACTGGTACAGATTTTGGGCACTCATTTCAGTGTGTTTTCCTTACTAACGCTCTCTGTGGAATGGAAAAGAGATGCTAAACAACTTCCAACCAAGGACAGCTTTTGACTGTGACACTCCAACATAGTGAATCAATCTTTCATCTCTTTCAGCCTTCGTCAGAATAAGTTTTTCTTTTAAAGCAACCTTGTGTTCTTGAGTCATTTATTTGCTCACTTATTCAATAAATATTTGTTGAGCACCTACAAGCAAGCCTTTGCTCTAGTTAAGAAGGAAACAGTGTTGAACATGACAGAAGGTGCCCCTGCTTTCAAGGAGTGTACATTCTAGCAGGAAGGGTGTGGGGGTAAGGTTACAAACAATAAAAGGAAACAAACAACCAAGGTAATTTCTGAAGGAAATAAACAAGGTGGCACGGCAAAAGATGATGTGGAAGGAGTGAGGGGCTACTTTAGGTAGAGTGGTCACATCAGGGTTTTCTAAGAGGACTTTGGAGCTCACATATAGAGGATGAGAAGGAGCCAGCTATGCAAAGCCAGGGAAGGCTGATGCAGGCAGAGAAAGCACAGTGCAGGGGTTCTGAAGTCAGAATGAGCTGGGCTTATTGGAGTGGCAGAAAGAAAGCCAGTAGGGCTTGGATATAGTGAGGGAAGGACCAACAAGGTATACAGGGGTAGATCATGATGGCCTGTGACTGTGGGAAAATAATGATTTAACAACAGGGCTGTGGGAAGCCATTGCAAGGTTTAAGCAGGGAGTTATTTAATCTGATTTATATATTTTTAAGGTTCCCACTGACTACTCTGTGGAAAGCACATCAATCTCTGCAGTTGTGGTCACATTGCCTTCTCCTCTTCTGTGGTATCATCTTCCTCCACCTCCTTCCTATAAGGAAACTTGTGATTGCATTTAGGGTCCACCGAGTCAAATTGCTCCATTTCAAAATCCTTAATCATACCTGCAAAGTCTTGTCTTTTGTCATACCAGGTTACATTAACAAGTTCTAGGGATTAGGATGTAAATATCTTTTGAGGAGGCATTATTCAGCCTACCAAAATGTGTATATACTGAGAAAGAGAGAGAGAGAGAGAGAGAGTTCCTGGCTTCCTAGAGTAACAATATACTTCCCACTTACCTCAGATAATTGTCTTTTTTTTCTTTTTTTTTTTTGAATCAGAATCTTGCTCTGTCACCCAGCTGGAGTGCAGTGGTGTGATCACAACTCATTGCAGCTTTGACCTCCCAGGCTCAAGCACGATATTTCCAGCTCAGCCTTCCAAGTAGCTGCATCTACAGGGGTGTGCCAGCACACCTGGCTAGTTTTTTTAATTTTTAATTTTTTGTAGACATGGGGTCTTACTATCTTGCCTAAGCTGGTCTTGAACTCCTAGGCTTAAGTGAGCTTCCTGCCTCAGCTGCCCAAAGTGCTGGGATAACAGACATGAGCCACTGCAACCAGCTTTAGATAATTGTCTTTATGGATGACCCTTACAGATGTATTCTTTTACCCGTCATGTGACTCTGTGAGCCTCAAAGCTCTTTCCTGGTCTTTTATTCCATCTTGTTTAGTTTTCTTGTAAATATTTTCTGTCTGAGTAAGGCTCATTATCTAATCAGTTAAACCATTCTGTATTTTACTGAGCTCTTATCTGCCAGGTATATTGTCTATCGTGTCACTAGAATCTATGCTTCATGAAGCAAGGGCTTTTTCTATTATGTTCACTATCACAATCCAGTGCCTAGAACAGTCCCTGGCACACAGCAGATACTTAATGAATATTGATTGACTGGATGAATGAATAACATGGCAGTGAACAAGCAGTCATGGACATGCACTTGATCCCTGAGCTCATGGAACTTTAATTTAATGGGACTTATGGCTGGCAGGCAAAGCTGGATTCTTTTACTTATAATAGTCAGTGTCTAGCCATATGGCTTTGATGACAAGTGCTGTTGTTCCTTGGAACCTGGCCACATTACATCAATTCATCCAATGACCAGCCACAGATTCATCATAGCTTCACATTTCCAAGTAAGTGAATACATTTTGGGATGCACAAAATTACTATTTCCTGTCAGAAGTGTCTCTCCAGTTCTCACATCCTTGCAGAATGAGGGCGATGAGAAGCTCTTGATCTCAATGAGAAATCAAATGCTCCTCAATCCAGGTTATTTCCTTCCTTGCTTCCCTGGGTTCTTGAATGACCTGTGATCCCTTTGGTCACATCTTATTCTGGAAGGAAGTATGCTGCCCAAGTGCTTCAGCTGTAGTGCTAGTAGAGTTTTTCTTTTTTTTTTTAATCATACTTCTGCAATAACAATAACTAACAAAAATTCACCAAAGTAAAAGAGAGCTACTTCTTTATCATGTTCTGCTATTTTGGCATCACTATTAAAATCATTCGTTTTCTAACTAATCCAAAAAGCTATGAGGCTAGAGAAGTGGTGAAACAGCTTCTACGTATTTTTCTTTAACATGTAACCTGGGTCTGGGTATGATAGTTCACGTCTGTAATCCCAGCACTTTGGCAGACTGAGGCAGAAGGATCCCTTGAAACTAGGAGTTTGAGACCAACATGGGCATCATAGCAAGACCCCATCTTTACAAAAATAAAAATAAAAAATTAGCCAGGTGAAATGGGATACACCTGTAGTCCCGGAGGATGAGGTGGAAGAATTGCTTAAGCCCAGGAGTTCAAGGCTGCGGTGAGCTGTGATAGCACCACTGCACTCCAGCCTGGGTGACAAAGTAAAGCCCTGTCTCTAAAAACAAAATTAAAAAGAATAATAAAATGTAACCTGGAAGAGAAAATAAAGATTCTAGGGAAAAAACTAACAAAATAAGGGAAGTTAGACATTCTGGTGCAAAATTAAATTCAATATACATCTCAGAATTTTCAAATTACGCTTCTTTGAATAAACAGTTTACGCTACCCAAACATGCTGATTGTTTCTGAATTCCTTTCAAACTTGGGAACATATGTAGGCATCGTGGTGGACATGTAAATGAATGTTTCCACGCAAAGGGTACTCATAAATCATTTGTTTTTCAAATGAAATGCCAGCTTATGTTAAGAGGACAGCATTACTTAGAAAAATATGCCACTATGGAAATTGATAATATATGTGCAGTTCCAGCACCAGGAAATCATTTTTAAACACAATATCTAAAAAATCGATATTTTACAGAAAAATAAATGGGCCAAGTGTGTCTTAATATTAAAGGAAGAATAGAATTACAGAAAAAAAGACATCAAAATAAGGAGTAAATACAATTTCATATCATTACATAAAAAGTATTTTCAGGACCACAAATATTGTAGCTGTCATCCTCATCCTCAACCTCATCATCATCAAAACCATTAAGAGCTTTGTATGTTAATAAAAATGTGGCACGGTAAAAAGAGAATTTTATACTTTTCTAGGAGCTAATATTGTATAAGAAGGCCACCCTGAAATGTCTACGCAAGTGAAAACCATACTGATGTCTACTTTAGGAAAATGGTAAAGTAAAACACATAGAGGGTTATGGAAATTCTCACTTAAAAAAACAAAGTTTTAATGGAAGTTCTCTGGACTATCTTCTTAATTTTTCTGTTAACCCAAAACTTTTATAAAAATTAAGTTTTTTTTTGATAAAACCTTTAGGTTCCATATATGTTGGAGGTGATTGAAATTTGGTGGAGGTGGCAATGGTGAATAATACAGAACTTCATGAAGAAGTCAGAAATGCCCTTGGGCTTTCAGATAAGCAATCTTTTAACACTTTCTGGTGAAAAGCAGGATTTTATAGCAGTTTGAACAATGGAACTGACATGGTTGGTTAGGGAGGAAGTTGTAGCCACGTGGTGTGAGCCACAGGGAGGCTCACAGGTAGCAGTGAGGTGCCTGGACAGTGGAGGCTCTGCAGAGTTTATGAAGAAATGACTTGTAGACCTAAAAAGAGAGCGCTCACAAAGGATTGTTGTCTCCTAATAACCAACTGTGAACCAACATTTTGGACTTAGTGAAT
Organism: Homo sapiens; assembly: GCF_000001405.40. Lineage (NCBI taxonomy): Eukaryota > Metazoa > Chordata > Mammalia > Primates > Hominidae > Homo > Homo sapiens. The sequence continues at coordinate 39,872,631 of NC_000013.11, forward strand.
CAAAATTTAGTTTAGACACTATGAACTATTATTATGTTACAATGGGTCAAATAAATAAAAATTTATTTACTTTTTAATTGCAAGAGCATAAGAAGGCTCAACTTTTCTAATTGCCCTGAGTTTCTGAAGTTTTGCCAGATTACCATTGAGCCCAGTTTTAGAGAGCAGACCAATATCTGTATTAAAGTCACTTTATGCAGAGAAAACTAGATACAGCAGGAGCTGTGAAAGAGGAACCGAAAAGATTTGCCAATAGACTGTATATTTGGATTAGAGGAAAGAAGCCTATCTCATACCTTATTACAATATCAATTCCAAATTAATTAATAATTTCAATGTGGAATGGAAACAAAGGGGGGAAAAGCAATATTTACATGATTCTAGAAATAAGGAAGCATTTTCTAATCATGACACTAAAATCAATTGTTTTTATCATTTTGAACATAAATAGCCTAAACAATATTTTTAGGTTTAAAACATTCAAAAAAATATTTGTTGTATACATACATATCAGATAAAAGGTTAAGATCTTTAATATATAATGAGCTCTTGGAAATCAACGATAGCTGAATATACCAAAAGGAAAATGGCAAAGGACATGAATAGGCTCGCTCAAAAAAGAAATATGGATGGCCAATACACATTTGACATCATATTCATTCCTTTTTTTTTTTTTTTTTTTTTGAGACAGAGTCTCACTCTGTTGTCCAGGCTGGAGTACAATGGCGTGATCTCGGCTCACTGCAAACTCTGCCTCCCCGGTTCAAGTGATTCTCCTGCCTCAGCCTCCTGAGTAGCTGGGATTACAGCTGCCCACCACCACGCCCAGCTAATTTTTGTATTTTTAGTAGAAACAGCATTTCACCAGGTTGGCCAGGCTGGTCTCAAACTCCTGACCTCATGTGATCCACCCACCTCGGCCTCCCATAGTGCTGGAATTACAGGCACAAGCCACCATGCCTGGCCAATATTCATTCTTAATATAATGCAAAGAAGTTCAAATTAAAAGCGATAATAAGATACCATTTCTCCTCTGTCAGTTATATAAAGGTTAAAAATGATAATACCTAGTGTTGGCTAAGTAACAAGCCAAAAATGATGGCAGAAGTATTCATCTTTCCACAGGAAAACTTGTCAATATTTATTAAAGTTCCTTAATGTTTATTAAAAGCATTCCTTTTGATACTGGAATTTCAACTATAAAAATTACAATGATGGTATAAGTATATTCATCTCGGGATTTTTAATATTAAAAAATTGAAAAAGCAAGCATTGCAACAGTAGAGAACAGAGTTAAATAAATTATGCATCTTACATAGTCATTGAAAGTTTTAATTTTGTAGTGAATTATATTGTAGAATTAATTTTTATTCTTTAAAAATTATATTGTAGAAGAATATTAGTTAACATTGGATAAATTTAGGCTCTTGTTTAAAGTCAAAAGAGCAGAGCGCAAAACTGCATATATTGGTGATCTTATTGCTATTAAAAATATTGTGTATATATCAAGAAGATATGAAAGACTATACAACAAAATGCTAGTGAAAACTGTCTTTTGATGTTAGGAGTACAGGTAATATTAAGCAGCTGAATGGAAAAGTTCTTATGCTTTACCCTGTAAAACTTTCTGTTTTTGTCACTTTTGGTTTGAATTAGTAATAGAATTTTGATTCAATATTACTGAGTTGACACAAAATTGAATCAAGGACAAAACTTAGGACATCTAGCATGATAGATGGAAATTGAATGACAAAATGATTTGGGGGTGATGGAATGATTTTAAATCATCTGGCTTAAAATGAGGACTTTGGCACAAAAGAGGAAGGTATGATTAATGTAGCTGGGCTGGTGGCATCCAGTACTGGGGTTTGGATGAGTTCCTTTGGTGGACATTTCAAGAGTCAGTTTGCATAAAGTTCTGAGCAGCCATCTGGGAAGGATCATCTCAGGACAAACTTGGCCTAAGAGCAAAGCACCACAGTGAGAGGCTCAGTGGTTCTGAGTTATCATCGTGTTTGTCACTCACATGGGTCCCAATACAATGCTGGTGAATTTCCTGAGTCCTGGGAAAGGAAATGGTTATATCAAAATTCAAAGACCGGATTTAGTTTTTAAAAATGTTACCAGAAAGTAGGAACACAAGCACACTGCTTTGGTGCCATTCAAGTAGAAAGTAATGCAAAAGGGGTGAATAGCATTCTGCCAGTTGGCTCAAGTTGCAGCCTTTGTAATTTTATACTCTTCTGCAAAAGCAGAGTAGCATCCTTGAACTATGCCACTCAACCCCACCCCTCAGCTAGGCCTAGCTTATGCTCTGATGGCTCCTTAGTGGGCACTGGGATGTAAAGAACTAGTTTCAACTAGCTTTTAGTAGGGACTGCCAATGAGCAGGAAATTGGAGTCCGGGATATTATTGAGCCTCAAATTATGTTTATATTAAATAGGACTTTTTCGTTGTTCCACTGGTTTTTAAACTTTTCTTTTTAACAGCAGACACTTTTTGTGAGTTAAATGTTATGTGTAATCCAGAACAAAAAACTGATTACTGCTGAGCTGACTGACATAAGGAGTGGGGCAAGGGGGAAGGAGTATAAAAACCCAGCGGCCCCTTGTCATCCTCTCTGTAACCTAGGGATACCTCTTGGAACCATTAGGGCTGAAAACCACAGATCCATCCAACTTCCAGAGATGTGCAATGACTTGCTCAACACATGTGGCAGCAAAGACAGGGCTGGATCCAGCACTCCTTTCCCTGGGATATTTTTCCCTCCCCATCACTCCCTGTATGATTTCTCTAGCACTTCTTCCTTAGAAAGCCTCTGTGGTGCTCCTTTTTGAGAAACACTGAGTCCTGGGGGTTGGGAGGAAGAGGAACAGAGCACATGTTACATGGTGAGATAGCCCTGAGAGAGATGGGACAAGCTACACAAACCTCAGTGGAAAAGCCGTACAGAGCCTGCACATGCCGGCCCCTGAGTCCCTTGGCAGTGAAGCCGAGCATCTCCTTAGGGCTGTGTTTTCTGGAGGACATGAAGGGGCCCTGAACAGGGTGGGTTTTCTGCAGGCATTCCCTCCTGCTGCCGCACAGTGCGGCTGAACCCTCTGGCCTTCCGAGGTCACCGTGGGTCCTCTGAGAGAGCCTTTGATTTAACATGTAAGGGAATTCCCACTGGCTGATTAAATATTTTTATATTTTATCATCTTCCTGCAGCTAACAGCTTTTGGCATGCAGGGTATTTTTATGAACGTTATAAGTAAATATTATGGGGTCAGTCACAGAGATGAACATGGATTTGCAAGCCTAGGGCTGGAAGACATTAGGCCTCACATTTAAAACAATGTGGGTATGGAAAAAATTAAAATATCGAGAACTTGAAAACACTCAAAGCCTGCAACCGTGCATCTATAATCCAATGTTAACAGAATTCAGATAAAATCAAATTGATTTTAAGTGCTACATTTAGATATCCAAGGGGAATTCATTGCTTTTATACTTGAGTTTTGAGCATTTATCAGGAGAGAGACAGTAGGATTACACTTTCACATTAAATATCACCAGTTTTGTTTTCCAGACAGGACTAGACCCTTCCACAAAGCATGACAGATTCTCAAGATGCCAAACCACTGCTTAGAGTTTCCAGGGGCCACAGGTCACTCTTGGTTCAAATGGCCCTTTGGAAAATAAAATAAATAAATTAAAAAAATGCAACTCCAGTGGCATCATGGTCTGGTACCCTCTTGGGTAAGAAAGTCTGGGTGAGCTGCTTGGAAACTGATGTCAGAAAAATCCTCCTTGACACACGGTGAGTCACAGCTGGGAATTTACGTCTTCCTAAGCAACTGCTAAACTTCTGCTGTGGTTGTGGCCATTTCATAGCCACAGGCCTATGGATTCCCTGGGGAATCCACGCATAGTGTTATTGGTCAGTGGTTCCTAATGACATCTGTCTCAAGACACCTCCTCAAAGCATCTTTTCTACTTTCCTCCCATCTCCCATAGTCCCTGGCACAGGTCAGGATGAATGGAAGGTGCTTAACAAATATATCTGATTTGGTTTGCTGATCTATTTTTCCCTATCAATCTCATTTCACCTCTCCCAGTGGTTTGCTGTTTGCTCTTGTGCTACCTTAAATCTAAACTTACATGAATCCAAATAATTTTATAAGCTTTCTCATTAGTTGGAGTGCATTTATTCAACACATCTATAAATGTTCTTCTCTTTCAAGTGTTGGCAACTTAACGGGATTTGCTGTTGTCTGCAAATTCAAGAGCCTGGCCTAAGTGTATGTAATTAACAGAGGCTTAGTGCCAGGGATATAGCAGACAGTCAGTAAATACACAAGGAGGGAAGGAAGGGATGGAGGGAGGGAAGGAGGGAGGGAGGGAGGAAAAGAAGGAAAGAGGAAGGGGAGGAGGGAGGAAAAAGGAAGAAAAGAAGGAAGAAAGAAGGGAGGAAGAAAGAAAGGTAGAGAAGAAAGAAGTCGGGGAGGAACCACCCTGGTGTATAGTTCAGTTCCATCAGGGTGATTTTGAAACCCCTTGTGAACATCCTGATTAAAGGATAGGCCCCTGTAACAACCTAGGTAAGAATCCTTTTCCAATAAGGAGGTGCAGTGGAGATAAGATGACAGAAGGGCGTGGAGGAAAGAAAGTGCAGAAAGGTCAGATAGTGTATAGGGCTGAGGCGCCAGGGGAACGGCGCTGAAGATGCTGACCTGGCTCCAGCAGGAAGTCGTGCTAAATCTCCTGCCAAGTTCCACAGCTCTGCTTTCTGCAGTCCTCAGAAAGCTCTTGAAAACCCTATTTGAAAAATGCTGGTGTAGATTGGGGTGTCTTATCAAGTTGATCTGAATGTAATGAAAATCTTCAGAAGTCTAGAACAGATGGTACCTTACACTTTCTCTTGCTTACCCAGCCTGCCTCTCTCACATCGGGAACAGATTACATCGTTCCAGGCCCAGCATCAAGCCAGTCTCTGACCCTGCTTTTGGAGTTTCTCCCCACCTTCCCCTCTTTGCCATGCCCGATGGCCGTCTTCACTGCCCCTCACCACAAAAGCTGGGAATCACACAAAGAGATTTGCCTGCCCTCTGGAAACTGCCCCAGGAGGTTTTACATTTTTCTTTGATTGGAACCTGTAGTACCAACTGACAAGCTGGGTTTGGGTCATCCCTGGAGAAGTCAAGTGGGATTGTAGGGGAGGGTCTTTTGAGAATGCACAAGAAGGAACCTAGTAGAGGGGACACGCTTATTTTTGTTCTCTGAAATGAGACTTTATTGACCTCCCAGGTGAGCTCTTCAATGTTAGAAAATAGCTAGGGGCTGGGAGCGGTGGCTCATGCCCGTAATCCCAGCATTTTGGGATGCCAAGGCGGGTGGATAGCTGGAGGCCAGGAGTTCAAGACCAGCCTGGCCAACATGGTGAAACCCCGTCTCTACTAAAAATACAAAAATTAGCTGGGCATGGTGGCACGTGCTTGTAATCCCAGCTACTTGGGAGGCTGAGGCAGGGGAATCACTTGAACCCGGGAGGCAGAGGTTGCAGTGAGCCGAGATCGTGCCATTGCATTCCAGCCTGGGTGACGAGAGCAAAACTCTATCTCAAAAAAAAAAAAAAAAGAAAGAAAAAGCAAAAAGAAGAAAAGGAAATAGCTAGAGAGGAGAAGGAGGGAAAGACGGACTAATTTTTTAAAGACTCAGCAAGTCATGGCTGGTTAAAGGTTAGATTTGTATGACTATTCGAAGCAGCTCTGTGCTGATAATGGCAATATATTTTTTTTTCTTTTTTCTTTCTTTCTTTTTTTTTTTTTTCAGATGGAGTCTTGCTCTGTTGCCCGGGCTGGAGTGCAGTGGTGTGATATTGGCTCACTGCAACCCTCCTGGGTTCCAGTGATTCTCCTGCCTTAGCCACGAGCAGCTGGGATTACAAGCATGCGCTAGCTATCATACCTGGCTAATTTTTGTATTTTAGTTAGAGACAGGGTTTCACCATGTTGCCCAGGCTGGTTTTGAACTCTGGACCTCAGGTGATCCACCCACCTCGGCCTCTCAAAGTGCTGGGATTACAGGCGTGAGCCACCATGCCCAGCCGATAATAGTAATATCTAATGAGATGAAATGCTTACTAAGTGCCAGGCACAGTGTTAAACACTAACTTCACTTACTCCTCACAAGAAGCCTGTGAAGTAAGTACTTTCATCATCTTGGATTTACAGATGAAGAAACTAAGGCTGGCAAAAATGAAGTAAAATTTCAAGGGTATGTAGCTGGTAAATGGCAGAACTTGAACTTTTGAATTTGTGTTTCTGGTTAGTATTCTATTATCTTTGTACTTTGGGACACACACACACACGTACACAAACTGAGTAAATCCTATTAAATAAATCCTGTTCCAAGATTAAAATTCACAATTGCCTTTTTTCTAGGTTTAAGAGTTTTCACTACTTGAACTTGCATTGCCTAGTTCTCAAGTGGGTTTGCTTCAACACCAAGCTATGTCACCTGCCAAACTAAAGCAATCTCTGACTCTCTCATTTCTCCCCCTAATGCACAAAGCACAAGCACAAACTGCCGGGGTGTTCTAGAACCCTGGACTAAAAACCCAAGACTTTATATACGCAACTCAAGTTCCTCGATTTTCTTTCTTTCCAAAGATTCTGAAATACCTTCTGGCCCACTGCTTCGTACAAAAGAGCAGTTTCCCTGACCAAGGAAATTGTGGTTGTGGGATTCTTGAGCCATCTTCTTAGAGAAGTTCCCTCTGCTTTTTTGTATTTGTGCAGGACATTTGTGCAGGGAGCTCTTGGAAGGACATTCAGATTTTGTTCAGCTGTGTCTGTCGACACATTTCTGGACTCTCTGCAAATAAGAGTAGATATGAGACTCAAGTCCTGGAACCCTTCTGTAGCTAAACCCAGAGTCTCAAATTGTGAAAGCTGCTTTCAGGGTCACATTCTATGGCACCTAGAAACACTGCACTGAAAGAGAGGTATGTTTCCTCAAATTTTAGCAATTGTAATTTCTTAGTGGAAGTAATTGGATTCCACAGTTTGCTTCCTATTTTGGAAGTTACAGAGAAATCAAAGTCTCTCATAAGAAAAGTATTTTTCCGTCTTAGCCCACTGTTTCCACTTTCAAAATATGTTAAAACAACAACAATAATAAAGCTATTTCAATTGTGCCAAATTCCCCCAGACTCCACTATTGTGACTGTGTTTCTAGTTGATATTCTATAATCTTATCACTTTCAGCCACACATCCACATACCACCCTGGGTTATTTATAAAGATAAATCCTGTGCTGAGATCAAAATCTACAATCTATTTTTTCTAGGTCTAAATTTGTTTTTGCGGCTTTAGAAATGATTTTGAAAATATTTTCCAGGGAGTTTATTTGTGTAAAAAAGATTTTGGTAAATAAATTACTCAGAACAAAACTAGCTTTTAGGTTGTCAGCTACCAACTACTATGTATTTGGAATATCTTGAGTTATCCAGGAACTGATAGTTAAGTGTTTGAATGATTTGTACTCTTAAGTTTTAATGTTTTCAAAGTGTGTCCGTCTAAAAATATAACTCCAAAATTCTGGCTCTTTGTGAGCATTGGCTTACTAGTGAATTAAACTTTGCATTATCCATACTTTCTGAACTTCAGTTTCCCCATCTTTAAAGTGGAATAAGTAATAAAATCTACTTCGTAAAATTATCATGAGAACTAAATGACATAAGACATGAAAAATAATGATTGCTCATCACACAACAAATGCTCCATAAACAGTGCGTGAAAATATTATCTAAAGAGTTCAGTTTAAAATTAATAATTGAGTTACGACATTTACAACAATTTGTGTACATCTTCTATCCCCAGGAGCCTGCATGCTGTGGGAGGATGGGCAGTGGCCTCCCTTGACCTTCAACCTTCTCCAGTCTTCAGCCTCTTCTGACACAGCAGTCTCTCAGTAAATATTGCTGGACAGAAATTCATCTGACTATCAACTTGCCATGCTCCCTATTGGCATTAATAAGTAGGAGTTGTCTATATTTGGAATTCAATTTCTTTTCTCGAAACACACTTAAAAATTTTAGCGCTATTTTAAAAAATAGTGGTTTTGTTTTACTCTTCTGTTAAAGCAACTAAATTTGAAATTCTAATGCAAATTCAGTAAATTAGTGTTAATAAGCTTACACCAAAAAAGAGTCAGCAGATAAATGATGTAATTGGTTTTTCCAAGGAGAGGTAAAATTGGGAGAATGACAATAATTTGTGATTTGCTTTGGGCCTTGTCTCAGACACAATAAGCTACAGTCCAGATAGTTGAGCTACAGTGAAAACAACAGTCAATCTCACATGTGAAAGTTATGTCCCCTCACTTGTGAGAAAACCAATGTCATCAGGCCCTTTGCTTGAAAAGACCAGTTGAAGGCACATCAAGCTGAATTCGTAGCTTTTACTCTGTAAGGAAAATATTTCTGAACTTTCATCTAATAGAACTTTTCTACTCTTTAAATTGTACAAATAAATGTATGAACAAATGTTCTAAGCTAATTTACAAATATTATCTGGTGTTATTGCAATACATCAAACATATTTGACTCAAACTATGGTTAGCTCCAGATTTAAATGTTGCATGTTCATGGGTGTAACACAGAGAACTTTAATTCATAGGACTGTATAAATGTTGGTCTAACATATATTTAGAATACCCAATATGTGCTATGACTAGTGCAAAGTGTTAAAGATATGGCACAAAAGAATAGGAGAGAAGTGCTAAGATGCTTGCCTAGATGATTTGGGACCACATTGTATAATGCTATGCTTTTGAATTTGAAGCACATCATATTTTGAAGAGCAAGGTGGTAAAAGACATTTATATTGAGTGGAGAACACTATAAATAGTGGCTATCTGGAGAGCTGGAAGGTGAAGGTGTCCAAGACTGAAAGCAGCTTTAGAGGGTGAGCATGCCATGGAGGTGAGAGCAGGAGTGACAGCTCACATGTTGAGTATTTGTCATCCTGGTCTTGTCAAAGTCAGCCACTGGTGCTTTCTGGCAAAGGAGTGGCTTCGTTTGTGCTTAAAAAAGGATGTCAATAGTGAGAAGGATGAATTCAAGAGAGAACAATTAGTGTTTGATCTTACCTTATGGACAGCTCGTCTGGACACAGGACGCACTAGCTTTCTCAATTTGGGGGAAGGCAGGACAGGCCACTGCTGGGACAGGCCACTGTGATGAGAAATTGCTGCTCTGCACTGCCCGCACATGAAGGGAGAACAATCTTGCCCTGTAGTATTTAAGCCATAAATTGGTTCATGTTTCAGATTACAGGGTATGACCAAGGCTATGTGTTCACTAACAGACATTTTCTGAGCCCCAAGCTGACTACCAACCCTGATGAATGCTATAAATTCATTCAGGGAAATGAATTCCTATCTCTTGACATAAAGTAGTCTCCAGAATCTGCTAGTATCCAAGCACATTTCTCCAGAATCAGATGCATTTCTCTGAAAGAGCAATAGCAGCCAATGGTGCAGTGTGTCCATCAGAGTTCCAGCAGGAAACAGATGGCATTCTCAAACTGTTACTCAGGGATAAATGTTAATAAAAGAGCGATTTAAAACAGGATGGGAAGATGTAAGGGCATGTAAGAGGGATGTTGAAAGACCCTGGGCTAAAATGGCAGAAACTGATAATGATGCATGAGCTCTTTATTGCTCTTGAATCTGAAGAGAAGTGTGCCAGTTCCAGATCTCAGAGAGGGTAACCATAGGTAGAATGTTACTGGAGAGAGGCTGTGGCATTTGATGGAAAACATAGCCAATCTGTGCACACTGCAGGAAGGGAATGCACAGACGCCCTTTCCTTTCACTGGAGCAGGGAGCCCACTGGTACAGCCTGTACAGATCAGCCTACAAGGGACACAGTAGGACATAGAGGGTGAGAGTGGGTCTGCAGGGCAAAGGGGAAATACTAAGCTCTGTACAGTTTTTGGTATGTGGTAAATCCACTTAAAATAATAATGATGGGACATTAGCAAAATTGTGGACTAGGAAGCTCCAAACTCGTGTGTTCTCTCAAAAAAGTATTTAAAACAAACAAACCCCAAATCAACCAGAGGCTGTGTGAACCAAATTTATGGAAGTTTTAGAAAACAATCAAAGGTTTACAGCAACCAAGCAAACAGCCAATCAAGAAAAGGTCATCTTCTAAATGTCAGTGAAGTTGTGTGGTGTTTTACCCTCCTTTGCCCCACTCCTTTCTCCTGGTGGAAACAGTCTTGGTCTTGAGCAGCAGCAACCCAGTTCCCAGTTCCTTTCTTTGAACCAGAAGGAGAGAGTAGACCTCCTTTGCAGATTATTATGTGTGTCTGTTCCAACCTGCCTGGGGATACCTGAAAAACTGACTTGCTCTTCTCTGTCTTACATAACTCAGAAAACATGCAAGAGAAGCAATGAGTACTGTTCAGAAAAGGTACAAGGGGGCTACAAACCCACTGATTGGCTGAGTCAAGAGAGTCTTGCTGAAGACATATGATAGTCCAACTAAGGCTTGAAAGAGAAGCTGGGGTGAGACTTTTTGGGAAATTAGGACATTCAAAAGCAGCTGTTTATATGGGGGAATCTAGGAAGCCATGTACATGGCTAGGTAAGATACATGCTTAAAAAAATTCTAAGGAGACCTTAGATGTTCACCCAAGACTGATATCCAGGCTCAGAACAAGCCTGAGTGCTAAAGGATTCCCCAAGCATACAGCTGGGTCTGAAAAGCCTGAGAGGTGCTTTGTCCTCCCCACCCCCACCCCGTCTCTCTGGTACTTTTAAAATTTTGTTTTAGCTCCTGGGACTCAAGGAAATCTATCAAAACATAGCTGAACATAAGCTAGAGGAACACATGCTTCACTGAGCACACATGACAAGAAATAGCCTTTGCAAAAAATGTTTGAAAAAAAAATCTCAGAACAAATGGACTGCTATAGCCTTCAGCAATCAAAATCAAAACAGCAAACTCTGGGGAGGGGGATAATCTGATTTCCAGAAAGACCACATTATTATTATCAAATGCCCAATATTCAACAACATAAAATCACTAAGTTTACAAAAAAAATCCATACAGAAAAATATGACTCATTTAAATGGATAAAATGAAATGACAAAAACTATCCCTGAGAAAGCTCGGACATTGGACTTACTTTAAAACAACTCTCTTCTGTATGCTCAAAATGCCAAGGGAAAACATGAAAAAAGAAGTAAAGAAAATCTTGAAAATGATATATAAAAATGAGAATATCAACAAAGAGATTAGAATTATAAAAGAGAACCAAACAGAAATTCTGGAGCTAAAAAATACAATAACTGAAATGAAAAATTCACTAGTGGGGCTCAAAAGCAAATCTCAGCTAGCCCAAAAAATAATCAGAGAATTTGAAGATAGGTTATTTGAAGTTATTGACTCTGAAGAGCAGAAAGAAAAAGGACGAAAAGTGAACAGAGACTAAAGGGCTTATGGGATGCCATCAAGAGGACCAATATGTGCATTATGGACGTCACAGAAAGAGAAAGAAAATGGCAAAGACTTTATTTGTTAAAATAATGACCAAAACATCCCTAATTTTATCAAATATGCAAGCCTAAAAATCCAAGATCAATGAATTCCAAGTAGGATAAACCAAAAGAGACTTATAAGAAGACACATTATAGTCAAACTGTTGAAAGGCAAAGCTGGAGACAATCTTAAAAGCATTAAGAGAGAAGCAACTTATCACATATAGGGGACCCTTAATAAGATTATTTCCCAATTTCTCAACAGAAGCCATGGAGATCACAAGGCTGTGAGATGATACATTTAATGTACTGAATGACACCCCCAGCCCAAAACACACACAAAACTGTCCCTGAGAATTCTCAACCCAGCCAAACTGTCCTTTAAAAATGAGGGAGAAATTAAGATATTCCTGGACAAATAAAAACTGAGGGAGCTCACTACCACTAGACTTGTCTTATGAGAAATGCTAAAGGGAGTTGTTCAAATGAAAAGGAAATGACGCTAGACAGTAACTCAATGTCAGATGAAGATATAAAGATCTCTGTTAAAGGTAAATATGTGAGCAAATATAAACACCACTAGTGTTGTAATTTTGGTTTTAACTCCATTCTTTAGTTTTTACATGATTTATAAGATGAATGCATAATATGTAATCATAAATCTTTTAGTGGATATACAATGTATGAAGATTAATATTATAACATTAATAACATGAGGTGGGGTGGAGCTTTATGTGAGTAGTTTTTAAATATGATTGAAGTCAAGTTGATATCCATTTAAATTATATGGTTATAACTTTAGGATGTTATATGTAATTTCAATAGTAACAACAAGGAAAATATATGTAAGTATATACAAAAATAAATGAGAAGGGTGTCACTACAAAAACTCAACACAGTAGACACAGTAATAGAGGAAATAAGTAACAAAAAAGCTTCAAGACATGTAGAAAACACAATAAAATGCAAAAGCAAGTCCATTCTTATCAGTAATTATGTTAGATATTAATGGATTAAACTCTTCAATAAAAAGGCATAGATTGGCAGAATGAATTTTAAAATATTAGAACTATACGCTGTTGACAAGAGATTCACTTCAGATATAAAGATAGATCAAAAGTAAAAGGATATGAAAAGATATTCCAGCTAAAAGTAACCAACCAAAAGAGAACTGAGGTAATAATATCAGACAAAATAGACTTTAGGTAAAAAGCTGTTATAAAGACAAAGAAGGATACTATGTGTTGATTAAAGGGTCAATTTATGAATAAGTTGTAAAAATTATAAATGTGTATGCACCAAACATCAATGATCCAAAATATTTCAGGCAAACATTGATAAAATTAGAGGGATTAAATAGACAGCTCAAAGATAACACTAAGAGACTTCAATGCTCCAATTTCAATAATGGATAGAACAACAAGAGAGAAGATGAATAAGGAAATGGTGGACTTGAAGAACATTATAGACTAAATACACCTGACAGACATGTAGATAACACTCCACCTAACAACAGCAGAATACATTGTTCTCAATTGCACATGGAACATTACCCAGAATAGACAATATAGTAGGCCGCAAAACAAATCTTCATAAATTTCAAAGATTGAAATTATATAAAGTACTTTTCTGATTACAATAAAGCTAGTACTCAATAACAGAATACCTGAAAAATACACAAATATTTGGAAATTAAATAACATACTCTTAAACAATCAATGGATCAAAGAAGAAATCACAAGGGAAATTAGAAATTAACTAGAGAAATGGGATGCAGCAAAAGCAGTATTAAGAGGGAAATTTCTAACTATAAATGCTTATATTAAAAAAAGAAGAAAGATCTAAAAAAAAAAAAACCTAAATTTCCTCTTACAGAACTAGAAAAAGAGAAACAAACTAAACCTAAAGTTTGAAAAATGAAGGAAATAATAGATCAGTGGAGAGATAAACAAAATAGGGAATAGAAAAACAGTAGAGAAAAACCAGTGAAACTAAAAGTTGGTTCTTTGAACAGATTAACAAAATTGACAAACCTGTAACCAGACTGACTAATAAACTAATAAAAAAAAAGTGACTCAAAAATGAGAAAGCAAAGTGAGATATTACTATTGATGTTGTAGAAATAAAAAATTAAGACAATGCTATGAACATTAGTAAGACAAAAAATTGTCTAACCTTAATAAAATACACAAATTTCTAGAAATACACAACTACAAAAATTAAATTATGAAGAACTAGAAAATATGAGTAGACCTATAGCTAGCAAGTAGATTAAATGAGTAATCAAAAACCTTCCAATAAAGAAAAGTCCTGAGCCAGATGGCTTCACTGGTAAATTACAAACATTTAAGGAATTAACAACAATCCTCAATGTTTCCAAAAAATTGCAGAGGAGGGAACATTTCCCAACTCATTTTATGAAGCCAGCATTATCCTGACAGCAAAACCAGCAGATACTACAACAAACAAAAAACCACTGCAGATAAATATCCCTTATGCATATTGATACAAAAATTATCCACAAAGTACTGGCACCCAAATTTGGTTATTAAAAGGTTTATATACCATGACCAAGTGGGACTTACTCTCAGAATGCGGAGATGGTTTGATAAATGAAAATCAGAGAAATATACCACATTAACAGAACCAAGGAAAACAAACCCAAAACATAATCATCTCAATTGATGCAAAAAAAAAGCATTTGACAAAGTAACAATTGTGACTTATCTTTATTTGGAATGTCCTATGTGCCAAGCACTACGATAGGTGTTTAATGTAGAATCTTTTGAATTCTATTACATGTTTTAGGGCAATACCCTAAAACATATATTATACTAATGTCTTCCTCTTACATATAAAGAAACTGATATTCAGAGTATTGAAGTAATTTATCAAAATCATACATATAAGTAAGGAGTAAAGTCAGTCAGATATTTCAGGTTTGAGATTACAAAGCCTAGGCTGTTTCTCCTATGTAGGGCCTTTTGCTCTGGCATCCAAGGAGAGTCAAAAGGAAGGTCCCTAATTGAGAAAGTCAATTTTCATAAATTTGACAAATTTTATAAAAGCTGACTGGCTTCATAAAACAGTCTTTGGTATCTTTATCCCCCTCCCCTCCCCACTGGTAATAGAGTACTATTATTTTGATTATATATTAACTTCTTTTGCTGAAATGTGGGTCCTGTCCATCTCACTCCAGTACTGACTTTGAACTACTGGATGTTGTCCCTTCACTTTTTACAGTCTCTTCAGGGAAAAAAGGGTGTGTAGGGAATCAGCAGCATAATAATTGAGCAGCAACAGCAGGGCCACTAAAAGATGCAGAAAATCAAAAGGAAATGAATAAACTGAGAAAGCTGGAATCAATTTGGTTTTGACTCAGAGTCATACTCTGTTTTGAAAAAAAAAAAAAAAATCTCTTTAAAAGGTTGGTGCCAGCTCACTGGAATTAAGTTATAAATAAAAATCAGAATTACAGCGTCCAATTTTTTTATGGGTTTTTAATAGGTACATTGTTTAGCTTCCTGACAAACTGATGAAATGCAGACCTGCGAAGTCACATAAATGCCTGTGGCATTTGTTTACTTGGACTATTAGAATAAAAGAGATCTTTTGAGGTTATACCCTTTTTGTAGTGAAACTCAAAATTGTGCTTCTGCAGACTTCTGAATTTGTACATGTTAAACTTTTAAAACCACTCTCAAATCTATTACTGTGCCTTAGCACAGCAGCTGGGGAGGTGGTTTACCTGTTGGGCCACGTGTTCCCACTTTACAGGTGATCTTTTCAGGCTAGGAAGTGGAAGAGCAGATGAGGATTCAATTTTTGTGATGCAACCCGAGGTGAAGGGACATTAATTCGGTCTGAAAGTCTGGGTTTCTATCAGCTGTAGAGACTTGCGATTTCTGAGAAGTACCTGGCATGTGAACTGGCTTTTAACCTGCATTATCTACAATAAGTAACTCCACACTTTGGTTTAGGTTCCATTTATTGCCCTCTGCTCGCTCTTGCTCTCTCTCTCTCTCTCTCTCTCTTTCTCTCTTTCTTTCTTTCTTCTTTGGTTTGAGACAGAGTTGCCAGGCTGGACTGGAGTGCAGTGGCGCCATCTTGGCTTACTGCAGCCTCTGCCTCCCAGGTTCAAGCAATTCTCCTGCCTCGGCCTCCTGAGTAGCTGGGACTACAGGCGCGTGCCACCACGCCTGGCTAATTTTTTGTGTTTTTAGTAGAGACGGGGTTTCGCCATGTTGGCCAGGATGGTCTTGAACTCCTGACCTCATGATCCACCCACCTCAGCCTCCCAAAGTGCTGGGATTACAGGCGTGAGCCACCATGCCCAGCCACCCTCTGCTCTTTCATAGCTTTGCAACAGCCTCTCTCCATCACTAGCCACATGCATAGGGATCATAGACCTGCCAATGACAAGAGGAGCACTTAACGTTAAGCAAGTGCTGGCCACTCTGTAAATCAGATTTAATATCATACCAGCTTCACAATTCAAACCCAAGTTGTTTTATATGAACCGGGCCTATTAAAGATAAAGCCTGACCTCCCCATCCCCCTTAAAAAAATGGAAGTTTAAAAGAGAAAAGATTGAAAAAAAGGAAAGAAAACTTCTATTTGTACTTCACACCAGGTCAGGTGACTACTGCTATCAAAATGCTTTAAACACGCGAAATAGAGTTGCATTAAGCAATAATTTCCTATCACTGAGAGAATCTGCTTATTAAATTTGCCAGAAGATGTCCTACCTTGCAGCCAAAATGACAGACTTGTGAATTTCATGCCACTGGGTGTGGGTGGCATTTCAGCCTTTCATCTCTGAAGGTAGAGGGTACAGGTAGGTCTCAGGCAAAGGCATTGATGGCCTCTTTATGGCCCTGCCTTTCCAGGTGGAGGTAGTTTTGGTTTTTAAGAAAACCTGGGGAGTGGGGACAGGAGTGGGGACAGCAAGTTAGCAGGTATGGTCTACCTGGAGGTCAGGTATCCCTGATCAGGAGCAACTCAGGGAGGAAACATGCCACTCAGGCTAATCAGCGCCTGTGATACCATCCACTTCCCTACTAAAATATTGACTAAACCCTTAAACAAAAGACTGGCTAATCCTCAAAGATCAATTCTGCCCTCTGGGGTTTTTCCTAATCAATCTCACCCTTGTGGGTCATGGGAGACATAGTCTTTGCCTTCAGGGAACACTGGGTGTGGATTGCAATGCCCTGTCTGCACTTTTGAATTTTGCAGGTCATTTAACTCTGCTATCAGCGTTAACTTTGTTCAAGTTTAAATCTAGAAATATTTTTCTTCTTATTCGCTGAAACCTTCCTCAACCCACTGCTCACTCCCCTCTCAAAACAAGCCTTTGTGTGGTTAGGAGTAAAACTGTGCCAGGGTGTAGCCTGCCCTCAGCAGAATGGAAGTGGAATGTGCCCTTTTGCTTGGATAATCTTTGTGTCTAAAAATAGAAGAGACACCCCTTACCGTACTGGTGACACACAGACTCATGGGAGATGAATAATCATATTGACAGTCATTTTGGGGGTAAGCAATAGAGAACAATGGGTAAAAACTGATCCTAAATTATAAAAATGAATATCACAAATTTCAAAAGATATTTTCATTGTAAGCTGGAGTTTTTGTTCCTTGCTCAATTCCTCTGCCCTTTTAATTTTTTTATTTTTATAAGCCAAAGCAGTTGCCCTCATTCACAACCTTTTATTTACCAGAGTGTGGACAGGGCACCTCCTCCATGTCAGGGGCACTCACACTCCCTGCATTCTCTTTGAGAGGTCTGACTGCCAGGCTGGCCGGGGAAGATGTGCATTGGTACATTCGAGGCATCAGAAGATAGAACACTTGTGACCTTACATCCTTTAGGTAAAGACACTTCCCCTACACTTTCCAATAATAAACCAACTTTCACGTTGTGTAATGTAGATTTGCAGGTGACTCTGTAAACAGTCATTTTTCCATTGCAAATTTAGGATACTTTACCAGCAATTTGCTTATTTTCAATAAATGGTAAAATAAAAGTAAGGGACACTCAACTGGAGTGAAACATGAGATGCATAACTTGAAATCTTTTGCTACTTACTACCAAATGTTTGTCCCCCTTCTCCACTAGATTGCATGCATACACACTGATATTAGAAAAAAAAAGTCTTATATTTTGGGACCACAGTGTTTTTTTGTTGTTGTTGCTCTGTTTTGTTTTGTTTGAGATGGAGTTTCACTCTTGTTGCCCAGGCTGGAGTGCAATGGCACGATCTTGGCTCACTGCAACCTCTGCCTCCCAGGTTCAAGCGATTCTCCTGCCTCATCCTCCCGAGTAGCTGGGATTACAGGCATGCGCCACCACACCCGGCTAATTTTTTGTATATTTAGTAGAGACGGGGTTTCTCCATGTTGGTCAGGCTGGTCTCAAACTCCCGACCTCAGGTGATCCACCAGCCTCAGCCTCCCAAAGTGCTGGGATTACAGGTGGGAGCCACCTTGCCTGGCCAGGACTACAGTGTTTTTGATGATAACAGCACACTGAGCCCTGGGGTGGAATGTCTTAGCAGATAACGGTGAACAAGATGAGTTCACTATGCCCATAAATGTCTTTGCAGAAGGGCCCACATGATGCAATGTAGGGCCAACAGTGAGGTTATATGAATCTCCTAGCCACTCTCTCCAAACCTGCAGACCGAATAAATATTGCTCCAAGTTGCCTGGAACTGGGAACTTGCCTAGGGACAGAACTGCAGCCTGGTCTTAGAGCAAATAATGCTCAAAGCCAGAAGTCACTTTACAGGTCGCAGAGGCCAACTTCCTTGATGTACATTCTAAGGCTCGAATGTTCAATGTTTAGTACTCTGGAGTGGGAGAGCAAGGACAAGAACGGAAACAGAATTCTGACACCCAGCTATCCCACTGTCTTTCATGGAAGCCGTAGTTCCTGCAAAAGATATCTTAAGATGTATCAATATTAAATTTATAGAAGTTGATAACTGTATTCTGGTAATGTATAAAAATGCCCCTATTCTTAGGAAATAAACCCTGAAATATTTAAGGGTAAAAGACCATGACATATGTAACTTACTTCAAATGGCTCAGAAAAGAAATTTGATGATAAATCATAGATAGATAGATAGATAGATAGATAGATAGATAGATAGATAGATGGAATAGCAAATGATAAAGCAGATGGGTAAAATGTCAGGTAAATCTGGGTAGAGGATTTCAATTGTGTTTATACATTTTATTTTTAAGCAAGCTGTCTGTAAGTTTCAAATTATTTCCAAATAAACAGTTTTTAAAATTTGCCACACAGACAAAAGCTATTTTAGGATGATAAAAGAGGCAAACTCCTCAGGCCTCTGCCTTGAGTTGGCCGTGTTTAGGATGGAAAGACTTCTAGCACCCTACTAGAGGCTGTAGAATTTGGAAAGCAAAGACTTCTCAGCTCATCTGGTGAGATGGATTTACTGGGTAATTTAAAAAAATTATATGGGTGTGTTCATTTCTCTTGTTCATTCATCTTAGTGGCCAGGTATACTTCCTGCAGTTTAAAGTTGAATGAGTCAGCTATAATTTGGGGTAAAATTATCGGTTTATCACAGTGTGCAAAGGTGCCCAATGAATACTGAGTTTAAGGAAACAGACATGTATCTTTAGGACAGTGACAGAACAAATTGAACATTTGCAAGTACTCAACATTTTGTGAAACATTTTCATACGTATTTTGTCATTTGATTTTACCCCAAGATTTGAAGTGCAGGAATTCATCCCATTGTGCAGTTGAGGAAACTGAGGCTCAGAAAGGCTAGTTCTTAATTACAGAGCTGTAAGTAGTGGGGCTGAGACTTGAGTCTTACTATTAGAAATTCTGTGCTCTTGTCACTAGGCTATGCTACCCTGTCTGCAGCTAGAGCAGTACACCCTCCAGCAGACATTTACTATGTGCATTCTAAGTGTCAGATATTGTACATGGCTCTGAAATCTGTGTTCCTGCTGCTCCTATGTGCTTAGTAAAATGGTGCTAATAAACTGCAAAACACTTTACTTTTTGGCCATTTAAAAAATTTCATTAGAGAAATACATACAAATGCCTGTTTTGTTTTGCTATTTTTGCCTTCATTTTCGTGTGCATGTAGAGACCCATTTTAGCTTTTATCATAAATGTGGTACCAATATACCTCACAAAGATAATCATAACACCTCCTGGGAGGTACTTGGGAGTTTACCTAATCCAAATTTTTCATCTTTAGAGATAAGAAAATTAACACCAAAAGCTTCAAGAAAATTGTCTAAAGGCACACAGCTAGTTAGACGCTGAGCCAGGACTGGAAATCAAATGTCTGATTACAGGTTTAGTTTATTCCTCCTGGAAAAGAAATAGTTTTTAGCAAAGTGTAGTTGGTTTTATATTAATACTTTTTTTTCCTTGACATCTTTTAAAAAGGGATAGGCTAAAAAGGGATGCTTTTATGTTGAATATACGTGTGTGTGTGTGTTTGTCTGTGTGTCTGTGCGTATGTGTGTGTATTCCTGATGTAAACATACAAGAAGATTAACAATTAAGCATATTCATCCAGAAGAAGAGGGAAGAACTCAGATCAGCTCTGTTCTGTGTTATATTTGTCTCTCCTAATCAAAACCATATGAGAAGCTAGAAAAGAACCCAGAGCCCAGTATGACTGCCAAAGATGAAGAAGAGACAACAGAGAAAGAAAAATGAGGGAAGAGTGAAGCAGAGACCCCATATTATTTCCAACATTTTAGCACACGCTCGCACTTCCATTCTTTATCAGATAAGAATGTTTTGCACACATTGGGCCAATTTACGCTGCACAGGAAAGCCTGTAGCTGTGCTCTCGGCCCACCACTTCCTGTGGGAGTCAGCAAAACAGGCTCAGCCCTTCCATTCCTTTGACCAAAATGCTTCCAAGTCCTAGCTAGGAAGGGCCCCATTGCTTATCTGGCCATTTGATGGAAGGAGTCCACAGTCAACTCTTGGCAGTCATTAGGAAAATAGTGTCCATTTCTCAGGTATCTTTTCCCACTCTGTGTGTGTGTGCGTGTGTGTGTGTGTGTGAATAAGAAAGCTTAACCTTTTTTGGGCTCACTGCACTCCAGTGCCTCACTATTCATGCAAGTTAATTCTTTACAGTTGTAATGATCTCTTCCCTTGTCCCACGACAATGTAGGTCTTCAGGTGCAGGGAAAGGTCTTCTACCCACCGGAACCAACTTTCACCCCACCTCTTCACTGCTACCAGAGTCCCTCTTCAGAGGGGCTCTACTTCGCATTCTGGGATGCAGAGACTCACAGTGTTTCTTTCCAATACATCATCCTAGGAGAGGAAAAAATCATTGGGAGGCTGCCCATTGAGATCCACTCTTTGGAGTCTCATTCCGAAACCAGCTTCTCCTGAGGCCAAGTGGCAAAGACAGATAAATAATATGGTGTCATTTAATTTACTCTAAAATAGTATTTAAAAAGGTTTAGTTTATGATCATCTCCAGATGTTTTCGCAGGAGTCCTTACTTCTCCTGCATCCCTCTCACACTGGTCATCCCTATTCTACTGGTTCTATATCTCATAGTTTGTTTCCTAGGTGCCACCGTCACCAAACAACTGCTAAGGATTTCTGTCACCCGTCTTCCTCTTGGTGTCTCTGCGGGTCTGAGATGGGAATGGGGAGAAGGAGCAGCTGGCTCCCCTGATTTAAAATCCCTGTCCCTGGAGCTGCCATTCTGCTGGGGCTTTTCTTGAAGGATTTTCTCTGAGGGCTCTTGTCCCTCACCCCAACCCAAATAGACTCTTGTGAAAAACAGAGCTCTAGTTGGAAGGCTCTTTTGGCAGACTGAGTGCCCTCAGAGTCTTTTGGTCTCCTTGCAATAAGGGAGCTCTCCCCAGAGCTGATTCTAGGCCAATTCTAAGAGTACAGGAAGAAAAATGGAAATTTTTCATTCAGGGATTGAGCCCCAGGAGGTGAAAGAGTGCTCCTGTCATCTGCATAGTTAGTATAGGAGAAGAAAAGCACCATTTTCTCACCAAAGCTAGGTTTGTGGCTGAGGCCTCTATAACAAAAGGCTGATAACGAGAGAAAAGCATACAAATGTATTTAGTATAAGTTTTATGTGGCACGAAAGCCTTCATAAGGAAATAGAGACACAAAGAAATAGTAAACTTGTGTATTTTTATGCTAAGTTTGATGAAGAGTAGACAGTTGTGGAAGAATATGCTTGGATCTAATAACTGGGGGGAACTTAGCAAGACTCGTTTGTTTAGATTCTTCTCTGTGACCCTGTATCTTCAGAGATAAGGCTATGCCTTTTCTCTGGGTATAGGGAGGGCACCTCATGAATGAGGGTCTCATGCCCTGCATCCGGGGAAGGTCAGAAAATGCTTTTTAGGTTTTATGACCTGCTGCAGGTGAGAAAGGTGGGGGGAAGATCAGAGTGACCTTCCTGCTTCTGCAGTTTTCTAAAATTCTTTCAGCTTAAAATATTCTGGGGTAGTGTGTCCTGAACCCCATCAACAGTGGGAAACACAGGACCAAAAAGACTCAGATCTGAAATTCAACCCACTGTTCTTTCCAGCATCCCAGTTCTGGCAGCACCGAGCGGCAGGGAACACAAATGGGAGAGCTGGGCTGGGCGAGCTTCCTGTTCGGAGGACTTGGTCCTTTGGTTTTTGATTATATTTCTTACTGAGTAGAAAGAATTATTTATTTTCATTAGGAAATCTGGAGGAGTAAAAGGCCTAGAAAGCATCGGTGGGGATTGTATAATTTATAACAAACTCCATGGGGGGCAGGGCACAGGAAAAGAGAATGACTGATGCGATCAAAAATTCCAGAAATGAAAGCAACCTAAAGATCTTCATAAATATCAGAAATCAAAGATCCTAAAGATATTCTTGCCCAGTATTTTCAACATTTTAAAACTGATTTTCTCACACAACACTTTTTCAATGAAGCTTCTATGCATCTCTACAACCCGAGATAATTTTCAGTAATTTCACTTCTTATAGTTTGGGACATAAAAATATGCACCCTTATAGATTCTTCTGTGTCCCTAGAGGTACAAGGTACTTTTCTTCTCCACATCCGTGGAAATCTCTGTAGCACAATCCCTGTAGCAGATGAAGAAAAATGCCTACAGATGGCCTGCCTCAAATCCTATAGCTGGTTAGCTGGCTGCCCAAGATAAGAACACATGTTTCCTGTCTTCCAGTCAAGAGCTTTATCGTCTATAATATTCTGTGTCCCTACAGTTCAAGTGTATCAAGAATGTGAGATGTACTTAAGAGTTTTCAATTCTTCAAATTCTTTAGAGTGCTCAAAATATTTCCTTGGAAAGAATTATTCGAAGCATCTTCTGGAAAACAAGCACATAGTATATCCATCATCCAAATGGTTCATTAGTCAGAGAGAGAAGCATTGATATTAGAAGCAGAGGATAGAGCCTCAGCCAAAACTTCAATCTGCCTCTGAACACAGGAGAGGGAAGTCAATGAGGATGAGAGTCACAGAAAAGAAGACACAGTGGCCATTTGAATTTGGCATGATAAAAACTGATGAACATATAGCCCAAAGCAGTATAAGGCACGATTCCTAGGTTTAAAATTTTAAGAATAAAATAACCCAGACAAGTGAAATGATAATTATTAAATGCTTATAAGTACCCCCAGGAATCTTCAGAAATTTAAACCACACTCTATAATTAATACATATGGGATTTTTTTTCTTTTAAGACAAGAAAAGTACAATTGTACTGAGAACACACAAAGGAAAATAGGAGAGTTCACCTTGAAAGATATAAAATGCATGTCCCTCTGAGAGTGAGAAAGAAGGTGGGCTCTGACCAGAGGAATCCTGAGAACTACAAGTGACAAGAAAGGACAGCAGTCCCTGGAAGGAATGTGAAGGTGTAAGGATTAGAGGGACTTCCAAGGCTTTTGTAAAAGGAATAGAGAGAAAAGAAACAGGAGGTCCATTAGTAAGAAGAAAGATGGATTTAATGATGAAAATAACATTATTGAGATAATTAACCGCATCAATAAATTTCTCTATTAAAAAGAAGAAAGAAAATATATCCCCAGAATCCCCTGGAATCTTTTCTTTTTGGGGGGGTTGGAGGGAGCAGAATCTGAACCTTTTTACAATTGGACACAAGTAAACAAGCAAATTTTACAATAAAATGAGTTCCAAAGCAAGCAAAATTTATCTATGGTATTAGAAGTTGAGGGAAGGTTAGCTTGGGGAGGAAGGACCGGGACTTCTGGGACACTGGCAATGTTGTTTCCACACCCTTGTGGGGTTATGAGAGGGGTGGTACTTGATGAAGATACGTTGGGCTGGATACTGTGACCCATATGCTTTCTTAGATGTGCTACACATTAGTAAAAAGTAAAAATCAAAACAAAATACAATGAAAGTTTAAAAAATGGTAAATATGGAAACTATCATGATATATAAACCAGAATCAAACGTGGGGTATTAAGAATAAGTAATAATATGGTGAGTGGCTCACATATGTAATCCCAGTGCTCTGGGGGGCTGAGGTGGGAGGATCACTTGAGCCCAGAAGTTTGAGGCTGCAGTGAGCTATGATTGTGCCACTGCACTCCAGCCTGGGTGACAGAGCAACACTCTGTTTTTCTCTCTCTAAAAAGAATAGAATAATGGAATTATAAAGCAGCACAAAGATATTTTAAAAATTGCTAGATTAAAAAAAATTGCTAGAAAGCTGAAGATCAAAAACAAAGCAATAAATCAGGGTACAACCATATCCTACCTTGTCAATTAATATATTCTTGTACAAATTATATATATATATTTTTCCAGTGGATATTTCTCATGGATAGGAATTTATATCCTAATTGAAAGTAAATCATCATATTATAATTTTTCTTTTTTACAACCCAAGTTTTCAAAGATATAATTTGTTTAAATTGAAATGTTTCCAAATATGTAGAAAGGAATAAAATAATATAGCCATATGTGACTTATAAGAAAAGACTATTCAATCAGCCAAAAATAATTTGATTGCTAATTGTGTGGCCAATTCAATACTATTTATCATTGAGCATATAAAAGAAGCAAAGGGTTTTTTTTTCTATTAAGAACAACTAATCTAACTGAGAAGGGAAGACTAACAAATATAAATAGCACACGAAACTACGTTGTTCAATTTTATGTCTATATAAGTGACAGTAGGAGTGAAATAGTATGACCTTATGGTGTCTTAGAGTATGATTTTGATTCTCTCTTCCCCTAAACATATTTTGAAATGTTGAAAAATTATTGTATTGACTGAAATTTGTATAGATTATAAACCAAGGGTCCTCTATTTTATAGAAATCATTGGATGGAGATCAAAATTAGATGTCACCTTCTTAAACAGATTCATTAAATTTTCAAAGAAGTAATGTACAACCATTAAATTTGCATTTGGCTCAAAAACACAACATTTTGTGAAAACCCTAGAAAGTTTAAAAACGGGAGAGGGGAGGAAATAGGGGGAATCTCTCAAGTTGAACGTCAGTATCACTGGGAGTCAATTACAAACACCATGAGTGGGAGGGAATTGGTCAGGACCAAGTGCCAAAAGCAATGTTGGGGTTAGAGTGTAAAGCAAATTACGTTAGAGATGGGAACATGACTTAGCAAGCAATGGTAAAAAAAATAACCAGAATCTGTGTCTCTGTCTAGCCAGTAACAAAACCTCCCACACTGAACGTGAAAAGAAATAGTGCAGAAGGATGAGCAATAGGTCATCTAAACATCCACATTTCAGCCTTGTTTCTAACCCACATTGGTGAGTGAATTAGAGGTTTTCCCTCAGTCCAGTTGACTTCCGGCTGACTGTGTTAGGTTGAATAATGGCCCCACAAAAATATCTACATTGTAGGCCTCAAAACCTGTGCATACGATCCTATAAGGCAAAAGAGACTTTGCAGATGTAATTAAGTTAAGGCTTTTGAGATGGAAAGGTTCAGGGGGCCCAGTGTAATCACAGTGGTCCTTGTAAGAGTGGGGCAAGAAGGTCAAAGGAGGAAGTAGGAGATGTGGCAATCACAGAACTTAGAGTGATCTGGGGAACAGATCAGGGACCAGGGAAAGTACACTGCCTCCAGAAGCTAGAAAAGGTAAAGGAATAGACTCTCTCCTAGATCCTCCAGAAGGAACCAGCTCTGAGAACAACTTGACTTCAGCCCAGTGAATCTGATTTTAGGCTTCTGACCTTCTGAACTGAGAGGGAATACCTCTGTGTTGTTTTAAGCTGCTAAGTTTGTGGTAATTTGTTACAGCAGCATTAGGAAACTAATACATTGAGTAAGATGATCAATTGAATTAGGCTTAGTTTTCCCTAGGATATTTCTCATGCGGGGTATTTAATTAGTACAATGCTTTGGCAGAGTGACAGGTAGTTAGTTCACAGCTAAGCAATGGCTTCTTTCAGAGGATTTCTTAGGTAATTTTTCTTAAATTTTTTCTGCTTAATTTGTGGCTTTAGAGTCTCTACACTTGGAGTTTAATTAAATCCAGGATGGAGCCTTTGGTATTATCAGCTTCTTGGATTGTTACAAAAACCCATTCACTGGTTAGGTTTCCTGAAATTCTTGTCTATCAGTATTCATGGCCTGACTCCAGAATGCATGGGGACTGATACTCAAACTCCAGGAAAAAAAGAAATTGATCACATGGCTTAAGAAAATTCCTACATTTGGAAAATTGTAGATTAAAATATCAACACTTAAGGATCTTAGGGTATTTCCATGGGGATCCTTTGACTCAAATGTCTTTTTTGGTATGTGATTTGTTCCCCTCCTCACCGCAGCAACAAAAATGTTAAAAGAATACTTAAAAAAAAAAGAGTTTATCTATTAACATGTTTTCCCCCTCTTGAGGACAGAAACCATGAATTATTTTGGTTCCACAGACAGTAATTGACTGCCTACTTGATAGTAGGTGACTGAGACTTATTTTTCAAGGAAGGAAAGGAAAGAAGGACAAAGAGTGATGGGAAGAAGAAAGCTCTTTTTTATATCTCCTTTGACACTGAGTGAATGGGGGAGCTGGGATGAATTTCATCAGTCAATATCTACAAGATTTTAAAATTCACTTATACAAAGTGTTGTGTTTACCTGCCTAGAAGCTTACTTCTGAGCCTAGATTGAAGGATAAAAATTAATGCTTTGGGTATTGAGAAATGGTGACAGAAAATGGCAGTGTTGTTGAAGAAAGTTTCAAATAATATTTGAAATACATATTTTAGCTATCTTAAATCTAAATAACTGGTTCCATGTTTTTGTGACTTTCTTTATAAAACTCGACTAACTATAGGCAGAGCCTTAGGGAAGAGTCCCATACATTGCCTAGTTATGAAAATATTGGTGTAAGAAGACACTTTCCAATGCTTCTGGAAACTTCAGTAGAATGAAAAGAACTAATACAGTAAAAGAAAAGGGTTATTGCTTAAATATGAAGGGCTCTATATATACTTTTTTTTTCCCTGTATAGAGACGGGGTCTCACCATGTTGCCCAGGCTGATCTTGAACTTCTGGGCCTTAGTGATCTGCCCACCTCAGCCTCCAAAAGTTCTCGGATTACAGGCAGGAGCCACCATATCTGGCCTGTATGTACTAATTTTTGAATTCAAATCTTTAGTTGGAATGGCACTAAAAAGAGAAACAATTAAATATGGAAACAGTAAGTACTTGAGTTATTAATGAATTGATGCGGAAACAAAGCCTACAAAGCCTTTATTCCATTGAAAGAGAATACAGACAGAATAAAGAGATGGAAATAAAGAAGTAGGCTTTATTCAGCTGCTATTCCTTAGTGGGCCGTGGGATTTGTAGCGCCACACAAGGATGACACCCCACATAGACAGAGGTGGTCTACACCACTTGCACACAATTTGTACATGGTATGGCATTGGGCTAGCCTTGTGTTCCACCTGAAGAAGGGAATCCTGCCCCCTCCGACACAAGGGAAGGCATCTTTCTGGCAGAAAGAAACACTGGTAAGTCAGGAGACCTGGATTCCAGTCCAACTTCTTCTCCCTCGCTGCTGTTTCCTCTTTTGGAACACGAGAGGCCTGAATCTGATGACTCCTGGGGTTCTTTCCTATTCTGAAATTCTCTAACTTTACACTTGGCCTGGAGAACAGTGTTGTCCTTTAAAAGGAATTTTTCTCCCTGTCAGGTTCTCCTGCCCCAAATGTTTCAGGTCCTGATTTGTACACAATAAGGAGCAAAAGGCATCTCCTTTTGATCCTGTGGTTAAAAATATTTAGTTCTTTGGTGTTTGAAATGTTCTCTCCAACTAAACATTGTAACCTTGACATAGCTTGATTTGCACTTAAATATAAACATACTATTGGCAAGACCTCATGAAATAACTGACTTACAGCAACCTTGGAGTTGGCAGCATAACATAACAGATCAAGTTTCTCATTATCATTCCATGCAAGATAAGAGAATTTTCCTCTCATTCAGCTGAGTTTCCGTGCCTTTGTTTGTTGAGTACTAGGTAGTGAGAGCTTTAAAATGCTCAACATCATATTCTGTGATGTGAATTTCAGCAGCCTATTTGGGGGAGTTATTTTTAATCTCTTAATACATGATTACTGTGACCATTTTCTCCTTATCATTGTCTTAGATTTAATTCACAACTGGTGTGATTATTCTTTCTGGTTGTGATGCTAGTCTATTAAGGCTTTGAATCATGAATGCAGCCTTGTAGGTTAAAAAGCCAACAAAATTGCTTTTGATGGGATAAGATTATGAGTGTCCCTGTGGGTTAGTGAGTTTTTAAAAATTTGTTTGCAAGGCCACATAAGTTAATTATCATAAAATAGGTACAAGTGGTCTTGCAGTTCAATTGGAAATTGTAACAAAAATATGAAAGTATGAAGTAAAATGCACCATAACAGAAATGAATTGCATTGCTTCACAAAAATCTTACACAAAAACTTAACAAGCATTTCCATCTTATAAAATAAAATAAGATTCCGTCAGTAAGGTTTGGAGAGATTAGTTCTTAGCCCAGGTTATTCTCCTTTTTACATGATCCTTTCCTATACTAGCTACAGAATTGCAGAAAAATACTCCCTGGAGAGTGAGCTGGCTCACTTCCAATATTCAAATGTCCAGGTAAGGACTATTTGTCCCTCTCAACTTATAATCTTGTTAAATTGTGAGCAGCAGCCTCTGAAGACAGTGTCTCAATTTACCAAAACTATTAAAAATGTGTTTAGAGATATCTAGGAACCAGATGGCAGAATAGGACCTTTTAATCAATCTTCCAGGTGATAAACTGAAACTTACCATCTTTTCCTTCTCTTCTTTGTTCTCATCACTAACTTCAAAACAATGCATCAATCCAAACAGTTTAATTCCCTTATTACTCACCCAAACCACCCCAAAGTGTGAATTTCCCATCAGTTAATAAATAAATTGCAAGACCTTGAAAGAGAATACAGACAGAATAAATAAATGGAAAGATGCTCAGTGGTAAAGAAAAAGTTATTCTGACACTTGTTAAAATGGTAAGAAAGACTGGAAGACTTTGTTCAGGACTCTTGCAATAGGTGTTAAGACAATTGCAACAGAGGAGAGAGACTGAGCTCAACTCCAGATAGAGCAGAGACAGCTGGGGCTTTGTAGCCAATGAGCAGAGTGAGGGCTTCAGTGGATGGAACACTACTAAGGGGAGACATCAACGGTAGGAGGGATTCTTGCTAAACTGACTTAACAGGATTCTTGCTGAAGGCAGGTCAAGGGCTTATATATCAGAAGTAGGGGAAGAGGAACTTGATCAGATATCAAGGGTAATCAGACATCAAGGGTAAGAAATTTTCTCTAAAGTGACTTAGCAGGATTCTTGCTAAGACTGGCCTTCTGCAGGTTTGGCAAGAACAGGAGCTGAGGCTGAAGTCCAGTCCAGAGAGGGCTCGGAGAGGCCTGACTAAACTTTGGTCAAGGAGAGAATCTTTGTCATCAGTAAGTGGTAACTGTTACTAACAGAGCGACATCTTGACTTTGTCACTTGTCTGTCTGTCGATTTATTTCAGAGCACTCACATATCAGCTCTATTTTCTCTCCCATTTTTGCTGCTTTGGAATTTAATGGCTGAATTTAATATTCACTCTACCAAAATTCTACTACAAGTAATTAATTGACACATCCCAGGGAGGTGGATGTGATAGAATTTTAACTGCATCCCTGAAAATTATATGTTGCCATTTATAAGTTAAAAACCTGATTTGAGAGAGTTTCAAAATTGAGTCATTTATAGAGTCAAAAATTGTATGCTTTTACTCCAAAGACATTGGTTTGTGGAAGATGTTACTTGTCGAAGAAAAGATATTGTGTGCTAATAAAAATCAATAAGCTTCAAGGCCGGGTGCAGTGGCGCATGCCTGTAATCCCAGCACTTTGGGAGGCCGAGGCAAGCGGATCACTTGAGGTCAGGAGTTCGAGACCAGACTGGCAAACATGGTGAAACCCCATCTCTACTAAAAATACAAAAAATTAGCTGGGCATGGTGGCACATGCCTGTAATCCCAGCTACTCAGGAGGCTGAGGTGGGAGAATCACTGGAACCTGGGAGGTGGAGGTTGCAGTGAGCCGAGATTGCGCCACTGCACTCCAGCCTGGGAGACAGAGTGAGACTCCGTCTCAAAAAAAAAAAAAAAAAAAAAATTAATAAGCTTCAGAAAGCCACTCAGAAGTTGATCATTTGAGGTTTGTGTGAATTTTAATCCTATCACAAACTTGATTTGATAAGGTAGGAAACTTAAATTATCTACCTTAATTTCTTCATCTATAAAATGAGGATCATCATATAACACACGATTAATTTTTATATGTAATTATGGTAGAAGTAAGTGCTTCTGAAAGACTAACCTCCAAAGAAGATATATCCCTATTTAGTAAAATGGGATAAAATCACTTCCAGCCTGGAGCAGGCAGTGGGTGAGATGGATTCTCATGGTGCACGCATCTCTATGATTTTGTAAGTCTATGATTGCCCCGGATCTGGTAATGTCACTAGTTTTGAGTGGCATTGAGGGGCATAAAGAGAAGGAATCATGGTTATGGGGGAAAAAACAATCTCAATCTCCAATTTATCATCCCAGCTGATAAAAATTTGCTTCTATTCAAATTTGAAAGGGTACATATTTTTAAAAACCAAAAACATTTACTGGATGATTACAGAGCTGTGACAATAATGAAGCCAAATCAAATTGGACAAATATTATCCAGTACATAGAAGGCCCTTGGTAAATGTTTGTTGAATTAAATCTGAATATGAATGATTGCAAGGTATTTTGGAAATAAAAAACCATGAAATATTAGATATCAAAATATAAGAACCTAGTATTATTCAGGAAAAACTAAAAATCTAAATCTTACATGATTAGATTCCTAATCAATGATTCATCTCATTAGATTTTCTGAGAAATATTTAATTAATTAATATAAAGACTTTGGATTTTATTTATTTATTTATTTGAGACAGAGTCTGACTTTGTCGCCCAGGCTGGAGTGCAGTGGTGTAATCTCAGCTCACTGCAACCTCCACCTCCTGGGCTCAAGCCATGCTCCCACCTCAGCCTCCCGAGTAGCTGGAACTACAGGTATGCACCGTCATACCCAGCTAATTTTTGTATTTTTTGTAGAAACAAGATTTCGCTATGTTGCCCAGGCTAAGATTTTGGATTTTAAAATGATGTTTTGAATGTATTTTCTTGCCTTTTAGCTTGTGTTATTAGTTCATACATATTAGATATTTATCAGCAAATATTTATCGAGTGACTACTAGGTGTTAGGCACTATTCTAAGCATCAAGGAAGCAGAAGTGAACAAAACAGAAGTAAAATTCTATCCTCATGGAACTTATGTTAGAGTGGTAGAAACAAGTAAACATATATGTGTTATATAGACTGTCAAATGCTAATAAGTTATATTAGAGAAAGGTAAAACAGGGAAGGGGGAATGTGTTTTCATTAGAAGCAGTGGTCAGGGAAGCCTCCCTGAGAAGACACATCTGAGTAGTAACTGTTATTAACAGAACAATGTCTTGACTTTGCCATTTGTCTTTTTGTTAATTTATTTCAGAGCAGTCACAAATCAACTCTATTTTCTCTCCTTTTTTGTTGCTTTGAAATTTGATGCCTAAATTTAATATTCACTCTATTAAAATTCTACTACAAGTAATGAATTAACACATTCCATGGAGATGAAGGGTGGGGGCAGGGAGGAATGTAAGCCCTCGGAGTATCTGGGGGTCTCGCACCCCAGCCTTCCAGGTAGAGTGAACGGCAGCACCTGAAGAGGCTCCATGCTCTGGGTGTTTGAGGATTACAAAGAAGTTGCCATGGGCTGGAGTGGAGTGAACAGGGATGAGGGCAAAAGAACTTAGAGCAGAGGATAATATGGAATCCAACTGCATGGGATCTTTAGGTCAATATCAGAATTTGAGCTTTTAATCTGAAATGGGTGGCCATTCCAGTTTTGTAGGTATTTGTGTGTGTGTGTGTGTGTGTTTGTGTGTGTGTGTGTGTGTGTGTGTTAGTCAGGGTTCTCTAAAGGGACAAAACTAATAGGATATTTGTATATATGAAGGGGAGTTTATTAAGGAGAATTGACTCACATGATCACAAGGTAAAGTCCCACGATAGGACATCTGTAAGCTGAGGATCAAGGAAGCCAGTCCAAGTCCCAAAACCTCAAAAGTAGGGAAGCTGACAAGGCAGCCTTCAGTCTGGGGCCGAAGGCCCGAGAGCCCCTGGCAAACCACTGGTGTAAGTCCAAGAGTCCAAAAGCTGAAGAACTTGGAGTCTGATGTTCGAGGGGAACGTGGAAGAAAGATGAAGGCCAGAGGACTCAGAAAGTGTGCTCTTTCCACCTTCTTCTGCCTGCTTTACTCTAGATGCTCTGGCAGCTGATTAGGTGGTGCTCACCAGATTGAGGGTGGGGCTGCCTCTTCCAGTCCACTGACTCAAATGTTAATCCCCTTTGGCAACACCCTTAAGACATATGCAGATACAACACTTTGCATCCTTCAATCCAATCAAGTTGACACTCATTGTTAACCATCACAATGTGGTAACATAGACATGACATAAAATTTACCATTTTAACTGTTTTTAAATGTACAGTTCATTGCCATTAAGTAAACTCACATTGTTGGGCAACCATCACCACCATCCATCTCCAGAACTTTTTTATCTTCTCCAACTAAAACTCTGTACTCTTTAAACAATAACTCCCCATTGTCCACTATCCCCAGACTCTGGCAACTACTATTCTGCTTTCTGCCTCTATCTGTCTGCCTATTTCAGGTACATGATATAAGTGGAATCAAACAATGTTTTTACTTTTGTGATTGGCTTATTTCAGTTAGCATAATGTCCTCCAGATTCATCCATGTCGTAGTGTATATCAGAATTTGATTACTTTTTATTGCTGCATAATATTCCATTGTGTGTGTGTATATATATATACATATATATAGTATATATAGTATATATATACATACTATATATATGTATATATATATACACACACACAATGGAATATATGTTATATATATAGAGTTTGTTTATTCATCCATCCATGGATGCTCGGGTTATTTCCATCTTCTGGCTATTGCTCATAATGATGCTATGATCACTAGTATACAAACATCTGCCTGAGTCCCTGCTTTCACGTCTTTTGAGTGTATACCCAGAGTTGAAGTCATTTGAGACTTTTGAACAGACTGGTGACTTAAGTTTTTACTGTATTACTCTGGCTGCTGTGAGGAGAAGAGGCTGTAGAGAGACAAGGGTGAATGGAGGTGACCTAGTAAGAAGATAATTATTATTGAATCCTGAATATAGTTTGAAGGAGGAGCCCACAATGTTTGCTGCCAGATAGGTTGTTGAGAGTGAAAGAAAGAGAGGAGTCAAGGATGAGTCCAAGATTCTTTTTCTATTATACTAAAAGTGTTCTTTACATGCCACAGGGAAATAAAAGAAGATTGGCCCATAAAAGTTTCTAAAGCTTCTAAATGCGTAAATATTATATATTTCTGCATATTTCAGTAACATACTGCATTTGCGTGACAGATTCACTAGAAGATATAAGGCAGTCTTTGCATCGACATGGCTCCCACAAGTTTATGCTTGGTCATATACGTGTCTGTGTGTGTGTGTGTGTGTATACACACATATATACATAGTGGAGATCATTGAGGCTTTATGAGATCTTATGAGAAGCAAGAGATAAATGTCATGTGCAAATATAACACATCCTAAACAATCATAACCTAACATGGTTTGAATGTCTACGACTCTCACATTAGTTTGATTTATTTTTTAACCAACATATTAGAGCTAATATCCAAATGTTTATTTTATATTAAAAACTTTCATTTTAATACTAACAGGCCCACATCATGTTCTAGTATAAGAAAGCTAAGGTTATGAATCAACTCAAGGTTCACTAGCTTGGCTGCTATTTCCCGTTACCCATCATGCACACAAATGTTCTGGAATTGTTAATTATGAAAAAAATACATCTCAAAGTTCAAGGAGAGTGAACAAAAGCACCACCATTTATTGAGGCCTTTGGCTCAGTGCTTCGCATGTCTTATTTTATCACCTCAGACGCCCCAGAAGTCTACACAATCATTTTGAAGAGGGGGAGACTGGGCCTCTGAGAGGTTAAGTAACTTGTCCAAGATCCCAGAGCTAACAGATGGTGAATCTTTTTGAGACAAATACTTTGAGCTAATAATCTGGAGACTGGTTGAGAATTCAACCTCATCAGTCTCCAAAGTCTGTTTTATGCAAGATACAGCTAGAGTGTAGATAGGAGAGGAGTTTTATCAATACCTGTACCCACTACCACCCAATACCTCTACCACAACAGTTATGATAGAGTAACTTGGAATTGGAGGCTTCATCTCCATTCAAGCAGATGGCAGCAGCAAGAATGTCTTTTCTGAGATCTGTGAGTTTCTCAAAACGATCTTTCCTTCCAGACACTCAGTGACACCACAGTTCCTCCAGTGATGTTATCTGGGAACGGCAGGTGAGGCAGCTAGGTTTTCACCGTGGGAAACTCCTGTATAACAGATGCAATGTGGAACCAATAGTGCTACTCCCTCAAAATCCATTCTAACTCCATACGTGGTCATGGAACAGTTAGGTATTCCAGGCAACTAACCGTTCCTGCCTTGACTTATTGAGATAATTGCCTTCTGAGGGTAGTGCAGGCCTACTGTTGATGAATATGTCTGTGCCTATTAGATGAATAACATCTAGTTCTTATTGTGCAGTAGTACAAAATAAAAAAAGACAGCAATTGAACCAAATATAGAAAATGTGATTAACCACACAACGGGCTATGATCAGAACTACATGAAACCAAGCAAGAACAATATTCAGCCAGCCATCAACTGACTGAAGAGAAAGCAGGTGTGAACCCAAATATTCAACAGAAAGTGTCTCAGTCCTTATCCTTACTGCTCATGTCCTTTTTCATTAGTTCCTTCTTTTTCGTGTTTAAATCAGCCATCCTACACAAAAGTCTCTCCCTCACTCCTGCATTGCTTGACACACAATCTCATTTCTTCTTTTCTTCTTACACTAAACTTTCTAAAACGAAAGTTAACGTTCCCTGTCCTCATATCCTAACTCACTCTGCACACTTTGCAAACTGGCTTTGGCTTCAGTGCCTCTCTAAGGACTTCTATCTTAAATATACCTTAACTTACAAATGAATTCATAATCACATAATTAATTCTCTTCTCAATTCTTAGCTTACTGTCTATGTCATCACCTGCTAATCAATTATTCTCGTTGAATCATTCCCTTATCCTTTGGTTTCAATGGCCCTACATTCCTATTCCTTTTCTTGATATTTTATCAACCTCTTCCTAGTTTGCCTTAGTTTGCATGCTCTTTTGTTAAATTCAGTTCTGAAAAGTGAATTATCCCTAAGGTTCAGTTCTCAGCTCTCCCTTTTGGTCCCATTGCACAGTCTCAAATGGTGATGTTATTCATTCTCAAGGCTTAAGCAACAAATTTATCTTTATCTTAATTCCCGAGTTCTATGTATACATTTTCAATAAACTCTTTGGTATTTGAGTCATGGTGTTCATGGTGTTGATAACACCTGTTGTTGAGTAACCCAGGGAAAATCACAACCACTCTGAGAGCCCCTCTCCTCTTTAGTGAGATGAAGGGGTTAGATACTCATTCAGATTTCACATGAATGTCATCAGTTAAGGTTTTTGGTTGAAGACGGAAACAACCCTGGGTAGCTTAACAGAAAGTGAATCTGTCATAAGATATCTGGCAGTTTTAGGATTGTGAGTGAGACAGGGGAGACGGATTGAAGGACGGGAACAGAACATCCCCAGGAGTTTACAAAGCTAGAATCACAGACAACTCTCACTAAAGGGAAAGTTAGGCTCTGCGGACACACTGCACCTGCAGTCACTCCTGCCACAACCACGGGTTGTGCTGCCACCACTGCTGCCTCCAGCACTACGATTGTGTCTTGGGTGTCAGGAACGGACTCCCCCTGGCCACCATCCTAGCATCACATGCAAGATTCAGAGTCTCCAGTTGGACTATCCAAATGGCTGATCCTGGATCATGTGCCTGTGCCCTACAAGCCAGCGGAGAGAGGATCTAGATGACCCCAACATACAAAGGGATTTCCACCGATGGGATGGGAATTGACTGTTGCATAGCAAATCCTCCCTCCCAATATGAAATGTTTACTGCAGGTGTCTCAAAGCTACCTCAAACTCAAGACATTTAAAGCAAAATGCCATCTGTTACTCAGAAAACTTGTGTCTATAACATCTGCTGCGTGTACTCAGGATACATAATCTTGCTTAACAAGGTTTTACTTTAGCAGTAGTTGTTCAACTTATTCAGTAATTACATTGGGCAGATAATTAACGTTTTGATGACTTCTTTCTCTTCTTTTCCAGTCCCAGCACATAGGTTTTGTTCAGACATGATTAATGAATGTGTGATTTGAAGGTTAAAGTCAACACAAAGCAAATCTCAAGATATAGTTTGATTAATCCAGGATAAAATAATCTTGACTTGAATTCTTGCTCTTATGTGTGATTTTCATGACTATTTCTCCCTTGTAATTTTCAATGAGCTTCAATTACCAAGTAATGCTGTTTCAACTCCCTGAATGCTAATGACAGAGAACAGAACCTGGTGATTAAGGGCCTACCTTCTATTAGAAAGGAAGAACATACTGAAACAATGCTTTCTCTGGTCTTTTATTCTTTCAGTGTGAGGCAGATCACAACACTCTCAACACTTATAATAATAGTCATCTTTAAAAAGAATATTTAATTCAAATATTTAAACATCCTTGTATGTTGATGAAGGAAACACCCAATAAACTAAGCATGATTTGTACACATGCAGGTCTACAGATGAAGAGGAGGTGAAGGTGTGTCATTGCTCAAACAGACACATTTTCCTTTGCTTTTGATTATGAAACTCAGCATGTCCCTTGCATTCACGAAACAATAAAGGAGATAATGTGATGTTATTTGAACATCTATAAATATCCAGAGAGGATAATAAATGCCTTCACTACCTCTTAGCCCATGTGTTATGTGAATTTTCAGTGTCTGGCAGTTGTCACAGATGCACTTTATGGTTTTTAAACTTGGCATCTGATTACACACTCAGCGGACTCTTAACTGAATTACCTATTTGAAAATCCCAACCACCCACCTTATTTAAAATTAGAAACCGCTCCTACTACCCTGGTATCCCTAATCTCCAGACTGTGCTCTGCTTTTCTTCTTCCTTTTTTCCTATAGCAATTTATCACCTTCTAAAATACCATAGAATTTAATTTTATGTTTTGCTTATTGTTCATTTTCTGTCTCTTCCTGCTAAAAAGTAAGCCCTATGAGGGCTGAGGTCTTTATCTGTTTGATTCACTGATGTCCTAAGAACCTCAAACAATACCTGGCATATTTTAAGCGTGGAATTAATATCTCTTAAGTGAATAAGCAAACACCATGCAGATAACTGTGAGGCCAGCTGTGACACCTGAGACCTTGAGACATTTGTCTCTGATATGCTTCATTGCTGTGCTCATTTCCTGGTCTGTGCCCATGTTTCCCCCTATGTACAAACCTGCTTTTTCAAAGGTTCTCAAACTTGGTCACAGCAAACCTTTGATGGCTCCTCTCACAGTTTAATGCACTCCTATTTCTTGGTGTAATTGCATTTTACCAAGGATCACAGTCTCACATTGAAGGAATACAATTTTTAATTTTGACATTTCCACCATGGTTTTGTCTTTGCACAAGGTTTACATATTCCAGGACAGGGTAACTTTGATTTGAAGAGAAATAGACTCAGTGCTTCTGATTATTGTATAGGATTCCTAATTTATGCTTTTGTTGTGAACAGACATTTGTCCAAGGAGTTATGTCCTTTTTTTGAAGGTCTTACTAAAAACTCTGTGTGTGTGTGTGTGTGTGTGTCTGTGTGTGTAAAACAACCTAAGCATCAATCATAGTCTAATGACAAGGTACTTGGTATTTTCATCAGCTGCTCTGGAAGATCTGGACTTACTATTGTATAAGCATTGCTTTTCATTTACTTTCCTTCTTTTTAAAATCTATAAATTGCCATCATTGTCTCATGAAGTTTGATGTTGAATTATTTTAAGTTTCCTAACCAAATACAGTAAAACCATGCCTATCTGAAAGTCAAAACTGGAAACCACAACACCCTGGAATTGAGTCAATAAATGATCTAGCTGTTTTGAATCACCTAATTAAAAGTATCTTTTCAAGATCTCCCTCTTTTCTTCTTGCCAACTTTTATTATCCTGCTGGCTTTTGGCCTCCAGTGGAGGTTCTCTGGGGCAATCAAGTTTTGTGCAGCCACTTGGCCTGTGGTGTTGAAGGGAAGAAACAGCACAGCCCAGGAAGGAGAAGGGATGTGGCCAAGCCCAGAGCTGAGGAGAAAAGCAGGGCTGGAGGGGAAGCCAGGATGCCTACACTATTGTTTTAAAGGCTAATCTCATTATTAAATTTAAAAAGATCTCCTTAGTCTTTTGAGACCATTTGTGTTCCACCTTTACATTTGTCTTATTATTTGGCTTGGTATTAGAATTTAAACTAAAAATCTTTTTTTTTTTCACCCAATTTTGAAGGCATTTTCCATTGGCTTCTATATCCCTTTGTTGTATTTGTTTAAATTTGTGCATGTTTAAAAAACATTTCTAGAAGCTTTTAGATATTTTTCTTTATCGTTAGTGCTCTGAAATTTCTAACTGGTGAGTCTTGATGTGGGTCTTTATTCAAAAAAATTAAAAAGTTTTTTTTTTTTTTTTTTTGCTAAGCATTTGAAGAGGCTTTTCAAACTGGAGACTTGAATTTTTAAGTTTGAGAAATTTTCTTGTATAATTACTTTCTTGCATAACTTTTAATGAAATTCACCTTAAGGTGAGTGGATATGGACCTTGCTCTTTATTTGAGGGGCTCCTAAATGTCAGCATGCAGTGGAGGTCTTTGTTCTGGGTCACGCAGTTTCTCAAGAGACAAATTATTTAATCTCTTACCTGGAAGGCTTCAGTGTTCAGGCTGGCTGCTGATATTCTGAGACCAGAGAAGGGAAAGAAAAAGATTAAGGGCTTCACCATTCAGATTACAGATTTTCATTTACCTCCTTCTCATTCTCTTTTTTTCTCTATAGCGGTACCTGGAGCCCTCAAGTCTCCATCTCAGAGCCTTATTAACATTTTCTGGGGAAACTCCTCTGGTATCCTGAAGAGTTATGGTCACCTGGGTGCAGGTGTACAGCACATTCTGGAAGTTCTATGGCTCTGTTCACTGATTTTGACTAATGCTATTTCCAGCCCTGTACTTCACTCCCACCTTCTGTGGCACCAGGGGCCTCCAGTCCTGAGCCTTTCAGGGCTCTGCCGTCAAATTAGTACATCTTTTGCCAGTACTTAGCTGGTAGTTTCCTCCCTTCTGCTCCTTCACTGACTTTCTGTGTTTCAAAAAATTGCTGAAATCTTTCATGCACTCTACCTTTCTCTTGGTCCTTGTGAAATATAACTTTAAAAAATCAAAGTTCTTTGTTATTCTGTTAGTGGGGTTCAGGAGGGATTTCGAAAATAAGAGACAGTTTGCCATGTATAGCTGGAACTCTAATCAGTACTTTTCAAAAATGTTCTCTATTAGGGCCCTAAAATTTCTACTTCAATAGAAGATTGATGAGGAGGGAGATTGTGGAGTTTCAGTACAATGAATCTCTAACAATGCTTTAACCAGCATAGTTTTGTTTCATCAGTTTTGTGTAATGAGCTTCATGCAAGAAGTCTTTGAACAAGAAGTTCTGAAGCTAAAAATTATCTGAAAACTACTAGTGAAGATAATCTTGCACTTACATTTCCAATGTTAATGTTTGATGACTATATAATTTACTTATTCATTCAACAAAGAGTTATTGAGTTTCTTCTACTCTATGGCAAGTACTGGGCTAGGCACTGATGTTCTTTTACTTGGTATAAACAGATTTAATAAAAATGTTGCTTTGTATTGACAGATATTTTATTGTAATCACATATCTCACTTATTTGAAACACTACATAGATTAAATAAATTCAAGTGATTCCGACTAATTAGTATCCTACTTGAAGAGCAGACATCAGAATATTCCTTCAGCCTACTTCTCCAAATAATGACCTGGGGGACAAGAATGTCTTCTTTGCTTTGAGGTAAAAAGTAATGAAAACATTATGGTTTTTCTCTTTAAAACTTTCCCTCTAATTTGTATTCAAGTAACAACATAACCTTGATTTAGTTCAAATGATATAGCTGCTTGATCATTTGGGAACTGATTTTGCTTTAAGTTATATATTACCTCAATTTCAGATGAAGAAAAACAATTTTTAAATGTGCAGCTGGAAAATTACTCAGTTGGTAAGTGACGGCATCAGTCTTCCCCAGGTGGCACTTTCTCCAGTGCTCCCTAACTCCACAGATGGTATCACCCAGTGTCCCCAGGTTCTTACTTTGCTAGGGCTGCCATAACTAAGTACCACAAACTAACTGGCTTGAATGATAGAAATGTATTGTCTCACAGTCCCGGAGACTAGAAGCCAGAGATGAAGGGTTCAGTGGGGTTGATTCCTTCTGAGGAATGGAAGGGAGGGCCTGTTTCATGCCTCTGCCATAGCTTCTGGTGGTTTGCTAGAATCTTTGGGGCTACCTGGCATGTTGAGCGTCACCCTGATGTCTGCCCACATCTTCACATGGTGTTCTCCTTGTGTGCACGTCTGTCTTCAGATTTTCCCTTTCTATAAGGACACAGTCATATTGCAATAGAGCCCACCACAATGACCTCATTTTAACTTGATTACCTCTGTAAAAACCCTGTCTCTAAATAAGGTCACTTCTGAGGCACCATGGGTTAGGATTTCAACATATGCATTTTGTGGGGGGGACACAAGTCAACCCGTGACACTCAGAAAGTCGAGTATCATTCCTGATACTTCCCCATCTTTCTCTCCTCTCCACTTCTAATCGATCAGCGTATTCTGCCAACTTTACCTTAAATACACGTTGGATCTTGGTATTTCTCGCTATTCTTCCCCTGACCATTTTCATTCTTTCTCCCGAACTAAGGTAGTAACTTCCTCACTGGTCCCCTGCCTCCACTTTAGGTTTCTCTTAATCCATTTTCCATATGCAAGCCAGAGATCTTCCAAAAGTGCATATTTGATTATATCTCTCCTCTTCTTACAAAATTCAATGACTTCCCATTGCCTAAGGATAAACACAAAACTCCTTTATGTGGCTTACACACAATTTGGCTCCTGCCTCCCTCTCCAGCCTTGTCTCTATTTTATTTCTCTAGAGCTCTGAGCTAAGTCCAAACAGGAACTTCTTTCAGTTCCTTGATTACACCATGCTGTTGCCTCTAGGCTTTGAACACGCTGTTCTCAGTCTGGAACACTCCTCCAAACTTGATTCCCCAGACGCTTACTCATATTTTAGGTCTCAACTTTCATGTTGACTAGCTTCTGGAAGGCCAGCCCTCTACAGTGGGCTGACTGGTACCCCCAAAAAAGATATATCCACATCTTTACCTCTGGAACTTGTAAATGTTACCTTATTTGGGAAAAAAGTTCTCTGCAAATGTAATTAAGCTAAGGATCTTGAATGAAGAAATTCTCCTGGATTATCCA
Organism: Homo sapiens; assembly: GCF_000001405.40. Lineage (NCBI taxonomy): Eukaryota > Metazoa > Chordata > Mammalia > Primates > Hominidae > Homo > Homo sapiens. The sequence goes on from NC_000013.11 coordinate 39,914,420, forward strand.
AGTGGACCTTAAATCCAATGACAAATGTCCTCATAAGAGGTACATAAAGGAGAAGGCCTACAGAGGAGAAGGCCACATGAAGACAGAGGAAGAGATTGGAGTGATGTGGCCACAGACAAAGAAACCAGCAACCGCCAGAGGCTAGAAGACATAAGGAATCCAGATTCTCCCCAGAGCCTCTGGAGACAGTATAATCTTACCAATTCCTTGATTTCAAGCCTCCAGAACCATGAGAGAATAAATTTCTGTTGGTTAAGCCACCAAACTTGTAGTAATTTGTTATGGCAGCCCTAGGAAACTGGCAGAGCTTGTGTTCTTATACCAGGTGTCGTCTCTGGTTGTATGTGTCCATAGGCCCCTGTGAGTCCTCTTTCCTAAGAGTCATCACTCTCTGTTGTTTGGGATTTGGTCTGACCCAGCAGCTATGAGTGCTGGGAAGGCAGGACATGCCTTGTTACTGGCTGCATCCGCAAGGATTAACCCAGTGCCTATGGCATATCATAGGTGCTAATATTTAATACTGACAATGGTAATGATAATTTTTCTTGAATAACTAAAATAACTAAGTAATTATTCAATCAATGTTTCAGTTTAGGTACTATCCAAATGGTACAGATATGAAAAAAGAATCAGAGGTCTGGCACCTGTGAAGAGTACATAGTTCTGACCTTCCTAGTGTCTTTAAGAAACTTGCAGTCTTCATAGTAGACAGAATGAACATATATAGGAAGATACGTGAAAAGCTGACCCCCCACCAAATCAACACCATCCTCCAAAGTGGAAAGAAATACAGTGTAATCTAGTTTTGCATGTATTCTAACTGGTCTTCTTATCAGAACATTGGTCGGCATTTATTTTTTATGTAACACCTTATTGTTTAAAGTTGTTAAACAGGAGTGACATGGTCTTTCACCTAGAAAAGTTTATAGTATAATGAGAGAAAATGAGAACAATAGTTTTTCTTTTCTTATAGACGTACAATCAGAAATATATGAGCAGATATGTGCTGTTCAAAACTAGAGGAGAACTAACAATGATAGGAATAATAATAAGCAAATTCACAAGTTGCAGCCCTTTTACATCCCATTCTTACTCACTATCATTACTTGGTCCTTTATTTTATGTCCAGCATCTTTCCCTTCAGAAACTTCTCCTCCCAAAAGACCTGTTGAGCAATCAATCCCATGACTCTACCTCTTCAGCCACAGGGGAGGCTGAACAGAGCACTCTTGCTCCTGGACATAATTAGTTCAATGGTGAGCACATGTTTCAAGTAAGATCAATCAGATTTATTTTCAGAGATTCCTATGGGTATCATGACAGAGAGGTGCTTTTATTATTTTCTTTTTCTTCTGAGATTACTTGCTCTAAAGATGACACAATCTAAACTGCTTTTGGCCATCATGGCCAGCATATGGGGAGAGCTGCCTGAGAAGAAAGCCAACGAAGAAAAAAACAAGCCAGGAAATGGGGAGAGAGAAAAAAAATCTTGCTGATGTTGTTTAATCCACTGGATCAAGGAATGACTGTACCTCAACCTGATCTTGAGCTATCCCTATCCTTAGATCATGATACAAACTATGAAAGAATCAGGGTAATGTGAAAGACAGAGTGGAATGCCACAGAGATGGCTAGATGCTCTTCAAAAATTAATGTTCCCCTTCCATGGTATAGAGTTGTCACTGGGTGGCAGTGATTGTTCATTAGAGACTAGATTTCCCAGCCTCTGGCATCCATATGGAGACATGTGGTTTGCTTTTGCAAATGAAATGATGGTGGGAATGAAGTCCCTTTAGAGCTGAAGGAATGAATGTGCCTTCTCAACCCTTCCTTGCCCTCTTGTTGGCTGGACTCAGAGGACTCCCGTGGTCTTAAATTCAAAGAATTAAAAGAACTAATCAAATCTGGTTAATGGTGTTAACAATTAAATGACCTATCAAACCATGTACCTATTACCTGAATACCAAGCATCAAAACTTCACTTGCCGGATCTGGGAGCTGTTGCTCATTGACAAAGTCAACTCGATCTTGGTCAATTGAATTCTCAGGGCCTTGGTTTCATCATACAGGAGATTTTCTTCAAGCTTCCTGACTCCATCATCTAGTCACCCTGTTGAAACTTTTGCAATGATAAGGTTATGAAGCTGTGAGATATTTGAGTCATGACTTTGAATTGGAGTCATAGAGCAAAGTGCTTGGGCCTCTGTAGCTTTTAAACTTAACTGTCTGATGGTTGCTTTAAAATCTTAATTACATTATATTGTCAATAAAGCCACCTCTGTTTGGCCTTTGTTGTCCTAGTATTTTTATCCTTTCTTCCAAGTTTATAGAAGTTTGAAATTTAAGCTAAAATGATTAGAAGCTGTAACTGCATCCAGGAGGCTCGGAGAATATTTGAACTTGCAGTTACGAATTAACCAGTTAGTCCAAAAAAAATACATTTTTGATTATTTTAAGATAACAATAATTCTATTATTTTGATTTGGAAACTTGAGGTTCAAGGAAACCTTACATAACCTATGTAAAATCAGAGGCTGAGCCCACACACTGCCATAGACTAATCTGCTCTGTGAATGGACAGGATATTTGCTAAGCTTTATGATGTAGCAAATTACTGGTCCCCTGGAGCCAGGAGAACTTTTTATATTGTCCATGTGATCATCTACTCCAGAAGCATCCCCAAGGTCATGAATGCTGTATGTTTTGAACATGTATGTTATCCCCTCTTTTTCACTGACTCGGTTGTTGGTAACTGAGGTATTATTAAGACAGGTAGACAGTTGGAAAATCACCGCTTTAATCTGGTATTCTCTCTTTGTGCCCTTTGGATACATGAGCATCCATTGTTATCTGTCTTGCCATTTTAGACCATCCCTGAAGTAGTTTGGATCTGTACTGAAATTAGTGAAGACTGGTAGGCAAGGCTAGTTTATGGAATGAGAAATAGGTGTCTTGGAGAAAGAAATGGGAATGAAAGAGAAGAGCAGAAGGAAATTCGAAGGAGTCAAGAGGGAAGATTAATCCAATGGCTATTGGGCTGGGATGATCGCATAATATTGTAAGAGTGTGTGTATATATATACGTGTCTGTATGTGTGTGTGACCTGAGGTTTAAGCCCCTGGGTGTGTGTGTGTGTATAAACATATATATTGTTTAAACACATATATATACACACACACACACACATATATATATGTGTGTATATATACACATACGTATATATACACACATAAATTGTTTATATTGTATAAATTGTGTGTATATATATAAATTGTTTAAATTAAACTTTTTTATATATAAAAATATGAAATTCCAGGGCTGCCTGCATGAAAAATATGGCAAAGCACATTTGAATAATCTGTTCACCCATTCATTCACTCATAAATATAATAAGCATTTATGAAGTTGCTTAGTGTGTGCCAAACTTCAGATCAGTAATCATGTCTTAGAAAATGAAGACAGCATTACTTTACATCAATACTTTGCAAGTGCTTCTTTTCATGATTTCTAGCACTAATGCGCACATTTTGCAGATGAGAAAATGTGAACAATTAAGAGGTCAAATGACTTGCCTAAAGTCACAGCACAAACAACTTGCCGGACAGTGATTAGAAGACAGAGACTTTATATTTCAAATGTATTGCCTCTGGCTAACTAATAATTAAGGTTGAATTTGCCTGATATGATTTTTAGAAACAATTTTCTTCTAAGGCACAGAAGACCAGATTTCTGCACAAGTGTAAAGCTGATAATGCCTGCCCTTTTCTGGGATTATTCTCCTGTGGTATGATGCACAAAACATTTAATGCTAATTACTCATTTCTTAAACTTATTATCAGATGATGTCCTTGGTTTAGAAAAGGCCTTTTTGCCTTTTAAAATACACTATTCCAAATCAGCACAAAAGCAGTGACACTGAGGCATCCTGGCTTCCTTAATAAACATCAGCTATCTGGGACTGTCTTCTTACCTCCTAGACTAAAAGTGCTTATAAAATTGGATTCAAGACCATCACATACCAGAGAATGGAGATGCAGGAATCCCAATCAGATAATGATAACATTAAGAGGAGACAACTAATTTGAATTCTAAAAGCATGGGAAATGCTCAGGTCAAATTATATTGCACATAGAACTAAGCCAAGGGATATATCAAAGAGTGAGAAGGTTTGGGAAAAATGGTCAACTGTCGCAACTCATCCAGGACCACCATCTGTTACTGCCTGATGTTGGTCACTGGATAAAGAATTCAAATCCTCTGGGCCTTGGTGAACATCGTCTTGCCAGTTCTAGGCCTCATGGATAGTAGCCATCTAGTCCAGCGAATTGTGTTGGAAGCTGGCCTCTCTGGTGTTGTTTAGTGGAACAATAGCACAATTCCCTTGATTTATACATCCTCTGAGGGGGACACAACCTGACATCCTTTTTGTTGTCACAAACTGCTGTAAATTGTAAATCAGGTGACAGCCACACTCTTCTATTTAATGGACTTCCTCCCTATTTTTTTGGAACAGCTTTTCTTTGCCCATTGTCCTGATTTTACAATCTTCTGAAGCAACCCTTTGAGGCATAGGGATTTTCTGAGTAAATGAGTCAGGTCTCGGTATTGAGCAATGGCTGCTACAAGGAAACCTTGAGGCCCCATTGCAAATGTCATGCTCCTCCTTAACCAGAGCGTACCCAGGAGCAGATAGTAGCTAGCCACTAAAATTTCTTCAAGTCATATATGAGCTTGAGAATTACGTTAGCAACAATTCAAAGTTGCCCACTCTTTATTCTGAAAATTAAAAAAATGTGTATCTGATGATTACAGGACCATGAATGGCTTTTGGGGAGTCCATAAACCCCTGAAGAATTTTTAAACTTTCATTTTATTGTGGTAAGAACACCTAACATATGATCACCCTCTTAAATTTTAAGTGTACAATAATGTCTTATTATCCAAAGGAACAATGAAGATCTCGAGAACTTATTCATCTTGCATAATTGAGATTTTATGTCCATGGATTAGCAGCTTCCTATTTCTCTTCCCCTCTACCCCCTGGCAACCACCCATTCTACTCCCAGATTGTGAGTTTGACTATTTTAGATACTTCATGTAAGTAGAATCATGATTGTACACTGAAGACTACAAAACATTGATGAAAGAAATTAGACACAAATAAATGGAAAGACATCCATGGCCATGGATTGGAAGATATAATATTGTTAAGATGTCTATACTACCCAAAGTGATCTACAGATTCAGTGGATTCCTATCAAACTCTCTATGACTTTTTTTTCACAGAAATAGAAAAAAAATCCCAAATTTTATATGGAGTCACAAAGGACCCCAAAAAACCAAATCAATCTTTGAAAGAAGAACAAAGCTGGAAGCATCACACTTTCTAATTTCAAAATATATTCCAAATGATGGCAATGAAAATAGTGTGGTATGGGCATAAAGGCAGACATACACACCAATGCAACAGAGGAAAGAGCCCAGAAATCAACCCACATGTGTATGAACAACTGATCTTTGACAAGGGTTTCAAAAATACACAATGGAGAAAGGATAGTCTCTTCAACAAATGGTATTAGAAAAGCCAGATATCCTCATACAAAAGAATTATAGTGGACCCTTATCTTACACCATAAGCAAAAATCAACTCAAAATGGATTACACTTAATGTAAGACCTAAAGCTATGAAACTCCCAGAAGAAAGCATAGGGAAAATTCTCCATGACATTGGTCCTGGCAGTGATTTTATGGTTATGACACTGAAAGCACAGGTAACAAAAGCAAAAATAGACACATGGGAAAACATAAACCCCTGAACTTTAAGCATAACCTCCTCTGCATTTTTCTGAGATGAAGGTTCCTATCTTTAAACTGATTCTAAAAAAATGTCTGGAAATCTGTTGTACTGTAGTATGCCTGCTTAACTGTGCACCTTGGATCCTCCCTTAGCAAAATTTGATACACAATATATTATTAGACAAGGGGAATAAAATGTGAGTGCCAGCCCATTATTTACATTTGTTTGTATCTCATCATTTTTATTATTCATTATGATCTTTAATTGACACATAGTAATTGTATGCATTTATGGAATACAGTGTGATATTTTGATATGCATATACAATTGTGTAATAATCAAATCAGAATAATTATCATATCCATTACTTCAAACATTTATCATTTTTTGTGTTGAGAATATTCAAAATCATCTCTTCTAGCTATTTAAAAATATACAATAAATTAATTATAGCCATCCTAAAGTGCTATAAAACATTAGAATTTATTCCTCCTGTCTAGCTGCACATTTATATTAACATGAATTAATCATCCTCTGGCCATCTCCCCCACCCTCCTAACTGTCACCACCTCTGGTAACCGCTATTCTACTCTCTACTTCTACGAGACCAAAATTTTTAGCTTCCCCATATGAGTGAAACCATGTGGTATTTATAATTATGTGCATGGTTTATTTCATTTAACATAATGTCCTCCAGGCTCATCCATGTTGCCACAAATGGCAGAATTTCATTCTCTATTATGGCTGAGTAGTATTCCCTCATGTATATATCACATTTTCTTTATCCACTCATCTGTTGATGGACACATGAGTTGATTCCATATCTTAGCTATTGTTACTAGTGCTGCAATAAACATAAGAGTGCAGATATCTCTTCAACATAGTGGTTTCCTTCCCTTTGGCTATATTTCAATAGTGGGATTCCTGGATCATATGGTAGTTCTAGTTTTAGTTTTTTGAGACTGCTTTCCATAATACCTGTAGTAATTTCCACTAGCAGTGTATAAGATACATTTCCACTAACAGTGTATAAAAGTTCTCTTTTCTCTAAATCATCACCAACATTTGTTATTTTCTGTCTTTTTGATAATACCCATTCTAACTGGGGTGAGATGATATCTCATTGTGATTTTGATTTGCGTTTTCCTGATGATTAGTAGTGCTGAGCATTTTTTCCCATATGCTCCTTGACCATTTCATTTGTGTGTCTTCTATTGAGAAATATCTATTCAGATCACTTGCCCATTTTTAAATGGAAATTGTTGTTGTTGTTGCTGCTGCTGCTGTTTGAGCTTGTGTATTTTGGACATTAATTCCTTGTTGGATGAATAGTACGCAAATGCTTTCCCCCATTCTGCAGGTTGTCCCTTCGCTCTGTTGATTGCTTTCTTTGTTGTGCAGAAGACTTTTAGTTTGATAAAATTGCTGTTGTTTCTTTTTGCTTTTGCTGTCTGTGCTTTTGAGGTCTTATCCAAAAAATCTTTACCCAGACCAATATCTTGAAACACTTTCCCTATATTTTCTTCTAGTAGTTTCATAGTTTCAGGTCTTACATTCAAACATTTAATCCATTTTGAGTTGATTTTTGTATATGATGAGAGACAGGTATTCATTTCATTCTTCTGCATATGGATATCCAATTTTCCCAGCATCATTTATTAAAGAAGCTATACTTCCCACATTATGTATTCGTGGTGCCTTTGTAAAAGAAAATCAGTTCATTATAAATGCATAGATTTATTTCTGGATTTTCTATTCTTTTCCATTCTTCTATGTGTCTGTTTTTATGCCAGTGCCATGCTGTTTTGGTTACTATAGCTCTGTAGTATATTTGAAGTCAGGTAGTGTGATGACTTTTTGCTTTGTTCTTTTTGCTCAGGATTTACTTGGTGATTCCAGATCTTTAGTGGTTCTATATGAATTTTAGGATTTTTTTTTCAATTTCTGTAAAAAATGTCACTGGTATTTTGACAGCGATTACATCTAATTTGTAGATCACTTTAAATAGTATGGACATTTTCACAATACTAATTCTTCCAATTCATCAGCTTGGGATATATTTCCATTTTTGTGTGTCCCCTTCAATTTCTTTCATCAGTGTTTCATAGTTTCCATTGTAGAGATCTTTCACTTCTTTGAATAAATTTATTCCTAGATATTTTTTTCCTTTGGTAGCTATTGTAAATAGCATTGCTTTCTTAGCATTTTTTTTAGTTACTTCATTATTGGTATATAGAAACACTACTGATTTTTGTACATTGATTTTGTATTCTGCAACTTTATTAAATTCATTTATCAGTTCTAAGAGTCTTTTGTAGAGTCTCTAAGTTTTTCCACATATGAGATCACATCATCTGCAAACAGGGACAACTTGACTTCTTCCTTTCCAGTTTGGATGCTCTTTCTTTCTTTCTCTTTCCTAATTGCTCCGAATAGGATTGCCACCACTATGTTGAATAAAAGTGGGAATCCTTGTCTTGTTTCAGTTCTTAGAGGAAAAACCAAAAGCTTTATTTTTTCCCCTGTTCAGTAAGATGCCAGTTGTGGTTTGTCATATACGGGCTTTATTATGTTGAGGATTTTTCTTTCTATACCTAATTTGTTGAGAATTTTTATCATAAAGGGATATTGAATTTTATTTGTGTCTATTGAGGTAATCATATGACTTTTGTTCTCTATTCTGTTGATGTGATGTATCACAATTATTGATTTGCATATATTGAGTCATATTTGAATCCCTGGGATAAATCCCACTTGATCATGGTGTATAATCTTTTTGCTATGCTGTTGGATTTGGTTTGCTAGTATTTTATTGAGGATTTTTGAATTACTCTACATCAGGAATATTGGCCTAATGTTTTTCTGTTGTTATTGTGTCCTTATCTGGTTTTAGTATCAGTAGGATTGATGTGGAAGAATTCTCTTCCCTTCAATTTTTTTTTTTTTTTTTTGGAATATTTTGAGGGGACTGGTGTTAGTTCTTCCTCAAAAGTTTGGTAGAATTCAGCGGTAAAACCTTCCAGTCCTGAGTTTTTCTTTTTTGGGAGAATTTTTATTGCTGATTCATTTTCAGTACCTTTTATTGGTCTGTTCAGGTTTTCTGTTTTTTCTTGGTTCAATCTTGGTAGATTTTATGGGTCCAGAAATTTATCAGTTTTCTTCAGTTTCTCCAATTTGTTGGTATATAGTTGTTCATACTAGTGGTGTTTTATATTTCTATGCTCTCAGTTGTAATGTCTCTTTTGTTGTTTCTGATTTTATTTGAGTCTTCTCTCTTTTTCATAATTATTCTAGCTAATAATTTGTTGATTTTAGTTATCCTTTCAAAAAACTAGCTTTTGATTTTGTTGATCTTTTATACTTTTAAAGTCTCTATTTTATTTATTTCTGTTCTGATCACTATTATTTCTTTTTTTATTTACTTATTCTCATTCTATCACCCAGTCTGGAGTGCAGTGGTGTGATCATAACTCACTGTAACCTGGAATGCCTCAGTTCAAGTCATCCTCCTGCCTCAGCCTCCTGAGTACAGGTGTGCCCCACCATGCCAGGCTAATTCTTTTTATTTTTTGTAGATATGGGGTCTTGCTGTGTTGCCCAGATTGGTCTTGAACTCCTGGCCTCAAGCAATTCTCCTGTCCCAGCCACCAAAATAACTGGGATTACAGGCATGAACCATTGTATCTGGCCTACTATTTCTTTTCTTCTACTAATTTTGGGTTTGTTTCTTATTTTTTTAGTTTTTTGAGATGCATCATTAAGTTTTTATTTGAAGTCTTTCCACTTTTCAATGTAGATGCTAACTGCTATAAACTTTGTTCTTAGTATTGCTTTTGCTGTATCACATGGGTTTTGGATGTTGTGTTTCTATTTTCATTTGTTTCAAGACATTTTTAAGTTTCCTTAATTTTTTCATTGACCCATTGGTCATTCAGCAGCATGTTATTTAATTTTTATGTATTTGTACAGTTTCCAAAGTTCATCTTATTATTGATCTCTAGTTATATTCCATTGTGATCAGGAAAGATACTTGATATTCTGTTGATTTTTAAAAATTTGTTGAGACTTGTTTTGTGGCTAACATGTGGTCTATTTTGGAGAATTTTCCATGTGCTGATGAGAAGAATGTGTTTTTTGTGGTTGTTGGATAAAATGTTCTATAAATATCTGTTAGGTCCATTTGGTCTACTGTGTAGTTTAAATCCAATTTTTTTGTTGACTTTTCCTGTCTAGATGATCTGTCTAATACCGAAGGCGGGGTGTTGAAATTCCCAGCTATTACTGTATTAGGGTCTATCTCCCTCCTTTTAGATCTAATAATACTTGCTGTATATGTCTGGGTGCTCCAGTGTTGGGCACATATATATTTAGAATTGTTATATCCTCTTGCTAAGTTGATCCCTTTATAAACTTATATTGTTGATAAACAATTATATTGTGACCTTATGTTGATAAACATTATATTGTGACCTTACGCATCTTTTTTTTAACAGCTTTTGATTTAAAGTCTGTTTTATCTGATATAAACATAGTTACTTGCTTTTAGTTTCTGTTTGCATGGAATATGTTTTTTCATCCACTTTGAGTCTATGTGTTTCTTTACAGGTGAAGTGAGTTCCTTGTAGGCACACATATAGTTGAGTCTTGTATTTTTATTCATTCAGCCAGCCTGTATCTTTTAATTGGATAATGTAATCCACTTACACTCAAGGTTATTACTGATAGCTGAAGACTCAAGCCCATCACTTTGTTAATTGTTTTCCCTTGTATATTTGTATATTCTTTGTTCCGTTCTTCCTCTCTTGTTGTTTATGTTTGCAGTTTAGTGATTTTCTGAAGTGATAATGTTTGATTCCTTTCTCTTTCTCATTTGTATATATGCTCTACCAGGAAGTTTTACTCTTTCATATGTTTTCATGATGGTAGTTACTGTCCTTTTGCTTCCAGATATAGGACTCCCTTAAGCATTTCTTCTAAGGCTGGCCTAGTGGTGATAAAGTTCCTTAGGTTCTACTTGTCTGGGAAGGACTATTTCTACTTCATTTCTGAAGGATAATTTTGCTGGGTAGAGAATTCTTGACTGGCAGTTTTCTCTTTCAGCACTTTGAGTATATTATCCCATTCTCTTCTTGTCTGTAAGGTTTCTACTCAGAAATCTGCTGTTAGTCTATCAGGGATTCTCTTTTATATGTAACTTGATGCTTCTCTTTTGCTGTTTTGAGAATTATCTCTGTCTGACTTTTTACTCTAATGTGTCATGAATGATTTATCTAATTTCATTAAATTATCTATCCGTATTCTCTTGAATCTTGCTGAGTTTTCTTAAGATCATTATTTTGAATTCCTTTTCAAGCATTTTGTAGATTTCCTTCTCTTTGGGGTCTGTTACTGGAGAATTATTGTGTGTTTTTTTTGGAGGTTTCATGTTTCCTTACATTTTCATGGTTTTTGTGTGTCCCTACATTGATATCTGCACATCTGGTAGAACAGTCACCCCTCCCAATTTTATGGAGTAGTATTTGTCAGAAAAGACTTCTTCCTCTTGATGTGTCCTATGAAATCAGTGAGGTAGGATGCTTTGGCTTTGGTTCTGGGTGGGTGCAGTTGTATAATCTTTATGTGGTTTCTTCAGCCATAATTAATCTCAGCAATGTCTGTGAGTCCCTTAGTGGTCTAGACTTTGGGTGTTTGTGGAGGCAGTGGTGCAGCTTTAGTGGGGATAGAGGCCACCAGGTAGGGCAGTTATCAGTCCTTGGAGGGGTGCATGCCAGGAACGGCAGTTCTGCTGGTTGTGAGAGTGGCACTGCCAGCGGTAGGTGCTGGGTAGGCTAGTTCTCTGACCCTGGGAGGCATGCATGACATGCAGCAGCTCTGCCTGTTGAGGCACCTGGGCAGTTTGTTCTCAGGTCCTGGGAGTGTGCCTGCTGGCTTCCCTGCTCTTGGGGAGGCCTCCCTGCTGTGCTGTACTGCTTGTTCCTTGAGGTATAGAGCACTGTGTGGGCTCAGGTGCTGGGGTTACAGCTGTACCACTGGGTCCAGTTGTGGATGTGGCATTGCTGCCTATTGTATGAGTGTGATGGGAAGAGGGAAGTGCTCCAGAGAAGTGGAGATGCAGAGGCTCTTGGGTCCCAGGGAAGGATGCACTGTAGCAGTGACTTTGTTCTCAAAGTAATACCATGCTCTAGCAGCTTGGGTCCCAGGGAGTTGGGGGATGACATAGCATTAGTTTCTTCTCTGGATTAATGCAGCCATGTGACTCCAGGCAGCTCTTTATAGGCTCAGAGCTTGTGAGAGTTATGACACTCTCCTGTAGCTAGGACTGCAGGCATCCATGGTAGTAATGGACACTGCTGGGGATATCCTGGGAATCTTTTCCCCACAATGGAGAGTCACTTCTGACTCCAGGCCAATCCCTTCCAGGCCCTTTGCTTTTTTCTCACCCCAAGTTGACATTCTTCAGAGAGTTTTGTCAATTCCTACTGAATTCCAGTGTTCTCGCCTTAGAAACTCTACTCAAAGTGCAGTTGTTTACTTTTTGTTTTGTTCTTGGAGGAGGCAAGCATTGGACACCTATAATCAGCTGTCTTGATGATGTCCCTGATTTTTAGACAAATATAATTAACATAAAATGTTTCCATGCTGATAGAAAGAATAGGTATAAATAATCCAAATAAAGGTAAATAAAATGCTGATATTCTCCTGAATTTTTTCAGAAATTCACATTTAATAAGGTTTACTGTTATAAACTCACATTGTTTCTTATTACATTCAGCACAATTCCATCTTATCTTGAACTTATCTTTAAAAGTCTGTGTTCTATCAGGTAATTGAAACAGCAGGCCTTGTATCTTTATAAATAGCACACATAATTTATTGTGTTTACATAGTCAAGTGAAAATTACTCAATTCTTTTTCTTGGTATAATGAAGATTTGAGTCACATCTACTGTTGTGGGACTCAACAGACTCTGTTACGGGAAAATAATCCAGAATGCATCATTGGAAAGAGGGTATTTAACAAGGTGGTCTTTCTGCCCATAATGTTGCTGTGAGAAGGTATACATTTCCTGACTATGACCACCTTCTTTTGCCAACAAGAGGTGATTTACTAAATGTCTGATTTTTTTTACATGAACTAATCTTCTACTGGAATTAAAGAACAAAGTGGATAGAATAAATACCCTTCTTGTCCTTTAAGATAAAAAATATCAGATCTTTTCAAAGTAATTAATATAGTTTGCCTTGAACAATTCAAATCTATTTTTAAAAATTATTTATTTTTGTATTGTGCTTCTCTTTTTCATTTTAATTTGGTTTCCAGTAACTCCCTTTCTAGTGTATAATTCCACAATAGTCTTTCTCTTCATCTCAGTAAATGTGTGATCTGGGCAAATATTCCAAGATAGGGACAAAGCTAGAGAAGAGAATTGAAGATTGTGCTTTATAAATGTCAATCTGTAGGGGCCGTGTGCGGTGGCTCACGCCTGTAATCCCAGCACTTTGGGAGGCTGAGGCGGGTGGATCACGAGGTCAGGAGATAGACACCAACCTTGCTAACTGGTGAAACCCTGTCTCTACTAAAAATACAGAAATAAAATTAGCCCAGCGTGGTGGCGGGCGCCTGTTGTCCCAGCTATTTGGGAGGCTGAGGCGGGAGAATGGCATGAAGGCGGAAGAATGGCGTGAACCCGGGAGGCGGAGCTTGCAGTGAGTGGAGATCACGCCACTGCACTTCATCCAGCCTGGGCGACAGAGCGAGACTCCGTCACACACACACACACACACAAATTATTTAAAAAAAATAAAAAATAATAAATGTCAGTCCGTGACCACATAGTTGAAAAAGGTGTCTGGGTCTTGGGTCTTGGGGAAAAAAAAGATGTCTTTATACTTTTGCAAGTTTGTTTTGTTATTTTTAATTTGCTTTCTCAATATAGACTCTTGAAACACTAACCTTGACCATATCGAAACTACGAGAAAAAAAGATTCTCCCACACTCTGTCAGAATAGTTATATAATTTATTGTCAGATGATAGGTGATAGCAGGTACCATCAGCTCCAGAATGGGAGGAGAGCCAGTAGAATCACACTGGTGGTGGGGATGGTGGAAAAAAGAAAGTGGGAAAGCCAGAATTAACTTAGGCAGATGCAGCTGGGGGCATGAGAACTTTCTTTAATCTTCGAGTGCAGCCTATCTCTAAATGATGTCTGCCCTTCCTCCTTCCCCAGCTCATTAAAAATAGTTCACATCATGCATTATTGGAGGCTTCACCCTTAACAGGACTAGACATCCAGATGGCATTGGGCAGCATCTTCCTGCATTTCGGTTTTCAATGTGCTCCATTTACACTGCTTCTACAAATTTAGCATAATTTTAGGGTGTAGGATAAGAGTTGTTTGTTTATGTTTTCCTTTATGCAATCATCTTTCTTTCCTTCATATCTTCTAATTTATCTGCCTCTTAGATTTCTATCCATGATTTCCCTTTCATGATTCTATTTACATAGATTTAAAAAAATGTTTTTGTTAAAAATTAAGATGATGCTTTTACATAATTCAAATCATCAAATAGTTTTTCAAGGCTGGTTGACAAAACAAAACAAACAAACAAAAAACAACTGCATCCTCTACAACCTCCACTGTTCTCATTTCTGAGAGGTTACCATTTTCCCTCCAGATAACATACTTTTTGATTTTTCTATTTAGGCATTTTTTGCGCCCCCCCACAATTAAGTAAGAATTTACTACCTTCTACCCTGGCTAGCTACCAACCCCTATGCGTGTCCTATACAATCAGTGATTACATAACCATTACCATGTAAATGCTGTTTAAAACTGAGTCACATAAAAATATAACTTTTTTGGTGCAATGTTTTTTCTCCTTGGAATTAATAATTGCCTTGGTTTTTATTTCCTTTGTCTTCTGTGTCCTTATTACTATTCACCCCCATGTTTTCCTTAGTTTCTCTATTCTTTGTTCTGGAACTTCTGCCTTTTAAATATTGGTCATCATAGACTGATCCTCTAAATTTCTTTTCTAGTTCGGTTTTCTTTTATCTGTCTCTTTTTCAGATTTTCTCAGCATTGCAGTCCAACGTCTCTATCAAGTTTTTAATTTCTCCTACAATATTTTTAATCTATAGGATTTTTTCCTAGAATGTTTATTTTTAAAGAAAATTATCCTTTTAGTGTGTTTTAAGGAGCAAATATCTCTCTAATCTCTCAGAGGATATTGATAGTTTTCTTCTTTAATTCACTGCATAGCTTCTGTTTCTCCACATTGAATTTTGCTGTTTCTGAGCGTTGGTCTCTATTTTTCATGTTTCATCAGAGACCAGATGATCCTCGGCTGTCTGCTTGTATTTAAGAAAGAGGCCCTCAAAAGTTGAAAGGCAGTTCTGTACAGGGCTGGAACTTTTCACCTTTGAGACACACAAGAGGGTGATCTGGGAATTCACAATGTCAATATCTACGGATTTTTTTTCTTGGGATGCTCAGATTTCAAATGAAGAACTTCTTGTCCCCTGTAGGGTATTGGCCTGGCTGTCTGTGTTCTGGGATCTGAGTGATAATAGTGATTTATGGTCCCAACATTCAATAGTAGATAGACTTTGACTTCAACCATCTGTTTTCAATTGGCATTCCCATCCTTAACTGTGCCTGGTTTCCCCTATCTCAGAGATCCCCCTTTTCCACCCAGTCCTAAGCATAAGCCTCCATCCTTCCACCAAGGTGGGGAGATGCTGAGGTCACACTTCACTGAGTGGAAACTCAGTGTGGAATCTGAGAGCCTAAATGTTTCTTACACAGACTCTCAAATAACCATCCTGTTTTCAGCTCCCCTGTCATTTCCAAATTTATAGTTACCCAACGTTGCCAATCTCTAAAGTTTAGGGGAGTTCCACAGTGCAAATCATGTTATCCTCAGCATTTTCCACTGGCAGTGTAGTATTGGAATTTTTGATTTATGCTATGTCATTGACCATTCATCCTTTTGCTTTCCAGGTTCCACTGTTATATTGCCATATCTTCCTCTCCTGCTCTTTGTCCTTGTAGACAAATGACTTAAAAGTTTTACTTTCATTTCAATCAGGTTTCAGGAGAGTGAATTGTGTTTAATGTACTCTCTTTGACCATAAGTCTTCTTATGATCTCTAAAAGTAGTTTTCTCAAGAACACAAGAGCAGGGTTGTCATTTGTGGTTGTGTAGGTGTGTAGCGCACAACTCTAAGAGAAACCATTTCCATCATAAGTATTATACATTTCTATATTTTGACAAACTCTGGAAAATGATGGTAAAGTGGCTTGTTCAACAAAAATCGGGGTAATATAGCAATTGTTTAGCAGAGAGAAGTAAAGTTTCTTGATGAAAAGATAACTTTTTTCTAAATATACGTGAAGAAGCCATAAATAGCAGTTCTGAACAAGGGATATGAACTAAGACTTCTGATTGCAAAGATGTTTCTGAGTCTCACAGTTTAAGTTGGACCAGACTGATTTCCAAAAATAACTAAACAGAGTTTCATAGTGCCAAGCAAATAAGGAGTTTCAACAGGTGGCCTTTGCATAATTGGATAGTTTTAGAATGTCTACTGTAACAGAAATAATCAAAATTTTTCTTGTCAACATGGTGAAATGGGATCTTACTAGTCGGTAATAGTTGCAGACAAAATTGTATTTAAAGATAAAATCAGTGGTAGATTTCTGGTTTAAAGTCATTTGGTGAACAGATTCTGATGCAACCATCTATTATCTTCCTATTCAAACAACCATAAAGACAGCAAAAAGAATGCATGTTTGAACAAAATGAAAACTGACAGCCAACATATTGCCAGAAACTTGGAAGAAATTCCATCAATTATAGAGTATATAGGGTGGAAATAAAATCATAATTGTTGACCTGCACATCCTTTTCTCACTGAAATAGAATTTAACAGATTGTTTTAGATGAGGTAGAGAGATTTGTGGTACCCTTCTCAATGCTGTACCTTAGTTCAGAGATACAAGGTCTATTCCAAGCAAAAACCAATGTGGCCACCCTGCGGTTGTTTAGAGACTTCTTTGTGGTTCACAAGACATCTCTCCATATAACCCATTCCCCCATCGGTAATTTCCCTTTTTCATTTATTTGGATATTTGAACCTCTAAGAAAACACACAGTAGGAAGCGTGTATGGAAGGAAGTGAGAAGAGAAGAAGGAAGGGAGGCCTGGCAGCGGCATGTTGCATTCTGGGAGCTTAAATCCCAGCAATAAAGGGTCGGAGGTGAGAGTGGATTTAGGAAGGGCATGCCATGGTTAATTTTTCAGGACAAAGAACCAGCACTGAGTGTAAGAGAATGTCTAAGTACATGGATATAGGCCACCCGCTGGGAATTAGGCCGAAAATTATGCACCTCAATTTCCCCTCAATTGTCAGTCAAAAGGGATTTTGTAACCACATCTAAATGAACAGGAGACAAGGCCAAAGGCAAATCACAGACTTTGTCTGCTAGCAAACAGGAAGTCTTGATCAATCTCTTTTTGTTCAAAGTTAAGTAAATAGTTTCTTCATGTTGATTTTCCAGATGGCAACAATAGGCACTGGGGACTCCAAAAGGAGGGAAGGAGGGAGAGGGGAAAGGGTTGAAAAACTATCCATGTGGTATTGTGCTCACTACTTGGGTAATGAGATAAATCCTCAAACCTGGGGTAATTGATTAATGAGATCAATACCCCAAACCTCAGCATCGTACTATATACTCATGTAACACGCTTGCACATGTACCCCCGAATCTAAAATGAAAGTTGAAATTATTTTTCGAAAATAAGTAAATAGGAAAAATAGCAACAACACATGGAGTATAAAAAATGTCATAGAATAATAAAATGGAGACGGAGTCTCTTGAAATATCTCAAGATGATATACAAGACTTTGGTAAAGTTGGTATAATGATTTCAAGTTGCACATACATTGTTATAACAACAAATTTACAAGAAAAAAACAAACAACCCCATCAAAAAGGGGGCAAAGGATATGAACAGACACTTCTCAAAAGAAGACATTTATACAGCCAACAGACACATGAAAAAATGCTCGTCATCACTGGTCATCAGAGAAATGCAAATCAAAACCACAGTGAGATATGATCTCACACCAGTTAGAATGGCGATCATTAAAAAGTCAGGAAACAACAGATGCTGGAGAGGATGTGGAGAAATAGGAACGCTTTTACACTGTTGGTGGGAGTGTAAATTAGTTCAACCATTGTGGAAGACAGTGTGGCGAGTCCTCAAGGATTTTGAATTAGAATTACCATTTGATCCAGTAATCCCATTACTGGGTATATACCCAAAGGATTATAAATCATGCTACTATAAAGACACATGCACACGTATGTTTATTGCAGCATTATTCACAATAGCAAAGACTTGGAACCAACCCAAATGTCCACTAACAGTAGACTGGATTAAGAAAATGTGGCACATATACACCATGGAATACTATGCAGCCATAAAAAAGATGAGTTCATGTCCTTTGCAGGGACATGGATGAAGCTGGAAACCATCATCCTAAGCAGACTGACATAGGAACAGAAAACCAAACACCACATGTTCTCACTCATAGGTGGGAATTGAACAATGAGATCACTTGGACACAAGGCAGGGAACATCACACACTGGGTTCTGTCCGGGGGTGGGGGAATGGGGGAGAGATAGCATTAGGAGAAATACCTAATGTAAGTGATGAGTTGATGGGTGCAACAAACCAACACAGCACATGTATACCTGTGTACCAAACCTGCATGTTGTGCACATGTACCCTAGAACTTAAAGTACAATTAAAAAAAAAATAGTAGGAAAGAGAAAACAATATTTTTTTAAAAGACACAATTGTTGTCACATAAAAAGATGCACATATTTGTGGACCAGAAGTGGAGCAGAAATTAGAAAATAGGTAAAGGCTGATGCCATAGGTCTCCTAGGTGCTGATACTAGGATATATCCAGGTATCTGGAAGACTGATTCCTTTAGGATATGGGAAATATAGAGTATGCCATAGATGTCAGCAGCCCAGAGCTGGGCCCTTTACCTAAAAATGAAGTTGAAGTAGGGCACCCCACCCCTAAACTCTGGATGGAAATGGAAAAAGTTACAACTACTACTGAAGCTTTGGCTTCAATAAATCTGTTTACATGGAGTGCAAAGAGGGAGCAAACAAAAATCACTGCACAGCCAGAACCTGAGTCAACTGCCTGCAAGCTCCGGGACTGTATATATGAAGTACTCAATCTTGTTATGCAAAGGAACCCCAAGCACCGGTCCAAAACTTAGGTCTGCTTGTGCTGTTAGATGTGGAGGAGTGGTGTATACACGAAAGAGGAGACAGAGATTGAGAGAGAAATGGAAAGTGTAGTTTATAATGAGGACTGTGGATCCAATCCTTCAAAACCTGGCTCTGTGTCTTACTGGCCGTGCAACCTTGGGCAAGTCACACAACCTTGCCAAGCCCTGGTTTTCTCATCCGTTAAATTGATATTAAAATAGCACCTACTTCCATGAATTATTGTGATAATTAAAGTAACTACAACAGTGCCTGCAACATACCAAACTAAAATGCAATGATGGAATTAAATCTTTACTGGAAATGGTAAAAAAAAAAATTAGTAACATAGAAAATATAATCGATAACAGAGAATAAACTTCAAAAATTCTCCTAAAGTTTCTAGGAAAATTTAAAAAGATAAGAAATAATATAAAAATAAAGTACATGTGGCCAGGCACTGTGGCTCACACCTGTAATCCCAGCACTTTGGGAGGCTGAGGCGGGTGGATCACCCGAGGTCAGGTGTTCGAGACCAGCCTGGCCAACATGGTGAAACCCTGTCTCTACTAAAAATACAAAAATTAACTGAGTGTGGTGGTGCAAGCCTGTAATCCCAGCTACTTGGGAGGCTGAGACAGGAGAATTGCTTGAACCCAGGAGGCAGCGGTTTCAATGAGCCGAGATCACACCACTGCACTCCAGCCTGGGCAACAAGAGCAAAACTCTGTCTCAAAATATAAAATAAAATAAAAGTACATAAAAGTAAAGGCATATAATGGCATTCTAACATTTCATTATATTTTTGAGGGAAACAATAAACAATTCTAACGATCAAAAGTATAATAGAATTTTTTTCTAATTTGAAGTAAGATGTGGGTCTTCAAATTGGATGGACTTAATCTGTTACTGGGTATAATTAATGCAAAGTGATTCACAATAGACTTATCCTGGAGACATTTTCAGATTACATTACAAAAATAAAGCATCATCCCAGGAAGAAAAACAAAATCCCACCAGTCACACTTGCACAATTTATCTACTAATAATTAATAATTAAGCACACCAAATTTCTTTTTTACAACAGAGAAAAAACATAATGTCTTCAACGTTTAACAGAATAAAACTTGACACGTCATAATTTTATACACAGCTCAGTTGCAAGAACCTTGCATATGAAAGAATCATGTGTTCTTCCTGAAAAAATTGATAATGTGATTGAACTCATGAGAGATGAATCGATGAATCATTGCAAAGAATTCAAGAACAACAAAACTGTGATCTAAAAGATCTGAGGATAAACATTAAACTTTGCATAAATTTAACTCTAAATAATAGTTGGTAAATATAAAACTTATGCAAATGTCAAACTATTATTTAGAAAGAAGCTAAATAATGTTAAACAATTAATAATGATGATAATGCTCTAAAATGTTGGATTATTCTCACTTTGTTATTGTCAGTTGTTTCCCAACAAAATTTATTTGCCTCTTCTTTCCTATTAATAGAGGCTTCATTTTGTGCAGGTATTCATGTGCCCAGCCCTAGACAATAAATCAATCATGATTAGTCTAAGCCAATCATTATAATCCTTGTCTCTCTCTCCAAGCCTCCCTTGGAGTTTGAGATGACTATGGATCTGGTTTTCGCTAATAATACCTGAGTTAAAGTATGCCAAAGAGGTTTCTGGGGGAGCATTTGCTTTCCTGATGAAAGGGGACACCTTGGCTGGCACAGATCCTCTTTCCTATCTCTGCCTTAAACACTAACATAGGCTGCAGCAGCCATCTTTTGGCCATGACATGAATGTGTGAAAGTGAAAGATATGCTAAGGATGGAGAAATAGAAAGAAAGGAGGCCTGGGTTTTGGATGACATCACCAGATAGGCCCAGTTCTCAGACCATCATAAAGCCATGCAAGAAATTAGTAATTTATGTTCAAAACCAAACAAAACCCTCTGACTACTTGGACATTAAAATTACTCTTCTAACTTATAAACTCAAATAGATAATCAAACTACAGTTATAGGCTGTTTGAAAATGAAAACATTACATATCAAAACCTATAGGATGAGATCAAAACAGCGCTAAAGGACACAATCATAACCTCAAATGTTTCCATCATTAAATGAGAATTTTTTTAAAAACGCAAGGATTTTACTTACTTATTCGGATTTTTTTTTAATTACAGAAAAAAAGAATTTTAGAGCTAAAAGTAAAAAACAAATGTGAGAAATGTAAGATATTACAATTGATAAATCTAAGAGTTGAATATTTGTGATTAAAACCCCAACAAATAAAAAGAACTAATGAATTAGACAAAACTCTGGCAATTATAATAAAAAAAGACAAAGACCACAAATTAACAAAATTTATGTCATAACAAATAACAATGGGGTAATAATAGGTAGTCAGGTGTAGTAACAAGGAAGTGGGTATAATCACAAACCCAAAGGAGATCATAGTCTTATAAGAAAATTATACCATTTGACCCAGCCATCCCATTACTGGGTATATACCCAAAGGATTATAAATCATGCTGCTAAAAAGACACATGCACACGTATGTTTATTGTGGCACTATTCACAATAGCAAAGACTTGGAACCAAACCAAATGTCCAACAACAATAGACTGGATTAAGAAAATGTGGCACATATACACCATGGAATACTATGCAGCCATAAAAAATGATGAGTTCATGTCCTTTGCAGGGACATGGATGAAGCGGGAAACCATCATTCTCAGCAAACTATTGCAAGGACAAAAAACCGAACACTGCACGTTCTCACTCATAGGTGGGAATTGAACAATGAGAACACATGGACACAGGAAGGGGAACATCACACACCGGGGCTTGTTGTGGGGTAGGGGGAGTGGGGAGGGATAGCATTAGGAGATATACCTAATGCTAAATGATGAGTTAATGGGTGCAGCACACCAACATGGCACAGGTATACATATGTAACAAACCTGCACGTTGTGCACATGTACCCTAGAACTTGAAGTATAATAATAATAATAATAAAAAGAAAATTACACACTCAGGGCAGGGGAAATAAATTAATGCTATATAACAGGAAAGAATATGATATATGAATCAAAATTTCAGAAAATGTACCGGAAACTTGTTTCTACTAATAAAGTTTGATAAAATTGTTACAGAAGTGAACTAAACTTATTTAAAAGGAAGTTTATTGTTGCATTATATGTAATAGGAAAACAATAGAAATTTCATAAATGTTCAGTAGTAAGAGACTATTAAATAAGTTATAGTACATTCATTCAGTCAATACCATGTAACCATTGAAAAGTTGTAGAATATTTCACATCTTGATTGGAAAATCTTTGTAATACTTCAGAATGTGAAAAAGGCAAGTTTCAAAACATCAGTCCAGACTCTTTGGGTGAATTAAAGGACTTAATTAATCTATATAAAGTTCTTGATGGAGAAGACATTGAATGTGTGTTAGTTTTCCCTCCCACACAGGATTACTTTGAAAGCTGGTTGTATGTAAAGTGGCTAGACCAAGCCTGGCTTGTGGTTGTTACCCATTAAATGTTAGAGCCTACCCCTCTGCTTCTTGACTGTGTTCAGGAGAGCTAAGGTGCTACTTCAGCACACACTGGCATGTTGTGCCACTATGCAGAATTGCAGTGAGTTGAAATGCAGTTTCTGGTGTGGTCAGGAAATGACAATACAATTGTGTGTGTGTGTGTGTGTGTGTGTGTGTGTGTGTGTGTGTGTGTATTAATTAACCTTTTATCTCTCACTCACATGTGTTTAGCACTAAATGTCTTTCTGATAATCAGAAAAAGGCATCTGTGTAAAAACTAGAGATCGTCTAGTTTCTGTTCAATATTTGGCCATTGGCCAAGCTTTCCCCAGTTCAGCTCTATGCGTATGACTTGTCAGATCCACAGCATGCATTCACAGAGAGACCTCAGGACATCCTGCTGGGTTGCCAGCACTCATTAGAAGACTAAATTCCCTTTATGCTTTTTTAAAAAATTAAACTTGGTGTTTTTTACAATAGCTGTTACAAAATTCTCTAGGCATAAAGTGTGCAACCATTAGAGTTGACTTTATTTTTTATATTGTGGTAGGTTAGAGTTGTAATTGGACTTAGTTCTGCTTGAAGAATCTATTGATTCTTTGAACTGGGATATTCAAAATATCAGCTTACCCCTGAAACCTTCTTTTGCCTTGCCATGGTCAAGGCCATGGATTCCTATTGTTTGTGTCCAGTAGAGATTCCAAGGGGAAGCTCTAGCAAGTCTTTGCAGGATACGTTAACTCAACGATTGTTATTTGTTATTTGCATCAGCCCTGCATAAAACACCATCCAGTGTGGCATAATAACCTGCCTAGGTTTCTCTCCCTCTTCAGTTATTTTTTATTTTATTTTTTTTTTTGAGACGGAGTCTCACTCTGTCACCCCGGCTGGAGTGCAGTGGCGAGATCTCAGCTCACTGCAAGCTCCGCCTCCCGGGTTCATACCATTCTCCTGCCTCAGCCTCCCAAGTAGCTGGGACTACAGGCACCCACCACCATGCCCGGCTAATTTTTTGTATTTTTAGTAGAGACGATTTCACCGTTTTAGCCAGGATGGTCTCGATCTCCTGACCTTGTGATCTGCCCGCCTTGGCCTCCCAAAGTGCTGGGATTACAGGCATGAGCCGTGTGATTTTTAAAACTATTACTCAAGAAACCTGTAAGAACAAGTCTTTTAGGTGTATAGTCTGTTATGGGGCCCACCAGGTAGGATTTATTTTTCCTTCCCATCCTTCCAGATTACTGATAATCTCAAGCACTATTTTGGATCTGTCTCATGCTTTCAATTATCCTTCCAATTTGTGTCTGTAGGGCATATTTTTATTCTTAATCTACTGTTATCTCATCCAAATAGTAAAAAAAAAACATAAGTGGTTTTTAGAGTCTTTGTTCTTTCTTTCTTCTTTTTCGGGGTAGCGCATTTATAAGCTTATTTCCTTTTCTGAAATTGGGAAATCATGTGATACCAACCCATTAAATAAGAATGGTCCCAGGGATCTGGTTTATGAATTTATAATAAGGTCAGATTATAGGGCCTATGGGCAAATGTGACCTCTTCACAGAATGAGGACTTCTGTGGTGTGACAAGCAGAGTTCTAAAGATGGTCAGAGGGTTTCTTGGTCACATAAATAATCTTACAAAACAGCACATTAATGATTTAAGTATAAATAGATTAAACACATATGGATTCAATTTCCCCCCAAATACACATGACTCCAAAATCCAGGGGGAAAGAGCTTAGGATAAAACGTGGTTTTGGTTTAGAAAAATTCAAACATCGGAAAATAACAATTGGAACATTTGTCTAGCCCACAAATACCACTGGGTCAGTTTCTCCCTCACTGTCAATTTACAGAATGTTCCAGGGAAGCAGAATATATCTCATTCATTCTTGTCTTATGTGATAAAGGACTTTTAAATTAAAAGACCTCTTCAAAAAAACTTTGAGGAAAAAGTTATCAAGCTCCCCTTCAAATGGTTTAACACACTAGGGTATTATTTGTTCTGTCCAATGCATCTTGGATATTCTTCCTCTAAAGACAAGAACTATCTTTTGGTTCCATCTTTGGGTCTTTGTTTACTTTGTGTCACTGGTGAGTATTTGCAGCTCTTTGGGAAAAACTCTTTTCTTAACCATAATGAATTGCTTTATAATTTGCATAGCTTTGCAAAGACTAGACAAGCTCTGAAAATAAAAAGTACTTTGACATGCAAGATAAAGTTATTTGAATTCTTTTATGTCTCTAAGCTCACCCCATTTCTCTGCAGTGACTACATGGTTCTTGTTCAAAGAGGGGGCAAGTGGGCCGGGCGCGGTGGCTCACACTTTTAATCCCAACAGTTTGGGAGGCCGAGGCAGGTGGATCATGAGGTCAAGAGATCGAGACCATCCTGGCCAACATGGTGAAACCCCATCTCTACAAAAAATACAAAAATTAGCCAGGTGTGCTGGTGCACGCCTGTAGTCCTAGCTACTCGGGAGGCTGAGGCAGGAGAATCTTTTGAACCCGGGAGGCAGAGGTTGCAGTGAGCTGAGATCGTGCCACTGCACTCCAGCCTGGCAACAGAACAAGACTCCATCTCAAAAAAAAGGGGGCAAGTGCAATAAATCACCCCATCCTTTCATGGAGGTGATCTGTAAGAGGTGCCATTCTGCAGCTAGTGAGCACAGTTGGTGCTCAAGACACATCTGCCAAAGGGAGATAATTTGAATGCACAAACTGAAGAATCAGACTACACTCAACACATTATGTATGTTTGTGTCTGCGTGTGGCGGTGAGGGTGATGGGGTCTTCTCCATAATACCTATAGAACTAAACAATAGCTCCAAGTGGAAATATGTGACTAATCAGTAAATTGAGTCAATTTGTGGCTGATAGACCCTGTGTTCAGCCTGTCATTACCATTTGTATTTGGCATTGTACATCTTCAGCTGATTGTTAGACATACTTACATCTACATATGTGTGTCTTTTTCTTTTTACAAACAGGGGTTTCCAATGTTGAAATTTTGGATACGAAGTAAAAATAAAAAGATATAACTTTATTACAAGAGAAATTCTACAAAAATGGATATTTATGCAGTTGTCTCCATCGATGTGTTGATAGCATTGCCTCAGATAAATAAAATCAGTTGACAGTTCAAACTACGTATTAGTCAATAATATAGCATACTCCTCCACTGAGTTGTTTTATCAGAAGTTCTCGCCAGGAAGGTCTTAATGATGATAATCATTCTGAACACCTACCAAGTGCCATGTGTTTTACCATGAGTATTTCTCCAAAATCTTCCAGTTAGATGTTCTTAATCTCATTCTCCGTGTGAGAGAACTGTGAGAGTATATAAATGACTCCACAAAGGTCACACACCTGTAAGTCACAGAGATAATGCTTGAACCCAGATCTGTGTGGTTACTGATCTGTTCTATTCTCTTTCCAACTCCCCCATTGACCTTTGATAAAAGTAGTCAAGAGGAATGGCATGGTAATAACCGTAAAATAACAGCTAATAGTTATTGAGATTTTATGATATGAGAAGCAACATATTAAGTTCTTTATGAGATAGGCTTCATAGGAATCACATTTATTGAGTGCCTATTATGTGACAGATTATGTTTTAACATTTAATGCACTTACCGTTTTAAATACTTTACATGTGTCAATTACTTTGATTCTCATGGTGTCGGAAATATTATCTCAGTAGGTTAGATAAGGAAACCAACTAGGTTTACATCCCCAAGATCCCCCTATCTATTGCAATACCTCTGAAGGGATCACCACGGCTCATGGCTGCCTGCAGGGCAAGTTTATGGGCCTGTGTCCTACTATAGGCAATGGCTAAAAGAATCCCTTAGAGCTTTACCACAGCTAAAGCACAGCTAAAGCACAGGAATTGGTTTTTAAAGTTCCTTAGGAGTCATTTGTAAGTGGCACAGCCAGTATTAAAAGGCAAGAGTTGTGGCCAAGAGTACCAGACTCATAACCTCTGTGGTATACTGCCTTTCCTAGACAAACTGCTAGGAAAGGAAGATGCCACAGGCTAGAGATTCAATTAAATTGATATTTAGAAAGAGGCAATATTGGCAAAGATGAGAGCCTTCGTCTGAATTAAAAGTGGTATTAAAAAAGATCAAGATGGAGAGGTGAGAGGTTATGCAGACTGGCATTAATTAGCACTGAATGGTTTAAATGCTCCTACAAAATGTAATAGGAGAGGTCTCTGATCAGTGAGAAAGGGAGGTTAAAGCTAGGGCCTTGCAGATCACAGGAAATAAAGAAAACAATCCTCTTAGGACAGGCAAAAAGGGACCCATCAAGAAATAAAGGGAGCTGCAGTGGGCCCAGCTTTTGTTAAGCCAAACGAATCCCGGGGAGAGGAGACAATTCTCACAAGGTCAGGGCCAGACTGCTTGGCAAGTCACAGAAGTGAGTCTGTGCTGAACCCAGCTCCTCTCCTTGCACATGCGAGGTTTTGAAGCAGCTGGCAGGGAAGAAAGGATGGAGCGTGTGTCCCTGGAGTTGGGAGGACTACTGGCCTACTGCGAGGTAGATTGTGGCTTTGTCCCATCATCTTTGTCATCAGCAGCAGAACAAAATTGGTCACATCCCCTGAATCAAGGGGGCCAGAGAAAGTTCTTTTGACAGAAAGGTTCCCAAAGATGTATTTCAATGTTACTATTTCCTCCATTTCTAATGGAAAACTCAGTCTGTAGGGTGCTAGGATTTCTCCATTTTTAGAATGTTTCTCATTAAATATCAAACGGAATCTGTGTCTCCATCCTGCAGCAAGTGAACAGATGCTCTGTTTTACTCGCCTTAGGCTGCCCAGTTTGGTATATAACCAACGCATCCATCCTAACTTTAGGGGTATCAGATATTAGCCCCTGCTCCAAATAAATACATACATTTGCACACAAATAATTCCAAGAAGTTTCACTTGCTCCCCTGCTATCAGGAGCTGTAGATTATGCAGGGAAGTTTCTGGAATTCGGTTTGTGTTGAAGTTTGTTTCCACTAGGGAGAGTCCTACTACAAGTCACAGACCACTGCACAGGCTGCTTAAACAATAGGAAATTTACTGAATATGTAACTGAAAATACAAAAAGGTGGACTTCAGAGTCAGTTTAATCCCGTGGTTCCAACTCTATTTCTACAGTTGCCCTGGCTGCTGTCATATTTGTGTGTCAGCTTCATCCCATGCAGCTTCCCCCTGTGGAGGGGTGGCTACAGTAGTTTCTGACTTCACATCCACATACCGTAATGTCCACAGGAAGAGAAAATAGCCGTCGCTTCCCATACTTACTCTTAAGAGAAGGGAAATGTCTTGCCCAGAAGCTCTCGTCAAACTTCCTCTAGCATCTAATTAAGCCAGATTCTCGAGGCCCATGCATTGATTGGGCCAGTCCTGCCATCTTGACCAATCAGTGTCAAGGAGGGTGGGATGTCCCAAGACATCCCAGTCCTGGGGTTGGGCAGTTCCTCTGGGGCCCACGACCTCTGTGAGGAGAGATGGGTGCTGGATCAAAGTTGGGACTCTCAGAGGCAGCAGAAAGGGGTGAAATGGGTTCTGAGCAGGCTATGTCCTGAGGGCCATGGGGGCAAATGAAGAGAAGCACACTGCTTAGCAGCTTCCCAGACAGCTGAATTCTGCTGATGGCATAAAGGGGTGATGAACTCTCTATTGCAGTACCTCTGAAGGGATCTCCACGGATCACGGCTGCCTGCAGGGCAAGTTTATGGGCCGGTGTCCTACTATAGGCAATGGCTAAAAGAATCCCTTAGAGCTGTGATCCTGTAATGGTACTTTAATGGGATTGGTTTTTAAAGTTCCATAGGAGTTATTTGTAAAGTCCTGTCCATTCTGACAGCAGTCACTAGAGGGCTCACAGAGACGCCTTTCGGGGCTGCCCTCTAGAGGCGGAGCTGAGAAAGGTGGTGCTAAGCCGTCCAGCAGCTCAGAGCCATGGAGTTGATTGGGGAATTGATGGGTCTCCCAAGACCTCAGAGGAGTAATCTTGGGAATGTAAATGTTGGTGGAGCGTCTACAGACAATGTATGAGTCATTCAGAGGATGGCGCTTGGAGCAGTTCTATCTGTGCTGCCCAATATGTAGCCACGAGCCACGTGCTGTTATTGAACATTTGAAATGTGTCCAGTCCAAACTGGGCTGTGCTCTAAGTGCAAAATACACACTGTATCACATATTATCAAGGGTTGGAGTGAAAGAGAAGAATGTAAAATATCTCAATATTTTAAATATTGATTACATTTTGAAATCATGACATTTTGAATATATTGGCTTAAGTAAAATATATTATTAAAATTAATATCACCTCTTTCATTTGATTTCTTTAAAAGAAATTTAAAATAGCATATTTTGTGACTCACATTATACGTCTGTAAGACAGTACTGTGTTATGCCATTTGCTAGGGCGAGAAAGGAACTTGGTGGAGGGTGAGGGAGGAAGTGGAAGGGCCAGACACACTGAGAATTCCTGAGAGGAAGCTTGAGCCAATTCACAGAGACCTTTCACATAGGTCCCTGGACTGGGGTAGGGTTTCATTGCAGGAGCTCACTAACAGTTTGATAATGGTGATGATGATGATAATAATGGTAAGGACAACTTTCCCCTAATGAAATTGTCAAGGCTCTTTCAGTTGAAGCCTTCATTTCTCTAGGTACTGCTGAAAGACAGCCATATCCCCTGGATGCTCATGTGGCCATACTCATTTCTGTTTTCGCATTGCCACAGTTCCCTTTTCTCATACATAAACCTCATGCCTGATGAACCTGTCCAAAATTGCACCGTAAAAAAATTCTGCATTCCAGATTAAACTCGATGCCGAGCACATTAAATGCATCCCACAGTTGCCCCAGAGTTTCTGTGTGAATCAGAACAAATGACTAACGTCAAACCTGGATACAGATAAAAAGACACAGACATAAAAATTCTTACACATGCATTTATCTTTTTTTTTTCCCTAGAATATAAGTGTTCGACCATTTAGCATTTAGAGACTGGGAAAATGAGCTTTCACAAAATACTGCTGCTTGTGGGACCTGTCTCTTTCGAGGCAAACACATCTGACCCTTCTGGTAACATCACCTGTCACTGCTTGGCATGTGTCAGACAGATAAGCGTGTTGTGCTTCACCTCCATTTTCAGAGCAACACAGTGGAAATCTTCCTTCTCTTTCAGAAGGCAGAAATTCACTACTTTTCAATATTTTTAATGTAATTTGCTGAAGATAGGTGAATAATGTAAACTGTTAAAACCAAGGCTTCCCAAAAGTTTTGGCCAAGGCCAAAAATCAAAACAAATAAAGTGTAAGAAATTGTGTGAAGTAATAAAGTAAGTTATAATTCTAATTTCTGGGGCATTAATGTGAGTATTCCTTGGACTGTCAAGGTGGTAGGAGCTGATGGTACCAGTATTCAAGATGCTGCTTTCAGAATATGGCTCTGGCCTCCTTGTGCCACCTCACCACCCCTCTTCTCCATATCAGCCCCTGATGTCCACAGTGGAGTGTCCACCTTTGATTTCAAAGGCACTGCCACAGCCATCCTACAGGGCTCTTCTTCCCTTTCCCTCATCACTCTAACCTTTCCAAAGTGAAGAAACCAAGCTTTCTCCACCCGCCAACCAAAGCTGAGGAATCCTTTATTCCACAACTAATATGACAAAAATGTAAATATTTATTTCACATTCAGGCAGGTGGGATTGACATTTGACAATGAATTAGGCTTCATTTTAGAAAACATACAAGAGAACTGTGTGCATCTTTCAGCTGCAGTTTCAAGGAATGACTTCAAAAAAAATCTACACTTCAAATGCAAACAGAGTCCCCAGTGATAAAGAGGACATCCCTTATGAATGTACAAGTTCTAATAGATCTGACAAAGATCAACCCCACCATGAATGCAAGAGCAACTATTCAATAGCATTGCTTTTTGCCTGAACTCTACATTGTCCCTGTTTTGAAACCAGAGAAAAACTAATTTTGCCTCTCATTTAGGGTTTTTTAAACAAAAACCTGTTGAAATATCACACCCCCCTTTTGTACCCACCTTCCAACCTGAGTACATCTCAAAAAAGCACACACTACAAGTTTGTTCAAAAGTGGTAATGAGGCTTAATACAAAGAAAATAAAATGTAGTGAAGGTGAGCACAACAAATATACTTTTTCATCTTATTTAAACCCTACATAGTCCTTTATTCAATAATACTCAGTTGCTATGCTGGCAACCCCACCCACCTCTCTGCCCACCAGGGCCCCACCCCGGCTACTGCCGGCACAAGTTCAAGCAGGGACATTGGCAACCCTGCCCCCACTTGTGTCCTGCTGCCAGCCTGAACACATGCAGGAATGCAGCAGCCCCATTTCTGCCAGGACCCTGCCCCAGCCGACATGCATGCACCCTGTGGCACTGCTACAGCTGCTGGCACACACAAGCAAGCACAGATCCCACTGCTATTGCCCCAGCGAAGTGCTTTGGCCAGCACCACCCATGAGAGTGTTGTGACCAGTGAACTGGGAATATCTCAGCCCCTCCAGTGCAGCAGGTTCCTAACCTTAAGGGGCCAGAGACCAAAACCAGGTTCCCAGTACCAGCCCTTCAGAGTTAGAGTATGCAGAACTGGAGTGCTGAGCTGAGCCTTGGCCCCCTAAAATTTTCCAGAAATGAACCCCATTGACTGATACCACCATCAAACCCCCAAGGGCATCCAGGAAGATAAAATTAAAAAAAAATCATCTGAAGGACAGCTACATCAAAGACTGAAGGAACATCAGCCCACACAAATGAGAAAGAACCAGTGCAATAACTCTGGCAACTCAAAAAGCCAGTCTCTTTTTTCCTTTAAACAACCACATCAGTCCCCAAGCAATGGTTCTTAACTAGGCTGAAATGGCGGAAATGACAGAAGTAGAATTCAGAATATGGATAGGAATAAAGATCATCGACATTCAGGAGAAAGTCAAAACCCAATCCAAGGAATTTAAGGAATACAGTAAAACAATACAGGAAATAAAAGACAAAATGGCCATTTTAAGAAAGAACCAAACTGATCTGCTCGATCAGAAAAAAACTCACTTCAAGATCTTCATAATACAATTGCAAGTATTAATAGAAGAATCAACCAAGCTGAGGAAAGAATCTCAGAGCTCAAAGACTGGTTCTCCAAAATAACTCAGTCAGACAAAAATAAAGAATAAACAATAAAGAAGAATAAATGAAACCTCCAAAAAATATGGGATTATGTAAAGAGGCCAAATCTATGACTCACTGGCATCCCTAACAGAGAGGGAGACAAAGCAAGCAACTTGAAAAATTTATGTGACGATATCATCCATGAAAATGTCTCCAACCTGTCTAGAAAGGCCAATTTTCAAATTCAGGAAATACAGAGAACCCCTATGAGATACTATAAAAGAAGATCATCCCTAAGACTTACAGTCAACAGATTCTCCAAGGTCAAAATGAAAGAAAAAATATTAAAGGCAGGTAGAGAGAAGGAGTAGGCTACCTACAAAAGGAACCCCATCAAGCTAGCAGTGGACCTTTCAGCAGAAACCCTACAAATCAGAAGAGATTGGGGGCCTACCATCAGCATTTTTAAAGAAAAGAAATTGCAACCAAGAATTTCATATCTGGCCAAACTAAACTTCATAAGCAGAGAAGAAATTAGAACCCTTTCAGACAAGCAAATGCTAAGGGAACACCAGATTTGCTTCAAGAGAGTTCCTTAAGGGAGTGTTAAATATGGAAAGACCATTAGTGGCCACCACAAAAACACACTGAAGTACATAGAACATTAACACTATAAATCCACCACACAATCAAGTCTGCGGAATAACCAGCTAATGACATGATGACAGGACCAAACCTACATATATCAATATTAACTTTGAATGTAAACAGGGTAAATGCTTCCAATTAAAAGGCACAGAATGGCAAGTTGGATAAAGAAGCAAGACTCAAGTGTATGCTATCTTTTATAGGCCCACCTCACATGCAATGACACCCATAGGCTCAAAGTAAAGGGAGGGAGGAAAATCTACCAAGAAAAGAAAACAGGAAAAAAAGCAGGGGATGCTATCTTAATTTCAGATAAAACAGACTTTAAACCCACAATGATAAAAAAAAGAAAAAAGACAAAGAAGGGCATTACATAATGGCTAAGGGTTCAATTCAACAAGAAGACCTAAATATACTAAATATGTATTCACCCAACACAGGAGCACCCAGATTCATAAAGCAAGTTCTTAGAGACCTATGAAGAGACTTAGATAACCACACAATAATAGTGGGAGATTTCAGCACCCCACTGAGAGTATTAGACAGATCACTGAGGCAGAAAACTAACAAAGATAGTTGGGACCTGAACTTGACATTTGACAGAATGGGCCTAACAGACATCTGGAGAACTCTCCACCTAAAAACAATAGAATATACATTTTTCTTGTCTGCCCATAACGCATACTCTAAAATTGACCACACAATCGGCCATTAAACAATCCTCAGCAAATTCAAAGAACCAGAATCACACCAAACACACTCTTGAACCACAGCACAATAAAAATAAAAACCAATACTAAGAAAATTTCTCAAAACCATACGGTTATATAAAAATTAAACAACCTGCTACTGAATGACTTTTGGGTAAACAATGAAATTAAGATGGAAATCAAGAAATTATTTTAAGTTAATGAGAATAAAGATACAACATTCCAGGATCCCTGGAACAGAGCTGAAGCAGTGTTAAGAGAGAAGTTTACATCACTGAACACTCACATCAAAAAAAGTTAGAAAGATCTCAAATTAACAACCCAACATCACACCAAGAGGAACTAGAAAAAACAGAGCAAACCAATCCCAAAGGTAGCAAAGGACAAGAAATAACCCAAATGAGAGCTAAACTGAAGGAAATTGAGATGTGAGAAACTATACAAAAGATCAATGAATTCAGGAGTTGGTTTTTTTGAAAGAATATATAAGGCTGGTAGATCACTAGCTATACTAATAAAGAGAAAAAGAGAGATGATCCAAATAAACACAATCAGAAATAACAAAGGGGACATTACCTCCGACCTCACAGAAATGCAAAAACCCCTCAGAGACCATTCTGACACCTCTATGCACACAACCCAGAAAATCTAGAAGAAATGGAAAAATTCCTGGAAACACAACTTCCCAAGGTTGACCAGGAAGAAATTAAATCTCTGAAGAGGCCAATAATGAGTTCTGAAATTGAATCAGTAACGAAAAGCCTACCAACAAATAAAAGCCCAGGACCAAATAGATTCACAGCTGAATTCTACCAGATATCTACCCAAACTTACCTGATATGGGTTATTTCTTATTCAGAAGAGCTGGTACCATTCCTGCTGAAACTATTCCCAAAAATTCAGGTGGAGGGGCTCTTCTCTAATTCATTCTATAAGGCCAGCATCACCCTGTTACCCAAACCTGGCAGAGACACAACAATAAAAGAGAGTTTAAAACAGAAAACTTCAGGCCAATATCCTTGAGAAACATAGATGCAAAAATCCTTAACAAAATACTAGCAGACTGAACCCAGCAACATAGGAAAATGCTAATTCATCACAATGAATTAGGCTTTATCCCTGGGAAGCAAAGTTGATTCAACATATGCAAATCAATAAATGTGATTCATCACATGAACAGAACTATAGACAAAAACCACATGATCAACTCAATAGATGCAGAAAAGGCTTTCAGTAAAATTGAGCATCTCTTTATGTTAAAAAAGACCTTAACAAACTAGGCATTGAAGGAATATACCTCAAAATAATAAGAACCATCTATGACAAACCCACAGCCAACATTATACTGAATGGGAAAAACTTGGCAGCATTCTCCTTGAGAATCAAATCAAGACATGGATGCTTTCTCTCACCTTCCCTATTCAACATAGTACTGGAAGTTCTAGGCAGAGGAATCAGGCAAGAGAAAGAAATAAAAGACATCCAAACAGGAAGAAAGTCCAATTATCTCTGTTTGCAGACAATATGATTTTATACCTAGAAAAACCTCATAGTCTCTACCCAAAAGCTCCTATATCTGATCAATAACTTCAATAAAGTTTCAGGGTACAAAATCAGTGTTTACAAATCAGTAGTGTTTCTACACATCAACAACATTCAAACTGAGAGTCAAATCAAGAACACAATTCCATTCACAATAGCCACAGAAAGAATAAAGTGCCTAGGAGACAGCTAACCAGGGAGGTGAAAAATCTCTACAACAAAAATTACAAAACATTGTTCAAAGAAATCAGAGATGACACAAATGGAAAAACATTCCATGTTCATACACAGGAATAATCAATACTGTTAAAATGGCCATACTACCTGAAGCAATTTACAGATTCAATGCTATTCCTTTCAAACTACCAATGACATTATTCACAGGATTAGAAAAACTATTTTAATAAGTTTGGTTCCATATGAAAATAGTTTTTAATATGGAAAACTATTTCATAGGGAAAAACTATTTTCATATGAAACCAAAAAAGAGCCCGAATACCCAAGGCAATTCTAAGCAAAAAGAACAAAGCTGGGGGCATCGTGTTACCCAACTTTAAACTATACTCAGGCTACAGTAACTGAAACAATATGATACTGGTACAAAGACAGACACATAGACCAATGGAACAGAATAGAGTCCAGAAATAAAAGCACACACCTACAACCATCTGATCTTTAACAAAGTCAACAAAAACAAGCAATGTGAAAAGGACTCGCTATGCGATAAATGGTGCTGGAATAACTGACCAACCATACGCAGACGACTGAAACTGGACCTCTTCCTTACACCATACACAAAAAACAGCTCAAGATGAATTAAAGACATTTAAAACTTAAAACTATAAAAACCCTGAAAGATAACCTGGAAAATACCATTCCAGACATAGGCTCGGGCAAAGATTTCATGATAAAGATGCCAAAAGCAAGTGCAACAAAAACAAAAATTGATAAATGGACCTAATCAAACTAAGGAGCTTCCACACAGCAAAAGAAACTATCAACAGAGGAAACAGATAACCCATAGAATGGGAGAAAATACTTGCCAACTATGCATCTTACATAGGTCTAATATCCAGAATCTATAAGGAATTAAACAAAGTAACAAGCAAAAAATAAACAACCCCATTAAACAGGGGGCAAAGGACATGAACAGACACTTTTCAAAAGAAGACATACAAGTGGTCAACAAGCATATGAAAAATGCTCAGCATCACAAATCGTTAGAAAAATGCAAATCAAAACCACAATGAGATATCAAGTCACACCAGTCAGAATGGCTATTATTAAAAAGACAAAAAATAACAGATGCTGGCAATGTTGCAGAGAAATAGTTAACACTTAAACACTGCTAGTGGGAATGTAAGTTAGTCCAGCCATTGTGGAAAGCAGTGTGGTGATTTCTCAAAGAACTTAAGAACTACCATACGACCCAGCAATCCCATTATTGGGCATATACCCAAAGGAATATAAATTATTGTGCCGTAAAAGACATGCATGTGTATGTTCATTGCAGCACTATTTACGATAGCAAAGATATGAAATCAACCTAAGTGCCCATCAATGGTAAACTGGATAAAGAAAATATGGCACATATACACCATAGAATACTACACAGCCATAAAAAGAATAAAATCATGTTGTTTGCAGCAACATGAATGGAGCTGAAAGTCATTATCCTAAGTGAACTAAAGCAGGAATAGAAAAAACAAATACCACATGTTCTTACTTATAAGTGGGAGCTAAACATTGAGTATATGTGGACACGTGTACTGGAAGGTGGAGTGTGGGGGGAGGGAGAGGATGGAAAAAGCTACCTATTGAGTACTATGCTTATTACCTGGATGATGAAATAACCTGTACGCAAGACCCCTGTGACACACAATTTACCTTATAACAAATCTGCACATGTACCCCTGAACCTAAAATAAAAATTAAAAAAAATGAATTTCTCTTCCTCCCTATAGTAGATATTGTGAGAGATACAAAGGTCAATAAAATAGGATTGCTGCTTTCAAGACACTGTTATCTCGGAAGGAAGAACTAAATAAGTGCACAAATAACTCTAGGACCTCTGTCATGTACCCGGAGTGGACACAAATCAGTGATACTTTAAAATTACACTCCACAATTCCAATTTTTCATGCTGAATCCATGTCTATTGTTAATTACAACTCTTTAAAAATGCAACAAATGCTTTAATTCTTTGAGATAAACTGCAGTCATACTCGGTGTCCAGCCCCGAGCTGTGTCTGAATAATTTTGTTGCCCATATTTTGTGCCTCCAGGGCTGGGTGTGGCCAACAGCCACAGATGTTACACAGGATCAGCTGTGGGGGAGGAGGGAGGGCAGGGGGTGGATGGGGAGGGGAGGGGGCAGGAAGGAGAGGTCAGAGAGCGCTAAGCAGGAAGGAGAATGGTGGGAAAGTAGACTGGGAAGAACAGGGAAACTTTGGGCTTCCTCAGAGGTGAAGGCAGGCCCATGAAGAAGGAAGACAAAGAGCTCCATGAAGGTCCCTGTTACCAGAGCTGTTGTTTGGGGCCAACTCTATAATGAGCACTTTGAAGCTTTGGTCAGATCACTTCAGGCTGCCTTCCTCTCAGCTAAATGTTCAAGAGAAAGTATACAATTCCCTTTCCTTTTTATCTCCACAATTTGTATTTCCATGGGGCTTGGAACTTTTAACAAGTCAACACATCCTTCTCCTTCAAAAGACTTAGTTACTGAAATCTGTAGTCCCATCTCCTAAGAGGCATTAGATATCTTTGTATTAAGTTTTATTTTTACATTCAGGAAAATAACTCCTTGGTTTTCAAATAATTTTATTTACTATCATGCACCAAGTAGTTTATTTTAGAATCCTGGGATCTTTCAGGTAAAAAGCCCAAAGAACTGATAGATAATTAAATGGCAGCTTGGGTTCTTGCTGTTGTTAATGTGAGTATTATCTGTAATATTACTATTGGTAACAAATATAGCCTTCCTTCAAAGCGATGAAGAGATGAGAAACTGTTTTACTGTGAAAGTCCTTCTGATGCACTAGAAAGACAGTAGCAAGGTTTTAAAAGGGGCAACTAGGATATTTTTAAATATAGGGTTTCTTCCCCTCTCAAACTATAAAGTAGTGTTTTAGCCATGGTGGTAATTTCATACAATGAATAAAAATTAAAACCCACTAATATATCTGAAAATACAACTTACTAAATTTTACTGACTGGTAAATTATAGACTGTATTGAGTCACTATGATAAATGCTAATGGAACATGGAAAGAAAAATGCTGTTTTCCCATTGGCTGGGTGACTGGTCTTTAACTGCTGGGGAAGACCAGCTCAGTAAACAGGAAATCATCTCCATGGCAACAGGCCATTCAACCTAACTTTTTAATACATGAAGAGGTAATTACTTTATTTTTTATTTCCATTTTTATAATTTTCACAGTTTATAATAGCAGTGAGGACCTGTCGGTCAGGCATTTCCTGGCTGTTAATAACAGGCTGATTTAAGGTCACGAATGCTTAAACATTGTGCCAATTTTTTTTTTTTTTAATGAAAAGAGAACTGTGATTTTTTTCCCTTCCTGAAGTCTGTAGCACAAATAAATGACAGAATTTTATGTTCACACACATGGTGTTTTGATTTCCTGCAGATGATAACATCAGAGACATGACTGAGAACCATTGGGGGTGTTGGGGGTAGGGAGTGGGACACCACAGAAAAGTCACAGCTGGGTTCCTGGGGATGGTAGGATGAAAAACAAACCCGGGGGATTGAGAGAGAAAGACTGAGTGCCCTGCAGGAAAGAATTCAGAAGGAGATGCACAGCCTCAGAGCCCAGTGTATGTTCTGTGGAGACGGTGATCAGTGAAGGGTTCTTTCTGAATGTACCACAGGGGCAGGAGGCCTGGGAAGTTTCCCTGGCACTGGGCCAACCTGAAACACCCAGGATATAATGTCTCCCCTACTAGGTAGGTAACCTTAGTGATCTATGCATTGAAGCATCTCAAGCCAGCCTGCAGTTATGTACTGTCTTAGGAACAAGAGGAGAAGACTGAGTGAAGTCATTACCTAAGGCAGCAGAACCCATAGCACAGCCATGCTCTGAAGGAGAGGCAGGGCCCAGGCAGGGGCACAGTGCTCACAGCAGCCGGTGGGCAATTTTCAATCCAGCTCTTCAGTCTGTTCCCCAGCTTTGAGTACTTAAAGGGAAGATGGTACAAGAAGGGTGTGGCAACCCTCTTCAGCTACTTTGCTCATAATACAATCCTATTTCACTATCATTGTGTAGACATCCAACATGAAAAAGAGAAGACAGGAGAAAAATCTCTGACA
Source organism: Homo sapiens (assembly GCF_000001405.40). Lineage (NCBI taxonomy): Eukaryota > Metazoa > Chordata > Mammalia > Primates > Hominidae > Homo > Homo sapiens. The sequence goes on from NC_000013.11 coordinate 39,953,452, forward strand.
GCCACACTCGTAGCCAACAGAGCACTAGGAAGTTACCACATTGCCATCAGGCCCCAGAGAAGCAAAGGGAAGAGAGCAGCTGCAGAGAATAGAAAGAAGGGAGGCACGGTGATTTGCCAGATATCCCAATGCAAACCCAAGAAGGCCCTTGAAACGAAGGGAGGGATGGTATCTATGAGAAGAACAGGATGAATCCTGCAGACAACGGAGCTGTGAACAGCTCAGGCACAGAGACTCGAGAATCCCGGAGATGCCCAGTGAAAACTGTGTCTCCCTGACAAATACTGGTATTTTGATGACTGCATAGTTGGAGATATAATAATTATCAAGTTTTATTTTTAAAAAACACTGAAGTTTATTTTACATTTTTAAAGCTATATTATTAGCACACAGAACCCACCAAAGTTGGAGAAAGGATAGATGCCACCAACAGGCTGACTCAGGAGCTGAGCTAAAATGCAGGGACATAGACTTTGGCCTTGGAGTACCCGAGAGGATTCCTCCTGGACTCCTTTTGCAGGGATTTTGTGATCATTACCCTCCTCAGCCACATTGACACGGGATGAGGGGTCACTAAAGTTAATTATTTCTTTCCCTTGCCTTTCTGTCATTGCAGATTTTATTACCTTAAAATCTGAGATACCAAGATCTGCTCCTCCACCCATCATCCCAAATCAGGCATCTGGACCTTCCAGTGTCATCGTTAAGATGGCCTCACACACAGGGACCAGAATTCCTCTTCTCAGATTAGGGCTGCTCAGATTTGGAATCCTGTTGCTTTTCTTCTATTTCCTCGAAGTCAGGGTCAGCTTGGGAAAAGCTGTCAAACAAAGTACTAAATGTGGGTGTGTCCATCCTCCTTCTAAAACTTCCTACCTAAACTATGAGAGGAGGACACGTTTGGATTTTACCATGCCTTAGTATTTTCAGCATCCTTTGGAAGAGTTTCATACTGTTACGCCTTGTCATCCATGTCATGCCTAAATTACCATAAGCATTAATAAAAATAATCCTTAATAGAGTTGAAAAGAATGAAGCAGAAATGTGTCTTCTGAATGGCAAGCACTGTGCTAATGAAACAGGCATTTTCTTCAGCCACAGGAGCTTAGGAGAGGCAAATTAAGCATTGTGCCCTGCTCTCCAGCTGACTTGCAAAATATTCTTTCCAACCCCAGCCCTTCTAATCTGGGAGGAAGAGGAATCCCGATAATATCTCACAATCCCTCATCTTCCCAGGAGTGCCTCCCAGTTGTCAATATAGGCAGCTGCCTCATTGGGGACCCTCGTGCACTCATATATTGATGGCAAATGCTTCTTTCTTGTGTGGTGGTTCGTGGCAAGACCAATCTCATTACTGAAGCCTCCTGGTAGAGTAAGATTTCTCCCTTGTTGTGTTGTGAATCAGGTCGATTTTTATAACCTAGACTGAAAGCTCAGTGAGGCTAGATACCATATCTACCTTGTTTTCTGATGCCATTTCAATGTCACATACCTACTAGGCACTCAGTATTTTTGAATACCTGGAATTCACTCTAGATGCAGCCTGCACAGGTCCCAGGAAATTCATTTGCTTCTTTCTCCCAGGCTGCTTCAAATCCACACTCCTCCAGTTAGCTTCTCTCAGAAGATTCATTCCCCAACACCAAAAAAGAGGATTAAATAATATGTATTCTTTCGCTCACTTTTGTGGCATGCCATCCACACAAAAACTCCTGTAAAGTCACCACTGTCATTCCAGAATACTTCCATTAAATAATGGTTGAGTTTGCACTATTTTCATTTATTCCTTTTTTTTTTTTTTTTTTTTTTGAGACAGAATGTCCCTCTCTCACCAGGCTGGAGTGCAGTGGTGTGATCTCGGCTCACCGCAATCTCCGCCTTCCAGGTTCAAGTGATTCTCATGCCTCAGCCTCCCCAGTGGCTGGGATTTCAGGCACCCGCCACCATGCCTGGCTGATTTTTGTATTTTTAGTAGAGATGGGGTTTTGCTACATTGGCCACTGGTCTTGAACTCCTGACCTCAAGTGATCCGCCCTCCTCAGCCTCTCAAAGTGCTGGGATTACAGATGTGAGCCACCGGACCCGGCCCACTCTTTTCATTTCTTAACCAAGGTATTTCAATATCTGTCCTTGCCTGTATTACATGGGTCGCAGCTTCAACATGAAACTAAACTGTGATTGAAGTAACCATTGAGATACAGATTGGATTTCAGTCTTTCAAAAAAAAAAAAAACCTGTCACTCTAGTAACAGATTTCCTGGTTCCCTGATCTTGTGTCCTGTGTGTCTTCAACAGCTGTGGGCATCTCTAAAGTAAGTCACAAGCTCAAACTGTGTCTGTGGTTTGAGGCTAATGGGTATGAATGGATTTGCACCATACCTAGTATGTAGCCTCATTTTCTACTCTCAGATCCTCTTAGATTCCCAATAAGTAACATCAAATACTGCCTCAAGTAGTTTGGCATAGATGGGGATGCCCTACATAGAGGAGGTCATTCTAGATTGAAAAGAAAATTTAAGAAGGCAAGAAGCTAGATAAGTTGTGATCAGGGTTGGCATTCACTGAAGGAGCTATTACAGGAGACAGTAAAATGTGATGCTGGACATCAGATTCTGTCTGCAGTAAGAGGATAGCAGAGCTAATAGGGACTCACTCCAGAAGACACAGAGAAGTACTCCAAGGGCATCAGACTTCTGACATCCAGTGTGAAAGTGGGGTCAGAAGGCAGAGGATGGAACCAGGTTTCAAGCAGAAGTCAGATCTATCACAGGAGACCCAGAGGGGATTTCCTGGGTGGTTTGCTTGGTGATTCAGTCAGCTTTAATTGCCTTTCCTCCTTGGGGCTACTTGAGTAGCTTGAAGGCTCTGCTGAATCTGATGAAGACACAACAGAAGCATCAGGGTGACCTTAAGCAGGGCCTGTCCTTGGAAAGTGCGCCAGGCAAGTAAACCTGCCGGCATGTGGGAAAAGATTCACACCAAGACATATGGCTGGAGGAGGCCTGGAGGGAAGAGGAATCATGGGGCGGATCTGGGACTAGACATGGGGGCCACTGGAGGACAACTGTAGACTTTACAATTAATGCAATACTTACTTATTAAATACCTACAGCCAGCAGAGACCTGGACAGAGGAAGGCTCTGACAGGGTGATTAAAGAGGCTGGACTAGGCAGTAGACTGTAGGAAGGAACAGGTGGAAGGTAGGGGCAGGAGCAGGTTTGGGGAGATATGAAGCCTAAATCTCCCCCAGACCCCAGTCAAACAGACACAGTTACAAACCAAGCAAGAGTCAGGGTCTGCACATCCCCTTTACTTCTCTACTTTGTTTAATTCATGTCCTTCCAAAGGTGGGGTAATACAAGAGTCTCCATGGTTTTCATCAAATCTTCCACACACTCACTTCATTCACTCACTTTTTTCTTCATTTGACACATATTTATTGACCACCTACTAACCTCTAGGCACTGTGTTAGGTACTAAGGATACATCGATACTTAAGACAGACACAGTCTCTACAATCGTGGAACATATTGTCTAGAGCACATGCCAACAAACACTTTTCTGTAAAGGGACAGATAGTAAATATTTCAGTGGCTCCGAGTAGTCAACTCTGCCACTGCAGTGTAAAAGAAGCCAGAGAGAGAAAGTAAATGAGTGGGCATGCTGTGTGCCAGTGAAACTTTATTTACAAAAACAGGTGTCGGCCCATATTTGGCCTGAGGGTCATAGTTTCCTGACCCCTGGTCTAGAAGGGAAGTCTCTAAGTATATAATTGTGAGCATGCTGACTGTTTTGAGAGGGGAAGAATGATAGGAGAACAGAGAGTAAGGGGCCCTAAATTGCTGAGAAGTTGAGACCTGAGGATGTGGTGTTTAAGCCGAAATATAAAGGTTCCATAATAATAATTAGGTTGCATGGGTACTTGGGAGTTGAAAGGGCAAAGAATATTCTAGGGAGAGGGACATACATGGAAAAATGCCCAGGCATAACAGAGAGCAGGGGAAACACTCAGCTCAGCTAGAAGGAGGAATGGAATATGGAAACGTGAGAGATGAGACTGCAGATGTGTGCAAGGGGCCAACCACAGAGGGCCTGGTAAGTCAGGTTAAGAAGTTTAGACTTTTCCTAACCTAAAATAATGGGAAGCTGTTAATGGGTTTTAAACACTGAAGTGGCATGCTCACATTTGTGTGTTTGAAAGCCCCCTCCAGTGTGGGATGGAGTACAGATCAAAGTTATCAAATCAGTAGTCCGCTAGAAAGCTGAAGCCAGTCCACAGAAAAGATGATGATGGTCTGAGGATTGTGGTGGCAGAAATGATAGGGAGAAGTGGTTGAGCTTTACAACTAGTTGGGAAGTAGTCCTGGAGCAGGCAGCAAGCTCAAAAGTCTCTATCTAGGTTGGAGTCTTCATTTTACCACTTTTTGCTTTGTGGAAGAGGAAGAAACTTTGATAGGAGAGGGATACAGTCAAGGAGGGCAGGAGGTAATTGTGGGAGGGCAGGTGTGGGAGCAGGGTGAAAAGGCAGTTTGCATTTAAGGGGAGCATCTCCTCCATCCCCTCACTTCCAGCACACAAGAATGTGTAGAGTAGACTTTCTGGATAGGTTGAATGGTCTCTGTGAAATAAAGGCTCTTGTTCGTGCATAGTTAAACTGGTGTTGATAAATGGATTCCTTCTATCTAATACTTCTGTACATTTTGATGACCTTCCTCTGAATGTGATAGGCAAGAGTATACCCGTTGGTTGCTCAAAAATACCAATTACCTGATTTGATATTCTGTAATATCTAACAGACAACAGAACTTTCTTTCTAAGCACTCTCAAAGACGGCTTCAGAGACAGACAGATAATCCATTGTCATTTCAAAATATTTTAAAGATCTTTGAAAGGGATAGGTAATTTCAAAATGTCTGGAAATTTTAATGTTAGGAAATGCTAGAGGCCAAGCTGTTGCAGTTCCACTAAGGATTAAGTTGAATTTTATCTTGGTAATTAGGCACGTCTCAAGGGGAAGGGGAAAAAGAAACCAAAACCAAAACCAAAACTCAGCAAATCTCTCTACCTATGACAAAAAAAATCAGTTACCTGATAATCATTTTATTTCAGGAAAACAATAGGTGCTGTTGCTAACAGAGTAGGTGAGTAGTTAAAGGAAGATTCCTGGGAAAAGCCTCTCCCACTGGAGCATCCAGTGAAGGTATGCAAAGCGGAATAAAATCAAAGCCAGTGAGTTTTCCACTCTGCAGAACAGAATCCTATCTGAAGGGTGAATGCTAAGATTACCCAGGTCAGTCTGCCTCTTTTTTTTTTTCCCCTTGGTCCTCTTGTTTTATTTATTTATTTATTTATTTATTTTTATTTATTTTTTTTTTATTATACTTTAAGTTTTAGGGTACATGTGCACATTGTGCAGGTTAGTTACATATGTATACATGTGCCATGCTGGTGCGCTGCACCCACTAACTCGTCATCTAGCATTAGGTATATCTCCCAGTGCTATCCCTCCCCCCCAACCCCACAACAGTCCCCACAGTGTGATGTTCCCCCTCCTGTGTCCATGTGATCTCATTGTTCAATTCCCACCTATTAGTGAGAATATGCCATGTTTGGTTTTTTGTTCTTGCGTTCTTGCGATAGTTTACTGAGAATGATGATTTCCAATTTCATCCATGTCCCTACAAAGACACGATCTCATCATTTTTTATGGCTGCATAGTATTCCATGGTGTATATGTGCCACATTTTCTGAATCCAGTCTATCATTGTTGGACATTTGGGTTGGTTCCAAGTCTTTGCTATTGTGAATAATGCCGCAATAAACATACGTGTGCATGTGTCTTTATAGCAGCATGATTTATAGTCCTTTGGGTATATACCCAGTAATGGGATGGCTGGGTCAAATGGTATTTCTAGTTCTAGATCCCTGAGGAATCGCCACACTGACTTCCACAATGGTTGAACTAGTTTACAGTCCCACCAACAGTGTAAAAGTGTTCCTATTTCTCCACATCCTCTCCAGCACCTGTTGTTTCCTGACTTTTTAATGATTGCCATTCTAACTGGTGTGAGATGGTATCTCATTGTGGTTTTGATTTGCATTTCTCTGATGGCCAGTGATGATGAGCATTTTTTCATGTGTTTCTTGGCTGCATAAATGCCTCTTTATCCAGCACCCTCTTTTGGCTAGCCATCAGTCCTGCACTTCTAAGTCGACAGGAAGCAGTCAGCAACATCCCTTGACCCCTGAGTGAACTCACGATCTTAGCCCAGAGTCAAACTACTGCATAGCCAGATATCACTGTCTACACAGGCAAAGTGAAGTGAAGAGGACAGACAAAAACCAACTGCTTAATTCTGGCATCTTCCGAACCTCCTGTTAAAGAAGGAATCTTGGACTCTACCTCACCCCCACATGTCTGTTCATTGAGTTGCTTATTCACTGAGTTGGCCGATTTTATCATTGAAGTGCTCAGCATAAGTGACTGCGTAATAATCAATTTTTTTCTGGTAAAACGTAACTCAAACGAAGTTGTTTTGTGCAGCTGGGTGTGAACAGCATAGAGAATGCTGAGCCTTCATAAAAGTCATGAGTTGTGGACTGCCTCGTTTAACCCAATAAGATTGCAAACCACTTGTAGGCAGAGACTGTTTTTTACTCGCCTTTGTATTTTTTTGCAGTGCCATGAATATATAAGCTCAATAAAGTTCTTAAGAAATGCATAGTTTGATTTGTGGTCTTCCCATTCCGTATGGGCTGTGGCTCTCAAAAAAGGCTCACATCCAAATCCACTCCTTAGAGTGGATTTCTGTTTTGCTTGGGAACTACTCGGGACAATAAAGCTGCTTCAGAAAATTGAAGCTTTTTTGACCCAACCTTAAAGCTAATTTCAGGCAGATTCCTTGCAATGACTTGCAGCTGTGACTGTCATTCTGCCATGGGAAAAGTGTCAGCAAGACCAAGAATAGTAGCAGTCTGTCATCTCCCTGTTTTTGACGTTCTCATCTAAAATGTTAATTAAGAAGTTGCTGTGCACAGAATGAAAATAAAAGTCAAGAAAAGTAGCAAAGGCAAAAAGTGCAATTGTGGTAGTATTAAAATACACATTTTGTTTTCCTGCATTGTACATGAGCTCCATTCCACTCATTTTGGCTGCAAGCATGTTGTAACTAGCAAACAAATAACACTGATGCCCATAACATGAGAGGAAAATTCAGTAAATACATGGTTTTGGTTTTTGTTTTAAATCTATTACCAAAGTTAGTTACTTAAATAGATTCTGTTTTGATTAATCCATTACTAACTGAAGCTGTGCTTTTATTTCACACATTTGTTTGAGTTTTTCATGTCTTGCGTTTCCCAGTAGAGAGGGCAACTCAGCAATGCTTTTATGAGTCAGTACCTCAGGTGAATTTACAAGGTCTTCATTTATTAGAATTAAATTTTGAAATAAAAATATAATCACAAGATTTTAAATTGTGAATTAGTGTTGCTGGACACATATAAGTACTTTGATGATAATATCAGAATATGAAATCTGAAGATGATTACTTCTAAGCCTAGTTTAATAAAAATTCATATTTACTTAAGGGTTTGTATGGTGGTTATCTTTTATAGTTTAGGTTAATTCTTTCATGAAGCTTTCAGAGAGCATTCAACATTTTATTTATTTATTTATTTAACAAACAGTGGATTCATTCACAGGCTCAGGGCTCACTCTGTCTGGGAAGGGGATAGCATCAAAAATAGTAGACTGGATGGAATTGAAGCTTGGCCTTTAACCTTTGCTGAAAGGATAATATTTCAGCTATCTGAAGAATGTGTCAGAGAAGGGAAGTGAGCTCCATAAGATAAATGGAGATGGAGAAAAAGAAAATTATTGCAGACCAGAGAAATCAATGAATCCATAGTATTTGTTGATCAGCTACCACTCCTGCTAACTCATGACATGTTTTTATCCATCCCTTCCACGAATTGTATAAAAGTTTTACTGAAACGTGGCTAGGAATTTTCTGTCTTCCCTGATGTCAATCAGATGTTCTTTCAATTCATCAGAAGTAGTTACATTTTAACATTTTTAACAAATGAGTTTAAAAACAGCAACAAATCTTTTTTAAAAAAAATAGAGGGATTTTAAACATGCTAGAAAAAAGTTTCTGAGTTTCTTAAGTAAGTTACAAGTTTTTAAGGTAAAATACATTGCTTCTTGCACTAAAATAATAAAACGATGGGAACATTTCCAGACATTTGCTTCCACAGTGTTCTCTCTATAGCCAACATTTCCTTTCAAATAGCAGGTCGTTTTTAATGTATTGTTGTAAGGTTACCATTACAGTGAAGGGAAAGTTTACATTTATGGCTCATTAAAAGTTCGTATTAGAAGGAGATGCAAAAGCTCTAAAATTTTCTTACTGATCACTTGCTCTTTCATTCTAGTATTATACTGAATGTAATCTCTATTTAATTTGTAGAAACTTTTTAAAACCACTTGTATATTTGGAGATTATTAGATTAGTTAGAATTAAATAATACAATCCATTTAACTATGGCATATATCAATTGCAACACATCACAATTCAGATAATTCAGGCAAGTAACTCACTCTTCCCATGATATTGATGACCTAGGACCATTGACTGTATGAAGCAAGTGTGGGAGGTGGTGCTAATTCTTATATCACATATTGGCGTATTTCATTTCATTGATATTTTTGCATATAAAAATGAAAGTTGTAATGTTTTCCCATACCTCAGTGGATTATCTTTTTTAAAAACGGACTATTTTTAGAGCAGTTTTAGGTTAACTGGATCATCTTTTGTATCTCTGCTTGCACCCTATTTTTTTTCCTTCAACTTTTATTTTAAGTTCTGGGATACATGTGCAGGATGTGCAGTTTTGTTACACAGGTAAACATGTGGCATGATGGTTTGCTGCACAGGTCAACCCATCACCTAGGCATTAAGCCCAGCATCCATTAGCTATTATTCCTGATGCTCTCCCTCTCCCCATGCCCCTGACAGGACTCAGTGTGTGTTGTTCCCAACCATGTGTTTATGTGTTCTCATTGTTCAGCTCCCACTTATAAGTGAGCACATGTGGTGTTTGGTTTTCTGTCCCTGCATTAGTTTGCTGAGGATAATGGTTTCCAGCTCCATTCATGTCCCTGCAAAGGACATGATCTCATTGCTTTTTATAGCTGCATAGTATTCCATGGTGTATATGTATCACATATTCTTTATCCAATCTATCATTGACGGGCATTTGGGCTGATTCCACGTCTTTGCTATTGTGAATAGCATGCACCCTATCTTGACAATCACTATCTGAAATGAGTGGTAAGGTGATGGCAAAGTGTATAATGACTTCTTACAGCTGTATAATTTGAATCTCCCTAGATCTCACAAGAAATACCATTAACAGTGACATTTTAAATTTCATTGTCTTTTTGGACTTAACTGCTTACTGCAAGACATTCAATTTCCCCTAAAGCCCGTTAAATGACTGATGGGTCTGGCCGGGGACATCTTACACATATTTATTAGTCATCTTTTCAAGCTCCCCTCCATGCCTTCCTTGTTGGTGTCTGCTGTCCAGGCCATCATGCAAAGAGGATGCTTTGCCACTGTCCCTAGAGCTTTGGTCTGTGGTGAAAATGTTGACCCTGCCCAGAGCCCTGCATTCTGCAGCTTCCCCAAGATGCTGAAACTTGAAGTGTGTTTTGGAGGAAAATGAGTAACTCGGGACAATAATTTGGTTGGCATGATGACATGATCCAAATGGAATATCCTCAGTTGACATCTATGTCTCTTCAGAATTTTTCTACTTTTATGATTTTTAATTTCACAATTACTTTCAGCCAAATGTTCCTGCCCTGCATTATTTGTAACACTGAGGAGTTGGAAGCAACTTTTAAATTGCTGGCACAGTTTCACTATTACAAACTCCACAGAGTACAATTATTTCATTGGCAGAAAATGCATTGGAAGAAAGAAAACTAGGGAAAAAAGAGAAATGTATTTATTCACCAATACATTTTTTAAAAGCAAAAATAATTAACATTTGCATAGTTGCAAAACTAACTGATGATGAACCCAAATTTTCCATGCAGGAAAAAAAATTGTATTTGAGACATATTTATTTTTTAAAAAAAGAAACAATCTTTCAAACCAAATATTCATCCAAAGCTAAGTTGTCGATTTTCATCACTGCCATTTTGTTTGGAATTTAATTGCTTATAATCAAATTGTTTTCAGCCATGTCACCTGGAGGAAACATCTTTTTCCCTGGTTCTGAGTCATTTTCTGTCACTGCAGTTCTGAGGTGCACTCATTGAGTCCCAGTCATTTACAGAGAGGCCCAGGGAAACAGGTGCTTGCTTCAGCCTGCAGCTGTGCCTACCAAGAGGCATGGACCAATCACTGCAGCTCTCTGAATGCTCCCACTTCTTTCTTCAGAAAGCTATTTTCACCTGTACTCCCTTGTCCCACATGTGGACAACTCAAGGGACCTGGCAATCTGATCAAATTCAATACTGGTTCAATATTGGAAACTTCTTTATTGAACAACATTTTATAACTTTAACAATATATTCACATTTATTATCAATCATTTAATTCTGCCAACACACCTGTGAGGTAGTCAGAGCAGAATTAGTCTGAACATTTTTCAGATGAGAAAAGTGAGTTGTAGAGCTGGAAGGAAAGTTGAATTTTATTTATTTATTTATTTATTTATTTATTTATTTATTTTTATTTTTATTTTTGAGAAAGAGTCTCACTCTGTCACCCAAGCTGGAGTACAGCGGCTTGATCTTGGCTCACTGCAACCTCCACCTCCCAGGTTCAAGCAATTCTCCTGCCTCAGCCTCCTGAGTAGCTGGGATTACAGGCATATGCCACCACCCTCAGCTAATTTTTGTATTTTTTCGTAGATACAGGGTTTTGCCATGCTGGTCAGGCACCTGACCTCAGGTGATCCACCCCCTTTGGCCTCCCAAAGTGCTGGGATTACAGGCTTGAGCCACTGTGCCTGGCCAGAAGCTTTAATATAATTTAAAAGTCCAATTCCCTGATTTTCCATGGTGCATAGGGTAGTCCAGACAATTTAATACTTGTTTTAAACAGAAATATTCTATCCCATCCCTCCTACCCAACAAACTCTTCTAAGGAAGTACCATATGTACCCAGATATAAGAAGACATTTTATTAATATGAATTTGCTGGTATAAATTGAAATTTATTATGAGTTCAATCAATGAAAATAATGAGACTAGCTTTCCAAACATGAGAGCGAATTAGAAATTTGGGGTTAGGAATGACAATAGTTCTCTTATCCTCAGTATTGAGTCATTTCTCCACTTGTTTCAGTTTTACAATATTTGGAATACACTGGTCCAGTAGATAGGATAGGGAGACTTCCAAGATGGTCTCTGCCTCAGTCCGCTTTGCATTTCTATAGCAGAATGCTATAGATTAAATAATTTATAATGGACAGAAATTTATTGGCTCACAGTTCTGAAGGCTAGGAAGTCCAAGATGGAGGAGCCAATATTTGGCTAGGACCTTTCTGCTGCATCATCCCATGGCAGAAGGCAGAAGGGCAGGAAAGAGAGAAAAGAGGGCTGAACTTGCCCTTTTATAATGGCAGTAATCCCACCCGTGAGAACAGAGCCCTCACAGCCTAATCGCCTCTCAAAGGCCCCACCTTTTAATACTGTTTCAGTTGCGATTAAATTTCAACATGAATTTTGGAGGGGACAAACATTCAAACCATAGCAGTCCCTAATGATCCTTGCCTCCTGGTATTTATATCTTCATGTAATTTCCTCCTTTGAATATAGGCTGGACCTAGTGACTTGCTTCTAATGAATAGGATACAGGAAAGGCAATTAGCTGCCTTTTCCCTATGTATGAGACTAGGTCACAAAAAGACTGTGACTTCCATCTTGCTAGAACTCACTTTCTCTGGCCCTTCTCGCTTGCTGCCTCTGATGAAGCACACTCCCTGGCTATGAGCTGCCCTATGGAGAGATCTATGTCAAGGAACTGAGAATGGTCTCAATAGCCCTTGAGAAACTGAATTCTGCCAACGATGACATGAGTGAGCTCAGAAGCTGATCCTTCCCCAGTGGAACATTTAGATGACTGCAGCCCCACTCAACACCTTCATTGCAGCGTGTGAGAGTTGCAAACCCTGTTAAGCTGCACCTAAGTTCCTGACCTACAGAAACTGTTAGATAATAGATGTTATTTTAAGCCACTGAGTTTTGGAGTAATTTTTATGCAGCAATTGATAACGAATACACCAGGCAAGTAGCTTCAAAAGGATGTGGATTTTGAACAACTCCCTTGCAATTTTTGGATTGTTTTGAATTCAACAAAGCAGGCAGTCAGGGGAATTATTTTTCCTCAAAAATTACGTTTTCCTCAAAAAGTCGATTAACCCCAAAACAGAAAGAAATGAATATAAGATCTCCAATGTGGCAGTCTGTGTAATAAAATACCTTTGATTATTCTTCTCTTTCTCTCTCTTTTTTTTTTAACAGTGTAAACAAACAGACTTTCAAGAAGTGAATTTTATGTGAAATGTTTGTGGAAATCTTGGAAGATGACAAATGTAGTGCAAAGAGCCCAGGCCTTAAAATTAGACTGAGGTGTGGAGCCTTGGTTTTCTCATCATAAAATTGGAATCATAATACCTCATGGATTCTAAATGACAAAGGCACTCAGTTCATTGCCTGGTCAATTGATGCCCTTTAGCTTCTCTTATTGCAGGTGATAAAGTTGAGGCTCAGAGAGGTGGAGTGACTTGATGTGCCCAGAAAGAAGGGGGTCTAGGGCCGCCACTAATCTGATATATCCCCAAGTTACTAAGCAATAGATTGGCAAATTTTGAGCTCCAAATCCAGAGCTCTGGCTTCCTCCACATCACAAAATAAGTCCCAAACCACCAACTCTGCATGTCTAACTCCCAAGAAGAATTCTCCTTGGGACTTCTGTTAAAACCAGCAACTCTCGTGGAGTTTGTGACACACTACGAACAAAGGCTTACAAAGATAGCTGGAAGAAGAGTGGCACTTCCTTTGGAGAAACCCACATTTAAAATGCCATCTTCTAAACGCAATCTTCCCTCCACCTCTATCTTCGATTTTGACATTGATAGAGAAGCTTTCAAGAAAGCAGCATAACTCAGTTAGATGAAGCTACTAATTTGAAGGAACAATACATAATGAATGGCACTTATGTGTGGTGATTGTAACAGCAATTGTCTTCTGCCATTTTTCTCCCTGAGACATTTTATCTTGTCTTTCTCCTCCTTTTTGTATTGTTAAGGACTATTGCAAGTATGTGTGTGTGCATGTGTGTGTATGTTTGAGAGAGAGAAAGACTATGAAAAGAAGAAGAAAGAGTGAAAGAGAAGAATTGTCTTGGAAGAGAAAAGGGTATAGGAAGAGATGAACCATGACTACAGCTGTGTCTGGAGGAAATAAGAAAATCTAGACTGTTTTAGAGGGAATGAACTTTCCCCCATGTTCTGGGTGTCTGGTCAATAGGATGAATGAAAAACTCTGCCAGCCTTCAATCCTCATGGCATGGTATGAAGTAGCACAGGGTACTTCCAGCTGCATCTGCCCCTCTGCTTTCCAACCTATGAAGACCAAAGCAGAGAGCTTCAGGAGCACTAACTCAATCTTTTGTCCTCCTTTTGGCACTTAGCTAATGTTTCTTGGGCATGAAAAGGGAAGTCATTGGGCTTATTGAAAACTTACTGCACATTCTGATGTAACAAAAGCATCTGGGTAAAAATGTTCCAAAGAAAACCCATTTATGAATCAATAAATGAAAGATAAAGAAAATATGAAACTGTATCTAATCACTTGCTTACTTTTTTGTCCTTTCCTTTTTCTTGGAATATCCATGTCACTGATGTGTCATACTTCTTGGCAGTATGTCAATTAACAATAATCACACCTTGGATAAACCTCATTGCTCACATTACTGCCACCATGCAAAGCTTAGCTCTATTTTAAATCAAAGGAATTTGACTCAGAGCAAAGAAACTATTTGCCCAAACTTTGTAGATCTTTTGACTCTTCAGAGTTTGCATCATGTAGTACAAAAACCACTGCCAGAAGATAGAAAGACCTGGTTTCTAGTCTTGGCTCCGAAAGTGATTCCCCAGGTGGGTCGTAAGGAATGGTGTGATACTTGCAAGGCTCTCTCCTTTGCACCACATTCAGAGCAATCTAAATCTTCTCCCTATCTCCACAGCCATGACTTTGTCTAAGTCACGTTGCTCTCTTATCTGCGCCACCCAACTGTCTTCCAGCTCATCTGTCTGCTTCATTCTCATTCCTTCCAACCCATTCCTCTCCATGCAACTGTCAGAATATATTTACAGGAGTAAATCAAGGCATGCCACTCTCTACTTAAATCCCCCACAGCTTTTCCCTGCCCACCTTTACCCCCTCATCTCTTGTTTGTACCATCTGTCCAAGACACACCTGCCACTCTTATCTTTTGTCAGTTCTTAAGCCAAACTCCTTCTTGCTTTTTTTTCTCTGTCTAGAACACTCTTCACCCAGTTTTCCCAAATCACTCTTGAGTTGGTAGGTAATAAATAGTAGTTAAAAGTAAATGAGTAAATGAATGAATAAATCAACCCCAATTTTATTATTTGCTCTTTGTCATACTTCATGTTAAATATCAGGTCCTAAGATATTTTCTAACTATTTTAACAAAAGGAATCATTCCCCATATTCTCACATACCCATTTTATATTCTTCTTGGCACTTACCACAATCTATAGTCTTTCTTTTCTTTTGTTGTTTCTGCTGTTCACTTGTTTATTACGTGTCTTTTCCATCTGAATTTAAGCTCCCTGAAGGCAGGGATCATTTGTGTCTTTTTCAGCATTATATTCTCAATGCCCATCATGGCAAAATCCCTAGCACAAAGTTGGTTTGCAATAAATATTTTTTGAAGCAAATGAATAAATGAATGAACTAAAGTTCTACCATATTTATCCCTTATCTAATGGCCTTCAAAGGCTCTCCATAGCTTGTAAGAGAAAGACTGGATTCTTTGTGTAATCTAGAGATGCTACCTTGATGCAATTTCTCTTGTCGAGTGTTGAAAAATTGTTTGCATTTTCAGTTAAGCCATATTTTCTTAGCCTCCATATGTCTGCCCTTCCCTGCACCTCTTGACAACACACGCTCTGCTATTGTAGTATATAATGCCAGGACAAGTATCCCTGGGAGCATGTAACACATGTGACACAAAGTGCTTGACTGAAATGTTAGCCCCTACCTTATCTGAACATAATCCTCTTGACTAACTTCTATTTGTCCTTCAAAACTCAACTCATGTGCCCATTCCACTGGGAAGTCCTTTGATTCCTTTGTCCTCTCTGTCTGCCCTTCCCTGTACCTCTAGGTAAAACATGCTGCCTTCTGTTGTAGCACACACCACACACTCAAGTAGGACGTTTCCCCAACTAGAGAGTTTGTTTCTTGAGGGCCAAGCTTGTTTCTTATTACCCTGTTTCTTTGTTGCCTAGTATGTAGTAGATACTCCATATATTCTTGTGAATAAATATTAGTGAACGGCTGACTCATTCTTTCAGAATGATGCAGGAACCCAAGAGATACCATTTATTACTAAGGGGACATCCTGTAGAATGCACTTAAGCTCAGGTAATGAGTTAATCACCATTTAGTGCTAAACTAAAACATCCTATTACCATGGCCTGAATTAATATTTTAAGCTGCCAAAGCTTTTGGCTTTGCAAACCACTGTCACTCGAGATCAACATTCCCAGGAATGTTGCAAAGACTGTGGGCAGCTGTAGGGCTGTCCTGGCTTTGTCCTTGCAATAAAAATGTAAACCCTGACTTGCTTTTAGAGTTGCCTGATTTTGACAATGGAATTGACCACTTAGAAGGCATAAGTGCGTGCTACGTTCAAGCTGAAGTCTGAGTATTATGTGAAGTCTTGAATAAAAAGAGCCTGAACCTTAAAAGGTATCAGGCAAATGGAGAGGTTCTATGTGCCTTGTTTGTCAGGTGTGGCTAGTGGCCCACCTGCATCAGAATCATCAGGGCCTTAGCAATGGCTGGGGGGGCCACTGTGAGATGGAGCATACTTCTCAAGTAGGGATGGTAGAGCTACAATCTCCCTCAAGCCCAGCCAAAATGAAGACTCCTGGAAAGTCTCTCTCTGCTCTTGTTTAAGTCTTGATGTTCCCTTCTTTCCTTTCTTCCACTTTGTAAAGTGAGAAAAGAATCAAATTGATATGAGGTGGAACCATGTTTTCTCTAAAAAAAAATTAGAAATAATAAAAGTATCACTTCATATTTGTCTATCTGTCCAGTGTTTTAGAATTACAGGATACACACCATTCATGGAAAACAGCCATAAGCATGACGGAAACATCTGAAACTGTGTATTTGAAAATAGAAAATGAGTCTCATAAAGCATTGTTTTTCAAAATCTGTCTAAAACCACCTAGAATGTTTTGTTTAAAATACAGCTTCTCATTGTGGAAGACAGTGTGGCAATTCCTCAAAAACCGAGAGGCAGAAATACCATTTGACCCAGCAATCCCATTACTGGGTATACAACCAAAGACTATAAATCATTCTATTATAAAGACATATGCATGTGTATGTTCATTGCAGCACTATTCACAATGAAATAATCTGAACGACAAACACCTGGGAAACACCCATGAAACAAGTTTACCTACATAACAAACCTGCACCTGTAGCCCTGGACTTAAAATACAAGTTTAAAAAATAATAATAAAATAAAATGTAGGTTCCCAGACTACTGAAAGACACAAAGAGGTAGAGGCAATCTGGTGCAGCCTGGGAATGTGCATTTTTTGTGAGCACCCTGGGTGAGTCACACACTCAAGTTTCAAGAAGCCACTTTGAAAGCATGTGTTGCTTTTGTGAAAGGGTAGCAGGGCTATGGGGTTAATACCAGGACAAACGTCCCGGGGAGCATGTAACCAGAGGATTTGGGCAGGATTGAAAAGGAAAGTTATTTTAGAGGAAAAGAATGAAAGAAACTCAAGATCCTGAATTGAAAGGGCTAAAGTTTGCATGGCAGAAACGAGGCACTGACTACAAAGGGCGGCCTATTTTTCCCTGTGTAGGGATAGGGCGTGTGGGCACAACTGCCATCATCAAAGGGTTTTTCCATGCGTCACTAAATACAAAGTGGCTCTGAGACCACAATCACCTATTATTAGAAATGTAATAGTCATATCTTATTTTAAAACCTGTTTTTAATCTATTGCCACCTGTAAAACTAGACTAAACAGATCAAATCTTAAGGCTATCTAAAAATACTCTGAGCAGAAACATAATTAAGGTTCTAATTAGAATTATTATTTAGTAGGCTATGTAGACAAGCCTGAAGAGATAAGCCCCTATCAGTGGCATTAAGTTCTAACTGACTATTAAATTCATGGGTCTACGCCATGTGTTTTTTTGTCAGCATAGAAATTATGTTGAACAGGTTTCAAAACCCAAGTAAAGATTGAAATTTATTTTCATTTAAAGGATGTTCTAAGTGCAGGGATTTCAACAGACAAAACAATGTATTGCTTGGAGGTTTCTAGCTCATGAGAAAACTTGGCTATAGGGCTTATGTTCCCGAAATTTTCAGATACCACTTCAGGGTGGACGAAGATAGCAAGAGAGAAAGAGCATGTTTGATTCGCCTTCTCAAGGTTGTTGTATTTGTGTCATATGCAATAGCAGAGTGTAAAATCTCTTGACTTAACTACATACCATAGAAGCCACTCGTTGTGCAGAAGAAAAAAGTAAATATTTTCAGATATAGTCAATCCTTCATTTTTTTGTGCTAACAAGGAAACTGAGTAACATAGACTTCTAAAAACATGTGATATAAGCATTTTTGGTATTTATGTATTAAGTGGTCATTGGAAGAAAACATACACTCAAAATAACAATTCAAAGTAACAGAAATCATGGGCTCTCCGTGCAGAAACCCACCTCCAGATGAGATGAAAAATGTTTGGGCTTCATTATCTGGTTTCCTTACCCAAATATTTCATGGTGGAAACCACTTCTCAGGCACATGAAAAGAGCCAGTCTACAGAAAGTAATCATTTCTCTCTCCTTAAGTTACCTACCCAACCCACAGTTTCCTTGAGATTAGTAAAGGTTACTAGATGTTTTATTTGAAGAGACCGATGGCACCTGGGGGAACCTCTACTCCAGTTGCCTGCAGGCCCAACCAGTGAGGTCACCGGCCACAGTACAGGAATGTGTTCTTTCTGGAAGCAGCAAGTCTATCACGTTCCTTATCCCAAAAATGTGTCTCAGAGATCTCATAGCCTTCCCCACCCACAAGCCAGCTCTTTTCTCCTTAAACTCATAAATATCACCACAGTTCTTCAAACAGAAACCCAAGCATCTGGGCTCCTCCTGTCCATCATCTCTACATACAATCCTATCAAGCAGATTTGTCACTTTCTCTTTTTTTGAATATCCCTCAAATTCTACAGTTCCTCTCTGTTCTCAGTGACATCTTTCCCAAGCCATCATCGCATCTTGTCTGACTAGTGCTACAGCCTAAGCAGACACCCTTACCTCTACTCTTTGCTTCCTTCCTTACATTTTACACAGAGCGGCCAGAGTGATAGTAAAACATAAATTATGTCTTCTCACACCTGCTCACAAGCCTTTAATGACTTATCATTCCATTTAGGAGAAAATAAGAAATTCTTGACAATGCCTACAAAATTCAGCGTTACTCAGCCACTGCTTATCAGCCCAGCATGATCTCCTGCCACTGTTTCTCTTGCACAGAACCTTCTAGAACTCTGGTCCTCTTTGAAGATGTCAAGGTCTTTCCTCCCTCAGAGCCTTCACACATACTGGCCCAGAGTGGTTGATCCTCCCGCAGGCATAACGGAATCACCCAGCCAGTCCTATATTTCCATCGTCCCTCAGCTCCACTATCATTTCTTCCATGAGGACTTCTCTGATTCTCTCACCCACCTTAACTGAATCCTCTCTATAATTGTTTGATTAATTCAATTTGCCTCTTTAAAGTAGAGGCTGCAGCCGGGCACAGTGGCTCACATCACCTTGGGAGGCCAAAGGGGTGCATCTCTTGACCCCAGGAGTTTGAGACCAGCCTGGGAAATATGGTGAAACCTCATCTTTACAAAAACTACAAACATTAGTCGGCTGTGATGGCATGTGCCTGTAGTTCCAGTTACTCAAGAGGGTGAGGCTGTAGGATCACCTAAGCCCCAGGAAGTCAAGGCTCCAGTGAGCCAAGATTGTACCACTGCACTCCAACCCAGGCTACGGGAGGGAGACCCTGTCTCAAAAAAAAAAAAAAAAAAAAATAGAGTAGAGGATTCACAAGGGCAGGGATCATGTACATTTTTCTCACCACTGTATCTCCAGAGTTGTATCTCCTGGCACAGTTCAGAAAAAATGTTGTCGAATGAAGAATAATTGAGAGAACTATTTCCTTTGTTATGTTAACACAAGAATTAAAAACTCCAAGAGAAATACGAACACGTGGATTTCCAGTTGTTTCTATGGCGGGTTCCAGTTTTCCATACAAGAGCAGCAACTGAGTGGGAGTAATGCCAGGGCCCTGAAGTCCTTCCCACTTCAAAGCTCATCAGCAGCAACTCAAGAAGGGATTAATAAAACTCCCTCTTTCCTGGGACATGTTAGTGTCTGTTCTTGAAGCAATGCAGAAATAGATATTTTTTATGGTGAATGGTATTTTCATTAACCAAGTTACCTCCATATTCTTTGAAGTATGTCATCAGATTCTTCAAAAAGAATTGTAAAATTAAGGACAAATGATTAAAGAGCTGCTGTTAGCAGTGAATTATACTCTAACCATCTGGGTCTTTGAGATCTTTTTGCTTGGTTAACCCTGGATTTTCCACTTACTGAGGCTCTCAGTTTTTCTCCTACACTTCTATCCTTAAAATGGGTATAAGACTTAACAGATTTTTTTTTTCTGAGGCTTTGAGACTATGGAACTCACAGGGATAGCCGAAGGTACCAATCTGAAATATAAGAAGCATAAAGTTGGCAAGTTGAGATGAGTCTTCAGAGATAGTGGTCTGAACTCACAGAATTTGTCTAAGAACAATGATGTCCTGCCTGATAGTTGGACTTAGATGATAGAATAAGAATCTGGTATTCAACAACTAAGTATTTGCATTAAATATCCTGACATAGGCACTAATCTGATGCAAATGTAAATGTTCAATAATTTTCTCCTTTCCTCTCTCCCTCCATTCTTTCCTTCCTTCCTTTCTTCCTCTTTTTCTTTTTCGTTCATTCATTTATTCTTTTGTTTATTTATTTCTGTCAAAAAATAGTTGTGCCAAGCGCTGCTGCTGTAGTAGTGACCACATCAGATGTGACTCCTGTTGTCATGAAAGTTACAGTAGAGCAGGAGGCAACTTTAAACAAGTAATTTCACAAAGTAATTTTATTACAATTGTATTACATTTGTATTCTATTACAAAGTAATTTTATTACAATTGTAATAAAATACATAAAAGTGAAGTTTACAGTGAGTATGAATGACAGATGAGTTACTTGGTTTAAAGGATCAGAGAGCACTTCCATAGAAACTGACGTTTCAAATAAGACCTGAAGGATAAGAAGAATTGCTTTCCTAAATGCTTTACAAAAAGTACTATAAATGCTTTATAAAACGCGTTGCCTAAATGCTTTGTAAAAAGCTTAGACTCTTCTATGCCCTCCTCACTTTTCCTACCTTCTATTCCTCAATTTGAAATGGTTCATTTACAGGTAAAATAGAAAAATCATGTTCATAGGTCTGAGTATATAGTTTCTATCTTTGTTTAAAGCTCTGCACCTGGGAAAGGAGCCTTCAGGAGCATCTACAGTGACACACACACACACACAGTACAGCACACATACACACACAGTACAGCACACATACACACACTTTTTTTTAAGTTTCAAGGTAATTATACAATATCCTCATATTTTGAGCTTATACATAATCTCCTCGATTACTATCAGGTTGCTCCTACAACTTAGAAAGTTCTTTGAATATTATAGTCAACAGAAGGCCCTTTGACCATGCTTTCTCTTTGAGTTTCTCTAAATACACACCAATATTGGTTCTCAGAAAAAGAATACCTAGTATTGCCTCTATGAAAGGGGGAAGAAGGTTGAGAATTGAGGTGGGTAAAAATGTTAACGTTTTTGGTAATGTTTTATTTCATTAAAAAATATTGGAAGACAATATTATAAAATGCTGCTATATTTTAAATTCAAGGTGTTAGTTATATGAGTGTGTGCTGTGTTATCTTTTCTAGATTTTTAAAGATTAGGGCATTTGATTTGAAATCCTACAGTTAGCTCATTTGTTAATGAATGAATGAATGAATGAATGAATGAATACACACAGCAGGGAGTCATCAAGCACCTGTGATATATTGGATCTGTGTTAAGAAATGTGACATGAGCAAAGTCCTCTACCCTTGTGCCATGGCTTACTCTAGTGTGAGCTTCCTGAATTAGGTCTCCTCACAAAGACAGGTGATTTTTTATTGATATTGGATGGCAGATCCATTATGGAGTGTTAAAAAATGGCTTATCAATTTCCATCCTGATAGACAGCAAAATCCTCTCCCATTTATCTCCTCTTCTTCCATGTTATCTCTCTTCCCAAGGTCATCGCAATGTCAATTCATGTCTTCTAAATTAGCAAGTCCGCATAAAGTGTTTCAGTGGACACCTTCAATGATGTAAGTATTCAAAAGAGTTAAGTATTCTGTCAAATAAAAAATCTTAGGTGATCCTAAGGCCAAGTTCTAAGACTGGATATCTTTTGTGCCAAAAGATGCTAGGTAAGCTTGTTTGTCCCTGATTCAATTTCTAAATCTGAATAATATCCCTGACATGCTTTTGAACAAATTATATAAATTCATTTTTTACTCTTGAGATAGCTTATGGTAGTTTCTTAAATAGGCACTAACCTCTTTGAAGCAAATACTACAAGAGGATGCTGCCAATCTCACCTGGCCCAAACAGTGAGACTGAACTTGACACTGTTATAACCTTAAGCGTCATCAGTACATGTTCACTGTACCTCTGAATGGATAAGAACAGGTGATCATCTGCTGACTTTAGATAACTAATCAATGATATGAGATAAGAGGACTCATTCAGGCAGCCAATGGGCAAATACTGCCTTAATGTTATTAAATAGGTCCTTACCAGTGTATATATTATATAATTTGAAGCAGTCCTCCAAAGCATCTTTAGCTAATTCCTAACAGAGTTGTATTCTAGCTACTCAAGGGCTCTCTTTTGAAACCACATAATTCCTTTGTATTCAGGCTCATGCATTCATGGTTTTCATGATGCAGACAAAGAAAGCAATAACCAATAAGATGTAAAGGACTGAAAGCAAAGGGTCTCTTGAGTTTTGTGCTATTATTTTGAATTAATTAACAAGAATGGTATTGTGCAGGCATTGTCACCATTATCATTATGGATGAGCTCATATATTAATCATTTAGCTCCCCTGGTTTTGATTTTTTATATCATACCAAAGCACATCTTATTTATAAATATATGAACTGATGTGGTAATAAGTGACAGAAACAAAAGATTCTCTTCATAATCTATGCTGTAACCTCAAGGGACAATATGACAGAAAAAAATACCGAACTACAGAAAGAAGGAGACCTCATTCTATGATTTCTTCCCTGTGAAGAATATATAATATGGAGGCTTCTATAGATTAAATCAGGGAGTTTAACCCCCCGTTCTAATGCGTTTAGTAGCTGAGCAGGAAAAGAGAATGAGCAAACGTACTCATGATCTACTCTCCGGCAAAATGGGTTTATAAAATTCCAACTTCATAAAGATGCACCTGGACGCTCCAGGGCACAGGACATCTTCTCTGAAACATCATTTAGTGCCTCTTTATTACAGCCCTTTCTCAGTCTCCTCTTTCCTTGTTATTTAGCATGAGCAAAAAGTAGCTTCTGGGGAGACTCCTCCTTTTCTGAAGACTAGTTCTTACCTGCACAGGCAATATTTCGTGTCGGGAGACTGCTCCTCTGAGCAACCCTACTCCCACACAATCGCATGTAATCCGCCTCACAGCAGGCATGAGCCTGCAAGTGACAAGACACAAGTGGGGAGAATTGGCAACTACATAAAAAAAGATACCAAATAGTCTCCGCCTACCAGTCAGATGCTACTCCATCAGAATGGAAAACAATGGGGAGAACGGAGATCATTCAGTTGAGCATGATCCATTTTGAGCAATCTCTAATCAATTCAGGGACACCTCCTCTTCACCCCTCCTCTCCCCTCCATCATCTGTCTGCATTTGTGTAGCAGTGAGCACAGCATTAAGAATACTTTGACAAGGGTGTCATTTTAGTCTGAACGCCTCAAAATGACTGGGGAGGAAAAAAGTTATCTTTTGCCTTCAACTCCAATAAAAATGATCTGAGAAGGAGAAAGAAAATTTCCCCAAGAGATCTACTTTTCGTATGGAGTGTTATAGGATTGCCCTGATGATGGAGATGATTTCAGGGTGAGAGAGAGGGTGTGACATTTGTCATCATTCATTAGGAAAGGATAAGTCAGAGAAGCCCAATAGAACCTAATTTCTCCCCACTTAAGGGACTTTAAGGGGGAAAAAAGCTTAGAATTTATTGTCAGAAACTGGATCCAGGCTCTGCCTTTTGTTATCTATGTGAACTTACTCTTGCCTTTAATATCTTGGAGTCTGTTTTCTTATTTGCAAACTAGAAATAATTCCAATATTAGCACAATGTGAATATTAAGTGAGGTCATGTATGTGCAAGTGCTCACTGCAGTACATGAGTTACATGGGTGGACAGTGATATTTGTATTGAATAAAAACACAGAGTTTAAATTCTGCAGTAGTGGGAGCTTACCCTCAGGCTACTGTTAGGGTGAGAGATGATCTTAAACAGGGACAATGTGCACTGAGCCCTATGCCCCGTAGATGCCCTAAATGTGAGTGCACATTTTGCAAGCCATGTGGACCTTGAATGTGAGTGAAAGGAGGGAAGATTGGTCACCAGGGCCTCCACTCACGCTCTCTCTTTGTGTGCTTTTCTCTTTGAGACCTCCCCCTCCATACCAGTGACCTCATACCAGCATTTGCTTGCTGATGACACAGGCCATCCTCAATCATAAATACTTTGGAGACCCTATGTCAATGTGTTTGTTCTCCCAAGATTTCTTGCTGCGTTAATTCAGTCGATATGTCTTTTATATCACATCTATAGATTCTCATTCTCAACCTCTCTCTCCTCCTGTTGCAATATATTTGTTAAAGAAATCGGGCTGCTTGTTCTGTAGAGCTTCCTACATTCTTCCTGTATTCTGGATTTTGCTGCTTCCATCCCCATGTCTTTAATGCTTTCTACTATCTCGTATATTTCTTGCAAGGTGGAAATTGGATCCAGAGTCTTATTCAGGTTCAAGGTTATATTAAGAATACCTTATAGACAATGTTGCGTACTTCCCTTTCCATCTTCAGGAGGCATATGTTGTGTGGTTTTCTTTGTGGTATTGAGATCGATCAGTGGATCTGAGCATGGTCAGCCTGATTCATTCATCATAAAGTTCATGGAATGGTTTTAGCTATGGGTATTTCATTAGGGTTTGCAAAATATCGATATTCTAATTCTATCATCTCTTTTCTATTTACTGGCTGGAATTCTTTTGTAATTAAAAACTTTCACTCAACAAGCATTTGGTCACTCTTAGGTAAAACACGGGCAGGAAAAACTATCCATGTTCGCATTTTTCACTTTACAGGTTTTCAGAATGAGTTGGTTCCCTAGCATTCTTCAAAGGTGGCCACCAATGTTGTACTGTTTGCTTTTAGTGTAATTATGAATGCATGAATTTTAATATATTTAATATGTTTTAATTCATTATAGTTACTCTTGTTTTTGACATTCAAATTATTTCATCTTTGGCAAGTGTAACGGCCTACAAGTTGGTTACTAAATTCTCTTAACATAACCCCAGTAACCTTGAATAACTTCCTTGCTTTCCACAAAAACAAAATGTTTTAGAGTCTAGACTCATATTGGACCTTTTCTGAGTATAATCTGAAATCAATTATTTCCCAAATCATCCTGTCTTCTTTTACTGCCAAATGATATTTGGAGATCACAGCCTGGTTATTAGAAGTGGTCAGTGTTACCGGACTGGTCATCATTCCTCGGCATTTCCAATAGACAGAAGTAGAGAATGTATTTAAATGTGTTTATTTAAATACATCCAATTCAAATTTACGATTTAGTGGTGTTATCTTCTTTTATTTTATATTTAATCTTATTTCTCTTATGCCAAAAACTTTGCTTCCTAAATATAATAGCTTTGCAATGACAAATGCAATGCCATTACTTTTGAAATGACTGCTAAGAATAGTTTAAAATTTCCTTGTAATTCCTTTTGACCACAGGATATAGTCCAACTGTAGACGTACTGTCAAATGAGAATGTTTTATTGTCACTTGAAATATTCTTTTCTGAGATTAAGTCAACAACTTACTATAGAGTTTTGTTTTTTTAGGGACTGATTTTTTATTTTAATTTTGCTTTATAATTAATTTAAATGTGTATATATCATTTCAAGGACAAATCTATAAAACAAGGTATATTCAGGAAAGTATTGGTTCTGTCCTTTTCCCCCTACTTTGTTCCTGTTGTCCACCACAGGTGATCATTTAAAAATAATTTTTGGTTTGTCATCTCATTAAAAAAATGGAAATTTTTACTTTGTACTTTTTAAATAAAAAGTAGCACACTATGTATACTATTTGCACCTTGTTTTTTTCCACTTATTAATATATCCTGGAGGTCACTCCATAGCAGTATTTAGAGTTATTCCTCATTGTTTATAGCTTTAACATACTCCATTTTGTAGATTTACCCTAGGTAATTTAAATAGTCCCATTTGATGGACATTTAGGTTGTTTTCAGTGATTTCTTATTACAATAACACGGCAATAAATAGCCTTCGGCATTTGCATTTTTGCCAGTGTATCCCAGGAGTCAGGTTTTAGAAGCTGAATTATCTTCCATCAGATTTTTACCATTTTGCATTCCAACCTTCAACATACAAGCGTGCCTATTTTCACTTAGCCTTGCTAAGAGACTGCACTGTCACACTCTCAAATTTTTGCCAATCCAAAGATGAGGATTGTAGGTCATTGTATCTTTAATTTGCATCTCTTATTGTGAATGAAATCAAGCACCTTTTTTGAGTTGTTTACATTTTTCCCAATAAACTATAGCATTTGTGGTAATTGTATTTATTTTTAGAAGTTCATTGAATTTGGGGAATATTTTGTGATATCACTTTGTGATACAAGTATTTCATTCTATTATGATTGAGTTTTTTACTTTGCTCTTTTGGTGTTTTCACCATACAAAAGAGTGAAAAAACCAATTATCTATGTTTTTCCTTTGTTGCCTCTAGATATTGAATTTGTAAAGCTTTTCTCATTCTAGGTAACATAGTAATATGTTCTCTTCTAGAACTCATATAACTTATGATTACATTTAAATCTTTGATTGATTTTAAGTTAATCTTGGCATGTGGTATGAGAAATGGACACAATTTTATTCTTTTTCATAGAGCTATCCAGTTATCTTAGCACTCCCTGATATAATGTTCATTATTCCTCATAGATTGGAGATTTCACCTCTATCATACAGCAAATTTTTATATGCAACTGAATTTACTTCTGAATTTTCTCTTCTGTTCTGTTTGTTTATCCATGTGCTAATACCATGTTCTTCTATTGTCAGTCTTAGATGTTTCAGTATTTAGTAGAGTTAGATCTTCTTCATTGTTCTTTTTGTTGTTTTCCATTATTATTATTGCCTGTTTGTCTTGTCAAATAAAATTTATAATTAATTTGTCTAGATTCAGAAAAAATAACTTACGTTTTAAAAATTGGGGTGACATTAAGTTTATAAATTAACCCAGAAAGAATTCACATTTTATAAGGCTGAATTTTTCTATCCAAGTAGATGTTCTATCTTTTTATTTGTCCAATTCTCCTTGTGTATCTTCAATAGTGTTAAAACTTTCATCTCATAGGTCTTATCATTCTGCTTTGGTTTTGCTGAGCTTCTCAAATCTCTGGCTTGATGTTTCCCACCATTTTAGAAAACTCTTCACTGTTGTCTCTTAAAATATGACTTCTCCCCATTTTCCTCTTTCCCTTCTGGGATTCTGATTATGTCAAGGTCAGGCTCTTTTGTAATGTCCCACATGCTTTTAAAACTCCTTTTTACTTTCCACTATTTTTCTTTTTCCATGCTTCAATTTGGGATTTTTTAATTGACCTGTCCTTGAGTATCTTCTCCTCTCTCCCACTGTGTATAAATTGCTATTACACTCATTCATTGAGGGCACAATTCCAGTTATTGTTTTTTTTAGCTTTTCAGTTCAAGAATATTTATTCTTTTTGAAAGACTTCAATTCTCTGTGAAATTGTTTATTTTTGAAATCTATTTTCACCTTATTTAACTCTTAATCATACTAATCATAGCTGAAAAGTCTTTGTCTACTAATTTCAATATCTGGATCAACTGTGAGACTTTCTGTTGTTAGTTTTTCCTCAGGTTTTCATCATATGGTTCCATCTAATAATTTTATTTAATGTGGGACTTGGCTAATAACACTTTTTAGAACTTCCAGATGATGCTAATCTTCCTCCAGAGAGATTTCATCCTTCCCTCTGCTTGGCAGATAGAATGTCTTATTCCAAGGATGCACTGACATCATTAGAAGCTGAGTTGCAGGTTTAAGGAGACTCTGTTTATCCCTGGGTTAACTTCTTCCTAAGGAATAGCCCTATATTATTTTTCTGGAGTTCCAGTAACAAATTATTGCAAACTTAGTAGCTTAAAACACAAAATTACTATAAGTACATCAGAAGTCTGATATGGGTTTCACTGGGCTAAGATCAAGCTATAGCAGGGTCATCTTCTTTTCAGGGGATGCTAGGGAAGAATAAGTATTTGGTGTTTGTTTCAGTCACATGCCAGCATAGAATGCCTAGTTACATTTGAATTTCATGTGAACAATAAATCATTTTTAAATTTTATGTCCTAAATATTGCATGAATTATACTTATAAGAAAAATAATTTATTATCTATCTGAGATTCAAAGTTAACTGGGCCTTGTCATCCTTGTTTTTTCTAGCCTCTAGAGGCTGTCTACATTCCTTGGCTCATGGCCCCTTCTTCCATCCTATAGGAAGTGATGGCATCCTCAGGGCCTCTCTTTCTCCACCTCTCCAGTGACATCATATTTTTCTACTTTTGATACTCCCACCTCTCTTGTATAAGGACCCTAGTGATTAGATTGGTCCACCCAGATAATCCAGGATAATCTCTCCATTTAAAAATGCTTAATTCAATCACATCTTTTAAGTCCCTTTTGCCAGATGAGGTGACATATGCAAAGGTTCTGGAGATTAGAGTGTGCAGACATCTTTGGAGGTCACTATCTTGCCCACCACAAGTCCACCAAGTAGGGTGGCCAGATTTAATAAATAAAAGCACAGAATGCCCAGTTAAATCTGAATTTCAGATAAACGATGGACAATTTTAAATTTTATGTCCAAACTATTGCATGAGTCATACTTAGAAATTGTTTATTGTCTATTTAAGATTCAGATTTAACTGGGCCTTGTCCTATATTTTCTTTGGCGACACTTCTTCCAAAGCCTACCATGGGATCCCAATGTCCTCCCTTTAGAACTCTTCCTTATGGCTGATCCTGAGCTCTAATCCTGGTCTTCTAAGAATGGAAAGATTACCAAAAACTCAAATATGCTTTTCAGAAACATCTTGCTTATTTCTTAAACTTCAGGTAGATATCTTGAAGGGAAACCCATTACTGTGCTAGGCTCAGTTCTCTGATCTGCTCTTCTCACCAGGAGCTTAGTGCAATAAGTCGCTAATTGTATGCTTTCAGCCCCACATAACAGCCACAGTCTCTGCTGGTTTCTTTTCTCCCCAGCAGTGTCCCTCTGCCCAGACAAAGCGCAGATTTTTGGCTTCTTTTCCTAAACCCAGAACCAGCAACTATTCCCAGGAAGAAAGTGGCTGAAGACTCTCAGCTCAGTATCCACTGCTCCTCTTCTCTTAGGAGCGACGAAGCCCCCAGTCCTGGTAGTTTCGGCAGCTCTCTGATGCCCTTCAGTAGGGTTTTCATTACAGGCAGGAGTAGTGTTTGGCTGCAAACTCCTTACAGCCAAGGACTTCTGACAGCAAACCCAGGGCTTTTCCCAGGATTGTCACAGCTGTGAGGTAGTTGGTGGGCGGCAGGAGCGCAGGTGCAAAGGGTGGAGGTGGTGTGGTGACAGCAGAGTGGAGAAGGTGTGGCCGGTCACATTTGTAGCTGGCTGGGACTCAGATCTTGGCAGCAATATCTGACCTGGGAACAAGACAAGCAGGCCCCTCTGAACAATAGGCAGTTGGCAATGGCTGTTTCCTGCACACCTACCTTTCCTTTTTGGTTACTGTATTGAAACTCACTCTGAGGCCATCTGAAACTGCGCAAGGGCTGGAGGTTTGTCCTGAGCACAAACAAATTAATGTAATAATTTTTAAACTTTTGCCCACCTTTACTCAGCCATCTCTATCAGTAAATTCACACTCACTGCTTCTTCACTTGTCCTGGTGATCCTGCTCCTGGCTGTGAGTCAGACAGGGATATTAGTGGGAATGGGGATGGTCATATATCCAAGGACAAAGGCAGGCAGGCTTCAATCTGGGGGCTCCTTGGTCATTTTTTGTGCCACTTACTTTGCACCTTGGGCATATTTTATTGCTGTCAGGACCAGGCTTCCATCCCTCAGATTTCAAAAGCTCTCATTTCTCTCCTCTTCACCAGAAGCGTCCGCTCAGGGGATCCTGAGCTAATTTGCACTGATGACAGTGGAAAGCAGGCAAATTCATGTAGAGGACTTTATCTCTCTGTGGGCATGTTTCCTCTGTTTTAGACTTTAAAAAGCCCTGAGCTCAAAGCCTGAAGCCTTGTCCAACTCAAATTGCCTTCTCTGAGGTGAGAAGATTTTTGCAGGGTGGGAGAAAGGGGGACTTTTTTTTCCCTATCCTGAAATGTCAAAGTGCCATTACCTATTCATAAAGGGACGATCAGAACAAAGGCAAATTTTAAATCAAGAAACTATTTAAAAGGAAGCAAAGGGACCATGCATTTCTCAGGCAAGATGGATATTCTAGGACAACCCTGAGTTGATATCATGGGTTAGAAAAAAATTAAATGTTCTTTTAAACATGATTTCATGCAGAGAAAAAGGAGCTCTTAAACACTGTTGATAGGAATGTAAACTAGTACAGCCACTATGGCAAGCAGTATGAAGGGTCCTCAAAAAACTACAAATACAATTACTATTCAATCCAACAATCCCACTACTGGGAATCTATCCAAAAGAAAGGAAATGATTATATCAAAGAGGCGTCTGCATCTCCATGTTTCTTGCAGCACTATTCATAATAGCCAAGAAATGAAATCAACGTAGGTGTCCAACACCAGATGAAGGGGTAAAGAAAATGTGGCCTATATACACAATGAAATATTATTCAGCCATAGAAAGAATGAAATCCTGTCATTCGTGGCAGCATGGATGGAACCAGAGGACTTCATGTTAGATGAAATAAGCCAGGAACAGAAAGTTAAATACTGCATGTGCTCACTCATATGTGAAAGATTAAAAAAAGGTTGATCTTGTAGAAGTAAAAAGTGGAACAGAGGATACTGGAGGCTGGGAAGAGAAGAGGAAAGGGAAGAATAGGAAAAAAAAATGACTTCATACAGCAAGACTAAATGTGGGATGCTGGATAGTATCCTGGAACAGCAAAAGGACATTAGGTAAAAACTGAGAAAATAGGAATAAAGTATAGATTTGAGGCTAGGCATGGTGGCTCATGCCTATAATCTCAGCACTTTGGGAGGTCAAGGCACGTGAATCACTTGAGGTCAGGAGTTCAAGACCAGCCTGGCCAACATGGAAAAATCCTGTCTCTACTAAAAATACAAAAAAATTAGCCAGGTGTGGTGACATGTGCTGTAATCCCAGCTACTTGGGAGGCTGAGGCAAGAGGATCGTTTGAACCTGAGAGGCGGAGGTTGCAGTGAGCCGAGATCGTACCACTGCACTCCAGCCTGGGTGACAGAGGGAGACTCTATCTCTAAAATAAAATAAAATAAAATAAAATAAAATAAAATAAAATAAAATAAAATGTATAGACTTAATAGGGTATCAATTTTGGTTCATTAGTGATGACAAATGTACCATAGCAATGTAAGATGTTAATAATAGGGGAAACTGGGTGTGGATATATGAGAATTATCTTCACAGCTTTTCTGTAAATCTGAAACTATTCTAAAATAAAACATTTATTTTAAAAAGTGATTTCACATGCAAAGAAGGTGTTGAAAAGCAAAGGGAGGTGGGACAATAAAAGGTTATGCTTATGACTATTATAAAACCAAATAGAAATAGTAATATTGCACACAGATTTACAGAGTGTGTCAGGAAATCATCTTTATCTAGAAGTAGCACAGTGGAAATGGAGCATTGCAACTGGGGAGAGCAATGTCATAGAGCCCAGCAGCACCAACAAGTCCTCGCTCACTTAAGAATAGCCGTGAGAAGCTTTCAGTGAAAGAAAATGTATATAACTCACAGTTTTTAAAGAGCTAGGCTGGGAGCCAAAAAATATTCTTGGATTCTCTTCTTTCAGTATCTTAACATTAACTTAATGGAATGAACTATTCTACTCAGCTGTTTGAAATGGGAAGTCTATCTCTAAAAGCAACCATTTTATTAATTTTTTTTTTTTTTTGAGACGGAGTCTCACTCTGTTTCCCAGGTTGGAGTGCAGTGGTGCAGTCTCCGCTCACTGCAACCTCTTCTTCTGGGGTTCAAGTGATTCTCGTGCCTCAGCCTCTTGAGTTGCTGGGACTACAGGCACATGGCACCACACCCGGCTAATTTTTTGTATTTTTAGTAGAGATAAGGTTTCACCATGTTGGCCAGGCTGGATTCAAACTCCTGAACTCAGGTGATCCACCCACTTAGGCCTCCCAAAGTGCTGGGATTACAGGCATGAGTCATGATTTTTTAAAAAATAAGACATTCAATTATTCGCTTTTTTCAGTCATTTTTATGCAAAATTTCAAACTTCACACACAAAAGTGGAGAGAACAGTATAATAAGCCCTTATGTGCTCATCACCCAGTGTCATTGGTCATCAAGGCTCACAAAGCTTGTTTCAAATGTTCCCTCCACCCACTCACTTTTTCCCCTAGAATATTGTAAAGCAACTCCCGGATATCAGAAACAGCTTATGCATTGTTGCTGTAAATATTTATGGAGCACCTACTTGCAACACACTCTTTTAGGAAGTGAGCATACAGAGTCAGATGTAGTTGCTGCTGTAAAGGAAAAACTTAAATGTAAACATGATCACCCCAGTTCAGAACACAAAGTCATAAATACTGTGGTAGAGACACAAATAAAATGCTATTGGAAATCAGAGTATGGGTGGAGAATTTCAGCTAGGACATCCAAGAGAAAATTTTGTGATGGAGGTGGCATCTGACTCAGACTATAAATGATGACCAGAGGGGAAGAGCTGGCCACGTCCCCTTGCCTGTGTCCAACCCTCTTACTTCAGACATACACATGGGCACAGGGCATTGCAGAAGAAAGCTATTTCTTCAAAAAACGAATTCACCATCATGGGCCAAATATCAGAGGCAACTTCAGCCTTATTTGGTGAGAAAGAAAGCAAAGAAGGTGAAGTTTTCTATGACCTTAACAGAAAGGGGACTCAGAAATTAAATGATGATTTTTTTATTTTTATTTTTATTTTTTTTATTATACTCTAAGTTTTAGGGTACATGTGCACATTGTGCAGGTTAGTTACATATGTATACATGTGCCATGCTGGTGCGCTGCACCCACTAACGTGTCATCTAGCATTAGGTATATCTCCCAATGCTATCCCTCCCCCCTCCCCCGACCCCACCACAGTCCCCAGAGTGTGATATTCCCCTTCCTGTGTCCATGTGATCTCATTGTTCAATTCCCACCTATGAGTGAGAATATGCAGTGTTTGGTTTTTTGTTCTTGCGATAGTTTACTGAGAATGATGGTTTCCAATTTCATCCATGTCCCTACAAAGGACATGAACTCATCATTTTTTATGGCTGCATAGTATTCCATGGTGTATATGTGCCACATTTTCTTAATCCAGTCTATCATTGTTGGACATTTGGGTTGGTTCCAAGTCTTTGCTATTGTGAATAGTGCCGCAATAAACATACGTGTGCATGTGTCTTTATAGCAGCATGATTTATAGTCCTTTGGGTATATACCCAGTAATGGGATGGCTGGGTCAAATGGTATTTCTAGTTCTAGATCCCTGAGGAATCGCCACACTGACTTCCACAATGGTTGAACTAGTTTACAGTCCCACCAACAGTGTAAAAGTGTTCCTATTTCTCCACATCCTCTCCAGCACCTGTTGTTTCCTGACTTTTTAATGATTGTCATTCTAACTGGTGTGAGATGATATCTCATAGTGGTTTTGATTTGCATTTCTCTGATGGCCAGTGATGATGAGCATTTCTTCATGTGTTTTTTGGCTGCATAAATGTCTTCTTTTGAGAAGTGTCTGTTCATGTCCTTCGCCCACTTTTTGATGGGGTTGTTTGTTTTTTTCTTGTAAATTTGTTTGAGTTCATTGTAGATTCTGGATATTAGCCCTTTGTCAGATGAGTAGGTTGCGAAAATTTTCTCCCATGTTGTAGGTTGTCTGTTCACTCTGATGGTAGTTTCTTTTGCTGTGAAGAAGCTCTTGAGTTTAATTAGATCCCATTTGTCAATTTTGTCTTTTGTTGCCATTGCTTTTGGTGTTTTGGACATGAAGTCCTTGCCCACGCCTATGTCCTGAATGGTATTGCCTAGGTTTTCTTCTAGGGTTTTTATGGTTTTAGGTCTAACGTTTAAATCTTTAATCCATCTTGAATTGATTTTTGTATAAGGTGCAAGGAAGGGATCCAGTTTCAGCTTTCTACATATGGCTAGCCAGTTTTCCCAGCACCTAAATGATGATGTTTTAAAAAAATAAAGGTAATTATAGTTCTTGCACCCCTGAGTTTGAGATATTCACTGTGAGTATTTGAAGATATTGGGGAGAGAATAGATAATTATAGAATTAAGTTTTGCCTTGGAGGTAGCAAAATGCCAAAATGAAGTGTATAGTGTCAGAATAAACCTTAGAAATGAGGAGAGCCACTTCTTCAGGACATCTATGCTGAGCTATAAAGAAAACCTAGGGATAAGAAAGGAGGAAATGCTTATTATAGTAGCTTGATTTTTCTCAGTGAAGTGGAAGCAAGATAACATGTCAAGCATTGGGAATGGGATTTAATTGGAAGTGAAGGAATCCACAAGCTATGATGACTTCACACTCCAGGTTCTTCCCTACAGTTTCCAGCCAATGAGCAGTGAGGTGAGACCACATGGAGAATTCTGACCAGTGAAATGTGCGTATAAATGCCTTGTGTTTCCTCCCTGATGAGGGGTAACACATCATTGAGAGCTGCGGGGTCATCTTCCTCTCTCTCTTCCTGAAACAGCAACCCTGGAGATATGGACTTTTCTTCTAACCCACTGACATTTTGTGATCTATCTGCTAGTGCAGCAAAACATAGGTTATCCTTCCTGGAGCCATACTCTGTGTCCAGCTGAAGGTAGACAGCTTAAATTTGTAGCTAACCAGACCTAGCAAGCACCTGTGTTTCCCTCTAGTATGTCTGCTGGATCTCAGCAATTAGATAAAACTCTAAGAACAGCAACCATGTCTCACACCCCCCTCATAGGACCTAACATAGTGTTGAACAAAGATTCATTCAATGTGAAATAGGTTTGAAGAAAGCCTCCGTGGTTGACCGTTTGGAATTCTCATGCTTCATAACGAGCAGAAAAGAAATCTTAGACGCTTCAGTTAGAAAAATAAGGCGGTGGTCTAAAGAGATAGCTCTGGGAAGAGTGTTTGAATTTTCAGGGTCATGATGTTCATTGTGTTCAATAACAATGAAACGATTGAGCAGAATAAGTTCCCACAGGCAAGGCTTTGGTTTAAGTATCAGATCTGGGGCCAGGGCACCAACTCAGACACCATGCCGATTTAAAAATTATACTTACTGCTCGATTGTTCCCCAAAATATTTTTGATCAACTATACAATTTCAAAACAACTGTAGATGTGAGTCCTGGATATAGTACAGTCTCAGGGAATGTTTCAAAAATAACACAATCATTATAGAATCAAGACGTTTTAGAGATGATCTTAAGGTATCATAAACTTTTGTTCTTAGAAAAATAAGGCAATCCCTGCCAACAGCAGTAATGTTAGGTCAGCAGGTTCCCATCTGAAGTGCCTACAAAACTCTGCGGAAAGAACACAGAGGAAATATAAGTAACTGTAAGAAATCATGATAGAGAATAGAATTTCATAATGCTTTCATAGACTCAGCAGTTTAGTACTTAAAAGAGTGAACTAGAATAAACCCATAATTTCTTATGGAAGATAATAATTATAATTAACATCTATAATAGTATTTTGTAATGAAAAGTATTTTCCTGTATATCATGCCTTTTATTTCTTACAACAAATGTCTAGAGTCAGTAATATTATTAGTTCTATTTTCAGTAAAACAAACAAAAGGCCACAGACACTGTTCACTTTCAATTATGGGAACATTGGAAGAAATTAAGCCTAAATGTGGGTGCTTCACTGAGCCCCTTTGGTTGCTTATGTCGGAGCTGGGTATAACTCTAACTATAGAATGCTCAGTTGGACTAGAGGGAACCCTCTTGCCATCTCTCCTCAGTAGGCTGTCTGCCTGTCCAGTCTATTGGGTGTGATCCATGCAGCACACTTGCCCATGGCCAGGATAACAGGTGACACCTCCTGCCCTCCCATGGATGATAGACACACTGCTTCCTAAATGCATCTGGCATTGCTTCTGTTTTTCAAGTGAAGTTCTGAACAAACAAGGAGATATTTGCTCATGGCGCAGGCTTGACTCAACGGAGTAGAAACTCTAAGTGCCTTTGAACTCATTATAGAAGTTTTAAGCAGTTTTATGCTTTCTAGGAGGTGGCACCTTAAAACTACCTTTGATGCCCATTGTCTTTTTGTTCTAAAAAAAAAGACTCTTGAGTAGGCTCCTTAGCGAAGCAAATGGAACTCTCAGGGGAAGGTCTGGATGTGATGAATTAGAAGTCAGCCACCCCTGCCTTTTTTTGTTTTCCATTTGCTTGGTAGATCTTCCTCCATCCCTTTATTTTGAGCCTATGTGTGTCTCTGCATGTGAGATGGGTCTCCTGAACACAGCACACTGATGGGTCTTGACTCTATTCAATTTGCCAGTCTGTGTCTTTTAATTGGAGCAATTAGCCCATTTACATTTAAGGTTAATATTGTTATGTGTGATTTGATCCTGTCATTATGATGTTAGCTGGTTATTTTGCTCATTAGTTGATGCAGTTTCTTCCTAGCATCAATGGTCTTTACAATTTGGCATTTTTTTGCAGTGGCTGGTACCGGTTGCTCCTTTCCATGTTTAGTGCTTCCTTCAGGATCTCTTGTAGGGCAGGCCTGGTGGAGACAAAATCTCTCAGCATTTGCTTGTCTGTAAAGGATTTTATGTCTCCTTCACTTATGAAGCTTAGTTTGGCTGGATATGAAATTCTGATACCCTTTCTTCCAGTTGATCGAATCGGCTACTGAAGCTTGTGCATTCAATCACGTAGTACTCGTGCCATGGTTTTCAGCTCCATCAGGT
The DNA here is from genome assembly GCF_000001405.40 of Homo sapiens. Taxonomy (NCBI): domain Eukaryota; kingdom Metazoa; phylum Chordata; class Mammalia; order Primates; family Hominidae; genus Homo; species Homo sapiens. Next base: position 39,990,426 of record NC_000013.11, read on the forward strand.
CATTTAAGGACTTCTCTACACTGGTTATTCTAGTTAGCCATTCGTCTAATCTTTTTTCAAGGTTTTAGCCTTTTTGCAATGGGTTTGAGCTTCCTCCTTTAGCTCAGAGAAGTTTGATCGTCTGAAGCCTTCTTCTCTCAACTCATCAAAGTCATTCTACGTCCAGCTTTGTTCCTTTGCTGGCGAGGAGCTGTGTTCCTTTGGAGGGGGAGAGGCGCTCTGATTTTTAGAATTTTCAGCTTTTCTGCTCTGTTTTTTTCCCATCTTTGTGGTTTTATCTACCTAATTAACTAAAGAGCTTCTGCACAGCAAAAGAAACTACCATCAGGGTAAACAGGCAACCTACAGAATGGGAAAAAATTTTTGCAATCTACTCATCTGACAAAGGACTAATATCCAGAATCTACAAAGAACTTAAACAAATTTACAAGAAAAAAACAAACAACCCCATCAAAAAGTGGGCAAAGGATATGAACAGACACTTCTCAAAAGAAGATATTTATGCAGGCAACAGACACATGAAAAAATACTCATCATCCCTGGCCATCAGAGAAATGCACATCAAAACCACAGTGAGATACCATCTCACACCAGTTAGAATGGCAATCATTAAAAAGTCAGGAAACAACAGGTGCTGGAGAGGATGTGGAGAAATAGGAACACTTTTACACTGTTGGTGGGACTTTAAACTGGTTCAACCATTGTGGAAGACAGTGTGGCGATTCCTCAAGGATCTAGAACTAGAAATACCATTTGACCCAGCCATCCCATTACTGGGTATATACCCAAAGGATTATAAATCATGCTGCTATAAAGACACATGTACACATATGTTTATTGCAGCACTATTCACAATAGCAAAGACTTGGAACCAACCCAAATGTCCATCAATGATAGACTGGATTAAGAAAATGTGGCACATATACACCATGGAATACTATGCAGCCATAACAAAAGGATGAGTTCATCTCCTTTGTAGGGACATGGATGAAGCTGGAAGCCATCATTCTCAGCAAACTATCACAGGGACAAAAAACCAAGCACCACATGTTCTCACTCATAGGTGGGAATTGAACAATGAGAACACTTGGATGCAGGAAGGGGAATATAACACACCGGGGCCTGTTGAGGGGAGGGGGGAGGGATAGCATTAGGAGATATATCTAATGTTAAATGATGAGTTAATAGGTGCGGCGCACCAACATGTCACATGTATACATATGTAACAAACCTGCATGTTGCGCACATGTACCCTAGAACTTAAAGTATAAAAAAAAAAAAGTCAGCAGATGTGTGTTGCATCTTATGTCTCTTGCAACAACAGAAATTTTCGAAGTTTGAACTAAATTGTACAAACTAATTAGTTTATTGTAGTAACCATGCACTGTTCTATTGCTGGTGTTCCTAGTTTTGCGGCTTCTTTCTTGAGCACTTGTTTGCAGGAAAAGCAGAACTATGATGAAGACATGAGCCAAGCATTCAGGCCATGATAACAGAGAGGTTGGAGAGGAGTCAGTCAGAGTTCTGTGTGGTTCATCGTGGATTGGATTGTTGCTCTCTCACATAGAGTGTTGCTTAAAATTGAATCTAGGCTTTGATAAATCTAATGAAATGGAGCTATTGTGGAATTTCCTTGGAGACTTACATTTGGGTCACACCTGTGGAAAGGGTGGGATGTTTCCTGAAGGAATGAATATTTACAGAGTCAATCATCCTGGAGAAGATATCCTAGGCAAATGAGGAAGTTGGCCTTAGAATGCATCAATGAGGGCCAGGAGCGGTGGCTCACGCCTGTAATCCCAGCACTTTGGGAGGCCGAGGTGGGTGATCGCCTTAGGTCAGGAATTCGAGACTAGCCTGGCCAACATAGTGAAACCCAATGTCTACTAAAAATACAAAAAATTAGCTGGACATAGTGGCAGGCGCCTGTAATCTCAGCTACTTGGGAGGCTGAGGCAGGAGAATTGCTTGAACCAGGGAGGCAGAGGTTGCAGTGAGCCAAGATCACGCCATTACACTCCAGCCTGGGCAACAAGAGCGAAACTCCATCTCAAAACAACAAAAACAACAAAAGAAAGAGAATGTACCAAGGAACATGGCGTTCTCCTCTCTCTGCTAATTTCAGCTATGACTCTGGTATATAACACTTCTTGTAGAGGAAACTATGGATTCTCATGCGGGAAATATGTAGTCTTCATATTGCTATTTACATTGAAAATATTATTTACATGACACTTCCATTATAGCTATATCTTAAGTTTAATCTTGTTAACAGTTACAGTCTAACCTCCTTTGTGAATAAGGAATTCCGAGAAATGGGCTGTCCACAGCTTGACATTGAGCATCGAAAGGGAAGAGGGGAGGGATAGGGACTGTGTCGTTCCTGACCACTGTGCCCAGTGGATTTGTGACCTCAAGACAACTATCAACCACAGCGACAGCAGCCTGGCAGCCCAGGAATAAGGTGGAGAAACCAAGGTCCTGAAGTCTGCACCCCAAGGACTTTCCAAAATCCTTGGACAGATGAAGTTCTGCCAATACAGCGATAAGGCCTCAGACCACTCAACTGGGCTATACCTACAGATGGGACAGATAGAAACAAGTTCCGTCAAGAAGAATGTGTAGAAAAGAAAATTAGCCCAGAGGTTGATAGATGTTATTGTTCTGCTGGTAAAATCATAACAAACTCCTTTTGTTTTATTTTGCTTTTAGCTACACTTAGAGGAGAAGGAGGTAAGTTGCAAGAAAGCAATCAGAGCTTAACATTTTCTAGTGTGTGCCCTAGCAATTCTGTGTTCAGAAAAATTACCTGAGACACTAGACTATCTTACATCATCTTAGATATTTTTATTCTATCATACTTATTAAAATTAAAAAGTAAACATTAGAGAAACATTTTTTCATGATAAATACTGAAATGTTGTGGTAATGTCATAAATATGTAATATTTGTTCTAAAATATGCAATAATTATTAGAACTTTTCTAGGTTGAGGACTAAGTGCTTTCAAGCTTCAAGAAGACGCTCTTGGCCAGGCATGGTGGCTCATGCCTGTAATTCCAGCACTTTGTGAGGCCAAGGCCGGCAGATCACTTGAGTCCAGGAGTTTGAGACCCACCCTGACCAACATGGCAAAACCTTGCCTTTACAAAAAATTAGCTGAACATGGTGGCATGTGACTGTAATCCCAGATACTCAGGCGGCTGAGGCATGAGAATCGCTTGAACCCGGGAGGCAGAGGTTGCAGTGAGCCAAGATCGTGCCACTGCACTCCAGCCTGGGCAACAAAGCGAGACCCTGCCTCAGAAAAAAAAAAAAAAGAAAAAAAAAAGAAAAAAAGAAAGAAAAAAAAGAAAGAAGCAGCAGCAGCTCATTTCTATGACTACAAATTGTGTTTTATCTCTGGCAGGCTTCCAAGTAAAAGAGGTCAAGTAAGAAAATTTGTATTGCACATCTTCCTCTATCACTCCCAGTAGGAGGAAAAAATCTCTAAAAAGCAAATACAGTCAGTTTAGTTAATAGCATCTTCTTCTATTCCCACTACTCTCTTACGAGTTGGGTGACTCCCTACAAGTTATTAAACCTACCTCCACCTCAGTTTCATCATCTTTAAAATGTGGTAAATAATAGTTCTACCTCACAATTGTTGTAAGAATTAAATGAGAGCCGGGCGCGGTGGCCCACACCTGTAATCCCAGCACTTTGGGAGGCTGAGGTGGGCAGATCACAAAGTCAGGAGTTCGAGACCATGCTGGCCAATATAGTGAAACTCCGTCTCTACTAAAAATACAAAAATTAGCCAAGCATAGTGGCACATGCCTGTAGTCCCAGCTACTTGAGAGACTGAGACAGAAGAATCGCTTGAACCAGGGAGGTGGAGGTTGCAGTGAGCCGAGATCACGCCACTGCACTCCAGCCTGGGTGACAGAGTGAGACTCCATCTCAAAAAAAAAAAAAAAAAAAAAAAAAAAAAAAAGAATTAAATGAGAATCAGAGTGAGCAACACAAAAGAAGTGCTCGGTAAGTATTTACTATTGATCCAATACGACTGTCCAGTCTAAGGCAAGTTCACAAGCGCCATACCACCGTTGACATGTTTCTCCTCTCACCTACTCTGTGGTTGTGATCATATTGCCTGTGCTGCAAACTGACATTTTCAGTGCCCTCAATGTACATATGGAAAATACTTTCCTGCCCTAAAAAATTCTAATCGGTCCACAGAGATAATCATCTTTATCATCATAAATTATTATTTTCTTCCAAACCTAAATGATACAGATATTTCTGATAGTAGCACAGACTCCTGTCTTAAGGAAGCTACTAGGAATTTGCACACAATGCCCCTACATCAATGTACATGCTGACATAGACTCATATTTGCAAGAGATTTTTAAGGGACCACCTATGTCTCTCATTTGAATGGGGAAAATTACTTTCCATCAGAGCCAGGAGCACTTGCAGAGATAGACGAGAGTCCCAAGCCTGCAGCTTGCTGAGGGCCTGAGAGGCTGAAGCTGTGTGCTCTGCTCCGGGCTTCCCCACCAGCTTCCTCCGTGACTTTGGCAAAGCTCTCCAGGGCATAGAACCCAAAGCTGGCCCACACAATGGCATGGTTATCTTGGCATGAAAGCAATAGTTGCAAATTGGCGTGCTAGTTCAAAGAACTGGGAAACAAAAGCAGACGTGAGTTTTGACATACACTCTGGGAGCTGAGAATGGTGAGCGCACAGGAAAAGCGGGAATGCTAATGAGCATTGTTTTAAGCAAGCAAAGTATACAACTGCTGAACATGGCCATTTACTCCCCCAATGACTTTGTAAGCAAACCAGATTTTACCTATCTGATACCCCTCAAATGGTTTGATTTGATATGGGGTTGTCTTGAGAAACTTAAGTTTTTCTCTTTGCCATTCTTATGATTCTTCTCTCCATTTCTCCATCCCACCAAATAAAAATCCATTGGTGAGAATAAAATTCTCTTTCTCTTAGAGAATTTACGAGGGCCCTTGTAATAATCACTTCTGAAGAGGAGAATTGGGAATCCCACAACAAAGTACCACCTGTGGCATTGGGTGACTGTCTTCCTCTGATGCCAGGAACACAGAGCTGTTTCCCAGCAATGGGAAGAATTGGCCAGGCCCACCAAATTCCACTTGCTTGTCAAGTGTGAGGGGTACCAGAGGCATAGCCTTTTGGGACCTCTGAGGGTTGAGGATGCTGAGGAAGAGAATGCAGAAGCCCCCGCTATAAAGTGACAGCTGCAGACTGTGAGTGCAGAAGGGGCAGAGGCCAATAGCAGGATCGTGGCTCCCTGCCCATCTGCAGGGGAAGCCGGCACACCTGAGAAATGGAAAGAACATTCCTCCAATTAGTTAGCTTTCATCCCAGGAGTCTTTGTTAAGGAGCCTGTGGCTTGGGGAAGCTGTCGAAGCCCAAGAACAAACAGATTAACCCCTTCCTTTTGAGGGCCTATGAAATAGCTCATCAAGGAAGAGGAAAGATGAAGACAAGAACCTGCAGGACAAGGGAAAGACATAGAAGTGGCATAATTTAGGCCGACTGGTGACCTCTATAGTAAAAGGCCTCAGGGAGGGGAATTCTCTTTTCAGTATCCTTCAGGGAATTTTCCTTCTCACCTTCCTGGCCCTGTCTCAGTCTCCCATACAAACCAACCCAACTTTAAATGCTGGGGCTTCTAGGGGGCACCAGTGGAGCCCTTTGCCTTCTCCTGTTATACACAGTCCCCAGGAATCGCCAGATACTCCTGTGGCATCAGTAGCTACCCGAATTCCAAGGACTCTCCCATCGAGAGTTCCAAGTCAGCCCCACTCTTGAGCCTCAGCCTACCCTTTTAACTATTGTGCTTCTACTCCCTCTTCCTCCAGAAGCATCGGACTCCATGGGGGCAGGACAACTCACCCGTGTTCCTCAAAGCCTGCCCTGTTTCTGATTCATGTCTTTGTGAACAGCACTATCACTCACCCAGGCCAGAAACCTGAATACATCTTCCAAATCTGTCTCTTGCTCTCCATTCCCATCACCAAGACCTCAGCTCAGATGCCCTGTCTTCCTCACCTGGCTGCTATCTGGAATCCCTCTCTCCAGTCTCATCTTCCAGTCAGCTCCTCACAGTGTTATCATGTTAGTGTTTCCACAAGATGGAACATTCTCTGTCATGGGAAGTTTGTACTTGTCTTACACCTTTGCCCAGAGTCCCATTGCTGAGAACCATAAGGCACTCTGAAGAGCCATAGAGAGAGCTACCAGTCACCTCCTTCCAGGGCTGGCTGAGAAGAGGCCGAATGGGTGCTTCATCTCTCATTCCCACCACTGCATCCAGCAAGTACATACAGAAGCCTGGAGCTCATTAGGTCTGAGCAGTAAGGAAGAGGAGGCATTGAGCCCTTCAGTGGAGGGGAGGAGTGCTGTGGCTTTACCCCTCCATGTACCCCAGGGAGGTGCGATATAAGAGAATTCTTCCAGAAGAGTGGAGTTGCCAGCACAGAAGGACCCTGAGCCTTCACTCCCAGCTTGATGTTTACTGAATGACAGTAACTAGGAGGCCCATCCCAGTCACCCAAAACAAAGCATGACAGACAGCCCCTGGGAGAATTTGACTTCTATCTTCTGGAGTTTGTCAACATATGTGAAGACAGAGGCAGATAGGAGACTGCTTCTCACCTGCCATAGTCTGAACACTGCTCAGATAGGGGAAGAGAAGAAACAGTGGACCCACCTGAGTTCCCAGCAAGGATACACACATTTCCATGGGAAAATACATGCCACAGAAGGAAGTGGGACTCCTGCCATCCAAGGGACTCAGGGGTCTATTTTCGGAGGCAAGAGCTAGGAAGCTGTCACAAGAAACAATCTCTAGAATACATCACCTATGTCAAAGAAGTGCACAGTATCAAGGTCTTGCAGAACCTTCCAAAAAATATCTGAAAATAAACACACACAAGAATATTTCCGCCTTTTCCTTCAGCTTTTACCTCTTTCAAATCTTACAGCAAGAAACAGAGATGATAGAGTAGATTCAAACTGCAGGCTCCAGCCCCCAGGTCAGGATGGAGATGAGGGGCAGAAGGTGCCGGTTAAATGTGAGTGGTGTTGTGATTTAGATACTACTTGATTTGTTAATATCTGTAAATGAGTCAATTGTCAAAATAAGACTGGTCTTAGAGTCAAATGTGCCTGGAAACCTACAGAATCTTCTACAGATGTTTTCAAATGTTGAGGAAGAAAGACCTGGTATGACACATTTAAAAGCAGTGTTGGGATAAAAACAAACTCACACCTCATACTCCAAAGTCAAAATTATCATGTCACTCTTCCGCTTGAAATCTTCTCAGTGGCTTCCAGACATAATTCTTGGCATATAATACACATAATAAATGCTATTTTTAAGAAAAAAAAACAATTGAGCACATCTACATCAGACACAAAAAATCTGAGTCCAAGTCCTAATTTTCTGTTTATTATTCAGGATGTCGGAGAAGAAATCTACTTTTGTGAACCTCAGCTTTCTCCTGTATAAATGAAGAAAACAGCAATGTTACCTCACAGCTTTGTTGCAGGATTAAATAGTAACATGAATGTAAGTAGTATTCTGTCAATCACTTCGCAAAATATAAAGCACTATCCAAATATTCATTCATGAATTCCCTCATTCAGTGAAGATGCCCTTGGTGCTGGAGAACGAGTGGTGAATGAGATGGACAAAAACGATGCTCTCTAGTTGGGGGAGACAGACAAAAGAAAAAAAGATCACGTCAGAAAGCCCTAAGTGCCATGAAGAAAATAAAATCAAGAGAGTAAGAGCGATCTGGATAAAAATAAGCCTCCTTTAATTGAAAGGAGCTAGATTGAGTGGCCTGGGAGGGCCTCTTTGAGGATGAGACACTTGCACTGACATTTTAACCACAGGAAGGAAAAACCAGAGTCTTGCAGAGACTTACAAGCAAAGACTATAGAAAGAACAAAGGCTTTCGGTTGATCTAGGCTTGGGGTGCGTGAAGAAAGAAAGAAGAATGTGGACACCATGAGCCAGGGAACAGAGCTTATAATCTGGTCAAATGGGGTCAGTTCGCGGTGGGCCTTGGTATTTTAGGTAAGTATGCTTACTTGATTTTAGTTGTTATTTTATAAGCAACAACGACAACAAAATTGTAAGCTAGTTTTTTTTTTTTTTCTTTCTGAGATGAGGTCTCACTCTGTTTTGCCCAGACGGAACTCAAACTCGTGATCCTCTCACCTTAGCCTCCCATGTTGCTGGGATTGCAGGTGTGCACCACCGCACCTGGCTGAAATCATAAGCATCCAGAAAAGGAAGGTTCACCTTAGGGTCTTTCCCTTTCTCCTTTCTGTACCCCTCTCCCAGTTGTTCTGCCTGTTCCCCCAGATCTCTAGGATCCTCTCCTGCCTTCAGATGACTATCCAATCCCCTCACCCCTCTTGCCCGTTTACTCACGTGAGAGTGGTGTTTTGATTTAGATGCCACCGAACTTGTTAATGTCTGTAAGTGAATTAATTATCAAAATAAGACTGAGTTAAATGTGCCTGAAAACCTACAGAATCTTCTAGAGGTGTTTTCAAATGTCTACCTCAGAGGAACCAAGGTCTACCTCAGAGGAACCCTCCCTAAGGCCAAATCACTGCTGGGTTGTAAAACAATTAAAATTCAATAAGATGAGTATACCTTTTAAGTTTATCTACTTTAAGATTTAACTAATTTACCTTCTAAAGATAATGCTTATTGATCAAAATGAAACACTAACTGCCAACTTTTAAGGTGATAGAACAGGGTGAGGCATTTTGAAGTAATATAGGTTATTGATATGCCAATGTTCCAATGTAAGAAAAATATCATATGAAGTGACTTTTTAAAACATGAGCACTTATCTATTTTCCGTTTTCTGGCAGTTGGTAATCTGGTCCTCTGGAAGCTACATTTCCAAGTTCCAAACCTAACAAGCCCTCTCCTGCTCACATATTTCTGACCTACAAAACAATCAAGCCATTGAAAGGCAGGTATATTAGTCAGGATTCTCCAGAGAAACAGAACCAATGAGAGAGAGAGAGAGAGAGAGAGAGAGAGAGAGAGAGAGAGAGAGAGATTAGACGTGTTAGAGACGATATACTATGAAAATTGACTCACATGATAATAGAAGCCGGAAAGTCCCACAACGTGCCATCTGTAAACTGAAGAATCAGGGAAGCTGGAGGTGGTATAATCCAGTCTGAGTTGGAAGGCCTGAAAACCAGGGGAGTCTTGCTGGAGGGGTGGGGTTTGGGAGGTGCTGGTGTTAAGTCCTGGAGTGTGAAGACTGGAGAACAGGAGCTGTGATGTCTGAGGGCAGGAGAAGATGGACATCTCAACTGAAGAAGGGAGAGCAATAAGGCCTGCTCATGTCCGTCAGTGAAGGCAGATCTTCTTTACTCAGTCTATGGATTCAAATGCTAATCTCTTCTGGAAATACCCTCAAAGAAACACCCAGAAATAATGTTTTACCAGCTATCTGGGTATTCTTTAATTCCATTAAGTTGATGCATAAAATGAACCATCATGGCAGGTATTTTGCCATTGTCATGAAACACATTTTGAGAATGTTAAGGAGGCTATGAATTGACCATCTCTTGTTCTTCCTGGTTCCATCCAGCAGACCCCAATATTTTGTCTGATCTATACCTGCATCTCTAGCTATAGCTATGTTCATTTCCTTATCCATATTGTATCTTATGTCATCAGTGAAAAGATGAGGACTGATGTTCTTCATTCATAGCTTTCTTTACTTTGAATGCTCACAGTAACCATATTCATATTCAAATCAGTAACCAACAAAGGTAAGGGAATGAAATATATTTTTTTAGATATCCAAATTTATACAGTTATTAATACCTGTGAAGATTCATGGATATAGATATTTCTTTTCATACATGACACCTCTAACATGACTCTCCCTTTGTCTCAGCCCATGTCAGCTTTGACATGGCTGCTGACTATTCCCGTGAGATGTGGTTGCAACTGAGCCCTGGTTCAAGGGGTCTTCCCTGCAGCTGGAGGGCTAATGTATTAGGCCATTCTTACATTGCTATAAAGAAATACCTGAGACTGGATAATTTATAAAGAAAAGAACTTTAATTGGCTGACCGTTTTATAGGCTGTGGAGGAAGCATGATGCTGACATCTCCTTGGCTTCTGGGGAGGCCTCAGGAAACTTACAATCATGGCAGAAGGTAAAGGGGGAGCAGACATGTCACATCGCCAGAGGAGAAGCAAGAGTGAGAGAGAGGGGAGGTGCTACACACTTTTAAATGACCAGATCTCCTTAGAACCCACTCACTATTGGGAGGACAACATCAAGAGGATGGTGCTAAACCATTCATGCGAAATCACCCCTATGATCCAATCACCTCTCACCAGGCCCCACTTCCAACAGTGGGGATTACAATTCGACAAGATTTGGGTGGAGACACAGATCCAAATCATATCAGAACCCTCTGAGGCCACGATAGAGAACCCAATGGTGGTTATGTAGGCTGGCAACCATTAGCTAACATCAGGATCCCTTCCAAGGAACAGGGAAACTTCCTAGAAAATCCTTTCACTCTTGACAAAGCCTAGCTTCCAAGATTTAATGCAAAAATCTTACTTTGGTAATTGAAAATAAAAAATGAATATTGACTGTTTCTTTGCATTCCCATCTCAATTGCCCTACAGATAGTATCTTGGGCTGACTTCAGAGAAAGTCTTAGACATGCAAAAGGGAAAATAATTTTTTTTTCAAAAACATTACCCTGATGAAAGTTTGAGTTATGAATTGAATCAAGCTCTGTACTTGTAGGTGGGAATAAAAAGATGAATGAGATATGACCCCAACTTGCAAGAGTCTCCTTCTGGTGGGGGGATACATGTAAAAGGATAATTATAATACTGAATGAAAAGCTTAGATTGAAACATTCCCCTGCTCCTCAATTCCTCCCTACTCTGCCTTTATTTTGTGATAGACACGATACTGGCTGAGCAATGGAAAAATTCAAAGTAAGACACTTTATTTGGGCTCAGTTGGAATTTGACTAGCAAATAATTTATTAGGGAAAGCCAATAGGAAAGTAGTCGCCCTGTGGCACACAGGAAAAAGAGCTGTGAGGGGTGGCAAGAGATCATTCTTTTTCTAATGAGAAAATTTCAAAAATATGCTAAAAATCTGTTGCCACATAACATTTTGAAGAATATGGTATATATGAATCAGAATCGACACCTTCCAAAATGAACAATAGCTACAGATGTAACAGCTTTCATAATAAAACTGATTTAGAAAGTTGGTAGAAACAATCACCAAAACATTTGGCGGAAAATCACATTGTAAAGTGGCTTTGTAATCTTAAACAGGAAAGCACAATATATTTTTCATTAAAGAGGGTTGATCAAAACTAATTTCTAATTTTTTGTTACTATAATAATAATGATTCAAATACAAATGAAAATATACAATCAATCAGACAATCTTTGCAAACTGATTCTAAAACAGAATCTCACACAAATATGGATATTCTCCCCCCAAATAAGTAACTCTTGGGGTGTGTAGACTGTGGAGTTTATAAAGCCAGGATTGTTTATATGCCTCAAGCAACTCTCTTTATAGCATTGTTTTTGAAATGCTCTGCAATCCAAAAATCATATTTGACCTCATGATTACTTTTAAATGGTCCACAGGAATTAAATATACTGAGCTCACTTGGTTCTAAATATCATTGGCGTAATTACGTAAAGCCTAAATGCTTTCAATTACGAAATACACACAGATACGTGGTGCTAGCTTTAAACAAAAGTAGCTGTTTAGCAATGAACAGTGTAAACAAAACTTGTTGTATAAGTTAACTGCAGAGAATTGCATAGGGTTAATGATGCTGCTTTGGTACTAGGTCTTGCGGCTCTTTCTCAGTATTAATCCTTACAGGATGGTTTGACTATTTGTGGAGAGACTTGTGGTAAAAACCAGGAATTTATTTCAACTGGGCAAAAACTCCCTTTGAAGCATATCTACATTATTTCAAATGACCTAAATATGGATTTAGTAAAGCATTGAATTAGATGTCCTGGAATTTATGTCTAAGCCTATTCTAAGTTTTATATGCTAGGGATTATGTTTACCTCTGGGTTTTGGCTATCACAATCATTCAAATAAAATGTGAACAGAAAAGTAAGTCCTCTTTAAAAGTAAAACTCTGAAATGCAGAAATCTGGCACCAAATGTCTCCCAACACCCCATTTAATAACGCTCATGATTTGTGGTTGCCAAATTGCCCATCGGCAAGAAGAATTTGCATACTGGGCAGGAGGATGAAGCTGGATCGGGTGTATTTAGGCACAGTTCACTGTCTGGTTTCTTCCCTTGTTGGGTTGGGGGCTAACTGGAGAGCAGAACAGGGCAAAGACACTGGGAACTATGGCAGTTGAGTTCCTGGATGAGCCTGGAGCTGGGAAAAAATGGGACTGGGTCATAGCAAGTTGTATGCTTGTAGCAGCAAGTTTTTGGTGCTAGGAAATATTAGACCTTTGAAATCTCTAAATCTTAGCTAAGATCTGAAAGATCACAAGTTTGGGGTCCACAATAAATTTTGGGAGACTAATTTTCTCTTCCTTGGCCCTTCCTTTTCCAGGTTCTGTGTGCCAGGATACCACCTCCAAGACCCCAGTCACTCTCCTCTCTACTTACACTATCCTACACAAACACACATACACCCCCACACACAGACACACACACAGGCACACACCCCCCACACACGTAGACACAGAGACACCAGAACACATTCGAGAAACCCAACCAAGACCATCTTGACTAGTTATTTCTCCTCTATTTTCTACAATAATCTTTTCTTTATCAACAATTGATATGTTTTTGAAATGAGACCAGACCTGGCTTGTATGCATCCACCATCTTCTCCTGCCATTAATTGGAGTTTGGAGGCCAAACTCTAGGCACAGCTGCATCGGCATCAACAATAACAAGAACCATGTTGAGACACAGTTGATCATCACCAAAGCTCTTCTTTAGGTTGGAAGGGATAGCTGATCCGGCTGCTTCTGAGGCATGACCAGGCTGGGGCAGCTAGCTGCAGAAAACCCCTGGTGTACCCAGATATCCTGCACCCCCAAAACTCCCCATAAGACAAAACTATAGAGACCAAGGGGTAGAAACCTATGAAGAGTAACCGAGAATGACTGAATCATAGGAATGAATGTTCCTGGAGCCTCTTTTCTAAAAAGTCTCCAGTAAACCTAAAACCAACCAGCCAAAGTTGGCCAAGGTCGGCCTTCAGGTACTCAGCAGAAAGGCCAATCTCAAGGTTCACACAACCTTTTTGGCAGAACTCCTTTTCGGCATTTCAGACTCTGGCACCCACAGCCCTGGAACAAAAACATTTCAATTTTCAAGAGCTGGCTAGGAATTCTAGAGAAGGAGAATTCATTTAGAGTTTTGCACATACAAGAAGTTGGGAGGAGGGTGAAGTCCAAATGTGTGGGCATATTCTGCTTTTACTCCCTGTGTTTTTGGAAGACACCATGTATTCAGTGATATCAAGGGCTTCTGAAATATCCAGGTGTGCCTGTTCTAGTGAATAAGTTGTCCCTGAGCTGGTGTCTGGGCAATCTTCTGTTTAGTTAGGTACAAACCAAAGCACCTGACAGTGTCAATGCCTTCAGGAGGCTACAGCACGGGAGCATGTGAACGTGAAATCCACTCAGGAGGGAGCTGGGGAGATTGGGTCAGAGTTTCAGGTTCAGAGGGGAGAATTCTACTAACTGGTTTGTAGAATTCAGGATTCTCACTGGACTGCCTTAAACATCAGGACGTTAAACTACCACAAATGGGAGTATTTCTCAATATTCTACAGTTTGAATTCCAAATTCCCAATTTTTGAAGTGTTGGTGAACCAGTTGCAATGATATTTAGTTAACAGATTCTAACACAAACTCATTATTTATTTAATAATTTTTAAAAGATTCATTTAAAAATATAAATGTATTTTTTTAAAATTATTATTATACTTTAAGTTTTAGGGTACATGTGCACAATGTGCAGGTTAGTTACATATGTATACATGTGCCATGCTGCTGTGCTGCACCCATTAACTTGTCATTTAGCATTAGGTATATCTCCTAACGCTATCCCTCCCCCCTCCCCCCACCCCAAAACAGTCCCCAGAGTGTGATGTTCCCCTTCCTGTGTCCATGTGTTCTCATTGTTCAATTCCCACCTATGAGTGAGAACATGTGGTGTTTGGTTTTTTGTCCCTGCGATAGTTTGCTGAGAATGATGGTTTCCAGCTTCATCTATGTCCCTAAAAAGGACATGAACTCATCATTTTTTATGGCCGCATAGTATTCCATGGTGTATATGTGCCACATTTTCTTAATCCAGTCTATCATTGATGGACATTTGGGTTGATTCCAAGTCTTTGCTATTGTGAATAGTGCTGCAATAAACATACGTGTGCATGTGTCTTTGTAGCAGCATGATTTATAATCCTTTGGGTATATACCCAGTAATGGGATGGCTGGGTCAAATGGTATTTCTAGTTCTAGATCCCTGAGGGATCGCCACACTGACTTCCACAATGGTTGAACTAGTTTACAGTCCCACCAACAGTGTAAAAGTGTTCCTATTTCTCCACATCCTCTCCAGCACCTGTTGTTTCCTGACTTTTTAATGATTGCCATTCTAACTGGTGTGAGATGGTATCTCATTGTGGTTTTGATTTGCATTTCTCTGATGGCCAGTGATGGTGAGCATTTTTTCATGTGTTTTTTGGCTGCATAAATGTCTTCTTTTGAGAAGTGTCTGTTCATGTCCTTCGCCCACTTTTTGATGGGGTTTTTTTTTCTTGTAAATTTGTTTGAGTTCATTGTAGATTCTGGATATTAGCCCTTTGTCAGATGAGTAGGTTGTGAAAATTTTCTCCCATTTTGTAGGTTGCCTGTTCACTCTGATGGTAGTTTCTTTTGCTGTGCAGAAGCTCTTTGGGTTTAATTAGATCCCATTTGTCAATTTTGGCTTTTGTTGCCATTGCTTCTGGTGTTTTAGACATGAAGTCCTTGCCCATGCCTATGTCCTGAATGGTAATGCCTAGGTTTTCTTCTAGGGTTTTTATGGTTTTAGGTCTAATGTTTAAGTCTTTAATTCATCTTGAATTAATTTTTGTATAAGGTGTAAGGAAGGGATCCAGTTTCAGCTTTCTACATATGGCTAGCCAGTTTTCCCAGCACCATTTATTAAATAGGGAATCCTTTCCCTATTGCTTGTTTTTCTCAGGTTTGTCAAAGATCAGATATTTGTAGATACGTGGTGTTATTTCTGAGGGCTCTGTTCTGTTCCATTGATCTATATCTCTGTTTTGGTACCAGTACCATGCTGTTTTGGTTACTGTAGCCTTGTAGTATAGTTTGAAGTCAGGTAACGTGATGCCTCCAGCTTTGTTCTTTTGGCTTAGGATTGACTTGGCGATGCGGGCTCTTTTTTGGTTCCATATGAACTTTAAAGTAGTTTTTTCCAATTCTGTGAAGAAAGTCATTGGTAGCTTGATGGGGATGGCATTGAATCTGTAAACTACCTTGGGCAGTATGGCCATTTTCACGATATTGATTCTTCCTACCCATGAGCATGGAATGTTCTTCCATTTGTTTGTGTCCTCTTTTATTTCCTTGAGCAGTGGTTTGTAGTTCTCCTTGAAGAGGTCCTTCACATCCCTTGTAAGTTGGATTCCTAGGTATTTTATTCTCTTTGAAGCAATTGTGAATGGGAGTTCACTCATGATTTGGCTCTCTGTTTGTCTGTTGTTGGTGTATAAGAATACTTGTGATTTTTGTACATTGATTTTGTATCCTGAGACTTTGCTGAAGTTGCTTATCAGCTTAAGGAGATTTTGGGCTGAGACAATGGGGTTTTCTAGATATACAATCATGTCATCTGCAAACAGGGACAATTTTTTTAAAAAAACCTTAAATTGTTACTCATTTTGTTATAACTCTTAATATGTTTTTTGATACACATTAAAAGGACATGTTTAAAATAAGCATACTCATATATTGCCTAAACTCATTTCGCATACCCTCAGGGGTACCCATACCACTCTTTGGGAACCACTGTTGCCAGATGTGGTCCTTACAGGCCTCTAAGGTCCTCTGTGACTGACGCCTGTGGTTTCCAAAGGGAGATGATGGTTAAGAAGTGAGTGCCCCCAGCAGACAGAGCTTTGACTTAAAGGTGTTTATGAAAGGTGTTTATGAACAGTATCAGCATCTTCCCTGAGAAGAGATTTTGGAAAAGTGAATTAGCCACCAAATCACAGCTTGGGCACCAGCAAGATGGTAAGGTCATCTAAAACTCTTGACTAGAAACAGCTCAAATAAGTTACACTCATTTAGCAATTTTTGCCTAGAGTTAGAGAGCTCAAAGCAGGAATCTTCAGTTTCACTGGTGGATCGGTATTTGCAAAACTGTTCAATATCAAAAGAAAATGAAATGTTAAAAGCTGCTGTGGGGACTTATAATGTGACAGTTTGAATAGGCTGAGCTACATTTTCCAAAATTACCTTTCTTGTAAATTTCTGGTTACAGAGTCAGAAGGAGGATTCTTGTGAGATGAGGAGAGGAAAGGGGAGGCAGTGGCCACATTGAAGGTCATGAGCATTGTTGGGATCTGCTGAGTTACCTCATGGGTGTGAGGCAGCAGCTGGACCTGCACCTGCTCCCCTTTCCCCTGGATCTTCCTTCAGTTTCTCTTACCCCCAGGTCAGGTACATGTGTGTTCAGCTCTGTGCTGAACACACAAGGGCCAGCATCTGCAGGATACACTCCAAAGTCAGAGGCAAAACAACAGCCTAGGCTGTCTGTCTATTCTTGTGGGGTCCCAGCTTTGTGCTTGCAGTATTTTTGCCCAGTCATGATCTTGTTGTGACTGTCTGCCACGTGTATCTCAAGTTCCACATCAGACACAGAAACAAAGCCTTGAAGAGATGGCTCAACCGGACCCCACAGCTGTATACGCCAATTCCCTGTAACACGTAACTGTTCATTTTATCTGTAAGGCTTCTAGACAGTAGTAGGCTATTAGTAGTTAACTTTTGGAGGAGTCAAAAGTTATGTGCAAATTTTTGACTGTATGGGGGTGAAGGGTCAGTTATCATAACCTCCACATTTTTCAAGGGTCAACTGTACATGATAGCAAGGATCAAAATTCATTTTCTGTTCTAAATCCAATGCTCCTATACTACTAACCTATAGCAATCAATGGCTGCAGTCTCTTGGCAATTTACTACCTCAGATTTAACAAAATATATGTAAATATAAATACATTTGGTGTTTTTGTCATGAAATCTTTGCCCATGCCTATGTCCTGACTGGTATTGCTAGATTTTCTTCTAGGGTTTTTATAGTCTGGGGTTTTACATTTAAGTCTTTAATCCATCTTGGTTAGTTTTTGTATAAGGTGTAAGGAAGGAGTTCAGTTTCAATTTTCTGCATATGGCTAGCCAGTTTTCCCAGCACCATTTATAAAATAGGGAATCCTTTCTCCATTGCTCATTTTTGTCAGGTTTGTTGAAGACCAGATAATCGTAGATGTGTGGTCTTATTTCTGAGTTCCCTATTCTGTTCCATTGATCTATGTGTCTGCTTTTGTACCAGTACCATGCTATTTTGATTACTGTAGCCTTGTAGTATAGTTTGAAGTCAGGTAGCGTGATGCCTCCAGCTTTGTTCTTTTTGCTTAGGATTGTCTTGGCTATATGGGCTCTTTTTTGGTTCCATATCAATTTTAAAATAGTTTTTTCTAATTCTGTGAAGAATGCCAATGGTAGTTTAATGAGAATAGCATTGAATCTACAAATTACTTAGGGCAGTATGGCCATTTTCATGATTTTGATTCTTCCTATCCATGAGCACGCAGTGTTTTTCCATTTGTTTGTGTCCTCTCTTATTTCCTTGAGCAGTGGTTTGTAGTTCTCCTTGAAGAGGTCATTCACTTCCCTTGTTAGCTGTATTCCTAAGTATTTTATTCTGTTTGTAGCAATTGTGAATGGAGTTCATTTGTGATTTAGTTTTCTGCATGCTTTTTGGTGTATAGGAATGCTTGTGATTTTTGCACATTGATTTTGTATCTTAGGACTGCTAAAGTTGCTTATCAGCTTAAGAAGCTTTTGGGCTGAGATGATGGGGTTTTCTAGATATAGGGTCATGTCATCTGCAAAGAAATATAGTTTGACTTCCTCTCTTCCTATATGAATATACTTTATTTCTTTCTCTTGCCTGACTGCCCTGGCCAGAACTTCCAATACTTTGTTAAATAGGATTGGTGAGAGAGGACATCCTTGTCTTGTGCTGGTTTTCAAGGGAGATCTTCCAGGTTTTGCCCATTCAGTATGATGTTGGCTGAGGGTCTGTCATATATGGATCTTATTATTTTGAGGCATATTCCTTCAGTACCTAGTTTATTGAGAGTTTTTAACATGAAGGCATGTTGAATTTTATTGAAGGCCTTTTCTGTGTCTATTGAGATAATCATGTGGTTTTTGTCTTTAGTTTTGTTTATGTTATGAATGACAGTTATTGATTTGCATATGTTGAACCAATCTTTCATCTTGGAGATGAAGCCAACTTGATTGTGGTGGATAAGCTTTTTGATGTGCTACTGGATTCGGTTTGCCAGTATTTTATTGACGATTTTTGCATTGATGTTCATCAGGGATATTGGCCTGAAGTTTTCTATTTTGCGTGTCTGTTGTATCTCTGCCAGGTTTGGTATCAGGATGATGCTGGCCTCATAAAATGAGTTAGGTAAGAGAAACTCCTTTTCAAGTGTTTGGAATAGTTTCAGTAGAGATGGTACCAGCTCCTCTTTGTACCTCTGGTAGAATTCAGCTATAAGTGGATCTGGTCCTGGGCTTTTTTTCGTGGGTAGGTATTTATTACTCCCTCAATTTCAGAACTTGTTATTGGCCTATTTAGAGATTCAATTTCTTCCGGGTTCAGTCTTGGGAAGGTGTATGCATCCAGGAATTTATCCATTTTTTCTAGATTTTCTAGTTTATGTGCATAGAGGTGTTCATAGTATTCTCTGATGGTTGTTTGTATTTCTGTGGGGTCAGTGGTGATATCCCCTTTATCATTTTTTATTGTGTCTATTTGATTCTTATCCTTTCTTCTTTATTAGTCTAGCTAGTGGTCTACCTATTTTATTAATTTTTTTCAAAAAACCAGCTCCTGAGTTCATCTATTTTTTTGAAGGATTTTTTGTGTCTCTATCTCCATCAGTTCCACTCTGATCTTGGTTATTTCTTGTCTTCTGCTAGCTTTGGGGTTTGTTTGCTCTTGGTTCTCTAGTTCTTTTAGTTGTGATGTTAAGTTGTCAATTTGAGATGTTTCTAGCTTTTTGTTGTAGGCATTTAGTGCTATAAATTTCCCTCCGAACACTGCTTTAGCTGTGTCCTACAAATTCTGGTATGATGTCTCTTTGTTCTCATTAGTTTCAAAGGACATCTTGATTTCTGCCATAATTTCATTATTTACCCAGGAGTCATTCAGGAGCAGGTTGTTCAATTTCCATGTAGTTATGAGGTTTGGGGTGAGTTTCTTAATCTTGAATTCTAATTTGATTGCACTGTGATCTGAGAGACTATTTGTTATTATTTCAGTTCTTTTGCATTTGCTGAGGAATGTTTTACTTCAACATAAATGAATCTCAAAAGAATTATGATAAGTGACAAAAGCCAAACACAAAAGACTGCATACTGCATGGTGACATTTATATAAAATTTTAGAAAAGAAAAACTACAGTGTCAGAAAGCAGATCAGTGGCTTCCAAGGACAATGTGTGGGTGAAGATTGACTGCAAGGGGGCACTAGGACATGTTTGAAGGTGATGGAAATATTATAGGTCATGATTGTAGTGGTGGTTACATGGCTGTATACATTTGTGGAAGTCATCAAATTATACTCTTCAACATGGTGAATTTTATTGTCTATAAGTAACATTTCAGTAAGACATCCGTGCTTTAGAGAGCTTACTTACACATTTTTGTAAACATTGTTTTAAACTTTAAGTTGCATTTGATATCTATGTCACTAAAAACTTACGTTTAGTGTTTTATAATGGAAAAGCTTAATTAAAGGGAAACATGCTATTCTCCTTGTTTTAATAAAATGTGACTATGGGAAATCTAGTTGTTTCTGATGACACAAATGAAAAGTCCATAAACTCTTTATTGATTGCTCTGTCCAGTGCTTCTTTCTAAAACAGGATGACCAAAGGAATTGTTGAGGTCAGTTTTTTCCATAGGCTTCCTACTTAAGTGATGTAAACATAACCCTGGATACAACTGATTAGACAAGAGATCGGTATAATCAGTTATTGGCAGAAATCTGCAGGTTAGCCCCAAAGAAAACCTGACAGCCATGAGGTAGGATTTTACGTAAGAGTTCTTCCCAAATTAACTGCTTTATATTTAAAAGCAAAACAAAATCAAACCTCTTCTTTGAAGAATACAAAATACATAGAGAGAGCAAAAGTCTATAGGAAGATAGCTGAATGCCTCAATTTTTCCTCTTTCTAAACATGTACCTTTTCAGCTTTTTATCAGGTTAGTTTAATCAACTTTAAAATATTATTTTAAGTATTTTTTCAAACTTTTTAATCAAAATAATTAACACTATATATTAGAACAATATAAACTGCTATATATAAAACTATATATAAATTACTATATAAATATGAAACTATATATAAACTATAAAATAAGGCAATATATAAAGACTATATAAATTTATTTATATATACATAAATGCATATGCATATATAATATGTAAATTTATGTGTATATCTGTATTTATATACATATATAAATTTACATGTTATACGATTTACATATTACACATGTTTATATACAAGTATACTTATATATGTATATATACATATATAAATTATGTATGCTGTGTAAGTATATATATAGATATATACTTATCAGCATATTATGCTTATATGGCATATTATGTATGCCGTATAAGTATATATAGATTGATATATACTTATACGGCATACATAATTTATATATGCATACATATAAGTATATATATACTTATGCAGCAAACATATATACAAATGTGTGTGTGTGTATATATATATATATATATATATATATATATATATATATGACTACGTATGAGAGGAAGCAGTATAAAAGCAAAATTGAGAAAGAAGCAGAAAAAAGGGAATCAAAGCTGGACCATGTTCTCTGAGACTGCAGGAACCCAGGCCCTGACTTCCCTCACTCAAGCAAGTCCCTCACCCAGGCTTCTCCCCCTCATAAGTACCTGGCTTTAGCTTGGCTCTGAGAAGAGACCAGAGCAGTGGAGTGGAGGCTGAAGCCAGGGGAAAGAAGGCAGCAGGCATGCCCCACACAGCAGGGGATCTGAGTAAGCCCATGCAGTAGGGTGAGAAGAAGAGTGAGCCTAGCTGGATCAGAGTTGTAGAACAGCGTCAGTGCAGAAACAGGGGTCGAGAGCAATGTGGACACCAGAATCACTGCTTTATCGTAGCTAGCACCCCTCTTTTGGTGGGGCCTGAGTGGGCAGCTGCTGCTGAGCCTATTTTCTGTGCTTTTCCAATTCCATATATCTACCTGTCATTGTTGGCTCCCTTTCTTCGTGATTCCAGTTCCTTCCATCTGTGTTTGTTCTTCCAGTTTTACAAATGAAGTGCTTTTCTCTTTTTCCTCTCAATTCAGGCTTCTCTGGTCTTTGGTTGACTTCTTACTCCTAATACAGCAAGTTTAAAGTCTTAACCTGTATTTTCTGAGGAATTTCTCAATGAATGACCTGTTGTGAGACACAGGTTTCATATTGTCAAGTCAAATGACAAATGGCCCAGTGACTGTAACCTGCACTGCTGCCACCTCCTGAACACAACTAGAAGCACCTACAGTCTATAAAGACACTGGAGAGTTTATTATGTACTGTTTCGTGGCATCTCCTGAACCCTGCTTGGAGGTAAAGACCACTTCTTGCACATCATTATATCTGAACAGTGCTGTAACTTTTACCCAGGTATGAAACATGGAATTGTTATTTTTATTTAATTTTCTTGAAGTAACAAGGACTTGGATTTCTCTGGTAAATCAGTTTGTCTAGAAACTAATGGGTATCTCTAGGTTCCCCTGGAAAATATCACTACATTTAAGCTATTTTTCATGTTTCTTTTCTTTTTCTTTTCTTTTTTTTTGGGATGGAGTTTCGTTGTGTTGCCCAGGCTGGAGTGCAGTGTGCTATCTTGACTCACTGCAACCTCTGCCTCCTGGGTTCTAGCAATTCCCCTGCCTCAGCTTCCAAGTAGTTGAGATTACAGGCATGCACCACCATGCCTGGATAATTTTTGTATTTTTAGTGGAGACGGGGTTTCTCCATGTTGGCCAGGCTGGTCTTGAACTCCTGACCTCAGGTGATCCATCCACCTTGGCCTCCCAAAGTGCTGAGATTACAGGCATGAGCCACCACACCTGGTCTCATGTTTATTTTCAACATTTCAACAAATTCCTACCCAATTGTACGAAACTCCAGAATCTCTCCAAGTACTTCAAAAGCGTTGCAGAATTTAACTAATAAGTTGATTTTAATTTATTGATTGTTAGAACGAAATGAGATCTTAAAGATAAGTGTTGTTCAACACTTTAATATTACAAATGAGAATACTGTGGCTCAGAGAGTTTCACTGACTTTGCCTATAACCCTACGGTCAGTTAACGGCAGATGTGAAAGCTAAACTGAGATGTACTGAGGTCTATTCCTGTCTGTCTGTCATTACAGGAGGGCTCCTCTCTATTTAATTTTTACAATAAGATAAATTCATAGACATTTTAAGAGGAAGGAATACTATTGACAAACCAATGACAGCTTAGTATACTGGTTCTCAGGTAGGAAGCTCCTTATATCACCAGTGGGGCTTTATAAAAAAGATCAATCTTTGAGCTTCCTATTATCTATAGGATAAGAACACCCAAGGAAGGGTCAAGAAATCTCTACTTTAAAAATTCCCTATCATTGATTCTGATGTAGCTCCTAGTTAAGCATCACTGAAAGTAGAAAATACTAGCGACTTTGATTTCACTGGCCCTGGAATGGAATCTGAGATCTTGTACCTATTTTGTGATCTGAGGGAGTTGCTTAACTTCTTGGACCTTCAAATTCCTCATCCATAAAAAAGAAAGCAATAGTAACTCTACAGAGATAGCAACATGAAACACTTAGCACCGTGCCTGGAACAGAGCACAGGTTCAGTAAGTATTTGTTTGCATATTGCATCATTGAAAAGACTGGAAACTCTCACATTCTTCTCTAAAAGAGACCACATTTGCCCCAGTAGTTGAAGGTAAGGGACTGCATGTTCACAGAGACCTGAATTTTGCCATTTATTTTTTATTAATATTTGGGACAATACTCAAATTCTGTATGTCTGAGTGTTTTCTCAAAGATAGCAATAGCATAGTGCTTGGCATATAGTCAGTATGCAATGAAGTAATATTATTATTAGAATCACTTTATTCTGCTATCTCATGAACAGGTTTTAGCAATTGATATCTTCTCCATTTATTGTGACTAAATGAAACTAGCTACTCAGGTGTTAAATAAGATGTCATAAAATTGACATAAAGTGATCATTAGAAATTGATTTATAACATGCCTAAATTTTTTCATTGAGGTATAATTTACACACAATGAAATGCACAGATCTTAACTGTACAAATCAATGAGTTCTGAAAAGTGCATACACCCATTTAATCCATATCCCTACCAAGATACGAAATATTTCCATCACTCCAGAAAGATTTTATGTGACCCTTCTGAGTCAATCCTACCTCCCCTTGCTAAACCCTTCTGCTTCTATCATCATGGATTAGTCTGCCTTTTCTGGTACTTCATATAAATGGAATCATTGAATGTGTACTCTTTCATAGCTGATTTCTTTCATTCAACGTAATGTTTTTGGAATTCATCCATATTGCTGCATCTTTGGTAGTTTATGCCTTAACACACTTTTAATTGCTTAATTGGCATATTACTTCACTGACTCCACTAGCTTCATAAGTTATTTACTAAAGAAATATCATACACTTACAACTTTTTTTTTTTGAGACGGAGTCTCGCTCTGTCGCCCAGGCTGGACTGCAGTGGTGTGATCTTGGCTCACTGCAAGCTCCGCCTCCCGGGTTCACGCCATTCTCCTGCCTCAGCCTCCTGAGTAGCTGGGACTATAGGCGCCCGCCACCACGCCCGGCTAATTTTTTGTATTTTTAGTAGAGACGGGGTTTCCCCGTGTTAGCCAGGATGGTCGCGATCTCCTGACCTCCTGATCCGCCCGCCTCGGCCTCCCAAAGTGCTGGGATTACAGGCTTGAGCCACCGCTCCCGGCCACTTTCAACTTTTTAATAAGAAACAGTAGCAATTATAGGCACAATGTTACTGATGAAGGATCATTATCAGCTGGTGCCAGGAAAGACAATAAAACACAAGGACCATAAAATCTGACATTTGGCTATCTTGTCGCCTCAATGGGGGAAAGATTTGCCAGGTTTATTCTAATGTGATATTTTTCATACAGGTACCTCAAAATTAAAACCGGGACCACCAACATCATAAAATATCATATTTTCAAAATAAGACGAAGCCCACATTTGAAAAAATTTCTAGAGCAGTAGTTTTCAAAGTGGATGCCCCACGTGGAAAACAACATAGTAGATCTTCTATATTCATCTAAAAAATAAGAAAGATAATAAACTTTACTATCATTTATGAGTCCTCATGTCTGATGTTACATGAAAGAAGAGCTCCACCACTGAGAGTCACAGGTGCCCTTCCGCCTCCGTTGCTTCCAGAATATTATAGTACATGGCATTTACATGTGCCCTTGTTGAAAGAGTTTGAGTTTGAGGATTATATGATCTAGTTTTAGTTAAACCAACCATCACAAAAACTGACTTAAAAGTAATCCCGCAAAGAACCCATGATGAAACCCACAATGCATCGTGGCAAGTGAGATAAGCACAAGGAAAGAAGGTGGTAGGTTGGCCTTCCTTCTCTCCCTAGTAAAGGCTCTGTGTCAGCCACAATATGGGCTCAAGACATTGATGGTCTCATCACACCTGAGAAGAATTTGGCAGAAGACATTTGGCATTATTAAGAAGACTTTGAAATTGGGATTTACTTTCATTATCATTAAAGATGAACCTTGGCTAAAGCTTATGTTAAGCCTTCAGATGTTAGTTAATCAGAATATACAGCCATTGTGATTAGCAAGATATTTAAAATTCCTGTTTGTCTTTGATTCATCATTGAAACTGTTCTATATTATATGTTTTAATGTACATACTATTCCATACCTTATGTAATTTATGATTAAATCAATAGGTGTATATTTATTTATTGGAGTCACTCAAACATTTTACTGCATGGCTGTACAATCTAGTGTAACACAACATTAAGTTATGTCTGGGTTTACTCTCCACTATGAAGTAGTCTGCCTCTGAACTACAAAGTGATGAGAAATGAGCTTAGCGGAACATTTTAACCGTGGGGATCAAGTTCACTATGTTCCAATGCATGTGTGGTTTGGTCTCAAGGACCTGCTGCACCTTGCAGCTATGCTCCTGAAACTTGGCTCACTGTAATGTAAGGGAGCCATTCCAATGAATATAATGTTTTCTGATGCAATGGAAAACATATTTTTGAATTATACTTCCAGAAATTCACATATTCTGTTACTATCTAAATGTGTTGGACCCTTAATAAGAGGCTCTTTAATGTCCACAACTGTGTAGATTCATGTAAAGATGTGTTTCTGTTTTGAATCTTGAAATTATGCCACCCCCATGAGCTAGTTTATTGTTTTGCTGGAAGTTTTAATGGTAGGAGGAGGGAAAAAAAGAAAATAGAGAAAGAAAAAACAGAGAAGCTTCTAGACATCAGAAGTGAAACTGGGATTATTTTTAGGCAAAGAACAGCAGTTGATGCTATCATAATAAACCTCTGCTTTGTGTAGTGATTTTCTTCCAAAGAACTTAGAGCATTTCATACACAACTTAAGAACACTTGGTGAATCAGCACCAAAACGGATAACACAAGCTACCTGCAGATTGTTTTTTATTAATGACTGCCTTCAGGGACTTATACCTAAAGTGGGGATTTAATTGCTCATCTGAGAAATTAGAGGGAGAGATTGAATGTAAAGAAGGAAAAACAAAAGAAAAAGAAATAGGTGGAGCAGGAGAAAGATCAAAAGCAAATATCTCAGGGTTACTTTACCCTTAACTTTATTTCCTTCTGTCTCTTTCCACCTCTACAAGACTTAATTGGCTTCTATCAGGTGATACCCAGATCCCAATTTGGTGATTACCTTGTGCCTGTTCAGAGCGCTCCTAGTAGTTTCAAGTTTTCTCTTTCTTTAAGGTGCTGGTGCTGCCACTTGGTGGAATGTGTTTATTCAGGGAACAAAGTATTTGCTAAGAAATATGCTTTATGTACTCACATTATAAACACTTTCAGTGTATATACTTGAGCCCTTCTAAAAATAATTCTGCAAATGTCCTTATATAAGGTTTATATGAGACTATCTAGTGCTTAGGTACCTATTGATTTGTTTTTATATAACAGGCTCTTGTACGATAAAGCTCCATGACTCACCACTTTTAGAAATAATCTCTTGCTGTATCTAATTGTTAATGTTGACATGCTGCTCTGTGGATCTAGTCTATTTTTTTTCATGCATTATGTGTTTGGTCTCCAATTAATGTGTTCTGTCTCAAGGTCAGAAGCTGTACTTGTTCCTTCCTTTGGTGGCGTTTACTCTGTGGAAGCTCTTTTTCATTGTTGTGATTGTATGGCGAGAATCCCTATTACCCTTCAGAAGGTATGCCGAGCCTCTTGTACATGGTGCATTTCGATGGCAGAGTCGAGCTTAACTTCATGATTCATTATTTCACTCGGTTAATATTTTTGATCTCCTACTACATGCCAGGAGCTGTTTTAAACTCAACAGTAAACAGAAAAAAATTCCTGACCTAATGTGGCTTGCATTTTCATGTGGGAAGGATAGATAATAAGCAAAATAAGTCAGTTAAATATTCAGTAAAGTACTAAGGAGAACAAGGTGGCATCTGAATAAAGTCCATGAAAATGATTTTGAAATGAGGGAGCATGAAAATGAAGGAGCAAGCTATGGAACAATCTGGAAGGAAAATACTCCCCAAAGGAGACAGTAAGTACAAAGGGGTAATGCAGGAGCAAGACTGTTTTGTTCGAGGAAGAATGAAGAAGCCGGTAGGGCTAGAGCAGAAAGAGCTGCAGGAAAGGCTGCAGAGAAAAGCTCAGAAATGTAAGGGACCCCTAGTGAAGGACCCTGTAGGTCACTAGGGGAGCCTTTTTGTTACTCTGAGGACAGAGGAAGCAAAGCCGCCTCCTTTGGCTAGGGCTGCAAGCAAATAACCACAAACAGAGGCATCAGCAACAGAAGTTTCTTGTCTTACAGTTCAAGTCTGAAATCTAGGTGTTGGCAGGTTTATTCCTTCTGAGGGAGGTGAGGGAAAGATCTGTTACAGGCGTCTCTCATTGGCCTGCAGATGGCCCTCTGCTTGTTCTTATATATTTGTGTGGTGCTCTCACTGTACTCGAACCTGTCTCCAAATTTCCCCTCTTTATAAGGACATCAGTCATATTGGATTATGGTCCACCTTAACGACCTCATTCTAAGTTGGTAAAGGCCCTGTCTCCAAATAAAGTCACATTCTGAGGCAGTAGAGATTAGAACCTCAACATATGAATTTTGGGAGGAAAATTCCACTCAGTTCAACTCATAACAAAGGCCACTGGCACTTTTTGAGCACAGAAGTACCGGACCTAACTATTTAAAAGAATTAGTCTGGCTTCTGTGCTGAGAATGGAAGCTGGAATATCAGTCAGGAGGCTCTTGCAATAACTCAGGCAAGAAATGGTGGTGGGAGCAATGGATAAAGCTGATGAAAGCAGTTGTGTTCCAGATACACTGGACATTGATGGTTCTCTGGGGGAACCTATGTGGAGGGTCAGAAAAGGAGCCAAGAGTAACTGCAAGTTACCATTTTCC
The DNA here is from genome assembly GCF_000001405.40 of Homo sapiens. Taxonomy (NCBI): domain Eukaryota; kingdom Metazoa; phylum Chordata; class Mammalia; order Primates; family Hominidae; genus Homo; species Homo sapiens. The sequence continues at coordinate 40,018,591 of NC_000013.11, forward strand.
TATCTGAGTAGACATGCCAAGGTACAGCTCCATATACATGTCTGGGGTTCAGAGGGCAGATCCATATTCAGCAAATCGATGGTCCATGAAGCTAAGAGGCTGGAGTCTGAATAGAGGAGAGATTAAAGAGCTATGCCCCTGCCTACTTAAACATTTACAGTTTATAGCTATGAAAGGAAAACAGCAAAGAAGACTGAAAAGGAACAGCTAGAAAAGCAGTGTGAAAACTGGTCAAGTCCTGGAAATGAAGAAAAGAAAATTATTCACAGGATCCACACAGTTAAGTGCTGCAGGAGGTCAAGTAATATGATAACTGAGAATTAACCATTGGGTCGGTCAATGTGGAGGTCATCGGTAACCATGTGAAGAGTTTAGGTGGCAAAGAGCCAAAAGCCTGCTTGAAATGGGTTCAAGAGAAGCTGGGAACGTTGGGCTGGAAAGCATAGTCTATGTCAAGAGATCTTGTTGTGAATGGAAGGAGAGACATGGGGCAGTGGCTGGAGGGGAAAACACAGCCTATTTCTTTACTGACTGAAACAATCTAACAGGAAAAGGAAATTGATAACGCACAAAAAAACAGCATTGATCATTCTAGAAATTGCTTCAGAATATCTCTCATCTTAGCATTTTTCATTTGAAATGGGAGAATAATACCTCTTCACTTTGTCAGGATGAAATGAAATATTACATGTAATAATACATTACAAATAATATGTTTGAAAGATGTTTGGAATTGCACATATATACAATACTTGCTGAAAATGATACCTTGCCATATATGTGCAAATAAACATATATGTTATGGCTATTTTATATAGTTTTGTAAAAGTATATATAGGCCATTTGGGCTGAACTTATGGTTCATGGTTCTGTAGAAGATGAGCTATTTTGCATCTTTGTGGGTGCAGTTCTTCACTGATGGAAAGAGAAGCAGCTGTGACAAAGAAGACAAGAGGCTTGCTAATTGTGTGGCCTTGGGCATGCTATTTAAGCTGTCCAAGATTTAATTTCCTGGCCTATAAAATGGGCACAAAAATTCATACCCCAGAGGATTACTATAGGGAAACGAAAGGGTTTGTATACAAGTTTCAACATATAATAAGCATTTACTAACTTTTTCTGAATTACAGAAGTCAAGTCTCCCACATCAACCTGTTCCTCTTATAGGTTTCAAAATGATCTGCCAATGTTTTCCAAAGGTACTTTTCTGAACCTATGTCATTTATATGATTTTAATAGTAATAATTTAAAGAAGCCCTGGTCTTCATCATGTCTTTGAAAACTGGGGCAAAATCTTGGTCTGCGCATTGTGGCTGTATACTAAACTAGCACAGTCCCAGTACTGATACAATAAGCAGATCATTACTGATAGCAGATCAGCTGTGTCACTATAGCTCATAAAACAATGCTGCTTCTATGAAACAAATGTCCAAGTTCAATGAGAGGCCCTATATCAGTATCTGCTACTGAAGATATTTATTATTAGTAATTTTTGCTATGGAAGAACTAAGTGTTTCTCCGCTCCCCATGCCCTAGGGAACAACTGCCCCATGTAAGTTATGGCTGATCCATTTGTTGGCTAAGCAAAAAGATGGATTTAAGTGTTCTTGGAGGCCACCACCATTACAGATTCATGAATTGACAATAACATGCCCTGAGGACACTGGGAAAGAGTGGAGGTAATTATTTTCTTTTCCTTTAAGGTAACTTTTTAAAGTCTATGTATCACACAAAGAGTCAATCAACACCAACTTTTATATGGTGAGATGCATATACATGTATCCTAGTTTTAGAGAGACATTTATTTAAGATAACCCAAAACTTGGGAATTAATCAACAAATTTACTAATTCTATCTAAGGCTGAATAGCCTTCTCTGAGTCATTCACAATTGAAGAGTTAAAGCTAACATCTTCTTGCTAAATTAGCCATGGAAGATACTTGACAACATGGTGCTTGCTTTATGGGGATGATAAGAATTTTTCAAATTCAAATTTTTAGTGTGATAATTCCCTTTTATGGGTAAACCAGCGATGAGTTGGGAAGATAAATGCCACCATAAATGCAACCTACTGATTTGGTGGTCATTTGGACAAGAATCTACATGATTGAACAAATATCAGGAGTCTTTATTTTACATGCAGCTCTAACAATTCATGAGAACTTCAGTGATAAAAATGTCTATAATATTAGTAATAAAGTAACCAAATAACTGTTGGGAAAAAACTTTACCTGGATTGCTTGGGTTTCTGTGCATCTTGTAAGCAGAGTCACTCTCTGATTGGCTTTGTTCTGGATTATCTTTCCAAGGATGTTTTTATATTAACAGCCTTAGAAGATAAAGAGACAGTGTCTCCTCCAAGACAAAGGGCACGTTTGTTTGTAGCACTGAAGGATGGATATAGTGTCCACCTTCAGAGTAAAGGAAAGGTGTGCTTATTGCCCAGTACAATAAAGATAATCTCCCTCAAGAGCAAAGGGTAGGCATGCTTAATGCCCATTACAAAAGATTTAGGTTCCCTAAGCTCAGGGTTCCTCTCCAGTAACACAGGCCTCTGGGTGTGCAAGTATCCCTTGGCCCTCTTTGTGTCTCTATAGGAGGCTCAGGGCTTGAGTAACCAACACAAGAAAATGCTGACATTCTAACTACTGCTACTACTGTGAGTAATAAAGGCTTTTGTCTCTGATTTAGGAGTCTTGTGTCCTCTAACAGCATCCATGAGACTGTGGCAGGCTAACTTTTTAGCTTGCAAGGAGGGAAAAATCTCAAAGCCTTCAAAGTTTTGGCACTAACATCAATATAACTGAAAGGGGAGCAAAGCATGGTGGAACACGCCTGTAGTCCCAGCTACTCAGGAGGCTGAGGCAGGCAGATCACTCAAACCCAAGAATTTGAGGCTGTAGGGCACTATGATCGTGCCTGAGAATAGCCACGTCACACCAGCCTGGGCAACATAGCAAGACCCTGTCTCTAAAACTAATAAATAAAATAGGCCCCACGTGATGACTTATGCCTGTAATCCCAGCACTTTGGGAGGCCAAGGTGGGCAGATCACTTGAGGCCAGGAGTTTGAGGCCAGCCTGGCCAACAGGGCGAAACCCTGTCTCTACTAAAAATACAAAAAGTAGCCAGGTGTGGTGGCACACACCTGTAAACCCAGCTACTCAGGAGGCTGAGGCATGAGAATTGCTTGAACCCAAAAGGCGGAGGTTGTAGTGAGCCGAGATGGCATCACTGCACTCCAGCCTGGGTAACGGAGCGAGAGTCTGTCTCAAAAGAAATATAATAGTGATAAAATAAATAAAATGAAAGCAGCTTTGATATTTAAAACAATATAGGCTGAAGGGTACTTAAATTGTGTGTGTGTGTGAGAGTGTGTGTGTGTGTGTGTGTGTGTGTGTGTGTGTGTGTGTGTGTGTGTATGTGATCTTCCAGGTAAATAAAGTGGTTTGGGGCTTTTGATAAACTAGCAAAATTACTAAAATTTTCAACAAGGCTGTCTCCACTACGGTTACATTTTAAAGCTGGTGATTATCCACTAGATTTTTGGTTCTTAATAGGAAAGAACTATGCCTTCACTTCTGAAGTCATAGCTCCTTGCTCTGTGCCTGACACGTAGTAGGTGCTCAACAAATATTTGTGGAACCAATGTCAAATAAGGTAGCCGCTACAGAATGCATTTTTATTGAATAGTCACTTAATAATTTCATTTTATAATTGCTAGGCTTTAGTATTGACAATGGTATTATTAATATTTCAGGTACTAATAAAATTTGTATTTTACTATAATTTTATCAACATGCTACATTTTCAAATGTGTTTTGATTATATTAGGCCTCATGGACCGCAATAGAGTTGGCAAATTAAGATGTTTTATTTCTCTCTTAGCTTTCCTGGCCTATAAAACAAAGACAACTAGATAAAATGAAGCTTAAATCATTTTCAACTTAAAGACTCTGTGATTCTGTGGTACTGATCTCCAATTTTTCTCACGTAAATCTAAAGAAAATTAATAATTCCTTAAAATTCATTCTCTTTTTAATTCACATTTTCTGGGATTCTCTTTCTGTCTTTAGGAAGGCACACCTGTTTTTGCGGGGGATGGAAAATAAAAACAAAAGTAATCCACCAGGAGGGAGAATTGTACCAATGCCAGATCTTACAAGTATTTGTTGATCCTAGGCTGGCATTCTCTCCATCTATGCCACACATTTCTACGAACCCTGGTGTGTCAGCTTCTCTGTGGGTCTAGGGCCAGGATGGAGGTCAAAGCTGGAGCTGAAGGTTGGGATCTGCCCTCACAGAGTTCTCATCAGTGTTCTTTCTTCCTTTAACACCCTTGGAGTAGAACAGTAAAGAATTACATTAAGGCCGGGCACTGTGGCTCATGCCTATAATCCCAGAACTTTGGGAGGCCGAGGTGAGTGGATCACCTGAGGACAGGAGTTCGAGACCAGCCTGGCCAATGTGGTGAAACCCCATCTTTACTAAAAATACAAAAATTAGCCAGGCATGGTGGCGGATGCCTGTAATCCCAGCTACTCGGGAGGCAGAGGCAGGAGAATCGCTTGAACCCAGGAGGTGAAAGTTGCCGTGAGCCGAGATTGTACCATTGCACTCCAGCCTGGGTGACAGAGCAAGACTCCGTCTCAAAAAAAAAAAAAAAAAAAAAAAGAATTACATTAAATACTCTAAATAACTGTTAAGAATATTGTTGTGAATGAAAAATTCAGTTTAGTGGTTAAGAGCATGGAGCTTGGAATCAGGTAGATCTTAGATCTAACCTGGAAATTAAGCTTATGCTGCAGGGCTGTATGAAGACGAGATTTAATAATATCTGTTGTGGCCTGAGCACACTACAGCTACATAGAAAGGATTCAGAAATCTTGATTACAGCTATGACTATTTCATGTATTATTCATGTGCTATGTAGGCCTGCCAGAGGCATGTTTGCCCTCCACGTGGCATGGGGTAGGGTGGGAATGGGGTCGAGCGGAGGCAAACAGAGGAGTCTTGGGTAAAGGAATAAACAAAAGCTGTGAGTGGTAAGTGGGTTGAAGAAAGCTCTGAACTAAGGTAACAACTCCGCATCTGGAGGTTCTGGTTTTTATTTCTACATGTGCACGGGAGACAATAATTCTCATAAAGATTAATCACTCCACAAGTGTTTTGAATCAGAAAATAATGAAGAACAGAACCTGGGTTCTGGCTTCGGAATTTGCTACAGCCCATCCAAGGGTTGTTCATAAGCTGTATTCTTAGAGGATCATTGTGCTAATTCCATTAGAACTAATTTTTCTTTTCTTTGAAAACTGCATTGTGCATTATCAGGCTGAAATCTAACAGAACTATGCTGTCAAACATTCTGTACAGCAAACAATGATGTAGAAACATCAGAGTAATCTCTAAACAAGAAATTCTTGGGATTCTGCAGATGAAGAGTGAGGTGCCCAGTGTAGGAAGGGACTGACTTATCCCATTCTTGACTTGTTAGCCCCTGACATGGAGAAGTTAAGCTCCAGAGCTTTTTCAGTGCAAAATACTCCATTTTCATTAATTCCTTGGAATTTGTGATACATGGGATATAAGTTGCATGTGCACTTCTGCATGTCTGTGTTGTGCATGTATGTGCATTGTGTGTGCGTGCATGAACCTAGGTAGAAGACCATAAGAAGTGTATAGAAGAGGAAAACTCTAAGAGGAAACACTACCAAGGTTCATGTTGAAAGGAATACTGAGTCAATGTTATTCTAGGCAATACACACAAATTTCAACTTAGAAACTGGCAGGTTGATTATATTTTTCAGATGAGCAAAGTGCATACTTTCAGAATGATGGGAGACTATTTCAACATTAATTTTAACAGGTCTTCTTTATTGATGAAAAAATGCCAGGCTCACCCAGACTGAGCTGAACCACCACCATTTGATCTGGAAAGAACACATGCTCAAGGGACCAGGCCACTCCCTGGTGAGCCAGCCTGTATTTTGGGGAAGAGATGGTTTATTTGTTAAATGATATGGCATGAGCCACAAATCTATTAGATTTTTTGCTCTGCTTTATTGCAGATTATTTGGGCAAACTCCACTACCCCTTTCTGAAAGCCATGAAGCATCCACAGCCAGCCAGCCTTCACAGTGCAAGAAAGAAATACTTGACATAGTCAAGCCTGAATCAGGAGTCAGCAACTCAGGTTTCAAACTGACTTTGGCAATTTCCTGACAACTCTTTGCCTTCATTTTCCTATCTGTGAAACAGTTTTGCTCATTTTGCTACCCTTAGAATAAATTCTACAATGTCTATGAATCGATTTAAGCCCCTTCCTAGAATGACAACTACAGGAGGCTGCTTCAAGGGTGTTCGTGTAGCCCAAACCTCCCTTTTCTGAAAGAAATGCCTCCCCCTGCACAGGACTGGACACCAGGAGCCAGATCACTCAAATGATGCTAGCCCCTGGCCATAGTTAGCTGAGTCAAAGGTGGATCAAGGAAGCCAATCTCTAATTAAGCTGGACCTACTAGTGTCTGTCTCTCTTGGGACAGGTCAGTTGGTTGGGAGCCTGAGACTGGGGAACGATGCAGAGACAAGGGTTAGGCAACACATTTCTGACACTCTTCCAGAAAATCAGGAAAAAACAGTCTGCGAAGAGAGAAAAATAATGCTGATATCCAGAGAGAAGTGGGGATGAGCAGCTGCTTGACCCCCAGGGAGTGATGCTGGGAGGCATTGCCTTGGTTCCTGACTCTACTCCAGGTCTTCATCCAGACCTTCTGCTCCTCTAACCTCATATCCTTTCAACAAATCCCACTTTTTAGCAAACACTCCTTGGTGAGTTTCTGCTACTTGGAACCAAACGATCCCAAGCCTGAAATCACATACTCCTCTGAGTTGCCTATCTCAGAAAAGCTAGCAATGTCATTGACAGATAAGGTCCTTTGCAGGAACACTGTTGCAGCTGGAGGTCATTATCCTAACTGAGTTAGTGCAGGAACAGAAAACTAAATATCATATGTTCTCACTCATAAGTGGGAGCTAAACATCGCATACTCATGGACATAAAGATAGGAATAATAGATGCTGGTGACTACTAGATGGGGGAGGGAGGTCACCAAGGGCTGAGGAACTAACTGTTGGGTACTATGCTTAGTACCTGGGTGATGGGATCATTCATACCCCAAACCTCAGCATCACGTAATATACCCATGTAACAAGCCTGCACATGTACCCTCTGAATCTAAAATACAAGTTGAAATTATTTTTAAAAAAGGATTATTAACAAGACCTTTTTATTTAAAAAAAATTCTTTAACATTCTTTCAGAACAAAACATTAGCATCCAGCTTGTTCTTGGACATTCTTGTCTGTTAAGGTTGAGCCCATTTAGGCAAATTACCCTAACATGAAACTGAGCAGAATTCTCAACAGAAATCCAGGGCTCAGCTATTAGTAGAGTTTTAATTTTTGTTATAGCATTGAAAGATGACCATTCTCAAACCACTACACAGCTAAGCTGGGTTTTGACTCCTTGACAACTGCATAGCAAATTGGTCCACATGAGGAATTCTGGCTCTATTAATCAGCTGTGGCTGCTCCATGTCAGTGGGTAAAATGCGGATGTCATTCAGGGTGCAGATGGCCAATCCAAATGATGTTTTCAATGGCATGAAATGAGGCAAAAGAACTTGAAATTGAGATAAGAGCAGCCTACCACCACCGTCCAGCCTTCACTGGAGGTGTGAGAAGCCAGCCTGTTTCTGTTCACAGGGAATTTAGGTGAATCATGACCATTTCTGTCCGCGTGAGGTTGAAAGTGAAACCCTATTCAACCCTCAAGATTTGCTCAACCAAGGGCTGATTACGGTGGGAAGGAAAGAACAGAATTTACTCATCAATAGTCCTAGACCTGTAGGCAGAAACCTTTTCCTTTGTGGTATCTGGCTCATCATCATCAAAGAGTGTGTTTCTCTGTGTGTGTGTGTGTGTGTGTGTCTCTCTCTCTGCCTCTGGTCTTTCTCATTTTATCTCTGTGTGTATGTGTAAACACACACACATATAAAAACATATACATAAATTGTGTATATATAATACATATGTACAGTATATATGTATATATTATGCAGGGCCAAATGATTATTATCAAAGAGATTATTAAAAATGCTGTTTTATCCTGCAACTTCTCAAAGAGATGAAGCTTCCAAATTGATATCTACAAGAGGTGTTGTCCTGTAGGTGCTATGAAGCACTCATATTTCCCCACAGAAGAAGTGTGGTTAGTAGGAAAATGAAAGTATTTTGAATTTCTCTTCACTGGAACTTAAGGGGAAACCCAGGAGACGTGCCTTGCTTCTTTCCCCCATGGCTCCAGCTGAGGACACCCTGTCATCAGGACACGCCTGCCCCACAGAGCAGCTGCAGAGAGGACCCTTCCCATATCCCCGGCCTCCCCAGTCTGTTCTCCTGCTGACCCCTGCCTTGTTAGCTGGATAGCAGATGCTCCCTCATCTAGCCAGCGACAAGCAGAGGGCATTCTTCTAAGAAAAGTGCCAAGAATCATTCCTTCTCTAGAAATGTCACCAGAGTCCCATGTGAAACAATAATAGGGACATTGATTTAACATCTAGGCATTTTGATTTTAAGGGCTTGTACCTATGGTATTTGCTTATGCTGGGGCTTCCTGAGTCCCTAAATAACCTTTCCAGTCATTTGGGGCTGAGTGATGATCAACAATGTATCGCAAACAGGACTTCTCATCAGTTTATTAAAAATTCATCCATCTTGGAAGATCAGTCAACTTCAACATAAGAAGATCCATTTTTGGGGATCTGACTTAGCTCACAAGTAAAGTGGGCTTTCTGGAAAGTGAGTGCGTAAATGGCCAAATGTAACATAAACTCCAGTGAGCTGTGCAAGCCACTCACTGGAGCAGATTGCTCAGTGGCCACTCATTCTGATAATTAATGAGTCTTATTTTGAACTGCAGTGACATCGTATAAACATGGATGTTTTTTCCTTCTACTTTATTAAGAAGGAAGAAAATAAATTAAACCTCCTGGCAACAAATGAATGAATATGTTATATTTTTTAATATCCACAGCCTTACCCACAGAAAGTTTATTATATGATGGGCTCTCAAAATGAATTTTAATATATGCCTTTGGATCATTTATCTTACAATTATCACCACAGGGATTTTCATGGAAAAATAACATTTTCTGGCCAGGCATGGTGGCTCACACCTATAATCCCAGCACTCTGGGAGGCTGAGGCAGGCAGATCACCTGAGGTCAGGAATCCAAGACCAGCCTGGCCAACATAGTGAAACCCTGCCTGTACTAAAGTTACAAAAAGTAGCCAGTGTGGTGGCAGGCACCTATAATCCCAGCTACTCAGGAGGCTGAGGCAGGAGAATCGCTTGAACCCGAGAAGCAGAGGTTGCAGTGAGCCGAGATTGCACCTCTGCACTCCAACCTGGGTGACAGAGTGAGGCTCCATCTCAAAAAAAAAAAAGAAAAGAAAAAACATTTTCGTGGCAACCCCTGATATGTCTATTCCCCATGGAGTATGCAGCCGTCCCTTCACTCCAGCCTCCCACTGTTGCACATGCCTTATACTGAGGCAGTCATTATTTTGGTATTGTCATCACTGGCTCAGTGACGTACAGTGTCATCACTGTACATCCCCTTCAATAGCCCATTAAGTCCTTGAAATAAAAATAAAACCTTCCTCCTTTATGCTTGAATTACTAGTCCTTAGCAATCAGTACATACCTATAATAAAGAATTGTTACATAAAAAAGAAAATTTACCAGTACAAAACCATGTTATACAATTTTAAAAACCCTAAAATTATGATAAAATGAAGTCTAAATGGCAAAAAAGAAACAGAAAAAAAAACAACTAAATTTGTAGATCTTTCCTTCTCATCTGATGTCAGTTCTTTCTCCAATAAGCAATGGGTGGCTGAAAGGCATGCATGGCATCCTTATTGGTAACAATGCATCATGTGGAAGGAACACCATGCAAGCAAGAATGCATTCTTGGTAAACTTGAGTTTTCTCTCAGATTTTTATAAATTCAGACGTAATTGAAGGAATTCCGTTCATTTCCAGAGTAGCTCAGATAGTCTTTTCTGGAAGAGATTTCTATCAGGATGAAATGACACCATTTCTTTGAGCTAAGTTCAAGTGTTTTAAAACATGCTGCTTTTACTACTTTTGAAAGTCCAAAAACAGTGGATTCAAAAAGAAAACAAACAAACAAAAAAATCCCCCCCTGCCCCACATAAAAACAGACAAGCAAAAAAACCATGAAGCTTTTCCTCCTGAATGGGATATTGCATTTTGGTGCAATTCTTTGCTTTTTTCCATCTTGTTGTGATTATGGTTTTCACCAAGTGACGTTCCTTTCTGTAGTTATTTCTCTCCATGCCCATGTATCTCTTCTGGTAACCTACTAAGGCTTGTTTTGATAGCGTGTGTTGACCATGGTCAGGGCCAGAGGAAATAAGCACCTAGTCTTCACTTCAAAGTTTAAAAAAGTTGTTTCCTGAATCCTAACAAAGATTGTTTTTCCAAACATCTTGCTAAGAGAAAAAAACAACACACCATTTGAGGAGCTTCATATTGGAAAGAGTCTTCATAATGGACTCTTGCTTCTTCCCCCTTAAGGAGACAAAGCAGAAACTGTGTTCCCCAAACAGTCATGCAAATAAGATCCCCTCATTTTTGTATTCTGCTCCAACATCTATGGACTGGGATAGAATCTGGTGGCCTACACTGCTGGATGAAAAAATGGCAATTTGATGATGTTCTGTATCTAGGGAAGAATTTCAGGGAATGTTGTCTGTTTGTCTCTGGATTGCACTTCACTTGAGCATAGCTCAGTGGAAGTAAAGCGCAAGTAAGCTACACTGTACTGGATGCCTACCTTGAACTTGCGTTATTGATGTGGGTTTTCATCCAGAAGAAGAGGGGGATAGGTTGGAGAGGAGGGTAGATGATTTTTCTCTCCATGTCTCACTTGAACTTTATCAATTTATACCTACTTGATCCCAGCATCAATTAAAGCTGTGGGAAGGGGGAATGCTATGTGGGAATATAAAGCAATCTCATAATCATAGAATAAGGCTGGGGAAGGGACCATAAAGCATTTCTATTCTACCCAACAATCTACAGTCTAAACTATTCATAACATCTCTGCCAAGCCATTACCTGGTGTCTAGGTATAATTACAGTTCATGGGGCAGCACACTCTAAGTGTGGATACCACTGTCCTGAGAAGGATGCAGTGTACTCAAGGGGACCCTCCCACTCTTAGAAGTGTAGAAGTTTGGGCCAGAGATGCTCATTCTCTCGACCATGGGCTTTTTATGCTGATAATCTGGTTAGATCACTGGTCAGAATGCTGGATGACATTTTCCATCTTTAGTTCTTGCAATTCCAGGAAGCCTTATTTACTACATGGTCAGCCTTATTTACTACGACATCTCAGCCATCTGCAGGGGGTTTGTTCCAGGATCCTCCCTCACCCCGATACTGAAATCTATGGATGCTCAATTCCTGCATCTGGCCATGTGAAACCCATGGGTATGAAAAGTCAGCCCTCGATATCCATGGATTCCATTTCCCACAAATACTGTATTTTCAATCCTCAGTTGGCTGAATTTGCATATGTGGAACCCACGGATATGGAGGGCCGACTGCACTTCCCTGTGCAAGGAAAAGAGCTTAAGATGAGGTGAGAAAAGAAGCCAAATGGTCTGCAAACATTTGTGGCCAGCACTTCCGCTGGCTCTGTTTCCAGGTTTTTTTCTGTTCCTCTGCCACATGTCACTGTGACAAGCCACTCTAGGAGGCCCGTCACACTGCTCTGTGCTCTGATTTGTGGCCTAACCTTTGTTGAAGGATCTTTTGTCCTACCAGACATCTTGACAGCCTGCTCTAGGCCGCAGATGTGGATGCTTGGACTTCCTTCCTTGATGCTAATTTTGTCATTGCAACCCATGGGCACCACTACCCAACCAGCCCCATTTCTTTCTCTTCCTTCTGTTTATTTTTAGTCATAGAGTTTGCCAGTATGATGGTAAAATATTTATGTATTTTGTATTTTTAAAGAGTCAACTAAAACAGAGTGAGCCATTACTTTCTTCTGAGGTGCTGAGAACCTTTCAATCAACAAGTATCTACTGAGCTCATCCATGTGCCAGGCATTGTTTCCTTTAGAAGTCCAGTTGATTTGTTTTTTCAAATCCCACCTTTTCTTTGAATTACATATTTTGAAATTGACAAATCTTTTCCTTTTTAAACATCATTTTAATGGTGTGTTTAGGTGACTCTTCTGCTCCCCTCGGTCACAAATATGTCAAGAGACAGAGGAATAGAGTCTGTTCTACACCAAGGAGGTAGTTGGCACTCAACCAATAAGTGATGTGGAACCAGGGAGCCCTTAGAAAGCACACTTGCTAAGGCAGAGATGAATGCTCAGGCTTCCAGCAATGGGTCTGCGTGGGGCTCCTTCAGAAAGAAGAGCTACAGCTTCTTATCATCCCTTCATTTCAGCAACCAGACTTCCCCTGTGGCTCCTAAAACCCAAATTCCTTTCTTTCTACTTCATAGCTCACCGGTGACTAATCATAATATAAATGCATCTTTTAAGCTGTAAATAACCTTAGACATGCAAAACTCAGAGACGCATTAAATCACAAGGAACATTAGTATGGAGCCAATAGTAGAATCCAGGTCTCCCAGCTATCAGCACATCCTGCTATAATAACATGAATCCAAGGATCCACCAGGAAACAGACTCGGAAAGACTTCTGTTTATCATTTGCTGACAAAGTGGAAGTCTAAGAAATGCTTCTTAGCTAGACGGACGCTCAATGTATTCTCTAACACTCGTGGTTTCTCCTCCCATGTGAACTAGGGTCACCGTACCCTGAAGGAAACACTTCTTAAATCTTAGTTCTAGGAGGTTTTGTTCACGCTTCGACCTCGACAGTGGCAGGTTGCCAGTTCCCCTCTTTCAGGCATAATGGTACCTGAATTATTATGTGAGAGGGGTTCCTTGGGATGACTTTGGCTATTGTCTCATGAGGCAAATGGGCTGCTTCTTAGAAGAACCCTGATAAAAGGAGAGGCAGAGTCACATCAAAGGCAGCACTGTACAGCACTTTGGGAGGCCAAGGTGGGCAGATCACCTGAGGTCAGGAGTTCGAGATCAGCCTGGCCAACATGGTGAAACCCCATCTCTACTAAAAATACAAAAATTAGCGGGGCGTGGTGGCGAGTGCCTGTAATCCCAGCTACTTGGGAGGCTGAGGAAGGAGAATGGCTTGAACCCGGGAGGTGGAGGTTGCAGTGAGCCAAGATCATGCCACTGCACGCCAGCCTGGGTGACAGAGCCAGACTCCGTCTCAAAAAAAAAGCAGCACTGTGGAGTGCAGGCAATCAGGGGGTGCACAGTGTGGGTATGCAGAGAATTGAAAAGCAATAACATTGACTAGCAGTCTGTCTGCTCTTCACTGTCACCATGTGCCAGAAAACGTAAAGAATGCCAGTGATAAAACACTCCTTCCTGAAATATTTTTTTCACCAATGCTATAACATTTAGAACAACGGCTGAATTTACATATAAGAGTTGATTTTACATATAAAAAGAGTGACTCTACTTATAATGAATGCAGAGAACTTCAGTTTCCCAGTGGCTCTGATCCTCACAGACTTGGCTATGCATGTATGCATGTTTTTTTTCCAGAGGTTGTGGCTAGCTGTTTGGAATCGTTCAAGATTTGGTAGCCCTGTGTGTCTCTGTTTCCTATGGCACTATGTACTCATGTGCATAAATATTAGATTCAAAATAAAAATTGATATAACAATGATGGTGTGTTAGTCTGCTCAGGAGGCCATAAGAAAATATATCACAGATGAGGTGGCTCAAACAACAGAAATTTATTTTCTCACTTTTCTGGAGGCAGGAAGGCCAAGATCAAGGTGCCAGCAGAGTTGGTTTCTGCTGAGGCCCCTCTCTTGAGCTTGCGGACTGCCGCCTTCTCTCTATGTTTCTCGTGGCCTTGTTTACTGAGCACATGCAGAAAGAGAGAGAGCTCTGGGGTCTCTTTTTCTTATGAGGACACCAGTCCAGATTAAGGCCCTACTCTAATAACCTCATTTAACCTTAACTACTTCCTTTAAAGCCACATCTCCAGATACAGTTGTATTGGGGGTTAGGGTTCCAACATATGAATTTAGGGGTTGTGGGGACACAATTTAGTTCATAACAGATAGTGAATGTAAAGAATAAGAAACGGCCAGGCATGGTGGTGCACGCCTGTAATCCCAGCACTTTGGGCAGCCCAGGGAGGCGGATCACCTGAGGTCAGGGGTTCGAGACCATCCTGGCCAACATGGTGAAACCCTGTCTCCACCAAAAATACAAAAATTAGCCAGGTGTGGTGGCATGTGCCTATGGTCCCAGCTATTCGGGAGGCTGAGGCAGGAGAATAATTTGAACCTGGAAGGCAGAGGTTGCAGTGAGCCAAGATTGTGCCACCGCACTCCAGCCTGGGCAATGGAGCGAGACTCCATCTCAAAAAAAAAAAAAAAAAACAAGAAACAGAACCGTAATTACTTCAATTCTATCATTTGTTGTAACTATGCAGTGTTTTAATTTGTGTTTACAGTTAAAAAAAAAGAGTACAAATTGCAAAGTGTTAAATTTTTGTTTGCTATATGCAAATTTTTTTTCATACCCAAAGTATTTTACTGCTTTGAAATAATACCTTTGATATTTAAATTTATTTTTCTTTAGAAATTGTCACTCCTGGCCAGGCACAGTGGCTTATGCCTGTAATCCCAGCACTTTGGGAGACCGAGGTGTGTGGATCACGAGGTCAGGTTATCGAGACCATCCTGGCCAACATGGTGAAACCACGTCTCTACTAAAAATACAAAAATTAGCTGGGTGTGGTGGCGCATGCCTGTAATTCCAGCTACTTGGGAGGCTGAGGCAGGAGAATCATGTGAACCCAGGAGGCAGAGTTCGCAGTGAGCCAAGATTGTGCCACTGCGGTCTAGCCTGGTGACAGAGCTAGCAAAAAAAAAAAAAAAAAAAAAAAAGAATTTGTCACTCCTATAATTGCACTTGTTATTAAACTGAAATGTATTGTTCTTTATTGTTACAAACATGTATTAGTTTGGTGCAAAAGAAATTGTGGTTTTGGCCATTACTTTCAGCAGCGAAAATCGTAATAGCTTTTGCACCAACCTAATAGGTTTTCCACCCTTTGCAAAAATCATACATTAATTTAAACAATTTTAGTCCACAACTTGATTCCTTTCTTGTACTGTAAAATGTTAAACTTACTTTGACTGGCTCAGTAATGGCCAAGAAAAAAAATTTTTTTCACTGTATTTCTTTACCAAGCATTTTTATTTTGTCATTGTATGTCAAATACCCACTGAAAGCAACAGAAGAGAGGCTCTTGGTCGTAACTAGATAGGACAATGAAAGGAAGTTTAGCAAGTCATCCTTCTGGGGTCCTGAAACCTCATGTTATCCTAGGTAAGTTTTCTCTGCAGAAACGTGGCCAAGTTCTTTTTTTCTTGTATGTGGGGCCTGGGGAAAGTGAACAAATAAGTCCATTCCCATCCGCTCAGGGCTTGCTCCCATTTTCTTCCCGTTTAGGCCTTGCCTGACCCATCAAAGGCATTGAGCACATACCTATGGGTACCCCAGCCCACAGGTGCATGCCATAGTCACCCCAAGAGACAGCCCTGGGCCACCCTCTCAGGCCTGCGGTGTGCACCTCAGCAACAAAGGCTGCCCTCAGGAGGACTGACCTTGGAAATAGGCTCACAGCTGTCAGGGTGGGGAATCCTGGGGATTGCATACCTGGATCCTGGTGGGTAGGGCTTGAGTCAAGCACTTCTCTTGGTCCTACAGCCTCTTCACACTGTAGAAGAGGCCAGCAAACCTGGTCATCTAGGCCTGGAGAACTTACTATTGTGGGCAATGCATGTTCACTGGTGGATGTGATTAGTTTGGAAATGCGGGTTGTGCATGGTATACCAATATTTCACAAAATTTTCTCATTACTAGCTCCTTGCATCACCTATGTCATGGATCTTAGGTGTTGAGTTACTTACACAGGATCCCAGGAACTGCCATAAGAAGGCCATTGAAAATCTTCCAGCAGCTTGACTCTCCGTATGACAGGGAGAACTTGATACTTGATGGCTTATTTCGTGTTTTGTTCGTTTGTTTGAGACAGAGTCTTGCTCTGTCACCCAGGCTGGGGTGCAGTGGCGCTATCTCGGCTCACTGCAACCTCCACCTCCTGGGCTCAAGAGATTCTCGTGCCTCAGCCTCCCGAGTAGCTGGGATTACAGGCATGTGCCACCACACCTGGCTAATTTTTGTATTTTTAGTAGAGATAGGGTTTCACCATGTTGGCCAGGCTGTTCTTGAACTCCTAGTCTGAAGTTATCCGCCCACCTCAGCCTCTCAAAGTGCTGGAATTACAGGCATGAGTCACCATGCCCAGCCCTTGATGGTTTATTTCTGACTCTACAACAGCTGTTTGGGAACCCTATAGACTGAGGTTGAGAGAGACACAGAACCGTTTCCTAAAAGATAATAACACAGCATATTTTTTCTTCTTCTGGTATTTGAAGCAAAATTACATGAACATAAACAAAGGCTACTCTTCAAGTACTCTTTATTCAGTCTGCATCTATATTTGTGTTTATATACATGCTTGTGCATGTGTGCACCTGTGCACTGTGGTACAGAAGTGCACACACATGTGTGTGTTTGTACCTTTGGCTCCCAGAAGTCCCACTGAGAGTGATTTGTTTTGAATACTGATGCCTTTTCAGGTGAGACTTTTTTTAATCTGAAAGGTGTAAGTAGAAGCTGTGAAAAGGTACAGATCAGAGACTATAACATCCCCTAAGGAACTTTTCAGAGGTTCACACTTCATGCGCCAGACTCCCTTATTTCAGGATAAGTATTTGACATGCTTTGTTACCTGATTAAACCTGCATGTGTTTTGTTCTGGCTTATTACTGTCTGAGGCACTGTGTTGTGAAATGAAAATTACTGGCATTTGCCTGCCAAATTCAGTGATTCAGAGAATTATGAATTAGGATTCTTTAATTACAGAGATCAGCACCTGATAGGTTAATTTCAAAAGCAAAGCTAACTACATGTGCTGTATTTATTTTCAAACTAATTCTATTGAATTACATTTTATTTAAAAGGTCTCATTGGTCCCCATTAATAAATAGCATTGTAACAAGAGAACAAAAAACAATAAACAAAATGCTTCATTAAGACTCGATATAATTTCATCTGGGCTGCAGAATTAAGAAGAAAATTAGATTTTCATGAAATAGAATTCAAACCCCAGTGATTCTTTTGGTACATTATTAAAATAGTACCCTTATTTGATAATATTATAGACTACTCTTATATTTCAGTTGAAAATATTTAGCTTCATGGCATCAGATGGTTTTGTTTGAGAACACATAAAACATGGTGATTTGTGGGAAAAGGAGAGAAGATTCTGTTTTAAGCCCATATTATTTTCTCTATCTTCCACGAATGTTTAAATACTGAAGAAATTGCTACAAATGATGTCTAATTTTTTATTTTATAAACCATTTTGTTATAGTTAATAGATGTTAAATTGAAGCAACAGTAACAATTTAGTGTGACAGTCTACCAAGGCAGCTTCTTGTTTTGTTTGTT
Source organism: Homo sapiens (assembly GCF_000001405.40). NCBI lineage: Eukaryota > Metazoa > Chordata > Mammalia > Primates > Hominidae > Homo > Homo sapiens. The sequence goes on from NC_000013.11 coordinate 40,036,337, forward strand.
TGTTTGTTTGTTTGTTTTGTAGTTCCCAGTGTCTACTGTTGCCATCTTTATGTCCATGAGTACCCAATGTTCCCACTTATAAGTGAGAACATGAGGGATTTTGTTTTCTGTTTCTGTGTTAATCCACTTAGGATAATAGGATAATGACCTTCAATAGCATCCATGTTCCTGCAAAGGACATGATTTCCTTCCTTTTATGGCTGTGTAGTACTCCATGGTGCATATGTACCATAATTTTTAATCCAATCCACTGTTGATGGGTACCTAGGTTGAGTTTCTGTCTTTGCTGTTGTGATAGGACTGTGATGCACGTGCAAGTGCATGTGTCTTTTTAGTAGAACGATTTGTTTTCTTGTGGATATATACCCAGTAATGGGATTGTTGGGTCAAATGGTAGTTCTGTTTTAAGTTCTTTGAGAAATCTCCAAACTGCTTTATACAGTAGCTGAACGAATTTACATTCTAACAACAGTGTGTAAGCATTCCCTTTTCTCCACAGCCTTGCCAGCATCTGTTTTTTTTTTTTTTATTTTTTAATAATAGACATTCCGACTGGTGTGAGATGGGATCTCATTGTGGTTTTGATTTGCATTTTTCTGATGATTAGTGATGTGGAGCATTTTTTCATGTGTTTTTTTTTTTGCCACTTGTATGTCTTCTTTTGAGAAATGTCTGTTCATGTCCTTTTGTCATTTTTTTAAATTGGGTTATTTTGTTTTTGCTTGTTAAATGGCTTACATTGTTTGTAGATTCTGGATAGTGGATCTTTGTTGGATGCATAGTTTCTGAATATTTTCTCCCATTCCATAGGTTGTCTGTTTAGTCTGTTGATAGTTTCTTTCACTGTGCAGAAGTTCTTTAGTTTAAATAGGTTCCATTTGTCCATTTTTGTTTTTGTTGCAGTTGAAAACTTAGTCAAGAATTACTTGCCAAGGCTGATGTCCAGAATAGTATTTACAAGGTTTTCTTCTAGGTTTTATAGTTGTAGGTCTTACATTTAAATCCTTAATCCATGTTGAGTTAATTTTTTTTATGTGGTGATGGTGAAAGGTAGGGGTCCAGTTTCATTCTTCTGCACATGGCTAGCCAGTTATTCCAGCACCATTTATTGAATAGGAAGTCCTTTCCTCATTGCTTGTTTTGTCAAATATCAGGTTGTTGTAGGTGTGCAGCTTCATTTTAGGGGCCTCTATTCTATTCCATTACTCTATGTATCTGTTTTTGTACCAGTACCATGCTGTTTTTGGTTACTGTAGCCTTATAGTATAGTTTGAAGTTGGGTAATGTGATGCTTCTGGTTTTGTTCTTTTGGTTAGGATTGCTTTGGCTATTTGGGTTCTTTTTTGGTTCCATATGGATTTTAGAATAGTTTATTCTAGTTCTGTGAAAAATGGCATTGATAGTTTGATAGGAAAAGCATTGAATCTGTAGATTGCTTTGGGCAGTATGGTCATTTTAAGAATGTTGAGTCTTCCAGTTCATGAACATGGAATGTGTTTTCATTTGTTTTTGTCATCTGCGACTTCTTTTAGCAGTGTTTTATAGTTCTCTTTGTAGAGGTCTTTCACTTCCTTGGTTATGTGTATTCCTAGGTATTTTATTTTTCTTGTGGCTATTTTAAATGGGATCGCATTCTTGATTTGGCTCTTAGCTTGAATGTTATTGGTGTTAGAGATGCTACTAATTTTTGTACCTTGATTTTGTATCCTGAAACTTTACTGAAGTTTTTTGTTGTTGCTGTTGTTTGTTTGTTTGTTTAGAGGAGGCAATAAGTACAGTGTGGGGAAAGTTCGAGAAATGAAGGCAGGTTCTCAGCCTTCCTGTATTATTCTGAACAGTCTGGCTCTTGGCCCAAAATTGCACTCCCCAATCAGCAAATCAAAAGCCTAGAATTAAATAATCCATTCTCCAAGAATGTAGTTTAGCCTGCCAGCTGTTACCCATCACATCACAAACATTACCATCTTATATGGTACTCTCCTTAAGACAAAATGTGGTAAGTATAATTTTTGATACACATACTTCTCCAACAGAGGTAGCTTCTTCATACATATCTGCTAATGTGTTTGATGGCAGTGACTGAAAACTGATGTCTGCAGGCAAACCTTGGTGAGGTGTGGTATGAAAATAGTGCTTTGGCCACCCCATCGCCATGTGGTAAGCAGATCTCTCTAATAACCGGGTCTAGTTGGAAACATAAATATGAAGCTCAGATAAAATATGCAAGCTGAAGATATAGTAGTTTCACATCCCCACTGGATATATGGATCATACCTACAGGTGTTATGCAAAGATATGGAATAAATGGGGTTTCCCAAAGAGAAAGGGTTAAACATTAGAAAAGACCTAGGCTGAAATTCCAGAGTGAAACACATTTTAAGTAGTAGATAAGCTCAGTGAAGGCGTCTGAGAGAGGTACAAAGAAAACCAAGAGATAATGGTGATAGAGAACTCAAGAACAGTTCCAAGAAGGATGAATAGGTCTGCTCATTCAACTTTTTTTTATTTAATAAAATTTAATTTAGCTGGGCATAGCGGCTCAAGCCTGTAATCCCAGCACTTTGGGAAGTCAAGCTGGGAGGATCCCTTCAAACTAGGAGTTCTAGACTAGCCTGGGCAGCAAAGCAAGACCCTGTCTCTACAAAGTATTTAAAAATTGCCCAGGCATGGTGGTGTGCACCTGCTTCTTTAAAAGAATCAGTGTGTAGACTCATAGCCTGAGGATCTAAGATCTAAGCTGTTTATTTTTAAAGGGTATATCCTTTATACTTATTTTAAGTTTTTTTCTTCATTCCAAGCAAGGCATACACATCATAAAAATTTTTTGAAGATCCAGACAGTAGAGCCAAAATAAGAAGTTTAAGTCTTCCTCTACTCCCGTTACCCAGAGGCACAAACTGTCAACAGTTTCTAAATTTATTTCCTCTGGTGGTGGTCTTATATTCTATACGAGATGCCTCTATGCTTTTTAAGAACTGTGCTTTTTTAAGCATATGTATGCTAACCCATAATTTCCTAAGATTCTCCCCAGAAGCAACACATCTTGGGTGCTTCTCAAGCATGTTCCCAGAGAATACATTATCTAGGTTATTATTTAAATGATTTTCAAGTGAAAAAAAACTGCAAAATGTTAACAACTTTTGCACTTTAATATAATGTGAATGCAAGCACAGAAATATTGTAGGTAAAGTGCAGGCTTCTTTTCCTTTGGAAACTCTCATTTTACATAATTCTCCAAGGTGACATTCCTTTCAAAACCCCTTCAGACACAATATTATTCCCTTCCTCTCTTCTGCCCAGGGTCTTTGCTATCCCTTCATACACAATGCACAGGTTCCTCATCCCCAGATTATTGACACTCAAAGGAAGACATGCCTACCCCAAAATGAATAGGCACATCTTACTTTGATATTGGGGTTCCCTGTGACTATTCTTTGATTCTGCACTGTGATATGCTTTGCAGGTAAGCTCACCTTATATGTACCATTAAATTAGCCTCACTTCTTGGGATGGTATAAAAGGTAAACTCTCTTTTTACCAAATTCTGATCATCAAAATAAAGTTCAAGTTTTGGAAGGATACTTTTTAAACTGTGATATTATTTCTTTAAAATGACCACAACACAGTAAAATTTTCTGGCCATTTGCACACCATGAATTTTGGTGGCCTTTTCTAGGAACTAAAGGAGAGAAAATTAAAGACCATGTAAAGTTAAGTATTAGTTTATATTTACTTTTGAAGCACTTATTGTATGTTTCTATTACTGATTTATAACCATATGATAACAACTTCCATCTTCATATATATTTCCTAGTTGTTTTAAAGGTACTGAGGCCGTACTATACTAAGCCTTCCAATAAGAACATATGTTGGGACTCAGTTCTTGGTTTAACATAAATTCTGAGATTCTGTGAATACTAAAGTGACCCAAGGCAAATGAGAGAGAGATACTTCTTAACAGTAGAGCATGATGCTACAACTTTTCTGTGGTTTTGCTTCTTTTTATTTTAAGAACAACATATAATGAAAAGCAAATGTTTTTTTAAAAAATCGTTTTGTGAATTTTCTTCCCATTTTAATAACCAGGTCAGATGAGTTGCATGAATGACTGAATTATAAAAGTGGTTATTGTATAATGAGTGCTGTTTAGAAATACTGACATGTAAATTACTGAGTTAGTGGTCTCAAATAGTTAAACTCATTCATTAGAAAAGAAATCAAAACTGTGTTTTGCATATGTCAGACTGTTCTCAGCACCAAGAGACATTCATACAGAGCCCTTCATCTTCACCATCAAAAGATTCACAGCCTGCTGGGCGAGGCAACACGTAGACAACCAACCTGATAGTGTCATTGCTATTGGCATAAACGTAAGGAGAAATAAATTCTGCCTGGAATCTTGGAGGAGGTTCTACTGAGAAAATAAACGTTATCCTATATTTTACAGAAAGAGGAAGACTGTGGAAGTGAGGAAAGATATTCAAGCTGGGGGCGCCAAGGGTATTGAGGCCTGACTCTGCTTTGATAGTGAGTCTGGAGTTGAGGATGGAGCTCAGAGGAGAGGAGTTATTTATACGTCAAGCTACTTCACCCTGCATGGTGAGAGGTGAAGCCAGCTGGGCTTCTGGGTCGGGTGGGGACTTCGAGAACTTTTCTGTCTAGCTAGAGGATTGTAAATGCACCAATCAGTGCTCTATGTCTAGCTAGAGGATTGTAAATGCACCAATCAGCACTCTGTAAAATGCACCAATCAGCACTCTGTAAAATGCACCAATCAGCACTCTGTAAAATGGACCAGTCAGCAGGACATGGGCGGGGACAAATAAGGGAATAAAAGCTGGCCACCCCCAGCCAGCAGTAGCAACCCGCTCAGGTCCTCCTCCATCCTGTGGAAGCTTTGTTCTTTTGCTTTACATAATAAATCTTGTTGCTGCTCACTCTTTGGGTCCGCATCAACTTTAAAAGCTGTAACACTCACTGCGAGAGTCTGGGGCTTCATTCCCGAAGTCAGCAAGACCACGAACCCACAGGGAGGGGCAAACACCTTTTAAAGAGTTGTAACACTCACCGCGAGGTCCGTGGCTTCATTCTTGAAGTCGGTGAGGCCAAGAAGAAACTCCGGACACATCTGAAGAAACCAAGTCCGGACACAATGGGTTCTAAGAAGTCAGTGACAATTTTTAAATTGGAGAGCAGCGAGTGAGGCTCGTCCCTGCCAGGGCAAAACCAAGGCAGTAGCTTGTTCTTGTCAGTCTGCACCCACCTGAGGGCTCACTGCATATAGGGGAAGTCCTATCAGGAGCATGACAGTGAATGAGGCAATGCATCAATAGGACATATGTTGAGAGAAACTTTCCACCCCGTCCCCCTTTACTGACTTCCCCCTCGTGCCTACAATTCTGTTTGTAACCTTCTCCAACTTGGTCACAACTATTATTCCCAGAGCCATGCCTCTTCCTAGCAACCGGAAGATGAGGTGTTCCTAGAATCTTGAAGATCTCTAATCATGAAGCTGTGCGGAGCAGTCTTTGAAGGAGGAGGCTGCCTCTCAAAGCTCCACAAGCAGCAGGAGTCTGACTCCAGCCTAGATGACCTTGGAAGCCAGAGCAGACTTCTTAAAAAACAAGGCTTCTTTGCTTCCCCACCTTTTACGTTTTCTCCGCTTGTAAGTTCTGTCTCTGCCCAAAGTTAATCATAGATGATCCAATGGATCTGTACAGATATTTACCTACAGCAGTACCCATTGTCATTTTATGTGTTTTGGAAAAAAAAGAACCTACATTTCTAACAATAAGGAGTTGGTTGGATAAATTATGGTATATCCATACAATGTTATACCACATGGTCGTTATAAATGATGGAGAAAAGAATATGTAATAACAGTACAATGATCTTGATTCCTAAATGCTAGAATTATGCATGATTTTTTCTTCTTTGTGCTTATGTACAATTCCTAAATTTTCTATAATGCAGATAAGAAAAGGGAAATGTTTTAAGAAAAAGGAAATGTTATTTTTTAAATCAGCAGTGGTTTTTTTTCCTCTATTTTGAGGCCCAAAGACCCTTGGATTCAATACCGTTTAAAGCAACTATAAATTTTTTAAATACTTAAAGCACATCTTCATATATAATTTACCTAAGAAATCAAGAGTACATTTCTGGACATTTCAAAGCTATAATTTCAACTGTGATCCTGGAAACATAATAAAGCCTCAAGAGTAAAATGCATGAGTAAAATTTGTGTCTCCATCAAAACCCCTTGACACGCACAAATTTTATTTATGTGAAGTTTGGGCAGAGACCATCCCTTTTATGATTACTGAATCCTATAATTTAACAAACTACCTCTTTTTCTCTTTCTGAAGCTTGGAACTTAATAGTTACAAATACAAGTGTGTAATACGGTAGAATTTTGTTAAATCTCTCATGCAATTATACCTTATTGCTTATCATAGTTTAACATTAGTTTCATATTAGCAATTTAAACAATTTTTTATTACTCTGATTTTGGAGATGTCAGAAAAAGCTTCATAAATATTCCTTTTTGTTAGGAAAGAGCATTCTTATAAAATGGAAACTCTGGGGTGGGCTAGCTGAATATGCCCTATAAAGAAAATATAGAAAATGTTAAAATAATGAGCAGATCTTACCTTCCGATTGCCTTAGTTAATCTTTGGAAACCAGGGAGACAGTTTTCAGGAGGTTGGGTTAACACTTAAAAGCCACCTGGGTACCATACAATCCAAGAAAGCAGCAATTCAGAAGAGCTAATGGTACTTTTGAAAAGTGCTTTACTTATTCCTTGGGGGAGTTGTTCAGACATAAGGAAAATCTGGCTCAGATATTCGTGGTTTTATAGCTGCTGTAACCAAGAAAGTCAGAGTGAAATATAGGCATTATATAAGAAGCCTCTTTATGTGCCAATGTGCTGTATTTAGTCCTAATTGCAGATAGGGAAACTGAGGTCCCTGAGAATCTATTTATACTTGCCCAAAGACATAACAAACCAGATAATAAAAACTAGACTTCACACAAATACGATACATATTTTTTAAAAAAACTTCAAAGTTTGTCTGATTTTGTTCACATGTTCTGAATATTTGTTAATTCATTAACTCCAGATATTTGGACAGCTTGGCTTGATTTGAATAACACTTTGAAATTTAATGCACAGCCCCCTTCTCAGTGTTATAAAATTTTGGCTCCAGAGATGACTGTAGTTCTTGAAAGTCCCCCATCACATATATCTTCTCACAAAAGTGTAAGAAACATATCTTTTTCTTTAACTCCTGGCTCAGATTCAGGTTGTAAAGATACGTGGTTTTCCAAACACCTGCGTGAATGTTAGCAAGATCCAAATCTGCTTGAGGGACCTGTATGTTTTTCTCTAACAACTCATGTTTTCTCCACCAAGCACTGATCCAAGATCTGCTTCAAATAGCGTATATTCTTTCCTAAAAGATCTTTTCTTCTCCTCTTCAGGAATGATTAGGAGAAGCACGTGCAGTAAGCCTGACTGCAAGGCTGTTAATGCTGAAAAGAAAGGTATTGGCTAGCCCAGATTACTGGAGAGGAGAGAAAAGGCTAAGTGATTTTGAAACCATTTTTAAGAGTGGAGTGGTGTAACTTAAGCCGCACTGGAATGCTGAGGGATAGGGTTCTTCAGACTTTCTCATGAAGGAGATAAAGCACCAAAAGAACTGGAGTTGGAGCTCCAAACATTTGGCAAAGACCCAAATCTTTTCAGTGGTAATGGTGTGATATTTAAATTGTTCAAGAATACTCTTGGGCATGCTTGATGATCCATGAACATGTAACATCAACTTGGATTTAACTCTTGTTAAACTGGGTCCTTCTAAAGATCATGAGAAACTAACTGTCCTTTTCTCAGGACTCGATGCTGTTAGTTGGCTAATCATCAGTAGGAACTGCACTCTAAATTTCTTCTCCAGTAGTAGTGACAAATTTGTCACAAATGGTTTTCTCTCTCTTGTTTCTCCCACTTATCACCAATGGCTTGTGTTTGCAAAAGACAGCTATGCACTTTGAAGTTAGACCTTACAAAATGTGTGACCTTCAACAAGGTGACTTAACTTCCCCAAGTTGCAGCTTCCTCCTCTGTAACCTAAGAGTAATCAGTGTGCACCTTAGAGATTTCTTCTCAATGTTATACAAGAAGATGCAGTGTAAAGGATTTAGCCCAGTTCTGGCATGCAGTAATTTAACACAAATAACAGTAACTAATATTTATTAAGTGCTTATTATTTGCCAGGCAAAGTTCTAAACACCTTATACATATTAACTCACTTAATAATATTATTAACCCCATTTTTCAGATGTGAAAGTGGAGCTACCTACTTATTGAAAGTTTAAAAAATGAATAAATAATGCTACTTTCTTACTTTCCCAAGCTGGAATAGAATTGAGAGATAGACATTGGAATAAGCCAGATGAATCTCAAAATATTGCTTTTATTATTGATGAAGGCAATCAAAGGAAATACCTCAGATCTTTACCCTTGCTAATATTTTGTCCAAAAAGACAACATGTCCTCCCACTTACAGATATCACTGAACAATTGCAGGTTTTCTCAGGAAGAGCAAGCAAATTATTACGTGCAGAGAGCCCAGAAAGCTCCTCTTTGCTGGAAGTCAGACCTGAAAACAGGAAAGAGATGACCGAACTGAGCATGCCCAGTTCTTTCTCCCAACTCCTCCGTCAGGTAATACTTTCTGCAGTCAGGACAAATAAATAAGGGATGGGGAGAGAACAAGACGTTAGGCTAACAAAAAAATCCCATGATCTAAAAAAATTGAAGCCAGGGTCTAAGAGGTTCTCCAAATGTCATCATCATCATTATCTGTATTAAGATTCCATTTCTTTATATCCAAATATTTAGGATGAACAAGTCTACAGAAACAATGTACAACATGAGAACTAAAGTTAACAAAATTGTATTGTATTAGACATTTTGGTTAAATCAGTAGATTTTTGCTGCTCCTGTCACACACACACAAAGTAACCATGTGAGATGATAGCTTTGTTAATTTGCTTCACTTTAGTAACAGTTTACTATTTATATGTATTAATATCCCATAGCATTGTTGTGAACCTCAAATACACACAATACTATCTATTTTTTTTAAGTTTCATTTCAAAAAAATAAATATTGGAACCTTCAGATTTTAGAAATTTCCATTTCTATCAGTATTGGGAAATTGTGTGTTTCTAAAAATTTGTCTGTTTCATATAAATTTTCACATTAATTAATAATTAGCATAAATATGTTTATATATCACCTTACTATCTTTTCAATGTTTGTAATTTCTGTGGCAAAGTTCCTTCATTCAGCCCTTGATAAGAATAATTTGCACCATGTCTTACTTCTTCTTAATCAGTTGTGCTAGGAATTTATATATTTTCTTCGTCTTAAAAAATTTAATATATTGGCTTTGTTGAATCTGTTGCACATTTGCTTTCTAGTTCATTGATTTTTGTTCTTATCTTTATTATTTCCTTCCTTCCATTTTATTTGGTTTTATTATATCTAACTCTCTGAGATAGATACTCAGATCACTAATTTTGATATTTCTTTTTCAACTACATATATTTGAAAGTCTAAGAATGACTTCAACTGCATACAAGTTTTGATATATATAATTCTCATTATGGTTCAGTTTAAAATATGTTCTAATTTTCATTTTCTAGTTCCACTTTTTTCATTTGCTTTATTTTGTATATTTCTACCCACATTTTAGTGTAGTCAGAGAACATGAAACCTCTGAATAACTTCAATCATTTGAATTTTTACAAGAAAGCTCTATAGCTCAGTATGTTGTCTACATTTTGGTAAATATTTCTTCAGATATTGGGTCAATTTGTTACTTAGTATGTGCAAATCTTCTATACTTTATTAACTTTTTGTCCGCTGGTTGACATTTGGTTCTCTGATTGTGGCTTTATCTACTTTCCCTTTTAATTCAGTGATTTTTTTCCTTATATATTTTGAGGCTATGTTTTTAGAAACATAAATCTAGAATTGTTATATATTCTTGGTGAGTTGCCCATTTTATCATGATAAAGTGTTTTTCTTCATGTCTAGTAATGCTTTTTCCCTCAAAATCTACTGTGTTTGATATAAGAATAACCATACCAACTTTCTTTTGATAAGCATTTGTATGATCTCAACTTTTGTGTCTGTATATTTAAGCTGTATATTATGTTCCAGATCTAGATATACATAGGAATATTGACACAGGTATGATACAAAGAAAAAGATAGATCTATATCTACTATGCTATCTACATCTAAATTTATGTCATTATTACTTTAAAAGTATATTTTACTTTCTAACTACAAATATCTATCTAGTATTTAACAAACTGGCATCATACTATACACGGTATTCTGTAACCTCCTCTTTCCTGCTTAATATATATTATAGAAGTCTCTGTCGATTTCTGTGTTATTTGTCAACATTTTATTATGACAAATTTCAACCACATAGCAAAGTTAAAAGAATTTTATAATACTTGTGTATCTATCACTTAGATTCCACCAATAGGTTACTAAACTTGCTTTATCATGTATCTATACATCTATTAATCCACATCTATCTCAGTTTAGGTACTGTGATATTGTGAAATATATATTTGGGCTATATTGATGATATCTATACCTAGAAAAGAGTATGCATGCTATAAAAACCTTTCTCTCTTGGTAGGATTGGATCATGGGATTAAGAGGTGCAGAAATTTTACCTTTTATTTTGTACACATCTATATCATTTATCATTTAGATGTTATAAAGTAAGCAAGAATTGATTTTGAAAGAAAAAAATACATCTATTTTTTAAAATACAAATTCTCAGACCTGATCCTTAGACATTCTGTGTCAGTAGGTCTGAGGACCAGCCTCTTTCTCAACCAGCATGCAGAGCGTCTCTCTACGTATGTCCTGCAGGCATTTCTTGAACATGCAATAAGTGCCAGACACTGAAATTAAGCTTTTCCTTGCACTATTGCATTGACCACTCACAACCACCATGCAAATTAGGTACTATTGTTAACCCCATGTGAGAAACAAGAAAACTAGAGGCACAGAGAAATTAGGTAAATCCCCCAAGATCACATGGTGGCGAACAGCAGAATAGGTGTAGAGCCTAGGGTCTGATTTTAGTCCATGCACCTCTGTGAAGAAAAAAGTTTGTTTTTTTCCTCTATTCTCACACCACAAGCATCAACACATTAGACTTCTGTTACCTCTGGCCACCAAGAAGTGTGTGGGATTTCTTCTCACCAACAACCAACCAGTCAATTCTGTGGCAGACACCAGATCGGACGTAATCTACCTGGAGATAGCGTCAGTTCCCACAGGTTGAGGGCTCAGTCCCACATGACTGCTCCCGACTTGCAATGCCAATGGCAAGCCCCAGGTTGTTTTGTGCTTCTGACCTACTGACTATAAGTTGGGATTCCCACAAATACCTGTTTGGGTTCCATTAATTTGCCACAGTGACTCACAGAACTCAGGGGAAAATGATTACCAGTTTACTTAAAAGGATATCACAAAGGATACAGATGAAAAGGGCAAGGTACAGAGGAAGGGGTATAGAGCTTCCATGCCTCTCTCTATGTATTCCATGCCTTCCCCAGGTGTGCCACCCTGGAGGAACCTCCACGTATTCCTTTATCTGAAAGCTCTCCAAACCCTGTTCATTTTGGATTATTTTTGTAGAAGTTCTATTGCATAGGCATGATTGATTAAACCATTGGCCACTGATGATCAACTTAGCCTTCAGTCCTTCACCCCTCCCTTGAGAATGGGGATGGCTGAAAGTCCCAACCCTCTAATCTTGCTTGATCTTTCTGATGACCAGCCCCATCCTGAAGCTACCTAGGGGATGCCAGCCACCAGTCGACTCACTATCATACCAAAGACATCACCTGGGAGATTTTAAGAATTTTAGGACTTGTATACCAGGACAGGGTGTAAGACCAAATACATATTTCACAATATCACAGCACCTAAACTGAGAAAAACTCACAATTTTCTCATTTTTAAATGAGTGAATTCAAAGAAGAAAGTGTCTACATGTGCCAGAGAAGGGAGGTGGCAGCCACTGTCTATACAAAACTGAACAAGACACCTTCTCTCACTGGAGGAAGTTTGCAGTCTATTGAGAAACCTAGAGCATTTTGATACCGTCTGATAAGATCTCTGGTAGGAATAATCGCAGGGCATTCAGGGAGCATATGGCAGGGGCACCTGACCCATTTGGGGGGGTGGGGGTGGGGTTGACAGGAAAAGAGTTCCTGAAAGAACAATATAAAGGTGAGACCCGGAGATGAGCAGGAGCCAAGTTAACCAGAGCATCCTGCTGCATGCCTCAGGACATGACATCAGACAAGACAGGAAATCCAGACCAAGGGGAATCGCGAGAAGAAAGGCATCCTAGCAGAGGGGGCTCCACATACAACACTCCAGGGTCAAGCGAGATCATGGCACATTTCAGTTTTGTGTCACAGCAAGAATTATATTTCTAAAACACAGATGTCATTCTATTCAAAAACCTCTAATGGTTTCCTGCTCCCTGCAGAAAGAGGTCCCAACTCCTTAGCAAACATGCAAAGCCCTTCCGAATTGGCTCATTTGATTTCTACTACGCCAGCCATCCTGAATAACATGAGTGCCCCAGCCACATCCTCACTCACACTTTTCCTTCTGATGAGGTAGTAGCCCTTCTCCCTTTTCTACTCTATGAATTTCTACCTGTTTTTCCAAGTCCACTCAAATGTCAGTTCTTCCCTGGGCACCCAGATGAAATGAAATGTTTCTTCATTATTGTTCCCATAATATATTTTACACGCTCTAATGTTTGACATATTGTATTATTAGTTTTTGTTTATGTGTGTACCTGGTCTGATGGACATGGAGCTCCTTGACAGCTCAAATATTTCTCTACCCTACGCCTATTGGGTTGTCTGGCCTTCAAGAGGCCTTCAATAAGTACTTTTTTTTTGAGTCAGAGTCATGTTCTTTGTCACCCAGGCTGGAGTGCAGTGGCACAATCTCAGCTCACTACAACCTCCGCCTCCTGGGTTCAAGAGATTCTCCTGCCTCAGCCACCCGACTAGCTGGGATTGCAGGCACCCGCCACCATGCATGGCTAATTTTTTCTTTTCCTTTTTTTGTATTTTTAGTAGAAACAGGGTTTCACCATGTTGGCCAGGCTGGTTTCGAACTCCTTGACCTCAAGTGATCCACCCGTCTCAGCCTCCCGAAGTGCTAGGATTACAGGCGTGAGCCACTGCATTTGGCCCAATAAGTACCTTTGTAACTGAATTGATTTAAAAACGACTTTTGTCTATTATTGATTAGATATTTCCAATTTCATGTTTTTCCTTCAACTGATAGTTATACTTGTCAGTTTGTACAGCCCACTTTTCAGTTCAAGAAATCTGGCTTTTATAATTTCATTATAAATAAATATCCATTTAAAAATTAAGTGGGGTCCAGGTAAAATTTTGGGCTTAACTAGAGTGCTATAAGAAGAGATGTGGAGAGTGATAATTCAGTGTAGAATCCACCTTCAGATTTCATTCCTGGGCACTGGTCCAGGAAATCAAAGATCCCCACTGAGTGCCCCTCTTTAGATTAAGAGATTATTTATAGCCAACCTATGAAGCAGTCTCACAGAGCAGAGCCCGGGAATCTGCATTTATGACAATCTCCAACCCTTGCCCCCAAACATACCCTCCCTCCTTTCCTGCTCCCTCCCAGGTGATTCTTATGCACAGTGAAGTTCCAGCGCCACTGCTAATAACCTTCCCTGGCAATATAATCAGTCACGTTTACCCAGTTCAATTGCACTTTCCTGGGAGGTATAACTGAAAGCACATTGTATTGAGCAGCATTAGAGATGCAGTTAATGGTACGTCAGTGAAATCAAGTAAGTAATAAATATATTAAAGTGCCAGTAGTATCTTTGACATGAGAATGATTACAAAGAGTTTGAATTTCTAGTAGTTCCAATCTAAAACATTGTCGTCATGAGCCAGAGATTTTGAAGAACGATTTCATATTAATTATGCAGTTCTAGGTGGATATATTTGTAGATAGTACTCTTTTTTAAGTCATGATCTTGATTTCCTAACATATCCTTTTGCATGAATATTAAATTTGTCAGTCAGTAATCACCAGAAGTAATATAACACTAGTTGTGAACATCTGCCTTGACAAGGAAGATGGCAAATGTCACCATATGTTACACATGGTTATTATTATTCCAAGGCCTTATTATTGCGAACTTGTGTACCATGGGTTAAATCATATTCACAAAATTGAAAACCAGACTGCAGAAAAGTACAAACATTTAAAACAGATATACAACACAGCTTTCTTTCATAGGCAGAGAGAGAAAGAGCAGGAAATATTTAAATATATACCATTTGGAATGTATTTAATAATACTAGTTTATGGCTAAAAATCATATGATTGAAGTTTGATGAATATAATAATAATAACTGTAGCACCATTCATTACCTCTTATGTGCCCCAATTGTACTGGAACTTTCTATACTTAATCTCTAGTCCTTATAATAAGCCTTGAAAGAAAGTATCATTTCAACCTTTACAGTTGAAAAAATCATGTGTAGGCAATTGTGTAAGGTCACGCAATTAGTTAATGACAACATTAGTTTCTGAATCCAAGACTGTCTGACCTCAAAATTCATTCTCTTTCTCCTTTAGACCATAAACTGCATAAGGGCAGAGCCTTTGCCTGTTTTTATTTTCTGCTGCATTCCCGGAGACTTGAACAGAATGTAGTAAATAGTAAGTGCTCAATAAATGAAAGAACAATAGCTTGCTGTCCAAATGAAGAATTTTATCCTTGTGCGTTTCTCTACCCTTAATATCCTTTCTCTAAATCCTTAATTCCAGTTTATGATAGATAGTACCCTAAACCAAACAAAAATTATATTAATAATGATGATAGGGGAAAAAAATAATAATTAAAATGTTTAATTAATTCAAAGAAGGGCAAGAAAGGAGTAAAAAAGGAAAAATAGGATGGATGGGACAAACAGAAAATAAACAGTAAGATGTAAAATTTAAACCCAATATATCAGCAGCTAAATTTAGTAATAAGTAAACAGATTGCTCCAATTAAAAGATAAAGAATATTAGACAAAATTTAAAATTATTTCCATTTTGTTTACTTAATTTTTGAAATTCTTCCCTTTTATATCTTTTATAAAGGTGAAAATGGGTTCTCAGAAAGTTAAGAGACTTGCCAAAATTACACAGGTAATGAGTGGCAGAGTCAGGATTTGAGCCCAGCTGTCCATCCCAAGTGCTCCCTTGTGGCCATTTAACCTGGACTCAGCCAAGACCAGGAACCATTGAGCTTGGCAAGAGCTGTGTCAAGGCCATCCTTAGGGTCAAAGCCAAACGGCAGCTGGGAGTGGTGAAGGGTAAAGTATAGTCCCACCACAATAAGGAATAAATGGTCTTTGGGAATGAATAGGATTTCTGGAAAGTGTTAAGGAAGAAACTGACGTTGGAAACTGCAGACTCATGATAGAACCAATACATGAAAAATGTGTGTTTTTTTCTCTAGCATTACCTGGCAGTCCTGGTTAAGAGTGGAGAAAATGGATAGTTGACTGATTCTGGGCTTGTGTTATGCTGGAAAGTAGCAGAAGACAAGATGGACAAGGAAGATTAGGGTATGAGGGAGAGGTTAACAAGGGTTAACAAAATTTGATTTTGGATAGTGTAGGCTGGATAGGGAGGCTGCAAAGAGAGTGAGTGCAGTAGTGAAAGGACCAGATGCCTGAATGAGGCTGAAGAGCAGAGAGGAAGGGAGAGGGAGGGAGGAGAGAGAGAGAGAGAGAGAGACCTAGAAGGATACGAGCCTGCAGTCATGGAGAGTAGAATGGGTGTCCAGACCATATCTTGTTAAGGCATCCTAGAAATAAATTAGAAACAAAGGTAGAATCAGTTAGTAGATTTAATTTTGATAGTTAAATTTTGGGCAGAAAGATACAAGCCTCAGGCTGCAACTCACTTCTCATTCTTACATGAACTACCATTTTCATGAGATTCTCAAAAACTCCGATCAAAGACCATTAAAAAATTCTAAATTCCTCCAGGTAACAGATTGCTTTCTCTGAATCACTCATTTTTTTTTCCCAAAATGGGGAGGAAGAAAATAGTTAAAATTAGCCACCTTTTTATAATACATTTGCTGAAACCAATTAGTAATTATTTTTTAACATAAGCAGTTGGTGTAAGAGTGATGATAATATATTTACAATTTAAACTTAGTATCATTAATGAGATTGTCATTTCTATATGGAAGCCAGACTGTCAGAAGCTGTCCCCTTTATGACAGAGAGTTGCTGTTTTAGCTCTGGGAGGGGAATGGTACCAGTTAAAGAACTCTTAAAAAATGACCCTGCAATAACAATGTATGGCATAATATATGTTGGAAGAGCAGAAATGCGTACAGTTTTCCAAGACTTTCCATACAAAAGATTAGCAATTTTTATCCAATTAACAGCAATTAACTGTTTAATATTAACAGTTAAAGCGTATCTTAAATACCTATCAACATAAGAGTGTGGCTTTTTTACAATGAAGTATTGCCATGGGTGGAAACTCCCAGATTCTTGACAATACATGTATCTTTTTGTACTATTCTTAAATAGTCTAATATTAGCCTTTTCTCTTCTAAATTCCCATATTTGGATACAGAGTGAAACTTTCTTTTCACTTCTCATTTAATCAGCTTTGGCACCAACCCCCACCCCTTCTGTCAGCTTGATATTCAGCTTGAGTCTGACCTAATTCTGCTCAGGCAACAAACTCACTCACTTTTGGGTCAAAAATAGGAGTAAGGAGAAAGAAGTGGGAGAGGAGAGATATCAAGTCTTTCTTGTGTTAAGCTGCATTTGGGCATCAGCCTGATACATTTGGGTACTTTTTAAAATGCCATGCACAGTTCAAAGAGCTGCCTTAGTTCACATCAACCTGTGATTGAGTTTAACGCAACCCCACTCGTCCTCTCCAGGCCCAGCTACACAGAGGCAGAGTGGGGTGGAACAGGGTGTAGCGCCTGGAGTTGGTGCTTCCCAACCCTTGTGTGTATGTTCCCAATGCCCTTCCAGGCTCTGGAATGACTGCTGCTGTTGTGAGTAGAGAGGGCAGACCTTCAGCCTTGGCAGCCATTGTAGACATTGATTTCTGCTGCCTGGTCATCTCCTGTGTATCACGTGGTGGCAAAGCTCTTGCATGTTTCAGTAAACAGAGGACCGTCCTTGGGTTTCAGCTTCACTTGACACCATGCCTTTTCTCTCTGCTCACTGATGTGAGGTCTTCCAACTGACTACCATCACCACAGCAGCATGGATCTTGAGGAGTTGAAATCTCCATAATATAACTCAAATTGGGGAAAATATAGTTGAGCAATTCTTTCTATTTTGTCATTTTGAAATTTTGTTCTAGAACTTCATTCCCAATAATGGCCTCCAGAGCATAACTTGGCTTTGCTAGAGACTGTGAGTTGCCTACCTAAAGTCAATTCTCTTCTTTTTTTTCTTGCCAAAATACTGTAATTTTTTTCCCAGTTGCAGAACATCCAGCCAGAGTTTATGCTTCCCAGTCTCCCTTGCGGCTGGTTATGGACCTGTAACTAAACTCTGGAATGGGAGCTACAAGTTGAAGTATTGTGTGGAGCTTGCAGAGTAAGCTTTACATAAGATAATGATGTGGAGTGTACACTTTGACCCTTCCTCGCCCTTACTCAGTTTGCTGCCTAAAACGTTGGCACTCTCTTATCACTTGCTAGCCATGTTACTTGGTTCTTATACATTATTTTGTATTGTTTTTGCACCTATGTCTTGTTTCTTCAGTGAAAATACATTAAAAGCAAATTAAAGTCAGGGACTGTTTTTTTAAGCAACGTCACACACATGTACACACTTTGGGAGTACAGGTGGGGTTATGAAAGTAATAGACAAAGCAACCTCTGACACGAAGAAGAATGTAATAAGGATAGGACTCACCTGGTGAGAATGATAACAGAACATATACAAGGAATAAATACAGATACAAAGTAATACATATAGATATATTTTAATCTGTTTATAAAGTAGATATCTTTAACTGAATTGTACATGATCACTTTCCTTCCCTTTACACTAATATAGTTTCAGTACAGACGTTCATGCGTTCAGAACTGAAACTCTTAGAAAAGATGAGATAGAGAAAGGCCACTCACCCTTCACAGCTATAAAGAATCACTAATGCCTGGCTCCTACCATGAACTTAGAGAGGGCCCCTCATTAACCACGAACCAACAGAATCATAACCATAGAGAAGATTGTCCCCTCTCTTTTATGCATCATAAGTCCATCTCCTGCATTACAAGAACACTGGGCAAGCTGTTGAGATGACTTCTTAAGACATAAAGGAAATAATTTAAAGATTCATTACATGCAAATCCTTTTTTCACTTCGGCTTCTTAAAGCAGACATGTGCATAACTACCTTTGTAATGTTTCTATCATATACAGGAACCAAAGAAAGTGTCTACAATATCATAAGTATACTGGAAAAGTTCAATTTACCATAAAAATGCTAACACTGGTAGTAGTAGTTAATACAGTAATACTTCCATGGACCTGGATTCTAATAGAAAACATTTCAAAATTATAGCAGCATAAAAAGAATGGCATTAATAATAAGTAGAATTTATCTCACACATAATAATACAATCACAAGTCTCCTCAATTGTTTGACACTTGAAATAAGCCAAGGTCCGACTTAAATTGTGTGGCATGGTAGTGATCATTGGAAATGGGGGAGTGGTTTAGACAGTGGAACCCTCCAAAACCATCTCTTGAAGCTCATTCACTATATTTGGTAGCAAAGAAACCAGCTACCTACCAAAGATTCAGGCTTCCCTTCTACAGAGTTGTGACCAGGAAGCAGCTGCCCTGCTATCAAAGTGGGTTCACACAGCCTCAGACCTGGGCATAGGAACATGGATGGGAGTGATGTGTGTCACTTTGACCTGGCCCATGAAAACCTTCCTGTCATCTTCCAAGCTCTCTTTCAATCCCCATCACTGGCTGGAATGAAGGATCTGAGGCACTGGGGATGGTGGAACCACAATATAGAAAGAGCCTGGATCTCTGAAACACTGTGTGGAAGGCTGTTTGCCAAGGACTCACCTTACGTTGTTCTTTAATCAAAAACTAAACTTTGTTCTAAGCCAATGAAATTGGGGATTTAGCCATCACTGGAGTTAGCTCAGGGTTAATTAGAATGGCAGGCTGTGGTGTGCCAGGAACACTTTCCCCTTTCCCACTTCCAGGGCTAAGATTTCCCTACACTAATAGTAATTAACAAGAAGGTTCTTTTCCTGACTTCTCCACTTCTTTGCTCTTCATACTTTCCCTTTGGCATTTTCCCAATAATGTCTCTTTTGAAACACCTGTCAATCCATCTGAGATCAAGTCTTGGTTTTCTTCTTACAGAGGCTACTACTGCTACCAGCTGAGCTCAGGAGTGAGGGAAATGAGAGGAGGGTGGTGGGAAGGGAAGAGATGATGGGACTTGTGTCCCCTTGGGGGCTTCCACATTCTTCCTCTTTTCCATTCCAGGACTACCTGAGTCATACCAAGTCCTGGCTTTTAGTGCTCTACTGAGATCAGGAGGGAGGCAAAGTTGCAAAAGTGGCCTCTGGACTTCTGGAAAGGACAGAGCCAGTGACTTGCAGCATAAAGGGTTTTGGGACCACACAGAAAACCAAATCCTATTGTGCTTGTGAAAAGGTGGTGATTGACAAAGGGCCTCAAGAGGTCTCACCTGTAATTCTCTCTCTTTTCATTCCCTTTATGTTCCCTAGGGTTGTGCCAATGAATAATTGCCATTGCCATTCTTCCAAGGAGAATCAATTACTGTATCAATGGTAGCTGGCTGTTGCCTGCAAAATCTCTGGAATTTAGGTCATGGCAGTATTCTAGTTCTATTTCATTAAGAGGAAACTTGCTTGAGAAACATCACCAATATGAACATCTTATTGCCTTTTTTGTTGTATTCTTGGATATGTACAAATTCAGGATTCAGAATGGGGTAAGTCCATTTCCAAGTGTTTGTGTGAGCACACATGCAAATGCATGGGTGGGTTCCTATTCCCTTCAACATCAAGTGGTCTAGACTGGCACCTGAAAACTGCATCCTGGGGACTGAAACCTAGTTGATTATGGATCTCTAGAAGTATTTGAAGAGTCAGAAGTCCTTATTATTGTCATTTCTATGTCACAACTAGAGCAACATGGACTCAGCGTGAACCCTGCCTCCAACACTTAGGAGCTGTGTAATTTTTGGCCTAGTACTCAACCTCTCTGTGCTCCAGTTTCCTCTTCTGAAATATGGGAATTGTAATGATACCTACTTGATAAGAGTTATATGAGCATAATATAAGATAAATACGAACCCCTGAACACATGCTGTAGTAGTATCCCCTAATTTATATTAGCCAATGTTATTAATAATTATAAAAAGAAGACTGCATTTTCCATGGATTTTAGGTCATGGAAATATTGCATATAAATCTAGGGGATTACTATATCCATTATGAAATATCTCTGAAATCTCTTTCATTTGAATAATCTATGAATCTCTTCCAGAATATCTTCTGACATAAAATAACCGGCATTCACTTACCTACCTCACTAAGCTCTTGTTCCGGTCAAATCAGTGATACATGCAGTTCTCCTGGCCTACATCTTGGCTTCTGTCCCATACTGAAAAGAGAATAACCTTCCTGAGAGGCGAGTTTCACCATGCCCCCATCCCTGCTGGAAATGCATTAATGGCTTTTCTTCTCTAACACAATAATGAGGAGCTCCCAAGGTGGTCTCTGTGGCCCCAAGCCCACTTGTCTAGCCCTGCCACATGCCCAAAGCACTCACAACTCCAGGAATTTTGTGGCATGCCTTTATGTCTATTCACTGTTCCCTTGGGCTTGTATGCTGATCTCCATCCCCACCCATGCCCACACCCACTCTGCCTTCACCACAGGCAAGAATATTTTAATATCATTAGCATTTTCTTCAAGGATTCATTTTGAGCATCCCCTTTGTTTTGAAGCTGTTTGCCAATCCTATCCCCTAAGTAGAATTGGCACCTGCTTCTCCAGGTCCTCACTGGATTCCTCTATGCATCTGTCACAGCACTTAGAACTCTTCATCGCACTGTTTGTTAGCATGACTATCCCTGTTATTCTCCTTGTATCCACAGTGCCTAACATAGCACCTAGCAGGCTTCAGATTGAACCACAGGAGATTTCTGTCTTTATAGATATTTCCAATTTCATGTGGTTCCACTTGGAGTGGGGTGCTTAGTAAATATCTGCTGAATGAATGAATGAATAAAGTTCCACTCCTGCTGACCTACTGTCTGACAAGGCTCTTAAATGACACCATAATTTTCAGTAATACTTGTTTACCTGCCTGAATGTACATGTCAATCACCTTTTCATTTTCCAAAAGAATTTTGTTAAAAATTTAAGTTATATCTATAGGTTTTTATAAGAAAATGACAGAGACAGTTTATTAATATTCTCAGACAAAGAGAAGTTATGAAGCATTGTTTAAGACAACGTCAAAGAATTCAAAAAGCTCCATAGATGTAATGCTTTTCCCTTACTGAACAAGTGTGAAACATTGTAAGAATTACTAATTTGGCCAGGCGTGGTTGCTCATGCCTGTAATCCCAGCACTTTGGGAGGCCAAGGCAGGTGGATCACCTGAGGTCGGGAGTTCAAGACCAGCCTGACCAACATGGAGAAACCCCATCTCTACTAAAAGTGCAAAATTAGCTGGGTGTGGTGGCGCATGCCTGTAATCCCAGCTACTCAGGAGGCTGAGGCAGGAGAATTGCTGGAACCTGGGAGACAGAGGTTGCAGTGAGACGAGATCGTGCCATTGCACTGCAGCCTGGGTAACAAGAGCAAAACTCTGTCTCAAAAAAAAAAAAAAAAAGAATTACTAATTTATTCAATATATCATAATCAATCAATTTATTCTCTAGAAGCCAAATAGTTGTCTTATTTCCCATTCTCACCCCCTGACCCGGCCATCTACTCTTCTATAAATGGTTATTGTGGTTACAAAATTGGTTCCAAATGCAATGAACAAGCATGTAGCAAACAATACATACAAGATGTTTATGTCTCTCATTTCACAATACCAAGGAATAAACCAAACTACCCATTAATGATGAGATCTACTCTAATCAAAGAAGCAAAAATGGAACATATCAGAGGTATTGGGGTTTTCAATAACTGAGGTATAAGATGTCAGCTTATGACCAACTTTGTACTAAGGACCAGCTCTCTGAGATGGGACCTGACTCAACCAAAGTCAAGAAGCCATATCCCTTCTCTGATGATGAGTAGCCAGAAGCCTCAACCACAAGTGGACTGTATGACAAAATCAACAAACACAAATTCAAATGCTTACAGAGGCCAGACACACAATGGAAAGAGGTGAGGAAGGCTAAATATGAGGCACTAGACAGTGGTGAGGCACGTGGCAAAGCATCCTGTGAACAGGCAGCAGCCATTTAGTTCTAATAGCATTACCATTCTGGGCCTCTGTAGTCAGTGTTGCCAGATTTTAGAATTTTTAGAAGTTAGAAATCTAGATGTTTATGTGAAATTTCCTGGTTTTTGAAACAGTACATTTTGTACATTACACAACAGCACATTTTGTACATTATACAAAACATGACTAAAACCGAGATCCGACCTTGGGCCATCAGTTGCAACTCCTACATGAAACTGTAATCTATGATGCCTCTGAATACAAGGTAGTCAGAAAATGAAAGGAGTTCTATGTTCAGAATAGTCAGAGAAAACTCTAATTTTAAATACATTCACGTATCATTCCTGAAAATATTCTGACACATGCTGGAACACATGTCCCAAGTTTTAATCTGGAAAAGATAGCTTTGATACCTCCAGTTACCATTTTGAACCTCTTTAGAAGTTAATAGTAGTCCCACAAGGCCAAGAAAGAAAGAAGAAACAAGCCTAAATACGAAAAGGTGGAAAGCAGGTTTGAGCTAGACAGTATGTTTATTTTAGAGAATAAGGAACGTTAAAACTGTTTGAAACTTTCCAACTCTCCGTGTATTTCTTTTTCTTTCACTTGCTCATGTATTTCAAATATTAAATGCTTTTCCTCTGTTATTAAGAAAGTGTGTTTGAGTCATACTCAGAGGTCTAACCCATGATGATGACACCACATTCATTAGACAACTTCTATTCCTTTCTAAAAGTTTCGATCCAATATTAGCAGAACCTGAAAGCCTTCCAACTCACTAACCAACAGATGGCATGACCAACTTTCCCAAGAGACACGCAGCAGCACACAGGTACACACCTTCCCAGTGAGAGAATGCAAGGTTCAGCTCAGGTGTTAGACACTCAGAGAACACTTAATCAAACAACAAAACGGGTGGCAGCAGGGAGAAGAGGAAAGGTTCATTCCCTCTTCAGCTCCCACCCCCGGTTAGAAGTCCAGGGCATTTAAGGTCTACCACATTTCCATGTAGGGGTGGAAACATTATCTTTCCCTTGAAAGAAACATAGCCTTTGAACAGGAAATGGAGGGTCATCAGTTCGGGTTGGAACACACATAGAATAATAATGACACTACCTTTGCTGGTGTCAAATGTAAATTTGTTCAATAGTCCAGTGGAACAGTAACAAGGCACTTCTTCAGATGCCACCTGCTATTGAGTGTAGAAAATAACAACAAAAAAAATACCCTGTCGACTCACCCAAGTCAGATAATTACACGGACTGCAAAACATTCAGGCACGGAGCTCTGGAAACCTTTTAGGGGGTCCTTTATCATGCCCTGCCTTTTCCAGAATGAGACTAATTTGCTCCTATTTCAGCCAGCTCCAGCAAAGAGAGCGGGTAAAGGAGAGAAAAGAGAATGAATTGTCAGCATTATTGAAAAGATTCATGGTTAGTCACACTCACTCCAGGCAAGTTCCTTGCCAGACACCACACCACTCATTAGCAGACCTGAGAACTGGCGTGCCTCCCACAGCTGAGCAACAGCCTTGGGCCTGGCAGGTCCCCAGGGACCCACAAAGCCCTATGTTCTCCCACACCCTGCAATGAGAAAGACCAGTTTGGGCAGGCCTGGGTGCAATTGGCTCCCCAGATGCTAAGTAAATCTGTTCTATGCCCTGTGCTGCTTCAAATATAATTATTCAGGTGCTCAGCTGGTGTGGAAATCAAGGTAGCATCTCTTCAGGGTACACTGATGCAGTTACCTGATGGGGCTGCCATTTTCTCCCCAGGTTCCCTTCGGAAGACCCAAGAGATGGTCGTGTCTACAGTTTGTCAGCCTGTATGTCCTCATTTCCAGCTACAGCTGTGAGCTGCTGATCTTCCTGGAGCTGGAAACATTTATTTCCCTTGTGTAATACCAGCAATTTTAACTTAGATTTACAGTGCTTACCACTGAACCATTTGGGGCATTAAAGACTAATTCAATTCATTTGCAAGAGACAGGGTGGGCTGTAGGAATCATTGATGTCAATATCCACAGCAATGGGGAAACTGAGTCTGGGAGGCAAAAGGACTTGCTCAAAAGTGTAGAACAAAGAAGAGAAGCCAGGTCTTTGCTTTTCTATTCAGTCTCATCCCATTTCTTGGAGCTACTATCTCACAGAAAAAAAAAATACCATTTCTAGTTAGGACAGCAAACCGGTTACTCTTTACTGTATGAAAACACCATTCTCAGAATCACAACTCCCTAAAGTTCAGTCAAAACTTCCCAAAAAAAGCTGGCTTCTGTTAGAATGAGCTGCGCCCTCCACTGGGATCTGAAAGCAAAGGACAAGGACTAAGTCTTTGTAAACAATCACAACAGACACTGACCATGGTGAACATCATCCCATACGTCAGAGTAACATGCCCTCACATGGGTTCTGATGGAGAAGAACAGCTCCCCCATGCTGAGCTCTGCCATCCCTAGCATCAAAAGTACCATATAGCTGGATGCCAAAGCTGGTACTATTTGGTACATACTGATATGCATATTAGCTTGGATTTATGACACCTAGAAAAAGTGATCCTGGCCCTAAAATAAAATTCAAGTCCAAGAACGATCATTAACAATGTAAGTATGACTCAAAGCACTCAGACTACATGTCTTCACTTGGACTACATGTCTTCAGGTTGAAGACGCTTCACCCTGGCTTTGCAACAGAGTCACCATGATGACCCAGGCAAGTGTGGGATGTGTGGTAAGGGCTTGGGAAAATTCCTGTGGGTTTTTAGAGTTTTCATAATTCCCTGAAAGGCTGCTAGACCCAACTGCTTCTAAAGGAAGCATGTGGGCAAACTCAGAGATATGGGTGAAGGACATTCTGTGTCAATGGACACCGAGTACTGGGCCAAGAGGCCCCTGCTTATCTGTGTTCGTAGTTGGTCTACAAAAGAGTCACAGCTTCCCTCTTCCTCCTTAGCAGGGGGAAGTGGGCCTGAGGGAATGTGGATCAGCCCAGCCAGTGCCTGTTAACAAGGTGGCCTGAGGAGTGGGTACTGCCCCCTTGTCTTGTATCAGTCCTCCAGTCTCTGCCATTGGTTGTGCTCCTGAGTGAAAAGAGGCAGAGCCTAGGACAGGAGATAAAGTTAAAGGAACTCTTCACTCGATCCTAGAAGGATTTTGCTTATGAGTTGCTCAGATCTCCTACAGCCTCCCCCACCCTCACGGGTGCTAGGCTGGTAGTCAGTATTACTACTCTTGACCATGGCACCCAGCTTAACTCTATCATTGGCACTGCAAATATGCCCTGGACTACCTCCGGAAGTGTCTTGGGTGCATGCCAAGAAAACATCCCTCACCTTCTCACCTCCTATTTTTGCATTATTTGCTTTCAGAAGGGAAGTGATAAAAATGGATAATAGCCACTAATTTTTGAACAATTTTTCCAGGTACCACTCTAAGTGCTTTAAGTGTGTTGATTCTGTTAGTCCTCTCCACAACCCCATGAGGAAATAGTCTCCTCATTTGCACATGAGGGAACTGAAACACAGGGAATTAGGTAACCTACAGTAGCCGTGCAGCTAGGAAGTGGCAGAGCTGAGATTTGAACCCAGAGCCCCATGTGTCCAGCCACTATACTGGTTAAGAAATGATGATATGATTCCGTGTAGACACAGGTTCTGTGTATCCAATGTACTTGAGAGTATTGGGGAGCATTTCTCCCTCTTCAGTGACATGAGGACACATCTATAAAGGCAAAGGCAATTTGAGAAAATAAGGCCAAGGGCATAAAGGTCAAGAAGAAGGGCTTTGTGATCAGTTGGCTTAAGTCCTATCTTGTCACTTACTAGCGATATGACCCTGGGCAGGCTGCTCAGTCTCCTGCAGCCTCATTTTTCTCATCTCTAAAATGGGGTTAATAGGACGCTTAGCTCACAGGATTCTTGAGAGACCAACAGGAATGGATCCATGAAAACAGCAGCTGGCCAACAGTAAATGCCGAGTAAATGGTGGTTTCAATTATTATTAAATATGGTGAGGTAACGAGCAGTTAGGATAAGATGAAGTTGAAGAAAAGATTCCAGGTCGACATTATCTTCTTA
The DNA here is from genome assembly GCF_000001405.40 of Homo sapiens. Taxonomy (NCBI): domain Eukaryota; kingdom Metazoa; phylum Chordata; class Mammalia; order Primates; family Hominidae; genus Homo; species Homo sapiens. The sequence continues at coordinate 40,063,028 of NC_000013.11, forward strand.
GTTGTCAAATTTGTCATAGAGACTTATGAACCATAAGTAAGAAATTTCTCTTAAAATGGTAATCTTGGAAAATAGCTCCCTTTCCTCTGCTTGCTGCTGTCACTACTTCTGCTTCTTCTCTTCTCCCCAGGATTTGGTAAATAATTCAGTTATCATGTCACAGCTCAACCTGGCAGCTCCACTCTGAGCTTCAGCCACAGCTATGCCCACTTCTCTGTGGGTTTGTGGGAAAGGTGCCCCTGGGCAACTGTGGCAAAGGATTCAGTCACTCGTGTGAGTGCTCGGGAGCAGGCACAGCTCTGCCCCATCCCTTCCAATCAGCATCATCTGCACCGTGGCTGTTCCTCACAGCTTGGCAACGTGCTGGCAGGTCGCTGGCTGGGAGCCTGCATTCTTCACAGAGGTCCTGTCATTATAATAACCATATTTTCTCTTGTGGTGAAGAGTAATTGAATTAAATTGGGCAGCATTTGATCCTGACCATACAAATTGCCTGATCCAATTGAGGCCTCTGTGAGGTCACAGGCAGGAAGGAGCAGAGCAGTGAGACAGATGTCCTCGTCCCGTGGGCCTGGCTGTTGGGTTCTTCTATCAGTGCACACCCAGAGACCCTCCTCTTCCATGTAAAACTCTCTGCAGGGAGACGGGGTTCTGCAGGCTGGGGAGAGGAGGAGGGGAGTCCCCAGGCATGTGGGGAGCACAGAAGAGCTGGCAGAAAGCAAAGTGTGACAGATACTATGAGCCAAACATATGGACATGCAGATGTTTCAGCAGGAATGGATGGAAGCACAGGGTGATTGGGTGACACCTGGAAGTAGGAGCTTAAACAGTACTGTGTGGAGTGGGAGGAGCAGGGATCAGGGACTGGAGTGAAAGCTGGCAAGTCAGAATTCAGAGTTTTGTGCTGGTGACATCTCATACTGTTCGTGGTTTAAAAGTCACATGTCTTTGGCAAACAAGCAGCCCAGTAGTCTTTATCAAGAGTAAATTATGTGGGTATTCTGCTTATCTGAAAGTAAATAAGAAACACAGATGCCTGCCTTTAAATGTCTAACTAGCTCTATTTTCCCTTCTTTCCACAGATAAAATTAAATATAGACATCAAGATCTAAATGTATCAGTGGGTGCACAAAAGGACCCCAGGAGGGGGAAATGGAGAAAATTTCAGGTGCTTATGCCTTCACGCACCCTTTTCTCTGCCATCCTGCCCTCGTCTTCACTGTCTGCCCACTGAGACCTGGGGTCACTGCTCACTTTCAGACAGGAAATTGAAAGACCTTTGCAAACACTTGGTCCCATCCCTCTCAACTTCCATTTCCTAATCCCCAAAGGCCAACGTGGAAATAAAAAGATGCTTTCATGTTGAAGGCACCTGGGAATCAGGCTTTGCTTGTAAAACACTGGCAAGGTTGGCTTCCACCCTGAGAGAAGCACGACCTCTGTCACTTCATCCTGGAGGTCCCCCTTCCTGGCTGGCTGTTCATGAGTCATCGAGTTACTAGACAGAGAAGAATACTTTATTTTGTCTGGTCACTCAGGGCATTCCAAGAAGCAAAAAGTGTTGGGATGTTGAGGACAATAAGTGACAGCCAGACACAAGAGCGTAGCAGGGTAAAAATTACTGTCCTCCTAAGGAGCTCAGACGATATGGCTTCTGGCCGTGTCTGTTCTCATATTATTGCTCCAGGAGGAGGTGGTGGGAGGATTTCCCCTTCATTTATATTCAGAAGGTTTATTCTGTGTGTGAGGATAAGAATCTGTGGGCTGAGAAAGAAAGGAAGTCCTAAAAACCCAATAATTTTTAAATTATGGGTTATGACACATTAATGACTCCCAGGATGGGGAAAGTTTCCATCAGGACATATGATTCAGCCTCATAAGAGAGCCCAATGCCTCAATATACACCAATTTGGTTGCCAACCCAATAATCCTCTAGAGTCAAACCAACCCTTTCCAAGTGAGAGCTCTCCCAAGGGATGCGATGAGTCACCATTACAGTATTGACGGAGCAAAGGAGGCAAGTGTGCTGTACTACCCAGAACTAGCATAAGACTTTAAGATGAAAACTTAAATGAAGATGAGGGATAGACGAGTCTACCAAAGGTGCTCTGGCCTAATATGATCTTCTACACATGACTTTGTAATAGTAGTATAGACTTTATATCTGCACATTCACATTCTTGAAAAAAGGTTATCCCTAATTGTGTGGCCACTGTTTACTCTTTCTCTTTTATAGGCCTTTAAACTAAATGAAAAGTAGTTTAAATCTAGTGGTAAAGCAAGTAGGTGTATATAGTGCGGGCAAGAAATCCCCACAGTGCAATCTGGCAGACCATAGTCAACTCTCTAGGGCCGACTGTAAAACTCAGCTGGTGCTTTCTTGGTCTCTTTTACCAGCTTTACTTCCTGCATGTTCCTCAGTTATGTTGATGTTCTGCAGGTTTGTGACCTTCTTCTCCCCTCACTCCATCCACCCTCCATGCAGGAGTTTATTAACAGCTGTGGAGGGTTTCAGCTGCCATACACACACTATGTGTATTAGTCAGGTTTCTCCTGAGGGACAGAACTAATAGGATATATATATATATATTTTATATATATATATATCCTATATATATATCATATATATAATATATATATCATATATATCAATATATATATTTTATATATATATAATATATATATCATATATATCAATATATATATTTTATATATATATTATATATATATATATATACACACACACAGAGAGAGAGAGAGAGAGAGAGGAGTTCATTAAGGAGTATTGACTCACAGGATCACAAAGTGAAGTCCCATAATAGGCCGTCTGCAAGCTGGGGAGCAAGGAAGCCAGTCTGAATCCCAAAACCTCAAAAGTAGTGAAGCCAACAATGTAGCCTTCAGACTGTGGCAGAAGGCCAGAGAGCCCCTGGCAAATCACTGGTGGAAGTCTAGGAGTCCAACAGCTGAAAACTTGGAGTCTGATGTTCAAGGGCAGAAGCATCCAATATGGGAGAAAGATGAAGACTAGGCAAGGGGTGGTGGCTCATGCCTGTAATCCCAGCACTTTGGGAGGCCAAGGTGGGTGGATCACCTAAGGTCAGGAATTCGAGACCAGCCTGGCCAACATAGTGAAACCCTGTCTCTACTAAAAATACACACACACACACACACACAAAAATCAGCTGGGCATGGTGGCGCGTGCCTGTAATCCCAGCTACACAGGAGGCCGAGGCAGAATCACTTGAACCCAGGAGGCAGAGGTTGCAGTGAGCCAAGATCAAACCTTCAGCCTGCACTTCAGCCTGGGCAACAAGAGCAAAACTCCGTTGAAAGAAAGGAGAAAGAAAGAGAGAAAGAGAGAGAGAGAGAGAAAGAAAGAGAGAGAGAGAGAGAGAGGAAAGAAAGAAAGAAGAAAGAGAGAGAGAGAAAGAAAGAAAGAAGGGACAGAGGGAGGGAGGGAGGGAAGGAGGGAAGGAAGGAAGGAAGAAGACTGGAAGACTCAGCAAGTCTACTATTCCATCTTCCCCTGCCTGCTTTATTCTAGCCACTTTGGCAGCCGCTTAGATGGTGCCCACCCAGATTGAGGGTGGGTCTGCCTCTCCCAGCCCACTGACTCCAATGTTAATCTCCTTTGGCAACACCCTCACAGACACACCCAGGATCAATACTTTGCATCCTTCAATCCAATGAAGTTGACACTCAATATTAAACATCACACTCTGGAAATGCTCAGCTCCAGCTCCTGAGGTCAACACTCTCTCCTAAACTTCAGTTCATTCAACGAACATTGATGGAGAACCTGCCAGGTAACAGGCCCCGAGCTGGGCAATGGACACAGGGAAATGAATAAAATGTGATGTCAGCCATCAAAGCTCACATATGATTTTATGTCCAACTACCTACTGACTTTTTCACTTGAACCTATAGTAATAATAACAACAATAATAAACCTTTTAAAAAAATCTGCTGCCATTTGTTGAGAAACCTGCCAACCTGCCTCATGCTGGCTGCTCAGTGTAAAGCACTCTCTGGCCCCCAGAGCTCACATGCACGGCCTTCTGCTGTGCTTTCAATGTTTGTGTCTTCTCCAAAACTCTCATGTTGGAACTTCAACCCCAATGTTATGATATTCAAAGGTAGGGCTTTTCGGAGGTGATTAAGTCATGAGTATAGAGACCTCATGAATGAGATTAGCAATCTTACAAAAGTGCTGAAGGGAACTAGCTAGGGTTTTTTTGTTGTTTGTTTGTTTGTTTGTTTGTTTGTTTTTAACCCTTTCACCTTCCACCATGTGAGGACACAGTATTTTTTCCCTCCAGAGGACGCAGTAACAAGGCACCATCTTAGAAGCAGTGACCGAGCCCTCACCAGACACTGAGCCCACTGGCACCTTTATTGGACTTCCAAGGCTCCAAAACTGTGAAAATTACCCAGTCTTAGGTATTTTGTCACAGCAGCATAAACAGACTAAGACGCTTTCCTCACTCATAGGCCAGGTAAGGCTTGGGTGTAATATCTCAGTACACAGTCTCATCCTAGCTAACAGCCAGACTATGACAAGTGGGCAGGAACCAGGCCACACGTCGATAATGATGTGTTATGGTTTTAAGATTATGGTGCTTCTCATCTGACTTTTCTATTTATGATAAGAAATGTAAGACGTTGATAGATGATAATTCAAATTTAAAGTAAAAATGTCTTACTATTGCCCTTTTAAACTTCCAGAACAGTTAAGGGCATTTAGAGATTGCAAACTGAGTTTTTTTTTTTTCTTTTAAAAACTACTTTTTGCAACTAGTTCTCAGAGTGAATCAGAATATTCTCAATAGTATATAATTAGAAATATATATAAATATATACATATATATAAAATGGAAGTTGGGTTTGTCACACATATGCCCAAAATGTTGTATTAATTAATACTTCTTTATTGATCTTATTGATTCATTCTGTAACCGTCATAAATTTGAACTTACAAACTAAATGTCTGTTAACAAAATGCTGCTTTTATTTTTTTTTCATATGCTGGAGTTTTCCATGAGATTTTGTTGGGGAAAAATATATGTAATGCTGAAGAAGTTTGAACACCGTGGAGCAAACCTAAGGATTTAGCTGCACAGGCAAGGGCCTTCCAGCACTGGCCCCGCCTGCCTCTTCAGCCTCAACTCCCCTCTCAGAACCCCTTACACCCTGAGGAGCAAAATCACCAGCTCTCCCTCCATCTGAGCCTTTGTTTAAACATGTTGCATCCTCCTCTGGAATGCACTCCCCCTCCTCACCTCCCATGCACCCCCTTGAACGTCACCCCTAGGAAGCCATCCTGACCTCTCCAGGGATAGGGTCTGTGTTCCCACGTAAATGCTCCTCCAGCACTTCCCACCATTGATGTAAATTTTGCTTGCATGTCTGAGTTCCTAGATGGGAAGGGCAGTCGCTTATTGATATTTATTTACACAGCGGCTATTCATTACCTGGCTCATAATATGTGCTTAATAAATGTGAATTGAATGAACAAATGAATAATTTAAATAACAACCAGGATTTAGTCCTTAATGGATTTGAGCTTCTATATTTCTAAAATGCTCATGGCTGACACTGAATGCATACTAAGTATCAGGAACTGCCCTATTTCTACGAATTTCTTCTTTAATCCTCAAAAACAGTTCTATGAGGTAGGTAGTACAATTATCATGCTAATTTTTCAGATGAGGAAAATGAAGTACAATGAGGTGATATGACTTGAGCAAGTTCCCCAGCTAGTAAAAGGCACAGAGACACTTGACTCTAAGGAGTCCACCATTGTCCTCTACGGGATGCACCGTACTGCTTACACAGAGAAGCCTACATGCAATAGGCCTTCCTTTCCTCTTTCCATTCTATTTACTTGCTTCTTCTTTTTTTTTTTTTTTTTTTTTTTTTTTAGATGGAGTCTCACTCTGTTGCCCAGGCTGGACTGCAGTGGTGTGATCTTGGCTCACTACAGCCTCCGCCTCCCGGATTCAAGCGATTCTCCTGCCTCAGCCTCCTGGGTAGCTGGGACTACAGGCACGCGCCACCATGCCCAGCTAATTTTTGTATTTTTAGTAGAGACCGGTTTTCACCATGTTGGCCAGGATGGTTTCGATCTCCTGATGGGTTTGAAAGTTATGCATGTTAGAATTATGCCTAAGATAAGCATTAACAAGATTCTGAGATGGCATTCTTTGAGTAAAGCATAAACTTTAGAACATGTCTTCTCCTTTAGCAGGACTGGGGCCTTGTTTCTTTTTGCCCTGGTTTTTGTCTACCTAGGTTGGGCTCTGGACACTGAGGGGTCATGGTAGTCCTCAGTCTTCCCTGACTCACCGCTGGGTGGCAGTACACCACACTTCCTTTATTCCTGCTCTTTTATGCGTGCGTGTAGAAGTGGGAGCTCTGCTTTAGGGACCACTCTCCAATTCTCAATCTCCTCTTTTGCTTTTGATGTAAATTATCTCTTACACTTTTAGGTAATAGCAAATATTGTTTGTGTCTGTTTTTATGCACTCGTTTAGAATGACATGGAGCTTTGCCAAAGTCAAACGAAGCACATTTCATTAGACCATTTTCATGGGGAGGTTTTTCTTACACAAAATTATCTACAATTAAAAATGCAGAGAGATTTTCCCCGTGTGGCACAGCTTTTTAAAAGACAGAGTCAAAACCTTTATCGAAAAAGCAATTTATAATGCCAGTAATTTTCTACCTCTGTCCTGCTATTATCAAGGACAGCAGTTTTAAAAGAACTGGCTCTGGTCTCTCTGCTCAGCCTGTCGTGCTCACGTAATGGCTTGTCTGTAACTTCAGCCCATTGCCATGGAAGTCATTATGCCACACGCCCAGAAGGGTGATTTTCTACAGCATCAAAGAGGAAGCAACTGGGTTCAAAATGAAAAACAATCTCTATACATGTGAGAGAAAGAAGCATGATGAGGTGGGAAGGACCCAGAGAACACGATTTTATGTGAAAGAGTGCTATGAATGCAAGTTTTCAAATAGAATATTATCAGAACAAGACAATAATAGTTGAAGTGAATAAAATAATTTTCCTAATGGCCTGTTCCTTCTCTCAAATTTTCTACCATAACACATGGTTAGAAGGTCCCAAATAAATGGCCCTTTACAGCTTCTCTGACATTTCTGGTAGCAAACATTCCAAGTGAATAATTTTATTTCTTTCATAAAATCCTGGAAGGGAATCACAAAGCTGCCTGGCTTTAGATGAGGTCTGGGTCATCTCGTCCATACCTCTGCCTTCAGGAAGGTTCAAACTTACTTTCCTAAGCAGATCAGACTCTACACTGGGAGATACCATGAGCTACTTTTTCTGAGGCCAGGGGCAAAGTTCTCTCAGTGTACTGAGTCAAATATTTTGTTAAGGAAGGAACTTGGGATCTGGAGTCAGGGGATTCCAGTGCAAGCCTGGGCTCCAGGGTTTGCCCACCCTGCAAACGTGGACAAGTCACGTGACATCCTTGTGTTCAGGTTGCCTCATCTTCAAAACCGGAAATAATAACCTACATCACAGGGTTGCTCCAGTGGTCAAGTGAGACAATGGATGTGAAAGGGCTTTGTCAACTGGAAAGTGCTCTTCAAATGTCACTTATTATTATTGTTCTGCTCAGTCCATTCATTTTTCTCTGCATGAGTTGAAGAGTACAGTCCTTTACCATTAATCTGCTCCCATGGAGAAGATGTTGGCTTCTACCTGCGTGCACTGGCACCACCAGCCTCCGCAGCCTGGGAAGGAGGTGTAATCTGAGGAGGAAGGAGGAGTGTGAGACCCATGTGTACAGCAGCAACTTCCTGCCTCCCTCCCAGACAACCTGGATCTGTGCACTTGTGGCAACTCAGTAGGGGTCTAGTGTTAGAATTGTGGGGTGAGGGACAGGAGATCTGGATTCTGTCACTATCTGACCGTATGACTTTGGGTTATTTCTTCACTTATTTAGTAACTCATTCAAAATAAATAGTGATTAGAGACACAGGGTCTTGAGCCAGGCAGTCTGAGTTCAAATCTTGATTTCCCCCAATGACTTGAGAGGTGATCTTAGGATAAATACAAACACAAGCCAGTACTTACTGAGCAATCATGTATGCAGCACTGTTCCAAAGGCATGATAGATATTAACTCAGATGATCTGTGCAACAACCCTATGAAATTATCTCAGTTATTACTCCCATATTACAGATTATGAAACTGAGGCCAAAGTGCTTCAGTAACTTGCCCAGGGTCACTCTGCTAGCAAGTGGCAATCTTGCACACCCATCACAATTATGCTGAACTCCTTAAAGAAATGTGCCAATATATGTGAGTACTCAGAGCGGTGTCTGCTACACGGTAAACACTCCATGTTAGCTATAATTTGTTGTTTATTAAGGACTCATTATGTGTCAGTAACTTTGCTAGGTGCAAGGAAGATGCACGAGCCTCCAGCCCCACCCCTTAAAGATCACAGACATTTTTATTTCTTATGGTTCTGGGGATCAAATCAAAAAGGCAATGTATAAAGATGGAGGTGTGCTTTTGAAGGTGAAAAGAAAATACATTTGGAAAGCAGAGTTATCATGACTTTATTTTATCAGAATATGACATAATGTCCAAGTAATAAGAAAAACTTAATTCAAGAGATGCCTTATAACAACCTTCTGGTTGGAATACACATCACCTGGTGCTGTGGCAAGTGTCTAGAACCTGCTCTGTTGGCCAAAATACCATTTTGATTTGTAGTTCTTAGATTTGTAGTGTCCTATTGACTCCAGCTCTGCTGTCATAACTCTATGCTTGGTTATTTTTCTCCAGAGTAGGACACTTAGTGCAATATGAAATGTCTCTTTTCCAAGACTTCCTGACCATTCACCAAACTATTGGTGAACTCTTTTAATCACCCAATCAACATATATTTGTTGAACACATACTATTTGCAAACCCTATTCTAAGGGCTAAATTTGCTGATGCTTTCCTGAATTTGTATCTATAGTTCTGGATTAATTCTGCTGTAATTTTTGTATTACAAGGATCACAGAACAAATGCAACAGGAATTCATTCTTCCTTGTATCTCCAAAGTGCCCTATAGAAGAAAATTGAACCCAAAACAGTTTGTGAAGAAATCAAGGAGCACCACGGTTCTTTTAGCACAAAAGGCAAATTTCTGAGGGAGGTAAGGTCATAGTAACACGATGTTAATCTGATTTTCACAGGCATTTCTTGACCACCTATTCTGACCTAAATTCTAGAATATGATATTTACCAGATGTGCTACCTGTACCTTGGACAAGTTACTTAACCTTTCTGGACTTTAGTTTCTTTATCGTTAAAGTTTGGAAAAAAATAAAATACTTGTAAACACTTAGAAACCCCTTATTACTCCATCTAGTCCTCTTAAAAGCGCTGTGCAATAGATGTTGTTCCTTTTTTGCATTTGCTAGAACCAAAGCTCAGTTTCATGACTGGAACGGCCTACCTAAGTTCTCAAAGGGAGTAAACAGCAAGTGGAGACTGAAATTGTTTCTTTATGACAAACATTTCAAAAGCCTGTGCTCTTTTCCCTGGACCAAAGGCCCAGGACAAGGAAGAATTGCGGTTGGAGAATTTAAAAGCTCAAGAGATAGGTGCCAGATTTTATTATTATTCAACTCAATTGTCCTTATCCTAGTTAGTCGGACACTCTGGCCCCTGAATTTCTTGGTATCTGTGTTTGCAGGTCAGTTCTCAGAGAACTTCTCATAAACAGTTTCAAAACAGAAATGCTCAATTTCAAAGGTAAGCAAAGCCAAATTGACTTTGAAGTCAGAAAGTTCCGTTCCCCCTGTTCCATAACATGCTTTGTGTGCTAGAGGTCAAGTTTTCCCAGTTGATAAGGGGGCTTAACTGGAAGTTCTCAGAGCAGGAAAGCAGATCCGGACGGCCACAGAGGTCATCAGTGGAGGGATGGCCCTGAGAGGAGGGCTTTATCTAAGTTAACTGGCCACTGGGAGTCAGGCAGGAGCAAATGCATTCTCTTTCTGCCAAAGGTTACACACCTAGGGTGGCAGCTGACACCACTGTGACTGCTTCTAACTATGGCACATGCGATGAAGAGATGATACCAATATTTAGGTAGCAAATGAAACTCAGAAACTTCCTTTGGGAAAGGTGGTGGGTTTTAGTGTCTTTAGGTTCAAAATGGTGTCTTCCACTCTTCCTCCTCCTCCTCCTCCTGTTCCTCCTCCATTTTCTTTTCATTATCCATTCTTTCATAGAACAGTAATCAATCTATCTAACTCAAAGTCTGTTCTTTCATATATCTGTGTTTAAATTTTTTTTTTTTAGACAGAGTTTCATCTTGTTGCCCAGGCTGGAGTGCAGTGGTGCGATCTTGGCTCACTGCAACCTCTGCCTCCTGGATTCAAGCGATTCTCCTGTCTCAGCCCACCGAGTAGCTGAGATTACAGGCACCTGCCACCACGCCCAGCTAATTTTTGTATTTTTAGTAGAGACAGGGTTACACCATGTCGGCCAGGTTGGTGTTTGTAATTTTTTATTTCACTAAAACCTCATAAGATATACCTTACACCAAGTCCTACCAGGTACTACTAAAGGTGTGCATACATTTTCTGCCCCTGTTTAATATACTCACTTCAAGAAATTGTATCTCCTTTGGGTCCTATTCATGCCTGTCCCAGCAAGGTGCTGATGAGTGGTCCTACCTTATTACGCTACATGGAGTTAAGCATGTTGGAAGGGCAGCCAGGAAGTTTCAAGAGACAAATCTGGGATAAATACCTAATGAAGTTAGAATAAATTACTATATTCAACGGTAAGAGGCACTTAGGATAGTCCACAAAGGAAAACTATAACAACACTTTAACTTGTTTTTTTAAATTAAAAAAACAAACAAACAGGCAAAACCACTATGAAAAGAATCCACAGTCGAGCAGCATGGAATGGAAAATGCAGCAAAAAATTAGCCGGGTATGGTGGCTGCCCCTGTAGTCCCAGCTACTCCGGAGGCTGAGGCAGGAGAATCCCTTGAACCCGGGAGGCGGAGGTTGCAGTGAGCCGAGATCGCGTCACTGTACTCCAGACTGGGTGACAGAGCGAGACTCCGTTAAAAAAAAAAAAAGAAAAAGGAAAATGCAGCAAAATGATGGTCCTTACCCCAGTCACTTTCCAGTCTTCCTCCTGGAGTCCCTGCTGAGAGAGAGGAGGGCAGTTTGGGATGAGATGTGCAGAGTTGCTCTAAGCCTGGCTGCTCCAGAACCCAGCCACCCACTCAGGGACCCTTCTGCTCTTAGGCTGTGGCAGCCCCAGCCTTTCCCTGAGCTGTCCTTGGCTTGCCATTTTGAGAGTCAGAAGAGAAACACTCCCTGATCACCCAAATGGTAGCCATGCCTCAGTCAGGCCAACAGGACCCCAGGAGCTAACATGAAGGCCACAAGCTGTAGGCTAACCCTGACCTCCCTTTGTGCTCAGAGACCGCAGGCCGTAATTCTCTGTGTGAAAATGTTGTGTAAACTTGGCAGCCATTAGCATATTCACCCACGGCCTCCTTGTCAAAATGATTGCAGTCCTTAGAGCCTTTCCTGGGAGCCTTCTTTACTAATCTCTGTGGTTCCCCTCTGAGCACTCCATAGAAAATGCTTTCTTCTTTGATAATTCAGGTCAGATTTGCAGAAGCCAGATTCAGAGAGGGCTTAAGTAATTTTCCACATTGGCTGCCTTTTGTGCTCAAATTTAGCTGAAAATTGCTTAATTCTGTGCTCCACTCTGACTGCATAGATTTAGCTGAAAATTCTTTAAATCATAAGAGCCCCAAGACCCCACAACTTAATTCTACCCACCCTGAGCATTAGTAGGGGTGCTACATATATAACTGGAAAGGGAGAAGGATCTACCTTCATAACCCAGAAAAGAGAGAGAATCTTGATGATAGCAAGGTATAAAATGTATTACGCCATCACAGGATTTAGTATGTGAAGCTAGTGTGATTTCATTAAAAAAGCCCCAAATTGAGAGACAGGAAACCTGGATTCAAGCCTTATTCCTACCACTTAAAAAGTAACAGGTTCTTAACCTTTACTTGCATCACAGGCTCCTTGGAAGATCTGCTGAATGCTTTTGAGCTTTAATCAAATACACACAAAATTTGAGGCAGCATTGCACAGGGCCAGCCCTCAGGTACCAATCTCTCCCAAGTCCACCTCTACAATATTTTTCAGTACTATCCCCACAGGGCCCATTCATCCTGCATTAGGAGAGGAACCATCTATCAAGTTATACTTTTAATGTTCACAATGCTAACTGTCCCACATAGCCCCGAGAGCGAAAGCAGAAGAGCGTTGGGAAGTTTAATCAACTGGTAGTATAGCTCCGTTTCATCCTTGGCTTTCATGAAATGCTAAAATTATCCCCAGCTCCTTAGAGCGTTATTTGCAGTTCCATATGGTTTATATCCTAGCAATCTAGCAATTCATCAATCTGTTTACATACTGATGTTATACTTAGATTGATATTTAACTCTCCTCAGCATCATTGCCTTGCAAAAGATTTATAAATGACTGCTTTGCAGTAATAGAATTGATATTGCACTAAATGGAAAATAGTAATCATTTAGTTACAAATCATGGTCCTTTTCTTCTTATTTACACATACATAACCACATATTTACACACAAGCATGTAGAGCTGGCTGTGTCAGTGCCCCTGACATTGACAAGTATGTCAAATACTGACTGTTGATTTGTGAAACAGCAACTACAGTTCTGTATATAAACAGCCTCATGTAAAAATGCATATAAAGGAAATACACAGCTATCAATACACACATCCAAAGTGTGCATTTGTCACTCCCTTCTTCTACTTGTTTTCATTTCATGGTATATGTCACAGTGGTATTTAAAATCTGTCAGGAGACACCAACAATGTATGAAATAAACAGCCTTTTTTTCTACTACTATAGCATCATTGAATCTTAAAGTTGGGATTTTAAAGTTTGTTTACTCTGGCTTCCCACCCAATGCAGGAATTGCCTTTTCGGTGACCTTGATAGATGGTTATACAAGCCTCTGTTTGAATACATGGGTTGGGGATCTCATTTCTGCACAGATGTAAATATTACGAAGATCTTCCTTACATCGAGCTATACTGTGTCTCTAGCAATTGTCATAATGATACCAATCAAACTTGTCTTCCTCTTAAAAATGCTCCTTCTTTTATGTTTCCCATCTTAACTAATAGAACCACTAATCAACCACTTCAAAACCAGGCCCTACACAGCCTTCTTGTTTCCATTCAATGGATTACCAAACCCAAGTGAGTCTGTCTTTCTAAAATAGCCTCTTGGGCCTGCTGCCTTCTCTTTGTCCCAGGGATTTTGTCGCCTCTTTCTTGGATTATCGCATTAGCCACTAACTGATCACTCTGCCTCTAATCTCACCCTTTATGGTCCCTCACCCAAGCTGAATCGAGACTTAATTGGGAAAGCCCTGCAATGAAGCCCTATAACATTAGAGGATGAAGCCTTTCCCCTATGATCAGGCTCTGGCTTACCTCTCCAAATATATGCATCAGTGCTCCTCCTAACACCCTTCTCATTGCCTGTTCCAGGCCAGCCCTATGGAACAGTTATGGTTAGTTCCGGGAATGTGCAGTGGTTATTCATACCCCATATGTTTTCATGAATATTGTTACTTTGCCTGAAAGACTGTCTCCTTGGTCTACGTAGTGAAGTGCCACTGATCCTTCATGGCTGTGCCCTAGCATCCACTCTCCCGTGACCCCCTCTCTGTCTCACTGTACCTTCACCGAGCCTTTTGTCCACCTCAATCACAATGACTATTGTTTTCAGTGGTGTTTGTTTAAATGTTTACCTCCCTACTAGAATGTAACCTCATGAAATTATCCATGTTTGGAGCCCTGGGGGAATAGCAAAGTGTATGACTTACAGGAAGTAGCATAGCTCAACCAGTCTCTGCATGTTTGTTGCAGTAAGGAAGGAAGGAAGGGAGGGAGGGAGGGATGGAAGGAGGGAAGGAGAGATGGAGGGAGGGAAGGAAGAAAGGAAGGAAGGAGAGAAGGAAGTAAAGAGGCAGGGAAGGAAGAAAGGAAGGAAGGAAGGAGAGAAGGAAGGAAAGAGGGAAAGAAGGAAGGAAGGTAGGGAAGCGGGGGAGGAAGGAAGGAAGGAAGGAAGGAAGGAAGGAGGGAAAAAGGGGAAGGAGTGAAGAAAGAGGAAGGAAGTGTGGAATAAGTTGGCTTCCCACACCATAGTCTTTAATGTTTACAGACAGGTAGTCCTACCCTGAATTTTGAAAACTATCTTGAAATACTATCTTTTCCTAACTAAACATTCTTCAATTATTCTTCATAAAATACTTTTTGCAGACATTTTACGCTCCTGATAGTTCTTTCTGGATGAGTTCTAGAGCGGAACGAAATATCCCATGTATGTCTGACCAATTACGTAACTATGCAGTTGGTTGTACAGCTGTGACTAAATACACCTAAAGAAAGTTACCTGTTCTATTTGGTATATATTACGTCTAAACTCCACCTACCCAATATTTCTTTCTCATGACTTGCTTCTGTGTCATGATGTCTCATTCTAGGAATGTGCAGTACACACACCTCCTTCTCTAGAGACCTCGCTAGCTACCATCCCTGCTGCCCACATGACCCTTGCTCCCCTGACCACAGCTGATTGGATGGTTTATAGGCCTCTCAGCTCCTCCTGGGGCCTGGACCACCAGTTCCTCCTTCTAGACATTGAGCTAAGACCCGTGGAGGATGTGGCTAGATGGCGGTGGGGCTAGGTACAGCTGAGGCAGCCTTTGATTAATGTGCACACTGAAGAGTAAGCAGAGAGATTCAGTTAGCAGAAAGCAATGGGCTAATGGGACAGACACCAGAGAAAGAGCGATAAGAGATCCTACAGGAAGAAAGACAGGTAGAAGAGAGGGAGGCAGGGGGAAGGAGCAGGAGGAGGAAGAGAGCTGCCTCAGTCTCTGGTCTAGTTATGTGAGGTCCACTTGGGCTTTGTTCCTGGGCGGGGGTTGGGGGGGGTGACTCTAGATCCTTTCACTAACCATATGTATATGCTCTGCATGTATCATTAAAACAGTAGGACCCAAGGCCATTAGAAACTTATAGTACTGTGTTTTAGCTGTACAGTCTCTAGTCTTAGCTGTTCCCGAGAATTTGTCCGAAGATAATGATGCCCTATCAGCATTGAAACTTATTCCTGTGCCTCACCACGGTGCCTCCCCCCAGGGACACACACACACAAACACTGGAAACACACACAGCATTTTGTTTCCTTGAAACCAGGGAGACTTAACCAGGACTCTTAGCCTGCTGATTTTTGTGTGTCAAGAATCAAGCATTACATTTCCTCCTATTAAATGTAACATTTTTGTATTTGTCCATCATGCCAGTACTTCACAATTTCAGATTTCATTAAGTCTCTCTTCACAACTTTAGGCAACGTGTTCCCTGTATCTTTCAAGCTAGTGACCATGTGAAGAAAGAAAAGGAGGGTTGGTACGGCCAGGTCTTCACAAACCCATGAGAGTTCCTTATTCTATCCTAGTCTCTTCTAAAAAATTACAGGTCATCTCTTTAATCATCTAAACCAGAATTTTGAAAACTAAGACATTTTCTCATTTCTAGTCCTCTGCACCTTTTCCATTCTCCATGATTCTCTGGACACTTGGATATTGTCCCAACATATTACATTATTTCTTCCCTCCTCACGTTGGCTTAATCCTTTCTAGTCTGATCTGAAAATCGTTTCTCTTTGTTGTTGTTGAAGAAAATTGAATTTACAAAGGATTATGGAAATTTTTTCTGCTGTGTTAGAGGCAACATTATCCCTACTCAGCCCAAGCATGAGATTACCTCCTTCATGTTCTGGACTAAAATATTTTGTCCAGATCTCAGTTTCTTTCTCAAATTGTGGAAAGCTAGGATAATCTCTACCCTGAGTCTATCATTTTGAAATATCAAAGCATAATTTCTCACTCATTTCTTTTCAAATTCATTTAGTCTGGCTATACACACATAAAAGACAACAAGCATATTAACAGCAGTGAATATTTATTTTTTATTTGCCATATACAAGACACTAGATTAAATACTTCCATCATCTCATGTAATCCCCACAATAGCATTATGAATTTCTGTGTATTAATGTAATAATAATTTATTTATAATGTATTAACTATCCACATTTTTCAGACAAAGAGCTACAACTTAGAGAGATGACGTGGCTTGCAAAGTGATATTCAGGTATCAGACGTTAGAGCAGAGATTTGAGTCTAGTCATGGTTTCCCTCCCCATTTACATCTATGTCAATGAAAGCAGCTAGAACTGATGCTAACTCTCTTAGCCACTGTGCTCATGAAAAGCTAGCTCTTGTCACTATCATTATCATTGTTATTAATCCCATTAAGGTCTCAATGCTAGTCAGTGGTCAGGACGAAACTTAAACCTTGGATGATCTGATGCCTCTCAACATGGATACCAATAAACCCAAAGCCAACAATCTGGTAAATCAGCCATTGATAGACATAAATCCTCAAATTATTCATGGACTTTATTCAAAGTTGTGTTTGTAAGTTAGTCATTTAGAACCCCAAACACATTTCCTCATTGAAATAATGTTTTACATAAGAGCAGCCCATACAAATAAAGCTGAAATATTCTCCATGTACAATTAAAACAGGAGAACCCATGACTATTATAAATGCATAGTGCTGTGTTTTAGCCATACATTCTCTAGTCTTGGCTGTTCCTGAAAATTTGTCTGAAGGTAATGATTGCCCTATCAGCATTGAAACTCATTCATGTTGAGGTCTACATGAGAAAGGTCAAATGATTCTCTAGTGTAGTCATCTTTATGAGCTCCCACCCTCATGCAAGGGCTTGATACCAGGCAGGCAGTAAATGTTTCCTGGCTGAATGAAAACATGCAGTGGGGAGGGGGTAGAGAACACAGGAACCCAAAGGTGATAAGGCAGAATAGTGGGAGAGGTTCACTGAGACCCTTACAAGTATAGCTGTAACTCCATCGTAACTTCTGTTTTTGATGGATACAAGTAGAAAGCAAGGAGAATTGGTGCTAAGCCTGAAATCTGCAGTGGGGGTTCATAATTACCCTTGAAGTCCTGTGCACAGTTGGGATTCCAATGTAACTATTTTAACTAAGAAACATGCATTCCCTCCACAAACCAAGTTAGCCTAAAAGAGAGTTCATTCAAGTTGAATGACCCTGAAGAAGCTTGTTAGTAAACAGTTCACCCACGGGCTCTATATTCTCCCTTAGCTGTTATTAAGCTGAACAGCTTATCTTTAATTTAAAGAAGCATCCACCCAGTATACACAGGTGACTTACACTGGGAATTGCCAGAAGCCATGGAAACATTAACCACCTAGATAACGTTAGGCCCACTAAATTGATGGTTACCATCATGTGCTTATGTTCTTCTCCAGGGGCTCAGAGAAATAGACTTCATTTTAATTGCTACTCAAAAAATGTCCTTGGTGAAAATAATAACAGCATCTTGCTACCACTAGCCCACATTTAAATGACAGGGCCAGGTCTGACTGATGGCTGCCTCAGGGAATATTCCCTCTGCTCTTCTCAGGGGTCCCTTAAGTCTTTCAGTCTCTCATTGTTCATCTGGAACTAAACCTAAATACATCTCTTAAAACCAAATGTCTAAGAAAAATGTATGTACATACAAAACACTTTCACAAATGTTTATAGCTGTATTTATAATCACCAAAAAATGGAAACAAATTCAATCTCATTTGACTGTTGAATGGTTACCCAAACTGTGGTACATCCATGCAAGGGAATATTACTCCGCAATAAAAAGGAACAAACCATTGTAACAGGTAACAACGTGGGTGAATCTCAAATGCATTATGCAGAGTGAAAGAAATCAGACTTAAAAGGCTACATACTAAATGATTACATTTGCAGAACATTCTGGAAAAGGCAAAACTATAGGGACAGAAAATCCATCAGTGGTTGCCAGGGTCTGGAGAAAGAAGAGTCTGACAACAAAAGGGCACAAGGTAATTTTGGGTGGCAAATGACTGTTCCATATGTTGATCATGGGGGTGGTCACATATGAATATGTGTTTCTCAAAAATCCTAGACCTGTACACTAAAAAGAGCAAATTTTAGCACACTTAAGTTATACCTCAAGAAACTGATTAAACATAATAATGAGATAAATTTCTTTTTGTAAAAAGAAGAAAAAATACAAATGGCTAAGTGAGATTATACTATTCTTGGCAGAGCGCAGTGGCTCACGCCTGTAATCCCAGCACTTTGGGAGGCTGAGGAGGGCGAATCACGATGTCAGGAGATCAAGACGATCCTGACTAACACGGTGAAACCCCGTCTCTACTAAAAATACAAAAAAATTAGCCAGGCGTGGTGGCAGGCACCTGTAGTCCCAGCTACTCGGGAGGCTGAGGCAGGAGAATGGCGCTAACCCAGGAGGCGGAGCTTGCAGTGAGCCAAGATTGCGCCACTGCACTCCAACCTGGGCAACAGAGCAAGACTCCGTCTCAAAAAAAAAAAAAGATAAATTTCTTTTTGTAAAAAGAAGAAAAAATGCAAATGGCTAAGTGAGATTATACTATTCTTAACCCCTAAAAGTGTTCAGGTAGGTGTTTTTAGTTGAGAATGATTAAGTTGATAGCTAAGTGTGGGTTAGGATTGGGCAACATCTGCCCAGCAGGGCCAGCTGATTGTTGTTCTGAGAGACCACAGAGACCCTCGTGGGAACAGCATTTCTAACTTGATTTCTAGAATTTGTTGATGGCATAGTTTGGGATGGCAAAGGATGGGTAGGGTAAAAGCCAGAATTGGTGCTTATGGGCACAAGTCCCTAGTGGTTCTCCTCCAGGGCAAAGGGCAGATGTCTGAATGACCTGTGGCCAGAAATATGAGGTGATGCACACGCAGTTTCCAAGTGCTCCACACAGCATCATGCTGAATGCTCCTAAGAACTTTTCACGCCAGGAGCCACCATTCCTGTTGTGTAGGTGACTGAACTGAGGTGGAGGGGAGGTGACTTAGCCAGATCACAGTGAGGAAATGGACTGGAGGCTGGGCCACAGGGCTCCTGAGTTCACGCTTGTTTGCTTGTTTGTTTGTTGATGCTGGTGGTGGTGATGGTGGTGGTGTTCAAATGACATCAAAGCTCTTCATCCTTGATGTGAGTCCATCATCAAAATTTTGAAAAACACCAGACAGAAAAAGATTTTCTCTCCCTGCAAACATAAACACAGGAGTGATTTATAAAAAAATAAAATAAAAGACAAAACAAAGGTCAGAATTTTGTCCAGAATAGTCAGGCTATGGTGACATGAAACCAAGCAGCTGACTTACTAATACAATGGTGTATTTCAGAGGAGCATTTGGGTATGTTGACTACACAACTGAAAACACCTGGATATTTTGTTTTGAGATTAACTGCATGATATCGTCCATGTTGGTCAGGTATCCAGGAATGATTGATTGACACCCTCCCAAGTGAAGACACGGGGCAGTTGAGCACTCCCTGGGCAATTCAGCATCTCACAGAGTTCTGTTGTTATATCTGAAATCACTAGACTCTCCCACACAAAAGAATGGGCAATAAATCAAACCTTTCATACGTCTTCCTGGTACTGAAAAGCCCACTGCTATACTGCACAAGAAACATAGATTGTGGAATGTTTTTCGGTTGGCATAGGAACAGCCTTGGAAATGTTCAGACCAGAAGGGTCAGAATGTTAGGAAGTTTGCAGCAGGAAAAATTCCTGCTGTGACCATGATAAGTTAAATATCCTGACTAGACTCTCTCTTCTCTTTCTGGCACATGGCCTAGCCGAAAGAGCGCCTCGTGTGGTTCTGTAATAGTCACACAAAACAAAATGGACCGCATCCTCCCAAGGCACCCTTGCCCGCAGACCTTTCGAGGCCCTGAAGTGCCTGTATGGGAAACTGAGGCCCAGAAATATGGAGTGCAGGGTTAGTGAGCCTAGAGAGAACATGGAAGTGGGGATGGGACAAGTGCTGTGTGTGCACCATGACATATCACACTGAGTTCCCCTTCTCAGGCCCTGTGTCCGAAAGAGAGCAAGGAGTTTAGAGCTGGCTGAATCCCAACTTGCTGCTACTCCCTGCACTCTGATGATGACAGTGACCCTACCCTGGCACAAACCTCAAGTTTCCTTAGAACCCACTGGCAAGTGGCTCACCTCTTTAGGATGAAGTGAAGAGTATTTCAAATGTCTCTCTTCTCTTTCTCCCTGGAGGTCTGGGAGGGCGTAGGTGGGAAGGTAGGGGAGAGATGGGATAGAGAGGGGCACCAGTGAGGCAGCACAACAGTGGATGAAAGAGAATAAGCAAAAGCCCTCAAGCCCCAGTGTCTTAGAGGACTCTAAACACAGTAATTATACATGTCCATGCCACCTGCAGTCAACCTTTCACAATCTCCTGAACCTCTCTTGGAGCAAACACAGCTTGTGAAAATCTGGATGTTCATGGAAGAGAAATTATGGACTTATATTCCACTAGCAACGATGATACTTTGAAAGTACTCATAAATACCTTCATTAAATGGTCAGCTTTTTTTGTAGTACACTTTAAATATGACTTGATTTCTAAAAATGTGATTTTCCCATAGCTCTTTGAGACCACACCTATTGCATAAACTGAGTCATGCCTGCAATAAAGTCAAGGTTTCCAGAGAAGGACATTCTCCATTTCTTCCACCATTTACCCTAATACTTGGGATTAATGCAGAAGCAGTGAACACGAGAGCTAGGCTGAGCAGAGCAAAGACCTCTGCCTCAAGCCACAGTGGAACCGTTTTGAGCATTATTCTTTGCCAGATTTACAGGGTGACAATAAAGCTTTCTCTGGGCCAGAGTTGTCCTGTGCTAGCATAGAAGGCAGCCTCCCAAGTTACATGGAAAAGGGGGAGAGAGGAAAGAGAAAGTGAAATGGATGAGCTTCCTGATGACTTTATTTTCCATGGTTCTGGGTTTTATGGGGCCAAAGGGAATGGAGTGCATAAGCTATGAGTGAAATGAAGCAATCCAATTGCCTTTCTGACTATATGTTTTTAATCCTGTCTCTCAAGTAGCAGCCAGTTTAACCTTTGAGCATGCCTGTGCCCAATCTGAGTGTTACACTAAGAATCACTTGACTTGGCCCAAAGCTATTTACCGCATTAAAATCACAGTGAATTCTGTAGAAATGATCAGCCAGGAATGGGCTTAGAATCATGGAAACTGCTTCAAGCATAACAGCCACTCATTCAATCAACCAGTGTTTATTGAGCACCTACTGGGTGACATTTTCTACATCAGGCAGCAAGGAACCCACTATGAATATATCCTGGATCTTGGCCTTAAAGAGTCTACAATCAAGTCAGAAGACACATACATACCCACATGGCCCAGAGCTATGTGAGTAAGACTTAAAACGGGGGAATAAAGCAACATGAAGGTAAGGGCGGTCCCAGTGACCTGTAAGTGGGAGTTGCTCTGGTCAGGGGAGGATATCCCCAGAGGATGGTGCTTGATAGAGTGCTGATAATGAGCAGAAAGCGATGCGGTGCCCTCACCATCCTGATTCAGCCACTCCAATGACTCCAGAACCAGGAGTCCCTTCTTCAGGACATTTTTGCCTCGAGGAATTCTCAACCCAAAAAGCAATGGATTTTCTATCAGGAAGGCTGCCAACTTAATTTTTTCCATGAAAATATATACACTCACACACATGCATGCACTTGCCCTTCTCGGTCTTGTCAGATTGATGGCAATTATTTCTTTTGTTCTATCTTCCCAGGTCAGGGAGGCATTCAGATCTAAATTCCAAAGGTGAATAGAGAGCAAATGTACCTCATTTTTGTGATTTCAAGCACTCTTGGGAAAGATTTAGGGTAGTAAATGAATAACAATTAACAATATTTTCCCATCTGATTGGCAGATCATATGGTGTTTGCTCTTTAGAATTAATTTAGCTTTCTAGTAAGGTTATCTTGCACACTTTCCAGGGTCCCCTGATATAAATAGACTAAGGAGTAAGAAGGAAATCAAAACAAGTGTGCATTTGTCTGGAACACAGTGACAACTATTTGGAGTGGAGAAAGTAAATACAAGAAAACAACAATTAGTAGAAAGCTTTAGGACCGAGCTAGTGCCTACAGTATCTTCATCAGATCAACAGGTTAGTCACAAAGGACTATGCTAGAAATTCAGCTCCAAGCCGAGCAGAAGCTATATGTTACAGTGAAAAGATGGGGTTGTCTCTCCTAATTTATTTTAAAAATCAGTTGAAGTTTAGCAAATTTTTTTTTGTAAAGAAATAAAAAAGAAATGTCCTTACTGTTAGTAAATAATGAAAAATGGGTCCAGCTGCAGTCACCTAGAGCAAGTACTTGTCAATGGCAAGCTGGGGGGAAAAATGAGCATTTATCAGCCTGAATACCTTAGTTTTCTCCTTTGGGAGGGGGGCAGAGGTATGGAAAGAAATCCTGTGGCGATCTTTACCTTCATTTTATCTGTAAATCTGAATGAACAATATGCCCTTCATGATTCTATTAACTAAAGAAGAGATGCGTGAACAGAGCCCCTGTTTGCCCAAAACTCCCCCAGTTTTATAGCACTGGGAGTCCCAGGGGCAATCTCTTGGTCCTGGGCAAACCAGGATGGTTGATCACCCTGGGAGAGAAAGAATTCCCAAATCCATTCCCACCAAAGAAATTCTGAAATAAAAAGGGCTTTTTGTCTAGCTCAAAGCACCCTTCCTACCCACCCACTGACTCGGTGGTTCTGGCTCCTTCCTGAATACATGGTGAGTGGACTGTGCTGGGAAGGTAAACAAAAGGAGAAATCCCTTCTTTTCTCTTCATAAGTTCTCTGATTGGTGCCTCTTTCCCATGGCCAACTCAGGTACTGACAGCAGATGAAGTTCTTGGTAAATGAGAATCTCATCCACCTACAAACAGTAAGCTGTACATTCCGAAGAGGCTGTAAGATGTTTCTCCCTAAATCAGTGGTGTCAGCACCACCCACTTGTTAGACATGCAAATCATCAGGCCTTACCTCAGACCTACTGCACCAGGAGCCCTGGGGTGGGAGCCCAGCAAGCTGTGTTTTAATAAATCCCCCAGGTGATTCTGAGGCATGCTCCAGTTTGAGAACTGCTACTCTAGAGACGGATTTTGAAAGATCAGCTATCATAGGTATGCCTGATGTGCCTATTACAGGTACAAAGAATACACTCAGAATTTAGTATGTGAGCTTAAAGAATTTTTTTTTTTTTTTTTTTTTTTTTTTTTTTTTTTTTGAGGCGGAGTTTCGCTCTGTCGCCCAGGCTGGAGTGCAGTGGCGCGATCTCGACTCACTGCAAGCTCCGCCTCCCGGGTTCACGCCATTCTCCTGCCTCAGCCTCCCGTGTAGCTGGGACTACAGGCGCGCGCCACCATGCCCGGCTAATTTTTGTATTTTTAGTAGAGACGGGGTTTCACCGTGTTAGCCAGGATGGTCTCGATCTCCTGACCTCGTGATCCGCCCGTCTCGGCCTCCCAAAGTGCTGGGATTACAGGCGTGAGCCACCACGCCCGGCCGAGCTTAAAGAATTTTTATTGCAGTCCAAACAATGGCTAAACATAATTTTCTTGCCTGATTTATACCCCATGAAGTAGCTAGCCTGTTTCACCATTAGGTTACACTCAGGTCCAGAATGACTATGTTTTCTCATTCTCCAAATCTCCAGAAAAAAAAAAAAGCTTAGAGGACAACTACAATCTGGATGGGGGTAAGCAATAGAACAATCACCATTTTAATTGGAAAGGATCTCCAGCAAACATTCATCTGTGGCACAACCATGCGCTGGGGTCAGAAATTGTCACCCCTGAGAATAAAAGCATCAGTAGATTCTGAAGAATGTGGTTAGATGTCACCTTCTCTCCTCCTCTCCTCCTTTCCGCACTGTCACCCTCACCACACCTATCTTTTCCTCCCCCTGGAAAAAAAAAAAAAAGCAGAAATTGGATCCTAGAAAAGTGCAGGCGCCTCTCCAATGCTGGCCCTGTCAGGGAAGTGACACCTCTCCGTTAGGCCTGTTGGTCTCTGCCCTCCTGGACAAGCCCACTTCAAAGTTGCCCAGCAGCCTAGCTTCCTGGCCTTTAGAAATGGTGATGGATTCATTTAGAATCAGGGGCTACCGAGCTGGGAGCTGAGGTGCTGCCGAAATGGCAGGTGGTTGGCGGTGGCTTGACAGCAATTAAATGTACAAATCTTTGATTAGGCTCCCGGGAATGGAGTCATTAGCAACCCTGAACAGACCAGCTTGCTTTCCACCGCCTCATTAACTGCTCCGCTAATGTTACTTTAAAAAGCCGAGGGGATGAGGGGAAAAAGAACACCTATCCAACACAGAATGAGTGACAAAGCAGAAAGGGAGGGGAAGAGGCCGGGGTAAGCATTTCTAACTGAACAAACAGGTCCCTGCTTTTTTCATGCTGTGGTCGCTGACATGAGTGTGCATGTGCACATTTGCTGGACTGTGAAATAGCCCCATACCTGTCTGATTCATCTGCCAAGAAGGGCTTTTTTTCTTCTTTTTTCTAATCTGCCTTTTCAAAATCCCGGTTGATTCACTCTTCCAGCCAAAGCCTCCGTTTTGGCTCAAAGTCCACATCTATCAGATCTAGAGTGGGGCTACTGCACAGCTGTCTACACCTTTCCAAAGAGTGGTCTGTCTGGAGTCTGCATTCCACCCTTTGGGAGCCACAGAAGCTGTGTTAATACTCCACCTCTGTTGCGTGATCCTGGCTCCCACTGTGATGTTCATCTATCTCCCAGGGATGGCATCCCCAATTGATGTCTACCTGGCAGGTTTCCTCCGTATTATTAGAGAGCTAAGGTCTGGCTAAGCACAGCCATGCATGTTGAAACATCTTCCCAACAGGGAGCTTTAAAACAAGAGGGAAATGTGTCTCACAACCTTAATGTAAAATCCTGTGTGATCATTTATTTGATTAAACTGAATTCATTGCACAATTTATTATTTTTATTTTTCTCAACCTGCCAGTCACTGGATTAATATTTATAAAGTATGCGCCACACATACTTATTGATCATCTGTTATAAACGTCATTAATTTGTTGTGGAAAATCTACAGGTGAAGGACGGTCTCTATCTTTGAGTTTAGAATCTATTAGAAAGAAGCATCCTATGCATCTTCCCTCGTTTTTTTATTTATTTATTCAACAAACATTTGTCATGCGCCTGCTTAGTTTAAGCATTGTTCTTGTCAATAAAAATATGAAGGACAACATAGTATAATAATTATAATTGCATACTATCTGATAAGCATTTTATATGCATTAATTAATTTAATTATCGCAGCAACTCTGAAAGGTAGTATTTTTATCTCCGTTTTAAAGATAAGGGAACTGAAGCACGGAGAGGTTAAGTAACTTGCCCACGGTCACACTATTGGTAAATAGCAGAGCTGAGATTTAAGCCTAGGCAGTCTGGCCGCTTAACAACTATGCTGTGCTCCTTTGAGGTGCTTTTAGCTTAACGGGGAAGACAAACATTAAAACCAACCATTTCAATACAACGTGATTAGCACATCTGGGTAAAGTATATAAAAAATACATGATAGGGAGAAAAGGGAATTATTAACTGTCCATGGAAAACAATTCATAGTTGAAATGATACTTGATCTGGGGTTTGAATCAAGAAGAAAACAAAGCCATAGCCTTCAAGAAATTTTAATCTAATAAACTAGTTCACTAAATGTCCTTGCCACTGTTACGACATAAGTTTCGAAACAAATATATCAAATAAATGGAAAATTCTGAAAAGGAAAATATCACATCCAAGTTTGAGGGTATTGGCAGGAAAGACTTTAACCAAGGAGGTGATATCTAAGGAAGCCTGTAGGGGCTGGTCGAAGTCAAGGATGGAGCCTTGGTAAAAGCAGAGAAGATGGGAGAAGAGAAAAAAAAAAGGATTGGAGGAGG
This sequence comes from Homo sapiens, assembly GCF_000001405.40. Taxonomy (NCBI): domain Eukaryota; kingdom Metazoa; phylum Chordata; class Mammalia; order Primates; family Hominidae; genus Homo; species Homo sapiens. The sequence continues at coordinate 40,089,078 of NC_000013.11, forward strand.
GAGAACAGAGAGAACAAAGATAAAGGTGTTTTCAAGAAGGTGAGCATAAGGACATATGTTGGAAGAATGGTCTGAGCTGAAATATGAAGGACATTGAATGAGAGATTTTATCTAATTCTAGAAATGTATTGACGGTTTTAGGAGTAGGAGAGTGAAATAAAAATGACTTAGGAATACCAAAGAAAGCAATAGAGAAATACAATCAAATAAATATAATGAAAAAGTACATTTTCAAGCCAAGAAATATAAGGGGCTATTGTTACTCAGAATAACAACCTACTACAAAGAGTTTTTACGAAGCTCAAATACGGTAACAGGAGGCATTTCTTTGCAAACCATAATGTGCCGCACAAATGCCATTATTACTTTCAACAATATGTTTATGTGACCTTTATAATTCATTTGTCTTTTGTACAAAGTTAGGAGGCTCCATAAGTTATCTGCATGTCTCCAAGGGCCATTAAAATGGGACAGGCCATCTCAAAGAAGCTTTTTATTTTGCAGTTGACAATAACGAGAGGCCTTTCTAAACTATGTACCAGAGGAATCAGAATGTGCATTCTCAGAGCTCCTTGGCCTCCTGAGGAGGAGGCACTTCTAGAGGGGTGGGGGTTCTTCCTCTATGGCCACTACTGAGGGGGTGGGTCCCTAACAAGGGAGAGGAAGTAATTATTGCTCTTGTGCCACCACCAGCAACAACAACCAAAAAAGATGGTTCTGCTGATTAAACTAAGGTAGCAGGACAAACTTATTTACTAAATTTTTAACATTTTCATCCAGCCAATTGATTTCTATTAAGTCACTGCCTGTTTCTTTTAAAAATAAACTCTTGGTCTTTTGTTCCACTCTTATTTTGTTCCACCTATATGTTCCAGATGCTTGTTAAGTGACTTCCAGGTCTTCCGTCATTTCTTTTTTTTTTTTTTTTTTTTTGAGATGGAGTCTCACTCTGTTGCCCAGGCTGGAGTTCAGTGGCACGATGTCGGCTCACTGCAACCTCCACCTCCCGCGTTCAAGCAATTCTCCTGCCTCTGCCTCCTGAGTAGCTGGGAATACAGGCACCCGCCACCACGCCCAGCTAATTTTTGTACTTTTAGTAGAGACAGGGTTTCACCATATTGCCCAGATTGGCCTCAAACTCCTGACCTCAGGTGAACCACCCATCTCAGCCTCCCAAAGTGCTGGGATTATAGGTGTGAGCCACCACACCCAGCTCCTTCTGTCACTTCTATCTAGAGTTGAATGCCCTGCCCTCAGCATTTCTGCACAACGATCCCTCTTCCCTTGCTAACACTACATGAAGTCCACGCTAGCCCCCAGGTCACAGGGAAATACCTGATTGCTATGGGAGCTCATCCAGTGAAGTCAGGAACTTCCAAATCTTTAAGCTGATTGATAACCCCAGGACAAGGAGAAAGAGACTTTTATTTTTTACTTTTTTTTTTAGTGGCAGAATTTTCCTGTCACTGAGGCTGCAGTGCAGTGGTACAGTCATAGCTCGCTGCAGCCTTAAATTCCTGGGCCCAAGTGATCCTCCCACCTCAGCCTCCTGAGTAGCTGGGACCACAGGTGCAGCCCCGATGCCCAGCTAATTAAAAAAAAAAAAAAAGTTGTGTAGAGACAGGTTCTCCCTATGTTGCCTAGGCTGGTCTCAAACTCCTGGCTTCTAGTGATCCTCCCTCCTGGACCTCCCAGAGCACTGGGATTATGGGTGTGAGACACTGTACCAGTCTAGAAAGAAACTTTTAAGGTTAAATATATTGTTTTTCATGATTATGAATTGGAGCAAAAATAAAAATGGGGTCTCATCCATGAAATAATGATAAGACAGACATAATCTCTTTTGAGATAATTTCTTGTCCTTGAGCCTTTTGGGGATAAATAAGAAGACAGAAGGACTATCATTAGCTTTCCTGAGCTTATTTTCATGGCTTTTCCTTGAAACTACCATTTCACCAGCATCCCCAATTGCCTTTGCATTCCTGGACTTTCTCTGTGCCTAAGTGGCAAAGCTCCAAGCCTGAGTGAATACTACAGTCTGCATTTCTCATCTTAAACTCAATTCATTAAATGAGGAAGGAGAAATATTGCCCAGCATTGCAGATGGGTGCTGCCGTCAATTCATGGTCTTCCATTTTTCTCTTGTCCTTCCACAGTCCCCTTTGGGTAGAAACTCCAAATCTTCACAATTCTCCAGAGAGGTCTTAATAATCTACTGTATCCCTCACTTATAGCACATGGCCTCCACTTCCACATATTTTAAAAACTTGAGACTGTTATGTGCAAACTTCAAGGTGGTGCACACCTACAAAAGCTTTCATCCACTCATTTTTTGCCAAGAACCTAACAAAAGATGGAAAAGATGGTGGGTTTTGCCTGTTTGTTTTCTCCTATTTTATTCTAGACCAGGCTGTTTCCTTGTGAAGCTCTTGGTATTGTGTCCACCTGTCTCTTTCTGAACTTCTTTTTCTTTTGGCTCTAAAACCTCTTCCTCTCCATAAGTTCTTTCCTATTAGATAGAAACTTTCTTCAATCTCTCCCACTAGAACAAAAAACATTAAGCATACTCTAGCTCTGTTTTTCCATTCCTTCCTCTGGCTACCTCCCTCTCTCTCTCTTTTCTCAACACAATAGCTGAAATAAAGAAAGGGTCAGTGCTGTCTGTCTCTGCTCCCTCACCTCACATTCCTTCCTCCCCACTCTCACCTCCTTTTCCTACATTTGCAAAATCAGTTGGCCCTTCTCTGTCCTACCTTGGTGGGCCTACACATGTCATTTAAGATGGTGGATCTCTTCTCTCTCCTAACTCTCTATTCTCTTAGTTTCTGTCACACCTCACTCTATTATTTCTCCTTCAACCTCTCTGATCAGTCCTTCTTGGCTTTATTAGCTAATTTTCTTCTTATACTCCTTAAATGGTATTGTTTCCGAGTGTTTCGTTTTGATCTCTCTTTTCTCACACCATGTTCTTTCCCTGGGTAATCTCATTCACTCTCATGGTCCCATAATCATCAATGTGCTGGCAACACCCAAGTCTGTGTTTCTAGCTGGGATCTTCTTCCAAGTTTCAGTATCATATATACAGAGGTCCACCTGGCTACCTACAGATTCCTCAAACTCGGTTTTTTGTTTTGTTTTGTTTTGTTTTTGAGACAGGGTCTCACTCTGTCACCCAGGCTGGAGTGCAGTGGTGGGATCTTGGCTCACTGCAACCTCTGCCTCCCAGGTTCAAGTGATTCTCCTGCCTCAGCCTCCCCAGTAGTTGAGACTACAGGTGGGTGCCACCACACCCAGCTACTTTTTGTATTTTTTGGTAGATATGGGGTGTCACCATGTTGGCCAGGCTGGTCTCAAACTCCCAACCTTAGGCGATCCACTTACCTCGGCCTCCCAAAGTGCTGGGAGTATAGGCATGAGCCACCTACCCTGCCAAACTCAGTGTTACTGATTAATCTTTACCTGTGTCTTTCCTGTATATGCTTCTTTGACATGTCTCCTATATCAGTAGATGAGTCACTGTTCATCTAGTCACCTAGCTTAGAAACCCTGGGGATGTCCTCAGTTCTTTCTTCTCCGTTACCAGCTCCTATCACATTTACCACCTAAAGTTCTCAAATACGCCCCTTCCTTTTAATCCCCGTGGCTGCTTCCCTGGGTTAGGCAGGCCATTATTACCTCTCACCTGGACTACTGTAATATTGCTCACCGGACTTCTGGCCTCTAGTCTGATCCTCCCTCCCCAAATCCATTCACTGCACTGACCCCCGAAGGAAACAAACTATCTGAATTTTAAATCTGGTCATTCCCATGTTTAGAACCCTTTAAAAATCCCCATTGGCCGATAGAATAAAAAATCAATGTGTCCTCAGCTTCACTGCTCACCATTTGCCTTCCACTGCATTTCTGGTAACAGTGAACCACTGATGGTTGTCATCATCATTGCCATCATCATCATCATCATGAGTAAATACTCAGTGAGTGTTTACTATGTACCAGGCACTATGATCATCTCTTCATAGACGTTGTATCACATGGTCCTCACAATTCCCCATCTGGTAAGTACTGTCATGATTTTCATTTGTACACAAGGAAACTGAGTCAGAAAGAGGATAAGTAAATTGCCAAAACAGCTAAAAAGGACCTGCGTGTTGTTCTAACTTTTCAGCTTTAGATCCAACTATTCACCTCCTGTGGCCCGATTTTTGAGCACTCATCCTCCCTTTGGCCTTCCAGCTTCCATACTCTTGCTTGCGCCACTTTGCCTGTCTTTCTCACCTTTGCAATTCCTACCAATGTGTCAAAGGCAGCTCAGACAGCACTTCTTATCTGCAGCCTTATCTCCCCTCCTACCCTTGGCCAGAAGTGACCTTCCAATGGTTCTTCTCTACATAAACCATTCGGAAAGTAATTAAACAGCAAACTAATTCTATAATGTCATAAAGCATTCTTTTTCATGGTCCGATCTCAAAACCAATTGTTTGCTGTTCAGGTTTGTGTGTAGTTGTGACTTTTCTCTCCAGGGAGAGTGTAAGTACTTTGCATGGTTTACACTTTTCTCCTGCAGTGCTCAATTAACAGGAGACTGGTGTTTTTTTCTTCTCTTTAAGCCCTTGACTCTTCCCAACCTTCCCATCATGATGATCTTTTTTAAATTCCAGGCTCAAAGAAGAGACTTCTTTTAATATCTCCTCTCACCCTAACACCAAATCCATAGATCCTTTGCCCATGACCTCTGACGGATCTGTTTCTCTATCTGCAGCTTTCCAGCCCTAGGCCTGACCTGCAGAGCCCACTGTTAGATCCAGTGCCACACAGAGAGGATCAAACAGGAGCGTCCAGATCAACTTCTACGTTCTCCATTTCTCCAAAAGCAGCTATGCTAGCGCTGTGGCCACGGGTTAAGCAAATCTCAAAAGTTCATGTTCCTTATGTACTTTTAGCAGCTCTATAAGGGGAGGAGCTGAGAGACAACACACTTACAGAATTCCCATAACGTTGAGAAAATCAGGAAAACCCCCTTGAACACTGTAATAGGTAAAGAACAGCTGCCTTTACTAAACCCTACTGCAAATTTTGAGCTGGAATCAAATTGCATGGAATAACTAATGCACCCTTGCAAGGTGTGATGAAACCAGCTTACTTGTGGTTTAATTTTCCATTCAATATCCTGCTCTGTTTTATGAGCCATATAACCTTGTGATGCAATTATGGCTAACGTACAGACTCAGGCAGGAGGCAGGAACCCGTGAGCTGGTTACAAAAGACCGTGACATGGATGGATCACTGATGTGGAAAAGTCAGGGGGCATGGACTCAGGTGGCAGAAGTAGCTGGAGAGAGGTTTTGGATGAAGACTTTGGTGACAGAAAGTGTAGCATTCGAAAATAAATGCTATAATATGAATAAATGAGTCCTGGCTGATATTTAAAAGTGACCAATAGAAGGGGTAATTTTCTCACCAAAACTTCATATTATCTCTTCATGGTAACAGGAACATAGATATCACAGGCCACCCTATTACCTCCTTTACAGATGATCTCTTTTCGTAGTGTCACCCTGGCAGGAAAGATTTGACAGAAGCCATATAGTTAAATAATAATTTTACTAACTACTCTTCAGGGGCTAGGTGCTATCTGAAGTGCTTTATAATATTAACTCACTTAAGCCTCTTGACAACCCCATGATACAGCTATTATTATCTTCCCCATATAAATGAAGAAACTGAAGCCAAGAGGATTTAAGTCTCTAGCTAAAGGCCACATGGTAACAAAATAGCAGTGGCTGGATTTGGACTCTGACAGTCAGACACCAAACCCCATAGCATCCTCCTCTGGTGTCTGACCATGTCTTTGTATAATATAGCGCCTTCTAGTTTTCAAGCACTGTTGTAAGTGGGTTTTTGTTTTGTTATTTATTTATTTATTTATTTATTTATTTATTTTGAGATGGAGTTTCGCTCTTTTTGCCCAGGCTGGAGTGCAATGGCATGATCTCAGCTCACTGCAACCTCTACCTCCTGGTTTCAAGTGATTCTCCTGCCTCAGCCTCCCGAGTAGGTGGGATTATAGGCACCTGCCACCACATTCGGCTAATTTTGTATTTTTAGTAGAGACAGGATTTTGCCATGTTGGCCAGGCTAGTCTCGAACTCCTGACCTCAGGTAACCCAGCTGCCTTGGCCTCCCAAAGTGCTGGGATTACAGGCGTGAGCCACTGTGCCCGGCCATGTAAGTGTTTTACATATACTAACTAAATCCTCACTACCACTCTATGGAATAAGGACTATTATGGTCTTCATAGCTTGGATGAGGAAACTGAGGCACAGAGAGATTATGAGACTTACCCAAGGACACCTTCCTCATGAGAAGCAGGGACTGGATGGAAAGGCAGGTGCTCTGGTCCCGAGGCCGTGCTCTCAAGCACTGGTTGTAGGACCCACTCACTGGAGAGGAGAGGCATAAGAAGGGCTACCTCACTTAGCTGCCCAGAGGTAGTGGGTGTAAGGCATTAGCACTGAGTGTGGAATGGGGGTGTCCCACCCAGCACATGTCCCCAGACCCATCTGAAGGCTTCCACATCCCCTTGGTTCTCTCTCTCCCTCATTTCTGGTGCAAGGCATCCAGGCCCTCTCCTCTGGCCACAGTCCTTCTCAGAGCAGACCAGGTGGCCGCACTCTGGCTCCCTGGGGCCAGGTTTTTTGGCCCCCATGTCTCATGCAAGCTGAGCTATTATCGCATGGCTACAAGACGTGGTTTTCCTAGAAAGGGACTCAGTGGGGCTGAAGTCCTTGTGTGTTCTAATCCCTTCTGTGGCACTTTGTCTGCAGGGGCCGAGCGATCAGCCTGGCTTGTTCTCGTGCCTGTCCAGATGCCTTTCACATTGTCTGTTTGTTAACCTGCATTTTTGGCTTTGCACCTCAGACTCTGTTTACTTGTCTGCCTGCTTGTTCTCAGTTAATAAATTGGAATTGATTTGGCGACTTCACAAACAAGTGAGTCTCAATCTTGTTTAAAAATAGGGATGGGAGGGTGAAGTGTAGGATAGATCAGAGGGTTGGGGCTGGGTCGGGGGACTGTATAGCTCCTGTTTCTGATGATTTCCCAGTGAAGCTTACATAAAAGAGAGAGTTGTGGGGAGGGCGAGCAACATTTGGGCTGAAAGCTCAAAGTCCTGTTCCCCTGTTCTTGGGACAAACATTGCAGAATTTCCAAATGACAACTCTAAATGGTTTGCATTTGATATGAGAAACAAGAATGGCTGGCATAGCTCTGTCAACAGACAAAAGATGGGGAACATGAAGCTTTCAGATTCTGCTGTGCAATATAAATGTAGCCAGGGAAAGAGTGGAGGAAGTCAAGTTCAGGGTATAAAGCATAGCCTCTGGAGCTTGGTTGCCTGGGTCCCTGCCCCAGCACTGTGACTAACTAGACATGTGGCCGTGAGCAGGAAATGAACATCTCTGTGCTCAGCATCCTCCAAAATAGGACAGTGGAAATTATGCCCTCCCCGTGGGGAGATGGTGAGAATCACTTAGTTATCATTTGCAAAGCACAAGGCATAACGTCTGCTGCGTAGTAAACTCTCAATAAGGATTAGTGATCATTGTTCCCAGTGAATAACATAATGGGAACCTGAGCTAGGACAGGTGGTTGCAGAAAGGAATTGCTGCAAGGCTGTGAAGAGAATATAAGCTGAGCTTGCTTGTTCTGTGCCTCTGCTGATGCTGTTCTTATTGCCAGTTGGTTAACCTGCCTTTACCTGTTAACCTGTAAAAATAGGCTATGATTCTAGGAAGGCTGTAATACTATTCTTAACCTTTTGTGGACATTTAAATGTTTTCATAATAAGATGTCTTTAAAATGCCAGGAGTTTGTGATGGATTGTTTTTGTTTGAAATATATTATTCTCTTTCTAGAAACTTTTTTAAAAAAAACTTCATGTAATAAGGTTAATAAACCAGAAATAGAAAGGGGAAAGTAAGATCCAGAGGAAAGAGCAAACGGCTAACACTGCCTTACGAAAACACTTTAGAGCCAGACAAACCTGGGCCCACATCCCAGATGTACCATCCAGAGGTTTGGTGTCTTTGGGGAACGTACTAATTCGCCTGTTATTTGTTTGTTCTGCTCATAAAGCAGACTGATGGTCTCTGCTGCTGGGATTGCAGTGAGCTCTAAATGATATGCCATAGGTCATCTCCCAGCCCTCAACAGGGGCCCTCACACAGTGGGCCCTCAACCAACGTGACATCTTTCTTTCCTGCAATAGTGGAGTATAGGAGGTAGGGAGGAAATGGGGTGTGGAGGGGGAGGGGAAGAAAACTCCAAGGCAGACAACATGAGTTTTGCAAACTTGATGAGAAATTGGTTTTGTACACTTTGTTGGAATGGACTCAAAGCAAAACTGTGCAGCAGGTGTAAGTAGAGTGGAAGCGTAAGGAGGTGTAAGTAGAATTTTTTCCTTTTCCTTCCTGGCCAATGGCCTCTCCCACAGGGTCCTCAGAGCAGAGAGTGTGACTCATTTGTGCATACAATAAACAAATAGAATGACTTGAAATATAATGACTTCTAAGAAAATTTGCATTTTCACTATGCATAAAAGCCATAAACAAAAGAACAAAATACCAGTAGATGCATTTCAGCAGGTACTGTAGAGGGGAGATTTTATTTTTATTTCTTCGAGGGAAAGCTGGCAGAGCAAAGGAAGGGCCTTGCTTGTCCTTGAGCCGTTGGCTGGGTGAATGAAGGGGGAAATGTGAAGCTTGAATTCAGCGCTACTCACTTTTAGGTGCTGACTCTGGTGGACAGTGGGGGATCCTGAATGGTCACAGCCCAGCAAGAAGTGGAGCAGGAGCTTCAGCCAAATGGAATGAGGCAGGATGCTTGCACAGGTCTTGAGGCACCAGTGTGGACAGGGAGGAAGAGGGAAAAGGTCTCAATGTGCCAGGTAACACAGAAGCTTCAACAAACATCATTTCACTGAGTCCTCACAACAGCAACATGAGGAAGACAAGGCTCTGTGAGGCCACGCAATGCACACAACATCACACAGCTCACAACTGGCAGAGCCAGGATCTGAACCCAAACAGCCTGATGTCAAACAGCCCCCCAAGACTGCATACCAGGCAACTAAGAGGAGAACCAGGAGTGTCCCTGTGTCCCCACAACGAACAACTTAACCCAACCAAGCCACAGTAATTGGCGTGTGTGTCCCATGTGGGCATCTCATGAACGCAGCCCATGTGCTGGCCTGTGCTCCACCTGCCCCCTGCATCCGGAAAGGGGAGAGGGCTGGGTCCAGGGCTGTCATCCACTATCATTCTGCCATCCTTCATTCCATTTCAAATAATTGGCCTTGGCTGCCCCCACAGACTGGTCTCCATGGGAGGCGATGTTCTGGCTGACCGTAGCCTGGCCTTTCCAGCTGTCTGCAGGAAGGCCTGCATTTCACACCCTTCCTCCCCATTCTCTCTTCCTCCCACCTCACCTGCTGCGCCTGCTGGTCCATTTTCTACTCCCTCCCCAGAGCTTAGTTTTGCTCTCTAGGTAGATACACAGACGACTGCCTCTTCCAGACACTAGTGGGCCACTGCTTCCGGGTTACCGTGGATGACGTTGATGATAAGGAGTGCACACAGTCTAAGCAACTCAACTGAGACCCTGGAAAATGTGCCAACAACCAGCTCTTTCTTTTTGGAACTCTTGGTGGGGCTTTGGGATAAATATTCCACCATCTTTTGTCATGGCACATGCTGACTCTGGTGGACAGTGGGGGATCCTGAATGGTCACAGCCCAGCAAGAAGTGGAGCAGGAGCTTCAGCCAAATGGAATGAGGCAGGATGATTGTACAGGTCTTGAGGCACCAGTGAGGACAGGGAGGAAGAGGGAAAAGGTCTCAATGTGCCAGGTAACACAGAAGCTTCAACCAACATCATCTCACTGAGTCCTCACAACAGCAACATGAGGAAGACAAGGCTCTGTGAGGCCATGCAATGCACACAACATCACACAGCTCACAACTGGCAGAGCCAGGATCTGAACCCAATCATAATCTGAATCAAAAAATGAGACAGGAAAGAGTGACTTCTCCATCTTAGAGCTCTGGGGCATGAAGTAAGAAAGCCTGAGAGGAGAAAGGAAAAGGCATTGAGGGGAGGGGAAGGGCCAAGCCACTTGGAGACAGGTTATGACACAGAAATACCACCTAAGCTCTCTGTTTCTCCCCATGGGAAGTGGCAGCAGCAACAGCAGCAGTTTGGGAGCCTCCAGCCTCACCAGAAGACATTGGCCTCTGGGACCACACCTGAGTTTTGCTAATAGGGTGAATCCTGGTGGGACCCTAGATAGTTTCAGGATGGAGGTTGGCCAGGCCTGTAAGACCAATCATGTGATTAGAGGCTCGGGGCTTCAAGCCATTTGCTATTCACCAGCCTCCCAGGAGAGGCACTGGAGATTGAGCTCAGACATGTGGTCAATGATTCAATCATCCATACACAGTGAAACCCCAATAAAAACTCTGGACCCTGAGGCTTGGGTCCCCTTCCTTGGTGGTGAACACATCAGCGTGCCAGCAGGGTGACACATTCTGATTGTATGGAGACTGGGCACAGAAGCTCTGCATTTGAGACCATCCCAGGCCTTGCCCTAATATCTTCTTTTGGGTGCTCCTGATTTGCATCCTTTATAATTAAACTGTAATTTTAAGTATAACACTTTCCTGAGTTCTACAAGTTATTCTATCAAACTATTGAGCCTGAGGGGGTTGTAGGAACCCCTGAATTTGTAGCCAGTTGGTCAGAAGTATGGAAGCCCAAGGAGCCCTAGAATTTGTGGCTGAGATACTAGTGCTGAGGAGTGAATTGATTACTAAACAATCAAATTCATTTGGTGTCTTTAAGATGGAGAAAATTTCACATAGTTCAGATACTGCCTAATTATTCTGTTAAGAAAAGTGAATTGGCTTGGCCCTTTGCAATTTGATCGGTTGCTTGGCAATCAACTCGCCAATAGTCCTTGCCTCCTCATTTTTCTTTCCGATTTTAATTGTGGCATTGGAATAAAAGGATAGTCTATCCATCTGCTGCCTTAGATTTTGAAGCTTAATTTAAAAAGTCAATCCTTGGACTATTTTTTAAATTCCCAGACCAAAGGAATCTAACGATTATTTCACAGCCCTTCTATTTCTTTCTTTTCACCCACATCCCTCAATCTCCTCAGTACCCTTTTCATCTCTTTAAAAGATATGAAAACAAAACTAAATGTAATAAAGATTTAGGCAACGCTAAGAACACAAGAAATTCTATTGGCTCCTATTAATCATGTTCTAACTCAACTTAATTGTACATATTTTGCTTGTTCATATTCAGCAGTGCTTGTGTTCCACTATGACCCCTAGATCTCTGTATGTCATGCTTGCTTGGATTTCCACCTCCTTTCTCCCAATCTCTCCCTTTCCCCAATATCTCTATATCTTTGTATAATTTGTTTTACCCCTAAAGGTGATGTGTGCACCAAAATCTCAGAAATCACCAGTAAAGAACTTATTCATGTAACCAAATATCACATGTTCCCCAAAAAATCTATTGAAATAAAAAATAATTTTTTAAAAAATAACAAAATAAAATTACATTAATTAACTATTTTATTTTACTTTATTTTATTTTATTTTTTGAGAAGGAGTCTCAAAACTTGTTGCCGAGGCTGGAGTGCAGTGGTGCAATCTCAGCTCACTGCAGCCTCCACCTCCTGGGTTCAAGTGATTCTCCTGCCTCAGTCTCCCAAGTAGCTGGGACCATAGGCATGTGCCACTACACCCAGCTAATTTTTGTATTTTTAGTATTGATGGAATTTTACCATGTTGGCCAGGCTGGTCTTGAACTCCTGACCTCAAGTGATCCTCCTGCCTCAGCCTCCCAAAGTGCTAGGATTACTGGCGTGAGCCACCATGCCCAGCCTTAATTTATTATTGCTTTCAGCAACATTATATTTTATCCTATGCATAGTTTATTAGGCCACATCAAATTTTCTCCATATTTTAAGTACCTAGTGACAATATCCCAATTTATGACATTTGCCTGTGATTAGAACTGTTGGTTTTCCCTTTAATGGAAGTGTTTTTCACTCTTGACTGCTTGTAGTACAACATGGTCAGAACACATCCGCAGCCCTTTCTAAGGGACACTGTCCCACCCAGGGCCACTGCTGAAATGGCAGTTCTCGATGGACCCCTATTACATCTGTCCTCATCTGATTGGTCTGGAAGTAGACACCTGCCTCAGGGATGCCTGTCCAGGCTTACCGGGAGATCTACTGTAAAGAGCTGAGCACTACCAGGAATTCACTGGACCAATCATATTCTCACTCACAGGACTTTGAATTGGAAAATACACAGAGACTCAAGCTGCTATCAGGGGCTGAGGTTGAAAGAGTGCACGAGTAGCCTTGAGTTAGCTGAAGTGTAGAGTAAGCCAAAATTGTGAGAAAGTGGAAACTACCATTGAGCAGAAGATTAAGTGTAGAGAAGTTGTGTTAAGTCATGGTGGTGAGAGGAGAAGCTAAAGCACATACATCAAGAATAACCAGAGCCAGGGTTGGCCAAGCCACTTTAATGGCAGAGCATGGGATTCACCGCCCCCAAGTGCCAAGGTCCCTAGAGCCTCACTGCCTCCAGCTCTAGTCTCTGTGTGGACTAACCACACAGCAGTTTCTTATGAGAGAACTTCCTTCTTCATTACCCCTTGCTTCTTGCAATAAACCAGCCCTTATTATGTGACCTGGTTATCATGGGTCATGCTTCCTTGTAACTCAATGAGCCCACACCTGCTGCTCCCACCTGTGCCTGGGTGGTGGAGAAACTGACAGGCAGCACTGCCAAGGGGCCATGCCACTAACTTGTAGCTGTCATTCCACCATGGGGCTCAGCTCACTTGCCCCACAATGCTTGTTTCAACATGGACTGGCTGCTTAGTCAAAAACTCCCTCTCCCAGAACTGGCTCTCCAACAAGAATGGCTAAAGGATCCAAGGTAAAAAGAAACAAACAAAAATACGTAAAGGTCATATGCCTTGCACTCCTTTGTCTACCTGGAAAGAGACAATTGTTCTGGCTGTATCAGCTTATCGGCCTCCAGGAAACTTTTTGGTTATGCATGAAGTCCGCCCTCTGTTCTGTGAGTCCTGGTTTCTAAATGATTCACAGGTGTGTGGCAGGAGAGGCACTTTCCAACTCTGAGTAAAAATGATGCCAGAAAAAATCAGAGTGACACACTGTTTCTTCTCTTATGCCTCAGCCTCTAGTTGTCCTGCCAGACAGCAAGGTTTTGGGTACAATCAGCCATAAAATCAGAAGAGAGTGAATATTTATGAGCACTGCCCCACTTTGGGCAACTGTAGGGTCAAAGAGACCAATATTTCACCCTCAGAGGGATCAAGAAGAAAGAGTACCTGAACTCAGTTCGGATATGTACATAGTGCATAGCGGGGCTAGAAGCAGCCTGAATGTCACTGATCAACCTCACCTCTTTCACCTAGGACTGTCCCAAGTCATCGACAACAGAGGGGACTTATTCAACCCCCAAAACACATGCAGGTATTTAGATTCCCCACCTCTTGTATCTGGCTGATGGATAACACCCTCAAATACACCCAGCTAAGTTATAAAATCTTTCTAGAGCTAACGCCTTAGTGAATTTGTTTATTCACTGGGAGCAGGTCTCCTGGACCATTTGACCCCACAATTCCACTCCCTTGTGTTCACACTCCAGGGGAGGTTCCAGGAGAAAACTGTCTCATGTCCCCTCTCTTTTACTGGTACTGGTGATTACACAGCTGTTCAAGTTAAGATGGCTCCCTACCATGCATCCAGGGCCCACTCTGGCAGGGAGAGTGGCTTACCCGCTTAACCTGGCATGCCGAGGTCTCGGCTGTGCCCCTGAATCATTGCTGAGTGCGTCAAGGACTCCAGTCCCCAACCCTCTGCAGGCCTGACTCATGCAGCAGCTTCCCCAGAGTACGCCCACGGGCTCCAGGTACTGCTCACAAGCTGGTCTCCTCCTCCACGTAGACACACAAACAAAGCCAGTTACTAGGCTTGCTAAGCTCTGCTTAAAGTTACAGGGCCTTGCCTTTGGGGCCGCAGGCTGCCTCATGCACGCCTCTCTTGTTGTGGATGCTGGGCTCTTCCATGACAACATAGGAAACCCACCAAGGGTCCCTTTCACATTGATAATGATGTTATGAAATCTGCGGCCAATCTTGAAAAATGCAGTGCCTTATGGGAGGGGAAAAAGAGGCTGGGAGGGCAAGGGAACTTTATCAAGCAGCAACCCCAAGGCCAGACCTTGGACTCCTGGGCCCAGCCTCAGAGACTGTTTCAGGACATATGATAGAAACTCTCGCTACTGTCTTTTTAAAAAGAATCTCAGATGATTCTGATGATTCAGACAGGTTTGGGAACCATTCTCCTGGTACATACGTGTATACACACACACACACACACACACACACACGACTACATTGTATGTAGATAGGACTACATAGATATGACTGTGTTGTCATAGCAGAAATAAAAAACCAGAAAAGAATCGTGCATGTGTGGAGTCTTGTGTGGGAAGGCGGGAGATCTTCCATTAATGAATAAAATGATCTGGAGTAAATCCCTTCTCTGCCCCAGGCCTCATCTGGAAAGTAAGAATTTAGATTAAATTTTCTCCAAGATCTCTCCAGCTCCAATGAATGTGGATGCTGCACATTCTACAAATCGCTCACTGCCTTCAGACTTTAATTTTTTTTTTCAGGCAATCAGTCGTTATTTGAAAAGAGACATACAATTGGAGATAACCCAGAAGGATCTTTTTATTATCTTCACATAGGTGACTAATATTTAGAAGGATAGGTAACAAGAGCAGGTAGTGGGAGTATGAATTAAAGAGGATGAGCTGGCTGAGGTGTAATTGAAACCTTCCCCATCAAGTAAATATAATGAACCCATTGCAAACTGTAAACAGAGAAACTCCCTAGCTGGGCGTTGTGGGAGTTGTCATACGGAAAAGTGTTTATACTGGGAAAAGTAGCCAAGTTGCAAGATGGGATTAGGGGAATATCAGAGTTGGGGAGTAGAAACAAGATAGCAGCCACCAGCGCAGGGAGCCAAGTCTCTTCTCTTGCTAAATTCAGAGGGGCATTTGGGTGCTTCAGGCAGAGATCAAGCCAAGGAGGCAAACATTACTGCCTGGCTTATGGCTTTCAAAAAAGCAGGAATTGAGGAGCATGAGGCCACAGAGGAAGGAAGAGGTGGCATTTCAAGGAAGAGAATCTAAAAGAATTGTCCTGGCTTCCTTCAAGTGCTGGTCACGGCTATATGAGAAGATCAAGTGCTGGTCACGGCTATGTGTGAAGATTCAGCCCCGATGAATAATTATGTATTTATTCAATAGCTAATATTTCCAGTCTGGGAGCTTGAGGAAGACAGAAGTGGGTATATTTAGTAAGAATCCTAGGAAGGTAAGGAAGTAGAACATGAACCAAGTCTACTCGAGGTCTTGAAGGAGGTAACGTCTCAGTAGTTGTGGGTTGAGGCACGTGGATTTCATAAACAGAAGTGATAATTCGCAGTGATTACAAGCAGGCTACACAAATGATGTTTAATGGCTATTACATAGTATTTTCAGTAAATCAAATTTATTTATGTAAATTTGAGGTGCTAATTTCATGTGTGATCTTCCTAAGGGCACCAAGAAAAGGAAACAGTGCCACAGGACAATATTCAGCAAAAGAAACTATCGTGGGGATCTTTTTTTAATGGAACTTACTGCTATCAATGGTGAATCAAATCTTTTCAGGTTCCCTCCATTTTAAAAGGAAAACTAAAACATGGACAAAATGCCATCAGAGTCTACAAATCTCAGAGGAGACAGATGAACCCTCTCTAGCTCTGGAAAACTAATCTTCCCCACGTCTAATCAGAATGCTCCATCCCACCATATGTATTTTGTCATAGATATGCCACCTCCCTTTTGGACAACATCTATTTTTCCTTCATATCATAAGCATGGCCTTCTTTGTTAACCTTCTTTCATGGGTCTCATTCTGAAGACATTATCAATGGTCACTATTTTACATCTCTGAAACTGTCATACCTCTCTTCTGCATTTCATGACTCAGTTCTGTGGATCTCTTATACCCTACATAACCATCATCAGCTTCTTCACTCTCTTGCCATCTGACTTTTGGACTCACGGAAGCCATCAATGATCTCCTCCTTATCAAACTCAATGACATTGCTGGGTTCTCATCCTTAGAACTTCTTCCTTAGCGCTCTTCCTAGCCCTGGCTTAATGAATAACTTCTTCCATTTCTCCTCCACATCTGCTCCCTCATTCTGTCTCTATCAGTGAGTGCAAAGTCAAATGATAGCAGATGTCAGAGAGGTAACATACATGACCAAGGCAGGCCAGAAAGGAACTAGCGCTAAGGAAGTGCTCAACTGAAGAAGGCTGGCTGGCTGCTACCCACCTCTGAACGACGACTATGCTCAGGGGAAAGGAGGCCCAGTGCCATCAGGTGTGCAAAGTTTAAGAGAATCCAGAAATCTGAACTTTTAGGGAGGAAATATCCTCTTCAAACATTAGAAATTAGTTCAAAAAATGTTTTCTTACAAATACTTGCAAGCCAAATTAGGCACATCAGAGTGGAGACCAGCCCCCAAGCTGTGTTTTCCACATCTGCCCCACTCTGCCTCCTCTATTCCACCCCATCAATTACATAAGACCCTGAGGCCAAGAAGGTCCTATGTGAGGTGGGGAGTAACCCACCCATGGACAGAATTGTTTGGTATGGAATGGAGAGATATGCTCTATTTGTGTGAGGAATAACATGCAGGAATTTTCTTGAGGGGGCTGGAGAAGCAGAAAGGGAATTCAGGAAAGACAAATGGAAGCATCATCGATTATGAGAGTCTCTGTTGGGCTTCGTTGGCTGCAAAGGAAAAAGACATATCCAGATTCCCAAAAGTATTGGAGGTAGAACATGACTAGACTTGAGATCCATGGCAATTCTAGCAACCTGATTATCCAGGTAGCAACCAGCAGCAGATGCTTGGTGATTTCTCTCTGGTGTTCCTCCTTAACAAGCCTCAGTTACTGTCAGATTCCAGCTCTCTTATGCACCTTCGTTCCTGGGCTCTCCTTCTAACTAGTGGGCATTTGTCTACATCTCCAGTTGAGTTCCTTCAAAGAATTCCAGTTTGAGCCTAATGATTTTCTGACTTTATTTGAACACTGCTTTAGTACCAGACTACCCACAGGCTGCAAGCCATGTAAAATTTGATTCCGTTGAGTCTCTACTCATGGGTCCAGTGTCTACCCCTGGTCAAATACATTGCAGTGGGCTGGAAGATTGTGTGGTGTGTACAGGACGCAGTCAGCTTGAGGCAACTCTCGTACTAGAAGCCTGGATGAGGCCAGCAGCTAGGGGATGAGATAGTCTTCTCTAGCCAGTGACTCTGGGGATGCCATTAGGAAGTGACTGAAACATTCAGAACAACTAGTGCTGGAACAGGGAAGGAGTTTCAGAGGAAAAAAGGAACTCTGAGATTTCTACCAGGATCTGCAGAAAACAAATTGTTCAAACCTAGTCAGCTCAGGGAACAAGGGTATGAACTATAACAGGGAAAGGCAACATCTCAGAAGGCTGTAATCTCTATCTGGATACTAAATAACACCTGTCCTTAGTGCTGAAGCCATCGAGGAAATAAAGAGGTCAGATAGAAAAGAATCTTTATCTATGCATAGATAAAGCTGGACTGGATAATGTAGCTCAGACCCATCACCAAATGGACTTCGGAATATTTCAAGCTGGAAATAGGCAAATCTACCTGCATCAGTATTAGTCAAACTGAAATAACCCAAGTCTACTCACCCCAGAAGCCTTTGCAATAAGCAAGCAGTGAGCACAGCATATCCTGTGTCTGAGCAGATGCATGAAACAAGAGTTTCTTTTCCCAAACTTGCCAGAGAAATTCAGGTATTCCCCGCTTTTGTGAAGGGTGAAATAAAAGGTCAGATCTTTTCACTTTATGGTTAAGATAGAAATACGGAGAGGGGAAGAATTGTGCCTCCTAATAA
Source organism: Homo sapiens (assembly GCF_000001405.40). Classification (NCBI taxonomy): domain Eukaryota; kingdom Metazoa; phylum Chordata; class Mammalia; order Primates; family Hominidae; genus Homo; species Homo sapiens. The sequence continues at coordinate 40,107,197 of NC_000013.11, forward strand.
TTCTCAGGTCAGATTTCTGGGCATTGTTTTGAAAATTCAATGAGATAATAAATGTACTTATTTAGACAAAAATTTTTTGAGCGCTCACCATAAGCAAGGAGACCAGGTCTCTGTCCTCATGGAGGGCAAATGATTATGGTATCTAGGGCAATAAACTGTGTGTATGAAAATGTTTACTCAAGAGAGATTCAGGTCTTAAATGAGAACTTCTTTAGGAATCTACGTAACTTTACTTAGATTTTACTCACATTGTAAAACCTAGGCATGGAAGCATAGTTAAAAGATTAAATCTAATGACAGTTATCTGCTGAGACATACAACCTCTTATATGGAAAAAGTTAGAGACTGACTCTGACTCTAAAAGTCAGTCTCTGACTTCTTTTTTTTTTTTTTTTTTTTGAGATGGAGTTTTGCTCTTGTCGCCCAGGCCAGAGTGCAATGGCACAATCTCACTGCAACCTCCACCTCCTGAGTTCCAGCGATTCTCCTGCCTCAGCCTCCCGAGTAGCTGGGACTAGTCTCTGACGTCTTGAAACTCTAAGCATCAAATTGTGTTTTCTCTAATCATACTCAGACTCTGCTATACAGCATGAGAGTCTCCAGTACTTGCCTGCCTCAGGGAAGGGTGACTCCTAGGCCAGGCCAGGTGGGCCATCTAAGTATGGGTATGTACCCAGTGAGAGAACCCACCTATTTCTATCACCTCCTCTATCTTCTTTAATATTTCCAGCCTGGGAGCATTTCCCCAGGGGTGTCCCCAGCTGGTTCTTCACCCCTCCATATGGAAGATGATAGTGCCACGGGCTTGGCTCCCATGGGAGCAAATGGATCCTTAGTCTGAAACATGAAGCAGGTGTTAACACCTGGTGAAGGTAATAAGTTCAGAGCTTGCATGGATCCGTTACCCTTTCTGCTCTCAGAAGTGCTAATATTTATTCCAGCATGTTCAGCGACATCCTGCCAGACCAGAGTTCTTAACTCTTCCTAGTGTAGTGGTTCTCAAACTTCCAGGCATCAGAATCTCCTGAAGACCTTGTTAAAACCCAGATTACTGGTCCTCACCCCCAAAGTTTCTGATTCAGTTGGGCCAAAGGATTTACTTTTCTAACAAGTTCCCAGTACTGCTAATGCTGCTGGTCAGGGACATACTTAGAGAACGTGAGTCCTAGGGGATGCTTGATTCTTCTGAAATTCCATGCTTGATCTGTCTGTATGTGCCTGTGTGATTTTTGTTCTAACGTGTGTTTCATAGCTTTCATCAGAATCTCAAACCAACCAAACAAAAGCCAGTACCTTTAAGAGCATCAACTAAGGCAAAATACCTAGAGGAATGCTGATCTCAAAAGAGAATACACAATGGTGCCAAAAATACAAAAGCATTGGATAGAGCAAAGTTAGCTCCACAACAAGTGCTCAGAGTTATTGGGTAGGAGCTGGGTAATGGCTGATAGGCACAATCAAAATAAAGGGATTTGAATAGAAATTGATATTCTCACCCTACAAGAATTTATTTTTAATTATAGATAATTATTCTGAATTACAACAAGATGATTTGAAGCATTACGCTAATTCAGGAGTAATAAAGCATGAATTGCCGATGCAATCTTTAAAAATGTAACCTATCAGTCAACACTGGAACAGCAACAGACAAAAGGCTATGATCTGACATTATTATTTTATGGAGTCACAGTTAAAACTAGCCTTCGATTTACTCTTTACAAGCCCCCATAGGGCAATGAGAGATGCCAAATACCTGTGGCTCCATGTGGAGCCGAATGAAGATCTATATCCCTGCAGGCTGCCCTCCCCACTGGCTGACTCTCAGAATCCCTTGCTTTTTAGAGGCAATGGAACACAATCCATACAAGCACAAACTAGTGTCCAGTCAGAACTTGGCTCAAATCCTATCTTTGACCTTTACTAACTCAATGACCCTAAGCAAGTACTTCAACCTCTCTGAGCCTTAGCTGCCTCATCTGTTAAATGGGAAGGATAGCCTAACATACAGGGTTCTCCTGATGATTACATAATATAATTGGTAAAATGCCTGACAACAAACCATAACTTGAATCAGGTCCTGCCCTGTACTATGATGGAGCTAGTAGAATCATATTACCTATTATATTTAGGAAGTAGAAGTAAGTCTTCCAAGGAGCCATCTCAGACTCAGTGTCATTTAACAGGATACAGCAGGCTGCCTAGTTTTCATATAGCTAACATTGCATAAGCATTGTGGCTCACAGTCTAAGAATGCTACCCGAGCTTGCAGGCCAAGTGAGATCCCTTTAGTCAGGGATGGGAGAAAGTAATTGCTCAGTTGCTGACTAAACATCTGCCCAATGTATATTCTCTTTCCTGAATCTAAGAGACCACAGACTGACGAAGAAGGAGAAGGGAGAGGGGAGTAGGTTACAAATGTCTCCCATATAGTGAGTGCTAATTTCTATAGCAAGAAAGCAGATACCGTGGCTACTTTACTCAAAGTGAAAATACTTCATAAGGAAGGGAAAAAAAACAGGATTGAGCACCATCTATGAGTCAGTTTTGCTTGCACGTAATTACATAATGCCCTTTTTTGTAGAGGAAAAACCACAATAATATTGCCTAAGTTCATGGAGGCAATGATTAGTAGAGGCTGGATTAAAACCTAGATCTACCTCACCCCAAATTTCATGTGTTTTTGGTTAAGCCATTCTGTCTTTACCAAAATAGCCAACTTCTTCTACTTTATAGCATTGTTGTTTTAAGTTGAAGAAAAGAAAGATGGTGGATACATAAAGAAGAAAGACCAGAATGTGCCTACAATTGAAAGTAAGTTAAGAAAAAATCACCTCCCCATACGCAATCAGAACAAAAATTAATGGCCAAACACACAAAAGCACTTGACACAAAATACATGATCAATCTCAGAGCACAAGATCTTCTTTATCTCTTTTTTTGGAACTCAGAGAGTCAACCTGACTAAATGGTGAAGGCAATGAGGTCAAGGACCTGTTAAGGGCAGTGGAGAGTTGGAACTAGCTGGAGCACCCTTGGCTGTCAAATTCAGAGGGAAGGCAACAAAAAGCTTTGCCTGGTGAGCTTGTATTGATCTTTGAGAATAAGGATCTATGTAGATAGACCTAAATTAGTTAGGGTAGACCCAGAGACAGATCTCTGTACTTGGTTTCAGCCAAGCATTGCATTTGGATCAGGGTGGCAAAAGGGCCTTAACCAGAGAACAAACTGCCATAGCAACAGGTTAAAAGACCATGGAGAGTTGATGGAGCTAGAGGCCTAGTAATTTACACTACAGAGGCATGAACCTGCTCAGCCCAGTTGGCTCTAAGCCAAGACTGCAACCTGGCAGCCCACCAGCCAGAAGGGGCCATCACACAGACAGGCTTCTTGGTTTGATCTTCCTGGTGTTCCCTTGTGGGAAAAATATGGAGCTAGACGGACATAGTCCAACTTGATTGCTTGCCTGCCCCATGAAGGCATGAGTTTGAAACTCTTGGTTTTAAGTGGACATTACTCCTAGGCAATAGCTTGGGGTTATCAACCTGAAAACACTCATCATTGAAATTGTAGATATTGTAGACATAACTGGAATTCAGAATCTGCATAACAGAATGGACAATGAAGAATATTTGGTAAATATAGAATACATACAATGTTCACCTTCTCATCCATACCTTAGGTCTAAGGAGTACCCATTATGGGTCAGAGGTTATGCTCAATCAAACTACAAAGACACATAAGGTATAATGACTACCCTCCAAAGGATTGTTTAGTAGTGTAACTGGGGAGGTAGCCTGTGCGTAAAAAGATTTATAACAATGCCTTGGCATCTGTTAAATGCCAAGTAAGAAGGTAGACAATAAGGGAGAAAGGTGCACTGTAGTTCATTGTGGTCTGAGATGGTTTAGGTTGGCTTCGCAAAGGAGGTAGAACATTAACTGGATCTCGGTTAAAGTTAGGTTTAGATGAGTAGAACAAGAGAAACGAGGGTACTCCAAAGAATAAAGGAGAGGCGCCAGAAATGTGCGTGGCAAGGTTGATGATAGTGAATAGATCAGTCTGGCTGAAGTTGTGAATTCATACAGAAAGAGGAATGTGCATTCAGGAATTTTAAGAATAATCTCACATTCAGATTTGGAAGACTATATATCATATTACAGCCCCTAATTTTTGGTTTGGGAAACTGTGATCATCATAAACCCTGATAAAAGCTTTCAAGCCAAGAAAGCAAGTCCTGTTTGTCATTCTATCATTGTGTCCCTATCACAGTATTTGGAACTTAGTAGGCTAAATGAGCTAATGCAATTTGTTCTCTATACTTTAAAACTTATGTTCCTGATAAATATTTAATTATCAAAAATCATATAGGGACTTAGGGGTTAAATTTTCAGATGTGCAATTACAAAGTTTTTTTTCTTTCTGGAATTAAAAATACATATATAAGAGCATAGCTTTAAGAAACCAAACATCTTTGAGCAAAGCCATTCATCTAGCTTAAGAAAGGCATTTCTTTTCCTATCACCATGTAAGGGCAGAGTTGCTCACATTTTCTTATCATTCACTAATGAGCCAAATAAACTACACAGCTTCTCCAAGCGGCTGTGCAGGGCAAACTTGAACATTTTCTTCCTTAAGAAGTTATGATTACTGGGTGGTTTTAGAATACAGTTGTTTGGAATAAACAGTAGGTGTAATCCATTATTCTTAATTAATTGATCCCATCATATCCAATTCTTGTTACAAAAGCTCTGTTGTAGAAGAAATGCCAATGTTTGTAGTTGGATGAATGAATGAATAAATACATGCAGAAGAACTATTGGTGACCACACTCTAGATGTTTCTCAAAATGTTGTTAGTGAACTACTTGCACCAGAATCAACCAGAATACTGATTTAGAACTCATCATTCTCAAAGGTGAGGCTCAGAAATCTGCATTTTAGTAAGCTTCTAAAATGATTCTGATGAGCTCTAATTGCTAGAATCTTTGCTATAAAGTAGGGAGACAGCAGACTTTGGAAAACAATGTAAGTTAAGCTAAGAAGTAATTCTACGAGCTCCTGATTATAGGGCAGGGAAAGTCCAGGACAGAGAACTCCAATTGTTTTTCTGAGGCTCCTGCTGGCAGAAGCACCCTGAATGTATGATTTGAGTCGGTGGAGGGGGGTGCAGCTTGTAGAGCAAGAAATAGAGAACAGAGTTCAGTCTAGGACACTGAGACCTGCCTTCTAGGATCCAGACAAGCAAGGGTATCATGAACCAGCACAAATGACTACTGCTCCTAGGACGGTGTTGCTGCCTCATGCCATGGCTCTTCCTTCCAGGAATGGAGCAACACAGGCTTGTGGGATGCAAGATGTTCCCTGGAGCAAGACAGAATCCCACAAGGGCAGGTCACAACCGTCAGATCCTTTGGGATCCTTTGGGAAGACTACACAGCTTTAATAAGTTGTTTGGACTTCTATCTGTAGCTAACAAGGATCACAAGGCATTTGATTTTTAGGATGAGGGAGGATGTGTCCAAAAGAGCACTTGAGAAGGTGAATCTGGTAAACATATGCAGATTGTATTGGAAGGGACAGAAATCATAGGAATCCAGTAAGGAGACCACTACCTCAGTTTACCTATTATAGTCTGCCCAGTTCTTTTGATGGCTATCACATTCTCTGCCAGCACTGATTACTTCAGACTGTCTCTCTAAAGTGTAGAAATGATGTCTGACCAATCTTTGTGTTTCCTATTATGTCTGGTGCTGAACTGAATTGAGCACTCTCAATCAACGTATACTACCTCCTAGTAGTGCAAATACAGTTGAGTGTCAATTCAATGCAAAGTATACTAAAAGGTGTACTACCTCCTAGTAGTGGAAATACAATGGAATATTAATTCAATGCAAATCATACTTATCAGCCTTTTTATATTCTTCTAATTATTCAACAAATATTAACTGGATAACAATTTTGTGCCAGACAATGTACTTAACACTGGGAATAAAGCACAGAGAAACAGACACGGACCTGCCTTGATGGGAAGTGCTGTCTACTGGGAGACAGGCATCAGAGGCAGAGAGCATGCAAGGCCATTTCAAGCAGAAGAACACAAGCAAAAGAGTAGAGGCCCCAAGAAGACCTGTGTCCACCATGTTGGTAAAGTAAGGGTCTCATGAGGTGGGGCAGTGGGGACAGAGGGCAAAGCATGGCCTTGAATTTCCTGCAAAGGAGTTTGAAAGTTAACCAATAGACACTATAAAGCCATTGAAGGTTTTTTGGAAGCAGGTGATTTAACTGACAAGGTTTGGGTTTTTAGAAAATAGATTTTATAACAAAGAACAACATAGCCTACAAAAGGTTGACTCTTGAGACAAGTGTGTCAGTTAGAACATTATCGCAATAGTCCAGGTGAAAGATGATAAAGGCCTGAGCCCAAGCATTAACAAAAAGAATAGTCTACAGAGGCCAAAAAGGTCCATATAGGAGATAAAATCTATGCAGCTTATCACTGGCTGAGGAAGGGGAGGAGAGTAAGCTAGAAAGAGTTGAAAAATGTCCCTGTTCTGATGACCACTTGAATGAAGAGAATCTCATTAATTAGATTACGCAAGAAGGAGGGAGAGTTTGTACGAACCAAGCTGGCACATTCAGTTCTGATTCAACCTTCGTGATGCAGTTAAGAGTATCCCATTAAACTTACTGACGTGACCACAGCTCTTAGCTCCTCTGAGCTCTCCAGTACACCACCATTAGTTAACCTCATCAGGTACAAGCTCATTACCTCCTAATGCAGCCACTGTTTGCTAGATGCCTACTTTGTTAAAGTCTGGCAGTAGGTGTCATTTTGGAGTGGGGTAGATTAAATGGTGAATTGAGATATAGCTCCTGCCTTCAGAAGCTCACAAGCCAGGAGCAATCGATGCATGCATCCTTCCTGTGGGCCCGATCATGCACTGAGCACTGGCTACACCAGATGAGTGAGCTGCTGCACCGGTAGATCCACATACAGAAACAAATTAGGTGCCAATGCTGCTCTACGACTAAAATGGATTCCTGTAGCTCACAATTTCAAATGTTAGTTCATTAAGCCCATTTTAGTTTTCTCACTTATTGCTGTTTGTAAAGGGAAAGTTATCACTTTAAACAAAAATATGCCCCCTATCTATTTTACGTGTAGATAATACACAAAAATACTTCATTTGAAATAAGGATTCTGCGGTTTAAAAGTAAACATGTAGTCTGACAGTCTGAAAACCACTGGACTACAGCAGCAGCTTCCCCATCGGCCCAGAAGCCTGGCAAGCATTGGTAAGTCACGTGCTACAGAGCTGCCACACAATTTCCATTCAATTCAATTGCCCAGTCCCAGCTTCGGACAAGTTTGTCTAGACCCAACATGAGTGTCCACAAGATGCAAAAACAGCTGCTTAATTCAATTTAAGAAATTCAATCACCTAGACTTTTTTTTTCCTCTAAGACACCAGCCAAGTGTTTGGACTAATTTTTTTTTATTTCCAGAGAATTTATTGGTTCACATCACATAGACAAGAACTCTATGTCCAAAGAACTTGGAGTTTCAAAGCGACATGATGATGCAATGAGACATTTTGACCAAATTCCATCCTGAATTTGATGAATCCACCCAAAAGGAGAAAAGTGGCTGCTTCTGGTTTGCACCCATTCTCAAGGCAGTGGGGCATAGTACAAACATACCTGGACTGGGAATGTGGAAGTCAGGATTCTCTTAAGGGCTCTGCTCCTAACTGGCTACAAAGCCTGGGCTCAGGCTTCCTCATCTATTAAGTAAACTATTTGAACTGGTTGATTTCAGAGGTTCTACCCAGCTCTAAAAATTCTATAATCCTGAGAACATCTCTTTAGGCATAGTTCTCTAACTTTGCTGTTCTGAATAAACATGATCTGGTCACACTGAAATTTCCTGTCCTTGGTAATTACAATTAATTAGCAGAAATCTATGGCATAAAAAATTAATCGTAGTGCAATAAGGATTATAAAAGCTAGCCAGATGGTGTTGAGATGAACTAAGAGAAGAAACTTCTTTTTCAATTCTAAAGCCCTATTTCAAGTGTTTGTAGGCTTTTTGGACTTGGGTGGTTACCAGCAAGTCATTAGTAGTTTCTGCAAGCAGGACCCAGCCTAAGCTCGGCCTGGCTTTGAAAGAATACGGTCTGGTCTGAAGTTTCATTTGGAGCCTGGTCAGAAATACGCTGTTGATGGTGGTGAGATCTATCTTTTTCTGTGTTTAAGGACAAAGAGTCTTCTGACAAGCCAGTGGAAAGAAAGAGTCTCAATCCAGACAGAGCAAGTCAGGTCTGCAGTGTCTGTCTTGTTTGCTGTAAAGCTAAGAAGGAGGATATTTTAGAAGAAAATATAAAAAGGAAAGAAAGGCTTGCTAAGGGCCTCCTGCTGTTTGACTGTACCTCACCCTGGCTAGGGAGTGGGAGAGTTTTATTAAGCTATTCCCTTCAAGCCTGCATAGCTTAGGAGTGACTTTTCAACTCAGAAACTTGGGATTAGAATATATTTTGAAAGCAGATCTGGGTTTCTAGTGGCGTCTGGTCTCCACCCTTCTCGTGTTTATTCTTAAATCCTGGTTGCCCTCCCTTCTCTTGTTATCTGCTGATAAGGATTCAGGTTAATGCCTTATTATGGAACTATTTTAAAATTTACGGTAATTTCAGAGTAGAACTAAGACCTTCCAGGTAAGTTTTCTTGTGCCAAAGAGTGGCACACTGTCCTCCAACCTATGGAGACTCATGATTTTGTTTCACAGATTGGATTCCCTTATTCTGGCCTCTCAATTCAATGTGCTAGCCCCCTGGGGAAAAGGAAACACGGCCTCAAACCAAATAGAACCCAATCCACACCTACGTTTTCACAAGGGAGTTGGCCTGCATGAAACTGTAGGAAAAGACCTAATAAAGCACGTGAGTATTTAACCCAACTCCAACAAATGATTAACTACAACGTGAGGAGAAAAACAATAACAGGAACCAACAATGATATGAACATGGTGATGAGTCATCCGCCAACCCTTGCTGATTGACGTCAGACCAGCCACAAAGGGTGTTTTACAAGTTAAGGACAAAGTGACCTCCAGGGTTACATGCTACAGGGCTCTTTAGATTGTTTCCTTTCCTCCAGGTCCCATGGCTAAAGGTGTATAAATGCATAGCAAGGGGGCTTTCAGCAAGTTGCAGTCTCAATTTCAGAACTGCTGCCCAAAAGAGGTTTAAATTATCTGAATGTATTCTAAGAAAACAAATCTAGCAATTTCAAAACTTTCCAACAAAAATCTATGTTTACACTCTTTCTGACCACCAGTATAAAAGTTTCTTTCTCTTCCCACCCTGACTTTATCACCATAACTCTTCCCTGCATGATATATTTTTCCTTGTTGCACTTATTACTGCCTGATGTGCCATACATTTGTCTATGTCTGCCCCACGACCCACTAGAATATAAACATTTTGAGAACAGGGACTTTGTTACTTTCACTGCTATATCCCCAACATAGAAGTCGCTATCCAGCTCACAGAAGGTATGAACGAATTAATGAATCTAATCAAACATCTATTATAAAGGCATTCAGTAAATATTTATGGGAATTTGTAAATAGATAATTAAGTTTAAAAAAGAGAATGGAGGCAGATTAAATGACTTCCTAAAATATGTCTTCAATTAGTGTTAGCCAACAACATAATCATTATTTTTGTTTTCATTTGGGTCACCTCAGATTTACCACTTCTGTCTTCCTTCCCACCTTCTTCACTTTACCTAGGTCCTCTTCTCACAGATAGGTAGTCTGTCTCTGATTTTAAGTGACGTACCAGCCCGGAGATCAAATCTTGGAGCTCCCACATGGCCATGGGATGAAATCCTGACCCACTCAGACTGTGCACAAATTCTTCTTTATTTAGACAGTAAAGGAAAAACCTGTTGAATGAGCAAGTAAAAGCAGTAATAAGAAGATAGAGGGCTTTATTAGCAGGGAAACACTGACCATGAGGCAGTCAAAAAGCAGAGACTGATTAATCAATTTGTTTCAGAGAACATTTTGAGATTCTAGTTTCTTTCAATAAAATGCACTTATATATCTATTTGATTTGATATGGTTCACCAGGCACTCTTTAAAAAAAAGTTGCAAAAAATATTTGAAAGTTTTTTAGTATACAGCTAACGATTGATGCTTATTAGTTCCTGAGTTCAGCTAAGTTCTTGTATTCCATGTAGATATATGAAAGGATCATTTAAAAAACATGCCTTTAGGGAGATGCAATTTTATTATATGGTGGCAGCTCAGATACAAATGATCCAGTTTTACAAGTTAGGTCTAATTTTACCTGGTCACTCAGGCAGGCACCTGACCCAAGCAGGCCTTGAGTATATAACAGCCCCAGGTCTCACAAGACAGTGCTGCCCCAGAAGCGTCCTGAGAAGACTGGAGACTGATGGATGTGGGAGAATTATATGGGATGCAGAGGGGAGGAAGGAGCCCTCTTTCCCCAGTGACTCTAACCAGAGATACCAACTGCCTGGGGAGAGGGAGGCAGGCACTTACAGGGTTTTCTCTCTCTTTCCATCCATAGAAAGGTGACAAGTGGCCCCTGGGGGAATATGGAGGATTTGTGAGTATTCCAGTCTGGAGTCTCAGGATGGTATGGTAGAGACAGGGAGAATCTTGGGCCTGATAACCCAGACCCTTGGTTTGTTAGTGAGTGGAACTTAAGATTCTGAAATTATATAAGTGAAAAAGAACACTATAAAATTCAGGACTTAAACTGATAATTATCTCACCAACCTCTGGACTTTATTTAGATTTGAGTAAGAAGGAGTAAATGCCAGGAATGCTTGGAAAATATAACTTTCACTGATACAACAAAAAAGTTCTAGTATCTTTCTCTTATGATGAAGCCCCAGTCCAGACATGGTGGCTCATGCCTGTAATCCCAACACTGTGGGAAGCTGAGGCAGGAGGGTGACATGAGCCAAAAAGTTCCAGACGAGGCTGCATAATATAGGGAGACACTATCTCTACAAAAAAAATTTAAAAATTAGCTAAGTGTGGTAGCACGCACTTGTAGTCCTAGCTATTTGGAAGGCTGCGGTGGGAGGATTGATTGCTTGAGCCCGGGAGGTAGAGGTTGCAGTGAGCAGAGATTGCACCACTGCACTCCAGCCTGGGTGACAGAGTGAGACCCTGTCTCCCCCCGACCAAAAATAAATAAATAAATTTAAAACAAAATGAAGCCCCTTATACTGTCTGAAATTATATACAGGGAGTTTTCACATTTTCAGTAATTCAAAGAGAGCATGAGTCAGGGCCTCTGATATAGAGCTGGCTCTGTCACTTGCCACAAAAACACCCTCTCGGTAGGAAGATTTTCTGAGCTTTCGCTTCTCTGCAAAATGAGTGATGAGCCAAGTGGTACTATACTCCATGAGGATATCTCTATTTTCTGGTAAGATAAGAGGTCAGAATAAATAAGAATTTTCCAGAGGCCTACATAGTCAGAATAGGGCAGGAATACTACCAAAAAGCAGTCCAAGGAGCCTACAAAAATATATAAATGTAATAGAACCATTATAGTCAAGGCACAAATAATAATTAAGTCATGGAGGAAAAGACAGAGGGAGTGGAAGAGTTGTAGAATGTTCTAAGTTGAAGATACATATGTGATTACGCTTCCTTGTTAGTCCAAAAAAGGGAATGGGGCAATTATAATTCTCAATAGCTAATAAAAGGAAACTTAATAGTTTATCAAAGGAGAGATACTATAAAACAGCCTCAAAATCTAAACAGAATTTATTGTCTGGTTCATTATATAAGAAATGGTGAAAAACACAAATGACAATATCAGTAAGAACAGATTTTCAAAGCTCCAAAAATGTTTTTCATGATGTTTCTTTCTCTTGAAGAGATCTCAGTAACAACAAACCACCACCACCAGTAATGACCATAATAATAATGAACCAAGGGACCTAAAATAAATAACATGACTATATTGCAATAGATCTTTGGTGGTCAGTATTTCCCTTAGACAATACTTCTCAAATATCAACCATCTCAGACTGGCATGACTGGGCAAGGCCTATATACATGCAATGAAAAAGCACTATAAATGATTGCTGCTATTATTATCAGGTCATTCAACTTATATGAAGCAGTCATTAAATTAAAATTAGAATGACTTTGTTTAGGCAAATGACTTGCTAGAGGCCCACCTCCAATATGCCTTCTGAGTAGCCACAACTTACCCAACGAATGTTTTGGCCTTTGCAGGAGGGGGCCAAACATTGGGCGGGATAGCCATCTTTTCTCTGGAAAAGATTGGTAGATAAAAAAATTAATATGGATGATTATTTGGAACCATCTGGAAGAAGTCAATATGTTCAGGGTTTGCTAGGCTGACACATAAGTTTCTATGGGCTTCTGAGGTTTCTTGAGATTTGTCTGGTGTGAGATTGGATAGGATCCTGTGCCATAAGTTTCCTTAGAAAAATACATGTTTGCTGGTCCTACATTCGTTTACATATAAAACAATTATATGAAACAATTATGCAATATGAAAGCTTATATTTGCTTGACAATGATAATTTTGTAGAGATGACTCCAGAATTTCAATCACGTAGTATCTGATAAGTTACAGGTTTTAAAATGTCATTGTCCATTTTTTTAAACCAAATGAAGACTCACAGAAACATTCTCCACTTGCATCAAGATATTGATTACCACATTAGTTTATAATAGAGAACATTTGGAAACACCTACATAAACAAGAAAAAGGGAAATAAGAGGATTGTGGGTGTATCAGTTAGCTACTGCTGCCTAACAAACTGCCCCCAAACTCTGTTGTTTTGGATGAAAACAACAAGCATTTGTTTTTGCACATAAGCCTACAAATCAGCTAGGGGTTTCTTCTAGTCTCAGCTGAACTCTTGCAACTGAGGTCAGCTGGCAGTTCAGCTGGGAGCTGACGGGTCTGGGAAGCCTTAACTGTGATGACTGGGAAGATTGGGGTTTCTTTCCACTAATTTGTGATTTTTCTCAAATCTCAATATGATGGTAGTTTGTCTACAGCAAGGTTCCAAGGAGGCAAGCAGAAGTGCACAAGGCTTCTTGGGGCACAGGCTTGGAATTGGCACCCCATCACTTCTGCTATATTTTTTTGGCCAAAGCAAGTCACAAGGCCAGCCCATATTCCAGGAACTGGAAAATAAACTTCACTCCCTAATGGGAGAAGCTGCAAAATCACATTGCAAAGAATGTAGAAACAGGGAGGGGTGAAGAATTAGGAGCTGTTTTGCAATCTACCACAATGGTATATTCACTGGGTGGATTTTTCTCCAGTCATTAAAAGTGAAGCCTACGTAGCAAGTTTAGGAAGTTAAAAGGACAAAAGAAAATATTATGTGTTAACTTTTATTACAGCCATATAAATATACATGCAAAAAGGTTAGAGGAAAATATACATACATGATGGCTGTATAAGGATGGCAGGATGTGTGTTTTTGACTATTTTTTTAAAAAATATTCTGACAGCTTTAGTGGAGAACTCAAACCTCTTGTCATATCTGAATGTGGCATAAGCCACATTTCATTTCTTCAGTAGGGTTTTGCTGAAGTAACCAGTGAATTAACAAAAGAATTACGGAGAGAAAGAGTAAATGACCTATTTTTTGTTCTTTTTTGGACAAAATGATTCAACCCAGAAATTCCATGCCAAAATATTCAGCTGACAGAAGGAATTTAATGTGACATAGTATGCTTGCTATTTCTAGGGGAATGGCATTAGAGCTTTTAGAGTACAAAGCAAAAAGCCTTTGGCTATTAAAGTATTTTGCATAAGTGAAAACTTTCATTGTATGACTAAATCAATGAAGATTATCCCCTCAGTCAGAATTTCCTTTGTCTGCACGTGTACTCTCCAGGCATCTATTCTTGCTTTCGGTTCAGTAGTCGAGTCCTCAAGTAAATGACCCAATTTAAAGTAACAGTGAATATTGCGTTGAAGTTACACTGTAGATATTGATTTCATGGCCTTTGACGCCTTCTGAGGTCAGTCATTGACCAGCACATTGAACTTGGTCTCATGGGTTGACGTTAGCCACCCCTGGTATTGTCCTCACTAGTTTTAATTTAATGATTCTGTGGTTCTAATACAAACCTTCTCTAGAGTACAATTTATTCTCGATTGCTTTCGACAGGACTTACCTGTGGCCTTTTTAGCAAACAAACTGTGGTAGGTGATGGAAAGTCTAATGCATACTTACACTAGTGATGGGCCCTCATATGTGGCCAAAAGACACAATTCTCATGGTACAGCAAACGAAACCAGATTATAGAAATCCACAGCTAAAAGGCACTTTAGCATCTGAGGAAAATCAGGTCCAGGGGCTATAAATTATTTGCATGTGTTTCAGAGAGGTTGCTCCAAATCTCCTCTCCAAGTGTCTTCTCCACTGTCCTCTTGTCCCTAGGGGATTCTTTGTTACCTTATAGACAGCAGAAGGCTGGAAGAACCAATGCCCCAAAACATTGCGTAGAGCTGGTCTAGGCAAGAGGAGAATAACTGTATGAGACAGGGCTGGCTCATGCCCCATTTCTCCCTGCCTCTTGCTTCCACTCAGAATTCCAGAACTAGTTGAGGAAGGATTATAAAAGCTAGCAGTCTCTTGCCACCCTCACTCCCACCCTTCTCAGATTCTTGGTTTAATCCTCTAACCCAACCCAGCTGCTATGTGTCCTCAAACTCATTCCTCCCAGTTCTTAGCAAAACGTGTGCTCAGGGCTTTTGGTCTTTAAATGCATAACTTATTTAAAGCTCAAAATGCAATTCCTGTTCCAGGGATTTGCATGATCACAAGGATGGAATCTTCAAGGACTGTAACTTATAAAGGTTGACTTCATGGATGAACCTAAGGAAAGGGGAAAATGCCCAGCAGGTAACTTCAGGACTGAAGCAAGTCAGGGGACAGAAGTGAGGTTCTCCAAAGTGGGACCAGGAAAAATAATTCTCAAGTCATGCCTCCCAATCTAGAGCTCAGAGAAAAAGAGACACCAAATCACTGTATGCTTTGCTTAATAATGAAGAAGAGTTTAGCAACCCTATGTGCCTGACACTCTACCAGCAAGGGTCTCAAGGTGACTGGTGAACATGATGGTCCTGTGGAGCTAACAGAGGTGAGAGGGGACAGTGCTCAATGTGCTACTGAGACTTCCTGGAGTGGGGACCCAGGGCATTGCCCTGCTCAGATCCCAGGCTGACTCCTCACCCTCTGGTGTAAGGACCAGGTCATCCTTCTTGGGAAAACTCTGGTCATATTTTCCTTTTTAAATTTTTTCAAAAGAAGTCAGCAATCTGGGTTTTATGTAATATCCTTTTATTTTTAAATGTTGGAAACTAATTCCAATTGTGAAAACTCCTTTTGGGGAAACTGGCCCTCAATGAATGCCCTTTTATGACCTCTGCTGGAGTGGGTATCTAGGGAGGGGTGAAACAAAGTGGGACAAAGCAACACTCCCAAAATAATATCCTGTAACATAGGGAGTGGTACTGGGGGTTTTGAAGAAGGCTTTTCAGAGTCTCCCAGGGTGGCGCAAAGAGAGGAAGTGTAGGATTTTTGTTTGATGTTTCTTAAAGAAAGCCATGGTTCCCAAAGGCTGCCTTAGTGAGTGGCCACCCAAAAGAAGCCACACACATGGGACCATGTGCTGTGAACAGAGGAGTCAGGGAGCATGAGGCTGAAGTCCACAGGTGTGGGGTCACCACCACTACTCATGCAGGCATGTATGTGCCCACACTCTCTCTGCCTATAGACCATGTCATGGCTAGTGGGGCAGGAAATACTTTGACAGAGACGATCAGCAATATAGAATCTTGGACATTCGGTGCTCCCGACAACCTCAACAGTCTTTTCAACCTTGTCATTTTACACAAATAATCTGAGCCCAAAGAAGAAACAGACTTCTTGCTCCCAACTTTGCACAGCTGATTTACAGCTGAGCTGAGACCTTAGCTCAGGCCCCTGCCTCTCAGTGCAGACCTTGTCTTGAAACCCTTTCCTATCCCTCACCCCCATCCTCACTCCAGGAGAAGTTGTTGCAAAGGGGATTTGTGAAATGAAAAATCGAATACAGTGCATTTTGGTATCTTTGTAAGACTCTTCATATCAAAAATTTAACACGCCAAGAAAAATAATCCTTTCTCAAATCGCACATCCCAATTTAGGGCTCAGAAAAAATAGACACCAAATCATTGTATGCTTTAATTACGATGAAGAGTTTAGCAAGTCTATGTGCATGACATCCTACCAAGCATTTTACACGTGTTATTGCATATAATCTTCATGATTATCTCCATTTTACAGCGGGGGGAATTGAGACTTTAAGAGGCTATGAAATCTGCCCCAAGACTCAAAGTTAGGAAGTGATAGAGCCAGGATTTGAATCTGTATAGTGTCATTCAGAGCCCTAACGTAATAAATATGGTTCCTATAGCTGAGCCACCCCTAACTCCACTCCCAAGAGATAACAAAGGTCAAGTTCCCAGAAAGCTTTCTTCTGGAAAACCTACCACTGTCCTGGCATCTAGAGCATAGTCTCTTATGCAGAACACTAGCTTGAGCCCATTTCATGACACATATTTTTTTTCCAGGCTCCAAAAATGTGGTCTTCCTTTATTATGCCAATTAGGCAAGAACAGATGGTCTTCCTCTACTCAACAGTTAACCATTCAACATTTATGGAGAAAAATCCTAGAAGGGTTTATTTCAAATATGAAAAGTGCCAGCCCAAAGGAAAATTATTTGAATAATTCTCCGAGGTGGGAGGGGCAGTTCTAGAGGGAGACTTTCTGCAACTTTAACCAAAATGTCATGGAATGTGTACATTATAATGGCAGAATGTCTTGATCCCAGAAAAGTACACATAAACAGAGAGAGGTAATTGGAATCATCATTTTGACACCTGAAAGGATGACAAGAAACCTTTAACCTACAGATAATCAGTGGAGTGCACTGTCATTGTGAATGGCTCAGCCAGTCTGTGGGATATCACATTAGCAAGCTGGCTGGCTTATTAGAGACATCTAATTCTTTCATATACTTAGCACTGAAGTGGATAGGATTCAAAACAGCTTCCTTGTCTCTGACATGCATCCAAATTTTTAATAGCAGCTAAGTACCTTACTAAGCAATTGAATAAAATAATGCATTCAAGCCCCCAGAAAACCTTTTCAGACCTCTTTTTATCTCTACATTTTACTGATAGAGAATGGATTGTAATTCAAATTTATATACTGGGCACATGCCGAGCAATAGATTTTTTTTTCCTTTGTAAATCTCAAGCATTCCAAACTATTGAAGGAGTTAAGCAATTTTGATCATTTTGAAACTAGCTGTCAGATTTAATCTCTGCTAAGGAGACAGAGGGCAAATGTACTCTGAAGCTTGTTATATAATTTACAGATTATTTTTGCAATTTATATTCCATCAAATAGGGTATATGAGACTCTCAGAAAGTACGTAATGATCAATTAATTTCAGCAGAGCCATCCTGGTGTCACTTATGGGATAGACATGATTAGACCTTTTTCTAGCTGAGTCCCAAGGTCAAGTCATCAAATATGACTGATTACATTTTCTAATGGTTTCTCTATGCCCATTAAAGAGCACTCAACTATTCAGACTCTCCTTTGATCGTGACATTCAAAATTTGCTCTGATGGCTCCTGACAGGCAAAAATGTATTCTCTAATCTTTAACCACATAAACAATAGCTAACCACTTGTAATTGAGTTTAAATTGATTTCAGGTGGCTTCAGAGAAAAGCAATTTCTACAACAGATTAACCTCTTAATTAAAGTATATTAAGAATACTGTCAGGTGTAGAGATTCTGCTACAGAAGAAAATTATCCCTCATTGACATTCATTTATGAAAGAATTGCTGTTGTGCTCCCAGGTAACAGGTTACTTATTTGTGCTTCTTGCCTCACTAGGTCAATGCAAGTCTAGTTTCAGTCATTAGAATATCAGGGTTTTATAGGGGAAAGATGTGGGGAAAGAGAGGGAGTGTCTGAGGGGGTGACATGAAATAGGTATGTTCCAGTACTTAACGTCTTCAGAAAGTTACTTTTCTCAAGAAATGGGACTTTCCTCAAAAACCATAGACCCCCTTCAGTTAGCTGAGTAATGAGGAAACACAGGTGTCAACCAACATGTCAATAACAACTAGACAGGTTTCTTCAAGGTGTCCTTCGATGCACTGTAAATAGACACCATCTCTGTCCTCTGTGTCTTTGCTACTCAGACCAGCATCACTTGCGGGGACTGTGAGAGATGCAGAATCTCAAGCCCTTCAGGCCCCACCCCAGGTCTATGGAATTAGAATCAACCTGTTTTTCAACAGGATCCCCAGGGAATTCATTTGCGCTATTACAGTCTGAGAATTACTGCTCTAAGAGAATGTTTGTGCTTGGAGTCCCATAGTCTCAGGCTGTATCTATAAAACATCAAAAATATTTGATTTGGTGAATAAAACACAGTGGAACTGGTTATGGAATATCATAGAAAACAAATTATTTTCTCCGCACTCTTTACTTTTTATCTCCTTCCTTTGAAGACCCTTCTAGCTTCCCATATTTTATATCCTGGCTGTGAACACCCCAGGTGAATTGAGTCTCACCCACCCAGGACTGGCCCAGAACACGGGACATACACAACTGGCTTTAGAATCAAGCTTTATTCATCCCTGATCCTGGAAGTTTGCTTTCTTGGCTCTGACACCTTCTTTGGCTCATGTCCCTGAATTGGTCTCAGTCTCTTTTTTTCCCCAGCCTGGGATTTTGTTGCTGCTCTCTCTGAACTTGCATTTTTTAAAATCTTTCCCATTTAGTCCTTTTTTTTTTTTTTTTTTTTTTTTTTTTTTTTTTTTTTGAGACAGTGTCTCACTTTGTCACCCAGACTGGAGTAGTGCAGTAGTGCTATCACCGCTCACTGCAGCTTTGACCTCCCAGGTTCAAGCAATTCTCCTGCCTCAGCCCCCCAAGTAGCTGGGACCACAGACACATGCCATCACGCTTGGCTAATTTTTGTATTTTTTGTAGAGATGGGACGTCGCCATACTGCCCAGGCTGGTCTCAAACTCCTGAGCTCAAGCGATCTGCCCACCTTGGCCTCCTGCGGTGCTAGGATTAGAGGCATGAGCCATCCCACTTAGTCTCAAGATATCTAGAGGAGGTTTCGGTTCTTACCTGTCTAAATTTAGAGGTTTGCAGCATGGACTTTTACTCTATAGGTGGCTTGTGGTTGTTAAAAGGGAGTTGAACAAAAATGCAGCTGTGCTCAGCAGCCAGGTGTTGTTAATAAAATTGGTTGCAAACAGAATCCCTCAGGCTTGGCTGCACATTAGAATCCCCCAGGGAGATTCAAATTTTCCAATGCAAAGGCCCCGGCCCCAGATCAACTAAATCAGAATTCCATGTCCTCAGCATCAGTGGTTATAAAAAGCTCCCAGGTGAGTCTAATGAGTAGCCAAAGTTTGGAAATACCAGTTTAGAGAAACTTCTATGTCCCAGTCATGCCCATCCCCACTCCCTCCTCTGGGCCTCAGTAGCAGTTCACTTCTTTTATTCTACTTAGTCTTTTTCTCTTCACCACCAAAGCATTTAGAAAATAATGAATGAAGAATGTAAGCCTCTGGGTGTATTCTTAGGGTGGGGACAGGAAGTGAGGGGTGGGGAAGGAAGAAGTTACATGCATGATCTCTCACACTGCTAAAACTATGCAAAGTTTGCCAGAATGGATATTAAACTGACCCCAACATCCCCCAGTTTAAGTTGCACCATTACTGCAGAAGAATCATAGAAAGCGAGAACATGGAACTCTAGAAGGCAGGCAGACAAAGCATCAGAGAAGAGATTTAACATGGCACAGCCCACGATCTTCCCACTTGCAATATTCCAAACAAAAAAAAATACCCCCAAACTTTGTGTCCGTAAGTGGAAGTTCTAAACCTGTGTCTTTCGAGGCAAAGCAGAAAGGGCACCAGGTGTTCTGGTGAAGAGTTAATCTGCCCATGCCCCAAATCAAGGTGAGATGGAGAAGGCAGCAGCAGTGCAATCCATACCAGGGCTCTTGGCCTGGGACCCTTCCTTGGGTGGGTCTGAGCCTGCACTGGAACCAGGTGAGAAGAGCTGCAGAAGGCAGGTTGAAGGAAGGGAGCCAGGGTGCTCCTCACATGCTCCCTCTGCTTACCTTTTCTCTCCTGGGTTAGGAATTCACAGTCACTGATGCAATTTGTTGGGTTCTCTAAGTGTCTTCCCCAGGCCCTACAGATGAGCAGCACCTGGGGACTTATTAGACATGCAAATACTCCAGAGGAGGGCTCCACCTCAGACCTCCAGAATCAGACACCTTGGAGGTGGGGCCCAGCCACCTGTGTCTTCAGAAGCCCTTCAGGAGTTCCTGATGTGCACTCAAGTTTGAGAACTACTATTTCATTTCATGCTTCTTAGAGCTTGCTTTTGTGGCCATTTGTTCAACTGGTCTGGAAAGGGGAAGAAACTTTGAAAGTGCTTGTTCTCCATTCAGACTGCTGATTGTTGATGCAGAATAGCAGCTGGGGTTACTGGCCATTTCTTCCCAGGTCCCCCTTCCTGAACCTCTCATCTTCTGTTTTCAGGCTCCTGGCTGTAGTTTCTGGTCCCTGCAGTCTGGCTTCCTGGATATAATCTTTGCCTGTTGAACCTGAGGCAGCTGCCTCTTCCTTCCCGCCTCAGTTTATCTCCCAGGCTCCAGACCCTGCTCCTCTCTCTAGGCCTCCCCACTATGCTTCCTTCTCTCATAAAAGTTGAGGCCCAGCTTCATCCTCTAGTTGGCATGGAGTCCCAGATGATGCCAGCTCTGTTCATCCTCTTTGTTTGCCCTCTCCTGGCCTGCTACGTTTAGTTAGCAAACATGCTGCTATTAGCAAATACTTTTGAATGAAAGAATTAAGTACTTTTTGGTTTCCAAAATCCTTCTACCTGCATTATCTCATCAGATCATTGTGACAGTGAAAGTACGATCCCTATTTAACAGTCAATAACACTGAGGCCAATCCAGATTATAGTCTAGTTAATAGAGCCAAGACTGGAATTAAGGTCTCTGAATCCTAACTCAATGCTCTTTTCATTATGCTGCTTACTTAATTCATCTCTTCACAGAGATGCGTTTCAGAGTATTTTCCACTCTCCCCAATAGCACACCATTAACAATTCATGCAAGGTAGATTTTTAATCAACATTCACCTACAGCAAGAACTGGTTTAAGCTGGACAAATTGCAAAGAATGTAGTTTACCTCATTGCACAGGTGCACACCACCAAAAGATTTAGCAGAAGATAAGAGGATGGATGTTTGGCCACACAGAGATTACCTGCAGCTGTGGTGATTGGTTCCTGGGGTCAAAGAGCCTTTGCTGATCAACAGAGTTGATTAATGGGTCAGTAACTCTTGTAGTTTAGAAATCAAAAGATTTTCAACTTGAACCTTGTATTGGTTTACATTTACCTCTCATTTCTTAGGCAGGTCGATAATAAATTAGGGCATTTGAAAGCTAGTATGATTTCCTTTAGGGTCCTCTGCTGTAAGCCCCAGTCTCTGAATGACAGTGTTTGCCTGGAAAAGAAGCAACCACCTGCATCTGCTGGCTTGGGCCTGCCTGGAGGTTAGAGGTGTGATGCCCCCGACACAGGGCACAACCATTCCCCAGTGTGTGGTGGGGAGCAGAGTGAACCACTCACCTATCCCAGATTCTGCACTGGCCTGTGTCTAAGAGCTTAGATTGCAACACTGAGGTGCCTGTTGCCTTAGCCTCCATGACTGAGGTCTTGAGCTGTGACATCCACCCTCACCATATCCCTACCTGTACTTGCTGCCCCATTTGGACCTCTGACAAGAGGGCAAACAGATAAGGGCAAACCTCCTCTGGCCTATGGGGATGCAAGGCCATGGCTATGCCTTCTGGTTCTGACCACAGCTCTACCTTTGTGACTCACACTAACAACAATCCTGTTTCTTATTTCACCACCTGGCCCTCTGGTGCCATGTGCTCTTTAGATGGTCCATCCCCAAGCCCAGCTGTAAATTATTTTGGTCATTTTGTTGCCAGTGGAGGGTGCCCAGGTTATTGGCATCCTGAACAAAGAATTGGACAAAATGCTCAAACAAAGCAAAAAAAGAATGAAACAACAAAAGCAGAGATTTATTGAAAACGAAAGTACACTCCACAGGGTGGGAGCGGGCCGAGCAAGCAGCTGAGATCACAGTCACAGAATTTTCAGGGGATTAAATACCTTCTAGTGGTTTCCCATTGGTTACTTGGTATATACCCTATGTAAATGAAGTAGTGGCCCACTACCAGTTTGATTGGTTGCAGGAGAGGACCAATCAGAGGCTGAAGCAAAGTTACAACGTTACGCCCTATCAAGCATCTGATTAGTTGCAGGAAGCAACCAATCAGAAGCTGAAATGAAGTTACAAAGTTATACTCCTATGTAAATGAAGACTTGGCCTGCGACCAGCCTGATTGGTTGTGGGAGGGGACCAATCAGAGGTACTTTCAATTTCTGCCACACAGAAAAGGGGAGCGTTGCAAAGGGAGTAGCCTCTGGTCCTTTTGTTACTTGGGTGTGGATAGTTAGGGTTTTCCTTTTGATTTAGTTCTAGAAAGTCAGAGTGAATCAGCTTTAGGTTCCCTGCCTCCAGGCCCTATTCTCCTGCCTCAATTTCTGACCTGTGCTTCTGTGACCTGGCCCTGAAAGAGCCACCAGCTCTCTCCAGCTCAGCAGATGATCCAGTCTTCACTGGTAGAACTGCCTTGGCTTTAAATTCGAAGCATGGTTGGAGCTTAACAAATGATAGAAAAAAATATGGAGAATTGAATTGATGGGTGAATAACATTTGGAGAACAAGCATAACCACACTGGCCTCAGCTCTCAAATATTAAGGAAGCTAAGGGGAGCTCATCATTCCTTCCTAAAGTCAGATTACCCTGATTCTGTAGATATGGAATCCTGTGGTTATGCCTCCTCACAAGTGATGTAAATTTACAGTTGTTATGAGATGACCCTGCATGTTCTCAAGCAAATGACAGTAAAGAGGATGATAATGAGTGAATGAAATAAAGAGAAGTAGGAGAAAGAAATGGGCAATAAAAAATAGCTTTTAATGAGCACATACTCTGTGCCAGGCACTGTGCTAAACACTAGCACACAGCAGCACACTCAATCCTTACAATAATCTTATATAGTAGTGATATTACCCCTAATTTACAGGTGATGAAACTGTAGTGGAGTCAGAATTTGGTTCCAAACCTGCACTCCTAACCCCTTTGTTAAGCTCCTTTCCCCATAGGAGGCGAATTCTCTACTCTTAGGCTTTCACACTCATTTGGCTTCAAGAAGTAGTGGCTAGGTTGGCCATCCCCTATCATTGTCATATGTAATGTTTTTACCAACAATACTCTTTGATGCTAGGGCGCATCTGTGTAATCCCTTGCAAAGTTGAAAAACTGAGTTCATCAACTAGGGCAAGTAATTTCAGCTCACATGTCCTGGGAAAATAACTGGACTTGGATCTAGTTCCTGCCCTGACCATGTGGCCTTGAAAACCACTCACCTGCTCTGAGTCTGCTCTCTAGCATTCCATGTCTCCATAGTGTTGTTCAAAAATTAAAGGAGCCATTGGCGTAGAAGCACTCTATGAACTGTAAGGACTACAAAAATAAAAATTATTTCTATGTCATAAAAGAAGTTCAACTCCTTTTTTTCCGCTGAATTCACTAATTACGTAAAAGTCATGGAGACAAGATCTTCCATGGCTGGATTCATTCCAACAACAACAGATTCCACAAACATCCAGTAAGGTCCTCACATGAGCCAGGTGCTTTTATAGTTTATTTTCTTTTTTCAAAGACAAGAAACAATATGTTTATGACCAAGTAACTTCTGCATCTTCTCATATTTTGGCAGGTATTATACCTGCTGAGGATTAAATACCTCGAGCTGGACTTGGATAGGTCAGTTAATTGGGATTCAGACACCCTGGTTTGATTCCACAAACAACAAGTTGTCCTCCACTTCCTTGGCTCACAAATGTGCACACATCTGTGTGGCCCATGGGGCAAGGTCAAAGTGTTTTTTCCTGGAGGCCATTTTGTCACATGTAGTCCCTACAAGACAGTGTGGATGAGTCACAGCAGATCCATCACCCTTGTAACAAACAGCTTAAATGCATGCCCTGCTGAGCATGAGTCAGGGTAAGGGCAGACTTATAGGCAATCTCATTCCGGGCTTTCTATTTTTTTCCATCTGGCTTCTCTTCCTGAGTTTGTTTTGCCTTTCGCTTTTTTGTAAAAAAAAAAAAAAAAAATTAATATCCATTTTTTGAAACTTTCTTCTCAGTGCCTTGGCTAAGAAAGAGATAGGATATGTCTTTTCAGGGAAATGTATTCAATATAAGCATGGTATTTATCCATTTATTTTAACTAAACATATACCAGAAACTTATTTTTAATACTTTTTAATTGAGATATAATTATAGTGCCTTACAATTCACTCACTTCAGTCTATGATTCAACAATTTTAAATATGTTCACAGAGTTGTACAATCATTACCACAATCAATATTAGAACATTTTTCTTGCCCCCAAAAGAAATTCTGTCCCTATTAGTGGTCACTCCTCATTTCCCCTCAACCTCCCAGTCCTGGGCAATCACTAAACTACTTTCTGTTGGTATAGATTTGCCTATTCTGGACATTTCATATAAATAGAATCATTCAATATGTGGCCTTTGGCTTCTTTCATTGGCATAATGTTTTCAAGTTCCATCCATGTTGTAGTTCTCAAAAACATCTGTGTCTTTTCAGTTAGGAACTCAAACTCATGCTGTTCCTTCCCATAGAACTTTATCTGACTCCCTTGGAAAAAATAATAATAAATAATAAAAATATCCTGTAGCAGGTGCTATCTATGCCAGGTACTATACACATAACCTTCACAATAAGCTATAAAGGAGATATTATGTTCACTATTTTCCAAATTAAGAAACTAAGAAAGGTCATACTACTCATTAAGTCATACAGACAATATTCTAACTCAGGTCTCTGACTCTAAACCACTCTTCTCCTCTACCCCACATAGTAGGTCTGTCTTGGAAGATGAGTCATGGTTATTACCAGCATTGCCATAAACACCTACATCACATTTCTCTGAAATCCAGCACTGGCCCATGGTTGTGGCTTTGACTTGCATCAGAGGAGTACAGAGAAGACGCTCATTCAACAGGAAAAAGCCCTCAAACACAGACTACGCTGGAGGTGAGGCAGAACGCACAGTGGTCAAGACTGCAGGACTCTAGAGTCCAAAAGACCTGGCTTCAAACCCCAAACCAGTCACCCTTTAGTTGCATGTACTTTAGGTAGTTACTTTCTTATTCTTGATTTTCCCCCATATAATTGAGGAGGATAGTTTCTACCTCATAGGGCTGTTATGGGAATGAAATAAAAGGATGAAGGCTTAGCATAGTGCCTAGCACAAAGTAAGTGCTCGACAATATTTGCAACTCTTGGTTATTATTACTGCATTAGACAAAGGTGAAATGGCATCTTATCAGTCATCCAAGAAGCACGTTTATGGACCCTGCATGTGCACACACACACAAACACACCAGTGTAGTTTGGGGGTGAACTGCTCATCCTATTATCATCTCTAAAGTATCCTATTCATAAGGGGAAAGGGTTTAAGTGTAAGAAAGAATAAAGCAGGAGCAGACCTACAACATGGACAAGAAGACACCCCCAAGGACCTGAGTGAATGATCTCCACGGAGCCCTGAGCTGTAAGGAAGAAGGCATCCAGGAGGACAGGTAGCCATGCTGTCACTGATTTTACAGTAGCAAGCTATGGATGGAGAAGCAGCCTTTGGAAAGTTCATTGAATTTGGCAGGGCTCAGTGGCTCACGCCTGTAATCCCAGCATTTTGGGAGGCCAAGGTGGGTGAATCACAAGGTCAGGAGTTCGAGACCAGCCTGGCCAACATGGTAAAACCCCATCTCTACTAAAAATACAAAAAATTAGCTGGGCGTAGTGGCGGGTGCCTGTAATCCCAGCTGCTCAGGAGGTTGAGGCAGGAGAATTGCTTGAACCCAGGAGGCGGAGGTTACAGTGAGCCGAGATCGCTCCACTGCACTCCAGCTCCGGTGACAGAACGAGACTCCATCTCAAAAAAAAAAAAAAAAAAAAAAAAAAAAAAAAAGTTCACTGAATCTTGCAAAAACATGACTGCCATAGCAGGAGAGTTTGCCAAATTATGCAATTCAAAGCAAAACCTCCCTGCCCACCCCCACTGTGATGTTCAGCTTCTGGCTACACCAAAAGCAGTTGCTGGCAAGAAAATCACTTATTTAAAAAAAGGCTTTTTGGCATATGGCAAAAGGCGAGAAGTTGAAAGAGAACACTAGAGGAGTTTTTCCCTAACCTTTTATTAACATGATTTTATGGCTTTGTCAAAATGGCATTAACCAAAGCTTAATAAAACTCATTTAAAAGCTTTTAATTGGAGAAAATAACTTCCTATGAACATTTTGGGTAAGAACTCTATCATACAGATATATGTTCATATGCACATGAAGATGTTTACTGCAATATCTTTAATCATTGTGAAAAACAACTGAAAGGTCCAAAACCAGCAGAATGGTTAAGCAGAATATGGCCCAAGCATCTAATAGCATACCGTAGAACTATTGGAGTTAATGGAGTAGGCTCATGTTTATAAAGAGTGATGTGAAAAGATGTAATTTGAAAAATATCAGTTCATTAGATAATATATTTAGTGTTTGGTTTCTTAATAATGTTTAAAGATAGCCTGGAAGGAGACACATTCCCCTGTTTGTACAGCTTGCCCCTGGGGTGGGGCCTGGGTTGCTAATGGGTGCCAAAAGCTTCTGCTTCTTGCTACCTAAGCTTCTACAATTCAGAGCTTAAGGACATAGATATGGACTATTCTTCACCTTGTGCACTCATTTCTTACTGTTCCTCCTGCCTGCAGGGCCTGCTCCCTCCTCTCTCTCAGGACTTGGCTCAAATTTCAACTTCTCTGGCCATTATCTAAATTCTAACCCTTCCCTCCCTCCCTATCTCTCTTCCCCGCTTTGCTTTCTTCCTTAGCATGTGTCAATATCTAATGTTCTATATATTTTATTTATGTGTCATCTTTATTATCTGTCTCCCTCAACAAAATGGAAACTATCAGGGCAGGGATTTTTGTTTGTTTTGTTCACTGCTATAATTCTACCCCCTGGAATAGTGTCTGGCACATCGTCGAGACTCAAACATTTGTCAGTCAATTGACTAAGGCAGGAATGTTCCCAAAATATTTTGGTAACAAACAAATATATATGTACATGTAAGTAAATGTGTATAAAGGTCTATGTTTATGTATATGTAAATGTATATGCATTTGTGTATATGCATATTGGAATAGCTGTTGAAATTATAACCAATGTCAAAGGCAAGTATAAAGATATTGGTGCTCCAAGACCAGAGGAGGACCCGTAAAGAGCAAGCTCCACACCTGCCTGTGCCTTCCTTACTCTTGTCCTCACTTGGGGTTACTTTTTTTCCTATGACAATAGTTCTTCAGTGAGTGCCAGTATTTATAGAACACATTAAGTTAAATTAATAAAGACAATGAAGCCATTTCAATATTTTAAGCAGTTGCTGCTTATATTAAGAGGGCAGGCTGGATGCAGTGGCTCATTCCTATAATGCCAGCACTGTAGGAGGCCGAGGCAAGAGGATTGCTTGAGTCTGGGAGTTGGAGACCAGTGTGGGCAACATAGAGAGACCTCATCCCTTCAAAAAAAGAAAAAATTAGCTGAGTATGGTGGTGCATGCCTGCAGTCTCAGCTACTCAGGAGGCTGAGACAGGAGGATCACTTGAACCTAGGAGGTTAAGGCTGCAGTAAGCCATGAGGGTGCCGCTGCACTCCAGCCTGGGTGATAGGGTGAGACCCTGTCTCAAAAAAAAAAAGGCAGTTCCTGTCTTATATTAACCTCAGAATCCACTTTATTTTATTTCTGGTTACACCAGCTTAAGTAAATTTTGATTTATACAGATAAATACTTGCGAAGAGTAACTTTTAAAATAAATAGGTCAGCCTCGGGGGCCCAGGAAATGATCTAGTTCACCTGAGATGGCAAGAGAAGCGTTAGCATAAAATTTGCAAAAAATGAGATGTGGCAGCACATGTTTGAATTAGGGCTATCTCCAGCAAATGAAATTTTACACAAAGCAAATCTATGCCAGTGTAGCTAAAAACAACTTTTTAATAGTAAAACAAAATAATTTCTTCAATAAAATGTGAACGAAATGGCTGTAGTTTATCCAAGCCACAGCAGATAGAAGAGGTGTGTGTTGGGTGGGGGTGGGGGTGGGGATGGGGGTTTCTGCAGGTTTACACATTTCAGAAGCCCCATCTCCACCCCCACCCAACACACACCCCTTCTCAAGAGAGACGATAATGCTGCCAGGTCAAAGGGGTGGTAGCAATTGCTATCCTCTGGGTAGTTTCACAGTTTTTGCTTGATTATGGCCATTTAAGATCAGTATCAGCTATCTCACTGTAGCCCCCTTGAACACTGCCAAGAAACATGAACTTCTATCTCTGAATTGGCTCTCAAGTAGAACTTGGTACCCTCACTGAAGCCTCTATCTTAATCACACGCTTGTTGGATTTTTCAATGCAATTATTTTTAATGAATCCATCCTTACTAATGTAGATCCCACATAATATGGTTCAACAGAGAATGAACCCAAAAGAAAACCCAAATTCCTTGCCTTGCTCTCCAAAACTGGGCTTTTCTGTCTTACTATTCTGTCTCTTCGCCTACCTTACCCTGTCGTGCACGTCTCCAAGCTTTCTCTCTTACCACCTGGCCTTTGCTCTCGCTGTTCCTCCTTCTTGCAGTGCTCTTTCCCTAGCTATTTTCATCATTAACTTCTCATGTTAAATGGTTTCTTCTTGAAAGGTCATCCCACTACTGCCTCATCTGTCCCACCAGGCTCTCTCTCCCACAGTGTTTTTGTTGTTGTTGCTCCTGGCATATCTCGGAGTGTTTCAATATCTTGCCTGTTGATTTCTCTACTTGGGTATTATGGGTCTCCCTTCACTAAAATTAAAGCTTTGTGATGGCAGCAACTTTGTCTTGCTTACCTCTGCATTCCCAATGCCTAGTACATAGTTAGTATTTAGTAAGTATCTGCTGAATAAATGAATGAATGAATGAATGAATGGAAGTACCTGTGATATGACATAGTATAGAAAACACAAAAGATAGTGCCAAGAACCAATAATTGAGAGCACAGGGTATATACAGCCATACATGAGAGAAAGCTTCAGGGCCAACAGACACAGACAGAAGCAATCTGGGGAACCATAAATAATCAGAAGCCGGATTTTTGTTCAGAGAATAATGGAAGAATTAGCCCCTCTATACAAATACAGGATCAATCTAGAGGCAGCTTGTACCAGGGAAGTCTTACAGCCATTAAACTAAAGTTAGGAAAAAGATTCAAATATTTGGAGAAATATTCTTAAAACTAGGCAGGCCTTTGGTCTATGGGCCTACCCATGAGTCCATGTGAACCAGGCAAAAGTCTTTGGGAAACAGCCTAGATAGAATCCAGAATTGAGTTAAACCAGAGCTCTTTTGTTTTGATCCCTCCTAAGATATGAAGGTCAACAATTGGTGCTGAGGACTAGGGTGAGCTGACGTAAGTTGGGCTAAGAGGGTGACCCCATGCAGGGAGACACTGGGAAACAGTCAGAGACCAAAGAAGAGGAGCAGACATGTGTCATCATGATGACGTTCAAAGGTGCACTGGGAAGGAGGGAATGCTATCTCCAAAGCACACTTGTGTAATGGGCTCTTGCCCCACAACAAAACACTCTCCAGACCCCACCTAGGCCACACATTTCCACTCTCCCATCTTTGCATTTGCTCTTCCCTCTTCCTTGGAATACCTTCTCCCTGTTTTATCTGGCAAACTCTAGCTCACCCTTCACAAGCCAACTCACATGTCAACGCTGTTGTGAGCCCACACAGCACCCCACGGTATCCAAGTCTGGGTCCCTGGCCTTGCATAGCTGTGGGATCTATTCTGTCCCTGAATCAATCATGGCATTTGTGCCATAAATGAGTCTGCATGGGTGAGAGCAGTGGGAGGATCTTGCCCAGGCCATGTCTCCCCAAGCTCACTCTCGGGGCAGACAGGCTGGCACGGTGAGAAGGAGCAGTGGTCAGAGCCACACTGAGCTCATGTCTTAGTCATTGCCCTTCACGGTCAGAATGGGACAATCCCCACTGCCTGATGTTGAGGCCCAGGCCGGGTGCCCGACATGTGACAAACTGCGCTTTTTCAGGCTGAGCTCACACCACCCATTAGCTGGTCTGTGGGAGCTGCCAATGTTTGTGGAGTCTGGAGTTCCTCCTACCTGCATCTGGAGTTCAGAGTTCCCCAACACTTTGACTCAAAAACAATGCCCTCCAGTTCTTATTGCCAGAGGCATCCATCTACCCTGTGGCTTCTCTCAGTTAGCTAGTCATTCGGTCAACACTAATGTGGAACAGGGAGTGCACAGGGCTAGACTTTGTAGGGCTGGACAGGGAAGACAGCATGCAGGAAACCTGACTCTGTGGGGCTCCAGCTCTGCAGACTCCCATCTGGGACAGTTGGTGACTGACCCAACAGTCGGCAAAAGACTCAAGCAGTCAACGGAGCCTTTCAGAGGTGAGGGAAAGGAAACACACTTCAGATTAGACAAATGAAAAAACCGAGGTAGGGAACGTTAGGAGTTGAAACATTACATAAATTACCAAAAGCCAAGGTTCCTGTTTCCCTCAGAGGCATGCTCTCTGACACATATAAATATATGGTGGTCCCATTAAAACCGTACTTGTGTGATATGTATGCCACAGATGTATTAGTGAGATTTCAGCACGTGAGGATCACAGCTAATGGGAAGTCCTCGCATTTCATAGTCTGGCAGGCCTGGGTCTAAATCCTGCTTCTTTGGCGCCATTCATTGTGTGTGACCCCAAGGCAAATCACGCCATCTCTACACATGCATTGTATCACCTGTAAAATGAGTTTATTATTAGTTTTTAGCAGGAGCAAATCTAATAATATGTGTCTTGTGGTTGGCACCATATCTCGCCCCCTGTAGACATTGAGAACAGTGTTTCTGAAATATATCCTATTAAATTTCCAAGGCTTATTGTCCCAAGCAAGGGTAAAGTTAATTCCACCTAGACTAAAGAAGGTCATAAAGTAGAAATGCATAAATAAATCAGTAGAAATCTTCCATCAAGTGGGAAAGAGGGTGATTGGACATTAAGGGATGCTCCTTCCAGCTAGAAGGGAAGAACAAGAGGGAGGCAGGAGCAGAGGAGAGGACGGGACACTGGCCAGCCCTGGGGAGGTCCCCACATCTCTTCATCCACCAGCCCTCAAGTGAACGTTGAGAGGAGTCAGGGTGAGCAGGGTAGTAGGGAGGGACTCTACAAGTTTAGGAAATGGCCAGAGTGCTGATGTCAAGTCCTTCTTTCCTTGGGCACAATCAGAAAGACTAAAAGACTTTTGTGGAAGGCCGATTAGGATTCAGGGCAGCCAGCAGGGTGAGGGAGCAGGTAGAAATGCGTAGATCTAGGGAGGGCACGGAAGCCACCTCCTGAGCCTCACATGATAGAGGCGGGTAGGGAGAATGTGGCTGAAGGTTCCCCAGCCTCCAGAGGCCTCAGCGATGCTGCAAAGATTAGAAGACCAGAAAGGGCAGAAGGTCAGGAATGAGAGGCTTGCAGATCCAGGGCTCTCGGGACAGAAGTGGAGACTCAGTCTATAGACACCCACAGGAGCCCTCACAGACACCTGTGCAGGATGGCCAGCCCCAGGAGGGAGGAGGACTGTCTCAGGCGAGGCCAGCAAGCACCTGGGACACACTTGAGGACTTCTCCCTGCCATCAAGGTGCTACACAGGCTTCCCTTTAGACACAGGCACCATCAGAAGAAGAGAAAGAAAAGAAGGGCAACAGAAATCCACAAAGACTACCCCAGCTTCCCCAAATAAACTATGCTAACCTGCAAGAGGCCATTAGAAATCAGAGACAGAATTACATTAAATTGGAAAATTTAAATGTTCCCTCCCTTCCTCATCTGCCCTTCTGCTACTGAGAAATTAGGCTTTGAGAGAAAATCAAAGCACATTTTAGTTCCTTGCAAATCTCAGTACTAATGAGTAAATTTCAATGCCCCACTACTTGCTCAATTATTAGTATTTTTTCTATTATTCTATATAATATTGGTAATTATGATAATATTTGACCATTTTAACCCATAAAAATGGCAGTTTCCAAAGGTTCAAGTGAATAATATTAATTGCTACCTTTATGAAACCAAGGTGTAGAAAAAGGGGGGCTCCCTTCCCTCTGACACCAGAGAAACTATGTCTGAAGGTTGGGGTGGGGTCTCAAATAGGTCTGGGAGGCCAGGAGGTCAATGCTTTGGTGCGTCTCTGCCTACTTGTATCCATTTCCCCTTTTCCACCATTTCTTCATCCAAATCACCATATTCAAAAATAGGGAAATCAAGCAGTGTGCAGTGTGCAGTGTGTTTATAAGCTTGGAGACATTTCTGACAAATGAAAAGAAGGGCTTCTTCATACAGAAAAGCCTTACTTAATAACTGTGGTACTTTTTACTGTAAGAAGTAGCTCAGGCTGGATATCGTTTGAAAACACAAAGCGAGTCACTGACAGCCGCATCCTCTGAGGCCAGTATCTCACGGTTTCCAATTTTATTTTCCACAGATTTGAAGTGTGTGAAATAAAGAAGACAATATACATATTGGCCCTTATTGGAACATGTTGCTGATCTAGAACGGAACAATTAGATGAGTCTAGGCTATTTCTGGACTCCCCATCTCCCTGTCAACTGGGAACAAGCTGGCCCGTGACTCCCTAGCTCCCCAGCAGTCATGACACAGTCTCATGGTTAGAACCGGATTCAGCAATCCTGAAACCACGTCTCTGAACAACCTCCAATGTGAGAATTCCTCCTACAGACTTCCCTTGAACAAGGACACAGTCTCAGCTTAAGCACCTCAGGCCACCGGGAGCCCACTTCTTCTCCTTCCATTGTTTAAGAATGTTATTCCTTATTTCAAATCACAATGTGACAACACGCACTGATTAATAGGATGGGTTTTGGAGCTGGAGAAATATAGAGTCTAATCCTGCCCCTCCCTGTTGCTGGCTGTGTGACCATGGGCAAAGGCATAACCTCTTTGTGTCTCAGTTTGTTGTTTCCTAATGGGTAAAAAGGGGATCCAGTCATTACCTATTTTGGAGAGCTACGGTGAGGATTGGTTAAAGAACTGCTTGTACAGTATAGACAGGACCTAGATATAGTATCCATTCAATTAATGCCATACATTAATATATCATCACAGTTACTGATGGAGTTATGCCTTCCAGGGTGACAAAGAACAAGACCAATACTCTCTTCCACTTTATATATTTAAAGACAGCAGTTATGGGTCTTCTAGCTGCACCAAGAAAGGTTCAAGTTCTGTTCTTGTACCTTCTGTAACAACCTCCAGTTGTTACAGAAGCAACCCTCCAAGCCCAGATGACCTACCTTTGTCTTGAGTAGGACAGTTCTGAGGTCCAGTTCTCCTGTAACTTGGAGGACATTTTTTGGCAGCTCCCTGCCTCTTCAAAGCCCATTCTATCCTTGCTTCTCTCTCATCTCTTACAGTTTCCTGACCCTCACCCAGTGCATGCCTGGCCTATCATTAGCTAGAATTAGATACCTTTGGTTTGATGGTGTTTATAGCCATCCATAGGCATACAGATATCAAAGGGCAGTGGAGTGTGGCAGGTGCACAGGGATTGACTTTGGTGAGTAACCAGGGGAAACCTAGAAATGCCTATTGGGGTAGTTGGAATCAACATCACAAAGTCCATCAAAATGTCTCACCTGGGCTGGGCGCGGTGGCTCACGCCTGTAATCCCAGCACTTTGGGAGGCAGAGGCAGGTGGATCACGAGGTCAGGAGATCGAGTCCATCCTGGCTAACACAGTGAAACCCCGTCTCTACTAAAAATACAAAAAATTAGCCGGGCGAGATGGCGGGCGCCTGTAGTCCCAGCTACTCGGGAGGCTGAGGCAGGAGAATGGCGTGAACCCGGGAGGCGGAGCTTGCAGTGAGCCGAGATCCCGCCACTGCACTCCAGCCTGGGCGACAGAGCGAGACTCCGTCTCAAAAAAAAAAAAAAAAGTCTCACCTGGTGATGTTTCTAGACCACATGTAGATCTAGTTTCCTCATGAATGAAATTGGATAAGCGCCTGAGCTAACCTTGTCCCTTATCTTTGAAGACGGGTTTAACGCAGGTTTTATAGCCAAGCTGGGTCAGTGGCCAGTGCCCAGGGAAGCTTGGCCAGTTCTTGAAAAGGCCCAGGGCTCTGTGAAAAGACCACAGCCTCTGCTTCTGAACTGGGACCACACAGGTTTGCCTGGGGGTCTCCAGTATGGTGCTGACCATGTAGCCACAGACGACTTCAAGCTACTCCATGATGAAACCCCAGGCTCTGCCTGTTCAGAGTGGGATGAATGAGGAGCAAATTCGCGGGAGCAGGAGGAGCTGTCAGGAGTCAGAGTATGCCGTCATCATCACACACCTCCCTGGCTTCAACAATGCTATTAAAACTCACACATTTCCCCTGTCTGTGTGTATGCGTTGCAATGTAAGTCAAGCAGCAAGATTTTATCTCTGTATCAAGATAATTTATTAACAAGGACGGTGCTGGAACCCTGGCATGATACTTTGAAATGCCAGCTGTGGCTGCGGGCCAATTTAACCACAGTCTGGAAGCTCGATTTAAAGAAATCCATCTATGGCTTATATAGGTAAGTTTATATTATTCTCCTTCTGCATCATAGCCCTTAGGACAAAGTGCATGTGAAGAGAGCTGGTGAAGGGCAGACTGCTACAAACTAGTTGTCGAGTGGTTCAGGAAGGAGACCAGAACTCAAAAACAAATCCCAGGGAATGATTTCTAGTTAGTCATCCTTTGCGGACTGACTTTAGAAATTATGCAAGGGGTGGAAGACGAAGCCTGAGGGTGTTACAAGATGTGGTCCCTGCCTCACTTCATCTTGCCTCCCCTTGCTTCCTCTTGTGCACCCAAAACACTGGCCTTCTGCCTGTGCCTTCAGCTCCCCAGCTCTTCCCTACCTCAGGACCTTTGCACTTGCCAGTCCCTGCTGGAATGTTCTTTCCTCACCTCGGCTTAACTGTCACCTCCTCAGAAATACTTTCCTTGACTACATTATATAAAGTAAACTTTATGCCCTAGTTTCTCTCTCTCTCTCTCTCTCATCCTCTTGTTTCATTCCTTCACAGCACTCCTCTAATTTGAAATTAGGTTGTTTATTTATTTGTTTATTATCTCTCCTGACTAGAATGTAAATGCCGTAAAAGAAGAAATCCGGTTTTACATCCCAGTGCCTTATACATAGAAAGCACTCAATAAACATTGAATGAATGAATGATATTAGCATAATCATTTAAGATTCTTAATGAGAGGAGAAAAAAAACTTTTCTTGATTTCCAAGTAGGGAGAGATGAGGAAATAAAGCAGAAAATGGAAGAATTGTTCACTGCCAATTAGCTTGAGATTGAAACAACCAGAAAAGCAAAAATCTGAATGCGTCATTATAAAATGCAAACAAAGGCAGTTTGCAAATAGGCATGGGATGATGTCCTCATGAAGCAGATGGATTATAAAGTACCGAGGATGACTACCTCCTACCCCTCAAGACCTGTGCCCAGCTCCTGCATATAAGGACAGCATGACTTTTCAGCCCTTCCTAAGAACCCTTCAGCCAGAAACACTTCAAATGAGAGTACAAGAGTCTCGCTGACACCAAGCGCCAGCAAGTCCTTGTCATGTACAGCATCTGGGCAGAAGTAAGAACATCTGTTCCCAGCATGAACCTTATTAGCTTCATCATTTGGCTTTCAACCAAAAAAATGTACAATTATGATACATGGGCTTAATGGGTGGCAAGGTAGCAACTAATGCTCTGCAGCAGATGAGCTCAGGAGCAGGCGTGGCTATGGGGGTAGCGGCCATGCAGCGGGGGCAAGACACACCTAGCAGCAACAGCTCCATTACCTGGAGGCAACCTTGCAGCAACCGCAGGTTCTAGAGACAGAGGACAACTGGGGACTGGAAAGAAGAGAGAGTGAGAAAAAGGAGGGAGAACGGAAGAGGAGGAGAGAGGAGAGAAGGGGAGAAAGTGAATGAGAGGCATGAGAGTGAAGCCATAAAGACCCCACCCAGACATAAAAGTGAGGGTGAGGGAGCGGGGCAGACAAAGTAGCTCTGCCTGGCACATGGTAGAGCAGGATGTCCCACACACTAAAGCAGGGCCGCCTGGGTCTGCACCTCATCTCCACCACTTCCCTGATGTGTGCACTCAGGCAAGCTGCCTCGTCGCTTTGTGCCTTAGTTCTCTCAACCCCTGAGAGGGGAAAATCACAGCACCTACCTCAGAGGGTTGATGTGAGGGGTAAGTGTGTTACTCTGCATAAGGCACTTGAGCAGTACTTGACATGGAGCAAGCTGCCATCATCGCATCATCATCATCATCATCATCACTACTACTACTATCATCATTACTTGTAAGACTGATTTAAATACTCCTTATATACTTGCATATACTCCTTACAGCATGATGAGCTAGGTACCAGTATTATCCCCACATCGCGCAGCAAGCGTGTGGAAGTGAAAAGCTGGGCCTTAGCAATCTGCCTCTGGAGCCCGTGCTCCTTACCATCTCCCAGGCAGGACTCAACAGCCTCCCTAAGAATTGCCCTTGAGCTTGTCACTGCCATAATAAAAACAACAGAAGCAGCACAGACTAAAGCTTATGTCTGGGTTTGTTACATGGAAGGCCAAGAGCAATCTCCTTCCCTGGGCCTCCTTATTACAGGTAGCACTCCCTGCACCTAAGGAAGCAGGATTGAAATTAAGGAGACGTGGGTTTGAATCCCAGCTCCACACTCAAGAGCAGTGGGCATGCCTGCGGAGGTAAATGGCTGCCTCCTGCGCCTGCTGCTCTCTGCTGGAACCAGAATGAGACACCCCTAGGTCTGTGGTGAGGATTCAGCAGGGCTGTGGAAGTAGAGCTCTCCCAGTGTCTGGCAGTCAGCATATCATAGATCTAGCATCAGTACAAGACAGCGTGTTCCCTGTGAAAGCTGAGAAATGCTGGGAAGGGGAGACAGGAAGATAAAAGCAGGAGGACGGAGGGAAGCTTCAGCAGACGGCAGACAAGGAAGCAGCATCAGAGCGGGTGATGAGGTGGGAATGAAGGCTGTGGGAATGGAGGTCGCAGTGGAGTGAGGTGGGCTCTAGAGAAACAGGGAAGAGCTGGCCTCCTGGGAGCGAAGAACCCTGCTCACCTCAGCACCCCAGGTCTCTCCCAATTACATTATGGGTGTTCCTGATAGCAAAATAAAGTTTCAACCAAAGGCTGAATTATGTGCAAAATTCTCTATATAAGAGGTCAGGGGTTTACACCTCTTAAGAGGGCTTCTTACAAAATTGTTAAAATGTTATAGAAGGTACGTAAAGTGGGGGTATGTTACTAACATCCAAAACAAAGCAGATTATGAAGAAAGGTTCATAGTCAATGGATTCTAATAAAACTGAGGAGTTGCTGTTTGTATTTATGTATGGTCCTTCATCCTGGAAGATGCCTTCTTGGTGTTCTAGTCACCTGGGTGCTGGCATATGAATAACTGTTTAATCCTGGGCAAGTTGCCTAACCTCTCTGAGCCTCAAGTTTTTTCCATCTGTGAAAGAAGTATGAGAATAGAGCCTACCTCATAGGTGGATGTAAACATTAAACAAGAGAACGCGTGGGAAGAGGTCACATGATGCCTAGCATGTGGTGTGAACGCACCAACGTGAGCTCATAGGATTACTGCTGTTTGCATTATCATGTGGCAATGGCACAAGACAAAGTGCTGCGATGTGGCTTCAGAGTCGACACATCTAATTTCTGGAAATTAGTCAAGGAAAGCAGTCAATAACATTAACACCTCCCTCTGCCTCTCGCACCATCTGCACCAATCACAAGTCCTCTCAGCTCCACTTTATGAGAACTTCTATCTTCCACTCTGTTTCCTTCCTTCTCACTCACTGACCTCATTTGGTTTTCATCTGCCATGGGGTCTACCTCAACCAACTGCAAGGGCCTCTGCAGACATTCTTCCCTCTACTCCATTTAGTCCATTCTTCATACAGAAGCTGTGTAGCCCCTTTTTGAAGTCTCAGTTTATATTAAAATTTGATTCATCCACTTTTAAAAATTCTACTGCATAGTATAACCCCATTTGTTTTACTTTTTAAAAACCATATTTAAGTTACTTACCATTTGGTTAAATTGACACTCCCAAAACTTCCCAAACCTTCTCCAGCCAGCTCTGTAGCTAGTGCGTGTTAGGGGCTCAGCAAATGTTTGTGGACTTACACCACAGATGTAAAGAAATTTCCTAAGTAGAAATTCACATGCAAACATGATAATGACTGGGAAGTGAGGAGGGTGAGGTGATGCCTGTATTATTTCTTAATTTCCCAAGTATAGGGACAAGTATTTTCTAAGAGTCTTATAATTTAATACATATTTTTAAGATAAAATGTATGTGGGAGGATTACCTAGACACACACATAGCAGAGCATCCTTTGCTTGCTACCTGTGTCTGCTGTTTGCAAACACCATTGCTATTTCTGAGCAATGTTTCTTCACCAGGAAAGAACAGGTCCCCCAGACTCTGACAGATCACATGCTGCCCAAGGAT
This sequence comes from Homo sapiens, assembly GCF_000001405.40. Lineage (NCBI taxonomy): Eukaryota > Metazoa > Chordata > Mammalia > Primates > Hominidae > Homo > Homo sapiens. Next base: position 40,146,179 of record NC_000013.11, read on the forward strand.
ACAACATTAAAGAACAATGACCACTGAAGTCAGGAGAAAATGCAATCATGCCCCTCCCAGGATCAAGCAACTGTCACACCCTACTCCTGCCATCTTGAGTCAGAAGGAATAAATGCAGGACGAGCTTGGGACTCTGATGTTGCCTACTTCCCTGCATCTCGGGATTTTTGCTCTTCTTGGGATTCTCGTCGGTAACACAAAATGAATAGTCCACCACTACCTGCTCAAAGCAGTGGACTGGCTCAGTCATGATTTGCTAGCAGTTTCAAAACACAAAACGATATTGCTGAGACTGACTGCCAAGAAGCAGGGTTTATCCTGTATCTCTTCTCCCCCGTGGGTGAGAAAAGAGAGCATCAGGTTTGTGGGATCCAAAGTTGCAAGCAGTGATTTATTTACTCTTAGCAACCATGGCTGAAGCTTAGTGACATCTGTAAGCTGAACATTCTCATCAAGTGTGTGTTTTATTGAACCGTTTGCCCTCAGGGTGCTGCAGGCTTAGTTGACATCCTGCTTGAAGCTGACAACTCACACTCCACCATCCACTGACAAGAGGCTGGGCTCCAGCTATGCACAGGCACACACGGCACTCCTATTCTGCATCTAGTTTTTGTGGCTCCTCATCACCAGGTAACAGCGTCTCACAAACCTCTTAGTCATCACTCCCCTTCTCAGAGTGCCAGTGCCTCAAGGAAGATGCTTTTCCTTTTCTTGAAAGCACCGTTTTCCGCTTTTTTCAGTTTCATTTCCTGTTTGCAGTTTAAGAGCCAACAAGGCAGATGGATGAAGTATCAGCATGACTGAGAGGGAAAAACCATGCAGGGCGCTCCCTGCATAGCGCCCGCCACAGCCCAGGCCTCCTGCAGATGATCCTGGAGATAGGTGAACGCTAGCCATGCTCACTTCTGCCATGCAGCACACGACTCCAAAACAGAGACGCATGACAACTTCCTCAGTTCTGGCAGATTCTTTCAGGATCCGGGGCTGTAAGACTGTTACTCAGGTCTCAATAACACACAAAAACCAAAAACAAGCTATCCAACAAAAAAGATGATTAAGAGGAAAAGCACTGGAGTGGGATAACCGTGAATTTATATCCTAGTTCTTGCATCAACTAGCTGAGGGGCCCTGGGCAAGTTATTTGACCTCTTGGCATTTCAGTTTTCTTGTCTAAAAAAGAGAGGGTATAATTGTACAAAGCTCATATAATTTATGGTAAGGATTACATGAGATAATTCATGAGAGTTCATGTAAATTCATAGCATAATACCTGATACCTAGTAAGTGCTTAATAAATATTATGTGACAGGGAGAGGAACACCACACACTGGGGCCTGTCGGGCGGGTGAGGGGAAAGGGGAGGGAGAGCATTAGGACAAATACTTAATGCATGCGGGGCTTAAAACCTAGAAGACGGGTTAATAGGTGTAGCAAACCACCATGGTACATGTATACCTATGTAACAAACCTGCACATTCTGCACATGTATCCCAGAACTTAAACTAAAATTTTAAAAAAAGAAAATATCAAAAAAATTATGTGTCATTAGTCTTAGTACCTTGTTTCAAAATTATCAGTCAAGAAATGCACACAGATGGGACATATTTCAGATTATTTCCATTGTCACTCAACTTTCAGCATATATAATCACTTACACAGAAAAGGCCCTTATCCCTTCCTTGTTTTCCCTCGCCCACTCCATGCCCAATGTGCCTGCTCTCACCTCTGACTCCTGTGCTGATTCCAGGGCCATGGGCAGTCTTGACCTTCATTCTTCCCTAGAAAGTACCTTAAGGGCAGGGACCATAGCCTTCCTAGCTTTTTATTCTTTTTAGTGTCTGGGTCTTCAACTAGGAGGACCTTCCCACTCTTTTCTGAGTAGAATGCTTGCCTTAACTCTGGCAACTTAAAAAATGAACTATTGATTTCATGAGCTGAGATCTTTGAAGATTTTCAAAGTCTCAGAACCACTTCCCAGTCAGAGAAGTTCAAAGAATGAATTCATCGACTGGCTTATTCTGCTCAGACATCATTTCCACTTCAGTCAGGAGAGGCTGGGGAAAGGTTGCTCACTGGGGAGCTTTCACCTCTTCACAGACTGTCTGATATCAGAGGAAGGGAACTTCCCCATAGTGTTCCCACGTCAGAACACTTGAATACCATGAACATAAAACTCTCCCTCCTGACGGGCCCTGAGTGGACCCAATTCTTGCTCTTACAGCGAGGGACCCTGTGGCATGGAGCAGTAAACTGTGTTGTGCCACAGGACCCTGTGTGGGGAAGCCTGGTGCCACATCCTGGAAACTGTTTTCTTTCTGCATTGAGATGTATGGGATCCTGTTAAGGCAGAATCAAAGCTTACGCTAGCTTCTCTAGGGAGGTCTCACTCCCTGTGCTTCATGACTCCTTCCAGATTCTCTTCCTTCCTTATGTATTACAACAAATTATAATTTATCCTCAGGTTTTAAAGGTGGATCTGGTGCTACCTAAATGTCAAGTAATGTCATTAATGTCAATTAATGATGATGTAGAGTCCTTACACCAGCACAAGAAAGCCAATGAACAAGTAAGAGTTAAGAAAACTCCCCACAGCACATTAATTAAGAAAGCCAGGCTATGTAAAATGTTATTTTGAAAGAAGCCATTTTCTGCAGTGACATAAAATTTCATAGGCTGTTCTGGGCCTCCAGATAGGACCCATGTAATAAGGCATCTCTGCCAAACCAGCCAGAAAACAGGGAAGTGAGACAGCCATGGGTCAGAACCCATAGATATAGGAATGGAAAACTCCAGAGAGCCCTCCTCTAAGATGTAAAGCCACCAATCGACAGACAGCCTGCCATATACAGGAAAGCTGTCAGTCATCTTTACTAAATAGGGAGGATACAACTTCCCTCCCCTCCAGGCCATAGAAAACTCAAATTCTTTACAAGTGTTTTTGAGATTCACATACAAAATTATCAATGACACCATCAAAATGGATGCCTGCAGATCTTACAAACAAACTAGAAGCTAGCCTCATGGTTGCTCAGAAATGAGGGCATTTAGGCAAAGCTGGGAACTGAAGATTTGAGCAGGTGTGGGTCAGACCCTGGTGCTCAAAATAAATATTCTGCCCCAGAAGCTCTGGACTGGAAGGGAGGGACCCAAGTTCTCTGAAAGGACAACAGTGCCACAGCCAAACAGCTCAAGCAGTTTGCTGTCAATTAACCACCCCCTGTGTAATTTCAGGAAAATTTATTCTGTAAATTACAGACATTTTTGACACTTAACTCAGCAAAAAACAGTTGTCCAACAATGATTTTATGTCCAAATAAACCTGTCATCTTTATTCTTGGCCTTTTCCTTCCCTCGTACAGAAAATAAAAAGGATCCAGATATTTTCCAAGAGAAAATAAACTCCTAAAGCTGAAAGATTTGAGTTTTCAAGTTTGGTTAAAATGCTGAGTCCAAAAAGGGGGTTCTCAAGTTGGCACAGTGCTTCCCTCCCACATCCCTACTTAATCACCACCAACTCCAGAGGCTGTGACTCAGAGAATGTGTGAGCCCAAGCCTCGTCTCATAAACACAGCATTTCCAGGCCCCATGTTCTCCATTCTTTGCTAGCACAGTGCAACTCAGGGTCAGGGCAAATAAGGTAAGAAGACCATTTGAGTTCAACTTCTGAAGCTGTTCTTTTCTCTGCTAAAGTTTAGGTAGAAGCCAAAAGAGCTGTTTTCTCTATTGTCTCAAACTAAACTGCTGACAACAAAGAAGTATGAGCACTTGGCAGAATTTCAAACTCCAACAATAAGCAAACTGCACGAGGAGATTGTTTTGTGTTGCTTTTCTGTGGCTCTCCTTTTTCTACCGTGGGATGTTCCAGAAAGCTGTGGGCACTCTGTCCGTGCCCACTCCCAGCAGCTCACGGAGCACATCCAGGAATAGGTGGACTCCCTCCCCTAGGATGGGCCCACTGCTGACCCACCTGCTCCAGGAACTGTGATTGGAATACATTATCGAGATTTATGAGAGTCAAGAATAACTGAAAACCCTAGTAGGAGTGGAGAGGCATGAGGTAGAATTGAGAAGCTGCCACCTCCCCTTTTTTTTTTTTTTTTTTTTTGAGACAGAGTCTCTCTCTGTCACCCAGGCTGGAGTGCAGTGGCGTGATCTCAGCTCACCACAACCTCTGCCTCCCGGGTTCAAGCGATTCTCCTGCCTCAGCCTCCCAAGTAGCTGGGATTACAGGTGCCTACCACCACACCTGGCTAATTTGTTTGTATTTTCAGTAGAGACAGAGTTTCACTATCTTGGTCAGGCTGGTCTCAAACTCCTGACCTCAGGTAATCCACCCACCTTGGCCTCCCAAAGTGCTGGGATTACAGGCATGAGGCACTGCACCTGACCTCCCCTCTCTTTTTTTAACCTCCATTTTTCTCTCGATGTCTAGGGCTGTAATGGTTTGTTTCTACCCGCAACATTCATTCACTCAACATTACACCTTCCTTCCACCCTCCCTCCTCTGTTTCCCCCATGACCCAGGTCTTTTCCTTTACCTGTCTTCTACCAGATCTTCCTATGGTGTGCACCATTTCCTTTGGGCTCTGTCATCACTCCGTGACAACCAGGTTATCTGAGAGAATAATTTCTGCTAATGTGCCAAGAGAATATATGTGCCTGTTGGGTTCCTTCTGGAGAAGATGGTATTTTTAAGTATGGATGACCAAGGACTGGGATTCTAAAGGGGCTGGACAAGATTAGTCAAGTAACTGTAAGCCAACTGAAATGAATTTGAATGAAAGAAGGAGTTAATTGGCTTATGTGACTGGGAAGGGTGGGGGTGGGGTGGCTGGAGGAACCCCGTCGGGACCTGCACTGACTCCCATCACAGCTCTGCCGGTGTGTTGTCACAGTTCTTATGAGCTTTTCCACTTCGCTGGGGCCAGAGCTATACTTCCAGGACCACACATCCTTATAGCTCCCATCAAGAGAAAAGATGTCTCTTTCCTGGAGTCTGGAAAGAAGGACTTTCATTGGTACGGCCTTGAATCACATGCTCATCCCTGGACCAATTCCTGTGGCCAGGAGATTTAGCCTGTGTCCTCATTTGCTATTGCTGCCGTAACAAATTATCACAGGCTTATTAGCTTACAACAAAACACATGTATTACCTCATGATTCTGAAGGTCAAACCATATTAGGGTCTCCCTAGACTAAAATCCAGGTGTCAGAAGGCTGCATTCCTTTCTCCAGGAGAAACCTGTTTCCTTGTGTATTCAGTTTGTTAGCAGAATTCAGTTCCTTGTGCCTGTAGGACTGAGATCCCGGTTTCCTTACCTGTCTCCATCTGTGGACCATTCCCAGCTTCTCGAAGGGCTCACATTCCTTAGGTTATAGCCCTTTCTTCTAGCTTTAAAGCCAGCAATGGTGAGTCAAGTCTTTCTCATGTTTCAAATCTCTCCTGCTTCTTTTATTGTTATCACATTTCTTTGATCCTTCTGCTTTTCTTTTCCACTTTCAGGAGGCCATGTGATTACTTTGGGCCCAACTAGATAATCCAGGAGAATCTCTCCATCTGAAAGTCCACAACCTTAATTCCATCTACAAAGTCCCTTTTGCTGCGTAATGGCAATGTATACATAAATGGCATACTTATGTAAATGGCAATGAATATGTAAAACATACTCAAGGGTTCTGAGGATAGAACACAGCCCTTGGGGAGGGAGCATTATGTGGACACCACAGCCAGAGCTTGGTCAAATATCCACCTAGGGAAGCCAGGCCAGGGCTGGTGTGACTGACAGCTCCAACAGAACCATGTGGAAAGGGAGGGAAGGGGAAACTCCCTAGTGAAGAATAGGATGCTATTAGCGGAAAAAGAAGAGAAAAGATGTCCCCTTCAAAGCAGGTTGGGCCTTACTACACATTTAAGTCACTGCTCAAAGATATTAGTGGGCTCTGTAGTTAGGAAATTTAATATTCCCAATAACAACTACCCTAAACATTTTTTAAATTAACAAATGAAAAAAATGAGAAGGGAAGCAGGCCAGAGGCAGAAAATTAATCTATCAAAAATACCCATTTCCAAGGGCTGGAACTTTGCTGGGCTTAACCAAGAAACACGGAAGAAACAGAAACTATTTGTTGGCATTTGGCCCAAGGAGTCATGCTCACTTATGGCAACAGAGGGCAGTCAGGAAGGAGGAGGGGACAAGAATCTGACTCAAGACCCATGTGCTCTGGTAGACCAGGGCCTGCAACGGAGGAGGTGTAGCCAAAGATGCTAAATATACCATCTATAGGATGAAGAAGTCTGGACTGTTTGTTGGGGCACACTGGTTATGGTCCAAACCCTGTAACCAGCCACACAACCTCGGGTAAGTCTCCATCTTGAGCCAGTTTCATCTCCAGTGATATGAGAGAGTGGGACTATCAAGAATGTCTGTGAGGTGACTGCACCAGTCCCCACTCCACACCCATGCCTGCCCAACTTCCATAACCCACTCAGTGCTCTTTCCTGCTAAGCCCTTCTCAAGACAGCATTCCAACAGCCACTACCACCTGGTCCAAGTCAAAATGTGTATGAAAATCCCTCAGTCATTCTAGAGTTAGATAACTTCTAAGGTGCTTTTGAGATTTGACATTTTGTGTCGTACAGTTCTGATATAGATAGACCAACCACTTAGGACCAAATGAGACCCATTCAGGCTCTCATTTCAAACTCCTAATGCTGGATGAGGACAAAGCTACCTGGTAGGAAAGGCAAATAGAACTAAAAAAAATTCATGATTTAATCCAAGTGCTCAAGGACAGTTTCAGTAGGAAATCAAATCAGAGATAAAATAAATTTCCCTTTTCAACCTCAACCAGAAGGCTTGAAATGACACATAGATGTTTCACAAAAGGTCAACTATAATCCTAGATGGACAGATAATTGCCTTGTGATTACATAGATAAGCAACCTGGGTTTTTGGCAGGAATAGCTGGTGCAAACAAATTGAGAAATATTGCAGGTTGGTTCCCTAGAAGTTCGGAAACAGACATTACCAAATAGGAAATTTATTAGGGTGCGGTCTCGGGACTAACACCTGTCAAGGAAGGGAAGGAAACAGGATTTACCGGAGGGCAAAATTGGGCTGTGGACTCTGAAAAGGTCTCAGTTCACTGTACAGGGAGCTCCAAAACTAGACTGGCCTTTCAGAGACATCCTCAGTTGGGGTACGGGGTCAGATCTTTAGTTGCCTCCATTGACCTGTCATTGAATGGAGGCTAGTCCCAGGCAGATGGCTCATGGGTAAGAAGGCTGTCTTTGTAGAGCTCAGTGCCCACAGAGAGCTGAGAATGGAGTGCTGTCAGCCAGCAGCAGGCCCAGAAGCTACAGAAACAGTTCCTTCAATCCTGAAGGAAGATCTGGCAGAGTCACATATTCAGGAAAACAAGCAAATAGAATCTCCGACCTGGATGGCCTATTCAGGACATCAGCACCAGCAGTGCCGGTTAGTGCTACCCTTTTCTGTCTGTTGGCACTGCAGAGGTCCTCTGGGTCTCCTTGTACAATCTGCAGCTTCCTCCAGTGTTGGCCCATGGCCAGTTTTCTGGTGGTGCTCAGCAGAAGAATTTACCCAGAGTAGAAGACATAACTGGTGTGGAAGTTTCACTTTGGTGGATGAATGTCACAAGTTGTTTTATGTTAATTTTATAGTAAAATAAATAGGTAGACAAATTATACTTTCCACATGATGTAAGTTTTGTAGAGATAGTATATGAGTCTACTAGGACTGCTATAACAAAATACCACAGACTTGGTGGCTTAAACACAAAAATGTATTTGCTCACAGTTCTGGAGGCTGAAAGTCCAAGATCAAGACATTGGCAGGTTTGGTTTCTCCTAAGGCCTCTCGCCTTGGCTTGAAGATGGCCACCTTCTTGCTGTGTCCTCACATGGCCTTTTCTCTGTGCACACATCATTGGTATCTCTTTCTCTTCTTATGAGAACACTAGTCCCATTGGATTAGGGCCCCACCCTATAACCTCATATTACCTCTGTAAAGGCCCCCATCTCCAAATACAGTCATATTGGGGACAAGGCTTTAACATATGAATTTTGGAGGAATGTAATTTAGTCCATAACAGAGAGTTTCAAAAAATTCCTTTTAACATACACTGTCCATTAATCTATGGATGAACGAATGGTAGAATGTAAAATTTATATATAGATGCCATTTTAAAGTGTATTTCTAGTGGTTTTTTTTTTTTTTTTTTTTTGGTCTCCCTTTGTTCTTGCTTCACTGTAGAAATTTTATTGTTTTTTTTAATTTTATTTATTATTATTATACTTTAAGTTTTAGGGTACATGTGCACAATGTGCAGGTTAGTTACATATGTATACATGTGCCATGCTGGTGTGCTGCACCCGAAATTTTATTGTTTAAATTAGAATTTGGAAAGCAAAAAGTTTCTCAGAAAAAATAAAATTACCCATATTACTATCACTCATTTAAAAAATACTATAACATTTGATGTGTTTTCTTCCAATCCTTTTTTTCTGTTACATATAAACATTTTTTATGGATGGAAGCATATACATATATTACAATTTTATACCTATATAAAATTGCTAATAATAATTAGATAATAATAGAGCATTGCCACATTTTAAAAGGAAAACAATATATCCATAGTTTGTCTAATGTTTTATTTTGGGAACTATTGCACCAAGTATTTGCACGTAAGTATTTTCTTGAATGTCTGCCTTCCCAATATTTTTCTTTTTTCATACCATTTCTTTTTCCTCTTTTCCTGTCCAAATTTTCCACTTCCTTGTAAGCCCAGTTCAAGCTCTACCTCCTCAAGTAAAGAGTTCCCTGGCATTTCTAGACATAGGAACCTGGCCTCCTTTTGCTTTTATGCACATCCTTTGCTTAATCTCATCCTTCTTGTGACATACCTGGTATCATTGTTGTACTGTATTTTCGTTTTAAGCCTTACTTCACAATATGATTGTAAGACTCTTGAATACAAAGACATCGATTGATTGATATTGGTTGATTGATTGATTGACTAGTTTGCTGGTCAGTTTGCCATTTTCTGAATATTAACCCAGTTGTCTGTGGAAGTAATTTCCCCCCCTACTTATCCTGGGGAGGGTACTAGTTTGTGACATTTCTGCAGCAGAGCTGAATTGGAAGCATTGTGTTCTTCTGTGTTAATCCTGATTTCCCCGCTTTGTGTGCCTTGACAGCAGGATGGTTCTATTATGTTATATCCTATTGTGTTTTTATAATGGCTTAATTACTGTGTATGGGCTTCTAGCTGAGAATTGGGGAGATGGTAAATTCTATAAATAAAATGTGCTATCGCTGACATGAATATGCTGCCAGACTTAGTTGTGTCTACATTGCACAGGTTCACATTAAAATTCAAAGTGTTGTCAAATATATGTTATAGGTAAAGAATCTATTTTAAATTCCTTTACGGAGTGAATTAAGCTACAGTCAAAACATGTTCTGGAAAGAAGAGCTTTGATGTTCTGATGTGCCATGTACTATATGGCAGTCTATCTCAACGTGTCTTTTCTCTATGCAGCAGAAGACTGCACTGGCCAATGCCCAGAGACATCTGGAAAAAGATATTCTCCTTTGTGTCTAGTCAGGCCAAGCAAAACCTTAGACTGTCATTATTCAACCAAATTTATCCATCTTTAAAATGTATACAAAACTGTATCTGGTTCATTAGGATATGCATAATACATTACTGTAAATGGCTAACAGGCCAACCCAAATTACTTTCAGTATTTTAAAGATGAAGATAGAGAGTGAGGGAGGGAGGGAGTTGGGGAGAAAAAGAAGGAAGGAAAGGAGGGAGGGAGGGATGAATGGAGGGAGGGAGGGAAGAAGGAAGGAAGAAAGGAGCATATATATATGTGTGTATATATATATATGCATATGTTCATAATGTCAGAGAAATCTGCCATTTCATTAACTTTTCTTTCAAAGTTTTATTACATTGTAAATTTCAGGTGAAATTAACAATCATAATAACAAGTACAGTTTGAGAACCTAGAATCAGCAAAGTCAAGGCATGACATTTTGACATTGCTGCTTTGATACAACTATTTTGATGAAAGAATATTTTGTCATGTTTAAAAAAAATTTCAGCTTTTATCTTTTAGAAATGAATGGGGAAGCAGATAACCGCCCCCCTTCCAAAGCCTCACACAAGCCCATACTTCACCCTTGAAATTCAGACTGCTGTTCTCACATACGAGATGGGGAGGTTCAGGAAGGAGACTTGTGGGGCAGGTATTACTTGCTTTTAAAAAATGATTTTTATATTTGACCAGACCATCTTGATGCATCAACACATCTGCATCAAATGTTATCCTTTAGCACTAGTCACAGTGGAGTGCCATTTCTGGACACCTAGCATGAATAAGAATATTGCAATAACTGCTCTGATAATTCATGGGAAAAAAAAGCCATTTAATTTCTCCACATCTGTCAACTGAGAGTCACCTTGTGCTCTGATTAATCCTGTTGGTTGCCTCAGTCCTTTATTTCCTGCTGCAGGTGCAGCATCAACTCAATGTTTCAGTGTTTTCATGGGATGGGGTCCCACAAGGTTAAGAAAAGGCGATGATGGAGTGCAGCAAGCGTGAGGAAGAGAAAAAGCAGTAGTTCAGGAAGGCCTGTGTCCTTTGTCCCTAAGCAAGAGCTAGAACAAGAATAAATCTTTAAAGAAACTGGGTGGGTGGTCCTGTCAGAGACGGGCTAGTGACGCAGGCACTTGCCTAGGATACAAAATTTAAAGGGGTTCCTGTAACTCAGCAGTCAAGATAAATGTTTTTAAGCAATATTTTAAAAAATGAAAATGAAGGCAAATTCACCATCAACAAAATACCAAACTTTTAAGTAAAGGCAGATACAACTCTGCAGTTAGGCAGTCATGCCACATTCACCCCACCCTAACCCCAGCTCTGGGTCTTGCATTTCGTCTTTCACAAATCTAAAGATGCTCTCTAAGTAAAAAATAAATAAAAATCTCTCAGTCAAAATAAAGTGCATGTTAACTAGTTCTATTTAACTACTCCACAATGCATACATATTTCCAAACATCATGTTGTATACCATAAATATGTACAATTTCTATTTGTCAAGTAAGTGGTGGGGGAAGACTTTAGAACTGGAAACATAAACCGTGAATTCTGTCTAGAATCTTCTAAACTCTTAGAACATATAAACATCTTATTAGGCTAAGTCCAAATTCCAAGTTATCTAGATATTTGAGATTTCATTAAACCCCCATGTCTTAGACAATATGATTGACAACCCCATCTTGGGCAAAAATATCAAAATAGGAGGAAAGAAAAACAAGTAAGGGAAAGCTAGTGCAGGTGAAATATGGGGGTGAAAGAAGGTGGGTGCCAACCATCACCAACAATAACTTGCAAATTAGGTAAATAACATACCCCTGTCCCCAAACTAAATTAATATGCAATGGATCAATATCAATGATATCCAAAGTCAACCTTAACGAGAAAAAAAATATATCTCAGGAGAACAAGGTCTAATTGCAACTGTTATTTTTTTTAATCTTATGAGCCTGGGCTGGACTCTGGAAAAGACAGTTTTGTCAGAGGGCATCAAAAGAGGGACTGTTGGCTCTTTACTTCCGGTCACACAGCAAGCAAGTAGGAAACATTCATGGATCTAAAGAAAAGATGAGCTGGGACAAATAAAAATATTTGTTTAGGAGATGGGAATGCGGGTAACTTATGTCTTAGATCTTGGATTTCTATTTTTATAGCAATATTATTTTTGCAGAAAACACCATTACAGATATGTCAATAATAAGAAGGATTAGTCAGCCATGGAAGTATAAGAAAAGGAAAGTAATAAGGCAAACACTTCCCTGACAATGGGAAATGTGTCGGTCCTCATTGCAGTTGCTGTGTAATATCCTAACCCCAAATCTAACGGTCTAAAACAACAACCATTTTACCATGCCCATGGATACTGCAGGTCAGGAATTTGGACTGGACACAGTGGGATGGGCTTATCCCTGCTCCATGATATCTGGGACCTCAACTGGAAAGACCTGAAGGTTGGGTTGACTCCAAGGCTAGGAACTGCATCATCTGGAGGCCCTTTCACTCAGGCCCCGGGCTGGGATGATTCCAAAACCAGGACTGCTTATCAGAGTCCCTAGATGTGGCCTCTCTGGGTGTGATTCAGCTTCCTTACAGCATGCAGCCTCAGGGTAAGCAGTTTCCTCCCATTGCAACTCAGGGTTCTGACATGAGTGGTCCAGTGAACAAGACAAAAGCTGCACTGCCTTTTATGACTGAGCCTTAGGAGTGACACAGCATCACTTCTGCCAGATCCATTGGCCCATGCAATCACAAGCCTGCCCAAGTTCAAGGGTAAAAGTATTCAACTCCACCTCTTGATGGGGGAGTGGCAAGGTTGCTTGCAGAAAATGGCATAGGACAACAGGTATTGTCGCTGCCATCTCTGGAAAATGCAATCTGCCACAGCATCCACACTGAAGGACACACTCATCTGAGCAGGTGGCAAGTGGAGTCCTGTTGTCAAGATGCACACCTCAGCCTATCAGGGACTCACGTTGTTTAATATAAGAATCACATACCTGTATGTCTATGCCTCTGATAATTCAGCTTCTCATAGAATTTGCCTATGAGGAAAGTAAGGGGTCAAGGAGCCACATGGCAGTCACATTTCACATTGTATCTGATGAAACCGGCTCTTTCGTTTCAAGCATTCTCCTCTCCAGAGAATTGTAAGTAACCATGAGTCACTGTGACACTCTCCTGGCGTCCCTAAGGTCTCCTCCACTCTGGGACTGCAAGGCTCAGGCCAGCCCCTGTTCTGCAGGTAATGTGCCATGATCAATATGGCATGGGACTGGCTGGGGGTGCCATCAGACCTGCCCCAACCTTAACCCTGCACACTGTGTAAGTAATTTTTTTTCCTTTTTGAAACCAGGAATAAGGTGAAGAAATGTAAGTCAGACTGGAGGAGAAGAAGCTATGAAACAAAATGGAATACTAAAGAGAATAGGAAGGGGGCACCAGCTGGAAGAAAGAAAAGAATCGAAGAGTGAAGGAGACACTTTGAGTAAACTATCATGGCAATAGGATAGTTCCTGAGAGTTACTTCCAAAATAGCCTATGCTGGCCAGGTGCAGTGGCTCACGCCTATAATCCCAGCACTTAGGGAGGCCGAGGCGGGCAGATCACCTGAGGTCGGGAGTTCAAGACCAGCCTGGCCAACATGGTGGAAACCCATCTCTACTAAAAATACAAAATTAGCCAAGCGTGGTGGCGTGTGGCTGTAATCCCAGCTACTTGGGAGACTGAGACAGGAGAATCGCTTGAACCTGTAAGGCAGAGGTTGGAGTGAGCCAAGATCGTGCCACTACACTCCAGCCTGGGCAATAGAGTGAGACTCCATCTCAAATTTAAAAGAAAAACACACACAAAATAAACAGAATAGCCCACATTGAGCCTCTTTTCCCCCCAGTGCCTCAGTTCTCGTAGATGGGAACCAGCTGGGATGGGGACACAGTCACGCCTTATAGCTGCCAGCCTCTCTACCTCCACATCACTTTCCTGACTTCATCCCAGCGAGTGCTCAGCCCATTGCCTGTGTCACCAAAGACACCCAGAGCACAGTCCCTCTAGGCTCTGCGGGCCTCAAGCCATAAGGCTGACCTCACAACAGCACGAGTCTTCTTCCCTGAGTAGATTATTTGTTTAACAAACACCTATACCAGGCTTACTACATGCCAGACACTGTCCCAAGTACTTTGCAAATATTAGCTCAGTTATTCCTCTGCAAGGGAGTTACTGTTATTTATCTGTATTTCACAGATGAAGAAACTGAGATAGGGTAGATGATTTGAATGTACCCATCCAGTAAGTGGTAAGGCCAGAATTCAAACCCAAGCAGGCCAGCCCTGGATTCACTGCTCACAGCCCTTGGGCTGTGTGAGACTGGCACAGCTGGGGAGGTGAGGAGCTGGACAAAGAGGCAGATGCCCAGGATTCAGGCACACCCGCATGAGCATGACCCAGGTGGATCAGCCTAGACACCCTGGCAGGGCTTTTGAGACAGTTCTTTCTCTCCCTAAGGCCCATGAGTCTATCCTGGCTCAACCAACAACCCTCTTGTGTGTTTCCTTTATAAGTCGTGGGGCAGAGGGCCTAGGGTCTCTGCAACGGTTTGCAGATCTTGCCATTGGGCTGAAAATCTCCCTACTGTGTTCCTAAGACTCAGTCTTCATAGATGACCTGACTCTGGTTGTGGGAGGCAGCAGCCTGATAGAGCTAGAGTTGCTAGATTAAATACAGAACGTCCAGTTACATTTGCATTTCAGATTAATACTTTTTCCAGTACAAGTTTTGTCCCATGTAATATTTGAGACACACTAAAATATTATTCATTGTTTACTGGGCATTCTGTACTTTTATTTGCTAAATTTAGCAACCCTAAATGTGGGCTTATGAAAACCTCTAAAATGTGGAATAGGAACACAGCCAGGGAGCAGGTGGGCTCTGCATTGCAGTCCAGGTGGTGGTGGGTGTGGGAAGGCCCTCTGGGGAAATATGCTAAGGGAGGCAGTTCCTTCTGCCCTGGACAGAGGCAGGCCTATGACATGTCCAGGCCCAGGAGAAAAAACAAAATAAATGCCCGTGGGCCTTGTGCTGTTCTACAGGCTCACTGTCCATGCTCTGCATGAAGCTCTTTCATCCCACAACTTTCTATTTTGAAAAATTTCAGAACTACAGAAAAGTTGTAATCATCATACAATGAATACCCGTTTATCACATTGGCGTTCTCTTTCCCATGGTGTATGTGTGCATGTGGGAACATATACACACATTTTTATTAGTTTGTTTGATAAACCATTTGAGAGTTTATATCAGATATTCAGTATGAAACTGGCTCTTTCGTTTCAAGCATTCTCCTCTCCAGAGAATTGTAAGTCAGCATGAGTCACTGTGACACTCTCCTGGGGTCCCTGGGGACTCAGCATGTAGTTCCTAGGAAGAAGGACATTCTCCTCTGTAACCGCAATACCATGACCACACTCAGGTAATTTAACATTAATACCACGCTATTACCTAACATAAAGTCCTCATTCGAATTCCTCCATTTGCCCCAATATGTGTGCTTGTGTACTTTTTTGAATCAAGATCCTATCAAGGCTCCCAAATGTACTTAATTGTCATGTTTCTTGAGTCTCCTTTAGCCCAAGGCTGCCTTTTCAGAGCACCTAGTGCATGCTAGACAATATGCAAGAGGCCTGGCCTGCCTTGTCTTATTTCAACCCTGTGAGACAGACGTTATCTCTTTTTACAAAGAAGGAAACTGAAGCTTATTCAAGTGAAGTAACTTACCCAGGGTCACATGGCTGGTAAGCGGTATGGCCAGTATTTGAACCCAACCCTGACTCCGAAGTCCATCCTCTCCCCTTTACACCACACTGTCTGAGCTCTGTCTTCAAGAGGTGATACTGAAAGAGTGACACTGAGGTTAGAACCTGAGAACTTTTCCAGGAGGTGAGAAAATGTTCCATAGAAATACACAGGATTTTGAAAGAGAGGCCGATGGGGTTAGCTAGGGAGGCAGTACCATGTCAAGGTTAGAAGTGAAATATTGAAGTTAAGTCTTGGGTTCAATTTTGAATTCCTCTATTCCCCAGCTATGTTCCCTTAGCCTTTCTAAAATCTTCACTTTCCCACCTTTAACAGGAGAGTGGTAATAGTGACCTCACCAGATTATTATGGGACTAATATTCTAATATTCAATCAAGTTCTTAGCACCAAGCCAAGCTGGCACATGCCAGGCATCTCATAAGTGGCAACTACTACTGTGATTAGGTGAGGAGAATAACTGCCTGACAGTTGCCACTTACAGGAGCCACAGGCAGATTGCTGGGGGCTGCCAACATGAAGAACAACTGCTAATGTTCACGCATGAGGGCTCAACACCAGAAGGGGAGCAGCTGTGGGGGAACAGGGATTCAGTTTGCATTGCTGGAGACCAGTGAACTGAGCCCTTCTTCCTGCCTGGAGCTCCCTTCTAAGGAACAGAGAGGAAAGAAGCTCAGGCAGGGACACCCTGCTGCCGTTCATGCCCACCAGAGAGGTGGGCTGGGAGCTGGGCTCATCCTTGTTTTCCAGCATGGTCACTCATTTCCTGAGCATTTGGGAGCCCAGTGCTTTGGGGAAAGGTGAGAGTGGGCTCCAGACAGATGAAATATAAGCAAGATGTTATGGGCTGGATTATGCCCCCTCCCCAAATTTATGTGTTAAAGTCCTAACCTCCTAACTGGAGATAGGGCCATTAAAGGGGCAATTAAGGTAAAATGAGATCTCTAGGGCAGGTGCTAACCCATTCAGCCCGTTGTCCTTACATGAAGAGGAGATTAGGACAGAGATGGGTACAGGAGAAAAACCATGTAAGGGCCCAGCAAAAAGGCGGCCATCCGCAAGCCAGGAGAGGCCTCTGAAGAAACCAAACCCGCCGACATCTTGTTCCTGGACTTTCAGCCTCCAGAGCTATAAGAAGTAAATTTCTGATGCTTAAGCCACCTCATCTGTGGCACTTTGTTATGGCAGCCCAAGGTGCCATAATACACAGGCTAATACACAGGCTCTCACATTCTCGGAGGAAGGGGTGGTCTTCTGGCCTACATCTTTCTCCCATACCAAATGCTTCCTGCCCTGGAACATCGGACTCCAAGCTCTTCAGCTTTGGGACTCAGATAGCTTCCTTTCTCCTCAGCTTGCAGACAGCCTACTGTGGGACCTCACCTTGTGATCATGGGAGTCAATACTCCTTAATAAACTCCCCTATGTGTGTGTGTGTGTGTGTGTGTGTGTGTGTGTGTGTATCTCCTATTAGTTCTGTTCCTCTAGAGAACCCTGACTAATACAGGTGGCCTCATAAAAGAAAGAGACAACTGCATAGAGATTGGCATAGCCTTCAGGGAGGAATTCACAGGGCTTCTGCTCAGCAGAGGGATGAGTGTCACAACAGCAGGTCTCTGAGCCAAGACTTAAGAATCCTGGCTTATGACCACCTGCTGCCACCCCAAATCCTCACTGGACACAGGCAGGAGATAGGCCAGTTTTGCAGACTGTCTGTGGCCAAGTCATTAGCATGTGTAATGACATCTCTGCAATGTGCACGTGGATTTGCTGATCTTTTAAGCTCTCTTCCTCGACTAGAATCCTAGGATTCCTGTAGCCGTAGAAGGGGAGTCTGTTGGTTGGAAGAGCAAGCTGAGCTGATCATGCTGTTGATGCAGGTGGGTCAGCGGTTTGAACGTTCCATCTGTTCTGTGGAGGGCCTGGCCTGTGTTGTGTAAGAGCCAATGGAGTAGAGAACCAGAGCCAGGCTCTCAGCGCATGGCATGAATCTGCTGTTCCTTTCTCCACGGAGGAGTTTGCTTGACAAGTCAGGTGGCGTCAGAGCCAACCTCTGGGTAAGTGTTCTCCTGGGCAATGGGCAGGTCTAACTGTGTGACGGTGGTGGTATGGAGCGCCCTCTTCTTTGTTACAGAGAGCTCCCTGGCCTCAAGGGACGCTGAGAGTCTGGCCTCTCCAGGGATGCTGCCAGGCCACACAGGAAGCTGGAATGTTAAGGAGCTGGTAGGAGACAAGGACAGCCTGCAGCTAGCTACAGTCACACATGCTCCAGTGCAGAAGCTTCAGTTCCTGGCACCCCTTGAGTGGGCAGCAAAGTTATTTGGTCCCAACCTTCTGATCACACCCACTTCCATACAGTGTTGAGGCTCTCTCTGGGCCTCAGACCATGGAGGGGCAGTTCCTTGCCTTGCTACAATCTGCCTCCATCGTGGAAGCAGGCTCAGGTTTAGAGCAGCCACTTCAGAGCAGCTTTTTCTGCAATATTCTTGAAAGTAACTAGCGAGCCACTTGCTGGGCTCAAAAGGATGCATGAAATCATACACATATAAGACCAACTTTCTGAACTCTAGTTTGCTTTTATGCATTTATTTCTCTCAGTCCTCTGATCATCATCCTGGGTCAAGGTGGTATGATCGAGGCAGAATTACTCTTCTCCAGGGAGAGTCAGGGAAATGAGTCATTGAGCAGTCCGGTGACTTACCCAATGACCCCAGGCAGGACAGAGCCTGAGTAAGGCTCACATGACATCTGCCAACCCCTGAATCTAGGTTCCAGCTCCTAGGAGATCTACATTTGGCCCATATACTCGTGGGCTTTTTCCTTTCTTATTTTCCAAAACATAATTAATATCTGTTCCATGTTACAAATAAATTCTAAATGTTCAAATGACTGAGAAATTCTGTTTCATTTTTACTTGTGCGTTTGATGTGCATCTGGATGGATGGCACCGGGCACACTTAAAATAAGGAGAAATAAATAGCTCTGAGATGTGACAGCATATGTATTTGCTCAAGAGTGAATGGCAGAGATCTGCATTTCATTTTTACAGGATTTCATCAGACATATGGTAAACCATGATAGGTGATTTTTATTTAAAAGTCAGTCATGCCGAATTCAAAACTTATTTTATTATTTTTTTGAGATGGAGTTTTGCTCTGTCACCCAGGCTGGAGTGTACTGGTGCAATCTCGACTCACTGCAACCTCTGCCTCCAGGATTCAAGCAATTCTCCTGCCTCAGCCTCCAGAGTAGCTGAGATTACAGGCACAGGACACCACACCTGGCTAATTTTTGTATTTTTAGTAGAGACGAGGTTTTGCCATGTTGGCCTGGCTGGTCTCGAACTCCTGGCCTCTGGTGATCCGCCCACCTTGGTCTCCCAAAGTGCTGGAATTACAGGCGTGAATCACTGTGAGGAACATACAGATAGCCTGCTCTCTGGGGGCACAAGATCATTTTTATTCCTGGGGGTGGCATTACCAGTATCTGAAGGGTGATCTAAGTTTTCAGAGGAATTGCCAGTTTCCAATATGAAACTTAGCCACACCTGGTGAAAACCAGAGGCTCCAGCTGTCTCCGTTTAACATCTGACCCTTAAAGCAGAGGCAGCAGGCAAAATGATCCATGGATGGAGAGCCCCACATTGCCCTTCCACTCGGTTTCCCTTCCCCCAACTTTTCACAATCTGTCTATGCCACGGAAGCCAATAGTACTTGTCTCGGGTGGCTAATTGTCTGTTTAGTATCTTTCCCACCTCCTCATTTTTCCTTTTGGTTTCCTGATTAGGTCTCAGTTGGGTATTTTGCCTGCAGGGCTGCAGAAGCATCTGCAAGGAAAGTGTGCACAGAGACAGGAGCACCATAGGAACTTCCTCAACAAACCAGAGATGACACATGCCCTCTCCCACACTGGGAGCCCCCGATGTCAGAAAAGACAGGGTATTTCAGTATAGCACAGGGCTTGTCCTGTGCATTAAACTATGTGCACTCAGCAAAAAGAGAGGTGAAGGGAGAGAGGAAGTAGGAAATTTATTTTGTATAAAAGTCTTTATCAGACAATCCACATTACTGCATGTGTTATTAATCTTGTATACTCAAGTATTACTGCACAGGCTTATGTACACAAACCACATATACTGCTGTCTACTTTAGGATAAGATAAGAGGCTTTCACTCTTTGCCTCACATACTGACTTTAGAACCAAATCTCCAAAAAAAGATGCAATCTCCACTTTTTAAGGAAACATAAATGGTAATTTAATGATGCTAATTGGTAGAACTGTAAACTAAAGAAATGTTAGCCTGAAGGACCCAGGGTTCAGCTGAATGATGGATGCTAGGTAGCCAAGGGTCTGGGTCAAAGACATTAAAGAAAGAAGAAAAGGACAAAGGAGTAAGGGGTAGACTGAGAGAAGTTAGTAGGAGCTGGAGCTGAAGTTCTCCTGTTATCCAAGAAAACAAGGAACTCACCAGGTGTGCATCTTGTTTTGACCCACAGCTAGGGCAGGGCAGTGATGAAAACAAAACGAAACAAACAAACAAAAACCCCTCACCCTCTTAGATGGTTTCAGAAGAACACAGCAGTATCTAAGAAGCACATAGACTCTAAAACAGATTTTTCATCTTGTCCCCCTCCCGTCCTTCTTGTCATCATCATTGTCATCGTCATCGACATTTACTGACTGGCTTCTCAGGTTTGATAGAAGAGACTGTGGGCCAGTATCCAGGATAGAGGTCACTTGGTTTCAAGGAACTAAGCAGCTCAGAGCAGCTCAAATCACAAAGGGGTTTCTTATGGAGAATTTGGAAGAAGGACAGCCAGGCCTCAGGAGAATGGGGAGCTTGCCAGGCAGGGAACACTCCCCTCTGTTTCACTGTCTCCTCTCTGGAAACCAGCTTGGTCTACATGGCCAGTCCTAACAAGGAGGCCTCCACCACCACATCTATATGACCTCCCAACTTTAAACACCACCACCAGTTGAGTCCTGGTCTCTTGTGTCTCTTAGTTGAAATACCTCAAAGAAAGAGTAAGGGGAGGAGAGACAGAATATGAGCAGCCCAACTCAGGGTCAGGAAGTATACACCTTCCACCTTGTGAACAGGGCAGAGTCGAGGCCACATGACCACAACAACTACCCCTTCTCCCTCTTCAGGTGGGAGGAAGTAGAAGTTAACATGGAAGGAAAGTTTGGGTGGGGCAGTACAGTGAGCGAACACCACCACCAAAGCTGGGAGTCCAAGACAAAGGGATTTGAAAAGCATCTCCTGAAATGAGTAAGTTGGTACTCTCTACCTACTCAATAATCATAGCTAATATTAATGGACTTATTCCTACATCCTAAGCACTGTGTAAGTACTAACAGTCACCATAGACTGAGCATCCCAAACCTGAAAATCTGAAATCCTAATGTTCCAGTGAGCATTCCTTTGAGCATCAAGTCAGCACTCAAAAAAATTTCAGGTGCAGAGGCTACAGAAGAGTGGAAGGCCGTTCTTGACCTCTGCACCCCTTCATGCATGGAAATTCGTGGGTTCCCTGCCTGCCCTTATTTCCACAAGAGAAATCGTTGCAGTTTCTTCTATCCTGCTTTATAGCCCTTTAATCATTTCCATTTGCCTTCCCTGGATTTTTTTCAAACCCCTTCTTGGTCACTTCATCTCACTTAAGAGCCTGGGCCACAGAGAATGCAGAGCTCTAAGAGAGGCCTGACAGAGGCTGGACAGGGTGGGTGGATAAGTTTGTGTTCCTGCATGTTGGGTGTGCGTTCATGAGTTCCAAAGCCACGACAGCCTTTTTCTTAATAAGAGCAAAATACAACTGACTCACATTTAGCTTGCGTACCACGACGACCCCAAGCTCCTTTTCTTCCATACTTGTACATTGCCAGCTCCTTCCTGGCCTGTTTTTATGGCCTTATTTTCATTCCCATATAAATTACCCAGCCCTGTGTCCATTATGCAGCATCCTGTTTTCTATCACTCGCTTTCATCAACTGGCCAGAAATACTTTCAGTGTTAATCCTCTGTTTTATTTTTTCTTCTCATGCATTTTGAAGGATTTCTAGAAATAATTAGTTCCAACTAGTTCTTTGCCTTGGTTGGGACTCATGGTTGCCCATTTCATCTTTTAAAAGCTTCAAGGACAGGGTCACCACAATTTCTTTCATAAGAGGTGAGTAGTACTCAGGAGAGGGAAGTCTATTTTATGCCAAGCACTGAATTCAGTACTTGAAGTACTTTTTTTTTCTTGTATTTCTTAAAATGTCCTGGTGATATGGGTTTTATCGTTATTGTTTTTCAGGTGAGGAAGTTCTGACAGACTTAAATAACTTGTGTTAAGACCCCAGTGTTAACAAGAGGTAGGGTAGGAGTTTAAACCCGGTTCTGGCAGCCTCCAAAGTCCACGCTTTTAAATCTTTTCCTACATTTACTTTTTTTCACTGTCAAAACATTTCTCTTTCCCAGACTTAGGTTTTACCCTAGCTCTGCCATCAACATGTCATTAGACATGTCAGATAACTCATTTTGCCTCTTTGTGTTAGTTTTCTGATCTTGAAAATAAGACTAATAATATTCCTCTCGCCTGCCTCCCAGAGCTGTTATGAAGGATCAATGTAAAAGTATTTCAGAAAGTATGTAACCTAAATAAGTGCAAATTATTACCATAGTTGTTTTTTAAATTTAGAGATGGGGTCTTGCTCTGTCATCCAGGCTGGAGTGCATTGGCATGATCGTAGCTCACTGTAAGCTTGAACTCCTGGCATTAAGCAATCCTCCCACCTCAGCTTCCCAAAGTGCTGGGATTGCAGGCATGAACCACCATGCCCAACCTCATTACTATAGCTGTTATTACTAACCTTGTGCATTGTCCACTGGAGGGTTCAGAAGACTCCCTCCTAAGGATGTGAGGCTCCTCATATAGACAAAGAAATTGATACAACTTGCCTAAGAACATACTATATCAGTTCGGATGTTTTCAGCCAATGGTAACAGAACCCTGACTCAACTGCTACAAGCAACAAAGGACTTATTCATCTAGTCAGAAGTTCCAAGGAAGGACAGCTCCAAGGTTACTTAATCCATGGGCTTCTAGATCTCCTAGGTGAGCAAAGCTCCTGTCTTTCAGCTCTGCCCCCCTCTACTCAACAGTTTGGCTTGTATTGAAGGTAGCTCATTTCATGGAAGCAAGATACTAGCCTCCTGCCCCACATACAAACACTTACATCCAGGAAAAGAGGCTGAAGCTGCCTCCCTCTTCCTCCTGGCAATCTCTTCTTATAAGGAAAATGCTTTCCCAGGTGCCCCTATGCCCCAGCAAACATTCCTTCTCATGTCACTGGGCAAAATTGCACCACAGGCTCTTGCCTAAACCAGTGCCTGGAAAGGACATGGAATGACCAGCCACACAGCAGTGTGGAGGAGGGTGGATTCTCCAAGTAAAGCCAGGGTTCTGTTCCAAGGATGAAAGGGAGGATAGCCACTGCTAAGCAACCAACAATATCTGCTCTAGAAAAAGAATTAAATCAATTAGCTATGATTGACTGTAGTCCTGCCAAGTCTCAGAAGGTCTCTAAAAGAGAAAAGAGCACAATATTCTCTCCCCCTCCCCACCCTTCACTTCCTTTTCATTTCAACCCAGTTCTAGTTTAAAGTATTACATTTCATTTCAGTTCACATTCACAGACTTAAAGATCCTTCTTTTGCCTCCCTGGGTCTCTCACTTTCTCTTTATTTTGGATACAACTTGTACTAATCAATTCCAGAATGCTGAAGGGCTGATTTACATTTTCTTGTCCAGGCTTTCCCAAGTGAGACTGAGAGGACTCTAGAATGGGAAGGCTCTTCAAGTGGCCTTAATTAAGTGAAGCTGTTAAGTTCCTCTGTGTCTCCTTTCTAAATCACATCGCCCTCATCAAGGCAAGTATCTGCAACTTTGCTGCCTTTATTACCTTCCCAACAGGTTTAGTCTCCAGTGAACAATATCTCTCCTATATTCCAGAAAGAGAAGACACTTGTTCTGAATCGGCAGTGTGGAGTCACCGAGTGTGCAGGCATTTCTAGATTTAGTTCAGTGGTCTGTGAATCACAGTGACTGGTACGTTCCAGGAAAGAAGATCCAGCAGTCCAGATGAGCCTCAAGGTTAATTATGTAAGAACAGGTAATCACCATTCAGGAGTAATTATCAGATTGAACATCCATTGATGCTGAGTCTCAACTCAAGAATATTTTTAGCTTTGGAGTCCACTTGCTTTTCCTGTCTTTCTCTCCCTCTGTTTACCCTAAAATTAACATTAATCAACATTTGGCTCCCAGCATACTATGCTCCCACCATGTAATTATAACAACTTTCCTAATATTTTTTGTTGTTTGACCTTAAATCTTCAGCTTCTATCTCTGAGCCAAGGTCAGCATTTGCAGCAGTGAATTAATGAGGCTCTGGGGGGCCATGGATACTGCAAGAGGGCCCCCCAATACTATGTGGGGGAGATCACCATATCCCACACTTACAGCAACAGTCTTCCAAGGAAGCCTAGAGGAATATATTTAGGCTTTGTGTTATGAAGAAATTATATGGCACAAAACCAGTGATATTTTGATTATTGCCACTTAGAGACCACCAAAATAGTTATAAGCAGAGACAGATGAGCTCGGATAGCCAGTCATTCTGTAAACATTTTAAAAACCACACAAAAACCTCAAACTTGATGCCATTCCTTGGCTTTCTGATGCTAATTCTTGTGACCATGATTAGGAGTCTCAAAACACTAGTAAGAAAACTCCTCTTCCTCATTCTCTGACCAGGAGAGGAAAATGAGGATATTGTATAACCTCCACCACCGCGTGGTGGACGTTATATCTCCTCCTTACACCAAAAGATAAATCCACTAATGATATTGGCTCCAAAGGGGTACAAGAATTATGAAAATGGCAATCAAGCAGTTTCTCTGTAATCAAAAATGGAAACTCGTAGAGCTTATTAGCAGGTTCAGCACTGTAAAGGAGAGATAAGCCGCTAAGCTCCCTTCTGGACATCTGGAAATTACCTGTAAATTTGTAAAGTTGAAGGTGTTTTCAAAACACCTTCCACATTTATTTCATTTGAGCCTCAAAACCTTTGAGATAGACAGGACAGAATCTCTTTTTTCAAAATTAATGAAATTGAGTCAAAGAGGTTAAGCGACTTACCCAAGACCAATGTGGGGTAACTGTATGGATCACTTTGCCCTTGGTAATCCCTGTTTCCATATTTTCTTGCATAGTAACTATTAAAGTTTGACTCTCAAGAGTGTCTTAAAAAGGTAAAGTGTATTGTCTCCCTAACCACAGGTCAAAAGCAGAACCTAGTCCTATAATAACTCTTGGTCCAAGGTTGTTATGGCCACACCTCCAACATGGTCACTGAAACACCAGTCAGCCAACAAAATGAGCCGCTTCCTCTGGCTCCCCCATGGATTATAGCAAGTGACAAATCAAGTGAAACTCACCTGAGAAAGAAGGACCTCTTGCTGGCAATGGTGGTAGCGCCAAAGGTGACTTTCTCTTGACTCACTGTGGCTGACTCAATACTGCCACAGCAACCAGACTTGCCCAAGGTTCCAAATGTCAAGCGCTACTTAAAAATACCCAGCACTCATCACTTCTGGCTGCACTGATCTACCCAAAATGACCACTCTACCCTTCAACTTCCCTGATCCCAGGCCAGTTATTCATTTCAGTGCTAAATTTACCTCCTGTTCACACCAACCTTATAGTCTCTTAAATAAGAAAATAGGAAATTGATGTTCTGATTCTGAGGAGACTGAAAAATTCATATACATATTAGACAAAAAAA
Source organism: Homo sapiens (assembly GCF_000001405.40). Lineage (NCBI taxonomy): Eukaryota > Metazoa > Chordata > Mammalia > Primates > Hominidae > Homo > Homo sapiens. The sequence continues at coordinate 40,171,449 of NC_000013.11, forward strand.
TAAAAAAAACTCTTGTTAATCTTAGAGTCTGGAGGTAGAAGCACTAGTTTCGGTAAATGAAAGTCATAAGATCCTTATTTTAAGATGTGACTTTGCCCACACTGGGAGAGACTAGCTATACCTTTTACTTTTCTTTCCTATTAAAGGAAGATATAAATAATGCGAGCTCTCAGGACGGAAGGAACCAGAGAAACTCAATGCTTAGTTTGAAAGACTTAATTTCATGGGCTGGCTTATCCTTTTTTTTTTTTTTTTTTCCTGCATTCTTCCATTAATTTTAACTGGTTTTCTCTCCAGGAGGAATGTTCTTAGAAGAAACCACAGAGATGAATCCTCTCCTGCTCCCAATGGTGTCTCTTACTCTAAATGTGTGTATTTGAGGGCCATTTTCCTATTGAGCATTTGAAAATGTGCTTGTGAATAAGTAATTGACTTATTTATGGAATGATTTGGGGCATTATCCCCATTTTGTTTTGTTGTGGTGGTTTTAACTTTTATTTTGGGTCCAGGGTATGTGTGCAGGTTTGCTATACAGGTAAGCTTATGTCACGGGGGTTTGTTGTGCAGACTATTTCGTCACTGGGGTACTAAACCCAGGGTACTAACCCCAGTACCCAATAATTCTTTTTCCTGATCCTGTCCCTCCTCCCACCCTCCACCCCCTAGTAGGCCCCGGTGTGTGTTACTCTCCTCTTTGTGACATGCGTTCTCATCGCTTAGCCTCCACTGTTACCTCCATTTTGAAGACTCCTGTAACTTTGTCACCCCTCCAGAGGGGGAGCTGCGCGGGGTGAGGGGCTCGGCCACACCCGTGCTGTACCTCCTCGGTCCCCGCGGCTCTTCCTGCCGCGGCCGCGCCCCTTCTCCCGCAGCCGCCCGGGAGGCTCCCTCACTGCTTAGCAACTCCTCCTTGTGACCTGGGCGACACTCAAGACAGAGGCAAACAAGCCTTGGCGTGCCCTTCGCTCCGAAAAACGGAGGAAGCCGCCGAAAGCCCAGGCTCAACCCTGCACCTCAGAGCCGCCCGAGGGCCACTGCCACGGGGGCAGCCTGGATGGAGGGCGGTCATAGTCCGTCCGTGTAGGGAGCGCAGCCCCCGGTAAGGAGAGCGGGGGTTTAATCTCAGGGCTGCCACTGAGAAACCCTGGCGACCCAGGTCAAACTTCCCATTCTCCCTGGGGCTCAGTTCTCTCCTGAGGGAACAGCAGAGACAGTCCAGGACCACCTTTGCCCACGGCTGTCACTCACACTCATCCCAGCCCAGGCCGCTGCAGATGCTGTGCACACCTGGACTCCATCCTTGCGGCCACCTCGCACAGTGGACGTTATTCTCCCCACTTGACACACGAGGTGACATTAAGTCACCCCACTCCCAAGGCCACACAGCACAGGGAGAGCTGGCACTTGGGTTTGACCGTAAGTCTCGCGGGCTCTGTGGGTTAGAACACATTGCCTCCCCTCTGAGGGCTGCTGGAGGAGCAATAAAATAAGACAGGGTGACAGGCTTCGGAAACTGTCCTCCTGGTCTGAGCTGTCTTTGGTAACCCACCTCTCTGTCCCCCACATCCCCTGGGTTCGCAGGCACCTCACAGAGTAGACACCGAGGTGGGGACATTTGTTCTGTGCCCTCGTGCAATGCCACCGTCAGACACTCTGCAAAGTCAGTGAAGGGAAATGAAGCCAGAAAACTCTGTGCCAGGAATTCTTTGAGAATAATTATCTCTCGGGTCAGTCAGAGATGCCAGCCAGCCAACCGCTCCTGCACAGATGTCACTGATTCCTCAGGGTCTGTCTCCCAGTCCTTTGTTCTAGCTGAGCCAAGCAAACACACCCCCACCCAGTCACTTTCCCTCTTCTCTACCTTATCCCTTATTATCTCAATTACCATCCCCAAAGAGGCCCCGCAAATGAAGATGGGTTTGGAACCGCAATGGTCAACATCATGCTTAATAATAACAATTATATGATTATATATCTCTGCTATAATAACATGTAATTACCCAATAATTACTATTAAACAGTGCAGCGGTGACCACCGAGGTCCCAAAACCCTTTAATTATTGTTATCGCTGATCATGAAGCAGAGGATCATTCTCTAACATTGTTTCTGTGTATCACAGGCACTTCTCTTCGGAAATTCTAGAGCTTCTATTTATTTATGTTTTCACTCTTGAGCTGAGGTCTCACAGGGAGACAGAAACCTTAAACTTAGGCCATCTCCCAGTGCCTTAAGCATGTGACATGCAAATCTTCTAAGGATTTACTTTCTCCCTCATCTCCAAGTCCACACGATATCTGGAGAAGCTCTTCATCTGTGGCGATTGATGGGGAAAATCTCACATCAAAATAGCTAGAATGAAATGATGGCCCCAACTTCTTCCCAAACTGCTTTAAGACACTCAGAAAACAAATAAATAGTGATAACTCTTGGGTAGAATTAAACAAAGTTCTCAGTTATACTGACTTTAGAGTCTTTGACAGTTTGGTTTCTCTAATCCGATACTTGCCCTCCCATGGAGTCAAACACTGAATTTCATCTATTTGTTTTTTGTTTTTTTTGCAGGATCCCACCTTTGAGATATATTTTTGGGGGGCTTATAGGTGAAGAGGGAAGTACAACAGTATCAGAATTTCTTTCTGAAAACTTTTTATGTTAAACGGATATAAGAAAAGTGAATTCTTTGGTTAAAAACTATTCAGAATTCCAAGCTCCATCTTTCCCCTTTTTTCCAGACTGCAAGTGGATCTCCAGAAAATTTAATTAGGGGTCTATAAGCTAAGGAAAGATTTCTCTTTTCTGGTTTGAAACTCATACCCTTTTATTCCTAAGGGATATCTGATTCATAAGCAGTAGTATGGGCTAAAAATCAGCCCCCTGTCTATGGGCTAAGAGATTTCTAGCTTGGGGACCAAGGTATATGAGAATAATGTGAATGTACTTCCTTCAAATTAAACAATTACATTCATCATAAGATTATTTTTTAAAAAGGAGACAGAGAAAGCAAATTACTTTCCTAATTCATCATGGTAACACATTGAAAACAAATGCTTTTCCAGCTTAATCTACCAGCTACCATTAAGTGGCTAATCCTTTTAGATAATAATCTAAATTATCCCCCAAACCTGAGGGAATACTATATGCAGGTGAGAGAATGCAGAATATAAAATAGTTTTTGAGGTCTTCACAGCACTCTGTTAGTTACTCCTGGAAGAAGACTCTGTTAGTACAAAACGTAATTAATGGCAATTGCCTGAGGGTTCTGTGTGAGACTCACTACGCCTACTTTATGCCAAAGGATAAATCATGGAGATGAGTAGCTCTTTCCTTTCTTGTGTTCCGTGTTCGTACCACCCCTCTTCTCTGTCACTAAGTCAACCTGTGCCTTACAGGTTGGACATGACACAGAACCCATTCAGTTTATCCCAGTGGGTGACTGAGGAAGCTCTTTCTGCCCATCTTAGTGCCCACTGGGCAGCTGAGCTTGCCGGGTCCAAACTCAAGCCTCAGTATCAAGCCTCTGTCTTGGGTTTGGGGTTAGAATATTCCAAGCCCCACAGCAAACGAAGGCAGACTCCTGCTCAAAACTTTTTGATGGATTTCCAGTGCATGGAGGAGGGAACCAGAACGGACCTCAGCATAGAAGGCCCCCTAAGAACAGTCTCTCCAGTTTCAGCAAACAGAGCACTCTTAACTCCAATCATGATATCCACCAACACCAGCTTCCAAGCTCTCTCTGCTTTTGCATCTTGCCATACCCCTAGAGCGTTCTTATCTCCTTAACTCTTTGTCCAGCTAGCTCCCCCTCATCCTCAGGGTTCCAACTGGAAATACATTTCCTTAGAGGCCTGCTGGGACCCATCAATCTGAGGCTGTCCCCAGGTGTGTGTAATTGTGCGCTATGCTTCCTAACACTTTTTAAATAAGTTATCATTAAGAGAAGTAAGGACAAACTTTGCTGCCCATCTTTTTTCCACTCAATTGTAAGCTTCATGAGAGGAGAGAGAGAGTTTTGTTCACCTTTATTTGCCCAGTGTTGGGTACATAGTAATTTACAAATATCTGTGAATAAATAAGTGAGTTTAGGAAATGTAATGAAAGGAATATTTAAAGACACATCCTAAAGCCACCTTAGGAAGTAAGGGAAGAGGAGCTGATGTAGTGGAATAAATAGAGAGCTGGCATAGAGGGATTGAGGTCCAGACCACCTAGTTCCAAAGCACAGAACAACATGTCCAGTCTTCATTCCACACACCCAGTACTACTAGAATAACCTGGGAATTTGGCCCAAGGTAGCATCTGAAGAACTGTCCACAAACAGTACAATACTCCCAGTACAACACTGGCTTCAAATGTTTAACATTTTGTTCTCAGAAACCATCCAAAGTTCTTAGAAATGCTAATATCCTAGCATCCATACTGCATTCTCCAGTATCACTCACACCCAGAGACAGAGACAGAAAACAAAAAAACAGAATCCTTTGCTGAATCATAAATCTGCATTTTTGGTTTAGAAACTATGAGCACAGAGCTTACATGTGTGCCAACCTCAAAAGTTAGGGAGATGTTCCAACACAGCCTCCCTTCCCTCAGTAACCTACTGCAAGGATGTAATTTACTATTTTATTTATAGCACTTTTGTAACTATATTTTTAATATCTATTTAGAAATGATGAGTTTCATAAGTTTACTACCTGCTGTATGAAGTTGTAATTTTACAAACTCCTCCAAAACCCTTGTTCTCTAATGTTTTAAGCCACACTGTGCCCCTTGTCTCTCTCTCTCTCTCTCTCTCTCTCTCTCTCCATCTGATAGTGTATTAGATGGGGAAGGTCCTATTTGTCCTTTCTCCCTGCCTCTCCACTGGTCATCTTAGCACTTTGGCCCACTTGTGTCTGGTAGCTTCTTTATGGCCAGTTCCTTTCTCAATGGACTTGCTTTATAGAGAACCATTCAGAAGAATAAGGTTTCCTTCTCTGCAGCCGCCGCCGCCGCTGCTGCTGCTGTTTAAAGGGTGACCCGCACCAGCAGTAGCACTCTGGGCTCATTAGGAAAGCAGAATTCCAGTCCCCACCCTAGATTCTGAATCCGAATCAGCTTAACTAAATAGTAGATGACTTCTTTGCCATGAAAGTTTAAGGAGCTGCTCTAGAGAATCTTCATTTCAGTTCTCAAGAGCCTTTGCCAGGTCGGGTGCGGTGGCTCACACCTTTAATCCCAGCAATTTGGGAGGCCGAGGCAGGTGGATCACGAGGTCAGGAGTTGGAGACCAACCTGGCCAACATGGTGAAACCCTGTATCTACTAAAAATACAAAAATTAGCTGGGCGTGGTGGTACATGTCTATAATCCCATCTACTTGGGAGGCTGAGGCAGGAGAATCATCACTTGAACCCAGGAGGCGGAGGTTGCAGTGAGCTGAGATCGTGCCACAGCACTCCAGCCTGGGTGACAGAGCAAGACTCCATGATAAAAAAAAAAAAAGAAGAAGAAGAAGAAGCCTTTACTTAGGGGGCTCCTTCCCGGATCCCGGCCCTTGCAGCAAACCCTTTCCACCCACAGCAGCTAGCCGGCTGCTACAACCCAGTCTCCTCCTCTCTTGGATTCAAAAGAACTCAAGGGGTCTCAGAACTCTGAACTCCCAGCAAATGAGGGTTTTGGGGTTCTAATAGTAAATATCAGCTGCTTTATGAATTTAATAAAGTTTTGTGAGCTACCACATGATCTTATATGTTAAGAGCATCTCTACCCATATACATATTTGATATGTGTGTATATAATACACACTGCGTCTTACATGATAATTAAGTTCTCACAATAGTTTATGTGGAACACACACCCCACATCCTGATAATATATAATATGTTGTAGAGAAAACAGCACAGCCTTTGGAATTAGACAGAACTGGGGTTTAGCCTGTCTCCACCACAACTGGTGGCGGAAGCTTGAGTAGGTCACAGGGCCTGTCTAACCCTCAGATTCCTCATCTGTAAAAAGAGGGCAACTGTCACCTTGCAGGGCAGTTGTGGGATTATAACTTGGGTATAATCTGCGTTTGCCACAGTTCCTGTCACTTACCAGGTACATAGCAACTTGTAGTCCTGTCATCCACATTATTATCATTATACACATGCAATACAGGTTTCTGTTCATGCTTAGATATTTAGTTATATTCCATGCAGTTCTCAATCAATCCCTATACTCCTTTTTGCATAAACTGGCCCTGGTCAGTGCTTTAATCCGATGGTTTCTTGATCCTAAAACCTCCTTTGGAAGTTTCCTCACACATGGGCACAAAGTTAGTTCTGCAGCTGTAAGGCAATCTGTACATGTTGTTGGCCACCTTTGTCAGTCCCTCAACATTTTAGAGAGAAGCATCTAACCAAACCCATAATTCCTGACCACTTGAGTTCCTGCCTCACTCTAAGGCAGTGGTTCTCAATGAGGGCACAAAAATGTCACCAGGGCACATTGGCAATGTTCTGGAGATGTTTTTGGTTGTCACACTGGGGGAGGAGGGATACTACTGGCATCTAGTGGGTAGAGACCAAGGATGCTGCTACACATCCTTCAACGTGTTTCTCCATCATGGACAGCCTTCCACGATGGAGAAACGTCCATGAGTAGCACAGTACTGAGGTTGAGAAGCTGCTCTAGTTTTAAGTTGGACTGGCATTAAACTCAGTAAGTGGCCTCCTTACCACTAAACTAGTATGTTCCATCCTTTTCACTGTCTTCCATTTCCCCTCACAAGGAAGCCCTCAAACTTGCTTAACTCTTTATGCCTCATCAGGAGTTTCAAGTGTCTCTGGAATGGCCTGGCGGCTCGTTTCCTGCTGGCTGCGGTGTCGCTTTTGTTTACTTCATAGCTGGAACAACTTGGTGGGTGCAGGGAGAGCCACACAGGCACACCCTACAGCATGTCATACACATTGCTACTTGACAGGAAGGAAGATGCACAAGGATTCTGGCACAAGGCCTCGTATGTGCTTCATTCTTTCTCTGTCTCTTGGTCAAATTGGCCCAATCAGACTCTAAATGAAGAATTTTTCTCCCATGAATGCAGAGAGGGTCTCCCCTTCCCCTGCCCTAGGAAAGTGAGCAAGGAAGCGTGCAGCCCTGACCTTTTCTGGGAGTCATCATACGGCCTAGAGGAGAACAAGCTTGAGAATGAAAACACTGCCAAGGACATCAGAGCAGAACGACAGAAAGAACCTGGGTCCTTGTGAACAGAGTCATGGAATGATCTAGTCCTTAAGTGCACTCTGGTTCTTGCTGTGAGAGGTGATCCACCTCTTTCTTGTTTGTCATCATCTCACTTAGAGACAGAGCATCCTAACTGATTATTTATCCATCTTAGCTGAACTTAGGGCCCCATGAAGGAGGCACCACCCCTCTCTCTCCAGGAGGCTAAGTAATCCACTAACAGTTTCATTCACCTTAAACTCCTTCCCAAAATACCCTCCTAGCTACTGGAACAATCAAGACAGAGTTTTTAGACAGAGTTTTGCTCTTGTTGCCCAGGCTGGAGTGCAACGGTGTGATCTCGGCTCACTGCAACCTCTGCCTCCCACATTCAAGCAATTCTTCTGCATCAGCCTCCTGAGTAGCTGGGATTACAGGCGCCTGCCACCATGCCCGGCTAATTTTTTGTATTTTTAGTAGAGACAGGGTTTCACCACGTTAGCCAGGCTGGTCTTGAACTCCTGACCTCAGGTGATCCATCTGCCTCGGCCTCTCAAAGTGCTGAAAGGTTGGAGATTTTATACTCCAACTCAAGACCTTCACCAAGGCCTCCTGGGTCCACTGCCACTCTGTTTCCTTCTTTTTCTCTGTCCTCTCCCTTCTGGAGTTCACCAGTCAAACCTCTTTCTCACTCTCTACTCCTCAGCCCACACCCATCCCTGCCAGGGCTTTGTGGCCTTACTTGTACAATTTACCCACCACGGCCTCAGGTACAAGGGTTTATGACGTTTGTAACAAGTACTTGCTAATCTCTCAGAAGCCACTGGGTATATAGAATCCTGCAGTTTATCTGGATGATCAAACTATTTCATTTTTTATTCTTCTTAGTTGGCATCAGTGCCTTAGAATAGAATTTAGATGTGTGCTTTGCCTAAAAGGAAAGAGCTGACAGAGCTTGCAACTGGCAATGCATCAGTTCCACCTCAAGGAAATCAACAGGGAGAAGCTAATGAGACGGAACAGTTCTCATATTAACCAGTTAGCTATTCAGCTTAGGACAGATGTGGAAAATAAGCCCATATGAGACAAATTCATTAAAGTGAAATTATCCGTTCAACACCTTGATATCTGAGCAGACTGATGTTTCAAAATTATTATAATTATGATCATGGGGATAAAGAGAGCCAAACTTTCGAAAGAAGACTTGAAAAAAAATTAAAAATTCTAGTACTACCCTGTGAGATGAAAATAATGAGCTGGTCACAGATCCCCAGGATATCAGCAATTGCTCTAAATCCTTCTTGATGAGGAATCTGTGACTCCAAAGTCAACATTAATTCAAATGCAAATAATATCTCTTCCCCCTGAGAATCATTATTCCTGATTCAGCAGGCAATTTAATGGGAAATCTGCAGGTGCACTGCAGACTTTGAACCAGAGAAGTTGTTCCAGCTCCAGATGAAGCTTTGACTCCTGAACACATGGAATCTGACAGTCAGAGCCCAGAGATTTTAATTCTCTCACTGCCTCTGAGATGGTAGTTCCTGGGTAAAGCATATGGAACTCAGTAGGGCATAGATCTGGTACCTGCAGCCTGGAAAATATCACAAATCTCTGTCTGCTTCTCTCAAACACACACCCCCTTCTTCAGTAGCTGTTAACCACCTCGACCCTTTGCATGGAAGTTCTTCTTAAATACCACCTGCAGAAGACAGTCAGCCTCCAGCCTTGTCATCTTGAGGTGACCCACAGAGGAGAAAAGGCTGGAAGCCTCTAGAATTATCTGGCTCAGGTTGGACTGTCTGATGCTGGGAAAATTACATGGCCATTCTGTGCCTCAGTTTCTCCATCAGCAAAATAAGGAAATGAATAACATCTGCCTTGTAGGACTGTGGTGTGGTTTAAGAGCTATAACAAACTTTTCATAGGCAAGATAACAGAAGGGTTAACAGTATGAACTCTGAAACCAGACTTTCCTGGTCCAAATCTGAGCTCTGCAGCTTGCTTATTAATAACCTTGGCAAAACAACCTTTTTTTTTTAACATCGGTTACCCCATGTAAAATGGGGGTGATAATATTAACAACCTGAGTTGTTATAAAAATTAACATTTTAAAATAATTTAGACCAGTGTCTGGCTTATATACCAAAGACTGTGTAATCACTTATGGTACAAGCAGTGCTTGGGCCATAGTGAGAGCTCAGTAAATGTTATATATTAGTATAAGAATTGTTAGTATTTCCATGAGTAGTCATAACACCATAGAAGAAACAGGGAATAATATTTCCAAAGACAGAATAGAAAGAGGCAAGGTATTTTCAGTTAGAAGAAATTGCCCTCTCAGCAATTTCTTTTTACCAGGTTTTATATGTGTAATAGTCTTTTCAGGATTCTATAACAACATACTATAGACTGGCTGGCTTAAACAACAGAAATTCATTTGTTCACAGGTCTGGAGACTGGCGGTCCAAGATCAGGGTGCCAGCATGGTTGGATTCTAGTGCAGACTCCCTCCTGACTTGAAGACTATACCTTCTCATTGTGTCTTCACATGGCAGAAAGAGAGAAAGAGAGCTCTCTCTGCCTCTTCCTGTAAGACCATAGTCTTATTGGATTAGAGGCCCATTCTTATGACCTCATTTAAGCTTTATTATCTCCTGAAGGCCCCATCTCCAGATATAGTCACACTGGGGCTTAAGACTTCAACATACCAATTTTGGGAGATATGATTCAGTCTATCACGTCGATCACATTCAGTCTAACATCACAATAAAAGGCCCTGTGATGCTTTGGCATACCCTGGTGACTCAGGGATGGCCAACTAGAAATATAACAGGTACCCAAATGCCATTCTCACTGAGAAGTCTGGAAACATATTTCTGAGAAAAGCAGAAGAGAGAGAGTTTAGCCAAGGTGGGAAGCTACTACATGTGGTGAGGCCATGTGTGGCAAGCATGCGTCTAACTAGCCATGGACACATGAAGTCCTTCAGTGCTTAACAATGCTGAGTCATATATTAGATTATGTTCCAGAATCCTACACCCACAGCATGTGAGGCAGATAAGCTGTACTTACCCAAGAAATGTAAACACCACAATAGTCCTTGGTTGTCAATCTGGTAGGGTCACGAAGACCTGCCTGGTATCAGTGTTTTTTAAAGCAACAGCTGAAAAAGTGACACCTAACTAGTCAAAGAACAGAGTTACAAGAGACATGCTGATTCAACGAATGGGTAATTATATATATTTGTTTTATTTGCTAAATCTATCCCTAAAATTTGTGTGCAGAAAAAAAAAAGGAGAAGTAAATTATGATGAATATTCGGTTAAAACAATCCTGCAGCAAATCTGAAAAAATCTATGGAAATAGAAACAATCACCCCTCATTTTATATTTTGGGGTTTGTTCTGTTATTATTATAATTGGATAGATACATTGAGTTTACATAAGCCAGGATTTATATTTTTTATGAGGGTCTTTACTTGACTTTTTTTATTCTAGACTTCTTTTATTCTAGATTTTACTAGTAAGAATTTAAAGATGTTACAAGGTAAGTGAGAGTTTAGATAAAGTTCTATCATACAGAACTTTCTCTTGGTTATTTCAGGGCAAATGAGTTTTAAAGTACCTGCACAGTAAATATTAATCACTGCATCTTGCCACATCTTGCAGATTTGCATTGTCAAAGGTTACAATTTTATCATGATAGTCTTACAATGTGATTAGAATCCTGTATTAGCTAAAGCCATTTTATTTTCAAGGACAAAATTTAAAGCAAAGAGGGGAAAATATATGAATGAAAAGAAGAAAAGAAAAATAATTTGTCTCCTTGACCTTCAGTGTTAGGGAGAATGACCAGAAAAAAACACAATAATGTTCGCCTTTGCTTCTAGGTCAAATTAATCTCCAAGGTTTTTCTAACTCATTATCAATTTCAAAAAATAAAAATATATAAAATGAAGAAATAGATCACAGCTGCTTATTCATCAGAGACACATCCCTTAATCTTCTCTTTAGCCATCTGGCAGCATATATTCAGTTTTTCTTTCTGCATTTATTTTCACAGATAAGGGACATTTCCAACCTCTTGCTTCTATTATTTGTTGATGTTTCTTGTCTCCTTGCAGTTACAGCATTATCTTGAATAGGGTTTTACCTCCATATCTGTGTTATCCCCAGATGGTGATGTCATGCTACCAGAATCACCCATTAGCAAAGCATCCTGATGGGGCACAACCACCTAGCTCCCTTTCGTCTCAGTTACCATGTGGCCCAGAGCCTTTCCTCTCTACACTAACTGAACCACAGTTTATCTCGGGGAGGAAACAGTAGGCTGGAAGCAAGGCTAGGAACAGGTCCCCCCTCTCGTACAGTAAGAGATAGACCAGAAAAGCCCAGCCAGATGTCCTTAGCCCCCTCTGTCTCCTGTTTTCAATGGAAACTACACCTAAGTAACACCAGAGCCACCACAACCTCAAATTTCTCCGTCATCTGTAACCTGAGGGAAGGCCACAGTCTGATGGCGGCCCTCCGGTTAGGAGGCTGAGAGCTCCTGTCTGTTAATTTATTGTTTGCTCTTTGGAACCAGAAAGTGGCAAAAACACTGGAAAACCTGTTACTTGGGGCCCTACAGAGTGGTCTATTTATTTCTGTTTGCAAATCGAGGCACGCGGGTCTTCCCCACTCCCTCCACGGTGGGGCCATTTCTAATGACCTTCAGTTGCCTGTCAAGCTGTTCTGACTGCTCATGTCTATGGCCCTTGTTCCAATATCCAAGTCAGATAATGTAACATTCAGAAGATCTTGTTCCCATTCCTTGTTCTTTAAATGTTTCAAAAATCACAGAACTGAAGGAAGCAGAAGCGAGGTTTCATGCTGAAGTCTAGTTGCTCTCCCATGATGGCCTGCATGGGATGCAGTTTACTCTAGGGGTTTGAGTGTCACTGAGAATTCTTGAACCACAAAAACTGCATCAATGTGCATTGTCCCTTCTCAAGCTCCCAGACTGATATTACAATTGCATTGACTTGAGACTTTGCCCACGTCAGGGGTTCCAAGGCTTAAGAGTAGATCAGAATCACTAAGGGAACACGTTAAAAATGTCTATTTCCAGGTTCCATCCCCCAGGGATTTGATTTAGAAGATATAAAGTAGAGGCACAGAAATCTGAATTTTTAGCTACAGATTTGTTGATTTTGAAGCAAGAAAGTCTAAGACTGCATTTATACACTGACCTCAGTCAAAGTTAACATTTTTTAAATCCTCAAGAGGGCCCTGCCTTTTCCTGAAGGATGGATTATTTTATTTCTTTCATACTAAGTACTCAAGATTAGGTGCTGTCTCCAGGCCCTGAAAATATCTTAATGCCTTGTTGAGATGAACAATATGTTTTGTGCTTATCAAATTGCTCTTCATCAATTAGGTAACAGTTTTATAATTCATATTATGTGCCAGGCACTGAGGATATAAGGGTGAGAGAAGCAGCTCTTGCCCTCAGGAGCTCGCAAGCACATGGGGAAGATGTTCAGTTAAACTGGCAATTGCAGTAAGGTGGAAGAGTTGCAATTGCAAACACAGGCACAGGTTACTATGTGAGAGCCAAAGAGGAGCACCACCTGAGACAGGAGTTTAGGAAAGCTGCTCAGAGGAGGTGGCCTCAGAAAAGGGCTTTGGGTAAAGAGAAGAGATTAACCAGGTCAAGAAGATAAAGAGGGAGTCATATTTGCGAAAGCACAGAGCAGACAGGAGCAGAGCGTGCTCAAGCAACTACGAGGAGTTAAATATGTTCAGGGTAAGGACTCATAAGAACAACAAGGTGTGTTAGCCTGTTCAGGCTGCTGTAACAACTTACCATGGACCAGGTGGCTTATAAGCAACAGAAATGTATTTCTTACAGTTCTAAAGTTTGTGAAGTCCAACATCAGAGCACCAGCAGATGCTGTGTCTGATGAGGGCCCTCTTCCTCCTGGTTCACAGATGGCTGTCTTCTCACTGTGTCCTCACATGGCAGAAGGGATGAGGGAGTTTTCTGAGGCCTGTTTTATAAGGACAGTCATCTCATCCATGAGGGCTCCACCCTTAGGACCTGATCACCTCCCAAAGGCCCACCTCCCAATACCATCCTGGGGGTTAGGATTTCAATATATAAATCTTCAGGGGTAGGAGGAACACAAGGAGAAGTGACTGAAGGAGTAAAGCAGAATATAAATCAAACTTAGGAGTTTGAAAATTATTTATTCAGCAGTGAGGAGCTATTGGAAGGTTCTATTGTGTACAGAAGATGGATCCAATGGGGAAAGATTGGTATTGAGATTATTACCTCAACATAACCAGGCTCAAATACTAAAGCTTAATAACACCAAAATGTCTGTGGCTTTGGCTCCATGTTTTCTCTTTTAAGTAATAAAAAAAGTTTAAAGTTTCTATTACACATAGAAATCTGTTGACAATTTTAATCTGATGGCAGCCATGGTACTGTGACTATTCATGTCAGAGTCCTTTGCCAGTAGAAACAAAGAAGATGCTGTTGCTGGCATGCTTCAACTCAGTTTTATTTCCTTATTTTATAAATTCTCTTCCTTTTGTTAAATCTGTCTTCTCCTTGAAAGCTAGGATCTTCCTGATGGATCCTTTGAGTTATTCTAGGACAATGCTTTTGTAGCTCAAAAGAGTGGTTGGCTGCAAACTCTTTAACAACCTTCAAACCCTCTATCGCAGACTCCAGCCTGCCTTTCCAGAAATAGCCTCTCAATGTCTTCTGCACTCCAACCAGATGATTAGAGTCCAAACCAGCCACAAGATTGCCTGAACCTGTGCCTTGGCTCAAACACTTTCTTCTGCCTTCCACTAAGAATGCCCTCCCTCCAGCCCTATCCACCCATGGTTATTTTTCTGATTCTGTAAGTTCAAATGCCTGAGCTTAAAGATACCTTCTCTAATGGCCTGAGCAGAATTGTTTCCCCTCTGGACTTCCTCAATTTGATCGTCTTCTAGAGTTTGGCTTGCATTATAGTTACCCGTGCACAAATCTGCCCTGTGAACCCCTTTAAGGACATGACCCTGTCATGGTCAACTTTGTCTCCATATTCCTTGCTTAGTGACTACACAAGGCTGAGTTGCACCATACAGGACTACTTTTCCATATTTCAGAAACTGTGCTTTAATAACCACAATCCACATGAAAGCTCCAGCTCATAATAAGAGCTACAGCTACGAATGACCGAGTGCTTATTATGGGTCAGACATGGAACTGAGATTTTTTTCACATTTATGTATACTAAAATTAATATATATGTGTGTATGTATATGTACATGTGTGTAAATATATACATATATACACATAGACATATATTTATGTATATATGTTTATATGTGCATATACATTGTATATTTAATTCAGAACATATATGTGTGTGTGTGTGTGTGTGTGTGTGTGTATATATATATGTATGTTGGGTATGTGTGTATGTACGTGTGTATTCAACTAATCCCACATAAGGGATTCTCTCCTTTTTAGAGATGAGTAAACTGAATTGCAGAGAGCTTAGATGACTTGAAAGAGACTTGACAGCTGAGCAGGGAGACCATCTGTAGCCACCTCCCTGTCACAAGGAAGCCTGCACATGTAAGTTACTCCACCCCTGCCCCAGATGACTCCTGGGTGACGGCTGTGAAATATTTCGATTCATCCTGAGGCTTCTCTGCTAGCCCTATTGGAAAGTCTGGAAGTAGGTGTAGGGAGCATGAGGAAGAAATAAAAACAGAATCCTGTGGAGTCACTACATTGTAGAAGAAAAGAGAAAGACAAGTCAGGGGTGGAGAAAGAGAAAGAAGGGTTAGAGACCATGGAATGAGGAATAGTGAGCAGCACAGGTCATGAGAGCATAGCTCTGTCCTGGCTGTTTTCACCGGAGCAACTCACTTTCACCTGTTGGATGGCTGTCCCGCATCACTGGCCTGTAAGCTCTGGGAGAGAAGAGACCACAGTAACAGCAGCCATTATTTATTGAGCACCTACAATGTGCCAGGGCACTGTTCTAAGCACGTCTCTTGTATTATCTAATCTTCACAAAACCTTATGAGATAGGTAATATTATTAACTCCATTTAATAGGTGAGGAAACTGAGCCCCAGAGAGGCTGCATAACTTACCTGTGTCACACATCTAAGACACGTCAGGGCTGGCTGTGCAGACAGACGCTCTGACACCAGAGCCTGCCTTTAACCATGATGCTGTGCCACTCCCCATAGCACATGAATTAGCCACTTATTAGGTATATACTGAATAAAACAATGAATAAAGACGGGAGGGTCACCAGGATCTAGAACTGGAAGGAGGTAAAGGATTATGAAAACTGAAAACAATCTTTGGATTTGCCAATTTAAGAGGATGTTGGTGGCATTCAAGAGAGCATGGTGGAGTCCTCTCTCTGTCCCCAGGTAAGGTGGGAGTGTCCAAGGCATCCTCAGCTCTTAACATAGTTCCTGGAACCCGGTCTGCACTCAGGGATACCCGCCAAGGCAGAAGGCCAAATTCCCCCCATGTTCCTTCCCAAGCCACCCACTGGCCCCTATGAAGGCTCTGGGAGTGACTGAAAAACTGGCATTTTTGGTCCTACAGAGACGTCAAAGAGAGGAAACGTTGAAGACAGAAACCCAAAACTCTCAGTTTATAACTTTGAACTGGGGCCGGGGAGGGGGGGGTGGGGAATAGCTTTCATTGGCTACAGCTACCACATCAAAAATAAGTAAAACATGAGAACTGTGAACCACATGAAGAGAGAGCGCGCCAACCTCAGTGAATCTCTTAACACTTAAGACGCTTCTTGGTAGAACTGAAGCCTCCCAAATGAAAAACAAGCACCGTTGTTCTTTATGGTCCAAATCACTTCAAAAGAGACTTACAAGCCCAAAAAAGATAAAGCCCAGCTTAAACGTGCACCCCACCCCACTTCCTTGCTGGCTCCTTCCCCCATGCATTGCCAGAACCTGCTCCACTAAACAGCAGGGGGTGGGGGAGGGAACAGACAGAAGAGGCGAAGTCCCTGGCCACCCTCTGTGCGTGACTGCCACCTGCGTATTGCAGGGTCTGGGCCCCTTGAGGAGAGAGGTAGCACCGTGCTGCATGTCCGTGTGGCCCGCCAGCTGGATCAATGAGTTCAGCCGCACTCAGCTCCAGGAGGCTGCAGATTTCTCACTCAGATCTCAGCGAGTAGCGCTGACATCTATTACCCCAGAAAGAGATTGGATATTGGGCTTAATGGATTTTCTGTGTGTTCCTTTCTGACCATAGAGAGACCTCCCATAGAGACGAAATATATCTACAAAAGGGTCACTGCCCTTGCAAGGAAAATGCGATCCCAGCACGGCCTGGCGTGTTCCTGGCGGCAGAAAGGTAAAGGAAAGCAGCAGAAACAGGCCAGCGCAGTGGGGTGCAAGCTGGTAGAAGCTCCACCCCACTGGGTGTAAGGGAAGTGAGCCGTGTGGAGGCGGCGCGAACAAGGGAGCATTCAAAGTCCCTTAACACTGGCGTTCAAAAGCCTTTGGGTGCTTATATTTAATTGTGGGTGTGTCTGGCATTTCTATAATTCACAACACATGAGGTCGCAGTGTGAGAACTCAAATCAGTAGGAGGTGGAGAGCAGTCCAGTTTCCCATCCCACTCCCGCACGCTTAGCCCTCGCCCCCGACTCCAAGCTGGGGGCGACGGTGCAGATTCCCAGCTCATGAAAGCAGCCCAGGCGTCTGCCCAGAGGTCGCCTGCCTTCTCCTACCAAGAAGGAAAGGAGCACGGAGACAAACCGACTGACTCAAAAGCCCTTCTTTCCTAGGACTCCTGCCAGGACAGGAGGAGAAGTTGCCGCTGAGACGAGGAGACGGCGGGAAGCCCTGCAGATGCCCCAAGCCCACTGAAGCCACAGGAGGGGAAGGGAGGAGGCTGCTGTGCTTTCTGTGTACCTTGTTCTCTGCCCAGAAGGGTCAGCACAGCCAGGCAGCCCCGAAACCCAGTGGAGGCTAAAGAAAGGAGGGCCCTCTCTCCTAGAGAAGGCTCAGTAGGCTCCCGAGGAAAGGGAAGGAGCAACTTTTTCCGTTTGACTTCAAGGAGGAGGGGGAAAGGGTACAGAATCAAAATGTATGGCACTTGCGATTCAGTTGGCTTATTTCTGAAAAAATTGGGGTAGATTGGGCGCCCAATGCACCATAAGCGTTATGTGTGTTTGTAAACACACACGGGGGTGTACACAGGGGTAGGGGTCTTAGAGAGAAAAGTAAAAAGGGAAAAGAAGGAAAGTAGCAGAGGCTACTTTACACATAAAAGTACATAAATAAGTTTACTTATGAAGACCATGGTTTCCCACTAACAGCCCCATCTTGGTAGCAGAATGGGACAAACTGTCACACACGCACAGTGAATTGTAAATAGCAGGGAATGGAAGGACAATGCTCATATGCATTGGATGTATAATAAGAATACATATGTGACCTACATATGTCTGTTTAATTAGGACAAGTGTCCATCCCTAGTGAAGATTGATTAGTCACTGTGACCTTGTTTTTGAAAGGATAATGAGAGCAGATGAGACTTTTGCTTTAACAAACTTACTTGGCCAAAATTTTAAAAGCTGGCAATTCTACCTTGCTACCAATCCTGATTGATTTGTTGTTGTTGTTGTTGTTTTTCCAACTTTACTTGTCTCTGATATTGAAATGTCTAGGAACTGTAACCTATGACATGGAAGTGCTATATAATTTGTTTTCAAATTTCAAGCCTCTTTAACTAATGTGGATTTTTATTAAGCAGTTGTTTGACATTCAATGTCAGATGGGTTACAAGGAAAGCTGATGTTTAGAAGGATGTACTGTGTGTTGGGCATCATCCCAGACTCTGTCTTTTAATTCGGGTCGTAAAACTTACGCATCTTTATACAGTAGATACGACTTAACCCAATATTTTTTCAAAAGAGAAACAAGTTTTATACCTTGCACAAAACCACAGGTGGTGAAGGCAGAATACAAACTGAGGGCCTGTCTGACTCAGAAGCCCACGATGTTTCCTATCCTATCTCCTCAGTTACCAAAAAGAGGTTCACAGCACTGGACCAGAGAGAGACCTTGGATGTTAACTCCACCAGCCTCTAATTTTGCAGAGAAGAATGCGCTACAGCAGAGGTTAGGTTACTTGCCTAAGGCTTACTCAGTAAATTTGGTGATGTAGCTAAATTCATCACCAAATTTGGCTGCCACTCAGTCTCTAAATCGCTTGCCTGGTGTCCTCTCCACCCTCACCCCCACCCCTACCCCAGCCGTGCCCCAGGCACTATCCATAGATGAAAAGAGACAGCCATCCTCAGCACCCTCCAGACCAGAGCAAGCTGAGAACAGTTGATGCCTCCCCAGAGCTCCTGACACAACTCCAGTGCTGTGGAGGAGGCCCATCCCACAGAGCTGCTGCAAGAAGAAGATGCTGGGAGCTGAGCTGCTCCCTGGCAATCGCCTCCAGGCCAGCTCAAGCCATGCTAAGGGATGGGGGTCATAGGGACAAAAGGGCATTGTGTGTGAGAGAGGGAGTGGGGAGGGAGTGTGGGGAGGAATGCACTGGCAATTTCTTCCTCTCCCAAAGCTTTCCTCGCCCAGCTGTCTCGTGGCAAAGGAAGGACCCTCCCTGGAGGGGCTGGCAGCCCACCATGGATGCCTGGAGACTGGAGCTGATTGATTGTGTTATTAGATTTCCTCCAAAGGACAGAGGGCTTCATTTAGCTGGCATTGTGTCACTTGCTACAATGGCCCCTGAGTATATAGACGCTGCCTTATGCCGTTCCCTTTAATTCCCTTCAAATAGGGACATTTAAAAAGAGTCCAATAACATTTTTCTGAAAGGAACCTCCACCTCCTTTTTTTAAAGAACAGAATCATTTGTTTCCAAAAGGGGGCCCTCCAAAAGAAGCTGGAGGAGCAGAAACCATTTTAATAGCATCTTCTCTTTGCTGAATTGTGTCTTCATTTTACACTGCGGCTTTATTCTCTGCCCCTTTGACACAGCCAGCTGCCTTTCACGTTCCAGCTCAGAAACAGGCTGGCTTCAGGCTGTAACAGGCACCAGCTTCCAAAGCCCTTTCTCCAGATGACTCACGTTAGCTTGTGTGAGCCTGTGAGCCCCACACCACAGCTCCCAGACCTTTGTTCCTTTGCAAAGTGCATTTAAGCTCCAAGTACTAAAACAGTGTCTACCTAAGTCTCCTGCCTTACATTGGAGTGAAATAATTAATTACACAGTGGAGTGTCTGGTTCCTATCTTGTTCAGGTTCATCCTGTTATCAACTCAGCAGCTGGAGGAAGTGACATCACGTGCCCAAGCTCGGCTTTGAAGCTGGAGGTGCATACCGAGACACTGTATGTGGTACTGCACTCTGGCCAGGAAACATCACCCTTGGACCATCTGTTAAACTATTTAAAAAAAAAAAAAAAGTTGGGACATCAGTTTCTTAACTAGAGTTTCAAATCCTATTGTTCAAATGGTGAGAAAAGCCTTTTGTGAATTCTGCTCTTAGCCTGGAAGGTTATAAAAGGAGTGGAGATAAGTTCCTGCAAGTGTCTTGAAAATTAAATCCTTTTATAGAAAGCATAAATATATGTGGGGCTAGGTGGGGGGAATGCTCCACTGAGCAGGCTCCCATGTAACTAGTGAAGCAGATCCATTTAATGCTAGTCACCAGGATTTCTTTGCCCGAGTATTCCAAGCCCTGGTCTGGGGCTGCTTTTCTACTCCTATGAAAAAGTGCTTTATCAACTGCTTATCTCAAGTTTTTCTTAGTGAGTAACAGCTCTGGGAACTCTCTGTGTGGATCTGAACAGCATGCAAAATCATTTTACTTTTAAGACAAAAGACATTAGCTTCCTGTAGCTTTCTTAGCCATCTCTACCTCTCTTCCTTTCCCACCCACTTTTCCCTCCCCTCCCCTTCTTCCAACCCCCATGGCACTAAATAAAATGCTTAGAAAATGAAGGCCACAGCTGCCCTTTCTTCCCATTAAAACAATCAAGAATGATGGTGGGTTTAATATATTTGATTAGAGAAACTCCAATTTGGTGCACTTGAATCAGCTGCCTTTGTCTTCAGCTCCCGATGGCCCGATTTCAGTGGAATGTCCTCTGCTGTCCACTGCCAGCTCAGGCTGGGAGAAAATTCAGACGCTGAAAGCATTGGCTTGGCATGCTCAGAAACACGGTATTTATGCTGTAGAAGATGCCAGGCCCACTTCTTCCTAATCAGAGGGAGCGCCACTTCATTAAATCGTGGTCACTTACTGGTGACCCTCATAGTTGTAGCCCTGGGGGGCCTGTGGTACTCTTTAGCAATGTTAATTTTTCATGGATTTTATTGCTTTCCTTCATTGATATTGGCTGTTGAAATTCCAGCCTGAATCCTGTTCAAACAACCCAGGAGATTCTGGTACCCAACTTGCACAGAGGAAGTTCAGAGAATAATAATCACATTTACATATGGAGTCTCTTTCATTCAAAGAACAAATAGAAAACTAATGGAAAATAAGAAAATGTGTCATCATTTCCCCACAAGGTGTTATTAAACAGGTTTGAAATATTGCCTGGGCAGCCCCAAACTTGTAGGGTACTTGAGAAGGAATTGATCTCCTTGGGGGCTGGAGGCTTGGCAAACACAGCTTATTTGCACTTAAAGTTTATAGAGATTTTTAGGAAGGGCTCTCTTGAAATATTCTAAATAAATGTATGCTCCAAGAATAAGTACAAGAATGAATTCAGGATAAGAGTTTAAATTCCTATCAAAGACATATTGAAATGCTACAGAGTTTGTAGGGGTTTATTTGAATATATTTTAATCCCTACCATGGCCAAAGTCAGAGATTGGAGTTAGATGGATGAGGTCACAAAGACTGCTAAACTCATTTTCTACACTTTTATGAAGCGAAATCCCCACGTCTCCCAGTATCCACCCCAAGTCAGCCGCCTAGCTGAGCCCCTGCCCAGTGACTTCTCCACCCAGGCTCTGTGGTAGGAAACCAAAGCCCAGGGACACAGCCAAGTTAGAAATAGCATTCAGGCTTTTGGGTCCCAGTGTCCATGCCCAGTCTGTGAGTTGGCCTGTCAACAACATGGACAAGGGACATGCTGGGTTCTGCCAGGCTCAGGAAGAGTGGCCCGGGAAGGAGGGCTTCCCGTCCTCCACAGCCCTGGCAGTGAGCATCTCGCCATCACCTCAGGGGTGGGTGGGTGGGGGCTGGATGTCACTCAGAGACCAGTGTGGTCCCCATCAGCTTTGCAGGCGCTGCAAGCCCAAGTCCTCAGAGGAGACCTGGTTACAGTCTGTCTCCACACTCAAAGGCACTCTGGTCGTGGGGCAAGAAGAATGAGCACAGCCTTCTGGGAGGGACGGTTTCCCAAGAGCAGCACCCACACACAGGGAAGGACTCTGAGAGAAGGTGCCGAGCCTGGCGGTGTGAATGAGCTCCATGCTTCTCCTTGGGAGAAACGAAAGCCTTTCTAGACACTGAGGGAGCAGAGTACAGGCAGCTAAGGCCCACACGGCCCCCCAAGGTGCATCAGATAACTTTAGTTACAAAAATACAACAAAGAGCTGGCTGCATTTTACCTCCCCTTCCACTGTAAAAGTCGAGATTTAAGATTCCTGTTGTATAAGAATTAATATGAAAAGAATTTTGTATCCTATTATGGCATTGTGTTATAATAATGGAATGCTCTCCCCGCCCAATCTGGCTTACTGTCCCCTAGATCTTGCCAATGATTATTCAGTTCCACAGTGTGTGAGTGTTGCTGTGGGGACAGCCTCCTGAGCCTGAAAGAAAGAGGCCATGAATGCTTCAAGCTGGAAAACGGCATAGTCAGCCCTCCGCCCCGGGCACCCCTATCTACGCACACTCAGACACACACACGGGGACACACACACTTCACCCAGCGGTTTTACTATCTTCCAAGCTAACCTGGACTTGCATGGGAAGTTTAATACTTGGACAACTGCAGCTGTATGAGCAGCTCATTGTCTCTGACGTGACACACAATGGGTTCCAGAAAAGGAAAACAAAATACTCTTTAAACTGTGCTGCATTCTGTTTGGAAATCGAGAGTCCAGGCAAAGGGTTTTCCTTGACAAACCAGAACAGGGGTGTTGTTGCTGCACTTTAATTTTGCTTGGTAACTGGATCTTGTTCCCCTGAGCATAAAGATTTAACAGAGTTTCTCCAGAATTTACCAATTCAGAGAGTTCTGAACAGCTAAGTAGGGGTGGGCAGGGGAAAATGTGTTTTTAACTCATCACATGTCCGCAGGATTCTTAAGGAGAAAACGGCGACCGGTTCTTTTCCATGTCCCCCGGAACAAAGCAAGGAGAAATGAACTTCAGCTGCAGCAGGTGAGATTCAAGTGAGACATGAGAAAAGTTTTCCAGCCTGAGGAATGTTGACTAGAATGTATCACTGAGTGAGGATGCTGAAACACTGCGGAAGATCCATGGGTCTGGCTAATTACCGCGTAGTAAGGGGTGGAACCCTTGGATTCTACGGAAGCTCCTGGCTGGTTAGGTGCTGATAATGGTGTGTTGTTTCATTTTGTTTCAAGATTTCTAGTTGTTAGGCTCCCATTGTCACATATTTCCCTCAAATCAACTCCCTCTGAATCACCCTATTTGGAGGGAGACACTATTCTCCATTTCCGCTCGGCCACTTCCAGCCTCACCCGCTCTTTATAATCTTCAGTGAGGAAATGCCTCTCACAGTCACTCTTCCTTCCCTACCATGGCACCGAACCACAGATTCCCAGCATTGAACAATGGCCATGGAAGATGTATCTGGTTGAGTTTGTTGTTTGTGTTTTTTTTCTTTTCCTTTTTCTTAATAGAATTCCTTCAATTACACGTATGTTTTCAGCAGCCGGGCCAATCCTCCTCCTCACAGGGGTGAGGTCAGCAAACCCAGGAAGCTCTCAGAGCCAAGAAAGCCTCAGATCCAGGAGGAAGTAGTTATGGATGCCCATAGCTGAAGTGCTCTGTGTCCACTGGAAGTAAAAGGAGCAGGTTCCTGCCGAAGAATGTACAGACGACGTGAAATCATGTGTGGCTACACTGAAGCTAAAGGCTGCCAGCCAACCATAGCCAGTTGGGGATATAAACCTCTAAAAACCAAAACTGGGGAAAAATGGCTCCCCATTTTCTGAGGTACTCTTGGAGCACAAGCTGAATGAAAACCAATCATCATTGCCCTGCCTAGCATGAAGCAGAATGAAAAGAAGGCAGATAATATTTCCTCCCCTGAACCACTCATCCATATCTGCTCTATTCAGATATTTGTGCCTAGGCAACTGCACCCACCCCTCTCAGCATTTACCCACAGATCCTCAAAACCAAGCCCTAGCACAATCGACTCCAGTGAAAATTAAAAAAGCTATCCCAAACATCTCCAAGCTTCTTTCCTCTGCAACTTCCCTCCTTCTTCTTCATCACCAGTTATACCACCAAAGTATCTACAACTGCTCAGATGCAGGCAAACTACCCTGAAAGTGCTCACATGTATTTCTTCCTTCCCTTGAGGGTGATATTCTACAGTAATTCCATTATGTTTACAAATAGAAAAGTTATTTCAATACATCTGTATATTATATATATGTATATATATACACACATAGCTTTTATATCACTGACACAGTGTTACATGCAATAAAGAGAGGAATTATTTATATCAGTACAATTTCCAAATTAGTAATTGCTCGCATTGAATTAGGTACTGTACAAATGGATTACAATGCAAATATATAAGCTATATACAAGCTTATAATTTTGAAAATATTCAAACTTGGGACATTTACGGGTATGTTTTGAGATGTGCCTATACCTGTGCATCACAACAGTGCCATAGGTCAGTTTTTCTGAGATTCAGGTGTCCATCGGATCTCCTGATGAGCCACAGGCCCTCAGAGAGGTCTACATGGTAGCTACAGGTCAACAGATGGCATGAACAAGGGCATTTCCTCCAGCCGAAGACTATGAGAACATCTATCTCTGAGAACATCAGAGTCTGCCCTCTGATACTCAGAAGAAGGTAGACATGAGCCCAGACACCTAGCTTGACTCCAGCCTCCATTAGCCGCTCCTCCAGGATGAACCATCCAATAAGACATTTAGTACATACCATTCGAATGCCCCAAATTCAGGGAAACATACAGTTAAAATAGGTCACAGGTAGACTTCTTGAATACAGAAGCACTGTCTTACTCAACTAAATATCTTCATTGCCTGGCAAAATTTCTGTTTCACAGTGGTTAATAAATCCTAGCTGCTTAATCAATGCATGAATAAATTTTGTCAAGCCTCAAATATCAGAAAGCCTTCAAGGAATTCTGGGAAGGTTAGGAGAAACAAGGTGTGGTGTGTTAGTGTTGATAGGAAAGACAACTTTGTAGGGCCATGGGTAAGTAGGATTTGGTCCACAGATTTGGAGAAAATGCAGGGAAAGAATTGGTTGTGAATTTACCTATATTGTCCAGTACCTCTATTGCCCAAATGTGCATGGTAAGGAATACTGACCCGGCTACTGCCTAGGATATGGAGACCTAAGACAGCCAAGATAGGAAGGATACACACCCACACAGAGTGCAACTTGATGGATAAGCAGCTCACAGAAGGTGACTTCCTCCAACACATTTCCTTCACAATTGTACCCAATTGGGATGGAGGAGATTCTTCTGGGTCTGAAGCAATATGCTCAGCTCTGTGCCTCTCTGTGGGAAAGGAGAGCATGGGTGTGCCCATTAAAGCATGCGTGTGTCCATGGATGCCTGCTCAGTCCCACAGAGCACCTGAGAGACAGAACTGGACCAATGATCATTATCATCATAATTAGAATTGTTACTGCCAGTAGTTGTGTTTAGTCCAGTGCCCAGCACCCTGTAATGTGTCCAATAATTGGACTGAAGGCTGAGCATAAAGAAATGCTAAATAATAGTAGTTTCATATGACAGATGAAAAAGCAAAATATAGATGGATGCAGAAAAAAGTAAAGGAAGCACTTGCTTTGATGTATAGACCTTTACCAGTGTTAAGAAATCAGTGGTGTGGCATTGGAATCTATACTTAGGGCATATTTAGTATACATTAAATGCGTGTTGGTCTTGCTTCTCGCACCAAATAAGTACAGTTGGAACAACTGCAATACTCACAGGAATTTTAAAGTACGTTGAAATGTACATAGCTATTTCTGAAGATGTTTAAAAACACCCTTGTCCCATTACTACAGTGCCCCCAAACGCTTTTTCATTTGAAAGCCAATAACAATGTCTTCACCAATCATATTCCTACGATCCCAGCAGGTGGGCAAGACTAGAAAAGCAGCCAGGCTACACATTTGCATCAAACAATAGAGAAACAGCCTTTATGAGGGACAGAATATAAGGAGAAGGGACAGGGTGAGGAAAGAGCACAAATAGGATTGTGTCTCAGCAGAACATCTGAGGTTTACCACCATTCCATCAACTGCATCCTCAGCAAGCTGATAACGATGAGCCTTTAATGCATTTGCTGCCTCTGACTTGTGCGGCCCAGCATGCAATCATCCAAATGATACCACAATAATGCTGGAGCACACATTAAGCACTTACTGTAATAGCTGGACTGCTGAGCAGGAGACATCGAAGGACGCAGAGCAGCAGGCATTAAGGGTGCCTTTGACTGCATGTGCACACTCGTACGAAGCCATGGTGTGGACTCCAATGAGCTATGTAGTGAGGACTGCAGTGAGATCACTGAAGAAGGAAATCGAGCAACGAAAGGTTGCTGATGGGACCTCTCTATTTTTAGGTTAAAAAATGTATTACACCAAAAATGAACCCTAATGTAAACTGTGGGCTTCAGATGATAATGATGTGTCAGTATAGGTTCCACTGTAGCAAATGTACCCTCTGGTGCAGGATATTGACAGTGGGGGAGGTGGTGTGGAGGGGAATGGGATATATGGGATATCCTTGTACTGTCTGCTCAGTTTGACTATGAATCTAAAATTGCTCTAGGACATAAAGTCAATATATAAATAAATAAATTTCAAACGTGGGATCTGGGGAGTTGTACGATATTCCCTGCAGTAAATAGCATTACTTACATATCAAGCGGCCTCATGCAGGTGAAGATAAAAGGACATAGCATCAAACATCTGGGTGTCTGCAGCAAACCATCCCAACTCCCGCTCCAAAGAAAATGACTCCAAAGGTTTTCCTGTTAGCATATTTCCAGTTATCAAAATCTTATGTTTTCAACCATCAGACATCTTGAAAGAGTAGTTGATGTTTTCATTGTTGTCATTACTCTTAAGTCTTAATGGTTCTGTGTTATTTTCCTGTGGCTGCTGTAACAAATCACTACAAATTTCGTATTTAAAATAAATGCAAGTTTATTATCTTACAGTTCTGTAGATCAGAAGTCTGGTATGCATTGCAGCCAACTAATGTCTAGGTGTTGACAGGCCGTGCTCCATTCTGAAGGTCCCAGAAGAGACTGCACTTCCTACTCATTTAGGTGGTTAGCAGAATTCCTTGCACTGGTAGGCCTGAGGTCTCTATTTTCTTCCTGCCTATAAACTGAGAACTGTTCTCTGCATCTAGAGGCCACCACATTTCCTTGGCCTATGGCCCTCTTCCTCCATCTCCAATATCATATCTCTCTGACACTCTTCCTGCTGGCTCTTTGACTTACAAAGACTCATGTGATTAAACTGGGGCCCACCCAGATAACCCAGGATAATCTCCCCATGTCAAAATCTGTGCCCTTAGTCGCAACTGTGCAGCCTCTTTTGCTCTGTAAGATAACATATTCACAGGCTCCAAGGATTAGGGCAGGCACATCTTTGAGGGGTGGGGCGTATTATGCCTACCATACTCTCCTTAACCCATTAATACATGGCCCTCATCCCCTTCTGAAACTCATTTCACTAAAGTCATCTTGAACACTTAAATGCTAAATCCATCCTCATCCATATGTGACCATTCTGCAGTGTTTGACACGGACATTACCTAATTCTTGAAGCACTTAGCTTCTACGTGCTATAACACTGTCTGCTGATCTATTCCTACTCCCTAGACCACCTCTTATTGAATCCTGCATTCATTTCTCTGCTTTCTTGTTCTTTCTTTGCACAGTGTGGTGGCACCTGTACATCCCAGGTTTGTGTCCAGATCTCCTGGACCTTGGTTCCCAATCATAACTGCCTTCTGAGCTCGGCTTGCATGACACATAGGCTCCTTTCTATTCTTCACATAACTGATTCCTTTTTCTGCATGATATACCTCATCGTGGCAACACCAAACCTCACTCTTCCATGACAGATCGTTAGAAGTCATCCTCTTCCGCCAGGCATAGTGGCTCATGCCTGTAATCCCAGCACTTTGGGAGGCTGAGGCAGTCGGATCACCTGAGGTTGGGAGCTCAAGACCACCCTGACCAACATGGTGAAACCCCATCTCTACTAAAAATACAACATTAGCCGGGCGTGGTGGCACGCACCTGTAATCCCAGCTACACGAGAGGCTGAGGCAGGAGAATCACTTGAACCTGGGAAGAAGAGGTTGCAGTGAGCCAAGATCATGCCACTGAACTCCAGCCTGGGCAAAAACAACAAAACTCCATCTCAAAAAAAAAAAAAAAAAGTCATTCTCTCCTCCTCCTTCTGCCTCTACTCACAACCCCCCAACCCAGACAATGATAATGTTCTATCTTAACTCCTGAGTATCTCTTGAATCCACTCTCTCCTCTCTTGCTTGCTGTCATTGGTGATGTTCAGGCCCCCAGTATTAGCCCCAAGATTACTGACAACACCCTTGAGTCTTGTGCCACCACTCCCGGCCATTCTTCACATTTTCACCAGACACAGATATGATCTTGTCCCTGCTCTGTTTAAAAACATTGGTTGGCCAGGCATGGTGGCTCACACCTGTAATCCTAGTACTTTGGGAGGCCAAGGCAGGTGGATTGC
Organism: Homo sapiens; assembly: GCF_000001405.40. Lineage (NCBI taxonomy): Eukaryota > Metazoa > Chordata > Mammalia > Primates > Hominidae > Homo > Homo sapiens. Next base: position 40,199,631 of record NC_000013.11, read on the forward strand.
TTGAGTCCAAGAGTTCAAGACTAGCCTGGGCAACATAGAGAAACCCTGTCTCTACTAAAAATACACAAAAAAAAATAGCTGGGGTAATGGTGCATGCCTGTAGTCCCAGATACTCAGGAGGCTGAGGTGGAAGGATCACTTGATCCTAGGAGGTGCAGGTTACAGTGAGCTGAGAGCATGCCACTGCACTCCAGCCTGGGCAACAGAGTGAGACACTGTCTCAGAAACAAAACAAAACAAAATTGGTTGCTGCCCATTGCCCAAGAGCATCAAATCCAGCTCATGGCAATACCCTGCATACACACATACCCCACTGGCCTCGAAGGGGTTGCTGGGCTTATCACCCTCCCTTCTTCCACTTGCTATCCATAGCCCCAGATCAGTCTACAGACCAGCAGCATCAGCATCACCTGGGAGCATGTTAGAAATACACAATCTCAGGCCCCACCTCAGATCTACTTAATCAGACTTTGCATTTAAATAAGATTCCTATTTAAATTTTATGCACTTCATTAAAGTTGGAGACACATTGCTCCAGAGCTGTGCTCCCCAGAGTGAGGCAGGTGAGGTAAGCTTTTGAGTATGGAAGCATCTTATTAGAAATTCTCTTTATTTTTATGTGTATTCTCCTCCCATTTAATTTGGATTTTTCCACATATTTTATGAATCACTGCCCATTTTAGCAAATCATCCAGACCCCTGTTCCTGTGCTTTTGCCTACACTATTCCTTTTGCCTGGAATAATTTTCCTACTCTCCACTAATTAAAACTAGCTTCTGAACCCTGCAGCATCCCCTGCTCTAGGAGGCTTCCCCATCCCTTCAAATGGGTCATCACTCTCACTTCCACAATCTTGTAGACATTCTTCTTGCATTGCTTTTGTTTGCCTATTTATCTGCTCCATTAGGTCATGGGCTCCTCAAGGATGAGAACTGTTCAATCTCTATCTGTGTGCCCTCAGAGCATGGCACAGTGATATTTTCTTAGCTAAACAGATGAATAGCTAACTTGAGAAAATTCTGCTATATTTGTAATACCTTTTTATTTTTCACGCCTCTATTTGAAACAAAAGAGAGTTGTTGCCTAATCTCTTTCCTGAGATCACACAGCTCATACTTCTGGATGATTTCTAGCTGGTGACACACCAGCTGGACAGAGAGCTGAAAGTAGACAAGATTTCATTCTCACTCACCTGTAACCAACCCAGAGCATTTCAAATCACGCCCCTTCCAGCTTTGTGTCTATTTGGCATGGATATACACTACAAAGCAGAGAGGGAACAGACATCTGGATTAGAATGTTTAGCATCCTTTGCTTTGTGCAGACTTTAAGCTGAATACATATTTCATGACCATGGTCATGCCAACATTATTGCCCATATGAGCAAAGAGCAAACTCCTCATTTCAAAGAAAATCATTTTGTTTTCTGTCAGGTCCAGGGTAACATTGAATGATTCTGACCCCAACTGGTAAGCTACCACCAAATGGTATTAAGTTTATTAGGGATATAGTCTGACATCTTGTAATAAAATGGTAGCTGATAAATTTTTCAGGTTGGCATATTTCTCTAAATCATATACAATGAAATTTGGCATGTGCAGAGGTCAAAGAGACATATCACAGGACTAAAGTCCATTTCTTCATATGCAAACTTGAGATAATAACACTTACCATGTAGGGTTACTGTGAAGGTCTAATGAGATGATACATGTAAACAAAATTGTACACTTTAAAACTCTACATAAATGTATTACATTTTATTAATAACATTAATCTTTTTTAATGAGTCCTTAGATTTCACTTCATCGGGCGGGCAGTTGCAAGCCCTCTACTCTTTCTTAAATATTTCTTTTTCCTGGCTTTCTGTTGTTCTCATCCTCTTTCTTAATTCAAAGGGATCTATATAACCCTTAGAATTAACTAGCAATTCAATAGTGTGAACAGGATAACCACTTACAGAATACACCTATGCATTTCATTTATTTTGTTTAATCAGGATGTGAGTAAATTATACATTTTTTTCCTCCCTGACATGTCATGCACTTAGCACTATATAGAATTAAACTTTAAGCTAAAGGGTGACATCATTTCTTTTTTTTTTTCTTTTTTTTTTTTTTTTTTTTTGAGACAGAGTCTTGCTCTCTTGCCCAGGCTAGGGTACAGTGGCACCATCTCGGGTCACTGCAACCGCCACCTCCCGGGTTCAAGTGATTCTCCTGCTTCAGCCTCCCGAGTCACTGGGATTTCAGTTGCCTGCCACCACACCCAGCTAATTTTTGTATTTTTAGTACAGACGGGATTTCACCATGTTGGCCAGGCTGGTCTTGAACCCTTGACCTCAGGTGATCCACCCACTTTGGCCTCCCAAAGTTCTGGGATTACAGGCATGAGCCACTGCACCCGGCCCAAGGGTGACATCATTTCTTATCACTCTAATATCCCTTGCCTATGATAATAAATTATCTGCCTCAAACAAGATAGGTGTGCACTTGTTCACACGGAAAGGTAGGCAGGGAGAGGCTAGAAAGAGGACAGAAAATCACAGGAAAGATGGAGACTTAGATGTTGTTTTTCACTTCGGCTGCACCAATATCTATTTTATGGCTATTTTCTTTCAACTATTCAGTACAGTGAAATAGATGTAAGATCCATTCAAAATTGAATTCAGCAAACTTAATTAACCATCTACTACTATAATATGCCAAATTCTATTAATTAAAATAGCAAACATAAATATTTTATATTTATGTATCTAGATAACTGGAAAATAATACAAAAAATCGTATGAGACAGAAAAAGTATATACTAGAAAAGTATATACTATATACTAAAAAGCATATACTATATATGAAGGACTATGATAGCAGAGAGGGATTAATTTAGGCTAAAGAGAATCAGGAAAGCTTTCTCAGAGTATGTGATTTTCTTTGACGAGGGCCCAAAAGGAGCTGAGAATTGGGTAGGCAGAGATGGATGGGAAAGGGATTTCCATGAAGAGGAACAGTGGCATGAGGGCAGGCATGGGTGTGGCAAAGAGCAATGACCTCTACAGAGACATGAATTATAGCACATTGTGCAGTGAGTCTGTTATTCACGACAAACAGGCTTTGTTAAGGATGGAAAATGAATACCTATTATGAGACGTACTTTTGTGTCTTCTTTTTAGTCACGTTAACTGATGTATAATTTACATACGGTAACATTTCCCCTAATATACTTATTTTAACATCTAGCATAGGGCCCCAATGTCTAACTGAAAACTTTGCACATTGCAAATATTCAACATATATTAACTAGGGGGATGAATGGTTTGCCATCAACATGGTATTATTTGATGTTATAAACTGACTCTTTTTTCCACAAGATCTGTTGGTAAGCCATTAAATTGACATGGTAAATAATATTAATGTTTATCTTGATAGTTGTCTGACTTTCAAAGGTCCCTTGACTGACCTCACTATCTATCTCTTCATTTATAAATGCCTGCAGGTATGTCAACTCTCTCTCCAGAGTGTCTCAGGACATTTGGTTTGAAAATAGTTGATATGATTTGGATATTTGTCCTCTCCAAATTTCATGTGAAATGTGATCCACCAAGGTTGGAGATGAGGCCTGGTGGGAGGTTGTTTTTATCATGGGCGTGGATCCTTCATTAATGGCTTGGCACATCCCTTACGGTAATGAGTTCTTGCTCTGTTAGTCCATGAAAGATCTGACTGTTAAGAAAAGCCTGACAGCTCCTCCTTTTCTCTTACTTCCTCTCTTGCCATGTGACATGCCAGCTCCCCTTGTCTCCCACCCTGAGTAAAAACTTCCCAAGGTCCTGACCAGAAGCAGATGTGAACACCATGCTTCCCGGGCAGCCTGCAGAACCGTAAACCAGATAAACCTCTTTTCCCTATAAGTTACCCAGCCTCAGGTATTCCTTTACAGCAAAGCAAAATGGACAAACACAATAGCCATAGAAAATCCTGAACAACATGTAAGACAGGTTATTTTATTTATTTCTCACTTTGTGATGAATAGACATTTTCTAACTAGTACTTTCCTTGAGGAAGAGATAGGATTTCATAGGGAGACTATATTATATTAAGGCAAAAAGACAGCAGTCACATTTTATTGCCCAAAGCCCACTTTCATTCACATTCTCTCCACTTATGGGCACACATACAAAGCAGGCATTATGTGCCCAGTTTGATAGATAAGGAAAAGAACTTTGAAGGCTGAAGTGACTTATTCAAGGTCACACACACAAACATATGGGCAGCAGAGACAGGACTAGAACTCAAGTCCTTACAGTGCTCTTGAGATGAAGTTATTAGCAACAGTCACAAAACACTTTTTAATTGAGGTAAAAAAGAGTTGAAATCACCTTTTTTATGCTGCCTTTGATAAATCTATCTGTCAGAACTCAGTGGTGGAAAACAGAAATGATTTTAGCTATTTTAAACTGAAAGGGATTTAGTACAGGAAATTCAGTGTTCATACAACTATTGGACGGGCTGGAAGGGTAGGCTAAAGGTTGGATCCAGGAATGCCTTCCAGTACGACACTGTGAACCAGCCTTCAAGGCAGCTGCTCCCTCTACCCCAGTTAGAAGGTGGGGTGCCACAGGAATGGTTGACTTCCAGAACACAACCTGGAGCTGTGAGATACAGAAACTACCAACATGCTGCTACAATTGCTTCTCTACTCACATGAAGCTTGTGGCTATACAGTAGAATTTGGCTGCAGGAAAGCACAGCATCTTCAAGACCTTGCATGCCAGCAAAAGTAGTCAAAGCTGCAGAACTCTGCCCTTTTGTCACATTTCCTCTTTTCAAATCTTGCATAGGCACATCTAATTGTGGAAACTTCTTCGCTTCCATGACTCTAGCTGCAAGGGATTCTGGGAGATACAGAGTTGGAATAAATGCCAAATGCCAATCTACTATACCTACAACCCAGAAATTTGGAAATATCAACAGTGTCTCCCAAGACAGATTAGAAATGGGATTCTTGGTCTGTGCTTTAAATGCAGACATCACAGGCAATCTGCATTCAGGTGCCACATGTGGTTGCACAGGTTGTGCATTCCTTAGAATATGAAAGGAATGAACTCCTCAGGTTGAGCACTAGTCACAGAGACTATGGATAGAGTGGCCAACCCTGAAGCTACTCAATGAATAATCTATGCCAGTCTTCTCAAGAGCTGTCTCCATCAAAGCAGGTCTTGGTTATAGCTTTGATATGGAAAGAAAGCCATATATATGACTAGATTAAGGAGCTACTTAGAAATGGACACATTGTGGAGGATCCACCACCCAAGGTGCTAAGGCCATGACCACAGGAGGAAGGTCGAGTGGAAGTTGAGATTGACTTGACAGCCTGATAGCCACAATACCTGCCCAGAGAAGTAGGTCAGGTATTTTCATCAACATTTCTTAGAGCTTAGCATAAAAACACCAGAGAATAAAAGTATCATATGTTATGATCTAAGAAAGTCAAAATCAATTATGCTGTACTGAGAAGTCTTTGAACTGAATTTGCATTATGTAAAATTAGAAATAAAAACATGTTCCATCTCTCTACCCATGTGTTAAACAGACACACACACACACACACACACACACACACACACCAAAGCTCCTTTTTATTATTTTTATTATTCTTCATTTATTTATATTTCTGACTTTTCTCTCCAGATAAACTCAGAATACTGTATTTTGTTCTAGATTTCCCACTCAATAAGAACATTGAGAAGCAGGAATATATTCAGAAGGGAGCAATTAAAACAGGGACAGGTCTGGACCCAATGACATGGGTGAAACAGGTGAGAATTAGGAAACTACTATTAGCCTTGGAAGAGAAGGTAATGGAAGAAAGATAGTCATCTTCACATATCCAAAAAGCCCTCATTCTGAAAGGCTAGGGTGTGTGTGCGGCTCCAGAGAAAGGAATCTGGAAAAATGACTAAAACTCACAGAAAGGGAGAGTTGGGCTCAGTTTAACCATTAGATCTAGCAGCAAATGAAACAAGCTACCTACGTAGGTATCCCTGTGGTGAGATAGCACCTCTAATCATGTTGATCATTTGGTGCCTTGTGTCTGCTGCATAGACAGACTTGATCTGCTGCTGGACTTGAAGCAACACAAGAACACGAGTCATACAGTCTCTCCTCTGTACCCCCAACTCACCCCACAGTAGATGGCATAGGGACAGGAACTCAAATACAATCTAGATGAAAAAATGAAGAGATGAACAAGGCCAAAGGCCACAGATGACATCCTCACAGAAAGACTGGCTTTTGTGGGCCACCCCAGATATCTGGCTCAGCATGTAAGAGTCAGCAATGCTGAGGAAACTGGTGCCTCGGCCAGGGTTTTGCCAAGAGCAGGCTCAAAGTGTGGGCAAGAGAAAGAGAGACACCCATATGGAAGCTCAGAGCCTGGCCTGAGCACGATTCCAGGTAAAGCTGGTGGGAATGAGAGGAATTGGCAGGTTTGGCACAGATGCTATTATGCTTTCTCAGCACTCAGAAACAGTGGCAGAAAAGGCTGGGTTTTTTGGACGGGGAATAGTGACAGAATAGCTTCTAGATATAGAGGGCCTTTGTTTCCAGATCTTCCAGCGTTCTCTATGTATGATCTCATTCACCCTACCTCTGCTCTGGGAAGAAGCAGGCAGGTGGCTGCTACAGAAGGCACATAGGCCTGTTTTGACAAGAGCAGGCAGAATGGCTCCTCTCTGGCAAGCAGCCGCCTTAACAGCCAAGAAAGGACTGTCTTTCAACCCCAGTGACATCATGGAATGATTTGAAACCATATCAGTCCATTTTCTATTCTTGATCCTATGACTCACTGGTTAATATTGAAATGTATATCGCTAATCGTGAATTAGTAACCTGTGATTCAGTGTTGGACTGAATCAGTGAGGCCAAATGGATCTGTGGAACAATTGTGTGTGTGTCTGTGTGTGTGTGTGCTTGATCCAGCACAATGTGTAGAAATGCACCCATCTCCTACATCCACCACCCTACACCTCCACACAAAGCCACCCCTCTCACTAGCTCCCCAGAAGGCCAGGACTGTCATTCTAGTTGCACTGCTACTGAAGTGCATGGTACATCTGATCTGCGAGTGAGCACTTCCTGTTACCTTATTCATAACACCCTGGAATGAAGCTGTTCCTGCCCTAGCTCCACCCCTATCACTCCATCATTTCTTGTATGCCTCTTTTATTTAGTACCTCCCAGGTTTAAGGGAGGGACAGCTCCCACCTCCCATACCTGCCTGTCTGATACCCCAGGGTCCAGCTTGCAACTCTCCATTCTTACAAGTCAGTGGCCCTAGGCTGCGTATTCATGGGCTCAGATGAGAAAGCTTTCTCTGTTGATTCACAGGAAGAGTATTCAGACCTTTGACTTCCTGTTTTTGATGAACCTAGTGAAAGAAAAAGAAGTGCCTTTTTAAAAATATAATTGGCCCCAAACGGTAACACATAAAAGAGAAAAATGGAAAATGCACATTGACTAAGGACTTGTCCATGAAGCCCATCGTCAGGTTGAGGTGCCGGGGACCACCCATGACGCATGGCTAATACTGGAGCAGCCATGTTTCTTGGGACACAAGACATGACTGTTTTTAGGAGAGGAAGTGAAGAAGGGTGTCTTCAACTGAAACCCCAACAGACAAAATGTGTGCAAAGTGAGTCAGTGGGATGCAAATGGACTGTGAGGAACTGAAAAGTCTAACTCCTATTCCAGCAGATGGGGGCTTTTTCCAAGCACTAACCTACCAACCTGATGCGTCTCATTCAAAGGACTGGGGGAAGACCTCACTCATATTCAAAAGTGGCCAGACGATGGAAATGCAAAATACAGTCCTCCATCATAACTCTGGCTGAAATAGCTGTTGTCTATGCAGCATCCATTGCTTGTGGAGGCAAGGTTATAGAGACCAGGGCAGCCTGTGCCCTGCATTGTGAGCATGCTGGGTAAACTGACTAGGGAGCTATAGTGAAGAGGTGTTGAGCCCTTCCCAGCCAGCAGGAAAGCTAAGGGAATCAATATCCCAGCATACCTGTTATCCATTCAAGCTCTGGTTAATAGATGTCATGGTGGCATCCAGATGGGTGTGCCTGGCTTATCAGTGCTTGCAGTGTTTTTCTTTACAGAGTTCTGGCCACCCTCAGAAATGTCACAAGTGTTCAGTTAAGTGACCCCCACACATACTATATGTTCAGTAAATAATATGTCCCTTCTCTCTAGAAAGACTTTATAGCTGTTAGGAATATGGCCCTTGGCAACAACATTTTGGCTTTGCTATTTATAAACTAGGCACCCTTGTGCAAACTGTTAATAATCTAGAACTCTTTCCTAACAGGTTTGTTGTAATAAATTTACTTAATATAAATAAAACAAAGCCCAGGCTATAATAAGTGCTCAATAAAAGGTAGGTAATATTTTTCTATGCCATGGCTCCTCGCATTGATGAATTGCCCCAGGCTGGGCTCAGGCTACATTATTGCACCATTTGTCTTCATGTATTGTAGTTGATTTGTATTTGTCTGCCCATACACACTGGACTATGAATCTCGTAGTGCAGGAGCTATTTCTTGCTCATTTCTGTATTCCCAGCACATAGCATGGGGATTGGCACCTAGTTGGTATTAAAGAAATGAACGTCACATAGCATATTTGGCACGCAGAGCATTGGACCCATGGTCAACGTACAGCAGTGACAAGAGGATGTACCAACCCTTTTTCTTCCCAGCTGCAGGCCTTCTTTCTCTTAGTCTTAGTCTTATGAACCTGCAGAGTCCCCTTCAACCGCAAAGCTTGGGCATAGTATTTCTTGACACATGGAAGCTTGCCCCAGATATTACAGATCAGAACTATGGGGGTGGCACTATGGAATCTGAAGTTTAACATAGACCCCGGATGAGTATGAAGCCCATGGAAGACTGAGACCCACCAAGTTGGGGAAACAGCCACTGGGTTGTCCTGCATGCAGCAAGCAGAGATCAGCAGGCTGCAGGCAGCCTCCGAAACAGAAAGGCAGAGTTTCCTTTCCAACTTCTATAAGAACAAGAAAGCAGTGATTCTCACACCTGCAAGACAAAGGGTGGTGCCACCAGGTCTCAACAGATGACACCTGCGTGTAGAGATAATCACAGGATGAGCCACGTCCTCCAACACAAGATAACAGAACACTCTTTCTCAAACTCCATCAATTCTATTACACCAATAACCCATCCAGAACCCAATTCAACCTTTCTGAACCCAGGCCAGAGGCCTAAATTCCTTGCCAGTCACTTAGGGAGGAGGCAGGACCCAGCATTTACTATGCCCTACTAGGTGGCATGCTTTGTACTAGGCCATCGTTAAATGGCAAAGCATGCACAAGAAGGATGATTTAACATCACTTGGGTTTAGTAAAACCTAAACTCCACATTCCCTCATTGGGGAAATTCTTTTATTATTTTTCTGAAGAGTACAGGAGGTTAAAATAAAAGCCTACCAGTTAATAGCTACATTACAGGCTATGGTTCCATTAAAGCAAGGGGGATTCATACCTGACAACTAGGGGCACATTCATCTAAAACGCAACATTAAAGCCATGAGGCCTCATGCTCCATGCAGATACATCACCACGGCAACAGAGAGCAGAGATGCATGGAGAATAGGCAATGTGAATTTCCCAGGCTCTCATTAAGTTTTTAGTTGATTTGTATCTAAAATGTCTTGGCCTACAGCATCATGTTGGAGAGAGCCACTGACTCTGCAGAGCAGGTAACAAGAGATTCACATTGCATGTTTTCTTTTTGGGCAGCCTCTGGGGGAAGTCAGCACAACATGCCCACTCAGAGATGTCCAGCAAAACATCTGTTCAGCAAAACATCTGGACAGCAGGCACCCATCAGGGCCCATAGACAAAAAGTTTATATAAATCCTTTAATCTGAACTCTTACTCAGGGCACAAACAGCCTTTTGCTCTATGCACCAAACAGCCCACTCAAGGGCAGAGTGTCCAGGGCCCAAGGCAGTACTGGGCCAACAGCACAAGCCTGAGCTTGCCTTTCTAGGGGTGCTTGTCATCCCAAGCACCATCTACCCTACAGAGAGGGCTCATCATGGCCACAAAGCCCAAGCTCTCTGTCTTCCAGTGCAAGAAGGTGACATGAAACCAGTGGAAATCTGGAAGGATCCAGTTGAATCCATAGCTCTAGGGACAATGGTGGGATGTGGTCATTGAGAGGGGCAGTTTTGTCAATGTCAATTCCTCAAGGGTTGGCACTCAAGTTAGGGAAATGCCCAGCTTTTCTCTTTTTTAGCAGAATGGTTTTGAGCCACTTATTGTCATTCTCCCTTTCAAGAGAGGGCTAGAAAAGGAAAATGAGGCCGGGCGTGATGGCTCACACCTGTAATCCCAGCACTTTCGGAGGCCAAGGCGGGTGGATCACGAGGTCAGGAGATCGAGACCATCCTGGCTAACATGGTGAAACCCCGTCTCTACTAAAAATACAAAAAAATAGCCGGGTGTGGTGGCGGGCGCCTGTAGTCCCAGCTACTCGGGAGGCTGAGAAGGGAGAATGGCGTGAACCCGGGAGGTGGAGCTTGCAGTGAGCCACGATGGCGTCATTGCACTCCAGCCTGGGCGACAGAGCGAGACTCTGTCTCAAATAAAAAAAAAAAATAAAGAAAAGGAAAATGAATCCTTTTGAGCCTCCATCAACTAACCTTGAAAAAGGATGGGAAGGAAAGATTAACATGGACAAATGAGGCATGGGTTTTGTGAATCCACACTTCCTCTAATGGGTGCTTTTTGGGAATGAAGGCTAACAGCAGAGAAGGGTTCCTTTCTGCTTCCTCCACTAAGTGACTCCTTTAGAAGCTTCCATGATGGCACAACTCTGGCTTAGGTGTCCCTCGTTGATGTTCCTATAGCACCCTTTCATGATCTGTATTATAATGATTATCTGATTGTCTCCCACTAAAGACTTCAGTCCATGAGGGAAAGAACTGTGTATTGTTTTGTCATTTGCCCCATGTCTGGAATATAGTTTAAAAAGCAATAAATATTTGTTGGATGAAGACTTGAATAAAGATAATGACCAATATATAAACAAATACAGAACCAGAATGCTTGCACATTGTACCCTATTCAGGGCTTTATTTTAAACACCTTATACCCAATTACAAACAACTGTGAGAGGTAAACAGATAATAGTGTTGTTTGTAATTTACAGGTGTGTAAGGCAAGCCAGGAAGAAGTTAAGAAAAGAGATAGAACAGATGTGGAGCTGAAAGGTGTGCCAAGTCTTTGCCTTCTGGGAGAGGTCAGGAACATGCACAATTTCAATATAGCCTGACCACTTGTACATGGCTTTTCACTTTTTCAAAGTGCTTTTACTTTTACTTGAAAAAGCACTTTAAAAAAGTGAAAAGCCATGCACCAATGGCTATATTTCATCTTGTTTTATCTTCACAATAACCCTGTGAAGGAGAGCAAGCTGATACTACTACCCCTGTTTTATTTATTTACCTTATAGATAAGGGAAAGGAGACAGAGAAGCTTGACATCACACCCCAAGACACCTAGTGAGCGGGTGGTAGAGCCAGTGTTAGAAATCCTGAGCTGGTCTTTGTTTCACCGGCTCACGGTGCTGATCTCACCCAAGCACTAGATCAAGACTGGCAGAGGCTTCTTCCAGAGGAGAAAGGAGGGAAGGGAAGGGAAGGGGAGGGGAGGGGAGAAAATGAGCTCTGGAGGAATAAACAGGGAAAGGGGCCTCCAGGAGGCAATAATCCACATGTCAGTCAGAAACGTACTCATGAGCCAGACACTTGAGGCCAACAACTGCCCATGGCTGCCCCTCTTCACCTCTGACAATCTCTGCCCAGTGACCCTTTCCCATTCCCCTGACCCCCTTCCTCTTCCATCTCCCACAATTGTGAGCCAAACTTTCTCCTCTGCCTTTGAACCTCTGTTTATCTCAGTTCCTCTACACCCCCTCCAACTCCACTAAGAAAATGAGGCCATCAGTTAGGAACATTCTGTTTCCGTGGACAACTTCTTCCTTGATCTCTCATCAGCTGTCTACACAGTTGACCATGGCCTCCTTTGTTAAGCCTTCTCCTCTGTTAGATTTGGGATATCTGCCCTCTTCTGGCTTTCCTCCTACCTCACAGACTGCCTCTTCTCAGCCTCCTCCCTCCTCTCCTCTTCTGCCTGTCGGTATGTCAGCATTCCTCAGGGCTCCTGCTCCCCTCCATCCAGGTAGTTTCATCCGGTCTCATGAATTTTAATCTCTTTCATGATTACCAAATTTCCATCTTCACCTGCTCTGCCCCTAAGCAGTAGGCTCCTACATCCATCTGCCTACTTACATGTCCATTTGCATACTCCAATGCATGTCAAATTTCACTTGTTCAAACATGCTTTGATTTGTCCCCTAAAAACTGATCTTCCCATCTTCCTCAACTGATTCATTGGCACCACCATTCACACAAATGATCAAAACAGAAATCTTGGAGTCATCTCTTATCCCTCCCTCTTCCTCAACCCTCACATTCAATCTATTGCCAATCCTATTGGGTCTACTCCAAAAATTTGCACTTAATCAATTTCTCTCTGTTTCAAACATTCCTGCTATAATCCAAACTACCAACATTTCTCATTAGGACCACAAAATAGAGGCTTATGAATGGGTTCCCCATTCCTCCACAACCCCTTCCTCCTGCACACAGCAGCCAGCATGAGCTTTTAAAGTAAACAAGTTGTTCCTCTACCTAGCACCTCTCAATGGTTTCCTATTGTACTTAGAAGAAATTCCAAACATCCCGCCATGATCTTGAGACACACTCCATCCAGGTCTTACCAAACTATCCAAGCTCCCCTCGTCATCCCTACACAAACTGTGCTCCAGTCACACTGGACTTCTGACAACTCACACGCAGACCTGCCTCCCCCGACAGACTCTGTGCTTACTCTTCACCCAGCCTGAAACTCTCTCCCCTGGTTCTCTGCACAGCTACCTTCTTACCCTCTAGCTTTCTGCCTAAATGCCATTCCTCAAAAAGGCCCTCCCTCACTTCCTTTTATTAATAAAAGATATTCTCTAATTCAGGATCGTTATAGCATACAACCTTTGTGACAGGCAACAACTTGTAGTTATTTAGTGACTCTCACAAGAGAAGTTTATATCTCACCCCTGTGATAATCCAGGGTGATTCTAAGCTGGAGAGAAAGGAACTAGGAGCGTAGGGAGTTGCTCAACACAGAAAGTCTGGCACTCAGGCTGAAGGAGGCTCTGCTATCTCCACCACGTGGTCTTCAAAGCCTCCTTGAAGGTTGTCATCCCCATCCTTCAGAAGAAGGAGAGTCTAGAGGAGCATGCATGGGAATTTCAGTAAGTGGCACACGCATTTCCAATCACATTCCAAGGGCTAGAACTCAACCATATGTTGCATCCAATGGCAAAAAAGACTAGGATGTCACCGGCTGCATATGAAGAAGAAAGAAAAATGGTCTGGCAGTCTGGTGAACAGCTGCCTGGCCTCTGCCATGCTGTCCTTTTTTTTTTTTTTTTTTTTGAGACGGAGTTTCACTCTTGTCGCCCAGGCTGGAGTGCAGTGGTGTGATCTTGGCTCACAGCAACCTCTGCATCCCGGGTTCAAGCGATTCTCCTGCCTCAGCTTCCTGAGTAGCTGGGATTACAAGTGCGTGCCACCACACCCAGCTAATTTTTGTATTTTTAATAAAGACAGGGTTTCACCGTGTCGGTCAGGCTAGTCTCAAACTAGGTGATCCGCCCACCTCAGCCTCACAAAGTGCTGGGATTACAGGCGTGAGCCACCGTGCCTGGCCCATGCTCTCCATTCCTTCTGCCCTCAGGCTTAGTAGACATGGTCTCCCTCTTTTGTTCAAGGTCAAATCTTCCCCCTCTGCTTTGAATCTCATCTCTTTCCACCTCCTCAAGGTTCTTTCTTTACCAATTTTCTCCTTTCGTTTCTACATTTTCAACTTCTTCCTTTGTACTTGGATTCTTTCCTCAAATGACATCTTTCATTTGCTAAAGCCACCAACAAATTTCATATTCCCACATCCAATGTCTTTATTTCTCTTGAACTCTGCAGGAGCTGACATTGTGGACCCCTTCTCTCTATTTTAATTCCTCCCCCCATCTTTAGTGATAACACTCTTTGCTGGAACTATACCACCCTTTTTCCCCCACTTCCATAAATATTTTTCCCAGCCTACTTTGTGTTCTCTGTGCTTTCTTTTGCTCTTTATGCATCACCCCCTAGGTTCTGCCTCTTGCCCTTGTCATCATCCCATGTGAACTTCATCTATCACCAGAGCATCAACTATCCTTTGCACTAATATGACTTCCAAATCCATATTTTTAAATGAGAACTCCCTACTACCCTCTAGCCATTATATTCATTTATCTCCACACCATCTTCACTGAGTGTTCTTTAAGTATTTACACCTCACCTTTTTCCATGGAACATTGAAACAGGTCATTTTATATATATATATATATATTATATATATAAAATATATATATAATATATATAAAATGTACATATTATATATAATATATAAAATGTACATATTATATATAATATATAAAATGTATATATTATATAATATATAAAATGTATATATTACATAATATATAAAATGTATATATTATATAATATATAAAATGTATATATTATATAAAATATATAATATATAAAAAATAAACAATATATATAAAATATATATATTATATAAAAATATATGTTATATATAATATATAAAAATATATAATATATATTATATAAAATATATTGTAGATTATATAAAATATGTAATATATAATATATTATATAAAATATATAATATATAATATATTATATAAAATATATAATATATAATATATTATATAAAATATATTATATATAATATTATATATTATATATTATATAATACATATTATATAATATATAATACAGATTATATATTATATATTATATAATACATATTATATATTATATATTATATAATATAGATTCTATATTATATATTATATAATATATATTATATATAATATAATTTATAATATACATTTTATATTTTGATGAAGGATTAAAATATCAAAGGGAAGATATAGCGAAGAAAATCATAAAGTCACAGGATCCCATGTAACCCTAAACAGTTGAATTATCTCAGCTTCATTATCAGCCAGTTCAAAGGGAAATATGATAGTTACTAGATTTACTAAATCTAAATAAAAAGCAAACTAAATATTTATTCTCTTTAGATCCTAAACAATTTCTTGCAGGGAACCTGGCTTTGTAATATTTTGGATATTTCGGAGGAAGTTTTGGACTTCATCCCTACCCTAGAATCAACAACAGGTTGCACATAGATGTGGTTTAAAAATCTTCTTCTATAAAGCTGAGACATAATGCCAAGGCATAATACAATAAAGCGAGCGTTTAAGAGTCCAAAACAATACAGCTCTACCATGCAACTATGTGATGGTCTGGCTTGTTTGCAAGTGAAGATCTGAACATCTAAAGAAATATATTTACTGCAAATTATTAAAAAATATCTTCCTATACTTATTGTTTCTCACAACCAAGTTATTCATGGGATCAGATAATAAAGGCTTCTCTGTTTCAGTATTTGGCCCACAACCTAAAATGTAGACAGCAAGTGGTGTTAATAATTAAGGCATAGATGCATAGATCTTGACAATAGCCAAGATGTTGTCCTCTTAAAAAAAAGTAGAAACTTAACCAAGATAGTCTCTATGGAATCTGCTTCTGAATATCCCTCAGGCATTTCAAACTCATCTTGTCCAAAACTCAGTTCACCATCACTTCCCTTGAACTTTCACATCCTCCTGTTACCTCAAGACGCAGACTGAAAGGAAACACTTTCAGCACAGACACTTGACAAGAGAAATATACAAAGTACATAAAGAACTCCTACAACTCAATAAGAAAAAGAAGATCAACCAAATAAAATAGGCAAAAGATTTGAAAAGACATTTTCCTAAAAGAGGAACTACAAATAGAGTCATCATGGAACCCTTCTCCCAAAGTGGGTCCTGCCAAACAGTAGTTCAAGAAGGGCCTCAAGGTCAAAGGCAAGGAATTTGAACTTTACCCAAAAATTACTGAATGATTTTAAGCAGGGACAAATATGCTCAGCTTTTAAATTCAGCAAGATCACTCTGGATGTTAGTAAACGTTGTAATACATTAAAAATAGAAATGGTTCTATGGTCAAAGACATCTGGAGAACCTAAACCATCCATCAGGAAGCTGGGCTGCAGGAGTCCTCAAGGACACTGCGGAGTGAAGCTCTGTCACTGTTGAGTGACTGTGGTGAAGATTCTTGTCCTTGACTTCCCTCTCATACTCTTCCACTCAGGTGCAGTCAGTCACTCCATCTCGCAGGGTCATTCCAAAGTTGCCTTCTCTCCTATCTGCACTCTTGATGCTTTCTATGTTAGCTCCTAATGTGGCTCCTGACCTCCCATCTAGCCCACATTCAGCCCACTCCTGCCAGAGGGAGATCTCTCTAGTGCAGATCTCATCACTTCACTCCCTTAACTAAAATCCCTCCATAATTCTCCACAGAAAATAGGATCGAGTTCAAGTTCCTTACTGTAACTTACAAGGCTCTTTCTAACTTGGCCACTGCCACTCCTCAACAGGTCCCTGCACCCCGGATTTGAAAAGCTGCTTGTCCTTTCTCAAAGGGATGCTTCAGCAACCTGCACCTTCGCACGCAATGTCCCCTCTTTATTTTCCTCCCCAGCCCCCTTGCCATTCATCTTCTAATCCCACTCTTGCTTCAGAGCTGTTCAAACGCCCCAGACAGTCTGACTTCCTTGGAGACTTTGCGGGTAAGATTCCATGCCCCAGCCCTCCTCCTCCCTCCATCTACACCCCCTGCTGCGGGGTGCTGTCACCACTGGTGTGTTTGTTCATCTCCCTGATGGGAGTAGGTGAGCCTTGAGATCAGGGCTATGCTGTCGGTTCTATTCATCTCTGCATCCCACACACCTAGCACAGAAAATGCCCACCGGCCATCCTGTTCACTCCTGCTTGTCTTTCAGACTCACTGCAAACTCACATCCTCAGGGAGCCTTCTTTAACCTCATCCTACTGGGTCACAGACTTCTGTCGTGAGCTTTCCCACTTCCGTTCAATTTTCCTCAACACTCTTGTCATCCCTCATCACAGCTTAATTATTTAGCAGTGTGATTACTTCACAGCGAGTGTCTCCATGAGGTAGGGATCACATCCATTGTGCTCCCCGTGTTAGAGCAGCACTTGGCACAGAGCTAATATTCCATCATTATGAACAAAGGAGTGGATGGGAAAGCATATGTGAATCTACAGTAGTGCCTGCCTGGGATAGAAGAGGCCAAGGGCTTGTTTGTTGTTGTTGTTGTTGTTGTTTAATTCAAGAGGGCATGTGTGGTGGTCACCTACAATCTGATAAAGGGTGAAGAAATCAAGAAGCAGAAATCCTACCGATCAGGTTTGGATGTTTGTCCTGTCAAAATCTCATGTTGAAATGTGAGCTCCATGTTGGAGGTGGGGCCCGGCAGGAGGTGGCTGGATCATGGGAGTGAATGCCTCATGAATGGTTTAGCACCGTAGCCTCGGTGATACGTGAGTTCTCAGTTAGTTCAAGTGAAATCTGACTGTTTAAAAGTCTGGGACCTCCCCCATTTTCTCTCTCTTGCTCCCACTCTCACCATTTGAAGCACCTGCTCCCTACTTCACCTCTGCCATGACTGGAAGTTTCCTGAGACCCTCACCAGAAGCAGATGCCGGAGCCATGCTTGTACAGCCTACAAAACTGTGAGCCAATTAAACCTCTATTCTCTATAAACTACCCAGACTCAGATATTTCTTCATGGCAACAGAAAAACTGACTGATACACCTACCTACAAAAATCATACCAAGATGCTCCTGTTTGGAGCCGATCATTGTGGTGCATGCCTGTAATCCCAGCTACTCAGGATGCTGAGGCAAGAGAATCACTTGAACCCAGGAGGTGGAGGTTGCAGTGAGCCGAGATCATGCCACATAATTCCAGCCCGGGTGACAGAGCAAGATTCTGAAAAAAAAAAAAAAAGAGATGCTCTTGTCTGGAGAGAAGGGGAAAGGGGATGTGGTGACATACAGAGAGTTTCTCTTTCTCTGTCCCTTTCCCATGTCCATGACTGAGTGCAAGCAGATGGAGGAGAAGAATACGACATGCTGAGTTTGTCAATGAAGGAGTCAGGCTGACTCAGAGATGAAACCTATGGTGTACTTTTTCCCCTGGTTCCCCAGTGGTGTTTAATTACCATCATTATTAATTTATCACAGTAATTCTCTTTCAAAATCATATAGTGCTAAAAATAGTGTTTCATAAACGTGTGAAAATTGAATCTAGAAATTATTTACCAGGTTCCACATCCTCCCCAGAACTCCTCATCAATGAAAATTGATTTGAAGCTGATTTTTTTGCAAATCCATTGCCCATTCACCAACCAGTCCATGGAAATAGAATAAGCAGAAGGTCCTCCCTTTCTCCTAATAGCACTCCAAACTCCCTTTCCTCAGCTCCTTTGATCTGAAAATCTTTATCTTAAAGCACTTTATACACGGTCATTAATTTTCACAGCACTCCTGCTAAGAAGATTCTATTACTTCCATTAAACCATAGAGTAAACCAAGAAGCCAAATTAAGTGATTTGCCCACTCAGGAAATTAGTGGCCTGACTCAGTTCAAACATAGCAGCTAAGATTTCCAAGGCCTCGCAGCCAGCTGCCACCCTGACATTTCCTAGCTCCATAGAGTGGATAAGGGCCTGGGCTTCTGTGTCAGTACAACCTGGGTTCAAGTCCTACTTCTGAAATTTCCTTGGCAAATTACTCAACTTCCTTAAATGTGTGAAAATCTGCGATAAGAACACTTGTTTCATAAAGTCGCTACGAGGATTAAAGATGATAATGTACACAGAAGTACTTAATACATAACCTGGAACAAATAAAGAGCTATGTTATTATTATTGTACACACCTGGAAGGGTATACTCTTCACCCAGCCCCCTCTCATAATCTTTTCTTCACCACATCAGAAAATGAGCAAGCCACACCTGCAGCTCTATTTACCTCTGCTATATGACACACACATTTGCAGATAAAGTCTTCTATGGGAATAATAGGACACCTGAGCACATTCCTGGGGCACTGCTACATCAGCAATTATCCAAAGACTCATTGACATATCCACCCACCCACACATCCTCCCATCCATCCATCCACCCATTCATCCGTTTGACCACCCACCCATCCATCCATCCACCCACCCATCCATCCATCCATCCATCCATTCATTCATTCAAGCTTAGTACACATAGTAAGCACCTACCATGTGTAAGCCTGTGTTAAATATTGTGGGATACACTAAAATGATTCAGACATGGTCTCTGCCCTCAGAGCTATAAATACAATTAAAAGAAATTGTAAAACAAAATGGAATGTAAAAAGTGTTTTAAGGGAAGTTATTGAAAGTGAATGAAGGGCATTGCCACATGGAAAGAATAGTGAATTAAGAACAAGGAGATTTTTTTCTCAGCCCTGGTTTTAATGTTGGTCTAACATAAACCCTGTCACCTCCCTAGGCTTTGGTTTCCCCGAAGTAAGGAGGCAGAAGTGGAAGATCCCGAGGTCCCTGTAACTTCTAACATTTCATTCCCTCTGCCTCTACGTAAGTGAAGGTAACATTCAAACTGAGCACTGAGTAGCAGGGTATTGCATTCCAGGAGTGGAGACTCATACAAGCAAGTTTATGAAGATAGAAATACATCAATATTAATGGAATGGCAAGTGGTACCATTTGAATACAGCGAATGGCAAAAGAAGGTAATGTCTTGAGAGTTAGATTCAGAATAATTTGTGAAGGGCCTTATTTTTAGGCCAGAGAAATAAAAGAATTAGTTACTATTGAGCAAGTGCAAAAGAGCCTTCTTATGTGTCTGTGCAAGGAGCCTACTTTCTCAGAGTTACCTTCTCCCTACACTTCTCACACCTCCTTACACCTGCGCACCCTACAAGCAAGGGCTGGACATGGCCGAAGTCAATCACTTTGCAGAAAGTCAAAGTCCCTATTGAGAAAGGCCCCTGAAGAAGCTGAGCTGGGGTGCAGGGCCTCCCCCATATTCCCTGTAAGCCCTGTGATCACCAACACGGAGTTATCTTGGAGGGCTGTTCTCGTCTCCAATTACGCCCTGTACATGGTCATATTCCCCCACCCTCGGCAAACCAAAATGAGGCGGCAGCAAGGGCGAGTAAATAGTCTGTTTAGGGGCGTGCAGGC
Organism: Homo sapiens; assembly: GCF_000001405.40. NCBI lineage: Eukaryota > Metazoa > Chordata > Mammalia > Primates > Hominidae > Homo > Homo sapiens. Next base: position 40,220,000 of record NC_000013.11, read on the forward strand.
AATGCTCCAGGTTGTGCCACCAGGCCTCACTGCCAGGCCCTCTGTGATGGGTGCTCAAGCAAGCAGGGGGAAAGGGGTGCTTTCCTGTCCCCGCTGGAACGGCCTTCCCACCCATCTGCCTGGTAAACGCCTACTCATACTTCAAGCCTTAGCTCCAGAGTTGTCTGATCTAGAAGCCCTTCTTGACCACCCTCAAACCCTTCCCAGGCACAGTGGGCCCCTCACTCTACCCTACTCAGAATTTTCACAGCACCCGTGATTCTTAATCGTATTTATTCACATATCTTTCCCCCAAACAAGCTGCAAACAATCCCTTGGGCAGGATACTCTGTCTTAGTTATCTTCGTACTCAGTCACCTAGCCTTTACCTGACACGTGGTTGTACCTCATGAGCATTTGTCAATAACAAGAGTAGCTGACTTTCGCAGAGCACTCACCCCGAGGCAGGCACCACACTGGCAGCTTCACATGCACTAGTCATTCAATCCCCACAGCAACTGTTTATGTTTGGTGCTATTATCCCCACTTTATAGATGAAGAAACTAAGGCATAGATGAGCTAAGCAACTTGCCCCAAAGTGAAAGCACTACTTTCTTTTCCAAGATCTTTATCACTTTAGATATACAGTAGGTAAAGCAATCTGAAATTGAGAAAACCTCTAACGCCATTGCAGAACTGGGGGTTGTAAAAACGTTAGTCCAAGCTGACGCTGAAACAGTGGGAAATGTGTAGACACCACAGACTCAAATTCTGAGAATTCTTTATTTTTGGAGTCAGTGTCTCACTCTGTTTCACAGACTGGAATGCAGTGGTGCAATCATAACTCGCTGCAGCACCCAGCTAACTGTTTTTATTTTTTTGTAGAGATGGGGTCTTGCTATGCCGTCCAAGCTGGTCTCGAGCTCCTGGCCTCAAGCGATCGTCTCACTTCCACAGATGGTGAGAATTCTTCCTTATTCACCCCTAGTAAGGATTCACTAGTAATTTAATGATAACACCATAATACCCAAGTCACATAGTCCGATCATTAAGCCCAGTTCATGCTTATGGAACATCTGATAAAATAAATTTTAAACTATGACCTGCTCCTCTCCCTCCCACACTAACTCTGTGGACAGAGATTCATTTGCAACAACTTTTCTCCCACTGACTCCCAGTGACCTTTCCCACCACTGTCCCTTTTCAAATACAGAGTGCGTGTAGGTAAGCCCTCCCCAGGAGGGAAGAAAGAGGCCATTAGGCAGAGAGGAGATTTGCAGGGTGGAAGTACTAACTGGTTCTATCCCACTGCCCACCTCTGAAAATAGCCTCCTTGATGGCCACAAGCCCAGACATCTCATGAGAGCACCAAGTAGATTACATTCTTATTTATTTAAAAGGAAACAGCCCACCTGGGCCTGGATTCTCCACAGAAAAACAAAAGAGAAGCAGAGAGAATCAAACTAGCTCTCTGGAACAAAGGTGTACAGTTTAAATGATTGCACAACAACTGCTGCAAACCAGAACATTCTGTACGGTCGGAAGAGGCTTAATTAGCCTGAACCAAAAGTCTAAGGTCATGTGATTCAGAACATTTCACAGCCTGGGTTGTGACATTAGAGGTGCTACGGGCCATCCTACCAGACCACTGTGGGGCCCCAAACTGGACAGCCTTTTGTTTTCTCCAACCGAGGCTTAATTTAAATTAAAAACATCGAGGGGTAGTGGGGAGCCTCTGCCTGTCCTTTGGAAGCCACAGTTGTTTCATTTGTATGCGTATCTGTGTGTATTCTGAGAGTGTGTGTGTCTGTGGGTTTGTTGGTGTTCTATGCTCCTAATCAAAGAAAGCTTATGAAAGAGAAAAAGAAGTTTAAATAGCAAAGTAGTGACATCATTTCCAAGTGTTCTGGGATGAGAAGATTGTTCCATAGTTTACATATTCATTTATTCATTCATTCTTTCTTTCTTTCAATCAAACTCTGAGCGAGCATCCATTTAGCCTTAGACTCTGTTACAGGAAACAGACCGCGAAAGACGCATGTTCCTGCTATTAGTTCCTATCATTGCTGTAATAGATTACCACAAACCTGGTGTCTTCAAACCACAAAAATTTATTATCTTGCAGATCAGAGTGTCAGAAGTCAAAACTGGGTCTCACTGGGTGAAAATCAAGTTGTCAGCAGGGCTGGCCTGCTTCTGGAGACTTCAAGGAAAACCCATTTTCTTACCATTTCCAGCCTTTAGAGGCCACAGACAATCCTTGTTCATGGCCCCTTCCCCTATATTCAAAGCCAGCATGTCAGACCGGGTCTTTCTCATGCTACAAGCTCTCTCTCATACTACCAGCTCTCTGGTTCTCTACTCTTCTGTTCTCTCTTCCACTGTTTAGGATTCCTGTGATTACATTGGGCCTACCCAGATCACCCAGGAAATCCCCCCACTCCAAGATCCTTAACTTCATCACACCTGCGAAGTCCGTTTACCAGGTAGTGCCAAAATATGAGGTGATATATTCACAGGTTCCAGGGATTAGGACTTGGACATCTTTGGGGGACTATTATTTTGCTTCCCACAGTCCCCATGTCAATAGTTCTTATTTTTTAGACCTGACTGAAACTGACTAACCTTCATTTTGGCCTATTGTTCCTCATTAGACTCCTTGGCTATGCTTTCAGGGTGTATTCACAGACATCATTTTTGTAAACTGTCCTCAGGCCTCTCCTGGTTTCCTTTTAACCATTAGCATGCACATTTATCTCCCTTGAAGTCTCCTTCCAAGACACCCTACGCAAGGAAATAATTTATTATTTAAGACACATTAGTCCAACTTTGGATTTGGAACTAAACACAAACACTAAGATGAATATTCATAGACTCTTGAAGCAATGGCCTGGCCCTTACCTTTCCCCAGAATGGGTTCTCTGGGCCAAGCCCAGAAAGGTACTTACATGGCTGGCTTCCTGCTCACAGTTGAAATGTGTCTCAGTTCTCTGCTTGCAGTGCGTCTCCAGTTTCTCCTTATTCTTGGCCTGCTGAATCCCAGCAGCTTGGATCAGCCATTTTCCCTTTTGCATTCATTTCCATCTGGGGGATGGAGTTTTACCTGGCTCTGATTTCTAATCCCTTTACCTGTGCAGTGAACAGAAGAATGCTGCCACCCCACAAAGATAACCTCATTCTAATCCCTAGGACGTGTAGATATAGTCACCACACATGGCAAACCTCAGCAGATGCAACTGAGGTTAAGGACATTGAGATGGGACAGTGTCCTAGATTAAATGAGTGGGTGTAATATAATCATAAGGGCCCTGGTGAGGTAAGAGGCTTTCCTGGCTGCAGAGAGCCCAAGAGAGACAACAGCGTCAGAAAGAGTTGATGTCCCAGTCCTGGTCCCAAAATGTAGCAGGCTATTTGTAAGGACCAGACAGAGATCTGCAGATGCTGGAAAGGGTGGGGAAAGAAGTCCTTCCCTAAGGCCTCCAGAGAGGAATGCAGCCCCCTCGACACCCTGAATTTAGCCCAGCAAGACCCTTGTCAGATTTCTGACCTGCACAACTGTAAGATAATAAATACACATTGTTTTAAACCATTAAATTGTGGTAATGTGTTACAGCAGCAATAGAAAGTTAATACAATGTGCATTCTTTTGCAGTCTATGCTGATGATTTAAGCCCTCAAAATTAATGTGATTCAGAGTCATTAGTGGACTGGCAACACCCTCCTCCAGATCATTAGCCAGAATTCAAATAAGCCCAGGCCTAATGGGGACCCCTGCAGGACTCCATCTGAGAGCGCCTTGGGTTGAAGTGGGCATGACATTAATTAATCTTCTGTAGGCCTTGCGATTCCAGGGCCTGATTTTATATCTGAAGCAATCTGTATTTTCCCTCCCAGACATGACACTGGACAGGTTTTGCCTTTGTAAGGAAGATTATCTTCCCCGTCCTTCCTCCACTGATGTGGCAGTCAGTGCCCCCTCCCCACTCCATACCACCACCTCTCCCCTGATGCATGTGTGCGCGCACACACACACACACACACACATACACACACATAGACACATGTGCAGAGACACATGCATACAGAGACACAAACACACACATAATCACATACATATACACTTCTTTCTTTTTTGAAAATAAAGCAGTCCAGATTTTGAAAAATATTTGCTCCCTCAGTGCTCTGCTGGGGATTGCCCCAGGGTTTGTGAATTTCTTTTACCTGCTAAGTAATTTATTATGTAATAAAACATTGGGTACTTAAAGGAACAGTAGATTGAACCAGTCAGTTTTCAAGCTTTATAGAAGAGAAGACTTAGGTTGAATTTTTTCTTTTAAGGGATACCAAGAACTTCATGGATTTTTGCCATTAAGTCTTTGAAGATGCCAGCATGTGCCAGGTGAGGGGCAGTAATCCTAAAATGTACCATCATTTTGCCTGATTGGAAGCACTTCTTGCTTCAGACTTAGAGTTTTCGAGATGATCTGTTTGGTCTTCTGATTCTTGTGTTCTCAGTATTCACGCCTCTGCACTATATTCCAGACACTATTCTGGGTATTGGGGATGCCGGGGGTCCCTGGGTGAAAGATTGAAGTTGTAGATACAGATTTTTTTTAACTTTTATTTGCATTTATTTTATGCTGAATTTATTCCCATGCCATAGTTTTTGTTTCTTTAGTTTCTTCTGGGATATCTTTTTCTTCTGTGCAACCTCCTCTTCTGGTTTAAGAGCCGATTGTTCCTTTTCAGTGAGGATCATTTCAATGTGTCAGGGAATGTTCATGTACGGGCAGAGCACGAGAGTTCTTAAAGTGAACAAGAAGATTTGAACCTCTTGATTTGCATGATTTTGTGGAGTTTTCTGGCTCAAATGAATAATGAACCATTTTAACAGATCACCTCAGGCTGCTTAGGGGAAGAGCAGAGATTTTATTTTTTTATGTGCACAAATTTATGAAGTACATGTGCAATTTTGTTACATGTGTAGATTGTACAGTGGTCAAGTCAGGGCTTTTAGGGTATCCAAATAACATACATGGTACCCATTAACCAATGAAGATACAGATTTGAAAGTCATTGACCATGATTAGCATTAAAAGCCATTGGAATACAGCATCACCCTGGGGTGTGTGTAGGCAGAGAAGAGAAGGGGAATCTAGCCCAGAACCCAGAGCACGACAAAACTTAAAGGTCCAGCAGAGGAGGAGGAATTAAGAACAGAGGATGCTTTCATGGTAGGAGGAAAACCAGCAGGGTGGGGGATACCATGCAAGCCGCAAAAGAAAGTGTTTCAAGGAGAAAGAATAGTTAGTTAGTGGTGCCAAATGCTGGCAGAGGTCAAGCATGGAAAGGACTGATTGGTGATCACTGGTCTTGATGACACAAAGGTGATGTTGACATGAGCAATTGGAAGAGATGGAAACCCAGTTGGAATGGTTGAAGATAAAACATGGAAAAAAGGAGTAGAGACCATGGCTTCAATAAATTTTCAATTAGTTGCTACAAAGAGCAGCAGATGCAAGTAGTAGCTGGAGGTGGAGGTGGGGTCATAGGGAGGAATTTCTTAAGTGGGAACACTAGTGATAAGGATAAAATACAGTGGAGAGACAGAAATAGTGAGGCAGCAAATAAAATGGATAAATGCAAGGAGGAAATCCAGGACATAGTGAGAAGGAAGGGACCCAAAGTGCAAGGAGAAAAGGCTGACTTGGGTAAAAGCAGAAAGTTCACCCACGGAACCAGAAGGCAGGGCAGTGAAGATGTGAGCACAGAAGCAGGTGTGTTGGCAGATTTGGCAGGGAGAAGATGAGGGATTTCCTATCTAATTAACTCTGTGTTCTCAAAGAAGTATGAAGCAAGGTCATCATCTGCCTTTTGTATATCTTCAGCATCTGAGCTAGTACAAATGCTGCTGCCTTGTCAGCTAAGGTGATACCTAGGATCCTGGCGCAGGATCTGGTGTAGACACTGATTACTTATCAAGAAAATCACTTCTCCTGTTGATGCATGCGCTTCTCAGCTTTGAGATGGTAAAGACAACTATCGTATTAATCAGACATGGAAGGAGTCACTCTTGAAATTTCTGCTCCGGGAAATATGGCTAACTAGAGATCCAGAGATATCTGAAACACTGAATACCTTTAAAATATGTTTTGATACGTATGGCAGAGCTGGCAGGAAGTAAGGACAATTCTGAGAGGCTGGAAACAGTGAGAAGATATGAGCGCAGGGAGGTAAGCTACAATTGGAGCCAGTGCTGTCCTGTGTTGTCTGAAGACCACTGGATACCTCGAGCCTGGGTTTTAACTGGCTCTGTGCCTAAAAGACAGGAGACAATGCCTCAGCTAGAGATGAAAAGTCAGACTGAACCCTGGCAACAAACAAACAACAGGACCTCAGAAGGGAAACGCTCTCAAAAACTGAACTTAAAAAATAAAATCTACCGAAGAAGAAGCTGGATATAAGTCTGTCTCATTCTTGGCCCTTGATGGCGGGGAGCATCAGTAGGAAAAACATCTCCTCAGAGAATATCTATCCAAAGCCTACACTTAAGAGGTTTGGGGGCTGGAATTCATTCCAAAAATGCAAGACAAACACGCAGTTAAAAAGGAATAGACTTCAACCCATGTCTCAGAAAATTGCTGCAATAAAGTTCTAGTAACTGGTGTTTACAGAGACAGAGACAGAGATAGAGAGATCCCAAAACACGAAAGAAAACAAGTCACCATGAGAAGGATCAATAGAACCAATAAATTGCAAAACCAGACCATATAAGAATACAGGAACAGGATTATCAGATGAGAATGTAAGATATGTTTGTTTGATATGTTTAAAAACTGAAAGGCGGCGGCTGGTCCAATTGAGTGCAGTGGTGTTTACAACTAATCAATTACAACCAGTTACAAATGTCTTTGTTCTTTTTCCACTCCCACTGCTTCACTCGATTAGCCTTAAACAAAACATAAAGTAAAATAAAACATGAAGGTAAAAGGTGGCAAGATTAAAAAGTTCTAGAGGTCTGCTGGACAACATTGTGCTTATAGTTAACAATACACTCTACCCTAAAAATGTATTGAGGATAATTAATTTCATGTTTTTATAACAATGAAAAAGAAACATCGTATAGAAAAGTTGGCAGAGAAAAAGAGACTACCAAATACAATCAGACAGATTTTGATAAAAATATCAGTTAGAAATTTGAGAAACAAAAGCTAAAGTAACTAGTCAGAACTACAGAGAAAATTTGTAAAGTCAAATATCAAGCTGAAGAAATTACCCAAAATGGGCCAGGTGGGGTGGCTCATGCCTGTAATCCCAGTACTTTGAGAGGTCGAGGCAGGTGGATCACCTGAGGTCAGGAGTTCAAGACAGCCTGACCAACATGGTGAAACCCTGTCTCTACTAAAAATACAAAAATTAGCCAGGCGTGGTGGCAGGCACCTGTAATCCCAGCTATTCTGGAGGCTAAGGCAGAAGAATCACTTGAACCCAAGAGGCAGAGGTTGCAGTGAGCCAAGATCGCGCCATTGCACTCCAACCTGGGTGAGAGAGCAAGACTTTGTCTCAAAAAAAAAAGAAAAGAAAAGAAATTACCCAATATGCAAAATGTATACAGTGACAAAAAGATAAAAAATACTAAGGAGAGGTTAAAAGGCAAGGAGGATTGAGGGGAAAGTTCTAACATACATCTAAAGGGAGCACCACAGGAGATAATGGTGAGAATGGGGAAGGTGAGACAAAGAGATCATGAATGAGACCTTCCAGAGCTGATTAATGACAATGATCCTCGGATTCATAAAGCCCAATGAACATCAAGATTTCCTAATGAAATCTTCACCCATACACACCCAATGAGAATGCAGAATCACAAAAGACAAAGAAGTACTCAGAGAAAAAGACAGATAACCTACAAACAATATTAGCTCAACAGCTAATTCATGAACAGCAACAACACTGAGAGAAAGTCATTGTCAACCCAGAAAAACTCTCCTTCAAATATGAGGGTGAAATTAACACATTTTTTCAAATAAGAAAAACCTGAGAGATTTTTACCAACAAACACTCAGTACAGGAACTTCTAAAGGATGAATTTCAGGAAGAAGAAAATGATCTCAAAAGGAATTAAATGGTTCTCAAGAAGAAATCAGAAGTAAAGAAAATAATAAACATATGGGTAAATATTTTAAGGTACAAAATACTAAATGTGATATCCAATTTGTGAAGTTAAAAAAAGAGATAGAAATAAAATACTAAACAAAAATAGCGTATGAGTCAGAAACAGGTAATTAGGCAACTTATCTCACCCTAGGAGTGACAGTTCTCTACCACCATAAATGTGAAGTAGCAGCCATTTTCAAAATGATCTCTGGAATCTAGTTGTTTCTACCTCAGATCAGTTTTTGATATCTTGCTCGAAGCGTTAATGGTTGCATTTTCTATGAGCCAAATTTCCTAATTGTGGCACTTGGGTACAAACCCAAAGCATTTAAGTAGCTCAACCAAGTGCAACACATCCAAAAACTCCTAGATTTTTGCTTTTTCCATTTCCGTCTCCATTTAATTTTGAAGAGTGATGAGATAACTGCAATGACAGCAATCTAAGTGGTTGTATATTTTGTCTAAAATGCCCTGAAATCATTCTGAGATATTATGTAAATACTCACATCTGCTCATTACGTCTTTAGAGGGGAGGCTCCACAGTCCTCCTGCCAGTGCTGTTTCTTAAGATGAGATCATTAGAAAAGGATTAGTGGTGTAATGTCTGCGGGGCTCAAACAATAATTTGAGACTTTCAGATGTGCACAAGGTAATTTTAAATAAATTCCAGGGTTTTTCTGATGATAGCCCTCAGTTCAATCATAGCTGCCTTTAAAGAAATGCTAATTGGATGAGGTAATATTTAATGCAAAACTTGACGCATGCCAGGCCCTCAATAAATATAGCTATCATTATTCTTAGTATAATTTCTGGGTATAAATAAAACAAACACAGAAAGTGTGGCACCATGATGGACTTTAGAAGTCTTGGTTCCCAGCAGTGACTTATAACTTTCCAAGGCCACAAAATGGAGGGGACAGAGAGAGACTTAGATATCACTACATTTGATTTCTGGGGATTGCTGATTCATTGAGTTAATAAATATTTAGAGAGCACTTATGCTCGGCAATGATGACACAATAATATACAAGATGTGATCCCTCCTCTAAAGGAATTCACAGTTGACTAGTAAAACTGTTGCCAGACCCTGGAGACAGAGATGAACAAGGTATGTGTCTTCGGTATCTCACCATCTATTAGAGAACACAGATAAATTTTAAACCCATAAATTACAAAACATCACTGTTGTAAAAGAGTCATAGACAAAGCATTGGAGGGTACAAGAGACAGGATACCTAATCCAGATTAATGGTGTTGTGGAAAATTTTAAAAGGAGTTGACTTTTGAAACTGGACTTGGAAGATGAATAGAAAATAAAAAGAAAAGAAGGAGCATCCTGGACAGAGGGGAAAATGCCTCTAGAGCCACAAAATGGGATGCCAGCTTTGAGGAATGGCGAGCAGTTCTGCTGGCTTGATTGTCGAGTATGTAGGTGAAAACTGGCAAAAGTATGGGCTGGACAACTAGATTGGACTCAGTCTGGGACAAATCTTGCAACATTTACAAAGAATGTACACCTTATCCTAGAGCAGCAGGGGTCAACATGGAATTGGAAGCAAGAGATGGCTATATTGAATCTTAAAAAAAATAATAATAATTTCAGGAAGATGGTGTTAAAGTCACCCCAGATATGAAAGAGAGAAATGGTCAGAAGAAAAAAAAAAACACAGTGTAAAGGCCATAGCAATAGTCTAGACAGGACATGATAATGATATGAATCAAATCATAGCAGTGAGAATGTTACCAGACATATAAGGAGAAATTTGGCAAGACAGGCAACAAATTGAATGTGGTAGGAGAGAAAGAAGAGAAAGCAAAGATGGTGAAGGATTATCTAACTTGAGAAACTGAGTGAGCCAGTTTCACTACTTTCTGAGAGAAAATGTGTAAGATATAGAACAGGTTTGGGAGAAACACAACAAATTCTGTTTAGCAAATTTTACCTTTGAGATGCTTATGTTATCTCAATAGGGAGGATGTATTTGGTAGGCAATTCAAAATATGGGGGTGATGTTTTGGGGACACAAGAATTTGGAAGAGTGATAGTTGAAACTATCTAGGAGTTTGAGGATGTCATCTGATGAATTCAAGATTTAAAACCAAACCATAAAACAAAATATAGGAAGGAGACCGAAGGGACCCAAAGATCCGTTCAGAGCAACCCTGTAAGATCAATCACTCAGGACAACCCACGAGGCACTGCGTCCTGCGTCAATCACTGTGGAGGAGGACAATAGACATGCAAAGCCTCCCACATTTTCCTCACCTCTCCTCTAAGCAGAAAATGCTCAGGCTACATTGCTACTGCTTTTCTGCTACTACCTCTCTTAAGCCATGACGAGCTACAAACTCACTGTCAGGATTCTTGAACTTTTCTTTACATCCTTTAACTGACTAGAAGTCTTTGAGATAAAAAGGAGATAACGCAAAATACATAGATAATAAGTTGGTTCACCGAGAAGCCACAGAGCAACAAAACCGACCCAGGACTAAAAGCTCATGGCTTCTCTTTGTGACAGTGGCCTACCTTTGATCCCAGCTTCCCCCTTCAAGGTATATGTCCATGCACTAGAATATCCATCACAACACTCCCCACATTGACCTGCCTAAAGAACATGCTATGGAAAGATGACCTACATCCATTTTTACTATCTCCCCACAGCACAGTTTCCTTCCTCATGACTTCCATAACATCTGCTGTGTCTTTTCCTTTGAAGACAAAAGCAGCCTTGGAAAACAATGGCATTCAAACAGCCAGGGACTGATTGATCTCTCTTTGCTCCTGGTTATAGTCTCTGCTTTACCCTATCTCTGTATTTATGCCCTTGACATATTTTAAATTCAAGGATAATAAGACAGGATCCAAGTTCATGCCCCCAAACTGCTCACATCTTCCTGGAAATGACTAGAAATCCTGACATTCCCAAGCAAGAAGTCTCCTCTCTAGCTGTTAAATGATGGTAAGTGGGAATGGCAGATAACTTTAAATCGACCATTAAAATCGTTTGCCATGCATCATCAGCACTTTTCAAACTGGAGTCTGAGGTGCCCAATGATAGGAGCTGTGGGCCAGATGACTCATGAAACCACGAGATAAAACTGTTGCTTCTCTTTAAAACTTCAGTTTTACTAGATTTGAAGGGGAATTTTGTCTTAATATTAAATAAGCACAAATATATTAAAGAATAGGCTGCCAAGTTTGCATGGGTTTTTTTTTTAAAGATAAAATATGAGACTTCAAAGAAATTTTAGACCTCTAGACAGACTGCTTCCAGCCCCCTAAATCAAAGAGCAAAGATTCTCTCTCTTCTCCCACGGGGGTACTTCAGATGCTTGGGCAAGATTCCTGCTTCCTGGAAGAATAAGACGAGTGGATAAACTCTGTCAGTCTGACAAAAGAAAAGTGTCTGGAGGATAAAAATAGATACTGTCTAGAATGAGAATATACAGAACTAATATGGATACTGATTTCAAGATGAGAGGGTAGACCTAGAATCCTAAACCAGGGAAGCCTGGCTCACTCATTTCCTTCATAGCCTTGGAGAAGACTTGGAATTTCCCTGAGTCTCAGTTTCCTCGCCAGTAAAATGGAGTTGTACTAGAAGAAAAGTCACAAGTGATTTACAATTTTTGAATAGTTTCCAACATTTAAAACTCAGTAGATTTCAAATAAAAATCTAAATTGTTGTCTTCTCTTAAAAAATTAGAATATCTCATCCCTAAGCCTATCGCCTTCCTAGATGGCAACTGTTTGTTGCAGTTGTGAGGAGTCGTTCTTTAGACAGGACACGAGTCCCTACCACATCCTGAGTGGGAGCTTATCTGAGCCCCCAGCTCACCTCAAACATTGACCTGCTCTGCCTGACTCTATAGAGACCTACTGTGCCCATCCAATCCAGTAGCTCCTAGCTACATGGGGCTACTTACATTTAAGTTTAAATTAATTAAAATTAAATAAACTTTAAAATTCAGTTCTTCAGTCACACTAGCCATTTCAAGTGCTCAAGGGTCACAGGCAGCTGGTGGCCACCGCACGGGACACAGCTTTAGAACGTTTTCATTGCCGCAAAAAGTTCCATTAGGCGGGGCTGCATACACATTCGAATATATAACTCCAGGCTAGGTGACATTTCGGATCTCTCAGCCCTGATACCCTAGATTCTTTATGGGGCATCACAGCCACTGCACAAGTGTCCCTTTAAAAAATCTTTCCTTCTCCATCTGTTGCCATAGTTGGAGATGATGTCTAAGGGCACAAAGAGGACTTGTGGCTTCCACTGTGAGCAAGGAAAGACAGGCATGTTGACTTGTCTTTGAGGCCAGTTTGATGGGGACAGCTGGAAGCAGCAGAGGTTTGGGATTCCACAGGCAGGAGTCCTCAGCTCCTCCTCTCCCCACAGCCTCAATCAGCTCAGCTAAGAGTGGCAGTTCCCATTCTCCTCTTAAGGAAAAGGGTAATTAAGACAGACACACAAATAGTAGCCATTCCAGAGGTGTTCCCCTGCAGAAGAATTAGGCAAATCTAAAAGCTATTAGCTAGAGACACAACATAATTGAATACGCAATGGAGAGTTTGCCCCCAGCACAGAGACTGGCCTCAGAGACACTCAGTAAGGAGAGCTGTAGGTGTGAGCAGCACTTCAGCTGTACTAATGTATAATTACAAATGAGCCGGATTCCTCCATCTTTTTCATTACAGCCAGCCCCTCCGGGAGCACTCTCAGGCAACACTTAGTTAGCAGTTAATAAGCCACTGCATGTGCCAGGCAGCAGCCAAATTGCATTTTCCCCAACACTTTCATTCACACTGGCCTTCCCCCATTGGATCAGCAAACATGAGATTATCCTGCTCCCTTTTACATGGACTCTAGAATTTGAATTCAGGAAGTAGCATACCCACTGTCTTGGAGATAGGGGTTTGGCGATTTGACACTCTTTAAGACCCTACCCAAGGAAGGTGGAACAGCAGTGCCTCTCAAACTAGCCCACAGCTTATGAAAAAATACTGACACCCGACATCAACCCAGCCCAATAAGGTCAGAATCCCAGGAGTGGGGCCCAGGAATTTAAATGTTTTTAAAATATCTTGGAGAATTCTGAAATATACCAGGATTGAGAACCGCTGGCTTTTGTTATCTGGGGGCCACTTGACCACGCCATCCCAATCCCACTGTTAGACATGCAGAGAGATCAGGACTCTTCCTCGCCTTGGCCTCTTCTTTATCAGATGGATGATCACACCCCTGACGGGCCGTGCAGTAGTCAAGGACAGCCAATTTATGTGGAGAGATTAAGCATCGAAGACTCCAGGAACCAAGAGCCCAAAACCTGCTATGCCTCTAGCCCAAGATCCAAGAGAAGTTCTACCCCGGTCTTTCCTGGTTCTCTGGATCCTGAGCATGGGAGGGAGAGTGGGAGACTTTTCTGTAGGAATTGGATGGTGCCCTGAGTAGATGGGTCAGGAAGAAACAAGAGAGAGGTAATGAGAGACATCCAAGAAGTTTTAGGAGGGGAAAATAAAATAATTAGCCATGCAGCTGCTAAGCCATGAAGCAGAGAGTGAAGGAGAAAGGAACAGCAGTGAGCAAAGTGAGACATGAGCAGGCACAAGTGTGGCAGCCAGGAATGGCGACAGCTGCCCATTTGTGTGTGTGTGGCACCCAGATTAAGCACATGTCCTCACATGTCCAGTGTGAGGCCTGACAAGCACAGATGTCAGATGAAAATATGAGCACCCGGGCTTGCCTTAACACTAGTAGGGCAGGCCTCTACAAGAAACCCCCATCAATTTCTAGACTGTTTTGCCAAACCCAGTAAATCAGTCTGGGTCCCACTGCCTGGCGTCATCCCTGCATATCTAAAAAAGCAGTGAAATATGGGACATCTAGAATTACGAGCTCCTTCACACATGGGCTGGCTCGGTGGCCTCGGCTGTACAGCTGTCCTCTCCTGACCCGGGCTTAATCTCTCCCTAATGAATTTTCTTTCTTGATATTCAAGCAGATGGCTCCACAGGAGAGTGAACGCATTCCCAAATCTTACAGCATGACTCTGTACACATGGGAAAATGTAGGTTGTGTTTTGGTTTTTGCTTTTTTCCTTAAGAGGTGCAATGAACACAATAATGTCTTTGAGGCTTTCAATGCCTAACCAAAACCAGCCAGGCTTTCCCTGGGATCTGGCTCTCATGGTGTTCTTAGTGGCACTGGCAATATACTGACTGTTCCACCAATCCTGAGACATTTGAGAGCTTCACCTAAAGAGTGGACTGTGCGGGTCCTTCCTCCTGATCCCAGGGGCTTCTGCATGAAACTTTACGCCTCTCACAGGTCCTCAGATAGAAGCAGGGAGCCTGGGACCTGCTTGACATTTTAACTTTGTTGCCCTGGGAGAGGAAGGGAATCAAATACCCCATCTAATCTGTATAGTTACCACATGAGGTTGACCTACTCAGGGATTTTTTTTTTTTTTTTTTTTGAGACAGAGTCTCCCTCTGTCACCCAGGCTGGAGTGCGGTGGCTCACTGCAAGCTCCACCTCCCGGGTTCACGCCATTCTCCTGCCTCAGCCTCCCAAGTAGCTGGGACTACAGGAACCCACCACCATACCCGGCTAATTTTTTTGTATTTTTAGTAGAGATGGAGTTTCACCATGTTAGCCAGGATAGTCTGGATCTCCTGACCTTGTGATCCGCCCACCTCAACCTCCCAGAGTGCTGGGATTACAGGTGTGAGCCACCGCGCCCGGCCTCAGGGATGCTTTTTAAAGTCAAGTCTCTGGGCAGAAGGAAAAAGGCTGGGTTCAGTACAAAATGCTCTACCAATGCTGAAATGTCAATAAAGCACTAGATGGGGGTGAGGCATATATAGGCCCATTCCCTAAAGACCAGGCTCACAGACTCAGAAAAGATGGGAAGAAACCTCAGAGATGATCCATTCACATGGTTCTCAAGTCTGGCTGCATATGAGAACCACCAGGAGAGTTTTCTAAGCAAGTTAATCCAACTCCCATTCCAGAGGTAGAACTGCAGGCATGGGATCCTGGCATAATCATTTTCTTAGTTCCCCAGATTATGCAGTTCTGGCCCTTAGGGGCTCTCGAGTGTGGCAGAAATGAGACTGAAACCCTAGCTCCCTCCTCCAGGGTGACCCAAACTTGACTAAACCCATGAATCACCAGAGGCGATTCTGTAAACATGCGGATTAAAAATCAGAAGGTCTGGGGTGGGCCTGAGATTCTGCATTTCTAAATGACTTCCAGGTGAAGCGGATGTTGCTGCCGGCCCTCAGACCACACTTCGAGGTATCAGGTCCTGGCATCTAGTCCTATAAATAGATGAGTCACATGCCTATTGGCCTTCAGTCTTTCTAACATCAAGACTAGAGAGCCAATGTGGCAGAGAGGTTAGATGGGGAGGAGCCATGTTTTTCACCCTGATTTTGGAACTTAATTGCTGTGCAATCTTGAGCAAGTCACTTAACCTCTCTGATCTTTAATTTCCTCAGATGTTAAAATAGAGAAAAAACTAATACATACACAAAGTTGTAAGGCTGATCAGATGAGATGTGAAGTTGTTCTATAAACTGTAAAATACTACAAAGTTTAAGAGTTTATTATAAAATTGGCCTTTGAAAGATACCATTTTAGCCTTTAAAATGTTGGTCATTTATATGTGCACACTTTTTGTAGTCCTGTATTTCTCCTAGTGGTAGCACATGTATGTGGACACACATGCAATAGATGAGTTTTATCTCCTAAAAGGTTTAAACTCTGGTGTGTGTGTGTGTGTGTGTGTGTGTGTGTGTGTGTGTGTGTTCTTATACCATTGCCTGGAGTGTAAGGACTTGCAAGGAAATTCTCTTTGACCAGGAGGATTCAAGAATGCAGAGCAAATGTCCAGGAGTCGCAGCCAAATTGGTAGCTTTTCTTGCTCCTTTCCACTGCATTAGCATGCCCCTAGCCAAAACAAGATGGCACCATGCCCCGGCCAACTTGATCTCAATGTTCTCCACAGCTGTGTGTCCCCACTGGGGTGAGTATTGGAGCAATGTCTCATGTCTAGTCTAGCCAGGAAGATTGTCACTTTGGACCCTAACCCTTTCTGAGGTTTGAGCCTCCAATTCACTCATGTCTGGCCAGCACGAGTCATGCCATCCATGTATCCTCACTCCCAAAAGAAATGACACCCTTGGCAAATTCTTGAACTACGTTTTGGAAGCCGCCGCTGAGGTTGCGCAAACACATTTGGCACAGGCTTCAGGGACCAAGCAGTTCTCTGGGTTGAATCGCAGAAACAAAATGTACTTGTCCTGCTTCCGAGATGGTGTCTGAGGACTTGGCTCCCTCGGCCGAGGAACTGCCTCCTCGCTGATGTCATCCTGCCACGGAAAGGCAAACATCTCTGGGTTCAGCAGTTCAGAACCAGAAGTGAGAAAAGTTGGGGATCCAAAGGGCATCCACCCAGGCTTAACTCCATCGGGACAACGTAGAGAGACATGCACTCAATTCTTAACAACTAAATCATCTTAAAATAAAATGTATTGAAGCAGTTTGTGAGGAGGAATCATGCTGCTGAAATGCCCTCGGGCAAGGATTACTGGTCGTGATGCTACCTCCATCCAGTGGGGTTTTGTGGGGCTCCACGTGCTGCCACATGCACCCCATAGGAGCACAAGTTCCCAGAGGCCCAGGAGAATATTCAACATCCAACCCTAAGGAAGAAATAATTTCCATGTAGCACTCGTGCCTCACATTCATGTCACTGCGTAATATCTCAGACATCCAGTGACTGCACTTTCCTGGCCAAATTGAGGCGGGTGCTTCTGGAGTCTGGTACATTTCTCAACTCCAGGTTATTTCTCAGCACACAAAGTACCAGGGCTGCTTCAGTCTCCTCAGAGGAGCCATTCTCGAGATGGAGTTTCTTTTTTGTTTTATTTTACTTTAAGTTCTGGGATACATGTGCCGAACGTGCAGGTTTGTTATATAGGTATACGTGTGCCATGGTGGTTTGCTGCACCTATCAACCCAAGACGGAGCTTCTTTTACCCAGAAAAAAAAAATGAATCCTCTTTCCCATATTCATAATTTTCAAATGTAAAATCTGAAATTTTTCTTACCAGATCAGAACTCCCTAATGCCCAATGCTGCAGACCACAGAGCCACTCAGCTTTGTGACCAGAATAAAAGCCTTCATGAAATCATGAAATTTGTTCTGGTGGTCACAAGAGTCAGACATGCACATCATGCAGAGATTTGTATGATGAAGTCTTAGGAAGACAGTGGAAGGTGTGGACCTTCCTTAAAGAGTGATCAATCTTCTGGGGCCTCATCCTTGGCTGTCCACTGGAATCCCTTGGAAACTATTTCACAGCTCGAATGCCTCGGCCGTCCACCAAACTATGCGAATGGAACTTCTGAAGAGGAAGCATAAGTATTTGTGAAAGTCCCCTCCATTGATTCTAATGGATATCAGGGATTGAGAAAGCACTCTCTCATCCAATTCTCTGTTTTCCTAGATGAGAAAATTTTGTCCCAAAGAATTCAAGTACTTTACTTAAGGTCACACTGATCACTAGGGGCAGAGCTAGGACTGGAGCCTAGATATCCCAATTGCTGGGCCAAGTTTTTTCACTCCAGGTAAGCAGAACAGTAATTTTGTAGATGTGCAGCCAGGGAAACCATTTCACAAATGGTTGAGGTGAGGCTGCTGGAACCAGACTCCCAGGGCTTGCTTGTTGAAAGAATTACTTGATGGATTGATCAGAATTCTAGTTCTGCCACCCTATTGTGGGGACGCGGCAAACCACTGAACCTTGCAAAACTTCATGTTCTTATTAATAAAATGGGGGTGGGTGGTGTTTAGGATGGGGAGGGGTAATAATAATACCTTCCTCCTCGTATTGTGAGCTTTTAATGAAATAATATCCATAAAATGCTTAGAAGAGTGCTAGGCACATAACAAATGCTCAATAATGTGGCCTCTCATTAATATTAGTATACAGATGCACTGGTACTAGTTCTGAGGGTTTATGGCATTAATGTCTGAAGCCAGAAGCACGTCATGTGTTGGAGAGAGGAATGGGGATTGGCCTTGTAGGACACTCAGCAGTACATAGGCATGGACTAAGACTCCACAGTCCACGAAAACTTGGCCTTTCTTGACTTCCAAGATGATTTACTGTTCAAATTCCAATCACATTGCTTGGAACGAGGGTCTCCATCCTCCTTCCACTTGGGGCTGTCTAAATACATGCAGTCTCTGTGGTCTAACAGAGAGGAGTTGAAGATGCAAACTTGACCCTTCATCCCTCCAGACAAAACTGAATAGATGAGGGGTGTTTCCCAACCCAGGTACCCAAGTCAGATCCCAAGCTGTAACACAAGAAAAAATAACTGGGCCTAGAAAATTCCTTCCCCAAACCTCCTCCTGATTTCAGTATTTATATGATTTACCCCATCATTTATTGCTCAACTTGATTTAAAACATCATCTTTTTAAATGATTCTCTTCTGTTCTTCAATCTCTACCTCCACTACAAAAGAAAAGTCTCTCTTTACTCACACTCCCGACCCAGTTTAAGCCCTCCTTAACTTATGCCTGAATTATCCTCCTGAACCCTTTGCTACTGGAAGTGTGGCCTACAGACCAGCAGCTTTGGCATCACCTGGAAACTTGCTACAAATGCAGGATCTTGAATCTCACCCTAGATCTACAGAATCAGAATCGGCATTTTAACAAGATCCTCAGATGATTCATGTGCCAGTTCAAGGTGAGAACCACTGGGCAGATTCATGTTCTCCTTCCTGGGTTATGCCTCTTCTCTTTGTGCTGTGTGGTGTTACCTGATTCACTCCCCGAGGTGCTGCTTCATGCCACTCCCAAACTCATAATCTTCAACTTTCAGTATTTCAAGTCAGGCAATGCTAATACTTCATATGCATGTAGACAGGACTTTCAGATCATAACGCATTCTCATTTAGCATTTTATCTAAGGTCACATCTAATCAGCAATTTTATGGTAATACCCCAAATATCCCAAATCCAACTATGTTGAATTAGGGTTCCCCAGAGGAATAGAACCAACAGGAAACAGATGGACAGACAGACAGACACACACACACACACACACACTCACATATACATATATACATATATATGTGTATATATATGTATGTGTGTATGTATATATTTACATATATATAGAGAGAGAGAGAAGAAGAAGAGACAGAGAGAGAGAGATTTATTGTAGGAATTGGCCCACATGATTATGGTGGCCATGAAGTTTCACCATCTGCCATTTGCAAGCTGGAGAACCAGGAAAGCTAGTGGTGTAATTCAATCTAAATCCAAAGGCCTGAGGACCAGCAAAGACAATGGTGTAGGTCCCAGTCCAACTCTAAAGGGATGGGGTGGGTGCAGTGTCTCAGGGCAGGCAGGAGAAGATGGATGGCCCAGATCAGATGAGGAGAAAATTCACCCTTCGTTCACTCTTCCTTATTTTGTTCCATTCATGTCCTTGGCAGATTGGATGAGGCCCACCCACTCTGGGGAGTGCAATCTTCTTTACTTCTTTACTTTACCAATTCAAACGCTAACCTCTTCCAGAAACACCCTCACAGACACACCCAATAATGTTGTACCAGCTATCTGGGATCCCTTAGCCCAGTCAAGTTGCACGTACAATTCACCATCACACCATGTATTTCAGTCTCCCAACAACCACTCTTTTTAAGCCACCACTATTCCTTGCCTAAATTATTACAAGTCTCCTGGCTATCTCCTCCTTCCATTCTCATCCCATTATAATTCTCTTCTCACAGAATAAATTGGATTGTGCCTTTCCCCTGCTTTAAACCAGCCAGTGTCTCTCACTGGTCTTGGAATGGGAAAAAAAGCTCCTTTCCCAAGACCTCATGGTCTTAAGACATCCATTCTGACCATCTGAAGAAGCTCATCTCCTCCATTCTCTTCCCCCTGCCCTCCCTCCACACTGGCCTTCCTGCTGATCCTAAAACATGGGCTTGGGCTTGCTGTTACCACTGCCTGGAGCTCCAGTGCCCCAGATCATCACATTTCTGACTTGTTTTCATCAGTCATCTACTCCTCCATGAAGCCTTCCTTGACTGTTGCAGCTAAAGCACCAAAAATCTAGGTCTTCTACCCGTATCTCATTACTCTTTATCCAGTTGTCAGTTCTCCCCACTTTGCAGCAATTATTACTATCTGAAATTATCTTATTATTTCTTTTGGGCAGGTCTGTGCATGTTTCATCTGGTTCTCTGCACCAACATGCCAACTCTTTGAGAACATAAACTTGTATGCCTGATTCCCTCGATATCCCTACACTAAATATGTGTTTCTGGCAAGCATTAATGACCAAACATGATTTCCTCTATTTTGATCCTCATCATAATCCTGTAACCACCAGTTCAGACATTACCCTACCATTCTACTGGGCAGCCTCCAAGTATTTAACAATTTGCCCAAGTCAGTTCACAAGTCATAACATCAGAATCCAACTCAGACCTCCTCATTCCATGCTTTCTAATTTCCTCAACATAGCACACTCCTTTTCATATCACCTGTTAAGCCCAATACTTTAAGGCCATTCATAATTGCTACCTAATTTATTCTTTCTAATTTAAAAAAACTATTTCCCAATATATTCTCCCACATTGCAGCTAAGCTACGTGCTCACTTTTCCCTGGACATGCCCCCATGCTCCTCTGATTCTCTTCTTTTGCTCATGCTGTGCTTGTTGCCTGGAATGTTGCTCTTTTTCCTCCTCTCCCAGCCCATCTATGTATGCTGAAATCCTACCTCTTTTTAAAGTTCCATAGAACATATTACCCTCTTCGTGCAGAATATATAATTCAATGCGCTGTTTATCCCTCTTGAATTCTTGTAGCTCTCTACACACCCTACATCCCAAAAGCTTTGTTTTAACTTTCCTTGTTATACATCATTGTTATCTGCTTGGTCTTATAGCTCTACAATACATTTGCCATTCTCCTCTGCCCTCTCCAGAGCACATGCTCCCCGCAGGGTTCCATGTCTATCCAAATTCCCTGTTAACATCCTTTGTACAATGCCATACACTGTATGTTTGCTGAATTCACTTGATCTACATGACTGCACCTACAGAGCTTTTTATCTCAGAAATATTATGGAAGAGGCCTATAACATCCAATGTGTGTGATGCAAATGTGGTCTTACAGATCTATGAAAGAATTGGGAAGACGTAAGGAGAGAAAAGCAAACAGAACTATCATGTGTTCCTATAAATCACTCTGAGAAGCTTCTTTTCAGGTTTCAGAAGAGGAACAAAGAACATAGATACTCATCTATTATTCCCCTCTCTGAGAAGATAAAACATCGGATGAAAGAGAGAGAGAAAGAACAACTGACCTTACATTAGCCCCATTGATTGCTGACAAATAGATTACAAAGCATGGGAATTTATTCAACTCTATGTATGCCTGAGGCTTGACTGAATAGCCACCCAAAGGTATGATGTTGGTGGCTGCCAAGCCCTGGTCACAAGAGTCAGGGCAAGTCAGAAACCATGGCAGTGGCCAAAAAGAATCCTGTGTAGTGTCATGGTGTCAGTGCATTTCTGGGCTGGAGACTGGTTAGGGCCTCAAATTGTTTCTACAGTTTCTTAGAAAGTCAATGGCCTACCTTGGTCAAAAACTTCATCCTCTTTCATTCCACCCATTCCCACCCCCTTTTTTTTTTTTTAGGGTCTTTTCAGGTTCTCAAGACCAATAGTCAGAGATAGGTTCACTATGAAGCTAATGAAGATTAAGATTTGGAACCCCTCAGGTGCATAAGCCCTGTAGTACAGAGAATAACTAACACTTTTAAAGAATTCTAAATGAGGAGGGAAAGACAGTTTAGAAGAGGGAAGTATTCCTAAGAAAGCATTTCTGGCAAAATGGCCAAAAAGAGCTTGAAAAGAAGAGATATGAATTTCTGAGCTTCCAGTAATTTGTTACAATATCTTTACTCATTCCAAATAAATATTTATATTCATATCTAATTTGTAATTTTGTATTATTTTTCTTAAAGATGATCCCTCCCACAAAGTAGGTAGGCTTCAGGCTCCACAAAACCTGAAACTGCCCCTAAAATAGTGTTAACACGAAAAAAGAATGAATGACTTCACTCATTTGACAACATTTGCCAAATACCAACTCATGCTCACAGAGCACAGTGAATGTTGTTGAAGAGAAGAATGCCCAGCACTGGGGCCACACAGGCGAGCAAGGTAGATGTGGTCCTTGTGTTTGAGAACTTGTAGGACTGTCAGGACATCAGTGAGCTCATGGTAGATTCACATTCCCTATAATTCACGTTCACTATAATGAGGTAAATTCCTCAGTTCAGCTCTTACAGCTTAGGAAAGAGCCAGTTGACCATCCATCCAATCTCTTTTGATCCTGTGACTCACAGAAGATGTGGACATGGATCTCCACAGTGATCCTTGACCAAGCCAAAAATCATAGTTGACTGCCCTCCCCAAACCCCAAACCCAAAACAGTATTTGTGCCCACTCAACTCACCAGTCTACAAAAAAATGGGACAGACTGGATCAGGTTCATAAGACACGGGGGTCATCCAAGCCACTGGCCACCTTGGGAGGACCACCCACCAGTCAAGCTGGAAGAAGTGCCAGTTATTAGCTACAGCAGAGCTCATCCACCCATTTAAACAATAAATAAATAAAGCATCTATTCCTGGGCTTCACTACAAAACTCAAAGGTTTTGTAGAGTTAGGGTTTAACAGGTTGGGGGAGGATAAAAATGAAATTGTTTCAAAATCACAAAAACAGCAAGGCCAGCAAGGTACATTGAGTTCTTTAGTACTACTAAAACCGGGGAGGGGGGGGCGCGGCTGCTAACTTAAATAGCAAGGCCAAGATCAGCATATTGATTCATTAAATCATTCAGCAAATATTTATTGAGTGCCTAGCATGTGTTAGAGCACACATCTATGAAAAAAACAGGATCGCTGTCCTCTTGATGCTGACACTCTAGCAGAAGGAGATAGACAACCAGTGACAGCTGAGAGATCAGGGAGATGGCATGTGCAGGATACAGAAGATCTGGAGTGTTGGGGCAAAGAGAGGTATGTGTTTCCTGAGAATAGGCATTTCTTTGGCTTTGCCCTGATATGCATCAGAAGGGCTGCAGCAAGGGCAGGGACTGGTGTTTTCAAACAGAAGCAGGTAACCCCACAAGAAAGGGTCGCTCAAACACAACACACATTGACACGATCACTCAGCAGGAGGTACACAATAAACAAGTATTTTTGAAATGTAATTTTTCCAGCCAGAGAAAAGATTTCATTGATCATCATTTAAAATAGATTTTCATTTCACATCATCTAACTAACTTAAAAGGCAACGACCATAAATTCCATTTAATAGGTGGTTCCACTGGGGAGGACTGGTGGGGCAATTGTCAATTAGGTATTGCATAAAAGGATGCAAATATCTCATAAAAGTGATGGAAGATTATATTATTGCATTAACCATGTCGTTCTTGCCATGCTGTTACACACCATAGAATAATAACTAACACATTTACAAGGTGGAAATCATTCCGAATGTGCTTTTAAACTGTGTGCAAATGCAAATTGTCTTGAATCAGTTCTTAGCACCTTTGGTCAGCCACTTTCTAATCTTCTATTTGCAGGGGAAAATAATTAATGGGTGAAGTATCTGATAGCATAGGTTATGGGCTCCAGCAAGACATTTTCCAATATGTGTTGTTTTACAGCTGTGCCTTTGAAAGCTAGGCTGTCAAATCTATAAAAATATAAAAGTGATTACTCCCAACCATAAAAACTTCTAATGATGCCATGCTTCAGCCTCCAATTTTTTCCCAGCTTCTAAGGTAAAGAATTTCAAAATGCCAACAGAATAATTTGGCAGGAGGGCAGGCTAGTATAATATGAAGTAGATGTGGAAGAGTAGAAAACAGAGAGAGCCTAGGCTTGTTTACACGGAGGGGGTCAGTCTCAAAAAGAAGAAAACAGGATGGGATGTACCCAATAATTCACTCGAAACAGTAAACAGCCAAGAAGTCAGAAGCAATACTGATGACATCAGATTTTAATGTTCATTTATGAGTTATGAATAAGGGAATTGGTTAATACAACTTAGCTTGTGCCCCCCTCCCCCACTCGGAAAAAAAAAAAAAAACCTTGGTTGTCTGGAGCTCCTAGTTGAGATGCAGTTGCAGAAGGTATGCTCAAACTCAAGTCAAAAGAAATAGCTTTGTTGGGAGGGGAAGCAGAGTCACATTACATATCAAGAAGAAATATAACTCTATGGATATTCTCAAACTTGAGGGAGAGGCATTCAGGAAAGTATGTTAAAGAAAAGATAGTATAGGGATCTAGCAGTGACAAAAATCACTGTTTTTCTGGATGGAGATAGTAAACAAGTAGGCAAAACGTAGTAGTATAACAGATAAGTGCTATGGAGAAAAATAAAACAGGGAATGGGAAAAGGGAGTACTATTAAAATGGGGGTGGGGGGGTTGCTAACTTAAATTGGGTTGCTGGTGGAACCTCACCGAGAAGGCAGCATTTGAGCAGAGACCGGAATAAGTGATCCATGCCAATATCAGAGGAAAGAGCCAAAAATCATAGTTGACTGCCATCCCCGAACCCAAAACAGTATTTGTGCTCACTCACCTCACCAGTCTACAAAAAAATGGGACAGACTGGATCAGGTTCATAAGACATGGGAGCCATCCAAGCCACTGGCCACCTTGGGAGGACCACCCATCAATATGATGTTGGTGGCTGCCAAGCCCCGATCACAGGAGTCAGGGCAAGTCAGAAACCATAGCAGTGGCCAGAAAGAATCCTATGTAGCATCATGGTGTCAGTGCATTTCTGGGCTGGAGCCTAGTTTTGTCTTGTCAGGTTCTCAAGACCAATAGTCAGAGGTAGGTTTACTGTAAAGCTAATGAAAATTAAGATTTGGAATCTCTCAGGTGCATAAGCCCTGTAAGCAACAACAGCAGGTGCAAAAGCATGAGGTGAGAAAATGCCTGGCACTTTGGGCATCCAGCAAAGAAGCTGGTATGGCTGGAACAGGATGGGAGTAGGTGAGATGGCAGGAGGTGCACCTAGAGAGGTAATGGGGACAGTCAGGAAGGGGCTTGTAGGCTATGGTAAGGACTCTGGCCATTGGCAGATTCTGAGCAGCCAGCAGAATTATGGCTGTGTTGAGAACAGGCTGAAGAGGGCAAGAGTGGATGTAGGGCAGCTGATGTAACAATTCCAGGTGTGGCATGGCATTGGCAATGTCCAGGGGGTAACAGTGGAGATGATGAGAAGTGGCTGGATTCTGAATATGTTTATGAGGTAGAGCCAACAGGATTTGCTGATGAATTGGCAATGGGAGTTGAAAGAGAAATAAAGAGTAACTCTGAAATTTTTGACTTGAGCACTGAAAAGAATTGAATTGCTATAAATGGGGTGGGGAAGATCTCAGGTATAGCAGGTTTGGAGACAAAAGTAGCAAGAGTTTGGTTTTGACTAAAACGTTTTGCATGTTTACTATACAGAGAAGTGAAGATTTTATTTAGGTAGTTAGATACACAAATCTTGAACTGAGAGAAGAGGTCAGGCTGGAGATACAAATTGAGAAGTTGTGAGCACATACACGGTTGTTAAAGCTATCAGACTGGATGAGATAATATAGACAATGGTATGGAGAGAGAAGAGAAGAGGTCCAAGGTTTCAGCCTTACGTGCTTCAACATTTAGCAGTCAGGGCTGAGGGTGAAGAAGCAGTGGAAGCCCAGAAGGAGTGAACAATGAGGCAGAAGGAAAACTAGATGAATATGGTGTCCTAGAAGGCTCATAAAGAAAGTGCATCAAGGAGAAGAACAGGAGTCCAAAGCATTGTTGAAGTCATGGAAATAGAGGAAATGAGTTGCAAATAGGTGGTAATTTAAGAATGGGATTCCTGAAGTTGGGAAGATGGAGGGAGTGGCAGGCAGAATTCTAAGGAAGGAATACACATGGAAATGGATTGCTTAAAACTCTTCATGGTCTTGTACCTCATTAAAAAAAAAGGTCTTGTACCCCATTTAAAAAAAAAGGTCTTCATGGTCTTGTACCCCATTAAAAAAATGGTCAAGGGGGGTTCTCCACCCCAGACACAAGTTCACTGGTCAATATGACTCATACTTTCTCATCTTTTTATAAACATCCAACAACTCCTCCTCCTTCCTCCTGATTCCTCTTTCACATACACAAAAAAATAGAAGCTTCCATATGTCCCCCACCACATTTTGCCCACCATCTGTATCATGTCCATGCACTCTGCCTTCCCTTGTATTATTATGGACGCATGTCCTTACTGCCATTTGAACAGTCTCAAAAGGTTCCATGGAAAAAGAAAACTAGAGAGAGAGAGAGAGGATGCAAATACAAGAAAATGTTAACAATTGTTGAATTTATGTGAAGAATATATGGGTGTTCATTGTGCCATCCTTGCAACTTTGTGAATTTAAAATTTTCCAAAATAAAATTTTGGGAAATACACATCAGCTCTATGTTTACTGTAAGATGTAGCTTTCAAATTTTATTATTTTATATTTAGTGATTATTTACTAAAATAGATATTTGCATAATTTTGATTAATTACATAATGATCATGATTGTAATGATACCTTAAGTCAGAAAAAAAATCAAACATTTAGAGCCTTCCACTCAGGACATATATATCACATATGTGATTGACTGCAGTAATGTATGATAAGGTGAACAACAAAACATCTTAAATTTTAAAATATATAATTCTATGTTATATGTGGAGTGGAAATATAAATTCAATAAGGAAAAAAGAATGATATAAAATTTCTAATTTTTTTTTTTTTTTTTTTTTGAGACGGAGTCTCCCTCTGTCGCCCAGGTTGGAGTGCAGTGGCGTGATCTCGGTTCACTGCAAGCTCCACCTCCCAGGTTCACGCCATTCTCCTGCCTCAGCCTCAGGCGTCCCCCACCATGCCCGGCTAATTTTTTGTATTTTTAGTAGCGGCGGGGTTTCACCGTGTTAGCCAGGATGGTCTCGATCTCCTGACCTCGTGATCTGCCCGTCTTGGCCTCCCAAACTGCTGGGATTACAGGCGTGAGCCACCGTGCCCAGCCCAACTTATTTATACATTTCTAATGGTAATGGTGGATATCAAATTGCTATGATATTTCTTTAGAGTAAAAGAGTTTTGCAACTTTTTAAAAATATAATACATTGTAATAAGATTTTCAACTATTTGAATTTCTGATGAAAATTTCAATATCAATGTAAAATATGCAAGTGGGTACAGAGTTTTTAAAAATTATTTTAGGAAATCTGTAAGTAAAAAATGGTTGAATACCTTTGTTCTACGTCTAAAAGTTTGGGTATCTAATTGTAGGGAAATGTCTTATGAGTGCTAGGCAGCTTTAAGAATCTGTTTGAATTAGTACTCACAGGTTTAAAGGATGATCAGTCAGTGTAGGAGTATGCTTTTCTCTAGCCACTTTTATCTACATGGATACAGGGATGAGAAAAAAGTAGAGTCAGATTTAACCATTTTGGAGTTTTGTCAGGCAAATTAAACAAACGGAGAGAAGAAAAGAGAGCTAATGGTATATTTCAATGAGTGATTATGGTGATTGATCATATGCTGATAAAGGAGGGCAGTAGAGAGAGGATGGGGATGAGGGACATAAAAATGTGGGAGATTGTGAGTTCAAAGTATCATTGAAGTCATGGAGACAGAGGAAGTGAGCTAGAGATAGTAGGTGGTAGTTTAAGAATAGAACTCTTCAAGTTAAGAACATTGAGGGTGTGGTAGGCAGAATTTTAAAATGACCCCCCCTTCTCTCATGACTCAGCCCTTGGATAGTCTTCTCTGTTTGAGTGTGGGAGGAACCTATGAAGATATGAATATTGCATAGGTGATTGGGTGATGTTACATAGCACAGCTGACTTTAAGTAAAGAAAGTTAGCCTCAGATAGTCTGACCTAATCAGACATGTAGAACTGACCAATAAGAACTGACCTAACCAGGTGAGTCCTTACAAGGGACAGAGCTCTCCCTGATAAAAGACATTCAAAACTTGAGAAGCACCCTATAGAAAAGAGAATCTCCGTTGTTGCCTATGAAGATTTAGGGGGTCACGTGTCAAGGAATGTGGGTGGCATCTAGGAGCAGAGAATGGCCCAGACTGACAGCCAGCAAGGCAATGGGGACCTCAGTTCACAACGTCAAGTAACGGAAGTCTGCCACAACCATGTGAGGGCCATTTGAGAATGCAGACTGGTGAGACACTGAGCCGAGAATCCCAGCAGTGCGCCCAGATGTCTAACCTACACAACCTTGAGCTAATCAATGGGTCTTGTTTTAAGCCACTCACTTGTGCTTATTTCCTTTCCAATCCTTTGTGGTAATGTCAAGTTTTAAGATATATGAGCAAAGGATTGAGAGTATAAGGTTGGGTAAAAGACGATAAACTTGAGGAACTAAAATGCATTGGGATATCTACTTGAATTTACCTGTAATTATAAAAGGACTATGGTGAGGAGAGGGTCAGTGAACCAGGAGTTAAAATCTTCAGAAAATGAAAGAGAATGACCTAGGGGAAGGGGTCTATGGATGACAGAAACTAGGAGAGATGGGTGTGGAATATGCTGATGGTATAAATTACATAGCTGGGGTGAGGGAGCAAAGAGGACAGATAGGAATGGTTTAGAACAGTAATGTGGAGCAAGAAGGACAGCACCCCACCTCTAGGCCCAGTGGTAGGAGGGCTGTCAGAAAGAAAACAACACCCACTTGAAAAAACTGCTGGAAAAATATTGACTTCAGCAGAGAGTCAAATTTCAGGTAGAGGAAGAAGGTGGAGAGAATTAGAAGTGGTGGAAATATGGGAGGTCTTTCTAATAACTGACCCAGAACTCTGGAAATCACAGTAGAAAATGTAGAAGGTGTTGAGACATAGGATATGGGATTAGAGAAGGGAATGGGAGACCCTTAGGGGATGAGAATCCCGCAACGAGCACTGACTTAGGAAGTCTTCATATCTAGTGGTAACTGATAAGTAAGGATAATAAAAGGCACACATCATGATGATCTCAAGGAGATAATGGCAGACAAGCTTTGAATATTGAAAAGAAGAACTGTTCTCTTACTAAAGAATGTGATACATGAGGAGTCTTTATTTCTGCTGATGAAGGTGCAAAAGCTTGGAGAGAGGCAGAGCACCCAGACCACTGGGGAACCCTCTCCAATGGGATAGAGGTGGATATGAGGTTACCATACACTCTGCACACTCAGGAAACGTAGGTTGAAAATTTGGGTTGAGCTTTCTGCAGCCCAAGCAAAGAGGAAAATGTAACATTTAAATGAGCCAAAGAGTCCACAAGATAATAATAGAGAAAGCCAGCTATGGTACTGTCTCAGTCTATTTTGTGTTGCTATAATAGAATACCCAAGGCTGCATAATTTATAAAGAAAAGAGGTTTATTTGGCTCATAATTCTGGTGTCTGGGAAGTCCAAGAGCATGGTGCTGGCATCTGCTTAGCTTCCAGGAAGGACTATGTCCTGCATCACAACATGGCGAAGAAGCAGAAAGGTGTGCAGCATGTGCAAAGAAACCTAACACAAGAGGCAGCCTCACCTATTACAACCCACTCTTGCAGGAACTAACCTATTTCTGTGAGAGTGAGAACTCACTTACTCCCATGATATGGCATTAATCATTCATGAGGGTGGTGCTTTCATGATCCAACCACCACCTTTCATTAGGTCCCACCTCCCAACATTGCCACATTGGGAATCCTGTTTCAACATGAGATTCGATGTGGACAAACCATATTCAAACCATCAATCCACGGCAAATGCCTTATCCTAAGAACTAAGAGAAAGTTCTCCCTTGTCTTCTAAAGAGGACAAGTAGTGATGAAGTGAATACTGTTCTCAGCAATAGTATCTATAGTAAATACAGCAGTAAATTCTACATGTCTGCTTTTCTCAATGTCCTTCAACACAGAGTGATAGTGTAATGCTTCAGGAACTTTAAATCTTTAGCTTAAACCAAGGAAAGATTTTAGTGTATCAAATACAATGGGTTGCACACCTTCTCAGCAATGCTTCATAAATATTGTCCCTCTCATTTATGTATGTTCTAATTATTGAGCAGCAGTAAGTTTGAAGTTAAATTTAACAACAAATCTCTATAAAGGAGCTCTTCTCTGTTGCAGGTCAGAAGCACAACCACTGTGGGCAAAAGACAAGTATTTAATTTATAAATGGAGGTGGACCAAGGAGAATATTGATTCTCTTCAATGCAGATCCCACATTATATACAAATAAATGGATGATTAAAGTCATGCACTGTAGAATACAGACATAATAATTTTAACTTAAAAAATGTTTTAAGTACATGTTACCAAATACTCACTTCGGCTAGAAAATAATAAGGGGCAGCAGCACC
Source organism: Homo sapiens (assembly GCF_000001405.40). NCBI lineage: Eukaryota > Metazoa > Chordata > Mammalia > Primates > Hominidae > Homo > Homo sapiens. Next base: position 40,250,645 of record NC_000013.11, read on the forward strand.
CATTTAACTTTGAGTTACATAACTTCCTGATAAAATTTCCATAAAAAATGGGCTGCAAAATGTTACATCAAAAGAGAGGAATGTTTCATTGGAAGAAGAAAAAGAGAGAGAGATGAATGTTGTTTCACTGTATCCAGTTGTTATTCGACAAAAGCTATTGAGAAATATCTATAAAAAAATAAATTTTAAAATAGTCAATATGAAAGGCTTTTTGGGGGGAAATAATTAGATGGCAGGGCCAGTTGCCATTGAGTCTACTCTAACTTATGAAATTAAAGATTATGGGCTTGTGTTATAAGGAACATGGCCATTCCTGATGGACATCACAAAATGGCCCCAAGGAAGCCTGTGGCAGTGGTTAGGGCATCTTCTAGAAAAGGTGTCCCAGAAACAGATCATCAGCCAAGTTTCCAGTCTTGCCCTGATGATAATTTCAACTGTGATCTAATAAAGGAAGCAACAAAAGAGTGGATTCTCTGAACTTCATTGAGAAAAACTAAGAGGTTTTCATTGAAATTGCTGGACATCTTGAGGAGAAGCAAACCTGCCATCTTAGAATTTCTGATATGCAGGAAAGGAAGCCTGGTCATAGCAGGGCACAGGCTTTCACCTGCAACATTTTGCTCACATGATTTTATGGCTCAAGACTCTGTGAACTGTTGGGAGGGCAGGCAGCTGAATTAAGCATGTGGTAACACTTGCCATGTGCCTACTATGTTCATGTGCTTTATACACATGATTGTTTTTCATGTTCACAACACACCCATGAGAGGGCATCATCACCATCCCTATTGTCAGGAAGGGTGGAAGCCAAGTGACTGGGTAGAGGTCACAGAGACAACAAAGGACAGTACCAGGACTGGGACCTTGGTCAGCTTGGCTCCACTGCTGACCCTGGTTCAACCACACTTTCTCAGAAAAGCCACGCTGTCTATACAAGGGAAAAGCACCCAATAACAAAGGTACAGTAGTGCTATCTTCATAAATGTGTGTATTTATGCAGGGAGCTGTCCAAAAAGCTGAAAATATTTAAAAGCTGCTCAAAGGAATGAGAAGAGCACATAACCAAGGCAAGGAGAACATATTCTGAGGGGTAGAGTGAGCTTTATAGTGGCTGAGGCTAGTTTAAAATGCACAGGAAAACTAGGGGGAAAGATTGTCTCATCTTCTTAGTCAGAACATGGCAACCAAGGAAATAGGCAGATTTCTCAAGGCCAGTGATGCAAGTGAAAGAATGACAAAGAGAAAGCAAAACTCTTCCACTCAAAGGTTGCATCCATTTTTCTGTCTCTAGAGAAATTCAGAGATTTTTTTTTCTGGCAAATGCTTCAGCACTATAAAAGTTCCTATTCTGCAAGGCAAGAGGCTCACTTGAGCCCAGGAGTTTCGAGACCAACCTGGGAAATCTAGCAAGACCCCATCTCCACAAAAAAAAAAAAAAAAAAAAAAAGTAATGTTAGCCAGCCATGGTGGCGCATAGCTGTATCCCAACTCAGGAGGCTGAGGTGGGAAGAACACTTAGGCCCAGAAGGTTGAGGCCGAAGTGAGCTATGATCACACCACTGCACTACAGCCTGGATGACAGAGCAAGACCCTGTTTCAAAAACAAAAACGAACAAACAAAAAAATCTTATTCTGGCTACAGGCCACTCTGGTGAAGTTTTCTTTCTCACAACACTAGCATTTCAACAGCTTCTGTAGAAGTTCTGTATTACCAGTTCTGTAGAAGTTCTGTATTACCAGTTCTCTAGCAGCTTCAATTACATGTACGTGGAGTAAGTATTACGGGGCATGCCTGTGCATGTGTGCATGTGTGTGGGTGTGTGCACATGTATTTGCCATGGAAATGCCTGATTTTATAAATTACTACTAAGTTGAGAGGAATACAGATGAAAATTATTTCAAGTCCCTTAGAAACAGAAGTCACTTTTTTTTCTGATATTTGAGAGAAATTGAGCATTTGGCTTTTATCTCCACCTGTTGTCTGCCTGCAAAGCTGGTGCTTGATATCGCTGCTCTAATTTTGTTTTGTTTTGATTCCTCTGAGAGATTCAAAGGCTCATAGAAATGTTCGTTGTAATTCAGCAATTAGTGTGTCTGCTGCTTTCCTTTTCTCCTGACCAAAAATGCAAGGTCACTCTGTCCTGTGAAAGTCATTTTCTGCCGACATCTTACACATTAATTTGCTGGCATTAAAATCCAGAGGCAAAGAAGAGCAAAATGTCAAAAGTTCCAGTAGATTTTGGGCACAGAACAGTAGGAAAAAGTGAGTGAAAAAAAGCCTTCCAGGCAACTGCTCTTCTTTGATCCAAAAAAAGTGTTCCTTCAGTTTTTATGTATGAAAACAACAAAAAAGAACAGTTGAAAGGCACAAGCTTCTAAAAGACATCTCACTGGAAATTACTTCTTCTAAAATACCGAGTTCACCTTGTCACTCCCCAGCTCTCCAGTCTTCTCTATAGATGATGTCTTCTCTATAGATGAATCCCCAATCTGGTTTCTCTAAAGTTAGTGTTCAACCTGCCTCCTAAGCTCGTTTCTCATTCCCCTACAGAACCATTCTATCTACTCAAAGTGTTTTGTACAAAAAAAAAAAAAAAAGGTTCTCATTTCCAGTCTTTCAAACACTATTTTCTAGCCTCAAATCCAGGTCAGCTTTGTGGGTGTAAGACCAGGGCCCTCGCACAGGGTTCCACTTTCAGAAGGGAAAGTGACTTAATGCTCCATGCTCACCATCTTGAAGTTATTTGCAGTTTAATGCTCCATGGTCGCCATCTTGAAGTTCTTAAGAATTGTGCCTGTGAACTTGCATTTTGTCAGTCCATGGGCCAATGGAGCCTCAGTTCCTGCACAGTCCCACCTCCCACCACCGCCCTGCCTCCCTGAGATGGGTTCCTGGTCCCACTCAACTCCACTTCCCTGTCCTTGCCCCACAGCCAACTTCACCCTCAGCAAGGGCCTTGGCATGGGCCAGGGAGAGCTGAGGTCAAGCATGTACCCTATAGAAACTTGGGCCATGGCAAGGTGGAAGCGTCCTACCCTGGGCTCACAGTGCCACAGCACAGTCAGCCTTTTAACTACTCAAGCATGAAAAATATCCTGGAACCAAGGCTGCAGTCTCTTGAGGATCTTCCCCAACCCCCAACCCCTGGTGTGGATTGGGGCAGTGAGCCTGTTTGACAGGGAGACAATTTCCCTGTCCTGGCTGGGGCCCTGCATTCTCATGTTGCACTGGGCCCTGCAAATTCTGTAGCCTGCTCTGCCTAGAATATTAGATTCCCCACCCTTCTGTTTCCTTTAGATTTCATCCTGACAATTTTAGCTCTTTATTCAAACTGTTAAGATTATTTGGAATTATAATCATGCCATCATGACTGCTACACACATGGCTTTTAAACAGTTCTCTAAACTACTGATACAAAGGGTAACAGAGCTAAAGATAGAGTTTTGTATGACCACTGGAGGCCACTTGTTGGCTTGTCTTAATTTATGAGCTCTTTTTTTGTTATCAACTCATTGATCTGACACCCTGCCTCTTATTGCCAGGCTGGCATCTATCCAGCTTGTCCTCAAGGTGGATCATTGCTAAATACTACCTCCTTCCTCCTCCTTCTGCCACCTTGGCCCACCTCAGCTGGATCCACTTTTACCTCCCATCCCATAAAGTTTGGTTCTACCCCAGTATCTCAGACCAGTAATCATTTGAATTCCTTGTCAAAGAGAGAACGTTCACCAGACAGTTGTTTAAAAAAAACAAGGCTGGTTTTATTCAGACCACTGCAACAAGGGAGAAAGACTCCAGCATAAACTGAGGTAACCCTCAGTGAAAGAAAAGGCGGAGGCTTTTTCAATGCTGGGGTGCACCAAGCGAAAAGTCCTGGGGGGTGTTCCAGGGAGATTGGGCAGGGTAATTAGGCATCTCCCACAGAGACTAGGAGCAGCAGCCCTCTCCTTCCTGATGATTTCACTGCAAAGGTATGGCTCCCAGGTCCTTGAGAAAGGCATTCCTGGGTTGCAGAAGATACATCTTAAAGAGACAGAGGAAGAGTTTACAGTCATAAGTTTTCTAAGGTAAATGCTCTAAGAAAAGGGCAGTCAGGAGCCTGTAGTCAGATTTTGGCTGGAACAAGCAGCAAATGCTTTTGGCATGGTGGAGCTTTCTCAGGCAGGCATTTAAGGAAGTTGGTGTCCTCATCTTAGGGATGTGGCGTTGAGCTGATAGAAGATGTTCTAGAGTTTGGTCAAGTCTCTTAGTGTGAGTGGTCAAACGAGTCATTTGTATCAAGACTTTTACTGTTCTCATCTTAAGCCACTCTAGTCCCACATTCATGTGACTGAGGATGCAGTGTCCCACCAGCGACCACTGGTCTCCCTGAGTCTCAGCACCCCTGCCCCCCATCATGGGGCACCCTTTTGGTGTTCAAGAGCCAAGCCTGACTCCTTTCGACAAAACCCTCAGGAACTGGGACTTTGTGTCAGTCTTTCTCAGGAACTGAAACCTTGTCCTTGACCTTTCCTGGAAGCAACAACAGGATGGGCAGAGACACTATTTGCCTAAAGAGCTGTTGCTCTTTAGGGAGAAAGGTTATACCCCTTACTCCCTGACAGAACCTGCTCTATCAGTGGTGTCCACGCCAGGGATTAACCTGCTAGGGGCAGTGGTTCTGGGGCAATGCCCAGCAATCACTACCATCTTGCCTTACACAAAGTACTTTGCCCATACCATCTCTTTTGATCCCTCACAAAAGGCCCACAAGGGGAAAATGATGCTCCAGGGATTCAGTCATGCAGGGAATTCAGGAAGTTAATAATTATATTTTCATTTTGTTTCTAACTTCTGCACCAAGGATAATGAGACTCAGATGGAGGAAACTAATGCCCCAAGTAGATGAGAATGTATTCGGAGAGCATTAAGTGTCTTAAAATGAGTATAAGTCTTTAGGCTCCAAAAGTAACTACCAGAAGCATTGAAGAAGTGATCAGAGAGCCACGTTAGTGGGTTTCTAAATACCCTGGAGAATGGAGGAAATGCCAAAAGGTTAAATATAGCAAATGGTTTCCTGATGGTCATAAAAGGGAGAATTGGTTGTTCATAGCAAGGCAAGGGCTCCCAATCCGTAAGCTTCCTGTGGATTTCCAGGGAAATTCCCAAACTAGTATTAGGCATACCTTGGTGAGCTCTTAGGAGGACACCACGACAGATATAGATGCACATGAAAAAGCGTTTTTTCTACTTTATTGATGATTAAACTAATAGATGAAACTGAACTGAGAAGAGTACCACAGATAACAGAATACGGATTCAATGGTCTTCTAAACCATCAGAAAGGGGAAAAATATCAGAATTTAATTGAACAGCAATAAATGCACATTTTTTTAGGGGTTGAAACTGTCACCTGCAAAAGCATTTGATGAAGAAAACCCAGCTTGATGGCAATTTATATTTTAAAATCCAGGTTTAGTTTTAATTCATTGCCTTCATGCTTAATATAAGGCAACAACTAAGACAGCCACCAAAGTGTCTAACCCAACTTTATGCCATATTAATTAAAGTTGAAAAAAATAAAATGAAACTAGGTCAGAGCTTCAATATACTAGGCAAGAGTATGTACTGGAATATTGGGAAATAGGAAAGTCCAGGCTGACTTTCATTAAGAGTAATATTGACAACTTGAAAATATATAGACTGGTGGGTGTTCTTACAGAAACTGCCCCCTTTTGATATAAGAGGCAGCCTGATTACGGTGAATACAATTTTTTTTAATCCTAATTTATGAAGTTTTTTTGGTTGGAATTGGAAGAAACTTAACTGTAAGTTCTCAACAAAAAGTAAAATTGTGTTACTTTATTGGCTCAAGAAACTGGGAATTATGGGGTAAGGAGGTGGAGAATGATTGGCAGATTTCTGAGGCCAGAGACTTCGTACTTCTGGACCTTCTCTCTCTCTTCCTCCTTTTATTGTGGCTTCTTTGTACCAGTTCAGCATTATTATCTTCTACTGTGGGTCAACGTTCTCCATGTGCTCCCAGTGGCAGAGTTGGAAGGTGTAAAGGCGGGATGCAAAGGGGGTGGGGTTAGGCAAAGCGGGTGGGGTTTGTCAAGAAGTCCATTACAATTGGAAGACCACCTAAAAATATGTGGCTGGAATGAGAAAGAAGCAGTTCACCAAAAGAAGGAAAAAGAGGGAATGCTACTTGCAGAAGATGGATAAAAGGCACTAGGGAAGAAAAAAAAAAAACATAGACATCTCCCCAACTTCCCAGTGGTAAATGGGTAGATTCTACTACCTTCCATAGATGTTACAATCAAACTTTATTTAGAGTAAATGTAAAAATATAAACTCATTCAAAAAGGTAACCTTTGCTTTATGCCATAGATTACTAAACAGTTGTTTGCAACTGAACTTTTAAATAAATTTTATTGAGATATAATTTACATGTGTTCAGTTTGGTAATGTTCAGTTCAGTGAGTTTTGACAAACTTATACACTTTTGTGACCACTGCTAAAACTAAAATATAGAATATTTCCATCTCTACAAAAAGTACCTAATGCCAATTTGCAATCAGTCCAACAATTCCGTGCTCCCTTGATCCCAACCCCAGGCAAACATTAATCTGCTTTTTGAGAGATTTCTAGATCAGATTGGTCATTTCTAGAATTTCATGTATATGAAATTATACAGTGTGTACTCTTTGGTTTTTGCTTCTTGGACTCAGCAAAACCTTTTGAGATTCATCTGTTATTATATAGAAATTCAATTTCTATGTAATATTCTATTATGTGGATATATCAGAATTGGTTATGCATTCACCAGCTGATGGGCATTGGGGTGTTTCCAACAAAGCTGCTGTCTACATTTGTTGTGGGTTGAATTGTGTCCCCCAAAAAGACAGGATGAAGTCCTAACCCCTGGTACCTGTGAATGCCACAGATAGGCACAGACAGAAATAGGGTCTTTGAAGATGTAATTGAATTAAGATGAAGTCATCAGGATGGGCCCTAATCCTATATGACTGTATCCTTATAAGAAGAGAAGAGACACAGACACAGGGGCCTGCATGGAGAATGCCATGAGATGATGAGGCAGAGCTGGGAATAACGCATCTACAAGTCAAAGGGCACCAAGGGTTGCCACGAACACCAGAAGCTAAGAGAGAGCCAGGGAACAGATTCTCCCCTAAGCCTTCAGAGAGAGCATGGCCCTGCCCACACCTTGGTTTTGGACTTCTTTCTCAATTACTGTGAGAAAATATGTTTCTCTGCTGTTTAAAGCCACTCAGTTTATCGTAATTTGAGTTTGTTACAGCAACCCAGGAAATAAGCCAGCATTCAAGTACCCATCTTTGTGTGAATATATTTTTATTTCTTTTGCATAAACACCCAGAAGTGGGATTGCTAGGGGTTGTGTGGTATGTTTAATTTTACAATAAATGCCTAATCTGTTTTCCAAAGTGCAGTAAATTTTACATTTCAGCTACCAATGTAAAGAGTTACAGTTGCTTCATATCCTCACCAACACTTAGTATTTTCAGTCATCTTAATTTCCCATTATGGCTTGAATTTGCATTTCTCTGATGGCTATTGATGTTGGGCATCTTTCCATGAGCTTATTGGCCATTGGTGTATCTTCTTGATGAAGTATCTCTTCAAGTATTTTGCCCATATTCTAGGGTGCAATGTTTTTACTACATATATGCTTTGCATGTATTTTCTCCCAGTCTGTGGCTTGCTTTCCATTATCTTAATGATGCTTTTTGAAAAGCAGAAGTTTCTGTTTCCATAAAGTCCATTTTTTTCTTTTTTTTCACTTTATGGTTTTGCTTTTTGTGTCCTATGAAATCTTTGCCTACCCAAGGTCACAATGATCTTATCCAATTTTCATTTCTACAAGTTTTATCATTTTAGCTTTTACATTTAGGTCTATGTTTCATTTTGAGTTAATTTGGCGTTTGTCATGCTAGGTAAATGTCAAAGTTCTTTTCCTGGTGGAATCTAGTTGTTGGAATGAGTTAACTTCACATCTTTGTCAAAACTCAAGTAGCCATATGTGTGGGGGTCTATTTTTGGATTCTGTATCTGTTCCATTGATCTATATTTGTCTCCTTACCCCAATACCACACTATCTGAATACTTCAACTTTATAGTAAGTCTTAGAATCATGTTGTGCAAGACTTCCAATTTTATTCCTTTTCAAAATTGCATTGAGATTTATCTGTTTGTTTGCTTATGTCTTTATCTTGAAATAGGTAATAAATGCACGCAAAGAGGTTTTCAGTAAGAAATAAGTCTTTCTGCCATTCCTGGCACCTCGGCTCCCAGTTCTCCTCCCCAGAAGAGGCCACTTACAAAAGTTTCTTATTGTTTTCTTTTTCAGAGATTATAATTAAATTTTCAAAAACAGAGTCAGACTTTAAATTTACTATTTAAAGTCATGTTATTTATAGGCACTTTTAAAAGGGAAAACATAATGGCCTAATTTTATTTTCCATATCAATCCAAATTGCCAGTAAGTGTACTTGCCTCTGAGGCCAGTGAATATTGGAAAGATTCAGCCTTTCCTAATGATACACTTAATTTTATCCCCAAGAAAAGAGGAGCAGGGACGTTTGTGTGAATCACCCAGTCACCTTAATTCTGCTAGAGTTATTTAAAAATGCTGCTTATTTTTAGTTTAATTGCAGCATAATCATATAACATCAACTAATCAGAGCTTGGTGACACTAACAAATTGATCTTCAGTACAATCCCAGAAGCCTAGCTAAGAATCATCTGAGTATGTGACTCAGAGGTCACTCACCTCAAAGATCAAGATATTCCAAAGCTACAAATGCATGGATAGAATTCCATTTAACAAACACTTATCAGTTATCACATGAGTATAAAATCTTACACTAGGCAACGTAAGGGAATACAGAGACAGATCAAAGCCTACTGATCCCCTCTAGGAATTTACAATCTAGAAGGAAGGCAGGTACATACATGCAAACATATCTGGTACAATTAAAAGTTCTAGTACTGAGGTTTTCATAGGAAGGGAGGCACATTCTGGAAACTAGATGATGATACCAAGCAAACACTTGTTGGAGTCAAACTGCTCAGAAATTCTCATTTCAGGAAGATGTCTATGCAGTGTATGGTTCTCCAGACTTGTATTTCACTCTTACTACAAGGAATTATTTTATCTCTAAACTAGGTCAGTGGTTTTTCGGAATATAGGTACATAGAAAAAGAAGATAGTGTTAGAGACTGGGAATCTGTCTTTGTTAATTCCTAAGTTTGTCCTGTTGATCACATTTAATGACTATCCTGTGTATACTAAAGAAAAGTAACAGAGTTCTCCTCCCACTGGTGAAATAAAAAATGGATTTGGTGACTTGTTTTCTTTGGAGGGAGAGAGATAAGCAATGACTATTGCCAAGCCTAAGAAAGTAGGGAGGGGAAAAGAAGAGATAGTCCTACTGGAGCAAGACTGAGAGAGATTCCTGGCTTCCTCTGAGACTTGGCGTTTCCTCTAGATTCTTCAGAAACCATGAAGGCTGAACACAAAAAGAACTGTATCTCAGAACTCACATGCCTGATTCAGAAAAGAAATAACATATTGTTGATTGTGGGTAAAATATGCAGGTTTGTGAACCTTAATGGCCCAGAATTTCTTGTTGTTTGTGTGTACAACTAACACTCGATGATTAATATGTGTAGTATAAGGTATTTTTCATTAAAACTTCCTATAACTTAGGAGAAAAGGTGCTTCTCCTATGATAAAGGTACTCTTGGGGACCCTGAGAGAGAAGATTATGCTTTACTAAACAAGCTGTGCTGAGGAAGTTCACAAGAAAGTATTCAATTAAAGTGCTACATTTGTGTGTATCTTGGTGTCATCATTAATTACTGAATAATGTATTAAGTACTCCACAAGGATCACAGAGGTCAGAGCTTACAAACTCTAAAGGTTGATTTACAATTTTATTTATATGCTCATTGATTAAATAAATAAAAAACTAGTGCCTTGCCAGGGTCACACAAATTTAAAGTAGAAGTCAAAAACCCTCCTGCTCTTACCATTGATTTGCTATTTTATTTACATGAGTTAAGAATGCATTCAGCTGCAAGTAACAGAAAACCCAACTAATAGGAGCTGAAACAAGTAGAGATTTATTTTTCTCATGTATCAAAGCAGTCCAAAGACTAGTTGCAAATAATGTTGGTATACCTGTTCAATAAAACCATCAAGGACCTAGGCTCTTCCTATCTTTTCCTTCCACCATCTCTAATATCCTTAGCATGTCTTTGTAATTGTCACTGATTCATCACAAAATGGCTGTAGAGGATCCAGTCATCTTATCTACATATAAGACAGGAAAAAGAAGGAAAAGCTGGCACCATCTCAACTGTCCCCTTTATCAAGGAAAGCAAAAGGTTTCCCAAAAGCCAGCAGGACTACGATCAACATTGGCTAGAAATGGGCTACGTGGCCACCCTAGCTGTGAAGGCAGCTGGGAAAGTGAATAACTGGCTCATTTGCCATTGCTGGAGAAAGAAGGTTGAGAATGGCTGTGAAGTTAGCCACTTAGTGGTTGCCACCACAGTATATAATCAAACCATTACACTTCCTTAAGCTCCAATTTTCACACCAAAAAGCAGTGTCAAAAGGCACGTGATTATAACTAAATCAAAATAAGGAGAAGTGCACAGATGCCTGAATATATAACGAACTGGACTGGTTAGCATCTCTAGCTTCATTGGAAATTTAGCCCTTTCTGCCTGTAAAAGATAACCTGGGGTAAGTCAGAGCACCAGGGGGCCTTGTTTGCTTTGCAGCTGGAAATCAAAAGCTTGGAATAATAGAGTAGCTGCACCGAGGGGTGAGCTTCCTCTCATCATCACACCACCCATCTCACTTCAAAGCCTCATTTATTGGGCGGTAAGCCTTTGAAGCCTTTTGGTCCAAAACTGAAGCATCTCCCAGCAAGTCCCTGATTTTCATGTGCTCAAAAGTACAACACATTAGCATGTATTCGGCACTGGGAGGACAGTGATCTTTTGGGTTTGCAAACTTCTGTGGCTGGTAGTTGTAGTGTGTTTTTCATGTTGTCATTGTCATTGTTTAATCCAGTATTTTGGGAAACCACTAAAAAGGGCACCAAGTGCAATGAGATTCTTTTCCCACTGTTCTGCATTTCCTGGGATCTTCACTCTAACAATAAAACAGGAATGCTGGGATAAGACAACAATGAGTATAACTGTAAAAGATAAGTTGTCTGTATACCTTGGTTTTTTTTTAAATCAAGAATGATAACCACAATTATTTGGGGATGCAGGTATATGTTAAAGACTACTGAGAAAAACATAACGCAGACAAGACAGACTCAGTGGCGCAACAGACACAATGACAGTAGGAGAACACAGTCCATTGAATAGTATTAAAACCTGGAATTTTGATAGATAGATAGGTAGATAGATAGATAGATAGATAGATAGATAGATAGATAGATAGATAGATAGATGAAGGAAGGAAGGAAGGAGAAGGGAAGGGAAGGGAAGAGGGAGGGAGGGAAGGAAGGAGAGAGGGAGCAAGAGAAAAAGGAGAAAAGGGGAAAATAGAAGAAATAAACAAAACAGCAAGAAAGTAAGGCAAAAAAGAATCTGAACTTGTACTTTGTTTTGAAAAGAAGATAGAAACAAATAGCAAATGCAGTTATTTGGTCTTAGAAAACTCAACCTTAAAAATCCGAAAACGAATATGATTTGTTCCCCTATTTCCATTCCCTTCTGGCCTGAGTAATACAACCTGGACACAAGGGGATTGTGAATTACTGAGATAGTCTTCTTTAACATCTTCCCTTAACAATCTGACTACCCTGAGGATGGCTGTAAGTGCAGAAAAGAGGTGACCATTTTTTTAAAACTCAGTGTGGTTCATATTGACTTACCACAACAAAGACAAACACTACAACAAGAAAAATTATTATTTTAACTCCCATTCAAATTTCCTTTTAGCTTACATTGAGACTACAATTTGTATTAAAATTACTACTGAATGAAAATATTGGTACATCCAGGTGAGTGGTTATTTCTAAAGTAAGATCTCTGATATTTAGTTATACATGACATTGCAAGTGCATTATTCACCGATTGTTCTAATGAGTATAAGAAAAGAAGAAATGTGATAATTAATAAACTTAACTGCAGAATTTCAGCTAAGATCATAAGACCAGAAATACGAACTTGCTACCATCAGTCTTTCTTGTCAGGAGCATTACATTCTGTTTAGTTTTTCATGCACCAGAGTTGTTATGTTAATAACTGTATGATGGTGGAGTGGAAAGAACACAAACTCAGTGTCAGAAAGACCAACGGGGGCTGGGCGCAGTGGCTCACTCCTGTAACCCCAACACTTTGGGCCGAGGCGGGCGGATCTTAACACTTGAGACCAGGAGCTCAAGACCAGCCTGGCCAACATGGCAAAACCCCATCTCTACTAAAAATACAAAAATTAGCCAGGTGTGGTATCACACATCTGTAATGCTAGCTACTGGGGATGCTGAGGCAGGAGAATCTCTTGAACTTGAGAAGCAGAGGTTGCAGTGAGCTGAGATCGTGCCACTGCACTCCAGCCTGGTTGACAGAGAAAGACCCTGTCTCAAAAAAAAAAAAAAAAGACTAACCAATCCAGGATCCCTCATGTCCTATCTGTGACCATGGATCAATTATTTAACCTCCTGTGCCTCAGTATCCTCATTTGAAAAATGGAAATGGTAACATCATACCACAAAGGATAATTGTATTTAATGAAGTGACATACAATGTATAGGATACCTGGCACACAGAAGGTACTCAAATCAATGACAGCTGTGTTTCCTGCCCATGATGGACAACAGGACTCATCTGCCCTAGAAAGATCTGGTTTATCAAGAGGGCTGTTTGTGGCAATTCTGGAGTTGTGCAATGCATTATCTGCATGTCCTTAAGCGGTAGCCCTCTGCTTTAATCAGTTCTTCAACAGAGGCAATGCACTCTTTTTTCAGACTATTGGCCAGGGTTAGAAATGCTAGTATTGCAACTAAGCTAATGAATAGGGACACAAAGGGAGTCAGATATGGGTCTCGTTAACACCATACTATAAGCCAGGGGTCAGAAAACAGCCCTCTAGCCAAAATTATTTTTGTAAATAAAGTTTTATTGGAACACAGTCACATTGATTCATTTACATAGTGTCTATGGCTTCTTTCACACTACAACAGCAGATTTGACTAGTTGTGGCAGAGACCATATGGCCCACAAGCCTAAAATACTTACTATCTGTCTCTTTGCAGAAAAAGTTTGCTGAGCTTCTCTCTAAGAACCCAAACTACAACTATATTCATAGATTCAGTTCATCAGTGGGTCACATTTTACAGCCTATCATTATAGTAAGCTTGGTGTTGTTTACAAATAAAATGGACAGCAGCCCCTGACAAGAGGTTCATGGTCTTATAAGAAGACTTGAGGACATGAAAGCAAGCAAGGACTTGTATTAAATTATAAAGTACCCAATTATATAATGGAGGCTACAAATGATACAAGAATCCCAGGATGGGAGAATTCAAGATATGCTGGAGTCTCAAGAGAATCCTTTCCAGAAGAACTGGGAGAGGAAGCAAACTTTTCAGGAGGATACATGCAACATATATGGAAAGGAAGCAAAGGTTTCCAGGCAAGAGAGGAGGCAGAGGAAAGCCACAAAAGCAAGAAAAAGTATGATTACCAGCAAATAAATGAGCCCTAATACAGGACGTCAGGAGAGGCTGTACAGGCAGGGGGAGGAGAGTGGGAAAAATGAGGGTGTACAATCTGACTGGGGGAAACTGGAAAGATCTGGGTCTAGAGAGATTGGACTTGACTCTAGGCAGGAGAGAGCCATGATCGCTCCCTGTGCAGTACATCCACAGTGTGATTAAAGTCATTTGGGAAGAAAAGAGATTAGAGATAAGAACCCCAATCAGAGTTTTTTGCATTAATTCAAGTGTAATATGATGACATGATTATTTGAGTAGAAGTAGGGGAAAGAGACAGATCTGAGAGACTTAGTAAGCCAAAACTTGGTGACTGGTCTATATGACATGTAATGGACTGGAAAGAGTCTCAAGGATGATTCCAGAATTTCCTGATGGGAAGCCTGGTAGCATGGTGGTACCATCAACAGAAAGGGGAGCCAATTAAGAAGAAAATATCTATACTCCCCTTTTTGGCCCCTCCTTTTTATTGTGGTACAAGATATATAACATAAACTTTACCATCTTAGCCATTTTTAAGTGTGCAGTTCAGTAGCGTTAAGTATATTCACATTGTTGTGAAACTGATCCCCAGAACTTTTTCATCTTGCAAATCTGAAACTCTATTAACAACAACCCTCCCTTTCTCCCTCACCTCAGCATTTATGCTCCTTTTAAATAGACTCAATATTGCAGAATTTCAAGTAATCAGAAATGATGAGTTTGGACCTCGAATCTTATATTTATGAGATTTGCAGGCTGAAGCACATCACATGCTACATTCATTCATTCATTCAACAAATGTTAATTGAGTACCTGCTAGTAGATGATAATTGGGGTATGCTCTGGAGATAATAAGATGAATAGCATATGACTCCTGCTTTTAAGGCAGACAATAATAAATTTGGTAAAGAAGTTCCCACTAGTAGTGGAGACAGAATTGAAAAAAATAATCCCAGCTAGGTGGTATAAAGACTAAATCAGAAATGGGTTCAAGGCACAGTGGTCAAACAACCAATGATCATCAAACAATCCTAACTTAACTGGTGTCAGATGATGTTGTAATTATAAATGGTAAGAATGCAGGAGAAGAGAGTAAATTTCTTAATATTGGAAGTATGGAAACAAGAGATCTCCTAAGCAAGGAGAATATTACTAGGGTCAGAATGAATAATAGGTAAAAATATTTAAAACTGACATAAAAAAGACAAGTAACATTTGAGAAAACGCAACCCATATCTCAAAGATCATAAAATTGTTTACCTTTGTATATTCATTTAACATTTAATTCTTTCCCAATTTAAAGTTAGTGACTTTCCTCCTAATGCTACAAATTGTTAATTACAGGGAGCAAATTCACTTTAGAATAATTAGCTTTAGACAATTTGGGTGAAGTACACTTTTTTCCATAGAATAGGGATATTTAGACAGCATTTCATCACCGTACAACCCGTTACAGCTCATCTAGTTCCCTAGAAAGCATGTAGAAGGTGTTTTGGAAATTTGTTTGTGTAGGTATTTTTCTATGTTTCATTGATGCAAGGGGCTCTACTACCCTTTAATGTGGGAGGGCCGGAAATGCTAGCCATCCTGCAATGTGCAGGGTAGCCCCACACCACAGAGAATTGTGCTACCTCCAGCATGACTTTCTAACATGCTACACATTCGTGTAGGTGAAAAACCTCTTTGTGATTAACTTAGCCTACAGCCTAACTTCATTCTATATATAAATGCACTTTTTTGCACTATTTTAGTAAATACTGAATTTTCTAGGAATGCAAGTACACTGAAAATCCAAAGACAATTGTGATGTCTTGCTTGAAACTTTACCAATAGTTGTCTACCATTTTGGACATTCATTTAGAAAACTGCGTTACCAGCAGCATTGCCTCTCGTGGTATATGAGAATAACCAATACGAAAACGTCTTTAACAGTCTGCACTTTCAGCTGTTTGTTCCAAGTTATTCCATTTTAATTTACAAATATTTTTATGTCACCCTTATTCCAAATGACAAATTTAAAGAAAAAGTATAAACATAGCTTAGTCTTACTGCTCTGAAAACCAAAGTTATTCATTATAAGCATGTGCAAGTATCTGACCACTTTATTATGAGAAGTGGAGGTAACAGTGAGCTGAGATCACGCCACAGCACTCCAGCCTGGGTGACAGAGCAAGATCCTGTCTCAAAAAGAAAAAAAAGACCAACCAATCCAGGATCCCCCATGTCCTATCTGTGACCATGGATCAATTATTTAACCTCCTGTGCCTCATTGTTTACGGAATGAGTGACGAGTATTGAAGGTGACTCTTAAAGAGCCCGGCTCATAGAAGGAGCTCAGTAAAACAATCTTTACCAATTTCTCAATATTGAAAGTACGGAAACAAGAGATCTCCTAAGCAAGGAGAATATTACTAGGGTCAGAATGAATAATAGGTAAAAATATTTAAAATTGACATAAAAAACACAAGTAACATTTGAGAAAACACAGTACCTTTGTATAGGCACGCCTTTACCTATGGAATACAGGCAATTTTATTATAAATTACTTTCCATTTATTTCTTACTGATTTACAGATTTATATTATATTGATTTTGAAATTTTATGTTTGTTAAATTAGTTATGAATTTCATTTCACATGAAAAACTTGAGGCCTGGAGAGGTGATAGGTCTTACCCAAGTTAGCTAGCTATTTAGTGGAAAAATCAGAGAGAAGATTGTTTTACTGAGCTCGTCCCATGAGCCGGGCTCTTTAGGAGACACCTTCAATACTCGTCACTCATTCTGTAAACATGTACTGCATGTTCACCAGCGCCTGGCTTGTGCTAGGGCCTGATCTTGCCGAGCTGCACAGTTCTTGCCCTCAAGTGAAGGCAGACCAGAAAAAAATCAACTCTCATAAATGCATAAGTACATGAAGTGGTGGTGTTACAGAGAGGAGGAATCCAACTAAGCCTGTAGGGTTCAAGATCCTCTTCCAAGAGGAACTGACACTCAAGCTTCAATGGCAGGTAGGAATAAATGAGGTGAACAGGGAGTAGAAAATATTTCAAGCCGAGAGAACAGATAATCTTGGAGGAAAGTCCAGGAGACCATGGCACTCCTACAGAACACGAAGTACTTCAGTTGGTGTCAGCTGAGGGTAAGAACACAGAAGTGGTGGCAAATGGAGCTGGACAGAAGGGAAGCACACAGCTCATGGAGAGCCTGTTCTCCCTGGTCAAAGAAATTAAATGTTCCCTTGAAGTTCACAAAGGAAATGGTGAGGATTTTTAATAGATGTGTGACACCAGGTAATTCACTCTGGTGGCAGTATAAATTTTTAAATGGAACATTTTGCAATAACCCAGACAAGAAGTGAACTGGATTAAGGGAGTGGCCTTGGGTGGGGAGGATGAAATAGACAGCAATGATATAGGGGAAGCAGAATTCACAGAATTTGGTGACTGATGGAATTTTCCAGGTTGAGGGAGAGGGGAGACTTGAGAGTGACTTGCTACTGGCTTGGACAATGTGAATAATAAAACCCTTCACTACCGTGAACATGGAGGAGGAAGTGGGTAGTTTGGAGGGTGAGGGAGAGAAAGAGTGAGTGTGGACTGGGATATGCTGGGTACATGCATGGATGGGCATCCCGGTGGAGACACAGATCTGAACTCAGGAGGCATTTCTGGACTAGAGGGATTAGGGATGCTTATCTAAGAAGTATCAGCATAGACCGTCCCTCATTTAATCCCCACAACTGCCTTATGAAGCAGTTGTTATAGCCTTATTTGATAGACAAGAAAGCCAAAGCTTGCCCAGTCACAGTGTTGGAGAGCTAGGATTTTCTCCTTGGTCTGTCTGAGTCCAAAGCCTACACTGACCCCATGGGCCCTCCACATCAGGAGTTTTATGATTTGCAGTGAAGCATCTTCCATTATCGCAACCTGTTCTCCATAATGGTTGCATGGAGAAATACATCTTTCCAGAAATCACTATAAATGACTTCCAGGTTTCCCAAGAAATCTGGGAATACCTGATTGTCAGAAACAGAGCAGTACCTTGATATATGTGATAGCAAGACAATGGGAAGCCTCTGTTACTGCATTCTTGGAGTTCACATTACTAAGTTACAGCTCTAGACAAAAAGTGGGCAAAGGAGGGTCCCCCAGCTCTCCTTAAGGACCCCAGCATCCAGGAAAATGCCCTCGTTGTTTTACACAAAGAACAACCACCACCCTCAGCTAATGGGTAAAATCCACTTCAGATAATAAACTGCTGCATTTATTTGATATCTTATTAGATTTGCTTCAAAGACACTAAATCAAAGAGTGGCATTACTGTTCATCTCCTGAATTTCACATCAGGGAAAGAAGGGGGGGTGGGTAGGTGGATAACTGTACAGAGGACTTACTTGAAAGTCACAGATGGGCTTAATGAGAACAAAGAAATAAGCAGCCAGCAGGCCCCTGCCCTCCTGTGTCTGCACACGGCTCTCCCCGGCCAGGTGCTGACTCTTTCTGCAGCCCTAACACCAAGGAGGTTCAAGACTGATGGCAACACAAGGTCCAAATATCTATCACGTGCCAAAGTGAAGGAGTTTACATGTGATTAAAAACACTTTCACATTACCACAAGACAGCAATATGAACTGTGACCTAAAGCCTCAGCATACTCTGCCCCCATCATACCCCAGCCCACTCATGCCCTATGTTCTTAAAGAGCTCATGCAAAAATTCCCCACCTGGCTCCACTCATTCCAGGCTTAAACCATCCATAAGCTTCCTGGAAGCCTCAAGACTTGAAACACACCCTTGACCCTCAGCAGACTCATGACACTGGCCAGAGCTGCAGGGAGAAGCCCTCACTGAGAGCTCTGTGCTGACTCCCAGATGGCCAGTCCTTCCAGGACTGACCAGATGGTTCAGACAGCAAGGTCTCTCTGTCTGGACATACTAGTCATTTGATGAAAGTCAAAATATGTGATGGCTGCAGTCATTACCCAAGGCTTCTGTCATCATCGCATTCCCAGATTCTTTGGATTTGGCTGGGCAAACAGACTGGACAAGGCTCGGCTGCTGCTTTTGCTATTCACAGACACCACTTAAACTGAGTGATCCCCTTTCAAAACCTGCTCCCATGATCCAAATTCTTCTGGAAGATGAGATTTCTGGTTAAGCAAAAGTCAGCTGTGCACGGATGGTTTGAAAATTCTTCCCTCCCCTCATCTTCATGTACACCCATCATTGCCACGTCATTGCCCCTCCCAGACCCTTCCTTATAGCAGTCATTATCTATCCCACCAGGCCACCCTCCTGGGCTGGAAGATAGAAGCATGACCCATGACATGACTGAAGGTGCAGGGTCTTCAGTCTGGGCAGTTTAAACCATGATTTAACAGGATGTAGACAAAGAACCCTGCAGCTGGGGACTCAAGTTTCTTGCTCCAACTAAACCCAGAATCTGCCCTTTCCTAGTAAAGTAAACTGTAACCTGAATTTCTCAACTACAAAATTAGGACAATACTAGTCACTCTCTCTGTCCTGCTAACCTCTCATGCATAATGTGAGGATAAAATGAAAGTAGAGATGTGACTATGGTTTAACAAAGCGACTATGGTTTAACAAAGCCAAAAATATAATATACAGTATTATTACCAAGAGCAGATCACGTCCTCTGCACCATGTATCCCACCTAAGCAGGATTAATGTTTTTAACACTCAGTTTTTCCCACTCAAATATCAGATCCTTGGTTCTTATTTATTTATTTTTTTTAGAGATGGGGTCTTTCTCTGTCACCCAGGCTGGAGTGCAGTAACTCACTCATAGCTCACTGCAGTCTCAACTTCCTGGGCTCAAGTGACCCTCCTACCTTAGCCTCTAGAGTAGCTGGAACTACAGGCACGAGGCACCACACCAGGCTAGAACCTTGATTCTAACAGTCAGTAGTATCTGGAGGAAGTCTTTAACTGAACCCCATATGAAATTGACAATAAGACTTTTTGAGAAGACTGGACTGGTATTCTGTAATGAGAATTGTCTATTATTTCACTAGATATTCTAGACAATTGAACCTGGTCCTAAATTTTCTCCCCCTAAGAAACTAGTGATAACCTTCAACCAGTGTAGCTAAGATACAGCTGTTTCTTGGATCAGTTTCTTATTTCTTTACATCCTGAGCAGTCTATGTGCCAGGACATTTTCTTCTATTAATAAAGCCATCTTAGTTTGTGTCTCTGCAATTGCCCAAAGCAAGTCCCCAAGAACCAAATTAATATCCTGTGATAGCAAGCTCCATTTCCCTTGACTGTGCTCGGCACAACATGAGTTGCAGCTTGACGCAGGAATCGACATGGGGCCCTCAGCTCTGTGCTCCTCCATCATCACTTTCTTCACCTCAAAATGAGTCCCCATGATATGCCATACTCTGCATAGGACAAAGTAGTGCACAAAAGCAAATGAGGTTTTTCCCTTAGAGGAGCTTATACTCCACAGCTGAGTTTGCTAAGGAGGCTGGGTTCTCTTTTTGAGAGCTGGTCCATGGGGTTTGTTATAAACACCATCAGCAGAAAGAGCCACTTCCTGTTGGTATCTGGGTCTAACACAGATCCCTAATTGCCCAGAAATTTGGGTGCCATAACAATGGTGACATCTCCCCAGAAGTGGGCACAGGGGAGCAACTTAGGGTATTCCCATTTCATCACTTCCCAGGATTCCACTTCCAGAGATTTCTTAAACCTGACTCCATGGTAAGTCTCTTAATTACATCAATACTCCCTTTGAGCACCTCCTATGTGCCAGGCCATGTGCTAAGAACTTTGCAATTAATCCTCTTAACAACTGTTATATTTTTTTTCAACAAATGAGGGAAAAATGGCTCAGGAATATTAAGTAACAAATCCAAGCTCACTAGAGGCAAGTGCTAGTAGAGTCAAGACTCTAACCTAACCTGACTCCAGAGACTCCCCCCAGATTGAAGAAGGTGAATACAACACAGCCAGGAGGCTCCAACATGTTTACAGCAATGAGATTTTTCCTTTTTGATCCATCTGTGGCTGAGAACAGAATTGACTCCCTTCCAGAAAAATCTAGTCTGGTCTCTGTGACTTGGAAAAATAGTCAAGTGCTAAGTGAGCCATTCAGGACCCAAGAGGGTAAAATTAACAAGCATGACAGCAGCATTCATTTTTCAGTGTCAGCAATGTTCCAGGTGTAAGGAAGGACCCTAATTATTATCAGGCCACACACACGGTTTTCCTTCCTGCCTTGTGGCTCAGAGTGGTCGGCAAGAGCTACAGGCATCTTCCTGCCACATGAGTGGAGCTAGCGGAGGCCAAACGTCACTCAGAGACACCCAGGCCCCACCCCAGAGACTGACAGGAGCAACTACCACACTCAGTCCTCTCTCGGTTCCAGGAGCCACCATGTCCAAGCCAGTCCAAGCCAGAGAAAGGGGCCAGGCATGCCTCACGCCACCTCCCGAGATAGGCTTTGTTATTTGAATTTAAGGCCACCCCGAACTGCATGGCAGTTTTCTTAGTGGCCTTCCACAGAGCCACCTGTCTCAAGGCAGCACTCTCAGGGTTCTTGCTTCCTACAACCGAAGCTGGAAGGAGGAACCTCAGATTCCTTTATGGGTAGGAAAGAGATTGCAGAGAAAAACAGCCTCTTTGTGAAAGGCTGATTTGAAAAGGCATGCACAGATGAGTTAGAATCTGGGACTGTGTCCAGGTGGAAGTCTTGCCTGGAATTCCTAATGCATTCTTTCTGTTATTAAAATAATATAAGCAACCGGGGTGGCTTGTTGCTTCTCTGCATGTAGTCAATTTGGCTCATGCTGTGTGACCATTTAAAATCTGACCTCAAGTGGTGCCAATTTAAAAATCTTTTCATTCTGGGTATGTTTCCATTCCACACAACAAGCCCATGGCTATTCCCTAAACTATTTTCTCCAAGCAAAGAGTAACTCAGTAGAACCAAGCTTCTTGCCAGACGTGATGCAATCAGCCAAGCCACCCAATGTCTTGTGTCCCTGGCTCCACCCCACTTTTCTCCCCACGGCCAGCTGTCTGCTTCCAACAGGTCCACTTTTCTGGTCTGTCCTGTCTTTCCCTAGAGCACAGTCCTCCCTTTATTGTCAGGGAAGGTGTTTTCAGGTGGCTGGGTAGACATGGCATTTTCTCCTTCTCACACAGGGAGAGAAGCTCTGCCCTGCCTCCCCCACCGAGCTGTGAGTCATCAACACACAAGATGACAGAGTCTTTTGCAAAGATAAATGATGGAGGTGGAAGATCAAGATGTACCTAGATTTGCCTTCTAAGAGCTAGTTTGCAACTTCCTTTGACCTCTATATTCTCCCAAAGAAACATGAGGTAAAACACAGAAAAAGCATCATGTTTTTCCTGAGGCATTCAGCCTTCCAAGATGTAGCTAAGAAGAAAGATTATATATGTATATAAATCTATAAAACCCTTATCTTGGTAGCTCTGATTCACCCACTTGTGTTGCCAAAATAACCTATTCAGGCTTTTAGGCATCTGGAGAAGTGAGAGTCACCCCTGGAACTCCTAAAGACCAAAGAGATGAGCTCATGCAAAATCTGCCACCTCAGTAACCTGCAAAGAAGCATGAAGAAGCTGAACAGGCGGGGCTTGGTGGCTCACACCTGTAATCCCAACACTTTCAGTGGCCAACGCAGAAGGATCTCTTGAGGCCAGGAGCTCGAGACCAGCCTGGGCAACGTAGTGAGACCCTCTGTCTACAAAAAATTTAAAAATTATCTAGGTATGGTGGTGTGTGCCTATAATCTCAGCTCCTTGGGAGGTTGAAGCGGGAGGACCGCTTGAGCCCAAGAGTTTGAGGCTGCAGTGAGCTACAATCACACCTCTGCACTCCAGCCTAGGCAACAGAATGAGAACCTGTTTCTTTTAAAAGAAGAAGAAGAAGCAGAAGCTGAGGAGCCCAGCACCTCCGCCTTCCTGCCATCACTGCCAGTTCCTTTGCCAGGGCTTTCCTCTGGCCCTCTAAGGACATCCTATTTTATCTGAGGCTCAGAGCAGATGAAAACGCAATTGTAGCACTTACAGCATCCACATAGGAACAGCCAGTTGTCATGATCTCTGAGAGGAAGGAAATAAGATGGTGTTTTATTTTTAAGTAGCCCAAGAGATTTCAATGATGGCATTAAAATTTTAATCACAAACTCCTTAAGTTAGGGGGAAAAAAATTAAAAAGCCCACAAAGGACTCATTGTATAAGAGAGTTTCACCATTTGGAGTTCTTTTATAAATTTGTGTCAGATCACAATTTGCTGTCTGAGAAATGTAAATTAGTTATTAATGAGCCAAAATTCTAACATCAAAGGCTGTGCAGCCACATGCCAGGGAGAAACAAAGAGCTCTCCCAGCACCGTCAACTGCTCCCCACCCTGGCCTGAATGCGGCATTCATCCTGAGGCGCTTTACTGCCTTATTAAGGAGATCACTTTTCTCAAATGTGATGGCACAGGGCACCTGGATCATTAGCGTCACCTCCACCTGAGCACTACGTGACTGTCAGAATCCCAGGCAGTAGGCAGTGTGTGTGCACCAAAAGGCAGCTTTCCACAAAGCTGCGCCGAGGCCCCCTTTCTGCCTCACTCGCGCAGCTGACCGTTTTCAAAGCACATTTAATGTTTGCAGCATAGCCCGACCCGAGGGCCATGGGGAACGCGGGTCTGTTTTTGAAGTATTCACATACAGTCTTCATATCCGCAGCCCTTTTTATTTCTATTCCAATCAACAGCCTAGATATAAAATGCACACACAGAATGAAAAAGAAGGACAGTTGTTTTTGAGCCTGTGGAAATGGCAGTAAGAGTCATCTCACGGAAGTCCTGCAGGCATTTGGAAATATTCATTTATTCATTCTTTCAGCAGATATTGTCATGCTCCTGTTGGGTGCTGACAGTGGAAATATAATGATTAGCAGAATAGACAGACCCTCCCCTCATTGGGCTCCCTGCCTAGTGAGGACAGACTGAAGTAACTGCTCTGATAACTCTACAGACAGTGCTGAGGGAAACCCCAGAGGCATGGGAACCCACAGCAAGGGGTCCCTGGCCTCGCTAGGGGACTGGGAATGGCTTCAATGAGGAGACATTCAGGCTGAGAGCAGAAGGAAGAGAGAGAGTTCACTAGGCAGAGAAGCCTAACAGGGGAGAGGTCAAGGCTGACAGCATCCAATAAAGAGGTGAGAGTTGGAAGCAGAAAAATGAATGCCCTCCATGGCTCCCTGGCCTAGATTCCTTCTCTCTTCAGAGCGAGGCCCCTGACCTCCACTGCCAGGCTTGGCCGGGTTAGAATCTCTGGTTGTCCTTAACCAGAAGCTTGGAGCACCCTGGGTTCCCAAGTTCAAATGACTCAGCCTCAGGTCACACTCGCTGGTGTCCCTTTTCCCTCTATGAGATTCTCATTCCTATGATCCCAGATCCAGTAAGAAGGACCCACTGTACCATGGTCCCAATGGCCAGCCCTCCTGCCACAGCCAGCAGACTACCTGTCTGTTTCCTCCTGTTGTCTGCACTTAGTTTCCCTGTTGCCACGTTTCACCTGTCCTCTGGACGATCCCCACCCTTGTGAAACCTTCCTGATAGGCCATCTGCCTCAGGTGACTCCTACAAACCAGGACCATCACTTCCCAGCACAGGGTCCACCTACCTGGCTGCTGTCCTCCCACCACAGTGGGAAGGTCACTCCCAGGGTGACCCCCCAAACCCTCTGTCCCTACAGGATGAGTCAAGCTCTCTGCAGGGCAGATTTAAGGGTGGGGAAAGTGAAAGGGAGCTGAAGAGGAGAACAAAGCAGGCAAAATCAGTGTAGGAAGAAAGCAGAAAGTATCAGAGCCTCCGAGAGCAAGGCCCAGCTTGGTAGTTTCGCTGTGCGGGCTGAGATCTCTGGCCTGTGATCTGGGCTGTGCCTGCCTAGGCCTTGTCTCTCTCACTCTCCCATCCCCACCCTGACTTCTCACCCAGGACTCTATGTTTACCCATGTTGAATGTCTTTCAGTTCCTTCAACAGAGTATCATTTCTCTCACCTCTGGATCTTCGAAAATATTCTTTTCTGGGCCTGGAATTTATACATCCTCCACCTTACCTGTCTAATCCATCTTTCAGCCCTCAGCCTGGACAGCAGTCTCCTGCCCCCCAGCACATCCACCCTAAATTACCCTCTGAGATGGTGCCTTTCCTAGGCATCTCATATCTCCCTGAACTTCCTGTGCCAGGGATCTCATTCCACTCATTTCAGCTGTAGGGTTATTTGTCTCCTCTGCTAGAATCCAAGTTTATAAGATCTAGGACTGCTTTTTTGTTCACTTTCTGTCAATTTCATCTCGTTCCTGGTTACTGGGTGCTCAAACACACAGTAAAAACCCAGTAAATATTTGTTCCATGAGTCAGTTGATGAATATCCACACTAACATCTCCGTTTTTATCACCATCCAAGGAAGAAGCAGAATTCTCTTCCCTAGACCATGGCCCTGAATGAGGAGCATACACTACTGTCACCTGGGCACCCTCCTCTCTGAAAGTAGCTTGGGAACATGGCAAATGTGTAGGGGTGCATGGGCGCCTCCACTACAACAAGCAGAACCCAGGGTCTCCCTGGTAAAAGGGCAGACGGCAACCACTTAGCATTATTAGAGTTGACTTCTTCCAGCCTCACCCACAGGGCCTCCTTAGGCTATGTCCTTCCCTGAGCAATCTCAGTTCCAAGGCCTTACAGAAAATAAAGTTCCTTCCACTTCTATTCCTGGATGAGATTGCTGACATCCCCCCGGGCAGCCTCCCTGCACCACTGGGCTGAAACTTTCTCCCTGTTTTCAGAGGTACCTACCGTTCCTGGCACACTCAGCCACAAGAGGCTCCCAGAGCAGCCGTTCCTCCTCCCGCTCTTCATTCAAATACATTTTATACATTTTCTAAAGAAACTTCCTGTCATTTTCATCTCATTTATAACCTTCCCAAAGTGTGATTCACAGAACAGGCAACAGAAGGAGCCCGGTGAAGGAGGACTCCCATGGTCACATGAATTTGGGAAATAGAGCATGGGTTGTTCCCGTCTTGGACAGTCACAGAGCATAAAACTGCAAAATGTCCTAAAGGAAAGAATTCTGCCAAGAACTTGTGGCCCAAAAGGCACAGTTGGGTCAATCTTGAACATGTCCCTCTGCACCACATTCATACACAGCAATGACAGACAAAATATAAGAAAATAACAAAGGCATAGCCCAGCGCGTACACACACACACACACACACATACACACACAAAACCCTCAGTAAACCAGAAATGAAGTGGAAATACAAAGGACAGACCTGCTGGTCCCCTGTTCAGGATGCAGGCAATGGACTCAGAGAATTCCTCTCCTGTGGGACAGAGAGGACTCAAACCATTTTGTAAGAAAGGACAGACTCAGTTCTCTGCTCACCAAACATGTGTTAACATCCTGCAGACAAGTGTTTTGCAGAACACACGTTTGAATGTGCTGCCTTTGAGACTTTCTCCTCCATGCTTGCCAGCCCATGCTGGCCTCAAGGTTCTCGGATATCAGTAATTTGTTCCTATCCTCTACACCTTTTTTTTTTTTGTCTCACTAAATATCGGCCTTCCCAAAGCTTATAGGGAAAACGTGATTACAAGATTCAAAATGAGAGGTATTCTGTCTCTTTCACTCTCTCTCTTTCTGTCTATCTCTCCTCCATCATCAATGTCTTCTTAGGTACCCTCTGCCTCGCCTTCCACTTACCTCACCCCTGACATCCTTCACGCTTACTGATCTCCGTGACTGTTGCTCTAATAACCCCCAATGACCACACCCAGCAACATGCTTTCAGACCCCATTCTCTGTGATTCTCCAGTTTCCAATGCTGCCAAACGCCCTCCTGATGAACCTAGAGAATCCTTGGCTTCTCCAGTACTTTCCATTTCCTCTACCTGTCGAAATGCCTCAATTCTTTATTTTTCTTCTCCTGTCTCTGAGATGTTGGTGTTTCCAAAGTCTCTGCCCTGAGCCCTCTGCTCTTTCTCTCTTGTTTGCACAGCCATTCCCCTGCATTATTCTCCATATGCACACATCACTCAACACTACCTCATTGGCCTTCACCTTGCTCCTCGACATTTCCAAATACCCAGAAGTTTCGAGAAACTTGTGTTTCAAATACTGATCTGAAAATGGTGAGTTGGCTTTGATTTTGTTTCTGTTATTGTTTGTTGCGCTGTTTCTGGTGTGTTACAGTGGTCGGAGCACAGACACTGATTATAAAACACAGCTTTCCACTCTGTTTTCACTCATTTACTTGGTTGTATGTCCAAGCTCATGACTTCTTTTAAACGTATCAAAGCAGCCTGTCACAACCATGTGTCCTATTGAATTATTGACTTCTTCTAGTAGAGTAAATCAGTTTAAACATGTTAAAATTCCCATATACCAAGTATATCTGTACCCGAATGCAGCCACATTACTGAATAATATTAAATGTTTTGTTTTGCTGCTTCAGAAACAATTTTCAAATGCATTCCCTATATTTTCACATTTTCAGCTCATTTTAAACTTAATTACTATGGTTAGCTGAAATTTTTCAAGTCTATTTTTATCTGCTTCTCAATTTTCTCCTATCGCATTGGTAAAATTTGTTTAATCCTTTAAAGATTTTTGGTAAATATTTATATATTTGTGCATAAATGTCTAAAACCCTATTCGTTTGTATAAAGTCATAAGGATATATAAAATATATATATATTATATATATATATGACTTAGCCAAATATTTTAACTGTGCAAATCAAATTTGTTTTGCAATGCAAAGGGAGAAAAACACATCTTCCCTATTTGTCCTCTTACAATCAGCTGTCTACTTCTTCTCCAGAAAAGCAGCATGAAATTATTTCTTTCTGCTCCTCTCTTTTCAGTTGCTGCTGTCTTACCATCATTTTCCTAATAGCGAAGCTCCAACACCAGTGTTCTCTTACACCTCTCCTGCTTATTCACTGGCTCACCATAAAGCCCCAAACCCCTCAAAATCAACTGTGAAGCTCTTTCCACTTTGCCATCACGAAGTCTCTCTTCACATGGAAATAAGTGTTCCTCAAAATACTCCTCCAACCCAGAGACAGGGACCTGAGTCAGTATTAGGATTCCTGTAAGACCCCACATATACCCATCATACCTGAGCCCTCTGAAGAAGTACCTCGTTGTAAGAGACAGCATAAGAGATCCAGATAAGAGAAGAGAATAATATAAGATAAGAGAGTAATATGTTATGCGATGAGAACACATGGACACATGAGGTGGGAAACAACACACGCTGGAGCCTGTCGGGGAGTGGGGGGAGGGAGAGCATCAAGAAGAGTAGCTAGTGGAGGCTGGGCTTAATACCTAGGTGATGGGTTGATCTGTGCAGCAAATCACCATGGCACACGTTTACCTATGTAACAAACCTGCACATCCTGCACATGTATCCCAGAACTTAAAATAAAAGTTAATGAAAATAATAATAATAATAATAATAATAATATGTTCTGCATCTAGGCAAGAGGATCAGGGCACCTTCAATAAAGGAAAGTTCTGGATTTAAGCCTTGTAAAGAAAGCTTTATACCAGGTGCAGTGGTTCATGCCTATAATCCCAGCCATTTGGGAGGCCAAGGCGAGAGGATCGCTTGAGG
This sequence comes from Homo sapiens, assembly GCF_000001405.40. NCBI lineage: Eukaryota > Metazoa > Chordata > Mammalia > Primates > Hominidae > Homo > Homo sapiens. The sequence continues at coordinate 40,279,083 of NC_000013.11, forward strand.
CCAGGAGTTCAAGACCAGCCTGGCCAACATGGTGAAACCCCATCTCTACTAAAAATACAAAAATTAGCTGGGCATGGTGGTGCATGCCTGTAATCCCAGCTACTTGGGGAGGTGAGGCATGAGAATTGCTTGAAACCAGGAGGAAGAGGTTGCAGTGAGCCAAGATGGCACCACTGCACTCCAGCCTGGGTGACAAAGCTAGACTCTGCCTCAAAAAAAAAAAAAAAAAAAAAAAAAGAAAGCTTTAACCCACTCAATCATAGTGTGATGTGACTGGCATCAAATCAGTCAAACTTGGATAGTTGATTGAGAAAGGAATCCATCAGGATCACTCCATCCATATTCATCTGCTGTCATCCAAGGAATCCCATCATTATGTCACTGATTACCAGCAAAGCTTGTTCTTTGCTAGACATAGTTTTTTAGAATAGAAGCGATTCAGACGAGATGAAATATTCCATGGGAAAATTTGGTCCCCTTTGTCTACTGCTGCCTCGACTCCAGACTTTTGTAAGGTTTGATGATGAAAAATGTGATCTCTGGAATCAGATAGACCTGGGTTCATTTCTAGCCTGCCTCTGATATTTACCAGTAGGAACTACTGGGAAAAATCCTTAACATCATCACTACTGCTCCTAGTATTACTATTAGTAATAATTATTATACCAGTAGCAGCTAAAATGTGTTGAGTTTTTATTATGCACTCTAAAAATCTTCCCATCTGTGAAGCTGGACTAATAAAATCAACTTGAGAGTGTTGTGAGATAAGATGAGCCGTATGTGTAAATTGCCCTGCACATAGCATACAGCCAGGTGATAGTAGCTATCATTATTTTTTGATGTCCTTATCTGCAGGAGAGAATGTATTGTGTGCAGATGCACAGTCTCATCCCTTGAACAGCGAATTAATAAAGTGATCTTCTGGCTTGTTAATCAGCCTCTCAAGTGCCTGATAAGCTTTGCAAATACAATAATACTAGGTTCCAGTTTTGTATCATTAAGGACTAGAGCTTGGACTCTAAGAGACCAGAGAAGTAAGGTAGTCTTGTGGTTGAGGTCACAGATTCTTGAGTCAGAATGCCTGAGTTCATATCTCAGGTCTGCCACTTAGAGACAGTACAATCTCCCTAAGCCTAAATTTCCTCATCTGTAGAATGGGATTAATGATAGTACCTATCTCATAGGAATCTTGTGAGGATTCAATGAGATAATGTAATCTTCACAACATTTCTATGGGTAGGTATCATGAATATCAATCACCATTTGACAGAAGAGTAAACTGACATTTAGAGAAGGGAGATTATTTGCTTTACATCAGATGACTAGAAACTGATGGAGGCAAAATTTGTATCCAGATCTATCCAGCTTCAAAGCCTGAGTCCTTAACCACATTCCACCACCCAAGTGGCCCTCCAACCTGTAGTACTGGGCATTTAGCTGAGTAAATCCAAGTCCTTTCATATACTTTAAGGTGCTTGAGGGAAGAAATTATGCATCTTATTCATCTTCATTTTCCCTTCAGCACCTAGTCCTATATTTTATTCATTGAAATGTTTCTTAAACCAATGGTGAATGCCTAATAAAATAAATGTATGCACGAATAAAAATAAATCAAAGAAAGAGATGCTTATTAAGAGAATAGGGTTTAAAAATATCCACAATCAAGAAGGGTTGGACTTAAGAAGAAGAGGAGGAGGAGAAAAATAAGGAGGAGGAAGAATAAAAGGTATAGCCAAAGGTCATTACAATCCTTTGAGAGAAAATGGTATAGTAAGATAACCCTGCAGGTTAAGGAAGGTGCAGGGGGTGAAGAAGGAAAGCCTGAATACAAAGGCAGCAGCATGAACAGATCACTTATGGGAAGGCTACACCTGTAAAGGAAGGTGTTGTGAAGAGCTATAACTAGAAAGGGAAAAAGTCAAGTGAAGAATTGCATTTGCTTTTTATAAAATAAGATGAACCTGATTATGCTGACAGGAAGAGAGGATTAACTTCCATATAGAAGGGAGAATAAGAGTTCTGGAAGGGAAAGTGATCATTGCAAAAATAATGTCCCAGAAGAGATAAAAGGAACTGGATCTAGAGTTTTCCAATCCATGGGTTACAAGCCAATATTTTGGGAATGGGATGGGATGGGATGGGATGGGATGGGATGGGATGGGATGGGATGGGATGGGACGGGATAGGGTGAGATGGTGTATTATTCAGGGTTCTCTAGAGGGACAGCCAGTGGGCCATCTTTTAATCCATATTTCAGCTAACCAAGCAAATAAACTATTAGAACCTTTTTAAACTCTCTGAGCTGCAACATTAAATGCAGAGTCCCTACTTAATGGGCCCAAATCAATGAATTCAGACATCCATTCCATGTTCCTTCCACCATTATCCCACACCCTTAACATCCATTCCCATGCCTGTTCTCCAGATTTCTGCTCATATAAATTAGAAAACTCAAGCAGTTCTTTTCAAGTGTAGCACACCTCCTCATGGGTCACACTCTCAACCTCACCTCTAGGGGCCTGCCGGGACTTTAGTTTAGTTATAGGCCTAGAAGCAAGCAGGGGTGTTGGGGGTGGCTCCTGAAAAGGATCAACAATATCTTGCCTGGCAACTGCCTCAGGGGAGGCCATTACTGTTGCCTCAGGCAGCACAAGGTTTATCTGCCCAGGCAAAGGTGGAAAGGCTGATGGCAGCATGGGACGGGGAAGGGATGTTGCCACTACGGGGGATGAGGAAGCTGTTTCTTCGGGCAAAAAAGTTCATCAGAGTTTACAAACTCAGTGTCCCCAGCTTCATCAGGGTCCTCCCACACATCCCCATTCCAAGTTGCAGGGTCCCACTATTTTCCAATCAACGCCCTCATTTTAACAGTAGACACCTGGCGAGGCTATGCATGCACCTTCTGTTGCAGGTCAGCCACTCATATGATAAGAACTTATGTCTGTTTTTCCACTATTTCAGCTCTTTCTCCATAGGAGATAAGACTCTCAGTTGGGGCAATGTTAGCAGATTTGAGGCTCAATATCTATTTCTGAAGCCAGGAGTTAGAATCCCAGAGTTCATTTTCTTTCATCACTTTGTCCACTGAACTTAGGAGCAGCCAACTAGCTTCATTATATTCCTTGGTTCTCCACATATAGTCAAAGGTATTATGTATAGAGTCACTAAACTCCTTGCCTCTCACAAGTGATGAATCAGGAGTGTCAAATGCATTTAACTTGTATAACTCTCTAAATAGTTCACACCAAGGCCTGTCAGTGTTCTCCATACTATTAGAAATAGAGTCCTTAGCATTTTTTGGGTCCAATCATATTAAGCAGCCAACTCCAGAAACTGCAAGACCAATGAAAGAACTCCATCCTTAATATTCTGTTCGTCTAGAACCACTCCTGGTACCAAAATCTGTATTAGTCAGGGTTCTCTAGAGGGACAGAACTAATAGGATGGAGATATAGATATATATATCTATATCTCCATCCATATATATATATATATATATATATATATATATATATATATATGAATTTATTAAGTATCAACTTACACGATCACAAGATCAAGATCCCATGATAGGACATTTGCAAGGAGAGCTAGTCCAAGTCCCAAAACTGAAGAACTTGGAGTCCCATGTTCGAGGGCAGGAAACATCCAGCACAGGAGAAAGATGTAGGCTGGGAGGCTAGGCCAGTCTCGCCTTTTCACGTTTTTCTGCCTGTTTTCTATTCTAGCCATGATGGTAGCTGATTAGATGGTGCCCACCCAGATTAAGGGTGGGTCTGCCTTTCCCAGCCCACTGACTCAAATGTTAATCTTCTTTGGCAACACCTTCACAGACACACCCAGGATCAATACTTTGCATCCTTCAATCAAGTTGACACTCAGTATTAACCATTCAAGATAGGATGGAAATTATTGGAATGCCTCACATTTTAAGAGGCTTGTTTCATGTGTGTACAGGTCATGATGAAAAGCCTATTTTTTACTGTGAGCTGTAGTCAAAATATGTTTGAAGCAGTGGTCATGGGTGAAAAGGTTAGATTTAAGTTCTCCAGGACAACCTCACTGTGCTTTTAGCAATGGTGCTAGATGCCTGTCCTGACCGACTACAATTCAGATAAACCCACCCATCCCATCTTCTTTTTTCCCTCCTCTTCTTCTCCCATCCCTCCCTTTCTTCCTTTTTCCTTCCTTCAATAAACATTTATTGAGCATCTATCTACAGCCTACCATTCAGTTTCCTAGGCTCTGGGCACACTCCTATCCTCACAGGGCTTCTAGTACAGCACTTACTATCTAGTAAGAATGACCTCTGGACACCCAAGACTATTTGCAGCACAGGCCTGGGCCTATTCTCCTAGTTCTCGCTTTGCAACTCAATCCCTGACTCAACTTTGCCTTCCCTCTCCTCTCATATCTGGATAACTGGCATGGTCTTACTATGGCTCTAAGCCCTGCTCCTTTCCTCAAACACTCTTATCCTCTGCCTCATATGATTCCAGCCCAGCCTGGCCCCAGCCTCAGCTCCCACTCAATACTCACCCACATGCCCATGCTGCTGCCCAGCCTGCCTGAGGCCCCAGGTAGCGACACAGCCTCCTGGCCCCCCAGGTAGTGAAGGAAGGATCTGTCCTCCCACACACGCAAAAGCATTGTATCTCAAGGAGGTACCAGAAGAATGTAAGTATCCCAAGTGAACTTCACTCTTGTCAGGATACCAAAATTCCTGAGAGGTGTTCTCAGTTGTGACTTGGCAAAGCCCCTGGAAGATGGGCAGGGTGGCTTGCACATCGCATTGATATGCTCATGCTGCATGTGCAGGCTGCTCTATTTGGCCATCCATTTAGGTCAGGTTCTTGTTTTTCCAGTTTTCTTCCATTCCACACACATCCCTTTGTGACTGAGGTTTTTACTTCAGGCATTCAGATGCACAGTCTTAAATGTGGCTTCTTGCATTGAGCTAATTAAAACAAGAGAAAACTTTCTGCTGCAAGATTTGTGAAGGGGAAAGTCTACAAAATTTTCAATGTTTTAACACCACTGGAATGAGAGAAGAGGACAGCTTCAAAAGGGCCTGAGAAAATAGCTATTTCCAAAGCCCTCTTTCTTTATTGTTTTGTTTTGTTTTGTTTTGAAATGGAGTTTTGCTCTTGTTGCCCAGGCTAGAGTGCAACGGCCCAATCTCGGCTTACTGCAACCTCTGCCTCCCAGGTTCAAGCGATTCTCCTGCCTCAGCCTCCCAAATAGCTGGTATTACAGGCATGCGCCACCATGCCTGGCTAATTTTTTGTATTTAGTAGAGAAGGTGTTTCACCATGTTAGTCAGCCTGGTCTTGAACTCCTGACCTCAGGTGATCTGCCCACCTTGGCCTCCCAAAGTGCTGGAATTACAGGCATGTGCCGCCACGCCTGGCTTCCAAAGCCCTCTTTTATAGATGATCACACTGAGGTTCATGAAGTTAAGAAATTCACCCAATTTTAATAGTCCATGGCAGCTGAGATGTTCTATGAGGGGCCTCAGGGGTGACTAGGGAAGGAGGGAAGGGCTCAGGGACTGGCACTCCACACCCTGTTTCCTTTTCATCCAAAGCAGCTCTGCTTGTATCTGTTTCATGTGCCAGCTTCTGCATGAGAATTAGTTTGAAAAGAGAGCTTCACCACTTCAATAGCAAAAAAGCACACACACAAAATAGCAAACTCTGCCATAATTTTTATAACATTAAATTAGACCCCATTTACATAAACAAGAAAAAAAAGTACTCTAAGAAGATGTCAAATTCCAGTTAATGATATCCATGCTGTTTCACCAGTTAAGGGAAAGTTTACTGATGCCTGCAAGTAACCTTGAAATGTATCCCAAAAGTAAGAAGGATTAATGAATGGATGGAAGGATAGATATATGGGCAGATTGGCAATAAATCAAGTAGTAAAATGCTAACGGTAGGATTTAGATGGTGGGTTGGGTTTGTAGGTGATCTTGGTAGAGAGTCTTTCATTCAACTTTTCTACTTATTTGAAAACTTCATAATATAATGTTGGGAGAAAAAATTGACACCAGGTGCACATGCTCCAATAAATGTTTTCTTACCTTTTACTAGCTAGTTAAAAACAAAAAAAGAAAATGAATATTATGCCTGTACCACCTTACTGCATGGCCAATCCTGTTATTATGAGGAGAAAACAGAAATAATCAATGTGATCACTTTGGGAAAGTAAAACACTACCTCAAATATTTTGCCAAATTAATCATTTATTAACCAACTTTTAATTATGTAACTCTTTGAACTTCTAAGAAACTGCTGGGTCTAACTGAAGCCTCTCACATTTCTATAGTGCACTAACCTTTGATAAGTAATTAAATAAGACCTTTTACACACGTTGTTTTGTTTGAACCAGACAGTTCTGTAAAATGTATAGGAAAGCATCGTCCCCACTTTGCAGATGATGAGACTGAAGCTCCAAGACCACACAGCCATCTATAATCACATGGCTGGATCTTGAAATAAAGCTCATGATTTCCAGCTCCTGGGGAGGGTGATGATGGCAAGAGGAGGGCAGAGTAGATCCACTGTGGCATTCATGAAGGCCTTCAGGTTGAAGAAATGCAAAGCAGCAAGATTGAAATGGACAAGTTAATGGAATGATCTGATCAGATCTAGTGATTAAACATCTTTGTATATTTCCTTCTTAACTTGTAAAGTATTACTTTACCTCTTACAGATGACCACTTTGCAGTAAATGATTTACTAATGTTTGCATCAGCACTCACAATTGTCTCCATTTCAAAATAAATTCTGGTTACATATTGAAGTCCAGAAACTGTAGAGGAGGAATGGGAACTTGGAAGTCTACAATGTGTTCATTATGAAGTTCTGGGGCATTAATCACTGAAATGAAATGGACCTCAGTTTCTTCCTCAATACAGTAGGAGATGCCAAATTAACAGAGAGACATAGACTTGAATTTTACACGTAAAATGGATCATGATGATTATTTATTCCCTCAGTTAGCTACCTGGAATTTCAAAGACTTCTAGACTAGCATAAGTCTTTGAAATTCAAAGACTTATATTATTTCAAAACTTGTCGTAGAAAACATGTACTTATCCAAAATGGTGATGGTCAAATTAAAACACCTCTATTATTTCATTATATTATTCTCCTGTTCAGCCAAGCTTACACTGGCTGTTAAAAACATCTCTAATTCTTGAAAAAAATCAAAATAAAAAAATCACTTAGATGCAATTTATTCTACTGGAAAAGTTTTCTAAACTTTAAAAGGAGGATGGGAGAAGGACGGATAATAAAAAAGATTATTTATCTTTTATCCCAAATTGTGAGATAATAATCTTGTCAAAATTCTCTGTTTTACTAATAAGAACTAAAGAATCAAAGAAACTGGGTGATCTCAGTTAATCCAACAAGCGAGACGTGAGCCAGAAATTAACCCAATATTTATTGGGGTATATAATAATACGAAGTATATGGATGAGTTTTGAGACAGTTCAAAACAACACATTCATTTAAGCTTTTCTTTTTTAATGAACAGATAGCTATACTTTGGGCTATAAATTTCACATTTTGTTCATCCTCAGATTATTTTGGTGGTAAGAGCAGCTTTTCCAATGTGGCTCACAGCTGCCTCAACTTATCAAGAAATCACTAGTCCTTCAAAAGTCAGATGTTTCAAAAAGATTGCCCATTAATTCTAGACTTAAGCAGAAAGGGCTCTCACAGTTCCTGTGTCAGCACAGTGGCATCATCTTTTGGGTGAAAAGCAAGGGAACACATGCATTCTTCTGATAAATTCTTCAGTACTGTTGACCATATACAATAATTGAGGCTGAGAGCAGAGGCTCTGGGAAAAGACCCAGTTCAAACCCCAATTCTACCACTAAACTTGGGCAAGTGACATATCCCCTCAATCCTCTCATGCATGACACAGTGATAAATTAATGCATGCCAAATATCTAGCTACATATAGCACACAGCAAATATTCAATCCATGTTAATAGCTATTATTAAAACATTGGCTAGCTGGTAACTTCCTACAAGGAAGCGTGTGTCTTTGTTTAACCAGGAGTTATTCCTGCCATTTTCTTTTAGAATGTTTCAGATCTCCAGAAAATGAGCCCCTAATTGCAGAGTTTGATGTTGAACAATTAATTCCAGGGAGCTGTATCTTGAGTCTGGCATAGGGTGATTCCTCTCTCTCTCTCTCTGTATCTTGATTGCAACATAATTTTTTAATGACCACTCAGCCAGGGCCCCTGGGGCGCTGAAAACTCAACATGGTCTCTTCACCCCAGAACCTTGGTTTAGTGCTGAGCATGTACCAAGCTTTGTGCCCCAGTGTGTGGGAGGACGTACCCCTGTCACATCAGCCAGGAAGGGCTTTACACTTAAGTCACAGTTTCTTGGCTTGGAGCTCTCATTAGTTCAGTTTCTGGGGCCCCCGAGCTTCCCACAGCTCCTTTGCAATGGGTCCTGTTGGCTAACACCTCTGTGGCCACTTGACTTTTTCATGCTGTCTACTGCTGGGGTCAGACCCAAAGTGATTGGCATGTCTTCCCTCACTCTAGTCCAGCATCTGGTTTTCCCCACTGGCACTCCCTGCTCAATGCTACCACCACCATGTTCAGACAGCCACTCCTGATGTCGTTGTTGATTGCACACCAATCTGCAGATATTGTGGGTTGTAATGAACAGCAAGGCAGAAGAGACCACCAGGGGAATGACGGTTGCAGGAGGGCCCCTGGAGTCTCTACCCTGAAAGCTGAGCTTGCCAAGTATGAATGTGGGTTGGCTTAATATCCCTGGGATGACCACACTCCCAGCAAACTGAGATGGGAAAACCAGATCATTCATATGTCCATTCACCATGTGTGATTGTTATAGAGGCTGCAATTTACTTTAATAAGCTTAAAGCAAAGCTAGTGTAATGTTTTGAATGTGCTGATTAGTTCAAGCTTCATTCTAGGGCTGCCCCAAAAGACAAACCACATTCCAGTGGTGGTCTGCTCACCTACATCAGAAAGACCACATTCCAGTGTGGGCCATCACAAGAATGTCCCTAGTCCATACCTTGGTCAATACCTGAGGCTTTGCTAATAAGCAGAGTGAATGTTATAAATGAAATTTCTAATTGATTAAAGTAGACTTCTTGAATAGCACGATGGATGTTGGAAATTGGTAAAAAAATAAGTAAAGGTAGTTGAGAAATGTGGATTGATTAAAATATTTAAAGACACTCCCAGCTCTTACAGCAACGGGGTATAAGAATCTAAGGAGGCCCATAGCCCTTGTCCTGAGGGATGGCGCACAAGGCAAGTTCCTAAACAGTCCTGTGTAAACAGCCATGACCTTGGAGGATTCTCCTTGCACGTTGCTAGCCATGAGAGTACAGGAGCCTGCCTCTGGAACCCAGGGAAATTGCCTCCGGTGAACACAGCTTTTACACAAGGTGTGGACAGAGAGCTGGAATCTCAACAAGCTTCCAGAACAGCTTCCATGAGCCACTTTTGTGCTTGGTTGTTAACAAATGCTCAGTGAATAAGTGGCTATCTGTGTGGCAGCAAGACTGAGACTGCAGTGAGCCAAGCGAGGCGTTCGCCTCAAGTGCAAAATTTAAAAGGGTGCCGAAGCAAATATTTTAACGCAAGTTTTAAAAAATCTGTGATGAACAAAATACCCAGTTTTAAATAAAGACAGGCTGTTGATGTTTGTTTTATAGCCCAGCTTTACTGTGCATCAAGAACAGTTGTTTCCAATCAGCCAGAGATTCCAGGACCCCTGCCTGGGGCCGCCTTCACTCAGCAGGTTTACGAAGGCTGAAGATGGTAAACACAGGTTAGGCAATATGGGTGGGCATTATATAGTCATGGTTTTTGATTAGAGCTTTTATTAGCTTTTGATATTAATATGATATAATTATATAATATGTATTTATATAATTTTTTATATATTTATTTATATATTTATTATATAATTTATATATTTTTTATAATCAGTTATATAATACATATTTATAATGTATAGTAAATATAAAAGATAATATATGAGGCTGGGCACAGTGGCTCACACCTGTAATCCCAGCACTTTGGGAGGCCGAGGCAAGTGGATCACCTGCAGTCAGGAGTTCAAGACCAGCCTGACCAACATGGTGAAACCCCATCTTTATTAAAAATACAAAAATTAGCCGGGCATCATGGTGGGTGCCTGTAATCCCAGCTACTCAGGAGGCTGAGGCAGGAGAATCGCTTGAACCCGGGAGGCGGAGGCTGCAGTGAACCAAGATCATGCCACTGCACTCCAGCCTGGGCAACAGAGCAAGACTCCATCTCAAAAAAAAAAAAAAAAGATATTCTATACTAATGATATAATAATATAAATATTAACTATTAATAAAGGTACACAGAGGCACACATTCTTCCTTTTGCTCAGGCTCCAGCATGGCTGGACACAGCATGGGGTGGTGGATTTTCATCTGAGATTCACTCTCCTCATAACCCGGTGATGAGGTTGGGCGTGTTGGGAGAGTTTGCAGCAGTGGCACTTTTTCCTGGTGACTTATATTCTGGCCTCCCTCTCCGTCCATGGCACCTGCTTTCCCAGGATCAAGGTCACTGGCAACATAAATTAATAGTTAGGTTTCTGGGTAGTGTAAAATTACAGCAAAGAAAGGAAAATATATGGATGCCTGAGCTATGCCCTGAGTGTTTGTGTCCCCCCAAAATTCATGTTAAAACCGTCATCCCCAGTGGATGGTATTTAAAGATGGGGCCTTGGAGAGATGATTAGGTCTTGAGGGTGGAGCCCTCGTGATAGGATTGATGTCTGTGTTAGCCCGTTCACACACTGCTCTAAAGACATACCTGAGACTGGGTAATTTACAAAGAAAAGAGGTTTAATTGACTTACGGTTCCACAGGCTGTACAGGAGGCATGGCTAGGGAGGTCTTAGGAAACTTACAATCATGGCGGAAGGTGAAGGAGAAGTAAGCACACCTTACATGGTGGGAGCAGGAGGAAGAGTGAAGGCAAATGGGGAGGTGCTACACACTTTCAAACAACCAGATCTTACAAGAACTCTATCAGGAGATAGCACTAAGGGGATGGTGCTACACCATTAGAAACCACCCCCATGATCCAATCACCTCCCACCAGGCCCCACCTCCAAAACTCAGGATCATAATTTAACATGAGATTTAGGTGGTGACACAGAGCCTAGCCATATCAGTATCCTAATAAGAAGAGACACAAGAACTTGCATCTTCTCTTTGCCCTCCACCTTGTGCAGACACAATGAGAAGACAGTTTTCCATGAACCAGGAAGCAGCCTTCACCAGATACCAGATCCTCCATGGGATCATGGACTTCCCAGCCTCCAGAACTATGAGAAATAAATGTGTGTTGTTTAAGCCATGCAGTCTATGGAACTTTGTTATAGTAGCCCAAATGGACTAACATAGCATATATGTACATATGTATGTGTGTGTGTGTGTGCATGCATGAATGTGTGTGTACATGTGTGTTTCTTAACTACTTTCTATTTGCTTAAAATATAATATTGGGGGGATAGTTTGAATTTTTTTAATTATAGAAAAGCATCGATAAAAGTAAAAATATTTTTAGAATCACTCATAATCTTACTACACACACATACTCACACACATATAAAAGAAGAAACTGTCTTAAGAGATTTCAAGAAGTTTCAGTCAAGAAAGCACTTCCAATAAATGGAAACATAAAATTTTGGGGAATTCCTAGTAGATGCATCTTTGAGATGCATCTTGATGGACAAATTGCTAGGACAGATTGTTGAGTGAGTAAAGCAAGTTGTAGAATGATAAGTGCAGTTTGATGCTAAGTACGGTGTGATACTATTTATGTCATAGACACCCACACACAAAACAAGTCACACCATACATTCTCTATAAGTGCATGTGTGTTTACATAAATGCACAGAAAGGATGTGGAAGGTGCCCCTCCAGCCAAGAATGATGCTGATCTCTCAGGAGAAGCAGGAGGGGATGAGATTGGGTAGGGGCCTGGTCAAAGAATTTCCTTCTATATAATGTTTTAATATTTTACAAGGGAATAGTATTCATATGAATTACAAGATGACCATTCCAGGGAAGTGGGCAGTGTGAATTTTAAGTGGGAAAGAAGAGGGCAGTTTGAAGACAGTTTGGCAGTAACAAAGTGTACCAAGAAGGCTAGTTAGGAGAGCATACCAAAAGGTAGGTAATTTTTAAGATCCAAAAGTAAAGGAACTTAAACTCCAGGCTGAGGAACTGGTACTTTATTCATAGCTATGCCATAGGAAGATACTTTGGATACCCACATATAAAGCACATTTGTTGGAAAATCAGTTAGGAAGCCACATCAATGGCCAAGTGAGCCCAGTCTGGGACAGGAAGAGGAGGAACTGAGGAAAAAGATGAGACAGATTTTGAACCCACCTAATCTGATAGGGAGCAGGAAGAGTGAAGGCAAGGACAGCAAGAGAGGGAGGAATCAAAGATTTCATCCATGTGGCTGGTGTGATGTTGTTGTCACTTAAAGAGGTACAGAATTTTCTTTTTTTTGAGACAGTGTCTCGCTGTGTTGCCAGGCTGGAGTGCAGTGTCACAATCTCCCAGTCTCATCTTGGCTCACCGCAAACTCCGCCTCCTGGGTTCAAGCAATTCTCATGCCTCAGCCTCCCGAATAGCTGGGATTAAAGACATCCACCACCATAACTGGCTAATTTTTGTATTTTTAGTAAAGACAGGGTTTCACCATGTTGGCCAGGCTGGTCTCGAATTCCTGACCTCAATTGATCTGCCTGCCTCGGCCTCCCGAAGTGCTGGGATTGAAATACAGACTTTTTAAAAATAGAGATTGGAAAGAGAAAATACTAATGATCACCAAATTCTCTCTCTCAAACACATAAGTAAGTGAATGAAATTTCTTTCCAATGATTAACTGAGCTAATATGTGGAAAGCTCTGAGAACAAAGGCAATGCTTAACTGCAATAATAGTGGCAAACACACACGGATAGTTTTTATGTATCAAGCATGATTGTAAGCACTTTAATGTATTAAAATTTTAATTCTCACCATAATTATATGCAATAGGTATTATTACTATGGCCATTTGGCAAGATTACATTTGCAGAATTGTGACGTGCCTTGCCGGAGTCCTGTTGATAGCAAGCTGGCAGAACAGGCATGCATGTCCGAGCCACCTGGTGCCAGGGCCCATAATTTCACTCTCATCCAAATTGCTTTCAACAGATGACAGTGGTGGTGTCGTTATTAAAAAACAAGTTATTAAGCATCCCTATGTCCTAAGCTCTGTGCTGAGTATTGTCCAGATGCCATATAATGTAACATTTTGGCCCATTAACTTAGAAACCATATTTGAAAAGGTAAAATTATGTAAAAGTTATTTAAATCTCATTAAATCAAAAAATTCAATTAAATAGAAATCTCTTTCGTAAACATTTTACCTAATAGCGATTTCAGCATATGAAAATTGACTTGTGGATGACAATTCCACAAAAAATAATGTCGACTGCAAGGGGCAATTTGTTAAATCAGGTAAGGAAGGAACTTGGGGGTCACAGTCATTGTGGCAACTGCTCAGTGCTAATTATAAAATGTTGAAGAGCTGTCAGAGAGAAAGCCAACCTGGGAATCTCCATGGCTGTCTAATGGGAAGCAGTTACAGCCAGATTACATTGGAGAAAGAAAAATGGAAAACACCACCTGGTTGAACCCCACCTTTTAGAGATAATGAAACCTGAGCTAAGGGGAGCCCCCACGGGATCCCTCAGGTAGAGTCAGGCTAGAGCACTCTGTCTGGCAATCCCCTCTCCAGGGTGACATCCTGGCTAAGGTAACAGAATTAGGTGACATATGTGACTTGAATGCACCAGGGATTCCCAAAGGTTGAGAGGCCTGGGCCACGTACATTTGGGGCTTTAGGAGTGGTGGGGGCTTCTAATATGTTAAAAAATAAAGATGAATCACATAAAGCCACAGACATGGTCAGTTCATCTCCATTCGCTGGCACCAAAAGGACTGACAGTATGACTTGGTTTGGCTGGAAAGTGTCAATTTATGTCTGTTTTCCTGATGGAATGATTCATGAGCCTCCTTTCACTGCCAACAGTTTTCAGTCTGGATAATATATTAACTGGTCACCTTGATCAAAAAAGTCTGTGTGAATGTGACATACTGGGCCAATGGTCATCCTGCTGCCTGCCTGTCATGCCCACCTAGCCTCACCCAGCCCCACAGGCCATGGTACACGTGGCTCTGTGATTTGGGACACCCTTGCATTTGTATTAAATGAGCCACAGTCACCTGCTGGCAAAGGACAATATCACCATGCTAAGATCAACAGGGGGACTGGTGGAAGAACTGTGGGGCAGGAGAATCTCAATGGCATTGTCTGGGTACCCAGCTTTGACTTGTCCTTGACACAGTTAACTGCATGTGTCTCTACTCTGCTTGTAAAATAAAAAGTGACCACTGTATTCTGTAAAGGCAAGGACACAAGTCTTTCTACCTGATGCCATGAATATGCCTGGATATATTGACATATGACATGGATATATGTCCACAAAGATGGATACATGTGATATATACATGATCATTTAAAAAGTCGTAAAGAAAAATACACGCGACCAACAAGTTTGTCGTCATGGGTATGTTGGGATGAGGTGGAAGGATGGAACATTCAATAGGACAGGAAGGTGAGGAGGAAGGGAGCCAAAAGACAAAGGGAAAAATAATGATAGAGACAGCACTAAAAAGAGAGAAGCAAATTGATTATAAGATGGCTTTACACATATAGGTAAAACTAGGTATGTGTGCATGCATGAAGTAGAGACACATGCAGAATGGATCAAGTGTTAGTCTGGGAGTTGATCTCCCAATGCTCTGTGAGAATATCTTGTTCACTCCAGCCTCACCGAGTACTTAGGATAGTGCCCACGCACAGATATTTCTGGAAGGAAATAAGAATGCAAGCTAGCAAATCAACTTGATTTCTATCCCTAAAGACACTACTCCTTAGGTGTGCAGCTCTGGGCAATACTTCCTTGGCCCAGAGGTAGCTGAGAGAATGAAAGACTGTTTTCAACAAGGGCAGGGCTGAGCAAAAAATTCAGGCAGACAAATTCTCCTAGACACCCCCAGACATTGCGGCCACTAGTTTTGCTGCAGTGGCAGCCTGCTTTGAAGCTGCGTGTTTGGTCTGTTAAGCTTTCTTAATTCATGTGCACATACTCACGTGCACGCACACACACAGAAAGGCAATAAAGAAAAATTACCTACAGTTTTCTTTTCAATGTGTATAAATGTGTGTTTTCAAATTTATACTTTTAAATATGTAAATGCCATCCCTCACACTTTTTAATTGTACGTATAAACAAACTCTTTTTTAACAAAATGAGGTCATTTATATTTTCCTACTAAAGGAGAATTTTATATTATTCTGCTTTATAAACTTTTATTCTCACTTAATATATTACAGATGTCTTCCAGGATTGTTCATAGAAGACCACTGTAGTCAGCTAATTGTCACAGTAATGATGCATAACAAATCACCAATGACTCCCAACAACTATCTTTTTCTTCACTCACACTGAGGGTCTCGTCTTGACTCTGAGCTTCAGGTTGGGTCCAGTCTGCTTCCCATGTCTGTTCTAGAGAGTGTCATTCTTCTTATGGTGATGGCAGAAGCTCAAGAGGAGTGAATGGAAACACATAGTGCCCCTCAAGTTGCCTCTGTCTACTTCTCATGGCCCAAAGCAAGTCATATGGTCAAGTCCAATATTTGTGGGATGGGGAAATACACTCCTGGGATCAACAGCAGAGTCATTGACACAGGGTGTGGTTGGGGAGAGGAGGGTGAGGCAAGAAGGAAGATGTAATATGCCATGGTAGAAATGTATCAGACTTTATTTATCCAGGCCCCTACAGATTAAAAATTAGATTGATTCCAATAAACAGTCATGCAAAATGCACTCTACCAAGCCCCTCATTTAATTCTCACAGCAACCCTGAAGAGCAGTTACTATTAACCGCACTGAAGAATGGGGAGGAAACTGGATCATGCTATAGATGATTAATAATTTGCTCTCAGTCATTGTTTTAGTGGGAAATGCAGGTGTCCCTCAAACCCAGATTTTCCCAGTGCAGCCCCATAAAAATCCTTCTGAGATTTGGTGCATGGTCAGATTTGTCTTTTCCAGGGAGCTGTGAATAAAGATACAGTTCATCCTATTTCTCTTTTGTCTAGGCTTCCATGAAGCTCAAAGCCAAGTTCAAGTCTCAAACAAGGCAAATTACTTACAATTAGTATATTCATAGACTCATTTCTTTGGTTCTAATGTTCCATTTCTATTTCACTCAACTTATTTATAGAGTACTCTTTTGCAAGTTTCCTTCATTTTAAAAATAAAGAATCAAGATGTAATTAATTTGAATTTGAAGGATGTCAGAATTTCTTGACTGAGCATTCAAGGAGCTCAAGAGTGCTGGGTTCTGATTGTGGATGGTCAGTGCCCCAGACTCTGCCTCCTACACAGTGCAACTTTCTGAAGCCTGGGCTGTAGGTGGTCACCAGTCACACTCACTGCAGCCAGAAGACAAAGAAGGGAAAAAGAATGACACTCAAATGAATCGATTGTATTGATTAGCAGGAACTCCAGTAGCAATTCAAGAGCATTGGAAAATTAATAAATTATGGTGTTCCTCCCTGCTTACCAATACCAGAGATAATCTAGGGTTAATTTTAGTGCCCTACACTGCATCTGGCCCCTGTCAGGTACTTGATAAATGCATAATGATGCACAGCTATACATTTATCAAAAAGAAATAAATATAATCAACACCCAAAAGGCAAATGTCTTTTAAAATTTTCATTCTTACGTTTTAGACTATTAATGTATCAATTTAAAGACAAACTCCTGTAATCACCCAGTGGAGTCTTCTTGCCCACTGCACTAACAAAACCAATTCACTGAAACAATGGCATTGCAGTAAAGAAAGAGTTTAATTGACATGAGGCCAGCCACACCATGCAGAAGATGAAGTTATTACTCAAATTGGTCTCCCTGAACCCTTGGAGGTTAGGGTTTTTCAAGGATAGTTTGGTGGGCAGGGGACTAGGGAATGGGTGCTGCTGATTGGTTGGGGATGCCATCATGGGGGAAATGTGGAAGATGTGGAAAATGGTTATTGCGTGCTTAGTCCACCTCTGGGTGGGGGCCGCAGGACCAGCTGAGTCATGAGTCACAGGTCTGGGTGGAGTCAGCCAAGTAATCAGAAATGCAAAGTCTGAAAAGACATTGCAAAAGTCCAATCTTAGTTTCTACAATAGTAATGTTACTTACAAGAATAACTGGGGAAGTTACAAATCCTGTGATCTCCGGAACTATGGCTGATTATCATTTAACTATGCCTACATCTTAGCAGAATTCAGACCCTTATAATCCTAACCTTGTGGGCTTTCATTAATTAGTTTTACAAAGGTGATTTAGTTTAGAGAAGGACTATTATCATCCTTGCTCTACAGTTAAATTATTAACTAAAATTTCCCTAAAGTCAGTTTGCCCTACACCTAGGAATGACCAAGGGCAGCTTGGAGATTAGAACCAAGATGGCATCAACTATATAAGATTTATCTTACTGTTGTAATTTTGCAAAGGCAATTTCAATCCCTTCCTTGGGTTTCAGCACATCTCAATCCTGAGGTATGAGCTATGGAGATGAAAAAAGGCCAACAACAGCTCTAACTTCTTCCTGCTGACAGGGGGCATAGCTGGAGTAGATATTGCTCTCAGGGTGAGAGGAGTGAAAGAGTTTTGCAGTTGTCTGTACGTATTCAAGGGTGCCTGGCTGGGATCTCAAGGTCTGCATAACAAAAACATTAGTGCTCTTAACCACAGCTTTAGTACGGCACCTAAGAGAATAGCAGACTATAAGAGTCCTAACATAAGGAGTGAAAACCCTATAGAACTGACCTGAAGCCTTGAGGGATCCAGGTGAATGATGCCAAGAATCAATCAGGTATTGGGTCATCAGCAGAGACTCAAAACCAATGGCCAAGGCCGGAATCTGGTGTACTATAGTTTTTCTGAAACATGTTTTTTCTCTCTCCAGTTTTTCACTTCTACCAAAGATAAATCACAGTAGGAGCAATTTATTTGCAGAATAAGTTTTAGTTTTATTATATTTGGCCTAATTATTTGCATAAAGCATAGGAAGAATGATTATTTGCTATATAGGCTTTTTTTCTAAATTGGCTTTTCTGGATTTTTTTTTTTCATAAGGAATTTCACATTAGACCTTTTAAAAGCCTCTTGAACCCAGCTGAAGATTTTACAAAAAGGATCAGCAACATTTCAAACAAAAAGTCATAAAAAGATTATTTACCAGGCTGGGCATAGTGACTCACGCCTGTAATCCCAGCACTTTGGGAGGCCAAGG
Source organism: Homo sapiens (assembly GCF_000001405.40). Classification (NCBI taxonomy): domain Eukaryota; kingdom Metazoa; phylum Chordata; class Mammalia; order Primates; family Hominidae; genus Homo; species Homo sapiens. The sequence goes on from NC_000013.11 coordinate 40,297,567, forward strand.
TGGGCGGCTTGCCTGAGGTCAGGAGTTTGAGACCAGCCTGGCCAACATGGTGAAACCCTGTCTCTGCTAAAAATACAAAACAATTAGCCAAGTGTGGTGGCAGGCGCCTGTAATCCCAGCTACTCAGGAGGCTGAGGCAAGAGAATCGCTTGAACCCAGGAGGCAGAGGTTGCAGTGAGCTGCCATTGTGCCATTGCACTCCAGCCTGGGCAACAAGAGCAAAACTCTGTCTCAAAAAAAAAAAGATTATTTACCTTCTATTAGTACAGTCCATGCAATTAACTCCTGTTCTGCTTAATATTTATGAACATATCAGTTCTTCATAAGAGTCCTGGAAGTTTTCTCTCTATTTCAATGGAATAATATGCAAAGTTGTCAGAAACCTGTATTTAAGAGCACCTGTCAGCGTTTTATAGTTTATTATAAAACCACTTTTTGAAAAGGATCAAAGTAAAACAATTGTAGATGACAAAAGTTTCAGAACAACTATGATTAATTACACAATTGACAAGGAAATCTGGTTATTTTGTGGCATACAACAATTTAACAAAATAATTATAATTATTACTGATAATATACACTAAGTCTTATCGGAATTATAGGCACCTCACACAACTCTGGAACACACAGCAATAACATATTAATACAAATACAGCCCAAAGAAAGCCAAACACCATTTCATACTTGACAACACTACCTGTATGATCTTAACATAGCAAATAAGTCAAATATGTGTCCATTTCAGACTTCAAGGGACCTAATATCTAAAAAAATTAATGAGGTCAAAAGGTGGGATTTAAAACTTGATTTTGGAAAGTTTTTCAAATATCAAAGGTGTAAAACACTTGTCACAAAAGAGTATCACAGGTTATTCATTTAGCCAAAGTGATTAACTCAAAGATTTAAAAAAAAAAAAAATCCTTTACTCCGATAGAGAAGAGACTCAGCTTTCCAAAGAACAAGACCCAACAAAGACAGGAGGAGGCCAACTGAATCTGTCTCTTCTCTCTCCCCTCTTTTCTTTTTCCTGCAGTTTGCTCAAAAGGCAAAAAACTTTCATTATCTCTCAATATTACATGAAAATCTTGTTCAAAAAAGAAAACCAAATTCCCCCTTTGCAGTGCACTGTTAATGCTAAAGCTAATTTTTAATAAAATCTTATAAACAAATCTAATTTTAATTAGCTTGACCATAAGGTATCTACAAACCCTTTATAACTCTTTTTTTTTTTTTCAGGGAGGGGTGGCATTTGTTTGTTTGTTTATTTATTTATTTTATTTCAATAGGTTTTAGGGAACAGGTGATGTTTGGTTACATGAGTAAGCTCTTCAATGGTGATTTCTGAAATTTTGGTGCACCTATCACCCAAGCAGTATACACTGTACCCAATGTGTAGTCTTTTATCCCTCACCCCCCTCCAACCCTTTCACCCAAATCCCTAAAGTCCATTGCATCATTCTTACACTTTTGCAACCACATAGCTTAGTTCCCGCTTATGAGTGAGAACATAAGACATTTGGTTTTCCATTCCTGCGTTACTTCACTTGGAATAATGGTCTCCAGTTCCATCCAGGTTGCTGCAAATGCCATTATTTCATTCCTTTTTATGGCTGAGTAGTATTCCATGGTGTATATATATCCCACAGTTTCTTTATCTGCTCATTGATTGATGGGCATTTGGGCAGGTTCCATAATTTTGCAGTTGTGAGTTGTGCTGCCATAAACATGCGTATGCAAGTATCTTTTTCATATATTTTTTTCATATAATGACTTCATTTAGTTCTGCTCTGATCTTTGTTATTTCTTTTCTTCTGCTGGATTTGGGTTTGTTTTGTTCTTGTTTCTCTAATTCCTTGAGGTGTGATCTTAAATTGCCTATTTGTGCCTTTAGACTTTTTGATGTAGGCATTTAAGGCTATGAACTTTCCTCTTAGCACTGCCTATGCTGTATCCCAGGGGTTTTGATAGGTTGTGTCACTATTATCATTTAGTTCAAATAACTTTTTAATTTCCATTTTGATTTCATTGTTGACCCAACAATCATTCAGGAGCAGGTTATTTCATTTCCATGTATTTGCATGGTTTTGAACGTTCCTTTTGGAGTTGATTTCCAATTTTTTTCCACTGTAGTCTGAGAGAGTACTTGATATAATTTTGATTTTCTCAAATTTATTGACACGTGTGTTTTGTGGTCAATCATGTGGTCCATCTTGGAGAATGTTCATGTGCTGATGAATAGAATGTATATTCTGCAGTTTTTGGGTAGAATGCTCTGTAAATATTTGTTAAGTCCATTGGTTCTAAAGTGTAGTTTAAATGCATTGTTTCTTTGTTGACTTTCTGTCTTATAGACCCATCTAGTGCTGTCAGTGGAATATTGAAGTTCCCCACTATTACTGTGTTGCTGTCTATCTCATTTCTTAGGTCTAGTAGTAATTGTTTTATAAATACTGGAGCTCCAGTGTTAGATGCATATATATTTAGGATTGTGATCGTTTCCTGTTGGCCACTTCCCTTCATCATTATATGATGTCCCTCTTTGTCTTTTTTAACAGTTGTTGCTTTAAAGTTTGTTTTCTCTGGTATAAGAATAGCTACTCCTGCTCACTTTTGGTGTCCATTTGCATGGAATATCTTTTTCCACCCCTTTACCTTAAGTTTACATGAGTCCGTATGTGTCAGGTGAGTCTCTTGAAGACAGCAGATACTTGGCTGATAAATTCTTATCCATTCCGACATTCTGTATCTTTTAAGTGGAGCATTTAGGCCATTTACTCAATGTTAGTATTGAGATATGAGGTACTATTCTATTCATCATGCTATTTGTTGCCTGAATACCTTGTGTTTTTTTTTCATTGTGTTATTGTTTTATAGGTCCTATGAGATTTATGCTTTAAGTAAGTTCTATTTTGGTGTATTTCAAGGATTTGTTTCAATATTTAGAGCTCCTTTTAGCAGTTCTTACAGTGCTGGGTTGGTAGTGGTGAATTCTTTCATCATTTGTTTGTCTGAAAAAGACTATATCTTTCCTTTACTTATGAGACTTAGTTTCACTGGATACAAAATTCTCAGCTGGTAATTGCTTTGTTTGAGGAGACTAAAAATAGGGCCCCAATCCCTTCTAGCTTGCAGGGTTTCTGCTAAGAAATTTGTTAATCTGATAGGTCTTCCTTTTTAGGTTACCTGGTGCTTTTGCCTCACAGCTCTTAAAATTCTTTCCTTTGTCTTGACCTTAGATAACCCAATGACTATGTGCCTAGATGATTATCTTTTTGCAATGAATTTCCCAGGTGTTCTTTGAGCTTCTTGTACTTGGATGTCTAGATCTCTAGCAAGGCTGGGGAAGTTTTTCTCAATTATTCCCTCAAATACGTTTTCCAAACTTTTAGATTTCTCTTCTTCCTCCGGAACACCAATTATTCTTAGGCTTAGTCATTTAACATAATCCCAAACATCCTGGAGGCTTTGTTCTTTTTCTTTTTCTTTTTTTTTCTTTTTCATTTGTCTTTGTTGGATTGGGTTAATTTGAAAGCCTCATCTTCGAGTTCCGAAATTCTCTCTTCCAACTGTACCATTCTATTGCTGAGACTTTCCAGTGTATTTTGCATTTCTGTAAGTATGTCCTTCATTTTCAGAAGTTGTGATTGTTTTTTATTTACTCTATTTTTCTGGAGACTTTTCTGTCCATATCCTGTAACACTTTTTAAATTTCTTTAAGTTGATATTCACCTTTCTCTGGTGCCTCCTTGAGTAGCTTAATAATCAACCTTCTGAATTCTTTTTCCGGCAATTCAGAGATTTCTTCTTGGTTTGGATCCATTGCTGATAAGCTAGTGTGATCTTTTGGAGGTGTTAAAGAACCTTGTTTTGTCATATTACCAGAATGGGTTTTCTGGTTCCCTCTCATTTGAATAGACTATGTCAGAGGGAAGATCTGGGGCTCAGGGGCTGCTGTTCAGATTCTTTTGTCCCAGGGGGTGCTCCCTTGATGTGGTGCTCTCCCCCTTCCCCTAGAGATGTGGCTTCCTGAGAGCCAAACTATAGTGATTGTTATTTCTCTTCTGGATCTAGCCACCCAGTGGAGCTACTGGGCTCTGGGCTGGTACTGGGGAGTGTCTGCAAAGAGTCCTGTGATGTGAATCTTCTTCAGGTCTCTCAGCTGTGGATACCAGCACCCGCTCTGGTGGAGGTAGTAGGGGAATGAAGTCCAATGTGCTTCTTATATTAATGTTTAATTTATAGAAAAACCAAGTAACTCTCTTCAAATTTTGGCCACCCTGCTCACACCCACAGAACTTTGTTTTGTTTTGTTTTTGAGACAGGGTCTCACTCTGTTGCCTAGGCTGGAATGCAGTGGCATGATCTTGGCTCACTGCAACCTCCACCTCCTGGTTTCAAGTGATTCTCACGCCTCAGCCTCCCAAGTAGCTGGGACTACAGACACACGTCACCAAGCCCCGCTAATTTTTGTATTTTTAGTAGAGACAGGGTTTAGCCATGTTGGCCAGGCTGGTCTTGAACTCCTGGTCTCAAGTGATCTGCCCAGCTTGACCTCCCAAAGTGGTGGGATTACAGGTGTGAGCCACCACACCCAGCCCACAGAACTTTTTTTACAAGATCAATATTGCACAAATACTTAACAACTTGCTTAAACCTTCAGTTTTGTCCTATCATTCTTTTAACTTAAGACAACCTTTAAAACCTCTAAACTAGACAAAATTACTTTCCCTTTAACAAAAATCATATGTCCATGCCTTCTTATAATCTTTTACCAAAACACATTTTACTGACCTTACAAACCTTGCATGTAAAACTGTTTCTCCAGTAGTCCCAATTACATATGTTACAAGGTTAACTCTTAGCAAATTTTATTTTTGGTGAAGAACCTGATAAGTAAGCAATTTTAACCATGTATCAGATTACAGAGCCCAGGACAAGCACAGAACTGCAGACAATGTCTGACTTTTCCCAGCACAGCCAGGGGGCATGGCTAACTCCACATGCCCCCAGGCCTTACCTAGAATCTAATGGTTGTAAAATAGACAGGTCAAATAATTATCAAAAAGTCATAGAAGCAGTTTTTGACCTTAAAACATCTACCAAAGACAGTATGTGACCTGCCTAATTCATACCAAGTCTCCAAATTCTGAAGATGCTTTTATATCAATAATGTTTAAAACTGTCTTTATTTACCAGAGATTACTAAAGCCATGTGCACTAAAAGGTACTCAAGTTTTTATGTTTCTAACAAAATATTTCACTGAAGTGCTTATTCTTCTTTAAGCCAATTAATTAGAGCTCTTTCATATACTTTGATAGTGAAACATCACACATACAACACATAGAAATATACAGACAGAAGCAGATCTGGTAGGGTAGTAAGATTCTTCATTTGCCAGTTTCTAATTTTCTCTTTCCCATGTTAGACCATCAGTCTCTTAATTACTTATTCCTGCCCTAAACAATCATCAGCAAGGCAACTCTAAAGGGACAACTCAGGTGAAACAAAATAGGGAATTCATACTTTACTCAAACCAAGGAAAAACATGTAAGAAAAAATTCAGTTAAAACAGCCAGGAAAAGCAGACAACCTTACATGTGGTGATTTCCTTAGAGATGTGAATTTTTTAATTGAATTGCTAGCTTTAGGGTGGTGCTCTTTAAGGAGTAGGGCCAAGAAAGCATGTCATCTCTAGGGTCTAAGAGGCAGGCACAGCTGAAAGCAAAACAGATCACTAAGAATCAACAGATCCCATTTTCACAGCGAATCCTGGGTCCCCAACAAAAGAGAAACACCGTGGGCCAAGACAGTGCAATGCTTCCACTGTGTATCTCATTGTAAGGGCATTTTCCTGAGGCTATGGGGCAGCCCAGTGCCTATCAGCTCACTCTGTAATCAGGCCACCCTCCCATTTCATACCTTCTAGGTGTCCAAGAGCATGCTTTTCTCATCTGAAACAGACAAAGGGGTATCACCTGAAGTAATGACCACTCACTGTCAGCAACTGCCATTAGCCATGCTTAAAAGTGTATTTCCTACCCAGCAATTACACACCAAGGCTAAGAGTTCTCTCATGATGCAAAGTCACTTCTGATGCTCCCAAAAGTCAAAAATATCAGGTAACTCAATGAGAGCAGAGCCTTAGATTTTGAGAGGGATCTGTCTGTCCACTTACAAATCCTGGGGTTCCATGAGGAAAACAGAGATTTTTCCCAAAGCAGGATCTGCGGTGCTTCCTCTGTTTCTCCCAAGGAGTCCTAGGCTGTCAGAAACCACCTCAGGTCCTCTCATGTGGACAACCAGTGTGGGAAGTGGACAGACAAAAATAAGTGGAGGCACAATTCAGTCAACTGAGAGAAAAAAACTTTTTCACGAAAAAACAAGATCCAAGAAGAGAAAAAGCATAAGGGTCTTAAATATATGTATGTATGTATGTATGTATGTATGTATGTATGTATGTATGTGTATATGTATTTATGTGTGTGTATATACATATGTATATATTTTTAAAAGCTTGAATATCTACTTTTAATTAAGCTGACTTTTAATGATAGAACTCTTTTTTTAAAAAATCCTTTTAGGCCAGGTGCGGTGGCTCACGCCTGTAATCCCATCAGTTTGAGAGGCCAAGACAGGCAGATCAGCTGAGGTCAGGAGTTCGATATCAGCCTGGCCAACATGGCAAAACCCCATCTCTACTAAAAATACAAAAATTAGCTGGGCATGTTGGCTCGTGTCTGTAATCTCAGCTACTTGGGAGGCTGAAGCAGGAGAACTGTTTGAACATGGGGGACAGAAGTTGCAGTGAGCCAAGATCACACCACTGCACTCCAGCCTAGGCGACAGGGCAAGACTCTGTCTCAAAAAGAAAAAAAAAAATCTTTTTAAATCTCTTATTACCAGCCTCTAGCCAGTATGAACAGCTGACACCTCTGGCTTTTAAGCATTTTTCTCCCCCAGAGGTATTTCCCCAAGTGAAACCAATAAGCCTTAACTAAGGTTATGACTTAACCAAGGATGCGTGAGATATCTCCAAAGAGATGGCAAGCACTTTTTACAAGATCTAGAATTGCCCGAGGGCTGGCTCAGAGAAAGGACAATTCAAGACAGGAAATCTGAAACAGTCCATGGAGGAGAAGAGACCCAATAAATGGCAAAAGTCCCACAAGTATCAACCCAGAAAGGACTCAGTCCTTATACCAGGAATTGAACCCAGGCTGCCACTGCAAAAGCTCAACACCTTTAGCTACTGAGCTACAGCACGAGGCAGTTACCATTGTGAAAGGGCAATACCTTAGCTACTGAGAGACAGCACAGGACAGTCACCATTATTCTTCCAAGAAGGAGCCTGGAGCAGTCATTTTTGAGTTTGTGAAGGATTTTCACTGCTTAAGAGAGTTTTCTAAGGCTAGCCATGACATTATGCGTCCTTCTTTTAATTTAAACCTTTTTTCAATTGTTGAAAATAAGAGATCTCCAAGATTATTATTATTATTATTATTATTACAATGATGTACTCAGTTCGAACAGCAACTCAATTCAAAAGCCATTTTAAAGCCCCAGTGATAACTTTCTAGGCTTTTAGCATTTAAGCAAGAGGCATTTAGAGAGAAAGGATAGAAGAGGCATCCCCATGATCTCCAAAAATTTTGTCAAAAATGGGCTTAAAGTAACAAACGATGACAAAAAGCCTAGTAGGGATGGTACTTTTTAAGACAAAACTCACCCAAGGGCTTGACACATTTGGGATGAAGAGTATGCTACCTCATCTCAGACTCCCGGTCCTTTCAGACCAGCTGCCTGGCATAAACCTGAAAATTCCTGCCCTCCAGATGGCAGAGACCAAGAGAGTGTACCCCCACATGGTCGCAAGGTCAAGCTCCCAAGGACATAAAACAAGAGGGAACCCTCATCTGGTTTTGGTTTAAGGGACCCACAGTAAAGTTTGTAGCTGACCATTCTGAAGAGCCAGATCAAACAGCAGTCTTTTAGGGTCCCAGGACCATGTTCTATCCTATTGTACCCTTCTTCATGACAGAACAACACAGAAAGACAAACTCATAGCACAAAGTACCACAGATTTGCTGCAGCCTAAGGCACATCTTACAAATCCTTTTTCCTGTTTATCAAAACAAAATTTGCAGAGGAGACAAACAGTGATTTTTACCATTCACTCAACGAGTTTGCCCAGAGAGAGAGAGAGGCCAGACACCTAGATGGTAAGAAATTCTTACCCTTTTACCAACTTGCCAGGTTTCTGGGTTTCCTCTCTCTGCATGGCTTCCAGAAGAATAGATTGGCTTTTAATGGCACCGTAGCTGCAGCAGCCAAGCTGCATTATGAAAGAAAATCATCCTTTTCTGTTTTATGGAACCATAGGCAAAACCTCTCAGTTTTGTGAGATGGAGTCCAACAGACTGCATGAGGCAACCGAATTAACACTTCTCATTCTGATAGGAGCAAAATACACACAACAAAACACAGACACTAGTCACCATGTTTATCACCCAAGTATCCACCTGGCAAGGCTCAAACTTGCCCCTGTTGGCCCCTGTCATCTTTGATCCACTCAAAATTGGGTTGGGATGACCTCCAACCAGGAGCTTCAATGGGTGGTCTCCAGGAAGATGGAAGAGTAGACAGTCACCTTGAGGGCCCACTGAATGTGACTGTCCAGACAAACTAGGGGAGGCTGCTGGACTTCCATCAGTAATTCCTTCAGGGAATCCTCTCCATACGTACAAACACGAACAATGAGGTAAAGACAAACAGAAAGGCCTTCCAAACCAAGATTCTAAACCAGTTTCCAGACCAGAAGAGTATTCTTCCAAACTAACCTCCTATTCTCCATCTAATGGGGAGAAATCTCCCCAAACCAAGACTCTTTCTACTATTTAGGGAGAGGCAGCAGAGATCCCTGAAGGCACAGAATCAATATTCCCAAAAGAGCCAAAGCAATTGGGAGAAGGAAGTGTTGGTTGCACTTAGAATACTCACCAGATCAGTTTAAAGACGTCTTTCAAGGAATCATTTCTCCATGCAATTAGTCCTAAGCATTATGGGTTGACAGTGCCCCATGGTCAGGGGCAGCACCAGGGATGGCCATCAGTTCCAAAGAAAAATAAGTGGCCACCAGAACTCACCTCCAGGTCCGTCATACTGGTGCAGGGCTGACAACCTGTGGGCAGGCACCTAAAATGGCAGATCTTGGATGAGTCCCTGAATTTGTAATTGCCCAGTGGTTTTTCCTGCCTGCTGCACAGACAAAGCCAATTCATTGAGACCATAGCGTTGCAGTGAAGAAAGAATTTAACTGATGCAAGGCTGGCCAGCCACACAGGAGGTGGAGTTTTTACTCAAATCAGCCTCCTACCCATGGAGGTTAGGGTTTTCAAGGATAGTTTAGTGGGCGGGGGACTAGGGAATGGGTGCTGCTGATTGGTTGGGGATGCCATCATGATGGTGTGGAAATGATTCTTGTGCACTGAGATGACTCAGGCCACAGGACCAGTTGAGTCATGAGTTGCAGGTCTGGGTGGAGTCAGCCAATCATCAGAAATGCAAAAGTCTGAAAAGATATCACAAAAGACCAACCTTAGGTTCCACAATAGTGATGTTATTCACCAGATTAATTGAGGAAGTTACAAAGCTTGTGATCTGCAGAACTATGGCTGGTTATCATTTAACTATGCCTACATCTTAGCAGAATTCAGATTTCTCTCATAATCCTAACTTTGTGGACTTTTATTAATTTTACAAAGGTGGTTTAGTTTTGGAAGGGCTATTAGCATCCTTGCTTTAAGATTAAACTATAAACTAAATTTGTCCAAAAGTTAGCTTTGTCGACACCCAGGAATTACCAAGGACATATTAGAGGTTAGAAGCAACCATGCCAGATTTCTCTCACTGTCATTATTTTGCAAAGGCAGTTTCACTTTTCATCCCCAGTCTCCAGATAGCACCTTTCTTGACAATCACCTACCTTTCCTGTCTATAATCCCCTCAGGATCTCACCTCCTTCCTATCAAAGAACAAAGGGCAAGCAGCAGATAGAGACTCCAGCTCACTATTTGACTATTCTGGTGACCTTACAACAGTCACCAATCCCATAGTCCCAGCTTTCAAAGGTGGTATTATTAACAGCACCCACAGGTATGCCATCATCATTATGTTAAGAGATGATTCTTCAGAGCTCTTAACATGGAAAATGTGGAAAGGGAGAGGATGACTATTAGCTGCTTGTTAGGCAGATTTATGGTTTGAATTTACATGCATCAGGTGTACATTAAGCTTAAATCTTGTCCAAAGAGTCCAACTCAATCAGTGAAAAATAAGGAAAAGAATTATTTTTCTCCACTATCATTAATAGAAAAATCCAGGTTCTTCCGCATGCAAAGGGAAGAAAAGACAGTAAAAAAGTGTGAGACAGAGCAAAGTCAGAGATCTCCATTTCAAAGGGCACTTTGACCTGTACACCTTGAGGTTTCCCATCCACTTTACAGGATTCAATTCATTTTGCCACTCCCTTTGCTCCTCCGTGAATTTCCCTCAGCACAGGTGGTTTCATGAAAGCCAACCAAGAAAAGGTGTGGAAAGGAAAAACCCGAAGACACAGTGCTTCCTCGACCCCTTGATCAGCTCCACCTTCCCATATGGAGCCTCTTTGCAGGGTCAGTCACAGTAGTCAAGAATCCTGATTTTCCTGACTTTTGCTCATCTCTAAGATTGTCTATAACCTTTGCCAAACAGTATTTAGGACAACTGTAGACACCTTTAAGGTCAACCTGTTCCTCAATGTCACTTTTTTTTTTTTTTACATTCTAAACCAATCTAGAGAGAAAACCACATATTGATAGTAAAGAAAAGAAGGTTAAAATATATTCTCAGGAAATTGCAGTATCTGCATATCAAATAACACTGTAAAAGTATTGCTAGCTTGTCCTGAAACAAGGAGTTACCTGACTACTAAAGATAAGAAGTATCACCCCAATGGCACCATAGAAAAAATTAGTTCCGTTATCTCTCCCATCTCCTGCAGACCCTCCCAAATGGTCCCCTTCATGAGTCCAAACCCAAGCTCAATGGTGTGGACAACCACTTACTCAGCAGACATCCAGCAGCCCCACAAGAACAGTTTTAGGAGATGATGAGGAAAACAACCCCTAACATTTGCACTTTGTGCCCCAACACCAGTGAAGACCACCCCTCCCCCACACTACCACTGCCCCACTTCCCCACAGCCTGAACTTACAGGCCATTTCTCTGCTTTCCCTGAAGATACCTGCACTAGGAGTTTGGAGGCTCACATTTAAAACTTAATCTCAACATTTTAGCTAGAAGCTCCATAAAATGAAGTAAATCCACACATACAGGCAATGAAAATGATGGCACAGAAATGTCACTTACCAAATGACACTTGCATATGAGTGGAAAGGCTTGGATCCAAAGTCATAGGTCTAACCCTGACCACTTAGAGAATGTGACTTTGGGCCAGCCACTTAACATCTCTGAATCCATTTCCCTGAGTTAAAATGAGGTTATGTAAACAGCAGTGTTCTATACACTTAAGCATCAGGCAAATTAAAGAGATTTTTATAAAAATAGGCCAGTTAAAGAACCAGGTCATTGGGCCTATATCTCCATATAATATATGAGCACTGTTTGTCATTTCCATCTAACTGCTTGAGACATTCTTCACTTAATCCATGTCTCCATCTTTCCATTCAATTGCTTCCACATAGTAGGTGCAGCCCTTTGGACCAAACCACTGGAGCATTTTGATGTTGTCTATAACTTCTGTATACACAGGCATATATAGTGGCCTTCAAAGGGAAGGAAAGAGAATGATTACTTTTTTAGATAAAACAATGTAAAATATGCAAAGTTATGATAAGCTACACACTCTCTGAAGACACCAACAACCTTAAGAGATACCCTGAGAGCTCAATTAATCTTTTTTCAAGCCCGGTTCCATCCGCACTATATTAACATGTTAAAACCCCTCACAAGCACCTTTTTTGTGAGAGAGCAAGTGTCATTCTGTCCCCTGAGCTGGCTGTAAATTCCTACCATTTCTGCTTCCCCAGTTAAAGACCTCTTTAAAGGAAGAAGACAATTTTCTACAGAGACGCTGAAAACATGCATCTGGGCTCAGACTGGCCAACCCTGGTTGTGGGGATGCTGGGGGATGGAGAAAAAAAGACTGCTGATGAGCAGAATCTCAGCCCTTGGCCCAGAAGAGTAAGCGGCCTGAGGCACCCCCACTGCCTGGGGCCTAGACCAAATCTCCCAGAAAGAGGTTTGGAAGCACCCCCAGCAGTAGAGGAGAGCTCTTTCTATCTACTGGCAGACAAAGCCCGGCTCAAGGCCCTGGCTTAAGCTTGGACAGAGCGTGCAGTCTGGAGCAGTAGGAGGTAGATGTAGGTTAATACCTTGATGCTCACACTGACCTCTGGTTTTACTTTAATCTTTCCATTTTTAATGGCAAAAAGGTTTTAGGTATCTGAGCAATCTCAGTCTGGCATGTTTGCTAACTGTGATAACAAAGTGCAAATGAATTTAGAGAAGCGAAGTTCCAGGAGATGGAAAACCAGGCAGGAAGCTGAGGAAAGATTTCAGGAAAGAGGCAAATTGAGTGCCTGAGCCAAAGGAAGTGCAGAGGGATTGCCCCAAAGTGAAATATCAGTGCTAAATCTTCAACAAGATTAGGAAACAGAGACCAACGAGGACTCCCAAGGAAGCCTCCTGAGAGTTCACAAGAATATGTCACTTTCCTAATGTTTTGTTCATATGTTAGCTCCTAAAAAATTACAAAATGATGTGCAACAGTTTTAATGTTGGAGTCATACAATTTTAATGAAATCAAGACTCACATATATGAAAAATATGGAAGTTACTACTGATCCCAATGATTATTTCCATTAATAAGAAAATATCTTGAAAGGAAAAATGGTAGTGATTTTTAAATAAATCTTTTGAACTAATAGGAATTTATAGTTACTAAGAATTAATACCACTAGTAATTTAATTTGAATATTTTTAATATACATATGGATTATACTACAAGAATGTTCACAGTAGCCTTATTTTTTAAATTTATTTATTTATATTTTTAATTAACAAATAAGAATTGTATGTATCTATGGCATAAAACATGATGTTTTGGAACATGTACACATTGTGGAACGGCTAAATCAAGCTAATTAACATAGGCACCACCTCATACACTTATCAGTTATTTGCATAATAGCATTATTTCTAATTTCAAAATTTGGAAACAGTTGTCCAAAACAAAAAGGATTAGCTGAGTAAATTGTAGCATATCCATATGGTGGAATACTTTTTACAAACTGAAAATAATGTTATAGAAATGTATTTATATTTAAATGGAAAGGCATTTACACTCCACTGTTGAGTGAAAAAAAAATCAAGTTACAAAATACTATGCATTGTATGAGTTCATTACTGCTTAAAAGGAAAGGATGTCATACAAAAAAAAAAAAAAACCTAGAAGGAACTGTACCAAAATGTTAACAAGGGCAATCATAGGTTGAGGAATACAAGTAATTAATATTTTCTTCTGTTTCCTTCTCAGCATTTTCTGTTGTTGCTTTTTTTCCCTAAAATAAACATGTATTACATGTGTATTACATGACACTGTTACCTTTTTAAAGCACGTGCCTGTGGTATTACAAATATGAATGTGAGATTTTAGGAATAAGACAATGAGCACCTGACTTAAAGGTGAGGCAGAGAAGGGGACTGACCCAGTAGGAATCTGTCCTGATGGCCACACAGTCACAGAACTCATTCAGCAAATGGCCCAGAGCACAGGCTGTGGATCTCAGCTCAGCCACTTGTGATCCAGGCCAAGTGACTTCATCTCTTTCCAGTTTCCTCATCTGTAAAATGGCTGCCTCACCACATTGTCAGAAAGCTAAATGAGTTGATACAGTGTATGTAAAGTTCCTCAGCTTAAAATAAAGTCTGGCACATGCTAAGCTTTATATGTGCTTGCTTATTTAAAAAATATTTTCTTTCGAAGATTCCTGAGATAACTAGGTGAAAAAAAAATTACTTATTATCCCACCCCCTTAGGGTTGAGTCAGCTGGGTAGAGAGAAGGCTGGCGCTGGTTTCTTTTCAAACACAGTTCATCATCTTAATTTCTTTAAAAAAAAAATTAAAGAAAAAAACCAATTCACTTCCTTTCCTCCTCCCCATAAAAGCTCTTTGGGAAGTTTTGCTTTATTGCTAATGCTTTTCTTTATAACTGGATGATCAATTCAGCTGGGATTAATTGAGCATGAAGCTGGCAGCATCTGTGGAGCCATTTATCAGAGAGAAGGAGCCAGCTCACACTGAAGCCCACCAGCTATCATTATCCGCGCCAGCTCCAGCAGCCTCAGGCACACCTGAGCCTCAGGTGGCTAGCGACATGCTCACCGAGTGTGCGACAACCAAGGGTGGGACCTCCTGCACTCTCCCCTCCCCAGCAGAAAGGCTGTCTGGCTGCAAATGATCCTCACAAGCCCAAAATGCTATATTTACTCCAATGCCATGCGGGCATCTTGCTGTAACACTGTTTTAAAAAAAAAAAAAAAAAAAAGAAAAGAAAACATTAATTTAATTTAGAGTGAATATGACCTGGATTCTATCCAATGGAATTTTGTTAATAAAGTACCAAAAAATATCTTTTTATGAAGCAATATCCAGCATGGCCCCTGCAAGCATACATTAGAAAGATTTTGGCATAAAATTCCCACTGTATGTGTATTTGCCAGAAGTATAGGTTGTGTTTGCTTACCAATAACCATGTGTAATATGTGAACATAGACAGTTGATGAGCATTGTGTACATGATAAGGATAATAACGAGAACTGATATCGTCCAGGACTTATGTGTCAGGCGATCTTATAGGCACTTTACAGCTACTACCTCATTTAATCCTCACAGCCTAGGATGTATGAATTCCCTCCCTAATTTGATGAGGGAACTGAGCAGAGAGAGGTTAAGTAGCTTGCCCACAGTTACACAGCAAGTCTAGCATAAGCTGGCATTCCAACCAGGCAGAGCGGCTCCATACCCCATATACTCTGTACACCACCAACCATTCTGTTACTCTGCCTCCCACGTGTGTGTGTGTGTGTGTGTGTGTGTGCACTCTTCATACACATACATCTGCTATTTGCCTTTCTTCCCTACACAAATCTAGGGCTGCAGGCGGGCTGCAACTGGCTAACACCAGCTTTTAAAGTCTCTGTAGCCAAGGCTGCTCTTAATCAGCCATAGCCCAGGTGCCATAGCCCTTGCCCATCCTAGGCAGAAAGGAGCGAGAAGAGGCTGTCCTCACTCAAGGCCTGCCCTTCCTTTCCTTCCACAGAGGGAGAGTCTAATTCGTGTGTGTGTGTGTGTGTGTGTGTGTGTGTGTGTGTGTGTGTGTGGTTTAGTTGCTGAACATTAGTACATATAATATTTTAGTTGCTGAACCCCACCTTGATGGCTAATTTTATGTCAGTTTGGTTGGGCTGTGGGGCCCAACTATCTTGTTAACATTATACTGGATGTTTCTGTGGGGGGATTTTTGGATGAGACTTACATTTAAATTGGTGGACTTTGAGTAAAGCACATCACCCTCTCTAATGTGGGAGGGCCTCATCTAATCATTTGCAGGCCTGAATAAAACAAAGGACTGATGAGCAAAAAGGAACTCTGTCAGCAGACGGCCTGCAGACTTGAACCGCAGCATTGGCTGCTTCTGGGCCTTCATCCTGCAGACTTTGGACTTGCCGGCCTCCGTAATCCTGTGAGTCAGTTCTTCAAAATAAATCTCTTTCTATACATACACACATGCCATTGGTTCTGTCTCTGGAAAACCCTGGCAAATATACCCACACAGGATCAGATAGGCTGGGAGCACACCGGCCTCACTCAGCTGTCACTAGGAGTGGGCGGGGAGCGGGGGTTCTTCTGCTTAGGAAGGATGTAGGAAGAAGTGACCTTTTAACTCTACAAGTTAAAATGCAGGATTGGGTTATTCCAATGCATGGTATTTCCCTTAGTACAGAGTCTAGCTTCAAGGAATCCACCTTTCACCATGTGACCAAGTATAAACATGAGACAGAATATGGAGCTCCAGTCCCAATATTTAAAGGGACAGACGTATGAAGCACAAGGTCTCACATAAGAAGGAAACCAACGCTGTGACCCAGATCCTGTCACTGGCCTTTTAAACTCTGAATCACAGAACTCACAAAGGGAGGGAGATTCTTATCCCTCCCCAATAACATATTTTTCCTCAGCAAAAAAAAAAAAAAAAAAAAAAAAAAACAATGACCAAAGGAAATCCTTTGTGGGACGCTTCCTACCATTCCACAGTTACCATTCAAAAAAAAAGAAAACGCTCATGGAATTGAGCCACCTCTCCTGGCAAGTGATTCACATTGAACTCAATGAGAGAATCACTTTGCATTTCCTGCTGAAGTTATTTTGCAAGTGGTCATGGTCATCATTACTGAGCCAAGGGAAGGACAAGTTCATAGCCAGGGTGTCCACCTAAATGGATCTGACTCTTTGGTCATTTCCTGTGCTAGCTCCCCCCACAAACGGGACCTGTCACCCATGGGGACACTAAGGCTGAGACCAGAGTCTCAACCAGGCATTGCTATGAGACTCTGAACAAATTCAGGTCTAGTATTTTCCAACACCTCTCACCTTCCAACCACATACTTAACATCAAGAAGAGATTCTTGAAAATCAGTCTTCTGCACAAAAACTCTAACTCAGAGTCTTTCCTATGACTTTACCTGGGAAAAGCTACAATGTTTCACATCCACCACCCAAGACTCTCAATCAAATTTTTAAATGTAACTAATATACAGCAAAACACCTATCTATCTGTATATAAATAATGAACTCTCATGTTAGAATGTAAAATGCCTCAAGCATGGCTTCCTGGTCACCAAAAAATTCATGTTTGTAACAAAGAGTTGCTTGATGACCTGCAGTGGCTCCCCTCTTAGTTCTAACAACCACCAAGACACACACCCCATGCTGACACTCAACATGCCTTTCAAGAAAATGTACAGTATTTAGAATGGAACTCAAGACTATTTCGGCAAATCGTTTTGTTGAAATGTTGTACTGAGCTAGGTGGTCATAAATATACACGTTTTTCTATATAATCATTGACTCAAAAACATTGTATAGAAAGGCATATACATTTTATGGAGTTTGGGCTTTAAAAAATCAAGAACCATTCTGTTGAGAAAATGTTCCCTGGAGAGACATTGTGGAAAATCTATCATTTATTTGTTTATTGTGGTTATTATCTGTCTCCCATCACTCAACCATAAGCCCCTTAAGAGCAGGGATTTATTTCTGTTTTGCTGATAAGTCCCCAGTGCCTAGAAAGGATCTGCCTCACAGGAGGTGTGCAAGGTGTATCAGATGAGTATATTAATATTTGTAACATTCAGGGAGGCTGCAGGGAGATGGATGGATTACTAAAATCCTCATCGTTTATGGAAGGACGCTTTGAAAAGAGCACTGGGCCAGGAGTCAGGAGGCCTGAGTTTTGAGTCCTGGACTGGCCACTCTGTTACTTGCTGTGTGACCTGAGCTTCGTTTTCCTCTCAGGTTCACCAGACTATCAGCAAATCCCCCAGCTCCATCCCAGAGTCTCTATCTGATTCCAGTGGGGAAAAGCCCACTGAACTCTCTAATGGGAGGGGGAAAAAAGACAGCCACAGTCTCAACTGGAAGGAAGTAGAGAGCAGAAAGCAAAAGAGAAAGAAACATAGTATCTGGTTTAGAAAATGAGGAATCCTTTTCCTCCGCCGGGTGATCCCTTCTTATTACATCACACTAGAGACATGGTGGTGACGTTCAAAAACAAAGAAGAAATCTCAGAAGTAGCATATAGTGTTCCAGGAGCTCCATCCTGCCTGCAGAAAGCAGATTCCTGCCTGCAGAAAAAAAAGCAGAAAAAAAAAAAGGAGGCTGAGCTTCCCGCAAAGAGTCATGAAGCTGGGTTTCCCCTGAGGTGTCACCCAGTCCTGCTACGCTGTTTCCTGTAGGTGTGCTGCCAGCAGCTGGGCTCTGCCAGAGGCTCTCCATGCAGCAAATACAGCCTTGACATCCTGGAGATCAACAGGGAGCTGCACACTGCATCTGGGACTGGGAAAGAGACCTTAGCAGAGCGCAGACAATGAGCCCTCATCCTTTTCAAGATAGAGGCGGACACCTGGAGGAGGCTCCCAGCATCTCCACTGAATGGACAGGCTACAGACAGGCAGCCATCCTTCTGACGTGGAACAACTGATAAGAAAGCTAGACGTAGATGCACGTTCACCAGGCACTGTGCTGACAGCTTTACGTACACCATTGCATTTCATTTTTAAAATAGCTTTACGAGGTAGATTTTATTGTTGCAGATGAAGAAACTGAGGCTCAGAGAGATTAAGTGGTGTGCTGAAGATCACACAGCCAGGATATGCAAGTGGCAGGACTCAGCCCCCACCGTCTGCTCCCAGAGCTCAGTCCCTTGCCCCCGCACACATCTAAATGGGTTCTGGATTTGCCATAATACAGGACACATCTTCCACTCGCTCTTCTCAGAAGCCACAGCAGACCTAAACAGAGGAAGCCACCCCTACCTGTGCCGAAATATTTTAGCCTTCTGTTGCCCTCAGTAAGATTCAAATATACTCTCATCTCTTCCATCTTAAAAATGTGCTTCCGCACCAACGTCTTCCAGTTCCAACCCACCTCTGTCTTGCCATCATGCCAAAGGGCTTAGAAAAGCTGGCCACGCTGTTTTCTTACCTCCTACTCAGTCCTCTACTCCCCTCCCCATGCCTGAATCATCAGGAAGCCTCTGATCAAGGTCACCTGCCATCCCGGGGTGCTGAGTAGACCCTTTTCTCTGTTTTGGTTTTACTCGATTTCTCAACCCCATTTCCAACGTCAGTCACGGCCTTGTTCTTAAAACCTGCTGTCCTGTTAGGACACTCACTGCCACCCCTCCTGGTTTCCCTCCCAACTCTCTGCCTCTGTTGGCCTTGGGTGCTCCTGGGACTCTGCCCATTCCTTAAATGTCAGGGTTTCTTGGGATTTCACTTCTCACCCCAGACACTCTCTAGGGGGGCCGGGGGGGGAGGATTTATTCACCCTCAGGCCTTTGATTAATAGCTGCATGTGAGTGATTCCCCAATCTCTGCCTCTCACCTTGCTCTGTGTTCTGAGCATCAGCTCCACAGACCCAGCCTGCCGGCTCATCGTCCTCACCACCAGGAGAAACGAGCCTCACCAGTACCCGGCCAGGTTACTTCTGCCTTGTTTCTACCACCGAATATTCCAGCCTTTGAGAACTATTGACTCTTCTGAGCCACTGTACAGCCATTGTCCCCTCTTGTAGTAAACACTTTAGCCCTCCTTTTTCCCTCTGGCTCAGTTCCTCTCGTCCTTCAGATCTCCCTGTGGGCCTCACTTCCTTTAGAGAGTGAGGAGAGCATCTGCCCATCAGGCCCACGTGAGCTCTCGTTGCCCAGCTTGCTGCCCCTTTAGGAGCCTGGAGGATGCTACACTGCAATGGCCTCATTTTCTTTTTTTTTTTTTTTTTTTTTTTTTTTTTTTTGAGATGGAGTTTCGCTCTGTCGCCCAGGCTGGAGTGCAGTGGCGCGATCTCGACTCACTGCAAGCTCCGCCTCCCGGGTTCACGCCATTCTCCTGCCTCAGCCTCCCGTGTAGCTGGGACTACAGGCGCGCGCCACCATGCCCGGCTAATTTTTGTATTTTTTTTTTTAGTAGAGACGGGGTTTCACCGTGTTAGCCAGGATGGTCTCGATCTCCTGACCTCGTGATCCACCCTTCTCGGCCTCCCAAAGTGCTGGGATTACAGGCGTGAGCCACCGCGCCCGGCCGCCTCATTTTCTCCATATCCTCCACTAGGCTAGATCAGGAGACAAGATTTCCTATTTTTTGCTATTTAATTTCCACCAACTAGTGTAGTTCTTGATCCATGCATTAAAGCATTCAATGAATATTGGTCAAGTGAATGAATATGAGTGACAGCATCACTTAATCTGGTCTCAGGACCCTCTCAAGTCCAGTGAGCCCACAACTCCACGAATCAACAGCAACATGTGCTGGCTGTCAACCACAGCCCTGTTTCCTAGCAAGCCCTCTTTGTTTACTGCAGATGATACCTGCTCCCTAAGAACTGAAATTTAACCTTGTCTCCTGATCCCTATCCATAGCAACCACCGTGACTATCAACACATTCACCACTGGCTTGAGTCTACCTGCATTCTTTCCCTGAGCACATTATCCTACAGTGTTCTCTCATCACTACTGATGCTAATGACCGATGCTTGTCACCAGCTGTGCACAGGTGTGGGCTGGTTCAATGCCCTGAACACTGTTGGTTTAGTAGGCTGCTGCAGGGCCCTTTTTTCAGTCCAGAGGGGGGTCTTCTTCTCTCTGGAAGTCCTGGCACACTGTACTCCTGGAGCCACACAAGCAGCCTCCAACTTCATGTGTGCTTATTTGCATATGCATGTGTGCCTCTTAAACCACAGCCCCAGCCAAATCTAGCCACTTCCCATCCAGTGAAATCCTTCGAAGAATATGACAACAGTGAACCTGCTCCCTTCTGAGGGAGGAACTAGGAACTAAGAACAAGCCTGTTCCTAGCTCAGGTTTGCCCAAATGTGCCACATATGTGAAAAAACACAAGCTTTTCTACTTACCGTCCAGAAGTTTTCAGATATTGTCACATTTGTGGATAGAAAAATCTGGATGTCTGATTGACCCTGCCTTCACTTTGTGTCCTGTTGATTGCTGTTATATAAACCCTGATGAGCTGATCTTTCTTTTCTCAAATCTGCCATTTCTTGACCTCCATTGCATAATCCCTGAATGTGCCTTCCAGGTGCTATTGTCATTCTGGAGCAAGTACGGCCAAGTCATCTCATGAGAGCTTTGTAAGGATTATCTACAAGCAGTAGCTGTAGGACTTGGCACTCTGCCAGCCAGCAAGAACACTCCGGTGTCCCTCTCCATGCCAGCTGGGCCAGTGGCTCACACAGGTTCTGGGCAAGCTGTGTGTCCCCTCCCTCACCTCTGGTCTCTCCCCAGAAAAATCCCAATGATTAGTGCTTTTCACTGCAGAGGGATGTATTAATAGAATCCAGAGCCATTTTTGTCTTAGAGAAAACCTCCTATAAATACAAAACAGTGCTGTGATATGACCCTATCATTCTCCAACCAACAAATTTTTCCTGAGCATCTGTGATTTACAAGTTCTTGCATAATAGGGTTCCAATTTACCATATCAAAGTAACTTCCTCAAAACTGTATCTTATTTACTTATCAATGTCAAATTTGTTTATTTATTGATCAATCAATGAATTAATCAATTGAGAGATTTCATAAACATGTATTTTGCCTTTACTATATGACAGGTTTAGGGTTTATGATAAGGATCCCAAGAGAAACAAGACGATCTTTTCCTCAAATTGTTCACTATCTGTATTATTTTGCATGGGCTGCCATAATAAACACCACAGACTGGGTAGCTGAAACAATAGAAATTTATTTTCTCACCATTCTGGAGGCTGGAAGTCCAAGATCCAGATGACAGCAGGTTATTTTCTCTGGGGCATCTTGTTGGCTTGCAGATAACTGCCTTCTTGCTATGTCCTCCCATGGTCTTTTCTCTGTGCATACCTACCTACCCCTGGTACCTCTCCCTCTTCTTATAAGGACGCCAGTCCTTTTGGATTAGGGCCCCACCCTAAGGGCTTCATATGAACTTAATCACCACTTTGAAGACCTTATCTACAAATTCTGTAACATTTTGAGTTTCTGAAGATTGGGACTTCAACATAGGAATTTGAGGGTGGGGGAGCACCATTTAGACCATAATACCATCTTCATTAGAGAAGCAGAGAAATTGAAAAGTAGTTACAAGTAAGTGTATTAAGGAGTATGGTAAAGGAGATACAGGGTGATTCTCCAGCATTGAAGAGGACTCCTAACCCAGTCTGAATGAGAGTGGAGGTCAAGGAAGGCTTCCTGGAAGAGTAAGTACAGAGCATACTGAATAAATGTAGCACATACAGAGACCTGCAGTGAGGGACAGCACAGTCAAGGAAAGTAATTCAGTTTGATTAAAACAAAGAGTACAAGAGAATGGGAGCAAGATGGGAGACAGGAAAGGAAGGCAGGGCCAGTAGGAGAGCCACACAGAGGAGACTGGACTCTGCTATAGCAATGGCACATTAAATAAATAAACGCGTGCTGGGAATGGGGAGGGGTGGCCACACACCACATGGGGCTTTATGACAGATGATGGCTGTCACTGTTTGGGGATATATTACAGGCTGGGAAAGCAGTTAGGAGGCTGACAAAATTATCTATGCAAAAGGTGACGTATTAGCAGCAGGCAGAGAGGCTGGGGTGGCCTCTCAATGAAACTAAAGCCAGGGGAAAGGCAACACCTGATAAGGGGAATACAGAGTGAGTAGAACAGTGGCCAAGGAGGGAACTGTAGGAATATTAGCATTTAAAGAAGGCCTAGCAAACTGGACTGTCAAAAGTAATTTTTTCTAATGCATAAAAACTTCAAAATCATAGAGAGAGAGGCTCTGTGCCACTCCATCTTTTAGGAACAAGACAGATGATGATTCTGCCATCATCAATATTTGAAATGCACAGCTTAGTTGTCCTGATATTTGCATGCAGTTTATGCACAGTTTATGGACAGAGGAAGTGAGCAAGTGAAGAATGAATGTGGTTACCTGGAAGTGGTGTAAATCAATTACACCCACACCTAACTGCAAGGGAGGCTGGGAAATGTAGTCTAACTGTAGTCTAGCCATTAGATGAACAGATAGCCAGGGTCTCCCCAATGAGTACAACTTTCCCTGCCAGAAATAGGATGAAGGAAGACATTCCAGCCAGAAAGCATGACATAAGCAGGGGCAGAAATTTTCAGTATGTATTCAGGGACTGTAAGTAGTTGAAATGGTCTATGACATAGAATTCATGTAGGAGCATATTGGGAGCTACAAAGGGAGGCTGAATCTACATTGAACAGAGCTTTAACTATCTCATAAGAGTGTTAAGTTTATTATAATCACCAGGGACCTTTGTTAAAAGGTTCGAAAATGATTTTCACTGAAAAAGATCTTTCAAGTAGATAGAGATAAAGATGTTCATGGAAGAGGAAAAAAGATGAGATAAATGAAGAAAATCTGGATAAGGATTGTCTCTGCTGTATTTTTGAAAGCCTTGATTTAAAAAATGTTTTTTAAAAAAAGTAAGGGCCCAGCCGGGCGCAGTGGCTCATGCCTGTAATCCCAGCACATTGGAAGGCAGAGGCGGGTGGATCATGAGGTCAGGAGATCAAGACCATCCTGGCTAACACAGTGAAACCCTGTCTCTACTAAAAATACAAAAAATTAGCGGGCGTGGTGGCACGTGCCTGTAGTCCCACCTACTTGGGAGGCTGAGGCAGGAGAATCGCTTGAACCTGGGAGGTGGAGGTTGCAGTGAGCTGAGATCGTGCCATTGAACTCCAGCCTGGGCGACACAGTGAGAGTCCGTCTCAAAAAAAAAAAAAAAAAAGATAGTAAGGTCCATTTAAAAATGTTTCACTGGACATACTATGAGATAATAAAACCAGTAAGGAGGAAAAATGTTTTCATCTATTTATGCGTTAGCTTGTACTTTTATGTAAGAACAACTAGGCAATGTGTGATCACTTTGAAAGCTCTAGGACAATGAAACTTTTAGCCAAAGGTATTATTTTATGGGAATCTGTAATATTACCACAACAGGAATGGCTCCCCCCTCTGCTTAAAATCACAGGGGCTTGATTCACTTCTCCTTCTCCACGTGTGTCAGAATTGACTTTGCAAGCAATGCCAGAGGAGACTACTTCCATCAGTATTGAAAATCTATTCAGTAGATAAGCTGCCATTAGAAATGAATTGCCTGAAAGAGTCACAAAATTCTTCTGTAGCACCATGATTTGTTGTTTTTCGTCACCTCTACCTAGCTTTGTGATGCTGAGTCCAAATGGAATCAACACCCACACCATATTTGCTCATAAATCTCTTTCATTTCAAGGCCAAAGATGGGGTCACCTTTACATCTTTTTGCTAAGAAACACTCATACGGAATACATTCCAGGTATCCCATTTTAGCAGATGTATGGCCCCCAGACAGTTAGGAGATGTATGGCCCCCAAACACTTAGGAGATGTATGGCCCCCAAACACTTAGGAGGCTGGGGATTTGCCAAGCCTTTTTAACAACTGCCCTTTCATAAAGGGGTAGAGTTTTTCTGGGCTCATGCTCTTCAAGTCCTAGAGAGATATGCATACCATTCTTTGCAACCTAGCAAAATATTTTTTGATCTTATGGAGACAGTTGATAAAATGGAAAAGATTTTAAAAATGTAGAACCACAATGATAAGACAACCCTGAGCACCAGCTGTTACCAGTTGTTGACCTTGGACAAATTATGTAACTTCCATGAGCTTAACATGAAAATAATAATACCTATAACACCGGATCTTATATGAATAACATAATAGATATAAAGTGCTTAATAGTGCCTGGCACATAGTATGATATAAAATATGTGTTCTTCACACAGGCTCCACTTCCCCGACATATACTGTGTTGAACTGCTGGCCTTGCCTGTGATGGACAAAGCACTGAAATCCAAATGTCAGAACCTATCCTACTTCAGGTATAAAGGCCCTGCTGTGCTGCTTGTGTACAGCCTATTGTCCAGGTACAGTACCTCCAGTGGGTCATATTCTCTGCACATTGTATACTACCACAGTCACCACAGTCGTTAACAATGATTGGTTCCCTTGAAATTTAACCTACACTGGCTGTTTTACCTTGATAGAGACATGCTACGGTTTACAAGGAATGTTAAGTACAGAGTACAAAGAAAAAATAATGCATTTTGAAGGGCCTCTGTGGAGAGGCGGCACAAGAAACTCTTGTTTGTGGAGCTACCTCCAATCTTTACTTTTCCAAAGATGGCAGCATCATTCCAGTTGGGCAATTCTTGTGGTTTTTTTTCCCCATTCTGAGGTCAGCTACAGTTTCTCCCATGTTTTCTTCTAGGTGTTTCATTGTTTCAGACCTTACATTCAGGTATCTGGTCTATTTTAAGTTAATTTTATATAACATTATCTATTGGTTTCCATAGATGCTTTTTACCTGGTTGAGGAAGTTCCATTCTACTCTTAGTTTATCAAGAGCGTTTTTCAACATTGGGTTTGGATTGTATCCTGTGCTTTTTTCCTATATCTATTGAGATGATAATGTGGTTTTGCCTTTTTAGTTTGTTTTTTTTTTTTTTTTTTTTTTTTTTTTGAGATGGAGTCTGGCTCTGTTGCCCAGGCTGGAGTGCAGTGGCGCGATCTCAGCTCACTGCAAGCTCCGCCTCCCAGGTTCATGCCGTTCTCCTGCCTCAGTCTTCTGAGTAGCTGGGACTACAGGTGCCCGCCACCATGCCCGGCTAATTTTTCGATTTTTAGTAGAGAGGGGGTTTCACCATGTTAGCCAGGATGGTCTCGATCTCCTGACCTTGCGATGCCTTTTTAGTTTTTTAATATGGTGAATTAAATTGATTGATTTTTTTTAATGTTAAGCCAGCATTCTTGGGCCCTGATGTATTATCCCTTTTATACATTGTTGGATTTAAACGTTTTGCATCTATCTGCATGAGTGATTTTGGTCTATAGTTTTCTTTTCTTGTGATGTCTTCTTGGGTTTGGTATCTGGATAATGCTGGTCTCATTGAATGAGTTAGCATATATTTCTTTCACTTCAATATACTGGAAGAGAATTGTTACGTAGAATTGGTATTATTGCTTATTTAAATGTTTGGAAGAATTTCCAAGAAAGTTTTCCTTATAGGAAGATTTCTAAACTACAAATTTAATATGGCTATGCAGGTTATCTATTTCTTCTGGAGTGAGCTTTGGTAATTTCTGCCCTTTTTTTTTTTTTTTTTTTTTTTTTTTTTTTTTTTTTTTTTTTTTTGAGACAGAGTTTTGCTCCTGTTACCCAGGTTGGAGTGCAATGGCATGATCTCAGCTCACTACAACCTTCACCTCCCGGGTTCAAGTGATTCTCCTGCCTCAGCCTCCCAAGTAGCTGGGATTACAGGTGCCCACCACCACACCTGGCTAATTTTTGTATTTTTAGTAGAGACGGGGTTTCACCACATTGGCCAGGCTAGTCTTCAACTCCTGACCTGAGGTGATCTACCCACCTCGGCTTCCCAAAGTGCTGGGATTACAGGCGTGAGCCACCATGCCCAGCCTGGTAATTTCTGCCTTTCAAGGAGTTTTCTCATTTCAATTAAGTTGTCAAATTTATTGGCATAAAGTTGTTTATATATTTCCTTGTTATTCTGTTAATATCTCCAGTGATGTCATCTTTCTCATTCTTGATATTGGTAATAAGTGTCTTCTTTCTTTTTTTCAAGACCAGTCTGTTTATAGGTTTATCAATTTATTGATTATCTCAAAAAACCAACTTTTGGTTTCATTGCTTTTTGCTGTCACTTTTTTGTTTTCTACTTCACTGATTTTCATTCTGATCTTTATTATTTTCTTTCTTTCACTTATGTTCTAATTTGCTGTCATACATTTTAATTTTATGCATGTAATAAAATCCACAATACATTGTTATTTTTGTTTAAGATGCGAATTATCTTTTGAACAGATTTCAACAACAATAAGAAGAAAAATCTTATATCTTTGCCCTTGTAAATTTCTGGTGCTCTTTATTCCTCTGTGTAGAACCAGGCTTCCATTTGATATTATTTTCCTCTGCTTGAAAATCTTCTTTTAAAATTTTTTGTAATGTGGATATGCGGGCAATTAGTTGTTTCAACTCTTGTATGTATGAAAAGGTCTTTTCTTTGCCTTGATTTTTTAAAGAGATTTTTCTGGAGTATAGAATTCTAGGTGGACAGGTTTGTTTCTTCCTTTTAGTACTTTAAAGATATTGCTCCACTATCTTCTTATCTGAATAATTTCCAAGAAGATACCTTCTGCCATCCTTATCTTTGTCCTTGTGTATGTGATGTGTCTTTTTTCTCTGGCTGCTGTTAAGATGTGTTCTTTCTAATTAATTTTGAGCAACTATAGTCTAACTTGTAGTTTTTATTGCGTGTCTTGTTCTTTGGGTTCATTGAACTTTGGATCTGTGAGTTTATAGTTTTCATCAAATTTAGAAAACTTTTAGCCATTGTTCTACAGTACACTAGGGCTCTTTTTTTCAGTCTATTTTCTCTCTGTGTTTCATTTTGGATAGTTTCTATATCTATGCCTCCAAGTTTCTCATATTTACTTTTGTAATGTGTAATCTACCATAAATTCTATCTGCTGTACTTGTCATCTCAGATATTGTAGCTTGCATCTCTAGAATTTTGATTTAGGGATTTTATATCTTTCGTGTCTCTAATTACCGTTTTCAATGTATTGAATAAAATTATAATAACAGTTTTAATGTTCTTGTCTGCTAATTTTAGCATCTATATCAGTTCTGGATTATGTGTGTCAATTTCACACTTAATCTTAACAAAAATAAGTGTGTTTTTAATTCTCATTTTGTATTTTACAGCTTCTTTTCATGCTTGGTAATTTTTATTGGATACCTGACATTGTGAATTTTATAATGTTGCTGGGTATTTTTGTATTTCTATAAATATTCTTATATGTTATTCTGATATACAGTTACAGTACTTGGAAGATTTATCTTTTGAGGTCTTGCTTGTAAGATTTGTTAGACAGGACCCAAGCAATGCTCAATCTGCAACTGATTATTTGTCTCAGTACTCTATCTAATGCCCCATGTGTCATGGATTTTCTTCTAGTCTGGCTGGTGTAAACAGTCATTACTCCTGGCCCTATGTGAACACTGGGCATTGTTTTCTCTAATCCTCTTCCATGGTTCTTTCCCTAACTTCAGGTGCACTTCCTCATATGCATATAACTTGTCCACACTCACCTGAATCCTCAAGCAGGACCCTCTGCAGATCTCTGGAGTTCTCTTTCTATGCAGCAATCTCGTCTCTTGTGCTCTGCCCTCTGAACTCTAGCTGCCATGGTCTGCCTGGAAACATTTCAGCAGTCTGTCTTCTCAACTCAGGAAACCCACCAGTCCCCTCCTGGGTTCTTCCTTCCTATGTCACATCCTGAAAACTCTCTGAAGGCAGTAAACTGTGTAAATCAGAGGTGGAGCCACTTATCTACTTATCCATACAAGCTCATACATTTGTAACAGAAAAGACTACTTCCTCCATGCTGTTTGCGAAACGATATCCAAAAAGGAATAGATTCTCAACTAATTTTGCTGAACTGAAAGAAAATTGAGTACATCCTCCAAAGTAGAATAAATTAAGACCTCAGGGGATAATTTTCCTTGCTTATACTCCAAATCTCTTTCACATCCCTTTAATCTACCTGTTTATCAGGAGAATTCCAGAAGGTGGTCTGGTCCACATACATTTTATTTTGTTGTATTTATAATTAAAAGTTGGGTGTTTTTCCTTTCTCTTGAGAGTTAGAAACAGATGTTTTAACATCCAGAGGAAGCCCTAATATGTAAGCCCTTAAACTGAGAACATTATAATATTGCTGGGAACAGATAAATGTAAAAACAAAATATTTCAGCTCCCAGAAGTCCAAATCTGTGAGGATGCAAGTAACAAGAGGAACAGGAAATAGCATTACTATCACCCATAGACATTTCCCAGGATGTTTCAGAAAACTGGCATGACTTGTAACAACCAGTGATAATTAATTACTAAACACTACTGCTCACTGAAAAGTTGTAAGTTTTGGGGAAGAGAAATTTTCTTTCTCCAGCAAGTCTCCTTCTCTGAATACGACAGTTATCAAACCCATCACACCCCAGCAAGCAAAGGAAAGGATGCTTTGTTTTTTTTTTGTAAAGTGGCCTGGGTCCTCACACACGTGTCCTTTTTTTTTTTTTTTTTTGAGATGGAGTTTCACTCTTGTTGCCCAGGCTGGAATGCAATGGCGCGATCTCAGCTCACTGCAACCTCTGCCTCCCAGGTTCAAGTGATTCTCCTGCCTCAGCCTCCCGAGTAGCTGGGATTACAGGCATGCACCACCGCACACAGCTAATTTTGTATTTTTAGTAGAGACGGGGTTTCTCCATGTTGGTCAGGCTCAAACTTCTGACCTCAGGTGATCTGCCCACCTCAGCCTCCCAAGGTGCTGGGATTATATGTGTGAGCCCCCATGCCCAGCCACACATGTCCTCTTTAGAGCAGTGGTTGATCCATGGAGATGGCACTCTCCTTTGCTGCCTCATGGCACCACCATCAATTTCTCATAGAAAGATAAAACACTGGGGGCAGTGGCAATACTGTAGAATTTGAAGTCAGATGGCAGATATTCAAGTCCTGCTCAGCTGCTTATTCCATGTACAATGTTGAACAAAATTTCCTCAATTTTTGTTGGTTTTCTAGGGCTACCATTACAAAATACCACAGATGAGATGACTTAAACAACAGAAATTTATTTTCTCACAATCCTGGAGGCTGGATGTCCAAGATTCAGGTTCAGCAGGTTGGGTTTTTTCAGAGACCTTCCTCTTTGATTTGGAGGTGGCCACCTTCTCACTGTGTTTTCACACAGTCATCCTTTTCTCTATGTGTGTCTCTGTCCCGTGAAACTAGGGCCCACCCTAATAACCGTATGTTAACTTAATTACCTCCTCCAAGGTTCGATTTCCAAACACAGTCACATCCTGAGCCACAGGGGATGAGAGTTTCAATATATGAATTTTGGGAACACACAAGTCAGCCCATAACAATTCTCAAAGCCACATTTTCGCCAGACAAAAGGACAAGGCAACAACAGTTGTCTTGAAAGTTTATGTATGGTCAGGCACAATGGCTCACACCAGTAATGCCAGTACTTTGGGAAGCTAAGGCGGGTAGATTGCTTGAGCCCAGGAGTTTGAGACCAGCCTGGGCATCATGATGCCCAGGAAACTCCATCTCTCCAAAAAGTACAAACACTTAGCCAGGTGTGGTGGCATGTGCCTACAGTCCCAGCTACCCAGGAGGCTGAGGTAGGAGGATTGCTTGAGCCTGGGAAGTGGAGGTTGCCATGAGCTAAGATCTCACCAGTGCACTCCAGCCTGGGTGACAGAGCCACAACGACAACAAAAAAGTTTATGTATAAGAATATAGTGAGATTTTAGTTGACTTTATTGAAGTAAACATACAGAAAATATACTCAATGAGTTTTCATAAAGCGAACATGTTCAGTTGAATCTCCAACCAAATCAAGAAGGAAACCCCCTGTTGCCCCATTCCCCAGGGGGTAACCCCTACCCTAATTCCTAAGAGGATGGATTAATGGTGTCTGCCTTTGTTTATATTCTTTGTGTATCCCTTTTCTCACTCAGTGACGTTTGGGAGAGTCATCCATATTGTTACATGTCACTGTAGTTAGTTAATTCTCATTGCTACATTGTATTCCATTGCATGAATATGCCACAGTTAACTTATTCATTCTATTGTTAATGGGTATTTATGTTGCCTCCAGTTAGGGCCAAAATTATTGCCACTGTGAAAACTCTTGCACCTGTCTTTTGTTGAACATATGTACACATTTTTATGGGTACACACCTGAGAGGAGAATTGCTGAGTCATAGGGTTTGCACACATTCCACATTAGTAGATAATGTCAAACATTTTCTAACATAGTTGTATGAATTTATATCCCCACTGGAGGAGTATGAGAGTTCTAGTTACTTCACAAAAGGGCATGGTTATTTTTCATACAGAAAACATGGAAACAAGCTGCTAAACAGTAGGAAATGGTTAAAAAAAATCATGGTGTTTCCATGCAATGTACTAGAAAATAAGAATATTATTCTCAAAGCATATTTAAGAATATGGGGAAATGGGCCAGGTACAGTGGCTCACGCCTGTAATCCCAGCGCTTTGGGAGGCTGAGGTGGGCAGATCACTTCAGGCCAGGAGTTCAAGACCAGCCTGGCCAACATAGCGAGACCCTAACTCTACTAAAAATACAAAAATTTAGCTGGGCATGGTGGTGCCTGCCTATAGTCTCAGCTACTCAGGAGGCTAATGCACAAGAATCTCTTGAACTCAGGAGGGAGAGGTTGCAGTGAGCCAAGATTGGGCCACTGTACTCCAGCCTGGTGACAGAGGAAGACTGTCTCAAAAAAAAAAAAAAGAAAAGAAAAGAAAAAGAAAAAAGAATATGGGGAAATGATTAAAATGTATTAAATGAAAAAAAACAAGTTACAAAACACTGGTACAGCTTGTGCCAATGTTGTTTTTAAAAAATTAAGTGCATATATTGTATCTTCATTAAAAGAAACCAAATGTTAATACTGGTTTTCTCTGAGAGATTGGATTATAGATTTTTTTTTTCTCTTCATAGATTTCAGTATTTGTTCCTTAAAATATTCTAAAATGACCATTTACTGCACTTACAATTAATTAGGTAAAGGGCAATAAGTGTTAAATGATCCTGTCTTATTTCTCAGGTTACCCATGAGACTCAATAAGAAAATGCCCATGGAAGCCCTTTGGGAAAAAACCAAATGCTATTTGAATGTCAATTACTATTGCTATCATACCCAGTTCTACTGGACTGCTTTCCATCACTAGTTGAATAGAAAGTTTGAGATGCAGAGGAGCCAAGCTAACCTGGCCACAGGGGTGGACAGGTGAGCGAAGAGGGTCCAGGCTCCACCTCAGTGCTTCTCAACCCCAGCTGCACTTCAGAACCATCCGGACAGCTTTAAAAATATAGATCAACTGGATGGGAATTTCTAGCTATGGGACCCAAGCATCAGCATTTCCCAAAAACTCCCCAGTGAATTCCCACATACAACCAGGTTGAGAACTCCTATTCTGGTTGAAAGCAAGACTGTGCACTTTTAGGCACTATGTTGTCATTTGTTGAGAGTGAGGGGCAGGGATGAGGGTCTGGGATGGGTCAAGCCCTGAAAGAAAGCCTCAAGGGTCTGGATGTCCTCATGCAATCAGGCCAGTGCTGGGTGTTATAGCTTGACATTTGACATTTTCCACTGGGCAGGGTTGGGAAAATTAAAGTCTAAGGACACTCAGAAACTGCATCTGGTTCCCTTGGAGGAAACTTTCCTAGTCTATGTGGTATAGATAATAATGACAATGTACATTTCTAGAGCAGATTACAGCTATCAGTTCAGTTTCCTGGGCATTACTGAAACCACCCCATAAGCTTTATAAGATTAATCAGGGCAGAAGGGTGGGGGAGAAACAAAAATAAACCAAGTTTGCAGCACCCTTAACATGAATCATTAAGTCAACTTACTCTCTGACCTGCTTCCTAAAACTATGGTTGTTTGGTGCCTGTTGTCCTAGAATCATACAAGACCCTGTTACAAGATTACAGTTCCCCTTAACTCTTCTAAAGATAGCAACTTGAACATCATGAAAGTTTTCCCTTTGAGACATTCTTTCAGGTCTTATGCACTGATGAAACTACTACGTCAGTGGGTCTGAAGAACCCCACAGACTCCACTGGTCCAAGCAACCCCAAGAGAAGCTAACTCACAGAAGAACAAAGTTTCCACATCCTGATGATTTCATCCCCCTTGACCCGAGCAATCAACAAACCCAATTTTCCAGCCCCTGCCCTCCATGAATCTTTAAAAACCCTAGCCCAGAACTCCTTGAGGAGATGGATTTGAGGTTCACCTCCTGTGTCCTCGCTCAGCAATCTATGATCATTTCATTAAACTCTTTCTCTGCTGCATCTCTGCTGTCTCAGTGTGATAAGTCTGTTACTGTGCAGTGGGCATACGGACCTCTTGGTCCTATAACATTACTTCTCCGGGGCCTTGTAATCCTTTTCTCTCTCTTTTTTTTTTAAACATTGGTGGATATTTGCACCAACATTAGAAGCTTTAGTGAGGTATAATTGATGTACAATAAACTGTACATATTTAGGTATATAATTTGATACATCTTTATACATGTATACTCCTGTGAAACCATCACCCATTCTCAGTGAAATTATTCACAACCCCACAAACTCTCCTCCTGCTTCTTCATAATCATGCCATGTTTTCCCTACCCCCATCTCTGTGCAACCACCCATCTGCTTTCTGTTACTGTTGTATATAAAGTTTCAGTGCCGCAAAAGAAATAGCACTCGAATATAAAATTTTCTTTTAATTCTCAACAAGGCAAGGTACTTCTACAGAAGGATGCGCCCTACAGATGCAGCAATGGTGAGCACACACCTGGACAAGGGAGGGAAAGGGGTTCTTATCCCTGACGCACGTGGCTCCTGCTGCGGTGTCGTTCCCTTACTGGCTAGGGTTAGACCGCACAGGCTAAACTAATTCCGATTGGCTAATTTAAAGAGAATGATGGGGTGAGTGCTTTGGAGGGAAAAAAAATGGTTATGCAGGATGGAGAATGAGTCAGGGCAGAGCAGGTAGCAGGTAATCTGAATGAGTCAGGGCGGAGCAGGTGATCGGAATGAGTCAGGGTGGAGTAGGAAATCGAAAAGGGTTGCTTTACGAGGAAGTTACTTTTAAAAGTAAAAGGCAAAGAATTGAACACACTGACATATTAATTCTATGAAAAGAAATTTAGAACTCATATCTAACAGTTACTAATGATTAGTTTGCATTTTCCAGAATTTTATATAAATGGAAATATATAGTATTTGTGTCCTTTGATGCACCATAATTATTTTGAGATTTATCTATGTCGTTGCTTAATCGTATTCCATTGTATGGAGATGACACAATTTATTTATCCGTTTTCCTATGGATGGACATTTGAGTTATTTCCAGTTTGGGGCTTTTACAAATAGAGCAGCTATAAATATTTGTGTCCAAGTCTCTGTAGGGATATATGCTTTCAATTCTTTAGACACCTAGAAGTGAAGTGGCTGTCATATGGTAAGTATATGTTTAACTTTTGAAGAAACTACCAAATTGTTTACCAAAGTAGTTGTACCATTTTACATTTTTCACAAGGAGGGCATGAGGTTCCAGTTCCTCTAAACCTTTATCTACAACCAGTATGGTAAGTCTTTTTCATTGTATCTATTCTTATAGGTGTGTAGTAATATCTCATTGTGGTTATTTCCTTAACGGCTAATGATAAACTTCGACCTTGATCTCACATTCTGATATTGTGATTTTTATTAAGAAATAAGTATATTTTGGTCTTCCTCCCCAGTTCCTGCCACAAAGATTCTAAAACCCTTGTAATTTCCTGAGCAATAGGGGTGCTAGGTGCAGCTTTTTTTCTCATTTTGATCTTTGACCTTGGTTCCTGACACAGAGATCTTAATCTTTTGGAATTTCCTGGGTGGTAGGAGTGTCTTTTGTTCTAATGAGGCAACTCTTGGTGGGTTCCTGGATGGGGGCTGGTCACCAGAAAGACCAAGCCACAATTAGAAGCTTGAAACTTCCAGCCCCACCTCTCCTCTTCCAGGAAGGGGAGACTGAGTTAATAATAGGTCATGCCTATGTGATGAAGCCTCCATTAAAAGCCCTGAACTATGGGGTTCAGAGAGCTTCCAGGTTGGTGAACAAGAACACATCTACGTGCCAGAATAGTAGTGCACCTCAACAACATGGACAGAAGCTCCTGTACCCTGGACCCTTCCCAACCCTTTGCATATCCTCATCTGGATGTTCATCTACATCCTTTAAAACATCCTTTGTAATAAAACAGCAATAGTAAGTAAAGCGGTCCCCTGAGTTCTATGAGTCATTCTAGCAAATGACTGAACCTGAGGAAGGGGGTCATGGGCACCCCAGTTTATAGCCAGTGGTCAGAAGTACCAGAGGCCTTGGGGTCGGTCGGGGTGGCTCACACCTGTAATCCCAGCACTTTGGGAGGTTGAGGTGGGCGGATCACTGGAGGCCAGGAGTTCAGGACCAGCCGGGCCAACATGGTGAAACCCCGTCTCTACTAAAAATACAAAAATTATCTGGGCATGGTGGTGCACACTTGTAGTCCCAGCTATTAAGGGAGGCTGAGGCACGAGAATCACTTGAACCCAGGAGGTGGAGGTTGCAGTGAGCTGAGATCGCGCCACTGCACTTCCTCCTGGGCAACAGAGTAAATGAGATGCCGTCTCACAAAAATAAATAAAATAAAAAAATAAAATAAAGGAACTACCAGAGGCCTGGACCTGCAGTTGCCATGGGAAGGTGGGTAGAGAGGTGTCAGGGTTTGGGGACTCAACACTTAATCTGCGGGATCTGACTCTAACTCCAGGTAGTGTCAGAATTGTAGGACACCCAGTTGGTGTCCACCAGAGAAGTAAATTAATGTGTGGGGAAAATCCCCACATATCTGTTGACAGACGTCTTCTCTGTTGAGTATTGATAATATAACAGGAGAAATCAGTTTGTTTTCTCCTACCGCACACATATGATATCCAACTATTAACTCGAAAATAAATTATAGACCTAAATGTAAAGAAAAATAAAGCTTTTAAAAGAAAATACACTTGCAAAACACATTTGCAACCTTGGGTGGGCAAAGATTTCTTAGGATGGGACACAAAAGAAACAATAATTTATAAACATTTATACATTTATACATTATACGTTATACATCTGTGAGGAAACACAGACTGAAAGTGACCAAGTGACTTAAGATGATACAACTAGCAAGTAGAAAGTCTATGCTTGAGTCTGACTCTAGCCCAGTGTTTTTCTGTGGCATGCCTGATAAGCAGACAGCCAGCAGTGTCCCGTGAGGAGAGCTGGGGGTGAGTGGCTGGGCATGTCGGGGCATCACCCAGAGACAGCCACATGTAAAAAGGGATGAGGTAAGAGGTAGGGATGGGAAAGTCTAAGCAAACCAGGGTCAGGAACACACTGAAACCAAGGAGCACACAGACACTGACAGGCTGGGACACAGCTGAGGCTGGAAGCAGGTAAGTGGCATGGGGACCAGAGGTCAGTGCAAGTCACCGGGCAACATCCAGACAAGAGATCCCAAGTGCAGACTCGGAGACTGGCTCACCCACAGAAGCAGAGAAAAGAATGATGGCTACCAGGGGCTGGCTGCAAGGAGGGCTGGAGCAAAGTCAACCAAAGAATACAAAATTTCAGACAGGAGGAGTAAGTTCAAGAGACCTATGGTACAGCATGTGACTATAGTTACTAACAATATATTGAATTCTTGAAAATTGCCAAGAGAATAGATTTTAAGTGTTCTCACCACAAAGAAGTATGAGAGGTAATGCAAATGTTAATTAAATCAATTTAGCCATTCCACAATGTATACATATTGTAAAACATGTTGTACATGATAAATATATATCATTTTACCTGTCAATTTATAAAAGAAGACATGTTTAATAAATGCACTTGTGAAAACTGTCTCCAAAAAAAAGGAATTAAAAAAAAAAAAGACAGTAAGGACAAAAGCCAATTTTTGGTCAAAGAGAGGAACCATAGCCCTATGCTGGAGAGAAGACAAGTAGATCAACACAACCAGAAAAAAATCAGAGCCAGGCACAAGCCCTTACAGCGAAGGTGGCAGAGACAAGAAGGAAGCTGCCTTGCTCCACCATCGAGCCCACCCCAGCAGAGGTGGGGCAGGGATGGGAGGGTGTGGGGCGGGTCTCAGCAGCCCACCCCAGGGAGGTGATCATCAGTTTCTCTTGGAGACTGAGACATAAAAAGTCACTGGTGGGAGTTGAGGGTCAAAATGTGATTTATTTGGCATCTTTACTTTCAGTTCCCAACTTCTGTTTTAATTGTACCTTGATTATGTAGCCTTGA
The DNA here is from genome assembly GCF_000001405.40 of Homo sapiens. Taxonomy (NCBI): domain Eukaryota; kingdom Metazoa; phylum Chordata; class Mammalia; order Primates; family Hominidae; genus Homo; species Homo sapiens. The sequence continues at coordinate 40,334,436 of NC_000013.11, forward strand.
AATGAATACCTGAATTTTTTTTAATCCTACTTATCTTAATGCTTTCAATCACATCATCGATCTCACTAATCAGCAGCCTCAACCTGGTGCTTGATTGTGTTGTTTTACAGATCCAGGGGTAATTCTGAAGCCAACAGAAAGGTCCAAATCACCTCTAAACCTGACAAGAAATCACTCTGTGCCATTCTCCTATAAGAAGATTGGCATTGCCCATCAAGGAAAAGATGCAGAGGGTGAAGGACATGGTGGAGGAGATTTCTAAAATGCAATGACCCGGCCCAGCTGGGCGCAGTGGCACATGCCTATAATCCCAGCACTTTAAGAGGCAGAGGCAGGTGCACCACTTAAGCCCAAGAGTTCGAGACTAACCTGGGCAACATGGCAAAACCCAATCTCTATAAAAAATACAAAAATTAGCCACACATGGTGGTGCACACCTGTAACCCCAGCTGCTAGGGAGGCTGAGGTAGGAGGATTGATTGGACCCCGGAGGTCAAGGCTGCAGTGAGCTGCGGTTGCACCACTGCACTCCAGCCTGGGTGATAGAGCGAGACTCTGTCTCAAAAATACAATAAGGCCAGGCGCAGTGGCTCATGCCTATAATCCTAGCACTTTGGGAGGCCGAGGTGGGCGGATTGCCTGAGCTCAGGAGTTCGAGACCAGCTTGGGCAACATGGTGAAATCCTGTTTCTACTAAAATACAAAAAAGTAGCCATGTGTGGCGGTGTGTGCCTGTAGTCCCAGCTACTTGGGAGGCTGAGGAAGGAGAATTGCTTGAACCCAGGAGGTGGGTGTTGCAGTGAGCCAAGATGGCGCCACTGCACTCCAGCCTGGGTGACAGAGCGAGACTCCATCTCCAAAATAAAATAAAGTAAAAAGTCTCAAATTGAACATTCCAGGTACTTTAACCTCCAACTTCCTTTACATACAGTTAATGGGTCATTCCATTTGAATTACAGATTCTATGGTTTACTCAAGTACAGATAACCTTTGATTCCACATGTATTATTTCTTTCAATGACTTACTATGTTTTCCATTGATTAAAAAAAAAAACTCATCATTTTTTATGGTTGCACAGTATTTCATGGAGTATATGTGCCATATTTTCTTAATCCAGTCTATCATTGTTGGACATTTGGGTTGGTTCCAAGTCTTTGCTATTGTGAGTAGTGCCACAATAAACATACGTGTGCATGCGTCTAAAAAAAATGATGAGTTCATGTCCTTTTTAGGGACATGGATGAAGCTAGAAACCATCATTCCCAGCAAACTATCGCAAGGACAAAAAAACCAAACACCGCATGTTCTCACTCATAGGTGGGAATTGAACAATGAGAACACTGGACACAGGAAGAGGAACATCACACACCGGGGACTGTTGTGGGGTGGGAGGAAGGGGGAGGGATAGCATTAGGAGATATACCTAATGTAAATGACGAGTTAATGGGTGCAGCACACCAACACGGCACATGTATACCTATGTAACAAACCTGCACGTTGTGCACATGTACCCTAGAACTTAAAGTATAATAAAATATATATATAAACTTACTCTAATTGGGTAACACTTGACCTTAAAAGTAAGGCACGTGATACAAAAGATTTAAGGCCTAAGATCAGCTGAACAAGCAAGAGAGTACCTTAACAGATGATCATCCTGAGGGCTGAGTGTCGGAACATCTTGTCAGAATCACTTGTCTTTTGCTAGGAGGCCTGACCAGCCCAGCCATGTCAGTGCACACATGTAGGCTACCTTTCACCATCCTGCTCCAGCTGAGCCATCCTAGGCTAAGCTATAGGCAGAAGCACATCAGCGGTTGGACAGAAAGTAACAAAGTCTCCAGCGATGTCCCAGTACTGTCAGAGTACGGGACAGAACACCCAGAAGAATAACCATTCACAGAAGTCCAAGACTCCTGAAAGCAGATTCTGCAAACAGCCCCCAGGCTTCTTGGACTTTGGACCCAGAGCTGTGTTGTCAGGGAGGCCAAACACAGCCCTAAGCCAGCACTGCCCAATCCAGTCCATGCCCAGAGACTACCTGACTTCCTTTGTGATCATTTCAGATTCACTAAAGGAACCATTTGCCTTGGGCAGTGCATTTCTAGGTTAATAGCTTCAACTCCTCAGCCTGTAGCAGAGGGTACCACAAAATACTTGGCTTCCCCTCCTCCCAGAAAAATACAAGTGCAGTTGCAAAATAGAAATGCTTCGAGGTGTGTTTAATCAAAAGGCTCCATCATGTCAGTAAATGTCACATAACCCCAAAATAGCACTTGCTATTGTCATAGGCTTGGAGTTCTCATGTGAACTTTGGCCTCGTTCCCCAAATGCCAGCTAACCAAACATCCTGGAGGTCATCTGCCACTACATTTTCCACAAAGCCGAAAGAATTAGAGCCATTTAGAGCTGGATGGGCCCTTAGAGATTGACTATCACTTCACAGCTAAGAAACAATGGCAACAGCTAACATTGATTGACCACATACTATGTGCCAAGAACCATGTCAACATTTAATACTTCCTGTAATCCCCTTCAGAGTTGGTACTTTTATTATTCCCATTTGACACATGAGGCTTAAAGAGTGGCTAAGTAATAGGTCCAATGTCACACAGCCAGGAAATAAAAGTGCCCTACCCCCACCTTGGTCCTTTGAGCTCTGAACTGCTGCAGTATATTGGCAGCTTCTCCAGCAAACAAGGCTATGGGAACTTCCAGACTACAGAAGCCTGGTGAGACTGTCTTTCGGCTGGAGCTTGCCATTTCCATAGCTAGCAAGTCACTTACAATCACAGAAAACACTGCACCTACCTGCACCACAAGCCCAACACCGCAGTTACTGCTTCGTGTTTGTGTTGAATCACAAAATGCTCAAACTTCAGGGGGCTTTAGAAGCCACACAGCCCACATCTTCATTGTAGAAATGAGAATGCAAGGCCTGGAGAGATGAAATGGCTTTCCTAGGATCCCATCACTAGGTAGAGACACAGCAAGGAACAATGTTTTGGAGTTAAAAACAGAATACTGTTCCAGTTACTCCATCTCTATTTTTTTTTTCCTGAAAATACAGTTGGGCCTACTAGCCCGATGTTAGAAGCTAATGAAAAAGATCATCCTCCTCATCTGAAAAAAATTCCCTCTGCCATTGAGATTATTAACCTTTTAGAGGCTTTAACTTTTATTTTAGAATTCATGAAACATGTAGCTCAAGGGTCTAATGTGACTTAATTTGAAAAAGGTCAGTTCCCTCTTCAGGGTATTCTAGCAATTTTATAAAAGGATGTATACATATACAGATTTTTTCCACTAGAGGAACAGGACGATCAAAATTCAGCATTTCTCAGTTGTTTTAGAAGTGATTGGCCAGTGTGCCTGTGGGTAGATCGCTAAGCTCTCAGCACTGGGGATGCACGTGGAGGAAGGAGAACACGGCCCCTCCATGCAAGCAGTTCAGACTCCTGGGGAACCTGCTTCCTCTTTTCCCATCCCATAAAAGCAAGCAACAACAGAAGAACTGAGAGTTATGTGCGTTCTTTGGGATTAACTCAGTGTAGGAAAAAAGAAGAAGAAAGAAAGTGAACAAGGGGTTAGGGGGAACAGAAAACCAGCGAGAGTAAAAGAGAGGGAAAAGAGAGGAAGAAAGATGATGAACGAAGATTATCAATGAGGTAGAGAAAAAGCAAATGTGCCACATCCAGGGAATGTCCCATGGCACGGTTATTTGCCGGTGCCAGCAGGCAGAACCCCCAATCCAGACTTACTAGATAGGAGCTAAGCTCCAGCCTTGCAGGTGGGTGGTGAGGGTCAGGGCCTGGAAGGACAAATGCTTGATGGATTCTATGCCTTCCTGCAGGGCGGAGTAAGCTGAGGCCTTATCACTGGGGCAGGAAGGAGATAGACCAGTGAGAACAAGGTGAGTCCTCGCTAGGTGACTGACACAGGGAGTCAGGCCAAGGAATCAGGTCAGAGGCCCGGGCACCAGAACTAGGGCCACAGAGAGTTGGATCTTGGAGCCAGGCCACAGCACGTTGGTGAGGATCAGGTCACCAGGTGAGGGCTGGACCCATGGCAAGGCTTAGATGAGGTTGAGCTATAGAACATTGGCTCAGAACTTTCTGAGTCTCCCTTGTCCATGGTCGACAAGTGGCCCTGGAGACTCTGACAAGGCTGGGTAGACAGGGAAAGGGAGGGAGTCAAGTAACTTGAAGTATGGGGAGAAGACAGGTGAGAAGACAAGTGTGAGTGGACAGATCCAGGAGGATGGAGACCTGCGGTTTCTGGGAGCCAAGGTCCATGGTATCTAAACTGACCTCATCAAATGGAAGCACATTCAGAACCAGAGAACCCCAAATGTAGTCATGCTAACCTCCAGGTAAACCTTGAGGGGATGGTGACAGAAACTGGGAATGTTTAGGCTGGAAAAGAGAAAATTCAGCACAGGGGAAGCCATCTATCAACTTATATATTTAAATGCCACATGAAAGAAAGTCTAGGTGCATTCTGTGTGTCTAGTCAAAAAGAACTGAGCCCAGTGGGCAGAATTCCCAGAGAATAGTTTCTTTAATCTCCATATAAGGAAAAACATGAGTACAGCCTACCTCTGTGTATTCCATAACCCATTTACTTTTCATTCATTCAACAAGTGCTTGCTGGTTAGGGTAACCATACTGTCTGGTTTGCCTGGCACAGTGACAGTTTATGCTCTGGTATTAATTCGCACCTGGTCAGCACCCCCTTTACTCCCAAAATGTCCTAGTTTGAATTAAAAATTGTATGATTACCATACTCGTTGAGCACCTGCTACATGCCAAGAATTAGACTGAACATTGAAGACACAATTAAAACATAATTTCTGACTTTGATGAGTTCATAGTCTAGTGAAATAAGGGGATATTAAAAGAATAAATTAGAATATAACAACGTAAGAGCTCTATAATATCAGGAATAGAAAGGAGCTTACAGCTCATTCAATACCACCTTCATTCATTGACTTACTTCATAAATATTTGTTGAATAAATGCTGTGTGCCAGGCACTATACAGGGACCACGAATCTAATACTGAACCAAACAGAACTCCTCCCTTCCCTCATGAAAATTAACTAGCAAGTTCACCAAACTGATAAAAGTCCCATTTGTTTCTGAAAATTCTACCTGGTGAGTAAACGTTTATGTGTATTTAGTCAAATTAGGCTTTTGGAAGCTTCCAGTCATTGGTCCTAACCTCCTCTCTGAAGTCCCATAGAATTAAATCCCTTTTTGAGGGAAACATCACACACCGGGGACTGTTGGGGGATGGGGGGCAAGGGGAGGGAGAGCATTAGAACAAATACCTAGTGCATGCGGGGCTTAAAACCTAGACGATGGGTTGACAGGTGCAGCAAACCACCATGGCATATGTATGCCTATAAGCTAACTGCGCCTCTCACTGCATTTCCGATTGCACCTTGTATAGGCGCCATCTGTGCTCCTAACACCTGGTGACTTGTTACCGTCTCTTCTTTAAAATGACCCCCTTGAGGACAGGCATTACATCTACCATCGAATAAATACTCATTTCATTTATTCAATAAATATTAGTCCAATACCTATTAGGTGCCAAGCTCCGTGAAGTCCCTGCCACTATGTACCTCACAGTCCAGAAGGAAAAGTGTTCACCAAAAACAAGTAATAACAATGGAGTAGAATGATGTTTTAACAGGGGAAGTATTGTGAGCTATGGGAGCAGTTAGGAGGGGGCCTAATCTAGCCACAGGATCATGAAAGACCTCTCTGAGAAGTAACATTTAAGCCAAGACCCAAGGCATTATCCAAGTGAAGAGTGAGATTAAGTTCAATTTATCAAGTTTATTTGGTCTCCAAGTGGCATTTTCTACCATTTCTTTAAAGTCATTAGTTAAAGATGAGGACAAGAACAGAAGTCTGTAGAAGTTGACTAGAGATTCTCCCCTAATCAATATTATGGAAAGTATGTATGAGCAGGTATGTTTTTCAAAATATTCAACAACAGGTACAACACGGCATCAACCACTGTGAATGGACACTAGCCACAGGCAACCAGTCTACCTTCCCCCATGGATACAGGCTGAATGCCAGGTCTTGGGCAGAAAAAATCCAAACTGCTGTGAACTTCTCCACCTGGTGGAAGGCACAGATGCCCTAGACACAGATGCAACTCCGGTCTGCTGTCTTTTACAGAAGGCTTTATTCTGCACATGAGGACAGCAGGTACACATGTAAGACTTCATGCAGTTTGCCTAGAAAATACCTCCGAAATGCATGGGCTGCACACATAGCTATGTACCCACTCCCTCCTGTGACAAGGATCTCTCAAGTCAGATGAAATTGCTGGCCGCTGTTTGCACATACTCTTTCTCATGTAATGCTCCTTTAATACCCAGAATAAGTTCAAAAGTGCCCAGTGTCTGCTTTTCTTGCTTGGGGCTTTCTTTGCCAGCCTCACAGTAGACTGAGGAATTCTAAACATGTGTCTGCGACCTGGTGAGGCCGCTGCTGTGTGAGGCCATATGTTTTATTGGGGTCTATATCCTGAGAGAGATACCAGAAAGAAACTCTGAGATGTCTGCCAAGTAAAAAAAAAAAAAAAAAAAAAAAAAAGAAAGGAAGAAGAAATCTGCCACTGATAGCACTCCAGCCAGTTTCTTTGTGGACAGTTGGCTTTACTAAAAGTTCTGAAATAGGAACACGCCTGCTTTAGACAGGCAAAATGTAAATAATATTAAACAATCAGAAAATCACCTCAAGTTTTCAGCAACTTTATAGAAGTAAAGAACATGTTTTGTTTTGTATTAATGCTCTCTTCTGGACAGCAGTCTTCTGCCTTTATCCCCAGGACACAAGGAATGAATGCCTAACATAACTTTGTCTTTGTTCCTTTCTCATCTATTCATTCAAGGAATGTTTATGGAGTGCCTACTCTGCATATTTTACTTTCTTCAGCTCAGAGGGTAAAATTGTGATCCCTAAATTTTGAAGGATGTGAATCAGTATATGTTATAGGAAAATAATGAGTTATTTCCATTTCTCTTTATAAATTTTGGAAATTCAACTATTTATGACTTTGTGTTACCTATTGGTGCAGCTCAGTATTTTATGACCCTGGTTTTTGTTGCCAGAGGGGCTTTTACTTAGCTCTTGCAGGAGGTTTGTGGCCAGAGATTAAATAGAGTCCTTCCTCGACCTTTCGATCTCAGGCTGATCCCACAGTGCAGAGGTGCTTGTAAGCTGAGGCCTGGGAAGAACTGCTGATCATATCATAGCCCCCTAAGGCCAACTCCCACTCCTTTTTCTTCCTTGGATGCCACAGCTGGGTCTGACTCCCAGGCTATTGGTTTCCATGGTACCTAGAGAAAGTTCTGGTTGCTTCCAGGTCTAGGCTTTTCTAGCGTATTCAGCTCCAAGGAGGTGACTTCAAACACACACCTCAATGTCCCCTGGCACTTCTCCTTAGCTATATGGTCTCAGACAAGACTTTTGAACTTTGCAAGCTTCAGTGTCCTCCTCTCAAAGTTGTGGGTGATGGCAGCTGACCCAGAAAGTTGTTATGAGGATTCAGTGAGTTTTCTCTAGGTGGACCCTACCCTTCTTACTCATTCCACACTATCCCCAGAAGACAGGATGGTGATGGGATGTGGAGGAGGGTGTGGAACTGTAAATGTACCATCTGCCCATTCTCCGTATCAGGAAATCTGGTTACATTATTGTATTAGTCTGTTCTCATGCTGTTAACAAAGGCATATCCAAGACTGCGAAATTTTTAAAGGAAAAGAGGTTTAATGGACTCACAGTTCCACATGGCTGGGGAGGCCTCACAATCACGGTGGAAGACAAAGGGGGAGCAAAGACACATCTTACATGGTGGCAGGCAAGAGAGCACGTGCAGGGGAACTGCCCTTTTATAAAACCATCAGATCTCATGAGATTTATTCACTATTACAAGAACAGCACAGGAAAAGCCCACCCCCATGATTCAATTACCTCCCACTGTGTCCCTTCTACGACACATAGGGATTACGGGAGCTACAATTCAAGATGAGATTTGGGTGGGGACACAGCCAAACCATATCAATTATCCAGCAAACTCACCCCGAACACAGTCAGTCACTGCTCCAGCCAAACTGGCCTTACTAAGCACTCAATCTCTGCCTAACTTCATTTTGCCAAATGGGTGACTAAGGCCAGCAAAGTAGCTCACGAGTTCTGCCAACTGGGAAACTCATCCCAGTGCTTCATGGAAAGCCCCCAATATGTCCATCAGGTCAGAGGAGACTGGTCTAATTTAGGGAGATTCGGCTGGTGCTGCTGTGCTGCCCTCTCCCCCTCACCCGCTCCACCGTCAGCACTCCTGTGCAACTCAAAAAGCCATTTGAAAACCCCCACTCCGGACCACTGGCTCCTCCACAGAAAGGAGAACTGCACTGAGGGCTTTTTGGGAGGCTGAGGTTTCCACTGTTCAGGAACACCTCGAGTCTGAGCTCTGGGAAAAACCGAGAGATCATAGAATCAACCACCTGCAGAAATCTTCAGAAACAAGAACATTCGAGAGACACAGCTCACAAGCTCACACCAGGTCCTTCCATATAGCACACAACTTCTTTTTTATTTTTTCCTGCTTTCTATCTGGACAATTATAGGAGCCTCCAGCTGTTCCTGTCAGTCAAATCACCAGTATTTCCCTTCTGGTCATACATTTTTCCTGAAGCAGCAGATTCACACCTGATGCATTAGTGCTTTTTATCACCTAGCAATATTTGTCATCCAAAGGGCTGAGTACCTCAGTTACCATCTATCAGGTTATATTTGTTTGCTGCTTTCAGCCAGTTGTCTCACTGTAACCTGCACTTTACTCACACATAATGGCTCTAAGCGAGAAAGTAGAAACATTTATTAGAGTTCAAAAATTCTTAGTTGTTGAGCTCCATCCATTTCTCTTTACTAGTATTTGTCCCTTCTCAGCCCCTTCTTTCCCCCACAGATCCAATTTTTCAAATAATTTCAGTTTCTGGACACATAGCAGGTGTTCAATAAATATTTGATAATCTGATTTAAGTCACCGGACATAAAAGAATATTCCAGAGAGCAGAGATGCTAATCACAGAATTGTAGACCTAGCAGGAAACTCTGAAATCAAACAAGCATCTCATTTTGGGGATGAGGAAAGGGAGCTATAGAGAAGTGAAGGGATTGACCCAAATTCCCACCCAGCTGTTTATGGGCAGCAGCGGAACCCAAATCAAGACTCTGCTTTCAACCCACATGACATCATAATTATGAAAATGTTTTGCTTGTTCTCTCCAAGGTCTGAATGTTCCAAGGTTCCAACCAGAATACAGTGTTGTTTTGCTATCACCTTGACCATGGGAGTTTGTGATTAATGTAACACTTTCCTTTCAAAGATGGGAAATTTTTAAAAGCTGGCAGATAAAAAACTAGAATTCCTTTGTTTGCCCAAGACAGTTCATTCAAGATTTTACAAACCTGGCTATATGCCAGAATTATTACCTGGGCAGCTTTCAAAGTACAATTTCTCCACCAAATCAATCTTTGGACTTGGCAAGACTTGAGAATCTGTCTGTTCGTTGCTTGTTTTGGATTCATTTTTGTTTGTTTGTTCTCCCAGTGATTCTGATGCACATCAGGTCAGGAGACTGCAGATCTAATGAACGTCAGCTCCTTAATCAACCCACACATGGATGGTGGTGTGTATTTGAAGATATTTGAGCAGGATGGCACTACTGATAACCAGTTCTCCTGAAATCACAAGTAAAGCCACCAATCAAAATACATGTCAAAAATAGTAACCTATAATAATGATGTTGAATATAAATCCCACTGGCTGGACCATTTGTTCTGGTCTGGGTGCCTGGTCAGTGGGGAGAAGCCCCAAGCACTGCCCTTTCTGACGCATAAGCAGCTGGTGAAGCTCTGCTGCTGTGGCTGAAACCTCAGACAGAGGCAGCAATAGAAGGGGAAATCACGAGGCAAGTGTAATTTAAAGCCTTCATATTTATGTAGACAACTCTTGTCTACATATAGTCCCAGCACTTTATCTCTCTTTTGGCTCTCATTCCCTCTCACCACCTTCTTTCCAAGTAGTTCCATGAGTTCTGGGAATGTCCAGAACTGCACATGCCCAGGACTGGAAACAATTTACCGAGTCATCTGTCAAGCCATAGTTCATGCTTTTCGATTGGTTTAGGTTACTAAGCAACCTCCTTGTCACTCAGGATAATGACCTGACTCTGACTTCCAGGAAAGACAACACAACGTGGGATCCTGGGTGCAGGAACACCATCAGGTGGGACTCTTGCCAACCTGGGTATGAACTCTGTGCGGTTGTACTGGGTCAACCATTTGGCCTCTCTATGCAAAATAGGGGTGAGAGGAATAGCTCTCCAGCTGTTATGACTTGAGATAATGCATATGAAGTACCTAGCACAGAGCCAATGCTCCCTAAACGGTTGCTTTTATTTACAACAGCATGAGAGCAGAAGAGCGACGGCCACAGGGAGTGCAGTGGGGGGCATGTTACATCTAGGACAGCCCAGTCATCGTCACAGTTAACAGAGAGGAGACAATTCCAGAGCCCTCCAGACTACTGCTCTCCCAGATGCCTCTGGAAAACTACATAAATAGCTGGCCTATGTTTGTGTTGTCCCAGTTGGCACCGGGAAGTTTGAGTTCAATGCATCATTTCTGCAAAGCCTCCAGTATCCAGAAAACTTAAGGCTGGCCATGGTAACTGGCCCCAGCATGGGCCCGTGTCAGTCCCAGGCTCAGCATCAGTGGCTCTTTGAGGCCATGGCCTTCACAGTTGCTTTCAGCGCTTGTTAGTTTATAAGCTCTGTCCATGACCTGGGGCCAAGGCAGCTGATGCTCTCCCAGCTCCAGGATGCCATTTAACACAGGGTTTTCACTTCTCCTTGAAAGACACTTGTGGGGAGAATGGAGAGGAAACATTCAGCCAATTGTGTGAAATTGCTCTTAAATATCTCTGCCAGGAAAAGCCAACAAGTCAAAAAGAGAGGTCCTGAGTGCTTAGCACTCTGTGCTTTTGAATTTAAAGTGAGAAGGGACTGGATGATTTCGAAGATTTAAGAATAAACCAGAAACCAGGGCAGGGACTCCTCCAGGACTTACTGGCACCCTTTGTGAACAAGGGCCCATGCCTTCACCGCAATTAATGTCTCAGAGTCCTCTTCTAGAAAGAGGTGGGATGGAGGATTCTCTTTGTAAACCTAGTAAGATTTAGAGCAGGCTACCTAGCTCAGAGAAATAGCACTGACTGCCAAAAGGCAGGGAGCACCCTCCTGTGAGGACTGGTGCAGACAATCGCCTGTAGCCCCGCTGGGAGTAGGTAGGCAGAATTCAAGGAAATACAGTCCTCAGCAGAGGCAAGCAGGGAGGAGAGCATGCCCAAGCCCAGGAGGAAGAACTAGGTGAGGCCCTCCACGCGCTGCCTGATGGCTCTTGATCAAAAAGCTCTTTCTATAAGGGGTGCCTGGTCTCTCTTCCTAAAAATCTGTGCTCAGCACTACAAGGAGTCAGATTCAGGACGTGGATGCCCATAGGCATTTTTATGCTTAATCCATAAAGTAGTTGGGGGAGGGGTTTGGGAAGAAGGAAAGCAGTGGCCGGAAGAGATCTGAACTGGTCAGGGCACACGAGCTGTTCAGACCTTTAACCCCGGCGGCTGGGCCTTGGGTTTGGCTTCCTTTGGCACTGTGTGGATGGTGTTTGAACAAAGGAGAAAGAGCACAGGCTTGAAACCAGGAAGCCTGCCTGGGGTTTTGGCTCTAGCTCCACGGAGCGATTTGCAGCCCGACTGTCAAAAAGCCTCAGACCTCTCTCTGCCTCTGTAAACTCTTGATTTATTTTGCACAGATATTACAAGAAGACTTATACCCTCCCAATGATCTAGTCTAAGGTGTGATCTGCACCACTTACATCAGAACCACTAAAAACAGATTCCTTAGCCCTACCCCAGGCCAGCTGAAACAAAAAATACCAGGGAAAGACTAAGAAATCTGTGTTTTAACAAACTCCCAGGTGATTCTTATGTACTGTCAAGATTTGAAAGTCACTGAGCAAGAGGATAGAGTCCAAACTCCTTAATACAATTCCATGGGCTTTACAATGTGCCTTTGGGTCCCATTTTCAGCTTCTCAGTCTACACCACGAACTGACATGTAAGTCCCCAAACCACAGGGCAGGCACTGGGATAATATTACATGCCTCTCAGGCATCTCAGAGCATCTCCACAAGCAAGTACTATTATCATGCCCATTGTACAGATGAGGACACTGAGGCTCAAAGAAGTCCAGTAACTTGGCCAAGATCACACAGGAAGTATGTTGCAGGGTCAGATTTGAATTCCTGTCTATGGGATTGATTGAAGAGTTTTGGCTCTTAACCAACTCTGTTACACCACATTCTGAGGTCCATTAAACATGCCTGGGTGTTCGTGCCTGTGTTCCCTGGTCAGCTGTCCCCTCAGCCTCACATGCCTCATAATACCCTGATCCTTTGCAAACATGGACTTCCAATGTCTTACTGGACCCAAAACCTCTCATGGATCCCACTAAAGAGCGTTAGCTATTTCCTCCTTATGCTCAGACTGTTTTTATTTATGTCCTGTTTCAACATTATTAAGACTTTACTGTGATTTTTTTGTTTATTTTCCGATGTCTTTTACTAGGCTTTAAAAATCCCTAAGACATGAAGGATGTATAGGGCCATGACACCACTCCTGATGATACTACAATGGTGGACGCATGTCATTATACATTTGTCAAAACCCACAGAATGCACAATGCCAAGAACGAGCCCTAGAGTAAGCTGTGGACTTTGAGTGATAATGATGTGTCAAGTTAGGTGCGTCGAATATGTCAAATGTACTGCTCTGGTGTGGGATGTTGATAGTAGGGGAGGCTGTGGTTATGTGGACCAAAGACTTAAAAAATAAAATCTATTTTTTAAAAAGCCTGGGCAGGCCAGGCACGGTGGCTTAAGCCTGTAATCCCAGCACTTTGGGAAGCTGAGGCAGGCGATCATTTGAGGTCAGGAGTTCGAGACCAGCCTGACCAACATGGTGAAACCCCCTCTCTACTAAAAATATAAAAAAATCAGCTGGGCATGGTGTTGCATGCCTGTAGTCCCAGCTACTCAGGAGGCTGAGGCAGTAGAATTGCTTGAACCAACGAGGTGGAGGTTGCAGTGAGCTGAGATCGTGCCATTGCACTCCAGCCTGGGTGACAGAGCAAGACTCTGTCTCAAAAAAAAAAAAAAAAAAAAAAAGCCTGGGCAACATAGCGAGAACCCCATCTCTACAAAAAATTTAAAAAATTATCCAGGCTTAGTGGCACAAACCTGTAGTCCCAGCTACTCCAGAGGCTGAGGTGGGAGGATTGCATGAGCCCAGGAGTTTGAGGTTACAGGTAGCTGTGATTGTGCCACTGCAGTCCAGTCTGGGTGACAGAGCAAGACGCAGTCTATAAAAAAAGAAGAAAAGCACCTAAGACTATGTTATCCACCTCTATGACTATACAAACCTATGCTTGACACATAGAAAAGGCTAAACAAATGCACATCAATGTCAGACAGCTGCTTTCCCAAAGAACTGAGGGAAACAGATCTGAGCAGGGCCTCAGCCATGATGAGCGGCAAGGAGGAGTCTAGGAGAAAGGGTTAAGTAATAGAAATTTTGGAGGAAGCCTCTACAGAGATAAGGAGAGTAGGTGCTGTGTCACCAGTTCTGAGGATAAAGTGAAGACTGGTGACTGTTTGCTGCATGGCTGGAGCTGCCAGGGAACAGGAGCAGGCCAGAGCAAAGAACAGAAGAGGCAGAGTAAAGAAAAATAGAAGAAAGGGCAGTGAAACAGAGGCAAACTGCAATGTCCAAAGGTGCCGTGGGTGCAAGTGTTTCTGAGTCTCAACTGTCGTGGAAGGCAAACAGGGCCATTAGCAGGGAAAAGAGGACCCAGCAGTGAGTTCCTGAGGCAGGAAGGCAGATGCCAGGAACATCAAAGGGCCATTCATCACCCAAATGCAATGCAAAGGGAAAAACCAGCAAGTGGGATTACGCCGCAGGAACCCGGACTGTAATATCACAGGGAACGACTCCAAGAGATGTTTTAACAGCAATTCAGATGCAGGCATTAAAGACTGTGACATAAGATTTAGAAGAGGGGCAATTAATAATTTATTTTGGAGGGAATATGTAGAAGAGGAAAAAAAAAAAAACACCCAGCACCCACTGGTATTACCTGTGTGGTAATACTATTGCGTAGACCAAGGATAAAAACACGTATGTTTACAAATGAAATGGTTGCTGAAGACACCTTGCCCTCTCACATGCTGGCTAAATGAGAGGTTGGGAAGAGCACGTCATCATTCTGCCCATGTGCGTCCACATCTTAGATCAGAGTTGACATCAGGCACACTTGGGTTGGAAATCCAGCTCTTTCACCTTCTAGCTCTGTGACCTTGGGTGAATTTCTTAATCTCCCTGAGGCTGTTTCTTCATTAAAGGTAAAAAGGGCATAGTAACAGTTATCTTACAGGGCTGTTGTTAGGATTAAATGAGATAAAGTATGTAAAGTGCTTTAGAACAGCACCTGGCATAAAGGTTCTGTCAAGGATGATGATGGTGGTGGTGGTCGTTATTCTAAATCTATGTAGACATCCTTTTCCCATTCCCCCAAGTAGATTTTATCTCCCAAAGGAGCCTTGGAAATTTGTCAGATTAGTTCTGTTGAAGATACTTTAGGATCTCTGTCTTATTCTGAGCTTTCTCCATGCAAGACAGTGTGCCAAGCCTAACTGAAATGCCTAAATAGGGTTCCTGCCCTACTGAAGCTTCCATTCTAGTGCCAGAAAAGGGGTGACAGGCCTTTCCATGGCCCAAGGCCATCAAGTTGCAGAAGTGGCCCATAAACTCCACAACCAACAGGCCCAGGGATCAGAGGAGGGTGAGATCTATCACCACTGGCGTCATGGAAGAAGGACAATTCACTAGACAGAATGAGTGGACACCAGAAATGCCAAGCCCACACAGACCTTCTATAAATCAGATTTTAAGGACAACTGCAGATGGACGAGTTGTATTTAAATAATCCTGGTCTGGGGCAATTGGTCCAGAGGACATGCTTGACCAAGGTGATCTGCCATTGTCTGGCCAGAGGAGAAGAGACAGACTGAGCCAGCTTGATGTAATGTGAAGGGATATGAATTGGAGTATGTGGCAAGACCAGCCAGAAGCTTGGAGGCAGACTCTGAAAAGAAGTCAGGATGCCATGTTGGGGCCACAGCACACTTTAGTTATGAGGAAGCCAAAGCTGGAAATGAGGCTAGGAGAGAAGTAAAGACATGATGAGAGAGAAATTAGGCAGCCCTTAAGGTGAGAGGGAACAACTGAGAAAGAATGATAGGAAGACAGTCAGAAAGAAGGAGAGACTGACCCATGGACAGAGTGACTCCTGGACAGACTGGCCAACAGAGACAGACCGAAGGAGAGAGAACAAACCTGGCGGACTGGGCTCCCTTCTTGAAGCCAGGCTGTGATGGGTACCTGGCTGCTAAGCTGGGGAGTGGGTCTTCAAGAAAGTGGGGCATAGGCTGGTGTGAGGAGAGGGGTCAAAGCGGTCAGATCTTACCTTTCAAATTTCTCTACATTTTCTTTCACATAATTATGAAAGCAACATACACTCCAGCACATCGTCTTTGTTTTCCTTGCTCCATGCTGTTCTCCAGCCTCCAGGTCACCTGAGTCCTCAGAAAAGCACTGTCACACACACACTTCACACTCTGAGAAGACAAGGACATGTTCCAGAGGAGCTCCGATGGTATTCTGGTAAGAAAGATGAGACAGGGACACAAATCACCTACATGGTTCGAGTATGTTCCAGGGCCTGTTGTATAGCAGAGGCAGAATAGTGCTGATGTCACAACTCCAGTGTGAGATGAGCTTTGGGGACAGTGGGTAAGAAGAGCTGGCTTCTGCCCCTGCCTTGGCCACAAAACTAGCTCTATGATCTTGAGCAATTGGCTTAACCTATCTGGACATCTGTTTATACATTTGCAAAATGAGGAGGTTGAACTGGATGTCTTCCAAATTTGCTTGCCGTGCTCACATTCTAGATGCCGTGATTCTAGGAACCCATGGTTATTTATATATCAGACTTTTTCGCAATGCCCAAACAGTGTTAACAGTGTTGCCAGCCATGTCAATAATATTTTATGTATGGTATTACGATGAAGTGAATAGGTTATTTATCCTCTCTCAGTACAACTTGTGCTTCCATACAATTCTGACGTGCACGGTAAATCTCTCCTCCTTTGAACTCCCAAAGCATTTCAATCTAGACACCTCTTAGAGGACTCATCGCATTCTGCTCTATAGCATGGTTATTCAGAAAAATGCCTTATTGTTCATGACTGAATGTTAAGCTCCCTGAATGCTTCCTGGAAACCCAGTTGCACAGAGAAGGAGGAATGAGGCTTCCGGGGATGCACTCACCTGGATAACCCCAAGAGTCCAAAATAATACCTTGCGTGGAATTGACGCTCAATACTTGCTCTGAACAAACTCGTAGTTGCGGAGAATGTAAAACGTAAAAGGAATTTGCCAGATGAGTCTAACAAATCTCCCATCCTTCACTTCTCTCCCAGTGCACCAGGATGGCCAACCTGAAAACTTTGCCTAAAATTAATAAGCATAAAAGGTGGCCTGCAGTCTCGCTGCTGCTAAAGGGCTTGGGGAGACAATGCCCAATGCAGAGAGAGGAGCAGTTGCTGAGAATGTCAAGAAGCAAAGAAACAGCAGGACACGCATAATCCTAGTCATGGAATGTATTTATGAGATGGCTCTCAATATACAAAAAGGGAATGCTATATGGACCTGGAGGAACCAGCCAATATCAGATTGGCTGGCAGGCAGTTTCTCACCTGAGAAAATGAGAATTAAAAAAAAAAAAAAAATAGAGTAACTATCAAGGACCCTCTCAAGGCAAAGTCCCCTTAAGCCATATTTTCTAATCATCCTGCAAGAAACTTCAGATTGGGGCCCAGTGGTTTTATTCGAACAAGATTTCATCAGTCCTCTAAATGTACAGGCAACTCTAGAGCCCTCTATTTCCTGGGCTTGCCCCCCATCTCCCCCTGCAGATGCTCTGGGATCCCGTTAATAATCTACTTCCAAACGGCTCCTCCGTGTCCTAACCCCTGGCCACCTCTACCCTACCTCCAGGCCTCATTCCCCTGCCTGCCTGGCTGAAGGACACAGGCCTCTTTTGTCATCAGCAATCCCTACACTTGCTGGGGTCAAGGACCCTGCCTCCTTCCTACTCCATTGGGGCCCACATCCTGCTTCTCTCCTTCCACCTCAGCAACCCTCCACTGTGCTGTCTCACATTCCAGACACCTTCTCCCCTCCCTTATTGCTTTCTTCCATCACTAACACTGACTCTAGAAGCATGCTCAGTCAGGGACCCAGGAGCGAGTGATTTGGGGTGTCCTGCAGTACACCACCCAAGCACCTGCTAGTCTGGATTTCTGTGAGCTGAAGTTTTGTTTGTGTAAACTTGCAAGCTGTTTTTTATTTTCCTCCTATGTTGATTCACATTAAAACAGTTACTGAGTTCAAACTTTGGGATGGGGGCGAAGGGAGTTTACTCAGCTGAGACTGGAGATGGCCAATGGGATGGCCAAAGGGCCTCAAACCTGCTGTTCCTGGACAAATGTGCATCCTCCCCAGCCTGCCTGCCGCGGGCACAGGGTGCTGGGCTGCAGCTAGCTTCTTCCCCAAGGACTGGTGGCCAGCCACAGATCTCAGGGCTGCTTGTTTCTGATTGAAAAACTCACAGTACAAACTCTCTCGGACTAGTAGGAAAATGAGAGGCTGTTAAGTACGGAGACCTCTGTGAATTGTGCCAAGAACTCTCTGTCACACGGCCCTAGTGTGCTGAAACAGGCTGGAAAGGCCAGTCTTACAAAAGAGTTAAATGAAGGCCACATCACCAGCCCGCTGCTGCTGCAAATCTGACAGGAACAGGACGTTCTAGAATGGCTCCACCCTGGAGCCTCAATCCATCAATCCCAGCAGAGAATACCCAGTGCCAGGCTCTAACAGCTGCCCGCAGACCCCCTCTCTCACCTCTCTGCCAGGCTCCTGCTTTGTCACCAGGCTCCTAATTAGCTATGGAAACAGCACACACTTTGCATTGCGTCACTTGCATCTCTCCGTGTCCCACACATCAGCATGCGTGGCACAGAGAGCCCGTGAGTTCAGAAAGACGCAGCCTAGTGCCCTAGTTGGCTATTGTTTATCATCCGTCTTGATAACTGGCATATACTCAGGTGGCCACACAGGTTGTGTCTAAAACATCTGGCCAGTTGTTGATCTCCCCAGATGTGTGGCAGTTGGCAGTGCTGGTCCTTGTCTCCCTTTAGCCTCCTACAAAAAGTAGTCCAGCCCCTCCCCTGGCATTCCTTCCTCATGCAGTGTGGAAATCAGTTTCTGGCAGCCTGCCCACAGCTGCCCCAGCCTGGTCCCTCTTCACAGCCCACCTGCCCCTCCACCAGTCATCCCCACGTGTGCAACCACATCCACTTCTGTCCTGGCACTTTCCATCAGTGGATTTATCTCTGTCAAGTGTTCCTGCCAAGCTTTTTTCCAAGGACTGCCTTAAGTACAGCAACAAGTATACACCACCCAGAGTCTCCCTGACAGATACTGGATGAGTCTTCCGACCAGGTAGTTTGTATTTTAGCAAGAGGAACCCAAATTTCAAATTCTCGTCCTAGCTGGTATTTCCCTTCCTGAAATACAAGGGCTCCCCAAGTACTTCTCCGTGACTGATCCATTTTTCTCTCTTACAGATGTCTACAACTTTCCTACTCCCACCCCCGCAAATTCCTCCAACACAGCTCCATCGATAAAAGTCATATTTGCCTTCTAAATCACAACCCAGAATTTTCAGAAAATTTCCATGACTTCATTGCAGGCTGCTCTTTGCAATGTCTTTTTTCCTTTGTGATTCTCTCCCACTGCTGCTGGTGCCCACCTGGTTCCTACCCTCACCTTCCCTGCAGAAGCTGATGGTGGAAGTGAAGATGATGATGGTGATGATGATGGTGACGAGAGCTAACATTTACTGGGCATCAATATTGCACTGGGTGCTGTTCTAAGCACTTTACATATAAGATTCACCAAGTCTTCCCTCTGCATGTTATTTTAGTTTTTCTAAACTCTTACCTGAGAAAACTACCAGAGTGCGCAGAGGAGGGAAGAAGCCATAATAGCCAATCAGATCAATATCAATATCTCTGATGTCCTGATTTGGCATGTTTTATGGTCTTTATCCCTCTATCTATAACTCCCACATATTCAGGCCTATGTCTTCTTGGTCCTGAACATATAACCTTGCTTTTAAACTAAGAAGTAATATTTCATTTTTAAAATTGCATGTTTTTATAAACGAAACATTGAATTTCCAATGGTAAATCAAGAGAACACAGATTTGGGATAAGAATGATACATATTTTTAAGTCCTGCCTCTGCCAATTACTAGCTTTGTGATTCTGGGTGTATTTCTTAATGCTTCTGAGACTTGGTTTCATTATGTATAGAATGAAAACAATACAGACCTTGCAGATTTTTGAAAATTGCAAGAAGCGATGTTTGCAAAGTACCTACCTTATTGCTCTGCACCTAATAGACGCTACAGAAATACCTCATCCTTTTCTAAAAAGATGTCTATTGTGTCAGTGTAGCAGGTGGGTATGAAAGGCACAGATTTCTCTTCAATACTTTTCTCAGTGCAACGTCTTTCCCAGAAACCGGGGGAAAACTCTTCATGTGACATACAACACAGAAGTCACCTTGTCCATAGCATACCAGAGCTAACAATTGTTATGCATTCTGCTCTGTGCAAATTGCAAGCCTAAAATCTTCCTTTTGTCCTCTACTTCCCTGGAGTCTCTCAGTGAGTTTACTCTGAGATCTGTATTAGGCTGTTCTCACATTGCTATACAGAACTACCTGAGACCGGGTAATTTATAAAAAAAAAAAAAAAAGAGGCTTAATTGGCTCACGGTTCTGCAGGCTGTACAGCAAGCATGATGCTGACATCTGCTCAGCTTCTGATGAGGCCACAGGAAACTTACAAATATGGTGGAAGGCAAAGGGGAAGCGCACACTTCCCACAGCCAAAGTAGAAGCAAGGGTGGGCAGGGGAGGTGCTACCCACTTTTAAACAACCAGAACTCACTATCATGAGAACAGCACCATAGGGATAGTGCCAAACCATTTATGAGAAAACCACCCCCATGATCCAATCACCTCCCACTAGGCCCCACCTTTAACATAAGGGATTACAAGTCAACATGAGATTTGGTGGGTACACAGATCCAAACCGTATCAGGATCCTCAATAGGATTTTGTCTTCTGACTTGTTCACCAGGCTCCACGTCTTGTTGACCTGAGAACACTTCAGGGTGGTGGGCACTTGAGAAAACAAGATTTGCAGCAGTGACCCCCAAAATATTGTCAACAGATGGACCATCAGCATCAACAACATTTGGGAGCTTGTCAGAATGCAAGTTCTCAGGCCCTACTCCAGATCCACTAAATCATGGGAGTCTGGAGATAGGGCCCAGAAATCAGTGTTTTCACAAACCCTCCAGGCAATGCTAATGAAGGCTCAGGTTTGAGAACCTACAAACAGAATAAGTGGTGGCAGTTCCAGCAGTATGACTGCAGATCAAAGGATCCAACCTCTGGAGGCACACTGTCAGCTGCCTCCACAGGTAAGGCCACTCACCATGGAAGGGAGACACCATGTCTCCTCACAGAGGCGTCCTTCCCCCCACACAGCCTCCGTAGCATTTCCCCTGCTGCTGTGGCTTAGAAGAGACAGCACACCTGAGACAGATATCTGCAAGCCCAACCCAGGTGCCCTGTTACTGCTCAAACACAAGGTTTGGAATCTGTTCTCCTAAACACCACTCTTTACTCATCCTGAGACTGGGGAAGCACCTCCAACTTGCACCTGGTTTATTCTCACTCAGCAGGGAGTGGAACAGATAAACCAAAGGTGTTATCAGTCACCGCCCAGTCACCCACACTCTCTCAGGTGAAGCTGTGTCTTCCACAGTCCCAGGAGCCAGGCTAACCAGTTACAATTCTCCCAAGTCAGCAGGAAGCAAGGAACAGGAAAGGTCAGCGCTCAGAGCTCCGACTGTAATTAATAACCCAAAGGACGTATCCCAAACACCCTTCTTCCTCCATAGAAAATGCTCCTTTTCAAGCGCTATGGTTTGAATACTTTTGTCCCCTCCAAAAGTCACGTTGAAACTTAATCCCCTCCAAAATTCAGCTGTTGCCAATGTGACAGTATGAAGAAGGGTGCCTTTAAGAGGTGATCAGGCCATGAGGCCTGCTCCCTCGTTAATGGAATTAAGGCCCTTTTGAAAGGAGTTTCATAAAGTTCAGCTAGATGCGCTCTTGCCCTTCTGCCTCCTGCCACGTGAGAATGCAGTAAGAAGGCCCACGCCACATGCCAGTGACTTAATCTTGGAGTTCCCAGCCTCCAGAACTGTGAAAAATACATTTCCATTCTTTATAAGTTAGTCTGTGGTATTCTGTTATAGCAACACAAGTGGACTAAGGCATCAAGATTGTGGAAGAGGCCAGGCACAGCAGGTGTGGTGGCCCACAGCTGCAACCCCAACACTTTGGGAGGCCAAGGCAGGGGATTACTGGAGGACAGGAGCTCAAGACCAGCCTGGGCAACATAGCAAGACCCTATCTAAAAACATATATGTTAAACATTTAGACGGGAGGAGCCAAGATAGCCGAATAGGAACAGCTCCAGTCTACAGCTCCCAGCGTGAGCGACGCAGAACACGGGTGATTTCTGCATTTCCATCTGAGGTACTGGGTTCATCTCACTAGGGAGTGCCAGACAGTGGGCGCAGGTCAGTGGGTGCACGCACCGTGCACGACCCGAAGCAGGGCGAGGCATTGCCTCACTTGGGAAGCGCAAGGGGTCAGGGAGTTCCCTTTCTGAGTCAAAGAAAGGGGTGATGGACGGCACCTGGAAAATCCGGTCACTCTCACCCCAATACTGCGCTTTTCCGACGGGCTTGGAAAGCGGCGCACCGCGAGATTGTATCCCGCACCTGGCTCGGAGGGTCCTGCGCCCACGGAGTCTCGCTGGTTGCTAGCACAGCAGTCTGAGATCGAGCTGCGGGGCGGCAGTGAGGCTGGGGGAGGGGCGCCCACCATTGCCCAGGCTTGCTTAGGTAAACAAAGCAGCCAGGAAGCTCGAACTGGGTGGAGCCCACCACAGCTCAAGGAGGCCTGCCTGCCTCTGTAGGCTCCACCTCTGGGGGCAGAGCACAGACAAACAAAAAGTCAGCAGTAACCTCTGCAGACTTAAATGTCCCTGTCTGACAGCTTTGAAGAGAGCAGTGGGTCTCCCAGCACGCAGCTGGAGATCTGAGAACGGGCAGACTGCCTCCTCAAGTGGGTCCCTGACCCCTGACCCCCGAGCAGCCTAACTGGGAGGCACCCCCCAGCAGGGGCACACTGACACCTCACACAGCAGGGTACTCCAACAGACCTGCAGCTGAGGGTCCTCTCTGTTAGAAGGAAAACTAACAAACAGAAAGGACATCCACACCAAAAACCCATCTGTACATCACCATCATCAAAGACCAAAAGTAGATAAAACCACAAAGATGGGGAAAAAACAGAACAGAAAAACTGGAAACTCTAAAAAGCAGAGCGCCTCTCCTCCTCCAAAGGAACGCAGTTCCTCACCAGCAACGGAACAAAGCTGGACGGAGAATGACTTTGACGAGCTGAGAGAAGAAGGCTTCAGACGATCAAATTACTCTGAGCTACGGGAGGACATTCAAACCAAAGGCAAAGAAGTTGAAAACTTTGAAAAAAATTTAGAAGAATGTATAACTAGAATAACCAATACAGAGAAGTGCTTAAAGGAGCTGATGGAGCTGAAAACCAAGGCTCGAGAACTACGTGAAGAATGCAGAAGCCTCAGGAGCCGATGCGATCAACTGGAAGAAAGGGTAACAGCGATGGAAGATGAAATGAATGAAATGAAGCGAGAAGGGAAGTTTAGAGAAAAAAGAATAAAAAGAAATGAGCAAAGCCTCCAAGAAATATGGGACTATGTGAAAAGACCAAATCTACGTCTGATTGGTGTACCTGAAAGTGATGCAGAGAATGGAACCAAGTTGGAAGACACTCTGCAGGATATTATCCAGGAGAACTTCCCCAATCTAGCAAGGCAGGCCAACGTTCAGATTCAGGAAACACAGAGAACGCCACAAAGATACTCCTCGAGAAGAGCAACTCCAAGACACATAATTGTCAGATTCACCAAAGTTGAAATGAAGGAAAAAATGTTAAGGGCAGCCAGAGAGAAAGGTCGGGTTACCCTCAAAGGGAAGCCCATCAGACTAACAGTGGATCTCTCGGCAGAAACCCTACAAGCCAGAAGAGAGTGGGGGCCAATATTCAACATTCTTAAAGAAAAGAATTTTCAACGCAGAATTTCATATGCAGCCAAACTAAGCTTCATAAGTGAAGGAGAAATAAAATACTTTACAGACAAGCAAATGCTGAGAGATTTTGTCACCACCAGGCCTGCCTTACAAGAGCTCCTGAAGGAAGCACTAAACATGGAAAGGAACAACCGGTACCAGCCGCTGCAAAATCATGCCAAAATGTAAAGACCATCGAGACTAGGAAGAAACTGCATCAACTAACGAGCAAAATCACCAGCTAACATCATAATGACAGGATCAAATTCACACATAACAATATTAACTTTAAATGTAAATGGACTAAATGCTCCAATTAAAAGACACAGACTGGCAAATTGGATAAAGAGTCAAGACCCATCAGTGTGCTGTATTCAGGAAACCCATCTCACGTGCAGACACACACATAGGCTCAAAATAAAAGGATGGAGGAAGATCTACCAAGCCAATGGAAAACAAAAAAAGGCAGGGGTTGCAATCCTAGTCTCTGATAAAACAGACTTTAAACCAACAAAGATCAAAAGAGACAAAGAAGGCCATTACTTAATGGTAAAGGGATCAATTCAACAAGAAGAGCTAACTATCCTAAATATATATGCACCCAATACAGGAGCACCAAGATTCATAAAGCAAGTCCTGAGTGACCTACAAAGAGACTTAGACTCCCACACATTCATAATGGGAGACTTTAACACCCCACTGTCAACATTAGACAGATCAACGAGACAGAAAGTCAACAAGGATACCCAGGAATTGAACTCAGCTCTGCACCAAGCAGACCTAATAGACATCTACAGAACTCTCCACCCCAAATCAACAGAATATACATTTTTTTCAGCACCACACCACACCTATTCCAAAATTGACCACATACTTGGAAGTAAAGCTCTCCTCAGCAAATGTAAAAGAACAGAAATTATAGCAAACTATCTCTCAGACCACAGTGCAATCAAACTAGAACTCAGGATTAAGAATCTCACTCAAAACCACTCAACTACGTGGAAACTGAACAACCTGCTCCTGAATGACTACTGGGTACATAACGAAATGAAGGCAGAAATAAAGATGTTCTTTGAAACCAACGGGAACAAAGACACAACATACCAGAATCTCTGGGATGCATTCAAAGCAGTGTGTAGAGGGAAATTTATAGCACTAAATGCCCACAAGAGAAAGCAGGAAAGATCCAAAATTGACACCCTAACATCACAATTAAAAGAACTAGAAAAGCAAGAGAAAACACATTCAAAAGCTAGCAGAAGGCAAGAAATAACTAAAATCAGAGCAGAACTGAAGGAAATAGAGAAACAAAAAACCCTTCAAAAAATTAATGAATCCAGGAGCTGGTTTTTTGAAAGGATCAACAAAATTGATAGACCGCTAGCAAGACTAATAAAGAAAAAAAGAGAGAAGAATCAAATAGATGCAATAAAAAATGATAAAGGGGATATCACCACCGATCCCACAGAAATACAAACTACCATCAGGGAATACTACAAACAACTCTACGCAAATAAACTAGAAAATCTAGAAGAAATGGATAAATTCCTGGACACATACACTCTCCCAAGACTAAACCAGGAAGAAGTTGAATCTCTGAATAGACCAATAACAGGATCTGAAATTGTGGCAATAATCAATAGCTTACCAACCAAAAAAAGTCCAGGACCAGATGGATTCACAGCCGAATTCTACCAGAGGTACAAGGAGGAACTGGTACCATTCCTTCTGAAACTATTCCAATCAATAGAAAAAGAGGGAATCCTCCCTAACTCATTTTATGAGGCCAGCATCATTCTGATACCAAAGCCAGGCAGAGACACAACCAAAAAAGAGAATTTTAGACCAATATCCTTGATGAACATTGATGCAAAAATCCTCAATAAAATACTGGCAAACCGAATCCAGCAGCACATCAAAAAGCTTATCCACCATGATGACGTGGGCTTCATCCCTGGGATGCAAGGCTGGTTCAATATACGCAAATCAATAAATGTAATCCAGCATATAAACAGAGCCAAAGACAAAAACCACATGATTATCTCAATAGATGCAGAAAAAGCCTTTGACAAAATTCAACAACCCTTCATGCTAAAAACTCTCAATAAATTAGGTATTGATGGGACGTATTTCAAAATAATAAGAGCTATCTATGACAAACCCACAGCCAATATCATACTGAATGGGCAAAAACTGGAAGCATTCCCTTTAAAAACTGGCACAAGACAGGGATGCCCTCTCTCACCACTCCTATTCAACATAGTGTTGGAAGTTCTGGCCAGGGCAATCAGGCAGGAGAAGGAAATAAAGGCTATTCAATTAGGAAAAGAGGAAGTCAAATTGTCCCTGTTTGCAGACGACATGATTGTATATCTAGAAAACCCCATTGTCTCAGCCCAAAATCTCCTTAAGCTGATAAGCAACTTCAGCAAAGTCTCAGGATACAAAATCAATGTACAAAAATCACAAGCATTCTTATACACCAACAACAGACAAACAGAGAGCCAAATCATGAGTGAACTCCCATTCACAATTGCTTCAAAGAGAATAAAATACCTAGGAATCCAACTTACAAGGGATGTGAAGGACCTCTTCAAGGAGAACTACAAACCACTGCTCAAGGAAATAAAAGAGGATACAAACAAATGGAAGAACATTCCATGCTCATGGGTAGGAAGAATCAAAATCGTGAAAATGGCCATACTGCCCAAGGTAATTTACAGATTCAATGCCATCCCCATCAAGCTACCAATGACTTTCTTCACAGAATTGGAAAAAAATACTTTAAAGTTCATATGGAACCAAAAAAGAGCCCGCATCGCCAAGTCATTCCTAAGCCAAAAGAACAAAGCTGGAGGCATCACACTACCTGACTTCAAACTACACTACAAGGCTACAGTAACCAAAACAGCATGGTACTGGTACAAAAACAGAGATATAGATCAATGGAACAGAACAGAGCCCTCAGAAATAACGCCGCATATCTACAATTATCTGATCTTTGACAAACCTGAGAAAAACAAACAATGGGGAAAGGATTCCCTATTTAATAAATGGTGCTGGGAAAACGGGCTAGCCATATGTAGAAAGCTGAAACTGGATCCCTTCCTTACACCTTATACAAAAATCAATTCAAGATGGATTAAAGACTTAAACGTTAGACCTAAAACCATAAAAACCCTAGAAGAAAACCTAGGCATTACCATTCAGGACATAGGCATGGGCAAGGACTTCATGTCTAAAACACCAGAAGCAATGGCAACAAAAGACAAAATTGACAAATGGGATCTAATTAAACTAAAGAGCTTCTGCACAGCAAAAGAAACTACAATCAGAGTGAATAGGCAACCTACAAAATGGGAGAAAATTTTCGCAACCTACTCATCTGACAAAGGGCTAATATCCAGAATCTACAATGAGCTCAAACAAATTTACAAGAAAAAAACAAACAACCCCATCAAAAAGTGGGTGAAGGACATGAACAGACACTTCTCAAAAGAAGACATTTATGCAGCCAAAAAACACATGAAAAAATGCTCACCATCACTGGCCATCAGAGAAATGCAAATCAAAACCACAATGAGATACCATCTCACACCAGTTAGAATGGCAATCATTAAAAAGTCAGGAAACAACAGGTGCTGGAGAGGATGTGGAGAAATAGGAACACTTTTACACTGTTGGTGGGACTGTAAACTAGTTCAACCATTGTGGAAGTCAGTGTGGCGATTCCTCAGGGATCTAGAACTGGAAATACCATTTGACCCAGCCATCCCATTACTGGGTATATACCCAAAGGACTATACATCATGCTGCTATAAAGACACATGCACACGTATGTTTATTGCGGCATTATTCACAATAGCAAAGACTTGGAACCAACCCAAATGTCCAACAATGATAGACTGGATTAAGAAAATGTGGCACATATACACCATGGAATACTATGCAGCCATAAAAAATGATGAGTTCATGTCCTCTGTAGGGACATGGATGAAATTGGAAATCATCATTCTCAGTAAACTATCGCAAGAACAAAAAACCAAACACCGCATATTCTCACTCATAGGTGGGAATTGAACAATGAGATCACATGGACACAGGAAGGGGAATATCACACTCTGGGGACTGTTGTGGGGTGGGGGGAGGGGGGAGGGATAGCATCAGGAGATATACCTAATGCTAGATGACGAGTTAGTGGGTGCAGTGCACCAGCATGGCACATGTATACATATGTAACTAACCTGCACAATGTGCACATGTACCCTAAAACTTAAAGTATAATTAAAAAAAAATAATAATAATGCAAAAACAAAACAAAAAAAAAAACAAAAAAAACATTTAGCTGAATGTGGTGGTATGCCCCTGTAGTCCTAACTTCTAGGGAGGCTGAGGTAGGAGGATCGCTTGAGCCCAAGAATTTGAGCTATAGTTAGGTGTGATGGCACCACCGCACTCCAGCCTGGGCAACAGAGTGAGATCCTGTCTCTAAAAAACAAACGAAAAAGGATTACAGGTGACCTCTTCACCCAAACCCAATGGATTTGACTGTCAGTAGCCCCACCTTCCCTCCTGCCTCCAACCTAACCTCCAAGGGTTCTGTCTTCCTCTGACTCACCACTCCCCACCCCTGCCCCACAGTCTGGCTGCCTATGGCTTCGCTTCATATTCCAGTCCAGAGAAACTCACACTCCATGTTTGCAACTACCCAGTGGGTAGCTCAGGAGCCCTGAAGTTTGACTGGAAAGGAAGTGATGAGGCCGGCATAAGATAACGTGAGTGAATCACTGAAATGATTCTGTTCTCTTAACTCTAGAAGTCAGGAGGCTTTTTTTAATTAGGAAATTTGAGAACTAAAAACTATGGAAGCGGACAATGTAGCCGACAGGGAAGGTGGCCACCTTCCTGCTCTAGCTCCTTTATTTCCCACTCACTAAGAAACTCTGCCCCAGCCCTCCTCCTCCTCCTCGGCGTTTTCTTCAGTTCCATGAGCCACCAGCATCTTTCCAATTAATTAAGTAAACCTGAGTAGGTCTCTTGCCTGCAAAGAGTCTGATGGATAACCCCTTCTCAGAACACCACTCAACTCCCAGCTCTTCCTCAAAGACCCACACAGACCCCTCTCGGATCCCCTTCACTTCTCATTTGGGCCTCACTGATCATCTCTGACCTAAGGTAACACCAGGCATTCTATACCACGTGTGCATGGCCATAAGGCATCATGAAAACCCTGCAGCGTCAAAGGGACCTGCATTTGAATACTGTCTAACCACGATTTAACTCTCTGCCTGGGAGATGTTATTTAACTTACCTTCTGAACTGCACTTCCTGGGGATACTGAGCAAGAAATGAACAAGAAATGCATGGAGCCCAGTCCACTCTCTGCCAAACGCTACATACACAGCCAGTGTTCCTATCTTCCCTGACTACTTGATGTCCCGTTTTAGATGGATGGTTCTTCTTGAGGCAAGGACTACGGTTTATACCTCTGTATCTAAGCACCTAGGAGGTGGGCTTTGTCTTTGGTGTTGTCATCTCATGCCCAATCCTAATCCCAGCCATTGCCTGTGGAATCAGCAGGAGCACTTTGACATTCAATGATAATGGTATTAATGACTGTAATTGTATTTGCCATGAGTTGTATTTGGAACAAATGTCTCTAACTGTATTTTTTAAAGCTTTGTTTTGGTTGCTATTCTATTAATATGCAGCTCCACAAAAGCTAAGAACTAGAAGAAAAAATCTATAAGAAATCAGAAGCAGGATGAAATTCTACCCAAGTGTTTAATCATCCCTAGAGTCGTGTTATTCTTCATCATGACCTAATCTTTCCTGCTGAAACTTCATCTCATTTTCTATGACATTCTACATTTTCATAATATACTTTAGATAGCCTCCAAGCCACTTTTCAGCTTTTATCTCCAGCTTATTTTACATTGTTCTCATAGCAGCTCATAGTAAGCACTATGCTAAGCACTTTGCATATATTTTTACCTTAATTCTTATAATGATTTATGACTACCTCCTATACTATATAAACATTATAAACATTATTATTATCACCATTTTATAAATGAGTAAGCTGCGGCTTAGAGGTCATGTACCTTGCCCAAGGTCATGCAGCAAGTAATTAATGGTGTCAGCGTCTGCACCTGAGTAGTCTGATGCCAGCACACAGACTGCGTCAGAGATTCCATAACTTCCATAACTTCTAAGGTTTTAATGTTCTTGTTGGCCTTTCTCTCATTTCTCTTTATCCATCATGATAAATGTACACCAATATTGATAAGAACTATCCTGATGGTAAGAATGGGAAAAAGATCTTAGTGTCCACGAGGACCATGTTTACAGCACAGAATAGCTAACGAAGAGGCATCAAAAAGAACCCAACTCATGCAATTAAATAATTGCACGAATTACTGGACAAAGACTTGTGGCAGCTAGAACCTCAAGCCAACGCCTGACATTAAAGAATCCCTGCTTGTAATTAACAATAACTCTGATTTCATGAGCAGCTACGATGTGCTTTTTAGCACAAGGCACCCTGCGGATGGCCCTTGTAGATGAGAAAATGGGAATTCAGAGTCATTAGGTGACTTGCTCAGAGTCATGTAGCCACAAGTGGCAGATCTGGTATCTATTTTATTTTGACCTCTGTTTTAGCCCAGAGCCTGTGCTGACCACATATTCTCCAGAACCCAATACCATCACCTGATGGCCATGGGCAACACCTCTCGTCTATCTCAGAGACTTGGTGGGAGGATGGTCTGCACACCCTCTCCCCATAACATAAAGAATTCATTCATGTCACCTCTGCCCACATGCAGCTCAGCCTTCTATTCATTCACCCACTATTCAGGCAGTGGATGCCAGAATTTTAACACCTTATATTTATAGAAGGTTTTGCAGTCACAGAAGCTTTTTCAAGATGAAGCTCAGGTGAGCTTGGTAAATCAGTGAAAGGCTCTTAATTTAGTGTTCTTCCCATTTTGCCTTCCTCTCTCTTGTCAAAAAGTGCTATCTGCATTTAAAAAAAAAAAAAAAAACTCTGTTGTGGTGGAGGTTAGTGAGAAAAATTCAGACCTCATTTCTCCTCTACCAACCTGAGATACTTCCCCCTGCCCCAAGACAGAGTCTTGCTCTCTCGCCCAGGGTGGAGTGTAGTAGTCCAATCTCCGCTCACTGCAACCTCTGCCCCCTGGGTTTTCAAGCAGTTCTCCTGCCTCAGCCTCTGGAGTGCTGGGATTACAGGCATGCGCCACACGCCTGGCTGATTTTTTTATTTTATTTCTTTTTTTTTTTCTAGACAGAGTTTCGCTCTTGTTGCCCAGGCTAGAGTGCAATGGCATGATCTCAGCTCACTGCAACCTCCGCCTCCTGGGTTCAAGCTATTCTTCTGCCTCAGCCTCCCCAGTAGCTGGGATTACAGGCACCTGCCACCATGCCCAGCTTATTTTTTGTATTTTTAGTAGAAACGGGGTTTCACTATGTTGGCCAGGCTGGTCTCTAACTCCTGACCTCAGGCAATCCACCCGCCTCGGCCTCCCAAAGTGCTGAGATTACAGGTGTGAGCCATCGCGCCTGGCCTAACTTTTGTATTTTCAGTAGAGACGGGGTTTCACCAGGCTGGCCGGGCTGGTCTGCGAACTCCTGACCTCATGATCTGCCCGCCACGGCTTCCCAAAGTGCTGGGATTACAGGTGTCAGCCACCGCACCCAGCCCTGAGATGCTTTTTAAAGTAATCTTTTTATGCTATGGTGGGGACAATTTGTAAAATACCTCCTTACTGTCTGTTATGTCCCAAAATCCAATTTGTGAAAACCCAGTTGCCAGAGTGCCCCCAAATGGCTTCCATCAAACATTGGATATTGAAAAGGCATGTGTCTATGTGACTAAAATGACTGCAATACCCCTTCCAATTTCCCTGGGACCCATAGGACACTACACTCAAAGGCTTGTGGCCCGAGGTTGCTTGTCACCCCCCAAGAGTAGAGGAAGCAAATGACTGGATAGCAGAAAAAAGATAGAAATCTTTTCAAGGGCTTGTCAACGTGGGATCCAAGTTTTTCTCTCCTGGTGGCCTTTAAAATCAAGTGAACTGCTCAAGCAGAAAAGAGTTATCGGCTCCCTCATTGGGGTCTATGAGTCAGGCCACGTGTTGGGTGTTTTTTCTGCTGCAATGGAGGGGCTAGTATTACATCAATGGCATAAAAGAGACTTTATTCATTGAAAGCATCCAAAATAGAAATGTTGCTGTAAAAGTAATTAGACTTGAATTTAAAAGGATCAGTTCCTCATTAAGGGTTTCCTCAAAGGCTTTTTACAAGCTTACAGCTCAACTCTAATCTCCAGTGTCAACTGTGCAAAGGAGCAATGCAGAGATGCATATTCACATCCTAAGAAGTGTGCCCACTGGTTTCACCGAAAAAGCACAGGGAGGATTTCACCGTACACAAATATAAATACGTGCTCGTCACCACCAGCAGCCCATCCCACACCCCTGAAATGTAGACCCAGGAGATCAAAGTCAACTCTTACACTTATAAAACCCAGAAGAAAACTCTGTAAGTCATGTTTAGAATTACAATTCGTTATTCTCGAGCTGCCTGAAATGTCAACGGAAACCCTTAATTAATAAGTTAGTTAGTTAAGATCATTCATTGTAATTCCCTATCAGTAATTTCTGGTTGTTTACCATGTGTCTAGCTCTGTTCTAGGTTTGAGGATACAAAGATACATAAGACACATTCCTGCTCTCCCAGAACTCAGTCTCTAGCAGGGTTTCTCAAAGTGTGTCTGCATTGGCGCACACATGCAACTGAGTGAAGTAAAGCTGAAAAGTACGAAGCAGCAGGTCTGATTTTCAGACTCCTAGGACCACTGAATTAGAATCTTTTTTTTTTTTTGAGATGGAGTCTCGCTCTGTCACCCAGGCTGGCGTGCAGTGGCACAAACTCAACTCACTGCAACCTCTGCCTCAGCCTCCCGAGTAGCTGGGATTACAGGCACCCACCACCACACCGGCTAATTTTTGTATTTTTAGTAAAGATGGGGTTTCATCATGTTGGCCAGGCTGGTCTTGAACTCCCAAACTCAGGTGATCCGCCCGCCTCGGCCTCCCAAAGCGCTGGAATTAACAGGCATGAGCCACCGTGCCCAGCCTGAATTGGAATCTTAATCAGAACCTCAAAGCACAGGTTCAAGCATCTTTTTGCAAGTCCTCCAGGTGACTTTTATGTACACAGAAGTTAAGTTATAGGCACTGTAATTTCAAAGCATTTGTAAATAATTTGTGAATTTCAATCCTGGGCTTTCTATTGCAAACCCATCTCTTAAGAGAATGGAAACAACCCACTCTATCCTACATGAGCTGCAGAATCAAACCTCGCCAGTTGATTACAGTAGACGTCTCTTGGTTCTCCCTTCTCTCAGTGAGTCTCTACACCTCCCATGCTCCACAAGGCCCACCACAAGCCCCCAACTTATCTATGTGGGGGTGGGGAACTCGCTGATGTGGGTAAGAGTTAAAAAGCATGTTGGAATCAGACCTGGGTTTAAATCCTAGCACTTTCGTTTATTGGTTGTGAAACCATAGGCAAGTTACTGGGCCTTTTGTTTCCTCTGTGAAATGAAGATAATAATAGTACCCTAGGGCATAGGAGCATCAGGGTTGGAATGAAATAATGCATGCAGAGAGCATACACATGGTTTTGTATACAGTGAGCATTTATTAAGTGTTGTTACCGTGGTTACCAAAGTCCTAGGCAGAAGTCTTTTGGGGTAATGGTTCAGAGAGCTCCAAAAAAATCCCACAAAGTTCACACCAGGCTAGCGTTTTCACTGAAAGAGGCTCAAAAGTCATGAAATGTAGGCACCTAAATGTAGACATGAATGAACAATGGTATACTTCTAAACCGTGCTGTGAAGTTTGCAAATTATGAAATTCTATAATTTGTGGCTGGGTAAGGGAGGGTAAGCAATGGTTGATATTTAAAGTAAACATTTTTTTAACTGAATTTATAAAACACAGATATACTGCACCTAAAGCAAGCCAGATATATAAAAATCTGAACTTGTTACGCATGTGTTTATCAAAGGACAGACATTCAGCTCCCTAAAACATTTATGATTTTATTTGCAAAATCTTTACCCAAACACAAAATTTCAGGAGGGCATCTATTACAAAGTTCAAATAGGGTTGCTACATTTAGCAAATCAAAATACAGGACACCCAGTTAAATTTGAATTTCAGATAAACAAACTTTTTTCTTTTAGTATCATTATGTCCTGTGAAGTATTTGGCAACCCTCACTGCAAAGCATGATTGTTTTTGACCTAAGTTCACGACTTCAATTCAGTATTCTTAGCAAGCTTGATGTTAGGAAAAGAAAAACTGCCTGGAAGTAAACTTATCACGAGTCAGGTAAATTAACAAAGTTTTAAGTGCTATGAGAAATTAATTAAACCAGCTTAATCACAGGGATTAAATTAAACCTGAGCTTTTCATTAAATGCTAAGAAGTTCAAATTTCCCTGTATGCCTGGAGAAATTCCTGCTATAATCAGAGTGTTCTAAAGTGCTATGTTAGTACTAGAGGAATAAATGGAGGAAAAGTTAACTTAGGAGAAATTCGTTATTAAGATCAGAAGCCAAGGTTCATCGTGTAATCTGGGCTCAAGGTTCAAACTTGCTTTCACAGTGAAGAAACACCGACCCAGGGCTTCTTGCTGCTGCGTGATAACTAACACCCCAGTGCATGCTTTCTTTCATTCCTTTAATTTCCTCTAACCCAAGAGCAGGTAAATGCTTTTTCTCTGAGTTATAATACTCTTTGATGTACACATGCACAAAAAAACAAACAAAAAAAAAAAAAAAAAAAAAAACACCTCATTTTGGATCTACCAAATAGTTTCCATGGCAAAAAGTTAAGTAGTTCTTTGGAAATTTTCTGGTCTTAAATAAGCTTTGCATATAGCAGGGCAATGTGGGGGGTGAAAATCAAGAAATTTTCAGGACCCTGCCACTACGTTTTATTTAAAAAAAAAAAATGCTCACACCTGTAATCCCAGCACTTTGGGAGGTCAAGGCAGAAGGATTACTTGAGGCCAGGAGCTCAAGACCACCCTGGGCAACATAGCAAGACCCCCATCTCTACAAAAAAAAAATTAAAACTAGCTGGGTGTGGTGGCACGCACCTGTAGTCCCAACTACTTGGGAAGCTGAGGTGGGAGGATGACTTGACCCCAGGAAGTCGAGGCTGCAGTGAGCCATAATTGCACCACTGCACTCTAGCCTGGGCAACAGAGTAAGATCCTGTCTCAAAAAAAAAAAAATTCTTCTGCAACTGATGTTAATGCTAGTATATTTTAATTCCTCCTAAATTAGTAGGTCACGAGAGTTAAGAAATTATTCCACTGGAAATGAAACTACTCCAGCAATCAAAGGAAATTAGATAGGGCAGTAATAGGCAGGACATTAAACTTGAAATCAGAAGGCCTGGTTTATGTGCCCACCTCACCACTCACAGGTTGAGTGGCACTTGGCAAATCAATTTCTCTCCCTGGACCTCTTTTTCCTCGTCTGTAAAATACATGTTCCCTAAAGACTTTTTGCAGGCTGGAATTCCATGATTCACAGTCCATTTGTTTGAATTCAGATCTCTCATCTTTTACTGTAACATTTTGAAAAAATCTGCGCAATCTGGAAGCCTGTTGTGTAGATACCACGGACACCTCTCTCACCCCATTCTGAGGATGAACTCACGTGCTCTTTACAGACCACTTGAAAAACAAGCATCAGGCAGCTCAAGAGACACACAAGCCACATGTCCAAAGACAGAAAATGGCTTTAAACAACCATCACCATCGAAGAAGGAACTACAATACCAGAGAAGTGGAACATCAGAAGAGCTGTTGTTACAACTCTGGCTTCAGACATTGAAAACTACTTAAGGTTGAAAATCCTGAGTTCATAACTATCTGAAGGAAGGGCAGTGAAACAGAGTCCTTTGAGAAATGGTAGGGAAAAGAGGTTGGCCATGGAGATATGGGGAGACATTCATGGCTGCCTTCTTAACTTACAGGGCCTGCTGCATGCTCACCACCACTCTCCCCTCACTCCCAGCTCACAATTGAAGGCCAGCCACCTCTGAGACCACCTCTAGGTGCCCCAGCTCCAGGTGAGTGACAGAAGAGGGGCTGGCGCTCAGCTCTGAAAGCCCTCCCTGCTGCACCCCTGACACCTCTACGTCTGTAGCAATGTGATGAATAAAAGACTTTTAGTGACAGCAAGCAAAAGAGGGTTTCTCCCCCTGAAATTCCTGAGTAAAATCACTTTCAGAAGTGTCAGCCCTGATAAACGGTGTGTCTTTTGAGTTATTTCTTCAAGCATGGTTATGACTTGCCTGATTGACATAGTGACTGGTGACCAATCTTCAAAGGAGTTGGTGAACAGTCTCTAACCTTGGAGTTACCATGCCCCCCCATTTCCATACAGATGTCCAAATCCTCCACAGCCACTGTTAAGAACGGTGAGAGGTTCCTTTTTTAAGGAAAACCTGGCAACAGCAGAATAGGCAAAAAAAACATTAACAACTAGAGTCTTCTAGGGAACATAACCCTGGTAGATATCTCTGTATTATAGTTTCTGTGCCTAAGGAACGAGACATAAGGCAAAGTTGTTATGTGGTTTCTTTTTAGGAAGACTTGCATCCCATATGACAGAGGGAGAATTAAAAGTGTCTGTGCTGAAAGAGGTGAGCATCAGCCATTTGACAGTGCATGCCTGGGAACAGTGGGTTCATTGACGGTGTGAAAGTACTTGGCCCCTTTCTGCGGGCCTCATCAATGAAATGTGATGAATCTGCACACAATGAAATTTTGTCCTTCTGCCTGTGGATTCATTACTGGCTTTATGAAAAGACACTCAGTATTTCTGAATTGTCAGGTCTTACCCCAGAAAAGGCTAAAGGAAAACTGTTCACAGGAGGCCCGGGGAAGGTGGTAGCTGCCAGTAAATAAAAAGGGTTTCAACTGGAACCCAGAGAAGTGGCACATTTAACCCTTTCCATTAAAAAAAAATTATCCTCCTGTCATTCAGCTCAGCAGAGCTTTTAAATCTATTCAGAAGAGTTTTTTCCCAGGAGTTCTTCAAGCTTTTATCCAGTCCCCAATCTTTGAAAGATTTGAGTATGTTTCCTATTTTTCATTTTAAATGTCTGACCAAGATGCTACTGATGTTCCTGCCTCGAGTTTAGCTTGTCTTTTGGGTTATTATCATTTTCACTTTCATTGTCACTTTTTGAGAGGTAAATATTTGCAGAGGAAATCAAGAAACATCATAAACATCTCTGGATCACTTTAAAAAGGGAATCAAAGGTCTGATAAAATTTGGTTTTTCTTACTGGAGAAAGACACCTCTTGCGCTTTAGGAATCTTTTGATTTTTTTCCCTATGCATAAAGGTACTTAAAGCACCATTGAGGAGTGAGTTTACCCATTCCCTGTGCTCATGGTCAATGCTGCATCACAACTGAAACAATGCTGATGGAACAGCCCTCACCCAGGGAATGGAAGACAATGTGGCTGATGGGGAGTGTGCCCATGGGTCCCAAGATGACTGCAAGAGACAGATGTGTGTCCACAGACGTTTCTCAATGTGATGTCTGTATTACTTGCAAGGCTAAATGTGACATGCCATTCTCTCAGCCTTGTAAAAAAAAAAAAAAAAAAAATCCCACTCTCCTCATCTCTCCCTGCTGGCCCATTTGGTTGGGGCTATAGATTCCCAGCTGTCTGGCAGCTGTTATTCTGCTTGTTTACAAATTCATCAGCTTTTAAGCAAGGTTCCATGGCGCCAGAGCTTCCTATAAAGCCACTCTTGAGGCGCCCTCCAGAGCAGGGGCTGTGCAGCCATTCCCTGCTATGCCAAGAGATGGCCAATGGAGCGTGGAAGCAATATGGAAGGCTGCCATGGCTCCAGATCATTTCAAAACTACATCTCTGATCCTGCAGCACCTCGATTAAAATATGCTGCAGCCTTGGGACCCCCCTACCAGGCAGGAATCAGACTCTCGAGCCCCAGCTCTGCCAAGCGTTTGATTACATGCCTGTCATACCACTAAATCTTACTTAGCTTGTCTCTATCTTGGAGGTAAAAGTAACAGAGGGCTGCACGGGGAATGGGTCCTTTAAGTGTTTGTGACTGTGTTTGGTGGTTTGTTGGTTTGTCTTTATGCAAAGTTCCCAAGGCAGAGAAGTGTGATGGGAAGATAAAGCGGCTACAGGGAAGGAGAACAGGCTTTGGGACCAGCTGAGGGTGGGCTAGAATCCCAGCTCTCCCAGTAACTGGCCATGGAACCTTGAATTCCATCCTTAACCTTCACCTGTAAATTCAAAGATGAGTTCTTCTGAGAATGTAATTAAAAAGCACATGTAAGGCAATGGTTCTTCACATGTATCCCTGGACCAGCAGCTTCAGCCTACCTGGGAATGTGCTGGAAATGCAAATTCTCAGGTCCCACCCCAGACCTGTTGAATCCAAAACTACGAGGATGGAGCCCAACAATCCCCCCAGTGATTCTGATGTAGTTTCAGAAGCACTAATATAAGGCCTCTAGAACAGTGCCTGGAGAACAATCATTGTTAGTTCATCCTTGTAGAGATTCTGAGCATATGTGAGGGATTATTGACTTGGAGCCTAATATGTCAACTGGGCACATTGCTGGGCCCCAATAGCATCTCCACTCTCAGGCTTACAATTCAGCCATGACTGTGCATGCCCCCCTGTCAATTTGTACTTGGTATAAATCAGATGATGCCCAGGTCTGAATTACACCTAAGTGTATAGCAGTATGGGTGAAAGTGACCTAAAGGAGCAGCTTTCCAGACCCTGCCCACTCTCCCCCTCCCATCCCCACTCAAACCTTCTCTATACCAAGTGCAGGGAAGCTCTCCTGGCCCGGGGGAGACACAGGGGATGCAGCCAGCACCTCTGAAGCAGCAAATGTGAAAATTCCAAGGTTCTATGGGAAGCTGTATGACTGCCTGCTTCTCTTCAAGTTGGAAGGAAAGGCCAACCCTCAGCTGAAGCCGCCAATGCTTGCCATTTTTTGGTTGGTTATTTGGTTTTTCTTTTCTTTCCTTTTTTTGTTTTTGGCTGTAAGTTGTAAAATAATTTTTTTATTCTTTGGATGAGACTGATATCCATGTTTTGTCATGGATGCCTGGAGTGCAGAGAACATTATGTGACAAATCTATGATATGCTAACTCCAATAAAACATTCTCTGGGCTGGGGACTCATCCAGACATTGGGGGTGCTGGACCCTGCCTGGGTCAATGGGTGTGGAAGGAAGGCTTCTTGATAAGTTATCTCAGGGTGTATGAAACCTGTTTATCCTGGAAAAAAAAATTAAAAAGAAGATACCAAGTTCCTCCAGACAAGGGATATCCAAGACTTTGGTTAATGGAAAAAAAACAGGTCTGCTTGGAGGTGATAAAGGAGAAAATCACATTTGGCAAATATGAAAAGGTCAAGTACCAGGTGTATTTGTCTGGTCTCATGCTGCTAATAAAGACATACCGAGACTGGGTAATTTATAAAGGAAAGAGGTTAATTGACTCACAGTTCAGCATGGCTGGGGAGGCCTCAGGAAACTTGCAGATATGTCCTTTTTCACATGGCAACAACAAAGTGCCGAGCAAAAGGGGGAAAGCCCCTTATAAAACCATCAGATCTCATGAGAACTCACTCACTATCACAAGAGCAGCATGAGGGTAACCGCCCCCATGATTAAATTACCTCCCACCGCGTCCCTCCCACGACACGTGGGGATTATGGGAACTACAATTCAAGATGAGATTTGGGTGGGGACACAGCCAAACCACATCACCAAGCCAGAAGGAAGACAGTGCACACCACAGATGTGGCCTGGAACTATGAGCCAGGAAATGTCATCAAATAAAGTAACAAAATAATCCATTTAACACAAACTGAACACCAAACAGCAGTCATCCATTCACTACACAAATGTTAATTGAGCACACCCTCTGTCTTAGGCCTGTGCTATGCCCTGGGCACACATGCAGCTGGAGAAACACTGGACAGTCAACAAGGAGCATGAGAGCACAGGTGTCCACGGGAGAGCCCAGAGGAGGCGAAGAAAGCCGTGGTCTGAAAGATCAGGGTCCCTTAACCAGGGACACTGACAGGCTGGACAGACAGGTGTCCTCATGCAGATCTGGACCCCAAAGGGAAACAGAGCAAGGCAACTTGGGGATGTTGAGAGAAGTGAATGGCCATGGAGTTGATGGACCAAGTGAGAGGGACCAAGCCTGTGAAATATGCAGGGACCAGCCTGGAGGGCTCCCAGGCATGCTCAGGGGCTAGCAATGTGTCCCAGGGGCTCTGGGAAGCCACTGGAGGTTTGTGAGCTCTGAGCCAACTGCATCAGCACAGGTCAGCACAGGGGTGACAGACTGAGGCCACGGATTCGGAACCGGATCTGAACCTCAGTTCTATCACTTCTTAGCTTATATCCTTGGGCAAATTTCTCAATGTCTTTATGCTTCAATTTCCTCGTCTCTAAAAGGGGAGTTTCATTATCTCACAGGGTTTCAATAAGGAATAAATGACTTAAACGTACATAAAAGGCTTAGCGGCCAGGCGCGGTGGCTCACACCTGTAATCCCAGCACTTTGGGAGGCCAAGGCGGGTGGATCAGCTGAGGTCAGGAGTTTGAGACCAGCCTGGCCAACATGGTGAAACCCCGTCTCTACTAAAAATACACAAATTAGCCAGGCATGGTGGCGCACGCTTGTAATCCCAGCTGCTCGGAAGGCTGAGGCAGTAGAATCACTTGAACCCGGGAGGCGGAGGTTGCAGTGAGCCAAGATCGTGCCATTGCACTCCAGCCTGGGCAACACAGTGAGACTCTATCTCAAAAAAAAAAAAAAAAAAAGGCTTAGCATAGTGTTTGGAACATAAATGCGTAATAAATATTAGCAACTATTATTACTACTGTAACAGGGCAAATATTAATGTGGGGTTGACACAGCCTTTGCCCCTCCCTCCCACTGCCTATCAATGAGAATTCTACCAGCCCGATTTCCCCTCTTCTTCCTTATTTCAGCAGAAGATTCTTGCTTGCTGGGATCAGAGCTAACTAAGTCATCTAGTCTGACCTAGGAGGTGTTGGGGGCTGGACCTTGGTGTGGTGATGTGGAAGGGAGGCTCTTCAGGGGGTGCAAAACCTGCCTATCCTGAAAAAGAGCAGATACTGAGTTCTCCAGAGAAGGAGTATCCAAGCTTTTTTTAAATGGAAAAAAAAATGGTCTGCTTTGGTGAGGGAAGGAGGAGAGAAAAGCAATAAGGAGCTCAGATGGGGGAGAAGTCGGGGACATTTGTGTCAGGCTGTGGAGCAGCTGGGGGTGAAAGAAAAGTGGTTGGGAGGACAGAGGGAATTCAATTGAGAGCTACATTTGGACTCCTTTTAAGTTTTTTTTCTAAAGATGTAAGAATAAAATTCCCTTGTAATTAGTCTGGCTTTTGCCCTGTGTTTCTTTAAAGTTGACTCTATGCAGAGGCTGAGCCATACAGACTCCTCCTCCAGGATTTAGAAGAGTTATAGTATTAATGTTGAAAATGGGTATATGAATACCTACCCTCCAGGGCTATTCTTAGGATTAGATGTGGTAATGCAGGTTGTATCCACCAGCTTTCGATAGATTATGCTGCAAACAACCCTCAAATCATAGTGGCTTACAACAACAAAGGTTTATGTCCTGCTCCCGTTCCATGTTCACTGTGGCTTGGCTGCCTGTCTGTACTCTGGGAACCAGACAGAGGAACCCGCCCCTATCTGCGCCAGGCTGGGCTGGTGTGGAGGGAAGAAAGGCAGAACTGCAGTGGCTCTTGGAGCTTCTGCTTAGAAGCCTGTCACTTCCAATTCCATTCCATTGGCCAAACAAGTCACACATGTCGTCAACAGGGTGGGGAGCATGATGGCCCCACTGGGAAGGGCAGCAAAGACTTGGAACAAGAACACAATCTGTCACAGATATGAAGTGCTTAGGACAGCCCCTGGCACGTGGAAAGCCCTCAATAAATGATTGCAATCATTCGTATCCATCTGCAAAATGGGAAACATAACAGTATCAGTCTCACAGGGAGTTTGAGGGTGAAGGGAGGAGATAGGCAGGAATCCCTTAGCACAGGGTCTGGCACCTTGGAAGCTGCTCAACAAAAAGCAGCTATTGGTGAGTTTTTAAGGGAACAGGACTCCCAGGGACCAGGGTAGGCAATGAGAGAAGGCTGCGGCAAGGAAGCATGTGGTGATCTGAAGCTATAGAGGATCTTAGGGTCCCCATGGGAAAGGATGCTCCTGTCTCAGGGTGTGTGGGGGGTCAGAGGCTAGACCATGGCCCCAGAGAGCCAAGGGCTGCATAGGAGCAGGAAATGCCAATTAAACTCCCACCTGACTGAACAACCTGCAGCCCACCCGCAGAGCAACACAGACCTCACTTTTTATCCAGCCTTTCCTGGGCTGCGAGGCCAAGCTGTGGCTCCAGCAGGAAGCTTCTGCTGCCTGTGTCAAGGCCCAGCTGCCAAGGCACCTGCTCCCTGCTCTTGGGCATTGCAGCTGGCAACTGTCATCCCTCCCTTTCTGCACACAAGAGAGGCAACTCCAGGCCTCCCAAACCCCAAACCCCAAACCCATGCCATCCTCCACCCAGGCCAGCAAGGCTGCTCTCCCGGCCAGGAAGGCAGGGCCAGAGTAGAAGGAGGGTCTGAGGACCACAGGCTTTCAATAAAAATAGATTAAGATCAGATTTGTTTGGAGAGGCTCCCTTTCACTCCTTTTACCCCCTGTCTCTACTATCCCCCACCACACGGCTCTCCACAGAGATCCTTACCCCCTCCCCAGGACCCCTTCCTTCTTCATCATTCCACCAGCAAATGCTTATTGGAAGCCCTCCACATGGCAGGCACGTGCTAGGTGCTGGGGATAGAGCAACGAACACGTCTTACCTCTGTCCAGCTTATGCTCCAAAGCAGGAAACAGTGAGAATCAAGAGGAAGACATAAAACAGCTCCTATGTTGGGCAATGGTGAGTGCTAAGCGGCATAAGAGGGGGTGGAACTGTAGCGTATGGCACAGAAGGTCTCTCTGGAATGATGCAGTAAAGACCTAAAGGAACAAGCAAGCCTAAAGGCAAGTATAAGGAATTAGAAAAAGAGCCAGGGGCCGTGGTGGCTGCTGCAAAGCAGTTTATTCAAGGTTTCCTCTTCCCCTCAGTTAATCCTCCCCTTCTCAAAAGGATTCAGACTAGGAAAGCAGCCAGGGAACTCCCTCTTGGACTCTGTTTCCAGAGCCATGCTCTGCACTCCTCAGATGGGTCGGTGGATGACGAGGCAAGAGGGTCTTGAGTTCAAATCTTGATTCTGCTCCATTTATCAACTTTAATGGCCATCTACATCCCTGCAACCTGCTGCCGGCAGTCCCAGGACAAGCTAGCAGCTTCCTGCACCTCTGCCTGGGTTTCTCTTTGGCCCCGGAAAAGCATCTGGTCCTCCCCCAGGACAAATTGGAAGTATTGGAGAGAGACCCTCGTGCAGCAATGAAGACCCCACACCCCTCGTCCCTCAGTGGTCTGTTCTGCATTGTCTCAGCAGGTCCTCAGCAGGACAAAGCCCAGGTCCCACAGTATAACTGTCCTCAACACACATACTGGCTTTCCTCCCATCCTGGGCTAACGCTGACATTCCCATTCCCTCCCAAATAAGCTACCTGCAATTAAATCCTTGTTCATCTGCTCTGGGGGAAACCCAAATTGAGATGTCAGCCATGAGAATCTGAGAAAATACTGCAAACTCTCTGAGCCTGTTTCTTCATCTGTATCACGGAGACCATGAAGAGTAACGAACAGTCGTCAGTGGGCACGGAGGAGGGAATGAGTCACAAGGGGTGAACAGTTCAGCGTGAACGAGCTGAACTGTAAGGCAGCTAGCCTTGTGCTTGGCACAGAGGGGCAGACAGTAACCCCTCTGAGAAAACAAATGTGATGATGTATGTGAATTCGCTCTGCAAATGACAGGCAATGCCACAAATGCACACAGGCTGCGTTGCATGGGGTTAAGAGCATGAGCCCCACAGGCAGAACACCTGGGTTAGATTCCCTACTCTGCCTCATAGCAGCAGTGTGACCTTAGGCAATGATATAGTTTGGATATTTGTCCCCATTCAAATCTCCTATCAACCTGGAATTCCCAATGCTAGGCGGCGGGGGGGCCTGGTGGGAGGTGTTTGGATCACGGGGGTGGATCCCTCACGGCCTGGTGTTAGCTTCGTGATAGTGAGTTCCCCTGCAATCTGGTCATTTAAATGTGTGTGGCACTTCCTTCCCACCCTGTCTCTCTTGCTCCTGCTCTGGCCAGGTGATGTGCCTGCTCCCCTTCTGCCTCTGCCATGATTGGAAGCTTCCTGAGACCTTCCCAGAAGCCTAGCAGATGCCAGCACTATGCTTCCTGTACAGCCTGCAGAACCATGAGCCAATTAAACCTCTTTTCTTTATACATTACTCGCTCTCAGGTATTTCTTTATAGCAATGCAAAACCAGCCTAACACAGGCAACTTACTTCACCTCCCCATGCCTTGGTTTCTTAATTCGTCAAAGAGAAATAATAATATTTAATAATAACACTAATCCCATTGAGTTATCATGAAGATTAAATAAATGAATGTATGTAGTGTGTCTAGAACTGTCCATCTTCATAACAAGAACTACATAAGTTTGC
Organism: Homo sapiens; assembly: GCF_000001405.40. Classification (NCBI taxonomy): domain Eukaryota; kingdom Metazoa; phylum Chordata; class Mammalia; order Primates; family Hominidae; genus Homo; species Homo sapiens. The sequence continues at coordinate 40,378,818 of NC_000013.11, forward strand.
TGTGTTATTTATATTATTATCATGGGCTTACTGACATTCATTTTAGTATTACATTATTTTTATGCTGTGCTGAAAATGCAAGTCTTTTACCTGCCACTCCCGATGTGTCTCTCCAGCTGCCTGCTCCAACAGACTCTACAGTTTGTCAACATGAGTTTTTTAATTGCATAAATAATTCATGAATACATTCTGATTGAAAGAGTTAAGCAGTATATAGAACAAAGTTTCTAAGTTCCTTCAACATTTGCCCCTACTCCCCTCCCACTGTCAACAATGTGAGGTCCCCTCCTAGTTCCCTTTTATATACTGGCATATATATGTATACACTTTTTTACAGTAATATACTAAATTTGCATTCCAATTGTTATTCAATTTGCTTATTTTCCTTCAACTGTATTTTGTAGATTTTTTCCTCTGATGATAAAATAAGCCTGCTTCGTTCTTTTAATTCTTCAGAATGGATATATCCTAATTTGGTTCAACAAATCCCCTATTGATAGATATTCATGTGGTTTCTAATTTTCCCCCTTTTAAAACGGCACTACAATCAACGTCTTTGTGCACACATCTTCACACAGGCAAATGAATATTTCTTAGGGTAGATTCCAGGAAGTGGATTTGCTGGGTCAAATGGTGTGTGAATTTTTTGTTTCACTGAATACTGCCAAATTGCCTTCCAATTCAAACTTCTACCAGCTTTGGGGGAAGGTTTTGTTTTTGTTTTATTTATTTATTTTTGTTTTAAACAGAGGTTTGTTTTTATTTAAAGGAGGGGTTTTCTTAAGGCAGTTGGTCTCAGCAGAGGAAAGTGTCATGTTTTTCCCTGACAACCAGAAATAGGAATCTGTTCTTTCTTTTCTTTCTGGAGATCCAACATCCCAACTGTATAACCCCTGCCCCTCCATCCACCCTTCTCTTTCCCAAACCACACACACACACGGTCAGCAACTATAATGAGGATCTTCCCCCAATATGTTGCTGACTTAATTTGAGATGTTATTCACACTAAATTGTGAGAAGTTGAGCCTCTTCCACTGTAGCTACCGGAGTAGGGGACAATGATTGCCTGCTCAACACCTCTGCTTCCTTAGAGAAAGAACCTTAAGTGGTTGGAAATATAGGACACCTTTTTAGCACGGAACTACATTTCCCAGCTTGCACTGCAAGTGTGGCAGTCAAAGAACCTTAAACGAAAGCTGATGGGGGTCTCTGGGAAAGGCTCCGCAAAGGAGACCGACTCCCCTGGGAAGTGAGCCTTTTGCTTGCCCCTCCTGTCTCCCTAGCTGGATATGGGGGTGATTTTGATCAGGTTCAACCATTCCAATGGACATCAGCCTTAGGGCTGAGCAATCTTGGAGGGTCCTGCTGTAGCTTGTGTTAACTCTTTAGTTGCTGGATCTTGGAGATGACCAGGCATGCCAAGAGGCAGTGGCTCTTTGCCCAGCTGTTCAGAAATATATTGAAGTTAAAACAACTAATTGGCCAAACCTATGCATTCTGCATGAATACCAGCGCTGCCTGAGACAAAGATGTGATGACTAGGGATGTCTGGAGTCCAGCTGTCACATACGACCATGAGGTAATCATCGAGATGGAAGCCAGGCACTAAGGATGATGGACAAGACAAAGCCTTGGCCTGTGATGAACATGGGGTCATCACACTTGCCCTCTAGATTTCTTTTACAGAAAGCTGCAGGGCTTCAACTGAATCAGTTGCTGGCATTCCGTCTTCAACGCTGTGGTCCATTATGACTGAAAAAACTCAAATCCACACATTTTGTGGCCAAAAGGGCACCCCTCTGCCTACAAACTTGAAACTGCTTTGAGGGCTCCCTTGAAGAACCCTCCACCACCCTGTGTCCTTCTCTCGACAAACTCCCATTTGCCAATTCCCCTGTTACACTTATCATCAGACCTTTGCACAGTTCTCCAGTCGGGGCCTGACACTTTCTCTTCTGGACATTGTTTTATTAAATCCAAATAAAATTTTGGTTAATTTGTGAAGTCTCCATGCCACTCTACTGGCTCCAAGATCCCAGCCCTGACTGCTGCAGGCAGCAAAGCTCCCACATGCAAATCATAATTCTTCCAACATATGATTCAGAAATTCAAAGACCCCCCCACAACTAACTTTGCACCCGTTATAAAACAGAATGTGGAGAGGTTTTCTATAAAGATGTACAGTTCAGGCTTGTTTCTACTAGTGAAAAAGTGGAGACAATCTGTGTCCCACAATAGTGAATTAATTTTAAAAATTACGGTCCATCCATCCATCCAATGGACTACTAAGCAGCTATTTAAATATAATTATATAAAATAAAAACTTACCAGCAATGTTCAAAATATATTAAGTGAAGTTTGTATTGTACAATTCCTTTTGTAAAAATAATGTATAAATATGTGTTCATGTATTTATATGTATTTGCACAAATGCATAAAGTTCATCCCAGAAGGCTAAATACCAAAAATCTTTCTAGTGGTTATCTCTAAATTTATGGGTGATTGTAAATTTTCCCCTCTGTGACTTTGTATATCTTTCTAATTTTCTAAAATACGTATTATTTTTATAATCAGAAAAATAATACAAATACCTATCTCTGTGTCTATTGATATGATGATCTATACCTATTAATCTATAACTTGGGAATAAGTGAAGGATTAGCTAATGAGAAAACCCCAGTGTGCAGCTTCAAGTGTTTTAAATGATTCTTTTTTTTTGAGACTGAGTTTCACTCTATTGCCCAGGATAGAGTGCAGTGTCGTGGTCTCTGCTCACTGCAACCTCCGCCTCCCGGGTTCAAGCGATTCTCCTGCCTCAACCTCCCGAGTAGCTGGAATTACAGGCCTGCGCCACCACGCCCGGCTCATTTTTTGTATTTTTAGTAGAGACGGGTTTCGCCATGTTGGCCAGGCTGGTCTTGAACTCCTGACCTCGTGATCTGCCCGCCTCGGTGTCCCAAAGTGCTGGGATTTACAGGCGTGACCCCCACGCCCGGACCTAAATCCATTATCCAAAGCTCAGGCTGCCTGGATTTTGGAAACCTAATCTTGTTGAACTTCCCTGTTTCCTGAGTTGTGTCACATGCTCCAGTGATGTGCCCCCAGTGACAAGCTGTCCAGTTCTTCACAAACAAAGGCTAGAAAAGTCCAGTGGATGACCTTCCACATCTGGGACTGTCGGTGGCCAGGCCTGGAGTGGCTCCTCCCCTTCTCGTCCCCTCAGCGCAGCTTCCGTCCCACAGACTTGGCACCAGCCACCACCTCTGCCCCAGATCCTTCCGCTCCCCTTCCCAGGGAGAATGTGTCCTGCCAGCTCTTGCCCCACCAAATGAGGAACGGGGACTTTGCCGCTGTCCCATTCTGAGAGGTTTGCTCATGCAACCAACCCTCCCCTGGGGCCTCAGACCAAGGCTGTCTCGGCCCAGCCCTGGACCTCAGCCTTAGCTAGGACACAGGAGCGGTCCGCCTGCTCTGTCCGTCCTCGCAACTGCCTCCGAGTCCAGCACCCCAGTTCTCAGGCCCAGCCCCGTTTCCTCCTGTCCTTTTTGGTTCTGTGGGTGGCAGAGGCCAGGCAGCGTTTTGGGGTGGGAGCACTGGAGGAGTCCAGGTGAAGTAGGATCCGCCCATCAGTTCTGAGCCCTGAGTTGACCAGGTTGTCTCCGAGCAGCCCGCCCTGGGCTGGGAGGCCTTAGCCCAACCCTCCCACCTGACCCAGGGCCGCAGCGACTGCCTGCCGCTCTCCCCGCCTCGCCTACGCCTGTTAGGCCTGGGAGAAACCGAAACCCTCCTCTGCAGACCATCAGTCAGGGTGACGCAGCAACCTCACAGCCTAGGGTCTAGCACATTTAAAACATTAAAGCGTCTGCTCCATTTAACTTTAGGTGAATGAGCACTCTGCCTCTCTCCCTGCCTTTTCTACCAACAGCCCCTGAGTTATGTTGTTGTTGTTGTTGTTGTTGTTGTTGAGACAGAGTTTCGCTCTTGTCGTCCAGGCTGGAGGGCAATGGAGCGATCTCGGCTCACTGCAACCTCCGCCTCCCGGGTTCAAGCGATTCTCCTGCCTCAGCCTCCTGAGTAGCTGAGATTACAGGAATGTGCCACCACACCTGGCTAATTTTTTATTTTTAGTAGAGACGACGTTTCTCCATGCTGATCAGGGTGGTCTCGAACTGCCGACCTCAGGTGATCCACCCACCTCGGCCTCCCAAAGTGCTGGGATTACAGGTGTGAGCCACTGTGCCGGGCAAGTTATGCCTTTTTTTTTTTTTTTTTTTTTTTTTTTTTTTTTTTTTTTGAGTGAATAAAACCAGAAAAACGGTCCACTTATGTAGTTACAAGTAAATCGAGTTACTCACTTGGAGATTAACATACTTGTGCCTGCCCTCTCCTGCCCCAGCCAGCACATGTGTCTCCCTGAGGGAATCAGGCAGAAGGCCCAAGAGCAGCCCCTAGACTGTGACTCTTCCAGGGAGGCCTTCGCCAAACCACCGGACAGCCCTTGCCGGGGGTCGTCATGAACAGGCAGGGCTCTAGGCCAAGCAGGGAGTCCCACAGGAGAGCCCACTGGGCTGTGCTTCCAGGAGAGGGCTGCAGCCTGCAGAGCTATGCTCCTGTGAGACCAGGAAGGCCAGACCAACCAGCCTGCCCGAGAGGTGGGGAAGGGAAGGCCTTTGTCTTGCCAGATGCTCTAGTTTTGCTATTTATTTGCTGAGTGACTGTGTCAGTAGCTTAGTCCCTGAGGAGAGACACCTCAGACTCTCCTCTGTAAAACGGGCATAATATCAGTAGTTACCTAATAAGGAGGTTGTACGGATTAAATGAGTTAACGCTTTCCAGCTGCTTATCACAGTGCCCAACACAGAGTAAGTGCCTAGAAAAACGTTAGGGGTGCAGCGACAGCAGTGGGGGTCACTGTGACCACCACTAGCGCCTTCTAGAACTCCCACAAAAAAGCTCTAAGTCATCCAGAAGCCGATCCCCCACCCCACAATGTCATCCCTGTCACCCAGGCTACACAATGATCACAGCCGAAAAAGGAACGCCTCTGAGGACAAGCGGAAAGTGTGCCTGGAACATAAATGTTTGCTGAATGCATGCTGGAATTGAGAGATTGCAAACAAATCAGGGCTCATACGCTCCCCACAAAAAGAAAACGAAACTCACACCCCACTCACAGAGGGTAGTTCAATCCCCTCAGTAGCTGACAGCACCAGCCGGCTTAGCTATGCTGGCTGAGTGTGATGCTGGCTCCACTCTCCCTCTGCCTAAGGGAGCATGTGTTCAACAAACATTAACTTTTCTGTGCCTCTGTTTGCTCATCTCTAAGCTGGGTAGCATAAAAATAGCAACTACTTCGTAGGATTGCTGTAAGAATTAGATGTGATACTGTACATGTAAAGCACCTAAGTCAGTGCATTTGCACACTGTAAGTGTTCAATGATATTAGTTTTTATCATTTGTTTTCAGAAGATATGAATTTGATCCCTGCCTATACTATACTCTCCTAATACTCTGAGCAAATTTTAGTCATCTCTCTGAACTTTGTTCACCTCCTATAAAATGGGAGCATTATCCATTCAGCCTCATTAGACTGTTGTGATGAGTAAATCAAAGAAAATCAGTGAAAGTGCTCTCTCCGACCCCTCCCATCTTGTTTTGTTGTTGTTGTTGTTGTTGTTTAGTTTTGTGTGTGTGTGTGTGTGTGTGTGTGTGTGTGTATGTATGTGTTTTTTAGACGGAGTCTCTCTCTGTTGCCAGGCTGGAGTGCAGTGGCACAATCTCAGCTCACTGCAACCTCTGCCTCCCGGGTTCAAGTGATCCTCCTGCTTCAGCCTCCCAAGTAGCTGGGACTACAGGTGCGCACCACCATGCCGTGCTAATTTTTTTGTTATTTTTTAGTACAGATGGGGTTTCACCGTGTTGGCCAGGATGGTCTCAAGCTCTTGACCTCGTGATCCTGCCTTGGCCTCCCAAAGTGCTGGGATTACAGGCGTGAGCCACTGCACCTGGCCTCCCATCTTTATATGACTTACATCTCTTCCAGTGCCTGGTATATAAATGCCTGTTGAATGAATGAATATAAAACTCTATGATATGGTGGCTATTTAACTGCTTGCTGAACATTTGGATTAAAATTGAAGTACTTTTATGTGGCTTCAGCAATGGTGGCTCAACAGATGAGATGGTTTCAAGAGAGATTACAGACTGGCAACCACCCTTGGGTCTGTCTGTTCCTTCCTTTTTTTCCTTTTTTATGAACATGGGCTGTTACAATCAAGTCAAACACATCTCAGCAGCTTTGAGTCTTTGGGCCCTACCTCCCGAAGGGAGGACCAAAGGTCACCTTCTTTGTTCATCTAACAGATGAGTAAAAGATACACTGCAGCCCCCAGATGATCTCTGCCTCATTCCAGAATCAGGATCAACTTTGAAACAATTAACAAGTTGTCGTCTCTTAGTCCTAGAGGACTTGGAGTCTAATTCAGTTCTACTTTAGCTTTTTCCAAGGTCGTGCCCTAACTTTATGCCTGCAGTTCTTCATCTTAACCAATCTCATTCTAAAGAGTTGTCCATTTTAATGGCCCTGGGCCAACAGCCTGCCAAAGAAATAAAAATAAAATAGCAGAAGGAGGAGAGAAAAGAGAAGGAAAAGAAGAAGAGGGAGAGGAGGAAAAAAACAGAAGGGGAAGGAAGAGGAGGAGAAGGGATGGAAGGGAAGGAGGAGGAGAAGAAAGAGGAAGAGGAGAAGGAGGAAAAAGAGGGAGAAGAGAAGGAGAAGGAAAAGCAAAAGGAGCAGGAAAGAAAAACAATAGTTTTTTGATTCCGTGAATTAGTCAGAAACCATCAACACTAAGTAGGCGTGTCTCAACTTGTCCTCTTGGAACTCTGGAATGAAGCAAATCCCCTCATGGGCTCTACTAGAGCACGTTAATTCTAACAAGATGAAGTTGCTGTTCCAGTAATTCATTTCAAGAAAACTTTCCTGGAAAGCTGTACTTTCCCCATAAGAAACCACTGCTTTATTAAGGTGCTTAAGATTATGGGGACTTGGCATGCAGGCATGCTGAAGGCATCACTTATTTCTGGCCAGGCCCTGATTGCTATGTGGGCTCACAAAACAGTGCCGAGCAGGGAACAGAGGGAGCATAGCGACCAGGTATGTCTCTAGTCCTTCCCAGGTCTCCTTCCCCTTTTGAAAATGGAGATGACGGTACCTGCCCAGGGATTCCACCAGGGTCGATAAGATCATGTGTGTATAACTGGTTTGAACTCCTTAGAGAAACAGTGTTCTTTAAATATCATTTCATTATCAGGTATGATTTTTAAATCTGTGCTTGTGTAACCAAGCAACAATACTTGAGGGGCATCTCTAACCCTATTAGCCAGTGTTCCCTAGAAGGTCACCCACTCTCAACTCTTGCTCTCACCCCTTTTGTCCTTTCCCTCTGACCAGCCTGCAAAGAAAAACAAGAAAAAGACCAAAAAAAAGTAAAGGACACAAACATCCAGGGTACACCTCCTGTGTGTCGGGTATAAAGCTAGGTGCTTTGTGAAAATCATCTCATTTAATCTGCACAGCACCAGGTGAGAAAGGGATTATCATCAACATATCCCTGAAGAAATAGGCTCAGAAAGATTAAGTAATTTGTAGAATCAAAATGCTAACCAAGGTGTTCCTGGCTTACTCTTTCTATTCGACAATGCCATTGTCCCTCAAAGAGCTCTAAAAAGATTCTCCTACCCCAACACATTTGAGAGCCGCTGGCATGGACCTGGTTAATGAGCTCAACTCATAAATATATACTGGGGGCTCATTATTATGAAAGATGACCATTGCTAATCGGATTACAATCTCATTTATAAAAAAGTCCTGAACCCATTTTTTTCAACAGAGTTCAGTCTGGCTGAGTTAATGACTTGTCTACCAGCCACTCTTAACCTAGTTCTGACCTGCCTTCCGCTGGTTGGCAATAAGCCCATCTAATCCTTCCTGGACTTGTACCCTGTGGATAGGTAGACGCAGTGAGACACTGGAGGAATGCAACCAGTGATGGAAAATTGTTTTGACACCTTGCCTCTCTCCTCCCTCATGTCACACACTACTTCTTTTGTGTTCCACCAACCTTCGATCTCTTTTTTACCCCACACATTCTGCAAACATCAAGGATCCTTGTTAAAGCTCAGACAGATCTATGTTTAAATCCAAGACCCTGATCCTTGGGCATGTTCCTTAACTTCTCTCAGTCTCACTTTGTCTACCTGAAAAATGTGGGAGAATAGGGTTGCTGTGAAGATTCAATAAGATAATACATCCATAAAAGGTACTTAGCATAGCACCTGCACATGTAAATAGTAGCTGCATATTATTATTTCTTTTTTCAAAGTCTATCCCTTTTAATTTGAGGGATCATAGTCATTGTCCCTCAATGTCTATGACCCCAATTAAAAGGGATCATAGTCATTGAGGGACAATGACTATGATCCCTCAAATTAAAACTTCTAATTGTGGTTTAAGCTCCTTAATAGTTATACCTATTTCTCATATTTATTTATTCTTTCATACACCAAATATTTGCTGAGGATCTACCACATACCCGGCCAGGACAATGTACATCACAGATGCAAACACCTGCCTCCCTGTTATGTATTAGTCTGTTTTCATGTTGCTATAAAGACACTACCCGAGACTGGGTGATTTATAAACAAAGGAGGTTTAATTGACTCAGTTCCATATGACTGGGGAGGCCTCAGGAAACTTACAATCATGGTGGAAGGGGAAGCATGCACCTTCTTCACAAAGCAGCAGGTGCGAGTGTGAGCCCAGGGGGAAGAGCCTCTTATAAAACCATCAGATCTCATAAGAACTCAGTAACTATCAGGAGAACAGCAAGAGGAAACCGCCTCCATGATCTAGTCATCTCCCTTCCTCAACACATGGGGATAACAATTCGAGATGAGATTTGGGTGGGGACACAGAGCCAAACTATATCATGGTATTTACACTACAGAGGACAGAAAAAAAAGCAGCCAACCAACCAAGACTTAAAGGAGATTTGAGAAGGGGCCACATAAATATGAGAAAGAGAGGGCCAGGAAACGAGTGTGGCTTGTGCAAAGGCCCTGAGGCTAACAGGTAGCTGGCAGGCTTCAAACACAAGGGCAGTGGACATTCTGGCTGGAGGAGGGAGGCAGGGGCAGAGAGACATGAGGTCAGGCAGAGCAGACATTTGCCGTGGGTACAAAATTAAGGGGCAGGCTGGGCGCCATGGCTCACGCTTGTAATCCCAACACTTTGGGAGGCCGAGGTGGGCGGATTACCTGAGGTCAGGGGTTCAAGACCAGCCTGGCCAACATGGCGAAACCCTGTCTCTACTAAAAATACAAAAAATTAGCTGGGCATGGTGGCACATGCCTGTAAACCTAGCTACTAGGAAGGCTGAGGCAGGAGAATTGCTTGAACCCTGGAGGCGGAGGTTGCAGTGAGCCAAGATCATGCCACTGCACTCCAGCATGGGTGACAGAATGAGACTCTGCCTCAAAAAAAGAAAAAAAAAATTAAGGGCAGCAAAAAGCTCAGTAATCAAGATGAATAATATTTTAATGCAATATTTTTAAAGATCATATTTAATACAAAAAAATCATGATTAAACATCAATATTTTAGATAATGATAGGATCAGTGATTCTCCCTTTTGCCTCAGGCTCTGCTATGGCCCAGCACAGTGTCCATCTTGAGAATGGAGAAGCCCCCTTATATTTTGTGCCTGGAGCCAGTGCCTCATTTGCTTCACCCTCCTCCCAGCCCTGAGTGCGAGAGGAGCAGGGGCAGGCAATGCAGGACCACTGCATTTGTGAAACATGACCTGACATGCACCCGACTCCTCCAGCCACTGTCCTCTGTGTGCCCCGTCCTCTCTGCTGCAGTCACGCACATGCCATCGTGGCCCATGGCCACCGTCCTCCTCCTTGACACTCTAGAAGCTGCTCTGTCTGAGCGAGGCGGCAGAGTTTACAACAGGATGTGGTTATTGGCGCTGCACAGATATGTGAGGGGAGCCTAGACGTCCGGTGTGTTCATTCAGCAGGGTGGCTAAGGACCTCCTCTGTGCCAGTCACCAGGCTAGATGACAGGATGTGACAGGGAGCAAGAAGCCTGTGGAGCCTGGGCTGCTAGCCCACTCATAACCCTAGGAGTCTTCACACAAGATCAAGGAGACCTGAAATAAATGGCCAGAAATCAACCCTCAGATGATACAGTCAGCCAGCAGCCTCAGCTTCAGAGGCAAGGTAGCCAACGGCCATGAAGATGTTCTTCAGCCCAGACACATGTGGGTAGGAGCCTGGCCGTATCGCCTAGAAGCTGTGGGATCTTAAACAGTTTACAGAGTCGTTCCAAGGGTCAATTTTCTCATCTGTGGAGTGGAAACAGATTCCCTTCAGAGGCCCCCTGTGAGGAGCAGAGAATGGCTGTGAGGTGTGTGACGTGCTTGATGAGAACCGTCTCTGTCAGCATTATGATGGCAGCACTGAAGTGCTTTCTGTTTCTATCCTGACCTACAATGGTGCCTCTTTCTGTCATGAAGTATAGGTAAGAGTTGGTGAAAGAATGGCAGGCTCCTCCAGCAGCTCCCAGTTCCTGCAGGGAGGCAGCCGGCAGCACATTTAAGGAAGCCCTGCCGGTCAGACACTTGGAGAAGGAACGAGATGTTGCCAGCACCACTCACCAGGTTTGCAAATAAACTGTCACATCTCAGCTCTCACCAGTGCGTGGCTGTGACAGACAGGTTCATGTGTGTGCAACACCCTCTTCCCTGCCACCCCCAACTTTAACACTTTCTGTTGAAAAATCCCAGGCTGCACAGAAAAGCAGCTTTCAAGTAGATGGAGGAATTTGTGAGTATCAGGTCTTCCCAGCAGGGGAGTGAGGACAGCCGGTGCCAGTTCCTGCATCCTTAGCCTGATTGTCGGCTGAATTGCAGAATTTGCAGCAAAGTTTCTAAGGATCACCAGCCTGGGTGGTTCAAACTGGCAAGGTCCAGTGCCCATGCATGGAGCCCAAGCTACCTGCCAGTTTGATGACAGGTTGGTAGGGCTCCACCTTGGAATTTTAGGCCAGAGAGAAAAGGTCGGAGCCCCTCTCTGTGGTACCTCTGGGGAAAGCCAGAAACAAGGATGCAAAGAATAGTCCAGAGTTTTGAGCTGGAAGGTATCTCAAAAAACAGGTAGTCCAGTCATTTTCAAATGTCCACTTTTACAGGGAAAACCTTGCTTATCTCAAATATAATCATATTATAAACTTAATATGTATTTTTAAAAAGAAGAAAAAAACATGCTCTTCTGTGTTGCTCAACAGGGATGCTATTGAAAATTCCAGAAAGAATTTATTTTGTGGAACAGTCCTGTTGCACAAAATATTTCGTATTCCTGGGCCCCATCCCCAACATTGGTGGTCCCCCCTCCGCCACCTCAAGTGACTGAAACTAAAAAGCCCCACACATTTCTCAATGCCCTCTGTGGTTACCGCTCCCACTGGGAACTCATCTAATTAAGTGGGGTTGCAAGGGAGAGGGCAGCCACTGAGCCTGAGATGGTACCCTTCAACCTGGCCTCTGCAGAGCATCCTCTGAAAACCACCATGGGGTTGCCTGACAACACCCGAGGCAGAACATTCTCACTGTATTGCCTGAAATAAGCCCTTTAGCCTCTGGGGGCCTCAATTTTCTCCTCTGCAAAACAGCAATGATAATCCTTTCCTGTTCCATAGCACCTTTGTGGGGACCAAATGAGGCCTTGCGCACAGCATACTTTGTAAACTCCCGAGCCCTTGCTGATGTACAGCATCCTTCATCGTATTACTCTCCTGTGTATATAAAGACACTGTTATCCAAGTCTTTTGAAAAGACTTACCATGGAAACCAAATAATAAAAGCAAAAAGCTCAGTCATAAGGCTTTCACTGAAACCTGCTTCTATTCGCATCCGTTGCACACACAGCCCCTGGAGACAATGGCTGTGCTCCACTCCCACTGAGACACCTACTTCGGCTTTTGTTAGCTGCCAAGACAATCAACCAACCTCGGCCTGTAGCAGAGTCTCAGCCGGCACGACTGGGAGGCCCACAACTTAGAGAAAACTGCTTAGTGGGCCTCAGTCCTTTCCCTGTTACCCAAATGGTGCTTTTGACTTGAAAATGTATCAGGAAAAAAGTTATGAACAGACACTTCACCCAACTTCACACCTGTACCAGGTCTAGATGTCACCATTTTGACAATGTCTGTAGTATTTTCAGTGTTTTGACAGGTTGGAACCTAATTCATTAACAAAAGTTGAGATTTTCATTGAAAGGAGAATCAAGATGACATCACATCATTGAGGTCTCTCTTTCCCCTGGATTACTTGAAAAGTAGTCCTCAAGTCATAAAAGAAGGCTGTGCAGGTATGTTTTTCAGAATGAATGCAGAAAAAAAAATCCATTCTAACTTCACTGTAAGCCACGGCCAATGTTTTTCCAAGTTCCATATCTTAGTAGGTGAAATAGGTGGGTTTATTTATTTCTTTTCCTCTGTTCCTCATTCCCATGTTTGAGGTATGCATTACCCTGAAATGAGTGTCCTTCTAATATTCCCAGATAAGCCCCAGGAGCCAGGAGGAGTTGCTTTAGTAGGCTTAGGATCAGCTTTGCAGGATAAAATCTCACAATATCTCCACTTACTCCCACCCTTGGCCATTGTTTTATCTAGTTTGGCTAAATACAACTTATGGTTCAAAGAGAAAATGCATGGCATGGTTTTGCTGACTTCCTCAAAATATCCAAGGGATTCCACATGGGTAAATGTAATATAAATAAGAAGTACATGATTCCATTTCTCTGTAAACATGCCTGGGCTAAAGATAAATGGAAAGGGTGCCTGGCTTAAAACCCTCTACTTTCTCCACCTCAGAAAAAAGTAGCATGAACAAATAAAGCAGATCCAAAACACCAGCTCAGGATCACCAAACACAAAGGAGGAAAATAGTGAAATGGCAAAGGAAAACGTAAGTGAAACTTTCCATCTTCATTCACACTGGGGAGCCCAGAGAAGCTAAATCAGCAACTGAATTTTTAAGGATCACGTGTGGCTTTATTGTCACCACTGGCAGTAGAGGTCTGGCCATCTTACCCACGGCCCCGGAGCAGCTGCACTTTGGCTGTGTTCGTCTTTGCTGGTGTATCCCAGCTTGTTGCCAAGGAAAAATGAAATAGAAGCCCAGGAGCAAAAGGCCAATAATGGCAGCAGAAGAAAGGAAACCTGTTAGAATGTCTCTGCCTCTCCATCACCTTTGCTTCCTTTTTAACACTTACTCTTCTAGACCAGATGCTTGTGCTAATAAAGGCCTATTAAATAAGCAACTCAAAAACAATACAGGAGCAAGTCGTCCCACGATAAACGTTGATTAACCCATAATGGACAGTGCACCTTCAAACGGAGGATCTGGGTGCTAAGCAGCAATACAGCTAGTTGGTAAGCACATGACTCCTCATTGAGTCAAAGCAGCTTTGCCACTTACTTTCTGTGTGACACGGGACAAGTCAGTCTCTCCAATTCTCAGATTTGGCATTCATCTAATGGGATTAATAACTATGACTATCTCATGATTTTTGTGTGTCTTAAGGAAATAATCCAGATATACTCTTAACACTTTGCCTGGTACAAAATTCTTACAAAGGTTAGTCATTGTTACTGTTAGAGATTTGAAAATATGCCATATGAGAGGCAAGTGAAATACCCTCTCTAAACCACTTCACTCCCAACTCTGCATAACTCGCAGCTACACAGTGCTCACCAGTTACAGCGCTTAATTCGAGTTTTAAAATTTCTGTTCCCATTTCTTATGCACCATTAAATCTGAGAGAGTGGGAATTCCTCTGGGTACCTGGCCAGGCCCCTGCCTGCATCTGGACCCACCTGGATATTGCATGGATATAAAGAGCACAGCCTGGAGTTTTCATCTACAAAGAAACAGTCTCACTCCGGCCAGCACTGCCTACACGAAAAGCTGGCCAGTCTCTAAGAGAAATACTTTGTCTCAGAGAGCAAGCATAAGGATTTTCCACAGGCTCCCTATCCAAGAGGAACTTCCTGGTAATGAACCATGCAGTGTGCTCATATTTACACGTTAGGCATGCCTGATGTCCAAATCAAAGGCAGCCTCTGGCATTCAGGGTGACACCAATTAAGGGGGTGGCAGCAGCATCCTAGACCATTGAAAATGCCAAAGGATTATAAATCATTCTACTGTAAAGACACATGCACACATATGTTTATTGCAGCAGTATTTACAATAGCAAAGACTTGGAACCAACCCAAATTCCCATCAATGATAGACTGGATAAAGAAAGTGTGGCACATATACACCATGGAATACTATGCAGCCATAAAAAAGAATGAGTTCATGTCCTTTGCAGGGACATGGATGAAGCTGGAAACCATCATTCTCAGCAAACTAACACAGGAACAGAAAACCAAACACCACATGTTCTTACTTATAAGTGGGAGTTGAATAATGAGAATACATAGACACAGGGAGGGGAACATCACACACGGGGGCCTATTGGGGGGTGAGGGGCAAGGGGAGGGAGAGAATTAGGACAAATACCTAATGCATGCAGGGCTTAAAACCTAGATGACGGGTTGATGGGTGCAACATGTATACCTATGCATATGTATACCTATGCAACAAACCTGCACATTCTGCACATGTATCCCAGAACTTAAACTAAAATAAAAAAATAAAAAATATACACATATGCAAACCGGTACAGGGAAAGAAAGGAAGGAAGGAAGGAAGGAAGGAAGGAAGGAAGGAAGGAAGGAAGGAAGGAAGGAAGGAGAAGGGAAGGGAAGGGAAGGGAAGGGAAAGGAAAGGAAAGGAAAGGAAAGGAAAGGAAAGGAAAGGAAAGGAAAGGAAAGGAAAGGAAAGGAAAGGAAGAAAGAAAAAGAAAGAGAGAAAGAAAGAAAAAGAAAGAAAAGAAAAGAGAAAGAAAGAAAGAGAGAGAAAGAAAGAAAGAGAGAAAGAAAGAAAGAAAGAAAGAAAGAAAGAAAGAAAGAAAGAAAGAAAGAAAGAAAGAAAGAAAGAAAGGAAGAAAGAAAGAAAGAAAGAGAAAGAAAGAAAGAAAATGCCATCCATGGGCTGAGGGAGGTATGCAAGTCTGAAGAGAAGCACTCAGTGATGTAGGGTACCAGGTCAGCGCCCAAGTAGCGCTGACAGAGGCAGGCACAAAACAAGATGCCTTTCCTTCCTCCATCTTCCACAGATGGAATCTCTTTGCTCTAACAGGGTTGTTGTGGGTCTGCCACATTATCCAGCTTTTACATTTACTTTTATTTGTGAGACTGAGTTGGTAGTGTCATTTTCCCACTCAGAATAAGAAAATTTGAAATTCCCACTCACAACCAAAACTTTTTGGCCGGGTATAGAGCAAGAAATCTGTACATCCATCAGCAACTCCATCCAGTCAGTCAGTGCATCAAATCAGGAGAGTAGTTGAAAAAGCCCCAATGAGATGATGAATTAATGCACTTTGCTGCTTCTTCCCCTGAACCAAATTCTGAGATACTCCGGGAGCAAAAAGAAATGTGGTGAACCCCAAAACCCAGTGTTACTGCTGTGAGACTCACCCGAGAACACAGAAGGTGGCTAGGTTGCTATGCAGACAAGGCATCCTAGGCTGGAGGAGGGCAAGGCCATCGATGAGCATAGAGCCATGGAGAGCTGTCAGTCTCTGCCCTTTTCTTTCCCCAACATGAACCTGGGAAGATAAGTATCTGCCCATCGTCTAAATGCAGCAATGCCAGCCCAGCCCAGTGCCTGCTGGAAATGAAGGGACACATTGGAGCAGCCCAAAACAGACTTAAGAAGGTCTCTGAGGAGCAAAGTCACCCTGTTACGGAAAAGGTACAAACAGAGAAAGGATCCCTAATACAGTTCCAAGGCAATATGATTCAGGAGGAAAAATGAGTCATTAAATAAGAACAACAGCTCATTTAACAATGTATGCCAGAGGGAGCAGATATCATGGACACAGAAAAAGAACCTAAAAGAAAAGAAGCCCCTATAGGCCTTTGGAGGCTGAGGCAGGAGGATTGCTTGAGGCTAGGAGTTTGAGACCAGCCTGGGCAACATAGGGAGACTCCATCTCTATAAAAAATAAAGAATATAACAGGAATTGTACAAATGTAAATGAGTTGAACTCACCAATCAGATTAGATTTTTTTTAGATTTTTTTTATTTATATAGCATTATGCATTTGCAGGGCACCCTTTTAATAATCATTAAAAATGTAATAAAGTTAATCAGAAAAATCTGAACCAAAAATAAGCCAACATAATTAATTGTCACACAAAGTTTTGTAAAAAAACATAATAATAACCAGAGGAATATTAAAAATTGGTAAAACACTCAAGAAGAATATGAAGATAAAATGAATGTATATGTACTTAACAACGTGGTCTCAAAACATAAACCAAGTCTGAAGAAAATGCAATAAAACAACTGTGGTTAGATTTTAATAAGCCCCTTTCAGGAACTGATGGAGCAAAGAGACAAATAAAAGTAGAGAAATATAAATAGTTGTTAAGCTCAAGTGTTAGGTATATACAGTTCTGCATGAAAGAAAGAAAACATTCTTTTAAAACAATCATGAAATATTCACCAAAATCTGCCATGTACAATCTCACAAAGGAACCTCAATAAATTTCCTAAAGTCATACACACTATGTTCTTTGAATATCATGAATAATTTATGCCAGAAAATTAGATAACCTAGCACAGTGGCCCCCAACCTTTTTGGCACCATGGAAGACAATTTTTCCATGAACCAGGGTTGGGGGGTGGTTTCAGGATGATTCAAGGGCATTACATTTATTGTGTACTTCATTTCTATTATGACTACATTGTAATATATAATGAAATAGTTATACAATTCACCATAATGTAGAACAAGTGGGAGCCCTGAGCTTGTTTTCCTGCAACTAGATGGTCTCATCTGGGGATGATGGGAGACAGTGACAGATCATCAGGCATTAGATTCTCATAAGGAGTGCCCAACCTAGATCCCTGGCATGCGCAGTTCACAATAGGGTTCACACTCCTAATCTAATGCTGCCACTGATCTGACAGGAGGCGGAGCTCAGGCAGTAAGGCAAGAGATGGGAGCAGCTGTAAATACCGATGAAACTTTACCCGCTCTCCCACCACTCACTTCCTGCTGTGTGGCCCAATTCCTAACAGGCGATAGTCCAGTATTGGTCCATGGCCCAGGGGTTGGGACCCCTGACCTAGAAGAAATGGGCAAATTATTTGAAACACACATATTACCTAAACTAACTCAAGAGCATAGAAAATCTCAGCAGACCCATAACAAGAAATTGAATCAATAATCAAAAAATTTTCCAACAACAAAAAAAATGTTCCACACCAGAAGGCTTACTGGTGAATTCTACTGAACATTTTTAAAAGAATTAACAGCAGTCTTTTTCGATCTATTCCAAAAGCTTGAAGAGGAAGAACACTCCCTAAGTCATTGTATATAAGGCCAGCATTACTCTAATACCAAAGTCAAAGACACTACAAGAAAAGAAAACTACAGACCAATAATCCTTTATGAATACAAATACAAAAGTCCTCAACGAATTAAAGAGAGTCTTCACTTAAGGTCATGGGTAAGTTATTGGAAACTGTGACTTTTAAGCAAAATGACATACAGCAAGTCCTTCAATAATGCTTCCTGTTCAACTTCATTGTATGTTAATTTTAATGAAAAAAAAAAAAAACACCTGTTTTTGTTTTAGGTCATTTTGCTTAAAGTCACAGTTTCCAAGGATGTGTTGATGATGTTGAGAAGTTACTGTACTAGCAAGCTGAGTTCAGCAGCGTGTTCAAAGAATTATACACAATGACTAAATGGGATTTATCCCAGGAATGGAAGGGTGGTCCAATATATAAAAAACTAACCAATAATAATTAATTATCAAAATCCCAATGGCATTTTTTGCAAAAATAGAAAAACTCATCCTAAAATTCATATGGAATTTCAAGGGACCCCAATTAGCTAAAAGTATGTTGAAAAAGAAGAACAAAGTTGAAGAACTCATACTTCTCAATATAAAAACTTGATTGACATAGCTACAGTAATCCAAACAATTTGGTACTAGCATAAGGATAGACATGTAGACCAATGGAGTAGAAATGAGATCCTAGAAATAAACTCCCACATCTATGGTCAACTTATTTTTGATCATCCAATGGGGAAAGAACAGATTCTTCAAAAAATGCTACTGCAAAAACTGGATATCCACATGCAAAAGAATAAAGCTGGATCCTTCCCTTACACCATATACAAACATTAACTGAAAATGGACCAAACACCTAAACATAAGAGCTAAAACTATAAAACTCTTAGAAAAAAAAACATAGGGACAAATTTTCATGGCCTTGGATTTGGCAGTGATTTCTTAAATATAGCACTAAAAGCACAGGTAACAAAAGAAAAAAAATGACAAACTGGATTTGATGAAAATTTAAAACTTCTATTCATCAAAGGACACTATCAACAGAATGAAAAGACAACCCACAGATGGGAGAAAATATTTACAAATCACATATTTAAAAGGTCTAATATCTAGAATATATAAAGAACTCCTATAACTCAACAACTAATAGACAACCCATTATAAAAAAAAAAAAAAAAAAGACTTGAGTAGACATCTCTCCAAAGAAGATATACAAATAGCCAGTAAGCACGTGAAAAGATCCTTAACACCATCAGTCATTAAGGAAATGCAAATCATAACCACAATGAGATACCACTTAATACCTACTAGGATGGCTATAATTGAAAACACACACAAACACACACACACACACACACAGAAAGAGAGAGAAAATAACATGTGGACAATAATGTGAAGAAATTGGAACCCTCCTACATTGCTGGTGGGAATGTAAAACTGTGTAGACATTGCAAAAAACAGTTGGCAATTCCTAAAAAAAAAAAAAAATGTAGAATTATCATGCGGCCCAGCAATTCACCTCTTAAATATATAACCCAAAAAACTGAAAATAGGAATTCAAACAAATATATGAACACCAGTGTTCAAGGCAACATTATTCACGGTAGCCCAAAGGTGGAAACAACCAAGGTATCCATCAGCAGATGAATAGATAAACAAAATGTGATATACACATACAATGGAGTATTATTTAATCATAAAAAGATATGAAGTTCTGATACATGCTACAACATGGATGAACCTTGTAAACATTACTCCAAGTGAAATAGGCCAGACAGAAAAGAACAAATATTGTATGATCCCACTTATATGAAATATCTACAATAAGCCAATACATAGAGACAGAAAGTATATTAGAGGTTACCTGGGGCCAAGGGAAAGCAAGAACAGAGGGTAATTGCTCAACAGGGGCAGAATTTCTGGTTGGGTGATGAAAAAGTTTTGATGATGGTTGCACAACATTTTGAATGTAAGTAATGCCACCGAATTGTACACATAAATGGTTAAGACGACAAATTTTGTTTTGTCTATTTTAGCACACACACACAAACACACCTTTAAATAACCAGGCAAATGAGAAGAAAATACTTATTAGGAAGCCAAGAAGTGGGAAAAAAGAAATAACTAGAAGAAATTCAGACAATGGAGTTGTCCGTCATTGAATTTAAAATAACTATGCTTAATATGTTTGCAGAAATTTTCTTGGCTCACTGCAACCTCCGCCTCCTGGGTTCAAGCAACTCTCATGCCTCAGCCTCCTGAGTAAATGGGACTACAGGTGCCCGCCACCGTACCCGGCTAATTTTTGTATTTTTAGTAGAGATGAACTGAAATATACCTGTAATGACATTAAATGCAAACCAATTAAACACTCCATTTGAAAGACTGAGAAATCAAGCCAAACTCAACTATATACTGCTGACAAAAGACCCACCTTAAATATAAAGAAATAGAAATGTTGAAGGTAAAAGGATGACAAAGATATATCATACAAATCCTAACCCAAAGAAAGCTGATGTAGCTATACTAATATTAGATAGTGTAGACTTTAAGGCAAGAAGCACTTCTAGAAATAGAGACACTTCATAAGTGTAAAAGCTTCTACCAAGAAGATACAGCAATTTTAAATTTCTAAGCACTTAACATCATAGACTCAAAACATATAAAACAAAAAGACAAAACTAAAAAAAGTAAAAATGCATAATCTTTGTGGGGGATTTTAATACATTAATATATTTAATATATTTCTCAAAGCAGACATAAAGTCAATAAAGATATAAAATATATGAACCACACAATTAAATAACTTAACCTAACTGAGATACACTAGTTACTACACCCCAAAATTAAATAATACGCAGTCTTTTGAAATTTGCTTGAAAAACTTACCAAAATAGATCCTAGTCCATGCCCTGGGAATATTTCAAAAGGCTGAAATCTTACAGTGTCTATTCTTTAATCAATGACAGAAAGGAATTAGAAAATCTGTGAATGCTTGGAAATTAAGCACCAAAAATGCTTGGAAATTAAGCACTACACATACACAGTCCAAACACTGTACAGCCTCCAAAAATATACATATCTAAGGACTCATACAATGAATTAGAGTGGGTGTCAGCGGACAGAGAATAGTAAATAAGGAAATAAAAAATAAATAAAATGTAACCAACAGACAGGCCATGCACAGCATGATAATTTTGGTGACTCATGACCCAAAAAGTATGTTGAATTCAACCCTGTACACCTGAGGTCAAAAATTAAATAAATAAATAATTTTATAAAGAATTAACTTCTAGAAATCAGAAAATCTAAATCCTAGCATATTCCAAATATACTGTCAAGTCAATGTCTTTGGGCTTCATGTTTGGCATCTACAGAGGATGAATACTAATATTAATGAATAGTCTTTGTATCTCACCCATCAATTCAACAAGCAGCCATTGAATATGTTATGTGGCAGACACTGCACCAGTTGGTGGGGACACAGTTCCAGCTCTCAAGCCTCTTATTCCTCAAGGGCACCGATGTCATACAAAGCAAAAGAAGGAAATTTTGTAATAACAACCACAAAGCAAAATTGCACAGAAGCCACGGGTTACACAACAAAGTTCCAGGTATTTGATAACTGATTTTGACCTGGCTGAGGAGGACCTACCTTTTTTTTTTTGAGACAGCGTCTCACCCTGTCACCCAGGTTGGAATGCAGTGGTGCAGTCATGACTCACTACAGCCTCCACCTCCCTGGGCTAAGTTGATCCTCCCACCTCAGCCTCCCAAGTAGCTGGGACTACAGGCACACACCACCGTGCCCGGCTAACTACAGGCACACAACACCATGCCAGACTAATTCTGTATTTTGTAACTTTTGTATTTTTGTTTCACCATGTTGCCTAGGCTGCTCTCAAACCCCTGGCCTCAGAAGATTCACCGGTCTTGGCCTCCCAAAGTGCTGGGATTACAGGCATGAGCCACCATGACCAGCCAGGACCTATCTTCTGATCCTGGGAATGCTATGCAACATGTGAGCTCCTTCAGGGCAGGGGCAAAGGATTTTCGATTCTGCAATTCCAATGTTTAGCCAAACAAGAGCGTATTACGTTTTTGTTGAATGAATGAATGAATGAATGAATGAAGAATGGATGTCAGTTTGAGCCAGTATTCCAAGTTCTATATTTCTACATCAAGATCCAGGTATAGAAAGAACTGGGGCCTGTGACTGGAGGCAGACTTTACTGCATCCACAAGCAGGTAAACATCATTTGGTGCTGAACTCGAGACAATGTCCAACCCCACACGCAGTCATAATTCCAGGACTTACATCAGAGCATTGGAGAATTTCATTATCTGTCGGCCAACTGTGAATCAAATGCACACAATGCTGAGAAAGAACCACCCATCGTAAAGCCTTAAAAAATAACCTGCTTTCCAATGCATATGCGGGAATAAATAAGCACCTACCAGAGTGCTTGCTGACAATATGAGCAGGAGGATACCCTCCCCATAAGGTTCTTGGAAGAATGACATGAAGTGTAAAAGGCCTGACAACTAGAGGTGCTCAATAAATATTTGCTACTAAATACACAGTGGGTATTCTGTAAATATGAGTTTTTCTTCTCCCTCCTTTCTCACACTCTCCCACCTTTCCAAGAGAGGCAGGTAACCATGAAATAGAGAAATACTTTGAGGAATTTTCCTGCACAATTCTAGCTATATTGAACTGAAGAAAAACATAGCCACTGTTGTAGCATGGAGAGGCCAGGGATACTGGGTGCCACAGGGGGATTCTGGAAGAAGGAGAGACTAGATTTGGGGAAAGAACCATCTGTCTCTGCAAAAGGCCCCAACTTTCCTTCAAAAACTTATTTTCTATTAGGCCTTTGCCCAAACTTAACAACAGATATTTATGTAAAACTGCCTATGTGCCAGGCACTCTTCTAAGTGCTTTACATAGAATCCTAACAACAGTCCAATGAAACAAGTACCATTATCATCCCCATTTTATAGATGCAGATGCTAAGAACTAGAAGGATGAAGAAGTCCAGAGAGTCTCAAAACTGCTTGGGATTTATATCAGTACCTCTAGGAAATGTGTTAAAATGTAAATTCACATCCTCCAGGATTAGGCAAAGTAACTAAGAAAAAAGAAAATTGAGGACTGACAAGAAGACCAAAGGTGGAACCCTGAGAAACAGCAGCTACATTTATGGGACAGATGGAGGAAGAATTGACCTCAGGGTGTGGTGTGAGAAGGTAGCAGGAGAGCCAAGGCAGGGTGCTGTCTTGGCCATTCAGGGAAGGGTGTTCAAATAATGAGGTCACGTCAACCATTTCAGGAAGGTATTGGGAAGTGTTTGCTGGGATTGGCAATTAGCAGGTCACTTACAACTTTGTTGAGAAGAGTTTTAGTGTCGTGCTGGGGAAAGAATAATGGTCTCATCCTCAAATACCTTGTAAGACCCTTGAAGGAATCTCTCTCTCTCTCTCTCTCTCTCTCTCTCTGCGTCTGTTATCTTTGACCAGGCTTATACACAGTAAGTGCTCATTTTGCTGATTTTGCCATTGCTGACAAAGATAATGACATTCTACTATTGCTGTTATGAAGTCAAGAGCAAAAGATGGTGTGTATGTGAGTTGAGATTTCGAAAATATGGGTGCAGGAGGCAATTACCCCTCAATTTCAGTTAGGTAGGAAAGGGGGCAGGCAGACAGAGCTTCCTGCATTGCAGAGAGAGATGACCACAGGATGCCCCATAGACAGAGACCAACTCTACTCAGCCAGAGAGAGAAACTGCAGTTCTCCGATAGTAAATGCAGTTGTCCCCTCTTATGGAGACTCAGCTGCCAAAAACTTAGGTGAAGGTTCAAGGTCACTGTGAACCCAGGGCCACCCTGAAATGCTGTCCATTTGTCTGCCTCTAGTCCTTTTTCGGCTTCTAAAGTCCAATCATTCTTTGCCCTTATAACCACTCTGGTGTGTCTTGGAGAGAAAACACAGTTCTTCACGGTTTGCCAGTAGTCGAGGGAGGAATCTGAAAGCTGACTGTTTCTCCCACAGCTTCAGGAGCATTAAAACTTCAAAAGAGGAACTATTTATGCTGTCATTACCACAGCGGTCACTTCTGCAGGATTTCTTTCTCTGATGCAGCACTGGTTGGACACACTTGGCCCAGGGCCGAGAGGGGAGAGGAGGGCGTTACAGAGACACTGAGTCATCCTGCCTCCTCCACGCCCTCCGCAGCTGCCCCTCACTGCACTTCCTCCTCCTCCTCAAGTTAAAGGTCAGCCTCTCATGCTCGTGCCAAGTTTTGCGAAACACACATACGCCAAAAAAAAAAAAAAAAAAAAAGGCTTCAGAAAGGGTAAATTTTTTAACATGAAAAGAAATAAGGAAAGCCTCCTTCAAAAATACATGCAAAAATAAGTAATCCTTCCCCCATACTACTTAATAACTCCAGAATGATAAAAATTTTCCAATTGTGAATATGTAAGGAATAAAATAAAAGGAATGAATGCCCCACTGTGTTAATGCAGCCCTTTTTAAAATGATCCTAATTTCTTCCAGAAGGCTCTGGAGGGTAGATTGCAAGGTTTGTCTTAATATAGAATTATTCCCTTCTCTCCGCTTGTCTTTAGAACCAGTGTGAACATGGTGATATTTTACAGTTGGCAACCTGTACTTCGCTGCTCAAAAATGCTGCATTCCAAGGGCTACAATCATGCATTGTGCATTTGAAATGCCTGTTGCTAAGAACAAATATCAACCCCAGGACGACCCCACTCAGCAGATCGGCCAACTCCCGCACAGAGCTGTTTCCCGACCTCTGGTCAGAGACAGGAAGCCCATTGGACCCTAGGCCCAGGCAAGTGCGGAGGGTTCCCAGGCAGGTGACATGGTAAAATGTAGACGACTAGCTCTCTGTCTGTCTTCAGGATAACGTCTGCCTCCCACCCTTCCTGGTCCCAGCTTAGGAATGTATGCAGCCCTTTTATGTGCATTGCCAGGAGGCTTGTGAAGTAGATTGGACAGAGGTTTTACAGCATTGTTCCTATTTAACTGATCAAGGACTGAACCTTGTAGTTTAACAACATGAAGTTGTACGGGAACAACTAAGCAGTTGCTGGACTAAAACCCTCAGCTTCCGAATCGCAGCCCCATTAAACTCACTTCCAGCCCCGTTGTACCCTCTTTCCCCATGAGGCCGCCCCAGTGGTGCTGAAAACAGGGACTGACCTGGTTGCAACGGGAGCCTGGGGTCCTGTTCTTTGCATGTTCCCACACTGCCCTTAAAGGCTGACTGCCCCGTGGGCACTGTACATCTGCAGATCACTCGCTTTCGACATTCAGAGACCTCCATCTCATGGCAGGGTTGCCCGTGTCCACACCTCGCACTTCTCCCATGCCACTTACAGCCTGTTTCAGATTAGTTTTAACAATTGTTTTCTGGAGATTTTCCAAACTTTCCTCAGCCAAACAATCAGGGAAAGGGATAGGCCTGGCGCCGTGCAGAGGAATGGAGCCCTTCCCGCCCTGGAGCCACCTCCAACAGAGGCAACTCCGTGTACGGTGAACATTACCCTAACTGGTGAAAGTGATGATGTTCAATTATGTTGTATGTTATGTGCTTTTGTTTTTTGCACTTCTCTGTAAATGTCCTTCTTCCTAGTGAGTGGAGGGGTGTTGGGGGCGGAGTACTAGGATGTGAAAGTAAACACCAAGAGAAAGGTACAGGTTCAACGTGAGCATCTACAATAGGATTATCAAACCTGCAGAAAGGCTTTGTTAGGAGAGAAAGGGGTTTCCTCAATCCCTCTTTCTACCTTTCTTTAACATTTCAGAAGGCAAGTCTGGCAAACCTGCTCCCGGAGTTCTACCTGAGAGACATCTCACCCATTCTCCTGATGAATGGAGAGAAGAAGGAAGACAAAGAGAGAGGGAGAAATTTGGGGACAAGGAATGTGATCCCCACCCCCTAAGTCCCACATCTCTCAAAGGGGGTCTCAGGGGCTTTACAGGCACTGGGTTAGGTATGGGGAGCCCAAACCATCGGCTGAGCGCATGCTGCTGGGACCTTCCAGGGCAGTCTGCCATTTGCAACATGAAGCAGGAACAGTGGTGCCCAGGAGGCATGGGATGCGACGAGATGGATCATTGGAGGACATGGCCTGGGTCTCCATGGCTGGTGGACTGCAGGTCAGGGCCCAGAAGTTCCCCATGCCTCTGTGAATACAAGTGGAAGTGATGAGAGGCAGCTGGGTTGGCATCGACCTGGATGGGAGTGAAGAGGCCACAGGGGGAGGCTGTGAGAGAAAACACATGGCCACCACCATGTTACAAGAAAGTCACGGTATTAACTACAATCACATTTGGGCACTACCTTCAAGTAACAAGCAGAATCACCACTCCCCTACCTCCACCAATATCACCCTGGCCCAAGTCAGTTTTGTCTCCCATCCTGACTTCGTTTCTTGCTGCATCCGCCTCCTTACTGGCCATGTTGTTTCCACTCTTGGCCCTTGCAGTCTATTTTTCACCTAGGAGCCAGAGTGACTCCTTTAAAAATGTAGCAAAGACCGTGACACTTCTCAAGTCAAAACCCTCCAATGACTTCCCAATTGATTTGAAATATAAAGTCCTCACTATAGCCAATAGGATGCTACATGATCTGGCTTCTGTCTCCCTCTCAAACTCCATTTCCTACTGGGTCACCCTCTCCCACTCCACTGCAGTCCAGGAAAACCTGGCTGACCCACAGACACGCCAAGCATGTTCCCAGCTGAGGCTTTCTGCACTTGCCTGTCCATCTGCCTGGAATGTTCTTCTCTCAAGATCCTCTTGGCTTGCACCTTCATTTCACTCAGGTCTCTTCTGTCACCTCCTAGGCCAGGCTGTGCTTAAACCACTCTTCCCAAAGTAGCACCCTGCCTGGGTTACTCCCTACCCTATTTCTTTATACTGCTTCATTCTTCCTAATGCCTACCACCAATGACATTTATATTGATTTGCTCCCTCTCTGTCTCTCCAAACTAGAAAGGAGGCTTTGTGGGGAAAAAGACTGTTGTTCACCGCCTGTCTCCAGCACTAGTACGCTGCCTGGTGCATAGTACATGCTCAGTGAACATTTGTTGAATGAATAAAAGTGGCACACCCAGGATCTGTAAACTTCAGAGCTCATGCTCTCAACCACTTTTCTATGCCACTCCCCGGTATGGGACATGTTGATCAATCCAAAGAGCAGCTGTAAGCAATGGACACACACACAGGTGTGCTTGGCAGTCCTCAATAAATCTCTGTTCAAGAGAAGGCACATCCAGGATGAAAGCCTCAGTTATTCAGCTTCTAGGGATGGGGAATATATGAATTATAGAAAGGTCAGTCAGCTAATAAAGTGCAAAACTATTAAACGTCTAATTCACTATCATGATACCTGTTCTACACTCCTTACACCACTAAATGCCATTTGAAATTACCACGTGTATTCGTTGTTTATTTGTTTATCATCTGTTTCCTTTATTACCATGTAAGCTTTATGAGAGGACACAGTTTGCCTTCAATGTGGAATGATCGGAACAATAAATATATTAATGAATTCATGCAACTGATTTGTTTAGTTCTGTTTCCACAACTCCCAAACAACTTCCAAATTATAATTTTACTTCACAGAAAGATGATGTCCAGATCAAACTAATGCAAATATAATACTCACTGAGTAATTAATATAGTGGTGTTTTCATCTATACATCAGTTTCTTAAAGCTTGATTAGTGTGAATCTGTCTTTGAAAATCAACCTTAGTCTCAACATGCAAAAAAAATAAAAATCAGAAGACCAGTCTCTGAAATAGAATGAAATCACCAAAATAAACTTCTCTTTAAGAGGCTTCAGGACTGTTGCAATAAATTAGAAGAAAGGTAGAATGAAATCCTTTGATTAATATCAGTCACTTTTCTCATGATTCTAATTTATTCCAACCAATAGGGCAAAGGAAGATTTCACACAGAGGGAGGTGATCTTTGCGATTTTGTAGATCTTAAAATCCAGTATTGAGAAGTTTAGGAGAAAAAAGTGCCATGATTGATTGGTGATGTCTGCCATGGCACAGGAAGAAGGAGGGTGGCATTTACACCACAAATCTGACATCCCTCACCTAGACAGTCTTTAGTCTTCCCATTCCCTTCAAAAGTTGAGACATCTTTTCAGAGTCCCTGATTACAGAGCACCACAAAAATCTAATCAAGGGAGTCATCCATCTGGGATTCTCTACTTCCCTTTCCTTGTTGTTTCCTGGATTATTCATGTAGGAAAATTACTTTTCATCCTTCAATTCCTACCAAGTTTGTTTCCTTGTTCACAGGGAGCCAGCTAGACTCTCTCAGACCCTCCAGTAGAAAACGATAATCTATGGACAGTTATTTGTTTGCAAAATCCTGTGCACTTTGGTTCCACAGCCCAGCATTCAAGTTGAGAACAAGAACATTCCATCTCAACTTTTTATTGGTATTACTCATGTATGCTTCAACTCATCTCCTTACACTCTGCTTCTAAAATTAGGCATTGGAACAAATGCCATTCCTGCGTCAGATGGGTTTGTTTTTCTTATCTCATAGGTCAAGAAGACATCCTCCACTCCTGCTTCCTGACCCGCCTGGACTACCTGGAAAAAAAAAATCGTAAGCATCTTATCAGTAGCCAAGTTTTCTCATTGGGGGCTATAACCCTCATGTGACTAAAGAGAAGCCCAAAGCGTGCCGGAGCTTGAAGAGCAGAAGGCCTTTCAGAAACAATCACTAAATACAACTCAAGACTGAAAGCTCAACTTTCGGAGTATGATTCTATTTCACTTCTCATTATGCTACAACTGGACCCTTAGGGCTTATTAGAAATTTCTTTTGGGGGACCCAGCCATGTGTGTACCCATAACAAAGAATGATCTTTGTCTGGAAAGGTTGTCCTCTCAAACCCAACATGCAGCTGCAGGAGATCTGGGCCATGGAAGGGAAAGGACAAGTCTATCCAGGGAACATGATTAGCAAGCAATGCAGTGACAAAAGTAGCAGCTACATTGCCCCTGGATCTGTATCTAATTCTCAGGGAACAAAAACTTTTTTCACAATATTATTTATTTCTCACTTTCATCTCTAAGGCAAGACAATCAATTCTATGAAGGTAGGGCCCATGTCTTTTTTTTTTTTTTTTGTATTTATTTCTAAAATGAGCTTCCAGTAAATATTTATACTTTGACAGTAGGGTGGGCATGATAACCATTTTATAGATGGGGACAGGAGACAGCTAAGGTTGTCTGGCTACTACCTAGAAGCTTGATGACTGAATTAACAAATTACTAGTGAAGAGTAAAGAGTACACAAAGAGATGACCTGACTTCTAACCTCAACGCAAACATTTAAAACATGACTCGTACACTGGTAAAAGGTAATATCTCCTTTCCTTAGAGTACTAGAACATTCCATTTTACTCCAGTCTTCCCAACTTCACACAACTGCTACCCCATGAGGGTATATCATATTTGGGTTATCCACAGCTAGTATGGTCTCAATAGCCAACGGATGGAAAGAAAGGAAATATTAAGGATCCTTTGGAAAGTGAAGAAAACACACTTTCTGAACATAGTATGAGTTAGAATCATCAAATTAAGACACCAGTAATTAGCTGGGCATGGTGGCTCACACCTGTAATCCCAGCAGTTTGGGAGGCGTAGGTGGTCAGATTGCTTGAGTCCAGGATTTCAATACTAGGCTGAGCAACATGGTAAAACCCCGTCTCCCTGGAAAAAAAAAATGCAAAAATTAGCTGGGTGTGTTGGCACATGCTTGTGGTCCCAGCTACTTGGGAGGCTGAACAGGGAGGACCACTTGAGCCCAGGAGGCAGAGGATGCAGTGAGCCGTGACTGCGCCACTGCGCTCCAGCCTAGAGGACAGAGTGAGACCCTGTCTCAAAAAAAAGAAAAAGAGAAAGACAAGACACCAGTAAATATTCAAAAGGAGCTAATATTTACTGATTAGCTCCTTTTGAATATTTACTGGTGTCGAGCATTTTATAATAAAATGTCTCACTTAAATATGTTGTTTTTTACTTCTAATCATGTAGATATTTTCATATTTTTGTTCTCATGGAGTTCTAGATCTAGAAACTTTGTGAGACGGTCTGTAAATAGAAATGGGGCGATCCACAGATTGATCAATTGTTCCCCCATCTCCTTTAAAAACATAATTTAAGCCTTGATTCTGTATAAATTATGTTAAAATAAACACAAATATTTATGATAAAAGGAAGAACAGAATAAAATTTCAGTGACACCACTAAATCTAATGGCACATGAGCTATTTAGAATAACGTTTATGAGCATTTTTACAATCGGGAATTATTTTAACATGACTCATTAGGTTGACGGGCTCCTCTTAAGAGGAAGTCACGTTGAATCTATGGATTTTTGAAGTGTTCATCCAGGCCTTGATCAGGCTGTGGGCAGACACCTCAGATCAGAGTCACCCAGGCCAACACCAATTGTTTGGTTGTAGTTTGTTTTGTTTTACACCAGATGGTAAGTGGTTGAGAGCACATCTTGCCCTTGCCGTCTCAAAAATCAACACTTCATTTATAAGAAACAGGACTATTTACACGAGTTTAAAACGGAGTTTCTTTGTGGAAAATCTGTTCTGATCAATTAAAAAATACACTTTGATTCTCACCTGTTTTCTCATCAGCTTCCCCAAGTAGGAGGATGCATTGACTCCATGTTGAGTGTTTATAGCTAATAGCATAGATACCATATTTTAAGCACCTGCCATGTTTTAGATAGTTAGCTCAATTATCCACATTCCTCCCATGTGAGGTAGCATTATTTCCCCTTGTTTTAGAGATGAAGAAACATCTCTAAAAGAGATGAGGCATATCAAGGTTAAGGAACTTGGCCAGAATCACCCAGACAGAAGAAAGCTGTGGAACTAGAATCTCAAACCAGGTCTTCTAGATCCCAGACTTATTGTCAAGCTGAGGTGGGCCAGTACTCATCGGCACAGTCCCAGAACAAAACTCAGGAGATATGAGTCTGTAGCCAGAGTGTGACTTAACTCACAGGGAAAAGACAGGTGTCTGTGTCCCCGCCAAGACTTGCAGCCTGGCTGAGCTGTCTGGGGTTTGCTGGGGCAGAAAGAAGCATTCACCTTCACTACAGAATGAAGTTCATCATAGATTAAAAGAGGTGAGCAGGAATGACCAACTAGGGAGAAGCAATGTTACACTTTGAGCAACTTCATATCTGCTCACCTACCTTTAAGTGCTAGCAGCAGACAAACGGCCACCACTAACAGCACCAGGACTGCTACCATCACTGCCACTGCCAGCACCGTGAAAATGCCAGTGCCACTCAGCTCTGCCACCCCTAGCACCAACTCATTCCCACTCTCCTTTATCTCTTTTGTTCACTGGCTTTTTTGGTCTTTCCCATCCCCTCTTCCTCGACTGTCTCCCACTAACCAACACAAAACCAGGGAGGTTGTTATCACCAGCACAGGAAAAAAGAAATCATTCTGTTTCTTGTTCAACTCCCACTCAGTCCTTGGCAGGATTATAGACCTAAACGAGGATGTTTACTGAATAACTACATTTGTGCATTTCTTTTTTTTTTTTAGACAGAATCTCGCTTTGTCTCCCAGGCTAGAGTGCAGTGGCGCAATCTTGGCTCACTGCAGCCTCTGTCTCCCAAGTTCAAGCAATTCTCCTGTCTCAGCTCCTGAGTATCTGGGACTACAGCCACACGCCACGATCCCCAGCTAATTTTTGTATTTTTAGTAGAGACGGGGTTTCACTATGCTAGTCAGGCTGGTCTCAAATTCCTGACTTCAGGTGATCCACCCACCTCAGCCTCCCGAAGCACTGGGATTACAGGCATGAGCCACCGCGCTCAGCCCATTTGTGCATTTTCGAAAGCTCACTCAATAATCAGATAACACTGGGGTCCAAACTTGAATCTGCCACTTAGGCACCATGTGACATTGGACAAGGTATTTAAAGTCTCTGAACTTTGGGTGCCCTGTCTTGAATAGGGATAAAAGTTCTACATTTTAGGATTCTTGTGATAACAGATGTTGTGGGGAGGGAGAATTTGGCATAGTTCCAAGATAGTTGCATCTGTATCTGAACCTAGAGGCAATCAAGTGTGGGGCAACCTAGCATCTCCTCTCCAGCTGGCCACTCTCAAGTCTAAGTCCCTTCCTGACTGCTGATACCTGGTAATATGGGGACCACTGGCAAGAAAGGGTATGTGAATTGAAAGAACAGGACACGGAGATCACAGGGAAGATGTGAGTGGCATTGGTGATTGTGTGTGGGGAAAGAAATGTGAATTTCAGCAAGCCTCTCATTTGTGAAGGCCTGAAAAAATTTAAACAGAAAGCAAAATTATTTCAGGTATATTAAGCAGAAAGATATTTAATACAGGGAATTGGGTGCTTACAAAGTCTTTGGAAGGGCTGAAAGACAAGTTGTGGATGACCCTTACAGCAATGACTCCCAGAACAACACAGATTGTCTCAATGGGTTAGCTGTTACTCTGAGGCTTCTACTGAAGCTATGGATTCAAGACCCTCTCCCATAGCTGTGATCCAGAGATCAAGAGGCCACAATCAGGAAGCCACCACAGCTGCTTCTCTCTCTGCAACTGTGTCTCAATGCCCAGGAAGCTGAAGAAGGCATACTGCAATGCTGCTGCAGGACAATCTCATTGAAAAAGAAAAAAGAAAGAAAGATGGCTTCCACTTCACTTCTGCCTTCCAGATCTGAAGCCTAGGAGTACACAATTATCAGAACCTAATTCTATTCAGAATCCTAGCTGCCAGGGAATCTGGCATATGTCAATTTTAAATTTCCAGTGCCTCCAACTAGAAGGAAAGCAAAATGGAGCTTGAGCAAGCAATCCACAGCACCCACTGCTTCTAAGACCTTTGAACTCCACAAGTTAAGGCTCCCTGAATTTGCCAAATTTCTTCTTCCTGCCAACCTCTATATTGATTTTTCATTGTCCAAAATCTAACACTTTATATAATCAAGACATGTTGTCTTTTTAGCTCCTACTATTTTGATTTAAAAAATCCTTCTTATCTTGTTCTAATACATCTTAAATCTCAACTACATGGATGCTTATCTTTTCTCTTTTGTAATATGTGATTTGACTTATTTTTTACATATGAATTTGTCTAACTCTGATAAACTTTGAGTTTACCCTTGGAAACTAATTTAGGATGAAGATTACATAAAAGACACTGGACAATCTTTTATCTGGCCAATCACATACCTTCAATTGATATGGGGGAGAAAATGGAGCAGAGAAATTCTCTATTTTATTTTAAGATTGCTACCAAGAAGATTCTCTAACATCACTAGATTCATATTTCTATTCATTTTGCCTTAAATGGATTCATGTTAAGGTTTTGTGAGGGGGTTTTTTGGTTTTTGTTTTGTTTTTTGTTTGTTTGTTTGTTTTTTGACATGGAGTCTCACTCTGTACCCCAAGCTGGAGTGCAGAGGCATGACCTTGGCTCACTGCAACTTCTGCCTCCCGGGTTCAAGCAATTCTCCTGACTCAGCCTCCTGAATAGCTGGGATTACAGGCATGTGCCACCATGCCCGGCTAATCTTTGTATTTTTAATAGAGACAGGGTTTCACCACCTTGGACAGGCTGGTCTCAAACTCTTGACCTCAGGTGATCCACCTGCCTCGGCCTCCCAAAGTGCTGGGATTACAAGCGTGAGCCACTACGCCCGGCCAAGTTTTTGTTTTTAATGACCAAAAACTTTAGCATGAGAAATATTAATAATAAAAATAAATGCTTGGCTTTCATTCAATTTAGTCATAAATATAAGGCATTTTTATATTCATTATTCTTTGCTGCAATCCTAATTTTTTTCTTCAATTGCAGCCTGGCCTTTTTTTTTGTATGTTACCTTAAATTTAGGAAATTTTCAAATGTATACAATAGTAGCTACTTTTATTTCAATTTTACCCCCCAGCACTAATTATTTTGAAGCAAACCTTAGAAATCATTTTATATTTTTAAATATGGAAATCCAAATTACCACTAACATACTTAAAAAATAACATTAACTACTCAATACAATTAAACATGAGTTGGTATTCACATGTCCATATCTTTCTTTCTTAACTTTTTATTATGCAGAATTTTGAACCTACACCAGAGTAGATAAAATAGCACAATAATCTCTTATATGTACATCATTTGACCCCAACAATCATCAACCCTTAGTCTTTCTGGCCTCATCCCCATCCCTCTACACTTCTGAAGCAAATCCCAGACTTTATGTCCTTTCTGTAAATATTTTAAATGTATCCGTGAAAGATAAAGACTCTGACATAACTACAGTACCAGTATCACAGGCAACGCAGTAATAATTCCTTATACAATGTTTAAATTTTCTTAACTCATAAATGTCAAAAATATTTTCACAGTTTAAAAAAATGAGGATACTTTTTAAAAATGGAATTTAAAGATCTGTACATTGCAATTGATTGACGTCCTTTAGGTTTTCTTTGATATTAATTGTTCCTTTACCACTTCTTACTTTTTTCCTTGCTATACATTTTGAAGAAACTGTGTTGTTTGCCCTATAAAGGTCCCCACAGTCTGGATTCTGGCGATTGTAGCCCCGTGGTATAGTTTAGCGTGTTTCTCTGTCATCCGTATTTCCTGTACATTGGTAGTTAGAGCTAGAGGCTTAATCATATTCAGGTATTTTTGTCAAGCCTATGTCATACAGGATTTCTATTTTTCCACTGGGGGATGCACAACATTTCGTTACCACTAGCTTTGTGATATTACTATTCATTCATGTTCAATGACTGGATCCATCACTTCATTAGGGATTACAAAATGGTAATATTCCTCACTTCAATTATTAGTTGGAATCCTTCTATAATGAGAAACTTTCTTCATCTTCTACTTAGCTATCTGATGGTACAGTTCATATTAGAAAGGCAGAGTAGATGCTTGATTCTTTCTCCTCAATTAGTTTCAAGTAATAAGCTGGTTCCTTGGCATCCTCCTGTGGCGATCAATTCATTTTTCTTTTAAGAGTAATATTATGAACTCATAAATTTAAACATATTTGAACCATTTATATTCACTGAAGTAATTCTTTTTCATGCTCAGATTTCCCCATCTTTAGCCAAGTTAGCTCTGAGTTTTTCTAATATGACCCTAGTAGTCTTTGATGCCTTCCTTGCTATCTAATAGGACAAGATTTTCTATATGCACACTGTAAATCATGCCTGAAATTGGCCACATTTCCTAGGAGCACTGGTTCCTTTTAGTGGGAAGTGATACTAGAGCCAACAGTCTATTATTAGGGCTGTTCATTGGTACTTCATTGTCCTAAAATTATCTTTATAATCTTTTATGTAGTTTACTGTTTGAATTGGGATACAACTAAGTTCCATACATTACTATTGGTTATTGTATCACTAAGATTGTTTTAAACTACAGGTTCCCTCATGCATTTTTGCCATGTGGCGGTGGTGTTGAAGAAGAAGAAAAAGAAGGAGGAGGAGAAAGAGGAAGAACTTTCCAGTTTCCCGTATCTGGATTTTGCTAACCTCGTCCCATGGTCTTTTACCACGTTCCTCTGTTTCTTGTTTTCCTGTATATTCATTGTTGGATCTAGAGGCTTGATTAATCCAAGGCTTTACTGATTTTATTTTCTCTCCTAGCTTTCAATTTGTTCCAATTTTATATAAGTGAAATATATTTGATTTACTTACCCAAATGCATCAAAAAATCTCAGAGAGAGAAATGCTACTCAAAAGCACCCCAAATATTATTCATCTCTATACATTGCAGTATAAATGACCTACCTTTAATTCCCACAAAAATAAAAATAAGGCCAGGAGATAAACAAGACTGAAAAAGACACAGCATCATATGCAAAAGATTCCTCTTGTCTTCCAATGTGCCACTTTTCTTTGCTTCTCTCTAAATTACTACAAGAACAGGACTCCTACCTTACAGCAGGTCCTATGTGGCCTATCCCACTCCGTCACCCTCAGTATCTTCTAATTCAGATCAATATAAACATTCATTTTTAAGAGAAAGAATTTGAGCATCCAGGCCTGTGCCTTCTATGGTTATTCTTTGCCAGACTATAAGTAAACTTGGTTATCCAAAGCTCAAGAAAAATAACCAAACTTTTCTCTTTGCAAAAACATTTTGTTATCAGTCTTCCAGAAGCTTCTAGATATTAATCTGAGGCTGGAGGGCTGGGGAAGGGGGAGAGGAGATAAAGAAACTCTCAGTTAACCAATCCATTGGTCATGAGTATGAACCAAGATCATGGTCCTGTATCAACAGCCTTAGTGTAATTGGATTCATAGAGAATATAATGAGGAAAATGTGCTATATACAAATGATTTTGCAGAATAAATAGCACTATGAGCAGAGATTAAATTTGAAGGGGGCTGAAATCATGCAGCAGCTTAATCTCAGCTCAGAATTTCCTCAGATACAGAAGTCTACCACTTGAACAGTGCACATTTCAACAATGAGCTGATTGAGTGCCACACGAAAGGAAAGAACTGAGTGAAGTGGGCTCAGAGCACGTTCATGGAGCCTGGCACAGTTTGGTCCCATTGGCATTGCTCACTGCACTCAATCAGTGGTGCAGAGGTGAAGCGAGGAAGGCAGAGGAGCATCTTGAGCAGGGCCAGTTTATGGAGCAAACTGTGAACCCTGCGTGCAGTCTCTGCAGTCTCTGCTGCTCACAGCCCCTCTAACCTGGAACTATGATCTGTCTTTCCCCCTGAGCCTCTGCCTTGCCTGTACCTGAACAAACCCCGAGGAAACAGTATGCTAATAGCCTCCAGCTTCTCCTAGAATGTCTCAGGATGGGTGAAGTTACTGATATCTCCGAGGTGTGCCCTGAGCATCTTGATATCCTTGAAACCCTTCCACCTCTGGCTTCAGCCATCCATTCCACTGAACTGGCCTCTCTCCCAGTTCCAATCTGGTTTCCACTAAAACGTGTTCCCCCTGAGCTTCATGCAACTGGATCCTGACACTGTGCTGTGGATGCTGTGTCTGGGCCTCCTGCATTTGTAGCCCAGTGACACAGTCTTTCAGGTGCTGCCACCATCCCAGTCCCTACCCCCAACCCCCATGGGAGAGGGCACCGGGCCACAAGTTTTGGGATCAAGCCCAAGCTCTAAAAATTTCCTGCAATTTAATCATCCTGTGAGTTCCCATTTCCTCATCAGAAAGTTAGGGATACTATTAACTAGCCTCCGCACTGTTGAGAGTGGTTAAATAAAAGCAGGGTATGCAATACGGAAACACCCATATTCATAAAGCAAGTCCTTAGAGACCTACAAAGAGGCTCAGACTCCCACACAATAATAATGGGAGACTTTAACACCCCACTGTCAATATTAGACAGATCAACGAGACAGAAGGTTAACAAGGATATCCAGGACTTGAACTCAGCTCTGGACCAAGTGGACCTAATAGACGTCTACAGAACTCTCCACCCCAAATCAACAGAATATACATTCTTCTCAGCACCATATCACACTTATTCTAAAATTGACCACATAATTGGTAGTAAAACACTCCTCAGCAAATGCAAAAGAACAGAAATCACAACAAACTGTCTTTCAGACCACAGTGCAATCAAATTAGAACTCAGCATTAAGAAACTCACTCAAAACCACACAACTACATGGAAACTGAACAACCTCTCCTGAATGACTACTGGGTAAATAACAAAATGAAGGCAGAAATAAAGATGTTCTTTGAAACCAATGAGAGCAAAGACACAACATACCAGAATCTCTGGGACACATTTAAAGCAGTGTATACAGGGAAATTTATAGCACTAAATGCCCACAAGAGAAAGCAGGAAAGATCTAAAATCGACACCCTACCATCACAATTAAAAGAACTAGAGAAGCAAGAGCAAACAAATTCAAAAGCTAGCAGAAGGCAAGAAGTAACTAAGATCAGAGCAGAACTGAAAGAGATAGGGACACAAAAAACCCTTAAAAAAATCAACAAATCCAGGAGCTGGTTTTTTGAAAGATCAACAAAATACATAGACCACTAGCAAGACTAATAAAGAAGAAAAGAGAGAAGAATCAAATAGACACAATAAAAAATGATAAAGGGGATATCACTACTGACCCCACAGAAATACAAACTACCATCAGAGAATGCTATAAATACCTCTATGCAAATAAACTAGAAAATCTAGAAGAAATGGATAAATTCCTGGACACATACACCCTCCCAAGAATAAACCAGGAAGAAGTTGAATATCTGAATAGACCAATAACAGGCTCTGAAATTGAGGCAATAATTAATAGCCTACCAATCAAAAAAAAGTCCAGGACCAGACGGATTCACAGCCAAATTCTACCAAAGGTACAAAGAGGAGCTGGTACCATTCCTTCTGAAACTATTTCAATCAATAGAAAAAGAGGGAATCCTCCCTAACTCATTTTACAAGGCTAGCATCTTCCTGATACCAAAGCCTAGTAGAGACATACACAAAAAGAGAATTTTAGGCCAATATCCCTGCTGATCATCGATGCAAAAATCCTCAATAAAATACTGGTAAACCGAATCCAGTAGCACATCAAAAAGCTTATCCACCACAAT
The DNA here is from genome assembly GCF_000001405.40 of Homo sapiens. NCBI lineage: Eukaryota > Metazoa > Chordata > Mammalia > Primates > Hominidae > Homo > Homo sapiens. The sequence continues at coordinate 40,417,044 of NC_000013.11, forward strand.
CAAGTTGGCTTCATCCCTGGGATTCAAGGCTGTTTCAACATATGCAAATCAATAAATGTAATCCATCACATAAACAGAACCAATGACAAAAACCACGTGATTATCTCAATAGAAGTAGAAAAGGCCTTTGACAAAATTCAACAGCCCTTCATGCTAAAAACTCTTTATAAACTAGGTAATGATGGAATGTATCTCAAAATAATAAGAGCTACTTATGACAAACCGACAGCCGATATCATAGTGAATGGGCAAAAACTGGAAGCATTCTCTTTGAAAACTGGCATAAGACAAGGATGCCCTCTCTCACCACTCCTATTCAACATAGTGTTGGAAGTTCTGGCCAGGGCAATCAGGCAAGAGAAAAAAATAAAGGGTATTCAATTAGGAAAAGAGGAAGTCAAATTGTCTCTGTTTCCAGATAACATGATTGTATATTTAGAAAACCCCATCATCAAACCCCATCGTCTCAGCCCAAAATCTCCTTAAGCTGATAAGCAACTTCAGCAAAGTCTCGGGATACAAAATCAATGTGCAAAAATCACAAGCATTCCTATACAACAATAACAGACAAACAGAGAGCCAAATCATGAGTGAACTCCCATTCACAATTACTACAAAGAATAAAATACCTAGGAATACAACTTACAAGGGATGTGAAGGACCTCTTCAAGGAGAACTACAAACCACTGCTCAACGAAATAAAAGAGGACACAAACAAATGGAAGAACATTCCATGCTCATGGATAGGAAGAATCAATATCAAGACAATGGCCATACTGCCCAAGGTAATTTATAGATTCAATGCTATCCCCATCAAGCTACCACTGACTTTCTTCACAGAATTGGAAAAAACTACTTTAAAGTTCATATGGAACCAAAAAAAGCCCGCATAGCCAAGACAATCCTAAGCAAAAAGAACAAAGCTGGAGGCATCATGCTACTAACTTCAAACTATACTACAAGGCTACAGTAACCAAAACAGCATGGTACTGGTACCAAAACAGATATATGGACCAATGGAACAGAACAGAGGCCTCAGAAATAACACCACACATCTACAACCATCTGATCTTTGACAAACCCGACAAAAACAAGCAATGGGGAAAGGATTCCCTATTTAATAAATGGTGCTGGGAAAACTGGCTAGCCATAGGTAGAAAGCTAAAACTGGATCCGTTCCTTACACAGTATACAAAAATTAACTCAAGATGGGTTAAAGACTTAAATGTTAGACCTAACACCATAAAAACCCTAGAAGAAAACCTTTGCATGGGCAAAGACTTCATGACTAAAACACCAAAAGTAATGGCAGCAAAAGCCAAAATAGACAAATGGGATCTAATTAAACTAAAGAGCTTCTGCACAGCAAAAGAAACTATCATCAGAGTGAACAGGCAACCTACAGAATGGGAGAACATTTTTGCAATCTACCTATCTGACAAAGGGCTAATTTCCAGAATCTACAAAGAAATTCAACAAATTTACAAGAAAAAAAAAAAACCCATCAAAAAGTGGACAAAGGATATGAGCAGACATTTCTCAAAAGAAGACATTTATGCAGTCAACAGACATATGAAAAAATGCTCATCATCACTGGTCATCAGAGAAATGCAAATCAAAACCACAATGAGATACCATCTCACACCAGTTAGAATGGCGATCATTAAAAAGTCAGGAAACAACCGATGCTGGAGAGGATGTGGAGAAATAGGAATGCTTTTACACTGTTGGTGGGAGTGTAAATTAGTTCAACCATTGTGGAAGACAGTGTGGCTATTCCTCAAGGATCGAGAACTAGAAATACCATTTGACCCAGCCATCCCATTACTGGGTATATACCCAAAAGATTATAAATCATGCTACTATAAAGACACATGCACACGTATGTTTATTGTGGCACTATTCACAACAGCAAGGACTTGGAACCAACTCAAATGTCCATCAGTGATAGACTGGATTAAGAAAATGTGGCACATATACACCATGGAATACTATGCAGTCATAAAAAAGGATGAGTTCATGTCCTTTGCAGGGACATGGATGAAGCTGCAAACCATCATTCTCAGCAAACTATCACAAGGACAGAAAACCAAATGCCACATGTTCTCACTCATAGGTGGGAATTGAACAACGAGAACACATGAACACAGGGCGGGGAACATCACACCCTGGGGCCTGTTGGGGGGTGGGGAGCTGTGGGAGGGATAGCACTAGGAGAAATACCTAATGTAAATGACGAGTTGATGGGTGCAGCAAACCAACATGGCACATGTATACCTATGTAACAAACCTGCACATTGTGCACATGTACCCTAGAACTTAAAGTATCATAATAAAAAAAAAAAGCAGGGTATGATGAATAGGTTGTGATGCTTCACTTCTGTCTAGGGCTTGTCTTCACATCAGCTTTCTGTGTGATAGGTATTTCTCTAGGAATGACCTTTGGGAAACCTGATGCCTTTATCTCTATAGAGTCAGCTTAGTGAGAATTCTGAGTAACATAACACTCAGGACACTGGTGTCCCTCTGCAGCTGCCTCCTACATATTCTTCAGGACCCTTCTGGGTCTTTCAGATAGTAAGCAATGTAGTTTGGAGCACCCTGAAGTAGGCCAAATGGTCAATAGCATAGCAAGAGCCTGGCCAGACCACCAGGCAGCTACCAAAAGAAGAAAGATGGATTCTTTAAATCTCACAGCAGCTCACCCAGGAAACAATTTCACATGAGCACAGTGTGAAAAGTCTTATAGAACCAGCACTGTATCACTGGGCTAAAGTCAATCCCATTGGAACCACTGTCAACAGAGCCACCTTTGAAAACAACAGGTAGATTTAAACATAATTAACTAGGTCTATGTAATGTGGCCAAACACTAATGTGACCTATTTCACAACGCACACGGCAAAACCAAATGGATATGGTTAGAATATTTAGAGAAATTTGCTCTAAACAAACACATACTGTTCAACAATATAATTTAATGTCCAATATATTGCAAACAAGTCAAAAGGAATAGAAGATTCCAACAGCTAAATACTTACCCTTCTCTAGGAAACAGGTTAAAACTGGAGGTGTTTGTCACAGTCACGTTTGGCCCCTGTATTAGTCCATTTTCATACTGCTATGAAGAAATACCCAAGACTGGGTAATTTATAAAGAAAAAAAGGTTTCGTGAACTCACAGTTCCACATGGCTGGCGAGGCCTCACAATCAAGGCAGAAGGCAAGGGAGGAGCACAGGCACATCTTACATAGCAGAAGGAAGGACAAGTGCTGAGCAAAAGGGGGAAAAGCCCCTTAAGAAACCATTAGATCTCGTGAGAACTCACTCACTATCATGAGAACAGCATGAGGTTAACCACTCCCATGATTCAATTACCTCCCAGCAGGTCCCTCCCACAACATGTGGGGATTATGGGAACTACAATTCAAAATGAGATTCTGGTGGGGACACAGCCAAACCGTATCAGTCCTTGAACAAAAGCTCTTCTGTTCACAGGGGAAGGATGCTGAGCTGATAAAGATAGTCAGAAGAGGGTTAATTCACACCAGAAACCTCTATGCAGCAAATACTGCGTGTCAGGCATTGTGGAAGGGAGTTGCATATACTTTCTCAGTTAATTCTCACAGGACGCCATTTGCCCAATGAGGAAATCAGCTCAGAGAATTAGTGACACACCCAAGGATGCAGGGCCTGCAAGTATGGAAGTTAAGGATCTTTTTCCATTTTAACCCCACAGACTTCTTTGCAAAAGGCGGGCTTAAAATAAAGCACTTCCCACTCCGGCCAGTGTGACAAACCTCCTTGTACATGTGCAGTGGTCATAGTGTATGTGTAGTCAGGGGATGAGACTTTTTGAAAGCCTCTGGGCAGCCATTTAGGCAGCTGCCAGATAACAGGTCTACCCTAGGCATCGCCACTCAGTATGGGAAACACGGTTACTGTCTTGTCCCTGTGAAACCACAATTAAAATGGAGCTCTATGGAGTAATATTTATATTTTAGTAAGTCAAAAATGATGCCTTGCAGAGTGGACACTAGTCCTGGGGTTTCTATTACATAAGATTATCAAAATGCAATTCCAGCCAAGATGCTAGCATGGTGGTGATGAGGGTGTAAACTGACACAGACTTTTTGGTAAAAGCTATTAAAATGTAAAATATGGAAATCTTTTGAAACGATATTTTCTTACCTGAAATTTAACTATAGTAGTACCATATAGTACCCAAGGAGATATATATATATATATACACACACAAGAACATTCATTTCAGTATTGCTTATAAAAGTGAAAAATTAAGAGCAACCCACATATCCACCAATGGGAATTGGCTAAATAAATTATAGTACACACAGAAAATGTAATATTCTGCAGCCACTAAAAAATGCAAATGTGCGTTGACATGAAAAAGATGCCCAAGATATGTTGCTGAAAGGAAAAAAAGCAAACTGCAAGACAGCATGCATAAAATTATCCCATTTGTGTAAATAATAACACATATGGCTGTATATGTGTAGGGAGAAGATCTGGAAGGATATTCACCAAAATATTCACTGTGGCTATTTCTGGGGGATGGAAGTAGGAAGGTTTCTACTTTCTATTTTTTATATTTCTACTCTTTTAGAAACATATATATATATATATATATATATATATATATATATATTGTTTTTACAATTAAAAAAGTAACAAAGATTTTTGTTCTGTTTTTAGTTTGGAACTTGGTGTTTGGGATATGAGAACCTAACTCAGTATGTTCAAATCTGAAACTAGAAAGATAAAAAGAGAACTGAAAATCTCCAAGTGGTGATTCTCATATGAACCATACTTGAGAAATAACTATATATGAGTATGGATTTGTTGGTAGCCTTCAAACGCACAGCTGCCGATATACCTATTGTTGGTGATTCAAAATTTTCTTGAGATTTTTGTGGAAAACAGCAGAGTTATACTACGTTTGCATGACTCTCCTCCCTAAAATTCACTTACATGAACAAAACTGGAGTCTGTTTTTTTGGTTGGATCTGTAAGTTTTTCCATTAAACAGTCAAATTTATTTTCAAGGAGAAAATTCCATGAGAGTGTGTTTGGGGGCCTCCAGCCTTAATGTAAAGGTTCATGAGATCATATCTACAAAGCTGAACGTTTTCCAACCAATTCTGTCCCTGGACACGTCTAAAGTTTGCATATGCTGTACAATGCACAACCCCATGGAGCAATGTTAAGTGACAGTGCCTGGGGTGCACCTGTGACCTGGCAACAAAGGCCAGTACAAATAACAGATTGCTGAAAAATTAATTCACAATGAGAATGATCTATCAATTAAGTCAGCTAATACATGTGATAGCACATGAGGACCTTCTCTCCTTTGAACTAATGGCAAGTTGAGAATTATCAAAGGTTAAAAGGCAGGCATGGATTCACAACAAGAGCAGGAAGTTATGAAACCTGGGTGTGTTATGTTATTGGCCAAAACAGCCTGGTATGTCCATCTCCACAGTACAATTACATCTTCTCAAGGGCTCAGATGCTGTTCCCCCATCCAGCCAGGAGACACCCTCTCTCAAGGAAACAACCAACTACTGGCTCTTCATCTCTGTTTTTATATCCCCCTTCTGAAACACACTACCTTACAATTGATTAGATTTCTGCTGTTGCTTTGTTTACAATCATATTCTACTTCTGCCTCCATGAGCTCATTCTCTGAATCACCTGGAATCTGATTCAGATGTCTGCAAGTTCTACAGATAGACCAATTCTTACACAGCTTTCTCAGGTGGCTAATCACATCCATGGTGTGAGATTTTACTAGCTTTACTTTGAGAAGATATAGTTGTCAGAATAGGCTATAATGATGTAACAAGTACATCAAAATCACAGTGGTTTGGCAAACGATTGATTTCATGTTCTTGCAAAGTCTGACAGGAGATGGCAGGGCCCTCCTCCCTCTGGGGAGTCTGCATCCATGCCCCACTCATTCTGTGATCTACCTAGCACCACATGGCTGCAGGATCACTGCAGCAGGGGAAGACAGAGATGAGAGACAGCACTGGCTCTTAAGCACCTCAGCCAGAAGTGACACTCTGATTTCCCACTCACATTTCTTTGACCAGAGCTAGTTATGTGACCAATCTGATCGCAAAGGATGCTGGGGAATATGGTGGACCGCCAGATTATTTGGAGAGCGATAGCTGCATCTGAAACTGAGCTGCCCTATTTACAGGTTTTGAAAAGCACTTTACTCTCACCCCCTTCTACCAGCAATAGCTGTAATCAGAGGGTATTGATGCTCCAGAACGGCTCTCTTGGCCCCTTCCTAATTTTACTTATCAACGTGCTTCAAATCATCTACTGCGAGTCTAAAAATCTGGCTTAAACTTGGATACAGAGTAAGATGCAGCTTCGTCCTTGAGAAGCGCCTAATCTAATACCAGAGACAGTATGTTAATAAAAATAATATGATCATGCTATTTGACTATAACACAAAACACACAATACATACAAAGATACAATATAAATATATATAATACAGTTGGCCCGTTGCATCTAAGGGTTCCACATCTGTGAATTCAACCAACTACAGATGGAAAAATAGTCAAATAAATAAATAAAAACAATTTAAAAATATAAATTTTTAAAATACAGAATAACAACTATTTCCATAGCCTTTGCATTGTGTTAGGTACTGTAAGTAATCTAGAGATGATTTAAAGTATGTGAGAGGAAGTGCACAGGTTACATGAAATGACTACAGCATTTTATATAAAGGACTTGAGCATCCTCAGATTTTGGTATGTGCAGGGGGTTCTGGAACCAATCCCCCAAGGATACCAAGGGACAGCTGTATATATTTAGAGATCTAACTTGTTACAAAGAAGAATTAGATGAAGACTAGACTAAACGTACAAGTCAAGTTTTATTAGAGAAATAATTCCATTGTGAAGAATTGGGGATGTGAACTTCGAGACGGCAGAATTTTAATTATATTTCAAAAGGCTCTTGAAAAGTAGGGAAGCATGAAAGAGCATGAACCAAGTCAGGGGATGTGAGATTTGTGGTATCACGGGGTGGTTGAGTGGGGAAGACTGGTTTGATGTGTCTGGGTCGTAGATTAACAAGCAGGGAAGGAAATGGCTGGAGATGGATGGGCAAGGTAGGTTGAGGCCTTGAGGGCCACAGGCTGGCTTGGACTTTAGTCTAAAGACAATGGGACATATTGTTGGTCTGGGACAAAGGAAAATAACTAAACCTCCTTTAGAAAGATAACTCAGGTAGCAGAGTTGAGACTTATTGCAGAGGCTGCAGAGAAGGCATTTATTCCTGACATCCATCTCCTGCCAGTAACTTCCCCAGGTTGAACCTCCTGAAGTACCCATGGCCACTGAACTTTTCCAGATGTCCACATCCTGGACACAGCAGTTACTCATCCAAACAACTCCCTCTTCCTCTACCACGCTCAATGCATCAGCAAATGCTGTTGGCTCTGCCTTCAGAACAAATCCCAAATCTGACCACTCACTCTCAGCTCCTCCACTACACCCTAGTCAAAGCTGCCACCCTCCCTCAGAGTGATCCTTGAAGAACCTAAGTCATTTGTATCTCTTCTTTTGTTTGTTATTTACTTTTCAAACATATATTTTAGGTTAAAAAATAAATAAAACTAGCCGGGTGCAGTGGCTCACGCCTGTAATCCCAGCACTTTGGGAGGCCGAGGCAGGCAGATCACGAGGTCAGGAGATCGAGACCATCCTGGCTAACACGGTGAAACCCCGTCTCTACTAAAAATACAAAAAATTAGCCGGGCGCGGTCGCGGGCGCCTGTAGTCCCAGCTACTCAGGAGGCTGAGGCAGGAGAATGGCGTGAACCCGGGAGGCGGAGCTTGCGGTGAGCCGAGATGGCGCCACTGCAGTCCGGCCTGGGTGACAGAGCGAGACATCGTCTCAAAAAAATAAATAAATAAAATAAATAAATAAATAAATAAAACTGTTGGGAGTGGTATGGTATTTTTTCAAGGATTTTTTAATTTATTTTTTATTTCAATGGGTTTTTAGGGAGCAGGTGGTGTTTGGTTACATGAATAAGTTCTTTAGCGGTGATTTCTGAGATTTTGTTGTATATCTGCTTTTGAAAAATGTCTGTACACAAAAAGCCCATAATTCATCACTACGCAAATATTCATGTAACGAAACTGCACTTGTACCCTTTAAATGTACACGCAAAAAAAGAAAGAATCTTTCAGAGCTCCAAGCCCCCAGTAGCTTTCCATCACACTCAGAATGAAATGCAAAGTAGCTGCCTGATCTTCATCCTTGCAGCCTGGCTGACCCTGGCTGGCCCACCCCACCCTCCACCTCACCCTGCTCCAGCCACACTGACCCCCCAGCTGCTCCTTCCACTCCAAGCCTGCTCTCATCTCAAGGCTTCAGAATGAGCTGTTTGTTCCCTGTCCCTTTGGTCGGCCCACATCAGAGAGGTCCTCGCTGAGCCTCCTGCTAAAGAGTAGCCCTTCCCATGCACCGCTGACCGTACAGGGCCCCCAGAGGCTTCCACTCTCTGAGCCCTCAGCCCTGCCTGCATTTGCAGGCCTCCACCATGCCTGGCGCACAGCAAGCCTGCAGTAAACATGATGCATGTTCCATCATGCAGTTAATGAAGGGCAAATTCGGACCACCAAATGGAATTAAAACTAGTCTAATCTGCTAAGAGCCACACAGCCGCTATTCCTCCCTCATAGACCCTAACATATCTCTCAGACCATGTTATCGTCCAACATTTCTACTAAAGTTAATTCAGGCCCAGGGTTGAGGCCCCTGCCTCCTAGTTAGGACACGAGCATTTAACAAGAGCAGTCAGAAGCCAAAGGGACCTGGGAGTCCACAAAGCCATATCAGCTACACGGCAGGTACCAGCCCTGTGCCTGTTTCAGGGCTGGTGGGGTGGGAGGTGGCGTAGGAGGTGGCGGAGAAGACCCCAGCGCCCTTGCCAGACAGCTGGGTGTTGAGGCCTGTGTGCTCCCTGCAGCCAGTCAGGCACCTCTCAGACCTCGTCAGTTTTTCCCATAAGTAAAATGAGGGGTGCAGCGCCTGTGCCCAGTGTTCTTACAGCTGTAGAACTAAGCAATGGGCAGCGGGTGTGCAGCAAAGGTGTAGGACAGGCCCACCGAGGGGCAGGCAGTCCCTCCTCGCACGGGGCTCCCCTTCTCAGGAGTGCGATGGCTCATGCTTCTGGGAATGTGGTGGGGAAAAGCTCACTTGGAATCTCTTTGAGAGCCACGGAATGGTTCCTAGGAAGCCGTGGAAGTTCACATCCTGCTTGACAAATTCTTTTAAGTTTAACAAGGGTAATGGAGGGATATGTAGCCATTAACCCAGTAAATGAGGAACAGTGCCTTTTGTCAGTGCCATTTTATACTAAGCCATTTCTTCAGAAGCTGAACTCTTAACCTCAATACTTCATTATTTCTCTTGTTAAGATATTACGACAAAAGATGGAGATCAAATACAACTAGCAGATGCCTTAGAGTGAGCTCTAGCCAAGATGGCTGCCAACTGTAATGGTTCTTTGAAAACTGAAGGGGGGAATTTGCTACATTTGATAGAAATCAGCACAAATAAGCTATAACCTGGTTGTTCTTTTCAAAGTGTTCCTCCCACGCCCCCACGTAGGGCTTAGAGCATATGTCTCCATTCTGACTATGTATGAGAGTCACCTAGAACACTGTGGTGTCAGCAGAGATTCATGATTTAATTGGTGTAGGGTGTGGTCTCACACCTGGCTAGAAAATGCAGCCCTGATAAACGTACCCCTATGTTCACACCTGTGTTGGGACAGCCAAGACCACTCCTCTTCCCCATTCTTAGGGCTATTCCCCAACCTTCAACCCCCAATGCCCCACCACCATGCTCCATCAAAGGGCTTGTGTGCTGGCTTCCCTGGGCACACTCATCTTCTTCTGGCTGCCCTGACGGAAACTTTGTCATAGTGATTCTGAAAGAACACAGCCAAGCTCCCTGGCTGCCATTTATTTGGGCGACTGGAAGCTGAGAAGGAAAAAAAATAGGGCAAGAGGAGAAAGTTTTACTTCTGCCCCACCATCCTGTCTATCCACACAACTCATTTTAACAACGACATTGCCACATTTATTCTGCCATTTGTCTCCTACAAAGGATATGTCATTTTCAGCTACAAATAACAGTGATCTACATTAGCCTATGAGAAGTTTATGATCATGCTGGGAGATATGGAACCCAGGTTAGCCTATGCACGTTTCATAAATAAATAAATAAGATTCCAAAGATTAGGTGACTTAAATCAGGCCTCCCAGACTTTGGGACTTAATACATTGGGAAAAGAAAAAAAATGTAATAGTGAGACAGGCATATTTATTTTGTCCATTGACATTTTTAAATACCACCTACTATCACTATAATTTCAAAATGAAGGAGATTTTAACAACAACAAAAAGAAAAGAAAGACCCTTATCTCAGAATTAAGAAAGTCCTTACAATTGAATAAACGCAGGCTTAGAGAAAATTAAATCCATTGTTTTTCTTTTTCTGCATTTTAATGCACATGGTAAAAACTTTGTCATAGACTAGCATGGTCCAAGGACCTGCATCTGGGAACTATTGAGTTAGAGCACAGAATTTCAGAATTACAAAATACCTTATAAATAACCATGTTCAACCACCCCTATGATGCTTGAGTTCCTTGTACAATATACTTGACTAATGTATGTCCAGCTAGTTGTAAGAACAGCATTTTGATGAGGCCATTTTGACACATGGACATCTTGACATGTGAAGCATAAAATTATAAATGAGGCTTTCTGGTTACAGCAGAAAATATCAATTACGCTAAAATACAAATAAATAGAAGTAACTATTTTTGTATTTTCAGCTCTAACCCCAGCTCCACCCCAGAGATCTGTCACTCATCTTCAGGGTCATCATATCCCCATCCTTGTGCTACTCAAAAGGGACAAGTGAAGGGTAGGTGGGCCCCAGGGATGGAGCCTGGGTCAGGGAAGAGAAGAGGCAGGCTGAAAGAGGGTGTAAGGAGATGTGCCAACAACATCTGTTTCCCACTTAATTTAAAAGAGAGGAGCAAGTTTAATAGTAGGAATGAAACCATTTGCTATGTTCTGCTCTTGCCCAAAGGGTTTGATTCTATCCTAAAAGGCATTTGGTGTCAAAATGACCACCTCAATGCATGGCATCAAAATTTCCATGGCATCAAAACACCCATGTCAGAATTGCAGAATTTGGTGTAATTATCCCCAACAGCAACAATCTGAAGTATCTTTAGACATTTGCAACTATAAGAAAGATCCTTCTGACATGCAATTAAAATGCATTTCTGCATGGCTTCTGCTGGGGTCCCAGACTTCACTTCTAAGGCCTCATAAAAGGAATCTAATTCCTCTTCCCCATGACAGCTCTTGCAGATTAGTCACTCCTTTCCCCAAATCACTTCTTCAGGACAGTGGCCTCAGTTCCTCCTAGAGTTCCTGATGCGACATGGTTTCATATCCCCTCTCTGCCCTGGATACTGCCCTCTGAAAGTGTTTTGACTTATCTATATTGCTCATCAAGTGTGGCACCCAGAACTGAATTTAGTTCTCCAGGCATGACCTTTCTGGTGGACCCCTCACCCACTCCATTCTAGATGGTGTCCTCTGTTCATGCACCCTAAGAGTGCACTAGGGTTTTGCCAACCACATCACACCACTGATGTTACAACTATGTTGTCAGCACATGGATTCCAACCTGGGTATCCCAGCTTCTAAGTGGGACCCCTTTGCATTGAGTCACACACCCTGGAGGCTTCCAGGGCACCTGCCTAGTAGTAAAGATAGGTGTAAGCACATCTTTGCTGCTAACAGCTCCAGAATGAGCCACAGAAGTTCAACTGAAGATGCTGTCCTTTCCTGTGCCCCAGAGAGTACTGGTGAGACATTCTATCCTCCATGTGTAACCAGAAAGGACTCCAGCTGATCATGGACCACATTTCATTCCTTCCTGCTACCAGTCATAATCCCCATGGCACAGTTATTGCTTGCAGGAATAGAAAAACCAGCAATTCTCAACGAACTATGTGCTCTCCCAGGCCTCCCAACCCCCATACTGTCCTTGCTGTTTGCCTACCTGGGGACAACATACAGGTGTCTAAACCCCTCCCAGAGTCACAGACAGCCCTGAGAACAGTAGGGGGACTTGACATAGTGACATTCAATGCTTGAATAAGCAGCAAAAATTAGAGAAATTTCCAAGAGGAATGGAATCAGTAGGAGATACATCATTCACCACTTTTGATTGACTTTCCCACAGCATGAAAATTTCTCTTCTGCTATGAAAGAAAGTTTCCCTGACTCTTCCCCCACTTCCCTCACTGTATTTCCCTTTAAAATATCTCACAGGGTAGGTGAAACAGTCATTACAACATTAAAGCTCTGAAATGTTCATGGATACACATTAAACAATGGATCCCCGTAGCAAACTTACTCATGGTGAAAAATCCTGATTAAGCTGGCCTTTGACTATAGATGCATGAATATAAGCATGCACACATAAAACACACACACACACACACACACACACACACACACGCATGCATACACACCAACTGTAAAACATCCAGGATAGGTTTTCTCTAGAACGAGGGCTTTGGCTGTGAGCAGTTCCCCATTAGTGGTAACCATTGCAAGATGACAATGATTCACCATATACCTCATTTAGAACAAAATAACTCCGATGAGGGTCCCAGAAGGATGCAGTTCATCCACTAAAAAAGTGCATCTAAACTCCTCAAGCATTCGTCTTCCCCCCCACCCCCATTAATTCTGGTTTCTGCCAGAAGCCAGCCTGCCTAATTCTCTTTATTGCCGTTAATATTAATAAAGATGGTGGGACTAATGAGAAGAAAATGTGTTTCAGCACAGGGGAGACCATCCCCTGCTGCAGAACAGGGCTTCAGCATTCAGATTTCATTAGCATTAATGTGACTTCTGCCAGTGAAAGATTTGCACGTGGAGGCAGGACTCTGCTTAGACACACACATTGTTTTTCTCCCATTACATGGACATTTTTAAGGATATTCAAAATACAACACAAATTAGGCATGTCGCGAGGCTACAGAACACACTGTTGACTGTGAAAAATGTCAAGGTGGCAGTGGATAAGGAATTCGTGGCATGGCAGGTTCCTTCCCTGGGTGGCAGAAGTTTGAGTTTAGACACTCCCCAGGGATTTCCACTTGGTTTCACGGCTTGGAAAGAAGCTTGCCCATAATCCCTTGGCCTGAAAGAAACCAGATGGCCAGAAGGCAGTTCTCTGTTCTTTGCCTCCACAGACAGGAGAGGGAGAGGGATAATGGTCAGAAAGCCCATTCCAGGCCTGTGTTAGGGGTGAGAAAAGCCACAGGTGCCAGGCTCTCTGAGCACATGGCCAGAAATACCTCCCCAGGAAGCTCAACCAGGGCTCTGTAGCGTCACGCAGGCATAGTGAGATGAAGGCATGCTGCTTATGGTAGCGTTCTTAAGGTCCACTGATGATGGTGCTGTTCTTTTATGTTGCTCCCTGCAATAGCATGCCTTTCTCAGAAAGAAAAGTAGTCAAGGCCTGCTTAGGCGGTGCCAGTGAGTGTGCGCATGAGATAGAATCTGCTTTGCTTCCTTCTTGGTGAGTTGCTGTGCTTCTCCACGTGTGTGTGTGTGTGTGTGTGTGTGTGTGTGTGTGTGTAAGAGAGAGAGAGAGCACATCAGTGGAGCTTAGTGATGGCAAGGGCTGGCTGAAGTGGCCAAGCCCCAAACCAATGAACCTGGGTTTACCATTCACATCACTCCCTGAGTATCTGAGACTGGCCGTAATGTTGTTACATACATGCATGTGTGCACACAACTGAATGCACACACATGCAGAAACTGGGTAAGAAAAAGGGTCACTGTCATATTCTCTTGATCTTGGGGAGGACAGAAAACTCTAGGATAGGAATGAACAGAGCATAAGGATCCTTGGCCACCTAGGCCCATTCTCTTTCACTTAAGGCTGACCTGGTACATGCTCCGCAAGCTCACACACCTTTCCACGACAAACAGCATCACTAGCACACCAAAGGCAACACCAATGTCCACTCCTTGGGTCTTTGGGTGCTAATAAGCTATCTCATTGATCAGAAGTCCCATATCACTTACACCTCGTAGTCCTAGATTTGTGAACTGCTAAACATCAGTTTTGCCCCTGTATCTGGAGACCCAAAAAAGCTGGAAGGAAAAAGCAGCATTGAATCCATCCCTTTTCTTGAATAAACAATTATTTCACACACAAAAAGAAGAAGACAAAATCTTCTCCAGCAGCATTCTACCAAGCTGTGCAGTTTTACCATTGACCTAGATAACCTGAGTTTCCTGGAAAATTCCAGATGGACTATACCAAATAATACAAAAACACATTCACATTATCCCAATAGATAGATTTTGTGAAATAAAAGTGTATTCATTTTTCTTTAACATCATTAAAATATTAATTTAAATTTCAATTCTTCTCTACTCATTGTTAAAAGCTGACACAAGTATACTGGATGAACTCTATTTCAGCTCTATTCTTACAAAGTAAGAGGCACGTGAAAACCAAAGTAAAAAGGACTCTGTTTTCCACTTGTGCCTGTTTCAGAAAAGTCAGCATTTAAAACAGTTGTCTGGAAAATCCAGTCCTGAAACCAGGAAGGTATCTCTCTCTGAGTCTAGTTTAGTATCAAGACAGGCCCTACGAGCAGAAAATAAGTTAAAAATTCAAAAAAAAAAAAAAACAAATCAATTTGCCATCTTTTTACTGGTAGATATTTTTTATGACATTCAGCAATTTAAACTAGTCTCTGTAAGTCAACATCTACTCAAGTTACGGTCTAAAATCTTAAGTGTCTGTGCTCAGAGCTAGTTGAATTCTTCTCAACAGAGAAAGTGAATTCCCCACTCCTCAGTTCTCCCTTCCCAAAATGGGCCACTTAATTGAGTCCTTTGGAGACATCACAGTGCAAGAAACTCCCCAAAGAAAAAAATGCCCAAGGACTTGAAAAGAGAAAGAATTTCACACTTGCTAGCCCAGCATAACCACCCACCCTTGAATGTCAGTAAATGAAGAAGCCAAAAATGGCTCTTTAACAGACATCCCCAGGGAGGGTAAGGTTGTGTCTGCAGCCAGAAATGTTGCTTCCTTTGGTCTAAGTCAGTAATATTCAGATCACAGCTCTCCAGCTGCAAGCAGATCTGTTCAGATGCAAACTGTGGCTGGTGAAGCCCCCACTCCCTTTCTCTTCTGAAATATGTTTCACCTCTTTTTCCAGGGTAGGACCAAGTGATGCTTTCATTCAATGGTAATTATAAATATGACTCTTGGCACATTTAACTGTAAGAGTCATTGCTATGAGACCAGATTTAGCTACTCTAATATAAGAATGACTTTCACTCTCATCTTATCCGGGCCTCTTAGCAAACCAGAACCTAAGCTAGTTATTGGACCACTGGCCATGATGGGATGAGGGAATGAAATGTCTTACTCCCTTCCTATCCTGTTCATACCAGCTTCCCCACAGAATGAGATTTTTTTAAGAAGGGAATAATCTCACACGAGCTACTATAAACCAGGTAGCTCAGGACTTTCTGGTCATCTGCACTGACACTGTCCCAGCTGAGATTCAGAATAGTTAAGTAACGTGTCAGAGGTCACTCAGCAATAAATACCAAAGCCATGGCTCCAACCCGATTCTGTTGTGCTCCAAAGTGCATGACCTTTCCACCATGTTGTGCTGCCTGACGGTTTTCTTAAGATTCTCAGGGACTATGGCAGTTAAGGTAGCATGAACTACTATAACAAAAAGCCCAAAACTATATAACAGCTCAAACAGGATAGAAGTTTGTTTCTTGTACACATGAAGTCTGAAATGAATATTCCTAATAGGAAGCCTCTTAAGTAGTGATTTGGGACCCAGGCTCCTTTTTCCACCCTGTGGCTCTGCCGTGTCAAATCAGGGCTTTCATGGTGGTCGTACCCATCTTCATCAAGAAGGTGGGAGGGGAAGGGCATGGTGGGCCATTTGCAGATTGTTCCTTCATGGAAACCACACACATCATTTCTGCCCACATCCCTTTGTCTGGAAGTCAATCTCATGGGCTCTACCTTTTGAGAAACGTACTTCATCCATGTGCCTGAGAAAAAGAGGAACATGGTTTGGTGAAAAGCAAATCAATCGTTGTCACAGGAGCTAAAGAATTCAGTATTTGACAAAAATTAGCCGGGCATGGTGGCACACGCCTGCAGTCCCAGCTACTTGGGAGACTGAGGCAGGAGAATCAGTTGAACCTGGGAGGTGGAGGTTGCAGTGAGCCGAGATTGTGCCATTGCACTCCAGCCTGGGTGACAGACTGAGACTGCATCTCAAAAAAAAAAAAAAAAAAAGAATTCAGTGTTTGATTGAATTTGACTAAAGAACACACATCTCAACAAAAGCTGTGGCATAAATTATTTGTGTTTTAAATGAAAATATATGGAGTTGTGTATATTAACTAAAATTAAGATTTGAAAACATTCTTAAGCCAGGCCCTATGATCAGTAAGTGTTTTAAATATTCAAAAGAAGATACAAATTAATATTCAAAAGGAGATACAGTCTTTCTATTAGTGCAGGAGGCCCCAACCCTCAGGCCACAGATGGGTACTGGTCTGTGGTTTGTTAGGAACCAGGCCGCACAGCAGGAAGTGAGCGGCAGATGAGCGAGCATTACCGCCTGAGCTCTGCCTCCTGTCAGATCAGCAGCAGTATTAGATTCTCATAGAAGTATGAACCCTATTGTGAACTGTGCATGTGAGGGAGCTAGCTTCCATGCTCCTTATGAGAATCTAATGCCTGATGATCTGAGGTGAAACAGTTTCATCCTGAAACCATCCCCCTCACCCTCCCCTCGGTTCATGGAAAAAATTGTCTTCCATGAAACCAGTCCCTGGTGCCAAAATGGTTGGGGACCACTGTATTAGTGGATATGTTTTGACATGTAGCAATATAGTCAACCTCTAAAAGTCAACAACTACTAAAGATGGAGTCCTTACAACAACTACTAAAGGCTAGGCATGGTGGCTCATGCCTGTAATCCCAGCACTTTGGGAGGCCAAGGTGGGTGGATCACAAAGTCAGGAGTTCGAGACCAGCCTGGCCAACATGGTGAAACCCCATCTCTACTAAAAATACAAAAATTAGCCGGGCGCAATGGCAGGTGCCTGTAATCCCAGCTACTCAGGAGGCTAAGGCAAGAGAATTGCTTGAACCTTGGGAAAGGAGGTTGTGGTGAGCTGAGATCATGCCACTGCACTCCAGCCTGGGCAACAGAGTGAGACTCTGTCTCAAAAACAAACAAACAAAAAAAACCAACTACTAAAGCTATGAAAGGGTCAGGCTCCCCTCAGCATTGTACCATCAATAAGAAGCTGAGGCTGACCCTGAAAATCACCTTGCAGCTTAGATAGACCTTGTTGTTTCAACAGAAGAGATGTGCATCCCTGAACCCACAAAACCAAAAGCTTGCTCTGTGGACAAGGTAAACTCTGGTTCTTTAATGTTACTGGCAGCAAAGTACACAACTAACCAAGTAACCCTTGGCCATCCTTAGAGCATAAATAGCTGAGATGTTATCTACATCTGCCCACACCCATTTCGCCAATGATGACTTCTCCCTTGATACCCTCTTCAGCAGCAAGAGAGGGAAAAAGTTCAAATGATGACAGTGGCAATGGCCTAAGCACGTTTCTCCAGGCATGAGCTGGGCAGTGACCAAGAAAGAGCAAACTGCATCCCCTCCATCCCTGAGCCACTGTGACCTGTTCACCAGCTCTGTTCAAACTATCCAGGTACATACAGCAGTATTTGGAAACTGAAGCTCTGAGCACTCTGAAAAATTAACTGCACTAGCTGTTTGCATTCTCAAATACACTTTGAGCAGATAAAAGTGAGTTGCCTGAAGCAGGAAAACATTGACTTTCTTTTTCTGGTTTGCTAGATATGGTTCAAGAAAATGTCTCTTCTCCTCTGTTAGCAGTCCTTCCTCTCCTCACCCTTAGTTTAGCTTTCTTCTTGACCTGCAGGAAATCAGAAGGAGGTGAACCAGAACTTAGCATAGAGCCTGCATATGTTAAGTGCTTGTTTCGATTCCACACATGTGTATTCAGCACCATATATACAGGGCAATGTATGCAGTATTGGGACCACAACGTGGTCCTACTGTCAAGGAGACCCTGCTGTTTCTGAGAAAGCCAAGATGTGTATTCTTTTCCTGCATATTGCAGAAAGTCAGAAACTGTTTGCTGCATCAATGAATAAACGACCAGGCCCTGTAGTGGAATTGTACCATAAGGAGAGGCCCCCAGCCTTTTCTAAAAGTAAAGAGCAGATTAATTTTGCTTGGTTGTTGACCTATTTCCTTTAGTATAATAGGTAGATTGACTATAGTAGGGCGATGGATAGATTCCCTTAAAGAGTGAAGTTTTCATTTAGCACCCCCATCCAGTCAAAATTGCTCTTGAATGAATTCCTGATTTTCTTGAAAGAAAGAAAAATCCTACACAGAAGCAAGTTAGAATAGAATTCAGGATAAATAAGAAGACCCCCAAGGTCAGCATTTCCCAAAGAGTGTTCCAGGGAACATGGGTACCAAGGTGTTCTATGAAAGAAAAATTCAGTTGCCTAGTTAGTTTGGGAAGCAATGCATATTCTATTTCCCTTTTAGAAAGTCACAAAGCAAATTGATATATTCAAAATTCTGGAAAGACCCACAGTAAAGAATCCTTATAACTGTGTAACCTAGTTTTCTCCAAATATACTGGAACACAGAAAACTTTTTTGTACATAATACTTACCAACATTTCTTTAACGTGTATACCATGAAGTCAACTTTGGCAAAAAGTCTCCTCAATCCATAAGGCCTGTGCCCACCTGGCATACAGGTGTGAAAGAGGTAGCTGGGGCTGAGAGAACTCCACAGAGCCTTTATGAAAGGCGGTGAGGGACTGCAGAGACCCCGTGAAGACAAGAGAGCAGAAACCAAAGATGAGCTTGGAGTGAGACTCGCTGGACGCACACAGCGGCACAAAAGGGACAGCCTGATGACCTCTGACAGCTGGCACCTATAGGTTAATCCTGTTTCAGATTTTGGCTTCTCAGGGTTTCACCTCCCTCAGTTTGCCAATGTTATTCATATCATTGACATGTTTTTCAGAAGATTTGCCATCCCAAGAAGGAAGTCACAGAAATTTAAAATACAAATAAATTGTGAAGAACCCAGCCCATAGTGTGCGAACGGAAAGTGAAGCCGCGCTGTGATGGGTGGATGGAACTTTAAGCCAGCTGTTGTTCTATCTTGCCCATAGCTCTGGAACAGGCAGCAAGTAATTTAACTCCATGGACCTCATTTATCACACTGGGAAAGGTGGGGGAAGCACATGAGCTCCAATGAGGCCAGGAGCCGAGCTGAGCACCGCACAGAAATTCTCCTAGTTACTCCTTACAACTCATTGGTTGTGTGTCAGCTCACAAAAACATGAAGACTCTGCGGCTCAGAACGCCACAGCTCCACCCCTACCCCAAGGCCACCCAAAAATTAAGAGCAGAAATGTAAGCCTATGTCTGTCCAACTCTGAAACTCCTAACCCCTAAGGCTGGAGTGCCACAGCACCATCTTGGTTCACTGCAACCTCCACCTCCTGCGTTCAAGCGATTGTCCTGCCTCAACCTCCCAAGTAGCTGGGAGTACAGGAATGCACCACCACACCCGGCTAATTTTTGTATTTTTTGTAGAGACAGGATTTCACCATGTTGGCCAGGCTGGTCTTGAACTCCTGGCCTCAGGTGATCCACCCTTCTCGGCCTCCTAAAGTGCTGGGATTACAGGCGTGAGCCACTGCGCCTGTCCTGTCTCTTTTATCTCTGATAGTCTCACCTTAAAATTATGAGAGGTTTTGAGAATTTTCACTGAAAAGGGTAGGTGAGAACAATATTGCAAGAATTTCCCCATTAGAAAATCTGATACAATGCTGATCAAAAGCACAAAAAAAATAGGAAAAACTGTTGCATATTCACTAATATTTGGCTTTCTTTAGTTCATTTCTGTAAAGTGTAAATACAACGTAAAAAAAATACAGTTTTTAAAATTCCTACTCTACTTCAAGCCTGTGAAAACTATTAGATGGTTTTTAGGTTACTGTTAACAGTCAATAAAAATATTATTGTCAAATAAAAATTCATTTCATATCTCATCATACATTTCAATACCTTTTGTAATAGTGCTAAATCATTATACAATGCATGAAATTCATTTCTCTTCTAATACATTCTACTATAAAATTAAACAGGAGGCTGGGCAAGGTGGCTCATGCCTGTAATCTCAGAGCTTTGGGAGGCTGAGGTGGGAGGATTGTTTGAGGAGAAGAGTTCAAGACCAACCTGGGCATCATAGTAAGACCACCATCTCTACAAAAATTTTAAAATTAGCTAGATGTGGTGGCATTCATCTGTAATCCTAGCTACTTAGGAGGCTAAGGTGGGAGGATTGCTGGAGCCCAGGAGTTTGAGGTTACAGTGAGCTATGAATGTGCCACTGCACTCCAGCCTGGGCAACAGAGCAAGACCCTTCTCTTAAAAAAAAAAATGTTAAACTGGGAAAAATAGTGGCAAATCAGACCTGGAGAACTCACGATGCATGAAAAGTTGCTCAGTCCAGAACAAAGGGCAAACACATATGGTAGCTGGTCTGGTTGTATTGCTTAGTTTATTGATCAGCATCATTTTGGACAGTCACTGGGTCCCTCTGAAACCTAAAGATATCCAGTGAGTCCCCTTGACCAAGAAGCCATTCCCTCTACAGAGCAAGAGAGTTTCTTAGACAGAGACACCCATTTTAAGTATGAAGGCTTTTACCCTGAACCGTATTTTATTCAAGATGCTTGCTAATTTACTTGGAGACTTTTCCCAGGGTTTATTGCCTAAACCTTCATGTGTGTGTGTGGTGTGTGTGTGTACTAATGTGTACGGGTGTATATGGATGTGACAGCTCTTTACAATTTTGGGGTTCCTCCCCCATTGCACAAATTCATTCTGGAAATGACTTTGGCTACTTCATTTTCATACCCTGAAATGTAAGTACACTAAGACTTCTGACTTGAATACCCTTAACCCATTTGAAACATCATCCACCACCCTCCGAGCCTTCTGTCCTATTTCCTGTTCTTTTTTTTTTAAGTATAGAAGGTTTTTAAAGGGACATCAAACATCTCTGTTCGGTGGATGGCATTATTATCAGCTCTTCATCCCTGCCTCATAAAGAACAGAGGTCACATTTTGTTGTGCCTGCTCACGGCCCTGTTTGTCTTTGGCAAGTGGTGTCTTGTGAACTGCTTTTGCTAGTTTGACCTTAATTCTTCCACGTCTTTGTCACCGCAGTGTATGCTGCTTGGGAGTCTGCCCCAGTTTCCTTTTCTTTTTGCTGAATTCACATTTTTATTTCATCTTTCTCCTACATGAACTTGTTTTCTTCCTCCTCTCTCAGCTTTCATTGAGCCCAAAGAAAGTATCTTATTGTGTTCTTCTATTTTATTCTCCTTTGAAAAAAAAAAAAAAAAACCCTCCAGGAATTCAGAACCCCTTTGCTGCTTATGCCCCCATGCTCTGGAGATTTTCTTGGAATTTAGATAAACTTATTAAAGTCCATTTTGTTAACATCCGTTTGCTGAAACCAACAGTTAAATCTGTCAGCACTGACGTCAATAATCTTCCAAAAGAAAGAGGTGAATATCACAGTTCCTCATGTCTAGAAAGTGATCACCTAAGACCTGGAACAGTTATAATTTTTTAAATCTGACTGCCCTTAAATTCATATTTCAATTATTCTTTTGTCATTCTATTAAGCATTGATTTGAACTAGAATTATCTATCTAGTTCACAGGCTAAATTCTCTTTAGCCCTTTGGCAACGGCTCCCTGACCTCTGCTATTACTGACTTATACTCTAGAGAAAGCACCCCTGCTTCTGTTCAGCATCTACTGGTCTCAGAATAGTGGGCCCGAAAAGCAGGCACATATTTTCCAAGACAGCTCAGAAAACCACTTTCACTTTCAGGAAACAAGCTTGATCATTATACTCCACGGAGCCGAGAGCCACATACAATTAACTACTTAACAAATACCTCTGATTAGGATTTTAAAGATTCCTGAGCAGAAGGAAAGAGTGGAGCAAATAAAAGAGATTGGCAGAAGAGATAGTCCCATGATCAGGATGACAGAAATACACAGAGATAGAATCTTAGGCCCATTCCCGTAAAAAACGTAACGGCTAACATTTCTAAGAGAGATACTTTGTGCCGCAGACAGCCCTAAGCCATGTATGTGGATCAGCTGCTCTCAATGGCCCCATGAGCAAGGTAAGATTATCATTCCTTCTTTACAAAGGAGGAAGCTGAGACACAGTAAGGTTCATAACTAGCCTCACGTTCAGCTAGAAGGTGGCTTTTAAACTGCAGAGCCGTAGTGCTTGCTGCTGCAGCTCCTGAGGACACCTGTTCCATGAGGCCTGGAGCTCTCTCATAAGGAATCTTACCTGCATGTTTTCCCCCCACCGGCCCCTCCTCCAAGGCCTTTCCTGCTCCCACGCCTTCTCTGTGTTCCTGACAAGCTTCAGCCCTGGATCTTAGACTTCCAGGCAGTCTACCACTTCTGGCACCACCTCTCCTTGCCTATCATGGGCCCCCTTTACTCTATGTTATTATTGGAGAAAAGCCACCATGCAAGATCCAGGGCCCTTTCCAGCTCTGAGGTCTTTCTTGGAAATCCAGCTCTCCAAGACACCTTGCTAAGGGTCAAAGCCATCCCTAGGGTGTACAGAATTAGGCAAGAAGCCACACACCAGTGGCTCAGTAACTAGAGGGACATGTTTACAGCAGCCAGCAGGGGCTAAATCCTCAGATTCAGATACAGCCAGTTCCACAAATTCAACTGCACCAAAACTGGACCATGAGGCACTGCTCAGTAGCACAAAATTGAAACCAATGCAATCAGCTCTTGGCTGCCAGACCCCTGGAACTGACCAATTGGCTGTGTAGGCTCAGCCCTGTCATCTGCTCCACCTCCAAATAACTGACCCTGACCTTTACTGACTGGAGTATCTTGGATACTTCCCACAGGGCTATGGCAGCATTTTTTTTTCTTAATTTTTTTTTTTTTTAGCAAGATGTGGTCTCACCATGTTGCCCAGGCTGGTCTTGAACTCCTGGTCTCAAGTGATCGTCCTGCCTCAGCCTCCCAAAGTGCTGGGATTACAGGTGTGAGCCACTGTGCCTGGCCCAGTCACTCACGTTTTAAAGTTACTAAATAATGAAGTTTAAAGAGGCTCAGAGACTAGCCCTGGGTCACTCGGGGACAAGTAACTTGTTGACATGGGATTGAGACCCAGGGTCACCAGCCCCAAGAATCATGCTGGCAACATTTACTCGGGTGTTTTGGAGCATCTTTCTAACACATTCTGGTAATATGGGACAACACTATAGATGGAAATCTCTTGTTCTAATGGTTCCTTTTAATTGAAGTGTTTCAATTTTCTGTGGATAAAGGAGGCAATTGGCCATCCCAGGCTGTTTTCTGCTCCCATTTCCCCTCTTTGCCCCCATAGGCAATGTCAACTCCTCAAACAGCCTCCCAGGTCAGAAGGGCATCAGACCCCATCAAACTCCAAGGGAAGGAGAAGGCTGTAGGAAAGAAAAGGAAAGTAGGTGAAGAAAACATGCTCATTTTATTGTGCGAAAGGGGAATTGCCAACGTAACATTCTGCTTTTCTGAGTGAGCATTTTGATCATCTTAGATGGACTGGAGCAAGCCAGGTTTCATTGATAAAAATCGCAACAGCCTCCTCCTGAGGGATATGGAATATCTCAAGCTATTTGTGAGATTCTATCACTATCAGATTTCTCTGTGCCCAGTGGGAATGAAAGTCTAAAACGCATTCCTGTCTCTGTCTCTCAAATAAACATTTTCCAAACATCCAAGAAACAGAGCATGTTAAGATCTTAAACTAGAGAATCCCATGAATGCTGTCTGCCCAAGACCGAGGAACAAGATCTATGTAAAAAGGGGGAAAGGGATTACTCCCCAAACAGGAGATTTTAGACACTATTAGAGGTCTTGAGGCATACCTAAACATATGAGCCAAACGGCGTCATAGGAAAAAAGGCTTCTGCTAGAAAGTACTTGCAGGCCATAACAAATTAGGTGATTCCCGTGAAAGAGATTAACCTTTGGTATCAAGTTGATTGAAGTCTCAGATGGCACTAGCCGCTGGCCATTCATCCCATCTCGTACTCAGAGGGTGCCAGCACTGACAGGCTCTGGAGGTCAGACCAGGGCAGGACACAGGTGGAAGCCTGCCAAGGCTTACCAAAGGGCTGGCAAGCAACTCGATATGGGAACTGGAGCTTTCCTTTTGAGTTTCCTGAGCCCTGGGCCTGTAAGTATCCTTTGCAGATAAAGGGTCCTAACCATTAAATGCATACCAACATGTTTTCACCATCACAGATAATGGCTTCACCATCTAAATGCTTTTAAAAATTAGCATGATGTTGTGGCTCCTTGTCCTTACTAAGGAGTTTATACCAGGAAAAAAGTGTGGTAATAACTGTGTACATACAGATGTCCTTTGACATAATGGGCCAATTCCATCAGTTTAATATTATACAGTAGTTCCCAAATCGCACTGAATAAAGGTGAGAGAGGCTGGCTATGAAGAATCACATCAATACGATCTTTGAGGCAGATTTGGCCCTGTTATCTATGTGCAAACATGAACACAGAGTCTTCTAAATTTTGCTTTTGTTTGATTGCCTTCCTATAAAGAAAAAAATTATCCAACATGATTAACCTTTGTTTGTAAAAATATATAAATAAATAAATTTTCCCTCGCTTTTGCTAAATAGTTAGAAGAGTAAGTTTGCAAATTAACACTTTAGCAAGACTCTGAATCAATCTCAAAGAAGGCTCTACTTAAGGATGGTTCTAATACATCTCAAGTCCAATGTGTGGTTGATTCCCTGCCATATGCTCTGAGTTTTATCAGGCTCAATGAGAAATACCAGTGCTTGCTACACAGAGATTTCTAATGCACCCTCACTTCTGGCAATAGTCTGGAATTTACTTCAGTTGATTTAAAGAATTTGTGAACAAGAATTTTATCTGAATTGTCATCACCTTGGAGCAACTGGTCAGGCTGAAAAGGTGTCCTGAATGGGGCTAGACACGTCAGCGAGACCTGCCAGGTGTCTCGTCACTCAGCACGGCCACTTCCTAATAGTAACAGGATCAGCCCTGGGGACTTGCTGATGGGCAGCATGGCAGGATGACCCCAGCCATCTCCACATGCACTCTGATAAGGACTGGCAGGTTAAATAAGGGCATATGCTGCATGCTGCTCCATCAGCACCTCCACTTGGCTCCTTCTCAGCCCAGGAGTTAGAATTTGTTGATGTAACCCACACCATGGGAAGAATGAAAACTCAAGCAGCAAAGCCCGTGTTAAGATGCCTTTTGTCGGGAAAAAAAAAAAAAAGGCAGTTTATGCCTCCAGCTGCTGCATTCAGGGACCAGTTAACAATGGGAGACAGCAGAGAGAGCTGGGTAAAGATGGGAACAACACAGAGGAAAGGGTTTGTGAGCAACTGGGAAACATCTTCTTGTCATCTTCAGCCCAGTGACATCTTTCCCTGCAGCAGAAAATGAGAAGGGTTAAACACCCCCTCTCGTTAATGCTGTAACAGGCATCCACAGGCATCACATGGACATTTTATAGAGTGCATTTACATGGCATGGGATCTCCTGACTCCCACTTTGACACCAACTAGTGCAATGGTAAATGGGAAAAAAATGATAAGCGCTACAAAAAACGATGAAGATGAGTCAGGGCAGGAAAACGCTGCCTGAATTCCGAATAACTACAGGCACAGGTCAGGAATGTGTAGTATACCAGCTCCAATACAGTGAGCTTAACTGTGATTAGGCACAAGGGTCCATGGATCAGGGGAGACTCAGAGGAGTAAAGGTGCATCTGATAAGCCAAAAAGGGACACCTTCTCTACCACCCCACCTATCGTGTGTGTGTGTGTGTGTGTGTGTGTGCAGGTACACACTCATTCTCCACTGTGTCCAAGACAGCTTTCAGGATCACCAATAAACACCCTAGTGAGGAGTCCTGGGCTGGACATGAGACCCACACTCTAGATAGATCAGCATTTACTTTATGTTCTCCTTTGATGCATGCACATATGCCTTAGTAAACTATTAAGTCATTCCATGGTATTTCTCTATATATTCTCAGACAGTTCCTTTCTTACATTTCTAGAACCTTGTGCTTTAAAATGTTAGAATGTGCTATAGATCTTAGAATGTCTTAGAGATCTTGGAAGGCCTATATATCTTGTTAAAAGATACTTGAATTGGGTGGCCACTTTCCTGATTCCCTGAGGACAAACCCAGTTCACAGCACCCATCACAGAATTAACTGACGTGAACACAGCCCCTCATATTTTCCACTTCTACTGAGAACCATGAAGTTGAACCCAAGTGGGTGCCTGGTGTATCATTTAGGGCCAGTTTCATGAAAGTAAAAAACATATGCCAAGAAAGGGGCTGTGCTGTTCCTGGTTGAAGGAGTAGGATAAGCAAGGGACCTAGTGCTGCAGTCAGGGTAGGCCTTTTGTCTCTTTGTCGGCCTCTGGTTATCTGGTGACTTCCAATGATGTGCTTGCAGGGGAAGGGTGAGCAGGGACTGTTTATGGAAGGTGGCACAGCCCAGGGAGTCTCACACATTTGCATAGATGTACCCCAAGCAGAGGGAACTGTCCACAGTAAATGCTGTGTGAATGCTGTCACTTGGAAAGGAGGGACTTCAAACCAAGTAGCTGCCGTAGGACCATGTTCACGTTCAAAGATGGTTTTAGAACCAGCTGAAAATTTTGCTTTTGGCACCCTCAGTGAGAGCACGTTTAAATAATCTCTCATTAGTTGAAGCCTGAAACCATCAGGAAAAAAGCAGATTTTTGATAAAAATCCAATAATTAAACCTTGACACAGGCTCAGAAATTCCCAGGCCCAAGCCCTCTGTGTTTTATAACATTATTTCACGATGTGAAAGATACCATCTGAATAAATGCCTTCTGCTTCTACACTTTAACTTTTTGTCACTGATAAGTTCATTCAAAAAGCACAACAACTCTCTAAAGGTTGACTCTAATAATAAATGGATCTCTTTTCTCTTATCTCTTCTCCCCGTGTAATTGTGTGCTTCATTCTCGAGCTGTCTTCAACATGAATAACTCTACTTACTTCAGCAAAGGTCCCCAAACATCACTCCAGGAGGCTGGAGAAAGGTCATAAGTACCCTTCATTCCCAGACACTAATTTTTCTTTTCTTTCATATTAAAGAAAAAAAAAATCCCAGCTCGGGATTGTTCAGCCTCCAGATAAGAAGAAAAAAAGTGACTATTCATTACACATATCTAAATTTGGACTATAAATTTAATAATTGTAATGTTGTTTTTATTTTTAAGCTTTTTCTTGTCTGGGTCTAAATCCTAGGAGTGAGTTTGATATTTCAAATCCCTCAATTTCTAAAATCTCTACTGTCTTATTCCAAATCAAGTGTTCAAGTTAATTATATCCCCTAGCTCCCATTAAACAGGAGAAATTCTTCAGAGAGAGTGTTATTTGAATAAAACTTCTTGGAATTGTTTAGTTGGAAGTATTGTCCTGGGCCCCGTGAGAAGAGGCACATGCATGTTAGGAAATGTGGCTGTCCAGAGCTTATGTAATTATTCAGTAATCTGTATACCACATTACCAAAATGCCATATCTGCCTCAAAGGCTAACATGTGAAAGTTTAATCAGCACAGAAAATGGACTTTAAAAATTTCAACATAGATTCTGAGCAAGGTGAAGGGGACTGTGAAGACAGTGAATTCTAGATTCCTTCAACACTCCCATATGGGAAATCGAGTGGGATGGAGAAGACCTCATTTCAAAAGGAACGTTGTACATTTACTCACTGTTAAATATAAGGGCAGTTACTTCTATTCAAACTCAACAAAAGTTAAGTGTTTCTTGCCTTTAATCAATGAAATATATAAAAATAGAGATTTAGAGTTGCAGAACTTCAAGTGACAGAGACCACGGGGCATTGAGTTCAGAAGCCACTTCTGGGCCAGACGTCCCATCCCAGTGTCCCTGGGTGTGACCCCTGCTCTTCTGTGTAAATCCCTCCGGGAAAGATGACCTGACTCCACACTTGGACCCAGCCTGGCCCAGTGTGGGCATCACCTCTGGCCAGGAGAAGACTTAAGTGGTATAAACGGGGTGAGGGGCTCATCATAGAAGCTGTGGGGCAGGCCATGTGCAGTGGCTCACACCTGTAATCCCAGATTACAGGCTCATGAGGGCTGGTTACGTTTTCACTGATCCTGTTTAGACTTTGAGGAGAAAGGCATGCTTCACCAAGCACTACCTTGTGAGCAGCTGGGGGGAAGCCCTGACAAGTCTCACTTCCTTCCAGCAACAACTCTCCCACATTGTTCTCGCCATTGTCTACGCTTCCCCGTTGTTAGTCATTCTGTGAGTCAAGAGCTGGCCTCGGCCAGCTGCAGGCACGCTTGGCTGCCCCGCTGCATGAGGGGCCAATGTCACTCCCTCCCGGGCTCTACGAGGCCAGGTCTGCAGCCAGCAAGCCACAAGGGACCTCCCGAGCCACCTGTTATTGTGACCATGCGTGGCCCAGTTTGTTTTGATTAGAGCGTTCCAAAGAGGAAATAAAGCCTATATTTATATTTTTATTTTAAAAAGGCAGGGCCACTTGGGAGGCCAAGGCTGGTGGATCACCTGAGGTCAGGAGTTTGAGACCAGCCTGGCCATCATGGTGAAACCCCGTCTCTACTAAAAATAAAATAAAAAATTAGCCGGGCATGGTGGTGGGTGCCTGTAATCCCAGCTACTGGGGAGGCTTAAGCAGGAGAATCACTTGAACCCAGAAACTGAGGTTGCAGTGAGCCAAGATCACGCCACTGCACTCCAGCCTGGGTGACAGAACAAAACTCCGTCTCAGAAAAAAAAAAAAAGAGAAAGAAAGAAAGAAAGAAAGAAAGAAAGAAAGAAAGAAAGAAAGAAAGAAAGAAAGAAAGAAAGAAAGAAAAAAGGTAGGGCCACTTGCCCAGTGCCCTCTTGAATATTTGGAATTCACAGACCTCTTCCTCAAACCCATGGAGATTTGCATGAAGAGCACTTTGCCCATAGTAATGTGATCTCCCAGTTAAGGGAGGCAAAATATTGAGTTGGTTGGCAGCTTTTCCCAAGTTCCTCCATCAGCTGGGAGGGAATGATCTAAGAGGAACAGTGGGTAATTCAAATACCTTAGGGTATTCTACATAATGGAAGAGAAGAGAAAAACCAAACAAACTTTTGTGAGCACATGTAACACAGACATTCCAGGGCATTCATGAGTGGTGACGTTATGGGTTGAAGTGTGTCCCCGCCAAAAACATATGCTGGATGGAGTACTATCTCCCAGTACCTCAGAATGTGATCTTATTTGGAGATAAGATCTTTACAGAGGAAATCATTAGGGTAGGACCTAGTCCAATATGACCAGTGTCCTTATAAAAAAGGGAAATTTGGAAACACAGGGAGAACATCCTGTGAAGATGAGGGCAGAGATCTACAAGCCAAGAAATGCCAAAAATTGCAGCAAATCCCCAGGAGCTGGGAAAGAGGCATGGAACCGATTCTTCCTCACAGCCCTTAGAAGAAACCAACCCTGGCAGGGTGTGGTGGCTCATGCCTGTAATCCTAGCACTTTGGGAGGCTGAGGTGGGTGAAGCACTTGAGGTCAGGAGTTCAAGAGCAGCCTGGCCCACATGGTGGAACCCCGTCTCTACTAAAAATACAAAAATTAGTCAGGTGTGGTGGTGCATACCTGTAATCCCAGCTACTTGGGAGGCTGAGGCAGGAGAATCAGTTGAACCCAGGAGAAAGAGGTTGCAGGGAGCCAAAATCATGCCACTGCCCTCCAGCCTGGGCAACTGAGTGACAGAGTGACTTGATGAAGTGAGACTCCGTCAAGAAAGAGAAAGAAGAAGAAGACAGAAAGAAAGAAAGAAAGAAAGAAAGAAAGAAAGAAAGAAAGAAAGAAAGAAAGAAAGGAGAAAGAGAGAAAGAAAAAGAGAGAGAAAGAAAGAAAAGAAAGAGAGAAAGAAAGAAAGGAAGAAAGAAAGGAAAGAAAGAAAGAAAGAGAAAGAAAGAAAGAAAGAAAGAAAAAGAAAGAAAGAAAAAGGGAGAAAGAAGGGAGGGAGGGAGGGAAGAAGTAAGGGAGCGAGGGAGGGAAGAAGTAAGGAAGGAAGGAAGGAAAGAAGAAAGGAAGGAAGGAACCCTGCCGACACCTTCATCCTGGACTTCCAGCCTCCAGAACTGTGGAACAATCAATTTCCAGAGGGATACATTCCAAGAACTCCAGTGGATACCTAAAACTGCAGCTAGTACCACACCCTATAGATACTATGTTTTTCCTGTACATACATATCTATAAAGTTTAGTTTATTAATTACATGCAGTAAGAGATTAACAACAATATCAATAAAATAGAACAATATACTGTAATAAAAGTTATCGTGCACTGTGGCTGTAATTTTTGCAGTTCAAGGGGAGACACGAAAACTAGCTTGAATTTCTTTTTCCATCTTTATCGTTTCACAAATAGAAGATTGGTTCTTACCATAGATCTTAGCAACCTCAGCATACTATTTGTTTCTTTCCTTATTAAGTCAAGAACTTTCACCTTTTCACTTAAAGGAATCACCTTACGGCTTCCCTTTGGCAGATCAGGGCCATTATTAAGTAAAATAAGGGTGACTTGAACACAAGCACTGTGATACTGCCAGGCTATCTGATAACAGAGCCAGCCTCTAAGCGTCTCACAGGCAGGTAGTGCCTACAGCTTGGATTCACAAGACAAAGGGAGGATTCGGTCCCAGGCTGGATGGGGTGAGACAGCAAGATATTTATTTCATCATGCTACTGAGAGTAGCACATGATTTAAAACTTATTGTTTATTTCTGGAATTTCCCTATTAATATTTTCAGACCACAGTTGACCATGGGTAGCTGAAACTGAAGAAAGCAAAGCCATGGATAAGGGGGGTCGACTGTACTTTGTTACTGCAGCCCTAGCAAATGAATAGAGGTGATGTCAGTACATTCAGTCCACATAGATTCCTGGAACAGTCTGCCTCGTTATTTGAGGTTTCTCCCAATCCATGCAAGGCTGGTTCCTTCTTTCCAACCAAACCTTAGTTCCTCCATGCCCCTTCACACCCTTCCTGACCACCCAAGCTAAACAACAGCCTCTCCACCTCCTTCACTCTATTCCACTGCCTGATTTATTTTCTTGATGGCATGTCTCACTCTCTCATCTAGTTGTTTGTAGATTTAACATCTTTCTCTGCACCCCTACAATGTAAGCTCCATGGGAGCAAGGTTCTTGTGTGTCTTGATCATAGCTATGAATTGCAGCAGAAGCTGAATACACATTTGTTGGATAGGAGCACAAAGTAAAGAAATTTAAAAATTAGAAATGGGACATCTCGTTATTCATTTCTTAATTGTTTATTCCATATACACTTATTAAGAATATGTGAGTGTCTGGAACTCTATAAGATTCTGAAGGAATTCAAAATAATCTGAAGTCCTAGCCATTGATAAGCACAGAAAACTACCAAAATTGTCCCATGCAATTATAACTAGAAAAGTGTGGTTACATCCTGTAGCGTCTGAAATCAATTTCAGCATCACCACCACCTCACACCTAACCTCTTCCTTCTTTTGCCTTTCTGTGTGCAGCCTCCTGAGAAGGAGGACAATGCAGCCAAAATGTGACTAGATCCTCCCTGAGGAATAAACTCCCTAACTGTCCCTTCCTCCCCAGTGCCCAAGGCCCAAACTCATGAACCCCAAGAGAGCCTCAGGAAAGCCTCAGCAGTTTTAGCTCCCCATGCCATCTTCCTACCACATGAATCTCTCTCCTCCCACCTCCAGATGAGACAAGGCTCTCAGGGGCAGATTGATTTGGGAGCAGATTGAATATTTGTGAGGATGCCTCCTGCTGTTTCTACCTAGATTAGCTTCTGAACAGTGGCTAAAGTGATGCCTCTTGCCATTTACAGCCTGGACTAAATGGAACTGCTGCCCACCTTATCCCTATCTTCACAGGGCCTGCCTAGGCACAGGTACCCCTACAGAGTTGCCTCAGGTTGGAGCTGGGGAAGAGGTGTTGCCTGTGTCCCCTTCACTCAGATCCTTGATCTTGTGCTAAGAAAGTGCTTTGGCCTTAGGATCAGGGGACTCTTTGTGAATCCGGCCACTGCTCATCCACTCACCAGCTGTGTGAACTCACAAACTTTCCAAAACACTCTGAATCTATTTCCTTCATTGGGCAATAAAGATCCCTACCTCACACCATTGCCATAAGGAGGAAGATATGAGATAGCACCTATTAGATGCCTCTTCTATAGTAGGTAATATCTGTTGAATATGAACCTTTCAGTTGTATATATGGAATAGACATCCTTTGTAGTTATAGGCAAGACTCATCTTACATAAAGCTTATGGCAGTGAGAAGGCTTTACCAATTTTAATTTGAATGGGTCACAGATTATTTAGGAACAAGTTGGACATGGGGGACAAAAGACAAATGACCCAGGCCTGGAGTGGAAGGGGTGGTGAGGAGCAAGGAATGAATATGGAAGCTAGGGGGAACCATGCCGTAAAGAGGTAAAGTTCTAGAATACCACTGGGCCACAGTCTAAAAACAGCAGTGCAGCCCATTGTCTTGGAGTTGAGAAGCTAGAATGGCCTGGATTCAACTGCTATACGTGGAAACAAAGGGGACTTTTCCAACAAAAATAAAAAACATAGAGCTGTGACTCAACAGTAGCAGAAATGAGATGAAACTAAGAAAAGTAACTTCTAAAGAAGGCTGGCTTTGGACACCATGAATCTACCAGGGATCCCAAATATTCTGTAGGAACTAGTCAGAGAACACAGAGGACTGAAATAGGGGCCAGAGGAGGGAAGCAGGTGAAAAGTGCTTGCATTGTGAGCAAACACGTTGCGTACCTGGTGACTGCCTTTAAAATACTGCCATGTGGCCCACAGGTCACAAGTTCATGACCTCTGCCTGCAGACCCACCAATTTCCTATATCTATGTAGTTTGTGACCCCACATTCTTCTCATTGCAATATGCTAATTTCTTGGTGAGATGGGCTGCTGGGGTGGACGTTGTTGACAATGGGAAATGGACACAGCCAAAGAAGAGATGAGACAACCGATCTAGGCCATCGTCATGGCAAAGGACTCCTATTTAGGAGTCTGGAGGTTTCATCTTCATAGTGGAAGAGGCCTCACCAGCTTCTGATTTTTAGTTCAGCCAGCTAGACTATTCCTCACCACTAAGGTGTACATTTTTGTTTTTAAATCCATGAAAATGAGATTGCGTATTTACGAAGATTTTCTTATATTTAAAAAATAGTATAACCTAGTTCTAGAAGATGACACAATTGTCTCTCTGGGGTGCCATCTTTACCTGTTCCACTGAGAAGTAGTCATCACTGGGTGGAGAAGCATGATTGCGAGCTGGTCCCATGAGCTACGCAAGCCTGACTGACACCATTGCAAAGCAGAGATTGCCTGTTCTGACATAATCACCACCACATCTCTGGCCCAACTTGCCCACCTGCAAGTGGCTCCCATGCAGATCAAGCAAGAATGATGTCACCAACCAGTCTTAGAAAGCATGTAAAGTAAATGGCATATATCTATGGGCCCCAAAACTGGAACATCCAGGAAACAATCAAGTGTCTCTTCTGGGTGTCTTGGTGGTCCCTGTGGTCTTACCCAAGATGATGAGCAGATACCTGGGGTGTAAGAAATCAGGTCCCATCTTCGATTGGACTTTTCATTTGTTGAATGGCTGTGGACAGGTCTCTTCACACCTATACTTGTTTCTCATTTGCAAACAGGAGAATGATCTCTTCCAACCTCATTCTTGAATGACCTGGAAGGTTGATTAGCACATCCTAATTCACTCCAGACTATGGAAATGATGCAGCACTCCATCATCATCACGGACATCGCACACCCATGGGATTCATAAGTTACATCGAAATAATTAAATCCTTCCCAGTGGCCTTCTTGAAAATAGTTGTGATATGGAAATAAAATTAACCTCATAGATAAGCACCAAACTACCATATTGAAAGAGGTTTTTATTTGGGGGTCAATTTTCTCTCTAGGTTTCCATCATATTGCTCATCACAAGCAAAAATAATGAACACAAAACCATCTTAATACCCACAGAGCTGGAATACACCACATCATCACTATTGAAGGCAGATTATAGATAAAAGGAGATAGTTGAAAACATCATTTACATTGCCTTGGATTTGTTTATTACTGAGTAAATGAAAGGAATTTTACAATAATAGAAACATAAACAATAAAACCGTTAAGTCAAGAATAAAATAGCAATTGCTAAATAATAAAATGGAAGAAACAATACACCAAAAAGTCTTGACCAAAGATTGGTATTTTAACAGAGTACAAGGTATAGCTCTATACATCCATACTTGCTGTTCTTTTATAAATTTTTTAAAGTTGCTCTTTCTCAGAATTATAAGAATGATATTCAAGTCTAAAATGCCTAGCTTTAACCTGCTAGATAAAATTGGATGTTCAAGGAAAGAAGGATAGAGGTAGATGTAACCACAGATTCTGAATTTAGTGTAAATTCTTACCTTACTTTTATCTCCCTCCCTCTATTCCTGACCAAAAAAATTTTTAAGAAAATGTAAAGGAGACTATCTTACAATAATAACCCTATTGTCTCACATGCTTGCATTTTCTTAGTCCTAAATTCTTCTGTGACCTTCCAGAGGAAAGACCTTGATGGCTTGGTTGTCCTCATTTGACACATTAGCCACTGCTTTCACATACAGAAAACTGGAGTCAGGTGAAATAAGCATTTATGGAATCACTTTCAAAATACACAACCCTGTGTTTTCAGAAAGCAGTCTGTGCCACAGGCCCATCAATTTCTGTAATCACATCTCCCACTGGCTAGACACCAGTCAGAACATATTCAAAGAATTCAAAGGCTTCTCAGTAAAAGACAAACCAGCTTGAATTTGGTTCCAGTATTCAGATGGGGAGCCAGCAGCACTTGGCAGTCCAGGAGCTCAGTAAGTGTCCCCAGGGACAGTTGCAAGGGACTGATCTCTCTATGGTTCCCCCAGCCACAGGAGGAATCAAGAAGTTTTATTTCCTCCCATGTATATCCTGAGGCTTGAAGGTCCTGTCGTTCAGGACACAGTTTGAAGGAGGAAGTTGAGTGCTGTTCCCTGTGGTATGACCCCTGCACTGAAGACTGACCAGCAGAAGTTCTAGCCTGGTGCTGGGTTCCATAACAAATCTGCTGAAGTTCCGTCTTTGCGTAACGGAGGCTACCGTCTGTTCCTGAGCACAGGCTGGAGAGAAGGGTCTTCGCCTCTTCAGCCAGGCTTAGCGCTGGCAAAGAAAATGAGCTTCTTTATACCATGACCCTGAGTAGTAGAGACAAAGCCATTTCCTCCAGTCCCATAAGAAGTGGCACAAGAGGCAGCTCCAAGAAAATGGGCATTTTAAAAGCATGTGTGTTTGTGTGTTTCAGTTGCTTGAGAAATAACTTCCAGGTCCTTCTCAGGCATGCTACAAAGCTAATGCCATGGGTGATTCAGCCTGAGGACGGCAGTGCTGTTGCCCTTCCATAAGCTCCTAGAGCCATGACAATGTCCTCCCCCAGAGGTGCTGCAGTGAAGCCCACATTTGGAAGGCAAGACACACTCCTATGTCACACAAGCTTTCAGTCATGACACAGCCTACCTCACAGCTGAGGTGCCTCCAACCCTGTATTCACTGGAGTCGTTCAGGTGTGTGTTCTGTGAAACTGATCAGCCTGTTTAATTTGGAACTTGCCTATGATTGCCCCATCAGCCTATGTTATTCTGGGCTTCCAACTGTACATTTCAGATCCAGTTTTCACATGCCTGAGAAACTGTGTTATGAGACAACTAAGATATTTAAGAACTTTTATAAGCATTTTCACTGAACTCGCAAGTTTGCTTAGAGCAGTGGTTGTCAAGGTAGGATCCCTTGGCCTAGGTGTGCCAGCATTGCCTGGAAACTTGCTAGAAATATACATTCTCAGGCCCCACCCTAGAAACCCAGGGGGAGGAGCAGCAATCTGTGTTTTAACAAGGCCTTCCATTGATGATTCAAGTGTTTGGAACCACTGGCTTCACCACGGTGGGGGAAGGCAAATAGATACACATATGAAATCTCTCAGTATCATCTGAATGTAGAATAATTTTTCCCACTAAGCAAAAGCCAAGCTTCTTGTGTTAAAGTAGGAAATGAAACATAGGGTTGAATTTCACTTCATGGATCTTCGTCAAATCTGTTTCTCTTGGAGCAGAATTCTTAACCAGGCAAATAAAACAGAGCAGAAAATGCCCTGGGGGATATTTTAAACACCCCATTGTTTTTGGCACAGGAAGACATAGTCTTTACCTCTCAGTTGCCTCCAGGCAGCTCCTGTCAGACAACTCAATTAGACTGATGTGGGAAGCCGACAGGTTTGCGGTTTATCTCTTCCAATGCTGGCTCCAGCATGACCATGTTCTTTCTTTTTTTGAGACAAGGTCTTGCTCTGTCACCCAGGCTGGAATGCAGTGGCGTGATCACAGCTCTCTGCAACCTCCGCCCCCTGGCCTCAAAAGATCCTCCCTTCTCAGCCTCCCAAGTAGCTGGGACCACAGGGGCATACCACCACTCCCAGCTAATTTTTATATTTTTTGTAGAGACGGGGTTCCACCAGGTTGCCCAGGCTGTTCTCAAACTCCTGGGTTCAAGCGATCCACCCTCCTTGGCCTCCCAACTGCTGGGATTACAGGCATGAGCTATCATGCCTGGACCAAGACCATTTTCAAGATCTAGTAAGAAAGTTGGTGAAAAACGACAACCACATAATCTGTGTCACAAAGACAGATAAAATACTTTCCAGTTTATCTGGTCACCTCTCACTGAAAACAGGGATGCTGCTTGACACACACAAAGATTTTCTTGGTAACAATATCGAATACCATGACTGGCAGCTCCCTCTGAGAAAAATGGTAGGTGAAATAGAAAGCTAACCTATCTAATGTTTGTTTCCCTTCTTTTTCTCATTAAATAAAAAAGCCAATATTACAAATACTAACTCTGTCTTTCAGAGACTAGAGAATGTTAACTCTATTTCAGAAACCTGAAGATAAGGTCTTCCCTTAGAAATCTGCCAATGGTTTTATGGTTTTCATCAAGGAACCAGTGGCCTGGTTGAAAACTTAGCAACTTGAGAGACCTTAAGTCTCTCAAAGGATATAAAATCCCATTTTGTCAGAAATACCAGACTTGTTCAACAAAGATGTTCAGTTTTTTAAAATATGAATAACATTTGAGTTCTTATCTCACGTCTGATTTCTTAATTATTCAGTTTAATTAGTTGCTATTTAATAATGCTAAAACTAATCAATAAAAAGAAAGGGGAAACTGTAATGTTGCTGTCTCCACCATTATTTAAATATAAAAGAACTGTCTTTCAATGAAGTTCATAGGATTAGTTTCCAATTCTTATTTTTCTTGAAAATCCATTTTTTGGTGGAATAATGTTGTTATGTAGTTTGCTAAATACTTGCTTTTTTATTAAATTTAGGAATGGTTCTTAAATGTTTTATATTGAAATACTTATCATTTTTTTCCTATGCCCTTGAGGTGATGTGTTATATAAATTGATTTATTAATATTTAATTATCTGTACATTCACAAATAAGGCATATTTGGTCATTTATTATTTTGCTGCATTGTTACACTAGAGTTATTATTTAGCATAGATTTTTAATATCCTATTATAAGTGAAATTGAGCTGCAGTTTCTAATTTTGCATTCTTTTTGTTAGGTTGGAGATTAACATTCCAAATACTATTTCTTAGATCAACGATGAAAATTTTAATTAACAGTAAAGTGTTATGGGTGTCCCTATCATTATCAACAGACAAATAAGTAAGGAGCAAATAAAGACACCAGTTCTAATGGCCAGATTTAGTATTCATATTATATGTATTCATATATGTCTGTGTATTCTAGCCAATACAATATCAAACAAACAAAACAGATGCATGTAAGTGGAAAGAGATAACATTTCATCCCAATATATAATTGCCTGTGTAAAAACAAAACAGACAGCCAGGCGCAGTGGTGCACACCTGTAACCCCAGCACTTTGGGAGCCTGAGACAGGCAGATCATGGGGTCAAGAGATCGAGACCATCCTGGCCAACATGGTGAAACCCCATCTCTACTAAAAATACAAAAATTAGCTGGGTGTGGTGGCAGGCACCTGTAGTCCCAGCTACTCGGGAGGCTGAGGCAGAAGAATTGCATGAGGTTGCAGTGAGCCGAGAGTGCACCACTGCACTCTAGCCTGGCAACAGAGCGAGACTCCATCTCAAAACAAAACAAAACAAAAAAACAGGTATAAACACACATACATAAACAGAAACTTAAAAAACTAAAACTACAATAGCTTTTATATTTTTGTGTATTATTATACATATATACATACACACAGAATTGGAAAACACTGAAAAAAATTATATAATTCACAGTAACAACAATACACAAAATACCTAGGTTTTACTTAAGGGGAACTGTGTAGGACATGTAGAAAAAATATATTTAACAGAAGAATGTAAAGAGAAAGCTAATCAGGCCAGGTGCGATAGCTCACACCTATAATCCCAGCACTTTGGGAGGCCAAGGCAGGTGGATCACGAGGTCAAGAGTTCCAGACCAGCCTGGCCAACATGGTCAAACCCCGTCTCTACTAAGAATACAAATTAGCCAGGCGTGGTGGTGCATGCTTGAAATCCCAGCTACTTGGGAGGCTGAGGCAGGAGAATCACTTGAACCCAGGAGGAAAAGGCTGCAGTGAGCCAAGATCACACCACTGCACTCCAGCCTGGGCAATAGAGCAAGATTCCATCTCGGGGGAAAAAAAAAAAAAAGTGAGAAAGCTAATCAATAACCTCGTCAATGTTAAAGAGATGTCAATTCATCCCAGAGAGATCCAGTGGATTCAAAATATTTCTCAACTAAAATCCTAGCATTCATTAAGCAATTTTACATTCTAAGAAAAACTGCTCTGGAAGCTTTAGGTTGCCAGGTAAGATACTCCCACCACGAACTAATCAGGCAAATGCCCAGAAGAACTTCAGCCTTCTCAGGCAACGTTTACGGAGCTCATGACTTTGGGCAAACAGCAATCACAACACTGGCAATGAGAATGCTGTGCACAGTCCTGGAGCACCTGGCCAGAATGTGGAAGCACTGGCAGGTGCCCAGGGGTACTCAGGTGTGCCACCAGTAATGAGAACAGCTGGTACCCAGTGGGGAGCCATTGTGGGCAGCAGCAACTGCTCTGGGCAAATCATCCTCAGCTGGTCCTTAACATCACTACCCAGCAACAGCAATCCCCATTGGAATGCTCAAGTCCCCATCTGAGTGCTGAACAGCTGCAGCCTGAGGCTCCAAGGGAGAGTACTCTCTGTGGACTATAGAAATGGTAGGGAGGAGACAGCCCTGGGCCAGAGGATGCAGCTAAAAATCTCTGAGCAAAAACCACCTCCTGTCAACCACCAAAGGGAGAAATGGAGTCTAGTCTTGCTTCTCAAATTTGACTATGTGTCACTGTGACGATAACTCTTATGTCTTTATAGAAGGAAGAGGGATGGAAGGACTGGCCCCTGCCTGCTCCAAGCACTGCCACTGTGTAATAGGACAACCATAGGTTGACAGGTACCCAACAGAGTACGGATCAGCACTGCCCAACTCTGGGACGTGCCATTCTACCATATCCACAAGGCCAGTGTGAATGCCAAGCCACAGAAGACAGCAGAGCATGGGCTGAGTCGTCAGTGGGCAGGAACAGGGCTTCCCCTACAGAAGCCCGGGCTGCAGCCCTCCCAGTGGTGTTCAGGCCCCTCAGGCACACCAGCAAGACCGTACTCTTTCCCCACTAGGCCACCGAAGAGAACCCTGGAAGGGAGCAGGGCGTGTGTGAGGTCTCTGGTTTGCTGTTTGACTCCTTCTGGCATTCAGTTCCATCCCTCTCCTCCCACCCCTCCCCAAATTCCACTTACTTCAATATCTCCATTCAAATGCCTGCTTCTCTTCTAAGAGAGGCATATTGCCCCACCCTCTCCTTCCCCACTTACAGAGAGCTCTATCAGAATTTACCCCCACGTTCTCTGGCACTTTGCTTCAATCTCCAGCAGGGCACTTGCTCTGAGCTGCCTTTCCTTCTAGTTAGTTGAGTTCAAGTCTGTGGACTGCAGACTCCATAAAGGAGCTGGGACCATCCCCTCCTTTGGTGCCTGGAACAGTAGTTTGCACAATAAATATTCTGAGGATGCTCAATAAATATTTTTTGAATGAAATTCATTCCTTCTCTGCCTGTCATTGAGTTGTGGAGGTGAAGAAAGTTCAGGTTCTTTTGGCACTTCCTTGGGACCCTCCGGACCCAAAGCAGTTAAGTTCTTGTGTGTTAATGAGATGAAGAAAAGAACCCAGCCCTTGGGATCCCTGGTTGTCATCTGATTATGCTCTGTTTGGCTTCTTGCAAAAAATGCCCAAGCACCATCCGCTTGCTCCAGTTCTGCTTTCATTCCAATGCTTGCCAGAGACCAGCTTAATTTAATTTTGCTCCCACAATGTGATGTTCACACAAAAATCTTGAATGTTTCACACTTGCCAATGTTTGAACATGGATTTCTTTTACAC
Organism: Homo sapiens; assembly: GCF_000001405.40. Classification (NCBI taxonomy): domain Eukaryota; kingdom Metazoa; phylum Chordata; class Mammalia; order Primates; family Hominidae; genus Homo; species Homo sapiens. Next base: position 40,458,057 of record NC_000013.11, read on the forward strand.
TCTCCGTTATATTTTCTTCTGGAGGCTTAGTTTGGCAAATTCCGCCATTTCCTTTAAGAGAAGTGCTGTCTCTGCCAATAAAAAAAATGTTTCAAGCCAAAATCCTTTCTTCCATACATACGTACAAGCAGAGTGTATACACCTCATGCATAATCCAATGCAGGATCTCACTGTCCTATGGAGGGTGTAGGGGGGAAGAAGGTTGGTGGTGTCCTTGCTCACTGGGACAGTCGCCCAGGGGACACGAGACATATACAGCCAGTCTCCTTGTGCCTACCAGGGTCTGGCAGCCCATTAGAAGGAGCCCAGCCCCAGCAAATTAGGGGTTGGGTAAGCAGCTGTGGAGCCTTTTACTTCAGGGATCTTGTCATTCGATGCCTCAGCCTTAGCTTTCCAGTGCATGCACACATGAGCACGTGCACGCATGCACACACACACACACACACCCTGCTTTTTGCCTGCCAGAGAGCAAGAAAGCTATTGCCAGCCATAGGACAGCCAAGAGCAGAGTTGCAGCTGCATCCAGGATGGTCCTGAAGGAGAGGGGTGGAAAGCGCTCTTCTCCCAACCACGCTCTTTGTCCTTAAGGGGTGTCCAAATCACTGATGCAGCCTGAAAAGAAAATGTACACGCACGCTGAACAAACTCTGGTGCAAGAACCAAACAGGACCCCCTCATTGCCTGAAAGCTATTCAGTAGAGGGTGATGTAAGACAATTTAATCCTTCCGTGGGCAGAGGACCTTGTGCACAGAGGGGCAGAGCTAGTGCAACACGAGCTCACTCCCATGGAGGAGTCCATGGCAGAAGGCACAGTTCACTGGCAGGGCACGATCCTAGGGTCATTTTCAGGATTCGCTTCGCAGCTGCGGTAGCTACTGACGTGGGAGTAAAGGGTCTCTTCATTGCCTTGTAGGTGGTTAGATGTCTGGACAAGTGTAGTTCACAACATGCCACGGCAACTAAAAATGATACAACAGCAAGACAAAAAAGAAAAGTAGGAAAAAAGAAAGGGAGAGAGGGAGGGAGGGAGAGAGGGAGGGAGGGAAGGAGAGAAGAAAATTTTAAGTCTCCACTTCCCGCAGACTTAAGCATTCTGGTAGAAGAATCAGCGTATCTTGCTCAGGAATAAAGTTGCCTGTATGGAGGGATGAGAAGCAGAGGTGTCTCTGAGGCCCAGGTTGATGGCAGCCCCCACAGGTGTCAGGTGAGAAAGAGAGAACTTCCAAGTGTCAGTGCCACAGAAGGACCCAAAAGTCTCTTCCTCACCTCATCAGCTCCTAAGTCTCCGTGGATACGGCTGGGTGGAGCGGGAGGATGATCACAGGGTTTAGAGACAAAAAGCTGAGATATTGAGTCCTTGTTCTTTTCTTCCTTATTATACAATTGTCACGATTATAAAAAAATTCCTTTAGCCTCTTTGAATACAGGGTCTCGTAGGTGGTGGCCACAGGGAAACAGGAATTTAAACTGAAAAAGTAAACTGGAAATGGCCAGCTGCTGATCAATGGGCAAAACGTTCCAGCTAAGCAGGACTTGGAAGCTCTAGAGATCCCTGTACAACACTGTACCTGTGGTTAATAATGTATTGTACACTTAAAATTTTTAAGAGGGTAGATTTCATGTTAAGAGCTCTCACTAAAATAAAATAACATAACATAAACTGAATCCATCAGCTGTACAGCAAAAGAAGTCAATCGGAGCAAAATCTTCACAGCCCAGTTTGCCAGGCACAGAACGCTGTGGCCCTTCTCTGACGGTTCTGCCTCTCGAGGAGATATTGGCTTCACTTTTCCTTGACTCCTTGGCACAGAGATCCAGAAGGCACGCTACACTCCAGAGCATTCCCACCTCTGCATCCCTCTAAGCTGCCTTGGTGATGCCAGCTAAGCCAGAATTGAAAAGTCACTTGGCCGGGCGCAGTGGCTCACGCCTGTAATCCCAGTATTTTGGGACGCAGTGGCAGGAGGATCTCTTGAGCCCAGGAGTTCGAGACCAGCCTGGGCAACATGGTGAAACCTTGTCTCTGCTAAAAATACAAAAAGTTAGCCAGGCATGGTAGCACATGCCTGTAGTCCCAGCTACTCAGGAGGCTGAGGCACGAGAATTGCTTGAACTCGGGAGGCAGAGGTTGCAGTGAGCCAGGATCACACTACTGCATTCCAGGCTGGCTGACAGAGCGAGATTCCATATTAAAAAAAAAAAAGAAGAAAGAAAAGTCACTTACCAGAAGCTGAGGCACATTCCCCAGGAGGAGGCCTGATTTTCTGAAACAATCCTCACTCATCTCAGCAATGACTGGGAGGAATCCAAAGACCTCTGGCCAGCTCATGAATTGTGGCAGGCAGAGCCCTGATGCATTTTTAAAACATCAAAGTAATTTATTAGACTCAGTTGATATTGTTGACAGATTTATTGAAGTATAGTTGACATATGATAAACCACACATATTAAAGTGTACAGTTAAAAAGTTTTGACAAATGTATATGTGAATAATGGCCCCACCAAAGATACCCCTGTCCTAATTCCTGGAACCTGTAACTGTGTTACCTTACATGATAAAAGGGACTAAAAAAGGGACTTTGCCGATGTGAAGACGTTAAGGATCCTGAGATGGGGAAAGTATCCTGGATTACTCGACTGAGCCTGATCTACTCACTAGGGCCCATCCTCATAAGACAGAGACAGGAAAGTCAAAGTGAGGAGACAATTAGGTGACCATGAAGCAGAGACCGATGTGATGTAGACACGAGCTAAGGAATGTGGGCAACCTCTGGAAACTGGAAGAGGCAAGAAAACAGATTTTCCCCTAGAACCTAGCTCCATTAGGAAGCAGCCCTGCTAACACCTTGATTTTAGCTCCCATATTCGTTTTGTACTTCTGGCCTCCAGATTTAAACCACTAAATTTGTAGTAATTTGTTGTAGAAGCAGTAGCAAACTAATACAGTATATATCCATGAAACCATCAACACAATCAAGATACGAATATGTACTTCCTTCCCACCTTCACCCACTGTCCCCAGGTAACCACTGCTTTCAGTCACTACAGTTTAGTTTGCATTCTCTAGAATTTCATATAAATGGAGTCATATACTATGTACTCTTTCTTTTTGAGACAGAGTCTCATTCTGTCACCCAGGCTGGAGTGCAGTGGCGCTATCTCGGCTCATCACAACCTCCACCCCCTGAGATCAAGTGATTCTCGTGCCTCAGCCTCCCAAGTAGCTGGGACTATAGGTGCACACCACCAAGCCCAGCTAATTTTTGTATTTTTAGTAGAGATGGGGTTTCACCATATTGCTCAGGCTGGTCTCGAACTCCTGACCTCAGGTGATCCACCCACCTCAGCCTCCCAAAGTGCTGGGATTACAGGTGTGAGCCACTGTGCCCAGCCAGTACCTACTCTTTTTGATTGGCTTCTTTCACTCAGCATAATTATGTTAAAATCCATCCATGTTTTTGTATATATCAATAGCTTATTCCTTTGATTGTTGAGTAGTATTCTAATGTATATACAGTACAGTCATGCATCACTTCACAATGGATACATTCTAAGAAATGCATCATTAGATTATTTTCTCATGCGAACTTCATAGAGTGTACTTACACAAATCTAGATGGTAGAGTCCACTGTACATGTAGGCTATATGGTATGGCCTGTGGCTCCTAGGCTACAAACTGTACAGCATGTTACTGTACTGAATACTATAGGCAATTGTAGCACAATGGTATGTGTGTATCAAAATATATCAAACATAGAAAAGGTATGGTAAAAATATGGCATAAAAGACTTTCAATGGTGCACCTAGATAGGGTACTTACCATGAATGGAGCTTGCAGGACTGGAAGTTTTTCTAGGTGCATCAGTGAGTGAGTAGTGAGTGAATGTGAAGGCCTAGGACATTACTACACACTACTGGAGACTTATAAACACTGTACAATTAGGCTGAACTAAATTTTTTGTAATGTTTCTTTTTTTTTTTTTTCAAGAGATGGGGTCTTGCTCTGTCACCCAGGCTAGAGTGCAATGGCACAATCATAGGATCACAGCTCACTGCAGCCTCAAACTAGTTGGCTCAAGCAATCCTCCTACCTCAGCCTCCCCAATTGCTGGGACTACCAGAATGTACCACCAAACCCAGCTATCTTTTTAATTTTTTGTAGAGATGGGGTCTCACTATGTTTCCCAGGTTTGTCTCAAACTCCTGGGCTCAAGCGATTCTCCCACCTCAGCCTCCCAAAATGCTGGGATTACAGGCATGAGCCACCATACCTGGCCTGTTTCTTTCTTCAGAAATAAATTAACTGTAGCTTAGTTTACTGTAACGTTTTTACTTTATAGAATTTTTTTTGGCTGGGCCCAGTGGCTCACACATGTAATCCCAGCACTTTGGGAGGCTGAGGCGGGTGGATCACCTGAGGTCAGGAGTTCGAGACCAGCCTGACCAATATGGTGAAACCTCATTTCTACTAAAACTAAAAAAATTAGCCAGCCTTGGTGGCATGCACCTATAGTCCCAGCTACTCAGGAGGCTGAGACAGGTGAATTGCTTGGACCCCGGAGGCACAGGTGGAAGTGAGACGCGTTTGCACCAGTGCACTCCAGCCTGGGCGACACAGTGAGACTTCCTCTCAAAAAAAAAAAAAAAAAATTTGCACTTTTTGACTCTTTTGTAGTAAGACTTAGCTTAAAACACAAACATATTGTACAGCCGTACAAACATATTTTCTCTCTGAATATTCCTATTTGAAAAACTATTTTTTACTTTTTAAAACATTTTTGTTAAAAAATAAGACATGTACACATTAGCCTAGGCCTATACATGGTCAGGATCATTAATATCTGTCTTCACCTCCACATCTTGTCCCATTGGAAGGTCTTCAGGGGCAGTAAGATACATGGAGCTGTCATCTCCTGTGATAACAACGCCTTCTGGAATACGTCCTGAAGGCCCTACCTGGGGTTGTTTTACAGTTAACTTTTTTTAAAAAAATAAGTAGAAGGACTACATTCTAAAATAACCATCAAAGCATAGTAAATACATAAACCAGTAACACAGTTATTGATTATCATTATCAAACACTATGTAATATATAGTAATAATATATATAATTACTCTATATAACGGCATGTGATATACTGTTTTTTCTTTTTTTTCTTTTTCCATAAGTTATTGGGGAACAGGTGGTATTTGGTTACCTAAGTTCTTCAGTGGTGAGTTGTGAGATTTTGGCACACTCATCACCCAAGCAGTATACCCTGCACCATATTTGTAGTCTTTTCTCACCCCCCTCCCACCCTTCCCCACAAGTCCCCAAAGTCCACTGTATCATTCTTATGCCTTTGCATCCTCATAGCTTAGCTCTCATATATCAGCGAGAATATAAGATGTTTGGTTTTCCACTCCTGAGTTACTTCACTTAGAATAATAGTCTCCAATCTCATCCGGGTTGCTGCAAATGTGGTTAATTCAGCATGTGATATACTTTTACGTGACTGGCAGCATAGTAGGTTTGTTTACGCCAGCATTACCACAAACTTGGGAGTAACATGTTGCACTACGATGTCACAACAGCTAGGTGGCTAGACAATCAGAATCTTTCGGCTCCATTACAAGCTCATGGGACCACCATTGTACATGGGATCCATTGTTGACTGAAACATGGTTATGTGGTGCGTGACTACATATACTACAGTCGGTTCATCCATTCACTTGTTGATGACCATTTGGGTTCTTTTCTCCTTTTAGCTATTATAAATAAAGCTGCTATAAATATGCATTCTCAGGTCTTTGGATGGTGTTATGGGTTGAATTGTGCCCCCCAATAAAGGGTATGCTGAAAGTCCTAATCCCTAGTACCTCTTAATGTGACCTTATTTGGAAAGTTCTTTGCAGATATAATTAGTTTAGATGAGGTCATACCAGAGTAGAAGGGCTCCTAATGCAACATGATTATAAGACATGTCCTTATAAGAAGGCAACTATGTGAAGACAGGGGACACGCAGGGACCATATGACAGCAAAGGCAGAGGCTGGACTAATGCAGCTGCAACACAAAGAATGCCAAAGATTGCCAGCCACCACCAGAAGCTGCGAGAAGGCAAGGCAGGCGTCTCCCTTACAGGTTTCACAGGGAGCATGGCCCTGCTGACATCTTGATCACACACTTTTGGCTTCCAAAAAAGGGAGACAATGTATTTCTGTTGTTTTAAGCCACCCAGCTTGTGGCACTTTTTCATGGCGGCCCTGGGAATGTAACACAGACGGATGCACGCTTTCATTTTTCTTGGGTTAATACCTAGGAGTGGAAAAGCTGGATCATATGGTAAGCACATGCTTAACTGTTTAAGAAACTGCCCAAGTATTTGCCAAAGTTGTTGTACCATTCTCCATTCCCAGCAGCAGGGCATGAGCGTTCGCATTTGTCTACATCTTTGCCAACACCTGGCATGATGAGTCTTTATAATTGTCGCCCTCCTAACGGGAGTGTAGCGGCGCCTCGTTGCGGTTTTATTTGCATTAACTGCATGACTAATGATGTTGAGCATCTCTTTAGTGAAGTGTCTGTGAAAATCGTGTGTCCACTTTTCAATGCGGTTGTTTGTTTTCTTAATATTGAGTTTGAGAGTTCTTTATATATTCTGGATACAAGTCCTTTATTAAATATAAGCTGTGCAAATATTTTCTCCAAATCTGCAGGCTGTCTTTTCATCCTCTGAACAGTGTCTTTCAAAGAGCAGAAGCTATTAATTTGGATGATGTCCAGGACAAGAGCCTTCTGAGTGCTCTACCCAATGCCCTGTCTATGATGAGATTTTCCAGTTTGGCTTATGGAAGCAGGCACTATTCCCAGCCCTGTGTGAGTGCCGGGCACTCTTCCTTTCATCCTTTCGTGTGGTTCTTTCCCTGGCCTTGTGCAGATTCTTCACACACAAGTGCTGATTAGTACTCTACTAACTCTGCTGCAGACCACCAAATTTTTCTCTGTGGTCAGTGCTCTCCTCGCCAGCCCTCTGCCCTGTGCTAGCCCTGAGAACTTGTTCTCCCTGGACATCCAGCTCCATTTCCCCAGCTAAGGAAGTGTACTGGGCTCTACCTGAGTTTCCCGCTCCTCCACTGTGGTCAGCAAACTCAAGTCAGCAGGCCAGGGCAAGCCCAGGCTCACCTCACATGCTTCTCATCTCACAAGGATCACTGTTTTTCATTGCCTGGAGTCCAGTGTCTTGCTGATATCTCTTGCTCAGTGTGTGGGCAGTTTTAGGTAAGACAGTGAACCTGGTCTCTGTTTCTCCGTCTTGGGAGAAAGCAGAAATCTGCCCTGGTATATTCTTGAGACAGAGTCTCGCTCTGTCAACCAGGCTGGAGTGCAGTGGTGCGATCTCACCTCACTGCAAGCTCTGACCCCCAGATTCAAGTGATTTCTGGCTAATTTTTGCATTTTTAGTAGAGATGGGGTTTCACCATGTTGGCCAGGCTGGTCTCGAATTCCTGACCTCAAGTGATCCACCCTCCTTGGCCTCCCAAAGTGCTAGAATTACAGACGTGAGCCACCGCGCCCAGCCTGCCCTGGTTGGGATATGATGCTACCCATCCAAATCCATGCTTCGAGGAGAAAAGTGCAGAGAGAGACTGCTTTGTGGCCTGGATGGGAAGGCTAACAAGTGCACACCACCCCCTAAGCATTCCCAAATTGTTTCTGTCCCCAGGATCTAGACATAAGTGACACAGTGATCTATTTGCCTTTTTCTCTTGTTTTCCCAGTGATACAAATACCCCTGTCACCCCATAAGCAGGCAGAAGCAAGAGCCACCCGTGGACTGTCAGATATTTCACCACAGAGCAGCAAATATCAGGGGAACAGGACAAGGGAGCTCTGATCATCAAACTGTTTGATCTTTGGGAACTGCGCTAAGTGTTTCTATTGCAATTTGAGATGACTGCCAATGGCCTCATCTCCTTGGAGAGGAATTCATTCAAGATGGAACTTTGGGCTTTGGAGTCAAGGTAAATTCGGGGCTTATTACTCTCTTTCTCACTGGGGCCATTGCTCGGGATGCCCCACAGTTTCATGGAACTGAGGACTGAAAATGTCCTTGAATGAGATGTCTTCACCAGAGTGTGGATCAGGGCTGTCCAATCTTTTGGCTTCCCTGGGCCACATTGGAAGAAGAAGAATTGTCTTGGGCCACACATAAAATACACTAACACTAATGAGAGCTGATGAGCTAAATTTAAAAATTGCCAAAAATATCTCATAATGTTTTAAGAAAGTTCACAAATCTGTGTTGGGCCACATTCAAAGCCATCCTGGGCTGCATGCGGCCCGCAGGCTGTGGTTGGACAAGCTTGGTATAGATACTCCTCTCACAGACTACGTGTGATGCCCAGGTTCCCTGTCAGAGACTGGCAGGGAGCGTAAGCTAAAGGGCCTTATGTAAGTGTGGGCACCTGGCTCCGTCAGTCTTCCAGCAGAGGCAAGCTCCACCATGAGGCCCATTTCCCCACTGGCCTGACTGCATGCCTTAATCAGGAAGCAGGAGCTGGCTTCTCTGGTTATCACTCGTTCCTTCAGCAAACAATTATGGAGCATCTTCCATGTTCCAGGCAGTGGACTAGGATCTGGAGATGCAGAAATGAATAAGACACCATCATCATCTGGTTGGGAAGACCGATGCAGAAGCAGGCAGTTAGAAGATAGGCAGAAAATGCATTCCAGAGATAGGCTTAGGTGAGGGCAGCTGAGCCCTGAATCTCAATAACATAACATAACATAACATAACATAACATAACATAACATAACATAACATAACATAACATAACATAACGCAGTTAATATTTATTAAACCCGTCACAGTCAGGCCACCCACTGGTGAGAAGGTCCTGCCTTTCAATGAGCTCTACTTACCAGTTCTAGATTTACCTTCTGAAGACACCCAAAGGAAATCTGCTCACTTTGCCCGAAGCACTTTTTCCTTATTTGAATTTGGCCTCCTGAATCATTTTCATTACAAGGAAACTATCCACAGTCCCCACACCAGTGGAGAAAACTGCTCAGCCCTTTGAAGGCAGAATGGGACTGGAATCCAGTCATTTATTAGTACTGTGGCCTGGAGCAAGTGATTTCACCTCTCTATGTTCCTGTTTCCTCCGGTGTAAAATAAACATGCATCATTATAGTATCGTGAGGAATAAAAGAGATGGTGTATGCTCAACTTTTAATATTAAGTATAGTGTATAGTTAATTCTCAATAATTGGCATCACTGTTAGGGTGAAACATCTTAATCTGATGAGCTTTTAAGCTTCTAGGAGCATTTAAAACAAGTCTGCAGGATAAGGAGGTAGGTCCTCTGATCATTCCTTCACTTACTCTCTGCAGCATTCATCGAGCCAATTTGCACCTCACAACTTCCACAGCAATGGGTATGCAGAGATCATATTTCAAGGATCGTGACCCTCTTCCCTTCACATCTCTCCCATGGTGCGCAGAACAACGCTGTGAGCACAGGAATCCATCGGAAGTGACAGCAAAGAGGAGGAAACATTCTGAGAAGGCCCAGATTCCTGGCAGGCTTCTCCTACCCAGCTTCCTTTCTGGAATTTTCTGGAGACATGAGGAAGGTCACTTATTTTCTATGAACCTTGTTTTTCTCCTCTGTTCTGTTGCAACCTGGTCCAAGCTAGTTTCTTAGCATATTTGGAAAAGTCTGTGTGTGAAGAGTGACGACAAAGGCTCTCGTGATGGTTAATTTTATGTGTCAACTTCATTGGTCTAAGGGATACCCAGATAGCTGGTAAAATATTATTTCTAGGTGTGTCTGTGAGGATGTTTCCAGACAAGATTAGAATTTGAATCAGTAACTGAGTAAAGAAGATCTGCCCTCACCAGTGTGGGCAGGCATCATCCAATCTGCTGAGGGCCCAACATCAAAGCTCTTGATTCCCCAGCATTCAGACTCAGGGACTTCCATCAGCACCCCCGCTCCCATACCTCCATCATCCTACCACCCCCACTCTCAGGCCTTCAAGTGGCAAATGGTGGGTCCTCTCAGACTCCATGATCACATGAGCCAATTCCCATTTATCTATCCATCTATCTATCTATGTATCTAGTCATCTATTTATCCATCCATCCATCCATCCATCCATCCATTTATCCATTCATCCATTTATCCATTCATCCATCTATCCATCCATCCATTTATCCATCCATCTATCCATTTATCTCTGCATCTGTCTATCTATCTATAATCTATCTATCTATCTATCTATCTAATCTATCTGTCTATTCATCCATCCATCTCTTCATCCATCCATCCAACTATCTATCCATCCATCCATCCATTTATCCATCCATCCATCAATCCATCGAGCAGGGCAAGGATAAATCCATCTATTTATCTATCCATCCATCCATCCATCTCTGCATCTATCTATCTATCTATCTATCTATCTATCTATCTATCTATCCATCCATCCATCTATCCATCCATGCATCCGTCCCTCCATCCATCTCTCCATCCATCTGTCCATCCATCTGTCCATCCATCCATCCATCTATCATCCATCCATCCTATTTGTATCTATCTGTCTGTCTATCTATCTATCTATCTATCTATCTATCTATCTATCTATCCATCCATCCTATTTGTTCTGTTTCTCTGGGGAATCCTGACTAACATAGCTCTTTACCTGTCTCATGTCTTTCTCCAAGATTTCCAGGTAGCTGCCCTAACTGGACAAGAGAACACAGTTCTCCAGCTCTTCATTCTATAGCAATTAAAAAAATGTGTGCATGCTCAACCTCAATGTTTTGTGTAAAATATATACAGATACACATATATTATTTATAATTATTTATAGATTGTATATGCATGTGCTTATATATTATGAACACCATAAAATATGCAGTACAAGTTGGAAAATAATGAGATAAAAAAATAAGTTCAAATAGAAGTTGAAATATTTTCTTTCTCCCCACACTCCACCAGATCATCTGCACATCACACGAGTGACTTCTGCTGTATACCGTCTTAGAGGAGGCAGAGGATTACCGTGGAAAGGGAAGGGAGGACATCAACATGTACAACACCTATATGTGGCAGGCACTGTGCTTGACTCAGGAGAACTTGACAGGAGTTCCCCATCTTATTTGCCCACTCTATAAATGAGTCCCAAAACATTTCAAAACAAGTTGAGGTTTTCTCCATTTTTAGCAAAAAGCTGAGCTGTCCAGCCAAGGCTCAAGGTCCCTCTCTGAAGTGCTTCAGGACACCACTCCTCAGCAGGTTCCTAGCAAGATGCCAGCTGCTATTAGCATGATGTAACACCTATACAGACTTTGAGGTGAGTCCCCCAGAATGGCGAGGTCCGTGTCTTTGCTAAGTAGACACAGGGGCATGAGAACTTTGGGGGGTAGTTTCTTAGCTAACCAACATCAAGGGAAGAAAAGGACCCTGGAGCTTTTTCTTTTTTCTTTTTTTATTTAGAGACGAGGTCTCACTATGTTTCCCAGGCTGGTCTCGAACTCCTGAGCTCAAACGATTGGCCAGCTTCGGCCTCCCAAAGTGCTAGGATGACAGGCGTGGCCACCACGCCCGGCCCTCGAGCTCTTTCTTGCCCCTCCAAGGAAAGACTTGTTGATAAGCCTTCTCATTTCCCAGCTGGCACTGTTTCAATTCAGTGCAGCCCCTCCCTAGGAAAGGTGGGCACAAGGGAAGTGCTGACATCACTGGCCAGGTATAGATGCACCTTGTCACCCTCTACCACACCACCACTGCCAGCACACACACTCCCAGGCATGCACACATGTACTCATACACGCATGTATACGCTCATTTGTGCACACTCATACACATGCACACACTCATGAATAAGTGCACACACTCACACAATATACTCTCCCTGGGCACAATGTTCTCTTCCCCAGCTGCCCGCACCTTAAGGCAGAGAAGTGAGGAGGAGGAAGATTCCAGGGTTTCATATTTCTGATAGATGGAGCTCCAACTTGGGAGTTGGAAGAAAAGCCGGAGATGCTGGTGTTCTGGCTGGCCTCCCTCTGAGAACACCCACAGCTCTGAAAGCTTAGTCAATAGTCCATTGTTTGCTGTGAAATTAAGAAGATAAGAGAGTAGAAGAACTTAGTCCAAAATGCTAAGAGAGCAGGCAGTTACTATCTTCCATCTTCACCAGCTAGACTCCTGCCAAAGTGTTTGCCATTCAAGGGCACATTCGAGCCCCGATCTCCCCAGACCTCCGTCTGTGTCCCCACTCCTGCCTCTACCCCCACAGCCCTTCTCTTCTAGCATCTTTCTCCCATCTCTCCCCTTCTGGTGCTCTCCTTCCTTCCTCTTTCTCTCTCCCTTTTCTTCCTCACCCCATGTTGTGCTTCCAGCTCCCCATGCCCTAACGGAGGCCCGTGGGGGTCCCAGATGGGCTGGGCCCTGTTCCTTCAGACAGCTGAGCTCTCACAGTAGATGGACATGCTATAGACCAAAGCCCAAGGAAGGCAGGTGACTGTGAAGCCGAGCCCAGCTGAAAGAATGGAGATGGAGAACCCAGCATCAGTGCTGATCAACCACATGACCTTGGCCAGGTCAATCCACTTCACTGGGCCTCACATCTGTCAAGCAAAAAGCTCCATTTTTAGCTCTACTGAAGAAAGAAATTTTGAGCATGAGGCTAGATGTGTCAAGGGAGCCATCCAGCCTTCAGGAACTATTCCACATCTTTCTGAAATCCAGGAAGGAAGGTTGTTGTCAGAGGAGCTATTCTGAACCAGAGGCCAACTGTGACTTCATATGTGAGGATCGTGAACTAGCTTTCCAAATAGAACTGAATCCGTGGCCTGCTCACTGGCATAAACCCTCCTCGCCTTGGATGAAAGGAGAGTTGGTCACAAGACCATATTTAGCTCACAAAAAATTCACTCCAACTCAGAACTCAGCAGCACCAACAACCCAAAGCCAAGATGTAGCTGCCCCGAAGAGAAAACTTCCCCTTTACTAAAATCATACTTGGAAGTCTGTGTGATACACCAACTCTCCCAACTCAATTCCGATCAAGTCAAAATTCTTGGTCTTAGAATTGGGGGGCAAATGAAACGTGAGGATTAGGACCAAGCCACACGTGCCTAAGCATTCCCTCCAATTTCTCTCACAGGCCCTAAAGTGGTGGGAGAAGAGAGGGAGGGCCAGGTGGCCTGAAGCCATTCCAAACGGCTCAGGGGGGTCAGTGTGATCTTACTCCATTACTCCATCTCTCTGCTGCAAAACCAGATGGAGCTGGTCACGACAGGATGTGGAGACAAGATATTCCAAATGGAGGAAACCAAAAGAGTGAACACCCTGAGCCAGGAAAGCATGACACTCTAGAACAGCAAGGCCAGAGGAGCTCAAGCAGAGGGAGGGAATGAAGCCAGAGGGCATGAGATGAGGGCTGGGGGCTTGACACTCCAGGTGAGGGGTTTGGGTGGATGTGTCTGTGTCTGTCTGTGTTTTAGGTGAAACGAGGTGGGAGGTGAAGAAGCTGTGGATTAGGGTGGCAACGGTGGGAGTCCCACCTGGGGCTCTACTTGAGCAAGACCACCAGGGTAGAACCAGTGCGACCTGCTAAACAAATGGATATGGGGGAGAGAGGAAGAGGAACAAAGAAGCCATGTGGGACTGGGGCCTGGGCAGAGGGGATGCCATTGACCAAAAACAGGGAGACAGAGGACCCTGCCAGGGTCAAGATCCATACAAAAGGTATTTTGCACTCGTGGAGGTTGAGATGCGTGTTATCCATCCAGGTGGCAAGGGACACACAGCACCCACCCCACTATTTTGCCACCAGCGAATGAACATTCATTGAGCATCTGCTGAGTGCCAGCACTTTGCTGCACACCACACAAGCACGTATGCCTTCTATCCCTGAATTGCTCAGGAAGGTTAACACAGTGACTGGTTCCATTACACCTTTTAAATATCAGAGACTCAAAGGAATTAAGTAATACAGGGTCCCCAACCCCCCAGGCTGTGGCCAGGTACCAGTATGTGGCCTGTTAGGAATGGGCCGCACAGCAGGAAGTGTGAGAGCGTGACCACCTGAGCTCCGCCTTCTGTCAGATCAGCAGCGGCATTTGATTCTCATAGGCGCGCAAAATCCTATTGTGAACTGTGCGTGGGAGGGATCTAGGTTTCACGCTCCTTATGAGAATCTAATGCCTGACGATCTGAGGTAAAACAGTTTCATCCCAAAACCATCCCCCCACTGCCACCCCAACCCCAGTCTATGGAAAAATTGTCTTCTATAAAACCAGTCCCTGGTGCCAGAAAGACTGGGGACCGCTGAAGTAATGTAATATATCCAATGTGATCTAGCTAGAAAGTGACAGGCAGCATTTCAACCCAGGGCCTTTGGCTCCAGAGTGCTTAACCAACACTCCATGCTGCCAACCCAATGACACCTTTTATTTCCCCAAAATCTGCAACATCAGCCTCTTTAAGTTGCAGTGTTGGGGGAGCACGTGAGCATCACGTGCCCACTGACAGCCAGGATGGACTTAGCTGAGCTGCACTCTCACTTGGGGTACAGTTGGTTGGTGCTTCTGAATCACCAGGCGGGAGGTGGTGGGGCCCAGTGGTTGACCACAGTCCCAGGGGGAGGGAGAGAAGCAGTGACTCCACCAAAGCAGTGGCTCCACCACCATCATCCTGGAGACACACGGGCTGAGTGGCCCCCACGCTTCCAGGACACCTGTGGGTGAAATGGCTGAGCCCAAAGATTGCCACAGCTTTTCCTAGCCTGAAGCTCCAGGTTTAACAACTGGTACTGCTCTGCAAAAGCAGAAGAGCTTGACCAATGATGAGCCTGAAGAGGCAGAGAGAGAGAATCGTAGCCATCTAGATTAATTTGAAAAGTACCTAGATGCCTGAATCCCCCACCAGAGGGTCACCTTCCCCGCTACCTCCTCTCATTAAAGATTAACTTCAGTGATGATTTAAACAATCAATGTGAGGACTGTGCCTTCAAAATTTCCCAATCACAGTACCTGGGAGGCTATACTACCTGATAAGAAACCTCATGCCGGATTAAAATTGCAGCTACTATGTGTGGAGCACTTACTGTACATAGAGACTATCCTAAGTGATTTCCATATATTAGGACAGCAACCCTGTGAGCTAAATTCTATCATCATCCCTGCTTTTCAAATGAGGAAACTGAGACACAGAAAGGGTAAGTAACTCACCCAAGGCCACCTGGGTAGCAAATGGCAGAACCCGAATCTGAGCCCAGGCAATCTGACCATGCTCATCACCGCTGTGCCTGCCTGCCTGCATCTTGCTTACTCCTGTGATCAGCAGTCAGGGCCTTCCTCAAGACCTGTTTTGAGCTGTATCCCAGCTCAGAAAAGAATGTCTTGATCCATCCAGAAGAATGTCCTTAAGGTCAATGTTTGTGATCACACTGAAGCTCAATCAGGACACAGGGCAGTCAGATGTGCTGGCTTACTGTGCGAGCCCAGGACACCTAAAAGGCTCTGTCAAATCTAGTACAGGTACAGAACCTTCGAGAGAGGACCCAGACAGTATACAGGTGTACAAAGATGAGCAAACAATTGGGGTTTGATTAACATATTTCAGTGTGGACTGTAACACCAGCAGCAGGGCTCAGGGAAGCTATAACACAGAAACTTACTTCAGGAACCTTCCCCACTTCCTATGCTCCTTCTCTCTTCTGTGGTAATCTCTCTTACTACTGTTAAAGAAAAATGATTCAATGGTACTTGTTAAAGCATGGTAAGGCAGGCCCGGGCACAGTGGCCCACACCTGTAATCCCAGCACTTTGGGAGGCCAAGGCGGGCAGAACGCCTGAAGTCAGGAGTTCGAGACCAGCCTGGCCAACATGGCGAAACCCTGTCTCTAATAAAAATCAGACGGGAGTAGTGGTGGGTACCTGTAATCCCAGCTACTTGGGAGGCTGAGGCAGGAGAATTGCTTGAACCTGGGAGGCAGGCAGAGGTTGCAGTTAGCCGAGATCATGCCACTGTGCTCCAGCCTGGGCCACAGAGAAAAAAAAAAAAAAGAGCATGATAAGGCAGACATTATCAGAACCATCATGATAGGTATGAGGACCACTGCAGTGGGGCCTGGTGGTGGGGGAGAACTTAGGCTCAACTCCAAATACAGCATGGACAAATGGGAATTTACAGCCAAGGAGCAGAGTGGGGGTCGATGAATGGAAAATTACTAAGAGGAAACATCAGGGATAAGGGGGACTGTGGCTAAACCGACCTAACAGGATTCTTCCTGAATATAGCCCAGGGTGACCAGACATCACCTAGGGATGGAGGAAGATGATGAGCCTGATTAGATACAAGGGTGAACAGATATGGAGGATGGGAGCTCTTGATAAACTCACTGATTAGGGCTCTTTGTTAAAACGGATTTTACAAGGAAGTGCACAGATGGCCTAGGAAAACGTTGAGGAGTTGGACTACAGCTTGGCCAAGCAGAGAATCTTTGTCCCTATTCACATACAGTGTATTCATCTCTCACCCTACCCCTCATCAGAACGAGGATCCCTCCCGGGCATCTTCACCCAAATGAAGGCATCTCTAACTATGGAACTTTAAGTACTGACCAGCCTTTACTAGTGCTACCATTTGTTGGGCATTTGCTTTGTGTGCTAAGTGCTTTACAAATGTTATTTTATTCCATGGCCCTCACTTCATTTGACCACCAACAACCCTTAGCACAGCTGAAGACTCCATCCTCCTTAAACTCTTTCATCACTTGGCTTCCCAAATACCACCTTCCTTGTTCTTCCTCCCACCCAACTGGCTGTTTACTCTTGTGCTAGCTCCTCTTCATCTCCCTGACCCCCAAATGTTGGCAGGACCCAGGCTCAGGTCTCTTCTCTATCCACAGGCACCCCATATGCAATGCTGTCCAGTCTAAAAAGGTTGTAATTGCTTTGTCCAAATTTATATCTCCTTCCTGACTTCACTCCCTGAATCCCAATCTTTTAGTTCCAACTTCCAACTTAACGTCTCCATTTCTCTATCTAACAGGCATTTCATGTGGTCAAAATGGAACTTTTGCTACCACCCTTCCATCCATGTCTTCCCCAGCTCAGTCTACAGCAGTTCCATTCTTGCAGTAGCTCAGACCAAAAAACTTGCATCATCCTTGATTCCTTCCTTTCTTTCTCATCCTATATCCAACCCAGAAATCTGGTCAACTCTGTCTTTAAAACCAATCCAGCCGAGCACAGTGGCTCGTGCCCGTAATCCCAGCAGTTTGGGAGGCCGAGGTGGTCAGATCACCTGAGGTCAGGAGTTCGAGACCAGCCTGGCCAACATGGTGAAACCCTGTCTGTACTAAAAATACAAAAATTAGCTGGGCGTGGTGGCGGGCGCCTGTAATCCCAGCTACTAGGGAGGCTGAGGCAGGAAAATCACTTGAACCTGGGAGGCAGAGGTTACACTGAGCCAAGATTGTGTCACTGCACTCCAGCCTGGTCAACAGAGCGAGACTCCGTCTCCAGAAAAAAAAAAAAAAAAAAAAAAAAACCTGATCCACAGTCAACCATTTTGTCACCTCCTCTGCAACATTCTGGTCCAGACTCCGTCATCTGTCCTAACTCATCTTGTGGCTGCCATGTCTGCAGAGTCAGTCTATTCTCAACTCAGAAGCCAGCGTCATCCTTTTTAAATATAATGCAGATCACATCCCTGCTCTGCTCAAACTCCTCCAGTGGTTTCTGAGCTACCTCCAGGAAGAATCCAAAGTCCTTAACCATGGCCTGGAATACTCTGTGTAGCTCTCAGATAGCTCTGCCCTCGAATCCTGCTGCCCTCCCAGCTCACTGCACTGCAGCCTCTTCTCTGCTGCCACAAAGCCTTCATACTTGGTGTTCCTTCTGCAAGGAAGAGTCCTTTCTCAAGTCTCCAGACAGCTCATTCAGTTCATTCAGGCAGACTCTCCTTGACCACCCTATCTACAGTAGCAACTGGGATGTGCACACACACACTCACACACCCTCACCATACTCACACACACAACTCACACATCCCACCATCAATCTATTCTGTCACCCCACTTGGCCTTTTTTAATATCATTTATCTCGTGTGGTATATTATGAATGTATTTGTTGATTGTTGTTGTTTTTATTTATTTTCTGCCTTAGTCCATTAGAATATAAGCTCCTTGAAAGCAGAGATTTTGAATATCCAGAATCCAGAATAGAGACCACCACATAGTAAGATTTCAATGAGTAATTATTGAATTATGAATGAATGAATGAATGAATGAATGAAGCATAGTACAGATGAGTTGACTGAGGGCCACAGAGTTTAAGTAATTCTCCCAAGATCATACAGCTGGTAAGTGGAAGAGCTGGTATTCTAACCCAGGTCTGTTTGATTCTGCCTCTCAGAAACCATAACCCATAGGTGAACCCTGATAAATCAAGTGCTGATCCATTGAATGCAAATGCTTGGAGACATCAAACAGCACACTCGAGGCCCTGAGTAGCCACCATAACTTCCTGAGAGGCTTCTCTACCAGAGACACTCCACCTAACGGACTGGGAAGCACAAATGTCCCTAATCCTGCCCTTCTCTAACTCTTCCACACCAAAACACGTGTCTGCACATGGAACTTCTCTGAAATGCCTGGAATTAAACAAAGCAGGCACAGCCCCTGCCCTTTGGAAGCTCAGCAATCTAGAACAAACACTGAGGCACACAGGGTTGGTCTTATGAGCTGGCAACCATATGGTCTGATTTTAGAGGCTAGGAAAGCTTAGTCCAAAAATATCTACCCCTCCCAAATGCCACAGTGCCTGGAATTCCACTGTTAGAGGGATATTTCTGGGAGTTGAAGCACTATCTCCGATTCTGAGTCACTTGGCTTCAGTTACTTTTTTAAAGACAGTACAATGTTGTATTTAGATTTTTTTACCCATTTTTGTGAGTTTATTTATTTTAATAAATGAGTTGATCTCATTACATTTATTATTATAATACATTTGTCACAATTCTATCATCTTAAATAATTTCTTTTATTTATTGTTTCCTCTGTTTTCTGTGTAATCTGAATTTTAGTCCTAATAGTGGTTACCTCCTCGATTTTAAATAAGATGCTTAATTTTCTATTATCAATTAATCAGAAATCAAATAGTATCTATTATCTCCCAAATACAAAAGGTGAGAAAATTAATGATTTTCTATTTCCTCCCATTTCCTTTCCACCTACGCCTTAATCCCTATCAACAGACACTTGTTATTATGTTGTTGAATTTTTTTTCTTCCTTATGGCTGTATTATTATCATTATTGTTATTACTTTTACATTTGGTAAAATTTTTTTTTCTTTCATGGACTTCTTTTAAATGCAATAAAACTCTGGCTAGAGGCTACAGTTATCGTACATCAATATCTCTGCATGAATTAAATACTCAAGTTACTTTTTTTTTTGAGACAGAGTCTCACTCTGTCGCCCAGGCTGGAGTGCAGTGGTGCCATCTCAGCTCACTGCAGCCTCTGCCTCCCTGCCGGGTTCAAGGGATCCCCCCAGCTCAGCTTCCTGAGTAGCTGGGACTACAGGCGCGTGCCACCATGCCCTGCTAATTTTTTGTATTTTTTGGTAGAGACGGGTTTTCACATGTTGCCCAGGCTGTCAGATTACTTTCATTCATTGCAGTAGAGGCTCCTACAGGATGCAGGACAGTAAATAGGCTGGGGGTGGAGAAAACATAAAAAAGGAAATCGGATGACAGATGGGGAAATACATTGAAGGCGAATACCTACTTCTCTGTTTTGCCTTTTGTTGATCATAGAAACAAGGGGAAAACATAATGGAAACTAAATAAACATTCGCAGAGGGCACTAAGATTTCTGACGCTCTCATGGTACGGAAGAGGAGCAGTAAGACACACGTGTGTGGATAATCAAAGGTGAGGATGGTGGGTGGGTTGGCGCAAGAGGTGGGACGAGGGAGAGAAGTGCTGACCATTCCAGGGAGTCCTCTGCATCACTGCTTCTCAACATCACACTTTGAGAGGACTCTTCCAGCTCCAAAGCCCTGTCCACATCACGTCCTGTCCCCACGGTCACTCTGGCCAGGCAGGCCTCTCATTGTGAAATGGGGCCCTGCACACAAAAACAACAGCCTCGTGCTTGTGGCAGGCTGAATTCTTTCCAAAACTGCCCTGGGTTTCTTTATCTCAGCCCCTTGTGAGAACACAGGAAACTCTGCTTCCCCAATCCTGAAATATCTGCCTCAGGAAGGAAGGGATATTGTCTTTTCAGGGGCCTCTGTTTGGCTTGTGAGCCAGTTCGATAGCTTGCTTTGTAAATGCACTGCAAAAGCAAGCCCACTCAGACCTTCCTTGGAAATGGCATATTTGAAAGATAATGTCCAAATCTATTTAAACAGTGGGGGAAAAAGTTAGGTCATAAAACCAGTACCAACTTTGTACAAACTGGTCTAAACGCAATACTGGAGAGGTGTTTGGTTGTTTGGCTTGCTTTCGTTTGTTGATTTTTTTTGTTTGTATTGGCTAAGAATTGTTCAAAAGAAAAATCATTCAGTTTTTTTCTTCAACATTCTTGTCCTACTGAGGGAATAATTCGTTAATTCACCTTTCACTGGATCCAAATGGAATTCATTTTTTAGACTTTATAGAAAACATACAAACCCTCCACTAGTTCAATATTTTATGATTAATTTTTATAAACAAGTAGGCGATATCAGGACATCTTCAGAGATGAATATAATTGAATCCGAGTGCTCTCATGCTGACTATTAAAGGTTTCAATTTAAAATGTTTGCAAGAGACCAGGGATAGGACGAATCTCCAGCATTGCCTCACAGTGCCAGTGTCCTGGGCTTCTAGAAGCAGCAATGGTATCTGTGGTTGGCTGAGTTTTCTGGGCCATCAGCGTGATTTCTAAGCCGGACTCTGGTGCTCATCATGCTCCCACAAGCCTCAGATGGCTTTTATTTCACAGCAGACAACAAACCCATCTTTCTGTCAAAGGCCGTAGGTTGAGGTCCGGAAATGAATTTTTAAACTATGTCTTCAGGCCACTAAATTCCAAGGCCATTTCTCTTTCTCTCTATTCCTAAGGACCCATCACCACAGACCCCAGGTGTTATTTGTACACCAAACACAGCCGTGCAACTAAAGAAATAAAAATAAAAATAAAGGTTAAGCGCTCTTTGCCTCCCACTTCTAAAAGAAACTTCTGGGCAGTGTTTCTCAGTTATGAAATGTACGCTTCCCAGGAGCAGTCTCCGCGTTTTCCAGCGCCTTCCCTGCCTGCCCGGCTCCCCGGACTCTGCTCCTCCCGCTGCCCACCGAAGTGGCCCTGCCTCAAGTGTCCTCCAGCTCACACTGTGCTTCTCAAGCAGTGGCTCCCCAAAGATGTCCCCAATGAGGAGGGTGAACAAAAAGCGCCTTTCACAGGATCTCCCAGGCACTGCCAGAGCGAGGCAGGCTTTGAGGAGCCTGTCAAGGAGGGCAAAGGCCTCGCTTTGAAAACGCTTCTCCAGTGTGCTGGCTCGTGGGACTTGGCAGGCCCAGGGAACGGCGCCGCGGGGAAGAAAGCCCCTGGATAGGCCTCCCTGGCGGGCACCCCCTGCTCTTTTCATTCGGCCCCATGTGACGCCCGTGAGGGAGCTGGCAGGCCAGGGCCTGGTGAATGAATCCTGTTTGTCAGGGCCCCCGCCTTGACTGCAGCCCATACGTCAGGACACACGCTTCCCGACTGCTAAATGACGGCTGAGAAAAGGACAGTGGTTTTCGGTGTTTGTAGGACAGGCAGGAGTGGCCAGGCAAGGACTGAGATCAGTCATAGGGGAGAAAATCCAAAAAGTAAAAACTCCACCGACCACAGGAGACTTTTCTTCTCTGCTCTGGTCAGCAAGAAGGTCCCATGATTCAGCACAGAAAAGCACCCTCTGGCAGCCCGGTCCTGTTTAGTTCTGGGTTCGGTGCAATTTCTTTGTTGAAACTCAGTTTCTCCCTCTGTAAAATAGGTATAGTGACACGAGCCCATGGGAGCTGCTCAGTAAAGCTCTATTGTTTAATCAGCTGACAAATGGCAAAGCCAAGTCCTAAATGCTTACTCAACTGGCCACCAGTAATGGGTGCATAATGAGAGTGAGAATTCAAGGGCAGCCACCTACCTCGCCCATCTGTTTATTTTTCCTGCCTTGGTCTAAAATGGTTCCAAGGCCCCAGACTCACAGCAGTCATGCCTCTTCCGTGGCGGCCAGAAGTGCAGAGGACAGTGTTATTCAAGGTCATCTGAAGAAGGCAGGGACCCACCTGCCACAAAGGGTCGTTGTGAAAATGCAAACGTCCAGGAGCAAGGATTAAGGGGAAGACTCCCACACCGGAGAGCAGCCAAGGGCACCCCCTTGCCGAGAGCAAAAAAAACATGTGGTCACTTCTAGAAGGCAGAGTGACAAGTCAAAGCCTCTCTGTGAGTTAGCAGAAATCATTCCCTCCGGGTGGAGGAATTACACATGTCTTTCTGGGCAGGCAAGTTAGGAAAGGGGTGCCCGTCTGGGCAATCCAGTCAGGACGAGTGCCCCTTTCTCCCAGACTGGGGACGCAGTCTGGAGGGCAGCGCCCACTACCCCTCCCTCTCTGGGCACCGTGGCACACCCTCCGGGGCCCTGCCTTTAACCGCTGTGTAGCCTGACAGGGAAACGTCAAGGTCAAACAGGAGGCCTCTCACAGCTGCAGGAAGGAACACCAAAGCATCTTCTTGAGAAATAAACAATGTTGCCTCTTTTAGCTCTAATTTTTTCTGTATGGCTTTGAAGTGGCAGTGTCTAGGGAAACCCCCAATACCTTTCAAGGGGGGAGATCAAGGACTCCTGCGTGTTGCAGTGAAGTTAATGAAGCCATTCATCCATTCGGCCAACAGCCATCATCGGAGCTCTACAGCGTGTCCCCAGTAAGTCTGCTGTCAACACGCAGACATGGGGGGCGTCAGCACAGCCCTTGACCTCTGCGAGGTCACAATCCAGGGTGGCTGCAAGACCAACAGTAGCACCCCCCACCCCCGACCAATGAAGTCCAGAGGAGCAGAGAAAGTGCTGGCAGACACAGAGGATGGAGCAACTCACTTATTTTAGAAGAACCAAAGAAGGCTTCACAGAGGTGACTTCTGGGGGTGTTCTTAAGTGAGGGGTAGAATTTCTATGACCAGAGCAGCCAGGTGGAGGGAAAAGCAGAAGCATAGCTACGGAATCAGAAGAGTCTGTGCTGTGGCCAAAGCATGGGGTGGGAGGTGCGGAGGCAGGAAGTCCCTGAACACACCAAGAGTCAGAACTCAGGGAGGCAGCGGAGAGAGGACCCACAACTCCACCTGGGCCTTAGGGCAGCTCTGACGATGCTGTAAGGCCAGACTGTAGAGACTAACAATATAGGCATCACCTGGAAGACTTGAATGACCCAGGGAAGATGCAGAGGCTTGAGGACCAAGCCAGAGGGGACGGAAACACAGAGACTCGGGTTTCCAGACCGGACCGGGCGCATGGTGAGGGCACAGGCCTGCAATAGACAGCACAGGAGTGGAGTGGGTTTGGAAGGCCAATGTTGAATGTGGTTGTGGAGAAGCCAAGTCGAGGCTCCTAACAATGCAGTCCTGTAGAAATGCATAACAGTTAACTAACCAGCGATGAATAGCTAGTTTTAAAACTAAAAGGCAAAGAGATTGCAAGGGAACTAGGGCCCTGTACAAGGACCCCTGCCGTGCTCTGGGGCTGTGGGAGTAATTGGGTCAGGGCAACAGTTCTCAGACTTTGGGGTGCATCAGAATCACAGGGCGGTGTGGGAGGCCACTGACAATCCAGGTACCTCGGCCTCACCCCCACTGATTTTGTGTCAGCACCTACAGAAGTAACACCGATTCCAGCTCCCCAGTTACAACATACTACAAATCAAGGAGTCCTTTAAACTTTTTAACTTCTTTCTCACTAATTAACTAGAAATACCCTCCCCTGTTTACCTTTTAGCTGAATAATCTCTTTAACTGATTAACTGAAGTTAATTCTCACTGGCCAGCAAAAAGTTCGGTGAAATTAGCCTCGGGAGAAACTAAGATGGCAAAGGCTATTTTGTGGGAGGTAAGAGAAGAGGGAGAAACAGAGACAAGAGACAGTAGGGGGGAATGGCTAAGAATGGTCCGTCTGGGCATTGTTGGTGAAACGGCTTAGTGGTTGTGGAGTCACTAGAGCCACACGTTGTATGTGAAGTCATCAAAGCGGACATCAGGGAGCCCTGGAGTTGGTCCCTCATCCCCAGGAAAGGAGGACACCGGCTTTCCACCAGCCTCAGCAGGTCCACCCTCAGACAAGGCTCCCCATAGGCTCCTCCTCAGGCTGTCCTGCTGTGAACATTGACCCCACAATCTGCACAACCTGTGTAGAATCACTTCCAAGTTGACCAAGACTTGCTAAATTATCTCATGAAGGACAACAAAGGCACAACTTAAAAATGGAAGAAGGTGAATATAAAGTAAACCCAAAACTCCTACTTTTTTGTCCCTTCTCACACTGCTATAAAGAACAACCTGAGACTGGGTAATTTAGAAAGAAAAGAGGTTTAATTGGCTCACAGGTCCACAGGCTGTACAGGAGGCGTGGCTGGGGAGGCCTTAGGAAACTTACAATCCTGGTGACAGGCAAAGGAGAAGCAGGCACGTCTTCACATGGCAGCAGGAGGGAGCGAGAGAAGGGGGGAGTGCTACATGCTTTTAAAATACCAGATCTCATGAGAACTCACTGTCACAAGAACAGCAAGGGGGATATCTCCCACCATGATCCTATCACCTCCCACCAGGCCCCTCCCCCAACAGTGGGAATTACAATTTCACATGATTTGGGTGGAGACAGAGAGCCAAACCATGTCACCTACCTATCATTAAAAAGTAATGTCCCAACCCAAACAAGCTTGGAGTCAAGGGCCAGCTCCTACCAAACTTCAAATATTGGTGTTTAATAATACGTGTCATTTAGGAACAATGACAAAAGATGAACACATGCATCTTAAAAGCTGACTAGCAAAAGGCCAAAGAAGGAAATGGGGAAGAAAAAGGATATATTTTCCTTTTATCAGAAACCTAGATTAGGCCTAAACTCAACTGGACCGACTATGATCACCTCCTCACCTGCACAGGTGAAGCCACCAACCATCCTAGGTTGTCTGGGACTCTTCTAGTTTTAGCAGTAAAATTCCCACATCCTGGGCAACTTGGGACAGATGGTCACTGTGGGTCCAGGTCATGGACTATGAGAATATGAGAATATGAGTTTGGGTTTGGAAGACTTCCAGCTGACTCCTGGACTGCCACTTACTAGATGTGGGCCACTTAATTTCTCTGAGTTTCATTCAGTTCCTGCACTCTAAAAACGAGGTTTGAAAGGCTGTCTTCATAGGATTGTTTGCAAGGATTAAACCGTAAGGGAACATAAAACACAGAATCGGTGGTACACAGCAAGCTCTCAATCCATGTGAGATGGGAAACATTTATCTGCAACCGTAGCCAGCATAGTTGGGGCAGGATTACCCAGAGACGATGGCGAGCATCAGGTGAAGCAGATGGAGATGTGGGCAGTTGTTGCTTCCTTACAGAGCTGGTCCCTGTCATTTGCACATTTGTCCCCAGCCCTGGGTCCTGGCAAGAAGCCTGGACAAGGAAGCTCTCTATGGGTGCTCGAGAGCCACTGGCAGACGCATGTGCAGTCAGGCAAGAAAGCCACACGCCCAGGCCGCAGCGGCCCTGCCAGTAAGCACTGAGCACCCAGGCAGATGGGAGAACCAAGCTGCAAGCCTTTCCTAGTCTCCCTATGATGAATGAATGACTGTCCTCGTGGGACCACTTCGCAGCAGAGCTAGCAAGAGCCGCGGCACGGATCCTGCCTACACACCTGTGCTCCCGAGCCCTGCAGAGCTTTGGGTCTTCTCACTAGCGGAGTGAGGATGAGGGTGTGCTGACCACAGCAAGGTTGTGTGCGTGCCTCCATGGAGGTGCGCAGAGCAGAAACGCTGCCCCTCGCACTGCCATGGTGGTAAGGAGAGGAAATAAAACCCATGTCTTTTCAAAGATTGTGTGAGTGTCCTTGAACTCCTCTTCTGGCTTTTCAGCAGCTGTTTGGCATATACAGGCGAATGACAGAGAGGAAGAGGGGGCAGAGACTTGTGTAGATGCCAGTGTGTTGCTCACTGCAGGCAGCACTGACTGAGCTCCTGCCGTGAGGCTGACACAGTCCCTGCCCTCCTGGAGATTAACCCTTTAGCATGGGGAGGTGACAGCAGACAAATCAGTAAGTAAGAGAGTGTTTGATGGTAATAAGTGTCCTGAACACAAAACCAAAACAGTAAAGTGATGAGTAATGGGGAGCAGGGGGACTTTCTCAGATGGGAGTCGGGGAGGACCTCTGTAATGGGTCATGTCCGAGCCAAGAGGAGGCTGATGCCAAGGAGGAGGCAGCCATCCGAGAGGCAGGAGGCGCGTGCAGGAAGATGGCACAGTGGCGCCAAGACCAGGGATGGGAGCAAGCATGGGTCTGCCCGGAATAGGAGTAGCTGCGGGACCCAGAGCTCAGGGAGACGGTGGTGGCTTGAATGAGGGGAGTAGAGGTAGAGGGTTGACAAGTGGCCCAATCTGACGTATATTCTTTACTGCAAAGCCAATGGGACTTGCTGGTAGATTGAGTGTGCTTGGAGGAGTGGGAAACAGAAGAACTAAGGGCGACTCTTTAGATTTAATGAGTAGATAAATGCTGTAACCGAGCAGAAGATGGAAGAAGACTGGTTTGGCCATGTCAAGTGTGAGATGCCAGCTGCACATCCTAGTGGAGGTGCCAGGCAGGCAGCTGGAGAGATAGGCTTGAAGGAGGGTCAGGTCTAGAGACAGAAATAAGGGAGAGAATAGCTCCCGTCTGGAGTCGGAAGGGAGATGTCTTTCGCTACAGCGTGTGAATGTTGCTTTGCTTCCAAACACACCATGCGGTCCACACCCGCTTGCAGCCTAAGTCCCTGCATGTTTAAACAGCCAGGCTGTGAACCAGCTCTACCTACAGGCTTCACATACAACATGTGGAGGAGCCTGGCCCAGTTCCTGCCCAACTCATGTTTATTCTCTCAGCAAACATGTGTCCAGGACTTATACCATGCCAGGGGCTAGGCTAGATAACTTGTCCTACAGAACAGAAGGCTTGCCCAGGGAGTTACCTCATTTGGAAAGGAGATGGGAGGGTGGGCAGGGTGTGGCCGCAGGAAGTGGCAGGCATGGGGCCAGGGTGCCTAGGGGCCAGACTTGCTGAGCCATCACCTAGCTGAGGACCTGAACCAAGTCCATCTGCAGGCTGTGAAGCCCTCATCAGTGGGGAAAAATGACCCCTTAGAGTCCCTTCCAGTTCCAAAATGCTGCAATTATCTGGAAATTATCATCTAAGTAGACAAATCATTTAGGCAAAAAAAAAAAAAAAGATTTAAAAATCCTTTTGCTTCAATTACGCATTTTTTTTTAACGTGAATTTTCATGGTAATTGGCCTGAAGCCTGAGTAGTCTGTCCCCAGACAAAGCAGTCTTTGAGTTAAACTCTGCTTTGTATGTCAAAGCAAAGATACCCGCAGAGCAGACTCCACCTTCTTCTCTCTACACCTCCTCTCCGGGCTCCACCTCAGAGTGCACAGATGCGGAGGTGCACACGAAATCTCCTTTGTACTAAGTACAGTTATTATAAGGTGTGGCCCCCTAGACACTACCCTCTCTATTATTTTGACAGTATGACTTCCTGTAATATTACTATCTCCTGTCATCTCAGTAACAAAGGCTGATACCTGGGTTTTTTTTTTTTTCACCTCTCAACAATATACTTGACATTTAATGCATCATCAAAAAGTTTCTGAGGTTTTGGGGCTAAAGCTCTAAAAGTATTACTTCCTGCTGCCGGGGCAGCAGCTCAGGTACCCAGAGCAGCCCCAAGACTTCTGAAGCAAGGCTGCTGCCCTGTTCTCAACTTCGCCAGACGATCCCAAGGATTTCAAAGCCAGCCCAAACCGCACCCCACCCTCAGTGGGCCCTCCCAAGGGCTGAGAAATGGGTCCCAGAGCAGAAAGCACAGAGGCCACTGCTTCCCATCCCAAGCTCTCTCCCTTAGTTCTGTGGGTCCTTGAGCAAGTCACTTAACCTTTCTGCTACCCAGATTGGTAGAATTACTGCATGGGGCAAAATGATCCCCAGGGAGTGGCCCAGCATCCATTCTCAGGTGTTTAAGTAGAGACTTGAACTGCCCTCGAGGCCAGTCAGGTGACCTGCGATGAAACCTGCAGTGAAACCGCCTATTTTTCCTAAACATTAGAAGAATATTAGCTTGGTTTCCCCAAACGGCTCCCTGGTGGCCCAGCACCATGGGAATGTTCTGGGCCTGCTCTGTGAAGGTGGGATTTGCAGCCAGCAAGGCAGAAAAGCGATCGTCATTTACCCAACTCTCTATTACTTCAGCAGCATTTACAGTGCCACACATGTGTGGTCAGGGCCAAAGCCAGGCTCGAAGATACAAGGACAAACACAGCAAAGCCCACGACCTCTGGGGACAGACTGTCCAGGGGTTGGAATGGCATGTGAGCACACAGCTGCCCGCAGGAAGGGCTGGGGAAGACCGGAGGGGGCACAGGAAGGGAGCCCCTAATTATTCCCGAAGATTAGAGAGGGAGAGGCAGAGCAGGCTTCCCAAAGGAGCTAACACTTGACCCAACTCACTGTTTTCACAGTGGTTGGGCAGCTGGACATTCCAGGCAGAGGCAGTAGGAAACTCCATGGCCCAGGCCCAGAGAGATGGGCTGGCTAGGTAACACACACGGACCCATGAGGCTGGACCATGATGCACATAGGGCAGTGCTGGAAACCAGGTCCGAGGCTTCAGCGTCTGCTGAGGAGCGTGGCTGTTTCTCATTTTGGGTTTTTGACCCGTGGAGTGCAGTACAGGCTGTATAGCTAAGGGTCAGAGGCCTTGATTTGGGAGGTCAGCCACACTCAAATGGAATCCCTGCTTGTACTAATGGTGCAATCTTGGGAGAAATACTGAATCTTTCTAAACCTCCATCCTCTCATCTGTAAAATGGGCATAATAATACCCACCTCATAGATCGTGAGGGTTATGTAAAATAACAAATGTCACGTGCTGGCATTAATTACAGCAGCCAGTTAAAACACAGAGGGGAGGGCTCAACTGGTGCTTTTAGAATTATCCCTCTAGCGCTGTTTGGCAGATGGGCTGGGAGAAAGACAGGTGGCTGGGATGCATCCAAATGCATGAACGCACACATACGCACACGCAAACTTCTTTTTTAAAATTTATCTATTTATTTATTTATTCATTTATTTGAGACAGGGTCTCCCTCTGTCACCCAGACTGGAGTGCAGTGACGCCATCATAGCTCACTGCAGCCTCGACTCCTGCGCTAAAGTGATCCTCCCACCTCAGCCTCCTGAGTAGCTGGGACTACAGGTGCCCGCCACCACACCCAGCTAATTTATTTTTTATTATTTTTTGTAGAGACAAGGTCGGGCTGTGTTGCTAAGCTGGTCTCAAACTCCTGGCCTCGAATGATCCTCCCACTTCAGCCTCCCAAAGTGCTGGGATTATAGGTGTGAGCCCTCGTGCCCAGGCTCGAACTTCTTTGGTAGTGGGGTAAACAATGCAGTACAGAGAAGATGTGATTTAATTTGAAGGTGAAAGAGGGGAAGACTCCAAAAAAGGCTTTAGGGTAAAGGCAACTTAGGAAATGGGTCCTGTTAGGAGGAGAAATTTGGAGAGAATAATGCATGGAGGCATGAAGTTTCAAGGTGTTAGGAGCAGTGAGAATAAACCAGAGCTGGTGGCCTCTGGGGGAGGAGGGTAGAAAAGGCTTTCACGGGTCCATACTCAGGAGACACATACATATTCCATGCCCACTGCGTGCGCCAGAGCTATTGCGATGAGTCCAGGCCAGATCCCGGGCAGGCCTTCAATGCCATGCTAAGGGATTTGGAATTTATTCAGAAAGTAGCAAGGAGGCCATTCCTTTATTAGAATTATCTGTTTCCTGTCCACTGACCCACACAAATCTTTCAAGGAAGGAGGGAGATTGCAGTAGAAGCGTGCCCACCACCCCCTGGCTCTCCCACATTCAAGAGAATTGAACCAAATTGCTTCCTGCTGCCCTGTAACCCAGGCAGGGTCCACCCTCTCACAGCACACTAAAGTTAACAATAATACTCATAATAGCTAACGTAGCTCTGTTTGAAGTGCTTTGACTGTCTTAACTCATTTGATCCTCCTAGCAAGACTGATATCATTATTCTCCCATTTTGTGGATTAAAAACAAGACACCCAGCCATGAAGGAATGTACCCAAGATCCCCTAGCTAGTTAATGGACACATGGGTTGTGAACCCCAGCAGTTCTGGACAGAAGCTTTGCAAGTCAAGGACTAGAGATTTCTTTCTTTTTTTTTTTTTTTTTTTGAGACGGAGTCTGGCTCTGTCACCCAGGCTGGAGTGCAGTGGCGCGTTCTCGGCTCACTGCAAGCTCCGCCTCCCGGGTTCACGCTGTTCTCCTGCCTCAGACTCCCGAGTAGCTGGGACTACAGGTGCGCACCACCACGCCTGGCCAATTTTTGTATTTTTAGTAGAGATGGGTTTCACCATGTTGGCCAGGCTGCTCTCAAACTCCTGACCTCAGGTGATCCACTCGCCTCGGCCTCCCAAAGTGCTGGAATTACAGGCGTGAGCCACGGTGAGCGGCCCACAAGGACTAGAGATTTCTCTGCTAACACAGGGGAGGGGCCCAGCACACAAGTGGCCCGGGGCGCCTCAAGGGGAAGGCAAGTTGCCACGTGAGGGCTCTTGCGGGCAGGTTGTGTCAGAAGAAAGGTGCCTCTCACTGCACCAGGGGTCACAAAAACACCTACTGTCTTGTCTCACCTCCCTCCACGGAGGACAGTCTGGCCACTGTGGGACTGAACACCACCGGCTCCCAGAGGGCGCAGCAGCTTAGAAGACGCAACGCTGTGGCCAAATGCAGAGACCGCCTTGGGAGCTGTGTTCACGGAAGCGAGGGAAGATGGGGGCTGTCCTAGAGTATCGGGGATCCCAAACTGAACCAGCCGCCTCTCTCCTCTCCACAATCCACCCCTAAGAGAGGCACAGGGGCCCCGTCGGGGGTCGATGCTGGGGGTGGGCGATGGAGCTCCTTCAAAAGCTGCCTCTTCTTCTCCTCCCCCATCGTGGAACCGCGACTTCCTCCTCCACCTCTTTTCTTAGCCTGTGCCTGTTCTTCCTTTACAACCCACTGTCTATGTGAGCCCCACCTGGACCATGCCAGCCCAGAGGTTCAGAAATTCTGTGCAGAAATAAGGAGGGCACGCGGATAGCAGTTCTGGAGGATGTCTGATAATCCAAGGTCATCCAAAGATTTCTGTTGGAAAGTAGGGGGTCTGAAGTGAAAAGACCAAAATGAACTCATCCTGGATGTGGGGAAGGTGATGACAGCGTCTGTGCCAGACACTTCAAGTCTACGAATTCCTTCATCACCACCATTTTACAGATGAGGAGGGAGGCTAGGAGCTGAACAGCCAGCATGAGAACCGGGAGCTGTCTGATTCCAAAGCCCACGTCTCCTCTCCCTGCCACCCAGCCATAAGGAAGGATTTTTTTCCAACACTTAATCTCTCTCTGCCCAATAATGAAAGGCAGCTGCATCAGTATCTCTGCTTTCTGATCCATGCAGATGGGAAATCATCTAGAAAGCACATGCCTGGCACAAAAGCACTACTAACAGTCCTCATCCCCATGCTCTCTCTCCCTCCCCGTCTCCACCACCTCATGGGGCATCTGACCAGGAGCAACCTTCATCCCAAACCTTGCCTTCTTCGGAGGGGTGAAGGACCAAGAAAGAAGCTTCCTTGCCTTGGTGTGGACTGGAAAAGGAACAGCAATCTTTCCCCTTTATTTCCACCCACCAGAGCCTCTGGAAAATCCCATTTCTTCTGATAATGGTAGACAGAAGTTGTCCCTGCCTAAGAAGCTCTGAGGATACTGGTTGTAGCAGCAAGGTGTGGCAACAGGCACAGACCCTGGCAGGAAGCCAGATACACCACGTTGAAAACCTAACTCTGTCTAGGAGACCAACTTCTTCCAGGTCCCCTGGGGAGTCATTAAATTTCTGTGTCTTCATTTCCTCCAAGGTAGAAAGGGGTAATAATCTGACCTACCTCACCAGAGTGTTGTAAGTCGGAATAACTAATTAACGCTAGTGCAGCACTTTTGAAAGTAAAAAGCACTTTGCAATAATTAACGTGGTTTCTGCTTTCATCTCCTGCAGCCTCATAAATAGAGAGCTAGGTCCCAGATAGCTACAGATGGCAAGAAGCATGCCAGGCAGCCGGCTTTCCTGAGGAGCTACAAGGGCGGCTCTGTCAGGGCCATCAAAGTTGTCTTGGGGCTCCCGGCCACTGGAGACTGTTTCAAGCTGACAATTCCAAATCCATTTGCATCCACTTAGCTTTCCAGAGACTGAGGCATTTTTCAGTTACAGCAAACAACACATGAATGTGAAGCTCCAAGCAGGCAGCACAGGGCAAAAAGGACTACAAAGTCTCTGGGGCTGCTGCTGACTTGTCTTGAAAAATCAAAATGAACTTTTTTCTTCAAAGACTTTGCTTTTATTCATCATCATTATAAAAACAGTCAAGTCCTTGAGGTCTGCAGCTGCAGAGAATGCATACAAAATGGGCTCTCTGAGAAAAAAATATATATATATAATAATGATGCTCTAACACTCTTGTGAGCAAAGGGCCACAGGAGAGCCTGGGTTTGGAGTCCAGCCTTCACCTCCACTGGGCATATTTTGCCCGTTGGGATGTGTATGCCCCCAAAAAGGCACTGTCTTTATGAGGATGTTCATAGCTGGGGAGGCATCTTCCAGAAGGTAGAAGCATCTTTAGGTATGCAAACTGCTACACCCTGGAGGATGGTATCCCCTCTGCTAGCTGTCACCAGTACCCCAAAATGTAACACAGCTTTCATCAGTATATCACAGAGACCGCGTTACAGGGGTTTGGGGGTTGTGAACCTGGTTGATTGGTGGAGTGCTTCAGGTCCACATCGTAAAAATGCTTCTGTGGGCTGGGTTGAGAAGCATGAGGCATAATAACATTTCTTTGCAAAGTGTATTGATTTCCAAGCGGCTGCCTTAGGATCTGGAATGCCGGCCACTCATAAGAGAAGGAACTGCCCTGAATTATGAGACACATGCTCCCTTCATTATTTCAGAGGGGAGGAATGCAGTTATCTTGAATTTCCTTGGATAGGTGGTGTTCCTTTCCTCCTTCTCTCCCTTCTTCCTCCTTCCCCTTCTACAGGCCATTCTGTCAGCTAATAGACCATTGGTGGCTAACAGGGACTTCTCAGAAGAAAGTTAGGGAGAAGCTTTACCAGAAAGTGGGGAGTTGGTGGGAGTTGGGTAGGGGTATGACTGGCTCTGTGGTACTGAAGAACACTTTTCCAGACTCCAAAATATGTTTGCAGGGAGGCAAGAAGGAACAGGAGCAAGATGGGGCCTCCAGACAACCTGGCATAAGTCCTCGACGCCAGGAGCATAAGAAGGAGAAGCAAGGAGAGAGAAGATCTAGAAGCAAGGGAACTTCCAGAGCCCCTTCTGATCAAGAAATTGATACAGCAGCCCCTGGGGGTCACAGACTGTCACTGAGACAGAAGCCTGTGAAAAGGACAGTGCTTAGTCCAGCAGTGGACTAGGCGAGTGGACAATGAGATGACCTAATCATGAGTTTTGGATGGGCTCAAGTGAGAAAAGAAGGTAGAGTAGAAATGATTTGTTTTGTATTCAAGATGAAAAGGCCACCCTCCCTTCTGCAGGGGAATGAATTCTTATATAGCTCGGATGTGTGTCTCCTACAAATCTCCTGTTGAAACATGACCTCCAGTGTTGGGGATGGGCCTGGTGAGAGGTGTTAGGATAGTAGGGGCGGATCCTTCATGAATGGCTTGGCGCCGTCCTCACAGGATTGAGTGAGTTCTCGCTATGAGTTCATGTGAGATCTAGCTGGGTAAAGGAGACTGCCGCCTCCTCCCTCCCTTGCTCTTGCTCTTGCTCTTGCCATGTCATGGGCCTGCTCCCCCTTCACCGTCTGCCATGAGCAGAAGCTTCCTGAGGCCCCCACCAGAAGCAGATGCTGGTACCAGGCTTTATGTACAGCCTGCAGAACCATGAGCCAAATAAATCTGTTTTCTTTATAAATTACCCAGTCTCAGGTATTCCTTTATAGCAACACAAATGGACCAACACAGATTCCCTTCCCTGAGAGCCAAGTGGTGCCACTGGAGAGCCCCTCCCAGATGCTGGTCCCCAGGGAGGGCTGCCGGGTGAGCCTGTGGGGGCAGGTGGCAGTCAGGCACGGACCTCGCAAGGCTGTGGTCCCAGCCACGTTCTTGAACTTCCTGCAGGGTCCCCTCATGGAGCTTCCCTCTGAGCATGGTGAAGGCCAGAACAGAACAAGAGGCAGCAGAAACCCTTGTCTTTCACTCTGATGAGTGTTGCATGGGGCTGATGCTGGAAACTGCTTCACAATCTCAACAGCATGGGTGCCGGCCAACTCCGAGGGATGTGACAATAGGCCAGCCTGTCCCAGGGCACATCGGCTGAATATCACCTCTCCACGGAGTGTCAGCCAAGTTTCCTTCTTTTAAAGAACATTTTGGCTGGACCCAGTGGCTCACGCCTGTAATCCCAACAATTTGGGAGGCCGAGGCAGGCAGATCCCCTAAGATCAGGAGTTTGAGACCAGCCTGGCCAACATGGCAAAACCCCGCTTCTACTAAAAACACAAAAATTAGCCAGGCATGGTGGCAGCGCCTGTAATCCCAGCTACTCCAGAGGCTGAGGCACGAGAATTGCTTGAACCCGGGAGGCGGAGGTTGCAGTGAGCCGAGATCGTGCCGCTGCACTCCAGCCTGGGTGAAAGAGCGAGAGACTCCGTCTCAAAAATAAGTAAATAAATAAAAATAAAGAACATTTTAAGATTAAATGACGAAACACACAAGCGGAAGATGTATGATGCTTGTGCTATATGGCTTTGCATGAGATCATTATCACCATCTTGTGCAGGGCAGCTTCTTGGGTGTGCAACCTCCCTAGGACTTTACATTTAAAAGGACCCCACACTTGGTTTAATGCTCTGCTGTTGCTGTCTTAATAATCATGCTGGAAAAAAGTGTCCCATGTTTTCATTTTGTACTGGAACCGGCAAACTATGTAGCTGGTCCTAGACTGGTGAGGTAAGAAATACAGGTATCACCAACTTCCCCATTTCCAATGAGGAGACTGAAGGATAAGGTGGTAAAATGGATTCCCTAAAGACACCCCGCTAGTAAGCAGCTAACTGCAGCCCCAGGTCTCCCTAGTGCAGTATCTAGTCTGATGCATGAATGTAATGAGCCGTTTCTGAGCACCTGCCCAGCTCAGGACAGTGACTTCATCCCTGCCCCATGCCTTCTATCGTGAGCCCCTTACACTGCTTATACCACTTGAGACTCCCCAGGCTCGAACTGATGCCCACGCCTGGCCAAGCTGGGCCAGTCAGATGGTCTCTCCAGGGAATCTAAAACTTGCACCTAGAGGGACAGATGACAGAAGGGATAGAAGGGGCATCCAGAGCCATCGTGAGAACAGAGGAATGGCAGGTTCAGGCACAGGAAAATCACATGAAGCCTTCTGCATCTCCCACTCTCCCTTCCACATCCTAAATTCATGGGTCCCAAGGAGACACGGTCTAGAGGAAGGCTGGGGTCTCCCATACGGCCAAATGATAATAATCCAGGAACCTAAAGAAAACTGCTTCATGTGTCCTCACCTATGGTCAAAAATCTGCCAGACCTGCTGGGAGAGAAAGTTACAGGAAGATGGAGAGTAGTGGCTGGCAACATCTACCGCTTCATATTTACAAACATATGTAGCATTTCCTATGTGTTAGATTCCCTTCTACATGTTTTACATCTATCAGTTCATTTAATTCCAACAACACTATGAGATAGGTATTATTATCATCAACTCTAGTTTATAGGTAAAGAAACCGAGGCACAGAGAGGTTAGGTAACTTGCCTGAAGAAGTCACACAGCTTGCATGAAGTAGGGCCAGGATTTAAACCCAGACAGTCTGGCTCCAGAGCCTAGGTTTTTAACCCTCTCACAAGCTGCCTCTCAAAAGTATTATTCTGGCCAGTCTGAAATAAGCAACATGCAATTTCCACTTTTAAGTTTCA
This sequence comes from Homo sapiens, assembly GCF_000001405.40. Lineage (NCBI taxonomy): Eukaryota > Metazoa > Chordata > Mammalia > Primates > Hominidae > Homo > Homo sapiens. The sequence continues at coordinate 40,494,391 of NC_000013.11, forward strand.
TTTTACCTTCTCAAAATGCAGTGTCTCAGAAGTCTTGACTATTTGAAATCAATAAGGCCTTTGAGTAGTCAAAAGGGATGTTACAAAGACTATACACAAAAGCGTGAATATTCAGTCCCTCCGATTCCCACTCAATGCCTATTTACTCAATCTCTCTCTATCTCCCTCCTTCTGTCTCTCCCTCCCTTCCTCTCTCTCTTACTTACACACACACACACACACAGAGAGAGAGAGAGAGAGAGAGAGAGTTTTGTTATCCACTTTCAAGCTCCCAGTAAGTGAGAAGGAAATGATAGTTCGCTGCATGCAAGCATGCTGACAGTATCAAGAAAACATTACTATGAGCCTGGCAGTAAAAGAGGAGACAGAAAAACCCTAAAATCAATTCTAAAACTTACAAAGCACGGCAGCAGGGCTTCATAGAATAATGTTCAAACAGCCCTAAACATCTTCATCCTCTATCCCAACTTTTTATTATACAAATAGCCTTCTCTTGGTGGTTAAGCCATTTCCAGCAAGGTTATCAATGATTTGCAGATGAAGAAATCTTGATTCAATGAGCAGCTGAGAAGATTTGCTACATTCAGTAGATGACATTTAAAAAGGTGGAGGAATATGTGCTACATTTTTTAAGGATTTACGTCTAAAATGGTTACTCTAGAAAAAAAGTTTGAGAGCTTAAGTGGGTAGACAGATATTTTTATTTCTTTGTTGGTTGGTTGATTGGTTAGTCGACGGGGAGGTGCTTGTTATTTTGGGTTTGTACTATATGTTGGTTTTCTAAAAAAACACAGTTGCCCTTTAAAAGAGTCATGTGCTGTCTAGTTTACCACAGTCCCCACCCTTCCTTCTTCATATTGAATTTTTGTTTTAAGATAATGGTAGGTTCACATGCAATTGTACAAGATAATTCAGAGAGATCCCATGTTCTTTTTACCCAGTCTCCCCCTAATTGTAACATCTTGCAGAACTCTAATACAAGATCACAACCAGGATATTGACAAGGACAGTCAAGACACAGACAGTTTAGTCACCAGCAGGATCCCGCGGGATAGGCACACCCATCCTTATCCTGCTCCTCCTCAGCCCCAGGCAAAGGCAAACACTAATCTCTTCTTCAATTCTATAATTTTGTCAAATGGAGAATGTTATCGAAATGAAATCATGCAGTATGTGGCCTTTGGGGTTGGTTTTTTCACTCATCGTAATTCCCCGTAGATTGATCCATCTTGTTGCAGGTATCAATAGTGCGTTGCTTTTACTGGCCAGTAATAGTCCACGGTGGTTTGTTTACCCAGCCACCCACTGGAGGACACAGGCACCGTTCTTTTTTGCTTTTTTCCCAGACGGTTTCCTCATTTATCTGACCTGCCTTGCCCCGTGGACATTTGAACTTCCAATCCCCAGGGTGGTGTCTCACCTAGGATGGGAAAACTATCTGAATCCAAAAGATATCCACAATGACTCGCTTCCTCTCAGGGTAGAGCTTTCAGTCTCTCCTCTCTGTGGATTATTCATGGCCACAGTTTTAATCCCAGGGAGGACAGCTTCCCCAATATATAACCGGCTCTGGCCCCTTATTATTAGCTGGTGTGTACTCAGGAAATGCAAAACTGGAACCAATATAAACAGGATAATAGATAGATAGCACCAAAAGCCACTCAAACATAAATATGGAAATTCCTTAGGGAGCACCTGTGCTTTGTGTTCTGCCTTCTGGTAGCTCATTTTGTGAGCATAGATAAGCAGGGTCAAGTCCATTGAGAACTCTCTGTGCCTTATCTTTTACCCATCCTATCTCTCACTGATCCCAGGGAGACTTCAGAATGCTCCTGGGTTACATACTTCATTCTGTCTCAGTGAATTCCTTTTTTTCATCTGGCTAACTTCTGGGACATATCATCTTTGTTTTTTAAATATCTCACTCTTGGTATGAGATAAATTCTACTGGCCCTAAAGCACTTGAAGTGTCTTATATAACATATTTCATTCAGTAAATATCTTCTGAGCACCTGTTCTATGCCATGACTGTACTTAATGATGACATAAATTAAAATTCTTTAACTCACAAAATAAATTCTCTAACTCAGCCACTAACAGAGTCGTAAATTAGGGTTCTCCAGAAAATGGCCAACATGCTGGGTCCCCACTGCCAGCATCTCATCTGTAGTGGATGACTCAAAACATTCTCGATTGAGCTGACTTGCTAGGATCTATTTCAGGAATTGGATATGTGTGGGTTGGATCAGTCTGCTCAGCTAGGTCCTGGCAGCAATAACCTCCTCATTCCACCACAATACATTTTCCAATCATTCTTCACCTGGATTACTGGCAACGCCGCCTGAACGACTCCTCCTATCAACGTTGCTCACCGGCCATTCCTTTGACACTGAGGACTGTACTACGCACCAAGCACTGGGAATTACAGCAAGAGCACCATTTTGTTTGGCCCCACGATGTTTGGGAAAATAAATATGACTGCAACGTAAGTATGACTATCATTCCTGTTTTACAGAAGCACCTGAGGGGCAGAAAGCTGATAGGACCTCAAAATCCCAGAGTTGATCAATTGGAGCAGGAATTCAAACTCAGGTCTCTCTGACATCAGAGCCCATTCTCTGGGGACTTGGCCAGACCACTTTTCCAGCCCCAAAGTCCCAGAAAAGACCTTCGCCCACCTCCCTGATAAGACAAATGCTTATCACCGATCTTCCTAGAAAAGAAGAACCCAGTTTGGTCCTCCTCTTAGAGGGTTCACTTAATTTCACTCCTCTAACACTGCAAATCAAGCTCTCAGGAAGCCGACTTCAGATACAGACTTGGGTCCAGGACAGTTCCTAAGGAGTGATGTGTGGATCACAACCAGTGGGGGAGTAAAGAAAGGACTGGGTGCAGGGGGATGTTGAACTTCAGTGCAGTCAGAGTTCAAGCCTCAGCGTACCCAATGGGAACACTGAAAATGGCCCAAGTTAAGTCAAGGAGACCGTGCCTTTGTACCCCACACCAACCAGGCACTGGGTGCAGACTGCCCCAGGAAGCAGATCTGACCTTGGCCCACGCGAATCCCAGGGAGGGACTCAGCTGAGAGCTGTCTGCCGCCCCGCAGCTGGGGAATTGGGCAGTGCACTCCGGCATCCATTAGGCTTAACTCCAGTTTTCTTTCTGTAGCTCTTCTATCTTATAAAACCTCTAAATTGGGTCCAAGGAGAAGTCAAGTCAATTTTGTACATTTTTCCTACATTCTTCTTCTAAAGATCCCAGTATTCATTTTTCAATTCATTCTTTCCTCTTTCTCAATAAAGATAACAAGCTTTCTCTCCACTGCCTCTACTTACCTGAGAACAAATCAGGAAAATTGTTTCCCTGGATCTTCAGAGCTGTGACCTCTGGAAAGGTGCCCTGGGGGTGAGTTCTGCCGCTAGAGCCTGGGGTGAGCCTCTTCCTGTCTGCTCCAGCTGCCCTCTTCCTGGTGCCTCTGGCCTTCTCTCTCCATCCCCCTCTCCTTTCCAACCCTCTGTTCCTGCCTATGCCCTTCTTGCCCTTCACCCGGACCATGGCCACAGCATCCCACCATCCCCAGTCTTGCCCCCACAAATCCACCCTGCGCCCCTCCTGCTGCCCTAGAGATTTTTCTAGATGCAAACCTCCCATGTGCCTGGTTCACCCATTGTTTCCACGATGAGAGTCACATTCTTTACCCTCACATTCAAGACTCTCTTGATCTGGCCGTGCTGACCTCTTCAGCTTCTTTTCTTTTTTTTTTTTTAAGTTCTAGGATACATGTGCAGAATGTGTAGGTTTGTTACACAGGTATGCATGTGCCATGGTAGTTTGCCACACCCATCGACCCATGATCTACATTAGGTATCTCTCCTAATGCTATCCCTCCCCTAGCCTGGCTTCTTTTCTTGATAGCCCCTCCCCACAATTATACACATATGCACACACACACATGCACACATGCATGCACACACGCACAGACCTGTGCACACATGCACATGCCACATGCACACATCATTCTGATGATGCTGAACTGTGCTTGGTTTTTCCTCATCCACCACATTACTCCTACCTCCATGCCATTCCCCACAAAGTTCCTTCCATCTGACGTGGCTTATCTTTCCTACACCAGGTTAACTCCTTCAAGATCCAATTAAGGTGTTTTCTCCTTCAGGAAGACTTGCTTGCCAACAGAAGCTGGACTACAGCAACTTCCTGCCCGCAGCCTGGTTTCCACAGCACTCAGACTTGCCTTTACCACACCCCTTATTATTCGGAAGTGTCTGCCATCACTGCCCTGCCATGCCCCTGCAGGCAGGAGAGCATCTTTTCTTTTTCTGTGTCCCTCATGCCTGGCACAGTATAGGAACTCAAGTTAAGCTTGTTGACCTGAACAGACCGAACTGCCTCTTCAGCATCCACACCAGCTATTTTCTGCATGTCCTCAACTCTCTACCTCCTTCCCCTTCAGAATTCTGGCTTGCCCCATATGTGCCCATTTTCTCTACTTCACAAGGTGAGTATTCAGCACAGTTGTGCTGCACATTAAGTAAAACTGGTGTTAGGAAAAGTCTGCATTGTTAAAAAAAAAAAAAAAGTAAGGGTGATTGTTGCTCTTTATAAAAGGCTGCTAGCCTTGGTTTCTTTAACAAGGAAACTCCAAGCAGTCACAAAGAGTACATGCCTGCAAATGCCAATCTTCAAACTGAATGTGATTACCTTGGGATGCCTGTACTGTCTTCTTTATTTTTTTTTATATTATTTAAATTTTATGTAATGAGAATGTCTCACACATTCAAAAAAATAAAAAAAAAACCAGAAATCTATTTTCATTGTGGGAGAAACATGGAAAAATAATAGGCTTCCTGGTGACTTTTTTTTAAATCTCCAAATAGATTAAAAAAAAAAAAGTAGGGCCAGGCCTGGTGGCTCACACCTGTAATCTTGGCACTTTGGGAGGCTGAGGCGGGTAGATCAACAGAGGTCAGAGTTCGAGACCAGCCTGACCAACATAGCGAAACCCCATCTCTACTAAGGATACAAAATTAGTCAGGTGTGGTGGCACAGGCCTGTAATCCCAGCTACTTAGGAGGCTGAGGCAGGAGAATCGCTTGAATCTGGCAGAGGCTGCAGTGAGCTAAGATCACGCCATTGCACTCCAGCCTGGGCAACGAGAGTGAAACTCTATCTAAAAAAAAAAAAAAAAAAAAAAAAAAACCCAAATCCCTTAATCTCTAGGCTCACTAGCAGGAACAAATTGCACATTTGTAGGACTCTATGCCCAAATGCATTTTAAATCATTCAATTCGAAAACCGTTTCTTTCACTATAACTCTCCAAGAGCCAATGTTTTAGAAACAATGTTAGCCATCCGGGCACTATTGTGACACTGAAGATGTAGACAAGCAGCAAACTCACAGCCAAGGAGCCTCAAATCCCAATCCACACAGTAAAGTAACTCTCTCAGCAAGTCAATGGCACTCGTTGAACCTCCACTGCTTTGACTGTAATGAGATCATCTCTGCACCCCCCACAGCTTTCCAGTAAAAGGGGGAAAAAAGACAACATATGTACACTTGCTTTAAAAAGTAAAAGGCTAGGCCGGGCGCAGTGGCTCGCGCCTGTAATCCCAGCACTTTGGGAGGCCGAGGCGGGCACATCGCGAGGTCAGGAGATCGAGACCATCCTGGCTAACACAGTGAAACCCCGTCTCTACTAAAAATACAAAAAATTAGCTGGGCGTGGTGGCAGACGCCTGTAGTCCCAGCTACTCGGGAGACTGAGGCAGGGGAATGGCATGAACCCAGGAGGCGGAGCTTGAAGTGAGCCGAGATTGGGCCACTGTACTCCAGCCTGGGCGACAGAGCGAGACTCCATCTCAAAAAAATAAAATTAAATTAAAATAAAAGACTAAAGTCACCGAGATAACAAGCGGCAGAGGGGTTAGGATTACTAATAATGTGCCAGTAGCAGCCATTCCCCTATCCCTTGCAGTCGCTGCCCTGTCCCTGTGAGTTCAGCCATCCTTGTGTGGATTCTCCCTTCCCTGCAGGCTGCCCTCCAAATGCTGTCCTCCATCCTCATCAGGCAGGACTGATTCCCAAGCTTCAGTGCTTTCTGCCCATCCCTCCTTCAGGTATCAACCCCGGACGGCACTGACTTTTTACACTAACAGGCAAAAATCACCAGCTGAACGGGAGCCTAAAACTACATACTCTTTCCTAAACATACATGTTTTTGTTTGTACTTTGTCATATTATTTTTTAGGGAGGGGTATCTCAAAAATCATTTTAAAGAAGCATTTGATTGCCCAATCTGGAGAATTATTTTCTTAACAAGTTTTAGGACATAAAGAGCCACATCATCTATTGGCTTACATCTTCCAATAGAGAGACTAAAAATCACTTTCACCTATATTAAATCCCATTACATCCCTGCTAGGTAGGAGGCAAATTGTCTCAAATGCATGAGTCTTCTGCACCATGGATGATATGGTTTGGCTGTGTCCTCACCCACATCTCATCTTGAATTGTAGTTCCCATAATCCCCATGTGTTGTGGGAGGGACCCAGTGGGAAGTAATTGAATCATGGAGGCGATTACCTCCATGCTGTTCTCATGGTAGTGAGTGACTTCTCACAAGATCTGATGTTTTTATAAGAGACTTTTCCCCCTTTGCTTGGCACTTCTCCTTGCTGCGGCCATGTGAAGAAGGACGTATTTGCTTTCCCTTCCATCATAATTGTAAGTTTCCTGAGGCCTCCCCAGCCCTGCAGAACTGTGAGTCAATTAAATCTCTTTTTACAAATTACCCAGTCTTGGGTATGTCTTTACTAGCAGCGTGAGAACAGACTAATACAATGGATCATCAAGTATCTTGGATTTAATCCCACAGCCTGTGAGTGAGGGTGGTCAGGCTAGAACTAGAAGCTCCATGCCAGACCTGCTTAGTCCACTGGACCAGGCATCCACTTTTTTTCAGTAGCTAAGAAGATGGCAGGGAACATATCTGTTAATAACAAAGTGAACACCATCTTTAAGATACTCCCCAGGGCATTTATCCTAAAGAAAGGAAATTGATATACCGAAGAGATACCTACACCCCCATGTTTACTGCAGCACTATTCACAATAGCCAAGATTTGGAAGCAACCTAAGTGTCCACCAACAGATGAGTGGATAAAGAAAACAGGGTATATATACACAATGGAATAGTATTCAGTCATAAAAAAAAAGAATGAAATCTTGTCATTGGCAGCAATGTGAATAAGCCTGGAGGACATAATTTTAAGTAAAATAAGTTAGGCACAGAAAAATAAATTCCATATTTAAAAAAAAAAAGATTGAGCTTAGAGAAGCAGAGAGTAGAGTTGTGGAGATTAGGGTGGGAATGGTAGTGGGGAAGGGAGGATAGGGAGAGGTTGGCTAATGGACACAAAGTTACAGCCAGATGGGAGGAATAAATTCTAGTGTTCTGTAGCACTGGGTAGGGTGAATACGGTTAACAATAATTTAGTGTTATTTTCAAAAGCTAGAAGAAAGGATTTTGAATGTTCACAACACAAAGAAATGATAAATGTTTGAGGTGATGGAAACGCTAACTATTCTGATTTGAGTATTGCACACCATATGTTGAAATATCACCTGTACCACAGAAATATGTACAATTATTATGTGTCAACTAAAAATAAAATGAAAAGAAAAAATATATTCTCCCAGGACCTGGCAGCAAATATCCCATTGAAAGAAAACCGGATTCCCAATTTTGCTTTTATAAAAATCTCTGATATTCATCTTCTCGAGCAATAATAGCATCTTTGTCTAGGGAAAAAACATCTGGTTTATTTATATGGTTTGACTTATATCTGGTAAGGAGAGGAGTAGCAGGTAGTCAGTGCTCATGAGTATCATGGAATCAGTACAGTGGAGCAATTAAGAGCTTAGACTTTAGAGTCTGAAACACTAGGGTCCCTTTCCCAGTTCAGCCACTCATGCACCATGTGGACACAGACTAGTTACTTATCCTCTTATTGCCAACACCTGACTCAGAGTGTTGGCAATGAAATGACTTCATGAAAGCCAAGTGCAGGATAAAGAACCTCGTGCATAGTGAGCATATAAAACATTATCATCATCATCATCATCAGCCATCAACAACCGCAAACTTCCAATCGCCTGCTACATTCAAAGACCTGCCCAAGGCACTGAGAGATGTTCACAGTTCTTTTTAGGAAGAATGTTTGAGAGATTTGAGAGGTATTTGTCAAGTATAACAATGGATTTAAAGATATCCAGGAAAAACTATCAGTATAATCACTTTTCTAAACTACAAGCAAATTGCATAACATAAGCATTATCTTTTAACTATACAAATAATGCAAACTAACTAGTTTAGAAAGCAAGGAGGCACAAGGAAGCATCCATTTGCCTGGACATTTGTTCGCTGGTTGCTCCTATGCTTAAGTTAGTTGTTTCTTAGGGGCTGGCCACAGTCCCATTGGATGAGAAGCTTACAACCATCATAGTCTTACTTCTGCTCCTTTAATTTCCAAGTTCCTAGGGGCAACACTATAGCTAAATATCAGGACTAGAGATGAATGCTCAACTACACACACACACACACACACACACACACACACACACCCTCCCCTCTATGACATCCCACGTCACCATCACCCTCAATGGCAACTTTCTATGGAATTTTATCCACTTCTCTGGTTCTTTGTTCTGGGATATCCTCCCTTTTTCACCAAACATGGAGTCATGTCAGCTACTCTTGTTTATTATCATACAGAATGGCTCATACCTCGTAATGTAGGAATGTTCTGTGCTATTGCTGCAAACCATTAAACTTTAAAGCATAGAATAGCTTTCATGTTTCTTCTTCTTTGGAAGAAGACAAAGCACTGACTTCACTGCCATTTGTTTCATAACTTACTCACATTACAGCCCTGAAAACATTCTACTGTTTTGGCCCAAATGGCTTCCTTGAGTGAAGAGCATAGGTTTCTACAGCAGAACCAGCAGGTTAGCTCTCAGGGTCAACCAATGCACACAATGGACTCTGGCTCCCAACAGCTAGTGCTTCAGTCCCCAGATTAAGGGCCATTACTGTAGATGAGCCATCCTTACCACCCATACAGCAATGGACCAATTTGGAAGGAGCCACTGGTCAGCTTTATACTTAGAAGACAGTTACAAGAGGAGCAACAGAGAGTAGTGACCTTACTGAATGCTCTTTGTACTTATACTCATCCAGGGACCTACGAGGCTGTGAGTAGCCGAAACTGATGTGCTGAAAAGTAGAGCGAAATGGAAATAGATCTGTTATGAGACAGAAGGTCTTATAGCCCAAAATTAACTTACTGCAAACATCCATCTTTGCTCCCAGTCCAAAAGTCATCCAACATAACTCAGCCAATGCCGACGTCCAGAGAATTAACGAGTAGCTGCTAGTTTCTGCTAGATCATTCTTTATCAGAACATAATTCTGTAAGCCCCCTGTTAAATTTTCAGAATCCTAAAGGGAGGGAGCCTATCTCCTCTATCTTTACATTCCAGTTCTTAGCACAAATGGCTGGTATAGAGCAAGCTCACCATAGATATTTGCAACATGAGTTGAGGAAAAGCAAACATCATCCTCCTGAGCTTAGTGTTCTCAGGAATCCCCAAGCTTTTGAAGAATGGAGGAATGACCTTCTAACTCCAGTCACATCATGACTAGAGATGAATGTTCAGCACACACAGGAACACACAGATACACACACACACACACACACACTCCCTCCATGACACCCCATTGTTTCCCTAAACCAGAGTCAAGTACTAGGATGCAGGCTTTCTGGAATGCACCTCCCTGGAATTCCCAGCCTATGTTGATTCTATGAGTAACCATCAGACACTGGCTACCACTATCTGTCATCAGATAATATCCTTTTCCTCCCACTAGCCAACTGGATTTTGAACCTGAAATACCCTTAGAAGGATATTTTCATTTTAGTTCGTAGTCTGGCTGCAGCCTCAGCCAGGCAGGCGGGCAGGATACAAGGGTCACCACACATTCCTGCTGGCTCTGGAAGGCAGAGCCATGGCCTGTCACCCTCAGGGCCTTGCCAGCCAAGATCCACCCATCTCAACAGCATTCTTCTTTCCAAGGGCCTCTCTCTCCAGCCAACTTCCTCTTCAACCTATTATTCTGAGGCACTTGGCTCTCCCTTGTTCCTGTGGGGTAGCCTAAGTGGGTGGCTACTTTTTACATGTCACAAAATTGCACTTGGTTTTCTACCATCTGGCCTTCTCCAATACACTGGCTATATGTTCTGGTTTGCTACTCTCTCTCCAGTGTGATTTACAAATTTCTTTCCCGAATGTGCTTTCCAGATACGAGGCTCCAGTGTGGAGAAACAGGTGTAGACTTCTTGTCAAAACTGCCAAAGGCTAACACCACTGACAGGCAAGTGTCTCCTCACTCCCCAGGGACTCCGCACCCTTGGAATGGAACAAGGAGGAAAGCTATAACTGGGTCCCCTAGAGCACAGACTCAGGACTGGGGCCCATTTCGCTGGGGTTCTGGGGTGACTAGATTCATACCTCTTCATTAATTTGATTGCCAAGAATTCAAGAGTGTATCCATTACTTCTTTTCAAAGATTTTATCTTCTTTATCTGTTACTGCTTTTATGATTGAATTTTTTGTTACAGATTACTTGTTAATATCTGAATATTTCTATGGATTTCCTATGGAAAGATATGAAAATAATTCTTTCTGCGGTGCATTTACAGTTTCGTAGGCTGCATTATCAAGTATATACTGGACAAGAGACAGCTTATATTTTGACAAGGCATTGATGACAGTTGAATCTTCAGCTTAAAATTTTACATATCTGATGATGGGAAGAATTTGTCACAGAATAGCTTCTGGCCCCTTCCATGTCAAACCTTGATCATCTTCTATTACCCACACACTTCTGGTGCCAGGTCCTTAAATGCCTGTTCACCTCAGCTCAGTCATGGAACTGGTTGAGTCAGCACAATCGGCATTAGAAGCATTTCTGTAAACTACTCACACGAGTGGCTACAAATAGTTAACTATACACAGAAGCAACTGTGAACCTCATAAATATATACCTCTAATCCAAACTAAATGTCTGCTTGACTCCGCTTCCCTTATTCTGATCCCAAAAATGCCTGCAGTCACCAATTCAAGAAGGGAGTATATTGGAGAGGAAATCGCACTAGAAAGAGACTGTGGTCTTAACCAATTATAGATCATTTATCTTACTTGTATAAATTTTACAAAAACCTATAAGCATGTGAACAGTTTACTGGACCCTCACATGGCTGTGAAGGTGAAGGAGCCTGAGCCGAGGCTTTGATTATCTTTATTGGAAATCCACTCTGTCAATCAGAACAGATGTAGCTGATGAGCAATCAGCTCCATTACCCGGCACCTACTGGCTGAACAAGCATCCCTGAATGTTGACTGCTAACGTTCATAAACATCTGTACGTGTTTATGACTAAACACTAGGTTCTCACTCTAACTTGTTTTAAGTTCTGTTTTGCCATCCTTTTCTTTCATTATATGTTATTGCAGCCTTGATCTGTACATTTAGGCATTTTTAAATATGTGGTATGTATTAAGGGGCTTTCTGGGATCACAGAATATATCTCTCTACAAAGGAGGGTGTAAGAATAGCTTGGATGAAAGGGCAAAATCCAAGCATCCCTGAATGTTGACTACTGACAGTCATAAGCATCTGTAGGTGTTTATGAATAAAGGTTAGGTTCTCACTCTAAGTCGTTTCAAGTTGTTTTGCCATTTTTTTTCTTTCATTAAACAGTTCCTTCTTGCCTTCCTTTAAATGCTCATTTGCTGTGGTCTCAACCTCTTGCATTTTTATGTTATTGAAGCCTTGATCTGTGCACAGTAGGTATTTTTAAATATGTGGTGTATACTAAGGGGCTTTATAAAGACAGGATTACAGAACATATCTATCTCCAAAGGAGGATGTAAGAATAGCTTGGATTAAAGGGCAAAACATGTAGATCAGGTAAAGGAAGGTATTAAGCAGTCAACTGATGAGCCAACCAACCAAGCCACCGAGAGTCCTAGGAAGCATTTCCTGCCCTCAGATCAGGTCAGGAGCCAGACATTGGTGTCTGTGTGTTGGTTTCTCCTCTACTGGAATGCACGTGTGTTGACAGCAGGACCTGCATCCTTCATCTCATGTGTCCAGCATGGTACATGTGCAATCAGCTTTATCAAATGAATGAATGAATGAATGAATGACAAAACATGGAGAATGGTCTGTTTTGTTGACGGTTAGGATTGTTGATGATTAGGAGTCACTGGAAACCTTGGCAAGTGTGATTCTGGCAAAGGTGATGCAGAGGAAATCAGATCAGAGAAATTCCGGAAGCATGTTGTTTATGAAGGAAACTCATTGTGGATGCATGCTACAGGATATAGGGAGTGAGGGGGACAGGAACTGCAGTTCTGAACAGGGCCAAATATCTGGGTTTTATTTTATAAAAGAAGGTATCCAAAAAGAGAGGCTGGGACCCAAAGAAAAGAAGAAGAGAGCTGGAGGCGGGGTGCAAGAGGCAGAACAGGGATGTGTCTAGATGATGACAAAAGACCTTCCTGAAGCTGGTGACTTAGTGGGCTTGTATGATGCAGGGTCCTGGACCTTGGTCTCCTGTAGGGAAATGCTTACCTCACGGGCCACAACACCAGCACAAGCAAATGAGCTTCCTGGTAAAAATGAGCGACACCATCAGAGAGACATCAGAAGGGAGGCATCAGAGGCACCAGGTAACGGGAGGGGAAGCAACATGCAGCACCCACAGATGGCAACAGTGGAATGAGAATGCACCAGAAGGTCCTGGTGGGTGGCAAGCAGGATTCTGCCTCCGCCAACTCATCAACACAACACGGGTTCTTTTCGTCTTTCCTCTAACCACAAATCATTCATTAATTTTCTTTAGTGTCTTCCGGGATTGCCATCCTCCCATTTCCATTGAGGATTCCTCAACTTAACAAAAGTGTTCGTTGGGTTAGAACCAGACCTGAAAGCAGCGAGGGAGGAGCACGCACACACATTTCATTATGAATTTGTAGCTTACATGCACCCAGTAGTTCTTCCTCAGATGGATGCATATTTTATCTATGTGAATTACCCTGGAGTTGTGACTTTCTAATTTTGTCTTAATTAAACGTGTTTCCTTTCCCAATTAGCCAGGTCTATGTTGAGTTTTAAGGTAACTCTCCAAGGTGCCAACATTCCCCCAACCTACTGTCACACACAAATGTCCACACCTTCCACTTATTCAAGTAAAAGAACCAGAAGGAAGGATGTTCATTCCCTTTTTTTTTTTTTTTTTTTTTTGAGACAGAGTCTCATTCTGTCACCAGGCTGGAGTGCAATTGTGCAATCTCGGCTCACTGCAACTTCCACCTCCCGGGTTCAAGCGATTCTCCTGCCTCAGCCTCCCGAGTAGCTGGGATTACAAGCATGCACCACCACGCCCAGCTAATTTTTGGTATTTTTAGTAGAGACAGGGTTTCATCGTGTTGGCCAGGATGGTCTCAATCTCTTGAACTTGTGATCCACCTGCCTCGGCCTCCCAAAGTGCTGAGATTCCAGGCGTGAGCCACTGCGCCCAGCCCATTCCCTCTTTAATTAGCTTTTTCTCCTTATGCCTTTTTGATTTTTTCATCTCAACACAAAGCGAACACAAATCTAGAAAGAGAGAGAGAGAACTTCATCTGGAAACAAAAGATAGAACCCTTTCCATTTCATTGGCTGGCAATAAAGACTGAAACTTCATCACCATGTTGCCTGGCAACCCAGGAAATATTGTTGTGATTAAACAAAAACTATCTGGAGTAAATTCACAATGAAACAGCTGAAAAGCATTATATCATCCTGCATTCCACTATGAAGACATGAGCAGCAGATACCCTGGGACTGTTCACCCCCCAAAACACAAAAAAACAAATATACCGACATCGCCAAGAGGCAGCCTAGAGGCCAGGAAATTCCCTGGACTAGGATCAGAAGTCCTGGGCAAGTCTCATAACCTTTGGGGCGGTCAGAGTTTTTTTCATCTGCAGAAAGAACAAGTAGAATTAATAAGCTCTGACATTTCATGTTTCAAAAGAAATAGTAAAAACTGGGAGCATCGTGCCAGTCATCTTTTTGAACGGCAGCATTCATTTAAGAGCCATGAACAGTGATCCACAGGCCTAAAGGGTGAAAGTCGCCCATCTTGCCTTAAATAAAATCCACAGTGGGATTGGTTGGGTTCCCATAAGCTGTTGATGCCCCAGTTATTACAAGTAACTCTCCTGGCTTAGAAAAGCAGAAGCTCAGCATTATGAGAACAGCTCATCTCATTAAGACAAAAATATCTCCTAGAAATTTCTTTAAGGCTATTACAGCGAGCAACCTTGGAATCAAAGAGACCAGGCAAAATTAAAGCAACTTGTTTGTAGAAATCACAAGTGAGTAGACTTAAAAAAAAAAAAAATCTGACAAAAGAAGCTGCAGATGAAACCTAAAAACCACAGCAACAAAGCTTTGAAGAATATAGTGTGGTGGCTAAAAACATTAAAATCAAAGACTCTGGGTTCAAATTCTGTCTTTACCACTGATTGGTTGGGGTGCTATTGAAACTCTGCATCTCCATTTATCCATCTGTATGTGAGTATGATTACTGTAGGAATGAAATGAGTTAGTAATATGCTTAGAAGAGTGGCTGACACATAGTTAGCAGCTGTCGTTATTTCAGCATGAGCCCATAATTGTTAATACCAGTGCTAGAGTCAGATGGGCCTGGATTCAAAGCCCAGCACCACTGGTTATTAGCAGTTGACCTCTGTGCAAGCTTCTTAACCTCCCTCTAAGTCTCGGTTTTTCATCAATAAGATGGGAATAATCATATAATACCTCATAGAGTTGTGAGGATTAAATGAGATAATGCTTGTGAAATGCACAGCAGAACATAGCTGTCACAAATCTCTACTGTCCAGGATTCATCAAGAAATTTCTCTGCAATTTCCCTATTAATAGTTTCTCACTGCTTTTCCATGCCATAAAAACTAACAATGAGCCAGTCACGGTGCCTCATGCCTGTAATCTTGGTGGGAGGATCGCTAGAGCCCAGGAGTTCGAGAGCAGCCTGGGCAACAAAGTGAAACCCTTTCTCTACAAAAAATTTAAAAATTACCTGGGCTTGGTGGTGTACACCTGTAGTCCCAGCTACTTGGGAGGCTGAGGTGGGAGAATCACCTGAGCCCAGTAGGTCAAGGCTGCAGTGAGCCATGATCATGCCACCGCACTCCAGCCTAGGCAACAGAGTGAGACCTTGTCTCAAAAACAAACAAACCAACAAACAAAAAAACCCAAACAATAAATGGTTAAGATGGTAAATTTTATGTTATATATATTTTACTACAACATATTTACATTGGAAAAGGAAAACATCGGCTATCACGACATTTCAATGAGGGAAAAAATAGTCTTTTCAACAAATAATGCTGGGAAAATTGGATAACCACATGCAAAAGAATGAAGTTGGACCCTTTCCTCACACTTATACAAAAATTACCTCAAAATGAGTCAAAGACCTAAATGTGAAAGCTAAACTATTAAACTCTTAGAAGAAACATAGGCATAAGTCTTTGTGGCCTTGGATTAAGCAATAGTGTCTTAGCTATTATGCCAAAAGCACAAATAACAACCACAAAAAAATACATAAATTGGACATGATCAAAATTACAACTTTTGCCCTTCAGAGGACAGCATCAAGAAGGTTAAAAAAAAAAAACCTACAGAATGGGAGAAAATATTAGCAAATCATATATCTGATAAGGGACTTGTATCCAGCACATATAAATAACTTTTACAACTCCTTAATAAAAACACAAATTACCCAATTAATAAACGGGCAAAGGATCTGACTAGATATTTCTCCAAAGGAGATATATTAATGGTTAATAAGCACATGACTAGATTCTCAACATCATTAGCTCTTAGGGAAAGGCAAATCAAAGCCACAGTGATATCACTTCATACCACCAGGATGAATATAATAAAAAAGACAGAAATAACAAGTGTTGGTGAGAATGTGGAGAAATTGGAACACTCATTTACATTGCTAATGGGAATAAAAAAATGATGCAGCCATTTGTTTGGAAAACAGTCTTGACAGTTCCTCAAAAAGTTAAACATAGAGTTACCATATGATCCAGCAATTCAAGCCCTAGTTACATACCCAAGAGAACTAAAAACATGTCCATACAAATATTGTACACAAATCCTCTTAGCAGCATTATTCATAATTATCAAAAAGTGTAAACAACTAAAATTTCCACCAACTGATGAATAAATGTACTATATCCAGAAAATGGAATAGTATTCAACAATAAAAAGGAATGAAATGCTAATAAATGCTGCAGTATGACTGAAACTTGAAAATCTTGAAAGAAGCCAGTCACAAAAGACCACACAAATTGTATGATTCCACGAAATCATACAATCCATCAGGATAGGCAAGTCCATCAGCAGGAGGAAGTAAATCAGTTGTTTCCTAGAGGTGGGGGTATGGGGGATACTGATTATGGGAAATGGGGAATGACTGCTGATAGGTACAGGGTTTCCTTCTGGAGTGACGAAAATGCTCTAAAACTGATCGTGGCAATGACTACACAATTGTGAATATACTAACAACCACTGAATTGTACACTTTAAATGAGTGAATTGTATGGCACGCGAATTATCTTTTAAAAGCTGTTATACCCAGTAATGGGATTGCTGGGTCAAATGATATTTCTGGTTCTAGGTTTCTGAGGAATCACCAACTGTTTTCCACAATGGTTGAGCTAATTTACACTCCCACCAACAGTGTAAAAGCGTTCCTATTTCTCCACAGCCTCGCCAGCATCTGTTGTTTCTTGGCTTTTTAATAATTGCCATTCCGACTGGTGTGAGATGATATCTCATTGTGGTTTGATTTGCATTTCTCTAACGATCGGTGATGTTGAGATTTTTTTCATGTTTGTTGGCCGCATAAATGTCTTATTTTGAGAAGTGTCTGTTCATGTCCTTTGCTCACTGTTTAATGGGGTTGTTTTTTTTTTCTTATAAATTTGTTTAAGCTTCTTGTAGATTCTGAATATTAGCCCTTTGTCAGATGGATAGATTGCAAAAATTTTCTCCCATTCTGTAGGTTGTCTGTTTACTCTGATGATACTTTTTTTTTTTTTTTTTGCTATGCAGAAGCTCTTTAATTAGATACCATTTGTCAATTTTGGCTTTTGTTGCAATTGCTTTTGAAGTTTTCATCATGAAATCTTTGCCCATGCCTATATCCTGAATGGTACTGCCTAGATTTTCTTCTAGGGTTTTTATAGTTTGGGGTTTTACATTTAAGTCTTTAATCCATATAAAGTTAATTTTTGCATAAGGTGTAAGGAAGGGGTCCAGTTTCCATTTCCTGTGTATGGCTAGCCAGTTTTCCCAGCACCATTTATTAAATAGGGAATCCTTTCCCCATTGCTTGTTATTGTCAGGTTTGTTGAAGATCAGATGGTTGTAGATGTGCAGTCTTATTTCTGAGATCTCTATTCTGTTCCACTGGTCCATAAAGGAATATAAATCATTCTATTATAAATATACATGCACATGTATGTTCATTGCAACACTATTCACAATAGCAAAGACATAGATTCAACCCAAATGCCCATCAGTGATAGACTGGATAAAGAAAATATGGTACAAATACACCGTGGAATACTGTACAGCCATAAAAAGGAACGAGATCATGTCCTTTGCAGGGACATGGATGAAGCTGGAAGCCATTAACCTCAGCAAAGTAACACAGGGACAGAAAACCAAACACCACACATGTTCTCACTTATAAGTGGGAGTTGAACAATGAGAATACATGGACACAGGGAGGGGAACATTACACACTGGGGCCTGTCCGGGGGCAGGGGGAAGGAGAACATCAGGAAGGATAGCTAATGGATGCTGGGCTGAATACCTAGGTGATGGGTTGGTAGGTGCAGCAAACCACCATGGCACACATTTACCTATGTAACAATCTTGCACGGCCTGCACATGTATCCAGGAACTTAAAATAAAATAAAATTAATATTTTTTAAAAGACAAAAAAATTAAAAAGCTGTTATAAATAAAAAATTAACAATGGAAATTATCGGAAGCCTCTTCAGCTTGGAGGATCAATTCTGTAGACCTTCAGATGGGCCCAGGCCATATCCCAGCATAAGCAGTAGGGGCTGACAATGGGACTGTCCGGAAGGCCCCCGAGGTGGAGAGAACCTGGGAGAGATTCCAGACCAGTTGCTGAATGTGTGCAAGTTCCCTGCACCCTTTCCCTTCTTCAGTTTCATGGGTGAAAGGTTGTTCAGTTTCACGGGTGAATGAAGTATGGAGATGCAGATAAACTGAGCACCCAGCCCTCTTTCCCCCAGTAAAATAGAACTGGTCACACCACAAGTAGTCATTCATCTTCCTTGCTCAAGCTCCATCCCATGAATCCCATCTACCTGTAAGAATCCGCAGGAGAGCGCCACGAGGTAGACTGTGCTTTGGAGGATGGCATCCCAAGGGAGTTGAAGGTGAGGAAACTAGCAGTGAGCCACTGGTCAACAGTGTGCAAACTGTGAAGATCTCTGCTGGGGTATTTGAAGCTTACCTCAAAAAGGAGTCCCAAGGCTTTGTGTAAAACATTGTCTACTCATAGTATTACTGCAGATTCCTCCTAAGAACCTACTAGTTAAAATTTTGTGTGTGTGAGGTTGCAGGAAAAGAGCACAATATTAGAGCAGAAAAGATAAGAGACTCAAATAGAAATGGAAAATTTTTTTAAATCTTCTTTCTCACTTTCTATTACTCCTTTCTTTCTTGGGTTTCATGTCTTCTTTCTTCCTTTGCCTCTCTTTCCCTTTTCTGGCCTGCAATCACCTCGCTCTGTCATGTCTGGTCACAAGATGTTTCAGTAAGCAGCTTGTGAGCATCTCAGAAAATGTGTGTCTCTCTGTCTCTGTATGCTGATACCTACCGTGGCACCTCACATGAAATGGGAGCTCAAAAATAATTACTCTTGTTTGAGTTAAATGCTACAGCACAGTGATCATCAGTTACAGAGCTCGAGACCAATTTCTGTGGGTTGATGCCATTTCCTTGGGTTTTGAAGCAGAAGTCCTCTGAGGGATGTACCTTAGACCCTAGCCCTTATGTTTGACTGGTTATTTTCCAAGCTGTTACCTGTTCATATGTGTATTCCTATTCTTTCCAAGGCTAATCCTGTGAAAACAGATCAAAGCATTTCATTCTTCTAAGTCAGAGACTGGGTCAGACTGTATTTTCCAAAGATAGCCACATTTTTGTGGATCCATTCTTACCATGTGAAAAACATTGTCTACACATAGTATTACCGCAGATTCCTCCTAAGAACCTACTAAAATTTTGTGTGTGTAAGTTTGGCATCAAGAAATGGGGTCTATGTTCCCTCCCTTTGGACGTGACTCCTCTACCAATAAAGTATGGCTATGTGATCTCTGAGGTTAGGATATCAAAGGTAATACAGCTTCCATTTGGATCTCCTTCTCTTGGGACATATGAACTTGTATTCATTAGCCACCATGTAAGACATTTGGCCCTCAAAGCTACTATGAGGGAGAGACAATATGGAGACAGCACATAGAGAGTGCCAAGGAGCCCCAGCTGTTCCAGCCCCCAACTCTTTGTGTCTTCCCAGCCCAGTCACCAGACATATGAGTGAGTGAGCCTTCAGAGGACTCCAACTTCAGCCTTCAAGCCACCCTATTCAATACTAAGTGGAATAGCAACAAGCTATCCTTGCCCAGACTGAAGATTTGTGAGCAAAATAAATGTTTTTAAGCCACCACGTTTTGGAGTGAATATTACAGAGCCATATGACTGGAAGAGTGTCCTCCCCTAGGCCGGGAGAAAGTAAGCTCTTCTCTGAAGTATAAATCTTCAGCTCCTCCATCACTCCTTAAAAAGTCTCTAATCTGTAAGTCACCATCGTCTGACAGAACCTCCTGCCACAGAATGTGTTACTATGGGGCCTGCCCCCAAGTCACTGTCAGGCAGCAGCTGCTCTTCGGACAGGGCTGGAACAGAGAGAAGAAGGTTAATCTAGTGCCTCTGAAATACCTCCCAGGTGTCATCCACAGGAGGTGATATCTCCCTCCCTATGTTTTAGGGATACAAACATATATGGTAAAATTATGAGAAAAAAGCAAGAGAATGATCAATAAGAAATTCAGTGTAGGGCAGCAGATGAGGTCAGGCCCACAGGTAGTGAATGCTAAGTTCGAGGGTGCTCATTTGACTATTACACTTCCTAACTTACATATACATTACCTATGTTCCTTTGTGTGTATAAAATATTGCATAGCAAAAAAATGACTAAAAATAAATGTTAGGTTAATAAACATTTCTAACTTAAAAAAAAAAAAAAACAAGAACCACTTGGCCCCATCCAATGAGTTGCCCTGCCCTGCCCTCACTATATATTTTGTTTCGTGCTGACTTCTCCATTCTTGCCCCAATCACGTGGCTCTATCCAACTTCCAGTGCTGGTCCCCTCTTGCTGTGGCCTAACTGGTTTCCTGTACCCATTTCTTCTTCCCATGACATGTTCTGCTGTCCAGTTAGCCTTCTTAGCCTTCTTTTTTTTTTTTTTTTTTTCTTTTTGAGACAGGGTCTTGCTCTGTCAATCAGGCTGAAGTGCAGTGGTGCCATTATTGCTCATTGCAGCCTCAACCTCCTGGGCTCAAGGATCCTCCCACCTCAGCCTCCCATGTAGCTGGGACCACAGGTGTGCACCACCATACCCAGCTAAATTTTTAAAAAATTTTATAGAGACAGAGTTCTCATTTTGTTGCCCAGGCTAGACTCGAACTCCTAGGCTCAAGGGATCCTCTCACCTCCATCTCCCAAAGTGCTGTGATTATAGGCATAAGCCACCACAACCCCACCCAGTTAGCTTTCTTAAACACCATTCTAATCCTGCCTTTCACAGCTCAGTCTCTTTCAGAGCCCCTCATGGCCCCAGCATTAAAATCTAGAGCCCAGGCTGGGCACAGTGGCTCATCCCTGTAATCCCAGCACTTTGGGAGGCCGAAGCGGGCAGATAACTTGAGGCCAGGAGTTTGAGACCAGCCTGGCCAACATGGCAGAAACCCCATCTCTATTAAAAATACAAAAAATTAGCTGGGCATGGTGGTGCGTGCCTGTAGTCCCAGCTACTCAGGAGTCTGAGGCAGGAGAATTGCTTGAACCCAAGAGACAGTGAACCTGTATCATGCCACTATACTCCAGCCTGGGGAACAGTGAGACTCTTTCTCAAAAAAAAAAATAATAATAATAATAATAATCTAGAGCCTGACTTCCTTAGCCTGGCAGTCAAAGCCCCCACAATCCAGATGCTTCCTGTTCATGACACTCCAGCCAAGCTATGCCATTTCCCATTCATGTCTCCTGATCTCCCACACAAGTGTCTTTGTTCTGTGATTCCACTTGTCTCTCTCCTACTTCTCCATGTTTCCATCATATCCATCCTTGAAAACCCAGTTCCAGTATCTCCACTTTCATGAGACCTTTTCTGATCTACCCTAGGGTAGATATATGCACAGCATTCTCACTGCTTCTCGCCAGCAGGGCTCTAAGTGTTATGGACAGGGAACACTCCTCACTTTCTGACCTGCATACAGGTAGTCCATGCCCGTTCCTTTCCCCGGTGAGATTGCAGGTTCATTTAGGGCAGGGGCCGTAACTGATTCATTTTGTTTGCCCTTAAAATTTCTTAACACATCAGGCAGGGCATGGTGGCTCATGCCCGTAATCCCAGCATTTTGGGAGGCCAAGGGGGGTGGATCACCTGAGGTTGGGAGTTCGAGACCAGCCTGACCAACATGGAGAAACCCCGTCTCTACTAAAAATACGAAATTAGCCGGGCATGGTGGCACATGCCTGTAATCCCAGCTACTTGGGAGGTTGAGGCAGGAGAATCCCTTGAACCTGGGAGGCGGAGGTTGCAGTGAGCCGAGATCACGCCATTGTACTCCAGCCAGGGCGGTAAGAGCAAAACTCCATCAAAAAAAAAAATGTCTTAACACATCAAACATTCTATATTTTTAGAATGAATGAATGGGTCACTAAATGAATGAATTTTACGTCAAAATAATGAATGAATTCTACATCAAGAGCCAACCTAGGAACACTATAAAGTGAAGAAAATTTGTCTTTAGTGTCTCCAGCCTCCTAGCCAGTTGCCCTCCCCTGCTAGGAGTTTACCTCTTCCCATCCAGCTACCTAGGAACTGCATATCTACTTGCCCAAGCAGAACCTGCCTTTGGAAAAATACCTGATAAATTCATTTACACTCCTACATAAACCACTGACAAGGCTTCTGAGGTTACTGTTCTTTTACTGAGAAGCACTTATTTTGTTAACAGAAGACAAGGTGGAAGACTATATCAGTATTGGATTGAATAGCGTAGTCCCAAAATTTGCTTCCCCCCAACCTCAGAAGGTGACCTTATTTGGAAAGAGGGCCTTTGCAGATGTTAGTTAAGATGGGATCATACTGGACTGGGGGGACCCTAAGTCCAATGACTGGTATCTTTATAAAAAGATCATGAAAGACACAGAGACAGAGAAAAGACAGCTGCACGAAGAGATGGAAATTGGAGTGACGCAGCTGAGGAATACTAAGGATTGCCTGCAACACCAGAAGCTAGGGACAGGCAAGAAAGGATTCTTCCCTAGAGCCTTTAGACACTTTGATTTCAGACTTCTGGCCTCCAGAACTGTGAGAGAATGCATTTCTGTTGTTTTAAGCCACCCAGTTTGTTGTACTTTGTTACAGCAGCCCAGGAAACTAATATAATGTCTAAAAATCTGAAATACTGGCTTCTATGGCACAACTGGACCCTTCAGAGAGGTATATTGGGAGAAGGCTCTTGGTGCCCCACAAGAGACCCACACCACCTGTCCTACCTATCCCAACCAGACGGCTTGGCAGGTGAGGGGAAGGAGCAAGGCTGAGAGGTGAACAGACCCTCAGCCATCACCATCGACAACTTGTAAAAATGTGGGGACCAACAAACACCCACTAACCTCTTTTTGCACTGGGCTTGTTCAGCTGCCTGCTGAGTGGGCTGAGAACAAAGTCAGCTGCAGTCATGAATACATGAGCCAATGCAGTGGTTATTAACATTTTGGTGTCATTGATCCTCAAAGAACATGGTGTGACCTAGGGACTTTCTCCCCAGGAGACACATGCAGATACTCACTGAAATTTGCATACAGTTTCAGGGGTTTCACAACCCCCTGAAGCCTCTCCATAGAGGTAAGAACCTTTGATCTTCTAATCGAACAATGATCTGTCCAAATTTAAACTTACAGAAGAGGTACAGTTCCAACATTGGTGAGTAGTTTTGTTTCTGTGTATGAGCATTGAGTACAGAGTAGAAGCTCACCAAGTCAAATCCCAGCACTTTCCTTTCAATGAGAAATGTACTTAAACTTCTCAGCCTCGGTTGTCTTGTCTGAAAAATGAGAAATAGTGATACTACTTCCCAGAGCTACTGTCAGGATTAAATCAAATAATGTCAGCTATAGACTCCTGAAGCACCCTGGACTTCCCCTTCTAAACCCTGCATCCCCTTCTAATCATTCAACTTAAGCAGTTGTTCAGTAGCCATAACCCAGTAAATTGTAAGCTTCAGGAAAGCTTTATTCACAACTGTATTCCCTGGGGCTCAGACTGTCTCGTTCAGCATGGTGCCCGGCGCATGGCTTCTGCTCAGTAAATGGTAGCTCTTATGAATATCCAGCTCAAACTGGTAATGACAAGGAAGCATTGCTAGACAACGAAAGGGTATCTGCTAAAATGTCTGCCTTCGGAAACCTATTGTGGACTCCATGGAAGAAGAACAAGTGCTGTCTTCTTTCTTTGTTGCTATCCTCAAACAAAGAAGTGAAGGATTGTTGCAAGACTCAAAGTCTGTCACTCCCACAGAGCACCAGGAAATGAGCCTCTTCCCTCAGATTCCCCCACCCCAGTTCTGATCCACATAGAGGCTTCTGAGACTCAACCCCATCTGTGAGTCTAAATGGACAAGACAGCAGCTGCTGAGTGGGAGGCAGCACCATCTCCGGAGAGAGGCCCCAGCCCTTTCCCAAGAAGGTGTTACTTTTGATTTCCTTCAAGTGTGATCAAGGTGGGTGAAGGGTGGCTGCTGGAAGTCTAGGCGAGGTGTGGGCTGGCTGAGTCAGGGCTGGCCACGTTCCCCTTGGGAAATTCCCATAGGGAGGGAGCAGGTGGCAGTTGTCAACTGGGAAATTAACCTGGCGTGACTTTAAGATCAATGGGTAGATTGTAATCTGCCCACAGAAAAACCTGGGTCTAATTAAGGGACAGCACTCTGGGTGGAAGTGAGATCCTATGTTTGGAATGAAGTCCTTCACCTTGGCCTTCTCTGTTTCCACCTCTCTAGTTCACAGGCATGTTGTTAGAATAAATCAAATGAAATGATAAATACATACATTTGAAAACTGAAAAAGTGCTCATGGAGTAGATTAATAAAATAGTATATAAAAGAATAAGGCAGATTTTCATACTGTTACTAAAAAAGTTTAATTAAAATGCTATTGAAAAGTATTAATGCAATTTATTATTATTAATTTGCCTCCACTTAGCACCAGGGAGCAATTTCCCCATTTTAGGGGATGGAGGCCTGGCCAAGGAATCAGGATCTGTAGGTGACTCTTATTTGATTAGCCATGTT
Source organism: Homo sapiens (assembly GCF_000001405.40). Lineage (NCBI taxonomy): Eukaryota > Metazoa > Chordata > Mammalia > Primates > Hominidae > Homo > Homo sapiens. The sequence goes on from NC_000013.11 coordinate 40,519,242, forward strand.
TGCTTCAGGGCACCAAATCACAAAGGAATAAAAAATACCAGAGCTGCCCAACAATGAAAAGATTTCTTAGAGACATTTTAGGCTTCCTCTCAAATCCTCGTGTTTTACATATATTACAAATTCTTAGCCCAAGTCCAAAAGATGGACTATAAATAAACTTGCAGACAAGCATTAAAAGGTAGAAGGTTCAGGGTGACATGGGACCCCATGAATGAAATCTAGAGATAGGGACTTGTTCCTCCCGGACCAAGATAAACTCCCAGGGAAAACTTCTACAACCTGGAGACAAAGCAGGACTATTTCCCAGGAGAGGAGAACAAACAGCTTTTTATCAATAATGACTACCATTGTGTTGGATATCAACTATGCACTAGATACCTTCTCTGCATCACTTCTAACCCTCAAACAAGTCCCAGTTTATAAATGAGATTGAGAGAGCTCACATGAAGTGTAAGATCACAGAGGCTAAAGAAAGGTGGGCTCCAGGTTTGAACCAAGGCCTACCTGTTCTGTCAGCTCACCCTTCTCAGCCGTGCTGCGGTTATTCACCATGAGACCCAGAGGAGGTGACACTGCCTGCCGTGGCGAATGGGTGTGATCACATGAGGTCCAGCCGGGCATTTTTGCAGGCTGGGCTGTGCCTCTTCCCTAATCTGGGACAGTTATACTGCCAGAAGTTCAAAATTAGGCTAGACAACCCATTTTCTTAGCTTCCATCCAGTAAAATAAAAGTTTTAAAACCAGACATGAAAAAATGTGGGTTTTTTTAACTTTTTATTATGGAAATTTTCAAATACACACCAAAGTTAAGAGAATGGTAAAAGTTATCCCCCCTGTGCCATAACCCACCTTCAACTACCATCAGCATTTTACCATTCTTGTTTCATCTATTCCTCCTATTTTCTGGAATATTTTAGGTAATCCCAGACCTCAAATCATTTCACCTATAAACATTTCAGTATTGACCCTAATACATAATGACTTAAATTTAACATGACCGCAAGTCCACTATCACTCTTAAGAAAAGTAATAATTCCTTAATGTGTTTGATTTTTCCCCAGTTGTCTCCAAAATGTCTTCTTATAGTTGGTTTGAATCTGGTCCACATATTACAAAATTTGGTTGTTTTAGTCCTGTGCAATTTCTTTTATGTAAAAAATATTTTGTAAATACGGGAACATGATTGCTGGGTGGTCTAAGAGATTTCTTTCACAATGAATGTAGGAAGACAGAACCACCCAAGCAAATCAAACTACAGTATCCAAGCAGTGTACTTCATGTTAGTTGAAATTATTTCAGCATTAAGAATTGATTCCTATTCTTGCGGTAGGCACAGAGTGGATTTTCCTTATAATGAAGACTGTGTGCACCAACGAGGGAAACAGAATGTGCATGGAACGGATGTGAAGTGAACTTGGTGATCACCTTAACAGTCCATGCAGTTGTTCTGAAGTAAAAGAACTGTTTCTTAAAAAATAAAAACAGTATATGCAGCACCAACAATAATGGCAATCAGTTGATATTTGCAAATACTTTAAAAAATTAACAATCAGTTTTATACTCTCCCTCCTTTAGAAAATAAGGCATACGTGTTGACGTCATTTTTGTGTTTTGTAATTAACACATGAGAAGATGATGCAAGGATAAACAATATTTGTACACTCCCAGGCCTCAGTTTCTTTAGCTTCGAAATGGTGGTGTCTGGTGTCGAGGTGTTGGTGATGATCTTTAAAGGGATCTTCCAGTTAATCATCAGTAGTGAATTACCATGGTGTGCCACCCAGACACCCCTTCAAGACTGAGACACTCATTTCCCAGGTTGCCTGGAGTCTTGGCAGCTGATGGCTCACAGTTAAGTTTCTCCCCAAGAATGACTCTTGGCCCAAGCACATCCCTTTTCCAGGGCCCACCCACAACCATTGACTAGTTGATGTGGAAGGTGTTAAGGCCCAGGCCTCATGCTTCATTTGAGACAATTCTAAAAGGCCATCCCTCTTTAGGATGGTCAGGGCCTCTGCTGCAACTGTATCAGAGTCCAGTACTCCCCTCTGCGCACTACTGCTTTCCTTACTCCTTACAGGTAATGTTCAAAAGAGCACTCCCCAATAAACTTCTCACACACAAATCTGAGTTTCAGTCTGTTTCCTGGGAACTGACCTACAATAGCTTCTATAATTCCATGATCTGCTTCTGCAGGTCATCAGCCGAGACCCTACTACATTTATCTGGTGCCCAAACCCCAACATTTATGGCTCAAGTGCAATGGGCTGACGGCCAGAAAGAAGATGGCTTCCTTTGGAATACAAGAGTTCTGAGCCCACAAAGCAGAAGAGAACCACACCCAGGCCAAACTGATATCCCAAATTCCTCAGGGGTCAGATCATTTTCATAATCCTGCACAGCTAAAACTGCCATCACAGTTGTGAACCCAGAAAAAGAATGTCAGCAAAACTACCCAGAAATGATAAAGGCAACAATATTTCCATGTACTAAGTAACACAGCAGCCAGAGTGAGCCTTTTAAAATTAAAGCCAGGTCATGTCACCCCCAAACTCAAAACCCTCCAGTGGAAAGTCGTTCTTCTCATCTCACTCATAATATAATCCCAAATTTCTACCTTGGACTCCAAAACCTAACATGCTGCTGCTTATCTCTCTGACCTCATATTCTACCACTCTTTCCCTTATTCAGTCTGCTACAACCAACACTGGTCTTCTCGCTGTTTCCAGAACATTCCAAGACCACTCCTGCCTCAGTGTTTTTGCCCTTGAGGTTTCTTCTGCCTGGATTTCTCTTCCCCCAGTAGCCACATGGTTTCACCTGCATTTCCTTCAGGTCTATTATCAAATGCCATCTTATCAAGGATGCCTTCCTGCCTTTTCCATAGATGGGTCTTCAAAATAAGGTGCTTGCTCCTCGGTTCACAAAATCTTTCCAAGGAGTACCTGGGCACTTAGGTAGTTTAAGGGAAATAATTTTCATGAGCCTCAAGCTCTGCCTGCATTCATTCCTAAATTTGAGTATCACTACGGTCAAGCCATTTCTCACCCCTGCTTTCATAAGAGATCCTTTTCCCACCTTACAAAAGAAATATTTACTTGACCCTCATTTCAAATCTTATAATGATGCATTGTCTATGCAAAACCTCCAGGGTGACTGGCAAAGGTTTATTTGAATGTTGAGGTTGTTTTTGAGAAAGTGCAATGACTCTGATGACTAATAAAATATCTTTTTGCAATTCAAGTAGTTTCTAACTCATTACTTTCAACAAAATGAAAGGAGTCTCTAATAGAGTTATTCATGATAGATACCTAAAAATAATTTTGATGAAAGATCACCAAGTGATTTCTGGCGTTTAACTCAGAAGGAATTCAGAGACTTGAGTAACACTGCTCTAACAGAAACTTTCCATGCTTATCTTCTTAGGGATGCAGACAAGATTTCTTTAGGACTTCCATCTACAAAAACCAAGATAGTAATATAATTGGTGTTGAGCCTTGTATCATTCAAGCAGTAAGTCATACTCAGCCATGGGTATATGAACTAATTATGATTTAAAAGGGAGACCTAGACTATTTCATAACAAGATGCATTTCCCATGAAATTGTGCTTTTTATGTTACAAGAAATTATTAAGGTTTCTAAGCATAAAAATAAGATATATTAAGATAAAAATCTGGGGGAGGAGTAAAATGGAAATACAAGTTCGGAGAGAAAATGGGATGATGTTAGGTGTTCTCACCACTAAAAATGGTAAGTATGTGAGATAATGCATATTTTAATTAGCTCAACTGAGCCATTCCACAATGTATACGTTTCAAATCATGTTGTACACGATAACCAGATATAATTTTATTTATCAATTTAAAGTAAAATAAAAGAAAACTGATGTAATATTTCCAATAAAGACGACCTTTTTTATGAGCTTTTTAAATAAATAGATAAATAGATGATGGTAGATATTAAATTAATATGACATTTAGATTCCATTAGATACTTTTTTTTTTTTTTTTTGAGAAGGAGTCTCGCTTTGTCACTAGGCTGGAGTGCAGTGGTGCGATCTCAGCTCACTGCAACCTCCACCTCATGGGTTCAAGGGATTCTCTTGCCTCAGCCTCCTGAGTAGCTGGGACTACAGGCACATGCCACCACGCCTAGCTAATTTTTGTATTTTTAGTAGACACGGGGTTTCACCATTGGCCAGGATGGTCTAGATCTCCTGACCTTGTGACCTGCCCGCCCTGGCCTCCAAAAGTGCTGGGATTACAGACGTGAGCCACCGCGCCTGGCCCATTAGATACATTTTAAGAAAATATATAATCATTTAATTTTTCAGCAAAAGCAATACATTTTACAATATATAGAAAGTTAATTCTTTACAACTACTAATGATAAAATTTAGAAGTCCATTTAAAAATGGTAAGAATTGTCACTATTAATGCCATGGAAATTAAAAGGACAATAAAGGAATGTTATGAAAAATTTTATGCCCACAAACTTGATAACTTAGATGAAATGTACCAATTCCTTAAAGACACAAACTATCATATTTCACAAAGGAGAAACAGATAATCTGAATACATTTATATCTATAAGATAAATTGAATAAATAATTAATAACCTTCTACAACGAAAGCACTAGGCCCAGATGGTGAATTCTACCAAACATGTCAGGAAGAAATGATATTAATTCTCCACAATCTCTTCCAGAAAAACTGAAGCAGAGAGAACACTTCCTAACTCATTCTAAAAAGTCAACATTACCTTAAGGAGGAATAAGTTCTAGTATTCTCTAACACTGTAGGATGACTATAGTTAACAATAATATATAGTTTAAAATAGCTAGAAGGAGGATATTGAAGGTTCCCAATACAAGGAAATGATCTTTGAGATAATGGAATGCTAATTACCCTGATCTGATCATTATATATTATATGTATTGCAACTTCAATATGTAGCCCATAAATATGTATAATTATTATTGTCAATAAAAAAATTTAATGAAAAAAATATATTACCAGAAAGGAATACAGATTACCAGATACAGACCAGTATCTCTCATGAACACAGATGCAAAAATCCTCAATAAAACATTAGTAAATTGAATTCGACAATGTATAAAAAGGATTATAAACCATGGCCAAGTGGGACTTCTTCCTCCAGATATGCAAGGCTGGTTCAACATTCAAAACTCAATCAATGTAATTTACCATATTAACAGACTAAAGAAGAAAAATCATAAGATTTTATTAATTGATGGATAAAAGTCATTTGACAAAACCCAACACTCACTTATGATTTTTAAAACTCTCAGCAAACTGGGAACAGAGAGAAACTACCTCAACTTGATAAATAAAAAAAAACCCTCAAAAATCCTGCAGCTATTATATTTAATGATGAAAAACTAGACACTTTCCTCTAAGTACCTTGGGAACAAGGTAAGGGTGTCCTTTCTCATTACTCATAATCAGCATTGTACTAGAAGACTTAGCTAGTGCAATAAGACAGGCAAAGGAAAGAAAAGGTATGTAGAATATGAAGGAGGAAATAAAACTGTCTTTGTTCACAGATGACATAATTGTCTATACAGAAAATCCCAAAGAATCACTAAAAATCTCTTAGGACTAACAAGCTAATATAGCAAGTTTGCAGACTTACTATAGAACAGTCCATTGTTTTTCTATACCAGCAATTAAAAAATCATAATTTGAAGTTGAAAAAAACAATATAATTTACAATAGCACTAAAAAAAAGAAAATTTATGTATAACTCTGACAAAATATGTACATAGTCTATATGCAGAAAACTATAAAACTGTGATGAAAGAAATCAAAGAGAAAAATAAATGGAGAGATTCCATGTTCACAGATTGGAAGACTCAATATTGTTAAGATGTCAATTCTTCCAAACATGATCTATAGATTTAATGCAATCCCAATCAAAAATTCCCAGTAAGCTACTTTGTAGATGTTGACATAATGATTCCAAAGTTTATATGGAAAGGCAAAGACCTGGCTGGGCAAAGTGGGTGGCTTATGCCTGTAATCCCACCACTTTAGGAAGCCAAGGCAGGTGAATCACTTGAGCTCAGGAGCTCAAGACCAGCATGGGCAACATGGTGAAACCCCTTCTCTACCAAAAATACAAAAAATTAGCCAGGCGTGATGGCATGCACCTGTGGTCCCAGCTACACGAGGGGCTGAAGTAGGAGGATTGCTTAAGCCCGGGAGGCAGAGGTTGCAGTGAGCCGAGATCATGCCACTGCACTCCAGCCTGGGTGACAGAGTGAGACTTTGTCTCAAAGTAAAATAAAATACATTTAAAAAAGGCAAAAACCTAGAAGGAAGACTAATTGGGAAAACTCACACAACCTGATTTCAACATTACTTTAAAGCTACAGTAATGAAGACAGCATGGTATTGGCAAAAGAGCAGAAACATAGATCAATAGAACAGAATAGAGAGCCCAGAAATAGATTAACACAAACATAACCAACTGATCTTTGACAAAGGAGCAAAGGCAGTTCAGTAGAGAAAGGATAGTCTTTTTGCCAAATGGTGCTGGAAAAAAATGAACATCCATATGCAAAAACATGGACCTAGATCTAATACCTTTCATGAAAATTAACTCAAAATCAATTAGAGACCTGTATCTAAAATGAAACTAAAAAAAATCTAGAAGGAAACATAGAAATAGTCTAGGTGATCTTGATTTTGGCAATGAGTTTTTAGATACAACACTAAAAGCATGATCCATGGGGAAAAAATAATAAATTAGACATTTTTAAAGTTAAAAACTTCTGTTCTAGGCCGGCACAGTGGCTCAAGCCTGTAATCCCAGCACTTTGGGAGGCCGAGGCGGGCAGATCACGAGGTCAGGTGTTCGAGACCATCCTGGCGAACGTGGTGAAACCCCGTCTCTACTAAAAATACAAAAATTAGTTGGGCATGGTGGCGTGTGCCTGTAATCCCAGCTACTTGGGAGGCTGAGGCAGGAGAATCGCTTGAACCTGGGATGTGGAGGTTGCAGTGAACCGAGATCACACCACTGCAGTCTAGCCTGGCCAACAGACTGAGACTCTGTCTGAAAAACAAAAACAAAAACAAAAAACTTCTGTTCTTCAAAAGACACTGTTAAGACAAGTGAAAGCCATGCCACAGACTAGGAAAAAATATTTGTAAAACACATATCTGATAACAGTCTTACATGCAAACATACAAAGAACTCTAAAAACTGAACAATAAGAAAATAAACAGCCCAATTTTTAAAATGGCAAAAAATCTGAACAGACTCCCCACTAAAGTAAATATATACATGAAAAATAAGCAAGTGAAAACATTATAAACATCATTTGTCATAAGGGCATTGGAAATTAAAACGAGATACTACTACATACTTATTAGAATAGCTAAAATTAGAAAAAAAACTGAACTAATTGTTGATGAGCATGTGAGCAATAGGCACTCTCATTCATTGCTGCTAGGAATGCAAAATGGAACAGACACTTTCAAAGATAGTTGGGCAAGTTCTTAAAAATCCAAACATAGTCTCACCCAACAATCCAGCAACTGCACTTCTAGACAGTTACCAAACTGATTTGGAAACTTATATTCACACAATGGCCCACACCTGTAGTCCCAGCAATTTGGGAGGCAGAGGTGGGTGGATCGTCTGAGCCCAGGAGTTCAAGGCCAGCCTGGCTAACATGGTGAAACCCCATCTCTACTAAAAACACAAAAATTAGCCAGGCGTGGTGGCACATGCCTGTAGTCTCAGCTACTCGGGAGGCTGAGGAATGAGAATCACTTGAACCCAGGAGGTGGAGGTTGTAGTGAGCTGAGATCACACCACTGCACTCCAGCCTGGGTGACAGTGAGACGCTGTCTCAAAAAAAATAAAGACAACTTATATCCACACAAAAATGTGCATGTGAATGTTTATAGCAGCTTTATTCATAATCACCATAAACGGGAAGCATCCAGTATGTCTTTGAATAGTGAGTGCATAAACAAACTTTTGCATATCCATGCAATGGAATATTATTCAGCGCTGAAAAGAAATGAGATATCAAGCTACAAAAAGACATGGACAAATCTTAAGTGCATATTGTCAAGTGAAAGAAGCTAGTTTGGAAAAGGCAAATCTATAAATGCAATAAAAAGATTAGTGGTTGGCTGAGCGTGGTGGCTCATGCCTGCAATCCCAGCACTTTGGGAAGCAGAGGTGGATGGATCACCTGAGGTCAGGAGTTCGAGACCAGCTGGCCAACATGGTGAAACCCCATCTCTACTAATATTAGAAAAATTAGCCAGGCATGGTGGCACACCCCTGTAATCCCAGCTACTTGAGCCGCTGAGGCAGGAGAATCGCTTGAACTCAGGAAGTGGAGGTTGCAGTGAGCCAAGATTGCACCATTGCCCCCCAGCCTGGGCAGCAAGAGCAAAACTCCGTCCGTCTCCAAAAAAAAAAAGAAAAAGAAAAAAAAAGATCAGTGGTTTCCAGAGGTTTAGTGTAGGAAAGGAGGGATTAATAGGTGTTGCACAGGAGATTTTTTTTAAGAGTGGTGAAACTACTCTGTATGACACTGTAATTGTGGATACATGACCTCATTTATCAAGACCCACTGAACTTAACAGCACAAAGAATAAGCCTTAAGGTATGAAATTTTTAAAATATCATTTAGGAGCCTGGGGAATTCTTGGATGGAATGCAGTAAGTGACAAAAGAATCTAACTGTATTAAAAATGCATCAAATGACCTCACTGAAGTAGATGTGGGAAAAAGTTGTTGTCCTAAAAAACTTTGGAAATGAGTGGAATCTGTAAGACTAACAGCAAAGAAACTACACATAAGCACTGTATTCTGGCTGATAAAGTTGCTTCCCACATGCATGCTGGTTAACAATTCTGATAGTGCTATGCATGTATACTGGAAATGAATAAGCAAATGGATGGCTGGTGTAGTGGGAGATTACAGACAAGCAACAGGAGGATGCTGGAATGATCTGTGTGTGTGGTAATGGCTAGAGTTGGAGAGGTGTGTATGAATCCATGTTTAGCTTAAAATGAACACGTGGTTACATAAAGAATTATTTAATAGATGTTCTTATATACACTGGTTAGTGTACACATGTATTTCCTTGCTTTGTCAGCTGAGAAAAGTAATAACACACCAGAATCAGTAAGCACACCTATTGCCTAGGTATTGGTTTCTAATACCATTCTCCAATAAATAGAACCAGTGTTTCTTAGAAAAATGGCTGATTGTAGAACTGGAGCAGGAAATAGATGAGATGAACCTGGACATTTTATAGTGCCATTGAGTAAGGAAGCGCTTTTAAAAAAATGACTGGGGTATGTCAAAGGGACATAGAAGCCAAGTGAAAGAGCTCCCAACAGCCAAAGCTGAAATAATTTGAGCAACAAAATAAATAAAATAGTACTGATTATAATCCAAAGTATAAAAGAAATATCTATCAGTCCATTCTAATATAGATAAATGACTAAATGAATAAATGGAGAGAAGAGAGAAATCTCCTATGCAGAATAATTTAATAATAACTTATGTAGATATTCCACCCTTAAAGACATGGAGCATCACTCTCCACTCCTTATGTGTGGACTGTACAGAGTGACCTCCTTCTAAAGAACACAGTATAGAAAACAGGGGGGGTAGGAAGAGTAGCTTTACTGTGGAAAAGCCTGACAAACACTATCTCAGTTAGGTCACCAAGGTCAAAATCAACAGTGATAATTCCTGTTGCTAGTACATACCCTTGATATGATGTGATGAGAATGGCACTTCTGTGGTTTTCCTCTCCAAACCCATAATCCCATAATCCCAGTCTAAACATGAGAAAAACATCAGACAACTCCCAAGTGAATAACATTTTACAACCTTACTCGTACTCTTCAAAGCTGTCAACGTCTTAAAAACAAAGAAAGTCTGAGAAACTGTCGCGGTCAAGAGGAGGCTAAGGGAACATGGCAACTAAAGGTCGTATGAGGCCGGGCACAGTGGCTCATGGCTGTAATCTCAGCACTTTGGGAGGCCGAGGCGGGCGGATCACCTGAGGTCGGGAGTTTGAGACCAGCCGGACCAACATGGAGAAACCCTGTCTCTACTAAAAATACAAAATTAGCCGGGTGTGGTGGCATATGCCTGTAATCCCAGCTACTCGGGAGGCTGAGGCAGGAGAATTGCTTGAACCGGGGAGACAGAGGTTGCGGTGAGCCAAGATCAAGCCATTGCACTCCAGCCTGGGCAACAAGAGCGAAACTCCATCTCAAAAAAAATAAATAAATAAAAACAAATATAGGTCATATGATATGCTGAATGGGATCCTGGAACAGAAAATGTACTTTAGGTAAAAACTAACAAAATCTGAATAAAGTTTGGACTTCAGCTAATGATACTAATAGTATACCAATATTAGTTCACTAATTATAACAAATGTGCTACGCGAATGTAAGGTGTTAATAACAGGGAAAACAGGGTGTGGGGTATATGGAAGCTCTCTGTACTGTCTTCTCAACTTTGCACTAGAGGTTCTAACCAGTGTAATGAGGCAAAGAGATAGAGAAGGAGGGAGGAGGAGAGAAGGGCAGCCGAGAAGGGTACAGAAGGAAAGAAATTAAAGGCATGTACGCTGGGGAGGAAGAGGTAAAACTGTTTTTTATAGTCAATACAGCCTGTATAGAATTCTAAGGAATACACACACACACACACACACACACACACACCCCTACTAGATTTAATAAACAAGTTCACCAAGGTCACAGAATATGATCAATATACAAAAGTCAGTTGTATTTCTACATACTAGGAACCATCTGAAAATAAAACTAAAAAAACTGTTATATTCACACTAGCATGAAAAATGAATAAAATAGGAATAAATTTAGCAAGAAAGTTCAAGATGTGTACACTAAAACTATGAAATATTGCTGAGAGAAATCAAAGAAGGTCTAAATAAATGGAGAGGCATTACATGCTAATGGATAGGAAGACTCAATATTGTTAAGATGGCAACACTACCTAGTCATCTCAGATTCAATGCAAACCCTAGCAGAAATCCCAGCAGACACTTTTGCAGAAATTGTCAAGCTGATTTTAAAACTTATATGGAAATGCAAAGGATCTGGAGTACCCAAAACAACACTGAAAAATAACAAAGTTGAAGACTTACATCTCCCATTTTCAAAACTTATTATGAAACTGTAGTAACCAAGACAGGTTGGTGTAAAAATAGGACTAAACATGAATGAAGGTAAATTAAGAGTCAAGAAATCCTATGCTCATGTTCAATTAATTTTCAACAAAAACACCAAGGCAATTCCATTGGAAAAAGATGGCCTTTTCAACAAATGGTGCTGGGTGCTTTTGGGGGCAATGGAAATGTTCAAAATCTAATTCTGGTGATGGTTGTACCACTCTATTAAGTTTATTAATAGTTATTTAACTTAAACTTAAAATGGGGGAATTTATGATGTATAAATTATGCCACAATAAAGCTGTTAAACAAAAAAGGCACTTCCTAAAAGTTGAAAGTGAACCAAAGCAAACACTGAAACATTTATCTTTAATGATCTAAAACTCAGCGTTGTTGCTGGGCATGGTGGCACGTGCCTGTAGTCTCAGCTACTTCAGGCTGAGGCAGGAAGATCCCTTAAGCCCAGGAGTTTAAGTCCAGCCTGGGCAACAGTGAGACCCCCCATGTCTAAATTTAAAAAACAAACACAAAAAACTTTCTGTACACTCCCTAGTAGAAGATCCTGGGAAACAACAACAACAACAACAAAAACCTTTAAAAAGCTTAAACTGTTTTCAGTAAGCATATTGTTTGTAGTAGTACTGGTATAGTTTTTCTAAGACTTCTGTGTGTGCTGATCAAGTAAATAAGTGATCATATTGGTGTGGTTGAAAATGAGAACACTCAAAGTGGAGGACTAGGATACAAATGTAAGATCAACTGGGCTAAATAAAAACTTATGGTCCTGAATTGGAATCGAAAGTAACAGTATAAACAACTGATGTATTTTATCTTAAACATTTTTTCAACTTTGTCTACTAAAAGTCCTAGTGAAAAATGACCTACCCAGTATTTATGAGCCCCCTAGCACCCAAACTGTGGTCTCTAATACGATTTTCCACTGAAAAGAACCAATGCTTCTTGAAGAAGTGATCGATTCTAGATCTGTGATACAAAATGTACCAGATAAGTCATGAAATGTTTGTCTAACCACAAAGAAAAGAAACTACCAAAAACTACTAGCGTCATGTCCAAAAGAACTGAGGTGCCACCAACTTGACTAGATTCCCACTGGTCAAAGATGGAACAACTAAGTAAGCATCAAAAAGAATAATAACCGCAATCGACTGAAACACTTTCAGTATGCTTAAGTCTCCGGCTTTATAATGACACTAAAAAACAAAACAAAACCCACTGGTTGCCTTGGAACGATGCTGGGAAATCAACTCATTATTTTGAAAAATGGTAGAATTAAACATTCATCTTGCCTTACATATTCAAATTAAATGTTAGAATAACTGAATGGTTTAAAAGGAGAAGTTTATCTTTAGAGAAATGATCCAGGTAATAAAGCAAGAAGGAAAGGTGAAATTAGAAAATCACCATTTTGGGCTGGGCGTGGTGGCTCACGCCTGTAATCTTAGCACTTTGGGAGGCCGAGGCCGGTGGATCACGAGGTCAGGAATTCAAAACCAGCCTGGCCAACATGGCAAAACCCCGTCTCTACTAAACACAAAAAACAAAAACTAGGCAGGCGTGGTGGCTACTTGGGAGGCTGAGGCAGGAGAATCACTTGAAGCCAGGAAGTGGAGATTGCAGTGAGCTGAGATCGTACCACTGCACTGCAGCCTGGGCAACAGGGCGAGACTCCATCTCAAAAAAAAAAAAAAAAAAAAAGAAAGAAAAAGAAAAGAAGATCACCATTTTACAATTTTACAACCCTAATGAAATAATGAATTTGTGCAATAATTATCAAAGACTGCTAACATCCAGAAGAGAGAAATAATCACACAACATGGCATCCTATCTGAAGTACACAACACCCTCTATGATGTATGTGCTAAAAAAAAATTTAACCTCAATCTGATCGGGCCTCCAAACCCAATTTACAGGAAATAAGGGGCAGAGGGACATGTTAAATAGCACTACAATGATGCAGTTGACAAAATCTAGACTTTTGGAAATTCTAAAGACAAAGACACATTTCTACACTGAAAAAAAAGCGTGGAAAAATGAGAGGGCAAACCAATAGATTAAAAGAGACTGAAAAGACAACCAATCACAGCCCACGAGCCCTAATAAAATTCTGATGCAAACAAACCATTTAAAATACATAAATGCTCTAAACCTGGATTGTGGCGATGTTTGCACAACTGTTTAAATTTACTAACAATAGGCCGGCGTGGTGGCTCACGCCTGTAATCCCAACACTTTGGGAGGCCGAGGCAGGTGGATCACAAGGTCAAGAGATGGAGACCATCCTGGCCAGCATGGTGAAATCCCATCTCTACTAAAAATAGAAAAATTAGCTGGGCATGGTGGCGCACACTTGTAGTCCCAGCTACTGGGGAGGCTGAGGCAGGAGAATGGCTTGAACCCGGGAGGCAGAGGTTACAGTTAGCCGAGATTGCACCACTGCACTCCAGCCTGGAGACAGAGCAAGATTATGTCTCAAAGAAAAAAAAATTACTAACAATCAAACGGTATATTTACAATGGGTGAAGTTTACAGCTTGTAAATTATACCTCAATAAAACTGTGTCAGGCTATCAGGGAAATATGAAGACTAATGAACAATAAGGAATTATTGTTGATTTTTAAGGCATTATCATATTGTGGTTTTTTTTAAAATACTTCTTATCTTTTAAAGACAAATACTGAAGTATTTACAAATATTTGCAGATAATTCAAAGCATTTGTTTCCAAACATTCTGGTGTGGAGGCGATGGGGACAAAAGGTAATGAGCACACAGGCATTATTACACTATTCTACATTTGTGCACATTCGAAATGTTCCCTAATAAAAAGTGGAGCGGCTGGGCGCGGTGGCTCACAGCTGTAATTCCAGCACTTTGGGAGGCCAAGGCATGCAGAACATCTGAGGTCAGGAGTTCAAGACCAGCCTGGCCAACACGGTGAAACCCTGTCTCTAATAAAAATACAAAAATTAGCCAGGCGTGGTGGCACGGCCTGTGGTCCCAGCTACTCGGGAGGCTGAGGCAGAAGAATTGCTTCGCCGCACTGCAGCCTGGGTGACAGAGCAAAACTCCTTCTCAAAAATAAAAAAATAAATAAATAATAGTAGAGCATTAAAAGACAATTTGAAAACAAGAAAAGAGAAACAGTAAGGAAGAGAGAAAGGCTTTTAATTAATTACTTTGCTCTCTCTTAATTATTTAGCTCTCAGCTTTCTACCTTTGCTATTAACACAATTGATGTGTGGAAATAGATGGCATATAAATAATAATAAATAAATTTTTATAATAATATAAAAACCAAATAACCATAACTTACGTCCCGCGTCTTCAAACCCATACAGAGCGTGGAACTGCTGCCTCCCATCCCTGGGATGTTGCAAAGGAAATGGAAACCAACCACCAACACAAGGATATGACCCACACATGGGAGAGGACGTGCTGAGCAGGGATCTGGAGGTGTTTTAGTCATGGTTTGTGACCACTGTGGTGCTGCACACAGCCTGTGCCTTGGCATCCCACCACCATTTATAACAGTCAACCCAGTGAAATCAGATCCATTAAACAGCTTATTTTTAAAGAAAATACTTTACATTGCTGCACACGGCTGGGCGAGGTGGCTCACACCTGTAATCCCAACACTTTGGGAGGCCGAGGCAGGTGGATCACTTGAGGCCAGGAGTTCGAGACCAACCTGGCCAACATGGTGAAACTCCGTCTCTACTAAAAATACAAAAAATTAGCCAGGTGTGGTGGCGTGTGCCTGTAGTCTCAGCTGCTCAAGAGGCTGAGGCAGAAGAATTGCTTGAACCCAGGAGGTCAAGGTTGCAGCGAGCCGAGATCGCGCCACTGCACTTCAGCCTGGGCAACAGAACGAGACTCCGTCTCAAAAATAAATAAATAAATAAATGGTTGCATGAACATCAAAGCTTACATATTCACGAGTAATGTTATTTAAGTTTACACTAAAAATGGGTGAATTTATGATATGTAAATTATACTTCAATGAAGCTGTTAAACAAAAAAGGCACTTCCTAAAAATTGAAAGTGACACCTGTCAGGTGAGTAACAGGTTTTTTCATATCTGAGTGTGGATATCAGTCGCTTGCTCTGGACACAGAGCCAAAGAAAATGCTGAACACATTCTCTGGATTTATCTGAGTGACGCAACATAGCATGGTGGTAAAGAACGTGGCCTTCGGGGTTGGACAGATGGGCTGTGTTCAGCAAGCTTAAGTAAATGCTTAACCTTTCCAATCCCAGACTCCTCTTCAGGAAAACAGGAATAAAAACACCTTCCTTGCAGGACAGATGCAGGGATTAAATGAGGTAATGCAGTAAAGTTTGGCATCTAAGATTTCAACCCAAACCAGTGGCTATGATGGCTTCTAACACCAAGGCTTGCACAAGGAGACTGAACAAAAGGGGGACTTGCAGCGTGTTTCACTGGCCAAAAAAAATTAAAAATAGGCCGGGCACGGTGCCTCATGCCTGTAATCCCAGCACTTTGGGAGGCCAAGGTGGGCAGATCACGAAGTCAGGAGTTCAAGACCAGCTTGACCAAAATGGTGAAATCCCATCTCTACTAAAAATACAAAAATTAGCAGGCGTGGTGGCACATGCCTGTAATCCCAGCTACTCAGGAGGCTGAGGCAGGAGAATCGCTTGAACCCGGGAGGCGGAGGTTGCAGTGAGCCGAGATGGTGCCACTGCACTCCAGCCTGGGTGACAGAGCGAGACTTCGTCTCAAAAAATATTAAAAATAAAAATAAAAAAATAGAGCACTTGAGCTGCCAGATGACCTGGCAGGGCACACATCTGACGAAAAGAATTTTCCAGTGATGATTCTGAAATGATGAAGAAGTTTAAAAGAGCTTCAAAGGGCTGCGGCCGTGTCTCGAGCCCACACAGACCGGTCAGCCCTGTCACCTCCAGAACCGGCCTGGCACCATGGAAAGGGCACGGAAAGGGCTGCCAAAGCCGTCCTCGCGCCCACGCACGAAACCACCACCTCCGCAGCCGGGCCCAGCAGCTCCACTCCATCTCCCCTTTTCAAAATGAAGACCCTAAGATCTCCTTCGAGGAGATGAGCAGAAAGCCCAGCCGCAGAGCTGCGGACGCTAACGCCAGCGCCAAGCGGGTGCCGACACTCCCTGTGCTGTTCCGGCCCCACACCATCTGGAAAACAAGGTCGTCTTACCCTGTTTAGTCCATGAGGAAAGAAAGGCTCAGCTCAGGGAGGACATTTGCCCAAGGTTACATAACTGGTGGGTGCGCGGGCCAGGCCTGACATCGGGTCCACCCAGATGCCAACCTTCCTTACTGCTCCTCTCCAGCGCCTCAGCCAGCTCCCAGCCTGGGACCCAGAAAGGCCCAGAGCCCGCGCTCATGCCAGCACACGATATCTTCGGTACTAATCCCCGGATTTCATTAATCTCTATCACAGGTCCAAAGAGGAGGGGTCGCTGAGGCTGGGCTAATCTCCCTCCCGAGTTTGACTTCCAACTTTCCATGAAGGCCTTAGCCCTATTGCATCCCATGGGACCAAGTAAAAACCTTAGGCTCCCAGAAGATCAAGGGGATGTTTATCTGGCATCTAGGGATCAACTTCTGGAAGAAAAAAATACAGCAATATATCTAAATCCATTTCTTCAGGAAATTAATGAATGGAAGGGCTGCTCTTAGCAGAGTCTCCAGAACTGAATATGCAGAGGGCTTAAGGGTTCCTTTTCTAAGTAAGAGCTGTCTCACTGCTTCCTTTTTTTATTTTTTTTTTTTTTTTATTTTTTATTTTTGTGAGACAGGGTCTTGCTTTGCCACCCAGGCCGGAGTGCAGTGGCACAATCATGGCTCACTGTATCCTGGACCTCCTGGGCTCACACAATCCTCCTTCCTCAGCTCCCAAGTAGCTAAGACTACAGGCACGTGCCCCCACACCTGGCTCTTTTTTTTTTTCTTTCTTTCTTTCTTTTTTTTTTTTTTTTTTTTTTTTTTTTTTTTTTTTGTAGAGAGGGGGTTTCGCTATGTTTCCCAGGCTGGTCTCTAATTCCTGACCTCAAGTGATCCGCCCACCTTGGCCTCCCAAAGCGCTGGGGTTACAGGCGTGAGGTTACAGGCCAAGCCCTTAAATTATTCAAAGCTAAAGTTCTACTCCCAAGACCCCAAGGTTAACCGAAGTCCAGAAGTCCTCCGGTACCTGAAATACCTCACAGCTGCTAGGCTTTATGGCTGTTGTCAGACTGTTCAAACACAAACAGAGCCAAATATCCTGCCAGCCAGCACGGACCTGCTCCCAAGAATCATGTGTTATGGTTTCCATCACACCCAGCCATCAAGTCCTGTTTGAGCTTGTCATCCCTGCAAGCCATGTGACTGCTGGCACCTACCTGGGTCACATTTGCCTCTTCCCTTGGGACACAGCTTTTTGCAAAAAGGCCATAGCCACTTGCTAGGATGAGTCAGAAGTTCCTCAAATCTCCTGACACAACTCAGGGGCAAAGAGAAAGGGACAGCAAACAGGCCCAGCAGGGGCTGTCTAGCCATGACATAAGAAGCCAGCACATATCTTTAGAGGAGCGTTCAGCTCCGAATCCCAACCTGCTTCACAAACACCTGGGGCAAACTCCAGAGATGGCATTTCCACTGGCAATGACAGGAATCGGGCCAAACACCACACATCCCCCTGGACACTCTTGACGTTCAATACATTCACAGAAGCTTCCTTGACCACTCCTGGGCCCTGTGACCCTATCAGGCCAAGGAGCTGGTTCACAGAAAGTGAAAGATTCTGACAAGCAGAGTATTTTCCCTCTGAGCAGGTGTGGTTCCTCACTGAAACAGGAATCCTCTTTATTCCACAAGCGAGACACAGAACAAACAGTGCCCCAGGCCGGAGAACTGAGGCCAGACCTGCTTCCCAGGTGACCCCGGTGTCCACAAAATAAATGCCCCTGTAGGATGGGGATCATCCGCCTGCCTCTTTGCACACACTAGTCTCCTGGCCATTCTCCTGCGAAGGCCTCAACCTCCCAAAGCCCTTTAAAAGATAACATTTTTTCCATCCCCTTTTAATTATCTTGAGCCAATGGGGACAGGTTCAGACTCTGTCCCTGATTACTTTGATGGGTAAATCCCCTGCTGCTCGGCTGAGGAGGGCTCTCAGTAACCTCAGTCCAGCCATCCAGCTCCCCACAGCCCCGCCGCCAGGAAGAGCCTGGCTCCACAACCCCGTGCCAGGCCCTTGACTTCCAGCCAAGCGTACCCACTCACTCTTTTCCTGTGCTTTCCTGATTTTTAAAAGAGCTGGCACGGGGGCTCATGCTTGTAATCCTGGCACTTTGGGAGGCCAAGACCAGAGGATCTCTTGAGCCCAGGAGTTCGAGACCAGCCTGGCCAACATAGAGAGACTCCCATCTCTGCAAAACAATTAAAATAGAAAGATTATTGGGTGGGTGCAGCATACCAATATGGCACATGTATACATATGTAACAAACCCACACATTGTGCACATGTACCCTAGAACTTAAAGTATAATAATAATAATAATAATATATATATAAAAGATTATTGGGGCCAGACGTGGTGATTCATGCCTGTAATCCCAGCACTTTGGGAAGCTGAGGCAGGCAGATCATCTGAGGTCAGGAGTTCGAGACAAGCCTGGCCAACATGGTGAAACCCCATTTCTACTAAAAATACAAAAATCATCCAAGTGTGGTGGTGGGCTCCTGTAGTCCCAGCTACTTGGGAGGCTGAGGCAGGAGAATTGCTTGAACCCAGGAGGCAGAGATTGCAGCGAGTTGAGATCACGCCACTGCATTCCAGCCTGGGCAACAGAGCGAGACTCCCTCTCAAAAAAAAAAAAAAGATTATTGGGTGTGGTGGTGCGTACCTGTAATGCCAGACACTTGGGAGGCTGGGGCAGGAGAATCCATTGAGTGCAGGAGTTTGAGTCTGCAGTGAGCCATGACAGTGACACTGAACTCCAGCTGGGGCAACAGAGTGAGACTCTGTCTTGGGGAAAAAAAAAGTAGGAAAGAGAGTTTTTACATACCCTTCATCCAGCTTCTCCTACTGTTAATGACTTACATACTGATAGTACAATAATCAAAACCAAGAAATTAACTCTGGTATGATACTGTTACCTATACTTGGATTTCACCAGATTCTCCACTAATGTCTTCTTTTTCTGTTTCAAGATCCAATCCAGGATCCTTTGCTGCATTTATCCTCATGTGCTCTGCAAGCTGAGACAGTTCCTCTGTGTTTTCTTGTCCTTCAGGACCTTGACAATTTGTAAGAGTCCTAGTCAGATATTTTGTAGGATATCCCTTAACTTGGGTTTGTCTGATGTGTTTTCTCACCATTAAACAGGTTATACATTTCTGGCAAGATTCCCACAGAGGTGACGTGCCCTTTTCAGTGCATCATATAAGAAAGTATATGAGGAAACTGAGGCCCAAGAGCTTAAATAATTTCCTCAAAGGCAAATGGCTAATAATGGACAGAGCTGGTACTCAAGTTTGCACAACTAAAAAGGCGTTGGTCTTTTTACCTTTCCCTAACTTCCAGAATGTAGAAACCATACTTTAAGCAATATACAGGTTATGTAATACATGAAACACAGTGTGCTATATTATTGCAGGTACAATATGGATATACAGGCCAGGCGCGGTGGCTCACGCCTGTAATCCCAACACTTTGGGAGGCCAAGTAGGGTGGATCATTTGAGGCCAGGAGTTCAAGACCAGCCTGTCCAACATGGTGAAACCCTGTCTCTACTAAAAATACAAAAATTAGCCAGGCGTGGTGGCATGTGCCTGTAATCCCAGCTACTAGGGAGGCTGAGGCACGAGAATCACTTGAGCCTGGGAGGTGGAGGTTGCAGTGAGCTGAGATGGCACCACTGCACTCCAGCCTGGGCAACAGAGTGAGACCCTGTCTCAAAAAAAAAGTACATGATGTCGATTTATCTTACCACTGGTGATGATAATCTTGATCATTTGGCAAAAGTGGTATCTTCCAGGTTTTTCCACTGTAATCTCATTCTTTTCCCCCTTTATAATTAGAAAATATTTGAGGGGAGATGCTTTGTAGATTTGGAGATGCTTTGATTATGTAGATATCCTATTTCTCCCTTTTGCCCTCTAACTTACCATTCATCAGTAGATCTTTCTAAGGCAATTATTACTGTGATATTTTAAGGGTGATCTTCCATTTCCCTCTTATGCAATAGAAGAAAAGTAACGGGTAACTATTGTGTATAAACAGGGTGTCCACGTGATTTGTCATTCAAACCAGGACACTTTTGAAAGTGAAAGAGGGTACTGTTAATAACTACAGTATGGCAACAAGCGTAAGTTTGTCCTGGGAAAACTGGGATGCACAGTCACTCTATGTGTAAAATTGACTCTCCAGCTCAAAACAACAGAGACGGGTCAACATTTACTGAAAGTATCTGTATCTTCGAGAAAATCAACAGCAATCTTTGGTGGGGTTTTGAGGGGAAACAGATCATCTTATAGCTGAGTTAAATGTGCAAAGGAATAGAAACTGCTGGCTTGTGGAAGATAATTGTGAAAGAGAATCAAGGGCTAGGAAGCAGAAGCCATAAGCAGCCTAATATACAAGAAATAATCCCCCTCGTCCAATCAAGAGAGAATGCAAACCTGCCTATGAACCAGCTGAAAAGTATCTGTTCCTGCGAAAGGGACTAGTATGTCGCATAAACTCATTAGTCTTTCAAACCCTAAACACTTTCTTCTCTCATATCAAGGCCAATTTTGAGTATTCTGTTTAATAATTTCCTTCACACATCTAGTCACTTAGATCATTTCCTTTTAGAAGACACTAAGCCACGAAGAAGGTAAAATGGGGAATCTCACCAGGGAGGGCGTGTTCCCTCTGATGGTGTTCTCCTATATTTATTTGGAAAAGGTTTCAGACCCCAGCATCTGCCCAAGCTGTCTCCAGTTGGTCTATAGTGGGAAACACCTCTTTGGCACAAAGTCATGACCCAGTATTATTTTTTCCCATTCTACTGAGGAGGAAACGGAGCCTTTGTGAGGGGCAAAGGATCTGTTTAAATTCCTGACTTGACACAGTAAGCGGCCAGAGTAGGGATGACTCATGCTGTAGCTATGGGCCTCCTCTTTCAACTTTAATGGGAATAGTCAACATCCTATTATTTGAATGTTTATCCTGGGTTCATATTATTTCACACAGCGAAAGGCATTTAATGGTAGAAATATTTTCAAACCTAAAAAGTTAAAGGAGAGGAAAATCTTCCACATATCCATACTGGAGACAATGGCGTGGAAGAAACCCGTACGGAAGATCAGAGATTGTTTGATAAATCTGTCACCTTATGTGGAAAGCCATAGTGTCTATGAATAATAATTTCCAGCTCAGAGGATCTGATGAGTGCTTCAGTTAGACCCTGCCCCCAGAGTGCTCAGAACATAATGATTATTTTTCTTGTTGTTGTAAATATTAATAAGCAACAACTGTAGCCTAACACTGTGCGGAAAACTTAAAAACTAGTGATACAAAGCAGATAAATAACTCTAGAAATTATTCCGGGCATTCCTGGAGCTATTCAAGATAGAGGATAGGGCATCCAAATAGTCATTTCAAGGAATTATAACCACAAGAGTTTTCAGCTAATGAATTTAGAAGAAATGGTAGAACTGGGCCAGGCATGGTGGCTCATGCCTGTAATCCCAGCACTTTGACTGAGGCAGGCGGATCACCTGAGGTCAGGAGTTCAAGACCAGCCTGGCCAACATGGCGGACACCCATCTCTATTCAAAATACAAAAATTAGCTGGGTGTGCTGGCATGTGCCTGTAGTCCCAGCTACTTGGGAGGCTGAGGCACGAGAATCACTTGAAGCTGGAACCCAGGAGGCAGAGGTTGCAGTGAGCTGAGATCACGCCAGTGCTCTCCAGCCTGGGAGACAGACCAAGACTCTGTCTCAAACAAAAAAAAAGGAAGAAGAAATGGTAGAATTAGAATATCACCATTTTGTAATCTTCATGAAATAATGACAATAACAATGGTCATCAATGGCTGCTAATATCATACAAAAGGCAAGTGGACATCATGTGCTTCCCACCCTGTCTAGTCGCAGAATACTATAAAGTATTCTTGACAAAGACTGGACCTAGGCTAGGCGCAGTGGCTCACGCCTGTAATCCCAGCACTTGGGAGGCCAAGGTGGGTGGATCACCTGAAGTCAGGAGTTCGAGACCAGCCTGACCAACATGGCGAAACCCTGTCTCTACTAAAAATACATCAATTAGCTGGGTGTAGTGGCAGGTGCCTGTAATCCCAGCTACTCAGGAGGCTGAGGCAGGAGAATCGCTTGAACCTGGGAGGCGGAGGTTGCAGTGAGCTGAGAGCTTACCATTGCACTCCAGCCTGGGTGACAAGAGCAAGACTCCATCTCCAAAAAAGAAAGAAAAAAAAAAAGAAAAAAAAGACTGGACCTAAATATGACCAAGCCTCTAGATCTAGTTTTCAGGTTACACAGGGGCAGAGAAATATACTAATGGCACCATGAGGATAAAATCAGCAAAGTCCAAACTATGAGACACGCTACAAATGACACAGTTTCTTAAAAACAGTACCAAAAAAAAAAATGGGGGTGACCTGTACACTAAGAAAAACTCTTAGAATACATATCAAAAAAAGCAATGTATTGCCAGGCATAATGGCTCACGCCTGTAATCCCAGCACTTTGGGAGGCCGAGGCAGGCAGATCACGAGGTCAGGAGTTCAAGACCAGCCTGGCCAACATGGTGAAACCCTGTCTCTACTAAAAATACAAAAAAATTAGCCAGGCGTGCACCTGTAATCCCAGCTACTCGGGAGGCTAAGGCAGGAGAATTGCTTGAACCTGGAAGGCGGAGGTTGCAGTGAGCCGAGATTGTACCACTGCACTCCAGCCTGGATGACAGAATAAGACTCTGTCTCAGAAAAAAAAAAAAAAGCAATGTATTATAATATGGATGTTATCTGGATTCTAATTTGTATTAACAAATCATAAGAAAAACCTAAAAAGTAAGTGAGAAAATGTGAACATTGTGCTAACTGGGTATTTGATAATATTAAGAAATTTTATTCTTTATGTATTATGCTGCGTTTTGTGGTTATGCTTTTCTTGTTGTTGCTTTTTTTAGTTTCTGTGCACATATATAAACACAATGTCATTAGAAGAAAACATAAGAGAATACAGGGGAAAGTAAAGATTTCTTGATGAAGACACAGAAAGCACAAATCACAAAAGAAAAAAAGTAATAAATTGAACTTCATCAAAATTTAAAATTGTTCATCAAAAGGCACTCAAGAAAATAGGTAACATTAGGAGAAAATATGTGCAACACCTGTGTCTGAATATATATTATATCTAATCTATATCATGTACAAAGATATTACATACTTATATACACATACATTCCTATAGCTTATATGCAGAATATATACAGACCTCCTACAACTCAATAAAAAAACAAAAAATAATAAAATAATAAAAAGACAATGCAATTTAAACATGGATAAAATACTTGAATAGACACTTCACAAGACATACAAATGGTCAATAAGCACATGAAAAAGCATTCACCATCATAATCATCAGGGAAATGCAAGTTAAAATCATAATAAGATACCACTACAAACACTAAAATAGCTAAAATTAACAAGATGAAAAATACCAGATTTTGGAGAGGACATGGAACAACCAGAACTCTCATGCATTGCTGGTGGGAGTGTAAACTGGTACAGCCACTTTGGAAAACCATTTGGCATTTTCTTAAAAAATTGAATATACCTATGATCCTGCAATCACATTCCTAAGTATCCCACTCAAGAGAAATGAAAATATAATGCCCACAAAAAAAATGTGTACAAAAGTGTGTATAGCACCTTTATCCATAATAGTCAAAAATTGGAAATAGCCCAGATGTCTATCAACAGAAGAATGGATAAACCAACTGGTATATCTACACATTGCAATACTACTTAAAAATAAAAAGGACCTAGCTGGGCGTGGTGGCTCACGCCTGTAATCCCAGCACTTTGGGAGGCTGAGGTGAGTGGATCACTTGAGGTCAGGAGTTTGAGACCAGCCTGGCCAACATAGTCTATACTAAAAATAAGAAAATTTTTAGTATAGACTAAAAATAAGAAAAATTTTAGTCTATACTAAAAATAAGAAAATTAGCTGGGTGTGGTGGTGCATGCCTGTAATCCCAGCTACTTGGGAGGCTGAGGCAGGAGAATCCCTTGAACCCGGGGGGCGGAGCTTGCAGTGAGCTGAGTTCGCACCCTTGTACCCAAGCTGGGCAACAGAATGAGACTTCATCTCAAAACAATAATAATAAAAATAAATAAAAAGGACCAAATTATTGATACAAGCAACAACATGAACGAATTTCAAAAATAATACGCAAGTAAAAGAAGCCAGGAGCAAAAAAATGTACATAGTAAATGATATGATTCCATTTATTTCAAATTCTAGAATAATAACCAAGGATTATTGAGGATGAGGATACAGTCACGTACTGCATAACGTTTTGGTCAGAGATGGACCACACATGACAGTGATCTTACAAGATAATAGAGCTGAACATTGTCTATCACCTGGTAACATGGTAGCTGTTGTACTGCCCTAGAGCAATGCATACTTGTGTGTTTGTGGTGATGCTTGTATGAACCAACCTACCGCACTGCCAGTCATACAAAAGTACAGCACATACAATTATGTACAATACATAATCCTTGATAATGATAATAAATGACCATGTTACTGTTTTTTATGGTTTAGAGTGTACTCCTTCTACATATATATATATTTTAAATGTTAACTGTAAGACAGCCTCAGGCAGGTCCTGCAGGAGGTATCCAGAAGAAGGCCTTGTTATCATAATAGGAGATGACAGCTCTATGCATGTAATTGCCCCTGCAGACCTTCCAGTGGGACAAGATGTGGAGACGAAAGACAGTGATATTGATGATCCTGACCCTGTGAAGGCCTAGGCTAATGTGTGTGTTTGTGTCTTCGTTTTTAACAAAAACATTTAAAAAGTAAAAATATAGGCCAGGTACAGTGGCTCACACTTGTAATCCCAACACCTTAGGAGGCCAAGACAGGAGGATTGCTTGAGGCCAGGAGTTCAAGACCAACTTGGGTAATGTAGTGAGAACTTGTCTCCACCCAAAAAAAAAGTAAAAAAATTAAACAATTTAAGAATAGAAAAAACCTTATAGAATAAGGATACAAAGAAAGTATTTTAGACAGCTATACAATGTATGCATTAAGTGTTGTTAAAAGAGTCAAAAAGCCAAAAAAAATTTCAAGTTAATAAAGGTACAGTAAGCTAAGGTTAATTTATTATTGAAGAGGGAAACTATCTGGTACAAACGTAGCGTAGCCTAAGTGCACAGCATCTATCAAGTCTCCAGAAGTATACAGTAATATCCCGGGCCTTCACATTCACTCACCACTCACTCACTCACTCACCAGAGCAACTGCCGGTCCTGCAAGCTCCATGCATGTTAAGTGCCCTATAGAGGTGTACCATTTTTGTCTTTTATACCATATTTTTACTGTACCTTTTCTATGCTATGTTTAGATATGTTTAGATAACAAATACCACTGTGCTATAGTTGCCTACAGTATTCAGTACAGTAATATGCTGTACAGGTGTGTAGCCTAGGAGCCACAGGCTGTACCATTATACCCCAGGTGTGTAGTAGGCTATACCATCTAGATTTGTCCAAGTGCACTCTACGATGTCCACGTAACAACAGAATTGCTTAACCATACATTTCTCAGAACACATCCCTGTTGTTAAGCGACGCTTGACTGTGTATGAAGCAAGTTTAGCCATGAGCTGATAATTATTCAACCCAAGTAAGGAGAACTCCCAGCACTTTGGGAGGCCAAGGCAGGCGGATCACCTGAGGTCAGGAGTTCAAGACCAGCCTAACCAATATGGAGAAACCCTGTCTCTATTAAAAATACAAAAAATTAGCCAGGTGTGGTGGCGCATGCCTGTAATCCCAGCTACTCAGGAGGCTGAGGCAGGAGAATCGCTTGAACCAGGGAGGCGGAGGTTGCAGTGAGCCAAGATCACACCACTGCACTCCAGCCTCGGCAACAAGAGCGAAACTCTGTCTCAAAAAAAAAAAAAAAGAAGAAGAACTCATGGGGCTTTATTATATTTTTAATTCTTTCTACCTTTTTTTTATGTTTCAAATTTTCCATGATAAAGAATAAGTGAGAGACAGAGAGAGAGTAGGGAGTTGGAAGGATTGAGGGAGGAAGAGAGGAAGGAAGGCAGAAAGGGAGGGAAGGAAGGGGGGAGAGGAGAGAGAGAAGGCAAGGGAAGGGGGTAGGACAGAGTCCAAAAACAGGAGCGACCTCCACAGCCCTGAGGACATCGCTGAACACCAACTCTGCGCCATCACAGATGTTCCTAATGACGCCCCTGAGGCATCAGGAAAGGTCAGATTGTATTGGATATGATCCTTGATTCTTTTTGCAACAGAGATTGATTTATGTCCACTTTGGGGGACATTTTACAAACAACATACAAAAAATCCAGGCATCCTCCTTCAAGTGTTCCTCAGCGTTTGTAGCATGAAACAGAGCTCGGCCTGAGGACACCACCCAAATGAAGTGTCAAAGTGTTATCATCATGGAGTGTCTGGCCCTGCCCCAGGCGGCTCCCACCTCGGCTGCTGCTCCCTCACCAGGGGTTTGGAAGTTGCCCTGGAGCTGCCTCTGCCCTGGAGTTGGCCTGGAGCAAGGTGGTGTCTGCCCAGCCTGGAGTATGGGAAACTCATCCCAGCACCAACAACTGGGTCTAGCTTATGCTCCCTCAAAGATCTTGCAAGAGGAGTTGCTTCTCTTTCGCAGCTTTAAGAAAAGAGAGGCCCATTTCCAATGGAAAACAGACCCTCCGCGGGGGCTGGGTTGTTATTTTCCTCAGACCTGGATGCATTTAACTCAGCCATGTGGTCCCCCCGGATCAAATAAGCCGGTTTCCAGATCTGCCTTTCGCTCAAACGGTTTCAATGCCACTCCACAGTGTTATTCAGGGATTGATCCTTGTGCTGGCAAGACCAGAGGAGAGGCCAAAGCAGGCCCAGATGCGCAAGCTCCTGGAGCAGGAGGCCAGGCTGTCCAACTCACTTATGCAGCACCCACAGTAGGTCAGGCAGGGAAAAGCCTCTGATGAATGATGAGATTTTCAGTTTCATGGCCTGCTATCAGCCCAGTATTTATTTGATCCAAGGAGCCTATTTTTACAGAATACTTCATGACATCTTTCTGCTAACCCACACTACACACTAAAGAGCAGCAGAAGACTGCAAGCCTCATGAGGAAAGACAGCGCGTCTGTCCCGATCACCACATAGGATGTCCCCAGCATCTTGCATAGGGCCTGCTACACAGCGGATACTCAGTAGGTAAATGTAATTATTGAATGAATGAATGGCAGAAAATATTACAGCATTTCTGTAGTCTAAGAGCAGTTCTCAAATTTCAGTGTTCATAAAAATCACCCGGAATAATTAAAATATAGATTTCTCCACCATCACACCCCGATCCAAGATTCTGTTTCTCCTTCTCAGAGGTTCTGGAATTTGCATTTTTTACAAATCTTTCCAAGTAATTCTGTTGCCAACAGTTAGTAGCTCACATTTTGAGAAAGTCTTATCTCTGAAGTTCCCTTACAACAGGTTCCCTCAGGGTCTTGGGTAACTAAACTCCCCCCGCCCAGGGGACTCACTTTTCACTTCTGCATGGTCCACGGCGAATAGGTTTGCTCTACTCTTTTAAATTCAAGGAGAGGCTGAGGAATTAGCGTTGGCAGAGGTGGCTGGTATCCTTGGATGGAAGGTATTATAAATGCAAAGCGCTATTAAAATCACAAAACCTTTTGAATAAAAAGCCTTTCTTAATAATCCATCCACTTTTCTTAATCATAGTTTTTCTTCTACAAGTCTTAGAAGTACCCTGGAAAAAAAAAATCAGCTTATTTTGCAGAGAAACAACAAATTCCAACACTTGCTTTATGCTGGTCAATGTCCAGCCTTGCTGCTTCCAAACATTTCATATATGGGGCCTCTATTCTCTATAGTCTACAAGATGACAGGCACCTCCCTGTCAGGGGTAAGCCTGCAGCTCTCTTTCTGGATGACACATTGGAGGCAGTGGGAAGCTTGGTTTCAGAATGCTTACTAAGGTCAAAGCAGCACCTTTGGGAGCTGATTCAAATGTCTTCTAATCCCAGAGGGGCCATTATTGTCCGTAACGAACACAGAACTTTCATTCATACAATTCATAGCAGTCTCCCCAACACTCAGATCCAGCAGTGGGGAACATGGCTGAGTTTTGAGCCAACTCTTTAAGCAAGGAAAGGTAACTCAAATGCTGGAAGTATTACATGATAGAATGCCCAGGCCTGGAAACATTCTGAAGTCTTTTTTTAGTTATTCAGAAATGACAAAGGAAATTATTTACTCCAGAAAGGTTTGCAGATTGGTGTGGCTGAGGGATCCAAGAAAGCATTTTTCCTATGTCTTCCTCCCTCTCCCTACTCCTGCCAGTAACCAAGTGACAACAATATTGCTAGTCATCTATTTTTTTAATCATGTGATTTTCTTACAAAAGACAAGGACAATTGCTCAGATTGTTGTTTCCAAAAAAAAGGCACATGATGGTTAGATGAGATTCCATACAGCTGTTAAATGCTTCCAGCCAGTCCTATCCAGGATTTTGAAAATTATAGCCATGTTTTTAATGGAATAACAATTATTGAAGACAGAAAAATGGAGTCAGAGGGGAACTAGAAACTTACAGATAATATTGATTTAAAAAATATAGCTCATAGGGCTCTAAGAACTTTTGAGTCTCAGAAGATGTGTTTACAAGTACACATGAAGTTTTCTATTCAGGTTTTTTGGGAGGTTTTTTGTTTGTTTTTGTTTTTGTTTTGAGATGGAGTCTCGCTCTGATGCCGAGGCTGGAGTACAGTGGTGCGATCTCAGCTCACTACAACCTCTGCCTCCCGAGTTCAAGCAATTCTCCTGCTTCAGCCTCCCGAGTAGCTAGGATTATAGGCATGCACCACCACGCCTGGCTAATTTTCATATTTTTGGTAGAGACGGGGTTTTGCCGTGTTGGCCAGCCTGGTCTGGAACTCCTGACCTCAAGTGATCCGCCTGCCTCTGCCTCCCAAAGTGCTGGGACTACAGGCGTGAGCCACTGTGCCCAACCAATTCAGGGTATGTTTTATCACGACTTCCAATTATTTCTAAACAGAATTGCTTGACCTCAGGAGGTCCTCCTTTTCACCAAGACATTGTTTTGGTAGGTGTAGGGAAATAAAACAGGAAAAACTTTTCTGTCTTGCAAAGGAGAATTAATTATTTTCCTTTCAAAATAATATTTAATTCTAAAATATTTCAAAAATATTTGAATATTTCAAGTGTTTCAAATTAAATTTTTTTTAAAAGTCAGAACATGAAATCCACATACTTTATCCAATCCCATTAGGCTGGGGAGAGATGGAGACACACCCCCATCACACAACCGAGGCAAAAACTACAAATAACACTGCGGTGTCCTTCTCAGATGAGGTGGCTTGAAAACAAATCACATATCTATTTAATTAAGGGTGGCCAGTTGTCTTGTTAAAAAATAAACGAACAAACTCAGAGACTATAACTGTCCCAAGATGAGCACATCCTAGCTGTGTCTATAGACATGCAACACTTTCTGGGGGAAAGTAGATAAACTGGCATTTCAGTCTTGTTAATGGCAATTTTGGAAGTAGGAGCTAAGTGAAAGGGCTGACTCTGTCCCTGGAGCCCAGAGAAAAATCTATATGTAAAGAAAGGATTCTGCAGCCCTGGAGATGGCTGGCTGGAGGGCAGGCCAATGATCCCTTTTAGACATTTCATCATTGCCCATACCTTTCTCTCTTGCCATTGTACTTGCCTCGGTTGAAGTAATAGCAGCTCCAGACTTGTCAAAATACTTGGGGGTTCTTGGTCTGCTTTTAATTTGGTGGAATGTTGGCAGATGTGGGCTGGCTCACCAAAGAAGAATGTCTTTGGCTGTGTCCAGTGGTCAACTGCACTGGCCAGTTGCTTCAGGCTCAGTGGAAGGCTGTTGATGACCCAAAGTCAGGCAGGCCTGGCTCCAAACTTCTTGTTAGGATGGCTACAGGGCTGCCTCAGGAGAATTGTTAGTATTTAGCCAGGGCTAAACACAGCCACAAGGCTATATTTGGGAAAGGAGTCTTAAATGCTTCCAGTTCACCTGTGTAACTACTCTGACACTAGGGGTTGGGGTGGACTTTAATGATAGGGGAAGGCTTTGAGCTGGACTTTGATAAGGAAGGGAGGAGAAAGACATTCCAGATAAACAGACATTCTGGATAAACAGACCTTCCAGCATGCAAAAAGGCTGGAAGCATAAAAGGGAATGGAGTGTGACTGGTGCATATGGTGGAGATGCAAAGGCAAAGGTTGGTTGGGAAGGACCTTGCATGCTGTCTGAGTACCTTCAGGCTGCTATAATAAAATACCATAATCCAGGTGGCTTAGAAACCACAGAAATTTATTTCCCTGTTTTAGAGGCTGGGAAATCCAAGACCAAGGCCTCTCCCTTTCCTGGTTCACAGATGGCACTTTCTAGGAAGAGGTACCTAGAGCTAGGTACCTCTTTTGGGTTTCTTTTGTGAGGGCACTAATCCCATTCATGAGGGCTCCACTCTCATGACCGAATTACCTCCCAAAGGCCCCACCTCCTAACCCCATCACCACAAGGGTCAGGATTTCAACATTTGCAACATTTAAATGGGGCGGTAGAGGTACACAAACATTCAGATGGTAGTATGTGTCATAGATTCAAGTTTATGCTGAGACACCAGGCTAACATTCCTTTAGAAGAATAACCCTCCAGCCTGTGAAAGATTCTTCCAGGGGGCCTCTGAGTCCTCTCACCCACTGGGTGCTCTTGGTATGTCCACTGTGAGGTGAGGGTTCCAGGAAGTAATTAAAAAGCAGTCATTTGTTAATAGGGTGAACATATAATTAATCACCCAAACCTGAACACTTTGAGTAACAAGAGGAACTTAACCATAACTGTGCTGGGACAACATCTTTTCCTAAGCAAATCAGAACATTTGATTGCTCTCATTTTGTGAGCCCTTTCTATATGCCAAGCACTACCATAGGGGGTTAACTCAGGTTATTTAATTTCCACAGTAACCCCAGTATGCAGGTATAATTCCTCCCATCAAAAATGAGTCTAAAAAGCAGAACTGGCATCCTCTGCATTCCTTTTCCAGTTCCAGAATCTTCCTCTTGCACCCTCATGTTAAAAGCTGTATCCATGCTTACAGCATCAGCCTAACCTGCTGTGTGCCCTTCCCAGTCACTGACATCTAGCAGCTACTGGCTCTGCATTTCTCCCCCAAATTAAAGGCACTGGCACTTAAATGTGACTCCTCTCCACCCCAAGTCCCTTGGTTAGCTCTGAAATCTAATTTGCATGCTACATTCAATCTTGAGGCCCTATCATCCCCTAACCTCTTCTACTCTAGGGCCCTGGCCTTCACAGCTTCTCAGACACCTGCTGCCATGACCTCACCCCAGACCCTCCCTCAACCTCCTATTCTATCTTTCCCTTACTCCCATTCTGCCTGTTATTGTCACCAAAATCATTAGTCCTTTAATGCCTTCATACACCCAGTTGGTGATGTGTTGGCCAATGTTTAACAACCTGCTCTGTGGGGAAATAACGTGTGCCTGTATTTACGTACATAAATTAAGAATTTACTGATATAAAAGATGAGTAACAATTTACAAATAATAAAACATACAATACTCTCTATTGTAAATTATATTAGGTCAATTGATTCTCACAGAATTCTTTCACTGATTTTTATGGTCAACTTTTATCCGTAGCCAACATATGGTGGCAATCCAACCAGGACTTGACAAATGGACTCGCATCCCAATGCATTTTTTTTCTCAGATTTACTTTCTCAATCAACTGATGTGATTTAACTGTTAAACCATTTCTCACTCTCACCCAAATTATATTAGTGAAGCTGAAACTCTGCTTAGTGTCAGCACAGCAGCAGTGTAACAGTGAAACAGCACAAGAGCTAACATAACTAACTCCATTTTGGTTTAAGTGGCCCTTACCCATTTCTGCACATAGGCAAGGATAATTTTAGAGTACTATTAATATGCAAAAACAGCAATCATGTAGTTTTAAAAACTAACTCTGGGATTAAAGGAGAAGTATGTAAACAACTATGTTTTTGTTAAAGATTTATAGGAGCGTTGTGACCTGACCAAGGACAAAGAAGTTCCTTGAACACTTGCTGGCACCCAGATGTCGGTGGTTATCTGTTACCTCTTGATCTCAATCCCCTCCCCTTCCTTCTGCCCTTAACATAAAAAGAGCCTAAAATTTGTACTGTCTGAAGATGGTACTTTAGAAGGCTAGTTCCCCATCTTCTCGGTTTCCTGGCTTTCCAATTAATCCTGCTTTTCCTCCCACCAACACTTGTCTCTCGAATCTGGCTTTCAAGCAGTGAGCAGACACACCTGGGGTCAGTTATGGTAGCACACCATTACACAGCATCCTCACCATGCAACACAGTCGCTGCCAACAACCTCGATGGTGGACAAGACTAACATGAATACAATAATTACAAAGTGAAGAGTTTTGAGGACTTACTATCTTTGTTTTTAAATATAATAGTTTATCTGACTTGTTGATAATGAAGGTATTTAAAATTGGCTCACAAAACTTCTGCAAGTTTAACCATTCATTTTTGTGGACCAGGTGACTGGGCTGCAACACACACTACTGTGGCCCCATCGACCTCAGGCTTTTCCTCTCCTCTCCTCTCTCCCTATCTTACAGATGGAGTCCCACAGAGTCTATTCTAGACTGGGATGAGGTCAAGGTCAAGAAAGCTTAAATGTCTGTAAATTTCCTTAGTACGGGTCCATGTTGGGGAACTTCTTGGGGAATAAATATCAATACTAGTTTTTATTGGGCAGATATAGGTTTACAGTTTTACTACTGATAATACTTTAGAGTTGCTGAAGAAAAACAGGCCTATTCACTCTTGGAAATGGCCCTGTAAACTGTCTACACTCTCCTGCTTAAGAAACGAAACACAGCAAATACGAAAGCAGAAAAACACTGGCGGCCGGGCACGGAGGCTCATGCCTGTAATCCCAGCACTTTGGGAGGCCAAGGCAGGCAGATCACTTGGGAGGCCAAGGCACGCAGATCACTTGGGAGGCCAAGGCAGGCAGGAGTTTGAGACCATCCTGGCCAACATGGTGAAACACCATCACTACTAAAAATACAAAAATTAGCCTGGCGTGGTGGTGCATGCCTGTAGTCCCAGCTACTCGGGAGGCTGGAGCATGACAATCAACCAAACCATGGAGGTGGAGGTTGCAGTGAGTGGAGATTGCACCACTGCATTCCAGCCCGGGTGACAGAGTGAGACTTTGTCTCAAACAAAACAAAACAAAACAAACAAAAAACAGAAAAACATTGGGGATGAACCAAATAGTTCTCTCACTTATCCTGCAGGGAGATGCTGTCAGAAGCCCCACTACGGAAACATCCCAAGGCCTACTATTACCTAAGGTGACACCACTCAGCTGTGCAGGCTTTCTCCCTGACACAGGAAACCATTCGCAGACATTACCTCATCGCTCTAATCTCCTATCAAACCTGTGAGACAGGTAACAGAAGGTATCCTCAATTTACCTGTGGGGAAATTGCTGCCCAAGCATCAGAGCTTCCCACTCTGCAAACACTGCAAGTGTCCCTGACACCAGCACAGACTAAGAAGTGGGCATCTCTGGCTTATTCTGGGACCAAGTGCTAAACTGCAAATGGACCTCCTCTCTATCCCAATTCATCAGGGGAGAAAAATCTGGTTTAAAATGTGAGCCTTATTCTAAGCAGCTGTCTCATCTAAGGTCATCCGACTTGGGCAGCAATTTTAGTACTTTACAAGCCAAGTATGTTTGCAGAAACTCTAGCAACTACAAGAACACAGCAGGGCTCCTATGCTGCCATCTGCAATATGTTTTTGTAGGAATTCTTTCTCAAAGTTGCTTGTTCGGGGATTTAAGCTCACAGAAGTTAATATGTAAAGGACAAATAACAAGCGACCTTCTTCCTGAAGGATGTAAATCTCTACTTTCCACCAGTGGCTTCCAAGAAAACAAGAGTCACTTTGGGGAGATATGGCATAAGTAAGGTACTAAAGGCAAGAAATTTCCTTCAGCCTTGGAGTTCGTGGAAATATGGGGGCCAGGGCCTAGGGGTGGAAAAGTGTCCTGCCACCAGTCAAGGAAGAAAAGCTGGCCCCAACTGTTTTACTCTGCTTCTTCTAACAGGTGAATGCCTTCTCAGTACAGAGTTCCCTCCTCTCACAGCCACATCACCAAAGCCAAGCACTTGAACAGAAAGCCCCCTCTCCCCGTTGGCTTCAAAAGCTCTCTAGCTTTCGGATGCCCCCACGACACTCCATAGCTTCCTCCCAAGGCCTACGGCTCCACTTCACGTCTGGTTTCCTGATGTATTACCCACCACCACCCAGGACTACTTGTTCTTCTCCTTTATCCCTGCATATAGTTACCTCCCTTTCCAGTCCACTGGAAATTCCATTTTTTTCTAGTTAAACTAAAAAACACCCCAGAGTCTATGATTTGAAAAGTGGACTTGTACCCCAATCCGCTTTTTCCCAATAATTTTCTCAATAAATGTAACTGGTATAATTTAAGTGTTAAACTATTTCTCACCAAAGCAACTTTTATACCAAAACAACAAACTGTAATAAGGAAACCTACCAGGAATATACCTTCATACACCTGGGCCCAGAATGAGCACCACTAGATGATACAAGGTTTGATGTGTACGTGATGATGTCTGCTTCAGAGACTGCCACTTTTAAACATGGTGTATCCAGCGGAACAGCCCTCCACCTACCTTACCTAACCCACCAACCAGTGTAGTGTCATTGTTATAGGTCACCTGAAACATGGAGAAACAATAGCCAAGGCAAAGGTCTTCCAGTGTGGCCGATTCACAGATCAAGAAACAAGCCTAGGTACACATCCTGATTCTACTATCAGCTCTGGTCACATCAAGGGCCTAGATAACTGTCCAAGGAAGGAAGCCTGTCCGGCTACAAAGTCTAACACTGAGCTCCTCCTATGAGGTCTCCCAGGGAAACCTTCCTGCTATATGTTGCTTATCAATTAATGTAAAACTTGGAAACTGGCCTCAAGTAATGACATTGGATGTGCAGTTTTGTATATATGTGCAGAGTTATGAAAGGCTAGCTGGTTAGAGTTCCAGGGTATAAGCAAGGGGTTTTTCCTCATTTGGACTACATCTACAGTTTTCACACTGAACTGTGCATGAGCCCCAGGGGATGGGGGTAGATACTTTCATCTCTTCTATACATTGGGCTTCTGGCTATCACGTCTTTTAAAGAAAGGGTTTCCACTTCCAAAAGTGGGTAAATTTTAAAATACTCTGAAAGTGGGATGGACCCTCAGTGTCTACACAGATAAACAGAATAATCTTTTTCCTTGCTTCTCCAGCTCATTCACTTGTCTGGTCAGAAAGTCAGAAGTTAGGAGAAAGTGGGCTTCACAATGATTTTAAAATGCATCTTAACCATCTTAATCTAATCCTGGCTCATTCCTCAGACA
The DNA here is from genome assembly GCF_000001405.40 of Homo sapiens. Classification (NCBI taxonomy): domain Eukaryota; kingdom Metazoa; phylum Chordata; class Mammalia; order Primates; family Hominidae; genus Homo; species Homo sapiens. The sequence continues at coordinate 40,555,257 of NC_000013.11, forward strand.
TCTTCTGAAAAGAGCAAACATAAACTTCCCACCTACAGCCACTTAAAGGAGGGCTGATCCTCCCCCTTCAGCAAGGTGTGCAGTAGTGACTGGAGGAGCACTTATGACCTTAGCCATGGGGTTCTGCCACTCCATCCACCGCATCTGCTCTGTGACCTCCTAGCCAGACCCTCCTAACTTGCCCTCAAGGTGTTTTTACCTTTAGCAGAGTCTGTTCTAACATAAGACTTAATATGCCTAGTAATTACTGAACCGGATGTACTTTCAGACATTCCAAAGATGAAGTATTCCAGGATTGTTATCAAGGATTGTACTTGTTCCCCATCTCAGGGGACTATAGTTTGGTCCCAGAGGGGCTGTTCCCCTTTTCCTCCAAAGGAAATACCAGATTTGAACCAATGACAACATTGTGGCTGACAAGACTTAACTCAAGTATTTAATAGCTTCACAAAAAATTCCTAATAAAGAGCTTATTCTGCATAATTAGAAAAGAAAGACACCAAGCCATTTAAACATAATTTATGTACATTTATGGCTTTATACAATTATAGCAAAGATTGTTCTTGTGTCTGTAAGTACATCAACATCAGGCACTTCTCAGAGTATCGGAACAAGAACGTGGAATCTGCACTGTTACTAAACTCGGGTAGCGAAATGCAGGAGGCATGACTACGTCCTGATGGGACTTACATGGCCACCCCTGGCCACACTGCCAGGCTGTGCCCACCTCAAGGAGAGGCCAACTGTAATGCCAGGTTGGTCTGTTCGCATAAACCACAATACATTTTTTTTAATGAATGATTATTCCCAAACTAAAACCAGAAAAGAAACTTCTCTTTTAAAATTAGTTATAAATTAAGAACTCTTAGGAGCTTGAATGTAAGAATTTTAAGTTGGGGCTGGGGTTATTGGTAGCATATATCCAGCAGTTGAACAAGTCCAATTTGTATATCGTTGGAGAATGATTTCCATTTTAAGCATCCTTATCCTCTTCTTGGGATGTTCCATTGATTTACTGCTCACTGGGATACATGTGCTCATTTAGACTTTGTCAGTTTGTCAAAGCAGAACTTTCCAAGTAATACATCTATTACCTAAATATATTCCATACGTCTATATTACGGAAACAATACATCTTTATATTTAAAATATCTGAATAGCTCTATAATACAATATGCTTTTAATAACAGTACAAACCAGAGAAAATAAATCAAACAAGGCTGCATAGGTGATATCATTTGCACATTTCACAAAGCAATCATGTACAATAACTGATATATACTCATTACTCCAGAAAGTCAGTATTCTTACAGGAAAAAAACTACCAGAGGCCACATAATGTTTGCTTTCCAGACAGACCAGATGCCTTTCCCTGGACTTCACTGTTCTCAGAGAGCTACCAAGGATTCATGACAGGATTTCAACACACAATGGGGGCTTGGGAGAGGTATAATTACCCAGACTCAGGAGGAAGATATATTTTCCTAAGAGCTACTCCATGAAGTAGTAAGATTTTAACAGTGATTTTGGCTGTAGTTGCCTCTTTAATGAACAAATGGGGGCTCTGAGGTTCCTTGTATTATGATGCAGTAATGGCACGGGAGGAAAGTGACAGTACGTAGTAATAGAAATTAGTACACAAGTACTTTGGCACCAAGTTCAGTTACATACCCGGGAGGCTGTGCTTAGAGGAACTTGGGTTTCTAAAACCAGCTATGTCTTGGACTGCCCCAAAATGAGGATGATAGAGTGGTGGCTGTTCAATGAATCTTCAAAAAAATGATCATCACAGTGGGAAGCTTACAATAGAGCTGGCTTACTGTAGGAAATCTTATCAGGAACACTTGTGTTCTTGTTAAACATTTAGGAAATACCAAGCCAATGAAGATGCAATTAACATACAAGACAAAGCAAGTGTGATGTGGGCTATATACAGAAAAATTAGATCCTTCTCAAGAACACAAGAGGAACAGTGCTGTGCACCTGTTCTCTTCATTGTGATGACTTTGGGCTTTCCACATGACTTGAAAATACTGATGGACTAAATAGGACACAAAGCCAATTAATTTGGTCTGTCAGTTACAGGTAATTGGAAAGTAATAAAACATAATGATAGGAATTACAGTTTAGGTTGCTACAGGCTAAAGAAATTTTCAAATTCTTAAGCCAAGGCTTTTAACATAATCTCAATGCACAACTTACAGCTGGTTTTCAAATAAATCTCCCCAATTTTTAAGTAAGTTCTATTCCATTTGCTACCCATCTGAACTTATGAACACAAATTCTACAAACCACTCAAGTCCCATTTTTAAATTCCCTCCTTCCACTTAAACTTCCACAGTGTGCTAAGTAATCTAATCTGCAGGGCAGAAGGGAGAATGAGATGAAGTATGAGTGTTGACATAATTCCTCAAGGCAGAACTACAAAACCAACCTCCACCTGGACTGAAACAAGAGCAAAGAATTATGAGGGGAAACTTTTGCTAAAGCTCAACTCAAAATGGTGAAGTGGATCAAAATCCCTCGTTTGACAAAGGACCATTGCTTTAGATGCAGATCTCCCTTTTCTGATCTACAAACATTATGAGGCCTCCCAGGACTACAGAGGTCTCTAGAGAAGACTTGATGCTATGCAGTACGCATAGTTCAGTAGAAGCAGATGAAATTTCTTTAAAATACATACATAAAAACATATTAAGTTATCCTAAATAAGAAACGCAAAGTGTCCATAACTATACATCACTTTCCTGCCCAACCAGGGCCTGAAACGTTGAATATGCAAGTACTAATTACAATGATTTAAGATTAGTCAGAAACATCACTAAGTAGCATCCCAAAGTGTACAAACCAGTTAAGCATGTATAAAATTAGTACTAATCCAGTTAGAATACAAAATGAAAATTATGAATGCTGCCCCAAATACCTGTGGTTCCACAAAATTTACAAGCTGACTATGTAACAAAGTAGACTCTAGTTTTAAGAAAACATTATTACAGTTCAATATCTATTCCAAAAATGTTCTTAAGTCCCAACAATAACATCAAAAATCATTTATCTGGAAATTAGAACCATTTAAATGTTTGTACAAATTTGCAAATAACAAAATAAACAAAAAAAAATAGAAAAGACCTGTACAAAGCTGGCATTTAATCTTTTTTTTTCCAAAAGTTTAACAAGTCCATTAATTTAGCAGATTGATAACAGGCTACTTGGTTCTCATGTGAATTCTGTGGCAACGTGAACAGGTCCAAGGCTGTTCAATGGAGATGCAGAATGGAGATTCAGTTCTTTGTGATCCGTCAGTTCCGCAGAAAACAGGTAGTACAAACAAAAGTTTAACTTATCAAGACATGAGGCCCATCACAGTATTACAAAAAGAGTATAAACTTTCCTTGGACCAATTGGATATTTAGAAAAACCAAAAACACACACAAATACAATCTGTATCTACTGCTTATATACAAAACTTGAAAGCACACCAGGATCTGAAAATCTTTTCTGCAATTATATGGTGTAGTGAGTTTGGCACTTCATTGTAATGAAATTTCCAATGGCACAGTCCTTATCTACAGCAGCACATAACCTGCACACATTGGGCAAACATCCTGTACAGGAAAAATGTCTTTGCTGCCAAGTCTGACGAAAGGAAAAAAGGAGGGTTTTTTTTTTTGTTTTTTTTTTTAACCAAGAAAACTAAAAGGGAGTTGGTGAAAGACATCTTTGGACTGCTTCTCTCAGTTCCTGCTGTCAGACAATCTGAAGTACTTTTAAGTGTAACCTAGGAAAAAACACATACATACGCACACACACATACACACACAATGAAAATATAGCCAAATTAAAATCAATTCAACTTAACATGTTAAGAGTGACAGACATACTTAGGGGCAAAAAGCTAGAGCTTTCTCAAACAGCTCTAAAATCATTCAATGGGGAAAATTCTACTTTACAAAAAACCCTTCAGCATTTGATTTATATCAAATGTATTCATTTATTGAAGAGCTACTAAAAAGATGCAGCCATCGAACTGTCAAAAAGAAATCTTTAAAGCAGTTAAAGGAAGCTTCCTTCTGTGTAAGCTCAGAAGGAAAACTGTAAGCTGCAAAAAGGACAGAGAATGAATGATAAAAGATCCCTCTCTGCAAGGGACAGTCAGTTGACATCAAAGATGTGCTAACCATGGCAAGTTACTGTGTTCCTCGCTTTTAAGTTCTATTTTTCAAAAGGTCTTTTGATATTGGGGTGAACTTACCTGCTCACTAACCCTCAGCCTGACACCCAGCTATGTGTCGTTGTCTTGACACTGTGTGGGAAGCTTTGGTTGGGCAACACATTGTCAAAGTTAAAATCCAATGTATCTCCATCCATGAGGTCATTCCGAATGATGGATTCCATGTCACAGTCTAAGCGCTCAATGAACATGCCATCCAAGTCACTTGGGAGCTTCTCCTGGTGGAGAAGGCCCATTCTGCCATAGCCATTGCAGCTGCTCACGGAGGAGTAGCCCCCCAGGGCACTCATCTGCATGGGGTGGGGCAGAGGCACTTGTACAGGTGTCTTCACTTGGGTCAGGCGGTTCATACCCGAGGTGTGGGGCATGGTGCTTACCGTGTGGGGCAGGGGACGCCCGTTAACTGCAGATGTCTGCTGAGCATGTCCAGGGTGGGTATGGGAGCTGGGATTCATCATTTTGTTATGAGATGCCTGGCTGCCATAGGTTGACATGACCGAATTAGGGCCCATCATGACGTTCTGGCCCAGAACCCGGCTGTTGGGCTGGGCTACCCCAGGATCAACTGGTGTCATAATGTCATTATGGGGAGGAGAGTCAGAAGTCAGCAACTCCTTCAAGAGTCCAGGCGCACAGTTATACTGACTCATACCTCCATAACTCGACTTATTGTCCTGAAGTGTTTGTATAGGCATCTGGGGCAAAGGGCTCATGCTGGATTGGCCATATGTATATTTTTGGTAGTTTGGGCTGGGTGAATTCAAACTGGTGTTTGGTGGCGCAAACGAGTAGCACGGCGTCTGCTGCATCATGGTGCCAGGTGAGGACTGGGTCGAAACAGTTAATGATGTTGGTGATGAGAGAAGGTTGAGATTATCCAAAAGATTTTCCATGTTTTCGGGATTGCTTATCTCAGACAGACTGGGTAAAGTAGAGGCCATCTTTGCGGCAGATGGCGGGTACACCATAGAATGCACATCCCCTTCTCCAAGATCATCCTGTTCGGTCATAATGGGTGAGAGTCTCCCACTAATAGTACTAGCATTTGAGCTAGTTCGAGGGCGAAATGTACTCCAGTTATCAAAGTCATCATTGCTGTGAGAGCCAGGGCTTGCAGGCCATTTGGAAAACTGTGATCCAGGGCTGTCCCCAGCACCCTCCTGGCCAGACTGGAGAGATGCTTTCTTCTTGGCAGCTCGGCTTCGGCTCTTAGCAAATTTACTGTTGTTGTCCATGGATGCAGCTCTTCTCCTAGGAGATTTCCCGCTCTTGCCACCCTCTGGATTGAGCATCCACCAAGAACTTTTTCCAGTTCCTTCATTCTGCACACGAATGAACTTGCTGTGTAGGGACAGATTATGACGAATTGAATTCTGTAAGGCAAAACATCTTATTAGAAGTACAATACTTCTCTGCTTGCAAAACTTCCTATTCTACATGTATTACATGGAAAACAAGTAAAAAATCTTAAGAGTGTGTGCTACAGATTTCCATCTGAACAGTCCTAATGGCTCTGAAGCCACTACAAAAGATCTCAAATAGCACAGGAATAAATAGTATCTTATCTTAAAAACAATATCTGTGGCTGGGTGCGGTGGCTCACGCCTGTAATCCTAGCACTTTGCGAGGCCCAGGCAAGCGGATCATGAGATCAGGAGATCAAGAGCATCCTGGCTAACACAGTGAAACCCCATCTCTACTAAAAATACAAAAAATTAGCCAGGCATGGTGGTGCAAACCTGTAGTCCCAGCTACTCGGGAGGCTGGGGCAGGAGAATGGCGTGAACCTGGGAGGCGGAGCTTGCAGTGAGGCGAGATCGTGCCACTGCACTCCAGCCTGGGAGACAGAGTGAGACTCGATCTCAAAAAAAAAAAAAAAAAAATTCTATATCTTAATTTAATGAAGGGACAAAATTTAATAAAGAGTATTGTAAATACCTTCTTTTATACAGCTACATTTTATGGAAAAATCAAAGGAATTGGTTTTAATAACCGCTTAAATTTTGCTTAGCTACAATAGTACTCTGTATCAAAGTGCTATCAAAAACCCCTTCCATTCTACTATCCTTAAAACTACTGCCAATTCTCTTCAGTTTGAACCTGTGCCATTTACATAAAGAAGTTTTATATTACTGGGCCCACATACTTACAGAAACAAAAAAGACAAAAGAATATAGAATATATAGAATATAGAATATAGGCCAGGCATGGTGGTTCACACCTATAATCCCAGCACTGTAGGAGGCCAAGGCAGGCAGATCACCTGAGGTCAGGAGTTCAAGACCAGCCTAGCCAACATGGTGAAACCCCATCTCTACTAAAAATACAAAAATTAGTCGGGTGTGGTGGCAGGCGCCAGTAATCCCAGCTACTTGGCAGGCTGAGGCAGGAGAAGGAGACTGCGGTGAGCTGAGATCACTCCAGCCTGGGCAACAAGAGTTAAACACTCTGTCGCCAAAAAAAAAAAAAAAAAAAGAATATAGAAATATAGAGCTGATCAAGAATTAAAGGCCCCCAAATTAATAAGACTTGGATTCATTCACACCTTTAAAGCCCATTAAGCAAATACAAGTGAATGTAAGGAAAACAGAGTCATTGCTTTTGTATTTGAGAAAGCTGACCTGCCAAAAGAAATTTTTTTTTAATTCAAGTAGTGCCCCTACCCTCCAGTTCTACCAATGACCAGTAGTATGAGCAGGATGCACCAACTAACTCCATGACACACCTCCACGTAGCCAGGGGCTACACTGTCCAAACAGACAACCTGGGATGGGAAGAAATGACAGAGAACGCAAAGAGCTCTAACTCTCAAGCTACCGCAGCTTCATAACTAATCATGCCATGTTTATCATCCCTAGGCCAACTAGGGAAGAAAAACCAACAATCTTTCTTTTGAGTACTTCCTGGGTGGCTCTGCTACTTACTTACCTAGGTGACCTTGGGAAGCTGCCTAGCCCCTAATGTGTCTTAAGTTTCCTCACCTGTAAAGCAGGGCTAAATTACAGAGCCTTATCAGGGTTGTTACATGTACTAAATGAGATACATAAAAATGCTCAGCGGTGCCTGGCATGTAAGCAGTCACCATGAAGGGAATATTAGACCCCAACTTAGAATAGTGGTATCCTGCGCCCCAAAGTCCTGCTTCTCTATTCCTATTCAGTGTGGTATGTATAGGAGCTTAGAAGTAGTACAGATACAAACCCACAACTGCAAATATATGGTGAAAGGGGCCAGAGGTGGTCTCTCCAAGTTTCAGCAGAAACACCAGAGCCAGGCTGCAGATGAGAAAGCCATGGTTTGATTCACCTCCTCTACAACACAGAGTAAGATGGTGTTCAGGGGAGTCCGTGGGACACGTGGAAAAGGAGACGAGGGAAACGCTGTGAGCTCCCCAGAAGGAAGGGCCTTGTCTTATAGCTTCTGGCCCCCAGCACAGTACAGGGCACACAGCCACTACACCTTGTTCATTCAGCAGCCTCTTTCCTCAGAGGTCTGCTCCCAAGGAGTGGGATTCTGGGTGCCCTAAGACCCTGGAATGTGCACAGTCTCCCAGCTTTCTTGGCCTCCTCTGCCAACTGGATGCAAGGCTCAGCTGACCATGCCCCCTGCATCTCTGCGGCCCCTCTTCTCAACCACAAAAAGGCTCTGGCTGGATTTGTGGTCACCCAGGGGTGCAGCCACAGCGCCCACATCCTCATGCCATTGACATGGGACGCCCGGGCCCGAGTGCCAACCACTGCGCCTGAGCAGAGCCTCTGCACAGCAGGATGAGGCCTGGCTCCAACACAAACTGGGAGAGAAGTCTTCTCTCATTAAAAGGTGGTAGAAGAGAGAAAATGGAGGGGTCTCACTTTCTAAAGGGAGATGCAAAAGTCAGGGTAAGGCCCAGCAGTCAGGGCTGAGAAATCCACATTTCAAAACGCCCTCTGACTCTCTGTACTGCATTCCGCCTAAAGATTTCAACACAGCAGCTACGTGACAAGCCCTCCTGCCAGAGCATACAGTGAAGTGTGAGAGCGGGGAAGACACCACCGGAGCCCCAGATTCCCGGCTGGAACGGAGCAGGTGTGTGGTGATGGCAGTGACTGTCTCCTGTTCCCAAGAATCCCCACCTTCCTCCACACCCAAGATCTACCCTCACCTCGAGACACGCTGTGAGGAGGGCCAGGGGCTTAGAGTAGGTACAAGAATCCCTAAAAGAGGCCAGGGAGTACATTTCCCTCCCATCCTATTGCATTCCCCTAAGATCCCCAAATTCCTATGGGAAGGCGCCACACACACACATGTATGCTCACAGAGCCACAGCCTTGTCTGCTGTACCCACCAACCCCAGCCGAACCGAGTTCTTAATTCCTCCTTAAGATCAGCAGGCCCGCACTTGGGGTAGCACTGGAATGCAGCCCTGCAGTCTGACCCTGACATTTTCTATACACTGGAAGTCCAGGCATTTGCACAATATTCCATCATGACAGTTTTGTTCTTTGAACACAATAGACACACAGATAAGCTCCGATGAAATCTCTGGAGGAGAGGAAGCTTGACTCCTGTCCCTGTCACATTTAGTTAATGATAAAGGGGGAAGAAAGATCTTCCCAGATAGAAGCTTCCTGGTTGTTGCATTGACTTGGGGAGAGGGGGTGAAGCTCTCTAACATTCATGATAAGCCTGTCAGATCACTGGCAAGCCCAGCTGGGGGTCATTTTTAAAAAGACTGCAGGAGACATAATAAGGAAATCTTTAAAACATTCAAGAAGCGTTCACTAACTCAGGTGGGACATATACTAATTTAGACTTTAAAAAAAAAAAAGCCACAGCAGTCTCCTACTTATCAAAACATCATATTACATATTTTTCTAAGAGGACATTTCAGGTCGCTCTTTGAGTAACAGAGCTGTTTCCTAACTTTGCCAACAATTAAAATTTTTTCCGAACAGGAAAAGGTTTGCTGTGCAGGACTTGTTACATAAATTCCTGTTTTTCACACAGCCAGCGGGACATTAAAGAAGCTACGGTTTCTAGGGGGTGGGGTTTGAAAAGGTAAATTTTGTAAAAATGTGTTGCTATTAACGACGTTGTGTCTGCACTCCCCTACTGGCCACAGGAGAGGCTGGATGGAAGAGCAGTTCACCAGAAGGACTTCGCAGCAGAGCCGCGTGAGACTGCTGGGCTCTGAAATATTATGCCCTTGAACTCTCAACAAATATTACCTGAGGACAGAGGCAGGATGTCAGGACAGAGGTTCATGCCCTGTCAATCACTTGCCCAAATCCAGCGTTTCTACATGACGGCACTAGAGAAACACAAGCCAGCCAATCTCCTCTCCACTAGCTTGTTTCTCTGCAGCCCCACTCACAAGCCTCTGCACACACCCCATCTGCCATCTGCATGCCTGGCCACCCCAAGCAGTGCAGCATGTGCTTCCTGGGAAGCCTGACCCAATGAGCTCCACAGATGGGGGAGTCGGGGAACCCCGACATGGTGTAGTCGGGGAACCCCGACATGGTGTACTTGCTTGTTCAACCTGCTCTGCTGGCTGTTCTATGTTCAGATTCTGAGTTCCTTAAAGAGCAAATGGGCTAAAGCTTGTCTTTAATTTCTAATATCATAGCCTCAATAACTGTTTGTTGCTTGACCCCCAAAAAAATTACAAGGAAGATATGGTGTCTTACACAATACACATCTTTTAACCATCCATTTGAGTACCAATTCATGTCAACTAACATTTACTGGAAACTATTTTGTGGAAGGAGTAGCGAAAGACATGAAGGAATGAGACACAGAACATGCCCTCCAGAAGCTTTTGATCTACCTGGGGAGAAAATAAGTACACGTAAAGAGCCACTTAATAGGATGACACAACCCATAGACTGTCCAGGAACACGGACCTTTTCTCTCCAAAGGCTGCCACCCTGCCCTCCATGCCCCAGCTTCTGTCTCAGCCCAACTGGCCCCTCCAGAAGCATTTCTTGATGACCTCATCCCATCCTGCAGCTCTAACATGGGACCTTACTTACTCACCCCTCTTTATGATTCCACTATGTCTGATCCCTGGGGCGGTGGGGGGGCATGCCTGACTTCCCACTACACTGTGAGCTGCTCAAGTGAGCACAGGGACCTTTGTCTGTCTTCTTGTACACTGTATCCTCACAGCACCAACACCATAGGGGCACTCAAGTATCTGTTGAACAGATTAGTATTTCCTACATTTACAAAGTTGGTGCAAAGATTAAATGAGATAGTATGCGTGGAAAGGCTTACCTTAATCTCTATTAGCTAATGTTACTGTTATCACTACTGGCATAATAGCATCCATAAAATAACATATGTCTGTGTTTTACAGACCTATGTATGTCATAAACATTAGTCTTATTTCTTTATAACCACACACTGCACTGCTCTCACTTAACATGAGGCTTTTTTATATGTTAATTACTGGAAAGATTGACTGGTTTGGGAAAAACAGTTCATTTTTCTCTTGACACTAGATATTGCCTCAGAACTGATTCAAATACTAAGGTGAGGCTGTCAGTGCCCTGGTCAGCCAATGTCACTAGAATATTTAAGTCTTCTCAAGGTGCTGCAGCCAAGCCACATGTGCAGGCATCACACATTGCTGGGGCCAGGGGCCTCCGAGCTCTGGACACAGCCAGCATGTGCAGAGCAGCAGCAGGGGTTGGCAGAGCAGGGACCTCAACAGGCCAGTTGGGAAGCTCCATGAAGGATGGTTCTGATGTTCTGTCTCTGTGGCTGGAAGAAGTGAGGTGCTGAGGCTGGTCCCCAGAGACCCCTGAGGACACATGCCCTCCCCAGGATGCTCCCAGACCCACTGTCTAAGGCAATCATCAGCCACTGAAGTGCAGGATGAAATCTTTACAACTTTCATTGACTTTCATTTTTTTTTTTTTTTTAAAGACAGAGTCTCACTCTGTTGCCCAGGCTGGAGTGCAGTGGCTTGATCTTGGCTCACTGCAACCTCTGCCTCCCAGGTTCAAGCGATTCTCCTGCCTCAGCCTCCTGAGTAGCTGGGATTACAGTCACCTGTCACCACGCCTGGCTAATTATTTGTATTTTTAGTACAGGCGGGGTTTCACCATGTTGGCCAGGCTGGTCTCGAACTCCTGACCTCGTGATCTGCCTGCCTCAGTCTCCACAAAGCGCTGGGATTACAGGCGTGAGCCACTGCGCCTGGCCTACTTTAAATTTTTTATCTCATTCTTTTAAAATTCTTATTTGTGAATGTATTATATAATTACACAATATATTTAAAGTGTATAAACAAATACATGTTTTATCAAAAAGGGTATGTGATTTTTTTAATAAAAACCATTTACAGACCACTAGTCAGTCTATCACGGTAGTCTTCTAGGAGCCTGAAGGCCCAATAAAGATGATCAAGTGAACAGAACTAGCTCTAAATCAAGTCTAGGTTGACTTTGCCCCCATCCCTCAAGACTGGGTTGAAAAAAGAGACCTGGTCCCACCCTCTGCTTGCAGCTCTCTGCCTCCTAAGAGCTGAGCCTGGCTGCCTTCCCAGCCACTTCTCTTCACCCTGGCCTGGACTCTCACATCCCCAACTCCTGTCTTCCAACCTGAGCTGCCACTTGACATGCATCTAGCCTGTCCCTCAGCCTATATGAAGACCACCACCTGTCAGCCACGGGTCTCCACACCACTGCTACATTCTACATTTCTTTCTGCTTGGCAGTTCTATGATTACCCTGGTCTTTATATTTAACCAAAAATAATGCAAAACCTCAACTTAAGGCTGAATACACCTTGCTCATGAAACCCTTAGATGGCCTTCATACCCCGTGTTTTATATTTTTGTATTTATTTCATAGTTTATTATATAAACTATGTATTTTATAGTTTACTGCTGTCAATACATCTCATTCCATCCTTGCAACAGCCCTATAAGGCAGGTATTACTGGCTTCACTTTAGAAATGGAAAAGGAAAAATTAAGACTCAGAAAATGATCTGTCCAGTTAGGGTTCAAAGCAAAGCTCTGTGATTCTACCTGCAACCCCACTGCTGGCTGAAAAAACTATCCCCTTGCCTTCACCACTGTTAAGAAGAATCAAAGGAACATACTTAAGGCTGAGGTTACTTGTGTGCACCTTGAGGGAGCAGAAATAATTCTGCTTACTAGTTTACAAAGCTCATTTTCTGCCTTAACAGGTGATAAATTTACACAATGTGGGCGGGCGTGGTGGCTCACACCTGTAATCCTGGCACTTTGGGAGGCTGAGGAGGGCAGATCACAAGATCAGGAGTTCGAGACCAGCCTGGGCAATATGGTGAAACCCCATCTCTACTAAAGATACAAAAATTAGCTGGGCATGGTGGTGGGCACCTGTAGTCCCAGGTACTCGGGAGACTGAGGCAGGAGAATCACTTGAACCTGGGAGGCAGAGGTTGCAGTGAGCCGAGATCGCACCACTGCACTCTAGACTGGGCAACAGAGCAAGACTCCGTCTTAAAAAAAAAAAATTTACACAATGTGATTTGCTCTTATTCTAGTGGGTTCTTCTTTATGGCAGGAATCCATAGCAGCTGAAGCGTGCATTTCAGATGTGAGCATCATCCTAGGGAAAACCTGTGGGGACTCACAGGGAAAGCGGAAAGGTCCCCAGAGACCCCCAGCTACCTAGAACTGCCCACCACCCTGCGTGAAGGTGTGAGCAACAGCCACCAAATCCAACAAAAAGAACTTCACACTCAGAAACTGGAACATATGATTAAATGAACTCATTGTCCCAGAAATTCTAGAAATTCTTTCAAAATGCTAGACAAACTACATTTTCCCAAAGCATTTAATCTAATTTCTGTGAACTTTCTCAATGTGTGCGATTGTTATGCAGGCTCCCGGCATGGCCTTTATTCCCTCCCTCCTCCTTCCTCTCTTTTACACCAGCTCTTCCTGCACTTCCACAAGTGAAAACAAACTGAACTAGGAAAATCTATTCAACAGAGTTCCCATTAAGAGTTACTAATAAAACAACAACTTTTAAAAATAATCCATTTTGTTTGCAAACAGAAGGAAAACATGACCTTTTGCCAACCCTTTTTTTACAAGAGTTGTCAGTAGACACACGTTAGCAATAGACAGTATGTAAATCAATGTTAGAAAGTGTTTAACACAAGATCTGCTGAGAATAGCTAATCTACATGCTTACACCCTAGATCCTTCCATAAGGCTGGTTCATTTCCCAGAATCGTTTCCTTCTTGCCCGAATATCCTCAAAGACCACTATACCCCCCACTGCTACCCCCACTGTGCAGAGGTCTTAAAGCATCTCCACTGATCCCAGGGCTGTGGACAGAGACTGGCGGCCTGGTAAAACCGGAAGGTACTTCGAAGGTCATCTGGTCTAACGCTCTTGTTTTATGTTAGGGAAACAAAGTTCAGAGAGATTACAACGCAGATGGGAAACTTATGGGTGTTCATTTACAAAAAATAGAACCACATGGAGCTTTAGTACTGGAAGAAATGTAAAACAAGTACCAAGAACATGCAATATTCCTCCCCTAGCCAAGCCAATCCTTACCTATGGTCTCAAACCGCTATAGACACAAATTTAGTTACACAGCTTTATCTCTAACTCTAGTCAGTCATTCCAAAGGAAGGGAAAATATGACTATCCACTGCAAAAGGAATGTAGGAGATTATGCTTGCATGTCAAATAGTACTAAAAAGACAAATGGAAGAACTCATAGGTGTCAGGAGAAGCTTCATGGACTTGGGAAGTACACTGTGAGGCAGAACCGGAGGTGCCGGCTCTGGAGGCAGAGTTACTGCTGGGCCCTTCTGAGTAGGTCCTGGATCTCATCACTAAGCCTGTTTTCACATCTGTAAAACAGTTACATGTACGGATGGCATGATATACATGATATACATGAAGTTGCCTGGTGCATCACCTGACACAATGACAATAAACACTGGCTATTTTGTTTTAGGAAGTGAAAGAATACATAAACAACAATTTTTTAAGCCATTATGAATGGTTGTAACTTGATTAAAAGTCACTCATCACAAACTTCCTGTTTAAAGGCAGCCAGCCTTCCTCAGGCTTATTTCCAATGTCCTCACAACCGAGCTGCAATCCGTCATTTACAGAAAAATTGTGTTTTCTCCCTGTTAAGAAAATTTTAAATGAAAGAATTTGAGCATTTAACTAGCATATTCTGTCGGTTTTTGAGGTGACCTATGTCAGAACACGTGTGTCCAGGATGTTGTTCAAGTTAAGGGAGATACAGCAGTTGTCTGATAATAGATTAATTTTTACATTTAAACAATTTTTTAAATAGATTGGGTTTTGCTATGCTGCCCATGCTGGTCTCCAACTCCTGGCCTCAACTGATCCTCCCACCTCAGCCTCCCAAAGTGCTGGGATTACAGGCCTGCACCACTGCACCTGGACTGATGACAAATTATATCCAGGATGGTGATTATTAGAATGATGTTCTTTCTCATCTCTTCACAAACACTAGTCACCCATGACTATTTACTTTATGGAAAACAAACTCTAAAAGAGCCCCTAGGCCAGGCGCAGTGGCTCATGCCTGTAATCACAGCACTTTGGGAGGCCGAGGCAGGCAGATCACGAGGGTGAAGAGATGGAGACCATCCTGGCCAACATGGTGAAACCCCCTCTACTAAAAATACAAAAATTGGCCGGGTGTGGTGGCACGTGCCTGTAATCCCAGCTACTTGGGAGGCTGAGGCAAGAAAATTGCTTGAACTCGGGAGGCGGAGGTTGCAGTAAGCCAAGATCGCGCCACTGCACTCCAGCCCGGCAACAGAGCAAGACTCTGTCTCCAAAAAAAAAAATAAAATAAAATAAAAAAAAGACCCCTAAGAGGTGAGGAGGTCAAGGAGTGTAAGAACGTACTACAGGACAAAAGAGGTGCGTTACAAGTAAATGGGACTACGGTATTGAGGAACAAAGAAGGAAGAAGGGGGCCACCACTAGCCCACAAGACCGGGGGCAGAAAGCTTTACAACGGAGGATGTTCTCTGGTTTGTCTGATCTTTATTAGCCAAAGGTCTAAATATTTCAGAGTAACATTTCAGCCAATAACCTCATACATTTAGGATTGAAGAAAACCCCTTCAGGGACAGAACAGAAAATGTACTTAATGATATTACACCATACCAAAGCTTTTGCATTTCAGAAGGTAGTAATTAAAAAGCAGCACTACAAAATTTCACTGTGTCCCACATGAGAACCCTGTATTAAAGGAATCTACAGTTTTGTGAAAGGAAGGGCAAAGCCCTTTAATTTTCAGGAAGTGAAATGGAAGTCTCCTGTACCATTCAATACTATGGGCTCTATGCACTATCAGAAACAAACTACCCCAAAAAGACAAATCCCAAAACAATCCAGGTGAGGCAGAAACGAGCAATCCCCTTAGACACCAGCTCCAGATCACAAGGCATTCATCTTAATCACTTTCCTTCTATAACCCCTCTGTATCAGGTGCTAATGTGGACCCCTATTTAAGCAAAGCCTGGAAAACAGAAACTATCTCACACTGTCATACGCTTGGGTTTAATGATACCACACAACCCAAACAAGGCCAGCTCTCAAATGAATGTCATCAACCCTAGCTAATAAGGTCCCTGTGGTGGATATCCAGAGACTAAATTTCATCTAGCTAAAATTCTTCTAAATGCCTTGTTTGAAGAGATCTGTAGGCGGAAGGGGAACATCACACACCGGGGCCTGTCATGGGGTGGGGGGAAGGGGGAGGGATAGCATTAGGAGATATACCTAATGTAAATGACGAGTAAATGGGTGCAGCACACTAACATGGCACATGTATACCTATGTAACAAGCCTGCACATTGTGCACATGTACCCTAGAACTTAAAGTACTATAAAAAAAGTAAATAAAAAAAGAGATCTGTAGGCTACCAAGGATTTCAAAGTGGAGCTTGTTTCCCCTAGGATTGATTTAGTTTTGATGCAGCCTGCAGTTACCCCTGGGGACCCTTTAACCCACTCACCAGCTCCTCCCCAGGGAGGCACAGAGGCCAGGTACTGCCAAATCCACAGCAGACAGCCACAACTCCCCCATCTTGCCCATCAGTGACCTAAAGGGGCCTTCCTGAAACTTCGACTGAATTAACTACTGGAATACCCATGCTTTTTGCTGCTTCCGCCTAATGGCTGTCTCAGATGCAAAAGGCCCCACCACAGGAGAATATTAAGAGGAAACTCATTTGACGCTGAAGTAATTCTGCTGTTCCTAATGAAAATCTTTGTCTGTTTTATAGGCCATACAATTTTTCTAATCTGCAGTGGTCCTATAAACGCACAGCATTATAACGCAATTAACTACCTTATCTATTTGGCTACCAGAAGACTAAGGCACAACAAAGTTAAAACCAAAAACAAAGAACGCATTAGGATCTACTCTCTTCTGATGAAGAATTTAAATTAGGCATAAAATAAAGCATAGCCATACCAATACTTTGATCCATTTTAAAGCTTTCTAAAATTTTAAAGGACTAAAGTGAATTTTAAAGTATTTTGTCAGCATTACATTGATGAGCCTGTTAATCCTGTTCATGCTAGGTAAATGTATATTCAAGGTATGTTCCCGAATTGTTTACAGAAGCCAGTGAAAAACTTTATGGATATAAATTCAGAAGCAAGAACACTGAAACTTTGACAGATTAAAATCCCTAGGACAATATCCCACCCATAGCATGTACTACGTAGAACTGTTTTTATCCTAAATATGTTTGCTATCTGGAAAATCTAGGGAAGAATTTATCTATTGGATACATAGTCTGTTTACTAAGAATTCTTAGTAAACAGAGTACAAAGTCTAGATTTATGTGTTTTTTCGCATAGTCTGTTTACTAAGAATTCTTAGTAAACAGAGTACCAAGTCTAGATTTATGTGTTTTTTCTATTTTGGGACCTAGATATGATAATCCAGATTACAAAAACAACAGCAAACTGCAATAAAGTGTAACACTCTGAATTACACTACCTGCAATGTTGGGTTTTCCTGTAGGGTTTACGTAGAATCTTGACACCAGCTTGCCCATTACTCTGTCTAGGAAGCCTAATGCAACAACGACTCGAGACTGCCGAATATATATGTTTGTTTATATACCACCCAAATATTATTCAAAGGTTGTCTCAAATCAAATAGCTTCCCAAATGGGTTGACCCAATAATAGCAAAACTATTTGGGCCCAGGTTTATGCTAAAGAGAAACTCCCACCATCACAGAGATTGAGCCCAAGTCAGGGCTGTGGCCCAGCTTCCCACAGACATCAGGGATCCACCTGAGGAGGCAGAGCACAATTACACTCTAAGACACAGTAGGTCTGCTGCGCAACAGCCCTGCTGTCCACACCTTCCTTCTAAGTAATACAAAAGACATGGTCCCCCTCACAAACTGCTGCTCCCTCAGCATCACCAGAAGCCCAGGCGTGTTTGGGGACTCCAAAAGCAGCTCACATAAATGTTTCAGTAATGCTGCTTTCATTAACATACCTAAAAAGCCTCCATGACTCCTCCTGGCCCTCCTCAATGTGCCCACACTAAAGCCACACATCCCCATCAGCACACACCTAACATGAATGAAGCCTACATTTTGCTTATTTGTAAGGCCAAATTTCCACCCCAGTGGAAGCACCTGTGCTGAGAGCTGCATGTTCATGTCTGTTTGAAAACTCAGCACCCACTGAGCAGAAAAGAAGCCTGCAGAGCAGCTTTCACCACTGCGCAGTCACTGGCACTCCACCAGATGTGGGCACATCTGTGTCAGAGGTGCCCACCAGGACTTTCAGCTTAAATGCAGTCTCAGGTCAAAGCAAGCCAGCCCAGGAAGAATGTGCTTCCCCAAGATCACTCCTGGGCTAAAGGAATTCTGGAAGGCTCCAAGTTGAGTCTGCCCTGGAACCACATTTAGATGACTTGAGGACATCCCACTAGGAATTCTTTGGGCTCCAGAGAGAAGGGAGAATGTCAGGTAGGAAAAAAGGGATCCCTGAACCACCTGAGGGTCCCCACTTGAATGACTAAGCAAACCTTACCATATGGACAGTGTTCCTTGTATTAAATATTAAATGTTTTATTCTAATGCTGCAGTTCGAATCATGTCTTTTTTGGAAACATGGATGATATTGTTGTCATACGTTAAGACAAGACTATCTTTATAAACCTCCAAAGACCAAAACAAAAGAAAACGACAAACAAACAAACAAAACAAAAAAACCTCACAGTTGCCTTTGGAAGTTATCGACATCATTTTAAGAAAAGTCTTGATCTTTTAAAACACACTGGCTATGCGCAATACACATTTGTGTTTGAGGATGAAAACACAAAGATAATCTTAATAACTTCGGGCAAACTAGCAAAGGCAGAAGGAATGAATGATTAAATGAACCATTTTTTAGGATGACTCAAACCAACAGAAAATTAGAATCTCCCACACAAGCCAATAATTTGCGATGGTACACCTTAAACTCCTCTTTGGAATTTTAGTCCTCATTGTTTCAGCGTTTTCACTTTCAATTTCCTCCAAAAGGGAACTGAATATCAACTATTGTGGCTAGAATCTTGCACACAAGTACAAACGTTTTTTTATCTCTTCCAAGCTACTATTCAAGGATACTCTGCACATGTATCCCAGGACTTAAAGTAAAATAAAAAATTTTTAAAAAGGATACTCTGACCTGCTGTTAGTTTTCCACCACAATGTATGTATTAGCACATTTGGAGATGCCTTTTCTCTACTTCTCTTAAAACTACGAAGTTGCCAATATGGTCCAGTAGGAAGAGTACTAGAAGTCAGGGCGTGTATGTCTGTGTCCAAGTTAGATCATTACTGCGCGTGTGAATCTGAGCTGTATGATGCCCTGGTGTCTCCGTACCAAATAACTGAATGGTGCATTGTGAAGATTAAATGAGAACATGTTTGGAAAACATAAAACAGATTATACATGTGAAGAATGCTACCAATTTCAAGCATATTCGAGAATTATTCTATAAACTCATGATATTCTAGAACAAAATGCAAGGTTTTTATTAGAAATTATTGGCTCTACTGTCACAGATACTTATATAACAAAGAGATGAGCAGTAAGGTCAGTCTAACAGATTACTTCAGCATTTCAACTCTCAAAGATCACTTTTCTCTGAACCAACATGTAGTCTCTGGTATTTCAATTTATTTTCATTTTGATTACTGAGAAAACTAATTTAGCTAAATTCTGACAGCCTAGTTAAGATTGCAATGGATGACTTAGAACTGCTGTTGACTGAACAAAGTGTAAAACAATCATTCTTCAGTGGTACCCTACCACCCCCAAAAAGAAAAGTTTCACATTTTAATCATTTAAAAAATCTATCACACATAATAAATAGCCAAACCTAGAAAACTCTTTTAAAGAAATATTTTGTTCGAAAATTGCTTGCTATTCCTAGCTTAATTTATAGCTACTTTGAAGACTAAAATGGTTATCCAATATATTGAGGTCTATCTTCATGAAGTCTCTGACAGAAATATATGATAGACTTTAAAAGGACCATTTGGGCCAGGCATGTTGGCTCACACCGGTAATCCCAGCACTTTCGGAGGCAAAGGAGGGAGGATTGCTTGAGCACAGGAGTTTAAGACCAGCCTGGGCAACACAATGAGACCATCCTGTCTCTACATTAAAAAAAAAAAAATCAAAAAGTTAGGTGTGGTGTTGCACATTTGTAGTCCCAGCAACACAGAAGGCAGAGGCAGGAGGATAGCTTGAGCCCAGGAAGTTGAGCCTGGAATGAGCCAAGTTCACAACAATGCACTCTAGCCTGGGTGACAAAAATAAATAAATAAGGGACCATTCAGAGAATCAGGACTGGAACTGAACATGTCCAGTTCATCCTGCCCAAGTCAGTGTTAGAGCACTTGCCAGGGGTGGGGGTAGGTGGAGTGAAGGGCACCAAGGAGGAAGGGTCTCAAAGGACCCTGTGTCAGTTATTTTTATTGGGAATACAAACCAAAGATCAATTTTTATCTTCATTTTTGTCACTGGAAAATCTGTGGGCCTACCTAATGTAAAGTATTTCAATCAACTGACAATTTCAGAAGTTAATTTATTTCCATTCACATTTCAATAACATAAATTAGGATCTTTTGATTTGGTCAAATCAATACCGATCAATGTAATTTTCAATGAACAATTATTTACTAAGCCCCTACTGTATACTGTGGAAATAACAAGTAGGCATTAAGGCTCAAGGCTCTCCCTGCCTCCCATGGTCTTACACATATGTACGGAAGGCTGACAACACAGAAACGTTAAGGTGCAGCACACGCAAAACAAGAAAGGAAAGGCCCTACGCTGGAATTGGGACGTGAAGCAAAGGACGACTTGGATTGCTAGATAAAACGGGATGGGAATTCTTGAGGTAGGGCAGAGCATGAACCAATGTTGACAGACAAACTATGTGGTGGTGCAGAACATGTGTGCTAGAACCAGACTGGCCCAGTTCAAACCCAGTTACGGCCTGAGTGCTCTTGGATAAATGGCTTGCGATCTTTGGGCTTGGTTCCCTTGTCTGCAAGAAGGAAATACTAACAGTACTTACTGACCACTGTGCAGAATGTCCGATAAATATGAGCTATTAGTGTTTGTGAGGAAACTTTTTTAAAAACACTAGTAAGGTATGTCTGGAGAAAAGAGAAGAGGTCAGTATGGCCATGTATGAGTTTAGACACAGAAAGGGAGGAGAGAGAGAGAGGAGGTACGGTGGGTGGGGCCTTAACACAGCAGCATGTTTTTTACCCTACATGCAACTCACAGGACAGCCAGTGGAAGATCAGAGGACAACAGAGTAAAGTTATAATGCAGAACCTAGAGCAAAGCGCCAAACCTGTCTTCCCACCTGGATGATAGGAGGAGAGTTTGGGCTCTGCTGGGAAAGCAGAAAGATATTTCTGATTATCCACAAATGTAACTGTGAGTGGGTGTCTGTATTTTTGCATACATCTACATTGCTCTTGATAAGTAAAAGCATCTCCAGGAGCTGCTGTCCTTGGCTGTGGTGCTTCTCCCACCTAACAGGAAGCTGCTGCAGCTAGTGCTGAGAGAAGGGCCTCCAGAAACAAGTTACCTTCAGGCCCTCCTCCCTGTCTCCCTCGCTGAAAATGACAGGGTTTTCGATTCAAGCTTTGGCTTCTGTCTCATGACTTGAAGGATACTTGATTGTTTTCAAACTTACGGCATAATCTGATATTTTCATAGCCAAAGGAGGGCAGGATGCTGGGGCCAGGACCATTTGTTTTGAAAACAGATTTTAAAAGTCTCCCTCCATGAAGCTGACTGCTTTCATACATTTTATCCATCATTCACAAGATTTGGCATAAAAATTTGGTTCTTACATTTTGAAGGTTTATTTTTGTTCCTTGATGTCATTGTCTAGGCTCAACTATAACATCTTTCAGGTTGTTTTGAACAGCTAAAAGGAAATTAAAGGAAATAATGGCCTACAATGTAACCATGGATTGTTCCACACAAACATGGATAAAGCTGCAACAAAATACTCATGCATTAGTCAGTACCCTGGTGGATGCACAGGAGATTCAGGGCCAAGGCTGTGGGGTACTGCAGGGGCATGAGGATAAGCTGCAGTGGCATCAGACTCCCCCCACCCACCCACCCCTCCTCCTCAATGTGAAAGGCATGATTACCCCCCGCCCACATGCATACTAGAAGACAAGTGGTCCAATTCTTGAAAACTTTTAAAAGGTTGATGAGCACTCCCCACAACAGAATTCGATTATAAACATTTTATGTGATGTTAACCTTACCCTCAACAGATCCCATCCTCCTTTCTTCTTCCACCAGCCAGATGCCCTGACCTCTAACTGCTTCCTTTCCTTCCTGTTACAAACCAAGTGTGTGCCATGCAACTTAAGACAGGGTCTAAAACTCACAGTTACTAGCAAACAAAGAAACCTTAGCAGACAGTTCAAATATTTTGTAGAATGGGTCACAGAGTCTAATACTCTGTCCACTTTAGAAGAACATAAAACCACTTTATGGAGGATAGCTAACAGATACCTGCAGACAGGAACACCACACCTTAGGTTATTAACTTTTCCTATTTCATAGCACTTCTTCCAGCCACTCCTCCTACTAGGATCATTTTATTCTCCTCACCAGCCCAAACTAAGTAAACTAATCACCTCCATTAATCTAAAGTTTTTGTCGTCGGGATTTAAAAATATTATACATGAACTTTTTGATCTATACTCAATGCCTAGAACAGAACAGAGCCAAGCAGAACATAACAGAATGAAACAGAATGAACAGAAGAGGAGAAAAGATAGATCAAGGGTGATATCCATGACCAGTTCTTAGGAGGTTAGACTTGCTTCCTTAGTTTCAGATATCAATGCAAAATAATTTATCCTTTCTGCTTGGCTGGAACAAACTTACTTCAAAATAAAAGAGTTTTATCAAGTTCTATTTCTGCTAAAAGACAGAAGAGCTGATTAAGAACATGGATGCAGAATGTGCCCACTGACTGGCACCTTTACCACCAACTTCTCTTCCACCCTTCCCTCAATTGCCATCTAGTAAAAGCAAAATTGCACGCAAAGTTGAACATTAAGTACTAAAGAAAGGGCAGTGGAGCGGGGGTTGATGCAGATGGCCTCACTCAGGGAATGTGCCTTGTCAAACTTCAGGCCAAGATGCAGCAGCATGCTGGCTGTACTGGGTCCAAATTTCTTAAGTCCATCCCTAAGCCAATAAACTCTGCAGCTGTCACTCAGGCTACAGTTCATGGAGCTTTACCTAACAAAGCTGACAACTGGTCCTAGAATGCTGATCCTGTAGATTGAGAACTTTTGTGCATTCTGGTTAAATTCCTACTCGGTATGAAATCCTGGAGGCATGGTGCTTATAGTGACATTATGACAAAGATTCCCTGCAGCCAGCCTCCCATCCCACTCCACCTTCGGGACAGTCTTTATTCCCAAAGCATCCCCAGCCACTGACTGTGTATCAGCATCCTCTGGACTCTTCCCTGCAAGTTCCCTGAAGATCAGATTTTCCTCTAACCATTGAGGTCTCCTGTAGCACCTCCAAAGTAGCTTCAGGACAAAGCAGCACACTATGGCCTACTAAAGCATTCTTCGGCATGTGCTCTACAAAATAATGGTTCCTTTTAGGGTGATTTGAATTCACTGAAAAAATACCTTTGGGACACTCTGGCCACACAGAATTAAACAGGATTCCTAACTGTACAGTTTTTTAGAGCCTTGAGTACACAAAACAACACAAAACAAACAAGAGCAAAACTGTTCCCTTAGACTTTGTTTTGTTTTGTTGGTGGGATCACATGCATGCACATGCACACCCCTCCACGCACATACACATTTCTTTGCCCGCGCTTCTTGACAGACTATACCATGAAACTGATGTTCAGCAGCACACATTTTGGAAAATGCTGATCTAATGGCAAGACGGTGGTAATGAGGAAGAAAATCTAAGTCTGGCTCTATCTTTCTGACTGGACACATTTTTACATCCTTTATGTCTAAGCTTTCTTGTCTATAAAGTAGGAAAACAATGTCTGTCCTAAATGCCCCACAGAATTGTAATGGGTATAAGTGCTTCAAAAAGCATAAAGGGCTACGTATTGGTGAGATTTTATGATTATGCCAAGGTAGAAGGAGGGGCTCTCACTGAAAGCCCCAGTGCTGCCCAAACTTCCTACCAAATAACACACCTGCCCTAGGTAGCTCAGAAAGCCCAGGTGTTCTGTGGGACTTGCTGCTAGAAGTAATTGAACCATGCCTTACTCTTTGATGGATGAAGGAGGAGACCAGACAATCCACGCCAGGTCGGATTACTCCGTGCGAAGCAAGACCCACAGTAGACCTCTTTCTCCTACATCCCATTCCCCAACAGTCAACATCATCTTCAGAAATACACAGGCAGAGTTATGACAGGAGAAGAATGGGCCAAATCTTTTCCATCTCCTTAAATGCTTCTGTAAAAAGACAAGCAAGGTATAGGAAGGAACAAGCAAAGAAGGGGGAAAGAAGACAGGAGAAGAGTGATTCTGAAGTTGACTGCTGAGAAGGCAGCAGAATGAAAAAAAAAGGGGGCGGGGGCGGTACAATCCTAAGACTTCTCCCAGGCCAGGAAAACACTCTAGCCTTGGCTGTGACACTCCTCCTCATGCTGTTAGGAGCCATGATGTGAGCACATAGGCAGTTTCTAGGGTCACCACAATAGAGCTTGGAAGATGAGGAACCTGTACACAAGGTTTCCCCATTAGTGTAATATGTGGTGGGATCAGTGTAGAACCTAACTAGGCAAAAACACCATCTGGGATTGGAAAGTTTATTTACAACACCTGACAGTGAACATCAATCATGACACCCCTGAAACCTATTGCACACTATTTGCAACTAAAATACAGGGTGCTCTTTATTACCAATTATACGAGCTCTGTATGGTCAATTACTTCTTTTACAAGACAATTTTGATGAATACAATAATGTTGCTTCCAGGTGGTGAATATAATGGGGCTTTTTACTTTGTAGATTACCTTTGCATGTTGTCTTTTTTGCTGCTGCTGTTAAAGAAAGAGCATTTTACCTTTCATAATGTTGCTACATTGGGGTAACAAACAAAAACCCAGGCATTTTCCTTTCTCATATATTCATTCAAAAACAAAGCAGTTCCTATCAAGTGGAATATATCCAAGTGAAATATATATAATGTTTATACAACACACACACACCTGCATAACCAAATAATAAGTTGTAGTTTGCAAACTATATGCTAACATTTTTGTTTTTCCAGGAAACAATATATCTTTCCTTAAGCAGGAGACGGGGAAAGAGAACAACAATTTTACACAAAACTAGTGGCTGAGGAGCGTGGGCTTGCTGTCACACAAACCTGGAATCTACATCCAGTACTGGCACTTAGCAAATGTGAGACCTTGGCTGAGTCACTTTACCTCTCCAGGCTTCAATCTCCTCATCTACAAAATGGGGATAAACAACTTCCATTCCAAAGCATTTTTGTAAGGACTAAAATGAGATAATCCTACAAAGCACTTATAAATATTAGATATTATGGGCACAAAATCTCAAGCAAATGTCTAGCCCCTGGCTCCAAGCAAGGCACACCTCATCTGACCTCATGTCACCTCCCTGCACACATTCAAAGAAAACCCAGTGCTGGCATGTTCCTTAAGCAAAACACATAGAGGACACTTGTCCTCAATGTTTACGCAATCACTATTAGCAGTAGCAACAAAAGATGCTGTCATTTGAAGGTGAAAGTCATCCAGGACACAATCAAGCAAAATAAGTTCAAGTCCCTAACATCTCATGGCCAGAAGCTCAAAGACCCTGAAGAACAAGGTGAGGCTCCAGGAAAGTATCTACAGCACTGCTTAGCCTTCGCCTACACACTTAAATACCCGGCGCTTCCGCTAGCTAGATGTGGGCCTTCTTGGGTTATGGTCAGGGCAACAACATTGGAAAGCCTGCCAAGAGACGGAGTTGAGATAAGTAAGAAAAACTACAAAAGGAAATGAAATGCTTGGGCACTTTTCTTGGAGACAGAAAGAGCTTTAGACTTTTCTGGGACACAACAGGTGTCCAGAGAGCATCACTGAAAATCTGGCCAGGTTTTGTGATCCCTTAACCCCCTTTTTTGGAAAAACCTGAAGTGACACTGCTTGAAGGCAAAAAAGGGGAGCGAGCACAAACAGGGCCACAACAGCCTTCACACTTGTTGCTGGAACACATGCCTTCACCTTTGAAAGATACTCATGAGAACTTGCAGAGGGCTGTCTTCATACAATAGTACAAATTGTGTTTAAATTGAGAAACCAGCTGCTCGCTCCTTGATCAGTCATCCTTTTATCATCAACAGAACTTTAATTAGCCCCCATCTGCTTCCTGTTTTATGCTACAAATCTTAACTTTCACCTGTTTGAACCAAACTGCAGTAACTACACCCATAGTAAATTAAAACAATTAACTTTCCATACAACATGCAATTAATCCTCATTAAGCTGTTATTAGGCTATTCAAAATAACACAGAATTCAAATCAACTAGTTTCCCACAAATGACAATGTTCTATACAAAAATTCAACAGAAACTCTATCCCACCCACTTCTTGCATTTTTTTCCATTAAGAAGGTTTTCAAGCTGTCTGGCTTCAATTTCCTGATTTAACTATTAAGTATGGGGCCATATCTGGTCATGTAAGAACAATACATCTCAAAAATATCATGCTGACTTTTATTAAAGAAAATCAAGTTACAGAATGGTGTTTACCTTAAATGATAACATTTATGTAAAGCTTTTTTTAAAAAGGGGATCCTACAAAGAATTTGTGGACCCCATCTATCAGCACAGCCAGGGTACGGGCTTCTGGCAGGAAAGGTGCCCTTCAACACACAAACTCTGGAATTAGTGGCTACCTCTGGGACAAGGAGGGGAAGAATTATATTTATAGCTAAAACAGAGAGGTAGAATATGGGTACTAATTATATTGGTCTCTATGCCTTTCTTCATGTATGAAATACAGGCCTACCTTAGAGATACCTCAAGTTCACTTCCAGAATACCACAATAAAGCAAATATCACAATAAAGTAAAAACAAATTTTTGTTTCCCTGTGCATAAAAGGTATGCATTATATTGTAGCCTATTAAGTGTGCAATAGCCATATTTTAAAAAAATAATGTACACATCTTAATTAAAAACTTTTATTGTTAAAATATGCTAATAATCATCTGAGCCTTCAACGAGTTGTGATCGGTTGCTGGAGGGCCTTTGCCTCAATGTTAATTACTGCAGTCTGATCAGGGTGGTGGTAGCTAAAAGCTGGGATCGCTTTGGTAATTTCTTAAAACAACACAATTAAATTTGCCTGATTGATTGACTCTTTCTTTCACGAAAAATTTCTCTGTAGCATGTGATGCTGTTTGATAGCATTTTACTCACAGCAGAACTTCTTTCAAAATTAGAGTCAATCCTCTCAAACCCTGCCACCGCTTTATGTAATATTCTAAAGCCTTTACTGTCATTTCAACCATGTTCATTCACAGCATCTTCACCAGAAGTAGATTCCATCTCAAGAAACCACTCTCTTTGCTCATCCGTAAGAAGCAAGTCCTCATGAGTTCAAGTTTTATCATGAGATTGCTGCAATTCAATCACATCTTCAGGCTCCACTTCTAATTCTAGTTCTTTTGATGTTTTCACCACATCTGCATCTACTTCCTCTTCTGAAATCTTGAACCCCTCCCAGGTCATCCATGAAGACTGGAATCAGCTTCTTCCAAATTTCTATTAATATTGCTATTATGACCTCCTCCCATGAACCACAAATTTCTTAATGGCATCTACAATGCTAAATCCTTTCTTGAAGATTTTTAATTTTACTTTGCCCAGATCCATCAGAGGAATCACTATGGCAACTTGGGCCTTAATAAAATATATTTCTTAAATAATAAGACTTGAAAGTCAAAATTATTTCTTGACCCATGGGCTGCAGAACAGATGTTGTGTTAGCAGACAAGAAAACACCACTAATCTGCTTGTACATCTCCATCAAAGCTCTTGTGTGAGGAGGTACATTATCATTGAGCAGTTTAATATTTTGAATCTTTCATCCTGAGCAGTAGGTCTCAACTGTGGGCTTAAAATATTCAGTAAGCCATGCTGTAAACAGATGTGCTGTCGCTCAGGCTTTGTTGTTCCATTTACAGAGCACAGATAGAGTTGATTTAGCATACTTCTTAAGGGCACTAGAATTTTCTGAATGGTCCATGAGCATTGGCTTCAACTTCAAGCCACCAGCTGCATTACCCCCCTAATAAGAGAATCACAACCTGTTCTTTGAAGCTTGGCATTAACTTCTCCTCTCTAGCTATGAAAGTCCTAGATGGCATCTTCTTCCAATAGAATGCCACTTCATCTACATTGAAAATCTGTTGTTTAGTGTGGCCACCTTCATCAATGGTCTTATCTACATCTTCTGGATAACTTGCTGCTCCTTCACTTTGTACTTTCATGTTATGGAGATGGCTTCTTTCCTTACACCTCATGAACCAACAACCTCTGCTAGTTTCAAACTTTTCTTCTGCAGCTTCCTCACCTCCCTCAACCTTCACAGAATTTAAGAGTTACGGCCTTGCTCTGAACATGGCTTTGGCTTAAAGGAATGTTGTGACTGTTTTGATCTTCTATACAAACCACTAAAACTTTCTCCAGATCAGCAATAAGGCTGTTTTGCTTTCTTATAATTTGTGTTCACTGGAATGGCATTTTTAATTTCCTTCAAGAACTTTCCCTTTGCATTCACAACTTGGCTGACTGGCATAAGAGGCCTAGCTTTTGGACAATCTGGGCTTTATACATGCCTTCCTCACTAAGCTGAATCATTTCTAGCCTTTGATTTACAGTGAGTGAGATCAGATGGTGTGACTCTTCCTTTTATTTGAACATGTAGAAGCCATTGTGGGGGTTTTAATGGCCTAATCTCAATATTGTTTTGTCTCAGGGATAGGGAACCCTGAAGAGGGGGAGACAGATGGGGAATGGCAGGTTGGTGGAGCAGTGAGAACAAACATTTATCAGTTAAGTTTGCAGTCTTATATGGGTATTAGAATTTTTTTTAATAAAAAGCTCCTCAAGTGAGTCTAATTCCACTCTCTAAAACTCATCCCTTGAGAAAGGCTGAATAACAATCCACATATACCTCCAAGGCAGAGAGACCTTGCTCACCCATCTCAAAACTGCCCCCACTCACCTACCTAGTCAGTACCTGAAATGTAAATATTATTTGGGGCTGGGCATGGTGGCTCACACCTGTAATCCTAGCACTTTGGGAGGTCAAGGTAGGCATATGGCTTGAGCCCAGGAGTTCAAGACCAGCCTGGGCAACATGGAGAAATTCTATCTCCACAAAAAATGCAAAAAAAAAAAAAAAAAAAAAAAAAAAAAAAAGCCAGATGCAGTGGCACGTGTCTATAGTCCTAGCTATTCAGGAGGCTGAGGTAGGAGGATCACCTGAGCCCGGGTAGGTTGAGGCTGCAGTGAGCTGTGATTGTGCCACTGCACTCCAGCCAGGGGGGCAAAGTGAGACCCCATCTCAAACAAACATTATATATATATTTGGATATTATTTGGATGAATCTACAGAGACAATAAGATTTCTTGTCCTGCTATTAATCAGCCCAATAACCAAGCACATAAATTCCCCTTTCCTGAAGGCAACCGAATAAGCGAGTAGTTATCCCTCCAGTCTAATGGTCCGACTCTTCTAGGAAGCTTCGGATGTTATGATTCACTAGGTATGAAGCGCAGCTTGGCAATCTATTAAAGCAGTCATGGTACTGGAGCCAGGTTTGGGAACACCTGAACTACTTTCATGTGTAAGATTCTTTTCAGTTCTACTATTCTAAGAAAATAAGGTAACTATGTTATTCCAGGTAGATTCTGATTTAACAAGAGGAAGATGAAGTCCCAGAATATTCTTAACAAGTATCTTATATGACAGGCAAGTATGAGAAACACTATGTTAGTGGTACTTTTGGTCATTAACACCAAATAATAAAAGGCAATTCATTAGATATTTATGAAAGGATGTCTAAAAAACACAACTGTAATCTTACGGATAAAAAGCCAGTTGGTTCTGGGATCAAATTTTAAGTCATCATTGTTTTTCAGAAAGAAAAACAGAAGCAAGAGTTAAGAGAATAAGGAATGTCAACCTCACCTTGCAATTTCCTGGAATTTTCCTCCCCCGCTTTCCCCTTTAGTATGTAAGTATTTCCTCTGCGCGCGCGCACACACACACACACACACACACACACACAGCCAACTTCACAATGGAGTTTTGAAAAGATTACTGCTCCATATGCCAACAGGCAAGTCAGGGACTCAGTGGAAAGGACACTATTCCAGAGCACAGCCTTCTCCCAGCCAGATCACACCAGCTTCAGCTGTTCCAGCTCTGCAGAGAAAGGGTAATCACTTCTTATCAAACATTGATAACACCTAAAATTCCTTTACAGTTCTGACTTCAGGGTGGAAGTGCAATTCGTATTTGCCCTGAAGACATGAAAAGTGGAATGCGCTTTCATGAGATGAAAGCTTCTGCGGAAATAATTGATTCAGGTGAGCCCTACTCAGGTTAATCTCAAAAGAAAGAAGCAAGAAACCTCATCCAGGAAAGTGGACCCAGCAGCTGCCCATTTTCAAGGGTTGTATACAAAAGCTAAACGACAAGATGTCCAGATGGATGAAAAACCCTATCCTAGCTAGTCTGTGCCAGCAAGACTTAAAAAACAAACGGTGTCTTTTGGGTCTGTTTGATTTAGTACGTAAGTTTAACTAGTTCCATGTTTGAGACCAATCCAGAGAGGGGCTACTTAAAAACTGGCTCAGCCCAAATCATTGTGTGTTCAAGTGACTGACCTGTGAACTCCCTCCTCATTTCCCATATATGGCCAATTCTCCATATATGGATTCATCTACCTGTTTCCCCTAACTTCAAGGCTGCTGCCATGACACAAAGGTCTTGAAAGAATGTGGGAAAGCCCTCAGGCTAAAACTCTGGATCACAATCCATAAAATAGTGAAACCAATTGAGAGGATTGTGGCTAGCATTTCTGTAAATAATAACAAAACAGTCTTACATAAATGGCTAAGCACAGTACTATTTTGTAAAACTCTTCTATCATTGTGTGCATATGTGCACTGAGTCATACTGTAAAATGGATTTCTCACTATGCATCAAGATGGGAAGAAACTGAGAAAGCCACAGAAACAGAAGGAAACATACTACTTCCTACAGGATATGCTTTCTCTCTCTAAGAAGGGCTTAATAACAAAAGCCCAATAAAATGGTGGCACAGTCCCATCCCCGGGTTTCCAGGGAGACCCCAATCCCATCAAGAACACCTACTCCTCACAGGCAACAGAGGCACCCCCTTGTGAAGCTGTTCAGCAGCCTGCACAGAAGATATGACTCTTGCAGTCTGGAATAAAAGGCACCAAATGGGAAATAGTGTGTAGGGATAAAAGGTACCAAATGGGAAATAGTGTGTAGTATCAGTTTTGACAATTTTTGTAACCAAGTAACTTTTGAGCAAGTTACTCATTTCTCATTTGCTTATCAACAGAATGATCATGGAATGCTAAACCTCTACAGGGTGCAATCTTAAGGAAATGTTACTACTTAAACCTTTTACCTGCACAAGACTGCCCCTCTGTCTTTCCTCTCTGATGGGTACGGAAGTTACTGACATGCAAAGTCAGCACAAGGGAACCGTGGCTCAGGCAAACGAGGAAAAATGAATTTAGATTATGTTTACAGCCAAGGAAAGGAGACACGTTGAACAATCCTCTACTGGAAACATTGCTAAAGTGTTTTTAAACTGAAGATTATACCACCACTTAAGATATTTTTTGTCTGCTATTTTACCCAGCATATTACAAAACTGCATCTAGGACTGAAATAGCAGATTGCCTCAAGAGCAAATGACAATATTTGTACCAGAAATGTTGGCAACCAGCAGCACAGATGGGTTTCTGCACAGCAATCTTCAAACTGGGACTCCAAGAATAACTCCACCTACTGCACCAATGTTAAATTGCTGAATCCAAAGTCAGAAGGGCTCATTATTCCATATTTTTCCACCACCTTCTTCCCAAAGGCACGTGTACCTGCCTGACCTCCTCTGCCTGAGAAGGGCTCAGAACAAAGTAAAAAAAAAAAAAAAAAAAGTGGGAGTGGGCAGGGCGGAGCAGGAGACCACAATAAGAAGCAAATACGAACAGATAGTGAAAGATTGATTATCCGTGAAAGGAAGGAAAACAAAAATGACTGGAAAGTCCAGATAAGCCAAACAGCTATTTACATGACTAGTTTTAAACTTCCCCTTCAAATACAAATAAGAAAAAATAAAGATTTATCTTAATTTCATCTCCTCTCCAAGGCTGGGTACCCTTGCTTGAGGAGTCAAATAAAAACTTATTTTTGCTAAAAGACTCAAGGACAGAGAGAGAAGCTGCCATTAACCATGTTGATTACTAGGATGGCCCCAAAGACAGTCCATCTATACCTAAAGCACGGCTCAAGTGCTTGGAGAAAATCTTTGTTGCTTCTTCCACATCTGCTCTTCCTGCCTGCCAACTGAGATGCACTGTTCTCCCTCCATTCCTCTGCATTTCTACCGAATGGTCTGGAAAGCCAAATGAAACGGAAGTCTTCACTTAATGAGACATTAATTATGAAGTCCATCCAACTAAAGTGCTGTCTTCAGTGTTCACAGTAGCCTCTCCCCACCTTTTAAAAGGGCCAGAGGGTTGATGGTGGTAATGGGTCTCTGCCTCTGTGCCACCCTAGGTTGACTTCCAGGGGTAAACTTTAAGGCCTTTCATGTGAAAGAGAGTCAATGCACTAACATTTTCGGGCTAGAACGGCACTTTTCAAATTGCATAACACAGAGTACAGAGCACTACTGCATTATGCTCCATATCCTCACATCTGCTATGGTGCGGGAGGAAGCCCAGGATAGAAAGGATTCAATTCAATTAACAGAACCTTGGGAGTTCAGGCAAGCAGAATCCTACATTTAAATAAATGCCCATTTAACCCTAAAGAAACTGAGTAGAGGAGGATTAGGGAGTGCTCATCTTCCACCTTTCCTCTCCAACAATCAAGGTGTTCCTTGCTCAGGCTCTACTTACAATTCCCTGAACTGCACAGTCAGGAAGTTTGAGTGTATCTGCACAAGACTTCTCTAGCTTCATTACCAAACCTTGAGTCACCTGAATCCGAACAGGCCAACTGATGTTTTAAGTGGAACAAAATTCCCTGCCTACCTTTTCTTTTTCCATTTATTGGGCTAAAAAGGTAGTGAAAATGTGGGCGGTTAAACCCTCCATAACCATCACTAACAGAAGCAAACAAATGTTCACAGAATCCCAAAGTCCAGGAACAAATTATATTTAAGTTTTCACCCTTAAACTGAGTTTAAGATTTTGGGGGGGACATTTACTCCAAGCCAAAAAGTTATCCTAAGAAGACCCCTCACTTACAGGGGCTGGGAAGCACTATGATTATTTTCCTGTTATCCATCTAATCTCAACCCACCCCGGCAGAGGCCCCAGCCTAATGAACAACCCTCAACCAAATCTTCCTGAAAGAATTCAGAATGAGCAACTATGGAGGTCTCCTTGGTAGAATAAAGGGCCTGTCCCTCATAAAGACAACATAAAAAGAGTCAAGGACACAAGTGATTTAAAAGTGTCACTGATTGACCAGGAGTGATGACTCACTCCTGTAATCCCAGCACTTTGGGAGGCCGAGGTGGGCAGATTGCTGGAAGTCAGGAGTTCAAGACCAGCCTGGCCAACATGGTAAAACCCCATCTCTATTAAAAATGCAAAAATTAGCCAGGCATAGTGGTGCATGCCTGTAATCCCGGCTACTTTGGAGGCTGAGGCACAAGAATCACTTGAATCCAGCAGGCAGAGGTTGCAGTGAGCCTGAGATCGAACGACTGCATTCCAGCCTGGGCGACAGAGCGAGACTCTGTCTAAAAAAAAATAAATAAGTAAATAAATGAAAGTGTCACTGATGCCAACTGTCCATAAGACAGTCAAGGCAGACCATCAAGAAATGGCTGCAAGAATATTCTACATTCAAAGACATCTCAAAAGTAACTATCTATTCACATAAACAGTTTAATACAACTCAATCCAATTCTTGCCAATTCTAAACAAGAAAAGACTGGCATAAAATATAAATCTTCTCCCCAATCAAGGCCAACAATGAAATTAAAGAAAAAAAACTCTCACATGAGTACAGTCTGTATTATTTATAGAAACAACTTTCATATCCATTTCAAGTTACTTAAATTCAAAACTTGCTAATAATAGAAACAGTATGTAAGTGTCACTAAAACCGGAAACTGCTGCAAAATAACAGAATATTTCAGAGTCAAATTCAAGGATCTGTGTTGTAAAATATTTCGTCTTTGTTACTCTATCAGCATTTAATTTATAAAAAGTGAACATGTTCTACTTTGGTTAATTAACCACTAACATAAGTCAAATAATGAATGCTGCTGCCTCCTAAATTAATCAGAATAGATTAACAGAATCCTTTGAGCTTATTGTTTCAGAACAAATTTCAAAGCCACCACAGTAACTTTCTGGAAGTTAAGAAAGAGGAAATGTGCTTCTCATGTCAACAGCAGAGCAGTTTTCAGGAGTCCCATTGTTTCAGTGCAGGGAGCTCAGCTGTCCTGGACTGTCCTGAGTCAAGACAGGAAGAGCTGTCAGACTTCTGGGGCTGATCACTCAAGCATGACTGGACAAGACCAGAAGCAGCAGATGTTTAAAGGGTGATGGGAAACAACTATGCAAAGAAGGAAACACTAGTAACTTGAAGAGTTACCAAAGCCTCACTCTGTTGACATAATTTGCAATCAATAAATACGTTTTAATAAAAGTCTGCAAGTTTGTACGATGGGAGCCTCTCTCTCCCTGCTGCTGTGGCCCCTACCCAACTCCTCCCAATAACAGCAGTACTATTTTACAACCCCTAGAGCAGGTCTTAAAATGTAAGAGAGATTTTAAAACCATCATTTCTGTCCAAGAATGACTATTCTGGCATAGTGACGCAAAGAAAAGCCATTCAGATAAACAAGAAACCTATTCTCCAAGAACAAGGAATTGGATTAGACTAGTAATATCTAATAACATCTAAGCCCAATGATGCAAACAAAACAACACAACAGGAATGTGTACTATACTATGGGCCAAATGCCGCAAACAGAAACCTTCTCCTTGCTAAGACTCTTCGGTCTCTTCTTACATAAAGACTCCAGGCAATTACTGTCCCCAAAATAGCTTTCTTTCCAAAATGACCATTAACCAAATGCCCCTCTTGCGGAGTTACAGAAGAGGATAGATGTCAAGTGTTCCATCAAGTGGAACAAGAACTAAAATATGGAACCTTGAAACCACAACTGCTGATATACCAAGGATGAATCCCAATAAACCAGAAAACTCACTCAAAAGTTTAGTTTTCCATCTCCACAGCATGGGTTATCCCAGCAGTCTCAAAGGCTCACACCTGTTTCACTGGCTCAGCTTTGCCGTCAACGGGAGATGTGGAGATATGCTGCAATATCGTTCCAGTTTCAATAACATACCACGCTGGACTAATGCCTTCTGTGTGGCTTTTTTTTTCTTTTTTAAGAATATCAAAATGCTAGGGGCTTGAGAGAGATTTAAACATTTCACCTGGTACAAGTAGCATTAGGACTTTCAAAAATACCAAATTGTTCACATCACAATGTTTCACTTAACGCTACACTTTACGAGCTGGCCATCAAAATCCTCTTCTACTTCATACCTACTCTCCTCATTTATCACTTTCTGGTTTCTAAGGTACTAAAGTATTGAAAAAGAAAAACACAATGCTCAGGTTCTGGAAGGC
Organism: Homo sapiens; assembly: GCF_000001405.40. Taxonomy (NCBI): domain Eukaryota; kingdom Metazoa; phylum Chordata; class Mammalia; order Primates; family Hominidae; genus Homo; species Homo sapiens. Next base: position 40,591,013 of record NC_000013.11, read on the forward strand.
CTCTCGGAGGATGGGGCCTGGGGACAGATGGAGGACCCCTTTATACCAAAGGCAAGAGGACTAGCAGTCCCAAGTGGAGAGGGAGGACTGCTTCAGAGTTCAACAGAGGTCCATCGTTTCTGATCTGCAAATCAGCTCAGAAATAAAAGAGACTCTTCCTGCCAAAAAAAATACAAAGCAAGAAGGGGAGCAATGAGAAATCCAACAGGGTCAAACACCTTGAAAGGGGGCAAGCTGTAGCTTGCTGCTACTGCTAGGAGGGCAGCAGTGTTGAGTTTCCTAGCCGGGTGGCTCCCACGTTCTGGACACGGCACCATGAGGAGGTCTAGGCAGAAAGTAGCTCATAGGGAAGAGGCAAGGCTCACAAAGAGAAGGATCATCAGCAGTGCACTTCAGTCAAAGTTGGTGCAATTGAATTTTGAGCAGCTGAAGGTCCAGAGACCTCCAGGAATGGAGAAGTACAAAGCAGCCAGAGGCCCAGAACAGGAAACCTGGTGCCATACTTACTGGGCAGGCCAGCCAGGTAGGGCGCCCAAGAGGGATGATGGAAAGGACAGACAGCAGAGTGGAGACTAGCAGATGATACATTCTGGGTGGCTATAAATAAGAACGCTTTAGACCATAAAGGCCAATTGTTTTATAATTTTACTAGTCTTGTTACTTTCATAAAACTATAGCAAAAACTACTAAAAATATATATATTTTTTGAGACAGAGTCTCACTCTATCGCCCAGGCTAGAGTGAGGTGGCTCGATCTTGGCTCACTGCAACCTCCACCTCCCAGGTCCAAGCAATTCTCATACCTCAGCCTCCTGAGTAGCTGAGATATTTTTACAGCTGTGTGCCACCACGCCAGGCTAATTTTTGCATTCTTAGTAGAGACAGGGTCTCATGATGTTGGTCAGGCTGGTCTCGAGTTCCGGGCCTCAAGTGATCCACCCGCCTTGACCTCCCAAAGTGCTGAGATTACAGACGTGAGCCACCGCACTCAGCCCTATTAGAAATTTTTTGTTTCTACAGCTCCATAAGTAAATTAGAGCTCTGCCAGTAGATTAAATGAAATAAATCACTACACTTGAATTCTCACAAACTGTGACATCTGTATCCTCACCCATCAACACAACCTGTATATTACCTATGCATTACTCTTCCAAACTGGGTAAACCAGAATGTGCAATCCCCATCTTATTCAATCTTCATGCTACTCTGATCTCCAATCTCCAGCACTCCGCTTACTAAATTCCAGACAAACTAATTGAGGACCTGTATCCTGATCATGATTTAAAAAAAACAACTTCATCAAAACTCAGGACAGAGAAAGTTGCTCTCAGCTCACTGTACAATTTGTTTTGTGAACTAGACCTGCAATATCTTTGAAGGAGTTACCTTAAATTATTAAAAGCAAAAGACCCATCTATATCTCAAAGTTCCAGAACAAAGCTTTTCACTTTCTGAATAGCAGCGAAGCAGAAAAGACAACTTAAACCAGAAGGGTGCCCTGATTACTACATTCCTCCCAAACATGTTCTGAATATCTCCAATTCTCCTCTCCTGCCTCTTGGAGGAACACAACCAGAACTACAGCATCAGGTTAACCTTGTCTTGAATGTAAGCTCCTGAAGATCTAAATATTTTGTCTCACACTTTGTCTTTCTGCAATACTTAGCACAGTCAGGAAACCAGACTTTTAATAACTAAAACAGAATTTAAATTACTCCCTCACTTTTTCCAGTTTCAATAATCCCAATCCCTATTTTCCAATCCTTTACACTTTATTGCTTCACAGTGATGGCAGGCCCCTATTGTCTTCCCAAGAAATGGTAAAGGCGTGTACAGGAGGCATTTCTGGGTCTCACATGATCAAACATAATTAAAGGTATATGGTTTCTAGTACCAAACCAATAAGCAATCACTTCACAGCCTATATAAGATAATAATTATGTTTATAACACCATTAAAACATCAACTATGCCTCAAGAATAAAGGGAAGCATTTTGTTTTGGGGGCTTTTTTGTTTTGTTTTGTTTCTGAGACAGGGTCTCACTCTGTCACCCACATTGGAGTGCAGTGGCGTGATCATTGCTTACTGCAGCCTCAAACTCCCAGGCTCAGGTGATGGCCCCACCTCAGCCTCCCGAATAGCTGGGACCATAGGCACATGTCACCACGCCTGGCTAATTTTTGTTGGTTTTTTTTATAGAGACAGGGTCTCCCTATGTTGCCCAGGCTGGTCTCGAACTCCTGGGATCAAGTGATCCGCCCACAATGGCCTCACAAAGTGCTAGAATTACAGGCATGAGCCACCGTGTCCAGCCTAAGGAAATATTTTGGAATTAGACTATTTAAAATCTAAGACTCAAAGGGGAGAAGTATTGAACCTCACATCATCCTGCCACTGGAAAACAGTTCACTTCCAGGGTTTCAAGCACCAATTTACAATCATTCCAGGATGTCACTGTCTTCTTCCTAGGTAATCTAAAACTGCAGCAAAGAAAAGTTCTTACCACTGTAGACTGTGCTTTAAAAATATTTCAAGTTCACACTTCAACTATGGTAAAATGTAAGTAATACATATTACTTACTTAATACCTATTACTTACTAAACATACCAACCTATGGCTTAGTTCTATTTATACCAAAGGTAAAGGGAAAAAAAATAGTTTTATTGTTTGCTATTTTTTCAAATGGGAGTTAATTACGTAAAGAATCCTCTGGCTTGCAGTAAATCTACCCCAATATAATGTAACAAAAAAATCAGGACTTTGGATCCTTCTCTGACATCCTTCTGTGCTCCTTAAATAGATATTTCATTGGCTTTCAAGTGCTCAACTTTTGGCTCTGAGATAATTTGCATTTAGTTAAGACATTTTAAGCCACCCTGTCACCATTATAGAGAACTGCCTAATGAGGTCCCCTTAGACGAGGTCTGATTTGACAACCACCCACAATTTTAAGACTAAATTTAATACTAAAATGATCCAAGGTTTTCTAATTTCTCTGAATTTGAAAGGATTTGGTGAATGCCATTCCCTAAAGATGGGGCAGTGGGGAGGTCATATTTCATTAAGGAATATCTTCAGTTTGAAACACTTCCAAGTCAACTATATAATTATCAAGTGAACAGAAAATCAGATAAACTCACAATTTCACCTCTGACTCCTTGAACACAGCATCTCCCTCCTTGAAAAGTTAATGGATAGTGAACAAAAAGACCCACCTGATCACTTCTATGCTCTTCTGGAGTTTAAGGGGGCCAATGGGGGCAGCGGGAGCCAAGCAAAAGTCAGCCAGGATGGAGGAAGAACTGAAGAGCAGGAAGGAGTCGCAGGTGCTCAAGAGCTGGCCAGAGAATGCAAAGCGCTGGAATCTAACCCCTTCATTTCAGGGTTAAGGAAACTGAGGCCCAGGGAGACAAAGTTATTTGCCCAGTCACAAGGCCAGGAAGTGATGGGAAACAGGCCCAGGTTACCTAAATCTAGTTACTGAAAGAGCAGAATGCATGGACATTAATTAACAAAAACAAACGTTCAACCTGCCACAGTGGGGAGCACCTTTCTGTGCGTTCACCTCACACTTTTCTCCAATAAAGAGCACAAGATGAAGGCAGGGGAGAAGGCGTCAGGGAGCGAGGGTTCTGGATAATACACACGGGCTTCTCTCCTCCATGCCATCTACAGGAGATTCTGTTTTAGAGACAGGGTCTTGCTCTGACACCCAGGCTGGAATGCAGTGGTACAATCATGGCTCACTTGCAGCTTCCAACTCCTAGGCTCAAGCTATCCTCTTGCCTCAGCCTCCCAAGTAGCTAGGACTACAGGTGCAAGCCACCAAGCCAGCTAATTTCTTTTATTTTTTCTAGAGACAAGGTCTCACTATGTTGCCCAGACTAGTCTCAAACTTCTGGGCTCAAGCGACCCTCCTACTTTGACCTCCCAAAGTGCTGAGATTATAGGTATGAGCCACCGCACCAGCATACAGTAGACTTTATATATGCTTATTTGGTTTTGATTTTTATACTTTTATGAGAACTAAGATGGAATCTATCCCTCCTTTTCCCTCACAAAAGGAACATCCTAATAGCTTCACATTGCAAATGAAATACAACGTAAACAGAAAAAACTGAGATGGAGCGATTAGGAGGTTTAATAAGTCAGACTTTGCTAGAAATGCAAAACAGCCCTGATGCTAAACAGGTACACTTGGACTTTTGTTCTCTAAAGCCTAGCTTTAAAAGAGCTTGACACACTTTGTAAAGAATAAAGCCTCCATTCTATAAGCCTAACCAGTAAGTTGGAGGGGGACTGAGTACCATAAAAATCAGTGCTTCTCATACTTGAACATACAAGGGATCATCAGGGATCTATCTATCCTGTCAAAACGCAGATCCTCGTTCAGTATTGTCTGGGGGTGGGCCTGAGATTTCCTGGTGATACTGATGTCAATGGTCCATGCTACAATTTTATCTAAACTGACACATGATAATTAAACATAATTATGGAGTACTGAGTAACACTATGATACATGTATACAGTGTATAATGATCAAATCAGGGTAAAACGGGGCAGGGGTGGTAATATTTCATAAAGGGGCATATTCTGTTAGAAGGGCCACTAAGACAACTATAAAATTATCAAGTGAACAGTAACAGAAATTCAAATAAATTCACAATTTCCTCTGATTCCTTGAACACAGAATCTCCATCCTTGAACGGTTAACAAAATGACCCACCCTGATCACTTCTATGCTCTTCTGAGCATATCACCTCAAACATTTGTCATTTCTCTGTGGGCCATAAAATACAGGAGGTATTTTATGACCACATTTCAAAGTATGTTTATTTCACAATTTGGACTGCTGGCTACAAACAGTGACATGTGAGTCTCTTTCCCTCTGGTTAGTCGTAGGCCCTGTAGAAATGTCAGCTAATTTTTTTTTTTTTTTTTTTTGCGGGAAGGAGGTAGGAGTCAAGTCCAATAAATAAGTGTAAAAACATTCAGTACATGGCATGGTTATTTAATACAACAGAATTTGCTCTGAGTTGGAAGGACAGGGGTTTCAGCCTATGTGTTTATGATACAACAAAGGGACTTTTAGGCTGATAAAGTTATGGAACATGAGACTTCAGTCTTCTTATTAAATGGCCAAATGGACCAAGTGTTTGCATGAAAGCTAATCTTTCCTTTCATGAAAAGGAAATTAAACCCACTTGCTCCCGAATGGGATGATTTTCAGGAGTCCTGAGCCATGTTCTGGCAGAAAGCTGGGGTCTGTGACCATAAAGCAGGACTGCTGTCATCCAGGCAGATAATTATTATCAGGAACGCCTAACATTGCTTCTTTCTGCAGTTTCATGTGCCTTGGTGAAGATGTAAGCTTTCTGAAGACTACCTTGCATACAGCCTTTGTGGGCTACTCCATATATGAGAAATGAAATTTTAAAACTAGCTTTAGGAAGAGATGTAGCTTTGGAGATCCTGACTCAAATCCCTGCCAGTTATTAGTTACATGATCTTGGGCAAATTACTTAAGCTTTCTCTTTCTCAACTATAAAAGGAGGACAACAGATACCTAGTGAGGTTCCAGTGAGATCCTGTACTTGTGCCCAGCCAGTGAGCATCTAGGGTTAGGATTATCACTGTCACCATCAGGGCCATCCTTCTGCAACTGTCTTACTGTACTAAATATACACGTCACTAAGCACGCTCTGTTCTCAATGAAAACGGAAGTTCCATGCCAGCAACATCTAATTTTCAAACATCACTGATAACTCTTGATTTCTGCATACACATCTAAGCACTGTAGTATACTGAAAAGAAAGACCGTAAATCATATGCACAACCATTCTCTCCACTGTCCCCAGTGCCATCTCATCACTGATCCTCCCCCGCCTTCCTACCACCTCCTCTCATCCTCATTCTGTCAAAAGACAGCAAGGTACCCTACCCCAAAGGGGAGGAAGACAGCGCCTAAATCCTCATTCCACCTCCCTACATCAAGAAGAATGTGTCCTTCATGAGCCAGCAGCAACTTATCTCCCCAAGCATGGTCTAATAAGAATGGACTGCTCTTTTGCTGTCAGTTTAGTATTGATCACACGGGGGAGCCTATTTACTAAAAGCAAAAAACTACAAAACCGCTGTTTACAGACAGTTACACGTGATTAATGCTTTAATATCTAGTCTTTCCTTATACATTCTCAATCAATCACCACCATAACCCCAGAATGTATTAGGACTATTATAATTATTATTACCACAGATAAAGACAAAGGCTATTGGAGTTTGTTGCCAGAGATGAGTTCCTGGTCACCCAGCCTTGGAGCCTGTTCTCTTATTTTCTAAGGCAGACATCTTCCCAATAAGAGGGTAGTGGGAACACAAAAACATCTTTATTATCAGAATCACCTATGTAATTCAACTACACACATTTCTGACAGAGCCCAAGGCCCTTTTTTATCAGTCCGAGCTGCATCCCTAACTGTGATCAGGACCTGTAAAGGACAGCCCACCACCTGGAGGCCCTTAGTCATGGCTTCAACAAGGTCCTGTGCCAAAATGGTAAATGGCAATGCTGAGTCAAGGTTGGAGCCTAAACCCTACATCTTCCCCCGGTGAAGGGTCCTGCCCTAGAAAGAACTTTCCCCTAAGTCTCTTCTGCCAATTCAGGGCAGAAAGTAATGGTCAGCCTTGGAACGCTGCTGACTCGCACCCTGGGAGCTTCTAAGGGGCCCTGTTCACCAGGGTGAAGGCGCCTCTCTCTCACTGCCCACACACCCTTCTCCAGCTCAAAGGGCCTTTTCAAAGGGATTAGAGGTGTGCTTCAAAATCTTCATTAAGTAATTTAATAATGTGTGTGTCCAGTACTTCAGTCCCCAAACAGAAAGGAATGTGCCCAGGAGCCGGCAGGCAGAGCCACATTCTTCCTGTTAACCTGTTATGGTGGCGGGCGGTGCTCGGGCCAAGTCCTCAGAGGCTTTCCCAGCCTCAGAGAATCGGGCTCTCGTTTTCAATTTCCAACTTGGACTTTTCTCAGTTTCAAATCATAGGCTAACAGAGGTTGAAGACTGACAGGGAATAAAATCCTCTACCAAGTCAAGACTGTGATAGGCAAAACGGAACAAGCGAATGAAAGAGGCCCCAGTTCAGAGGAGGGAAATGGAAATCTACTCATGGTTAAGTGAGCAGACAGAACACCGGCGAAACTGGCTCTTCAGGTGGAATATGGCACAGGGTAGCAACTTTGTCAAGTATGATGCATTAAATACAGTAACAAATGGGCAGGATGGTAGTTTTTAGTTCAGTTTTTGGGGCTTTTCTGTTGATGTTGTTACTGTTTCTTTAAAGAAGGGGCATTCACACAAATAAATTTCTTTCCCTAAAATTCTGATTGAATTCATGACCATTTCTGATATATTATTTGCAAGAGGGAACAAAAACAAACGAATGAACAAAAACAAACTAATGAAATCAACCAGTCTTTTCCACTAGCACAAAAAAAAAATCACACAACATCAAAACTTTAAAACACAAGTTGATACTTTCTTGAATAGATTCTTTCAGGAATATTTACATATATGTGGTTCACAAGGTCACTACCCACCCAAATTTGTGGGGTGGTTTTTATGAGCTAAGTTCTTGTTTTGCCCTTCCTAATGTCCCATCTCTGAACCTGAATACACCCCCAGCTCTGCTCTACTCCCAGTGTGGTTCTGAGGCCAGCAGCACTGGCATCACTAGGAGCTGGTTACAAATGCAGGACCTTGGGCTTCAGCCCAGACCTACTAAATCAGAACTGACAAGATCCCCAGGTGATTAATATATACACTGAAGTTTGCCATCTCGCAAAATGGTTTATTATTTCATTTTCACAGCTCAATTAAGAAAGTCTTCCTTAGTCATATGTCTTCCTACTAAGTACCATTTATGGATGCTTCTCTGGTAACTAGATGACTTGGGAAAATAAATCTTGTTTGTTGTATGAAACACTTTTAAGATAAAGTTCTTTTTGATATGTACAATGTTTTGGGGGAAGGGAGAATTGCTTATTCCATTAAGAGCTTTCTACAACACACCCTACTGCCATTATTTCTATTGATCAAAAATTTACACTATAAACAAGAAAAAAAAAAAACAAGTATATCCACATTAAACCAAAGATACCAACTGAACAAAACATGGCAATAAAAGTCAAGTGAAAAACACGCTGAAAAAAAAAAAAAGCTTCCAAGGTCTGTTTGCAGAGTTAGTCTTGTCAGGGAAGAATTTATCTACTATACAATTCAGAATGAGAGCGACTGCTTCTGTCTAAAAGAGATGGGATTTCCCCCACATGCCAGGCCTTGCCCTCAGCATTTTATATACTACACTATATAATTTAAGCCTCACCACAGCCTTACACGATTGGCACTGTTTTACTGAGGTCTAATTTACACACAGCCAAAGGCTCAAATGGGCTGTGTACAGCTGGACGAAGTTTTGTACGTGGACCCTGTGAAACCACCACTCACAGGTACTGTCACTTACTAGCACTTATGTTCGTTTTGTTTATTGAAATTTATACAAATGGAATCGTGTGGCATGTGTCTTTGTGAGCCTGGCTTTTTTCATTGAGTGGTTCTAGATAGGGTGGGTACGGAAAAGGGATGCCCTGCTAGGAGCACAGAAAAGTGTAAAATACCTCAAAGGGAGGGAGTGCCCCTCCTCCGGCCTCGGAGGGGTGGTAGAGGAATCTGTAGGAAAGGAAGCTGGAAAGATGGGCCTTTCAGATGGTGAGTGGTCTTGATGCCCAGCAAAAGGATTTAGATTTTATCCTCAAAGTAGCAGAGTGTCTGAAGATGCTTCAGGAGGTGAAATGTTATAATTAAAGTGATGTGTCATCTTGCCCACAGCAGAGTGAAGGAGGAAACTGGAGGCAGCAAGCCGATGAAAAGACCAGTGTAGTGACCCAAGTATGAAATGATGAAATGGTTCCAGCCAACCAGGGGAAGAGAAAGAGGAAAACTCCAAGAAGCTTCAACTCCATGCTCTACTGTGGAGGCAACAGAGTTGAACTGGAGTTTTTCCCACTGACCCAGCGCTGAAAACTATCCTCACCTAAAAAATTATGGTAAGTGCTATTCAAAACCTGATGACTTCAGGAGGAGAAACCCATTTCAAAGAGGAAGACAAGTTCAAGGCAACAGCCAGCCAACTGGTCCCCACTGAGTTGACAAATTAGACCAAAGCTCAGGAGAAAAGATGGAGAGAAATGGACACGAGAGGTGAAGAACAAGATAGCTGGAATTAAATCGGCCTCCAGAAACCATCTGTGTGTGTGTCAAGGTGACAGGCTGAACCAGTCAGAAGGCATCACCACGGAAGTGCACAGGGGCTTTACCTTGGGGGGCACTCACATAGATTAGTAAAAGGAGTCTGCAACATGACAGGAAGAGCGTAGGAGTATGATAAAAATCAAAGACTGTAGCATTAGCAACAATTCCTGCCAATTAGGCATCCAAAATTTAAAGACGCCCTTTCTCAACTCCAACTACTGCAAATGCTGAGTCAGATTCTCCCAAAAAACACAATATTTCAGAAGCTTCATTAACTCCTTCCAGCATCTTCAAAGTATTACTTTGCAAATTACTGTCTGGGTATGCTAAACTTAGTAAATTACTGTTTGGGTAGACTAAATAGTAGTTCAGTACTCTGAAAGAGTTAATGGAGCTTCCAAACTGTCTAATTTAGTCCTAAGGTGATTTTGATAGTCAAGACTCTAACTCGATTTGCATATTACCAATTAGAATTTCAAGGCAATCCAATAAACTGGGCATTCAAAATTTATGTCCAAATTGGATCTAACAGACTTTTATTTAGACTTCCTAATCATCATAAATCTTAGATGATTACAACCAATCAACAGGGGTCTTTCCTCAAGCAATCTACTACAAATTAAAGCTAAAAAGTGATGGAAAAACATAAAACCTGAGATCAGGGTTTGCAGTTAATGTATGTTTGGAAACATGAGTCTGGGCTATGACTGGTCTGTCGAAAACCATCCCACAGCCACAGATTATTATACCTCAATGCCCCCCACCACCCGTTTTCTCTTCTTTGCAGCCATCTTCCCTTTCATCAGACTACAGTAACTTCTGCCACATGACAAATTTGTTCATTAAAGCCCAGTCTTTGAAGGATATTAAATGAGAATTCCTAAGATGAGGCACGTATCTCTTCTCTAAATAAAAACAATAAATAACATAAAAACAAGAATTTAACTTTGGACTTAAAGGTGATTTTTATGTGCTCAAGTCACTTTCCAGTTATGCTGTTAATAGTATTTTACATTATTCACTGACTGAACTTTGTTAATCAAAAACAAGCTGGCAAGCTTTATACATACATTAACCAGTGGCTTCAAAAAGATAACGCATAGAAAACAAAGTGGAAGCACTGCTAAAACAGAAGCAGTCATTTTGTTTAATTAAAACAATATGGCTGACTCTTCCCTATTTTTCAAATTTTCTCTAATATTTTTAAATTATACATACAGATTTAAACACGTATTTGTTCTCAATCCCCAAGCAAACCTGAATAAATCTTCTGAATTGTCCAATATACTAAATATTGATCCTGCAATATAATACTTTAAAAAATTTCTGTTAAAATTCTCAGTGATTAAATGGGTTTTTTGGTCACATTGGCACCTTTTTAGACACGTTTCTAAAAGATGTTGTTCTTGCTTTGTTATTCTTTTGAAAAATATAGAGCAATACCTAAGCATCTTTGTACTAGTACTGTTTTACCACTAATGTCTTGATTTGATAAATACTTTGAAATGGAAATATCACCAAAGATCCCAGTTCAGACCTATTAATTTTAAAAAATAGAATTGTATCTACATTTTCAAATGTTTGCATTTTAAAAATACAGTAACTAGAACTCTCTAGAGAGGTACTATGTTATCAATAATAATGAAATTACATATGCATAGCTTTCAGAGCCAAGAGGCACTAGCTGAAACTACATGACATAGAAAGATTCATGTAAACCTTAGTCCCATCACTAAAGCAAAAGACAAGCATTCTGGTTTTCTCAATTTATTAATATTTTGAGTTCCATCACAGTAGTTTTTTACTAACTACAAATTAAGTAGCCAATCTATGCCTTAATTGCAGGAATAATATGCTTAATATGCTTTCCCCCTCCCTCACTTTCTGAAGATGAATCTGAGCAAAAGAAATGTAGCAAGAACAACCATGTGACAGTGAATCTAAACATGTTCTATGGCATTTAAATTAGTCATTTGCAAGAAACTAAGCCGGCTATCCACAGAGAAATTTTCAAAAGGAATAGGTATATGAGATAACTAAAAGCTTTCAAAGAAAATGTTTAAAGTCTTTTCTCTTTTTCCCCAGTCTCACTTTTGAGGACAAGAAAATTTTAAAATTCAAAGCATAAAACTCATTAATACCGATCCCTTAGGGGATTAAATGTGGAGGGTGGGGGAAGATACATAATCAATGTACCCGAAAAAAAGAAAGAAATTCACATAAACAATGTAAAAGATTATTTCAAACATGAAGGGGGAGAGATTTATCTTCACCTGCTAATACAGCTTAATGCTCGTGTTTTTCTACCCAAGGTCATTTACATTTTTTAAAATGGTTGTTTTAATTTCATTCCAACACAATGCATTCTATCTAGATGGCATGATTTACAAAACCCTGATACAGCACCTTTCAACACTACCTGCCAATCATTTAAGGCTTTTCCAGGATTTGTGTCAGAGATTTAGGTATAGGTTAGCAGCAAATCCTTCTTAGTTGACACATGTGAAGATGGTCCCAAATGCAAAACAAAACAAAACATACTACCAAGCTCACCTACCTGGTAAGTCTTCTGCAAGTTACACTACCATAAAATTAGTAGAGTTCAAGGTCCCAATCCAGAGGCAACTTCATGTAGGATGAGTGATGGATGGATGGGAATGAACACCACACATGCTCTGCTCATACACTCACTCCCTACGTCACTCCACAACTAGGCCACTAATGCAGATCTCAATCTGACAGAGCCATTTCCTCAGTTACAATTCAGGGGGCTGCCAATGGTCCTTCAGGTCTCTCCCAGCTTACGATGCCTGTACCGTGTATTTCCATTTTAGGCTTCTCTCAGGACATGCTTAAGATAAATCTTATTTTATTACAGGGTAATGAGGAGAAACAATATGTATCCTAAAGAAAGTAGGTTAGCTATGGCTTTTGGCAGTCAATGCTCTTAATGCTGCTATTAGGTGGAAAGGTGTTATCCAATCTCAATCCAATCCAAACCAGATGGAGACCCTAGTTGGCAGATGAATCCAAAAAAAAAAAAAAAAAAAAAGGTTGAGTTAAAGCACAGGATTTTAAATATATACATATATTATAAATAAAAAGTATGTATACCTTATATATGTGTGTGTGTCTGTACATGTGTGTGTGTACATATATATGTATTCCTTAAACATTTGCCTTAAAAATATACAGGAAACTGTGCTTGAGGTACAGCAAACCTTTGAACCAAGATACTCTGGCTAGGCTTCCATTCTTTCTTATAAACCCTAAACCCACAGTATATTGTCACCACAGATTTACAATTTGGGTTTCTTTCAAGTGTAAGAGGAATCCAACTGAACCCCTTTCATATCAATCCAACTACAGAGTTCTTCATGGTTTCCCCTAATCTTACAGGGTCTGACTGCAACTAATTTATCAGCAGCTTAAGTCTTTCAAGGGGTTCAACTTAGTTTTTCCTAAAGATAATTATTTTCACATTCATATTTAATAACTAACTTTTTCTTAGGAAAACAATTACTACTGCACAAACACATCTGAAAAAGCACAACTGAGTTTCAAGAAAACTATAACTCAACTACTGTACTAGAGCTTAGCTTTAGCAGTCAGAGTGCCATATACAATCATGAAGTGTGTTTTGTCAAGGGAATTAAGAACTGGGGTTGATGTGGTGTGCTGGGGAAGCAAAGATCAGGTGAGAAAGCTGGAGCAGATGATGGTGTCGCCACAGAAATTTATCCCGAACAATTATGTGCCAAAATGGGGCAAAGACTGGGAAAACTACAGAGTGGCTTTTTAACTGTGTGATTTATATTGAATGTGACAGAATTAGCCTAAATTTTGCAATTTCCACTAAGGAAAAAAAAAAAAGAAGACAAGACATGCCACCTAGAAGCACTATTAACACTTTAAATGTGTGTCACTTGTTCTTACAAGTCAATCTTTTGAAAAATCTAGATAGTGATACTGTATATGTATGTGCATGTACCTACATGTTATTTAAAGCATACATATGACTGAGTGCACTCAACTATCTCATAATTAGTCTGGTGTCAGATCTTTTTTTTTTTTTATCATTCTTGCCTCTGGAATAAACCATATGATCTGTATGTGGTTCTCTTGGTAGGTTTATCTTCCCATGTGCTATTTACACTTATATTAGAATGGATTCATATGCATTCAGCCCAGAATCATATTGGCATCAGGCAAGGACACCTAGCTACCAGCATCTATGACCAGGCAGACACATACACATAATCTATACTACAGAGAACTAACTGAAAGGTGATGCTACTTCATCACAAGCCTTTCTCGGCTGGAAGCTTTCTTCTTTAAACATGCCATGACAACAGGAGTCTAAACCAGACAACTCTATATTTTTTTACCTATTTGTAAATATTACTGTCATCCCTAAAAAGTCTTATGTATAAGAATCACACACTAGATTAAGATGTTATTTTTTTCTAGACAGAGGCCAAAAGTGTATTCATTTAACATTATAGACAGTAAAACAGCTATATGTTAACATCCTTTCTAAAATTCAATTGGTTCCTATTAGACACAAACCCTTTCCTCTAGTTCCCAGCCTCAGGAATGCAGATTTTGCTATGAATAATAATTTGTTAAACGCTATAGAAACCTGGAATCTTTGTTTCCAGAATTTAAAAACTGGTACATATTTGATTTACTGATTTACTAAAAATAAAATAAAATTAGTGATGTTCTTTATCATTTACTTTTAAAAACCTGAATATATCATATATATGTATATGTTGATATATATAAAATACATATAAATATATATTTTTAGTCAATGGTCATCCAATCCTCATTTTTAGTCACCAAAACCACACACTGCGTGGGCAACTCTATAATAAAACACAGTTACTAACAAATGTTTATAGAAGTAAATAAATAGAAAAATAAAATTCTTAAAATTCACTGCTCGACCATATCATTTTTTTTCCTGATCAAGGAAAATTCCAGGATATTTTGAGAGAATTCCAGAGTACCTGGAGATGCTCTGTTACAACACTAAGCACCCCAGCGCTCACAGTTGGTGCTTAAAACTTTAACCTAACAGTATTACCGTCAGCATTACACACACACATTTCCTACTCGATAGCTCCCTACTCTCAAAAAGAAATGATGGGGACATGGCTCCCAATTCTCCAGCCTTAACTCCAATCACACGAATCCAACCACACTGTACTTCTCAATTCCTCCCCTTTGTCCAGGCTGCTCCTCCCCCTGAATCTCCTCTCAATCTGGCCCAAAAATACAGCCTCAGCCTGTTGAAATTCTACCTAAACTACAGTGCTCATCATAGGCGTGCACTCTGTTTTTTCCTGGTTCCAACCCAATGGTGACCTTTTCTAGCCCCTAAACCCCCAAGGTACTCCCTTTTCCACCTCTCTAGTCAGTTGCCAGCAGTACGTATGAATCAGTAGCTACGTAAGCCCTGAACCTGCTTGGAGGTGTGGAAAACTAGTGTGTGAAAGAAGGCCACAAATTATACCAGTAATGCTGCTGACACTAACCACTAAGAGATACCTCTTATCAGCTGACAAGTATTGAAAAGTAGTAGGTATGAGCCTAATAATCTAGAAAACGTACATCGACCAAGTAATAATGCAAATATCAACTAATCTGGGATGACAAAAAAAAAATTATAACAATAATGTAGTGGAATTTACTGAAAGGCTTGTTCTACTTAACCAAAATACTGTAGAATAACAATTTTTCCAAATGTTATCTAGCAAGATAAAGCAAATGTAAAAATTGAAGCTCAAAATAACCTCCACCACTTTAGTGACCAAGGTGGTTTTAAACCTATCAAGTTGACAGTTTTCCAAACTGAGTTTCTATCACTCTTCAACACAGACTACACCATATCTCTCTCATCACCCAGAGCTATATAGCCTAAAACGGACTACTTCAGGGACCAGCAACATGGTTGGTTGGTTTCTTTCTTTCTTTTTCTTTCTTTCTTCTTTTCTTTAGAGATGGAGTCTCACTCTGTCACCCAGGCTGGAGTGCAGTGGCGCAATCTTAGCTCACTGCAACCTCTGCCTCCTAGATTCAAGTGATTCTCCTGTCTCAGCCTCCTGAGTAGCTGGGATTACAGGCACGTGCCACCACCACACCTGGCTAATTTTTGTATTTTTAGTAGAGATGGGGTTTCACCATGTTGGCCAGGCTGGCCTCAAACTCCTGACCTCAAGTGATCCGCCCGCCTCGGCCTCCCAAAATGCCAGGATTCCAGGTGTAAGCCACCGCGCCCGGCCATGAAAAGGGGGTTTTAAGTGACAGCACAGCATGTTATTTTCTATGGTGGGGCTGGGGGAGAGGCAGGGTGCCAAAAGCGACTGAGGAGGGCTGTAAGAGTGATTGTCCATACTAGACACTACTTGCCAGATGTCAGCCCATCTCATGCCCCTCTGCTGTCCCTCCATCCTCCCCAAGTCATAGTGCAGCCTGCAGGTCCCTGCAACTCCCACATCCAACTTCCTCATTGCCATTCCTATCTCATCACATCCCTGACCCTGCTTTAAATTCCTCAGTAACTTCCTTTTTCTATCAGGTAAAGACCAAAGTCATATCATGCAATGCTCTCAGATCTAACCCTGTCTGCCTCTGAAGCTTTGTCTCACTTTGCCTTTCCCTTCAGACTTTGTAGTTAGGCCCCCAAAAAATATTGTGCCACTTCACCCTTCCCAGAAAGCTCTCTATAAGCCCGCACATCTGCCCAACTTCTCCCCACTCCTCAATCAAGACCAGACCCAGGTTTCTTCCAAGTGAGATCTCCCTATGTCTCCCACGTGGCTCTTCTATGCCTTGGTTGGGCCTCTGGTACAGAAGGCACAGTGCAATTCTGTTTACACATCTGTCTTCCAGACAAAAACCGGAGGGCGTTGCAACCATGCTTCCTCGTGCTACACCCGGAGCGCCTAGCAAAATGCTGGGGACACAGCATCAAATGTCTATGTCAATCTTGCTTGGATGAACACTCCCAATCCTCTGAAGCAGAAAGCTGTCCATCCTAGGCAATAAATATAAGCACCAGAAAAACATCATTCTTCTTGGATACACTTTCAGGCTAGGGAATTGTTCCCCTACTAATTTCCCACTTGGGGTTTCTTCCTTCAACCATTTGTTCCTAGAGTGCTTTACTATAAGTCAGGCACTGTACTAGATGGGTGGGAGGGAGGGAGGGAAATAAAGTTATCAGGGAGCTTAAAGCCTATAGGGGAGATTCTATAACCCCAAACACAGCATTCGACAGTCATTACTCCACACTATTTAGTATTGTACACATAGGTAATACATCTCTATACACTCAATGTTTTTACTTAACCCCATTTGCCTACTAAAGTCATTCTGTTGCCTTGAGCCTACACCAACACAAAGGTGAGAATGGAGGTGCCAATAAATGAAACCTGTTATCTACAGATAAGAAATCAAACCTCAATTCTAGTGGTAGAAAGAACTAAGGAGACGGGCTAGCCCAGTATCTTCATTTTACAGAACAAGGGGCCCATGACAGAAACAGGTTACATGAATTGCCTGGGGTTCCCCCAATTGGTACACTGCTGAAACAGATTTTGAACCCAGATCTCTTAAGTCTTACCTCAATTCACGTACCCTCTTTCTTGTCCCTTACCCAGCTGTTAGTAACATGTCTCTCATGGTGTGTTACATTCGGTCCAACATCCATATGAAAAACTGAACTAGTGTTTCTTGGGGCAGAGGAAATGACAAAAGCCAAAGGCAATAAGACACCACCATATAATCTCATAACCAAAAGCTACCCTCAGCTGCTAACATTTTTAGCATTTGTGGTAGGACAGAATTATTGGTCCCAATTCTTCACTCCCTGGTAATTGTATTTCTATGGCCTCTTGTCGGTAAAGTACACTTTTCTCCTTCTTGATTCAAGAGATGCTATGGCTAATGGGATGCTAGGGAATCTGATGCTGGCAGAGACTTGAAACATACTCATACAGTCAGGCTTGCCCTCTTGCACATGACACTACCATGAGAAGAACTTACCCTAGTCGCTCACCTTCCAGCCAAGGCCTCAAAGTGAGACACATGGAGTAGGCTGCTGCAGGGAATCTCATACATGTGAGCAAGAAATAAATACATACAGTTGCATGCCACTGAGACTTTTGGGGTTATTTGTTATGGAGCAAAAGCTAACTGATACAATGTGTTATCCTTCAAGTCAAAAATGCATATTTCTCCTTGTCTGTCACTAATGTAACCCCTCAGAGTATTAGCTTGTTGTTAAAGTAGCAATCACCTTATTCTTTTTCTATTTTACATTTTATTGATTTCTCCAGGCTATCTTTTTTTCAGATTCTCTTCAGAAAAGAACATTGTCTACAAATTGAAGTGTCATCTCCAAGGCTTTTCCTGATTCTTAAGGTAGGTATTATATAAGAGGGTGGCAACAAATGTTATCCTTTCAGTGTCACGTCACAAAATGCCTCCTTTTTCCTTCAAAGCAGTAAAGTAAGATTTGTCATGATCATGGTTAATTTATTAAAGATAATTTTCAGCTCATATGATGGATCCTAGAGATAGGTGGGAAGGGGGTACGTGTATCTTCACTGCAGGTACTAAAGATTTTTAAAAGCTGTTTTAAAACCTTCAGCTGAAATAAATGTTAAAATACAATGACTTTTGGTATTTTTAATGGGCCTCCAAATCAGGGTAACTTTAAACAATGACATTCAATGTAAATGTCCTTCAATTGTGCCATTTTCCCATTCCAGCACACAGCTCAATGTCATTAAAACTACTCAAATTTAATTAATTATCGTTATCATTTGTAATTTTTGAAGCTCAGTAGACCTGAAATAAAATTACGTTTGGATGACAAAACATATTATGCAATAAAGTCATCTGGAGGGTAGAATACCAAACTGGGAGCCTACTGCTTCTTTTTTCTTCTGCTTGCCATGACAAGGTTAATTTGTTTGCTTTCTTTATTCTTCCTTCTGTTTTACAAAGGAGAGGCATACACTTACTTTGGAAAGGATGTAATTTTTTATATCAGTCTACACTGTATTAATATGCCTAGAATGTGTATAGAATTATGCATGAGTATTTGTAAATGTAAGTCTGTTTACTCAAAACCATAGAAAATACAGGTTTCAGTGCATCCTTCTTTTGATGTCAAAGGAGTATGTGATTTTCTCAGGAAAATGAAGGCTAATTTCTTCAATTCTGGACTGTAGATAATTAGGATTGACTATAAAAACAAGAGTTAAACATGTCTTCCTATTTTTGAACCAAGGCCAGTAGAATAGCACTGTCTTCAAGGAAAACTTTATTTGCATATATTCAAACTCACGCCTAAAGAAATTCTTCAGGGTGGGGGGGAAAAAAATTCCTCAAGGCCCAGGATTTTAACCTGGAGCCCATGGACAGAACTCAAGGGATTCATGACCTTGGATAGGAAAAAACACATTTTTATGAGCCGCTCATTAAAATTCAGCATTTTTTCCAATTACGAATGTAGGCAACACATCACAGTATTGGCAGTACCTGTGACTTTGACACCAATAGAAATCGGATGCCTTCACATTACAGTTGCTGTCAAAAACTCAAAATATTGTTTATTCATCTCCACCTCAAAATTATGGTGACCCGCCACTAAATATTATTTAATGTATTGATAAAGAAGCACATCTATTACCCTACGACAATTTTCACAACTGTATTCGACGTAACTGCTTTCCTTTGCAATCACATGTAATTTAATATTATGTACCCTGCGACACTGAGGACACGCTGCATCCACCTGCCACACCCTCACTCCTCAGCTGCCCGTTTTTATTAACTAAGGACATCCGGGGTGCTTTTTGTGGAAGCATGAGCATACTGTACTGAGGGAAGGGAGAGGAGATAACAACCTATTTATATATGTCTATAACAGTGAAATTTTAAAAAATGGTAATTATGATGAGGCATCTGTCTATTTGGCACCATCTAAAACCAGCAAGCAATAATTGTACAACAAGGGGGTGTTTAGTGTGTGAGGTTTAGGACATTGTGCCAGAAAACCTAAAGCATCCAAGTTGTAAAACATTGTAATAAGCAGGTAATCCTAGGCCCAGCGTCCAAGTTTCTGCCCTAACCTGTTCCTTATGATTATGATTTTAAAACATCCCAGTGTCAGCAGGTTCACTGTGAGTCAGACCTGAAATAATAAATGGCTTATTTTCCATCCTGATGGAGGAAATACATCATGGCTCATTGTGGCTCACTTAACTGAGGCTGTTTTTACAGGAAAATATAAAAATAACTAAGTCATTCTGCCTTACCATTTTTATTTTAAATTTTTTTATTAACAAAGCTCTATACTACAATCCATTTTAAAAAGAAAAAGCATGTTTCAATATAGGCTATAAAAACAATAGCTCACAAATATCTAGAAGGAAAAATAATATAAACTCAGAAAATTATGCTTGTAACCAACGAATACCCTGCTTTGCCAGGATAACCAATTAAATGCATTCACTACATCAAGATAAACTGCTGCTTATTTAAATGGTCAACCACATGGTAATGCTGTTAAAAGACAGCCAAAATCTTCTACCAGTATTCATTAAGGTTGCCAGGCCTTAAAAACCACATGTATCTATACACATACATCTACATAAATTCCAGAATGCAAAGTCTTACTTGTTGCAAACTCTCAACTGAACGTGAGGAGAAAAGTTGTATCTTCATCAAAAATAAATGCTTATTCAGTGGCATCAATACTGCACATAGGCTGTAAAACTCATCGTGACTGAGGATAAAATGAGTGAGCAATATATTCTCAGAACAATGAGTTTTGTTCTACCCTGTTACATAAACAAGTTCTATGTGACCTCACGGCTTTTAGATATGATTTATGACACCATGTCAGAATGCAATCTTATTTGTTACCCAAAACTGTGCTAGAGTGCTACCCCTATGGTGGGTTCAGACATTATTTAAAACAAACAAACAAATAAACAAACTTAAGACAGCACCACTGTAACCAATACAAGGTTACTAGGTACACACAGTGTGTATTTCAGGATATGACCAATAAATTTAGAATCATATATAAGGTCCTCAGTGTGTAATACAAATTTGAAGATAAAAATATTCATCGCTTCTGCTGATTTCGTACATTAAAACAGTTACGCCATAATTCTATCCCATCTCCTTGAAACAGTGATGCAGAGGGGAACCCTGCTAGAGGGGTTCACGTGGACTTAAATGCCCATTCCCTCCTCACCTGACTCTTCTTGTGCCCCTAAACATGGATGGCATGATAGGGAAAGAACACATCTAAAACACACGGAAGCTGTGTTTGGGAGAGAGGACGGTGCTCAGCACTCTCTCACGAGCCCTGTTATTTCCCTCCTCCCATCACAGCTACAGTACTGTCAACAGTAAAATGTAAAAACCCTAAAACCTAGGCTGGGCACAGTGGCTCACGCCTGTAAATCCCAGCACAGTGGGAGGCCAAGTTGAGTGGATCACTTGAGCCCAGGAGTTCAAAACTACCCTGGGCAACATGGCAAAACCCCGTCTCTACTGAAAATACAAAAAATGAGCCATGTGTGGTGGTGCATGCCTTTAGTCTCAGCCACTGAGGAGGCTGAGGTGGGAGGTTTGTTTGAGCCCAGGAGGCGGGGGTTGAGCCAAGATCACGCCACTGCACTCCAGCGTGGGAGACACAGTGAGACCCTGTCTCAATAAATAAATAAACAAACAAATAAAAATAAAAATAAAAACTCTACTAGAGGGCTAGGTTTTGCCCTGCCTTTTTACAGGCCTACTGAAAACAAGGTCAGTAGACTGAAAGGGCCAGCAGAAAACACAATGACTCAAGGGTTACAGTTATCCATCTTCCATTTATCAGCTGTCATGCCATAGAGACCTTGGATCTCCCCAACAAAATCCAGGCTTCCCCACCTCTCCTACAGGGTTCTAGAAAGCTCAAATGGACAGAGCACAGCAGGCAGACAGTATATCACAGACACAGCTACGAAGATAAAGTGCCATGTATGATGGCAAAAATGTTACAGGGTCTCCATGAAATTATCAGGATGACACCTCAGGTTTTTAACCTAAGAAAACAGAAGAGACTTGTGTGTGTGTTACACATATGTACGTATACACACACGTGCGTTCGCAAGCATGCCTAAGGAGATTTCTTTCAAAAAGAAGGCTGGCCCAACAATTTCAGTGGCCAAGAAATTTTATCATCCCAGGCACAACATTTCTTGTTTGCTTGATGTCAATTCCATGTACAGTAGTCCTTCCCTGAGCTTTCACTTTCCACCTTTTTGAGTTACCTGCAGTACAACACAGTAAGATATTTTGAGAGAGAGAGAAACCACATTCATCTATCTTTTATTACATTATACTGTTATTATTGGTCTGTTTTATTATTAGTTATTGTTGTTAATCTCTTACTCTGCCTAATGTATAACTATCATAGGTATGTAGGTATAGGGAAAAACGTAGTATACACAGGGTCTGATACTATCCAGTTTCAGGCACTCACTGTGGGTCCTGGAACTATCTCCCTCCTATAAAGGAGGACTACTGTGTATCGGTTTATCTACAATTTTAATGGCAACGTTTTAAAAGAGGAATGACCCACAAACTCCACTTTCCCTGCCCTCGTATTCCTTTCACCAGCAAGACAGAGGTGAAGAATTAAACTTTAATCAGCCACAATTTGAAGAAGGCTGTAAGATGATCTCCAGTATTTGAACCTTGAAATCTGGGTAAAAAAGAACACCTCATGCCTGTAAACCCCATCTCTCCATCAGGATTATCACTTGGTCAATAAGAGATAGCAAAGTCAAAAGTGTCCTCTTTTTGGAGGTGGTGTGTGTGTTGGAGGGCAGGGTCTCTGTAAGAACAGCTATAAGTAAAAGAGATATGGTGAAAGGTCACTAGTCTGTCATCTCTCTCTTCCTGAGGCACATAAGGATGTGACATAGTTACATGTGGTTTGCAAGAGGGCTCCTCCCTTTACAATCTGCTTCTCCGACACCCCTAATCTAATCAATTTTTATTTTCAGTTTGGTGTTTAAAAAAAAAAAAGTTACCACACAGAAAGGACTTTAAGTCTGAAATGTTAATCACATCAAAGTCTGGAACTTCAAAGTTGCAGTTCCCACACCAAGAGCAGCTCCGGTCCCCATCTGCAGTTTGAGTGTTAATCTAGATGGTAGTTTCTCTGATTTAAGACCTTGTTTTATGTGTACAGGGAGTGTGGCCAAGTCACAGGCACTACGAATTTGAATTTCCTGACTCTCACTTGGTTTAGTGGATGATTACGGCGTCAGCATGTGCATTTGAAACAGGTCCCCAAAGAGGAAGCACATTCAGGTCACTTGAACAAACACAAGCGTGAGCCACACCAGAGCCCTCCAGCTGACTGCCTAGCAGCAGTTACACGGTCTCCCATCAGGACCCTGTGACCAGAACTACCAGGCAGCTTTCATGGAACTGAAGTTGGATCCTCACGGCTGGTACCATTAAATGGCTTGTTTTTCTAAGAACCTGTGAAGAGCTTTAACAGACAGAAGAAAGTAAATCAGACCTCTCCTTAAAAAGAAAAAATAAAGGGTGAAAAAACTAGCACTCAACCCGGTATTTTAACTACTGGCAGTTGCCTTTCTTCTACCATGCAACACAGTGGTTTCCAAAGGTATTTTCCAGAAGTTCTGGTTCCTGATTTCAGTGGCTACTCTATTTCAGGAATAAGGACAAAACTCAATACAGAGACAAATGTTGGAAAAGTCCCAGGGAACTAACCTGGCACCAGCAGTTCTGTGCAAGTCCACCCGGCCAGGCCAGGATGCATCTAAAAGCCAAACAGTTTGCTGTGTGCTTGCTTCTCATCGTCTTCGTCTCCTCTAGCAGCTGGAAATTTTAAAGCTAGATATGTTTAACCACCAGGAAACATGCTGACCATGAGCTCAGTCCTCTTCAGAAAGTCAAGAGCACTGCAGGGAATAGGACCTCTTTTCAAAGTGTGATTCTGCAACACAATGGCACCATATTTAATTCATCTGAACATTCTACTTAGCAAGAGGGACCTACAGGACTCAAGGTCACTGGAGTTGCAAGCAGCCTGAAAACATGGTCAATGACGTTTCATTTTGTAAAGAGGAAAACTAAGGAACTGAGGGGACAGCAAATCTTCACGTAGAAGATTTTGTTACTGAGAACAACGCCAGCAACTTTCTCACAGTGCACAGTGGAAGATCTCTTGGCCCTGCAGAGAAGAAAGCACAAGGATAGTGATGCTCCCCTTATCTGGTGGCCAGCCTTCCAACCCCTCGGCCTCTGAAACACTTAGACTATTTAAACAAATGTGAACCAGAAAGTCAGGGCTAAAAGAAAACAATGAAAGCCAAGTGCTAATCCACAGAACTACAGAGCACAGAGATCCTCTCAAATCCTCATCCAGGGCCCGCTGGATTTAAACTGTGTATAAAATAAGGCCAGTTACTTAACACACTTTGTTATAAAGTTTCTCCTGAAAGGCTCATCCCTTCCTATCTTGAAAACCATGCTGAAGTAGCTAGGAGGCAAATCAATGTACACAGTAAGAGGAAGTCTTTGCCAAGCTCCAGAAGACATGGCATAGGTGGGTATGCAAAAAACCCGAAGTTCCCAATGATCACTCCCATCACTCCAGTAAGGCAGAAAAGCACACAGTGAATGCAGAGGTAGATAAAATGCACATTCATGCAGCAAACAACCGCTGAGCACCTACCACCGTGTGGGTTCAAGATAATGAACAAAACAGAGGATGCTTGTCCTTGTGGAGCCTCTGCTCTATGGTGGGGGAGATGGACAAGAATACACACTGGGGGTAGGTGGCAACAAGTGCTATGAGAAATAAAGCAGAGGGGGCCAGACGCAGTGGCTCACGCCTGTAACCC
Source organism: Homo sapiens (assembly GCF_000001405.40). NCBI lineage: Eukaryota > Metazoa > Chordata > Mammalia > Primates > Hominidae > Homo > Homo sapiens. The sequence goes on from NC_000013.11 coordinate 40,615,286, forward strand.
TAGCACTCTGGGAGGCCGAGGCAGGCGGATCACCTGAGGTCAGGAGTTGGAGACCAGACTGGCCAACATGGTGAAACCCCATCTCTACTAAAAATACAATTTAACCGGGCATGGGGGTGCGCGCCTATAATCCCAGCTACTTGGGAAGCTGAGGCAGAACTGCTTGAACCCAGGAGGTGGAGGTTGCAGTGAGCCAAGATCGCACCACTGCACTCTGGGTGACAGAGTGAGACTCCATCTCAAATACATACATACATACATACATACATACATACATACATACATACATACAGCAGAAGGGATGGTGCATGGCATATACCGGGCATGTGAGGAGGCTGTGATTATCAACAATGAGGTCAAGGAAGACTGCTTTGAAAAGGTGACATCTGAGTGAGCGAGGTGAGGTGAAGGAAGTAGCCAGACAGACATCTGGGGAAGAGTGTTCCAAAGAGAGGCAAGGGATGGTGCCAAAGCCCCGAGGCAGAAGGATGCATGGCGTGAAAGGAGGCCAAGTGACCAGAGAGACATGAAAGAGAGGAAAATGACGTCAGGAGGGCTCGGCTGTAATAAAGAGCCTTGCAGTCTGCTGCGAGAACCTCAGCTTTCATGCTGAGGGAGGTAGGCAGCCAGGGCAAGTTTGGAGCAGAGGATCCGTCTGGCCTTGCTGAGTACAGGCTGCAAGAGAAGAAAGGACAGAAGTAAGAAAAGCAGTTAGGAGACAGAGCAACCAACCTGCAGAGAAACTACAGGGGCTTGAACCAGACACGGAAGTGGAAGGGGTAAGAAGTAAAGGAACCTGGATATATTTTGAAGATAAAGATGACAGCACTGCTGATAAACCGGATGTGGGATAGGAAGGGAAAGGAAAAACGCCTTCTTCCTAAATCTGAAAGAGCTTTAGTTACTTGGAATATTTACTCAAAATGAAAAACAAGTATCTTTAGCTGAGACAAGAATATCTGGGAATGATAGTAAGGAGGATTTCTTTTTAAATGAAAAAAAAAATTAAAACGCAAAAAAAGAACACTGCACACCCTGGCACACAACAAAAAATTAAGTCAGAGAGCGCTGCAAAGGGACTAATGTTTAAAGATGTATGAAGGACAGAGAAAAAATTTGAAAGACAAGAACTAAAACAGGTACTCTGAAAAGTTCTGTAAAGGAAATGAGTCTGAAGGATGAGACGATGCTCATCTAATGAACAAGACAGGAAAAAGGATTTCAGAAGAAGAGGGACCATGGAGGGCCAAACGCATGTGGAGAAGAATGAGAAGCCCATTGGTAAACTCACAGGTAGCAGCAGCGGGAGTGGCCTGAAAAGGCCATCATGAGGGATTTTATTTATTGCTGGAGGTATCGGAAGCTACTATAGGGCAGAATAAGACTGAAATACAAGAGGGAGACGAAGTTGTGTTTCTCTGCTTAGGACAGAGTTGATCTGTGAGGCTGCATGCAAGGGGTGTGGAGGGAAGAAGGCAGAATAAAATTAAGACCTGAAGTAGACCAAGGAATGAAAAGAAAAACTGACACTACATGGCAGTCTAGATCCGGAGCCAGAGCAAAAGGGACAGATGGAGAAAGGAGCAAGGAACCAGGAAACAACGTTCTATTGCAACTCACTTCCAGTGAGCTTCTCGGGGCTCCTTTTTCAATGGAAAGCCCTCATGCTTTAGAATCTTTATGCTAACATGTGAATACATACAAAACCTGCCCACACCCGCCCTACTGGATCCAAGTCACTCGAAATAGAAATAACTGAACAGATATGTTTAAATACGATACCAAAGTATTAATTTCTGCATGAATTTCTAATGGGATAACAGAAGAGAAATGACAGTTTAGGGAACAATCTATCCTTGACCAATAACAAAGGTGAAAGGCCAGGCACAGTGGCTCACGCCTGTAATCCCAGCACTTTGGGAGGCCAAGGCGGACAGATCACCTGAGGTCAGGAGTTCGAGACCAGCCTGACCAACATGGAGAAGACTCGCCTCTACTAAAAATACAAAATTAGCCGGACGTGGTGGCACATGCCTGTAATCCCAGCTACCTGGGAGGCTGAGGCAGGAGAATCACTTGAACCCAGGAGGCGGAGGTTGTGGTCACGCCACTGCACTCCAGCCTGGGCAACAAGAGCAAAACTCCGTCTCAAAAAAAAAAAAAAGAAAGGTGAAAGGTTACTAAGAATGTTTACTACTAAAAGAGAGAAGGGTGGGAAATCATATCAGAACCCACATTCTTGTGACCAGGTAATACGTCCCCAGCATCTAGGAGCCAGAAAAGGAACTCAGTCTCATCTAATAGAGACACAGAGCCACAGTACACACGCCTTAATAGGTCAGCACTCCTCTCCTAACTATATTTGGGTGAAGGAACAGGTGGACAGAAGGAATACCAAACATGTTGGGGGGAAAAAAAATGACCTGAAAATAGGAAAAAAGATGTAAGTAACAATGTTGAACAATAAATAAGAAGGCAAAAACTAACATGATATTTCCTTTTTAATTTCAGAGATTCCTAACCAATGAAAGCATTAAGTGTTCTGTACATTGTTTGTAATACAACAAATGAGATGTATCACACTGGAAATTCTCTGAAGACAAGGAAGGAAAAGCTCCAGAGTGCAAGCCTCAGGTGATCAGAAACAAGAAATGGAGAAGTCCAGATCCCACACATACCTCAGGCCTGATGCATTCACCGGCAAAACAGAAATCAACATGTGACACGCTTGCCAAAATCACATCATCTGCCGTTCTAGATATTTCTTCCAGCGTACTGCAAGACCTGAAAACTTTTTATTTTTTTTTGGTGAGACACGGTCCCAGCTCTGTCACCCAGGCTGGAGTGCAGTGGCGCAATCTCAGCTCACTGCAACCCCGCCTCCCAGGCTCAAGTGATCCTCCCACCTCAGCATCCAGAGTAGCTGGGACAACAGGCATACGCCACACACCCTGCTAATTTTTGTAGAGAAGGGGTTTCACCATGTTGCCCAGGATGGTTTCAAACTCCTGGACTCAAGAGATCCACCCATCTCACCCTACACTCCCCTCCAAGAGCTGGGATTATAGGCATGAGCCATGACACCTGGCCCTGAAAACTTTAAATATACATGTAGAATACCACCAATTCATACTAAAATACCCACTCATCTTTCTTCTTCCAAGCTCCCAAGAGCTGTTCCACAGAACGGGATTGTATTCTGGTGGATGATTTGGCTAAGCCGAGTGATGAGGGCAGAGAGGACAATAATTGTTATTTTACTGAACAGCAGAGTTATGAAACCAAGAACAGTACAGTAGTTAAAACTAAGAACCCTGAAGACCAACAGGCCTGGATTTGAGTTGGGAAGAGATGGACAGCTCTCCAAAAAGGCACAAACAATTGAAGGATGGATACCATGGCATATGTTAAAAGCATATTGAAAGGAAAATAAGAAAGCCAGGAATCTCAGGATGAATCAGTCTAGATCTAGATCAGATGGTGGTGGTGACGAAACCTTATCTCAAGACCGTAATCATTTGTGAAAATGGGAGAAGATGGCAGCAAGAGCATCTCCACAGAGAAGAGGCCTGAGAACTCGATGAAGATTATCGGCTTATGAGAGGACCATAATCTTTTAGGCTCCCCTAGAGAAATAACATCAGAAGAACTGCAACAGTGGTTAGATGGGGTCAACAAACAACTAGCATCTCAGCCTGACTCGAGAAATGGAACAAACTGGCCGGACACCGTGACTCATGCCTGTAATCCCAGCACTTTGGGAGGCTGAGTGGGTGGATCACGAGGTCTGGAGTTCAAGACCAGCCTGGCCAACATGGTGAAACCCCATCTCTACTAAACAGATATAAAAAATTAGCCGGGTGTGGTGGCACATGCCTGTAATACCTAATCCCAGCTACTCAGGAGGCTGAGGCAGGAGAATCGCTTGAATCTGGGAGGCGGAGTTTGCAGTGAGCCGAGATCATGCCATTGCACTCCAGCCTAGGCAGCAAGAGTGAAACTCCATCTCAAAAAAATAAAATGAAATAAAGAAATGGAACAAATTACAGAGACTCAGAAGTCCCCAGAGAAAGTTCAAATGAATATTCTCTTCTAGCATAGTTGAACACCTTTCGGGGCACAGGAAATGCAACTCAAAGTGGACAAAATGGGAATCAAAATTGGAGAGCTGTGAGTCGAACAAACTCGAACAGTGGAGAGTTTCGGTTTAGTTTGGAAATCCACATAAATCATGAAAATAGAGGATCTGAAATTCATGGAGATTATACAAACATTCCACTTTCAGATAGTAACAGAGATCATATTACAAATAGGCAACAAAGGTCATCTAGTCCTGTGGCTAGGCGAACAAGAAGCCAAACCTCAGTGAATTTCAATGGTGGTAGTTCCAACATTCTAAGGACTAGGCTTGCTTCAAGGGGGAAAAATTCAGCTGAAGGATCTTTCTCAACAGTAGGAAGATTAAAAAATGGAACTGGGGGATCAGCTGGCATTCCCAGAGCTAGTGCTTCACGCACTAATTTCAGTAGTCACACAAACCAGTCGGGTGGCAGCTAACTCAGGCAAAGGGAGGCACAACAGTTTAAAGCAGCACATGTTTGGGAAAATGGGGCTAGATATAATGTTACAGTGAGAAATACAAACCAAAGATTAGGGCCAATAAGATCTACTATAAGTAGCCGAAGCTGTTCACCAATTCAGAGACACAGTGGCACTGTTTGTCATAATTCACAAAGGGAAAGTAGACCAGTACAGCAAACCACTAGAAGATCTGTCAGGAGGAGAGGTATAACTCAAGTCTTTTTAGAGCAAGATAGAGAACACAGAGGTACTGCATATACCCCATTCTCTAATTCAAGACTTATGTCAAGAATAACAGTAGAAGAAGAATCCAGCAGATCCTCAACTGCTGTACTACGACATCCAACAATCACACTGGACCTTCAAGTGAGAAGGATCCATCCCGGAGAAAATAGAGATCAGGACAGTATTGCAAACAGAACTCATCCAGAGTAGGGCTAACAGAACATACAGTCACTATTCAAAGCAATAGTGGGGGCTTCTGCCGAATCATTTCTCGTTTAGAGCGGTCACGTATTCAAACCTATGTTAGTACCATAATTCTTCCTAGGATTTCTGAGAACGAGCTTGTTGAGCCATCATCAGTGGCTCTTCGGTCAATCTTAAGGCAGATTATGACTGGGTCTGGAGAATCTAGTACTCTAAGGGAGGGTTCAACCACTAGAGAGAAGCTCTGGTTCTCCAAGTCAGAGCTTCAGAGAAATGGTCAGCATTTACCAGAGATGCATTGAGAACTGAGTAACCTTAGGTACAGTTACTGACAGCAGCCAGCACAGGGAACGGGACAGGCAGGCCCAAGGAGACAGCACTGAAATGCATGGTGTAAATGAGACCACCCAGCCTCATACCTGAAACAGTGACAATAGGGGTAGCATGTAGTTGCAAAATTCAAATGATTTAGTCAAACTGGAAAACTACTATTCTTCCCCTTGCTTTTTTTTTTTTTTTTTGAGATGGAGTCTCACTCAGCCACCCAGGCTGGAGTGCAGTGGTGCGATCTTGGCTCACTGCAATCACCGTCTCCCGGGTTCAAGCTATTCTCCCATCTCAGCCTCCCGAGTAGCTGGGATTACAGGAACCCGCCATCATGCCTGGCTGATTTTTGTATTTTAGTAGACATGGGGTTTCACCATGTTGGCCAGGCTGGTCTTCAACTCCTGACCTCAGGTGATCCGCCTGCCTCGGCCTCCCAAAGTGCTAGGATTACAGGCAAGAGCCACCACGCCCGCCTGAATACATGATTTAACCAAAGAGCAGACTGACAATCTTTCCACCCAGCGCTAGAGCATAACAGTATTGATAGTGAACCAGGTAAAATCTGTAGTGTTTGTATCAGTGACCACATAACTGGAAACAAGCTCAGGCAATTACCTTGCAGGCATGAATTTCATATTCATTGTACTGACCGATGGCTCTCAGAGAATTTCACTTGTCCGATCTGTCAGCAGCCTGTTTTAGGGTCCAACATAGCAAACAATGGGTAAAAGTGATGGGATCTACTCAAATATTGTATTTTAGTAGAACTGAATGTTCAAGCATTGTTTTGCTGAGTTACTTGTGATGAGCTAACTAGGATGAAAAATAACAGATTATATATAGTTTGAACTATTTTTGCGTGCTTTTTAAAACTTGTTATAAAGAGGAAATTTATATAACATTTAAAATACAAACATTAAATTATCCAGAAACACAAAATAATTAACATTGCTAGAACCAAATAACCTCTAAAATGTTTTTATTTTGGTAATTTTCTCATGCTAAGCACTTTTGTATCTGCACAATTCAATAGGTTAAAAACCAATCTTCTTTTCCTTAATAGCACAGCAGACTTTACTTTCAAGTTTCATAGGCTTAGTATTTATGTCTAGACATTTCTATCTAAATAAGCTTTTCATTAACTTTTTACGAATAATACCTTTTCATGAGAGTATGTGGCTGAATGTGTGCTATACATGTTATTTGAAATGTTAAATTTAATATACAGCATATCATATATGTATAGTTATATAATTCTAAGGTTAAAATATTCAGTGTACAAGTTTGGTTCTTATTTAAGCTTTTGGGCTAATACTGCGTATGGCACAATGTTTAATACTGGCAAGATCATCTCAGAGAGAAAAGGGATTCGGATATAATTTTAATATAGAGATAATTTACTGAAACATCTCTGACAATCTGACTTATTAGAAAGCAAGCAATATATAATACTGAACAAGTATTTATTCAGTAATGGAAAATTTAGGACATACAGGTTATTTAACTTGTGTTCAGCCTTTCTGTAACTTTTTTGAAAGTGCAAACAATTCTTTGGATTATTAAATAAGGTATACAATATGCATGGTTTCTCAAATTTAGTGTTAAAATCTAAAAAAAGTCTATAAAGAATCGATTGCATAGATAATACTTTAAGTTCACTTGGAGGCTAAATATTTCCAATGAAAACAAAAACCTTTAAGAGAATGCAGTTTATATAAATACAAAGTATGCATTGATGATCTATTTCTACCAATAAACATTAAAACAAACAAACCAAAAAATCTCAGATTTCACAACTGTAGGAAGAGCTAGACTTACAGAGATGTTTATTTAACCACCACCACTACCTTCAGGTGAACTGGCTGCATCTCCACAACATTCTGAGACATCAACTTTGAAATGATAGCTCACTGAAGGAGTTTCTTTTCTAGCAAAAGGCAAATCTGTCTTTCCCAAGCCAAAGAAAATCCAAACAAAAATCACCAAGCCTCCTGCCTGCTTGACATAATTCCACCATTGCCTGAGCCTGTGCAAAATGGGGCCAATAATGACTTGCTTCAGGCTTGTCATGATGAGATAGTACACAGAAAACACACAGCTCTATGCCTGGCATAAAATGGTTTTTCAAAGTTAAACTATTTTTTATCATTATTCCTCAGATTCCAATCCCCTAAAAATTATTTTCCAAGTTTACTCCTATTTTGCTCATTCCCTAAGGATCACTATAAGTAAGCGTGGAAGAAGAAGAGTGTCCTGCTCTGTAAGTAAGAAACAACTCCAGACAAGAGATTCCTTAAGGTATTATCTGCTTCCAGGGTGTGATTCAAAGGTTTAAGCCCATGCCAATCATTTCATGACTGCAAGTCTGCTATGGCAACACACTTATACAGCCAAATTCTCAGCAGAATCAATTCCTTTTATCAAAGGTACTATTAAATCAAAACAAAACCACCTGATTTGCATTTATTCACCTTTCTCTAAGTTATCCAATGGGAATGTTTAAAAAAAAAAAAGGAATACAGTTAAAGGGGAAAGAAAAACAAAACTGGCTTCTAAAAAATAACACAGCCATTATATTGAGATGCATTTCGCTCCAGGCCATAAAACATTTATCCCTTGGTAAGGCTGCTCTATGAACACAGGCTTTTTTTTTCCAAAAGTGACACGGGGGTCCGTGTGGGGCATTAGTTATTACTGTTGCTGACTATTATGAAAATCAACTTTTTTCCTCTGCATTTACGTCTGTGTGTATCACACGACAACCCAGAAGACAGATCGGTAAACTTGCCAACAACAAGAAATAAAATAAGCAATAAAATCAACAACAGAATTAAATTACACTGACAAGTTAGAATGCTGGGTTTGAAAATCAACATAAAATTGGAAGTTCAACAGTTTTTTTTCTTTTTAATGGGGAAATGTGTTTGGAGGCAGGCACAGAAATGTTTGCTGACTGTGTCATATGAACCACTGTAAGTGACAAAAAGGTGTGGTAGTCTTAGGCTGCATTAACAAATGTACAATTTCCAGATCACAGGAAATTAAAGTCTCACTACACTCAAAACTGGCCACACTATATCTGGAGAACTAGATGAGTTCTTTATTAACACACTTTAAGAAGGACATTGATAAATCAGAGCGCATCCCATAATGAGAAAGGGGTCCAGTTCTGGGGACCATGGTCAAGAAGTTCCCCAGGCCAGGCATGGTGGCTCACGCCTGTAATCCCAACACTTTGGGAAGCTGAGGCAGGAGGAGTTTGAGACCAGCCTGGGCAACAAAGTGAGACACCATCTCTTAAAAAAAAAAAAAAAAATTTTTTTTTTTTTTAATTAGCCAGGCACGGTGGCGCACGCCTGTAGTCCCAGCTACTTGGGAAGCTGAGGTGGGAGGATGGCTTGAGCCCAGGAGTTTGAGGCTGTAATGAGCTGTGATCAAACCACTGCTCTTCAGCCTGGGTGACAGCATGAGATTGTCTCAATAAATAAAAATAAGAAATAAAAGACTCCTAATCTCTGGAGATAAACAAAGCCTAGACGACCCTCTGCAGAAGAAGCCAAAAGGAGATATGTGGCCTAATCCCAATTCTAAGATTTCATGCACCTGGGGACTATTATCATCTCATAGCCTGATAGTACCACCAACAGAAAACAGGCCAGGAATGTGATCAAAGCTCTTAAAAACTAATACTGCTTAAAAAAAAAAAAAAAAAAAAAAGATCACTCAGGACATTCCTAAGAGCAAAGAGAAATATGTTACTACAGGAGTTTCATGAAAACTTACCCAGAAATTGCAGCAATGCTTTGCTTTATAACATCTAAAAATTGTGCTTGCCTATCTCATCCAATCACTTATAACATGTGTTGTAAGTGATCAGTTCTGATTCATACCACATGATAAGAACAGCACTCTGACTAAAGGGGGTGGGGTGGGAACCCCAGGGCCAGAGCACTCATCTCATCATAAACTAAATGGTAGCTAGCCAGGCAACTTGGCGGGGGGAGGTGACAGATGACACTGCATAGGAATTTAATACTTTTTAAAGTTTATCAAGTCCACTCAAATTATTTTTTTGGAAATTTTGAGAGTATATGGAATCAACCACTCCCCCAACCTGGAATCATTTTTGGTAAGCATGTAATGGAACATGGAATTACAATTTTCAAGGAGAGTATTTCGAGTAATGAAAATAACTGTCTCACTGGGAATTATGCATATAGTTTTTTATGTATATAACACAGAATATTTCTGGAAATCCATCAGATAGAAAATTTAACAATATACATTGCAATATTAAAATCTGTTTTCTACAGCTCTTTGCCAACCAATCATAAAACATGGTTTTGGATGCTAGGTAAAAGTAACAAAAAGTCTAGTAATATAAAAAGTTTTGATTGGATAAATGTAAGTCAGTAGAAATGAAAGTACTTTTTATTGTGAGAGATTAAGTGGATTATTAGTGAAGACAAAAGTCCCTAACACTTTAATGCAATGGAATTACCACACTCAGTTGAGAAAAACACAAATTAACATATTATGTTAATCTGGATTCAACGTGGGGAAAAAAGAGGAAATAAAAGCATTATCTAACTACCACAAATGTGGCATGTTGATAATTTATTGTGACCTAGAATATGACATGCACAAATATACTAATGATTGAGTACTAAATTCATCATCCAAAAACTCTAACTCAAGGGTCTCTTTCTCCACCTAAAGAAAATAAAAATAAATATGGGTATCAACAATTTTATACTGCTTGTGGTCTCCAATGCTGATGGATTACTTTTCAGCATATCCAGCAAATTCTAAGTACTGCTCAGTTTAAGTGTCCACAATTTCCCACTGTTAACACTGAAGACAGCAAGAGCAGAAAATTCGTATGTGGCCCGGTAGAAAATTCTGCTATAAAACAGAGGTTTTTTTTACAATAATCCGTTATTAGCTTAGACTCAATTACAAAGAGAGTCTAGGCTGCTCTGCCTTTGGAGTAGTCATTCTTTATTCCTTTATTTTAATAAACTTGCTTTCACTTTAAAAAAAAAAAAAAAGTTTAATTTTCCACAGGGTGGGAATGTGATTATATGATCTTGTAATTTTACATAAGGCAATAAGCACTCTAAAATATTTTAGGTATAAGTCAGAGGAAAACATGGCATATGATAGGTAATGACTTTCCTCTTACCATGTGAAAGCAGGCCTTGGCACACACATTTTCAAAAGCAATCCAAGGCAGTATAGTTTATCAATCCTACTTTATAGATTCTTAAATTCAAACAAAAGAGTTTTAAATTATGAACCAGGTCCCTGACCAGGGACCAGGATAAAGTCATCTTTGTCTTCACTACATTTTATTTTATCTTATTTTATTTATTTTTTGAGTCAAGGTCTTGCTATGTTGCCCAGGCTGGTCATGAACTCCTGGATCAAGCCAACCTCCCACCTCAGCCTCCCAAAGTGCTGGGATTACAGGTGTGAACCACCATGCCCAGCCTTACTTTTTATTTAAAACCTAAGGCTATTTAAGAAAACATCTAATATATGACATATTCTATTTAAATAGAACAACAGAATAACAAATCCTAGCCAGCAGACATTCTGATAAGAGGATATATTTTTAACTAATTCCACTTCTCAAAACATTGTAAAAGCTTAAAAGGATTCAATATTCACAAGTCTCCTGACAAAGCAACCAAGTAAGGCACTGGTCTCAGGCAGTTGTGATGTTTTAAAATAAGTGATAAACAGTTTACAACACTGAAAGCCTAATGACCTCTAAAGCTGTCCTGCTGGTGAGACAGCTCATGCCCCACACTGAAATGTTCTCTAGTCAGACTTCATAAAAGAAAGTATAGATGCATTTTTGCATTCCAGAGGTTACTGCATGTTACTAAACATGCCTAAATTTTCTTTCCTATATAGAAGATTCAGAGGTAACTCCTTGCACTTGATAAACTGTTACACACCTACAGAAATGATAACTAGGCTACATAACAAAGTTGGTAAGTTCCACCAATACCTCCCCTTTCAAAACCCGTCCTTAAAGTGAACGTCTCCATATGCTCTCTCATTGGGGAAAGATGCCTAGTTTCACTTGCAAAGACACTGGCCCATGAACTTCCCTAAACTAGGTCCATCAGACACTGCCCCGATGATACCAGTCTCAATTCCTTAAAGCTAGAGAACAAACATTCCTCCATCTAAAGCTATGAACAAGTACCCAAGGGTGACTTTATTGGCAACTGCCCTACATGCACTGAATTTCAGTCTGGCCACTGGGTCCCAAACTCCTAAAATTTCACAACCTTTTTCTAAGTAGTTACCATCAGGGCTATCACAGTGTGCAGAAAGAAGAAATGTATGCATAACAATTCCTGGACATACAACAGCCCTTTCCCAGTTTTATCTTTAAACCTCCCTGCTCTTTATTTAATTTTCCAGAACACAAGCATTAGAACACTGCAATCACCTTTGCTTCTTTTCCAGGTCCATCCCTATCCAAGCAATTTTACCAACAATTCCCCCAACCACGGCTTCCACCAACCTAAGCCTGTGGGAATCAGAGCACAAAGTCCACTGCCTCCAACTTCCTCCCCACCACCTGTATCCACCTCACTCACAACTGTTCATTTTTCCCAAACCCAGATAGATCACATTCACACACCTGCTAAAACCTCAAAACCCTTGGACACTTTAAAAATAGTTGGTCTGGCTTCTTCCAAGGTGTCAATGGCATGAAAGACTGAGAAATGCTGAGGAAATGTTCAAAGCAAAGGTAACTCAAGAAAGGTAATGCTCAAATGCACTGTATAACCCTGTACTGGATTCTGTATGAGGAGAAAAATGTCCTTGCTACTAAGGAGATTATTAGGAGACTGACAAAACTGGAACATGAAATAAAAAATACTGTATTAACAATAACTTTCCTGGCCAAGCGTGGTGGCTCATGCCTGTAATCCCAGCACTTTGGGAAGCCAAGGTGGGCAGGTCATCTGAGGTCGGGAGTTCGAGACCAGCCTGGCCAGCATGGTGAAACCCCATCTCTACTAAAAACACCAAAATTAGCCAGGCATGGTGGCAGGCGTCTGTAATCCCAGCTACTCGGGAAGCTGAGACAGGAGAATCGCTTGAACCCGGGAGGCAGAGGTTGCAGTGAGCCAAGATCGCGCCATTGCACTCCAGCCTGGGCAACAGAGTGATACTCCGGCTAAAAAAAAAAAAAAACAAACAAACAACAGTAACTTTCCTGAATGTGAATGCTGTACTACAGATCCATAATAGACTATTCTTGTTCTCTGGAAATACACATTGAAGCATTAAGGAATACAGCAGCATCACTCATAAAAGCTACCCTTGACTGGGTTGGCAGGGGAACCGTGTGTGTGTGCACAAATCTATGTACCTACAAATACAGACATATACACATGTATACATATATACATACATAAAGGATGCAAGCAAATTATCAAAATGTCAAAAACTGGTGAATCTGGGTAACGGGTACATAAAAGTTTTTTTTTATTCTTCAAACTTACCACTTGAAAAAATTTCAAAATAAAAAATTTTTTTTAAAAAGCCCTTCTTGGGGGCAGGAGTAAACTTTTCAGGGTGATGAATAATGTTCGTTCTCGAGCGTGGTGATGTTTCACAAGCATACCCATGTCAAAACTTACCAAACTGTACATTCTAAATATGTGCAGATTATACATCAGCTATTCCTCAAAAGAGCTGTTTACACACACACACACACACACACACACACACACACCCCGTGAGGGTTTCAGTCTTCCCGGGCACTCTCGCAACTTGTCTGGACAAACCTTGTCACTGTACAACCCCCTCATCCCTTTCTGCACTTTTCACCCTTCCCCTCCCCAGTCCCAAAGAACTCACCATGCTACCTGAGTCCGTCCTCTTCAGCTTTTTTGTTCACGCTACTACCACTTCCTAGAAAATGTATAGTGGAATCGACTCATACGATCTAGACCCAAATCTCAGTTGCACCAAGCCACACTCTCAAAGCCAAGTTTCCTCATCTGTGAAATGGGGACATGGCCAACCTACTGACAGAAGCAGATGAGACCTGGTGGGAGGTAACAATGGTATAGAAGTACTTTGAAATAATACAAAACACTACTGGGAATCATTACCTTCACACATCCAAAGCCCTGCAGGCTCAACCTTCCTCTCCAGGTTGTCCCCCAGGCACCTGCTCTGAAACAGACTCACCTCTCACTCCCCTGAATCAAACAGTAACTGTACTACTACAGACAAACTGTGAGACCACCTATGGCCTACCATGTATATTTTTACAAGTGCATCTCGGGAATAAAATACACTTACCCAAACTCCCAAAGAGCAGGACCTGTGGGTGTCCCACCTTTATGTGCCAGCCCAAAGCCTTGTTCATTCATCCTAAGACCTCAATACTTGAATTCAACAAGGGATTGAACTAGGATTGGATCACAATGGTTGAAGAGGCCCAACCAACAAATGGCAATGAATAGTTAAAACAACATGACTTTTTTTTTTTTTTTCAGACAGAGTTTCACTCTTGTTGCCCAGGCTGGAGTGCAGTGGTGCAATCTCGGCCCACTGCAACCTCCGCCTCCCGGGTTCAAGCTATTCTCCTGCCTCAGCCTCCCGAGTAGCTGGGATTACAGGCATGCGCCACCACGCCCAGCTAATTTTGTATTTTTAGTAGAGATGGGGTTTCTCCATGTTGGTCAGGCTGGTCTCGAACTCCCAACCTCAGGTGATCTGCCCGCCTCGGCCTCCCAAGGTGCTGGGATTACAGGCGTGAGCCACTGCACCCAGCCAAACAACATGACTTTTGAACTGCCTAAGATTTCACAGCCTCTAGAGGTATATCAAGTGCAGACTGACTATCCCTTATCCAAAATGATTGGAACCAGAAGCATTTTGGACTTTGGATTTTTTCAGATTTTGGAACATTTGCATTAAACTTACCAGTTAAGCATCCCTAATCCAAAAATCCAAAACCCTCCACTGAGCATTTCCTTTGAGCATCATGTTGCCACTCAAGAAGTTTCAGATTTTGGAGCATTTAGGATTTTAGATTTTCAGATTAGGAATATTCAACCTGCATATGGACATAAGACCCATCCACCAATGGCCCTTGCTTCACATGCTCAGTGGGTTGTGGGCTTCGGCTAAAACCTGGGAGGAGATCACAGATTCAAAGTCTCCTTGTGGGGCACTGTGTTCTGTAAGAGGAAGCTACAGTTGAGAAGGTTCAAGGCAACTAAATATGTGCTAGTAAAGTGAGCATAAATCATTCTGAAACCAGAGGACCTACAACAAGTAGCCTGGTTTGGGCTTTTCTTGTGCTCAGCAGTCAAGTGATAAGAACCTTTAACTACATTACATCTAACATTTTTAATTTACAAAATAATGCCCACCACTTCAAAAAAATTGATAGTATTATATCTTCTACCTTTCTATGTCCAAAAAATAAGGGAAGGAGGTTTAAAATATAAGTAGCTAAACCAGGAACTCCAGTCCTGCCACAATGCTAGGCATATTTGTTCTAGGAATTCAAGTCCTGCTAATTTAAACAGCAAGGGGAACTGAAACTCTTGAGAATCTCTGATTATACAGAAAATCTCGGTGTCGTTTACACACAGGGCAAGCCAAGGGGATCCTTCTAAACAGTCTGGGGCTGTTTGCTTTTGTTCTTCTTTTTGTTCCCACTGAAAAGCAAAAATCATTTGTCAACATGGAAAAACCAGCCTGGTGCAGTAGCTCACGCCTGTAATCCTAGCATGCTGGGAGGCCAAGGTGGCAGATTACCTGAGGTCAGGAGTTGAAGACCAGCCTGGCCAACATGGTGAAACCCCGTGTCCACTAAAAATACAAAAATGTAGCCAGGTGCAGTGGCGCGCGCCTGTAATCCCAGCTACTCGGAAGGCTGAGGCAGGATAATTGCTTGAACCCAAGAGGTGGAGGTTGGGGTGGGCCGAGATCGCGCCACTGCACTCCAGACTGGGCGTGGGAGCAAAACTTCTCAAAAAAAAAAAAGGAAAAACCAGGAAAAGCTTGTCACTTAATGACTGGCCTGGCAAATAGGGAAAGAGCCTAAAACTATTTTTCCCTTCCCATACTGTGAAGACTACAAGCTTTGCCAACACCACTCCTCAACACCACTCTGTCATTTTTCTTTGTCTAAATCTTTTTAATTTCTTAAATGGGAAGGAAGTTGCCTTAAAGTATAATACCAAGATTCCCGCAGGGCACCACTCTGCAGGAATGTGGTTCAGAAACCAAGAATCAAGGGGCAATGCCTCCATACAGGTGAGGATTTTCCCACCCCAAAGAGGCTTACTAAAGTTAGGGGCAATTTTCCACCTAACATAAATTATGTTGTGGGGTGGATAAGTGAGAAAGAATAAAGCCGTTATGACCAATGAGGAAAAATGAAATGGATATAAAAACATTATTGCCAAGGTCTTTGTTCCAGAGTTCTCAATCATTCAGGGCCAAGAGAGGCTGGACTTAGAGTCCTGCAGGGTGGAGTGGCAGCATTGTGGAGGAGGGATCCCTGCGAAAAGTATTTATGCTGCAACTTTTCAGCATAACCAAAGCAGACCAACAACTAGAGCTTAAGTTTAGGGCCGCATTCCATAAACTATGACTGTGACCTCATGGCATATACCAAAATCAACTCAAAAGAATCAAAGACCTAAATGTAAGAACTAATACATTAAACTCTTAGAAGAAAACATAGGGATAAATCTTTCCGATCTTGGATTAGGCAATGGTTTCTTAGACATGACACCAAAAGCACAAGCTACAAAAGAAAAAAAAATAGATACTTTGGACTTCATCAAAATTAAGAACATTTTTGCTTCAAAGGACACCACCGTTTGTACATCCATATTCACAGCAGTACTATTCACAACACCCAAAAGGTGTCCATTGAGGGATGAATGGATAAACAAAATGTGATATATACATAGAATAGAGTAGGACACAAGTTACAACATGGATGGACCTTGAAGACATTGTGCTAAGTGAAATAAACCAGTCACAAAATAGGATTCCACTCCTATAAAGGACCTAAAGTAGTCAAATTCATAGAGACAGAAAGTAGAATGGTGGCTGTCAAAAGCCTGAAGAAGGAGGAAATGCGAAGTTATTGTTTAACAGACACAAAGTTACAGTTTTGCAAGATGAAAAGAGTTCTGAAGATGGATGGTGATTACAATGGGTTGGCATAACAAAATGAAAGTACTTAATGTCACGGAACAGTACGTTTTAAAACGGTTAAGATAGTGTATTTTATGTATATTTTACCACAAATTTTAAAAAAATAGGACACTACCTCCAAAAAAAATGAAAAAACCCAGCAGGGCATGGTGGCTCATGACTGTAATCCCAGCACTTTGGGAGGCCATGGCAGGTGGATCACGAGGTCAGGAGATGGAGACCATCCTGGCTAACACAGTGAAACCCCATCTCTACTAAAAATACAAAAAATTAGCCAGGTGTGGTGGCACATGCCTGTAGTCCCAGCTACTCAGGAGGCTGAGACAGGAGAATAGCTTGAACCTGGGAGGCAGAGGTAGCAGTGAGCCAGTATCACGCCACTGCACTCCAGCCTGGGTGACACAGCGAGACTCCGTCTCAAAAACAAAACACAAAAACCCCACAGAATGGGAGCAATTATTTGTAAATCATATATATAAGGGATTAGTACCTAGAATATATGAAGAATTCTTAAAACTCAGTACTAAAAGGACAAATAACACAATTTAACAATGGGCAAAGGGACCACTTGAGCCCCGGAGTTCGAGACCAGCCTGGACAACATGGCAAAACCCCATCTCCACTAAAAACACAAAAATTAGCCAGGGGTGGTGGTGGGCACCCGTAATCCTAGCTACTTGGGAGGCTGAGGCACGAATATCTCTTGAGCCCGGGAGGCGGAGGTTGCAGTGAGCTGAGATAGTGCCATTGTACTACAGCCTGAGCGACAGAGCAAGACTCCATTTCAAAAAAAGAAAAGAAAAAAAAAGAGCCGGGCACAGTGGCTCATGCCTGTAATCCCAGCACTTTGGGAGGCTGAGGCAGGCAGACTACCTGATGTCAGGAGTTCAAGACCAGCCTGGCCAACATGGTGAAACCCTGTCTCTACTAAAAATAAAAAAAAATTAGCTGGGCATAGTGGTGCATGCCTGTAATCCCAGCTACTTGGGAGGCTGAGGCAGGAGAATCACTTGAATCCGAGCTGAAGTTGTGCCATTGCAAAAGAGTGAAACTCCATCTCAAAAAAAAAAAAAAAGGAAAAGAAAAAAAAAGGGCGAAGGATCTGAGTAGATATCTCTCCAAAGAAGATATACAAATAGCCAATAAGCATATAAAAAGATGCTTAACATTATTTAGCATCAGAAAAATGGAAAACAAAATTACAGTGATACCACTTCACACCCACTAGAACGGCTAAAATAAACAAGACAATAACAAGTGTCATCAAGGTTGTAGAGAGATGAGAATACTCATACCTTTCATGGTAGGAATGTAAAATGGTGCAGCCACTTTTCAGCAGTTTGACAGTTCCTCAAAAGGTCGAACAAACAGTTCTTATGGCCCAAGCCATTTCATTCCTAGGTATATACCCAAACCAAGAGAAATGAAACATACATATATGCACATAAAAAAACTATACATGAATAATCAAAACATTATTAATAACAGCAATAATTTTGAAATGTGGGGAGGTTTTGAAATTATTTAAAATCAACTGATAAATGGATAAAATATACTATTTCCATACAATGGCATATTAATTGGTAATAAAAAGGAATGATACTGATACATGCTACCACGGGAATAAACCTCGAAAATGTTATGCTAAGTCAAAGAAGCCAGTCAAAGGAGATCACATATTGTAAAATGATACCATTTATACAAAATGTTCACAACAGGCAAATCCATAAACACAGAGAGTAAATGCAGGTTAGGGAGATATGGGAAGAATGGGGAGTGACTGGTAGTAGATTTCTTTAGGGATGATAAAAATGAAAATTGTGGTGATAGTTGCCCAAACTCTTGCAAATACACTAAAAACTATTGAATTGTACTCTTTAAGTGGGTAAACTGTTATGTGAATTAGATCTCAATAAAGCTATTATTAAAAATAGAATGTAGATTTCTTTATCCATTTCATACTAAAAGATACATAGTCACAGTAACTTTATAAATGGCCAAGGAAAGAATTCCCAAGACTCCTTATGCTCAAGTATAGAAACTCAACTTTCCTCACCAAAGGCACACATCAGTAGAAATGCATGCTATTCCTATTTTGCCAAGCACCCAGGTTCATCAAAATAAACTTATGAATTACTGTACCTAGTAAAGCACTCACTATCAGGGTTGGAAACTGAATTATGGGAAGTTTCATACCTATTCTCTGGATGAGGCACTTTACAATCTAGTAACTGACAACAGTTCTTCAACATCAAACTGTTAGCCCACATGACAGGTATATGACAGGGTACCAGGACTGTGTGATTTTACAGTAAAATGTAAAGAAGTTTCCCTTTGCTAATAAAACTGCCCACGACAAATTCCCTTTAGTTTTTCCCAATGATACCAAAAAGCCTTGCTTTGTGTTGGACTAATCTGCAATAGAGAACTCAACAATTTAACTGGTTCATATCCACACAACTGCATACAAGAAAATGTAATTATTACACCTTGCTGTATAGACAGTATCAAATCTCACTTAGGCATTAACAAATGAACACTCCCACATTCAATAAACTAAACACAAACCTAAGAAGCTGCAGAATACACACAATTTAAGTCACTCCAAGTGTATTAGTAAGAAAAGTGAGCTAGGGCAACACAGACCCCATTTCTACAAAAAAAATTTAAAAATAAGCACCTGGGAGGCTTAAGGCAGGGCAATCACTTCAGCCTGGGAGGCCAAGGCTGTAGTGAGCCATCATCATGCCACTGCATTCCAGCCTGGGCAGCAGGGCAAGACCCTGTCTCGACAACAACAAAAAAAGAAAGCAACAAAGGTGGCTTTAGTACTTTTTTTTTTTTTTTAGACGGAGTCTTGCTCTGTCGCCCAGGCTGGAGCGCAGTGGCGCAATCTCAGCTTACTGCAACCTCCACCTCCTGGGCTCAAGCAATTCTCCTTCCTCAGCCCCGAGTAGCTGGGATTACAGGTGCCCACCACCCCGCCCAGCTAATTTTTGTATTTTTAGTAGAGATAGGGTTTCACCATGTTGGCCAGGCTGGTCTCGAACTCCTGACCTCATGGATCCACCCACCTCAGCCTCCCAAAGTGCTGGGATTACAGACATGAGCCACCGTGTCCAGCCCCAATTTTTAAAAACAAAACAAACAACCCTCTACAATTTCAACATCAATTTAGCATCATTCATTAAAATCTAAACCTCTAAACCCAACTCATATCATTTACAATTCATAAGCAATCATTTATATAAAAATCTACCTGGTAAGGCATATGGCATTGTTCTTTATTGCCTGAAACAAAGTATTAGATATCAGACAAAGAAATCGTAATACCTAGTTCTTCATTAACCAAAAAAATTTTTGAAAAATACTGGTTCCCATTCACTGTTTATTCCTCCTACGAAGAAACACAGGAGTAAATTTAAGATAAATTTTTTGCTATATGCTACTAAGTCTACAAGTAATGCTGTAATTCTGCAGCATCACAGAATCATTACAAGCTTAACATTTAGGGGAAAAAAAAACTGTTCCTGATAAAGAACACTTTAACCCACGAAGGTTAAGGACTTTTAAGGACTTAATTTCCAGTTTAATACTGCATCCATGGGGACCAGGTAGAAGCACTGTTTACATCACTGAGTCAGTTTTCAAAATATCATCATCCTGGTCAGTTTTGCTTTTACTCAGCTTTATAATCTGCTTGTCAAACAAATAACCTGCTAAGACTACAATGAAAATATTTTCATTACCACGAGTCTGGAAGAGTATTTTTACAGAGGAAAATTGAGATGTCATGTCTGGGCAATCCCTTAAGCTAAATTTCTCACCTCTAATCACTGCCCTCTACAGTCAATAAGGCTGATGCCTTGTGCAGGAAAGGCCTCTGGATGGTCAGGCACACCACTGAGGAGAGTGAGTCCTCTCCCCTCCACTGAGGGCCTGCCCTGCCCACTTCTGGGGACGTGACAGAGGTCCCAGCCATCAGGATGAGCTGTACTCTACCTGCTGCCCCTCCCTGGGGACCAGATGCATGCATGTGACAGACCCACAGTGGCGCCCATCTGTAAAAACCAGTGGGAGCCAGCACTGTGGCTCACCCTGTAATCCCAGCCCTTTGGGAGGCTGAGGCAGGCGGATCACCTGAGGTCGGGAGTTCGAAACTAGCCTGGCCAACATGATGAAACCCTGTCTGTACTAAAAATACAAATATTAGCCAGGCGTGGCATGGTGCGGTACACCTGTAGTCCCAACTACTTGGGAGGCGGAGGCAGGAGAATCGCTTGAACCTGGGAGGCGGAGGTTGCAGTGAACTCAGATCTCACCACCCTACTCCAACCTGGGCCACAGAGCGAGATTCCATCAAAAAAAAAACAAAAAACAAAAAACAAAATGGTGGGGTCTGTTAAACATTTGCCACACAAGCTGTACAACCTCAAACAAGGTAGGGTCCTCTACCTCTCTGGGTCTCCATTTCCTGACCTGTAAAATGTTGATGATACTTACACCATGAAAGGCTACTGTAAGAATAAAATAATGGGCTGGGCCCAGTGGCTCATGCCTGTAATCTCAGCACTCTGGGAGGCCAATATGAGAGGACTGCTTGAGGCCAGGAGTTCAATACCAGCCTGGTCGATATAGCAAGATCCCATTTCTATTTTTCAAAAACTTTTTTTTTTTTTTTTTTTTGAGACAGAGTTTCACTCTTTGTTGCCCAGGCTGGAGTGCAGTGGCACAATCCCAGCTCACTGCAACCTCCACCTCCTGGGTTCAAATGATTCTCCCGTCTCAGCCTCCCAAGTAGCTGAGATTACAGGCATGCACCACCACACCCAGCTGACTTTTGTATTTTTAGTAGCTGGTCTCAAACTCCTGACCTCAGGTGATTCACCCGCCTTGGACTCCCAAAGTGCTGGGATTACAGGCGTGAGCCACCACACCTGGCCAAAAAATAATAATAATATTGTTTTAAAAGAAGGAAATAACAAGAAGCCTAGCACAATACCTGGTGGAGTACAAGTGCTAGGCTGAATAAACTACTGTAATTATAAACAGTGACTTTTCCTGAATACTATGCGCTAGGTACTGTTCTTTAGGCACCTTACCATGTATTATTAATTTATGTAGCTCTCATAACAACCCTTGATCATTATTGCACCAACTTACAAATGAGGAAACTGAGGCATGAAGATTAAGAACTTCATTCACAAGTGGAGGAAGGTTGGATTCAAACTTGACAGAAAGATACCCCAACTCAACACTGTGACAGCCTTTCTGGTGGCAGTGGCAATTGATCCCATGTAAAAAGCTTATGGCCGAGCGCGGTGGCTCACGTCTGTAATCTCAGCACTTTGGGAGTGCCAAGGCAGGCGGATCAGGAGGTCAGGAGATTGAGGCCATCCTGGCTAACACGGTGAAACCCCGTCTCTACTAAAAATACAAAAAATTAGCCGGGCATGGTGACACGTGCCTGTAGTCCCAGCTACTCAGGAGGCTGAGGCAGGAGAATAGCTTGAACCCGGGAGGCGGAGGTTGCAGTGAGCCAAGATCGTGCCACTGCACTCCAGCCTGGGCAACAGAGTGAGACTCCATCACAAAAAAAAAAAAAAAAAAAAAAAAAGGTTACAATAGGTCCTGCTGGGATTTCACCCTCAACCTTACGTCTTCCTAGCTATCAAATTTTAACCAACTCAAAAAATGTCAGCCTTCTATTTTCTGCTTTCTATATATAATCTGTACTTCACCAAAGTAATGATAATAATAGCTACCATTTATAAAACACTTCCTACACAGCAAACGCTACTCTAGAACACATTTTATGTTTTGTTCAATTCTCACAACAACCTATAAGAGTTACTATTTACATTCTTCACACGAGTAAAGAGCAGCACAGGAGGTCAACTGCCCAAGTGATAAAGTTGGTAAGCACTGAAGGCAGAACTCCACCCAGGCAGTGTGACCGGCAAACCGAAGCACTTACGCACTCTACTATACTGACTTCCTCAGCAACTACTCACTTTATGGGAATAACTGGTTATTTAGATAAGCAATACTATACAGAACTGCAGAAAAAGTTCATGTTTATCTGTATTACAGATGAGACTAAGATACTGGAGGCACCACACTTAGGGTCATTTGCAAGCTGTAGTACACATTTTACTGCCAACAGTCCACTACTGAGTTAACAGTGATATGTCTACCCACTTAAAAGTTTTTGTATTTTAAAAAATTCTTGAAATTTGGTTTTTCTGTCAGTAGACTTCAGTGGCAGAAAGGCTGGAATGCTGTGAAGGTTCTTTCTGTTTCTAAATTTAGGAACAGCAAGGATTGGTTTAGGGTCAGTTTAGTACAATGACAGCAGTGAACCAGATCATTTAATTTAAGGACCTAGTAATTTAAAAGGATGCACTAGAAAAACATGTCAAGCCAGATGAGAACCTCTGGCATCACCATCATCACCATAAGGAGATAACTTATAGAGGAACGTTGAAGTGATGTAAGGAAGACATTATATGAAAGAATACATTTTTGCTTCTCCAACAAAAAAAAAAGCTAAAATTTGTCATTTTTAAATGTCTGTTTCATTCCCATTGTGTGTGAGAAACTAAATATTAAGATGTTTCCTGGGACCAGAAAGGAAAAGTAAATAGAATTCTGCCCTTAAAAGCTTACAGTCCAATGAGATTTGGGGGCGAGAGACTAACTCACAAAAAGTTCCAAGAGAGAGCACACCTGTTAAGGGGGGAATCAAAGGAAACAGAGAAATCCCATTCAATTGGGGAGGAAATCAAGACAACAAGCTTCACAAAAAAGGCAGCAAAATAGGCAGTCTGGGAGGAGGAGGAGGGGGCCTAAGGTTTCAGAAGGTGGCAATGGTCCTAGGAAAATACATGCCCACTCACGACAGTGGTGAGAAGTGGTCATCAGAAGGATGGGCACTGTATTCATACTGTGATGAGGCACTGAAGGCAGTAGAAACTTCAGACCATCACTGGAAGTTCTGAAATGGAAGGAAGGGGGGCAGGGCAGCGCACCACCTCTGTAACTCCAGAACAGTCACTAAGGCCAGGCACGGTGGCTCACGCCTATAATCCAAGCACTTTGGGAGGCCAATGCGGGTGGATCACCTGACGTCAGGAGTTCGAGACCAGCCTGACCAACATGGTAAAACCCCGTCTCTACTAAAAATACAAAAATTAGCCAGGTGTGGTGGTGCGTGCCTGTAATCCCAGCTACTTGGGAGGCTGAGGCAGGAGAATCGCTTGAACCCGGGAGCAG
This sequence comes from Homo sapiens, assembly GCF_000001405.40. Classification (NCBI taxonomy): domain Eukaryota; kingdom Metazoa; phylum Chordata; class Mammalia; order Primates; family Hominidae; genus Homo; species Homo sapiens. The sequence continues at coordinate 40,639,127 of NC_000013.11, forward strand.
GGGGTTGCAGTGAGCTGAGATCAGATAGTGCCACTGCACTCCAGCCTGGGCAACAAGAGGGAAACTCTGTCTTTAAAAAAAAAAACAACAACAGTTACTAAGACAATGAAAAGGGAAGCAGGGATATGGAGAAGGTTCAAGAGCCAGCAGAGTGACTCATCTCTTCAGAGGTCACAAGCCTCAGGGCTGATGGAATAGGAGGTCAGACCCTCTGACAGTCTAACCCTGCTTGGCCCTACCACAGGGTCGCCTGTCAGTAGTCCAGAGCCCTACACGTCATTCTTCTAGTTTTAGGTGCAGTAAATAAAAACACTAGTAACTAAGTTAGGAATTCTCTCAGTTTTTTATTCCAATAGTTCAAAATCACTCACTAAGCAACAAAGGCATTTTCATGCAGGAAAAAAATAAACTAATTTTGTCTAGAGCAGGGAGGGTTTCACAACTTCAGCACTACTGACACACATAGTGGCCAGCACTACTGGTCAGATAATTCTCTGTTATGGGAGGTCGGTCCTGTGCTTTGCACGGTGTTTAGCAGCACCCCTGATCTCTAATCACTAGATGCCAGTAGCAACACATCCCCACCCAAGCTGTGACAACAAAAGATGTTTCTTGAATTGCCAAATGTCAGAGGGACCAGCTGAGAACCACTAGCCCAGTCTTTAGCAGAGGAAGAATTTAGACCTAATTAGAAGTTTTTTCCTTTCTCCCTTCTATCTGAAAAATCTTCGAAAATAAAACGACTGAGAACGGGAGAGAGCAACCTTTGCCTTATGTGGCAAACCCAATCCCTCAATCCTCACGACAATCTTAGCAAGTGCTATCCTCATTATACATGTGAGAAAACCTATCCTTAAATGTTAATTTGTCCAAGGTTAAGTTAAACAAGCTTGAACGGATTTGTGACAATACTCAAGGTTCTAAACACTACAGAACCTCTGCCCCCACAGGGCCATAGATTCCACTCCTTGAATAAAACAAACATTAAAAACTCTAGATAATCCTACACTAAAATAGCACAAATCCTGTCCATCTATTAGGAACCAATTACTCAAGAAAAAGCTAAAGGGCCACACACTTCATGCAAGCATCATATGTAAAGGGAATTAAAAGAATTGCTTTAGGTCACTGTGATTTCTTTTAAAGGATAAGGAAAGGGAAAGGGAGGGACGATGAACATTATTTGGAAGCAGAGTCCTAAGCCAAGCAATGTCTGGCTCTGAAGGTAGCCCTGGTTACCACTGCCTCTGAACTACACTACACTCTCTCTCTCTAAGTATCGTCCAAAGCAAAACCAAAAGACTTTCTCAATGAGGGCGCTCCTGGGCGCTATTCTGCTCATCTGATGATCCAGTTAGAAGGGCGGCTTTAGCATCCCCCAAGCCCTGAGTCTCAGGACCTCAGTCTGGAGCAGGTCACTTCGCTTCTCTTCACCTCAGTTTCCTGTGCATGCAATAGAGACAGTACCTAATGGGAAGGACTGACCTGTTCTTAGTAAAATGTGGATGAAAGCTTAAGGATTTCTTTTTGTCCTCGTCCCTTAACTAAAGTATCAGTAGCCTTCCTGAAGCTTAAGCTCACCCCAAGAACAAAGTATTTTCTGTCCAAACAGGTCAGTGTTTGTTATTTCTTTTGTTGTTGTTGTTGTTGTTGTTGTTGTTGTTGTTGTTGTTTGAGACAGAGTTTTTGCTCTGTTTCCCAGGCTGGAGTGCAATGGCACAATCTCGGCTTACTGCAACCTCTGCCTCCTGGGTTCAAGCCATTCTCCTGCCTCAGCCTCCCAAGTAGCTGCGATTACAGGCACCTGCCACCATACCCGGCTGATTTTTGTATTTTTAGTAGAGACAAGATTTCACCATGTTGGCCAGGCTGGTCTCAAACTCTTGACCTCAAGTGATCCACCCGCCTTGGCCCTCCAAAGTGCTAGGATTACAGGCGTGAGCCATCGTGCCCGGCCAGTGTTTGTTATTTCTATGTGCCAACCCCACAGCAACAACAAGGACAAGTTTCCATTCCCCGTAAAAGGAGGTTCTTTTCCTCCGTCTTCTAGGCAGTATGTGTAGGGGGTGACAGAGCCAACAGTGAAGCCAACTAAATAGAGCCTTCCTATCCATCTGGTGAGGAAACCACAGGCAACTCCTCTTCACCACACCCTGAGCCACGACAGGGTTACTTGGTCAACTCCTCCCAACCGCTCATTAATCATCACCACAAACACACCTGAATTATTCTCCTTAGAGAACAATTCACTAATACTTTGACATAAATCTCATTATATCTCATTATATATATCATATATATATATATCATTATATATTTTTCATCTTTAAGAGTCTAGTTAACTAGCTGGATGAGCCAGTAAGACTTCTACCATAGGATTGTCAGTATGTGCATTAATTGTTTAGATTCTGTTAATTAACTGATTATTTAGCCGTTAATTTTATTTTACTTTAGTATTTCCAGTTTCAAATTTAAGTCCTAGTTTTTTTCTCCAAAATTCCAAAGATAATTATTCTCTTTGCTGTAGCAAACTGAAGTGATTAAGAGTCACAGACCTAGGTTAAAAACCCACTGACAGCTGGGTGCGGTGGCTCACACCTGTAATCCCAGCAACTTTGGGAGGCCGAAGCAGGCAGATCACTTGAGGTCAGGAGTTCAAGACCAGCCTGGCCAACATGGTAAAACCCTATCTCCACTAAAAATGTAAAAATTAGCAGGGCATGGTGGCGCATACTTGTAATCCCAGCTACTTGGGAGGCTGAGGTGAGAGGACCACTTGAACCTAGGAGGCAGAGGTTGCAGTGAACCAAGATCACACCATTGCACTCCAGCCTGGGAGACACAGCAATACTCCATCTCAAAAAATAAATAAATAAATAAATACACATTGGCATCTTGAGTCCATTTACTGTGTAACATTCAAGAAATTACTCAACTTCGTGTCTCAGTTTCCTCATATACAAATTGGGGATAGTGGGAATATCTACATTATATGTTTATGAGACTAAAATAAAAGGCATTTATAGCAGTGCCTGCCACAGTAAGCACACAATAAATATCAGCTTCTTTTTTGTAGCTAGTGTAACTTCACTGCTTTGAAAAACAGGTCTAATTCTATAGATTTTTTTCACATTCTTAAGAAGTGCTAGGATATGTAGCAGATGCAACCAAACCCCAATCTAGACATACAGTCAGCGAATGTCCTCTCAAAAAATGGGCATTCCCTCAACCAGTGTACTTCCCTCAATCAGTCTGTCTTCACTTTTGCACCGGCAACTATACTCCAAAAAGGTATCTCTCATGCCTGTCACCACATATAAATGTAAATTTCAGTTTCAGTGGAAATTTACATCTATACATCCAGACTATCAGATGACAGATATAAGCTTGGCAAACTTACCCTTTGGAATCCTAACATGATCAGCTCAGTCCTGTCTCACTGCCTATCCCATAAAAGACCCTCTAAAGTTTAATTCCAGCCCTCTGTTCTTCCCTTTAACAGCATAAATAGGCTGGGCAGGGTGGCTCATGCCTGTAATCCCAGGACTCTGGAAGGCCAAGGCAGGTAGATTGCCTGAGCTCAGGAGTTCGAAACCAGCCTGGGCAACATGGCAAAACACCGTCTCTACCAAAAATACAAAAAAGTAGTCTACCATGGTGGCGTGCACCTGTGTCCGAGCTACTTCAGAGGCTGAAGTGGGAGGACTGCTTGAGCCTAGAAGGTGAAGCCGAGACTGTGCCACTACACTTCAACCTGGATGAGACAGAGTGAGATCCTCTCCCAAAAATAAAAAATACAAATAATCTCAAGTTTGACTTGCTTGAATCCAAAATTCTCTCAAGGAGGAGAGCCTGAAAACCACAAACAGCATTTTCATTTCAAAATTGTTAATGTTTCTATTAAAAGTGTTTGTTACTTAAAATGTAATACAGGACCGGGCGTGGTGGCTCATGCCTATAATCCTAGCACTTTGGGAGGCCAAAGCAGGTGGATCATTTGAGGTCAGGAGTTTGAGACCAGCCTGGCCAACATGGTGAAACCCCGTCTCTACTAAAAATACAAAAATTAGCCAGGTGTGATGGCAGGCACCTGTAATCCCAGCTACTCAGGACACTGAGGTGGGAGAATTGCTTGAACCCGGGAGGCAGATGATGCAGTGAGTCAAGATCGCTCCACTGTACTCCAGCCTGGGTGACAAAGTGAGACTCCGTCTCAAAAAGAAAAAAAAAAAAAAAAGAAAAGAAGATACATATGTATAACTTACCCGTATTTATACACTCCAAATACAACCCACTGCAAACTCTGGGTGTATTTCCTCCCGAGTACAGCTATACAGTAGAGCCTAAGATACTTCACATAATTGAAATCAGTTGATATACAATTTTATATTCCACTTTCTCATGCTGCCAGGTTATTTCCCCATCCCATCAGAAGTTCTTCCAAAGCACAAAAACAATATAAGTCTGCCAGAGCACCCTTATCAAACTTGCTACACAATTACTAGGAATGCTAGGAAAGATAGGTCTAAAGGTTTTGATTCTTTCTTTGGTTCTGATCTTATGTTTTTATGTAAAAATATTCCATATAATCCTAATGTCCGTAATTTAAAAAAAAAAGAAAAAGAAAACCCCAGAATCTCAGGTGTGCTAAGCTTTAAGTCCAAGTATTTTGGCTAATGCTATTGCTGTATAATACAGCATAATTACACAGCTCCTTCCTTTGAGCACCTCAACTTGTCCTACAAGTACTTCCCAGCAGTATCATTATCCCCATTTTACAGATGACGATGCTAGTACCGCAGTGATGTGACTTGTCTAAATAGGAATTATCTGGTTACCAATGCAGAAACAGAACCAAAAACTCCTAATATTTACTGCAAAATTACAGATCTAAGTTAGGCTCATGAGTGCATTATAAAGAGCAAATGCTAGAGGGAATTCTGATCATTCTGACGTGACCCCAACGTGAGTTTTGGAATACTGTAGTGATCTAAAGACATCCTCCCAGGGCATGCCAGTAAATATATCTAACCAGCACCTTTTGTCCAGTGATCTCGAAGCAAGTTTTGCAGACACTAGCACTGGATGGCCCATTATCATGCTCCAAAATTACAGGTGGGAAAACTGAGACAAAGGAAATTGAAACACATGTCCCCAACAATCTGCGATTAGCACAGGACTAGACTCCTCCTCTCACCTCACCGCACCCCAAGGGGAGCCAAGTAGGCAAAGCTTCCATGTGGACTGACAAGGAGAGTGAGGACTTTACTGCCTCTAACAGAAAGGAAAAATTTACTAGGAGAGAAAAGTAGGGTGGGAGAATGAAAGGAGGACCGATTAGAAGCCAGAGATAGAGTAAAAGCCAAATCTAACCAGAGCCAGAGAAAAAAAATCACAATGTTAAGACCTGCACGTGAGTCCGGTGGGATATACCAGGTCACACATACAATGATGGCTCAGGAACTTCTAAAGTGTTTTTCAGGAGCTTAGAGGCCTTGGTATTGGACATCCCAGTTATACAATTCCCGGTTTGATTGGGTCAAACCTCTAAACTCTCAACATATAAAATGTCTTTGGGATTATTCACCCAAAACACAGAGAATGGCAGTATTCTCTCCCATCCTCATTCAAGCACAAAAGCGAAACCACCCTGAGAATTTAACTCCTTTTACTAATGTTAAGAGACTTCTCCATCCAGTCCATGGTCTCATATTCTCTAAGCCAGAAGTTAAAATTAAGAACTTCAGAATGTGAAGGCAGCCAACACTACTCATCTCAAAGTTACTAATCTTAGCATTCAACACAGATGAGGCAGGAAGGCTGCAGAATTTGCTAAACCAGACTAAACCAGACTACTGCTGGCGACAGAGTCGAGACAACACTGAAAACACAAAGGCATTTAGCTCAATGACAACAGCTGGTGACATGCACATCTAGAATACTGAAATGGCTATGACTTCTTACCTCACACCTTGGTATTTCTGCATGAGTTTGTAGTTCTCTCCTCCCAAAAGTCAAATATGAGTTAATGACATGTCACAGTAGGAAAAGGATTGGGTAGGTGCAGTTTCAGTGGAAATTTACATCTATATATCCAGACTATCAGCTGCCAGAAAAACTGTTTCCCTCCCCTTCCCTGCTCATTTTAAAGGTCCTATTTACCAGAACACTATGAAGGTAGTAAAACTATGGTAAGACAAACACATACTTACATATTTTCAGTTTAAAAGGTGAAAGTACACAGAGGTAACTTCCATTTAGCTCACTCCCCTAAGTCATTCTCCTTGTGGATTTCCTCTTTACAGGCCTTAAGGTGACTTGCATCATGTTCACGCCCAGGGTGAAGTGTATCATCACCACCTGCAAATATTTCTAAATGGGATCAGTTCTATTAATAACAATGACTATTTCTAAAGGCAGTAATAAGTAAAACAGGGTTGTTGTAGCAAACTTAAAACTCACACCAGCAACCAGCAATGACCTTTAAAGAAACTTTTCATCTAATTAAAGTTAGAGAAATTTATTCAAGTCAAATATTTTAAATGAGGGGGCCGAAAATGAGAAGGAAAGCAAAGAAGAGATGAAAAACTAGGGAAGGGGAGTAGGAAGTGATCAAAAAGTACTCATTTTTAATATCAGCCATTTAGATGTGCACCCTCAAAAGTCATGGCACTGGCCGGGTGCAGTGGCTGACACCTGTAATCCCAGCACTTTGGGAGGCCAAGGCAGCTGGAGTTTGAGACCAGCCTGACAAACATGGAGAAATCCTGTCTCTACTAAAAATACAAAACTAGCCGGGCATGGTGGCGCTTGCTGTAATCCCAGCTACTCCGGTGAGGCTGAGGCAGGAGAATTGCTTGAACCCAAGAGGCAGAGGTTGTGATGAGCCTAGATCACGCCACTGCACTCTAGCCTGGGCAACAAGAGGGAAACTCCGTCTCAAAAAAAAAAAAAAAAGTCATGGCACTCTCCATTTAGTGAATAATTGAGAACAGAACAGATAGACTCCCCACAATCTACAATTTTAATTAGTCTATGATGGATATCAGCCTTAGATGGGAAATAAAAAAATTAATGAACAAAAAGCAAGCCTATTAATTGATTATTTGAGGGGTGTGAAGGAATTGTGGTTTTCTTTTTTAAAGCAAAAGTTGACTTCTGTGACCTTTTTTTTTTTTTTTTTGAGATGGAGTCTCGCTCTGTCATCCAGGCTGGAGTGCTAATTTTTGTATTTTTACTAGAGATGGGGTTTCACCATATTGGCCAGGCTGGTCTCAAACTCCTGACTTTGTGATCTGCCCACCTCAGCCTCCCAAAGTGCTGGGATTACAAGTGTTGGTGCCGTGAGCTGCGCCCAGCCAACTACTGTGACTTCTAAAAGGTGAATATTATAAAATTCTAGCTTAACCAATTTCCCTCCGCTTCATCGAATTTTGGACATTTGAACTTCATAACAATTCATTTTTGTTTTGTTTCGTTTTGTTTTGAGACGGAGTCTGGCTCTGTCTCCAGGGTGGAGTGCAGTGGCGCAATCTCAGCTCACTACAACCACCGCCTCCCGGGTTAATGAGATTCCCCTGCTTCAGCCTCCCAAGTAGCCGGGATTACAGACATGTGCCACCACGCCCAGCTAATTTTTTGTATTTTAGTAAAGACAGGGTTTCACCATGTCGGCCAGGGTGGTCTCGATCTCCTGACCTCAAGTGATCCACCTGCCTCAGCCTCCCAAAATGCTGGGATTACAGGCGTGAGCCACCGCGCCCGGCCTGAACTTCGTAACAATTCAAAAGGGATGTTGGGGCCCAGGACACACTACCCCAAAATATGACTGTAGGAGATCAGAATATGCCACCCCAAAATATACTTCCTTGGCATATTTTGAGCTGGTTATTCTGTGAAACTGCAGACACCAGAGTAGACAAGAAAAGCTGTCCTTTTGTAAAAGAAATTTGCATCCATAAAGGAAGTCTACATTAGTAAAGTATCTGTACTAGGATTAGGACTGCTCCAGACAACTTTTATTACCTGAGAGACTTTATCCCCAAGAGCAAGACAATCTTTATTCACCATATAATTCTTCCCCTCATCCTCCTTTAACTTGTGTGGCCACCACCCCACCAAAAACCTCAAACCCTAATTCTTTTCTTAGCTCAGTATACAATATAAGCTTCAATCATGCAACCTGCATTACATTTTGTGGGACTCTTGTGCAAACATAAGTATAAATAAAATGACATTTTCTCCTGTTAGAGTCTACCATGTGTCAATTTATTTATTTCTTCCCCTCCCCTGCCCAGAGATGGAATCTTGCTCTGTCACCTAGGCGGGAGTGCAGTGGCGTGATCTCAGCTCACTGCAGCCTCCACTTCCTGGGTTCAAGCAATTCTCATGCCTTAGCCTCCCAAATAGCTGGGATTACAGCCGTGCACCACCACATCTGGCTAGTTTTTGTATTTTTAGTGGAGATGGAGTTTCACCATGTTGGTCAGGCTGCACTCCAACTCCTGAGCTCAAGTGAGCCACCAGCCTCAGCGTCCCAGAGTGCTAGGATCACAGGCATGAGCCACCGCGCCCAGCTATCTAGTGTCAATTTAAATCATGGCCCAGCCCAAAGAACCTAGAAGGATGGGGGGAAGCCATTTTTCCCTGCTATATAGCTTCTGGTGCCCAATGTGGAGCATCCTTCACTGGCTGGAACACTACTAGCTCCAGGACTGTTCCAGCTGCAGGATCCTGAGACCCTGACAAAACGCCAGCTGTAGCTAAGACTTTTTACCACATTGGGCTCCCACATCTATGCCTGCAGAGTCTGGTCAAAGCAAGAGTGGTAAGAGTCTCTTTGTCTTTTCCCCTTTATCTGTATAATCCCCATTAACTTATAGCTGAGGATGCTCTATAAGTTTCAATCATCTGACTCTTCTTCGAGTCACCAGTGCATAAGAAAATACAATTTTTTTTTTATCTTGTTAGTCTGCCTTATGTCAATTTAATTATTGGCTCAGTCAAAGAACCTACAGTAGAGGAAAGCCATATTGTGTTCCCCTACAGGGATAATTATTGATGGAGGTGCTGATTACATTCAGGAAACAGAAGCACACTCATAAACTTTTAGTTGGTAGCAACAGAACACTCCCTTCCTCAGGTCAAAATACACACCGGCTAAGAGTTCCCTTTTGTAGCTCTTCCCAACTGTTGATACTCTGTACTGATAATACTAGTAAAGGCATCACAAAAAGTTCTTTCCACCATGTATACTTAGATGCAAAACAGTTCAAAAACCCAAAAATGTCAAACTAGTCAAAAAATAAATCCAAATTAAAAAATGCAAAAACTAAATATGATTGTTAGCATTTTCTTATTATTGTGCACTATTTTCATAGGCTCAGGCTTCCATAAAAAGCATGTGCATTCAACTATACACAGCAGAAATAAAATCATTAATACTTTCTTAGTGCATTCCAATTTTACTTTTTTCCTGTCTTCCTCTGCCGAAGGAGCCAAAATGTGTATTTCCCCACACTATCACAGGAAACAAAACAAGGGAATTCCACCTAAATTGAAGGATGTCAAATTCCCAGGCATAGCCAAGCAGGATGTCAAAGGTCATGCCCCATATCTGACCAGCCCAAAATACTATTAATATATTTATAGCTAGAATGAATAACCATAAATCCAAAAGCTTTAGCCTGATGAAAGATAGAAGGGGCATTAAAAATTAAGTTTTCTAAGCCTACATGGATATGCTGTCCTAGTAACATTCAGGTTCATTTGCACAATAAACATGATCTAACAAGTCATTATGCTCTAATCAACAGCCGTTGATGTGATGTGCCTTGTGCAGGTCTGCGGGAAAGTGGCTGCTAACTTGTTTCAGGCCAGAGTAACAAGATAGCAACCTGAGAGAGCAGGGACGTCCCCTGGAGAAGTAGGCTTTTGTGCAAAAAGCCCATCACAAACCTTAAGGTTTAATAAAAGTCAATGTCATTTTAAGTGAGTCTCAGCAAGCCACACAGAAACAAGCCTCATAGGGCACATGACTAAGTGGAAAGGGGTTGTCTTCATTTCAAATCCAAGGAGTGTATTCACACAGTTAAGGATCACAGACAATTCTGTCTTGAAAAGAATCCCTCTGATGCATTACTCTACAATCTGAAGTGTTTTAAGTTCTCATTTTATCTCTCTGACTTAATTACTTCTTCCTCCCAATACCCTTTAAAATCAATTCTCTAAAAAAATGGGGGGTGGGGAGTATAAATGAGGCTTAATTGGAGGCCCCCAAGTTGTCAATCATGACAGAATTGATGACTTCTGTGGATGAAAGTGTTTTCCTTTTCCCTTCTTGCCATAAACACAGGCGGAAGTCATGGTTAGTCTAAGAAACATAACCATCAACAGTTTGTCTTTGATTAAAATGTGTCCCTATTTTCATCGCAAAGGAAATTATTAAGTAGGGTCCTCCTATATGTTCAGCATTTTACATGACCCAAGATCATTTACATCGTTCAATGAGATCACAGAGCACAATAATTATTTTAATTTTTTTCTTAAAAATATAATGTATAAGGCATACAATCAAATTAGGTAATAAATTCAGAAATTGACTCACTTCAAACATATACCCTCCAATTGTGAGGAATGAGAAATTCACCATAAATTATGAGCTCCATCTGTACTGATATATTCCCTTCATTTTATTCCACATTCCCCACATTCTTCACCTCTAGTTCAGAATAAAGCAATCACACCAAAGAATGCAATGGCACAAACTTTAACATTCAAACTATTACAGGAAAGGGGTCCCAATCCAGACCTCAAATGACAGTTCTTGGATCTCCCACAAGGAAGAATTCTGGACGAGTCCCTAGAGTAAAGTGAAAGCAAGTTTATTAGGAAAGTAAAGTAATAAAAGAATGGCTACTCCGTAGACAAAGCAGCCCAAGGGCTGCTGATTGCCCATTTTTATGGCTATTTCTTGATGATATGCTAAACGAGGGGTGGATTATTCATGCCTCCCCTTTTTAGACTATATATATAGAGTAACTTCCTGACTTTGCCACAGCACTTGTAAACTGTCATGGGGCTTGTGGGAGTGTGGCAGTGAGAACAACCAGAGGTCACTCTCGTGGCCATCTTTGTTTTGGTGGGTTTTAGCTGGCTTCTTTACTGCAACCTGTTTTACCAGCAAGGTCTTTATGACCTGTATCTTGTGCTGACCAACTATCTCATCCAGTGAGTTAGAATGCCTTAACCGTCTGGGAATGCAGCCCAGTAGGTCTCAGCCTCATTTTACCCAGCTCCTATTCAAAATGGAGTTGCTCTGGTTCACACGCCTCTTGACAAAACTACTTTTTAAGAGGTTTGAATCTCAATTAAGCTGAACAGATTAAGAATGTTTATTTCTGAGTTAGGCACCAAAGGAAGGACAGTAGGCTAAAAAGAGATCACAAAGAAGGGCAGTGACACCCTGAGGGTCCACTCCTCAAGCACAGGGACAGGCCGATTCCAAGACCAACCTAAACACTCAAGAGCAGGCAGGTAATTATTGAAGCCTGTGACAATCATGCTTTTTAAATTGTTATTTTAATAATCTGGATTCTGCTCTTGTTTAGCTTTGGTTTTTGTTGTTGTTAATTGTTGTTGTTTTTTGAGATGGAGTCTCACTCTGTTACCCAGGCTGGAGTGCAGTGGCGCAATCTTGGCTCACTGCAACCTCTGCCTCCTGGATTCAAGCAATTGTCCTGCCTCAGCCTCCCGAGTAGCTGGGACTACAGGCATGCACCACCATGCCCAGCTAATTTGTGTATTTTTAGTAGAGACTGGGTTTCACCACGTTAGCCAGGCTGATCTCAAACTCCTAACCTCAAGTGATCTGCTGACTTCAAGTGATCCGCCAACCTCAGCCTCCCAAAGTGCTGGGGTTACAGGTGTGAGCCACCACGCACTGCCTAGTTTTTTTGGTTTTTTGTTTTTTGTTTTTTGTTTTTGTTTTTTTTTAAGAAACATGGTCCCAGTGTGTTGCCCAGCCTGGACTTGAACTCCTGGGCTCAAGGGATCCTCTGGCCTCAGCCTTGCGAATAGACAAGACTACAGGCACACAGTACTCTCTCTGCCTGGATGGACTCTGCTTCCTTTTTATAAAAAGTACGTTCTAGGTACAGTTCAGAACACTGAAAGTATCAAAATGGCACTTCAAGAAATACAAAGCACCTTAAAGAAATACCCAGAATTACTGGAATATAATTCCCTAGGAGAACCACTACAGAGCACAGAGGTCACAGCAGGGAAAGTATCCACTCCAAAACCAGAAAAGAGGATATCAATAACATCAAAACATGCCTAATTACAGGAATCTTTAACCCTGATAAATTTCCTTAGTATGAATTTTTTTAATTATACCAAATAACTTCAAGAGAGGAAAAAATAAAACATTTTGATGACCTCTAAAATGTAGTCATCAACTGCTAAATGTTTAAAAATAGTGTTTTATCATCATCAGAAAGACTTCATGTTAATACAAATACATGACATACAAATATACATCTAAATATACATTATATTTATAACATAAATATACATCTAAATATACATCATATTTATAATATAAATATAAGATTATAAATAAATTCAGGTCCTACAAAATTCATTCTATCTCAAAATTTCACAAATTCAACAAACTGCTCCAGGCACACCGGTAACAGAAGAGACTGGGAGTATGGGAATCTTTCAAATTCAACGTATGTAAATGTCATAATGGGCCACTGAAGAGAAAATTAAATCCTAAAAGGTTGAAGGGGAGAGACCAATTCAGTCATACAGATTGAAGAACTCTCAGGGTAGGATGATCCACAGGAAGCTTTCCCATTCACCACATGTAAATTTCATGATGGCCTACATACCTACCCATCCAGAGAGAAAAGTTTCCAATGCAACCAGCTTGGTGCCAAGTACACAAACAACCCCAATCGATATTTACAAGTTTTGCAAGTTCCCCTCTCCTCCCTCCCCACTCCCCGTTTAGGAGGTAGCCCTGCAGAGAGAGAGTTCTGCTGCAAACAGATGAGGTAACTGTAATTCAAGAGAGCCCACTTTCTCCTGTATTCAAATCACAGTATAGTATGAATGATGGCAGGCTGAAACCTACTGGTGTAACAAACTGGTGATTCTTTTTTTTTTTTTTTTTTGAGTTGGAGTCTCTGTCGCCCAGGCTGGAGTGTAGCGGCAAGATCTCCGCTCACTGCAACCTCTGGCTCCCCAGGGTCCGCCAACACGCCTGGCTAATTTTTGCATTTTTAGTAAACACGAGGTTTCGCCATGTGGCCCAGGCTGGTATCGAACTCCTAACCTCAGGTTATCCACCCGCCTAGGCCTCCCAAAGTACTGGGATTACAGGCGTGAGCCACCGTGCCGGCCCAAACTGATGATTCTGCAAATTAAACCTCACAGCTCATGAAGGCACATCATCTCTGATACAAAATTATGGTGACTGAACATGCCTATCTTGATGTTACTTATGCAACTCTATCCTGAAGGTTAGAGAAGAGAAAAAACCTTTTTCATGTCAAAATAGAACAATAAAATCCACATTGTGACCGTTACTACCTCAAGAATCTGCCAAAATAAGAGCTTCTAGCTAAACCATATGCAAACCATTTCCTTTGACCTTGCTTCCAAGCAACCAAAATGTCTCAAGTATTTGACGTTTACTTGTATGAACCACTCCCAAATATTTATGTGGTTATTTTGCTTTCAAGCTTTGAAGGACACAACATTTACAAGCCTGGGAATTAGGTGATTCAATTATAATTTCTCTTTCCAAACTAAATTTGAAATCTAAGTGCATTTCTCTTTTTTTTTTTCTTCAAGACAAGAGTATTGCTCTGTCGCCCAGGCTGGAGTGCAGTGGCACAATCTCGGCTCACTGTAACCTCCACCTCCTGGGTTCAAGCCATTCTCCTGCCTCAGCCTCCCGAGTAGCTGGGATTACAGACACGCACCACCACGCCTGGCTAATTTTTGTGTTTTTAGTAGAGGCAGGGTTTCACCATGTTGCCAGGCTTGTCTCGAACTCCTAACCTCATGATCCACCCGCTTCAGCCTCCCAAATTGCTGACATTACAGGCACGAGCCACCACGCCCAGCCTCTAAATGCATTTCTTTTCAGGTACAGAATGCAGGGTGCCTTTTCACTCTCACCCTTGCCACTGCTGCAAGATGAAGACCCTCTCATTCTGTGCTGGGGATTCCTCACTCAAAGAGGGGTTTTCGCTCAGCCACTTGCATGGCAGGCTTCTGAGCCTGGTACCCGCAGAGGAAATGCACTAATTTTTTAATTAAAAAAGGAAAACCAATATGAAAGGAGAGGGCCGAAACACTGAGGAGACAAAGCCCAGTGCCTCCCGGCCTCAGCTAACTCTTCAGAATACCAAACCATTGAAGAAATCTTTATCTTCCCACATAATGCAAACTGGTTTCCCTCTTCCTCCTTTCCTCATTAGGCCCAAATAAGACTTAGGAGGATTAATCATGCGCATTGGCTTTTTTACTGCAGTTACAAAATACAACCACAGAGGTTCCCTCCCTTTCCTGATGCCAGGTTCACTTGGCTACTTTCAGATTTTTAACTGAGCAAAAACCCAGCCCCTCACCAGTAAGTACTTTGTAAGTACTCACCAGTACTTACAAAGGCAGTACTATAACACCTTCAAGATGGGGAAACCACGGTTTTAAACAGAAACACATATTTTCCCTCAACATGGATGCTTTATCATATCTCTAACATAGTAAGAGTAGAGAGTCACAAAACCATGACCTATATTTTCCAGACTGTTAGAACAGCAATTGAGAAAAACTGTTTATCCAAGAAATATCTTTAATGAAACAAAAAAGAACAAAAGCATACAAGGGAAGCCCTCTCTTCCACCCTCTTTCTCATCACAGTTTTGCCCTTATCAGATAAGACAGGTAGGGGTTCCAGGGCTGTTAAGCTCATGGGGTATATCATTAGGACCAGCTCTGTAACTGGAACTGCTCAAAGAATGAATGACATCTTTATTAAGACAAACATCATCTGACCAGGCTCGGTGGCTCATGCCTGTAATCTCAGCACTTTGGGAGGCTGAGGTGGGCAGGTCACAAGGTCAGGAGTTCAAGACCAGCCTAGCCAAGACAGTGAAACCTCATCTCTACTAAAAATACTAAAAAAAAAAAAAAAAAAAAAAAAAAAAAATTAGCCAGGCGTGGTGGTGGCCGCCTGTAATCCCAGCTACTCAGGAGGCTGAGACGGAGAACTACTTGAACTCTGGAGGCGGAGGTTGCAGTGAACCGAGATGGTGTCACTGCACTCCAGCCTGGGCGACAGAGCGAGACTCTGTCACAAAAAAAAAAAAAAAGAAGAAAAAGAAAAAGACAAACATCATCTAGGGAGAAAAATACATCAACGCAGAAAAAAAAGATTTTCTTTTTAGGTCTCGAAGATCTGTATACAAGATGCTGGAACCAAGTCACACTGAAAAAGTTGACAGCCTGGAAATTTCTATATGTGGCTGGCCAGAGATGTATAAAGAATACAGTGGGGCTTACTGGAGATAACAGCACTTCCCAGATGAGGGGTGCTGCAGTGTAGACCAAGGGGCCACGACACTTTAGAGGTGGTACTGGCCTCTGAGAAGGCAGAGGTCTCTAAGAATTAAAGAACTCCTATGACTTAAGGTCAGCAGAGATAGGCTATCTTGAAAGAAATGATCTACCTCCCTTCCCTGAGGGAGATAAGAACCCTCAGGGAACCCTCCCTTCAAAATTAGAACCAAGATGAGAATGAAGTTGAAGGATGAAGATGTTTTATATAATATCTTTACTTACAAAAATTAAAAGACCAAAGATGTGCTGTAATTCTGAACTTCACTGGATCTACAAACATCAATAGTGGTCGGCAGGGCGTGGGGGCTCATGCCAGTGATCCCAGCACTTTGGGAGGCCAAGGTGGGTGGATCAGTTGAGGTCAGGATTTCGAGACCAGTCTGGCCAACATGGTGAAACCCCGTCCCTACTAAAAATACAAAAATTAGCTAGGTGTGGTGGTCTCTACTATTACAGGTGTGCCTGTAATCCCAGCTATTTGGGAGGGTGAGGCAGGAGAATCGCTTGAACCTGGGAGGCAGAGGTTGCAGTGAGCCAAGATTGGGCCACCGCACTCCAGCTTGGTGACAGAGTTAGACCCCATCTCAAAAAAAAAAAAAAAAAAAAATTAGACTGGCCAGTTCCATATTGTTTCCTAGTTGGTTTTGACTAGTTTTGCCTGACATCATTAACAATCATGCAAGTGTGAGATCCTGGTGCGTCTGAAAGCTATTTTCTCCACGTGGAAGGTAACTTAGACATTTAATAAAACCTCACGGTAGTGGGCTTTTTCATTTATTTAACTGTCCCCCACCCCTCATCAGCAATGTACCTTTTAAATAAAATGTCTGCTTCTATAGGGATAAATATATTAGTAAAATAGTTTTCTACACTTCTTTTTTTTTTTTTTTTTTTTTGGCAGAGTCTTGCTGTCGCCCAGGCTCAGGCCGGAGTGTCGTGGCATAATCTCAGCTCACTACAGCCTCCACCTCACAGGTCTGAGGCATTTTCGTGCCTCAGTCTCCCAAGTAGCAGGGACCACAGGCATGCACCATCACCACTGGCTAATTTTTTGTATTTTTAGTAGAGATGGGATTTCACTATATTGGCCAGGCCAACTCCTGGCTTCCAGTGATCTACCCACCTCAACCTCCCAAAGTGCTGGGATTACAGGTGTGAGCCACCGCGCCCGGACAGCTCTCCTCAACACTTGCCATTTCTAAATGGCTGATGAGTGTTATTTAATCTACAACTGTGCCTTCTGATGTGCCACAATGCCATTTTTACTGCATAAACCTTTTGGTTCAACATGAGCTAGTCAGACTCACTCCAAGTACACTTAACAGTTAATACATTCAGTCCTATTGGACTGTAATGGTGTCAGTTTTGCATTTGGCCTATCCAAATTTAACCTCCTCTGGATCTATTGAAATATCCCATTATAATCTTCATTCTTGCATTTGGGTTAGTGGGAAGATAATTATTGCAATAAGAAAGCCATCAAGGATATCTAATATTTAGCTAAGGCAATATTAGAACTGACATTTACATTTTGAAGTATCTTTTCAAGCCAATATAACCTTCCCTCATAATTGCCTTAAGTATATTTTGAAATTGCTGACTTCAATTCAGAATTTCTCATTTTTCAAAAAAGCAAGACTTAATTTAATAGTAATCTTTCTTTCTTTGAATCACTCTGCTACCAGGACACTGGGCCTCACTGAAGTTAATTTTAAAGAACAGATCAAGCAAAAAGCTAAATACATTGTAAATGCCAACTATTCACATTAAGTCAATTACATAATCTGTTCTATGTATTGCCAAATTCCGTATGTCAGTTTCAAAATCAACTGCAGTACACTGGCTATAAATTGCATTCCATAGGTCTCCATATTTACACAAGTGTGTTCCTAAGTAGTTGCATTTTAAAATTGTTTAATGTAATCATATTTTCATAATTTCTTATTTGGCAAAAACAAAGATATCATTTGATAAATTTGGTCCATAACACAGCATTATTTTCATAATATGTCCTTTCTACCTATACTTTTCAAACTGTTTGTGTATTTCACATGCCTATCACTCTGAGAAATTTTTTTTTTTTTTTGAGACCGAGTCTCTCTCTGTCGCCCAGGCTGGAGTGCAGTGGCACGATCCAGGCTCACTGTAAGCTCCGCCTCCTGGATTCACACCATTCTCCCGCCTCAGCCTCCCGAGTAGCTGTGACTACAGGCACCCGCCACCACACTTGGCTAATTTTTTTCTGTCTTTTTAGTAGAGACGGGATTTCACCGTGTTAGCCAGGATGGTCTCAATCTCCTGACTTCGCACTCAGAGAAACTGATGCTTCCCATATTTTCAGGCCTTTATGAATGCCAGTCCACCATCCCAAAAATATATCTTGAAAATAAGATGAACTAATGGACAGAAAGATGTGCATTTACACAGATATATGATCAAGCAAGCATAATGAAATGTCATTAGTAGAAAAGGTAGTAGAAATTCTTCCAATTTTGCTGAATGCTTGAAAATTTTCATAGCGAAATCGTAAGGGAACAATCTCCCATCCTTTTTTTTCTTTTTTTTTTTTTTTTGAGATGGGAGTCTTGCTGTGTCGCCCAGGCTGGACTACAGTGGCGTGATCTCGGCTAACCGCAACCTCCACCCCTCCAACCCCCTGCCCCAAGTTCAAGCAATTCTCCTGCCTCAGCCTCACAAGTAGCTGGGACTACAGATGCATGCCACCACACTCACTTAATCTCTTCTATTTTTAGCAGTGACAGGGTGTTGCCATGTTGGCCAAGCTGGTTTCTAACTCCTGACCTCAAATGATCTGCCCACCTTGGCCTCCCAAAGTGCTGGGATTACAGGCATGACCCACTGTGCCAGGCCCAATCTCCCATTTTCAAAGCCTGGTTCAACGGCCAATACAGAACTTCATTTTTCTCTAAGACACTTAACTCTTCCCACTGTATATCATAGTTACTTACACATTGCATCTAGTCTTCCTACTGGATCTATGTTTTGAGTCATTGCTACCACTCAAAAACACCTAGCACATCTTGTACACAGTAATTATTCAACAAATAAATGGAAAAAAAAGGACTCTGACAATCTGTTGAAAACAAAATAATCACTGTTCTTTAGTTATACTACTTCTTAAATTATTCTCACATGATACAGACTGTGATATTCTCAACACACAGGAAGCTGAAATATAAAAGACCCATGTATCAAGAAAGAATTTTTTTCCTAACAACATATTTACAATGTAACTGAGAAGCCAAGACATACAGACATTAAAGTTAAATTATATATAATACACAGCAGCATGAATTAAAAGATTACCAGATATTCACTCAGAGGACAAAAATTCCTCTGGGTAGGAGCCAAGATTGGAAGTTGGTGAACTGACTTGAACCTTGCACACTGAGCAAGATCTGCTGAATTTCAGGGCTCAAGATGATCTAAGCTCTGGGGACAGGAGCGTCTAGGCCTGAAATACTAAAAGCTAAACGAGGGGAATGGTTAGCGGGTAGGAACGGAAAGTCTCAACAGACCCTGAGAAAGAAGAGTTAACAGACTTGGGAACACTAAACACCAGGAGAGTGCTCAAGAAGACACCAAGGTTTGAAAACTAGGGAAAGAACTAACTAGACCATTAACCCAACTGGGGACCTTGAAATGAGCCATCTGAGGGCAGGGGGAAATACAGTATGTTCAGTTTTAGACATGCTGGATTTGAGATAAAAGTGGGACCTCCAGAGCCTTTAGGTAACTGGATACACAAGGCAACAGAGAGTAAGTTACCTAAGAAAATACCAGAGAAAAAGTCCACAACTAGTCCTGAGGTATACTTATGAATGAGGATAGGAGAAGGAAAAATAAGCGAACCAACTGGAGAAGCCAGATGGCAGGAGGACCATTGTAATGGAATCCAAGATAAGAAACGATTTCTCAAAGCAAAGCTAAGAAAAGGAAGACGTGGCCGGGCGCAGTGGCTTACGCCTGTAATCCTAGCACTTTGGGAGGCCGAGGCGGGTGGATCACAAGGTCAGGAGATGGAGACCATCCTGGCTAACACGGTGAAATCCCGTCTCTACTAAAAATACAAAAAAAAATTAGCCGGGCGTGGTGGTGGGCGCCTGTAGTCTCAGCTACTCAGGAGGCTGAGGCAGGAGAATAGCGTGAACCCGGGAGGCGGAGCTTGCAGTGAGCCAAGATTGCACCACTGCACTCCAGCCTGGATGACTGAGCAAGACTCCATCTCAAAAAAGAAAAAGAAAAGAAAAGGAAGACTTAGGCTGGGCCCAGTGGCTCACGCCTGTAATCCCAGCACTTTAGGTGGGCAGATCACGAGGTTAGGAGTTCGAGACCAGCCTGACCAACATGGTGAAACCCTGTCTCTACTAAAAATACAAAAATTATCCAGGTGTGGTGGCATGTGCCTGTAATCCCAGCTACTCGGGAGGCTGAGGCAGGAGAATCACCTGAACCTGGGAGGCAGAGGTTGCAGGGGGCTGAGATCACGCCACTGCACTCCAGCCTGGGTGACAGAGCAAGACTCCGTCTCAAAAAAAAAAAAAAAAAGAAAAGAAAAGAAAAGGAAGACTTAGACACACACACGCCCAACTCTCATAAAGAGTGTAGCTTCAGGGATCATCAGAACAAAAACCAGAATTGGGGGCTACACAGGCTAATTCCCTAAACAGCTCTCCCTTGATTTTTTTTTTTTCCTGTAATGAATATGGCTTGAAATAAAGGACACATTTTGAACTTATGTCCTTATTAAAGTAATAAGTGAAGGTAAAAATTCACTAAATTGTATGATGAGGAGCTGCAGATTTACCTTTTTAGTAGTATTTGACTTAATATCAAAACTAACTTGCTTTTTTGTTTTCCTTTTTAGTTTTTATCAAAACTATACAAAAATGGATGAAAGAAAAAAAAAGTAGCCCAAATGCCTGCCAAGTAGCAAGAATAAGTCAACCCTAGATTCAACTATTGGCGGTGCTTAACCTACAAGTTGATAAACCACAGGGAGAAGACGGAATAGAGTAAACTGGGATGCTAATGAATAAAGCAAGTTTTTAAAAAGGCTGAACCATATAAAATAGCCAACGTACAAAAATGTGTTTTTCATGTTTCCTATGTTCCTTAGAAGACTACAAATAACAAGTAGTAATACCTACAAAAGAATTTCTGTGCCACTGACTTGATTTTTGTTCATCCTCATCAGCAACTGGCAAAGAGGAAGATGTCTTCCACACTCTAAGTATTTGTACACAGCATATCCCTTAGGCATCAAAATACATACTTTTTCAAGTACATGTGGTCTTCTGTTTCACAGCTGAGGAACACCACCAGAAGCATCAGAATTCTTTATGTACCAAGAAAAGGTGCTTGGTTATATGACCCCAGGGAGATCCTGGGGGGGCTGGGCAAGTCTCTGCAAGTTGTTGCTACAAAGGCAAAGGCAAATCTTGAACTGCAGGGAAGCAGACCAACTCCCACACAATTGAAAATTCTGCCTTCCCCAATCACTATGTGGTATTTACACTGCCTTTCCAAGAGGATCCCCAAAAAGCCCCAAAGCTACAGCACATATAGGCCAAAAAAATGGCTGGGTAAATTCCCATGATGCCAGGGAACTGGGTAGTTTCCAAGGGCAGAGTGTTCCAGAAAAATGCAAATCATTCAGGCTTCCCCAGAGAAATTCCAGCCAAATACAGCTGCTATCTTAGAAAGCCTAACACAAAACTGCAGTTTAGATGCTTGGATGAAGGGGCTAGAAGCACAAGGACAGGCAACATGTTTACAGTCTGCAAGGCATTCTAACTTGCCACTGAATATTCTTCCCCCTCATCCCATTTCGTATCGCCTCGGAGAAGATTCCTTGTGTGTGCGGAGCATGAAATCTATGTGTCTGCTGCTAATGTGATACCTTTTCAGCAATTTTGGGATCTTGAAGACCTTTAACTTTTTTCAAGTTTACATGAGAATTAAAATGCCTTATTTTCAATAGTCAAGTGTTTGTCACTTAAAAAAAACTAGTCCATGAGCAGTGGCTCGTGCCGATAATCCCAACTATTCGGGAGGCTGAGGTGGGAGGATCACTTGAGCCAGGGGCAGGCAGAGGTTGCAGTGAGCTGAGATCAAGCCACTACACTCCAGCCTGGGCAACAGAGTGAGACCCTGGCTCAGAAAAACAACAACAACAACAACAACAACAACAACAACAACAACAAAAATGAGAATCATTCAAAAAGAGGCCACTCTTCTCGCCATCCCCTCAACCAAGGACATGCCACAAAACCATGCGTAAAAAGTAAAGCTCTTGGGAGTCTGAAATGAAGTATTCCAATTTGGCATCTATTTTGGAATTTCTGAACAAAATGTTTTAGCTCTCAAATAGATTCAGGTAACTTTCAGCCCTTAATAAGATGCTACATTTAGCTGCATAACCCCCTCATCCATTTTAAATTATTTCTTCATTATCGCTTCCCCAAGTACATATACAGGATTATCAAGGCTTTCTTCTTTTTTTTTTTGGAGACAGGGTCTCCCTCTGTTGCCCAGGTTGGAGGTCAGTGACGTGATCTCGGCTCACTGCAACCTCCGCCTTCTAGGTTCAAGCGATTCTCCTGCCTCAGCCTCCCGAGTAGTTGGGATTATTGGCACGATAGCTGGGACTACAGGCACCTGCCACCACACCCGGCTAATTTTTTGTATTTTAGTAGAGATGAGGTTTCACCATGTTGCCCAGGGTGGTCTTGAACTCCTGAGCTCAGGCAATCCGCCCACCTTAGCCTCCCAAAGTGCTGGGATTACAGGTGTGCGCCACCACGCCCAGCCTATCAAGGCTTTCTTTAAGGTAATTTCAGTGACAATCCAGAAGTAGGAAAGATGTCTCAGATCCTCTAACCACTCGGTCTCACCAGGATTCTCTAAGTCAAATGTGACCATGCAACAAAAAAGCAGCCATCTTTCTAACGGGATCTCTGTGGCTGGTTCAATTACTCACCTATAGATTATACCCAAATTACAGAATATTTATTTCAAAACATAAGGAAATCCACTGTCAGTTCATAGGCCAAATAAGAAACATCACTCCCAATTAAAGATTTATCTTAAAAATAAAAAGCTTTGGGGCCAGGCACGGTGGCTTACGCATGTAATCTCTGCACTTTAGGAGATCAAGGCAGGCAGATCACGAGGTCAGGAGTTCGAGGCCAGCCAAGCCAATATGTGAAACCCCCTCTCTACTAAAAATACAAAAATTAGCCAAGCATGGTGGCACGTGCCAGTAGTCCCAGCTACTCGGGAGGCTGAGGCAGAAGAATTGCTTGAACCTGGGAGGCGGAGGTTGCAGCAAGCCGAGATTGCGCCACTGCACTCCAGCCTGGGCAACAGAGTGAGACTCTGACTCAAAAAAAAAAAAAAAAAAAAAAAAAAGATATTTATCTTTAAATCAAAGAGGATACCTCTAATAAAACAATCTAAAAATTTATTTAACAAGAGTTAAGTGGTATAGTCAAAGTCATTCTTTTAACCTAAAGTGTTCCTAATAATATCAAAAGAGTCAACTCAAAACTGCCATTTATTAAAAAAAATCAGAGTTCAAACTACCACTTCCCAAGCTTTAGAAGGCTTTCTATGTGAAAAAACAGGTCATGGAAATGAAGTTTCATTATTTATAAATACTGCACTAGATTTAGAAGATCCCGGGTTTTCCAAAAGTCTTAGGTTCCACTTTGTGTGTGACCTTATAGCAATTCTAGCCAATATTACAACAAGTGTAAGACATTTAACATACCATCCCCACAAACACAAAATGCATATCCTTCAAATATAACCAGCACTTAACTATCTAAAGAATGACATTAAAAGTTTTTGAATTCATTAACAGTTTTCCAACTAGTTTGTCCTATGCAAATGACTCAAACTTTCAGGCAGGCCCCAGGAAGCAGCACACAAGAAACTATTTAATTAAAGATTCAGCCTAATTCCCAGTAGTAAATCACAGGAAATATTTTGTGCCAAAGCAACCTCTCCTCGGTCCTAAAACAGTTAAGTTTTGGTTGCTTTGCATTTAAAAACTGGATTTAAGTTAAAATTCATAGTAAAATTTCTCTTTTATGACTCTTAGAACAGGAGTCTTTCAGATCTGAGAGTGAAACTTGGTTTTAACAAGTAACTCATTTTTATGAAACTAACCAAAAGACTAGTTATGAGTTAGAACAGCTCAGGTTGTTTCTTTTCTTCTTAAAATACCCTTTTACTCAAACTGAAAATGTACTTGCTGCAATCAGACTTAAACCAACTGACATTACACCTGAAACACTTACTCATTTGAGAAAGGCAGCCTACTCCAAAGCAAAGCCCCATTAGGCTCCCACTGGGAGCTGCCCAAGGGCCTCCAATTCCAGACAGATAACTTAACAGGTCTCCTAGCTCTGGCAAATAAATTTAAAAAAAAACTAAATTATTCTTGCATTTTTAAAAAAATCAGAACAAGAACCTGATAAAAATGGTTGTAAAGATGATTTAACATCAGAATCTATTTTTTAAAAACCTAAATCTTAAAAAGTGTAAGCATATTCCTAGTTTAAGACTAACACTCTGACAATGCCATTTGAGACGCAAAACTAAAAATATCCCAAAACACTTCCTTTATCTTTAAAGAAAGGCACTCCAGCAAGTTGAAGTAGGTTGTATCCATTTCCAAGGACTAAAGAATGGTGTAAGTACACACTGTACTTTGAATGCAAAAAAAGGGGGGAGGATTTTTTTTTTAAATGGCTAATACTCTGTAACAGCTGAAGTGGAATTGATAGATGAGCAAGTAAGTCAAGTACTTAAATTCAAATGTTAAGTAAAACAAGATTTGGCAGACAATTTCGATTTTGTGACTTAATAGAATATATGCTGAACTTAACGGTAAGAAGGCACTTTACTTTTTTGAAACACTTGGTAAAATTGCATGTAATGCCTGGTAATGAAGCGATAAGTGATACCTTTACTCTAAAACACACTTTGGAAAAAATAAAATGAATCTTGAATTCCTTCTAAAGGAACTTCAATAAGGTGTGAGTAACTTAACCCTTTTGACACGCATTAACCACAGGGATGACACTGTGTGTAAAATAACCTTGGTGTTAACAACTGCGCAGCAAAGACCAATCTTTATTATGCCGTGGAGTCCAATATGAGAGGCGAAGAAAGGTATGTTTTAAAAAGGTGTTTAGCTCGGCCGGGAACGGTGGCTCACGCCTGTAATCCCAGCACTTTGGGAGGCCGAGGCGGGCCGATCACGAGGTCAGGAGATCCAGAACATCCTGGCCAACATGGTGAAACCCGGTCTCTACTAAAAACACAAAAATTAGCTCGACGTGGTGGCTCGTGCCTGTAATCCCAGCTACTCGGGAGGCTGAGACAGGAGAATCGCTTGAACCAGAGAGTCGGAGGTTGCAGTGAGCCGAGATCGCGCCACGGTACTCCAGCCTGGCGACAGAGCGAGACTCCGTCTCGGAGGAGGGGAGGGAGGTGTTTAGCTCAACTAGACAGCCTTTACAGCAATTCCGCCACCGGTGACAGTGAGAAACTGTCAGCTTGGGGAGGCCGCGCCACGACTGGACCCCGCCCCCGGGAAGCCTCCCCGGAGCCGAGGGCCCCCGGGCCTTCTCCTCGGAGTCGGGAAGTGCCTGCCCCCACGCTAAGTCTCTCCTGGCCACGCTCTGAAAGGCAAAAATGGCAAAAATCCTCCTTCAAGGCACCGCTCCCTCGACGCGCACCGCCACTCCGACTCCCTCAAAACATTGGTCGCAAAGCCCCCCCGCCTGGTCCTCCATGCTCAAGAATAGGGTGGCAAGGCAGGAAAAGACTCACACATCCCAGCCCCCGGCCCCTCAGGGCAGCCTCTGTGTTTCTAACTAAAAGCCTCCTACCAGGGGCAAGACCAAGTTCGGGCGCTTCCCCGCATGGAGAAACGCTGGCCCCACGGCGCCCGGCCCCGACGCGCTGGCCCTTTAAAGGCGCGGGCTTCCTGCGCCCGGGGCCCCTCCCACGCCACCGCCACCGCCACCGCCACCGCCCGCGCCCGCCCCCGCCGAGGGTCACACTTGAACTTTAGCTCGCCCCGCGCGGCCAGGCGCCGGCGCTCCGCAGGCGGTGGCCGCCCCTTCGCACGTGTCGGAGGCACCACCTCGGGCTCGGGACGCCGGGCCCCCGGCACTCGAGGCCACTCCGGAGAAAACCAAAACAAAGCAAAATGCGCACCGCCTCCAGAAACTGCCCGGCAGGCCCTGCACCGTCCCCGGCCGGTCGCGCCCTGCCTGTCCCCTCCACCTGCAGCCCGGTCCCGGGGCAGCGAGGCTCCGGGGCCCCTCGCCGCGCCCTCCCCCGCCGCGCCCGGCGGAAACAGCTCCGCGGCGCGGCCGGAGAGAACCCGCCCTCCCCCCGCGGAGGTCCGGGAGGGAAGGGGCAGCCGAAGCAGTCGGCGCGGGCCGGGGGTTGCCGCTCCCAGCGAACCCCTTTCTCCTTTCACTGGCAAACTTTTCGGCCTCGCTCTGACGTCCACTTCTTGGCGCACTTTCTTTACTTAGTTCCCCAACGAGCCCCTTACCGCGTCCCACGCGAACTCCTGACTGGCGCGCACGCACACCTACTGCCGTCCCCGACCGGACCCGGGCGAGGCCACCGCGACCACCGCTTCTCGCCCGCCCTCCTGGGAACGCGCTGCCCTCCTGCTCCGCACCTTCAGGCCGAGCAAACCTGCACAGCTGCGCCCTCGCCTGACCCACCGCGCCCCCAAGGTCCGGCCGCGCGCCGAGTCCACTCACCTTCCAGCCCGCCGAGCTGTTGCTGTCACCCTTATCCTTGAAGTAGGGCACGCTCTTGACCATCCACTCGTAGATCTGCGACAGCGTGAGCCGCTTCTCCGCCGAGCTCTCGATGGCCTTGGTGATGAGGTCGGCGTAGGACAGGTTGCCCCACGCGTTGCGGCGGGACGAGCTGCTCTTGCGCGGCTGCCCCGCGAGCGGCCCAGCGGCGGCGGGGGGCACCGGCGGGTGCTGCGACAGCGGCCCGGGCGGCGGGGGCTGCGGTGGCGCTGGGTGCAGGCAGCCCGCCTCCGGGCCCTGGAAGTCCCCGCACAGCCCCCCGGTGGCGGCCGCGGCGGCCGCCGCCGCCACCGCCGCCGCCACGGAGCCGGGCGCCTGCGGGAAGTCCTCGCTCTCCTCCAGCAAGCTCAGGTTGCTCATGAAGTCGGCGCTGACAGCGGCAGCCGAGGCCGAGGGCAGGCCCGCCGCGGCGTCGGGGTTGGCAGCCGCGCTGCCCGACGGCGCCGGGCTGGAGGTGGCCGAGTTGGACTGGCTAAACTCCGGCCTGGGCAGCGGCCAGGTGCACGAGCGCGGCCGGGGCAGCGGCTCGAAGTCCGGGTCGATCTCCACCACCTGAGGCGCCTCGGCCATGGTGACCCCCGCCCCTCCCCCAGCCGCAGGAGAGCCAAGAGGGGGAGAACGCAGCACTGGGGGCGGACGGGGAGGGGGCGCGAAGGGACGGTCCGAGATTTGGGGGAACGAAGCCGGTGCGGCGAGCGGACGGAAACTGGGAGGAAGGCGCGGCGGAGTGGAAGCGCGAGCCCAGAACTTAACTTCGCGGGGCCATCCACATCGAGGCTCCTCGGGGTCCGCCGCACGGACTGGACGGCCGGCCAGAGCCGCCGGGCCGGGGCAGAGCCTGCGCCGCGCTCCAGCTGACAGGGCCGCGGACGGAAGGACGGACGGACGCCGCGGGCCGCTTGCTCTCCCCAGCGGCGCGCCCGCTGCGCTGCTGCCTGTTGAATGTGGCGGCTGCGGCAGCGGCTGCTGCGACTACCAGGCCGCCCGACTTACGGGATCTGCCGCCGCCCCCCGCCCGCGGCGGCGCGCGCGCCGGCCCGCCCCTGACCGACAGCCCGCGCGGCCAATGGGCATGCGGCACCGCCGCCCGGGCAGCCAGTGGGCGCCGGGCTGGGTGGGGCCCGGTTTTCCACGGGGAGGCGGCGGTGGGCTGGTGGGGGGTAGTGGGGTGTTTTTCTCTTTCACACACTCACCTCCTTTTTTTTTTTTTGGATCTCTATTATTTTCTGGTAATTCTCGAGTGTTTCTGTGATTCTCTCGCCTTCTCAGTGTTTTGATTGCTAGGAAGCAAACCAGCGTGGAGGCGCCGGCGACACTTTGTTTACTACGGAGCAGCAGAGCCGAGTACTCGGGAAGCCCGGGTGGGAGGAGGCGCTCGCTGCTCCCTGACCTCCGCTGCGGGCCGAGCCCGGCGGGCTGGCAGGGCAGGGGGCCGAGGGCCGGGGGCGCGGGGTGGGCGGGCGGAGGCGGCCGCGAGGAATTCTACTCAATCGCTCCCTCCTGGCTCCACCCACGATGTCTTTGCTGAACGACGTGGGGAATCGGTGGGTTTTGTTTTGGTTTAATGTTTTCTTTCGCTGCGATCTGTCAAGTCCTCCGGCCCCCTCGCGAGCGGCACACGCCCCCCACCCCCGGCGCCGCGGCTCCTGCAGTCGAGTCCGCGCCGAGGGACCCTTCTCCGTGCCCACCGGTCCGCACCCCCGGGCTCAGCCTGTGCCATTCGGTCTAGCCAGAGGCGCGTCACCCAGCCGGCAGCCCCCAGCCGGATTCACTGTATTCTTGACCTTTTTTAAAATGCTAGAAATGAGGAACAGGGGCTCCGGCGCGGGGAGGAGATTATCTGGCCTCCCTGAACACACGAATCCAAAGGCACCCGCGACCGCATGCCCTCCGTGGGAACCTCTTCCCCTGGGCGGGAATCTCCCGCTCCGTCCACTAAGTCCAGGGCCGGCAGCGAAGGGCTCAGGAGCGCAGTTAGAGAGAACCAGGTCATTTTATTACTTATCCCTAATTAAATTTAGCTGTTTGTTACTTCTTTTTTATTTGCAACGGAAGTGATCGGGTGTTAAGTAAAAACGCAAGGGGGGCGGGAGATAGGACCAAAGCCTTGGGGCGCAGCCTGCCCCACCCCCAAATTCCTTGAGGCTACTTGCTGTGTGTGTCAGTCAACCCCCCACCCACACCCCACCTTTCCTCATCTGGGCTGCAGGTCCAGGACATCCTGTCAAGGATCAGTGGGGCCAAAGGTGGGAAGATAATGGCCCTTGTGTCTCAAGCAGAAGAAACAGTTTTCCAGTTTTGTTTTGTTATGCTTTTGCTTTTTTAGGAAGAATATGGAAGGCATTTCCTTTTAGAAAGATGGGACCACTTAGGATGGAAGATGGACAGTAGGGTTTTAAATATCTTGTCCAAAAGGACAGCTTCCAACTCTTGTTTTTTAATCCCTTTCTTTCTTACAAGTAATTCTGCAATGGAAAAAGTGGCATCTAGAGAAAATTAGTCAGTTGGACAAGAGGTTGTTGAAAAAATAAAAGAGAAAAGAGGGGAAAAAAGGAAAAATTAGGCCTCTTACAAAAGTTAAAAAGATTGAGAGAGATTATCTTTCTTCTTTTATATTCTCACTATCGTCTCTCTAGTCCGGGCTCCTGTTTCTTCATAATCTATTTATCACAACAGCTTCTTGCTGATACTAGGCATGGGTGGGGTGGGGAGCGTGAGCCGGATGGATTGGGGACGGGCGGGGACTGGTTCCCACCCTGGTCTTGTGGTCTCTTCACGTTTACTATCAAATTTGGACAGTCTGGGCCTCCTCTGACAGCCGCTAGGGGACCTCAGTAACTCAGATGATGAGCTCAAAGGCAGGCCCCCAAAGTACAGCTGTTGCTTCCCCCCACCTTTCCAATTACACTCTGCAGAAGCAGCCCCCGATCCAGACAGCCGCACCCTAAAAATAGGCGGTGCCCTACTGGATCATTCTTGGCAAAGGAAGCCAGCTTCAAATTTGGCCTTGCCTTCATTTCTATTCCGGTTTTTCAGGGCGTCAGAGAATATTTATTTGGTTAAAGGAGTCTTCCTACAGACTTTCCCCAAATCCTTGAAATCTTTGAGGCTCTCCTGCCCAATTGTTTCTTCAAATGTCATAGTTTACTTTTATTTGGTCTTTCTTTAAAAAAATTGACGAGGCAGGCACAGAGAACCTATAACACCAATGTCCCTGACACATAGGTCCAAAAAATTAAAAATATATATTGAAGGGTTTTTACAGCTAACCACCACACTGTTGTATCTAAATATCAATTTACTGAACCCCAGGATGTTGGTGAATATTTCACTTGTTTCCAGTCTTTAGCTATCATAGACTATTCTGTAAGAAATAACCTTGCAGGGAGGCCGAGGCGGGCGGATCATGAGGTCAGGAGATAGAGACCATCCTGGCTAACACGGTGAAACCCGTCTCTACTAAAAATACAAAAAATTAGCCGGGCGTGGTGGCGGTCGCCTGTAGTCCCAGCTACTCAGGAGGCTGAGGCAGGAGAATGGCGTGAACCCGGGAAGCGGAGCCAAGATCGCCCCACTGCACTCCAGCCTGAGCAACAGAGCGAGACTCCGTCTCAAAAGAAAAAAAAAAAAGAAATAACCTTGCATAACTTTAATTTCATATCTGTACAAGTATATATATAGGAGCAATTTCCAGAAATGGGAGTCACTGGGTCAGCAGGTATACCCATTCGTAGTTTTGAAAGGCACAGCCAAATTGTGCTCCACAAGGGTTATATCAAGCTAAACTGTCTTTTCCATTAGACCCACAGAACGTTAAACTTGAAAGTAAACTCGGAGATCACCTTGGTGACCCCCTTTAACTTAGAAAAAGAGAGGTGCAGAGATGCTGATTTGCCCCAGCGCACATAATAAAAGTGGTGATGCCAGGGCTGTAGCTCTAATTTTTTGCTTTCCCATTAGTAACCTTCTCAAAACACAGATGGAAAATTATAAATATCCTGTAATCCCACTATAGCAATAACCATTATAACTTCGTAGTGTATTTCCTTCCAGTCAACCCGCAGATCTTAGTAATCATAGTTAGGTGAACTCCACTGAACCAAATAAAGGTTTGAATTAAAAGAACAAATAGGCCGGGCACAGTGGCTCATGCCTGTAACTCCAACAGCTTGGGAGGCCGAGGCAGGTGGATCACCTGGGGTCAGGAGTTCCAGACCAGCCTGGCCAACATGGTGAAACCCCATCTCTACTAAAAATACAAAAATTAGCTGGGCGTGGTAGCAGGTGCCTGTAATCCCAGCTACTCAGGAGGCTGAGGCAGAAGAATCCCTTGTACCCCGGAGGTGGAGGTTTCAGTGAGTCGAGATCACACCACTGCTCCAGCCTAGGCGACAGAATGAGACTGTATCTCAAAAAAATTTAAAAATTAAAAAAAAATAAAATAAAATAAAAGATCAAGAAAACAGACATAAAACAATGATAGTGGTAATAAGATAATGAAAGAAGAGATTACAAAAGAAGTTTTTCTGTTTTTTTTTTTTGTTTTTTTTTTAGTCAAAAATGTAAATGTTGCCATCTCTGAAGGGTGACATAGTATTTAGGTCATCCCTGGTTCTGCTTAAGGGAAAAAGTTCTTTTCTCCTTCCTTGTGTTTTGTGGTTGCAGCTTGCTTTGAAGGTATTTTCTACTGATTATCACTTAGTTGCTGCATGTGTCTGAACTGGGAAGAAATAGGGAAGAAAAATGTCTCATGTCAAGTAAGGACAATTAAAATGAAAAAGGAAATTTATCCTTACAAAGTCCATCTCACAAAACTATGTGATGTTCTTTTCTGTGCCTGGTTTTCAGGGTAACTATTGCCTCATCCTTAACAGGAAGACTGAGGGATGGTTCCCTTTGATCAATGCCCAGGCAGAAATTTCTACATTTACCCCTCACCAACACATGATAGATCTCGGGTTTAAATTTAAATTTTTACTTGTCAAAATAGATAATTTAAGTTCCATTTAATGAGTAAGTGAAAAACTTGGATGCTGATTTTTCAGTCAGGGCACTTCACTTCGTATTTCACATTCCCTTTCCCCAACAACTGTCCGTTTCCAAAACTTTGTCTGAATTATTAGGAGGTACTGCTGTCAACCTGAAACAGCCTTTCTTCACTTAGCCCATAGAAAGTAATAATCTGAAAAAAATATATATAGCCTCAGGTCTTTAAACCAATGTCCTGAAGGCTGGCATATTAACTGGTAGCTGTAGTAAGATTAGAAGTAACCATTCGTTTCTCTTAAGGGATAATTTCCTTGGGGTTTTGTCACTAATTCCACAAATATCTACAGAGCACCTCCTACATATATGTCAGGTGCTGTGCATCTTAGAGTCCATTGTTTTGATGCTAAATTCCTTGAGCTCCAAAATGGTTTATTTTCCCTGATACGATATTTGCTATCAGAGTTAAGAACGCTGTTCTTTTCTAATCAGCAATGCATAGTGACAATATTTATTTGGAGGAATTACACAAAAATGTTTTTGATAGGTAAAAGAAATGCTAAGGCTGGAAAAATTGAAATATAGTCACCATTTTGGAGGAAAATAATGATATGAAGTGGAAAAGATTTAAAAATGCACCATCCACAGGCACTGGGAGTATGAGTTCCGACCACTAAGCCTCATGGTTGGGATGATCTTATTACAAATGGACAAAAGACGGAGACTACCTCTGGTTATCTGTCTACTAACCTGTAACAGAAGGGAAGCAGTGAACCACTTCTTTTGTCAATTCTGTTGTGAAGGGCCAGTGTTTGTCAACTTCAATAAACTATTCCTTCACTTTAGGTATTAGTGAGAGACTACTTGTGGGTCTCTGCAGGAATACTAACACATATTTGTAGATAACCTAAATGACCAACTATAGAGAATGGTTAAATAAATAATGGCATATCTATAAGGTGGCATTTCACACAGCCATTTAAAATAAAATCTTTGGGCCGGGCATAGTGGCCCACACCTGTAATCTCAGCACTTTGGGAGGCTGAGGCAGGCAGATCACTTGAAGTCAGGAGTTCCAGACCAGCCTGGCCAACGTGGTGAAACCCTGAAACCCTGTTCTACTCAAAATACAAAAATTAGCCAGGCACGGTGGCGCAAGCCTGTAGTCCCAGTTACTAGAGAGGCTGAGGTGGGAGGATCACTTGAACCCAGGAGACAGAGGTTGCAGTGAGCTGAGATCATGCCACTGCACTCCAGCTTGGACGACAATAAAATAAAATAGCTTTCCCAAGCCAAAAGGGGATTCACATTAGAATTAAAATTCTTTCTAACATTGAGAACTCATATAATTGCCATAAAATTAATGATGGTACATGAAATTCCAAATTCTCTGAATGTCACAAATCTGAATCTTACATTCATGTTTGAAACACAATGTGTTTTCACTATTTTATTTCTGTTTCTTGTCATATTAAAGCTCTTAACACACTTCCAAAAAAGGGGGGACATATGCATTAAATAAGAAAATGCTGCCATGTTGAACACAGATGGTACAACATTTCTGGCAGAAAGGAAGTTTAACAAGGCATTTAACTTATTTACTTGGAAAACTAATAAGCATGAATGTTCAAGTAAAGCAGTAAGAAATTAATTGCTGTTTTACAATAATCAGTTTTTCCAATCTAATCGCCCTATTTCCATACCATGATAGCAGAGAAAGGGAGTCAAGTGTGATTGTAAACAAACTACTGACTAAGAGAATCCAGGATAGGAATGAAGGAAGAAACTGTTAGCATTTTATAGTAACTAACCAAGTTGTTTGTCATTTGTTGATAAAAATCAATAACAAGAGGTAATAACTGTGTAGTTAGAGTACATGTGTTTTCCATATGATAATACAGTCACTGACTGTCAGCCAGGGTGTAAAAACAGGAGGCAAGAGTTTATCAAATTTCAGGTTTGGCTGACTCACAGGGCCCACCCATATGCAAAGTCTATTCTGGCAGAGAGTCAACACAGATGAATAGTGATTTCCCTGGGATATCAGGTTTCTACTTTGTGGTGAATACAGCCTTTAAAACACACTGAAATATTCTATATTCTAAGGTTTAACATTTAAAAATGGAATTCCTAATTAGCTAATTACTGATATAGTGCTGGAGGAAAGATTAATTTGTCTCGTGTGATGCCATGTGTACTTTAAATAATTTTGTGTTTCAACAACAAACTGAAAACAGAACATTTGATGGCTATGTTGCATGCCTGAGCTCTAGAGCATTCCAACCTGGAAAAATTCTTTCTATAATCCAAGACTAGGCTCCGGAAGCTCTCTTCCTCATTTTTCAGATTTACAGATCATCTGACACAAGATGAGCTGTAAGTCAATAAATATACATATAAGTCTACTTTCAAGATGTTTTCAGTTATAAACTGTAAATCATTTTTTACCCAGAATGAGAATATACACATGAAAGTTTTCTTTATGCTCCAGTGTTAATAAAAACTGCTTTTTTTTTTCAACGATAACTATGGACCAAGCACTTTACAGCTATTATCTGAATCAGTCCTCCAAGCCACCCAATAATACAAGAGTTATTATGACTCACATTTTACAGAAATTGAAACTAAGGTACAAAGAGCTAAGAATCTTACCTGAGGTCTTATCTTAGAAGTTTATCTAATTACAATCGGACTTGAACCTACTGTTATCCAAATTCAGAGCTCATCTCCTGTTTAACATGACACTTTCTGCCTCTATAAAATGTTGGGTTTTTCTAGAGGACAAGAAATTAATGAGAGGTTAATTTAAGGTTTCAATTTTTTTCCCAGAAAATTGACATTTGGACTTTTTGGGGGGTAATCTATGTCAGCAATCATCTCTGCCTAAAGCCAATTCAGTTTATGTTAATGGTAGAAGCCCAGGGACAGAACATAAATAACAATAATAATGCTGATGTTTGCATGTGTATAAGACAAACCATGTAGGGGATTTCAAGCCATTAGCACTTGCTTATTTAAACAGCCAGCCTAAAACCATATACAATAAGAGCAGCCAGCTCTTCCAGAATGGTTGGTTTAAGTGGAACTCTCTCCAAATCTCTCCTTATCCTGAATAAAGGCACATCAAACCAATTTCAACAGCCATATTGAGCTCTATCCCCATCAAGAAAAGGGACTAGCATTGGATATTTATCAAAAAGCCTGTCCTCAGCTGAGTTTCAGAAGCTTGGTGTTAGATTAGAACAAATGAACATGTGTTTTACAGTTCAGATGGTGGGCCTTATTCCGGTAATATGTAACCCACCCCTACTGCCTGGACCTACTGGGGAATTCAGCAGAGCCATAAGGTTTACTTTCATGAGGCGATAAACTAAACCAAAACAAACAAAGCCCTTGTGTTCCTCTCTATTTTGAAGTTGGCTTCAAAGTTGAATTGCAGCATGTCCCTCTCTCCCACCAAGTGGGCATAAAATATCAGAAATATTTTTAAAGCACCTTTAGAAAAAGTTACTGCATCAGACATGGTAGTGTGCGCCTGTAGTCCCAGCTACTCAGGAGGCTGAGGCAGGAGGATGGCTTGAGTCCATAAGTTCGACATACCAAGACCTTGTCTCAAAAAAGAAAAACTTGGCTGGAGGCTGGGTGAGGTGGCTCATGCCTCTAATCCCAGCCCTTTGGGAGGCCGGGGCAGGAGGATCACTAGAGGTCAGGGGTTCAAGACCAGCCTGGCCAATTGGTGAAACCCAGTCTCTACTAAAAGTACAAAAATTAGCCACGCGCCTAATCCCAACTACTCGGGAGGCTGAGACAGGAGAATTGCTTGAACCTGAGAGGCAGTGAGCCAGGATCGCACCACTGCACTCCAGCCTGGGCAAGAGAGTGAGAATTTGTCTCAAAAGAAATGGGGTGGAATCAGGTGTCAGTGTCCCCAGCTTTCATGAAAAGCATAAATAAAACTTCCTTCAGCTAAGATTTGAGGTTGTATTCTCTTTCCTTCAGCGTCACATCACAGAGAAGCATGGAAAGCCCCCATCAATCACAGACAAGAGGCTAGCCCTAGTTAGAAGAGCTTATCTACAGCTACTTTCCTTTCAGGTGGGAACAGTTTAAATTGCCACTAAATCACAAAATGAAAATCACTCCTTGGTGTTTTTCCATCTCCAGGATATGTGCCAGTTTTAATGGTCCATTGGCCATTGGCCTGTGCATCCACTGATGTTGGCATCAGTAGATGCTGAAGATTAATGCCAACCATTGTATGATAACCCAGTAAAACAAAATCAGTTAAGCATCTCAATACATTCTCTCTCTTCTTTAGTATCTATATATTT
Source organism: Homo sapiens (assembly GCF_000001405.40). Lineage (NCBI taxonomy): Eukaryota > Metazoa > Chordata > Mammalia > Primates > Hominidae > Homo > Homo sapiens. The sequence continues at coordinate 40,674,960 of NC_000013.11, forward strand.
GACTCATTATTTGATTTTCCCTTTTCATTGTACACACAGTCAAATTAGGAGCCTGGCAGAGGTCTGGGGAAGTAGGGTGGAGAAGGAAAAGAATGCTTCCCCCTCTCCCTCCCTGCTGTCCTCTGGACATGACAGCACACCCAGAGTCCCTCGGTCATCTCCAGCCATGACTGGGGTGAGGAGAAGGCAATGGGAACACAGAGGCTCTTTACAGATCATAACAACCCCTCATCAAGTTTGCCATGATGTTGGTCCTCTATGCAAAATATGATAAAGTGAAATCACAAACAGATCTTCCAAGAAAAGCAGAAAATCAACAACGCATGATCAACTAGAACCTCTTTTATTCCCTAAGTAGTGTTCCATTTATTTTGTATTTTGAATTTTTATTTTGGTATGACTTGCCACCTACATACCTCAAAGAGGTATTGTAAGGATTAAAATAATGTCTTAAAGCACTTTGAAACAGGGATAAAATGTTTGTTCTCTGACATTGGTACAACCTCGTGGGTAGGTTTTTGTTAGTATACAAATTACTTTAACTCTGGTAAATACGTGATTTCTAAATCATTGATATTTGTTCTAAATTGTACCATAGCTCCTCCACATTCACGTGTTAGGCACATTGGTTGCCAAATCCAACTGGTCCTTTGTGAATTTAGAGATAATATGTATAATCATGGCACATCATAGCAAGAGTTTAGGAAGGCCTCTAATTTCAGGGATTGTTACTACCTATTCATGCTCTACAGCTTTGAGGGTTTTTGTTATTGTTGTTATGGTTGGTTTTTTGGTTTTTTTTTTTTTAGAGACAAGGTCTTGCTCTGTAATACAGGCTGGAGTTGCAGTGGTGCGATCATAGCTCACTACAGCCTCGAACTCCTGGGCTCAAGTGATCCTCCCACCTCAGCCTCCCTAGGTGTTAAGACTACAGATGCTTGCCACCACGCCCAACTAATTTTTAAATTTTCTGTAGAGATGGGATCTCCCTATGTTGCCCAGGCTGGTCTGGAACTCCTGGCCTTAAGCAATCCTCCCATCTCAGCCTCCCAAAATACTGGGATTACAGGTGTGAGCCATTGCACCTAGCTGCTATGAGTTTTACATGGAAGTAAGTTGAGAATTTTGAATCTTTGATCTATCTTTTTATACGATCTGATATACCAAAATGTTGCTAGAAAAGCTTTAAAAATCCTCATATTATTCTTGATAGTCTCAGCAGGCAATTAAAAAGCAGTTAAAAATAAAATTAGCTGACTCATTTCAGGAGTTTAGCTGACAATGGTACTGGTAGCTTCGGCTTGACAGATAATATTATCATAGAAAGCAGCACAACAACTTTAACAATCATGCAAATTTCTCTAAAATAATTGCAAAAGAGAATTTATACAATGTATCCTTTGGTTTTCTGTGTCTCTTCTTTTGGACAAAATTCTCAAAAACTGAACCCACTCAGACACCCCAACGTATTTTGTAAGAGTTAGATGTTGCTTTAAGAAATACAAAACCTGGGGCCGGGCGTGGTGGCTCATGCCTGTAATCCCAGCACTTTGGGAGGCTGGGGTGGGAGGATTGTTGAAGCTTGGGAGTTCGAGTCCAGCCTGGGCAACATAGTGAGACCCTGTCTCTTTAAAAAAAAAAAAAGAAGAAGAAGAAGAAGAAGAAACAAAATTTGGAGACAAGTGACTGTCTCATAAAAATTTTAAAATCTTACAAAATTAACTCAGAAAAGCAAAACATATAGAACGGCAATAACAACAAAAAGTAGATGACTTGAAGGGAATTGGAATATAATGGCTTCTAAGTCTGGGATCTGTTTTTCTGGGTTTGATATCTTTTTTTTTTTGGGACGGAGTTTTGCTCTTGTTGCCCAGGCTGGAGTGCAATGGCGCTATCTCGGGTCACTGCAACCTCCACCTCCCGGGTTCAAGCAGTTCTCCTGCCTTAGCCTCCTGAGTAGCTGGGATTACAGGCACCTGCCACCACGCGCTGTGAATTTTTTGTATGTTTAGTAGAGACAGGGTTTTGCCATGATGGCCAGGCTGGTCTTGAACTCCTAGCCTCAGGTGATCCACCCGCCTCAGCCTCCCAAAGTGCTGGGGATACAGGCATGAGCCACTACGCCTAGCTGTGATTTCTTTTTTTAAGACTAGTTAAATTCTTACTTAGGAAGAAGGCAATAGCCTAATTTTAATGTTCACTTTTAAAATTAAAAAGTACTCATGTCTTTTCATGTAGACGAATTATTTCTAACAAGGCAGATTCTGCAGTTATTCCTAGATTAGTTATTCTTGGCAGTTGTACTGTAAAACCACGTGTCAACTGTGTGTACACACGATGATTCTATTAAAAGATATCATAAATGCCACCTTATTTTCACAGCCCAATTAAAATATACAACAAATTTAGTCACTAATAAACAAAAATTGATGAGAACCATGGAAACATCTTAAATTAGAAACCAGGAAAACCTGAAATTTAAAAAAAAAGAAGCTGCTAAAATTACACAGTCAGGATAAAAATTTATATTGTAAATGTTACCAAAAAACATTTAAAGGTGTGAAAGGGTTTTGTTTTTTTCTTAATTAGCAAGGACATTCTTAGTTCTACCTTTGATGATCAATTCTTAAACAGGTCATAATGAAAGCATTATTTTTTATTTTTATTTATTTATTTTTTTGAGACTGAGTTTCACTCTCGTTGCCAAGGCCAGAGTGCAATGGCGTGATCTCCACTCACTGCAACCTCTGCCTCCTGAGTTCAAGCGATTCTCCTGCCTCAGCCTCCGGAGTAGCTGGGATTACAGGCGCCTGCCTCCACGCCCAGCTAATTATTATTATTTTTTTTTTTGAGACAGAGTCTTGCTCTGTCGCCCAGGCTGGAGTGCAGTGGCACGATCTCGGCTCAATGCAAGCTCCGCCTCCCGGGTTCACGCCATTCTCCTGCCTCAGCCTCCTGAGTAGCTGGGACTACAGGCGCCCGCCACCATGCCTGGCTAATTTTTTGTATTTTTTTAGTAGAGACGGGGTTTCACCGTGTCAGCCAGGATGGTCTTGATCTCCTGACCTCATGATCCACCCGCCTCGGCCTCCCAAAGTGCTGGGATTACAGGCGTGAGCCACCACGCCCGGCTATTTTTTTGTATTTTTAGTAGAGACGAGGTTTCACTATGTTGGCCATGCTGGTCTCAAACTCCTGACCTCAAGTGATCCACACACCTCGGCCTCCCAAAGTGCTGGGATTATAGGCACGAGCCACCAAGCCTGGCCTATTTTTTATTTTTTTATTAAAAAAATTTTTTTTGAGATGCATTTCGCTCTGTTGCCCAGGCTGGAGTGTGTGGTGGCGCGATCTCTGCTCACTGCAACCTCTGCCTCTGGGTTCAAGCGATTCTCCTGCCTCAGCCTCCCAAGTAGCTGGGACTATAGGTGCGTGCCACCACAACCAGCTAATTTTTTGTTTTTAGTAGAGATGGGGTTTCACCATGTTGGTCAGGCTGGTCTAGAACTCCTGACCTCAGGTGATCTGCCCGCCTTGGCCTCCCAAAGTGCTGGGATGACAGGCATGAGCCACCACGCCCGGCCAATTTTGTATTGTTAATAGAGACTGGGTTTCGCCATCTAGGCCAGGCTGGTCTCGAGCTCCTTACCTCAAATGATTCTCATGCTGCTGCCTCCCAAAGTTCTGGAATTACAGGCATGAGCCACTGTGCCCAGCCTATTTTTTATTTTATTTATTTTTATTTGTTTGTTTGTTTATTTATTTATTTATTTTGAGACGGAGTCTTGCTCTGTCTCCCAGGCTAGAGTGCAGTGGTGTGATCTCGGCTCACTGCAACCTCCACCTCCTGGGTTCAAGTGATTCTCTCGCCTCAGCCTCCCGAGTAGCTGGGACTACAGGTGCACGCCACCACACGCAGCTAATTTTTGTGTTTTTAGTAGAGACAGGGTTTCACCATGTTGACCAGGCTGGTCTCGAGCTCCTGATCTCGTGATCTGCCCGCTTTGGACTCCCAAAGTGTTGGGATTACAGGTGTGAGCCACCGCGCCTGGCCACTGGGCTAATTTTTTAATGTTTTTATAGATATGAGGTCTCACTGTACTGCCCAGGCTGGTCTAAAACTCCTAGCCTCAAGTGATCCTCCTACCTCGGCCTTCCAAAATACTGAGATCACAGGCATGAGCCACTGTGCCTGGATGAAAAATTATTTTTAAATGGGTCGCGATGGAGATTTTATTAAAATGGTCATAATGGATAAAGTACTTTCTTTTGTTTCCTGGAGCTATTCAAGGGCCTTTCTTGGGCTGGATCAGAGTAGACACTTAACTTACCTCCCTCCACGAGCCCTGTGCCACATTCCCTCTTCTCTTAGCTGGCTGAGAAAAAGAACAAGAGAAAAAAGCTAGGGAAATTTTTTAAATAATTATTTCTTACTCAACTGAAAACCCGAAGCGTGCTGCGGTTCTCAAACATACACATGATCATGAGCTCTGATACCCACCAGTGACCAGGCTGCTCCCAGGCACTCAAATTCTTCCTTTCAATGATACTCGTCATTCTTTGACTGATGTTAGCACATCTAAATTCTTTTTTTTCCCTCAAGGAACCTGATTATTCTGGTCTGAATTGTGTTCTTCCTCCCCAAGTTCATATGCTAAATGTCTAACTCCCACTACGGCAGAATATGACTATATTTGGAGACAGGCCCTTTAGAAAGGTGACTAAGTTAAAATGAGACCGTTAGGCTAGGCCTTACCAGTCAAACCTCTGTCCTCATAAGAAAGGGTGATTTGGATGCACAGACGCCAAGGATGCCTGCACAGGGGAAAGACCATGTGAGAACAGGGAGAAGGCAGCCGTCAGCAAACCAAGGAGCAAGGCCTCAGGAGAAAGCAAACCTGCTGGCACTTTGATCTTGGACTCCAGACTGTGAGAAAATAAATTTCTGTTGTTTAAGCCACACAGTCTGTAGTATTTTGTTAGGGCAGCCCTCGCAAATTACAATGACTGTATGATCAATTATGTTTTTCCAAACATAGGTTAGGTTTTTAACATTCAAATGAGGAATGAAAGGACCCTAATTCAGGGAGGCAGTTAAGCAAATAAAGCACTAATTTTAGAGGCAGTCTCAACCAAACCCACTCTTCTAATGCGTAGTTGTTTAACAAAGCGGCACAGTCAGCACCATACAGGAAAACTGACTTACTATGTGCCAGGTATTGTTCTAAGCTTATTTATTTATTTATTTATTTATTTATTCATTTATTTATTTATTTATTAATGAGATGGAGTCTTGCTCTGTCGCCCAGTCTGGAGTGCAGTGGCGCGATCTCGACTCTCGACTCACTGCAACCTCCACCTCCCGGGTTCAAGCAATTCTCCTGCCTCAGCCTCCCGAGTAGCTGGGATTACAGGCACATGCCACCACGCCCAGCTAACTTTTGTATTTTTAGTAGAGACAGGGTTTCACCATGTTGGCCGGGCTGGTCTCAAACTCCTGACCTCAAGTGATCTGCCAGCCTTGGCCTCCCAAAGTGCTGAGATTATAGGCGTGAGCTACCGCACCCAGCCTCTAAGCACTTTTCTATATAAACTCATTTAATCTTCACAAGACCCTACTGGGCAGGTGTGATTGGAAATTGAGGCACAGGGAGGTTGGTTACTTGCACAGCTGGGATACAAACCCAGGCAGGCTAGAGCCACGGCTTTGCTTCTAACCAGTAATCCATGCTGCTTCCTTAGTTAATAGCTCTAATGCTTATTACCCCTCCCTCACCAACCACTCAGCAGGACAAAGTGGTAAATTCAAATTCAGGCTCTACTCCTTATTCCTCCAGGCAGTTTCATTATCTGAGTACTTGGCATAATAATATCTTCCTGCTGTGGGGGTCGCCTGAGATAATGATACAGGTGCTTGCCTGTGGAATCAGCCCCAGGCACTGCAGGCCTGTTTGCAGTCCCCTCTGTATCTCGGGTCTCAAGTTCCCTCTGATGATATTCAAAGAAACTCCACCAGGGCCTTAGGTTCCATCAGGGGCTTCTTCCAGATCATCTTGTATCGGTAACGCACAATGATTCAGCCACACCCATCCACAAAGGCTCATTACCTCTTGCTTTCAGTAAACCAGGCTGAACACAGGTAAGAATAGGAGAAAAAAGAGGTCCCAACTCATGCTTCCCTGACCCCTGTATCTCTTCCCTAGGCTTCTGGAGAGCCTGCCCGAGGCAGCTGGCAGCCCTTAGAACATTAGAAGGAGAAAGTTTTTGGATGCAAAGTATTCGTGAGGAGGGCTCATTGAAAAGAAAAGGCAGCCTATTGAAATTCAAGTTAAGCTTAGACCAGATCCTATGGCTAACTCCCATAGGATATCCTCCCGCTATCTCATGTGGGGATAGCCATAGGATCTGGTCTATGCTTGCAGAGCCATACAACCCTCCTCCCCACACCCAGTTGCCCGTAAGTACAATTTGAGCTCCCCACCCACCATGGTCTGCTGTACATCTTGATACCAGACCTGCCTTTCCTGGAGCTGGCCTCAGATGGATTCAGCTGGATCCAGTCCAACCAGATTGTAAGCTCTGGCCCTCCAGATAACCTCTGTGGCTTCCTCCAGGCCTCCCACAGTTGGGGCCTCTTGGAATCACAGTTGATAATGTTAGTTGCCAGCAATCACCCCGATCTCTAAAACTTCATCTCCGTGCTTTCCGTTCCTTTGCCAACCACCTGTTCAGGCTGATGATGACATTTAATGAATCTCCTTCCTTCCTAGTCTTGATAACAGCACAGGTCCCTCACCATACGAAGAGAAACAGCCTTTCAAGAACCTGCTTTGGAAATTGGCACTCTCGACATACAACTGCATTCCTTTCAGCTCACATTACTGCAGCTGCTCCAGTGCCAGCATCTAAACCATCTCATCTTGTGTCCAGTGCAGTGAAATCACCTTGTGGGGAGAGCAGTCAATGTGTTGGTAGGGACCAAGGGCCGAGCCTACCCCACTGGGAACTGGCTGGGCTGGGCCCTGTGTTTGATAGAAATCCTAACATATTCAGAGCCATAGGAATTTTCTTTTTTCTTATGCTGATAGTTTACTTCCATACTACTAAAATTTGCAAAACAAAATGCCACAGGCTAGGCTAAATACAGTGCACATTCTATCTCTCTCTCTTTTTTTTTTTTTTTTACATTTTTTTGAGACAGAGTTTCACTTTTGTCGCCCAGGCTGGAGTGTAATGGCATGATCTGGGCTCACTGCAACCTCCATCTCCCGAGTTCAAGCAATTCTCCTGCCTCAGTCTCCCAAGTAGCTGGGATTACAGGCACCCGCCCCCAACCATGCCTGGCTAATTTTTTTTTTGTATTTTTAGTAGAGATGTGGTTTCACCATGTTGGCCAGGCTGGTCTCAAACCCCTGACCTCAGGTGATCCACCTGCCTCGGCCTCCCAAAGTGCTGGGATTACAGGCGTGAGCCACCGCGCCGGCCATAGTGCACATTCTCACATGCGCTGCATGGCCACAGGGAAAGGCATAAGCTTTCTTGTCCCCCTCCATCTGATATAAATAAATAATCCAAGAAACAGAGCATTTACTTTTTCAGGACCAGATTTATTCATGGTATTGGCTGCTCTTCTGGTAAATGAGCTCGGCTTCCAGGAATCAAGCCTGCCCACGTAAACATGGCACCCCGACCCCTGAGAATGTTAGCTGGCCACTCCTCACCATATACTCCTGCCATACCACAAGTGGATGGCTAAATGGTTCACGCCCAAACTGTCATCTATCTAGAAGCTATTACAATCTAGATTTTTAAAGTTACGTATTCTAGATCCACAAAAGGTACAACAGACTAAGTGCACTTAAGTTTTGCAATTTGTTTCAGCTTGAAGGATTTCCATACGTAATTGCCCACAGTTGTTATGCAGTGTCAGAGAGCTAGCACAAAAGGCGGTCTCCCTGAGACATAAACCAATCTAAACAGAGCTGTCACTATAGTTTTTACACAGATGATGATTCTCCCTTCTGCAAATTTAGGTCATGGTAATCTGTCTGTTACTTTTGATCTTCCCATTGAACTATGTTTCTCCATCTTGCTAGTGTCTTCGATCGTTTTCTTTTGTGAAGGGGCAAAAGAAAAGTTATCCAAAAATTCTTTTTCCACTCTGGTAAAAGTAGTTTTAAGATAATACTAAAAAGTAATGTTTTATCGCCCTCTACTGGTATATGACATTAATAGCCATTTGCAAAAAAGTTAACTTTTAGAGAAAAGGTAATAAAATTCAGAAAAGTCAAAAAAAAAAAGAGCCTTTTATGTGCCTTTAACATTTGTCTTATTTTTATTTTTATTTTTTTGAGATGGAGTCTCGCTCTGTAGCCCAGGCTGGAGTGCAGTGGCATGACCTTGGCTCACCGCAACCTCTACCTCCCAGGTTCAAGCAATTCTGCCTCAGCCTCCCAAGTACCTGGGATCACAGGCACGTGCCACCACACCCAGCTAATTTTTGTATTTTTAGTAGAGATGGGGTTTCACCATGTTGGCCGGGCTGGTCTTGAACTTCTGACCTCGTAATCCACCTGCCTTGGCCTCCCAAAGTGGTGGGATTACAGAGGTGAGCCACTTCGCCCAGCCAAAATTTTTTTCTTTTTCTTTCTTTTTTTTTTTTTTGAGATGCAGTCTCGCTCTGTCGCCCAGGCTGGAGTGCAGTGGCGTGATCTCGTCTCACTGCAACCTCCACCTCCCAGGTTCAAGCAATTGTCTTGCCTCAGCCTCCTGAGTAGCTGGGATTACAGGCGCACACTGCTACGCCTGACTAATTTTTTGTACTTTAGTAGAGATGGGGTTTCACCGTGTTGCCCAGGCTGGTCTCGAACTCCTGAGCTCAGGCAGTCCTCCCGCCTCGGCCTCCCAAAGTGCTGGGATTACAGGCGTGAGCCACCGTGCCCTGCAGTTTCATTTTTATAATATCTTAAGGTAACATAAATACTTTACCTTTTTTTTTTTTTTTTTTTTGAGACGGGGTCTCTCTCTTGCCCAGGCTGGAGAACAGTGGCGTGATCTTGGCTCACTGCAACCTTTACCTCCCGTGATCAAGCAATTCTCCTGTCTCAGCCTCCCAAGTAGCTGGGACTATAGGCGCCTGCCATCACACCCAGCTAATTTTAATTTTTGTATTTTTAGTAGAGACGGGGTTTCACCATATTGGTCAGGCTGGTCTCGAACTCTTGGCCTTAGGTGATCCACCCACTTTGGCCTTCCAAAGTCCTGGGATTACAGGCATGAGCCACTGCACCCAGCCATTTGCTTTGTTTTTTAAAATTTTTATTTATTTTAATATTTTTAGTAGAGATGGGGTTTCACCATGTTGGCCAGGCTGGTCTCGAACTCCCGGTCTCAAGTGATCTGCCTGCCTCTGCCTCCCAAGGTGCCAGGATTACAGGAGTGAGCCACTGTGCCTGGCCACTATTTTCATTATTGTTCATTATACAGGCATCTTTTAACATTAGGTATCTGACTTGTCTGCATCTTTTGTTCTAATATTGAGCTTTGCTGGGGGAAAAAAAGTTTATCAGTTGCATAATTTGGGGAAACTTTCTAAAGATACTTATTAAGAGAGAATTTCTCTTAGATATTCTCACTCTCTCTGAAGCATCTTTCTTTTAATTAATTAATTAATTAATTAATTTTTTTTTTTTTTTTTTTTTTTTTGAGACGGAGTCTCGCTCTGTCGCCCAGGCTGGAGTGCAGTGGCAAAATCAGGCTAACTGCTACCTTGACCTCCCGGTCTCAAGTGACCCTCCCACCTCCGCCTCCCAAGTAGCTGGGACTACAGGTGTGTTGCACCATGCCGGGCTAATTTTTTTAAAACTTCCTGGGCTGGTTGAAGCTTGCTTGCTTGCTTGCTTGCTTGCTTGCTTGCTTGCTTGCTTCTTTCCCTCCCTTCCTTCCTTTCTTTCTGTCTTTTCTTTTCTTTTCTTTGACAGAATCCCGCCCTGTTGCCCAGAATGGAGTGCAATGGTGTGATCTCGGCTCACTGCAACCTCTGCCTCCCAAGTTCAAATGATTCTCCTGCCTCAGCCTCCCGAGTAGCTGGGATTACAGGCTCCTGCCACCATGCCCAGCTAATTTTTGTATTTTTAGTAGAGACCGGGTTTCACCATGTTGGCCAGGCTGGTCTCGAACTCCTGACCTCATGATCCACCTGCCTCGGCCTCCCAAAGTGCTGGGATTATAAGCTTGAGCCACCATGCCTGGCCTAAAGCTATCTTTTTTTTTTTTTTCCTCCTGGGTTCAAGCAATTCTTCTGCCTCAGGCACGCGAGTAGCTGGGACTACAGGCACGCGCCACCACGACTGGCTAATTTTTTTTTTTTTTTTTTTTTTTGAGACGGAGTCTCACTCTGTTGCCCAGGCTGGAGTGCAGTGTCGCGATCTCGGCTCACTGCAAACCCTGCCATTTGCAATGGTTCAAGCCATTCTCCTGCCTCAGCCTCCCGAGTAGCTGGGACTACAAGCGCCTGCCACCACACCCAGCTAATTTTTTGTGTGTGTGTGTTTTTTTTTTTTTAGTGGAGACGGGGTTTCACCATGTAGCCAGGATGGTCTCGATCTCCTGATCTCGTGATCCGCCCGCCTTGGCCTCCCAAAATGCTGGGATTACAGACGTGAGCCACCGCGCCCAGACCTAATTTTTGTATTTTTAGTAGAGACAGGGTTTCACCATGTTGGCCAGGATGGTCTCGATCTCTTGACCTCATGATCCACCTGCCTCAGTCTCCCAAAGTGCTGGGCTTACAGATGTGAGCCACCGCACCTGGCGCATTTTTCTTATTAGTCTAAAACTAGAATCTTTGTTTCACTTGAGATAAAGGAAAGAAGTAGGCACTGGGAATGGATCAATCTTTAAAGAAATATTATGCTTTGAATTTCCATGAACAATTAGAATAACAATAGAAGGTGACTGATGAATAGCTATTATGATAAAACCCAAGTTTTCTATAAGGATAACAGACAAACATATCATGCCACATGAGATCAGTGGATGGAAGGGAACTAAGGCAAGCAGGGCCAGTGGTAAGGAGGAGTGTAAGAACTGGGACTAGAATGATTATGGATTAAATGGAAACAAAAATTGTCCCAAATAAAGCAACCACTGCTTTAAGCAGCAGTATAATTTTCAACATCAATTTGCACATAGTAACACTTTTTAAATTGTATTTAATTTTTAAATATTTATTTATTTATTTGAGACCAGGTTCTGAGACTGGCTAATTTTTGTATTTTTGGTAGAGATGGGGTTTCACCATGTTAGCCAGGCTGGTCTCAAACTCCTGACCTCAGGTGATCCACCTGCCTCGACTTCCCAAAGTGCTGGGATTACAGGCATGAGCCACCATGCCAGCCTCATCCTTTTTTTTAATCCTAATTTTGCTTTTAAAATTAATTGGAGGAGAAGCATTTGAAGTACACTTGTCATATAACTTTGATTTCTACCATTTATTTCCACCTCTTGCTTTTAAAATCTGTTAAGTGAGAAGTGAACATTTTATCAAGGCATATAGTTAAAATGTCCAAAACCATGGAATGTCTCAGTGTGTTCTGCCAAAATCTTAATTCTAGGTGTTTTAGCTTCAATTTTAAAAACTGCCATTATTAGCCATACTGTAGGAAAAAAAAAAAAAAGGATGCCTCAACTGACAGTTCTTCTAGAGCCAAACCTACCCATTATAATTTCACAGGAACTAGACAACTTGAAAACTGAGCTCATCTCCATGGTTTATTTCTCCTAAGGTCAGAAGGACAGTGAAAATTTGACTAACTTCAAATCTCAGCTTGTGTTCTAGGGAAAGGGAAGGCACAGGAAGAAGAATACTTCTTTTCTTTTTCTTTGAGATGGGGTTTCACTCTTGTTGCCCAGGCTGGAGTGCAATGACATGATCTCGGCTCACTGCAACCTCCGCCTCCCAGGTTCAAGCGATTCTACTGCCTCAGACTCCCCAGTAGGCTAGGATTCCTGGCACATACCATCACGCCCAGCTAATTTTTGTATTTTTAGTAGAGATGGGGTTTCACCATGTTGGCCAGGCTAGTCTCGAGTTCCTGACCTCAGGTGATCTGCTCACCTTGGCCTCCCAAAGTTCTGGGATTACAGGCGTGAGCCACCACGCCCAGCCAGAAGAATACTTTTTATGACCAAGCCTATTAAAATGCAAATCATTCCTACTGCATCCCATAGTTTTACTAAAATACCTGTCTCAAAAAAAGAATAACGAGAGCCTGACACCTATAAGCAACCGCATTAGGGCCTTTGCCGTCTTGTTGAACGGAAGGTAGGGTCTCCTTGTGCTAAAAGCACAACTCCTACAGGTGGGAAAAGTTGGAAACCCTGATTTAAAAAGCAGTTGCCCTGGGTTTGTTTCTGTTTTTGTTTTCTGAGTTCCACCACTAACTTACTTAGAGAAAACCTATGATTACACAGTTATTCCAGAAGAAATTCACTGATGCTTTCTTATCCCATGTTAAAAACTATGGTAGATACTCGAATGAGAGCTACCATTTAGTCCATGCTTACCGTGTGCCAGGCACCATTCTAAGTATTTCATTCATATTATCCAACATATCAGAAGTTCTACGTCGCTATCAAATAAGGCAACCAAGGCACAGAGGTGTTAAATAATTTATGCACAGTAACACAGCAAGTCAGCCATGGGACCAGACCTGCCATCTTGCTGATCTAACAGTAGGGCCCTGTGGCTGATGCTGTGCCCGCGGGTACAAAAGGAACACCATGGGCTGGGTGCAATGGCTCATACCTGTAATCTCAGCACTTTGGGAGGCTGAAGTGGGTGGATCGTTTGAGCCCAGGAGTTTGAGACGAGCCTGGGCAACATGGTGAGACCCCATCTCAATTAAAAACAGCAACAACAAAAGGAACACCAGGGCCAGTCCTTCCTGGAGAGCCTAGGAGGGAAGCCCAGAACAGCCAGCTTAGTCTTGGAGGACAGGAGGACAGGATGGTAACAAGTTTCCCAGTTAGAGAAGGAAGGTGGTACTCTAGCACGTGGAAAGGTACAGAGCTGTGAAGTTTGCCATTTAATCAATGCAGGGCCACCAAAGCCTTTTTTTTTCTTTTTTTTTTTTTTTTTTGAGACGGAGTCTCGCTCTGTCGCCCAGGCTGGAGTGCAGTGGCGGGATCTCGGCTCACTGCAAGCTCCGCCTCCCGGGTTCACGCCATTCTCCTGCCTCAGCCTCCCAAGTAGCTGGGACTACAGGCGCCCGCCACTACGCCCGGCTAACTTTTTGTATTTTTAGTAGAGACGGGGTTTCACCATTTTAGCCGGGATGGTCTCGATCTCCTGACCTCGTGATCCGCCCGCCTCGGCCTCCCAAAGTGCTGGGATTACAGGCGTGAGCCACCGCGCCCGGCCTCTTTTTTCTTTTTTTGAAATATGGTTTCCCTCTGTTGCCCAGGCTGGAGTGCAGTGGCATAATCATAGCTCATTGTAACCTTGATGTCCTGCGCTCAAACCATCCTCCTGCATCAGCCTCTCTAAGCGCTGGGATTAGAGGCATGAGCCACTATGCCTGGCCCTGAAAGACTTTGTAAATAAAAGGTTATCATTATCGACACTGTATTTTCACAGATCACTCTGGAGAAACTGATTTCTGTTGGGTTCTTTCATCCCCACTATTCTTGGGGAAGATACGAAGGTGATGCTTCGGAAGGAGATGCAAAGTGCTCCACATTATCTTCCTGTAGAACCACGCTCCAGTAAGTTATGTTTCCATTAGGGAGCCCACTTACCCCAATTCTGGATTTTGCTGGCTGTAGGCTAATAGATGTAGGATGATTTTACAGACTTGAGTGTGTTGAGCAGGTATGTGCAGGTGTGAGGACAGAGAAGGATCTGGGCTTTGATCCCTTCTGTATCTCTACCTGTGCTGAGGGCAAGATGAGGAAAACGGCCTGGGCAGCCCCGGGCTGAGCTATCAGTGGCCCTCAAGTGGAGAATTAAAGAAAACAGAATGGAAATGAGGAAGATTTTTTCAGAACAAGGAAGCAGACGGAGGTTTTCACCTACTTAGTCTATCATGTTATGATAGATTAATAAAGCCTTATTGTTTTGTTCTGTTTTCATCAAACATTTACTGGCTGTCAGCTCTGCCAGCCAGCATGCTAGCCACTGAAAATGAATAAGATGCATTTTAAGACTTTGGGACCTCTGCTTTAAAAATAAAAGGAAGCAAGCTCTTGGTTCTATTCTTCAGGCCACTGATTTGGTGGAGTCAAAAAGCATCACCCCAAGTATCGTTGATTGGAAACTATAACCATAGGTGATGGGTGAAAAACCCAGAAAAAGAAAAAACAAAGGATGATGAGAAAGAGGTACCGTGACATAATTTATTTATTTATTCATTTCTCTCTTTTTTTTTTTTTTTTTTTTTTGAGACAGAGTCTCGCTCTGTCGCCCAGGCTGGAGTGCAATGGCACAATCTCGGCTCACCGCAACCTCTGCCTCCCAGGCTTAAGTGAGTCTCCTGCCTCAGCCTCCTGAGTAGCTGGGACTATAGGCATGAGCCACCATGCCCAGCTAATTTTTGCATTTTTAGTAGAGGCAAGGATTTGCTATATTGGCCAGGCTGGTCTTGAACTCCTGACCTCAAGTGATCCACCTGCCTCGGCCTCCCAAAGTGCTGGGATTACAGGCATGAGCCACCACGCCTGGCCCCATGACATAATTTCTGTCTTAAAAAATATATCTTGAACCTGTCTGTCAGGTGGATACAGGACTTTAGACACCAACTTCCCCTTCTACATGAAGCCAACCTGCCCACAGCCCCTGCTCTGGGAAGCTGCCCTGGACTGAGCTGGACATGGTTGACCATAATCAGAGAAGAGGGACCAGAGGATCTGATCCAGGGCAGGACCTTGAGGTGGCCTGAAAGGATGGTTCTGGTCAATAGGGACTATGGTCATTACAAAGCCAGCCAGCCTGGCTCCTTCCATGTTGAAGTTTACAAGGATGAGACAACATTGGGCCAGGCATGGTGGCACATGCCTTTGGTCCCAGATACTTGGGAGGCTGAGATGGGAGGATCACTTAAACCCAGGAGGTCCAGGCTGCAGTGAGCTGTGATTGCACCACGCTCTCCAGCCTCTCCAGTCTCCAAGCAACAGGAGTGAGACTGTTTCAAAAAAAGAAAGAAAGAAAGACAACACTGTCCATTGGGTAAAGGGAGGAGGCCAGGCTACTATAGTGGGAGCATGAAGACCACGAGATCCAGACAGAAGAACTGGCCCTAGACCAGCCTTAGATCCAGGTCCAGTCCATGTGAACTTGCCACAAACCCTTTTTCTCTTAAAAAGGTTTGAGTGAGTGAGTCTTTGTTTTTGATATAACTAGCACCTAGCAACCATTCCAGAAACAGTGTGGAGGATGGGTTTGCAGAAGGCAGATTTTTGGCAACTCTGCATTTGATAAAAATACTTTATTGAACTCTTTCCAAATTATTACCGATTGCATTAGACACTGTCACATCTCCTGTAAGCTCTAAAATTTCAGGCACTTTCTCTTCACTTTGCACTCTGAGTGGCTAAGGTGATTTTTTTTTTTTTTTTTTTAGTCTCGCTCTGTCACCCAGGCTGGAGTGCAGTGGCACAATCTCAGCTCACTGCAACGTCCGTCTCCAAGGTTCAAGCAATTCTCCTGCCTCAGCCTCCCAAGTAGCTGAGATTACAGGCACGCACCACCACATCTGGCTAGTTTTTGTATTTTTGTAGAGATGGGATTTCGCCATGTTGGCTAGGCTGGTCTCGAACTCCTGACCTCAGGTGATCCACCGCCTCAGCCTTTCAAAGTGCTGGGATTACAGGCGTGAGCCACCATGCCCGGCCTCATGTTCTTTAAGCTTTGCATGTAGTGGGTCTTCTATAAATGTTTATTGAATTAGAAAGACTGCCAAAAGGCTCCTGGGACTGATAAATGACTTCAGCAATGTTTCAGGACACAAAATCAATGTACAAAAATCAGTAACATTTTTCTACACCAATAATGTTCAAGCTGAAAGCCAAATCAAGCATGTAATTTCATTTACAATAGCCACAAAAAATAAATAAGTAAAATACTTAGGAATACATCTAACCAAGGAGGTGAAAGACTTCTACAAGGAAAACTACAAAACACTGCTGAAAGAAATCACAGATGACACAAACAAATGGAAAAACATCCCATGTTCATGGATTGGAAGAATCAATATCGTTAAGATGGCCATATTGCCCAAAGCAATTTACAGATTCAATGCTATTCTTATCAAACTACCAATGCCATTTTTCACAGAATTAGAAAAAAAAAAACTATCCTAAAATTTATATAAAACCGAAAAAGAGCCCAAATAGCCAAAGTAATTCTAAGTAAAAAGAACAAAGTTATAGGCATCACATTACCTGACTTTAAACTATACTATATGGCTACAGTAGCCAAAACAGCATGGTACTGGTACAAAAACAGACATATAGACCAAAGGAACAAAGTGAAGAACCGAGAAATAAAGCTGCACACCTACATCTGATCTTTGATAAAGTTGACAAAATTAAGCAATGGGGAAAGGACTCCCTATTCAATAAATGGTGCTGGATGTAATAGCTGGCTAGCCATATGCAGAAGAATGAAACTGAACCCCTATATTTCACCACATAAAAAAATTAACTGAAGATGGATTAAAGATCTAAATGTAAGACCTCAAACTATAAGAATCCCAGACCAGGCTGGGTGCAGTAAGTCACGCCTGTAATCCCAGTACTTTGGGAGACTAAAGCAGGAGGATAACTTGAGCCCAGGAGGTTGAGACCAGCCTGGGCAACATAAGACCTTGTCTCTACAAAAAAAACAATTTTTTTTAATTAGCCAGATGTGGTGGCATGCACCTATAGTCTCAGCTATTTGTGAGGCTGAGATGGGAGGATCACTTGAGCCCAGGAGGTCAAGGCTGCAGTGAGCCCAAATCACACCACTGCACTCCAGCGTAGGTGACAGAGAAAGACCCTGTCTGAAAAAAAGAAGGGAAGGAAAGGGGAGGGGAGGGGAGAGGAAGGAAGGCTAGGAAACACTATTCTGTACATCACCCTTCGGAAACAATTTATGACTAAGTTCTCAACAGCAATTGCAGCCTGGGTGCAGTGGCTCATGCCTATAATCCCAGCACTTTGGGATGCCAAGGTGGGAGGATTGCTTAAGCTGAGAAGTATAAGCTGGGGCAACATAGGGATACTCCATCTCTATAAAAACATTTTTAAAATTAGCTGGGTATAGTGGCACATGCCTGTGGTCCCGCTACTCAAGAGGCTGAGGTGGGAGGATCACTTGAGCCCAGGAGGTCAAGGCTGCAGTGAGCCATGATCATGCTAGTAGTTTGAGACCAACCTGACCAACATGGAGAAATCCCGTCTCTACTAAAAATACAAAATTAGCCAGACGTGATGGTGCATGCCTGTAATCCCAACTACTCAGGAAGCTGAGACAGGAGAATCGCTTGAACCTGGGAGGCGGAGGTTGCAGTGAGCCGAGATCGCGCCATTGCACTCCAGCCTGGGAAACAAGAGAGAAATTCCGTCTCAAAAAAAAAAAACCTATCAAGAGCATGCGGACAACCTATAGAATGGGAGAAAATATTTGCAAAGTATGCATCAGACAAACAACCCCATTAAAAAGTGGACAAAAGTCCAGACACAGTGGATCATGCCTATAATCCCAGCACGTTGGGAGGCCGAGGCGGGTGAATCACAAGGTCAGGAGTTCGAGACCAGCCTGGCCAACATGGTGAAACCCCATCTCTACTAAAAATACAAACATTAGTGGGACGTGGTGGCGCATGCCTGTAATCCCAGCTACTTAAGTGGCTGAGACAGGAGAATTGTTTGAACCTGAGAGGCAGAGGTTGCAGTGAGCTGAGATTGTGCCACTGCACTTCAGCCTGGGCAACAAAACAAGACTCCGTGTCAAAAAAAAAAAAAGTGGACAAAAGATATGAACAGTCACTTCTCAAAAGAAGACATACAAGTGGCCAAAAAAAAATATGAAAAAATGCCTATCATATTAATCATCAGAAAAATGCAAATCAAAACCACAATGAGATACCATCTCACACCAGTCTGAATGGCTATCAATTACAAGTCAAAAAATAACAGATGCTGGCGAGGCTGCAGAGAACTAATTTACATTCCCACTAACATTTATACACTGTTGGTGGGAATGTAAATTAGTTCAACCACTGTAGAAAACAGTCTGCAGATTTCTCAAAGAACTTAGAACTACTGTTCAACTCAGCAATCCCACTACTGGGTATATATTAAAAAAAAAAATAGGCTGGGCACAGTGGCTCATGCCTGTAATCCCAGCACTTTGGGAGGCCAAGGCAGGCAGATCACCTGAGTTTGGGAGTTCGAGACCAGCCTGACCAACATGGAGAAACCCTGTCTCTACTAAAAATACAAAATTAGCCGGGCATGGTGGCGCATGCCTGTAATCTCAGCTACTCAAGAGACTGAGGCAGGAGAATCGCTTGAATCTGGGAGGCAGAGGTTGCGGTGAGCTGAGATCACACCATTGCACTCCAGTCTGGGCAACAAGAGTGAAAACTTCATCTCAAAATAAATAAATAGATAAAATAAATTGTTCTACCAAAAAAACACATTCATTCATATGTTCATCGCAGTGCGATTCACAATAGCAAAGTCATAGAATCAACCTAGGTTCCCATCAACAATGGAGCAGATAAAGAAAACGTGGTACGTATACACCACAGAATACTACACAGCCATTAAAAGGAATGAAATGGCTGAGTGCAGTGTCTCATACTTGTAATCTCACCACTTTGGGAGGCTGAGGAGGGTGGATCATCTGAGGTCAGGAGTTCAAGACCAGCCTGACCAGTATGGAGAAACCCTGTCGCTACTGAAAATACAAAAATTAGCCGGGCATGGTGGAGCATGCCTGTAATCCCAGCTACTCAGGAGGCTGAGGCAGGAGAATCGCCTGAACCCAGGAGGCGGAGGTTGCAGTGAGACAAGATTGCACCATTGCACTCCAGCCTGGGCAACGAGAGTGAAACTCTGTCAAAAAAAAAAAAAGGAATGAAAGCATGTCATTTGCAGCAACGTGGATGCAGCTAGAGACCAGTATCCTAAGCAAATTAATGCAGAAACAGAAAACCAAATACTGCATGTTCTCACTTATAAATGGGAGCTAAATGTTGGGTGCTTATGGACATAAAGATGGCAACAATAGACACTGGAGACTACTGGGGTGGGGCAAGGGTTGAAAAATGAACTATATTAGGCGCTATATTCAGTACCTGGGTAACGAGATAAATCATACCTTAAACCTCAGCATCATGCAATATAGCCAGGTAACAAACCTGCACATGTACCCTCTTAACCTAAAATAAGTTGAGATTATTTTATAAAAATGAGTAAGTATGGTGTATTTAAAGACAAAACTCTACTTCGTTCCTCATATATAAGCTTTTTGATCAACAGGAAATTCAGATTTCAGAAACATAGTGGAACTCTTGCTTGGAGAATTGAGATGATAAAATGTAAATGAAGCACTCAGCTTTCTGTCTGAATGTTAACTGTAGTTGCTTTTCTTCACTGAGCACCTGCCATGTGCAGGCTCAATGTTCTGCTCACTCCTTTTCTCCTCACAGCAAACTGCCATGAGGATTTGCACACCCTTTTTACAGATAAGGGAACTGAAGATTTTTTTTTTTTTTCTGAGACAGAGTCTCGCTCTGTTGCCCAGGCTGAAGTGCATAGACACAATCTCGGCTCACCATAATCTCCACCTCATGGGTTCAGGCGATTCTCCTGCCTCAGTCTCCCCTGTAGCTGGGACTACAGGCACGTGCTACCATGTCTGGCTAATTTTTGTATTTTTAGTAGAGACGGGGGTCTCGCCATTTTGGCCAGGCTGGTCTCGAACTCCTGACCTCAAGTGATCTGCCCGCCTTGGCCTCCCAAAGTGCTAGGATTACCGGCGTGAGCCACCATGCCCAGCCTGAAGCTGAACAATATTGAGTGACATACAAAGTCTCTTGGGTAGAAGGTGTGGAAGTTAGGGCTGTGAATTGAATATGTCTGGTAATTTTTCTGTCACACTCAACTTTTAATTTAACTGTCCCATCACAGCTTCCAAAGGGGCAGCCTAGCATGCCAATTACCCTTTACTCCACACATGCTCCCACAATAGCTAATTAGGTTGAGAGAGGGCACCTCACCCAAGGGGACCAATCCGCAGGGTGAGCAGTGACCCAGGATGTGGATTAGGAGAGAGGTTCTGCCCCAATGGAGACAAGATTGGCCAATTACATTTTGACTTTTTCAAGAATTTAAACTACGAGACAACAACATAATTATGAGCTGATGGTGGCCCTTCGAGCTGAGAGGTTGTGATGTAGACTTGAGAAGCCACAGTAAATGCAAGACAGAAGCAGCGATAAAAACAATTAGAGGCCGGGTACAGTGGCTCATGCCTGTAATCCCAGCACTTTGGGAGGCTGAGGCAGGAGGATCACCTGAGCCCAGGAGTTCAAGACCAGCCTGGGCTACATAGTGAGACCTCATCTCTACTAAAAATTAAAAAAATTAGTTCGGCGTGGTGGCATACACCTGTATTCCCAGCTACTTGGGAGGCTGAACCTGGAGTTTGAGGTTGCAGCAAGCTATGATCATGCCACTGCGCTCTAGCCTAGTGACAGAATAAGAGCCTGAGACCCTATCTAAAAAAAAAAAAAAAAAAAGCAATTGGAATTTCTCCAATATGATCTCTCATTCTCTCTCTCTCTCACACACACAGACACACACACACACACACACAAATCCATCCTTACTCTCTCTCTCTATCTGAGATGGGTGGATGGATGGATATTGTGAGAGTAATGTGAGAGGTGAGTAGAACAGACCAGAAACACAGCTTGTTGGACAAAAAGTCGACAACTGCATTCATGACACTATGCTGCCTTGAAACAAAGTACATCCACTTATATGGCAGGATCTTTATAATATTGGAGGACTTTCAAACTTGTGTTGTGCACAAATAATTTTCGTGTTTTTTTTTTTTTTTTTTTTTTTGAGACAGAGTCTTGCTCTGTCGCCCAGGCTGGAGTGCAGTGGCACGATCTCGGCTCACTGCAAGCTCCGCCTCCTGGGTTCACGCCATTCTCCTGCCTCAGCCTCCTGAGTAGCCGGGACTACAGGCGCCCACCACCACACCCGGCTAATTTTTTGTATTTTTTTAGTAGAGACCGGGTTTCACCATGTTAGCCAGGATGGTCTCGAGCTCCTGACCTCGTGATCCGCCCGCCTCGGCCTCCCAAAGTGCTGGGATTACAGGCGTGAGCCACCGTGCCTGACCTAATTAATTTTCTTTTCTTTTTTTTTTTTTTGAGACGGACTCTTGCTCTGTGGCCCAGGCTGGAGTGCAGTGGCGCCATCTCGGCTCACTGCAAGCTCCGCCTCCCAGGTTCACGCCATTCTCCTGCCTCAGCCTCCCGAGTAGCTGGGACTACAGGCGCCCCCCACCACGCCCAGCTAATTCTTTTTGTATTTTTAGTAGAGACCGGGTTTCACCGTGGTCTCGATCTCCTGACCTCGTGATCCGCCCGCCTCGGCCTCCCAAAGTGCTGGGATTACAGGCGTGAGCCACCTCGCCTGGCCTAATTAATTTTCAAATCATACCCATTTGAGGCTATAGAGCCAACATTCCCCCCTCTCCCCTTTTACACTGTGAGATGTTGTATTGTAGATGATACATTTTACAAGGCAAAGGCTTTGTTACTAGGAGGAGGAGATTAGGAACCCTGACACAAATCATCCTGAGAGCCAAAGGGGTTGTTAATGAAAGGATCACACTCACCTCTAAGTTCAAAGAGCAGGTAGACGAGGTTAACCTCACACTCTACATTTGCCCTTCAAATTCCTGAGAAACTTCCCAGGAACCTTTTCTCTAATTCTCAGATGTGTATAATAAGGCACTTATTGGCCGGGCGCGGTGGCTCACGCCTGTAATCCCAGCACTTTGGGAGGCCGAGGCGGGCGGATCACGAGGTCAGGAGATCGAGACCATCCTGGCTAACACGGTGAAACCCCGTCTCTACTAAAAATACAAAAAATTAGCTGGGCGTGGTAGCGGGCGCCTGTAGTCCCAGCTACTCGGGAGGCTGAGGCAGGAGAATGGCGTGAACCCGGGAGGCGGAGCTTGCAGTGAGCCGAGATCGCGCCACTGCACTCCAGCCTGGGCGACAGAGCGAGACTCCGTCTCAAAAAAAAAAAAAAAAAATAAGGCACTTATTATATGCTTACTTTACTGAACAGTAAAGCTCAAGACAAGCCTTTTGGATGTCTCTTCTATACTTCACCTGTGACTTCACTCTAAAAATATGGCATTTATGCCTTTTTATTTTTTATTTTTTGAGACAAGGTCTTGCTCTGTTGCCCAGGCTGGAGTGCAGTGGCTCAAACATGGCTCACTGCAGCCTCAACCTCCTGGGCTCAAGTGATCCTCCTGCCTCAGCTTCCCAAATAGCTGGAAGTACAGGCACATACCACCGTGACTGGCTAATTTGTTGTTGTTGTTTGTTGTTGTTGTTGTTGTTGTTGTTGAGATGGGGTCTCCCTGTGTTGCTCAAGCTGGTCTCAAGCTCATAAACTCAAGCAGTCCTCCTGCCTCAGCCTCACGAAGTGCTAGGATTACAGGCATGAGCCACTGCACCCAGCCAAAAGGAATTTTTATAAAAGGGCATAGCCAACACCATGGCTCAAGCCTGTAATTCCAACACTTTGGGAGGCTGAGGCCAGTGGATCACTTGAGGTCAGGAGTACAAGACCAGCTTGGCTAACGTGGTGAAACCCCATCTCTACTAAAAATACAAAACTTAGCCAGGCGTGGTAGCGCACACCTGTGGTCCCAGCTACTCAGGAGGTTGTGAACCCAGAAGGCGGAGATGCAGTGAGCCAAGATCGCACCACTGCACTCAAGCCTGGGTGACAAAGCAAGATTCTGTTAGAAAAAAAAATCATTTTATTGTTATTTTACTGAGGCTTCAGGAAGGAAAGTAGATGGCATGTGTTCAATCTGTTATCTTCTGTCTGGTGTAGATTGCAATAATGACATATGTCAAAACATTTTATTATGGAAAATTTCAAATATAAACAAAATACAGAGAATGTTCATGAAACTCTCCCCCCAACACACACACATTACCCACCACCCAGCTTTAGCAATTACCAACTCATGGGCAATCTTGTTTCATCCATATTCCTTCCCATTTGCCCCTCCTCCTGGATTATTTTGAAACAAATCCCAAACATCATGTCATTTCATTTGTAAAACAATAATAGATTTGGAGTGCTTATGTAGCTCCCTCTAGGAAATGAATTTCTAATTAGGGTACTTCAGATACTAAGTAATCTTCCCTAGAATGTGGGTTTCTAATTAGGGCACTCCAAATGTGAATAGCATCTAGAGTATAGATTAAAGTTAATCTACACACACATACATTACACTGGTAATTCTAAAGTACTTTAAAGGAAATCGCCATACAGACAATCTACCACTGTGAAACTCAAAGGTAGAGGAGAATTAGTGGGTCTTGTCTGAGTAGCAGAAGCTTGAGAGACACGGCGCTCGGGGTTGATGATTTTGTTTTGCTCTTGCGAGAATGGGGGAAGGGAGCTATCAGGAAAAAGAGGTAATTTGTGAAGAAAGATGAAGACCTTGAGATAATGTTGGACACAACAAGAAACAGACCATTATGAATACATGACTGGGGCTCAGAGAGAGGTCAGGCTGAGTGTTCGCATGTAAGAGTCATTCTTATGGAAATAAGAATTGAAGCAGGAGCAGAAGTGGTTTCTCCAACTGAGAGTGGGAAAAGAACAGAATAACCAGAGTTTATTTACGTTGGGGAGAGGAAAAGGTGCCGTTTATCTGACAGAAAGGGAGTTGGGGCCGGGCGCGGTGGCTCACGCCTGTAATCCCAGCACTTTGGGAGGCCGAGGCGGGCGGATCACGAGGTCAGGAGATCGAGACCACGGTGAAACCCGGTCTCTACTAAAAATACAAAAAGAATTAGCTGGGCGCGGTGGCGGGCGCCTGTAGTCCCAGCTACTAGGGAGGCTGAGGCAGGAGAATGGCGTGAACCCGGGAGGCGGAGCTTGCAGTGAGCCGAGATCGCGCCACTGCACTCCAGCCTGGGCGACAGAGCGAGACTCCGTCTCAAAAAAAAAAAAAAAAAAAGGGGGGAGTTGGGCCATGACACCTACAATTTACATTACCTCCTATATCAGGCCGGGCACCGTGGCTCATGCCTGTAATCCCAGCACTTTGGGAGGCCGAGGTGGGTGGATCACCTGAGGTCGGGAGTTCGAGACCAGCCTGATCAACATGGAGAAACCCCATCTCTACTAAAAATACGAAATTAGCCGGGCATGGTGGCGCAAGCCTCTAATCCCAGCTACTCTGGAGGCTGAGGCAGGAGAATCACTTGAACCCAGGAGGCTGAGGTTGCAGTGAACCGAGATCGCCCCACTGCACTCAAGCCTGGGCAACAAGAGCAAAACTCCGCCTCAAAAACAACAACACAACAAAAACATTACCTCCTTCATCACAGAGAGTGTGGTAGAAAGGGTTGTATGTTACACTCTTGGGCAGGGTTCTTAGCCCCTTGCACATGGACTCCCTCGGTAGTTGGGAGAAACCTGTGGACTCCCTCTCAGAACAGTGTTCTTAAATGCATAAAATAAAATACATAGGATTACAAAGGATGCCAATTATGTTGAAATACAGTTATCAAAATAGTTTAACATGTGATACAATAATAAATATTATTCTTTGATTGACACATTAAATAACAAGATCTAGTGGCAGGTGTAATAATTACTATAATTTTGAAGTAGTAATGAGCATAAATTATATTTTGAGATACGTGCAACAACTCTAATGTGAGATGAAAATAACTGTGACTTCTATGGGTGACAAAGTCATAGGTACTGCTAATACTACTGTGTTTTGTTGTGTGACTTCATAATGGAAGGAAGTGCTAATTTTCAGTTAGAGGTGAATGGAAATAAGAAAGCATTTTTTTTTCCTATTCAAGTTCACCAACCACCTCCCAACCCCCCAAACATCATGGGACCTTCAACCCCAGGTTAAGATTTCTGTTCCAGGGTTAGTCGGTCAAATTACTTCATTCATTTAACAACTATGTTTTGAATGTCAACCTGGGCTAGACATGGAGAAACGAGAATAAATAAGCTGCAAGGAGCTCATGGTGAAGTTAGGGAGACCAGCACATAAATAGATGCTCCTTCTTAAGGAGCATCTTAAGCTCCTCTTCCTTCTTAAGCTCCTCTTCCTCTCCCTCTTTCCTAATATCCAAGTCTTGAACACACCATCTTCTTGCCTCAGGGCCATCCTATGTGCCATAGCTTGCCTTGGATGTCCTCTCCTCACCCCAACACACATACACAATTCACAGAGCTTGTTCCTACTCATCTTTTAGTTAGTTCACAACTTAAACATCACTTCTTCTAGGAAGACTTCCACAACTCTCCCCCAACTGCGTGATACAGTGGTTCAAAGCACTTAACTAGTCCTTCTTGATGGACACTTCAATTATCTCCAGTTTTTAATCATTACCAGCAATGCAGTCACACATAGACACACACACACACACACACACCCACACCATTGTATACTTGTACTTCTATTTCTGATGGAAACTTTTTAGAAGTGGAATTGTTAAGACAAAATAAATGCACATTTTGCATGTCCATCAATACTACCAATTGCTCTCAAATAGGTGCTATAGAGGATCTGCTTTCTCACACTCTTAATTTTTTTTTTTTTTTTTTTGTGAGACAGAGTCTCGCTGTGTCACCCAGGCTGCAGTGCAGTGGCTGTGATCTTGGCTCACTGTAATCTCTGCCTCCTGGGTTCAAGTGATTCTCCTGCCTCAGCCTCCCAAGTAGCTGGGATTATAGGCGTTCACCACCACTCCCAGCTAATTTTCATATTTTTAGTAGAGACAAGATTTCACCATGTTGGCCAGGCTGGTTTCGAACTCCTGGTCTCAAATGATCCACCCACCTTGGCCTTCCAAAGTTCTGGGATTATAGGTTTGAGCCACTGTGCCCAGCTTACTCTTAACAATATTATCAATCTTTTAAACATTTGTTAATATTTTCATAAGATGGCAACAATCTCATTGTTAAGTTTACTTTTTTCTCTTTTTTGTTTTTTGTTTGTTTGTTTGTTTGTTTTGAGACAGAGTCTCACTCTGTCACTCAGGCTGGAGTGCAGTGGTGCGATCTTGGCTCACTGCAACCTCCGCCTCCTGGGTTCAAGCGATTCTCCTGCCTCAGCTTCCTGAGTAGCTGGGACTACAGGTACATGCCACCAAGCCCAGCTAATTTTTTGTATTTTTAGTAGAGACAGGGTTTCACCGTGTTAGCCAGGATGGTCTCGATCTCCTGACCTCGTGGTCCACCGGCCTTGGCCTCCCAAAATGCTGGGATTATAGGCATGAACCACTGTGCCCGGCCAAGATTTTTGATTATCAATGAGATTGAACATTTTGTAATTCTATTATTTAAAATATAAGACGTAATTATTTTGACATTATGGATAGAAGAATGTGAGATGGAAAATAAAACAAAATTAATATTCCTGCTTAAAAATAAAGGAGCATTTTAGGAAGGAAAGCACTTTGATATAAATGGCATTTGTACCTAAAGCATTTTTTGGAGTAAACAAAACATTTTAAACCATGCTTAAAGCTAACCATATATATTGGCTGTTTTGCTTCAGATTATTACTGAAGATGCTGCATCATCCTATATTGGTAAATCTTCTGATATATAAGCTTTATAATCATCAAAGAATAAGCTTTCACCCAGTACCCATATCTTGGTTTCTAAATGTTATTCTCCAGCAACAACAAAAAAATCTAGGCTGGACGCGGTGGCTCATGCCTGTAATCCCAGCACTTTAGGAGGCCAACGTGGGTGGATCACCTGGGGTCAGGAGTTTGAGACCAGCCTGGCCAATATGGCAAAACCCCACTCCTACTAAAAATATAAAAATTAGCCAGGTGTGGTGGTGGGTGCCTGCAGTCCCAGCTACCTAGGATGCTGAGACAGGAGAATTGCTTGAACCTGGGAGGTGGAGGTTGCAGTGAGCCGAGATTGCACCACTGCACTCCAGCTGGGTGACAGAGCGAGACTCTATCTCAAAAACAAAAAAACAAAAAACAAAAAACAAAACTAAGGGGCCAGGTGCAGTGGCTCACACCTGTAA
Source organism: Homo sapiens (assembly GCF_000001405.40). Classification (NCBI taxonomy): domain Eukaryota; kingdom Metazoa; phylum Chordata; class Mammalia; order Primates; family Hominidae; genus Homo; species Homo sapiens. The sequence goes on from NC_000013.11 coordinate 40,702,309, forward strand.
TCCCGGCACTTTGGGAGGCTGAGGTAGGGGGATCACTTGAGGTCAGGAGTTCGAGACCAGCCTGACTGATATAGTCAAACCTCATCTCTACTAAAAATACAAAAATTGTGAGGGCCGTGGTGGCTCATGTCTCTGATCCCAGCACTTTGGGAGGCCGAGGTGGGCAGAGGTCAGGAGTTCGAGATCAGCCTGACCAACATGGCAAAACCCCTTCTCTACTAAAAATACAAAAATTAGCTGGGCATGGTGGTGGGTGCATGTAATCCCAATTACTCGGGAGGCTGAGGCAGAAGAATCACTTGAACCCAGGAGGTGGAGGCTGCAGGGAGGCAGAGGTTGCAGTGAGCCAAGATGGCGTCATTGCACTCCAGCCTGGGCAACAGAGTGAGACTCTGTCTCAAAAAAAAAAAATTAATTAATTAAAATATAAAAATTAGCCAGGCATGTTGTCGGGCACCTGTAATCCCAGCTACCCAGGCGGCTGAGGCAGGAGAATCACTTGAACCTGGGAGGCAGAGGTTGCAGTGAGCTGAGATCACACCACTGCACTCCAGCCTGGGCAGCAGAGCAAGACTCCATCTCAAAAAAAAAAAAAAAAATCCAAGTTTTCCCAGAGAAGTGATTCATTCCAGGACTGGAGTAGGGACAAAAAGGGCCTGGAGCTGGCAACACACGATGGCTCACACCTGTAATTCCAACACTTTGGGAGGCTGCGGTGGGAGGATCACAAGGTCAGGAGTTTGAGACCAGCCTGGCCAACAAAGTGAAACCCTGTTTCTACTAAAAATACAAAAAGTAGCTGGGTGTGGTGGCACATGCCTGTAGTCCCAGCTACTTGAGAGGCTGAGGCAGGAGAATTGCTTGAACCCAGGAGGCGGAGGTTGCAGTGAGCCAAGACCACGCCATTGCACTCCAGCCTGGGTAACAGAGTGAGACTCTGTCTCCAGAACAAACAAACAAACAAACAAACAAAAAGAAGGGCCTGGACTGTCTTGTGGCACCAGACAATAGGAAAGTGCTCCAAAAAGATGGGGACATGTCAAAAGGTCACAGGAACCACCACGAAAAAGCTCTCAATGGCCAAACCTGGAACAACTTGAGCAAGAAAATAATGATAATACTAGATTATATCACCTAGTAGAGCTGTGAGAAGGGGACTGCCGCCCTCTTGATCCAAGAATGGTAGAACCAGCAGCAGCTTGCATCCTGAGCCCAGAAAAGCCGCAGGCACTGGATTCCAGTCCATCAGAGCAGCCGTGTGGGCTACATCCAGCAAAGCCAAAGGGAGGAGGTGCCCAAGGCGCTTGGAGCCCTGTGTGCCCTGGATGGCAGACATGGAGTCAAAGGAGCTTAGTTTGGAGCTTTTAGATTTAATGACTGCTTTGCTGGATTTCAGACTTGTGTGGGGCCTATTGCCTGCTGCTTTTGGCTAATTTCTCCCCTTTGGAATGAGAATGTCTACCCAGTTGCCTGTACCACCATTTTATCTTGGGAGTAAATAACTTGTTTTTGATCTCACAGGTTCATGGGTGAAAGGGACTCATCTCCAAACGAGACTTTGGACTTTGGACTTGGGACTTTCGAGTTAATGCTGGAGTTAAAGCTTTGAGGAACTAGTGCAAAGGCATGATTTTTTTTTTTTTTTTTTTTTTTTTGGAGACGGAGTTTTGCTCTGTCGCCCAGGCTGGAGTGCAATGGTGCAATCTCGGCTGACTGCAACCTCCGCCTCCCAGGTTCAAGCGATTCTCCTGCCTCAGCCTCCAAAGTAGTTGGGATTATAGGCACCCACCATCATGCCCAGCTAATTTTTGTATTTTTAGTAGAGATGGGGTTTCGCCATGTTGGTCAGGCTGATCTCGAACTCCTGACCTCAGGTGATCTGCCCAACTCGGCCTCCCAAAGTGCTGAGATTACAGGCATGAGCCACTGTGCCCGGCCAAGACGAGTTTTTGCTCTATTGCCCACGCTGGAGTGCAATGACGCAATCTCGGCTCACCGCAACCTCTGTCTCCCAGGTTCAAGCGATTCTCCTGCCTTAGCCTCCCAAGTAGCTGGGATTACAGATGCTCGCCACCACGTCCAGCTAATTTTTTTGTATTTTTAGTAGAGATGAGGTTTCACCATTTGGCCAGGCTGGTCTCGAACTCTTGATCTCAGGTGATCCACCTGCCTCGGCCTCCCAAAGTGCTAGGATCACAGGCATGTACCACTGCACTCAGCCCATAATTGTATTTTGAAATTGAGGACATGAGATTTGGGGGGCCAGAGGCAGAATGATATGGTTTGGATGTTTGTCCCCTCCAAATCTCATGTTGAAATGTAATTCCCATTGTTGAAGGTGGGGCCTGGTGGGAGGCGATTGGATCATGGGAGGCAATTGGATCATTGTTTGGTGATGAGTGAGTTCTTGCTCAGTTCATGGGAGATCTGGTTGTTTAAAGGAGTCTGGGACCTCCCCTGACTCTTGCTCCCTCTCTTGCCATGTGACTCTCTGGCTCCCCTTCACCTTTCACCATGATTGGAAGCTTCTTGAGGCCTCATCAGAAGCATATGCTGGCATCACACTTCCTGTACAGCCTGCAGAACCATGAGCCAAAATAAATCTCTTTTCTTTTTTTTTTTTTTTTTTGAGATGGAGTCTCACTCTGTTGCCCAGGCTGGAGTGCAGTGGTATGATCTTGGCTCACTGCAGCCTCCACCTCCCAGGTTCAAGCAATTCTCCTGCCTCAGCCTCCCCAGTAGCTGGGATTACAGGTGTGTACCACCACACCCTGCTAATTTTTGTATTTTTAGTAGAGACGGGGTTTCACCATGTTGGCCAGGCTGGTCTCGAACTTCTGACCTCAAATGATCCACCCGCCTTGGCCTCCCAAAGTGCTGGGATTACAGGCGTGAGCCACTGCGCCTGGCCAATCTCTTTTCTTCATAAATTACAGTGTCAGGTATTCCTTTATAGCAAGGCAAGAACTGACTAACACAATCCCATAGGACTAAAACCCATAAATCCATATGGATATAAATAAATAATTCAACAAATAAATGTCTAAGAGAAGGGACAACTCTTCCTTATAGAATTCCAATAATCAATGTAGAAGGAATGAGTAACATACAAAATCCCCACTAGAACACCACAGTAGTAACTGTTGACTAGATCCACCAATGAATGTGAAAATCAGCAGGCAAAAGTTTGAGAAGAAACAGGATGCTAGCACGGTCTCAAAGCATCTATCCAAGATGTTTATCATTTAAAAAGGGAGAGAAGTAACTTACAGTAATGAAACCTGGGAGATTCCACCTTAATCAAGTGATCGTGGTAAATATCACTAATAAGCCACGTTGGCATCCTGTACCCCGATAGGAAATAACAAGAGCATTTCACCTTGTGATTTTCTTCCCCCAAACCCATCACCTTAGTCTAATCATAAGGAGAACGTGGACAAAACCAAACTGAGGATCATTCTACAAAACAGCTGGCCAGTACTCATCAAGAGTCCATGAAAGACAAGGAAATACGGAACAACTGTCACAGATTGGAGGAAACTGAGGCGACATAGATGGTAGGGGGTGGGAGGAGATGGTGAAAAATCAAAGGGCTGTAGTTTAATTCACCGTATTGTATCAAAGTTAATTTCCTCATCTTGATTATTGAACTATGGTTATATAAGTTTTGTTGTTGTTGTTTTGAGATGGAGTCTCTGTCGCCAAGGCTGGAGTGCAGTGGTGCGATCTCTGCTCACTGCAACCCCCGCCTCCCAGGTTCAAGCAATTCTCATGCTTCAGCCTCCAGAATAGCTGGGATTACAGGCACGTGTCACCATGTCCTGCTAATTTTTGTATTTTTAGTAGAGATGGTGTTTCACCATGTTGGCCAGGTGGTCTCCTGACCTCAAGTGATCTGCCCACCTCAGCCTCCCAAAGTGTTGGGATTACAGGCGTGAGCCACCATGCCCAGCTTATGGTTATATAAGTTTTTAACATTAGGGGAAGCAAAGTGGTAGGTGTATGTGAACTCTGTACTATTTCTGCAACTTTTCTGTAAGTATAAAATTATTTCAGAAATAAAATAAATACATGTGCATCTACAAAATGGTAACTATGGAGAAGTGATAATGTTAATTAGCTTGACTGTGATGCTCATTTCACAATGTATATGTGTATCAACCATCAAGTTGTACACCATATATATAATTTTTGTCAATTAAAATATATAAAAATAAATTAATCCAATACAAAAATAAATTAAAAATAAGAATAAGCACCATCTGAAGCACTACTTTCATAGCGAGCATTAAAAACCACATCCTGCTGCTGCTGGCTGTGCTGAGGACTTGAACACCGTTCAGAATTTCCCCTAGCACTGTGCAGCTCTTCATCCAGAACCATGTGTTTTTGCAAAATGCTGAAACTTTTTAAAAACAATGTACATTCCACTTTTCTTCTTCTTTATTATTATTCTTTAAGTTCTGGAGTACATGTGTAGAACATGCAGGTTTGTTACACAGGTATACATGTGCCATGGTGGTTTGCTGCACCCATCAACCAGTAATCTACATTAGGTATTTCTCCTAATACTGTTCCCCCCTAGACCCCATCCCCCACAGGCCCTGGTGTGTGATGTTCCCCTCCCTGTGTCCATGTGTTCTCATTGTTCAACTCCCACTTATGAGTGAGAAAATGCGGTGTTTGGTTTTCTGTTCCTGTGTTAGTTTGCTGAGAATGATGGTTTCCAGCTTCATTCATGTCCCTGCAAAGGACATGAACTCATTCTTTTTTATGGCTGCGTAGTATTCCATGGTGTACATGTGCCACATTTTCTTTATCCAGTCTATCATTGATGGGCATTTGGGTTGGTTCCAAGACTTTGCTATTGTCAGTAGTGCTCCAATAAACAGACGTGTGCATGTGTCTTTATAGTAGAATGACTTATAATCCTTTGGGTATATACCTAGTAATGGGATTGCTGGGTCTAATGGTATTTCTGGTTCTAGATCCTTGAGGATCATCATACTGTCTTCCACTATTGTTGAACTAATTTAACACTCCCACTAACAGTGTAAAAGTGTTCCTATTTCTCCACGTCCTCTCCAGCATGTTGTTTCCTGACATTTTAATGATTGCCATTCTAACTGGCATGAGATGGTATCTCATTGTAGTTTTGATGTGCATTTCTCTAAAGACCAGTGATGATGAGCTTATTTTCATATGTTTCTTGCCCACATAAATGTCTTCTTCTGAGAAGTGTCTGTTCACATCCTTTGCCCACTTTTTTGATGGGGTTTTTTTTTCCTGTAAATTTGTTTAAGTTTCTTGTAGATTCTGGATATTAGCTCTTTGTCAGATGGATAGATTGCAAAAATTTTCTCCTATTCTGTCGGTTGACTGTTCACTCTGATGATAGTTTCTTTTGCTGTGCAGAAGCTCTTTAGTTTAATTAGCCATTTGTCAATTTTGGCTTTTGTTGCCATTGCTTTTGGTGTTTTAGTCGTGAAGTCTTTGCCCATGCCAATGTCCTGAATGGTATTGGCTAGGTTTTCTTCTAGGGTTTTTATGGTTTTAGGTCTTACATTTAAGTCTTTAATCCATCTCGAGTTGATTTTTGTATAAGGTGTAAGGAAGGGGTTTAATTTCAGTTTTCTGCATATGGCTAGTCAGTTTTCCCAACATTATTTATTAAATAGGGAATCCTTTTCCCATTGCTTGTTTTTGTCAGGTTTGTCAAAGATCAAATGGTTGTAGATGTGTGGCATTATTTCTGAGGCCTCTATTCTGTTCCATTGGTCTATCCATCTGTTTTGGTACCAGTACCATGCTGTTTTGGTTACTGTAACCTTGTAATATAGTTTGAAGTCAGGTAGCATGATGCCTCCAGCTTTGTTCTTTTTGCTTAGGATTGTCTTGGCTATACGAGCTCTTTTTTGGTTCCATCTGAAATTTAAAGTAGTTTTTTTCTAATTCTGTGAAGAAAGTCAATGGTAGCTTGATAGGGATAGTATTGAATCTATAAATTACTGTAGGCAGTATGGCCATTTTCATGATATTGATTCTTCCTATTCATGATCATGGAATGTTTTTCCATTTATTTGTGTCCTCTCTTACTTCCTTGAGCGGTGGTTTGTAGTTCTCCTTGAAGAGGTCCTTCACATCCCTTGTAAGTTGTATTCCTAGGTATTTTATTCTCTTTGTAGCAATTATGAATGGGAGTTCATTCATGATTTGGCTCTCTGTTTGTCTATTATTGGTGGATAGGAATGCTTGTGATTTTTGCACACTGATTTTGTATCCTGAGACTTTGCTGAAGTTGCTTATCAGCTTAAGGTGATTTGGGCCTGAGACAATGGGGTTTACTAAATATACAATCATGTCATCTGCAAACAGACAATTTGACTTCCTCTCTTTCGATTTGAATATCCTTTATTTCCTTCTCTTCCCTGATTGTCCTGGCCAGAACTTCCCATACTATGTTGAATAGGAGTGGTGAGAGGGCATCCTTGTCGTGTGCCGGTTTTCAAAGGGAATGCTTCCAGCTTTTGCCCATTCAGTATGACATTGTCTGTGGGTTTGTCATAAATAGCTCTTATTATTTTGAGATACATTCCATCAATACTTAGTTTATTGAGAGTTTTTAGCATGAAGCGGTGTTGAATTTTATCAAAGGCCTTTTCTGCATCTACTGAGATAATCATGTGGTTTTTGTCATTGGTTCTGTTTATGTGATGGGTTACATTTATTGATTTGCATATGTTGAACCAGCCTTGCATCCCAGGAATGAAGCTGACTTGATCGTAGTGGATAAGCTTTTTGATGTGCTGCTGGATTTGGTTTGCCAGTATTTTATTGAGGATTTTCACATCGATGTTGATCAAGGATACTTGCCTGAAATATTCTTTTTTTTGTTTTGTCTCTGCCAGGTTTTGGTATCAGGATGATGCTGGCCTCATAAAATGAGTTAGGGAGGAGTTCCTCTTTTTCTGTTGTTTGTAATAGTTTCAGAAGGAATGGTACCAGCTCCTCCTTGTACCTCTGGTAGAATTCGGCTGTGAAACTGTCTGGTCCTGGGCTTTTTTTGGTTGGTAGGCTATTAATTACTGCCTCAATTTCAGAAGTTGTTATTGGTCTATTGAGGGATTTGACGTCTTCCTGGTTTAGTCTTGGGAGGGTGTATGTGTCCAGGAATTTATCCTTCTAGATTTTCTAGTTTATTTGCATAGAGGTGTTTATAGTATTCTATGATGGCAGTTTGTATTTCTGTGGGATCAGTGGTGATATCCCCTTTATCATTTTTTATTGTGTCTATTTGATTCTTCTCTTTCTTCTTTATTAATCTGGCTAGTGATCTATCTATTTTGTTAATCTTTTCAAAAACCCAGCTCCTGGATTCATTGATGTTTTGAAGGGTTTTTCATGTCTCTATCTCCTTCAGTTCTGCTCTGATCTTAGTTATTTCTTGTCTTCTGCTAGCTTTTGAATTTGATTACTCTTGCTTCTCTAGTTCTTTAACTGTGGTGTTAGGTGTTGATTTTAGATCTTTCCCACTTTCTCCTGTTATTTCTGCCTTGATTTCGTTATTTACCCAGTAGTCGTTCAGGAGCAGGTTGTTCAGTTTCCATGTAGTTGTATGGTTTTGAGTAAGTTTCTTAATCCTGAGTTCTAATTTGATTGCACCGTGGTCTGACAGACTGTTTGTTATGATTTCCATTCTTTTGCATTTGCTGAGGAGTGCTTTACTACCAATCACGTGGTCAATCTTAGAATAAGTGCAATGTGGTGCTGAGATGAATGTATATTCTGTTGATTTGGGGTGGAGAGTTCTGTAGATGTCTATTAGGTCCACTTGGTCCAGAGCTGAGTTCAAGTCCTGAATATCTTTGTTACTTTTCTGTCTCGTTGATTTGTCTAATACTGACAGTGGGGTGTTAAAGTCTTCTACTATTATTGTGTGGGAATCTAAGTTTCTTTGTAGGTCCCTAAGAACTTGCTTTATGAATCTGGGTGCTCCTGTATTGGGTGGATATATATTTAGGATAGTTAGCTCTCCTTGTTGTATTGATACCTTTACCGTTATGTAATGCCCTTGTCTTTTTTGATCTTTGTCGGTTTAAAGTCTGTTTTATCAGAGACTAGGATTGCAACCCCTGCTTCTTTTTTTGCTTTCCATTTGCTTGGTATCCCTCTGTCCCTTTATTTTGAGCTTATGAGTCTGTTTACATTTAAGGTTAATATTGTCATGTGTGAATTTGATCCTGTCATTTTGATGCTAGCTGGTTATTTTTCCCATTAGTTGATGCAGTTTCTTCATGGTGTCAATGGTCTTTACAATTTGGTATGTTTTTGCAGTGGCTAGTATCAGTTTTTCCTTTCCATATTTAGTGCTTCCCTCAGGAGCTCTTGTAAGGCAGGGCTGGTGGTGATAGAGTCTCTCAGCATTTGCTTTTCTGTAAAGGATTTTATTTCTTTTTTGCTTATGAAGTTTAGTTTGGCTGAATATGAAATTCTGGGTTGAAAATTCTTTTCTTGAGGTGGGACGTGGTGGTTCACGCCTGAAATCCCAGCACTTTGGGAGGCCAAGGTGGGCAGATCACAAGGCCAGGAGTTCAAGACCAGCCTGGCCAACATGGTGAAACCCTGTCTCTACTAAAAATACAAAAATTAGCTGGGCATGGTGGCGCGTTCCTTTAATCCCAGGTACTCGGGAGGCTGAGGCAGGAGAATTGCTAGAACCAGGACCCAGGAGGCGGAGGTTGCAGTGAGCCGAGATTGCACCACTGCACTCCAGCCTGGGCTACAGAGCAAGACTCCGTCTCAAAAAGAAAAAAAAAAAAAAAGAAAGAAAAAAAGAAAAGAAAAAAGAAAATTCTTTTCTTTAAGAATGTTTATTGAATATTGGCCCCCACTCCCTTCTGGCTTGTAGGGTTACTGCAGAGAGATCCACTGTTAGTCTGATGGGGTTCCCTTTGTGGGTAACCTGACCTTTCTCTCTGGCTGCCTTTAACATTTTTTTCTTCATTTCAACCTTGGTGAATCTGACGATGTGTGTCTTAGGGTTGCTCTTCTTGAGGAGTATCTTTGTGGTGTTCTCTGTATTTCCTGAATTTGAATGTTGGCCTGTCTTGCTAGGTTGGTGAAGTTCTCCTGGATAATATCCTGAAGAGTGTTTTCCAACTTGGTTCTATTCTCCTTGTCACTTTCAGGTACACCAATCAAACGTAGGTTTGGTCTTTTCACATAGTCCCATAATTCGTGGAGGCTTTGTTCATTTCCTTTCATTCTTTTTTCTCTAATCTTGTCTTCACACTTTATTTCATTAAGTTGATCTTCAATCTCTGATATCCTTTCTTCTGCTTGATTGATTCGGCTATTGATACTTGTGTATTTTTCATGAAGTTCTCATGCTGTGTTTTTCAGCTCCATCAGGTCATTTATGTTCTTCTCTAAACTAGTTATTCTAGTTAGCAATTCCTCTAACCTTTTTTCAAGGTTCTTACCTTCCTTGCATTGGGTTAGAACATGCTCCTTTAGCTCGGGGGAGTTTGTTATTACCCTCCTTCTGAAGCCTACTTCTGTCAATTTGTCAAACTCAATCTCCGTCCAGTTTTGTTCCCTTGCTGACGAGGAGTTTTGATCCTTTGGAAGAGAAGAAGCATTCTGGTTTTTGGAATTTTTAGCCTTTTTATGCTGGTTTTTCATCTTCGTGGATTTATCTACCTTTGATCTTTGATGTTGGTGACCTTCAGATGGGGTTTTTGTGTGGACGTCCATTTTGTTGATGTTGATGCTATTCTTTTCTGTTTGTTAGTTTTCCTTCTAATAGTCAGACCCCTCTGCTGCAGGTCTGCTGGAGTTTGCCGACTTCCACTCCAAACCCTGTTTGCTTGGATATCACCAGTGGAGGGTGCAGAATAGCAAAGATTGCTGCCTTCCTTCCTCTGGAAGCTTCATCCCAGAGGGGCACACTCCAGATGCCAGCCAGAGCTCTCCTGTATGAGGTGTTCTGTCGACCCCTGCTAGGAGATGTCTCCCAGTCAGGAGGCACGGGGGTCTGGGACCCACTTGAGGATGCAGTCTGTCTCTTAGCAGAGCTACAGCGCTGTGCTAGGAGATCTGCTGCTCTCTTCAGAGCTGGCAGGCAGGAACATTTAAGTCTGCTGAAGCTGCGCCCACAGCTGCCCCTTCCCCCAGGTGCTCTGTCCCAGGGAGATGGGAGTTTTATCTATAAGCCCCTTACCGGGGCTGCTGCCTTTCTTTCAGAGATGCCCTGCCCAGAGAGGAGGAGTCTAGAGAGGCAGTCTGGCTACAGTGGCTTTGTGGCACCGCAGTGGGCTCCACCCAGTTTGAACTTCCCAGTGGCTTTGTTTACACTGTGAGGGGAAAACTGCCTACTCAAGCCTCAGTAATGGCGGACACCCCTTCCCCCACCAAGCTGGAGCATACCAGGTCAACTTCGGACTGCTGTGCTGGCAGCAAGAATTTCAAGCCAGTGGATCTTAGCTTGCTGGGCTCTGCTGAGCTAGAGCACATGGCTCCCTGGCTTCAGCCCCCTTTCCAGAGAGTGAACAGTTCTGTCTTGCTGGCATTCCAGGAGCCACTGGGGTATGGAAAAAAAACTCCTGCAGCTAGCTCAGTGTCTGCCCAAACGGCCACCTAGTTTTGTGCTTGAAACCCAGAGCCCTGGTGGTATAGACACCCAAGGGAATCTCCTGGTCTGAAGGTTGTGAAGACCGTGGGAAAAGCATACTATCTAGCCTGGAGTGCACCATTGCTCATGGCACAGTCCCTCACAGCTTCCCTTGGCTAGGGGAGGGAGTTCCCTGACCCCTTGCACTTTCTGGGTGAGGTGACTCCCCATCCTGCTTCTGCTCACCCTCCATGGGCTGTACCCACTGTCTAACCAGTCCCAATGAGATGAGCCGGGTACCTCAGTTGGAAATGCAGAAATCACCTGCCTTCTGCATTGATCTTGCTGGGAGCTGCAGATCAGAACTGCTCCTATTCAGCCACCTTGCCAGCCACCCCCTTCTTCTTTTATATTACGTGTTAACTGAATTCACTGTTGTTCATTCAGAGAATAATTCTTACTTGCTTAAGCTACTGGTTTATGCAAAGAGCAATATGATAAAATGGAAGGGCTCTGATCTGAGATCTGGGGTCCCATCTCAGTTCTGCCATGAATTAACTACAGAATTGCTGGCAAGGTACTCTCCCTGGGCCTCAAATTTCCACACCTATAAAATGAAAGTGTTTGGGAAAAAGATATTTTTCTTTCTCAGTTTTGAAATTCTATGCTTCATGCTTCATAATTCCGGACTCTTCTTATCTTGGCCTTCACTGCCAAGTTAGGGTAATAGCTTTGGTGTAGAAGTGACCAGAGATTATACATGCCAGTTTGGGGCTCAGTATGTCAGCACATTAACCAAAGTCAATGTATGCCTTAGAGGTAATTGGTTCTTAGTTTTCTTTTCTTTTTTCTTTTCTTTTTTTTTTTTTTTTTTTTTTTTGAGATGGAGTCTCACTCTGTCACCCAGGCTGGAGTGCAGTGGCATGGTCTCGGCTCACTGCAACCTCCACCTCGCAGGTTCAAGCAATTCTCCTGCCTCAGCCTCCTGAGTAGCTGGGATTACAGGCATCTGCTATCAAGCCCAGCTAATTTTTTTGAATTTTTAGTAGAGACAGGATTTCACCATGTTGGCCAGGCTGGTCTCAAACTCCTGACCTCAAGTGATCCACCAACCTCGGCCTCCCAAAGTGCTGGAATTACAGGTGTGATCCACCACGCCCGGCCCTGGTTTTAGTTTTCAATATTTCAGCAAGCTAATCGAAGATCTTAATCTCATTTAAATCTCTTGATTTTATACAGAGTAATAACAGTGAACACATGGTGAAATTCGGCCCATCTAACTCAGAAACTTCATTTTAGGACAATATTTCAAACTCCTTTCCCATCTAGGCATTTTTCAGTAGCAGACATGTGGCACACCTGACTCCCTTCACCTCCCTCTTAGTGAAGGTTTAGGGATTAGAGATGTACTCAAAGCCAGAACTCAGTGGCCTAAATCACCAGTCCTTGGATTACTACAAGCTCACCTAGAGTCTAAAAGAACAATTCTCCTTATGCCCATTGTGATCCTGGAAACATTACTTCTCTCCTCAGTTGCTGTTTCTCACTTAGCATCTCATTTTGGAAATCTTTGTTTCTCTGTGGCCACTAGGACATTTACTCCACTGAACTTTCTGGCTTTAATTTTTGCCCCCTCAATCAGTCCCAAATAGCCCTACTGAAGTAGCCCCAGAAACTTGCATTGCTATTCCACTCTTTCATGATTTCTCATCTACATATTAACCACTCCAACATTCCTGCATTTGTGGTCATCTTGTCAGCACATCTCGCTGACCTAAATGAAGAAATTCCTATTCCTTTTACTCCAGATTATCCATATAATTCTTCTTGAAAGCTATTCTTGGGATGTACTAAGGAAAGTACTTGACTTTTGGTGTCTGATGATGTAGGGTTTAAGTGCTGGCTGCACTACTTACTTAGGAAATTTCAAAAAGGTATTAAATTCTTATAAATGGGAATAATGCCTACTTTATAAGGTGTTTCAAAAATTCAGTGATAATGTATGTGATATACACAGCACAAGGTCAGTCTGTTGAGAAGGACCCTGCCGGTCGTGGCTATGAAGATGATAAGTACCCATGGGATGCCATGAACACAGCAGTCACCTTTGCTGACCTCAGCCACCAAACGCTAGCCCTTCCAGCTTTCCTGGATCCTGTGCTTTTTTCTGGGACAGTATGTAGTTCTCTATGTGGCTTGAGAACAGAACACTCCTTCAGATGGTTGAAGTATCTTTATTATATACATGGTCTGTGCTTTATCATACTAATTTTCTTTGTTTCAAGACAGGGTCTCGCTCTGTTGTCCAGGCTGGAGTGCAGTGGCATGATCACAGCTCACTGCAGCCTTGAACTCCCAGGCTAAAGCAATCCTCTCACCTCAGCCTCCTGAGTAGCTGGGACCACAGGCACACACTGCTAGGGCTGGCTAATTTTTAAAAATTTGTAGAGGTGGGGTCTGACTATGTTGCCCAGGCTGGTCTCAAACTCCTGGGCTCAAATGATCCTCCCACCTCGGCCTTCCAATGTGTTGGGATTACAGGTGTGAGCCACCTTGCCCAGCCCTAAATGTTTTTTCTTATGGTAAAATACACAAAAATGTACCATCCTAATCATGTTTAAGTGTGTGATTCAGTGGTGTGAAGTACATTTACATTGTTATGTAGCCATCACTACTATCCATCCCCTGAACTTTTAAAAAAATAATCCCAACAGAAAGTCTATACCCATTAAACACTAACTCTCTATTCTCCCCTACCCCCAGCCCCTGGAAACTACTTTCTGTCTCTATGAATTTGCCTATTCTAGGTTCCTCACATAAGTGGAAACATATTTGTCCTTCTGCAACTGGCTTATTTCACTTAGTATAATGTCCTTCCTCAAGGTTCATCTATGTTGTAGCATATATAAGAATTGCACTTCTTTTTCTTTTTTTTTTTTTTTTTGAGATGAAGTCTCACTCTGTCACCAGGCTGGAGTATAGTAGCATGATTTTGGCTCACTGCAACCTCTGCCTCCCAGGTGTTAAGCAATTCTCCTGCCTCAGCCTCCCCAGCAGCTGGGACTACAGGTGTGCGCCACCACGCCCAGCTAATTTTTGTATTTTTAGTCGAGGCGGGGTTTCACCATATTGGCCAGGCTGGTCTTGAACTCCTGACCTCATAATCCACCTACCTCAGCCTCCCAAAATGCTGGGATTACAGGCTTGAGGCACTATGCCCCGCCATGAATTGCACTTCTTTTTAAGGCTGAATCATACTCCATTGTACATATATACCTCATTTTGTTTATCCATTCATCCATGGATGAACATTTGGGTTGTTTCCACATTTTGGCTATTATGACTTTATCCTATTGTACATTCTGCAGCAATTTACATCTTTATTTTCAGAATTATTAAGTTTTCTCATACTAATAATATTAGGAAGAGAGTCATGAAAGACTTTGATTTGATTTCATTTCATTTTTTGGCCATTTATTCTTTTTTTTTTTTTGGCAGCCACAAAGACTGGGATTTCTAATTCTATGCTATGATAAGTGGACAATTTAAGCCATTTTTAATTTTTTTTTCTTAATTTAAGCCATTTATCTTTTTTTCCATTTCCTTTTCCAAAAAAGAAAATTTATTTTTCTAAAATATGATCATGTCAGTTTGGTCTATTTTATATGTGTTAAGGAGAGCAATAACAGACAAAAGAATAACATAACAATTAGGTATTTAGTTAAAAAAAAGAAGTCAGCCAGGCACGGTGGCTCACGCTTGTAATCTGAGTACTTTGGGAGGCCGAGGCGGGTGGATCACCTGAGGTCAGGAGTTCAAGACCAGCCTGGCCAACATGGTGAGACCCCACCTCTATTAAAAATACAAAAAATTGTACCTCTATTAAAAATACAAAAAAATACAAAAAACATGGTGGCAGATGCCTGTAATCCCAGCTACTCAGGAGGCTGAGGCAGGAGAATCACTTGAACCCAGGAGGCGGAGGTTGCAGTGAGCCGAGACAGTGCCACTTCACTCCAGCCTGGGATACAGAGTGAGACTCTGTCTCAAAACAAAACAAAATAAAACAAAAAAAAGTAGAGGATGGGGCAATAGATAGCCTACCTCTTCTTGAACCAAGTTGTGAACTGTTTAAGAAATAGATAATAGGCTGGGCGCGGTGGCTCACGCCTGTAATCCCAGCACTTTGGGATGCCAAGGCAGGCGGATCACCTGAGGTTAGGAGTTGGAGACCAGCCTGGCCAACATGGTGAGACCCAGCCTCTACTAAAAATACAGAAATTAGCTGGGCGTGGTCGTACATGCCTGTAGTCCCAGCTACTCGGGAGGCTGAGGTAGGAGAGTCACTTGAAACCAGGAGGCAGATGTTGCAATGAACTGAGATCACGCCTTTGCCCTCCAGCCTGGAGCCACAGACAAGACTCCATCTCAAAAAAATAAATAAATAAAATTAAAAATAAATAAATAAATAAATAAAGAGTATGGTATAAGGAGGCCAGAATATTACTTTTATTATGAACAAAGCTGATTTGGGAGAATGCAGCTTATCTCTACTTGCAGGCAGACGGCCATCTTAATTCTATACCCCAGAATTAAACAGTTCTTCAGCCACTCATAGACAGGTCTCCTGCAGGGAAGGAAAATTATCAACTGACATATAGTCTGATTAAATGCTTGTCTTTTATACCTGCTATTGTTTGAGTGTGTCTCCTCCAAAACTTAGGTGTTGCTAATGTGATTGATGGTATTAAGAGGTGGGGCCTTTAAAAGGTGGTTAGGCCACAAGGGCTCCTGTCTTGTGAATGGGATTAGGTGCCATAAAACGGCTTGACAGTGAGATTTCATCCCCTTCTGTCCTTCTGCCTTCTGTTCCATGAGGACACAGCATTCCTCCCCCACTCCTCAAGATGCAACAGTCAAGCCGCCAACTTGGAAGCAGAGAGACCAGACCCTCACCAGATAACTGAACCTGCTAGTGCCTTCATCTTGGATTTCCTGACTTCCAGACTTGTGAGGAAACAAATTCCCATTCTTTATAAATTACCCAGTCTGTGGTATTCTGTTATAGCAGCTTAAAACAGACTAACACAATGCCCTCAACCCACCTCTCTGCCTTGGCACCCATCACACTGTGTAGCAACAAATCTTGGCCTGTCTCTTCCCTATGAGTATGTTGCCTTCATCCATTCTTCCACTCACTCAACTGGTTTTACTGAGTGCCTATTTTGGGCCTAGCAATAGCTAGGTCTTACATTCAGGACCTCAAGAAGGGACAGAAACTCACACAACCTCAACCCTTAAGGAGATCAGCACAGAAAATACCGTAAAGGAGACAGAGTGTAGTATTAGACAATAACAAGGGCAGAGTGACTTAACAAAGCAGGAGGAGAAGACTTTCTTGGGAAATCACATTTTTGATGACACCTCAAGGTCAACGAGTACTTCAGTATACTATACTCTGGTGTCTAGTAGAGGCATAGCACGTAACAGAGCTCAGTAAATGCTTAACAAATTAATGAATGAGTGATATATGTGAAAACACTTTATATGCAGTCGAAGTACCACACAGATGTTAGCTATCATCATTTAGTTAATATGGAGAGATCTACTTTTATTCAGTTCTCTGGAACACTCAAAAAGATATTACAGCATACAACAGAGAAAACTCATTAAGAGTGTCTACTTATTTGGACATACCCAGAGTCCTGTCTTCCTAGGAGAGTGCTTGAAGCTATTAGGTGTAGGACTGAATACAGAGAAATCAGAGAACCAATCATCCCATTTCAATGTTTGACCAATCCCATTTTCCTCCATGCAAAAGCAAGAGTTCACAAAATTGAATTTTAAAATAGTGATACAATGACTTTAAAGATATTGGAAAATGAGGGAAATACATAATAAAGATTAAGTATTCTATTTCACTGATGGAAGGTAATGTTAACTAGATCTGAAAATGTAAAAGCAGCAAGCTGCCATTCCCAAATTGATAGTGGACAGTGAAGAAAATGGCTCACTTTGTATCCATTGTGGCATTGGAGTTCTGACAAGCATGTGGAATGAGACGGATAGTATTTCTGAAGCATGTAGTATGTATTAATACATTACCTCATTCAATTCTAACACTTAGAAATCCTGTGAGATGGAAATTATGCCCATCATTTACGAAGGAGGAAACAAGCTGAAAGATTGTTATGTTGACATGGCAGGGATTTGAACTGAAGTTTCTGACTCCAAAGCAGAGAAGAGAACAGAAAAAAAGCAGATAAAAATACAGGAAGGCCACTGTAGAATGTTTTTTTGTTTTGTTTTGTTTTGTTTTTGGTTTGCTTGTTTATTTTTCTGAGCCAGAGTCTTGCTCTGTCACCAGGCTGGAGTGCAGTGGCGCAATCTCAGCTCACTGCAACTTCTGCCTCCCAGGTTCAAGAGATTCTCCTCATCCTCCCGAGTAGCTGAGACTACAGGTGCGCGCCACCATGCCCAGCTAATTTTTTATTTTTCTTCTATGAAATGTATGAAATGCTATGGCATTTGCCCACTATGTTTTTGGGTTGTTTGTCTTCTACTTGATTTTTTTTTTTTTTTTGAGATGGAGTTTTGCTCTTGTCACCTCAGCCTCCCAAAGTGCTGGGATTACAGGCATGAGCCACCGCACCCAGCCCTTCTACTTGATTTTTAGGAGTTTGTTTGTTTGTTTTGGACAGAAGCTTTTTAATGCACTATTTTTTTCTCCAGGCAAAGGACCTTCAGAAAACATCCATCCATAGATTTATAAATGGTACTTTTGGCTACAGGAGTTCTTTATATTTTCTGTATACTAACCATTTAGTGATTATATGTGAACATTTCTCTTCTCCAAGTTTGATGCTTATCTTTTCACTCCTGGTTTTGCCTTTCTGATTAAAAGTTCTAAATTTTAACGTAGTCAAATTTATTCATCTTTTCTTTAGAGATTGTGCTTTTGATATCTTAAATCCTTGCCTACACCAGAGCCATAAAGATATTCTCCTATATTTTGCTTCAAGCTTTTTTTTTTTTTTTTTGAGATAGAGTTTCTCCCTCTGCTGCCCAGGCTGGAGTGCAGTGGTGTGATCTTGGCTCACTGCAACCTCCACCTCCCAGGTTCAAGTGATTCTCCTGCCTCAGCCTCCTGAATAACTGGGATTACAGGTGCACACTACCATGTCTGGCTAATTTTTTGTATTTTTAGTAGAGACAGGGTTTCACCATGTTGGCTAGGCTGGTCTTGAACTCCTGACCTCAAATGATCCGCCCACCTTGGCCTCCCAAAGTGCTGGGATTACAGGCATGAGCCACTGCACTCAGCCTGCTTCAAATATTTTAAATTTTGTTTCTCATTTAAATCATAAATCCAACGGAATTGGATTTTTTTGTATGTATGGTATGAAGCAGAGAATCCATTTTTTCCTCCTCCGTATGGATAACCAATTGTCTTTGCACCATTTATTGAATAGCCACCCTTTTCCCATTGATCTACAATGCCACCTATCTTAGTCCATTTTCTGTTGCTTATAACAGAATACCCGAAACTGGGTAATTTATAAAGAAAAAGAATTTATTTCTTAGTTATAGAAGCTGAGATGTCAAGGTCAAAGGGCCATGTCTGGTGGGAGCCTCCTTGCTGGTGGGGACTCTCTACCAAGTTCTGAAGTAGCTGAGCGTGCTCACATGCTATGCTAAAGATTCTCCCTCTTATAAAGCCACTGGTGCCCTCCCATGACAGTCCATTAATTCATTAATCCATGAGTGGATTAATACATTGAGGGCAGAGCCCTCATGATTCAATCAACTCTTAAAGGCCCCACCTCTCAATGCTGCCACATTGGGGATTAAGGGTCAACACGAGTTTTGGAGGGCACGTTCAAACCTGATATGGTTTGGCTGTGTCCCCATCCAAATCTCATCTTGAATTGTAGCTCCCATAATCTCCACATGTCATGTGAGGGACCCGATGGGAGGTAACTGAATCATGGGGGTGGGTTTTTCCCATGCTATTCTTGTGACAGTGAATAAGACTTACGAGATCTGATGGTTTTATAAAGGGCAGTTCCCTGCACACACTCTCTTGCCTGCTACCATGTAAGATGTGCCTTTGCTTCTCCTTCATCTTCCGCCATGATTGTGAGGCCTCCCCAGCCATGTGGAACTGTGAGTCCATTAAACCTCTTTTTCTTTATAAATTACCCAGTCTTGGATATTTCTTCAGAGCAGTATGAAAATGGACTAATACAAACCCATAGCACTGATTTTGTCACATATCAAATTTCCATATAATAATGTTCTATTTCTGTGTTCTCTATTCTGTTCCATCAGTCCATTTAACTATCTGTGTGTATCATGTCTAATTATTATAGCTTTATAATAAGTCTTGATAGCTTACAAGTTAGGGCAACTCCCTCACCTTGTCCTCTTTTTCGAGAGTATTTTGGTTCTTCTTGGTTCTTTGCTTCTCCCTATGATTTTACAATACATTTATGACATTCCATGACAAATCCTATTGGTGCTGGGTGTGGTGGCTCACGCCTGTAATCCCAGCACTTTGGGAAGCCGAGGCGGATGGATCACCTGAGATCAGGAGTTCAAGACCAGCCTGACCAACATGGTGAAACCCTGCCTCTACTAATAGTACAAAATTAGCCAGGCATGGTGGCACGTACCTGTAATCCAGCTACTTGGGAGGCTGAGGCAGGAGAATCACTTCAACTCAGGAGGCGGAGGTTGCAGTGAGACGAGCTTGTGCTATTGCACTCCAGCCTGGGCAACAAGAGCAAAACGCCATCTCAAAAAAGAAAAAACATCCTGTTGGAATTTTGTATGGAACTGCATTAAATCTAGAGATTAATATGGAAAAAAGTAACATCTTCATGATATTGAGCCTCTATTCTAGAACTTATTTACCCAATTAAATCTCTTTATTATTATTAATTTTTGAGACAGAGTCGTCCTGTCACCCAGGCTGCAGCACAGTGGCGTAATCTCAGCTCACTGCAACCTCAACCTCCCAGGTTCAAGTAATCCTCCCAGCTCAGCCTCTCAAGTAGCTGGGACTACAGGCATGTGCCACCATGCCCAACTAACTTTTGTTATTTTTAGTAGAGATGGGGTTTTGCCATGTTAACCCGTCTGGTCTTGAACTCCTGACCTCAGGTGATCTGCCGGCCTCGGCTTCCCAAAGTGTTGGGATTACAGGCTTGAGCCACCGTGCCCAGCCTAAATCTCTTTATTTATTTTTATTACTAACCTGTTTCATTAAAGTTTTAAAACTTCTTCATAATGTTCTTGTGTGTATATATATACACACACACACACACACACACATATACATATACACACACACATATACATATATATGTGTATATATATATATTTTTTTTTAGATGGAGTCTTGCTCTGTTGCCAGGCTGGAGTGCAGTGGCACCATCTCGGTTCACTGCAACCTCCGCCTCCCGGATTCAAGCGATTCCCCTGCCTTAGCCTTCCGAGTAGCTGGGACTACAGGCACATGCCACCACGCCCGGCTAATTTTTTGTATTTTAGTAGGGACAGGATTTCACCATGTTGGCGAGGATGGTCTCAATCTCTTGCCCTCATGATCCGCCCACCTCGGCCTCCCAAAGTGCTGGGATTACAGGTGTGAGCCACTGCACCCAGCCTGTTCTTGCATATATTTTATTAAGATTTTATTTATTTATATTTTTGATACTACTGTAAATGTTAACTTTTTATAAATTACATTTTTACCTGTTTGTTGCTGGCATACAGAAATGCAACTGCAGAAGTGCCAAATAAATTGTTAATTCTTATGATTTAGCTATAGATATTCTTTTGTTTTCTATGTAATCTAGTCTCTAATTAGGTTTGTCTCTTTCTTCCTTTATTAGCTATCTACTGGTGTATAATGAATTACCTCACACTTAGTGGCTTAAAACATGTACTTATTAACTCACAGTTTCTGTTGGTCTCCTGCTCAGGGTCTCACAAGGCTGTAATCAAGGTGACAGCCAGACTGTGGTCCTTTTTAAAATGTAGTGTCCTCTTCTAAGTTCAGGTGGTTGTTGGCAGGATTCAGCTATCTGAGGCTGTAGGATGGAGTCCCTGCATTGTTCTGGCTGTCAGCTGGGGGTTTCCATCAGCTCCTAGTGGTCCCCAAGGTTTCTTGACAGGTGGCTCATTCACAGGCCTTTTTACAACATGATAGTGCACTCTAGTCCGCTAACAAGGAGTCTTCTGTAACATCACATAATCACAAGAGTAACTATTCCATTACTTTTGCCATATAATATGAACCAGTCAAAGGAGTGACTACCCCATCACCTTAGCCATATTCTATCGTTGAAAGCAAGTCTCAGGTCTCATCCACACTCAAAGAGAGGTTGTGATTTACTTGGGGTTACTATAGGGTGGATTTCCAATCCTAATCACCTTTTTTCTTGCTATTCTGCATAGGCTAGGCCCCCAGTACAATGCTGAAATCATGATAGTGATTATCCTGTTCTTGTTTATAATCTTAAAGGAAATCATTTCGTAATTCAGCATAAAGTAAGATATTTGTTGTAGGCTTTTTGTAAATGCCACTTATTAGGTTAAAAAAGTTCTCTACTCCAAGCTTTCTAAAATTTATTTTAAAAAAATTATCAATGGCTGCCAAGGTTTACCAAACCTTTTTTCCTGCATCTTTTGAGATATGATCTTTTTCCTCCATTGTTAAACTGCCCTGATATTCTGGAACAAACTCAGCTTGATAATGATTTCTAGTCATTGCTGAATTTGCTTTACTATCTTCCTTTGGATTTTTCAAATTTGTCTTCATGATTAATTGTAGAGTGCTTCCTCTTTTTCTATGTTTTGGAATAATTTATATAAAATTGGAATTATTTTTTTCCTGGATGTTCAGTAGAACGTTCCTGAAAACTTCTCTGGGTTTAGTGTTTGTTTTCTGGGAAGATTTTAAAATATCCATCAAATTTCTTTAATGATTGTTCCATTTTTCCTTTAAAATTATTTTTGCTAACATAGTTTTGAGTAATTTGCCCATGAAATTTTGAAATTTATTGCCACGAAATTGTTCATAATAGCTTCTTGAAAAATAAATCTTAATTTTTACATCAATAGTTATTCACATTTTAAAGTTTTTTTTAAAAAATGATTTCCTCAGATACGGGGTCTTGCTCTGTCACTCAGGATGGGGTACAGTGGCACGATCATAGCTCACTGCAGCCTCCAACTCCTAGGCTTAGGCAATCCTTCCATTTCCCTCCCAAGTCACAAGGATTACAATGTGAGCAACTGTACCCAGCTTTTTTAAAAAATAAATCTGGACAGAAATGCATTTGTTTTTTTAAAAATGAATCCGTGTTTGACTTTATGGATCCTATTATACTATTTCTATTAACTTCTGCCTTTACCTTAGACATTTCATTCTATTTCCCTTTAAGATTTACTCTTATTAGATCTCCTAATCACCCCATCTCAGTTTTCTGTTTATATTGTGTTAATATTCCATTTGTAATGTGAAGCTAGTAGGATGTTCCTTTTTGGGGGGTTAATGGGAGTTCATCTTGACATCATAAAAGTGTAAAAATCAAAACCAAATAAGCATATATTTCATGTAGGCCAGGCATGGTGGCTCACACCTGTAATCTCAACACTTTGTGGGGCTGAGCAGGAGGATAGCTTGAGCCCAGGAGCTCAAGGCCAGCCTGGACAACATGGTGAGACTACAAACGAAAACATTATTAGCTATGCATGGTGGTGTGAGCCTGTGGTCCCAACTACATGGGAGGCTGCAGTGGGAGGATCACTTGAGCCCAGGTCAAGGCGGCAGTGAGCCATGTGCCACTGCACTCCAGCCTGGGCAAGACTCTGTCTCAAAAAAAAACCACCACCAACAACAACAGAACAGATTTAAAAAAAAAAAAAAAAACACCACTTGTTCCTTTTCTTATATCTTAAGATTATAACCTTACTTCATTGATTTTCATTCTTTTTTTCTTTTTGAGATGGAGTCTCATTCTGTCGCCCAGGCTGGAGTGCAGTGACGCAATCTCGGCTCACTGCAACTTCCACCTCCCAGGTTCAAGCGATTGTCCTGCCTCAGCCTCCCAAGTAGCTGGGACTACAGGCATGTGCCACCACACCCGGGTAATTTTTGTATTTTTTAGTAGGGACAAAGTTTCACCATGTTGGCCAGGCTGGTCTTGAACTCCTGATTTCAGGTGATCTGCCTGCCTCGGCCTTCCAAAGTGCTGGGATTACAGGCGTGAGCCACCGCGCCTGGCCTGAATATTTTTTTCACTGGCCTATGAATAAGTTAAAAGGGTTTTAAAATTTCTCAACATAGGGAGTTTTCCTGATTAGCGTTCAGTTACTGGTCTCTAACTTACTTGCAATGTAATTGGAAAACATGTTCTACATTCCATTGAAATGTGTCTAGATATGCTTTATGACTAAGTTTATGATTGATTTATCAACATGTGTGCTTGAAATAAATGTATTTGCAGCTATTTAGATCACTGTGTAATGGTCTACAAATTTCCATTAGGTCAAGATAATTAGGTATAGCAAAGCTTCTGTTTGTCTGCTGAGTTCATCAATTATTACGTTAAAATATTTTATCATAATGGTATATTTATTTGTATTTCTATCAGCTTTTGCCTTGTATATTTTGAGTCATGTTATTAGGTATGTACAACTTTGTATTTTTCTGATAAACAGAATTTTTTTAAGTTTCTAATGTCTTTCAGACTATTTTTTTCCTGATATTAATATAGCTATACCAGCTTACCTTTTACTTTCAACCTTTCTGTATTCTTGCTTTACATATAACTCCAGTAAATAGTGTTATCACTTGACATTTAAAAAAACCCAGCCAGGTGCAGTGGCTCACACCTGTAATTCCAGCACTTTGGGAGGCCGAGGCAGGTGGATTACTGGAGGTCAGGAGTTCATGACCAGCCTGGCCAACAAGGTGAAATCCCTTCTCTAATAAAAATAAAAAATTAGCCAGGCGTGGTGGTGTGTGCCTGTAATCCCAACTACTCGGGAGGCTGAGGCAGAAGAATTGCTGGAACCTGGGAGGCGGAGGTTGTGATGAGCCTAGATCGTGTCACTGCACTCTGGCCTGGGCAAAAAGAGCGAAGCTGTCTCAATAAATAAATAAAAATATAAATAAATAAATAAATAATCCACTTGGACATATTCTACTGTCATGTATTTTAATTAATTCCATATGGTATGACTGTTTTATTAGTGCTTAGAATTAAAATATATATTCACTACTTTTTTTTTTAATAGCAGACAGCTTATTGAAGGGCAATAGAGAGCAGAGAGTTTATAAAGACATACTCTGAACACTGAGGCAGAGCACACTGCTGAAAGAGAGTGAGCCAGCAGCATACTCACTGCTTTATTCATCTGCCATTTTCTTCTTGCATCTCAGGCCTTAAATTTAAAATCATTTCTCTTCTGCCTGACGTACAACTTTAGGAGTCTTTTAATGAAAGTTTGCTGGTAGCCAACTGTTTTTGTTTGACAAATGCATTTAGCCCTCATTTCTGAAAGACATTCCAAATATATCAGTAACTGTGGTAAATATAAACAAACTAAACACCCAAATAAAAATAAAAAATTTTCAGTGTCTCATGTGTACTGGAAAAAAAAATGTATTCTGCTGTTATTGGGAGCAGTTTCTATACATGACCAACAGATTGTTGTTTTTGCCTTTTTCTTTCTGAGACAGAGTCTCACTCTGTCACCCAGGCTGGTGTGCAGTGGGGTGATCTTGGCTCACTGCACCCTTCACCTCCTGGGTTCAAGCAATTCTCATGCCTCAGCCTCCCAAGTAGCTGGGACTATAGGCATGTACCGCCATGCCCGGCTACATTTTATATTTTTAGCCGGGCATGGGGCTTCGCCATGTTGGCCAGGCTGGTCTCAAACTCCTGGCCTCAAGTGATCTGCCCACCTTTGCCTCCCAAAATGCTGGGATTACAGGCATGAGCCACCACACCTGGCCAAGGGATTGTTGATTAACTGTGAATTAGTATCTTTCATGAATTGTAAAAAACTCTCACCCATTAACTATTTAGAGGCTAGGCACGGTGGCTCACACCTGTAATCCAGCACTTTGGGAGACTGAGGTGGGTGGATCATCTGAGGTCAGGAGTTCAAGACCAGCCTGGCCAACATGGCGAAACCCCGTCTCGACTAAAAATACAAAAATTAGCCAGGCATGGCCGGGCGCAGTGGCTCATGCCTGTAATCCCGGCACTTTGGGAGGCCGAGGGGGGCGGATCATGAGGTCAGGAGATTGAGACCATCCTGGCTAACACGGTGAAACCCTGTCTCTACTAAAAATACAAAAAAATTAGCCAGGCGTGGTGGTGGGCGCCTGCAGTCCCAGCTACTCGGGAGGCTGAGGCAGGAGAATGGTGTGAACCCAGGAGGCGGAGCTTGCAGTGAGCCCAGATTGCGCCACTGCACTCCAGCCTGGGCAACAGAGTGAGACTCCATCTCAGAAAAAAAAAAAAAAATGAGCGAGGCATGTTGGCACGTGCCTGTAATCCCAGCTACTAGGGGGTGCTGAGGCAAGAGGATCGCTTGAACCTGGGAGGCGGAGGTTGCAGTGAGCTGAGATCATGCCACTGCACTCCAGCCTGGGCAACAGAGCGAGGCTCTGTCTCAATTAAAAAAATGAAAAAAAAAAAACAATTATTTAGAGTTAGCCTCTGACCTATTTTCTCTTTTCTTTCCTATTGGCAATACGATTGTACAAATGTTACTCTTTTACTTTCCTTTCCTATTTCTTTCCTCTTTGCTTCTCTCTGCTGCATATGGATACTTCTTTACTGCTGTTAAACTCCACTAAATTTTTCTTTTTTTTTCTTTTCATCCTCTCAACCCAGCTTTTCTCAACTTTGGGAAGAACTGGGACGAGAAGGCCAACATTTTTAATGTTTTTCAAATCTGCTTGGTCACTTTTAAAGCATCCTGCTCAATATTCATTCTATCTTACACATATTTTATATTCTGACTCTGATAAGCCCAATATTCAGAGGCTTTATGAGTCTGATTCTGTTCTCGTTTCTGCTGGTACACATTCATGGTTTTGCTTCCTTGTGTGTTTTGTCATTTGAAGGCTGTTGTTATGGTGGATTCCTTCACACGGTTCCTGTTGACCTGGAACACTATTAGCTTGGGACCACTGTCAACTAAATCTTGTTTTGAGTTTTTTTAGAATCCTTGAACCTTAAAAAAAATTTAGGCCAGGTGCCATGGCTCACATCTGTAATCCTAGAGCTTTGGGAGGCCAAGGCAGGCAGATCACTTGAGGTCAGGAGTTCAAAACCAGCCTGGCTAACATGGTGAAACCCCGTCTCTACTGAAAATACAAAAAAATTAGCTGGGTGTGGTGGTGGGCACCTGTAATACCAGCTACTTGAGGGGCTGAAGCAGGAGAATTGCTTGAACCCTGGAGGTGGAGGTTGCAGTGAGCCGAGATCACGCCGCTACACTCCAGCCTGGGTGACAGAGCAAGGCTCTGCTAAAAAAGAATAAAAAAAAAAAATTTTTTTTCTTGAGACAGAGTTGCTCTATCACTCAGGCTAGACCATAGTGGTGTAATCAGAGCTCACTGAAGCCTTAACCTCCTAGGATCAGGGGATGCTCCCACCTCAGGCCCCTGAAGAGCTGTGACTACAGGTGCATGCTACCACGCCCGGCTAATTTTTTAATTTTTTGTAGAGACAGGGTCTCCCTATGTTGCCCACGCTGGTCTCAAACTCGTTGGTTTAAGTGATCTTCCTGCCTCGGCCTCTCAAAGTGCTGGGATTATATGCATGAGCCACTGTGCCCAGCCCTCAATCCTTTGAATTGTATGAAAGTTGAGTCACGCTGCTCAGCAGCATAATGGAAAAGAAATAATTCTAACTTTGGCATGAAGACCTAAAGTACTAGAATGGATTAGAATAAACCCTTTATTTCTACAAGATTAATTTCTCTATAGTGACCCAGACTTAGGTGAGGGTAGTTAATTTAGTGTAAAATATATGTATAAATGTAAACAAATAAACGTATGTACATATATATCTGTCTATAAATCATCTCAACTCTTATAACATAGTACTGTGATATCATCCAGTAATTGTATTGTATTTCAAAGAAGTATGGTCACCGAGTGAAAAGAAAAAGGTTAGGAGTTGTTGTCTTAAATGTATTACTAATTCCCAGATATTCTTTTGAACCTATGAATACTGATGATTTTTCTCCATGCAAGAATATTTTTCAGTTACCATCATATTTTTGAAAACAATGTAACATTTATACCAGCCAAATCAAATGTAATAATCAACATAACATATACAAACTCTAGTAAAATTATTTTATTTAGTTGTAATATCCATCTCTAATTGTTTGAAATAAAAATTTCCATGGTCTTAATTGAACTGTATGTTACTTTCTTTTAGAATATCCTTTTTTTCATTAAAATAATTTCTAAACCACTCTATGTGTTCAACCTTCTGTTTAACACTAAGATATGGGTTTTTGGAAAGGCCACAAGTCACCAGCTCCATGAAGTGGCGAATTGGTCCTTGTTTTGGAAAGCTCTCCAGGTGTTTCTCCAGAAATATATGTTCATGAAATTCTGAACCATCATCATCAAAACCTAGGAAATGAGACCAAATACATTACATTATAATTTTAAATACAAAACCTACATCATAAAAATAATATTAATGAGGTAATATAATATTACAGTTTAAGGCATGAACTTTGGAGTTAGACCTAGGTTGCATTTTTTTTTTTTTTTTGAGATGGAGTCTTGCTCTGTTGCTCAGGTTGAAGTGGAGTGGCACGATCTCAGCTCACTGCAACCTCTGCCTTCTGGGTTTCATGCGATTCTCCTGCCTCAGCCTCCCGAGTAGCTGGGACTACAGGCATGTACCACCACGCCCAGCTAATTTTTTTATTTTTAGTAGAGACAGGGTTTCGCCATGTTGGCCAGGCTGGTCTCGAACTCCTGACCTCAAGTTATCTGCCCGCCTCGGCCTCCCAAAGTGTTGGGATTACAGGAGTGAGCCACCACGCCTGGCCCGGAGTTAGATCTAACTTTGCCCACCAATTTAACAACAGTGACTTTGGACTAATTAATTAACTTCTCTGAGCAGCAGATTCCTCAAGCATAATAATGAGAACTAAAATAGCACCTTGCTGGCATTTTTGTAAAGATCAAACAGACACAAACTATATATAAAGTTCATTTACAATGCCTAGCATGCTGTAAATGTTAAAAATGTGGTGGCAAGACCAGGCGTGGTGGCTCACGCCTATAATCCCAGCACTTTGGGAGGCGAGGCAGGCGGCTCACTCAAGGTCAGGAGTTCAAGACAAGCCTGGCCAACATGGTGAAACCCTATCTCCACTAAAAATACCAAAAAAATTAGCCAGGCGTGATGGCATGTGCCTGTAATCCCAGCTACTTGGGAGGCTGAGGTATAAGAATTGTTTGAACCCAAGAGGCAAAGGTTGTAGGGAGCCAAGATCAAGCCACTACACTCCAGCCTGAACAACAGAGTGACACTCTGAATCAATCAATCAATCAATAGGATAGCAATTATTGCCAATGATTATTTTTTTCTTTTGAGATAGAGTTTCACTCTTGTCGCCCAGGCTGGAGTGCAATGGTGCAATCTCGGCTCTCTGCAACCTCCACCTCCCAGGTTCAAGTGATTCTCCTGCCTCGGCCTCCCCAGTAGCTGTGATTACAGGCGCCTGCCACCACGCCCAGCTGATTTTTGTATTTTTAGTAGAGATGGGGTTTCACCATGTTGGTCAGGCTGGCTTGAACTCCTGACCTCAGGTGATCCACCTGCCTCGGCCTCCCAAAGTGCTGGGATTACAGGTGTGAACTACTGCGTCCGGCCGCTAAGGAATATTTTCATAAATAACGGCAACCATCAAGAACACTATAAAAATTATATTTTAAAATACATAAATAAGATGGAATTGTGAAAAATGTTCAGGCAGCTCACAAGAAGCTAAGAGGCCAGGTGCCGTGGCTCACACCTATAATCCCAGCACTTTGGGAGGCTGAGGCAGGGGGATTGCTTGAGCCCAGGAGTTCAAGACCAGACTGGGAAACATGGTAAAACCCTGTCTCTACAAAAAATTAGCCAGGTGTGGTGGCACATGCCTGTAGTCCCAGCTACTTGAAAGGCTGAGGTGGGAGGATCACCTGAGCCTGGGAGGTCGAGGCTGTAGTGAGCTGTGATCATACCATGCACTCTAGCCTGGGCGACAGAGTGAGACCCTGTCTCAAAAAAAAAAAAAAAAAAGCCAAGAAAAGACAGAGGAGGCCGGGTGTGGTGGCTCATGCCTGTAATCCCAACACTGTGGGAGGCTGGGGGTGGCAGGTAGGGGGGCAGGTCACAAGGTCAGGAGTTCAAGACCAGCCTGGCCAACGTGGTGAAACCCCGTCTCTACTAAAAATACAAAAATTAGCTGGGCACGGTGGCATGTGCCTGTAGTCCCAGCTACTCGGGAGGCTGAGGCAGGAGAACTGCTTGAACCTGGCAGGCAGAGGTTGCAGTGAGCTGAGATTGCGTCACTGCACTCCAGCCTGGGCAACAAAGTGAGACTCTGTCCAAAAAAAAAAAAGAAAAAGAAAAAAGAAAAGACAGAGGAAAGAGAGATAGAGAAAATGAACAGAAAATAATACTTTAAATGTAAATAATCTAAGTATACAAATTAAAAGACAGAGACTGGCACAGTGGATATAAAAACATAAACCAACTATATGCTGTTCATAAGAAATTCACCTTAAACACCACATAGGTAGATTGAAAGTAAAAAGGACGGTTAATGTTATCTTGGTACATTAATTTTTTTCAAAGTATAACTGGCTGTATGAATATCAGATAAAGTAGATCAACAGTCTTTTTAACTTAGAATGCTCCAGGAGGGCAGAATGAATAGATCTTTCATGAATGAATCAATGAATGAATGACAGCCAAGTGGTACTGGCACATATAATGCAAAGGAAAAAAAAAGAGAGCAATAAAGAGGGTATACTATATACAAAAATAAGTTCTAGATAAATAGAAAAAGGCTACAGAGCTATGTACAAATTAAACCTCTATTTGCTAAAGACATTCTAAACATTCTAAATTATCTTACAGCCAAGGCCTGTAGCCTCAAGTCAAGCGGTTGGAAGATTTCTCATTGGAGAAACTCAGTAAGAATTATAAATATGGAGTTACAGAGGTCCTTAAATGAAGACGTTCCTTCCCAATTCCTCTCAAATGAAGCCACCAGTTAACTAGTCCCATCCATTCACATGCATTTAACAAACAGCTTTTCATGGCCTTCCTCTCAAGTATAAACAAACATTCAAAGAACAGTAGACATTTTAAGAAAGTGTCTAGCGTAAGTGACAGACACCTTGGCAGGAACTGATACCTATCTCTCAAATCCATTCTGGCTTTTTATCTTGGTAAAAGAACTAAACATGTGCATGGGCAGGGGATGGTGGCTCATGTCTATAATCTCAGCACTTTGGGAGGCCGAGGCAGGAGGATAGCTTGAAGCCAGGAGTTTAAGACCAGCCTGAGCAACAAAGTGAGACCCCATCTCTACAAAACATTTGAAAATTAGCCAGGTGTGGTGGTGTGCACCTGTAGTCCTAGTACCTGGAACGCTGGGGGCAGAAGGATCAATC
The DNA here is from genome assembly GCF_000001405.40 of Homo sapiens. NCBI lineage: Eukaryota > Metazoa > Chordata > Mammalia > Primates > Hominidae > Homo > Homo sapiens. The sequence continues at coordinate 40,732,653 of NC_000013.11, forward strand.
ACTTGAGCCCAGGAGTTTGAGGCTGCAGTAAGCTGTGATCACACCACTGCACTCCAGCCTGAGTGACAGAGTGACACTACACCTCTTAAAAGAAGAAAAAAAAAACCTGTACATGGCTGTTGAGCAACATTACATTTCCCAGCCCCTTCTGGGTTAGGCATGAGCATATGTTTAAATTATTACCAGCAGAACCTAAACAGAAGTGATGTGTGACATTTACAGCCCAGAGCCTTCAAGAGAATGAAACTGGGCCAGGCACAGTGGCTCACGCCTGTAATCTCAACACTTTGGGGAAAAAAAATCTAACACTAAAAAGAAGAAGAACAGCAACAATGCATTTGGTTTTTTTTTTTTTTTTTTTTTTTTTTTGAGAGGGAGTTTCACTCTTGTTGCCCAGCTGGAGTGCAATGGTGCAATCTCAGCTCACTGCAACCTCTGCCTCCTGGGTTCGAGCAATTCTCTTGCCTCAGCCTCCTGAGTAGCTGGGATTACAGGCACTCACCACCATGCCCAGCTAATTTTTGTATTTTCAGTAGAGATGGGGTTTCACCATGTTGGCCAGGCTGGTCTCAAACTCCTGACCTCAGGTGATCCGCCTGCTTCGGCCTCCCAAAGTGCTGGGATCACAGGTGTGAGCCACCGCGCCCAGCCCAATGAAGCATTTGGAAGTTAAAAATATGGCAACAAAAATCCAATGGAGAGATTGTAAGATAATAGTTAAAGAATGTCCCCGGAGCATAGAACAAAAGGAGAAAAAGAAAAAGATTGGGAGGCCGAAATTATCAAATGATACAAGAAAATTTACCCAGAATTGAAAAATGAAGTTACTGGATTAAAATTATCTAATAATGTCTAGAACAATGATTGTAAACAAAATCCCTTTCCAAGGATAACCCTCCTGAAACTTATGAATATTATGAAGAGAAGATGCTAAAAGTTACCAAAAAATAAATAAAAGAGATCACATACAATGAATCTAGGATAAGAATGGAAAAAATGGCAAAAGCATTCTCAACAACATAAGACAGTGGAGTGGCTGGGCACGTGGATCATGGCTGTAAGCCCAGCACTCTGGGAGGATGAGGCGAGTGGATTGCTTATTAAGTGCAGGAGTTCACGACCAGCCTGGGTAACATAGTAAAACCCCGTCCCTAATAAAAATATAAAAAATTAGCCAGGCATGGTGGTGGGCGCCTGTATGGGAGGCCGAGGTGGGAAATAACCTGAGCCTGGGAGGTCAAGGCTTCAGTGAGCCAAGAATGTGCCACTGCACTCTAGCCTGGACAATCAGAGTGAGACTCTGACTCAAAAAAAAAAAAAAAAAAAAAAGGCCAGGTGCAGCGGCTCATGTCTGTAATCCCAGCTATTAGGGAGGCTGAGGCAGGAGAATAGCTTGAACCTGAGAGGTGGAGGTTGCAGTGAGCTAAGATCATGCCAATGCACTACAGCCTGGGTGACAAAGCAAGAAAGACAATGGAGCAAAGGCTTATTGTGAAATAAAACTATTTCCAATCTTGATTTTTATCCTCAAGTAAACCATTAAAAAAGTACCAAGACAGAGGAAAGATATTTTATATATCAAGGGTCTCAAAGCATGTGCTTCAACAAAATGAGATAGAGTAGAAAATATGTGGTCCAAAAAGAAAGGGTATCCAACATAGAAGGGACAGAAGTCCCAGGAGGAGGGCAAAATGATAGGAAGACAGTTGTGCCAGAAGACCTAGGTATAGATGACAGCTACAGACAGACAGCTCCAGGTACCCATGGACAAAAAACAAAATTAACAGGAAATTCAATATTTTTGTGCATGTGAATTTGAGAGGCTGTATGAAATGTAGGAAAACTTAGCTAGAGACTCAAGGAAAAACAAAGCAAATAGGAAGAAAAATAAAGCAATTGTTAACTTTCAGTGGGAACAGGAAAGAATATATAGTAATTTTTTGTCTTACCATTAAACAGTTTTCCAGGCTGGGAACAGTGGCTTACACCTGTAATCCCAGCACTTTGGGAGGCCAAGCCAGGAGGATCACTTCAGCCCAGCAGTTTGAGGCCAGCCTGGGCAACATAGTGAGACCTCGTCTTTAGAAAAAAAAATTAGCCAGGCATGGTGGTGTGCCTGTGGTCCTCTCCTCACTAGAAAGGCTGAGATGGGAGGATCACTTGAGCCCAGGAATTCGAGGTTGCAGTGAGCCATGATCCTGCCACTGCACTCCAGTCTGGGTGACGGAGTGAGACCCTGTCTCAAAAAACCCCAAATAACGCTAGGCGGGGGAGGAGCCAAGATGGCCGAATAGCAACAGCTCCAGTCTACAGCTCCCAGCCTGAGCGACGCAGAAGACGGGTGATTTCTGCATTTCCATCTGAGGTACCGGGTTCATCTCACTAGGGAGTGCCAGACAGTGGGCGCAGGTCAGTGGGTGCGCGCACCTTGCGCGAGCCGAAAGAGGGTGAGGCATTGCCTCACTCGGGAAGCGCAAGGGGTCAGGGAGTTACCTTTCCTAATCAAAGAAAGGGGTGACGGACGGCACCTGGAAAATCGGGTCACTCCCACCCGAATACTGCGCTTTTCCAACGGGCTTAAAAAACGGCGCACCAGATTATATCCCGCACCTGGCTCAGAGGGTCCTACGCCCACGGAGTCTCGCTGATTGCTAGCACAGCAGTCTGAGATCAAACTGCAAGGCGGCAGTGAGGCTGCGGGAGGGGCGCCCACCATTGCCCAGGCTTGCTTAGGTAAACAAAGCAGCCAGGAAGCTCGAACTGGGTGGAGCCCACCACAGCTCAAGGAGGCCTGCCTGCCTCTGTAGGCTCCACCTCTGGGGGCAGGGCGCAGACAAACAAAAAGACAGCAGTAACCTCTGCAGACTTAAATGTCCCTGTCTGACAGCTTTGAAGAGAGCAGTGGTTCTCCCAGCACGCAGCTGGAGATCTGAGAACGGGCAGACTGCCTCCTCAAGTGGGTCCCTGACCCCTGACCCCCGAGCAGCCTAACTGGGAGGCACCCACCAGCAGGGGCAGACTGACACCTCACACTGCAGGGTACTCCAACAGACCTGCAGCTGAGGGTCCTGTCTGTTAGAAGGAAAACTAACAAACAGAAAGGACATCCACACCAAAAACCCATCTGTACATCACCATCATCAAAGACCAAAAGGAGATAAAACCACAAAGATGGGGAAAAAACAGAACAGAAAAACTGGAAACTCTAAAAAGCAGAGCGCCTCTCCTCCTCCAAAGGAACGCAGCTCCTCACCAGCAACGGAACAAAGCTGGATGGAGAATGACTTTGACGAGCTGAGAGAAGAAGGCTTCAGACGATCAAATTACTCTGAGCTACGGGAGGACATTCAAACCAAAGGCAAAGAAGTTGAAAACTTTGAAAAAAATTTAGAAGAATGTATAACTAGAATAACCAATACAGAGAAGTGCTTAAAGGAGCTGATGGAGCTGAAAACCAAGGCTCGAGAACTACGTGAAGAATGCAGAAGCCTCAGGAGCCGATGCGATCAACTGGAAGAAAGGGTATCAGCAATGGAAGATGAAATGAATGAAATGAAGCAGGAAGGAAAGTTTAGAGAAAAGAGAATAAAAAGAAACGAGCAAAGCCTCCAAGAAATATGGGACTATGTGAAAAGACCGAATCTACGTCTGATTGGTGTACCTGAAAGTGATGGGGAGAATGGAACCAAGTTGGAAAACACTCTGCAGGATATTATCCAGGAGAATTTACCCAATCTAGCAAGGCAGGCCAACGTTCAGATTCAGGAAATACAGAGAACGCCACAAAGATACTCCTCGAGAAAAGCAACTCCAAGACACATAATTGTCAGATTCACCAAAGTTGAAATGAAGGAAAAAATGTTAAGGGCAGCCAGAGAGAAAGGTAGGGTTACCCTCAAAGGGAAGCCCATCAGACTAACAGCGGATCTCTCGGCAGAAACCCTACAAGCCAGAAGAGAGTGGGGACCAATATTGAACATTCTTAAAGAAAAGAATTTTCAACCCAGAATTTCATATCCAGTCAAACTAAGCTTCATAAGTGAAGGAGAAATAAAATACTTTACAGACAAGCAAATGCTGAGAGATTTTGTCACCACCAGGCCTGCCCTAAAAGAGCTCCTGAAGGAAGCGCTAAACATGGAAAGGAACAACCGGTACCAGCCGCTGCAAAATCATGCCAAAATGTAAAGACCATCAAGACTAGGAAGAAACTGCATCAACTAACGAGCAAAATAACCAGCTAACATCATAATGACAGGATCAAATTCACACATAACAATATTAACCTTAAATGTAAATGGACTAAATGCTCCAATTAAAAGACACAGACTGGCAAATTGGATAAAGAGTCAAGACCCATCAGTGTGCTGTATTCAGGAAACCCATCTCACGTGCAGACACACACATAGGCTCAAAATAAAGGGATGGAGGAAGATCTACCAAGCAAATGGAAAACAAAAAAAGGCAGGGGTTGCAATCCTAGTCTCTGATAAAACAGACTTTAAACCAACAAAGATCAAAAGAGACAAAGAAGGCCATTACATAATGGTAAAGGGATCAATTCAACAAGAAGAGCTCACTATCCTAAATATATATGCACCCAATACAGGAGCACCCAGATTCATAAAGCAAGTCCTGAGTGACCTACAAAGAGACTTAAGACTCCCACACATTAATAATGGGAGACTTTAACACCCCACTGTCAACATTAGACAGATCAATGAGACAGAAAGTCAACAAGGATACCCAGGAATTGAACTCAGCTCTGCACCAAGCAGACCTAATAGACATCTACAAAACTCTCCACCCCAAATCAACAGAATATACATTTTTTTCAGCACCACACCACACCTATTCCAAAATTGACCACATACTTGGAAGTAAAGCTCTCCTCAGCAAATGTAAAAGAACAGACATTATAACAAACTATCTATCTGTCAGACCACAGTGCAATCAAACTAGAACTCAGGATTAAGAATCTCACTCAAAACTGCTCAACTACATGGAAACTGAACAACCTGCTCTTCAATGACTACTGGGTACATAACGAAATGAAGGCAGAAATAAAGATGTTCTTTGAAACCAACGAGAACAAAGACACAACAAACCAGAATCTCTGGGACACATTCAAAGCAGTGTGTAGAGGGAAATTTATAGCACTAAATGCCCACAAGAGAAAGCAGGAAAGATCCAAAATTGACACCCTAACATCACAATTAAAAGAACTAGAAAAGCAAGAGCAAATACATTCAAAAGCTAGCAGAAGGCAAGAAATAACTAAAATCAGAGCACAACTGAAGGAAATAGAGACACAAAAAACCCTTCAAAAAATTAATGAATCCAGGAGCTGGTTTTTTGAAAGGATCAACAAAATTGATAGACCACTAGCAAGACTAATAAAGAAAAAAAGAGAGAAGAATCAAATAGATGCAATAAAAAACGATAAAGGGGATATCACCACCAATCCCACAGAAATACAAACTACCATCAGAGAATACTACAAACACCTCTACGCAAATAAACTAGAAAATCTAGAAGAAATGGATAAATTCCTTGACACATACACTCTCCCAAGACTAAACCAGGAAGAAGTTGAATCTCTGAATAGACCAATAACAGGATCTGAAATTGTGGCAATGATCAATAGCTTACCAACCAAAAAGAGTCCAGGACCAGATGGATTCACAGCTGAATTCTACCAGAGGTACAAGGAGGAACTGGTACCATTCCTTCTGAAATTATTCCAATCAATAGAAAAAGAGGGAATCCTCCCTAACTCATTTTATGAGGCCAGCATCATTCTGATACCAAAGCCAGGCAGAGACACAACCAAAAAAGAGAATTTTAGACCAATATCCTTGATGAACATTGATGCAAAAATCCTCAATAAAATACTGGCAAACCGAATCCAGCAGCACATCAAAAAGCTTATCCATCATGATCAAGTGGGCTTCATCCCTGGGATGCAAGGCTGGTTCAATATACGCAAATCAATAAATGTAATCCAGCACATAAACAGAGCCAAAGACAAAAACTACATGATTATCTCAATAGATGCAGAAAAGGCCTTTGACAAAATTCAACAACCTTCATGCTAAAAACTCTCAATAAATTAGGTATTGATGGGACATATTTCAAAATAATAAGAGATATCTATGACAAACCCACAGCCAATATCATACTGAATGGGCAAAAACTGGAAGCATTCCCTTTGAAAACTGGCACAAGACAGGGATGCCCTCTCTCACCACTCCTATTCAACATAGTGTTGCAAGTTCTGGCCAGGACAATTAGGCAGTAGAAAGAAATAAAGGGTATTCAATTAGGAAAAGAGGAAGTCAAATTGTCCCTGTTTGCAGATGACATGATTGTATATCTAGAAAACCCCATTGTCTCAGCCCAATATCTCCTTAAGCTGATAAGCAACTTCAGTAAAGTCTCAGGATACAAAATCAATGTGCAAAAATCACAAGCATTCCTATACACCAACAACAGACAAACAGAGAGCCAAATCATGAGTGAACTCCCATTCACAATTGCTTCAAAGAGAATAAAATACCTAGGAATCCAACTTACAAGGGATGTAAAGGACCTCTTCAAGGAGAACTACAAACCACTGCTCAATGAAATAAAGGAGGACATAAACAAATGGAAGAACATTCCATGCTTATAGATAGGAAGAATCAATATCGTGAAAATGGCCATACTGCCCAAGGTAATTTACAGATTCAATGCCATCCCCATCAAGCTACCAATGACTTTCTTCACAGAATTGGAAAAAAATACTTTAAAGTTCATATGGAACCAAAAAAGAGCCCACATCGCCAAGTCAATTCTAAGCCAAAAGAACAAAGCTGGAGGCATCACACTACCTGACTTCAAACTATACTACAAGGCTACAGTAACCAAAACAGCATGGTACTGGTACCAAAACAGAGACATAGATCAATGGAACAGAACAGAGCCCTCAGAAGTAACGCCGTATATCTACAACTATCTGATCTTTGACAAACCTGAGAAAAACAAGCAATGGGGAAAGGATTCCCTATTTAATAAACGGTGCTGGGAAAACGGGCTAGCCATATGTAGAAAGCTGAAACTGGATCCCTTCCTTACACCTTATACAAAAATCAATTCAAGATGGATTAAAGACTTAAACGTTAGACCTAAAACCATAAAAACCCTAGAAGAAAACCTAGGCATTACCATTCAGGACACAGGCATGGGCAAGGACTTCATGACTAAAACACCAAAAGCAATGGCAACAAAAGACAAAATTGACAAATGGGATCTAATTAAACTAAAGAGCTTCTGCACAGCAAAAGAAACTACCATCAGAGTGAACAGGCAACCTACAAAATGGGAGAAAATTTTCGCAACCTACTCATCTGACAAAGGGCTAATATCCAGAATCTACAATGAACTCAAGCAAATTTACAAGAAAAAAACAACCCCATCAAAAAGTGGGCGAAGGACATGAACAGACACTTCTCAAAAGAAGACATTTATGCAGCCAAAAAACACATGAAAAAATGCTCACCATCACTGGCCATCAGAGAAATGCAAATCAAAACCACAATGAGATACCATCTCACACCAGTTAGAATGGCAATCATTAAAAAGTCAGGAAACAACAGGTGCTGGAGAGGATGTGGAGAAATAGGAACACTTTTACACTGTTGGTGGGACTGTAAACTAGTTCAACCATTGTGGAAGTCAGTGTGGCGATTCCTCAGGGATCTAGAACTAGAAATACCATTTGACCCAGCCATCCCATTACTGGGTATATACCCAAAGGACTATACATCATGCTGCTATAAAGACAAATGCACACGTATGTTTATTGCGGCATTATTCACAATAGCAAAGGCTTGGAACCAACCCAAATGTCCAACAATGATAGACTGGATTAAGAAAATGTGGCACATATACACCATGGAATACTATGCAGCCATAAAAAATGATGAGTTCATGTCCTTTGTAGGGACATGGATGAAATTGGAAATCATCATTCTCAGTAAACTATCGCAAGAACAAAAAACCAAACACCGCATATTCTCACTCATAGGTGGGAATTGAACAGTGAGATCACATGGACACAGGAAGGGGAACATCACACTCTGGGGACTGTGGTGGGGTGGGGGGAGGGGGGAGGGATAGCACTGGGAGATATACCTAATGCTAGATGACGAGTTAGTGGGTGCAGCACACCAGCATGGCACATGTATACGTATGTAACTAACCTGCACAATGTGCACATGTACCCTAAAACTTAAAGTATAATAAAAAAAAATTAAAAAAAAAAACAACAAAGAAAACCCCAAATAACAAAACAACACCCCACACAATTGTCCATAGTCATATTAGTGTAAACAATGAATTCATGTCTTACAAAAAATTGTAATATATCTACATTGGAAGGATGAGGAGAAGATATATATACTAGATGACATCTAAAATAGAGGTAAGCATATAATTTAGAAATATAAAAAATAAAACACAGCTAAAAGATTAAAAACTGTTGGCTCTGAGAACAGGCTTAATAGGTGATAAAAAGAACTGCTTTATAAGCCTTGTGCTTTATATTATTACCTTTTATATTAAACTTATATTAAACTAAATGTTTACTATGATTTTTAAAGTCAAATTATTTTAAAAGAAGGCAAAGAGACAAACTGGGAAACATATTTCCAACACATGTAAGAGTTTAAGAATGAAAGTGCATAATATATTGAGTTCCTACAAACACTATTAACAAAGAGCCCAACAGAAACAGTCAAAGGATGTAAAAACCTAAGTCACAGAGGAAGTACAAATAGCCAATAAACATATGAAAAGATTTGTAATCTGGTTATCAATCAGGGAAATGCAAATAAAAACACCACTGATATCATTTTTTACCCAGAACATTTGAAAGGTTAACAATATCCAGTATCAGTTAGGCTGCAGAGAAACAGAATTTTTACATAGTTGGTTGACTGGCTATCATTTCAGAAGAGACTTTGTAAGTATTTATTGCCATTGAAAATATACCTATTCTGAATTGTACTCAAACATGTACACAAGAACATGTGTAAAAGGATCTACTATAGCTCCATCATTCAAAAGGAAAATGGTAAAAGAAATTATAGTCTGCATTCATAACAATGGGACATATAGAACTATAAAATGAATAAGGTCTATCTCTATGTACTGACAAGGAAATGCTTTCAAGATATATTGCTAAGTAACAAAATACACACACACACACACACACACACACACACACACACACACACACACTGCAGGACAATATATGTATGGTATGCTCCCATACAAGTCAAATAAAACAGCAGATAAATCTGTAACTGCCATTTAATGTCGAGTGAGAGGACATATATCAAACTATTGACGATGGTTATTTCAGGAAAAAAAGAAGAGAACTGAGGGGTAAAGTACAGTATTCTTTCACACGATTTGACTCTTTTGCAAATAAACTTTCATTATTATTTATGTAATTTAAAATATTTTTAATAAACCAAAGAAGCACAATACAGTAAAGAAAACATAAGAGACAGTGAAACATTAAACATAAGGAGGAAATCCTATATGATGCACAATCAAATAAGGTGACAGGTTAATTGTGTCTAATTCTGCTTTAAGTATTGAATACACTTTTAAAATATGGTACAACAAATAAAGGGTGAAATCCAGTTAATAGCAATGACCAATTATTTTTGAGAAGGCCATAGTAGAGCACTGAACCAAACTCAGTCATTTTCACTTTGAATTGCTGTTTCCACTTCTATGTATTATCAAAACTATTATTTATTTTCCTGTCAGTACTTTAAGGCTCCTGTTCACAGGCCATAATCTCATCAAAAACAACAAACAGATCCTGCTACCTGTCAGTTAGCACATACCTAATACTCTTTACGCTTCCCCTAATTTTCTCCACACTATACTTGCCCAAATAACAGAGCCCTTCTTTAGGGTTTTATGGTAATTTGAACTTTTCTCACTGTTCTTGTTGGATCATATTACAGCACATATTTCAGATACCCTAGAGGACACATAAGAAGTGAAAAAGTTTAAACCAACTAAAGAATAGAAACAAAAGTGTGATTAACATTCATCCTGACCTTCTTTGCCCACTGAAGCCTCTAAATTGAGAATTACTCTAGGAAAGCATATCAAAAATTAGCCTTAGACTAGCCACATGCAGAAGACTGAAACTGGACCCCTACCTTTGACCATGTACAAAAATCAACTCAAGGTGGATTAAAGGCTTAAATGTGAAATCTCAAACTATAAAAACCCTACAAGAAGATCTAGGAAATACCATCCTAGACAACAGCCCAGGCAAGGACTTCACGACAAAGTCAAAAAGCAACTGTAGGCAAGGCGCAGTGACTCACCCCTGTAATCACAGCACTTTGGGAAGCTGAGGCAGGCAGATCACCTGAGGTCAGGAGTTCAAGACCAGCCTGGCCAACATGGTAAAACCCTGCCTCTTCTAAAAATACAAAAAGAATTAGCTGGGCATGGTGGCAGGCGCCTGTCATTCCAACTAACTGGAAGGCTGAGGCAGGAGAATCACTTGAACCCAAGAAGCAGAGGTTACAGTGAGCTGAGATCACGCCAATGCACTCCAGCCTGGGCAACAAGAGCGAAAACTCTGTCTCAAAAAAAAAAAAAGCAACTGTAACACAAACAAAAATTGAGAAGTGGGACCTCATTAAAGAGCTTCTGCACAGCAAAAAGAAATTTCAATAAACAGAAAACCTACAGAATGACAGAAAATATCTGCAAACTATGTATCCAATAAAGGTCTAATATCCAGAATCTATAAGGAACTCAAACAATTGAAGAAGCAAAAAACAATCAACCCTATTAAAAGGTGGGCAAAGGAGATGAACAGACACTTCTCAAAAGAAGACATACACATGGCCAGCAAACATATGAAAAATGCTCATTATCACGGATCATCCGGGCAATGCAAATCAAAACCACAATGAGATACCATCTCACACCAGTCTGAATAGCTACTATTAAAATGCTGAAAACAACAGATGCTCCTAAGGTTGCAGAGGAAAGGGAATGCTTATAAACTGTTGGTGGGAATGTAAATTAGTTTAGCCACTGTGGAAAGCAGTCTGGAGATTTCTCAAATAACTTAAAACAGAACTACCATTCAACTTAGCAATCCAATTACTGGGTATATGCCCAAAGGAATATACATTATTCTACCATAAAGATACATGCATATGTATGTTCATTGCAGCACTATTCACAATAGCAAAGACATGGAATCAACCTAGGTGCACATGAATGGTGGACTGGATAAAGAAAATGGGGTACATACACACCATGGGATACTATGCAGCTATAAAAATCATGAGGTCATGGCCTTTGCTGCAACATAGATGGAGCTGGGGGCCATTATCCTAAGTGAATTAATGCAGAAACAGAAAACCAAATACTGCATGTCCTCACTTATAAGTGGAAGCTAAACACTGAGTACATATAGACACAAAGAAGGGAATGACAGACACTGGGGCCTATTTGAGGGTGGAGGGTGGGAGGAGAATGAAGATTGGGAAACCACCTATCAGGTATTACGCTGATTACCTGGGTGACAAAATTATCTGTACACCAAACTCCCTGACACTCCACTTACCCATGTAACAAACTTGCACATGTACCCCTGAACCTAAAATTAAAGTTGGAAATAAAAAAATAGGAAGAAAACACAAATTAGAGACACAAATAAATGAGAGTTTTAAAAAGGAGACATAAATTAAAAAGTAAACATTTAGCTATTTGAAAAAAATAATTTCCAATTCCCTAACAACATATGATGTTTTCATATACCATCCTTATATGTTCTTTGGTAAGGTATCTGAACAGATATTTTGCCATTTTCTTTTTATTATTTATTTATTTTTGAGATAGAGTCGCGCTCTGTAGCCCAGGCTGGAGTGCAGTGGCGCGACCTCTGCCTCCCAGGTTCAAGCAATGTATGTTCACTGCAGCACTATTCACAATAGCAAAGACATTATACACTCCACCTCTCAGGTTCAAGCAATTCGTGTGCCTCAGCCTCCTGAGTAGCTGGGATTACAGGCCCCGCCATCACACCTGGCTAATTTTTGCATTTTTAGTAGAGGCGGGGTTTCGCCATGTTGGCCAGGCTGGTCTCAAACTCTTTACCTGAGGTGATCCGCCCACCTCGGCCTCCCAAAGTGCTGGGATTACAGGCATGAGCCACTGCACCCAGCCCATTTTATTTTTATTTATTTATTTTTGAGATGGAGTCTTGCTCTGTCACCTAGACTGGAGTGCAGTGGCGAGATCTCAGCTCACTGCAACCTCCCTGTCCTGAGTTCAAGAGATTCTCATGCCTCAGCCTCCTGAGTAGCTGGAATTACAGGCATGCACCACCAAGCCTGGCTAATTTTTGTATTTTTAGAGGAGTTGGGGTTTCATCATGTTGACCAGTCTGGTCTCAAACTCCTAACCTCAACTGATCCACCCACCTCGGCCTCCTAAAGTGCTGGGATTATAGGCATGAGCCACTGCGCCCGGCCATATTTTGCATTTTATTTTATTTTACTTTATCTTATTTTATTTATTTTGAGACGGAGTTTCACTCTTGTTGCCCAGGCTGGAGTACAATGGCACAATCTCGGCTCACCACAACCTCTGCCTCCCAGCTTCAAGCCATTCTCCTGCCTCAGCCTCCCGAGTAGCTGGGATTACAGGCATGTGCCACCAAGCCCGGCTAATTTTGTATTTTTAGTAGAGATGGGGTTTCACCATGTTGGCCAGGCTGGTCTTGAACTCGTGACCTCAGGTGATATACCTGCCTCAGTCTCCCAAAGTTCTGGGATTACAGGTGTGAGCCACCACGCCCAGCCAAGAATTTTTAATATGTATTTTGTATACCTGTCTTTTATCACAGATAGATGTTTTGCAAATATTTTCTCCTACACTGTGGCTTGTCTTTTTATATTTTAACAGTGTCTTTCACAGTGCAAATGTCTTATTTTTAATATAGTTCAAATTACCACTTTCTTCTTTCACGGATCATGTTTTTATGTTGTATTAAAGAAGCCAACCCCCCAACAAATCCTCCACCCCCATAAAAACCAACCTTAGAAACACTCTGTTACTGGGTAGGCATAAATGTGATTAAATTTAGTTAAAATCAAAGTAGAGGCTAAAATAAAAATGTATCATTAACAATCCAACATATAAAACTAGTGCCAAGTCTAAGTGAGAACAATTCCACCTAATAGCGCTTGTAAATCTCCATGCAGGCAAAGCACAAGGGAAGGGACTAACAAGTCCTTGAAACGGAAACAGAAAAAAAGCTATTCTCAATTGGAAAAATAATTTATATGCATTAAGTGGCAAAACAACAAACCTTAATTTTTTATATAATGGAAAAACACCATACTGCGAACTAAATTGTAAACACGATATGTCACTTTGTCATTTTCAATATTATGTTCCAATACTACTAAAAACAAAACAAAACATCTTTCCCCAAAAGAATCCAAATAAATCTTCATAAAGCTAATTATTAGTAGGGAAAGAAAGGTATTTCATTCATTTCAACATTTAAGTATAAGAAATATAAAAGAAAGTTATTGAATTGTTGAGGCTTCAGGTTACAATGCCAGTTTCTCAAAGTACAAGTTTCTAAATGTGTACCCAGGGCAGCGATCAAAGTAAGAGTTTCCATAGTCCTTTCCTGTTTTTACTTCAGGTAACAACTGCCTTAAGGAGCTGAAAATGAGTTACTGATCACCTCTTTTCCAACTCTGAAATATCAATAATATGCAGTGTCATGTGGATAGCTGTCACATTTATCTCCCCAACCTGACCAAAAAAACATGTTTCTCTCCTTTTTTAGAAATTAAATTTTCTCAGAAACCAGGTCAAATTTAAGATAAATTCCGTTGGAATTTGATCACTCAAGATTTTGATGCACTTAAGTGTTTGACTGCTGATGACAACATACCATGAGTTCGTGCTTTCCTAACACCCTATTTGGTGGTTCCCAGATAATACATACTATCCTTGCTAATATTTTAAGATTTAAAATGTTCCAGTATAAAGTAAAATTTTGAAAAATAAAATGTTACAGTATACAATGGAAAACAGTTACAGAAGCAAACCCCTTCACAATGTTGTTGCTGTAGAAACAGGGATGGTGATGGTGATGATGCTTTACTTGTTTAACCTCACTTAATTCTCACACCAATCTTGTATAATGAGTCCTATTATTATTCCCAACATTTTAGAGATGAAGGAAGTAAGGCTTGGAGAGATCAAGTCTGTAACTTACTCAGGATCTGGAACTTCTAAAACCACTATGCTTCACCGACTCTCCTGAATAAAGTCACATTATTATACCTCAATACTGTTTTTTTTTCTTTCTTTCTTTCTTTTTTTTTGAGGCACAGTTTCGCTCTGTCACCCAGGCTGGAGTGCTGTGGCACGATCTTGGCTCACTGCAACCTCTACCTCCTGGGTTCAAGTGATTCTCCTGCCTCAGCCTCCAAAGTAGCTAGGATTACAGGCATGAGCCACTGTGCCCGGCCTAATACTGGGTTTTTAAATCAGGTTTTTAACCATGAGGATTTGGAACACCCAAGTTTCTTCAAATAATGAAATCCAAACATGTTTTCAGAGTAAACCAAATCTTTCCTTAATATCAGATATTATTTTACAGAGAGGATACTGATACCCAGGAGCTTAAATAATTTCCTCAAAGGCAAATGGCTAAAATGGACAGGGCTGCTACTCAGGTTTGTACGACTAAAAAGGCGTTGGTCTTTTTACGTTACCCTGATACCTTCCAGAACACAGAAACCATACTTTAAGCAATATACAGTTTATGTAATACATGAAACACAGTATGCTATATTATTGCAGGTACTATATGAATATACAGGCCAGGTGCGGTGGCTCAAGCCTGTAATCCCAGCACTTTGGGAGGCCAAGGCGGGTGGATCACCCGAGGTCTGGAGTTTGAGACCAGCCTGGCCAACACTGCAAAACCCCATCTCTACTAAAAATACAAAAATTAGCTCGGGAGGCTGAGGCATGAGAATTGCTTGAACCCGGGAGGAGGAGGTTGCAGTGAGCCAAGATAGCACCACTGCACTCCAGCCTGGATGACACAGCGAGGCTCCATCTCAAAAAACAAAAACAATACGAATATACAAAATATTAAGAATTTGCTAAAAGAATCTCTAAGTCTCTGAAGTTTTCCTATAAAAAGTAACACTTTATGTTAATTATATTATTTACATATAAGACTAAATATTTCTGATACTTAAGCTTCCATTCCAACTATTAATCCAACAAATAAAAGATTATCAAAAATTAAGATATTACAATGATACCATAACATTATGAAGGTTAAAATACAGACTACATTTTCCTAAGACTTATTTAGGCTTTTCCAACTTCTAGCTAATCTTACCCTAAAAGTAAATGAATCTTTTTTTGTTTGTTTGTTTGTTTTTTGAAATGGAGTTTCACTCTTGTTGCCCAGGCTGGAGTGCAATAGCGTGATCTCGGCTCACTGCAACTTCTGCCTCCCGGGTTCAAACGATTCTCCTGCCTCAACCTCCTGAATAGCTGGGATTACAGGCATGCACCATTATGCCTGGCTAATTTTGTATTTTTAGTAGAGACGGTGTTTCACCATGTTGGTCAGGCTGGTCTCGAACTCCTGAACTCAGGCGATCCGCCCGCCTCAGCCTCCCAAAGTGTTGGGATAACAGGCGTGAGCCGCACCCAGCCATAAATCTTTTCTAATTCAAAATACATCTATAAATTCAATTAAAATGTTTAGCTGATGACAACATGGGTATCATAAAAAATAAATAGCATAGTAATACTGTTTTTCTTCTGATTTAGGAAGAGGTAACATCTCCAAAAAATATCCAGTAAAGTAGATGATATTCTGTTGCCAGTTCAAAGCACCTATATTATGCAGGCAAAGATTTCCAAAGCATACTGTTTTTACTTTCACTGGCTCATACAAGTTCCTTGCACCTCATTAATGCAATGGTTTTATGACTAAAGGACACCAGCGTGAGACTTTTAAGAGTTGTAATGTTCTCCAAAATTTAAGTATAATCTTATACACCTTATTTAATTTATTGAAGATTCACCAAGTAATATCCTGTTTAGCGATTAGAAAACTGGTATCATTTGCAGTTCTCAGTCCTTTTACGTCATAGAAATTCATGATGGATTTTTGCCATATAGTTTTACTTCTTCATTTTTCCTTATCGAATATCTAAAAATAAGTGAAATTCCAACATCTTTTTTAAAAAACCTTGTCAGATTTATTTTAGGACACCATGAAGATATCCACAAAAGGTTTTGAAATTCATGTAAGTATCTATACTCTAAAAGTAAATATCTGGCAGAAATAATCTCAATCAATACGTTTTATAATCCCCTGAAATTAACACTTACCTGCTTCATTGTTAATTGGGAACTCCCATAGTTTCCCCTCTTTTGTCCACTGGATCAGCTCTTCAAATCCATTCTGAAGGGGTTGTTCATTTACTGTGGCTAACTGCTTAGCAAATTCCACATCCCAAAGTGAAGGTGATGTGTCTACATAATAAAGACATTTTAGATAACAACAAGTCAATGTAAGTATCTTTTTTTAAAAGTTACAACCAATCCTGAATTGACCATGTATTTTTCAGACCCTGACATTCATAATTAAATAGTATATAATAAAAAGTTACTGAGAGATAACTGCAAAAATTATATTAAAAATTGTAACTACAATAATGGCAAGCTTAACTTTTGTTTTGCAACAATGCCAGGTAATCACTGCCCCCTCTACTGGAAAGAAAAAAATAAATTTGTATTTTGTTTAAGGGTATTTTTATGAATGTGAATGTTTTTTGTAGAATATGTGACTTTCATTTTTAAAGTCTAGCCTGTTTATCTTTATTTTTAGTCTATCGAAATTAGTCACAAATGTACTACTGTTAACAACCAAAGAAGTTAAATTAACAGAATAACAATAAAACTGCTAATGAATACTGAGTACTTCCTCTGCGCTTAAATGCATTTTATGCATTAGTGCATGTAATCCTCACAACAAACCCTATGAGTAACGTATTATCATGTTGGCTAATTACCACTATCAAATTACATGTTTCAATAACTTATTTACTTTTGAAACTTCAGATCATCTTTTGAAAATGAGCCATATTCTCACCAGTTACTGCTGCTGGGAACATAAAATGGTACAACCACCTTGGAAAACAGTTTGATAGCTTCTTAAAAAGTTAAAATATATCTATTATTCAACATAGTCGTTTCATCCCTGGATATATTCACCCAAGAGATAATACATGTCCATACAAAGACTTGTACACAAAAGTTAATGGCAGCTTTCTTTGTAATAGCCAAATGTGGGTTGTAATTTGGGAAACAACCCAAATGTCCACTAACAGGTGAATAGGTACAAAAATGTGATACAGCCATGCAATTGTATACTACTCAGTAATAAAAATGCGTTACTAGTACATGTAACAGCATATGGATGAATCTCAAATCATTATGCTGAGTCAAAGAAGCCAGATGCAAAGGAGTATATACTATGTGATTTCAGTTATGTACAGTTCTAAAAGATGCAAACTAACCTATTGTAACAGAAGGCAGATCAATGGTTGCCTACATACTGTGTGTGGGGTGTGTGTGTTTGCGTGTATTGCAAAAGGACACAAGGAAACTTTGGAGGGTCATGAAAATGTTTAAAATTATAACTGGTAGTTTCATGGGTGTATATATTTGTCAAAATTAGTCAAGTTATATACTTCAAATATATGCAATCTGTTGCACACAAATTACAACTTAATAAAGTTGTAAAAAGAAAATGAATATCAATATCTATCCCTTGGCTACCTTTTCCCCTATATTTTTATTCTTTAGTTATTTTACCAACATCTTTTATCTTTCTTATTTTTTTCTGGGTGATATCACTTTTTAAAATAAATGAGGATCGTATAGTTTGGTAATCTACTTTTTTCACTGAATGCTTGCATTAGTATCCCATTTTATATATATATATATATATATATATATATATTACATATATATGTATCACAATCCCTTACTATTCAATATTTTGATCATTTATATATTTTCTCTTTTAAATACTATAGTGACAAATATCCTTGTAGTTACACTTTAGCGCGTATCTGTAATATTTCCTTAGAACAAATTCCTAGGAACAGTTTCCGGGTTAGAGGCATAGATTGCATATGACCTATCCTCCAGCTTACCTCTTTACCCACTTTTGCCAAGCCCCCACTAAAGCATATCAACAAATAGCTCAATTACTCTTCTACCTGGGTAAGCCTTATTTTATCTATTTTGCTTTTTCTGAATCTATTTCTATGAGCCTTTATGTGCAGAAATGTATCTAGCCACACACTGACTGCTAGATATTTGGCCTAGATCATCTGATACTGGGAAACAATCAGTTGTTAGCCTTAACTAGCCACATTTACAGAGCAATCACATCAAAAATAACTTAATTGTCTCAGTTATCTTTTACTTGGTGGTCACTGACCCACCTATGTCTTTTCCATCATCATTAGGATCATCACTATATTTTTACACTTGCTAATATTTGTAAGCATTTGTTAAATATGTACTATGTTCCAGGCACTGTGCCTGACACTTTTCTCATATTACCTCACTTAATCTTTGAGATGTATGTAGTAGCCCTCATTTTATAGGTGGGGAAAAGTTAGTGTGGCAGAATCTGAATTTGAATCCAGTTCTACACAACACCAACACTCTTTCTGTTAAGCTATACTGCCTGTCGACTCTAGGATAACCAGTAGGGCCTATGAGTATATCCTTTGTAGCAGTGGTAAGAACTTAGTGGGGAACAAGACATGGGAATCATGGAACAGAATAACTCATTCAATCAGTCAATAAAAAAATTACTGAATGCCAACTGTATTTCCAGCATTATTTCAGGTGGTGGGAAAACAACAGTGAACAATTGCTAAATTTACGTTTCCACATTTTGCTATTCTTGTATTTAATTGGGAACAAAAACCATTCTTTAGACTCATGCAAGTATAGCATATTTAAACAGTACCTTCATTAAATTATTAAAGTTGTGTGCTATTTTCCTAACTAGAGTATAATAATTTGATACTGTTTTATAAAATATATAAAACTTCAATGCTTCCTTGCCAACTAACTTCAGTTTTAGAAATAAGATTTTTTTATTTTAAAAAGTAAGATGGTTCCTTCAAGACTCTCAAGAATCTTCAAGTGCCTCTTTTGGCTGGACAACAGCAGCTGCCCTGACAACCAATTTCTTTCTTTCTTTTTTTTTTTGAGACAGTTTTGCTCGTCACTTAGGCTGGAGTGTAATGGTACAATCTTGGCTCACTGCAACCTCCGCCTCCTGGGTGCAAGTGATTCTCCTGCCTCAACCTTCCGAGTAGCTGGGATTACAGGCACCCGCCACCATGCCCAGCTAATTTTTGTATTTTTGGTAGAGACAGGGTTTCACCATGTTGGCCAGGCTGGTCTCAAACTCCTGACCTCAAGTGATCCACCCACCTCAGCCTCCGAAAGTGCTGGGATTACAGGCATGAGCCACCGTGCCCGGCCAAGAAATTCCTTTCTGATGCACGCTTAACCATTTGAGCAGGGAAGAGGCGATTCCTTGTCCCTACGCATTTTGCACTTCCTTCTCATCATACACAAGAGAATGCAGTTTTTGTAATATAAGAAGGGGGTTGTTCTTTTAGCTTCACCTTCAATTCAAATGAACAAACACTGAATTAACTTCTTTCCTCTACAGATATATATTTTACAGTACAGTTTGTTCAAAAAAGAATTTAAGATTTAAGACACCTAGTTCCTATGATCTGTAAGCCACATGAGTAGGTGCTACATGAATGAGATATAGCCCCTAATAGTCTATTAAATAGAGGGAAAATCAAAAGTTCGTATAAGTAACTGTAGAAAGATTAAATGAGCCTTTGGAGGCCCGCCTAGGAACTTATCTATCATATACAACATTCTTTTTTTTTTTCCCCTTCGAGATGGAGTCTCACTTTGATTCTTAGGATGGAGTGTTATAGCACAATCATAGCTCACAGCAGCCTCAAATTCTGGGCTCCAGTGATCCTGCCACTTCAACTTCCCAAGTCACTAGGATTACAGGCATGCACCACCATGCCTGGATAATTTTTTTCTATTTTTTAGAGAAAGGGGCTATGTTGCCCAGGCTGGTCTTGAACTCCTAGTCGCAAGCCATCATGTTGTCTCAGCCTCCCAAGTCCACATACAACATTGTTTCTACCAATATCCAAAAAACTAACTTATTTTCTTTAGAAATGCTCATCACTTATACACTAGAGACCATTTGTATTAAGTTTCTTCATTTATTTTACTAGTAAACTAAATTTAATGTCAAGCAAGAGGACACTCTTATTTCTCTTTTAGACTTAAAATGGCAAATTTCTTACCCAAAGAAAACACTACAAGTCTGTTAAATATATTCCTTGAATGTTCTTCCCATCTCCTAAACAATCACTAAGTCACTTCAGTAAGTTATTTTGTAAATGCTGTCTCCTCTTCTAAGCTGCCTAAGGGCAGGAACCAGTATATCTTTATGTAATAGCATAGAGATACACTGTAAATGGTAGTTGATTATTATTGTTCTAACTCAAATTAGTAGCTAATCTGGACCTCTGGATTCGGTAATCGGTAGTACTTACCTCCCGCTGTCTCACAGAATGCAACATTTCAAGGGGGAAGCCTGACCGAAACTAGCAATGTTGACAACTGTAGTAACCCCCACCAGGTTACTTAAGAGTGTATGTGTGTTGCTTGGATCCTGAAGGCTGAGCAGGGAGCCAAGGCCATGGTGCCTAGCTGAGGAGCAGGTGTCCCTGAGAACCCAAACATCCCAGGGCATACCTGGGAACATATCAGGTAACAGTCATCGCGCACACAGAGTAGGCAAACAAAACATTAGCTGAAAGGCTGCTTAGAGATGGGAGGCAGGGTGACTCTAGAGCTGCTCAGGAATGTCCAGTATGTAATGTAAGTTCTAGTAAACTCATCTATTCATCAAGCTGGACTTGCCCAAATTATTCTTTGGTCTCTTGACGCCTTCCCAGTTTAGGCGGACATTACAGTCCCAAGTTTTCCTTGTAACAACCGCCACATTCATAAGCAGGATCCAGGCCAATGACAGAATGGAATATTAAAATATCCAAACTATTAGAACACTAAGGACATCCTGGAACGATGGAATGTTTCTCCACCTGAGAAAGAGTGTTATTCTTAACAAACCTGTTTCAGGTGCTTCTTTAGTAACTGCCATCATGTCAAAAATATTAAGTCTTTTCCCTGTGAATATATTTTTCCTAAGTCCAAAAAAAGAAAATAACATTTTAATGAATATATTTTAAACTGTCAACAAAAACTATGAGAAAATATCTTAAGTGAAATATTCTATGTAGAAATTAAAAATTCCACTGACCCACATCAAAAATATTAGCTAAATTGCCACATTTTTAGGACTGATAAACAAAAAACAGAAATGTGCACTTGAAGTTTTGCTTCATAATACAACAAATCAATTACAGCAATTTCCAAAATACCTAATTGAAAAGATTAGCTTAATTTGCCATAATTTTTATTTTTTCACGTTTATATTAAGGTTTTAAAAACTCCATGTTGTGAAAAACTATAACCATGCCAAAATAGAAGCTGTTAAACTCAACATTTGTCTTTAAGGGCAGAAAACACTGCAATGTTTAATTACAAATTATAATTATAAAAGATTGCATTGGTAAATCACAACATTCCCTTTCATAAGGCAATCATTCTGTATTTTAAAATAATTATTAACTTTCTTTACGTGACTATTTTTAATTAACTATTGAAATTAATATCAGAGAGTTAATAGGTAACATTTTCTTACACACTTGATAATCAACTGCTTTATGCATCAATTCACATATTTACTTGAATACATTTACTGGCAGATTAAAATCCAGTTTATAAACTGGATGGCTGGCCAGGCGAGGTGGCTCACGCCTGTAATCCCAGCACTTTGGGAGGCCAAGGCAGGTAGATTACCTGAGGTCAGGAGTTTGAGACCAGCCTGGCCAACATGGTGAAACCCCGTCTCTACTAAAAACACACAAAAAAAATTAGCCAGGTGTGATGGCAGGTGCCTGTAATCTCTGCTACTTGAGAGGCTAAGGCAGGAGAATCCCTTGAACCCAGGAAGCAGAAGTTGCAGTGAGCCGACATTGTGCCACTACACTCCAGGCTGGGCGATAAGAGCGAGACTCCGTCTCGAAGAAAAATAAAAAATAATAAACTGGAGGGTTAGTTTTAAAAATAATTTTGAATTCTTGTTTTTTTATAAACTAAATTACTTCTCTCTACTAAATAGAAATAACTGGAAAAATGCAAATACCATATGAACGTTAAATAATGTGATCTCAAATCATATAATCTTCCCTCTAACAGGTTCCAAGTTATTTGTAAACAAAGGCTTTTACGCTCCATAACTCTCTTCAGTGCCTTGCATTCTTCTCCCTCAACCGCACGTCTGATAAACAGGATGGTGGATTAAAGCAAGTCACAGCAGAGGGCAAATGCCTTGATAAAGTATTGAATTTCAAAAGAGGAACGTACTACAAAGAGAGGGAATGGACATTTGCTGAGCACCTACTATGTACCAGATAGTTTACACGTGTTTCTTTTCTATTCCTTAAGAAAGCCATTTAAGCTAGGTTTCACTTTCAGCATTTTATAGCTGGGGAAACAGCCTGATGGAGGCTATAAAAGGTGCCCCAGTCACAGAATTAGTCAGTGGCAGTGCCAACATTCTGAGGCAGGCCAGTGTGAACTGTCAATCTCCAACAGAAAAAATCAATCCAGGCCTGGGTTGTCTGGGGTTGATATCCCAGATCCTGCCCCAGTCATAGCAGGGTGAAAAACTTGGCGTCTCACCATTGCTTCCCCTTACTCACCTCTGGCTGGCTTTTTAACACATTGAAAGCACAGAAAACCCTTTCCTACTTGCTTCTAATTTTTTAAATATTAAATATCAAATCTAATATTAAAAATCAAATTATAATATACCATCCTAATGTAGTTGCACAGAATCATGTCCAAGATGAATGATTCAGTTAAATATTCTCGAGGATTAACTGATTCAGTTAAATATTCTTAAGTAAAACTCCAAGTACACCTTCTCCTTTATTCAATAATATGTAACAGATGCTAAATCACTTTAAATTAGTAATTCAAATAATCTTCCAAAGTCACCATAACCTCTTGAACTTCCGGTGTTAACTGCTGACCACCTTTTCCAACTTTCCTGTATAAATCATTAATTTAACACCCAGAAAGAGTTAACTCAAGTTTCTGATTTTACTTAAAACAAATCCATGGAATATACAATGCATTGAAAACACTCCAGTTGTGAGCATATCCTGCTACAAAGACAAGTTAATTTTTGTCAGACCATGCCAAATATCTGGTTCCTCCTTCCCATCTATCACTTTCAGGGTTTAAAGAAGAAAAAGAACAGAAACGTTATGCAAATACAGAACAACTTTAGATTCTAAAATAACTATGTAAGGCATGGCTCAGCATCTTTAAGAACTTCAAATCAGTAAATTCAAATGGCCACAAATAATCTACCATTTTAAAGTGTTATATAAACTTTTTTCCTCCTGCCTTTCCTTCTTCTCATTGATGGTGGGTTATTTCTCTAAGGTATACCAACAGATAAGCACGTATTGAGATATAAAGGCTATATGAATACACAGTATTAGACACTTATTTTTAAAATGAAAAATAATGTTTCTCACAAAATACTTATTTGCTCAGAATTCAGTCAGCTCCGCTTACTCTAAATGAAAGGACCCCTATTCATCGTGGGTAGATGTGAAGCATGGCCCGTTTTGATTTCAGGTATGGAAAACTACAGGACTGGCTAAATCCAGCACATGGTTCCCTCTCTAGGAAGTGGTATACAGAGAGTAAGAACACAGATGTAAATGTATTCATAATGTTCAGATATCCAACAGCAATAATACACACACACACAATAAGGTAAATCTACAGTTAAGGTAAAAACAAACTACACAAACAAAACCCAGCAGATTACAAAGCCTGATACCTTTTTTTAAGATCATCCGTCTTCTCCTGGCCAGGATAATTGTCATAGCCTTCATCAAACTGAATCCGAAGCTCTGGTCTTGAACGAACTCTAGCTGTAGCAGATCTGGCAACTTTCATATCTGATATTATGTTACTGAAACTGAAATAATAAAAAGGTCAAGTGTATTAGAAATCTTAGCTACAGAACAGTAATAAACTTCCTTTAACAGGAGACTTGAGATCATTTAATTCTTATTTCATTTTTATGCACTAATTACACAGCATAAAATGTTTAAATAAAAAATGTCGCCTATTAACATTCACATAACACAGAACATTACAATTTATGTTTACTTTCATCTTTTAAAGATGTACTTCAGAAATCTTCATTTAAAACGTAAGTGTCTCATGAAAAATTATTCAGAGAAAATGATAGGAAAGTAAAATCAGTATCTGTTATACCTATCACCTACATCCAATAACTAAATTAAAACCAAGAGTTAGCCATATTTATTTGTTGCTTTTTATTTGTTCAAATACAAATAAAATGAGTCACTGAACTGACAGTCCAGATATCTATGTCTTCCTTTTTTTTTTTTTTTTTTTTTTGAGATGGAGTTTCACTCTGTTGCCCAGGTTGGAGTGCAGTGGCGCAATCTCGGCTCACTGCAACCTCTGCCTCCCGGGTTCAAGCAATTCTCCTGCCTCAGCCTTCCGAGTAGCTGAGACTACAGGCGTGTGCCACCATGCCAGGCTAATTTTTTGTGTTTTTAGTAGAGACAGGGTTTCACTGTGTTAGCCAGGATGGTCTTGATCTCCTGACGTGGTGATCCGCTTGCCTCAGCCTCTCACAGTGCTGGGATTACAGGCGTGAGCCAGTGCGCCTGGCTTTTTTTTTTTTTTTTTAATTACAGTTTCTTGTCTCACACTATTGCCCAGGCTGGAGTGCTGTTGTGAGATCACAGCTCAATGCAACTTCAAACCCTGGACTTAAGTGATCCTCCCAAGGCCGGGTGCAGTGGCTCACGCCTGTAATCCCAGCACTTTGGGAGGCTGTGGTGGGCAGATCACAAGGTCAGGAGATCCAGACCATCCTGGCTAACACAGTGAAACACTGTCTCTACTAAAAATACAAAAAAATTAGCCGGGCATGGTGGCGGGCACCTGTAGTCCCAGCTACTCGGGAGGCTGAGGCAGGAGAATGGCGTGAACCGGGGAGGCGGAGCCTGCAGTGAGCCGAGATCGCGCCACTGCACTCCAACCTGGGCGACAGAGCGAGACTCCGTCTCAAAAAAAAAAAAAAAAAAGTGATCCTCCTGCCTCAGCATCCAAAGTAGCTAGACTTCAGGCACACGCCACCATGCTCAGCTACTTTTTTTATGTTTTGTAGAGATGGGGTCTTGCTTTTCTGCCCAGGCTGGTCTCAAATTCCTGGCCTCAAGTGTTCCTCTTGTCTTAGCCTCCCAAAGTGCTGGGATCATGGGCATGAGCCAGCACACATGGCCATTTCTTTTAATTTCTTGAAATAAATCTGGTATACACGTTCATTGAGAACAACTGATTTAGATCACTCTCCAAAATGAGGCAGTGTTACTGCTTACTATACTTACTACTTAATATAACATAGGCAGCAAGTAGTATAACATGGTATAAAATAATGAGAGATGAAGAGAGTAAGTGGAATGATGTCAGATGAAATACAGAAGAGGAAAAAGAGAAGGCAACAGACCTGAAGATTATCATCCTGTGCATAAAACCAGCAAGGTATTTAACTGAAAAAAATTACTTTTCTCAGAGAAGCTACTTTATTCTGTTATTTATTTTTAATAACATTATTGAATTTACCATTTATTTTTTCATGGACAAGAAACTGTAACTTCCTAAAAGGAAACTTTATTCAATTGTTTTTTTAAAAACTATAATCATACTTAAGACATAAGTTTTTTAAAAAGTTGAATTGCTAAAATTATGTGGTATATTTTATATACAAATTCCACTTACGTGGTATATATTATGTGTATTACTCACTAGCCATATGAAAATGGCCCATTTTGAGATATAAACATTACTGACTTAAGGGTTTGATTCACTCACCTAATTTTAGGTCGCTTTGCATCTCTCTGTGCCCTTGACTCTTCCTCATGCTGCTGGAGCTGGCTCAGCAGCTCTGACTTGGTTGTTTGCTTATCAAAAGGGAGAGAATCTGCCACAGCAGATGCAGCTGCCACCAACTCAGGACTCAGGGGCTCAATTCTGAAAAAGAAAATGAAAAACAAATGAGAAAGAAAAAAAAAGAGAGATTGGCCAGGTGCGGTGGCTCATGCCTGTAATTCCAGCACTTTGGGAAGCCGAGGCAGACAGATCACTTGAGTCAGGAGTTCGAGACCAGCCTGGCCAACATGGTGAAACCCCATTTCTACTAAAAATACAAAAATTAGTTGGGCGTGGTGGCGCACGCCTGTAAGTGCCGGCTACTCGGGAGGCTGAGGCAAGAGAATTGCTTAAAGCCAGGAGGTGGAGGCTGCAGTGAACCAAGATCACGCCACTGCACTCTAGCCTGGGAGACAGAGCGAGACTCTGTCTCAAAAAAACCAAACCAAAACAAACAAAAAAAACAAAAAACAAAAAAGAGAGATTGCTTATTACACCATTAGTTTAGTGAAAAGTGAAATGATTTTTGGAGAAAACTTTGGTGTTCAAAAAAGTATTCAATTCAATTTCTGACAAAGGCAAGAATTCTCAACTATTAGGTACCGGTTTTATATAAACTTTGAAATGTTAAATGTTAAAATTAATGGATATTTGCTGAAGCACAACACTAACTCAGAACAATATATTAAGGTGGAGGGGTGAGGGACAGATCAGCCTCAAAAATTATAAATTAGTGGAATTTTTAATTAGATGTTATTGTATTTCAGAAACAATATATATTGTAAGCAAATATAAAGGCAGGTTAACCAGTTCGCAGAAACTTTACTGGAACCAACCTAAAAGTCTATCATCAGAACAGAAAAACAAATTGTGATATATCCATACAATGGAAGAGTACTCAGCTCATGACAACATGAATGACTTTCACAGGCATTAGATCAAGTGAAAGAAGTTGGACACAAAGAATATAAAATATAAAAATTAGCCAGGCATGGCAGCACATGCTTGTAAAATCCTAGCTACTCTGGAGGCTGAGACATGAGAATCGTTTGAACCTGGGAGGTGGAGGTTGCAGTGAGCCAGGATTGCGCCACTGCACTCCAGCCTGGGTGTCAGAACTAGACTCTGTCAAAAAAAAAAAAAAAAAAAAAACTGTATGATTCCATTTATATCAAGTTCCAGAACAGGGAACACTAATCTGAGGTGAAAAAAAAATCAAAACAGCAATTGCCTCAGGACTGATGGCTACTGACTGGGAAGGTAAAAATGAAAAATGTAGTGTTTTGCTAAGTGTGTGGGTCACAGGGACTTACCTGTTTCTCAAAATCCTACAGCTAAGATTTGTATACTTTAATACATGTAAATTTTACCTGAAAAAAAGAGCCATAAATCATCATCAAGTAGGAGATGGAAAGTGGGTGAAGGCATAGGACATACAAGAATGGCAAAATGTTGATCACTGTTGAAGCTGGGCAACAGTAGAAAGGCGTTATACCATTTTGTGTTCTTTGCATATGTTTTAAATTTTTCATAAGAAAAAGCTTTTAAAAGCTTCCTAAATTAGAGCAAGTTAATAGAAAAACATTCTATTATAAAAAGAAAATAAACTATTTACAACATTTTTTCCTTTTTTTTTTTTTTTTTAAGAGACAGGGGTCTCAATATGTCGTCAAGTCTGGCTTCAAAGTCCTGGGTTCAAGCAATCCTCCCATTTCATCCTCCTGAGTAGCTGTGACTATAGCCAACTGCCACCATGCTTGGCTATTTGCAACATTTTTTAACTCACTGAGAACTGACATCTCAATGAGTGGGATCCAAATTAATGTTTTACTATACCTGGCTTTCTATATTATGATACGTTACCTAATACGAAAGTTAAACTTCCCAAATTCCTGAAGTTCTTGGAGAAAGATTTTAAGGACTTAACTAAGTTATGAAAGATCTAAAATCTGATAGGAATAGAAGAAAAAGAGAAGAATTAAACAAGGGGTCGGGCACGGTGGCTCATTCCTGTATAATTCCAGCACTTTGGGAGGCTGAGGCGGGAGGATCGCTTGAGCCCAGGAGTTTGAGACCAGCCTGGGATAGAGAAAAAAAGAAAAGAAAAAAAAAAATTAGCCAGGTGTGGTGGCATGTGCCTATAGTCCCAGCTACTGGTGAGGCTGAGTGGGAGGATCACTTGAGCACAGGAGGTAGAGGCTGCAGTGAGCCATGATTTTTCCACTGCACTACAGCCTGAGGCACAGAGTGAGAGTCTGTCTCCAAAAAAAAAAAGAAAAGAAAAATAGAGAAATATAAGTTAAAATAAAATGTGCTTTTAAAACTTATCTGTGAATAAAGCTTTAACCTTGTTCCAAAGTCATTGTATTTCTTTCATAAACTACTTGTGAACTTCATTTTCAAATTTTAATATATTTGATCAAAGTATACACAGAACATAGATGAATATTCATTTTCTAGAATCATACATTTCATAACAATGGTTTCCTATGTAGTTATACTCTCTGGCTTTATAATTTGAAATGTTCTAATTAATAAAAAATTGTGGGGGAGCCTCTGTCATTGAATAATTTTTACATACAGGGATCTTTCTTCATATATTTTAACAATGTAAGGAGAACTTGTTAAAGTATCTTTTAACAATCTATTCTATCCTGTAATTAAAACCATTTCATTAATACAAACTTTTCCCCTTCATAACATTCTGTACTTTTTAAATTTCTTTAAAATAAACTGTATGACATACAATTTCAGAAAAGAATTCTGATGAGGGAAAGAAACTGAGTGGATACTTAAATTGGCACCGCTTTTGGCAGGCAACTTGGTGCCATATATCAAAGGCAAAAAATATATATATGCACATCTCTTGACCTAGCAATTCCACTTCTAAGAATATGTGTTTAAAGAAAATAAACAGAAAAAAAAAAAAAAGAAAGAAAGAAAGAAAAAATAAACAGCTGGGCATGGTGGCTCACGCCTGTTATCCCAGCACTTTGGGAGGCCAAGGTGGGCAGATTACTTGAGTCCAGGAGTTCATGACCAGCCTGGACAACATAGTGAAACATCGTCTCTACAAAAAGAAAAAAAAAAAACTAGCCAGATGTGATGGTGCATGTCTGTAGTCCTAGCTACTCGGGAGGCTGCGGTGGGAGGATTGCTTGAGCCCAGAGGTAGAGGCGATTGTGCCACTGCACTCAAGCCTGGGGAATAGAGCAAGACTCTGTATCAAAAAATGAAAGAAAAGAAACAAATTTGTGGAATTTGAAGGATACTGCATACTCCAACCTCAAGGCCTAAGCAGTTCTATCCTCTATGCCTGAAAAGGAATTCATCTTTCAGATATCTACATGGCTTTATCCCTAATTTGATTCTAATCTTTGCTCAAATGTTACCTTATCAGAGTTCTTCCCTAATTATTCTTAAAAATAGCACCTCTCCAGCCCCCTCATTCTTTTTTTTTTTTTTCCCACCCAGGCTGGAGTACAGTGACACAACCACAGCTCACTGCAGCCTCAACCTCCTCAGCTCAAGTAATCCTCCTGCCTCAGCTTCCTGAGTAGCTGGGACTACAGGTGCATGCCATCACACCCAGCTATTTTTTTTTCATTTTTTGTAGAGACTGGGTCTCACTATGTTGGCAGGGCTGGTCTTAAACTCCTAGACTCAAGCAATCCTCCTGCCTCAGCCTCCCAAAGTGCTGGGATTACAGGCTGTGCCTGGCCCAACTCCATCACTCTTATTTTTCTTCATGTTTCACCACCTGACATAGTATAGACATTGTGTGTGTGTGTGTGTGTGTGTGTGTGTGTGTGTGTGTGTGTGTGTGTGTGTGTGTGTTGTACATATATCTCCTCTCCTACATCCCTCCCCCCATTTTAATGTAGGAAGCAGAGACTTTGTTTTGTTCAATGTCCAATCTCTAGCACTTTGGATGGTGTGTGAAATATAATGGCAAGGGAAAGTTGCTGAATGAATAAACAAACATAGCATCATTTCATACTAGTGAAACACCAGAGATAATCTAAATTTCCAGCAGGGATCAATTAAGTGAGTAATAGTTAGCTGATGCCTTCCAAATGAATCAGGTTAAGAGGAAGTTAAAGCAGATGCTAGAAATTTTGGTTACTGCTGCATCACCAGGGATATTCTTAGGTTCCACTAAACATTCAGACCCAAAGGACCACTACAGGTGACACCTGGCCCAGTCCATTCGGGAAGATGAAAGACAGAACCACAGCAGGCTGGCAGGGCAGCCTTGGGTCTCCTTCTCAGTGGGAGTTATTGTAGTGTTCATGCAGGTGACACTTCACACAGTCAATCATCTTAGAGTAAGGATATGAGATCTGCAAGCTGCCTGGCTTACTGCCCCACAGCAGCCAGTATCTCTTGTAACAGGGCCACATGCAGTTTCCAGGGTCCCTGCAAAAGACGTGCAGTAAGAAGAATCACTGCATTTAAGTCCTAAATATGGTATCCCCATCAGGTACCCGTAGTTCTCCCAGGCCAGATGCAATCTATGAATTAGGGGTCAATTTTGTCATGACAATGTTGCCTATAGTATAGCTGAAATTCTACAGTTATCAGGTACCAGATGTACCTGATAAGCAGATTATACTTTCAGAAAATAGTGACAGCATTACTTCTGGTTCCACATGCTCTTCCAACACATTGCCATATATCCATCAAAAGGGAGATCTATCTTCCCTCCCTGAAAACCAGGGGAAACTTTGTGACTGCCTTGATGAACAGAACAAGATAGAGGTAACACACTGCAACTTCTGAGGCTAGATCAAATAATGTGATACAGCTTTCACTTCCATCTCTCAAGACATTTGTCTGCGGAACCCAGCTACCAGGCAAGAAACCCAGGCCACATGGAAAGGCCATGGGTAAGTGTACTGGCCAAGAGCCCTAGCTAAAGCCTCAGCCAACAGCCAGTATCAACTACTGGAAAAGGGCCCTCAGACGATTCCAGATCCCAGCCCGGAATCTAGCTTAGCTAAAGATGAGTAGAGAAGACACAAGCTCTCCACCTGGGACCCTGGCTCCCAAACTGTGTCCTAAGGTACTCTGGGGCAGCACAGGAAAATACAACCATGTCAATAATGATGTAAATTAGGCAGTTCACAGTAACATTACAGCAGTCCCTTCATATCTGCAGGGGTTGGGGGGAGGTGGGGCCGTGGGATACAGGCATTGTTTCCAGGAACAGCTCTGGCCCCCACCAGGATGGATGCACAAGCCCCTTACATAAAATGGCAGAGTACCTGCATATAAGTAATGCACATCCTCCGAATACTTTTAAATTATCTCTAGATTACTTATAATACCTAATTATGTAAGTAGTTATATTGTATTTTTTTTTAATATTTTCAATCAGAAATTGGTTGAATCTGTGGATACAGAACCTGCACATACAGAGGACCAACTGTATATTGCTCCATTCCTATCAATGACATTATATCTTTGTCAAGATTGTTTCTCAGGAGTGGTTGTGATAAAAACAAATATCCCAGGAAAATCAATGTGGAACAAGGGTAAACACGGTAATGTCCAATCTTATTACAAGGCTAGGTCATTAAAAAGAAAATACAACTTTCTCTTGGCTCACTTTCTCTTGAGACACCCGCCCTGGAACCCAGCCACCATGCAGGGATAAAGCCCAGCCCACAAAGAAAGCCACATGTAGGTGTTTCTGCTAATAAGGTCTCAGCTGACAGCCAGCAGCAACTGCCAGACCTATGAGTGAGCAAACTTCAGACAATTCCAGCCTCAGACTTCTAAGTCTTCCAACTGAGGCCCCAGACATCACAGAGCACAGATTGGCCTTCCCCCACTGTGTTCTAGTCAAATCGCTAACCCACAGAATCTGTGAGCATAATGAATGAATGTTTTATGCCACTAAGTTTGGGAGGTAGTGTAGCCATGGTAACCATATCAATGAAGGTTCAATATTTAATACAAACAAAGAAAAGCAGTCTATGTATGAAGCAATGATGACAGTGTCTCATGAAGCAAAGATCATGACTAACCTAATCCCGTGCACCTTGGAGTCCTTGAAAAAGAGGGAGGGGAGGAAAAAATCATTAAAAGACACCTTTTTAAAACTCAAAACAAATGTACCTCATTCACCAGTCTTTTGATGTGGGACCAAAGCCTCTTCTTTGAACATAGGACCACTAATAGAGGTTCTAAGACACATCTTTTATATACATCACACCCATCCTCCAGTATTTTCAATTTCAGTTTAAGTGGAAAAGTGGAGCAAGAATGTAAGAAAGCTTACAAAGCAATCTAAGTGTATGATCTTCCCACACATGTATGTTTGCCTCACTCATACCTAATTGGAAAGAAAAATTTTAAATGACCTTTACTGACTCTTTCCAAAGCATTCAACTCACTTTACCATTTCTGTAATCGTTAATTCAATTATAATTATAATAAAGAGCATGATGGATCATAAACAGGTCTAGGAGCTTTAAAAATGCCATTCTTGAAAAGTATTTATATATGTTTGTATTATTTATTTCCATATACTTATATATAACCATTTTGTTTCTAAAAGCAGGAGGAGGAGGAGGAAGTACCTATTATGGGTACTGATAGTCTGAATTAGCTTACTCTACTACCCAATCATACTTTCTAGAGGTATTTTTGATATAACGTAGAAACCAAGAAGTTCCATTAAAATGTTAAATCAGTTTGGGAAACAGAAGACTATTAAAATCTGTTTGTTCTGGTAACAGAAGTCAGTGATGAGTATCCTAAAGCCACATAGCTTACTACTTGAATTAATGACATCATTGAAATACATCATTACATAGCACTAAAAAAAATACTGCCATTTAACCTACCACACAATGCCAAGTATCACTGATTGCATTTAGAATTAAATATAATACTCTTTTGACAAACACAAATAATTTTAATACTCTGAGGAAACTACCAAGAAAGCTGAAAGCACTGATAGGTATTGATCAAGGGAAGTCATATAAAGCAATTGTAATCAACATGCTAAAACTTTATTCCAGAAATCTTTAAAATGGAAAATTTTAAATAAGCAAGTCCTTTACAGACATTAAGCTACCTTCAAATCAAGATGTAAATGATATTGTTAATTAACAGCTTAAAGAGGCAATTACATGGCAGTTAATAACACTGATAAATATGTAAGTGTGTGAAATTCTCAATGAGATCATTTCTCCTTTCCTTTCTCTGGATTGTGTACAGATATCCTCTTGTTATTTAAATATAATACAATAACAGCATTTCTCAAGTAATTATTATTTTGTTGTTGTTGTTGTTTGAGACAGAGTCTCGCTTGATCCCCCAGGCTGGAGTGCAGTGGCACAATTCTTGGCTCACTGCAACCTCTGCCTCCTGGGTTCAAACAGTCCTCCTGCCTCAGCCTCCCAAGTTGCTGGGATTACAAGCACGCACCACCATGCCCAGCTGACTTTTGTAGTTTTAGTAGAGACGGGGTTTCACCATGTTGGCCAGGCTGGTCTCCAAACTCCTGACCTCAAGTGATCCGCCCGCCTCGTCCTCCCAAAGTGCTGGGATTACAGGTGTGAGCCACCATGCCCAGCCTCGAGTAATTATTAGAGTCCCTGTGTTTACAAGCTGATATTTATTCTTCATTAATTCAACATTTCCCAAGTACTTGTATTAAAAATATTTTTTACCAAAACAAAAAGCTTACTGGAGTTTCAAACAACATCTGAATTACAATTAAATTTACCTCTTCTTTGGAGCATATTCTGTAGCTCTTCGAAGCCTGCCAAGTGTAGCTTCCAAACTTTTAAGTGGTCTTCTTTTGGGGGGCTTTGTTGTTCGTACATTTACTGTGCTTAATTCAACTTTCATGCCCTTAATAATGCCTAACAAGTCTTTTTTCGTATTTTCCTTTTCACTGTCTTGGCTCTCTGAAGTCTCCTTGGAAGTCTCCTCAGTTCGAACAGACTGCTTATCTTTCTTGCTACAGATCACACTGTTAGTGCCAAAATATCTTTGGATGTTATTTTTTGTCCTGGAAAGATGCATTAAAGAAAAAAATGAAAAATACAATGCAGTCTACAATAAAGTAAAAAACTTACTTACAATAAAGTAAAAAACTATGTATCTAAGATTTTTTTTCAATTCAAGCCCTTTCCGTTGCTTTTTTTTTTTTGAGACGGAGTTTCGCTCTTGTTGCCCAGGCTGGAGTGCAATGGCGCGATCTTGGCTCACCGCAAACCCCGCCTCCAGGGTTCAAGCAATTCTCCTGCCTCAACCTCCCGAGCAGCTAGGATTGTAGGCATGTGCCACCATGCCCAGCTAATTTTGTATTTTTAGCAAAGATGGGGTTTCCCCATGTTGGCCAGGCTGGTCTCTTTTTATAATTATTGTTAACAACCATAACAGCAGCAACTTACCATTTATTAGCATATACTACATGTCTCATCTTGTGAAATATACTTTATTTACATTTCTCATACCCACATTAACTCCCTAAGGTCTCTATTTTGCAGATAAGGAAACTGAAAATCAGAGAAGTCCCAAAGTCATGTAGCTCACAGCTCACTAAGAACTAAAACACACTGTGTGCCACAAATAAGTAGAGGTGTGCTGAGATATTGATCACTTGGTCCTTGGGGTGGCCAGGGGAGGTCTGGGGGTGCTGGTGCTCCCAAGTCTGTTCCCTCCCTCCATTTACCCCAGGGTTGGGTAGAAAAACACTGACATGGTTAATAAATGACAATTTATTATTCTCAAACCCAAATGTGACTGACTGCAAGTCCTTGCTCTTAACACAATACCTCTTTAAAAGTTATCATTAAACAATACAAAAATAAATTTCTATCAATAAAAAAGATTATTTCAAAAAAACTTTCTGAGTGGGTGTTATCTAATCTGATCAACATTGTCATCGAGCTACATGCTACTTAACCCATAACCATTTGTAAGGAAAGCTAGAATGGAACAGAAAAGAGAATAATCAATGGCTAGAAATGTCATTTGTGCTTTCTTCACTAGATACATTTATGAAAAAGAACAACACAAATGATTACATCTATATTAGACTCATGCAAAAAGATTTCCTAATTCTAAGTAATCCAAATATCCAATTTTATTCTGTGGGGTTAAAAATTTGTTTTGGTATTTGACTACTGAAGAATTTTCAAAACTCTGAATGTGTTAGTTTCAGTAAGAGGGTATATTAAAAAATTATTTGCTAAATATAGTGAATATCTACTCTGTGGTGGGCACTATACTAGGTACTGACAATATATTAGTAAATAAGAATTTCATGGTCCCTGCCTTTATGAAGCTGACGTGCTACAGCACTGCTTCTCAAACTTTAAGCTTAGCCCCCACCCCCCAACTAGGAGGGCACTGACCTCCAACAGGCATCACCCCGCTAAATCCCCTGGAAGTCTTTAATATGCATAAAAATTTTTTTTTTTTGAGACAGGGCCTCACTCTGTCAGACAGGCTGGAGTGCAGTGGTGTGATCTCAGCTCACTGCAGCCTTGACCTCCCTGAGCTCAGGTGATCCTCCCACCTCAGCCTCCTAACTGGGACTAATTTTTTGTAGAGACAGGGTTTCGCCATGTTGCCCAGGCTTGAATTCCTAGGCTCAAGCGATCTGCCCGCCTCCCAAAGTGCTGGGATTACAGGTGTGAGCCACCACACCTGGCCCACAGAAATTATCTATGCTCCTTGCTAAAACATACTTTGGTCCCACCAAAGAATTCTGATTCAACAGCTTTGTCCAGGAGACACTTGAGAATTTGCATTTCTAACAAACTCCCAGGTGACGCTAACGCTGCTGGTCAGAGGACCACGTTACAGTAGCTATGTATGTTACTTAATCCTTACACTTTAACAGAACAGGTTTCATTATTCTCACTTTACAGTACAAACTGTTGCCCACAGAAGTTAAAGTAGTGGTTATGAATCTCTACAGGTTATACAAATCACATAGGGAGCTGACTTAAAACACAATTCTTAGTTTGGAATTTAACATTTTAACTAAACCCCAGGTGATTCCCATGCAGGTGAGCTCAAGAGCCTGTATCAGACCCTGGGTTAAATATTGTATCAAGTTCAGCTGGGCATGGTGGTGCACGCCTGTAATTCCAGCAGTTTGGGAGGCGGAGGTGGGCGGATCATGAGGTCAGGAGTTCAAGACCAGCCTGGCCAATATGGTGAAATCCAGTCTCTACTAAAAATACAAAAATTAGCCAGGTGTGGTGGTGGGTGCCTGTAGTCCCAGCTACTTGGGAGGCTGAGGCAGAAGAATCGCTTGAACCCAGGGAGCAGAGGTTGCAGTGAGCCGAGATCACACACTGCACTCCAGCCTAAGCGACAGAGCAAGACTCTGTCCATATATATATATATATATATATATATATATATATATATATATATATATTATCAAGTTCTCAAAGCCAGAAAATGGCAGCCGCAGGTTAAGGATACTTACATGAAAGAGAAAATGGCAATTTCAAAAAATGCTGAAACTATTTGATCTGCTTATGAAAACGTCAGAGGCTATCAAATCAGGCACTTAAAAATTAGAATAAAAAACCAACTGCATAACTAGTATCCTCATAATCAGTACACAGGACTCTCATTATAATATTCAATATATGGTACAATCTATTTAAGAAAATGGTCATTATTTTACATTTAAAGTTACTATTCAAGGTATTTTAATAGAAAAGTGGTAATCAGGGGAATGAATCTCACATGTAATCTTTACTACAATGTTTTCTTTCAAGACTGCTATCATACCACAGAAAACAATCTACATTATAGGAAAATCACGTCTAAGTAACTCCCTAGCACTAAAAATAATAAACCTCTCGACCTAACCTCCCACCTGAGTTTGTTTCCACTGACAGCAGCTCATCAGTACTTCAAATGCAACACCTTCAACACCACATTCAAGACTCCTCTTTCAGACTGACTTTCCATTTTTCACACTTTCTATATTAAAAGGCCCCCTAACATAAACAGGTATTTGTTGTTTTCTAAAAATTATAATATATGGAAAAATCTTTCTCAAGCCTGGCTCCGCATTCTTCTGTTAACATTAAGGATACCCTAATACTCCAACGCAGCCAGTTGAAATTTTTGCTATCTCTGACTACCCTACCATTATCCCATGACGTCACATCCCTTTAATTCTACCTGTGCAATTTTTCTCCTCCATTCAGCTGGTCCTTCCCATCTTCACTGCTACTAACCTGCTTCAGCACTGTACTTAACCAAACTGCCTTCTGAGTGTTACGCATGGAATTTATGCAGCGGAATTAGGTTTTCATAATAAAGTTCTCGGAGGATAAATACCAAAACCAAGTATGCCACAATTCCCTTTTTTCCTGGCTAACTTCAACCAGTGGTCCTCCTTCAGATTTCGTCAGACTTTTCCAGAAACGATATCCTGAGTCTCCCCTATAATGGTTAGGTGTCCCTATTTGCTATCCCAGCAAGTACTCATTCATGTTGGCTGAATAGTGTACTCTGTTTACCTACACTATCTCAGCTATTACTTCACTACATAGCA
Source organism: Homo sapiens (assembly GCF_000001405.40). NCBI lineage: Eukaryota > Metazoa > Chordata > Mammalia > Primates > Hominidae > Homo > Homo sapiens. The sequence continues at coordinate 40,770,559 of NC_000013.11, forward strand.
CTTGAATTGTCTACTTTCTGGAACTACACGCTCCGTGATGGCAGGACTGTCTCACTTGGGGTTTACAACCAGTACTGGCACGCTGTTTTTCGAGTTTTTCAGTAATGAACTAAAGAATAAATGAAGGAAAACAAATGAGACTATCAAATAAATCTTGGGAGGCAAAAGATAAAAACCTGGGTAAACTGACAGGAGATGATGACAAGAGGAATGAGGCGCGGCGTGTAGTAGAGCACAGCGACCAGGTTTGTAATCGTAGCTCTGTTTTCACGCACACTATGACCTTGGGCAAGTCATCTTTTCTTTCTGGGATTTCTCTTTCCTCAGATTTAAAGCAATAGCTTCTAAGACCCAGCAGGTGGTAACATCGACCCCAGGAAGTCGGAGGATGTACAGGACGGGGCACGGGGTTGCCTGAGGACCTACCGGGCCAACAGCGCTGAACTGCGGTACCTGACTGTTCCGTGCCGAACAGTGAGTAGCATAATCGCAGCCGCTGATGTCTCCGGGCTTCCAGAGGACAAAGGGTGGCGGGAAAGGGGGCGAAGAGGTAGGAACGTCGAGACTCTAGGAAACATCGCCGAGACACGAAATGAACCAAGAACACAACTGAAATGGTGCGTCCCGCTGCCAAACACGTCCCCGCCCTCTCTTCCGCTTCCGGCCTGGCGCCTTCCTCCCCCTTTGCGCTCCGGTGGGCTACAGGGGCGGGTAACTGTGTTCCGGACTCGCCCGCGGCCGGGCGGAGCCAGTTGCCTCCAAGCGACCCGACCCACCCCGCGATTGTAGTCCTAGAGGCGGAGTCCTCGCCAGAGTTCAGCAAAGGTTCGCTGGCCGAGGCGGGTCCCAGACCGGCGAACCCGACAGTGGAGGGCGTGACCAGTTGTGCAAAAACTACAGATGGTGCCAGTGAGATCAGTCTCTTCTTTAACAGACAATATTTTGCGATGTTTGGAGGGGAAGGGTCTACAGCGTTCACCACGTTCTCAAAATGCGCCATGGCCACCAAAGAGGTTTAAAAAAAATTACTAAAAGACCTGCTGCCCTATGAATTAGCGTTTCCTTTCAGTCTTTATTTTTGATGTAGAGTCAAAATGAGACATAGGTTTCATTTTTCAAAAATAGCTTTATGGCCGGGCACGGTGGCTCACGCCTGTAATCCCAGCACTTTGGGAGGCCGAGGCGGGTGGGTCACTTGAGGTCACGGGTGCGAGACCAGCCTGGCCAACATGGTGAAACCCCATCTCTACTAAAAAAAAAAAAAAAAAAAAAAAATACAAACACACACACACACACACACACACAATTAGCCGGCCGTGGTGGCGGGCGCCTGTAATCCCAGCTACTGGGGAGGCTGAGGCAGGAGAAGCGCTTGAACTCGGGAGGTGGGGGCTGCAGTGAGCCGAGATCGCGCCATTGCACTCCAGCTTGGGCTACAGGGCGAGATTCTTTGTCTCAAAAAAACAAAAAAGAAAAGAAAAAAAGATTTACGCCGGGGGCACAGTGGCTCATACCTGTAATCCCAGTACTTACGGAAGCCGAGGCGGGCAGATCACTTGAGGCCAGGGGTGAAGACCAGCCTGGTCAACATAGTGAAACCCTGACTCTACTAAAAATGCAAAAATTAACCTGGCGTGGTGGCGAGTGCCTATAATCCCAGCTACTCGGGAGGCTGAGGCAGGAGAATAGCTTGAACCCGGGAGGCGGAAGCTGCAGTGAGCCAAGATTGTGCCACTGCACTCCAGCCTGGGCAACAGAGTGAGACCCCGTCTCAAAAAAAAAAAAGGATGAAAAGATGCAAGAGAGAGACTTGGCTTTTACCTGTCCCTCATGAAACAGGGAACTGTGACCCCAGAAGAGATGTGGGGTTCCCAAACTTGGAAGGGGATGAGAATAAATCTGGTGGGAAATGTTGGCTAATAGGACACATGGGAACCACTAGCCTAAAATTCCATAAAGGCATTCCAAAGTTTACATCAACATTTTCCCTGTCCTCTCAAAAAATAATCAAGGTGGGGAGGTGAGTTTTTGTGATACTAAAACACAGCTTACATTGAGCAGATCTTCCTGAGATCCACTAACACTAACAGAACCTTTGTGACTGAATGCTCTACACAGTACACTTGGGGATGCTTACTTTGTCTGATTTGTAAAAAAACAAACAAAAATTAAAGCATAACTTTGTCAAAAAACAAAATTATGGCAAATTTAGCATAATTGGTTTTTATTTGTGATTCTAGAATAGTGTTCCAGTGAGTTGAGCAGAGGGGTTTGGCTTTACAAGCACAAAAGAGTTGAAGAAAATAGAAACAGGGAACAAAAATCAGATTGGTCATTTCAAAGTTACCTTCCTTATAGGGTTAAAACAGAGGGATTCCTTGTCATGCTGGCTCAGGTAAACTAGGGCCCCTCTGATTGGTGCTGTGAATCTCCTGCTTTTGGAAAACTGGCCCTGATTTCAAAGTTCAGTTTGATTACTTGGCACTTAGCACAAGTGACTATTCTGGTTTGCTCTGGTGTGCTGGGGGCTAGTACAGGAAGCTTGTCCAAAACTACGGCCTCCTATAAACTTTAGCAACTTCAATACAGAAAAGTGTATGAATTATAAATATGTTGATGAAAATGTATCTTTGTTATTGTTGAGATGGAGTCTTGCTCTGTCACCGAGGCTGGAGTGCAGTGGTGCTATCTCAGCTCACTGCAACCTCCACCTCCCAGGTTCAAGCAATCCTCCTGCCCTAGCCTCCCGAGTAGCTGGGAGTACAGGCGTGCACCACCACCCCCAGCTAATTTTGGCATTTTTAGCAGAGACAGATTTCACTATGTTGGCCAGGCTAGTCTCGAACTCTTGATTTCAGGTGATCTTCCCATCTTGGCCTCCCAAAGTGCTGGGATTACAAGCATTAGCCACCGTGCCTGACCAAAAATGTGTTTAAGGAATGATCACAGAGTTAATTCACCCATATAAACCTCCACCTGGATCAAGAAATAGAATATTAGCAGTACAGCATACTTTCCTTGATATCACTTGATACCCAGTGGAAAATCCATTCTTGAGTATAATAAGCAGTCCATGTGGATCACATTTAATAGTTACCTCATCTTTTTTCGATTTCTTATAATATCCTTCAAATGGGTTTTTTAAAACCCTAAAATCTCTTAACAAAGAAGATGAAAACTTCCATCTCAATTTCAGTTTCTCTGGGGGAAGACCTTGTCCCAGCTACCCTGTTCTTAATCTACTCTAAGGTAGTGCAGACACAGTAAATTACCTCCCTGCTCCGTAAGGGTAGATAGGCCGTGACTATGTGAAAGTGCCTGGCTGAGGGTCACAAGCCAGAATTGAAATTTAGTCTTCTCTACCATTTGGTTCCTTCCACTATCACTTTCTTACAATAGAGGCTTTCTTTGACCACCGTGGTTAATGTAGTCTCCTGCCCCATCCAGTCGCACTCTGGCACGGATTGCTGTTGTCCACCTATAGCCATTCTCTTCTTCTGGAATTTTAGCTGAACTCATGACACTGTCTCTACCAAAAAATAAAAAAATTAGCTGGGCATGGTGCCCCTGTGGTCTCAGCTACTTGGGAGGCTGAAGTGGGAGGATTGCTTGAGCCCAGAAGGTGGAGGCTACAGTGAGCAGTGATTGAGCCACTGCACTCCAGCCTAGATGACAGGGCAAAACCCTCTCTCTAAATAAATAAATAAATTTGACTTAAAAAAAAAGAGAATTAATAGGATAGTTCTACTTGGCCATAAATTAAATCATGAAGAGAATTTCAATAAATTCCCCCCAAACTTCAAAAGTCTGTCCTTTGAAAAACTAATATGACTTGTGTAATTTTTTTTCCAGAGCAATCATTTATGAGAGTGACAAAAAGAAAGCCGAAAGTAGAAAATTTTTTCCTCCTCTAACTTTCTATTATGGTATTTGATTCACCAGTCATTTTCTTCCCAGGGACCCCTGGAAATGCACTTTTTAGAAACAAGGCAAGAAATAGAAAATCAACTGAAATTGCTCCTGATATAGAGTGGTGACTTTGTCCTAGCTATCTCATAAAATTCTATACGAATTAACTCAACAAGCCTTACAAGAAAATGAAGAAACAAAATCACCCTATATTCCAGTTATCCATTGCTGCACAACAAACCATCCTAACGCTTAGTATCTTAAAACAACAATTTGTTATCTATCCTGGTTCTGTGGTGGACGGGGCAGCTCAGCTGGGTGGTCCCTACTTTGATCCCTCATGTGGTTGCCATCAGATAAGACTGAATGTCCGGGATGGTTTCTTCACCCACACATCTGATACCTCAGCTGGAATAGCTGGAAGAAACAGGGGCTGGCTGGGCCTCTCTCCACACAGTGCCCGGCCTAAAGCAGGCTAACTCTTACAAAGTTGCAAAATCACAGCGAAGATATTGAAGTAGCAGGTTAGTTAATGGTACAAGCAATTTCACTTCATCGCAATGAACTTCTTTCCCATAATATTTAATGTATCCCAGATTCATTTCTAAGCTTAATTACTATACTAATTCTTAGAAACACTTTAAAGCTAGTAAATAATACGTCTTGGAAAGATCTAAGTGAGTAAATAATACATCTAGAAAGATTCAGAACAATTTAAACTATTCTACCAATCTGCATAAACTAGCCACTAGTTCATGCTAGTGGGTCACAAAAGGGTAAAAACAATGAGCCCCTTCTCCCAAGTGGCAGGATGGCAGAACACGAATGTCATAGCACAAGTGAGGTTTACAGGCTCTGTGGCTACTTTGCTTGTGCAGTAAGATGTATCATATTCTGCTGTTTGTTTTATGCCATTTTCCATCATACTTAGTCTATGCACTTGATAGGCAATCAAATGTAATTGATTCTATTAATTGCTTTTCAGTCACTAGAATTGCCCATATATGTAACTTCATTTCCCAATGAATATGTCTATAAATCTGTATATTTTATGTCCAAAGTAATCCTTTTCCCTAAAATCAACTCTGAATTAACTTTCAATGCCTCTGTGTAAAAATGCATGTAAGACTTTTTCCAATAAAATCAGGAGGCAGCATAAACATGCCCAATATGGTAATGAGAATAATAATACCACTAACTGCCATCGTTGCATACTAAACCATTTACATTCTTATCTCATTTAATTTTCTCATTGACATCAGAATTATCCAACAAGATCAGTCCGATGTCACAGCAGATGTATGAAACCCTGTAGCAAGGAGTCCAGGAATGGTCAATATTTGAAAATCCAACTAGCCAGGTCAGCAATGGCCCCAGTCTTCTGAGGTTTGCTCTTTGTGAAATAAGCCTGCAGAATAAACCCAGTTGTCCAGCAGTTTCAGCTACCTACTTCAATTTACTTGTGGCTCCACTAGCAAAAGTATTAACGGATTATGAACATCTTTCCAAAGGCGGTGTACTAGCTGAAGTCACAAAAAGAAGGAGAAAATGAGGCTGGATGGGCTCACTGGGGACGTAACTCATCATGAGGCTTCCTGATTTGGGTGATGGATGATGTGTGTGGTACTACACTGGATGTGGTATTTCCCATCTTTTTTCCTAGGTGGATTAAGAGCTTTTTTGTCTCTGCATCTTCCAAGTTGAGACTTTTTTTCTTTCTTTCTGGAACACACATATATATACATATCTCCAGCTGGTCTATCTTAAAAACCAGATCGAACTACAGTATCAAACACAGCCTAAAACAACATTTTAAGAGGCTGAGGCAAGTGGATTGCTTGAGCCCAGGAGTTAGAGACCAGCTGGGCAACATGGGGAAACCCCATCTCCACGAAACATACCAAAAAAAGTTAGCTGGGTATGGTGGCGTGCACTTGCAGTCGTAACTACTTGGGAGGCTGAGGTGGGAGGATTGCTTGCACCCAGGAGGCGGAGGCTGCAGTGAGTTGTGATCATATCACTGCACTCGGGCCTGGGTGACAGAGCAAGATCCTGTCTCGAAAAAAAAAAAAAAGCAATAGATGAACATGCATGCATGTTTATATAATATATAGATAGATGATATTAGTGTAAATGTATAACATTGTGTGAAAAATGTAGCTTTAGTCCCCTTGGAATACACAGATGAGTATGACTTGCTCCCTGCTTCAAGGGGCTGCTGATCCAGCAGGGATCACAGATGTGGAGCAGGTAATAGAACAAGATATGTAATGCAACAGGTGCCTGGGCTGTGGGGGCCCAGAGAGGTTGCACCCAGATGGATGAGTCTCCTAGAGCCCATTACCTCCTTCACAAGGTCTTTAGTGCCCAAAACCGAAGGACAAAGTAAGGGGGAGGGGCACGGAGAGGCCCGCAGCAGCAGAACTTACGGGAGATGGGACGGAAGAGGAAGTGGTTGCGTGCCCTTCAAATTAGATTGTCTAGATACTTGTCTTTCCCCTCTACGTAAGATGACTCATTCTTAGTATATTCATGTTTAAAGTTGCTTTGGATTTTAAGTGCATGGAAGACCAGGATCATGTCACACTAATGTGTATGGCACAGCATATGACATAGAACTATGCTGAAACTGTGCTTAGCACATAATTTTTGGAGATGACAGAGATATGACCAGGCAGAACTGTCCTCAGGTCAATTTCTAAAGTACATCAAAGTACTCTGGTTCCCCCCGCCCATCCTCTTGACTTCTTGTACTCATTCTCTCCTGTCCCTTGGCCTGTCTCTATGTTGCCTTTTAGCTTCTCAGAGCCTCCTTGCTTTGGGTCTCACCCAGGCCTGACACCCTTGCCAAGACCTCTCTATATTAGCCTTTCGTCCCCTCTCCTACCTGCCAAACTTCTCTGTCATCTGTCCACCAGGGGGAGGGCTATATTATTCAACTAACACTAATGTACGAAAACCCACATTGCTAGCTTATTGTACTAACTATCTCAAGAAAATTTAATTTTTAAAAGAGGTGCTTGCAAATTTCAATAAGCAAAGGCTTCGTCTGAGATTATTTTCTTTTTGCATTCCTGGCCCTCTCAAGTTATGCCTTCGGGAAACTGCTTCTCTAAGGGCTAACCCAAGCTGGCCCTTAGATGTATTTGTTATGTTCAAGTGCCCTCTGGAGGCAAAAACAGTCTCCTATTAGATAAAAGACAGGTCTGCCAAACACCCACAAATGATTGGTCCCTGTGCTGTGGGGTCCATTCATTCCTTTCCATCTTTCTTTGTGCAGGTCTAGCACAGCCCTGCCTCCGGGCCTTCAGCTTAGGCACGGAATCTTCTTTGGCCTGGAATAGCCATTCTAAAGACTGTCCCACGATTGGTTCCTTCACATCATCCACTTTAGCTCAGCAGGGCTTTCTCAGGAGTGCACCACATCTAGCCAAGCCAACCTTCCCACTCTGTCATGTCATGCTGTTTCCTTGTCTTCCTGCATGCAGCACTATCTGAAATAATCTTCCATTCATTCAACACATTCCTTGAGTGCCTGATCATATGCCCTGTCTTATGCAGTTGAGATAGATCAAGGTACAAATACAACACGTTCTCTATCCTAGTGGAATTTACAGGCCTTGTGAATTACATGGTTTCCTTTTTCATCATCAGCCTCCCGGCTAGAATGTAAGCTCTGGGAGAGCAGGGACCTCTGTCAGCCTTGTTCACTACTTTATCCCAAGAGCCTAGAACTGTGACTGGTACATCCTTCATGGTCAATCAATATTTGTGGAATGAATAAACAAATGTTTATATTAGCCAGGCACAATGGCTGTAGCAAGAGGATACCTTGATGCCAGGAGTTCAACACCAGCCTGAGCAACATAGCAAGACTCCCATCTCTAAAAAAAATTGATTTTTAAGTTTATATTTTCTATCAGGATACACAACTAACATTTTAAACTTCTTTTGCCGTGACAAAGTTAATTCATTCCATTATCACAACTATAAAAAATGAGGCAAATTATATACATCATTATTATTCAAATGATCAGTAACAACAATAGTTAGCATTTGTTGACCACTTACTAAGTACTAGAGGCTATAAGTGCTTTATATGTATTGTCTCATCTTCACAAATTTTTCTGAGGCAAGTAACACCATTCTCCCTTTTTTTTTTTTTTTTTTTTAAGACGGAGTCTGACTCTTTTGCCCAGGTTGGAGGGCAGTGGCACAATCTCGGCTCACTGCAACCTCGACCTCCTGGGTTCAAGCGATTCTTCTGCCTCAGCCTCCAGAGTAGCTGGTACTATAGGTGTGCGCCACCACACCCGGCTAATTTTTTTTTGTATTTTTAGTAGAGACGGGGGTTTCACCATATTGGCCAGGCTGGTCTCGTACTCCTGACCTCAAGAGATCCACCTGCCTCAGCCTCCCAAAGTGCTGGGATTACAGGTGTGAGCCATTGCATCCGGCCCATTCTTCTCTTTTTAAGATGAGAAATTTGAGGCTTACAGGAGCTTCTTACCATCGCAAAGTCATCAGGTGGGAGAGCCAGCTTTTGGGGACTGGTCAGTCGACCCAGAGTCCATGCTGTCAACCTCCACCACACAGCCACGTTCACATCATGATGTCTGCATCACTCAGCAGCTCCCTCTACCATCTTCTAAAGAAACTCTACACTCTCTTAGCAGGGCCTGTGAGACCCCACGAGATCAGCCCCACCTCCTTTGCTAGTCTCCTTCCTGTTACTTCTCCTCCTACCCTGACCAGAGCCCCTGTAGCTCCCGGACACGGGACATGGTCATGGCTTCCCCACCTCCTTGCAATCTTATGGTGTGTTCCCTCCTTCTGCCCTGCCTAACTCCTCCTCCTGCTTCAAGGCTCAGCTCTTGCCCCCTCCAGACCCTTTCCTGGTGCTCTGGGTGCCCATGCACTGCTGCTCCCAGCTCCTTGTGCCTGGCTCTGTGATTCTTAGTGAATGGAATGAGGTGTGGCTTTTCATCTCCAAATTTCCAGTGCTTAATTGGAACAGAGAGGTTGGCAAAATACTTTGAATGATGGTGCATTTGGGAGTTGGCCATGTTTTACAACTTTAGGCACAGTGACGAAAAGAATACTATTGTAAATAAGAGGGTTAGGGCTGGGCACAGTGGCTCATACCTGTAATCTCAGCACTTTGGGAGGCTGAGATGGGAGGATCATTTGAGGCCAGGAGTTCGAGACCGGCCTGGTCAACAAAATGAGGACCCCCCCCCCTTCTCTACAAACAAACACACCAACAAAATAATTTAAAAATTGGCCAGGTGTGGTGGCACATGCCTATAGTTTCAGCTACTTAGGAGGCTGAGGCAGGAGGATCATTTGAACCTGAGAGCTCGAGGCTGCAGTGAGCTATGATCAAGCCACTGCACTCCAGCCTGGGCAAGAGAGCGAGACCTTGTCTCTAGAAATAAATTAATTAATAAAATAAAATAAGAAGGTTAGAATGTGGCCCATGGAAGTCCTCAAAGGTGCAATCACATGAAGCTGAGAAGCAGCGGCATGGAGCAGGGAGTACTTAGAGCGTCACCTGGCAGAACCTGATCTTTCCTCTTATTCCCACCCCAAGAGACTTTTCTGACTCATCCAGCTGGAAGCAGAGAGGCTAGGATTTTCCCTTCAGGTGTCTGACCCAGAGCCTTCATGCTAAGTCCTAAGGTGGTGTCTCAACTGTGCTGGGCCTTTATTTGTGTGTCCTTTCAATGGTTGTATCTGCCTACGTTTGACCAGAATAATTAATTTAATGAAAGCACTTTAAAAATGTTTATAAACAGCTAAGTATCTAGTGATGGGTGCCATATAAATATTTAGATACAAAGGGTCTAAATTCAGATTATTTTTACTGGGGGAACCATTATTAATGTAATTATAAAATAGTACATTGCAGATATGTACACACGAGAGAGAGAGGGGAGAGAGAGAGAGAGAGAGAAGCTGTGTACACTTGCTACTTCACAACAATGATACAATTCAACAGATTTATGACAATGATCCCTTTAGACAGATACTAAAACTCACCAGGGGCAGAGCCCTGGGCCAGTCAAGGAGAAGTCACAGCTCCTAGGCCTCAGCAGGGAACGCTAAGATACAAGCACTTGCCCTTCCTGGGTGGAGTAGTTCACACCTGTAATCCTAGTACTTTGGGAGGCCAAGGCAGGAGGATCACTTGAGACCAGGAGTTCAAGACCAGCCTGGGTGACATGGCAAAACCCCATCTTTACAGAAAAATATAAAAATTATCTGGGGGTGGCGGTGCACACCTGTAGTACTCAGGAGACTGAGGTGGGAGGATTGCCTGAGCCCAGGAGTTCGAGGCTGCGGTGAGCTGTGATCATGCCACTGCACTCCAGCCTGGGTGACAGAGCAAGGCCCTGTTCGCCCCCACCCCCCAACAACAAAAAAAAATAGTTACTTGCACTTGTGGTTGAAGCCACAGGGGGCATGAGTTCAGCAGGGACTCCTGCCGGCTGCTCCAAGCCACTCTCCCAGCACTCCCTGCTCTACTCTCCTGCAGAACCAAACTGCCTACCGTTCCCCAAACGTGCTCTGCTGGTTCATACCTCTATGCCTTTGCATGTTTCCTCGGACTGGAATGCTCGGTCCATGCAGAGTGGACATGCGTCATGTTTTCTGGCTGCTTAGCAGGGTTTGAAAACCCTGCCTATGTTCTGGGAATTTCCTAACACACGAATGAGTCCTGCCAGATGCCAGAGATCTCACTCGGCCAGGCTTCTTTGCAGAGCAGGGTACAGGCACATGACTGAGCCTCCCTCCATCAGCTTCGTCTACACGAGATACCAACTTAGAGATGAGCAACTCAAGGCAGTGGACGCGGTGTGGAAGTGATGTATCAGGCAATGCTGGTAACGCAGGCACCAGGCTTTGGAGGAGCAATAGTTACCAGGCTGTGGCCCTGGCACAAGAAGGGGCAGCGTCACAAACCATCACATCCAGAGCTCTAAAGGGGCAGTGGCAGTGGCTTCCACTGCAGCCCAGGTCTGCAGTGGGTGTAGGGCCTTGTTTCGGGACGCTCTTCACAGCACTTTACCTCCCCATCCATCAAGCAGAAGAGTCACTCTATATCCTTGTAATCCTTTTAATCAATCCTTTTTGTGCTTTTCTTGATTACAACTAAGAGCCTGGCCTAATTGCAAGTCTTCCAGCCCCTGTGGTAGGTGATACACCAACCTACATTAATCCTCTTAATGAAAGGCCACTTGCTTTGCAAAATCCATGTTGGCGTGGAAGTCTCCTGTGGGCCTCCCCTGAAACCTTCTATTCCATCCCTCATCTATGCCCCCCTGGGATGCCCTCGCTACCCACACGCCTCTCGCCGCATGCCCCCCTGGATTATAATTGCTTGTTTCTTCCTCCTCCGCTTGGGCCATGATTTCTTTCAAGCTAGCCGTTGACTCTTTCACTTCTGCATTTCCAGCAGTTAGTTTGGGTTGACACCATCCAACACAGGATAGGTACTAAAGGGAAGTTTGTTACTGATAGGAAGGAATGCTCCAATTTGCTTTCCGAGAACCAGGAATCAGAAACAGGTGCTATGAGGTGACTGCGTCTAACATAGATCTCGGTGAATGGCAGGGATTTCAACAGGCGGAATTGGTGGGGATCATCCTGCATATGACATGTAATCCGCTTTTTGAAAATTACTATATCCCTCAGCATTTTCCTGTATCCTTAATATGCTGTATGGGACATTCTCAGTTGTCCAACAACCCTTTCCTTGCCCTTCTTTTTTTCTGGTTTGGGTGATGATGTCTCCAGGAAGGTGGACCCTCCCACAGCCCCAATGGGATGAGTCCTCATTGCTCCAAACCAGGGGTTGACCAACTACAGCCTGCTAGCCAAATCTGGCCTGCCACCTGTTTTTGTATGGCCTCACACCATACAAAATGCTTTTTATAGTTTTAAATGGTTGGGGGAAAAAAATTATTTGCGACAGGTAAAAATATATATAAAATTCAAGTTTCAATGTCCACAGAGACACTGGAACACAGGCATACGTATTTGTTTCCGGTATCTCTAGCTGCTTTGGCTGTACAACAGCAGAGCTGAATATATGTGACAGGGACCGCACGCCCTGCAAAGCCTGACATATTTACTGGCTGGTTCTCTTCAGAAGAAGCTTGCTCATCCTGTTCTCAAGCAATCATGCTAATACCAATCTCCTCCAAGTGTTGATATTTGGGAGGAGCATGAGACCTATTTCTCGGCCAATGAAATACAAAAGGAAGCCTGACAGAGGGCTGCTGGGAAATATTGTTTTCCCTGATGAGAGGGAGATACGTGAGCGTGCTTCCTTTTTGCCTTTGGATGTTGCCTGTGAGGATGTGACAGGCAGAGCTGTGGCAGCCATCTTGTAGTCATGAGGGAAAAGCTAGGAGAATCATAGAGAAGCTGCCCCAGATATTATTGAGCTGTTAAATTAACCAGCTCTGGAACCTCCTACTTCTAGGATTTTTTTTAACATTCAAAATAAATACACTAGGCTGGGCACATTGGCTCATCCTGTAATCCCAAGACTTTGGGAAGCTGAGGTAGGAAGATCACTTGAGCCCAGCAGTTTGAGACCAGCCTGGGCAATATAGTGAGACCCCTGTCTCTAAAAAAAAAAAAAAATTAGCTGGGCATAGTGGCACACACCTATAGTCCTAGTTACTGGGGAGGCAGAGGTGGGAGGATGGCTTGAACCCAGGAGTTCAAGGCTTCAGTGAGCTATGATCACGCCACTACTGCAGCCTGGGCAACAGAGCAAGACCCTGTCTCTAAACAAACAAATAAACTGATAGTTGGGCATTCTGTTAATTGTGGCCAACTTGTCCTAAAGCATATGATGTGAGAAGAGTATTTCCTCTTATTGATGAACCATAAAATTTTAACCATTTATGAGCATTTTCCCTTATTTGCTATTATAAGTTTCATATTTTAAAAAATATATATCTTACAAATTCAAATTTAAGGCTTATTAACTGTCAGAGGGAACATAGAGAAATAAAATAAAATAAAAACAAATTTAAGGCTCATAAAATATGTGCCTCAGCTCGTGCCTTCTCCCTCTCCCTCTTCTGCTTCCTTCTGCTCCCTCTTCCGCTCGCCATTTCTTTCCCTGTACCATTAAAACGTTGCCAAGGAAAAGACAAATTATAAAAATTGCCCACCCCAAAACACTGTTCTAACAAGTCTTTTACTGGATGCAGATCGCCCTCTTATTCTACGTAGACTGACAGAAATCCAAATCCATGTTTATTTATTTAAAATATAAATTCCATTATGGTTATTAGAGGCTGGGAAAGGCAGAGGGAGGAAAAGATAGGGAGAGATTGGTCAACAGAGATGAAATTTAAGCTAGATAAGAGGAACAAATTCTAGCACTGTAGGATGAATATAGTTAACAATAATTTATTGTGTATGTTCCAAGAGCTGGAAAAGAGATTTTGAATGTTCCCAACACAAAGAATGAGAAATGTTTGAGGTGAGGCCTATGCTAATTGCCCTGATTTGACCATTACACATTGTGTACATGTATTAATATATCACTCTCTACCCAACAAATATGTACAATTATTATATGTCAACTAGAAATAAAAGGAACAAATAAAATAACATAAATTCTACCTGACTCCAAAAAAGACTTGTGGGAGTTTTCAATAAAAGTTACATCAGCAAGCCAAGAATATTTAATGGGTACTAAAATTGCATAATCAAAAGCAAGTTTTCTTCTTCTTCTTTTTTTTTTTTTTTTTTTGAGACAGAGTCTCGCTCTGTCACCCAGGCTGGAGTGCAATGGTGCGATCTCAGCTCACTGCACTGCAACCTCCGCCTCCTGGGTTCAAGCGATTTGCTTGCCTCAGCCTCCTGAGTAGCTGGGATTACAGGCACCCGCCACCATGGCCAGGTAATTTTTGTATTTTTAGTAGAGATGGGGTTTCTCCATGTTGGCCAGGCTGGTCTCAAACTCCTGACCTCAGGTGATCTGCTGGCCTCAGCCTCCCATTTTCTTTCTTATTAACTATAAATATATTTGAGTCAGAGATGTTTTATGCTGTTGATCTGCTTGCAACTCCAATTAACTCACTTTGTGAAAACATGCCCCATGTGGTATAAGAACCAGGGATACATTTTGTGAAATTATTTCTCCTTTTAGTGTCATTAACCAGTGCATTGTGAAATTTTGTTGAAATAGCAAATGCTTGCTTTTCCATGCAGACATTCCAAGTCTGTCCTCTCACCTCTGACCTGCGTCACACTTGCCACCCATCACAAAGCCAGCTGCTTTGAAATCTCTGAATCGTGCAATTCCAAGTACAGCAAACGGTTACCTGGAGCAGAGAGGTCAGTGTGTTGACGTGTTTCCTGTTTGGAACCTAGGTCTGAAATACCATTGAATTGAGCTACCTCTATAGACAGCAGTGATCCATGTCTCTAAAATGTTGTTCTCAAGAGGCCATAGGATTCCTAGGAATTTTTTTTTTTTTGAGATGGAGTCTCACTCTGCCACCCAGGCTGGAGTGCAGTCGCACAATCTTGGCTCACTGCAACCTCCGCCTCCCAGGTTCAAGCGATTCTCCTGCCTCAGCCTCCCGAGTAGCTGGGATTACAGGCACGTGCCACCAAGCCCGGCTAATTTCTGTATTTTTAGTAGAGACAGGGTTTTACCATGTTGGTCACGCTGGTCTCAAACTCCTGACCTCAGGTGATCCACCCCCATTAGCCTCCAAAGATGCTAGGATTACAGGCATGAGCCACCACACCCGGCCAGGATTCCTAGGAAATTACACTCAGAACAAAGTTTGCATGGACACTTTCTTAATTTAGTGCCAATCAGATGATTTTACAATCACTTCTCTGAGCATCTGAGAGATAGGAAGCATTTTTAACATCTATATATTTATTTCTTTCTTCCTAAAATAAAGATAGCAGAAAGAGCCACTGTTGTGGGGGATTTTAAGCTGTGGAGGTGACTTTTATAAAATATTATAGAAGGAGATGTATTTCAGAAGAAAGAACTTCCAGTTCCTGCAGCCCTTTTGCCTTTTTTTTGAGACAGAGTCTCGCTCTGTCACCCAGGCCAGAGTGCAGTGGCCCAATCTCGGCTCACTGCAACCTCCACCTTCTGGGTTCAAGCAATTCTCTGCCTCAACCTCCCAAGTAGCTGGGATTACAGGCACCTGCCACCATGCATGGCTAAATTTTTGAATTTTTAGTGGAGACGGGGTTTCACCATATTGACCAGGCTGGTCTTGAACTCCTGACCTTGTGATCCACCCGCCTCAGCCTCCCAAAGCACTGGGATTACAGGCGTGAGCCACCACATCTGGCACCTCTTGCTTTTAATAAGAAGCCTCGGCTGGGCTCAGTGGCTCATGCCTGTAATCCCAGCACTTTGGGAGGCCGAGGCAGGCGGATCGCTTGAGGTCAGGAGTTCAAGACTAGCCTGGCAAACATGGTGAAACGCCATCTCTACTAAAAATACAAAAAAATTAGCCAGGCATGGTGGCGGGCGCCTGCAATCCCAGCTACTCGGGAGGCTGAGGCAGGATAATTGCTTGAACCCGGGAGGCAGAGGTTGCAGTGAGCCGAGATCGCGCCATTGCTCTCCAGCCTAGGCGACAGAGCAAGACTCCGTCTCAAAGAAAGAAAGAAAAAAAGCCTCTGGGAGGGAGCACTGCACAGTGTACCAGCTGAGCGCCTGACCTTTGGAGTTGGACAGAACTTTGCTGAGTCCCTGCTTTTCTCTTAGCGCCTGTGTAATGTGGCCTCCCAACACCTTGGTTTCTTCTCCAACCTCATTCTCACCAGCCATTGGGCTAGGCAAGGGGACACAGCAACTAAGTTGGACAGAAGACAAATAAATGAGAGTTTGTGCAAAAAACCCAAAAAAGGTAACTTTGTAGACTATGGATTAAAAATCTGAGCAAAATTCCGATAGTTTCTTATAGAACAAATTGGGAGGCATGGAGAGGAGAAATGTGGAAGGCTTGGGAGTGATGAGAGTTTGGAACAGCCCTTGTCAGGATAGGAGAGGAAGGGGCTCAAGGAAGACAAGAGAAAGCACTAGGCTAGGGCCCAATGGCTCGAGGAGAGTACCAAGCGCCCTGCATGGTGGACTGTTCCAGCAGGCTGATGGAACACAGGGGGTTCAAAGGAACCAGTGATGCAGTCATGCTGTGGCTGGGGTTTACAAAAGGCTAAGTGACTCACTAAAGGTCACACAGGGACATTTACACAAACATCCTGGCCCCAAGTCCAGTGCTCTTTCTAATCTATAACAGGGTCTTTCCTTTTTTTTTTTTTTTGACAGGGTCTTGCTCAGTCGCCCAGGCTGGACTGCAGTGGCATGAACACAGCTCAAGAGCTCTTGCCACAGCTTCCCCAGTAGCTGGGACTACAGGCATGCGCCACCACACCAGGTTTAAAAAAATTTTTTTTTGTTTTGATTTTTAGTAAAGACAGGGGCTCACTGATACTGTCATTGCAAAAATTATAACCAAGAAAATTATGATGGTCAAAGAGATCTGACCTAACTGACTCTATCTTGCTTCTAACCTCCAAACTGTCCTTGTTCTGGGTGTAGGCCCAACTAACTCTGGGAGGAGCTTAGATTATAGTTTAGCGTTGAAACAAAGACGACAACAGCCCTTTCCCAAAACAAACCCCCTTCCTGCCTGGGGACTAGGCCGCCTTGTAGGACTAACAAATTAGCCACAAGTTTACAAATTATGGTTTAGGAGTCATGCAGCTGGAGACTGCAAGATTCTAAACCTCCCCAAATAGCTCCTCAGGATGACATCACTATTGTAAAACCTAAGATCACAGATAAGATTGAGATATTTTTGCAGAGCCTGTACTTGATGGATTGATCAGCTGGCACTACCCAGATTGATAAACTGCCTCATCTGGTTTTGTGGCCCCCACCCAGGAACCGACTCAGCGTAAGAGGACAGTTTAGACTCCCTATGATTTCATCTCCAACATGACCAATCAGTACTCCCACTCACTGGCCCCCTACCCACCAAATTATCCCTAAAAACTCCAAACCCCGAATTCTTGGGGAGATTGATTTGAGTAATAATAAAACTCTGGTCTCCTGCACAGCTGGTTCTGCGTGAATTAAACTGTTTCTCTATTGCAATTCCCCCATCTTGATAAATTGGCTCAGTTGAGGCAGCGGGCGAGAAGAACCCATTGGGCAGTTACATCACTGTGTTGCCCAGGTTCAACTCGAACTCCTGGGCTCAAGCAATCCTCCTGCCTCAGCCTCCCAACATGTTGGGATTACAGGCATGAGCCACCACACCCAGCCAAGTCTGTCCTTAATCAGGGTTCCTTTGGGTCTCATTTTCTGAAGCTGCAAAAGCTATTGGACCAGGTGACATTGCCAACCCCTTTAAGCTGCTGTAACTGTAGTTTCAGCTGCTGGATCTGCTTTCAGTTAGTTATGTTCCCCATCACTTTGGACAAGTCATCCCAACTCCCTGGCTTGTTTTTGTAACTCGATTACAGTCCAGAAGCCCAAGTTCTAAAGTGCTGATTCTGATGAGTGTCCATGTACCAGGCACTCTGATCCCATCATAGCATCTACTACAGCCTGGGAGGTCTACTCAAGTGTGCATTCATGTTAAGCACTAACACCAATTAAATCACTTAAATAACGTAGGTAATTATCCAATAGCACATCCAGACGTGGTGGCTCACACGTGTAATCCCAGCACTTTGAGAGGCCGAGGCAGGCAGATCACCTGAGGTCAGGAGTTCGAGACCAGCCCGGCCAAGGTGGTGAAACCCTGTCTCTACTAAAAAATACAAAATTAGCTGGGTGTGGTGGCGCATGCCTGTAATCCCAGCTACTTGGGAAGCTAAGGCAGGAGAATCGCTTGAACCCAGGAGGGGGAGGTTGCAGTGAGCTGAGATTGCACCATTGCACTCCAGCTCGGGTGACAGAGTGAGACTCTGTCTCAAAAAAAAAAAGAAAAAAAAAGAAAAAAATAATAATCCAACAGCACATCTAAACAAGGCTTAAAGTTGTAAAATAAAATTACACTGTGTGGAGGGTGTGTGTGTGTGTGTGTGTGTGTGTGTGTGGGTGAGAGAGAGAGAGAGAGAGAGATGAGGTCTCTGTCATCCAGGCTGGAGTGCAACAGTGCCATCATAGCTCACTGCGGCCTCCAATTCCTGGCCTCAAGCGATCCTCCCGCCTTGGCCTCCCAAATAGCTAAGAATAGAGGCATGTGTCACCACACCTTTTTTTTTTTGTCGTTGTTTGTTTGTTTTTATGAAACGGAGTCTCGCTGTGTAGCCCAGGCTGGAGTGTAGTGATGCAATCTTGGCTCACTGCAACCTTCACCTCCCAGATTCAAGCGATTCTCCTGCCTCAGCCTCCCTAGTAGCTGGGGTTACAGACACGCACCACCACGCTGGATAAATTTTTGTAATTTTAGTACACGGGGTTTCACCATGTTGGCCAGGCTGGTCTTGGACTCCTGACCTCAGGTGATCCGCCTACCTCGGCCTCCCACAGTGCTGGGATTACAGGCGTGAGCCACCATGCCCGGCTAATTCCTGTATTTTCATACTTAGTTGTATTTCCTATTAGGGCCTTGGATCCCGAGTATAATTTTGTACTCAAATATAATTTATAAATAAGGCCTTAGCCTCCCAACAAGGTCAAAGTAGCTAAAAAGTAAGTCCTCCCAACCACTGACATTACCAGCCCCCAGCCCCCAGTCCCAGCCCAGCGGGCTAACAAGGGTCCGGCCTCAGAGAGGGTCTCGGGGATCCCAGAGGTGGGAAAGTCTCCGGAGGCGCAGGCCCCGCTCTCCACCTTCACCAGGGTCGGCGGCAGCACCACGCCGGGTCGCGGGCTGGCTGTGCGCGCCGCGGCCCCACGCCCACTTCCGCTTCCCGTGCTGGGGGCGGTGGCAGGGCCGGTGGGCGGTGGCGGCTCCCGGTCTCGGCTCGGGCACGGCCCTGGGCAGGCCGCCCGCCAGCCGCAGGGGCGCTCCTGAGCTTCGCGGGGCCGCAGTCCGGGATGCCTGCGCGAAGGGAGGGGCGAAGGGCCGGCCGTTGCCGACGTGGGTGTTAAGTGGCCGCCCCAGCCGGCGACCCGGAGCCGAGAGCGGGCGGCGGAGCCTGAGCTGGACGCGGCCACGCCGGCGCGGCGGTGAGCGCAGCCCGGTCTGGCGCCTGCAGCTGCGGGGAGCGCGCCAGGCAGAGGGAGCGGGGAGCGGGGCGCGGGGCGGGCCTCGGTGTGCGGGCGGCGTGACCTTCCCGAGCGGCGGGGGAAGCGGCCAGCGTCGCAGCGCACGTGCCGCGGGACTCGGAGAATCTCGGGGTTGTCGGCCTCCTTCCTGCAGTGCCCACCTGGTGGGAACTTTTGTCCTTGTTTGCCCCCAAGTCCTGTCATTTGGCTGCGGGGCTCCGCGCCTCAGGGGCGCCAGTGCTGGGCAGCATGGAGCCGCTTGTGAATGGAGACTTGCTGGCTGCCCAGGAGTGGGCGGCTGGGCAGGGGCGGTGAACGTTTAGGGTCCGGCCAAGAAAGTTGGAAGTCGTCTCCCTGACCTGTTCCTTGCGAGGCCCGGGAGGAGACGCGCCTGGCCGGTCCTTGGCGGCGAAACTGATTTGCATCTCCACGCTTTACCTAAAGCCCGGGCTCTGGGGACTGGATGGCGAGCTGGCCTGCGGCTCCTTTAGCCAGAAGCTGGGATCTTCCCGCAGCAGTTCGTGTTCCCTGGTGGAAAATGCAGCCTCATCTACTGACTCTCCCTTCCAAAAAAAAGTTATTTTCCCCAAGGGTCGAGAAAAGTGGGTGGTCGGCACTGTTGTTCCTCAGTTGCACCCTGGTGTAATTTGAGAGAGGGGTCAAAGGCGCTGAAAAGATTCTTTTTTCTATTCCAAGTGCTACAGCAAGCTCATAAATCAATTTTAATTCATGCTGAACAGTCTTGCCTCCTCCAAGCCCTGTGTCTTCTCCAAGCCAGAGCTACACATAATGTGAATTAGCTGCCCACTCCTTCTGAGTGAATCTGTTAGTACCCATCATCGTTTTCTATCCTAATAATTCTAATGGCTATTTGTAGAATTTATTTGTTTGTTTATTTTTTTGAGACGGAGTTTCGCTCTTGTTGCCCAGGCTGGAGTGCAATGGGGCGATCTCGGCTCACCGCAACCTCCGCCTCCTGGGTTCAAGCTATTCTCCTCCCTCAGCCTCCCGAGTAGCTGGGATTACAAGCATGGCCCACCACGCCAGGCTAATTTTGTATTTTTAATAGAGACGGGGGTTTCTCATGTTGGTCAGGCTGGTCTCGAACTCCCGACCTCAGGTGATCCGCCCGCCTTGGCCTCCCAAAGTGCTGGGATTACAGGCGTGAGCCACTGTGCCTGGCCTATTTGTAGAATTTAATGTGTTTAAGTTTGGCTCACCTAACAGGGTTTAATTCTTAGGGACAGATAGAATGTAATGTGATGTGACTTTCCTTCAAAATTAAGAAGGAAGTGTCTGTGCCAAAAGAAATAAGCGCATTGAGGTTTATCTAGGAGGCCACATTGTACTTGCCTCTGTCTGTCTGCTCAGTTGCCCCCGTTTTTTTCTTTCCCAAAAATATAGGGTTGGGTGTTTTGTGTTGCCTTTGGCCAGGTTGAAATACTCAGATTAACGGTTGGTTTGTAGGCACAGGCCTGAAAAGACAGGACTTTGAACTGAATCCTCTGTCACTGACAGTTGTGTGGCCTTGGAGAAGACCTTGTCTTGCTCCAGGCTTTAGTTTGCCTTCTGGGAAAGGATTAGGACCCTGATAAACTTTTTATTTATTTATTTATTTATTTATTTATTTATTTTATTTTTTATTTTCTATTATTATTATTATTTTTTTTTTTGAGACAGAGTCTCACTTTGTTGCCCAGGCTGGAGTCCAGTGGCACAATCTCGGCTCACTGCAACCTCCACCTCCCGGGTTCAAGTGAATCTTCTGCCTCAGCCTCCTGAGTAGCTGGGACTACAGGTGTGCATCACCACGCTGGGGTCATTTTTGTATTTTAAGTAGAGACAGGGTTACACCATATTCGTCAAGCTGGTCTCAAACTCCTGACCTCGTGATCCTCCCACCTCAGCCGGCCCAAAGTGCTGGGATTACAGGCGTGAGCCACCGCGCCTGGCCAGGACCCTGATAAACTTTTTTAGGAAGATACCAGATGGCCACCACCTTTTCAGCCTAGTGAATGGTCCTGTCTCTCCAGACCTATCAACAGCATATAAATCAGTGTCTTGCACTTCTAACTTAGTTGCTTTATTAAGTAATGTGCCGTTGTTGCCACTGGTTTTAAATTTTTTGTGAATAAAGGAGGATTATTGAAGTCTCGTCGTTGGCAAGATGCTTCAAGAGGTTTAAACAACTTCTCCACGGCCAATGTTTCCTGTTGACGTTCAGGGTGACATTGGTGTTAGGAGCGTGCTTGGTGTTCATCTCTGATCCAGCACGATGGGTCACACGGCTCCTCAGTGTGATGAGGAATAAGTTGTTCCTTATTATTTGCAAATAAGTTACTAACACCGTTTGAAAACTGTACAGGATTGGTCGTTGAGTTGGATATTTTAGTCAACATTTATTAAGCCCATGCCTCAACAGTAGTTGACTTTTGTCTAAAGAGAGAGAAAGAAATTCTAGTTTTCCCAAATGCCCAAGGCTCCAACCAAAACATACTGAATCCAGATTTCCAGAGGAAAGTCCTGGCAATTTGGATATTTAATAAGTGCTCCAGGTTATCAAGTGGATTTGGACACAACGGCCCAGGTGTTGTATCTCAAAGTGTGAGTCTGTGGACTGGCACTGTCCGCCTCACTTGGGAACTCATCAGAACAGGCAGAACCTCTGGTCCTGTCCAAGGCTACTGAATCAGAGGCCGCATTTTATTTAGCAAGGCCCCCAGGCTACTCCTGCACACGTTTACATTTGAAGGGCTGGTGGTCTGTGGTGACGGGAAGATGTGTGTGACAGGAAGATGCTTGCGCAGGGCCTTGTTCTAAGAACACATGATGCTTGTGCACGGTGTGGCGTCCCATCAGTCTGATGTGGCTATTTGTGACTGTGTTTGTTTTATAATATTTTTATTATTCACCTTGTACAGATGAGGACTCCCAGCTGTAGAGGCTGAAGGAGCCACACTGCAGGTAGAGCAGGCATTCACCAAGGCGTGTGTGATCCCAGGGTGCAGCTCCCACCCTTGGCTGCCTGGGTGCTCTTTTCCAGACCTACTGTCTTGTGAGATCCCCTTAGGCACCCAGCACAGGCTGCTGTCTGAATTTAGAACTGAGCCTGTTCAATTGATGGCTCAACATAGGCCTCTAAAAAAACAAGTCTGATGCGGTTTGGTACACCTGTGGTTGGCTTACTTATTTGGTGTTCGTTTTTTCAGTTTTCAGAAAGGTCAGTTGAAGTGCTGCTGGTGGCTGTAGCATTGATACACAGGGGAGGTTTTTGATCTGTGAGCTTTCTAGGAGGCAGTTGCTAAGCTGCACTGATACCTTGAGCCCCTTTCCTTTGGAACAGTGTGGACCCCAGGTCATGGCTCCCAGAAGTTTAGGTTCTGTAATTTGGCTGCAGGCCTAGAGAACAGGATGCTGCAGACTTGGACTAATGGTGAACTCTTGCCTCCCCCCAGGGATATGTGGTGCCTGTCATAAGCTCCAGAGAGCTGCCTTCCACAAGACCAGCAGAAGAGTGGGCAAACATGAAATCCAATCCTGCTATCCAGGCTGCCATTGACCTCACAGCGGGGGCTGCAGGTACAGTCATGTGCCTCATCACCATGTTTCTGTCGTTGATGGATGGTGTATCTGATGGTGGTCCCATGAGATTATACTACCATATTTTTACTGTACCTTTTCTGTGTTTAGATACATTTAGATACATAAATACCACTGTGTTATAGTTGCCTGCAACATCCAGTACAGTAACATCCTGTACAGGTGTATAGCCTAGGAGCAATAGGCCATACCGAATAGCCTAGGTGTGGAGTAGGCTACGCCATCTAGGGTCAGGTGTGTATGCTCTATGATAGCACAATGACGAAATTGTGTAATGACATGTATTTCAGAACATGTCCCAGTCATTAAGCAATGCCTAACTATAATCCCAGAGAAAACCCAGTTCTCTCTATTCCTCAACTACTCTCTAAATGAGATCAAATGAAAGTGGTATGAAAATACTACCTTTCTCCCTCCAGTACTTTACCTTTGGGATTAATCCATTTGATGGAAGTTTAGTATTGTTCAGAGAGTAGCAGAAGCTAGAGGAGTGTCCGTTATTGTTAACACCTTGTCAGTCAGGGTGATGGGTGGAAGGTGCCCAGTACAGCTGGAAAACAGCTCAGAGGTGAAGCCACGTGTCCATTGTCACCTGGCTGGGATATGCAGGTGATGTGGTTCTTCACTTCAAGCCTGGCAGTCTTCAGAGCCCTTGTTGTGCAAAAATAACACCATAGCATCTCCTGGGAAACACCACTTACTGTCCCTGCTAGTGTTGGGAAAGAAAGGAGGACACTCTTAGAAATGTCTTTAAAAGGCTGGGCGCAGTGGCTCACGCCTGTAATCCCAGCACTTTAGGAGGCCAAGGCGGGCAGATCACCTGAGGTGAGGAGTTCAAGACCAGCTTGACCAACATGGAGAAACCCCGTCTCTTCTAAAAATACAAAATTATCCAGGCGTGGTGGTGCATGCCTGTAATCTTAGCTACTTGGGAGGCTGAGGCAGGAGAATCGCTTGAACCCCGGAGGCGGAGGTTGTGGTGAGCCAAGATCGCGCCATTGCACTCCAGCCTGGGCAACAACAGTGAAACTCTGTCTCAAAAAAAAAAAAAAAAGACATGTCTCTGAAAATGAGACTGATAATGGACTGTGTCTTAGAGCCGTGAAAGTTGTAGGATTTGCTGGGAATGTCAGCTAACCTGAGCCTAGGGGCCTGAGCCCAAGAGCCTGAGGCTCCCCCAGCACAGGGAGGTGCTACCTGTGATAAGGGGTAGTGCTGGCACCATGCAGGCTACTCCTTAGAAAGATCAGCTTGAACATGCAGGAAGAGCAGGACCCTCAGGCTGGGAAACAGGGCGGAATGGGAAGTGCATGGTGGTAATTTGGTTCTCCAGAGTCCAGAAGTAGGAGGAGTGGCTGGAATACTGATTGCCCAAAGGAAAACCCTGGACTACCCTGGGCTCCCGCAGGATTCTCATAGTAGTTGCAGCTCCCTGGAGTGGGGAGGCCAGCGGGGGTGTTGCCCAGTGCTGTCCTTATCCAGCACACCCCCCACCCCCACCACCAGCAGATGAGTATGGTCATGAATATGGTCACCTCATCAGTCATTTGCTCAATTGTGAAAAAGAAATTGTTCAGAGAAGAGCAAAGTGTTTTTCCATGAGCCAAAGGTCAGCCAGGGTATGCTAATGAGGAAGACTGGAGAGAGCGCGTCACCGTCACCGAGCCTAATGAGGAGCACTGGGCAAGGGCACTTCTCCCAGGGCAGAACCCACAAGGAGCGTCCCAGCCCCAGATGCCCAGGGAACGGAAGGCCAGTGGGGGTCTGCCCAGTAGTCTCTTGCCCACTGCGTGCCTTTAGGCTACAGCCTCCCAAGCCCCTTTCCCCCTCCCCTCCCCCATGCCACACTGGGGAGGACGCTGACCCTGAGAATGGTGCAAACATCTGCCTGCCCCAGGCCGCCTCTCACCAGCGAGTGAATGCTCTTGGGCTCAGTTCTGTTTCTGCAGAAGGAGGGTGTTTAGCCACATATAGTCTCAGCTTTTGACATTTTATGTCTTTCAGTCAATCTGTCAAAGATCTAGAACCTATGGTGATAGAATTTAAAAGTTTACCTTTTCCTATTTATGTGCATACAGGTATTTGGGTACCACATTTATAATTTACAAGTTAGTTTGAAAGATAGAAATTGCAACAGTATGGTTGGGAGCCTGGTATGTAAGGCATTTGCTGGTGGGCATGTTTTGAACATGTATTGATCCCTTATGTATACTGACACACTGTCCCCATCACTGTTGGACAGGTATTTCCCCCTGTGCTGGCGACACAGGGACGCCCCTCACCGAGGTAGAGATGCTGTGGGTAGTCTTAACTTCTGAGGACAACGAAGCCCATTCCTGGGGGGACAGGATAGGGAGGGGGAGCGAGACATGGTCTATAGGTTGGGGGCTGGGCAGAGGAGGTGCCTAGCAGTGACACAGAAACCTCTGTTCTGCTGTGAGGCCTATGGAATGCAAATGGAACCCACTTTTGAGGATCTTGGAGTCTTGGAGTGCTGGAGCTAGAGAGACCTTTAGACATTGTTGGCTCCAATGCTCGTTGGATATGTAGAAAAAGGCCCACAGAGGAGCAGTAGATTTGTTCAAGGTTACACAGCAAGATGGTGTGAAGACAGGGCAGGACTGTGATCCCTGGGTCCCTTGTCTGGTGTCGTTGCTGTCTCTGCTTTAGTACTCCGTAATGCATCTGCAGCACACTGGAGGGGAGGGTTAGTTTGGAGCCTTTGGGCCCTGCCTTTCTGGATGTGGAACTTGCTGGGCTTTGGGAATTTTCTGCCAGCCATTGATAGGAGCAGAGGACCTGTTGTGTTTTGTGGCAGAGGTCACCCACGGAAGCGATCCATCTGTAAGCACAGAGCCAGCTGCAGCCCGAGGTGATGTGGATGGAGCTTAAATGTGGTGTTGTGTGTGTCTCTTCTTTTCCTTTAAACAACGTTTTCCCCACCACACAGGTTTTTAGCCAGCTTATCTACTCTAAAGTGCTGGGAAGTTCCCATTTCCCTATCTGCAATGGCTGTAAGACATCTAGATCCCTAAACAGCTAGGATAAAGGAGGATTTCAAGAACTTAGGTGATTAGGTAATTATTGAAATGGGGGTGCGTGGATCCCAAAAGTTAAATAGCCTTAAAGAGAAACTTGGTACCACTTTAATAGTCATTCAGCAACTCTAAAACAATGCAGTCACTACTTTGACTACTGTTGCAGTTTACCTTGTTTAGCATAGTTGGAGAATGTGGCATTTCAGATCATTGAAGTTTATCTTCTCAAATGCCAAAATTAAAAACAACCCCAAACCTTTTTTGATTGGAGTTTCTTGAAAATGATATTCTTCCCTGCCCTGTTAAACCTTTACGATGGCCTCCAGAGGGGTTTGAGGGTCTCACCTCTGCTTGGTGGGCCTGGTCCTGTGGTGTGAGTCTGCTTCTCTCTCCTCACCTCTCTGCCTTCTTCAGAGCTGTCCCTTCCCTGAGACACTGTCCCTGCCCTGATAGATTTCCTCTGTATCTCGTGATTTACTGACTCTATGTCAAGGACTGAAAATCCAAACCACCACCCTTAGTAAAGTGTTAGGTATGACATAATCTGAGTGCCTTTCCTGCGGAATAAGATGCTTGGCTGGCCACCATATCGCCGAAAGAATGTTGTTATTTGTCTTTTAAGGAGAATAAGATCAGAAGTCTGATTTCTAGGCAAGTGGAGAAATATAATATTTATTCATGGCTTTATGGACTTGATCGATCTTTGAGAACCTACTAGGTGTCAGTCTCTGTGGTTGGTACTGGTGTTCAGAACAGTCTTCTCTCACTTGAGGGCACAGTGAGCGCCGTGACCATATCATTTGTGGTAAATTACACGGGAAGTTAGCTTACCCTTGCAGAGGACGGGAGACAGTTGTTGCTAGCATTTGTACATTCATTAGCCTCCCCCTTCTCCCTGTTGGAAATGTAACTGTCCCAGCTACACAGCAAATGTGTATTCTAGTAACCTGTGATGCCTGAACTGTTCAAGATGATCAAGTTAAAATATGAATGTGCTGAATTAAATGCTTTATTCAGCTTATCTGCATCTAGGCTCTCTGAATTACGCACCCACTTAAAACATTCTGTCACCTTTTCTCTTGGAATAATTAAATTATTTTAATGTAATTCAGATTTCTTTTTATCCTAGCCCAGCATTACCTGGGAGAGAATGACTCAGGATTAATCATAATAAAATCATATTAAATTATATTCCACTAATTCAGAATTGGGGATAATTTGGCAATTAAAGGCGGAAGTGTGTCATTCCTCTCCTGTAAGAAATGAACAGTAATGATGGGCTCACAGAGATCATATTGCTTGTTGCTTAAAAAAGAGATCAAGCAGTTTTCAGACTCTGGAATTGTTGGCTTATTTGCCAATAAATAATTGAGAATTATTCTTAATGTCCCTTCCCCCAACTCCACTTTCCAGAGTTTAGATGGAATAACTGTGTATAACATCAAATTCAGGAAGTTGCATTTCTTAAATATTTTCTGTAAGCCTTCTTTTGCATTTTGATGAAGCTTTAAGAGCTCCTCTCAGGTCCAGAAGGAGACGGTAAACACTAACCACTGGCAGTTCCCACGACGCCAACCCTACTACAGGGTGTGGGGATGTTGTAGGGTGGTTACAGTTCATTCTTCTCTTCTGTTTAGAATTTTTACTAAAATGATTTCACGTGGCTGGGCATGGTGGCTTATGCCTCCCAGCATTTTGGGAGGCCAAGGCAGGAGGATCATTTGAGGCCAGGAGTTAGAGACCACCCTGGCCAACATGGTGAAACCCCATCTCTATGAAAAGTACAAAAATTAGCCAGGCGTGGTGGTGGGTGCCTGTAATCCCAGCTACTTGGGAAGCTGAGGCACAGGAATTCCTTGAACCTGGGAGGTGGAGTTTGCAGTGAGCTGAGATTGCACCACTGCACTCCAGCCTGGGTGACAGAGCAAGACACCATCTCAAAAAAAAAAAAAAAATTATTTTGTGCAATGTAGACTCTGCTGTATTTAATCTTATAGAAGTATATAAATAAAGGATTTAAGCATAAATAAATTTCAGTTCATTCTCTATTTACATACACGTTATTAATCGGTAGAGCTCAAATTAAAGAGGTTTTTCTATAGAATGAAATATTTAGCTCTTTGGGGATTAATTAGCCAGACTCCTTGTTTCCTTTCCGTGGTGCCGGGTCTGATCAGTCCCACTGGGCATTAGGCAAAGTGAGCGATGAAGTCTTCCCAGGTCTCCCCTCCCTTTCTGTGGTTTCCGTTTCTTGTGCACACAGTAGCTGCTGTTTACTGATTACGTAGCCGGTGCTGTGCCAAGCCTGTCTCCTCCATTTTTATTTAATCCTCACGCTAACCCTGTGAGGTGGCATGGATGAGGAGCTGAGGCTCAGAAGTTACATGGCTTGTCCAGGATCTCACAGCAAAGCCATAGTCCCTCTGACCCTATTGCCCAGGCTCCTACATATTCACTGCACTGTTTGCCGCTGTTGAACACATGTCTGTCTCTCTCCCCTGCCTGGCATGAGCTCCTTCAGGGTGGGACTTAGATGCCAGGCACATCAAGGACCTGCTCTAAATTGTTTACTGGACATGGCTGGAAGGTTTTGGAGGAAAAGAGGTTGAAATGAACCGAAGCAGGGGTAAGTTCTGGGGTAGGCTGCCTGTGCCTTCCTTCCATGGATAATGGAACTGTAGCCTCGTACTAGAGCAGTCATCTGTCCTGATTGCAGGAGGTACAGCATGTGTACTGACCGGGCAGCCCTTTGACACAATGAAAGTGAAGATGCAGACGTTCCCTGACCTGTACCGGGGCCTCACCGACTGCTGCCTGAAGACTTACTCCCAGGTGGGCTTCCGTGGCTTCTACAAGGGTACCAGTCCAGCACTAATCGCCAACATCGCTGAGAACTCAGTCCTCTTCATGTGCTACGGCTTCTGCCAGCAGGTGGTGCGGAAAGTGGCTGGATTGGACAAGCAGGCAAAGCTGAGGTGAGTCAAGGACACACACTTTTTTTATTTGTTTAAAAAAACCCCACAAAACTGGCAAGACATGGTGGCTCATGCCTGTAATCCCAGCACTTTGGGAGGCAAAGGCAGGAAAATGGCTTGAGGCTGAGAGTTCAAAACCAGCCTGGGCAACACAGCAAGATCCTCATCTCTACAAAAAAATAAAAATTAAAAAAAATCTACTGTTGTATGGTCACAATTTTACTGGTGCCTTATGTGGAAGAACATTTCCTTTTTTAAAAATAACTGCTTTCCTTTTATTTATGAAGTTATACATTGTCATCATATAAAACTTAGAAACCACATATGCACACCACAGAGGAGACCTGCTCATCATCCACCACTGAGAATGAACCGCCCTTCTGTTTCAGTTTTCTCCAGGAGAATGCTGTTCAGATGCAGCTGGCAGTGCTACCTCTCGTCAGCAGACATGCTGCACTGAAACTGTAGATGCTGCTTATGATCCAAGATTTAGCTTTTCTTTCATTAGCAAAAAGCAGAGTATTGGAAGAGGTTGTCTGAGCCAGATGAACTTGAGGAGTTTTAGGAAGGGTCGGAAATGTCTGCGAAGATGCAAGGGAACCCACCTTTCTCTGTCCAAATCTTCCCAAAACATCAGACTTTGCCTCTTTGTTGGTCTTGCCTTGGGTATTTATTATATAGAGACTAAACAGAATTTGGAAACCACTGGGATGTTTAGCTATCCCTGCTTTGAATGTTGATTTATTTTATACCACTTAAAATTATTATATAAGCTTCAAGATTGCAAAGGGCAGTCTTAGTTATTTCAGTAGGAGTTTGAAACCTGATTGCAGCTGCAGGTCCCACACAACTGAATTCGGTTTCTTGTGCACAGCACTGTTCTCTGGAGGTGCCTGGAGGTCTGAAGGTGTGCCCTTTTATAGACAGGAATTCCACCATGATGGGTAGAGCTTGTTTTTTAAAAAGGCTTGGGACTAGATACGATTGCCCAAGAAGACAGTGTAGACAGCGAGGAGGGCTGAGCATGAATGGGATGAGCCTCCAGCACAGAAAGGGCAGGCAGGAAGGCAGTAAAGAAACAAGCAGGGCACAAACCAGGAGAGTATGGCATGCCATGATGGAGACTGAACAGAAGCAAAAACTACAGGCAACTGTAGTTTTGTTCCCTGTTGAAGGAGAGACACTCTATTAGAGAAGACCTGGAATTCAGTTCAGTTTCCTTAGCAAAGGACAAAATGGGGAGAGAAGACAGGGAAACAGTAAGCAGCCACGTGAGATTCTGGGGAAGACCTGTGTCTTCTGAGCAAAGTAGCCCCTCCAGCCACAGGATAGACAGTGACTTCTGTCTTGCATGAGTGAAACCACTGGATCTGGCTCTGCCCGCCCCTCCACTTTCTTGCTTCCTTAGCCTGTGAACAAAGTGAAGGACAGGTAAGAGCATATTGCTTTTCTGCTGAGAACAATCTAATACCTTACAGCTGCATTTTCCCACACTGCTTTCAGAACATTGAATTGCTGGGTGTCCTTAAGAAAGGGTTGGGAAATTACGTCACAGTGTCTCTCTCGTGAAGAATCACTCTGGGTACATTTATTTCATATAGTGTATGTGTTATTTAGTTCATTAAAGATGCGTAAGGCTGGGCACAGTGGCTCACGCCTGTAGTCCCAGCACTTTGAGAGGCTGAGGTGGGCAGATTACTTGAGCCCAGGAGTTTGAGACCAACCTGAGCAACATGGCAAAACCCCGTCACTACAAAAAATACAAAACTTAGCTGAGTGTGGTAGCACATGTCTGTGGTCCCAGCTACCAGGGAGGCTGAGGTGGGAGGATTGCTTGAGCTCAGGAGGCAGAGGTTGCAGTGAGATGATGCCACTGCACTCCAGCCTGGGCAACAGAGCGAGACTGTGTCTCTCAAAAAAAAAAAAAAAAGAAAAGAAAAGAAACCATCCTGATTAACCTTGTCTAATCCAGCACTCATCTTTTTTGAGCTTGGGCCCGTTTTTTTTTTCCATCCTGAGGAACAGTGTTTGCCTCTTACCTGTTGGGGAAATGCTCTCTTAGAGTCTACAAAGCTCTGACATGTATATCATGTCTCTATAGCCCTCACCGTGATCCTGTGAGAAGAGCAAGGCAGATGTTACCTCTCTTAGGGATGGAAAACTGAGGTGCCGATGTTGACCTGCTCAAGGTCACCCCGCTAAGGACTTGAAATTGTGTCCTCTGAGCTCCTGCCCAGTCTCCTTTCCATCAGACCACAGTTGGGGGTCTGGAATATTTTATAAGGGTCAGTTCTAGAGAGAAGATTAATCAGGAGCAGTGAAAGGAAAGAACTGCTTGTGAGAGCCTGTGGTGAATTTCTGCAATCACATTGTAAATATTTGTCTGTTCCCGGTTTCAACATGACCCAGAATGTTCTAGTTTGACGTTTGGCTGGACAGGGTCTTACATAGCAGGAGTGCTCAGGTACATGTTTGTTGAACATATGACAAATGGATGATTCTTACAAAATCCCATCCTATACCTATTACTGTTTCAATTCCAGTTCTACACATTCATACTACATGCAGAACCAGGGGCCCATGCACCTCCTTCTGTGCACTGGTCAATGAAAGTATTTATTGGAAAGCCAAAGTCCACTGCATATCTGATTTGACTGTGTCCTTGCACTATAATAATGTGCTTGGTGTTCATTCAGATGTCTGAGCCATTATTATATCTTAAACTCAATAGACTTCTACATTTATTGACTGCCACCTTTGTCCTGGCAAACTTGGCAGATCCTGGTTAATGCTCCTAATTGACTATTGCCTGTCAACAGGTTAACAGAGAGTCCCTGAGGGAGGCCAACTGTGGATCTGCAGGCTGGCTGCAAGACAACAGAAACCATTTTAAGCTTCAGTTCTAACAAGCTGCTAAGGAGTGAAGTGGGGGAAAGGAGTGGACTGAACAGCATTGGATGGTTTCCACACCCCATAAAAGCGTGTGCAAGTACATTTGTGTACCTGGTTCTCCTTTGCTAATGGTTTTAGGCTTAATTCTCTAACATCAAAAGGAAGTCCTTACTGCAAACAGTGTCTTCCTACTGAAAGAAAGCTCCACTCTAAGCCAAGTCTTCTGAAAGAGTTGCCTCTGGCCATGGTACAGAAGCTAGACCACCAGGGACTAGCAAACCAGGGCCAAGACTGGTGCCACCTTGATTTTATACTAATCTTTAACACTGGAAAAACTTGAGTACCCCTGAATATGGTAAGTCCATCTGTGCTTTTTTTTTTTTTTTGAGACGGAGTCTCACTCTGTCGCCCAGGCTGGAGTGCAGTGGCGCAATCTTAACTCATTGCAACCTCGCCTCCCCAGTTCAAGCAATTCTCCTGCCTCAGCCTCCCGAGTAGCTGGGACTACAGGCGCCCACCACCATGCCCAGCTAATTTTTGTATTTTAGTAGAGATGGGGTTTCACCATGTTGGCCAGGATGGTCTTGATCTCTTGACCTCGTGATCTGCCCACCTCGGCCTCCCAAAGTGCTGGGATTACAGGTGTGAGCCACCGTGCCCTGCCCCATCTGTGCTTTTGCTCACAGTTTGGAGAAAAATTGTTAGGGGATTATATCTCTACCTGAGTAGTTAGCTGAGGAGATTCCCACCCACCCTTAGGGGTTTTTGGAAATCTCTGAGGGTGATCTTGGCTGTCCAGTGAGAGCATGATGCTGGCATTGAATGGGTGTCAGGGAACCAGTTCAGTCCTTCCTGCCCAATGAAGGATTGTCCTACCCCCAAATGCCAGTCATGATCCCATGACACAACACTCTTCTAGGGCTGGAAGGGATCTTCTATCCCAACTCCCATGAACCAGGAACTCGCAGAGAAGCCTTTCTTCTGAAACACTTCTCAGACTTTTCCCCGTATTCGTTTTTTTTTTTTTGAAAGAGTCTCACTGTGTCACCCAGGCTGGAGTGCAGTGGCATGATCTTGGCTCACTGCAACCTCTGCCTCCCTGGTTCAAGCGCTTCTTGTGCCTCAGCCACCAGAGTAGCTGGGATTACAGGCGTGCACCACCAGGCATGGCTAATTTTTAGTAGAGACGGGGTTTTGCCATGTTGGCCAGGCCTCAACTGATCTGCCTGCCTTGGCCTCCCAAAGTGCTGGAATTACAGGTATGAGCCACCACGCCTGGCCTCCCCATATTCTTGAACTCTTACTGGATTCCAGTTTCACAACCCTGCTGGTGACATTTGGCTGCTGGTACTAAATCCATACATGAGGTGAATGCTTCTGTTTTGTATTTGTGCATTCATCCCTCTGCCTAGTTTAGATTTCCAGTTTAGCAATTTCACCTAATACCATTGAGCTTGCAGACTTGTACTGGCTTCACCCACTCCTGTGGCACCATTTTACCCTCGTCTGTGTTGCTGAGGTGGTAGGTCACCAGTTGAACTGGAAAATCTTTTTGTGATGCAGCAACTTTTGGTTAAACGTTTTTTCTGGGTTTTCATCTGTGGCAGTTACATTGCACATCTGGTTGCTCCAGGTTGGATTGTGGGCATGTGGGGATAGGCTTAGAACCTAGATTTATTTAAAACTTAGGGCAGACACACTGAAGTATTAATAGTGCATGTTTTTCAGTGGGGGACTATGGGCAATATTTTCCTCCTTTCCTTTAGGTTTTTTTGTGGCGTTTTATTTTGTCATGTCACGATGTATCTTGGCTTTGGCTGTTGTAACAGAATACTACAGATTGAGTGGCTTAAACAAACATTTCTCACAGTTCTATGGTCTGAAAAGTCTAATATCAAGGTTCCAGCAGATCTGGTGTCTGATGAGGGCTTGTTCTTAATTTGAACATAGCCGTCTTCTCACTGTGTCCTCATATGGCAGAGAGTGAGCGAGCTCTCTGGCCTCTTCTTCTAAGGGACTAATCCCATCACAATGGCCCTATCCTCATGACCTCATCTACACCTGATTACTCCCAAAGGCCCCATCTCCTAACACCATCACCTTGGGGGGATAAAATTCAGTCCATAGCGCTGTGTGTAATCAAAAGAATATGGTTGTTGCAGTCAGGAAGACCTGGGTTCACATCCTAGCACTGCCACTTAGTAGCTGTGTGACTGGCCACATTATGTCATCTCTAAGTGTCACTTCCCATAGGGAACTGGGGTGCTGCTGTCTGCTTCATAGGGTTGTGGGATCCTTAGATGAAACAGCACATGCAAGTTTCCTTCCTTTCATCATTTTTTTTTTTTTTTTGAGACGGAGTCTCACTCTGTTGCCCAGGCTAGAGTACAGTGGCACAATCTCAGGTCACTGCAAGCTCTGCCTCCTGGGTTCACGCCATTCTCCTGCCTCAGCCTCCTGAGTAGCTGGGACTACAGGCACCCACCACTACGCCCGGCTAATTTTTTTTTTTTTTTGTATTTTTAGTAGAGACAGGGTTTCACCATGTTAGCCAGGATGGTCTCGATCTCCTGACTTCGTGATCCGCCCGCCTCGGCCTCCCAGAGTGCTGGGATTACAGTTGTGAGCCACGGCGCCCGGCCCTTTCATCATTTTTTTAGACATGGAGGTCTCTCTTTGTTTCCCAAGCTGGAATGCAGTGGCTGTTCACAGATGCAGTCATAGCACTGTAGCCTAGAACACATGGGCTCAAGTGATCCTCCCACCTCAGTCTCCTAAGTAGCTGTAATCACAGGTTCATGCCCTCACGCCCGGCTCCTTACCCTGCTTTATCACCAAAGTGCTGTCTGTGTGGTGAGTGCCAAAGGAATGAAGAAACTGAGGGGTAACTGTCTGCTTGTGTGCTTTCAGTGATCTGCAGAATGCAGCCGCCGGTTCCTTCGCCTCTGCCTTTGCTGCACTGGTGCTCTGCCCCACGGAGCTCGTGAAGTGCCGGCTGCAGACCATGTATGAGATGGAGACATCAGGGAAGATAGCCAAGAGCCAGAAGTAAGCACCACTTGGGCACAAACGTCAGGTCTCTATTGCCCTAGTGTATTGGATGATTTTTCATTTTACATTGTACTAAAGTGGCAGATGTGGAAGCCAATTTATCTACTCCAAAATATTGTTTCTAGAATGCTTTCCCCTATCAGAGATTTTCTGAAAGGATTGGCTGTGATGGGACCCACCACCCACTGCATAAAAAGTCTTAGACAGATATTTAATACCCCAGAACTGGAGAAGCCAGGAGCTTAACACCCTTTTTGGCCTCTTGGAAACATAAGGCATGATCTTCAGCCATTTTTGGAGGTACATAATGGGTGGCTTTTGAACTTTGCCTTAGACCTGAGCCTTCATAAGTGCCAATTTGGATTCTGAGATGAATATTTGATCCCCACTTCAGGTTTCGTATGGGTATTCAGGCTGATTGACCCAGATCCTAGAGGTAACTATTCTTACCCCACTTATCCCCAGTCCTTCAAGTGTACCTGCAGATGGCCCAAGTTCTGAGAACATTAATCAATACTTTTATAAGCATAGCTACTCTTCAGTGATTAAATCACTCTCTAGCTCACTCTTGAAAACACATTCTCATTATCCTTTGAGAGTACTGTTTCATACACAATTTGATTTACTTGAATTGGAAAGCAATTTATTATCCTTATTAATTGCAAAACTTGCTTACTTATCTTGACATCTGGCTGAGTTCTGACCAAGGATATTGCTGTGGTTAACTCAAAGCCTATAAATCTGCTGGGAAAAAGCAGTAGATAAATTGACCATTTTCAAGGATCAGTCCCCACTCAGTGAGAATGGGGTTTGGAAAAGTGCCCTATTTTCTGCACCCTTGAGATTCATTACAGCCAACTTGAATCTAATATTCATTGCCTAGAAGTCCAAGAGTGTAAGTCTTTAAAACTTTTTATTGAAATAATACACATAGTATCATGAATGCACATTGAAGTCACAGTATGCAGCTCTATAAATAGTGACACAATTTATGTGCCTTTGTAACCTGTGTCCAGATTAACAAATAGAACATTAACAACACCCAGAAAGCTGCCCTCATGTTCCTTGGAAGTAATTCAAGGTAATTAAAAGATAGTAATAGTTATATCCAAAGGACTTAGGCAGATCAACACCTTGAATTATCAGTTGACTTTGTATTTGAGGTCTAGCAGTGTTCACACAAGGCATGGTATGGTAGCTTGGGGCTAAGACTCGGATTGGAAGGGAGGTTAATTGTGTTGAGCTGGATTACTTTGTTACATTCCATGTAGCAGTGCTGCAGGAAGGGCTGGCTGATGGGGAATACCTGACAGTGTCTTCTGAAGCTCTCAGAAGGAAAATAGTTTTTAAATGTCTGTGGCCTTTATTACCTTGGGACTTGATCCTTCATCTGTCCAAGCCAAGTCTCCTTCTTGCTGAGAACAAAGTGAGGAGAGAGGGATTCACTAAGTTGCACTGAGTATGTGATTTCTTGGCCTGTTCTTAGCAGGGATAAACCTGCCCTGGTTGCCCTCAATCATGAAGGGGAGTCAGACAAAGAGTGTCCTGTGTTCTGGCTGCTACAGGAGCAGGGCTGCTTAGAAGAAATTCTCCCGCATCCCTGGTGCTCTGAGAAATAAATTCTTGGTGCTTCTGCATAACAGGAGCTATATAACTTGTTCTCAGAATTTGTCTTGTCTTCAGACAACATTTACTCCTTCACTCATTTCTCTGCACTAAAAACAGATCCTGTAAACACCTGAACAAATTTCCCAAAAACACACCAGAAAGATTGAGGAAATAGGAATCACAGCGATAAGGGACTGGGCAATACAATGCCATTTTATGTTTGCTGAGTTTAGATAATTCCTTACTGTAAATAAATTTCCTTCCCACAGAAGGATGCCGTTGAGTCTTAATTCCTGGCTCTTCATTTACAAAATCAGCTTCTTCCTTACTAGTGCTTGATCAGATCTGTTAATTGGTTGCAAATGCCCTTGTCTTTTCTTCCTTCCCACCTGCTGTAACCGTGCTATCTCTCTGTGTCTCCTCCCAGTACAGTGTGGTCTGTCATCAAAAGTATTCTTAGGAAAGATGGCCCCTTGGGGTTCTACCATGGACTCTCAAGCACTTTACTTCGAGAAGTACCAGGCTATTTCTTCTTCTTCGGTGGCTATGAACTGAGCCGGTCCTTTTTTGCATCAGGGAGATCAAAAGATGAATTAGGTAAATGTGTTTGCATTGACAGCAGTGGGGTGTGATGGTGTTTGCTCCCTGCAGGTATGGTTTCTGTGGATTCTCTGCCCTTTGTGCTCTCCTCCCCACATTGGTGGCTCCATCTGGCACAGGGAAGCTTCTGGATGCCTGAAGGTAACATGGTGGCAGGCAGTTGATAGCACCCACCCTCCAGGCCTGATAATTTCCTTAGGACAGGGCCTGAAGCAGTACATCCCAAACTTTCTTACTGGAATAAAGTTTTTTAATTTTTCTGGATCTATTTTAGGGGAGAAGAAATCCAGAAATTACTTTCCCAATTGGGGAATCACCTATAAATAATCTTGAAATAAGGTTAAAACTTGGAAATCTTAATAGTGTTTTGAGAGCAGTGAAAACCATAGTTCTTTGTAGCTTATCGTGTTTAGCTGGTTGGTACAACTACATGCAATGTTTGGCTCACATAAGTGAGTTTTTCTTACCATCTCCCTCAGTGTGTGTTGAATCTATTCTGTGGTTAGTCAAGCTCCCAGACTTAATTGCTATGTTTAATAAAAACAATTTTGGCTTTTAATGATAAATGAAGAATCAGGGCTATTAAAATACTTAAGAGTGAGAAAGTTGAAAAAAGACATAGATTGTGTTTGGCCTGTCTTCTCCCCACTGTAGGGGGTTGCCACTCAGCTGGAGGCCTGCTGGTTCGTGTGGGCCAGCCCTTGACACCTCAGTGACCAAGCGAAATATAACCCTCACTAAGGCTTCTTGTACTTGGCAAGACCCAGGAGTAGACCTGGGCTACCAAACAAAACCCTGTGTTCTTAGAGCTTGGGAACAAGAGCTTTGACAGTTTTCCTCAAAGAATTGTATTCTGTAGCATTAGCATTTTTATTTTCATCTACCTGCAGCCATTACTACATTGACCTCTGGAAATGTCACATCAGCTGTTCTTGAGACAAAATACCATTTGCTATTTTTTTTTTCTCTAGGCCCTGTACCTTTGATGTTAAGTGGTGGAGTTGGTGGGATTTGCCTCTGGCTTGCGGTATACCCAGTGGATTGTATCAAATCCAGAATTCAAGTTCTTT
The DNA here is from genome assembly GCF_000001405.40 of Homo sapiens. NCBI lineage: Eukaryota > Metazoa > Chordata > Mammalia > Primates > Hominidae > Homo > Homo sapiens. The sequence continues at coordinate 40,808,537 of NC_000013.11, forward strand.
CCATGTCTGGAAAACAGGCAGGATTTATCAGAACCTTTATAAATGTTGTGAAAAATGAAGGTGAGTAAATACCTGTTTTTCAAGCATCTATATACATCTTAAAATCTGAGATACGGGCCGGGCGTGGTGGCTCATGCCTGTGATCCCAGCACTTTGGGAGGCTGAGGCAGGTGGATCATGAGGTCAGGAGATCGAGACCATCCTGGCTAACACGGTGAAACCCCGTCTCTACTAAAAATACCAAAAAAATCAGCCAGGCGTGGTGGCAGGCACCTGTAGTCCCAGCTACTCGGGAGGCTGAGACAGGAGAATGGCGTCAACCTGGGAGGCGGAGCTTGCAGTGAGCTGAGATTGCACCACTGCACTCCAGCCTGGGCAACAGCGAGACTCTGTCTCAAAAAAAAAAAAAAAAAAAAAATCTGAGATATGAACTCTGTTTTGATTGTAAAAAGAAAGAGGACAGTAACACAGAAACTTTGTGTCCCAAATAGAGGACAGATACCTTGTCTGTTACTCATAGTAATCCTCCCTTACATTTGTATAACATGTAAAGTTTTACAAAGTACTTACACCTCCCTTATCTAATTCAATCTTCATAACCACCCTGGGCAGTACTAATACTATACACAGGTCTCCAACTTCAAGGTTGGTGTTCCTGCCACTGCCCAGGTGAAGCTGCAAAGCTGCTGCCACCTCTATCTCCATGGTTGCCTCTGTCTGGCCATCTCAGGCCTCAGCTCTGCCCCATCCATATACTAAGAGTTAACCAAGCGTGGAATTGGGGTATGTTACCTGAGCATCAGTCAGTTTTGCCAGGAGACCTGATACTTGTCCTTGTTTCCATTAGTCTATTTAGGAAAAGCTGGGAATGCATCCTTCTATGACTTGTTGGTTTTTAGCACTGTTGTCTGGGTTTGCATGTGTAAATATACCTATGCTATGCAGCTGCGTGGGTATCCCCAAAGGAGGGATTGTTGCAGTCTTTGACCGCCCTTTTATTTGCTAGGAATAACGGCCTTATATTCTGGACTGAAACCTACTATGATTCGAGCATTCCCTGCCAATGGAGCACTCTTTTTGGCCTACGAATATAGCAGGAAGTTGATGATGAACCAGTTGGAAGCATACTGAAGTGTCTTGGTGGGCCTGAGCCAAGCACAGGTGTTTGAGGACTACAGTTCATCTCAGGGTTTCTTGGAGTACAAGACCAGTGTGAAGTTATTCTGATTTCTTGGGAATTTTGCTTTTTGTCTTCCCTTCTACCCTACATCTTAAACTTTATGGAAGAACCTCTATTTTGCATCATATCATTTCTGTCCATAATTGTACTGAAATAGAAAAGTGACCGCTCTTGCTCTTGGTAAAATATAGAGTGGTCAGTAGCCTTATGCACCTAATTCAAAAGGTGGAATATAGTTCTGTCAGGGCTTTTACGTAAACCTCCACTTGTACATGCAATTTGGACAGTTATGTGTTGAGGGAAATACAGTTTGGTACCTTGTTTATTTCAAATATCAGAAAAACCCAGAGGTGATCATTTCTCATGAAGATGCTTATAAATGGTTGCTTAACCCATTCTAGATGTAGGGTCTGCTTAATGTGTGTACTTTTCTAAGTGGTTGATTATTTTTTATTTTTTTGATACAGAGTCTCACTCTGTCACCCAGACTGGAGTGCAGTGGCACGATCTCGGCTCACTGCAACCTCCGCCTCCTGGGTTCAAGCGATTCTCTCACCTCAGCCTCCTGAGTAGCTGGGATTACAGGTACGCGCCACCATGTCCAGCTAATTTTTTTTGGTATTTTTTGTAGAGACGAGGTTTCACCATGTTGTCCAGGTTGGTCTCGAACTCCTGACCTCAAGTGATCCGCCCACCTCGGCCTCCCAAAGTGCTGGGATTACTGGTGTGAGCCACCATGCCCAGCCAGTGGTTGAATTTTTTAAAAAGTGTTCATGGGGTGCTTGAAAACTAAAATATCCTTCTAGATTTGTAAGACAGTATACCTGCATACTGGTGTGGCTTCCACACTTGAGTAAAAGCTTCAGAGTAGGTATCCTAGATTTCCCCAAGATGCTCTACTCTTAAAATAGTGCCATTCATTTTCTAGGTGGGATCATATTCCACGCTGACTATATTGCTAGGGGTGGCCCAGAGGGTCAGGCCTTTGGGAAATAGCATGGCCTTTACCAGCTTCCCTTCTCTCCCAAAGAACTTCCCTTCTTGGGCTTTAGATTGAGGAAGGGGCTGAGTGGTAGGCGGTGCTGCTGTGCTCTGATGAAGACCCATGTGGCTAGCAACAGCGCTTACCTTTTGTCTCTGGGTCCTGGCCTGGGGCCATCAATCCACTTTGGGCCACTCACTGTCTGCTCTGCCTCCACCAATCAGAAACCCTTCCAAGGAACAGTGAGAGCCAAAGCCAAGAGAAGCCTTCTTCCCTGTTTGGTGATTGTGTGACAGTGGGTGAACCTCTCTCAGAGAGAACTAGAAAGAACTCAGTGCTTGTACTCCACAGTGAGTAATGTCAGGTCTGACCCATCCTGAAGCCTGTCTTGCCATGCTTTTACAGTGTTGGAGGCTTCTACATTTGGTACTTGCAGTCAGTAAGTCTTAATGATGACTGTATATGTGATATGAGTTTATAAAGCAATGGAACATAAGAAAAGCAATTGTAGGCCAGGCGCAGTGGCTCACGCCTATAATCCCAGCACTTTGGGAGGCTGAGGCGGGCGGGTCACAAGGTCAGGAGTTCGAGAACAGCCTGACCAACATGGTGAAACCCCATCTCTACTAAAAATACAAAAATTAGCTGGGCGTGGTGGCACGTGCCTGTAATCCCAGCTACTCAGGAGGCTGAGGCAGGAGAATCGCTTGAACCCGGGAGGCAGAGGTTGCAGTGAACTGAGATTGTGCCACTGCACTCCAGACTGGGTGACACAGCGAGACTTCATCTCAAAAAAAAAAAGAAAAGAAAAGCAATTGTACTTCACTATGCCATATGTATGTATTCACTGACCAAAAATTCACTGACCAACCAACCAAACTCCACACTTCATCTGATCCCCCATAGACTTGGGGATGGACAGCTGTTCTTTGGCCATATGGTATAAGAGGATCATTCTTGTCACTACTTAAGTTAGCCTCATCATTTTGTGCTGCTCCAACACCAGCAGGGTATCTCCCAATAAAGTGTTCCTAAGCAGCCTGTATACTGAGTGCAAGCAGGCTATCAATTTTAATAATAGTCCATACCATGTATGTGTTTCTGTCAGCAGAATGTACATGTTGTACAAAACCTCCAGGTTCCTTAAGCTTTTTGCTGTCCATGAATCCTCTGTGGCAACTGTAATCACAGAGCCAGAAGCCAGAGGGCCAGGGATATGAGAGGCTGACAAACATCAGGGGACATCTGGGGAGGAGATCCCTGTCATGTCTCTTGTGCCATGGAGCTATTATGGCTGGTCTTCCATTTGCTTTTTCTTTAAGTGAAAACCATTTTTCTACTTTGCTTTTCTCTCCATACTTAAATGGTCAGTAGCTACTGAGTGGTGCTTTATCTGAATAGGCCTGGATCGAAGTAAAATAGAAATGGGACTGGCTTTCCACAGGAAGTAAACTGCTTCAGAGCCCACAGTCCCCTGCTCAGTGTCCGGAAAGAAGTCAGTCATCCCTGTTGGCAGTAAATCTTCCCACAGGCCGTCCATTAGAGATTTAACTAGATATGTTCAATAGAAAGAGTCTGAGGCAAGTGGAAATGAGGAACGGAAACTTAGGTTGGGAGAATATTTTTTTTTTATTCATTCTGTTTGCTTAATTCAGAGTACAGTTTGTGCTATTTCATATCTGTACTCCAGGCAGAAATATAACTTGAAAATACTGTGTCTAAAGAAATTTCAGTGTTCTATCATTAAATTATTTACTTAATATTTGAGTCTGATGAATTTCATTGAAGTTCTTTACATCCATGTTGGGAAACAACTGTCAGGAATGTTAAAGAGTTATGTATAGTAGTGTTTCAAGGCAGTGGTTTTATTGCAACAAGCATTGTTTTCTGTCAGCAAGACACCTCATGTAAAATAATTTCACCATAGGTAAGGTGACAAAAATATTTCTATGCTCTGAAGTTATGGAACTTGGCTCACTAGAATTACTTTCTCCCTCCACCTCTTTCCCTCTATTTTAAAAAATAGTTAAACTGTCTGCTTTTAAGTTTTGGATGATTCCATTCCAAGTTACTAAATTCTACTTAAGAAAACAAGTATCTGAAGTGCCAAGATGGCTGACTAGAAGCAGCTAGTGTGCGCAGCCTTCACAAGAGGAGACAGAGTGGTGAGTGAACACAAGCTCTTCAGGTTGATCATCCAGCAGGCTGTGTTGGGATTCATCAGGGAAGCTGTGGTGAGTCATGGAGAGCATAGGGGAGTAAGGAAGGACAGCTGTCCACCTGGGATTGGTGCAGAGCAAGGGGAGGCTCCCTACAGCAGGGAAAGTGTGAGTGAGTGAAGGCTCCTGGGGACTCACACTTCTGCCATGGACCTTGGCAATCCCCAGGCACAGGAGATCCTCCATGACTCCACCTGCCCTCCCCCCCCCCCCCCCCCACCCACACACACACACACCCTGGGGTTCTAGACTGACACAGAGAGCTGCTTGGAGTCTGGGCAGAGCCACTGCTCAAGCCAATGTGGATCCCTGAGCTGCTATGGCCCCGGCTGCCATAGTCCGGCCAACAAGGTAGGCCAGGCTCTCTCGTGTGCCCCTAGGATAGGGGCCATATCCATGGTGCTGAGGAGCGGACAGATTGCAGGCCTCACTTCCACTGCACCTTGCCAGGCAAGGCCCACTGGCCTGGGCCTCCATCGCAGCCATGCTACCCACTACCTGAGCACTCCAGCTAGTCACAGCCCTCATTTCTCTGGGATGGAGCTCCCAGAAGTAACCAACAGGCCCTCTGCCCTGCCGTAGCCTGTGCCCCTGCTGCCCTCAGGCTGGAGAGGGAGCAAAAAGCCCAATAGCGGTCATGGGCCTCCAGCCTGCTATAGCTGACATATGGAAAGGCAGCCCAGACTGTTTTCCACGAGTCCCTGGCCCTGCTGCTCACTGGGCAGGGTGCCTCCTGGCTTGGGCCCCCAGCACAGCTCCTGCCTGATCAGTTGGTGGTGGCTCTGTGTTTCTCTGGGATGGAGGTCCCAGAAACAACTGACAGGCCTCTGCCATTGCTGCCACCACAGTACCTGCCCTTGCTTCCCCCAGGCTAGGGAGGGAACAAAGGGCCTGATTACTTTGTCAGCATTCTACAGAGAGGAGGCCAGACTGTCTTCCGGGTTGAGTTGCCTGACCTCCCTGCTCTTCAGGCAGGGCCCCCAGCTTGGGCCCAGCAGCACAGCTGCCCCAACCCTAAGCTGAGGAGGGAACAAAAAGCCTGAGCTTGCACTGGGGCTGCAGTGTGGCAGCTTGGAAGTGCCAAGGCGAGATCTGTAGCAGGCACTAGAGCAGGAGAGGAGCCCACACTCTCAGAGTACTGAGAGTGCTGAGTTACATGAACCTGTGGGCTACCACAGCAGTGGGCATGCCTCCCTATGCAGGGCCAGCTGTCTGGAAAAGGGATGGCCTATCTCCCTACCTCAGCCTCTGCCTGAGGGAGTGCACCTGACAAAAGAAACACGGGCACAGTGCCATTGGTTGGAAGGGGCTCCCCCAGGGCCCAGGAGCGGACCTGATGAGGTGGTCACCTCTCTTCCCACCGCACCACAGAGCACAGCCAGAAACACCAGGAAATCCAAAGGAGCAAAGTGGCTAAGATCTGTCTACCGACCATTACTCCTAAGCGCCATCTACTGGAATTCAGTAGATGTAGCAAACTACAAAAATAGTTTGCTAATATACCTTCCTGTAAAACCAAGGTAAGAATTCAACCACAAATGCACAGAGCCTTGGCCCTCAGAAAACATGAAGAAATTCAGCCAACTGACTGTACTCAACTTACACCACAGTTAAAAGAATACCAACCCTCAGATGAGAAAGAATCAGCACAAGAACTCTGGCAATTCAAAGAGCCAGAGTGTCCCCTTACCTCCAAATGAGTCCACTAGCTCCCTAGCAGTGGTTCTTAACCAGTTGGAAATGGCTGAAATGACAGATGTAGAATACAGGATCTGGATGCCAAGGAGGCTCATCAATATTCAGAAGAAAGCTGAAAACTAATCCAAGGATTCCAGTAAAGTGATCCAAGAGCTGAAAGATGAAATAGCCATTTTAAGAAAGAACCAAACTGAACTTCGATAGCTGAAAAATTCACTATAAGAATTTTATAATACAATTGGAAGTATTAACAGCAGAACAGACCAAGCTGAGGAAAGAATCTCAGCGCTCTTCTAAACAACTCAGACAAAAATAAAAAAAGAATTTAAAAAAATGAGCAAAACTTCTGAGAAATAGTGGATTATGTAAAGAGACCAAGTCTATGACTCATTGGCATTCCTGAGAGAAAAGAAGAGAGAATAAACAACTTGGAAAATATATTTGAGGATACAGTTTATGTAACTTTCTCTAATCTTGTTAGAAAGGTTGACATGCAAATCCAGGAAATACAGAGAACCCAAGATAGGTACTATATAAGATGGTCATCTTCAAGGCACATAGTCATCAGATTCACCAAGGTCAATGGAAAAGGAAAAAATCTTAAAAGAAGCAGAAGAGAAGAGCCAGGTTATGTACATGGGGAAGCCCATCAGGCTAGCAGCAGACTTTTCAGCAGAAACCTTACAAGCCAGAAGAGATTGGGGAATCTGCTTTCAGTCTCCTTAAAGAAAATAAATTCCAATTAAGAATTTCATATCCCACCAAAAAGCTTCATAAGTGATGAAGAAATAAAATGCTCAGAGAAACAAACACTGAGGGAATTCATTTCAACTAGACCAGCCTTATAAGAGATCCTTTAGAAAGTGCTAAACGTGGAATTGAAAGAACCTGCTACCACAAAAACACATTTAAGCACATAGCTCATAGGCAACACAGAGCAACCACACAAACAAGTCGATAAAACAACCAGCTAACAACATGATGACAGGATGAAAATCACATGTCAGTACTAACCCTGAATGTAAATGGGCTAAACTCCCCACTTAAAAGGCAAAAAGTGACAGGCTGGATCAAAAGACAAGACTCAATCATCTGCTGTCTTCAAGAAACCCACCTCACTCCTAATGACATCCACAGGCTGAAAGTAAAGGGATGAAGAAAGATCTATCATGCAAATGGAAAACAAAAAAGAGCAGGAGTCACTATTCTTATGTTAGATGAAACATTTTTAACCAATAAAAATTAAGGACAAAGAAGGGCATTATAGAATGTTAAAGGACACAGTCCAATCAGAAGACCTAGCCTAAATATGTACACACCCAATACTGGAGCACCCAAATTCATAAAACAAGTTTTTCTCGGCCTACAAAAAGATTTAGAGAACCACACAATAATAGCAGGAGACTTCAACACCCCACGGACAGCAATAGACAGATCACTGAGGTAGAAAACTAACAAACTCTGTACTTACACTTGACAGTTGACCAATTGGACTTGATAGGCACCTACAGAACACTTTATCCAATAAACACAGAAGATAACATTCTCATGTGCACACAGAACATATTCTAAGATCAACCATGTTTGGCCATAAAGCAAGCCTCATTAAATTCAAAAAGTTTGATATGACACCAACCACACACACTGACCACAGTGCGACAAAAATAGAAATCAGTATCAAGAAGATCTTTCAAAAATACATAAATACATGGAAATTAAATAATTTGCTTCTGAATAACTCCTGGGGTGAACATTTAAATTAAGGCAGAAATAAAAAAATTCAAATTAATGAAAGTAGGGACACAACATATCAGAATCTCTGGGATACAGCTAAAGCAGTGTTAAGAGGAAAGTTTATAGCACTAAATGCCTTCATCAAGAAGTTAGAAATATCTCAAATTAACATCCCTACTTTGCATTTAAGGGAACTAGAAAAAAAAGAATAAATGAACCCCAAAGCTGGCAGAAGAGAAATTAGAGAACCACTAAATGAAGTGCTTTTTGAGGTGCTGTTTTGTTTTTGAGTCTAGATGCAAAAATCTACACAAAAGATCAATGAAACCAATAATTAGTTTTTCAAAAAATAAGATTGATAGGCTGATAGCTAAACAAAGAGCCAAATAAGTACAGTCATAAATAACAAATATGACATTACAATCAATCCCACAGAAATACAAAAGATCCTCAGAGAACAGTATAAACAACTCTATGTACACAGATTAGATCATCTAGAGGAAATGGATAGGCCAGGCATGGTGGCTCACGCCTGCAATCCTAGCACTTTGGGAGCCCTAGGTGGGTGGATCACGAGGCCAGGGGTTCAAGACCCGCCTGGCCAACATAGTGAAACCCCGTCTCTACTAAAAATATGAAAAATTAGCTGGGCGTGGTGGCGGGCGCCTGTAATACCAGCTACTTGGGAGGCTGAGGCAGAATCACTTTTACCCAGGAGGCAAAGGTTGCAGTGAGCTGAGATCACGCCACTGCACTCCAGCCTGGGTGACAGTGTGAGACTCCATCTCGAAAAAAAAAAAAAAAAAGTAAATGGATAAATTCCTGGAAACATAAAATCTCCCAAGATTGAATCAGAAAGAGATTGAAACCTTGAATAGACAAATATTGATTTCTGAAATCAAATCATTAATAAAAAATCTACCAACAAGGAAAAGCCCTGGACCAGATGGAGCCACAGCTGAATTCTACCAGATGTACAAAGAACTGGTACTGGTTCTAGTGAAACTATTCCAAAGAATTGAGGATGAGGGGCGCCTCCCTAACTCATTCTATGAAGCCATCATCAGCCTAATACCAAAATCTGGCAGAGACACACACAAAAAGAAAACTTCAGGCCAATTACTCTGATGAACATAGACACAAAAATTCTATATAAAATACTAGGAAACAGAATCCAGCAGCACATCAATAAGTTAATACACCGCAATCAAGAAGGCTTCAGTCCAAGGATGCAAGGCTGGTTCAACATACGCAAATCAATAAATGTGATTCACCACATAAACAGAACTAAAAGCAAAAACCATATGATCATCTCGATAGATGCAGAAACAGCTTTTGATAAAATCCAATATCCCTTCACATTAAACACCTCAACAGATTAGGTATCAAAGGAACATACCTCAAAATAATAAGAGCCATCTATGACAAACCCACAGCCACCAAACTACTGCATGGGCAAAAGCTGGAACCAATCCCATGAGACATGGAACAAGGCAATCATGCCCTCTCTCCCCAATCCTATTCAGCATAGTACTGGAAGTCCTACCCAGAGCACTCAGGCAGGAGAAAGAAAGAAAGGCATCCAAATAGGAAAAAGAAAGAGTCTAACTATCTCTCTTTGCTGATGATATGATTCTATATCCAGAAAACCCTGAAGACTCTGCCAAAAGGCTACTAGAACTGATAAACAACTTTAGCAGAGTTTCAGGATAAAAAATCAATGTACAAAAACAGCATTTCTGTACACCAATAATGTCCAGGTTGAAAGTCAGATCAAGAACAGAATCCCATTTACAATAGCCGTAAAGAAAATGTAATACCTAGGAGTACAGCTAACAAAGGATGTGAAGGATCTCTACAAGAACCACAAAACACTGCTGAAAGAAATCAGAGATAACACAATTAAATAGAAAAACATTCCATGCTCATGGATTGGAAGAATCAGTATCATTCAAATGGCCATACTACCCAAAGCAGTTTACAGATTCAGTGCTATTTCTATCAAACTACCAATGCCATTCTTCACAGAATTAGCAAAATGTATTCTAAAATTCATATGAAACCAAAAGAGAGCCTGAATAGCCAAAGTAGATCTGAGCAAAAAGGGCAAAGCCAGAGGCTTCAAACTAAAATGCTATAGTAGCCAAAACAGCATGGTACTGGTACAAAAGCAGACACACAGACCAATGGAACAGAATAGAAAACCCAGAATAAAGCCTTACACTTACAACCATATGATCTTTGACAAGGCTGACAAAAACAAGCAATGGGGGAAGGACTCCCTATTCAATAAATGGTGCTGGAGTAACTGGCTAGCTATATGCAGAATAATGATACTGGACCCATACCTTTCATCATATACAAAAATTAACTGGAGATAGATTAAAGATTTAAATTTAAGACCTCAAATGATAAAAATCCTAGAAGAAAACCTCAAAAATACCCTTCTTGACATTGGCCTTGGCAAAGAATTTTTAACTAAGTCCCCAAAAGCAATTGCAATAAAAACAAAGATTGACAAGTGGGACCTAAAAAAACTTAAAGAGTTTCTGCACAGCAAGAGCAATGATTGACAGAGTAAACAGACAACCTACGGAACAGGAGAAAACATTTGCAAACTATGCATCAAAGGTCTAATATCCAGAATCTATAAGGAATTTACAGAAAATCAACACGCAGAAACCAAATAACCCCATTAAAAAATGGGGAAAGTACCTGAACACACACTTCCGAAAAGAAGACATGCAAGTGACCAATGAACATATGAAAAAATGCTTCACATCACTAATGGTCAGAGAAGCGCAAATCAAAACCACAATGAGATACCCTCTCACCTAGTCAGAATGGCTATTAATAAAAAGTCAAAAACGACAGATGCTGGCAAGGCTGCAGAGAAAAGGGAATGTTTATACACTGTTGGTGGGCATGTAAATTAGTTCAGCCACTGTGGAAAGCAGTCTGGAGATTTCTCAAATAACTTAAAACAGAGCTACTATTTGACCCAGTAATCCCATTATTGGGTATATGCCCAATGGAAAAAAGATCATTCTACCAAAAGACACGCACAATGTGCTATTTACAATAGCAAAGATATGGGAGCTGTGCTATTCACAATAGCAAAGATATGGAATCAACCTAGGTGCCCATCAGTGGTGGGCTGGATAGAGAAAATGGTACATACAAACGATGGAATTCTATGCAGCCATAAAAATGTGTGAAATCATGTCTTTTGCAGCAACACAGATGGAGCTGGAGGCCATTATCCTAAGCAAATTAATAAAGGGACAGAAAACCAAATACCACGTGTTCTCACTTATGAGAGCTAAACAACAGGTACTCTTGGACATAAAGATGTGAACAACAGACATTGTGGACTACTAGAGGGGGATGGAGGGAGAGGGGTGCAGGTTGAAAAACTACCTATTGGGTACTATGCTTACTACCAGGGTGCAATATACTGATGTGACAAACTTGCACACATACCCCCATATTTAAAATTGAAGTTAGTTTTAAAACATGAGTATCATTCTGATATAAGTTTCTTGAGTTGTTCAAATAATCATTCATTTTGCATTCTGAGAAAGCAATGCCCAAAGAGGTCTTAAACAAGTTTTCTTTGAATAAGCAAAAGCAGAATAGTGTAACAACTCATAATTTCCAGAAATTTTGGTGGGTCTTGGAGGTTTGGGGAAGAGAAACATTAATGGTAACCTCCTTATTTCAAAAAGTGAAATTCTTAAAATGAAAAAGGGGGTTTCCTTCCTTCCTGTATTGCTAGTATTGAAAAAGACAGATCTTACTCTTCCCTGAGCCAGCTAAGTATTTTCCTCCCTATTCACCTAAACCCAGGACATAATCTGCCCTCTGTAGATTACTGCTGTGTGAATTTTAAACGAAATAGTCCTATGTTGTGCCTATACATGTTTCTGTAATATGGATGGCAGGGTATAATATTAATAATCATAACATGAAGGGAATTTGAAAGCATGTTGTATGATCTTTTTTTCAAAGGGGGAACCAGATTAGCGGTAGTAAAAAACAAAAGCCTTTAGTTGGGCTGCTGCACAGGCAGTTGGAACCTTTTTTGGAATATTTAGAGGAGAAAAAATCACCTGCAGCTAGGCTGCTCACCAGCCTCATGGAGCTCTTCGCTCCTGGCAGGTTGCTGCCTTCCATGCCCACCATGGCTCGGGGCTCTACTCTCATCTGTGCCACTCTGGTACCCGCAGCTCTTACATAAAGTATTCTATTTCCACTCAAAAATAAAAAAGCTCCTATGGCAACCTCCAGACATTGAGCTGCTGATGTGGGTGGTCCGAGTGGTTAGTGTGTTGGTTACAAAGTTGTTATGCTGGAGTGGTTTGTCTTGAACTCTCAAACCCTATATTTTCATGAACCGCTTCTTTTTTTAGTGTTTTCTGTAGAGTGCAAGGTTTTTCAGGAATAGTATATCGTGTTTTAGCAGTTACCCTTGTCTTATTAGTTGCTACCTTTCATTTCCTGATGAATTCATCTTGGTTTAGATTGTTGAGAGCCTTGCCAATAAAAGGAAAATCATTCGAATAAGAATAATTTCTATGAAGCCAAAATATAACATTTTTCAAGGACAATCATGGCCTGAAGATACAGTGGCAATGAAGGTACTTTGAATAAAGTAACACCCACGGGCTGGGCATGGTGGTTCATGCCTGTAACCCCAACACTTTGGGAGGCTGAGGCAGGCAGATTGCTTGAGTTCAGGAATTCGAGACCAACCTGGGCAACATGTCAAAACTTCATCTCTAAAAATACAAAAAAATTATCCAGGTGTGGTGGCGTGCGCCTATAGTCCCAGCTACTCGGGAGGCTGGAGGTGGGAGAATCACCTCAGCCTGGGAGGTCGAGGCTGCAGTGAACCAACATCACACCACTGCACTCCAGTCTCGACAACCAGAGTGAGACCCTGTCTCAAAAAAAAAAAAAATAAAATAAAAAATTTGTTTTAAAAAACTAGCACCCAGCACCAAAGAGGAAATAATAATGATTTCCCATAGACATAAGGCTAACCAGTGTTTATAATGAAAAGATTACCTCCCTTCAGAGTTCCCCCAGGCTTAGGTGAAGTTGGTTGTGAGCAGGAGTAGCGGATTTCAAAATAATACACCTAGATTACTCTAAGAATAAATATTTCTTTTGATTCACTTACAATTTTATGCAAAAGCAGAAGTTACTGAAGATTATTTATCCTCCATATTTACCACGGTCTTCTTACCCCAACACCCATGTCTGTGTGTAATTAAAGGAAGCTTGTTAAGTAAGCTACCCATTTAGTGCTTGGAATGAGAGAAGAGTGTGCGTTGGGAATTGGGGGACTGCTCGTGTGAAACATTTCTCTCTTCTGGGTTTAAAACTTAGTCTTTGCTGCCAATCTGTTAACAGTTTGTAAATGAAGTAGAAGAAAAAAATATAAATTAGCTTTCTAATAAATCTGAAATTACATATGTGAAACAAAGCAGGGAATAAATACTTGACCAAAAGTATGTAAGTAAGTGGGTGTTGGGGAATCACAATTTTTAAATACCTCAATTATTTTGATATGAAAGTTCTATTTCAAAGTTCTTCAAAATGATGCCTAATGTTCCTGCATACTGTGTTCCAAATTTATATAAATACAAGATGGAAACTATGAAGCATATGCCTTCAAAAAAGAAAAAAAAATCCTGACATTTTATCTATATCTACTTAATAGATTTATCAAGAACATATGTAAACATATGTAAACATGTTTTATATATATGTAAACATATATAAATATAGATATATCATCAAGGAAGATTTAGAACATATAACTATGTGGCAGGGGTTGGAAACAACATAATTCTTTCCCGGAAGGGGAAGGGGGAACTATACTTAATCAGATACCAGCCACAACGTAACTGTAAGTCATTTCTAATAAAAAAAAAATCTCTACTGCAAATTCTGGTGCGTAAATTTTCCATGTCTTTTGTTTATGTGGATTATCCAATTCATTTCTTTGTGGTTTAAGCCTAAGAATAGAAAAAAAAATTATTGCATTTTTATATTGGGGCTAACTGAAAAGCCATGCAGTTGGGTACCCTTGTTAGAGCTTGAAGAAACAAAAAAAGAACCTTACCATGAATAGAACCTCAGCCCCTTTTTTTGTGTCTCAGTTGGCTCCAGCAACACATCACTAACTCATACTGATTCTTTTTTTTTTTTTTTTGAGACCGAGTCTTGCTCTCTTGCCAGGCTGGAGTGCAGTGATCTTGGCTCACTGCAATCTCCGACTCCCTGGTTCAAGCGATTCTCCTGCCTCAGCCTCCTGAGTAGCTGGGATTACAGGCACTCGCCACCACGCCCGGCTAATTTTTGTATTTTTAGCAGAGACGGGATTTCACCATGTTGGCCAGGATGGTTTCCATCTCCTGACCTCATGATCTGCTTGCCTCAGTCTCCCAAAGTGCTGGGATTACAGGCATGAGCCACCATGCCCAGCCACTGATTTTTTTTTTTTTTTTTTTTTTTGAGATGGAGCCTTGCTCTGTCGCCCAGGCTGGAGTGCAGTGGCACGATCTCGGCTCACTGAAAGCTCCACCTCCCAGGTTCACGCCATTCTCCTGCCTCAGCCTCCCGAGTAGCTGGGACTACAGGCGCCCGCCACCACGCCCGGCTAATTTTTGTATTTGTATTTTTAGTAGAAACTGGGTTTTACCGTGTTAGCCAGGATGGTCTCGATCTCCTGACCTCGTGATCCGCCCGCCTCGGCCTCCCAAAGTGCTGGGATTACAGGTGTGAGCCACTGCGTTCAGCCGCCCAGCCGCTGATTCTTTTAACACTGCTTTTTATGGAATTAATGACATTCAGGTTTAATAAAATATCTAAATTTCAGAAATCAGTCAGGCTAGGTATGAATGAAACCCCAGTAATAAAATACTATATCCCTTTAAATTTATGCGTGAGGTTGCAATTTTTTGAATTTTTACGATCAGACCTTGGAGAGGACCTTGAGCAGTAGCATATAACTCCCACATGCTTAGCGTTCCAATAATGGAACACTAGGCATAAATTTGTTAACCCATTTATGCCTAATGTTCTAAATGATAGAAGTTGGCATTTTTGGCTAAACAACAATCTCATAACAAAAACAGCTATACCAAGTAGTATATAAATTTAAATGTTACAGAATTCTTTAGAAATTTATATACAACTGAGAATAAAAGTGATCTAACTTATTGCTTCTTCAAAATGAATATGGTATTTTAAAGGAAAAAACTGTATCCTTTAGCAAGAACCACTTTTGAGGAACAGCATCAAATGAAGCTCCACCCAGCTCTCACTATTTGAGGGACTTTGCTCATGTTAGAAGAAAAAGCTTATTGTTTTTATGCATCCAAGAAAAAAAATTGTAAAAATTTCCATCAAATCCAAAGTTCACTCTATCAAAATCCATTAAATGTATATGCATTACAAGTGTGTAGACCACAGGTTTAATTTACCGTTGCCTTGCTTGACTTAAGGAGTTATTAGATTGAGTCCACATCTGAAGAAAAGATTAGGACTGGATGTAACAATAACTATCAATTCATGCTACATGTAATCATAGCCACTTCTCCAACTCTCACCTAAATCATTTAAAAAATATTTTCTCCTTTTGTATTGAAGAGTATGGTTGATTAGAAAAAGTCTCAATTTTTCACCACCACAGAACAAATGCTACTTATAGTGGAGAACTTCTAGATTGAAAAATGAGTTTCCAAATATGGCAGAAGGTTTTTTTGGAACAATAATCTTCAAATCCAATTAATAATTTTTCAGAAAGTTTTCCCCATTCAGTTATTAGAAAGCCACATTTAAATGGGAGGCTATTACTTAATGATATTTTTTAGCTGTACTCCTTCATACTTAACTGTGTCTTATAACTTCTCGTAGATATAAGTGTGTCAGTCAGCTTTTCAGCTAGCTGAAGCCTCCCTAGGTCCTGCCTTATTTTAGCACAAACTTTGGTGGTGGTTTGTCATTGGTAAATCAGTGCCTACTGAGGACCTGACATATTGAAGGTACTGAGCAGACTCATACTGAACTTCTCTGGGAAGAATTTACTACCACACTTAAGATCTGGTTATAATATTTTTGAACTCATAACACAGTCCTATGGCATGGACCTTGAGGATACTGCAACAGTGGGTCTCAAGAACAACTGTATTTTTAAAATAACCAAATTAAGAGGAGTATGGCAATGGTCAATGGTGGCTCGAGGATTTTTTGCTTTCTATAAAGTTCATGACAACCAGGAAAAGACTTGCCATTATATCTTATACACAGACACTGAAGATTAGGCTGTTTCTATAGGTTTATATTATATCTATATCTGTTATTTTGTATAAAAGGTGTGTTAAACCAGAAGAAAAAAGGACAATTGTCATAGTATTTAGGAAGATCCTAAAAAGAAAAAAAAAATTTCAAAATAAAACTGATACCAAGAACTAATCATTCCAAAGAAATTAAAGTTCATTCCTTTATTCCTTTATATATTTATCAAACAATTATAACCATTAAATACATAGCACTCTGCAGTCTGTAACAATAAACTCAAGACACAAAGGAGGAGGCTTAAGAAAATACTATTGCATTCTCTTGCTGTTTCTATCAAAATTTTCAAGGAATAGTATTTTTTCCATGCTAGATATTTAATTTAAATGCTGATATTTGAATCTGGTTTAGATAGTGCTAAACAGAATCTACTAAGGACCTATGCCTATATATACCCAAGTATATTATAGTGAATTCTTACAATTTTTTTGTTGCCTCAGCATCCCTTTTAAATATAAATTGGACTTTCTGATATCAAAAGTGGGGTTCAGTCACCCTCAGCAGTTTCCAGTTCACCTCCTCCCAGTTTCTCAATGTGACTGATCCTGGTATCTACCTTATTCAGCCTTCTCCTGGGGACCACTTCATTATGGGACAGCTAGATATAACCTACTTGACTCACCCCACAGACCCCCATACTCCGCATGAACCATGTGAATATATCAGTGACCACCTCTCAGTCACAGCAGACACTCACGGCTGCTTGCATTAAACCAAAGTGGACCTCCCTGTAGGAAACCTGCTCAGATAGCACCTTACATCCCAATAAAGGCTTCCACTCCCAGGTCCCTCCCTCTCTCTCGCTATTGCTCCCCAACCATCAGTCAAGCACAGGTCTTCTTGATGGCTCTCCCTTCCAGTTAGCCCTGCAAAGTGTGCTGCCCTCTTCTCTCTGGAATTAATAAAAAAACTGCTTCGGTTATTTCATGTGTTGTACTGTGCTGCCTTCTCTGTGTTTCACCCAACTGAGTCACCCAAACCTAACTCTTCCCAGTCAGTGCTTCCAGCTACTTGGGAGGCTGAAGTGGGAGGATTGCTTGAGCCCAGGAGGTTGAAGCTGCAGTTAGCTATGATCACGCCACTGCACTCCAGCCTGGATGATACAGTGAGACCCTGTCTCAATTTTTTTTTTTTTTGACTGGGTCTCGCTCTTGTCGCCCAGGCTGGAGTGCAGTGGTGCAATCTCGGCTCACTGCAACCTCTGCCTCTCGGGTGCAAGTGATTCTCCTGCCTCTGCCTCCCGAGTAGCTGGGATTACAGGTGCTTGCCACCACGCCCAGCTAATTTTGTACCTTTAGTAGAGACGGGGTTTCTCCATGTTGGTCAGCCTGGTCTTGAACCCCCAACCTCATGTGATCCACCCGCCTCAGCCTCCCAAAGTGCTGGGATTATAGGCATGATTAATTTTTTAATTTAAAAAAAAGATGCAAAACAAAATGTAATCATTGCTATGCAGTAAAACATAACTTTGGTTTTTTTAGCATCTTGGCTTTTATTTTTTGTGTTTATTTTGTATTTTTTGTATTTGATAACTAATATATGTAAATTTAGAAAAAATTAGAAAATTTACAATTTAGAAAAAACAAATGAACAAAAATTATTCAAATTACATATGTTATTTTAAAAAAATCTGTTATAAATCTGATTTATTGTTTTTCTCACCCTCCCTCTGTGGGATGACATCTGTCATCTCCCTTGTTGGGAAGTGTAGTAAAGCAAATCTTAAATAAAATCATTCAAAAGACCAGACAAGAACAATGGCAGAGGCTGTTTCTTGATTACTCACCAAAGAGAAAAATTGCACTTTCACATCATCATACAGAGGTGGACTGTTGAATACATCAATTATTGCTCTGTTTCAGTGTCATGAAATACCTGTGAATGAACACATGGAATTTAGAACTATAAACCTAACTAATGATAACAATGAAGTTCCTTTTCACTTATCATGACTTCCAATATTTATCAAGTACTTTTGGTCTCACAGCCCAATCACTACATGTATAAATAATTATTAATAACCTTTTCTATTTGCAATACTGTTGTATGTATGTATGTGTGTGTGTGTGTGTGTGTGTGTGTGTGTGTGTGTGTGTGTTTTTGAGACAGTCTCACTGTCACCCAGGCTGAAGTACAGGGGCATGATCTCAGCTCCCTGCAACCTCTGCCTCCCAGGTTGGAGTGATTCCTGTGCCTCAGCCTCCTGAGTAGCTGGGACTATAGGCACATGCCACCACACCCGGCTACTTTTTGTATTTTTAGTAGACATGGGGTTTCACTATACTGGCCAGGCTGGTCTCAAACTCCTGGCCTCAAGTGATTTGCCCACCTGGGCCTCCCAAAGTGTTGAAATTACAGGTGTGAGCCACAGCACCGGTCCTGTTGTTCACGTTTTTTAAAGGCCAACATGTTTGAGGGTTATCATGAGGCACTGTTCTTTTCTTTCTTTCTTTTTTTTTTTTTTTTGAGATGGAGTCTCACTCTGTCACCATGCTGAAGTGCAGTGGTGGGATCTCGGCTCACTGCAACCTCCGCCTCCTGGGTTCAAGCCATTCTCCTGCCTCCGCCTCCCGAGTAGCTGGGACTACAGGCGTGCACCACCACACCCAACTACTTTTTGTATTTTTAGTAGAGACCAGGTTTCACCATGTTGGCCAGCATGGTCTCGATCTCTTGACCTTGTGATCTGACCGTCTTGTCCTCCCAAAATGCTGGGATTAGAGGCATAAGCCACCATGCTCGGCCATGAGGCACTTTAAAAAAATGCCTCACTTTTAAAAAGTATTGAATTTTCTATTAATCAATTAAATATTATTATTTAATGTGTGTCATTTGATTTTCATGCGTTAGGGCCTCTTTTGAGAATACATTAAGAAGCTCAATTTTAAAGCTAGCATTGACATTCAAAAAGCAATGTGTAACTCACCAAGGTTTTTTATTTTCTAAATTTAAAAAATAACAACAGGGGCCTGTAACACTTGGGCGGTGGGCCCACCTGCTCCTCCCGAGGGAGGGGGAGAGTGGGGTTCCCCTGCTCATCATGTTTTATCAGAACTCTCGTGTTTGTCAATGGGATCTTTGGACTTGACCATTGCAGCCTGCTGGATGAAGTGACCAAAGATAGGTCAAGTTTTGGAATGAATGACTTTGAAGCTATACAATTTCTTTGACTCACTCTCCTATAAATAATGGCACCCACAATAAGAAAGGTCTAGGTCCTGTGAAAAACACAAAAGGAGGTACAGACTCAGTCGGTCCCTTCAGGGAGCTGTACACATCAGAAACAAAAGTAGAATGGTATATAACTCAATCTGTATAATGAAGACTGGGTGTGCTGTTATGCACTGTTGGGGGCTAGTTAACAGGAGGTGCAGAATGCAAAAATTTCATTGAGGAGGTAAAAATTGAATTGGACATGAAACAGTTTAGATAAAGGAAGAAGGGCTCTGAAAATAGAATCTACTTCATACAGAGGGAAAAAGACCAGCAATAATGCAAAGTAGAAATTAGAAAAATAGGCCGGGCATGGTGGCTCATGCCTGTAATCCCAACAGTTTGGGAGGCCAAGACGGGCAGATCACCTGTGGCTGGCAGTTCGAGATCAGCCTGACCAACATGGAGAAACCCCATCTCTACTAAAAATACAAAAATTAGCCGGGGTGGTGGTGCATGCCTGTAATCCCAGCTACTTGGGAGGCTGAGGCAGGAGAATCACTTGAACCCGGGAGGCAAAGGTTGCAGTGAGCCGAGGTCGCACCATTGTACTCCAGCCTGGGCAACAAGAGTGAAACTTCATCTCAAAAAAAAAAAAAAGAAAGAAGAAAAGAAATTAGAAAAACAGCAACAAAGAAGGTCAGGCAGTGTGGCTCATGCCTATAATCTTGGCAGGTTGCGAAGCTGAGGTGTAAAGGTTGCTTGAGCCCAGGAGTTTGAGACCAGCCTGGGCAACATAGCAAGATCCAGTCTCTACAAAAAATTAAAAAAATTGGGGGATTGCTTGAGCTCAGGAGGTCAAGGCTGCAGTAAGCCATGATCACACAACTGTGCTACAGCCTGCGTGACAGAATGAGACCCTGACTCAAGAAAAGAAAAAGGAGGGTGGGAGGAGCCAAGATGGCGGAATAGGAACAGCTCCGGTCTACAGCTCCCAGCCTGAGCGACGCAGAAGACGGGTGATTTCTGCATTTCCATCTGAGGTACCGGGTTCATATCACTAGGGAGTGCCAGACAGTGGGCACAGGTCAGTGGGTGCACGCATCATGCGCGAGCCGAAGCAGGGCGAGGCATTGCCTTGCTCGGGAAGCGCAAGGGGTCAGGGAGTTACCTTTCCTAATCAAAGAAAGGGGTGACAGACGGCACCTGGAGAATCGGGTCACTCCCACCCGAATACTGTGCTTTTCTGACGGGCTTAAAAAACGGCGCACCAGGAGATTATATCCCACACCTGGCTCGGAGGGTCCTACCCCACGGAGTCTCGCTGATTGCTAGCACAGCAGTCTGAGATCAAACTGCAAGGCGGCAGTGAGGCTGGGGGAGGGGCGCCCACCATTGCCCAGGCTTGCTTGGGTAAACAAAGCAGCCGGGAAGCTCGAACTGGGTGGAGCCCACCACAGCTCAAGGAGGCCTGCCTGCCTCTGTAGGCTCCACCTCTGGGGGCAGGGCACAGACAAACAAAAAGACAGCAGTAACCTCTGCAGACTTAAATGTCCCTGTCTGAGAGCTGTGAAGAGAGCAGTGGTTCTCCCAGTATGCAGCTGGAGATCTGAGAACGGGCAGACTCCCTCCTCAAGTGGGTCCCTGACCCCTGACCCCCAGGCAGCCTAACTGGGAGGCACCCTCCAACAGGGGCACACTGACACCTCACACTGCAGGGTACTCCAGCAGACCTGCAGCTGAGGGTCCTGTCTGTTAGAAGGAAAACTAACAAACAGAAAGGACATCCACACCAAAAACCCATCTGTACATCACCATCATCAAAGACCAAAAGGAGATAAAACCACAAAGATGGGGAAAAAACAGAACAGAAAAACTGGAAACTCTAAAAAGCAGAGCGCCTCTCCTCCTCCAAAGGAACGCAGTTCCTCACCAGCAACGGAACAAAGCTGGATGGAGAATGACTTTGACGAGCTGAGAGAAGAAGGCTTCAGACGATCAAATTACTCTGAGCTACGGGAGGACATTCAAACCAAAGGCAAAGAAGTTGAAAACTTTGAAAAAAATTTAGAAGAATGTATAACTAAAATAACCAATACAGAGAAGTGCTTAAAGGAGCTGATGGAGCTGAAAACCAAGGCTCGAGAACTACGTGAAGAATGCAGAAGCCTCAGGAGCCGATGCGATCAACTGGAAGAAAGGGTATCAGCGATGGAAGATGAAATGAATGAAATGAAGTGGGAAGGAAAGTTTAGGGAAAAAAGAATAAAAAGAAACAAGCAAAGCTCCAAGAAATATGGGACTATGTGAAAAGACCAAATCTACGTCTGATTGGTGTACCTGAAAGTGATGGGGAGAATGGAACCAAGTTGGAAAACACTCTGCAGAATATTATCCAGGAGAATTTCCCCAATCTAGCAAGGCAGGCCAACGTTCAGATTCAGGAAATACAGAGAACGCCACAAAGATACTCCTCGAGAAGAGCAACTCCAAGACACATAATTGTCAGATTCACCAAAGTTGAAATGAAGGAAAAAATGTTAAGGGCAGCCAGAGAGAAAGGTCGGGTTACCCTCAAAGGGAAGCCCATCAGACTAACAGCAGATCTCTCGGCAGAAACCCTACAAGCCAGAAGAGAGTGGGGGCCAATATTGAACATTCTTAAAGAAAAGAATTTTCAACCCAGAATTTCATATGTAGCCAAACTAAGCTTCATAAGTGAAGGAGAAATAAAATACTTTACAGACAAGCAAATGCTGAGAGATTTTGTCACCACCAGGCCTGCCCTAAAAGAGCTCCTGAAGGAAGCGCTAAACATGGAAAGGAACAACCGGTACCAGCCGCTGCAAAATCATGCCAAAATGTAACGACCATCGAGACTAGGAAGAAACTGCATCAACTAACTAGCAAAATAACCAGCTAACATCATAATGACAGGATCAAATTCACACATAACACTATTAACTTTAAATGTAAATGGACTAAATGCTCCAATTAAAAGACACAGACGGGCAAATTGGATAAAGAGTCAAGACCCATCAGTGTGCTGTATTCAGGAAACCCATCTCACGTGCAGAGACACACATAGGCTCAAAATAAAAGGATGGAGGAAGATCTACCAAGCAAATGGAAAACAAAAAAAGGCAGGGGTTGCAATCCTAGTCTCTGATAAAACAGACTTTAAACCAACAAAGATCAAAAGAGACAAAGAAGGTCATTACATAATGGTAAAGGGATCAATTCAACAAGAAGAGCTCACTATCCTAAATATATATGCACCCAATACAGGAGCACCCAGATTCATAAAGCAAGTCCTGAGTGACCTACAAAGAGACTTAGACTCCCACACATTAATAATGGGAGACTTTAACACCCCACTGTCAATATTAGACAGATCAACGAGACAGAAAGTCAACAAGGATACCCAGGAATTGAACTCAGCTCTGCACCAAGCGGACCTAATAGACATCTACAGAACTCTCCACCCCAAATCAACAGAATATACATTTTTTTCAGCACCACACCACACCTATTCCAAAATTGACCACATACTTGGAAGTAAAGCTCTCCTCAGCAAATGTAAAAGAACAGACATTATAACAAACTATCTCTCAGACCACAGTGCAATCAAATTAGAACTCAGGATTAAGAATCTCACTCAAAACCGCTCAACTACATGGAAGCTGAACAACCTGCTCCTGAATGACTACTGGGTACATAACGAAATGAAGGCAGAAATAAAGATGTTCTTTGAAACCAACGAGAACAAAGACACAACATACCAGAATCTCTGGGACGCATTCAAAGCAGTGTGTAGAGGGAAATTTATAGCACTAAATGCCCACAAGAGAAAGCAGGAAAGATCCAAAATTGACACCCTAACATCACAATTAAAAGAACTAGAAAAGCAAGAGCAAACACATTCAAAAGCTAGCAGAAGGCAAGAAATAACTAAAATCAGAGCACAACTGAAGGAAATAGAGACACAAAAAACCCTTCAAAAAATTAATGAATCCAGGAGCTGGTTTTTTGAAAGGATCAACAAAATTGATAGACCGCTAGCAACACCAATAAAGAAAAAAAGAAGAATCAAATAGACGCAATAAAAAATGATAAAGGGGATATCACCACCAATCCCACAGAAATACAAACTACCATCAGAAAATACTAAAAACACCTCTACGCAAATAAACTAGAAAATCTAGAAGAAATGGATACATTCCTCGACACATACACTCTCCCAAGACTAAACCAGGAAGAAGTTGAATCTCTGAATAGACCAATAACAGGATCTGAAATTGTGGCAATAATCAATAGCTTACCAACCAAAAAGAGTCCAGGACCAGATGGATTCACAGCCGAATTCTACCAGAGGTACAAGGAGGAACTGGTACCATTCCTTCTGAAACTATTCCAATCAATAGAAAAAGAGGGAATCCTCCCTAACTCATTTTATGAGGCCAGCATCATTCTGATACCAAAGCCAGGCAGAGACACAACCAAAAAAGAGAATTTTAGACCAATATCCTTGATGAACATTGATGCAAAAATCCTCAATAAAATACTGGCAAACCGAATCCAGCAGCACATCAAAAAGCTTATCCACCATGATCAAGTGGGCTTCATCCCTGGGATGCAAGGCTGGTTCAATACACACAAATCAATAAATGTAATCCAGCATATAAACAGAGCCAAAGACAAAAACCACATGATTATCTTAATAGATGCAGAAAAGGCCTTTGACAAAATTCAACAACCCTTCATGCTAAAAACTCTCAATAAATTAGGTATTGATGGGACATATTTCAAAATAATAAGAGCTATCTATGACAAACCCACAGCCAATATCATACTGAATGGGCAAAAACTGGAAGCATTCCCTTTGAAAACTGGCACAAGACAGGGATGCCCTCTCTCACCACTCCTATTCAACGTAGTGTTGGAAGTTCTGGCCAGGGCAATTAGGCAGGAGAAAGAAATAAAGGGTATTCAATTAGGAAAAGAGGAAGTCAAATTGTCCCTGTTTGCAAATGACATGATTGTATGTCTAGAAAACCCCATTGTCTCAGCCCAAAATCTCCTTAAGCTGATAAGCAACTTCAGCAAACTCTCAGGATACAAAATCAATGTGCAAAAATCACAAGCATTCCTATACACCAACAACAGACAAACAGAGAGCCAAATCATGAGTGAACTCCCATTCACAATTGCTTCAAAGAGAATAAAATACCTAGGAATCCAACTTACAAGGGATGTGAAGGACCTCTTCAAGGAGAACTACAAACTGCTGCTCAAGGAAATAAAAGAGGATACAAACAAATGGAAGACCATTCCATGCTCATGGGTAGGAAGAATCAATATCGTGAAAATGGCCATACTGCCCAAGGTAATTTACAGATTCAATGCCATCCCCATCAAGCTACCAATGACTTTCTTCACAGAATTGGAAAAAACTACTTTAAAGTTCATATGGAACCAAAAAAGAGCCCGCATCGCCAAGTCAATCCTAAGCCAAAAGAACAAAGCTGGAGGCATCACACTACCTGACTTCAAACTATACTACAAGGCTACAGTAACCAAAACAGCATGGTACTGGTACCAAAACAGAGATATAGATCAATGGAACAGAACAGAGCCCTCAGAAATAATGCCGCATATCTACAACTATCTGATCTTTGACAAACCTGAGAAAAACAAGCAATGGGGAAAGGATTCCCTATTTAATAAATGGTGCTGGGAAAACTGGCTAGCCATATGTAGAAAGCTGAAACTGGATCCCTTCCTTACACCTTATACAAAAATCAATTCAAGATGGATTAAAGACTTAAACGTTAGACCTAAAACCATAAAAACCCTAGAAGAAAACCTAGGCATTACCATTCAGGACATAGGCATGGGCAAGGACTTCATGTCTAAAACACCAAAAGCAATGGCAACAAAAGCCAAAATTGACAAATGGGATCTAATTAAACTAAAGAGCTTCTGCACAGCAAAAGAAACTACCATCAGAGTGAACAGGCAACCTACAAAATGGGAGAAAATTTTCGCAACCTACTCATCTGACAAAGGGCTAATATCCAGAATCTACAATGAACTCAAGCAAATTTATAAGAAAAAAAAACCCCATCAAAAAGTGGGTGAAGGACATGAACAGACACTTCTCAAAAGAAGACATTTATGCAGCCAAAAAACACATGAAAAAATGCTCATCATCACTGGCCATCAGAGAAATGCAAATCAAAACCACAATGAGATACCATCTCACACCAGTTAGAATGGCAATCATTAAAAAGTCAGGAAACAACAGGTGCTGGAGAGGATGTGGAGAAATAGGAACACTTTTACACTGTTGGTGGGACTGTAAACTAGTTTAACCATTGTGGAAGTCAGTGTGGCGATTCCTCAGGGATCTAGAACTAGAAATACCATTTGACCCAGCCATCCCATTACTGGGCGTATACCCATAGGACTATAAATCATGCTGCTATAAAGACACATGCACACGTATGTTTACTGCGGCATTATTCACAATAGCAAAGACTTGGAACCAACCCAAATGTCCAACAATGATAGACTGGATTAAGAAAATGTGGCACATATACACCATGGAATACTATGCAGCCATAAAAAATGATGAGTTCATGTCCTTTGTAGGGACATGGATGAAATTGGAAATCATCATTCTCAGTAAACTATCGCAAGAACAAAAAACCAAACACCGCATATTCTCAGTCATAGGTGGGAATTGAACAATGAGATCACATGGACACAGGAAGGGGAATATCACACTCTGGGGACTGTGGTGGGGTGGGGGGAGGGGGGAGGGATAGCATTGGGAGATATACCTAATGCTAGATGACGAGTTAGTGGGTGCAGCACACCAGCATGGCACATGTATACGTATGTAACTAACCTGCACAATGTGCACATGTACCCTAAAACTTAAAGTATAATAATAAAAAGTAAATAAATAAATAAATAAAAGAAAAGAAAAAGGAAAGGAAGGAAAGAAAGAAATAACCAAGTAACTAACTAAATAAATTAGAGTTGTATTCCAAGAGCCAAAGGGGATGACCCAGTTTATTTGGAATGAAGTCTGTTGGTCAAGCTACTGATGGAAATAAGCTCAGGTACTACATTAGGGCTATTACATCTTAAGAGCTCAAAAGCCAAAGAAATAAGAGTGAAGTTGTTGAAGAATATGGTGGGGCATTTCCTATGTGACAGAGATGCCTGATAATTATCACATATAACACTTATTTAGTGATTTATAGTTTACAAAGAAACTTTATATATATTATCTAGTTTAATTCCCATAACACTTGAGATGTGATATTTATTTTACAGATAAAGGTGTTGAGCCAAAGGTGTTAACTGGCTCTGACCATGGGCACACAGTGTGTCTTCTGCTGCTCTACCTACAACTTTTCACAATGAGAGCAATATTTCAGGATGCATATTTCAGGATTCTATACATTGCATTATATAAGGAGAAAGAAAAGGTAACGAGACCATTGTAGAAATCTAAGCATGAGCAAATGAGGTTCTGGACAGTTAGTGGCAGTGAGAACAGAAAGGAAGGAGAACACAGAAAAATTTCAAAGGAATAATCAACAGGGATTGATAACTAACTGGATTTAGGGAGCCAAGGCAAAGAGAATCAAAGCACAGGGCCTGAGTCGGAGAATGCTGGTGCCATTTACAGAAGCAGAGAAAGCTCATTGATAATTCAGACTGGCTAATGCATTTGAGTTGGAGTGGAAACTGTTCATGTTGTAGCTTCTGCATCTACAACTCAGTGGGTTCTCATAAACATCTGTCCAGTACATGAACAAATAATAGTTTAAGAGGAATGGGTCATTCTTCAACCAAGAATAAAGCATTTGCTAAGAACAGAAAGCCAAGGGTCAGGCCTGGGTGAATGCCCTCAGTTGAGAGAGGCCAAAAAAAGGGGCGGGGGGCTATGCAGAGAGGGAAGGAATAGGGTTAGTAACAAGAGAATCTGAGACAAAGGCCTGGGTAGGAAAAGTTTATGGTTATTAGACCCATGAAGGAAGCTTTCTTATTGTTTCAGAAAAGGTATATAGTTTTAGGCATTTCTTCATTGCAGCAAAACATTGACTACCAGGTCCCTTTTGCTTTGGATAAAGAGATTCCTCCCCAGTTCATTCACTCTTGCATTATTTCTCATAGGGTCATCTCACAGAACGTCTGACTTAGAATCACTTGGGACATTGCTAAGTCTGTAGATTCCTGGCCCCCATTCCAGATTTCCCAAATCATACTTTGGGGGTACAACCTAAGCATGTAAATCTTTACAAGCTCCTCAGTAGTTTTCATGCTCACTAAAATTTTAGAATCAGTACTATATAATAAAAGATAAAATGAACAACAAGAGAATATGGCTAAAAATGACCAGATATGTAAATTAAAATCCTTAATACATTCCTGGTAACATGCTCAGCATTTGTGGAAAAGTGAAAGGCAAAGCAACACTGAACAGAAATAAATTCTGGAAAGGACCCTGAAAAAACTGTTTTGAACAAAGAGGTTAATTTATCTCTGGTTTGCATCCAAACCCAGTGACACCAAGTTGAATGGTAACCAGAAAGCGTTATGGACTCTCTATGGTGAGTGATCATTTAGGGAGGTGAACGTTGCTGCTTTGACATTCAGCCTTAAAACAAACATCAGATTTTTTTCAATTCACGTGTTTTCTCTTACCTAACAATTTCTTAAGTAAGTACAGGAAAAGACAACCTTTTTCTCCATCACTATTTTGACTTTTAGATCATATCCATCGCCTGCTCCAACACCTAAATGAAATTTAAAAGTTAGGTTGGTTAGCACGAAGATCAAAATATCTCACCAATTAACATCACGGATGAAAAAGAGAAAAAGTTATCCAAGCTAACAATGTATCAGTAGTTACTTACTTGGTCTTGCATGGATTTTGTCTTTGAAAGACAAGGCTTCAAGCCCAGTTCTGTCTCCTAAAGCAGATTTTATAAGACTAGAGGGTAGAAAAAAAAATACATATAGTTCAGCTTTAAAGACTTAGAATACCATCACTTTATCTTTCCAGAAAAAATATTTAGGGAAGGTGGGCTGGGCATGGTGGCTCACGCCACGATAATCCCAGCACTTTGGGAGGTCAAGGTGGATTGATTAATTGAGGTCAGGAGTTTGAGACCAACCTGGTCAACATGGTGAAACCCCATCTCTACTAAAAATGCAAAAATTAGCTGGGCGTGGTGGCACGTGCCTGTAATCCCAGCTACTTAGGAGGCTGAAATAGGAGAATCGCTTGAACCCAGGAGGCGGAGGTTGCAGTGAACCAAGACCACACTACTGCACTCCAGCCTAAATGACAGAGCAAGACCCTGTCTCAAAAAAAAAAAAAAAAAAAAAAAAAAGGAAAAATTTAGAGGTGACTTGCAACCTTTTTTGCTAATATGTTGCTTTCTTCAGACTTATAATCATAATGATTCTTAATAATAAATACGGTAGTCTAAACTACTTTGGCCCTAGTTTAAGTCTAGTTCCTGATGCAATCTGTATAAAAATATAGGATAGTTATATCCAAAAATTCCCGTGGTGTTCAGCATATATTTACGGACAAAGGCTCTTTTGCCCCTTTTTTTCAATTCAAACAACTCACTTCCTTTAGCATTTCCTCAAAGACTTGATTTCTCAGCCAATTAATTTTTTATTGCTTTTCTCTCAATTCTACATTAATTTTAATTAAATATGCACAAAATTAAAGGTAGATAATTAAAACAAATATTTTAATAGCTAGTGTATTAATTATTCTTGATTGCTCATCTTGTATGCTGTTTGTTTTCTTCTCGTTTAATTTTGGAAAGGAACAATCGGTACCAGCCACTGCAAAAACATGCCAAACTGTAAAGACCATCGATGCTAGGAAGAAACTGCCACAACTAACGAGCAAAATAACCAGCTAACATCATAATGACAGGATCAAATTCACACATAACAATATTAACCTTAAATGTAAATGGGATAAATGCCCCAATTAAAAGACACAGATTGGCAAACTGGATAAAGAGTCAGGACCCATCAGCGTGCTGTATTCAGGAGACCCATCTCACATTCAGAGACACATATAGGCTCAAAATAAAGGGGTGGAGGAAGATCTACCAAGGAAATGGAAAACAAAAAAAAAGCAGGATTGCAATCCTAGTCTCTGATAAAACAGACTTTAAACTAACAAAGATCAGAAGAGACAAAGAAGGCCATTACATAATGGTAAAGGGATCAATTCAACCAGAAGAGCTAACTATCCTAAATATATATGCACCCAATACAGGAGCACCCAGATTCATAAAGCAAGTCCTTAGAGACCTACAAAGAGACTCAGACTCCCACACAATAATAATGGGAGACTTTAACACCCCACCGTCAATATTAGACAGATCAACGAGACAGGTTAACAAGGATATCCAGGACTTGAACCCAGCTCTGCAGCAGCAGACCTAATAGACATCTACAGAACTCTCCACCCCAAATCAACAGAATATACATTCTTCTCAGCACCACATTGCACTTATTCCAAAATTGACCACATAGTTGGAAGTAAAGCACTCCTCAGCAAATGTAAAAGAACAGAAATCACAACAAACTGTCTCTCAGACCACAGTGCAATCAAATTAGAACTCAGGATTAAGAAACTCACTCAAAACCGCACAACTACATGGACACTGAACAACCTGCTCCTGAATGACTACCGGGCACATAATGAAATGAAGGCAGAAATACAGATGTTCTTTGAAACCAATGAGAACAAAGACACAATGTACCAGAATCTCTGGGACACATTTAAAGCAGTATGTAGAGGGAAATTTATAGCACTAAATGCCCACAAGAGAAAGCAGGAAAGATCTAAAATCGACACCCTAACATCACAATTAAAAGAACTAGAGAAGCAAGAGCAAACAAATTCAAAAGCTAGCAGAAGGCAAGAAATAACTAAGATCAGAGCAAAACTGAGGGAGATAGAGACACAAAAAACCCTTCAAAAAATCAATGAATCCAGGAGCTGGTTTTTTGAAAAGAGCAACAAAATTGATAGACCACTAGCAAGACTAATAAAGAAGAAAAGAGAGGAGAATCACATAGATGCAATAAAAAAGGATAAAGGGGATATCACCACCGATCCCACAGAAATACAAACTACCATCATAGAATATTATAAACACCTCTATGCAAATAAACTAGAAAATCTAGAAGAAATGGATAAATTCCTGGACACATACACCCTCCCAAGACTAAACCAGGAAGACATAAAATCCCTGAATAGACCAATAACAGGCTCTGAAATTGAGGCAATAATTAATAGGATACCAACCAAAAAAAGTCCAGGACCAGATGGATTCACAGCCGAATTCTCTAGAGGTACAAAGAAGAGCTGGTACCATTCCTTCTGAAACTATTCCAATCAACAGAAAAACAGGGAATCCTTCCTAACTCATTTTATGAGGCCAGCATCATTCTGATACCAAAGCCTGGCAGAGACGCAACAAAAAAAGACAATTTTAGACCAATATCCCTGATGAACATCAATGCAAAAATCCTCAATAAAATGCTGGCAAACCGAATCCAGCAGTACATCAGAAAGCTTACCCACCAAGATCAAGTTGGCTTCATCCCTGGGCTGCAAGGCTGATTCAACATACACAAATCAATAAACGTAATCCATCACATAAACAGAACAAAAGACAAAACCACACGATTATCTCAATAGATGCAGAAAAGGCCTTTGACAAAATTCAACAACACTTCATGCTAAAAACTCTCAATAAACTAGGTATTGATGGGACGTATCTCAAAATAATAAGAGCTATTTATGACAAACCCGCAGCCAGTATCATACTGAATGGGCAAAAACTGGAAGCATTCCCTTTGAAAACTGGCACAAGACAGGGATGCCCTCTCTCACCACTCCTATTCAACATAGTGTTGGAAGTTCTGGCCAGGGCAATCAGTAAAGAGGAAGAAATAAAGCGTATTCAATTAGGAAAAGAGGAAGTCAAACTGTTCCTGTTTGCAAATGACATGATTATATATTTAGGAAACCCCATTGTCTCAGCCCAAAATCTCCTTAAGCTGATAGGCAACTTCAGCAAAGTCTCAGGATACAAAATCAATGTGCAAAAATCACAAGCATTCCTATACACCAACAACAGACAAACAGAGAGCCAAATCATGAGTGAACTCCCATTCACAATTGCTTCAAAGAGAATAAAATACCTAGGAATCCAACTTACAAGGGATGTAAAGGACCTCTTCAAGGAGAACTACAAACCACTGCTCAATGAAATAAAGGAGGACATAAACAAATGGAAAAACATTCCATGCTTATAGATAGGAAGAATCAATATTGTGAAAATGGCCTTACTGCCCAAGGTAATTTATAGATTCAATGCCATCCCCATCAAGCTACCAATGATTTTCTTCACAGAATTGGAAAAAAACTACTTTAAAGTTCATATGGAACCAAAAAAGAGCCTGCATTGCCAAGACAGTCCTAAGCCAAAAGAACAAAGCTGGAGGCATCATGCTACCTGACTTCAAACTAAACTACAAGGCTACAGTAACCAAACAGCATGGTACTGGTACCAAAACAGAGATATAGACCAATGGTACAGAACAGAGGACTCAGAAATAACACCATACATCTACAACCATCTGATCTTTGACAAACCTGAGAAAAACAAGAAATGGGGAAAGGATTCCCTATTTAATAAATGGTGCTGGGAAAACTGGCTAGCCATATGTAGAAAGCTGAAACTGGATCCCTTCCTTACATCTTATACAAAAATTCAAAATGGATTAAAGACTTAAATGTCAGACCTAAAACCATAAAAACCCTAGAAGAAAAGCTAGCCAATACCATTCAGGACATAGGCATGGGCAAGGTATTCATGACTAAAACACCAAAAGAAATGGCAACAAAAGCCAAAATAGACAAATGGGATTTAATTAAACTAAAGAGCTTCTGCACAGCAAAAGAAATTACCATCAGAGTGAACAGGCAACTTACAGAATGGGAGAAAATTTTTGCAATCTACCCATCTGACAAAGGGCTAATATCCAGAATCACAACGAACTTAAACAAATTTACAAGAAAAAATCAAACAACCCCTTCAAAAAGCGGGCAAAGGATATGAACAGACACTTTTCAAAAGAAGACATTTATGCAGCCAACAGGCACATGAAAAAGTGCTGATCATTGCTCATCATCAGAGAAATGCAAATCAAAATCACAATGAGATACCATCTCACTGTTAGAATGGTGATCACTAAAAAGTCAGGAAACAGGTGCTGGAGAGGATGTGGAGAAACAGGAATGCTTTTACACTGTTGGTGGGACTGTAAACTAGTTCAACCATTGTGGAAGACAGTGTGGCAGTTCCTCAAGGATCTAGAACTAAAAATACCATTTGACCCAGCAATCCCATTACTGGGTATATACCCAAAGGATTATAAATCATGCTGCTATAAAGACACATGCACGTGTATGTTTATTGCAACACTATTCACAATAGCAAAGACTTGGAACCAACCCAAATGTCCATCAATGATAGATTGGATTAAGAAAATGTGGCACATATACACCATGGAATACTATGCAGCCATAAAAAAGGATGAGTTAATGTCCTTTGTAGGGACATGGATGAAGCTGGAAACCATAATTCTCAGCAAACTATCGCAAGGACAGAAAACCAAACACCGCATGTTCTCACTCATAGGTGGGAACTGAACAATGAGAACACTTGGACACAGGGCATGGAACATCACACACTGGGGCCTGTTTTGAGGTGGGGGGATGGGGGAGGGATAGCATTAGGAGAAATACCTAATGTAAATGATGATTTAATGGGTGCAGCAAACCAACACGGCACATGTATACCTATGTAACAAACCTACACATTGTGCACATGTACCCTAGAACTTAAAGTATAATAAAAAAAATTCTTTGAAAAAAATGAAAACAGAAACACAACATACCAAAATCTCTGAGATGCAGCAAAAGCAGTGTGTGGACAGGAAAGTTTATAGTGCTAAATGTGTACCACAATAAGCTAGTAAAATCTTGAATTAATGATATAACATCACACCTAGAGAAATTAGAAAAACAAGAACCCCAAACCTAGCAGAAGAAAAAAAATAAAATCAGAGCAAAACTGAGTAAAATTGAGACCCCTAAATCAAAACAAAGAGTCAAAGAAACAAAAAGTTGGTTCTTTGAAAAGATAAACAAAATTGATAGACTGCTAGCTAGATTAACAAAGATAAAGAAAGAAGATCCAAATAAGCATAATCAGAAATGACAAGGTGACATTACAACCAATCTCACAGAAATACAAAATGTCCTCAGAGACTATTATGAACACCTCTGTGCACACACACTGGATAATGTAGAGGAAATTAATAAATTCTTGGAAACATAGAATCTCCCAAGATTGGATCAAAAAGAAACTGAAACCCTGACCTGACCAATACCAAGCTCCAAAATTGAGTCCATAATTTAAAAAACCTATGAACCAGCAGGGCGCAATGGCCCATGCCTGTAATCCCAGCACTTTGGGAGGCCAAGGCGGGCAGATCACAAGGTCAGTAGTTCAAGACCAGCCTGGCCAATATGGTGAAACCCTGTCTCTACTAAAAATACAAAAATTAGCCGGGCATGGTGAACGGTACCTGTAATTCTAGCTACTCAGGAGGCTGTGGCAGGAGAATCGCTTGAACCTGGGAGGCAGAGGTTGCAGTGAGCGGAGATTCTGCCACTGCACTCCAGCCTGGGTGACAGAACAAGACTCCATCTCAAAAAAAAAAAAATAAAATAAACTTATAAACCAAAAAAGCCCTAGATCAGATGTATTCACAGCTGAATTCTATCAAATATAAAAAAGAAGAACTGGTACCAGTTCTATTGAAACTGTTCCAAAAAATTGAGGAGGGACTCATCCCTAATTCATTCTATGAAGCCAGCATTACCCTGAAACCAAAACCTGGCAAAGACACAATTAAAAAAATAAAAAGAAAAAGAAAACTAAAGGCTAATCTCAATGATGAAGATAGCTACAAAAATCTTGAACAAAATACTAGGAAACCAAATCCAACAGCACATTAAAAAGTTAACTCGCCATGATCCAGTAAGCTTCATTCCAAGGATACAAGATTCAGCATACGCAAATCAATAAATGTGATTCACCACACAAACAGAATTAAACAGAAATCATATGATCATCTCAATAGATGCAAAAAAAAAAAAAGCTTTTGATAAAATTCAACATCCTTCTTGATAAAAAAAACACTCAAGAAACTAGGAATCAAAGGAACATACTTCAAAATAGAGTCATCGGCTGGGGGCGGTGGCTCGTCTGTAATTCCCGCACTTTGGGAGGCCAAGGCGGGCGGATCACTTGAGATCAGAAGTTCAAGACCAGCGTGGCCAACATAGTGAAACCCCATCTCTACTAAAAATACAAAAATTAGCCAGGCATGGTTGCACACGGCTGTAATCCCAGACACTCAGGAGGCTGAGGCAGCAGAATCGTTTGAACCTGGGAGGCGGAGGTTGTAGTAAGCCGAGATCATGCCACTGCACTCCAGCCTGGGTGATAGAGCGAGACTCCATCTCAAGAAGAAGAAAACAAAAATAGAGACATCTATGGCAAACCCACAGCCAACATCATAACAGGCAAAAGCTGGAAGCTTCTCTATGTGAACTGGAAGAAGACAAGAATGCCTAGTCCCACCACTCCTATTTAACATAGTAGTTAAAGTCTTTTGCCAGAGCAATCAGGCAAAAGAAAGAAAAAAAAGGCATCCAAATAGGAAAAGAAAAAGTCAGACTATCTCTCTTCATCAACTGTATGATTCTATATCTACACAATCCAAAGAACTCCACCAAAAGGCACTTGGAACTGATAAATGACTTCAGTAAAGTTTTAGGATACAAAATCAATGTACAAAAATCAGTAGCATTTCTATACACCAATAATGTCCAAGCTGACAGCCAAATCAAGAACATAATCCCCTTTACAACAGCCACAAAAAATACAATACCTAGTTATACAGCTAACCAAGGAGGTGAAAGATCTCTACAAGGAGAACTACAAAACACTGCTGAAAGAAATCATAGATGACACAAACAAATGGAAAAACATTCCATGCTAATGGACTGGAAGAATCAATATCATTAAAATGGCCATGCTACTGAAGCAATCTATAGGATCAACATTTTTCCAGTCAAGCTACTAATATCATTTTTTTTACAGAACTAGAAAAAACTATTCCAAAATTCATGTGGAACCAAAAAAGAGCCTGAATAGCCAAAGCAATCCTAAACAAAAAGAACAAAGCTAAAAGCATCACATTACCCAACTTCAAACTATACCATAAGGCCACAGTAACCAAAATAGTGTCATACTGGGGGAAAAAAAAAAGACAAATAGACCAAAGGAACAGAAGAAGAACTCAGAAATAAAGCCAAACACAGAAATAAAGCCAAACACAGAAAGCCATCTGATCTTTGACAAAGTCAACAAAAATAAGCAATAGGGAAATGACTTCCTATTTAATAAATGGATAGTGGGCTAGCCATATGCAAAAGAATGGCTAGCTAGGATAGTGGGCTAGCCATATGCAAAAGAATGATCTGTACCTATGCCTTTCACCATATACAAAAATTAACTCAAGATAGATTAAAGACTTAATTGTAAGACCTCAAATTATAAGAATACCAGGAGAAAACCTAGAAAACAACATTCTGGATATTGGCCTTGGAGAAGAATTTATGACTAAGTTTTCAAAAGCAATTGCAACAAAAACTGACAAGTGGAAGCTAATTAAACTATAGAGCTTCTGCACAGCAAAGAAACTATCAACAGAGTAAACAGACAACCTATAGAATGGCAGAAAATATTTGCACACTATGCATCTGACAAAGGTTTTATATTCAGAATCTGTAAGAAACTCAAACAATTATTTAGGCAAAAACCAAAAAGCCCCATTAAAAATGGGCAAAAGATATAAACATACACCTCTCAAAAGAAGACATATGAGTGGCCAACAAACATATGAGAACATAGAACTACCATTTGACATTGCAATCCCATTACTGGGCATACATCCAAAGGAAAATAAATGCTACCAAAAAGACATGCACTGATATGCGCTTCTCAGCAACACTGACAATAGGAAAGACATAGAATCAACCTAGGTGCCCATCAATGGTGGACTGGATAAATAAAATGTGATACATATACACCATGGAATACTACACATTCATAAAAAAAATAAAATCATGGCTGGGTGCAGTGGTACATATACACCATGGAATACTACATTTTCATAAAAAATAAAATAAAATCATGCCTGGGCGCAGTGGTACATATACACCATGGAATACTACATATTCATAAAAAATAAAATAAAATCATGCCCGGGCGCAGTGGCTCACACCTGTAATCCCAGCACTTTGGGAGGCCGAGGCGGGTGGATCACCTGAGGTCAGGAGTTTGAAACCAGTCTGGCCAACATGGCAAAACCCCGTCCCTACTAAAAATACAAAAATTAGCCGGATGTGGTGGCAGGTGCCTGTAATCACAGCTACTCGGGAGGCTTAGGCAGGAGAATCTCTTGAACTTGGGAGGCAGAGGTTGCAGTGAGCCAAGATCACACCATTGCACTCCAGCCTGGGCAACAAGAGTGAAACTCTGTCTCAAAAAAAAAACAAAAACAAAATTATGCCCTATGCAGCATCATGTATGCAGCTGGAAGTCATTATCCTAAGCAAATTAATGCAGGAACAAAAAACCAAATACCATTTGTTCTCACTCATAAGTGAAAGCTAAACAATAGGTGCTCATGGACATCAAGGTGGCAATAATGGACACTGGGGAATTCTAGAGGGGGCACAGCAGAAAAGGGCACAGGCTGAAAAACCAACTATTGGGTCCTAAGCTCAGTACCTGGGTGATGCAATCAATCATACCCCAAACCTCAGCATCACACAATATATCCAGGTAATAAACCTGCATATGTACTTCCAAGTCTAAAATAAAAGTTAAATTATACCAAAAAAACTAAGCTCAAAAAGAAAAAGATGTCTTCTGCCCATTAAAAAAACAAGTAAATAAAGAATATGAGAATCATCCTATATCAGAAATCTATACTAATATAATTTATCATATTCATAGATTAAAGAAGACATACCTTACAATTATCTCAATTAATGCAGGAAAAAGCATTCACTAAAATTCAGCCTACACCTGTGACTTTAAAAATTAACAAAAACTAGGAAACTTCCTTAACTCAACAAAGAAAATCTAGCAAAATACCTACCAGGAACATCATATTAATGATGTAATATTGATAGCATTTTCTTTAAAGCCTGGAATTAAACAAAAATGCCTTCGGTTCATTGCTTCCATTTAACAATATACTGCAGAGCCTAACCAGTGTAGTCAGTGTAGTAAGTAAATCTGTAGAATAACTCCTTAGTCTAATGAGAGAGTTTAGGAAGATTTCTAGATGCAGGCTCAACATAAACAAAAATTAATAGCTAAATCAAGGAGGCAAGTTGAAATCTTTACAGTAATCGCTAAAAACATAGAAAAGGAGTACATGACTTTCAAGGTAATGACAGAAGGTGAGAAGGAAAGAATTATATTATTAAAATTCAATCAAACCAAAATGAAAGTCAGTAAGAATATAGAAGAGTTAAATAAAATAATTAACAAATAGATATACATAGAACACTGTTCTCAACAATGCATAATACATGTTCTTTACAAATGTACAGAAAAAATTTGACCAAACATCGACCAAATTCTGGGCCAAAAAGCAAGTCTAAACAAATTTCAAAGAAGTGAAAAAAATACATATGTTCTGTGTCCACAATACAGCATAACCAGAAATCAAAAACTTAAAGATCAATACAAAATTCTCATATGTTTGGAAATAAGGAAGTATACTTGTACATAACTCATGGGTCAAAAAAAAAAACAAGCATAGTCAAAGTTGGAAAATAGTTTGAACTAAGTAAAATGAAAACACTACAAATAAAAATTTATGGGATGAAGCTAAAGCAATTCTTAGAGGAAAATTTATAGCCTTAAATGCTAAATAGAAAAGAGAACGGCCAACACTCTAAGAATTACCCATCTCAAGAAGTCAGGAAAAGAACAAATTAACCCAAGGAGTACAGAAGAAAACACTAAATATAATAATAATTGATGAAATAAAAAATAGAGAACACCAATAAGGCCCAAAATTTGTTACTTTTGAAAAACTAGTAAAATTGATAAATCCCTGGTGAGACTAATCAAAAGAAAAAAGGGGAGAAGGTACCAAGTAAGCAATGTAAGAAATAAAAAAGGGAACACCTCTGTAGACATCAAAATGTTTAAATGATATGGTGAACAATTTGATGTCAGGACATTTGGAAAGTTAGATTAAATGGAAAATCACTGGGAAAACTATAACCTACCAAAATGGGCAAAAGAAATAAAATTATAAAAAATTCTATATATGGAATTGAGTCATAATTTAAAAACTTCTCTCCAGAGAAAACTCTAGGCCAATGTGGCTTCACCGGTGAATTTCACTTTACACTTAAGAAGAAAAAAAATCAACATGCATAAATTCACCCAGAGAATAAAAAAAGAGAAAATGAAATCTAACTCATTTTACAAAGCCAAGATTTGAAAAAACTATGAGAAAGGAAAATTATAACCAATTGCCCTGATGACATGAATTTGAAAATCCTAAATATTAACAAACAGAATCCCGCAATTTAATAATAAAATAATTTAATAATTATTTCATAAAATAATATAGTACAACTGAATTACATTTGTTCCAGAAATAAGTTGGTTTACCACTTAATCAATCAATGTAATTAACCACATTTATTTATAGGATAAAGGAGAAAAATTATCATCTCAAAGATTCAGAAAAATCTGAAAAAATTCAACACATTCATGATTGAAAAAAAAAAAACTCTTAGCAAACTAAATGATTTTCTTTTTTCTTTCTTCCTTTTTTTTTTTTTTTTGTTTTGTTTTTTGAGACAGTCTCACTCTGTCATCCAGGCTGGAGAACAGCAGTGCAATCTTGGCTCACTGCGACCTCTGCCTCCTGGGTTCAAGCGATTCTCGTGCCTCAGCTGGAGTAGTTGGGATTACAGGCATGTGTCACCACACCCGGCAAATTTTTGTATTTTTAGTAGAGACGGGGTTTCACCATGTTGCCCAGGCTGATCTTGACCTCCTAGCCTCAAGTGATCTGCACCCCTGGGCCTCCCAAAGTGCTGGGATTACAGGTCTAAGCCATGGCGCCCAGCCGAGGAATTTCTTAATCTGATAAATGGTAGGTAACACACACACACAC
Source organism: Homo sapiens (assembly GCF_000001405.40). Classification (NCBI taxonomy): domain Eukaryota; kingdom Metazoa; phylum Chordata; class Mammalia; order Primates; family Hominidae; genus Homo; species Homo sapiens. Next base: position 40,848,297 of record NC_000013.11, read on the forward strand.
ACACACACACACACACACACACTCGTAAAGCAATTGGAGAGACATGGAAAGCTTTTCCTTTGAGAATGGAACTGTACGTTGATGGTTGCTATTGCCACTTCTAATTCTACACTGTACTGAATGTTCTAGCCACTGCTAAAGGAGAGAAATGACTGAAATGGAGAAAATACAATTTGTTATTTTTATATGATATAATCATGTAACATAAAATCCAAAATAATCTATTGATAAATTCATAGAACTAATAAGTGAGTTTAGGGTAGGCACGGTGGCTCAGGCCTGTAGTCCTAGCACTTTGGGAGGTGGAGGCTGAGGCTGGCAGATCACTTGAGCCCAGGAGTTTTGAGACCAACCTGGGCAACAGGGCAAAACCCCGTCTCTACAAAAAGGTCAAGAAATTAGCTGGGCATGATGGCACCTGCCTGCAGTCTTAGTTACTTGAGAGGCTGATATGGGAGGATCGCCTGAGCCCAGGGAGGTTGAGGCTGCAGTGAGCCATGATCATGCCACTGCACTCCAGCCTGGGTGACAGAATGAGACCCTGCCTCAAAAAAAAAGAGTGAGTTTAGTAAAGTTGCTAATTGCAAGATTAATAAATAAAGTGAACTGCATTTAAAACAACAAAAAAACATTTAGATAATAAACATTTTAAAAGTATATAATTTAAATAACCACAAAATATCAAATATCTAGGAATAAATATCACCAAAAATATGCAAGCTTTCTATACAGAAAATGAGAAAGCATTGTAAAGAGAAATTGAAGAGGACCTAACTAAATGAGAGAATACTTCTGTTCATGGGTTGGATGAGTCAATATTGTGAAGATTCAATTCTCCCCAATCTATAAATTCAACGCAATCCCAAACAAATTTCTATCAGTTGTGTGTAACTTGACTAGTTGATTCCCAAATTTATATGGAAATGTAGATGGCCTAAAATACCCTAACAACTGTGAAGAAAAAGATGATTGTGCTCACATGACTGGAAATGAGGACTTGTTAGAAAGCCACAGTAAGATAGTTGTGCTATTGGCACACAGATGAAAAATCAATGCACAGAATAGAAAGGTTAGAAACAGATTCATGTTCTGCAGGGTAGTAAAGAAATGAAAATATTCTCAACTAGTGTGCTGGAATAATTGGATAGCCATATATGGAAAAAGATTAAACCTGACGCCTTCCTCACACCACACACATAAACCAATTTTAACAGGAATGAACCTTCTAGAAGAAAATATAGTAGTAAAATATCCTTTAAACTCAAGGAAAATTTTCTGAATCAGGACACAAAAACACAAACTTTATAAAGGGAAAGCATGATACACATGATGGTAATACAACTAAGAACTTCTGTTAACCAAAAGATACTCCTAAGAGAGAAAAAAGGCAAATTATAGAGCAGAAAAGCTTTCTTGAAATACATATATGGCCAATAACAGAAATTGAAATCAGAATACATAAAGAACTCCTACAAATCAAGAGAAAAAAGACGAATAATCCAGGAGAAAAATGGGTAAGAAAATTAAAAAGTTACTTTGCAAAAAAGGATATCCAAATACTTAATAATCTTAAGAAAACATCCTCAATCTTATTAGTAATTATAGAAATGCAAATGATCACCACCATAAAATGCCATCACACAAACACCCAATGGCTAAAAATAAAAATACTCAGAATTGCAAGTATTGGGGAAGATATAGAACGCCTGGAGTGTACAAGTGGAGTAAAAATTGGTACAACTGTTTTAGAAAACAGGTAACATTATCAAGTAAAGTTCAAGACTCATTACCCTAAGACAGAACAATTTTAGTCCAAGGTACATACTCAACAAAAATATGGCCACATGTGCAACAAGAAACGTGTATTTTTAAAAGCAGCATTATTGGGCTGGGTGCAGTGGCTCATACCTGTAATCCCAGCAGTTTGGGAGGCCGAGGCAGACAGATCACTTGAGGTCAGGAGTTCAAGACCAGCCTGGCCAACATGATGAAACCCCATCTCTATTAAAAATACAAAAACTAGCTGGGTGTGTTGGTGGGCGCCTGTAATCCCAGCTACTTGGGAGGCTCAGGCACGAGAATTGCTTGAACCCAGGAGGCAGAGGTTGCAATGAACTGAGATCGTGCCACTGCACTCCAGCCTGTGTGACAGAGTGAGACTTTATCTCAAAAAAAAAAAAAAAATCAGCATTATTTATCACAGTAAAAATTGGAAACAACCCAAATGTAATAGAAAAAAAGAGATTCCATTTGCAGTCACAGTTTGTGTAGGAATGAATTTTTGAAAAGATGTGCAAACACATGATGAAGAAAAGTATAAAATATTATTAAAGAATGAACAAGATGATTCACATGTACAACTCAATATTGCAAAGTTGTCAGTTCTCTCAAGTTAATCTATAAATTCAATGTAGTTCCAATAAAAATCCTAAATGTGTTTTATTATGGCACTTGAAAAAATGATTTTAAAATTGAATGTAATAATAAAGTTCCAAGAAGAGCAAGACAATTCTGCCTTTATCAAACTATATTATAAGGCCACAATAATTACAAAAGTGGTATAGAGAACTTAGAAACAGTTTTGAATACTTACAGAAACTTGGTATGTGACTGAGAGGGATTACAAATTAATGGAGAACCAAATAGCATGCAATTGATGGTGTTAGCACAATTGGCTATCCATATGAAAAAAAAACTTCCCCCAACTTCCAATTAGATTAAAGACTCAAATATTAAAAATGAAACTTGAATATTTTTGAAGAAATGTGGAATATCTTTACTAAATCAGTATAGGGGTGAATTTCTTAAACATGATAGAAAGGCATGAAATACATACACATACATAGATGAACACATTTTACTACATTCAAAATTACAAACTTCTCTCTGAGCACAATGGCTCATGCCTGTAATCCCAGCACTTTGAGAAGCTGAGGTGGGTGGATCATTTGAGTCCAGGAGTTCAAGACCAGTCTGGGCAACACAGCAAGACCCTGTCTCTACAAAAAATACAAAAATTAGCCAGGCATGGTGGTGCTTGCATGTAGTCCTACCTACGCAGAGGGCCCGAGGTGGGAGGATCACTTGAGTCCCAGAAGGTTAAAGCTGCAATGAGCTGAGATTGTGCCACTGCACTCCAGCCTGGGTGACAGAGCGAGACCATGTCTCAAAACAAAACAAAAATTTACAAACTTTTGCACAACAAAATAAATCACAATCAAATTTAAAAGGCAACACATTGGGAGAATATACTTATAATACTAAGAAAAATTGGCGGTGAGATTCTTTGAAGAACTCCTATAAATCAATATAAAATATTTTTACTATCATGATACTACTGGTAACCTGCAGGCAGCAACCAACTAGAAGACAGCAAGACTAATATGAATGAACACTTAAAAAAAGAGGCTGCTCTGGTACATACCAGCTGAATATTAGCCCTCTAAACAACCTTTAAAAAAATCAACAAAATATTATGTGAACACAGAATAATGTAAACCCCCTCTCAGCAAAAAAGTAAAAAGTCAAATTTGAAATGAATGCTTTCCTTCAAGCAAGGAATGTTTTCCTTCAAGAAAGGAATTAGCATTAGCTAATAGAAAACTGCTGCGAACTGCTTGAATAATAACATTTTAGGTTGGACAATGTGAAATGGCCATTTTTAAAGCAAAAGATGGTTAAAAACTGGCAATTTCAAATGATTCAACCTCTATATTTTTAATTTAACTATGGTATTATAAATTGCCAGTTTATACACAATATTCCAACCTGTAGAGCTAAACACAGAACCTGTATATTAACTAATATACAGCTAAACACAGAACGTGTATATTAAGCAATGGGCTTGAAACTAGTCAATAAGACTTGAAATTAGTCAATAAGACTAAAACTTGATTTTACTGAATTATATAAGTCAGTTTACAGTGTTATGTTTTCCTGGAATTTGATATAAAAATTGATTTAGAGCCCACCAAAAATGTAATTCTTTATGTTTGTCAAAAATTGTGAAATATGCTTAGATGATTATTCAAAACCCAAACCTGAATGAGAGAAAATCTAACTGAACTTAAATTGGTTGGATTTACAAATGGCTTTTTCCCCCCATTTTAACCTCACCAATGTCAACTTCTTTGTATCATCACACTATAAAAATTCCAGTATAATTTTTGAAATAGCATCTCCGTTGGCTCCCTTAATCTAAAAGAGTCTCACAAAGTTTAAGAACAACCTTAAATAATACTGGAACAAAAATGGACATATAGACCAATGGAACAGAATAGAAAGCCCAAAATAAATCCATGCATTTATAGTCAGCTGATTTTTGACAAAGGTGCCAAGAATCCACGATGGCGAAAGGACAGTCTCTTCAATAAGTGATACTGGGGAAACTGGATATCCACTTGTAGAAGAATGAAATTGCACCCTATCTCACCCAATATACAAAAATGAACTCAAAGTAAACACTTAACTGTGAAACCTGAAACTGGAAAACTACTAGAAGAAAACATAGGGGAAAATGTTCTTGACATTGGTCTGGGTCAAGATTTTTTTTAATGTGACTGACAAACATAGGCAACAAAATAAAAAATAGACAAATGATACTGTATCAAACTAAAAAGCTTTTGCAGAGCAAAGGAAACAAATATAGAGTAAAGAGACAACCTACAGAATGGGAGAAAATATCTTCAAAGCATACATTCAATAAAAGGTTAATTTTTTTTAAAGGAACTCAAACAACACAATAGCAAGAGAACAAGTTACTTCTCTAGAAAATGGGCAAAGAACCTGAAATTCCCCAAAAGAAGACATACAAATGGCCAAGAGGTATAAGAAAAAATGCTAAACATCATTAATCATCAGGGAAAAGCAAATTAAAACCACAAAGAGATATCCTCACACCTGTTCAGATGGTCATTAACAAAAAGACAAAAGAGTTGGTGAGGATGTAGAGAAAAGAGAACCCTCTTATACACTGTTGATGTGAATGTAAATTAGTAGTTATTATGGAAAACAGCATGGAGGGTCCTCAAAAAACTAGAAATAAAACTACCATATGATTTGGAGATTCCTCTGCTGGGTATATATCCAAAGGAAATGAAATTTGCACTGCCATGTTCACTGCAGCATTATTCATAATAGCCAAGCTATGGAGTCAATCTAAATGCTATCAATGGATGAATGGATAAAGAATATGTGGTATATATACATAAGGACACACTACTCAGCCTTAGATATCCTGTCACTTGAGGTAATATGGATGAACCTGATGTTATGCTAAGTGAAATAAGCCAGGCATAGAAAGACAAATACTGTGTCTCACTTATTTGTGGAATCTAAGAAAGTCAAATTCATAGAAGCAGAGAGTAGAATGGTAGTTACCAGGGGCTGGGGGGACAAAAGTGGGGGGATTGTGGAGATGTTGGTTTTTATTTTATTTTATTTGTTTTGAGATGGAGTTTCATTCTTGTTGCCTAGGCTGGAGTGCAGTGGCGCGATCTCAGCTCACTACAACCTCCACCTTACGCATTCAAGCGATTCTCCTGCCTCAGTCTCCTGAGTAGCTGGGATTACAGGTACCCACCACACCTGGCTAATTTTTTGTATTTTTAGTAGAGACGGGGTTTCACCATGTTGGCCAGGCTGGTCTCAAACTCCTGACCTCAGGTGATCCACCTACCTCGGCCTTTCAAAGTGCTGGGATTATGGGTGTAAGCCACCATGCCCGGCCTGAGATGTTGGTTAAAGGATACAAAATTTCAGTTAGACAGGAAGAGTAAGTTCAGGAAATTTACTGTACAACATAGTGACCATAGTTAATAATAATGTATACTTGAAAATTGCTGAGAGAGTAGATTTTAAATGTTCTCACCACAAAAAAGTATGTGGAGTAGTGCATATGTTAATTAGCTTGATTTAGCCATTTCACAATGTTTACATATATCAAAACATCATGTTGTACACCATAAATATATTGATTTTTTATTTGTTAATTTAAAAATAAAAAAGAGTAGCCTTAAATAAAATAAAAGTACTCTGACATTCTAAAATTAAAGACTATTTTGAGAGATATAAACTGGCAAAACAAGAATAAAGAAATCCAAATAGTAGAAAAACAAGGAAAAATATGCTCAACCTTCCTTAGTTCTTTTTTCCTACTTTCTTCCCTTCCTTATCCTCTCCCTATCTCCTACCCTTCCTCCTCTCCTCTTTCCTTTCTCCTTCCCTTCTTCTAGTCTTGGAGCTAATATTTTAAAATGCTAACAATTATTAATACTTATTAATAGCAATATGTATCTTGTTCTTGTACTTTATCCATATTTACATGTCTTTAGAAAGGGAGAAATAAAAAGGAAAATGTTATTACCTTTGCCTCCTTTACAGTGAATCACTATGATGTTTTCAGGATCTTGAGTCATCCACTCATTTACTTCCTTGGAGAATACCACCATCTTACTGATTTCAAGTTTAATATTTTTAGTTAAATTAAAATATTTTCAGAAAACCAAGCCCAATATATTTAGCCCTCTTCTGATAGTCAACTTAGCATAAAACTTACTGTAGAGTGGGGACATAATGATCATCAATCATGATTCTACTGACCCTAATATGGAAGTGCTTAGGATCATAAGCTCTTTCACCTAAAATAAATAATATGTATGTTATATCTCTACAGGTAATAACACAGTAAATAATGAAGTTATGAATAAGTTAACATATCTTATTAGAAATTCCTTATCCATCTTCAAAGAGAGCTTTCCAAGTTGCTCCTGCTGCTCTAAAATAAAGGTAAGGGTCTCAAAAACGTAAGGATAGTAGTGGTTTATCCATCTCATGTAACCTAAACTCAACTTATTTTTGTTTAATAGGTATAATTTTTAACTTTCTAGCAGACTATTCATTATATTATTGCAGGGTAGTTAGAACCCACACAAGAGGCAAATGTAGCTGACCAAAATGATTGCCCCCCTGAAAATGTCTATTGAGTATACAGGTAGAGGAAAAAAATCAAGACAGACAGTGGTAAGCTGGGTTACAACCTATTTTCTACAGAGTTTTTTGCTTTTTTTCCCATCTAGGGCCCTGCTCTCATCACAACCCACTGCTGATGGATCAGAGGACTCATTTGTTAAATTATCTATGTCCTCATAACCCAATCTGGCAGGAAAAACAGAAAGATTTTCCTAAACCTAATATCACTAGAACAGATCTTCCCTAAAATGGTTTGCCTCCACTCTAGCATCATTGGTCCTGCCAGAGCTGCCTCCTTCATAGGGTACTTTGTGCTGCTGGGTTAACTCCTTCTACCAAATGGGGCCAGTCCAAGATGGGGTTTTAAATTCATTCCTCACCACCACTACACACTTATGATTAAATGCAATATAAAAAACAAAATCACCTTCTTACATGCAGTAATCTGTTTTCTATCTACAGTAGCAAAATACAGAGTAATGTACATACTGCATAGATTGTAGACTTGATAGTGGTTTGGATGCTTCTTGTCTAGAAACTGCACGACTTCCTAAAAAAGACAAACACATACCTTACATATCCACATGGCACCAACATAAGCTATTTCCTAGGGAGAACCTAAAATAGTCATTATTTTCTATCAATTTGTTTCTCACTGGCATCTTCTAGGGGCAATTCAGGGAATACAAGGGTATGCCAATTTCAAGTGCTAATCTACTGCGGTTTTTCAAATAGTCCACAAAGTGTATTTGGCTACTCAGATTAGTCCCTATTGTAAATACACACTGTTTAAAGCTATCAGATAAGTAAATTAGCTGGTTAACTAACTTTAAGTAAATTTGTTCCAAATCATTAATTCACAGTTAATGTGGTTTTTATTTAAATCTAATTCATATTAGTTCTTATTTAAATTTAATTCTGACTAGATATGTCTTTAGATAGTGATCTGCATATTACAGTCTACCTAAGCACCATGTAAACAAATAAATGCAAAAAGTATATAGTATGATTGTGTGTATGCATGATAGAAAAAGATAAACATATTATATGAAATTTTAAATAACTGGTAACAATATGGAGACTTTTGACAATAAGAGGCTCAACTGTTGTCAAACAGGTGTCAAACAATAAGAGGCTCAACTGTTCTCTTATTTTTTAAATGAAGATATATGTGTACCTATGAATGTGTATACACATATATATATATGCATATATATGTATAACCTTTAAAATAAAAAACAAATAGTAGTTATCATTTAAAATACAGTTAATACCACTATATGGATCCAACTTTCAGGAAATATATCTTTCTGAGACATACACACACACACACATATATATATCTCTGTGCAACAACAAAAATGACACAAAATTTTAAAACTGATTAGTATGGTACCTTCAGAGCAATGTTTACTGGCTTAATATTGAGAAAAATAAACTTAAGGTATCAAAGTCATCCATTTATTAAACTGGTTATCTCTGTTAGGAGGAAATAATAAGTCAAAAATGAACACTGAATCTGCATAGTGGGGGCGCAAGGATAAGAAGTTTTATATACTTCAGAATTCATGGAATTTCTTACATAAAATCCATATGGGTTTAGAAATCACATATAAAAACTGCAAATATCTATGAGAAATTTAAGCAAATTTTAGTCAATTATTTGGATAAGGAAGAACTAAAAGTGTGGAATCAATGGAAGATCAATGGGCTTAGGTCTGACTTCATAAAAATCTGAAATTTCTGTTTTAAAATGCTATAATGAATAACAGAGGAAAAGATTTTTGAGGAAACTTGAATGGGGACTATGCCTAGTATAATAAATTAGTAATTCACTAACAATAACTTAAATATTACTCCCTCACCTTATAGATAAATGGGCCAAGGACATAAACAATCCATAAAAGAGAAAATCTAACTGATTAACAACCTACATAGATAAATATTCAGTGTCGCCAATAAAGAAGTTAAAACAGCAAATGGCATGCCATTTGCACCCATGAAATTAGCCCTTTCTCTTTTAACGAGAAAATCCAATGCTGGCCAAATAAGGTGAGAAATTAAAAACTTTGATTTATTATTGATACAATAATACAATTGCTCTTGGATTTGGCAATATATATAAAGAACCTCAAAAATATTCATACTCTTTAGGTAATTTCACTCCTAGCAATCTATACAGAAAAAGCCTTTTGCTCAAAGATGTTTGTTGCTGTATTATTGATAATAGTGACACATAATGTCCAACATTAGAGGTTAATCACAGCACTAATGAAATATCATGCAACCATTAGAATACTGTCCTGGCCTTTATATATATATGTGTGTGTGTATATATATATGTGTGTGTATATATATATATATGTGTGTGTATCTATCTATCTATCTATCTATATATATATATATATATATATTTTTTTTTTTTTTTTTTTTTTTTGAGACGGAGTCTCCCTCTGTCGCCCAGGCTGGAGCGCAGTGGCAGGATCTCGGCTCACTGCAAGCTCCGCCTCCCAGGTTCACGCCATTCTCCCGCATCAGCCTACCGAGTAGCTGGGACTACAGGCGCCCACCACCATGCCCAGCTAATTTTTTTGTATTTTTAGTAGAGACAAGGTTTCACCGTGTTAGCCAGAATGGTCTCGATCTCCTGACCTCGTGATCTGCCCGCCTCGGCCTCCCAAAGTGCTGGGATTATAGGCGTGAGCCACTGCGCCCAGCCTACCCTTCATATTTTTATTTTATTTTTATTTTTTTGAGACAGAGTTTCACTCTTGTTGCCCAGGTTAGAGTGCAATGACGCGATCTCAGCTCACTGCAACCTCCGCCTCCCAGGTTCAAAAAATTCCTCTGCCTCAGCCTCCCAAGTAGCTGGAGTTACAGGCATGAGCCACCACGCCTGGCTAATTTTTTGTATTTTTAGTAGAGATGGGGTTTCACCATGTTGGCCAGGCTGGTTTCGAACTCCTGACCTCAGGTGATCCACCTGCCTTGACCTCCCAAAGTGCTGGGATTACAGGCGTGAGCCATCGCACCCGGCCCTGTCCTTCATTCTCTCAACAAGTAAATATCTCACGGTGGTAATTTACATGCAGCCTTCCTTAGTATACATATATAGAAAAACAGTCAATATTTGCTTTTTCATGGGAAAACAAGTATATCTGGAGCGTTAAGCTTTAGGGATTTTTCTGAATCCCCTTCCTAGTTCTCTCAGTGTCTAAAAATTATATATATATACACATATATATAATTTCTATAATCATATATATATAGAGAGAGACTCAATATTTAAATGATTTACTGCTGTGTTTTCTGATCTAAGTAGTTTACTGAAGACTCCAAATCTCTCTTATCCAAATTAGGTGAAAAGGGACATAAAGAATCTAGGAAAAAGTTCAACTCTGCCAAGAATCTACATTTTTCTGGTCACCATCTGTCACCAGATGGACAGTTTCTGTTTTCAACCAGAATAAGGAGCATTCCATCTACCAAGAACAGAAATTAAAAGATGGCTAAGAAGATTTTAGGACTGTAGGTAATTGTATATCTGATTTTTCTCAATAGCTCAGCCTTTGCATGGGCTTACAAAGTTTATAATTCCTGAAACTCTTCCTTGTGATGCAAAAGTAGAAAATGCTGTCTACTCTTTGAAAGACTTCTTGCAACGACCTCCACCTTCGGGTTTTCCTAAATCTGCCAAACTCTTCTCTCTGCCTATCTTAGTACATTCCTTGATTTGGAGGCAAAGGTAAACCTTCTCTACTTGCATGAGGTGGTAGCAGTGGCCAAACTTGTTGATGCTTCCATAATAGTGCTTGTTTCTCCACTAACTCTATGGGTCCCTGCATCTCTATAAAGTTTTTGCTACTTCAAGGCAGCATCTGACATTTCTCCTCCAGTAAATTTACCACTTATGAAATTGTAATGTCTGCTTTGCATATTCAATGTTGTTCAAAATGTAACCCTGCAACTTTATTCCCTTTTAAGAATAAAGGGGAATCATATGACTGTTTAGCATCCTCTCAGGAATTAAGTATACCTGGATTTGAATCTTCTGCCTTTTAGTCAACCTTGATTTAATATACTTTGTAGATGGTTCTCAAATATGACAAAGACATTCCCAGTGCAGGATATGCTGTTATCATTGAACATGCCATCACTGAAGTGCTCCATGGCCTGATTCCTGGCCTCCCCAGGTAGCTGAACTAGCAGCTTAGCTTTGGGGCTGCACTCTGGCAAAGATGAAAGATTAAATATTAATATGGACAGTAGATTTGCTTTTTGGGTGACTCATAATTTGTGGAATTTATTAAAACACATTATTTATTACCTCCTTTTTGGATACTCTGATTAAAAATGGTAAAGGAATCAATGACTTATTAGTACTTTGTCAATGCCCCAAGGAGATAACAGTTTAATAACTGATAGAAACCAACAGTCTAGTGATCATCCCAGAAGGAAATAGTAATGTCTTTGTGTTGATTTACATGCTAAGTGAAGTTTTTTGGTTTTTTAAAAACACCCCAGCTAATATTAAGTGTTGCCAAATTGGGAGGTGGGAGGATTGCTTGAACCCAGGAGTTCAAGACCAGCCTGGGCCAGTGAGACCAGTGAGACTCCTTCTCTAAAAAAATTAATTAAAAAAATTAGCCAAGTGTAGTGACGCCTGGTTGCAGACCCAGCTATGCGGGAGACTGAGATGGGAGAATTGCCTGAACCCAGGTGCCACTGCCCTCCAGCCTGTGGTGGCAGAGCAATGCCCTGTCTTAAGACAAACAAATAAACAAAAGTCAATATACAAAAATGAGTTATGTTCCTATAAAAACTAGCTCAATTTAGACATGCTATAATTAACTCACAGTTATTAGCTTAACCTGCTTTAAAAAACAATGTTAGCAATCAAGAGATGTTTTACCCATAAGGATGGAATCTGGAAATTTTGGGATGGCTGCCCTCAAGTGGCATGGCCCATCCAGTGGGCCCTGGTCACATTACTCCATGACTACTCCCATTAGGGGAGAGAAAAATTAATTCCACCTCAAATGAATAGTTTGAAACAATTTTCAAAATTGGCTAAGGGAGTGGTAGAATCATGTCTTAGCCATAAACACCATAACCTGGGTGAGATGTGGGTCAGACCCTTCTCTTCAAGGTCTTTGGGTATTTACAAATACATTTTTATACAATTGCTGAAGTCTTGAGTCTCTGACTACGTAACAGTTATTTCTTGTAAACTATCTGCATGTATAAAAATGCTCCCCTGCCTGAGAATAAGGTAGAATGATTCCATCAATGGTCTCAATTCTTCATCTTTTCCTGAATCCATGCCCTCACATTTCACCTTGTAGCGCCCTTTCACTCTAACTTTGTATTCCGTTATGTGAGTTGATTTGGTCACTGGAATGCCACAAAGGAGAGGCTTGCAAAAGCACTTGTAAGATTCCAGTCTAGCCCTTTCCTTTTGCCATTACCTTGAAACATATCCATCATATTCATCCTGAGGGAGGATGAAGATAAGTTGAGCAGATAGGAGTTACCCAAGACACCTAAACTAAGGTAATTGTAGACCAACTGATAAAGACATTTCAAAGAAACAAAATTTTATATCACTCATGAACATAGATGAAAAGTTCTAAACAAAATATTAGCAAATAGAATCTAGTGATAGATAAAAAAGATAATACATTAAGACCAAAGGGAGTTTATTCAAAAATAAAAAAATGTTGGTTTAACTTTGAAAATCTCATTAATGGAATAACAGAAAAACATTTTGATTACCTTGACAGATGCAGAAAAAATATCTGATATATTCAACACCAATTCCTGATTCAAAACTTTTAGCAAACTAGAAATAAAATGGACTGTCTTAATCTGCTAAAGAATGATTACAAAACCCTATAGCAAACATCGTTTCAAATAGTGAAGCATAAAACTCTTCTTGAGTTTGGGAACAAGGCAAGGCTGCCTCCTCTTACCATTTCTATTCAATATTACAGTGAAAGTCCTAGATAATAAATAAAGAAAAAACGCATAAAAAGTGGGAAGAAAGTAGTAACTTTATATGATTGTATACATCAGGAAATCTACACATTAATTATTAAAATGAATGTGTGAACTTATGAAGGATGCTAGATATAAAGACAATATACAAGGCTGGGTGTAGTGGCTCACACCTGTAATCCCAGCACTTTGGGAAGCTGAGGTGGGAGGATTGCTTGAACCCAGGAGTTCAAGACCAGCCTGGGCCAGTGAGACCAGTGAGACTCCTTCTCTACAAAAATTAATTTAAAAAATTAGCCAAGTGTAGTGATGCCTGCTTGTAGTCCCAGCTACATGGGAGACAGAGGTGGGAGAATTGCTTGAGCCCAGGTGCCACTGCACTCCAGCCTGTGGTGACAGAGCAATGCCCTGTCTTAAGACAAATAAACAAAAGTCAATATACAAAAATTAGTTATGTTCCTATATACCAATAGCAAATAATTAGAAAATGAAGATTTTCAAATATCATTTAAAATAGCATAAAAACTTATCAAATACTTAGAAATAAAACTAACAAAAGGTGTAAAACCTGTACACTGCAAACATTGCTAAAAGAAATCAAACACGACATAAGTAGAGAGATATATTATGTTCATGAGTTGGAAATCTCAATATTTTTATATGTCAATTGTCTCCAAATTAAGTTACATAGTCAATCCCTAGGTCAAAATACTGTCTGTGTGTGTGTGTGTGTGTGTGTGTGTGTGTGAGTTTGGGTGTGTATGTAAATTGCCAAGATGATTCTAAAATTTATACGGAAATTCAAAAAATCTAGGAGAGCCAAGATAGTTTTTAAACAAGGAAGTACAAAGTTGGAGGACTTATACCCAAGTTTTCAAGACTCACTATAAAGCCATAATAATTAAAACTGTGGTCTGGACTTAAGTATAGACACGTCATAATGAAAGGACAAAAAGCCCAGAAACAGACCTATACATATATGTTCACTTGATTTGCACTAAACATACCTCTGCCATTCACTGGGAGAAATTATGCTCTTTACAATAAATGGTAGAGGGGGGATTGATAGCTATATGAAAAACATGAACCTTGATGCTTTATATCTTTACAACAATTAATTGGAGATCAGTCATAGACCAATATAGAGGTCTTGGTTACATGCATATATACTTATGTATAATATCATCAAGATATACACTTGATTAGTGCAACTTAACCATATGTGTTATACCTCAATAAAAATGTGATGATATGCATGCATATACATATGTATACTTACATCTAGGCATACATACATACAGATAATTTCATATATCTTTTTACTTCAACTTTTAGATTCAGGGGTTCATGTGCAGGATGTGCAGGTTTGTTACATAGGGAAATGTGTGCCATGGTGGTTTGCTGCACAGATCATCCCATCCCTAGGTATTAACCCCAGCATCCATTAGCTATTCTTCCTGATGCTCTCCTTCCCCCACCCCTGCCCTCCCAACAGGCCCCAGTGTGTGTTGTTCCCCACCATGTGGCCATGTGTTCTCATCGTCAACTCCCACATACAAGTGAGAACATGCAGTGTTTGGTTTTCTGTTCCTGTGTTAGTTTGCTGAGGATGACAGCTTCCAGCTCCATCCATGTCCCTGCAAAGGATGTAATCTCGTTCCTTTTTATGGCTGCATAGTTTTCCATGGTGTTTATGTACCACATTTTATTTTTTTATTTTTTTAAGTGTTAAATAATCTTTATTTGATATTACACATAAACCACACTAAAATACCATTCAATAAGTAAAAGGAACCATTTTAAATACAGGGAATTCTAATTAGATTGGCATAGTTAAGGCCAAAAATATAAAGTAAACATTGCTACCTTATCTTCAACCCTGGCCTTTAAGAAGCAAATAAACACAAAATATATGTGAATCTTGCATGGTTTTGAGACAGTGAAGGAATTTCCCCAGTATTTAAATATATTCACATAACCAGTTATATAAATCTAAATATAAAACCACTCTCCAATAAGTTTTAAGATGGCACTCACCATCTTTGTGAAAAGTTGAACATTATTAACAAAGTCTAATCATATCTTTAGAAGGGGTAAACAGTGATAGCATTTACTGAATTAAAATTACTTATTAAAATTCAAAAACCAAACTACCAAACTTATTCATTTAATCACAAGCCAGTCTTAGTTTTAAATCAGGACTGTCCAACAAAATATGCTCTCAGTCATTCATGATCTGAAGTCTGGTGTATGAGATCTATTAAATTATGGTACACACAAAAAAGTCAGGAGACATTTCTGTTTTTTAATAAATAAGGCAGTGGAAAATTGTTACCCACTAATAGCTTTTTTGAGATAAGCTATCAAGTCTGCCTTTCTGCCTTCTTAATGCCGGCAAAGATCATTTTTGTTCCAGGGATGTACTTCTTGGGATTCTCCACATACTCCATCAGTGTATCCTCCCCCCAGGTGATGCCTTTGTTCTTATTGGCATCTGTGTAAGAGAATCCAATGGCCTGACCTGTCTCCTGCCTGAAGAGACCATGGAGATTAGGCCCAGTCTTGTGCTTGCCTCCCTTTCCACGGTGTGGCACTGGGCACACTTCTGAACAAAAATCTTCTTGCCTTTCTCAACATCACCCGTATTTAATTATCTCTTTCATCGCTGGCACTACAAAGGTTTCTGCTCGGAAGCCAGATGTCCCATTCTCTCTATGTACCACATTTTCATTATCCAATCTATCATTGATGGCATTTAGATTGATTCCATGTCTATGCATGCATGCATGTATCTTTATAAGACAATGATTTAGGCTGGGTGCAGTGGTCTTGAACTCCTGACCTCCTGATCCTCCTGCCTCAGTCTCACAAAGTGCTTCTTATAAAAGTACAAAATAGCTTTATGCATTATGAAAATAATCAAACTTACCCTTCTACAAATACTCGAAGAAGACCATTCATGAGAAAAAATAAGGCAATAGCTAGAAAAAATAGAATGATAATCCAAAGGAATATAAACTTTGCTATCAGTGAAAATTAGGTTAGCAAGGATGAGAGCCACATCCAATAAGATAAAAAAAACTCCAAATATTCTACAATAAATAAATAAATAAGTAAATAATAGCAAAGATAAAGGGGCTTTTTTTCCCTATAGTTATACTATATTTAGGCCAATGATTGCATACCAAAATGCAATTATCTAGTATTAAACTGCTCAGTGGCAGGAAAAACTGTAATGCCTTAGAATCTCAGAAAAATCACTGTTTTCACCCAATAGAAGCAGTTCTTTTTTTTTTTTTAAGTATGACTTTTCTTTTTTTTTATTATACTTTAAGTTTGAGGGTACATGTGCACAATGTGCAGGTTAGTTACATATGTATACATGTGCCATGCTGGTGCGCTGCACCCATTAACTCGTCATCTAGCATTAGGTGTATCTCCCAGTGCTATCCCTCCCCACTACCCCCACCCCACAACAGTCCCCAGAGTGTGATGTTCCCCTTCCTGTGTCCATGTGTTCTCATTGTTCAACTCCCACCTATGAGTGAGAATATGCGGTGTTTGGTTTTTTGTTCTTGCAAGAGTTTACTGAGAATGATGATTTCCAATTTCATCCATGTCCCTATGAAGGACATGAACTCATCATTTTTTATGGCTGCATAATATTCCATGGTGTATATGTGCCACATTTTCTTAATCCAGTCTATCATTGTTGGACATTTCGGTTGGTTCCAAGTCTTTGCTATTGTGAATAATGCCGCAGTAAACATACGTGTGCATGTGTCTTTATAGCAGCATGATTTATAGTCCTTTGGGTATATACCCAGTAATGGGATGGCTGGGTCAAATGGTATTTCTAGTTCTAGATCCCTGAGGAATCGCCACACTGACTTCCACAATGACTGAACTAGTTTACAGTCCCACCAACAGTGTAAAAGTGTTCCTATTTCTCCACATCCTCTCCAGCACCTGTTGTTTCCTGACTTTTTAATGATCGCCATTCTAACTGGTGTGAGATGGTATCTCATTGTGGTTTTGATTTGCATTTCTCTGATGGCCAGTGATGGTGAGCATTTTTTCATGTGTTTTTTGGCTGCATAAATGTCTTCTTTTGAGAAGTGTCTGTTCATGTCCTTCACCCACTTTTTGATGGGGTTGTTTGTTTC
The DNA here is from genome assembly GCF_000001405.40 of Homo sapiens. Taxonomy (NCBI): domain Eukaryota; kingdom Metazoa; phylum Chordata; class Mammalia; order Primates; family Hominidae; genus Homo; species Homo sapiens. Next base: position 40,865,429 of record NC_000013.11, read on the forward strand.
TTTCTTGTAAATTTGTTTGAATTCATTGTAGATTCTGGATATTAGCCCTTTGTCAGATGAGTAGGTTGCGAAAATTTTCTCCCATTTTGTAGGTTGCCTGTTCACTCTGATGGTAGTTTCTTTTGCTGTGCAGAAGCTCTTTAGTTTAATTAGATCCCATTTGTCAATTTTGGCTTTTGTTGCCATTGCTTTTGGTGTTTTAGACATGAAGTCCTTGCCCATGCCTATGTCCTGAATGGTAAAGCCTAGGTTTTCTTCTAGGGTGTTTATGGTTTTAGGTCTAATGTTTAAGTCTTTAATCCATCTTGAATTGATTTTTGTATAAGGTGTAAGGAAGGGATCCAGTTTCAGCTTTCTACATATGGCTAGCCAGTTTTCCCAGCACCATTTATTAAATAGGGAATCCTTTCCCCATTGCTTGTTTTTCTCAGGTTTGTCAAAGATCAGATAGTTGTAGATATGCGGCATTATTTCTGAGGGCTCTGTTCTGTTCCATTGATCTATATCTCTGTTTTGGTACCAGTACCATGCTGTTTTGGTTACTGTAGCCTTGTAGTATAGTTTGAAGTCAGGTAGTGTGATGCCTCCAGCTTTGTTCTTTTGGCTTAGGATTGACTTGGCGATGTGGGCTCTTTTTTGGTTCCATATGAACTTTAAAGTCGTTTTTTCCAATTCTGTGAAGAAAGTCATTGGTAGCTTGATGGGGATGGCATTGAATCTGTAAATTACCTTGGGCAGTATGACCATTTTCACGATATTGATTCTTCCTACCCATGAGCATGGAATGGTCTTCCATTTGTTTGTATCCTCTTTCATTTCCTTGAGCAGTGGTTTGTAGTTCTCCTTGAAGAGGTCCTTCACATCCCTTGTAAGTTGGATTCCTAGGTATTTTATTCTCTTTGAAGCAATTGTGAATGGGAGTTCACTCATGATTTGGCTCTCTGTTTGTCTGTTGTTGGTGTTTAAGAATGCTTGTGATTTTTGTACATTGATTTTGTATCCTGAGAGTTTGCTGAAGTTGCTTATCAGCTTAAGGAGATTTTGGGCTGAGACAATGGGGTTTTCTAGATATACAATCATGTCATCTGCAAACAGGGACAATTTGACTTCCTCTTTTCCTAATTGAATACCCTTTATTTCCTTCTCCTGCCTGACTGCCCTGGCCAGAACTTCCAACACTATGTTGAATAGGAGTGGTGAGAGAGGGCATCCCTGTCTTGTGCCAGTTTTCAAAGGGAATGCTTCCAGTTTTTGCCCATTCAGTATGATATTGGCTGTGGGTTTGTCATAGATAGCTCTTACTATTTTGAAATATGTCCCATCAATACCTAATTTATTGAGAGTTTTTAGCATGAAGGGTTGTTGAATTTTGTCAAAGGCCTTTTCTGCATCTATTGAGATAATCATGTGGTTTTTGTCTTTGGTTCTGTTTATATGCTGGTTTACATTTATTGATTTGTGTATATTGAACCAGCCTTGCATCCCAGAGATGAAGCCCACTTGATTATGGTGGATAAGCTTTTTGACGTGCTGCTGGATTCGGTTTGCCAGCATTTTATTGAGGATTTTTGCATCAATGTTTATCAAGGATATTGGTCTAAAATTCTCTTTTTTGGTTGTGTCTCTGCCTGGCTTTGGTATCAGGATGATGCTGGCCTCATAAAATGAGTTAGGGAGGATTCCCTCTTTTTCTATTGATTGGAATAGTTTCAGAAGGAATGGTACCAGTTCCTCCTTGTACCTCTGGTAGAATTCGGCTGTGAATCCATCTGGTCCTGGACTCTTTTTGGTTGGTAAGCTATTGATTATTGCCACAATTTCAGATCCGTTATTGGTCTATTCAGAGATTCAACTTCTTCCTGGTTTAGTCTTGGGAGAGTGTATGTGTCGAGGAATTTATCCATTTCTTCTAGATTTTCTAGTTTATTTGCGTAGAGGTGTTTTTAGTATTCTCTGATGGTAGTTTGTATTTCTGTGGGATCAGTGGTGATATCCCCTTTATCATTTTTTATTGCGTCTATTTGATTCTTCTCTCTTTTTTTCTTTATTTAGTCTTGCTAGCGGTTTATCAATTTTGTTGATCCTTTCAAAAAACTAGCTCCTGGATTCATTAATTTTTTTGAAGGGTTTTTTGTGTCTCTATTTCCTTCAGTTCTGCTCTGATTTTAGTTATTTCTTGCCTCCTGCTAGCTTTTGAATGTGCTTGCTCTTGCTTTTCTAGTTCTTTTAATTGTGATGTTAGGGTGTCAATTTTGGATCTTTCCTGCTTTCTCTTGTGGGCATTTAGCGCTATAAATTTCCCTCTACACACTGCTTTGAATGTGTCCCAGAGATTCTGGTATGTTGTGTCTTTGTTCTCGTTGGTATCAAAGAACCTCTTTATTTCTGCCTTCATTTCGTTATGTACCCAGTAGTCATCCAGGAGCAGGTTGTTCAGTTTCCATGTAGTTGAGCAGTTTTGAGTTAGATTCTTAATGCTGAGTTCTAGTTTGATTGCACTGTGGTCTGAGAGATAGTTTTTTATAATTTCTGTTCTTTTACATTTGCTGAGGAGAGCTTTACTTCCAAGTATGTGGTCAATTTTGTAATAGGTGTGGTGTGGTGCTGAAAAAATGTATATTCTGTTGATTTGGGGTGGAGAGTTCTGTAGATGTCTATTAGGTCTGCTTGGTGCAGAGCTGAGTTCAATTCCTGGGTATCCTTGTTGACTTTCTGTCTCATTGATCTGTCTAATGTTGACAGTGGGGTGTTAAAGTCTCCCATTATTAATGTGTGGGAGTCTAAGTCTCTTTGTAGGTCACTCAGGACTTGCTTATGAATCTGGGTGCTCCTGTATTGGGTGCATATACATTTAGGATAGTTAGCTCTTCTTGTTGAATTGATCCCTTTACCATTATGTAATGGCCTTCTTTGTCTCTTCTGATCTTTGTTGGTTTAAAGTCTGTTTTATCAGAGACTAGGATTGCAACCCCTGCTTTTTTTGTTTTCCATTTGCTTGGTAGACCTTCCTCCATCCATTTATTTTGAGCCTATGTGTGTGTCTGCACATGAGATGGGTTTCCTGAATACAGCACACTGATGGGTCTTGACTCTTTATCCAATTTGCCAGTCTGTGTCTTTTAATTGGAGCATTTAGTCCATTTACATTGAAAGTTAATCGTGTTATGTGTGAATTTGATCCTGTCATTATGATGTTAGCTGGTTATTTTGTTCGTTAGTTGATGCAGTTTCTTCCTAGTCTTGATGGTCTTTACATTTTGACATGATTTTGCAGCGGCTGGTACCAGTTGTTCCTTTCCATGTTTAGCGCTTCCTTCAGGAGCTCTTTTAGGGCAGGCCTGGTGGTGACAAAATCTCTCAGCATTTGCTTGTCTGTAAAGTATTTTATTTCTCCTTCACTTATGAAGCTTAGTTTGACTGGATATGAAATTCTGGGTTGAAAATTCTTTTCTTTAAGAATGTTCAATATTGGCCCCCACTCTCTTCTGGCCTGTAGAGTTTCTGCCGAGAGATCCACTGTTAGTCTGATGGGCTTCCCTTTGAGGGCAACCTGACCTTTCTCTCTGGCTGCCCTTAACATTTTTTCCTTTATTTCAACTTTGGTGAATCTGACAATTATGTGTCTTGGAGTTGCTCTTCTTGAGGAGTATCTTTGTGGCATTCTCTGTATTTCCTGAATCTGAATGTTGGCCTGCCTTGCTAGATTGGGGAAGTTCTCCTGGATAATATCCTACAGAGTGTTTTCCAACTTGGTTCCATTCTCCCCGTCACTTTCAGGTACACCAATCAGACGTAGATTTGGTCTTTTCACATAGTCCCATATTTCTTGGAGGCTTTGCTCATTTCTTTTTATTCCTTTTTCTCTAAACTTCCCTTCTCGCTTCATTTCATTCATTTTATCTTCCATTGCTGATACCCTTTCTTCCAGTTGATCGCATCGGCTCCTGAGGCTTCTGCATTCTTCACGTAGTTCTCGAGCCTTGTTTTTCAGCTCCATCAGCTACTTTAAGCACTTCTCTGTATTGGTTATTCTAGTTATACATTCTTCTAAATTTTTTTCAAAGTTTTCAACTTCTTTGCCTTTGGTTTGAATGTTCTCCCATAGCTCAGAGTAATTTGATCGTCAGAAGCCTTCTTCTCTCAGCTCGTCAAAGTCATTCTCCATCCAGCTTTGTTCCGTTGCTGGTGAGGAACTGCGTTCCTTTGGAGGAGGAGAGGTGCTCTGCTTTTTAGAGTTTCCAGTTTTTCTGTTCTGTTTTTTCCCCATCTTTGTGGTTTTATCTCCTTTTGGTCTTTGATGATGGTGATGTACAGATGGGTTTTTGGTGTGGATGTCCTTTCTGTTTGTTAGTTTTCCTTCTAACAGACAGGACCCTCAGCTGCAGGTCTGTTGGAGTACCCAGCCGTGTGAGATGTCAGTCTGCCCCTGCTGGGGGGTGCCTCCCAGTTAGGCTGCTTGGGGGTCAGGGGTCAGGGACCCACTTGAGGAGGCAGTCTGCCCATTCTCAGATCTCCAGCTGTGTGCTAGGAGAACCACTGCTCTCTTCAAAGCTGTCAGACAGGGACATTTAAGTCTGCAGAGGTTACTGCTGTCTTTTTGTCTGTGCCCTGCCCCCAGAGGTGGAGCCTACAGAGGCAGGCAGGCCTCCTTGAGCTGTGGTGGGCTCCACCCAGTTCGAGCTTCCCGGCTGCTTTGTTTACCTAAGCAAGCCTGGGCAATGGCGGGCGCCCCTCCCCCAGCGTCGCTGCCACCTTGCAGTCTGATCTCAGACCGCTGGGCTAGCAATCAGCGAGACTCCGTGGGCGTAGGACCCTCTGAGCCAGGTGCAGGATATAATCTCCTGGTGCGCCGTTTTTTAAGCCCGTCGGAAAAGCACAGTATTCGGGTGGGAGTGACCCGATTTTCCAGGTGCCGTCTGTCACCCCTTTCTTTGACTAGGAAAGGGAACTCCCTGACCCCTTGTGCTTCCCGAGTGAGGCAATGCCTCGCTCTGCTTTGGCTCATGCATGGTGCGCGCACCCACTGACCTGCGCCCACTGTCTGGCACTCCCTAGTGAGATGAACCCGGTACCTCAGATGGAAATGCAGAAATCACTCGTCTTCTGCGTCGCTCAGGCTGGGAGCTGTAGACCAGAGCTGTTCCTATTCGGCCATCTTGGCTCCTCCTCCTAGAAGCAGTTCTTAATAAATACAGTTCCCACCAAACCACTTCACAAGATGTCATCATGCCCTTTTATAGAAGACACATCAGACCAACACTTCAAGAGAGAAAAGTAAAACTGAATTAAAATTACCTGTGTCTGTAAACTCTTCTTAAAATTTGAGAAGTTTATATCAATTTCTCATAAAAAATAAAACCTCATTAATTTGTATAATCCTAAAGAATTCATTAATAGAAACCAAATGAAAGCATGAGTGACATAAGCTCTTAAAAGACCAAGGCTTTTCGTCAGTGACATTTTCAACAAGTACATGATTACATATTTGTGGGTGCTTCTAGCACAGTGATGGGCACATGAGAAAGAATTCAATTCCATAAATATTTATAGTATTGAACTCTAAATTAGCTCCTGACTCTTGCTGTTACATATTCTAAATACATTCCCCATAAGTTGATTATACTATTTGCCTAATCTATAAAGATGAATTAGTCTTCAAAGTACTTTTTTAAAAACTTGCAGCTCAAATTAAAATATGATTAATTCAAAATGAAACAATTATATTGCATAAATCTATATCATAGTATGAAATCTTACTCTTATTTAGAGGAGAGTCTAAGTAAATTGTTTCCAGAATTAAAGAGTAATTCTAGATGTTAAGGTACTTAGTAAAACACTTTACTTATAATTACAGAATTTTAACATGCAAGTTTCATTAACATTACCTTTGCAGATTGAAGAAAAAGAATATTAGTAGTTACTATTAATCTTAGGCAAAAGCCATTTCTTTGCAAGTCTTAATGTCCAGCTTAAACCAAAATTACATGATAAATTAGATTACATTAGGTGGGGCACATGGCTACTTAGCAACTGATGGATGGTGGAAATGCTTTTTGGTTTTTTTTTATTTCAGTGTTTCTCATTGAAATATTAAGTCACATCTACATATATATATATGATGAACTTGACATTCTCGTCAGTGAGCTCCGTGATCCACGCGGTAGGCTAGTTGGCATACGGCGTTGCGCCCAGGTGCCACCAGCCTCCATGTCAGCTCCGTGGTGACTCTTCTTACACATTCTTAAATACAAGTCCTTTGTTTCTATAGGAGATATTCTCAAAGTGGGATGTGAATCTAAGTTATGAAGCATAACAATTAAATAACATCCATACACCCATCACTTCATGCAGAATGAAATATTTCTAGTCCTGTGGAAGCTACAGGACTGCTGGAATTTCTTCTCTGATCCAGTCCCCTTGCTTCATCACAGAGATGACCACTCTTCTGAAGGTTATGTCCATAATCCCTGTGCTTTTCTTTATAGTCTACATATATATCTATGTATAGAGAGGGCAGGTGTAGGTATAAATATAGATATATCTAAAAATATATTATTTTGCCATATTTATTTTTAAGCTTTAAAAAATGGGTATCATGCTGAAGTAGTATTTACCTTGAAGCACATTGTGATCAATAAAAACAACACCATCACGCCCAGTGGTATAAGCATGGCTCACACAGCTAATCCTGGCATTTTGGGAGGCTGAGGCAGGAGGAGTTCAAGACCAGCTCTAAAAAAAAAGGGACCAGGAGTTCAAGACCAGCTCTACAAAAAATGAGACCCAGACCCTACAAAAAAATTTAAAAATTAGCCAGGCATGGTAGCATGTTCCTGTAGTCCCAGCTACTCAGGAAGCTAGGGCAGGATAATTGTGTGAGTACAGGAATTCAAGGCTGCAGTAAGTTGTGATCAGACTACTGCACTCCAGCCTAAGTGACAGAACAAGACCCTATCTTAAAAAACAGAAGAAGGGAGAGAGGCAAAGATGGCTGATTCAGAGCCGCTGCCGTCAATGGCTCTCATGGAAAAGAATGAAAATGGTGAGTGAATTCAGCATCTTCAACCGAAATATCTGGGTTCTTACATTGGGAGTGACTAGGGGGATGGCTTGACCCACATAAAATGAAGAAAAGCAGGGTAGGGCAATGGCCCATCTGGAAGGGGCATGGAGTCAAAGGAATCCTGTCATGGTTAATACTGACTGTCAACTTGATTGGGTTGAGGGATACAAAGTATTAATCCTGGGTGTGTTTGTGTGAGTGTTGCCAAAAGAGATTAACATTTGAGTCAGTGGGCTGGCAAAGTCAGATCCACCCTTAATCTTGTGGGCACAATCTAATCAGCTTCCAGTGAATAGAAAGAAGGCAGAAAAACATGAAAAAGAGGAGATTAGCCTAGCATCCCAGCCTACATCTTTCTCCCATGCTGGATGCTTCCTCCCCTCGAACATTAGACTCCAAGTTCTTCAGTTTTGGGACTTGGACTGGTTCTCCTTGCTCCTCAGCTTGCAGACAGCCTATTATGGGACCTTGTGATTGTGTAAGTTAATACTTAATAAACTCCCCTTTATATATATATATATATATATATATATATATATATATATATATTCTCCTATTAGTTCTGTCCCTCTAAGAGAACCCTAATACAGATTAGATTTTGGTACTGGGAGTGTGGTTCTAGAGGAATAGAATATAAAGGATGGAGTTCTTTCATTGGTTTGGGAGTCTCTGGAGTTGGCTGATTAATATGATTAGACCCAAAAATGCTAAGGTCTCTACTTCTAATAGTATGGAGAACACTGATAGTTTTTGGTGGAAACTGTGTAGAGAGTTATACAAAGTAAATGCAATTGAGACTCCTGATTCACCACTCTTGAGAGGCAAGGAGTTTAGTGACTCTATACATAATACCTTTGACCATATGTGGAGAATCAAGGAACATAATGAAGCTGGTTGGTTGCTCCTAAGTTCAGTGGACAAAGTGATGAAAGAAAATGATGAACTCAAGTATTCTGTCTCCCAGGTTCAGAAGCAGATATGGAGCCTCAAATCTGCTAAGACTGCCCTGAATGAGAGTCTTATCTCCTGTAGAAAACGAGCTGAAACTGTGGAAAAACAGACCCAAGCTCTTACACGAGTGGCTGACCAGCAATGAAAGATGCATGCACAGCCTCACCAGGTGTCTACTGTTAAAGTGAGGGCATTTGTTGGAAAAGCATGCGACCTGGCAACTTGGAATGGGGACATGTGGGAGGACCCTGATGAAGCTGAGGACACTGAGTTTGTAAACTCCGGTGAACCTTTTTTGCCAGAAGAAACAGCTTCCCCATCCCCAGTAGTGGCAACATCCCCTCCCTGACCTATGCTGTTATCAGTCTTTCCACCTTTGTCCAAGGAGAAAAACCCTATGCTGCCTGCAGCAACAGTGATGTCCTCCCCTGAGCCAGTTGCCAGGCAAGATAATGTTGAGTCTCCTCAGAGGCCACCCCCAACACCTGTTTGCTTCTAAACCTATAACTAAAGTCCTGGTGGCCCCCTAAGGATGAGGTTGAGAGTGTGACCCATGAGGAAGTGCACTATACTTGAACTGTTGGAGTTCTCTGATTTATATAAACAGCAATCTGGAGAACAGGCATGGGAATGGATATTAAGGTTATGGGATAATGGTGGAAGGAACACAGAGTTGGATCTGTAGCAGGATAAGCCATGGCCAAAACCCCTCAGACACTGGGTTGAGGGAAGAGGTAGCTTTATTTGGCCAGGAACGTCAGCAGACCTGCATCTCAAAAACTGAGCTCCCCAAGAGGGAAATTCCTGCCCCTTTTAAGGGCTTACAGTTCTAAGGGGGTCCACGTGAAAGGGTTGTGATCAATTGAGCAAGCATGGGGTACATGGCTGGGGCCCCATGCATTGGTAGTTAAGACAGAACAGAACAGAAAGTTTCACAATGCTTCCTCATACAATGTCTGGAATCTATAGATAGTACAAGCAGTTAGTCAGGGGTTGATATTTAATTAGCAGACCAGGCCTGGGGTGCGGGGCCAGGCTGCCTGACTATTTATCTCATTTTTGCCTTCTTTAACTTATTTCTTCCTTCTTTTTCTGAGGTATGAAACAATAAGAGAGGTGGTCTCCTTCCTCATTCCCCCCCTTTGAGAATCTCACTTATTAGTGGGAGTTCTCACTTTCATCTTCACTACCTAGGTCTTCCTGCAAGACAGATTGATAATGATTCATGTAATACATTTGAGCCTTATCTGTACTTGCTAGTTTCACATTCCTTGAGGCTCAGCGAGTTTCTGCTTCACCTCCCCCGTGCAGCTGCAAAGTTACAAGGTTTATACAGAAACATGGTTTCCCAAGGATTTGGAACATGTAATATAGATAAATGTAAAAGACTGATCAACTGCCTTTGTTCTTGCTTCTCTAAGTGTGCTTCCTGCATCACGTAGCTCCCAGCCACTGACTGCTTAAAAGGTGGCTGCTTTCTTTGTCCAGGGCTCAGACTTTCCTGTACACTAATCCTACTGAGCCAAGTGATCATCTTTTAATAAAGACCTTTCCTGAACTCACTTTGTTTGGTCTCTCCCATCTTTGATTGTCCCGCAACAATAATAACTATAAAACAGAAACTGTTTTAACTTGTTGCCCTACTCAGTGACCTGATGAATACATTGGGAACAGTCCTCCATGTGGGGAAAATCAGTGGAAGTCCTTATTACATAAGTCCAAATTTTAAGGAGAATAAGTCCCACGATGAGTTTCCTCATGCTTTGGCTGTGCATAGATGAGTCAGCTTCTGGGTGTGACTGCAGCAGGGCTTGTCGTCCTTCTCAGAGTCACTTTGCAGGGGTTGTCTGGGCTTGGTCTCACCTTCCAGGTCTCAGAGGCTGCAGGTTTCACATGGCTGTGGTGGATCCAGGCTTGGATTCCTTCAACCTTTACAGCTGTGGGGGTGGTCAAGATGACGGTCTGGGGTCTTTCCACCGTGGTCACAAGGGGACTACATTCCAATCCTTGATCCACACTTGATCACCTGGAGAGAAAGGGTGAACTGGGTAGAATAAGCTAATGGGGCACCTCTCATTTACCCAGGCTGAAATTGTTTGAGCAATTTTTCCTATGGCCTATAGCTGTCATTTTAACTCAATTTCACCTAGCTCTTGTGGAGTGCCTGGGAGTCCCCATAGTATGGGAGGGGGTCTATGGTACAATATTTTATAAGGGGAATATCCTGTTCTTTTAGAAGGGGTACATCTTATTTTAAACAATACCATCAGGAGAGCCTGTATCTATTTTAATCTTGTTTCCTGACACACTTTCCCTAAGCTATTCTTGATAGTCTGATTCATTTGCTCCACCTTTCCTGAACTTTGAGGTCAGGAGGCAGCATGCAGTTTCCATGTGATCCCTAATACCTTTGCTGTCTTCTGTACCAAGTCAGCCACAAATGCCAACCCATTATCTGAGCCAATTCGTAAGAGCAGTCCAAATCTAGGAATACGATCTCGAAGAAGTGCACGGGTTACTTCACGAGCTTTCTCAGTTCGTGTTTGATAAGCCTCCACTCACCCAGAGTAGGTATACATGAGAACTAGTAAATACTTGTTATCTCCACACTTGGGCATTTATGTTAAGTCCACCTGGAGATCTTCAAAGGGAGCTGCTCCATAAACTTGTATGCTGAGCAGAACAGCTGGACCCTGCCTCGCATTGTGCTGTCGGCAGGTTACACACCACTGCACCAGTATTTTGGCAAGGGCTGACAAATGCGAGATGTAGAAATACTGGCCTAACAACTTTTCAAGTGACCCCTGACCTAGATGGGTGGTTTCATGCACAGTCAGTACGACTGCGGCTCCCAGCAGCTGTGGCAAAGCTACTTTCCTATCTGGTAACTGGATCCATCCTTCTTCCATCACCTGTCCTCCCTCTGCCTGTAGAAAGTCCTTTTTTCTTCTTTAAAATAAGTAGGTACAAGGTCAGGTGCTTGAGGGAGCAGGGGGGCTGTGACTGATGCCTGGTAGGGGGCAGATGCTGCTTTTCGAGCCTCTGAGTCAGCTTGGGAGTTGTCCAAGGCAACTGAGGTGGAAGCTCGCTGGTGGACTCCGCAGTGCATGACTGCCACCTTTTGGGGTTTCCATACTTTTTCTAATAATTGCAAGATTTCTTGCTGATATTTTAGTCCTTTACCCCAGAGTTCAACAGGCCCTTTTCTTTATATAATGCTCCATGCACTTGGAGGGTTAAAAAGGCATACCTGGAGTCAGTGTAAATGTTTACAGCCTTACCTTCACTGAGTTCTAAGGCCCAAATTAAAGCAATGAGCTCAGCTTTCTGGGCTGAGGTACCTTGGTGCAATGATTTGGCCTCAATTACAGTGTCCACGGTTACCACTGCATATCCCGCACACCTCTCTCCTTGTGGGTTGACAAAGCTGCTCCTGTCCATGCACAGCTCCCAGTCCACTGATGCCCAAGGTTGGTCCCGGAGGTCAAGTCTGCTAGAGTAAACTGGGTCTAACACCTCTACACAGTTAGGCTCGACAGGGCTCTCTGATACCGGGAGCAAGGTGGCGGGGTTCAGGGTTTTACAAATTTCAATGGTTATGCGGGGATTTTCACAGAGCAAGCTTTGGTACTTGGTTAGTCTAGCATTCGTTAGCCAATGATGTCCTTTGGTATTCATTAAAGTCACCATAGCATGGGGGGCCCCTTTATGTTCAGGTTTTGCCCAAGGGTTAGTTTATCTGCTTCTTGTGCTAGCAGGGCAGTTGCTGCTAAGGCCCTCAAACCCGGGGGCCAACCTTTGGAAACCCTGTCTAGTTGTTTAGAGAGGTAGCCACCGGCCTCAACCAGGGCCCCACAGTCTTGGTCAAAACCCTAACTGCCATTTTTTCTCTCTCTGACACATATAGTGTAAATGGCTTTGTCAGGTCAGGCAGACCCAGGGCTGGGGCTGACATGAAGTTTTCTTTTAACTCATGAAAATCCTGTTGCTGTTGGGACCCCCATTCGAAAGGTTCCATGTCACCCCTCTTTGTAACTTGGTACAGAGGTTTGGCCAGTACTGCAAAATTTGGGATCCATAACCTGCAGAACCCTAAGAACAGCTCCTAAGAATTCTCTCACCTGCCTTCTGGTCTTAGGCTCTGGTAGGTTGCAAATGACCTGCTTTCTTTCTGATCCTAGGCTGCGTTCCCCCTGTCGGATTGTAAATCCTAGGTAGCGTACCTGCTGTCTGCAGATCTGAGCTTTCTTCTTGGACACCTTATACTCACAGTCCTCCAGGTGTCAGAGCAGGGCGTCTGTTCCTTTGGCGCACCCAATTGCTGTGGGGTGTCCCAGCAGGAGGTCGTTGACATACTGGAGCAACACACAGCCTAGGTCTCTGGCGGGAAACTTTCGCAGGTCTTGAGCCAGGGCCTCCCTGAAGATAGTGAGGGAGTTTCTGAACCCTTGGGGACGCCGGGTCCAAGTGTACTGAGTGGTGACACCTAAGCCTGGATCTTCCCACTGGAAAGCAAACAGTTTCTGGCTCTCAGGAGCTAGTCTGGTGCTAAAGAAAGTGTCCTTCAAGTCCAGGAGGTGAAGCAGCTGTCCTCAGCTGGCAGTAACCCTAAGAACATGTACGGGTTAGGTACCATTGGGTGCAAAGTCACTGTAGCTTGGTTAACCAAGCGCAAGTCCTATACTGGTCTGTAAACCTTGGTTCCTGGATTGGGAACAGGCAGCAGGGCTGTGTTCCAGGCAGACTGACAGGGGGCTATAATTCCAAAGGCCTTCAGGCACTGGAGATGGATCTGGATACCTTCAAGAGCTTCTCTGGTTACGGGGGCTTCGTTTACTGCTAGCCCCAGAGGATTATCTTCTGCCCACACCCTTAGCCACTGTTTAGCCAAAGCTGGTCCTATCTCTTGGCCTGGCTCAGTTAAGAAAAGTCCATTCTTCCTCCCAGGGGACTGTAAGGGCCATAATGACTCCCATTCCAGGTAACTTTAGCGGTAAAGAGCTGTGCTTTGTAAAAGAGATGGTGGCCCTCAGCTTGCTAAGCAAGTCCCTTCCCAGCAAGGGCAAGGGGCAGTCAGGCATGTACAAGAACTGGTGAATCACTTCATGTCTCCCTACAGTACAAGTCCGGGGCAAGTAGAAAGCTTGTTTTTTCAAGACTCCTGTGGCTTTGATTATATCAATAGTCTTTTTGGATAAGGGGGTGACTGGGGTGGTTACTACTGAATGTTCAGGATAAGTATTGACAGGAAACTCAATGTCCTTGCTCCTGACTGTCATCTTGACCATGGGCTCATTGGGGGCACCTGAGCCCGGTCCCCCTCAGTCCAGTAACCCTTCTGCTAGATTAAACAAGGCCCCTTCATCCTTGCCTGAAACCTCTGGCTCAGAGCCATTTTGTTTCTCTTTTAACTAGGGGCACTTGTCTTTCCAATGCGCTGTTTCTTTACAGTATGCACACTGGTTATGCTGCAGGCATGGTTGGTCAGACTGAGTGTTTTTCCCAGGGTCCCCCCTTCCTCGGCCCTTCGGGGGAACTCCTCTAATAGCTGCAGCTAGCAGATAGGTGTTTTGCCGGGCTTGGCACTTGCTTTCTTTGCGGCTCTCTCTACGGCCTGCCACATCTCTACTCACAAACATCTGACTGGCTATTTTTAATAACTGTGAAGTATTCATACTCACAAACCCAGCCTGTTTCTGAAGCTTTCTTCTAATATCTTTGGTGCTTTGACTAACTAAAGCCATGTTAATCATGCGCTGATTTTCAGGGCTATTGGGATCAAAGGGAGTATACATACGATAGGCCTCACATAGTCCCTTGTAAAATTGTGCTGGACTCTCTTCTTTTCCTTGAATGACCTCAGAGACTTTGTTAACATCTGTGGCCTTCTGAGCTCCCTTTTTTAACCCTTCCAGGAGGGCCTCTCTATACTGTTTTAGTCTCTCCATGTCTGGCCCTTCATTTGGGTCCCACTGGGGGTCTGTTCCTGGTAATTGGACTCTCACATACTCCTGGGGGTTTTGGTAACTGGCCAGAGCATGTTCCTCTAGCCACTTAGTTGCTGCCTGGAGCACCCTTCGCTTTTCATCTGTGTTAAAGAGGTACATGAGCAGCTGGTGGCCATCAGCCCAAGTAGGGTTATGAATCTGGATAATAGTTTGGAGCAAATCAACTAATGCTTGAGGCTTTTCACTATAAGATGGGGTATTGTTCTTCCAGTTGAGGAGATCAGCAGAGGTGAAGGGTTGATACACAAAGGCACTCCTTTCTACCATATGCCCATCCTCGTCTACCCCAGTATATCGCTGCTCCCTCAGGGGCATTTGTATTCCAGTCTTAGGCCATAAATGAGCCACCAGGGGAGGGGTTTCTCCCACAGCTTCACATCCTCTCTTGTCTACTCTGGGTGGTCTAGTGGTGTGTGTGTCCTGTGGAGGCACAGGTGCTGTGGGCTCAGAAGTGGGGAGTCTCTCTTCTCAGTAAGCGGGGGGCATCGCTGGTGCCATTTCCTGCCATAAGTCTCCTGATATTGGATTGGACAGAACTTTAGGGGCCGACTTCCCTTGGCAGGTGGAGCGGGATCCTTCCTTAACTATCTGTCCTTTCACCACTAACACTGTGGCTCCCTGTCCTCTTAACCACGGTGGGGGGTTCTAAAACCAGCTGTAACCAAGTGTCTATGCATGGGAACTGGTCTGGGTGCCCTGGCTTACAGGTTATCTTATGACATACCTTTGAAACAAGGGCCCTATCCAGGCTTCTTCTGATGGCCAACCCACCTCAAATACTGGCCAGTCTATCTTACACAAAGTTCTAAGTTTTCCTGGTGTCATAGTAACTCCATAGTCTCCCTTAAATCCCTACTTAAAATTTTTTAACATAGTTCCTAGTGGAGTGGGTTTACTTTGTGTCTGACCCATTTTTCTCTCGAGACAATGTTCACACTACAAGAAGGAAAGGGTAAAGATCACTCACTCATCTAATTCACACTAAATCAAGCATTTCAAGCCAAGTCAAAATCAAAACCAAAACCAAAGTGCCAATAAAGGCACACCATGGGTGATCAGGTCACGCTTCCACTCAAATGGAGTGGGCAAGTCCCCAAGACCAGTCTTACCATATTCCAGATGTCCGGACTCCAAGTGCCAGTTCCTTTCTGGTGTTCTGCCACTGCGTTGATCCTCCGCAGGGGCCTGCCATGCACTCCTCTGTTGAGGCGTTCCACCGGGGCAAATGCCTACCCAGGAGTGCTCTCAGGATCCGTGTCACTCAAGCTGGCCGGAGTCCCCTGCAGGGATGCTCCACAGGGCAGGCCTGAGCCACCTAAGGGGCTGCCTTGACTGTCTGCTAATCACCTCGCTTCCCAGTCAGAGAACCAAGAAATGTAGCAGGACAAGCTGTGGACAAAACCCCTCAGACACCAGGTTGAGAAAGGAAGTAGCTTTATTCGGCCAGGAGCATCAGCAGACTTGTGTCTCAAAAACCAAGCTCCCTGAGAGAGAAATTCCTGCCCCTTTTAAGGGCTTACAATTCCAAGGAGGTCCACATGAAAAGGTCGTGATCGATTGAGCAAACATGGGGTACGTGGCTGGGGCTGCATGCATCGGTAATCAAGACAGAACAGAACAGAGCAGAAAGTTTCACAATGCTTCCTCATACAATGTCTGGAATCTATAGCTAATACAAGTGGTTAGGTCAGGGGTTGATTTTTAACTACCAGACCAGGCCTGAAGTGCAGTGCTGGGCTGTCTATTGATCTCATTTTTGCCTTTCTTTAACTTTTACTTCCTCATTCTTTTTCTGAGGTATGAGACAATAAGAGAGGTGGTCTCCTTCCTTAGATCAGGCTGAATTTATTGACTTGGGCCCACTAAGTAGGGACTCTGCATTTAATGTTGCAGCTTGAGGAGTTAAAAAAGCACTTCCTGTACAGCCTGCAGAACCATGAGCCAAAATAAATTTTTCTTTTTTTTTTCTGATGGAGTCTCACTCTGTCACCCAGGCTGGAGTGCAGTGGAACAATCTCAGCTCACAGCACCCTCCACCTCCCAGGTTCAAGCAATTCTCCTGCCTCCGCCTCACGAGTAGCTGGGACTACAGGCATGTGCTACTATGCCCTGCTAATTTTTGTATTTGTGGTAGAGATGGGGTTTGACCATGTTGGCCAGGCTGGTCTTGAACTCCTGACCTCAAGCGATTGGCCCGCTTTGGCCTCCCAAAGTGCTGGGATTACAGGAGTGAGCCACCATGCCTGGCCCTCTTTTCTTTAGGAATTACCCAGTGTCAGGTATTCCTTTACAGCAAGGCAAGAAATAACATAATCCCATAGGACAAAATAAATATCCATAAATCCATAGGGACATAAATAAATAATTCAATAAATAAATGTATGAGAGAAGAGACACTTCTTCCTTACAGAATTCCAATTAATCAATGTAGAAGGAATGAGTAAAATACAAAATCCCCACTAGACCACCACAGTAGTAACTGTTGACAAGATCCACCAATGAATGAGAAAACCAGCAGGCAAAAGTTTGAGAAGAAACAGGATGCTAGCACAGTCTAAAGCATCTCTCCAAGATGTTTATCATTTACAAAGGGAGAAAAGTAACTTACAGTAATGAAACCTGGGAGATTCCACCTTAACCAAGTGATCGTGGTAAATATCACTAATAAGCCACGTTGGCATCCTGTACCCCGATAGGAAATAACAAGGGCATTTCACCTTGTGATCTTCTTCCCCCAAACACATCACCTTAGTCTAATCATGAGGAAAACGTGGACAAAACCAAACTGAGGATCATTCTACAAAAAAGCTGGCCAGTACTCATCAAGAGTCCATGAAAGACAAGGAAATACGGAACAACTGTCACAGATTGGAGGAAACTGAGGGGACACGAATGAATGCAACGTGGCATCTTAGATTATATCCTGGAATATTAAAAAGGCATGGTAGGGGTGGGAGGAGATGGTGAAAATCAAAGGGCTATAGTTTAATTCATAGTATTGTATCAAAGTTAATTTCCTCATTTTGATTACTGAACTACAGTTATATAAGTTTTTAACATCAGGGAAGCAAAGTGGTAGAAATATGTGAACTCTGTACTATTTCTTCAAATTTTCTGTAAGTCTAAAATTATTTCAGAAATAAAATAAAAACACATGCATCCACAAAATAGTAACTACGGAGAGGTGATAATGTGTTAATTATCTTGATTTTGATGATCATTTCACAACGCATGTGCATATCAACCATCAAATTGTACACCATATATAATTTTTATGTCAATAAATCTTAAAATATATAAAAACAAATGAATTAATAAAATAAAAAATAAATTAAAAATAAGAATAAGCTCCATCTGAAGCGCTACTTGCATAGTGCACATTGAAAACCACATCCTGCTGCTGCTGGCTGGAGGACTTGAATACCATTCAGAATTTCCCCTATTACTGTGCAGCTCTTCATCGAAAATCATAACTACAAAATTGCTGGCAAGGTACTCTCCCTGGTCCTCGATTTTCCATACCTATAAAATGAAAGAGTTAGGAAAAAAAGATACTATTCTTTCTCTTTTTTTGTTTTTGTTTTTTTTTGAGATGGAGTCTTACTCTGTCACCCAGTCTGGAGTGCAGTGGTGCAATCTCCAGCTCACCGCAAGCTCTGCCTCCCGGGTTCACGCCATTCTCCTGCCTCAGCCTCCTGAGTAGCTGGGACTACAGGTGTCCGCCATCACGCCCAGCTAAGTTTTTGGTAGTTTTTGTAGACACAGGGTTTCACTGTGTTAGCCAGGATGTTCTCGATCTCCTGACCTTGTGATCCGCCCACCTCAGCCTCCTAAACTGCTGGGATTACAGGTGTGAGCCACCATGCCCGGCCTCTTTCTCAGTTTTGAAATTCTATGCTTCATGCTTCATAATTCTCAACTCTTCTTAGCTTGGCCTTCATTGCCAAGTTAAGTTAACAGCTTTGGTGTAGAAGTGACCAGAGATTATATATACCAGTTTGGGGCTTAGTATGTCATCACATTAACCAAAGACAGCCCATGTATGTGGCAGAGGTAATTGGGTTCTTAGTTTTCTTTTTTGTTTTCCTTTTTTCTTTTTGAGACATAGTCTCACTCTGTCACCCAGGCTGGAGTGCAGTGGCATGATCTTGGGTCACTGCAACCTCCACCTCCCGGGTTCAAGCGATTCTCCTGCCTCAGCCTCCCAAGTAGCCAGGATTACAGGCCTGCGCCACGACGCCTGGCTAATTTTTATATTTTTGGTAGAGACAGAGTTTCACCATGTTAGCCAGGCTGGTCTCGAACTCCTGACCTCAGGTGATCCGCTCACCTCAGCCTCCCAAAGTGCTGAGATTACAGGCGTGAGCCACCGCACCCGGCCAGGTTCTTAGGTTTCAATATCTCAGAAAGCTAATTAATAATCGTAATCTCATTTAAATCTCTTGATTTTACACAGTAATAACAGTGAACACATGGTGAAATTCGGTCCATCTAACTCAGAAACTTCATTTTAGGACAATATTTCAAACTCCTTTCCCATCTAGGCATTTTTCAGTAGCAGACATGTGGCACACCTGACTCCCTTCACCTCCCTCTTAGTGAAGGTTTAGGAATTAGAGATGTACTCAAAGCCAGAACTCAGTGGCCTAAATCACCAGTCCTTGGATTACTACAAGCTCACCTAGAGTCTAAAAGAACAATTCTCCTTATGCCCATTGTGATCCTGGAAACATCACTTCTCTCCTCAGTTGCTGTTTCTCACTTAGCATCTCACTTTGGAAATCTTTGTTTCTCTGTGGCCACTAGGACATTTGCTCCACTGAACTTTCTGGCTTTAATTTTTGCCCCCTCAATCAGTCCCAAATAGCCCTACTGAAGTAGCCCCAGAAACTTGCATTGCTATTCCACTCTTTCATGATTTCTCATCTACATATTAACCACTCCAACATTCCTGCATTTGTGGTCATCTTGTCAGCACATCTCGCTGACCTAAATGAAGAAATTCCTATTCCTTTTACTCCAGATTATCCATATAATTCTTCTTGAAAGCTATTCTTGGGATGTACTAAGGAAAGTACTTGACTTTTGGTGTCTGATGATGTAGGGTTTAAGTGCTGGCTGCACCACTTACTTAGGAAATTTCAAAAAGGTATTAAATTCTCATAAATGGGAATAATGCCTACTTTATAAGGTGTTTCAAAAATTCAGTGATAATGTATGTGATATACACAGCACAAGGTCAGTCTGTTGAGAAGGACCCTGCCGGTCGTGGCTATGAAGATGATAAGTACCCATGGGATGCCATGAACACAGCAGTCACCTCTACTGACCTCAGCCACAAAACACCAGCCCTTCTAGCTTCCCTGGATCCTTTGCTAACTGTGCTTTTTTCTAGGAGAGTATGTGTTTCTCTATTTGGCTTGAGAACTGAACAATCCTTCAAAGGGTTGAAGTATCTTTATTATATATACGGTCTATGCTTTATCATACTAATTTTTTTTTTTTTTTTGAGGCAGGGTCTCACTCTGTGGTTCAGGCTGGAATGTAGTGGCATGATCACAGATCACTGCAGCCTTGAACTCATGGGCTCAAGTGATCCTCCTGCCTCAGCCTTCTGAGTAGCTGGGACTTTAGGTGCACACCACCAGGTCTGGCTAATTTTTTTTTTTTTTTAAGAGATGGAGTCTCACTATGTTGCCCAGGCTGGTCTCAAACTCCTGGGCTCAAGTGATCCTCCCGCCTAGGCCTCTCAATGTATTGAGATTACAGATGTAAGCCACCTTGCCCAGCCCTAAATTTTTTTTCTTATGTTAAAATACACAAAAATGTACCATCCTAACCATGTTTAAGTGTGCAATTCAGTGGTGTGAAGTACATTCACATTGTTATGTAGCCATCACTACTATCCATCCCCTGAACTTTTAAAAAAGTCATCCCAAACAGAAAGTCTATACCCATTAAACACTAACTCTCTATTCTCCCCTACCACCAGCCCCTGGAAACTACTTTCTGTCTCCATGAATTTACCTATTCTAGGTTCTTCACATACATAGAATCATATATTTGTGCTTCTGTGACTGGCTTATTTCACTTAGTATAATGTTCTCAAGGTTCATCTATGTTGTAGCATATATAAGAATTGCACTTCTTTTTAGGCTAAATCATAGTCCATTGTACATATATACCTCATTTTGTTTATCCATTCATCTATGGATGAACATTTGGGTTGTTTCCACATTTTGGCTATTGTTACTTTATCCTGTTTTACATTCTGCAGAAATTTACATCTTTATTTTCAGAACTATTAAGTTTCCTCATACTAACAGTCACAGGGAGAGAGTCATGAAAGACTTGCATTTGACTTCATTTTTTGGTCATTTATTCTTTTTTTTTTTTTTTGGCAGCCACAAAGACTGGGATTTCTAATTCTAGTTATGATAAGTAGACAATTTAAGCCATTTATCCTTTTTTCTGTTTCCTTTTCAAGAAAAGAAAATCGTATTTTTATAAAATATGATCATGTCAGTTTGGTCTATTTTTATATGTGTTAAGGAGAGCAATAATAGTCAAAAGAATAACAATATAACGATTAGGTATTTAGTTTTAAAAAAAAAAAAAAGTAGAGGATGGGGCAATAGATAGCCTGCCTCTTCTCTAACCAATTTGTTAACTGTTTAAGAAATTAACAATAAAGAATATGGCATATGGAGGCCAGAATGTTACTTTTATCATGAACAAAGTTGATTTCGGAGAATGCAGCTTATCTCTACTTGCAGGCAGATGGCCATCTTAATTCTATATCCCAGAATTAAACAGGTCTCCCAGCCACTCATAGACATGTCTCCTGCAGGGAAGGAAAAATTATCGACTGACAAACAGTCTGATTAAATGCTTGTCTTTTACACCTGCTATGGTTTGAATGTGTCTCCTCCAAAACTTAGGTGTTGCTAATGTGACAGTATTAAGAGGTAGGGCCTTTAAAAGGTGATTAGGCCACAAGGGCTCCTGTCTTGTGAATGGGATTAGATGCCCTTATAAAAGGGCTTCAAAGAGGGAGTCATCCCTTTTTGTCCTTCTGCCTTCTGTTATATGAGCACACAGCATTCTTCCCCCGCTCCTCAATACGCAACAGTCAAACTGCCATCTTGGAAGCAAAAAGACCAGACCTTCACCAGATAACTGAACCTGCCAGTGCCTTCATCTTGGATTTCCTGACTTCCAGACCTGTGAGGAAACAAATTCCTGTTCTTTATAAATTACCCAGTCTGTGGTATTCTGTTATAGCAGCTCAAAACAGACTAACACAATGTCCTCACCCCACCTCTCTGCCTTGGTACCCATCACATTGTGTAGCAATGGCCTGCCTTGGCCTGTCTCTTTCCTATGAGCATGTTGCCTTCATCCATTCTTCCACTCACTCAAATGGTTTTATTGAGTGCCTATTTTGGGCCTAGCAATATGCTAGGTCTTGCATTCAAGTCTTCTGTCAACAGAGGTGACAGAAACTGACATAACACCTACCCTTAAGGAAAGCAGCATAGAAAATATTGTAAAGGAGACAGAGTGCAGCATTAGACAATAAGAAGGGCAGAGTGATTTAACAAACTGGGAGAAGGCTTTTCTTGGGAAGTCACATTTTTGATGACACCTCGAGGTCAAGGAGTACTTCACCAGTATATTATACTCTGGTGTCCAGTAGAGACATAGTACATAGCAGAGCTCAGTAAATGCTTAACAAATTAATCAATGAGTGATATATGTGAAAACACTTTATATGCAGTCAAAGTACCACACAGATGTTAACTATTATCATATAGTTAATATGGAGAGATCTACTTTTGTTCAGCTTCTCTGGAATACCCAAAAAGATATATGGCAGTGTCCGGAGACATTGTGAGTTGTCACAACTGGAGTTGAGGGGAGATGTGGTAATGGCATCTAGTGAGTAGAGACCACAGTTGCTACTAAACATCCTACAATATACACAGCAATCCCCCAAAATGTCAATAATGCCACTATTAAGAAATCCGATTCTGAAAAAAGGTTCCAAGATGGCCGAATAGGAACAGCTCCAGTCTACAGCTCCCAGCATGAGTGACGCAGAAGACGGGTGATTTCTGCATTTCCAACTGACCTTTGAAGAGAGTAGTAGTTCTCCCAGCATGGAGTATGAGATCTGAGAATGACAGACTGCCTCCTCAAGTGGGTCCCTGACCCCTGTGTAGCCTAACTGGGAGGCACCCCCAAGTAGGGGCAGACTGACACTTCACAAGGCCAGGTACCCCTCTGAGACGAAGCTTCCAGAGGAACAATCAGGCAGCAACATTTGCTGTTCTGCAATATTTGCAGTTCTGCAGCCTCTGCTGGTGACACCCAGGCAAACAGCGTCTGGAGTGGACCTCCAGCAAACTCCAACAGATGAGCAGCTGAGGGTCCTGACTGTTAGAAGGAAACCTAACAAACAGAAAGGACATCCACATCAAAACTCCATCTGTACGTCACCATCATCAAAGACCAAAGGTAGATAAAACCACAAAGATGGGGAGAAACCAGAGCAGAAAGGCTGAAAATTCTAAAAATCAGAGTGCCTCTTCTCCTCCAAAGGAATGTAGCTCCTCACCAGCAACGGAACAAAGCTGGATGGAGATTAACTTTGATAAGTTGAGAGAAGAAGGCTTCAGAAGATTGATAATAACTAACTTCTCTGAGCTAACGGACGATGTTCAAATCAATTGCAAAGAAGCTAAAAACCTTGAAAAAAGATTTGACGACTGGCTAACTAGAATAAACAGCATAGAGAATACCTTAAATGACCTGATGGAGCTGAAAAACATTGGAACAAGAACTACAAGACACATGCACAAGCTTCAGTAGCCGAATTGATCAACTGGAAGAAAGGGTATCAGTGATTGAGATCAAATGAATGAAATGAAGTAAGAAGAGAAGTTTAGAGAAAAAAGAGTAAAAAGAAATGAACAAAGCCTCCAAGAAATATGGGACTACGTGAAAAGACCAAATCTACGTCTGATTGGTGTACCTGAAAGTGACGGGGAGAATGCAACCAAGTTGGAAAACACTCTTCAGGATATAATCCAGGAGAACTTCCCCAACCTAGCAAGGCAGGCCAACATTTAAATTCAGGAAATACGGAGAATGCCACAAAAATACTCCTCGAGAAGAGCAACCCCAAGACTCATAATTGTGAGATTCACCAACATTGAAATGAAGGAAAAAATGTTAAGGGCAGCCAGAGAGAAAGATCGGGCTACCCACAAAGGGAAGCCCATCAGACTAACAGTGGATCTCTCGGCAGAAACTCTACAAGCCAGAAGAGAGTGGGGGCCAATATTCAACATTCTTAAAGAAAAGAATTTTCAACCCAGAATTTCATATCCAGCCAAATTAAGCTTCATAAGTGAAGGAGAAATAAAATTCTTTACAGACAAGTGAATGCTGAGAGATTTTGTCACCACCAGGTCTGCCTTACAAGAGCTCCTGAAGGAAGCACTAAACATGGAAAGGAACAACTGGTACCAGCCACTGCAAAAACATACCAAATTGTAAAGACCATAGAGGCTAGGAAGAAACTGCATCAACTAACAAGCAAAATAACCAGCTAACATCATAATGACAGGATCAAATTCACACATAACAATATTAACCTTAAATGTAAATGGACTAAATGCTCCAATTAAAAGACACAAACTGGCAAATTGGATAGAGTCAAGACCCATCAGTGTGCTGTATTCAGGAAACCCATCTCACGTGCAGAGACACACATAGGCTCAAAATAAATGGATGGAGGAAGATCTACCAAGCAAATGGAAAACAAAAAAAGCAGGGGTTGCAATCCTAGTCTCTGATAAAACAGACTTTAAACCAACAAAGATCAGAAGAGACAAAGAAGGCCATTACATAATGGTAAAGGGATCAATTCAACAAGAAAAGTTAACTATCCTAAATATATATAAACCCAAAACAGGAGCACCCAGATTCATAAGCAAGTCCTTAGAGACCTACAAAGAGACTTAGACTCCCACACAATAATAATGGGAGACTTTAACATGCCACTGTCAATATTAGACAGATCCACAAGACAGAAAGTTAACAAGGATATCCAGGAATTGAACTCAGCTCCGCACCAAGTGGACCTAATAGACATCTACAGAACTCTCCACCCCAAATCAACAGAATATACATTCTTCTCAGCACCACACCACACTTATTCCAAAATTGACTACATAGTTGGAAGTAAAGCACTCCTCAGCAAATGTAAAAGAACAGAAATTATAACAAACTGTGTCTCAGACCACAGTGCAATCAAACCAGAACTCAGGATTAAGAAACTCACTCAAAACTGCTCAACTACATGGAAACTGAACAACCTGCTCCTGAATGACTACTTGGGTACATAACGAAATAAAGGCAGAAATAAAGACGTTCTTTTAAATCAATGAGAACAAAGACACAACATACCAGAATCTCTGGGACACATTTAAAGCAGTGTGTAGACAGAAATTTATAGTACTAAATGCCCACAAGAGCAAGCAGGAAAGATCTAAAATTGACACCATAACATCACAATTAAAAGAACTAGAGAAGCAAGAGCAAACACTTCAAAAGCTAGCAGAAGCCAAGAAATAACTGAAGTGAAGGAGACAGAGACACAAAAAACCCTTCAAAAAATCAATGAATCCAGAAGCTGGTTTTTTGAAAAGATCAACAAAATTGATAGACTGCTAGCAAGATTAACAAAGAAGACAAGAGAGTAGAATCAAATAGATGCAATAAAAAATGATAAAGGGGATATCACAACCGATCCCACAGAAATACAAACTACCATCAGAGAATACTCTACACAACTCTATGCAAATGAACTAGAAAATCTAGAAGAAATTGATAAATTCCTGGACACATACACCCTCCCAAGACTAAACCAGGAAGAAGTTGAATCCCTGAATACACCAATAACAGGCTTTAAAATTGAGGCAATAATTAATACCCTACCAACCAAAAAAAGTCCAGGACCAGACGGATTCACAGCTGAATTCTACCAGAGGTACAAAGAGGAGCTGGTACCATTCCTTCTGAAACTATTCCAATCAATAGAAAAAGAGGGAGTCCTCCCTAACTCATTTTATGAGGCCAGCATCATCCTGATACCAAAGCCTGGCAGAGACACAACAAAAAAAAAGAATTTTAGACCAATATCCCTGATGAACATCAACACAAAAATCCTCAATAAAATACTGACAAACCGAATCCAGCAGCACATCAAAAAGCTTATCCACCATGATCAAGTGGGCTTCATCCCAGGAATGCAAGGCTGGTTGAACATATGCAAATCAATAAATGTAATCCAGCATATAAACAGATCCAAAGACAAAAACCACATGATTATCTCAATAGATGCAGAAAAGGCCTTTGACAAAATTCAACAACACTTCATGCTAACAACTCTCAATAAATTAGGTATTGATGGGATGTATCTCAAAATAATAAGAGCTATTTATGACAAACCCACAGCCAATATCATACTGAATGGGCAAAAACTGGAAGCATTCCCTTTGAAAACTGGCACAAGACAGGGATGCCCTCTCTCACCACTCCTATTCCACATAGTGTTGGAAGTTCTGGCCAGGGCAATCAGGCAGGAGAAAGAAATAAAGGGTATTCAATTAGGAAAAGAGGAAGTCAAATTGGCCCTGTTTGCAGATGACATGATTGTATATTTAGAAAACCCCATTGTCTCAGCCCAAAATCTCCTTAAGCTGATAAGCAACTTCAGCAAAGTCTCAGGATACAAAATCAATGTGCAAAAATCACAAGCATTCCCATACAACAATAACAGACAAACAGAGAGCCAAATCATGAGTGAACTCCCATTCACAATTGCTTCAAAGAGAATAAAATACCTAGGAATCCAACTTACAAGGGATGTGAAGGACTTGTTCAAGGAGAATTACAAACCACTGCTCAACGAAATAAAAGAGGACACAAACAAATGGAAGAACATTCCATGCTCATGGGTAGGAAGAATCAGTATCATGAAAATGGCCATACTGCCCAAGGTAATTTATAGATTCAATGCCATCCCCATCAAGCTACCAATGACTTTCTTCACAGAATTGGAAAAAACGACTTTCAAGTTCATATGGAACCAAAAAAGAGCCCACATCACCAAGTCAATCCTAAGCCAAAAGAACAAAGCTGGAGGCATCATGCTACTTGACTTCAAACTATACTACAAGGGTACGGTAACCAAAACAGTATGGTACTGGTACCAAAACAGAGATATAGACCAATGGAACAGAACAGAGCCCTCAGAAATAATACCACACATCTACAACCATCTGATCTTTGACAAACCTGAGAAAAACAAGAAATGGGGAAAGGATTCCCTATTTAATAAATGGTGCTGGGAAAACTGGCCATATGTAGAAAGCTGAAACTGGATCCCTTCCTTACACCTTATACAAAATTTAATTCAAGATGGATTAAAGACTTAAATGTCAGATCTGAAACCATAAAAACCCTAGAAGAAAACCTAGGCAATACCATTCAGGACATAGGCATGGGCAAGGACTTCATGTCTAAAACACCAAAAGCAATGGCAACAAAAGCCAAAATTGACAAATGGGATCTAATTAAACTAAAGAGCTTCTGCACAGCAAAAGAAATTACCATCAGAGTGAACAGGCAACCTACAGAATGGGAGAAAATTTTTGCAATCTATCCATCTCACAAAGGGCTGACATCTAGAATTTATTAAGAACTTAAACAAATTTACAAGAAAAAATCAAACAACCCCATCAAAAAGTGGGCAAAGGATATGAACAGACACTTCTCAAAAGAAGACATTTATGCAGCCAACAGACACTTGAAAAAATGCTCATCATCACTGGTCATCAGAGAAATGCAAATCAAAACCACAATGAGATACCATCTCATACCAGTTAGAATGGCGATCATTAAAAAGTCAGGAAACAACAGGTGCTGGAGAGGATGTGGAGAAATAGGAACACTTTTACACTGTTGGTGGGACTGTAAACTAGTTCAGCCATTGTGGAAGACAGTGTGGCGATTCCTCAAGGATCTAGAACTAGAAATACCATTTGACCCAGCCATCCCATTAGTGGGCATATACCCAAAGGAGTATAAATCATGCTGCTATAAAGACACATGCACATGTATGTTTATTGCAGCACTATTCACAATAGCAAAGACTTGGAACCAACCCAAATGTCCATCAATGATAGATTGGATTAAGAAAACGTGGCACATATACACCATGGAATACTATGCAGCCATAAAAAAGGATGAGTTCATGTCCTTTGTAGGGACATGGATGAAGCTGGAAACCATCATTCTCAGCAAACTATCGCAAGGACAAAAAACCAAACACTGCATGCTCTCAATAATAGGTGGGAATTGAACAATAAGAACACTTGGATACAGGGTGGGGAACACCACACACCGGGGCCTGTCGTGGGGTGGGGGGAGTGGGGAGGGATACCATTAGGAGATATACCTAATGTAAATGACGAGTTAATGGGTGCAGCACACCAACATGGCACGTGTATACATATGTAACAAACCTGCATATTGTGCACATGTACCCTAGAACTTAAAGTATAATAATAAAAGAAATCCGATTCTAAAATAATTACTGCGTTTATATGTGCATTCATCTGTTTTACAGTGGAGAAACATTTCACTGTATAAACATAATACAATGAATGCTAACATTTTTGTATTCATTCATTCAACAAATAATTACTAAACACCTATTATAAGATAGTATAGTCCTCAAGACTGTGGGGGATTTTTATTTTATTTGTAGAGAAAAGGGGCTTGCTCTGTCTCCCAGGCTGGAGTGCAGTGGAAGGATCATAGTTCACTGCAGCCTTGAACTTCTAGGCTCAAGTGATCCTCCGGTCTCAGCTTCCCTAGTAGCTGGAACTATAGACATGTGCCACCACTCTCAGCTAATTTTTCTGTTTTTTTGTAGAGACAGGGTCTCACTATGTTGCCCAGGCTGGTCTGAAACTCCTGGCCTCAAGCCATTCTCCTACCTCAGCCACCCAAAGTGCTAGGATTACAGGCATGAGCCACCACACCCAGCTGGATTTTTAAAATATTAAAGACACATCCTCGACCACTTGGAAGTATGTGAGATACTTTAAGAAAGTTACTAAAGTTCTAAATAAATAAATGTGCTAAAAGCTCAGGAGAGACCACACCTGACTGTGAAGAGGAAAGGCTTTATACACCCCTAAGGGCTTTGGACGGTAGAAGCATTCGCAAGAGTGAAGGGGTGGGTCTCCAGAGGCACAGGGAGTGGCCTAACTGGAGCACTGGGGTGTGAAAAGACACTGCATAGAGGGGTATGGAGAAGCCCAATTTGCCTCAAGTCCAGGACTTGACTTGAAAAAAAATCAGAGCAGTGAAAAATACAGATAAAAAAGAAGCAGAGCTGTGCATGGTGGCTTATGCCTGTAATCCCAACACTTTGGGAGGCTGAGGCAGGCTGATCACCTGAGGTAGGGAATTCGAGACCAGCCTGACCAACATGGAGAAACCCTGTCTCTACTAAAAATACAAAATTAGCTGGGTGTGGTGGTGCATGCCTGTAATCCCAGATACTCAGGAGGCTGAGGCAGGAGAATCGCTTGAACCTGGGAGGCAGAAGTTGTGGTGAGCCAAGATCGTGCCATTGCACTCCAGACTGGGGCAACAAGAGCAAAACACCATCTCAAAAAAAAAAAAAAAAAAAAAAAAAAAAAGGCCGGGCACAGTGGCTCATGCCTGTAATCCCAGCACTTTGGGAGGCCGAGGTAGGTGGATCATGAGGTCAAGAGATCAAGACCATCCTGGCCAACATGGTGAATTCCCGTCTGTACTAAAAATACAAAAAATTAGCCAGGCATGGTGGCAAACACCTGTAATCCCAGCTACTTGGGAGGCTGAGGCAGGAGAATCACTTGAACCCGGGAGGCAGAGGTTCCAGTGAGCCGAGATCGTGCCATTGCACTCCAGCCTGGGCAAAAAGAGCAAAACTCTTGTCTCATACACACACACACACACACACACACACACACACACACACACACACACAAAAAGAAGCAGAAGTTAACAACTTCTGAATGCTGGAGTAAGTTCACTTATTAAAATTAAAAATTAATAGTATCCTAATAGCATCTTTTACTCTCTAATCAAGGTTAGTCCCCTGAGTCTATCCTTACCCTTAAACACACAATCACATAGCATTTATATCTACTTTTTGTTTTCTTTATTCAAATAATGCTCTCACCTCTATTTTTAAGTGGCTAAAATCAGCATTTTTAATGCAAATATTAAAGTAAGCACCATAACATTATATAAAACAGTTTAAATGAAGAATTGAATTAGAATGTTATATTCTAATTTTTTCTATGAAAAGGATCGTTAGTTTTGCAAAAAGAATTTAAAAATCAAAAGGCAGACTTAACAAAAAGAGAAGCCCATTCACCCCTAGGTTCTTTGACTTCTTTTTATCAGATGATTATACCATCTGCCTTTAGCAAAAAACCTTCAAAATTTGCACCTTAAAATACTCTAACAAAGTGGTAACATAGGGAAAACTGCCAACATTTTTAATCAGACATCAAGTGATGGTATATGTATGTGGGGTATGTGGTCTCAAGTGTTTATTTTCTTTAGGAGCAAAGAAATGTAATAATTGTTTCCATAATAAGAAAAATATGAAATCATTTCACTGGGATAAGGGTGGAGTATACTATCTTTAATGTAATTTACATGTTTAAACTCTACATACATAAAAACAAATATTTCATAAGAATCTCTAGAATTCCCTAAAGTAAACTATGATTTCTTTTTTTTTTTTTTTTGAGACAGAGTTTCTGTCACCCAGGCTGGAGTGCAGTGGTGTGAACTCGGCTCACTTCAACCTCTGCCCTCCGGGTTCAAGTGATTCTCCTGCCAGCCTCCTGAGTAGCTAGAATTACAGGCATGAGCCACTGTGCCCAGCTATTTTTTTATAAAATAATATACCACCAATATTTTCTCATACACGGTATTAAGTGATAGTACTCTGGTTACTTTAAGGTGTCACTTCTGGTATATTTATCAAAAGGAGACAGAAATCCAATAGCTGGCAATGACACAGCAACAGTTACTGAAAAGAACTGTTAATATTATCTGAAAGATTAAAATTACATCTTGCTCCTTTAATTTTCAACTCATCTGAAAAATGAGGGCCTGAAAAGTACTGTGTTTATCACCACACTAAACCTGGCCACAAGGCACCCTATATTCACACTTCATGTTCCTGTAACTATTTACACATTGTCTATAAAAAGTTCCTTGTTTCACCTGAAAAGCAACACAGACTAGCATTCATATCTACTGAAAGCCATCATGACCTATGTAATTGTGCAGCATGAACAAAGAGGCCTTTATAAAGCCAAAGGCAAAGCTCTTAGTAACAACCTGTTTCAGCTGAGACAAGCTGACCTCCGCTTCTGAAATTATACTTAATCATTCACCAAAATAGCTGCATATAATAAACCACTTAAAGCAGCTTTTTAAAAAAAAGGTAAAGGGGGTTGGGTGCAGTGGCTCACACCTGTAATCCTGGCACTTTGGGAGGCTGAAGAGGAAGGATCACTTGAGCTCAGGTAGTTGAGACGGCAGTGAGCCATGATAGTGCCACTGCATTCCAGCATAGGCAACAGAGTGAGACCCTGTCTCCCCCAGCAAAAAAAAAAAAAAAAAGGGAAAAGAAGGTAGGGGCTAATTTTCTATGAATTCCCTTTTACACTTAATTCACTTTCAATGCTTGTACTTTCAAATGTTTCAATGTTTTTAAAAATGAAGTCTTAAGTCTTGATTCTGGCAGATAGTTCTAGAATTAGCACTAGTCCAATTTCAGAGGTGTTTATTGCAACCATTAAGAAACCATTCTATTTTCATTTAAGTCAAAAATACTTTAAAAGTTAACTTAAAACTTTGACAGTTTGCTTGAATGTTGTTCTCACATGTACCAGGAAGGATCTCAAGGTGTTAATATCCCAAAAGAGTATTCACAGGTTGTCAATAAGAATCCCTACTGTGCTGGATCATTAGTTCTCAACATTATATGTATTACCATCCACCTCTAAAGTCTCCTCTGCATAGCACAGAGTTTACTTTTTTCCAATGAAAGAAACTTCAAAATTAAAGAGATATCATTACTCTTAAGCAATCATGATATCCAGACACCACCATCTTAAGTGGTAAGTAAGATCCCACTTACCACCACAGGTTAACATGAAGGGATCTTTCCCAGAGACTAAAGAGCTGGGGCAATTTATTGGCAAACTTTTGAGAACCATATACTTCAAGACTATACTCATTAAATAATTGCTTCCCTGATCTTCAGAATGCAACCTTCCCAACATACTCTTACTGAGCTCTTTGCACATTTAATTGTTACATCAAATTCCTTTGTCTGATAATAGCTCAGTCTTCCTGAGCTCAAACGAATACATCTACCTTCTTTATTTTTAAACTAAAATCTTTTTATAATCATTTTTTAAATGCAAAAAATGGCAAGGAATGGAGAAGACCTCAAAGGTCTTCTCTCAAGCTTCTAACAGCTCATTTCAAATATTTGCTGAGCACCTACTCTGAGCCAGAAACAGTGCTAGTACATAAGGACACAGCCTCTGTTCTTTTTAAAGTAATTAATCAGAAAAGACATTCCCATAAGTAAAAAGATTCCAGTATGTGTCATGTGTAATGATTGACCTATGTGTCAGGAAATAATGAGTTATCCTGAGGGAAACATGCTAAAATGTCACCAGTGATGAGTCTGAGTGATTACTTCCTAAGCTCCTTTATCTTTTCCAGATTTTCTATGATATGTTATAATATGCATTTACTGCTTTTACAGCCTGAATAAAAATCTAAATAACCAAAATAAAATAATAGGAATAGTACTAGTAACATTTATTGACTTTTATTATATACCCTGTGTGCTACATGCTTCACATACATTATCTCACTTAATAGAATCACCCTATTTAAAAAAAGACCATTATCCATATTTTAGAGAGGAGGGAGCCAAAATATGAAATAATTTGCTGGAAATGTCTTTTCAGCTAGAATTTTTACTTATTTCCTCAGAAATAAGCAGGTGTTGAGACAAAAACAATCAGCTGTGTAAACAGAAAGAGTTGGAAATAGGTGTCATTTGTTGGATGTATAACCATAAGCAAGCAACTTAATCTCAGCGAGCCTCAGTTTCTCCTACTGTATTGTATTGTAAATGATTTAGTAGGCCCTAACTCATTTAGGGTTCTCAAGAGTAAATGATATTATGTATTAAAAAATAAAGAATTCTGTCTGGCAAATAACTGACAACAGAATGCTAGTATCAGTATCTTCATCAGTATAGTCAGCCAAAAAACTTGGGCAAATTATTTAACATCTCTGGGTTCAGTTTCTCTACCTGTAAACTGGGGATAAAAATACCTACACCATGCAGTAACTATGAGAATTACATGAGATAATACACAGTACAGTGCCTGGCATGTGATACAACAGTCAAAACAGCTATTGTAATTCTCCACAAGCCAAACAAAATGGGGCTGGCTAAATAAGGTACAGTACATGCATATGATGAAATACTTTGCTGTTGAATATGTAAGGACATGATAAAAATATCGACAATGTATAGCTGTTTAAAAATTATGTAGAGTAAAATTCTTGTTTTAAAAATATATGAATATACATTACAAAATATAAGAAAAGTAACAATAATACATTCCAAGATCTACAATTTGTGGATCTTTTTTTTTTAACTAACCCAGTTAAAAAAAAATTAAACAATTCTCACTGTTACCACCACCACTGTATGAAGCAAGACATTAAAACAACAATTTTGGCTGGGCGCAGTGGCTCATGCCTGTAATCCCAGCACTTTGGGAGGCCGAGGTGGGTGGATCACGAGGTCAGGAGATCAAGACCATCCTGGCTAACACAGTGAAACCCTGTCTCTACTAAAAATACAAAAAATTAGCAGGGCATGGTGGCGGGCGCCTGTAGTCCCAGCTACTTGGGAGGCTGAGGTGGGAGAATGGCATAAACCCGGGAGGCAGAGCTTGCAGTGAGCCGAGATCGCGCCACTGCACTCGAGCCTGGGCGAGAGTGAGACTCCATCTCAAAAAAAAAAAACAAAAACAATTTTAAAATTTCCATATCAATGTATTCAGACAAGCAGGAGTATCATGCCCACATACCCCATTCCATTCCATTCCATTATCACCAGGATTCTCTAACATATATATATTCTTCTCTGAACATTAAAAAAAGGGATTCACTTTCAAACTTCAAAGTAAGAGAAAAGGAGGCTATTTTGTTTCTAAGACATACATTTTTATTTCCCACAATTCCAGGCTTTCACATTTTGTATTGTTTAATACAGAAAAATTATTCTGACTAAAAATAGGAATACAACAACATTTCCACAAGGGCAAATTCACCCCAAAAGACTGAGAATTCTAATTCTTAAAGGGAATAAAAATTAATGCCACACGCAGTGGCTCACACCTGTAATCCCAAAATTCTGGGAGGCTGACGCAGGTGGATCATGAGGTCAGGAGTTCGAGACCAGCCTGGCCAGCATGGTGAAACCCCATCTCTACTAAAAATATAAAAAATTAGCCGGGCATGGTGGCGTGCACCTGTAGTCCCAGCTACTCAGGAGGCTGAGGCAGGAGAATTGCTTGAACCTGGCAGGCGGAGCTTGCAGTGAGTTGAGATCACACCGATGCACTCCAGCCTGGGAAACAGAGTGAGACTCTGTCTCAAAAAAAAATTAATTTTTAAAATGAATATTTCACAATATAGGTGACACTAAAGTCACAATTCTGAGACTGTGACCAGAGAATAGTGTCATTAAATAAACAAAATGAAATAAAAAAATTATAGTTTCTTAATTTCTAAAAAATTAATAGGCTAACATGAAAGGTGATATTCAGTAAAAGGTAGAAATAATTATCAGAGATACTGAAAAAATATGAATCCTGGCTTGGAAAAAACATATTAAATATTATATTGTAAAATAGTTAAGAAATGCTATTTCATTAATTTCAGGGTTTTACCTCTTTCTCTTCCTACTTTCATTGCAAATTATATATCACTCAAATTAATAACAGTTAACCACTGACTACACATGGATATGCAACATTCATTCAGCCTTGAAGGTGGGAAAGAAAAGAGAATTCTCAAAAGCATAGAAATCGCTCTCCCTCTCCCTCTCCCTCTCCCTCTCCCCTCTTTCCACGGTCTCCCTCTGATGCCGAGCCGAAGCTGGACTGTACTGCTGCCATCTCGGCTCACTGCAACCTCCCTGCCTGATTCTCCTGCCTCAACCTGCCGAGTGCCTGCGATTGCAGGCGCGCGCCGCCACGCCTGACTGGTTTTCGTATTTTTTGGGAGGAGACGGGGTTTCGCTGTGTTGGCGGGGCTGGTCTCCAGCTCCTAACCGCGAGTGATCCGCCAGCCTCGGCCTCCCGAGGTGCCGGGATTGCAGACAGAGTCTCCTTCACTCAGTGCTCAATGGTGCCCAGGCTGGAGTGCAGTGGCGTGATCTTGGCTCGCTACAACATCCACCTCCCAGCAGCCTGCCTTGGCCTCCCAAAGTGCCGAGACTGCAGCCTCTGCCCAGCCGCCACCCCGTCTGGGAAGTGAGGAGCGTCTCTGCCTGGCCGCCCATCGTCTGGGATGTGAGGAGCCCCTCTGCCTGGCTGCCCAGTCTGGAAAGTGAGGAGCGTCTCTGCCCAGCCGCCATCCCATCTAGGAAGTGAGGAGCGCCTCTTCCCGGCCGCCATCCCATCTAGGAAGTGAGGAGCGTCTCTGCCCGGCCACCCATCGTCTGAGATGTGGGGAGCGCCTCTGCCCTGTCGCCCCGTCCGGGATGTGAGGAGCGTCTCTGCCCGGCCGCCCCGTCTGAGAAGTGAGGAGACCCTCTGCCTGGCAACCGCCCTGTCTGAGAAGTGAGGAGCCCCTCCGCCCAGCAGCCGCCCTGTCTGAGAAGTGAGGAGCCCCTCTGCCCGGCAGCCACCCCGTCTGGGAAGTGAGGAGCCCCTCTGCCCGGCCAGCCGCCCCGTCCGGGAGGGAGGTGGGGGGGTCAGCCCCCCGCCCGGCCAGCCGCCCCGTCCGGGAGGTGAGGGGCGCCTCTGCCCGGCCATCCCTACTGGGAAGTGAGGAGCCCCTCTGCCCGGCCAGCTGCCCCATCCGGGAGGGAGGTGGGGGGGTCAGCCCCCCGCCGGGCCAGCCACCCCATCCGGGAGGTGAGGGGCGCCTCTGCCTGGCCGCCCCTACTGGGAAGTGAGGAGCCCCTCTGCCTGGCCAGCCACCCCGTCCAGGAGGGAGGTGGGGGGGGTCAGCCCCCCGCCCGGCCAGCCGCCCCATCCGGGAGGGAGGGGGGGCGTCAGCCCCCCGCCGGGCCAGCCGCCCCATCCGGGAGGTGAGGGGCGCCTCTGCCCGGCCGCCCCTACTGGGAAGTGAGGAGCCCCTCTGCCCGGCCAGCCGCCCCGTCCGGGAGGGAAGTGGGGGGGTCAGCCCCCCGCCCGGCCAGCCGCCCCGTCCGGGAGGGAGGTGGGGGGGTCACCCCCCGCCCGGCCAGCCGCCCCGTCCGGGAGGGAGGTGGGGGGGTCAGCCCCCCGCCCGGCCAGCCACCCCGTCCGGGAGGTGGGGAGCGCCTCTGCCCGGCCGCCCCTACTGGGAAGTGAGGAGCCACTCTGCCCGGCCAACCGCCCCGTCCAGGAGGGAGGTGGGGGGGTCAGCCCCCCGCCCGGCCAGTCGCCCCGTCGGGGAGGTGAGGAACCCTCTGCCTGGCCGCCCCTACTGGGAAGTGAGGAGCCCCTCTGCACGGCCACCACCCCGTCTGGGAGGTGTACCCAACAGCTCATTTAGAACGGGCCATGATGACAATGGCAGTTTTGTGGAATAGAAAGGGGGGAAAGGTGGGGAAAAGATTGAGAAATCGGATGGTTGCCGTGTCTGTGTAGAAAGAGGTAGACATGGGAGACTTTTCATTTTGTTCTGTACTAAGAAAAATTCTTCTGCCTTGGGATCCTGTTGATCTGTGACCTTGCCCCCAACCCTGTGCTCTCTGAAACATGTGCTGTGTCCACTCAGGGTTAAATGGATTAAGGGCGGTGCAAGATGTGCTTTGTTAAACAGAGGCTTGAAGGCAGCATGCTCTTTAAGAGTCATCACCACTCCCTAATCTCAAGTACCCAGGGACACAAACACTGCGGAAGGCCACAGGGTCCTCTGCCTAGGAAAACCAGAGACCTTTGTTCACTTGTTTATCTGCTGACCTTCCCTCCACTATTGTCCTGTGACCCTGCCAAATCCCCCTCTGCGAGAAACACCCAAGAATGATCAATAAAAAAAAAAAATAAATAAAAATAAATAAATAAAAGCATAGAAATCACCCTTAATTACCCTTGCATCTTTTTTTTTTTATACTTTAAGGTTTAGGATACATGTGCACATTGTGCAGGTTAGTTACATATGTATACATGTGCCATGCTGGTGCACTGCACCCACTAACTCATCATCTAGCATTAGGTATATCTCCCGATGCTATCCCTCCCCCCTCCCCCCACCCCACAACAGTCCCCAGAGTGTGATATTCCCCTTCCTGTGTCCATGTGATCTCATTGTTCAATTCCCACCTATGAGTGAGAATATGCGGTGTTTGGTTTTTTGTTCTCGTGATAGTTTACTGAGAATGATGATTTCCAATTTCATCCATGTCCCTACAAAGGACATGAACTCATCATTTTTTATGGCTGCATAGTATTCCATGGTGTATATGTGCCACATTTTCTTAATCCAGTCTATCATTGTTGGACATTTCAGTTGGTTCCAAGTCTTTGCTATTGTGAATAATGCCGCAATAAACATACGTGTGCATTTGTCTTTATAGCAGCATGATTTATAGTCCTTTGGGTATATACCCAGTAATGAGATGGCTGGGTCAAATGGAAGAACATTCCATGCTCATGGGTAGGAAGAATCAATATCGTGAAAATGGTCATACTGCCCAAGGTAATTTACAGATTCAATGCCATCCCCATCAAGCTACCAATGACTTTCTTCACAGAATTGGAAAAAACGACTTTAAAGTTCATATGGAACCAAAAAAGAGCCCGCATCGCCAAGTCAATCCTAAGCCAAAAGAACAAAGCTGGAGGCATCACACTACCTGACTTCAAACTATACTACAAGGCTACAGTAACCAAAACAGCATGGTACTGGTACCAAAACAGAGATATAGATCAATGGAACAGAACAGAGCCCTCAGAAATAATGCCACATATCTACAACTATCTGATCTTTGACAAACCTGAGAAAAACAAGCAATGGGGAAAGGATTCCCTATTTAATAAATGGTGCTGGGAAAACTGGCTAGCCATATGTAGAAAGCTGAAACTGGATCCCTTCCTTACACCTTATACAAAAATCAATTCAAGATGGATTAAAGACCCTTGCATCTTAAAAGCTGCAAATTTCACAGAATCTCTAATACTGAGCAGATTCTCCCCAGAAAATGCATCTTTTCTCAATTTACAAAGGTTCAAGATATCTGAACAGTGAAATACAATCAAGATATCTGAATATATGAAAAGCAAATTATTTTAGTACTGTTCTCTCTTAGTGTCCACAAAGTAAGCCTCAGTAACTCACAGATTTTATTTTCAGTATTCTAATACTGTCTCCCTCTACTGTATAAAAAGGAAATTGAAAGATTTTTATCATTTATTTCCCTTAAGACATAATTAAGAAAATTTCTTTCAATTTGTTTTCCCCCAAATAGTTTTTAGAGTTCATAATCTAACAAGAATATATTTGTGTGTGTGTGTATATATATATATATATATATATATATATATATATATACACATAAAATACCTAAATATGTACATATATATATACATAAAATACATAAAATATGGAGATTCCAGGGTCAGGACAAGAAAAATAATCATCCTTTAGAACAAATCCTTAGAATCCAAGTTCTTCAATTCAAAATTTAGAAAAAGCTAAGCAAAGACGCACTAGCTTGGTTGGGAGTCAGAAATGTTATGTATGTCTCCTGGGCCAGGCTGAGCAATTTAGTTAACTAGGTAAACTTGGGGAAAGATTTAGAGTCCATTAACTTCAGATTTTTTTCCACCTGCAAAACTAAAAATAAAAATACTCTGCCAATGTCACAGAACTAAAACTAGAACCCAATTTTGATTCATTCACTGAATTAAGCACCCACTGCACAATACACACAGCAAGGGCTGCCAAGTTTAGCAAACAAAAATACAATACAGAACATACTTATATAATAAAAAATTAGGCCAGGTGCAATGGCTCACGCCCATAATCCCAACACTTTGGGAGGCCAAAGCGGGCAGATCACTTTAGGTCAGGAGTTCGAGTCCAGCCTGGCCAACATAGTGAAATCCCCGTCTCTACTAAAAATACAAAAATTAGCCAGGCGTGGTGGCATGTGCCTGTAATCCCAGCTACTCAGGAGGCTGAGACAGGAGAATTGCTTGAACCAGACAGGCAGAGGTTGCAGTGAGCCGAGAACGGGCCACTGCACTCCAGCCTGGGCAACAGAGTGAGACTCTATCTCAAAAAAAATAAAAATAAAAAATTCATTGTTTATCAGAAATACAAACTTAATTGAGCATGTTGTACTTTATCTGGGAACCCTAACTGAGGCACATACAAAAATACAAATAAGACATGCTTCTTATCCTCAAAGACTTACATAGGCACGAGGGATATGAAATGTATATATAAACGAGCTACTATACAAGGAAGAAAAGTAGTTACTTACATTAAAGAGGAAAGGGGAAGAAAAGGCAAATTGAGAACATAGTAAGTAGGATTGAAGAATGGTTAAAATCAACAAATGCAAATTCAAAACAGAAAAAAGAATGAGAGATGAGAGTGCTTAATTACATCCTCAACTCTAGCCACACAGATCTATGTATTTACCACACATGCTATTCTTCCACCAGTATATGAGATGGCTCAGTAATACAAGTTCTTAAGTCATTTATCATTTATTCACAATGTAATTTACTTCAAATGGACCTGCATTAGCAATCTCTTGATAGACATAAACCAAAAAAATCAAATTCATAACTTTCAGAACTATATCCCTTTCAAATCTACCTAGAGTTTTGTGCTTAATTACTCAAAATTATTTTATTAAGCAAATTCTACACTATGTGGATAGGACCAGGGACAGACCAAAATCCTGATAAGGGCCGAGCATCGTGGCTCATGCCTATAATTTCAGCACTTTGGGAGGCCAAGGTGGGTGGATCACCTAAGGTCAGGAGTTTGAGACCAGCCTGGCCAACATGGTGAAACCCCATCTCTACTAAAAATACAAAAATTAGCCAGGCGTGGTGGCATGTGCCCATAACCCCAGCTACTCAGGAGGCTGAGGCAGGAGAACTGCTTGAACCCGGGAGGTGGAGGTTGCAGTGAGCTGAGATCGTGCCACTGTACTCCAGCCTGGGCAACAAGAACAAAACTCTGTCTCAAAAAAAAAAAAAAAATCTTGATAAGATTTCATCTCTTTTCTCACTTTCTATTGTCCCAAGAGCTAGTTCATAAATCTGCCTCATAATTAACCAGCTCTGTTATTGACAATCTTTAAATAAATAAATAGGCAGATCCTTTTTAGCTAGATGCAAAAAACTACTTCACTTTGCACTTCCTGCTCCAACCCTCTGAACCTGTCTCCTTTCTGAAGGCCCAGTTACCATTCTCCATGACACAGACCAACCTGATCCTATTCCACAATAGGAAATTTCACATGTCCTTAGAACTTCAAGTTAATAAATAGTAACACAGTATGCTACATGACTTTGTATAAAGAAGGAGTACTGGCCAAGCGCCGTGGTCCACACCTGTAATCCCAGCGCTTTGGGAGGCCAAGGCAAGTGGATCACTTTAGGTCAGGAGTTTGAGACCAGCCTGGCCAACAATGGTGAAATCCCATCTCTGCTAAAAATATATAAATCAGCCGGGCATGGTGGTGGGCTCCTGTAGCCCCAGCTACTCAGAAGGCTGAGGCAGGAGAATTTCTTGATCCCAGGAGGTAGAGGTTGCAGTGAGCTGGGGTTGCACCACTGTACTCCAGCCTGGACAACAGAGCAAGACTCTGTCTCAAAAATAAATAAATAAATAAAACACAAAAAAGGAGTAGTAATGGAAAAAGCCTACCTATACCATTTATTCTCATTAACTGATTTATCATTATACCTTCATATAATTTTACAGCTGAAAGGACTCCAGAGCTCATTTGGTCCACGGACTTCCTTTCAAAGGTACTGAAAATTTAGTCATAGTCATTTTGTGCCTAGACTAAATTCACGGGGCAAGCAAAGATCCAGAGTCAGATTTCTTGGTTTTCAGTTCACTACTTTTCTTACTAAACTATTATCTACATTTTTTTTTTAATTGAGGCAGAGTCTCACTCTGTTACCCAGGCTGGAGTGCACTGGCATGATCTCGGCTCACTGCAACCTCTGTCTCCCGGGCTCAAGTGATTCTTCTGCTTCAGCCTCCCGAGTAGCTGGGATTACAGGTACACACCACCACGCCCAGCTAATTCTTATATTTTTAGTAGAGATGGGGTTTCACCATGTTGGGTAGGCTGGTCTCTAACTCCTGACCTCAGGTGATCCACCCAACTCGGTCTCCCAAAGTGCTGGGATTACAGGCATGAGCCACTGTGCCTGGCTATTATCTACATATTTTGAGTGATAGTTAAATATTATCTGAATATTAATTCTATTGTATATCTTTTATTTCATTTTGAAAATATAAAGGAATCTAAAACTTACTTAAACTGTAATTTAAATTATTCATTGTTCCCTCATAATAAAGTAACATAAAATTCAGCTTAATTAAAAAACAAAACAAAAAAAGCAGATTTGTCTTTATAGTAGTTTGTACTTTTTTTTTTTTTTTGAGATGGAGTCTTGCTCTGTTGCCCAGACTAGAGTGCAGTGGCATGATTTTAGATCACTGCAACCTCCACTTCCCAGGCTTCAGGGATTCTCCCACCTCAACTTCCTGAGTAGCTGGGATTACAGGCACCCACCACCACACCTGGCTAATTTTTGTATTTTTAGTAGAGACAGGGTTTTCACTATATTGGCCAGGCTGGTCTTGAACTCCTGACCTCAACTGATCCACCTGTGTCAGCCTCCCAAAGTGTTGGGATTACAGGTGTAAGTCACTGCACCCAGCCTAAAAAGTGTTTTAAAGAAATAGAATATATATTAGCAGGCTTGGTGGGGTGACATGCACCTGTAGTCCCAGCTACTTGGGAGGCTGAGGTAGGAAGACTGCTTGAGTCCAGGAGTTTGAGGCTGCAGTGAGCTATGATGGCACCACTGCACTCTAGCCTGTGTAACAAAGCAAGACCATGTCTTAAAAAAAAAAATTAAAAGTTACTTTTATTCAATTCTACCATAATTTTTAATAATTGAACAGACTCAAAGGTCTTCATGTCCAAAACAATAAACATTACACTGAATTAGGGATAAACATTTCCAATTTTCCTTAACTTTTGTCTTAGCCTATCATAAAAAGCCCTACAAGTGACTCAAACTGTTGGACCTAAATAAATGTAATTTATTTAGGTTTTAGTAAGGAACAGATAAATAATCATTTTGTTCATACTAAAACATACCAAATCAATTTTAACCACACAATTCATTGAAATAGCCCAATAAGTTTCATGACTAGAAACTTCTATATTTATCAAAAAATGATTTTATTTCACT
The DNA here is from genome assembly GCF_000001405.40 of Homo sapiens. Lineage (NCBI taxonomy): Eukaryota > Metazoa > Chordata > Mammalia > Primates > Hominidae > Homo > Homo sapiens. The sequence continues at coordinate 40,907,323 of NC_000013.11, forward strand.
TCCTAGAGGAACCAGTACTTAAATGGAATTGCTTAATATTTAACTGACAGAGAGCTCTTCCTGAGTCCTGATTTGGTACTTGAAATTTAATATAAGTAAATAAAAACATGAAGAATGAAAACTCTGGACTTAACATCTCAGATTCTGGGCCTACTAAAACATAAAAAGGAAGCATTTTCAGGTAACAATACATTTATAGGCAAAGGTATTTATATGATTTTTATTGCACAAACATACTGATTAAGCAAGCCAATTCTCCATACCTTTCAACTAAAGAAAAGTGGTTTCATTTTGCCTCCTGCATTCATTTTAGACTCCTTAGTGATTTCTTTTTTTGTGCCGGAGTCTCATTCTGTCACCCAGGCTGGAGTGCAGTGGCATGATCTCGGCTCACTGCAACCTCCGCCTCCTGGGTTCAAGCCATTCTCCTGCCTCAGCCTCCCATGTACCTGGGACTACAGGCATGCACCACCACGCCCACCTATTTTTTTAGTAGAGATGGGGTTTCACCATGTTGGCCAGGATGGTCTTGATCTCCTGACCTCGTGATCCGCCCACCTTAGCCTCCCAAAGTGCTGGGATTACAGGTGTGAGCCACCATGCCCAGCCTAGACTCCTTAGTAATTTCTTACTGATATGCCATACAAGCAAATCCACCCAAATCTCCTTTTCAACATAAGAAGCTAGGCAAAACCAGTGTATTTTTGGAAGTCTATATTTAAGGAAACATGTATTATTTAAAATAAATTATAAAGGTAAAAACAAATTTGCTTAAACCAAAAAATTTCAAGTGCTTACTTCTTTTTAAATTGAAATACCATGGGAGACCTACATACCATTCTGAGCTTCTTGACACCTTTTAATTCAGTCACTGAAATTAAAATCTGCACCTAGAAAGAAAAAAACTATCACATCACTCATCTGCACAACCTATTAATCAACAAATAATTATTAAATACCTACTGCATCCCAGGCACTGTTCTTGGCACTGGGGAGTCAGCAGTGAATAAAACCTGTCTTAACAGAACTTAATTGCAAACTCTGTTATAGCTATGAATATACCAACAGTTTAACATTTAGTTGTTCATCCTGAAACATTTTGATTTTTTTAAATTAATTTTAACTATAGTCAACCTTACTAATTTCACAGATATAAATAATGCAAATTTCCCTCAACCCCTTTGCCCTTAGAGAAGCTTCCTCATACACACAACAAAGTCAGAACTAAATCAGACTCCCAATATGCCATTAGTTAGGTTGGGGAGGAGGCTTGGTAACTGAGAGCTGAGTTGAGGTCCCTAAGCCTTTCCCAGCCCCAGCTTGCTCTTCAATGCAGCTACCTATTCAGTCTACTATTCTCTCAGTGGCTTTATCTGTTACCATGCCTTTCCTACCAACACCGAGAAGCATCTTTAAATTCTGTGAAGTTTTGTCATATCTCCAAGTTACAGGGCAGTTGAGAGGCTACAGGTGATAAATTTTATGCTTACAGATAATAGTGTAAATGTATCCATAAACAAATTTTTCATTTCTGGGGACACAGAACAATGACTACATTTAAACACAGTGCATAGTAAAATATGTAACTGCAGGCAAGAGCAATCTGGAAATTTTAAATTAAAAATTTCTTAAAACAAAATTTTCTAATTTACTAATTTATAAAAGAAATATAACTACATGGGCCTTAATAAAAAATGTAAATACACTCTCACACACACCATATTCTAGAGAAGAACTATTACATCAAAATCCTAGCTTTGAATAACTTATTATTTTAAATAATCAGTAACTAAAACCAAGCAATCTATCACACAGAGAGGGGAAAAGGTAATATTCTGAGTTATAAATGTTTTACCCTGTCTGATAAAAATAGAAGCATAAAAGTTTAACTTAAATTTTTCCTGGATTTAAATTTATAGATAAATTTGTTTTTCAGTGAAATATCCTTAATAGCAATTTTACCAAGGAGGCCTTCTTCTGAAGGCCACCTCTGAAATAATTAGAGAATAAATGTCAATGGCATGATATTAAGATATTATTCGGGTGGGCACAGTGGCTCATGTCTGTAATCTCAGCACTTTGGAAGGCTGAGGCGGGCGGATCACAAGGTCAGGAGTTCAAGACCAGCCTGACCAATGTGGTGAAACCCTGTCTCTACTAAAGATATAAAAAATTAGCCGGGTGTGGTGGCATGCACCTGTAATCCCAGCTACTTGGGAGGCTGAGGCAGGAGAATCACTTGAACCCAGGAGGCAGAGGTTGCAGTGAGCTGAGATCGCACCATTGCACTCCAGGCTGGGCGAGACTCCGTGGAAAGAAATAAAGAAAAAAGAAAGAGAAAGGGAAGGAAGGAAGGAGAGAGAAAGAGAGAGAGAGAGAAAGAGAGAAAGACAAGAAAGAAAGAAAGGAAGGAAGGAAGGAAGGAAGGAAGGAAGGAAGGAAGGAAGAAAAGAAAGAAAGAAAGAAAGAAAAAGAAATTATTCATTCAAGAAAAGCATTTAGGGGCCAGATGCAGTGGCTCCTGTCTGTAATGCCAGCATTTTGGGAGGCCAAGGCAGTAGGATCACTTGAGGCCAGGAGTTCAGAGACCAGTCTGGGTAATGTAGCAAGACCTCATCTCTACAAAAAAATATTTAACGAATTAGCTCAGTGTGGTGACACATGCCTGTAGTCCCAGCTACTCAGGAGGCAGAGGCAGAAGGATGGCTTGAGCCCTGGAATTCAAGGCTGCAGTGAACTATGATGGTGCCATTGCACTCAAGCCTGGGTGACAGAGCAAGACTCTGTGCCCCCAGCCCCCAAAAAAAGAAAAAAAAGAAAGGAATTTAGGCAGGAAACTTTTCTATTGCTCTTAAAAGTAGTAGGGCCTAGACATGCAGAGGATGAGGCCAGGCACAATGGCTCACGCCTGTAACTCCAACACTTTGGGAGGCCGAGGCAGGCAGATCGCTTGAGCCCAGGAGTTCAAGACCAGGCTTTACAACATGGCAAAACCCTGTCTCTGCAAAAAAAAAAAAAAAAAAAAAAAAGCAAAAATTAGTCAGATGTGGTGGCACGTGCCTGTAGCCCCAGTTACTTGGGAGGCTGGGGTGGGTGGATCACCTGAACCCAGGAGGAGGAGGTTGCAATGACCCAAGTTCGCACTATTGTACTCCAGCCTGGGCAAGAGTGACACCTTGTCTCAAAAAAAAGAAAAAGAAAAAAGAAAATGTAGAGAATGGTATGACTCATGTTTTTTCAGGGTTTTCAAATATGTATCAAGGCACTAGATAACCTGACTCTAGAATTTGCTAAGAGTGTAGATATGCTGTCTTGCTGACTGAATAGCCCTATTATTCACATGCCAAAACTGAAACTGGGATAAGCAAATTTGAGAATAAGTCCTATCACCCAGACCTTTCCTTTCCTAATTTGTAGCTTCCATTTGTGTAATGAGGCCTAAAATCCTTTTTTGAACAGGTATACAGCAGAAAAGCAAACCTTTAAAGCAGTACAGAGTAAGAATTTAACAGATAATATGTAAGAGCAGAGTTTCTTAACTCAGCACTACTGACACTTTGAACTAGATACTTCTCTGTTGGGCAGCACTGTCCTGGGCATTATAGGATATTTAGTAGCACCCCTGGTTTATATTCATTACATGTCAGTAGCTCATCCCCTATCCAACATTCATGATAACCAAAAATCTTTCAAACATTGCCTAAAGTTTCCTGGGAAACAAAATTGTTTCCAGTTAAGAACCACTGCTTTAGAGAATTGTGATAAAATTCTATCATAACATAAAGATAAAATAATAGTACAAGTAGGATTATGTAGTCTACAATTTTCTGGGATTACTCACAACCTCTATCTTAGTATTTTTCCAATTTTAAAATTCTTGCTCTCACAATTTCTATATATGTCTAGATATCTACACTGCTGTGATAATCTTCATATATTCCCCTAAAAAATATAACATTAAAAACTCACAATACTCTCAAAACTCTGTGTTTCTTCTGTACCCTCTCATAATTTATCAAACTATACACTTCACTTCTCTATAAGTGTTAAGATTTCCCATCTCAGCATTCTGAATAACTTAAAATGAACAGACTTCTGACCAAGAAAGCAAATTAAATTTTCATTTCTCCATTAGAAAAAAACAAAGCCAGACTAAATAGAGAGAGCATGTTAAGTGTTTCCATATGGCTTTTTACTTCTAATGGTAAGTTTATCTGTGGTTTAAATGCTAAAAGGCTGATTTAACCAATTTTAAGTGATCCCATATCTGCAATCAATATGAAGTGTAATTAAGATGAGAAAAATAGGTATTGGGTTTCTGTAATTAACTTGAGATTAACATTAACAAAATTCAGCTTTGGTATTTCAGACAGAAATGGATAAGTTTATAAAACTACAATTTAATTCTTACTATCTAATTTTTGTCCTTCTATAAAAGTTTCTAGAGAAGCAGCATAGTTTTTTTTAATGGTATTCACATATCCTGCATGAACATATTTAAAACAAATTAACACACACACAAGATCTGGAAAATAGCCTTCTTTCTAAATAAAAACATTTAGTATTTTCTATTGTTGAAAGAAAAAATTTATTTTAAGCATATGTTAGTAAGCCAAGAGACTTTCTAAAATACTGTTAACATCTAGTATAATTTCCAGTAAAATTCAATTTTAGAACTTACTTCAGAAGGAATTTCACTTTAATTATACATACTTGCTTATTCCAAAATATAATTATACAAAGGAATTAAAGCAGTTTCTTACTTAAAGAATAAAGTTACACTTATCAACAGAAACAAGATGGGATATAAAGCACATAGATACAGAGCTTTCATAGCATTAAATGTAGCCTATTCAGCTTGGTTGAATAATAGGATGTTCACCAGTCAGTTAAATAGAGTAAATTCCAAATGATAAACAAAAAAGGAATGTGAAATGCATCAGTTTCATCTATACCCTGCAGTTATTTCAATCATCACTATTTTAAAATATATTAAGTATAGATCTCCTATCACATATTATGGTTAACAAAATAATAGAACTATAACTTTATATTTAAAATTGAATCATATCTCTGCTATAATATGTATAAATAATTTTACTACTTATAAAGCTTACAATGAACTCATTCAACAAATTAAACATCTATTATTTACAGTCCAAGCTCAACAAAAAGAGTAGCTATTGCATACCCTTTTCTCAGCACAGCAGTGGAATTATTTGGATTGAGTTCACGAGACTTCTTTACATCAGCAACAGCAACTATGTAGAAAAAGATGGGTTTTTGGCCAGGCATGGTGGCTCATGCCTGTAATCCCAGCACTTTGGGAGGCCAAGGCAGGTGGATCACGAGGTCAGCAGATCGAGACTAGTCTGGCTAACATGGTGAAACCCCGTCTCTACTAAAAAAAAAATACAAAAAATTAGCCGGGCATGGTGGCACGCGCCTGTAGTCCCAGCTACTCAGGAGGCTGAGGCAGGAGAATTACTTGAACCTGGGAGGCAGAGGTTGCAGTGAGCCAAGATTGTGCCACTGCACTCCAGTCTGGGTGACAGAGCAAGACTCCGTCTCAAAAAAAAAAAAAAGAAAGAAAGAAAAAGATGGGTTTTTCATCAGTTATTTACAGATTCTAGCAAATACAAACAGAATATGGATCAGTTTTAGATTTCTAAGTTTTCAAGTTGGTAGAAATGCCAGATGGTTTTAAATTTGGAAAAGCTAATCCAAGACAGAATTCAAATAAATGTTACTCTTGTACCTTCCTTTTGGCTGAACATTTAGCTTCCTTCCTAAAGCTCTTCAGTCAATGAATACAACTGTGTCACAAAATTCATCTCCTTTTCTCATTAGCATCATCTATGTAATTTGGCCAGGTGCAGTGGCTCACACCTGTAATCCCAGCACTCTGGGAGGCCAAGGTGGGCAGATCACCTGTGGTCAGGAGTTTGAGACCAGCCTGGCCAACATGGTGAAACCCCGTCTCTGCTAAAAATACAGAATTAGCCGGGCATGGTGGCATGTGCTTGTAGTCCCAGCTACCTGGGAGGCTGAGGCAGGAGAATCGCTTGAACCTGGAAGGCAGAGAGTGCAGTGAGCTGAGATCATGCCACTGCACTCCAGCCTAGGCAACAAGAGCAAAAATTCGTCTAAAAAAAAAAGTCTTCAGTTTTTCCCTATCCAGATTCTTCATCAGAATAATTTTTAAAGTTACACAATACAGAAATACATTTTTTTTTTAGTATAGATAGGGTCTTGCTCTGTTGTCCAGGCTGGACTCGAACTCCTGGGTTCATATGATCCTCCTGCTTTGGCCTCCCAAAGTGCTGGGATTATAGGAGTGAGCCACCATGCCTGGCCACATTCTTTTTTATAAAAAAAAAAATACAAAGAAGAGCATTTCATTTTAATACTCTGTCAAATAGTAAATATGATACTAATTCTTTATCAGCCTACCCAATAACTACGAATGAAATCTATATACATTATCCACCCACTGAGGAAAAAGAGACATCCATAAAATTTAAATAGGTGTTGTTCAACATGTCTGTCACACTTGAGCTACTTTACCTTGTATGAAAGACCAATTTAAAAATCCTCAAAGACAACCTTTATTTTATTTGATTAATTGGCCATGGGTAAAATGTATAAGTAACTTATTAAAAAGGGACAATATACTTTATAAGAAAAACTACCACAGTAATTCCCAAGAAGAATGTGACAATAAGCTCTTTGACAATAATATTGTGTATCATCTGGTTTCTGTTCCAAAGCCTTAGTCAGCTCCTACAAAAACAAACATGTTGGGTGTCAGTAAAAGTTTTTAAAAAGCCATCAAATTCTAATTAAAACATAATTTTTAAACAAATAACTTATCAGAAACTATTTGGAGGAAAGATAACAGGGATGTAATCTTGGAGTGTTTCCTCATAAGAGGATCTCCCCTTCTCCTGCCCTTCCTCCCAAAAGTAGACAATCTAATATAGCATCTCTGTACTGTAAAGCATTTAGGGGCTGAGCACAGTGGCTCACACCTGTAACCCCAGCACTTTGGGAGGCTGAGGCAGGTGGATCACCTGAGGTCAGGAGTTCAAGACCAGCCTGGCCAACATGGTGAAACCCTGTCTCTACTAAAAATACAAAAATTAGCCAGGCATGGTGGCGCACGCCTGCAATCCCAGCTACTTGGGAGGCTAAGGCAGGAGAATCGCTTGAACCTGGGAGGCGGAGGTTGCAGTGAGCCGAGAACATGCCACTGCACTCCAGCCTGGGTGATAAGAGTGATACTCCATCTCAAAAAAACAACAACAAAAATAGCATTTAGTTCCTGGCCTATGGAACTCAATAAATGGTAATTATTATCACCTCACATATTCTGAAGAGTTTAATTGATACATATTGACCATTACAGATTTTGTCCTTCTAATTTGGAGAAGATTCAGACATCATATAGAATTTGAGTTTCCTAGAAAATGTGAAGCTGTCCAATAGCTGTCCAATAAAAAAAGACTAAAAGTTAAATCTAGAGCTCAGGGAGGTTAAGACAATCAATACATACACCATCAAGCTTACCTGGCCCTCTCTTAACCTCTATCAATAACACACAACTCTAATAAAATGCAATTAAACATTCTGTTCAAAGCCCAGATACAATCTAATAGATGGCTATAGTAACTGATCAAGAGTTAACATTAGACAGATTAAAACTTTTTCACCCTGTGCAGTCACAACATATAGGTGTGGCAGCTATAAAAATAATGATGTAAGAGATTACACAATTAGGGAGATCAAGGACAAGTGCAGGAACACTTTTATTTTCTGCCAACTGCCTACAAACTCTAGGGATTTGGTAGTTTTCTTAAATGGTAAAATTATTTCAATAGCCACATGTGTCACTGACTTTGCTTTAACCTAGTAGCATAATTATCACAAAGCAATGAATACAGATGCCCTTCAACTCACCTGGGGTCACATTCAATCAACAGAAAGAAAGTGTGGCTCAAACTAAGACAGCAAAGAAACTAAGATGCTACTTCAAGGGCCTCACATTGTACCTTGCAGGCTGTCATAAGAAATTTGGATCTTAGGTGTGATGGAAAGCCATGGAAAGTTCATTGTTAGTAGGAGAGTGACATGGTCCAGTTTACCCTTTTTAAATGTCTTTCTGGTTGCTGTATGGTGAATACATTATAACAAATCAGGACTGGAAACAGAGACTTCTTAGGAAACTTCTACATTAAGTCTAGGCTAGAAAAGGATGTTAGCCACAGAGGTGATGAGAAATACAATGAGCTGGAATATATTAGAACCAGCAAGACTTGCCAATGTGGGATAAGATAAATTGAAGATTACTCCAGGGTTTTGGGCTTACTTAGATCTATACCTGGCACCCAGTAAGCACTCAGTGAAAAGTATTGATTTCTCTCCTTGCAGACATTTTTCCGCCTTTCCCCCGGTCTCTAATTTGACTGCATCTCCTTTGCCACAAAATATAAAAACGTTTGCCTCTCCAGTCTTAATCTTCTCAAAGCCACTAGTAACCCCTTATCAAATCCAACAAGCTGAAAGATAAGGCCTTTCAGCTTACCATTCTGTTGCTTCTTAAAAACTAATGTTTTCCGGGCTAGGCGAGGTAGCTCACACCTGTAATCCCAGCACTTTGGGAGGCCGTGGCAGGTGGATCACCTGAGGTCAGAAGTTCGAGACCAGCCTGGCCAACATAGTGAAACCACATCTCTACAAAAAATACAAAAATAAGCCAGGCATGGTGGGTGCATGCCTGTAATCACAGCTACTTGGGAGGCTGAGGCAGGAGAATCGCTTGAACCCAGGAGGTGGAGGTTGCAGTGAGCTGAGATCGTGCCGTTGCACTCCAGCCTAGGTGACAAGAGCAAAACTCTGTCTCAAAAAATAAAAATAAATAAATAAATAAAAATTAAAAATCTAATGTTTTCCTTGGGCTTAGTACTTAGACTTCCTCCCTTTTAGAAACATTCTTCGACTCTTTAAGTGGTGTTGGGGCTTCACATATGTCTTGAATCATCCTGATGACTCAAGTCTATCTTAAGAGCCTAGACAGTGCTCCTGTGCAATATCAGCATAGTTTTCTCTAGAGTTCACCCGAAATGTCCCAGAGGCAATTCACATACAAATATTCAAAATCTAAAACTACTTCCTCTCTGCAAACCTATTCCCCCATGCTGAACGCAATCTTCTAAGTGCTATTATCCTAGGTGCTATTTAAGTGAAAGGCACCAAATCCTACTACATTCTCCCAGCCAGAAACTCAGGAGTCATCCCTTATATTCCAATCATCAAGTCCAGTGAATTTTACATAAAACAGCTCCCCTCCATGCCCTCAATCACTGCCCTACATGCAGATATTCATCTTTGACCTGGTCTGCATCACCATCTTCCTGCGATCCACTATCCCTTGTACCTCCTCCAACTCATTATCTACTCTGCTTTTAAAGTAGGTTTTGTAATTCAGAAAATTTCGTTTCCTTCCTCTAAATTCTTCACAGATCTCCATGATCATATGATAAAACCGAAAACCATCTGCTGAGATTTAATGCCTTTGATGGCCTGGCCTCTCTCCACTTGTTTAGCCTTTATCTCCTAGCACTTGCCTCCTCATATTTTATGTTCTAATACTACTGAACAACTTGTATTATTCCCAAAACAGAACAGTTATGTAGTCTTTACCATGTGCCTGGCATTGTACTAAGCATATAATACAGGGTACCTCACTTATCCTCATAATAACACTTTCAAGTAGGTCCTATTTGTTCCCATTTGACAGATGAGAAGTCTGCTCTGGAGTGATGACAGGAACCTTACTGAAGTTACACAGTTATCATGAAACCAGAATTTTGACCCAAGAGTCTCTGACTCCAGAGCCTGGACTCTTAACCACCACACATACTGCGCCTTGAACGATTCTCAAAATTCACACGTTTTCTCTCCCTACTGAATTTTGCAACCTCCTCTGTAAAGTTTTTAAGTCCCTCAGTCAGATTCTATTCTGCTATGCTCTTTTATACACAACCCCATTACAGTACCTTGTTTGTCTTTCCACTAGACTGAAAACTCACTTACTGAAGTTTTTTCATCCTTAGATTCCTGATTTCCAGTACAACATTCACCACTTAATGTTCATTCTTTGTTCAACGAATGAAAAATGTGAAATAGCATATGTGATAAGAACATTTCCCCTTTATTCCTAATTGGATGACCTTATATAAAATATACACATTTTAACTCACAAGATTCCAAGTAACCTGAATCCCAAATGGCGTTAAAGTAGCCCTTGGGAAAATCCAGGAGAAATACCCTCACATTCATCATCAAGGATTCAGCCCTACTTATCATTACCAATTATTTAATAATTTACATTGATCTGTTCATCTTTGTAAGGTCATCTCACAGTTTAAAAAGAACATTTCTTCTTAACACAGCTGGTTCTTATCATGATCATCCTCCCCACACCCAAGGTTTCTGATTAGGGGTCTGTGGTGGGTCCTGAGAATTTGCATTTCTAGGGCCAGGCACGGTGGCTCACGCCTATAATCCCAGCACTTTGGGAGGCTGAGGGGAGTGGATCATTTGAGGCCAAGAGTTTCAGACCAGCCTGGCCAACATGGTGAAACCCCATCTCTACTAAAAATACAAAAATCAGCTGGATGTGGTTACACGTGTCTGTAATCCCAGCTAATTGGGAGGCAGACGCAGGAGAATTGCTTGAACCTGGGAGGCGGAGGTTGCAGTGAGCTGAGATTGCGCCACTGCATTCCAGCCTGGGTGACAGAGCGACACTCCGTCTCAAATAAATAAATAATTTGCATTTCTAATATGTTGATGCTGCAGCTCATCTGAAGCCCACATCTTTAAGGACCACTGTTCTATAGCACTAGACTAAAATTTGGGAAACCTGTGTCCTGAGGTCCCCCTTCTGCGTGTAACTGGTGTGTCTCTATGACAGATCACTTGGATTTACTTGGGTCTCAGTTTTCTTTTTAAGAAATGGGGTCTCTTTATGTTGCCTAGGCTGGTCTTGAACTCCTGATCTCAAACTCCCAGTCTCGTGATCCTCCCACCTCCGCCTCCCAAAGTGGTAGGATTACAGGCATGAGCCACCACACTCAGCCAGGTCTGCTTTCTTATGTACACTGTGAAAAGGAAGAGTAAGAAGTACTGGACTACATGAGTCATAAGGACTTTTTTTTTTTTTGAGGCGGAATCTCACTCTCTCACCCAGGCTGGAGTGCAATGGTGTGATCTCGGCACACTGCAACCTCTGCCTCCCGGGTTCAAGCGATTCTCCTGCCTCAGCCTCCCAAGTAGCTGGGATTTCATGCACCTGCCACCATGGCCCAGCTAATTTTTTGTATTTTTAATAGAGACGGGGTTTCACTACGTTGGCCAGGCTGGTCTCAAACTCCTGACCTCAGGTGATCCACCTGCCTCGGACTCCCAAAGTGCTGGGATTACAGGCGTAAGCCACCAAGCCTGGCCCATAAGGACTTTCAGTAAGAATTTGCACTTCTGATGAATTGCAGGTAATCCTGATACTGCTGGTCCAAGAGCCACACATTAAAAACCAAGGTACTAGTGCTATCCATTAGTGCTATCCACATGACTATTCTATGCAATTCTACTCCTAGGTATATACAATCAAAAGAAAGAAATGCATGTGTTCACCAAAATACACACAAGAGTACTCACAGAAGCTTTATTTATACTAGCTAACAACTAGAAATAAACAAGATGTCCAATAAGAATAAATTGTGCTATACTTACATTTATACAACATATATTTATACAATTATACAATGGAATATTACACAGCAATGCAAAAGAACTACTGCTTCACACAATATGGATGTATACTCATGTAATGATTAAAGCAAAAACAGACTGCCTACATTGAACGAACCACCTACTATATGATTCTGTTTATGAGTCAAGAACAAGCAAAATGAGCTGATGGTGATGAAGGTGAAAACAGGAGTCAGCAGGACAGTAAGAAGAATTGCTGGCTGGGAAGGAGCATGAAGGAACTTTATAAATGGAGATGCTCTATATCTTGATCTGGGTGGTGTACATATACGTAAAAACTCATCAAACTGTAGAGTTAAAATTTGTGTTATTTACATATTATCATATATGTCTCAATAAAAAATTTAAGGCTGGGCACGGTCATACCTGTAATCCTAGCACTTTGGGAGGCTGAGGTGGGCGGATCACCTGAGATCAGGAGTTTGAGACCAGCCTGGCCAACATGGCGAAACCCCATCTCTACTAAAAAGTACAAAAATTAGCCGGATGTGGTGGTGTGCACCTGTAATTCCAGCTACTTGGGAGGCTGAGGCAGGAGAATCACTTGAACCTGGGAGGCAGAGGTGAGCCGAGATTGTGCCATTGCACTCCAGCCTGGGTGACAGAGTGAGACCCCGTCTCAAAAATAATAATAATAATAAGTAAAATAAGATGGAAAATGATAATGAAGTTCATTATATTAATATTCTTTAAAAGCAACTTTTTTTTTTTTTTTTGAGACAGAGTCTCTCTCTGTCACCCAGGCTGGAGTGCAGTGTCATGATCTCAGCTCACCGCAACCTCCGCTTCCCAGGTTCAAGAGATTCTCCTGCCTCAGCCTCCCGAGTAGCTGGGACAACAGGTGCATACCACTACACCTGGCTAATTCTTTTTTTGTATTTTTAGTACAAACAGCGTTTCAACATGTTGGCCAGGCTGCTCTCCAACTCCTAACCTCAAGCGATCCGCCCCACTTGGCCTCCCAAAGTGCTGGGATTACAGACATGAGCCACTGCGCCCAGCCTAAAAGCAACTTTTATATAAACTAGATTTCCAAAGGAAGCACTAGGCCTAACATGACAATTAAGAAATGTAAATTCAAAGTAATAGCTATCTAATATAAGGAATTATGGAGAAAAATTCTCACTGCTTCCTGTAACATTATCCCAAAACTGATCCCAGAAGACTTATTGCTGGTATCTAAAGGTCTATATATTTAGATTCAAAAAACATACCTGGACCCCAAAAGGCCTTACAGGACCTGGCTCCTAGTTTCCTGTCCAACCTTACCTCCTAATCAAATGGGCCCTCTAATAAAAAAGGGCCTTTTTGCTGCTCCATACACAGGCCCACTTCATTCCTACTTCAGGATCTCTGCACTGGCTCTTGGTCCTGACTGGAATGCTCTTTCCCCAGAGGTTCCAAGCTAATTCTCTTGTTCCTTCAGGTCTCTGCTCAAATATCACCTTAACAGAGCCTCTAGTACCCTGTGGCACATTTCTTATAAAAGCCATAGCTAGAAAAGACGCTGTCTTGCCTCAAATTGTTAACCTTACTTATGTTAGATCATAACAACAAAACAGGGTTTCCTTTTTTTCTGTGCTTTAAAGCAAAAAGAAACAAACAAAACAAAAAACAAAAAAGATCTCCTGTTAAAATTCTGTGACCCACAGCATCATTTATCTTTAGCTTAGTCTCTTCTTCAACTCTTATCAACTCTTGCTCTTTTACATTCCTTTACAGCTTTATAGTTTGTCTTCACTGCACACCTACAAGCAGTGATCTCTAGGTTAGCTAAGTATATAACTAAGACTAACCCATAGCAATGAGCGCCTTTGCACACAGCAACTCCTAAAAAATTTTTTGATAAATAAACAAATGAGTGAATAATGAACTATGACAAGACATCTGGAAAGTTTCCGGGACGTGAGGGAAGAGGTTTTTGTTCCAGTAGACTGACTTCATACCGACACTTTTACATAAGAATGGCAACAATGATTGTCAAAAGAAAAAATTAATTTTCATCGAGCCCAGAGTCCACTTTTCTCTTCTAGTCATTAAAAAAAAAAATCCTTTCAGCCCAACTGCAGATGCCAACCATGCTCCCAATAAATAGAGGAAGTTTTTCTCAGAAGCTTCAGGAATGCAAGAGTCTGGAAGTGGAAAGGGCAAGACAGGAGTCTGAGGTAACGCGGCTACCGTGAGAGAGAGAAAGGAGACCGAGAATCTCAATACTGGGGCTGAGACGCAGCATCACTAGAGCCTGAGTCCTAATCAGGCGGTGCTGGAAGGAGGCGGGTCAGCCGGGAGTGGAGGAAGCAGAAAAGGCTCTCCCACCTCTAACGCCGCCTGGGGGTCCTGGTCGATTAGAGCATCTGAGAAGCTCTGGAAAAACCTGTCAGGAAAACAACGACTTCAGCAGGGCCCACTAACCAAGGAAAGGGGTATAAAATAAATAGCAAAGGGAAGGAAAAACACGCACCTCTGGGATGCTGCAGGTCCTGCGGCAGCCGCCGCCATTCCTCGTAGTCAATGTTGCTGCCGCCGGAGCTGCTACTATCGCGCTCAGCAGCTCCGCCACCGACCAAGGGGGAAAACTTCTGCAGAAACATCAACCGAGCTTCCGTCTTAAGCAGCCAACGAGCAGCCACGCAGCGTGCTGCTAGCGGGACGGGAGGCGACACGCGGGCGCGTGGCCGGCTGGGACAGTGGAGGACCGAGTCCTCCCAGCCCGCAACCCGGCCCGGGACCTGCGCTCCCAGTCCCCGCCCATCGTAGCCATGTTTACGGAGGCCTGGGCCTACAGGTTCTCCCTCTTTTCCACCGCGCCCACGTCCGCGGGCACTCCGACCGAGCCTCCAGGAGTAGTAGCTCAGAAGCACTTTTGTAACATACTGTTATCCCTCAAGAACGTGTACGCGCAGGGGCGTTTCCTTGTCCGTTAATAACACAAGCTACAGGCCGAGCGTGGTGGCTCACACCTGTAATCCCAGCACTTTGGGAGGCCGAGACGGGTGGATCACGAGGTCAGGAATTCAAGACCAGCCTGGCCAAGATGCTGAAACCCCGTCTACTAAAAATATAAAAACTAGCCGGGCGTGGTGGCACGCGCCTGTAATCCCAGCTACTCGGGAGGATGAGGCAGGAGAATCCCTTGAACCCGGGCGGCAGAGGTTGCAGTAAGCCGAGATCGGACCACTGTACTCCAGCCTGGGCGACAGAGCAAGACTCCGTCTCAAAAAAAAAAAAAAAAAAAAAAAAAAAAAAAAATATATATATATATATATATATATATATATAAAACACAAGCTACTTCGAGCTCCGTTTTCCCTGGGTTTTATCATGGCTTTCGTCTCCGTGATGTCACTGGCGGCTGCGTGGTCTTTTCAGTGAACAGAGGGGCCTGGATGGCGCCTGGATTCCCGCGATCATTGCGCTGGGAATGGAAAAGGGCTGGGACTCGCTAGAAGTCGTTCTGACCTAGCAGCGGCTAAAAGCCTTCTGGTGCCCGGGGAGACGCGCCCGGCGCCCGCGTACTATTCATTCCCTTCCTCATAACTCCACAGCCCAGGCTTTCTTCTTAGTGGGCTTCCCAGATCAAGAAGGAAAACCTTTTCTATACGAAAGCACTGAGGGGCGGAAGGTGGCCTGAAGTGATCTCAGGGCCGCTTTGTTTCCCAACCCAGTCGTTCAGGTCCTCCCTCAGCGCCCTTTGACCCATGCACATCCCATGGGGAAAGCTGCCAGCGCGTTCCAGGGGTGGGGTCAGATTGAGGAGCTGGAGGGAGTGGTCTTTATCTGACTTTATACCACTACCAAACTGTGTTAATTAACGTAGCTTTATAATAAGTCTTGAAGTCCTTTATTCTCCCAAGATTGCTTTGGCTTATTCTAAGGCCATTGTATTTCTAGGTGATTTTGGAATTAGCTTGTCAGTTTTAAAAAAAACAAAACTGCTGGGACTTGTACTGGGCTTGCATTGGATCTATAGATCTGTTTGGGGATAACTAGTATATTAACAATATTAAGTCCTTCAATCCATTTAAGTGGCCGTTTATTTAAGTGGCCTCTAATTTCTCCTGGCAATGTTTTGTAGATTATACACATATTTATACTTTAATGCAGCTGTGTTTGGATAGACTGCAGTATAGAGATCAAACATATCTTTCATTAGATTTCTTTTTGAATAGTGTTTTGAATGCGATGTTAAATAGCATTTTTTAAATATTCTCGTTTGTTGTAAGACTATAGAAACGCTATTGATTTTTACATATTGATGTTACATTCAAGCATCTTGCTAAGTTCCCTTATTATTTGTAATACTGTGTAGAGTCTTTTGGAATTTATGTGATGACAATCTTGCAATCGTGAATAAAGATGGTTTAACTTCTCTGTAATCTTTATACGTTTTAGTTTTGTTGCTGGCTAGTATGTCCACTATTGAATAGAAATAGTGATAATGGACTTCCTTGTCTTGGTTGTAACATCAAGAGGAAAGCATTCAATATCAAGTGCTTTTTCTGCCTTTATTGAAATGTTCATATGTATTTTTTAATAATAATATGTTATATAGTAATTTTAAAAATATTTTTAATAATAATGTTACAATGTAACCAATTACATTGGTTAATTTTCACTTGTTATCTAAATGGCCAGTTGTCCTTCCAGATCCCCATTGATTCCGATTGGGATGGTACTATAGGAGAGGCAGAGCCAGCTAAGGAGATATAAGGTTTATTCAGGACTTACATACAGGGGTGGTCCAGTGGTGGTGGGGTGGCCTGGAGAACCACTACTGTTCATAAAAAAAAGCATGTAGTCTATATAGCATTTTCACTTAGCACCCTCCTTCTAGCAACCTCCATTTAACCCAAAACAAAGGGCCTTGCTCCACTGTACAGCCTGTGTTCTAAGAGATGGAGCAGGGGTGTGGATGTCTTTCATAGATAAGGAGTGAATCTTAGTGTTGGCTACTCCTGGCTTCCTTAGCCTAGGACTCCAAACACACTTAGAATAGGGTTATTCTCAGTATGCTCCAGTTATGGCTCAGCCATACACCAAGGTGTGTACACCAGCCCCTGCCATGCACCAATATGCATATAAATATGAATAGCCTCTGAAAGGGCAAATTCCAAGATTGACCTATAGGTCCAACATGAAAAGTTCTATATTAATAGCTATGTCATGGCCAGGCGCAGTGGCTCACGCCTGTAATTCCAACATTTTGGGAGCTTGAGGTGGGTGGCTCCCTTGAGGCCAGGAGTTGGAGACCAGCCTGGGCAGCATGACAAAACCCCATCTCTACTAAAAATACAAAAATTAACTGGGCGTGGTGGTGAGCACCTGTAATCCCAGCTACTAGGGAGGCTGAGGCACAAAATTGCTCGAACCTGGGAGGCGGAGGTTGCAGTGAGCAAGGTGGCACCACTGCACTACAGCCTGGGCAATAGAGTCAGACTGTCTCAAAAAAAAAAAAATAGCTGTATCATGGACATTGAAATTATGAGATTCCAAAACTACCACCAGAATGGCTTAAATTAAAGGACTTCCAATACCAAGCATTGACAAGAATATGGAGCAACTATATGTTTCATATATTGTTGATGAGAGTTTAAATTAGTTGATCATTTTGGAAAACTGTGTGACACGGTATTAGTCTGTTCTTGCATTGCTATAAAGAAATACCTGAGACTGGGTAATTTATAAAGAAAAAATGTTTAATTGGCTCATGGTTCTGCAGACTGCACAAGAAGCATAGCAGCTTCTGCTTTTGGGGAGCCCTCAGGAAGCTTCCAATCATAGCAGAAGGCAAAGGTAGAGCCGGCATCTTACGTGGCAGGAGCAAGAGCAAGTAGGGTGGGGGGAGGTGCCACACACTTTTAAACAACCAGCTTTCCCAAGAACTCATTCACTGTTGCGAGGACAGTACCAAGGGGGATGGTACTTAATCATTCATAAGAAACCCACTCCCATGATCCAATTACCTCCCGTCAGGCCCAACCTCCAACATTGGGTATTATAATTTGACATGAGGTTTGGGTGAGGGCACATACCCAAACTATATCAGACACTATCTACTAAAGCTAGTTATACACATAACATACTGCCCAATAATTGTACCACTGGGCATATACCTGAGTATTTATGATCATATACAAGAATATTCATCGCAGCATTATCCACAGTAGCAAAAACTGGAAATAATCTAAATGTCCTCAAATTGGATAAAAAAATTACATAGCAATGAATAAGAATGTACTACTACTATACCAAACAATATGGATGAATCCTATATACATAAGTTGAGGTAAAGAAGCCAGACAGAGTATATCATGATTGATTTCATTTATATGAAGATAAAAAACTGTAGTGAGAGGTATCATAAGGGAATCTCCTGGTTGTCAGGGAGGGTGGGGAGCAGGGGCATGAAGAAACCTTCTTGGATGCAGGAAATGTTACATATCTTGATCTGGCTGGTAATCACAGAAGTGTATTGAGACATAAAATTGTATCAAGTTATACACAAGATTTGTGCAGCCTGGGTGCAGTAGCTCATGCCTGTAATCTCAGCACTTTGGGAGGCCAAGGCAGAAAAATTGCTTGAGCCCAAGAGTTCAAGACCAGCCTGGGCAAGATGGGGAGAACTTGTCTGTACAAAAAATAAATAAATAGAAAGCATTAGCCAAGCATGGTGGCATGTGCCTCAGCTATTTGGGAGGCTGAGTCAGGAGGATCGCTTGAGCCCAAGAAGTTGAGGCTATGATCATGCCACTGCACTCCAGCCTGGGCAACAGTGCGAGCCTCTTTGTCTTTAAAAAAACAACAGCAACAACAACAACAACAAAAATGTTTCACTTTATTTATTTTGCAGACTAGCTTGGGGAGAAATGATATCTTTCCCTTGTATTGCCTTTTCCTGTCCATGAACACAATTGCTTGCTTCATTCATTCCGTTTCTCATATCTTTTAGTAAACTTTTATAATTTTCTCCATAAATTCTTGGCATCAGTTTATTGAAACCTTGGGAGGAAGGACAGACAAATACTTAAGAAGTCATTGATAAAATATGTTTTCATATTCAAATGACACAACTAAATATGCCAATGTACTTCGCTTGGTTAATTTAAAGAAGGTGAAGAATAACCATGCTGGATTAGGGGACATTTCTTGAAGGATAGTTGGTCTTCAACTCGAAGAGTGAAAATATTTAGTCACTTATCCTGTGTTACCTAACATCTTCCTATGAAAGGGATCATTTTCATTCATTTGAAAGAGAAAATCTTCCCAATCTAATGTCGAGGCCATCCTTAAGTAAGCGTGTTACACTTGATAATTTCCTTTCGAACTGAATCTAACAAGACTATCTTATTTGTATCTTTTTCACAATAAAGCTTTCCCAAAGAGAGGTTTATGAATTTGTGCACTTTACAAAGTTTTATATACGGATTTGTGCACTTTACAAAGTTATACTTTAATAAAATAGAAAAAAGATTTAAAGCAAAATCACTAATAATCAAAATTTAAAATGTAAAAAGCCATGACATTTACAGTAACATAAAAAATATTAAATACTAAAAAGTAAATCTGACAAGAGATATGCAAGACATGTGCACTGGAAACTATAAAACATTGCTGAAAGAAATTAAAGAAGACTCGGGAGGCCGAGATGGGTGGATCGCCTGAGGTCGGGAGCTCAAGACCAGCCTGAACAACATGGAGAAACCCCGCCTCTATTAAAAATACAAAATTAGTCGGTCATGGTGGCACATGCCTGTAATCCCAGCTCCGCGGGAGGCTGAGGCAGGAGAATCACTTGAACCCAGCAGGCGGAGGTTGCGGTGAACCAAGATTGCGCCACTGCACTCCAGCCTGGGCAACAAGAGTGAAACTCCGTCTCAAAAAGAAAAAAAAAAAGAAAAGAAAAGAAAGGAAAAGAAAAGAAAAAGAAAAAAAGAAAAGAAAAGAAATTGGCCAGGCGCGGGGGCTCACGCCTGTAATCCCAGCACTTTGGGAGGGCGAGGCGGGCGGATCACGAGGTCAGGATATGGAGACCATCCTGGCTAACACGGTGAAACCCCGTCTCTACTAAAGAAATACAAAAAAACTAGCCGGGCGTGGTGGCGGGCGCCCGTAGTCCCAGCCACTCGGGAGGCTGAGGGAGGAGAATGGGTGAACCCGGGAGGCGGAGCTTGCAGTGAGCCGAGATTGCGCCACTGCACTCCAGCCTGGGCGAGAGAGCGAGACTCCATTTCAAAAAAAAAAAAAAAAAATTAAAGAAGACTGAAAAATGGAGAGCTCCTCCAAATTGATGAGTCAAAGACTCAATATTGTTGAGATCTTCCGAGACTGACCTATAGACTCAACATGATCCCAATCAAAATCCCAAGTGGGGCTGTAATCTCAGCTACTGGGGCCTGAGACAGGAGGCCAGAAGTTCGCTTGAGGCCAGGAGTCCGAGACCAGCCTAGGCAATATAACAAGACCCCATCTCTGAAATAAAATAAAACTAAAAATCCCAGAGGCTTTTCCCTTTTAGAAGTTGACAAACTGATTGTAAAATTCAAGTAGAGGCCGGGCACGATGGCTCATGCCTGTAATCTCAGCATTTTGAGAGGCCGACGTGGGCGTATCACCTGAGGTCAGGAGTTCGAGACCAGCCTGGGCAACATGGCAAAACCCCGTCTCTACTAAAAATACCAAAATTAGCCGGGCGTGGTGGCAGGCGCCTGTAATCCCAGCTACTTGGGAGGCTGAGACAGGAAAATTGCTTGAACCCGGGAGGCGGAGGTTGCAGTGAGCCGAGATCGTGACACTACACTCCAGCCTGGGCGACAGAACGAGACTCTGTCTCGGGAGGAAAAAAAAAAAAAAGCAAATTGTACAGCTTTCCCATGAGATGCAAATTCAGTAAGTATGGGGTGGAACCAAAAAATTTGCATTTTAAGAAAAACATCGGCAGGGTACAAGGGCTCACTCCTGTAATCTCAGCACTTTGGGAGGCTAAGCGGGGGCGGATCTCTTGAGCCCAGGAGCTGGAGACCAGCCTAGGCAACATGGCAAAAACCCCTTTCTACAAAAATACAAAAAAAAAAAATTAGCCAGGCACAGTACACACCTGTGGTCCCAGCTACTCAGGAGGCTGAGGAACTCTTGAGCCCCAGGAGGCGGTGGTTGCAGTAAGCCAAGATTGTGCCACTGCACTCCAGACTTAGTAACAGAGCGAGAAACTGTCTCAAAGAAAAAAAAAAAAGGATAACACTGAAATAGTTGGCCTAGGAACCCAGTTTGATGGAGGAATTTGAATGGTAAGCTAAGGATTTTGGACTTTATCCTACAAGTAGAAAGGTATTGAGGGTTTCCATATATGAACATTATGTATTCCCAAGGGATATTTTTATTTGATTTTTTTGAGACAGGGTCTCATTCTGTCACCCAGGCTGGAGTGCAGTGCTGTAATCACAGCTCACTGCAGCCTCAACCTCCCAGGCTCAACAGATCTCCCACTTCAGCCTCCTGAATAGCTGGGACTACAGGCTCTTGCCACCATGCACTGTGATATTTTTACTTTTTCTGGAGATGGGGTCTCACTATGTTGCCCAAACTGCCAAGGGATATTTTAGAAAGACTATTCTGTAAATAGGTGCATGATTGTGATACAATAAAAACATTTTATTTGGCTTTTATCCCTAGGTTCCTGACACCCTAGCTTCTGAAACCTTTGGCATTTAGAAGGGAAGAGCATCTTTTGTTATTCGTAACAAGCTCCTTTCAACCATACCTGAGTTTATGCTAATAAGGTGGACACTTCATGGGTCCCCAGATAGTTTCAGGATGGGAAATGATTTCCAGAGAAACCAACCATGTAATTAGAATTGGAACTTTCAGTCCCATCCCCAAGGAGAGGAGAGGGTGTAGAGATTGAGTTCAATCACCAATGGCCAATGATTTAATCAGGCATGCCTATGTAATAAAAGCTTCATTTAAAAACTCGTAAAATGATGGTGTCTGGAGAACATCTAGGCTGGTAAACACTTTGAGGTGCTAGGTGGGTGGCACATCGTGAGACGGCAGAGCAGCTCTGTTCACTTCCTCCCATTCATTGCTTTATGCATTTTTCATTTGGCTGTTCATGAGCTCTATTCTTTATAATAAATTGACATAAATGTAAACCAGTAAATTGGTTCCCTGAGTTTTGTGTGCTCTTTTAGCAAATTATCCAACCTAAGTGGGTGGGGGTCATGGGAACCCCTGATTTATAGCTAGCTGGTCAGAAGTACAAGTGGAAACCTGGGACTTGCAATGGGCATCTGAAGGAGGGGCAGTTTTGAGAGACTAAGCCCCTTAACCTGTGGGGTCTGTGCTAACTCCAAGTGGTTAGGGTCAGAATTGAACTGAATTGTAGGACAAAGACACCCAGTTGGTGTCAGAACTGGGTGTGGGTGTGAAAAAATCCCAAGCTTTTAGTGTCAGAAGTGTGAGTAAAAACAGTTCATATTGATAAACTAAGAGTTCACAAGCAGGAAGTCACTTGGGAGGCTATTGTCTGTTTTGTTCACTGACCTACCTCCAGCACAGAGAATACTGCCTGCCACAAAATACACACTCATATATGGTTTAAGTGAATAAACGGTGGCAAGAATAACATAGAAAAGACTACAACTAGGATGATAGCTATAGATATAAAAAAGGAATATATGGATACATAAGATATTCTAATGGGGGAAAAACAGGTTCCTCAGTAGCTGGTACTTAGTTAAAACCAAAAGACTAAGCTTTTGAAGTCCTAAGGTTCTTACTATATGACTTTCTTCTCCCTTTTTTTTTTTTTTTGAATACAGGGTCTCCCTCTGTCACCTAGGCTGGAGTGTGGTGGCATGATCATGGCTCACTGCAGCCTCCATCTCCCTGCCTCAAGTGATCCTCCTGCCTTGGCCTCCCAAGTAGCTGGGACCACAGGAATGCATCACTACACCTGGCTAATTTTTTGAATTTTTGTAAAGATGACATCTCACTATGTTGCCCAGGCTGGTCTTAAACTCCTGGGCTCAAGTGATCCTCCCACCTCGGCCTCCCAAAGTGCTGAGATGACAGGCGACAGACACTGCACCCGGACTTCTTTTCCCATCTTTAAAATTTCAGTATTCATGGTAATTGTACACTATTCCAATAACCTTAAATAACAGTGTCTCTAAAAATTCTTATACTATACTTCTTAAAGTAAAAAAAACCCATACACAATTTAAATGGTGTTACTATTATAAATAGAGTTTATCTGGTATCTCCTATAAGGATAACTGACTCAAAAATAATGCAAGATCCTTAATTTTTAAAAAACCATTATGTACTGTATGCTATGGCTGGAATGTTTGTTCCCTCCAAAACTCATGTTGAAATTTAATTGCCAAAGTAAAGGTATTGGGAGGTGAGGCCTTTAAGCAGTGATTAGACCAGGAGGGCTCCACCTTCATGGATGGGTTTAATGCCTTCATAAAAAGGCTTGGCTGGGTGCAGTGGCTCATGCCTGTAATCCCAGCACTTTGGGAGGCTGAGGCGGACGGATCACCTGAGGTTGGGAGTTCGAGACCAGCTTGACCAACATGGAGAAACCCCACCTTTACTAAAAATAGAAAATTAGCCGGGCGTGGTGGCACATGCCTGTAATCCCAGCTACTTGGGAGGCTGAGGTAGAAGAATCACTTGAACCTGGGAGACGGAAGTTGAGGTGAGCTGAGATCACGCCATTGCACTCCAGCCTGGGCATCAAGAGCAAAAATCTGTCTCAAAAAAATAAATAAATAAATAAATAAAAAGTCTTTTGGAAGTGGAAGTGGGCTGTCTTTGCTTTTCTGTCTTCGCCATTTGAAGATGAAGCCTTCTTCCCCTCCAGAGGACACGGTGTTCAGGCACTGTTTGGAATGAGAACCGTCAAACCTGCTGGTGCATTGATATCGGACTTCCCAGACTCCAGAACTGTGGGCAAATCAATTTCTGTTCATTATAAATTACCCAGTCTCAGGTATTCTGTTATAGCAGCAACAAAGAAAATGAACTAAGACACTGATATTCACTATCTATGTGGTGAAAAAACCATAAAACTAACTTATCTAGTTAAAAAGGTTTTATTTAACTAGATTTTGGTATACTAATATAGTATTACACAGCCTTTAAAATCACATTTTGGAAGAATATTCACAAACATGAAAAAATGAGTAAGTGAAAGTTACTTCTGGATATGGGGTATTGGATTACAGAGATTTTAATTTTCATAAGAAAATTTTTCTATGTTTTCCAAGTTTAACTACTAACTGACCTAGTTTCTAACTAGAAAACTTGTTTTCAAAAGAGTGCTTAGGTGGGGCATGGTGGCTTACGCCTGTAATCCCAGCACTCTGGGAGGCCGAAGCGAGTGGATCACCAGAGATCAGGAGTTCAAGACCAGCCTGGCCAACATGGTGAAACCCTGTCTCTACTAAAAATACAAAAAATTAGCTGGATGTGGTGGTGGGCACCTGTAATCCCAGCTACTTGAGAGGCTGAGGCAGGAGAATAGCTTGAACCTGGGAGGTGGAGGTTGCAGTGAGCCAAGGTCACGCCACTTTACTGCAGCCTGGGTGACAGAGCTAAGACTCTGTCTCAAAAACAAAACAAAACAAAAGTGTGTTTAATATTATTGCTGGGAATATTTTATTGTTGTCTAATTTTTACAACTTGGTAATCCATTGTGTGATGTTTAGAAATTGCCATTTGGCCTGCTAGAAAGGAAAAGTGAAAGGATGATATTCTGCAATTCTGACTAATGAAATTTATTTATAAACATTAAGTAATGCTGATGTTCTAGTAATATTCTCTGCACACTTATTCTTTAAGAAACTTTTGCCTGAAAACAGACACTGAGAATTTTTATATGATTTATTTAATAATAAACCAATTAAAGATACAAAAATGTTTAGAGGATTCCAAAATTTAAATTTTTGTTTAAATACAAATTCACTCTGTAATATGAAAACATAGCATTAGACCTCTAAACATAATGATTTTTTTCATCTACAAAAATTTCTGTTATACTAGAAAATTTGCAGAAGACATTTTTTTCTTGTGACATTAAATGTACATTATTTACAGTTGAAAAAGTAATCTAAAAACATTTCATTTCAGAAAGTTGGATATATATGTTATCTTTGTATGCAACCCCCCCCAAGTCCGCCCCCAGTAAAAAATGATCCAAAATATAAAGCAATTATGCTTTTATAACTGACTACTCAGCCAGATTAGCCCAAGGCTCAAGTTGCTTTCTTGGCCCTTAAGAAAGAGTCTTGACTCTCTCAAAATAGCAGTATTCTGTTTAGCACTTAGCAACACAAGTTTACTAATGGACCGCAAAGCACAGTGGCCTAAAGAGTTAGTAAACAAATTATTTAGGAAGAATTTATGGCAGATCTTACCCATAACAGATGAATAAATTTTGTTGGGTCACTTATTTCTCTGCAACATTTTAGCTATTCTTACATTAGGAAATAACCTGATAATGATTTAATTGACATAACTTGAAAATATAGGTATTAGAATTAAAAAAATTAGAACTAGAAGAGAAAGTGGTGATCATCTAGTCTAATCCAATACATCTCTTCCTTTTATGAGAGGAACTAAAGCCCAAAGAGGTCAAGATTACATAGCTAGTTAGTGGGAGTGCCATTCTTAGGCTGATGCTTTTATACTATCCTGCTTCTGAAACAGGGTCAGCCATACCACCAGCACCTCCAATTTTTCATGTTATTCTACATATTCATAGTTCTATATTATATAGTGCAGTCAACTAAAGTCAATCTAAGTGACACCATAATTTTAACAAAGCATAAAATAGGTTTTTTGCATTTGAAAGAGTCAAGACTTAACTTACACAAGTGGAATGAAAATAGTTCCTATATAAATTTCCTGTTGCCTTCTATTTAAGTTCTGTATTTACAAAAGAATCAGAAAATCTAATACAATGTAAAATTAGAAAAGAAACTTTAAAAATGCTTATGATATAGCAACTGAAATAAAAATCTCAAAAGAATGTCTTCATAGTGTAAAATGCCTGTTCCTTCACGATTGAATTCTGAAACATTTAGATAACAAAGAGAAACAGTTGAGTTTTCCTCCCTCATCTAACAAAGTCAAAATTAACTCTATTTTTAACAATTACAAAATTAGAAACCTCCTTAGAATTTATCTTAGAATCAGTCAGTCTGCATATAATTGAAAATGTTCAATTAACAAACAATTATTCATAAGCTTTGGTATATTAACTAAAAAGAGTTGGGTTCCAGCAGTTCGTTTTGTTTCATAGCTACCTGAGAAGTAAATCCATTGGAACTGGACACTACCATCACATAAGGCTGTGGCTGCTGCTCCGTTTTCTCAGTGTTCTCTTTCAAATGATCTTCAGATTCCTTTTTCTCTACTTCCTGTGTAAGAGTTTTTGTTTCTTGAGTTTTGATAACTGAAGTGATTACAGTGCCAGGTGGGTGAGCAACCAGCTGTGAACTGCGAGGAGAAAAGGTCACCACAGGTGCAGTAGCACTGAAGGATGGAGAGGAAGCCACACTGACGGTTCCATTGCAAATGGTCTGAACATTGCTAGTAAGGACCTGCTGAACCTGGGCAGGGCCCAAGACAATTGAAGGAGGAGAGCCCGCCTTTTGTGACTGCAGCATGACATTTTCTTTCAGTACTGTCATGGGCTGTGATGATGGAATGGCTTGTAAAATAAACTTCTGAGATCCAGTACCTGCTGATGGATCTGTGCTGGCTATAACTGTTGTGAGTGGCACTGTTTGGAGTGTTACTGTATGCAACTGCTGATTCCTAGGAGACACAACCACTGGAACTTGGGTTGGAGCCTGTATAGTCCTATTGAGATGATGAAATTAAAGTGAGACAATTAGCATATTCTACATCATTTAAAACTTTAACACTTGACAAGTCATTTTACAAAATACCAGTTATGTGTTTCAAAATGCTGCTTCCCATATTTTCAACAGAGCATGACCAATATCATGCCAGACTTTGTATTAAACACTACATACAGAGATGCCTAACACAAAACTCTCAGGCCATTAACTATGATACCATCTGCTGAGTGCTATGGAAGAAAGGTCTGTACATAGGGCCACATTAACACAAATGAGGAGCTAATTTTGTTGGGGAAGGAGGAGGATGTTAAAATGCTTAGCAAGAAGTTTGCATGAGCTTCTTAAAATTAGGAATTTAAAAGCAAATCTGTTTGATTCATTCCTGCTTTTTTTTTTTTTTTTTTTTTTTTAGATGGAGTTTCACTCTTGTTGCTCAGGCTGGAGTACAGTGGCGTGATCTTGGCTCACTGTAGCTTCTGCCTCCTGGGTTCAAGCCATTCTCCTGTCAGCCTCCCGAGTAGCTGGGATTATAGTCACGTGCCACCACGCCCGGCTAATTTTTGTAGTTTTAATTGAGATGGGGTTTTCTATGTTGGTCAGGCTGGTCTCAAAGTCCTGACCTCAGGTGATCCACCCGCCTCGGCCTCCCAAAGTGCTGGGATTATAGGCATGAGCCACTGTGCCCGGCCTGCTATTTTAATATTTGAGAGATAATGTTACCAACATGCTCATCCACAATAATTACCAAAATTCATATAATTGTATTCAACCTGTTTTTACATATAAAGGGAGAAGTGCTTAATTAACCTAAACAAAAAACCTACCTCAGTCTTAACCATATGACAGAATTCTTAGAATTTTAATAGCTCACATTTCATGTCATATTTAGATGAAACAAGCCATGATTATAATTAACCTGTCAGGGCTCTTGGACTGGTAGAGAAAATATGGCTAAGCTTTGGAAAAATACATAGAAGCATGTTTTAGCAGTTTTCCAGGTTCAAATAATTTTCACAAATTTTGGTCATAAAGCTACAGTTTAACATAAAATCCTTTAATGCAAAATCTAGTTTATGTAGGTTGTTAATCCCACTCATTGAAGAGAAAGTTACATAAATGATATTATGAGTCAATCTAATTTAAAAAGTTCACAGCTCTGAAATTTATAGTTAAGGTTATTGTTAATATAGTATAAAACAAATGGTGTTGAAAAATCTCAGTATCTGGATGTCAACTGTTTCCTTTGAATTCTGTAAAGTTATTTAATGAAAGATACTTGCTATTTCAAACAGCTGACAGCTAGACTAGTCTCCATAAACCAAGCGTTAAATATTACCACTAGATTATTAAAGCTACATTTTGAAAGTTAGTTATGCAGTCTGTTTCTCACATATGAGAAATAAAATAGTGGAGGAGAAAAACAAATTGGCTTGGTGGAAAGATGAAACAAAGACCCAGAGCAATTCAGGACACGTTCAAAAGAAGTGGGAATAAAGACACAGGATGACTAGAGCCCGCCCATTCACGCAGGATACAGATTACCAAACTTAGATGGCCACCCAAGTTCTCTTGCCCATTTGATTCAGGGAAATCTGGGGTGAGATGGGAGCCTGGGTACAGTACCTGACGCTATAGCCAGATACCATTTTTTTTTTTTTTTTGAGATGGAGTCTCGCTCTGTTGCCCAGGCTGGAGTGCAGTGGTGTGATCTCAGCTCACTGCAACCTCCACCTTCCAGGTTCAAGCAATTCTCTGCCTCAGCCTCCCGAGTAGCTGGGATTATAGGCACCCGCCACCATGCCCAGCTAATTTTTTTGTATTTTTAGTAGGAACAGGGTTTCACCACGTTGGCCAGGCTGTTCTTGAACTCCTGACATCATTGGCATCACGTGAGCCACCGTGCCCAGCCCAGATACCATTTTTAAATAAAAAAGGCCTAAGGGCTTCCCATGACAAGAGTTTACATAACATACACATAGATAAAATAGTACTTGGCATATAGTTAGCACACAGATTACATCAATATGCATAACCTTATAATATGTATAACCTTGCCACCCTACAAATATTATCCCCATCTTACATACGAAAACACTGATGCACAAACAGGTTGCAACAGCTTGCATAAGGTGACCAGTTAGAGAAGAAGAGAGGCCATCTGACTGCAGAGCCGATGTGCCGCCTTACCATTACAACAGACTGCCGCCACTTAAGTCCTGAGCAACTTCATCTTTAGTAAATACTAAAGATGAGTATTTATTATTCTATCCTTAAACAATAGGCAGTTACAACTCTCTAATATATGCCTCTCTCATTCTTCTTTCCTTCTGTAAGGTATGACACAAGCAATAATGTACTTGGAAATTTTCCATATTGCTAATCAGGGCTACCACTAGGACTTCGCTGCTTCTGTTTAAATTAGAAAAAGATGTCCTTTTCTTGGCCGGGCACGGTGGCTCATGCCTGTAATCCTAGCACTTTGGGAGTCCAAGGTGGGTGGATCACAAGGTACAGAGTTCAAGACGGCCTGGTCAACATGGTGAAACCCCATCTCTATTAAAAATACAAAAATTAGCTGGGCATAGTCGGGTGTGGTGGCGGGCGCCTGTAGTCCCAGCTGCTGGGGAGGCTGAGGCAGGAGAATGGCGTGAACCTGGGAGGCGGAGCTTGCAGTGAGCCGAGATCGCGCCACTGCACTCCAGCCTGGTTGACAGAGCAAGACTCCGTCTCAAAAAAAAAAAAAAAAAGAAAAAAAAGAAAAAAAAAATTAGCTGGGCATGGTGGCGCGTGCCTATAATCCCAGCAACTCGGGAGGCTGAGGCAGGAGAACTGCTTGAACCAGGAGCTGGGAGGTGAAGGGAGCAGTGTGAGTGAGATCGTGCCACTGCACTCCAGCCTGGGCTACAGAGGGAGACTCAGTCTCAAAAAAAAAGTCCTTTTCTTGAGACACCTGACTGCCATCTGTCAGAAAATGCATACACTTATCTATACCATCTACGATGCAAATATATTGGCTTATTGGAACAAATTCTAAAACAATTTTCAATAATACAAATTCAGAGATTAAATAAAATATTATTAAGTCTTTGCCAACCACAGAATTACTTTCTTCTTAGTTAATGATTAAACTGTCAGTTGCGTCTGGTTGTATTATGTAATACAGATTCTATTACAGCTGACTACTTTTTAAAAATCTCCTAAGCTGCTTGTAAACAACTGGAAAAATATTGCTAATTTACAATTTATCAAAATTTCTGAAACTAACACAGACCATATAACATTTAGCATTTGTTGAGGATCTACTCAGGTGTCAGGTGTCATTTAATTGTCACAGCCAAGTGGAAGGTTAAATATTATCATCTGTGCTTTACAGATAAGGAAACAGACTCAAAATAATTAACGTGATTCAATTTCACATCTAATAATTAGCAAGGCTGAAGAGCTGAAAATTTTTTTTGAGACAGAGTCTCACCCTGTCACTTGGGCTGGAGTGCAGTGGCGCCATCTCAGCTCACTGCAACCTCTGCCTCCCAGGTTCAAGCGATTCTTCTGCCTCAGCCTCCCAAGTAGCTGGGATTACAGGCGCCCGCCACTACGCCTAGCTAATTTTTTGTATTTTTAGTAGAGTCGGGTTTTCACCATGTTGGGAAGGCTGGTCTCGAACTCCTGACCTCGTGATTCACCCGCCTCGGCCTCCCACAGTGCTGGGATTACAGGCATGAGCCACCGCGCCCAGCTTCTATATGCTTTTAGGATAACCTACACATTATACATTTTCACAGGTTTGTTTATTTATTTACTTGAGACGGGGTCTCACTCTGTAGCCCCAGCTGGAGTGCAGTGATGCAATCTTGGCTCACTGCAACCTCTGCCCCTCCTGAGTTCAAGTTATTCTCCTGCCTCAGCCTCCTGAGTAGCTAGGATTACAGGTGCCTGCCACCATACCCAGCTAATTTTTGTATTTTTAGTAGAGACGGGGTTTTGCCATATTGGCCAGGCTGGTTTCAAACTCCCGACCTCAGGTGATCCACCCGCCTCGGCCTCCCAAAGTGTTGGAATTACAGGTGTGAGGCACTGCACCTGGCCAGGATAATTTATTTAAAAGATCCTAAGAAAAATTATTAATGCTTGGATAAATAAAAGTTATGCTAGGTAAAATGGTCTCCAATGTTTACCAAGGGGCAATTTTCAGAAAATAGTTTACCAGCAGTTTATTTCTGTTGTTGTTTCTTTGACTACCATGAAGCCAGAATCAAACTGGCTTCTTTTTGTAAATTTGTAAAAACTGAGCATATATACTGTACACCAATTAAGAAAAGCTTAACTGAATCAACATAGATACATGCAATCACATGAAATAAAAAGAAATGAGTGAAGGACAAAATTAAGATGTTGCTGTTTTACTGTAAATAACTGACAATTCCTGTGATTTATGTAAATCGGTAGGCAGTGTAGCAAGTCATTAACTTCAATGCTTGCAGCTAAACAGCTAGCATTAAAATACTATCTCCACCATCTGCTACATGTGACCAAGTTCCCTGGTCTCTCCTTGCTTCAGTTTCCACATCTATAAAACGGGGATATTATCTATTCTCATTGAGCTATGAGGATTCTATGCCTCACTATATGTAAAGTGTATGAAGTACAAAGAGTGCTCTGTGTCAGCTCTTGTTGTTATATTAATAATTTATCTAATTATATATATAATCATATACATTCCATCTTCTCTCAACCACAGGGAAAAAAGTTAAAAGCCTCTGATTTTATTAATAAGTCATCAAAAATCAAGAAAGATATAGTCAAAGAGAAAAAAAGGTATAAATAAATAGAGAAAACAAATAATGCAAAATGCTATCAATTTGTGAATTTAGGTGGATAGTAAATAAGTGTTCATAGTACTAGCTGAATTTTTCCATACTTTGAAATTTTCCATAGTAAAAGGTTGGGTAATTACAAAAATGCAAACAAAAAATATAAGAAATAACAAAACCAGAACTTGTCCTAATAAAAAACCATTCTAGGCCAGATGCAGTGGCTCACACTTATAATCCCAGCACTTCAGGAGGCCAAGGTGGTAGGATTGCTTGGTTGGTCTTGGTTCAAGACCAACAAAGTAAAACCCCATTTCTACAAAAAATTAAAAAATTAGCTGGACATGCCTGTAGTCCCAGCTATGAGGAAGGCTGAGGTGAGAGGACTGCTTGAGTCCTGGAAGTAGGATGCAGTGAGCTATGATGGTGTCATTACACTCCAGCCTAGGCAACAAAGCTAGCTAGACTTTGTCTCAAAAAAACAAAACAAAACAAAAACCTACTCTATAATATCTACAATTTAGTATCTTTCAAAGCTAGAGTTTTTTGTTTTGGTTTTATTCTCACAGTCTAAAAAGAATATTTTGAATACAGATGCTAAAAAAATTCCATGGAATCAGCTGTGGCCACTGTAGGTCTCCTATCAACACAAATACAAACAACAAACAGCCTAGAAACCAATGGGAGGAACCACACACTCCCAACCAGACACCCAGTCATCACCTGTAACCCACAGGGCCTAGGGAAATATAAAACATTAAGGGGAGAATACGGACAGTAAGAGTTAAATAAGCACCCACTGAGCATCCCAAATCCGAAAATCTGAAATCTAAAATATGAAACTTTTTGAGCACCAATAAGATGCTCAAAGGAAATGCTCACGGGAGCATTGTGGATCTCAGATTTTTGGATTTGGGATGCTGTGCCGGGTAAGTATAATGCAACGATTCAAAATCCGAAACAATTCTAAATCCAAAATATTTCTGGTCCCAGGCATTTTGGATAAGGGCTACTCAAGATATACTCCTTTAATAACAGTTAAAAGATGTAGCATCCAATTAAAAATGTAAAGGTCATCTTTGTACTCCTTGCAAATCAAGTGAAGATTTAAGAGAATATTTTCACAAGGTCAAACATTTTAAATTGTCTATACAAAGAAGACTGAATCTTCTAAGTCTGCCTTGATTCTAGGTAATGTTACCTTACTCCAAGATCAACTGAGCAAAACCTCCACATTTATATTCTGGAATATAAAAATGTAAGACTGAAGTTTGCTAATAAAAGTAATCAAATAATAATTTTTATTGGCTTTGAAAGGGCTGCTAGATTTTATTATGGTTCATGTTCTAGAAATTCATGACAGTATAAACAGAAAAATGCTACAAATATCCATATAATTTTCTGCCTTCCTCCCATACTCCCATTCTAAGTCAGCTGAGACTAGTCCCAAATTTCTGCAGATCAGTCTAAGGCAGACAGATCCTCTCAGTCAATTTGTTGTTTAGCATCTCATCCTGGGGCTCTGAGGCAAATCTGATTTA
Source organism: Homo sapiens (assembly GCF_000001405.40). Taxonomy (NCBI): domain Eukaryota; kingdom Metazoa; phylum Chordata; class Mammalia; order Primates; family Hominidae; genus Homo; species Homo sapiens. The sequence goes on from NC_000013.11 coordinate 40,940,383, forward strand.
ACTGAAAAAAAAAAAAAAAAAAAAAAAAAAAAAAAACAAACCTACTTTTTCAACTTCTGCCACTCTAAAAGAGGACCTTAGATTCTTGGCCTCCCTTCCTATTTGAACTTTAGAATTGTTCGAAGATAGGATCTTCCAAGGAATAACATTTATTGCTTGGAACTCTATGCACTCTCAATGTCCTAATATGTCAATTTATGTTGAATTTTTGAAGCTTCTGACTTGGCCTGAATAAAGATTTGAAACCCTGGATTTTCTCCCATCTAGATAATTTCTTATATGTATCAATCCAGTTATACAAAGGTGTAGTATTTGACAGAATAATGCCAGTAATGTCAAAATGTAAATAAAGGGACCAGTGGCATAATCAGAGGACTGACATAATAGTAACTGCTCCTGAAAAATCTGGTAACCAAGAATTCTAGCTTGAAACCTTTATACTTTTATTTTCATTTCTGAATCTTGACCCACTTAACAAATAATGTCTCTGGTCAGAAACATATTGAAGTGATAAGCATCAGTAGTTTGGTTTTCTCACCTAATACTCTGAACGGAAGAATTTAATGTTTCATCCTGCATGGTACTGGTTCTAGCTGCTTCTCCCTCTGGGACAGCCTGTACTGGCTGTACTACATGAACAGTCCGGAAGAGCTGGGTAGGATATGGAGACTGCGTGGGCTGCACTGTCCTCAAAACTTCTGATGGTTGTGCAACTTCCACAGGATCTTTGGGTTTTGCAGCTTTAGAATTCCCTGGTTTTAGAACTGTAGTGGCTCCTCCTTTTACCCCTGGACTTGAAGATACTCTCGACCGGCTGGTTTGATTCCTATTTGAAGTGGCTGATGAAGATAGCGATGGATCTGAAGACTCTATGCTGGAACTTGGATCCTCATCATTTATATATATAAGATCTTTTGGCATTTCTTTAAACTGATACACCAAGCGCTGACCTTCCACTTTTGCCAGAATACCCCTTTGGTAATAGTACCTATTCAAAGCAGACAATTTCATCAATCAATCAAACATCAATTAAAATATTCAACAAAATCAAATTTCCCTAATCATAAACAAAACTTTAAAGTTGGAATCAAACTAATGAGAAAAGAATTTCTAAATAAAGGGCTGTTATTTTATATGAGATAAACATACATTTATGCACAGATAGAGATAAGTTCTTATTACCAACTAAATCTAAAACTAATGCTGATTGGGGGACTGTTGATAAACTATGTGGAATCCTCTGGTCTTTCACTTTTCTTCCTCTTTCTGCTAACTTATTTACTTATTTATTTGGAGACAGAGTCTTGCTCTGTTGCCCAGGCTGGAGTGCAGTGGCATGATCACAGCTCACTGCAGCCTTGAACTCCTGGCCTTAAGCAATCTTTCCACGTCAGCCTCCTCAGTAGCTGGGACCACAGGCGCATGCTACCACACGTGGCTAATTTTTGCATTTTTTGGCAGAGACTGGGTTTTGCCATGTTGCCCAGGCTGATCTGGAACTCCCAGGCTGAAACGATCCTTCCTTCTCAGGCTCCCAAAATGCTGGGATTATAGAAGCGAGCCACCACACTCAGCCCCCCTCTGCCAACTTGCCAGGATAATCAAAACTACCAAAAGCCTCAAGAAATTGTTTCTCCTCCACGGCTTTCTAGAAATGTTCCTACTAGGCAAATTTTATCAGTTTAAATTTGATTCAATAAATTTAAATTGGCAAATGTATCAGTTTAAATTTGATTCAGTAAATTTGATTGACTTTTGTGTATAAAATTTAACCATATGCAATAGCAGTGATCCAACTTTTGTCATCTATTTTAACAAAATCAAGAACTTAAAAAGTGTATGTTAAAAAAACCCAAAAACTGTAATTAAAGAGTTTTAGTTTAAGACTGCTAAATTTTATATCTATATCTGTCTATCCCCTAAAAGTCATTCAGATCGTTCTTATTTCCAATACATCTTTCTCAAATACATGCGTATCTTGAAGGATAAATGACAGAATCACCGAAAAACGAACTAAAAGTGAGCTTAAGAATGTTACTCTTGTTCAAAATTCTCATGATTTCTAGTAGTACTCCTGAAGCACTGATTTATTCTACTATAATAACTAACATATCATACTTGCAATTCATGTTTGAGAATGCACCCTCTTTTTTTTTGAGACAGGGTCTCACTCCAGTTGCCCAAGCTGGAGTTCAGTAGTACAATCTGGATCACTGCAGCCTCAACCTCCCGGGCTCAGGTGATTCTCCCACCTCAGCCTGCCGAGTAGCTGGGACCACAGGTGCATACCACCACGCCTGGCTAATTTTTTGTATTTTTAGTAGAGACAGGGTTTTGCCATGTTGCCCAGGCTGGTCTTAAACTCCTGGACTCAAGCAATCCACCGGCCTCAGCCTCCCAAAGTGTTGGGATTACAGGCATGAGCCACCGCACCTGACTGAAAATGTACCCTCTTATTATGTATTTGCATTACCACTATTGGTGCTTTGCTGAACTTAAGCTTAGTATTTTTTTTTACAATTTAGAAAATGATATTCTTAACACAATAAAATACCAAAACTTCGCATACCTGAGTGCTCTTCCCATGGTCTCATAATTCATATCAGGTTTGTTTTTGTGCTTCCCCCACAACCTGGACACTGCTTTAGAATCCACCAATTTAAAAATGCCTTTCTCTCGCTGGGTCCACTTGATGTATTTAGGACAAGTAGCCTTGTCCTGGAGCAGTGCCAGTAAAAACTCCCAAAGATAAATTGTGTTTCCTGAAACAAAAACAATTTCTTTCTAAATGACCAAAATTTCATTTAAAAGAACCTCAAAAAAGACAACTAAAAGTCTTAGAAGTGCCATTTATATTTATACAAAAATATTACATAATTCAGTTAGTATTGGTGACATAATTTAGTTAGTATGGGTGATATAATGGTCATAATTTTTAGCATCTAATAAAGATCTTTTTATGAGTCCCATATAAAATATGTGAACAAAGCAATCTTGTCATAAGATTTGTGATGATTTAGGAGAAAGTACTTTGAGATAATTTTTTTCTGTCTCTTTGTGAACTCTCTCAACAGTAGTTCTCTTTAGATTAGAGCCAGCAGGTCGGCCATAACAGTTTTCTTCAAATTTGGGCAACAGTTATACAAATGCTTGAATTTCAAGACAACATATTAAAGGGTCTATGAACTGAAAATCTAACCTGGTTAAATTCTTCCAAGAGTCTCTTTATTAAATGAAAAGAATAGATTATTTTGACAGGTAAGTGAAAATCACTCAAACGAGTTTCTTGGTCTACTTTACTATCAGTTTTAAGAATTTGGCAAATGTATCTAATAAGCATGTGGCAGCAATAAGATCCACTGCAGTATATCAAGAAAGCTGGTGGTTTCTAGTTATAATAGGTAGGCACTATAAAGCAATCTGAGTGTTATTTGACCTATAAGTATTACACAGTAGTACCCTTTCCATCTTTGTTTTTCTTCTTCACAGATATATTTGGCGTAGTGGCTGGGGAATCTGGTCGTGGTGGTTTAGTTTTTCTTCCTGAAATAAAAACAGCTCTGCATAAATATTTGCCTTCAAAAGTGAGAGAAAATGGACAATTCAGCTATTTTGTCGTTTACCCTAAATTTCAAGTGCCAAATGTTTTTATACATGGGTCACATATACAGGTCTCTTAAAATGCTGTTTACTAAAAGGAAAACAACTTTAATAAAACTTGGACATTAATGCAGGTTAAACCATAAACACACTTATGTAAGAAATGATACCTTTGACACCTCAGTTTATATCTGTAAAAATGAAGTTAATTTAAATTACTATAGCTTGCCTTTGAAGTACCCATACTGGTAGTGCTTTCTTAAACTTTTGGAGAATGCTCTTGACATTGGTAGAACGTGGGCTCCAAAAATAAGCCATACAGTTTTGTCTGCCTATTAATTATACAAGCTTTTTAAGGTAGGAGAAGTGGATTTTTAGCTTTTTTCTCTATTAAATAATTTCTGTATACAGTTAGTTCTCAAGTATAAGAAACTTCCCAAACTCTAGAAATACAGAAAATATGTGAGGCAAAATTTTGGTGAACCACATAGTTAAATGCTATCCTCCTGTGTATTTCTAAAAACATCTCGTTTTTCTGTACCTTTCAATTCACAACAAACTTCATAGTTACCTTACCCACCATCAATGTCTAAATAAGTCCATCCCAATAGCCTCAGAGTGGGGTCGATAAACTATTCTAAAGCCGTATTTGTGATCTTCTTTTGCCAAGTATCTAGAACCATGGCCTAGCAGCGCCACTGCCTTGTATTTAGGTTGAGATCATGATCATGCTGTCTGAACATACTACCATTCTATATGTGAGAAACAATGAAGAGTTACTACCTCCTACCCAAACATCCTTGAGGCTGCCGCTCTGGTTTAGATTACTGTGGTGAATTACAGGTAAATATAACACAGGGCAGGGCAATAACTTAGAAAAGCAGAATTTTACAGCTAAAAAAAAAAATCACAAGGTCAGTGACAATTTATCCCCAGAAATGGAATAGGAAAACATTTCTGAAGTCATTTGGGTGAATGAAAGGAAGGGAGAAAAGTGTCAAAAAGCCCGCTCTTCAGTCTCTAAGACTGCCAAATGTATGCTAGTCAGCCAAGTATCTCGACTTTCATCACTGGAGACATCTGCAGAGAACCCTTCATGAGACAGATTCTTCTGGCTGTGTTCATGACAACCAGTATTAGAAGCCAACACTTCAGTAACCTCCACCTTATTTTATGCTATTAATATATACCAGCTTAAAAAAAATAGATATCGTCTTTATTTCCACTACTTTCCTCCACTAGCTTTAGTCACAACAGATGCTGCCAGTAAAAACTCCCAACCCAGTATCCATCCTCTCCAACATCTTCCTAATCATTCAAGGTGGTAATGTACAAAGCTTCAGGTGAATTACAGCTTGGTTAGATATAGAATTTTTGTTTGGCAGTGGTTTCTTCTCAGCCCTTTGAAGATGTCTAATTCTTCCAGCCTCTCCTGAGAGCTTCTAAACTGCCAATCTAAAAAAAAAATCAATCCTCTTGAAGTAATGTAGTTTCTCCCCGGTCGGCTTCTTTTTTTTGAGTGGGGAGAACTTGAAGAGAGGTCTTTGGTGTTCTGCATTTTTACCAACAATGCATTTAGGCCTAGATTTATTGTAGCTGAACTACTCAGGATTCACAATGCTGAGGATTAATGTGATTCTGGAAAATTCTTAGTCACTATCTCTTGAATATTGTCTCTTCCTCACTTTTTATATTCTGTTTCTGGAACTTTGATTAAACATGTAGACCTTTTCATTTAATTCTCCATGTCTGTAACTGTTTCATATTTTTTAATCCACACTAAATTTACTGGAGTTTACTAATTCTTTCTTAAGCAGTGACTAGTCTATGTTTTAATCCACACATGATGTTTTCAATTTCATTTCATTTTTTTGTTTTTGAGACACAGTCTCACTCTGTCGCTCAGGCTGGAATGCAATGGTGCGATCTTGGCTCACTGCAACCTCTGCCTCCTGGGTTCAAGCGATTCTCGTGCCTCAGCCTCCCAAGTAGCTGGGATTACAGGCACGTACCACCATGCCTGGCTAATTTTTTTCCATATTTTTAGCAGAGATTGCGTTTCACCATGTTGCTCTCGAATTTCCGACCTCAGGATGTCTGCCCGCCTCAGACTCCCAAAGTGCTGGGATTACAAGCATGAGCCACTGAGCATGGCCCAATTTCATTTCTTATTTCTATAAATTCCATTTGGTTCTTTATCATACCAATAGTTTTTCAACATTAAGTAGGATATTAGCCTTTTATTTTTTAAGCAGCTTTATTGAGGTATAACTGACATATAATAAACTACGTATGTTTGATGTTTACAATTTGACAAGTTTTGACTATGTATACTAACACCACCACTACATTCAAAACAATGAATATATTCATCACCCCAAAAGTACTTTGTGCCCCTTTGTAATCCTTACATCTCGCCCTTCCTCACCCTGCCCAATCCACAGGCAACCACTCATCTGTTTCCTGTCATTATAGATTAGTTGGTAGTTTCTAGAGCTTTATATAAAAATAAAACTGACCCTCAAACAAAACACAGCTTTGAACTGCACAGGCCCACTTATATAGGGATCTTTTTTCAATAAAGTTACATCAAGTGTGCCTGTGTCTCCTGCCTCCCCTTCCACTTCCTCCATCTCTTCCACCTCTGCTACTCCTGAGACAGCAAGACCAAACCCTTTTCTTCCTCCTCCCTCCTCAGCCTAGCCAACATAAACACAACAAGCATGAAGACCTTTGGCCAGGCATGGTGGCTCACACCTGTAATCTCAGCATTTGGGAAGGCCAAACCAGGAGGAATGCTTGAGCCTAGAAGTTTAAGACCAAGCTAGGCAACATAGTGAGACCCACCTCTACAAAAATAAAAATTAAAAATTAGCTGGGTATGGTGGGGCTCGCCTGTAGTTTTACATGGATTTTTGGCTGCAGAGGCTGACGGCCCTAACCCCCACATTGTTTGGGGGTAAACTGTAGAAACATATTTTTTCTTCTGGCTTCCCTCTTTTAGCACAATTATTTTGAGAGATTCATCCATTTTTGTTGAATGTACCAATCGTATATTGTTTTATTGTTGAGTGGTATTTTTACTGTGTTGATAAAAGTGCCACTGCACTCCAGCCTGGGTGAGAGAACGAGACTCCATCTCAAAAAAAAAAAAAAAGATACACAAATGTTCTTAGCAGCATTATTTGCAGTTGCCCCAAACTACAAACAACCCAAATCCCATTAACTGCTGACTGGGTAAACAAATACTACATATTTAAGAAAAATTTGTACATAAATGGCCAGGCAGGGTGGCTCATCCATGTAATCCCAGCACTTGGGAGGTCGAGGCGGTGGACCACTTGAGGTCAGGAGTTCAAGACCAGCCTGGCCAACATGGTGAAACCTCATCTCTACTAAAAATACAAAAATCAGCCAGGTGTGGTGGCACATGCCTTTAATCCCAGCTACCTGGGAGGCAGAGGCAGGAGAATCACCTGAACCCAAGAGGTGGAGGATGCAATGAGTTGAGATCAGCCATTTATGTACAAATTTTTCTATAAACATAGTTAATCCTGGGCCTGTCTTAACCTGGGTTTACAACTAGATTTTAAACTACCACTAACATTAGGAATTGCCAGCCAAGTAATTAACACAGATGTAGCCCCAGGACTGTAATAACTATGGGGCACCAGGCAGAAGCTCTTATAGAATTGCTCAGGTGGGTTATACATTCAACCTAGGCCATACAAGATTTCCTCAGATAAAGCCCCGTTGAAGCTGAACTCACATTTTGGTATCACAGAATACATGAGGAAGACACTTTCTGAGTGAGAAGCAGTAGACTAGGAAACCCTAGGATTAGTTCTCTAAGAATCACACATAACAGAATTATTAAATAGAAACTTTACATAGTATGATTAGAGGTTTTAAAGCAAAAGAACAAAAACATGGTCGAAGAATAAGGCTATTAAAAAAGACTAGGTGGGAACTTCCTCTTCTAGTCAAGATGGAATAACAGAACATGGATTTATCTTCCCACCTGAAACAATTAAAAACACAGAAAAAAAGGTATGAAACAATGGTACTGAAGAAATTGGACATCGGTCAACAAAAGCCAGTGATCCCTGAGAGACAGGAAATAAATGAGGCAAGTCCTATGACTGCCCCACCTTAATACATGGAGAAAAAATTTTTTGGAAAGCAGTTTGTGTTTCTGAAAAATATTTAATGTACACTTAACATGTGATCCAGCCATTCCACTACTAAGTATTTACCCAAAAGAAATTAAACCAGAATTTCTCCACTCAGAGGCCTGGCTGAATGGGACCCAAGCTTCCTTGACATCTGTCTGTGCCAATGGGTGGATTTCTTTCCCCCAAGAGGGTATATCCCTTCAAGGGTCCCAGTTACATGCTGAGGTCTCTGTCCGATACCCCATCTTGCGTAGCCCAAGACCTAAGCTTCTGCCTCAACACGGACAATAAAACCAGAGCCCCTCGGCATATCCTTCTCAGCCCTTCTGAGCTGCTGCAGTGTCGGCTCATGTTTACTATTTTTATTTTCCTCTTCATTTTCAGCTCTTGGAATTTCCCTGACTTTCACATGAACTTAGGTTACTGGGTGGGTGGTGATGCTATTAATCAAGACATTATACTCAAAATACTAAGCAAGCATGAGTAGAATCAGAAGGCAATAAAATGGAAAAGGTGTCAGACTTTAGAATGCAAGTGTGGTCCTAATTGGCAAAAAGTTAAAAATTCCCACTCAACACATCCTAAAATACTCCTCTTCAGTTACTTACCTGCTGATTTCCAACCCATTGTATTTTTCCAACTGGAGTCTTATACTGGAATCACCGGTACAGACTGGAGGCTTTCAAACAATAACCCCTGGGAAGGAAGCTGACTAGACCTTACCCAAGGACAAAAGGGTTTAGATAAAAATTTGAGGCTTTAAAAAGTTGGAAAATCCCTTTTCTGTAAGATAGACCAAACTTTTTAAAAGTATAAAATAATTTAATTATTATCATTATTTTTTTGAGATGGAGTTTCACTCTTGTTGCCCAGGCTAGAGTTCAATGTTGTGGTCTCAGCTCACTGTAACCTCCACTTCCTGGGTTCAAGTGATTCTCCTGCCTCAGCTTCCCAAGTAGCTGGGATTACAGGCACCTGTCAACATGCCCGGCTAATTTTCATATTTTTAGTAGAGACGGGGTTTCACCTTATTGGCCAGGCTGGTCTCAAACCCCTGACCTCAGGTTATCCACCCACCCCCACCTCCCAAAGTGCTGGGATTAAAGGCATGAGCCACCGCACCTGGCCCAATACTTTAATTTTTTAAAAGAAATGATTCTACTATGAAGAAATACCTCTTTTTCTTATTTATTTATTTTTATTTTATTTTATTTCTTAGAGATAGGGTCTCAGTCTGTTGCCCAGGCTGGAGTGCAGTGGCATGACCTTAGCTCGCTGAAACCTGTAACTCCTGAGCTCAAGGGATCCTCCACCTTGGCCTCCCAAGTATCTAGGACTACAGGTGCCTACCGTGCCCAGCTAATTCTTAAAATTTTTTGTAGAGATGAGGTCTTGCTTTGTTGCCCAGGCTGGTCTCAAACTCCTGGCCTCAAACAATCTTCCTGCCTCGGCCTCCTAAAGTGCTGGGATTACAGGCATGAATCTCCGTGCCTGGCCAAGAAATAACTCATAATTTCCATTTTGTGCCTTCAATGTTTTTCTTACATAAGTTTTAACTGCAGCAGGAAAGAACTATGTAGAATAAAAGTGATATCTAGATTTCACACCAAGACTTGACTATGCGCCCTAAACAAAGTAACCCACCTACCTTTTTTCCTCTTAGGCTGTTCTGGTGATGAGGCTCCCGGTGAGTCTGCATATTTTTCTTGCACCTGCTGTGTTTCCATCACTTCAGGAATCCCATCTAATGTGACGGACACATGGGTGACTGGGGCAACAACCATGTCATCTTCAGGTGAACTAAATATATTATTATCTAATGAAAATAAAATCAACTAATTATAGTCCACTGTGTATTATAAGTTAAAAAACGATTGAGAAAATTTCTTGTTTCTATTATGACTAGAAGATTAAAGTAGAAATAAAATCTTGAAATCTATTCCTGCGTTTAAGTTCCCCTTCCCAAAATCAAATACCCTAAACCAGTCCAGGCACGGCGAGCTATTTCAATGTCTTTCTTACTTGACTTCCTATCACCAGTCTGTCTCATCTCTCCTCTTGATTATTCACATTGCTGTGAGAGTTATTTTCTGAAACCTAAGTCTGACCTGACCATAAAATTAGGGGAATAAAAAACAAAACTGACATACCTTTCCATAGTTCATAGGAAAAACAAAAAACAAACAAAAAAATAATCACAACCCATCTCTATAGCATGCCTTACAAAGCTTCTGTAATCTAGTTCCAAACCTACCTTTCCAATCTCATTTCCCACCCACCATGAAGCTTACACTTCAACCACACCAAAACATCTTGATCTCAAAGATTTCATTCATTTTTTTTTTAACAGATCTGTGTCTTGTATCTTTAACTCCATTCCCTCCAGCTTGAATGACCTTTCATGTCTCTTCTACCTATTAAAAGCTTGTCATTTACAGCCCAGGTCAGAATACTCCTTCAATGAAGCCAGTCTCTGATATTCTCAGCTAGAATACCCACTGCTACTAGAGCAATTCGCTATCACTCTTGTGGCCTTTATTCTTGGCTTTGTAGTTATTTACATAAGTAACTGTCTTCAAAATTAAACTGTAAGCTTGAGGAAAGGAACAGTATCTGCTCATTTGTATCTCATGTTATTGCCTAATTATTGCTGCTGTGAATATAGCAAATATTGAATAAACATTTTAGACTGATTTAGCAATAATTTACTTTATGAATTTGATTGCTTGTCAGAAAAGCCCAAAGGAGAACAGGAATTTTAAAGCAGATCAATAATGTGGCAGTGAATTTTATGCCATGATGTGTCAGTAAAATTTTCAATAGATTGTTGCCTATTTGCTGATAACTACAGAGATGACTAAATTATAATCATTTGGGCCCTTGATACCCTAATACTCTCATCAATATGTTAAGAGAAGAAATTCTGCATGATCTTCTATTTGGTAAGTAATAAATTACATTTTTTTGTTCCCAAAGGCTTCATTCTCAAATTAAAATGTCATCTTTAACTCTACGTTTTTGCAAAGGCACCTCAATTCCTACTATACCTTAAAATGTGATTGTAACAAAAAATATATAACATCATTTCTAATCTCTTGATTTTACTAATAAAGAAAGATGGCAAGAGTAACTTAACAAAGTACATAAACATAAACAATCATAATCACTCACTTATTCGTTTTTCATCCAGCATAGGGCCAGGGGAATCCATATTGAGGAGTGCCTCAGCAGCCTCAATAGTTTCAATTGTTTCATCCCCGTCATGACAAGAAGCTTCAACTGCAACACATTTAAAGAGAAAATTAAATTAACTACGAGACATCTGTTACTCTGAAAGTCATACACCGCTTATCTCTAGAACCAGAATACATCATTTAATATTTTAGTTTATATATATATATAAACTATAAACACACAAAATCATACCAAACCTGGCTGGCGCAGTGGCTCATTCCTGTAATCCCGCACTTTGGGAAGCCGAGGCAAGCAGATTGCTTGAGGTCAGGAGTCTGAGACTGGCCAACATGGAGAAACCCTGTTTCTACTAAAAATACAAAAAATTAGCTGGGCGTGGTGGCACGCACCTGTAGTCCCAGCTACTCAGGAGAGTGAGATAGGAGAATCGTTTGAACCCAGAAGGTGGAGGTTTCAATGAGCTGAGACTAAACCACTGCACTCCAGTCTGGGTGACAGAGTGAGACTCTGTCTTAAAAAAAAAAAACAGAAACTATTACATTAAAAAATCAATATTTCCTTAATATTAAATAGCCAACCAGCATTCAAATGTTCAATTGTGTTAAAAAATCATAAATGGTGGCAGTGCAAGGAAAGACAAGACAGTTTTTTGCTTAAATCAAATTAAGTCTGCATATTGCAATTGACTGATACATTTCTTAACTTTCTTTACATTTCTGAGTTGCCATTCATCTGTCTAGCTTTTTTTACTTTGCAATTTATTTGTTGAAGAACTCAGGCTGTTTATTCATGTAGAATTTCCCATAGTTTGGATTTTGCCAACTATATTCCTATTGTGTAGCTTAACATGTTTTTCTATACCCCCTCTAACTGAGTAGTCATATCTGGAGGCTTGATGAAATTCAACTTTAATTTTTTTTGGCAAGACTAAAAAAAAATTTATGTATTTTGATGACAGCTCAAAATATAATCTAAGCCTCAAATTTCATAAAATCATTAAATCTTTTTGGTTTTGCTTTTTTTTTTTGAGACAAGGTCTTACCCTGTCTCCCAGGCTAGAGTGCAGTGGCTCAATTATAGCTCACTGCAACCATAAACTCCTAGGCTCAAGCAATCCTACCACCTCAGCCTCCCGAGTAGACAGGACTACAGTCTCAGGCCACCATGCCCAGCTAATTTTTAAAATTTTTTTAGAGACAGGGTCCCGCTATGTTGCTCACTTGAATTCCTCAAGCCAGGCCTGAATTCCTCAAGCCAGGCCTTGAATTCCTGGGCTCAGGTGATCCTCCCTCCTTGGCCTCCCAAAGTTCTGGGATTACAGGTGTGAGCCGCTGCATCTGTTCAAATATTTTTATTATGAAAATTTTAAACAAAATAAAAATTGTGGAGTATAGTATATATAATGAATCCCCATGTGCCCATTCCTAGCTTCAACTATTATCACCAAATGGCCAATCTTCTTTCATCCATACCCCACTCACTGCCCTCAAGTCCTTACCCTCTGTACAGGATTATTTTGAAGGAATCTAAAATACCATATTTTATCTCTAAATACTTTAGCATGTGTATCTAAAAGATGTCTAACACAATACTACTATCATATCTTAAATATACTAACAATAAATCTTTTTTTTTTTTTTTGAGACAAAGTTTCAATCTTGTTGCCCAGGCTGGAGTGCAATGGTGTGATCTTGGCTCACCGCAACCTCTGCCTCCCAGATTCAAGCGATTCTCCTGCCTCAGCCTCTTGAGTAGCTGGGAATACAGGCATGTGCCACCATGCCCAGCTAATTCTGTATTTTCAGTAGAGACGGGATTTCTCCATGTTGGTCAGGCTGGTCTTGAACTCCCGACCTCAGGTGATCTGCCCGCCTCGGCCTCCCAAAGTGCTGGGATTACAAGTGTCAGCCACCGTGCCCGGCCTACAGTAATTCTTTAATATCATCTATTATAGGCTGAATGGTATCCCCCAAAATTCTATGTTGACATGCTAACCCCCAGTACCTCAGAATGTCTTTAAAGAGATAACTGAGTTAAAATGAGGTTATTAGTGTAGGCCCTAATCCAATATGGTTAGTGTCCCTCTAAGATGAAATATGAACACTGGCAGGTACAAAACATAAGACCATGTGAAGACACTGGAAGACAAGTCACCTATAAGTCCAGAAAGAAGCCTCAGAAGGAATTAACTCTACCAATATCTTGATCTCAGACTTCTAGCTTCCAGAACTGTGAGAAAATAAATTTCTCATTTGAGCCACTCAGTCTGTGGTACTTTCTTATGGCAGTCCTAGCAAACTAACACATCATCTGAAGCGCCACCTAACACGTGTAAGAACAAAAATGTCCTATCCTTATCTCTTTCTTCCCCTAGAGCTTCTCAAAGGCTCCCCGTCACCCCCACTGTGGAATAACGAAGATTACAAGGTTCTTCCCTTTTTCATGACATTGCTCAGAAAAGGATGGAAGAGTTAAACAAAGCTTTGGTAAGTTGGGAGGTAAGGCAAAGGGAAGAAAAAACACAAACAGAGAATCTGGTTTCCTCTCTGAGAACTAATGCCTTCCCTGATGACTAGAACTAGGAAGAAACACTCCTTCCGGAAAGACATTGGTCCTCAACTTACAAAGACTGTAGCCTTACCCTAAGGCTTTAAAAGTTATATCAGGATACACTGCTAAACCCCCACTAACTACAAGCCCAGATACATGCATAGTGGTGTTTATTCTGTTACACATACAGATCAGACAGCAATGAATAGAAACTTCTAACCTGATTAGTCCAATTCCCTCACTGGTAAGGGAAAAGTAACTCTAGATTCAACAAAAAACTTTTATTGGTTTGCTCTGAACAAAAAATGTGAATACATGCAAAAAATGCTTTGTTAAAAAAAAGGGAGTGATATGGCTTGGATTTGTCCCCGCTCCAAATCTCATGTTGAATTGTAAACCCCAATGTTGGAGGAGGGGCCTGGTGGGAGGTGACCGGATCGTGGAGATGGATTTTCCCCTTACTGTTCTTGTGACAGTGAATGAGTTCTCATGAGATCTAGTGGTTTGAAAGTGTGTAGCTCTCCCTCTCCCCACGGTCTCCCTCTCCCCACGGTCTCCCTCTCCCTCTCTTTCCACGGTCTCCCCCTGATGCCGAGCCAAAGCTGGACTGTACTGCTGCCATCTCGGCTCACTGCAACCTCCCTGCCTGATTCTCCTGCCTCAGCCTGCCGAGTGCCTGCGATTGCAGGCGCGCGCCGCCACGCCTGACTGGTTTTCGTATTTTTTTGGTGGAGGCGGGGTTTTGCTGTGTTGGCCGGGCTGGTCTCCAGCTCCTAACCGCGAGTGATCCGCCAGCCTCGGCCTCCCGAGGTGCCGGGATGGCAGACGGAGTCGCGTTCACTCAGTGCTCAATGGTGCCCAGGCTGGAGTGCAGTGGCGTGATCTCGGCTCGCTACAACCTCCACTTCCCAGCTGCCTGCCTTGGCCCCGCAAAGTGCCGAGATTGCAGCCTCTGCCCGGCCGCCACCCCGTCTGGGAAGTGAGGAGCGTCTCTGCCTGGCGGCCCATCGTCTGGGATGTGAGGAGCCTCTCTGCCTGGCTGCCCAGTCTGGAAAGTGAGGAGCGTCTCTGCCCGGCCGCCATCCCATCTAGGAAGTGAGGAGCGTCTCTGCCAGGCTGCCCATCGTCTGAGATGTGGGGAGCGCCTCTGCCCTGCCGCCCTGTCTGGGATGTGAGGAGCGTCTCTGCCCGGCTGCCCCGTCTGAGAAGTGAGGAGACCCTCTGCCTGGCAACCGCCGCGTCTGAGAAGTGAGGAGCCCCTCCGCCCGGCAGCCACACCCTCTGAGAAGTGAGGAGCCCCTCCGCCCGGCAGCCACTCCGTCTGGGAAGTGAGGAGCATCTCCGCCTGGCAGCCACCCCGTCTGGGAGGGAGGTGGGGGTCAGCCCCCCGCCCGGCCAGCCGCCCCGTCCGGAAGGGAGGTGGGGGGGTTAGCCCCCCACCCGGCCAGCCGCCCCATCCGGGAGGGAGATGGGGGGGTCATCCCCCTGCCCGGCCAGCTGCCCATCCGGGAAGGAGGTGGGGGGGTCAGCCCCCCGCCCGGCCAGCCGCCCCGTCCGGGAGGTGAGGGGCGCCTCTGCCCGGCCGCCCCTACTGGGAAGTGAGGAGTCCCTCTGCCCGGCCAGCCGCCCCGTCCGGGAAGTAGGTGGGGGGGTCAGCCCCCCACCCGGCCAGCCGCCCCGTCCGGGAGGTGAGGGGCACCTCTGCCTGGCCGCCCCTACTGGGAAGAGAGGAGCCCCTCTGCCCGGCCAGCCGCCCCGTCCGGGAGGGAGGTGGGGGAGTCAGCCCCCGGCCTGGCCAGCCGCCCCATCCGGGAGGGAGGCGGGGAGGTCAGCCCCCCGCCCGGCCAGCCGCCCCGTCCGGGAGGGAGGCGGGGGGGTCAGCCCCCCGCCCGGCCAGCCGCCCCGTCCGGGAGGTGAGGGGCGCCTCTGCCCGGCCACCCCTACTGGGAAGAGAGGAGCCCCTCCGCCCGGCCAGCCACCCCATCCAGGAGGGAGGCGGGGAGGTCAGCCCCCCGCCCGGCCAGCCGCCCCGTCCGGGAGGGAGGCGGGGGGGTCAGCCCCCCGCCCGGCCAGCCGCCCCGTCCAGGAGGTGAGGGGCGCCTCTGCCTGGCCGCCCCTACTGGGAAGTGAGGAGCCCCTCTGCCCGGCCACCACCCCGTCTGGGAGGTGTACTCAACAGCTCATTGAGAACGGGCCATGATGACAATGGCGGTTTTGTGGAATAGAAAGGGGGGAAAGGTGGGGAAAAGACTGAGAAATCGGATGGTTGCCGTGTCTGTGTAGAAAGAGGTAGACGTGGGAGACTTTTCATTTTGTTCTGTACTAAGAAAAATTCTTCTGCCTTGGGATCCTGTTGATCTGTGACCTTACCCCCAACCCTGTGCTCTCTGAAACATGTGCTGTGTCCACTCAGGGTTGAATGGATTAAGGGTGGTGCAAGATGGCTTTGTTAAACAGATATTTGAAGGCAGCATGCTCGTTAAGAGTCATCACCACTCCCTAATCTCAAGTACCCAGGGACACAAACACTGTGGAAGGCCGCAGGGTCCTCTGCCTAGGAAAACCAAAGACCTTTGTTCACTTATCTGCACTTATCTGCTGACCTTCCCTCCACTATTGTCCTGTGACCCTGCCAAATCCCCCTCTGCGAGAAACACCCAAGAATGATCAAAAAAAAAAAAAAAAAAAAAAAGAAAGTTGGAAAGGCTTCAGGATTGTCAGTTAAATATAATTGTTTTTGCCTGGGTCTACTGACAGGTTTACATCGTCTCTATTACTTTTTTTTTTTTAATTTGTTTTTTGTTTTTGAGCTGGAGTTTTGCTCTCATTGCCCAGGCTGGAGTGCAGTGGTGAGATCTCAGCTCACCACAACTTCCGTCTCCCAGGTTCAAGTGATTCTCCTGCCTCAGCCTTCCGAATAGCTAAACTACACGTGTATGCCACCATACTTGGCTAATTTTTGTATTTGTAGTAGAAACAGGATTTCACCATGTTGGCCAGGCTGGTCTCGAACTCCTGACCTCAAGTGATCTGCCCACCTTGGCCTCCCAAAGTGCTGGGATTACAGGCATGGGCCACTGTGCCCAGCCTATTACATGTTTTAAGGTCATAAAACTGCTACTTCTGGAATATTTCTTAAACTTGCTTGATTTGTGTAAGGTCTGGCTGCTGGGCTCCCTGAAACCTTGCACATATCTTACTGTATGACTGTATTTCGTTTTGAGTCTCTGGATTCTGGGGTTTGGACAGATGACCATAGTGAGGCCTGCAGAAATATGCATGTCCTCAGTGTTTGGACTGCCAGCTGCAAGGCAGAGCCAAACCCAATATGGCCCCATCATCCCTGGCTCAGCTGTGCTACCTGGCCATGCTGGAAGGGGTTTGATCTTCCAGGAATTTGCTTCACAGCTCTTTCCTGTCCCAAGATCTATGCCTGATGTGTAAATTCAGGACCCAAAAGGGCACAAAAAAGCAATAACTACTAAATATAAGGAAAACAACTCTGTATACAGCATGTATAAAGAAAAGCAAGATATATTTGGGGAGATAAAAGTTGTAAAGGCATTAAGATGTGTGTTTGTTGAGAAAAAATAAATTTGTGCATTTAAAAAAAAAAAAAAGAAAAAAAAGAAAGTGTGTAGCACCCCCTACCACCCTGCCTTCTGTTCCTCCTGCTCCAGCCATGTAGGATGTGCCTGCTTCCCCTTCGCCTTCCACCATGATTGTAAGTTTCCTGAGGTCTCCCCAGCCATGCTTCCTGTACAGCCTGCAGAACCATGAGCCAATTAAACTTCTTTTCTTTATAAGTATTACCCAGTCTCAGGTAGTTCTTTATAGCAATGTGAGAAGTGACTAAAACAGAGGACAACACAAAGATGAGGTATTGACAACCAATGTTAACAGTGGGGCCTCTCCCCCACCAGATGGATACAGTCATTCTACCTTTCCCCGATTTAAAACATTACTGTATCATATGTTAACTTCCTAAATAGATCAGAACCCGCCTTTAGACTTACTATTCAGTTCTAAGGCATTGTGCTACATGCTAAGGTAAAGCTGAGAACAAGGCAGCCCCAGTACTTGCCACTATGAAATCTACAGATATACCTCATCTTGCCTATTTCTGATAAACTTTCTTTTACGAATAAAGATGCAAATATTTGCTTCCAAACAGTTTTCTCAAATATCCACAACATCCCTGGCCAAGATATATGACTGTAAATGAACAAAAAGAGAAAGCATGTACCAATTTCTAAGTGATGAAAGTATTATTACTACAATCTCACATTTATGTAGCCTAATCTTCAAGTTTAAAATATCTTACTAGTTCTGACTGAACCAGAAAAGAAATCTATAAATCCCAGGACCTTATCGTACATTTGGGTCATGGCCCACCATTTTGCTTCCTGTGGCAGTGGTAAGAAAAGAACATTCCTCTCTCTTTCCCTACAAAACAACTCATTTTGTTCACAGGAATACGGAGGAAGGCATATAAGAAAGTACTCAGTGAGCTGGGTGGGGTGGTGCATGACTGTTGTCCCAGTTACTCAGGAGGCTAAGGCAGGAGGATCACTTGAGCCCAGGAGTCCAAGTCTAGGCTGGGCAATACAGTAAGACTCCATCTCTTAAAAAAAAAAAAAACTGCTCAGTGAAGACTTGATGAATTGAGGTTTGGTTCCTTTTAAATGCCTCTTATTTTGTCACATTCATCTCAATATATTTAGGAAAGGAGAAATGGGAGATGACAAAACAGTACTAAATCCAGCAGATGAAACAGAAAATGTAATTTTCTTCTCCATGTAGGGCTGTAGTTTCTGAAGGTAATACAGTTTAAAACCAAGTTAGGGGCGTTTTATGCCCCCACATCCTCAGGATTAGGACACTGCCTAAAGCTGTGCTGCAGCAAGGTCCTACTGGATGGAGACACACGCACCTGTAAGGGTGATGTCATCATCATCATCGTCTATGATTTCTTCTTCAGCAACATCCAGTGAACTCTCAGTAATCATGTCATTGGGCTCTTCCACACAGGCTAGACCGGCATAACTATTGAGAATATCAGCACCAGGAACATGTTCCACAATTACGGCAGGAAAAATAGCTGGATCACCAAGCTGGGAAGGGTTAGGGAGAGGAAAATGAAAACAAAGGATTAACACAGTTTTGCTTTTGTTAAATAATGCTCAAAACTATTTTATACTAGCCATCAATTTAATTTTTAGATCATCAGGCTGTATCTCTATAATCTTTCTAGGCATTAGGTAATTTGTATCTATTACAACCAAATAATGGCATTAAAATTTAAAAATGAAGGCTGGGCGCGGTGACTC
This sequence comes from Homo sapiens, assembly GCF_000001405.40. Taxonomy (NCBI): domain Eukaryota; kingdom Metazoa; phylum Chordata; class Mammalia; order Primates; family Hominidae; genus Homo; species Homo sapiens. The sequence continues at coordinate 40,959,233 of NC_000013.11, forward strand.
ACACCTGTAATCCCAGCACTCTGGGAGGCCGAGGCAGGCAGATCACGAGGGTCAGGAAATCAAGACCATCCTGGCTAACATGGTGAAACCCCATCTCTACTAAAAATACAAAAATTAGCTGGGCACGGTGGCATGCACCTGTAGTCTCAGCTACTAGGGAGGCTGAGGCAGGAGAATCACTTGAACCTGGGAGGCGGAGGTTGCAGTGAGCCGAGATCGCACCACTGCACTCCAGCCTGGGTGACAGAGTGAGGCTCCTTCTCAAAAAATAAATAAAATAAATAATAATAATAAGATGCCATTAATGCATAAGCATGAACCAAGAAGTGACATACAAATAAAATGTTAATTAAATCAAATCTCAATAAAAGTTTTTTGGCAAAACAAAAAAATCTGTGAGCTTAATATTACACTGTCGCTTGGCACAAAGGCTGTGTTTTAACAACAGCTTTTGACTTAAGTGGGAAAATTAACCCTCATTTTCTATTATTGTTCTTTTCAAGTATGGCTATATTAAGAGTATAAACTATTACTCCTAATGTCTAGTTATAATATCACAGAATTTTAGAATGGAAAGGACCCATACAATTTAATGTAAGTCAGCTACCTCATTTTATAGATGAGGAAACTGACCCAGAGAGGGTTTTTAACAACCTACTAAAAACTCAGTTAATTAGCGGCAAACCTCATTAAGATACTACTTCCTTTATCATTTTGAGATAATCGCAGACTTATAAAAGTTGCAAAAACAGCACAAATAATTCCCATACAACCTTCACCCATATTCCCTCAGTTCTAACATTTAACCACATCTATTTATCATTCTCTACCTATATTGTTTTCTGATGTGTTTGAAAGTGTTAGACATATTGCTTCTTAATCCTACTTTGTGTTAATTTCCTAAATATAAAAATACTATCTAATATAAAGACAGCATAATTATCAAAACTAGGAAAATAACATTAATACAATACTATTATCTAATCTTTAGACATTATCCAAATTTCTAATTGTCCCACTAATGTCCTTTTAAAAAGTTAAAAAAAAATCTTTTTTGGTTATAGGTTTCCTTTAGTAAATATCATGTTTCTTAATAACTCCTTTAACCTGGAACAATTTCTTTTCCTTTAATCTGAGAAGTTCTTTGCTCTTTGTCTTTCACAATCTTGACACTTTTGAAGAGTACAGGTCATCTGTTTTGTAGAATGTCTACCAATTTGGGTTTGTATATTTCCTTATGATTAGATTCAGTTTGCATTTTTGGTAGGAATACCAAAGAAATAATGTTATGTTCTTTCAAATATATCATGTCAGGGGGTCCAAAATACCTATTTGTCCCCCCATTGCTGGGGATATTAATTTTTAATATATATTTATGTTCATACTATTGAGACAGGGTCTTGCTCTGTTGCCCAGGCTGGACTCGAACTCCTGGGTTCAAGTGATCCTCCCGCATCTGCCTCCCAAATAGCTGGGACTACAAGTGCATGCCTCCATGCCTAGATTAATTTTGATCACTTAGTTAAGGTAGTATCTACCAGGTTTCTCTATTATCAAGTTACTAATATGTATCTTGTGGGAAGTTAACTCAAAACTATGTAAATTTTATGTTTCTTAACTAAACACTTCTCTATAAAGAATCTTCTCTTTTTCTTTGAGATGGAGTCTTGCTTTGCCGCCCAAGCTAGAGTGCAGTGTGGCGATCTTGACTCACTGCAACCTCCGCCTCCCAGGTTCAAGCCATCTTCTTAAATGTAAGAAAAAGTTCCTGCTCATAGATAATAATGCCAGGCACCTTGCTATTTTCCTTAAGTAAGTCTGCTATATTCAAAATATTATTTATGGTTTCATTGCAACTAAGCAGCCTCAATCTTTTAAAATTAATGTTTACAAAACTACACACTGAGGTTAGACATTACTTCTGTCATAATAATTTAATTACCTAAATTAAATACACATTGTAGGTGCTAAACAGATAATATCCTTGCCTTCGAGAATGCTATGTTCTGAAATTTATGGTTAATAATCCTAAAACACATTTGGATCGTTTTATTTCAAAATCTTTCTTCCTGTTTTAGAAAAGAGGAAGCTAGCTAGAAAAGTAACTGGCTCTTCAAATAGTAAAACAAATTTTAAAACAGAAACTAGGAGGCTCAAAAATTATACTATAGAAGCCAGGCCTGGTGGTATGTGCCTGTAGTCCCAGCTACCTGGAAGGCTGAAACAGGAGGATGGCTTGAGCCCAGGAGTTCAAGGCTGTCCTGTGCTACAATCCCATCTGTGAATACCTACTGTACTTCAGCCTGGGCAACACAGCAAAACCCTGTCACTGAAAAAAAAAGAAAGAAAAAAATTATACCGTAACTCACATAAATACACTTCACACACCTTAAAGAAAAGTGTAGCTAGCCTTCCCTTTCCCTTTTTTGACAGGTAAATTGTAGACATGCAATCCCACCTAGCATAAACATGGACTTGTTAAAACACTTTTCCTTTTCTTCTCTTCTAAAAGCTCAATTAAGCTCCTGGTCTTCTAACAAGGCTTAGTCCAGAATTAAGCACTTTTATGCTGCAAAAACCCATGTACAAGGTAGGAACAGAGCTCATCACTTCATCCACTGATAAGTCAGAGACAGGCGTGTAAAATGCAATTCACAGGAGCAGTTCTCACCCAAATGAAACCAAAGTATTCCTCCCTAACCAAATCTATTTGGCTCCTGTAGCTTGGGTAGAGAGTGCTAATGTGTACATAACAAGGGATACTTCCAAATTTTTGAGTCTATACAGTTCTTGAGTTTTGGTTAACCACAGATACTTGTTACTACTTTATTCCTTGTCCTGTTCTACTAACCAGTAGTTACTCTATTCTCCAGAATTCTCCTTTATAATCAATGTCACTTCTACCACAGTGCCCTTCCCAGAGGCAATCACTGCTACCAATTTCTTTGTTCTGTTACTGTACAGACAGTAAATGTACAGTCAGGCATACTCCAAATTGCTTTAAACAATCATAATTAAATTCAGTTTAAATTTAATAATTTTTAAACTATTTAATAAGGAAAATTTCAAACACACAAACGTCAAGAGAAAAAAACGTTTCCTTTGAAGCAAAAGGTTTATTAAGAATGAAAAGTAGTTTTGAAGTCTTTGGGATTAAAAAAAGAGAGTGGCCAGGAGTGGTGGCTCATGTCTGCAATCCCAGCACTTTGGGAGGGCAAGGTGGGTGGATCACTTGAGGTCAGGAGTTCGAGATCAGCCTGGCCAACACGGTGAAACCTTGTCTTTACTAAAAAAATACAAAAAATGAGCCAGTCATGGTGACGGGCACCTGCAATCCCAGCTACTTAGGAGGGTGAGGCAGGGGAATGGCTTGAACCTGGGAGGCGGAGGTTGCAGTGAACCAAGGTCGCACCACTGCACTCTGGCCTGAGTGAAGAAGACTGTCTCAAAAAAAAAAAAAAAAAGAAGAAGAAGAATGAAAAGAGACACATGGTTCTGTGATTTAGAAGGCAGCCACATGTAGCAGAAAAGAAAAACTGGGAACCAGGAGACCTAGGGCCTTCTCCAACCCTGATTTCATGACCTTATTTTCTGAACCTTTAAATGAATGAAGAGCACCAGTTGATCCTACAGGCCCTTCCAGGTTTTGCTTTGTTAATATTTTGAATTCATGGATTCTACTGTCTGAGCTTATAACATTTCACGAGAAGAGATTATTCACTCTTACACACTAAAATGGGAGAGTAGCATGCACTGTGGCCACATAGCTGCTGCCATTGCTATTAACCAACATTTAATATGCACGAGACATTTTGCACATTGCTTTACGTGAATTATCACTCTATTTAATCATCACAAAATGCTATGATGGAGACACACTGGACTATCCATTTTACACATGAGAAAACAGAGGCAAGGGAAATAATCTACTCCAAGTCATAAACCTAACTTGAACTGACTCCAGGGTCCATGTCCTTTACTTATACACTATTGTAGTCAGCTTTAAACATAGTAGATTTGTTCTGCTGGCATACTTACTTGGCTCTGTTTAGAAAACCAGAATAATTAAGGAGCTGTGTTTGAGGTGGAGGTATGAGTTTCACTATTATTTCCAAGGCTTCACCAATCAGAGTCTATAACAAAATTTCTCATGGGAATAGCCAGTTCTTCTTGGTCAGCAGGGCACTTCCCAGGATCACTCCTAATTTAGTCCTACAGCCTTCTCCTTCTGAGGTACTTGCTTTTATCATGAAAGGCATGGTCCATTCTTTTCTAGTCCACTGACATGGGATGTATATTCAAAGTTGTTCATCTCTCGTTTCCCCAGGATGCTATTAATCCATATATAAGAAAGAGACCAACTTCAGATTTTCATAAGAATATGAATAGTTAGGTGCTGGGCGCAGTGGCTCACGCCTGTAATCCCAGCACTTTGGGAGGCCGAGGCGGGCGGATCACGAGGTCAAGAGATTGAGAACATCCTGGCCAACATGGTAAAACCCTGCCTCTACTAAAAATACAAAAATTAGCTGGGCATGGTGGCATGAGCCTATAGTCCCAGCTACTCAGGAGGATGAGGCAGGAGAATCACTTAACCCAGGAGGCAGAGGTTGCAGTGAGCCAAGATCGCACCACTGCACTCCAACTTGGGTGACGGAGCAAGACTCCGTCTCAAAAAGAAAAAAAAAAAGAAAGACTATGAATAAGTCAGGTAAGAGGCTTGAATCTGTATATACAAAATACATTTAGGAAACACCTCTCAGGTGACTAGAAAGATTCTTCCCACTCTACTACCATAAATAGAAAAAAAATGCACACTCCTGAAACTCCAGCTGCTGATCTGGGCTCATGATGAACTGCTTTGTAAACTGGATTGACCAGTAACTGGCTAAAGTATGAGTCATCAAGAACCTAAGAACTCTAGAACCACACATTCTACAATTCCTTCTAGAGAACTGCTTCCCTACCTTTTAAAGAAATAGTAAAATTTCAAATGCTGAATTTTCCTAGGTTTAGATTTTCAAAACAAATAAAATATTGGGACTTATATTAGTTTGCTACGGCTGCTGCAACAAAGTACTACAAACTGGGTCCCTCAGCAGAAATTTATTTTCTCACAGTTCTGGAGGCTAAAAGTCTGAAATCAAGGTGTTGGCAGGGCTGGCTCCTTTTGCAGACTGTGGGGGAAGGAACTGTTCCAGGTCTCTCTCTTTGACTTATAGATGGCTGGTCTTCATGTTTACATGGGCTCTGTGTCCAAATCCAACTCCACTCACCCCCCGACTTTTTTTAATTGAGACAGGATGGAGTGCAGTGGCGTGATCTCAGCTCTCCCTCTGTCACCTAGGCTGGAGTGCAGTGGTGCAATCTCAGCTCACCATAACCTCTGCCTCCCGGGCTCAAGCGATCCTCTCACCTCAGCCTCTCAAGTAGCTGCGACTACAGGCATGCACCATTACGCCTGGCTAATTTTTGGATCTTTTGCACAGATGGGGTTTCTCCATGTTCCCCAGGCTGGTCTCGAACTCCTGAGCTCAAGCGATCCACCCAACTCGGCCTCCCATAGTGTTGGGATTACAGGTGTGAGCCACCGCACCCAGCCCAAATTTCCCCTTTTTATAAGGACACCAGGTAGTGGAGTAAGGGCTCCCCTCTCCTGTAGTGTAACTTCTTTACTAATTACATCTGCCATGACCCTATTTCCAACAACCAAATAAGGTTACACTCTGAGGTACTAGAGGTTAGAACTTCAATATATGAATTGGTGTGTGGGTGTGCACGCAGGCACAATTCAACCAATAATAGGACTTAATTTAATTTGGTTTTAAGTCTGTCATTTAACAATTTGTTCCCTCTGCCCGAAATAACTTGTATAAACTAGTCTTTTCATTGTTTCTAAATTGAGATTGGATATTACTCTTCAGGTTTCTTTGCTGAAGATCATCAAATCTTACCCACCTCAATTTTTTCCACACCATTTCAAACAGACCCTTTCCCAAGATTTATTTAAAAGATGGGCTTCAGGAAGATAGCAGATATTCATAAAATAGCCACACTCCTAATAGTAAGCAATAAGATGTTACCTACTTTTAAGAAATGAAGGTGTTGGCCGGGTGCAGTGGCTCACACCTGTAACCCCAGCACTTTGGGAGGCCGAAGCGGGTGGATCACCTGAGGTCAGGAGTTCGAGACCAGCCTGGCCAACATGAAGAAACCTCATCTCTACTAAAAAATAAAAAAATTAGCTGGGTGTGGTGGTGTGCACCTGTAATCCTAGCTACTCAGGAGCCTGAGGCATGAGAAGCTTGAATCTGGTAGGCAGAGGCTGCAATGAGCCCAGATTATGCCACTGCACTCCAACCTGGGTGATAGAGCAAGATTTCATCTCAAAGAAAAAAAAAAAGAAATGAAGGTTTCAATGCTTCTTTGATGCCTTAACAAAAACATTACATTCCATTTGACTGGCTGCTACTTTAAAAAATGACCTTCCAAACCTTCCAAACACTTCTAAAAACTCTCATCATTTAAATAATTAGATTAAGCATCTTTTCTTTTATTTGCATCATGAAATCTAATTAAATTCTACTGGTGCTTATCAATTTTCGCTGTACAGTGGGAAACATTTAAGAATATCAATATTTGACCCCACATGGGATAAAATAAATCAGACTATCTGGGGGTGTGACCAGAGCCTAATATTAAAGCTCCCCAGGTGGGTCCAATTTGCATCCAGGCTTCAGGACCACCGCTCTGAAGAATGACAACATTCAAAACTGCATTCCCTAAGTTGAGTCAGCTCTAATTATTCTTGCTAAGATCTGGGATATTAGTAATTCAAACAATTACATTTTTATATTATTAGATCTTTTGCTATTTGTCACTTGCAGATTATTTTCCCCTTTGGTTTTTGAACAGAACCAAAATAAACCACAAACCATGGGAACAAGAGAGGGAAGATCTCCTGGAACTAAAATCTATCAAAGATCAGGGTTTCCAAAGCTTCAATATCTAGAAGCAAATTACTGCAGTGATAAAGTAATTTTCAATTGTTTCATAACTTTCTTGAAGGTCTTAACAGCTCCAAAGAGATTTCCCCTTTCTATTAATTATAGATAAATTTAGGATATATGTTGAAAGCAAAATTTCAGCAAACATTTTTGGAGCAATAATAAAATTCAAACCAAGTTTTAGCAGAAGAGAGTCACAGTTCCCCAAATTTCAACATTGTCCACGATATAGTTTCCACTTGTGGTTGATCACGTATGTGGCAATACCATCAAGTTAAAAAGAGAAGGAAAGCGACCAATGTAAGCAGGACATTATGTGACTCCCCTAACTAGGCTTGCTTGTTCCACATACCACAATCCAAGGTCCTATGTGGATATTTCAGAAACCATGAATCATTATTCCAACTTCATTAATAATTTTGTTCATCAAGTTTTTGGGTATCAAAAAGCACAAGAACTTTCATATAACTTGTTTACCAAGTTTCTCTAATAGCAGAACTCAATCTGGTATATGGTGATTGTGAAACATCCCATCAAAATCCTCTCTAAAATAGCTTAAAATGAAATACCTACAAAATATTTTCCCAAAACAAAAAGCAAGTTAAATTTAGTCTCTAGCATTTTTCCAAAGCAGACACTACTTTTTAAAGACAGGTGCAAAATGAGCACACCTTCGAGTAGTTCACGCAACATCTTTGCATCAAGGCAAGAAAACACCAAGAGGGGTCTGGTGCCTTACTCCTCCCACAGTCTTCAACAGCTCCCCTGACTCCAAAGCCTGTCCAATAAGCACACAAATTAAACACTGCACTTGCTATGAAAACACATCTTTGAGACAAATCCCTGTGCCCAGCCTTCAAATCAGACTGAGGCCCCAAAGCCTTATCCTATGAAGACACTGCTTTGAGGACTTCTGAATTATTCTTGAAATCACTTCCTTTTACATTTGATTTAAAAAACAAAAACCCAGCACCTTACTCTATTACAACACGATCTGACAGTACCTTACCATGCAGCAAATGCACTACATACACACATGGTGAACAGGGTGTAACAGTAAAAACTCAGGTTCTTATTTAAGGTAGGACTCCACCATGGCCTGGGTATTTGAACTCATGCAAGTTATCCAGCCTCTCTAAGCTTTAGTTCCTACATCTATTCAAAATAAGAATAATAGTATCTTCTGGAATTGTTGTAAGAATAATGTGTAAATAAATCATTTGTGATAATGCATGGCATATAGTAAGCAATAAATAAAATGTTTTGATGATTAAAGCCCTTCAATATTTGATACGGATAGAAATAAACACTCTCAAAAACTGACTTACTACAATCTCACATGGACAGGCATGGTTTTGTTTTTATTTTTTTGAGACAGGGTCTTGCTCTGTCGCCTCGCTGGAGTGCAGTGGCGTGATCACAGCTCACTGCATCTGTGAACTCCTGGGCTCATGCAATCCTCCTGCCTCAGTCTCCCAAGTAGCTGGGACTATAGGCGTATGCCACCATGTCTGGCTAATTTTTTTTTTTTTGTAGAGATGAGGTCTCTCTATGTTGCCCAGGCTGGTCGCAAACTCCTAGGCTCAAGCAATCCTCTCCTGCCTCGGCCTCCCAAAGTGCTGGGATTATAGGTGTGAGCCACCATGCCTTGTCCTTTTTGTTTATTAATTATTTTTTGCTTTATTTATTATTTCTTTTGCTTTCTTTAACCTTTAAGCTTTGTTGGGATTTGATTTTGTTTTATTTTTAATGAGAATAGTCTTTTCAAAACATAGGTGAACAAACCTTAACCATCCACACTTAGCAACAACATTTAGCTTCAACTAAAAGCAAATGTTGATACATATGTGTGTTCACTTTGTGAAAATTCATAAACTGCATGCTTATTACCGACATACATTTTTATATTAATGCTACACTTCAATAAGAAGTTTAAAAAGCAGAGGTCCATCTGATGGGAGAAACAAAACTTCAAAACATCTTCAAAATACTATGATGGTATTCCTTCATTACCTCATATAAACCATGATAAAATTAAAGGAAATCGCTACACACAGTACATCTACATGGATAAACACACACAAAAAATTAGGGTGACTGGTGAACAAAGTGAAAAGTTGAAATCCTTTCAACAAATCCCCATGGCACATTTTTAATAATTATCTTTGGGAATAAATAATACAGAACATATTTATATTCCAAGAGTATGAAACATCATTGCTTCCTTTCCATATAGTGCCCCTCCTCAATGGTTTCTACTATTTCTAAATTCCAAAGTGTATTTTAAATGATTTCAGGAATTGATGTATTACACAAAGCAAGCTAGGATTGTACAATAGATTTCCAAAGCCCAGTACAAAGTTTTCTGTGAAGAATTCTTCATAGCCAAATTCTCCACATACTTTAAAAAAATATGCCACTAAAACAGCTCCAAATATTTCTGTTGATTAACTCAAGCTCCCTGTAAACACTTTCTATATTCTTTTTTTTTTTTTTTTTAGACAGGGTCTTGCTCCGTTGCCCAGGCTGTAGTACAGTGGCACAATCACAGCTCATTGCAGCCTTGACCTCTGGGGCTCAAGCAATCTTTCCACCTCAGCGACATGAATAGCTGGGAGAACAGGCATGTGCCACCACACCCAGCTAATTTTTGTGTTTTTTGTAGAGATGGGGTTTTGTCATGTTGCCCAGGCTGGTCTCAAACTCCTGGGCTTAAGCAGTCCATCTGCCTCAGCCTCCCAAAGTGCTGGGATTACAGACATGAGCCATTGCGCCCAGGGACCTATTCCTTATTATAAAATAAAAAGCAGTTTTAGCAACCAGGCAGAAAAGTTTATGTAGTTGTAGTACCCACTGCTCAACACATTGGTCTAAATTATAAGAACATCATAGTTTTACTGACTACAGGTGTAGTACATGAGTCTAGTTCTTAAAAATGTTATACATAAATGTATTTGGGAAAAAGTAAAAAATCGCACTAATCCTAGATATAATCAGTATAAAAGACAATTTACTTAATAGTCTTCCATATTCTCTTTTTCCTTTATGGTTCTTTTTCTCTCTTATACCCTAGCATAATGGTTAAGAGTTTGGGCTCTCTCAGGTCAGTCAATTTCAATACAAGTGGCACTTTACAGTTGTGTGTTTCTGGGTAACATGCATTCCTTCAACCTCTTTGAGATTCCTCATTATACATGTTTTCCTTACTTGTAAAATGGGGATAACAAGAGTTGTCACACCATACAGGCTTTTAAAGATGAAAATATAAAATGCATATCACGTGCAGGGCCTGGCAAGGGTAAGAGACAATAAGTGTTCATTAATTATTAAACAGCACATAAATTTTTAGATTAGCCTAGTGTTTATATGTGTGTATGCAAATTCTGCCAGGTTTTGGTATCAGTGTTATGTCAGTTTTGTAAAACTGAATTAGGAAACTCTCTCTGAACCGAAACTGTTTAAATTAGTTCATTAAATTTTTAAGACAGGGTCTCTGTCAGTGAGACTCCAGGCTAGAGTGCAGTGGCACAATCATGGCTCACTGTAGCCTCTACCTCCTAGGCTTGAGATCCTCCCACTTCCGCTTCCCAAGCAGCTGAGATCAGAGGTACAGGCTGCCACATCATGCTAATTTTTAAATTTTTTGTAGAGATAGAGTCTTACTATGTTGCCCGGGCTGGTAAAGTTGAAAATCACTCACTCACGAAACTATCTGGGCCTACAGGTTTTGTGCATGTGGGGATTGTTCCCTGGCAATTTCCTCAGTTTCTTTCATTGTTACTGGCACATTTTCAAAGAAAAAAAAATCTACATTATTACCATTCCAAAAACTTAAAATATTTCAATGCATTAGCTCAAATGATATAGCAAATCCTTATACTGTTCTGCATTATCCCATCATCCCTTAAAATATAAACAAACAAATCAAGTGTCGTCAAGATTAATGAGGAAATTAACGAACAGCTAAAAGACAAATTATCCTCTAGTTGATACTCTAAAAGAGTGTTACTAAATCAGAACTGGAATCTAGACTTATTTAGTAATTCAGCTAGGTTACTTTGAACAGTAATTACTCTGGATGCCTTTGTAAGCTTGCCCTACAAATCTATCACAGGTGAAAGATTCTAATACAGGTCTCCTAGTCACTTAGTAATAAATTCAAGATAACATTATACTATAGAAAACGGGAAAAATACGATCTCTATCATACAGTGACTTGTAAGAATCCAAGTGTATACAGAAAAGACTGTAAACTACAAAGAGCTGTACAAGATGTTAGGCAGTGTTATCTTTACATTGTATTCAAGACTAAGGCAAGTAATGTTTTCTTGGCATGGAGGTTAACATGCAAAGATGCTGCTTTGGATGTTAATCTTCGTGCCAAGTATGTTTGGATGTTAACCTCCGTGCCAAGAAAACATACTTGTCTCTATTAGCCTCCTTACACTTCCCAATGGCGTTTGTTCTCTAATATCCTCATTTTTATGGATTATGTACCTGCTATAAATGTCACATAGATAAACATGTGGTTTAATTAAGGGGAAAAAAGGATTCAAGTGTCTGGTCAATGTACTTTCAACTAAAAAAACTCACTACAGCGCTGTGTAAAAAGTGTTCTCTAGTCTCTGTCTTTGGGAGTCTTTCAATATAATAAACTATAAAATAGAATACAGTGGTACCCCTAATGTAGTGATGACGGAAGCAGCTACTATGTTAAGGACGTCATATGGCTTTATCCACTCAATCCCCACAACACTAGGCTATATATTATTGACACATACTAGTCACCCAGCCAGAAAAAGCTGAAATCTGAACCCAAGCAATCTGACTCTAGAGTCCACAAGTTTAACCACTACCAGTACAGGATCCTATAGATAAACTACTTAGAATTTATTACTAAGTCATAATGAAAGTCTCATTTCAATTAACGCTTGGATAAAAAATGTATATTATATATAGATTGATAGTTATCTTCTAAATGATCACTGTATTAGACCTACAGCTGAAACAAGTTTGTTTTCTTTTTCTTTTTTTTTGAGACAGGGTCTTACTCTGTCACCCAGGCTACAGTGCAGTGGCAAGATCACAACTCACTGCAGCCCCCACCTCCCAGGCTCAAGTGATCTTCCCAACTCAGCCTCCTGAGTAGATGGGACCACAGGCAGGCACCACAACACCCAGCTATTTTTTTAATAGAAACGGGGTCTCCCTATGTTGCCCAGGCTAGTCTCAAACTCCTGGGCTCAAGCGATCTTTCTGCCTTGGCTTCCCAGAGTGTTGTGATTGCAGGCATGCGCCACTGCGTCTGGCCAGTATTTGAGTGTTTCTGAAAAAATCCTGGCTTCTCTCTTGCACAGCACCATCAAAAACATAAAGGTCTAAGTAAAATGGTCTTTTCTCCAGAATTCCCCAAGATAATGTTTGAAATTCCATTGCAAATCCTTGTGGAGTTATTTTTTAACAAAGTCTAATCCTAGTGTAACTGTGTCATGACAATTGGCTTTCTTTAGTCTTTGCCTAGATTCTTCTTTTTGTAGCCAGGATAAATTACAATTTGGCCATACATCTCAAAAAGTAAGAGTCAATGAGAATGATCTGTTTTCTTATTGGAATGTCCACATTAAAAGCTTAATAGTATTGGTGGGTTGTGTATGTGTGGGTATATGTAAACAGAATCAGTTATGAGGTAAACAAACAGGTAGTTTTTTTTTGGGGGGGGGTATAGTAAATTTTAACCAGATGTAAATGTTTACTTTACTTACAAACTAAGTAGATTAATAAATATCAGAGTAGTCACTACCAGACAGGTAAGTGTTTTAAACATGCAGATTCCATATAACTCAAAGAATTTTAAAAAATCATAAAGGGCAATTTCTGCTATGAAAAGATGGACTTTGACAAGAATCTTATACAATATGTACACAGCAAAGAATAAAATGAGGTAAGGCATCCTTGAATACAGGCAGTTTAGCTACAATAGAGTCTCTCCCAGAATGGAAAATTCATACTACCTGCTCATAGGTATGGGAGAAATTAGTGGTACTCCAAAAAAACTGAACAACGCCAGGGCAAACTATGTCGAAACAAATGTTAAAGGAAAATGCTCCCTTACGGCATAAGTCCACCAGATTTTTAAAATCCTGAGTCACAAGTTTATTGGCTTATTCTAGAATCAAGACAGCCATTCTGGATTATCAAAGGAAAAATGTGACAACAGAACAAAACAAAACGATCTGAATGAATTTGTATAACTGGTATGCAAGTCACAAAAATCACTTTCATCACCTCACTTACCCAGTTGGATAATAGAGATTATCCAGTGTAAGACAAGAGCTATTAAAGCTTTTTCTTGATTTATCTCAGGTCATTAATATGAGGACTGTTCCATGTACCATGCTATAGGTAAATGCATTGCATAAGCATTTAATGCTCATAACCTTGGGAGGTAATTCTGTTATTTTTGTGAAAGAAATAAAGCTCAATGATATGTAAAAACTTGTCTAAAGTTACACAGCTAGAGCCAGGCTCCCAAATTGATGTTTTTTTAATGCCATATCACACAGACTCTTGATTGACAAACATCAGTTTTCATGATTAAATGTTATGTCAAAGTTGTGGGCAGTGGACTGAACACACACTAATCAATCACTGTTTAAAAAATCATCTCCCACCTAAGTCTTTAAATAATACATTATTTCCGAATGTGTGTGTTGAGGTAGGAAAGGGGAGGGAGGAGATTACAGATAGCTGGGCTTCCCAGTAGCTCCTTTCCAACAGAACAATGGAATTTTGTTCTAAAAGTTCTTGTTTTTATTTTGCATATGCCACAAAATAAAGTAGAATAGGGCAAATGCAGAAATCATGTAAAACCATAAAATATAATAAATCATTAAACTGTCACCTAAAAGATCACCTTTTAGGAGGGAAGCTTCTTTCCTAACTTTAATCTTCGCATCATCCTGCTGATAAGTTTCCTGGTCTCGTATCTTCAGTACTTTCAACATCACATTTAGTGGGAACAGGTTAAATGGGTCAGCTTACAAATGTTTTACCAGTCAAAATATTATAATGTAGCATTTCTAACAACAATTCCTTGGCAATTTTCCAAAAGAAGAATTGCTCTAATATTGAGAATTTTGGTTACTATTTCTAAAACACACACAAACAATTATTTTCATCAGTACTCTCTAAATATGTTGAAAATGACCCTCTTTTTTAAAAAAGGCCAGTTACACTAACTGTTTATATAACTGCCTATCTTTTATGTGCTATGTGTTCACTGAAATGGAAAGGAGACAAAAATTTTCAAGATCACATAGCAAAACTAAGACACATCAAAGGTGTCAAATGTTAGGGGAAATTTTTTTAAGTTATTTTTAGAAGCAACAGAGGTGCTAATTTCCTTTTTTTTTTTTTACCCAGGAAGGCTATTCTAGGTGATTGAGTATTTTCTGGGAGAAGACGTTGCCAACTCTATTTCTGACAAGAAACTGACCAACACAAACCTCATTTTAAAAAGTGTTCTTTGAAAATGTGTACAGAATGGATAAATAAAATGTGGTATATCCATATGATACAATATTATTCAGTAATAAAAAGAATGGAGTAATGATACATGGCACAACACAGATGAACCTTGATAACAGGATGCCAAAGTAAAAGAAGCCAGTCGCAAGACAGCACATATTCTATGATTCCATTTACTATAACTGAATTGTCCAGAATAGGCAAACATACAGAGACAGAAAGTAGATTAGTAGTTCCCAGGAGCTAGGAAGAGTGGGGAAGAATAGGTCATGACTGCTAACAGGTACAGATTTCCCTTTGGGGTGATAAACATGTCCTAAAATTGATTATGGAGACAGACATACAATTCTGTATAAACTTAAAACCATTGATTTGTACACTTTAAGTAGATGGATTATATGGTATGTGAATTACATTGCAATAAAGCTGTTTTTTTTAAAAGGTACATATACAGGTATGCCAGGCATAAGAACCATCTACCTGTAATTATACTAATTAGCTAAAATTAGTAACACTTTTTTGCCAAAATCATAAATGCAGGATATAATAATTCTTCCATATTTTAAACTACTTTTCACCACTTACATGTTGCAGTGGCTAGTATTATTCAATTAGTGGTTAAAGGCACAGGCTGGGTTACAATTCCTAGCTTTATCACTTAGTAGCTATGAAATTACAGGCAAGTTGCTTCCCTTCGCTGAGCCTCACTTGACTCTTTTGTAGTGAGAATTAGGAGCACCTACTTCTTAGGATTGTTGTAAGAATTAAATAGGATAATCCCTATAAAGCACAGTGCATGGGGCAAGATGCTCACTAAACACTAGCTACTAAAATTCACCACTGAAAGTTTCTGAAGCCCATCTAGTCCATGTTCTACCCTATACAATGATCTCATCTTATTCATTTTCAGGACGTTATCCCTGGGCCTCTGTGGGATGGCTAGGGGGCAGTTAAAGGAAGATTTTGCAAAAAAGAGTAATAAGTTCCTACTCTCCACACTGACTCCTCTTTCATAACAACTATCAGCCTCCTTGCTGCCAAGAATGGGCAAAGAGATAAGCCAAATGTTAGACCACAGGCAGGGTTGTTCCTTCACTTAACCTGAAGAGGGCCTCAGCCTTTATGCAAAGTCAGATCTCCCCCAGAAGGCAATCAGGCTTGTAGCTGGGGACTCTAAGACATAACTCCTTTGATAAAGACTTTTCCAAGTGTACCAAAAATAAACAAGCAACCTCTGTATATTAGTTTCACAAATGGCCAAGCTTTTAATGGATTTCTTAAGTTTGATATGACAAGATTTAAAAAGAAGGCAACCAAAGCAGATAGAACCTGGAATTTTAAGGTAAATAACAGAGGATCCACTAAGTCCACGTACAGATCAGTAGCAACACTCCAGCTTCCTGCCCTTCTCATCACTGGCGCTGAATAAGTTACACATTAAACACTATCAACTCATTCCTTCTACCTTACTTTATGAGGTACACCTAATCTCTGACCTAACAGAATCTTGCCATTCCAGTTGAAAAATGGCAGGTTGGTGTGACTTATCCTCTTACATACAGGAAATAGCATATAAGGAAAAAGGAAAGTTCTATATGAATGTTAGTTTCTCTGATTTTTTTTTTGAAAAACAATTTTAATATACAACAGAGTAGAGGGAAAAACAAAAGCATCCACATGCCTACAACCAGATTTAATAAATGTGAACAACTGTCATTTAACACATTTTATTTATTTACAATTTCAATGACAATCTTTAAAAGTTATTTGAAGTGTTTTCCACTAAATGTACAACAGATCAGTTCCAAATACTTCAGAAAAAAGATTCCATGAGCATCTGTTTCTGGTCTTAGAACTGTAGTGACATGGCTACATTGTCCCTGCACCAAATGAGAATGTGGACAATAGGTCCTGGGAAAATGTATTCTGTGGTCAAGACAGCTGTGGGCAAGGTATCACCCTCTCATTATTCAGAGATGCTCTGATATGATAAGAACCATAACTGAACACTTATATATCCCAGATCATCTAGCAACAGGTAAGTTTTACCTATTTTATAGAAGAGATCACTTATTCAACAGATTTTAAAAAGAAAAAAAATCTTTAAGAGGACTCAGTGATATTAAAGGCTTTGGTAATATTAAGGGGAAAAAAGACAATGTCTTACTTCAAATAATTTAACACATTTGAAAAAATTAGTAATGTGTATATGAAAATTTAAGATGGCAAACGTGAGACTGATAATAAGCAACATAGAAATAACAGAATAAAGTTGTTAATTCTTGAAGGAATTATTTTAGGATGAGTTCCTGGAAAAAGTATGCTTTGTTCTAAAATCTTGAAAGATTATTAGACTTAAATATGCAACAGGTATGAATGTTGGAGATCATTTCTGAGCAAACAGTGGGGAAGCAGGAAAGCATTCTGGAAAATTACATAGTGTGAAACAGGCACACTGTGAAAAGTTTCTAACCATAAATTAAGATGTTTGGACTGATAATGAAGTCAAGAGAATCTGTTAAAAGTTTTGGTACACTCTACTGCTCTAGAACACCTCCTCTTCTTCATCTGTCAGATAAACTAGATCCTCCTTTGAGATCCAGTTCAACTTCCATGGTGAAGCATTCCCAAAGTTGCAGTGCAGTCAATGGCTCCATTCTCAGTATCCACAGCACTTTGCATTTATCTGTGTTACATTGAATAGTGTTTCCCAAACACTGCATGAAAAAATCACTGGGCAGCTTGTATAAAAGACAGCAAGGCACTGTTATTCTTTTTGTTTTGTTTTGTTTTAGACGGAGTTTCACTCTTGTTGCCCAGGCTGGAGTGCAATGGTGCGATCTCAGCTCACTGCAACCTCCACCTACCGGGTTCAAGCAATTCTCTTGCCTCAGCCTCCTGAATAGCTGGGATTACAGGCATGCACCATCACGCCTGCTAATTTTGTATTTTTAGTAGAGATGGGGTTTCTCCATGTTGGTCAGGCTGGTCTCGAACTCCTGCTCTCATGTGATATACACCACCCGCTTTGGCCTCCCAAAGTGCTGGGATTACAGGCATGAGCCACTGCACCCGGCACTGTTACTCTTTAACCTCCAGGAATTAGCAGTCGGAGGAAGCCAATTTACACCCTAGAGAGGAAAGTGCTAAGACTACCTTCTTATATTGTGATGAGATTCTATAAAAATTTGTTGTTCCACATGTTCATTTTTTCCATGTCACCAAACTTCTCTCTAGTGACTTAAGTCTATTAAACACAAATATGATTTGCCAGAAATTCTACTTTTAAAACCAATGACTGAAAAAAAAATACAGTGTTTTTTTCATATAATATATCAAAATTATAAAAAGCATTAAACTATGCCGGCTGTTCTTCATTAAATTAACTCCTGGAACATTTAAGTAAATAGGTTTCCTTCTCTTTAGAAACTTGTATCCATAGACTTCTGCTTGCTTCTTCTTCTCATACATTCACCATGCTAACACGCTTGTTAAGATCAAACCAAAGCACCATTGCATAAAGGGATATTGCATTCAATACTGATGGGGTTGCTCTCCCATAGAAGTGCTTCATTCTCAGCTACAAATATTCCCAGTTTAGAACAGACAGCAACAACAGAGTTTTAAATTGTCAGCATCAACAGCATTGATATTTCCTTTCCAACACCCCCGCCATGACCCCTGCCATCTCCACTCAAGAGTGCCAAGCAATTCTGGAAAATATGAACTGAATAAGGGAAGATGATCAAAATGCTGGCAACCCTATTAATAGTGTCAGTTTCTTTAGACTAATATATATTTATAACCTAGACCATAACTGAAAACAAAAAATATATTCTAATCTGGTGCCTTCAGTGATTTTATAAACAGCCAAAACAGAATACATTATTTTAAAAGTCATAAATACTTTTTAACTTTAAAAAGTTAAAAATCCCAACAGGGTTTTCATGTAGCTTAACAAGCTAACTCTAAAATTCATTCAAAATCCTATTCCAATTTGGGGGGAGGAGGATATCCTATCGGATATCAAATCTATAAAATGATTCTAATGAAAACAATGTGATACTGGCACAATATAAAAACAGTTCAACGAAGGAGAATACACTAGGAAGTTCAAAACTGAAGCCTGTACACATGGTAATTTAGTATTAACAAAGGTGGCAGTTTAAGTGTGAAAAACATAAAACATTCAATAAATGGTGAAGGGCTAACACCACTATTTGTGGGAGTGGGGGAAGAATCTTCAAATCATGAATACCTCACATCATACAAAAATAAACTGCAGATGGACTGAGGAGCCAAACATATGAAAGATACTAGAAGAAAATGTAGGCCGGGGGCGGTGGCTCATGCCTGAAATCCCAGCACTTTGGGAGGCCGAGGCAGGCAGATCCCGAGGTCAAGAGATGGAGACCATCCTGGGCAACATGGTGAAAGCCTGTCTTTACTAAAAATACAAAAATTAGCTGGGCGTGGTGGTGCGTGTCTGTAGTCCCAGCTACTTGGGAAGCTGAGGCAGAAGAATTGCTTGAACCTGGGAGGTGGAGGTTGCAGTGAGTCAAGATCACACCACGGCACTCCAGCCTGGGTGACGAGGCAAGACTCAGTCTCAAAAAAAAAACAAAAAAGAAAAGAAAATGTAAAGAGAGTATATACTAATTTTAGGAGTGACAGGAGTGAAGAGAATAAAGCTTTCCTAAGCAGAAGGCAAGAAAAGCCCCCAAAACTAATATTATTAATTTGTAATATTGACATATTTTATTAAAAACATTTAAAATTTCTATAGCGCACAAGATATCACATTGTTAAAAGACAACACTAGACTGGGAGAAAATGTCAATGATTCTAATGTAGTGACCATAATACTTAAAAAATTCCCACTGGGCAAAAGGATATATTAATAAGTAAATCAAAGAAAACTCTAATTGAAAATAAATAAAATTTACAAATAAACCACTTCACCACTAGTAGTCAAGGAAATACAAATTAAAATAGTAAAATGTCATTTCCACCCTAAAGACTGGCCAAAAAAAAAAAAAGGACTTCTGTTGATAATGGTTTGGGAAATACACTATTAGTAGTAGTAGAAATTAATACAGCTCCTCTTACCCCCCGCAACTTTTATTTTAGATTCAGGGGGTACATGTGCAGGTTTGTTACATGAGTATATTGCTTGTTACATAGGTGAGGCTGAGATTTGAGGTATGATTGATCCTATCACCCAGGCAGTGGGCACAGCACCCAATAGTTAGTTTTTCAACCCTTGCCTGCTTCCTTCCTTCCCCCATCTAGTAGTCCCTCTTTATGTCCACGTAACACAGACTTGTCCATCTTTATGTCCACGTAACACAGCCTTTTAAAAGAATATTTGTATTTATATTTTTAGTAAGCTCAGTAATTCTGTTTTTAATAACCCTACAGATATAATCACATAAGTGTACAAAGATACACTACACACACACACACATAATGACAAAATTATAGTGCTCCGTAAATATTAGCTATGAGCCAGACATAGTTCTAAAAGCTTTAGAAACATCAACTCATTTAATTCTCACAGCAATCCTATAACTTAGGTTCTATTATTTTCATCCCCATTTTGCAGATGAGGAAACCAAGGAACAGAAAGGTTGAGTAACTTGCCCAAAGTCACAGAGATAATAAGCAGCGGAGCCAAGATTCAACCCAGGCATTTCAACTTCAGTACCTGAGCTCTTAACCACCGCTACTACTAGGTAGATCTACTGCCTTCCAAACAAGGATGTTCACTGCAATATTGTACATCATAGCAAAATGCTGGTAACAGCCATGTCAGGAACTGTAAAATAAATAATGGGCTGCTCATGATGTAAAATATAAATGATGTAGAATCAACATACACACAAATATTTATAATAAAGTGGAAACAAATGAGACACAAAAAAGATTTAGCATAACTTCATTTGTGTCTTAAAAGCAACCTCTGTATGCAGTTTTGTATATATGTATGTTCATTTGTTCAGACATTTTTCTAAAAAAATTACACACAAAATATTAATACTTAATACTAGTTTCTTCTGGGAAGGAAAACAAGATTAGGACTAAGGGTGAAGAGAGATTTTTCACTAGTTATTTTATGTATCTTTTTATTAGGTGACTTCTTTTATTAATACAAATGGCACGTTATTGCTTTTCCATTAAAAACAAATTAACCTAATAAGCAAACAGGGAGGTAGAGCCCCAGGTTAGGTAAGATGCTAATATCACCAACAGCACTGGATCTACCCTCCTGCAAAGCAGTTACATTTGCTATGCTGATGGCCACAGACTGAAGACGCCAAAACTCACCAAGAGTTGTAAACATTTTGATGCTGATTATAACACAGTAAGATTGTCACACATTATTGCAAGAATATATAAAACATCATTAGTGAGAATCAAACTGGCTGAGTTCAAATTGTGGCTCTACTATTTACTGGCTGTATGATTCCAGGAAAGTGACTTAACCTCTTGATATCTCAATTTCCTCATTATAAAATGGGGATCAGTATTTACCTTACATGGTTAATACTTATAAAATCCTTATAACACCTGCACAAAATATAGATTCATTTTGTTAGACAAAAACAAATAACTTAAGAAAATACATATATGTACATGCTGATGTTAAGCTAACAGTACCATCTCCCTTTCCAAAAACATAAATAACCTCTGCAAAACAAACTAAGTATATCATACATAGTAAGTGTATAAGTGTTGTTTTGCAAAACTCTTTTTAGGCTATGTAGACACATGTATGAATATGGTACCATAATGTAAAATTCACTTCTCTCATGTTCCAAAGAGTGTCAAATCCACTATAACTAGAGCATATTAGTGAGTGGCTTAGGGCTTTGTCCTCTGCTGCTACATCCTGAGATCAAACCTCACCACATCAAGCCTAGCATCTATATACAGCATCTTTCATTTAAGAGGGCTGCATAGTAAACACACTGTTTCAAACCTTAATATACACACAAACATCCTGTCTTAAACCAAATTCAAAACACCTTTCTTCCTAAAATATATTTTGTATTGTCTCTAGATTAAATCCATATCACTATTAATATATTTTTAATCAAGACTAAGCAATTCTCTCCCTGAACCTGTTATCCTCCCTAGTCAAAGCTCATCCTGCTGTTAAGGCAACTTAATCCAAATCCTCACCTTTTGTAGGTTTATTTATAAACTTTTTGTTCTGTCACTTCAATGGACAACACAGCTAAAAAAATTTTAATTTTATAAAAATCATTAAATTCACTCTGCCAAAAGTAAGAATTTTATTATTTGTAGTAACTATGTTTCCAGAATAAAGGCATTACATATTATAATTGGCCTATTAAAATTAGGTGTTGAGCATTAGGCTTATTTCAGTGATAAATCAACTTTAGGTTGGTTCTCAAAATATTTTTCCTAGTACCCTGTCTGAGTCTCTCCAACACGTACACTATTTCTCCCATATCATGTCTTACATTCCCTATATAACTTGTTTAAAATGAAGTTAATTGTAAAGTCCCAAGAAACTCTAGCCTCGTTCCAGTTCTTTTGTGTGTGTGTGTGTTGTGGGGAGGGGGGAAGGAGACTAAAATTAATCTTAGATCCTTTACTCAGTATCTCCTAGATCTTTTTTATGTACTGAAAACAGTAATTTGCACATCTTATATAAATTCACTGAAAGCCGATTTAGAAATTCTTCAGTTCAATCCCCTCATTCTGCAGATGATGAAATCTAGATCTAGAGAAGTTAAGTAACTTCCTCAGAGTCACATGCTTTGGACTGAAATGATGTATGATTATGGGACCGCTAACGTTGTCTCATCTACTTGAAGAAGTAGCCCATGATTACAAACATTAATTAACCACATACATTAAAAGGCAGTATATTCTCTAGAACTTTTCAAAGTACTTAAAAATAATTACTTAAGGCATTTAGTGTTAAGTCTCATTTTACAAAAAAACAAGCTGAATCCCAAAGGTATTACTTCCTTGTTACCATATCAAAGCTAAGGATAAGACTTATTCTTCATGAATTAACTGGTGCTTAAAACATAGTATAATATTTCCTCCAAATATTTCATCTATAAATTTTTACTTTCAATAAAGTTTCTCTCATTGTCTTTTAAAGGAAATAATTTTCTGATATGAATAGAAAAATCATAATAAAGTCATTAAAATGAAATTTTCTCTGAATCTCATACCTGTCGTTCATCCTCCATGACGTTACTAGCAAATTCAAATACTAGGTCGTTCTGTTGGACAACAGCAGCCATAATAAAGCATTCCCCTTAGATCCACATGAGAAAAATTCCAAGAAGATTCACGTATCAGGCAGCAAAATCCAGTGACTGATTTGGGTAAAAAACCCTCAGCTCTGTCTGTGGAGTAATTGTATACCCAAGTTTTCTTTAGGGAAGGTGCTTCAGTTTTCCTGGTTCATTGATATTCTAGTCAAATTGAGACAATTTTTCTGAAATTTTTCTTCTCTCAAGCTTCTTGGCCTAAAAAACAAAAGCTCAGATTAGTTATGAAAAAGCAATCACCCACTTAGGATATAATAACTGATACAGAGGGCAGTATCGCTAAAGCATTTTTTTATTATTAACGTTTTTAAATAAAATCGACACGACTAATGCACATACGCTCTTTTTTAAAAGTTACATATTTTATTTGAACAGTTTGCTCCTGCTAAGATCATCTGTCACTACTGAAAATTATGCCTCTCTCCCCCACTCTCCAGTTAAACTACTGTTAAAAGTACTCAATATTAAAAAAAAAAAAAAGGTCAAAAAACCCCAGCAATAATGAGGGTTGTAATCGCAATAAAGGATATATAAACAATTTCCTTCTTTTCACCAACTCAGCAAAGCACATACATAGAAACTGCTACCCAATGAGTAATTTCACAACGTATATATTTTCACCTTTAAGAGGATTTATATAAGGATTTAAAATCAAATACATTTAAAGTTTAGTAAGAAGTATTTTTAAATCTTTTAAAAATAAGCAGAAATTAAAGCCCACTCTTTCTGTTCTTTAAAAAGGCTTCTGATAAGTAAAATGTTTTAAAAATTACCATGCTTAAGCCTGTCTTCAGTGGCTTCTTTTTTAATGCACTGAAATGTATCCTTATCTCTAGTATAGGCTTGCAAGCAACAGGAAGGAAACAGCACTTGACCACGTCATGGCAAATTAGAACATGCAAAGAACTGCACTTTACAATAGTAGAAAAACAGAAACGCAACTTAGTAGTGAAAACAATTTCACAGCGAAGGGACAAAGGCTTTTAAAATGTCTGCCAAAGATGTTTGCCTATTTAAAAAAAAAGTTATCAATACTAACAAAAGGAAAAAATTCTTTAGGTGTTTATCACAATCTTACTACATTTTCATCAAATGATTATGGCCTGAAAAGAAAGATACAAAAATAATCACATTAAATAACATTAGTTCTTTGAATTAGCATTTACAGTTTTATTACAAACACTTTAAAAAAGAAGTTGACTCCAAGGAAAGGATGGCCAGTAATTTCCTAATAATTTTAAAGAGACAAGTCTGGGGATGAAGCTGATCTAGTGAATCAGTTTCCCTGAAAACGTAAATCCAGCTAGTATGTGTCAGCCAAATCACTTAATCGGTTTCCTAATTTCTGTAAAGCCAAGTCCCTATGTGTCCTGGGCTTTAGGGGTCATCATGGATGACTGTGATTTTCCTAGCAAGAACTCAAAATAAAATAAGAATTAAGAATCCAATTCAGATGATATTTCTACTCACTACACTAAATTCCAACCCAGCAAATTTCCCACTCTCATCCACTCCCTTTTAACAGGAAGTTTAACTCCAACACTGGGAAAGTATTTTTAGCACATTCAGGTGGTTTTTGAGCAATGTACCATATCTAGAAGAGGGAAAAAAAAAGTGTTTTGATTTAAATTGATCACAGATAGATACATTTGGCCTTGTACTTATTATTATTTATAATACCTTTTTCCTTAAATTATTATCCAACCCAATTCCTCTGTAGTAGACCTGCCTTATGTTCCTCCACACAAACTATTCAGTCTTGCCTCTTTTCTCAACTTCTGTTATTTCCTATGCCTGCAACACACCCATCTTCTACTTGCCAGCATTCAATCCCATCTTTTCCATTCAATGCTCAAGCCCCATTTATTTCACAAAGCCTCCCAACATCTATGCCTCAAACTACAAGGACTGCTCCCTTCAAAAACACAGCAATTACTGCCCGTACAACCAATTTAGCATGAATTGTAGTACATTGTCTTACATTTGAAAACTGTGTCCCCTTAATTCAACTGAATACATGTTTGAGTACCAATTATTTGCAAGGCAATGTGCCAGGCACCAAGACAACTGAAGCAAAACCTCTTCTGGGGAAATAACCATTGTCTAAAATTTCTTCTGTACCTCCCAAACCTGTGTGCCCACAGTGATGACAAAAAGGATTATATTGATGACAAATACTGTTTTAAATATCTTATCAGGCCAGGCATGGTGGCTTACACCTGTAACACCAGCATTTTAGCAGGCTGGTGGGGAAGGAGTCACTTGAGACTACACATTCAAGACCAACCGGGGCAACATAGCAAGACCTCGTCTTTACAAAAAATAAAAAATTAGTTGGCTGTGTTGGTGTGTGTGCATTTGTGATCCTAGCTACTCAGGAGGCTGAGGCAGGAGGATCACTTGAGCCCAGGAGTTCAAGGCCGTAGTGAGCCATGATTGCCACTGTACTCCAGCTTGCATTACAGAATGAGACTCTGTGTTCAATAAATAAATATCATTAGATATTTAAGCTATTTCTACAAATATCCTTTATTTAAAAAAGAATAACTGATATACTTCTGATAAAGAGGAAACTATTATCACAAGCTTGAAAAACGAGAGTAAGAAAACATAACCAGAATCAAGGGATGTTTGCTGATACAGAAGTTTCTCTGTAAAAGATTAGGTTCCAGAAGGCTATTTCAAAACCCATTTGTTCATAAATGCAAAATGACATTGTGCCAATGGCCAGTGTGAATACGTCTAGGTAAATTTAAGTTTCACTTTCTTTTCCACTGCTGTCATGTACCTTTTCGTACCAGCACTTCCACACTGCTACTGTGCTTTAACAGTTGTCTTTCAGAAATCTAAAAAATCAGGATAAGCAACCAACATACCCACACCTTATACATACTAACAACTAACAGTAATAAATCAAAACTGAAATGGCTCCCCACAATCACTAAGCCACTTATTGCAGCAGAAAAAGACACTTTTGCTCTGGCATGTAGCTTTTGCTTATTTCTATAGAGAAGTCCACAAACTGAAAATGTGTAAGCAAAGAAAAGCATTTTACTGGCTCAATCATGTCTTTGATTCTCTGTCATCTTTCCTGCTCCTCTTCCTCTCCCCTGTGTACTTATATACTCTTCTGCATCAAGGTGATTCTTGAGAATACATTTTCTGATACCTGATCCAGAGGGAGCACCTGTAGATATCAAAGATTCTTATAATCTTTGATTACAAAGCCCAGGTATCTTACAATTTTTTCAGTAACAGACAAGACTGAAGATCTAAATCAATGATTCCATTTTTAATTAGTAAATTGGGGTGGTCAAGTTCTCACGGTCTACAAGCAAAACAGAACTAAAACTAGAATTCTTGTTTCCTAAATCAGGACTCTCTCTAAAACTGTAATATACAGCTGGGCCTCTAAAATCCACCAAAGTCCTTTCTGCTATAACAGTTTATAACACAGATTAAGTAAACGCATATGTAAAAAATTTTTAAAATCTCCATCTCTAGGTTCAGCTTCTGAGCTCCAAATCCAGTCACTAAACTATAAGACAAGTCTACATCAGTGCCCCTTGAAGTCAGTGTGTAAAAAACATGTCCAAAACTAAATGCATCATCTAATTCCTCAAATACGGTCTTAGATGGAAAAAAAATATGGGCACTCGGATTAGAAAAAAGGCTTCTGTTCTAACCTAACAAATTGAAAGGTCCTCAGTAAATTTAAAACTTGTTTAAATTTACCCATCCTTAATTATCTATTATAGTCAGGAAGCACTCTGCTGTATTAATAGTTCTCAAACATGTTTTTTTCAAAGTGTCAGTCTTTATAAAGTAACAAGGAAAAACATAAGTGAAACTACTTCTTCATCACACAGACATAAGCGGTCAACTTATTTGCACAGTTTTCAGAGGGCATCCAGGCAGACATCTACCAGATAATAAAAAAATCTTAGGCTGGCTCAGATGTCTCTTAATTGGGTGAGGACCATATTCTTATTCTCCAAGGAGACATGCCACAGGAATACTTAGCAACAAGGTTCCTAACCTGTCATCCCCAAAATAAGCTTTGGAGTTAAAGTAAAATAGTAACACAAAGCAGTTCAGAGAACAGGCTCTGGAGTCAGACCGATTGGGTGCCAATCTTCTGCAGTGTGACAGAAGACTGGACAAGTTACTTGCTTGGTGTCTCAGTCCCCTCTTTCCATAAAATAGGTGTCAGTCTCAAGTCTCTTCCTTCTGTAAAACGGGTAAAGTAATACCAAAACCTAGAGCTGTTGTGTAGATGCAAAAATGCATGTGCAGAATACTTGGCACATAACATGCACTGAATTAACATTAGCTTCTTTAGCGCTGTAAGTATATGCAAGAAATATGTAACAGGTGCATGCTAGGTAACTAATAATTCCTTAAGGGTCATTTCTGTACTCCCTGGAAGTCTCTATTACCATAGCTATTTGCTAGACTCCAGAAAAAGAACATTATAGCCCATTGTCAACAAAACTGTAATTCTATTCCAGTGCTTCAAGGTTTGGCGTCTTTTTAACAAATCCTGCTGCTTCAAGGCGAGGACTTCACTCTGGCAAGCTTCCCTAACACAGAGTCCCATTATGCCTCATTCCAAACAAAATGACTTCACTGATGGTAAACACAAAACCCTCAGCCACACTACTAGCTACTACAACCACTTCAAATGGCTACTTGTTTAATTTATTATAGAAGATTTCAGGTACTAAAAAAAATATGATAGTCAAAATTGATCACTGATTGAATGTAAATTTAAGATTCCTTCAGAAAGGTTTTTAGACACAAGGATATTAAACCCACGAATTCATAAATATATTTTTAGAAAATCATTGCTCTTTTTTTTTTTTTTTTTTGAGTGGGAGTCTCACTGTCGCCCAGGCTGGAGTGCAGTGGCGCCATCTCGGCTCATTGCAAGCTCCGCCTCCCGGGTTCACGCCATTCTCCTGCCTCAGCCTCCTGAGTAGCTGGGACTACAGGCGCCCGCCACCACGCCCGGCTAATTTTTTGTATTTTTTAGTAGAGACGGGCTTTCACCGTGTTAGCCAGGATGGTCTCGATCTCCTGACCTTGTGATCCACCCGCCTCGGCCTCCCAAAATGCTGGGATTACAGGCGTGAGCCACAGCACCCGGCCGAAAATCACTGCTCTCCTTTTAAGTTACTATGGTACCAACTGTTTATGGTGAAAATTAATAAATAGTCCGGTGCCGTGGCTCACGCCTGTATCCCAGCACTTTGGGAGGCCGAGGCGGGTAGATTACCTGAGGTCAGGAGTTCGAGACCAGCCTGACCAACATGGTGAAACCCCGTCCCTACCAAAAACACAAAAAAAAAATTAGCTGGGCATGGTGGTGAGTGCCTGTAATCCCAGCTACTTGGGAGACTGAGGCAGGAGAATTGCTTGAACCCAGGAGGCAGAAGCTGTGGTAAGCCGAGGCACGCCACTATACTCTAGCCTGGGCAACAGAGCAAGACTCTGTCTCAAAAAAAAAAAAAAAAAAAAGAAAGAAAATTAATAAAGAGAATCAATCAAACAAAAAGGTTTTAGATCAGACAATTCTGGGATAAAGAAGGTGAAATATACCAGCTTAAAGCAATGACGTGGTTGAATGACTTCTCTAATGAAGTATGTAATTCAGACTGTGTCTGTTTATGTACATATGGCATGTTTGTAGGTTGGCAGTATCTAAAAAACTGGAATGCTACAGTAACTCTAGACACCAAGTAACTGAACAGAAAGAACTTTCACAAGATGTGGTAACCTAATAAAAGGGCTCTTTTCAGTATATACAGATAGTCATGGTAAGAAATGCAATATTCGGAAAAACCATTGAAAAAATATAACAGAAATGAAAGAAAACAGAGTAAGAAAGTGAGAGAAAAGAAGTGAAGTTATACCAAGTAGAAATGAGAAGCAAGCAATAAACCCATAATCTGTAATGACTGAATTCCTGTGTGATTGACCATAGTTTGGTCTTTTAAAAAATCTGTTTTCTATTATAACATGGTAGAAGGCTCTATATTAGCTCCCAGCAGAAATGAAGTCAGTGGTATGAAGATAAACTGCACACAGTCTTCCAAAGTTTGCCCATTCTCAATCTAAAAGTGTGAAATCACAGGATATTAGAGCTGAAAAAGATCTAAGGATTACCTAGGACAACATATTCACTGAAAAGAAAAAAGAATTTAGGCCTAGAGCATTCTGATGTGTCCAAGGACACACAGCCAGTTAGTGGCAAAGAAAGCAAGAAAAGCCCAGATTTCCTACTGGTACCTTTATATCTATATTAACAGAACTTCATTAATATTTTTTCCTTAGCAGAATATCTGGAAAAATAAGAAATCCCCTAGACAAATACCTAGCAAAAGTACCTTACCATACCCCAGTACAACTGTCAATTAAAATGCTTTTATATATTATGCAATCTCTTGATATTTGGGATAAATCATTTTCAACCATATTTTTAACTGAAACAACTGGTGCAGAGGGTTTGTAGATTTCCCTATTTACTACTTTAAGTCTTAGAGTTTTACTATTATTATCTCCCAAGTTTACTATATCATATCATCTTGCCTTACATTTTCACTCAGCCTAAAAAGTAAAAAGGAAACATGTATAAGCCTTTTTAGAAGGCTACCACAATTTAGTAACTCATTAAAATACTTCAAAATAGATTTGTACTGATATTTTTCTCTCTAGTTCTTTTTTTTCTTTTTGAGACAGAGTCTTGCTCTATCGCTTAGGCTGGAGTGCAGTGGCACGATCTCAGCTCACTGCAACCTCCGCCTGGGTTCAAGTGATTCTCATGCCTCAGCCTCCCAAGTAGCTGGGACTACAGGTGTGCACCACCACGTCTGACTGATTTTTGTAATTTCAGTAGAGACAGTGTCTCACTATGTTGCCCAAGGTGGCCTCGAACTCCTGAGCTCAAGTGATCTGCCCACCTGAGCCTCCCAAAGTGCTGGGATTACAGGCATGAGCCACTACGCCTAGCCTTTCTAGCTATTTTAAATACAGTATTATTGCTAGAATTTACATTAAAATATGCGAATATGGAAAAAACAATAAAGAAACATCCCAAAATGTAGGTATAGTTAAGAAACCAGATTTGAACTTTCCCAAAAAAGAATAGTCATACTTTCTCAGCTCCTGCTTTCTCTAAACCAGGTACTCTACACACAAAGTTGAAGGGAAAAAACACAAGTTAATGTCACAAGGCAAACAAATCATTTCATTGCACTCAGTGTTCTCATAATTGAAAAAGAAAATGTTTCTATACCCCAACTGTTCATTTAAATTTTTTCAAATATTCAACGAATTTAAGAAAGTTGAGAGAAAGTTTAAAACTATGTTTTTGCAATCTAAACAGGTACCATGTATTTACTATGAATATATTTTAGGTAGGTATGCAAGATAGCTACTTAAAATTAAGCATTCTTTTATTTTTTAATTAATTTTTTTATTGTTGAATTCTTTATTAATTCAAAACATTTTAAGTCAGTGTAATGCACATGCATTTTACACTAACATCCATAGATTTCCACAATATAGTAAAATGAAAACAGCTCTATCTTGATTTACTTTGAAAACTCAAAGAAAGCTACCTAGTTTGAGACTTCTGAATTTTTTTACATTATTGTCGTGCTCAAATTCTACTACATGGTGAAAATTCTAGCATTTTCCAGAAATATATTATTGTACATAGGTAAAATGATAAAACTGATTCTAGGAAGGGGGAATTTAAAAAACCAGAAAAGCTTAAATTGGAGGAAACATAATCTGGATTAACTATTCAATTTATTGAGTATCCACTGTTATTCTGGCATTGCAAAATAACCAAGTGTGGTGTCTCTTAAGTTGTATTCATGCATTTAAAACTTCTTTATTGTCCACTAATAAACATTGGTGGAGTACAATATATGGTTATAGATTAAGTATGATGAACATGGTAGTAAAAATTTATACACATTCGATACATAATTTTACAAAACCAAACACATTATTTAGCAAACATTCAAAAATCATACACAAGAAACATATTTATGACAAATTGGTTAAAGCTGGTAGGAAATACATCAGGTCTTTTACATTATTTCAATATTCAGTGTTCATTGACTAGTGGAGGGCAATATAGAAATGCACTAAGCAAAACTACCAGTTTAAGTTACCTCTTATGACAATGAGTAAGACTAAGATATTTAATATTGAAAGTATATGGAGGATTATTGTAATTATTTACCCAGATAGTTCAAGGGAAAAATTCACTTTCGCCTCTATTAGGTGAATATTCAGGATAAGACTTTTGGACTTTTATTTTTCTACTTTACTGTATTTTCTTTATAGCATGTATTAGTAATCACTTAATGGAACCTAATATCAGGGTTGAAGAATCTGCTCAGAATTTGTTTAGCTCAGTGTAAATGTCCAGAAATTTTACCTTCAATATAATCTCTTTAAAAATATATTACTTTGGCCAGGTGCAGTGGCTCACACCTGTAATCCCAGCACTTTGGAGGCTGAGGTAGGTGGAATGCCTGAGCTCAGGAGTTCAAGACCAGCCTGGGCAACATAGTGAAATCCCGTCTCTACTAAAAATACAAAAATTAGCCGGGCTTGGTGGTGTGTGCCTGTAGTCCCAGCTACTCGGGAGGCTGGGGCAGAATTGCTTGAACCCGGGAGACGGAGGGTGCAGTGAGCTGAGATCGCACCACTGCACTCCAGCCTGGTGACAGAGCGAGACTCTGTCTCAAAAAAAAAAAAAAAAAAATGTGTTACTTTACAGTGGAGAAACATAATAGATGCTAACTCAGCTAAGTGATCAAGGTTAACATCAACAGCTAAGAGAAGCCTAAAGTTTGAGAGACTGTCACAACTAAGAAGAGTCCTGATGATGGCATATACCTTTGATATCATGTGATAAGCATGGCACTTTACCTTTGTGTTCTTCCAAAAACCAAAAACCCATGTCTAGTCATGAGGAAAACATCAGACAAATCTCCACAGAGGGACATTCCACGAAATACCAGTTTATTTCTCAAAACTGTCATCAAAAACAAGGAAGCTTTCAGAACTGTCACAACTAAGAGAAGCCTAAGGAAACATGACAACTAAATGTAATGTGGTGGGATCCTGGGACAGGAAAGGGACATCAGGTTAAAAACTAAGGAAATCTGAATAAAGTATGAACTTAATGACCAATACTGGTTTATTAATTTTGACAGATGTCCCATAGGTCTGTAAGGGACCTTTCTATTTACAGTTTTTCTGTAAATATAAAACTACTCTAAAATTAAAGTTTTCATGGACACATTACTATTTTAAATTTTACTTTTATTGTAAACATTTTTATTTTTTCTTAGAGTCAGGGTCTCACTTTGTTGCAAAGACAGATCTGGAACTCCTGGGCTCAAGTGATTCTCTCGCCTTAGTCTCCCAAAGTGCTGGGGTTACAGGTGTGAGCCACCATGCCTGGCCCGTTACCACCTTTTATTAAGTTTTTATTTTCATTGTAAAATTGTTAAAGAAAATCATACTACCTTAATATTGAAAAGTGTTTTCTAATTGTCAATCTCTTATATCTTAGTCTTAGGCCTATAACTCATTTATATATTTAGCAAATAACTTGATATTATTTCTGTCCTTGGGAATGTTGTTTTATTTCCTTTGGAAATAAAATTTTCAAATGACTTCTCTTATTTAAACTTTAATTTTAACCTACAATTGTATATCTATCTATCTATGTATGTCATTGAAAGAAACATTTCTATAGATTTGAGGTGATGGTGAACTGCAAGTAGTGATTTGGGATCACATTATTGAGCAAAGCAATAACATTGATATAGTGTTCCATCTTAAAATATGATTGTATGTTCTGATGAATAGCTAAATCAGATGTTTATTGTATGTTTTGGAAAAAAATAGGGGAAAGTGCATTAAAATGACATTTAATACAAGCATAAAATAACAATTATTGTGTTGAAGAACTCTGATAAAATAATGTCACATTTTATTCTTTCCACGTTTATTTAATGCTCATAGCCATCCTGATAATTATTTTATTTGTCATTTGCAGATGAGAAAATGAACTCAGAGAAGATAAACGATTTGCCCAAAGTCGCATGAGACAGAAATGTAACTTGAAATCAAATTTGTAATTTTAAGTTCCTGATGTTTTTACACTACGCTCCCTAAGTGCATCTGTGAACACACATTTCCATTAGTAAGCATTGTATGTGGCATTCTTTTAATACAGCAATAAGAGCTAGATCTTTAGAAAGGAAATGTATCCAAGCTTAGGATAGAAACACAATCTGTTTATTATTCTAAAATGTTTATTTCTAACTGTTTAAAAGCTGTTATGCAGTGATAGCAGTTAGGTATAAGTCAACAGTTTTAAAATTCTAAAATTTCTGAAATGAGATTTAATATGAGAAATAATGAAGGAAGAATGAATTTCACATTGCACATATGACATATTTAAAAATATTACATTTGGTTATTGTCATCAATGCTTGATAGTGTTCCTTTTCCCTACTCATCTTAGAGCTTTTATCATAGGAATAAAATCAATTCCCAAACTGGGACCTTCTATCAGTTAGGGCAACATTTTCCTTTTGTAGTGTTTTCATTAGAGTCAAAGTCTTGAACATCCCCTGGAATTCATCTGAAAAGATGTTACTTGGGGCTGGAGAGAACTATACATGTGAGGATTAGGAGCCAACAAATTTCTGTTGATCACCTCTCTAACTCAAGAATTCTCTAGCTCGAGAATCAAGACTGACCTCTTTTGGTGATAGTACAGAAATGTAATCTTCATATATCATTCTAGCCTTTTCTCTTTTCTTTGATTACTTTTTTGTTCTGTTCTTTCTTTAAGTCTTCACAGGCAATCCAGAAAAGTAGGTTCTCTTTGTTGTATTCTGTTCAGAGGAACTCTCTGAAAAGGTTTCTTCCTGCTGGGGCCTTCATCATCTTGTCAAAATTTTGAGACCAGGGCAAGACTTCCTCTGCAGTGGGGTTTTGGCATTCCTCTAGGACCTGGATACTCTCCATTTTTGTAGTGTGTGTGGTTCTTCCTGCATTTTCCCCTTTCTTCATTCCTAACAGTGAGGCAGGAGCAGCTGCAACAACAGCACCAACAAAAGCAACAGATGTTGTTGGGCCTCTGGTTTCCAGGCGCTTGAGACACAGCAGGTGTTCCTTCATTTTGGGACTGCTGCCTTTTTCACATTTCAGCTACAAGACCCAATTAGCCAGTTGCCTGCAGGTGTGGGCAGTGCACCGATGGGTCTGGGGGGAGCGGGGCTGGGCGGCTCTGTCCTCTAGCGGAGCCCGTTTGCTACTATCCGCCCAACTTAAGCACCCAGCGGGCGAGGAACTAGTTTTTATTTATTTTTTAGAGACAGGGTCTCGTTGTTGCCCAGGCTGGAGGGCAGTGGCATGATCCTTGCTCACTATGGCCTCAAACTCCTGGCCTCAAGTGATCCTCCCGCTTCAGCCTCCTGAGTAGCTGGGGCTATAGGTGTGTACTACCACACCTGACTAATTTTTTATAATTTCTTTTGTAGAGAAGGGGTCTCATCATCTTGTTGAGGCTGATCTCAAACTTCTGAGCTCAAGCAATCCTCCCGTCTAGGCCTCCCAAAGTGCTGGGATTATAGGCATGAAACACTGCACCTGGCCGGGTTCTTTAATTTAAATTAGGCATTTTTTAATTGAGGGGGAGTAAGCAGAGGGAAGTGCCCAGGACGTTATCAAAAGTATAGTTTTATTTTTATGTAAATAAAGCACAAATCGATTTTTTTTTTGTATAGGATGTCTCAATCAAACTTCTGGTGACTTAAGCAAACCTGAAACAGGTTTTGGCAACTTGATCAAGGTCACCTTAGCTTCAACCATGCTAATAATAAAAAAAAAAAATCAATATGATCAAACTAAACAGACTGACTTTTCTATGTGTTTGCCTTTTTGCTGACAACCAGGTGAAAAGTTCCAGGACTCTGAAGGCAGGGCCACAATTACTCACTACCCAAACCTGAAATTCCAGTTCTTTCACATAGTTCTTCACTTCCCATCATTGGCCACTTGGACTAACCTGGTATCAGAATACACTGATACCAGGGTAGCATTTATAGCACCCTGCAGAACAGCCAAACAGACTGAATACCTAGACCTGTCCATACCTGTGGTCTCAAGTTTAACTCTTTTTTTGAGCATGTTCTGAAAACAAAGAGAATTCAAAATCAAAAGAGAAATATCAGCCAGGTGCAGTGGCTCATGCCTGTAATCCCAGGACTCTGGGAAGCCCAAGAGGGCAGATCACTTGAGGTCAGGAGTTCAAGACCAGCCTGGCCTACATGGTGAAACCTCGTCTCTACTAAAAATACAAAAATTACCTAGGCATGGTGGGGGGGTGCCTGTAATCCCAGGTACTTGGAGGCCGAGGCACGAGAATCACTTGAACCCAGGAGGTGGAAATTGCAGTAAGCTGAGATCGCACCACTGCCCTCCAGCCTGGGCAACAGAGCAAGACTCAGTCTCAAAAAGAAAGAAATAAACAAGCGAAATATCTAACAGTTATGAGATACTGTTTTAATTCTGTTCATTAAAAAGAAAACATAAACATGCTAAAACGTCTTTATCAGCAAAACCTGTTCAGGCAGTTAAAAAAATTTCTCTCTCCAACAAACAAGATTTAACTTGCAAGTAAACTGTTTCATTTCTGTGACCCTTTATTCTCCCAGTTAATACTTCCATTTTCTTAGAAAAGACATGCCCTAGTGCAATGGTTCCCCCATCTGAGAATACAGCAGATTCCCATTAGTAACTGTTTCATGCTGGCACTGATTGGGGGTGAAAAGCCAGGGATATGTTGTTTCAAAGTTCCCCAGGAGATTTTGCTACATGACACGCCTCCCCCACCTCCAATTCCCACACAGCATAACTCTCTTCTGGTAGAAACTGTATTCTGTTATAAGAAGTTTCACTCTTACACGGAGGCACACCAACAACTGAAAGCAAGATTTAAAGGTCATCTAAATCACTTCATGCTCATTATTAGGTGAAATGCTCTTTCATATATTTATTTGATCGGCCCTTACTACCTCTATTCTAGCCCCACTCCAGTGGCTCTTAAGCCTGGAGTAGGAGTCATTTACCAAAAGTGAAAATATGATCAACTTACTTCTCTGACAATTAATGGCTTCCATCACCTACAGGCAAAACTCCAAATGTATTAACAAGGCTAAAATAGCTCCTCATGATGTGGAAGGTGTGAGGAAATGGTAGTCAGATTTGTAAGACAGGATGTCTGAATACCTAGACTGGAGAAGTGAACGGAAATATTCTATGGATTGAGCTTAAAAATACACCTATAACCTATAGTAATCAAGACAGTGAGGTACTGGTGAAAGAACAAAATAGATCAATGGAACAGAATAGAGAGCACGGTTAATGGCACCACATAAATATAGTCAACCATCTTTGTCAAGGACAAAGGCAATACAATAAAGAAAAGAGTTTTTTCAACCAACAGTGGTAGAAAAACTGGATATCCACATTAAAAAAAAAAAAAAGAATCTAGACACAGACCTTATACCCTTCCCAGATATTAACTCAAAATGGATCGCAAACCTAAATGGAAAATAGGAAACAATAAAACTCCTAGAACATAGCATAGGAGAAAAATCTAGATGCATGTGGGTTTGGTGATGACTTTTTATAGATACCAAATGCAGGATTTATCAAAGGAAGAATTGATAAGCTGGACTTCATTAAAATTAAAAATTTTGCTCTGTGAAAGACAATGTCAAGAGAATGAAAAGACAAACCACAGATTAAAGGACTGTTATCTAAAATATGCAAGGACCTCTCAAAACTCAGAGAAAATAGCCTGATTTTAAAATGGGCCAAAGACCTTAACAGACACCTCAGCAAAGAAGATATACAGATTAGCATATGAAAAGAAGCCCCACACCATATGTCACTGGGGAAATGCAAACTAAAATGACAATGAGGTGTCACTACAAACCTATTAGAATGGCCAAAATCCAGAACACTGACAACACCAAAAGCAGGCAAGGATGTGGAACAATAGGAATTCTCATTCACTGCTGGTAGGAATGCAAAATGGTACACTTTGGAAGACAGTTTGGCAGTTTCTTACAAAACTAAACATACTCTTACACCATAGAGCTGTGCTCCTTGGTATTTACCCAAAGGAAGTAAAAACTTATGTCCACACAAAACCTGCACATGGATGTTTACAGCAGCTTTATTCATAATTGCCAAAACTTGTAAGCAACGAAGATGTCCTTCAGTAGGTGAATAAACTGTAGTGCATCCACATAATGAAATATTATTCAGCACTAAAGAGAAATAAGCTATCAAGCCACAAAAAGACATGTGGAAACTTAAATGCTTATTACTAAGTGACATTTGCCCAAACCCATAAAATGTACACCACCATAAGTGAACCCTAATGTAAACTATGAACTTCAAGTGACAAAGTGTCAGTGTAGGTTCATCAACTGTAACAAGTGCACCGCTCTGGTGCAGGTGATTAGCGAGAGGCTGATAACGGGGAGGCTATGCATGTGCAGGGGCAGGAGGTATATGGGAAATCTGTACTTTCCTCTCAATTTTACTGTGAATCTAAAATGGCTCTAAAAAATAAAGTCTTTTTTTTTTTTAAACTATAGCTCCAACACAATCTTAATACTCTTCACTATCATCTCAAAAACAACAATCCAGCAGTTCTGCATTTTATAGTTCCCCAACTTCCCCATCCCACTATTGAAGAAGCCGAAGTCAGCCCTGCCTTAATCTCACCAAGAACCCAATATATACTACCTCTTTCCAGGCCTTCTGTCTGTACTCACTGCCACCGAATCCAGACCTTTCCAACTACTCTCTGACAATCACAACCTTTTGTTCCTGTGACATTTTAGGATCCTCTTTCAAGTCACAGTGCAACCAGGTTTAAGGACATAATCTCCAGGGAAATAAACATTTCCATCTTTTCCCAAGTTACCAACACATTTGAAAGACTTTATGATTCCTTGTGCACAAAACTTCCTGCTCCCTGTGTGAGTGAAAAAAAACCCTGAATGATCTGTTTTCACAGTCTACCTCTTTTCTTCTTCATTTATTATTTTAATCTTTTTTTTTCTTTTGAGACGGAGTCTCACTCTGTTGCCCAGGCTGGAGTGCAGTGGTGCAATCTCGGCTCACTGCAACCTCCACCTCCTAGGTTCAAGCGATTCTTCTGCCTCTGCCTCCCGAGTAGCTGGGACTACAGGCACCCGCCACCACGCCAGGCTAATTTTTGTATTTTTAGTACAGACAGGGTTTCACAATATTGGCCAGGCTGGTCTCAAACTCCTTACCTTGTGATCCACCCACCTTGGCCTCCCAAAGTGCTGGAATTACAGGTGTGAGCCACTGCACCCGGCCATCTTTTTTCTTTTTTTTTAAGAGATGGAGTCTTGATATGTTGCCCAGGCTGGTCTCAAATTCCCAGGCTCAAGCATTCCTCCCACCTTGGCCTCCCAAGTGCTGGGATTACAGGTGTGAGCCACCACACTCAATATCCTCTTTTCTTCTTTAAATTACATAAAACGATTCTAAGTCAGCTTGGATATCATCAAAGAGTTCTGATGTTTCATGTCAGGATCTTTAAAATGAGATTCTTCCTACAATCATCTTTGTAACTGTCTGGCAATCATCTAAGCTTCTAAACTCAAATGAACCCAAAAAACAAGAAGCAGGCCAGGCGCAGTGGCTCATGCACATAATCCCAGCACTTTGGGAGGCCGAGGTGGTCAGATCACTTGAGGCCAGGAGTTTGAGACCAGCCTGGGCAAAAAGGTGAAACCTCATCTCTACAAAAATAAAAAAATTCGCTGGGTGTGGTGGAGCCTGCAGTCTCAGCTTACCCGTGAGGTTGAGGCGGGAGGATCACTTCAGCCCAAAAGGTGGAGGTTGCAGTTAGCTGAGATAGCATCACTGTACTCCAGCCTGGAAGACAGAGAGACCCTGTCTCAAAAAAACAAAACAAAAGAAGCAGCAAAACCACAAGATGAGAAATGAAAATATGGAAGGCCATGGGCTTAGTACTGTAAGATATATACAGTCATTTGCCACATAACAACATTCTGGTGAACAATGAAGCAGATATACAACAGTAGTCCCCATGTTTTTACTGCACCTTTTCTATGTTTGTTTAAACACACAAATACTTGCCATTGTGTTAAAATTACCTATACTATTCAGTACAGTAACATACTGTACAGGTTTGTGGCCTAGGAGAACAGGCTATACCATATAGCCTAGGTGTGTAGTAGGCTATACCATCTAGGTTTGTGTAGGTACATTCTGTGATTTTTTGCAAAAGGATGAAATCACCTAATGATCCATTTCTCAGAATGTATCCCAGTCATTAACTGATGTATGCCTGTATGTGGTATTTATAAATTATACATTAACTTTATATTTTACTATTGTACAAATCTTAGATAGAAGCAAACTTTAAATACCATTAATAAGTAAAACATATACAGAACAATTAAAGATTTAGACTTTCATCTTTCATAATATAATTTCTCAATCAATTTTTAAATCAGTTGAATCCATTTCAGTTACTATTAACTAAAGTGCATCAAATATCCTGGCATTAGGTTTTCTCTAATAGGAAACTGTTTTATGGAGGCCAAGGCAGGCAGATCACTTGAGACCAGGAGTTCAAGACCAGCCTGGCCAACGTGATGAAATCCTATCTCTACTAAAAAATACAAAAATTAGCTGGGCATGGTGGTGCACACATGTAGTCACAGGTACTCAGAAAGCTGAGGCACTTCAGCCCGGGCGACTGAGCAAGACTCCGTCTCAAAAACAAACAAAAAAAGAATAGTTTAGTTATGCTTATTTGATGCATCCAGAACTAATCAAAAGATCCCAAATATCTAATTTTAGAGGCACCTGTGCTATTATTGATGGAGTTCGTGGTAAAATGTTGTTAAGTATTTATTGAATTTCCCTTAGGCTCAGCACTGTGGAAAATATAAAGATAATGCATGGCCCTTGTTCCCATGAAACTTGTTTTTTGCAACAAGACCGAGAGAAGCAACTAAATGCATAAATGCAGTATTTTAGAAGACGAGATGGTCAAACAGGTAAAGAAAACACTTCACAGATAATGTGGGAACTAAACTGAACCTCAGAAGGAAGGTAGGAGTTGGAGAGACTAAAGGGGAAAGGAAAAGATAGTAAAAATATATTGTGTCTGTGCGTGTATGCGTACGTGAATGCCGACACAAAAGAATGCAGAGACTCAAAAATGACCAAAGTTTAGAGATAGTTAACAGCCTGATAAGAGCTAAGAGTTCACAATGGGAAATAGAAAGTCAGGCAGTAGAATTTAGGCATGATTTGAGAAGAAGTAAAAAAAGTTGCTGGAGGTTATCAAACTGGGTTGCAACAATAGATGGTGGTCGATGACTATAAAGCCCAATGCAAGTCATGTAAGTGGGATGTGGCAACCACCATCCAAAAACGATGAGGACAGTTTAAAAAGACATTCCACAGCTTGACTGCTACATTGAAAACTTCGCATCACCAATGTGTATACTGCCCTCCTTAAATTCTTCATTAATTACTTAAAATAGAGATTCTCAACAGTGCTTTTTATTCTGCTCAGGGTGTGGCAAAACTCTTTAAATCACCTAATTTACTCCATGTTTTTGTTCTTCACCTAAGAATTGGAAGAGGGGAGAAATAGGAAAATAAGATTTTCGAAAACGTATGACTAATTACCACATAATCCTTCTTATTATTCAACTGAACATCAAAACTGCCCATCATTCACTTGAACACCAGTGTAACTTTGAAATATATGAACTGTTGCATCTTTGGATGACTATATCTTCTCAGTATTAAATATTTTGAATAGATGATGCTGACTTAGTTATCCAATGAAGAAATATGTGATATAAATAACAGAACCACCTTTCTTCGTCACTGAAATACAGACTGCTATCACCAGCATTCACAAAATCTTCATTTTCTTACAAGGTGACATTCAGAAGATGCTTTTGTAAAAATAATTAGTTGACCAAATGAGGCTGCATTGAACCTGGCTTTTTTTTTTTTTTTTTTTTTTTTTTTTTTTGAGACAGAGTCTCACTCTGTTTGGCAGGCTAAAGCACAGTGTCATTATCTCCAGCAATTCTCCCGCTGCCTCAGCCTCTGGAGTAGCTGGAACTACAGGCACGCCACCACACCGGGCTAATTTTTGTATTTTTAGCAGAGACGGGGTTTCGCCACATTGGCCAGGCTGGTCTTGAACTCCTGACCTTAATTGATCCGCTTGCTCGGCCTCCCAAATTGCTGGGATTACAGGCGTGAGCCACCACACTGGGCCGAACCTGGGTCTTTATCAGAGGTGTTTTCTGCTTTATCGCTTTGTTGTACTCTTGGAAAGTTCAAGAATTCAAAGTTGTCTCAGTAGATGTAATGGGCACTTACTAGATTTAAAAAAATACTTTACTATAAA
The DNA here is from genome assembly GCF_000001405.40 of Homo sapiens. Taxonomy (NCBI): domain Eukaryota; kingdom Metazoa; phylum Chordata; class Mammalia; order Primates; family Hominidae; genus Homo; species Homo sapiens. The sequence continues at coordinate 41,000,653 of NC_000013.11, forward strand.
GACACATCCAGGAATTGTACAATATCACAATAAGGTTTATTTATATTATTATTTACTAGCAATACCTAATGTCTAATAAGTTCTTTATGGTTTACAAAGTAAAACATGTACAGTATACTGCTTTTTATTTAATCCTTAAACATCTCTAATAACTACTGATATCTCTGCATAGATACAAAAATCTGACACGTCCTCAAGGAGATTAGGAAAGATGATAAAAATAAATCATAAAATAAATAATTAGATACAACGCAAAGAAATCTACAGATTCAATGCAATCTGTATCAACATACCAATGACATTCTTCACAGAAATAGGAAAAACACTTTTTTTTTTTTTTCTGAGACAGAGTCTCACTCTGTCGCCCAGGCCAGAGTGCAATGGTGTAGTCTCGGCTCACTGCAACCTCCACCTCCCGGGTTCAAGCGATTCTCCTGCCTCAGCCTCCCAACTAGCTGGGATTACAGGTGCCCACCACCACGCCTGTCTAATTTTTGTATTTTTAGTAGAGATGGGGTTTCACCATGTTGGCCAGGCTGGTCTTGAACTCATGATCTCATGATCCACCTGCCTCGGCCTCCCAAAGTGCTGGGATTACAGGCGTGAGCCACTGTGCCTGGCCAACATTTTTTTTTAATTATTATTTATATGAAGGCTGGGCATGGTGGCTCATGCTTGTAATCCCAACACCTTGAGATGCCAAGATGGGAGGATCACTTGAGCCCAGGAGTTTGAGACCAACCCAGGCAACATAGCAAGACTCCATCTATCTTTTTTTTAAAAAGAGAACCACATCCATATTTTGTGGAACCACAAAAGATCTCAAATAGCAAATAACAAAGCTGGAAGCACCACACTACAAGTCTTCAAAATAGAATATAAAGCTATAATAACCAAAATAGCGTGGTTGGCATAAGAACAGACATACAACGTGAGAGACCCTGTTCTAAGTGCTGGGAATACAGCAGTGAACAAACCGACCAAAATTTGTGCCCTCATAGGGCTTAGAATCTAGTGATCTTAATCACAACATTCTGTTTCCCCTCAAAATATTCTGCTTTAAAAATGTAAAGCCAGATGCAGTGGCACGCTCCCATAGCAGGGGGCTGAAGCAGGAAGATCACTCCAGCCCAACAGTTCAAGGTTGCCGTGCACTGTGATCACAACTATAGACAGCCACTTACTCCAAGCAGGGCAAAACAGCAAGACCTTGCTTCAAAGAAAAAAAAAAATGGGGATTGTCAGGCAACATAGGCTGTTATCTTAAAACCCATGAAAGAAACTTCTGTCTCTCTCGTTCAATATCTAACTCCTAGTTACAATCCAACCCCTGACAACTGGACACAGAGAATGTGACGTCTCCTACAGTAAATGGGGGACTAAGAGTTGTGGGGAGAAGTTTTTTTACCTTTCAGAGACGATCTGTGAGTATATAAGGTGAGGGGAAGGGAAAATCTGGGGGGGAAATAGGTACAGATAAATCCAAAAGGAGGCTGTTCCAGGTAAAGCTGATTTACTTAGGGGTAACCTCAACGCCTTCATTTTGATTTAATTTTGACTTTGAGCCAACTGAAATGTGACACTGTGTACTGGGATTTTTAAAAACATCCCCTTTATAAATAGAAATACCTGGAGAAGAAGAAATAATTCTTCCTATATTGTCTTTTCCTATATTTTAATAGTAGATGGCCTGCAGAAATCATATCAGGGCGAGGTGCAGTGGCTCATGCCTGTAATCCCAGCACTTTGGGAGGCCAGAGTGGGTGGATCATTTGAGGCCAAGAATTCGAGACCAGCCTGAGCAACATGGCGAGAACCCATCTCAACACAAATTAAAAATTAGATGGGCATGGTGGCATGAGCTGGTGGTCCCAGCTACTTCGGAGGCTGAGGTTAGAGCCACTTGCACTCCACAGAGCAAGACCTTACCTTAAAAAAAAAAAAAAAAAGGCAAGTCCCATCTCAAAAAAATAAATAAATAAATAAATCAGTGTCGTCTATATTCTTTTGGACAAGCACTCTTTAGGGACCTATCTGCCAGACACTTGTGGGTAAGGGAGAAGGGTAGGAAAGCAACAAGTAGCTAAGAAGACTTTCCCTACAGGCGCTTACAATCTATCAACTAAGGCAAATGCAAATCATAGTAATATGTATGCTATAGCAGAAGTGGGCAAAGTTCATTCTCCCATGTAATTCAGTAATTATTTACTATGTCCCATCTCTTAAGATTATAAGCTACTTGAAAACAAAAGACATATAATAAATTTTTCTATATATTAATAAACACAGTTTAAAAGAATATTAAGTAAAGTGTATATTAAAAAGTCAAACTAGGTCAAGATCAAAGGACCTTTTATTTTCTTAATATTTACTTACTAAAATTCTTCATTAAACAGTAAAAGATTAGTGTTTTCATATGTTTGTTTTAGCATTCTATAGAATTTCACATGATGCATGTACTTGCTTCCCAGAACCAACTGGTGGTAAGCTAAGCTTCACTGACTATTGTCAAAGTGACGTACATATATGTATTTTTCTGATCCAAACTCAGAAATACATCAACACCCCCCAACAAAGAGCACAAAAAAGGGAGGTCTGACATGTAAAAGGACACTCAAAAACCCTATAAACTATTTTCCACATGTCTACCTAAGTTTTAATAAACAAAATAACTATTTGGTTCTTCTAAAACTCCTTAAAAATTAAATTCATATAGCTTCATAATTTTTCCTTCAATCTTAAAAATTAAATCCTTAAATTTGACTTTGATCATTTAGATTTATTGTTTAAAAAGACATAGTAACTTCTATCAATTTTTGGCTGGAAAAACTGTTAATATATAAACTTTATAAGACATTCCTAGAATGGCCAGATCTAAGCTAAAGTCCTATTTGTGAAAATTATTGCTCTGTTGACAAGACGACTGCAATTTATAACCCTCCAATCACTGAGGCACAAAAAACTTGGTGACAACAGAAAATAATACAGGGAGAAGCAAAAAGTAATAAAGAGAATTATTATTTCCATTTATTCAGTGGAGATATCAGGACCACAATGAATGGCTAGACATTTTTTCCAGATTGAAGCCAAAAGTAAGAGATTTTTGATGCTTAGCGAGCTAAAATAATTAAGCTCTTCAGCTACATTTTTTAATGGACCAATATGTTATCTCCACTTTTAACTAGGATGAAAACACTAATAATTTCACTAAGATATCTCATTTCCATAAACAGCAAAAACAAACTGGGGGTGGGTGGAGCTGAAGTACAAAATAACTTTTACAATAAAATTATTTCTTAGAAATAAACCATAAAGGCAACCTGTAGAAAAGATTCACATTATAGTTCTTTAACCAGTTTATGATTCTAGAAAAAAGAAAATAAATATCAGGCATGTATTTATTCCCCCAACAAGTATTTATGAAATCTACTATATGCCATTTACTGGGTATACAAAAATAAAGATAAATAAGATATGATCCTTGTCCCAAAGTGGTTCAACATCTAAAAAGAAACAATGTAAACAGATAATTACAAAACAATGTAAATAAACAAGTCAACCAAAAGATGACAGAATGAATAGAGAGGGGTAAATACCTGTGAGAACCTGAAAAAACTTCATAAGGAAGTAACATGTTACTTATTTCTAAAGAAATAGCCCACATCTGTTTTTTTCCAAGGAGAGAGAACATGAAAGGAAAGGGGGTGGGGGATATTCTGGGAAGAATAAGCAAAGGTGACCCTAAAAGTTAAAATCACTGAGAAACAGGTAGAATAGGAATTTAATGAAAACAAACCTTTTCCCTAACATTAGGGATACAGGATCTACCATCAGAACACCTGCATTCAAGTTGTAGTTGAACATCATTTACTAACTGTATTTTCTTAGATAAGTCAACCTCTATAACTTTCCATTTCATCTTTCATCTTGAAGTTGTACCAAGTAAGAATTTACTTGGTAAACTACAAAATGCTTTGAAAGTTTTACAGAATCCTGATATACTAATACATAAAAGTTAATAATTAGATACTAAAATTTCAAGATCAAAATATTAGCCTAATATTTCATAGTGAATTTATATCAAATATATGAATTCAAATGCCAATTTTTTTATGGCCTAAAAAATGTCACAAAAGTAAATACCTTTTAAATATGTAAAAGATATATGTTCCTATTAGGTGCTGTAGCAAACATCTAATTGCCACCACATGATGCATACAATCCATATAATACCAAACAAGCCTACAACGTCCCTCGAATCAACAAGTGACAAAAGTTTAATAAAACTAGCTTTATGCTTAACTGGTCTCCCCAGTGGCAAATTAAAGCAGCAATTGTACATCTGTGTCTCTGTTCCTCTCATCGTGGTTTAACTGACAGGAAGCACAGAGTAAGATATGGCACACAAATGTCAAGTATTTCCTGCCTTCTCTGTTACATCTTTATGTCTTGTTTTATAAATAGTCCAATAGTTTGTGTGAAAATATATGAAAGTACAGTAGCACAAACATATAAATGGTGAAGAGTGTTTATGCAAACAGAGCCAATAAAAAAGTATTTTGGTCTTGGGATCTAAGATTCAATATGCACGCAAAGACTCATTTATAGTCTTTTGAAGAAGTATTCTTAGGAGCAAACACCACACAAATTAAGATTTGAAAACCACAATGACTGAGTAAAAAACCAAGTGTCTAAACAACAGAACAGGCCCTCAAACTATTTTACCCAACTGTTTACATAAGTAACACTTGACCACCTTGATATGTGACCCTCCCCCCAACCTCTGCTATACCTATCCAAAAAAAAAAAAAAAAAAAACCTACCACAAAAAAAAAACAACCTTTAAGCAACTGACTATCAACAAAGCAGGACTGATAACTTGCATCTTTGATCTTTGGTCATTTTTACCATGGCTTCTTATCAGCACTCTCCTGTACTACAATTTATATCCCCCAACCAAACTATCTCTACTCCCTTCTCACTTCCTGTATATCCCAAACTTGGCTCATGTTATTTACTCATATATATTCAACTATATACAACCAAATAGAACTCTGTTCTCCATAGGTGAATCCTGCCTGCTTCAAGTCATGTTAACCAACCTTCCAGTTAATTATAACTAAGGTGTGCTCACCTTTCACCATGCCAAGCTGCCTCCCAAACTAATAATCAATCCTTAAGAATGAATTCAATTCATTACTCATATGATTCATATTCTGTATCATAAACTTGGGCAAAATGCAGCTATCTTATCCATTCATATTGGTCAATATTTACCTAGGCTATAATAAGCATAAGTTGCCACAATTACAATTCCACCAGAGTTTAGTGCTATTCCATTCTAGGTCAATGTCCAAAACCACTCTTCATATTTTACTTCACAGAAGTCCATCTTCAGCTTCCTGTGACCTCTCTTTCCTAAAGAGAACTTAACATATACCTAATAATCAGCTGTAAGCATGGTAGTAGGCTCCTGAAGTAACATTTCTTAAATGAATGGCTTTGAAAAACGATTTCATTTTTACCCAGTATTTTTCAACCAGAAGGATCTTGCTCATTCTTTATAGGAGTCTAAGAATTATTAGTGCCTTCCTAGCATATCTTTAGTATATCTCTGCTCTCACTTGTAAATGTATTGGCTAAATTGTCCCCAATATCTAGGGAATAAGGAGTAAGTGTTCCCCAAACCATGAAGGAAGAATGAAGGAAGAAGAACATCACCCATTTCCTTACACATTAGCTCCCCTCCCCTATCCTCTGGCTCTGATGCTTAGTGAAATAACCCTAACTGGGGGGCAGGATGGGGAGTGAGTTGGGGAGTCTCAGAGCAGCTGCAGAGAACCTAGTGTCCATCACCTACCCAACAATCAAACACAGTTAACGATGTGTAACTGTTCTGTTCTACCAAGGGCAGATAAGTATTACATCTTCCTTTCAGTTTATTCTTAAGACTAACAGGTTGTAAATTATCCTATAACAATATGCAAGTTTTTCTCTGATCTACAGATCAAAGGATCAGGCACGATGTCTAGTTTGCAACGTTCATACCATGAAAACATTTTGAATAAAATAATTTACACAATATACCTTATGTCTAAATACAAACTTTTTAAGTTGCCCTTCAAACTAAAACACATGTAACATTAATTCGAATTAATTATTCAAACTTAAATCTAAAATCTTAATGGTATTTTTCCTTATAATTTAGTACATACGTACATTTTGTATAGTATATTTTAAAACTTTATGTACATAGCATGCTGTATATATTCTTCCAGCATACTTTACCCAAGTTTATCTAAAACATAAAATTTTGAATAAACACAATGGCTATTTGGAAAGGAACTTTAAACATCAAACCCTCCTTAGAACTTGGTGCTTAGGAAAATATTAAACCTTACTCAAGACAAGTCATGATTATTATTAGGCTTCCACTATAACAGAGAAATATCTCGGATGCACAAAGCATCCTATCTTCAATGATGCCGCTCACAAAAAGTGTTCCTCCCTGCTGCAGAGTACAGATAATACACCTCAGAAACGCCCTGTGTGGAGGTCTTAGCAGGAAGCCCAAGGGGCTCAACTCAACAGTATCCTTCTAACCTGCTTATAACTCATTTCTTTAATTCAGTCTGAAGTTAAATAATATGCAGCAACTGAAAGCTCTTTCAATTAAGAAGAACACAACGGGAAAATGTAAATCAGAAAATGCCTAAATATAAATTGAGTCTACTGGAGGAACTTCATTTGAAGGCACATTCCACATATTATTATTAAGTATCAAAAAATGATTGATACCACTGCCAATTCCTTTTGCTGTAAAAATAAGGTTGCTATACAAACATCCCTTAGCCTACTGGAGAAGCCAGTAACTGCCCCCTCCTGCTATTCAACTTCCCTTTTCTTAATCACAAAGGCATCAACTAAATGGAAGCACTGAGACTCAGAACCAACGCCTTCACTTTCTTTGACGAATGTTGATTTCCTCATTAGAGAGGTGCCAAAAACAGAAAAATACTGTGTTATAAGCTTGTATTTAACATAAACTTTAATAAAAGTATATTTCTTCCATATAACATTTATTTAATCAACCCCTAATTTTTAGACATTTGTATTATTTCTAATGCTGCATTATTCACAGCGATTCACAAAATGTAATCCTCAGACCCACAAAGGATCCAGAGACCCTTTCAGGGGGCTCCTGAGATCACAACTCTTTTCATAATAATGGCAAGGTATTATTTGGCTTTTCCACTGTGTTGACACTTGCCCTGATGATGCAAAAGCAAAGCAGGATGAAACTGCGAGTGCCTCTGCCCTGACCAAGGCTGCACCCTCAAGCCATGAGTCTACTCCTTACCACTGGGCACTCACATTTTAAAAAGGCGACTTCACTTAAGAATGTCTTTGAAGAAGAGTAAAAACTATTTTCTTGAATCTCAACCATTAAATACATATGTTTTTAATATTCTGAGTGATAAAATTGGAGGTACAAATAAAGTACTACTTCTGGCATAAACAGAAATAGCATTGTTGTCTTGAGAAAAAGCATTTATGCTATTATTCTTCGACCTGTGAGCCAAACTAGCTGCTGCTTTCATGAAATGTAATTTTTACTTAAAAGAACTAATTATTATTCAGAATTGGATATCTGGCAGAAATTTTTCCAAAAATTAATAAAGCATGCCCATCACTTCAAGGAAAACAACTAACAGCAATTGTCACCAATTATAAAATGCAAGCTTTCAACTGAAAATCAGAATTTTGGAAAACTTGTATGTATCTACCGCTTTGACTCTGTTGGCTTCTCAATACACTTAAAAGGCTTTTCTGATGAGACTGGTGTGATTTTGATACTATGTCAACATTTGCAATACCCAAATGACTCACGCATGATGTTACAAAATCTTGCTTAGGTTAAAAAAAAAAAAATCAATCCATTCAAAGTACAAGACAGACCTATGGATTTTAATGTTACAGGGGACAAAAAGTTCATTCATAGGTTTTCAGAATCTCATTGTTCTAACTTTTAAAAAACTAGCATTTGTTGATGAGCTTTGGTGTAGTATCAAAGAATATCCACAATTATCTGAAGTGGCCATTAAAATACATCTACTTTTTGTGACTAGACATCTGTGTGAGGCTGAATTTTCTTCATATTCTTCAACAAAAGCAACATATTCCAACAGATTTCATGCAAAAGCAAATATGAGAATATAGCTGTCTTCTGTGAAGTCAAAGCTAAAAGATTTACACTCTTCTCAGTACAGCTTTTGTTTTGGGAAACATATTTGTCTTTTTTGCACTTTTTTTTTTAAAAAAAACAGGGTCCTGCTATGTTGCCTGGGTTGGACTTGAACTCCTGGGCTCAAGCAATCCTCCTGCCTCAGGTTCTCAAGTAGCTGGACTATAGGCTTGGGTCACCATACCTGGCTCAAACTTGTCCTTTATAAAAATAATTATGTTAAAATGTAATGGGCGTATTATTTTTAAATAAATATATTAATATTTTTCAAGTTTGTTTTAATTTCTAACATTGGTTAATATTGGTAAATGTAACCCACATGAACCAAAGCTCTTTGGGAGCCTCAATTTTAATAGTATAAAGACGATGCAAAGATCATAAAGCTTGAAAAAAAAAAGTATAAGGTTTGAGAACTGCTACACAATCACAACGAACGATTCAAATATCCTTACAACTGAATCTTTGGTCCCATCCTTAAATTTTCTTTAGGATACCTACACCAAGAACTGAAAGGCACATAGACTTTCAAAGCATTTGATATCATAATGCCAACTGCCCTGCAGAAGATTTTTTCAGTTTATACTGTTAGCAACAGAATACCTGCATGGACATTTAACATCATTTGCAACAACCCACAATGCTTGAACTACTGCCAATATGATGGATAAAAACACAGGGGGGCTATTTGACTTTAATTTGCATTCCTTTGCTAGAAAGTTTAATATATTTTAATTTTAAATGTAATACTTTAATATACTTCCCAATTTTAAAGAATTGGTTATTCTTCGTGGAAAGGGCTAGGAGACACAAGTAAATAAATGGTAAAGGTGACAGTCTATGATTTTTCTCATTGGGAAAAAAAACTTCGAATTAATGTTTTTACTCTAGTTCTGGTTTAGAAAGCTTGCATTTTTTTAAACTTCAATTTAATAATGTAAAACTCTAAGAATGATATTTAAATTACTAGTTGCAATAGTGCAGCAGTTCTCAAACTTTTTGGTGTCAAGATCCCTTTATATTCTTAAAATGTATTGAGGACCACAAAGAGCCTTTGTTTTCCTAGGTCATATTTATCAATATATGTTTTTTACTTACAGGATATTATTACTTATTATATGCCCTTTAAAGGAGTCTTTTCTCAGAATAGCATATTGAAAAAAAAAAAAACTCCCTGGGATTTTTTTTTTCCTTGATTAAAAATAATGCTGTTAAATATACATGCTTTGGGCCAAGCATGGTGGCTCATGCCTGTAATCCCAATATTTTGGGAGGCCAAGATAAGAGGATCGATTGAGCCCAGGAGTTTAAGACCAGCCTGGACAACATAGCCAGACCGCATACCCACCAATAAAAAAATAAAATAAAAAAGAAAGAAAGAAAGGAAAAAAAAAAAAAACACAGAAAAGAAATTTGCACGTCATAGTGGTATGCACTTGTAATTCTACATGGGAGGCTGAGGTGGAGGATTGCTTGAGCCCAGGAGTTTGAGGCTGCAGCAAGCTATGATTGTACCACTGTACTCTAGCCTAGGCGAGAGGGCTACACCCCTATCTCCCCCCCACCCCCCCAAAAAAATACATATAGGTATGAGGTGTATGTGTGTGTGTGTGTGTGCACACTTTCCTTGCCTTAGATCACATGTAGCACATCGAAAACTAATCTAGTTTATCTATGTTTCTCTAATCTTTATATAATTATAATACATTTTAAATGGAGGTTAATTAGTAAAATATATGCATATAATTTATGAATAGTTTTTATTTTTTGTTCATTGCTATATCCCAACATCAAGAATAATATGTAACAGGCAATAATTGCTGAATGAATCAATAATAATATAGATCAAAAGGTATATAATAAAAATTTAAGAGACCTCTAATTACATGACTTTATAGGAACCCTCAGACAATGAAATCTTATGACTTCTATTTCCATTTGTTCTTTGTCCATGCCACTGCTTATACATACACTATGGGAAGTATTTCAGGAAAGAGAGCCAAGGGATGATGAAAGTAAAAACCTGGGTTAAGATCTATGTTTTCACTTTCTATAGCAGTTTCCACATTTACATTGTTAAATTTTGAAAGCTTTACCTGAAGAATGTATATCTAGTTTATAATGACAACAACAAAAATCACTAAAGATTCAGAAATTGCTACCATTACAGTAAGAATTCTAAGGAAGCTACATGAAACACTGATCAGGAAGCAAGATGAAACACTGAATATACCAGTAAATCTGGTTAGATTCAACAATCTATTAGCTACTTAAAAGTTCATGGATGTTAATACTATACTAATTATTTTATGAATGTTTTTGTTTTGAAATGTGTTTTTGAGAAGTATTTGAATGTGGGATAATTCTGAAGATGAAACCTAACTAAATTACTTCTAGGTAACTAAAGCTCCAATTTGTTAATGGATCTCAACTGGAAATTACTATTTATTCATCTAGAAGTATGCCTAGATCTTCTTAGTTATTTGGGACAGACACACAGTCTTATAACACTTACATCTGAATCTACCCAATCCCTCTTGCTGAAATAGGCAGTTAACTTTTTTTTTGAGACAAGGTCTTACTTTGTTGCCCAGGTTGGAGTATAGTGGCACGAACATGCCTCAGTGAAGCCTTGACCTCCTGGGCTCAAGTGATCCTCCCACCTCAGCTCCCCAAGTGGCTGGGACTACAGTCACTCACCATCATGCCTGGCTTATTTTTGTATTTTTAGTAGAGAAGGGGTTTCATCGTATTTTGCAGGCTGGTCTCAAACTCCTGGGCCCAAGTGATCCACCTGCCTTGGCCTCCCAAAGTGCTGGGATTACAGGCTTGAGCCACCGTGCCTGATCCCATTTTTAACTGATGCAGAGTTTTCATTTTTTTGAAATAGGAGGGTCTCACTATGTTGCCCAGGTCTCAAACTCCTGGGGTCATGCATTCCTTCAACCTCAAGTTCCCAAGTGGCTGGGACTACAGGTGCATCTCAGTGCCCCTGGCTCTGATGCAAAGTTTATTGCCACATTCTTTCAAGTCAGCTTTTACTACCGGTCAAATTAAACATTATTCCTCAAGATACTTATAAATGTGGGGCAAAAATAAACTATAGCTTACAGATAAAAATGTATTATGAGGCCAGGTGCAGTAGCTCCCACCTGTAATCCCAGGACTTTGGGAGGCTAAGGTAGGCGGATCACTTCAGGTCAGGAATTCAAGACCAGCCTGGCCAACATGGCAAAACCTCATCTCTACTAAAAAAATACAAAGATAAATTAGCTAGGCGCCATGGTGGGCACCTGTAATCTCAGCTACTTCGGAGGCCGAGGCAGCAGAATCACTTGAACCCAGGAGCCAGAGGTTGCAGAGAGCCGAGATTGTGCCACTCCACTCCAGCCTGAGCGACAGAGCAAGACTCTGTCTCAAAAAAAAAAAAAAAAAAAAAAAAGAGTATTATGAAACAGTTAAACCAAAGAGGATTCATCTATCTACCACCTAGCTTTATATTTTACCATAGTTTGTTTGTTTTTGTTTTTCTGTTTTGTTTTTAAGAAAAAAAGGTCATCTACAGTTAAAGCTTCCTCTAATATCCCTCTCCAGTCTCATTTTATTCCTTCTTTGACTATTCTAAGTTTGATTTTTTTTTCTTTTCTTTTCTTTTTTTTTTTTTTTAAGAGACAGATTCTTGTTTTGTCACTCAGGCTGAAGTGCAGTGGTGCAATCATATTTCACTGTAGCATTAACTCCTGGGCTCAAGCAATCCTCCTGCCTCAGCTTCTCGAGTAGCTGGAGCTACAGGAGTGTGACACCACACCTGGCTAACTTAAAAAAAAATTTTTTTTTTCTACTTGTAGAGACAGGGTCTTGCTATGTTGCCCAGGCTGGTCTCGAATTTCTGGCCTCAAGTGATCCTCCCACTTAGGCTTTCCAAAGTGCTCAAATTATAGGCATAAGCTACAGTGCCCACTTGTCAACTATTCTAAAATTGGTATCTTCTCTGTTATATATTTTTATAACTTTACTACATATATATCAAGATAGTAGGATTGCTTTTATATGCATAATTGGGAACATGTATTTATTAAAATTTATTTTTTATTCAAAATTATGTTTGAAATAACTCTAGTTAACAAATGACAAGCATACTGAATTGTTTCAGGGGTCAAATATATTGTTGTCTACAGCTTACCCTGAAATGCATCAACTGTCCATCTGTTTAGGGTCCTGGAGGATTTTACACCCCAGGGCAATATACCATAGAAAGATTCTGAATGGGTTAGAAGTCATCATCGGCAGATATCTGATCCTAGGAAAGATAATGAAGAACTCTAAATTACATTAAACTATCTATACTCTGCAAAGCCTTCACATCCCTCAATGTGAAGATACTGCTCTACAGAACTTCTACATTTATGTCCCGGGGAACCATGTACAAGTGTTCCCAAGCTCAAAATAATCTAATGCCATCAACAAGAGAGAATAAATACATTCTGGTACAGACAAACAATGGAATACTATATTGCAACGAAAAGTAACATAAGTCACAAAGCTGAATGAAAGAAGCAAAGTCACTACAGAATATATGGTGTGATTCATGTGTATAAAGTTCAAAGAGGTAAAACTATAAAGAAAAGATTATCGCAAAAGTCAGCATAGTAGTTATTTTTTAAAGGAAACAAACATGAATAGGAGTGGGGGCCTTCTAGGGTAATAGACATACTCTATATTTCTTAACATGGGTTGTTTCTCAAGATACTTATAAATATGAGGCAAAACTGTTTAAATAAAATACAAAATATTTACCCATGTTGTAACACTTTATAATTTTATTTAAACTCTATGTTTTATATATATTTTCCTACATGCACATTTCATTTTTAAAGAAAAAATAATGAATTGCCCCATTACAATACTAAACTTCCATTTAGTATTTTGATATAAAAAATAAGATGTACATAAATTGTTACACTTCATTTTAATAGTTTTATTATAAAATTTTATAGTTTTACTATTTATGGGATTGTTTTCTAAACCCAGAAACTAATTTTCTTTAATTATATTTATATTTTTAAAATTGTACCATGTAACAGCCCAGACATAATGATCACTATATGACTGGGCATCTATCACGTAGATACTGCAGCATGTAAAGTCATACTGGTGCCTGCTACTTTGAAGAGCTTCTAATATATAGAGTAGAACACAGGACGAGGACAAATCACATGAAAACACAAACTTAAAAAATAAAAACAACTTCTCTAAGTGGTTACCTTTGGACAGCAGGACTGAGAGTCAGAAGGGGCAGAGGAGGCAGGCTCCTTTTCATTATAGACCTATGAATTAAATTTTGAATGGTGTGCATATATCACTTTGATAGCTTTTAATATAAAAATTGTTAAACCAATCTTCATACAAACTATAGAAGGCAAGAGGGCTCTGACAATGAGGATGATGTTAATACCTGGAAGAGAAGGAATCAAAACATTTCTGCATAGAAATTTGTATATCCAAAGCTCAGCTGCATAATTTCTCCCTCTCTGTCAACAAAGCAAATAGCACACAATGAGTTATTTTCCTCATATAATAACTTAAGGTGCTTAGAACCATGACCAGAAAAGACATTTGTAGTACTGCTCAACAGCCACTTTTATTATAGTATACAGCTCATTTGACAAGACACAAAAAACTCTTTTGTAGGTTCTCCATACTAATGGAAGGAAGATTGTTCAGATAGTTGGAAACTGTCCTAATCATTGGAGTTGACTCAATAATGGTACTAACTTAATTTCAACCATTTATATGAAGCAGCTCCTAAGTAAAGGAGCAAAATAGTCTGGCTAATTTATGGAAGCAATGATTATCTTCAAACAATTCAAATGAGGGGAATTTTCTTCTCATTTATCCAAGTCAGTGAATACCTAACAATGTCCCATTAGATGAGATGTAATGTTAGGCAAAACCTACAAATATGCAATCAAAGATGCAGTTAAATATCTGAAGAAGCTTCAAAAATCATATCCAAGCATTACAGGGTTAAAAAAAAAGTTACTTCCTCCCAGACTCAAACAAGTACATACTATTGTGCTAGTCTTTAAGTCACCCCTGCCCTCCCCCCAAAAAAAGAAAGAAAACAAAAATATTACAAATAATAATAGTGTATTTCTCAAGAGAGAAGAGCTTTCAAAAGGCTGTAAATGCCACCCTAAATCAGTAAGGGGGTGTTTTTCCTAAAGCCCCAGGAGTAAGAGTATGGAGAGGGAAACCAAGAAGCAACAATTGGAACCAAAACAACTAACACTGGAAGAGTTCACTGAGAAATAAAAAATAGGTTAATTACATTAAAAAACAAAGATTATTTATTATGGCCAATATGGCAGTAGGTTTCGGGGGTGGATCAGAGAAAAGGAAAGACGGATAGCCACATAGTTGAACAACATATAGCACAGCAAAAAAAAACAGACTAGAGAAAGGGATAACTGGGATGGGAAAGGAGCCCAAATGGGTTCTAATACTGATAATAAAGTACTCTAGTTGCTTTCCTTCCTTACTAGAGGCTATGGGCTTCAAAATAGCATTGCTGCCTAAAACTTCAAATATTTAAAGGCAAAATAGCTAATTCCTCTTCATAGCCTTAAACCTGTAAACTCTCTTTCTGAAAATGTGGCATATAAGCACCTATGTCATAATCATTTAGGGTACACAGTAAAAAATGCTGATTGTTTAAGCAAATCCTACGCCTAATGAATCAGAATTTCTGAGTTAAAACTGGGTGATTCTTTGTTACACCAAAGGTTGACAATTACAGCTTTAAAGGTAATACTATCATAGTATTACCTACAACATGCAGACACCAGTCAGAGATTAAGCTGAGGGCCACATGCTTTTTAAAGATGTGCCATCTTTAACTTCAGCAAGATGGCCAACTGAATTTGTCACGTAAGATGGCAAAAAAGAGTAGCCAAAGGTTTAATACAACAAATAATACCTGTCTACTCATATGTGCTTGGTACTTTGTCAAAGGTTGAAAAAGACAGAAAAACAGAATAAAACCTTTCTCCTCTCAAACAGCGTATATTCTTATTCTTATTGACGAAGACACTCTTCTTAACATAGGTAAATGCTATTCAACGTTCAGCATTCATCATTCCTTCAAGATAAACTCTCCTGAGTATTCTTTCAGTCATCTTTTATCTCTAGGCAATCTGAATCTGAATTTACCTAGTCAGTGGTTGGTTCTGTTCTTTACTTCACTTGTTAACAAGCCCTGTTTTCCCAACAGGAATTTAAGTTTATGAAGATAAAGCCCATGTTCCTAGCCTTTTGTGCTTTTTGTTTTTTAGGACAATGATGGCCACACTGTGGACGATTTCGCACCGAATTGAGTTAGGGCACTCAGAAATTTAGGAGATTCAGCAGTTATGCATAAACCATTAAAAATCTGAATTTCAGACCTAGAGAATTTCCAACCACCCCAATAAAACACACCAAAAAGTTAACAGACAAAAGATTTTGTATATACCAAACAATTCTCTTATTTCAAAGGAGGAGGAGAAGATGTGACAAAGATAAATAAAATGAGATTACTATCTTATAATAAGGTCAAATTTAAGATAAGTGTAATGTTAAAGCTTAGACACCTCTGGATTTTGTAAAGTCACATGCAAAGTTTTACACATACACATATTTTAGTATAACAAGGTATCACATTAAACAATATTTGCCCTCCTAAAAGAATATGAGGCAAGGATGGGCACGGTGGCTTGTGCCTGTAATCACAGGACTTTGGGAGGCCGAGGTGAGCGGATCACCCAAGGTCGGGAGTTCAGGACCAGCCTAACCAACATGGAGAAACCCTGTCTCTACTAAAAATACAAAATTAGCTGGGCGTGGTGGCGCATGCCTGTAATCCCAGCTACTTGGGAGGCTGAGGCAGGAGAATTGCTTGAACCCGGGAGACGGAAGTTGCAGTGAGCCGAGATTGCACCATTGCACTCCAGCATGGGCAACAAGAGTGAAACTCCGTCTCAAAAAAAAAAAAAAAAAAAAAAAAAAAAAAAAAATATATATATATATATATATATATATATATATATGAGCTAAAACTAAAGCAGAAATAAAACTGTCTTTGTATCTAGAAGCTCAAATTTAATTCCCACCTCTTCATATTTCCATCTAAAGCCATCTTAAAATAAGCAGTCATGAACAAAAAAATTCTAACAGTGAAAAACAAAAAGTTGTTGTAGAAATAAAATGAATGCATCATCTTTCTGATGAAAAAGAAAACTACATTTTCAAAATCATTGGTTGATCCATTTGGTTGCAACTTATCACCAAGATTATCACCAAACATCTTAATTAAGGTTTTATTTACTCTTAAGGAAATATAGAGCATTTCAAACAAAGCATCACTTGTGACTGGCACAAGCAGTTCCAGACTGCGAAGCCCTGCCATTAGGTACTGCATGACCTCAAGCAAATCACAGGACCTCTGTGGGCCACTGTTTCTTCATCTATAAAAGTGAGGCAGTTGGACAATCTTCAGTCACTTTCAGCACTAAAGTTCTATAAATCACTAATTCTAAATTTAATTCTGATGGGTCAGTTCAAACTTACATTCAATCTTATGGAAGGAAAAACGTGGAGAGGGAAATACTTAATAAATTGTTCTGGTCTTTTCTTGGTTCTCTTCTTTTTACCCCCCCTTCTCCCTTCTCCTTGAAACTCCACTTCAGTCTCTATCACGTAAGAAAATACATAAACAATATCTATACTACTTTAACTGTACCAGCTTCTTAAATTTAAGAAACCAAATTCCTCTACTTCTCTTTAATAAATAAGATCTTAATTATGCCGCTTATTTGTGTGCCTCTTGATTTTTCTCTTATGGATCACCACCTTAAAAAAGTTAAAAAAAAAAATAGAAAAGTCTTCATTAGATTTTTCACACAGACCAGACTAGAAGTAAATACAGCTTTTGCTTACTCAAAGGCTGACTAAACCAGCAATATGCAAACAAAGATGATAGCAAATGGCTCAGCTGAATTGGTAAAATGTCCGCTGTGTCTTTCTTGTAAGACCGCAAAATTGAGATCTGTTAATATCAACAATCCTTACAAAAGAGTAAGAAATAATAACTGATTGCCTTTGTCTCTTCCCTTTAATCTGACAGGCCTTCAAGCACTTAGTAAGTGCATAGCAAATTCTCAAAGAACTAGCTAAATATCATTTTGGTCAACAAGAAATGATTTGGCAAGTTTTATATCCAAAAACTTTATTTTTTGGAATCACTGCATATTCCAATTTTATCTTCATAAATATGTTTCAGAAATAAAATACTACTGCACTCATCTTTACAGAGCACCTAGAACTTTAAGGCACAGTAGGATGTATACTTGCCAGCCAAAATCTCATAACTACAATGACAAGTACTTCAGGAAAAGACTGAGCAATCTTTTCATTTACAGAAGGTTTTTAATTCAAGGCAGGCAAATTTTAAGAACAGTAATACAAAAGGAAGGCCAATACTCATCACTTTTTCTTTTTACACAAAATTGAAATAACTACGTTTCCTTAGAAGACAGCTTTACTTCTAAGGTTGTTACTCAGAACAAGTTTTCAGTGTGAATTATAAAACTTCATTTTTTTCTAATAGTAAATGAATCATTCTAGTCTTTCTTCCTCTATTTAATATTCACTTTTACTTGTTATCTAAATAATCTAATATTCATTTTTACTTATTATCTAAATAACAATTCATTTAAATTTCCATTGGGTTTCCAAAATGAAACATTTAATATAATTTCATTAACTTTAAAAAACAGAGAGGGAGAAAAAAATAAATAAATAACAGTCAATGAGCAACACCTATGGCTGAGTTGTCCCAAAACTTCACCCTTAGCTAAAATGCCAAAACAAAGCCACTGCCCCTGGATATTTAACATCTATATCACACAGGAATAATACGGTTTACTTAACTGTAACTTCAACTACCCCAAAAAATACAATTAGGTTTTTTAAATTAAAATTTGACCTTAGTTTGCTTTGTGGTACTTAAAAACAAATAAACAAACAAAAAACCTCTTTTATTCTTAAATTACATAGAAAAAAAATCACAAAGACATACAAAATGCTTTAGCAAGAAGATCTAAAACTTTCCAGAATTTCAGTGCTTTGTTTCCCCCTAGCAATTAAGTTCAATCAGGCATGTGACTGACCACACACATTTTATCAGAGGGTTAAAGAACACATTCAGCCATGTTCTTCAACAGGTAAGAACCACCCTCTGTTTATCAGCTCAAGAAAAAGCCAGAAGCAAACATACAAAATTGTAACAAGTTACCTTCAAGTATTCTTTCTCTATCGTCTTTTGAGCTTGAAAATAAAAAGCAATCCGACAAGTTTTAGCTGTTAAAATGGCTCCTGTAGATTGGGGAAGTGGTGTCTGTGCTTCAGCTTATGAGTCATACATGAAACCAAGTGTTTCTAAGGGAGGCACGCCCATGTTGCTGTGGACCCAATTATTCTGCTAGGTCAAACATGCAAATCTGCAGGTAAAAACGGTATAGGAAAGTGGGGATGAAGAGGCAAGGAGCAAGATCTACCTTGATTAGACCATTACTAAGCTCATATTAATTGCCATAATTTAAAACTAACAATAAAATAGAGTAAGAACCTACAAGGGAGCAAAATTAAAAACTATATATTGTTTTAAAATATAAAAATCTCAATTTTTAAAAGTTGCTTTACTATATCAAATAAAACTGTGAAAGGAAAAAAGTATGAAAGGGGATGGAAGGGAGATAGCAAACTCTGTGGCTCTTAATGTAACAATGGACTGGTGAGTGTAATCTGGCTACTCATTAACCCTCATATGAAAGAGATATATTGCTATGTAGTCTGGAAAGGCTAGCAAACTACAAAGCCAGATGCAGATCTGTAAGTTCACTAAACAGATAAAATCCACTAGAAAATTCAAAGTTCAGTGGAAAAATAAGTGTGAATTAAACTGGTTTACAGAATTTTTAAAAACCCACACTCCAATGTTAGGAATTTAAAGTCCAACAAAGCAAAATGATTTTAAATAAACTGCAAGCTTGATAAAACCCTTTTAAAAAAGTATTGGTACGATCATAGTTCATAACTCTACTACTTCCAAATGATAGCTACAGTTTGACTTACCTTTCAAGCAAAATTTTCTACATGTATTTCAAGCCTCTTGTGCCAGGCACCCTGCTACAGCTCCACTGCAATTGTGGCAAGGCCAACCTAAGGGGACAACTGTGGCCAGTGAAGCTCTGCCTTCCAAGTCAGAATACATCTGACAAAGTGCCCAAGCCACTGAAATATTACTACACCTACTTATTCTGGCCTCTGGGTGAATACTTATTAATTTATTCTAAGAGCTTAAATTAATCAAAATGGCTTGAAAGCACTAAGTACTTCCAAAGCGCTTGAAATGATAAATGCAACTCAATAGATAGCCTTCGTCCTGGTATCTTACAAAAAGTAAATAGGATTTAGCAAGGTTTTCTCCCTTTAGTTAATTAGTTGGGAGTTTATTCTGGCTTACCAGAGGCATAGTTGAGAGCACAAGCTGTCACTGACTTAGGAACTTTACAAAATGCTGCAAAACAGCAATGATTGTGAACCAACTTTCTGCCTGCTGTCTATTTATTCCTTACACTGAAGATTGCTTGGTTTATCCTTTTACTGAAAAATAATCTCCATGGTTTTACAAACTGTTAATTAAAAATTTATTAAAAAGAAATATAGACCATGTTTTCTCCTGTCAAATGTCATATTTAGCTTACTTTAGTTCACTTACACAAAATGACTATTCAGAGCCCATGCACCAAGAAACAAGGTCCGCTGAGCAGTCACGGGAGATTCACTTGTTCCCTGGAAAGTTCCCCCCAGGTAATTTTCCATATCTGAAATTTATTTTAGATAACATGAATGTAAACCTAACAATTTGATTATCTTCTTTTGGCTAATTAGAAATAAAAACTGTAACAGGTAAAAGAGGGCAACAGTATTATAAAAGGATGTCAGAAAAAGTGAAATAGCTGATAATGACATTAAAAAAACCCACCTTACAAAACTAAAAATAAACATAACTTTAAAAGTATTCAGATATGAAGCCATTATATAAGGTCAGTAAGTTGTAATATTCCCTAAGTATATTACCATACACTAAGTGTCTCCAAGTCAGCATTAGTTTAAGACAGGCCTTCGAAAGCCAAAGTGTGTAACATCAAGTGTGTGAGATGTTTTATGTAGAACAGGTATCTAAAAGGATAAGCTTCTGCTATTGAGAAAATCCATTTATATAATGCACCTCATTACTTAATAATGGCAAATATTCCAAACATAATTTAAAGGAAGTACTCTGGCCACCAGTAATGTGAAGAGAATTAAAGGGAAAATAATTACACCTCTTCAACAGAAACAAATATCTTAGCTGTTCCTAAGGAGATGACTCCAGAGCTGCCATTACAATATATTATCCCTCTGCCCAGGGGTATCCCTATTAGCATTATTCTATCACCTACAGGAACTGGATCCTTGTTCTATTTACAGCCCCAATAAGTCAATCTCTGCATATGAGAGGATCAAAGAGAAAAAAAAAGGCAAACAGTTTGACACAGGTTCTAGTCAATCTACTTGGGTTTCAATCCCAGCTCTGCTACCTATTAGCTATGTAATCTTGGGCAATTACTTAACAATCCTGCATCATAACTTATTTATCTATCATTTAGCCTAATAGTATCTACCACACAGATTATGAGGATTAAAATAAGTCCACACACTGCTATCCAGACTACATAAAGCACTTTCACAACTCAAAAATAGGAAAACAATCCAGTTTTTTAAATGGTCAAATCTGAATAGACACTTCACTAAAGAAGTCATACAGATGGCAAAAAAAGTACATGAAAATATCTCAACATCAATACTCAATAGGGAAATGCAAATTAATGTGACACCACCACAACAAAACAAAACAAAAACCACCAATAATACCAAGTGTTGATGAGAACATGGAGCGACTACAACTCTCATATATTGCTGGTGGGAATGCAAAAGTTTAGCCACTTCGGAAGATAGTTTAGCAGTTTCTATAAACATACACTTATCACATGATCCAGTAATCCCATTCCTAGGCATTTACCCAAGAGAAATGAAGATATGTGTCTATTTTAAAACTTCTATGCAAATATATATAGCAGTTTTATCATTCACCAAATATTGAAAACCCAAATAATGTCCATCAATGTGTGAATGGATAAATCCATGTAATGGAATGGTATAGTATATCCATATAATGGAATGCTACTCAGCAACAAAAAAGGTCTGAATTTCTGATATATGTGACAACATGGATGAACCTAAAAGCATTAGGCTGAACAAAATAAGACTGACTCCATGACTCTGTATGATTCCATTTATATGTGACATAATGGAAAAGGCAAAACAGAAGGCACAGAAATCCTATCAGTTCTAGGGGCTGGAAATGAGGGGAGGGGGTTGACTACAAAGGAAGACAAGGAACTGTTGAGGGTGACAGAAATATTCTGTATCTTGACTGTGGTACCGGTATATGACTTATGTACATTGTCAAAATTCATAGAGCTATAAAACTAAATAGGGCAAATTGTACTGCATATAAACCATACCTCAATAAAACTGATTTTAACAAAAAGAAATCTAGGCCAGGCACGTTGGCTCACGCTTGTAATCCCAGCACTTTGGGAGGCCAAGGCAGGTGGATCACTGAAGTTCAGGAGTTCGAGACCAGGCTGGCCAACATGGTGAAACCGTCTCTACTAAAAATACGGATATTAGCCAGGTGTGGTGGCAGACACCTGTAATCTCAGCTACTCAGGAGGCTGAGGCAGGAGAATCGCTTGAACCTGGGAGGTGGAGGTTGCAGTGAGCCGAGGTTGCACCACTGCACTCCAGCCTGGGTGACCAAGCAAGACTCTGTGTCAGACCTCCACATTTTGTAACAAATATCCAAGTTCTGCACATGTACCCCAGAACAGAAAGAAAGAAAGGAAGGGAGGAAGGGAGGAAGGAAGAAATAAATCTAGTTTAGGTATATGAAATGTACATACTGTGGGTATGTTTATTTATAAAATTAGATATGGATCAAGTCAGTATATACCTTATATAAAGCTTTCATGGCTGCTCATGGAATTGTCAACATGTATATTTGAACTATTAGCTGAGAGAGATTGAGTCAACTGAATGAATTTAAATGCCAACTAAATTTCAGATACTATTTATTTCCTCCACCAAAACAGAATTTATAAAAAGAATTTATTGTGCTAGGGCTCATTTTTCCTTTTTACTGTTACCTCTTCCCTTTGAACTCAAATCTCAAAACTTCTAGTACAAAAATACAGAATACTCTAATTTCCATATCTAGGAAACTTAGGCTAAAAAAAGCTTTGTTTGAATCCGCCCCATAGGTCGGGAGCTAACATGCTATGACTATCAGAGATGGAAAAAGAAAAGATCACACCATTAAAATGGCAAATGACCAAAATCAATGTTCCCCACTATTTAAATAGAAAAATAAAATTCAGAAGACTGAGATTGAGTGTTATGAATCTTTCAATCATGCAGAATTTATTTTGTTGATGTTAATGCCTCTCAAAAATATAATCCCAGGTTCCAAGAATTGTGTAGAATTTCTACATGTGAGCTTAAACGTAAAACACAGTTAATTTTCTATGCTCTATCACTAGCTTTGTTAAACCAAATCCTCTTTCCCACTTCTGCACGGACAGGTAACTAGGTGGTACTTTTTACCACCCACAAAAAGCAGGCCTCTTAGGCAACAGTCTATGTATTTTCAGGGGCTTATCAAAGGCAAAAGGGGCCATGGCTTTTGTCTGCACTATATTCCCATCACCTAGGACAAGGCCCAAAACTCAGCAGAAATTCAGAGACATGAATGAGTGACTTTCCTAAAACTGCTCACTGAGGGGAAAAATGTAGCATATCAGGATTTTCGTAAACATTGAAATATCTTTAAAGACATGACTTGGCCCCTATGACTTGATATAGACAAATTCAAGGTTCTATTGCAGGTATTATTCTGGGTATTACTGTTTCCTCTGATATTAAAAATAACCAAGAATTGATGGTATGATTATATTCTTTATAAAGCTCCCAGGTAATATGCTGACTGCAATCTCAAGTTGTTTGTATAGACATATTTTATCTCTCATAATTAAATTTTAAATTCAATATTAAAAATAATGTATCTTTTACTTCAGTAGCCTGTAACCAGGAATGTACCCCTGAAGGAGCTTTATGAAGACACATGCCAACTCCTGGAAATGGATTCAGTAGTGCAGGTGGAGGTCAGGCTTATGAGAACCACTGCTGTTTTTGTTTGTTTGTTTGTTTGTTTTGGGGGGGGTGGCTGTTTTTGTTTTTTGAGACAGAGTTTTGCTCTGTCACCCAGGCTGGAGTGCAGTGGCAGGACCTTGGCACCTCAGCGTAAAGCAATTTCTGCCTCCCAGGCGATCCTCCCACCTCAGCCTCCTGAGTAGCTGGGACTACAGGCATGCACCACAATGTGGTTATTTTTTGTATTTTTTTGTATTTCTGGCTAATTTTGTATTTTGTATGTCTGGCTAATTTTTGTATTTTTTTGTAGAGGCAGGGTTTTGCCATGTTGCCAAGGCTGGTCTCAAACTCCTGAGCTCAAGCGATCCGCCTGCCTCGGCCTCCCAATGTGCTTGGATTACAGGCATGAACAACCACACATGGCCACCATTGCTGTGTTTCTATGTAGCCCTAGCATCTACTGTAGTTACTGCTCTTCACACAGCAGCCACTCAAAGACATTTGTTAACCTACTATTCAATAATCTCTAAATGTTGCAGAGAGGAAATCTAATTTTTATACTGAGTTTAAAGTGAAACTTAAGCTCCTCCTTTGCTACTCTTCAGGTAAAAAAGTACTCATCATATCACAGGAAAAGTAACATCACAGTCTCCTCCTAACTGACAGAATCTTTCTCTACCACCAACTGCCTACTTTAAATTCACCCATCACTCTGCTATTAGAGAAGTCTTCCTAAAGAACAACTCTGAGAGTGAAATGATTATCACTTATGGCCCAAAAAACAAAAAGAAATAAAATAACTGATTTCTTAGAGGCAAAATTAAAAGCCAGACTATTATGGCGTTCAAGGCTTTCACAATCTGACTTTAATTTCCCTAACTTTTCCAGCCCTATCTTCCTGACTCTCCCTCACTCCCTAGCCCCTGACAGCTGTACGGAAATTTCCTGAATTGCTCCATTCCTATTTGTCTCACTTCCTTATCACTGTTCCCTGGGCCTGAAAAGCACTTACCTTATTTCCTATCCTATGCCCGACCTCTGCCTATGAACATCCATCCATCAAGTCTCAATTTCAATGCCTCCTCTACAGAAGGATCTCCTCAACAGCCCCACTTACAATTACTGTGAGAACTGGTTATCGCAGAACTGAAAGAGACCTTAGAGACACTTTATCCAGTCCAGTGGTTTCTAAACTTTTTACTTAAGCAGCTGAATTTTTATAAAGGCTTCAAGGAACCTTGACACTCCATACATTTAAGTCTTCACTGTAGGACAGCTTAAAACACGAATCCAATCCAGTCTCATTTTAAAAATAGAGATAAGAGGTCTGTACAAAGTGACTTCCCAATGTCAAGTTAGTGACTGATTTGAGGGACTCTTTGTCATTCATTTAACAAATATTTACTCAGCACTTACTATGTGCCAGGTACTGTTCTAGCCCCTTGCTAGACAGCAAACAAAAGAGACATACTGCTGATAAATAAACCCTATTCGGCCTGTGCAGAAGACAGATGAATCTAGGAGAATCACGGTGGATTATCATAAGCTTAACCAAGTGGTGACTCCGATTGCAGCTGCTGTACCAGATGTGAGCTCATTCTTTACCCTCAACAGATCTCCTGGTATCTGTTACATACAGCTATCAATCTGGCAAATGCCTTTTTCCCCCATACCTGTCCATGAGGCCCACCAGAAGCAGTTTCCTTTCAAATGGCAAGGCCAAAAATACCTTCACTGTCCTAACTCAGGGATATATCAACCCCCTAGACCTATGTTCACAGGGATCTTGATCACCTTTCCCCTCAAGGTAACATATTAGTCCATTATATCAATGACATTATGCTTATTGGACCTAATGAGCAACGAGTAGCAACTACTCTAGGCTTAATGATAACACATAGCATGTCAGAGGTTGGGAAATAAATCTGACTAAAATTCAAGGGCCTTCTACTTCAGTGTAATGTCTAGGGGTCTACTGGTGTGAGGCATGTCATGGTATCTCTTCTAGGGTAAAGGATAAATTGTTGCATCTGGCTCCTCCTACTACCAAGAAAAAGGCACAACACTTAACTCCTTTATTTAGATTTTGGAGGCAACACATTCCTCATTTGAGTGTTACTCCGGCCCAATTACCAAGTGACCAGAAAAGCTGCTAGTTTTGAGGGGGGCCCAGAATAGAAGGCTCTGTAACAAATCTGTAACAAATCTGCTCTGCAAGCTGCTCTGCCACTTGGGCCATATGACCCAGCAGATCCAATGGTACTTGAGGTATCAGCAGTTGGCAGGCCTCTCTCTATAGGTAAATCACAGCACAGGCCTGTAGGATTTTGGAGCAAGACCTTGCCATCAACTGCAGATAATACTTCCCTTTTGAGAGACAGCTCTTGACCTGCTACTGGACCTTAGTAGAAACTGAACATTCACCACGGGCCACCAAGTTATCATGCAATCTACTTGGAAGTGGGTGTTACCTGACCCACTCCAAGCCACAAAGCTGGGCGTGCATAGCACCATTAAAATCATCAAGTGGAGGTAACATATATGTGATTGGGCCTGCGTAGGTCCTAAAGGCACAAGTTACATGAAATGGCCCAAATGCCCATGGTTCCTGGTGCTACACTGTCTTTTCTCACCCAGATTGTACCTCTGGCCTCATGAGGAATATTCTACAATCAGCTGACAGAGCCTTGTTTACAGATGGTTCTGCACGACATGCGAGCACCACCCAAAAGCGGACAGCTGCAGTGCTACAGCCCTTTTTCTGGAACATCCAGTCATGAAATCTTCCCAGTCACGAAATCTTCCCAGTAGGCAGAACTTAGGGCAGCACACCCAGTTACGCACTTTGCTGTGAAGGAGAAATGGCCAGATGTGTGATTATACGTCAATGCATAGGCAATAGATAATGGTTTCACAGGATGCTCAGGGACTTCGAAGGAACATAACCAGAAAATTGGTGACAAAGAAATTTGGGGCAGAACAGATCTCTCCTAACTGGGCAAAGGATGTGAAGATATTTGTCTTATGTGAATGCTCACCAAAGGGTGACCTCAGCAGAGGAGGGCTTTAATAATCAAGTGGATAGCATGACCTGTTTTATGGATACCAGTCAGCCATTTTCCCCAGCCACCTGTCATTGCCCAGGGGGCTCATCCTGGACATGGTGGCAGGGATGGAGGTTATTCACGGGCTTAGCAACATGGATTTCCACTCACTACAGCTCACCTGGGTATGGCCACTGCTGAGTGCCCAATCTGCTAGCAGCAGAGACCAGCAATGAGCCCCCAGTATGGCACCATTCCCTGGGGTGATCCGCCAGCTACCTGGTGGCTGCTTCCATCACAGAAGGGGCAGCAGTTTGTTCTTACTGCAATAGACACTCTAGATACAAATTTGCCTTTCCTGCACACAATGCTTCTCCCAAAACTACCATCCATGAACTCACAGAATGCCTTATCTACCATCATGGCATTCTACACAGCATTGCTTCTGACCATGGAACTTATCTCAGTCACAAAAGTGGGGTAATGGGCTCAAGCTCATGGAATTCATTGGTCTTACCATGTTCCCTGCCATCCTGAAGCAGCTAGCTTGACAGGATGGTGAAATGGCCCTTAGAAGATTCAGTTACAGTGCCAGCTAGGTGATAATACCTTGCAGGTCTAGCACTAGGTTCTCCAGAAGGCTGTACACATTCTGAGTTAGCATCCACTACATGGTACTGTTTTTCCCACAGCCAGGAGTCAATATTCCTTGTTTCCTGAACTAAGGAATACAAATAGGAATGGCACTACTCACCATTACCCACAAGCAAAATTTTTACTTCCTGTTCCCGTAACTTTATGCTCTTTTGGCCTAGAAGTCTTAGTTCCAGAGAGAGAGGAATACTTCCACCAGGAAACACAATAATGATTCCATGGAACTGGAGTCAAAACTACCATCCAGCCACTTTGGGCTCCTCATGCCTCTGAGTCAACATAGCTGGGGGTGATTAATCTAAACTAGGAATGGGAAGCTGGACTACTAACTCACAGTGCAGATAAAGAAGAGTATGTCTGGAATACAGGAGATCCCTTGGGGCATCTCTTTGTATTATCATGCCCTTTAAATAAGTCAACGGGAAACTACAACAACCCAATCCAGGAAGGTCTACTAATAGCCCAGACCCTTTAAGAATGAAGCTTTGGGTCACCCCACCAAATAAAGAACCACGACCAGCTAAGGCGTTTGCTGAAGGCAAACAGAATACAGAATATGTAGTACAAGAAGGCAGTAATCAATGCCAGCTATAACCACCTGACCAGTTAGGGAAATGAGGATTTTAACTGTCATGACTATATTCTCCCTATTTTGTTCAGAATACATTTGTGTGTATATATACATAGATATAACAAAGCAAATATCTTTGTGTTCTTTCCTCTTATTCCTTTACTATGTAATATAAGATGTATTTACTTTATATCAGTATTTAAGTATTGCTAATTTATTTTTTATCTTTTTGAGACAGAGTCTCACTCTGTTGCCCAGGCTGGAGTGAAGTGGCGCAATCTTGGTTCACTGCAACCTCTGCCTCCCAGGTTCAAGCGATTCTTAAGCCTCAGCCTCCCGAGTAGCTGGGACTACAAGTGCACACCACCATGCCCGGCTAATTTTTCCATTTTTATTATTGTATTTTTAGAGACGGGGTTTCACCATATTGGCCAGGCTGGTCTCAAACTCCTGACCTCGTAATCTGCCTGCCTCGGCCTCCCAAAGTGCTGGGATTACAGGTGTGAGCCACCATGCCCGGCCAAGTATTGTTAATTTTACATCATATAATTAAATTGTGGGACATAAGAGAACAACATTCAAGAGCTTTACCTCCTCTTCTGAGGATAAATCAGTGCATTTTCAATTGTATGCAGGGTAGTTGTATCATTTTAGGCAGAGCTACAATTTCGTAATTGTCTCTATTCGGAGATTAAATATGGTTTAAGTAGGTGCACATGGGTGCCACATGGGTGCCAAGTTGACAAGGGGTGGAACTGTGATGGTTAATTTCAGGTGTCAACTTAACTGAATTAAGAGGTACCCAGATAACTGGTATAGTATTATTTTTGGGTATGTCTGTGAGGATGAGGGTGTTTCCAGAGAGACTGGCATTTCTTTTTTATTTTTTTTGAAACAGTCCTGATCTCTTGCCCAGGCCTGACTGCAGTGGCCTGATCACAGCCTCAACCTCCCAGGCTCAGGTGATCCTCTCACCTCAGCCTCCCGAGTAGCTGGGACTACAGGCATGCACCACCATGCCTGGCTAATTTTTATGTTTTCTGGAGAGACGAGGTTTTGCCATGTTGCCCAGGCTGGTCCTGAACTCCTGGGCTCAAGTGATCCACCCGCCTCAGCCTCCCAAAGTGCAAGGATTACAGGCGTGAGCCAAAGTGCCCAGGGAGATAAGCATTTCAATCAGTGGACTCCATAAGGAAGATCTGCCCTCATCCAATGTGGGTGGGCACCATCAATTGGCTAAGGACCTGGATAGAAAGGTGAATTCTCTCTTTCTTGGAGCTGGGGCGCCCTCCTTCTCCAGCAACTGGAAAGACTGCAGTTACCAAAACTGAGACAGGAAAGATGACAAATGGCAATGGTTTGAGGTAGAGGAATATCAGAGTTCAGTTCTGAACACATTAAGCTTCAGATGCTCATTAGTTATCAGACTAGAGACACCAAATTAGATATGCAGTCCTGGAGTTGAATATACAGTCCTAAAGCCCAGGTTAAAGGTATGGGCTAGAGATCATAAACTTGGGAATAATTACCATATATATATATTTATATTTATATTACATTAACATGTATATAATATTAAAGCTATAGGTTAGAAAAGCAACAATGACAGACTCTTGGGACACTCCATCATTTAGAAGTAGAAAAGATGAGGCATAACAACAAAGAAGGCTAAAAGGAATACTCAGAAATGTAGGAAGAAAAAAAGGCATGTGTGTTTCCAAGAATAAGGAATGAGCAACTGTGCCAAATGCTGATGGCAGATCAAGTTAGATAAGGTCTGAGAAAAAAATGACAGTTGAATTTGGCAACATGGAGGTCACTGTTGGTTTTGAAAGGAAAGTTTTCATGGTACAGCAAAGGTAAAAACAAACAAAAAACCCTGATTAGGTAAAGTTTAAGAGAGAATAAGAGATGAAAAACCGAAAACAGAAGTAATTTTGGGTCAGGTGTGGTGGCTCACATCTGTAAACTCAACATTTTGGGAGACTAAGGTAGGAGGATCACTTGAGCCCAGAAGTTTAAGACCAGCCTGGGCAACACAGTGAGAACCTGTCTCTACAAAAAATAAAAATAAATAAAAATTAGCCAGACTTGGTGGTGTGTGCCTGTGGTCCCAGCTACTGGGGAGGCTGAGGTGGGAAGACTGCTTGAGCCCAGGAGATTGAGGCTGCAGTGAACCGTGATCATGCCACTTTACTCCAGCCTGGGTAGGAGTGAGATTCTGTCTCACACACATAAAAAGAAAGTAATTTTGTTGTGAAAGGGTCAAGAGAAAGCTTTTTTGATTTGGGTTGTTTTTTTTGGGGGGTGGGGGGTGCAGTGGGGAGGTGACGAGACTGTTTAAGAAAAGTTGTATCTGGCCAGGCATGGTGGCTCACGCCTATAATCCTAGCACTTCAGGGAACTGAAGCAGGTGAATCACTTGAGCCTAGGAGTTCAACAGTAGCCTGGGCAACATGATGAAACCCCATTTCTACAAAAAAATAAAAGAAATGAGCCAGGCATGGTGGTGCGTGCCTGGGGTCCCAGCTACTCAAGTGGCTAAGGTGGGAGGATTGAAGCCAAGAGGTTGAGGCTGCAGTAAGCCATAATGGCATCATTGCTCTACAGCCTGGGTGAAAGAGTGAGACCCTATTAAAAAAAAAAAAAAGAAAGAAAGAAAGAAAAAAAGAAAAGAAAAGCAGTACCTTTACTATCTAGAACATTCTATTTTGTATTACTGTCAATTTTGTACAAGTCTGTTTCTACACTGATTAACCAGTAATGTACCTGAGAGCAGGAACTGTATCGTACAGCTTCTACAACTAACTGTAAGTGTGGACAAGTTATTTCACACTACTATGGAATTTCAGTTTCCTTTTTTGTAAAATATTGGGACAATCTAGAGAGCTGATAATTTTGAAGATCCATTCCAATTCTGACATTTGATTTTATAGCCTCTCCAGGTTCTCAGAATAGTATCTACAGAACTGAGAACAAAAAATCAAACTGAGGCTACACTTAAAACAAGTCTCCTTGGCCAGGCGCAGTGGCTCATGACTGTAATCCCAGCACTTTGGGAGGCTGAGGTGGGTGGATCACGAGGTTGGGAGTTCAAAACCAGCCTGGCCAAGATGGTGAAACCCCGTCTTTACTAAAAATACAAAAAAATTAGCCAGGGGTGTTGGTGGGCGCCTGTAATCCCATCTACTAGGGAGGCTGAGACAGAGAATTGCTTGAACCCGGGAGGCAGAGGTTGCTGTGAGCCAAGATCGTGCCACTGCACTCCAGCCTGGGCAACAGAGCAAGACTCCGTGTCAAAAAAAAAAAAAAAAAAAAAAGTCTCCTCATCAAATTGTTATATAATTTGCTAAGGTAACACATAAAGTTACCAGATACCCAGAATAACATAGAAGTTTTATAAAATCCATGAAAATGTAATTATACATATCATACTTCACTAATAAAATGTAGAAATACTACACTAACATTCTAGAAACATTCTTTTTATCTTATAGCAGTAGAATATTTCAGCAAATGGGCTGTTAGCACACAAGTTCAAAAAGGGTCATCTTAAATACACCAAAATTTCAGTTCTTAAAAGACAACTACCTTTGTCATTAGTAAAATTTAAAGCAATATCATAGAAGGCAACCCTCTTATTTTAAACCAGGCTGATTTAGAATGCCTCTCCATTTTTATTTAATATTTATTTATTTACTTTTTTTTTTTTTTGAGATGGAGTTTTGCTCTCGTTGCCCAGGCTGGAGTGCAATGGTGCGATCTCGGCTCACTGCAACCTCTGCCTCCCGGGTTCAAGTGATTCTCCTGCCTCAGCCTCCTGAGTAGCTGGGATTACAGGCATGCACCACCATGCCCAGCTAATTTTTGTATTTTTAGTAGCGACAGGGTTTTACCATGTTGGCCAGGCTGGTCTTGAACTCCTGACCTCAGGTGATCCTCCTGCCTCAGCCTCCCAAAGTGCTGGGATTACAGGCGTGAGCCCCTGCGCCCAGCGATATTTATTAATTATCTGTAAAACAAATATTCTATTTATAAGGAGATTAAGAAAAAACAGGGCCGGGCACAGTGTCTCATGCCTATAATCCCAGCACTGAGGTGAAAGTATCACTTGAGGCAAGGAGTTCAAGACCAGCCTGGGCAACACAGTGAGACCCTGTCTCTACAAAAAATAAAACAATTAGCCTGGTATGGTGGTGCAAGCCTGTAGTCCCAGCTACTTAGGAGACCAAAGCAGAAGATTCTCCTGAGCCCAGGAGTTTGAGGTCACAGTGAGCTACAGTTGTACCACTGCACTCACCCTGGGTGACAGAGCAAGACCTTGTTTCTAAAAAAAAAAAAAAAACAAACCAAAGAAAAAACTTAGTACTATGGTTACAATGCTCATAAACAGAACCACTCAATGTTAAATGTTAAGTCATAATGTCCTACGGACTGATGACTGACTTGGCTTAACCTTTTGCTTTAGGCCTGAATCACAGAACTCTTAGCCCCCAAAATGATTTTTTAAAAAATTACCCCTGCTATTATTATTTTTGCTCTTTGATAAAAGAGAAAAGAAAGGGAATTTTAGGACACGTTAAAGAAATGTGAACTTTAACTTCTCTTAGTTACACTTCTGGTCAAAACAGAGAAATGAGGAAACCAACATTAGCAACTAGCTGTGTAGCCTCATGATTAAGAACATGGGGTTTGGAGTGGGTGACCCAGGCTGAGTCCTAACTCTACTATTGACTAGTTTTTAACTTAAAGCTACTTAAACTCTCTAAGCCTCTGTTTTCACATCTGTGAAAGGGACAGTTATAATCCTTATTTCACATAATAATTCACTTAAATTACTTGTTATAGTGCCAGGACACATAGTATGTTCTCAAATACATAACGAAAAGAGGCAGATGAACAAGCTGCAGTACATCCATACTTAGCAATAAAATGGAGCTAACTATTGATAAATACAACTTAGATGACAATCAAAAGCATTATGCTGAGTGAAAGAAGCCAGTGTCAAAGGGTTACATACTGCAGGGGTCCTCAACCCCAAGGCAGGCGAGCATCACCACCTGAGTTCTGCCTCCTGTCAGAGCAGCCAGAGAATTAGATTCTCATAGGAGAGGAAACCCTATTGTGAACTGTGCATGCAAACTATCTAGGTTACGTGCTCCTTATGAGAATCTAACGCCCAATGATTTGAGGTGGAACAGTTTCATCCTGAAACCATCCCACCAACTTCTGTGGAAAAATTGTGTTCCATGAAACTGGTCACTGGTGCCAAAAAGGTTAGGGACCACTGAATACTATATGATTCCATTTATATAACATTTCTTGAAGAGACAAAACTACATTGATGGAGAACAGATCAGTGGTTGCCAGGGATACAGATTTTGGGGAGGGTGTGACTATTGAGAGAGCATGAGGATTTGGGGAAGTGATGAATTGTTCTATATCCTGATTATGGTGATGGTTACACAAACTTAGACATGTCAAAATTCACAGAGCTGTCCACAAAAAAGTCAACTTTATGATAATTTGAAAAATAAAATGAAATTTTAAAAAACCTCCAAGAGCCCCAAAACTCATTACTTCAGGCCGTAATCACAAGAAAACAAGAGATATAATCAAATTGAGGGACATTCTACAAAATACCTGACTGGTACTCTTCCAAAGGGTCAAGGTCAAAAAAGAGATTTGGGGGGATGAGAGAGATAACCATTAAGTGCAGTGTGGTATATCTTGGACTAGATCCTGGAACAGAAAAAGGACATTAGTGGAAAAGCTGGGAAAATCCTAATAAAGTCTACAGTTAATAGCACTGTACCAATGTTAGTTTCTTAGTTTTCATCACTATACTATGACTGCATAAGACGTTAACATCAGTGGACACTGGATAAAAAATATACACGACTTCTTTGCGCTATTTAAGAAACTCTTTTCTAAACTTAAGATCATTTCAAAATAAGTTTTAAAAAAATGCCAGAATCTTTAAGAAAGAATACAGTCTGTAATAATTCCATAAAGTAAAAATAAATCTCTTTCAAAAACAAACTGATGACATCATGCATATTTTGATTAAAATGGTTTTATCTGTACTAAGATTATATGTTATCTGAAAGGGATAAAACAGATTCCACCATATATTATACGACTTATTAGCCATAATCATTGCCAACATATATGCTTATAATTTTTACAATTCTATCATTTGATTTCCCAATTCAAGAATAATTTATTTTTAAAGGAATGTCTCAAATTCTACCCCTTAATATTCCTATTAAAAAAAAAAAAAAAAAAACCTTCACTGGCCTATCAGCACCCACAGAATAAATTCCAATACAAAACATTTATCCATCTTGACTTCTGTCTACCTTATCATGCCTTACCTCGGCATTCTACGCCCCCAGCATATACTCTACATCTGAACTTGTTAGTTCAGAGCATTGTCATGCTTTTTCACTCTACCTTTTCAGGCCTTCTCCACCTACTGAATCTCCCAAGAGCCTTTCTCTCCTCACTGTGTCATTAAAAGGAAGAATTGGTCACTTCCTCCTTTGTGCTCTCACAGTATTTTGTAAATGATCTAATCACATTGTTTGAATCATGTTTATTCATTCGTACACACACTTATGGTTACTGCTATGCGCAAAGCACTCTTTGCATTTTGAGCACTCAAGGATGAATAGATTTCCTTCAGAACTCTTCCTACTGGAATACTCTTCCTACTCTGCTAGAATACCTGGTAAAGAACATTACATTCCGTATCATTTGTTTACACGCCTCATTGGTCATTTATTTCAGCATGATAGCATGCCTGTCCCACAGTAGTTATTTAATAAATATCTGCTAAATGAAACATTCAGAAATTGAACTAATTATTGGCTCAATGATAAACCTTTTTTTTTTCCCTTTTCCACCCAATTGAACCATTCTCAGGTCATTTAGACCACTGTATAGGTCTAAAGTACACAAAAAGCCAAGGCCACTTTCTCACTTTCCTGACTTAATCTAAATTCTCTGAACAGCTGGGTTAGGATGGGTATGGTAGCCCTGTTTAGGAATCAAGTCTACAGCAGTAAAGCTCTGCATCTGTAAAGAGAGAATAGCTTCTGGATTTGACCCAGGGTCTATACCTCAACACCCCCATATACATTAATAGGTGAAAAATAATACTTTAGAGAGAAAGAGATACAGAGATGAGGAAAAGAACAAAAAGAAAAAAAAAAAAAAAGGAAAACTCCCAAAAGATTAGGGTAAAGTGGCCCTTCCATTCGACTTTTTGTCTTCTGTCCCTTTCAGGCCTTTACTTAACACAACTTCTTGTTAAAAAAAAAACAACAACAACAACAACAACAACAAAAATTGACGACAACAAAAAACCTTTTCTTTTTTTCTTTTTTTTTTTTGAGATGGAGTCTTGCTCTGTCACCCAGGCTGAAGTACAGTGCAGTGGCGCAATCTCGGCTCACTGCAAGCTCCACTTTCCGGGTTCACGCCATTCTCCTGCCTCAGCCTCCCAAGTAGCTGGGACCACAGGTGCCCGCCACCACGCCCGGCTAATTTTTTTTTGTTGTTGTTGTATTTTTAGTAGAGACAGGATTTCACCGTGTTAGCCAGGATGGTTTTGAACTCCTGATCCCGTGATCCACCCGTCTCGGCCTCCCAAAGGGCTGGGATTACAGGCATGAGCCACCACAGCCGGCCAAAAAAAAATTTTTTTCTAATTAGAAGCAGGCAGCTAAGTTTCAGCAAAAAGGAATGTTCAAATAAGATTTTAGACTCTGGCTTTATTTATTCATATTTCTTAATGCCATATAGATGAACAATTAATACTTTCTTTGAACTCATGTTTTACTATCATGACAAATGAAACGTTTTGGCTATAGCTAAACTACTCTGCTTCTCTCCCTCCACACTTGAAGTCAAATCATTGACACAAATGACACTTTAAAACTTAAAAGTGGAGAAATAGGAACACTGTTACACTGTTGGTGGGACTGTAAACTAGTTCAACCATTGTGGAAGACAGTGTGGCAATTCCTCAGGGATCCAGAACTAGAAATACCATTTGACCCAGCCATCCCATTACTGGGTATATACCCAAAGGATTATAAATCATGCTGCTATGAAGACGCATGCATACGTATGCTTATTGCGGCACTATTCACGATAGCAAAGACTTGGAACCAACCCAAATGTCCAACAATGATAGACTGGATTAAGAAAATGTGGCACATATACACCATGGAATACTATGCAGCCATAAAAAATGATGAGTTCATGTCCTTTGTACAGATATGGATGAAACTGGAAACCATCATTCTCAGCAAACTATTGCAAGGACAAGAAACCAAACACCGCATGTTCTCACTCATAGGTGGGAATTGAACAATGAGAACACTTGGACACAGGAAGGGGAACATCACACACTGGGGCCTGTTGTGGGGTGGGGGGAGTGGGGAGGGATAGCATTAGGAGATATACCTAATGTAAATGACGAGTTAATGGGTGCAGCACACCAACATGGCACATGTATACATATGTAACAAACCTGCACGTTGTACACATGTACCCTAGAACTTAAAGTATAATAAAATATATATATATATTAAAAAAAACCTTAAAAGTATTTTAGACTTAGATTCATTTTAGGAAATGTTTCTTGGGCACATACAATGTGCTAAGTGTCATATACAATGTGCTAAGCGTTTTTAATGTTCTCAAGTTTCTATCTCCAAGTCTCTCTCCTGAAGGCGATTAAGCCTTTAGGCCAAGATGGGTCAGCCTAGATCTCAAGAATCACCCAGTCAAGTAACAGAATAATGAGAAATAATATCTGTGATACATACATTTGGTCAAAAATTACAACTTGCCTGTGGCCACATGGTTAGTAAACTTAAAGCCAACATTTAAATCCATTTTCACTCCAGAATCCTATGCCCTTTCTATAACATCCCAAACCTCAAACCTCAAAAATATTTTGAACTTTAGAAATTAGTTTGAGGCTGGGCACGGTGGCTCATGCCTGTAATCCCAGCACTTTGGGAGACCGAGGCGGATGGATCATGAGGTCAGGAGTTTGAGACCAGCCTGGCCAATATGGTGAAACCTCATCTCTACTAAAAAATACAAAAATTAGCCGGGCATGGTGGCGCATGCCTGTAGTCCCAGCTACTAGGGAGGCTGAGGCAGGAGAATTGCTGGAACCTGGGAGGTGGAGGTTGCAGTGAGCCGAGATCACACCACTGCACTCCAGCCTGGGCGACTAAGCGAGACTCCGTCTCAAAAAAAAAAAGAAAAAAAAGAAAAAAGAAATTAGTTTGAACATCCTCAACAGACATTTCCCAAATTTAAGGATACAAAAATATGCATGTATAATGTGCTACACAGACTAAGAATTCAATTACAAGTTATTGAGGTAAATCTCCAGAGTTTACCAACCTCTCTACTTTCACTCTTGCTACTGTCTCCCCACTATATTTTTTCTCCCCATCCCTCAAGGATCTGCTAAAGTTCACCCAAAGAAAGACTATGTTAGCAAAGTGAAGAAACCTTAAAAAAAAAAAAAAAAAGGAATAGTGAGGAGGAATATGCCACAAATTACCTCAAGCAGCTAAGTACAGGAATAAATAGGACAGGATGTAAAATAAAAAGATCTGATATTACATATAAACTTAGATAATAAAAATGGAATCAGGCCAGGTGAGGTGGCTCATGTCTGTAATCCCAGCACTTTGGGCAGTGATGATAATAAAAATGGTATCAGGCCACCAAGGTGGACAGACAACATGAGCCCAGGAGTTAGAGACCAACCTGGAAATATGTTGAAACCCCATCTCTACAAAAAATACAAAAATTAACCATGCATGGTGGCTCAAGCCTATGGTCCCAGCTACTGGGGAGGCTGAGGCAGGAGGACTGCTTGAGCCCAGGAGATCGAGGTTGCAATGAGCTGAGATGGCACCACTGCTCTCCAGTCTGGGTGACAGCGAGACCCCGTCTCAAAGAAAAGGTATCTATAAAAACATTAGATTCTATCTTGTCTGAAAAAATTCAAAGCAAAAAAGTTTGTTCATCAAATGGCATTAGCTAACAATTTAAAAGCACTGCCAAAAATTTTTAAGTCCCTATATCACATTATTCCAATTAGACATTTAAATGTAAAAGTATGGAATAAAATATGGATAAACATTTATACACTAATTGATAAAGAATGACTTTCTGGCCAGGCGCAGTGGCTCACACCTGTAATCTCAGCATTTTGGGAGGCGGAGGCAGTGGATCACTTGTGGTCAGGAGTTCAAAACCAGCCTGGCCAACATGGTGAAACCCTGTCTCTACTAAAAATGCAAAAATAAGCCAGACGTGGTGGTAGACACCTGTAATCCCAGCTACTTGGGAGGCTGAGGCAGAATCGCCTGAACCTAGGAGGTGGAGGTTGCAGTGAACCCAGATTGCACCACTGCACTCCAGTCTGGGTGACAGAGACTTTGTCAAAAAAAAAAAAAAAAAAAAGACTTTCTATGTATGACAAAAGGGCAGGAAAAAAAAGTAAAGGAAAAGGATGACATTTTAGTACATAAAAATGTAAATGCACTATAACCTAGGCCAGGTACAGTGGCTCACATCTGTAATCCCAGCACTTTGGAAGGCCGAGGTAGGTGGATCGCTTGAGCCCAAGAGATTGAGACCAGCCTGGGTAACACGGCAATACCCCATCTTAAAAAATAAATAAGTAAGTAAATAAATAATTTTTAAAATTACCATAACCAAAGCTAAGGCTAGGAACAAACTAGGGAAAAATATGACAAAAAGTCCTTTTTTTAAAAAAAAAAAAAAAAAAAAACCTATTCTTAAGTTTAGCTTACACAAGCAAATACATTTGTCAAAACTCAGCAAATGCTTTCCAAAATAAATCTCTTGCTTCACTTAAAAAACGAAAACTAGAAATCTTAGGCAATATATTGTGGATGTGCAGTTAAGACGATACAATACAGAACTGTGACAGTGGGCTCACTCTCAAAGAAAATGGTCTTGGACCCTTCATCAAAAGATTGACCAATTAACATCCAATTCTAGGTTTTAAGTTAAAATAAAGTGTTTAAGGTAAAGAGATATATGTATTTAGTTCTAAGACAGTTTTTTATCTCAAAAGAAAAAAACTAAAATACTGAAACACTGCTCAATGACATGCATGCTAAAATATTTAAGTGAAAATGTACTAATATCTGCAATTTAATAAAAACTTAGGTAGTGGGTGTATGAGTACTCATTATAAAATTTCAACTTTGCTGTGTGTTTTAAAACTTTCATAATAAAATATGGAGGGAAAAAGCTATTGTTAATTGAAACAAATACCCTAATAGAAAAACAGGCATAAGGCATGAATAGGCACTTCACAAAAGAAATGTAGTCATACAGGAAAAGATGTTCATTCTCATAACCTCAGAGCAGAAAAACAATGCCATTTTTCACCTACTAAATTAAATTAGCAAAGATTCAAATGATTAGAGAGGGTACATGGAAAAAAATGTTTTCATATTTTATTTATGAGAGTCCAAAGAGTATCATTCCAGAAGGCAACTTCACAACCAAAAGACTTTAATGCCTCTATCTTTTTATCTAGCAGTTTCAGTCCTTGGGATTTATTCTAACAAAATAAATACACGTGCAAAGATGTAGATATATATTCAGCACGATATTGTTCAAAGTAGTAAGAAACTAGAAACAAACTATTATGTAAATCGGGAAACGTCACAGAAACTATATCCCATTATATGGAATGTACCATACTGCTATTGTCTAAATAAAATGGTACAGGTATGGAAAAATCTCCAGGACATATTTAAGTGAAATATAAAAGTTACAAAACAGTATGTGATCACATAATACTTATATATGCATGATCTACATTTCAGTATATGCAATGATGGTCAACTAAAACAGCAGTGCCCAACCATTTCGGTACCAGGGACAGTTTTGTGGAAGACAATTTTTTCACGGATGGGGGGCAGGGGTTGGGGAGGATGGTTTTGGGATGAAACTGTTCCTCCTCAGATCATCAGGCATTAGATTCTCTTAGGAAGCAGGCAACCTAGATCCCTCACATGTACAGTTCACAATACGGTTCATATTCCTATGAGAATCTAATGCTGCTGCTGATCTGACAGGAGGTGGAGCTCAGACAGTAATGCTCGCTCATCTGCTGCTCATCTCTTGCTGTGCCGCCTGGTTCCTAACAGGCCACGGATGGGTACAAGTCTGCAGGCCTGAGGGGGCTGGGGATCCCTGCACAAAGAGTTAACAGTACTTACTCTGGCTAGTAAGATTTCTATGACTCATATTTGTTACTCGGTATTTAAGTAGTTACTATGAGCCAAGCACTGTTCCGCAGACTAAGGTAAACAATTCAAACATGGTCCCTGTCCCCATTTGAAGGAAATCAACAAGTGACAAAGAATGACCAGGAAAACCTATTTTAGATAGAGTGATTGGGGATGGCCTTTCTGAAAAGGTGACCGTGGATATGAAACCTGAATGTTAAGCAGCCAGTCATGTAAAGAGGCTGAGGAAGCATACCATCAGGAGAGAAAATTATAGGCACAAACAAAGGCAGTGGGGTAGGAGGAAGCATCATGGCTAGAATGCAGAGAGGAGAGGGAAGAAGTACAAAAAGCAGCTAGAGAAGAACCTATACAGAGCATGAAGCACTTTTACAGTAAGAAAAAAAGGATCAAGCTGGTTTCATCAAAAAAAAAAAAAAAAAAACCTATTACACCATCCGAACTGTATAAGCAGACGACATTTTCAAAGTCTTTCTTTGCTAAGTCCTTGACATACACATCTCATTTAATCCTCAAGACAGAACTATTAAAAATCATCCAGAGCCAGGTGCAGTGGTTCATGACTGTAACCCCAGCACTTTGGGAGGCTGAGGCAGGAAAATCACTGGAGCTGAGGAGACCAGCCTGGGCAACATGGAGAAACCTTGTCTCTACAAACAACACAGAAAGATTAGCCGGGTGTGGTGACGCGCACCTGTAGTCCCACCTACTTCAGAGGTTAAGAAGAAAGGATCACTTGAGCTAAGGAGGCAGAGGGTGCAGTGAGCCATTATTGCGCCACTGCACTCCAGCCTGAGCAACAGAGTGAGACCCTTTTTCCAGGGGGAAAAAAAAAGGGCATCCAGAAGACTTCAAAAAGCCAGTCCATAGATCAGATGCACCAGAATCATCTAAAGATGCACACACTCCTGAGTCCTACACCTAAAGATTCAACTGTAAGTCTTAGGTGGACTCAAGATTCTCTATTTTTTACTTTCCAGATGATCAGAAGTTAGTATAGTAACATACAGACCTTCACATCTCAATACCTGTGTGTACACAATCCCGGAATACCATATTTAGACTAAGTCAGTGGGAAGGTCATATTTGTATTCAGTAGATCCTGTTTAAGCAAAGTGTATATTTTTCAAATATTTCCTAAACTCTATAGGAGATATTATTTATTTACTTATGTATTTATATTTTTTCAGACAGTCTTGTTCTGTCACACAGGCTGGAGTGCAGTGGCACGATCTAAGCTCACTGCAACCTCTGCCTCCCAGGTTCAAGGGATCCTCCTACCTGAGCCTCCTGAGTACCTAGGATTACAGCTGCATGCCACCACACCCGGCTAATTTTTGTATTTTTAGTAAAGGCAAAGTTTCACTTTGCACAGTTTTAACTCCTGACCTCAAGTAATTCGCCTGCCTGGGCCTCCCAAAGTGCTGGGGTTACAGCTTTTTCTTTTTCTTTTTTTTTTTATTATTATTATACTTTAAGTTCAAGCATACATGTGCACAACGTGCAGGTTTGTCACATATGTATACATGTGCCATGTTGGTATGCTGCATCCATTAACTCGTCATTTATATTTGGCATATGTCCTAATGCTATCCCTCCCCACTCCCCCGACCCCACAATAGGCCCCAGTGTGTGATGTTTCCCTTCCTGTGTCCGAGTGTTCTCATTGTTCAATTCCTACCTATGAGTGAGAACATGCGGTGTTTGGTTTTTTGTCCTTGCGATAGTTTGCTGAGAATGATGGTTTCCAGCTTCATCCATGTCCCTACAAAGGACATGAACTCATCCTTTTTTATGGCTGCATAGTATTCCATGGTGTATATGTGCCACATTTTCTTAATCCAGTCTATCATTGATGGACATTTGGCTTGGTTCCAAGTCTTTGCTATTGTGAATAATGCCACAATAAACATACATGTGCATGTGTCTTTAGAGCAGCATGATTTATAATCCTTTGAAAATATACCCTGTAATGGGATGGCTGGGTCAAATGGCATTTCTAGTTCTAGATCATTGAGGGATCGCCACATCTTCCACAATGGTTGAACTAGTTTACAGTACCACCAACAGTGTAAAAGTGTTCCTATTTCTCCACATCCTCTCCAGCCTGTTCTTTCCTGACTTTTTAATGATTGCCATTCTAACTGGTGTAAGATGGTATCTCATTGTGGTTTTGATTTGCATTTCTCTGATGGCCAGTGATGATGAGCATTTTTTCATGTATCTGTTGGCTGCAAAAATGTCTTCTTTTGAGAAGTGTCTGCTCATATCCTTCGCCCACTTTTTGATGGGGTTGTTTGTTTTTTTCTTGTAAATTTGTTTGAGTTCTTTGTAGATTCTGGATATTAGCCCTTTGTCAGATGAGTAGATTGCAAAAATATTCTCCCATTCTATAGGTTGCCTGTTCACTCTGATGGTAGTTTCTTTTGCTGTGAAGAAGCTCTTTAGTTTAATTAGATCCCATTTGTCAATTTTGGCTTTTGTTGCCATTGCTTTTGGTGTTTTAGACATGAAG
Organism: Homo sapiens; assembly: GCF_000001405.40. Lineage (NCBI taxonomy): Eukaryota > Metazoa > Chordata > Mammalia > Primates > Hominidae > Homo > Homo sapiens. Next base: position 41,043,371 of record NC_000013.11, read on the forward strand.
TCCTTGCCCATGCCTATGTCCTGAATGGTAAAGCCTAGGTTTTCTTCTAGGGTTTTTATGGTTTTAGGTCTAACATTTAAGTCTTTAATCCATCTTTAATTAATTTTTTGTAAGGTATAAGGAAGGGATCCAGTTTCAGCTTTCTACATATGTCTAGCCAGTTTTCCCAGCACCATTTATTAAATAGGGAATCCTTTCCCCATTGCTTGTTTTTGTCAGGTTTTTCAAAGATCAGATGGTTGTAGATGTGTGGTGTTATTTCTGAGGGCTCTGTTCTGTTCCATTGGTCTATATCTGTTTTGGTAGCAATACCATGCTGTTTTGCTTACTGTAGCCTTGTAGTATAGTTTGAAGTCAGGTAGCGTGATGCCTCCAGCTTTGTTCTTTTGGCTTAGGATTGACTTGGCAATGTGGGCTCTTTTTTGGTACCATATGAACTTTAAAGTAGTTTTTTCCAATTCTGTGAAGTCATTGGTAGCTTGATGGTGATGGCACTGAATCTATAAATTATCTTGGGCAGTATGGCCATTTTTGCAATATTGATTCTGCCTATCCATGAGCATGGAATGTTCTTCCATTTGTTTGTGTCCTCTTTTATTTCATTGAGCAGTGGTTTGTAGTTCTCCTTGAAGAGGTCCTTCACATCCCTTAAGTTGGATTCCTAGGTATTTTATTCTCTTTGAAGCAATTGTGAATGGGAGTTCACTCATTATTTGGTTCTCTGTTTGTCTGTTATTGGTGTATAAGAATGCTTGTGATTTTTGCACATTGATTTTGTATCCTGAGACTTTGCTAAAGTTGCTTATCAGCTTAAGGAGATTTTGGGCTGAGACAATGGGGTTTTCTAGACATACAATCATGTCATCTGCAAAGAGGGCCAATTTGATTTCCTCTTTTCCTAATTGAATACCCTTTATTTCTTTCTCCTGCCTAATTGCCCTGGCCAGAACTTCCAACACTATGTGGAATAGGAGTGGTGAGAGAGGGCATCCCTGTCTTGTGCCAGTTTTCAAAGGGAATGCTTCCAGTTTTTGCCCATTATGATATTGGCTGTGGGTTTGTCATAAATAGCTCTTACTATTTTGAGATACGTCCCATCAATACAGAATTTATTAAGAGTTTTTAGCATGAAGCGCTGTTGAATTTTGTCAAAGGCCTTCTCTGCATCTATTGAGATAATCATGTGGTTTTTGTCTTTGGCTCTGTTTATATGATGGATTACGTTTATTGATTTGCTTATGTTGAACCAGCCTTGCATTCCCCCGGATGAAGCCCACTTGATCATGGTGGATAAGCTTTTTGATGTGCTGCTGGATTCAGTTTGCCAGTATTTTACTGAGGATTTTTGCATCGATGTTCATCAGGGATATTGATCTAAAATTCTCTTTTTTTGTTGTGTCTCTGCCCGGCTTTGGTATCAGGATGATGCTGGCCTCATAAAATGAGTTAGGGAAGATTCCCTCTTTTCCTATTGACTGGAATAGTTTCAGAAGGAATGGTACCAGCTCCTCCTTGTACCTCTGGTAGAATTCGGCTGTGACTCCATCTGGTCCTGGACTTTTTTTGGTTGGTAGGCTATTAATTATTTCCTCAATTTCAGAGCCTGTTATTGGTCTATTCAGGGATTCAACTTCTTCCTGGTTTAGTCTTGGGAGGGGGTATGTGTCAAGGAATTTATCCATTTCTTCTAGATTTTCTAGTTTATTTGCATAGAGGTATTTATAGTATTCTCTGATGGTAGTTTTCATTTCTGTGGTATCAGTTGTGATATCCCCTTTATCATTTTTTATTGCATCTATTTGATTCTTCTCTCTTTTCTTCATTAGTCTTGCTAGTGGTCTATCAATTTTGTTGATCTTTAAAAAAAAAAAACAGCTCATGGATTCACTGATTTTTTGAAGGGTTTTTTATGTCTCCATCTCCTTCAGTTCTGCTCTTACTTATTTCTTGCCTTCTGCTAGCTTTTGAATTTGTTTGCTCTTGCTTCTCTAGTTCTTTTAATTGTGATGTTAGGGTGTCAATTTTAGATCTTTCCCGCTTTCTCTTGTGGGCATTTAGTACCACAAATTTCCCTCTACACGCTGCTTTAAATGTGTCCCAGAGATTCTGGTATGTTGTGTCTTTGTTCTCATTGGTTTCAAAGAACATGTTTATTTCTGCCTTCATTTCGTTATGTACCCAGCAGTCATTCAGGAGCAGGTTGTTCAGTTTCCATGTAGTTTTGAGTGAGTTTCTTAATCCTGAGTTCTATTGATTGCACTGTGGTCTGAGAGACAGTTTGTTATAATTTCTGTTCTTTTACATTTGCTGAGGAGAGCTTTACTTCCAACTATGTGGTCAATTTTGGAATAAGTGCGATATGGTGCTGAGAAGAATGTATATTCTGTTGATTTGGGGTGGAGAGTTCTGTAGATGTCTATTAGGTCCACTTGGTGCAGAGCTGAGTTCAATTCCTGGATATCCTTCCTTATTAACTTTCTGACTCATTGATCTGTCTAATGTTGACAGTGGGGTGCTAAAGTCTCCCATTATTATTGTGTGGGAGTCTAAGTCTCTCTATAGGTCTCTAAGGACTTGCTTCATGAATCTGGGGGCTCCTGTATTGGGTGCATATATATTTAGGATAGTTAGCTCTTCTTGTTGAATTGATCCCTTTACCATTATGTAATGGCCTTCTTTGTCTCTTTTGATCTTTGCTGGTTTAAAGTCTGTTCTATCAGAGACTAGGATTACAACCCCTACCTTTTTTTGTTTTCCATTTGCTTAGTAGATCTTCCTCCATCCCTTTATTTTGAGCCTATGTGTGTCTCTGCACATGAGATGGGTCTCCTGAATACAGCACACTGATGGGTCTTGACTCTTTACCCAATTTGCCAATCTGTGTCTTTTAATTGGAGCATTTAGCCCATTTACATTTAAGGTTAATATTGTTATGTGTGAATTTGATCCTGTCATTACTATGTTAGTTGGTTATTTTGCTTGTTAGTTGATGCAGTTTCTTCCTAGCATCAATGGTCTCTACAATTTGGCATGTTTTTGCAGTGGCTGGTACCAGTTGTTCCTTTCCATGTTTAGTGCTTCCTTCAGGAGCTCTTGCAGCGCAGGCCTGGTGGTGACAAAATCTCTCAGCATTTGCTTGTCTGTAAAGGATTTTATTTCTCCTTCACTTATGAAGCTTAGTTTGGCTGGATATGAAATTCTGGGTTGAAAACTCTTTTCTTTAATAATGTTGAATATCGGCCCCCACTCTCTTCTGGCTTGTAGAGTTTCTGCTGAGAGATCTGCTGTTAGTCTGATGGGCTTCCCTCTGTGGGTAACCCGACCTTTTTCTCTGGCTGCCCTTAACAGTTTTTCCTTCATTTCAACTTTGGTGAATCTGACGATTATGTGTCTTAGAGTTGCTCTTCTCAAGGAGTATCTTTGTGGTGTTCTCTGTATTTCCCAAATTTGAATGTTGGCCTGCCTTGCCAGATTGGGGGAGTTCTCCTGGATTATATCCTGAAGAGTGTTTTCCAACTTGGTTCCATTCTCCCCGTCACTTTCAGGTACACCAATGAGACGCAGATTTGGTCTTTTCACATAGTCCCACATTTCTTGGAGGCTTTGTTCGTTTCTTTTTACTTTTTTCTCTAAACTTCTCTTCTCGCTTCATTTATTTGATCTTCAATCACTGATACCCTTTCTTCCAGTTGATCAAATCGGCTACTGAAGCTTGTGCATTCGTCACGTAGTTCTCCTGCCATGGTTTTCAGCTCCATCAGGTCGTTTAAGGACTTCTCTACACTGGTTATTCTAGGTAGCCATTTGTCTAATCTTTTTTCAAGGTTTTTAGCTTCTTTGCCATGGGTTCAAACTTCCTGCTTTAGCTCAGAGAAGTTTGATCGTCTGAAGCCTTCTTCTCTCAACTCGTCAAAGTCATTCTCCGTCCAGCTTTGTTCCGTTGCTGGCGAGGAGCTGCATTCCTTTGGAGGGGGAGAAGTGCTCTGATTTTTAGAATTCTTGGTTTTTCTGCTCTGTTTTTTCCCCATCTTTGTGGTTTTATCTACCTTTGGTCTTTGATGATGGTGACGTACAGATGGGCTTTTGGTGTGGATGTCCTTTCTGTTTGTTAGTTTTCCTTCTAAGGGTCAGGACCCTCAGGCTGCAGGTCTGTTGGAGTTTGCTGGAGGTCCATTCCAGACCCTGTGTGCCCGGGTATCAGCAGCAGAGGCTGCAGAACAGAGAATATTGCTGAACAGCAAATGTTGCTGCCTGATCATTCCTCTGGAAGCTTCATCTCAGAGGGGTACCTGGCCGTGTGAGGTGTCAGTCTGCCCCTACTAGGGGTGCCTCCCAGTTAGGCTACTTGGGGGTCAGGGACCCACTTGAGGAGGCAGTCTGACTGTTCTCAGATCTCAAACTCTGTGCTGGGAAAACCACTACTCTCTTCAAAGCTGTCAGACAGGGACATTTAAGTCTGCAGAGGTTTCTGCTGCCTTTTGTTTGGCTATGCCCTGCCCCCAGAGGTGGAGTCTACAGAGGCAGGCAGGCCTCCTTGAGCTGCAATGGGCTCCACCCAGTTCGAGCTTCAGGCCACTTTGTTTACCTACTCAAGCCTCAGCAATGGCGGGTGCCCCTTCCCCAGCCTCACTGCCACCTTGCAGTTCGATCTCAGACTGCTGTGTTAGCAATGAGCGAGGGTCTGTGGGCATGAGGCCCTCCAAGCCAGGTACAGGATATAATCTCCTGGTGTGCCATTTGCTAAGACCGTTGGAAAAGCACAGTATTAGGGTGGGAGTGACCCGATTTTCTAGGTGCCTTCTGTCACAGCTTCTCTTGGCTAGGAAAGGGAATTCCCTGACCCCTTGCGCTTCCAGGTGAGGCGATGCCTCGCCCTGCTTCGGCTCACGCTCGGTGGCCTGCACCCACTGTCTTGCACACACTGTCCGACAAGCCCCAGTGAGATGAACCCGGTACCTCAGTTGGAAATGCAGAAATCACCCGTCTTCTGCGTCACTCACGCTGAGAGCTGTAGACTGGAGCTGTTCTTATTTGGCCATCTTGGAACTGCCTACAGTCTTTTCTTTGAGACAAGGTCTCCATCTGTCACTCAGGCTGGAGTGCAGTGGTACAAACACAGCTTACTGCAGCCTTGACCTCCAGGGCTCGAGTGATCTCACCTCAGCCTCCCGAGTAGCTGGGATTATGGGCACACCACCAAGCCCAGCTAATTTTTTAATATTTTATAGTGACAGGATACCAGTATGTTACCCCAGCTAGTCTAAAATTCTAGGCTCAAGCAATCCGCCCACCTCAGCCTGCTAAAGTGCTGGGATTACAGTTGTGAGCTACTACGCCTAGCCGAAGGTATTTTTTTAATTCAAGTTTTTCCTTTAAAAAAAAAAAAAGAACCTGAATTGGCACCCTGTCACACACCGCAACCCCAACTACAACTACTATTCATTCTCACTCCCTGCTTTTCACAGCCAAACTTCCTCAAAAGATGTGTATATACTGTCCTCACCTACTCATTTCTTCATCTCCCGCTCATTCTTCAACCAGCCTAATCTAACTTAATTCTGCCCCTATTATGCCACTAAATCTAACTAAAGTTAATGACCTCCCAGGGCTAAATCCAATGAACACTTTCAGAACTTGTTGTGTTAGACCTATCACTTTAAACACTTCTTTGGCTTCTGTGATAACACTCTCCTGATTTTGCCCCAATTCTGGACTACTCTTTCTCAGTTTTCTCTGCCCCACCTCCTCACCACTTACCACTAGAGGTCCTAAAAGCTCAAAGTCTTCTTCTTACTCCAGACTCTCCCAAGTCAAGTATCAATTTCTAGGGCTTCAAACTACCAAATCACAGTATCAAGGTGAAAATCACTTATCCTCAATTACCCTTGACAATTCTCTTAAGTTCACCCTTTAAGTACACTTTACCATATGAACAGCTCACAATGGTGGCCAATATACAATCCCCTCCAACATTCAAGCACCATACTAAACAGGTAGTTTACAGTTAAAGACCAAGTGTACAAAAAAGTACATCATTTTTCTTGCTCCTATGCCATTCCACCTCCATAATCCCTCATTTAAAACCCATCAATATCTGCCCACTCTGCTGAAGATAAAATTCAAAATATCTAACATGGCCTAGAATGTCTTATATGATTTGATACCTTGCAGCCTCATCTCCCATTGCATCTCACTTTCTACATGACAGCCCACCAGGCCTTTCATTTCCCAAAATACACTCTTTCCTCCTTGCAGACCATTTGCAAAATGCTACTCCCTCAATCTACTCTCTCTTCCCTTTTCTCCCTTTCTCTTACATAAGGCTTAGTCATCCTTTGGATCTCTACAGAAACGTCATGTCCTTAGGGAAGCCTTCTCAATCCAGCCCTTCCCTACACTATGTTAGGGGTCTCCCTGCCATGCGTGTACACTTAAGCACACTTTTTACTTGTTCAATCCATGTCCGTCTCTCCCACTAAACTGCAAGCTTCATGAGGATCTTGTCAGCTTTTATCATTGTTTTATCCCAGCATCTAACACTCACATATTGGTGAAATAAGAAACTGCATCATTACAGATGCTGTTTACATTCATAAATAATGTGCATAGAGTATCCACATACAAACTGAAATTTGCTTTTTAAAATTATTTAATTGGGGTAAAGTAGAACAAAACGTATTATCTTAATCCTTTTTAAGTATACAGTTCAATAGTCTTTAGTACATTCACATTGTGGTGCAACAAAACTCTTTTCATCTTTCAAAGCTGAAACTCTATATCCATTAAGCAATAACCCCCCTTTCTCCCTTACCCCCAGTTCCTGGCAACCACCATTCTACTTAAGTCTCTATGAGACTATTCTAGGTACCTCATATAAGGTGAATCATGCAGTATATCTTCTTTGTGACTGGCTTATTTCACTTAGCATAATGTCCTCAAGGTTATGTAGCATGTTGTCAGAATTTCCTTCCTTTTTAAGGCTGAATCACATTTCACTGTATGTACACACCACACTTTAACCATTCATCCACTGACTGATCTTTGGGTTGCTTCCACCTTTTGGTAACATAATAAATATTTATTATTGTAACGCTGCTAAGAACATACAAATATCTCTGAGACCTTGCTTTCAATTATTTTGAGTATATATCAAGAAGCAGAATTGCTGGATTATGATAATTCTCTTTCAAAAAAAATTTTTTTTGAGATGGAGTCTCGCTCTGTCACCCAGTCTGGAGTGCAGTGGCACAATCTCGGATCGCTGCAACCTCCCAGGTTCAAGGGATTCTTCTGCTTCAGCCTCCCAAGTAGCTGGGACTACAGGCACCTGCCACCACGCCCAGCTAATTTTTGTATTTTTAGTAGAGACAGGATTTCACCATATTTGCCAGGCTGGTCTCGAACTCCTTACCTCGTGATCCACTTGCCTAAGCCTCCCAAAGTGCTGGGACTACAGGCATGAGCCACCACACCCGGCCTCTTTCAGATTTTTTAGAAAGTGCCATCCTGTTTTCCATTGTGGCCAGAACATTTTACATCCCCACCAACACAGGAATTCTTGTACAAGAGTTTCAGTTTCTTCACATCCTTGCCAATACCTGTTATATTCTGCTTTGTTTTGTTTTAATAGGACCCATCCTAATGAGTATCAGGTTGTGACTGCTTTCATATAAACTTTATGTGCCTTCATTTCCCACACATTTGTGGCAAAAAGCCATCTAAAAATATGTTTCATAAACAAACAACCTTCTAGAAGGTAATGGCAATGCAAAAGAAAAAAGTTTTTAAAAGTAGCACTTTAAGGGACAGTAATATTGTAGTTCATGTGAAATGGCATAAAAACAAAGGGAAAAAAAAACAAATGAAAGGCATTCCCACTCATATCTGAAATTCTCTGATGCCACCTGCCTGCTTGGAGCTCCAAATTCCTTAAGCTTATGTTTTGCCTCCCTTCAGGATACTCCTCCTTCACTACTGCCCCCAATTCATGCGCTGGGACACCTTATCCCATTCTCTTTGCCTGTGGCTGTACCCTTCCTTTCTATTTCAGCTCTGTGCACCTTGGCATTAGAGGGTATCGATGATAAACACAGACGTTTGAACAGCTGAGGTAAAATGAATCCCATTACAACCTTGAAAAGTTGAATTAAATGTTTGATTAAAACTGAAAATGAAAAACACACACACACACACCTGAAAACGGATAAAAAAGTTTCATATAGAGCAATATATCAACACATTCTAAATCAGAAATGTATCTTGGTCTCTGGACTCTAAATTCAAAAAACTTTAAGTAATAAGATTAAACTGCAAATAAAGATTTACGACAATCTAGAATGACTCTCTGGATCAAAAAGTCACTAGGCTAGGCACCTTCCCACAAATTTAAAATAAAGCACAAAAATGTTTTAAGTCAAAGGTGTGTATTCAATAGTGATTAGTGTGCATTCAAAAATAAAAGATGTTTTAAAGTTTGCATACACACAAAATTTATAGAATAGTTATTGCTTTTTCAAAGTTCAAGTCGTCTATATTAGAATCACTTTTCTTTCTTTCTTTTTCTCTTTTTTTTTTTTTTTTTTTTGAGACAGAGTCTCACTCAGTCTGTCGCCCAGGCTAGAGTGCAATGGCATGATATCGACTCACTGCAACCTCCACTTCCCAGGTTCAAGTGATTCTCCTGACACACCCTTCAAGTAGCTGAGATTACAGGTGTGCACCACCATGCCCAGCTAATTTTTGTATTTTTAGTAGAGACGAGGTTTCATCACATTGGCCAGGCTGGTCTTGAACTCCTGACCTCAAGTGATCTGCCCACCTCAGCCTCCCCAAGTGCTGGGATTATAGGCGTGAGACACTGCGCCTGGCCAGAATTACTTTTCAAAGAACAAAATGTTTTAGTATTTAAATTTGTGAAATGAACTCAGGAGTGAACACTTCCATTAATCCTGAAATAGTAACCATTATAGCATAAAAATGTAGAAAGATATTGTGTGATAAAGTCTCTTAAGTGCTGGTGAAATGTTAAACTAAAAATTTATGTAAGTTCATTGTCATTTACAATTTTAAAAAGGATATCATAGCAAAACCATTAAAGAAGACTAGAAAACAAATATATCTTTAAGTTTATTGACTCTTCATTCAATACCTAGGTGAAGAGTAAATAGATCACCAAGTATTTTGAAAGTTACCTTCCTTGGCCAGGCACAGTCGCTCACGCCTGTAATCCCAGCACTTTAGAAAGCCAAGGCGGGAAGATCACCTGAACCCAGCATTTAGAGGTTGCAGTGAGCCATGATCATGACACAGCACTCCAGCCTGGGAGACAGAGAGACTCCCTGTCTCAATAAATAAATAAATGAGTAAATACTTAAAAATAAATTTAAGAAAGTAAGCTACTTTTCTTAAACTGTATCTAAATAATACTAACCTAATCTAAATGATCTACATTATATGGCAATTTACCTTGTAAACCTACATAAACGTGCACTTTCATCATAGTCTACTTCACTTACAATTACACAGCACTGTTTGTAGAATGTGAGACATATGTGTTAGCAAAAAATAATTTTGAAAAGTTACCCACAACTCCATATATTTACTTTGAAAAAGTTAAATAAAACCGAACACTTAAAGTTTATTGCATTTGTCACACTACATTTTTCAGAACTGACTCAGAGAAATATTTAAATAATTAAAATCACCAGGCACTGTGGCTCACGCCTGTAATCTCAGCACTTTGGGAGGCTGAGGCAGGAGGATCACTTGAGGTCAAGAGTTCCAGACCAGCCTGGCCAATACAGTGAAATTCCATCTCTACTAAAAATACAAAAATTAGCCGGGTATGGTGGTGCACGCCTGGAATCCCAGCTACTCATGAGGCTGAGGCATGAGAATTGCTTGAACCCGGGAGGCAGAGCTTGTAGTGAGCCGAGATCATGCTACTGCACTCCAGCCTGGGTGACAGACTGAGACTCCGTCTCAAAAAAAAAAAAAATTAAGATCATTAACATTATATTTGACCATTAGTACATTACCAAAACGTAAGGTCCTTATGGTAAAGTACCAGGTCTCTATGGTGAAGTATCAGTGGCAAGGGGGTCAATCAATGATTCATCCATTCTCCTCAGTGTGGATATCACCTTCTTAAATAAGGCACAATTGCTGACCCCAGATGGCTGCTTCAACCCACTTCTGCTTTACTGGTGACACAAATTTCAAGCCCTAAATGGCTACCCCACCCCTTCTGACACCTCTGGGAATTCAAGTGTGTAAGATATTTATAACATTATTGGCTGTAAACAGCTCATCTCTTAGGAAAGTTTTATTTGGTCGTGAGTCCAAAACTGAAACATTTCCTGAGTTGCAGTGAGCAAATAAGTATTTCACAATCACCATTTTATTTTGATTCAAGCTAGTTTATGAAACTACCAAACTAGTATAATTTGTGAGCAGAGTGTCCTTCTAAATAAGTAGCGTAATATAAACCAAACTCATTTGTATAAATACAATTAAGGCAATCCATCCAAAACGTAGAGAACTTTTAACAACTACAACCAAATCCACAAAAAAACGAGGCAAGAAGGCCACTTTCACTTAGCCAAAAAAGGGTGTGGGGGGATGTTTGATATATTTCTCAAAAAATATAACTCTCAAGGATAATACCATATGTCTTATAAAATGGGATGAAAAAAATCAGTACAACAAAAGGGATAAATGACCATTTCACAACAGGCCTACATGCCACAATATTTTAAAAAACCAACCCTTCCATATGAAATTTCTAGAGCAAAGAAGTACCATCTAAAAACCACTCTTGAATCATTGCAGCTTTTTAAAACTACTGGTTCCATTTTAGATTCCCTTTATTTAAAAGCCTCAGAAAAAATTCAGAGAAAAAATTAATTTCAAGCTTTCTATTTAATGAGCATCACTGCATGCACCAACGTGGAAGAACCAAAGCCAGTTCTAAAACAGTAAATCGCAAATGAATGAAACTTTAATTCTTGATGGTTTTAGTCCTGATATTTTGTCCACAGGGTGGCAGTCTCACAGTATTAACTTGTTCATGGAGTCAATGCACAATTTCAGAGTTCGAAAGCCACAGACACACGCAGGTATGCAATAAATTTACTAGCTGGCCAACCCTAAGAGTAAAAACTGCCAGTCCGCTGCAATAAAATCTGTGCTTCATAACTTCTCTATTTCTTTTAGAAATATTTACTTTCTGAAGTCGTAGATTTTTTCCTTCAGTGTTATCTGTTGTATCTGATCCTTTCTATTCTGCTGCCACCACCCTATTTAGGGAGAGAGTAGAAGCAAGGAGAGATGTTAGGAGATTATTATTGGACTGCGGGAAGTCCTTGACCTTTGTCAAGGCCTAATGGAGTGGGAACAGGAAAGGGACAGTGGAGATGGGGAGCACAGACATAATCCTTCCATCCACCAGTTCAACCTGCACGTTACTACCAAATTCATTTCATTAAAACATTCCTCGTATTACCAGAAATCTCTTTTCCTAACTAAACTCCTTAGCTCCAAATCCAAGAGGCTTCCAAAATCTCCTTGTCAAGGGGCTTCGTAAAATAAACTTTGCTTTGCTTTAAATAGACCTTGCTTGCCACTTCTTGATTTTCATTCATTCATTCAAATGTTTTCTGAATGTTTACCAGGTGCCAAGCCCTGCTTCAAGTCTGATGATACAGAGGGAAACAAGTCAAAGCCCCTGCTCCAAAGTTACACTCCTGACAGTGGTCTGTGAGCGGGAGGAGGATATGTCCCCAGACACTTCCAGCTCTCTGCAGGTAAGAGGTATCGTTCTTCCTAAGTATGAGCCATTGGAGGCACACTAGGCATCAGGAGGATAGTAAAAACACATTGTCCACTACAGACCCTAATCTATTTTCGCAGCCTTATTTCCCATTCCTATCCTACCTGCACCCTCAGCTCCATTAAAATGTGCTAGTAACTGTTGACATGCCTCTGCTCCTGCTTGCTTCCTCTCAATGCCTTGTCCCCATCCCTGTCTCTACCAGCAAAAGCCTAACCAGCCTTCAAAGCTTATCTCGAATGCTGCCTCCTACAGGAGGCCTTTCCTCATTCCCCTCACACAAACTCAGATATGGATTTTGAACACTATCAAACACTTATGACCCCTGGCTTAGTCCCCTCTGAGCATTTATCAAACTATGTATTGTATCATAATTATCTGTATACTTACCTAACCTCCTCCATCAGTTATTTAATAAGCACTTACCACATTTGTGGAACTAACTAGGAGCTGAAGTTTCCCCATTAAATTATTCCATTATTATTTTAATTTTTATTTTCTAGAGAGAGGGTCTCACCCTGTTGCCCAGGCTGGAGTTCAGTGGTGCGATCATAGCTCACTGCAGCCTCAACCCCCCAGGTTCAAGCAATCCTACCACCTCAGCCTCCTGAGGAGCTGGGACTACAGGAACGCACCACCACACCAGCTAATTTTTGTTTTTTTTTTTCTTTGGTAGAGATGAAGTTTCACCATGTTGCCCAGGCTGCTATTATTTTAAAACAGGTAATATCCAAATGATAAATGTAAAATCAAGAGAGAAAATATTCTATATGCTTTTTATTGCTTCAATCCCTTTTAAGAGTTTAGTCGAGATAAAACTTACATATCATGAAGTTTATCTATTTAAAGTGTACACTTCAACATTATTTAGTGCATTTATAGAGTTATAGAACTATCACTGTAATCTATTTCAGGACTTTCAATCACCCTAAATTTACTATCCACATTGGCAGTCACCTCACCCCAAACCTCCCTATCCCCTCTAATCCAAGGCAACCACTAATTTTCCCTCTTTCTCTATAGATTTGCCTATTTTGGATATTTCATATAAATGGAATAAAAATGTGGTCTTTCATGCCTGACTCCTTAGTGTAATGTTCTTGTGATTGAGTACCTCATCCCTTTTTATTCCCAAATATTCCACTGTGTGGATACACTACATTTTACCTATTCACTCATCAGTTGAGGGACATTCAGGTTGTTTCTACTTTTTGCTTATGAATAATGCTGCTATAAACATTTGTATACAAGGTTTGGTGTGGGCATGTTTTCATTTCTACTGGGTACACACCTAGGAGTGGAAATACTGGATCATATGGTAACTGTTTAACATTTTGAGGAACTGCCAAACTGTTTTCCAAAGCAACTGCACCATTATACATTTCCAGCAGCACTGTATAAGGGTTCCAACTTCTTTACTATTGTTTGAATCTTTACTACATACAGAACAAGAACGATCTCATATGATATCCTTGCCTTCAGGGAACTTATATTGACAGACTAAGACAAGAAATAAACAGAAACAAATAAACAGGTTAATTTCAGATACTAAGAAAATGAAAAAAATGTCATAAAGTAACCAGAAAGTAACCAAGGAAGAGGAAGTCTCAAGCTAAAGTGGTCAGAAAAGATCTGAGAAGGTAATGTTGACCTGAGATGTGCAGAGCTACAGGGGGAATATTCCAGGCAAAGGAAAAAGGCAAGAAACAAAACTCCGAGACAAGGATAAGTTTGGCATGGCAAAAAGGAAGCCTACGTAGCCAAGATACAGTGAAGTGGTAGATAAGGTAGGACCTGAGGTTAGATGGGTAAAGTCCAGATAATGTTGGACCTATGAGACCATGATAAGGTCTTCGGATTTTAGCTGAAATGCAGTAATTGCTTTAAAATCCCTTCTACTTCTTTAAATACCAGCGTTCATCTCTGCAAACATTTACTGAACTTTCACGTCTTTTTTTTTTTTTTTTTTAAGAGATAAGGTCTTAGGGTCTTGCTCTGTCACCTGGAGTGTAGCGGCAACATCACAGCTCACTGCAGCCTTGAACTCCTGGGCTCAATGGATCCTCCCACCTTAGGCTTGCAAGTAGCTAGGACTACAGGCATGTGGCATCACACCTGGCTAATTTTTTTTTAATTTTATTTTTGTAGAGACAGGCTCTTGTTATGTTGTCCAGGCTCTCTCACTTTTTCTCTTTTTTTTCCCCCCACCCCGAGATGGAGTCTCTCTCTGTCTCCAAGGCTGGAGTGCAGTGGCACGATCCTGAGATCCTGGCTTACTGCAATCTCTGCCTCCAGGGCTCAAGTGATCCTCCCACCTTGGCCTCCTGAATAGCTGATACAGGTGCAGCGGGTGCCACCACGCCTGGCTAATTTTTTGTATTTTTGGTAGAGATGGGATTTCGCCATGTTGATCCACCTGCCTCAGCCTCCCAAAGTGCTAGGATTACAAGCATAAGCCACCACACCCTGCCTCTTTCATGTATCTTCTAATTACACCTAACAGTAGCAAATATTAAAGAGGTTATTTGGGTAAATCCACAGCACTCAGTGTCACTAATTTATGGCCCAAGAGACAGCACCTAAAATATGCCTGCCAATGGCACAAGCGTTAAGAATGAATCCTCACAAACTGATTACCTAGCCTTAATCAATTTAAGATATACGTCTTACTGACAGTAGTGAGCAGCTCTGTCTTCGAATACCAAGGTCACTTTCAACAAAGCAAGACAGATTATTCTCACACTTTAAGCCTAGATTTCATTCCTATAAAGTGAATTCTAATTAACTGATTGCTTTTCTCCATTCTATTAATTACAAATTAATATTCAACTCCTAAACATAAAATGTACGGACACAAAATATTCTACATGTTTCTTTATTGTTTGAATCTTTTAAAACAAGAATTTTTCACATGCCACTGCTACCTTTGGGTTTTCCAAGAGACAGAAATGGTTTAAAAATTTTTGTGACATAAAATGTCACTCCTTGATAAAAGAACCTGTTACCTAGTCAAAATTTATCAAGTTAAAATTCCTTTCTACATTCCCAGCTTGATCTCCCATGGCCCTCCCTGCAGGCACTCTGTGCTCCTGCCAAACCGACTACTTGCCAGCCTCATACTTGTTCCCCCTACCTCAGCTTTATGATTCACATTCCCCAACAGGAGAAATCCAATCAGTTCTTCAAGGTCCACTCTCCCCTCTAGGTCTCTTCTCCAGTCCTCTCCCTTGAGCAGAACCGATTCCTCACCTCTGTTACTCCAGTAGCACTTCTACAACTCAGATGTTGCCTTACCATATTCTACGTAATGCACAACTACACGAAAGATAAATCTGTGTTTTATACAGAGATGATGCAACTACTTCCTTTGTGTTCACCCCCAGGTATATAGTACAACTATTTGCAATTACTGAGTGCACAGTTGAAAATAACATCCATTTTAGCACCATTTGGTACAATGTTGTAAACTCATTACAAAATACAAGGTCAAGGCCTGGCGTGGTGGCTCATGCCTGTAATCCTAGCACTTTGGGAGGCCGAGGTGGGTGGATCACCTGAGGTCAGGGGTTCGAGACCAGCCTGGCCAACATGGTGAAACATTGTCTTTACTCAAAATACAAAAATTGGCCACGCGTGGTGGCGGGTGTCTGTAGTCCCAGCTACTTGGGAGGCTGAGGCACGAGAATAGCTTGAATCCGGGAGGCGGAGGTTGCAGTGAGCTGAGATCGCGCCAATGCCCTCCAGCCTGGGTTAACAGAGCGAGACTCCGTCTCAACAAAAAAAAGAAGAAAAAGTCAAAAGTTAAGCCCTCTCTGGGGACAATTAAGGCAGAGTTATCCGAGTTATCTTTCCTTCTTTCCAAATTTTCAACTACTGTAATTCTTTAGTAACTGCTTCTTAATAATGACACACTATTACTTATTTAAATGAAAATTCCACTTTCATTATCTATTCAGGAATCGCTCAACAATTCTTGTAACTCTATTTAAAATTTGTGAGTGATACGTGTTATCAAAAATGTATGGCTCTAAAGCCAGAGAACAGAGAAGGTGAAAAGTCTCATCACACAGCTAATCACAAAGACCAAAATATTATTCCATTCAGTATTCTATCCACTAGCTAACATAAAGAATACAAACATCAGTAACTTCAAAAGCATGTGGTGGTGCTTGGTGTGTAGCAAACACACAAATATTTGAATTAATGAAGACGATTTAAAATACTTAGGCTTTTTCTTTCTTTTTAACAAGGTAAGCCTAATTAATCCTTAATCACGCAGATCACATTAACAAATTTACTGTGCAGTTAAAGCTACAAAATAGTCTGGGAACACACATACTAACAACCAAAACATCTGCTTTCAGTAATGGCACTGACCAGAAACCCATCTACAAGAGTCACTTTTTCCTTCTTCGTTTGTTCCCAGAGGCCCAATAAACATTATAGCCGACCCTATTTTCTAATTTCAGCTTGCATTTAAGATAACGCTTTTGTTTCATTTACAGCTCACATGCTGCTGACACAGCTGTCCCTTCTTTGTAATAAACACAGGGCTTCTATATTTAAAAATACAGTGAAACTTTGTTTTAACGTCCCCTCCCCAGTCTCCAGCCAATTTTCTCTTTCCCAAGCCCCACCTCCACCCCAGGATGTTTTGCCGTTGTTTTAATCAATTTTTTTCTTTAAATCAACCGCGCTCAAAATGTTAGACCCTTTGGAAAGTCGATATACTTATTTAAAGCCATCTCATCAGAGTGGTATTTTTCTCCTCCATAGCTCGTGGTGTGTATTTTTAAAGGGAAAGAAAAAAGATTCTCGTTCCCAAAGGCCTTTTTTCGAGGGTACTTTCCGTGACTGCGACCAGCGCCCCTTAAGTCAAGTTGGGAAGACCTCGCAGGCCGGCCTCGCGCTTGCTCAGGCGCCGCGGGTGGAGACGCGAGCGCACACGCGGCGGAAAGGGGCGCCGGGCGGCTGCGCGGCCGGGAAAGCGCGTCCCCCCGGGAGGGCGCGGAAGGCACACTGTGTTCCGTGGGGCCTCGTAAATACCCTGCGGCCAGAGAACCACTAGAGCTACTGGTCCGGGCGCGGGCTCTGGGGCGCCCAGGGCAGGGGGGTCAGCCCGTCCTGCATAGGAAGAGTCGCAAGAGCGGCTGAAGAGGGTGTGGGCCGGACGGGGGCGCTGGGAGGAGATAACGCAAGGCCGGAGTTAATCATCACCTCCCGGGCGTCTGGAAAACTACGGGCCGGAGGGGCGGGGGAGCAGCCCAGGGGAAAGTGAAACTCCCTCAGGGCCCACCAGCCCCGTGAGCCGGAGGCGGGAGGGAGAAGGATCGGAAGCGCATTCGCTTCTCCAGCAGGCACGGCGTGGCACTCGAGGCTCCAAAAGCCGCAGCCCAGCTCCTGGCGCCACTAACTACAGTAATGCTTATTTTCTACAAACTCACCCAGACGGGGACAAGAAAGGAGCCAGAACACAAGATTTAAAAAGTCAGCCCTCCAAACCGATAGTTGCAAAAAAAAAGAAAAATAAGGAAGCGTTCCCATACCGGGAGTCGAACCCGGGCCACCTGGGTGAAAACCAGGAATCCTAACCGCTAGACCATATGGGAAGTGCTATGAGAAACTGCCGTGACCCACCTGACAAGCATAAGTGCCTCTGCCTCCTTCGCCGCACCTCTCGCCACCGCCGCCTCTGCGCTACTGAAGCTGCTGCTGCCGCCGCCGCCGCCGCCGCCGCCGCCGCCGCTGCTGCTGCCCACACGCTCCCGAGCTAGGGAACAAGCCCCATCCGAGCGCGTGGGCGTCGTAGGGGAGAGGAGGGGCGGGGCCGCTCCGCTGCAACAGCAAAGTTTGAGGCGAAGCCTAGCGACTCGCAGCGCCGGTCCCGCAGTTTCACCTCTTTTTTTTTTAACTCCGCCAGAGGACCCCGACCCACAGGTCCCGGTTGCTCCGCTGGTCAAAGTGCGTGCGGAGTAGTTGGCAAAGTTGAGAGCGGAGACGTCTCTGGGAACAGCTGTTTGCGTTCCGGGCGGAGGCGGCGCGCTGAGCTCCTTGGCCTTGAGCCAGCGAGCCTAGAAGGAGGATGGAGGTTTTGGGCCCCAGGGGAGGACACAGAGACGGCGGGATGGCGCAGGGACTTGAGGCTTGAGATCCCGTCCTTCAGCTCAGGTCCCGTCGCGCTTTTACCCCTTCCCGGTGACCTCAACCCCTTTATACCGACCCCACCTCTTTGGAGCCGGGAGTACCGCCCCTGTAGGGGGAGGGGAGAGGAGGCGATTTCGAACGCGGATTGGATCGTCTGGGCACCCGTAGTTGGGAACAGCGGAACGCTGGTCCCGGGGACTGAGTAAGGTGTCTGGATCGGAGGGAGGTTCGGGTGGGCATCGGGCGGCTGGAAGAGCTCGACTCGTCCCGCTGGGAAAGCGCGAGTCTGAGTGGAACCCTGGACGACTTGCAGAGCGGCTGGCGCAGTCATGTGAGTTGGGTCTCAGGCCCTGAACAACGAGGTGTTGTTTCTCTGGGCCGCCCTTTCTCGCCCGGGTCTTCCCCTCCTCTCCTCCCGCCCTTCGGCCGGGGGCGTGACAGACGCGTTCTTAACTCGCTCGGGACCGGCCCCAGACCTGCAGGGCCGGTTCTCAGGGCGGGGTAGAAATGTTACCCCGCTGAACGCCCTGGGGTATGGGGCACGGGCTCTAGGGGGAGGCCGGCGGCCGGTTCAGGGGGCTGGTTGGACGGCCGCGGGTGAAGCGACGCAGTGCTCTCTCTACGACGCTGTCGGGGGTCGCATGCACCCCTTGGGTTTCCGAAGCCCCTGAACCCTAGGGTATTGTGAAACTAGGGCTGGGCTGCGGCCTCCCCCGCCCACTGGAAGCGGCCAGCCCTGGATAGCGTAATGGTTTTTTTTTTTTTTTTTTTTTTTTTTTTGTCGGCCGTCTACGAAGTCCCATGGCTTTTCCAGTTCTCTCTTGCCTTGAGGCTCAAGAACAGTTTGTTTTAACTGAGAGTCTGGGAGGAACTACAGTTTTCCCCAGAGTAGTCTTGTACGTTGTTCTCTTGGTGGGAATAACTTGATTTAAGGCAAACTTTATGAGTTTCTTCAGGTTTCCATTACAGCAACCTCCCCCAAAGCCAGAAAGGATAAATGTTCTTCTAAGATGTTCCTTAGTTTTTCATAACGATGACGATAACAAGTGAGGAATTTTTGAAAGCCATTTTATTGAAGGGAGTTTTGTAATGAATCAGATACAGACTTTTTCTACTCCGCTGGCAACAGAATTTCAATTGACTGTGCTCCAACCAGATAAATAATAAAACGACTATACATAACAAGACAAGATTCAGTAGCAGGGGCATATATTTCAAACTTTAAAAACTGTAAAGCATGCAGAATTTAACCTTTTTTAAGTTTTACATGAGCTTAGCCTTGTTGTCTCTCTTTTTCAGGGCGGACTACTGGAAGTCACAGCCAAAGAAATTCTGTGATTACTGCAAGTGCTGGATAGCAGACAATAGGCCTGTATGATAATTCCGCTGTTAGAGATTCTAATAATAATTGTGTTGAATGAAGTGCTCCTTTTTGATGTAAACTCAGTTTACAAAGCACTTTTATGTACATTGCTCTTGCATTTTCAAAACATCAGAAGATTTCTGTCTTCTCAGTCCCCTATGAAAGCTGTGAGCCTTCTTCCTTTTCATCAACCTGACTTTGATTATATATTAAATTATTTCTCTGTGGCCTTTTGGGAAATGGGCAATGAGTTGGTCATATCATTCATGTTATGAAGCACCTATATTATAATGGTGGTGTTCATAATACTGTCATACCCAAAGAATTGTGGAAAGCCCTTAAAAAATAAAAGCAACATGTTTAGTTTTTCTTGTATATTTTGTGGTCTAGAAATAATCAAGTGTATTTAATGCAGAGCTGTGTATCTTTAGATGCTTAAATTTGAAAGAACACCATTATTTCCTTTCTCATGAAACAAAGTAACAACTCTGTTAGGTATGTTGTTAGTCTGTCTCATAGTTGAGATCCAGTTTTGAAGATGTAAAGCAAAAAGCACACCGCTGATTTTTCTCCCCTCTTGCATGTCAAAATACTATGTACATACCACATAAACACTAGGGTATCTGTTAAATATATTTTATGTTGATACCGTTTTTACTTGGCAAAGTTGGATGCACAAAGAATAGTAGTCTCATATTTTAACAATGCTGTGGATTTCTTCTGTAGACATTTATTTCCTGTTACCTGCAAGGTGTTTAGGATTTGGATTTTTTTTTGATGTTTTGGTCTTTTTGGATAGTTGCTAAAGTTCTTCACTATTTTACCTAGGCTATCCTTATAAATAAATACCATGAATTTTTAAAACCACACAGGTCACTTAAAGTCTCTCTTTCTTGGAGGTACCTAGGCTGTAAAATGAATTTTGTGAGTTATCTAGAGTAAGTAATCCCTTCCAGTGTAGTCTGTCTTTATCTTCTTGAGTTGGTAATACACATTGATTTAACCTTTAATTAGAAACAAAATTAATTTAATTTTGAATGGTCCTTTAATATTGTATTCTTTGTGTAGTGTAATCAACTTTAGGAAACGCAATGTATGAAAAACAGGAGGATTATCTGCTTTACAAAGTCACACTTTAAAGATGAATTCATGGTAGTATTTTAAAATAGCTCAGTTAATGCATCATGTAAGATTTGATTGACAGAACTTATTTTGCAGAGCTTGTGAGGAATTTCTTACTGCATTTAACTAGAAACTTGTAATTTAGGGAGCATTTCTGATTGTTTAAATAGATAATTGCGCTCACTCACCAGCCCCTGTCCCCAGTCATCTAGTGGCCATCACTCCCCATAGGTTATCATTTTTTTTTTTCATTTTCTTGCCTATCCTTCCATTGTTTCTACATGCATGTAGACACAAGTTCTTATTCCAGCATACATAAAAGGTAATGTACTGTATATATTATTCTGCACTAGTTTTAAAAAATTTAACAGTATGTAACTGGAGCTCCCTTTGTATCCATACATAAAGAGCTTCTTTCTCTCTGTTACAGTAGACTATGAGAATGTACCATAGTTTAACCAGTCAGTCCCTTAGAGATGGATACCGTATTGTTATTGCAAACAGTGCTGCAGTCAGTAAGCTTGTGTATATCATGATTTTGTACATGTGCAGGTATATCTATAGAATAAATTACCAGAAATGAAATTGCTGTGTCAAAGGGTAAATGTATTTGTAGTCTTGATAGATATTGCCAAATTATCCTCCATAGAAGTTGTACATTTTGAACCATTACCACATTGTATAAAAGTGTTTGCTTATAATTTACGAGGAATCTTAAAATACATACTTTTCTCCTAAATTTAAGGAATAAAGCAATAAAATCATTGTTCTCTATGTCCCTCCTTGTGACAAATAGAGCAATAAAATTCTAAAGGCTTTTGATGTTGAAAGTTGTTTAAGATTTTTTTCCCCAGTCTTTTGGCTTCATGTCACGTTTGAGTCCTCATTACAATCATAGTCACTAGATTAGTCATCAAGGGTACCTTGTATTTTTCTCCATTAATAAGGTCATCATGGTTTATTTTAAGAACCAAAGGAAACCTAGTCAGAGGACATAATAATAAACAATGTAGTTCCCTAGCATCATTTGATTAAAAGGGCCAATTTGCATTAAATTAATGTTTTCATCTTTTCTGCCATTCATTTTAATTTTAATTTTCTCATGTTTATGAGAAAATTATGTTTACTATGAATTTTATGATGTTTATGTAGTTTTCTTTTGTTATTTTCTCTTTTCATTTTCAAGAGTGTTGAATTTCATGAAAGAGGAAAGAATCATAAGGAAAATGTGGCAAAAAGGATCAGTGAGGTAATTTAGATTGTTTATTTGCTAATTTTTCTATGCAAATGTCAGTCCTTTATCTCACTTTCACTGTTATGTATGTCTTACATAGATTAAACAGAAAAGCCTGGATAAGGCAAAGGAAGAAGAAAAGGCATCAAAGGAGTTTGCTGCAATGGAGGCAGCTGCCCTGAAAGCATACCAAGAGGATTTGAAAAGACTTGGCTTAGAGTCAGGTAAAAAAAAAAAAAAAAAAAAAGCAGCCAGCATGTTTTAAAAGTAACATCAGAGGTCAAGCTAAGTAAGCTTTGATTGCTTCCATAAAGAGGTTATAAACTCAGTGTACTCTCAGTGCTTTTATTATGCATCATAGCCCTGTTTAGACTATGGAAGTTTGCTTATGCCCTTTTGTTGTACTTTTAATGTTTTATCTTTTAACACCTTCATTCATAGCAGCCATACTACTTTTGTGGTCACCTAATCCTAGTTCTATCCTAGGTAAATGGTTCATTTCAGAGACACTTTGAGTTTTTTAGGTATTCTAGTTATTTGGCTAAGAGACACTATTCATTTAAAAATAGGCCTTGCATTATAATTGCAATTCACTGTGTCCATATGGTGAAAATTATGAGTCTTGTATATTTATATGGGTGAATATGTAGTGAATTAGCCTTTTGTGGACAATTAGCAGATTTTACTAGTAGAAGGCAGATATTTACTACTAGAAGGAAGTTCCAGATGAAAGACCTTATTTAACTAGACTGCATCTATCTTGTCATTGAATTTAGGCTTTAAACTGGGAAGGTTTTGTGAATAATTCTTCCATATCAAATCCGTTTTCCTTAAACCAGGCATATAGCAGATCTCAGTTGTTGATCTTACCTAGTGGTTGCAGTCATCAACATGTGATGGTATTCCTCTAATAAAAACAGCTTTCAATTAAGGTTTTAAGCAGAGTACCAGTTAAGTTAATTGGCATTGTGTTCATTAAATAAGAACAGTTGTAGCCAGACTTTGTTATCCTGGACATTGGTAATTAAAAGGTGGGAAAGTTGTTTGGTTCCTTGAGGATAAAGCCATATGTTCATCTTGAAAGGAAAAAGGATTTAGGCATTCCTGGAGAATTAGGAATAGATGAGAGTCCAACTATTATCAATTATATGCATTGAGACATTCCATTATGCTGCCCTTTGAGCAAATAAATTTTACCATTTTATATTTAAATGGATTTTTCCTATTAAATATTACCATAGCCTTGTTTTTCCAAATAGGATACATATTCAAACATACAACAATGCAGTACAAAGAAAAGAGTTTTTAAAAACTCACTAACTGTTAAGATTTTTTGCAGACCTCTTCTTTAGATCTTTTTTTAAATTACATATTTTGTGCTGCGGTCTATTTGCCGGTTGTTTTATTTTTTCCCTCAGTGATATATCAAATGTATCTTTTCTTTTAATTAGGGAGATGTATCATTTTTATATGGTAGGAGCAGACTTTGGAGTCAAGCAGAATTTCCTCTTGCTAGTTATGACTTTTGATTTTTATTAAAACTAAGTAACATTATGGTATAAATTGCTTATTACGTGACCACACATAACAAATGGTGAATAAATGGTAGCCACTGTTATTTTGTCTCTGTACTATAATTTATTTAATCTTTTCCTGGTTAACATTTAGGTTGCTTAGCATTTTTCACTGTCGTAAAGAGTGCGGCATTAAGCATCTTTATGCATGTATCTTTTTACACTTATTTTTCTCTGTAGGTTCAGTTTCTGGAAGTTACAGTATAAAAGTGTGAATATATTTTATATTGATAGCTAATACCACATTGTCTCCAGAAATGGACTGATGTACATTTTCATTAGAACAAAAATAAGTTTATTAACCCGTTTTAGGAGTAACTAGCCAATCCTTTGGAAAGTAAAGCCATAAAAACTATTTTTCTCTTTTTTTGAAGACAGGTCTCGCTCTGTCACCTGGTTGGAGTGCAGTGGCAAAATCATGGCTCACTGTAGCCTCGACCTCCCGGGCTCCAGTGATCCTCCCACCTCAGCTCGTCACCAGTCCCAGCGATTTTTTGGTAGAGACGGGGTCTTGCCATGTTGCCCAGGCTGATCTGGAACTCCTGGCCTCAAGCAATCCACCTGCCTGGGCTTCCCAAAGTGCTGGGATTACAAGCGTGAGCCACTGTCCCCCACCAAAACTACCCATTTTTTCAAAGCAATGTAAATACCTGATCTATCAAACTAATACTGGATTTGGTCATTCTTTTCACTACTTATTGATCTTCTGCAAAACAACAACAAAACATTTCTTTGAATATTAGCAAAAGTAAATGTTAATTGGCCAGGTGCCGTGGCTCATGCCTGTAATCCCAGCAGTTTAGGAGGCCGGAGTGGGAGGATTGTTTGAGCCCAGGAGTTCAAGACCAACCTAGCAAGATGGTGAGACCCCACCTCTACTACAATATAAAAATAAAAAATTAACTGGGCTTGGTGGTGCGCACCTGTAGTCCCAGCTACTTGGGATGCTAAAGTGGGAGGATTGCTTGAGCTGAGAAGTTCAAGGCTACTAATGTGGGCTATGATTGCACCACTGCACTCCAGCCTGGACAACATAAGAGAAAAAAAAGTAAATGTTAATTATCTGAATTGTCTTTGTAATTGTTGTCCATTTTTCTATTAGAATGTTTGATTTGTAAAGGATCTTTGTTAGGAATATTAACCCTTTGCCATATTTATTGTAAATATTTTTTCATTTGTCTTATATATGTTTTTTCTTTTTATTTTTGTCATACAGAATATCTTAATTTTTATGTAGTCAAATTTAACATTATTTTACTTTGTGTTCTTTTTGTAACTATCTTTGACCTAGTATTTAATAAAAAGGGGGGAAGGGAGCAGGTAGTGGGGAACAGCTTTACTTTTTTCCCAAATAATTAATCAGTTAATCTAAAAACTTTCTTTTTAAGCATGCTTTCTTTATTTCCTTTTTTTAATATATATATAGATGTAGGGGGTACAAGTGCAGATTTCTCATATGCATATATTGCATAGTGATGGAATCTGGACTTTTAGTATACCCATTGCCCAAATAGTGAACGTTGTACCCAGTAGGTAATTTGAAAACCTCTTTTTTTAATGATCTGTCTTTTATCCTCTGATATGAAATACCAGCCAACCTGAAGTTGGCTCTGTATCTGGACTATTTTGTTTCAATTATATGCTTGCCTATTTCTATGTCAGTTCCACACTGCTGGCTGTTTTTTTAACCCATAGTTTTAGAATAAGTTTTAACACCTGGTAGAACTAAATTCTCCTTTTTCTTTTTATTACAGTTTTCCTTCCCTTACATGTTTATTTTTCCGAATGAACTTTATAATAATGTGTTAAGTTCTCAAAAGAACCTTATCAGGTTTTTGATTGGAATAACATTAATGTTTTATGCCAGCAACCATAAAAAATAGTAGTTACTATAGCTGCTTTACCCTTCTCTCATCTCTTTAGAAATTTTGGAGCCAAGCATAACACCAGTAACCAGCACTATCCCACCTACCTCGACATCAAATCAACAGAAAGAAAAGAAAGAAAAGAAGAAAAGAAAAAAAGATCCTTCAAAGGGCAGATGGGTAGAAGGCATAACCTCTGAGGGTTACCATTACTATTATGATCTTATCTCAGGAGGTAAGTCATTTAGGCATAAAACTGGTAAAGAACAGTGTCACTAGTAGAATAGAACAATTTATTTTATGTTAGGATTTTTATCTAATGTTGGAGCACTTTAAATAGTGAAAGACCGGTTTTTCATTTTTGCCCCAAAGGTAAGAAAACTGTGTGCCCTTTAAAAAGGTACCCTTCTCATAGTGACTAAGTGTCATACTTAGTCAAAGCCTTTGATAATGACTTTCTTACAAATAAACTATAGCTTTATATTTTCTCAATAGAAACTTCTGTAAGTATAAACTACATGGAAATAAAGAATTTTGCATAGAAATAAGGAATTTCAAATCCACTTCACAAATTGTAGGGGTACTTGAAATAAAATATTCTACAGTAGAGATTTTCTTCTGGGAGCCAGTAACTGATTTCTTTTTTCTGTAGCTGCCTTGATTGATTTGATATTGTTACTGAAAAATGACATTGTGTATTTTACTGGAAACTGATACCCAACAGAAAAATACACAGTGCCATGGCCAGATGCAGTGGCTCATGCCTGTAATCCTAGCACTTTTGAGGGGCCGAGGAGGGTAGATCACTTGAGGTCAGGAGTTCAAGACCAGCCTGACCAACATGGTGAAACCCCATCTGTACTAAAAATACAAAATTAGGCTAGGCGCGGTGGCTCACACCTGTAATCCCAGCACTTTGGGAGGCTGAGATGGGCAGATCACAAGGTCAGGAGATCAAAACCATCCTAGCTAACATGGTGAAACCCCGTCTCTACTGAAAAAACAAAAAATTAGCCAGGCATGATGGTGGGCACCTGTAGTCCCAGCTACTTGGGAGGCTGAGGCAGGAGAATGGCGTGAACCCAGGAGGCGGAGCTTGCAGTGAGCCGAGATTGGGCCACTGAACCCAGGAAGCGGAGCTTGCGGTGAGCGTAGATTGGGCCACTGTACTCCAGCCTGGGCGACAGAGCGAGACTCTGCCTCAAAAAAAAAAAAAAAAAAAAAAAGTAGCCAAGCGAGGTGGCTCATGCCTGTAATCCCAGCTACCTGGGAGGCTGAGGCAGGAGAATCAATTGAACCCAGGAGATGGAGTTTGCAGTGAGCCCAGATCGCGCCATTTCACTCCTGCCTGGGCAACAAGAGCGAAAGTCCATCTCAAAAAAAAAAAAAAGAAAAAAAAAATACACAGTGTCGTTTTACAGTAACAATATCAAAAACATCTTTTTTTGTTTTTCCTAAAAACTAAATGTATTTGGGGTTTTTACTCCGTATACATTTTGGAATAAATTAATACATTTATTCTACATTTATGTAGCATCTTACTCTCCAGAGTCATAAAATTTAGCGACAAATAAATAAGCTTGATAAAAGGAGGAATTTTAAAGTGCTATAATAGAAGTGTAATTAAGATTATATGGGAACTCATAATAATGTTGAATTCATTGTGATTATGTAGCTTTGAGAGATTACCATAGGAATTACTTTTGAGCTGATCTCTAAATTAAGATAGGGACATCAGGAATGATGCCTTACTCACCATTGTATTCCTGGCGCCTAACATAGTGCCTAGCACAGTGTAGACACTCTGTGTTTTGATTAAAGAAGACTTCAGTAGATAATTAAGAGGTACAGAATCCACACAGAACAATATGAACCCCAAAAAAGGTTTGAAAGTATTGGGAAATAGTGGTCGAGGTAAAACATGCAGTTCTTTGAAGACGTCTTAGTAGAGTTAGACTGGAAGGTAGATTGGAGCCATCTTATGGAGGGCTGAGAGAATGATGGTGCCATTTACTTAGATACGAGATAAGGAACTGAAAATAAGTTTAATGGGGACAATAATGAATTAGATACGTTGAATATGAGGTACCTACAGAATATTCATATGACAGCTTTTGGTAGCTAATTGATGGTTACAGTGTGGAGCTGAGCAAAATTGAGTCTGGGGATGTAGATAATATGTTAGCCTTTAGGAGTATATGAGATCGCAAGCAGAGAGAATAGAGCAAGAAGTAAAGAAGGTGAGTGTTACATATATTAAAGGAATGGATAGAAGAAAAGCCAGCAAAAGAAGGTTAAGAATGCTAGGAAGGTAGGAAATAAGATCAGAGAGTTAATCATGAAGAAATCCTTGGGCTAACAATCTTACTGTAATGACTATTATCATTAGGATCATAATTACCTTTGGACTATGTAGAAATATTAATCCGTTAGAGTTTGCACTGAGCTTTAAGTGACATGCATATTGTAGTTTAGCAATGAAGATATCATAAATGATTATGTACTAGCAATTAGAAGTCTTTCTCAAATTTACTTATAAACTGTTATTTCATTTCTCCCTTCCAATGCTTATTGCTTGCCTCTCTTTTTCAGCATCCTACTTTATATACTCTTCCTCTCCATGATACATGTTTTTAATTTCTGCATACTAGTTGTTCCTCTTCTGAGTTCTTATTCAGTTTATCTCTCACTCTCCCTTGCCCCAAGATATCAAAAGGCCTTTGAAACTTATCAGACCTGAATTCTGTGAAACCTTTATGAGAAGCCCTGCCTGGCTCTAAAATTCCTGTGGAAGTTCCAGTAACTTCTAATCCCTCGTTCTGTCCTTTCTTCTTGGTTACGTAGCATTCACATATATTGTCTGCACAGTACTGGGATGTATGTTCTGTTTTATTTTTCAAATATGTTTTAAATTGTAGACCTGTAGTGTTTTGTACATAATGACTGTAAATTTTGTCCAAATTTTTTGGAAAGTATTTTTTTAAAGCAAAAAGATTTTATAAATGCAATATATTTTGCTTTAAGCATCTCAGTGGGAGAAACCTGAAGGATTTCAAGGAGACTTAAAAAAGGTAATTGAAGCATATTAATAGTGTTTTTGTTTTATTCTTTACAGTGATTCGTTTCTTAGGTTTTTGTAGAGTTTTGCTAAGCAACTTTATTTACAAATACTCCACTCCCTCCACCCCCAAACTGTGTCCTTTTTTTTCCCATAATGCTTTTGTTAGAAGGCTGGATGGAGATGAAATAGTGATATCTGGCTGGGTGCAGTGGCTCATGCCTGTAATCCCAGCACTTTGGGAGGCTGAGGCATGTGGATCACAAGGTCAGGAGTTAAAGACCAGCCTGGCCAAGATGGTGAAACCCTATCTCTCCTAAAAACTACAAAAAAATTAGCCAGGCGCAGTCGCAGTTGCCTGTAATCCCAGCTACTCAGGAGGCTGAGTCAGGGGAATCACTGGGACCTGGGGCGGCAGAGGTTAACAGTGAGCCGAGATTGCACCACCGCACTCCAGCCTGGATAACAAAGTAAGACTCCGTCTCAAAAAAAAAAAAAAAAAAAAAAGTACTGATATCTATCCAAAAACTGCATTCAGGGCAAATATTAGTTGGTTTGCCGTCAGTTGCCATTCACATGTTCCTGTCCATTTGGAAGGAATTGTTCCTGGCTTTCAAAGGTGAGACATCCACTGCTTGAAAGTTGGTTCTTTATTAGCAAAAACCAAGCTTCCTGGCCATGATTAGTACTACCACCCCTAATACCCAGGTGTATTAGTCAGTTCTTGCATTGCTATAAAGAAATACTTCTGAAACTAGGTAATTTATCAAGAAAAGAGGTTTAATTGACTCACAGTTATGCAGGCTGTACAGGAAGCATGGTGGCATGAGCTTCTGGAGAGGCTTCAGGAAACTTACAATCATAGCAGAAGGCCAAGGGAAAACAGTCACATCTTACATGGCCAGACCAGGAGCAAAGGGAGGTGCCACACACTTTTCAATGACCAGATCTCAGGGTAGCTTGCTCACTATTTCAACAACAGCACCAAAGGTGGATGGTGTTGAAACCATGAGAAACCACCCCTGTGATGCAGTCACCTCCCACAAGGCCCCATCTCCAACTTGGAGGATTACAAGTCTACATGAGATTTGGGTGGGGATGCAGATCGAGATGATATCACCAGGTGTCAGGAGGAGAGGCAAGGGTGGCTGACTGTCTGAGTTATTCAATAGAAAATCATGGTTATCCTTAGTTTATGCTGGGTTTTTTTCCTCCTATTAGACAGCAGTGAAGACCGTTTGGGTAGAAGGTTTAAGTGAAGATGGTTTTACCTATTACTATAATACAGAAACAGGAGGTAAGTATTACCTTTGATTATCTTAACTGTTTAAAATTGTACCTGGAACTGCTTATTGGCCTGCTGATTAATCATCTGAACTTGGAAATTTTAGTATACAATAAACATATTTGTGTAGTAAACATGAATTATTTTTTGTAATTTAAAAACAATACAGTGGAAAAGCAAAAAGATTTATATTCGTATTATGTTGTGCTGTTCACCAATGTTATTCTCAGTTGATATTGCATTCACAAACTTAAAAATAGAATCATTTTAGCTTTCTCTGACATTACTATTTTTATAATTATTTTAGAAATATAGTCATTACCTTGGAAGGTAGCTTAGAGATCATCTGGCTCAACTTGCCTTTTCCTTTTTAAAAATAAAACTGTGGCCGGGCACAGTGGCACATGCCTGTAATCCCAGCAGTTTGGGAGGCCAAGACAGGTGGATCACCTGAGGTCAGGAGTTAAGCGACCAACCTGACCAACATGGTGAAACCCTGTCTCTGTTAAATACAAACAAATTAGCCGGGTGTGGTGGCACATGCCTGTAATCCAAGCTACTTGGGAGGCTGAGACAGGAGAATCTTGTACCTGGGAGGCGGAGGTTGCAGTGACCCGAGATCGTGCCATTGCACTCCAGCCTGGGCAACAAGAGCAAAACTCTGTCTCAAAAAAAAAAAAAAAAGTAGGCTAGGCGCGGTGGCTCACGCCTGTAATCTCAGCAGTTTGGAAGGCCAAGGCGGGCAGATCATCTGAGGTCAGGAGTTCGAGACCAGCCTGACCAACATGGTGAAACCCCTTCTCTACTAAAAAATTACCCGGGCGTGGTGGTGGGCACCTGTAGTCCCAGCTACTCAGGAGGCTGAGGCAGAGAATCACTTGAACCCAGGAGGTAGAGGTTGCAGTGAGCCAAGATCGCACCACTGCACTCCAGTCTGGGCGACAGAGCAAGACTGTCTCAAAATAAAATAAAAAATAAAACTGAAGCTATTTAGTAGTGTCTAACAAATTAGTAAAAGTGAAAATTTAACAATGTTTCAGTTGCATAAATACTTACGAAGCATGCATAAATACTAATTGTTATCTAAAACTTTTTTTTTTTTTTTGAGACGGAGTCTTGCTATCGTCCAGGCTGGAGTGCAGTGGCACAATCTCGGCTCACTGCAGGCTCTGCCCCCTGGGGTTCATGCCATTCTCCTGCCTCAGCCTCCCAAGTAGCTGGGACTACAGGCACCAGCCACTTCGCCAGGCTAATTTTTTGTATTTTTAGTAGAGACGGGGTTTCACCATGTTAGTCAGGATGGTCTCGATCTCCTGACCTCGTGATCCGCCCGCCTCGGCCTCCCAAAGTGCTGGGATTACAGGCGTGAGCCACCGCGCCCGGCCCTAAAACTTTCAAATTAATGTTTCATCTAATTTAACATCATAAACAGTTGAATTTATCAGAACAGCTATAACATTAATGTAACTTTAGGAGAGGCTTGTTTTTGTTTTTTTAATTCCTGTTATCATTAGCTCATTGCATAGCATTAAATCTTTTAGGAAGAAAAGGCCCTTTTAACCTCCAAGTAGATATTTAGCCTGCCCAGTTATAGCAATGTTTATATTCCAGTACAATTGAAGGTTGGGATTTTTATACATATAAAATAGTATAGTGATATAATATAGCTTTAGAGTTAGACAGATCTGAGTTCAATGCACAGCTTCTTTCCTTACCAGCAATGTGACTGTGGGTGTTACTGAGCCTATAGTCACTCTTCAGTGAAATAGAATAAACATGCATGCTCTGTAAGGTCATGAATGTCATATGTCATAAAGTTCCAATAACAGTGCTTGGCACATAGTAGGTGCTAAATAAATTACTCCCTGAACTGGCGTGGTGGTTCACACCTGTAGTCCTAGAACTTTGGGAAGTTGAGGCAGGCGGATCACTTGAGGTCAGGAGCTCGTGACCAGCCTGGGCAACGTGGTGAAATCCTGTCTCTACTAAAAATACAAAACCTAGCTGGGCGTGGTGGCGCTTGCCTGTGGTCCCAGTTACTCGGGAGGCTGAAGCAGGAGAATCGCTTGAACCGGGGAGGTGGAGGTTACAGTGAGCTGAGATCACGCCAAATAAATAAATAAAAATAAAATAAATAAATTCTTGAAAGTTCTATTGTTAACTTGTGTGAAATGTGGATTAGGAAAAGTAATGTTTTTTCATTAATCCTGCCAAGAACTCTGTATTAATTAAGGTGCTGTATATATTGGTTTGCCTTGAATGATTTTGGTTTATTCCTGGACCAGAATAATTACTAACGGCAGCCCCTTTCACTCTTAAAACTCTCCCAGTTGAAAGTAGGGAATTAATTACAAGGTAATTAGAAATATTATTGTTTTACTAAAAGCCCAATGAACCACTGGATGGCAGTAGAGTTCAGTCAATTGAGATTCCCATTGCTGCCCCCCCACCCACCAAACCACCATAATAAAAATGAGAATTTAATATTCACTTAGTGCTTCACAATGTAATTTCACTCCATGAAAATCTTAGGAATTTTTTCTTTTTTTAAATTGAGACAAGGTCTTGCTCTGTCCCCCAGACTGGAGTGCAGTGGCACAATCATGATTCACTGCAGCCTCTATTTCCTGGGCTCAAGCAGTCTTCCCGCCTCAGCCTCCTGAGTAGTGGGTACTGCAGGAATATGGCATGATGCCTGCTAACTTTTTAATTGTTTGTAGAGACAGGTTCTCGCTATGTTGCCCGGGCTGGTCTCACACTCCTGAGTTCAAGCAATCCTCCTACCTCGCCTTTTCAAAGTGTTGGAATTACAAGCATAAGCCAGCACACTGGGGCCAGGAAAGGAAATCTCTGTGATAAGCAAGTTTCAGGAAATCTCTTGTTTGCTCATTATCAATACGTTTCCTGAAATTGGTGTCAGATAAATTGTGAACCGTTAGAAATATCACCCAGTTCTTAGGTCTCTCATTCCATTGGAGTTATAGTTTACACATCTAGTAAATCCGGGCTGTTTGAAATCAATTTCTGAAAGATACAAGAGCAAGAGGTTTGAGAACTCTGTTATCTTCTTGATCAAGAGATAGTATGAAATACATACAGTATTGTCATTTAATAATTGTAAGTGATAAATGTTATGTTGAAATTACATCTGAATAGAATTAATAACTAAATAACATGACTTTAAAATGTGTTGAGCAGAATCCAGATGGGAGAAACCTGATGATTTCATTCCACACACTAGTGATCTGCCTTCTAGTAAGGTCAATGAAAATTCACTTGGCACCCTAGATGAATCCAAATCATCAGATTCGCATAGTGATTCTGATGGGGAACAGGAAGCAGAAGAAGGAGGGGTCTCTACAGAGACAGAAAAGCCAAAAATAAAGTTTAAGGTAGGTTTTTAAATTTTACTCTTCACATCAAATTTTTTTTTTTTTTTTTTTTTTTTTTTTGAGATGGAGTCTTGTTCTGTCCCCAGGCTGGAGTACAGTGGCACTGTCTTGGCTCACTGTAACCTCCACCTTCCGGGTTCAAGCAATTCTCCTGCCTCAGCCTCCCGAGTAGCTGGGACTACAGGTGTGTGCCACCAAACCCGGCTAATTTTTTTTATTGTTAGTAGAGACAGGGTTTTACCATGTTAATAACCAGGATGGTCTTGATCTCCTGACCTCGTGATCTACTTGCCTCGGCGTCCCAAAGTGCTGGGATTACAGGCGTGCGTCACCACGCCCAGCTGACATCAATTTTTGAAAAGCTCTACAGACCTTAAGTCTTCTGATAGAACATAGAAATTAAGACATATTTTGGCAACTGGATAAATAAAACCGGGAACACTCAGGAGCCCATGAGTCAAAGCAGAGGAGACACATTATTAGCATTGAGCAATGGTTGCGATTGTTGGCCTGAGAAATGTAGGAAAATCAGAGTTCCTAAATACCTAGTTACACCTAGGATCTTGTCATTGCCTGCAGTTTCTCTACCAACTTCACAAATCTTGATGGAACTTAGAGTAAGGGTTATGTGCAGTTTACAGAGGAGCAGCAGCAAAGCCTTCGTTGTAATTGCCATCTCACAATGATTATAGCCAGCCAGATTTAGGTAATCCAGTATCCAACTTAGGATAGAAATGATTAATTTATTTTCGTCAAAATGAATGTGTTCCAACAACAACAACAAAAAAATACAGGCCAATAACCCTGCTGAACATAGATGCAAAAACCTTCAACAAAATACTGGCAAACTGAATCCAGCAGTACATCAGAAAGATTAATACACCATGATAAAGGGATGCTTTATTCCAGGGATGAAAGGATGGTTCAAAGTATGCAAATCAATAAATGTGATTCACCACATAAACAATTAAAAACAACCATATAATCAGCTCAATAGATAAAAAGCATTTGTTAAAATTCAGCATCCTTTCATGATAAAAACCTTCAGCAAACTAGGCACAGAAGAAACATACCTCATAATAATAAAATAATAAAAGCCATATATGAGGCCGAGTGCGGTGCCTCATGCCTGTAATCTCAGCACTTTGGGAGGCTGAGGCAGGAGAATCGATTGAACCTGGGAGGCAGAGTTTGCAGTGAGCTGAGATAGTGCCACTGCACTCCATGCTGGATGACAGACCAAGACTCTGTCTCAAAAAAAAAAGAAGAGCCATGTATGAGAAACACACAGCCAACGTTATACTGAATGGGGAAGCACTGAAAGTATTCTCCCTAAGAAAGCAAGGATGCTCACTTCAACCACTCCTTTTCAACATAATATTGGAAGTGCTAGCCTGAGCAGTCAGGCAAGAGAAAGAAGTAAAAGGCATCCAAATTGAAAAAGAGGAAGTCAAACTATCTCTGTTTGCTGATTAAATGATCTTACTACCTAGAAAACCCTAAAGACCCCTCCAAAACACACGTGGATTTGATAAGTGACTTCAGTCATGTTTCAGGATACAAAATCACTGTACAAAAATCAGTAGCATTTCTGTATACCTATATCTATATAATAATGGTAAAACCGAGAACCAAATAAAAAACTCAATCCCATTTGTGGTAACTACAAAAAAAAAATCTCGGAATACATTTAACCAAGGAAGTGAAAGATCCCTACAAAATGAACTACAAAACACTGATTAAAGAAATCATAGATGATACACACAAATGAAAAAACATCTCATGCTTCTGGATTGGAAGAATCAATATCACTAAAATGACATACTGGCCACACCAATCTACAGATTCAACACAATCCCTATCAAATTACCAACTTCATTTTTTACAGAATTAGAAAAGCCAATTCTGAAATTTATGTGAAACCAAAAAAGAGCCTCAATAACCATAGCAGTCCTAAGCAAAAAGAACAAAGGTGGAGGCATCCCATTACTTGGCCTCAGACTATATTCCAAGGCTGTCATAACCAAAACAGCACAGTACTGGCATAAAGATAGGCACATAGATTGATGGAACAGAATAGAGAACCCAGAAATAAAGCCACATACCTACAACCAACTGATCTTCAACAAAATCAACAAAAATATACACTGGGGAAGGGATACCCCATTCAATAAATGATCCTGGGAAAACTGGCTAGCTGTATGCAGAAGAATGAAACTGGACCCCTACCTCTAACCATGTACAAAAGTTAAGATGGATTAAAGACTTAAATGTTTAAAGATCTGAAACTATAAAAACCCTAGAAGGAGGCCAGGCATGGTGGCTCACACCTGTAATCCCTGCACTTTGGGAGGCCGAGGTGGGCGGATCACCTGAGGTCGAGAGTTAAAGACCAGCCTGACCAACATAGAGAAACCCCATCTCTACTAAAAATAGAAAATTAGCTGGGTGTCCTGGCGCATGCCTGTAATCCCAGCTACTTGGGAGGCTGAGGCAGGAGAATCGCTTGAACCTGGGAGGCGGAGGTTGCAGTGAGCTAAGATCGTGCCGTTGCATTCCAGCCTGGGCGACAAGAGTGAAACTCTGTCTCAAAAAAAGAAAAAGGAAAAGAAAAAAAAAATCCTAGAAGGAAATCTAGGAAAAACTCATCTGGTCATTGACGTAAGCAAAGAATTTACGACAAAGTCTTCAAAAGTAAACACAAAAATAAAAATAGACAAATGGGAGGGACTTAATTAAAAAGCTTATGCACAGCAAAAGAAACAATTAACAGGGTAAATAAACAGCCCACATATTGGGAAAAACTGTTTGCAAACTATGCATCCAACACAGGACTAATATCCAGAATCCGCAAGGGACTCAACAAGAAAAAAACAACTCCATTGAAAAGGGGGAAAAGGACATGAACAGGCATTTTTCAAAAGACACACAGGTGGCCAAAACACATGAATAATGCTCAACATCACTGATCATCAGAGAAATGCAAATGAAAATCACAAGGAGATACCATCTTACACCAGTCAGAAGGCTGTAATTAAAAAGTCAGAAAATGGCTGGATGCAGTGGCTCACACCTGTAATCCCAACACTTTGGGAGGCTGAGGCTGGCAGATACTTGAGGTCAGGAGTTCAAGACCAGCCTAACCAACATGGTGAAACCCCATCTCTACTAAAAATGCAAAAGAAATTAGCCGAGCATGGTGGCGCATGCAGGAGAATTGCTTGAACCTGGGAGGCAGAGGTTGCAGTAAGCCAAGATCATGCCACTGCCCTCCAGCCTGGGTGACAGAGCAAGACTCCGTCTCAAAAAAAAAAAAAAAAAAAAATCAGAAAACAACAGATACTGGCAAGGATGCAGAGAAAGGGAAACACTTATACACTTACTGAGAATGTATGTTGGTATAACCTTTATAGAAAACATTTCTCAGAGAACTAAAAGCAGAACTGTTATTCAATCCAGCAGTCCCACTTCTGAGTATCTACCCAAAGGAAAAGAAATCATTAAACAGAAAAGATACTTGCACTCATATATTTGTAGCAGCATTGTTCACAATAGCAAAAAGTAAATCAACCTAAGTGTCCGTCAACGGAGGATTGGATAAAAAAAATGCGGTATATATACACACGCACACACACCATGGAATACTACTCAGCCATAAAAAATGAAATGATAGCTTTTGCAGCTATGTGAATGGAACTGGAGGCCATTAACCTAAGTGAAATAACTCAAAGTCAAATACTACATGTTCTCACTTATAAGTGGGAGCTAAACAGTGGGCACACATGGACATACAGAATGGACTAATAGACAGTGGAGACCATAAAAGGTGGGAGGGTGGGAGGGAGGTGAGTTGAACATGTGTCTATTGGGTTTGTTCACTGTTCAGGTTATAGGTACACTAAAAGCCCGTACTTCACCATGACATAATATATACATGTAAGAAATACGCATTTGTGCCCCCTAAGTTATTTTTTAAAAGATAAATTATAGGAAAAGGAAAAAAATTACAAAATACAGGTAAACAAGGACAAACTCCCTATAATCTTGCCGCCTCCCAGAAGAATTCAACAGAGCCACAATTATAAAGGGAGTCACTGTTGGGTATGCAAGTAAAGCAAGAAAGCAGAAGAGAGAAGTTAAGAGAGCCCTGTTTATATGTCCTTAATTGTAGAACTTAAGACATTAAGGTGGTGATTTAGGGAGCCTTTGTCATGGTATATCAACATTTCAGACATGGAAAACCTAATCAAGCAGTAAAGTTCTATGTATATTTATTGTGTTATGTGCAGATTTGAGTTAGTGAATTATTGTTTATAAATCTATAACAATACCTTTAAAAGCCTTAAATTTTATTTTTGTCTTGGTAGTTTTGCTTGAACTGTATTATTTCTTGGCTTTTACATTTCAGGAAAAAAATAAAAATAGTGATGGAGGAAGTGACCCAGAAACACAGAAAGAAAAAAGTATTCAGAAACAGAATTCATTAGGTTCAAATGAAGAAAAATCGAAAACTCTTAAGAAATCAAACCCATATGGAGAATGGCAAGAAATTAAACAAGAGGTTGAGTCTCAGTAAGTACCTGGAGCTTTAATCCCACTGTTATTACAAGTGATTTTACATCCCAGTACTTCCCTAAATTGCAGTAAGTAATTTCAAGGATGCTGTGCTTATTAAAAGTATAGCTTGAGGCCAGATGCACCCCTGTAATCCCAGCACTTTGGGAGGCTGAGGTGGGCGGATCACGAGGTCAAGAGATGAGACCATCCTGGCC
Organism: Homo sapiens; assembly: GCF_000001405.40. Taxonomy (NCBI): domain Eukaryota; kingdom Metazoa; phylum Chordata; class Mammalia; order Primates; family Hominidae; genus Homo; species Homo sapiens. The sequence continues at coordinate 41,081,010 of NC_000013.11, forward strand.
AACATGGTGAAACCCTGTCTCTACTAAAAATACAAAAATTAGCTGGGTGTGGTGGCATGTAGCTGTGATCCCAGCTACTCAGGAGGTGGAGGCAGGAGAATCGCTTGAACCCAGGAGGTGGAGGTTGCAGTGAGCTGAAATCGCGCCACTGGACTCCAGCCTAGCAGCAGAGCAAGACTCCATCTCGAAAAAGAAAAAGTATAGCTTGGCTGGGTGAGGTGGCTCACGCCTGTAATCCCAGCACTTCAGGAGGCCAAGGCAGGCAGATCAACTGAGGTCAGGAGTTCGAGACCAGCCTGGCCAACATGGCAAAACTTTCTCTCTACCAAAAAAAAAAAACTTAGCAGGGAATAGTGGCACACATCATGTTCCCAGCTACTTGAGAGGCTGAGGTGGGAGGATTACTTGAGCCCAGGAGGTTGAGACTGCAGTGAGCCATGTTCACACCACTTCACTCCAGCCTGGGCAACAGAGTAGGACCTTGTCTCCAAAAAAAAAAAAAAAAAAAAAATGTAAAAACTAAATAGATAAGCAAATATTGCAGCAACTCAAGTATTACTCAGCAAAGTACATTTCTATAGGATTCAGTGTTGCTATTTAGTTTTATAACTTAAAACAGCCTATGATAACTGATAGCAAAGAAGGTCCTTGCTGGCCAGGCAGGTGCAGTGGCCCACGCCTATAAGCCCAGTACCTTGGGAGGCTAAGGCAGGAGGTTCACTTGAGCCCAGGAGTTGGAGGCTGCTTTGAGCTATGATGGCACCACTTCACTCCAGCCTGGGAGACAGAGCAAGACTCTGTCCTAAAAAGAAAAAATCCTTGGAATAGATTGCCTTCTGCAGAGCTCCATTCTCCAAATAGGATGATGTGTGTTTTTCAACAGGTTTTACGCTCTCAGCTACTTAAACATAACGATCTTTCCGGTCCATTTTCCAGAGTCTCATAGATGGGACTGATGGGTGTGATGTGACTAATTTACTCTTTCACAGACCAGTTGACTATCTAGGGAGTACGGTACTGTGATAGGCTCTTTTTAATCAGGTGCTGATATCAGGACCACTCAACTGATTATTTATAATTAATCATGTGGATGGTTGAAGGGCTAGTTCTTAGCAAAGGAGTGCTAGGCATACAGCTCCATTCAGTCTTCTACAATAGGAAAATGAGATCTCGACTCGCTGCAACCTCTGCCTCCCAGGCTGAAGTGATCCTCTCACCTCAGCCTCTCGAGTAGCTGGGACTGTAGGCACATGACACCATGCCCAGATAATTTTTGTATTTTTTGTAGCAATGGGGTTTTGCCATGTTACCCAGGCGCATCTCGAAACTCCTGAGCTCAAGTGATCCTCCTGCCTCGGCCTCTCAAAGTGCTGGGATTACAAGATTGAGCCACCGCACCCAACCCCCTTATCCCTTTACTTGTACTGCTTATATATAAGCCCAAGCATTTTCTTAGATAATGCATCCTTTGTGCAACAGGAATAAATTAATACATAGAACTTCTCCCAGCATTTATCCACCTGAATAAGTGTTCAGTATCTTAAATAATATTGTAAAGTCAGTATTTTAAAGTAGTTCCTACTCCAAAATGAGCAACTTCTAATGTCATTAGAAAGCTGATCTTGGGGCATTGGTTATATGAAAACGTTTGTCTTACCCTGTCAAATAGAGTTTTACTTTAACTCTATTTCCAGTGAGGAGGTAGATTTGGAACTTCCAAGCACTGAAAATGAGTATGTATCAACTTCAGAAGCTGATGGTGGCGGAGAACCCAAAGTGGTATTTAAAGAAAAAACAGTCACTTCTCTTGGAGTTATGGCAGATGGAGTGGCCCCAGTCTTCAAAAAGAGAAGAACTGAAAATGGAAAATCTAGAAATTTAAGGCAACGAGGTGATGATCAATAGTTGCAGGAGAGCTTTTTGTACATGCTTTTAGGACAGAATGGAGACTTATACACCCAAAGTTTATCTGTGTTTGTTTGTAAGTATTATGATGCTAAAAATTTAGATTTATTCTAAATGTATTTGATGTGAATTAAAATAAATATTTTTTCATGTGAAATTTATTTTGGTTCCTAAAATGGAAGCCTACCACATTGCATTGTAATACAGTGTATTATGTTCAGTGTCTAAAAACTGCTAATTAAGTCATAATTTAAGATGCTATGTATCTGTTATTTAAAACATGGAGAAACAGGGCCTTTATTCCATTCATATTCATAAGAGCATATTTATCCTGCATTGAAAATGCATTACTTTTGCACATTGATATTAACTGTTGTCCAACAAATAAGTATCGGAGTACGTGAGAATATTCCCAGCCCAGTGATGATTTGGTTCTGAGGCTGATGTGAGAAAGCTGATGTAAAAAATGTATGCATATTGGCTTACCTTACTCAATTTAAAGTCAAAAGCCAACAGCCAGGAGCAGCTCAGGTACTTCAGATGTGCTTAATATGGAGTGAAAACTGGACCAGAGGTGGAAAGATGTATTTGCCCCAGTTCACTTCAAAGCAGCAAACGTTGTTTAAGCATTTTAGTTTGAACCAGGCATTGTGTTAGGAATCCAGGGATAAAGATGAATGAAATGTATTTCTGTTCTTCAGGAGTTCACATTCTAGCATATGCCTTTTTTCCCCCAGTCATGCACTCTTTTTAGCAGTCTTATATGTACTAGAAAAGATTTTTTAAAGTTTATTTAAAGCTGTGTAGATGAAGGCTTGATCTAAAATAGTATAAGGTCTCCAGCTTCAGTAAAAGTTTTTAGTGTTTACTTAAATTAGTAATTTCTCACTTTCTGTCTGGTTAAAATGTCTTAAAAAGTAGAATTTTCTTCTTTAATCCGTTTAGTAGTTACCTCCCTTTTACTTTTCAAATTCACAAAATTACATTTCTCATAAATTGTATAGTATTTAACTTATAATAGTTAATATTTGTCTTTTTAAGATGACTGTACATGTAAGAAAAAAGCTTATTAAAAACTTGATCAAAGAATAAGTTAAATATTGTTATTCTAATTCCAGTCAGAATCACCTTAGCATTGGTGAGATAGTATTTGGAGATTTGTCTTTGCATTTTTTCAGTCTACTTTTTGGGTATTTTATGAATGTGAAAGCCTAAACTTTCCCCTTCATTAGGAAGAGATACTTAATAATTCTTGATAGCCCATTCATCATCTAGGTGAGCAGTGCATTCTGGTGCTTTACTCTTCTCAGGTGGAAAAAATAATGGACTGTAAATGCAGTGGTCCTATACTTTACCCACATTTAGCTCTTAAAAAATACAAAATTGAAGGCATTTTTAAGATTAGACCTCATGTAAAGTTTCTCTTTGATGATTTTTAAAACAATCTCCTTTACTTTTGAAAGTAGTATTCTCAAAAACTGAAAGCAAGGTAAATCTCCGTAAACAGTATGGTTATAAAGATTGCTCAGAAAAGACTTGATAATAACAAACACCAATATTTTAGTAAATCAAGTCATGAAAAATAGTAATATTCCATCTGCTTTGGAGGGATAGAGAACATAACAGCTTTTAACTTACTTGGATGTTTTCATAAGTGTTTGATATCATTTCCACTATTACTTTTCGATCGATCGATAGATAGATAATGAAAGTAATTTTTTAATAAATATAAAAATCCAAATAATAGAGAAATAAGTTTTTAGAAAATCTCAGTAATCTGTCATCCCCTCTCCATGACCACTATGGGGTTTTCCGTTTTTCTCAACATGTTAACACTGGGTATATATGGGTAACCCTTATGACATCTGGACCTATGAGGTCCACTATCTGAATGAAACCATATTCAAAGAAACATGATCCAAACAACCAAAAGTAGTTTTTGTTTTTTTAATGCAGTTTTTAATACATTCCAAGAACTGTACTAGGGGAATCAACCCTACCAGATATTTATGAATTAAAAATCTATAAGATACAGTAAAGGACAGGAATGGTGGCTCGTGCCTGTAATCCCAGAACTTTGGAAGACCAAGGCAGGCAGATTGCTTGAGTCCAGGAGTTCGAGACCAGCCTGGGCAATAGGGCAAAACCCCATCTCTACTACGAAAAATAGAAAAAGTTAGCTGGACATGGTGGCATGCGCCTGTGGTCCCAGCTACTCAGGAGACTAAGGGAGAATCACCTGGTCCCAAGAAGTCAAGGCTACAGTAAGTCATGAACATGCCACTGCACTCCAGCCTGGGCAGCAAGAGGGAGACTCTTGTCTTAAAAATAAAATACTTGCCACATTTATGTATATTATATATAAACTAGAGTTTGTTTCTGGATTTCTTTTATTGTGCCAGTACCATACTCATTTAATTACTGTGTTTTTATAGTCTGTTTTAACTTCTGGTACAGCACATATCCTTATGTTACTTCATACTTTGAACTACTTTTTCAAGATATTCATAGAAATATCCACTCATTATATCAAATAACTTTTTGTCAAGTTGTCTTCCCTACTCCCCTCAAAAGAACTCCTTGTGATTTTGTGCTACACTTAATTGAGTTGATAATAATTGCCATCTTTCTGACATTCATTCTTCTTATCTATCAGCATGTGTGTCTTTTCATTTAGTCAGTTCTTTCATGTCTTTCTGAAGTTATGTAGTTTTCTCCATATGGGCCCTGCACATTACTTGAAATGTAAGCTCCCAGGGCCAGGCGCAGTGGCTCACACCTGTAATCCCAACACTTTGGGAGGCTGAGGTGGTGGATCACGAGGTCAGGAGTTCGAGACCAGCCTATCCAATATGGTGAAACCCCATCTCTACTAAAAATACAAAAATTAGCCAGGCATGGTGGTGCGTGCCTGTAGTCCCAGCTACTCAGGAGGCTGAAGCAGGAAAATCACTTGAACCCAGGAGGCGGAGGTTGCAGTGAGCCGAGATCATGCCACTGACTGACCTGGGTGACAGAGCCAGACTCCATCTCAAACAAACAAAAAAGAGCTCCCTGAGGGCAAGAGTTTTGTTTTGTTCACTTAATTTCCTGTACTTTGATGTTTTGACATCTTAAAAAGCTTGTTGGCCAGGAAGTGGATGCCTCTCCCGGGGCTAGCCCCTTCTTAGATAACTGAGGGCTCCCTAGAGCACTCTTTCTTATGCAAACCAGCTAATCCCTAATCTGTAGCCACACCCACCTGGTCTAATTCACACATCAGGCCAGTGTTTCTTCTGCCCTAAATCATCCCAGGGCCAGATACCAGGCAACTAGTGACCATTCCTATAGCCAGCCCAAAGCCTGCCAGAATTATATTAGCCAATCCTAAACAGTTTACTTTGCCCTGCTTTGACTTTCCCATGGAAACCACAATGAAGGCTCTGGGCTAGACTTTCCCCTCTATCCTATCTTAAACTACCTAACCAAAACCTGGTGCTTCCTCTGAGGCCCTGCATGGCACATGATGACCCCTTCTTTAGGACCTGTAAGTATAATAAACTTCCTCTTTCCAAGCCTCAATATCATCTCCTTCGGTGGCCAAACTGACTTTACCATACCATATCCAACATTTACATTTTTAGAACAGTATAAATTGATATAACCTCTTTAGAGAGCAATTTTTCAATAGATCAAAATTTAAAAGCACCTATCTGTTGACCTTGCAATACCACTTGGAGAAATATTTCCTATAGATACTCTCACACATGTAAGAGATGATATGTAAGACTAATAAATGTGACATTATTTCTAAATCAAATTGGAAACAACCTTAAGGGCTATCAGTGCAAAACTGGTTACATTAATTATGCTACATCTAGTCAGTGCAATGGTGTACAGCTGTTAAAAGAAAGGAACTTTATATGTGCTTACATGGATTGATCTCCAGGATACTTTGTTAGGTCAGAGAAGCAAAATCCAGAAAAGTAAAAATTGTGCATTGGTTAAAACAGAAGTTCTAGTACCAATCATTGCCATTCTCTCTTTTGCTACCTAATAGCTTGTAAGATTGGGCAAGTTATTCCATCTCTGTATGTCTTCCTTTTCTTATTTGTAAAACAGTAAGTGTACCTACCTCCCAGCTTTGTTTTAAGGAGTGAATGACTTAATGTGTATTTAAAGCACTGGTTTATAATGATACTAGCTAAGATTTTGAGTTGTTGCTATGTGACAGGCATTGTAACATAGCAACAACTCAAAATCTTAGTATCATTTATGTAAAAATAGACAATGTAAAATAAAAACACTAAACAGCATCTAATTTCTAGCCATTAGCACCGTGACTCATTCCTTTTTCTCTTCCCAATACTCTGATCTTACACAACTCCAAAGGCCAATTATTGCAATTTAGATATTCTCTAAATGGCTTGATATATTCTGTGTGGTTTCTTTTGTAAATCAAACAAAGCTCTTGATTTTTGATTTTCAGGCTAAAATAGCGTAAAATTAATTCATTAGAGATGGATGATGTGATGGTTATACAACAGTGTGAATGTACTTAATGTCACTCGACAGTACACTTAAAAATTGTTAAGGCCAGGCACAGTGGCTCATGCCTGTAATCCCAGCATTTGGGAAGGCTGAGGTGGGAGGATCACTTTAGCTTAGGAGTTCACGACCAGCCTGGGCAACAGAGCAAGACCCTGTCTCTACCAAAAAAAAATACATATATATATAGTTTTAATACATAAATATATATAATATATATTTATATATTATATATAATTTATATTATATATATATATTGATAATATTAAAATTAAAAATTTAAAATTAATGTTAATATTAAATTGATAGATATATTGATATTAAATCTATATTAAATATATTTTTATATTTTTACACATACATATATATTTATATGCATGTATGTGTATGCATATATATAGTTAATTTGATGTATATTTTACCACCAAAAAAAAAAGCATTCAATTTCACGTTGTATCATAAACATCACTTCTGCCTTACAAAATCGTAAAAGAGTTTGTAGAAACTTATTTCTGCCAACCTCCTGTATTTATTCAATATTTTTTGTTTTTGAGACAGGATCTTACTCTCACCCAGGCCAGAGTATAGAGGCGTGATCAGAGCTCCCTGCAACCTCGACCTGCTGAGCTCAAGTGATTTTCCTCCCTCCACCTCCTAAGTAACTGGGACTACAGGCAAACAGGCATGCCACCACACCTGGCTGGTTCTTCTTCTTTTTTTTTTTTGTCTGTAGAGACGAGTGTCTCATTATGTTGCCCAGGCTGGTCTCGAACTTCTGAGCTAAAGCGATCCTCCTGCCTCAGCCTCCAAAAATGCTGGGATTATATGCATGAGCCACTGCGCCCAGCCTGGTACTCTTTTTTTTTTAATGGTAAACTCACTAGCCTAGTTTAAGCCATCTTCACTTCAAGCCTAGAATACTACTGCACTCCCAATTTTTGCTATTCTAGCTCATCCTTCACAGAACCAACAGAATAATCTTCCATGGTAAACCTCCGCAAATTTCCCTTCTCCACTAATCTCAATATATCAAATCTATTAGCATTTAAGACTTGCATCTCATTTTTCAAAACAGGCTACTTATCTGTCTTTTAATTGGTTATTTCTACATTGAAAACATTACATTCTTTTTTGTTTGTTTGTTTGTTTGTTTGTTTTTTGAGAGAAAGTCTCACTCTTCCCCAGGCTGGAGTGCAGTGGCATGATCTCAGCTCACTGCAACCTCAGCCTCCCGGGTTCAAGCAATTCTCCTGCCCCAGCCTCCCAAGCAGCTGGGACTACAGGCACGCACCATCATGCTTGGCTAATTTTTGTATTTTTAGTGGAGACAGGGTTTCACCATGTTGGCTAGGCTGTTCTCAAACTCCTGACCTCTGAAAACATTACATTCTAATTATAGCAAACTTTAGAAAATATCTTTTTAAAAGAAGGATGATGAAAATTTTTTTTAAAAGAAGGGTGACATAAATGGGAATCATATATCCCCATTAACTGGTAAAATTCATCAGGGGAGCATATGGTCTGGTGCTTTTTTTTTTTTTTTGGAAGATTACTAATTATTGATTCAATTTCATTAATAGATATAGACCTATTCAGAGGATCTATTTCGCATATAAGTTTTGGTAATTGGTGCCTCAAAGAATTGGTCCATTTCATCTAAGTTATCAAGTTTGTGTGCATAGAGTTGTTTATAATACTCCTTTATTGTCCTTTTAATGTCCATGGGTAGTACTGACGACCTCTCTTTTATTGCTAACAAAATATTAGTAATTTGTTTCTTTTTTATGGTTAGCTTGCATGAGGTTTATCAGTTTGATTGAATTTTACAAAGAACAAGCTTTGGTTTTGTAGACATGCTCTTGATTTCCTATTTTTAATTTCATTGATTTCTGCTCTAATTTTTTCTATTCTTCTGCTTGTTTTAGGTTTCTATTGTTTCTCTAGTTCCTAAGTTAGAAGTTTAAATGATTGATTTTACGTCTTTCCTTTTTTTCTAGCACATTCATTCAATGCTTTAAATTTCCCTTTAAGGACTGCTTTCACTGCATCCCACGAGTCTTAAGTTGTATTTTCATTTTTGTTTGATCCAGAACATTTTAAAATTTCTTGAGACTTCTTTTTTTACCTACGCGTTATTTAGAAGTTCCCAAATATTTGGGAATTTTCAGCTTTCTGTTAGGATTTCTAATGTAATTCCATTGTGATCTGAAAGCATGCTTTATATGATTTCTATTCTTTGAAATTTGTTAAGGTGTGTTTCATAGCCCAGAATGTGGCATATTTTGATAAATGTCCAACGTGAATCTGAGAAGAATGTGTATTCTGCTGTTGTTAGATGAAGTACTTTAAAGTATCAATTAGATCCAGTTAACTGATGGTGCTATTCAGTTTAACTATGTTCTTATGACTTTCTGCCTGTTGGATCTGTCAATTACTGATTAGAGAGTATTGAAGTGTATTTTATATGAGTCCATTTGCTCTCCTCTCTTAGCATATCAATTGTGCCTCATTTTAAAATTTCTTTTTTTTTTTTTTTTGAGACGGAGTCTTGCTCGTTGCCCAGGCTGGAGTGCAGTGGCGCAGTCTTGGCTCACTGCAAGCTCCACCTCCCAGGTTCACGCCATTCTCCTGCCTCAGCCTCCCGAGTAGCTGGGACTACAGGCGCCTGCCACCACGCCCGGCTAACTTTTTGTATTTTTAGTAGAGATGGGTTTTCACCGTGTTAGCCAGGATGGTCTCGATCTCCTGACCTCGTGATCCGCCCGCCTCGGCCTCCCAAAGTGCTGGGATTACAGGCGTGAGCCACGGTGCCCGGCCTTTTTTTTTTCTTTGAGAGAAGTGTCACTCTTGTCCCCCAGGTTTGAGTGCCATGGCTTTATCTTGGCTCACTGCAACCTCCGCCTCCTGGGTTCAAATGATTCTCCTGCCTCTGCCTCTCAAGTAGCTGGGATTAAGGCACCTGCCACCACACCCAGCTAATTTTTGTATTTTTTAGTAGAGACGGTTTCACCATGTTGGCCAGGCTGGTCTCGAACTCCTGACCTCAGATGATCCACCCGCCTTGGCCTCCCAAAGTGCTGGGATTACAGGTGTGAGCTACCACGCCCGGTCTTAAAATTTCTTTAGTGGTTACCCTAGAGTTTTCAATCTAAATCAGCAAATCTAAGTCCTTTTTCAAATACCTATACCACTTCACAATTCCTCCCATCTCTTAGAACATTGTTGCCATTGATTTTACTTATCCATACACTAAAATCACCCATTACATTGTTGCAATTATTACTGTGAACATTTGTCTGCTATATCAATTAAGAATAATCAAAATAGTTTGCCAGGTGCACTGGTCCCCACTGGTAGTCCCAGTTACTTGGGAAGCTGAGGCAGAAGGATTTCTTCAGCCCAGGAGATCAACAACAACCTGGGCATCAGAGTGAAAGTCCTACTCAGCTACTCAGGAGGCTGAGGCAGCAGAATCGTTTGACCCTGGGAGGCGGAGGTTGCAGCGAGCCAAGATCGCGCCACTGTATTCCAGCCTGGGTGACAGAGTGAGACTCTGTCTCAAAAAAATTAATTAATTAATTAATTAATTAATTTTAAAGGAACAAAATAATGGCATTTGCAGTAACCTGGATGGAGCTGGAGTCCACTATTCTAAGTGAAGTAACTCAGGAATGGAAAACCAAATACCATACCGTGTGTTCTCACTTATAAGTGGGAGCTAAGCTATGAGGACACAAAGGCATAAGAATGATATAATGGACTTTGGGGATTCAGTGGGGAAGGGTAGGAGGGGGGTGAGGGATAACAGACTACACATTGGGTACAGTGCACTGCTTGGTTGATGGGTGCACCAAAATCTCTGAAATCACCACTGAAGAGCTCTCCATGTAACCAAACCACCTGTTCCCCAAAAAAACCATTGAAAAAAAAAATTTAAAAATGTATTTTACATTTATTCCTTCTCTCATATTCTTCCTATCTTTATGTACATCCAAGTTCCTGACCTATATCATTTTTCCTCTTTTTTTTTTTTTTGAGACGGAGTCTCGTTCTGTCGCCCAGGCTGGAGTACAGTGGCATGATCTCTGCTCACTGCAACCCTGCCTCCTGGGTTCAAGCAATTCTTCTGCCTCAGCCTCCCGAGTAGCTGGGAGTACAGGCACATGCCACCACGCCCAGCTAATTTTTGTATTTTTAGTAGAGACAGGGTTTCAACATATTGGCCAGGCTGGTCTCAAACTCCTGACCTCGTGATCCACCCACCTTGGCCTCCCAAAGTGCTGGGATTACAGGCATGAGCCACTGCGCCCGGCCATTTTTCCTCTCTCTGAAGAACTTCTTTTAAACATTTCTTGTAAGGCAGGTCTACTGTGAGAAATTCCCTCAGTGTTTGTCTAAGAAAATACTTCACTTTATTTATTTTAGAGACAAGGTCATTCTGTCACCAAGGCTGGAGTGCAGTGGTGCCATCATGGCTCACTGCAGCCTGGACCTCCAGGGCTCAAGAGATCCTCCCACCTCAGCTTCCCAAGTAGTTGGCACTACAGGTCCGTGCCACCATGCCCAGCTAATTTTTTTGATTTTCAATAGAGACAAGGTCTCGAACTCCAGGGTTCAAGTGATCCCCCCACCTTGGCCTCCCAAAATGCTGGAATTACAGGAATAAGCCACCATGCCTGGCCTCTCCTTCACTTTTGAAGGATAATTCTGCAAGACACTGTAAACCAAAAAGTATCTGAGACAGGTCTCAATTAGCTTAGAAGTTTATTTTGCCAAGGTTAAGAATGTGCCTGGAAGAAACAAACACGGAACCACAGAAACAGTCTGTGGTCTGTGCCTTTCTCCAAAGATGATTTTGAGGGCTTCAGTATTTAAAGGGGAAAAGCAGGCTGGAGGAGAAAGAAGGAGGGTGTGATCACATTACTGAATCCACATGTTGCAAGAGAAAAGGAGCAGGTAGGGGAATAGTCAATTATGTATTATTCATCACACGCTCAGTAAATCGGCACTTTACATGAGATAAGGTGAACATAGAATAACTATCTGTGGAGATATTTAACTTTTTTTTTTTTTTTTTTTTTTTTGAGACAGAGTCTTGCTCTGTCCCTGCTGGAGTACAGTGGCGCAATCTGCTCACTGCAGCCTCCACCTCCCAGGTCATACGTGGAGCTTCCAGGTCATATGTGGATTTAAGAATGTTCTGATTAGCAATTGGTTGAAAGAGTTAAGTTATTGCCTAAAGACCTAGAACCAATAGAAGGGACTGTCTGGGTTAAGAATTGTGAAGATGGCCGGACGCTGTGGCTCACTCCTGTAATCCCAGCACTTTGGGAGGCCGAGGCGGGCAGATCACGAGGTCAGGAGATCGAGGACATCCTGGCTAACACAGTGAAACCCCGTCTCTACTAAAAATACAAAAAAAAAAATTTGCCAGGCATGGTGGCGGGCATCTGTAGTCCCAGCTACTCGGGAGGCTGAGGCAGGAGAATGGCGTGAACCCGGGAGGCGGAGCTGGCAGTGAGCCGAGATCGCGCCACTGCACTCCAGCCTGGGCGACAGAGCGAGACTCCGTCTCAAAAAAAAAAAAAAAAGATAATATAGCAACAAGCATCATAAAAATGGTGAAGATTAGTCATCCAAGAGAGTTATAGTTACAATCATAGGGCTGTAAACAACCTAACCAGCCAAAAATCTCCTGCATGCATCATCATGCTTTTTGATCAGACTGACAATGTCTTTACCCTTCTTATCAAGGGCCACTTAAACCTTATGATAAATCTTATTTGAGGACCATAGGACCAACATCAAATCATAACCCAATAGATTTAATTTCTCTTCTGGCCAACTGGTCTCTGATATAGTTTAGGTATGTGTCTCCACCCAAATCTCATGTCAAATTATGATCCCCAGTGTTGGAGTTGGGGCATGCTGGGAGTTGATTAGGTAACGGGGGTGGATTTCCCCTTTATTGCTGTTCTTGTGCTAGTGAGTGAGTTGCCATAGGATCTGCTTGTTTAGAAGTATGTAGCACCTCCTCTTCTATCTCTTCCTCCTGCTCTAACCATGTAAGATGTGCCTGCTTCCCTTTTGCCTTCCACAATGATTGTAAATTTCCCGAGGCTTCCCCAGCCATGCTTCCTGTACAGCCTGTGGAACAGTGAGTCAATTAAACCTCCTTTCTTTATTTTTTTAATTGTATTTATTTATTTATTTAGAGACAGAGTTTCGCTCTTGTTGCCCAGGCTGAAGTGCAGTGGCATGATCTCGGCTCACTGCAACCTCTGTCTCCCGGGTTCAAGCGATTCTCCTGCCTCAGCCTCTTGAGTAGTTGAGATTTCAGGCGCACGCCACCATGCTTGGTTAATTTTTGTATTTTTAGTAGAGATGGGGTTTCACTATGTTGGCCAGGCTGGTATCGAATTCCTGACCTCTGGTGATCCACCCACCTCGGCCTCCCAAAGTGCTGAGATTACACGTGTAAGCCACTGCGCCTGGCCTAAACCTCCTTTTTTTTTTTTTTTTAAATAAATTACCCAGTCTCAGGTATGTATTTATTTATTTTTTGAGACAGAGTCTTGCTTTGTTGCCCAGGCTGGAATGCAATGGCACGATCTTGGCTCACTGAAATCTCTGCCTCCTGGGTTCGAGCAATTCTCCTGCCTCAGCCTCCTGAGTAGCTGGGATTACAGGCACCCACCACCATGCCCAGCTAATTTTTGTATTTTTAGTAGAGACGGGGTTTCACCATATCGGCCAGGCTGGCCTTGAACTCCTGAGCTCAAATGATCCACCTGCCTTGGCCTCCCAAAGTTCTGGGACTACAAGTGTGAGCCACCATGCCCAGCCAGGTATTTCTTTATAGCAGTGTGAGAATGGACTAATACAGTCTCCATAGGTATAACATCCTGAGGAGAGTATAAATCAAATTTGAGAAACATCTGGTCCTTAATGTCTAAATTGTCATAAGACTTGTTAATAGACAAATTGGTTTCTCCCACCACTTTTGTATTGCCCCATTGGTATTTGGGAGACAAAAGGAGGTTTTGTTACAGGAGAAGTCATATAATTCTATGGTGTCATTTTGTTGTTCCTCTCGACAAAAATGGCTCTTTCCATATACCAAATGTTATGTCCCACGGAGATGGATATTAGTGGTGAAGTTTGGGAAAAATCAAGGTTTCAAGTGGTTTGAAGGCACTCTTTTTTTCTGTTCTCACAATCTGAGAGGGAGCTGTGATGCCATGTGTTACTGTTACAGGTAGTTAGAGACAGGCATGAGTGGGGCAGGAAAGGGATCTCCTCCACTCAGGAGGAATGTCAGGTGATCATCAGTGATGGCTTGAAAATTATCACATTCCCTCTCTAAACTGATAATTTGGCAGCTGGCACCAGGGAGAGACAACCTCCTGATGTTCCACAGCTGCCACGGTAAAGTGTTAATTGAATGCAGGTGCCAGGGAGAGGCAACTTCCCAGTCATGCACATTAAGAGACAAAATTGTGGAGTATGACCTTTAGGGACCCTCCACCAGAAAAGGGAAGAAAGCCTCAGATGGGCATACATACAACTTCCTAAATACACTGCACGTGCTCACTTCCCAAGGGTAAAGAGGGCACTGCGCATGTGTGCAGCCCACCCTAAGGGAAGAATCATGGTAAGTGGGCCATGCTAAAGAGTCCTAGGATCATGGTTAAACGCCACACTTGTCCTTCAAGTTGCCTGCTTGGGTCTCTTCTATGTGTACTTTATTTCCTGTTCTAAAGCCTTTCTCTTTTCTCTCTCTTTTTTTTTTTCTTTCAACTTTTATTTTAACTTCAGGAGTACATGTGCAGGATGTGAAGTTTTGTTGCATAGTTAAACATGTGCCATGGTGATTTACTGCACATATCGTCCCATAACCTAGGGTTTTTTGTTTTTGTCTTTGTTTTTGAGATGGAGTCTCACTCTTTTGCCAGGCCGGAGTGCAGTGGCACAATCTCGGCTCACTGCAACCTCCTAGTCCCTGGTTCAAGCGATTCTCCTGCCTCAGCCTCCCGAGTAGCTGGGATTACAGGCACGCGCTATCATGCCCAGCTAATTTTTGTATTTTTAGTAGAGACAGGGTTTCACCATATTGGCCAGAATGGTCTTGATCTCGTGACCTCGTGATCCGCCCGCCTTGGCCTCCCAAAGTGCAGGGATTACAGGCGTGAGCCACCGTGCCCAGCCACCATAACCCAGGTATTAAGCCCAACATCCTGATGATCTCCCTCCCCACAATCCTCCCCAACGGGTGCCCAGTGTGTGTTGTTTCCCCCATGTGTCCGTGTGTTCTCATCAATCAGCTCCCACTTACAAGTGAGAATATGTGGTGTTTGGTTTTCTGTTCCTGTTTAGTTTGCTGAGAATAATGGCTTCCAACTCCATCCATGTCCCTGCAAAGAACATGATCTCATTCCTTTTTATGGCTGCATAGTATTCCATGGTGTATATGTACCACATTTTCTTTAGCCATTCTATCATTGATGGGCATTTGGGTTGATTCCATGACTTTGTTATTGTAAATAGTGCTGCAATGAACATACATGTGCATGTATCTTTGTAATAGAATGATTTGTATTCCTTTGGGTATATACCCAGTAATGGGGTTGCTGGGTCAAATGGTATTTCTGCCTCTAGGTCTTTGAGGAATTGCCACACTGTCTTCCACAATAGTTGAATTAATTTATATTCCCATCAACAGTGTAAAAGTGTTCCTATTTCTCTACAGCCTTGCCAGCATCTGTTGTTTCTTGACTTTTTAATAATCACCATTCTGACTGGTGTGAGATGGTATCTCATTGTGGTTTTGATTTGCATTTCTCTAATGATCAGTGACGTTCAGCTTTTCCTCATGTTTGTTGGCTGCATGGATGTCTTCTTTTCAGAAGTGTCATTTCATGTCCTTTGCCCCCCTCCTTTTTTTTTTTGAGACTGAGTCTCACTCTGTCACCCAGGCTGGAGTGCAGTGGCGCGATCTTGGCTCACTGCAAGCTTCGCCTCCTGGGTTCACAACATTCTCCTGCCTCAGCCTCCCAATTAGCTGGGACTACAGGCACCCGCCACCATGCCCAGCTGATTTTTTGTATTTTTAGTAGAGATGGGGTTTCACCGTGTTAGTCAGGATGGTCTCAATCTCCTGACCCGTGATCCACCTGCCTCAGCCTCCCAAAGTGCTGGGATTACAGGCGTGAGCCACCACACCCAGCCATCCTTTTTTTTTCTTTCTTTTTTTTTTTTTTTTTTTTTTGGGATGGAGTCTCAATCTGTTACCAGGCTGGAGTGCAGTGGTGTGATCTTGGCTCACTGCAACCTCCGCCTCCTGGGTTCAAGCAATTCTCCTGCCTCAGCCTCCCAAGTAGCTGGGATTACAGGCATGCGCCACCATGCCCAGCTAATTTTTGTATTTTTAGTAGGGATGGGGTTTTGTCATGTTGGCCAGGGTGGTCTCAAACTCCTGACCTCAGGTGATCTGCCCACCTCAGCCTCCCAAAGTGTTGGGATTACAGGCATGAGCCACCGCACCTGGCCGTTTGTCCACTTTTTAATGGGATTTTTTTTTCTTGTAAATTTGTTTAAGTCCCTTGTAGACTCTGGATATTAGACCTTTATCAGATGGATAGATTGCAAAAAATTTTCTCTCATTCTGTAGGTTGTCTGTTCACTCTGGTGATCCTTTCTTTTGCTATGCAGAAGCTCTTTAGTTTAACTAGATCTCATTTGTCATTTTTTCCTTTTGTTACAATGATTTTTGTTTTTGTAATGAAATCTTTTCCCATGCCTATATCCTGAATGATGTTGCCTAGATTTTTTTCTAGGGTTTTTATAGTTTTGGGTTTTACATTTAAGTCTTTAATCTGTCGTGAGTTAATTTTTGTATATGGTGTAAGGAAGGGTTCCAGTTTCAATTTTCTGCATATGGCTAGCCAGTTCTCCCAGTACCATTTATTAAATAGGGAATCCTTTCCCATTGCTTGTTTTGGTCAGGATTGTTGAAGATCAGATTGCTGTAGGTGTGTGGTCTTATTTCTGGGTTCTCTATTCTGTTCCATTGACCTGTCTGTTCTTGTACCAGTACCATGCTGCTTTGGTTACTGTAGCCTTGTAGCATAGTTTGAAATCAGGTAGCATAATGCTCCAGCTTTGTTCTTTTTGCTTAGGATTGGCTTGGTTATTCAGGCTTTTTTTTTTTTGGTTCCATATGAATTTTAAAATAGTTTTTTCTAATTCTGTGAAGAATGTCAATGGTAGTTTAATGGGAATAGCATTGAATCTATAAATTACTTGGAGCTTATGGCCATTTTCATATTGATTCTTCCTATCCATGAGCATGGAATTTTTCTCCATTTGTTTTTATTCCCTCTGATTTATCTGAGCAGTGGTTTGTAGTTCTCCTCAAAGAGGTTCTTCACTTCCTTGTTAGCTGTATTCCTAGGTATTTTATTCTTTTTGTAGCAATTGCGAATGGGAGTTCATTCATGATTTGGCTCTCTGCTTGCCTGTTGTTGGCGTGTAGGAATGCTAGTGATTTTTGTACATTAATTTTATATCCTGAGACTTTGTTGAAGTTGTTTAGCAGCTTAAGAAGCTTTTGGGCTGAGACTATGGGGCTTTCTAGATATAAGATCATGTCATCTGCAAACAAAGATAATTTGACTTCCTCTCTTCCTATTTGAATACCCTTTATTTATTCCTCTTGCATGATTGCCCTGGCCATGACTTCTAATACTATGTTGAATAGGAGTGGTAAGAGAGGGCATCCTTGTCTTGTGCTGGTTTTCAAAGGGAATGCTTTCACCTTCTAAAGCCTTTTAAAATAAACTTCCACTCCTGCTCTGAAACTTGCCTGTCTCTTTTTCTGCCTTATGCCTCTCAGTTGAATGCTTTCTTCTGAGGAGGTAAGATTGAGGTTGCTGTAGCCGCATAGGGATTTACTGCTGATAACTCAGATACCAACCAGTAACATTATCGTTAGCTAAAATAGTCCACCTGTTTCCCATGAGGAGTAGTCTTGTATTGTTTACAACAGTCCCAATGCCTGCCACTTAGACAACAGAATACTTTTGAGCCTCATTCAACTTTGGTGCCTGTGCTTTGAGAATGTAGTATTTGAGGTCACATTTACCATCCAAAAATTTCCATACATTTGAGGGACCACATACTCTCTATAGGTGTTTGGATTGTGCCTTAGCACTGAGGATTGCAGGTCACTGATTCATAGCTACCTAAGATTCCACTTGTAAAAACATAGACATGAGCCCTTTTGGGTTAGAGTACATGATTGTTCCCACCTTTGCATTTAGGAGTAAGTTTTCATGTTTGGTCTGGTTTCTTCTATCCATTTGATGAGTACTAGATTATCTTTTAAGGCAACTTCCCATCCTTTTCCCTTGTCTTGGAATAGCATTCCTTTTATGTGGCCTATTTTTTACATGGAATTTTTCTCTAAGGAATGCCTCTCTACATTCCTACATTACATTAGCTATAAACTCACCTTGCCCCAGTATACCTAGCGCAGCTTCAATTTTTCCAATGAGGTTGCATTCTAGTCTTTTGGGTGGCCAATTCTGATGTCTCCAGGAATGCTGTTGCCATAATATGCTAATGGAATTAGTGCAATTTGGATAAATGAAGTTAATCCAGAACTGTTGGGTGTCCCAAACAATTGTTAGGTGGGTGGAGGCCTACCAAAGTGCTGGAATCACAAGTTTTTGTTTTTTTTTTGTTTTTTGCTTTTTTTTTTACACAGAGTCACAAGTTTTGTTTTGTTTTGTTTTCACACAGAGTCCTGCCCTGACGCCCAGGCTGGAGTGCAGTGGCATGATCTTGGCTCACTGCAAACTCCGCCTCCCAAGCTCAAGCAATTCTCTTGCCTCTGCCTCACGAGGAGCTGGGACTATAAGAGTGCACCACAACGCCCAGCTAATTTTTTTGTGTATATATATATATATATACACAAATATATATATACAAACACATGCATATATATACATATATATATATGTATATATATATATTTTTTGTTGTTTTTGAGACGGAGTCTTGCTCTGTCGCCCAGGCTGGAGTGCAGTGGCGCGATCTCGGCACACTACCAGCTCCGTCTCTCAGGTTCACGCCATTCTCCTGTCTCAGCCTCCCGAGTAGCTGGGACTACAGGCGCCTGCCACTACACCCGGCTAATTTTTTTTTTTATATTTTTAGTAGAGACGGGGTTTCACCGTGTTAGCCAGGATGGTCTCGATCTCCTGACCTCGTGATCTGCCCACCTTGGCCTCCCAAAGTGCTGGGATTATAGGCGTGAACCACCGTGCCCAGCCTTTTTTGTATTTTTTTAGTAGAGAAGGGGTTTCACCATGTTGGCCAGGGTGGCCTGGAACCCCTGACATCTAGTGATCCACCCTCCTTGGCCTCCCAAAGTGCTGGGATTACAATCATGAGCCACCACGCCTGGCCATCCAGCCACGTTTTTCTTATATAGGGTTCTTGTCAATGTAAAGACTAAGCTCAGTTGTATCTATGTGCAGACGGGCAGACAGCATGACAAAATTTATTATTTTACTGATTTAATGAAAACTATGCTTGACCTTTTGGTGTGTAAGTACATTAAAGCATAACTATAATTATGTGAAAGGATACATTGTTATGGGGATCAGGACATCTGGACTTTCTGTTGTTGTAGGAGTTTGTCCTTACAGGCATTATCAAGCTGCTTTCTTAATTGTAAACATATCAGGACCATGGGTTGTCACTGGCAAGGAATGTGCCTTGCTAGTTTTAAGATGGGGTTGATTTTTCAATGGTGTCACTGGCTCTCCTAGGCTCCTGCTTCCCTAATAAGAGGACTGCTTGAGGCCAGGAGTTTGATGCCACCCTGGGCAAAATATTGATACCTTGTCACTACAAAAAAAAAATTAGCTAGATGTGGCAGTGTGTGCTTGTGGTCCTGGCTACTGGAAGGCTGAGGCAGGAGGATTGCTTGACCCCAGGTGTTGGAGACTGCAGTGAGCTATGATCGTGCCACTGCACTTCAGCCTCAGAGACAGAATGAGACCCTGTTTCTTTCCCTCTTTTTTTGGCTTCATATTTTGTAATATTTTATTTGAGCACTGAAAAATTCTAGAAGTTACATAAATATAAGTAACTCATTTTACAGATTAAAAATTTGAGATTGAAATATTAGGCAACTTGCATGAGGTCAAAACGTGGCAAGATACAGAACAGAGACTGAACATACGACTCAAGATTTTCTGCATGTTTTACATTGGTGGGCTCAAATTTATTCAAATGACAGAGCCTCTAAGTGTTATGGTGTCCCTTGAGAAACATCTGCTTAATTCACAAGACTACATTATATGTACACAATATGAGAATCATGAGAACATATGTCCATGTCAAAAACATATGTCCATGTCAAAACTGTCTGCTAAAAGAAATATGAACTATTTATAAGTTTTCCATGAATATTCATATAGCAATTAATAATCAATTTACTACAACCCTATGAGACAGATACTAGTATTACCCTCCTTTTGCAGATAAGAAAATGGCATAGAGAAGTTAAGTCACTGGCCCAGGGTCACACAGCAAGAAGTGAAGATGAGCCTCCAACTCAGGCTGTCTGACTGTAGAACTCATGATCTTTAAGCATTATTCCATCATTTTGTCATCAATGAGGAGGAACAAAAACATTTACACATTAGTTCGTATGTGTGTTTCTCTGTGAGAGACCCTATTTCTAAAAAAAAAAAAAAAAGAATTTGTTGAAAGGACGCCACATGCAAAATTGATTGGAAGGGCAAACAACCAGTTCAGAAAATGTGAAAGAACAAATATTTCTCTGGCAGCCAGAACTAAAGCAAAACTCAAGTCAGTGCAAATATCAATAAGTCTGATAACACATTTCTAGGAGGGATGGGTGAAATGGCACCATTATATATTGCTGGTGTAGCATAAATGGGCATAACTTCTCCAGAAGGCACTTCTGTAATACCTTGTCAAAATTCCAAATGCCAAATGTACACACCTTTTGAGAAATTGCTTCTAAAAATATTTTGGCATAGAAGTGAAATAATGTAAGTAGAAGAGTATTCACAACAGCACTGTTTGTAATGGCAAAAGATTATAAGTCACTTAAATGTCCACCAATGGAAACTTAGTGGATTATGATACATTTTTACAATGTCTACTCTGAAGATAAAAAAAAAAGAGTGAGCAGGTCCTTGATGTACTCATATGGGACATGCTACATAGCATTAGAAGCAGTTTATATACGTAAAATATATATGTATTTTACATACGTACAAAAATACACACATGTAAATGAAAAACAAAACTATAAGCCCTCAAATGACTAAATGGACCCCCTCTTAGCCAAGAAGACACCAGAGAAATCTTAAAAATTAGTTCCTGGCCATGACAGGAAAGGAGGTCAGAAAGGCCTCAAGACATCCCCTCCCTTTTGGAATTTAGGCACAACTGACTAGCAATAATGTTACAATAGAAATCAAAAGACTGACAGAACAAACTCTGTGGCAATAAAATACCAAATTATAAACAGGACCTAAAGCCATGCAAGGCAAGGGTTAGGTCACACCTGCAGGCCATCTGTCTTGATAAGTAGGTCATTTTGACCCAGTATATTGAAGCTTGCTCTCACAACCGGACTCTGACACAGCATCCTTATCCCAATTTCAACATTCCTTTCTGCTAACTCCAAGTTTTTAGACAAAGCTTTGTTCCTTTAACCCACTGCAAATTTAAAAAATCTCTGAACCCACTGTGACCTGTAAGCCCCTGCTTCAAGATATCTCATGTTTTCGGGCTAAACTAGTGTATAACCTCCATGTATTGATTTACGGTTTTGGCTGTAACTTTTGCTTCCCTAAAATGTATAAAACAAAGTTACATTCTTGAACTCCTGATCTCAAGTGATCCGCCTCCCTAGGCCTCCCATAGCGCTGGGAGTATAGGCTTGAGCCACCACTCACCGCCATAGACAAAGTTACATTCTGACTGCCTCAGGACCACTTACTCAAGGCTTCTTGGGTTTGTGTTTTCCCTGGGCCTCCATCACTCATACTGGCTCAGAATAAACCTTAAAATACTTCACAGGGCCAGGCATGGTGGATCAAGCCTATGATCCCAGCACTTTGGGAGGCCAAGGTGGGGGAATTGCTTGAGCCCAGGAATTTGAGACCAGCCTAGGCAACATAGTGAGACTCCATCTCTTAAAAAAAATATATATATATATATATTTTAGTGTGTGTGTGTATATATATATAATGTGTATATATATATTATATATATATTTATATATATATATAAAATATATATATACACATTATATATATATTTTATATATATATATATAAATATATATATAATATATATATACACATTATATATATATACACACACACACACACATAAGCCAGGCACGGTGGCTCATGCCTGTAATCCCAGCACTTTGGGAGGCTGAAGTGGGCAGATCACAAGGTCAGAGTTCAAGACCAGCCTGGCCAATATGGTGAAACCCCGTCTCTACTAAAAATATAAAAATAAGCTGGGTGTGGTGGCACATGCCTGTAGTCCCAGCTACTCGGGAGGCCGAGGCAGAAGAATCGCTTGAACCCAGGAGGCAGAGGTTGCAGTGAGCCAAGATCACACCACTGTACTCCAGCCTGGGTGACAGAGTGACACTCTGTCTAAAAAAAAAAAAAAAAAAAAAAAATTAAAAATTAGGCTGGTGTGGTGGTGTGTGTCAGTAGTCCCAGCTACAGGAGGCTGAGGTGGGAGGGTCATGTGAGCCCAGGAGTCTGACAGTCTGAGGCTGCAGTGAGCCATGATCATGCCACTGTACTCCAGCCTGGGTGACAGTGAGATTCTGACTCCCAAAAATAAAATACAATATTTTACAGTTTGTTTGTTTGATTTTAGGTCTGGCTTTATACCCCAGGCTGGAGTGCAGTGGTGCCATCTTGGCTCACTGCAACCTCTGCCTCCTAGGTGCAGGCCATCCTCCCACCTCAGCCTCCCAAGTAGCTGGGACTACAGGCACGTGCCACCATGCCAGGCTAATTTTAGTATTTTTTTGTAGAGATGGGGTTTCTCCATGTTGCCCAGGCTGGTCTTGAACTCATGAGCTCAAGCAATTCGACCATCTCGGCCTCCCAAAGTGCTGGGATTACAGGTGTGAGCCACTGCACCCAGTGGTTTTTTCTGTTGACATATAGTATGCTGCAATTTTAGTAAAACAAAACATGGGCAGAAAAGATATGTGTACTGTCATATATATGCATAAAATAAGCCTGAAAGGATACACACAAAATTGATAACACTGGAAAAGAAAACTAGGAGTATATTCATCAAGGACTTCCAGAGAGACAGAACCAATAAGATGGCTGGATAGATGGATAGGTAGATAGACACACAGATGATTGATGGATGGATAGATAGATAGATAGATAGATAGATAGATAGATAGATAGATGAGTGGAACTGGCTTATTAGGGAACTCCCCTTATTAGGGGAACTGGCTCATGAGATTATGGAGGCTGTGAAGTCCCACTGCAGCTGGAAAGTCTGGGATCCTGGTCATGTGGCTCAGTCCAAGTCTAAATGTCTCAAACCAGGGGAACTGATGGTGTAACTCAACTCTCAGCCTGAGAAGGCAGGGGACTGCCTGCATCAGTCCTGGAGTCCAAAGAGCCTGGAGTTCTGATGTCCAAGGACCAGAGCAGAGCATCTCAGCTTTAGCAGAGAGCGGAAATTGCCCTTCTTCTGCCTTTTTTTCCCATCTGGCTAATTGGACTGTGTCTGCCCACATTGAGGGGAGATCTTCCAATTCAATCAGATTTAGCTGCCAATCTCCTCTGGAAACACCCAGAAATAATGCTTTACCAGTACTCTAGGTATTCCTTAATTCAATTAAGCTGATGCGTAATATTAACTATCATAAGGTGTTTAAGAAACGGGGGACCAGGCACGGTGGCTCACACCTGTAATCCCAGCACTTTGGGAGGCCGAGGCAGGTGGATCACGAGGTCAGGAGTTTGAGACCAGCCTGGCCAGAAACCCCATCTCTACTAAAAATAGAAAAAGTAGCTGGGTGTGATGGTGTGTGCCTGTAGTCCCAGCTACTCAGGAGGCTGAGGCAGAAGAGTCGCTTGAACCAGGGAGGTAGAGGTTGCAGTGAGCTGAGATCACGCCACTGTACTCCAGCCTGGACAACAGAGTGAGACTCCGTCTAAAAAAAAAAAGGAAAAACAGGGATAAGATGGACAGGAGAGACCTTTTACTGTATATTCTTTATATGCTTTGGATTTTGAACCAACTTTAATACCAATTTGAAACATCAGTAAAAAGTCACATTAAAGATTCTTGTTAATTGGCCAGGCATGGTGGTTCACGCCTATAATCCCAGCACTTTGGGAGGCCAAGGTGTGTGGATGATCACTTGAGGTCAGTGGTTCGAGACCAGCCTGGCCAACATGGTGAAACCCCATCTATACTAAAAATACAAAATCTAGTTGGGTGTGGTGGCACATGCCTGTAATCTCAGCTACTAGGGGCGCTGAGGCAGGAGAATCGCTTGAACCTGGGAGGTGTAGGTTGTAGTGAGCTGAGATTGTGCCACTGCACTATAGCCTGGGCAACAGAGTGAGACTCTGTCTCCAAAAAAAAAAAAAAAAAAAAATTATTGTTAATTTGTTAATACACTTCTAATGCAGCTCCAGAACATGGATGTTACTACTGCTGCCACCACCAGAATGAATTCTAAATACCTTGCTTCTTTGTGTCACTTGTTGAGATTCAAAATCCTGGAAAAGACCACACGTGTTCACAACTCATTTCCACAGCCTCTCTGCCAGGAGTGCCTGCTTTTCCTTCTGCAGATAATCCCTGGTCACAAGGAGACACGCCCAATACAAGGTTGTCCAAGCATACAAAGGGATTTCAGATGCCACACAATCCATATAACAACAAATTCTGTGGGAACATCTTTTTATATAAATACACACAGATCCATCTCATTCTTTTTAATGGCAGCATAAGATTCTGTAGTATAAATGTTTGTTTACTAGATATTTGTTTATATGAAAGAACATTTTGCTTTGAGAGATAAAGCTTTATTGTCTTTGAGTATTTTCCTACTATACATAAAAATAATCCTAATCGGCCAGGGGCAGTGGCTCACGCCTGTAATCCCAGCACTTTGGGAGGCTGAGGTGGGTGAATCATGAGGTTAGGGGTTCAAGACCAGCCTGGCCAACATGGTGAAACCCCCTCTCTACTAAAAAAAAAAAAATACAAAAAATTAGGTTGGCGTAGTGGCGAGCACCTATAATCCCAGCTACTTGGGAGCCTGAGGCAGGAGAATCGCTTAAACCTTGGAGGCAGAGGTTGCAGTGAGCAGAGATCACGCCACTGCACTCCAGCCTGGGTGACTTGACAGATGAGAGTCCGTCTCAAAATAAATAAATAAATAAAACAAAATAAAAAAATCCTAACCATGGCTAAAATTTAAAAGTATATTATAACTTGTTACTCCAAGAAGAATTTATATATTTCTAAATTACAAGACCTTTTCATTCTCTTGAAATTAAACCCATCTTTCCCTCAAGTACAGCATTAAAAAATAAGTTGAAAACTGTTATATAGGCCGGGTGCGGTGGCTTATGCCTGTAATCCCAAAACTTTGGGTGGCAGGTGGATCACCTGAGGTTGGGAGTTTGAGACCAGCCTGACCAACATGGAGAAACCCCGTCTCTACTAAAAAAACAAAATTAGCTGGGTGTGGTGGCACATGCCTGTAATCCCAGCTACTTGGGAGGCTGAGGCAGGAGAATTGCTTGAACTCAGGAGGCGGAGGTTGCAGTGAGCCAAGACTATGCCATTGCACTCGAGCCTGGGCAACAAGAGCGAAACTCCATTTCAAAAAAAAACAAAACAAAACAGGCTGGGTGCGGTGGCTCACGCCTGTAATCCCAGCACTTTGGGAGGCCGAGGCAGCCGGATCACGAGGTCAGGAGATCCAGACCATCCTGGCTGACAGGGTGAAACCCCATCTCTACTAAAGAAAATACAAAAATTAGCCGGGCATGGTGGTGGGCGCCTGTAATCCCAGCTACTCGGGAGGCTGAGGCAGGAGAATGGCATGAACCCGGGAGGTGGAGCTTGCAGTGAGCTGAGATCCTGCCACTGAACTCCAGCCTGGGTGACAGAGCAAGACTCCATCCAAAAAAACAAAAACAAAAACAAATAAACGAACTGTTATATAAAATTCTTAATTATTCTAACTTGTTCTGATGCAACAATATTTGTTTTATTGCAAAGCACAATATTTTTACTACTTTATTGCCTCCTGTGCTAGACCTGGGCCTAACCTGAATGCTGAATTATCACAAATAGCCTATCAGTATTATCGTGTTTTTATTTACGTTAAGGCTTATCATTGTTCTACTGTTTAAAATACAAACAAAGGAAGTCTTAAAATTGAAAAAGCAATATCAAATGCAACTGTTTCATGAAATCTTTGCTAACCTGATTTTTCCAATAGATGGTGTGGCTCATATCTGCATATTTTCTAGTAGAGGACATCAACAGTATCCCTTGTGTAAAACAAATAATGAAAAGGTAGGTGGATTGGAGCATAGTCTGAAATTCCGCAAGTAACAGATGGTAAACCTAAATCCAGACGGGTCAATGACCTCATGTGTACGGTGGTGATGGCAGGGGCTGCTACCATCACGCCGGCTGCAGCAGGGAAGTGCAGCTGGGGTTGCACACTCCATGGAGCAAGGGGGAGCCCGGCCCCTTCTAAGTTGGGATGGGAGCTCCCTGTGCAGCTGCAGCTGCCGAAAACGCACCTGCAGATCCAGGCCTCCTGCTCTACTCCACCGAGCAGGCAGAAGCCCCACCCTCCTGGGCAGGGCTGCAGCCGCCCAAAATGCAGCAATGGATCCGAGCCTCCCTGTACTCTTGGGAGAGCTGGGAACAAGTAGGATCTGCCCTTCCAGGTGTAGCTGCAGCTGCAGCACCCGCAGCTGCAGGTCTGGGCCTCCGGCTCCAGGAACAGGCAGGAGCCAGGGACAAGCGGGAGCCCCACCCGACACATCCCTACCCCCCACCAACCCCCACCACCTGTCCCTGCAGGCTCAGGGGTGTCTGCTCTCACTGCCTGGCCTCTCTCCACTCCCCACACCCACTCTGATCTCGGAGCAGGGTTGGAACCAAGCCCCAGGACCATGAATGGCAGCAGGAGGAAGATAGAGTCCTGGGCGGAAGGGGGCAGGGTCCCCAGTAAGGCCTCGCCCTCAGGCCAGGGAGCACCTGAAGGCTGGGGGCTGTGCTGCCATTTTCTCTGGCGGGAGTGGGAATTCGTGGTGACTCTTCTAGGCCCGCCCATGGCTGCCCATGGACCAATCAGCATGCACCTCCTCCCCACTGAGGTCCATAAAAGCCCTGGGCTCAGCAAGAGCAGGGCAGACGATGGCCAGGTGACATAGAGGATGCAGAGAGGGAGCAACTAGCTGCAAAGAGTACTACCTTCTCCATTGAGAGCTGCAGAGACGACCTGCCGGCAGAGAGGAGCTACCCTCTCTGCTAAGAGCTTCAGAGACCTGCGGAGACGTCCAAATTACTTGCCTGCAGAGAGGAGGCACCCTCTCCAGGGCCTCCTCTCTGCTGAGAGCTGAACACTCCACAGGACAACCTGCCTACAGAGAGGAGCTACCCACTCCTCTGACCTGTTCTAACACTAAATATAACTCTTCTTCTTTGACCAGGCACAGTGGCTCATGCCTGTAATCCCAGCACTTTGGGAGGACAAGGCGGGTGGATCACGAGGTGAGGAGTTCAAGACCAGCCTGACCCACATAGGGAAACGCCATCTTTGCTAAAAATACAAAAATTAGTCAGGCGTGGTGGCACCTGCCTGTAATCCCAGCTACTTTGGAGGCTGAGACAGGAGAATCACTTGAGTCCGGGAGGCGGATGTTGCAGTGAGCCGAGATCGCGCCACTGCAGTCCAGCCTGGGCAACAGTGCTAGACTCCATCTCAAAAAAAACAACAACAAAAAACAAAACTCTTCTTTACCTTTCACTTGTCTGCATACCTCATTCTTCCTGGATACAGGACAAGAACTCAGGCAAAGGCGCCATGGCCACAGAGGTTTCCAGCCAAAAAAGTTGATAACCCAGAGATCCCATAACAGTGGTATCCTAAATCCTAGACTCCATCTCCTTTTTCTTTCTTTTTTTTTTTGAGACCTCCTTGTTCAACTTAAAAAATCATTTTTCCCTTTCTAATCTGAGCAATATGCAGCAAATTTGGAAGCGTAAAATAAAGAACTCGATTCTTTATTCAAGCAGAATATGAATGGCCATTTGTCAAAAATGCCGTGTAACTGGCAAAACTGGTTGTTTGATTTTTAGGTAATTTCCAATTCTGTCATTCTGGGTGTCGACAAGTAGAGCCAGACAATAACTTGAAATAAAATATGGAAAAAAATTCAATTTACCTTGACGACTAACTGCAACTAAGTGATAAAGTAAAATAAACATGAAAATCCTAATTTTTGCCAGGTGCAGTGGCTCACGCCTGTAATCCCAACACTTTGGGGGGCTGAGGCGGGCGGATCACCTGACGTCAGGAGTTCAAGACCAGCCTGGCCAACATGGTGAAACCCCGTTTCTACTAAAAATACAAAAATTAGCCAAGCGTGGTAGCATGCGCCTGTAGTCCCAGCTACTCAGGAGGCTGAGGCAGGAGAATCACTTGAACCCAGGAGGTGGAGGTTTGCAGTGAGCCAAGATCGCATCACTATACTCCAGCCTGGGCGACAGAGTGAGACCCTGTTTCAAAATTTAAAAAAAAAAAAAAAATCTCAATTTTTTAGACTAAAGTGTGGAGTAAGCTTGGTGTTATACAACCACATGTCACTTATTGACAGAAATACATTTTGAGAAATGCATCATTAGGTTATTTCATCATTGTGTGAACATCATAGATTTTACTTACACAAATCTATATAGTACAGCCTACTACACCCCTAGGCTATACTGTATAGCCCGTTGCTCTGAACACTATCATATATGCAGTCCATTGTTAACTGAAACATGTGGTGCATGGCTATATATTAAAACGAGGAAATCCCAAAAACTAGAGAATAATCTGGACCCTGAAGCAGACCTAAAACACATCAGAGTTAGAAATGTCTTTCCATGGGTGATATGCTTTGGTTTTGTGTCCCCACCGAAATCTCATCTCAAATTGTAATCCCCATGTATTGAGGGAGGGACCTGGCGGGAAGTGATTAGATCATGGGGGTGTTTTCCCCCCATGTTCTCACAGTTTCCACTGTTCTCACAGTAGCGAGTTCTCACGAGATCTGATGGTTTAAAAGTGTTTGGCAGTTCCTCCACCACCACCGCCATGTAATGTATGCCCTGCTTCCCCTTGACCTTCCACCATGATTTTACGTTTCCTGAGGACTCCCCAGCCATTCAGAACTGTGAGTCAAATCTCTTTTCTTTATAAATTTTCCAGTCTCAGATATTCTTTATAACAGTGTGAAAATGGACTAATACAATGGGCCAAGCATGGTAGCTCACCCCTCGAATCTCAGGGGTTTGGAAGGCCAAGGTGGAAGAATTGCTTGAGGCCGGGAGTTTAAGACTAGCCTGGGTGGGCCGGGCGCGGTGGCTCACGCCTGTAATCCCAGCACTTTGGGAGGCCGAGGTGGGCAGATCACGAGGTCAGGAGTTCAAGACCAGCATGACCAACATGGTGAAACCCCGTCTCTACTAAAAATACAAAAATTAGCCGGGCATGGTGGCACGTGCCTGTAATCCCAGCTACTCAGGAGGCTGAGGCAGGAGAATCACTTGAACCTGGGAGGCAGAGGTTGCAGTGAGCCGAGATCACTCCATTGCACTCCAGCCTGGGTGACAGAGCGAGACTCTGTCTCAAAAAAAAAAAAAAGACCAGCCTGGGCAACACAGTGAGAGTCCATCTCTACAAAAAATTTAAAAATTAGCCAGGTGTGGTGGAACGCACCTGTAGTCCTAGCTACTCAGGAGGCTGTGGGGGGAGGATTGCTTGAATCCAGGATTTCAAGGCTGTAGTGAATTATGATTGTGCCACTGCACTACAGCCTGAGCAACACAGCTGTAAGTAAAAAAACAAAAATGTCTTTCAGACCAAGTTCTTTTCCTGCCTGCAGAGAAACCCGAGAAAACAAGACAGAGACCCTGCTCTCATCAAGATTATAATCTAGTGAGGATACAAACAAGTAGACAGGCAATTATAGCACACACATTGTCAGTGGAAGCTCTGGGAACCATGGGAGCCCATCCAAGGAGCACCAACCAGATGTCAGTATAAGGGAAGGCTTCCTGGAGAAAGTGATAGCTAATCTGGAACCTGCAGAGTGGGCATTAGTGAGGCCACAAGGTGCAATGAGAAAAGGTCTGACAGGGAAGAAGAGACAATGTATTTTCCAGAATCTGAAAGTAATTTGCTATGACTGAAGTATGCATGTCTTTCTCCTTCTTCTGTTTTTATTTATTTATTTATTTATTTATTTATTTTTACAAAATGACAGCATACTATATAAACTGCTTCTGATCTTACAGCATGTTCTATATTAATATATCAAGTGTGAGGATGAAGGCTGAGGCAGGTGGATCCCCTGAGTCCAGGAATTTGAGACCAGCCTGAGCAACATGTTGAAACCCCATCTCTACAATAAATACATAAAGAATTAGCTGGGCAGCCGGGCATGGTGGCTCATGCCTGTAATCCCAGCACTTTGGAAGGCCAAGGTGGGTGGATTGCCTGAGGTCAGAAGTTCGAGACCAGCTTGGCCAACATGGTGAAACCCCATCTCTACTAAAAATACAAAAATTAGCTGGGCGCAGTAGCACGTGCCTGTAATCCCAGCTACTCAGGAGGCTGAGGCAGGAGAATCACTTGAAACCGGGAGACAGAGGTTGCAGTGAGCCGAGACCATGCCACTTCACTCCAGCCTGGGTGACAGAACAAGACTCTGTCTCAAAAAAAAAAAGAATTAGCTGGGCATGGAGGCACACACCTGTAGTCCCAGATACTCAGGGAGCTGAGCCGGGAGGATTGCTTGAGCCTGAAATGGGGAGGTCGCAGCGAGCCGAGATTGCGCCACTGCACTCCAGCCTCGGCAACAGAGCTGGGATCCTGTTAAAAAAAAAAAAATTGTGAGGATGAGTCAGAGGTATAAAGATGAGCCAGAAAGGCAAGCAGTGAAAATGTATAAAGAAATTTATAAGCTATTTTAAGTAAATTGGACTTGTACCTGATTGCTATGGCCAGCCAATTAAAGATTTTAATCAGTGAAGAGACATGATCAGATTTGTATTTTATCAAGATCACTCTGGCTGCAACATAAAGCAGGGTCTAAAATATTTTTATTTTTGTTCTTTGGACATAGTTGGTGGTCTGGTAAAGCCTACAGATCCCATCTTGAATAATTATTTAAATGCCTAAAATAAAATGTGTAGGAATACACACAAAAAATGAAATTAGCAAAATAATTTCATTCACAATAGCCTCAAAAAGAAGAAAATACTTGGGAATAAAAGAAGTATAAAATTCATACTCTTGGCTGGACATGGTTGTTCATGCCTGTAATCCCAGCAATTTGGGAGGCCAACTGGGAGGACCGATTGAGCCCAGGTGCTTGAGGCCAGCCTGGGCAACATAGCGGGACCTTGTCTCTACCAAAAAAACAAACAAAAAAATTAGTCAGGTATAGTGGTGTGCACCTGTAGTCCCAGCTACTCAGGAGGCTGAGGCAGGAGGATTGCCTAAGCCCAGGAGGTTAATGCTGCAGTGAGCCAAGATCGTGCCACTGCACTCCAGCCTAGGTGACAGAGTGAGACCTTGTCTCAAATAAATAAATAAAATAAAATTAGTACCCTGAAAATTACAAATTATTGTTGAAAGAAATTAAGGAATACCTAAATTAATGAAGAATAGACCATGTTCATGGATTGGAAGACAATGTTGTTAAAATGGAAATATTCCCCAAATCGATCTACATTCAAAACAATCATGATCAAAATCCTACTTGATCCTAAAATTCATGTAGAAATGCAAGGGATGAAGAATAAGTCACAATAATCCTGAAATAGAAGCACAAATTTAGAGAAGTTCCTGATTTCAAACTTTTACAAAGTTACAGTAATCAAGACATTGTGGTGCTTGGGATAAGAGTAGACACATAAATTAATGGAATAGAACTGAGACTCCAGAAATAAACTTTTCTTTTTATGGTCAATTGAATTTTAACAAGGGTGCCAAGACCATTCAACGGGGGAAAGAATAGTCTTTTCAACAAATGGTCCTGGAACAAGTAGATATCCACATGCAAAAGAAATGAAGTTTGACTCCTTCATAACACCATACACAGAAATTAACTCAAAATGAATCATAGACCTAAATGTAAGAGGTAAAACTAGAACACACAGAGAAGTTGTAGGAGAAAATGTCCATGACCTATGTTAGGGAAAGACATGACAATGGGCTGTGTGTTGTATCTCCTGCCTGTAATCCCAGTGCATTGGGAGGCCAAAGCAGGATGATTGCTTGATGCCAGGAGTTTGAGACTAGCTTTAGCTACATGGTGAGCTTGTGTCTACAAATTTTTTTTTTAATTAGCCTTGTGTGGTGGTGCATGACTGTAGACCTAGCTACTTGGGAGGCTGAGGCAGGAGGATCACAGTAGCCCAGGAGTCTGGAGTTACAGTGATCTATGATTGTGCCACTGCACTCTAGCCTGGGTGGCAGAGCAAGACATTGTCTCATAAAAAAGAAAAAAAATTAAAATTTAAAAAGGAGAGGCATGACACCAAAAGCACAAACAATGAAAGCAAAATATATTGGACTTCATCAAAATAAAAAACGTTTGTGCTTCAAAGAACACAATAAAGAAAGTAAAAATGCACGGTGTATTAGTCAGCTGGACCTGCCATAACAAAACGTCACAGACTGGATGGCCTAAATAACAGAAAGTTATTTCCTCACAGTTCTGGAAGCTGGAATACCAAGACCAAGGTACCAGCAGGTGTGTTTTCCTCTGAGGCCTTTCTCCTTGGCTTGCAGATGGCCACCTTCTCTCTGTGTCCTCACATGGCCTTTCCTCTGTGCCAGTGCATTCCTGGTGTTTCTTGTGTGTCCTAATCTCCTCTACTTTTTTTCTTTTTTTTTTTTTGAAACGGGGTCTCCCTCTTTCGCCCAGGCTGGAGTGAAGCGGCGCACTGCTCACTGCAACCGCTGCTCCGCCAGTTCAAGCAATTCTGCCTCAGCTTCCTGAGTAGCTGGGATTACAGGCGCCCACCAACACACCCAGCTAATTTTTGTGTTTTTAGTAGAGATGGGGTTTCACCATGTTGGCCAGTTGGTCTTGAACTCCTCCCAAAGTGCTGGGATTACAGGCGTGAGCCACCATGACCGGGCCTCCTCTTCTTATAAAGACACCCTACTGGCTTCATTTTAACTTAATTACCTCCTTAAAAGTATCTCCTAATACAGTCACATTTGTACTGGGGTTAGGGTTTCCTTCATTTCCACCAAACGAAGATGTGTAAGTTAAATATGGTATATCCATGCAATGGAATATTAGACCATACAAAGGAATGAAATATTGATACATGCCAAAGCATAGATGAACCTTGAAAATATTATGCTAAGTAAAAGAAGCCAGATACGAAAGATCATATATTGTATCATATTCTATAATTCAGTTTATATAAAATATCTATAGAGACAGAGTAGATTAGTGGTTGCCTCAGTCTGAGGGAGGGGGTGAAGCTGAGAAGAAATGGGAGGTGACTGCTAATGCATACAGGGTTTCTTTGGGAGTGATGAAAAATAATGTTTAATTGTCATAATGATTGTACAACTCTGTGAATATACGAAACATTAAACTATATACTTTAAATAGGGAATTATATGATAAGTCAATTTTTTTTTTTTTTTTTTTTTTGAGACGGAGTCTCGCTCTGTCGCCCAGGCTGGAGTGCAGTGGTGCGATCTTGGCTCACTGCAAGTTCTGCCTCCCGGGTTCACGCCATTGTCCTGCCTCAGCCTCCCAAGTAGCTGGGACTACAGAGGCACGCCACCACGCACAGCTAATTTTTTTGTATTTTTAGTAGAGACGAGGTTTCACTGTGTTAGCCAGGATGGTCTTGATCTCCTGACCTCGTGATCTGCCCGCCTCGGCCTCCCAAAGTGCTGGGATTACAGGCATGAGCCACCGCGTCCAGCCATGATATGTCAATTGTATCTCAATAAAGCTATTAAAAATACATAGGATTACAAACAAATCCAATTATTTTAAAATACAGTTTTCAAAAAAGAAGTTTTTTTTTTGAGATGGAGTCTCACTCTGTTGCCCTGGCTGGAGTGCAATGGCGCGATCTGGGCTCACTGCAACCTCTGCCTCCAAGCAATTCTCCTGCCTCAGCCTCCCGAGTAGCTGGGATTATAGGTGCCAGCCACCAGGCCTGGCTAATTTTTTTAATATTTTTTTTTTAGTAGAGATGGGGTTTCACCATGTTGGCCAAGCTGGTCTCGAACTCCTGACCTCAGTTGATCTGCCCACCTCAGCCTCCCAAAGTGCTGGGATTATAGACATGAGCCACTGCGCCAAGCCTAAAATATTTTAAAAGCATAAGATAGTATTGAGCCAGGCGTGGTGGCTCATGGGATTACATGCCTGTAATCCCAGCACTTTGGGAGGCTGAGGCGGGTGGATCACCTGAGGTCAGGAGTTCGAGACCAGCCTGGCCAACGTGGTGAAACCCCATCTGTACTAAAAATACAAAATATTAGCTGGACGTTGTGGTGGGCGCTTGTAATCCCAGCTACTAGGGAGGCTGAGCCAGGAGAATCGCTTGAACCTGGGAGGTGGAGGTTGCAATGAGCCAAGATCGCGTCATTGCACTCCAGCCTGGGCAACAAGAGCGAAACTCTGTCCCAAAAAAAAAAAAAAAGATAATATTATATGTGCTTCTTTATACATAAGAAGATCTAGATCTAGCAGTAGGTCTTATCAATAACTACCATATTTCAGAGAACCAATGAATATAAATGATAATTTGAGATATTTGCAACAACTGCAACATGATATAAAATATTTACAATTTCTTTCTTTTTTTTGAGATGGAGTCGTACTCTCACCCAGGCTGGAGTGCAGTGGCTTGATCTTGGCTCACTACAGCCTCTGCCTCCACCTCCCAGATTCAAACAATTATCCTGCCTCAGCTCCCCAAGTAGGGTGGGGTGCTACAGGCACCTGCCACCACACCCAGCTAATTTTTGTATTTTTAGTGGAGATGTGGTTTCACCATGTTGGCCAGGCTTGTCTTGAACTCCTGACCTCAAGTGATCCGCCTGCCTCGGCCTCCCACAGTGCTGGGATTACAGGTGTGAGCCACTGTGCCCAGACTTGAAATATTTATAATTTCTATTGTTAGTAAAGTTACAGGTAGTGCTAATATTATTGTGGCTTATTGCTTACATTCATAAAAAGGAAATACTAAGTTTTAGTTATAGATTAGTGAAAATAAATATATATTTTTTCTCAACAAAGTTCATGAGCCCTCTGAATTCTACCTACATACTTTGGTGTGGGGGGGGGGGGTCTTCACACTCCATGTAATAAACCCTGAATTAAAGAAGAAACCAGATAGAAGGTTATTATAGAAGCCCAAGCCAGCATATATGTGGGCTAGTGTGAAGACAGCGGGGATAGGGAAAAGTGGGGAGCATGTAGCTGTATTTTGGGAGCCAAGTAAGTAGAGTTTAGTGATTGAATGGATGTGGATGGTGAGGCAGATGGAGGGAAAGATGATGTCTGGGCTCCTGCCATGTATCTGAGTGGACTTCCATCAAAACAGGAAGCATGGAAAGAGAAGCAGCTTCTGGGAAGTGAGACTAGGTGAAGAAAAAGAGATCTGTTTGGAATATGCTTATTACAGGCAGAGCTGTGGAACAAGATAACTGAATATATGGTTCTGGAGCTCAGAAGAAAAGATGAACTAGAGATACGGATTTGGGAGACATCAACATTAACCACGCTTGAATGCAGTGGCACAGAGAGAAGGAGAAATATAGAGAAAGAAGATGGCCAAAGCAGGAGCTAGAGGGTCAGAAACGTTCAAGGGAAGAGAAGATTGACTAGAAGGCAGAATAGATGTTGGAGATGGAGCAGAATCAGAGAAGAAGGAGGAAAGCCAGGAGAGTTGATTCCTAGCACCAGACAGATGCAGGGCTCACCTACAAAATTATACAGTTGTTTTATACACGTAGTTTGTAACATACTGTGCTTTGGGATCATATGATGTGCACTTTTATAATGTGTGCTGTTATACTTAACAAGCTTAAAACTAAAATTTAAAAATAGGCCAGGCGCGGTGGCTCATGCCTGTAATTCCAGCACTTTGGAAGGCTGAGGAGGGCAGATTACTTGAGCTAGGGAGTTGGAGACCAGCCTGGGCAACATGGCGAAACCCCATCTCCACCAAAAATACAAAAAAATTAGCCGGGCGTGGTGGTGTGCACCTGTGGTCCCAGGTTCTCAGGAGGCTGAGGTGGAAGGAACACTTGAGCTCAGGAGGTGGAAGCTGAAGTGAGCTGAGATCGCCTCGCTGTACTCCAGTGACATGACAGAGTGAGACTCTGTCTCAATTAAAAAAACAAAAAATTGCACTCTATTACTGATTCCAAGAAGCTATTTTATCTTATTTCATCTCTGACTTTTAAAAAACACAAAAAGTCTTCATTTAAAAATTACCACTTGACAAATTATTTATTTTTATTGTGGTAAAATATAAATAACATAAAATTTACCATTTTTAATAAAATTTGTATTTATTCATTTATTTATTTGTCTTAGAAATGGGGGTCTTGCTATGTTGCCTAGACTGAACTCGAACTCCCAGGCTCAAGCAATCCTCTCACCTCAGCCTCATGAGTAGCTGGGACCACACTGCACCCAACAATAAAATTGACCATTTTAATAATTTTAAGGGCATATACCCTAAAATTTAGTGGCATTAATTATATTTACAGTGTTATACAACAATCACTACTATTTCCAAAACATCTTTGTTACCGCAAACAGAAGATCTGTAACCATTTGAGGAGTAACTTTCCATTCCTCCCTATCCCCAGCCCCTGAAAACCTCTAATCTACTTTGTCTTTATGAATTTGCCTATTCTAGATATTCATATAATTCATAACAATAGTCATATGACTCCATTTCATACAAGTGGAATCATACAGTATTTATCGTTTTGTGTCTGGCTTATTTCACCCAGCATGATGATTACAAGTGTTCTGCAGTGGGCAGGGCTAAGCAAACCTACCCCCAAAGTCTGAGAAAGCTGAGAGGCCAAGGAGGCTGATATAACCAGCTCCTCAGAAAGAAACATTTAATAGGGACTTAAAAACAGAAGCCATAGTCTCTAAGGGCAGCAAGACAAGATGGTGGATCCCTGAGCCATTACTCGCCAGACCCAGGGCTTATGGTAGGGAAAGGGTATAGGTGACTCAGAAGGGATGTGTAAGAAAATTGCCTGTGGGCAGAATTTATAGTAAGTATAATAACATCAAGGTTGTCGGCCTAACAGCAGGATTTATGGTAAGTACATGCTGTTAACACAAGGAACAGTAGATAAAATAGAAATCTTAGAGGCACTGCAGGAATTGGGTTTAATCAAAAGTCCGCGTGGTGGATTAGCATTCAAGATGGAGTTGCTTTAGCCCTCACAAAAAAGTTCACCCATGTTTTAGCATGTATCAGTACCTCATTTCTTTTTATAGCTGAATAATAGTCCATTGTGAACATATACCATGTTTTCTTTATTTTTATTTATTTATTTATTTTTATTTTTATTTTTTTTTGAGACAGAGTCTTACTCTGTCACCCAGGCTGGAGTGCAGTGAGTGGCGCGATCTTGGCTCACTGCACCTTCCACCTCCTGCGTTCAAGCGATCTTCCCACCTCAGCCTCCTGAGTAGCTGGGACTACAGGCATGTGCTACCATGCCCTGCTAATTTTTGTATTTTTTGGTAGAGACAAGGTTTCACCATGTCGGGCAGGCTGGTCTCAAACTCCTGACGTCATGTGATCCGCCTGCCTCGGCTTCCCAGAGTGCTGGGATTACTGCACCACATTTTCTTTAGCTGTTCACCATTTGATGGACACGGGGTAGTTTCCATCTTTTGGCTATTGTGATTTGCTGAAATGGGCATTGGAGTACTAGTATCTGAGTCCCTGTTTTCAATTATTTTGGGCATATACTTAGAAGTGGAGTTGCCATATTAACATATGGTAATATTACGTTTAGCTTTTATACAATCTGCCAAACTGTTTGCCACTGCAGCTGCACTGTTTTACATTCCCCCCAACAACGTATGAGGGTTCTAATTCCTCACCAACACATGCTCTTTTCCTTTTATTATTATTATTATTACTGCGATCTTAGTAGGTACAAAGTGGTATTTCACTGTGGTTTTGATTTGCATTTCCCTAATGACTAATGATGAGTTGGGCATCTTTTCATGTGTTTCTTGGCCATTTGTTTATCTTCTTTGGAGAAACAGACTATTAAATCAGTGTCCAGTGTTATTGTTTCCACCTTCATTCTTTTTTTTTTTTTTTTTTTTTGAGATGGAGTCTCGCTCTATCGCCCAGAATGGAATTCAGTGTCATGATCTCGGCTCACCTCAACCTCTGCCTCCAGGGTTCAAGCGATTCTCCTGCTTCAGCCTCCTGAATAGCTGGGATTACAGGTGCGTACCACCATGCCCAGCTAATTTTTTTGTATTTTTAGTAGAAACAGGGTTTCACCATGTTGGCCAGGCTGGTCTCAAACTCCTGACCTCAAGTGATCCACCTGCCTCAGCTTCCTAAACTGTTGGGATTACAGGCATGAGCCACTGTGCCCGGCCTCCACCTTTATTCTCTTTTTTTTCTTTTCTTTTCTTTTTTGAGATGGGGTTTCACTCTTGTTGCCCAGGCTGGAGTGCAGTGGCTTGATCTCGGCTCACTGCAACCTCCATCTCCTGGATTCAAGCGACTCTCCTGCCTCAGCCTCCCAAGTAGCTGGGATTACAGGAAAGTGCCACCACCCCTAGCTAATTTTTTGTATTTAGTAGAGATGGGTTTTCACCATGTTGGTCAGGCTGGTCTTGAACTCCTGACCTCAGGTGATCCACCTGCCTCGGCCTCCCAAAGCTGAGATTACAAGCATAAGCCACCGTGCCTGGCCCACCTGCATTCTTTTGCATGTGAACGTGCAGTTATCCCAGCACCATCTGCTGAAGAGACTATTTTTTCCCCATTGAATGCCCTGGTGCTCTTACCAAAATCAACTGGCCACAAATCTATGGGTTTATTTCTGGACTAACAGTTCTAGTTTATTGGTCTACATGAAACCTCTTATGACAGTAAGAGGTTATGCTAGTACTACAATATCTGGATTACTATAGTTTTGTAATAAGTTTTAATATCAGGAAATGTGAGATTTTGTCTTTCATGAAGACTGGGCAACAAGAATATGTGATGATCAGGGAAAACCAGCATGTATTTAGTCTGTTTGAAAGTTTTATTTTGGCTGGGCACAGTGGCTCAGGCCTGTAATCCCAGCACTTTGGGAGGCTGAGGTGGGCGGATCATGAGGTCAAGAGTTCGAGACCAGCCTGACGAACGCTGTGAAACACTGTCTCTACTAAAAATACAAAAAAAAAAAAAAAAATTAGCCGGGCGTGGTGGCGTGTGCCTGTAATCCCAGATACTCAAGAGTTTGAGGCAGGAGAATTGCTTGAACCTGGGAGTCGGAGGTTGCAGTAAGCTGAGACCGCGTCACTGCACTCCAGCCTGGACGACAGAGCGAGACTCCGTCTCAAAAAAAAAGAAAAGAAAAGTTTTATTTTATTTACTCCTGGGGCTAGAGTGCAGTGGTGTGATCTTGGCTCACTGCAACCTCTGCCTCTTGGGTTCAAATGATTCTTGTGCCTCAGCCTCCCAAGTAGCTGGGATTACAGCATGCGCCACCATGCCCTAGTAATTTTTGTATTTTTAGTAGAGACAGATTTCACCATGTTGGCCAGGTTGGTCTCGACTCCTGCTCTGAAGTGATCCACCCACCTCGGCCTCCCAAAGTGCTGGGATTACAGACATGAGCCACCGCCTGGCCAAAAGTTGTATTTTGTAACTGTAAATTAATATATCAGTATTATGGCTTTTATATTTTTGATTCTTGATGGTTTGGTTTATATGATTCGGTACTTGAACCCAACCACATCAAGGTGTAGTAGCAATTGGATATCCAAACTTCTAAAGAAGAGAACTAGACCTGAGATACAGTGGCTCTCTGACAGGTAATCTTTCCAAGATCTATGGGCTAGACACCTGATCTTCCTCTGGCAAACCTTCCATTTCCCTGGACCACTTTCAATCTCTAACAGTGAGCAGATATCTAGATTTAGCTGTCTCAAAAGTTTGATTTCTGACCTAGTGTTGTGTAGCATTCAGTGCTTATTTAAAAGAATAAAAAGGCATGGAGTTTTCCAGAAGACTAAAATGAAGTTCTTACACATATACAACTCAAAATAGCCAGGGGTTCTGACATTGAAATCTGAAATCTTGATACCACTCTTTATATTGCCCCTTCTTATCTTTCACTTTGTCCTCTTGAGAGTGCCCCCAGTGTATTATTGAAGATGGTTGGATGTATTGAAGTGGATACTAGTTTTATAATGCCAAAACTGTCCAGCAAGTAAGCTAATTGCAATATAACTTCTTTTAGATAAGGTTATGGGACTGTTCACTGGTGAGTATTGAATCTGGGTTGTGCCTGACTTTCTTTTTTTTGAGACGGAGTCTCGCTCTGTCACCCAGGTTGGAGTGCAGTGGCACAATCTCAGCTTACTGCAACCTCTGCCTCCCGGGTTTAAGCTATTCTCTTGCCTCAGCCTCCTGTGTAGCTGGGACTACAGGCACCCGCCACCACGCCCGGCTAATTTTTGTATTTTTAGTAGAGACGGGGTTTCACCATATTGGCCAGGCTGGTCTTGATCTGCTGACCTTGTGATCCGCCTGCCTCAGCCTCCCAAAGTGCTGGGATTACAGGTGTGAGCCACCGCGCCCAGCCTGCCTAACTTTCTTTAGTATGTATGACCCAAACCTACAGAAAAGAAAATTCATGTAAACTCCATAAACTCCCTGTAGGGTATCTACCATTACAAAATAAACTCTGACTTTTAAAAACTATATACATGGTTGATGCACTGGCTCAGATAAATCTTGTTAATTGAACTAATGATGAGTGTTCTATGATAACCTAACCTAGTTTAATAAACCCTTCTGGCTAAGCATGGTGACATGCACCTGTAGTCCCAGCTACTTGGGAGGTTGAGGCAGGAGGATCGCTTGAGTCCAGGAGTTCTGGGCTGTAGTGCACTATGCTGATTGGGTGTCTGCACTAAGTTAGGCATCAATATGGTGATCTTGCAAGAGCAGGAGACCACCAGGTTGCCTAAGGAGGAGTGAACTGGCCCAGCACGGAAATGGAGCAAGTCAAACCTCCCATGCTGATCAGTAGTGGAATCACACCTGTGAATAGCCACTGCACTCCAGCCTAGGCAACACGAGACCCTGTCTCTTAAAAAAAAATAATTTAAAACAATTAGGCTCAGCGTGATAGCTCATACATGTGATCCCAGTACTTTGGGAAGCTGAGACAGTAGTTTGAGACCAGCCTGGGCAACATAGTGAGACCCTGTCTCTACCAAAAAAAAAAACCAACAAAGTTAGCTGACTATGGTGGGCTGCACCTGTAGATCCAGTTATTTGGGAGGCTGAGGTGAGAGGATCCCCTGAGTCCAGGAGTTCAAGCCTGCAGTGAGCTACGATTGTGCTACTGCACTACAGCCTGGGCAACAGAGTGAGATTCTGTCTCTAAAAAAATTTTTTTAATTAATTTAAAAAAATTTCTAAAAAATTCTTCTTAGTTCCTGCCCCTAAAATGTGAGTGGAGGGATGGGGGTGGGCAAGTACGTGATTTGGGGTCTTTTTCAGAGCAAGTCTCAATTTTAGAAAACTATTACCATTTTGCTAATTTAACATGACATTTAAGCAATAGGCAACTAAGAGAAAAAGAGGAAATGTTTAGGCTGTAACAGAGCTTTTCAGAGTTTGTTCTGCAGCAATTACCTTTCAAAACTCCTTTAACAACTTGGACAGAAAACCTGACTAAATTCATGCGTGCTCGTGGAAAGGTGGAGAAACTAGCGGGAACAATGTGTTGGGAGTGGAGGTGTGTGTCACATTGCTTTGTTTTTCCCCCTAGCTTTTATTGGTTTAAACAGATTTGGGTTTCCATTCTAATTCTCCACCATGTTCATAAAAGAGAAAAACATATAGTGTGAGAGAAATGTGATTTATAGTAACATCTTTATTTCATGATTAAAAACACTGTGTGTGTTTGGTTGTCTGGTAGAATATGCACATCAGAAACAACCTGTAGTTCTGGAAGCCTCTGGGTTGCTATAACAACCAGACAAAACAGTTTAATAACAGCTCTACCGCAAAGCTGGAAAACTGACAAAAAGATGAGAGCTATAAATGCAGGTGTTTGTCATATAAATGTGAACAAGTACCAAACACATTTATTTCTTCAACAAATATTCATTGAGTGCCAATGCCGCACCTGGTCCTATTGCTAGGAACTTCGAAAAAGATAAATATGGTCCATGCCATGACGGCATATACATTCTTCTTTTTTGGTGACAACAGGTGCACACCACATGCCTGGCTAATTTTTGGATTTTTAGTAGATACAGGGTTTTGCCATGTTGTCCAGGCTGGTCTCGAACTCCTGGACTCAAGCCATCCAATGCCTTGGCCTCCCAAAGTGCTGGGATTTACAGGCATAAGCCACTGCACCCAGCCTCATATATATTCTAATGGAGGAGACACATAATAAAGAATGAACAGATCGATAAACTGAATGCTTGCAGCATGAGAAGAGCCCTACCATAAAGCAAGCAATGCGATCATGATACCAAACAAGTACTAACTAGTGT
The DNA here is from genome assembly GCF_000001405.40 of Homo sapiens. Lineage (NCBI taxonomy): Eukaryota > Metazoa > Chordata > Mammalia > Primates > Hominidae > Homo > Homo sapiens. Next base: position 41,123,594 of record NC_000013.11, read on the forward strand.
AAAATATGGAGAAGACTCCAGTCATAGCATATATGAAAAATCTTGTCTTCACCGTGACTCACACCTGTAATCCCAGCACTTTGGGAGGTAGAGGCAAGTGGACCACCTGAGGTCAGGAGTTGGAGACCAGCCTGGCCATGATGGGAAACACCATCTCTACTAAAAATACAAAAATTTGCCGGCGTGGTGGCGGGCATCTGTAATCCCAGCAACTTGGAAGGCTGAGGCAGGAGAATCGCTTGAACCCGGGAGGCGGAGGTTGCAGTGAGCTGAGGTCGCGACACTGTATTCCAGTCTAGGCGACAACAGCAGAACTCCATCTCAAAAAAAATAATTGTTTTTAAGTTTTTACTTTTAAGTTAAAAACTTTTAAGTGTAAATTAAAACTTTTAAGTTTAAACTAAACTGAACTGGGACTACAGGTGCGCACCACACACCTACTTTTTGTATTTTTGTATTTTTAGTTGAGACAGGGTTTCACCATGTTGGTCAGGCTGGTCTCGAACTCCTGACCTCAGGTGATCCGCCTGCCTCAGCCTCCCAAAGTGCCAGGATTACAGGCGTGAGCCACCGTGCCTAGCCTTTTTTTTTTTTCTTTTGAGTAGAGATAAGGTCTCACTATGTTGCCCAGGCTGAGACTCCCTAGTTCTTTAAATAAGTTCCTTATATAAAAGTCCACTCTGTTATGTGGATCCTAATCTACAAAGTCATCTGAGACCCAGGCATTTCTGTCTTCCTGTTCTGCTATCCTTACTTAGGGTGTTGCCCTGACCAACATGGTCCAAGGTGGTTCATCCTCATGTCCACCCACATCCCAGCCATCGAGAAAGAAAGGGAAGGGGAGGGCACTACTGTCCCTGTAAGAGAAGTTGGGCATATTGCTTCGGGTCGCATGAAATTGGCCAGATCTTAACTACATGGCCACATCTAGCTGCAGGGATGCCTGGGAGAGGTAGTCTCTATTCTGGATCAACATGTATCTAGTTAGAATTTAGCCATTGCTCCTTGTAGGATAGGGGAGAAAGGCCATTTTTATTATTATTTATTTTTATCTTTTATTTTTTTGAGATGGAGTCTCACTCTGTTGCCCAGGCTGGAGTGCAGTGGTGCAATCTCGGCTCACCACAACCTCCACCTCCTGGGTTCAAGTGATTCTCCTGCCTCAGCCTCCCGAGCAGCTGGGACTACAGGTGCATGCCACCATGCTCGGCTAATTCTTGTATTTTTAGTAGAGATGGGGTTTCACTGTTAGCCAGGCTGGTCTTGAACTCCTGACCTCATAATCTGCCTGCCTTGGCCTCCCAAAGTGCTGGAATTACAGGCGTGAGCCACCGCACCCGGCCAAAAACTGGAAATTTCTTAGAGCTAACTAGGCTATCTAGCAACATTACAGCATTTTCTGTGCCTGAATCATCTTTGCAGTGCTGTGTGAATGTAATCTACTTATTTCCCCCTTTGTTGAAGTTCAAACCATTAGCCACAATAGTTTATTCAGAACTTAGTTTCTTGCCCATTTCTTGTACTAATTTCAGGTAAATTGTGCTTTAGTCAATATATACATATGGTGTCATTTTTTTTTGGTTTGTGAAAACTTCAAAACAGCTTTCAGAAAACATTTTGGATAACTACTTCTGTCAAGTACGTGACTCCATTCTATATTTCATTTCTACTTATCTCCGATAAACTTAAAGGTCCTGGGCGCAGTGGCTCATGTCTGTAATCCCAGCAGTTTGGGAGGCAGAGGCGGGTGAATGGCTTGAGCCCAGGATTTTGAGACCAACCTGGGCATCTGAAATCTTAATGCAGACTTGGGATGCAGCTGTGGAAGACCTTACATGGTTAAAAGAGACCAGCCTGGCCGACATGGTGAAACACCGTCTCTACTAAAAATACAAAAATTAGCTGGGTGTAGTGGCAGGTGCCTATAATCCCAGCTACTCAGGAGGCTGAAGCAGGAGAATTGCTTGAACCCGGGATGGGAAGGGTGCAGTGAGCTGAGATTGCACCACTGCATTCCAGCCTGGGAGACAGACCAAGACTCTGTCTCAATAAAAATAAAAATAAAAATAAAAATAAATAAGGCTGGACATCGTGGCTTATATGTGTAATCCCAGCACTCTGGGAGGATGAGGCTGGAGGATAAAATTTGAGGCCAGGAGTTTATTATTTCAACAAAAAATTTAAAAAATTAGCTGGTAATGGTGGTGTGTGCCTGTAGTCCTAGCTACTCAGGAGGCTAAGGTGGGAGGATGGCTTGAGTCCAGGAGTTCAAGTTTACAGTGAGCTATGATTGTGCCACTGCACTCCAGCCTAGGCAAAATAATACGACTCTAATATGGTTTGTCTGTGTCCCCACCCAATCTCGAATTGTAGCTCCCATAATTCCCACATCATGGGAGGGACCCGGTGGGAGGTAATTGAATCACGAGGGTGAGTCTTTTCTGTGTTGTTCTCCTGATAGTGAATAAGTCTCATGAAATCTGATGGTTTTATAAAGCAAGCTCCCCTGCACTTGCTCTCTTGCTTGCCGCCATGTAAGGTGTGACCCCTTTTTTTTTTTTTTTTTCTGAAATGGAGTCTCACTCTGTTGCCCAGGCTGGAGTGCAGTGGCATGATCTCAGCTCATTGCAACCTCTGCCTCCTGGGTTCAAGTAATTCTCCTGCCTCAGCCTCCACAGTAGTTGGGACTATAGGTGCCTGTCATCACGCCCAGCTAATTTTTGTATTTTTTAAGTAGAGACAGGGTTTTGCATGTTGGCCAGGCTGGTCTTGAACTGCTCTCATGTGATCCTGCCCACCTTGGCCTCCCAGAGTGCTGGGATTACAGGTGTGAGCCACCTTGCTTGGCCTGTAAGACGTGACTTTGCTCCTCCTTTGCCTTCCACCATGATTGTGAGGCCTCCCCAGCCACGTGAACTGTGAGTCCATTAAACCTCCTTTTCCTTATAAATTACCCAGTCTCTGGTATGTCTTTATTAGCAGCATGAAAACAGACTAATACAGACCCTATCTCTATTTAAAAACAAAACAAATCAGGTTATTTAGAATAATAAAAGGGGTGTTGAAATTTTTAAGCAGGTATGGCAAAAGAGATCCTATTACAAGTGCTCTTACCTTGGGTCTGATGAGCTTCAGAAATGTGAAACATCCTTGATATTATAAATTATGTGCCTTTTGCTTGGGAATGGATCAAAAGCTTTCCTCAGATTCTCAACAAGATATAAAAATTGAAAAATAAATCCCTGCTCAATTAAAAATGATGAAAAAGAGCTATTACAACTTAATTTCAATCTTTAATCCATATTTAGACAAGTTAGTGGCTAAATTTGTTTCTATTTTATCCTTTTGAAAACTCTAATACTACCTATCGTTTGCATTTAAAAGAATTTGCAATAATTTGGGTTCTCAGCTTTTCAGACTACAGGGACAAAAATACAAAAGATAATTAATGTCATTCTAAATCTTACAGATGGTAGTCCGACAAATGACATTATATTAAGCATTTGCTAAAATATGTGTGGCTTAATTGGAAAATTAGACAGTTACATTTTCTTGTCGTGAAGAGATTTCAGCACTGCTAGTTGTATCATTCACTGCAGTGATCCCCAACCTTTTTGGCACCAGGGACCAGTTTCCACGACTAGGGGTAAGGGGATAGTTTCAGGATGAAACTGTCCCACCTCAGATCATCAAGCATTAATTAGATTCTCATTAGGAACATGTAACATAGATCCCTTGCACACGCAGTTCACAATAGAGTTTACACTCCTATGAGAACCTAGTGCCACTGCTGATCTAATAGGAGGCAGAGCTAATGCTTGCTTGCCTGCAGCTCACTGTGTGAGCCCAGTTCCAAACAGGCCACAGACTGGTACAGGTCTGCAGCCTGGGGGCTGGGGACTCCTGATTAACTGCACACGCAAAAGTTTTATACATTTAGTGGAATCACTGAAGTAAAAAGTCAGGAAGCATAAGTTCTGGTACCAGTTTTATTTATAATTAACCACATACAAATCACTTTTCTACAAAATAATGGTTAACATCTATTCCTTAATTCACAGAAATATCACAAAACCAAAATCCTTCCCACGATATATTACTATTTAGTCTAAGCTTTAATTCAAAGGTTGAGAATGACGAATTCAAGAATTTCTTTCATACATAAATTGCTTTCCTTAGTTCTGCAGATGGGTAATCTGTTTGAGATAAGCACTGTCATGTTTCAACCTTAGAGAACAAAAAGCTATCAACAAGATAGTGGTAAAGAAAATGCTAGCCAAAAAATAACACTATTGAGAAATAGGTGCGTATTAAGTGCAATACTTACAACATCTCTGATGTCAAATGACCAAAATTTAGCCTTAGGGCACTAAAGCACATTTGCCCTTTTGAAGCACATACTAGTATGGCACATTTTATTTCACTAAAAGTGATGTTAAACGTGAATGTCTTGTAGACTATTTAAAGAGCCAGTCAAATGGCTAAAAAAACCATTGTTTTTTTGTTATAACTCTTTGTGTCTCCCTCTTTCCATTCTCATCTTATGATATTTCACTCAAAAATTTAGTTACCCACCCCAAAACACATTTCTCTCCCTTCTGCCAGGGTGTAAGAAATGTTAGCATTCTGTCACTAGAAAATAAACACTGAAGAGGAATTAGCATGTTAATGAACAAAGATTAAGGAAGGTAATACTAACAGGATAAAGGAAAATGTAGACCATAAGCATCTGGTCATTCATCATGTACATGTATCATGTCAACCATTATATATTAAATCTTCAAGAGGTAAGTACTTCTGTTTTAGTGTGTTTAACAATGTCAGTTTCGTGGGATTTAGTCTCTGTTCCAGGACCTTCTCTTACATTATGGTAACAGAAAAACAAAGACTGGAGCATGGTTTACAGAGAAATACAAAACACATACAAACATCATAATAAAATAGCCATTTATATCACTATTAGAGAAATATTTTAGAGAAAACATACTTTCACTAGTGGCCTCAAATGCCATCATCCACTTATGTTCTTTAACTATCAACTTTGTTTTTCTAAGAGATGGGATCTCGTTCTGTTGCCAAAGCTGGAGTGCTGAGACATGATCATAGCTGCAGTGAGCTATGATTATAGCTGCAGATGATAGCTGCAGCCCCGAACTCCTAGACTCAAGTGATCCTACATTCAAGTGATCCTCCCAAGTAACTGGGACTCAGACTTGGGCCACCATGCCCAGACATATTTTTTATTTTTGTAGAGATGGGGTTTTGCTATGTTGCCCAGGCTGGTCTCAAACTCCTGGGCTGAAGCAATCCTCCCACCTCAGCCCCGAGTTGCTAGGATTACAGGCATGAGCCACTACACCCAGCAACTGTCAACTTGTAATACAAAAATACCTTCAAGCTGATAATCAAGAACATTTAGTGACTTTAAAAAGCTGACAGAATATTTCCATGCTACACAAAACAGTTCTATACACAGCTTTACAGTTTTAAAGTTCTTTGCTGGCACTTGACTTTATAGTTAACACAATGACTACTGATATCAACGAAATACTGTTTTTAGCTTATATATATTTTCAAAATCAGTATTACCTCACAAAACAGTAAAGAAATATCACTTCTGCTGAAGAATCCTCTAAGATGAACACCAAAACTGTACAGCTAAAACATATTGAGAATCATGTAAATGTTTAAGGCAATAGATAAAAATTTATACAATCCAGTGAAATTTATACATGTCCAGCAGAAAAAAAAGGATTATTCCTGATTAAATGAAGCATGTATCAGGTTTAGATCAACAATACAAACCTACAAAGCAAGTTACTTCTTTTTTAAGGTTTTTTGATGATTTGGTGACACAACTAGAATATAACCTTTTAGATGAAAATTGGTGACTTTGCAAATACACATTCTAAATTCCAAAATTAAAACGAAACTTCTTTTCAAACAGTAGAATCCTGGTTTGTTGTTTTTACTGTCAATGAGCTTATAGCTATTCTCTGTATTATTATAAATGAAGTCACCACTCAGTCACCCTAATACACATATGGTTTTTTTTCTTTTTTTTTTTTCCTTTTTTTTTTTTTTTTTTTTTTGAGACGGAGTCTCACTCTGTCATCCAGGCTGGAGTGCAGTGGCCCAGTCTCGGCTCTCTGCAGCCTCTGACTCCCGGGTTTCAGCAATTCTCCTGCCTCAGCCTCCTGGGTAGCTGGGATTACAGGCGCATGCCACCACGCCCAGCTAATTTTTGTATTTTTAGTAGAGACGGGGTTTCACCATGTTGGCCAGGCTGGTCTTGAACTGACCTCAGGTGATCCACCTGCCTCGGCCTCCCAAAGTGCTAGGATTACAGGCGTGAGCCACCGCGCCCAGCCTGCATTTTTTTCTTCATAGAAGAAAACAAAAGTAAAACTTCCCAAATTATGTTTAACTTATAACACATTTTGTAAAGACCCCTTAGGTTAACCATTTTGGAAGTCTACATTGTTCTGAAGAAAAAGATATGCTTTCAAAACACTATCTAGCAATTCCTAATCATTTTTCTATTATAAAAATTAAAATTCAAAAGTTATTGCCACAGTGCTTGTGGCAGTAAACAGAATGTAAAATGTATCAAAAGACTAAATTAGTGTCATGAAACATAAACATACTAAATAATCAAATAAATACTGGACCCTTAGCACAGAAAATTATTAAAAGGTTGATTTGAGTGTTAAAATTTGTAACATTAAATTACCTTCGTATTTCAAACATTACTTTTTCTAAACCAAACCAGAAGTTAATCAACTTTTCCTCTCCTTTAGGAACAAAAAGGATATTTAAGATATTTTCCAAAACAGTAAAAACAACTTAGTGTTTCAATCTAGTTACAACAAACCCTGTTGATCCTGTGCATTTCACTGAGGCGCTACACGCACCCAAAAATCATCATCAGAAAGAGAACTTGAACTTCCTGACTCAGAGTCTGGCTCACTGAATCCACCTAAGTCCCATTCAGTGCTAGACTCACTTGGTATTTCTTCTTCTTCAGTGAGGAAACTCTGACCAGGTTCAAGGCAGGAAGGATAAACACGAGCAGAGAGGCAAAAAAAGTTAGAATCAAACTGCAAGAGGCCTAATGTGGTACCTATATTAATCCATTGGTCTCCCCTAATATCATATTCATACACAGTCACCCGGTTCTTTTTCCACTGTGGGGTGCGAGAGGTGATGAGCAACAATTTTTGGCCATGCTTGATAATTCTGTAGTTGTTGGTCTCTGAGACCAAGGGAATATTATTCATTTGCCTCCATTCTGCCCTAACTGGGTTGTAGACCTTCATGACTGGGATATCACAGATACAATAGATCTCCTCATTGAAGACGCAGGCTTCCTGAAAGTCATTGCGCTTCAGAGAAACGCACTTCAGCCACATATTGTGGCTAGGATCATAACAGAACATGCGCTTACTGTTGAGAGCATAGAGATAGTCTCGAATTACCATTAGGTCAAAGGATAAAAAAGAATGGGGCAGTGGAGCCACCAATGCCCACTGGTTTCTCTTAACATTGTAGCATTCCACTTCCTTCAACTTAACTCCAGTAATAGGGTCTCGCCCCCCCAAAATGTAGATATAGCCATTGAGATATGCCACATCCATGCCCTCACGACACAGCAAGCGATCTGCAAGTTGCTGCCAACTATTCTGAGCTGGTTTATACACCCAGAGGTCTGTCCTGGGCTGAGCAGCTAGATAGATGTCATGGTCAGGAGAGATACAGACAGCTAAAGTGGTGACAGTCCTAGTGTGAGCCAGACAGGTCAAAGGTGACGGCACTTTGTAAAGGTCCCCCGAGTATGGATCACAGCAGAGAAAGGGATCTCTGGGGTGTCCAAAGAAGATCACCATCTCCTTGGCACACATACCCAGTCTCTGGGGTGGATTTTCTGCTGCAGATACAAGAGAGTTGCTGCTGCTACTGCTGCTGCTGCTGTTTGGCACTGGCACCAGAGACTTGTACAACAGGTCACCATAGCGCATCTGCAGGGCCCCTTCAATAACGTCCAGGCAGTACTTCTTCACGATGGGCTTGGTCAGCAGCCCTTCTAAGTAGTCCTGATCTTCTTCAGTGAAGTGCATCCAGCGCACGCACTTGAAGACTTCTGCAGCACTGGGACCCCGCTCTTTGGGAGCAGCCTCCAGCCACTGCACTGCCACATGGCACACTGTCTGCTCACTCTCCACGTCCAGACTATCCAAGCGCAGGACAGCCAGCAGCTGGGCCAGGGTCAGATCTGCTAGAGTCTCCTCCCGAATTGAACCCATGTGGCTGAGTTGCTTGAAGTTCTGAGCTATATAGGACTGGGCCTGGGATCGCAGCTTGCGATGGCCAAAGGCATCTGCAAACTTGAGGATGGCGGTGCAGTTGGTCAGGTCAAGACGTCGGGCTAAGAAGGAGGCACAGGCTTCCCGCACATATTCCAGCTGTAGCATGTCGGAGGCCGCGTACAGGCGCTCCACGTTGGCCTCACTGAGAGACACACGACCCGTGTAGCAGTAGTCGACCAACACCTCGAAGGACTCGGCGTCCACATCGTGCATGGTCACGCTGGCCTGCTGGCTCTCGTACATGCCACCTGTGAACATGCTCTTGAAGTAGGGACATGCCGCGGCCAGCACATTGCGGTTGCAGGGGAACAGGCGACCCGTGCCAGGCCCGCTGCCAGGCGTCACCACCTCGATGGTCACATCACACAGCAGCCGCGCATCGTAGAAGGACTTGAGCTGTGCCAGCAGGGCTGCAGAATGGGCCGTGTCCTTTAATTCCTCTGGACCCGTGAAAAAGGCCGAAACTGTGGGTTTGTGAATCTTCTTGGGCCGCTTCCCACCACGGGGACTGGCTAGGCGGCGAGAGCGCGGGGCGTCTTCCCGGGACTGCATGGTGGAGATGGCGACGGGCGCTGATGGCGAGAAACGCTGCAGGACCCGGCTCTGGCTCCTCCTCAACCTTCCCTCGCTGACGCTAAGATAGCAGCGTCTCCGAAGAGACAGCAGCACGAGCCCATTTACTGAATTCAACCCTACCCCGCAGAACCGCCTCCCGTTATCGTTTAGACAGTGGCTGACTCACCCTCTCTCACTCCCGCGTCCTTTCTCCGCGTCTGCTCGCCTTCACAGGACCCGCTGGCTTGGAGCCGCAGAAGCCGCTACTGCAGCGTGGGCGACAATGCTAGGCGCCCAGGAGAACTACCGCTCCCAGGTTGCCTTTCGCGCCCCGAGGGCTGCTGGGACTCTCGGACTCCCGGGCCGAGACCGAGGGAAAGAATCCGCTTTGCATGTCGGGAGTAGTAGTTTGTGTAATATCGCGATCCTTCTCTGGTGTTCCTTGTTTTAGCTGACGACACTCGAGAGCGCCAATTTTCCTAGATTCGATTTTGTGGTTTGGAACTGTGGTTTTGGAATCCAGAGTAGTCGCCTCGTTCTAGTATGTATTGTTTGACTTGTCTCTTTGAACTGTTTCTTCTTTTGTAAGACGTGAACAGTAGTATTTCATAGGATTGTGTGAAGATTACATGAGTTGGTTATAGGACGCTGTTAATAAATATTTGTTGGTTTGTAGAATAATTACTCAGTTCTTAGAATTATAAAGGTTCGATAAGTTTTCTTCCAGCCTTTATTAAAAAAAAAAAAAGGAAGCACCACTAATTTGAAATTATGAGCCTGTAGGAAAACAAAAAACCCCCCAAAACAGAAAACCTTGCAAGTTCCAGCAGAGATCCCTTTTTAGGGGCGTGTGTGTGTGTGTGTGTAAATTAGATTTTATTTTTAGGTTTACGGAAAAATTGAGCAGCAGGGACAGGGAACTTCCATATATCTCTCCCCACTTCACAGTTCCCTTATTATTAACATCTTGTATTAGTGTATGTATCCATTAGAAGTGATTTTTTTTTTTTTTTTTTTTTTACTCACTATGCCTCTCCCTGGTACCAAAAGATAACTCAGGGTTTGTAGGATTGGTTGGCTATCGCTGGAATTAGATCCCTGGCTTTTTCACAATTGCCTGTCCTTATTTGCCATGACTAAAAGGAGACCACCTCCAGTCACCTGACTTTGAGACTTTCCTTCCATATCTGCATTTCAAAACCTGAAGTCCTCTGTAGCCACTTCTCCCACTTGGTCTCTCCAATATTCAGTACCCCTTTCCCTTTTTTACACAAAAGAAGAGACATGCTTTAGGGGGTCCTCACCCCAAAACACAATGGAAGCCAGAGGCCTGGTTGGTAATTTAGCATCCTTTTAGACCCAGTGGCTCAAGCATTTCTCCCCTTGCTTGTATGAAGTTGCCTCTCCATCAGAGCTGACTTTATTTCTAGTCATTCACTCAACCTTTACTTACCCCGTGCAGTTCAGACATTAGAAGTCACTGAGAACACCTAACACGTTTCCGCTTCGGACTCACCTCCTGTGAAACCCTGCCACTGTCTTCCTCTCTCATCACTGTCCACCGTAGTCAAAACAATCAAGCCACTCTTCTTCCCATTCCCTCTGAAGGACAACCTTGTGACTGAATCACCGTCACACAGTCATTCACATTTCCTCACTCTGACATCACCAGAACTCCTCTCAGAGACCTTGATATCACCTTTGTAGATGGTTCTTACCTCAGGAGTACAAATGGGGAATTTTAAGCAGGATACACTATTGCAGATTTTCAACAGCCTATTAAGTTGAAATCTCCACTTAAGTTAACATGGCCCAAATCATTGAATTCTTAAGCACTCACCCAAACTTGCATGTTAGCACAAGATAAGGGAACTAACATTTATAGAGACAGCCAGTTTACTTTTGGAATTGCACGTTATTTTGGTATGCTATGGAAAGAAAGAGGTTTATGACAACTGAGGAGTACCACTCAGAACCCAACTCACTAACTTATTTAAGTCTTTTTTTTTTTTTTTTGAGATGGAGTCTCGCTCTTGTCACCCAGGCTGGAGTTGCAGTGGCGCGGTCTTGGCTCACTGCAACCTCCGCCTCCCGGGTTCAAGCGATTCTCCTGCCTCAGCCTCCTGAGTAGCTAGGATTACAGACACCCACCACCATGACCGGCTAATTTTTTTTTTTTTTTTTTTACTTTTAGTTGAGATGGGGTTTCGCCACGTTGGCCAGGCTGGTCTCAAAATCCTGACCTCAGGTAATCCACCCGCCTCGGCCTCCCAAAGTGCTGGGATTACAAGCGTGAGCCACCGCGCCCAGCCCCCCTGTTTAAGTCCTTACAGCTATCCAGAAATTAGCCATTCTCAAAAATCAAAGCTCACACTAGTGGCTGGACTAACAAAGCTAAAGGAAACTTAACTGGCTGAAAATATGCTAAGGTTGCTGCTTCCCAAGAAAACACCTCCTGAATCACGTGTATACTTCTCCTTGCTCAACCTACTCTAAAGACAGAAACTCTTAAGAAACTTAAGATATAACAGCTGCTAGCACCTGAGGCTGAAAAAGCAAAAAAGCAACAAGCTGGATGTTTTTTCTACTCAGATGGGCTTTGGAGACACCTAGACATCATTGATTTCTCTTGGTCCCTCACCCAAAATTTATTCTGCAGCCTCCATGAGATTACACATTATGGCAAAGAAAATCTTTCTCCGCAAATATTGTTGGGGATGCCCTAATACTGAGCAGTTAACTTCAACTTGCCCCATCTGCCAGAAACACAATCCTAGTCAACATGTAAAGTGGGACAAGCATGAGAGTCAACTCTCTCTAGTCCTTGTTTTCATTGGAAAATATATCAACTCTCAAAGTCTTATGGGTACAAATATGTTTTAACCATAGTTGGCATGTTTTCAGCATGGTTAAAAGCTTTTCTCTGTAAACAAGCTACTATCACCACTGAAGTTAACCTGATACCAGAAAGAATTTTCCCCTCCTAGGGATCTCTGTTTTTTTTAATAACAGTGGAGGAACTCACTTCAGTAGTAAGGTTATTCAGGATCTTCAACAAGTACTTCCAATGTTACAAAAACTGCAGTCTCCTTACCAGTCCTCTGGAAAATGAAACAAGCAGGCCAGTGGTACCGTTATATTCAAACTAGCCAAACTCTTTAAGGAACTCAACCTGCCCAGAGTCTCATGCCTAATGGCCCTTGACTCTTCTATTATCCCCAATTTCTCAGCATGTACTAAATGAAACTTAATTCTTAACATGATTAATGAGTCTCTTGAAATCTCCAAACTCAATGACTCCACTTTTTCAGGATCAAGTGTAGGAAAAAATGTAGGAGCACTTTTATCCCTAATAATAACCATTTTCTCTTCCACCACTTCCCAACCAGCCTTACAAACTGCGTTCAGTTCCACACAAAGACTCTGCTCTTCTGAGGGATCTACCCAGTTGTTAATCCCAGTAATTGTTAATAATTACTATACCTCAGACCCCACCTGTTTCCCCATAGGATACCACTTTTCATGCCTTCCCCAAGGGCATTTGGACTGATTGTCTGGGACTTCAAAATATTTAAAGCTGCTATCCCACCTGTCAATGGTGTGTCCTTCTGGAATTACCTCCAAATTGAGGCAACTACAGGGAATTGGGGAAAACCTCCCAGGGATATCAATGATTCTCTTTTCATATGCACCATGAGGGCCCTTGACACCCACTATGGCATTAATACAGTTAAAAAGGATAGTTCAAAAAAAAAAGAAAAGGTAGTTCAAGCCTCTCCTTAACCTTTGTAGAAGAAAATTATACCACTTTGGCCCTAGAAGTACAGAAAATAAGTTTAAACGCACAGGTCCAAATTGTTATGGCCAATCCTACAACTTTCAACTTCCTTCTAGCTAGACAAGGAGATATCTGTGCCATAGCCAAAATCTCTTTTTGCACTTGAATAAACACAACAGGACAAGTGAATGCTTAGTTACTAAACTCAAGGAAAAGGCTAGTTGGCTTTCTAAGGTAAATTCAAATAGCCTGAGGCATGTTCCCCTGGGCAAGATTTAGAAATAGAAGACCCGGTTTTGAGCTGTATTACAAACATTACTAATTGACATAGTTTGGATATTTGTCCTCGCTCAAATCTCATGTTGAAGTGTGATCCCCAGTGTTGGAGGTGGGGCCTGGTGGGAGGTGTTTGGATCACGGGGGCGGATCCCTCATGAATGACTTGTGCTGTCTGTCCACTTGGTGATAAGTGAGCTCCCGCTTTGAGTTCCCGCAAGATCTGATCGTTTAAAAATATGTGGTACCTCCTCCACCCATTCTCTCTCTCTCTCTCTCTCTCTCTTCTTCCCTCTCTTGCTTCCGCTTTCACCATGTGACATGCCTGCTTCCTCTTCACCTTCCACCATGATTGTAAGCTTCCTGAGGCTTCCCTAGAAACTGAGCAGGTACCAGTACCATGCTTCCTGTAAAGCCTGCAGAACCGTGAGCCAATTAAACCTCTTTTCTTTATAAATTACCCAGTCTCGGGTATTTCTTTATAGCAATGAAAGAATGGCCTAATACACTAATTATTTTCCTGTTTGTAGTCTTATACCTTGCAGTTGGGCAGTACATCATGCCTAGTCTTAAATACTACTACACAGCTATTTGTCTTCACAAATTATTATTCAACAATGTATCATGATCTGGTAGACCAAAGGGTGACTCTGCTTCCAACTGACTTCCCAGACAGAATTTCAATCTGAACTGACAATTTTACCCGTGGAGATCAAGATCATGGAATTAAGAAATTCCACAAAGTTTTGTTTTCCTAAATCTCCCAACTCTTTTGTGCTCTGGGAAATGGCTTACACAGTGAACCATCCTTCCTGTATGACGTAGATGACTTTCTGTCTACTTTTTCTCATGCCTACCATAAGACTCACTGATGACCTCCCTACCTTGTTTACCTGTGAAAAGGCCAAACACAGCCTTTTCATTTTTGCCTGAACCTGCTGGCAAGACCAGACACGAGTCTCCCACTTCCTGTCATTTATATCATGAATCATTAGCTGAAGTTAGAGCTATTAGTCCACCACATGCCCCCCTCAACCCCAAACTAGCTACACAGAGAGATAAACATTTTCTGTGCAGCTGACTGAGATGTCCCCTGTTTACAAAAACAATCCCAACTAGAAATCATTCAATTTAAAACAAGTCTACTCCTCCCTATAAACTATAAGGTCAAAGCATCTTGCCAAGCACTCTAATCTTTGAATGTGGGGTGCTCTCCCTATTGCAATAGCCTGAATAAAATCAATTTATTTGCTTGTTTGGTTGATAATGCCAAAACTTTATACCATATGCAAACTTTATACCATATGCAAAAATTAATTCAAGGTGAATATCAGTACTGTGGTGTTATTATACATATATATGTTTTCATCCATGGTCCTGGTTCATAACTTCTATAGCCCTTGTTACAGATTTTGTTATAATCTTGAGTGTGTTAGGCCTCAGGGGCAGGCCTCAGGAGACAGAATCTCTCTGACTTTCTCTAACTTTCCTTTCACCTGCCCCAAGGCAGGACTCTAATTTTCCCTCAACTTTCTGATTGTGAGTCATAAGACCTTCATTCCAGAGAGAATCCTGCCTTGTACTCTGGGGGAAGAAATGCTGATGTCATGAGGCTTCCATAAAAACCCAAGAGGACTGGGTTCAGAGAGCTTCCAGATAGCTGAACTCATGGAATTTCCTAGAGGGTGTCCTGCCTAGAGAGGGCATGGAAGCTCCGCGCCCCTTCCCTTGTACCTTGCTCTGCATGTCTCTTCATCTGTATCCTTTGTAATATCATTTATAATGAACCAGTAAATGTGTTTATCTGAGTTTTGTGAACTGCTCCAGCAAATTAACCGAACCCAAAGAGAGAGTTGTGGGAACCCCAACTTGAAGCTGATCTGTTCCAGGCCGGGTACAGTGGCTCACGCCTGTAATCCCAGCACTTTGGGAGGCCGAAGCGGGCAGGTCACTTGAGGCCAGGAGTTTGAGACCAGCCTGGCCAACATAGCGAAACCCCATCTCTACTAAAAAAAACAAAAAATTAGCGGGGCGTGGTAGTGCATGTCAGTAATCCCAGCTACTGAGTAATCCCAGGCTGAGGCATGAGAATCACTGGAACCTGGGAGGTGAGGGTTGCAGTGAGCCAAGATCACGCCACTGCACTCCAGCCTGGGTGACAGAGCGAGACTCTGTCTCAAAAAAATAAATTAATTAAAAAGAAGTTCCAGAGGCCTGAACTTGCGGCAGGAGTGAAGGTCGCAGGGGCTGGCAGTGGGCATTCTTGAGGACTGATCCTCAACCTGTGGGATGTGACACTATCTCCAGGTAGACAGTGTCAGAATTGAATTGGAGGACACCCAGCTGGTGTGTGCTGCTTGGTGTGTGGGGGAAAACCTCCACACATTTGGTCACAGATGTTTTCTTCTGTGTTGATGATTGTCGTTGTGGTATGTGAGCAGAGGAAAAACATGGTTTGAGGGTTTTCCCAAAAGAACTACTGAACAGAAAAGCTAAAACTGTGAAGCTTCTAAAAGATAACACAGAAAACTATTTCAGTGACTTCAGGGTAAGCAGAGATTCTGTAGGAAACAAACCAACAAACCACTAATCATAAGAGAAAAAAATTTGATAAACTGAATTTCATCAGAAGTAAAGTCTTCTATCAAAAGACACTGATACAAAAGGAGAACATAAATGACAGACTGGGAAAAATTTTTACTCTATATATGCACATGACAAATGACTATCTGGAATATATATTTTGAAATATTTTACCTCAAAGAATATAATATATATTTTAAATATACTTTAAAATATGTATTCCAAATAGCCATTTGTCATGTGAAATGGGCAAAAGACTTGAAAAGACATTTCCTCAAAGAAGATATATGCACTGCTAAAAAACATGAAAAGGTCTCAACATTGTTAGTCATCAGGGGAAAGCTAATTCAAATCACAATGAAATACCATTTCACTCTCACTAGAATGGGGAAAATTTTAAAGACTAACAATACTACTTGATTATGTGAATAATACTTGATTATGTGAAGCAACGGGAATTCTTGTACATTAATAGTCAGAGTATAATTGGCATGTTCACAATAGAAAATGTCCTGGCAGTTCTTTTACAGTTAATTAGTCAACAATTTCAACCTTAGGATTTGCCCAAAGAAAATAAAAATATATGTCCATAAAATGACTCATACAAGAATGTTCACAGTAGCTTTATTCATGATAGCCAGAAACTGGAAACTATTAAATACCCATAAACAGAAGAATGAATAAATAAATTGTGGTATATTCATGCAGTACAATACTATTAAGAAAGAAAATGAAAGAACTTTCGACTCACACGAAATGTAAATGAGCTTCAAACATTTTATGCAAAGCAAAAGAAGCCAGATATACAAGAGTACTTACTCTATGTATGTGAAATTTCAGAACAGGGAAAATAAGGTACGGTAAATAAAAATAATAATAGAGTCTGTCACTATTGGGGCAGCAAGTAGGGGGATGGATTGCTGGATCGACCGGAAGGGAACATGAGGAAACTTTCAGAAGTGATGGGAATGTTCTTTTCTTAATTGGGCTGGCAGTTACATAGTGTATACAATTGCCAAACCAACTGAAATGTATTCTTCATATCTATGCATTTTATTTACTGTAGATTATACCTCAAAAGAATACAACATCAATTTGCAAAAATTGTTCTTAGTGTAAATTTTATTATTTTTCTTAATAGTTTATAATATATATATTGTTAGGGTGATTAGGAATTTAAAGCCAACATTGTTCTTCATATAGCAAATGACAGCAATTCCTAGTGCACAGGATGATTAAAGGGTTAAATGAAATAAATAGAAATTATTTAGAGTAGTGCCTGGCATACAATAAGTTTTTAGTAAATTATTTCCTTTATGATTACACATATGGTCAAAATTAACTATATATACTACCTGTTCTATTTTCTCTGAAATAAACAAGTGCACCCAAGAAGCCTTATTGACTGATCTGCTGCCTAAGGTATTCGAGTACTTTGGTTTAGATCTTACCCTCTACCTCTCAAATTTTTAAACTCTGAATTCCCTCTTCTTTTCTGCATTTAAAAATGAAACTCTGGTCTAGGAATAGAAATAAGCATGTCATTCTGTCCTAATATGTTTTAGAGCAAGGGCTGTATATAATCTAGAGATGGTATACAAAGTCCCATCTAAATTGAATAGTCTGTTTGATTATCTGAGTGTGGAGTCCTAATACCTCCCCAGACCTACAAACACTGTAAACTAAATCCTGTACCACAGTTAGTGGTATTAAAATGGAAAACTATATATTTTTAAAGAGGGTTAGATGAATTCATTTGTGTCATTGTTTCTGTAGACATGGATATCCACAGTATGGTGATAACAACCATACATAATGTATAGTAAAGTTTTTCTCATTTCAGTGTTCTATTTTAGATAACATAGATAATTAAAAATATGATTTTATATGTTAAGAACATATCTGAAAAAATGAAAAATGCCAATTTACAAAATTCTACATTGATGATAAAACTTTATTCATTGGTAGTACACTAATGGATATATGTGAGACCATTGGTTTGGAGCAAACAACATGTAAACTAGAGACATGAACACATGCATATTAGGCCATTTTTGCATCACTATAAAGGAAGACCTGAGGCTGGGTAATTTATAAAGAAAAGAGTTTTAATTGGCGCACAGTTCTGCAGGCTGTATGAGAAGCATTGTGCCAACATCTGCTTGGCTCCTGGTGAGGGGCTCAGGAAGCTTACAATTATGGTGGAACATGAAGGGGAGCCAGCATGTCACATGGCTAGAGTGGGAGCAAGAGAATGATGGGGAGGGCCCGACTCTTTTAAACAACCATCTCTCCTGTGGGCTAACTGAGCAAGAACTCACTCATCACCAAGGAGATGGTGCTAAGCCATTCATGAGGGATCCACTCCCATGATCCAATCACATCCCACCAGGCCCCACCTTCAGCATTGGGAATCACATTTCAACATGAGATTTGGAGGGACAAACATCCAGACTATCTCACTGAGTATACTAAACACCTCATGTAAGTATGAGCATCTGAAGCTTTCAAAATATGAAAGATGTCTTGATTACAATAATCTGATTTTTAAATCAGGTCTTGAAACTGGACAGTCCTCTTTCTCTATAGCCAAAGTGAGTATCCCCACCATAGTCTGCACTTTACTTATTGGCTACCACAAGAGTTTTTATGGGTCCTCTGTCCCTCAGCTGGAGTGCCTAGTGAGTGAGCCTGCCTGCTGAATGACATCTTTTCCATATTATTTAGTGGCAGCTCACCTGTTTAAAACCTGTCATAGAGTTTTGAAAATAATTTATTTTCATAATTCCTTTTAATTGTTTTTGACTGTTAGTACTTTATTGATCCTATAGTGCTCTCAATTTCAATTTAATTTTTTAAATCTAAATTATATTTTTGAAATAAAGTTTTTTCTTCATTGTTATTCTAAAGATTTTGTGTATATGAGGTAATAAACTTGGGTTTTCCAGAAGTTTTATAAAAACCCTGAAATATTTTCAGTTTATATGTCCATTTCTTAACATTTTTCCATTAACATTTAAAAGCTGTAAAATTTATCTTTGTACTTTGGGAGACTAATAGGTCTAGCTGAATGATGTGGTTTCATTGAATCTCACTGTATCAAAGAGTATAACATATGAAATCACTTAATTAGTTGAATAATAGATGTCTGAGATTCTTGCTACTTAAGTGTGGTCTCTGGACCAGCAGCATCTGGCATTGCCTAGGAGCTAGTTAAAAGAAATGGCCCCAGAAATACTGAGTCAAAATCTGCATTTTAAAAAGAGCTCCTGGTGATTCCTATGTATACTAAAGTTTGAGAAAAACTGTCTCACTGTTTGAGATTTTTGATCTACCTTTCTTTTTGAAAGGTAAAATTGTTTCAATGACATATGTTCTTATTCTTGACATACTATGAGAAATAGACTGTCTTCATTTTTCGCTGTTTTGCACAAAGTTTAATATTCACATTTGCTTAAAAATAAAAGCACCCACAGTCCTAACTTTCACATGGTTAATAATACTTTGTTTTTAAACAAGGGATATTAAAGTCATTTATAAGTCTTACATCACTCAATTTTACTACAATTTTTCTGAAGTAGTAGATGAAAAAAATGTTTAACTTTTTTTTTTTTTTTTTTTGAGACGAAGTCTCGCTCTTGTCCCCCAGGTTGGAGTGCAATGGTGCAATCTTGGCTCACTGCAACCTCTGTTTCCCGGATTCAAGCTATTCTCCTGCCTCAGCCTCCCAAGCAGCTGGGATTACAGGCGCCTGCCACCATGCCCGGCAAATTTTTGTATTTTTAGTAGAGATGGGGTTTCACCATGTTGGCCAGGCTGGTCTTGAACTCCTGACCTCAGGTGATCTGCCTGTCTCAGGCTCCCAAAGTGCTGGCATTACAGGCGTGAGCCACCGCGCCTGGCCAAAAAAAAAAGTGTTTAACTTAATTTGTGTATGGTTTTTTAAAAAGGCTCATAGAAGGATCAAGTGACCAGTCCTAACTCAATCGTCAGTACTGTATTTCTCTTTCCAATGGGATGTGCTTATTTTCTGTTTGGAGAGTTGAACTATCCTTTACAGGAAACCTAATATAAACTGTTCAGGTCAAGAAATGTGGTTTGATTCATCAAAAAAATATACTTGCTAGTCCTATTACCTTTAGCTGCACTTTATCGAAATTCGTAAGGATTGCCATGCCTCAGTCTTAGTATAGGCCCATTTCCTTTGCTTTGTTTCATGGATTTAAGGCTGTCATTTAGAAGTTCACTGATGGCTGCTTCTGTCTGCTGATTGAAGAAGTCTCTGAACTAGCAGATCCTTGTGGCTTCTCACCACAAAAAAAAAATTCCTGACAAAAGAGCTATTAAAAAAACAAGTGTATATTTATTTCATTTGTTTAACTGCTACTACTTAATAGCCACAAAGGATTAATAATAATGTGGGTTTTTAATATAATGAACACAACTGATAATTTGGGAAGGATTCTCTGTTTGTAGAGCCTCTTTATACAAAATAAAAAGGTCAAAAACAACAAATGAAATCATACCCTTTCTTAAATTGTTTAAATTAGCAGTCTGTTTTTTAAATCAGTTTTTTGTAGTTTGATTACCCAAACCTGGTGGAATTCCAACTTGACTATAAACCCAAAGCAGAAATGATAGTTCCTATAATACACAGTACACAGGAGGGGCTCAAAAAACCTGACTAAACAGTAAACCTCCCAACTATTAATACCAGATCCTTCATATATCACTCAGTATTATGTATTTAATTATAGTGTGACCAATCTATCATATGAATACATTGTATATATAATAAATAATATTGTGCAATAGAATATTATATAGTATTATACAATATAATATAAATCATAAATTTATATAATTATATGTATTATATAATATATAATATAAATAGAATAGAATGATATAAAAACATTGATATACAATGTATTGCTATATTGATGTACTATATATTTATTATTATATATAATTACATATATAGTCAGTATATTGTTTATGCCGACACTTGACTTTTTTTTTTTTTGAGGCGGAGATTTGCTCTTGTTGCCCAGGCTGGAGTGCAGTGGCACAATCTTGGCTCACTGTAACCTCTGCCTCCCGGGTTCAAGTGATTCTTCTGCCTCAGCCTCCCAAGTAGCTGGGGATTACAGGTGCGAGCCACCATGCCCAGCACATTTTTGTATTTTTAGTAAAGATGGGGTTTCACCATGTTGGCCAGGCTGGTCTTGAACTCCTGATCTCAGGTGATCTGCCCACCTCAGCCTCCCAAAGTGCTGGGATTACAGGTGTGAGCCATCACACCTGGCCAGTACTTTTACTGGTAGTATCACCCCAGCTTTTTGTGTCTTCCAGGAGTAGCACACACAGAGTACAGATAACCTCCCTGGGATCATGACTTTACATAAAAGAGACCTTCATCTATTGCTTGGTGTCAACAGAACACTAGAGGAGGACTGGATCATTTCTATGTGGTTGAAAAATTGCAGTCTGTCTCTAAGAACTTGTCCAACAAAACACTCTTCTCTGCCAAAGTTACTCCTGCCTGGTACCTTTTTCACAAGTGGATCTAGCTTCATTTTCGTTTGGTGAGGCAATGGAGTTTGATGGACAGCTGGTTGTAATCCAGTGCACAGGTCATGCGCAATGAATTGAGAAATGCTTTTTTAAAAAACTAGTTTTATCTATCTACAGAGACCAGAGACCAACAGAGAATGAGTAGCAGCTGTTGAAGGTATCTGGGCTAGTTAGTTCCAGTTTTCAGCTATTATTTTAAAATTGCAGGCTGGGTGCAGTGGCTCACACCTGTAATCCTTTGGGAGGCCAAGACCTGTGGATCACTTGAGTCCAGGAGTTCAAGACCAGCCTGGACAACATGGTGACACCCATCTCTACTGAAAATACAAAAATTAGCTGTGTGTGGTGGCACATGTCTGTAGTCCCAGCTACTTGGGAGGCTGAGGCACAAGAATTGCTTGAACCCAGGAGGTGGAGGTTGCAGTGAGCTGAGATCACACCACTGCATTCCAGCCTGACTCTGTCTCAAAAAGTTGTTATGAAATAACATTCATGTACAAATTTTTAATGTGAACTTAAGTTTTTATTTCTCTGGGATAAATAACCAAGAGTAGTACATCTGCTGGGTTATATGGTAATTACATGTTTAGTTTTGTAATAAAATTCCAAACATTTTTTCAGAGTGGCTACATCATTTTACATTCCACCAGCATCGTATAAGTAATGCAGTTTCTGCACGTCTTTGCCAAAATTTGATGTTGTCACTTTTGAAATTTTAGCCATTCAGATAGATGTATAGTGATATCTATTTGCATTCCCCTGCTGGCTAATGATGTTGAAGATATTTTCATCTGTATATCACCTCTGGTGAAATGTCTCTTCATATGTTTTGCCCATTTCTAATTGTCATAGATGCAGGAGACAGATAAGGGAGGTCCTGGGAGACCCTCCCACTTGCCCCACAAGTGTTTACACCAGATGCTTTTGTGCAGATGAGAGAACCTGACTAGCGTTTTGTCTGGGCATGCCTGCAATGGTCTGTACTCGCCTGTGCACTGGGAAGATGGGGTGGAGCCATAGGAAGTTTGTGCCCTGTGCAGTGAGGAGGAACCTGGCCTCTTGAGCTCATATGTGGTGGCCTGGTATCCAATCTGTGAGGTGGCCTGGTATCCAGTCTGTGAGGTGGCCTGGTATCCAATCTGTGAGGTGGGAGCCTATTGACAAGACTTCCTCTCACTTTGCTGAGTATTTTTTTTTCTTTTTTCCTTTTCGCCCAATACTTTCTGCTCCCCTCACCTTTCAGTGTGTCCATGTGCTTAATCTTTCCTGTCATATGACAAGAACACAGTTTTAGCTGAACTAAGGAACAAAAATTCTGCATCAGTTGGATTGTTTGACTCGTTGAGTCTTGAGAGTTCTTTATATATTTTAGATATTAGTCCTTTGTCAGATATGTGATTTTAAAATATTTCCCCCATCTATAACTTGTCTTTTAATTCTCTTCACATGAGCTTTCACAGAGTAAAGTTTTAAATTTTGATAAGGTCAAATTTATCAATTTTTGCATTTTTGACATGTGTTTTCCATGTTAGGGCTAAGAATTATACCACTAGCCCTAGATGCTAAAGGTTTTTACCTATTTTTGCTAAAATCATTACAGTTTTACATTTTACATTTAAGTCTTTGATTATTTTCAAATTAATCCTTGCATAAGATGTGAAGATTAGATTGAGATCCATTTTTTTTTTCTCCTGATAGGTATCCAATTGCTCCAGCACCAACTGGTGAAAAGACCATCATTCTTCTACTCAGTTGCATTTGAAGCTTTGTCAAAAACCAGTTGAGTATATTGGTGTGGATGTGTTTCTATTCTGTGGATCTCTCTTCCGTTCCATTGATCTATGTGTCTGTTCCTTTGCCAGTACTACACTGGGTTGACTACCATAGCAATGAAATAAACCTTAAAATCAAACAGAGTAATTCTTCCCACTTTATTCTTCATTGTCAAGATTGTTTTAGCTATTTTAGTGCATGTGACTTTCCATACAAATTTTAGAATAAAGGTTGTTTATGTCTGCAAAAAATCTTGCTCACATTTTGATAGGCATTGCATTAAAACTATAGATTAACTTGGGGAGAATTAAAATCTTTAATACATTGTCTTCCAATCTATGAGCACAGCATGTCCTTCCATTTAATTTTGGTCTTCTTTAATTCATTTCATTACCATTTTGTACTTTTCAGCATAGTTAAAATATTTTATTAAGCTTATACTTAAGTATTTTATTTTGTTTGGAGCGATTGTAAATGGCTTTGAAGCCATCTTCACAGGATTACCAAGAATTCTTTTTTTTTTTTGAAATGGAGTCTTGTACTGTCACCCAGGCTGGAGTGCAGTGGTGCCATCTCGGCTCACTGCAACCTCCGCCTTCTGGGTTCAAGCTATTCTCCTGCCTCAGCCTCCTGAGTAGCTGAGGTTACAGGCGTGCACCACCACGCCCGGCTAATTTTTGTATTTTTAGTAGAGACGGGGTTTCACCATGTTGCCCAGGCTGGTCTCAAACTTCTGACCTTGTGATCCGCCCACCTCAGCCTCCAAAAGTGCTGGGATTACAGGCGTGAACCACTGCGCCTGTCCAGGATTACCAAGAATTCTGGACAGAAATATAGTTATAATTAAGCATTAATCACTCTGCACTTTGACCCACTTCCTTGTAACTGAAAGTCACTAGACACTGACCATTTGCATCCCCATTGTTCCTATAGATAGGATTTCTGACCCTAGAATCATAAAGCTTTTGTTTAAGGGTTGCTTAAGATGTTTTTCACATTCTAAACTCCAGCAAAACAGCTGATGCCAACCAGTTTGAAGACCCCCAGAAAGGAAACTAATCAGCATGAAAACACAGTTTCTTCATCTCTCTGTCCCATGACATCACCCTGCACTCTTCAATCTCTACACTTTATCCCACTCCAAAACCCTTAGGAACCCTATCCCCATATGCCCCAGAGAGACGGATTTGAGATTTCCTCTCATCTTCTCATTTGGCAGCCCTAGGATTAAACCTCTTTCTCAGAAGCCACCCGGTGTCTTTGTGTATTGACTTGCTGTGTGCATCTTGCAATATACCTATTAGGATAACAGTTTTGTGTTTTTTATTTTGATTCTGCCTGTCCATTGTTAGTAGATAGAAATGTGATTGATTTTTGTGTGTGACTTTGCTAAATTCATTTATTACTTCTAGGAAATTTTTAAAGATTCCTAGAGATTTTGTATGTAGATAATTATGTCATCTGGAAATAGTTTTATTTTCTGCACTTCAAACTTTATGCCTTATTTATTTTTCTTGATTTGTTACAGTAGTTAGAACTTCCAGTACTGTGTTGAGGCGAGACCCCATCTCTACAAAAAATAAAAATTAAAAAAACTAGCCAGGTGTTTTGATGCACCCCTGTGGTCTCAGCTACTTGAGAGGCTGAGACAGAAGGTTTGCTTGAGCCCAGGAGGTCATGAGGCAGGAAATTAAAGAAAGAAAAATAAAATTAAAAAGAGAAAAACAAGCTTTCTATATTAGGCTGACTCATCCTAAAGGCAGTAACAGGCAAAGCCTGGACCCAGGTGAAGTCTCAATAACATTATCTAAGAAGCCAGAGCTCAAAAGAATGTGATCTGGAGACTCTCTCAGCACTCTCTCAACATAAGGATAAGGAAAATACATTTTCCTCTCTCATTTAGTATAAGGAAACTTCCCCCTTGAATCCTAACCCCCTCCATGTGATTGTACCTTGCTCTGCAAGTTTTATAATGTTATAGATTCCTGTTTTCTGTAACTAATAACTTCAAGTGTTCTGTTTTTATCTGAGCAGCACATTGAAGGTTATAAGACATGCCTCAGCAGGCCTGGGCTGCAGCCATCTAGGCACCATAGTGAGAGTTATGAGATAAGCCCATGCAAGGCACTAGAGCAAGCCTAGATAACAGCCATCTGGGCCACGTAGCAAGAGTTGCATGTAATCCTGAGTTATGCACCTGTCACAATTTGATTAACTGCCTTTGTTCTGCCTCTGTATCCTTGCTTTCATGCCACTATGCTTCATGCCACTGTAAGCTTGTTTCAAGCTAGCCCACCCTCTTTTAGAAGTGTGTGTAAAAGTCAAGTGCTGTCTTTGTTCTGGGCCCGAATTTTGGATGTAAATCCACTGGGTCTGAGTGCACTAAAAAAAATCCTCCTGTTCCACCTATCGGTCTCTCCAGTCTCCTGATTCCCACAACAGTCAAGGCTACAGTGTGTGGTGTTTTCACCACTGCACTCCAGCCTGGGTAATAGAGTGAGACCCCATCTCAAAAAGAAAAAAGATGAAAGATAGTAAAGAGAACATCCCTGCCTTGTTCAGGATCATAGAGGAAAAGCATTTGGTCTTTTGTCATTGAGTCTAATGTTAGCTGTAGGATTTTGTTGTAGATGCTCTTTATCAAATTCATCTAGTTGAGATAATTCCCTTCTAATCCTAGTTTGCTAAACATTTTCTTCTTTTTCTTTTGCATTAAAAAAATTGAGTGTGGAGGGAAAAGCCACTTCATCTTGGATGCTTAATCTGCCTTGTTGACTTCTAATTAAACCCACTCCCTGGAATGCTGCCAAGATTTCTATTTTGTCTACTACTCCTTGTGTAACAGCATGTATTTATCATAAATCCTGCCATTAGATCAAAAGAATCTTGATATTATTGTACTTACCATAAGTCCTGCCCTTAAGCAATTGTCCTACACATCCCTTTTGAATCACATATACCCTTTGCCTATGATATATAACCTAGCAGTATGGGGGGTAATGGTTCAGGGCCCCACCATCTTGTTTTTCTGCTGCCTGAGGCACAGACATGACTTCTTTTCCTAAGTTCCTATTAAATGTTTCTTTCTGAGAAAATTGATATCTTAGCCTTTTTCTTCAGCCTCTCAGTGTCCTTAGACTATTGGGGGCAGGTTTATACAGACCTGCCCACCATGGAACATGTGGTGAGCCAGGCCAGAAGCTGAGAGATCAATAAATGGGAAAAGGGTATGTAGCATCCATGGGGGAACTCCCAGCATGGCCATCCATTCCATGTGGAGTGGTGTGGATCACCTTTTAGACATTTGTGGACCACTGCATGAGAATGAGGATGCCCTGAAAATGCTGGTGGGTTTAGAGCAATTGTTAACTGATAACCATCTACCATACTGCTGTAAGGAAGGGTGGTGAGTAGCCACTGTAGTAAGATGTCTGCTTCTACAGGCTGCCTGTTTGGTGATGGGAGCCCACCTAGCAGTGTTGCAGTCATTTCGTCTGAGGTACTACCCGGAGTTCTTTGTCTCATGACCAATAAAATTAAGGAGTGTGGACACCAATGATGAGGTTGGAGCAGAAGTTTAAAAAGCCAAAGAAGAAAGCTCTCCACAGTGGAGAGCGGGACCTGAGAGGGTTGCCAGCTATGAGACTGAGTCCCAGGTTTTTATGGACTGGAAGGGGAGGAATGTGCTGACTGATCTGTAGGCTGTCTTGGAGAACCAGTTGGAGGTAGAGGTGAAGGCTTGGCCCAGGACCAATCAGGGGCTGAAGTGATGATTCACCATATGTAAATGAAGACTTGGCCTGTGGCCAATCACAGAAAGGTAGGCATATGTAAAGTAGGTGAAAAGTCAGAGCCAAAAAACGAGTGGAATTTGTTCATCTTGTTTCAGAGTAGACATTTCCATTCAAGGATGTGGGGCCTGCAGTGATTTTCAGGCTGTTCTTTGAAGGAGTTTTACCAAGGAGCCACCCTAACTGTCTGCCTGACCAGTTTCTTCCTTCCTCCTCTCTCAGCAGCAGAAGCAAAATAAAACAGCTTGAGGAGGAATTACCATTAGGAGAGATATATTTTTTAAAAGACCTCTATAGTCAAAAGTCAAAGACTCTATAGTCAAATTGGTTAAACCTGATATTTGGGCAATGTGTGTATGCATATGTATTGTTTTAAGGCTTCTGCTCTCACTTTGTAAAACAACTCAGTTGACTGATTTCTCGGTGTTTGTCCATTTACTTCGGTCTGTCCCTCCTTCTTGCCATCCTTTATGCCACATGAGTAGATCTTAAAAGGATTTCTAACAATCTGGGATCACTTAAGGAAAACAGAAAAGGTATCAAAGACTTCTTTTTGGGGTTGAACCTCTGTTTTTTTCTTATGGAACCCCGAGAATTGTAAGCAGACAGATTCCTCTCAGGTATAAAACCCTGTTCTCTTTTGTATTGCATTACTTGATCTCTTTGGATTTTGAGGATACAAGAAATTACTTTGTAAGTTTGAGGACTTGATCTTGCCAAGTGTAATGACTGGTGAGTCACAGGTGAGAGTTACAGCGTTAGAGGTAGCTGAGAGACAGTTCCTTATAGTAACTGGTTATTACTACAGGGGCCTACTCATTTCTTTGGGCATTTGAGAAAAGCAAGGTTTAGGCCCTAAAAACTGCATGCTTTCTTTGCCCTATTCATTAAAGGGCTCCAACCTCAAGTCAGTAATCTAGTTAAGAAACAAGCTAAGTTGAAAAGACACTTTCCCTCAAAATCTTGTCTTCAGATAATGGTGTTTAAGTCTAAGTTCTGGGTCTTTGATATGTAAATTTTCTACCTTGTTTCACCTGAGTCATGTCTTCAAGAATGACTGATAGTCTAAAAGTGGGAAAGAAACGATTTGAAAATTGATGAGTGAAGAATCTTATAAATCTATAAGATCTGCCTGTGTGTGTCTTTATGTCTATATGTATGTATCACTTGTATGAGATATTACACTACCAAAATATATGAAAGTGCTTTAATCAATTGGCTTATAGAAAAGTAAGTGCTTAAATAAAATACTTTGTCAGAAAAATAAAAGCCAGCTCATGTTGGGGCTCAGAAACAAATACCCAAAATATGGTGCATTGCCATGCTGAACTGAAGAAGCCTTGATCAAGGCCTCTCTGACCTCCCCACCACCCAAGGTCTCTCTCAAAGAAGCTGAAGTTCCTTTATCTGCCTAAAGTCCAGACCCAGCAGAGAAAAAAATTGTTTTTTCTTTACATGGACATAAAGCATGATGGTAAAAAAAATTTTTTTTCATCCCTCCCTGTAAGACAAAGAATGCAACCACACCTGAACAGATCTTTCCACTGTCAAAAAGAACTATTTACAAGTAAATCATTCTCCCTAGTAATCCTCTCAACAGCATTTGTTTTCTCTCCCCTTCCATAACTTGTTTTTGCCAGGATGGTATGTAAGCTTGTAAAACTCACTGGGGAGTTGGGCCTTCATTCTGAAGGATCCTGTGTATACATGTTAAATAAATGTATATGCCTTTTCTCCCATTCATATACCTCATGTCAGTGATTTTTCGATGAACCTCCAAAGGGCCAAATGGCGTTGGCCACTAGACTCAAATGACTTTTAGTTCACATGACTTTAGTAATCATTGATAAATAAAACTAGTTTTGTTACCATTTAACCAGGTTCTTATCCACTGCCCAGATAGAGCCAAACACTGAGACAGCAGGTGTGGTAGTAAAGAAAGACTTTAATTATCACAAGGGAACTGCGGAAGGAGAATGGGAGATTTCTCAAAGCTGCCTCCCTGAGAATTCAGAGGCTAGGGTTTTAAGGATAATTTGGTGGGAAGAAGGTTAAGGGATGGGTGTTGCTAATTTGGTCTGGGATGAAACCATAGGGGTGTCAGAGCTGTCTTCATGTGCTAAATCAGTTATTGGGCCATGGAGAAGTCATAATACAAGTCAAGTCAGTTCCTTAGTTACCCTCATGGGCCACAGGTACAGTTGGCATCAGTTGGTCCAGGCTGTTAGAGGCAAAGTCTGAAAAATATCTCAAAGACCAGTCTTAGGTTTCACAATAGTGTTTGTGACTGCTGGTTACTATGGAAAAGCAAGCTGGGAAACAATGGTGGGTTATTATATAACCATGACTATAGCTTAGTAGAAAAGTTTGCATGAGGTGAAATCCCTGGTGGTCAAAGCTGCTCAGCCTTCTCTCTGGTCAGTCCAACTTCTGGAAGCCATAGGGAGGATCTGCATAATCTAAGGATCATTAGTCTTTAAAGAAAAAACTTCATTAATCTTGTGGGCAGCCTGCCTGGGGTAAGACAAGGAGGTAATAAATTATTAGTGTCTATTGAAGTGACTATATGCAAGCAATCATGCATGGAGGAGGAAGAGATCTGAGAGAAAGATAAATATCTTAAGAAAATTCATCCCCCTACCATAATTTTAATCTTGTGACCTTTTAAAATTTCATAAAAGTGGTTTCAATTTCAAAATTCTCTTCAGTAATTTAAAATCTTGAAGTCATATTATGTTAAATTAAGTAATCCTAGGTTTTTCACTGAAATTAGGGTTACTAAGAGTTAGAATAGTTGTTAATATATGTAATATTAAAAACTACTATTAGCTGGGTATGGTGGCTTATGCCTGTAGTTCCAGCTACTCAAGAGGCTGAGGTGGAAGGATTGCTTAAGTCTGGGAGATTGAGGTTGCAGTGAGCCATGATTGCACCACTGCACTCCAGTCTGGGTGACAGAGTGAGACCCTGTTTTAAAAATATAAATGAAAATAAAAAATAATAAAACTACTAGATCCAAGAAAAATAATTCTATATACAGAGTGTATAAAAAATATGTGGTTTTGGTCAGGAAGTTTATTTTAAAAAGACGTGAAGATACAGTTTTGGTAAAGGAGAACTAATTTTGTCTAGAGGTTAAATGTTTCAAAATGAAGGAAATAAATGATGTAGATAAAAGTTAATGCATAAAAAGGAAAAGGATAAACAGGTGAGGAATGAGGAACCTTTGATTCCCGGGTGCCCATGTGATCACCCACGGCATAGAGCTGCTGCACTGCATTCAGTTACTAAATGTAAAAGTTACCAGTGGAATTTACAGATGAATTCAACTCCTAGAGAGTTGGGCCAATGGATACATAAGGAAATGCACACTAATAACCAAAATGTGAAATATTAAATCCCTTGGTTATTGTAAACCAAAAAGTGTCTGAGAAAGACCTCAATCAATTTAGAACTTTATTTTGCAAATGTTGAGGACACACAAGGGAAAAAAAAGACACAAGTCACAGTAGGATCTGTGGCCTGTGCTTTTTCCAAAGTCTTGAGCACTTCAATATTTAAAGGAAAAAGAGCAAGCAGCAGAGGAAGGAGGGGAAAAGTGGGGAAGGGTGAACAAGGTGAGTGGTTTGTGTCCTGTTACAAGAGAAAACAGATTCTCATTGAATTTATGCAAATAACTGCACTGCCACAAATTAAGAATATTCACAGGTAGCTTCCAAATTTTTTTAGAAATCAGGGAGAGAGAAAGAAATATGCTTCAAATTTTGCTTATAAGACTGTACTTTACTCAATTGTTAAAAGCTGTAAATAGCTCAAAAGAAAAAAAGTTTTCTTGATTCTGATAAAAAAAAAATCAGCAATGTTTCAAACAAAAAAATCATTGAAAAATTATTTCAGCCTTCCATTAGTTCAGTCCATGCAGTTAACCCCTGTCCTGCTTGGTACTGAGTCAGCAATCCTTGTGAACATATTAGCTCTTTTTAATGAGAGTCCTGGAAGTTTTTTATTCTTTAGTACAATGACACAGTCTCCAAGGTTATCTGAAACCTCCATTTAAGAGCACCCATCAGAGTCCTTTCCATGAATTCCCTTAAAGAAGCAAGTTTTATGACCTTTTTTTTTTTTTTTTTTTTCCCTAAAACAGAGTCTCGCTGTGTCACCCAGGCTGGAGTGCAGTGGCACAATCTTGACTCATGGCAACTTCTGTCACTTGGGTTCAAATGATTCTGGTGCCTCAGCCTCCCGAGTGTCTGGGACTACAGGTGCACGCCGCTGTGCCTAATTTTTGTATTTTCAGTAGAGACAGGGTTTGCCGTGTTTGCCAGGCTGGTCTCTAACTCCTGGCCTCAAGTGATCCACCTGCCTTGGCCTCCCAAAGTGCTAGGATTATAGGCATGAGTCACTACACCAGGCCAAGAAGCAAATTTTAGATTGTTGCTTTTTAGAAACCACTTTTTGAGAAGAATCAAGGTAAAACAAATAATTGTGGATGACAAAAGTCTTAGAACAGCCATGGTTAAAGATACAACTGACCAAGATATTTGGTTAGTTCTGTGGCATAAAACAATTACACATAATGATTATTATTATTATTGATAATATGTACTAAAACATATCAGAATTATAGGAATCTCATACACTTTTGGAACATTTACTAATAACACATTTATATAAACATAACCCAAAGAAAATTAAACACCACTTTATATTTGACAATGGTTCTTGTATGATTGAGCATATCAAATAAGCCAGATATGTCTCTTTTGGACTGCAGGGGACCTAATGTCTAAAAAGATAATGAGGTTTAATGACTGAATTTGAAACTTGATTTTGGAAAGTTTGTCAAATATCAAAGGTTTAAAACACATAATGTCAGGGCTGGGTGTGGTGGCTCACGCCTGTAATCCCAGCACTTTGGGAGGTCGAGGCAGGTGGATCACAAGGTCAGGAGTTCGAGACCAGCCTGGCCAATATGGTGAAACCCCATCTCTACTAAAAATACAAAAAAATTAGCCAGGCGTGGTGGCACATGCCTGTAATCCCAGCTACTCAGGAGGCTGAGGCAGGAGAATTGCTTGAATCTCGGAGGTGGAGGTTGCAGTAAGCCGAGATCGTGCCACTGCACTGCAGCCTGGGTGACAGAGCAAGACTCCATCTCAAAAAAACCAAAAAAAACAAAAAAAACACATGATGTCACAAATCCGGTTGTCAGGTTACTATAAAATAAGTCATTCATTTAGCCAAAATGATAATTCAAAGATTTTTAAAAAGCAAAAACCTTTACTCTTTGATAGAGAGGAGACTCAGTTTCTCAAACAATAAGACCTAGTAAAGTCAGCATAAGGCCAACTGAATCTAGCTCTCCTCTCCCTCTCTTTTTTCTTTTGCAGTTAATTCAAAAGGCAAACAAAAATATTTTACTGTATCTTTTTTTTTTTTCTTTTTTTTGAGACGGAGTTTTGCTCTTGTTGCCCAGGCTGGAGTACAATGGCATGATCTCGGCTCACCGCAACCTCCACCTCCTAGGTTCAAACTATTCTCCTGCCTCAGCTCCCGAGTAGCTGGGATTACAGGCATGTGCCACCACATCCGGCTAACTTTGTATTTTTAGTAGAGACGGGGTTTCTTCACGTTGGTCAGGCTGGTCTCGAACTCCCGACCTCAGGTGATCCGCCTGTGCCGGCCTTCCAAAGTGCTGGGATTACAGGTGTAAGCCACTGCTCCCAGCCCATTATATCTTAATATTACATGAAAATCTTATTCAAAAGAGAAAACCAAATTTTACCTTTGCATTCGATATTATTAATGCAAAAGCTACTTTTAATAAAATCTTATAAACAAATTCCTCCTTAGAACTTCTAGACAGAAATTATGTTCCCTTAAAAAAATCCACATTCCCATGCCTTCTTATAAACCATATTTTTAACTGAAACACATTCTGCTTTTAAAATACACTTTGTATGTATCTAGTAGTTTTAATTAAATACATTAATTATAATGTTACCTCTTAGTAACTCTTATTTTTGGTGAAAAACCTAGGAGGTTCATAAGTTTATAGACAAGTAGAAGCAAAGTTTTATGTCTTTAAGCATTTAGCACAGTGTTTAACCTGCCTAACTAGTTTAGATCGAAAGTCTAAATTAAATTCTGGAGATGTTTTTATCAATAACTTAAAAACTAGTTTTATTTACCAAATATTGCTAAAGTTACATGAACTAAAAGGCATTTGAGTTAAAGTTTCTATTTTTCTGATGAAAAATTTTATTTAAGCACTTACTTTTTTCTTTAGGCCAATTAATTAGAGCTCGGTTATATATTTTGGTAGTGAAACATCACATACACATGACTTGTGTAAACACATAGACATGCAGGCATAGACAGAAGCAGATCTTATAGATTTATATGATTGTTCATTTGTCAGCTTTCAAAATATCTCTCCCCCACGTTAGATTATCAATTCTCTTGATAATCTGTTTCATTGCCCTGGGCAATTGTCAGCTGGACAGCTCAAAATTTGCATTTCTAAACAGACAACTCTTAGGCGAAGCAAAATAGACAATTTGCATTTTCAAAGCACAGAGCTAACACAGTAGGCCTAAATATTGTACCATCATTTGCTCAAGCCAAGGGAAAAACAATGGTGTAAGTAAATTTTAGTTAAGATGGCCAGGAAAAGTACTTTAAACAAAGGTATGACTTGTGAATTTAAAGCAATGGGAAGAGTTTCTAATGTACATAGGGAGATACCATTACAAATACAAATTTCCTTGAAGATGTAAATTTACTTTATGAAAGAGTTTTCAGATAGCCACCTACATGCCTGAAAGTTGTATTTTGGCTTTTTAAACTTAACTTGTTCTCAATTAGATTATTGGCTTTAGGGTGGAGCCCTTTAATGAATATGAGAAGGAAAATAAGCAGTTTTTATGGCCTGATATTTACATACGTGTGAAGCAAGCATAGCTGGAAGGCAGAACAGATCCTCCAAAACCAAGGATAACATTTTTACACTCCATCTGTGGTTCCCAAAGAGAGGGGAACACCATGAGACAAGATAGTTCAAAGCTTTTACAGTGTTCCTCGCTGCAAGGATATTCTGTTCTCCCAAGGATGGTGGGCGACCCAATGCCAATCAGCCGATTCTGTGATCATCTCATCCCCCACAGGAGACTTGTCTCTCAGTCAGGAGTGGGGATGTTTCCATAGCTTCTACATGCCCCAAAGCTCACTTTTCTCATACACATGCACAAGGAAATGAGTAAAACAATGTGGTCATAACTACTCACTGTAAGCCTCTGCCATCAGCCATTTCTAAAAGTGTATTTCTTATCTACCTATTGTATACACCAAAGTTATTTTCTCATGATGCAAAGTAATTTAAGTCCCCCCAAAAGTAAAACAAAATCAGGTAACACAATGCAAAAGAGAATAGAGTTTTATTAGATATGAGTTAATTGGTCTGCTTACAACTCCTGGGATGACATGAAGAAAAACAGATTTCTTTCAAACAGAGAAGTCTTTGGTGCCTTTTCTGTCTCCCCAGTGGATCCCAGGCTGTCAGAAATTCCTTTTTTTCTTCTTTTTTTTTTTTTTTTTTAGGTGCTTCGTATGGCATTGAGGGTGGCAAGAGAAAGGAGGGACAGGCAGAAGTAAACGGAGAAACAATTTAGCTGACAAAAAGTTTTTACAAAGAGAGAACAGAGGCTTAAAACTAGTGTGTGTGTGTGTGTGTGTGTGTGTGTGTGTGTGTGTGTGTATACATATATACCCTAGATATCAGTTTTAGTTAAGTCTACTTTTGACTATTGAGCTCTTTTTAAAAAAACAAAAAACAAACAAACAAAAAAACACAACTTTGAAACTCTTATCACCAGATTTTTGCCATAACAAACAGCTGGTATTTGAAAAGTCATACAAATATCAAACCAGAAAGGACTCATTCTCTGGCCGGAAAACAAACCCAGGTCACCAAGGTGAAAAGGGAAGAACCTTAGCTACTGAACTACATCATGGGGTGGTGTCCATTGTTTTTCCTAGAGGGAATCTAAAGCAATTTTGAGCTTTCAAAGATTTTAAGCTTTTTTTATGTTAGATTTTGCTCAACCGAATTCTCAAGACTAGCCATTACACTATTATGTGTCCTTTTTAAAATTTGGTTTTCCCTAGCAACTCAATCCAAAAATCTCTCTGTAAAGCCCAGGTCATAATTTTCTAGGTTTAGAAAAAGTTTTTACATTCCTGGAGAGGGCAGAAGGGAGGCAGTCCCCATGATCCCTAAAAATTCACTCTTAGAAATAGATTTAAGATAGCAAAAGATGACAAAAACCCCATAGGGATGAGATCTTTTAAGAAAAAACTTCCCTAAGAAGTTGACACATTTGGAACAAAAAGTGTACTGCTTAAAATATTAGATGTCTTGGATTCCCAGTCTTTGCAGACTGGCTTCCTGATGTGAACCTGAAAATTCCTGCCCTCCAGATAGTGGAGACTAAGAGAGTACTCCCACTTGGTAAGAAAGTCAAGCTTTCAAGGACATAAAACAAAATGAGAAGGAAACCTCATCCAATTTTATTTCAGGGGCCCACAGCAAAATTTGTCTTAACAGGTACTTGGTATAGTCCGAACTGCAGAACTGACCAGTCTGCAGGGCCAGCTTGAACAGTGAGCATATAGGGGTTCTAGGCCCATGTTCTATCCTATGATACTTGATACTTTTTTTTTAGGTGCTTCGTGTGGCATTGAGGGTTTTAGGGTTATTGAAGGGATATTTATTCTGACAGATTTGGGGGCCCACAAGGAATTTCCTTGAGAGAAATTTGTGAGGGAGGCTACCTGGAGAGAGATGTGGCCTTCTATCATTGCAGCTTTCTGTTTAGGAACAAAAGGAAGGCCATTTTTGCATGAATCTGTTCCCAAGCTTTATGTTTACCTTTGGCATTGTGATTTGGGGGACTTAAGATTTTATTTTCCTTTTAGTTATTGTTATCTATAAAAGCTAAAATGAAAGTAAAAGAGAGTGCCTGGTTGGGGCTTGAGCCTGGACCAACCTCAGATATGGGTCTGTCTGAGCTCAGATTCTTAGCCTCAAATCTACCCACAAGGGAGAAAAAGTATGCCAGCACAACAGAAAGTACCTTTGATACTTGTGGGTAGTCAATGTGGCAGAAGGGCAAAAGCAAGCAACAGTTGAAACCATAGGGTATAGTATGAAGGAATCATTCCATTTTGTACAACAGTATCAGCAGCTCCCTGAGGAACTTTTACCAAAATGGATTATGAGAGTAACTAATTTGGAAGCAGTGGCTTTGGTTTGAAATGCTGCACAGTGGAAAAACATGTTTGGGTGATGCAGGACCCACAGGTCACTATAGAACAATTGCAGATTCATATATATGATCCAGACACATAGGTTATTCCTGAGAGAAGAACTGGGCTGGTGGACTGGATAAAAGCCACTGTAAGATCTTTTTACCCCGAAAAGGGGGTCTGTTCAACTCCCCCTGTAAATACCAAGTTGGGTAATTCAGATGAAGCATGTGCAAGCCATGTGGGATTGGCTTTATGAGGACCAGTATATTCACCCACTGAATATGCCTGTTACCCAGGTTATGGTAAATGCTGTGGTTAAGGGGACCCCTTCTACACGGGTACTGTCAGGCCTCTGAGCCCAAGCCAAGCCATCGCATCCCCTGTGACTTGCATGTATACGCCCAGATGGCCTGAAGTAACTGAAGAATCACAAAAGAAGTGAATATGCCTTGCCCCACCTTAACTGATGACATTCCACCACAAAAGAAGTGTAAATGGCCGGTCCTTGCCTTAACTGATGACATTACCTTGTGAAAGTCCTTTTCCTGGCTCATCCTGGCTCAAAAAGCACCCCCACTGAGCACCTTGCGACCCCCACTCCTGCCCACTGAGCACCTTGCGAACCCCACTCCTACCCGCCAGACAACAAACCCCCTTTGACTGTAATTTTCCTTTACCTACCCAAATCCTATAAAACGGCCCCACCCTTATCTCCCTTCGATGACTCTCTTTTCGGACTCAGCCCGCCTGCACCCAGGTGAAATAAACAGCCATGTTGCTCACACAAAGCCTGTTTGGTGGTCTCTTCACACGGACACGCATGAAAGGTACCACATGTAATGACATCACTCCTGAAAAATGGAACAAGAGTCCTAGAAGCCTTATCAAACTTGTTGTCTCAGCTTTCCTTGATGGGTCTTACAGGTATTAATTTTAAAAGTTAGGTTAATTAACAAGAACATGGTGAAGGTTAGAGCAGAGAGTCAAAAGACTCCTCCCAGAAGGGTGTAAATTTTTAAATGTTTATTAAGAAATAAGATGAATAGTCTGGGCACAGTGGCTCACGCCTGTAATCCCAGCACTTTGGGAGGCTGAGGCAGGTGGATCACGAGGTCAGGAGTTAGAGACCAGCCTGGCCAACATGGCGAAACCATGTCTCTACAAAAATACAAAAATTAGCTGGGCGTGGTGACAGGCGCCTGTAATCCCAGCTACTCAGGAGGCTGAGGCAGGAGAATCGCTTGAACCCGGGCGGTGGAGGTTGCAGCGAGCCAAGATCACGTCATTGCACTCCAGCCTGGGTGACAAGAGCAAGACTCCATGTCAGAAAAAAAAAAAAAAAAAAGAATACAGAGAGCATTGATAAGGGTGAAACTAAAAGGAAAAAGAAAGGGGAGAGTCATGGGACTCATCCCAGCAGGGTAAACATGTTTAAATAGTTATTAAAAATGGGATAAATAAAACAAATTGATGGGGTTAAAACAAAGGTCTTAATACAACACTATCAAAGAGGGAGCCCTGCCTGTCTACAAACATTATAGAGCCCAAATCAGTTTTCTGTATTTGCCCCAGATTTGTGAAATTTAAGAAAAAAAATCAGAAGGTAAAGATTACAGTGAGAAAGCTGACCAAAAATTGGGGCAATGTTGAGGCAGTTAATCAAGATAAGGATTGACCAATGAGCCCAAGTGCCTTGGCTCAGCTCCCTGTTGGGAACTCAGATCCTTTTTCACAAGAAAGGGTAAAATGGTCTAGGGTGGAGAAAAAGTTTCCTGGGACTACAACATAAAATGTAAGGGTCAATAGGATTTTAAGAGTTAAAATGTTTGAACAGGCTTTATGTAAAGTAGCTGTGTCTCCTTTACCTAAATGTTTTCTGGGAATGGACATTGTATATGACTGGAGGATGATTCCCCTTCCTAGTACTGTGAACTAGAAAGCATGTAAATCTTCCCTTTGAGCAATACTAATTGGACATGCTCAGTGGGAACCAGTAAGACTGACCAAGCCCACAAAGTATAGAGTAGAAGCTGAAGTGCTGGTAGGGAACAAATTATCCACTGGATAGCTCCTTGTAGAATTTTTATTGGGGCTTATGGCAAAAGTCTATGAGCACCTTCACTAGAGAATTTTCATTTGGGGGTATTTGCTGCCTTGTAATTGGATGTTAGCTGAAGCTACTGCTATGATTGAAGGGCATAAAATGGCCTTGACACCTGAAATAGTAATGTCTGAATGTCAGAGAAACACTCTAATGAGGATAGCAGCACCCAAAAGGGTCCCACCAATAAAATGGGAATGATTTGTGTAGTATCCTGCTATTTGAAGGATGCAAGGAGGAGATAGGAGCAGGGAGTCTCTTTTTCCCTAGGAGTCACTCTGAAACTGTGTGAGGGGCTGCTGGATTCTACAGTGCCCAATAAACAGCTCTCACCTGACTG
Source organism: Homo sapiens (assembly GCF_000001405.40). Classification (NCBI taxonomy): domain Eukaryota; kingdom Metazoa; phylum Chordata; class Mammalia; order Primates; family Hominidae; genus Homo; species Homo sapiens. The sequence goes on from NC_000013.11 coordinate 41,162,043, forward strand.
ACAAAGAGCTGCTTGGTTTGTGGATGGCAGTTCCAAGGTGAAAGGACAATATCCTGTTTGGAAGGCTGCTACTCTAATTGTAAAGTATACTATTGTGAACAAAATTTACCTGTCTCTCTACCTGATATCTCCAAAACTGGAAACTATTCATATATTCGTATGACATGGGAATACAGTTATTTGCATAAGTTCAGTAAGAATCTGTTTTCTTTTGTAACAGGACACAATTGGAGACACAGGTTCTTCTATCAAGGCCTTGACTGGAATGGCATATTTTCAGATATGACCACATTGCTTTGAGGAAATGAGGCTGATGTTGCAGAGCTGATAAAACCCCCACAGAAAGGCCAGCCTACCTCTGGTAAGTAAAAAATGTCACTTTCTGGCAGGCCCAGGAACCTCAAGTTATTTTTGGGCCTCAAGAAGAGAGGAATACACCCATTCATACAGGTATGACAGGCACAATCGGATAGCGAATCCTTGACTTGGTTAGCCTCAGGGCTTATAGAAGTCTAATCTGAGATTCCTTATGAAAAGTGTCCCAGTGAAGCCATCTTAAAAGGAGCCAATATGGCCAATCCCTGCACTTTATGCAAATAGTCAGGTCAAGTTAATGAGACTAAATTTATTTCACAAGTAAATTGGCCCTACTTTGATTTATCCTTAGTAGAAATGGGAAAACTGTTGAGAAAAACTATGTTTCAGAAGAAAACTATAGTATGCTCATTATTAGACTGTAGCCTTAATGATTGTTTCTGAGTTTTATTATTTGCCTATAATTCAAACTGAATCCTGAATTATTTCCTGGCTACAAATTTCTAAAGAAAAACCGAGATTTAATTGTCTTCATGCCCTTTTTTATTATAATCCTTGTGTGCATTATATTTCTACTATTCAAATTATTAATGTTATATATCTCTACTTTTACTTCTTCCAAGAAAACCAAAGTCACGGTATTCCAATGACTAGAGATGACAAACCAAAGCCTGTGAATCTCCCTAATTTGGAATGCTACTGGGTCTGATCTGTTTTCCCTGCCAACCCACTGCTGCTAAAGTTGTGCAATGTCAAGCACTTTCCCTAAAGGCCCAGAAGAGGAGGGTGTGTGAGATTAAGAGGGATGGAGTGTGGGGGCTAAAGCAACTCCATCTTGGATGTTGATCTGCCATATTGAGTTCTGATTAACCCCATTTCCAAAAAGGCCTCTAAGGTTTTTTTTTAATTATTTATTTTGCTTACTGTTCCTTGTGTAAGATCATGTACTTACCTTAAGTCCTGCCCTTGAATAATTTTCCTACACATCACTTCTGTATCACATATACCCTTTCCCCATGGTATATAGGCCTTGGTTCTGGGTGTAATGGCGTGGGGATCCACCAACCTGTCTCCACACTACCTGAGACACAGACATGGTTTCTATTCATAAGTCACTATTAAATGTTTCTGTCAGGTGCAGTGGCTCACACCTATAATCCCAGCACTTTGGGAGGCAAAGTAGGAGGAACACTTGAGGCCAAGAGTTCAAGACCAGCCTGAGCAACATAGTGAGACCCCCCTCCTCCCTTTACAAAACACAAAAAAGTTAGCTGGGCATGGAGACACATGTCTCTAGTCCTAGCTACAGAGGCTGAGGCATGAGGATTGCTTGAGCCAGGAGTTCAAGGGTGCAGTGAGCTGTGATCATGCCACTGCACTTCAGCCTAGGTGACACAGTGAGAGCCTGTCTGGAAGGAAAGAGAGAGAGAAAGGAAAGAGAGAGAGGAAGGAAGGAGGGAAGGAAGGAGGGAAGGAAGGGAGGGAGGGAGGGAAAGAAAGAGGGAAAGAGAGAGAGAAAGAGAGAGAGAAGAGAAGACAAGACAAGAGAAGAGGCCGAGCATGGTGGCTCACGCCTGTAATCCCAGCACTTTGGGAGGCCGAGGCGGGCGGATCACGAGGTCAGGAGATCGAGACCATCCTGGCCAACATGGTGCAACCCTGTCTCTACAAAAAATACAAAAATTAGCGGGGCGTGGTGGCGCATGCCTGTAATCCCAGCTACTCAGGAGGCTGAGGCAGGAGAATTGCTTGAACTAGGGAATTGGAGGTTGCAGTGAGCTGAGATCATGCCACTGCACTCCAGCCTGGTGACAGAGTGAGACTCTGTCTCAAAAAACAAGAAAGAGAGAGAGAGAGAGAAGAAGGAGAAGGAGAAGGAGAAAAAGAAAAGGAAGGAAGGGAGGAAGGAAGGAAGGAAGGAAAGTTTCTTCCTGAGAAACTGGATATGTAAGCCTCTTTCTTTGAATTCTCCGCTTCCTTGGAATTTAGTGGTTGGTTTGCATAGGCTTGCTCACTGTGAAATTCCACTGTGTGGAATTGGTGATTGAGGTGAATTTCACATAATGTAAAATTAACAATTTTGAAGTGAACATTTTATTTGCCTTTGAGGTTAATCCTTGTTGTAGAGTGTATCAGTACTTCATTCCTTTTTATGGCTGAATAATATTCTATTGAATAAATATGCCACATTTTGGTTTTTTTCACTCATCAATTGATGGACACTTGGGATGTTTCCACCTCCTTTTGGCTATTGCAAATAGGGCTGCTATGAACATTAATTCGTGTACAAGTATTTGTTAAAATACCTGTTGCCAATTCTTTGGGATATATACTTAGAAGTGACATTGCTGGGTTATATGGTAATTCTATATGTAATTTACTGAGGAATTAACAAATTGTTTTCCTTAGAGGCTGAACCATTTTACGTTCCCACCAGGAATGTACAAAGGTTTGAATTTCTCGACATCTTCACCAACACTTGCTATTTCCCCATCTCATCCTTTTTAGTAGCCATAGTTGTATAATTATACCCATTTCTAGTGGGTATGAAGCTGTATTTCATTGTGGTTTTGATTTGCATTTCCCCAATGACTAATGATCTTGAGCATCTTTTCATGTACTTGTTGTCCATTTGTTTATCATCTTTGGAAAAATGTCTAAGTCCTTTGCCCATTTTTAAGTTGGGTTGTCTTTTTGTTGTTGAGTTGTAAGAATTCTTTACATATTCTGGATGTTAGACCCTTATGAGATATATAATTTGCAAATATGTTCTTCCATTCTGTTGTTGTCTTTTTACTTTCTTGAGAATATCCTTTGACAAACAGAAGTTTTTAATTTTGAGAAAGTCCAGTTTATTTTTTATTTTGTTGCTTGTGTTTTCAGTGTCACATCTAAGACTCCATGGCCAAATTCAAAGTTATGAAGATTTACCCCTAACTCTTCTGAGAGTTTATAGTTTTAGTTCTTATATTTAGGTCATTGGCCAATCATTGCAACTTAATTTTTGTATATGGTATGAGATGGGGGTCTAATTCCATTCTTTTGCATGTGCATATCCAGTTGTCCTGTACCTTTTATTGAAGAGACTGTTCTTTCTACCAGTTTTGTCCTTAGTTTACTCTTCTTTTTCCCCTGTTCTTTAAGGAATAGGGTTAGGTTATTGATTTGTGCTCTTTCTTCTTTTTTAATGTAGGCAGTTGCAACTATGATTTCCCTATGAGCACTACTTTTGCTGCATCCTGTAAGTTTTGGTAGGTTGTGTTTTGCATTTAATTTATATAGTACTTTCATATTTCCCTTGTTGATTTTTTTCTTTGATCCATTGGTTGTTTAAGAGTGTGTTGTTTAATTTCCATACATTTGTGAATTTTCCATTTTCCTTTGGTTATTGATTTCTAGCTTCCCTTCATCGTGGTCAGAGAAGATACTTTCTATGATTTAAGTATTTTAAATGTATTTATCGTTATTTTGTGGCCTAAAGTATGATCTATTCTGTAGAATGTTCCATGTATGAGAACAGTGAGGACTCTGCTCTGCTGGTAGAGTGTTCTATATGTGTCTAGTAGGTCTAGTTGATTTACAGTGTTCAAGTCCTCTACTTACTTATTCATGTGCTATTTAGATGTTCTGTTATTTTTATTTTTCTCTTTTTTTTGTTTTGTTCTATCTATTATTGAAAGTGGGTTATTAAAATCTCCAATAATTATTGTAGAACTAGTTCTCCTTTATTTCTGTTAACGTTTTCTTCACATATTATGGGGCTCTGCTGTTTGGTGAATATATATTTATAATTGTTACATCTTGGTAGTGAATTGACCCTTTTATGAATATATAATAATATCCCTCATTTTAAAGTCTATTTGGACTGATATTAGCATAGCCACCCCAGTTCTCCTTTTGTTACCATTTGTATGGAATATCTTTTTCCATTATTTTACTTTCAATATATTTTATTTCAATATATTTTACTTTCAACATATTTGTCTCTTTGAACTCAAAATGTATTTTTTGAATCCATTCTGCCAATCTCTGCCTTTTAATGGTGAGTTTAATTTTTTAACATTTAAAGTGATGACTGATAAGAAAGCAATTATTTCTATCATTTGCTATTGTTTTCTACAAGTTTCATATACTTTTTGCTCCCCAAATACTGTCTTTTGTGTTTGTGTCTTTCGTGTTTTTTAAAGTGTACCATTCTGATTCCTTCCTCAGTGTCTTTTCTGTATATATTTTAATTATTTTTTTGTGAGTACTCTGGTGATTACAAAAAACACCCTAAATATATAAAAATACAGTTTGAGTTGGTATCAACTAAGTTTTAGTAGCATACACAAAATCTATTCCTATACAGCTTTGTTATTGTCACAAATTGCATCTTTTATACATTGTGTACCCATTAGCATACTTTATAATTACTGTTTTCTACATTTGTCTCTCAAAGAACATAGGAAGCAATAGGGTACAGACTGGGCTCACAACTGCAATCCCAGTAATTTGGGAGGCCAAAGCAGGAGGATCACTTGAGGCCAGGAGTTCAAGTCCAGCCTGGGCAACATAGCAACACCCCCATTTCTACAAAAAAAAAAAAAAATTAGCAGAACATGGTTGTGTGTACCTGTAGTCCCAGCTACTTGGGAGGCTGAGGTCAGAGGATCACTTGAGCCCAGGGGTTTGAGGCTGCAGTGAGCTGTGATTGTGCTACTGCACTCTGGCCTGGCTGACAGATTGAGAACCTGTCTAAAAAAAAAAGAAGAAATTAGAAAATAAAGATATAGGAGGCCGGACTCAGTGGCTCACGCCTGTAATCCCAGCACTTTGAGAGGCCGAGGCGGGCAGATCATGAGGTCAGGAGTTTGAGACCAGCCTGGCCAACATGGTGAAACCCCATCTCTACTAAAAATAAAAAAATTAGATGGGTGTGGTGGCACGTGCCTGTAATCCCAGCTACTCGGGAGGCCGAGGCAGGAGAATTGCTGAAACCTGGCGGTCAGAGGCTGCAGAGAGCCGAGATTGGGCCACTGCAGGCATGAGCCACCATGCCCACCCCCCACCACACCCTTTTCTTTCTTTCTTTCTTTCTTTCTTTTTTTTTTTTTTTTGACAAAGTCTTGCTCTGTTTCCCAGGCTGGAGTGCAGTGGTGTGATCTCGGCTGACTGCAACCTCTGCCTCCTGGGTTCAAGCGATTCTTCTGCCTCAACCTCCCGAGTAGCTGGGACTACAGGCATACACCACCACACCCAGCTAATTTTTGTATTTTTAGTAGAGATGGGGTTTTACCATGTTGGCCAGGCTGGTCTCAAACTCCTGACCTCAAGTGATCCACCCGCCTCGGCCTCCCAAAGTTCTGGGATTACAGGCGTGAGCCACTGCACCCAGCCAGCACCCCGCCCTTTTTTAAAAACCATGAATGTGTGTTGGAATTTGTTACATGCTTTATCTGTGTCAATTGATATGATCATATGACTTTTTAGCTTGTTGATCTGGTGGATTACATAGATTTCTCAAATGTTGAACTAGCCTTGGATGCCTGGAATAAATCCCTATTGGTCAAGGCTATGAACTGCATGTTTGTGTCCCCTCAAAATTTATATGCGAAACTCTAACTCCCCGGTGTTAGGAGGTAGGACCTTTGGGAGGTCATGAGGGTGGAGCCCTCATGAATGGGAATAGTGCCCTTATAAGACAAAACATGAGAGAGTTTATATCTCTTTCAGCCATGAGAGGATACAGTGAGAAGAGGGTGATCTGTAAACCCAGAAGAGTGCCCTCCCCAGACACTGGAACTTCTAACACTTTGATCTTGAATTTCCCAACCTCCAGAACTATGAGAAATAAATGTTTGTTCTTTATGCCACCCAACATTTGATATTCTTGTACAGCAGCCTGAATTAAGATAGTCACAGTGCGTAATGTTTTGTTATTTTATTCAGTTTGCTAATATTTTGTGGAGGACCTTTGAATCTATGTTCATGAAAGCTATTGGTATGTAGTTTTTTGTTTTTTTGTTGTTGTTTTTATTTTTTTGTACTGGTTTTGATATTTGGGTGATACTAGCCTCACAGTGAGTTGGGGACTGTTCTTTCTTTCTGGAAAAGATTGTGAAAATGCATTGTTATCTCTTTGAATGTTTTGTAGAATTCTGCAGTGAAACCATCTGGGCCTGGGATTTTTTAGGAGATTTTTTAAAATAAATTCAGTTTCTTTAATGGTTAATATAGGGCTACCTAAATTATCTATTTCATCTTGGTTGTGTTTGGTAGTTTGTGGTTCCTCAAAAGGCTTCATTACTTCTAAGTTTTCAGTAAAAAAACTGTTTTAGAGTATAAAACTTTGTGTAATATTTTCTTATTATCTTAGTGGCTACAGGATATGAAGTGACATCCCCTGTTTTATTCCTCATATTGGTGATATCTGTTTTCTCTTAATTTTTGTGACTCTTGAAAGAAGTTTGTACATTTTATTGATTTAAAAAAGAAACAGGCCGGGTGCGGTGGCTCATGCCTGTAATTCCAGCACTTTGGGAGGCCGAGGCAGGCAGATAACGAGGTCAGGAGATCAAGACCATCCTGGCTAACACGGTGAAACCCCGTCTCTACTAAAAATACAAAAAATTAGCCAGGCATGGTGGCGGGCGCCTGTAGTCCCAGCTACTCGGGAGGCTGAGGCAGGAGAATGGTGTGACCCTGGGAGGCGGAGCTTGCAGTGAGCCAAGATCGTGCCACTCCATTCCAGTCTGGGCGACACAGTGAGACTCCGTCTCAAAAAAAAAAAAGAAAAGAAAAAAAAGAAAGAAATCGTCTTTTACTTCATTAAATTTTCTTCTCTGCTATTTCTTATTTCTAATTTTATTAATTATTGTTCTGATCTCTATATTATTTCCTTCCTTTTTTTTAAGAAAGAGAGACTCTCACTCTGTCACCCAGGCCGGAGTGCAGTGGTGCGATCATAGCTCACTGCAGTCTTGAACTCCTGGGCTCAAGCAGTTCTCCTATCTCAGAGTAGCTGGGACTACAGGACACACCACCATGCCTAATTTTTAAAATGTTTTGTAGAAATGAGGTCTCGCTATGCTGCCCAAGCTGGTCTTGAAATCCTGGCTCAAGTGATCCTCCCTGCCTTGGCTTTCCTAAGTGCTGGGATAATAGGTGTGAGCCACCAAGCCTGACCTCCTTCTTCTTGATTGCTTTGGGTTTATTTTCCTCTGCTTTCTCTAGTGCCTTATGGTAGGAGCTTAGATTGACTTGAGTCCTTTTCTCATGTTTAATGTAAACATTTAATGCTACAGTTTTGCTCTCAAAAATCCTTTAGCTGTATCCAACATGTTTTGGTATGTTGTATTTTCATATTCCTTAAGTTTCATTTTTAACTTGAGATTTTCCTCTTTGTCCCAGCAATGATTTAAAATTTATGTTGTTCAATTTCTCTGTGTTTAGAGAGTTTCCTGTTGTCTTCGTTATTGATTATCTGTTTGATTCCAATATTGTCAGGAAACATGCTACGTATACTTTCATTTATTTTGCATTTGTTGAAGTTGTTGTATGGCTCAGGACATGGTCTATCTTGATGAATCTTCCATGAACAATTGAAAAAAAAGTGTACTCTGCTTATTGGGTGGAGTGATGTGTCACTCCATGATTGGTTGATTATATTAGTCAGATCTTCTATATTCTCGCTAATTTACTGTCAGTAGCTTTGTCACTTGCTGAAAGATCATGTTGCATTTTCCAATAATAATTGTGGAGTTGTCTGTTTTTCCTTTTAAGTCTATCAGTTTTGCTTCATGTATTTTAAGACTGTTTTTTGGTTTATACACATTTGAGATCATTAAGTTTTCCTTGTCAATTGAATTTTTCATTAACATGTATTATCTCTCTCTGTCATCTCTACCCTAGTAGGTTTTTTTTTTTTGCTTTTATTTATTTATTTATCTATTTTTAAATTTTTTTTTGAGATGGAGTCTTGCTCTGTTTCCTAGGCTGGAGTGCAGTGGTGTGATCTCGGCTCATTGCAACCTCCGCCTCCTGGGTTCAAGCGATTCTCCTGTCTCAGCCTCCTGAGTAGCTGGGACTACAGGTGCCCACTACCATGCCCGGCTAGTTTTTGTATTTTTAGTAGAGATGGGCTTTCACCATATTGGCCAGGCTGGTCTCGAACTCCTGACCTCGTGATCCGCCCACCTCAGCCTCCCAAAGTGCTGGGATTACAGGCGTGAGCCACCGAGCCCCACCCCATGCATATTTTTTAGACAGTAGGGAGAAACCTTTTACAGATAAGTTACAAACAAAGAAAAGGCAAATAAACAATTTTGTACAAGAAATTTAACACATTCTGTACAAGTTGTTCACTTTGCTGTCATCATTTGTACAAACTCTTCATAGATCATTTGACCATCACCATCAATATGTGGTTACCTGATCATTTCATCAACCTCGTCATCTGTTAAATTCTCTCCAAGGTTTGTCATCACATGGTGAAGTTCTGTTGCACTAATATAGCCATTGCCATCCTTATCAAACACACAGAATGCATCTCTAATTTCTTCTTCACTGTCTGTGTCTTTCATTTTTCTTGCCATCATTGTTAGAAATTCAGGGAAGTCAACTGTGCCATTACCATCAGCATCTACTTCATTAATCATGTCCTGTAACTCTGCTTCTGTGGGATTCTGCCCAAGAGACCTCATTACAGTTCCTGATTCCTTGTTGTTATAGTTCCATCACCATCTTTGTTAAATAGTGAAAAAGCTTCTTTGAATTCTGCAGTCTGCCTTTCAGTCAGTTGGTCAGCCATGCTGCAAGCGCTACCAGTTTCTGAGATGTGACCACGCAGCCACTCAGCTTGCTCACTCGCTCGCTCCACTCGGACTAATTCCTATACATTATTTTTTTTGAGTCGGAGTTTTGCTCTTGTTGCACAGGCTGGAGTGCAGTGGTGCAATCTCAGCTCACTGCAATCTCTGCCTCTCAGGTTCAAGCAATTCTCCTGCTTCAGCCTCCCCAAGTAGCTGGGATTACAGGCATGTGCCATCATGCCAGGCTAATTTTGTATTTTTTTAGTAGAGATGGGGTTTCACCAGGTTGGTCAAGTTGGTCTCGAACCCTGACCTCAGGTAATCCACCTGCCTCAGCCTCCCAAAGTGCTGGGATTATAGGCGTGAGCCACCGTGCCTGGCCTATAATTTTTGTTTCAATAATCAAATATGATTTATAAAATTCATGGTTTATGAAACATACCATTGTATGATTTATAAAACATGCTTTTGTATATGTTTGTATTTCTGCTCTTTCTGTTGTTCCTTTTTCCTTCCTAATCCTCTGAGATATTTGATCATTTATTTTCTATTTAAAGAACTTTCTGTAGCCAATCTTTAAGGATAAGTCTGCAAGCAACAAATTCTTTTATTTTTCATTCATCTGAGAATTCATTCCTAGAGAATAATTTTGGTAAATGTGAACTTTTCAGTAGAAAGTTATTTTCTTTTAGCAATTAAAAAATGCTGTACCAGCTGGACGAGGTGGCTCAGGCCTGTAATCCCAGTGACTCCACAGTCCAAGGTGGGAAAATCATTTAAGGCCAGGAGTTTGAGGCCAGCCTGTGCAACATAGCAAGATCCCGTCTCAGGGAGGGGGAGAGGGAAACTTAGTTGGGCATGGTGGTGCTCACCTGTAGTCCCAGCTACTCAGGAAGCTGAGGTGGGAGGATCACTTGAGCCCAGAAGTTGGAGGCTGCAGTGAGGCATGATTGAGCCACTTCACTCCAGCCTGGGTGACAGGGTGAGACCCACTTTGTTTAAAAAAAAAAAATAGCTGTGCCACTTCCTTCTGGTCTCCATGGTTTCAGATGAGAAATTGTCATTCAAATAGATATTACCCTATAGATAATGTGTCATTTTTCTTTGGTTTTTAAGATCTTTTCTTTAAGAAGTTTAACTGATTAAATTTGCACTTAGTTTTTAAGAAGTAATTTTTTTTTTTTTTTTTTTTTTTTTTGAGATGGAGTCTTGCTCTGTCACCAAGGCTGGAATGTGGTGGCGGGATCTCGGCTCCACTGCAAGCTCCGCCTCCTGGGTTCATACCATTCTCCTGCCTCAGCCTCCCAAGTAGCTGGGACTACAGGTGCCCGCCACCCATGCCCGGCTAATTTTTTGTATTTTTAGTAGAGACGGGGTTTCACCATGTTAGCCAGGATGGTCTTGATCTCCTGACCTCGTGATCTGCCCGCCTTGGCCTCCCAAAGTGTTGGGATTACAGGCGTGAGCCACTGCTCCTGGCAAAGAAGTTAATTTTGATGTGTCTTGGAATGGATTTCTTTGGGCTTAACCTGTTGGGATTTGCTCAGATTCTTGAATCTGTAGTTTTCTGTTTTTCAACAAATTTGGGAAGTTTCAGCAATTATTTTTTCAAGTACTCCTTCAGTTTCACTCTCTTCCACCACCACTCTCATGGAACTTTGGTGATGCAAATGTTGGCTATTTTGTTATTATCCTACAAGTCTCTGAGCCTCTGTTCATTTTTTCCTGTTTTTCTCTCTGTTGTTCAATTTGAGTGAATTCCACTGATTGTCCTGAAAGACTCTGATGCTATCCTCTGTTTTGTCCATTCTACTATTGCTGTTTTATTTCTGTTAGTTTATCTTTTGGTTTTGGTTTTGTTTTAGAGATGAGGTCTCACTATGTTGCCCAGGCTGGAGTGTAGTGGCTATTCACAGGCATGATTATAGTACACTACAGCTTCAAACTCCTGGGTTAAAATGATCCTCCTGCATCAGCCTCCTGAATAGCTAGGACACAGGTGCATGCCACCACACCCAGCTCTATTTTTCAGCGTTATAGGTTCCACTTAGTTCTTTTTTATTATTTCAATTTATTTGCTGAGATTTTTCGCTTTTTTTCCCATCGTTTTTAGAGAATTTTTAATAGGCTATTAAAGCATTTTTATGAAGGCTGTTTTGAAGTGCTTGCCAAATAATTCCAATACCTGATTCATCTGTATTGGTATCAGTTGATTGCCTTTTTCTCATTCAAGTTGTGACTTTCTTGGTTCTTGGTATGACTGATACTTTATATTATATGTTGGACATTTTCTTTGTAATATTAGGAGACAGTAATATTTTTTGATCATCTAGTTTATGCTAAACATTGTATTATGTGCTATCTTACATTATTTTAATGAAACTAAGATCTCTGAAAATATATTTTGCTGAGATTTGCACAATTACTGCATTTCTACAAAAATAATAATTTTTGGTTTACACTTTTCTACCAACAGTGTGTTTTAGGATTTCCATTTAATATAGAACTGAGCATATTAGTTAATCATTCAATAATTACATGTTCCAAGCATGAGAAGTATAGGACAGAATCCATTACTGAATTGTTCGACTTGGTGCAATGGCTCACATATCTGTTTTCCTTGAGTTCTTTTTTGAATAAAATATCCTCATGTGAAACTTAAGAGCCTTTGAGAAATACTGAGCAAAATGAAATTTGGAAAGTAATATATGATATTATAGTAGAAATTATGTTCAATATTTCATTACATTTATAATAAAAATAACATAGTTGATCATCCTCAAATCTATGAAATTCATCATAAACACATCATAAATGTCTTTTCTGTGCTCTCTGCACATTGTCATTTCATAAAAATGAACAATACTTAGACGTCCACACCAGTGATACATAGTTAATGATATGCTGACAGTTTAAAGACACAGTAGGGCTGGGCATGGTGGCTCACGCCTATAATCCCAGCACTTTGGGAGGCCAAGGTGAGAGGATCACCTGAGGTCGGGAGTTCGAGATCAGCCTGACCAACATGGAGAAAACCTGTCTCTACTAAAAATACAAAATTAGCCGGGCATGGTGGTGCATGCCTATAATCCCAGCTACTCGGGAGGCTCAGGCAGGAGAATCGCTTGAACCCAGGAGGCAGACGTTGCGGTGAGCTGAGATCATGCCACTGCACACCAGCCTGGGCAACAAGAGTGAAACTCTGTCTCAAAATAAATAAATAAATAAAGACACAGTAGTACATGGAGGCCAGAGGCACATGCAGATCCCCACCAAATACACACAAAATTAAACATTGGAATATGTATGACAGCCTTTAAAAAATTCATTTCCAAAGAAAATAAATACAAATCAGAGCAGATATGTAATCTTTTTTTTTCTTCTAGAGACAGGGTCTTGCTCTGTTGCCCAAACTGGAATGCAGTGATGGAATCATAGCTCAGTGTAATCTCTACCTCCTGGGATCAAGAGATCCTTCCACCTCAGCCTCCAGACTAGTTGGGACTACAGGCATGCACCACCATGCCCGGCTAATTTTAAGTTTTGTTATAGACATGGGGTCTTGCTGTATTGCCTAGGCTGGTCTTGCACTCCTACCCTCATGTGATCCTCCTGCCTTGGGCTCCTAAAATGCTGGGATTGCAGGCATGAGCCACTGTGCCTAGCTGAGATATGTAATCTTGAAAAGGAAAAATGGGTTCCACTTTATATTAATCTGATTGAAGAAATGATATAACCACAGAAATAATGCAAAGGAGAAAAGGGTACAAGAAAGTATGTAGCAACCAGAGGAGGGTAGGAGGAGCTCCAGCACAGAAGCCTAGGAAAGACTTGGCCATGCAATTATGGACCTTTAGATCTGGCTCTGTCCAGAAAAACTGTCCATTCGGGTCTCCCCCTACAGTGAAGACAAATGAACCAGCTTCTCACACCACCTTGACAGTGGTCATTAAGATCATCCAAATTGCTCTGTGAATTCTATGTCCATGTCCACCAAGCAAGCTTCTGACAGTAATTCATCTCTCATGAAAATTAGGCCACAAGAATATGTGCTAATCAGGGATCACCAGTATCTAGCTAATTGATATGAAAGTTATATTTTATAATTGTAAATTAATATATCAGTATCATATTTTTTGTATATTTGATTCTTATTGATTTGGTTAATATCGGGGGAACCAGCCCCTGATAATTCAATGTAAGTTCTTTTCTGTTTTCCCTAGGTGTTGGCCAGATTGAGAAATAAAGGGAAAGAGTACGAAAGAGAGAAATTTTAAAGCTGGGTGTCCGGGGGAGACATCATATGTCAGCAGGTTCCGTGATGCCCCTCAAGCCACAAAACCAGCAAGTTTTTATTAGTGATTTTCAAAGGGGAGGGAGTGTATGGGTCACAGAGATCACATGCTTCACAAGGCAATAAAATATCACAAGGCAAATGGGGGCAGAGCGAGATCACAGGACCAGGGCAAAATTAAAATTGCTAATGAAGTTTTGAGCACGCATTGTCATTGATAACATCTTACCAGGAGACAGGGTTTGAGAGCAGAAAACCGGTCTGACTAAAATTTACTAGGCAGGAATTTCCTCATCCTAATAGGCCTGGGAGTGCTACGGGAGACCGGGGCTTATTTCATCCCTTATCTGCAACCGTCTAAGACAGACACTCCCAGAGTGGCCATTTTAGAGACCTACCCCTGGGAATGCATTCTCTTTCTCAGGGCTGTTCCTTGCTGAGAAAAAGAATTCAGCGATATTTCTCCTATTTGCTTTTGTAAGAAGAGAAATATGGCTCTGTTCCACCCAGCTCTCAGGCCGTCAGACCTAATGGTTATCTCCCTTGTTCCCTGAACATCACTGTTATCCTGTTCTTTTTTCAAGGTGCCCAGATTTCATATTGTTTAAACACACATGCTTTACGAACAATTTGTGCAGTTAACGCAATCATCACAGGGTCCTGAGGCGACATACATCCTCAGCTTACAAAAATGACAGGATTAAGAGATAAAAGACAGGCATAGGAAATCATAAGAGTATTGATTAGGGAAGTGATAAATGTCTATGAAATCTTCACAATTTATGTTCAGATATTGCAGTAAAGACAGGCATAAGAAATTATAAAAGTATTAATTTGGGGAACTAATAAATGTCCATGAAATCTTCACAATTTATGTTCTTCTGCCATGGCTTCAGCCTGTCCCTCCATTCGGGGTCCCTGACTTCCCGCAACAGGTTAACCTGATTCCGTACCCAAACCCCATCACATCAAGGGTAGCAATACCTGAATATCTAAACTTCTAAAGCAGAGAAATAAACCTGGAACATGGTCACTCTACCAAGAAATTGTTACCAGACCTGTGTGGCTGGACACCTGATTCTCCCCTGGCAAATCTTCTATTTCATTCGGTCATCATCAATATTTTTTTCATTTTCAATTTTTAACAGTAGGCAGATATCTAAGTTTAACTGTCTCAAAGGTTTGATATATGACTTAGGGTTGTATATTATTCAGTGTTTATTTAAAAGAATAGAAAAGTCCAAAGACAGGTTCACAATAAGCAAAAATACATACATACATAAATAAGCTTGGAGACTTTTATAAGATTAAAATGAAGTTCTTACAAATACTTAAATCAAAATGCAGCAGGAGTTATGACAGCAAAATCTTCAGTCTTATTTTTAGAGACAGGGTCTCGCTATGTTGCCCAGACTGGACTTGAACTTCTGGGCTCATGTGATCCTCCCACCTCAGCCTCTTGAGTAGCTGGAATTATGGATGCACACCACCATGCCCATCTGAAAATCTGCAGTATTGACACTGCACTCTATAATGCCCTTCCTTATTGTTCTCTTGACAGTATCCCCACTGTATATTTGTGAAGATGGCTGAATGTATTGAAGTAGATACTGCTTTTATAACGTCAAAGCCATTATAATGTCAAAGCCATAACCATAAGGTTATGGGACTGTTAACTGGTGGGTATCACAACCCTGTTTATGAGAAAAGCATTCAGAACTGCATAGGGGAAGGTGTAGTGAAATATTTATTATAGGATATATCTTGGAGCTGGCATATTCCAAGATAGGCCATGGAATATGACTCTTTTTTTTGAGATGGAGTCTTGCCCTGTCACCCAGGCTGGAATGGAGTGGCATGATCTCGGCTCACTGCAACTTCCACCTCCCGGGTTCAAGCACTTTTCTGCCTCAGCCTACAGAGTAGCTGGGATTACAGGCACCTGCCACCATGCCTGGCTAATTTTTGTATTTTTAGTAGAGACAGGGTTCCACCATCTTGGCCAGGCTGGTCTTGAACTCCTGACCTCGTGATCCACCCGCCTCAGCCTCCCAAAGTGTTGGGATTACAGGTGTGACCCACCACGCCTGGCCAGGAACGTGACTCTTAGTAGTGCTTGTGACCAAAACCTACAGAAGAGAAAATGCAGTGTAATATAGAAGTAACCCTTAGAATGACTAATCCAGTTGGATAAAACTCTTCTCTGTTTCTGTACCTACAATGTGAGGGGATGGGAGGTGGGAAAAGTTTGGAAAGTACCTTATACTGGACCTTTTCTGTAGAACTCTCAATTTTTGTACTATTATCATTTGCTAATTTGACATGAAATTTAAGCAACCAGCAATGAGGAAATACTTAGACTGTAACAGAGCTCTTCAGAGTTCTTTGTTTTGCAACAATCACCTTTCAAAACTTCCCTAACAACTTGGACAGACAAACCCAGTCGAATTTACAGATGCTTGTGGAAAGGTTAGAGAATTTGAAAGAAATAAAAAAGAGTTGGGAGTGAATATGTGTGTCTTACTGCTTCGGTTTTGTTTCCTAGCATTTATTGGTTCAAATAGATTTGTTGCTTTGCTGACTCTCTGCTATCTTCATAAAAGATAAGAAAACCTCTCAGCGTCCCTCTATAGTGTGAGAAACATGATTTATAATAACATTATTTCATAATTGAAAGTATTGTTTCGTTGTCTGGGAAAATGAGCGCATCAGAATTAACTTGTAGTTTTAGAGGCCAGTGGGTTGCTATAACAACCAGAAAAACAATGGTGTAATAACACCTCTCCCTGAAAGCTGGAGAACTCACTAAATGACGAGAGCTACAGATGCAAGCGTTTGTCATATGAATTCAAACAAGAACCAAATACATTCATTTATTTCTTTCATGAGCACTGACTCCATGCCTGGCACTATGCTAGGAACTGGTGAAATAGACGTGGTCCCTCCTGTGATGGAGTGAACAATCTAATGGAGAAGACCGATAATAAACAGTTTAAAAAAAAAGATAAATGGAATAATTTCAGCATGTTTAAGGCCCTTTGGTAGAGAAAGCATTGTTCTCTGATACTGGACAAGCAGAGAAGGGTTGCTCCAGTATGGGACATGGAGAAGCACCTGGTCATATCATAAATCTTGCCTTTAAGGCTATATGAGCTCTAGTAAAGTGAAGGAAAAAAAGAATGGAGTCTTACAGTCTTTATTAGTAAAAATAATTTAAGGGAAGAAACTGCTAACTGAAGCATGATCATTTTTTACTAGAAGGGTTTAACACGTAAATTCCCAGAATTCTTGAATTAGGAGGATTCAACATTAAAATAAGAGTTATTTGTGTGTTTTAAAACAGTATTGTTTTGGGCCAGGCGCGGTGGCTCACACCTATAATCCCAACACTTTGGGAGGCCGGGAGGCCAAGGCAAGTGGATCACCTGAGGTCAAGAGTCCGAGACCAGCCTGGCCAACATGGTGAAACCCCATCTCTACTAAAAATACAAAAATTAGTCGAGCGTGGTGGCACATGACTGTAGTCCCAGCTACTCGGGGGGCTGAGGCGGGGCAATCGCTTTAACCCAGGAGGCAGAGGTTGCAGTGAGCCGAGATTGCGTCACTGCACTCCAGCCTGGGTGACAGAAAAAAAAAAAAGTATTGTTTTATTTCAGCTTTACTCATAATAGCCAAAAACTGGAAACAAGCAAATAAAACCAAATGTCCTTCAGTGGATGAATGATTAAACAAACTGTGTTATATACATACCATGGAATACTCTGGCAATAAAAAGGAAATGAACTTTTTTTTAAGAATAAAAGCTTTATTGAGATATAATTCACATACCATAAAGTTCATCTTTTTAAAGTTTAAAGTTCAGTTGTTTTTAGAACACTGACAATACAAACACTACTTAGATAATTGTGCAAAAATCACCAGTAATTCCAAAACACTGTCATTACTCCCAAAAGAATCTCCATATCTATTAGCATTACCATATCTATTAGCATTACTCCCCATTTCCACCTTATTGTCCATATGTTCACGCCCCAGACCTAAGCAATCCTTAATCTATTCTCTGTCTCTATGGATTTGCTGATTCTGAATCTCTCATATAAATGGAATCACACAATATGTTTCCTTCTGTTTCTGGCTTCTTTAGCTTAATATGCTCAAGAGTCATCTCTGTTATAGCATGCATCAGAACTCTATTTTTTTATGGATAAATAAGATTCCATTGCACTGATATTGACCTTTTGCTCATCTATTTGTCAGTTGATGAGCATTCGGGTTTTTCCTCCTTTTTGTCGGTTATGAATAATGCTGCTATGAACATTAGTGTACCAGTTTTTTCTGTACATATGTTTCCAGTTCTCTTGGTTATGTACCTAGGAGTGGAATTGCTGAGTCATATGGTATCTCTGTTAACTTTCTGAGGAACAGAAAACTGTTTTCCAAAGCCATTGTACCATTTTACACTCCTACCAGCAGGTATGAGGATTTCAGTTTTTCCACATCCTTGCCATCCTTGCTTTTGTCTTTTTTTGAATTTTCATGTCAAAGGGGTAATGTTCCAATGAGGTCATAACAAGGCTTGGGGAAGGCACATTTCACACATGCACGTGAAACCCCAGTCATCACGCTTATAAACTACAAAAGGATCTGCTTTTGCTTTTTATTATAGCCATCCAAGTAGGTGTAAAGTGGTATTTCCTTGTGGTTTCATTTGTATTTCCCTAATGTGTTGAGTATCTTTTCATGTGCTTGTTGGTCATTTGTCTATCTTGTTTGAAGCAATGTCTGTTCAAATCTTTTCTCAATTTTTCAGTTGGGTTATTTGTCTTTTTATTGTTGAATTGTATCAGTTCTTTACATATTCTAGACACATGTCCCTTATCAGATATATGATTTGCAAATATTTTCTCCCGGTGTGTGAGTTGTTTTTTTACTTTTTTTTCACTCACATTATGTATGTTGATGTTATGATTTGAAGCACAAAAGTTTCATTTTGGTTAAGTCTAATTTCTTTTGTTGAACTACTGATTGTTTTTTAAGAAATAAATGCCCTGTACATCAAGCTGTATACAGAGTGTACTCTGAAATAGGTCGAATTAAAAGAAGTCCTGATTATGGAGATTTTCAGTGAGCTGTTAGGTCAACTCGTGGTTAATTCTCTGGGAATGAGCCTTTTTGGGCTTCAAATCTGTTCTTTTCTCTCCAGTGGCTGCTAAGCTCTACTTTCCACAACTACTATAAATGTGAAGCTATTGAGTTTCAAGGCTTCCATGGAACTGGGGAGAGGTGTATAGGATTAGAGCAAGTTAAAACACTATAGGCTTTCCGTTCTTACTGAGATTCAGCTGTTTTTCTTAGGTAAACATTCCTTGGAATGTGGCAAGCTTTTGTTAATTTCCACAATTCTAATAAGTTTATGTCAACAGCTTTTGCTAATGTCCTCATTGCTTTTATGGAGGAGCAGATTCTCGGTGTGACATTACTGTACCATTTGGAATGTCTACTGATATACACGATAACTTGGATAAATCTCAAGAGAATTATGCTGAGTGAAAACATGATCTCAAAAGATTAAATACAGTATGATTCCATTTATATAACTTTTTTTTCTTTGAGATAGGGTCTTGCTCTGTCGCCCAGGCTGCAGTGCAGCAGCACAGTCATAGCTCACTGTAACCTCAAACTCCTGGGCTCAAGTGATCCTTCTGTCTCGACCTCCCGAGTAGCTAGAATTACAGCCACCACACCTGGCTAATTAAAAAATTTTTTTGTAGAGATGTGGTCTTGCTATGTTGCCCAGGCTGGTTTGAAACTCCTGACCACACATGATCCTGCTGCCTCAACCTTCCAAAGCACTGGGATTACAGGCATAAGTCACCATGCCCACCCTATATAACAAATTTAAAATGACAAAATTACAGAGATGAATTACAGATTAGGGGTTGACTAGGGAGATGAGGAGGGAAAAGCCTGTGGCTATAAAAGCAAGGCACTGGCTGGGCACAGTGGCTCACGCCTATAATCCCAGCACTTTGGGAGGCCAAGGTGGGCGGATCACCTGAGGTCGGAAGTTCGAGACCAGCCTGACCAACACGGAGAAACTCTGTCTCTACTGAAAATACAAAATTAGCTGGGCGTGGTGGAGCATGCCTGTGATCCCAGCTACTTGGGAGGCTGAGGCAAGGAGAATCACTTGAACCTGGGAGGTGGAGGTTGTGGTGAGCCGAGATCGCCCCATTGCACTCCAGCCTGGGCAACAAGAGCAAAACTCTGTCTTAAAAAAAAAAAAAAAAAAAAAAAAAAAAGCATGGCACAAAGGATATTTGTAATAGAACTATTTTATATCTTGACTGTGTTGATGTTCTCATGAATCTACATGTTAATAAACTTCATAGATTTAAATATACACACACCAAACGCATGCATGTAAAAGTGGTAAAATGTGAATTTTAATGATTTGTATCAATGTCATTTTCTTGGTTGTGATATTTTACTATAGTTGTGCAAAGTGTTACCATTGGGAAAAACAAGTGAAGGATATACAGGATCTCTCTGTATTATTTCTCACAACTGCATGTGAATTTACAATAATCTCAAATTTTTGTTTGTAAAACAAAAAGGAGTATCATAGCTCATAATAGAAATTATATAAGGAAAATTATATTACATAATTGAGAGAAGCAATTCAAAATATTCTCTGGCAGCTGTTTTGAGGTTTTTATAAACACAAAATGATACTGTAAATATATATTGAATATATTAATACTAGGATTCCCTGATTAAGATAGCACAAGAACTGAGTGAGCAACTAAGTTCTGAATAGATGATTATGGCTAATGAGGTGGGCTTCAATAGAAGGGCAGATAAGTACATTACTCCATATACCACTGCAAAAATGATTCAGGCACAGAAAATGCTCTGTAGCCTAACTTTTGTGAGGTACCCCTTCCTAAAACATTCATATATGTGATTCATTTAAAATAGAATTGCAGAATCATAGGTGTTTCAACAAGTATAGGCATGAATGATTCTGTAATAAGCTAAACAAGACAAAGCTCCACCAAGATGCTTGGAACATGCTAGAACTGAGTTAAAACTGAATATGGTATATTTCTTATCCCTCATATAACTAAAAAACATTCATAAATATATATATGTATATATACATATATATATATTTTTTAGAGACAGGGTCTCACTCTGTCACTCAGGCGGGAATGCAATGGCGTGATCATAGCTCATTGCAGCCTCAAACTCATGGGCTCAAGTGATCATCTCTCCTCAGCCTCCCAAGTAGCTAGGACAACAGGCATGCACAACCACACCTAATTTTTTTTTTTTAATTTTTATTTTGTAGAGGCAGGGTCTCACTATGTTGCTGAGGCTTATCGTGAATGCCTGGCCTCAAGCAATCCTGCCTAGGCCTCCCAAAGTGCTGGGATTACAGGCATAAGCCACCATGCTCAGCCTAAAAATGGCATATTCTGGTGTCTAATATCTAATCTGAAGAAATTTCAAGGTACCACTCATAAAATGTGTCCCCAGCATCCTATTATTCCAAAGACTTCAACTTAATTTTGTCATATTTACTTTCAAGGCAAAATGGAACCCTTCTATGTTGATAAAATGTTTTATATATGGTAAGATTTGAGGACTTTACATATTTAGAGGAATTCTTGTTTTAGATATATTATTAGTATGTCTTCATCAAAAAGATGTGAAATCCGTTAAAGCCCCACCTCCACAGATCTCATTTTAAACACTAGGGTATGCCTCCCCTTTCTCCAAATCTTCTAGGTTTCCTGACAAGTTGTACAGTTGGCTGATTCTAGTTTTCTGTCATTTCTCCCTTCTTTTTTTTTTTTGGAGATGGAGTCTCACTCTATCGCCCAGGCTGGAGTGCAGTGGCGTGATCTTGGCTCACTGCAACCTCCTCCTCCCCGGTTCAAGCAATTCTCCTGTCTCAGCCTCCCGAGTAGCAAGGACTACAGGCGCACACCACCACACCCGGCTAATTTTTTGTATTTTAGTGGAGATGGGGTTTCATTGTGTTGCCCAGGCTGGTCTCGAACTCCTGACCCCAGGCAATCCACCCACCTTGGCCTCCCAACATTTCTCCCTTCTTTAACATTAACAAACAGAGCTGACATGAGAAAAAGACACAAAGTTCTTAGAACATTGTGAACTGGATACACAGCTATTAAGAGTCCTTGGTATTTCAGATATCTCAAGCATTATTATCAGCATGGTAACTTTAAGGTTGATTCCAGGTATAATTAAATATCTCATGATAGTAAACGCACAAAGGCTTTTGAAAAGTTTAGATTGCATTTTGAAATAAATATGATGTGATATCTTTAAATTTTTACTGTAATACTGTGCAAATTGTTTAGATTTAGAAATGATTTTATTGCTCCTTAAGCATTCATTCAATTCTTATTCAGGGAATACACAGAACATAGGTAGTATTTGGGAAGGTACATCTTATTATTACCTTGATATAATTATATCATAACTGTGAATTTAAATATAAAAATAATTTAATATTTATTAAATTAGCTAAATGCTCTCATTGAGATTATCTGAACTGACATGGTCAAAATAAAATACAAAAAAATATAAATACTAAATAGAATACTAAAATATAAGCATAATATAACACTAAAAATAATACTGTGTTTTAATACTTTAAAACTTATCATCACTGAAGGGTTTGATTGGGTTTTGTTTTCAGTTAAAGCCAATTTTTCACACTCCTTCTCCATTGTTCTAAGATGACTTTTAGTTGGGCCGTCTCTTGATTCAGAGTTCTGAGTAAAGAGTCAGAAATTCCAGACCACGTGCCCTAAGGTGCATCAGGACTAGACTGGAGGACCAAATAAATCTCAAGCAGAGCAATAGTCCAGGTGTGGTGGCTCACACCTGTAATCCCAGCACTTTGGGAGGCCAAGGCAGGCTGATCCCTTGAGCTTAGGAGTTCAAGACCAGCCTGAGCAACATGGTAAAATCCTGTCTCTACAAAAAATACAAAAAAAAAAAAAGAACAATAGTGATTTTACTTTCTGAGTCCTGTTTGAGGTAGTGCTATTCAGCAGGCAAGAGTGTGTACTAGAAAGTGCTTTAAGAGATAGGAAACACAGTTCTAATTCCAGTTTTATGAATAACTAGCAGTACAAGCCTTGGTAAATTATTTAAAGTTCCTTGGGTTTATATAAGAAAACTGGGCTCTACCAGGGAGGTTGAGGCTTCAGTGAGCTGTGATCACACCACTAGACACCAGCCTGGGCAACAGAGTGAGACCCTGTCTCAATTAAAAAATAAAAAAAGAAAATTGGGCTCTAATATTCATGATTCTAACTGACAAAAAATTAAGAATCAACTTATGATGAAGAACAATATACAGAAATTCAGGCCACTAAAGGATTATGTAAAAACATAAATTTATATTATATATATCTTACATTGTTAAGATCTAGAATATGAGCGGTTCTATTTTACAGTAACACTTCCAATATTAAATGTTTTTTCAACTGTGTTCAAGGCTCTTTGATTAGTGTTATGAGGGCTATAAAGATGAAATAAACCTTATCCCCTGATCTCAGGAAGCTTACCAGTTAGTAGGTTCACCCTCTCTTCAAGCACCCTTGCCCATGGGGGTCCCCTTTCAGCAGAAATTCTTGCATTCTAATTCAAAGAAAGAAAACATTAGAGGTATAAGCTACCTGATGTCCAAAGCCATACCCAGAAATTCATCTCCATCTATATCAACCTTTCCCTTCTGCCATAGCTGTAGCTTAATCAGAGGTGGGCCAAAGGCCTGTGATATGGGACACCAAATACATCTACTAATGTCTCCAAATCAAGACTCCCGTGTTCCCAAATCCATTAAACAGCAGCACCATCCATTTAGTCAACTGTGATGGAGATTGCTAATTGTGCCCTCATCCATTCTCCTTCCTTTTAGTAATAGAGCTTTTGGGATATGGGATAAGTGAGAAGGCTAAGCCAGTAAGTTCCCAGAGGAGAAGGCAAGGGGATTGGAAAAAGTTTAGGGATTAAGGGAGAGAACCCTGGGCACCTTGGAGGCTTAATTTCTGCCACTCCTAGGAATACTAGACCTAATAGCAAAAATATGAGGCAAGTTTGTGTCTCTCTGTGTTAAAGGTATGCAGGGGCCCATTTGTTTATTAAAAAATCATTATTCAGCATGATATGAAATTTAACTTTTGGCTGTGAATTTATTGTGGAAGGATAATTGTAGGGATATCTGAAATGACCATGATAACAATAATGCCTGCATGACATTGTGAACCACCTGAATCTGAATACAGAAAACCGAACATGTTTATATTAAAATATATTCATTTATTAACACTATTTATTAATAGAGCTCCGTGAGTTTTAGCAAGGCACATCCATTTAGTGACAATATTTCCCAGTTCATCTTGCAACTGGGCATGGTGATATGATTAAGTTCTCCCCAATAAAAAAAATGGCAAAAGTGATGTAAACGTCCTTTAAAATGAAAAGATTTTTTGCCTTCCATTTCCTCTTTCCCCTTTTTCACAGGCTGAAAACACAGATACAATTCTGGTGAATGTGCTTTGCTCATGAGGACAGACAACTCACTGGGGGTTGGGAGGATAAACGATAAAAGAACCTGGGCCTGTGAACAACCCCATGGGGCAGAACTAGTCTGCAATGCCTGGCTGTTCACTTCTGGACTGAATGTATATACAAAATGGTTTCTACCTTACATTCCAGGGCCTCTTTGATATGGAAGTTTGGCCTGTACTCTAACACAACATCCAAGCAAGAAACGGGAAATCACTTTAGTCATACTCCCTACAGCTCCCTCATCTCCAAACATACAATTTTAGGTCCAGATCAATTTAACTGACTTATCTGTTCCTTCCTCATCAATTCCATAACTACTCCCCCTGTTGAGAACCACATTATGTCACTGTCTGGACTACAACAACACATCCCTTTAAATGTTCTTCTTGCTGCCACAATCTTGCACTGTCAGTACATCCAGAAGGGTCTCAATAAAACAAATCCGATTTTGTCAAATCCCTATTTTAAAATTCTCAATGAATTCACATTGTATGCAAAAAAAATCAAAAAGTCCAAACTCCTTGACGGCATATAAGACCTTCAAGAGCTGATGCCTACCAACTTTTCCAGCTTGTTCTTATGCCAAGCTTCCCCTTCCATCCTAGGATCAGGTTACATCAAAATACATGCTGTACTCTGAACATTCCCACCTTTGCAACTCTGCAGTCTCTGTAGAATCTGCCACAATAGGAACTATAACCTTTATTGAGGTTATTTGCTTACCTATTGGTTTTCCTCAACATTTCCCAACTTTATCTCTTACAAGCGATCAGAGTCCTAGAACCCACAGGGAATTTTCTGCCAGAGAATACATAAAATATTGCCACTTTCCACTGGATTTTTAAAAAAGTTATTACTATCTAAATTACTAATATAAAGAGAGAAGCATACCAATGGGGTTTCTAAGTTGGTACACTGCAGTTCTTGGGACTCCTGGCAGTCATTTTAGCTGTCAGGTGATAAAAATCTAGCCTGACAGATGATGTAGTAGAGATTGCTGTTTGTATCCCAATGTTCTTTCTCAGCGTTCTTCAAGAAGGAACCACTGAATTTTAACTGGATACATGTTGACAGAATAAAGACTACCTTTTCCTTGCAGCTAGGTGTGGCCATGTAGTTAAGATTTGGCCAATGTCATGTGACCAGAAGTGATATGTACAATTTCCCTTACAGAACAGGGTCATGCCCTTCCAACATCCCATCCTGATGGCTGGAATATGGACATGAGGGTGAACCACCTTGGACCATGTGAAACAGGGTAACACCCCAAGGGCAGTAGAACAGGAAGACAACAAGCCTGGGTCTCAGATAACTTTGTAGCTCAGGATCCACATAAAAGATTGGACTGTTATATGAGAAATCCTTTTAAAGATCTATAAGGTCTCTCTTGCATACAACCAACTTATGTGCTAACTAATGTATAAAGTGAGAGAAAACCTCATCCTATGACATATTCTCTGTACTAATAAAGCCTTGAAGACATTGACACTCTGGATCAGGCTGTGCCTTGAGGTGAGAACCATTGCTATTTGCTAGGTTCCCCAAAATTAACGAATAATTTGTCCCTAAAAGAATATTCTTAAAATATGGTGGGTCTGGCTGGGTGCGGTGGCTCACACCTGTAATCCCAGCACTTTGGGAGGCCAAGGTGGATGGATTACGAGGTTAGGAGTTCGAGACCAGCCTGGCTAACACGGTGAAACCCCATCTCTCCATTGGAGAGACTCCCCACAGAGTAGGAGAAAATGTCTCAGATATGGAGGAATAATATGCAACAATATCTGTTCCCTGCCTGCCCTGTGCCTTGGACCATGTTGAATCCACAAGGGTAAAGTGAGAAACAGAAGCTGTTGGCAAAGGTCTAGGTGACAAAATAGCCCAGAGTTAAGAAAAGGGCATAAAACCTATTGCCTATAAGGTACTCCTCTAAAATTTGGCAACTTCTCTGAATGGTACCTTTTTGTTGTTATTTTTCATTTAAAAACTGTCTTGTATCTAATCAACTCTATGGTTCTCAAATAGATTATCAATTAATTCTCTTGGGATTGCTAGTCACCTTTTCTATAATTTTGCCTCCTAATACTTTCTGCTTTATTATATTTGCTGTAACAAATATTCTTTTAAAATTAGTTGTAAAGATGAAACAGTGTTGAAGTTTCAAATAGATATGGGAAGTAGAGATTTGATGAAAGGATATTTACATTCTGGTGATCAGATTTTTGGATTTCAAAGACCAGTCAATTTTCTTTTAGTGTTTAGGGGACTGATATAAGGCTGAAACATTTTTACATTTCCAATTTATGAACAATAAAACAAATAGAATAATTTTTATCTTACAGCTCATTCATTGTGTTTTATAGTTTTTCACTTCAGCACAAATTGGTAAAAATAACATCAGGCAAAGCACTGGTTCCTGGTTTAATGAGCAGGGTTTAAAAAATTGATTATATTTTTTGACTACATTTACTATAGATCCCTTTCAGGTAGATGCACTTTTCCAACCATTTGTTTTCCTATTTATGAAGAGACAATGAACTTTTGCTACTAAGATATATTTCTAGTAATGAGCCATGGTGCCAGTAGTTTGAAACATCTGAACCACGTATTTTGCTTTAAATCCTAATATATACATAGCCTTCTTGGACAATAATCGTTATCACTTACATTTGTATAACACGTAAGTTTCAAAGCTTTCATATACACTAGTGCACTTTATCCTTTGAATAGTTTACATTTCGTTACTCATTCTTGCATTACTCATCATGAGGAAATTAGAATTTCAGAAATGTCAACTTTGCCTTCATTCTGAGGTACTAATTTTTCACATTTCTTTCTGATGGTGAATGTATATTATTTCTTTTTTTATTTGTGTTTTTTTTGTTTTTTTTTTTGGAGATGGAGTCTCGCTCTGTCGCCAGGCTGGAGTGCAGTGGCACGATCTCGGCTCACTGCAACCTCTGCCTCCCGGGTTCAAGCGATTCTCCTGCCTTAGCCTCCCGAGTAGCTGGGACTATGGGCGCACGCCACCATGCCCTGCTAATTTTTGTATTTTTAGTAGAGACGGGGTTTCACCATGTTGGCCAGGATGGTCTTGATCTCTTGACCTCGTGATCTGCCCACCTTGGCCTCCCAAAGTGCTGGGATTACAGGCGTGAGCCACCACGCCTGGACGTATATTATTTCTTTCGCCCTATTTTGGGAATTACTCTTTCACCCTACAAACATTTGAGCTATGTGTCTTGTGAAAAATGCAAATTTCTTTTTGTAGATATGTTCTTGAGACCTTGTCACAAGAGTTTTTACCCTGGGTGTGTGGATGAACTTCAGAAATGTCATTATACCCTTAAAATTATGAAATTATGAACATATGAATTTTCCTGAAGAATGGGTCAAAAGTTTTCATCATATTCTCTATTAAGATCCAGGCACCAAAACAGAACAACACTGCTCAACTAGAGGAGATATGAGGGGCTATTATAACTTAATCCTAAAACTAAATTTAAACAAGTTATTTGCTAAATTAGTCTTCTATTTTACCTTTTTGAAAACACCAGTATTACTTACTGTTGAATTTAAAAACATGAAATAAAACTAAATCTTACCAATGGCAGTCCTACAAATGACATTATAGAAAGCATTTGCTAAACGATGTGCTGATTAATTGGAAAACTTAGAAAAGGGTTCTTGTCATGAAGATATTTCAACACTGCTAGTTCACTGCACAGCAAGAATTTTGTACATTTAGCAGAACCATTGAATTAGAAAGTCAGGAAACCTGGGTTCTAGTACCAGTTTTATTTATAACTAACCATGTACAAATCACTTATCTATAAAATAATGGTTAACATCTACTCCTTAATTCACAAATAGATCACAAAACCAAGATCCTTCCCAAGAAAACCTTACTGTAAACCAAGACATTCCCACTATTTAGACTAGGTTTTAACTCAAAGGTTAAGAACTCAAAGGTTGAGAAAGACAAACTGGAGCATTTGTCTTTTATTTACCAGTTGCATACCTTAATTCTGCAGATGGATAATCTGGTTGAGATAAGCATTGCCATCTCTCAATTTTTACAAAACAAAAAGCTACCAACAAGAAGTTAATGGTGAAGAAAAATTTGTCTCAAAAATAACACAATTGAGAAATAGCTTTGTATTAAGTGCAGTACTTATAACATCCCTGATGTCAAATGTACAAAATTTAGCTTTAGGTCACTAAAGCATGTTTACCCTTTTGAAGAAACATGTATTGCTAGGTCAGCCATCCTACTTCACTGGAAATAACGTTAAACTTGTAGACTGTTCAAATGGCCAATCAAAATGACTAAGAAACATTATCGTGTGTTTTTTTGTTTGTTTGTTTTTTCATCCTTTCTCTTTCCTTTTCGTTCAAAAATTCAGTTCCCCATCCTAGACCAGACTCCTCTGTCCTCTGCCAGGGTATAAGAAAAGTTAGCATTCTGTCACTATAGAACATAGAAGAGGAATTAGCATGTTATTGAATAAAGAATCAGGAAGATAATTCTAATTGGGTATAGAAAAATTTATACACCATAAACATCTGTATATGTACACCATTTATCATATATACGTATTGTGACAACCATATGTATTAATAAACCTTCAAAAGGTAAGCACCTATATTTTCTTGTAATTAACAATTTTAGTTTTGTGCAATGTAGTCTATATTTGTGGACTTCCCCTTACATATGGTGACAGAGAGACTGAAACATTGTTCACAGAGAAACACAGAACATATACAAATCTCATAATAAAATAACCATGTATACCACTGTTTAGGGAAATATTTTAGAGGAAACATACTTTCACTACTGGCCCCAAATCCCATCATCCACTTAGGTTCTTCAATGTCAACTTTTAATACAAAAATACCTTCAAGCTGATAATTAAGAACATTCACAATGACTTACAAAATGGACAATATTCCAATGCTACACAAAACGGTTCTATAATACACAGCTTAAAGTTTTAAAGTTCTTGGCTGGCAGTTGATTTTTTTTATAGCTGATAGACACGATAACTACTGATCTGAGTAAAATACTGTTTTTAGCTTATACATATGTTCTAAACCATATTACCTCACAAAACAGTAAAGAATAAATCACTTTCTGTTGAAGAATCCTCTAGGACAAACACCAAACCTACACAGCCAAAATATTTTAGGGAGGCAAGTAAACATTTTAAGACAAATCATGACCAGTGGATAAAAATTTGCATTACCCAATTATATGTCCAGGAATTGTTCCTCTGAGTCAGTAAAGCATGTATTGGGCATAAATTAAAAACACAAACATAAAAAGCAAGTTACCGTTTTTTTTTTTTTTTTTGGTTTAGAAGGGTGTTTAATTCATGACATTACTAAGAATGGGTGTTTTTTGGGATAGAAAATTGGTCACATATACCAAATACACATTTTATATTCCAAAATAAAAACTGAGATTTCTTTTAAAACAGTGGAATCCTGATTTTTTCTTTTTTTTTTTTTTTTTTTTTACTTTCTGTGAGCTTATGAGGCCATTCTGCACATTATCAAAATGAAATCATTATGCAGTAACCTTATATATATAAATCCAATTTTTTCCTTTGTAGAAGAAAACCAAAATAATTTTACAAACTACATTTAACTTAGAATATAAAGAACTGACTAGTGTAAAATTTTGAAAATCTACCACTTTATTTTGAAGGAAAGTACACATCCTTCAAAACCCCGCTAACAATTCCTAGTTCAGTTTTCTATTATACAAATCAAAAAGTTAAATTCCTTGTGGCACTAACCAAAACTTAAAAATTAACAGAAGACTGAATTAATTAAAAAAAAAGCATACTAACTAATCAAAACAATCCACTGTGCAATGAATATTTGAACAATGAAAAAAACCTACCAAGCATCCTAATCAATTATATAGTTCTTGCTTCCATATTTTAATTCTGGACTTTCAGGATGGTAAATTATTAAACAGGTCGATTTCATGGACTGTCTAAACCTTGTAGTATTTCAAAATATTACCCTTTCTAAACCAAATCTGTGGTCCTAATCAACTTTTTTTCCAAGAAAAAGAAACGATATGTGTTTAAAATACATTCCGTAGCAGTAGAAACATCTTAGTGTCTCAAAATACTATTTACAAAGAACCCTGCTGATCCTGTGCATTTCGCTGAGGTGCTACTTGCACCCAGACTTCATCATCTGAAAAAGAACTTGAACTTCCTGACTCAGAGTCCAGCTCACTGAATCCATCTAAGTCCCATTCAGTACTAGACTCACTCCGTGCATCATCTTCCTCAGTAATAAAACTCTGACCAGGTTCAAGGCAGGAAGGATAAACACGAGCACAAAGGCAAATAAAGCCAGAGTCAAACTGCAAAAGGCCTAACATGGTACCTATATTAATCCACTGATCTTCCCTAGTATCATACTCATACACTGTCACTCGGTTCTTTTTCCATTGTGGGGTTGTAGAAGTGATGAGAAGCAACTTTTGGTCATGATTGACAATCTGGTAGTTGTGGGTCTCTGAATCCAAAGGAATATTACTAATCCGCCTCCATTCTCCCCTAGCTGGGTTGTAGACCTTCATGACTGGGATGTCACAGATACAATAGATTTCATCATTGAAGACACATGCTTCCTGAAAGTCACTACGTTTAAGAGAAGCACAGTTCAGCCACATATTGTGGCTAGGATCATAGCAAAGCATGCGCTTACTGTTGACAGCATAAAGATAGTTCTGAACCACTATGAGTTCAAAGGAATAGAAGGAATGAGGGACAGGAGCCACCAATGCCCACTGGTTTCTCTGAACACTGTAGCATTCCACTTCCTTCAACTTAACTCCAGTAATAGGGTCTCGTCCCCCCAAAATGTAGATGTAGCCATTGAGATATGCCACATCCATGCCCTCACGACACAGCAAGCGATCTGCAAGTTGCTGCCAACTATTCTGAGCTGGTTTATACACCCAGAGGTCTTTCCTGGGCTGAGCAGCTAGATAGATGTCATGGTCTGGGGACACACAGACAGCTGAGGAGGTGACAGTCTTAGTGTGAGCAAAGCTGGTCAAAGGGGATGGCATTGTGTAAATGTCCCCCGAGTAAGGGTCATAGCAGAGAAAGGGATCTCTAGGATGTCCAAAGAAGATCACCATCTCCTTGGCACACATACCCAGTCTCTGGGGTGGATTTTCTGCTGCAGATACAAGAGAGTTGCTGCTGCTACTGCTGCTGCTGCTGTTTGGCACTGGCACCAGAGACTTGTACAACAGGTCACCATAGCGCATCTGCAGGGCCCCTTCAATAACGTCCAGGCAGTACTTCTTCACGATGGGCTTGGTCAGCAGCCCTTCTAAGTAGTCCTGATCTTCTTCAGTGAAGTGCATCCAGCGCACGCACTTGAAGACTTCTGCAGCACTGGGACCCCGCTCTTTGGCAGCAGCCTCCAGCCACTGCACAGCTACATGGCATACAGTCCGCTCACTCTCTATGTCCAGACTATCCAGGCGTAGGACAGCCAGCAGCTGGGCCAGGGTTAGATCTGCTAGAGTCTCCTCCCGAATTGAACCCATTCGGCTGAGCTGCTTGAAGTTGTGAGCTATGTAGGACTGGGCCTGAGATCGAAGCTTGTGATGGTCGAAGGCGTCTGCAAACTTGAGGATGGCGGTGCAGTTGGTCAGGTCAAGACGTCGGGCTAAGAAGGAGGCACAGGCTTCCCGCACATATTCCAGCTGTAGCATGTCGGAGGCCGCGTACAGGCGCTGCACATTGGCCTCACTGAGAGACACACGACCCGTGTAGCAGTAGTCGACCAACACCTCGAAGGACTCGGCGTCCACATCGTGCATGGTCACGCTGGCCTGCTGGCTCTCGTACATGCCACCTGTGAACATGCTCTTGAAGTAGGGACACGCAGCTGCTAGCACGTTGCGATTGCAGGAAAAGAGGCGACCCGTGCCAGGCCCGCTGCCAGGCGTCACCACCTCGATGGTCACATCACACAGCAGCCGCGCGTCGTAGAAGGACTTGAGCTGTGCCAGCAGGGCTGCAGAATGGGCCGTGTCCTTTAACTCCTCTGGACCCGTGAAAAAGGCCGAAACCGAGGGCTTGGAAATCCTCTTGGGCCGCCTCCCACCACGGGGACTGGCGAGGCGGCGAGAGCGCGGGACGTCTTCCCGGGACTGCATGGTGGAGATGGCGACGGGCGCTGACGGCGAGAAAGGCTGCAGGACCAGGCTCTGGCTCCTCCTCAACCTTCCCTCGCTGACGCTAAGACAAGCCGCGTCCTGGAACAGACTGCGGCACGGGCCGCACTTCTGAATTCAGCCCTATCCCGCGGTGAGGCCTCCCTTTATTGCATAGACAGTGGCTGACTCACCCTCTCTCACTCCCGCGCCCTTTCTCCGCCTCCGCTCGCCCTCACAGGACCCGCTGGCTTGCAGCCGCGGAAGCCCCCACTGCCGCGCTGGCGATCCCGCTAGGCGCCCGGGAGAACTACTGCTCCCAGGTTGCCTTTCGCGCCCCGAGGCCTGCTGGGGCTCTCGGACGGCCGGGCGGGGACAGAGGGAAAGAAACCGCTTTGCATGTTGGGAGTAGTAGTTTGTGTAATATCGCGAGCTGTCCTTTAGTTGACTGCTCTAACAGTAGAAATTAATTCTCCTGGATTTGATGGTGAAGAGACTGTTGCCCAGGCTGGTCTTGAACTCCTGAGGGCTCAAATTATCCTCCTGCCTCGGCCTCTCAATGTGCTGGGATTACAGGCGTGAGCCACCGCCCCCTGCCAGTATTTCATAGGGTTTTGTGTGGTTCAATGATACCTTACATGGGATACTTAGATACATGTATGTTTTTGGTTAGAAGAATAGTAAAGCGTTACCCCGTGCCTAGAATGTAGCCAATAACTGTTAGATTCTCTTTTATAATTTATGATAAATGAGGCACCCACTAATTTGAAACCGAGTATTATTTTAAACCGCAAAATTTTACAAAGAATTTCTAGTTTTTAATGTTTATTCCTTCGAAAGATTTTGAAGGGCATTAACAATATTTTCAATATTAAATGATATCTATTGGTCTCGTTTAATAAGGATGTCTTAGACGACTAGGTTGAGGTCCTAAAGAACAGTATTAATAGATGGTCTCAAATACGCAAATCCAGCATATAAAAATAAATTATTTGCTGCTCTCACTAACATTTCATCTCTGGAGAGCAGGAGTATTTTCGTTAAGCTCCAAATATGAGTGTTTTCAAGTCGTCTAATACAGCCTCTTTCACTGCCGTTCCACAAATCAATTAACAGATTATGTAATTCCCTTTATTAAGGAGTTTTAGGGAGTATTTTAACTCAAAATATTTCAACAAACAGACTTTGTTCTGTACAAAAGCACATGATTCTCAGAATTCAACATCAGTACATGCCCTGACATTCCTTGAATTAATATATAGTATAGTCTATGCTTTACAAAGTCTTTTATATTTGCATTGGGATCAACAGTTAAATCATCAAAATCAAGTATTAGAGATTTGAGGCAGGAAAATAGGGTCTGGAGGCAGGGAACATAAGGCTGATTCACACTTTAGCTATAACAGGAAAGATCCTCTCCATAGGGTGTATGCTGAGTAAATGAGTTTGTAACTTTACTTCATTCTCTTCATTTACATAGGGTGTACACCAAGTAACCAGTGGAATCCTCTAGAGGGTATTTAAACCTTCAGAAATTCTGTAACAGGGCCCTTGAGCCCCTATGCTCAGGCCCGCTCCCCACTGTGGAGTGTACTTTCATTTTCAGTAAATCTCTGCTTTTGTTGTTTCATTGTTTCCTTGCTTTGTTTATGTGTTTTGTCCAATTTTTTGTCCAAAACGCCAAGAACCTGGACACCCTCCACCAGTAACAGACTTTTTCAGATAACTTTTATTACAAAACCATGACTGCTCCTGCTGCTAGTTTGTTATGTTACCATAACCTAATAAAGAAAATCATCAGTGTTACATGCATGTATGGATAACACATTACAAGAGAATAACTTTCAAATTGTTTTTCTCTTATCAGCTGAAGATAACTTCAACTTATCAGCTGAAGTCCACTGGAAATACTCTAGGGTAGACACATTAAATTAAGTCAGCCTCTGGGCTCTAATAACTCCTCTGTAAATAAAAAGAGATGTTAGATATCCCTCAGATACACCAGAGAGAATCAAGTCAGTCATTATCAGTAACAATGATTGTTTCCTGACTTGCAGTGAATACCAGCTGGGGAAAAAAGCCTTTTTTTTTTCTTTTTTTTTTTTTTTTTTGAGATGGGGTCTTGCCCTGTCACCCAGGTTGGAGTGCAGTGGCACCATAATAGCTCACTGCTGCCTCAAACTCCAGTGCTCAAGCAATACTTTGCCCTCAGCCTCCCAAGTAACTAGAGCTATAGATGCATACCACCACACCCAGTTAATTAAAAAAAAATTATAGACAGGGTCTCACT
Source organism: Homo sapiens (assembly GCF_000001405.40). NCBI lineage: Eukaryota > Metazoa > Chordata > Mammalia > Primates > Hominidae > Homo > Homo sapiens. Next base: position 41,196,545 of record NC_000013.11, read on the forward strand.
GTGTTGCCAGCCTGGTCTGGAAATCTTGGTGTCAAGCACTCTTCCTGCCTGAGCCTCTGAGTTGCTGCAATTACAGGCATGAGCCACATGCCCAGCGCAGGAATGGCCATTTTAAAAAACTTCTTAAAATATTGGTAAAATATACATAACACTAAATTTACCATTTAAACATTTTCAGTGTATAGTTCTTTAGCATTAAATATATTCACACGGTTTTGCCACTATCACAAAACTGAAGCTCTGTACCCATTTAAACAATAACTCTCTAGCCCCCACTTCTGGCAACTGCCATTCTACTCTTTGTCTCTATGACTTTTGACTACTCTAGGTACCTCATATAGGCAGTGACTGATTTTTACCTTCCTTATATCTGCTCTTACTGTGTTATTTGGTTTAGGTTACCTGTCACACAATTGAAGATATCTATTAGGCACTATTCCCTAAGATCTAGAGCTATGTGCTGTCCCATAAAACTTGGGAATATTTTATATTTGTGCTGGCTGATACAGTAGCCAGAAGCCACATGTAGCTCTTGGGTACGTGAAATGTGGCTAGTGCAACTGAGGAATTAAATTTAAAATTTTAGAAATACAGCATGATACCAATGCAATTCAATGAAGAAAGAAAATTCTTTTCAACAAATGTTATTGGAACAACTGGATCAAGAATGTAAGACAGAAAGTTGCCCTTGCCCCTACCTTACACCATAAGCAAAAAATTAATTCAAAATTTCTCCTAATACTAAATGGAAAAGTGGAAACTATAAAGCTTCAAAAAGAAAACATAGGGCCGGGTGCAGTGGCTCACACCTGTAATCCCAGCACTTTGGGAGGCTGAGGCAGGCGGATCATGAGGTCAGGAGATTGAGACCATCCTGGCTAACACGGTGAAACCCTGTCTCTACTAAAAATACAAAAAATTAGCTGGGCATGGTGGCAGACACCTGTAGGCCCAGCTACTCAGGAGACTGAGGCAGGAGAATGGCATGAATCCAGGAGGCGTAACTTGCAGTGAGCCAAGATTGCGCCACTGCACTCCAGCCTGGGCGACAGAGCGAGACTCCGTCTCAGAAAAAAAAAAAAAAGAAAAGAAAAGAAAACATAGAAGACTATAGCTTTGCGGTTGGCAAAGTTTTCTTGGGACACCAAAAACACAGATCATAAAAAAAAGACAAAGTGAATTTCAAAAGTGAATTTCAACAAAATTACAAGCTGCTGCCTATGGAAAGGCAGTGAAAACAACAAAAGATAAACCACAGACTGGGAAAAAATATTGGTAACATGTATACCCGGTGGCCAATGCACATTAAATTCACAATAAGAAAACACTGAATACCCACTAGAATGCCTTAACTTAAAAACATCAATGATACTATATATTAGTGGAGATATGGAGCCGTTGGAACTCTCATATGCTAATAATAGGAATATAAATTGGTATAACCACATTAGAAAATTCTTTTGTAGTTTCTTTTAATGTTAAACGCCGTGTAATTTCACTCCCAGGCAGTTGCCTCAGGGAAATGAAAACATATATCCACAAAAACACTTGTATAAGTATCTTCATAATAGTGTTAATGACAAAGCTGGTCCTGTGAAGATGAGATTTTTCCCTGTTCTATGTCATGAAGCCAAGATGCGAAACTGAAAGTGAGCATCAAGCAGTGCAGGTTTTATTCCATGGCCATGGATTTGAGAAGCAGGAGCATGGCTCACAAATCAATTTCTCAGCTTCTGAGAGCCGGGAAGTCATAGATATAGGGCATCTTTAATGAAGGGGATGGGTATTAAAAGCAAGGGGTGGGGCTGGGCACAGTGGCTCACACCTGTAATTCCAGCACTTTGGGAGGCCAAGGCGGGCAGATCACTTGAGCCCAGGAGTTCCAGATCAGCCTGGGGAACATGGTGAAACCCCGTCTCTACTAAAATACAAAAATTAGCTGGATGTGGTGACGGACACCTGTAATCCCAGCTACTCAGGAGGCTGAGGCAGGAGAATCACTTGAATCTGGGAGGCAGAGGTTGCAGTGAGCCCAGATCACACCACTGGACTCCAGCCTGGGCAACAGAGCAAGACTCCTTCTCAAAAAAGAAAAAGCAAACGGAGGAATATTCGTGTGTTTTCTTGGCATGTGTGAAGAACTCGGAAACCAGAGTGCCACATTACTTTTTGTCCTTTTATGGTTTCTTCTGATCATTGTCATGGTGATTGTCAACTGTCATGCAGCTGGCAGGAGTGTCATTTAACATAGAGATTAGATCATAATGAAGTTAGAAGTTCTTCAGAGGTCAAGTGAGCTGATATTTTGTCCACCAGTCTCTGCCAGTTTGGTCACAATGGGGAACTTCTGATCTCAGGCATAAGCAGAGTTAAGGTAGAGTAGAAATTCACTTAGGTCACTAAGCATTATGCTGCGTAACAGTAGCTTTATCCATAGTATCCAGAAGTAGAAACAATCCAAATATACATCAACAGGAGAATGAAAAAAATTGTAGTATATGTATTAGTTCGTTTTCATGCGGCTGATAAAGACATACCCAAGACTGGATAATTTATAGAGAAAAAGAGGTTTAATGGACCTGCAGTTAAATGTGGCTAGGGAGGCCTCACAATCATGGCAGAAGTTGAAAGGCATATCTTACGTGGCAGCCGGCAAGAGAGAATGAGAAGAAATATTGGGCCAAGCAAAAAGGGAAAACCCCTTATAAAACCATCAGATCTCGTGAAACTTTTTCACTACCACAAGAATAGTATGGAGGAAACTGCCCCATGATTCAATTATCTCCCACCGGGTACCTCCTATAACACGTGGGAATTATGGGAGCTACAATTCAAGATGAGATTTGGGTGAGGACACAGCCAAACCACATCAGCATATTCCTACAGTGTAAAAGTACTCAGAAGTAAGAAAGAAACAACCTCTGATATATAATAATGTGAATGGTTCTCAAAAATTTTATGTTGAGCAAAAGAAGCCAGATACACAAGAGTAGACACTGTATGACCATTTGTGTGAAGTTCCAGAACACTGAAAATAAGCTTTGATGAATAAAAATCATAATAGAGGCTTCCTCTCTTGTGTAAGGGGTAGTGGGGAGGTGGCAAATTGCTAGACTGACTAGAAAGGAACATGAGGAAATGTCTAGGGCTGATGCAAATGTTTTCTTCTAGACCGGGCTGGTGGTTACATGGGTGAATGCAATTGCTAAACTCAATAAACTGTACTCTTCACATCTGTGCATTTTGCGTACTGTAATTATCCTCTCAGGAACAGCCACTTCATAATTGTTGGCTTTAAATAAAATTGCAGAATTCTTTACCAGGAAGTCATTATGAAGATAGTTCAGTCATAAAGCAAGGTTCTTCTCCTCTAGAGGTGTTTGGGTCAACATTGGTCCAATTCATACAAATTATATCAACAGATGTGGTCTTCCATACCCCTGGAACTTGAGTGCCTCTGGGTAATCTTCAAGGATTTCAGCATGCTGGAGTCTTTCAGATTTGTAAAGTATCTGAGTGCCTAACATTATATTCAAATATTTTCCATTTTTGCCACAACCATATTAAAAACATACTCCTTATTATCTGTGGTCCCTCAAGTTTTCTTGTAATTTACATAATTCTCTACAATAGAATCCACATTTTTCCTGGCACGAAGATAAAGCTGTTTTTGTTTGGTCATTATGTCTCACTCATCAACAAAACATGGTTTTAATTCTTCAGAAATCTTTAACTTCAACTCTCTTCATGAATGTTTTCAACAGCGGCATCTACTGGGGCTCTTCTGAGGAGGCTGAGGTATCTCATTGGTACTGCTCCATTTCCATTTCCACATGATTTCAACATTTTTCCCTTGCAGACCAGATGTCTTCTTTGCTGGGGCAGCCTCTCTCCTCTTCCCCCATGAATTTTGTTCCTGATTTGCTTCTCGAAGTTCTCCCGGTTTCTACAGATTGGTGTTCATGTACCTGAGTACTCTACTTTTTGGAGCCCATTCATTCCAATTTTCATCCAATCCACCGTAATGTGTAAAGTATTTCACTTGTTTGTCCTCGATGGCAACTTTTACATAATTTGCTTCATAAAGAGGCCCATAAAAGCACAGCACCTACTCACTTCAGAGTTTAGGCTTCAGTACCATTTGTAAGTGATAACCCCGACTCCCTTCTCCTACCTCACCCAGCTACTGCTCCCTATGCTGTATCCCATCCAATTCAGCGTCAGGTAGGCTGTCAGGCACTGCCAGCTGTACAGCCTGGGCCCCTCAGTATTGTTTTTACTTTGATTTTTAAGTAGAGTCTACAAACTGTTAACGCCTTTATTTCTGTATTCAAAATGATTTCTGCTATGGATTGTCCCCTCCAAAACTGATGTTGAAACATAATCCCCAATGTGGCAGTATTGAGAGGTGGGTCCTTTAGTGGGTGATTGAATCACAGGGCTCTGCCCTCATGAATAGATTAATCCACCCATGGATTAATGGGTTATCAGGTTAATGGATTAATGGAATAATGGGTTAATGGATTAATGAGTTATCAGGGGAAAGGAACTGGTGGCTTTATAAGAGGAGAGACCTGAGCTAGCAGGCTCAACTCTCCCTCTCATGTGATACCTTGTACTGCCTCGGGACTTTGCAAATTACCCACTAGCAAGAAGGCCCTCACCAAACATGACCCCTTGACCTTGATTTCTCAGCTTACAGAACGGTAAGAAATAAATTCCTTTTCTTGTTGTTGTTGTTTTGAGACAGCCTTGCTCTGTCGCCCAGGCTGGAGTGTAGTGGTGTGATCTTGGCTCACTGCAACCTCCACCTTGAGGGTTCAAGTGATTGTCCTGTCTCAGCCTCCTGAGTAGCTGGGATTACAGGGGTGCACCACCACACCCGGCTAATTTTTTGTATTTTTAGTAGAGATGTGGCAATATTGACCAGGCTGGTCTCGAACTCCTGGCCTCAAGTGATCTGCCCGTCTCGGCCTCCCAAAGTACTGGGATTACAGGCGTGAGCCACCGCGCCTGGCCAAATTCCTTTTCTTTATAAGTTACCCAGTTACAGGTATTCTGGTATGTGCAACACAAAATGGACTAATACAACTCCACTGCCTTTAGTCATTGGCTGCCAGGAGAGTTTTTATGGGTCCACCCTCCCCTACCTCAGTTGGAGGGTACCTAGTGAGGGGGCTGCCTTGGGGCGTGACTTCCGTTCCACATTTATTTCATAGCAGCTAACTTGTTTCAGACCTGTTATACACCATTTTTGTTTGTTTGTTTGTTTTTTTGAGACAGAGTCTCGCTCTGTCACCCAGGCTGTAGTGCAGTGCAAGCTCCGCCTCCCGGGTTCACGCCATTCTCCTGCCTCAGCCTCCCAAGTAGCTGGGACCACAGGTGCCTGTCGCCACGCCCAGCTAGTTTTTTCTCTTTTTTTTTTGTATTTTTAGTAGAGACAGCGTTTCACCGTGTTAGCCAGGATGGTCTCCATCTCCTGACCTCGTGATCTGCCCACCTCAGCCTCCCAAAGTGCTGGGATTATGGGAGTAAGCCACTGCACCCAGCCTATCTTTTTTTTTTCTTTTTTAAGAGATAGGGTCTTATTATGTTCCCCAGGCTGGTCTCAAATTCCTGAACTCAAGTGATTATCCCACCTCAGCCTCTTAACTTTTAATTTTATTATTTAAAAACTTGTATTGAAGTATAGCATACACTATCTGGACATGGTGGCACAGGCCTCTAGTCTCAGCTACTCAGGAGGCTGAGGTGGGAGGATTGCTTGAGCCTGAGAGATGGAGGTTGCAGTGAGTTGGGATCATGCCACTGCACTTCAGCCTGGGCAACAAAGCAAGACCCTGTCTCAGGAAAAAAAAAAAAAAGGTGAAGTATAGCATACATACATATACAGAAAATGGGACAAATAAAAATTGTAAATGCAATGAATTATCACAAAATAAATACACCTGTGTAACCTCCACTCAGGTCAGAAATAGAACATTATCAGCATCCCAGAGGCTCCACTTCCCCAACTCCAGCCCAAGTGCCCCTAATTGCCATTGTGCATCACAAAATGAGTCACACTTTAAAAAATAATTTCTTTTATTTTTTGACTGTCAGTAGTAGTTTGTTGATCCTAAGTTGCTTGACTCAATTTCATATTCAATTTAAAATATATCTAAAGTATACTTTGATATAAAGTTTGTTATTCCTTGATATTCTAAAGATGTTATGCATATGAGACAATAAATTTTGGCTTTTCAGATTTTTAACAAGAATCCTGACATAGTTTTGGCTTCTATCTTCATTTCCTAACATTTTTCTATTAACAGTTAAAAGATGTCAAGTTGATTTCCATACTTTGGGAGACTAATAGGTTATCTTAGTGAAGCAGGATTACGAGTTTAATTAAATTTCACTGTATGAAAATCATGTGTAGAACAATTAAAATACTTACTAATTGAGTAATAGATGTCCTGGATTCTTGCTACTCCAAGTGTTGTTTGTGGGTCAGCAGTTTCCACTTGTTAGAAATGCAGAATCACAGGCCCCAGCCAGGCCCCAGATCTCTTTCTCTTTCTGCTTCTTTCTTTTTTTGTTTTTTTGAGACAAAGTCTCGCTCTGTCACCCAGACTGGAGTGCTGCAATGGCATGATCTCAGCTCACTGCAACCTCCGCCTCCCGGGTTTGAGCGAGTCTCCTGCCTCAGCCTCCTGAGTAGCTAGGATTACAGGCGTGTGCCACCACATCTGGCTAATTTTTGTATTTTTAGTAGAGATGGGGTTTCATCATGTTGGCCAGGCTGGTCTTGAACTCCTGACCTCGTGATCCACCTGCCTCAGCCTCCCAAAGTGTTCGGATTACAGGCATGAGCCACCGTGCCCATCCCTTTTTTTTTTTTTTATAGAGTCTCGCTTTGTCACTCAAGCTGGAGTGCAGTGGTGCCATCATAGCTCACTGCAGCCTCAACCTTCTGGGCTCAAGTGGTCTTCCCACCTCAGCCTCTCAAGTAGCTGGGACACACCACCACACCCAGCTGGTTTTTAAATTTTTTTGTGGAGATGGAGTCTCACTATGTTGCCCAGACTGGCCTCAAACTCCTGATCTCAGGTGATTCGCCCACCTTGGCCTCCCAAAGTGTTGGGATTATTGGCATGAGCCACCACACCCAGCCAAGAACATCACCATTTTGTAACTCCCAATACAACAGCTGACTCAGGCAAAGCAAGAATCATTAATTGATGTTAAATCCATGATATAAAAGTTCATTAAGTGCAACAGTTATGTATTGTGGCCTAACTATTTAGCAACTGGAAACAACAAACATTAATCAACTCATAGTTTCCAAGGGTCCAGGTTATCGTGGAGCAGCTTAGGGAATTACTGCTGGCTCAAGGTCTCTCCCCATGAAATTATAGTTAAACTGTTGGCCGGGGCCAAAGTCGCTGCAAAACATGACTGGAGCGGAGTGATTTGCTTCCAAGTTCACTTGTGCTTCTTGGCAGGCCTCAGTTCTCTGAGGGCTTTTGGACTAAGGGCCTCAGATTTGCTACACTATGTAGACCGCTCCATAGAGGTACATCAATCTTGCTTCCACCAGCACAAGTGTGAGAAGGAGAAACACAGGCCGAGCCAGAAACAACAGTATTTTTATAACCTAATATTGGAAGTGACAATCCCACCACTTCTGTTGTATTCTACTTGTTAGAAGAGTTGATAGATCTGGTCCACATTCAAGGGGAGATTACAGCAGCAGATGAATGCCAGCAGTGGGCATCACTGGGGTCCTCTCAGAAGCTGCCTAGCCCAATGAGGAACCAATGTTTATATGATGCCAAAGTATTACCCTACAGATTTCATACTAATTATTAAGGAGAACATGTACTAGTATCATTATATTAGTGACCATACTGTCAAAGATAAACACAGCTGGACCATTAGTTAAAGTGGTGAAAACAGATTTTATTTAGTGATCTGACAGTAGCAGAAAGAGCGTAGCTCCTTTCTGATTTTTACAGCAGTGATTTGGGTGTTTTAAAGGGAGGATGAGAGAGCGGAGAGTGCAGGGACTCAGCAGAGTCAGAGAAGTGAAATAGTACAAAGGGTTGGTCAATGTGATGTGCTTAGGCCAGCTGAGTCTACTAGCTGCTAGTTATCTAAGATAGGATTCCCAGAGACGGGGAGATAGAGGGCCTATCCTTCCTGGTGATTGTATTTCAAAGGACTAACTTTCAGGTCCTTGAGAGAGATGCTTCTGAGTTGCAAGAGATACACAATAACAATTGCAAACCCTTTATAACAAATCCTCTAAGAAATGGAGGTCATGGGCCTATTGTCAAATGTGTGTTGGCTAGAACAAATAGTACATTTTCCTGGCAACGTTGAGCTTTCTCAGGCAGGCATTTTACGAGGGGGCTGGGGGTCATCCTAGGGACACAGCCTCATGCTGCTAGGTTCCGTGCTAGAGTTTGGTCAAGTCTCTTAGTGCAGAGGTTTGTATGCAGTTGTCATGTACCAAGAGTTCTGCAGTTCTCAAAACTTAGTATTACTAATAGTGGAACCTCTTCATGTGATGCAATTTGAATATCACATCACCTAAAAGATAGTCTTGCCAGGTGTGTTTAATCTGAATTTCATTAGTTTTAAACTTAATTTTACTTTATAGGACTGATGTAGTTTGGATATTTGTCCCCACAAATCTCATGTTGAAATGTAATCCCCAGTGTTAAAGGTGGAGCCTGGTGGGAGGTGCTTGGGTCATGGAGGCAAATCCTGCATGGCTTGGTGCTTTTTTTTTTTTTTTTTTTTTTTGAGATGGAGTTTTGCTCTTGTTGCCCAGGCTGGAATGCAATGGCATAATCTCGGCTCACCACAACTTCCGCCTCCCGGGTTCAAGCGGTTCTCCTGCCTCAGCCTCCTGAGTAGCTGGGATTACAGGCATGAGCCACCACACCCGGCTAATTTTGTATTTTTAGTAGAGATGGGGTTTCTCCATGTTGGTCAGGCTGGTCTCGAACACCTGACCTCAGTAATGATCCGCCCGCCTCGGCCTCTCAAAGTGCTGGGATTACAGGTGTGAGCTACCACACCCAGCCAACTTGGTGCTGTCTTTGCGACAGTGAGTTCTCAGGAGATCTAGTTGTTTAAAACTATGTGGCACCCCTTCCCCTGCTTCTTGCTCTTCAGATGTCCCTGTTTCTGCTTCACCTCTGCCATGAGTAAAAAGCTCCCTGAGGCCTCCCAAGAAGAAAAGCAGATGCCAGTGGCATCCTTTTATAGCCTGCAGATCTGTGAGCTAGTTAAACATCTTTTCTTTATAAATTACTCAGCCTCAGGCATTTCCTTATAGCAATGCAAAAACAGCCTAATACAAGTATATTGATTTAACCAAATACATTAAATTAAGTGGATGGATGAAAGTTACCAATATCATAAGGAAATAGCCAGACAAATCCAGAATATAGGTCATTCTACAAAACAACTTTGTTGGACTCGAAAAAGTCAATGTCATGTGGGAAAAAAAGGTACGGGGATGTTATGCTTCGAATGTGTCCCCCAAATTTCATGTGTTGGAAACCTAATTCCCAAATTCATCTGTTGATTGCATTTGGAGGTAGGGTGTTTGAGGGGTAATTGGGATTAGATAAGGTTATCAGGTTGGGATCCCCATGATGGGACTGGTGGCTTTATATGAAGAGGAAGAGAGACCTGAGCTATACGCTCTTGTTCTCTATGTGATGCCTTCCACCATGTTGTGACACAGCAGGAAGGCCCTCACCAGATGCCAGTGCCAGTCCCTTCAACTTTCCAGCCTGCAGAACTATAACAAATAATGTGTTTTCATAAATTACTCATTCTCAGATAGTCTGTTATAGTAATAGAAAACAGACTAAGGGTATTAATCTAGAATCTAAACAGACATTCAAATGCAATGTGTGAATCTTAGTTGGATCCTGAATTAGACAAAACAAAAACAGCTAAAAAAGACATATTGGGGAAAAACTGAAGAAATTTTAATATATAAGAGCTATTAGGTCTGTTATATGATTGTTAATTTTATTAGGTGTGATAATGGTGTTGGTTTTGTAGGAGAATGTCCTTATTCTTAGGAGATGCATTCTGAAATATTTTGCTGAGGTCTGCAATTAACTCTTCAATCATCCAACCACCACCACAGAAGTGTGTGTGTGTGCAGACAGAAAAAAGCCAAATGCAGCAAAATGGGAATAGTAGTTGAATCTAGAGTACACAGTGTTGATTGAAATATTAATTTTTAATTTTTGTGGGTACATAGTAGGTATATATATTTATGGGGCACATGACATTTTGATACACACAGGCAATGGATAATAATCACATCAGGGTAAATGGGATATCCATCGCCTCAAGCACTTATCCTTCATGTTACAATCCAATTATACTATTGTAGTTATTTTTAAATTTACAGTTATTATTGACTATAGTCACTCTGTTTTGCTATCAAATACTTTTTCTTATTCATTCTCTCTATTTTTTGTACCCATTAACCATCCCCACTCCCCTCACCTAACCCCCACTACCCTTCCCAGGTAATTATCCTTCTTCTATCTCCATGAGTTCAATTGTTTTAATTTTTAACTCCCATAAGTAAGTGAGAACATAAGTTTACCTCTGTGCCTGGCTTATTTCACTTAAAATAATGATCTCCAGTTCCATCCATGTCGTTGCAAGTGACTGAATCTCATTCTTTTTTATGGGTGAATACACCATTGTGTATATGTACCACATTTTCTTCGTCCATTCAGCTGTTGATGGACACTTTGGACACTGTTCTCCATAGTGGTTGTACTAATTTACATTCCCACCAACAGTGTACAAGGGTTCCCTTTTCTCCATACTCTCACCAGCATTTGTTATTGCCTGTCTTTTGAATAAAAGCCATTTTAACTGGGGTGAGATATTTCACTGTGGTTTTGTTTTGTATTTATCTGATGATCAATGATGTTGAGCGCTTTGTCATATACCTGTTTGCCACTTATAGGTCTTCTTTTGAGAAAAGTCTATTCAGATCTTTTGCCCATTTTTAAATTAGACTATTCATTTTTTTTGTATAGAGTTGTGTGAGCTCCTTATATATTCTGGTTATTAATCCCTTGTCAGATGGGTATTTTGCAAATATTTTCTCCCACTCTGTGGGTTGTCTCTTCACTTTGTTGATTGTTTCCTTTGCTTTGCAGAAGCTTTTTAACTTGATATAATCCCATTTATCAGTTTTTGATTTGGTTGCCTGTGCTTATGGGGTATTACTCAATAAATCTTTGCCCACTCCTATGTCCTGGAGAGTTTCCCCAAAGTTTTCTTTTTCTAGTTTCATAGCTTGAGGTCTTAGGTTTAAGCCTTTAATCCATTTTGATCTGATTTTTGTACATGATGAGAGGTAGGAGTCTAGTTTCATTCTTCTGCACATGGATATCCAATTTTCCCAGCACTGTTTATCGAAGAGACTGTCTTTTCCCCAGTGCATGTTCTTGGCACCATTGCCAAAAATAAGTTCACTATAGATGTATGGATTTGTTTCTGGGTTCTCTATTCTGTTCCATTGGTCTATGTGTCTGCTTTTATGCCAGTACCATGCTGTTTTGGTTACTATAGCTCTATAATATAATTTGAAGCCAGGTAATATGATTCCTCCAGTCTTGTTCATTTGGCTCAGGATAGCTTTGGCTATTATGGGCTTTTGTAGTTCTATATAATGTTTAGAATTGCTTTCTCTATTTCTGTGAAGAATGTCACTGGTATTGTGATAGGGATTGCATTGAATACGTAGATTGCTTTGGGTAGTATGGCCATTTTAACAATATTCATTCTTTCAATCTATGAACATGGAATATGTTTCCATTTTTTTGGTGTCCTCTTCAATTTCTTTCATCAGTGTTTTATAGTTCTCATTATAGAGATCTTTTACTGCTTTGGTTAATTCCAAGATATTTTATCTGTAGACATTATAAATTGGATTACTTTCTTGATTTCTTTTTCAGATTGTTCACTTGTGGTATTCTTCACAGAAACAGAAAAAACAAATGCTACTGATTTTGTATCCTGCAACTTTACGGAATTTTTTTTTATCAGTTCTAATAGTTTTTTGGTGAAGTCTTTACATTTTTCCATATATAAAATCATATCTGCAAACAAGGATAATTTGACTTCTCCCTTTCTAATTTGGATGCCTTTTATTTCTTTCTCTTGTCTGACCGCTCTAGCCAGGACTTCCAGTACTATGTTGAATAACAGTGGTGACAGTGGACATCCTTGTTGTGCTCCAGATCTTAGAGGAAAGACTTTCAGTTTTTCCCCATTGAGTATGATACTAGCTATGGGTCTGTCATACATGGCTTTTATTATGTTGAGATATATTCCTTCTGTACCCAGTTTTCTGAGGTTTTTTTTTTTAACATGAAGGGATGTTGAATTTTATTAATTTTATTCATGCTTTTTCAGCACTAATTGAAATGATCATATGATTTTTGTCCTCCATTCTGTTAATATGATGTATCATATTGATTGATTTGCATATGTTGAACTATCCTTGAATCCTTGGGACAAGTCTCACTTGGTCATGATGAATGATGTTTTAAAATGTGTTGCTGAATCCAGTTTGTTAGTATTTTGTTGAGGATGCTTGCATCAATATTCATCAGGGATATTGGCCTGTGTGTTTTTTTTTTTTTTTTTAATGTGTCTTTGTCTGATTTTGTTATCAGGGTAATACTGGCCCCAGAGAATGAGTTTGGAAGTATTCCCACCTCCTCTGTTTTTCAGAATTGTTTGAATAGGATTGGTGTCCATTCTTTAAATGTTTCGTAGAATTCAGCAGTGAAGCCATCAGGCCCCAGGCTTTTCTTTACTGGGAGACTTTTTTTTTTCTCTTTTTTTTTTTACAGCTTTGATCTTGTTACTTGTTATTGGTCTGTTCAGGTTTTGGATTTCTTCATAGTTCAATCTTGGTAGGTTGTATGTGTTTAAGAATTTATCCATTTCCTCTAAATTTTCCAACTTACTGGCATATAGTTGCTTATAGTAGCCAGTAATGAACCTTTGAATTTCTGCAGTATCAGTTGTAATGTGACCGTTTTAATCTCTGATTTTATTTACCTGGGTCTTCTCTCTTTTGTCTTAGTTAGTCTGGCTAAAGGTTTGTCCAATTTTATCTTTTCAAGAAACCACCGTTTCATTTCATTGATCTTTTGTATCATTTTCTTCATTTCAATTTCATTTATTTGTGCTCTAATTTTTATTATTTCTTTTCTTCTACTAATTTTGGGTTTGGTTTGCTCTTGCTTTTCTAGTTCTTTAAGATGCCCCGCTAGGTTATTTATTTGAAGTTTTTCTTTTTTTATGGTGTAGGTACTTGTAGCTATAACTTTCCCTCTTAGTACTGTTTTCACTGTATCCCATAGAATTTGGTATGCTATGTTTCCATTATCATCTGTTTCAAGATATTTTTCAATTACTTTCTTAATTTCTTCATTGACTCATTGGTCATTCAGGAGTATATTAATTTCCATGCATTTGTATAGTTTCCAAAATTCCTCATTATTGATTTCCAGTTTTATTCCATTGAGGTAAGATGCTTGATTTTATTTCACTTCTTTTTTTGAATGTTTTAGGACTTGTTTTGTGACCTAACATACACAGTCTATCCTTGAGAATGATCCATGTGCTGAGGAAAAGAATGTCTATTCTTCAGCCATTATATGAAAGGCTCTGTAAATATCTATTAGTTCCATTTATTTCTAAATGAATCAAGAAGAAATTCTAGAGTTGAAAAATGCAACTGACATACTGAAGCATTATGTCTAATGTTTGTTGGTTTTCTGTGTGGAAGATTTGTCTAATGCTTAAAGTGGGGTGTTAAAGTCCCCAGCTATTATTGTATTGATGTCTATCTCTCTTAAAATTTTTTTTTCTTTGTAGAGACAGGGTCTTGCTATATTGCCCAGGCTGTTCTTGAAATCCTGGGCTCAAGTGATCCTCCTGCCTTGGTCTCCCAAAGTGCTAGGATTACAGGTGTGAGCCACCATGTCCAGCCCCTATCTCTTGTTTTAGCTCCAATAATATTTGCTTTATATGTCTGGGTGCTCCAGTGTTGGATGCATATAGATTTACAATCATCATGTCCTCTTGCTGAATTGACCCCTTTCTTTATCATTATATAACCTTCTTTGTCTCTTCTTATAGTTTTTTTCTTGAAATCTATTTTGTCTGATATAACTATTCATGCTGTTTTTTTTTTTTTTTTTTTTTTTTTTTTTTTTTTGAGACAGAGTCTCACTCTGTCGCCCAGGCTGGAGTGCAGTGGCACGATCTCGGCTCACTGCAAGCTCCGCCTCCTGGGTTCACACCATTCTCCTGACTTAGCCTCCTGAGTAGCTGGGACTACAGGCACCTGCCATCATGCCTGGCTAATTTTTTGTATTTTTAGTAGATGGGGTTTCACCATGTTAGCCAAGATGGTCTCAATCTCCTGGCCTTGTGATCTGCCTGCCTCAGCCTCCCAAAGTGCTGGGATTACAGGCATGAGCCACTGCGCCTGGCCTATTCATGTTCTTTTTTGTTTCAATTGGTATGAAATATCTTTTTCCATCCATTTATTTTCAGTTTATATGTATCTTTATAGGTGAAAAGTGCTTCTTGTAGGCAACAGATGATTGAGTCTTATTTTTTCATACATTTAGCCACTCTACGTCTTTTTGTTGGAGAGTTTAGGCCATTTACATTTAATGTTATTATTAATAAGTAAGGACTGACTTCTGCTATTTTGTGATTTGTTTTCTGGTGTTTTGTGGTCTTCCCTTCTTTCTTTCCTTCCTTCCTATCTTCTTTCACTTTTTAACTTTTTTTTGTTTCTCTTTATGTCTTATTGCACTATGTCTTGAAATGTTGTTGTAGTTATTATTTTTGACTGCTTCATCATTTAGTCTTTCTACTGAAGAGTAATTTACACCCCACAAATACAGTATTATAATATTCTGTGTTTTCTGATGTGTTTACTATTGCCAGTGAGATTTATACCTGCAGATTTTTTTTTTTTTTTGAGACGACATTTCATTCTTGTTGCCCAGGCGGTAGTGCAATGGCATAATCTTGGCTCACCACAACCTCTGCCTCCTGGGTTCAAGTGATTCCCCTGCCTCAGCCTCCCAAATAGCTGGGATTATAGGCATGGGCTACCATGCCTAATTTTGTATTATTTTTAGTAGATTCAGGGTTTCTCCATGTTGATCAGGCTGGTCTTGAACTCCTGACCTCAGGTGATCTGCCCATCTTGGCCTCCCAAAGTGCTGGGATTATAGGTATGAGCCACCGTGCCCAGCCCCAGATGATTTCTTGTTGCTCATTAACCTCCTTTTATTTCAGATTGAAGGACTCCCTTTAGCTTTTTTTTTTAGGACAGGTCTGGTGTTGATGAAATCTCTTGGCTTTTGTTTTTCTGTCTTTATTTTTCCTTCATGCTTGAAGGATATTTTTGCTGGATATACTATTCTAGAATAAAAGTTTTTTCCTTCAGCACTTTATATATGTCATGCCACTCTCTCTCTGGTCTGTAAAGTTTCCACTGAAAAGTTTGCTGCCAGACATACTGGAGCTCCACTGTATGTTGTTTCTTTTCTCTTGCTGCTTTTAAGATCCTTTCTTTATCTTTGAGCTTTGGAAGTTTGGTTATTAAATGCTTTGAGGTAGTCATCTTTGGGTTAGATTGGCGTGGTGTTCTATAGCCTTTTTGTATTGAATATCAGTATCTTCCTCTAGGTTTGGGAAGTTCTGTGATATTTTCGCTTTCAAGAAACTTTGTACCTCCATCTCTTTCTCTACCTCCTCCTTAAGGCCACTCTTAGATTTGCCATTTTCAGGCTATTTTCTGGATCTTGTAGTTGTGCTTCACTCTTTCTGATTCTTTTTTCCTCTCCTCTGTGTATTGTGTGTGTATGTGTGTGTGTGTGTGACAGAGTTTCGCTCTTGTTGCCCAGGCTGGAGTGCAGTGGTGTGATCTTGGCTCACTGCAAACTCCGCCTTCCGGGTTCAAGTGATTCTCCTGCCTCAGCCTCCCAAGTAGCTGGGATTACAGGCATGCGCCACTACACTCAGCTAATTTTTGTATTTTTAGGAGAGACAGGGTTTCACTAAGTTGGTCAGTCTGGTCTTGAACTCCTGACTGCATGTGACCCACCCACCTCGGCCTCCCAAAGTGCTGGGATTACAGGCATGGGCTACAGTGCCCTGCCTCCTCTGTGTATTTTCAAATAGACTGTTATCAATCTCACTAATTCGTCTGTTTGTTCAATTCTGCTATTAAGGGACTGGACTCTGATGCATTCTTCAGTATGTCAGTTGCATTTTTGACTCTAGAATTTCTGCTTGATTCTTTTTAATTATTTCAATCTCTTTGTTAAGTTTACCTCATGGAATTCTGAAATCCTTCTCTGTGTCATCTCAAATTTCTTTGAGTTTCCTCAAAACAGCTATTTTGAATTCTCTGTCTCAAAGGTCACATCTCTTTTTCTTTGGGATTGGTCCTTGGTGCCTTATTTAGTTCATTTGGTGAGATCATGTTTTCCTGGCTGGTGCTGATGCTTGTAGATGTTTGTCTGGGCAATAAAGAGTTAGGAATTTATTATAGTCTTTGCAATCTGGGCTTTGCAATCTGTGCCTGCCCTTCTTGAGAAGGCTTTCCTGGTATACAGAGGGACTAGGGCCCCAAGCTCAGTAATGCTATGGTTCTTGCAGACTCATAGAAGTCCCACCTTGGTGGTCTTGGATAAGATTATGAAGAATTCTCTGGATTACCAGGCAGAAACTCTTGTTTTCTTCCTTATTTTCTCCCAAACAGAGTCTCTCTGTGCTGAGCCGCCTGGAACTGGGGGTGAGGTGATGCAAACACCCATGTGGCCACCACCAGTGTAATTGCCCTGAGGCAGACCTGAAACCAGCATAGTACTGGGTCTTGCCCAAAGCCCATTGTAACCACCACCTGGCTACTGCCTATGTTTGCACAGGCCGTAAGGCTCTACAATAAGCAGGTGGTGAAGCCAGCCAAGCTTGTGTCCGTCTCTTCAGGATGGTGAGTTCTCCCAGGCCCCAGGCAGGTCCAGAGATGCTGTCTGGGAGCCAGGGATTGCAGTAAAAACCTTACAAGAAGTCTACCTTGTGTCTTATTCTACTGTGACTAGGCTGGCACCCAAACCACAAGACAAAATCCTTCACACTCTTCCCTCCCCTTTCCACAAGCAGAGGGGCCTCTCCCTATGGCCTCTGCCACCACTGACCCATGGCGAATTCTGTCAGACCACCACTAGTGTTCACTTAAGGCCCAAGGGCTCTTCAGTCAGCTGTGACAAATGTTGCCAGGCCTGGAACTCACCCCTCAGGGTAGTGAAATCCCCTCTGGCACAGTGCAGGTCCAGAAATGCTATCCAAGAGCCTGGACCTGGGGACCCCAAGAGCCCGTTGGTGCTCTACACCATGGCCAAGCTGATACCTGAGGCTGGCATGTCCGAGTCTCACTCAAGGTCCACAGCATACTGCCTGTGCATCGCTGTTGGTTACTCAGGGCCCATGGGCTCTTTAGTCAGCAGGTGATGAAACCTGCAAGACTGAGTACTTCCCTTCAAGGCAGAGGGTTCCCTTCTGGCCCAGGGTGTGTCTAGAAATGTTGTCTGGGAGCTAGGGCCTAGGATGGGGGCCTCACAATTCTGTCAGGTGCCCTGTCCTATTGTGGTTGAGCTGGTATCCAAGATGCAAGACAAAGTCCTTACTCTTCCCTCTCCTCTCCTCAAGCAGAAGGGAGTCACTTTTATTGCTGTGAGCTGCACTGCCTGGGGTTGGGGGAGGGGTGGCACAAGCCCTTCCTTAGCCACCCAACTGGTGTCCCATGTCCACTGGCTCTGCACTCAGCACAGAACAAGGATTTACCTAGCAACTACAGTCCTTGTGGCCTAGACTGCCTTTCAAGTTTATTTAGGACCTTAGAACACTTTAGCCCACAGTGTTGAGGCTTGCTGAAACTCAGGTTCTGACCGCTGGGATGGGCAATTCCCCTCTGGCTAGGGCTGGTCTAGATGCTCCCTCTGTGGATGGGCATCTGCTGAGTTTAACTCAGTTTTGCTTTCTGCTGTGACCAGGCAGCACTGAGTTCAACACAGGGTCCCAAAATTGCTGTGCTTTCCCTCTCTCAAGGGCACAGCACCTGCTGCTGCTAGGGGAACGGGGAAGGAGCAGCGTTACCAATTCAAAACTATCTTTCCTACCTTCTTGCAGTGATATGAAGTTAAAATCAGGTACTGTGATTGCTAACCTGATTTTTGGTTCTCATGAAGGTGCTTTTTGTATGTGTAAATAGTTGTTAAATCAGTGTTGCTGCATTGGGGGACAATTGGTAAAGGTTTCTACATTCAGCCATCTTGCTCAGACCTCTCCTGATTGAACTATTTCTTAAAAATTATTGTGGCTGGGCACAAAGGCTCACATGTGTAATCCCAGCACTTTGAAAGGCTGAGGCAGGATGATCACTTAAGGCCAGGAGTTCAAGACCAGCCTGCGTAACATAGCAAGACCCCATCTCTACAACAATAAAAAAATTATCTGGGTATGGTGATGCATGCCTGTAGTCCCAGCTACTTGGGAGGCTAAGGTGGGAGGATTGCTTGAGCTCAGGAGTTCAAGGTTACAGTGAGCTATGATCATGCCACTGCACTCCAGCCTGGGCAAGAGTGACACCTTGTCTCTAAAAAAATAATTTGGCTGGGCGCAGTGGCTCACACCTGTAATCCCAGCACTTTGGGAGGCTGAGGTGGGTGGATCATGAGGTCAAGAGTTCAAGACCAGCCTGGCCAAGATGGTGAAACCTCATCTCTACTAAAAATACAAGAAAATTAACTGGGCGTGGTGGCACACACCTGTAATCCCAGCTATTTGGGAGGCTGAGGCAGAGAATTTCTTAAACCCAGGAGGCAGAGGTTGCAGTGAGCCGAGATCACGCCACTGCCCTCCAGCCTGGGTGACAGAGCGAGACTCTATCTCAAAAATAAATAAATAAATAATTTATTTTAGACTTTTTCATTATGCTTGAATATTTTCAAAATAAAAATTAGGGAAAACATTCCTCTTTAATGTTTACATACAAACAATTCCATTGGCCTTAAAACTCTTAACTAGTCTTTCTTGGCACATAAACTCTTCTCTGAGGAGTAACTAAAATAATAATCCTTTCTTTTTTTTTTTTTTTTTTTAATTTTTTGAGATGGAGTCTTGGTCTGTCACCCAGGCTGGAGGGCAGTGGCGCGATTTCAGCTCACTGTAACCTCCGCCTCCTGGGTTCAAGCGATTCTCCTGCTTCAGCCTCCTGAGTAGCTGGGATTGCAGGCATCCACCATCATGCCCGGCTAGTTTTTGTATTTTCGTAGAGATGGGGCTTCACCATGTTGACCAGGCTGGTCTTGAACTCCTGACCTCAGTGATCTGCCCGCCTCGGCCTCCCAAAGTGCTGGGATTACAGGCATGAGCCATTGTGCCCAGCCATTCCTCTCTTTTTAACTTGAAACGTCTTCGGAACAATTACTAAATACATCATGCCACTCTGTATTACTTGGTGATTTACATGTTTAAATCCTTCAGTCAACTGCAAGCTCTTTAAGGTAAGGACTGGGTTTTATATAATGCTGCACAAAACTGATCTCAGTGTATTACTCATATTACACATCTATTGATGCTCATTAAGTTAAGCCAGCAAACAATAACTTTTTTACTCCAGCTTGCCAGGAGTAAAAAAAAAAAAAAAAAAAAAAGAAATAGAAGTCAAACAAAGAGTCTATTTAAAATATCAGCTTATTGTTTATATAGTGTGGAATTCATACAGCAATCAAAGGGCTTTACTGTCTGTACCCAGATGCTCATTGTTATTGAATGACTCATATTCTTCATAATTTTTATTTAAAAGTTGCAGTCTAAGTCTTAACTTTAACATGATTAACAGTATTATGGTTTTTCTTTATGTTTTGAGTTTTTTTGTAGACATGGGGTCTATTTTGCCCAGGCTGGTCTCAAATTCTTACCTCAAGAGATCTTCCCCCTTTGGCCCTTCAAAGCACTGGGATTACAGGCATAAGCATCCACTATAGGCCAAGGTACTTTGTATTTAAATAAAAGGTTTATAAGGAAGTCTAAAATTCATATTTTACTAAATTTTACCATATTTTCCTGAAGTAGTAGATTAAAAATATATTTAAATTAATTCATAGATGGCTGGGGAAAAAAGGCATATAAAGAGAACAAGTGACTTGTCCTAAATGACACAATCAATTCTCAATACTTTCTCTTTTCAATGATGCATGCTTATTTTCTACTTGATGAGTTGGATTGTACTTTACAGGAAACCTAAAATAAATTCTTAGGTCAGGAAATGTGACTTCGATTAATTACAAAACATATATTTATGTGTAATGTGTTCTTAAAGCTGTAATTTACAAATATTCATAATGATTTCCAAGCTTCAGTCTGCCTCTTGATATAGGTCCATTTCATTTATATAATCATAAATAATAATAAGTTAGTATTTATTTTGCTGATTTAAGGTGTTCATCCAAAAGTTCAGCAATGGCTTCTTCATCTGCTGATTGAAGCAGTCTCTGAATTAGCTGATCCAGGCCCTTCCCACCACATAAAAATTCCTGGTAAAAGAGAGAGCTATTATGAAACCTAATGATTAGAAATATAAGCAAAGACTTTAGTGTTTATTTATTTAATTTCTTTGCAGTCATTATTTAATAACAATAAAGGATTACTAATGTTCTGTAATACAATGAACACAATCGCTAACTTGGGAAGATCCCCACTCTGTAGAAGAATTCAGTTAGCATTTTATTTTAAAATAAATCTTCTGAGATTTGGATTTTCCTAACAACTCCAGAGACAACAAAACAAAGAGATCTAGATGGACTTTTGAAACTGACCACCTCCCTCCCTTTAAAATTCCACTGATTGGCTTTTATGACAACACCATTCTAGGCTCTCAAACCATCTTTAGGAGAACGGGTTTGCTGGATTTTCTCTTATTGTACCCTAAAAAAAAAATGCTTTTATTCTTGTCCTGAAAATTCTACCCTTTTCACTCACATTATGTTATTTCCCAGAGGAAAAAGACTGAAAGGTCTCAATTCCACAAGCAATTTGTTCCACAAGCATTTTGTGCATTAATGCACATACTGCTCCTTGCCAACTCCTCTGGATCTGACTGAGAGGAAGCCTCCCCCGACCATTCAAGCTCACCCTTCTGCTAATCCTCAAAGTTTAGATTATTTCATCTGTAAGTGGTTTATGATAGTTTTTTATTTTTAAACCGAAAACATGATGATCTAGAAGTCCTGTGTAACTGAAAAATATTTTTGTTGAAATATTTAGGGGTGAAGTGTCTTTGAGGTCTGCAATTTGCTTTCAAATGGTTCAAGAGCAACACAGGTTTATAGAGAGACAGAGGAAATGGTGGGGGGAAAGAGAAGGAAAATACAGTAAAATATTAACAACTGTTGAATCTAGGTATAGTCTATATTGTGCTGATTGACTAATCTTTTTTTTTGAGACTGGCTCTTGCTCTGTCGCCCAGGCTGGAGTATAGTGGTGTGATCTCGGCTCACTGCAACCTCTGCCTCCTGGGCTCAAGCAATCCTCCCACCTTAGCTTCCCGAGTAGCTGGGACTACAGGCACATGCTACACACCCAGCTAATTTTTTTTTTTTTTTTTTTTTTTTTTTTTGTAGAGATAGGATTTTGCCATGCTGCCCAGGATGGTCTCCTGAGCTCAAGCGATCCTCCCACCTCTGCCTCTCAAAGTGCTGGGATTACAGGTGTGAGCCACTGTGCCCAGCTGACCCAATCTTTAAACATTATGTAAACTTGAAAAAGTTTGAAATAAAAAGTTGAGAAAAAAAATTTTCATGTTTACCACTAAATAACTCCACTGGGTGAAAACTGTTTTGAGTTGACTTCCCTGAAGTCTCGTCTACAGTTCTCTGAAAAATGACTAAATTAATGACTTCAAGAACTTTTCCTGTATAACAGAAATTCTGTGTAGTAAAGTTGTTGGGATTAATGAATTTGTACATTGCCATTTTAGAAATGCTTGAAATTTAGACACTGGCTTAATGAAAATACTTTAATGTTGGCATCTGGAACACAAAACATTTAGTTTTGATATAGTTATGAACTAATCTTATAGTTAAGTCTTTCTTGAATGGTCTTAAAGTTGAACTTTAGGAAGTGTACACACACATCTCTCAAATTAAGGTAAAGGATATATCTTACTATTTCTGTATTCCCCAAAGTACCAGCATATAGTAAAACCTCAAACTCTGAAATTAAACAGAAAGCAAAAACACTATGATATAACTTTAAAATTAAGGTTTATATCACTTTGAGCAAAATATGAAATTGCTTTTAAAATCAGTGTGACTAGGCCAGGAGCAGTGGCTCATGCCTGTAATCCCAGCATTTCGCAAGGCTGACGCGGGCAGATCACCTGAGGTCAGGAGATTGAGACCAGCCTGGCCAACATGGTGAAACCCCGTCTCTACTAAAAATACAAAAATTAGCCAGGCGTGGTGGTGTGTGCCTGTAGTCCCAGCTACTCAGGAGGCTGAGGCTGGAGAATTGCTTGAACCCGGGAGGCAGAGGTTGCAGTGAGCCGAGATTGCGCCGCTGCACTCCAGCCTGGGCAACAGAGCAAGACTCTGTCTCAAAAAAAAAAAAAAAAATGTACCTGGTACTCAAATTATTATAGTATTGCCAAGGTAATCATCTTTGGAATTGATGTAAAAGGATTATCCCTCTACTGGGAGTCAAACACATTAGATTCAACTGGATTAACCAGAGTGCAGGAGATACAAAGGTCAAAGATGAATGAGTCATAGTTCCTAACTTTCAGAGGCTAACAGTCTAAGTAGAACAGCTAGACAAATACATAAGCATCACAAAACAATATAATAAATTAAAAAATGAAGGAGAAGAAAGGAAGGATTGTAAGGAACCATGAATTTTGAAGAAAGGTGGCATCAGGGAAAGATTCAGGAAGCCAGAAAGTTTTGAATTTGGTTTTACAAAGAGAATAGTATTTTCCCGAATAGAAATGAGCTGGGCATTTCCATCAAAAGAAGGAGTATTAGAGGCTGGGTGTGGTGGCTCACGCCTCTAATCTCAGCACTTTGGGAGGCCAAGACAGGCAGATCACTTGAGGTCGGGAATTCAAGAACAGCCTGACCAACATGGGGAAACCCCGTTTCTACTAAAAATACAAAATTAGCTGGGCATGGTGGTGCATGCCTGTAATCCCAGCTATTCCAGAGGCTGAGGCAGGAGAATCGCTTGAACCCAGCAGGTGGAGGTTGTAGCGAGCTGAGATCACACCATTGCACTCCAGCCTGGGCAACAAGAGCAAACCTCTGTCTCAAAAAAAAAAAAAAAAAAAAAAGAATGAGTATTAGGACAGGAAAACTGCTGGGGGCGCGGTGGCTCAGGCTATAAACCCAGCACTTTGGGAGGCCAAGGTGGGTGGATCACTTGAGGCCAGGAGTTCGAGACTAGCCTGGCCAACATGGTGAAACTCCTTCTCTATTAAAAACACAGAAAAATTAGCCAGGCATGGTGGTACACACCTGTAATCCCAGCTACTCAGGAGGCTGAGGCAGGAGAATCACTTGAACCCAGGAAGCAGAGGCTGCAGAGATTCCACCACTGCACTCCAGTCTGGGCAACAGAGTGAGAATCTGTCTCGGAAAAAAAAAAAAAAAAAAAAAACAGGAAAACAAAGTACATTTAAATCTCTAAGGCCAGGGGAAATTTCCAGTGTAACTGGAATATAGAGCAGGAGATAAGGCTGATGTCAAGAAATCTGCACAAGGACATTGAGAAACAATAAAAATGTGAAACAATACATTATATGGTAGTCTGTGCTTATTAGCTCGATAAATAAAAGTAAGAAAGTTACCTAACAGAAGAAGTCATAATGAGAATACCAGGTGATCTCACAGAATCCAAGGATAGGAATGTGGAATGTGCAGGGTCACGACTACCACCCGTGGAATGAGACTGAGCCTTGGGAATAAATAAATGTAGGGACTCATATCATCAGGGTTCTTTCTGTCTATTTCTCATTTTTGCTTTTCTCTGTGTATCAATTTCATTCTCTTCTCACTGAAGATGCTTTCTCTTGGTGGCTGAAAATGTGGCCTCTAACCTCTTACATGCTTTATATATTGCAGTTTCAGCCACCAAGAGAGAGAATAATCCTCTCCATCTCTGATCTTAAAATCCTGGGAAGAAACTCACTGGCTAGGACTTATTTGGGTGTCCACTCCAAACAAATCCACTTTTGTCCTGGGTCAGGATCACGATCATGTAAGAATGCAGCAGCTCTGTCAGAAACTGTGGATGTGGTACGAAGGGCAAGTTCTAGAATAAGGGAGGAAAGCTAGGCAAAAAGTTCCAAAAACGCTCACATTCTTTCCTATCTACCCCTTCCATTTGTCCAACAGCTGTTGCCCTGGGGTTAAGATCCTTATCACTTTTCCAGCTTCATCTATGATTTGGTTCCTAAGTTATTCACTCTTTTTTTTTTTTTTTTCTGAGACAGAGTCTTGCTCTGTCGCCCAGGCTGGAGTGCGGTGGTGCGATCTTGGCTCACTACAAGTTCCACCTCCCGGGTTCATGCCATTCTCCTGCCTCAACCTCCCCAGTAGCTGGGACTACAGGTGCCCACCACCATGCCCGGCTAATTTTTTTTTGTATTTTTAGTAGAGATGGGGTTTCACCGTGTTAGCCAGGATGGTCTCGATTCCTGACCTCGTGATCTGCCCACCTCGGCCTCCCAAAGTGCGGGGATTACAGGCGTGAGCCACCGTGCCCAGCCAATTATTCACTCTTACTAGTCTCTTTACTGTCCTTCACACAGATTTTAATGTTTTACTACAGCTACCTTTTTTCATGCTGTTTTCAAACTTTGTTCCTTTCACTACTATGGAATGTCTTCTTCCAGTAGACTAGTTAGTGATTATTAGAGCTTACCAGTGTTATTTTCCTTATTACTTCTGAGTCTGGCATGCTAGTTTGGTTAGTGATATATTATTATTTAGGCCAAAGTCAGATATTTTATAACTACAGAAGCCAGTTAGTTACCTTCCCTTTGTTTCACAACCGAATACTATACTATGCACCTATGGTCCCATCTAAAAGATATTACTGGTCATAAGAATGTGGCTGTCTCCGAAAAAATTGTCACTACTAGAAAAACAACTGAAAGAACATAGTGTAATTAGAACAATATGGCCAAACACGTTTCGTTAATACTGTGTGTTTCCGGAGGAAAGGGAAATTAGCAAATATTTTCCTCCTTTTCAACATGGCTATGTTCCTAAGCAAGATAGCCTTATCCTGCTGAGGAGACAGAGGATGTGGCATAAGACATACAGAAATTGACAAACATATTAACCTTGTATAACTAGGACTTTTTTACAAGGTATATTTCCCTTGTAAAACTAGGACTTTAATTTTGAGAATAGGATGGGACAGAGTCAAGTGAAAGAAGCCTTAGGTATCACATGGCACCAAGGAAAAACATCAAAGATTTCTGTCTGCTGCCTTTTCCACATAGTCCTTTATGGGACCAGTTCACTTTCTCCTTCAGTGGCAACAAAAAAGACATTTTTCTGTGCTTCATCATTAATATATTTATATATTTATGTCAGTGGTCTTTGCTGGATGCGATTTAGATAGGTTAATGTTCAAACAATCTTGACCGAGTCTTTTCCCCAACAGCCTAACTGTAACACCTCAATCTAATGAAGACACATTGTGGTAGGGAGAATTCTAAGATGCCCCCTGGTGTACACACTGTGAATAACTCCCTCTCAGTGCAGACAGGACCTGTGAAAATGATGGAGTATCATTCTAGTGCCTAGGTGACTAAGCAGCTGACTTTGAGTTAATCAAAAGGAACATTATCCAGGTGAGCTTGACCTAAACAGGTGAGCCCTTAAAAAGGCCCGAGTCATTCCTGCAAGAAGAGATTCAAAGTGGGAGAGAGTCTCTGGAGGTAGCCACTGGGAAACAACTTCCAACAGTATTTACGCGCTGAAAAGCAGCCTCCAGCTGACTGTCAGCAAGGGAATGGGGGCTTCAGTCCTACAATCGAAGGCAATGGCATTCTGCTGGCAACCACATAAACTTGGAAGAGGACCCCAAGCTCCAGAAGAGTATGGAGCCTGGCCATGCCTTGATTTCAGCCTTGTGAGATCCTGAGAAGATAACTAAGCTCAGTTGTCCCTAGATTTCTGACCTACAGAAATCATGAGATAATACTTTAATCATGGGTACTGCTTTAAGTTGCTATATTCGTGGTAATTTGTTACCTGTCAATAGAAAACCAATACCCATGTATATATGCAGACTGAATATACGTTCATGCATTGTGATTGCATAACGAAGAATTTGGAATTTAGAAAAGACCATTGTTTCAAAATGGCATAAAGATCATTATTTTTTTAACCAGCAAACTAATAAAAGTGTTTGTAAATTTTAGGGTGGCTTAATGATTTAAATTACTTGGTAATATTTTAGATATACTTGGTAATATCTACATATATGTTCTAGAATTTGACTATATTTTCTTCTGAAATCAAAGGTAGGCAAAGCATACTCAGTAGTATTACCTTAATATCACGAACTTCATATGCTATCCTGTGGTCACTGACTCTATCCTGGGTGAAATTATATGTCCGAATTCGCTCTGACTGGGCTCTTGTTCCCACCTGTGCCATAACAAAAAGCAATTTATATTTTACCTTTATAAATGTCTTCATTACAATGGAAAAAGCACTTGGCAAATGACCATTTCAACAATTTAGATACTTTCTAAAAGACATATATACAAAATGACAAAGAAAAAGAATGGGCAGAACTTAATGTTTAATACTACAGGTTTGTAGAGCTCGGTTATAGAATAAGAAGGAATGTTTCTTTGATATTTCAAACTCCAAATCCTTAAAATCAAATTAATCATCTTTCCACTCCAATCAGTTCCCCCTCCTGGTTTCTATAAATGACAGTACCATGTATTCTCTTTTATCCAAGTAGAAAATTCTGACATTCTGCAATTTATCAAACATTTTGTGGGTCTGAGTTTACTATGCCAGGCTTTGACAAAGATGCACACGGCGGGAGAGACCATCTTCAGTTCATCCCATTCTCCAACTGCCCATTTCCAATTGGTTTCATGGGTCTCTTATTATATCCTGCCCTTTCCATTTCTCCTCTCACTCATGGACTCATTACTTTCACCTACAATTCTGCAAAAATCTCCTGATTAATCTCCAATTTTTTTGCTCACATTGTGCTGCCCTGCTTACTCTTCCTACAGTACAGTTTTCTGATAAATTTTCTTTGGTTCCTTCTTGTCTACTGAGCAGACACAACTCAACTCAGCATTCAAGGTACTTTGTAACGTGGCCAATCTTCCCAGTGTTATTTCTGAAAATTACGTTAATCTCCATAATGCCACTAATAATACTATGTCATTATTATGTGTGTGTCGGTTATCTCTGCTATAAAACATCATCTCAAGGGATGCCCTTCTCTAATACTCTCCTACCATTTCTGCCTTTCTGGCCCCAGCAATTGAAATACATTCTCTTCTTCCCTGAAATCCACTGTACTTGGAATGTTCTTCATGGCACACCACAGTTTGTCTCATGCTACAGTTATTTGCATTCTTCTTAGTCTGCTCATCTCCTCCACCTCCCCAACACCCGATATACACAGCACCCTGTGTCAATTGCTGTCACTTTTTAAAATAAGATATTTCTATAACTTATTGTCTTAAACCCTAAGGCAAGTGATATGAAACTAAACTCCTGACCATTAGAAGAATTTTTTTAAATTATGGATTCCTAAGCCCAACCTCAGATATAATGGATCAGAATTATGTATTTTGAGAACATCCCAGATCATCTCTTCTGACAATCAGCCAAGTTTGGAAACCACTGTCCCAAAGCACCATATTAATGGCCAGGACCTCACTCCAGATCAGTTACATCAGAATCTCTGGGGTGGGGCCTGGGCATCTACGAAAGCTTGTTAGGTGATCAGTGGAACCAGGATTGGGAATGTGGCATAATGCCTTCTGTATAAAAGCCAAGTGTATATCTTGGTTGAAGAAAAAAACTTCTAAGCCTTAGAAATCCCTATTAAAACATTTCAGGTAGGTGGATAAGTTATTCAAGAGGCAGTGACGTCTTTTTTGGCTTGTCAATCAGACTACTGAAGAAGACACATGAACAATTTGCATAAAGCCAATCTTGAATACCTATTTTAAAAATTACTTTGTGGGCTGGGTGCAGTGGCTCACACCTGTAATCCCAGCACTTTAGGAGGCTCAGGCGGGCAGATCACATGAGGCCAGGAGTTCGACACCAGCCTGGCCAACATGACAAAAACCCATCTCTGTAAAAAATACAAAAATGAGCCAGGCATGGTGGTGCATGTCTGTAATCCCAGCCACTCGGGAAGCTGAGGCACAAGAATCGCTTGAACCCGGGAGGCAGAGGTTGCAGTGAGCCAAGATCGTGCCACTGCACTCTAGCCTGGGTGACAGAGAG
The DNA here is from genome assembly GCF_000001405.40 of Homo sapiens. Lineage (NCBI taxonomy): Eukaryota > Metazoa > Chordata > Mammalia > Primates > Hominidae > Homo > Homo sapiens. The sequence continues at coordinate 41,225,200 of NC_000013.11, forward strand.
AATCTGTCTCAAAAAAAAAAAAAAAAAAACTTTGTGCAACGCCTGGTGCCAAAATGTTAAACGGCAAGTAAATCCAAATGTCTTTTTAAAATTCAAATGTGGCAGAGTTCATAGTGTCTGTGGTTATCACTTATTTGCCAAGAAGTGATGGTGTGTACCCAGGGTATATTGTTTGCTTGTTAAAAGCAAAAATAAGTTATGGTTTGTAAATGAGCATTCCTATCTGCAAGTGTATACACTGATGATGCACTACAATCTGGGATTACCACTAATAGTGTTAATATTATTTATCCTGTCACTTTTATTACCTGCAAGTTAGCGTGTAGGTAAAGAAAGCTAGAAACGTGAAAGTGTGAAAAAGCTAGGATACATCTAGATGAAAAGTATAACTAATGCTTAGGTTTAGACAATTCATTATCCTAAAAGGCCACAAAATCTTCCAAATTTAAATTACTGTAGCATAGCCAGGTGTAGTGGCACGTGCCTGTAATCCCAGCTACTCAGGAGGCTGAGGCAGGAGAATCGCTTGAACCAGGGAGGTAGAGGCTGCAGTGAGCCAAGATTACGCCACTGCACTCCAGCCTGGTGACAGAGCGAGACTCTGTCATTAAAAAAAAAAAAAAAAAAAGAATTTAAATTATATATTAGGTTTACTTAAAATAATGACATTTATTCATTTTGCTTAGAATTCATCTATTTATCTATTTGAAAAAGTAACACTATATCATATATATTGTACAAAATTCAAAAAGTACCAAATGGTACATAATGAAAAATAAATTTCCTTTCTACCCCTTGTCCCTAGTCTCCATCAGTAGTATTCACTGTTCCCAGTTTTTTGCAGTGCCATTTGTATTTGATCTCACATAGAGTTATAGTACAAGCATAGGTTTTAATTTTTAGAAATAAAAAACGTTCTTAATTCTCAAAGAATTATTTGTCTTTTAAACCGTTTTCTTCTTAAGACAGTAATGATATAAACACAAGAGGGAAACAACTAGGAAATAATTTTTAGTTTATACATCTTACATTTACTAACTTGCAAACTGGTATGCCCAAGTTTAGCCATAACCCATCAGTTCATTTGTACTGAGTTACTGCTTATTTACAAAGGAGCACATTTCTCTATGCTCTAAAACATTCCCATTTAAGCAAGAACAAACACTGCATTCTCTACAGAAAATGACTTTTCTTTAAACAGTCACTAAATTATTATACCAAGTAAATCTTACCTGCAGTTTTCTAGCACTTTGTTGCTGACGCTTGTCTTTCTCAATAATCTGCTGGTAGAGTCTAGCTCTCAACACACGAAAGGCTATTTCTTTATTTTTTATCTGTGATCTTTCTTGTTGGCATTCTACTACTAGCCCTGAAAAATAACAGGGATCAGAAGGTAAACTGTAGCTTCCACCAAATTAAGATAGAACCAAGGAACAGTTAAATGAGACAGGTTAATCAGGAAAAGATCACAAAAGATACAAACATTTTAGGTTTAGCACACTTCAGAAACTAGCTGGGTTATGATTATAGCTGTAGTTGGCTCTTTAGATTCTGATATGTAAATGAGAACTCCGTATGAGCACCCAGAAAGCAGCAGCATCCACAGATGATTACCTGTCCTTTCAGTCCCCGAGCTTGGCCTCTTCCTCCTAGCTCATCCGGGCATTTCTGCAGCTCAACAAACAGCAAACTACTGCTACTCCCTATACTGCGCTGCTCCATTCTCTGTCCAACTCAAGAAGAACTTGCCTTTTCCCCTTTCAGTCACAAATATACACAGAGCTGAGGTTTTAAAAATACCTTTATAATGGCTGGGCGCAGTGGCTCACACCTGTAATCCGAGGATTTTGGGAAGGCAAGGCGGGTGGATCACAAGGTCAGGAGATCACGACCATACTGGATAACACAGTGAAACCCCATCTCTAAAAATACAAAAAATTAGCCAGGCGTGGTGGCATGTGCCTGTAGTCCCAGCTACTTGGGAGGCTGAGGCAGGAGAATCGCTTGAACCTGGGAGGCGGAGGTTGCAGTCAGCCGAGATTATGCCTGGTGACAGAGCGAGACTCCGTTAAAAACAAAAACAAACACAACAACAAAAACCAAAAAAAAAAAAACTTTATAGAAAAAAGCCAATGAAAAGACGCTACTCAGAGTCTTTAAAAAGAAGAATTTATAGTGAATGTTTCTGAGTTTTCTGAGTTCTAAATTTCTAAGTTGTTCTGCGTAGTCTAAGTTAGCTGGGGTCCAGCTAATCAATACATCTAACCTCACACAAGTTTTGGCTAGCCAGCTTCTGCATTTGGGTGGGTTTGGCCCACTGTGTAGTCCAGTTCCTGGTCCAAATCCAGCTCTGAAACGATCACTTCTTGAGGCTGTGTTGTTCTTAACTTTGCAGCTACCACTCTGAGGTCCGTGTCAAATCCTGCTCCTCAGTACATTAGAGGAGAAAGGGATTTTCTTTCTGAATCACAGAAACTAAAAACCAAAAGCCCCATTAGCTTAGCCTATCTGCACCGATACAGTGGTAAATATTTTGCTGGAGATGTAAAGAATTTCTATAAAGTTCTATTCTCTGAACTATGTTTTCTCCCTGTCTAAATAAGCTACAGTCACTACCTGCTAATACTTTTAGTAGGGCACTGAGGTTTCACCTCTACTAGTTTAATCACTTCCTGACTGCTTTACTGCAGCCATCTGGTTGGACTGGGGGCACTGGCTGGCCCCCATCTTCCAGGTATTTGTCTGGAGTTTTCTTGACTCTCGTATCCTTTTTGTACTACCCAAAAGAATATGAACATTTCCATTTTAAGACGGCCAGGCTTTCATGAGCTCTCCTCCACATTCCTCTTCTTGTCAGCTGATCTGTACTGATTTTTGCCTAAGCACCTGTATTATTCCTATCTACTCACTCAGGTTAGAACTTTTAGATCAAAACTATTACTTTCCAGCTCAGTAATTCCTAAGGGAATCACTTTATTATGTATTTTATTATAATGTACTTTCTATAGAGGAGTATTTAATAATGAGTACTCCCTTAAGAATAGAAGATGTAGAGGGAGGGAAGGTGTACTGAATAATAGAAGGGGGCTGGGCACGATGGCTCACACCGGCAACCCCAGCACTTTGGGAGGCAAAGGCGGGTGGATTATTTGAGGCCAGAAGTTCTGAGACCAGCCTGGACAACACAGCAAGATTTCGTCTCTACTAAAAATACAAAAACTAGCCAGCGTGGTAGCTGCACCTATAGTCCCAGCTACTCAGGGGGCTGAGGTAGGAGGATGACTTGAGCCAAGAGTTCGAGGTTACAGTCAGTGAGCTATGATCATGCCACTGCACTCTAGCCTGGACAACAGAGCAAGACCCAGTCTCAAAAGAAAGAAAGAAAGAAAAACAAAGAATTACAGAGGCCATCTTTTACTCACCAACTGGTAATAAACTAAAAAAAGCCCACTTTAATGCACAAAATATTCATTTGTCTTCATCCTTATCTTGGGATAAATTTTCCCAAGAAAGGTAATATTCCCCTGTATAAACATTTAACCATACCCCTATGAATAACTCTTCCAATGGTGGAAAATGAAATTATCTAGAAGCAGTGGTTAGAAAAAAAATACGATTCTTCCATGACATGGAGAAAATAGAAGAATGAGCTATATAGTTCTCACTTTGAATTCTAGCAGGGACGGTTCCTAGTCTAAGGTCTTAGTATGGAAGAAAGAATGGGAGAAATGGAAGAAAGGCTGAGTTTTCCTTGAAGCAGATGCTGAAACCATGGCAATCCTCAAAATATGGAAGAAGTAGGCTGAAGAAATCACTTGGTCATAACTGCATGGCTTCATAAGGGTTAGGTCTTGACATGCCTTGCTTGCCTAAAGGGAAGGTTTGAGGGTAGGCCTTCAGGCCTCTTTGAAACCAAAGACTCAGATCTAAGTGGCTAAAAAATAATTGGCCCAAGGTAAGTCTGGCAGCACAATGATAAGTCACTTTCTTTTCCCTTTATTGTTAGTTGACATGTAATAATTGTACATATTTATGGGATATAGAGTGGTATTTCGATACAATGTGGAATGATCAAATCAGGGTAATTAGCACATCCATCACCTCAAAATTTATTTATCATTTATTTGTGTTGTGAACATTCAAAATCTTCTCTTCTAGCTTTCTGAAAATATGCAATAAATAAATCTATATTAACCATATTCATGCTATAGTGCTACAGAACACCAGGACTAATTCCTCCTATCCAGCTGTAATTCTGTATCCTTTACCCAACCTCTCTCTATCCTCCTCTCCCCCTTACCCTTCCTAGTCTCTAATAACCACAGTTCTACTCTCTGTAAGTCACTTTTTGTAAAGTCAGCAATTTATGGCTACATAGGGTGGTTTTACAACTTGTAAGTTTTAAAGTATTCTGGTTTGTCAGAGTTTTGATCACCTTTTACCCAATTTTTTACCCATTTTAATTTTTAATTCATCTTAAGCTAATTATTACTGTTCTGGACTGTGTATAATATAGAATGATATCCAACAATACAGGGTTTAGGTGAAACACATTAAGTATTCAACAATTTATGGACTGTTGAAATAAATTATGGCAAGTTACAAAAAGTATAACCTCAGGACGGGCATGGTGGCTCATGCCTGTAATCCCAGCACTTTGGGAGGCCGAGGTGGGCAGATCACTCTAGGTCAGGAGTTCGAGACCAGCCTGGCCAACATGGTGAAACTACGTCTCTACTAAAAATACAAAAATTAGCCAGGTGTGGTGGTGCACACCCATAGTCCCAGCTACCTGGGAGGCTGATGCAGGAGAATAGCTTGAACACTGGAGGCAGAGGTTGCAGTGAACCAAGGTTCACTGGCCACTGCATGCCAGCCTGAGTGACAGAGCTAGACTCCATCTAAGAAAAAAAAAAAAGTATAACTTCATTTTTGGGGAAAAAATGGCATATTTTTATATGTACAGAAAAGAATTTGAAAGGATGTATACCAAAGATATATGCCAACAATGGTTACTGGGTTATTATTACGGATGTTTTATGTTCTTTTGCTCATGCATATATTCTTTTCTTTTTTTTTTTTGAGACGGAGTTTCACTCTTGTTGCCCAGGCTGGAGTGCAATGGCGTGATCTCAGTTCACTGCAACCTCTGCCTCCCAGGTTCAAGCAATTCTCCTGCCTCAGCCTCCCGAGGAGCTGGGATTACATGCATGCGCCACCAGGCCCAGCTAATTTTGTATTTTTAGTAGAGCTGGGGTTTCTCCATGTTGGTCAGGCTGGTCTTGAACTCCCGACCTCAGGTGATCTGTCTGCCTTGGCCTCCCAAAGTGCTGGGATTACAGGCGTGAGCCACTGCACCGGGCCTTTTTTTTTTTTTTTTTAACAGTTTCCTATGGAATAAAAATCAATAAAGGAAACAAGAGAAAGTATGAAATTATCCTATTTTGGATATTTAGGTTGTTTTAACTTTTCATACAACAAACAATACAAGCAATCATAATCATGTCTGACTTCAAGATGGTTTCCCTTTTTTTTTTTTTGAGACTGAGTTTTGCTCTTGTTGCCCAGGCTGAAGTGCAATGGCATGATCTCGGCTCACTGCAACCTCTGCTTCCTGGGTTCAACTGATTCTCCTGCCTCAGCCTCCCCAGTAGCTGGGACTACAGGCATACACTACTACACCCAGCTAATTTTTTTGTATTTTTAGTAGAGACAGGGTTTCACCATTTTGGCCAGGCTAGTCTCAAACTCCTGACCCTCAGGTGATCTGCCTGCATCAGCCTCCCAAAGTGCTGGGATTACAGGCGTGAGCCACTGCACCTGGCCCCCACCCCGCTTTTTTTAAATCACACTACAACAAGAACAAAGAACAGAAACACAAACTCCATCTGAAATAAAACTAGGTGATATATATAATCCCCAAACATGATCTATTAAAGACAGAAAGTGGATGGAAGAATGGTAAATGACTTAGCAGCTGGAAGGAAGGTGAGACTTAATTCCCTGTAGAGGGAGATGCTGACCAGAAACTGGCCACTTTGCCCTGCTAAGTGCCAGAAAGGCTCAGAAATAGAGACACCAGGTATTTCAGAAGTCAGGCTTGAGGAGCTAGGGCTAAATACAGAAAGCCTATAATAACAAATAGATCCTCAAGTCTCCTTCCTCAATCTGCAGAAGGCAGGAGGTATATTTCTGGATAATTAAATCAGGAAAATTCCAGACCTGGGACTAGTTATAAGGGAGGGCAAGTATGGAGTATGGGCGGGAAGACAAGAGGATTAAGTAAACAACTGCTATTGAAAGGTGAGACCTTGACTTTACTCTCAGCTGTATCCTGGAAGATCCTTCTCAGGAGAAAACAAACTCACAAGAGAAAAGGTCTACAGATATAGACATCTGGGGGTCCCTAATAAAAAAGCTGATTAATCCTCTAACTGCTCCACAGTGGAACTCACTAATGGGTATGTGGATAAGTGCACTCAGAGCTTCAGAATCTGGCTCTTAAATATGTACAGACAGCCAAGAATTCCTAGAAATTTCCAACATGAAAGTAAGAATGGGCTGAGTGTAGTGGCTCATGTCTGTTATCCCAACACTTTGGGATGCTGAGGCAGGCAGATCACTTGAGCCGAGGAGTTGGAGACCAGCTTGGGCAATGTGGAGAAACCTGGTGTCTACCAAAAAAAAAAAAAAAAAAAGCAAAAATTAGCCAGGCATGGTGGCAAGCGCCTATAGTTCCAGCTACCAGGAAGCTGGGACGGGGGAGTGGTGCTGAGGTGGGAGGGTCACCTGAGCCTGGGAAAGTCACAGCTGCAGTGAGCTGTGATCACACCACTGTACTCCAGCCTGGGCAACAGGCCAAGGCCTTGTCTCAAAAAGAAAAAAAAGAAAAGTAAAGCAAGAATGAAACAAAAATAAACTCAGAAGAAACAGAGACACTGCAGAAAGCAGAAGAGAACTTCAGGGAAACTAAAATTAATATCCTTCAGTAATAAAAAAAAGAAATAAGTATCAACAAAATAAGAAAAGGATGCTATGAGAAAACAATTCTGAGAACAAGAAAGAGCTCTCAAAAGTTAAAAAAATAATTTTTTTACAATCAGAAAAAAGGGTAGGAAAAAGAACTAAAAAACAAAGTGACAGACAATATGAGGAAAAAACAAATTCAAGAGGTCTAATATCTAACTAATAGAAATCCCAGGAAGAATAAATAAAATGTTATGCAAGAAAGTATTGAAGAAAGTATTTCAGAGCTGAAAGGCATGAGTCTCTAAACTGAAAGCAACAAATACAAGGAATGAAAAAGACTTTCAATGTTCTAAGGGGAAATTATTTCCATGAAATGATCGATGAAGTGTGAAGTTAGAATAAAGCTATTTTCAGATCTACAAAGCCTTGAAATATTTACATGTCACAAATCTTTTCTCAGGAAGCCACTTAAAGATGAGCTTTGTTAAAATGACAGAGTAGCAAAGAGAAAAGATGATATAGAACCCAAGAAACGGGAGGATCCAACACAGAACAGAGATGAAAGGAACTCCCCAACTGCTGATGACCAGGACAACCCCTGTGCAATGTCCTGGGGAGCAGCTGGTCCACACTGAAGCAAGATGATGGAGTGCTCTGTCATGGAGTCTCCAGAGAGCACTGGAGTGACTTCATTTTACACAACTTTTGGAAGATGTAAGCAGACTCAGAGTCAAAGAAAAGTAGGCAAATGAAAAATCAATGAGGTAATTATTAACTCTAGGAAATGAAATCACAGGACTGTATACTAATGGGCTCAGCGTCTAACACTATCTGTTCATTATATGAACACAGTGAAAATTAATTTTGCCAAAAGATAAATATTTGGAAGAAGAAAAGGTATATAAGAAGGGCAAAATTCTCATCTACCACATTAAGATGTAAATATATAATCTTTATAGTTGGTCAGAAGAGCAATATTTGCCTATTATTTAGAAATACTGAGGTAATTACCAGAAGAAATAGCTAAAAGAGGTTCATTTGTTTGTTTTTTGCAGCTAGAGAAGTGAGTAAAAAGAATTTAAAGTGGTTGTCTTTAGGAAATGGGAACTGAGAGTAGAGGAAGTAGGAAGAGGGTGGGAACAAGTCCAGAGAGCTGTTGGTTTTTTTGTTATAGGACTTTGCCATTAGACTTTTAAAACCATATACATGAAATGTAAAAATTAATTTAAAAAAATTAAGGAGTTAAATAAAATTTTAATTTGAAAAACGGTAGGAATATTTAAAATCACATTACGGACAGCAAAACTACCTCAGAGTATACCAAAATTACCAATATTCAAAATAAAAGCATTAGTGCAGCAAAGCCTAATGGAGTTAGCTGTCATGCTACAAGGTGACAGAATATCCACGGTGGTGGCCTGTGCAAGGCTGCTTCTGTGTTTCATCTGTATTTAGGCTGGGGCACCTCTGTTTGCTCACTCCCATCCAGCATACCTGGGAAGCTTCCCTGAATAGGTCTGCTCACCGTCTGCATCTTTTCAGAAAGGAATCTTTCCAAACAGAAGGGAAATATGAACACAATAGCCATCCTGATCCACAACCCCAGTGACATTTTTAAAGAGCTGTGCAAGGAACCAGACACTCATATAGGACTATTTCCTTCCAAATGCTGAGTAAGATGGAAAAAGGGTTAAAAGTACAAAGCCAAGGGGCTTGCTTACCTGTGGGGATGTGGACAAGTCTGACGGCACTATCAGTTTTATTAACATGCTGCCCTCCTGCTCCTTTGGCTCGAAATGTATCTATTCGCAAATCCTTGGGGTCCAATTTCACATCCACCTAGAACAGAAGGCATGGCATAATTCTACACTCCGTGAATACTTTAATATAAAATCGATTCCAAGATTTTTCAAATAAACTGTATTGTTTTAAGATAAATTATAGCCTTTAGACTAAGAGAAGTAACTTATACCAAAGAAAGAGCAATAAACTCCCCATTCCAATGGGATGCTATTTTTTGTTTGTTTGAGACAGGGTCTCCCTCTGTTGCCTAGGCTGGAGTATAGTGGCACAATCATAGCTCACTGTAACCTCAAACTCCTGGGCTTAAGTGATCCTCCTGCCTCAGCCTGCTGAGTAGCTAGGACTACTGGTGCGCACTACCGTGCCATGTTAATTTTAAAAATTTCTTGTACAGATGGGGTCTTGCTATTTTGCCCAGGCTGGTCTTGAACTCCTGGCCTCAAGCGATCCTCCCACCTTGGACTTCCTGAATGCTGAGATTACAGACATGAGCCACCACACCTGGCCCTGGGATTCCATTTTTAAGCACTGATTTAGGATGTTATGAGATCACTGAGTTTTCAATCTTTCAAAAGTTTCATCATTCATCATCCCAAAGTTACATGTAAGAAAACCCCAAAAATATATAAAATACACACATATATACTATATATTGTTGATTCTCATTATTGTCAGAATGTCTATTTGCAAATTTGCCTACTCACTAAAATTTATTTGTATCCACAAATCAACACCCGAGGCACTTCCACAGTCATTTGCAGACATGCATAGGGCAGTGAAAAATATGAGTTGCTCCACATTTGCCCATTGCCAGCTGAAGTAGGACAAGGTAACACTCTGCCTTCTTGTGGCAGCTCTCCTACAGAGATGACCAGAGAATGGAGGTGTAGGGGGCAGAGCAGAGCAGTGCTCTGGTTCTGGGGCCAATTTGGACTGGGTTTGAATCTGAACTCTAGCACCTTTTAGTGGAGCAGCATCAGGCAAGTCACCTGACACTCCTGAGCCTCGTTTTCTCTTTTGTAAAGTATAGAGAATCTACCAGGATGGGTTATTTTTAGAATTTAAGATTATAATCTATGTGAGCTCAGTGTGTGTTTGTGTGTGTGTATGAATTTAGCTAATTTTTTTTTTTTTTTTGAGACAGGGTCTCACTCTGTTCCCCAGGCTGGAGTGCAATGGTGCAATCATAGCTCACTGCCACCTTGAACTCCTGGACTTAAGCAATCTTCCTGCCTCAACCTCCTGAGTAGCTGGGACCACAGGTGTGTGCCACCACGCTCAGCTGGATTTAGCTAATATTGAACCATTGTTCCTAACACTGATTTAACAAATACTGAACCATTACTGCCAAGTGGTTCAGAATCTACTAAATTAGTGTTTGCTGCAACTTTACAGAACATAACTACTGGGAATAATGAAAATCAACTTCATTCGTGCATGTGTGTGTTTATTAGTGATTGAAAGGTGGCTCCCAAAAAGATATGTTCATATTCTAATTCATGGAACCTTATTCGGAAAAAGGTTCTTTGCAGATGTAATTAAGATGAAATTATCCTGGATTATCAGGATAGGCCCTAAATCCAATGACAAGTGTCCTTATAACAAACAACTAAAGACAGTAAAGGAGAAGACCATGTGAATTTGAAGAGTGTTATCGTTTCAAGCCGAGGAACACCTGGAGCAACCAGAAGCTGGAAGATGCAAGGGAGGATTCTCCCCAGAGCCTTCAGAGAGGCACAACTCTGCTGACACCTTGATTTTGGACTTCTGGCTGCTAGAACTGTGAAATAATAAGTTACTGCTATTTGAAGCCACTAAGTTTGTGGTAATTTGTTACAGCAGCCTTTGGAAACTTATACACAGACACAGACACACACACACACAGAAACACACACACACAAATAGTTAACGAATATGTTTTTATTTTGTTTGTTTTTTGTTTTTTTTTTTGAGACAGAGTCTTGCTTTGTTGCCCAGGCTGGAATGCAGTGGCGTGATCTCAGAATTCACTGCAACCTCTGACTCCCAGGTTCAAGAGTTTGGAAACTTATACACAGACACAGACAGACAGACACACACACACAGACACACGCACACACACACACAGTTAACAAATATTTTTGTTTTGTTTTGTTTTTGTTTTTTTTGGTTTTTTTTTGGAGACAAGAGTCTTGCTTTATTGCTCAGGCTGGAGTGCAGTGGCGTGACCTCAGAATTCACTGCAACCTCTGACTCCCAGGTTCAAGAGATTCTCCTGCCTCAGACTCCCGGGTAGCTGGGATTATAGGTGTGTGCCATCACTACCAGCTACTTTTTGTATTTTTAGTAGAGATGGAGTTTCACCGTGTTGGCCAGGCTGGTCTCGAACTCCTGATCTTGTGATCCATCCACCTTGGCCTCCCAAAGTGCTGGATTACAGGCATGAGCCACTGTGCCCGGCCTACAACAAATATGCTATTTTTTAGGGGAGAGCTAACATTTTGTTCCACATTCATCATTTATTAGTGTGAATGACAGAAAGCAGATGTGACTTTTCTCTTTGAAAAGTAACTAGTAACTGGGTCAAGGCTGGAATCTAATACACTGTTTAGCTGATTGTTCTTTTGTATGTTTCCTCTCAAATGACTGCAACACAGTGAAGAAAATGATTATACAGCTTTTGTTAATATATGTTAGAGTTGGCTGCCTTAAGACATCAATAAATACTGAAGAGATAAGAGTGACTTACCATTTCATGTGGCTATAGTATATTAAGTAGTTACATAGAAAATGTGTGGATATCATATGTCACATTCTCCCAAATGTTACAGAAATGATCTAATGACTTTTGGGGAACTCTGGATACAGAAATGGTGACTTAGGGCAGATAAAGCATTTTAAATGTCAGTTAAGAGAACATAACCTTGTACTTTTAGAATAGTGAAATGCCACTGAATGAGTTTAATTTTCAAGAATATAAAAACAGGCCCGGCACTGTGGCTCACGCCTGTAATCTCAGCACTTCGGGTGGCCAAGGCAGGCAGATCACTTGAGCTCAGGAGGTTCAAGACCAGCCTGAGCAACATGGCGAAACCTCGTCGCTACAAAAAATATAAAAATTAGCCAGGCATTGTGGCACACACCTGTAGTCCCAGCTATTCAAAAGGTTGAGGTGGGAGAATCACTTGAGCCTGGGAGGCAGAGGTTGCAGTAAGCCAAGATGGGGCCACTGCACTCTAGCCTGGGTGACAGAGTGAGAATCTGTCTCAAAAAAAAAAAAAAAAAAAAAGAATATGACAATAAAAACAGGGTAAGTGGGAATGGGGTAGAAGAAATAAGGATTGAAGCAAGATAACTCTATGGTTTTGCTTTTTTAACCATGTAAATGTTTAATATATAAAAATATAATTAAGTAAAAGAGAAAAGAAAAATCAAATCCTAAAATGAAATAAAAACAGAAATAAATGAACCAAAATATTTATCATAATAACATAACCACACAGAAAAAAATCATTTCAGATGATCTCTGAGCATAGTGCTCACACTATGCATTCTTTTTTTTTTGAAACAGAGTCTCACTCTGTCGCCCAGGCTGGAATACAATGGCATGATCTCAGCTCACTGCAACCTCCGCCTCATGGGCTCAAGCAATTCTCCTGCCTCAGCCTCCTGAGTAGCTGGGACTACAGGCACGCGCCACCACACCTGGCTAATTTTTTCGTATTTTTAGTAGAGACAGGGTTTCACCATGTTGGCCAGGCTGGTCTTGAACTCCTGACCTCAAATGATCCCGTCTGCTTTGGCCTCCCAAAGTGCTGGGATTACAGGCGTGAGCCACCACACCCAGCCTGACTATACATTCTTGGTAGAATATATTCTAAGGGGAAAAATCTTAAACATTACTCAGTAGTTTACTGTTAGTAATGTCGATATTATAATTTTGAAACTATTTTATATATAGTATATAATAAACCAAATAAACATATTAAAGTGATTATGAAACAAGATTTTTTATATTAACGGAGAGATGTAAACACAAAATGCAAGAAGTTGAGGGGTGACAAAAATTTCTGTAATGTTAAATTTGAATTGGTAGTAATAATATGAAACTTTGATTTCAAAACATGTATTTCCTGGCTATAGCCACTGAAAGAGTCTAGAAGTAACGACACTAATGATAATGAACAGACCTACTATCTAGATCTTGATTTCTGGATACATTCCCCACTAAAATGAACCAGGCTGACTCTAAGTCTGAGGCAGGATAGTACAAAATGGGCCTGGGAATCTAACTGTGTCAGAAAGCATAGATGCACTCAAATGATGGTATCATTTCAAAAGGACAAAAGAGGTACCCTAAAAGGCTACTATAGACCAAATCTGGGACTATTTGAAGGTAAAGAAGAATAGTAACTATAAATAAGTGAATTAAAACATGAATCCATGAGTCTATAATGAGGTTAATACGTGAAACTTGATACATGAGTTTATAATGAAATCATATACTAGAAAAAGAATGCAAGTGTGGGGTAGGAGGTGAGAAGGTAGTAGGGAGGAAAGTTCTTTACAGAAGAATGCCAGTTAATAAATGTGGAAGGAATGGCGGAATTAGAAAATCACCATCTTGCAACTCCAAAGTAAAGAACTGATTCAGGCAAGGATCACCAATGGATGTTAAAACTATGGATGAAAGGTAATTAGGAACAGGATATATGTACCCTAGAAATTACTTAGTAATTGCAAAGGGAGAAATATACTTTTACAATGGAGATATTTCTGTGGTCACCATCTTCACTAACTACTAAAACTAAGGTACACTAAAAGTGAGACAATCTAGCATTATGTGTCTTCTGATAAGATGCAACATGACTATAACTGCACCTATGAAGTATTCTCGCTCAAAATGTGTAACCTGCACAGAATGGAACATGTAGATATAACTTTCAACATAATACAGAGGATAAAGGAACAAGTTAAAGAGTACCACAAGGAACAGTCAGAGGAATCCAGAATGTGGGACATTCTTCAAGACAAATGGTCTAGACTTTTCAAGAAGTCATTATCACTAAAAAAAAAAGTTGGGAGACTGTTCTAAACTTAAAGAAACATAGCAACTAATTGTAATGTGTGAAACTTGACAGGATCCTGGATAAAAAAAAAAAATCACTATACCCAGGTATAGTGGCATGCCTGTAGTCCTAGCTACTCAGGAGGTTAAGGCAGGAGGATCACCTTGAGCCCAGGAGTTCAAGTTCAGCCTGAGCAACACAGCGAGACCTTGCCTCCAAAAGTAGATAAATAAATAGCTATTAAAAAATTGGGGGCTGATTAGGGAAACTGTTAAATGTACTAGATATTAGATATTATACAATTATGTTTAGTTTTCATAGGTAATGGTAGTGTGCTTACATCGGAGAATGCCCTAAGAGATCTATGTGAAAGATTTGGAAGGTAAGGTCTCATGGTGTCTGCTGTATCCTTTATAGTTCATTTAAATAAATGTATACACATATATATAGGAATCAAGCAAATGTGAGAAAATGTAAACAACTGACCTCAGGTGAAGGTTATAAAATTTTCATTGTGGTATCCTTTAAATTTTCTGTATGTTTAAAAAAAAAAGGTTAGGGAAAAGAAAAATATAGAGCAGATGGCTGTATTCAACTAAAAAGATAGATACATGGTCCCCATACTGATATTATACAACTGACCTTGAAATATTATCTCTGGAATTCATTTTCTTTCTTAAGATAAAATTTAGGCAGCAACATTAAATGAACTTTTTTTTGAAAATAAGTGACTTCTATTTAAAAGCAAACAAAACATCTTGGTCAATGATAAGAGGGGCAACTTTGCCTAGGGGAGAGTTAAACATTTCCCATTAGAGACTATAAAGTCCAATCTGTAGCCATGAAAAGAACAGATTTCGGCTGGGTGCGGTGGCTCACACCTGTAATCCCACCACTTTGGAAGGGCGAGACAGGCGGACTGCCCGAGGTCAGGAGTTCGAGACCAGTCTGGCCAACATGGTGAAAACCTGTCTCTACTAAAAATACAAAAAAATTAGCCAGGCATGGTGGCGTGTACCTGTAATTGCAGCTACTCAGCAGGCTGAGGCAGGAGAATTGTTTGAACCAGGGAGGTGGAGGTTGCAGTGAGCAGAGATCGCGCCACTGTACTCCAACCTGGGCGACAGAGCGAGACTCTGTCTCAAAAAAAAAAAAAAGGACAGATTTTCCTAGAAGCTAAGGCTTCCAGCACAATACCCGTTGACATGGAGTGAGTTTCCCTTGCCTCCTCCTGAGGTTACCTCATCTGGCTGAGGAAGGACAATAACCGACATCGTTCCTGTGTGAATGCGCTGCATCCTTGAGGACAGGCCCACCTCGGGGATGCGCTGAACTCGGTGAATCCCACCCTCATACTTCAAATGCTTATAGACACCGTCACCGGAAATTCGGGCGGCTGCATGATGTAGTCCACCTAGGGGAACAACAATCCAGAAATAGTAATGAATTATCCTTTGAAACAGATCAGGATCCTAAATGTCCTTAATCTAAGGCCTGAATGTTGAGTACAGAGCCTAAGATGAGAACATAAAGCATGGGAGAACGAGGGCCTCTGAAGAAGAAGAAGAAAAGAGGACATAAAGTATGCACAAAACTACAGTTTTCCAATGTAAATGTATTAAAATACAAAAGGAAACATACCAAAATGTAATTAATTATAGGAGCTAGTGATGCAACAATAGGAAACATACCAAAATATTATTTCGTTATGTCTGGGGAATAGAATAATACTTTTTTTATTTCCAAATTTTCTATAATGAACAAGTTTTATTTTTATAATAAGGGAAAACTACTATTAGAACAAAAAAATAATACTGGGATGTTTTCTGTATTGAACTACCCTGTGTAGTCTTAGGCTAATAGGGTATCATATATAAAAGAATGCTCAATAGGAGAATAATTTCATACTGTTGAATAACTCTACAGATCCTCCCAAATTTTCAAGAATTTATTGAAAGTCAGCTCTTGCTTATCTATGGAGTGGGAAGAGTATCACAAAGAATCTTAACACCTAGGCTAGCTTGTTCTTTTTTTGTTGTTGTTGAGACAGAGTCTTGCACTGTCACTGGGGCTGGTGTGCAGTGGTGCAATCTCGGCTCGCTACAACCTCTGCCTCCTGGGTTCAAGTGATTCTCCTGCCTCGTTCTCTTGAGTGGCTAGGATTACAGGCACCCACCACCACGTCCGGCTAATTTTTTGTATTTTTAGTAGAGGCGGGGTTTCACTATGTTGGCCAGGATGGCCTCGAACTCCTGACCTCATGATCTGCCTGCGTTGGGGTCCCAAAGTGCTGGGATTACAAGCGTGAGCCACCATGCCCGGCCACTTGTTCTTATCTAATGTTTTTTTAAAAATCTTTTTTATGATACAATAATATATGAAAGACAGAAAAACACACAAATCAAATATGTGGTTTAGAGTCCACCACTCAGGTCAAGAAAAAGAACGGTGCTAGTCACTTCATAAGCCCTCCCAAATGCCATTTCCAGACATAATCCTCTCTCTTCCCTATGAGTAATCATTATCCTGACTTTTATTCCTTTCTTTATCATAACTTCATTACCTAAACGTGTAGCCCTAGGCGCTACAGTTTAGTCCTGCCCATTTAAAAATGTTTGATGTATCTTTTTAGTCTATTAGTCCACATGCTCATCATCCATTGCTTTCATTTCCTACAAATGATCTGGTGAAGAACTTGGGCTGCTGACCTGTAGAATTTCCAACAGTCTGTTTTTGCAGACTGCATATTCTTGGTGCAAGTCACCCTGTTCTGCTGCCCTCTGTATCGGCAGCAATTAGGCAGCTGGATGCAGACACTGGATCAGACACCAGCTCGAGCCCTTTGGCAAGACGACAGGAGGTATACGGTGTCTGGATGTCTCTCTTTTTACAGTCTTGACAGGCTTTGACACTGAATGCATCACTGGGGTTACAAAATGGTGATAAGTCTAATTCTATCATTCCTTTCTCACTTATTAGTTAAAATACACTAATAAAGAGACACTTCCCCTTGTCTACCATTTGATTACATGGTGATACAATTACATAGGAAAAGCAAGATAAATGTTTGATTCTGTCCCTTTTATCAGTTCTACCAAGATACCAACGTTTTTTTTTTGTAATATACTGAACTGGTTCATTTTAATCCTCTGAAGATGACCAATTAAAAGTTTAAATTATCATTATGAACTCAAGGATTGAAACACATCTAGCACGTTTAAATCAAGCACAATTATTATTAAAGCTCAACTAGTCCCATCGTTGGCCCATAGAGCCTCTTCAAATTGACTTCTGAATTCTTCTGACATGCCCCATTTGTATGGGACATGCCCCATTTGTATGGCATAACAAGATATTCCAGGATTATCTTGAACATTTTTTACCCTAGACCTGGAATCAGCCATGTCTCCAAAAAGCCCTGGTTCAAGAGAAAAATAGTATTTGAAAATCACAATTTGGGGGCTAGGGTTGTCCACTACTACTGGATTTGGTTATAATTTCTAAGCCTTTTCAGTGGCCAGAAATAGGAAATACCTCATGAGTTCATATGATGTTGAGACCCAATTTTCCATGGGTCTCCTGTGTTCCTGCACATCTTACAAATGAAGCATTGCTGGCTATTTCGCTCTAAAATATCTTTTAAAGGCGGTTTGTGTAGTGAACAGCCTTGGAAATAATGTGTCCCTCCAGAGCAAAGGACAAGTTTCCACAGCCTTGGAAGACAGAGATAGTGTCTCTTTCTAGAGCAATGTGCAGCATGCTTACTGCGCATTAAAAAAAATGGCTGGGCGCAGTGGTTCATGCCTGTAATCCTGGCACTGTGCAAAGCTGAGGGGGGCAGACAGCGGGAGCCCAGGAGTTCAAGACCATCCTGGGCAACACAGTCAAACTCCATCTCTACAAAAAATACAAAAATTATGGTCAGGCGCTGTGGCTCACACCTGTAGTCCCAGCACTTTGGGAGGCCGAGGCGGGCAGATCACAAGGTCAGGAGTTCGAGACCAGCCTGACCAATATGATGAAACCATGTCTCTACTAAAAATACAATAATTAGCTGGGCGTGGTGGCGCGCACCTGTCATCCCAGCTACTTAGGATGCTGAGGCAGAAGAATCGCTTGAACCTGAGAGGCGGAGGTCGCAGTGAGCCAAGATCGTGCCACTGCACTCCAGCCTGGATGACAGAGCAAGACTCCATCTCAAAATAAATAAATAAAATTAAAAAAAATAAAAATAAAAAAATTAGCCAGGTGTGGTGGCACGTGTCTGTAGTCCCAGCTACTTGGGAGGCTGACATGAGAAGATGGCTTGAGCCCAGTTGAGGCTGCAGCGAGCTGTGATGGTGCCATTGCCCTCCAGCCTGGGAGACAGAGTGAGACCCTGTCTCAAAAAAAAAAAAAAAAAAAAAGACTCAATTTCCTTAAGTTCAGTGCTCTTCTCCTATAATGCAACCTACTGTGTGGGCAGGTATCATCTGGTCTTCTTAGTTGTTGCCCTGTGGGACTCTGGGCTCAGGGAACTGGCACAAAAATGCTAATACTCTGGCTACTGCTATAACCCTGAGTAATAAACTGTCCTTCACTGCTGACCCATGAAACAGCAGCAGGCTAACTTGTTAGCTTGCAAGTAGGGTAAAATCTCAGACCTTTCAGAGTTTTTACAACTGACACTTCCAATTTAAATTCAACTTCAACCTCTTTTCTACCACACTTTTATTGTATTTCTTCCCATACCAAGAATCTTGGTTCTCAAAGAGAGGGCATTAGAATTAAAATATCCCAAAATTACTTATCTGTTTTTATATTACACTACACACCTAACAGTCTCAGAATACTAATACTAGTTCTACCAATACAATTACTAAAAACATTAAAACTTTTTTGCATATGCTCTTGCCATTTGCCTCCCATTTTTCAAATGATTGTACTATATCTATACTGTCAGATCATACAGTCCTTATGTAACAAATTTATTCCCCTTAGCCCTCAATTAGTCCCAGTTCTTCAGGTAACTGCATATTTAATGTTCACCCCTACTCCTTATTTTGCTATCTCTCATTTCAGTTGTCTGAAGCTTGTTTTCTAGTAGATTCCTCAGAAAGGGATCATGGGAAGAGTATTTCTTGAATTCTTGCATAATGATAACAAATTGTTCCCTTCACATTTATAAGTCAGTTTTGCTTATTATAAAATCCTTAACTCAACTTTCTTTCTTTCAGTGAACTCTCTCTCTGGCACAAAGTGTTGTTACTGAAAAGTCTGAAGGAAATCTAATCCTTGCCTTATAAGTCTCAAGGTCTTTGTTTCTACGTGCCTAATGGGTCTTTTCCCTTTTTTGTAAGTCCAAACATTTTATTAGCCTATGTCTTAGTGTTGGTCGTTCTAGCTGGGTATTTTCAGATGTGCACATGGTTTCAAATCTTTTATTTCTATTTCAGAAGAGTTCTCTGGAAATATAGATGTTAGTATTTGTCACAGGCAGCCTCAAGGGTGGCCCCCCAGGATCCCTGCCTGCTGGTATTCATACCCTTACAGTTCCCTCCCAGCTGGTCTGTATGATCAATAGCATATGGTATGACAGAGGTGATACTATGTCACCTTCCGAGGTTAGATTATAAAGAACCATGGCCTCCATCTTGCATCACTTACTTGGGAGAAACAGGTCGCTATGTTGGGAATAGCCCTGTGGAGAGGCCCTCGTGGTGAAAAGCTGGTATCTGCTTACAACTACATGAGTGAGCTTGCAAGCAGGCCCTGACACCCCAGTCATGTGTTGAGATGACAACAACCCCACCCAACAGCTTAACTGCAACCTCATGAGACACCCTGTGCCACTCAAAAAAGCAGCTGATTCCTGACCCTCATAAATTGTGAGATAAAAAATGTTTGTTCTTTAAAATTGCTAAGCTTTGGGTAATTTGTTACACAGCAATAAATAACAAATATAGTATCTGCTCTGACTTTTATCATCTAATCAATCTTTTTGCCTATCAACAATATTTGTCATTTTCTTCACTCCTTTATTATCTTTCTTCATTTCTTCTTGATTTCAAAAAAATTTTCCTTTTTAACTACTACTTTCTTAAGGCATTAAATGTTCTGTTTATCTGCTCATATGTTCCTTCTGATTTATTCATTTCTAAAATGATTTTTCTTTGCTTTCTAATTATTTCCTGAGTCTGTCATTTCATTTCTAATCCTGATTTATCAGATTCTTTGACACTTCATATTGCTTTTTTTTTTTGAAGACATGGTCTCACTCTGTCCTCTAGGCTGGAGTGCAGTGTCACAATCTTGGCTCACTTCAGCCTTGACCTCCTGGGCTCAAGCCATCCCACCTCAGCCACTGGAGCAGCTGGGACTACAGACGTGTGCCACCATGCTCAGCTAATTTTTAAAATTTTTTGTAGAGACAAGATCTCACCATGTGGGACCCAGGCTGGTCTCAAACTCCTGGGCTCAAGCGATCCTCCCACTTTGGCCTCCCAAAGTGCTGGGGAATATAGGTGTGAGCCACCATGCTCAGCCTCTTAATTACTTATTTTGAAATAGCAGATGATAGTTTTGACCTATTTTGTAGTCATATCTTTCTAATGTGCTTTCATTGTCTGTAGGGATCTTATTCTACTCTTTACTCTCTTGTGTCTCATAAAACTTTGTATGGAATTTAACCTTAATACTTTTCTATGGTTTATTTTTCTGTGAGATTACTTTTCCATATATTTTAGAATGAGTCCAGGAAGGCTTTTCTAACTTCACAGAGTTCTCTTTTCTGTGGCTTTGTGTAATGTTCAAATAAATAGCAACCTGCTTTCTGGGACTTCCTGGCTGTTCTCCCTGGCTTTGGATTAGATCTTCTTTTCCCTTCCTCCCTCTTTATCCCTGTCCTGCTCAACTTTGATTCTCCTCCCAGCAGTCCTTCCTCAGTGTGGGGGCCTGTTTTGGAAGGGCGCCCTAGTGGATCTGTTTTGAGAGGTCATGCAGGCTAGACTGCTCTGGCCTCTTTAAATCTCCTTACCTACAGCCCGAACACTTTACTCATTATTGGAGAGCGTAAACCTCCTCCCAGCTCCAGCTCATGTTCATAACTGGCTCCCAAATTCCAGAGAATAACCATGAGTTATGAGAGGGTTCTCCAGTTTTCAGATCCGGCAGATGCCACCCCATTGCTTCCTTCTTCCTCCTGCACAGATGCTTAGACCATGCAGGTTCTATGGCAATTGGTGGTTTGTTTTGGGGTTTTGTGGGTATACCCTGCAACTGAATGCTGTCAATGCTATCCATGGGTTTTTGGTTTTGATATCTAGTTGCTATATGTGTTTTTGCATGGGGATTCAGAGAGACTGAAAACTATGCTGCTACTGCAGCTGCCATCTTCCTAATGCATTTCTAATGAAGATATAACCATTTGGTTTCTAAAGTCAGCATGTTAGACAAAAATTGAGTATAGTTTTAGATTACCCTTGAAAATGCCTTAGGAAGGTGTCTTATGAGAGACTGGCATACTGTCTCTTAATAAGTCCAACATAGCTGATCTTCCTCCAGCAATAAAACATATTACTGGATAATAATCTTCATACCAAATAAAGAAGCTGACATGCATTTAGGGCACAGATGATATGAAAAATCAAATGGTTTAACATTCATACTCAGTGTGGTAGGACGGACATACTATGAAAGATTATTCAGGAACTAAAACAGAGTGATGCCACAAATTTAAATTCCCCATCTCATACTCACACTGTACTTCAAAATTACCCCTCCATCCCCTTTACTTCATGTCATGTGCAAATACTTGAATATTATAAGAGAAGACTGTGACTTATTTGGCATAGATTAAAACAGCCAGTCTTAGGCTATCTGAGTTCAAATTTCAAGCTTCTCTTCTTCCTAGCTGTCTGTCCACAGGCAAGTTAGTTCCACGCTTTGGTTTCCTTATGTGTAAATAATAATAGTATATAACTAGGGCTACAGCACCGCACACCTGAAGGGAGAAACATTCACACTGAAGAGTATATGAGTAGTGCCTCAAGGCATATGCAGGCATACAACACAGCCTTGAAATTCAATCTACTCTCCAAGGGTTTTTGTGAGGAATAACTGAGATAAATACATGCAGAACATTTCGTACAGTGTTGACATGCAGCTGTCGAGAGGTATCAGTAGTAACTGGAACTATGCCATTGGCTTTCCTGGATCGGTGTGAAATCTTGTGGAAGACAAAGGCTGTCAAGCTCCCTATGAGCTAAACTGTGACAAAGGGCTAGAGAGCTGATATACCCTAACGGAGGACAATGAAGGTGTATTGTGGCCTTGCTGGATGAAAGCAAACTGCTTCTGCTGGCTTTCATTGACAGGGATGGAGAAAAAGGCATTTGCCACATCAACAGCTGTATACCAGGTACCAGGGATTATGTTAATTTGCTCAACTGATGAAACCACATCTGGTATAGCAGCTGCAATTGGATTCACTGCCTGGTTAAGCTTTCGATAATCCATCATTTCTCCAGGATCCACCTGTCTTCTGTACAGGCGAAATAGGAGAGCTAAATGGGGATGTGGCGGGAATCACCACTCCTGCATTTTTCAGGTCCTTGGTGGTAGCACTAATCTCCACAATCCCTCCAGAACTGCAGTATTGCTTTCAGTTTGCTATTTTTCCTAGAGGCAGTTCTGGTGGCTTCCGCTTGGTCTTTCCCACCATAATAGCCTTTGCTCCATAGGTCAGGGAACCAGTGTGGGGATTCTACCAGCTGCTGAGTATGTCTACTCCAATTTTGCATTCTGGAACTGGGGAAAAAACCACAAAATAACCACAGAATTGGTTATTTTCACATTGGGCCCACTGTGAGATGGGCATGAGCTAAAACTCATTGATCATCTGACCTCCACACAAGCCCCTATCCTGACTAGTAGATCACAGTGACATTTTTGAATGTCCTAGAATTAGTGTTGGCTTACAGACAGTGACTAGAAGTCCTCAAAAGTTCTGATTATTTTCTTTTCTCCAAAGCATAGTTACCGTATTAAAAGGCTGTAAGTCCCTTTGCGGAGGCTGGGGGAAAGTTCTGGCGGTATCCTGGGGTGTCTCCTCAAGGGGACCTACACACTCCCCTTCACTCGAGGTACTGTGGGTCTGGAAATTGGCTCAAGTCTGGAAACTGGTGCGATGTTGACTCACTGCAACCTCCACCTCCCGGGTTCAAGTGATTCTCCTATCTCAGCCTCCTGAGTAACTGAGGTTACAGCCACGCACCACCACACTCAGCTAATTTTTGTATTTTTAGTAGAAACGGGGTTTTGCCATGTTGGCCAAGATGGTCTCGACCTCCTGACCTCAGGTGATCCACCTGCCTCAGTCTCCCAAAGTGCTGTGATTACAGGCGTAAGCCACTACGCCCAGCCTCTGCTTTCTATTTTGACTCTGCTGTCTGATGGTAACTCTGCCTACTACTTGGTGTTTGGCAGTGGGGTACCACCAGTTGGCCCCTGCCACCCTGGGATCGAATTACTCCTACTACATTTAGGTTTCCCAATTCAGTGACCAAAGTTCCCACTGTATGGTCTGACCTACAGAGAAGAGTGATCACAGAGCTCTTGAAGGATGCTGGGGCTTCCCGACAAATATGTTTCTCGCAGTTGTGGTGAAAGGTGAGTCATGTGGACACATAAAATTCACAATTACATTACCGTAAGTCACCCCACCCCAAATTAACTCGTGAGTAGAGAATAACAAAACATAATTATAAACATTCATCAGTCGAGGGCTGGGGAGATAATGCAATATATTTCATAGAATCCCTTTAATGTGGAAAATATTTCAATTCATTTGATACCAGGTTTACAGATCAATAGTGTCAGACTTACACTACATATCTAGAGCCATTACCCTCCACTGCTTCCATAGACTATCTTGTTATCATTTAGTTTGAACTATTTCTGAAATGGTTAAATATTGTCTCTATCTGTACCTATTGCCACAAAATGACATGACTTTGAAAGTCACTTAATGTATGAATTTGTACATGAAACTGTTTCTTTTCAACTTTAGCTTTTAGTGCTATGTGAATCTCTGTGCTTATCTATGAGTTCCTCTCCATTTCAATTAAACATTAAAAAAAAATTTGTGTGCACATATATGTAATTTAACATGTATATATTATAAGGTAGGTGCTTTTTGCCCTTTCTTTATCCACACCCTTTTCTTCTCCTAACTGCTTCTAATAAAGAAATCAATTTTTTAGGCCGGGCGCGGTGGCTCACGCCTGTAATCCCAGTACTTTGGGAGGCCGAGGTGGGTGGATCACAAGATCAGGAGATGGAGACCATCCTGGCTAACACAGTGAAACCCCGTCTCTACTAAAAATACAAAAAATTAGCCGGGCGTAGTGGCGGGTGCCTGTAGTCCCAGCTACTCAGGAGGCTGAGGCAGGAGAATGGTGTGAACCTGGGAGGCGGAGCTTGCAGTGAGCTGATATCACGCCACTGCACTCCAGCCTAGGTGACAGAGTGAAACTCTGCCTCAAAAAAGAAAGAAATCAATTTTTTAGAAATTATAATTTCAATGAATAAAGGTTTATTCTTAGTCTTTGATTTTTTTTTCTTTTTTTTTTTTTTTTTTTTTTTTTGGAGATGGGAGTCATTCTGTCGCCCAGGCTGGAGTGCAGTGGCATGATCTTGGCCCACTGCAACCTCTGCCTCCTGGGTTCAAGTGATTCCCATGCCTCAGCCTCCCAAGAAGCTGGGATTACAAGTACGCACTGCCACGCCTGGCCAATTTTTGTATTTGTAGTAGACATGGTGGCCAGGCTGGCCTCAAACTCCTGGCCTCAAATGATCCACCCGCCTTGGTCTCCCAGAGTGCTGAGATTACAGGCATGAGCCACCACACCCAGCCCTTAGTCTTTAACTTTAAAGATATATGAGTAAAATATTTGTAATGTTTTTTTTTTAAAGAGGGCTTTTAGCTTTTCAAAATATTTTTATTTTATTTTGCCAGTGACTTAGTGTGTCTAAAGGAAAGGTTTCCCAATCATTGTTTAGGCTGCTATACAAACCTGGAACAGAATCTCTCTTCCTGTTATTGAGGTTATCTCCCTTTTATTCTTGAAAGTCTCATTCGAAATACACCTATCAGAGTTCACTCAGGATATTTTCTACTACTCTCCTTTTCATAATGCTGCTGTTTCTTCTTACATTCTCCTTGAAACTCTCTCCTCTTTTGCTTCCATAATATTTTACTGTCCTCATCCTTTTTCTGATTATCTTGAATCCTCTTTTTATTTTGCTAACTGGTCTATCCTTCTAAACATGGCCATTCTCCAAAGCTTGTTGCCCTGAATGCTCTCTCTCTATAGACTCTCCCTCACTTATTCTCTCAGTATCAGACATTATCTCTGAGCTGACAGGTATCAAATAGCTTGCCTGAGTTCTGTTGTCTCACCAAAGATCTGGTTACTCAATTTCAATATTTACTCCAAATTTTTTTTTTTTTTTGAGACTGAGTCTTACTCTATCGCCCAGGCTGAGTGCAGTGGTGTGATCTCGACTCACTGCAACCCGTGCCTCCTGGGTTCAAATGATTCTCGTGCCTCAGCCTCCCGAGTAGCTGAGATTACAGGTGTGCACCACCACACCCAGCTAATTTTTGTATTGTTAGTACAGACGGGGTTTTACCATGTTGGTCAGGCTGGTCTCGAACTGTCTCCCGAAGTGCTGGGATTATAGGCGTGAGCCACTGTGCCCAGCCTATTTACTGACTATTTCTAAGTGGATGCTCACTATAACCTCAAACTTAATGATTCAAAAACCATTCATCATTATTCTTTCCAAATGGTTTCTGCCTTCCAACTTCTATTCCATTCAATGGCATGAATGAGTATCACAGTCTTCTCAGCTAGAAAGATTAGACTCCCTGTGGCTCATCTCCTTTGTGTCAGAATAGAATAATGGGATATAGTGCAGCTCTGGATCAAACAGACTAAAATGTAATCCCAGGATTGCCATTACTTATTGTGTGGTCTTGGATTAGTTACTTACTCTCTGAGCCTAGATCCTCATCTGTAAAATGAGATTAGTAATATCTATTTCACAAGGGTGTGAAGTTGTGCACACAAGACATACTGGATAAACAACAGCCCCTCTCACATCTAGTTACTTAGCAAATTATGCCTATTCATCCTTTGCAGGTCTCTGACAGATAATTCTACTCCCCATTCTAACTCTTAGTCATATCTGGATTACTCTAATAACCTCTTTGCAGTCTGCACTAAATCTAGCCTTTCCATCCATCCATCCATCCATCCATCACTATTGTCAAAATAATCTCCTTAAAATATATATCTTATCAAATCATATTCTTATTAATGCAATTTTCAACAGCTTCCTATTGCCCATCAATCAAAGCTGTTCAAAATCTATCCACTCAAACCTACTTCAGCGATTACTTCCCTGACAAGCTATGGGTAAACTGGCCTCCCCACCACTCCCTTCCCCACACACCAAGACCTCTCCCACCAGCATGCTGCTGCTCAGGTTGTTTCTTCTCTCTGCTCTCATGGATAATCCCCTTTCCTGACCACTGGTTGTATCTGAAATCTGTACCAGGTACAACTTCCTTATGCTGTAGGCTGGTTCTTATTTCCCTTTACTGCTCAACTTACATGAATCCTCTCTCCCCACTTTGATAGTTTGTGGTTTATTACTGATGACTCCTCTGTCTACTACAATGTATCACTGTGTAACCAAGCAGAGGAAAACTTTCAGATGGATTAAAAGAATGAGACAAATGAGAGAATTATTATCATGTTTTCAATCAATATACTTGAGTATTTAAAGGTAAAGAACTGCACTGTTTGTCTATGTTGTATCATTTTTTTTTTTTGAGACAGTCTCACTTTGTTGCCCAGGCTGGAGTGTACTGGTGTGATCTTGGCTCACTGCAACCTCCCCATCCCGGGTTCAAGCGATTCTCCTGCCTCAGCCTCTCGAGTATTTGGGACTACAGGCACGTGCCACCATGCCCAGTTAATTTTTGTATTTTTAGTACAGTCAGGGTTTTGCCATGTTGGCCAGGCTGGTCTCAAACTCCTGACCTCAGGTGATCCACCCATCTTGGCCTCCCAGAGTGCTGGGATTACAGGCGTGAACCATAGTGCCCAGCCATTATAAATTTTTATCAGCCAAAAGAGAAGTTTCTTGAAAATAAAGACAAATGATTAACTTTTTCCGCATTCTCATAAAAATCAAACACATTAGCCACTTAGTCTAATTAGTAATACTTATATTATTTTATAAAGTTATTTAAAGTAAAAACCTTAATATACCTTTGCTTTCAATAATAGAGAAAAATGATTTTGAGGCAAGATACGTATCTAAGTTCCTCAGGGGAATTTTCTCTAATTCACATATTTCTCCCTAAGCAAATGCTTCCCTCCTTTCTACTGTCTTCTCCTAGCTAACAACTCTGCTATAATAGTAAGCCACTGTGATTGATGAGCCTATGCCACAGTGTTTAGTAGATATACACCAAAAGTTTCAAAAAAAAATGGGACAATATGGTTCTAATCAAGATCAGAGGTAAAATAATTTTCAGTATCTCCTACAGGCAAATTCCTCAATATGCCTACCATAATCTGCTGGTGTATAATTCAGAAGTTCAAATTGCCAGTGTTTATAGCACGAATAATTCTGGTACATGTCAAATATTTCTCGGGTAAATTGTTGGCAGATGTCACCTAAAACAAAATACGAAAAATATTTAGTCAGGACAAATTTCGGAAAGCCACCCTTAAGACTAAGTCCTTTAGGAAATAAAGAATAACTATTTCCAAATTTAAATACATTTAATGGACTTTTAAAGTTAGTGTTATCAAATAAGGTAAAATTCAAGGACTTTTTAGATCATTTAAATAATAAAGTAAGTTTACTGACCTCCAGTAGTCCTTCCAGCTGTCACCTCTAAAATAACATCATTTTTGTCATATTTCTCCTTTGGCACAAGGCTCTGGAAAAGCTGGAATAAAAATCAGCATTTGTGTGTATATTTTCCCCGGTACACTATTACTGAATTAAATAAAGGCCCGAAAAACATTGAAAAAAATCAATAATTGGCAAAATCATATAGTATCCCAAACAGGGTATTCCAAAAATGCTATAATAAGTAGAACTAATTAGACCTAAAATAGGTGATCAATTCATGTTAACAATGGAGTTACTTGTCAGTATATTTTCTGCACTGTTATCAGATTATCTTAATTTTCTAGAATGCAGAAGTTCAGATCAAAGTCCAGGGTGTTCCATTCAATTTTCTTCAGATTTTGGCGCTTATAATTAGTTCTGAACAGTAGCTTCTTTCATCTAATGAATGAAGCAAGGCTTTGAAAGTCTTCACTTTGAGAAATGATTTCATATTATCTTCTGCTATAACTGACAGCAGACACCAGCCATGCTGTGCCTTCTCAGCAGAGACGCTCTAATTAAAGACTATGTTGAGGGCTCCCAAGATAAGGCTCAAAATGAGTTTCTCAGCTGTGACCAGAAAGAAAAAGGGCTTCCTAATAAAGAAAGTAACCGACATTCCTCTTAGGAAGAAAAGGGAAGTAATTTCATTATTACTAAAAGGTTTTTCAAATCAAAGTAAAAGTACCTATGTGTCATGACTGTCCCTACTGCCAATTTCTGAAATACTCCATCTCTGCTAGAAATGATATAGTCTATGGGAGAGAATATGAGACAGACTGAGAGTCAGACATCTTCTGCCTTTGATTAACTGGTTCAATTTGTAATAAAAATAACTGATATCCCATGTAACCTCCCCCTTAACTTTTCAAAAAGCCCCTCTATTGGATTCCCAGAGTAAGAAACACTGAAGGTAGGAGGACGGCAAACGTGACAGAGGGAAACATGGTATACAGTAGTGTGTTCTTCATTGTCTTTGTAGACAAACCATCCATTAAGCAAGAATGAAAAGAGACCACTATGGAAGGGAAATCTTCCATTTCCATGTCTAGGAGATATCAGCTGATGCTGATACAGTATCATCAACCCTGAGAAGCTCCAGTATGCCACACCCTTACTAGACCTAACTAAAGATGTGTGTTAACCAACTATTTTTACACCTTTGGATTCATTCCATTCTATCCAGAGTGCAAATTTCCAATCCTTAATTAACAGCCACCATGAACTCCTCCTCCTCTTCTCACTCTTAAAATCCTCTGACTCTTCCCTGTGGTGAACTAAATTTCTTTACCAGCACGTATTCTCTTGCTTAACAAGTTAACAGACTCAACTTTGAATTTTTTTTTTTTTACCCTGGGAGTCTTTATTATTTGACATCGTAATTTCTTCATTCTCATTCTGCAGCAAATTACAGGAGACCAGCTTGATCACTTATCATAAGAGAACACTTAAAACAGTGTTTGGAAACCACTATGAGCACCGAAGCAGAGTCTAGCAAAAACAGCATTCCTTTATACAGCACTATTGAAACTAGTCGACCTCTGAAAACCTACCTCATTGTACAACATGTTGATTTTTTGATCAATGGTTTGCCTTTCTTCCAGTGCAAGTTCTTGTAACTGCTTTTCATCTTGTTTATTTAGGCCTAAAAGCCAGAAACAGAAATAATGATAAAGTTTTTAAATACTTACAGAGAAACTCCTAAGTAGCCATGTTCCTCTTTGGCTACTAAGTTTTATTTCAGTTGCAAAGGCAAGGGATTATACAAAGGAACATTTAGAATATTTGGAGAATGTCAATTAACAAGTATTTGCTAAGCATTTCCAAAAAACTCAATGTGAAAAGCAATATAATCGTGCTTCCCAAAACCTTGTGTTTTTTTTTTTAAAGGTAAAATAGCTTAAAACATTTCATCTCTAATCAATCTATTAACAGTAGTAACAAAAATATGCTTAATATAGAAACCCACATTTACAAAGCTCGTTATTTGAATGTCTATAATTATATAAATTGGTGATTAATCAAACAGGTTTAAAAAGCTACTAGCTAATTAAATATAAACCCAAATAAGATAAGATTTGGAGCAAACTGGAGTGAGCATTTCCTGTCCAAAGGTAGCAGCTGTAACTCAGCATACTGTGACATGGTCCAGCACAGCTACAACTTCCATATTATCCAAGAGAAGTCAGAAATAAGAATTCTTAAAATCTCTTGATACATTCATACTCAGTTCACATTGTTTTTTTTTTAAGAGAGATGAGGACTCACTATGTTGCCCAGGCTGGAGTAGCTATTCTCAGATGTGATCATGGTACACTACAGCCTCAAACTCCTGGACTCAAGCGATCTTCCTGCTTCAGCCTCCCAGGTAGCTGAGATTACAGGTGCGTGCCACTGTGCCTGGCTTAGTACGGTACTTTAAAATACATATCATGGCCAGGTGCGGTGACTAATGCCTGTAATCCCAGCACTTTGGGAGGCCAAGGCAGGCGGATCACTTGAGGTCAGAAGTTCGAGACCAGCCTGGCCAAAGTGGTGAAATCCCATCTCTACTAAAAATGCAAAAATTATACAGGCATGGTGGTGCACGCGTGTACCCCTAGCTACTCGGGAGGCTGAGGCAGGAGAATTGCTTGAACCCAGGAGGTAGAGGTTGCGGTGAGCCAAGGTCATGCCACTGCACTCCAGCCTGGGTGACAGAGAAAGACTCTGTCTTTAAAAAAATAAAATACATATCACGTGTGTCAGACAAAACATACATTTTTGTAACCTGTCCTGTATGGAGAAAATGGGCCTTTTTCTGTTATTTCCAAAGGAGAAAGTTAAATCATGGAACTCTAGCAAAACAAGATAACAATGATCTAGTTATTGACCAAGGATGGTAGACCTCATGACCTTTGACTCCACTGCTTTAGAGGCTTGGAGACTTTATTTGTCAGTGGCCATTGCTGCAAATTGAGGTAAAAAATTCCGACCCTTAATAATAAAGAAAATAGAAATGAAGAATCACAATTATAAAGAAGAGAAGACTCTTTTAAATTATTCTCTAGTCATGGAAGTCATTAAGCTCTGGTGGGATTCTGTGCCTCATTCAAGCTTTCAACATTTAACATTTTGCTAGACACTCTGCTAGTTGCTGGGGAGACAACGAAGAAAAAAACATGGCTTCAGGCCTCAAGTGGCCCAGTCTGGTGGCAAACACATACACATGATTACAATATGAGATGGGGGAGTGCCAGTGTGCCATAGGGGCATAAATGAAGGGGACTAAACCAGACTTTAGCAGTTAATGAGAGCTTCCTGGCTAAGGTGTCATCAGAACTAATTCTAATTACAGACCATCTGTTGTAGAATTTTTTTTTTTTTTTTGAGATGGAGTCTTGCTCTGTTGCCCAGGCTGGAGTGCAGTGGTGTGATCTCGACTCATTGCAACCTCCGCCTCCTGGGTTCAAGCAATTCTCCTGCCTCAGCCTCCCGAGTAGTTGAGATTACAGGCGCGCACCACCACACCCAGCTAATTTTTGTATTTTTAGTAGAGACGGGGTTTCACCATGTTGGCAGGCTGGTCTTCATCTCCTGACCTCCTGATCCACCCGCCCCGGCCTCCCAAAGTACTGGGATTACAGGCATGAGCCACCGCACCCGGCCTGTTGTAGAATTTTAATGTCACCACTAGTACCACATTGTGCACATATGCCACAAATGGAAACCAGGCTGACATTACTTAATAGAGATCTGCTGATTCAAAGGTATCAGAAAAACCTTCTGATTTGCAATCATATAAAATTATTTTTGTGTTCTCTTATTATTTGCTGTAAACCTGTAGAATCCGTCTAATTCAATTTTATTATATCAACAAAGATTTGAGAACCTATTATGTCCCATGTTTCATGCTGCAGAAGATAGAAAAATGAGTAAGACACAGGACCTGACCTTGAAGAACAGACAATGGGGTTAGGGGCTGAGGTTAAGACAGTTACATAAAGGATTATAATACAAAACAGAGAAAGGTAACCACACTTGTTTTGCAAAGGGTACTGAAGCCAAAGTATGACATCTCAGCCAAGCTTTGTAAGAGGACTGGCTTTTAACAAGGTGAACCAGGCATGTTAACAACGTGGGCAAAGATACAGACATGGGACAGCACGAATATATCCAGAGA
This sequence comes from Homo sapiens, assembly GCF_000001405.40. NCBI lineage: Eukaryota > Metazoa > Chordata > Mammalia > Primates > Hominidae > Homo > Homo sapiens. The sequence continues at coordinate 41,257,138 of NC_000013.11, forward strand.
ATGGCAAGTTGTCTATTTTGGTTGGAAGGCAGAATATGCAAAGAGAATTAACATAGTACATGGAGAGGCTGGGGTTAATCTGCAGGGGCTTTTAAATACCAAACCAAGAAATCTCTACTTATAGACAATGGGAACAGGTGAGTAACATGAATAAGATTGTACTTGAACTAGAACGCCTAGAGGTAGGGCTACAAGTTAGGAATTGATTGCAATCAGCTAAGTCAGAGATGTAATGAAGATATAAATTAGTGGAAGGAATAGAACAGGACTCATGCAAGCTACATCACAAAGGTAGACCCTGCTGGACTTTGAATCATCCATCAAGCAGTGGATAAGAGCAGAGGCTTTGGAATCTCATTGCTTGGGTTCAAATCCTTGCTTCTCCCCTCGCTGGCTGAGTGATCTTTGCAAATTTAACCTTTCAATGTCCTCATCTATAAAATGTATAAAATGAGGGAAAACACAGGCTGGGCAACACAGTGAGACCTCATCTTTACTAAAAATAAAAAAAATAGCTGGGAATGGTTGCACACACCTGTAGTCCCAGCTACTTGGGAGGCTGAGGTTGGAGGATTGCTTGAGTCCAGGAGTTCAAGGTTAAAGTGAGCTATGATTACACTACTGCATTCCAGCCTGGGCCACAGAGCAAGACTCTGTCTCTTAAAAGAAACAAAAAGGGGGAGGGGGAATAATCATATATCCTACCTCATAAGGTTACCTGAGCATTCAAATGAGATAATATTTGTAAAGCACTGAGCTTAGTGCCTAGCACATAAGAGGACTTTGTAAATGTAGCTATTATTACTATTATTATAGAAAAATTGTAGAGGTAGTAGAGCCTTTAGAAATGATGTAATCCAATCTAATATTATACATGATACAACCAAGGCTGAAAGAAGTTATGCCAATTTAATTAGAATGCATTTCATAAACTTCTACTATACACAAGCAACCTTCTCAAAACTAATTAACTACAAATCTGTGTGGCATTATGCAAAAGAGTAAAAAATATCTCCATTAAACGTACGTAAGAGACTTGTGGTACCATCAATAGAAGGCAGAAAAATGGAAGGCTTCAAAAATCCAGGACTTTACAGGTATAACAGTGACTGGCCTGTGTATCACATAATACTGCTAAGGCTAAATGAAACAAAATGAAGCACAGAAGAAAATCTAGAAACTAAAAGTTAATAGCCAAATCTGGATAAATGTTGAATCATAGGTTAGTTCATTAAACTTTTCTCTCAACTTCTGTATAAAAATTTTCGAAAATTTTCATAAGAGAAAAAATGTAGAGGCAATAGCAGTATTGAGAAATACTAAAATAAAAAACTAAGATAAAAAATAGCCGGTAGTCCCAGCTACTCAGAAGGCTGAGGCAGGAGGATTGTTTGAGCCCCGGAGTTTGAGTGAGGGACCATCTCTTAAAAAAAAAAACAAAAAAAAAAAACATAAAAAATAAATACACCATATACAAAAATAACTAAAATAGATCAAAGACCTAAATGCATGGGATAAAAATAAAAAATACGTCAGTCTTGTAAGAAAACACAGATGTAAACCTTTGTGCCCTTAGATTAGGCAATTTTCTTAGATACGACTCCCAAAACTCAAGCAACAAGAGAAAAAAAGATAAATTGGACATCATCAAAATTTAAAAATATCATGCTTCAAAAGACAGTATCAAAAAAGTGAAGAGAAAACCACAGAATGGGAAATTTTTGCAAATCATATATCTGATCATGGACTTTTACCTAGAAGATAAAGACCACTCACAACTCAATAATGAAAAGACAATTAAATTTAAAAACTGGCAAAGGATCTGAACAGTGATTTCTCCCAAGATGATACACAAATGGCCAAATAAGCACCAGAAAAGATGCTCAACATCATTAATCTTCAGGAAAATGCAAATCAAAACCACAATAACACACCACTTCACATTCATAGGATGGCAATAATTGAAAGGGCGGATAATAAGTGTTGGCAAGTACGTGGAGAAATATGAACCCTCATACACTGTGTGTAGAGCTGTAAAATCGTTATAGTCACTTTGGAAAACAGTCTAGCACTTCCTCAAAAGGTTAAACATAGAGTTACCACATGAACCAGCAATCTATGTCCACAAAACAACTTGTACACAAAAGTTCACAGTATCGTTATTTATAATAACCAAAAAGTGGAAACAACTCAATGTTCATCAACTGATGAATGGATAAATAAAATGTGGTATATCCATACAATGGAATATAATTCAGTAATGAAAAGAAATAAAGTACTGGCTGGGCATGGTGGCTCATGCCTGTAATCCCAGCACATTGGGAGGCCAAGGTGGGTGGATCACTTGAGATCAGGAGTTTGAGACCAGCCTGGCCAACATGGTGAAACCCCGTCTCTACTGAAATACAAAAAAAATTAGCTGGGCATGGTGGCAGGGGCCTGTAGTCCCAGCTACTTGGGAGGCTGAGGCAGGAGAATGGCGTGAACCCGGGAGGCGGAGCTTGCAGTGAGCCGAGATCCCGCCACTGCACTCCAGCCTGGGCGACAGAGCGAGACTCCGTCTCAAAAAAAAAAAAAAAAAAAACATAAAAATAAAAAATAAAAGCTTCCTTCCTGGTTCCACTAATGCGCAGTCCCCTCCAGGAAGATTTACCCAATCAATCCAGGCTGGTTTGAGTGCCCTCTCCTCTTTGCTCCCATGAAACTGTGCCTCCCTCTAGTAGAGCAGGTCTCACATTATAAACAATACTTAAATAAGTTTCTCTCACTGGACCATAGAAGCCCACTGATGGGGTAGGAACTGTATGTGTAGCCCTAGTATGTAGGTACAGTGTTCAATAAAGGTCTGCTCAATAAAATAAAGCTTCTGAAAAGACCAACATTTTGTCTCCCAGACCTTGAGACCACGGGAAGTACCACGAGGAGCCTGTTTACTTAGTACATTGATCTTTAGTAGCTAAAGTGTGTCAAATACTCTGGGTACAGAGTCCTGTTCTTTCCAAGTGTTGAGCTTATTACTTGTAGGTTTTTTTAAAAGACTGAGTTCAGGCCAGCCTCAGTGGCTCGGTGGCTATAATCATATCGCTTTGGAAAGCCCTGGCACAATAGTCCTAGCTACTCAGGATGCTGAAGTGGGGGGCCAGGACTTACAGGTTACAGTGAGCTACGATTGAGTCACTGCACTCCTGCCTGGGCAACAAGTGAGAACCTGCTTCTGTGGGAAAAAAAAAACAAAGACTAAGTTCAATAAAGCTTTAACTTAGAAAATCAAATCTGTACTTACACACACGCATATAAGTGTGTGGTTTTTTTTTTCATAGCCCTTATGCAGGACACATAAGTATCTTTTACCTACTTTTACACATTGATTCTAATTCTTCAATTGCTTGTTCAGTCTCCTGAATTTCTTGGTAAATGGCTGCAAGAGGTGCCAACTCAGCATGCCTTCTGTTCAAGGACCTTCGGTTTTCCTCATTCACAGGGATATGCTGCAGACATTGCTCAAGTGTTTGGTACTCCTTACTCAGGTTCTCCATATATTTCTGTAGTGCTTTATGCTTCCAGAGCATCTTGGTGTCTTGATGGCAATATCTCCTGGACCAATTCTTACTTAACAGATGAAGAATGCAATTCCTGTTTTGTCTAAAAACTTGCAGCCTTGTATCAAGATGTATCTGTCTAAATTGATGAGAATGGAGCTGGATGTGACACTGGAGGTAACCATTAAGAGATGGATGTCTAAAAAGCCAAACACACAGGTGACGATTCATCTCAGCATCTGAAATACAATAAACACAGTCTTTAAAAAAAAATCATCTCTAAAGATACATGCATAATAAACCTGGAAGGAACATCAAGAAATCTTGTTTCATCTACTGCCTCAGCCAGCTCCACAGTCTTAAAATTCAACTGCCGGCTGGCAGCAGTGGCTCACGCCAGTAATCCCAGCACTTTGGGAGGCTGAGGCAGGCGGATCACCTGAGGGCAGGAGTTCGAGACCAGCCCAGCCAACATAGTGAAACACTGTCTCTACTAAAAATACAAAAATTATCCGGGCGTGGTGGCAGGCGCCTGTAATCCCAGCTACTCAGGAGTCTGAGGCAGGAGAATTGCCTGAACCCAGGAGGCAGAGGTTGCAGTGAGCCGAGATCATGCCATTGCACTCCAGCAAGGGGGACAATACCAAGACTTCGTCTCAAAAAAAAAAAAAATTCAGCTGCCTACAGAAAGAACATAATTCTTCAAATGTATGAATAACATATTAAAATAAATAAAAACAGCACTGCTTCCTACCTGTTCAACATATATAATTAACTGAAGCATATGAGTAGGAGTACAACTAACAAATATATCAATTGAATGAGTTAAGTCAGTTATTTTCTAGAAAGTATCTAGAATCTAGAATTGAGTGTGTAAACAAGCTCTTGAAAGCTATGAAAACATACAAACTTAAGGCGGTTCATAAAGTCATTTTCTAAAGTTTGAAGAAAATATTATTATCTTGTATAATTCTTTAACTTTAAGGATCTAGATATCCAAGGAAGTCAAGTAACTTAATCACGACTATTCAGTCGGCTGGATGGAGACAGAGCTGGTATTAGAATGTAAGTTGCCTGTTCAGGACTCAGTAATTTTCACTCTCAATTGTGCAATCACTTTTCAAAAATGCTTCCCGTTTAGCTGAGATCCTAAAGGAAGAAAAGTTCAAGTATTAATAGACCAAGAAAGTAGGGCTGGTGAAAAGCTCTACAGTTATATTAAATGGTGACAATTATATTAAGCAAGAAAGGCAAGGAACAAAATAGAATCTCAATTACATTTAAAAAATATTCTACAATATAAGGTATACATGTAAAAAAAAAAAAGCACATAGAGTATTTTTTAAAAAGAAAGTTAAATAAGAAACATACCAAAATGTGCCGAGCACAGTGGCTCACGCCTGTAATCCTACCACTTTGGGAGGCCGAGGCGGGCAGATCATCTGAGGTCAGGAGTTCGAGACCAGCCTGGCCAACATGGGAAAACCCCATCTCTACTAAAAATACCAAAAAAATTAGCTGAGCGTGATGGCACACACCTGTAGTCCTAGCTGCTCGGGAAGCTGAGGCAGGATAATCGCTTGAACCTGGGAGGCGAAGGTTGCAGTGAACTGAGATCGCACCACTGCAACCAGCGTGGGCGACAAAGCAACACGCTGTCTCAAAAAAAAAAAAAAAAAAAGAAACATACCAAAATGTTAATAAAATGATCTCTAGTTGTGAGATTATGAATACCTTTTGCTTGCTATTTTTTCTACTTTTCAGTGTTTTCCAAGTTTCTTGCACATGTAGCATGGAATACTTTCCTAATCATAAAAAAAGATTAGTTTAAAAAATTACAGGTTAGGTGAAATTGGCTGTGTACAATAATTTTCTGTTCTCCTCCCCTCCAACAGAGATAATCAAGAGCTAACAAAAGTACACAATGGTCTTACTGAGTAAGAAAGGGAGAATATAAAGTGTTCTAAGAAAACTCTAAGGTTCAAAGTTGAAATAAGGGTCAAGCCACGCACAGTAGCATGCACCTATTGTCCCAGCTACCCAGGAGACTGAGGCAGGAGGATCACTTGAGCCAAGGAGTTCAAGGCCAGCCTGGGCAACACAGTGAGACTCAACTCAAAAAAAGAAGGATCAACATTTATCAAAATCAAACTTTACTGTCTCCAGTGATCCTACTATGCTAGGAGGTGCATTGATATATTAGCTCATTTGTTCACTATAAGTCTGTTAACTTAGCATTATCACCTAGGAAATAAAATAGTCAGAATGGTCTTTAAAATATTCAGTTTCCAGAGTTCTACTGATAGATTTTAGGATACTGCATCACATTATTAAAAGAACTGTTGAAGAAAGCACCAATGGCCAGCTGTCACAAACGTTACACTCCACCACCCCCGTATTTCAAGCACGTTAGAGAAAGTGTATCCATTTGCTAACAGACAGAATAAAAGGATGACAAATATATGTTTGTACGAATACTTATTGCTAAAATTTCCATTTTAGGAACAGTAGTAGAATGCATAATTTTCAAGGTCATGAATCTCAACATTAAGGAAAACAAAACAAAACAAGATGTTTACTCTCCAAGGTTAACTACACCTGAGAACAGCACGACTTCTCCATTACCCATCACAGTAACAGTATTACTCTGATGCTTTGGGGAAAGTTCTGAGTGTAGGCAGGTCAGAAGCGACAGCCCGCGGGGCAGCAGCACGGGCAAACCATGCTGTGTAACTCAGTATATGGAGTGATTCCATAAAGAGGCAATACAGGAGGCGGCGGGGAAGATCAGGAAAGAACTGTGAGTACCTAAGAAAAAGAAGAATACACGTTAGCTCTCTTTACTGAGGTCGGAACCTTCCGAGACCCGCCACATTTCAGCCCGACAAACCCGAGATCACGTTCACTTCCTGGTTCACTTCTTCCGGGTTAACGCACGCTCCCGGCCCCTCCTCCGCCACTACCGCTCTCCGGAGGAGTTGTCCTCGAGCATGCCTAACAATGGACTAAAATGACAAAAATGAGCTAAATGAGAAAAATGACAAAACGAGAATGAAATTGTCATCAGACAACCGCCCCCGCGCCGTCCTTATCCAGAGCGTGAGCCCAGAGCGGGGATGGAGATGGTGGGAGGGAGGGAGGGAGGGAGGGGCCAAGGTGGGACTAAACTACAACTCCCAGAGCGCCCACCAAAGAATCCTGGGAGTTGTAGTTTACCTTGCGGCAGCCTCCAACCCCCTCCACTCACTATCCAGCCAAATGTGGAGTTTTTGGTTTTCACCGTTAACTGCAAACCTAGAAGAGAGATTCTTTACGATTCTGATTAAGAGATCAAGATTTAGAACACATTGCATGTGAAATTACAATAATTTCCTTATGTATTAGAAGCCCGTAAAGCACTGTTTTCCAATATTTAAAAAAAATAAAGACTCCTTTTACATCATCCACAAATGTAGAAGATTCTGCGTGTAATTTCTATACTTTCAGCTTCCATTGCTTCAGAAAATACCTAATGACTAAAGGATAATACAAATAAATTTATATTTTAAAAGTAGTAACAGCCCCAAAAGTTAGGAGACCGTGTATTTCCACATGTTAGTGATTTTATAATGTTCTTTGCACATGGGAATGTAGGGGCTCAACCTAGATTCATAGCTTATGAACCACTGATTAAGTGAAGAATGAAAACTCCAGTTAATAAACAATTGCAGGAAAATGCAAGCATATTGTCCTACTTTGACTAATCCAGTGGGATCCAGCCCTTGGCTATCGCAATTTACAGTCTTTCTATCTCCATGCCTCAATTTTTCTTCCTGAAAGAAAAGGCAAAAAATGTACCATATTACTGACTTTACAGAGTATTTTCTTAGATTATAATCACATACATAGATAGGAGAATTAGCTATATATGCAAAATAATATCTAACGTTTATAGCCAACTTCAAGGTACCTACTTCTATGTACTATGTACTAAATACTGTTCTAAATGGTTTTACCCTATTAATTCATTTAATTTTTACAACCTTAAAATACTTATTTTGCAGAGGAGAAAATTAAGGCACACAGAGCTAAAGTAACTACTCCAAGGTAAAAAACAGTAAGTGATAGAGCCAAGACTCAATTAAGGCAATGGCTTTAATGATCTGTGGCTCCTAAGCTCTGATATAGGGCCACCCTGCTCCAAAAAAGAAAAAACCTTCAATCATGTATTCAATAAATAGTGAACACCAGTTATGTGCTATTCACTATTCTAGTCATGAGGATTTAGCAATGAACAGAAAAGACAAAAACCTTTGCCCACATGGAGCTTATGTTCCAGTAGGGGAAAAGTTTCAAAGGGTCTACATAAAGTCATTCTCCTAAGTTATCCAAAAAGTTCTTTAATTATTTATTCTGATTTGTGCTTTCAGCTATATAACTTGAGTATTATATATAAAGCTTTATTCTCCTTAAAAAATTAGTCTTAGTCGGGCGTGGTGGTTCACGCCTGTAATCCTAGCACTTTGGGAGGCCGAGCCAGGTGGATCACCTGAGGTCAGGAGTTCGAAACCAGCCTGACCAACATGGAGAAACCCCATCTCTACTAAAAATACAAAATTAGCTGGGCGTGGTGGCTCATGCTTGTAATCCTAGCTACTCGGAGGCTGAGGCAGGAGAATCGCTTGAACCCAGGAGACAGAGGTGGCAGTGAGCCAAGATTGCACCATTGCACTCCAGCCTGGGCAACAAGAGTGAAACTCCGTCTCAAAAAAAAAAAAAAGTAGTCTTACTGCTATGGACTGAATTGTTTATATTCATAATCATGTGCATATTACTAATATTTATTTTTAAAATTCATATATTGAAGCCCTAACCCCTCCAATACATGTGTCTGTATTGGAGATAGGGCCTTTAAGGTGATTAAGGTCAGATGAGGTCGTAAGAGTAGAGCCCTGACATAATAGGATTAGTGCCTTTCTAAAAAGGCACCAGAGATCTTGCTCACTGTCCCTGCCCAAACAAAGAAGAGGTTACGTGAGTACACTGTGAGATGGTGGCCACCTACAAGCCAAGAGAAGAGGTATCAGACTGAAACCTACATTGCTGCCACCTTGATGTTAGACTTCCCAATCTCGCAAGAGGCTAAGAAACAAATTTCTGTTGTTTAGGCCACCCAGCTGGTGGTTTTTTGTTTTTTTGTTTTTTTGTTTTTTGAGGTGGAGTCTCGCTCTGTCACCAGGCTGGAGTGCAGTGGCCTGATCTTGGCTCACTGCAACTTCTGTCTCCCGGATTCAAGCAATTCTCCTGCCTCATCCTCCCAAGTAGCTGGGACTACAGGTGCACACCACCACGCCCAGCTAATTTTTGTATTTTTAGTAGAGATGGGGTTTCACCATGTTGGCCAGATGGTCTCAATCTCTTGACCTTGTGATCTGCCCACCTCAGCCTCCCAAAGTCCTGGGATTACAGGCATGAGCCACCACACCTGGCTTTTATTTTTTTTTAAATAGAGATGGGGGTCTCACTATGTTGACTAGGCTGGTCTCAAACTCCCAGCCTCCTAAAATCCTGGGATTACAGGTGTGAGCTACTGCACCTGGCCCAGTCTATGGTTTTTTGTTATGGCAGCCAAGTTATTCTGACTATGCAGAACAACTTAGACATTTAGAACTCGGGCTGGGCGTGGTGGCTCACGCCTGTAACCCCAGCACCTTGGGAGGCCAAGGCGGGTGGATCACTTGAGGCCAGGAGTTTGAGACCACCCTAGTCAACACGGTGAAACCCTATCTCTGCTAAAAATGCAAAAATTAGCCAAGCACAGTGGCACGCACCTGTAATCCCAGCTACTCAGGAGGCTGAGACATGAGACTCACTTGAACCTGGGAAGTAGAGGCTGCAGTGAGCTATGGTGCCACCTCACCCCAGCCTGGGTGACAGAGCAACATGCTATCTCAAAAACAAAAACAAAACAAAAAACAGTGAGACTTTATCTCTTAAGAAAATTACAGCTTTTTAATATTATCTAATGTCCAGTCAGTGTTCAAATTTCCCTGTGATGCCGGGCGCAGTGGCTCACGCCTGTAATCCCATCACTTTGGGAGCCGAGGTGGGTGGATCACGAGGTCAGGAGATCGAGACCATCCTGGCTAACACGGTGAAACCCCATCTCTTCTAAAAAAATACAAAAAAATTAGCCGGGCGTGGTGGCAGGCGCCTGTAGTCCCAGCTACTTGGGAGGCTGAGGCAGGAGAATGGTGTGAACCTGGGAGGCAGAGTTTGCAGTGAGCTGAGATCAGGGGCCACTGCACTCCAGCCTGGCCAACAGAGCGAGACTCTGTCTCAAAAAAAAAAAAAAAAAAAAACAAATTTCCCTGTGTCAGATTTTTTTTCTCTTTTTTGTGGCATTTTGTTTGTTAATATCAGGATTCAAATAAAGTACATAGATTGCAATTGGTTGTTATATTGTTGGTTTATTTTAATCTTTAGATTCTCCTTTTCTTCTTTTTTTTTCCTTGCAATGTATTTGTTGAAGAAACTGGATCCTTAGCCCTGAGGAGTTTCACACAGTTAAGATTTTTCTAGACTTGTGGTATATAATGTGTCCTTTGTTCCCTGTATCTCCTGTAAACTGGTCTAGAAACTTGATCAAATTCAGGTTTAAATTGTTTTTGGCAAAACTACTTCATAGCTGTGGTTATGCTCTGTGGTTATGTGTACTTTGCTTATGGGAGTCTCTTAAAAGTTATGTCTTTTAAAATATTAGAAGCTCTTCATTGCCTAGATCCATTTTTTCACTAGGTGTGGCAAAATGGTGATATTTTATTACTCATTCTTCATTGATTAGCTAGAACCTCTCAGCTATTGATTGTCTTTGCTTTGTCATTTTTAAAAGGAAAAATAAAAACTTTTCTAAAGTAAAAAAGTGATAAAAAGCCAGGCGCTGTGGCTCACACCTGTAATCCCAGCACTTTAGGGAGCCAAGGTGGGAAGATTGCTTGAACTCAGGAGTTTGAGACCAGCCTAGGCAACATGGCAAGACCTCACCTCTACAAATAAAAAAATTAGCCAGGTGTGGTTCTGTGTGCCTCTGGTCCCAGCTACTTTGGAGGCTGAAATGGGAAGACCACTTCAGCCTGGGAGGTCAAGGTTGTACTGAGCTGTGATTCACCACTGCATTCCAGCCTGGGTGACAGAGTGAGAAACTGTTGAAAAAAAAAAATGGCGATCAAATTAAAAAGCTTGCTTTCTGAACAATTTCTAGGATTTCTAATTTTTATTTTAATCTTATTATTATTATTTGTATTTTTGTAAAGAAGGGGTTTCATCATGTTGCCCAGCATCTTCAAACCGGTTGGCATCAGCTATTCCACTGAAATTCAGGCTCTGAAAACCATATTAAGCAATTCTTAAACAAATTTCTTATTATTCTAACATCAGAGATCCTATCTATAAGAGCAATGGGGATGTAAATTAATCCTTAAACAAAAGCCTTATAATTCTAACATCAGAAATGCTATTGATTCAGGAATTAAGAAGAAATCACTTAGGCAGATAGTAATGGTATGGGAGTAACCACACACCATTTCATATTTGACAATGCTTCCTGTGTAATTTTTATACCAAATAAGCCAAATTATGTCATTTTTGGACTTTAGGGAAACCAATATCTTAAAGGATTAATTAGATCAAAAAAAGACTTAATTTATAATTTGATTTTAGAAAGTTTGTCAAATATCGAAGGTTTAAAAACATTTGATATCACAGATCATCGTAAGTCATTCTCGGGAGGCTGAGGAAGGAGAATTACTTGAACCTGGGAGGTGAAGATTGCAGCAAGCTGAGATCACGTCACTGCACTCTAGCCTGGGTGACAGAGCAAGACTCTGTCTCAAAAAAAAATGAAAGAAAAGAAAAAGAAAACATTTCCTTTAGACCTTTAAGAAAACATTTTAGCATCAGGCTACAACAAACAGAACTCAAGGGGAAACAAAACTTATATGAGCTGAAAATGAATTGAAGAAGAGTGTTCCTATTTCACGTCCTTTAAAAGGGGAGAGAAAACCAAAAACAAGATGCAATAAAAGTTGAACTTTCTGTTAAGAAAACTATAATCTCCTGTAATTTATTGAGTAAATCAATCCCTTAAGAAAATTAATATTATTGTTCTAATTATTTAGTGTATAAGTGTTTTCTTTTTTTACATCAAGCCCAATCCCTGGAGAGACCATTATAATTTCTCATTAATTTTAGATAACTTGATCATATAAAAGTTTTCAGTTTTTTTCTTATAAATCCTATTCTTGTGACTTACACAGACCATTCATGACATGCTTGGACTTTCTGGTTTGACGTGACCATCCCTTTTTTTTTTTTTTTAAAACCAGTCATTTTAGTCTAGAACTAAATTTACCATACAAGATTGTTTCTTATATAAAATTATTTCTCTTTAAGCTTTCTTACCAAAAACAAAACCTCTTTATTTTTATAACTTCCTTTACATCTCTCTTATTTCCTGGTTCCTTTTACCTTGTTTTTTTTTTTTGGTTTTTTTTTTTTTTTTTGAGATGGAGTTTTACTCTTTTCACCTAGACTGGAGTGCAATGGCTTGATCTCGGCTCACTGCAACCTCTGCCTCTCGAGTTCAAGCAATTTTCCTGCCTCAGCTTCCCAAGTAGCTGGGATTACAGGTGTGCGCCACCACACCCAGGTAATTTTTGTATTTTTAGTAGAGACAGGGTTTCACCATGTTGGCCAGGCTGGTCTTGAATTCCTGACCATGTGATCTGCCTGCCTTGGCTTCCCAAAGTACTGGGATTACAGGAATGAGCAACCACGCCCAGCCCTTTTACCTTATTTTGTACAAAACCTTTAAATAAGCTTTCAATTAGACAAAAATTGTTCACTTTTTTAAAAAGGACACACTTTATTATTAGAATGTTTTCCTACAATATATTTTTGTTAGAAAATACCCAAATAACAAAATATCTATTATTTAATTTAATATAATTTTATATTCTAAATTATGAGTTTTTCTACATTTATCCCATTACATTTACCTAATTATTTTATTTTAATCATTTACCTATTTTAGTTATGAAAACTATGATAGTCATGATTTAAAGTTATGAAACTGCCATTGCAAAATTATAACTGGGACAGTGAAAAAGATCTGACCTAACTGACTCCATCTTGCTTCTAACCTCCAGGCTGTCCTTGTTCATTCCTGAGCGTAGGCCAAACTAACTTTGGGAGGAACTTAGTTTATAGTTTAGCTTTGAAACAAAGATAACAGTCCTTTCCCAAAACAAACTTTACTGCCTGTGGACTAGACTGCCTAAAGCCACAAGATTAGAAATTATAGTAATCTTACTAAATTTAAGATGTAGCTATTTCCATTAAACCAATATCAATGTCTTGTTTATTAAAAATTACATAAGCAAAGTTTATTCTATCTTGGGCTGGGTTTATAGTTTTGTAACCCCTATGCAAAATTTTGAAACTTTATAGTATTTGGTTAGGATAATTATGAAATTTCTTGATTAATAAATGCAAACAAAAATTTATGTTGGCAATTTTTATGACATTTCTAACATTACCAATAATTTTAAAACTAGCTTATTTATTAAAGATTTTACTTAAGTTATGTAAACTTGAAAAAGCATTTAACTAGTCTTTTTTCCTGATTAAAATATTTGATTCACATATTTTTATTTTCTTCAGTTAATTAATTAGAGCTCTTTTAGACATTTTCAGTAGTGAAACATTGTGTACATAACACATAAATACATAGACATATTAGGGATGCTGATAGAAGTACATCTTACAGATTCATGAACAGCTTTTTTTCTCTTATACTTTCAAATTCTTGATAACCTGTCTCACTACCCTAGGCAGTTGTTAGCTAAATAGCTTTAAATTTGCATATTGAAGGAAACAACTTAGGTGAAAATCAAACAGCAAAATTTACATGATAAGGTACAGAGAGAAAAAGTCTGACATGCTAGAGAAAAATTAAAATGAATGTAATTGCTAATTAAACATAAAACTATATAAATTATAAAGGCTTTTTATTATTTTTTATTTTTTAATTTAATTTTTTTTTGAGACGAAATTTCACTCTCGTTGCCCAGGTTGGAGTGCAATGGTGTGATCTCAGCTCACTGTAACCTCTGCCTCCCTGGTTCAAGCTATTCTGCCTCAGCCTCTCAAGTAGCTGGGATTACAGGCATGCGCCACCATGCCCGGCTAATTTTTTGGATTTTTAGTAGAGATGGGGTTTCACCATGTCGGCCAGGCTGGTCTCGAACTCCTGACCTCAGGTCATCCACCCGCTTTGGCCTCCCAAAGTGCTGGGATTCTAGGTGTGAGCCACTGCTGCCAGCCCAAAGGCCTTTTAAATACACACACACACACACACACACACACACACACACACACCCCATATAGCTTTTACTTCAAAGCTTTAGATATGAGATAAATACAAATTCACTGGCTTGCAAAAAACCTGTTGGATCCAAACAGTGGTTTTTATTTTAATAGACAAATAACAGCAGATTCAAAGCAGGCAGAAAAGAAAATAGAAAAGAGAACTTAGGAACTCTAGAGTTTGCAGGTTGACCTTAGGGCTCTTTTCCCTTAATGTAAATGTGCACAAAGACCATACTACTTCCATTTTACATAAACTCTGGCAAGTATAGAAGCCATGAAACCTACAGAATGCTCAAAAGGGGGTCATTCTCCTTGCTTTCTCCTCATTCTTAGAGTATTTGTTTCCCACTTTTTTTCTTAAAAGGAGGAACTGAGCTGTGGCCTAGGGTTTTTGTGTAGTGGATCGATGTGTGCTGCTTGTGGGCATGACAACACAGTGTGCCACCATTGAGTCGTTTCCATCGTCTTTCATGTTTTAGTTTCTCTCTCCAGAGGTCTAAGATCTCCGAGAGGGCTTAAAACACCTGGTGATCAGCCCTTATGTGCATTTCCTGGATGAGCCTGTTTAAAAATTAATTTTTGTTTGGGATTTTCCAGTAGGGCCGCTGCACATCACAGGGGTCAACCCACAAGACACTCTCACAAGGCCCCTGGTCACCCAGGGGTGCCATTCTGCTGGGAGGAGCAAAAGCCCTTTTTCTTTGGAACTGAGAAAACTCAGTCTCCTGTTAACCTGTGAAAACAACCGTTCATTTCCTCATGCAAATGCACACAGACAAGCTGAATTGAGATCAACTTGAGGAGAAAAAGGAATAGAGAAGACCCTTTAGAAAGCAGCTCTGAACTAGAATCAGGATCCTTAAACAACAACTTCCTAGGAGAAAAAAACAAAAAACACAGCCAAGACCACTTCCTGTAAACTGTGCTCAGCCACCCCTAACTTTGTAGCTCTCATCTGCCATTACACATGCCACAGTCAAATCCTCTCACAGTACAAAGTAATCTCTGGTACCCCCAAAACCAAAGAGATCAGGTCATGTAAAACAGACCTTGAAAAACAGAGCTTGAGACCTAAGAACAATCTGCTCATGACTCTTGAAACTTTACAAAGAAAACAGAACACCACAAAAAGTGTCAGTGGTGCCTTTGTTCTGAATTCTTTACAGGGATTCAAGTCATTAAAAGCCTTCTTTAGATTTTTTGGTACCGCAGATGGCAAAGGGGAAGGAGGTATAGGGTGGAAGAAAAGTAAATGAAAGAACATTGTTTGTTGTTTGTTTGTTTTAAAGATGGGAAGCAAACATAGAAACCAAGTGCATGATTTTTTGGTTTTTGTTTTTCCTCTTTTGCAGCTGTGAGGAATTTTAGCCAAATTAGAGAGGCTTTATTACCCATATCTTGGAATTCTCACTCAGATTAGACCAACTGAGGTAGAGTTGGTCAAATCTGATGAGAGAAAGACTGTAACAACAACAACGAAACCCAACAATATGATCACATCACTGAGCACTCTAATGGTAAGGAGAAATTAAGACCAGCTTATTGTTAAACCAGTCAAGACAAAATCCCAATTCAGCAACTTACCTAGCGATGGGTCTCAGGCTAAAGACTGCCTTCTACCATCCTAGAAGCAAGAAAAACACTTGAACTCATCTTCCCTGCTGGGTGCGAGTTCAAACTACATAAAGGATTTACTTACCTTCCATCGTCATGGAAGCAGAAAATTTTGCCTTCTTTGTTGGAAGCAAGTAAAATGCCAAAAAAAGGCAGGCGGGGGCAGGGGGTGGGTAGTTGCACAGCAAAATAAACTTTAGATCTTGACCAAATTTTGGGAGATCAGGGATTTTCTGGAGGGGTGCTCCCAGACCTCAGCAAATTGTCCCATGGATTTGAGCCATAAAATTAGCTCATGCTGTTACCAAGCACCAACAGGAAATTTGTCAAAGGTTAGAAGCATCTATGGCTGGGCATGGTGGCTCACGTCTGTAATCCCAGGACTTTGGGAGGCCGAGGCGGGTGGATCACGAGGTCAGGAGATCGAGACCATCCTAGCTAACACAGTGAAACCCCGTCTCTACTAAAAATACAAAAAATTAGCTGGGCGTGGTGGTGGGCGCCTGTAGTCCCAGTTGCTCGGGAGCCCGAGGCAGGAGAATGGCATGAACCCGGGTGGCGGAGGTTGCAGTGAGCCGAGATCGCGCCACTGCACTCCAGCCTGGGCTACAGAGCGAGACTCCGTCTCAAAAAAAAAAAAAAAAGTTTAGAGGCATCTTCACTTGGAAGCCCTCCATGGTTACCAAAATGTGAACCCCAAATATCTGAGACAGGTCTCGGTTAATTTAGAAAGCTTATTTTGCCAAGATTGAGGACACGCACCTGTGACACAGCCTCAGGAGGTCCTGACAACAAGTGCCCAAGGTGATCAGAGCATAGTTTGGTTTTACATGTTTTAGGGAGACATGAGACATCAATCAACTTATGTAAGATGAGCTGGGTGTAATCCCAGCACTTTGGGAGGCTGAGGCAGGTGGATCACCTGAGGTCAGGAGTTTGAGACCAGCATGATCAACATGGAGAAACCCCGTCTCTACTAAAAATACAAAATTAGCTGAGCGTGGTGGTGCACACCTGCAATCCCAGCTACTCGGGAGGCTGAGGCAGGAGAATCGCTTGAACCTGGGAGGCGGAGGTTGCAGTGAGCCAAGATCGCACCATTGCACTCCAGCCTGGGCAATAAGAGTGAAACTCCGTCTCAACAACAACAAAAAAAATGTAAGCTGAACACTGATTTGGTCTGGTAAGGTGGGGCGACTCAAAGCAAAGGTGGGACAACTCCAAGCTGGGAAGGAGCTTTCAGGTCATAGGTAGATAAAAGACAAATGATTGCATTCCTTCAGTTTCTGATTAGCCTCTGCAAAGGAGGCAATCAGATATCCATTAGTCTTAGTGAGACCAGGGGTGACTTTGAATAGAATGGGAGGCAGGTTTTGCCCTAAGTAGTTCCCAGCTTGACTTTTCCCTTTAGCTTAGTGATTTGGGGGCCCCAAGATTTATTTTACTTTCACAGGAACAATGGGAATACACACAAACCTTCTCTATCTGGTGCTATGTGACTTTTGGTTACAAGGAAGTAGGCTAAGGTGCTACTGGATTAATGATTAATTATAACTATATTTCTGTCCAGAATTCTTGTTAGCACTGTGAGGTGACTTTAATGACATCCTCCAAGATCCTCATGTTTCAGCTCGAGGATGACTTATTTCCTGAAAACACACTTTCAAACTTATTTTTTTGTTCATACTGCTAAAGCATATTTTTAAAAGGTAAAGTTATGACCCTTGTACAAATATGAAGTTGAACATGTGCCAAAATGATTAATTTATTAATAAATCAGAAAACCGGTAGATGTTATAACTGGTTAAAGAAAATGCCCAGACATATAAGTACACCATAAGGAATGCTGAAACAAATTTGTTGAACCCCTTTCCTGTTTGCCCTAGAATACTTGCTGGCAGTGCTTGCGGCTGGAATGTTTACTCCACGATAACTTTGACATGAAATATCTTGATTTTATTATCAATAATAAATATATAATAATAATAATAATAATATTATTTTTTGAGACACAGTTTCACTCTGCTGCCTGTTTTCAAGTGATTCTTGTGCCTCACCCTCCCAAGTAGCTGGGATTACAGGCACGCTCCACCACACCCGGCTAATTTTTGTATTATTAGTAGAGACAGGGTTTCACCATTTTGACCTCAAGTGATTCACCCCCCTTGGCCTCCCAAAGTGCTGGGATTACAGACATGAGCCTCCGTGCCCGGCCTATTATTATTTTCATATCACTCTAGTGTACCGACTTTAGAAACGAAAGACATCATTTTATTATAGCATTCTGTTTTTAGTTGCGGTACTTCCATTTACAAAACATAGTAATTCTTGATTACTGAAAATGTCAAATCCTAGAAAACCTAGCATTCCTATGCATGATGTTAACATCGTTCTCGAACAGTTGTTGGCTGAAGATTCATTTGATGAATCAGGTTTTTCCAAATTTAGTTGATTCTGATGATTCAGACAATTCTGATGTTAGTTCTGTTTAGAAATAACTCCAATAACTTTTTTTTTTTTTTAAACAGAGTCTCGCTCTGTTGCCCAGGCTGGAGTGCTGTGGCGCGATCTCAGCTCGCTGCAAGCTCCGCCTCCCGGGTTCATGCCATTCTTTTGCCTCAGTCTCCCAAGTAGCTGGGACTACATGCACCCGCCACCATGCCCGGCTAATTTGTTGTATTTTTAGTAGAGATGGGGTTTCACCATGTTAGCCAGGATGGCCTCCATCCCCTGACCTCGTGATCTGCCCGCCTCGGCCTCCCAAAGTGCTGGGATTACAGGCATGTGCCACCGTGCCCGGCTTTTTTTTTTTGAGACAGAGTTTTTGCTCTGTTGCCCAGGCTGGAGTGCAGCAGCGTGATCTTGGCTCACTGCAACCTCTGTCTCCCGGGTTCAAATGATCCTCCATCCTCAGCCTCCTGAGTAGCTGGGATTACAGGTATGCATCACCATGCCTGGCTAATTTTTGTATTTTTAGTAGAGACAGGGTTTCACCATGTTGGCCAGGCTGGTCTTGAACTCCTGACCTCAGGTGATCTGCTAACCTCAGCCTCCCAAAGTGCTGGGATTACAGGCGTGAACCACTGTGCCCAGCCTAAGAACAGTTTTTATATTTTATTTTCACATTGAAAATCAGTCAGATTTGCTCCAGGCTCAAAGAGCATATTTATGTCAAATTAAGCAAGCGTTAATTGCACTTTTTTTTTCCTAAATGGGAAAAGGGTTAAAAGATGAACAACTGCAAGGCCATAATCACTTGCCCCTCCATTGTACGCAATTTGCATTTCTAGGGACAATAATCATTTGCATTATTATCAGTTTTCTACAACTTATAGGAGTTGTAAAATGGCTTAAAGGCAGTTTACATAACAGGACACCCCATAATCTTTCACCCATTTCAAAGTCTTTAACAATTTTCACATTACTAATTCCTCTGCCTAGATTGCAAGTCACTAAAATTCTCTTCATCTAATCAGTTCCTTTTTTTTTTTTAGACAGTGTTTCACTCTGTTGCTCAGGCTGGAGTGCAATGGCATTGATCTCGGCTCACTGCAACCTCCATCTCTTGGGTTCAAGTGATTCTTGTGCCTCAGTCTCCCGAGTAGCTGGGATTACAGGTATGTGCCACCACACCTGGCTAATTTTTGTACTTTTAGTAGAGATGAGGGTTCACCATGTTGGCCAGGCTGGTCTTGAACTCCTGACCTCAAGTGATCCGCCTGCCTTGGCCTCCTAAAGTGCTGGGATTAGAGGCATGAGCCACCACACCTGGCCAAATCAGCTCTTATTAAATACCTACCATGTGCCAAGCACTCTGCTAAGTGCTGGGGTCATCTTTTAGTTATTTTTTTTTATACTTACTGAAATCACCTTTCCAAAAATTATAACAGTGAGAAAATTATGGCAGTGGAGGTGATCTGATCTAGCCAACCCCTCTCTTGCCTTTAGCTTTCAAGCTAGCTTTGGAAGACATTTAGTTTATAGTTTAAATGATAATGAGCCTTCCCCCAAACTCAACTGCCTTTGTAAAGCAATGAGAGACCTCCAGGCTGGGGGAGGAGAGGAGCCTGAATTCTGCTAAGGAGTAGACATAAATGATTGCCAGCCATTATTCCAAAGGTCCTACAGATAACATCACTATTGTAGAACCTATTGTCCTTTTGAGATATCTTTTCAGGCTTTTTGCATATCTGACACCCATAGCTCCACCTGGACCCACCCAGAAGCTACTCAGTGCAAGAGGACAGCTTCAACTCCCTATGATTTCATCTCTGCCCCAACCAATCAGCAGCAAGCACTTATTGCATAACCACCCCCATCCCTTCCCTCTAACTAACTTTGAAAAACCCTTAACCTATGAGCCTTTGATGAGATTGATTTGAGTAATAACTCTGTCTCTCAGGTGTTGTGGCTGGCCTCACATCAATTAAACTTTTTTTTTTTTTTTTGAGACAGGGTCTCCTTCTATCTGTCACCCAGGCTGGAGTGCAGTGGTGCAATTTTTGGCTCACTGTGGCCTCTGCCCCCAGGCTCAAGCGATCCTCCCACCTCAGCCTCCTGAGTAGTTGGGACTACAGGTGCATGCCACCACACCCAGCTATTTTTTTTATTTTTAGTAGAGATGGAGTTTCACCATGTTGCCCAGACTGGTCTCGAACTCCTGAGCTCAGATGATCCGCCTACCTGAGCCTCCAAAAGTGCTGGGATTACAGGCATGAGTCACCATGTCCTGCCAAACTCTTTCTTTACTGCAATGCCATGGTCTTTATTCGTGCAGCAGGCAGGAAGAACCCATCAGGTGGTTACATTTCCAGTTTATTATAAAGGATATTACAAAGGATATAGAAGAGGAGATGCATAGGGCAAGGTATGGGGAAGATGTGTGAAGCTTTTATGTCCTCTTCAGGAGCACCACCCTCCAGAAACCTCCACATGCTTAGCTCTTCAAAATCTATCCAAACTCTGTCCTTTTGGGGTTTTATGGAGGCTTCATTACATAGGCATGACTGATTTAACTTTTGGCCATTGGTGACCAAATTAGCCTTCAGCCCCTCTCCCCTCCCTGAATGTTAGGGAGCGGGGCTAAAAGTCCCAACCCTCTAATCCTACCTTGGTCTTTCTGGTGACCAGCTGCCATCCTAAAGTTACCTAGGGGCTGCCAGCCATCAGTCAACTCCTTAGCATACAACAGATATCACTTTGGGGATTTTAGGAGTTATATGACAGGACACTGGGTCAAAGACCAAATGTATATTTCACTGTACTACAGTCCACTCACAAATCTCTTACGTCAAAGGGATATACAACTCAAAAGATACTGCTATATTACTAGGATCCCATTTAATCATTAATAATCAGTCCAGTTCATTATATTGGTGAATATCTGCCAGAGTGAGGCCACTCAGGTCTGCAAGCTTCCATTCCATCTTGTCAGGTTCCTGAGATGCTCCAAGCCTCTTTCAAGGTGTTAATGCAATTTTAGATTTCCCTCAAGGTATAACTCATTTATTCATTCCTTTAATCTCCTTCTCTACTATTGTTAATGGTGGAGGGTGTCCAGGTTCTTGGCGTCTCGAACAAAGAAATGGACAAAATGCACAAACAAAGCAAGGGAGGAATATAGGGTTTTATTAAAAATGAAAGTACACTTCACAGTGTGGGAGTGGGCCCAAGCATAGGGGCTCAAAGGCCCTGTTACAGAGTTTTTGTGAGTTTAAATACCCCCTAGGATTCCATTGGTTACTTGGGATATGCCCTATGTAAACGGAGAGGATGAAGTAAAGTTACAAAGTCATTTACGGCCTATGCTCTATGCAGAGGTTATTTCCTGTTATAGCTGAAGTGTGAATTGGCCTTATGTTCCCTGCCTCCAAACCCTGCCTCACTATTCCTTCTTCTCTCCACTAATATCCAAACTTTTCCACCTTTGCAAGAGACATTAGTATCAGCCACTGCATTGGTCTAGATTGCAGGCAAGTCTAGCAAGTTACTTCCCCTCAGTCCATTCTCATTCAGATAGGATAAGAACATAGATGAAGAACTAATAAGCCATCTTTACCAACAGGCAATATAGCTACATTGACTCTTAGTCCCTGTAAATAAAAAATAAAATTCTAAGGCCTTCCAGCCATCTGAATGGACCCCTCCTCTGCCAAGAGCATTCCAGAGTTAGCCTGAAAGACTAGTTTCAGGCCATGATGGGAAGGGGGAGCTGAACATGCCTTGTTATACCCTCCTTCCCTTCCTCCTTTTCGGAATTACTGATAAAACAAACTATTTTTTATTTTATTTTATTTTTTATTTTTTTTGAGATGAAGTTTTGTTCTTGCTGCCCAGGCTGAAGTGCAGTGGCACAATCTCAGCTCACTGCAACCTCTTTCTCCCGGGTTTAAGCAATTCTCCTGCCTCAGCCTCCTGAGTAGCTGGGATTACAGGCACCTGCCACCATGCCCAGCTAATTTTTTGTATTTTTAGTAGAGATGGGGTTTCACTATGTTGGCCAGGCTGGTCTTGAACTCTTGACCTCAGGTGATTCACCTGCCTCAGCCTCCCAAAGTACTGGGATTGCAGGCATGAGCCACTGTGCCCAGCCAACTCTTAAGTCTTGGAAGAAACATTTACAATGATTCTGTCTTTGAAGCCTGCTACCTGGAGGCATCATCTGCATGATAAAACCTTGGCCCCCACAGCCTCTTAACCGTAACCCAAACGTTCCTTTCTGTTGATTCCAGGTCCTTAGATAATAACTCTTTCAACCAATTGCCAATCAGAAAATATTTGAATCTGCCTATAACCTGGAAGCCTCCCTTCTAGTTCCTGAGGACTAAGCTCTGATTTTTTATCTTGCCCAAATTATTACCTAAGGGGTGTAGGGAGTCATGCCCTACAAACCATAAATTCTCATCAGATGGGTTTTATTTGACCCTATATATCATGACTTACTTTTCAACCTGACTCTGGCATAATATTATGAGACACGGAAAAAAATATTTAACCCCAAAATATATATTTCCTTGCCATACCTTGAAATTGCCCTGCAAGGTCTCTCATGGGAAAAATCCACATTCTATAGAAAATCCCCTTTCCCCTTTGTTTTCCTTCCTTTCTTCCAGATCTAGGATATAATCAACTAAGAGGCACCCTTTTAGGTCTGATAAGAAACATTTTACAATCTGCTCTCTCTCTGAGGACTGGTATCTGAGAGATTTCTCTGCAAAGTAAAATTTGGTCTCCACAATCCTTTATTTTATTTTATTTTGAGACAGAGTTTTGCTCTGTTGCCCAGGCTGGAGGACAGTGGCCCGATCTCAGCTCACCACAACCTCCGTCTCCCAGGTTCAAGTGATTCCCCTGCCTCAGCCTCCCAAGTAGCAGGGACTACAGGCGTGTGACACCATGCTTGTCTAATTTTTGTATTTTTTGTAGAGATGGGGTTCACTGTGTTGGCCAGGCTGGTCTTGAACTCCTGACCTTGTGATCCGCCCACCCTGGCTTCCCAAAGTGCTGGGATTACAGGCGTGAGCCACCGCGCCCGGCCCACAATCCTTTATCTTAACCTAAACTTTCCTTTCCATTGATCCCAGGTCTTCAGATAAACTCAGCCAATTGTCAACCAGAAAATGTTTAAATTTATCTATAGCTTGGAAGCCCCCCGGCTTAGAGTTGTCCTGCCTTTCTGAACCAAACCAGTGTATTTCTTAAATGTATTTGATTGATGTCTCATGCCTCCCTAAAAATATATAAAACCAAGCTGCACCCCAACCACTTTGGGCACAGGTTCTCAGGACCTCCTGAGGGCTGTGTCACGGGCTGTGGTCACTAATATTTGGCTCAGAATAAATCTCTTAAAATATTTTACAGATTTTGACTCTTTTCATTGCCACACCTTTCTGGACCAATGTATATCTTACATGTATTGATTGATGTCTTATGTCTCCCTAAAATGTGTAAAACCAAGCTGTACCCTGACCACCCTGGGCATATGTTCTTAGGATCTCCTGAGGGCTGTGTTACACGCCACTGGTCACTCATATTTGCCTCAGAATAAATCTCTTCAAATATTTTACAGAGCTTGACTCTTTTTATTGACACCTCAATTTTGCCAGATGGGGTGAAGGTACAACCCATCTCCATCAGGTCCCTAGGAATCCTGGCATAAGGTTTAAACACATTGTGGCAGTTTCTTGCTTAGGAATCATTCTTGCTTCTAGCATTTGTATTTGCATCCCTGATCCTAGGACTCTTGCATCAGGTAGCGGAGAAAAAGTTGAGGTGACGTGGGGAAGAAAGAAAAGAAACTACAATCATTATAGCAGTATACACCTCCCTTGGTAAGAATTGTATATCATACCAGCATTGTCCCCACCTCCTCTTTCCCAGACCAACCAGAGTAACAGGAGAATCCAGTGTGGATACCCCTCATGTCGAGTGTGAGCACACACTCAGGAAGGCGTGTAAGCCAGCCCTTCATGCATTTATCTTTCTCTGTTTTAGACAACCAATGTTTTAATTGCCAGTTTCACTCCTCTATCAAACTATTACTCTGAGGAGGAGATTTTCCCGCTCACTGTTAGACATTATGGGCTGTACAGTGTGTTCCTTGGTCTGAGGAAATTGTGGTCAGCCATCCAAATCCATGCAATATCTTCTGGTTTGTTTTGTTTGTTTGTTTGTTAGTTTTTGTTTTTTTTTTTAAATAGCACTTTGAGAATTTGTATTTTCCACTGGGTAAGCAAAGCCAGGTCCAGAGTCAATGTCTATTCCTGTGAAGGCCCATTTGTAGTCCCGAGTGCTACCAGTATCAGACTCACTTGCCAACCATGTTCAGGGCCTTGCCACCAGGGAATCTGCCCATAGTCACTGGCAGTATCTATATCTTATGCTGATAGACACAACAGTTTTTACTGGCATTATGTGCCTGAGAGGGTGAAAAAGAACGTGTTTAGATTTAGCCCATCTCTGCATTGTTGCAGTATCCCCATATCCGCCCATTCCATGGACCCAGGTGGCCACTTTGTAACAGTACTGACTCCATGTTAGAGAAAAGCTTGTTTGCTAGAATGGAATTATTGCTTTGCTTGAATTTGTAGATTATTTACTAAAAACAGCCTCAGGAAAACAGGATCTTCAACGAAGGTAAAAGAAAATACTCTGCCCAGGCCGGGCACGGTGGCTCATGCCTGTAATCCCAGCACTTTGGGAGGCCGAGGTGGGCAGATCACGAGGTCAGGAGATCGAGACCATCCTGGCTAACATGGTGAAACCCCGTCTCTACTAAAAATACAAAAAAAATTAGCCAGGCGTGGTGGCGGGCACCTGTAATCCCAGCTACTCAGGAGGCTGAGGCAGGAGAATCACTTGAACCCGGGAGGCGGAGCTTGCAGTGAGCTGAGACTGTGTCACTGCACTCCAGCCTGGGCGACAGAGCAAGACTCCGTCTCAAAAAAAAAAAAAAAAGAAAATACTCTGACTAACAGCTCTGGGAATAGGCTGACCAGCTGGTAAGAATAGGCTAATGGCGATTGCAGAAGGTCACAAAACATTGACAAGAAAGCAATGATTCAGCCTGGGCAACGGAACAAGACCTTATCTCTTCTGAAAATCAATGAAATAATCTGGGCATGGTGGCATGTGCCTATACTTCCAGCTACTTGTGAAGCCGAGGCAGGAGGATTGCTTGAGCCTGGTAGATTGAGGCTGCAGTGAGATGGCACCACTGCATTCTAGCCTGGGCGACAGAGCAGAACCCTGTCTCAGAAAAAGAGAAGTAATAATTAACTGCCTGTCTGAAACTGTGCACATTTCACAAGAATGTTTTGATCATCATTTCCCTAATTTCCCTTAAAAGCCCCAGATCTGGAAGCCCAACTTGGAAAGGTAGTCTTTGAATGCTAGTTGACTACCTTCCCTACGTTGCTAGCTTCTTGAATAAAGTTAACTTCCCTTTCACCAAAACTTGTTCCTTAAGTTTTTGGCTTTCAAGCAATGAGTGGCTGGACCTGAGTTTAGTTACAATCTCAAGAGAGCATATGGGGATATTTGTTTGATAATTCTTATCACCTGCCAAATCTGGAAGGGGTATCTTTTGATGGGCATTGCCATGTCCTACTTAATGAATGCCTCAAATTTTGATAGGGCTATGCCCCATATGGGCTTCCCTTTAATTGGATTCCATTGCCCTCCTGCCTGACTGTGTGGCCAGGTCATTGGCGACTGCCCTTGGGTCAGTAAAAACCCAAACATAAGGACTTTTTTACCACTGTTCAATTCTTCCATCACTGCTAGGAAAATAGCACACAATTCTGCCCACCAAGCTGATTTGTTTTTACTTTCTTTGATTGGGGTGGTATCCTCCCAAATAGGATGATGTCCATTCACCTTGAAACTGCCATTCACAAGCTAAGCAGATCTTTGTCAGTCATTTGAGAGCTGTTCATTGGGCACTATCCATGCGATGATAGAATCTAGCAGCTCTTCACACAGTTCCAGACTTAATCTTAGGGGGAAAAGTTTTCTCTGTTTATCCCTTCCTTGTATTCCTCAGGTGGTTGATCCTGTATAAACCATTTCCATTTTATCATGGAACTCCTCTGGGCGCTGCTGTCCCCATTAGAGTGTCTCTCTGACACCGACCAAGACATCAAGTTTCAAGATCATTTGTGTCCTTCAGTCATGGGGGTAGCTTCAATTAATGTCCCATATCAAGGTAGCAAATGCCCCTTCATTGGAAATTCTTTAGTCCAATGTTCCAGTTAATTGTCACTGAGAGGTGCTCACAGACTTTTACCTTAAGCTCCAGTTTACATTCCACATAGGGCTAACAAATAGAGAATTTGTTCATACCAGGACTCCAGCTTCTACTCTACATTCTGTGTGAGCTCTGACAATCTTTTTTTTTTTTTTTTTTTTTTGAGACGGAGTCTCGCTCTGTCACCCAGGCTGGAGTGCAGTGGCGCGATCTCGGCTCACTGCAAGCTCCGCCTCCCGGGTTCACGCCATTCTCCTGCCTCAGCCTCCCGAGTAGCTGGGACCACAGGCGCCCGCCACTACGCCCGGCTAACTTTTTGTATTTTTAGTAGAGACGGGGTTTCACCTTGGTCTCGATCTCCTGACCTCGTGATCCACCCGCCTCGGCCTCCCAAAGTGCTGGGATTACAGGCGTGAGCCACCGCGCCCGGCCTCTGACAATCTTATTTGTTCCCGTTTAGCATGTTCAAATAATATTGCTTAAAGGGCAGATTGACATGCCTCCTGTTTTACAGCACTAGGTGGGGGAAACATTCCCCAGTTGGGTACAATGTCCATCCCCATAACACAATCAGGTAAGACGCAACCACATTACATTGTGTTCAAACACACTAACTTTTCTATAAACCTTTACCTTAATTCTATCAACACTTTCCTATCTGTAGCCTCCATTAGAACTTTACAGCCCATGAGTTCAAGACCAGCCTGGGCAACATGGGGAGACACCATCTCTACAAAAAAATTAAAAGTTAGCTGATTAGGCCTAGCACGGTGGCTCATGACTGTAATCCCAGCACTTTGGGAGGCTGAGGTGGGAGGATCACCTGAGGTCAGGAGTTTGAGACCAGCCTGGCCAACATGGCAAAACTCCATCTCTACTGAAAAAAAAAAAAAAATGCAAAAATTAGCCAGGCCTGTAATCCCAGCTACTCGGGAGGCTCAGGCAGGAGAATCACTTGAACCTGGGAAGCAGAGGCTGCAGTAAGCAGAGATTGCACTCTAGCTTGGGTGACAGAATGACACTCTGTCTCAAAAAAAAAAAGAAATTAGTGATTAGGCCACTGCACTCCAGCCTGGGTGACACAGTGAGACCGTGTCTCAAAAAAAAAAAAAAAGGAAAAAAAATTTCTCTGATAATCTACAGGATACATTTGGCAGTTTACTTTAATAGTCAACAGGCTCTAAATTAATTAATTAATTTTGAGACAAAGTCTCCCTCTATCACCAGGCTGGAGTGCAGTGGCGTGATATCGACGCTGGAGTGCAGTGGCGTGATATCAACTCACTGCAACCTCTGCCTCCCAAGTTCAAGTGATTCTTGTGCCTCAGCCTCCCGAGTAGCTGGGATTGCTGGCACCCGCCACCACAACTGGCTAACTTTTGTATTTTTAGTAGAGACGGGATTTCACCATGTTGGCCCGGCTGGTCTTGAACTCCTGACCTCGGGTGACCAACCAACTTTGCCTCCCTAAGTGCTAGGATTACAGGCATGAGCCACTGTGCCCGGCCTGTCAACAGGCTTTTAAGTTTACTCCCCTTGAGGAGGTATTATGATTCATGGCAACATCATCTCCCTGAGTAAATAATCTTATTGTGAGTTCCTCGAATTGTTGACTTACTGATTAACGTATGATCTACTGATACTGAAATGAAAAGGATGCTGATTTATTTCTGAATCATGAAGTTTTACTTATTGTCTGGCATGTGGACATTTTAGCTTATATGTTGCAATCTGTAGTCAATGATGGTATCCTCTAATGAAAAAGGACAACTCTGGTATGAGGAGTCCTCTTCCCTTCTTCTAAACTCTCCTATAAAAGCCTTCCAACTTGTAACAGACTCTGGAAAACTCCCAACTTGGTTGGCGTGTCTTCCTGGGTTGATCTTCACATTTGTCTTCCAGTAAACTTTTATCAAATTATTTCTGTCCCAACAGCCTTAATTTTGGCTGACATTTTTGGTGTAGCTGGCAGGAATTCAGAGTGATTTCCCTGGATCACCCAGCATGGCTTCTGACCCTCTGCAGGTACTGGCAACAAACCCATTGCATTACTGAACTTGATGGCCCTGCTGGATGCTACAGACGAGTTCCTTCAGAATCAATAAACTTCCCATCTTGATCAAAGTTCTGGTTTATTGAAGCTGGTATCCTCCTTGGCTAGGAGGTACAAAGACTCTTTCAGACAGAGAGTTACTGCTATGAGTTCAAGGTAAGGGTAGAATTCTAGGGCAGGGTAAAATAGGAGATCTGTGAATTGTTATTCTGGAATTTTGGGGAGAGACAACCTTTTCCTTTCTCCTTTTTGATTGCATGAAGTTGAGACACTCACTGCCTCCAGCCCAATGGGAAAACTGGGCCGGGCGTGGTGGCTCATGCCTGTAATCCCAACCCTGCAGATTGCCTGAGGTCAAGAGTTTGAGAACAGCCTGGCCAACATGGTGAAACCCCGTCTCTACTAAAAATACAAAAATTAGCCAGGAGTGGTGGCATGAGCCTGTAATCCCAGCTACTTGGGAGGCTGAGGCAGGAGAATCACTTGAACCCAGGAGGCGGATGTTGCAGTGAGCCGAGATCGAGCCACTGCACTCCAGCCTGGGTGACAGAGCAAGACTCTGTCTCAAAAAAAACAAACAACAACAACAACAAAAAAAAAAAAAAAAAAGGGAAAACTGAAACTAGCAGAGGTGTCAGACATACTACCCAAAATATGTAGCAATCTTATAGGAGAATCCTCACACAACTTTTTGCTTAGTTGACAGGCTTTCTAAAGACTGATCATCTCTTGCCAGTGAGCATCCTGCCACTTCTTTGGAAGTGATTTGGGAATCCAAGATACATAAAAGGATCTTTTCAGCCTGTTGGGTGAAATATATAGGAAGAAAGATTCTAGCCAGAACACTTGATCCACTACATAGTTTGTCTTGCTCAAAACCAAGATAGAAAATAGGTCTTCTAAGACTGAAGGTGCACCATCTCTGTCAACACCGGATGATTTTATGTATAATACTTACGGTTCTTCTACTTGCAAGTGCTTAGATAAGTGAACCTGCTAACCCAGGATAGTCATAAGCAGCATTGGCAAAATGGGGATTTAAAAACAATTGTTTTACCCATGACATTTTTATTCAGTTTGATTATTCCTTGTGAAATGAGTGTAAATTAATCTCTACTTCATATCTTATCAAAATACGATCTTCATCCTTTGATCACATCGAGTGTTTCACACACTCCACTCCAGTACACCCACAACTAAGAGCAGAATACTTCATTACAGGAAACATGTGAATCAGAGTTCTGTTCGAAATCTTAGCCAAAGCTGGTCAATTTTTTTTAACAAAAATTCAGTATAAAATAAAACAGACTGATCCAAAGAGCTGAGTTTGTTATACTCATTTCATTATGATATACAGTACGATGTTATGTAATGAACATGGGTTGATAAATTATTGGTGCGTTAAATGGCAATGTTTCATTAAGGAGGCTGTTCTGCTTTACCTATCGGAAAATTACTTAGAAAATGTCTGCATTTCCTATTTTAGAAACTACAGTTTTCCCAAAGACAAAGGTCTTTAAATAGTTTAATGCTTAGTGTTCTTAACATAACAATGCAACTTAGTTCAGAAGGTATTTTGTCAACTCTTAATCTAAGTAAGAATAGGGGTGTGTTAGGCCATTCTTGCATTGCTATAAAGAACAACCACGTGGCTCAGTTATTTATAAAGAAAAGAGGTTTAATTGGCTCACGGTTTTGCAGTGTGCAAGCATGGCTCCAGCAACTGTGTGGCTTCTGGGGAGGCCTCAGGGAGCTTTCATTCATGGCGGAAGGTAAAGACAGAGCAGGCACCTCACATGGCCAGAGCAGGAGTAAGGAGGATGGAGTAGGTGCAACACACTTTTAAACAACCAGATCTCGTGTGAACTCAGAGCGAGAGCTCACTTATCACTAAGGGGATGGTGCCAAGCCATTCATGAGGGATCTGCCCCCATGATCCACACTGGAGACTACATTTCAACATAAGATTTGGAGGGGACACATATCAAACGATATTAAGGGGATCTAAAAAAATAAGGCTTTAAGAAGTCTTGTCATTTTAGAGCTAAATTTTAAAGAATGTGAGTCTCAACTTTTATCTATAGAACAAACAAAATCTTAAAGTGACTGAGTGGTTCAAAACGGTTTTATGGAAAATTAATCTGTAACTAAAATTTGGCATTGAGTGAGAAGGCGCTACCATTTTTTAAGCAAAATGTACAACAGTTTTAAAGGGCAGGGCTAAGAATGAGAGGCTCAGACATTTACAACAGCAGGCATTTTCTCTTCCTCTTCTTCACAGGAGGTGGGCAGAGAACTGCTCAGATAGCTTTGTCAAACACCGTTTTGAACCCTCGCTATGTGAGAGCCAAGCACTTCAGGTATTTTAAAGCGCCAATCTCCTTATTCCTGGCTAAAAACTGCAGATAGGTGATGGGAGTCAGCTTCTTCTCCTTCAGTTTCTCAATCGTGTCTTTAACAACATTAAGATCAAGTTTACTTCCCACAAGAATGATGGGAGTGTTGGGAAAATGGTGCTGCATTTCAGGATGCCACTCTGCACAGACATTTTCAAATGATGCAAGACTCACAAGGGAGAAGCATATTAAAAATATGTCTGTTTACAGATAGAATGGGGGCATAATCTGTCATAATCTTCTTGTCCAGATGTATCCCATAAGCCCAGATTCACTGGCTTTCCATCTACCTTAACATTGGCAGCAGAATAATTGTCAAAGACAATAGTGATAATGCATTGGGAAATGCATTGGGTGTAACACTGATTAGTAGGCAAGTTTTACTTGTAGCTCCATCTCCAACCACCACACACTTGATGGCTTGCACCTGGGTCACTCGCTGGGCCCTGGCAGTGGTGGTTAGGCACTAAGGCAAGAAGTGGTGGGATAGAAGCATGGTAGGCAGGTGCATGGCTGCAGGTGGCAGGGGATGGGGTGCCAAGGTCGTTGTCCATGCCACCTCACCCTTAGCCCAAAATGGGAATCTTTTGAAAATGCTAAAATAATTAATTCACATGGACAATTGGAAAAAGATGGGATTAGACAAACTGAGTGGGAGGCTTACTGTCACCAGCACTTAGAAGCTTCTATTTAGGTGAGTGCAAAAGTAATTGCAGTTTTTGCATTGTTGGAATTTGCCATTTGGTATTGGAATACACTCTTAAATAATGTGGTTATGATATACATCATTTTAGTGAGTATTTTTCACTTTATTTCTTTTGTAATGACATTACTCGATTTTTTTTGTTTATTTTAGACTATGGAAATGATGTTAGACAAAAAGCAAATTCATGCAATTTTGTTATTCGAGTTCAAAATGGGTCGTAAAGCAGCGGAGACAACTCGCAGTGTCAATAATGCATTTGGTTCAGGAACTGCTAATGAACATACGGTGCAGTGATGGTTCAAGAAGTTTTGAAAAGGAGACAAGAGCCTTGAAGATAGGGAGCATAGTGGCCAGCCATCAGAAGTTGACAATGACCAATTGATAGCAATCATCAAAGCTGACCCTCTTACAACTACACAAGACGTTGCTAAAGAACTCAACGTTGACCATTCTATGGTCATTTGGCATTTGAAGCAAATTGGAAAGGTGAAAAAGCTCGATGAGTGAGTGCCTCATGAGTTAAGCAAAAATTTAAAAAAAAATAATTTTTTTGAAGTGTTGTCTTCTCTTATTCTACGCAACAACAACGAACTATTTCTTGATTGGATTTGTGCAGTGAAAAGTGGATTTAAATTTTTTTTTTTTTTTTTTCTGAGATGGAGTCTCGCTCTGTCACCCAGGCTGGAGTGCAGTGGTGGTGCAATCTCAGCTCACTGCACCCTCTGCCTCCTGGGTTCAAGTGATTCTCCTGCCTCAGCCTCCCAGGTAGCTGGGGTTATAGGTATGTGCCACAATGCCTGGCTAATTTTTGTATTTTTAGTAGAGATGGGGTTTTGCCATATTGGCCAGGCTGGTCTCGAACTCCTGCTCAGGGGATCCACCCACCTTGGCCTCTCAAAGTGCTAGGATTACAGGCGTGAGCCGCCGTGCCCAGCCGAAAAGTGGATTTTATATGACAACTGGTGACAGTCAGCTCAGTGGTTGGACCGAGAACAAGCTCCAAAGCACTTCTCAAAGTCAAACTTGCACCAGACAAAGGTCATGGTCACTGTTTGATGGTCTGCTGCCGATCTGATCCACGACAGCTTTCTGAATCCCTGCAAAACTATCACATCTGACAAGTATGCTCAGCAAATCAAAGAGATCCACTGAAAACCGCAAAGCCTGCAGCCGGCATTGGTCAACAAATAGGGCCCAATTCTTCTCCATGACAACACCCAACCACACATTGCACAACCAACGCTTCAAAAGTTGAACAAATTGGGCTATGAATTTTTGCCTCATCCAACATATTCACCTGACCTCCCGCCAACTGACTATCTCTTCTTCAAGTATCTCAACAACTTTTTGCAGGGAAAACGCTTCCACAACTAGCAGGATGCAGAAAATGCTTTCCAAGAGTTTGTTGAATCCCGAAGCACGGACTTTTATGCTACAGGAAGAAACAAACTTATTTCTCATTGGCAAAAATGTGTTGATTGTAATAGTTCTTTTTTTTTTTTTTTTTTTTTTTTTGAGATGGAGTCTCGCTCTGTCTCCCAGGCTGGAGTGCAGTGGTGCAATCTCGGCTCACTGCAACCTCCGCCTCCCGGGTTTTACGCCATTCTCCTGCCTCAGCCTCCCGAGTAGGTGGGACTACAGGCGTGCACCACCTACGTCCGGCTAATTTTTTTGTATTTTTAGTAGAGACGGGGTTTCACCATGTTAGCCAGGATGGTCTTGAACTCCTGACCTCGTGATCTGCCTGCCTTGGCCTCCCAAAGTGCTGGGATTACAGGCGTGAGCCACCACACCCAGCCTTTTTTTTTTTCTGATACGGAGTTTTGCTCTGTCACCCAGGCTGGAGTGCAGTGGCACAATCTCGGCTCACTGCAACCTCTGCTTCCTGGGTCCTAAGCGATTCTCCTGCCTCAGCCTCCCAAGTAGCTGGGACTACAGGCCTATGCCCCAGTGCCCAGCTAATTTTTGTATTTTTAGTAGAGATGGGGTTTCACCATGTTGGCCAGGCTGGTCTCGAACTCCTGACCTCATGATCCGCCCACCTCGGCCTCCCAAAGTGCTGGGATTACAGCTGTGAGCCACTGTGCTTGGCCTGTAATGGTTCTTATTTTGATTAATAAAGATATATTTGAATCTAGTTATAATGATTTAAAATTCACCCTCTAAAACTGCAATTACTTTTGCACCAACCTATAAAAGAAATTTTGTAGAGGCTGGACGCAGTGGCTCATGCCTGTAATCCCAGCACTTTGGGAGGCCGAGGTGGGTGGATCACCTGAGGTCAGGAGTTCGAGACCAGCCTGACCAACATGGAGAAACCCCGTCTCTACTAAAAATACAAAAAAAATTAGCCAGGCGTGATGGTGCATGCCTGTAATCCCAGCTACTCGGGAGGCTGAGGCAGGAGAATTGTTTGAACGTGGGAGGCGGAGGTTGCAGTGAGCCGAGATCACGCCATTGCACTCCAGCCTGGGCAACAAGAGCAAAACTCCGTCTCAAAAAAAAAAAACAGAAAAAAGAAATTTTGAAAAAAGTTGCCTCTATTCAACAGGTAAATAAAAGGATACCAGAAACTATTTTTCTTTTCCTTTTCTTTGAGATAGGGTCTTGCTCTGTTGTCCAGGCTGGAGTGCAATGTCATGATTACAGCTCACTGTCATCTTGCCCTCCCAGGCCCAAGTGATCTTCCCACCTCAGCCTCCCGAGTAGCTGGGACTATAGGCACACCCCACCACTCCTGGCTAATTTTTGTATTTTTAGAAGAGACGGGGTTTTGCCACGTTGCCTAGGGATATCTTGAACTCCCAGGCTCAAGCGATCTACCCGCCACAGCCTCCTAAAGTGCTGGGATTACAGGTGAGCTGCCGCACCTGGTCAGCCTGAAACTATTTCTAAATTGAAAAAGATTTAGCGACTTTCTCCCTTTCACCTCCAACTGCTTCTCCCTATCCTTCTGGCTCCTTCCCCACCCCTACTCCCTTATTTGAACTCATTCCTTTCTGCTTGTACCTCTAGCTCTCATATATCTCCTAGGTAGAGACTTTTGGAATTTCACAATGCATACATTTCTTTCTCTCAAAAGAGGGAAAGGTATTTAAATGTAGAACAGATAAGCAAACAGAACAGCTACAGAACAAGAATAAAACTACTGAGATTGTTAAAATACAGATCCAACAAATTTTTTCTAAACTGGGACTGATAAATGCCACTTATGATTTACTGCAAGCATTCCTGGACCTTTTGTGATCTTAGTCTTCCACTGTCATTGGTAAAATATATTCAGCTGCCCCCATTAAAATGGAACACTTAATTGAAAAATTAGAAATCTAAAAGAGAAAGAACTATATAAGTGTTTATAAAAGTTAGGCTCTTAGATCAAACAGATCAAAATCTTGAGCTTGGAGCAATAATATAAGGAATCTCTGTTCAATACAAAAGTTTTACTTTTTCTGCTATGCAGAGACCAACAAAACAAAAACAAAAACAAAAACAAAAAACAAACAAAAACAAAAAGCTGAAAGAAGAGAGAGAGAGCGAGAGAGAAACTGCTCTAATCTTTCCTGTCCACATTTGTTAATCAAGCAAACCAGACTGGTAAACAAAAGATAGATTTGTTACTAATTCAAGGATAATTGGGGATTTTATTTTTCTTATTCAATTCAGCCAGTCCTAGCCAAAATGTAAACATTAAAAATTTGACCTTGGCTGGGCATGGTGGCTCACGCTTGTAATCCCAGCACTTTGGGAGACCAAGGTGAGAGGATCATGAGGTCAGGAGATCGAGACCATCCTGGCTAATACGGTGAAACCCCGTCTCTACTAAAAATACAAAAAATTAGCTGGGCGTGGTGGGTGCCTGTAATCCCAGCTACTTGGGAGGCTGAGGCAGGAGAATGGCATGAACCTGGGAGGCGGAGCTTGCAGTGAGCAGAGATCACGCCACTGCACTCCAGCCTGGGCGACAGAGGGAGATTCTGTCTCAAAAAAAAAAAAAAAAAAAAAAATTTAAACAAACTCATTTGAAACTGAAAAGAAGGGTAAAATTGATTTTACAAAAATCAAACTGCTCTAGCACTTTGTGAAGCAAAGGCATGAGGATCATTTGAGGCAGGGAGTTCAAGACAAGTCAGGGTAACAATAGTGAGACCCTCATCTCAATGAAAATAAAAATAAAAATAAAAATAAATTAGCTAGGTGGTGGCATGCACCTGTAGCCCTAGGTACTTGGGAGGAGGCTGAGGTGGGAGGACTGGTTGAGCCAAGTAGTTCAGGGCTGCAGTGAACTATGATTATGCCACAGCACTCCAGTCTGGGTGCCAGAGTGAGACACTATCACCAAAAAACTAAAATCAAACTGCCACAAAAACTTATTTGCCTGAAATTTTGGTCCACAGTCTTCATTAGATTATCTGTAAGGGCAATTAAATTTTAGCCATGTGAACACATTCCAATTTAGTCAGAAATATAATTTGGATCCAATTGTCTTTTATGAACCAGTGAGTTTTTATTACTATCTCATGACTAAAATTCTAAAATGAAAGCTGTGAAATCTTTGTGTGTGTGTGTGTGTGTGTTTAGATGTATTTATACATATATACATGTATTATATGCTGTGTCTACATGGTAAAATCTGGCATAGTTGACCAGAAATCTCTTAAGGATAAATTAGTGCTCATATAAAATATATAGTAATTAATCCTAATGGCTTTTAGTTTTTGTTAAATGAGTAAAGCATTAATAAATAAGATGATTTTAAAATTATTGGTAAAACAAAAATAGAAATGTCTTCAGAATTGTCAGCATACACTTTGCCTGGGTTTACTGGTCAGACAGTTTTATATCTTTCTCTGCTAGATATCTGAAGCTGTCATGGTTTAACACAAAGGTTATAAAAGTATAAACTCAGCCTAAAACAGAATGATCTTTGAGTAATTTTGTGATAAGACTAATTTAATGTTACAGCCGTATCTTCTGGCTTATCAGCAAAATACCAATATACTTCACTTTAAGGCTCTTATTTAAGTGAACACCTGATAGTCACAGGCTATAAAAATGGATAACAAGGAAATAATTTGATACCATGACTAACTTTGTCTAATACCTCAGTTTTCAGAAATAATCTAGGTTATCTGCTAAAATAAATAAATTAGGTAAATTAAATAAATTTCCATAAATGAACTTTTAATGTAATTTGATATCTTAAAGTTGTGTTAAATTAATAGATACTAATTAAATCTGGGTCATTATCAAATAAAATTTTAAAATTGTGTTATAGGGAAACATGTTTCTAAAAATTACAAAATGATTCTCATGATAAATATTGATATATTGAAAATGAACCAGGTAGGTAAAAAAAGAAAACAAATTAAAAGTAAAATACTGATATGTGACAGACAATTCAAGATCTTGCTTCCTAGGTTTCATTAAATTTAAGAGTTAAAAATTGTAATCAATATATAGAATTCTGTATATAAAGAGTACATATATATACACAAAATGTATTTTTGATAGAAAAAAATTATAAGAAAGTCACAAAGTGGCTGGGCACTGTGGCTTATACCTGTAATCCCAGCACTTTGGGAGGCCAAGGCAGGCAGATCACGAGGTCAAGAGATTGAGACCATCCTGGCCAACATGGTGAAACCCCGTCTCTACTAAAAATACAAAAATTAGCTGGGCGTGGTGGTACGTGCCTGTAATTCCAGCTACTAGGGAGGCTGAGGCAGGAGAATTGCTTGAACCCAGGAGGCAGAGGTTGCAGTAAGCCAAGATTGTGCCACTGCCCTCCAGCCTGGCAACAGAGTGAGACTCCATCTCAAAAAAAAAAAAAAAAGAAAGAAAGAAAGAAACGGATAAAGTTGTGTTCTTTATTATGAAAAAAATTTTTTGTCTATTTTGGAGGTTAATTAAACATTGTTTCAAAATATAGAACAGATAGGAAAGAACCGGTAAGTAGGAGAGTGATATGTGAAGAAAGTATAGATATGAAAACGTATTTTTGGTAAGAAAGGTTAAAAAGAAAAGATAATAATGTTATATGAGAAAAAACTTTATATGGTAAATTTGTGTCCTAAGGTAAAATTTAAGAGAGCAAAAGTATAGGATAAAGCAGAAATTTCAAGCATATTGTCTATGGTACATATTGTCAGAGTACGTTGTGATAAGGTTTGTGAAAAGAAAATTTATGAAAGGAAATTTGCATGTGATCAGGTTGGCTATAATTAAAGGAAATTACTTATAAGTCTTTCTAAAGATTGAGCTTTGATATTAAATTATACTAATACAAAACTAAAATTTTGGTTCCCTATGTTAGAATAAAGCAAGTTTTTCATCAACTATCAATTTGCTTTTAGTAAAATTCAGAGGTTCTGAATTTTTAATTCTGAAATCTGTATCTTTTAAAACTTCTCAGACTTATATCTCGGAAGTTCAACTTTTACTGTACCTTGCTGCATGTGATTTGCAGGTCACATGTGATTGCCTTCTGTTTTTTAATCCCTGGGAAAGGTACATCTTTTTGCTTGGCTGGGATGGTAACTCTGTCCTTCAATGTTTTTATCAATTCCTGTAACTTTTGTTCTGGTTCTAACACTGATGTTGTGGCCTGACACTGAAATGTTTTATCTTGAAGGTGTAGAAAAGCAATGTTTTCCTTCAGTATAACTTGATTCTGTACTCTTGGGTTTTCTTTATAGGT
The DNA here is from genome assembly GCF_000001405.40 of Homo sapiens. Lineage (NCBI taxonomy): Eukaryota > Metazoa > Chordata > Mammalia > Primates > Hominidae > Homo > Homo sapiens. The sequence goes on from NC_000013.11 coordinate 41,295,297, forward strand.
CTGCATTGTTCAGTATAACCAGGAAACATCCATGTTGTTACTAAGAGTCCCTACTTTGTGTCCCTACACAAGGTACTAGTTTTCTTGTTTACATTTCTCCATAATAAATTGTACATCATAATCCTGGACAAACTCTTCCTCTGTCTGCTTAAATTCAAGTACCTTTTTCATCAGGTTTGACTTCCAGGTTAACTAAATGGGCTTCTCATGAGGAAAAGCAATTACACTACAGAAGGTTTTTCTTTTCCTTTTTGGTAACAGGTCTGAAAAAAAAAAGATTTTACATTTTATCGAGATAATCCTTGTGTTGTCTTTATTAGGATTTTGGTTACTTAGGAAAACTGAGTTTTAAATGGGTTAAGGTTTCCACAACCATGTAACTTCTATATAGCTTTTGAAGTTTTATGATTATCACTCTGGTTAAATGAATAACTATTATTTAACAGTGACCTGTGATTCTGTTTTGTTTTTCGGATTTTTGTTTTCATTTTTGTTTTTGTTTTGAGATAGGATCTTGCTTTGCTGCCCAGGCTGGAGTACAGTTGTGTGATCGTAGTTCACTATAAAACTAGGCTCAAGTGATCCTCCCACCTCAGCCTCCTGAATAGCTGGGACTACTGATGCATGCCAGAACATCCAGCTAATTAAATTTTTTTTTCATTTTTTGTTTTAGAGATAAGGTCTTGCTCTGTTGCCCAAACTGGAGTCAAGTGGTACAATCACAACTTGCTGTAATTTTGAACTCTGGGGCTCAAGCAATCCTTGGTCTCCTGAGTAGCTAGGACTACAGTAGTGTGTCACCATGCCCAGTTAATTTTTCATTTTTATTTGTAGATACCAGGTCTCCCTATGTTGCCCAATCTGGCCTTGAACTTCTGGCCTCAAGCAATCATTCTGCCTTGACCTCTCAATGTGCTGGGACTAAAGGTATGAGCCACCATGCTGTAAAAACTTTTCATGAAGATGAGATCTTGCTAATGTAGCCCAGGCTGGTCTTAAACTCCCGGCCTCAAGCAATCCTCCCACCTCAGCCTCCCAAAGCACTGGGATTGCTGTCCTGAGCCACTGTACCCAGCCCATGATTCTCTTTTGATCAAATGTTTCAAACCTTTTGACATCTTTGGCAGATTTCACTAAGATCAAAATTCTAAATTACTTTTTGTTGGCTTAAAATTAACTTTGGGATATTCTAGTTGGGCCCCTGGAAACATCAAAGAATGTATCTCTCATTTTGTAGAGATATTAAATTATTTGGTAAATTGTACGGTAGGCATTGTCAAATAACAATAATATTAGATCTTCTCTCAGTTACATTTATGGGTATGTTATTGATATGTGTTTCCAAAATCATACAAATTAATAAAAATATAATATTTTGTCAGTCATAATTTTATTATGATTTTTGATTGCTATGTTAAAGTTATATTTGTATGAATATGTTATTAATTTAAATATTCTAAAAATTATATAAAAGTTATAAAATTCTGATGGTCCTGATGTGACATTATCAGTCATAATTCTGGTTGCATCTACTAGATATTTTAAATGCTGCACGTAATAGCAATAACTAAATTTCCTGGTCAATTGGAACTTTCATCAGATTTTAATCATGGCTATTCTAAGTTTTTATCATCCACAGCTGTTGTTTTGAATTCTTCTCTAAACACATTTGCAATCAGCTTTAGTCCAAAATTGCTTTTCATGGAAAAGACTAACAAGTACTCTTAAACACTGATTTCTGATAACTTTAAGATAAATGGACTAAATAAAAACTCCCAGAATTCTAATAAAAGACTGACTCATTCATGAGGATCGTTAAGTCAACATCAAGCAGAAAAAGAATTACAAGGGACTGAACTGATGGAGCACTAAAATGATTACATAAATTCTTGTTTGAAATACTGCTGATTCTTTTTGTATTTTGTTTTCCAAAGTCAACACTTCCACAGTACATCTCCCTACAAAGACATTCCCCAAGGCTAGTGGGCGACCCAATGCCAATCAGCCCACTCTGATTAGCCCACCATAGTTCTATCTTTTGGTGTTGAGTGTTCTTACAATCTCCAAGGTTTCAAAACTTCCTTTTTATCTAAGCCCCCTGAAGTAACAACCACTCACTGCAACCACTGGCTGCCACTTCCAAAACTGCAGCTTTTGCCAGTAACTGTAGATTTTGCCAGTAACTTGCCATTACACATACAAAAGTCAGGTTCTCTCCCACAATACAAAGTAATCCCTGGTACTCCAAAAGCCAAAGAGATCAGGTACTACTTTTAATTGCTTTTTTTTTTTTTTCTGAGACCGGGTCTTGCTTTTTTACCTAGGCTGGAGTGCAGTGGCACTATCTTGGCTCACCACAACCTCTGCCTTCCGGGTTCAAGTGGTTCTCCTGCCTCAGCGTCCCGAGTGGCTGGGATTACAGGTGTATGCCACTACACCCAGCTAATTTTTTTTATTTTTAGTAGAGATGGGGTTTCACCATGTTGGCCAGGCTGTCTTAAACCCCTTACCTCCAGTGATGTGCCCGCCTCAACTTCCCAAAGTGCTGGGATTACAGGTGTGAGCCACCATGCCAGGTCTTTAATTCCTCTTAAAACTGTTCACTATTTAACAATTTGATTTCCTCTATGACAATATAAACTGCAATTTATAAATTAATAGAATCGGATTTCAAAAACATTCTTGAACCTAATAATTCAATCTTATCTTTTAATTCTAAATACATTTTCCCTTTTTTTTTGAGAGAAGGAGCTGTGAATATTATATAATCTACAATCCTTTTTGTAATGTCCAGGATTTTTGCAGTAATTGCAAAGCAGAGGATTAGATTGGTTTTGGAACTTATTAGGTTAGACAATTGCTTTAGTTGCAAACTCATGATCTTTTTTGCTTTTCCCCTCTGTTTGGCTTTCTTTTCTTTTTCTTCCTTAGGTAGGGTATGGGATATTTGATCAGCAAAATTAACTAGCTCATGAGTTTGAAAGGCAGTCCAACTGGGGCACTGTCCCTTTGTTACACATGCCAGTTCTTCGTCTTATCCATTTACGAAGTTTTAGTTAAGGAGAGCATCATTTTGGTAAGTTAGCACTATTACGAAGTTACACTCTCATAGTGTAACATTACAGGCTTATCAAGATTTTGTTTGCATTGTTATATTTTGTTCCAATTAACTACTTTTCGAAAACGAAGGGGATAGGATTTAGCAAAGCTTTGGCAGTATTGTAGGCCCATTCATGATCTGCTTCAGAATTGGAAGTCCTTTAAACAATTTCTCCAATTTGCCTTTGCTATCTAATCTTTGGCTTTACTTTCTGACACTAATATGCGAATCACTTGGTATAAACCAGAGAATCTGGGATTATAAGCTCAAACATTTGAATCACATTTTCTAGCAAATTCAATGGGGTCCTGAAGAGGATCTGGGAATTTTTAAATTATGTCTTTAAGTTCTACTTTTGAACCATGGTTGATATATCAAGTCAGGTTCTCCTCTAATGAACACAAGGTATTTCCAAAATGGAGCCAGAACAGCGGAAGAAGGAGGAAGAGGAGGAAAGGGAGGTAAATCTGGACAAGAAGTTCTGTCAAAAGAGAAGGAGGAGGCCAGGTGAGGAGGCTCACACCTGTAATCCCAGCACTTTGGGAGGCCAAAGCAGGCGGATCACTTGAGGTCAGGAGTTTGAGACCAGCCTGGCCAACATGGCAAAACCCCGTTTCTACTAAAAAATACAAAAATTAGCTGGGCGTGACGCACGCCTGTAAATCCAGCTACTCAGGAGGCTGAGGCAGGTGAATCACTTCAACCTGGGTGTGTGTGTGTGTGTGTGTGCAGGTTGTAGTGAGCCGAGATCATGCCACTGCACTCCAGCCTGGGTGACAGAGTGAGACTCTATCTAAAAAAGAAAAAAAAAAGAGAGAGAGAGAGAAAGAGGAGCTGAAGAAGGGGGAGAAATTTTGGTAGTATTTTTTAAATTCAGAAATTGTTTTGTACTTTTGTCCTACTCTTGCAGAGAATTGGCTTTATCACAACCTCTTTTAGAGGCTAAGTACCATTGAAAATAGCTCCCAGTTATTTTCTTTTCTTTTAGAGCCGGCTTTTACTAATGGATCAGGCAGATAAACTAGCTTAGGTATTTCAAAGTTACCTCATTTTGGCCATTGTAACTTGGGGTCATCTTGAGTAATATGAGATCAATTTTTTTCTAGATATTTGCATGAGGAGGTGCTGTGAATACTAAACAGGAATCCAGCTGGTGTTTCTAGTGGTGGATCTCTACTTAAGGAGGAAGACTCAGTTATAGAAGTAAGATTGCCCATAATTAAGACTTTCCTTTTGAATGGCCAAAAAGACCTAGCAGGAAGAATTTCGATCACTCAAGAAGAAAAGTTTAAATTTGTCAATTGAACTGAGCTTCACAATCTGGCCAGTTTTAAAGACTTTTTTTTTTTTTCAGTGATAAACTGATATCTCCCTGACCAAACTTCTGAATGAGAGAAATGTTTGAAAAGCTCTAAGGCATAATTCAAATAAGACCTTAATATCAGAGAAAAAGTGAAACTTACAAATCTGTGGTCAGAAAAATCACTAAAGAATAACAAATGAAACTCCTACCGAACAGTAGAGTTTCAATTTCAGCCCTTTCAATTTAGGAATGTGTGTAGCTCAAATAATGTCTCAATCCTCAAGAAAGCCAGAAAGATTCAGACTTGAGAGGAGCCTTTCCAGAGATCGTTGTTGACTCCAGCAAGGTTGGATAAACTACTGGCACCAGTTCTCTAGTTGTCAGTGAAGTGACAGTGATCACTGGAGGTCTGCTTTAGGTCCCGTTTGGGTCACCAAAATGTCAACCTTAAGAATGAGATGCAGAAAATATGATTAAGCATAGAGTTTATTTGAGCTCAAAGATTGAAGATGGCCACCCAAAAGCATAGATTTGAGTTTCCCTGAATACACACTTCTGTTTGCTGTAATTACAAGTGGTTTAAACATTTCTAAAAAATAATTAGAGGCTGGGAGCCGTGGCTCACGCTAGTAATCCCAGCACTTTGGGAGGCCGAGGCGGGCGGATCACAAGGTCAGGAAATCGAGACCATCCTGGCCAACATGGTGAAACCCCGTCTCTACTAAAAATACAAAAAATTAGCCAGGCATGGTGGTGGGCGCCTGTAGTCCCAGCTACTCGGGAGGCTGAGGCAGGAGAATGGCCTAAACCCAGGAGGCGGAGCTTGCAGTGAGCTGAGATCCGGCCACTGCACTCCAGCCTGGGCGACACAGCAAGACTCCGTCTCAAAAAAAAAAAAAAAAAAATTAGAGACAGGGTCTTGCTGGGCCTGAACTCCTGGCCTCAAGCAATCCTCCTGCCTCAGCTTCCCTGAGTGTTGGGATTGTAGGCATGAGCCACTGCACCTGGCCTTACCAGTGGTTTTTAAAGCAAAAAAATAAAAAAGAGGCAATTCCTAAATTGTTTACCAAGATTTTACATTAAAATGACATAAGTTATTGATTGGCTACACATTGTTCTTTGTATCACAAATTTCAGGAACATGAAGATAATGGGCGAGGCAGCTAGTCAAGAACAAAATGCCTTTAAACAATTGCCTGGGTGCAGGGGGCATGACTGAAGCTCCATATTCATGTCTCTCTGGGCCTGATATATTTTGCATACCTCACGTAGATCAGATTGCTCTGAGCTATTTCTCTTTTTCTCATGGATAATAGTATTTTTCTCATAGGGTTTTCATAAAGATTAAATAAGAAATAGCAAATTGCATATAGTGTCTAGTACAGAGTAAGTGTTCAATAACAGTTATGATGAAATGATTACAGTAATTGAGAAGAGAAAGGAGAGATAGGAGAGAGGAGTAAAGTTCCCTAAGAAGGCAAAGATGTATCCCTCCTAAGCGCAGGTAGTGGAATTAACTCTGCATTCACCAGGGGATAGGAAACTTTTCCCTTCACCCTTTGAAGGTTCTCTGAAAACTGACAAAAGGCAGATTAATAGGAGAAAAGGCATACACAATTTTATTTTCACGTGGCTAGCCTGGGGGAATCGCAGAATGGTGACCCAACAACGCACTATTATACAGAAGCTTATGTACCTGTTTTCAGAGGGGAGAGATGTATTGACTTGGGAGGTGGGAGGCAGATGATATAGAAAGGCAAAGGACAGGTTGGGTGCGGTGGCTCATACCTGTAATGTCAGCACTTCGGGAGGCTGAGGTGGACGGATCACCTGAAGTCAGGAGTTTGAGATCCACCTGGCCAACAGGGTAAAACCCTGACTCTACTAAAAATGCAAGAATTAGCCGGATGTGGTGGTGGGCATCTATAATCCCAGCTACTTGGGAGGCTGAGGCAAGAGAATCACTTGAACCCAGGAGGTGGAGGTTGCAGTGAGCCCAGATCTCACCACTGCACTCCAGCCTGGGCAACAGAGTGAGACTCCGTCTCAAAAAAAAAAAAGAAAGGCAAGGACCAGAGCTGCACAGAAACAAAGTCTGTCTTATTATGTAGATAAAGATTTTATGTAGATAAAATCTCTCAGTGCTGCTCTCAGATGAACAGATGAAAAGTCTGTCTGGGTGTGGGGATGACTCCCAGTCTCTTCTCTTCTCTGGTGGTTGATCTTTCCTGGCTATTTGATGAGATTCCTAGGGAGGGAGTCTTAAGACAATTGTATTTAAACTTTCTTCTTCAGATAAGAAATTCCAGAAGGAGTCTTTCTTATTTATTTATTTATTTATTTTTGAGATGGAGTCTCCCTCTGTTGCCTAGGCTGGAGTGCAGTGGCACGATCTTGGCTCATTGCAATCTCCCTCTCCTGGGTTCAAGCGATTCTCCTGCCTCAGACTCCCGAGTAGCTGGGATTACAGGTACCCACCACCACCATGTCTGGCTAATTTTGGTATTTTTAGTAGAGACAGGGTTTCACCATATTAGCCAGGCTGGTCTCGAACTCCTGATCTCAGGTGAGCCACCCGCCTCGGCCTTCCAAAGTGCTGGGATTACAGGTGCGAGCCACCGTGCCTGGCCAAGAATCTTTCTTAGGGTGCTTCTGGAAACAGGATCAGAGAGACAGGAAGGTGGGAGAAGTGGCAGAGAGAGAGAGACCTTTGTTCTCAGGCTTATTTTTGAGGATTTTCAAAAGCACTCAGCGTGGCTATATTTGGGGAATCATTTCTGTGCCCCAATACAGGGAAGAAAAGGGAGAAACACACTAGATCTGGATTTTTTTTTAAATTTTTTTTTTTGAGATGGGGTCTTGCTTTGTCACCCAGGCTGGAGTGCAGTGACACAATCATGGCTCACTGCAACCTTGACCTCCTGGGCTCAAGTGATCCTCCCACTTCAGCCTCCCAAGTAGCTGAGACCACAGGTGTGCACCACCACGCCTGGCTAAACTACTTTTTGTAGAGATGGGGCCTCCTTATGTTGCCCATGCTGGTCTCAAACTCCTGGGCTCAAGTGTTCCTCCTGCTTTGGCCTCCAAAGTTTTGGGATTACAGGCGTGAGCCACTGCGCCTGGCCTAGATCTAGAATCTAAAGCACTTGGCAACTTGAGAATAAGAAAGAGCAGTCAAAGTTGATTATAAAATTTTGAGGCAAGCTGGGTGTGGTGGCACCTGAGTAGTCGGAAACTGTAATTCCAGCTATTCAAGAGAGCACCTTGAGTAGGTGGAACCTGTAATTCCAGCTACTCAAGAGGCTGGAATACATACATTCTAGCTACTCAAGAGGCTGGAATACATACATTCCAGATAAGAAATTCCAGAAAGAGCCTTTCTTATTTATTTATTTATTTATTTTTGATTTATTTTTATTTTATATGTATATATATTTGATGCTAACTGCAAGAGTGGTGTCAATAACAAAAACAGATAAGTAGTTTTCTCTATTTTTTTGGACTACTTTGATGGAAGATAATACATTTTATTTCAACTGTTAAAGTAGGAAATGCTTATAAGACATCCAGATGGAGATATTAAACAATGAGAATGAAGGCCAGGAGATCCAAAGGGGACTTGAAACTGGAGAGAGATTTGAAATAATCTACTTGGTGTTAATAATGATGCTATGGGAGCAAGAGAATTTATTAATTTTGTATTGCTAGTGTATTCTGTACGTGCTGGTCTTGCACATAGCAGGTGTTCAATGAACATGTTTTATTGTTGTTGTTTAAAAAGAAAACAGAATTATCTAGATAATCTACATTTAGGAGAAGAATGAAGACTTGATTGAGGACCCAAAGGATGACCAAGAAGAGGTACAGGAGAAAACCCAGAATTCTGCAGGGTCTTGGCGATGCAAGTGTCAGAGCCATTTGAACCAGAGCTACTCCATCTTGAGTGAGGGCTAAGAAAACTGAGGCTGGGACTTGCTGGGCTGCATTCCCAGGAGGGTAAGTATTCCTAGCCTCTAGGTTAACGGAACAGATTAATAACGTTTACTAACAGACCCAGACTCAGGAATGTCCTGATATCCTGATGTCTTAAAAACAAAAGCACTCCTAATTTTGCTTTAAAGATAAATATCGATCCTTGCAAAATATAGTAATTAAGAAAACTAATTGTTTAAATCACAAACCTTTGTAGTAGAGCAAATCTCCCCATTTTTTTGTTATCCTATATATAAATAAGCATTGTACCTAGGGGTAGGCGCGTTCCTCCTCTTACTTTCAGGAACGCCCTACTCTGTCTATAGAGTAGCTATTCCTTCACCACTTTACTTCCTTAATAAATTTGCTTTTGCTTTGCACTGTGGACTTGCCCCAAATTCTTTCTTCGGTGAGATCCAAGAACCCTCTCTTGGGGTCTGGATCAGGAGCTCTTTCTGGTAACATAAGAAAAGAAAGAGAAATTCATGAAGGAGAGGGTGGTCTACTGTGTGAAATGCCAATGAGAGATTAAGGACCTTGTGGACTGAGAAACTTTTTGGAATTGGCCAATTCTTCAAAATACAAGCTCCATGAGGGCAGATGTTTTTTCAGAGGCAGGATCTTACTTATTGCCCAGATTGGAGGGCAGTGGCTATTCACAGGCACAATCACAGTGCACTGCAGCCTCAAATCCCTAGGCTCAAGTGATGCTCTTGTCTCAGCCTCACAAGTAGCTGGAACTACAGACGTGTGCCTGGGCTTCCGCTGAGAGCAGATATTTTTGACTGTTAGAAGACTGCCTATAACATCGTAGGTACTCAACAATAAATACTGTGAACAAAAATTCTCTGAAAAGGAATTTAGAAGAAAGAAACTATTCCAATGAACAGTTTGCAAATAGGGGAGACACAGCCTTTGGTACAAAAGGAAGGTACATGCCAGAGAACAAAGGGAGGGATTGTTTTTATATAGAAAGTACCTACCCAGGTTCCCATGCTCCTCCATTTATGTAGATGAAGGATGCAAACTTGCTTAGATCTGATTGCCTGATGTTTGCTGAGTTTTGATTGGTTGACATAGGTTACAGCTTATTGGTTGGTTCAGGTGCCTAAACAGGAACAGGCAGCTATGAAAGTTGCAAAGTTAAGGAAAAGCCTGTAAGGAACTCAGAGTACATGTGTGATCTCTAATCAGCAAATGGCCCATTGGCTCTATTTTCAATTCAGGCCCAGTTAGACACTAAGGATTTATCTTGAAGGACTGGCTTTTTCAGGTTTCACAACGCAGAACAAATGAACTGGTGATATTTCAGAAAACACTTTCAGAAAACTGTTGGGCACAGAAGCCAAATCTTAAGTATTCAATAGAGTTGCCACTTTCCTAAAAAATATCCAGCTATTTCTCATCTGTTTTCCCCATGTAGTCAGAGTGATTTAATGCAGTTGTGTGATAATGGCTCACTGCAGCGTCGACCTCCCAGGCTCAAGCTATTATCCCACCTCAGCCTCTTAGGTAGCTGGGACTACAGGCATATGCCACTATGTCTGGCTAATTTTTAAAATTTTTTGTAGAGACGGGGTCTCACTATGTTGTCCAGGTTGGTTTTGAACTCCCAAGCTCAAGTGATCCTCCTGCCTTGGCCTCCCAAAGAGTTGGGATTATGGGTGTTAGCCATTGTGCCTGGCCAGAATGACTTTTAAAAAATTAAATCATCAGATCATGTAACTTGCCTTCTGAAAATGTTTCAGTGGATTCCCATTGAATTTAAGATTAAACAAACAAACAGACAAACAAAAAAACCCACACTGCCTGAGACCGTGAACTCTGCACAGCCTGGTCTATATTTTCAACTGTACTGCATACCACTTTACTTCTCCTGCGCTACACTCCAGCCACGTCCTTTAACCAGAGAGGAGAGACAAGTTCTCACCTTTCCCTTCTATTCCTTCGTCATACCAATCTTCTTCCTGCATTAGGGCATTTGCCTGTGGTTCCCTTTGTTTAGAATATGCCATCCCACGACATGTGGTCCCCCACCAGGATCTCCCAGCCAAACTTGCTTCTCATCCTCAGGTTTCTGTTCAATTGTCATTATCACCTCCCCAAAGGGTTCTCATTCCTGTGTACTTGGTTTAAAGTAGTCCTTCCCTCAGCCCCCATTGCTCTCAAATGACCTTGCTTTGTGTCCCTCATAGGACTTGCTTTAAGTCCCTCATAGGACTTCATACAGTTTGGAATTACCTTATCTATTTGTTTATGTGTTTATAATCTGTCTCCTCCCACTAGGATATAAACTATGTAAAGAGAGAGAACATGCAAACTGGGAGGAGAGTAACTGATGAATAAAATTTGAGGAAAAGCAAAAAGGGATGAGATGAAGAACTCAAAGGGAGGAATAAGAGTACCTTTCTTTCTCGGAAAAAAGAGCCGGCTGGGCGCGGTGGCTCACGCCTGTAATCCCAGCACTTTGGGAGGCCGAGGTGGGCAGATTACGAGGTCAGGAGATCGAGACCATCCTGGCTAACACGGTGAAACCCCGTCTCTACTAAAAATACAAAAAAAATTAGCCGGGCGTGGTGGCGGGCGCCTGTAGTCCCAGCTACTCCGGAGGCTGAGACAGGAGAACGGCGTGAACCCGGGAGGCGGAGCTTGCAATGAGCCGAGATCGCGCCACTGCACTCCAGCCTGGGACACGGAGTGAGACTCCGTCTCAAAAAAAAAAAAAGGAAAGAAAGAAGAGCCAAGAACATGGAAGAGAGCAGAAACATCAGGGAGTCTGGGGTGGAACACGTTGTATAACCTGATAAGTTATTTTCCCATCAGCTTTTAATTACATAGTTAAATTGGCTGTGGGAATAGCAGCAAACTATTTGATTTTAGGTTGCCAGCTGGCTCTGGAAGACATGCACGTATATGGGGTGGAGAAAATCCTTTTCCAGATTCTTCTCTCCTTGTCTTTACTAGGCTGAACGAGAAGAATCAGTGGCCCATATTACATATGTAAAAAGGGCTTTGGGAATTGCAAAGGTCTTTACAGATGTGGTTACTGTTATTTTACTTTATGCATGATTCTAAAGGAGGTATGCACCGTCTGAAGTGCCAGGAAGGAGCATCTGGGTGGATGTCCATGATGGCCCCAAAAGGACTTCAGCATTTTTCCTGAGAAACAGTGAGTTCAGATTTACACAGTATTTGTTTTTTATCACAGGCTTTGAAATGACTAAGCATTAAATTCACATAACCCTGCTGTGAAACACATTATCATGTTATTATAACCCCATTTTCTGTTGAAAGGTAGAAATAAGATCTGTTCCAGACTAAACAGGAAGTCAGTAATAAGATTATAGTTACTGGTTAATCTAGGCTTTCTGATTGTGCATACATTACATCTTTTATACACATAAGGTTCAGGATGACAACTACCAGCACCGTGATTGGTGTTCTTTTCTATTCCCTCCCTCTCCCCTCACCCCCACACTAGTGTAGACAACCAAGGTGATATGGTTTGGATTTGTGCCCCCCCCACCCCAATCTCATCTTGAATCGTAACCCCCAGTGTTGGAGGAGGGGCCTGGTAGGAGGTGACTGGATCATGGGGACAGATTTTCCCCTTGCTGTTCTCATGATAGTGAGTGAGTTCTCACGATCTAGTTGTTTAAAAGTGTGTAGCACCGCTGGGCATTGTGGCTCATGCCTGTAATCCCAGCACTTTGGGAGGCTGAGGCGGGTGGATCACAAGGTCAAGAGTTCAAAACCAGCCTGGCCAACATGGTGAAACCCCATCTCTACTAAAAATACAAAAATTAGCTGGGCATGGCGGTGCATGCCTGTGGTCCCAGCTACTCAGGAGGCTGAGGCAGGAGGATTGCTTGAACCCAGGAGGTTGCAGTGACTGAGATCATGCCAGTGCACTCCAGCCTGGGTGGCAGATGAGGCTCCATCTCAAAAAAAAAAAAAGTGTGTAGCACCTCCTCTTTCACTCTATTCCTCCTGCTCCAGCCATGTAGGATGTGCCTGCTTCCCGTTTGCCTTCCACCATGATTGTAAGTTTCCTGAGGCCTCCCCAGCCATGCTTCCTGTATAGCCTGTGGAACTGTGAGCCAATTAAACTTCTTTTCTTTATAAATTACCCAGTCTCAGGTAATTTTTTATAGCAATGTGAGAACAGACTAATACAAAAGGTATGTGTGTATGGTGTGTGAAAGACAGATGAAGAAGATATTAAATATGAGTATTTATAACTATATATAACTATAGTTTATAACTAGTAGCAAACTAGTGCTGCTTTCTAGTATTTGGGATTGCAGATTTTCTTTGCGTGACTGCGCTTCCCTGGGAGATGCTGGCACGGAACTGTGTGTCCTGGGAAGTGGAAGTTGGCAGTGGGTCGGAGGCTGCAGAGTGCACGTGAAGAACCTTCCTGGGCTGCTGATTTAGGGGTTGGGGAGAGCAATGGTGAATGAGGGTGATGATTTAGCTGCTACCACAGAGAGTGAAGATAGTTAATGATTTGTAGTAAATAAGGCTGGAAGAGGCCCACAGGAAACTTTCATAAAAGATAATCGTTCCTTGTCTTCAAAATATTTACAGTTGGTACTATGCTTTTCTTCCCTTCTCTTGTATATTTCTTTTAAAAATCTAATTTGTCATTTTGAAATAGGTCTAGAAAAGTCCATGTCCTATGAGGGTCAAGTGAGGGCTTGACTGACGCACTGAAGGTTTGGCTCTTTTCGTGAGTAACCCTTCACTTCTGATGATGTAGATAAATGACAATGTAGATAAATTGGGAGCCAAAGGTTTTCAGGAATTAGTAATGCCGTGGTAAGCAAACTGTGGCTAGCAATTATGGCAGTGGTTGAGTATGAGGGTGCTGAGAGGAGGCACTTCTGTGTGCTTGCTCAGTTCTCCGGGTGGGGGACTGCCACTAGTACAGGTGCGACTAAGGCAAGCTCCTAAAGCATCTATACTTGCCTACTTCCTAACAGCTTGGGCAGCTTGGGAGCTCTGCAGAGTACACATAGGCCCTTGAACCCCCACTTTTATTTTTTTCTTTCCATTTTTTATTTTAGACTCAAGGGGTAAATGTTCAGGTTTATTACACAGGTAAATTGCATGTTGTGGGGGTTTGGTGTACAGACAGTCTTGTCACCCAGGTAATCAGCATAATACCCTATAGGTAGTTTTTTAATCTTCACCCTCCTCCTACTCTCCACCCTCAAGTAGGCCTCAGTGTCTACTGTTCCCTTATTTGTGTCCATGGGTACTCAGTGTTTATAATTCCACCTGTAAGTGAAAACATGTGGTATTTGATTTTCTGTTCCTGCATTAATTCATTTTGGATAATGGCCTCCAGCTCTACCTGTGTTGCTGCAAAGGACATGGTCTCATTCTTTTTTGTGGCTGTGTAGTATTCCATGGTGTACCACATTTTCTTTATCCAGTCCACCGATGGGCATCTAGGTTACTTCCATGTCTTTTTATTGTGAATAGTGCTGCGATGAACATACACGTGCATGTGTCCTTTTTTTTTTTGAGGCAGTTTGTTGCCCAGGCTGGAGTGCAGTGGCATGATCTTGGCTCACTGCAACCTGTCTCCCAGGCTCAATTGATCCTCGCACCTCAGCATCCCAAGTAGCTGGGACTACAGGCACTCGCCACTATGCCCAGCTAGTGTGTGTGTGTGTGTGTGTGTGTGTGTGTGTGTGTGTGTGTTTGCCATGTTGCCCCGGCTGGTCTCCAACTCCTGAGCTCAGGGTGATCCGCCTGCCTCAGCCGCCCAAAGTGCTGGGATTACAGGCGTGAGTCACTGCACCTGGCTGTGCATGTGTCTTTACGGTAGAACAATTTATATTCTTTTGGGTATATACCCAGCAATGGGATTGCTGTGGACCCCCAATTTTAATGACAGTACTTTCCCTATTTTAAAGGACTCCTATGATGCTTTAAAATCATGTGTGAAACGTAGGAGATTGAAAGAAAAAAAAAGACTCCTATGATTCTTTCATGTCCAACCAACTTAGGCTAGAAAGAAGGAAAATCAAATAGGCAGGCACTGTGGCTCACACCTGTAATCCCAGCACTTTGGAAGGCCGAGGTGGGCAGATCACCTGAGGTCGGGAGTTTGAGACCAGCCTGACCAACATGGAGAAACCCCGTCTCTACTAAAAATACTAAATTAGCCAGGTGTGGTGGTGCATGCCTGTCATCCCTGCTACTTGGGAGGCTGAGGCAGGAGAATCGCTTGAACCTGGGAGGCGGAGGTTACAGGGAGCTGAGATAGCGCCATTGCATTCCAGCCTCGGCAACAAGAACAAAACATCGTCTCAAAAAAAGGAAAATAAAAAAGGGCAGCCCAGTTCTGATTACAGCCGACTAAATGCAGTTACTCATCAATTACTTTATAGTCTCAGAAATATGCACCCATTAAGATTCAGCACATGTATAAATAAACTTATGTACCTAATGTTTACACACACCTTACTACTAACCCTACACTGAATGTATGGTTTATTCTTGCCACTGTTGTATCTTTCTAGACTCACACATTACCATCAATATGCTGCCTTTTATTTGTTGTAGAGAGTATCCCAGAGTTGGAAGATCCTGAATTTGAAGCCTGTTTCTCCCATTATTATATGGCTTTCAGGAAGGGGAACCATCTGAAGAGAAAGGGTAGGTAGACTCAGAAGACCAGTGGCCTTATAAAACCGTAATTCCGGCCAGGTGTGGTGGCTCACGCCTGTAATCCCAGCACTTTCGGAGGTTGACGCGGGGGCGGATCACGAGGTCAAGAGATCAAGACCATCCTGGCCAACATGGTGAAAGCCTGTCTCTACTAAAAATACAAAATTAGCCGGGTGTGGTGGCGCATGCCTGTAATCCCAGCCACTCGGGAGGCTGAGGCAGGAGAATCCTTTGAACTCAGGAGGCGGAGGTTGCAGTGAGCCCAGATAGCGCCACTGCACTGCAGCCTGGGCGACAAGAGCGATACTCCATCTCAAAACCAACCAACCAAACAAAAACAAAGATTGTAAATGTTTGTTTGGTTTGCCCTGGAAAGAGAAGGCTTCTACTTAGAGTCTGAATCAAGGAGGAAAAGGAAAGAAAACAAGTTCATCTTTCATCAAAAGTCTACTTTGCATCGGACACTTAAATTCCTAAATGGGGAGAAATGCAAAAAACTCTGACTCTTCAGAGTCATAACTAACATTATCTTGCGCCACAAGCTTATCAAGAGTGCAATACAAGTCAGTGTCTTCTCTTTTCTACTTAAAAGAAAATTCTCGTTTTTATTTATTACTTTATTGCAAGGAGAAGCAGACAATAAGTAGGAGTCTTATGAGGCGTTCTGATGCATAGGAGCAATGGTGAATGAGGGTGGTGACTCACCACCCCATGGGACTCCAAGGTTTTGGTGACAGCTCGCCTGAGCCCCAGGGGGTGCCGAGATTGCGGCGAGGAGAGCCGCAGCACAAGGCAAATCCACGCGGTTGGTCCCCGCTACGCCCCCGTAGTCACCCGCAGCCCCTCGCCAAAGGGCGCTCCGCGCATGCGCACAGGATCCGGCTCGGGAGGCGGACCCTGGCTGCCATCTTGCAGTGCGCGGGAACCGCCGCCGCCGCCGCTGGCCAAAAAGCGGAGCCCAGGGGAAGCGTGTCCTGCTCAGACCGCCTTCCTTCTCCATTGCCACCCGTGCCGAACAGCCAGGCTGCCCAATTGCAACTGTAGACCAATGAACTAATCCATCGCCCGCAGCCCGACTCTCAGCAGCGGTTCGTCCCGGTGCCCACCCCCGCGAAGCGGAGCGCCCGGGCACCTAGCCTCCCTGCCGGCCACCTAGCCTCCCTGCCGGCCACGATGCCGAACGTGCTGCTGCCGCCCAAGGAGAGCAACCTCTTCAAACGCATCTTGGTGAGTGGCCGTAGGCCGCGCTGCCGCCCCCCGGTCCCCGGGTCCTCGGGCCTTAAGGGCAAGCGGTCTGGCGGCGGCCGGCGCGGGCCAGGCTTGGCCTCCGCTGCCCACCGCTCTTTGTTTACCTCGGAGGTCGCGGGACCCCACTTTCCCGCTCCGGCCGGCCCACGGGGGCTGCCGAGCCGCTCCTCCGTGCGCTTCCTTTCCGCGGTCTTCTGCGGCTCGCCTCACCCCCGCCGCGCTCTTTCCAGAAACTTCACGCCGCTCTCCGCAGTGCCCGGGCACAGCCGCCTCGGCCGGTAGTGGCTGCCGTGCTCTCTGCCGCGCCGGGCTCGCAGCAGCCCCTCAGGGATCCTCCCCCGGTGGTTTATTTTGCCAGTCTCTCCTCGGCTAGGTGTTTTGCGTTCTGCATTCTCTGCTTTGCGTTTAGTTAGATTGCACAGCACACCCGCATACCTATTAAAGCGGGATCGATGCGATGGTGGAATTTTTCCTGGTTACGAGGAAATAAAACCGGCAACTTTAGGAAGCCAGGCCTGGCACCACCTCCCTTTGGGAAAAAGTTTGCCTGTTTGTAATGTACCTTATTTACCTCTTTGGAAGTGAATATTTGACTTGAAGTGCGTTTCTGAGTTGTCACCAACTTCAAAACAGCTGTTTGCTTTTTAGTCGCACAGGCCTTGCTTGAGTAATTAAAGCCGCGTGGACTGGCTGGTTTTGCATTTGAGGGGAGCATTTTTACTTTATCGCGGAGCAGAAGCCTGAATAATGGCCCCGTAGTGATGACCGCTGCGGAGCCGGGTGGGCAGTTTTCTGTGGGCTGTGTGCCAGCGTCCCTGGTAGCTTTCCAGGTTCTGTTCTTCCAAGGAGAAGAGGCAGCATTCCTTTGCTTTCCTCAGTATCCTCTGGCTACCCTAGGTTTTAAACTAATATTGTTAGTAGGTAACTGTCTTTTCTAGTTTATCTTTTCACCTGAAAAAAAGCTTTTATTTGCTAAACATGCATTTAGGTTTAAAGGTGAATTTATTGAAAGCTGGGTTGGCTATATGGCTGTTAGTTGTTGCTTAACTTTACTATAAATAAAATACTAATTTTAGAGTAATTTTAAGTATGAACAGCGGCAGATAATTCATAGTAGCTGTTCTGTTTCAAGACGATAGAAACTTCACACTTAGTCTTCAGATTAGGATACATAGTAGATGGGATAAAAATTTTAAATATTATGTGGTGCTTAGTTTTGAACCAATAATAAGATACAAATGTGAGAACATTAAAAATACGAATAATTAAAGCACGTGGCAGGTTGCTTCATTGGGCTTTGTATTTTTTTATTTTACTTCTCATGCCCTTTTATTTTACACAGCATGGAATTGGAGAAGTAATTTATTTATTTTTATTTTTAATTTTTTTTTGCCCTGGGAATCTGAAACATTAATGATAATATCATTTATAAATCGCTAGTTGGATTTCAGGACATTTGGCATCATACTTTAAAGATGACAGCACTTCTTTTCTCTTTATACGAGTTTTTTGTAGTTCAAATCATGGATCAGTGTCATAAGGAAAAAGTTACATTATTATTCTTAAATTACAAAAAAGGTAGGGTTTATCCCCAAATAAATTGGGAAATGGTAACCACTAAAAAAAAATCAATTATTTTGAGATGGAAGTCTCGGTTTGTTGGCCAGGCTACTGTCGAATTCCTGGCTTGAAGCGATCTTCCCACCTCAGCCTCCCAAATTGCTGGGATTACAGATGTGAGCTACTGTGCTCAGCCAAGCTAAACATTTTTAAATCTAGGTATGTAATGTTTCTGACAAGGTTGCGTGAATTTAGGAGGATTCTGCATAAACGAATGATTTTATCATTTCACAATTGCAATAAATGTGGGTAAAATTTGGCTACAACAAATTCCATAGCAAACAGAAGTCTCTGTAATAAAATTATCTTTAAAGTTTAGTGGATTAAAGTGCTTTGCCACCAACAGTAAAATTTTTTCTATTGAAAAAATTCAAACACATCCACACAAACTGACCAGCTGGTTTTTTACGTGTTCCACGTGGCTTGTATCTGCATGTCTTATTCCCCAGACTGGATATTAATTAGCATTACAGTTTGTTGAATTTTGGAGGTATTCCATGCCCTCTTTTAGAAAGAGACAAACCTAAAGATGGTAAATGACCAAGTGGCTAAGGTTCTCTGTCTGGTTAGTAGCAAAGTTGAGACTAGAATCTATCATTTCTGCTTAGTATATAATGGTTCCTGAGTGAATGTAGATTTGTCTTTTTTTTTTTTTTGCGAGAGTGTATCGCTTTGTCGCCCAGGCTGGAGTGCAGTGGCAAGATCTCACTGCAACCTCTGCCTCCCAGATTCAAGCGATTCTCGTGCCTCAGCCTCCTGAGTAGCTGAGATTACAGGTTGACTTGTCTTTACCCGAGTACTTGGACTCTGGGGACAGACTACCTGGTTAAGAGTTGTGGCTCTGGCACTTAATAGTTATATAAACTCTATAACTATGCCTCAGTTTCTCTATCTAAATGGGGATATCATGCATCTCATAGGCTTTCCTGGGATTTAAATAAAGAGTAAATAAGCTGTCATGGGATGAAGGAAAAAAATAACAGTGTCTGGACGTATAGTAAATGCTTCCAATAGGTGTTAACTATTATTACTGTTATTGGCAGTATGATTATTATTATTTTCAGATAACCTGGTAAGTCAGAAAAACTAGTATTTCTATTTGTCTTTCTCAGTAGTTCCTTTCTCTTGTTTTTTTCTTGTCATTTGTGAGACAGACTTGTAGTCAAACTCAGATTGTCATTTTTTATTTTAAAATATTTTTGGAATAGGCAGTATATTCACATGGTTCAAAATTTAGGTTTCTCTCCTATCCTTATCGCAGAATCACCTAGTTCCCTTCCCCAGAGGCTGTCAAGAGGCCTCAATATAAACTTTTTTTCCATGAAGACTTTTCTAATTCCTTCCACATCCAGCCCCTGCTGCAAGGCTTAAAGATGGTCTCATCCATTGCTAGTGGCATTTTGCTTTGAACTTAGTAGGCTGTATTTATGGAGCAGTTTCTTATTTGTTTAGCCATGGCAATGCAGCAGTATGTAAAATAGGCTAAGGCCGGCGCAGTGGCTCATGCCTGTAATCCCAGCACTTTGGGAGGCTGAGGTGGGAGCTAGGATCACTTGAGCCCAGGAGCAAAAGACCAACATAGTGAGACTTCATCTCTACCAAAAATAAAAAAATAAAAAAAAATTTAGCCAGGCATGATGGCACACACCTGTAGTCCTTCCTATCCACTCAGGAGGCTAAGGTGGGAAGATCACTTGAGCTCAGCAGTTTGAGGTTATGGTGATTGTGTCACTGCACACCAGCTTGGGCAACAGAGTGAGACTGTCTCTAAAAAATAAATAAGAAAGATAGGTGAGATCATTGTTCTAAGGATCCATTATATGATGGTGGGGAAGACAGACACTAAATAATAGCATAAATAAGATTTCAGGAAATGATAGCACTGTGTGGAAAATAGAGTAACATGGTAGAGAATATGTTGGGGAAGGAAGGAGGATGGGAGTATTTGATAAAGTGGGCAAGTAGGGGACATGTGAGACTTGGATAATGAGGAACCATCCATGGGAAGATCTAGGAAAGCAATTCAGGCAGAAGGAACACAAGTGTAGGAGGCCTGAGGTGGGGATAAGCTTGGCATGTTGAGTAATTTAACACCCAGTGTGACTGAACAATGTAAGCCAGGGAAGAGTGGAAAGCAATGGGGTGTTCTTCGCATCAGTGGCTGCCAGGGAGAGATGTTAATTGTGTACCCTGGCTGGTGGCATTCGGAAATAAAGATGTTGCTTATCCTTGCATTGGACTAATGATGGTCTTTGGAGTAAGATCAGAGTTTGCAGCTAAGCTGAGCAGCTTATAAACAAGTTTTTGAACCTCTGGAGTTTCAGTTTCCACATCTCTGAAGTGGAAGTAATGACACCTACATTAAAGAATTGGTATTAAGTAAGAGATTACAAATTTTTTACAGACATATCATAGCTGCTCAATAAGTGGTAGTATTTGTGTGTGTGTGTGTATGCGTGCACACACCCATGCACTTTGGTTTCATTCTTGCGGTAGCAAAGGCTTTTAGTGCAGTTTCTGGTATTTTTCTGTTGCCACATATGTTTTTGCTTAAATTTTTTTTTTGAGATGGTGTCTTGCTCTACTGCCCAGGCTGAGTGCAGTGGCACAGTCATGCCTTACTGCAGCCTCAGCCTCGTGGGCTCAAGTGATCCTCCCACCTCAGCCTCCCAAGCAGTTAGGACCACAGATGTGCACCACCACGCCTGAGGAATTTTTAATTTTTTTGTAGAGATGAGATCTTGCTTTATTCCCCAGGCTGGTCTTGAACTTCTGGGCTCAAGCAGTCCTCTCGCCTTGGCCTCCCAAAGCATTGGAATTATTTTGAATTAAAAAATTCTGTGTACTAGGAAAGGGAAACAAAATAAAAAATTCTGTGGCAGTATTGATTGGTGAATTGTCATTTTTTTCTGTTTGTTTGTTTTGAGACAGGGTCTCATTCAGTCGCCCAGGCTGGAGTGCAGTGGCATGATCTCGGCTCACTGCAGCTTCCAGCTCCTGGGTTCAGGTGATTCTCCTGCCTCAGCCACCCAAGTAGCTGGGATTACAGGCATGCGCCACCACGTCTGGCTAATTTTTGTAATTTTTTTTTTTTTTTTTTTGAGACAGAGTCTCGCTCTGTTTCCCAGGCTGGAGTGCAGTGGTGTGATCTCTGCTCACTGCAACCTCTGCCTCCTGCGTTCAAGCGATTCTCCTGCCTAAGCCTCCTGAGTAGCTGGGATTACAGGCACGCACCACCACACCCAGCTAATTTTTGTATTTTTAGTAGAGACGGTTTCACCATGTTGGCCAGGTTGGTCTCGAACTCCTGAGCTCAAGCGATCCGCCCACCTTTGCCTCCCAAAGTGCTGGAATTACAAGCGTGAGCCACCTTGCTGAGCCACATTTCCTGTTTTTTAAATGTCTTTTTTCATGGTCTTTTATAAAAATGAAAATATGTAGATTTTAGAACAATTTGACAAGAATAGGTAACAAAAGTACACTGCATGTTTGTAAGTGATATCCTTTCTATCACATTTTAGACCTAATTTTGGATCTTGAGTTTAGAATATATGATGCTGTGAGAAGTTGCTCCATTATGTATTCATTTGATAAAATAACTTTTGTTCATATTTCTTTACAGAAATGTTATGAACAGAAGCAGTACAAAAATGGCCTCAAGTT
Organism: Homo sapiens; assembly: GCF_000001405.40. Taxonomy (NCBI): domain Eukaryota; kingdom Metazoa; phylum Chordata; class Mammalia; order Primates; family Hominidae; genus Homo; species Homo sapiens. The sequence goes on from NC_000013.11 coordinate 41,316,887, forward strand.
TTGCAAGATGATTCTGTCGAACCCAAAATTTGCTGAACATGGAGGTATTGTCTCATGTGAGAGATTGCTTTAGGGAAATCAAATTCTAAAACCAGGCATTAACAGTGAAAGAAGAGTATTTCCCCGATTCCAGGGCCTTGCAGTTCTCTATTAGAGTGCATAAATGTTCAGCATTTTTTTAATGCTTTATATGAGTCTTCTAGATTACCTGTATTATCCTTAAGTATGTATACTTAAGGATAAGATTAGGATGGTTCGTTTATCTATTGGGGAAAAAATTGGAGAAAGTATGTATCAGTATTTTTATGGACCTGATTTCCTTTATTACTTTGAATAGAATTTAAAGTTTATACCTTGGTTTCCTGTGTGTAAAATTAGGACAAAATTTGCAATATAGAAGTATGAAGATATGGTCACCTGCACTTTATTCTTTGGTAGATGTGTTTTGTTTTGTTTTTTTTTAGTATGTGCTGACGTTTACATATGATATTACTAATTTACCATTAGATTGTATATTTTGAGTTGTTTTCTAACACTGGTGTTAATAAAGTTTGTATTTTCTGGTTGTGTCCTTTTTCAGTAACAGCCAGTGTTAGAAGGGTGGATCAGGATAGACATGAAAATAATGATCCTGTAGCATAGCAAAGCTGGTTGAGATTACTCAGTATCAGACTTGGATAATGGTTGAGATCATCTTATTGGGAAAATAGGCTGACCTTGCTCACTTTTCCAACAACATTTAAAAGATTCTTTGAAGGAAATGGAAAGAAATCTTCATTTCATAGAATTAATTTTAAAGCTTGTTTTCAAGCTTTTTAGCTGTGGAAGCTTTATCCAAATGGTGCCTGTGGGAAAGTTCAATATGTAAAACAGATAAAAGGTGTTGGAGCGGGGTTTGGGCCACAGGATCACCATGTTCTGAATACCATAGAGTTTGAAAATCATTCTTCTTGTGTAATTCCCTTCTTGTGGATAATTCAGAGAATTATTTCATCCTAAACCATCTTTTATTAACTTCCTTACATGTTTTTTGTTGCCACTACCATCATCCAGTGTTGTGCTGTTGAAATGTGAACTGATGTTAATTAGCCTAAGTATAATTTGTTGGAATAAACTTGCTATCAAAAATGAAGTCTGTTCCAATATTGAATAAAGTGATTAGTGATTTTTAAATTATGTATTTGTCTTTATTAAGGTAGATTGAGTGTTTTTGTGTGGTTGTAAATCAGATTGATGATTGATTAGAATTGACCTTAGGTAAGAGCTGTGGAACTGCTATGGTAGATTTAATTCCATTAAGACTCATGTCTGCTTTGTAATTTTTTTTTTTTTTTTTAAGACAGAGTCTCGCTCTTGTTGCCCAGGCTGGAGTACAGTGGCACAATCTTGGCTCACTGCAACCTCTGCCTCCTGGGTTCAAGCAGTGCTCCTGCCTCAGCCTTCCAAGTAGCTGGGATTACAGGCACATGCCACCATGCCTAGCTAATTTTTGTTTAGTAGAGACGGGGTTTTGCTGTGTTGGCCAGGCTGGTCTCGAACTCTTGACCTCAGATGATCCACCCGCCTCAGCCTCCCTGAGTGCTGGGATTACAGGCGTGAGCCATTGCACCTGGCCTGCTTTGTTAATTTTTTCAGCAGAATAATATCAACCACTTTTACAGAGTCTTGTGAAGGGCAGAAACCATTTTAGCAACTCTGAAACTAAGGAATTTCAGAAAAGGACTTGGGCTGCTAAGCTTTAAGTAAATATTTAAATGTAGTTTTACTTTTTCTACTTGGAGAGAAGTTCAAACTGTGAGATTAAAAAGATGAATTGGAGCCATAGTAATCCTTCAGATCTCAACTATTAAAGTACTATTAAGAGAATAAGAGAATAATTTTGTGTCATTTGTAAATAGAGTTTAAAAATTATTTTTCAGAGACTTTGGCTATGAAAGGATTAACACTGAACTGTTTAGGAAAAAAAGAAGAAGCTTATGAGTTTGTTCGTAAAGGACTTCGTAATGATGTCAAGAGTCATGTCTGTATCCTTTTGCAGTAGTTAAATAGTTTATGTTTTAGCTAGTTTTTTCCTAATTCAAATTAAATTTGTACTATGAAAATTCCAAACCTACGTAGAAGAGAGAATTTAATGAACTCTGTGTATCCATTACTCAACTATAATCATTATCAACATTTTGTAATACTAGTTTCTTTTTTGCTTGTGCCCCTCCTCCTATATTAGTTTCATTTGTTCCCTACCCCGTGTTTATTTATTGGAATATTTTAAAGGAAATCTCTATAAAATGTGCTTACTTCTGTTGTGCTTAGTGTTGGAGAAAAGTTACTTTGGTAATTGTGACTTGAAACCCATTTTTTTCTTAAACATAATTAACTGGGTAATACTTTCCTGTTATTCCAAATACTGACTTTTAGTTAATCATATGTTAAAATTTGTGTGTCTTAAACTTTCTTTTAGACATTTGAGAAGAAAAACTTAAACTTATTTTAAAACAGATTTTACTTAATATATAAGTATGATATTGGTTCTTGAGCTTGGTTTCTGTTAACACAGAGACATAGCTGTTACTTAATTTGATCTTTATAATTGTGTTTTTCTTTGGGTAATATCCCAGTGTGTAAAAAAAAATTTTTTTTTGTTTTTTGGGGGGAGGGAGTCTCACTCTGTCACCCAGGCTAGAGTGCAGTGGCATGATCTAGGCTTACTGCAACCTCCACCTCTTGGGTTTAAGCGATTCTCCCACCTCAGCCTCCCAGGTAGCTGGGACTACAGGTGTGTGCCACCATGCCTGGCTACTTTTTGTACTTTCAGTAGAGATGGAGTTTCGCCATGTTGGTCAGGCTGATCTCGAACTCCTGACCTCAGGTGATCCACCCTCCTCGGCCTCCCAAAGTGCTGGGATTACAGGTGTGAGCCACCATGCCTGGCCAAAAAAAAATTTTTTTTTAAAGGGTGGAGCATTGAAATTGATTTTCATTTTTTTTTTTTTGCTTATCTGTATGTTTATCTGCATTTTTTTTCACATATTGCCCTTGCATTTTAGTTTGTTAACATGTAATTCACTTAGCCACGTACTGGTATTGAACACGAATAATCTTAGTAGTGTTTTCACATATTTAGCTTAGAGTTTTCTCAAATTACTAAATACTTATTTCTTTATCCCAGTGCTTACCCCAGAGTGAAGAGAAGGGCATGTAAGTATGATAGTTTTGTGGGGCTTTTGGCTCCAAGATATGCTAATACTTTAATTTATAAGAAATACAACTTATTTTTTGTGGCCTTTAATATAACTAGGGAAGTAGGTGATAGTTACACATTACTTTAGAATTGGTTGACTAAATTTGTTTCAAAAAGTAGTTGCAGTTTTTGTATATATTCTGTTTCAAGACATCATGATGAAGAATAGGTGAATGTTGAAGTTGCTGGGGTAGGAAAGTGATGGGATAGAGGGTAGAAAATGTGAAGAATTTTTGCTAAGAATTCTTTAAGGTTACTTAAAATATTACAGAAAATTTCAAACATGTACACAAGTAGAGAGAACAGAATAATGACCCCTTTCCCATGTGGCCATTACCCAGGTTCAGCAATTTGACAATTATCAACCCAGCCTGCTCTGGTTTCGTCTTTAACTTCCCCTCACCATTCCCCTCCCCCAGACTCCAGATCATTCTGAACAAATCCCAGGCAAAATACCATTTCCTTAATGTAACTTTTATATTAGATATGTATCATAGAATATTCTAGTGTCTGTGTATGTCTTTGTTTCCTTAACTTAATAGGTTGGCATGTATATGGACTCTTGCAGCGTTCTGATAAAAAATATGATGAAGCTATAAAATGTTACCGAAATGCCCTCAAATTAGATAAAGATAACCTGCAAATTTTGAGGGATCTCTCACTGTTGCAGATCCAAATGAGAGACCTTGAAGGTTACCGAGTAAGTACTTCATTCTTAAATGTACATGATTTTACAGTAGACAAAATTTAAGAGCGTGTCATTTCAGAATGAGGTGAGCATAAGCCAAAATCAAGTAGATTTGATTGTTCATTAGAAGGTGTATGTCGCTTGGGACCTTCCTTCTCAGTCATAGTTGTGGCACTTTGTACTTGAGTATTCAAAAAGAATAACTGGTGGGGTGTGGTGGCCCACGCCTGTAATCCCAGCAGTTTGGGAGGTTGAGATGGGAGGATCGCTTGAGGCTGGGAGTTAGAAACCAGCCTGGGCAACATAGGCCAGACTCCGTCTCTACAAATAAGAAAATTAGCCCGGTATGGTAGTTTACACCTGCAGTCCCAGCTATCCAGGATGTTGAGGCAGGAGGATCCCTTGAACCTAAGAGTTGAGGCTGCAGTGAGCCATGATTATGCTACTGCACTCCAGCCTGGGCAAGAGAGCAAGACTTTTTCTCAAAAAACAAAACAAAAAAAACTGGTTTTTAAAACATTCTTAATTCATTAATTATTTAAAAATTAGAGACAAGGTCTTGCTATGTTACCAAGGCTAGTCTTGAACTCCTAGGCTCCAGTGATCTTCCCACCTCACCCTCCCAAAGTTCTGGGATTACAGGCATGAGCCACTACGCCTGGCCATAACTGTTTAACTGGAATATCTATGTGCAGCTGCTGTACTAGATTATTTGTGGGTTTGATATTTACAAATTTGATAAACTAATAAGGCTTTTATAATGGAAACCTAAACATAAAAGTAGCTTTTAAAAATTATTGGTTAGTAAATATTTTAAAAACGTGAGAAGGGTTGCCATAAATCAGTCTTTCTGTAGTTGAGACCTCTTCAGATTTGCATCTTCAACTCTCTCCTGGACATCTCCATGTGCTTAGTCCACTTCGTATCCTAGAATCAGTATGTCCAACATGGAATTCTCTTACTTACTTATGAGAAGGAGGCCACTAGGTTCTAACAGTTTTCTTTAAATACATTATTTATATACTTCTTACTTTTGCCCTCTACTGCCATATAAGCCCTCATACCCCATGCCTAGATTTTTGCAGCCACTTTAAGGGCTCTGCTGAACTTACTATAATAATAATGGCACCACTCTTCAAAGCGTGTATTTTTTTCTTCAGCTGTGTTTAGCAGCTTAGATGTGGTTGGAGTTAAAATCAGTTATCTTTAGGAATGAGGCATAGAAATTAAGAATATTGGCAAAACAATGGCTGCTAAAGTGGATTGTGAAGTAAATTAAGTTAAAAGAGAGCTAGGCTTGGTATTACGTGTCTTAGTCCTGGCTACTTGAGAGGCTGATGTAGAAGGATTGCTTGAGCCCAGGAGTTTAGTCCAGCCTGGGCAACATAGGGAGACTCTGTCTCTAAAGAAAAAAAGGAGAGCTGGTGGTGAAAGTGTGAAGGACCCAGGAAGTACAGACACTGGTGGTCAAAGAACAAGGGTAGGAGTGTCATCAAATGATAGTGTTGGCAGCATGGGAGCTGTGGGTAGAGAGTGAGATACCTAAATTTATGATTTCTGGGTGGCAGTAACTTCTAGGGTGTGGCTGTGGGAGTGGGCCTCTGAATGGGGTGGAGGAGAAAATCATTAAAGATTAGAAAATCTTGGGATTTAGAGGATAGGTTGTGGGATGGGTGATACACGTTAGTGTTGCATTTGCCCAGGGTAACGCCAAGAGTTGGCAGAGAAAATAATACTGACCTAGACTTTAATAAAGGATTTGGGAATGACAGAGAAGCAACAGTAAAAATAAGGGATAATTAGATGTTTGGGTGTTTCGCCTGGCTGTGTCTGTCCTGTGTCTGGCCAATTATTACAATGTATTTACACTGTAAATACATGTAATTCATATAATAGTTTTATAAGTAGCAAAATGTAGTTTAATAAAAAACCATCTTAGTCTTCTTACAGAATATTTAGTTACCAAAAAAAAAAAATTCTCATTATTTAAATGTAATTTAATAAGGCAGTCCAAAGGCATGGGCCCCAAAGATGTTTCAATGACAGCCTCACAGTGAGTATTACAGGGTATTGTAGAACTTTAGTATTTTAGGTAGGAAACATAAAAAGTACTTCTATTTTATTCTGAAACTGATCTTTGTTGATATAGTTCATTAGAAATGTGTTAAAGGTTAGATTGTTTTCTTAAAACTGATGAAATAATGTTTTAGAGAATATTTAGCAAGTTAAAACTTTTTTTTTAGGAGACAAGATACCAGCTTCTTCAGTTGCGCCCCACACAGCGTGCCTCCTGGATTGGATATGCTATTGCATACCATTTGCTGAAAGATTATGATATGGCCCTAAAACTGTTGGAAGAATTTAGACAAACTCAGCAAGTAAGAATTTTAATGTTTCCTTCTACCTTCATAAATGGAGTAGTTGACTTCTAAATTGTCCCTGCTCTCAAATGTGAATTAAAGTATTTGAAACCTATGGAAAACGGGAAAACTTTTTGACGTAATTGGAAACAGTTAAAATGTAGGATTATTTTTCTCTCTCTTTTTTTTTTTTTCCGAGACGGAGTCTCGCTCTGTCCCCCAGGCTGGAGTGCAGTGGCACGATCTCGGCTTGCTGCAAGCTCTGCCTCCCGGGTTCAAGCCATTCTCCTGCCTCAGCCTCCAGAGTAGCTGGGACTACAGGCACTCGCCACCACGCCCGGCTAATTTTTTCTATTTTTTAAGTAGAGACAGGGTTTCACCGTGTTAGCCAGGATGGTCTCGATCTTCCGACCTCGTGATCCGCCCACCTCGGCCTCCCAAAGTGCTGGGATTACAGGCGTGAGCCACCGCGCCCGGCCATTTTTTTTTTTTTTAAGAGACGGGGTCTTGCGATGTTGTCCAGGCTGGTCTCGAACTCCTGGGCTCAAATGATCATCCTGCCTCGTCTTCCTAAAGTGCTGGGATTACAGGCATGAGCCACCACGCCTGCCTCCACGTTTCAATGGAGAATATTCTACATGTGGATTCAGCTGCAAGTTGATGGAGATGGTGTGGATTGAGTCACTTCACTTAGAGTTAATCCACCAACCTTGAGTCTCTTTTCCACTCCTCTGTTTATCTGTCATTTCATAATCTTGACCCTGTCTGGAGTTTTCCAGGACAGATAGGCATTCTCTGTAGTAATTTCCTCTTTATGGATACTCTAGACTTGAGCTTCTTCCATCCTATTTCACTTACTCCTCCTTTGCATTCTGTTTTCTAGAAATTTGTTGAAATCTTAAATAGTATCTTCTATTTATGGGTTTTTATATTTTTTAATCTGCTATTTTTACTCTCTTAAGGGAGGAAATAAACTTTGTAGTAAGGCCACCGTCTTTACTTAGGTTTTTAGCTTTTTACGTCACACCAGAGAATTGATTAGACTGGTTCTTTGTTTTTATCCAAGAATCAAGTTCTGACCAAAAGATAGTACTGTATCACATTTGGTGGACTTGATAAAAAACTTTCCTTTGAACACAAAATTATGACATTTTGATGGTTAGATTTAGGTGTTTGCAATTTCTTTCTTTCTTTTTTTTTTTTTTTTTTTTTTTTTTTTTTGAGACAGAGTCTTGATCTGTCGCCCAGGCTAGAGTTCAGTGGTGCAATCTCGGCTCACTGCAACCTCCGCCTACCAGGTTCAAGCAATTACCCTGCCTCAGCTTCCCGAGTAGCTGGGATTACAGGCCCCCACCACTGGGTCTGGCTAAGTTTTGTATTTTTAGTAGAGACGGGGTTTCATCATGTTGGCCAGGCTGGTCTCAAACTCCTGACCTTGTGATCCACGTGCCTCTGCCTCCCAAAGTGCTGGGATTACAGGTGTGAGCCACCGTGCCCGGCCAATTTCTGTTTTTTTTTTTCCTTTACTTTTTTTCTAGAGACAGGATCTGACTGTGTTGCCCAGGCAGAAGTGCTGTGGCTATGCACTACAGTCTTGAACTCTTAGGCTACGACTAGGACTTGAACTCCTAGCTAGGACTGCTCCAGAGACTGAGGCAGGAGGCTAGCTGGGACTACAGGTATACCACTGTGCCTGACAATGTTGTGTTTTTTTTTTTTAAGACATAATGCTGCTGCATGGTTAATAGACTATAGTGTAGTGTTAATATAACTTTTTTAGTTTAGTTTTTTTTTTTTTTTTTTGAGACTGAGTTTCACTCTTGTTGCTCAGGCTGGAGTGCAGTGGCGCAATCTTAGCTCACTGCAACCTCCACTTCCGGGCTTAAGCGATTCTTCTGCCTCAGCTTCCTGAGTAGCTGGGATTACAGGCATGTGCCACCACGCCAGGCTAATTTTGTATTTTAGTAGAGACGGGGTTTCACCATGTTGGACAGGTTGTTTTGAATTCCTGACCTCAGGTAATCCACCCACCTCAGCCTCCCAAAGACCTGGGGTTACAGATGTGCGCCACCGTGCCTGGCCAACGGAACTTACATGCACTGGGAAACCATAAAATTGTGTCACTCACTTTATTGTGGTGGTCTGGAACCAAACCCACAATATCTCCAAGGTATACCTGTAATTGATTTGTCTTCATTGATATTTTATTCTGTGACTTTGGTAAACACTTTTATTAACTCTAGTAGTTTTTTTTTTGTAGATTCTATAGTATTTCAACCATTTTTATATTTGTATGTAGGATTTCTTGACCTGTGTCACTTGGGAATAGACAGAAGTCCCACCCTATTATTTGTTTTAAATAATGCATTCATTTTTTGTGTTATTAATCACTCTTCTGTTTGTATCTGCTTGTGGGTTGCTTTCTTGTTTATGTGAATGACTCTCCTGAGAAGGCAGTTTAATTAAAGGTCTGTAACTGCTTTATATAATTATACAAATAAAGTAATTTGGTCATTTTTTTTCAGGTTCCTCCAAACAAAATAGATTATGAATATAGTGAATTGATATTATACCAGAATCAAGTGATGAGAGAGGCAGATCTGTTGCAGGAATCTTTGGAACATATAGAAATGTATGAGAAACAAATATGTGATAAACTTTTGGTGGAAGAAATTAAAGGTAAGTTGGCTTGCCTTTTTTTAATAGCCTCAAACAGAAAACAAAAAAACTATATATTTTATTCTCTCCTAAGTCTTACGTAACAGTTGTTATGTATCTGGCAAGGTTCCAAACACGATTATTAAGCCATTATTAACTAGTTTAATCCTCATAACAACCCTATGTTGTAGTTATTATATCTATTTTGGAGATGGGGGAACTGAGAGATTGAGTAGCCCCAAATCATACAGTTTAGTAAACTGGAGAGTGCTGGATTTGAATCCAGATTTCATTCCCTTAAGCAGTATATTACACTGCCTTCATATTGAATATGTATCTCTGTATATCCATATATAGTTAATTAAATACAGTGAGAACCATAACTGATGATACTGGGATCATCATGAACACAAAGGTCATTTATTTTCATTATGGGCTAATTATGAAGACAGGATCCCTATAGTTTTAACAGCATTCATCAACAAGGGGTCAAACAAAAATTTTCACAGAGCTTTGCTCATTAATTCCCTTTCCCTGAGCAATAATGTATTAAATTGAATGTCCAGCTAAAATAATAGTTTAGAACTAAAGTTCCATACAATTGTAGAACCTCTGAAGTCTGAAGCTCTTAATAAAAATAATAGCTAATATAGATTTTAAAACTCTTCTTCTATTTGAGTATGGTAATTGCTTAAATTGCTTTATTTCATTTAATTTTTTAGCACTTTTAAGATGGATGCTATTTATTAACCCCATTTTATAGTGGAAGAGACTGAGGCTTAGAGAGGTTAAGGACTTGCCCAAAGTCATCCAGCTTTTTAAGTGGTAGAGTTATAGTTTCCAAGCACATCAACACATTCCCTGACTTCAGAGCCCTTACTTTTTTCTAAAAAATAGACATTTTCAGGACAGTTTTAGGTTCACAGTAAAATCTAGAAAAAGGTGCAGAGAGTTCCCATATATCCCTGTATACCCACAGCCTTTCCCACTGTCATGCTCTATGGGTTTTGACAAATGTATAATGACATGTATTCACCACTGTAGTATTATACAAAGTAGTTTCACTGCCCTAAACATCCTTTGTTTCACCTTTCCATCCCTCACTCCTGCAAACCCCTGGCAACCACTGATCTTTTTACCCTCTACATAGTTTTGCCATTTCCAAAATATCATATAGTTGGAATCATACGGTATGTAGCCTTTTCAGATTGGCTTTATTTTTGCCAAATCATCTCTTGCCTGAGAAAGATTGGCTTTTTTCACTTAGTAGTGTATGTTTTTTTTCCCATACCTTTTCATGAGCGTCTTACTTTTAACTACTATACTCTTTCTGGTTAATGTATAGTACATGAGTGATTTAGTTTTTATTGTAATTCATATTAATGACACTTTTAAAAGTTATTGATAAAATATGGGTAAATAATTAAATATTCTGGTTTCTATCTTGTTCTGTTACTTATTGATGGTAGCAAAGAGGAAAAAAGGCAATTATTTTCCTTTCTGAAATATTATTGTCATTTCCTGATTAAATCTTAACTCAGGTTGCTGTTTCTCTTTTTTGGTATTTGTCCTGTAGCATCAATAGGAAATGCATTCAATATAATCCATATGTGAGATTATTTAATCTTAAAAAAAAAAACAAATAGGGAATGCAGTTAGGTTAGATTATTTAATCTTCAAAATAAAAGCAAATAGGGAATGCAGTTTTTGAAAAGTAAATATGGTACAGTGAAATTAATTCAAGTTAGTATACACCGTGAATGCATTCCTCTAGTAATAACCTTTGCTTCATGGTAGTAGCAGATAACAGATGTTTTTTGAAATGAAAAATACGCTGTTGTCTATTATATCTGGGATAAGCAGGGTAAAAATTGGCCAGAAGATAATCATGGAGGAATGGGGCATGTTTAAAGTTTTAAGTAGCAGACATTTATATGTATTCATTTTGTGACAGGCAGTGTGCTGTCACAAAGGCACTTTCTCCACGTCACAAAACTAGTTAGTGGTGGAGTTGGTAATTATTCCTAGTTCAGTCTTATTCTAGAGTTTGAGTGATATATGATATAAAAATAGTAAAAAAAATAGTACATAAGACCTGCTATAATATACTGCCTCCTCCAACATGATGAAAGCAGAAATAGTATGACTTGAAGACATTTTAAAGGGTTATTTGAAATAGATTGTTTGGGGAATGGGTAATCTTGAGGGCAGGAAGCTGAGGTATGTTCTTTTTTGAGAATCTCCCCTTTATCTTGGATTAGGTGTGTTTCCATCGTATTTGAGAGGTCTGGGACCTCATTTTCCACACCACCTCTTAATTTGTGTGGCTTAGTAAAAGGATTTGACCTTTTACCAACCCGCTGAGCTGACCTGTACATGAACATGGCTTGTGTGGTTTCCTGTTACAAAGTGGTGTTTAGTGTTATAATTTCACTGAGTTAAACTTCTCCAGTTTTAGTGACCTTGAAACAATGAGAATTGAGTGGAGAATTAATATATGAACTGATAGGAAAGATATATTTAAATCTTGTAGTAGGAAGATAGGAATGTTTCACTAGCATTATTTGCCAATCTAATTTTGATGTGTTTGTGTGTGTCTTTACTTATTTCAAAGAGTATAAGATGTGTGTAATGCAAAAGTTTTTTTACTAACAAATTAATGTCCTATGTATTTGTTTGGAGTGTAAGAGGGAGCCAAAAATAAAGGTACAAATGAAGGTTCACTTCTGAAGGCAAGCTATGCTTAGTTACATGAACTGCAACATGCCCAAAGGGGAAGCATACAGAGTTCTGTCTTTTTAACCATCTGTTCACTGATAATGTTTAGTGAAGTCCCTGGGGTCAGATAGATATTTAATGTTTAAAATGAATATGTCTTTAAACTTAATTTCAGGGGAAATACTGTTGAAATTGGGAAGATTAAAAGAAGCCAGTGAAGTGTTCAAAAACTTGATTGATCGAAATGCAGAAAATTGGTGTTATTATGAAGGCTTGGAAAAAGCTCTACAAATTAGTATGTAATGATTTTTCTCCTCTTTCTCATAACTACTGATTGAAGTATAATAAAATGTAAAGTTGTAATAATACTTGGGAACAAATAATTTTAGCATTAGTACTCATTTTTCCATTTAGTAAAATTATAGGTTAAACATGGGAGTAAAAATGAATTCAAATAGTTACACTTAAGTGTAAGTGATTGCAGATATGTTAGGTTCCTTGACCCTTACCTGTGATAGTATTGGAAGGTGAGGCAAAAATAAAACAAAGCCAAACCAAAACAAAAAAAACCATACCAATTTAGAGTAGGGACATGGGAAAGAAAATGAGCATTCCCTTTCTGGGAAGTGTTGTAACTATTTAATATTTTAAAATCATTAGAGATTCATTACCCTCAACCTCTAAATATAAGAATTGGGCCAAATAATTATTGTTGAGGATATTTGCTTTGATTTCAAACTAGGCTAATTTGTGTAGAGCAAAATGTTACATATCTTCCTTTGAAATTTGGTAACTTTGACCCTTTTCAGAACTCTAGTGTCAGTCCAAGATTTTTGTAATATTTTCATAATTAAGTGTTGGCAGGAACTGTTAATATTCCTAAAATCATATTTACTCATGAATAAATATATTCCTGAAATAATTATGAAGTTGGCTCAAAGATGTTGAAACAGCAGAATTTTTTTTTTTTTTTTTTAGAATTTTTAAATTTAAAAAGTTTGGTAAATAGGTAGCTACCCACATTCATTTATAGTAGTATAAGCTACAAGAAAAGTTTAATTGTTGTATCCTCACTGGTATTAATTCTGGTGTTCTTTTTATGTTTAAAATTTAACACTACAAATTGTTAAAAATTTAGTTTAAGAAAATGATTAAAATCACAATATTGATTAAAGTAATAATCTGAAGAAAACAGCAAAGCTCATATGTGTGAAGGCTGAAAACATGGGTTAACTACGATTTTTCTTTAAACTAGTAACATTACGATTTATAAAAATATTTTCATGTTTTACTAAAATGAATAATATGTTCCATATGTCAGGATTCTTGGTTACTATAAAATGTATTGATTACAAAACTAATTACACTATTGTTTTAGGTAACTTATGACCTTTCCTTCCCCGTGGTAAGTTCTGGAGCTCCAACTTGTGACTTTAAGTAGGATTTATACGGCTTGTTATATCTAGGGTAGTGGATAATTTTTTTTTTTCATACTTGGCGCTTGTTGTTCTCTACGATTAGGCACGAACATGAGAGTATTTTTAAAATACTTATATGCAGTTCATTTATGTGTTAGTATAAGGGTCTTTAATATTTTGTGAAGTCTCCAAATCATTAACAGAGAGCGAGGTTTTTTTTTGTTTTTTTGTTTTTGTTTTTTTACCCCCCACACATATCCTTGGTCTTAAAATCCAACCACATTGGAGCTCCAAAACATATTACTGGGGGAAGGAATGCGTCTAAACGAGATCACACCTCTTCAAATGTGGTGTTTACAATCTTGATGCTTGATATTAATCTTGAATATCAATACTTATAAACTACATTTACTACAGAGATACCTTGTCTGCTAGCACCCAGGGTTATTCTTAGGATAGTTATTTTTCTGTGGTTTAGACCACAGAATTTGGATTAAAATCTACTTAAAACTTTATAGTTCAAAAACAGGTTTGTTTGCTTTTTCTTAAAATTCCACTATAAATTATCTTATTGCTTATAAATCTCTTTGTGAATTATGCAGGATATTATTTTAGAAAGATAAACTATACCCAGATCCTATTTGCTTGCTTATTGTTGTTTCAGAGTAACATGTAGTTTATGTATAGATACATCCTTTATGTGGTACTATAAAATTAGGTGTCTCTTGGGTGGGAAGATACAACTTTCTGTTAGAAGTGTAATTTATATCTTTTGGAAGGATAATGGAGTTTCATTGAAGATTTTAAGTGTTAAAGTTAACATGGAAGTTTAGTTTATCTTCTTATATTTTAAACATTTGCAATCGTAATCCTAAAACTGTTGCTCCTTTGAGGCTTTTATGGGGATATATGTAGGTTTCTTTGATTCAGCGTGTTTACGTAGGTTATGTTATTAGACCTACGTTATAAAAAGATTTTCTTTTCCATGAGTTGTATGCTAAAGGAATATAGAGAAGTGCAGCATATCTTGAGTCTGTGATGGCTTGTATATGTGATTTGGGTTGTATTTAGAATCTTGCAATGAGAGAAGTTTTGGATTTTTCTGGAGATGAGTTTAAAACAGTGACTTAACTGATTATAGTATTTTGCCACCACAGAGTTTTAAATGTCATTTTTACCAAAATTGAAAGCAGCTTTAATATTGTTAATGCAGTTTTATTTATAACAAAATTTTAGAAGTTTGTTAGCATTTTACCATAGATAAAAGTTTTGATGCTATGAATCTCACCCATATTTACTGATAATAGGCACTTTAGAAGAGAGGCTTCAAATTTATGAAGAAATTAGTAAGCAGCACCCCAAAGCAATTACACCCAGAAGATTACCTTTGACTCTTGTCCCAGGTAATATTAAGATGTCTTTTATAATATTAATTATTTGTCAGAATTACTCAATGTTATTTATATTTTAGAAACGTGTTTCTGGTATAGAGTTTATGTTTACAGCAGTCTTGGAGTTGGGAGTGAACAGTTATGAGTTTATATGTTAAGAGTGTGATACTTCAATGTGTAGTTAAATGTTGATTTTAATATTTGAAGTTATCTATATAAATATAAAACTGCTTTTCTTAAGTTGATCTCATAGAGGTAGAAAGAATGATAGATATCAGAGCTGGCAAGGGGAGTGTGGGGGAGAGATGAAGAGAGGTTGGTTAATGGGTACAAACATACAGTTAGATAGAAGGAATAAGTTTCAGTGTTTGCAGAGTAAGGGGACTGTAGTTAACAACAATATACTGTATATTTCAGGATAGCAAAAGAGAGGACTTGAAATGTTCGCAGCACATAGAAATGATAAGTAATCGAGGCGATAGGTACCCTAAATACCCTGACTTGATCGTTACACGTTCTCTGTATGTAACAAAATATCATGTACTGCCTAAATATATATAAATAATATGTATTGGTAGAAAAACTGCTTTTCTTAATGTGACTTTTTAAAAAGCACCGTATTTAGAAGGTAAATTCCCTATAATTAGTGACAAATTATATGTGGTATCATGATTTGAGTGGTAAAAGTTTTGAAGTTTTTGTGTTTTTGTTTTTGTTTCCGAGACAAGATCTTGCTCTGTTACCAGGCTGGAGCTGGAGTGCAGTGGCGCAATCACTGTAGCCTCAAACCCCTGGGCTCAAGCTATAGTTTTGAAGTTTTTGTCTTCTTTTTTGAGCATAAATTCAAAGAAATAGTTGTGAGCTGTTTGCACCCACTATGGTGTTTTAAGAACAGAACATCATCATTCCCTCAGAGTTAACCACTTTCCCGAGTTTTGCTTTTTCTTTTGCCATTACTTTTATTTTTAGAGCTCCATGTATTTTGTATTCCTGAAAACAAAAACAGCTTTTGTACTTTATATAAATAGGAGTACTCCGGTATATATTCTGTGATTTGCTTTTATTGTACAATAGTATATTCATGACCTTGAGTCGAGTTATTGTATGTAGCTGAACTCATTTACTTTTGAGCTACATAGGACGTAGACAGTATATTAGCTCTTCAGGTAGCTAATATCTTTGTTGAGTTTTTAAAAAATTATGTGTTTTTGTTGAAGTCTTTATTTTTAGTTGTAAGTGCTATAGATTATGAATTGTATATTGGGACTTCTGGTATTTCTTTTGACACAAGTCAGAGTCTAGAAAGCTAATACAACTTAAAAGTATTCTGGAGAGGCGAGGAGTTTATTTTCTATTCTCATAGTGGCAAATATTTGTTTAAATACTTGGGTTATAAGTTTATTTTTACCAAAATATTGATGAAAATTAAAAATTTTTAGTTGACTGACTTGTGAAATACCTTTTAGAAATGTATTTGATTAGACAGTAGATAGAAATTGATTTTAAAAATTCATTTTATACTATTGCATTTCAATTCCACATATGAAGAGTAGTGTTCTTCTGATCCTCCATTTTTTTGGTTTTGTTTTTGTAGAATACAGAGAGCAGATTTCTCTAATGTTTTCCAGGGAACATTAAGTCCAAGTGGATATTAATAGGCTTGGTGGGGAGGGTGTTAGTGTGCTTTTGCTGTTCTTCAGCCAAGTAAGTTTGGGAAACTGGGTTAGACACAGCTATCAGGTTTCTATAGGACTTCTCAGAGCTTTTAATATACACTTTGTGAATTTCAAAGATGGGAGTATATGCGTAGTGAGGAGTATTTTCCCTAATAAAAGTGTCTTGTGGAAGATGCTTAGGCTTACATTTCTGTATTTCTTCCTTCTCCTCTTTGTTTTAAAAAATAATAGCTTTTTGAAATATAATCCATATACCGTAAAACTCACTTTTAAAAAGTGTGTGCAATTCAGTGTTTTAGTATATTAATCATGTTGTGCAACCATCATCTCTGTCTGCTTTCAGAAATTTTTCATGACCCCAAAAAGAAACCCCATACCTATTTCACTCCCTGTCACCCCTCAACCACAGCACCTGGCAACCACAAATCTACTTTCTGTACCTATGGATTTGTCTGTTTTTGGACATTTGAAATAAATGGAATCATACCATATGTGGTCTTTAGTTTCTGACTTCTCCTCCTTTTATTGGTCTCAAGGTATATTTTGTGTTTCACAATATATTGTGTGTGGGGGGGATATTTCCTTAGGAGCTTTAAAATACATTCATATGCTTCTTAGGAAAGAAAGAAACCTCGCTTAGCTTTAAGATTACGAACAAGACTTCTTTGTTCTCTTTTTCTCATTTGGAACATGGGGCTTCAGGTTTATACTGCCTAAATTTATTTCCATAGACAATATAAGTTTACTAAAAGCCCTCAATATGTGGCAGTATAGGGTAGGAAATATATTTTTACTGGAAGAGCTTAGAGTTTTTTTTTTTATTGTAAAGTGTGATTTAGGTTAAAGTGGAACCATCCTAGACTCTCTAGGACATGCTGTCTTTGAAATGCCATAAAAATCTTTTTACAAAACAGGTCTCAGTGGAGGGGTCTGATGGCATAGGCTTTCAAGGTCATCATCGCTTTGAGGTTCTGACAAATGTGTATTTACAAAGCTCCAGTGAATATATATAAAATTATGCAAATACTTAATTTTCTCTGTGCAAAGCCGAATATTTCATGATTTTTTTGCCTGTCTAGAAGTGCTTTTATGTGCAATTAGAAAGCCGTCTTGGCATTATCAAAAGCAGTAAGATCTTCCTCAAGAAACATGATGCATCTTGAGAATGCAAGGTGAAAGTTTTGAAAAAGCCTTTCCACTTTTTAGGTAAAAGGGCTTCATACCTACAGAACAATAAGGAAATTTTCTAACACCTGAAAATATTAAGCACTCTAAAAATAATGAAGGGATAAAGCTGCTTTTCAAAATAATCAGTTCATCATGTTCCATTATGCACTGGCTGAAGGGTAGAGAGAGGGAAGGAAATAATCCAGAGTATTAAACATAGAATACTAATTATATTTTGCTCCATTATTTAGAACGGATTTCCAGTGAATAAGAAACAGTCTATTCTTGCTGTTTACACTGATTATTTTAGGAATTCATGTAAATATGGACATCATGTTTTGGGGACATCATGCTAATGTATCTAGATGAGAATTATTCAGGTAACCTGTTTTGTGAGCAGTAATACTAAACAGGCACATAATAATTGATGGAAAAAATGAGATGGATAAATAATAAGTAATCTGGGGATATGGTATGTGACTGAGCAGTTGGGTAGCTGTGTAGGCTTCTTGTTTAGGTGATGTATTCACACAGTTGCAAATTAGGTAAAAAGAGTTTATAAGTGAAGTCTTTTTCTTGTCTGTCCCCTGGCAACTAAGTTTACTTTCCTGAAGACATCCATTGTGATCAGCTGATGGTGTATTCTTCTACAAATACATTGTGCATGTGTGAGCCAAAATATGTGTGGGAGATTTGTTTAAGGTCACCCCCCCCACTGTGCTTTTTGCAAAAGTGCAGTAACATGGATTGATGGATTGCTGCGCACCTGGGTTTTCTTTTCACTTAACCTCGTATTTGGAGATTAGTCCTGGATCAGCACTTCAAGAGCTTCCCCATTCTTTTTCATACCTGCACAATCTAATCAAATTTGTCAATATGATCTGAATAGACTGAGAAAGTTGACCAAGGAGGAGTTCAGAGTGGCTTCTGCCATGAAGATAAAAGGCTTGTTTCCTCAGCGGGTGATTGCAAGAATAGAAAACAAAATATTAACTCGAAAATATAAAAACTGTCAGATATCAGAGAAGAGACATTTATTGAGTGATTACTACGTGCAAGACATTGTTTACTGTTATATTCTTATCTCGTTTGAGCCATACAAATGTACTCTTGAGGTCAGTGATGGTATTGCCTTCATTTTACAGTGATAAAACTAAGGTTTTTAATGGACAAGTTATTTGCCCAAGGTTGCACACAAATACGTGGAGAAGTCTGCATTCCTCTAAGAAACAGCGTCTCTTATTGTCTACCACAATATTGTTAATTTCGTTGTATACCAGAGGAATTACTGGAAAGGTTCGGTCTCTGAAACTATTTTTGATTTTTAAAGAAGCAGTGGTGTATAATTTAACCCAGGATGAAGTTTTATGTTGTCTTCGTAATCTGTGATTTTTCAAAAGACCAGTATTTTGTGTATGATCTAATAAGAGATTAGAGATTATCTGAATACAATCTTTATAGTTAATGGAGTTAAATTTTTTTATGACATCTAATTATATTGAGTATGCATGCATGTTTTGTTCAACATAGTCACAACAAATAAAAATAACCATTTTGGGTTGTTAGATTTTGTTGTGCAGTGTTGTGATTCATTAAGAAACCATAGGAGGTCATTTCAGTCATCTTACTTGAGGCTAAATCATTCATGACATACATGTGTTTTTTTTTTTTTCCCCCAAATGATTAGGTAAATCCATGTCCTTATGTATTAGTCCATACTGTCAAAAAATTCTTGTATCTTTGTATTTAAAATTAAAATTCTTTGAATATTCTCTGCTTTCAAAAGGTGATGACAAAAATCATTTCTGGGGTTTAGCAATGAAAGAATTATTGACTTGATGTTGCAAATAGGGTATTTATTTAGTTGTAATGTTAGAATGCCCATGGCTCAGTCTAATGTCTAACATAAATTTACTTTACTTTTATTGTTGGTCTCACTCACTGAGATGTTAAGTTCTATTTAAAAAAAAATTTTTTTTTTTTAAATTTTAATCACTGCTATATCCTCAATACCTAGAACAGTACCTGGCATGTAGTAAGTGCTTGACACATTATTGTGGAATGAATGAATGAATGAATGAGTGTTGAAGTAAATGACAAGTTGATTTGGGAAAACATTTGTAAACACCAGCTTAGTGTTTAAAAAGATCTTTTGGCTATCACTTGAATATAGTGCTGGTAGTCTGCTGCAGAGTGCTTTATGCATATCTGCAGGGTTTTGAGCTGTAGACTGAGTGTGCTAGTCAGTGAGAGATTAGGAAAGATATTTGATATTGTGCTAAATTCAGAATGGATAGTTGATAACTTTTACTTAAAACTATGACTTTTTGGGTTTATAAATTGGATAGGAGCATAATTGCTTCTGAGGGAGCTTTATTTTTATTTAGAAAATCATTTTAAGAATTGTTTGCGTGAACCAAAGAATAACAAAGTACGCTTTTGTTTCTAGGTGAAAGATTTAGAGAACTAATGGATAAGTTCCTGAGGGTTAACTTCAGTAAAGGCTGCCCACCCTTGTTTACTACTTTGAAATCTTTATATTACAATACAGAAAAGGTAAAATTTGGTATTTATTCAGATTTGCTATAGTCTTTTTTACTAAACTGTAGAAAGATGTCCATGTAAATAATGTGCTATTACTTAATCATTTTCTTTGTTTCAGTAATGTTACCTTACTTTCAGTCATGTACTGAAATTACATGCCTGTAGTATAAGTAATATCAAAGTAAAGGGTTTATGAAAGCACTAAGATTATAAAGGTTGTTTATTTTTAATAGGTATACTTTTTTTTAGTAGGATTTTAAATTTGACATTGTTACCAAAGGTATATATTTATTTTGTGATTATTATTTTATGGTACAGTTATGGATTTTTAAATTAGTTATGCATGCTTTTAAAGTTAGAGCTTGGATAATTGAGTTAGTGCAACAGTAAAATGCAATTTGGTCAAATTACTGGTACAAATTACTAGGTTTAATCAGTAGGCTACATTTTAATAAATACAGGTTTAGCTAGTTCTTGAATAAAGAATTGTCTTTCTGCTTTTTAAAATTAGAAAATAGGCCAGGTGTGGTGGCTCATGCCTGTAATCCTAGCACTTTGGGAGGCTGAGGTAGGCAGATCGCGAGGTCAGGAAATTGAGACTATCCTGGCGAACACGGTGAAACCCCATCTCTAGTAAGAATACAAAAAATTAGCCGGGCGTGGTGGTGGGCGCCTGTAGTCCCAGCTACCCGGAAGCTTGAGGCAGGAGAATGGTGTGAACCTGGGAGGCAGAGCTTGAAGTGAGCCGAGATCGCGCCACTGCACTCCAGCCTGAGTGACAGAGCGAGACTCCGTCTCAAAAAAAAAAAAAAAAATTTCGAAAATAGGCACTTAAATCTTGGTCTTAAATTAGAAAGATAATTAAAAGTTAATAGAAAGCAAGTTATACTTTTATTTCCAAGTGTTGCTTCTTATTAAAGTCTAAAATCTTGTTGTCTTTTCTATAGTCAGTTTTTTAAAGTTACTACTGGATAAGGAAAAGATTTTATTAGAAATGCCAAAAAAATTTTAGTTAAGCTTCTGTCATATTTATTTAGCTTTGATTCATAATAATTTGTAAATTTGCAGTAATTGTGAATAATACAATGTTGGAAACATCAGTTATAGATATAGCTGATTGGCATTTTCCTACCTGTGGCAGCAGGTTTCATAAACAAAAGAAACAACTGATGATATCTAGTACCCAGTTAGAAAAAAACATCATTTATGTTAAAAAAAACAAAAAAACCCAAAAAACCCTTACAATTCCTTAATGTCTGTTGTATGGTCTATTTGACTGCAGTGTTTCTGTTGTCAGTTTTTTGAGAGATAGTGATTGATTTCTGTGTAAACATGTACCCGGTGCCTGCCAATAATTTCTCTAGATTATTTAACATTGGGTAAAATTCTTTTGTTCTTTTTGGTGAGGGTGACAGAGAAGAAAGGTTAGATGAAATGCCAGAAATAAAAAGAAATCTTATGTATGTGAATTAGAGTACTTCTTTTATAACAGTATTGCAGCAGCTACTGACTACAGTGGACATTAAAGGATTTGTTTCTCTTAAGCTATCACGGGGCTTTCACAGGGTGTTGTTCATAGGCATAGGCTTTTTACTTTTTAAAAATTCTTCTAATATTGATCCAAAGTTGCCATTACAAAAATGCTAAACTTTTTTTTTGGTATTTTATATAAAGCATGAAAATTATGTTTTTGAATAAGGCACTGAGAATACACTAATTCATACAGGAACCATCTCTTTAGTGTTAATTTTAAAGCAAGCAACAGGAATGCTATATTATTAGAAATGCCAGAACACCAAGTGTGTTTGCAAAATGAATTAAACTGCAGAAAATTGAGCTCCAGTTATCTGAATTTAGTATAGTGAGAAAAAATTTGCAAGTCTAAGAACTGTTTCTCAAATAATTTTGGCCACATGTATCTGTGATTTACTCATGAGACCATTTTATTTATTTTATTTTTTAATATTTATTTTTCAATTAAATTTTGTAAGTTTTGTGTTTGACTTTTTTTGTAGTTTCAAAAAAATTATTTCAATAGATTTTGGGGAGTAGGTGGTGTTTGGTTACACAGATAAGTTCTTTAGTGGTGATTTCTGAGATTTTTGGTACACCCATCGCCTGAGCAGTGTGCACTGCACCCCAGGAAGCCATTTTAAAAACTGCACATTTCTAAGCAGCAGTAAGACCTGTTTTTAGTAGTTAGCTGGATTTTTAACTTTCGAGGAAGGATTTCAAGGAGGTGAAGTATGACAAACAGCTATTGTTTGTAAGTTTCCAAATATTAAAGAGTAATTCATGTTGGTATCATGAAAATGAAATTGTCTTTTGAAGTTAGTTTAGAATGTAGTACAGTTGCAAGAAATGTATTTCTTGTTTTTGTTGTTGTTGTTTGTTTGTTTGTTTGTTTGTTTTTGAGTCAGAGTTTCGCTCTTGTTGCCCAGGCTGGAGTGCAATGGCATAATCTCGCCTCACCGAAACCTCTGCCTCCCAATTCAAGCAAATCTCCTGCCTCAGCCTCCCGAGTAGCTGGGATTACAGGCATGTGCCACCACGCCCGGCTAATTTTGTATTTTTAGTAAAGACGAGGTTTCTCCACGTTGGTCAGGTTGGTCTTGAACTCCTGACCTCAGGTGATCTGCCCACCTCGGCCTCCCAAAGTGCTGGGATTACAGGCGTGAGCCACCGCGCCTGGCCGAAATGTATTTCTTAAATGTCTCCAGCATTTAAATTTTTTTGGCAAACTAGAGTTTGGGTAGAGTGGAAGGCAATGAGTGGTTGTCAGACAAATTCCATAACTTTTTTTTGTTTGTTTGTTTTGTTTTTGTTTTTTTGAGATGGAGTCCCACTCTGTCGCCCAGGCTAGAGTGCAGTGGTGCAATCTCGGCTCACTGCAACCTCCGCCTTCCGGGTTCAAACGATTCTCCTGCCTCAGTCTCCCAAGTAGCTTGGGAATACAGGTGCCTGTCACCATGCCCAGCTAATTTTTTGTATTTTTAGTAGAGACAGGGTTTCATGATGTTGACCAGGGTGGTCTCAAACTCTGGCCTTAAGTGATTCACCCACTTTGGCCTCCTAAAGTGCTGGGATTACAGGTGTGAGCCACTGTGCCCGACTAAGTTGCATAAGGTTTTTAAAAACATAGGTAGGTATTTGAAATGGCACTCATTTTACTTTTGTCAGTGAGGTTTTGGAGAAATCTTTGGTGAAGAAAAGGAGAAATTCTCATTTTCCCAGCTTTCTTTAATGTTGAAATAGAATCTTCTATAA
Organism: Homo sapiens; assembly: GCF_000001405.40. NCBI lineage: Eukaryota > Metazoa > Chordata > Mammalia > Primates > Hominidae > Homo > Homo sapiens. The sequence continues at coordinate 41,340,012 of NC_000013.11, forward strand.
ACTCTGATATCAAGGTGTTCTTGTCTTTTATAAATAAGAATAAAATATTACTAAAAATATATTTATATCCCTTTTAAGTTAGATTTTGTTAAAGTTAATATTGTTTTGTTTCTTATTATCCATTATATAGGTGTCCTGTCCATAACAGATAACTTGCTGAGATGATATACATTTGCTTACTTGTTTTGAAAAGTACTTAAAAAAAATTGCCAGTCTTTGAGTGAGGCTTTGGGGTCTCTCCATTTTGTTGATCTTTTCAAAAAACCAGCTCTTGGATTCATTGATTTTTTTGAAGGGTTTTTTGTGTCTGTATTTCCTTCAGTTCTCCTCTGATCTTAGTTAGTTATTGCCTTCTGCTAGCTTTTGAATTTGTTTGCCCTTGCTTCTCTAGTTCTTTTAATTGCGATGTTAAGGTGTCGATTTTAGATCTTTCCTGCTTTTCTTGTGGGTATTTAGTGCTATAAATTTCCCTCTACACACTGCTTTAAATGTGTCCCAGAGATCGTGGTATGTTTTGTCTTTGTTCTCGTTGGTTTCAAAGAACATCTTTATTTCTGCCTTCATTTTGTTATTTACCCAGTAGTCATTCAGGAGCAGGTTGTTCAGTTTCCATATAGTTGTGCGGTTTTGAGTGAGTTTTTTTTTTTTTTTTTTTTTTTTTTTTTTTTTTTTTTTTTTTTCCGAGACGGAGTCTCTCTCATTGCGCCCAGGCTGGAGTGCAGTGGTGCGATCTCGGCTCACTGCAAGCTCCGCCTCCCGGGTTCACGCCATTCTCCTGCCTCAGTCTCCAGATCAGCCGGGACTGCAGGCGCCTGCCACCGTGCCCGGCTAATTTTTTTTGTATTTTTTAGTAGAGATGGGGTTTCACCGTGGTCTCGATCTCCTGACCTCGTGATACACCCGCCTCGGCCTCCCAAAGTGCTGGGATTACAGGCGTGAGCCACCGCGCCCAGCTTGAGTGAGTTTCTTAATCCTGAGTTCTAATTTGATTGCACTGTGGTCTGAGAGACAGTTTGTTGTGATATGTTTTCTTTTACGAAATGCTGAAGAGTGCTTTACTTCCAGTTATGCGGTCAATTTTAGAATAAGTGCGATGTGGTGCTGAGAAGAGTGTATATTCTGTTGATTTGGGGTGGGGAGTTCTGTAGATGTCTATTAGGTCTGCTTGGTACAGCGATGAGTTCAAGTCCTGGATATTTAGGTTGCTGTATATAGCATAGAGATTTCAGTATCTTTCATGCTTTACTGAAATAGTATCATTTTTACTGAAGATAATGATAAGAATATTTCTAACTTAATTTTTTGTGGATATCATCTCATTGAAAATATCAGTTGTGTATTTATAGGTAATAACCAACTTTAAATGTTCTGGTAATATGTACTGTTTTCTTCTTACAAGTGATTACAAGAAAAAGGGGACAACTTGCCAGCCGTGGTGGCTCATGCCTGTAATCCAGCACTTTGGGAGGCTGAGGTGGGAGGATCGCTTGAGATCAGGAGTTCAAGACAAGCCTGGCAACATAACAGGACTCCGTCTCTACAAAAAATGAAGACAATTAGTTGGTCATAGTGGCATGTACCTGCACTCCCAGCTACTTGGAAGGCTGAGGTGGGAGGATCTCTTGAGCTTTGGAGGTCAAGGTTGCAGTGACCTGTGATCAGGCCACTGCACTCCAGCCTGTGCCACAGACTTGAGACCCTATCTAAGAAAAAAATAAGAACATCTCCTACTTTTAGAGAATAACTGTTAAGTACTTGAAGTGCACAGATGTTTTCATCTGTCACTTTGTATTGTAGTCTTTCACATATTATATCAGACCAAACCTTTTTTTTTTTTTGAGACGGAGTCTCACTCTGTCGCCCAGGCTGGAGTGCAGTGGCGCAATCTCTGCTCACTGCAAGCTCCACCTCCTGGGTTCGCGCCATTCTCCTGCCTCAGCCTCCCGAGTAGCTGGGACTACAGGCGCCCGCTACCATGCCCGGCTAATTTTTTTGTACTTTTAGTAGAGACGGGGTTTCACTGTGTTCGCCAGGATGGTCTCGATCTCCTGACCTCGTGATCCGCCCGCCTCGGCCTCCCAAAGTGCAGGGATTACAGGCGTGAGCCACCGCACCGGGCCTCTCTCTCTCTCTTTTTTTTTTTTGAGACAGAGTCTTGCTCTGCCGCCCAGGCTGGAGTGCAGTGGCACGCTCTCGGCTCACTGCAACTTCCGCCTCCCAGGTTCAAGCGAGCCTCCTGCCTCAGCCTCCCGAGTAGCTGGGACTACAGGCGCACACTGCCATGCCTGGCTAATTTTTTGTAGTTTAGTAGAGACAGGGTTTCCTCGTGTTGCCCAGGCTGGTCTCGAACTCCTGAGCGCAAGCAATCCGCCATCCTTGGCCTCCCAAAGTTCCAGGGTTACAGACGTGAACCATCGCGCCTGGCCCAGACCAAACTTTTATTATGAATAATTGCTTACTGGCTCTATAAAATAGTGTCCATTTCTTCTAAGTGTGAATAAAGAACCTTGCCTAGTAATCTTTTTGATTGGGTCTCAATCCTTCTGTTCCCGAGTTGGCATAACAGCAATAATAAAAAATCAAAACTAGAAACAAACAACTAACATAGTATTCACAACATCTGTAGCAGCTTAATGAGAAGATTTTATATGTACCATAGTCTGCTGGTGGTCTGAGTCATAATGCCAACAAATTATTTCTGTAACGCCCATAGATAAGTTGTCCAGTGGGACAGTGAGTGAGATGTTTGACCAGCCATTTCATATGGTACACAACTAATGTGTGTTGTGTATTACCATTTCACATTGATGATATTTATAAGGAATCTTATCTCCTCACTTTTCTGTTGGCATTTGTGTAAGTTTGTAGCACTCTTCCATCAGTTTCCGTGTTCTCAAATAGTAAAAGTGCTGAGTAACTTGGCACAAAAGTTTAGAAGTAATTTTTCATCAAAAAAGTGCTATAATTACAATATAGAAAATTTGGAAAACAGAGGAAAGATCTTAAAAAATGGGAGGGAAGCCCAAACAAAATCCAATTATAAACTGCCACATGACTATACAATTTAAGAGCATTTACACATTTATTTATTTATTTTATAAATAAGTGAAATAGCATCTTGATCTGTCTCTCAGGCTGGAGAGCAATGAATGGCCCAATCGTAGCTCACTGTAGCCTTGACTTCCTGGGTTCAAGTGATCCTTCCGTCTCAGCCTCTTGAGTAGACGCGTGCCACGATGCCTAGTTAATTTTTTAATTTGTAGAGATGGGGTCTTGCTGTATTGTTCACGCTGATCTCAAACTTCTGGGCTCAAGTGATTCTCCTGCCTTAGAATCCCAGTGCACTGCGATTACAGGTGTGAGCCACCACGCCTAGCTCTAAGAGCATTTTAAATGTAATTCCTTTCACAGTTTTTTTTTACTGTGAATTTAATTGTGATGTATCTATGCAGCTGTAGTCATTTTGACCATAAATTTTGTTCTTTGTTTTCCCCCTAGCAGTTTCTTTTTAAAAATTTGTTTTTGTTTTTGGTTTTTTTGTTTGGAGTCTCGCTCTGTCACCAGGCTGGAGTGCAGTGGCACCATCTCGGCTCACTGCAGCCTCCACCTCTGGGTTCAAGTGATTCTCCTGCCTCAGCCTCCCGAGTAGCTGGGACTACAGGCGCACACCGCCACACCCGGCTAATTTTATTTTATTTTTTTGTATTTTAGTAGAGACGGGGTTTTACCATGTTGCCCAGGCTGGTCTCGAACTCCTGAGCTCAGGCAGTCTGCCCGCCTTGGCCTCCCAAAGTGCTAGGATTACAGGCGTGAGCCACTGCACCCGGCCTAGAAATTTTTTTTATAGAGGTGGGGTCTCACTGTTGCCCAGGCTGGTCTCAAAATCTTGGACTCGAGAGATTTGCCTGCCTTGGCCTCCCAAAGTGCTGAGATTGTAGGTGTGAACCTACACCCACCTCCCTGCCCCAGCAGTTTCATAAGCTTTTACTGTGTTGTTATATAATCTTCATTATCCTTTTTAGTTATTACATAACCTTTTAGAACCATCCCTCCATTGTTTGGTTTTTCAAGTTATTATTAAATATCTTTATACTAGCTTTGCTTAGGATTATTTTCTTCTCATATTTTCTTCTCTCAGAGTCATTCAGTGGGTAAAGGATATGAACATTTTTGTGGTTCTTGATAAACACAGATAAATTCGTTTTTCACAAGGTTGTAAACATCAATTTGTATTGCCACTAGCAGTGTGCCTGAAATATTTCCTGTCTTGTGTTTGTTTTTCTGTTTTTGTTTTCACATGGAAATGTTAAAAATTTAGTGGAACCAGATTTGGTGATTTTTATTTCTGTTGTGGAAGTTCATCTGTTGTTTTAAAACCATCTTGGAAAGTCCTCTTTAGAGCAGTACTTCTTAATGAGGGTGTTGGGGAGTGGATTTTTTCCCCTTGGGACATTTTACGATGTCTGGAGAGGTTTTTGATTGTCGCTGCAGTGAGGTGAGGTGTGCTACTGGCATCCAGTGTGTGGAGGCCAGGGATGCTGCTAAACATTCCACAAGGTACAGGACAGCCTTCCTAACAAAGGATTCTACTGTTGACGTGTTGGGCTAGATAATTCTTTGTAATGTAGGGCTGTCCTATGCATTGTAGGATGTTTAGCAAACTCCCTGGCCTCTACCATCGAGATGTCAGTAGCTTCCCCACCTATTTTTGTTTTGGTAACAGCTTTATTGAGATATAATTAATATATCATAAAATTTACCTATTAAAAGTATACAGTTCAATGTATATTCACAGAGTTGTGCAATCATCACTGCAATGTAATGTTTTGTCATCCCCCAAAGAGACTCCATATCCTTTAGCTGTAATTCTCTCACAACCTTCACGTCCCTCTCAGCTATAGGCAACCATTAGCCTACTTTCTGTCTATGGATTTCCCAGTCTGGACCTTTTATATAAATGGACTTATCTAATATATAGTCTTTTTGGGTCTGGCTTCTTTTACTTAATATTTTTATCCGCAATTGTAGCATGAATCAGTACTTCATTCCCTTTTATGACCATGTAACATTCCATTTTATGGATATACCACATTGATTGTTTCTACCTTTTGGTTATTTTGAATAATGCTGCTGTGAACTTTGGTGTACAAGTTTTTGTGTAGACATGCTTCCATTTCTCTTAGGTGTGTATCTGGGAATGGAATTGCTGAGTCAAATGGTAACTCTATGTTTAAACTTTTAAGGAACTGTCAGACTCTTTTTCCAAAGTTCCTCCACCATTTTACATTCTCACAAGCAGTATATGAGGGTTCTGATTTCTGCACATCCTCATTAACACTTGTTATTATTGATGATAGCCATCATAGTGGGTGTGAAATGGTAATTTCTTGAGGTTTTGCTTTGCATTTCCTGATTACCGTTGGTATTATCTTTTATGTGCTTATTGGCCTTTGTATATGTTCTTTGGGGAAATGTCATTAATTTTCTTTGCCCATTTTTAGATTGGGTTATTTCTCTTTTTATTGTTCAGTTTAAGGAAGTTTTGTTTTTGTGGGGTTTTTTTAGGTTTTTTCGTTGTTTGTGTTTTTGAGGCAAGGTCTCACTCTTGTCACCCAGGCTGGAGTACAGTGGTGCGATCTCACCTCACTGCAACCTTGACCTCCTGGGCTCAGGTGATCCTCCCACCTCCACTTCCTGAGTATCTGGGACTACAGGCATGCGCTACCGTGCCTGGCTCATTTTTTATAGAGACAGGGTTTCACCATTTGCCCAGGCTGGTCTTAAATTCCTGGACTCAAGCAATCTGTTCGCCTCACCCTTCCAAAGTGTTGGGATTACAGGCGTGAGCCAGCACGCCGGGCCAGAAGTTTTAAAAATATATTCTAGATACAAGTCTCTCATCAGATACATTATGTGAAAATATTTTCTGTTCTGCTACGGGTTGTCTTTTCATTTTCTTAATGGTGTCATTTGATGCACTAAAAATTTTTAATTTGGATGAAGTCCAGCTTATCTTTTTTTTCCTTTTGTTACTCATGCTTTCTGGTCTTATCTAAAAACCATTTCCAAGTCCAACGTCATGAAGATTTATAAACATGTTTACTTGTAAGAGTTTGCATTGAGGCATTCACTCTGAGTTCATTTTGTATATGGTGTGGTAGGAGTCCAGATTCATTCTTTTGTGTGTGACTATCCAGTTTTCCAGCACCATTCGTTGAAGAGACTCTTCTTTCCCTGTTGAACGATCTTGGCAGCCTTGTCTAAAAAAGATTAACCATAAATGCGAGGGTTCACCTCTGGACTCTCAAGTCTGTTCCACTGATGTGTATGACTGTCTTTATTGTTTTCTATTATTCTTTTATGAGATTGTTATTCAGGTGCAGCCACAATAGGAGACACTGGAGAGGCTCAGGAAAAAACACAGTTTATCACACAGGTCCTAGAGACGAGGCATGCTGTGCCATGCCATGCTGGGCCACTTGGGGAAGACGCTAGGGTGGTTAGGAGGGAGGGGAAGGATTAGGCTACTGCCTTCATCGAGGTTTCCTTAGGGTAGGGCAGGGCGAACAGTTTAGTTTGAATAATTTTGGCATACTTTAGACTGGCGGGGTGGTCTCGTTGCCTGGCACCTGGCTCTGGGATGATTAGGTAGAGGAGTAGTGCCTCTTGGGGTATAAGGGCCAGATAGAGGAGATATGGCTCTGGATTTTGAATAGCTTGCATATTAAAGACATACTCCTAGCTGGGCCCTTTGTTATCTTTAAGAATTGGCTAGACCTTGGAGGGACAGTTTCTCAAATAGCTAGAAAGGTTCTTTAACATGTTAAACATCAGTATACAAGAAAAGCTAAAAGTCCATCTGTGCCAGTGCCATACTGTCTTGCTTACTGTAGCAGTGTGGTAAGTTTTGAAATTAGGAAGTGTGAGCCGGGCGCGGTGGCTCACGCCTGTAATCCCAGCACTTTGGGAGGCTGAGGTGGGTGGATCACGAGGTCAAGAGATCAAGACCATCCTGGCCAACATGGTGAAACCCCATCTCTACTAAAAATACAAAAATTAGCTGGCGTGGTGGCAGGCATCTACACTCCCAGCTGCTCGGGAGGCTGAGGCAGGAGAATCACTTGAACCCAGGAGGCGGAGTTTGCAGTGAGCCGAGATTGAGCCACTACACTCCAGCGTGGCGACAGAGCGAGACTCCGTCTCAAAAAAAAAAAAACAAAAACAAAAACAAAAAAAGAAATCAGGAAGTGTGACTCCTCCTACTTTGTTCTTCAAGACTATTTTTTTATTATGTTTGTTTTTCAAGACTATTTTGGTTATTCAGGGTTCCTTTTATTTCCATTTGAATTTTAGGATTGGCTTTTCTATTTCTGCAAAGCAGCCATCTGGGATTTTGATAGGGATTTTGTTGAATCTGCAGATCATTTTGGAAGTATCCTCAACTTAACAATATTAAGTCAATCTTCGAACATGGGATGTCTTTCTTTGTATTTAGGTCTTTGATTTCTTTCAACCAATGTTTTGTAATTATTGTACAAGTCTTGTGCATCTTATGTTAAATTTGTTCCTAAGCATGCCATTCTTTTTGATGGTAGTCTAGATGAAATTGTTTTTATAATTTCATTTTTGGATTATTCTTTGCTAGTATATGGAAATACAGTTGATTTTTGTATGTTGATTTTGTCTTCTGAAACCTTGCTGAACTTGTTTATTCGTTGCTATAGATGTTTTAATAGATTCCTTAGGATTTTCTATGTGCAACATCATGTCATCTGCAAATAGATCGTTTTACTTCTTTCTTTCCAATCCATACCCTTTTTATTTCATTTTCTTGACTAATTGCCCTGGGTACCTTCAGTACAATATTGACTGGAAGTGGTGAGAGTTCTTTGTCTTGTTCCTGCTCTTAGAGGAAAAGCATCTAGATTTTTCACCATTAAGTACTGTGTTAGCTGTGGGTTTTTCATATATGTCCTTTGTAATGTCAAGGAAGTTCCCTTCAACTCCTAGTTTATTGTGCATTTTTATCACGAAAGTCTGTTACTGAGTTCTGTCACATGCTTTTTCTGTGTTAAGATGATTATGTAGGTTTTTTTTTAAAAAAAATCTATTGATATATGGTATATTTACATTAATTGATTTCAGATGTTAAACCAATTTTTATTTTTTTTTTCAAGATGCAATCTCACTCTGTCACCCGGGCTGGAGTGCAGTGGCACAATCTCGGCTCACTGCAACCTCCACCTCGCGGGTTCAAGCTATTCTCCTGCCTCGGTCTCCCAAGTAGCTGGGACTACCGGCGTGCACCACCATACCCAGCCAGTTCTTCTATTTTTTAGTAGAAACGGGATTTCACTATGTTGCACAGGCTGGTCTTGAACTCCTGACCTCAGGTGATGCACCCACCTTTCAAAGTGCTGGGATTACAGGTGTGAGCCACCACTCCTGGCTGATGTTAAACCAGTCTTGCATTGCTGGGTGAAAGCCTACTTGGTCATGGTGGGTAATTCTTTTTCCATATTGATGGGTTCGATTTGCTAGTGTTTTGTTTAGGATATTGCATTTATATTCCTAAGAGATAAAGGTCTAGTTTTCTTTTCATGTCTTTATCAGATTTTGCTATCAGGGTGATACTGGCCTCATAATGAATTGGGAAATGTTCTCTCCTCTTTTTTTGGGGGGGCGGGAAGAGTTTGTGAAGAATTGGTATTATTATTTCTTTAAATGTGTGGTAGAACTTACCATTTACCAGTGAAGTCATATGGGCCTGGACTTTTCTTTGTGGGTAGTTTTTTATTATGTATTCAAACTCTTCATTACTGGTTTATTCAGATTTTCTATTTCTTCTTGACTGGCTTTTGGAAATTCATGGTTTTAGATATTTGTCTATTTCGTCTATGTTATACAGCATTGGCATATGCGTGTCATAGTCTGTTATTTCTATAAAGTCAGTGGTAATATCCCCTCTTACTGTTTTTGGTTTTAATATTTTGAGTGTTCTCTATTTTTTACTTTGTCAGTCTAGCTAAAGGTTTGCCAATTTTCTTGATCTAAAGAGCCAGGTTTTGGGTTTGTTGACTTTCCTCCTCTATTTCATTAATTTTCACTTTATTGTGTCCTTTTGCTTGTTTTAGGTTTAATTTGGTCTTTTTTCTAATTTTTTTTTCTTTTTCTTTTTTAAATCTTTGTTTAGAGACTGGGTCTTGCTCTATCACCCAGGCTGGAGTGTAGTGGTGAGATTGTAACTCATTGTAGCATCAAACCCTTGGGCTCAAGTGATCCTACTACCTCAGCCTCCCAAGTAGCTGGGACTACAGGCATGTACCACCATGCCTGGCTAAGTTGTTTATTTTGTAAAGATGGATCTTGCTGTGTTGCCCAGGCTGGTCTCAAACTCATGGCCTAAGTGATCCTCTCACTTAGGCATCCCAAAGTGCTGGGATTATGGGCACGAGCCACTGTGCCTGGTCCTTTCTTTTTTTTTCTTATGTGTGCTATGTGTTACATATGTTTGTCTTTTATTTTGCTGATTTAGTGAGGAAAAACAGGTTTTCTTGAAGGATAAAAATCTGTATTTATTCCAAAAGATAATTAGTAAAATTAGTTTAATTTGGTTTAATTTTTGTTCAACTAAAGGTAACAGTCTGTATACTTTTTAAAATGTCATACGTGGCCGGGTGTGGTGGCTCACGCCTGTAATACCAACCCTTGGGGAGGCCGAGGTGGGTAGATTACCTGAGGTCAGGAGTTCATGACCAGCCTGACCAACATGGTGAAACCCTAAATCTACTAAAAATACAAAAAAAAGTTAGCTGGGCGTGGTGGAATAATCCCAGCTACTTGGGAGGCTGAGGCAGGAGAATCGCTTGAACCCGGGAGGGGGCAGTTGCAGTGAGCTGAGATCGCACCATTGCATTCCAGCCTGGGTGACAGAGCGAGACTCCGTCTCAAAAAAAAAAAAAAAAGTCAAACATGAAACCAAAATGTGCCAGGCCACCGTGGTGGCTCACGTCTTTTATCCCAGCACTTTGGGAGTCCAAGGCAGGAGGATTGCTTGAGCTCAGCCTGGGCAATGTAGTGAGGCAGTGTCTCTACAAAAAAATACAAAAATCAGCCAAGTACAGTGGCGCATTCTAGATACTTGGAAGGCTGAGGTGGGAGAACCACTTGAGCCTGGAAGGTTGAAGGCTGCAGTGAACTTAGACTGCATCACTGCACTCCAGCCTGGGTAACACAGCGAGACCCTGTCTCCCCACTTCCCTGGCCAAAAAAGGAAATCAGTTTTGTTTTTTTTTTTTTTGAGACGGAGTCTCGCTCTGTCCCCCAGGCTGGAGTGCAGTGGTGTGATCTCGGCTCACTGCAAGCTCCACCTCCCGGGTTCACGCCATTCTCCTGCTTCAGCCTCCGGAGTAGCTGGGACTACAGGCGCCCGCCACCATACCTGGCTAAGTTTTTTTGTATTTTTTAGTAGAGATGGGGTTTCACCGTGTTAGCCAGGATGGTCTCGATCTCCTGACCTCATGATCCACCCGCCTCGGCCTCCCAAAGTGCTGGGATTACAGGCTTGAGCCACCGCGCCCTGCCAGTTTTTTTTTGTTTTTTTTTTTTGTTTGTTTGTTTTTTTTAAGATAAGAGTTTCACTCCCGTTGCCCAGGCTGGAGCACAATGGCGCAATCTTGGTTCACTGCAATCTCCACCTCCTGGGCTCAAGCGATTCTCCTGCCTTAGCCTCCCAAGTAGCTGGGACTCCAGGCACGGGCCACTACACCCAGCTAACTTTTGTTGTATTTTTTTGTAGAGATGGGGTTTTACCATGTTGCCCAGGCTGGTCTTGGGCTCCTGGGCTTAAGTGATCTGCCTGCCTCAGCCCCCGAAAGTGCTGTGGGATTATTATAGGCATGAGCCACTGCACCCAGCCCCAAAATGTTTGAAGGCTCTAAGAAGAGGTGTACATTGATTTGGGACTTCCATATTCACTGTTAGAAAGTACTTGTTTTTTAGCCATTAGTTTGTGAGTGTCAGGCTCTTAAGTGAAGACGTTCAATGAGTCAACATCCAGGTTTGCCTAGGCTGGTACACTTTGATTCCATTGAAGTTGGACATCAGTGCTCGTGTGCTTTGAATATGAATATTTGTATTTTCATAAAGTTGGGGAAAATAATACGTAAAGCATTGGTGTGTGTTTTAATTAAATAATAAAGTTTGTAAAGTACTTGGTTTGAATATGTTCAAGAAATGGTAATTTTCCCTTACTCTCTAAATTAGATGGTAAGTCCCACCCTTCTCACACCTCATCTCTGTAGTTACTTTTATTTTATTGTCATTGTTCTTGGACAGTTTACCTCTGTAACTAGCCCCTTCAGCACCAAAATTATCACTAGTAATTGTGCTTATATCAGAACCTAATTCAGCAATTTTGGTCCTTGCTGGTAAAGTAGTGTACTTAATTTAGTAACTTTCATATTGCAGTGACATTTTAAACCTGTGATTTGTCTCTTCATTGCGAAAAAAATGTGTATCGGTTATGATGTTGTGGGACTTTGTCTTTAAGGTTAATGAAGAGTTCTTTTAACTCTTACATAAGAAAAGCTGGTCACCAAGGACATACTTTAGGAAATTATAACAGTTATGGTATTATCTTAGGTTAGATTTTATTAACAAAGATAAAAAGCTTCTTCCATCTTGATCTAATGTAGCTGTTAGAAGAAAGTAAACCAGGAGAAGGTGGCTGAACTTGGAAAATTTTTCACATTGTAAGAAAAATGTGGGGCCATAAAATTTAAGGTGGCCATTTATGTTTTTGTTGCGATCTCAGATACTTAAGTGGATTGGCTTTCTTGACTTTAAAATAATGGAGGCAAAACACCATTTTAAAGAAGAATAGCTATTACATATTAATTTGTCATATTACACACTACCTAATTAAATATAAATGGTAAGTAAACTTGAGCGAAATAAGTCTTATACTTGAGTAAAACTTCTTAGATTAACTTTCATAGAAAATTTAGAAAATTGTTCACTTAATTACTGAATGAGAAGTAACCATAAGGCCAGGGCTGGTGGCTCATGCGTGTAATCCTAGCACTTTAGGAGGCTAAGGTGGGCAGATCGCTTGCGCTCAGGAGTTTGAGACCAGCCCGGGCAACAGGGCAAAACCCCGTCTCTACAAAAAATACAAAAATTAGCCAGGTGTGGTGGTGCATGCCTGTAGTCCCAGCTACTCAGGAGGCTGAGGCAGGAGGATGGCTTGAGCCTGGGAGGTGGAGGTTGCAGGCAGCCGAGTTCACACCACTGCACTCCAGCTTGGGTGAGAGAGTGAGACCCCGTCTCAAAAAATAAAAATAAAGTAACTATAAATTTTGGCTTGGCACAGTGGCTCATGCCTGTAATCTCAGCACTTTGGGAGGCCTAGGTGGGCGGGTCACCTGAGGTCAGGAGTTGGAGACCAGCCTGGCCAACATGACGAAACCCCCTCCCTACTAAAAATACAAAAATTAGCCAGGCATGGTGGTGCACACCTTTAGTTCCAGCTACTCAGGAGGCTGAGGCAGGAGAATTGCTTGAACCTGGGAGGCAGAGGTTGCAGTGAGCTGAGATCACACCACTGTACTCCAGCCTAGGCAACAGAGTGAGACTTGGTCTCAAAAAAACAAAAATTTATGTATATATAAAATATATTCAAGAAGTATGCCTAATGAACCGCAACGGTCAGTCCCCTTTGTTGTTTTTTTAAATGTAGGAGATATCCTATGAATTTTCCATTACCTTTTTTCCCCCGTAATCAGATCTTGTTTTGAAGTTCTGAATCTGGAGATCTGTTTTATTCAGAAGTATTTATATTCTTTTATGAAGGATTATATGTAACTTCAGTGTATGTTTTGTGGTACCCTTTATTGTTAAAACTGACTTCTTTAAAAATAGGTTTCACCCCTTCATCTCTACTAAAAATAGAAAAATTAGCCGGGTGTGGTGGCGGGTGCCTGTAATCCCAGCTGCTCAGGAGGCTAAGGCAGAGAATTGCTTGAACCCAAGAGGCGGAGGTTGCGGTGAGCAGAGATCGCGCCACTGCATTCCAGCCTGGTGACAGAGCGAGACTCCATCTCAAAACAAAACAAAACAAAACAAAACATAGGTTTCACCCTAGAGATGCATAAACGTCCGCCCTTTTAAAAGCCACCTCTGGTTGCAGTTTTAGCAACTACCAGTAGATGGCGCAAGTTCCTGAAAAAAAATTATTTGCCTTTATAAGTTTAACAACTTGAGTACTAAATTTCTAAGTTTGTAAAAAAGGTTTTTAAGTTACAGATATTCTAGGTGAGATTGGTGGAGAGGTTATGGTGGATTAAAAATGTCTGTTAACTTTAATTTTGCTTAAAAAAAAGTCTTTGCAATTTTTTTTTTTATCAGTGGTTCTCAAACTCTTAATTGTGTATCAGAATTTACAGACGGCTTGTTAAAAACAGACTGTACAGGCCAGGCATGGTGGCTCACACCTGTAATCCCAGCACTTTGGTAGGTGGAGGCGGGAGGATTGCTTGAGCCCAGGAGTTCCAGACAAGCCTAGGCAATGTAGTGAGACTTTGTCTCTTAAAAAAAAAAAAAAAAATTATCAGGGCATGGTAATACATGCCTGTAGTCTTAGTTGCTTGGGAGGCTGAGGTGGGACAATTGCTTGAGCACAGGAGTTCAAGGCTACAGTGAGCGACTATCACACCACTGCACTCCAGCCTAGGTGACAGAGGGCGACCCTGTCTCTTACACACACACACACACACACACACACACACACACCCCAAAACAGATTGTACAGAATATTTCTAACAAATTGCCACATGATGGTGACACTAATGTTTAACAGTATTATTAATGATCTGAAGATAACACTTTCAGAACCATTGTTTTTAAATTAAACAATCTTTGTTTTTTAAAAAAGAAAACACAAAGAATGTACCCATTTTCTACTACCCTAATGTCTGGTCATATTTTCATTGAGTATGTGGTGTCTGTACATACATGTTTTAGTGAAGTCATAGTATGTGTAAATTTTTTTCACATTCTGCTTTTTCTCTTATTTACACATGTTCCTTACTGTTAATGTATAGTCCTACCTTATTTCCACATTGTCCATTGAACTTTACTAGAGATCCTGCCGTATACTGCAGCATCATGTGAGAAAGCTATCATGTAGGCCTGAAAAGTGTTACAGTTTGGCCTTGTGTTTTGACTAGTGTCTAGGATGATCAGTGGTTTCATGGACACTGTCCTGTGTCTTTGTGGCATGAGGAGTAATCCGGATTCAAAATAAAGCTAATTAAATTATACCTTCTTATATTAAATGGTATGCGTGAAGAGGTTTCTTTTGTAGCCATATATGCAAAAATCTGTTGAGTTTGTGACACATGACCACTTCAGTGTGAGGGGAACCATAGTGAATTTTGGTTAGTTTGTAAAGAGGCGTAGGGAAATAAGAGAAATATAATTGTTTTTCTGAAAATAAAGATGTCAAAGCCCCAGTTTTCACAAAACAATGAAGAAATATTCCTTTTAAAATATAGAACGCTTCATGAATGTGTGTGTCATCCTTTCACAGGCGCCATGCCAATCTCTTACTGTTCCAATTTTGGTATACGTGCTGCTGAAGTGAGCACCAGACCTTATTTTGTAGTAGGTAGATAAGTAAATTGGTTAAGAAACCCCGTAATTATAGTAAGTACAATACAATTATTATATTGTAGGATTGCTAACAATAATAAGCAAAAGAGTCATTTTTAATTTCACTTATTTTCAAACCTTGAATCATTTCACTTTTTTGCAATGCATGACATTTTAGAAAATCTGAATATTTATATAATGTGTCCCTTATAGGAGTGGTCCATTTTTTTTTTTTTTTTTTTGTCTTGTGAGTGGTCCATATATATAGCAATGTCCATTATTTTGTGTTTTTTTCCACCCCTTCTCCAAAGCGGGGAAATACTCATGTTAGGAATGGGGACAAAGCAGATACCCTAGTCTTTTAATTAATTTATAGTTCTGAAATAAGCTGTATATTTTCCAAATGTAATTTAAACCATAATAGGTAAAAATACCTTCAAGAAGATATTTTTAAATTTTAAAAATATGTTTCTTTAACAGGTTTCTATAATCCAGGAACTTGTTACTAATTATGAAGCCTCTCTTAAAACGTGTGACTTTTTTAGCCCATATGGTAAGTTTAAATTAGATTGAATTGGAATTTGATTACTCATTTCATTTTTAATCACAGTAATGCTCTTTTATGTATATTATGTGTGTGCTACCTAATGGCTACTTAATAAATGGCTTTCAAATTGGTGAATGAAATGAGAGCACTTTCAATCTTACTTAATTTAAATTTTCCATAATCCTATGAGATGGGAGTTAACCTTGTGCGGTTTTTTTGTTTGTTTGTTTGTTTTTTGAGACGGAGTCTCATCCTGTCACCCAGGCTGGAGTACAATGGCACAGTCTTGGCTCACTGCAACCTCCGCCTCCTGGGTTCAACTGATGCTCCTGCCTTAGCCTTCTGAGTAGCTGGGATTACAGGCGCCTGCCACCACTCCTGCCTAAGTGTTGTATTTTTAGTAGAGATGGGGTTTCACCATGTTGGCCAGGCTGGTCTCGAATACCTGACCTCGTGATCCACCCGCCTCAGCCTCCCAAAGTGCTGGGATTACAGGCGTGAGCCACCACACCTGGGCTTAACCTTGTTTTAACATGAGGAAACATACTTGAGAGGTTGAATGGCTTGCCTAAGACCATGTAGTTAGTTTATATTGGAACCTGTTTTTCCTGAATCCCTAAATTCTCTGCTTTTTCTACCCTCTTATTACTTTTAATCCTCTTTAGTTTGGTCCTTTGTTTCTATATTTGTAGGAGCATATATAAATCAAGGCAAGTTACTTTAGAAAACACTAGAATGTTTTCAGTCATGCACAAAGTAACTTCCGGGTTCCTTATGTGTCTCTTACATGTCATTACTCTGAGTATTTTTCTGATGTTTTTTAAGAGAGGGGATCTCACTGTGTTGCGCAAGCTGAACTTCTGGGCTCAAGTGATCCTCCCACCTCAGCCTGCTGAGTGGCAAGGACTACAGGCGTGTGCCACCATGCCTAGCTGATTTTGTGTGCGTGTGTGTGTGTGTGCATACGCGCGCACACGCGGGGGTTTGGGGGAGGTTTCTAGAGGTGGGATTTTGCCATGTTGTCCAGGCTGATCTTGAACTCCTGAGCTCTAGCAATCTGCCTGTCTCAGCCTCCGAAAGTGCTGGGATTACAGGTGTGAGCTGCCACACCCTCTATGAGTTTTTTTAAGGCACATTCCAGACTTACTGTTTCATCTGTAAATATCTTAGTGTGCATCTCTATTTAAAACACGTAAACAGAAGAAGTCATCGCAGTGCCATGTCACACAAAACCTCATAACATAATATCTGATACCCAATCTTAGTGTGCATCTCTATTTAAAACACGTAAACAGAAGAAGTCATCGCAGTGCCATGTCACACAAAACCTCATAACATAATATCTGATACCCAGTCCGCATTCACATTTCCCCCATTATCCAAAAGAAGTCTTTGTGTTTGGTTTATTTGAGTATAGATCCAGTTAAGGTTCACACCAAATAATTGGTTGTTATATCTCCATAAGTTGATGGTTATGTCTCATTATTTTAATCTAGAACAATAACTCTCCCCTCCCTTTCAAAAAAACAGTCATTTGTTGAAAGGTCATTTGTCTTACATATCCCATATTCTAGATTTGGTTGATTGCCTTTCTCATGGTATCATTTGCTGTATTTCACTGTCATTCATACTTGTAAGTTATAGTTAGGTTTACTTGCTGGATTAGATTCAGGTTCTGTTTAAATACGGGTGGTGCTTTGTGCTTCCTGTTGTGTCATGTCAGGAAGCTTGAGACATTCTGGTTTTCTCTCTTTTTTGATGTTAAGATTGATAAAGATTCAGATGTTGTCAGCCTGTTATACTCATTAAAAAGGTCCATGACGGCGTGGGGGCACGGTGGCTCCACACCTGTGATCCCAACACTTTTGGGGATGCTGAGGCAGAAAGATCTCTTGAAGCCAGGATTTGGAGGCCAGCCTGGGCAACAAAGTGAGACCCTGTCCCTACAAAAAATTAAAATATTAGCCACGTTCGGTGGTTCTCACCTGTAGTCCCAGCTACTTGTGAAGCTGAGGCATGAGGATCACTGGAGCCTAGGAGTTCCAGGCTACAGTTAGTTATGATCATGCCACTGCACTCCAGTGTTGGTGATAGAACAAGACAAAAATTCCTCATTGGCCTCTCAGCAATTGAAGATCATTGCCTAGATCCCTTGTTGATTCTAATAATTTCTGCATTCGTTAGCTGGAATTTTTCTTATAAAGAACTTTCCTTCATCAAATACTTGGTTCCCTTGAAATATAGTTTATATAAGAGGAACAGAGTAGAAGCTTAACTCATTGCCTTTATTTTATTATTTGTGTTTTAATGTGTGCTATAGTATGTTTGCATGTCATTTGATCAGCTATGCTAGGAAACCTGTTTGTTTTGATGTAGTGTGGGTATATTCACTCTTTCCTCCTCATTTTTACACAAGTATGTCTTCCCTTCTGAAATCCATTTTGAGAGCTTGATATTTCTTTTCTGCTCCTCTGTAGTTAGAGGGTACAGGATGGGGAACAGGATAGAACTCAGGTAAGTGTATATATGTGACTGCTTTTTTAAGAGGACTGGGCTGTGTTTTTTCTACTTAGGTTTTTGTCAGATGGTAGGGTTGTTTCTACTTTGTCAGGTGTATCTTCTTCCTATAGGTCATAGTCTTCAACTTTGGGTATCCCTGATTTAGTATTGAGGCCTGGAAAATGGTAAGCCATGGCAGTTTGGCAGTTCTTGCCTCTGCTGAAATCTTGCAGTGGTAGTTAGGAAATCTCTTTGCCAAGTTTTTTTCCTTGACTTTTCCTGGTCTTGCTGCCCTTTTGCTTTCAGGCTGAGAGTTCACAGAATTAGTTTGACGTATATCTTTTCCCCAGCATTGTTTCTTTGGAGTGAGATTGGGGTTAGAAGCCTGTCAAAGTACAATCTTATTTCTCTACATGGCTGCCACTTTTTGAACTTTATGAAGTCATACCTCTTTCTTTTGAAATTAGTAGTTTTTGCTGAGTCTTTCTTGCTTATTATTATTGCAATAGTCATTTCATTATGAATTAGGAGAGAGAAAATATGTGATTTGCTTTACATTCTTTCTATAATAATTTAATATTTGTTTGATTGCAGAGAATGGGGAGAAGGAACCCCCGACAACACTACTCTGGGTTCAGTATTTCCTGGCACAGCACTTTGATAAACTTGGACAGTATTCTTTGGCTTTGGATTATATTAATGCTGCAATTGCTAGTACTCCAACTCTAATAGAATTATTCTATATGAAAGCAAAAATTTACAAGGTAAAATCTGAATCCTGTTTTTTGAGTAGTTGAAGAATTCAGCTACTTTAAGAATCCTTGGAGTTTTTTCTTTGTGGAAACAAGTTCTAGGGCACCCTGATAATCTTTTTCTAATAATCCTGTGTAGTTTCATGTTATATTAATTGTATAATCAATGTGTAATTAGATGTGTAATCATTTGAGCTCTTAGTAAATGTGAACTGTAATTTTGATTTCTAAATAAATTTGACAGAAATGGTGACAGATTTCTTTTTTGTCTGTGTAAATTATTTTCCATTTTATTGTACTCATATTCTCTTGATTATAAATTGTGGTTCCTTTAATTATCTTTTATAGCATATAGGTAATCTCAAAGAAGCTGCAAAGTGGATGGATGAAGCACAGTCTTTGGACACAGCTGATAGATTCATCAATTCCAAATGTGCAAAATACATGCTTCGAGCAAATATGATAAAAGAAGCAGAGGAAATGTGCTCCAAGTTCACAAGGGTAGGAAATAGCATGCATGAGCATGTAATTGTCTAAATTAAGACAGTTTGTGAAGTTTGTCTAAATTAAGACAGTTTGTGAAGAACTTCAGTGGAAGTTCATAAAAATTCATTTTTATTATTGTTTTTTAAAATCCCATTTAACCCATATCCTAAGAATGGTTTCTTACTGTGGTTGTGTATCTGTGTATATGTTTCTGGCAGGGGATGGTTAAAAAACAATAGCAAGAGCAAAATATCTTGGTACATATATAAAGAGTATGCTATACTTTAGCACTTACGTGTAAAATTTGATTTATATCTCAAATCCTTTGTCCCCCTAGTAATTTGTGACTGCTTTTTAATTCTGTCTTACTTTTAACTTGCTCATAGAGTTCTTTCTTTGTAGAACTAATTGCTCTGAACTAGTCTCTGTGACATTCAAGAATTTAAGTTTCCTGAGATGGGCTACACATCCATCCCTTTTCCCTCCTTCACCATCCCTTTATATCCTTTTCCACATAAACTTTCTGTTATAATACATGTTTATGGTTAAAAATATAAGTAGACTAATGGAACAGGGTAGAAAGCTCAGAAACAGATTTCACACATATTTGGAAAATGGGATATACCCAGAGATACTGTAAAAATCAGAGATGAAAATATATTGCTGGGACAATTAGTTACTCCTGTTGGGGAAAAAGCCTCCAATATCCCTCTCTGTCACTGTACACGAATCAGTTCCAGGTGGATTAAAGATCAGATATGGAAAGCAAACCTTTCACACTTATACAAGAAAATATAAAGGAGCTTAGGATAAACTAATTATAATATAATCTAATATAATAGAAAATTTCACTGTACACGAATCAGTTCCAAGTGGATTAAAGATCAAATATGGAAAGCAAACCTTACACTTATAGAAGAAAATATATAGGAGTTTATCTTCAGGATAAAGAAGCATTCTTTATGCTTGAGGTAGGAAGCATTTCTTGACACCAAAAGCATAAAGCATAAAAGAAAAACTGAGGTGGGCATGGT
The DNA here is from genome assembly GCF_000001405.40 of Homo sapiens. Taxonomy (NCBI): domain Eukaryota; kingdom Metazoa; phylum Chordata; class Mammalia; order Primates; family Hominidae; genus Homo; species Homo sapiens. Next base: position 41,359,982 of record NC_000013.11, read on the forward strand.
GGCATGTGCCTATAGTCCCAGCTACCACATAGTAAATAGCACTAGGTTCAAAGTCTTCAATGCCCTTTCCACTATATCACAGGTTTGAAATTAAGAAGAGAGTACAAGGAATAAACATAAAACCAATTATGTTTTCAGAGAAAAGTACCACATGGAAGGCCAAGGTAGCGATAGGAAGTAAAATGCAATTAAATATGAAGTATACAGGTTGAGCATCCCAAATCTAAAATTCAAATTCCAAAATGCTCCAAAACTTGAAACTTTTTGAGCACTGGTATGATGGTCAAAGGAAATGCTCATTGGAGCATTTTGGATTTTGGATTTTTGGGTTTGGGATCGCTCAACCACTAAGTATAATGCAAATATTCCAAAATTGAGAAGGTTTGCAACATTTCTGGTTCCAGACAATTCTGATAAGCGATACTAAATCTATGCAAAACTTAAAGAAGTTCAGTGATTTTTAAGAAACAGAAAGCCCAGTGACACTGGGATGCGTCTTTAAAGGCACAGGAGAATGAGAAAGAAGGTGAGAGGAGTTGGTTATTTAAGGAGAATAGTCACCAAAATCTGTGGCTCAGCTTGCTCATCATAACTGCCTCTGATCATCCACTTTTGACAAGTTGCCATGCTGTATGGCAAGCTTGTTCACTTTATGCACACTAGTTTGTTGGCCAGGCAAATCCATAATATGTGGTGAACAACATAATGAGGCAGGGGAAGAAAACTGCAAATGACCCTGAATAATCAGGATATATCTGCTTACTAATAAATGAGTGAAGGGCGCATATTTCCTTCTCGCAGATTTTTCAGTTTAGAACTTTTGTACAAAGTTGCTGATACATGTTGGATAGTTCTAGTTGATAAACTTTTTGAAATGAAAAGTAATATAGATTTCCTCTTATAAAAATATGTGACCATTAACAAAATGGAAAATATAACACAACCATAATGAAGACAGAAAATACATCAATAATTCTGTTCACCCAGAGATAACTAGTTTTTAGACGTTTAATGTGTTCTGAAAATTGAACTGATACACAAAATGTGAGGAAAAACTGTAGACTGAAATCATTTATATAAGTGTATCTTTGCATCCTTTCCTGGGGTCATATAAAATATATTTTAAATGTCTCTTCTAAACTGTGACAAAACTTGAGTATCCTTGCACTTAAAATTCGTTAATTTATGTCTCACACTCCCCTCAGAATTTTTATTGAGCCTGAATTAACAAATTCAGTTATTTGGTTTTGTCAGCCCACTGCAAAGGAGAAATATTAAAGTAGAAGAGTTGTCATGAAACAGGTGATGCTGATAGAAGCAGACACATGGGCACAAAGAAAGTGACAATGGAGGAGGGACACTGGGAAACCAAAAAACAGGCCTGCAGCTATTACTAACAGATTTGATAAATGCTGAATATACGTAACAGTGACCCCGAGTCAGCAAGGAAGGCTGAAATAGCTTTTGCTTGAAAGGCAGAAGATAGGCAGTACTTCATATGACTGCTTTCTTAAATAGTTGAAATAAAAACTTTGGTGTTTAAAAACTAAGATTTAGTAATTTGGAGTCTTTTTTATGAAGAGTGTTGACTACCCCAGCAGAGCTGGGTAAATAAGACGTTATGTATATGTGGGTTTTCCATCTGATAACTGAGATGGCTCCTAAGTGACAGTTAGGTAGCAGACAGTGTGGATGTACTAGACAAAGGGATGATTCACGTTCCGGGTGGGATAGAGTGGGATGGTGCAAGATTTTATCACAGTATTCAGAATGGCATGCAGTTGAAAACGTATGAATTGTTTATTTCTGCAATTTTCCCTTTAATATCTTTAGACCATGGTCGACTGTGGGTAACTGAAACCATGGAAGGTGAAACCTTGGATAAGGAGAGACTATTGTAGTATAAAACCATGTTTGGAAACATACTGATATATTTGCTAATTGCTGCTATTGTCATAATAGTACTGTAGCCCTAGTTGTAAAGAGGAAATGATTTTTAGGATCTCTTTCATTGTTTGCTCTCTATAGTTTTGAATGCTTCCATTTCAGGAAGGAACATCTGCCATGGAAAATCTAAATGAAATGCAGTGTATGTGGTTTCAGACAGAATGCATTTCAGCTTATCAGCGTCTGGGGAGATACGGGGATGCCTTGAAAAAATGTCATGAAGTAGAAAGGGTAAGTTGTTAGAATTTCGACTTCAGTTTTCACTGTAAGGTGATAAAAAGCAGGTAGATTTCTACACAGGATCATCTGCCTCTTCTAACTTCTCTGGGAGCTTCATTGTGAAAAAAATTCTTGATCTTTAACCTTTACATTCAGAAGTTGTAAACAATGGATTGCTTTACTGATCCTCAAGTGATTATGCTTTTGACATGTCTATATATTTTTGTCTGAAGGAAAAAGATTGTTAGTAAACAATTATTGCTATTAACATAAATTCAAAATTTATGTTCCCTAATTAGGCCATTATTTTGATATTCATCACCACCCTAAGAGGACACACAGCTGATGGCAACCTCTTTCCCCTTTAAAACATCAGGATCTGGTCCGCAGTCAGCCTCTCTCCAGTTTGTCTTCCCAGGATATTTGCTCTCACATTCAGTATTCTGTATAACAATCTATGGCCAGTTTGCAGGCTTATTTTATTGCTTGCTTTTAGGATTATTTGTGTGATGTGCCTTAGTGAGGGGACTTTTCTTTTCCTTTGTGTGAATTTTTGTTTTCCTGTTCTTTGTCATCTCTGAAGCACTCTCCTTCCACATGGACCACAGGAGGAAAAGAGCCGCAAATGCACCCCTGAGGCAGTCCTCAGCAGCCCTCAGTTGTGGGGGCAATCGGCACCACTGTTCCCATCCTGACGCAGTATAGAACCACAGGCATCGTAGTCAGGTGAGCCTGATGTCTGCACCGTGGCAGTCACTTTGGCCTTTTTCCCACGTGAAATTTCTGAGATTACCCACAAGGAAGGCTAAATTTTAGGGGGTGGCTTTTGATGGGGACTGGAACTAGAATTATACCCAAGCATTTTTAGAAATAACCTAATTTTTGCTCTGTTTTTGTTTTTTGTTTGTTTGTTTTTCATGCCCTTTTAAGCCTGGGCTTGATGGCTGTATCTCTGGGGAAAATCCTCCTCATCTTCTCCTTGAAAAATATAAAGCCCTTGGGATGATAGGTGAAATACCCAAGCATTCTAGTTTAAATCAGGCTCTTGTTTCCTTCATAAAACCACAGATCACTAGCTTGTTACACTCCCTAGAGGACCATTATTTTAAGAGCATTCTGCTTGTTATTAAGGAAAGATACATTTTTATTAACTAGGACATTCTCAGTGAGAGGTAAATTGTTTCCCTTATGAAGAGGCTGCTAGGCACTTACGAATTAGTAATTTCAGCAAGACCATAACTAGAAACTTACCAAATTTTCTGTTTAAATGAAATTTGAATATCCTAAGGATCATTATAGTTCTGAACTTCTTGAACTTAAATTCCATTTCTTCTAACATTGATGACTATATTGCTTTGTTTTTTAAAATTTTGAGAATTTTTAGAATATGATAAGTGGATCTTCCATTACTGAGTTTCATTTAGATTATACTTTCCCTTAAATTTTTAGTGATTTTGGCTGAGTTGCATGGAAAAAAATTCTGTAATGTCAGAAAATCTACTGACATAGTTCAAGAAATTAATTGGTAAAAAGCATTTTTGAAGAAAGAAACTACAGGAAAATCATTGGTTGTCACAGATTAAAATGGCAGAAATCATCACCCTCTGGTCATGTTACATAATTATTATCGCTAGAAACTTTAGGGTTTACTATTAACATTTGAGATTAGAAAGAAGTAGAAACATAAACAAGAAAAGAACCTACTCTTATACCAGTTGTAAGCTAGTCTTCAGTGAATATATCTATACTAAAAGCAAATAAGACAACTCTTTTATAGTTATTATGTATATTCTACATGTGTGGTTATATGTAGAAATGTGTTTCGTATAAATAGGGTGACTAGGTTGATGGAATGATTAATGCTTCTTAATTTTTAATATCTAAATTTTCTAATCTAAAATTCTTAATGATATCATTGGAAGGATTTAGGAGTAATTACAAGCTTCAGATTTATTATAATAGGTATCTACATGAGTTACCTTATGCCTGTGTCTTAAATATTTTAATAAGGACACGGACACCTCTCAGAAATAAAACTTTGCAGTTTACCTTCTAAATAGAAGGTTAGTGAATTGCGAAATAAGTTCAAATAAGGGTTAGGTCTTTATTCTGCTTTGAAGAAGTCATTCAAGAGTTCTTTTGTTGAAGGCAGTTTCAGTCAGGATACATACTGCTTTGAGCTCTTAGTAATTGGATTTGAAAAATTAGAATTCTAGAATAAGCTAGTGTAGTATCTTTTCTGTTTTCATCCCCCCCCCATAAGATTTTAGGGTTTATATTTTAAGGTTTTGTAGTCCAACCCAATCTGATGTTTGAAACTTGACTTTTATTAAAACAAACAGAACAACCTTCTTCAAAATATTAGATTTAAACTTGTGTTCAGAATAACATTTTAATCTATTTTATCTTTCAAGAATTGAGTTTTCTTTCTTTCCATTTTTTTCTTTTACTATTAGACTGCTGGTGATTGGATTATCATTATTTTAGAATACTGACTTAGATATGAAACAGGGCAACGATACATATATTTCTAACTCTTTGATAAGACCTAGGACTTCTGATAGATACAAACTATAGGAAGATCATAACTTTATCTTCTATTGTATCTTAATCTTTATCAAATTGATAACATGCTTTATAACAACAGATTCTCTATTAAGTAAATTGAGTTGCTAATTTTCCTAGTTGACCTAGTTATTATTTTTTAAATCCAGAGGTTTTTGTTGCCTTTCTCTGTATAAGCTCTTACTAGTCACATCCGGGAACTCTGAGAGGTAGTGGGAAGGAGAATCTGGTCTAGAAGAGAGGGCCTAATAAGGAGTTCCTTAAAAAAATAAAAACACTACACTCTAAAGCTGTGAACGGCTTTTCTTAATTCTTGCTTAGGGGGAGAGAGTTAAGGGCATGAGCTGTATGTTAAGATTTGAATACGTACTTTTCTGCAGTGAGCTAAGTGATTTTTGTCATGCTCTTCATGTTTGGCCAAAAGGTACAGGGAAACTAACTTTATCTGTTGGTGTTGTGTAGCATATTTTTGTGTTTTACAAATTTAGAGACTAAAAAATCAACCCAAGGGGGAGCTTCTTGGTGATGGAGTAGTTCTGTGTTTCTTAGGGTAGTGGTTACATGAATCTACAAATGATAAATCACATAGAACTATATACACATTGTACCAATGTCAGTTTCTTGGTTTTGATACTGTATTGTAGTTATGTAGGCTGTAACCTTCGGGGGAAACTGAGGGAAGGGTATACAGGACCTTTGCTACTTCCTCTGTATCTATAACCCAAAACAAAAAGTTAAAAAAAAATTCAACCCGAGATTATTTAGTTGTTTCTATATAGTATTCTGCAATACACTGTTTTTTCCAAAAGCAAATATTACAATCAGCTGTAGCTGCAGTATCCCACTTGTTTTTAATTTAGCCATATTCTGTCTATCACCATTAGTTTATTATGGAGTGATTAACAAGCCAGGTTTGCTTGAGGCTGAGTGGGTTCGCAAGACACAGTGCTTTCAGTGGAAAAACTGAGAGAGCCTCTGGCAAACTAGGATAAGTTGGTCACCCAATTTATGGAAGACATTAACTGGAGAGAGGCAGCCTATGGGCTGTTACTGATAAAGAGGTGGCTTAAATATTTGTGGTTACATATGGCCCCCTCCAAGACTTGACTTAAAATCTCTGTCTATTAATGCTGCTAGGAATATCTCTTGAAGTTTGTCATCTGCCTTTTTTCAGATGTTTCTCAACCTAAAAGAATGTCCTGTAATCTCTTAGATGTTTTCATCTGATTATGTGTTCCAGGACTTTTAGCGCCACCATTTTTCCTTAGTTAACTGTATTGAATTTTTAAAATATTCTTGTGCTAGTTATAACTTGATTTACATTAAGAGAAACCACTAACAACTTTATGAAATATGTAATCCTTTGATTTAAAAAAAAAGTTCATGTTAATATTTACGATTTGATTTTATTGGTGGGAAAGATGCAGTTTTCAATTACAACATCATTAAAGCATGGCTTTTTAGTCATAAACTAATGTGAAATGTTCACTTTTCCTGTTTCTTACCCTCCATACTATGTACTTTTATTATAATTTTTGTCTTAAAGTCTCAGGTACTTAATATAATTCTGTATATAGTGTGTTTCTAATTACCAAGCAATTATCAGATGATTATGGACAATTACTAATATGTCCTCTGCGGAGTGACTTAACTATCCCCAGGACAGAGGGAACATGAACTAGTAGGAAAGCTTGATCTATATTGGTGTATTGAATCACTCATTTTTCTATATGATTTTAGAAAAACTAACGTATGAAAAAAGAAGTTGGAGATGGAAATGCATGCAGGGGAACAGTATAAGTATAAGATTGTTTTGTTGGGGGAGGGGCAGAGGGTTAGTGTTCACCTTTCATGGAAGGGATTAGTTCTTAACCTCTTTTGGCCATGGATCCATTGAAAATTGGATGAAAGCTTTGAGCTCTCTCCTTAGGAAGAAGTTTTTATGCTTGTTTATACATAGACTCCAGTTTCAGAACTTCTGCTAAAATGGAATGTAGGTAGAGTAAGAGAAAACAATAAAGTTCTGTATTTATATAACAGTTTACTGTTGAAAATGAACTTTAAAATACATTATTTGATCCTTTAACAACCTTAAGAAATTGGCTGTATGGATTTCTTTATTCTTAACTTAGATTAAATAATTGTCTAGGAAATTAAAAGGCTTATTCAGGGTCGCATCCCTAATAAGAAGCTTATCTCTTGAGTGGGCAAATACTGTGCTTACTGAATGTCTGCTATGTATTAGGCCCTGTGGCAGGCGGTGGGTAAGGATTGCCCTTGAAAATGGTAGAGTTGAGTAGAGCAGTCAGATTTGTAAATATTTAGTGTGAACCTACACATATTTAGTCTTCATTCAGAGCTCTGTTTAACTGTGCCATGCTGGTTTTTAGGGAATATGGAGGAAGAGTATTTCATTAAAACTAAAATATTAATATATACTAACTTTCAGGTTTAAAAAATAACCTGATCTTTTGACTTATATAGAAGTTGAGTATCATCACAAAACATGATTTGTAGGGAATGGGCATGGTTTGTAGGAAGAGAAAGTTCAAGTTGAATGCCAAAAATAATTCATATCCTTTATAGTGTAAAACATTGGAGAGGGCAGCTAAGTGAAAATTGTGACTGTTTAAATTGTTTTTTGGGCTTTTTACAATTTTTTTTTTCTAAAGGTAGACATTATTGACATAAATGTAAAGGTTAATTTTGTGATTTTTGTTTTTAAGCATTTTTTTGAGATAACTGATGACCAATTCGACTTCCATACATACTGCATGAGAAAGATGACCCTTCGTGCCTATGTTGACCTTTTGAGATTAGAAGATATACTCAGAAGACATGCCTTTTATTTCAAGGCTGCTAGATCAGCGATTGAAATATACTTGAAATTGTATGATAATCCCTTAACCAATGAAAGCAAACAACAAGAAATAAACTCAGGTAACTGAATAGGAACTTAAAAGATTTTAAAAGGACACTAAATTTCAGAATGCCATTAGCGTAAACAATACCTAGAAAAATATTAATATATTGTCTGTTGGAGTTGAAGACAAACATTAGATAACTCATATGCCAAAAAACAAAAATGTTGCAGAGAGAGTTAAAAAAAGTGGGATGATATTCTGTAGCTGATGGTTCTAAATTACTTTAATGGAACAACTTAGAATTTTTTTTATTTTTGTCTTCAGAAAGACCAATTTAAGAACTGGGTATGGTGGTTCACGCCTGTAATCACAGCATTTTGGGAGGCCAAGGCAGGCAGATCATTTGAGGCCAGGAGTTCAAGACCAGTCTGGGCAACATAGCATGACCCCTGTCGCTACAAAAATTTTAAAAAGACGAGTTTAGGAAACATAGAAATGTCTGTGGACTAGTTTTTTTCTTTCTTTTTTAAAAAATTGTAACTGAAAATAGCTTTGAGCTCCTTAGGAAAAAATATATAATCTTAAAATTTCTAGTTCCTACTTTATTAAAAATAAGAATATCAGTGAGAATATCTGTACAGTTTTTTATTCACTAGAATGTTAATATCTAGGAATATTTGAGAAATAGTTAGCATGAAATGAGCCTAGGTAACTATCTCAGATATTCCTAGGTAGCTGTTCATTTCTAATATTTATATAGTATTTAGAGATCACAGGTGTTTATATGTATTATCTCACTTATTCTTGAAAGACTTGATACTGAGAAGGACAAAGTGATTTGCCTGGAGTCATATATTGTGTAGGAGGCAGAACTGGGCTACTATTGGTCAATTTTAGTTAATGCAACATTTACTGGCTGTCCTTTGTGTGCCCAATTTTGTTCTAGTCACTGGGGATACACTTTCTAAAAGCTTTTATATGGGTTGCCTCTGCATCCCTCCTTGCCCAGACAAAAAACAGAAAAAAAAAGTATACAGCTGGCCCTCCATTTTTGTGGGTTCCACATGGGTGGAACAAATCATAAATATGTTTTTTTAAATTGCATCTGTACTGAACATGTCCAGACTTTTTTTCTTGTCATTATTAGTATTTCCTGAACAATGCAGTGTAACAACTATTTACATAGCATTTACATTATTTTAGGCATACCTATAGACCATAATATAATTTATGAAAAAGTGAAGTCATTATATGCAACTTAAAGCAAAAGGAAGGTGAAAGATTTAAAGCTGATCTAATTAAAAGTATACAGGAGGATGTACATAGGTTGTATGGAAATACTGTGTCATTTTATATCACAGGCTTGAGTATCAGTGGACTTTGTGGGGGTGGGGGTCATGAACCAATCCCCCACTGATACCAAGGGACAACCATACTAACAGTATGTATTACAGAAGAATATGAAGAAAATGCAAACATTGGCTCAGAATTTTGTTCATTTGGATATTTATAGAAAACTTGTCAGCCAAAGAATTGAAGAAAATGCTTAGCAAGCAGAGAAGAGCTCAGAAAAAGGCTAAACTAGAAGAAGAAAGAAAGCATGCAGAAAGAGAACGTCAACAGAAAAATCAAAAGAAAAAAAGAGATGAAGAAGAAGAAGAAGCCAGTGGCCTTAAGGAAGAACTTATACCTGAAAAATTAGAAAGGGTGAGATGGGTTTTACTATCTTTGTTATTTGGTAAAATTTATGCTATTTGGTTCCGTTCTGACAGTTAACATGATTTATTTAAATCTGTAAGAAGCCATTTGAAATATTTCAAGGTTTTTATAATAGCCGTCAATTATCTTTGAGTGACAGTATACAAATTTTGGCTAATGCAAGTTATACATAGAATTGCAATTGTGGTAGGCAGAGTAATGGCCCTGCAAAGGTGTCTGTGTTCTGGTCCCCCCAGCCTGTGAATATGTAACCTTACATGGCAAGGGAGAATTAAGGTGGGAGATGGAATTTATGGTTGTAATGAATTGACCTCAAGATAGATTAGCCTGGATTGTCCATGTGGTCCTAATATCGTCAAAAGGGGCCTTAAAAGTTGAGGATGCCAGCAGCAGAGGTCAGAATGATGCAATGTGAGGAGGACTCAACCTGCTGTTGCTGGCTTTGAAGATGGAAGGAGGGTGCCCCAAGCTAAGGAGTGTGGGCAGTCTAGAGAGGCTGAAAAAGGCATTGAACGGATTCCCCCTTCGAATCTCCAAAGGAAATGCAGTCCTGCTGACACCTTGATTGTAAGCCCAGTGAGACTGTGTTGGGCTTTTAACCTATAAGAACTATAACATAATAAGTGTGTTGTTTTAAGTCAATAAATATTTGGTAATTTGTTACAGCAGCAATACAATTGTCCATTACATATGGAATCATTTTACCTTATATGTCTTACTAGAAATGTTGTAGCTACAAAGAGATAGCACCTCCAGGATTTTCTCAAGTGTTAATAGTTGTTTTGGGATCAGATTTAAGGAAATATTTAGTTTTCTGGTTTATTCACTGTAAGTCTAGTACAGTTGGCCTTTGAACAACATAGGTTTGAATTTTGAGGGTCCAGCAAAGGATGGTTTGATAATTTTAGAAAGATGTTTGGGTTAAAAAATGTCCAGATAACAGAAGAATTAACTTCTCACCAAGAGCTGGCAGAGAAGTTCCAGATGCCATTGAGAAAATCATTGAGGAGAAGAGGTATCTGCCTGAACAGGTTTTTAATGTAGAAAAAAAGTGCTCTATCACAGGAAAAAATAAAAGCCACAAAGGACATCTATTAGTAAGGAAAATAAGCGAACACCAGGATTTAAGGCAGGAAGGGATAGGCTAACTGTACCATTTTGTGCAAATGCAGTTGGGATTATGACCATGGCTGCCTTTTATCTATAAAGCTACTAACCCCTGAGCCTTGAAGGGAAAAAATAACAGCTGCCAGTCTTTCGGTTTTACAACAAGAAGGCTTGGACAGTGAGAAACCTTTTTCTGGATTGGTTCCATCCATGCTTTGTCTCTGAAGTGAGGAAGTACCTTGCCAGTAAGGGACTGCCTTTTAAAGTTCTTTTGATACTGGACAGAACCCCTGGCCATCCGGAACCTCATGAGTTCAACTCCAAAAGTGTAGAAGTGGCCTACCTGACCCCAAACATGTCTTTAATTCAACCACTAGATTAGATCAGGGGTCATAAGGACCTTTAAGGCTCATTATGCCTGGTACTCTATGGAAAGGATTTTCAACGCTGTGGAAGAGAACCCCAGTAGAACATTATGAAAGTCTGGAAGGATTACATCATCAAGGATGCCATCATTGTTAACAGAAAAAGCCTTGAAAGCCATCAAGCCTGAAACAATAAATCCCTGCTGGTGTCCAGATGTTGTGTACAACTTCACAGGATTTATGACAGAGCCAATCAAGGAAATCATAAAAGAGATTGTGGATATGGCAAACAAAAAGTGGAGAATGGCGGTAAAGGGCTTCAAGATTAGGGAACCTGGAGAAATTCAAGAGCTAATAGATGCCACACCAGAGGAATTAATAGAAGGCAACTTGATGGAGATGAGTGCTTCCAAACCATTGCCAGATGATGAGGAAGAAGACATAGAAGCAGTAGTGCCAGAAAACAGATGGACATTAGACATTCTGGCAGAAGGGTTCTGATTATTCAAGACTGTTTTTTGACTTTTATGACATGGACCCTTCTATGATACAGGCATTGAAACCAAAGCAAACAGTGGAAAGATTGGTACTGGACAGAAACATTTTTAAATAAATGAAAAAGCAAAAAAATTGTACTTACATAAAGTTAGATGGAATGTGCCTGCCTCTTCTGCCTCCCTTTCCACCTCCTTCACCCCTGCCATCCTTGAGGTAGCAAAACTAGCCCTTCACCCTTCAGCCTACCCAACATGAAGATAAGGATGATGATCCACTTCCACTTAATGAGTAGCAAATATATTTTCTCTTCCTTATGACTTTCTTAGTATTTTATTTTCTATAGCTTACTTTATTATAAGAATACAGTATACAATACATGTAACATACACAATATGTGTTAATCAGCTGTTCATGTTATTGGTAAGGCTTCCAGTCAACAGTAGGCTATTAGTAGTGAAGTTGGGAGAGTCAGAAGTTACACATAGATTTTCAACTGCACTGGGGGTGGGTCAGCTCCCCTAATGCTCATGTTGTTCATGGGTCAACTGTATTATAAGCATTTTAAATTTTATTACCATCTCCTTACTATTTGATGCCATTTTTTTTGTCTCCTTACTTTAAATGTTTATAGCAGATAGGGGATTGTCATTACATGATGTACCATCTCTTTAAGTCTGTGGAATAACTTTATGTATTTTTTTGTTTTTAATAAAATGATCTTGATTTTGTAACCAGAAAAAAAGCTATTTCTGTTTTGAAAAGTATTGATTGTGTACTTTGAATTTATTTACAGATGATTTTTAAATGTTTTCTTGTTATTTGGTTTTATAAAGAAAGCTGTCTAAATTACTTTAGACATATGTTAATATAAAATTTTAGGGGAAATTTGACTTGTTCTGATGTTTTTTAAATAATTTTCCTTTCTGTTTCAAAATAGGTAGAAAATCCATTAGAGGAAGCCGTTAAGTTCCTTATACCTCTTAAGAACCTTGTTGCTGATAACATTGACACTCATCTGTTAGCATTTGAAATATATTTTAGAAAAGGTAATAAATAGTTTGAGTTCAGTTTTTAATCTTTAATTATATTTGTGACCATATTCAGTGTAATCTTTGTCAGATCTATTTTTGTTTCTTAGATTTTCATTTTAGCCTTCTACAAAGGCTCTTTTCCTTGGCTACTCGAAACTTAGGTGGGTAATAAATTAGAATAGTACTATCAAATCCAGTGTAAGAATAGTTTGAACAACCATACAAATTGTCTACCTGAAGCAATTTTTATGATTTTTCAAGCTTTTCTTTAGAAAGCCATAGTTGACTTTGATAGCCAGAGTCAACTTTAATTTTGCTTACGAGTGTTATAAAAAAGGTAGCATTTTGTTGTTGAACTTAAGTGAGACTGAAATAAAGTGAGGAAAATACTGTGTAAGTATTAATGCTATTACTTTTGTATTTTTTCTGACACAGGAAAGTTTCTGTTAATGCTGCAGTCTGTCAAACGAGCTTTTGCCATTAACAGTAATAACCCATGGTTACATGAATGTTTAATTAGATTTTCTAAATCTGGTAAGTATAAAAAAGGACCATATTTACATTTGTGAATTATTTCTAAGGGGAGGAGGTTGTTAAATCTCTGTTGATCTGATAAATATTTAATAACCCTCTCTTTGTGAAGTAAAAAGCCCTGATTTGTATTTTCATGATACAAATCCTCTGATCATGGCCCAAGCTGTCAGTGGGATGCCACTGAGAGAAGCAAATATAAGTTGTCTTACATTAAGCTGGTGGACATTAAAGAGATTTGCAATAACGTAAAGCAAAATAATAATAATTTACATAGTTAAATGAACGTGTCTATAAAATAAACCTGTTAGCCAAGAGATGGTAGAAATTAGTGCATTTTTAGGCTAGGATGTATTTATATTCCAAAGGAAGAATAATAATTATACTATGTAAAATCAAGTTTAATAATAAAGGTTTTTTGTTGTTGTTGTGTTTTTTGTTTTTTTTTTTGAGACAGTCTTGCTCTGTTGTCTAGGCTGGAGTGCAGTAGCACGATCTTGGCTCACTGCAACCTCCACCTCCCGGGTTCAAGTGATTCTCCTGACTCAGCCTCTTGAGTAGCTGGGACTACAGTTGTGTACCACCATGCCCGGCTAATTTTTGTATTTTTAGTAGAGACGGGGTTTCACCATGTTGGCCAGGCTGGTCTCAAACTCCTGACCTCAAGTGATCTGCCTGCCTCAGCCTCCCAAAGTGCTGGGATTACAGGCGTGAGCCACCGCGCCCAGCCATAAAGGGTTTTCAGTAGGTTTTTTTTTTTTCAAAGGACAGATCAAAAACAAAAAATCCAAATGTTTTTGTTTTTATAGTGTCTAATCATAGTAATCTTCCAGACATTGTGAGCAAAGTTCTATCTCAAGAAATGCAGAAAATATTTGTCAAAAAGGATTTGGAAAGTTTTAATGAGGATTTTCTGAAACGTAACGCTACCTCTCTTCAGCATCTACTTTCAGGTTTGTTTGTAGCCCCCAGGGTTAAAATACTTATGGAAAAAGCGAACAAAGAGAAAGCTTTGACACCCCCAAAATGTAAAGCAAATGAACAGTACTGTGTGTAAGTATGGGGAGAGAAATGTGGACAAATTTAAGTTATGTTCAATAATAGGGGAAACAGGGATGGATTCACAGGATGTAATACCAGATTTAAAGTGATGTTTATTCAAAGGGTTTGTGATAACGGGCAAATACTTTTATAATAAATGTGCGGGATTGAACATACAATATAATCTCAACTATGCATGGGAAAAAGGCTGAAAGGAAGTGTCTACGAAAGCTTTAATGTTGATTTGGGGTGTGTGGTTATAAATTATTTTTCTTTTTTTTTTTTTTCTTTGAAATGGAGCCTCACTCTGTCGCCCAGGCTGGAGTATGTTTTTTCTTCTAATTTATAGGAGAAATATAAACTGTGTTTCATTTTTTAAAATTTTACTTTCTTTTTGAATATGCAAACATTTTCCTGTTTTCCCCGCCCCTACTCTCCTCCTCTGTGACAGTAATTTATTCCTTAGATGTTTTATTTTAGAATATCTTTTTTCATAGTTTTGGCTGAAATACTGATTGATGCCACAGGGCAGTCCATATTTACATTCTCAATTTTATTTCTAAGGGGAGGAAGTTGTTGAGTCACTGTCCATCTGATAAATGTTTAATAACCATCATTTTGTGAAGGAAGAAGCTCTGATTTGTAGTGTATTTTCATGATATAAATACTCTGATCATGGCCTATCAATGGGATGCTACTGAATAGGAGGTAGGGAAGAAATGTCACACTTGGCTCTCTTGAGCTGGTAGGAGCCAGCTCCAGCTTACCACTGATTAAACACTTAAAACCATATTTGAAGTCACTGGCCAGTTGATATCACATAAAATGTAAAGTATAGGTGTTTATTCATTTTGAAATGCCTTGGTATTTCAGGTGCTAAAATGATGTATTTTCTGGACAAGTCAAGGCAGGAGAAAGCAATTGCTATAGCCACTAGACTAGATGAAACTATAAAAGATAAAGATGTAAAGGTAAGTTTTTTTTCTTTGGCTGATTTATGCTTACACAGTGATCTAACAAAACGTGTCTTTACAGCATAATTCTTGAGTAGGCCTTCAGAATTATGCCTGGATGTTAATCCCAGCTCTATCAATTATGAGATGCGTAACTTTAGGCAGGTTATGTCTCTTAGCTTCTTTTTCCTCATTTTTAAGATGAGGGTGAAAATACTAGTGCTGTCACAGAATCCATGTGAGAGTTAACTGAAATAATAAAACGTGAAGTCCTTAGTGCCTGGCACGTTGTTAAGTACTCAGTAAATGTGGGCTATTTTTGTTAGTAAAGGACACTTTGATTTTTAGTGATCACAGTTTTAAAATGTTCTCTTTTGCAGTTATTAGAATTTTACTGCCTTTTTCGGGGTTGAATTTTTAATGTGCCTTTTTTGAGGTGATTGCTTACTGTGTAGATTGTAAGGCATTATTTTAGACTGAGGCAGCTTTCTCAATTTAACACATTGCATCTTTTGATTAAAGTGGTTATTAACTGCGAGCTTATTATTTTTAAATAATTTGTGTTTTCCTTTTGTTTCACTAGACATTAATAAAGGTTTCTGAAGCACTGCTTGATGGCAGCTTTGGGAACTGTAGTTCCCAATATGAAGAATATAGGATGGCCTGTCATAACCTGCTTCCTTTTACATCTGCCTTCTTGCCTGCTGTGAATGAAGTCGACAATCCTAATGTGGCACTGAACCATACAGCTAATTATGATGTCTTGGCAAATGAAATTTGAAATCTTCTAGAAAGTAGACTCCTATAGACTCAAAGCTGAATTGAGATCAGGGTTTCTTTTCCAGGGTGCATTTTAATATACGTATGAAATGAAATATTTGGTTAGGATTTTTAAATGGCATATTCTGTAAGCTTATTTTGTTCTTTACCCGACCTGCCAATTTACATAACCATCTGTTAAAATTACCTGTTTATTCTTACACAGTTTTGTGGTAGCTCCGATCGCTTCTGTATAATTATAATTTCTTACTAAGCTAAGTTGTATACAACCCCACTGTATTATTTTCTTTAGATTCTGATTTCAGGATCTGTGCTTTGATTCCTTGTCTGTTTTATCGTATATTTGCTTGCTTTTTAATTAAAGCACATCAGTTTTAAAGTGTTAACTATATGTTAACAATATGGAGGCTGGGCGTGGTGGCTCACACCTGTAATCCCAGCACTTTGGGAGGCCCAGACTGGCGGATCACCTGAGGTCAGGAGATCGAGATCAGCCTGGCCAACATGGTGAAACCCCTTCTCTACTGAAAATACAAAAATTAGCCAGACGTGATGGCACATACCTGTAATCCAAGCTGCCCAGGAGCTGAGGCCGGAGAATCGCTTGAACCTGGGAGGTGGAGGTTGCAGTGAGCCGAGATCATGCCACTGCACTCCAGCCTGGGCAACAGAGCAAGACTCCATCTCGAAAAAAAGGAATTCCTCTTGGCAGATATTGAAGTTTATTTGAAAATTTAATTCGTCCTTTTTTCATTGTAATATTTCATGGTTTACTATTTCCTTTTAGTATTCATGAAAATGGTATTTTCTGGTTGAATAAGGGTACTCTAGTTTTATGTAGATGATTTCAGAATGTGAAGGCTGGTTTGCCTGTCAGTCATGGAAATTCACTGGTAAAATTGTTGAATATTTCTCTCTCCCAGTCTTAAAAGCCCACAGGCAAGAATTAATGCTTTCTTAACTAAGTTACTTTGAGTATTAACAAGTAGCTTATACTGAGGTGTGCTTCAAGGGAGCATTATAGGGCAGAAAACAAATTAAAATGAAATGTTGTTGTTATAGCCATGCATTGACCATTAAATGCATTTTAATATCTCGGCAAAATGAGATTTGAAACTCATTAGTTTAACTCTTAAAACATAGTGTTGTTAAACAGTATTTTTTGGGGGCGGGTGGATAGCTTTTTGTTCTATCTTGTACAGAAAACAGTAATGGAATCACTCATGTTCAGAACCTTGTAAATATGTCTGTAATATTAATGCTTCCCTTTATTAAGACAAATATACATTCAAAAAGGGAGATTTTATTTAGACACACATTTTCTTTTCACCCTAATCTATTTAGATTCATACTTATTGAGACGGGAAAAACTCGCTGTAAAATAATGCCAACCTAGATAATGCTATAATAAATTATTTTGTACACAGTTGCTTATTTATGTTTGTGTTTTGTTATTCTTTTACACTACCAGTATTTTCTGCAAAATGTTCTTTGAGGAAGTAAAAACTTAATCACCTTAATCTTTTCAAGTTTTATAAAAAAATGTAATTCTCAGTAACCATCTACAAAGTATATTTTTGTGCTGCAGTAGCTTGTCTTTTAGTATTTTAATAATTTTGTAACTACAGATGATCACTGGCTTAGGATGGTTTGAGCTAAGATTTTTCAACTCTACCATGGTGTGAAAGTGATATGCTTCAGTAGAAACTGTACTTCGAGTTTTGAATTTTGGTCTTTTCCTGGGCTATGATGTACAATACAGTACTTTTACATAAGATACTCAATATTTTATTATAAAATAGGCTTTGTGTTAGATGATTTTGCCCAATTGTAGGCTAATGTAAGTGTTCTAATCACATTTAAGGTAGGCGAGGCTAAGCTATGATGTTCAGCAGGTTAGGTATATTAAATGCATTTTTGATTTATGAAATTGTCAACTCACAAAAGGTTTATTGAGACATAACCCTAGCATAAGTCGAGGAACATCTGTCGTTCATCTTTGTCATGAAGTATCCGGACACATACATAATTCATGTTACTTTCAGCAAAATGACGTTTGCATAAAATATGCCACTCATAA
Source organism: Homo sapiens (assembly GCF_000001405.40). Classification (NCBI taxonomy): domain Eukaryota; kingdom Metazoa; phylum Chordata; class Mammalia; order Primates; family Hominidae; genus Homo; species Homo sapiens. The sequence continues at coordinate 41,377,682 of NC_000013.11, forward strand.
TGTGGAAATTGTGCTTTCAGCAACAGCCTTTTAAAAAGTATTTTATTGGAGTCATTTAGAGTTTGAGAGTTCTGGGGCAGATGCAGTTGAGATGTGAGTAGTAAAATTTGAGGTACATGTATGGGAGGCAAGGTAAAGGGACACTGAAATTAGTGAAAACAGTAGTGTATTGGTCAGTATATACTGGTTCCATTCTCCTTCCTGTCTGCGTTCCACTTCGAGTATAAAATAAACATCATAGACCTGGGACGTGGGCAGGAATCTTCGTTAGGAAAAGGAAGGCAGGGTGTGTCGTGTCTCTCCACCCTGTACCTTTACCATTCCCCCAACCTTGGGAGAGGCCTTTTTAGTCTCCAGAAAGTTAAAGGAGAATAGGCCAGCCCCAAAGGAGAAGCATCTGAAAGCCAGACACTTGGAGAAGTCTTTAGTCTCACGAGAAAAACAAAAGTTTGTTCCAGGTGATCCAGTCAAGTTTACCAGAACAGATAGGAGAAGGCACAAAGATTCCAGGCATAGGGTGATAATTTAAGAATTTGGCTTCAGGTTTCCTGTGATTTGTTTCTTGAGGAACTGAATGAATTTAATGGGTAAGAGTCTACAGAGCCAAGAACCATAGTAGATCTTGGATTGAGTTGTTAGCTAGAACAGGGGCCAGCAGACTTTGAGTAAGGGACCAGGCAGTAAATATGTAGGCTTTGAAGTTCTCATACTGGTCTCTGTCACAATTCAACTCTGCTGTTGTAAAAGCAGCCTAGCCAGAACTAATGGGTATGACTGTTTACCAATAAAATTTCATTTAGAAACATAAGGTATGGGCCAGATTTGACTTTCAGGCTAGGCTGTAGTTTGTGGGCCCTAAAGCTACAAAAGTTTGTGCAAAGTGAAATACTAGAAATAACCTGTGAGTTCCATTTTTTTCCTGCCTAAAGCCAGGATGAATTTTATGTATATATTTTAATCCAAGCATCTTGACACTTTTGCTAGGTTATAGAACTCTCCTTTTATTCAGTATGTTCATCCTAACAAAGTGTCTTTCATGTGCCAGGTACGTTTCTGTATGATAAGGATTACAGTTGTTTCGCTGAGTGCCTTTTACATGCCAGGCGGTTTCCTATATGTCGAGGATAACAGTGAAAAATTAGACAAAATCACTGGAATTGCTCACATTCTATTAAATTGTGATAAGGAAAGAATCATTCACTCAGTCTGTATTTGTTGAGTACTTATATTTCAGACATTGTTCTAGGTATGACAGATACAGTAATGAACAAAATTAGGCCCTTATTCTCCTGGGGTTTATATTCCAGTTGGGTGAGAGGGAAACAAATATATAATATCAAGCAGTAATCATTTCTGTGAAGATAAGCAGAGTATGAGTATAGATAGTAATGTGGTTATAGTGAAATTCAAGAATATCAACCATCTAAAATGTAACAGAAGATTACTCTCTAAGAGAATCAGTGACATCAGATTTATCTAAAGCATTGAACGTAAGGAAATGGAAGGTTTCAGGCTGGGAGCGGTGGCTCACACTTGTAATCCCAGCACTTTGGGAGGCTGAGGCCAGCAGATCACCTGAGGTTGGGAGTTCGAGACCAGCCTGACCAACATGGAGAAACCCCATTTCTACTGAAAATACAAAAAATTAGCCAGGCATGGTGGCACATGCCTGTAATTCCAGCTACTCGGGAGGCTGAGGCAGGAAAATCGCTTGAACCCGGAAGGCGGAGGTTGCAGTGAGCCGAGATTGCACTACTGCACTCGGCCTGGGCAACAAGAGTGAAAATATATCTCAAAAAAAAAAAAAAAAAAAAAAAAAAAAAAAAGAAAATGGAAGGTTTTTAAAAAGCATTGAAGAAAAATAACTGAGTTTAAGATTTAAATCCAATTAAATTAGCTTTAGACTGTGAGCACATTAAAAATACTCTTATGCAGGTAAGTCTTAGAAGATTTGACATAACCAAGATCTTCATCGAAAATACTTTTGGAACAATGTTAAATACAACAATTAGAAAATAAGATGGCAAAAATTCTGATGTAGCACTAGTTACAATAAATGTTAATTAGACATTAGCCAATTAAGACTCAGATTCTCAAGCTGTATTAAAAATTCTTTACAAGATGCATACTTGAAAGCAAAAATTGAAATAAAAGGGTGGCAACACAAGGCCGTTATGAACTAGAATAAAGCTGAGGTAATAGTCCAAATAGAATTTAATGCAAAATATGACACATTATACATTGGTTTTAAAAAATACAACAAAAACGAAAAGATACAAACCATCATTAACTTACATGCACTTGCAGCCTCAAAGTATATCAAGCACCAGCCTTGGCAACATACTAAGATCTTGTCTCTACAAAAAATAAAAATTAGCTGAGCATGGTAGCTCATGCCTGTAATCCCAGCTACTTGGGAGACTGAGATTGGAGGATCACTTGAGCTCACAAGGTTGAAATTGCAGTGAATTGTGATCGTGCCACTGCACTCCAACCTGGGTGACAGAATGAGACCATGTTTCACAAAGTTAAGTATATCAAGCAAAAACAGACAGCTGAAACAAAAATAGAAATGCCAACAATGTAGTTGAGGATCTTAATACGCCCCTTTCCCTCTCAACTGGAAGATAAAGCAGACAACAACAAAGCAGAGAGGAGAGTTACTGAAAACAGTACAATTAGCTTGAGCTAGTATTTATACAGAAGTCTACACAAGCTGGATGTGGGCACACGCACCTGGAGTCCCAGCTACTCAGGAGGCTGATGGGGGAGGATCGCTTGAGCCCCAACAGTTCAAATCTAACAAGACCCCATCTGTTTAATCATAACTAAAAATAAAAATAATAAAATAATAAAACCTCTACACAAAATAGAGTGATTAAAATAATTTACTGTTTTTCAGTAGGATGGTCCAAGAAGGCCTGTCTAATGAAATGAAATTTGAACAGATACCTAAATGAAGCCAGCTTTGCAGATCAGATATTTAGGGGAAGAGTGTTCCAGAAGGACTAGGAGGGGCAAAGGTCTTGAGGTGAGAATAGGTGACCTGGTGGCAATGTGTCACTTTTTTTTACAGCTTTATTGAGGTATAATTCATATTCAAATAACTGCACATATTAAATGTATGCAATTTGTTAAGTTTGGACATTTGCAAACACTGTGATGCCATCACCACAATCAAAGAAATAGACACATGCAGCACCTCCCAAAGTTCCCTCGTGTCCTTTTTGTTGTGGTAACAACACAACATGAAGTGTTCTTAACACTTAAAAAATTTGAAGTGCATAATATAATATTGTTCACTGTAGGCACTATGTTGTTCAGCAGATCTCTCAAATTTATTCGTCTATAGCATAAATGAAACTTTAACCCATTGAACAACTCCCCACTTCCCCCACTCCCAACCCCTGGCAACCATTGTATTCTCTGCTTCTATGAGCTTGACTATTACAGATAACATCATGTAAGTGGAATTATGTAGAATTTGTCCTGTGACTGGCTTATTTCACTTAGAATAATGTCCTCCATATTCATCCATGTTGGCATAAATGGCAGGATTTCACTCTTTTAAGGCTGATATTCCATTGATATATATGCCACATATTCTTCATTTATCTGTTGATGCACACTTGGGTTGTTTCCATATCTACTATCGCAGTGTGTCTTTTTTTTCTGTGATGGAGTCTTGCTCTGTCGCCCAGGCTGGAGTGCAGTGGCACGATCTCAGCTCACTGCAAGCTCCACCTCCAAGGTTCACGCCATTCTCCTGCCTCAGCCTCCCGAGTAGCTGGGACTACAGGCACCCACCACCACGCCTGGCTAATTTTTTTGTATTTTTTAGCAGAGATGGGGTTTCACCGTGTTAGCCAGGATGGTCTCGATCTCCTGACCTCATGATCCTCCCTCCTGGGCCTCCCAAAGTGCTGGGCTTACAGGCATGAGCCACCACGCCCGGCCTGCAGTGTGTCTTTTTAAGTTCCTTAATAGGCAGTAGAATGAAAACATTTGGACAGTAAATTTAAGTAACTAAGAAGCTTAGTATAAGAATTACAACGGATTTCAGTGCCTCCTGGCTCCTGTTCTCTGAGAGGATAGTCATGAGATCTGAGTTTTTCTATTGAGGATAGTCTCATTAATAGATTTGGTTAACAGCTTGTTAAAGAAAATTACTTTAATCCCTGATGGTAGGAAAAGCCGACTAGCCCTTTCTTCTTTCCCAGAATGTGTAGATGTTAGTTCTAGAACACAGGTGTCTGTTAATATTTTAGCAGCACTTTGTGACTTTACATCTTTAGGATAGCCATTGTGATAAGTGAAAGTTCTTTATCTTAAAGTAGCTAAAGTGGCTTCATAGCCCCTGAACGGGATCATATATTGGCTTCGGCTCAATCCCAGCCTCTGGGAGCCTGTGAACCTACGGCCATATGATCAACCTACCCTGTAGCTTATTCAGGACTACTCCCCTATCCCTTATCCTCCACCCCCTACTCCTAATCCACCAGGGATCTGTAGGGACTCATACTTCTGGCAGACCTGTGACCATCTCTGAGTTCCACTCAAGGCGTAAGCGCTCTCTGGTTCTCTTTCCTCTCCCATCCTCTCATCCCCATCTGTTGTTTTCTCTTCCTTAGGTCAGCCCCTCTCTATACTCTTTCCTTGTGTTCTTTGCAATTTACCCTCTAAAAATATTCAACTGCATGGCTTTGCCAGATGCAAATTCTTAATCTTCCTTGTACTAAATCTACGTTTTCACAGTTCCATACATCTTCTTTCTCTGCCTTCACCATTTCCGCTTATCTTTTAATTTTAACTGAAAATCGTAACGGATCTCTATCCATTATGCAGCCCTTTCAAGTGGAGACTGTTTATTCTCTCACCATCTCCCTGGAAAGAGCATTCAGAGCATTTCACTCTCCACCATTTCTAGCCCATCACTCTTCCAACATTGTACAAACAAATCCATGCTCCTTTGAGGATAATGCTATTGGGCTGTACTCTTGACATCTCTTTGTTGCTGTCATTTATACACTTCTCTGACTCACAGACTTTCCCTTCTCTCCAATCGTGCTGAAATTCCAGGTGGTTTCAGCATCTATTTGGTGCACCCACTCAACACTCTGGCCTCTCAGTTTCTTGATCTCCCTGGTATCAATACTTTTCATCTCCATCTGTTTTAGTCTGTTTTCTGTTGCTGTAATGGAATACCACAGACTGGGTAATTGATAAGGAAATTATAACCTCACTTCCCATTTAAACAAAAAATAGAAGCCATCAGATACAAATTCTTAATCTTCCCTGTACTAAATCTATAAACTTATTTCTGATTGCAGAATTTTTTCCTCCTTTCATCTTGTCACATTTTTCTTCCCCAAAAGGGTAATTTTCCCTGTGTTCTGAATTTCTTTCCCTCAGGTCTTAGGGTACTTACTTGGCTTGATCACATCCTGTACCATTTGTCTCTGCCTCTCTACTGGTTTCTTTCCATGAGCATTTTAAGCATGTTCAGAAAGGGCATCGTTTTGCAGTTTGTTTTCAAATCTTGCAAGGACATATGTGGGCTAGCAGTTGCCTGCTATTTGGGTGCCCTGTGATGACCACTTATTTAGCTTGATTGTAAGTTCTGTAAGGTCTCCAACCATGTCTGTCTTGAGTATAAATCACAGAGCTCAGCGCAAAATAAATATTCATAAATGTCATTGATGAACACTCACAGTCACTAAGTATTTTCTCTGATCTCTGATTTGCCTTCACCACTGCCCTGTGAAAGAGGTCATATTATCATCCCCATTTTCCATGACAGTCAGCTGATAGGATGTAAGCTTCTCTCAGGGCCACAGTTTCTTAGTACAAAGCAGGATCCAAACCCACTCCTTCTAATTTTGAATTGAGTGTTCCTTCCTCTCTGTCAGATGCTCAGTAATCATGCCGTGTCTTACTCATTTTCCTGGCCTTGTGTGTGTTTAAAGTCTTGTTTCCTCGACAAGAGGTTCTCTTTTTTTTTTTTTTCAATTCCCATTTATTTTTGGCTCTTGGGGCGATGTCATCTTTTCAGTATGAAAAAAAGCAGCAAGTTCAACACAAAATAGAAATCTCAAATGTAGGATAGAACAAAACCAAGTGTGTGGGGGGGGGGAAGCAACAGCAAAAGGAAGAAATGAGATGTTGTGAAAAAGATGGAGGAGGGTTCCCCTCTCCTCTGAGGATTGACTCAAACACTGATGTGGCAGTATACACCATTCCACAGTCAGGGATGTTCCTTCTTTTTAGGGGGTAAGAAAAAGTGGGGATTAAGAGGACATTTCTGGAGGCTTAGGGACCAAGGCTGGACTCTTTCCCCCACTCCTTGATCCCTTTCTCTGATCAGGGGAAAGGAGCTCGAGTGAGGGAGGTAGAGTTGGAAAGGAAAGGATTCCACTTGACAGAGTGGGACAGACACCTCCAAAGAGTAGAGCTTAGAGGGAGATTGAAAGTGGAGATAATACTGCTGACACCTCTCTTGAAGCTGAGATGGGAAATGGACATACTTAGAAATTAGTGACTTTAATAGCCTGGATTTCCCTCTCCAAAACTTTTAGAATGGAAAATCCCATCCCCTTCCTTATATAGTGACTTCTACCCACTGCCTTCTACCATCTTCTACTTTGGGCTTAGGATGGTGGCCATTATCTACATGGGTTTTCAGCACCTGGTTGGTTCTAAATGGCATCTGGATGAGACCCAGCTTCTTGGAGATTTTTAAGAGAGAAATATTAACTGGACAGATGGAAGGAATGGGCACCAGAAGGAAATACAGGGTCACCCAGAATGGCAGAAACCTAGGTTTCCCAGAGTGGAAAGAGAGAGGAGACATTCAACAAACAAGTATTTATTGAGTGCCTACTATGTGCCAGGCACTGTTCTAGACCTCCCCAGAAGAAAAAACAAAAAACAAGATAGAGGCAGCAAACACAAATTCTGAGGGAGAGGAAAGGGGCAGTTGAGTAAGATGGCTAAGGGAACTGAAAAGCCTGAGGTGATGGGGGCTCTGTCATAGGCCTCGTCTTCGGCCTCCTCAACAAAATCCTCCTCCTCTTCTGCGGTGGCATCCTGGTACTCTGATACTCAGAGACGAGGTCGTTCACGTTGCTCTCAGCCTCGGTGAACTCCATCTAGTCCATGCCCTCGCCTGTGTACCAGTGGAGGAAGGCCTTCCTGCCGAACATGGCAGTGAACTGCTCCAAGATGCGCTTGAAGAGCTCCTGGATGGCCGAGCTATTGCCAATGAAGGTGACTGCCATCTTGAGGCCACGAGGTGGGATGTCACAGACAGCTGTCTTGACGTTGTTGGGGATCCATTCCACAAAGTAGCTGCTGTTCTTGTTCTGCACGTTAAGCATCTGCTCATCGACCTCCTTCATGGATATCCGACCATGGAAGACAGCAGCCACGGTGAGGTATCGGCCGTGGCGGGGGTCACAGGCAGCCATCATGTTCTCAAAAAGAGGTTCTCTAAAGGCAGGGTCCAGGCTAAGCTCACAGCAGGTACTCATATTCTTTCCTAGGCTTTTATTTATACTTTTTTTATTTTCCAGTTAACACTTGGTTAGCATATGGTAATTGTTTTTCTGAAACTTTGAAGTGCGTGGTTAGTTCATTATTTCTCCACTGGAGGGCAAGCTTTCCAACTCAAATTTTACTTTTCTGATTCCTTGAGAATGAAAAGAAGGACCGTATGTTGACCAGAGTTGTTGTTTTAATTGTCTCAGGGAAATGAGATTGTTGCTGTGTGTTGGAAGTGTCTGTATTTCCTCCTTGTATAATATATAGATTTCTGATCCAATACATCCTGATCATTGCCTTCTGCAGAGGTTAAAAATCCCAGATACAGCCTTTGCTATGTGTAAAGCCCATGACCTGGCCAATGTGTCTGAGTGCAGTTTTGTGTGGGAGAGGGCCCTGATACAAGAGCGGAAAGAATGGGGACTGGTCGCAGGCAAGTCACACCCTCCCTGGCCCCTTATTCCTCGCCTGTAGCGTGAGGAGGGTTATCTAGGTAACAGCATCCCATGATTCTGGGCCCACAAACCAGAAGGCTCTGAGAGTCAAAGACTGTGTCAGACCCATTTTGATTACCCCACAAGTCCCCACCCTGCCACAGTTCACTGAGCCCTCAAGACAGAACAATCCTGTGACCAGATGTGCAGCTCTTTTCCACACATGAACCAATTCTCCAACACCAGCTGAGTGTCCTACAATTCAACTGAATCCTGACACTGTTTACCTGAAGTCAGCATCCGACCCCGCAGGTGAAGGGCTCAGTCCCACAAGACCATCCCCTCTTCAGATGCAGATCGCAAGTCCAGGCCTCTGCTCCTTCTGACCGACCAGCTATAAATCACGGCTTCCCATGACTCCTTCTTTGGGTTCCATCATTTGCTTGAATGGCTTACAGAACTCAGGGAAATAGTTATATTTCCCATTTATCATAAAGGATATTACAAAAGACACAGATGAAGAGATGCACAGAGTGAATTGTGTGGGAAGGGGCATGAGTTTCCCTGTCATCTCCGGGTGCCTCGCTCAACACTTCCAAGTGTTCAGCAACCTGAGAGCTCTCCAAACCCTGTCATTTTAGGTTTTTATGGAGGCTTCTTTACTAGGCATGATTGATCACATCCTTGGCATTAGTGATTAACTCAACCTTCAGTCCTCCCAGATCCCTGGAGGTGGAGGCTGGCTGAAAGTTCCACCCCTCTAATCATGTGGCTGGTAACCAGCGTTCCCCGCCCACCAGATGTCTCATTAGCATAAAGAAGACATTGACACAACACTTTAGAGATTTCAAGAGTTTTGGGAACTGTGTGCCAGGAAACGGAACAAAGAACGACTATTTATATTTCACAAAATCACAATCTCCAAGAGTTATGCCTGAGCAGCCATCTCCTAATTGAAGGAGTAGGATGACCAATCATGGTTCTGTGCACCGTTTAGTCAACTCAGCCCTCATCCTGGGCTGCTGTGTTTAGACAATGGGAGTTTTGAATATGGGACAAAAGTGAACCAAGCTTTTTAATGCAGCAGTGTGACTTGTTCCACATAGAAGAATATGGCAACCCTGTACATGCGAATTTAGCTTCCAACAGTTATCCTGCACATGGGGGTTCTGAGTTCCCCCTTGCATCCCCAGGTCTACCTCTTGGCTTTGCTGCAAGGCATCTATCTGTCTGCAGGTTCTGAGGAATGTGTCTCAGCACAACTGCCCATCCTCAGCTTCAGTCGCTGGGGGATCTGAGAGTCATGTGAACCTGACCCAGCCTCTCCCAAAAGTGATGATCATCCGCCAGTTTGCCAGGATAGCTGAGTAACTCATTCGGTGAGTTCTTAGCCACTCTTATCTTCCTCCATCATCACAGCTGGGGGAGAGGTTTAATTAGGAGCATGTTGTACCACTTTGGTGAGGGTCTCACCTGAGTTGGGGAGAGGCACCTGGAGTCAGAGTATACTTTGAGAGCATCATAAGATTCTGATCTGTTTATCTCTACTTACAAGAGGAGTCATTTTGTTAGCAGAAATGATAACTGTATTTTCCAAACAGGGAAATAAAAAAGAATTTTTTTAAAAAAGAAAAAATGATAACTACCTTATCTACATAATGTGAAATGGCAACCATTGACAACAAACAAAATAAGAGAACTAAGCAAGATTGTCTGTTGGTGACTTCCAGTAATATTAATTTGTACTTTTTTCTCCCCTCATTTATGAGCACATACATTGTAGCAGGAATAAAAGCTTCAGGAATATTTTGCGGCAGAAAAAGTTGAAATGGAAAAAAACATCATTAGTTGCTTATTTCCCACCAATAGAGTAAGGCTGCCATTATTCCATTTCATTGGCAAACGTTTGTATCTAGCTGAAAACCTTCCCAGACCCTCCAGGAGCAGAGATTGAGGACCACTGCATTAAACCTTTAAGGCTGGTCTGCTGCCTCTGATGGAGTTAATCTGCTTCACATATGTGTTGAGCTACCTTACAGCACTTATATACCTCATTTCTGGCACACTAACTTGCTGGGGCGTTATCTGGATTCATGTCTTATCACTGTGACTGGACTGTAAGCTCCTTGAGCCAGGGTGAGCGACACTGCCTGGCTTTGGATTCCTTTTCTGCCACTTAACAGAGGTGTTATCTTTGGCATGTTAGTGAATCTCTCTGTTACTGGAAAGGGTTCCGGATCCAGACCCCAAGAGAGGGTTCTTGGATCTTCCACAAGAAAGAATTTGAGGAAAGTCCACAGAGTAAAGTGAAAGCAAGTTTATTAAGAAAGTAAAGAAATAGGGAATGGCTACTCCATAGATAGAGCAGCCCTGAGAGCTCCTGGTTGCCCATTTTTATAGTTATTTCTTGATTATATGCTAAACAAGGGGTGAATTATTCATGCCTCCCCTTTTCAGACTATATAGGGTAACTTCCTGATGTTGCCATGGCATTTGTAAATTGTCATGGTGCTGGTGGGAGTGTAGCAGTGAGGATGACCAGAGGTCAGTCTCGTCACCATCTTAGTTTTGGTGGGTCTTAGCTGGTTTCTTTACTGCAACCTGTTTTATCAGCAAGGTCTTTATGACTTGTACCTTGTGCCAACCTCCAATCTCATCCTGTCACTCAGAATGCCAAACTGGCTGGGAATGCAGCCCAGCAGGTCTCAGCTTTATTTTACCCAGCCCCTGCTCAAGATAGAGTCACTCTGGTTCAAACGCCTCTAACATCTCTATGCCTCAGTTTCCTTATCTACAAAATAGGGCACTGGTATACCTTCTTCATAGGACTGCAGTGAGGACTAAACGTATGTAAAGCACTTCAATTGCCATCATCATTGTTATTATTCTTTTTGTATCTCCACCTCACCTTGCCAGGGCTCTGGCATCCTACAAGGACTTGGGATCCTAATGGATTCTACAGATCAAGGTGGATTTCCATTGTGCCTTGAGTTATTATTATTTTTTTAGACAATAGGAACTCTGTGGCTAGCCCCTCTCCTGGGACCTCTGAGGCCTCTAGTGCTCTAATACCCAGAAGGAAACTGAACGCTGTGAGAACATCTCCGGGAGTTTAAGAAACCCATAACCGGGCCCTTCACAGAGATTATTTTTTTTCTTAATTATCAGTGTGTAGTAATGGTCTAACTATATTCCATAAGCCAACTAAAGAAAACAGGTTTACAAAGTCTAGCAATTCTACCAACACCCTACATTAAACTGTAGAGAGAAATACTCTAAAAGATGATGATCAGAGGTTTGGATTTACTTGGCCTGGGATAGAAGCTGGGCAATGACATTTCTTTTAAAAACCAGTGTGGCCCTGGCAGAGAACCAGTGTTTGGCTCTGGGACAGTGATTCTCCATGCTGGCTGCACATTCTAATCTCTTGAAGTGAGTTAAAAAATATACATCATGCTCAGGACTCTCCCTCCAGATATTCTGATTCAATTGATCTGACCAGGGTGGGACCTGGGTGTAGTTTGTTTTTAAAAGCTCCTCCGGGGTTCTAATGTGCAGCTGGGACTGAGACTCTCTTCTCTGGGAGGTGACAAGATAGGAGATGAAGAGCTTGCAGAGGGTGAAGAGGCTGTGTTGGGTTGGGGGTTAGTAGCAGGAGGATCAAGGGAGACCATTCACTGCTGTATTTGAAAGCAGCATCTTCCTAGTTCTTGAATCTCTTCCCAGCACATGATCTGAGACTAGGGCATGGAGGAAAGAACACAGGTTTTGGAGTAAGATGGGTTTGGTGCTGCCCTTCAAGTTGGATAACTTTGGGCAAGTCATTTATCCACTGTGTCTCCTGGGTGATGCAGTTAGAATTTGGTCTGATTGTAGTCCATCTGGCAGCATTCTGTACTTAGGAGCTGTTATCCTTAGTTTAGTAAGGATTTGAGCCTCTTTTTTAAAATTTTTATTTATTTATTTATTTGAAAGGTAGCTGGTTAGAACCTTCTGAGCCCAAGGAGGCAATTGCATCTTAAAAGCAATTTGTTTATGGGCTGGATGTTGCAATCAGAGGCTCCAGATGGGTCCTCCCACAGCCCCAAAGGCCCCTGACAGTGTTTCCTGAACCAAAGACCAAAGAGCCAGACTAAACCTCAAAAAGCATATGAAAAATCATGAATGTTTAAGCTGGGTGCGGTGGTGTGTACCTGTAGTCCCAGCTATTCAGGAAACTGAGGTGGGAGGAAGCCTTGATCTCAAGAGTTCAAGGCCAGCATGGGCAACATAGCAAGACCTCCATCTCTAAAAAAAAATTGTGAATGTGTATATAAAAAGATAAAGATAAAAATTCAATGGCTTTAGGTAACATTTCATAATTTTTCTTTCTTTCTTTCTTTTTTAGACAGGATCTCACTCCTGTAGCCCAGGCCAGAGTGCAGCGGCACGATCGCGGCTCACTGCAGCCTCAACTTCCCGGGCTCAGGTGATCCTCCTGTCTCAGCCTCCGGAGTAGCTGGGACTACAGACACGCACCACCACACCCAGCTAATTTTTTGTATTTTTAGTAGAGATGAGGTTTCACTATGTTGCCCAGGCTGGTCTCAAACTCATGGTCTCAAGTGATCCACCCACCTCAGCCCCCCAAAGTGCTGAGATTACAGGTGTGAGCCACTGCGCCTGACCATAATTTTATTTTAATGCAAAGATGTGCATATTTCATATTTTGATACAAAATTTGATCATCTAAAACTAGAGCCAGTCTGGAAACTTCAAGCCAGGCATTCTAAGCTTTTGTATCTTTAGATTTCTCATAGCACTTAGGTGCTCAGAAAATAAAAAAAAAGAAATCAGATTCAGAGATATGGGGAAATAGGTAAAAATCTAGTCTGTTGCTCTCTCATACCTATAGTCTCTATTGTTTGAAATATGAAATATAAATGATCTATTGCTATTATAATACTTCTTTCCTTTCTCATTTATTTATTTATTTATTTATTTGAGACAGGGTCTCCTTCTGCCACCCAGGCTGCAGTGCAGTGGCACAATCACAGCTCACTATAGCCTCGACCTCCCGGACTGAAGCAGTCCTTCTGCCTCAGCCTCTCAAGGAGCTGAGACCACAGGTGCACGCCACCATGCTTGGCTCATTTTTTGCAGAGACGGGGTTTTGCTGTGTTGCCCAGGCTGGGCTCAAGGGATCCACCCGCCTTGGCCTCCCAAAGTGCTGGGATTACAGGCAGGAGCCACTGCGCTCAGGCTCATTCCTCATTTCCTACTGGTCTTCAGAGTTGTCATTACCACTCTCCAAATTCACCCTGTTCAGTACATACTATGAAATCCTCAAAATGAGCTTGGAGGGTCCTGATTCATAATGGGGACCATTACAAGTATGGCTACGCAGGGGATAGGCTACTTTTGCTCTCTACTTTTTAAAAAGAATATTTTTAAAATGGTGTAGCTAGCTCCACTTCCACTGCTGCAGTGATACAGGCATACAATGTCTAACTAGATTTTAAGGGCAAGAAAGCATGGCACAAAAGATGAGGTAGCCAGCTGTAGCTGTAGGTAGCTGTACCTACCTCATCTCTTGTGCCATGCTTTCTTGCCCTTAAAATCTAGTTACACATTGTATGCCTGTATCAAAACATCACATGTACCCCATAAGTACATACAACTATTATGTACTCATAATAATTAAAAATTAAATTTTTTTTTAAAAGAGTAAAATAATCTAGTTGGAAGAGGTGAAGGGAAAAGGTGAGAAGTAGTGTAGGAGTGTCGATCACACCTGGGGGTGTGGGTGGGAGGAGGTGGCTTAAGTCAGGGCATGTGGTGTAGAGGAAAGAAGTCACAAGAGTGAGGCTGTGACTTACACTCAGTCTTGTATAATCACTTAGTGTCTTTTGCTTGGCATTTCTCATGAGTAAAATGTTCATGGTAAAGGGCAGCGTAGAGAAAAAACGTAGAGAAGTATATACAAGAAGAAATATATGCTGGTAATTTTTTTTATTATTATACTTTAAGTTCTAGGGTACATGTGCACAATGTGCAGGTTTGTTACATAGGTATACATGTGCCATGTTGGTTTGCCGCACCCCTCAACCCGTCACCCACATTAGGTATTTCTCCTAATGCTATCCCTCCCCCAGGCCCCCACCCCCCAACAGCCCCTGTGTGTGATGTTCCCCATTCTGTGTCCAAGTGTTCTCGTTGTTCAGTTCCCACTTATGAGTGAGAACATGCGGTGTTTGGTTTTCTGTCCTTGTGATAATTTGCTCAGAATGATGGTTTCCAGCTGCATCCATGTCCCTGTAAAGGACATGAACTCATCCTTTCTTATGACTGCATAGTATTCCATGGTATACATGTGCCACATTTTCTTAATCCAGTCTATCATTGATGGACATTTGTGTTGGTTCCAAGTCTTTGCTATTGTGAATAGTGCCGCAACAAACATACGTGTGCATGTGTCTTTAGTGTAGCCTGATTTATAATCCTTTGGGTATACACCCAGTAATGGGATCACTGGGTCAAATGGTATTTCTCATTCTAGATCCTTGAGGAATCGCCACACTGTCTTCCACAATGATTGAACTAATTTACACTCCCACCAACAGTGTAAAAGCATTCCTATTACTCCACATCCTCTCCAGCATCTGTTGTTTCCTGACTTTTTAATGATCGCCATTCTAACTGGTGTGAGATGGTATCTCATCGTGGTTTTGATTTGCATTTCTCTGATGACCAGTGATGATGAGCATTTTTTCATGTGTCTTTTGGCTGCATAAATGTCTTCTTTTGAAAAGTGTCTGTTCATATCCTTTGCCCATTTTTTGATGGGGTTGTTTGTTTTTTTCTTGTAAATTTGTTTAAGTTCTTCATAGATTCTGGATGTTAGCCCTTTGTCAGATGGGTAGGTTGCAAAAATTTTCTCCCATTCTGTAGGTTGCCTGTTCACTCTGATGTTAGTTTCTTTTTGCCATGCAGAAGCTCTTTAGTTTAATTCGATCCCATTTGTCAATTTTCGCTTTTGTTGCCATTGCTTTTGGTGTTTTAGTCATGAAGTCCTTGCCCATGCCTATGTCCTGAATGGTATTGCCTAGGTTTTCTTCTAGGGTTTTTATGGTTTTTGGTCTAACATTTAAGTCTTTAATCCATCCTGAATTAATTTTTGTATAAGGTGTAAGGAAGGGATCTAGTTTCACACGCTGGTAATTTTTAATTTTTTTTTGTGACACTGTCTTGCTCTGTCACCCAGGCTGGAGCACAGTGGCGTGATCCTAGCTCACTGCAGCCTCAACCTCCTGGACTCAAGCGATCTTCCTGCCTCAGCCTACAGAGTAGCTGAGACTACAGGTGCATACCACCACTCTCAGCTAATTAAAAAAATTTTTTTTTGTAGAGATGGGGTCTTGCTATGTTGTCCAGGCTTATCTCAAACTCCTGGGCTCAAGCAATCCTCCTGCCCCAGCCTCCTAAAGTGTTGGGATTACAGGCATGAGCCACCATGCCCGACCTGGTAAATGTTTAATAACTGACTCTGGGGGTGTGTAGGGGATAGGAGGGGAGAAAGCCCTGCTAGGGAGAATTTGCTGGTTTTGTGCTAAAAATACTGCACATCCGGCCAATTTCCAGCTGCCAGCAACAAATGGGTATGTTGACTCTTGGCTGAACGCATGAGAGATCTCTTAATTTCCCAAAGGAAAAGGGGTCAGGGTGGGAAGGAACAGTACAGAATACTTATAATGTGAACACCCACATTTGAGATATTTGAAACTAGAGGGTTGGGGACTTTGGTGATGGGCTATGGAGCCATTCCTGTCTTTTTTTTTTTTTTTTTTTTTTTTTTTTTTTTTGAGACAGTCTCACTCTGTCACCCAGGCTGGAGTGCAGTGGTGCGAGCTCAGCTCCCTGCAACCTCCGCCTCCCAGGTTCAAGCAATTCTTGTGCCTCAGCCTCCCGAGTAGCTGGGACTACAAGCTAATTTTTGTATTTTTAGTAGAGATGGGGTTTTACCATCTCTACTTCCTCGTAAAACAATCTTTTTTGATTAACTGCTCCAACCTAACTCATTCTGATCACCTGTCCCACCCTAACTCATTCCGATCACCTGCTCCACCCTAACTCATTCCAGTTGCTACCTGCTCTGCCCTGACTCCCGCCAAAGCACTCACCCCGTCATTCTCTTTAAATTAGCCAATTGGAATTAGTTTAGCCTGTGCGGTCTAACCCTGGCCGATAGAGGAACGGCACGGCAGCAGGGCCCATGTGCCTCAGGGATAAGAACCCCTTTCCCTCCCTTGTCCAGGTGTGTACTCACCATTGCTCCATCTGTAAGGGCGCATTCTTCTATAGAAGTACCTTGCCTTGCTGAGAATTAAAAGAAAATTTTATACTCGAGTGCTATTTCTTTGGGGCACTGAAACTTTATATATAACAACTGGGAAGAAAAAGATGTTTAATTGGATTTACAGTTCCACATGGCCGGGGAGGCCTCAGAATCATGATGGAAGGTGAAGGGCACTTCTTTCATGGTAGCAGCAAGAGAAAAATGAGGAAGATACAAAAGAAGAAACCCCTTACAATACCATAAGATCTCATGAGATTTGCTCACTACCACAAGAACAGTATGGAGGAAACCACCCACATGATTCAAATTATCTCCCACTGGGCTCCTCCTACAACACATGTAAATTATGTGAGTACAATTGAAGATGAGATTTGGGTGGGGACACAGAGTCAAACCATATCAGATGTCATGCCTCAGGAAGCCTCTCTTACGAAATGCTTAGCTTGATGTGTGCTTCCTCTCCCTTGCCAGGCAGTGAGGTTCTAGATGCAGGTTCTTAGATCCCCTCATGCATCTATACCCCTCAACATCCTCACTGTGGCCATGGGAGGGACTCAGTAGTTCTTCATGGCATGAGTGGGCTTGTGGTTTTTCAGGGAGATTACTCTTGGTGAGGGTTTTCCATTCCCTCCTTTCTGCAGCCCAGGATGGCCTTGGTTGCAGAAAGTATCTACCAGTAGAGGCTGGGGAGGGGAAGACAGTGGGACAGGCTGAAGCCACCATACTGCCTCTGGGAAGGCTGATCATTTGGTGATGTGTTTGGATTTCCATGCTTTCAGCTTTTTGGTTTGGATTCTCTGTGCTTTTAGGTTTTTTCTCCTATTATGGATAAAACCAAATTCTCCAAGCTTTGAGAGAAACTTGGAAGTGGTTGTCAGAGGTTGTGTCTTCAGGAGTGGAATGGATTCAGATTCTGCTGGGAAAATTTGCCAAGGCTGATCTGTCAGGACAGCCATTGAGACCCACAGCAGGTGTATGGGAGTGGTTGCCAAACTGTGTGCAGCGCAGTCACCAAATTGGATGGGGGATATCTCCCCCAGGGTATTCTTATGTGGCTCAGGCCTCCATCCATATTCTGGGGAGCACTGCTTGTGCATCAGATTCTCTTGAAGTAGCAAGAGCACCCAGAGGACACTGACTTTTCCATATGCTTACCCCATGTTGGCCTGCCTTCTGTCTACTGTAGCACAGAATCCTCAAACCACCCATTAGGAAAAGATTGTCTCTGCTGAGCAAACAAGGTTCAATGAGGCTGAGAAACTTGCCCAGATTCAGACAATAAGTGGCGAGCCTGAGATTCAAACCCATGCTGGGCCGCCTCTCCAGCCCAGGCTCTTTCCTTTAGTGCACATGCCAGTGTTACAGAGAATTGTTTCCCAAAAGGAGGGACCCATGCTTAGTGCCGTGGGGACCTGGCCCTAATTCACATGAAATCATTTAGTGAGACAAGCATCCTTTCTAATTCCCGCTTTCAATCCTTCTCACTGGAAATAGTTTGGTGATAGTGTATCCCTAATGCCTCCCTAACTGTTAGGGATTAGGCATCCCTAATGCCTTCCATAGTCATTTGCAGCTCTAACTAAAATCTTACAGTGGTTTTTTTTGTTCTTCTCACTGCAACCTGCACCTCCCAGGCTCAAGCAATCCTCCCATTTCGACCTCCCAAGTAGCTGGGACCACAGGCACACGCCATGACGCCTGGCTAATTTTTGTATTTCGTTGGTAGAGACAGGGTTTTGCCATGTTGCCCAGGCTGGTCTTGAACTCCTGGGCTCAAGTTATCTGCCCACCTTGGCCTCCCAAAGTGCTGGGATTACAGGCATGAACCACCACCCCCGGCCACAGTGTTGTTTTTTAGTATTTATATTCTCTTCTTTTTATGGCATATTATATTCATTTTACATTCATAGTAGTGCTATAAAGTTTTCTTCAAAATATTTTTTACATGAAAAAGATTAGTTGAATTAAGGAAAAATTAGGTAAATAAAAGTATAAGTTCAACCAATAGTACTGGGTTAACTAGACAACCACATGTAAAGGAATGAAGTTAGATTCTTTCCTCGTATCACAAATAAAAATTAACTCAAAATTAGATCCAAATATATGAGCTAAAACTATTAGGACTCATAGAAGAAAACATAGGAGTAAATTTTGAGACCTTGGGTTAGGCAACAGTTTCTTATATATGAAGCACAAGCAACAAAAATGTATACATTGGATTTCATCAAAAGTAAGACTTTTCCATCCTGGCTAACACAGTGAAACCCCGTCTCTACTAAAAATACAAAAAATTAGCCAGGCGTGGTGGCAGGCACCTGTAGTCCCGGCTACTTGGGAGGCTGAGACAGGAGAATGGCATGAACTCGGAAGGCGGAGCTTGCAGTGAGCGGAGATCGCACCACTGCACTCCAGCCTGGGCAGCAGAGCGAGACTCTGTTTCAAAATAAATAAATAAATAAATAAATAAATAAATAAATAAATAAATAAAAGTAAGACTTTTGTGGTGCAAATGATCCTGTTTTAGTCCATTCTTATACTGCTATAAAGAACTACCTGAGACTGGGTAATTTATATAGGAAAATCAGTTTAATTGACTCACAGTTCCGCAGAGCTGGGGAGGCCTCAGGAAACTTACAATCATAATGGAAGGCAAAGGAGAAGCAAGGCACATCTTACGTGGCAACAGGAGAGAGAGAGAAAGAGAGAAAGCAAGGAGGGAACTGCCATACACTTTTAAACCATCAGATCTTGCGAGAACCCATTCATTATCATGAGAACAGCATGGGGGAAACCACTACCATGATCCAATCACTTCCCACCAGGTCCCTCTCCTGACACATGGGGATTACAAATTAAGATGAGATTTGGGTGGAGACACAGAGGCAAACCTTATCAGATGCCATCAAGAAAATGAAAAGACAACCCATAAGATGGGATAAAATATTTGCAAGCTATGTATCTAATATGGGACCTGTACTCCAAATATATAAATAATTCTTACAACTCAATCATAAAAAGAAAAATAACTCAATTAACAAATGGGCAAAGGCCAGGCACGGTGGCTCATGCCTGTAATCCCAGCACTTTGGGAGGCCGAGGTGGGTGGATCACGTGGTCAGGAGTTCGAAACCAGCCTGGCCGACATGGTGAAACCCCGTCTCCACTAAAAATACAAAAAATTAGCTGGGCATGGTGGCGTGCACCGGTAATCCCAGCTACTCGGGAGGTTGAGGCAGGAGAATCGCTTGAACCCGGGAAGCGGAGGTTGCAGTGAGCCAAGATAGCGCCATTGCACTCCAGCCTGGGTGACGGAGCGAGACTCCATCTCAAAAAACAGACAGACAAACAAACAAACAACAGCAACAACAACAACAAAAAAACCAAATGGACAAAGGATCTGAATAGATGTTTCTCCAAAGAAGATAGATATACAAAAGGCTAATTAATAATCATATTAAAAGATGCTTGATGTCACCAATCTTCAGGGAAATAAATGAAAACCAAAATGAGATGCCACCTCACAACAACTGGGATGGCTATAATAGAAAAGACAAATAATAAGTATTGGCAAAGCTGTGGAGGAACTGGAACCCTTATACATTGCCGGTGGGAATGTAAAATGGTGCAGCCACTTTGACAAACAGTTTGGCAGTTCCACAAAATGTTAGTCAAAGAGTGATCATTTAACCTAGTAAATGCACTCCTAGTGAAATGAAACATAACGTCCACACAAAAACTTGAACACAAATGTTTATAGCAGCATTATTCATAATAACTGCATAGTGGAAATAACACAAGTTTCCAACACCTGATGGATAGATAAATAAAATGTGATATATCCATATAATAGAATATTATTTGGCAATAAATAGGATTGAAGTACTGATACATGCTAAAATATGGATGAACCTTGAGAACATTATTTAAGTGAAAGAAGCCTGTTACAAATCATATGAATCATTTGTATGAAATATCTGCAATAGGCAAATCTGTGGAGACAAAAGTGGATTAATCACTCCTCAGAGTTGAGGGGTGTGTGTATAGAACCGGGTGTGAAGAATCGGGAGCAGCTGCTAAGAGATCCGAACTTTCTTCTGTGGGGAATAAAAATGTTCTAAAATTAGATTATGGGCTGGGCAAGGTGGTTCACCCCTGTAATCCCAGCACTTTGGGAGGCCGAGTCGGGTGGATTGCTTGAGTCCAGGAGTTCAAGACCAGCTTGGGCAATGTGGCAAAACCCTGTTTCTACAAAAAATATAAATATCAGCCTGGCATGATGGTGCACGCCTGTAGTCCCAGCTACTCAGGAGGCTGAGGTGGAAGAATCGTTTGAGCCCGGGAGGTCAAGGCTGTAGTAAGTTGTGACGGTGCCACTGTACTCCAGGCTAGGTGACAGAGCAATACCCTGTCTCAAAAATAAATAAAATAAAATAAAATAAAACTAGATTATGGTGATGGTTGCAGAACTCTGTGAATATGCTAAAAAACCTTGAATTGTGCACTTTAAATGAGTGAGTTCTATCTTAATACAGCTGTTAAAATAAAAGTACTAAGCAGATATAAGGAAGCTCATAAAGAGAGTACAGCAGTGCCCAAAATGCTGGGAAACTCTGAATTGGAGCGTGACATTCCTCAGGGCATCTCGTGTACCTCTCTGGAGACAAACTGTCTGTATGTGTTTCCTTTCTATTCTCTGTTGTGTTACTCATAGTCACAAGTAAATCAATCCAATTTTGGCCTAGACTGGTAGCTGTATTACTCAATCAGATTAAAAATATAAGAGCAAAATATAGGTTGGCTTATGAAATGAGTGGTAGAGGTGCTGATGGATGCAAAAGAAGGAATCTAAAATACACGCTGGGCCAGTGCCTGAATGGAAGGAGGAAATTTATGTCATGAGAGAGGTTCATGTGCCACTTCACGCTCCGAGTGTTCCCATCTGTAAATACAGAGCCCGATCTGCTTCTCACTGTGTGCAGAGAAAAACAGAAGCAGTAGGGGCTGGCCTCATGGCTGGCACCCTCAAGTATCTCTGCAAATCAATGTGCCTAAGAGAGTTGTTTTTTATTTTTCTTGAGAGGAAGTCTCACTCTGTTGTCCAGGCTAGAGTGCAGTGGCATGAACTCGGCTCACTGCAGCCTCCACCTCCCAGGTTCAAGCAATTTTCCTGTCTCAGCCTCCTGAGTAGCTGGGATTACAGGTGCACTCCACCACGGCGGGCTAATTTTTGTATTTTTAGTAGAGACTGGGTTTCACCATGTTGATCAGGCTTGTGACTATATTATATATAATATATATTACATGTAATTATATATTATATATAATATATATTATGTTATATTTAATATTATATATTATATTCAATATTATATATTTATATATAATATGTTATACATAATATATTATCATATATTATATATTAATAGATATATAATATATAATATAACATCTATAATAATATATAATGTAATATATGATATTCAATATTATATATAATATTAATATATAATATTATATATAATATTAATATATAAAATATAATATTAATATATAAAGTATATAATATATAATATATAAAATATATATTATATTTATAATATATAATATATATTTATTATATATATTTATAATATATAATTATATTATATATTAATATAACATAATATAATATATTATATTATATATTAATATAACATAATATAATATATTATATTTATTATATTATATTTATAATATAATATATATTTAATATATTATATAATATATACTATATATTTAATATATTATATAATATATAATATATTATATTTATAATATAAATATATCATATTTATTTATATTTATAATATATATTTATAATACGTAATATATATTTATAACATATATTTATAATACATATTATATATTTATAATACATAATATTATATATTTATAATACATAATATTATATATTTATAATACATAATATTATATATTTATAATATATAATATTATATATTTATAATATATATATAATATATACTATTATATTCATAATATATATAATATATAATATTTATATAATATTATATTTTTATAATATATAATATATATTATATATTTATAATATATATAATATATAATATGTATAATATATATATTTATAATATAAAATATTGTATACTTATAATATATATATTATAATATATAATATTATATATTTAAATATATATATTTATATATATTTCTATATTTATATAAATATATTTATATTTATATATGAATATATTTATATTTATATATGATTATATTTATATATATGAATATATTTTTATATATGAATATATTTATATATGAATATATTTATAATATATATATAATATATACTATTATATTCATAATATATATAATATATAATATTTATATAATATTATATTTTTATAATATATAATATATATTATATATTTATAATATATATAATATATAATATGTATAATATATATATTTATAATATAAAATATTGTATACTTATAATATATATATTATAATATATAATATTATATATTTAAATATATATATTTATATATATTTCTATATTTATATAAATATATTTATATTTATATATGAATATATTTATATTTATATATGATTATATTTATATATATGAATATATTTTTATATATGAATATATTTATATATACATATATTTATATATTTATATTTATATATATTTATATTTATATATAAATATATTTAATATTATTTATATGTATACATATTTATATATAAATATATTTATATTTATATAAATATATTCATATTTATATATAACATATTTATATATACATATATTTATATATGTACATATATACATATATTTATATATTTATATTTTTATATTTATATATTTATATTTATATATAAATATATTTAATATTATTTATATATATACATACTTATATATAAATATATTTAATATTATTTATATATATATACATATTTATATATAAATATATTTATATATATAAATATATATTTATATTTATATAAATATATTTATATATATCTATATATATAAATATATTTTTATATAAATATATATAAATATATATTTATATAAATATATTTATTTATATAAATATATATTTATATTTATATATATACTTAAATATATTTATATTAATATATATTTATATTTATATATATTTATATTTGTATATAAATTTATATTTATATATATATTTATATTGATATATAAATATATTTATATTGATATATAAATATATTTATATAATAGATATTTTAATATATAATAATAAATATATATTATATTATATTATATTATATATTATATATAATGTAATAATAAATATAAAATATATATAAATATATAATATATAAAATATATTATATATATTAAAAGAATGGTTTCAGCACAAAAATCAGTACACTGGAGTTGTATGTATAAGAAACGCTAGCATATTAAGTAGGAAGCCTTCTTGGGGTGCCTGCCTGGGACTACCTGCCTCGTCTTTGGGCACTGTTTGGATCATGCACTCTCGACTCATTATGATGGGCAGCAAGCCTGGTGACACCACCTCCCTGGCCGCAACTGATTGCACCAGGGGGAGCTCTCTAGTCCACATTAGGCCAATCAGATCCTCTTTCCAGGAATTTGGGACTGGGAATTAAAGTAGTGGATTCCCTAAAATATTTTTGGGGTGACTTTTAAACTTCTTCATTTTAAGCATATAGGATTAATAGCAAAAGAGGTGATTTCCTGGGTTCCACATATACTTACATTTTAAAATAAAATAATTACATCACTCTTTATCCATATCCAGTGGAGTCTCAATTCATCCATTAAATCCACCCATTCATCATCCTTAAAAAAAAAAAAAAACCAAGCACTTTATTAACAGCTTGGTTACACACATGTAATTGTATGGTTTTGAGTTATTTTCTTAGTATTGATTTCTATTTTTACTGTGCTGTGATCTGAGAATGTGGTTGGTATGATTTCAGTTTTTTTGAATTACAATAGGACATGTCACATTATTTTTTCTCCTTAAACCTATAGTTCCACTCCAAATTCTCCGTTTGTTTAATTGATCACAATTACATGGTTCTCCAGAATGAAAATTCTCATGTAAACTGAAATTAGAAATTTAAATTTTTTCAGTGGCCATAAGACTCTAAGCATGTTAAAAACAAGTTAAATATACTACATATTTTCATAAATATTCAACGTAAAAGTAAAATTTTATTGGCCTTTTAAACTTTTAGTTCATGTATCCAATGATTAAATATTACATACTGATGACTATCACTTATTCCTATTATCCCTATTTTTACAGAGATATAGCTGTAATCAATACATATTAATTAACTTAATTCCAATAAATATGCAAAAAAGGTAACTACATGAGATGATGACTATGTTAATTTACTTGACTGTGGTAACCACTTCATTATATTAAAACATCCCATGTTGTCAACCTTAAATATCTGCAGTAAAACAATTTTTAAGTATATATTAAAAATCAATCAATAAAAAGGCAGAGAAGATTAGAAGTAATTTGTATATCAATATCATTCAATAATTTAAAACTTTTCTCAATTTTATGCCAAAAATTATGGAGTGATGTCCATCAAACGCCTTTTATTAAAAAGTCTATCTGTGGACAACTTGAGTAGCGCCTTCTTCAATTTTGACAGAAGCAATGAAGTGGACGTGTCCTGACTTGCCTGGTAGCCGAGGCTTCAGTGTCCCACCCACCTCCTATCGGCAGTGCTCATATCAGGACATGCTGTTGGGTGTCTGACTGTAAATACACATGTCTGTCCCCGGGAGAGCTTCCCCTTTGCCTGAGTGTGAGGGAGACGAGGGGCAGGGAGGTAATGCCCTGGGACCAGCCCTAGGTGGATGACAAAGGAGATCTGGAGAATAAACACCCCAGCTTCCCAGCCTGTCAGGTGGGATAGCCTTGAGTGCTCCACAGCAGCTCCCAGAGTCTCCTACCTGAGCTCAGGCCCAGCCTCTCACAGTGGTAATGTGCTCAGTAAGGCACTCTGTACCAGCTTCCTTCTCTTCACAGTCACTTCCGGCTCCCCTCTGGTGCCTCCTGGGATTGTCACAGGATCCTTAGGATGTCGCTTCACCAGCCGGAAACCTCTGTGGCCAGTGGCACCTCTGCTTGAGTTTTGCTTGCACCCACTGGGTTTGTTCTGCCGACTCGGCCCGTCAGGCTGCACTTGGCTTGTGCTACCAGCCTGGATCCCACTCCTGCCAAAGTCAAGCCAGGCACAGAGAGGCAGGGAGTGTGTGAATGAGCAATCACAGGGTCTGGCCACTGTGCACAGCCAGGTGTGCCAGCTGCAGCAGGGTGGGCAGCTCCAGGCACTGGCACAGGCAGTGCCTTTGTGCGAGGCTACGGCTGGACCAGACATACTACAAGCGGCTTCTGCTTGTATCCAGACTAGTGTCTGGGCAAGGTGGAAAGCAGTGGTGCCTGAAAGCTTGCAGAGCCCCAAAGAGAGTGTTATAGCACGTCACAGCCCTTGCTTGGGAGCCCCAAGTTCTGGGCTCCTTCCACCTCTGCCCACCTGACATAGTGTATTCTGAGTTTTGTGGTTTTATTCCTTGCTGATTTAAAATATATTTCTAGCACACATATAGGCATGTCAATAACATAATGATTAATTTTAATTGCTTTTGACTTTTATAAAAAAGATTTTTTTAAAGTCAGTGTGGGCTGATATAACAAAGTACTGTAGACTGAGTGGCTTATAAACAATAGAAATTTATTTCTTACAGTTCTGGAGGCTGGAAGCCCAAGATCAGAGTGCCAGCCTGGTGGGGCCCTGGGGAGGACCCTCTTCTGAGTTGCAGATTGCCATCTTCCTGTTGTATCCTCAAAAGGTGAAAGGAGCACTATCTGGCTCTCAGGCCTCTTCTTATAAGGGCACTAATCCCATCCAAGAGGGCTCTACCTTCATGACCTGATTATCTCCCACAGGCCCACATTGGGATTAGGGTTTCAACATATGAATTCTTGGTGCAGCGGGGGAAGCACAAAAATTTAGTCCATTGCAGATATCATGCCATATATAATCTTCTGGGACTTTTTCCCCACTTATTTTTTTTTTTATTACGAAGTGTCATTCATATTGTTGTGGTTAGCTGTGATTCATTCATCTTCACTGCTACATAGTATTCCACAGTGTGAATATGCCATAATTTATTAATCTGGCCTTCTTGACTCCAGAGTGTAGGCTTTACCATGTGTTGCTGTAATCAACATCACTGTAGTGAACATTCTCATAAGGGGCTCTCTCTCCTTGTGCACACATGCCGGCGTCTTCCTTGGTTTCTACCAAAGAATGAAATGCTGGGTTAGTAGTAGGGTGTGTGAATGTCAACTTCACAAGATAATGCCAGACTGTTTTCCAAAGCGGTTGTAGCAATTTATACTCTTGCCAGCAATGTTTAAGCTATCTTATTCATCTATCCACTTTAGTATTTGGTGTTGCCAGACTTAATTTTTGCCAATCAAATGGATGTAAATTGGTGTCTTTTTATGGTCTTGATTTGCATTTCCAGAGTTATTTATGAGGACTTCAATAAATGGCACTGGAGAAACTTACTATCCATATGAAGAGTAAATTAGATTTCTATCTTACATCAGACATGCAAATCAACTCTGGATGGATTAACCATTCAAATATCAAAAGCAATTAAAACTTTCAGAAGGAAAAAGTGGTGAATATCTTTAGATCTTGAGGGTAGGGAAGGCTTTCTTAAACATTGGACACAAAAAAAGCCCACTATAGAATGGAAGTGTGATGAATTTCATTACATAACAATTAAAAACTTGTGTTCATCAACAACGTGTTAAATAAGGTCAAAAGATAAGCTACAAACAGAGAGGATGTATCACATTTAACAAAAATTCTATATCAAAATAATTCTAAGAACTCCTATAAATCAATAAGAAGAGAACACAACTCAACAGGAAAATACACAAAATACATAAATTGGTATTTCACAGAATAAACACATAAGGCCAATACTTATATGATGAGACACTTAATTTCATCATTTTAAAAAGCATCTTTTGAGGAAAAACAGGATATTTTATGGTCTTCTTATTCCAGGTTAAGGGAAAATAAGCATCTAGGAAAAAAAATTCAACCAGCATTCATCCAATATTCCAGAAAAAGTAACTAAACCTAAAAGAAAGTAGAATATTTACCAATGTATTTTAAGTTTACTCTCTGATTTTGTTTATGTAATAACAAGAATTTTGTTATTGCACATTGTCAACACTCAACAATAATTAATTGATTGATTCACAGTGCCTGATTTTCTATAAGCCTAACTTTGATTTCTTTCAAACTGGAAACAGATGGGTACATGCTTTTAAGGTGTTAATACACTATAGAACATGATCTTCTTTCTCTGAACTCTGTGCCCTGTTGGCTATAAGAGTAAAGCATTCACTTGGAGGAAGAAATCAGATTTAATCTAAAAGGCATGGTATAGCTATGCAGAGCCCAGACCCTTGTGGTTGAAACAAAGTGCTTAGTCGGCATTGCTCAGGCAAATCAGAGCAACAAGGGGATAGGAATGCCCCCAGGTCACTGCACACACTGATCTCCGAATAAACTGAATGAGCTTTTATGAAACAAGTCTCCCCATAAATATGTGCAAATATTATGTATCAATTAAAAAAGTTAAAAAAACAAACACCAGGTACCACATTGTAAGGTGCCCTTACAGAGCACTGGTTTAATAAAGGTGACATTTCAGAGAGTATTCACTTCTTTTTGTATCAGATTGGTAAAATGTGAGCTCAGCATTTTATTTATATTCAGGAAATAATGTTAATATTTTACTGAAAATATTAATATTTCTAAAGATTGATCAGTACAAAAGCGTCCACACAAAATTCATCAACATGGTAAGATTGCCTTATGTTTTCTGCAGACAGCTATAACATAATTTGGTATAATCTTTCTGTAGGTAATGTGAAAATACACACTCAAAGACTTAGAATTTCATATATTTCTCTGACCCAGCAATTTAATATCTATAAATTTATTCTAAGGAAACAATCATAGATGAGTCTAAAAATATAGCTCTTAGAATATTTATCAGAGTGTATCTACGATAGTGAAAAAGTAAAAATCTAAATGTTAAAAAGTGGGGAGCTGATTAAATTGCAGTTTATCCACATACCTATTAAAATGATGAGAAATAATATTTAAAGACATGGAAACTGATCATATGGTTACAGGTTATAAACAGTATATAAAATACAACTCTGTTTAAAATACATGCACCAATCTATGCCTAAAGAAAACATTGAAAATATATGTACCCAATAGAAAAGACAGCACAAATGATTAGAAGGTCCACAGGAAGGAGTAGCAGAGATGGCAAGCATAGGAGTGAAGAAACAAAAACAAAAACAAAAAAGTGGGGAGAATACTGGTTTGAGGAATGAAAAATGTAAGCTTGAATGAACTCTCAAAGAAGAAAAGCAGATTACGTCTAGAATATAAAAAGCAACCTATGCAGAAGCTCTGTTAATATCACACTCAAATTGAAAGGCTTGGCTGCCCTTAAGAGCATATTTAGTGAGAGTGAAGAACATCTGAAAACTATGTGTTAGGTCTAGGGTTCAACACATCTGGCTACTATGTGCCCGGCGCTGCAGCGCCTCTGTAATCCTCTCCATAACCGTAGGATAAGTGAAGCTGGGAAAGGCCAGGTGGGCAAGGTCACATGGCTATGACAGGGTGAAGCTGGGATTCTGAGCTGGATCTGGCTATCACTAGTGTACGATGCAAGAAAAGAAACGGTTGGTAACAAAAATCTTCCATGCTTTTGAACTTAAGGCCCACGATGGAGAAAAAAACCTGTCAAACTGTGGTATACTAGGCATGCTTTATCAATATCTCAAAAATTGACAATGCTGCGGGCTATTGCTACAGGTCAAATTACATATGTGAAAAATCATTAAGTGGACACAACACACCACAGATGGTCTATAAACACTGATTACAGCCCTGCCATATTCATGTGCCTATACTGACAAAGATGGGGGGTGAATTGTACTGATGTATGTCGATGCATTATTGAATGTGTAAGAGGCTTTTGTGCAAGCGAGGACCACTCTCTTCTATTATGCCTTATTTAATGTAACAATGCATATTCCTATAAACATTTTAAACAATTAGCATTCCTCTATTCATTAAAGTGTATACTCCCTTACATATGTGTATAGGACTTCCACAATAATAAATAAAAATGTTTGAATTTTTACCAATTATAATCCCTCATACTTATCAATATTGACTAAAAGTCATCTTATAAATGTTTCTAAATATTTGATTAAGTCATCAGTCCAGTAGACAAACTTCTCATAAATGTTTTAAACACCTAAAAAGCGACTTAACCAGATACTAAATAGCACAAAGATCTTACAATACTCTTTTATGTCTAGCTTCTTTTGCTTATTATATTTTTGTGATTCATCTGTGTTTCTGCATGTATCAACACTTCATTCCTTTTTATTGCTCATTGGTATTCCATGCTATAGATATACCACAAGTTTCTTATTCATTCACTTGTTGAATATTTGGGTAGTTTCCAATTTTTGGTTATTATAAATAGCGACTGTCGGCATTCATGTGCTAGCTAGCTTTGTGCAGATATACAGGCTTTTATTCTTACTCTGTTCTTATTCTTATCCTTATGCCTTCTCAGTTACATATTTGAAATTACAGCAATTTGATCCAATTTTATTTCTGTTTTTCCCCCTAAAGTTGCAATAATCTTATCAGATTATAAAGGTAAAAATAAAACAAAACAAAAATTAGATCTTCTGCAGTTTCAAGATCTGTGAGGTTCTTGGTTGAGACCTCAATTTGATTTCATAGTCCAGTGTAAGGCAAAACCTGAGTCATTAGCCAAGTGCCTTTTACACGTAAGTTGCACCTTAAAATTTAATCAATGGGACTTTTATTTAAAATTTAAAATTTAATCAATGGGAATTTTAAGTCGACTTTCTCACAGATTTTGGTTTGTTGAAATTTGGTATATTTCTCAGAAATTATATTGGTTTAGGTTTCAAATGGCTGACTTTGACAAACTCATTGTTCTGCCATTATGATATATTCACCTTGTTTGATGTTTTAATTGAAAACACATTACTGCCTTATGAGTATCTCATTACAATGAATCATTTGGAGGTTTTCTTTTCCAGGAGAAGAGGAACCAAGTTAACTCTCTTCTTTGGGCCATTTGGCTGGTTAATCATTTTGGAATACAAAGATTTTGATTGGTTATTATGCAATATGTGTTGATTGACAACTGGATCCCTTTCTACCTTGTTATGAGTGTACAGCTGGTGCTGATTAGATTTCTCTGTTTTTGGTACAGTTTCTGCTTTTCCTGGAATTGTTTCATTAACTTGTGGATTTATATGTGTGTGTGTGTGTTCACTTATTGCTTACACAGATTCCAGAAGAACTATGCTTTATAAGCCAACATGTACTTAAGAGGAGACACAAACCTCCAAATATATTAACATATGTAATAATGTTTTTATAACTACCTTTCTGTAACTTTTATATAGACTCTTCTCTTTTGAGTATCATAATGAACTTACAGGTGCTCACAAACTCATTCAGTTCAATTAGGATACTTTATACTCATTCAATTCCATTAGGATACCAGTTCTCAAAATGTGGACCCTGGATCAGCAGCTGCAGCTTCACCTGGGAACATGTTAGAAATGCAGATTCCTGGGCCCCACTCCAGACCCACAGAATCAGAAACCGGTAGTGGACCCAGCCATGTGTATGTTTTAACCCCTCCAGGGGATTCTGACACTCTCTCAGGTTTGAGAATCACTGATTTCCACTGCATATAAAGATGATGATACTTAAATTGTCATTACATGGCAGATGGAGCCTACCCCAAGTTGCTGTACTCCAGACATTTTCAAAAAACATCTTTGCTTTCTGGAAACAATAGGATATTCCAGTTTCAAAATAATCTTTTTTCCTTCTCTAAGACATTCAATCAGCTGCTACTCTCCAAGGAGTCTTTTTTCCTTTTAGTGAAATTAGAGAACAAATTCCTGGTGCTAGTGATGCTCACATGTATTAGGGATGATCCAAAGAACAGCTGCTGATGTTGGGCCACATTTAATGAGAGCTTAAAGGTTCTGTACTCACACGGACCTCCCCCCTGCATTTAACATAAGTTACCATATTCAACTTTACTTATGGTAGATTTTATTGAATGCTAAGATTTTCTACTACCTTGACAACATAGAGCTTAATATTTCATTGTTTCTTTTTCATGCAAAGTTACCCAAACTCTAAACGTTTAAGAAGTTAGTAAGTTAACTATGTTTCCTTCTCAAAAAGTCATCTTTCTGAAGAGCAAATCAAGAGGATAAACAGCTCATTCAGGAAGCCATGAGGCTAGCTGTAGAATGAGTGGGTTCCTCTCCCCCACTCTAAGCGTGACAGGATGGGGTCATGAGGAGTGCTGCTTCCACAGCCCTGGGACCCCCTGTAGCTGGTCTGTTTCTTATTGAAAACATGATCATTACGCTATTCATATTTCATTGTAATTAGTGTGATCATCTTGAAGTTTTCTCTACCAGAAGAATCTGGAAAAAGATGCTACCTAGCAAGGAATATTGCATTCTTCTACTTCTCCCCACTCACACGATGCTGGCAGTGTGTCAGCCTAGTTTATGTGTGTGTTCATTTAATCATTTCTACCCCATGAGCACCTGTGTTAGAACACAGGGAAGAGTAAAGTAATCACACTGGAATGTACAAAACAGGGCTGTGGGATAGTAGAAGATGGAGACTCCACTGCCTGGTCCTTACAAAGTCATGATTTACTGCTCCATTCCCAGCCTCAACTCCAAACCAAAGCAGATGTTCATCTAAAATAAGCTGTGGGTAGAGCAGATGGGCAGTGTGGAGGTGGGAGCAGACGAGGACAAATAAGGGCCAGGTGAGAATTTGGCCCATTCTGAAGAATTTCAGATTTCTGTATATAATTTTTTTTTTCCTGACAGTGGTGAAAATAATCTCTTGCATTAATAGTCTGTGTCTCACATGTCCGTGTGAAGAGACCACCAAACAGGCTTTGTGTGAGCAACATGGCTGCTTATTTCACCTGGGTGTAGTCAGGCTGAGTCCAAAAAGAGAGTCAGCAAAGGGTGGTGGGATTCTCATTAGTTCTTACAGGTTTTGGAATAGGCGGTGGAGTTAAGAGCAATGTTTTGGGGGCAGGGGGTGGATCTCACAAAGTACATTCTCAAGGGTGGAGAGAATCACAAAGAACCTTCTTAAGGGTAGTGGAGATGGGTGGGGGAGATTACAAAGTACACTGATCAGTTAGGGTGGGGCAGAAACAAATCACAATGGTGGAATGTCATCAGTTAAGGCTATTTTCACTTCTTTTGTGGGTCTTCAGTTGCTTCAGGTCATGTGCATGTATACTTGCAGGTCACTGGGGATATGATGGTTTAGCTTGGGCTCAGAGGCCTGACAGTCTGTTAGCTTTATTGTATTCTAATAGTGTTGGACTATGCATTGGAGCTAGGTGGTCTTTATCTGAGAAAGTTTAATTAACACCATTTATAAAATAACCAAGCACACAAATGAACCATCCTCATTGGTGCGAGGAAGAAATTCGCATTTGCTTTCCACTTAGTCTTACAAAGTCTATCTCCACATTTAGGAGTGTCAGAGACATTAGTACAGAGAAATGCTACTGGAAATGTGGAGAGAAAGAGGAATGTGTAACTTCAGAAGGGAGAGACAGAGTCAAATTTGCCCAAAAAATGATTCCCTGGGTGATCTTCAGAGACTCAATTAACCTCTCTGCATCCGTGTCTTGGTTTACTAGGGGTGGCATAAATTTGCTCTTCCTTAACTCATGAACAACACAGCCCTAAATGTATGAGACAGATTTGTGTTTTTGGAAGACGATGTAAAAAGGCATATTGTATAGTTATTTTTATTTGTGAATACATTTGTAAATACATTTGTAAACGTTGATATTGTACATTTGTGACACACTGATAGTTAATAAAGGATTTTTGCATGTGGCTCTTATTTAAATGTTCCCCAAAGCTAAAGTCACCAGGTTGTTTTCTAATTTTATACGTGAGGAAGCCGAGGCTCAGAAAGGTTGCCCATCCTGGCACACAGCTAGTTTATGGGCCGGGCAAATATCAGAGTCCAGGTCTTCTGACCCTTAGTTCAGAGTGCTCTTACTAGGAACCAACTGCACCTTTACTGTTGCTAATTAGAGAAATGTGTGTGGTGATCATTCACTCATTCATCCGTTCAACAAATGTAAATTAAATACTTACCAAGTGGCAGGCACCAGGGTACAAAAACACCAGTGACACAGATCACAATTTGCCAAACTGGTTTGGGTTGCAAAGGGAGTGCTAGCTTATTTCTAACATTTGAAATACTTTTTTTTTTCCTCTGTCACATTAGGACTAAAAAGGTTTAAGTCCTATTCTCCTTCTTCCCATTGATTATGGGTGTGGCTGAACCACTCAGAAATTCATCACCGGTAACCAAGTGAGTTCAATGGTCTTTGAATGGGTTGCAGGCTGTGGGTGTGGTGTGGTGGGGTGGGGGCAGCATTGCTGGACAGAGCAGAGAGGGCAGGGTAGACCTTGGGCCCGGGGAGTGGATCCTGAGGACACCACTTGTCTTTTTGATTCCCAGATGGTGGCAGCAGAGAATTGTAAAACCCAGCTGTGGGGAAACTCCTGTTTTGAGGCTGTTCAAGAAGTGCTGTGGTTGTTTTGGCTTAAAATCACATTAAAGTGCTTTTCTTAGGCTGGGCGTGGTGGCTCACGCCTATAATCCCAGCACTTTGGGAAGCCGAGGTCAGGAGTTTGAGATACCTGAGTTACCTGAGGTCAGGAGTTTGAGACAAGTCTGGTGAACATGGTGAAACCCCATCTCTACTAAAAATACAAAAAAATTAGCTGGGCATGGTGGCACATGCCTGTAGTCCCAGCTACTTGGGAGGCTGAGGCAGAAGAATCGCTTGAACCCCGGAGGCAGAGGTTGCAGTGAGCCGAGATCACACCACTGCACTTCAGCCTGGGTGCGATAGAGTGAGACTCCATCTAAAAAAAATAATAATAAAGTGCTTTTATTTCTCTAAGCGTTAAGAAGTCGACCAGCCTTTCCACTCTTAAGTATTTACCCAGGAGCAAACAATAGCATCTGCCTGTCCTTGTATTTGTAATAGCTCAAAGTCGAAACAGCCCAAATGTCCATCAGCAGGTGAGTAGATAAACAAATTGTGATATATTCATTCAATGGAATATTATTCTGCAATAAAAAAGGAGTGAACTGTTGATATATACAGCAACATGGAGAAATCTCAAACACTAATTATAGAAAGAGTACATACTGCATGATTCCATTTATATAAAATTCTAAAAATTGCAAATCAATCCATAGTGACAGAGAATGGCTCATCGGTTGCCTGGGAATGGGGAGGGGAAAGGAAAGAGTGAGAAGGGATTAGAGTGGGGAGTTGGTTATGTTCACTACCTTGTGAATGTACCCAATTATGTTTGTTGTAGTCAGTTATATTCACAGAAATCTATAAAAAAAATTACAGATATTTTTCATTCTCTAAAAAGTCCCATCTTCTCAGCCATGTTAGGCTTTCTTTAAGGAGGGCTCTTACCTCTGGAACATTCTGCTTACATTTGTCCCTCATTTATTATAAATCACTGGTGGTCCCTGCTAGGAAGCAGGCAGTTAGCAGGAGTTAGGGAGGCAGTGTGGGAGGAAGGTCACTTGGGGTCATGGAAAGAGGTCAACTAAGGAGTCAGACAGATGGGGTGCAAAGCATGGTATCCCATTAGCTGGGTCATGTCAGGTGGGTTCTTTGCTGTTTGAACCTCAGTTTTCTTCATTTTTTTGTAATTGAAAAAGTTTTAATTGATACATAGTAGTTATACAGATTTATGGGTACATGTGATATTTTGTTACGTGCATAGGATGTGTAATGATCAAGTCAGGGGATTCAGGGTATCTGTCACCTTGTGTATTTGTTTCTATGTGTTGGGAACATTTTAAGTCCTCTCTTCTAGCTATTTTTGAAATATAACTCAATTTTCTTCCCTGTAAAGTGGAGATCCTAATACTGACATCATGGGTTCATCAGGAGGACAGAGGGTGAATGTGAAGGGTCTGATATGTGTCCGGTGCCAGGGTGGCTTCTCCTTCCTACAGACTGTGCCAGGGACACCCATTTGCCAGAGAAATCTTAGGCTTTTCTGGGACTTTTTAGGATGGTTGGAGCAGTGGCATTTTGGCTTAAAGATGGTGATTTCATGGGTCTGGATGCAAAGAAGCACATGCGCTTGCTTTTGAAAGGGGAAACAGAATAGAGCTTATGGGTACAAAATCCTGATAATCAGGGAAGGCAAACTGCATAGCTGCCCCTCTTTAAAAAAAAAGTATTACTGAGGTATATTTATCTACAGTTAAGTGCATAATAAATCTTAAGTGTACAGTTCAATGGGTCCTGACAAAGGCACACCGCCATGTAACGATCACCCAAATCAAGGTGGGGCTTCTGAAATTTCCCTTGTGAACCTTTCCACTGGGGAGCACCTCTCCCTGGAAGCAGCCGTTGATCTGACACATAGCTCCACAGATCAGTTTTACAGATCTGGACTTAGGATCCATATAAGTGGAACTATATAGTATGTACTTCTGTTAGTTTTCTAGTTGTTGCTGTAACAAATTAGCACTAATTTAGTGGCTTAAAATAACACAAATTTAAATACATATTATTTAATAAACAATAAAGTTTTTTTATATTAGAAGTCCAACAGAGTTGGACTTTGCTGGACCACAGTCAAGGTATCTGCCGATCTATGTCCTTTTCTGGAGGCTCTAGGGGAGAATTTATTTTCTTGTCTTTTCAAGCTTTTAGAGGCCACCTGCATTTCTTGGCCTATGGCCCCTTCCTCTGTCTTTAAAGCCAGCAATGTTGCATCTCTACAATTCCTCTGTAGCCATCTCTCTCTCCGACCACAGCCAGGAAAGGTTTTCTACTTCTAAGAACTCATGTGATTAGACTGGGCCCACGTGGATAACCCAGGCATATCGTCCTATTTCAAGATCCTTAATCTTCATCATATGAAGTCTCTTTTGCCAGGTAAGGTAACATACTGATTGCAGCGATTAGGATGGTCATCTTTGAGGGGTCATTATTCCACCTACTGCAGCACTCTTGCAAACATACTGTTTCTAAGATTTATCCATGTGTGTGTTAGTAGTTCGTTCTATTGCCGAGCAGTATTCCATTGCATGAATATACCACAGTTGTGAGTTCATTCTTCCTTTGATGAACATTTGTGTTGTTACCAGCTTTTGGCTATTATGAATAAATATTCCTTTTTACATTGTTTTTCATTTCTTTTAGGATAAATATGTAGGAGAATTGCTAGCTTATAGGGTAATTGTATATTTGACTATTCATATGATTCTTGGTCATTAACATATACTCTTTTGTGAGTTGTATGTTTCAATGTTTTGCCATTTTTAATTTTTACCAGTTTGTCTATTTGTGATTACTTTGTAGATGGGTCTTTCTAAATTCTGAAAACAAATCCTGGCTGGGTGTGGTGGCTCACGCCTGTAATCCCAGCACTTTGGGAGGCTGAGGTGGGCAGATCACCTGAGGTCGGGAGTTCGAGACCAGCCTGGTCAACATGGAGAAACCCCGTCTCTGCTAAAAATACAAAAACTAACTGGGAGTGGTGGCTCATGCCTGTAATCCCAGCTACTTGGATGGCTGAGGCATAAGAATCACTTGAACCTGGGAGGTAGAGGTTGCAGTGAGCCAAGATCGTGTCACTACACTCTAACCTGGGCAACAGAGTGAGACTCTGTCTCAAAACAAATAAATAAATGAATAATTTGTCAGATATGTGTATTACAATATTTTCTTCCAGTCTGTGGCTTTTCTTTTTCTAATGGCGTCTTGGATCAATGAAAGTTTTTAATATTGATAAGGTCTAGTTTCTCAAATTTTAAAAAATAATTAGTGCTTTTTGTAACCTGTCTAAAAAAATCTTTTACTACATCAAGGTCATGAAGATATTCTTCTGTTTTATTTTGAAAGTTTTATAGTTTTAGCTTTCACATTTAGGTCTATGATCTATTTTAAATTAATTTTTGTGGGGGGTATATAGTAGATGTTACAGTAAAATGTTTTCTGTACAGATGGCCAGTTATTCCAGCACCACTTTTTAAAAACACTTTTCTTTCTTCATTGAATTTCATGGACAGTTTTATTTATCAATTAATCAAATATGTATATAACTATTTTTGGACTTTATTCTGTTCCAATGGTCCATTTGCCAGTCCTTGGCAAATACCACACTGTTTTAATTATTGTAAATTTATAGTATGTCGTGAAACCACATAGGGTAACTTTATCCTTCTTTAATATGATTTTAGTTACTATAGGCCAATTTGGGGTTTATTTCACTTTTGTGAATAAATTGTGTTCCACTCCACAAGATATGTTCAAATCCTAACCCCTGTACTTGTGAATGTGACCTTACTTGGAAATAGTGTCTTTTCAGATGTAATCAAGTTAGGATGAGGTCATACTGAATTAGGGTGGGCCTAATATAATATGATTGGCGTCCTCCTAAAATAAGGAGAAAAGACACAGCTAAAGACACATGGGGAACACCATGTGAAGCTGGAGGCAGAGATGGCAGTGATGCATCTGCAAGCCAAGGAATGCCAAAGATTGCCAGCAGACCACCAGGAGCTAGGAAAGTGTGTTAGTCTGTTCTCATGCTGCTGATAAAGACATACCCGAGACTGGGTAATTTATAAAGAAAAAGAGGTTTAATGGACTCACAGTTCCATGTGGCTGGGGAGGCCTCAAATCATGGTGGAAGGCAAAAGCCTGTCTTACATGGCAGCAGAAAAGAGAGAGAATGAGAGCCAAGTGAAAGGAGTTTCCCCTTATAAAACCATCAGATCTCATGAGACTTACTCACTACCACGAGAATGGTATGGGGGAAACTGCCCCCATGATTCAGTTATCTCCCAGTGGGTCCCTCCCACAACATGTGGGAATTATGGGAGCTACGATTCAAGATGAGATTTGGGTGGGGACACAGCCAAACCATATCAGAGAGGCCTGGAACAGATTCTCCCTTAGAGATTTCAGTGGGAACCAACCCTGCCAACACCTAGATTTTGAACTTCTAACCTTCAAAAGTTGGTAACAGAAAACCTTTCTATTGTTTTAAGCTACCCAGTTTGTGACTCTTTGCTATGGCAGCCCTAGCAAAAGAATACAGTCACTGAAACAGGACTCATCCTTGCTTAAGCCATAAGGAAATGACTGTCTATTAAACTCACAATTCCAGGGTTGAGAGATTCCAGATGGGATTTGTTTGAGGCATTTGGTATCAGGGTTAGATTCAGTTGTAAAGATCAGAAATCCCCTAAATAGTGGCTTACACAAGATGGACTTTTTTTTTTAAGACAGAGTTTCACTCTTGTTGCCCAAGCTGGAGTGCAATGGCATGATCTCGGCTCACTGCAATCTCCGCCTCCAGGATTCAAGCAATTCTCCCGCCTCAGCCTCCCAAGTAGCTGGGATTACAGGCACACCCCACCATGCCTGGCTAATTTTTTGTATTTTTAGTAGCAACACGGTTTCACCATGTTGGCCAGGCTGGTCTCGAACTCCTGACTTCAGGTGATCTGCCTGCCTCAGCCTCCCAAAGTGCTGGGATTATAGGTGTGAGCCACCGTGCCCAGCCCACAAGGTGGACATTTTATTTTACCTTTCTCTTGTTGGTAATCCAGGGACAGTGGGTACAGCAGCTTCATGGCATCAGGGATCCAATATTCTCTCACGTTTTGTTGCCATCCTCAATAAGCAGCTTCCATCCCATGATGTGAAATCTAGCTTCAGGTCTGTCTTTCATGGAACAAGAAGAAGCAAGGATGAGGGTGCCTGTCCCCTTCCCGTAAGGAGGCATTCCAGAGGTTTCACAGGATACTTCTGCTTACAGCCTGTTGTCCAAAATTTAGTCACATTACCACACCTAACTGCAAAACAGGCTGGGAATATAGTCTTTATTTCAGGAATTCATGGGTCCACCTATTCATTACTAAACAGGATGGGGAGACCTGATATTAGGAAACAACTAGAAGTTTTTCCACAGAGTGTCTGTGGAGGAACATCAGGTGATTGGGTATAAGAGACTTGAGAGTTAAAAAAAAGTCAGTTCTGGAAATAAAGATTTCAAAGCTCTCCCATGTTAGGTAAGATTTTGAGAGGGGAGGAGATGGCCTGAAGAGAGTGTAGAGTGGGAAGAAAAGGTCAAGTAGGGAACCACTGACATTAATGATCACTCAAAGAAGGAGGACTCAGCAGGGGCCCGAGAAGAATGATAAGGCCAGGAGCTGGATACTTAGGACAGGTTTCAAGGAGAGAGTAGTCAGGAGTGTGCGGGGGAAGAGATGCTGCTATTGTCTCCACTGTCCTCCAAAATTCTTATGCTGAAACTTAATTGCCAGTGTAATAGCCTTAGGGGGAGGGTTCATTCCCTTCTGTCCGTTCTACCATGTGAGAACAAAGCAAGAAGGCCCTCACCAGACACTGGATGCTGGTGCCTTGCTCTTGGATTTCCCAGCCTCCAGAACTGTGAGAAATACATTTCTTTTTTTAAATTTATTTTCTTAAAAAAATTTTTGGTAGAGATGGCATCTTGCTATATTGTCCAGGCTAATCTCGAACTCCTGGCCTCAAATGATCCTCCTGCCTCTGCCTCTCAAAGTGTGGGGATTACAGGCATCAGCCACCACACCCAGGGACATTTGTGTTCTTTATAAATTACCCAGTTTGCAGTATTTTGTTATAGCAGCACAAGTGGACTAAGACAGATGCCAATTAAGAAAAAGAACCGGTCTTTAAAAACACAAGAAGCTGTGGTTGTCCTGTTTCAAATCAAAGGCTAACTCGTCTTTTTCTGGAAGGAGATCTGTGTGACCGAATGACCTTCTGGAACTTGGAATGTGTGTAAATCCCACTATAAGGATGTGACGGTTAATTTGGGCCTAGGGCCAGACACAGAAAGACAAACACCACATGGTCTCACTCATATGTGGAATCTAAAAAAGCTGATTTCATAGAAGTAGAGTGGAATAGTGGTTACCAGAGGCTGGGAGGGTAGGGAGGAGGGGAGAACAGGGAGAGGCTGGTCAACGGGTACAAAGTTACAGTTAGACAGGAAGAGTGAGTTCTGGTGTTTTATCACACAGCTGGGTGACTATAGTAAATAACAACGCAGTACACATTTCAAGAACCTAGAAGAGAAGGTTTTGAATGTCACAACAAAGAAATGATAAATGTTTAAAGTGATGGCTATGATAACTATCCTGATTTGATCATTATACAATGTAAAGATATATTGAAACATCACACTGTAACCCATACATATATACAATTATTATGTTAATTATAAATAAAAATTAATAAAAGATTTAGGCTGAGGGCTGATGAAAGACACAGCTCCATGTCCCTTCTCAGTGAGGGATGAGATGGTCACTCATCATCTCTGTCACTATGGTCAGGTGGCTGAGGACCAGAGGAGGCCCTGGGACAGAAAAGGGGCTGAGTTTAAGCTTTGCCTTTTATCTGCTTCTAGGGAAGGAATCAAGATGCATACAGAAGGGGACTCGCTTGCACAGGAGATATGTACAAGGATGGTAACTGTAGCATTATCTGTGAGAGAGAAACACTGGAAATAACCCAAGTGCCTATCAACTGGAGAGTAGATGAATAAATCATGCTGTAGGCATTCAATAGACTTCTATTTGGCAGATAATGAATAAACTAGATCTGTGTGTATCTCAATATGTGCAAAAGCAATATTGAATGAAAATAAAGCATGTTGCAGCATGAAAGCAGTTACGTAAACTAGAAAAACCACAGAAAGAAATTCTGTAGGTTTTTTATGGAAACATAAATATAGTTTAGGTATAAAAATATGGATGGGAGAGTATTTACCAAATTCATGGTAGTGGCTGTCTTTGGGGAGGAAGGTGACTTGGACTGGGAAGGGTGATCAGGGGGTTTCAACTTTATCTGTACTGCTCTTTTCTCTTATTCAAAAATATTCAAAGCATGTGAAAAGGTGGCTAATTTGTTACTTATTAGGGAAATGTAAATTAAAGCCACAGTAAGGAGGAGGGGAAGGAGGAGAAGGAGGAAGAGAAGAAAAATCCTAGTAAGATACCAGTACACACTCACCAGAATGGCTAATATTAATGAGTCTAACACATCATATGTTGGCACAAATATGGAGCAGCTGGAACTCTTAGACTTTGGTGGGAGTGTATATTCATTCAAGCACTTTGGAAAATGGTTTGGCAGTATCTATGAAAGTGAAACATATGCCTATCCCGTGATTCTGAAATTCTGCCCCTAGATAGATACCCAAGAGAAGTGAGTACACATGTGCACCAAAATAAATGTACAAGGATGTTCATTGCAGCTTTATTTATATTAGCCAGTGACTAATCAAACCAATTTGGTTATTCTACTTCTAGATGTAGATGTTAGATAGTCTTAATCATGTACCCAAGAACACAGGTGCAAGAAGATTCATTGCAACACTATTTACAACAGCAGCAACAACAACAACATCAAAATAACAACTCAAATGTCCACCCTCAGGAGGATGCATTAATACTGCAATAACACAGATGAATCTTATAGACATTATGTTAAGCAGAAGAAGCCAGGCATAAATGATTACATGCAATGTAACTTTGTTTTAAGGAGCTCTACAATAGGCAAAACTAATTCCTAGTGACAGGATTCAGAATAAGGGTTCATTATGGGGTGCTACTGATTAGAAAATAGCATAGAGACCCTTCTGAGGTGATGATGATCTATTACATCTTCATCTGAATGGTAACTACACAGGTGTCTACACAAGTAAACATTTATTAAACTCTACACTCAGGATTTGTGTACTTTATTGTATGTTTAAGTTAGGTCTCAAAAATATCGGAAGCAAGCATGACAAATTGTTAACATATGTTAATTCTTGGTGGTGGGTACACACAATATTACTCAATCTCTACGTTTTCCTATATATTAAAATATATTTATAATTAGGAAAGAGAGAGGGTACTAGTCCTTTGGAATCAAAGTGACACTCATCCTAGAGCTGGTGACACTCCATTTGAGTCCGGGCCCCTTGCCCAGCCATCTCCCCAGTGTGTGGGCAGGTTCCCTTACAGTGGGGTGCAGCTGACAGCAGCCAACCAATCTCTCCTGGGTAAAGAGCTTCTTCATTTGTTTGGTAAATTATAGCGGTTGTTAAAGATGGGACTGTTTTGTAGGCTCCTCTGAAGATCAGCTCGACTGATTGTTTAGCTGACAGGGACCCTGAGCCATCATGCAAGAGCTGGGTTGGATATCTACTTCCCTGCACCCCAGCTCTGGCCAGAGGGAGAGCTGCATTTGAAGGTAGCCTCATGGCTTCAGCTCCCAGATTGGCTGCTGGTCTGTTAGCTCAGGGCATCACCAGTGGGTGCCAGCGACAGGTCGAAGAGAATGAGGGATGGAGAGAGAGAAAAAAAGAATGTAAAAGGCGATAAAGAAGAAGGGAAGGAAAAGACAAAATGAAAGCTGCAGATGACTTGCCGTGTTGCTTCCAGGACCTGGGTTCTCTGCTTTATTTCCTCCTCCTCCTGGCTTCCCAGCTATCC
Source organism: Homo sapiens (assembly GCF_000001405.40). NCBI lineage: Eukaryota > Metazoa > Chordata > Mammalia > Primates > Hominidae > Homo > Homo sapiens. Next base: position 41,420,828 of record NC_000013.11, read on the forward strand.
ACCTTGCAGGAACTCAGAGCTTTAAAACTAACACATCCCTAGAATATTATGAATAATATAACAGAGTGTACACCCCCTGTGACATTAGGAGTAACATCTCTCTAGGATATTACGAATAATGTCACTGGGGGCACACCCTCTGTGATATTAGCAGCAACATCTTTCTAGGATATTATGAATGATATCACAGGGTGTACACTCACTGTGATATTAGAAGGAATATCTCCCTAGGATATAAGCTATCATATCGCAGAGTGTACACACATGGTGTACACCCACTGTGTTATTAGCAGCAATATCTCCCTATGATATTATGAAAAATATCACAGGGTGTACTCTCTGTGGGTTACTAGAAGTAATGTTTACCATGGATATTACAAATAATATCACAGGGTGTACACACATGGGGTACACCCACTGTGATACTAGGAGCTGTATCTTTCGAAGATATTACAAATAATATCCCAGTGGATGTACCCCATGTGTGTACACCCACTGTGGTATTTAAAGCAATATCTCTCCATAAGATTACAAATAATATCGAAGGGTGTACACCCCCTGTGACATTAGGAGTTTCCATACTGTTTCTAATAATTGCAAGATTTCTTGTTGATATTTTCTGTCTTTTCCCCCAGAGTTCAATAGGCCCTTTTCTTTCTATCACGCTCCATGCACTTGAAGGGTTAAAAAGACATACCGAGAATCAGTGTAAATGTTTACGGTCTCACCCTCACTGAGTTCCAAGGCCTGAATGAAAGCAATGAGTTCAGCTTTCTGGGCTGAAGTGGCCTGGGGCAACGATCTGGCTTCAACAACAGTGTCCAGGGTTACCACTGCATACCCTGCACCTCTCTCTCCTTGGGGGTTGAAGAAGCTGCTCCCATCCACGGATAGTTCCCAGTCTACCGATGCCCAAGGCTGGTCCCGGAGGTCAGGTCTGCTAGAGTCAACTGAGTCCAACACTTCTACACAATCAGGCTCGACAGGGCTCTCTGATACCGGGAGCAAGGTGGCAGGGTGTAGGGTGTTACAAACTTCAATGGTTATACAGGGATTTTCACAGAGCAAAGTTTGGTACTTGGTGAGTCTGGCATTCGTTAGCCAATGATGTCCTTTGGTATCCATTAAAGTCACCACAGCATGGGAGGCCTTTATGTTCAGGTTTTGCCCAAGAGTCAGCTTATTTGCTTCTTGTACTAGCAGGGCAGTTGCTGCCAAGGCCCTCAAACAGGGGGGGCCATCCTTTAGAAACCCCGTCTAGTTGTTTAGAAAGGTAGGCCACCGGCCTTGGCCAGGGCCCCACAGTTTGGGTTCAAAGTCCAGCTGCCATCTTTTCTCTCTCTGATGCATACAATGGAAAAGGCTTTGTCAGATCGGGTAGCCCCAGGGCTGGTGCTGCCAGAAGTTTTTCCTTTAACTCGTGAAAGACTTGCTGTTGTTGGGATCCGCATTCCAAAGGTTCGCGGTCCCCACCCCCTTTGTGGCCTCATAGAAAGGCTTGGCTAATACTGCAAAGTTTGGGATCCACAGTCTACAAAACCCCACAGCTCCTAAGAATTCCCTCACTTGCCTTCTGCTCTTAGGCTCCGCTAGATTGCAAATGACCTGCTTTCTTTCTGATCCCGGGCTGCGTTCCAACCCTGTCGGATAGTAAATCCCAAGTAACGTAGCTGCTGTCGGCAGATCTGAGCTTTCTTCTTGGACACCTTATACCCACAGTCCTCCAGGTGCCGGTGTAGGGCATCTGTTCCCTTGGCACACCTGACTGCCTTGGGGTGTCCCAGCAGAAGGTCATCAACCTACTGGAGCAACACGCAGCCTAGGTCTCTGGTGGGAAACTTCTGGAGGTCTCGAGCCAACGCCTCCCCGAAGATGGTGGGGGGAGTTCTTGAACCCTTGGGGAAGCCCGGTCCAAGTGTATTGAGTAGTGACACCTGACTCCGGATCTTCCCACTGAAAGGCAAACAGCTTCTGCCTCTCAGGGGCTAATCTGATAGGAAAGAAAGCGTCTTTCAGGTCCAAGCAGGTGAACCAGCTGTCCTCAGCTGGCAGCAACCCCAACAATGTGGACGGGTTAGGTACTGTTGGATGGAAAGTCAAGGTAGCTTGATTAAGCAAGCGCAAATCCGGTACCAGCCTGTAGTCCTTGGTCCGTGGCTTGGGAACAGGCAGGAGGGGAGTGTTCCATGGAGACTGGCAAGGAACAATAATTCCAAAAGTTCTTAGGTGCTTGAGACGGACCTGGATACCTTGAAGAGCTTCTCTGGGGACCGGGTCCTGTTTTTGCCTAACCGGCTGGGCCCCAGTCTTAACCGGCCAATCCCGGAGGCTTGTCTCCTGCCCGTACTCTTGGCCACCGCTTAGCCAGAGCTGGTCTTCTCTCTTGGCCTGGCTCAGTTCAGAAAAGTCTGCGTTCCTCCTCTCGGGGGACCATAAGGGTCATAATGACTCCCGTTCCGGGTAACTTTAGCAGCAAAGAGCCATGCTCTGTCAAAGAGATAGTGGCTCTCAGCTTGCTGAGCAAGTCCCTTCCCGAAAAGGGCAAGGGACAGTCAGGCATGTACCAAAACTGATGAATGACTTTATGTCCTCCTACAGTACAAGTCCGAGGCAAGCAGAAAGCTTGCTTTGCTGAAGCCCCCGTGGCTCCGATGACGTCAATAGTCTTTTTGGATAAGAGGGCGACCGGGGCGGTTACCAGCGAATGTTCAGCACCACTATCTACAAGAAAGTCAATGTCTCTACCCCCCGACTGTCAATCTGACCAGAGGCTCTTTGGGGATGATTGAGCCCGGTCTCCATCAGTGCAATAACCCCTCCACCAGGTTGAGCGAGTCACCTTGTTTTCTTTTGAGCTGAGAGCATTTGTTCTTCCACTGTCCTATTTCATTACAATAAGCACACTGGTTACGCTGCAAACTCTGACAGCCAAGCTGAGTTTCTTTCCCAGGGCCCCCCTTCCCTTGCCTCTTTGGGGGGGCCCCTCTGATTGCTGCAGCTAACAAACAGGTCAGCTTTTCACCGGGCCTGACCTCCATCCTCTTTACCGTTTTCCTTACGGCTTACTGCATCCCTGTTTACAAACACCTGGCTAGCTATTGCTAGTAATTGTGATGTATTCATCCCTGCAAGCCCAGCCTGTTTCTGCAGTTTTCTTCTCATGTCTTCTGCGCTTTGACGGACTAAAGCCATGTTAATCACGCGCTGATTTCAGGGCTATCGGGATCAAAGGGAGTATACATACGATAGGCCTCACACAGTCTCTCCTAGAATTGTGCTGGACTTTCCTCTTTTCCCTGAATGACCTCAGAGACCTTGTTAACATTTGTGGCCTTCTGAGCTCCCCTCATTAATCCTTCCAAGAGAGCTTCTGTGTCTCGGTTTAGCCTTTGCATATCCTCTCTTTCATGTGGGTCCAACTGGGGGTTGGTTCCTGGCAACTGGGTCCTTCCATACTCTTGGGGGTTTTGATAATCAGCTGGTGCATGTTCCTCTAGCCACTTAGTTGCTGCTTGGAGCGCTCTCCGCCTTTCTTCGCTGTTAAAGAGGAACATGAGCAACCGGTGCCAATCAGCCCAGGTGTGGTTGTGGGTCTGGATAACAGTTTGGAGCAAATCAATTAGGGCTTGTGGCTCTTCGGTATAGGGCGGTGTATTGTTTTTCCAGTTGAGAAGGTGGACGGAGGTGAAGGGCTGGTACCCAAAAACACGCCTCTCCACCACGTGACCATCCTCATCTATCCCAGTATACCGCTGCTCTCTCAGGGGCATTTGGATCCCCGTTTTGGGTCGTAAACGAGCTGCCGAGGGAGGGGTGGAGTGGCGCAATGTGACTTACCACAATTAATCATCTCAATTATTAATTGACACTAATAATTATCAATATTAATAACTGATCATATAATTTTTAAAATCAATACCGATAATAACGATAATTAATATTAAATAGTTACACTCACAACAATAAATGATTAATATTAATGATTAATGACGCCCGATATTAATAACTGATATTGATCTTATTCATTAGAAAACAGTCATATTAGCTCCTAATAATTAACATTAATATTAATAATCTGAAAACTTTATTAGCCTTAATATTTATTAGCCTTTAATATTTCTTAATATTAATGTTAATATCGGTCATTCATATTCATGTTAATAATAAATGAGGAATAATTCATACTACTATTACGCCTAATACCTCAGTGGGTGTACACCCACCTGTGATATTGCTCCTAATGTCCAGGGAGGGAGACAGCATGATATTACGTTCAATATCGCAGTAGGTGTACACCCGGCCGGTGATATTGATCCGAATATAATCTCCAGGGGGTGGAGTACGACGTTACTCCCAATATAGCACTGGGTGTGCATCCACCCGGTGATTTTGCTCCTAATATTCACGGAAGAAGAGAATGCTATTACTCGCAGTATCTCAGGAAGTGTACACCCCTTCTGTGACATTGTTCCTAATATCCGGAGGGGGAGAGGGTGATATTACTCGCAATATCGCAGGCTGTGTACACCCACCCTCTGATATTGTTCCTAGCAGCCAGGAAGGGAGAGGACGATATGACTCCCCACACAGCAGGAGGTGTACACCCATCCTGGGATATTATTCCTAATATCCACGGAGAGGAGAGGCTGATAATACTCCCAATATGGCAGGGGGTGTACATCCAGTCTGTGATATTGTTCTTAATATTCAAAGGCGGAGAGGTTGATATTACTCCCAATATCACAGAAAGTGTACAAACCCGTGTACTATTGTTGCTATTATCCCGAAGAAGAGAAGATGATATCATCCCCCCATCGCAGGACGTGTACACCCACTCTGTGATATTTTTTCCAATGTGCAGGGCAAGGGAGGATAATATTCTTCTTAATAGCACAGGGTGTGTACAGCCCCACTGTGATATGGTCCTTAATATTCCAAGGCGGAGAGGATGATCTTACTCCCAATACCGCAGAAAGTGTACACCACCCCAGTGATATGGTTCCCATAATCCTGGAGAGAAGAGGATGATGTTACTTTCAATATCGCAAGGGGTGGACACGCCCCCAGTGATATTGTTCCTAATTTCAACGTGGGAGAGGATGATACTACACGGAATGCCCCCAGGGGTAAAAACACTCCTGTGATATTGTTCTTAATATCAAGGGGAAAGAGGATGCTATTACTCCAAAGAGTGCAGAGGATGTGTGCCCGTCTGTGACATAGTTGGTAATTTCCAGAGGCAGAGAAGATATTACTGGCAATAACGTGAACACGCTGTGTGACCATCGTGGATCGTCGTATCCAGGGGGGGAGGGGGGGTGATATGACTCCCCGCAACGCCGGTGGCGCCCGCCCCCCTGCGATGTGAATCCTCATATCCAGGGGGGGAGAGGGGGGTGATATGGCTCCCCGCATCGCGGGGACCTCACCCCCTTGCGATGGGGGTCCTAAGAGCCAGGGGAGGGTAGGGGCTGGCTCTTACTCCCCGTACCGCGGTAGGGGGCCTCACCCGCCTGCGATGGGGCTCCTAAGAGCCAGGAGGGGAGAAGGGCTGGCTCTTACTCCCCGTATCGCAGGAGGTGTGTTATATCATCCTCTCCACCTTTGGATGTTAGGGACAGTATCACGGGGGAGGTCTCCGCCCCCTGCGATATTGGGAGTCATATCATCGGCTCCCACCCAGGGTATTAGGAACAAGATGACCGAAGGGATGTATACCCACTGCCCTATTTTCAATAATGTCATCCTCTACCCCCTGGCTATTAGGAGTAACATCATAGAGGGGTGTACACTTTCTGCGATATTGGGAGTAATAACCTCTCCCCCAGGGATATCGGGAAAAGTTATATTAATTATTAATATTAATAAATATAATAACAATTAATAGTAATCATCGATAATTACAGTAGAGACAGTAAAACTTAGTAGGGATGAAAAATATTAACGGTTACTATTAATAATTAATAGCAATATCACTATTAATAATAAAATAATGATATCAGTAATTAATGTTACTTCAATCAATCATAAGTGATGTTGGTAATAAAACAATAATTAATATTAAGATTAATAACTAATATTAAGAGTGACATTAATATTAATAATTAATTTTAATCATGCATAATCATGTCTTGAAAATAATCATTAACGATTAATAACGTTATACTATTAATTAATATTACTATTGATAATTATTAAGAAGACTGATGTTTAATAATTCATAGTATTATTACTGCTAATACAGCAGGGGGTGTACACCTACCTGTGATAGTGTTCCTAATATCCAGGGATGGAGAGCATGATATTAGTTTTCATATCGCAGTAGGTGTACACTCACCCTGTGACACCGATCCTAATACCAAGTGGGTAGAGTATGACATGACTGCCAACATAGCAATCAAGGTACAGCCACTCGGTGATATCGCTCCTAATATTCACGGAAGAAGCGTATGATATTACTCCCAATATCGCAGGGAGTGCACACCTCTTCTGTGATATTGCCCCTGGTATCCCGAGGGGAGAGGATGATAATAATTCCAGCATCGCAGGCTGTGTTCACCCAGCCTTTGAAATTGTTATTAATATCCTGAAAGGGAGAGGATGATATTACTCCCCATAATAGATAGATATGACTCTCCATAATAGAGCAGGAGGTGCACACCCACCCTGTGATATTCTTCCTAATATTCAGAGGCCGAGAGGTTGATATTACTGCCAATATCGCAGGAAGTGTACACCACCGTGTGAGATGGTCCTTAATAATATTCCAAGGCGGAGGGGGTGATAGGACTACATATATGGCAGAAAGTGGACACACCCCAGGGATATTGTTCCCATGATCCTGGAGGGAAGAAGATGATATTACTTTCAATATCACAGAAGGTGGACACGCCCTCACTGATATTGTTTCTAACTGCCACGTGGGAGAGGAGGTTCTGACACGCGATATCCCAGGGAGTAGAAACCCCTGTGTGATACTGTTCTTAATATCCACGGAGGAAGAGGATGATATTACCCCCAATACACACGGGTGGACACCCTCGGTACACCGAGGGTGTCCACCCGTCTGGGAAACAGTTCACAATCTCCAGAGGGGGAGATGATATTACTCATAATCTGGTAAAGAGGCTGTGAGTCCACCGCGGATCCTAAGAGCCAGGGGGGCAAGAGGGGCTGGCTCTTACTCCCCGCATCGCGGGGGGCGCCTCGCCCCCCTGCGATGGGGGTCCTAAAAGAGCCAGGGGGGCAAGAGGGGCTGGCTCTTACTCCCCGCATCGCGGGGGGCGCCTCGCCCCCCGGTGCGATGTGGATCGCTATATCCAGTGTTCGAGAGGGGGGTGATATGACTCCCCGCGTCGCGGGGGGCGCCCCTTCCCCTCCAATTTGGATCGTCATATCCAGGGTGAGAGACGGGTGTGGTATTACTCCCCGCGTCGCGGGGGGCACCCGCCCCCTTGCAATGAGGACCGTCGTATCTAGGGTGGGAGATAGTGTGCTATTACTACCCGCCTGGTGGGGTCGCCCTCCGCCCTGCGATGTGGATCGTCGTGTCCGGGGGGTGTGGGGGTGATATTACTCCCCGAATACGGGGGAGCGCCAGCCCCCCTCCCATGTGGATCGTCATATCGATGGGGTTAGTGGGGGGTGATATTACTCCCCGAATCGTGGAGGCTCCCGCCCCCATACCGTGTGGATCCTCGTTTCCAGGGGGAAGAGGGGGGTGATATTCCTGCCCGCATCGAGGGGAGCTCCCGACCCCCTGCGATGTAGATCGTAATATCCAGGGGGTGAGAGGGGGGTGATATTACTCCCCGATTTGTCCTAGGATTCTTTCTGTACTGCCATCCTCGGTTCACACCCTGGGACATTATCTTCCATCTTGTAGCAAGATGCGGCTGCTACAGTCGCTGGGGTACACACCCTTCAATATTGTTCGTAATTTTGTAGGGGAATGTTAAACCTGACGTCACAGGACTCTGTACCCTGTGAAGTTATTCCCAATATCCTAGCTTCACCTTAATAATAATGTCACATTGTGTGTACACCTTGTGGTGTTATTCTTATTCTCCTAAGTGGAGGTTGCTTTTATTGTGACACGGGGTATGTTCCTTTTCATAGTATTCATAATGTCCTAGAGGGATGTCACCCCTTATGTCACAGGGTTTGTACACCTTGTCAAATTATTCGTATTATGCTCATAAGATGTCACTCCTCATAACACAGAGGGTGTACACTTTGTGATATTGTCGTCATATTCCAGGGAAATGTTACTTTTAATGTCACAGAGGGTGCACACCTTGTGAAATTATTCGTTATAATTTTGTGGGGTGTTACCCCTAATGTCACACGGCGTGTACACACAGTGATGTTACGTGCAACATGCTATGGAAATGTTGCTCGTAATTCACAGGTCATGTACACCCTTTAATATTCTTTGTAATCTTCTAGGAAAACGTTACTGCTAATGTCACAGGGCGTGTAGACCCTGTCATAAAATTCCTAATATTGTAGCAGGAGTTTACTGCTCATTTCACAAAGCGTGTACACCCTTTGATATTATTCGTATTTTCCTGAAGAGATGTTACTACTCATGTCCCAACGCAGGTACATTCTCTGATGTTATTCGCTATATCCTGGGGGGATGTTACTTCTAATGTCACACGGGGTGTACTCCCTGTGTTCTATTTCCTAATATCCTAGGGCAATTTTACTTTTAATGACACAGGGGGTGTACACATTGTGATATTATTTGTGATATTCTAGAAAGATGTTACTCCTAATGTCACAGGGCTGTGCACCCTGTGATAGTATTCACAATTTCCCAGGGGTCTCTACTCCTATTGGCAGAGACGATAACACCCTGTGACATTATTTGTAATATTCTAGCGAGATGATACTCCTCATGTCACAGGGGGTGTACACCCCGTGTTATTATTCTTACTATTCTAGGGGGATGTTACTCCTAATGTCACAGGGATGTACACCCTGTGATATTATTCATAGTGTACCAGAGGAATATTAGCACTAATGTCACGATGCATGTACACCTTGTGATATTATTTGTCATATCCTAATGTCACAGGGGGTGTGTTCCGTGTGATATTCTTCCTAACATCCCCGACGGATATTGCTCCTAACGTCACAGGGTGTGTACACCTTGTCACATCATTCACAATATCCTGAAACTACGTTATTCCTCAGGTCACAGGGGGTGTTCACCCTGTGATATTTTTCATCATAGTTTTGTGGGATGTTACTCCTAAAGTCACACGGGGTGTACACAGAGTCACACAGTGATATGACTTGTAATATTCTATAGACATGTTACTCATAAATCACAGGGGCTGTACCTCCTGTGATATGATTCCTAATATTCTAGGGGAATGTTGCTACTATTGTCACGGGGGTGTACACCCTGTGATATGACTCGTCATATCCCAGCGGGATGTTACTACTAATGTCACAATGCCTGTACACCCTGTGATATTATTCGTAATATCCTAAAGAGATGTTAGTACTAAGGCCACAATGCATGTAGACCCTCTGATAGTATTCGTTATATCCTCGGGGGATGTTACTCCTAATGTCACACGGGGTGTACTCCCTGTCATATTATTCGTAATATCCAAGGGGGATGTTATTTTTAATGTCACCGGGGGTGACATTACGCATTAAAAATGCGTATTCAACGCCTGTGATACTATTGCTAATATCCTAGGGGCATGCTCTTCCGAATGTACACATGGGGTGTACACCGTGTAACACAGGAGGGGTACACACATGGTGTACACCACCTGTGTCATCAGGCGTAACATTCCCCTAGGATATTATGGAGGGGTACACACATGGCCGCCTGTGTTATTATTCATAATATCCTAGGGGGATGTTTCTTTTAATGTCACAAAGAGAGTACAAAACCTCACAGGAGGTGTACATGTTGTGACGTTATCTGTAATACCCTAGAAGGACGTTACTCCTAATATGTCACAGGAGTGTACACGCTTTGATGTTATTTATCATCTCATAGAGAGATATTACTTCAAATATCACAGTGGATGTACACACATAGTGTATACCCTGTGATAGCATTCATAATATCCTAGGGAGATACAACTCCTGATATCACAGTGCGTGTAGCCCGTGTGTGTACACCCTTGATATTAGTCATACTATCCAGGGTAAATATTACTCCTCATATCACACAGTATGCACACCCTGTGATATTTTTCATCCTACTTTAGGGAGATATTGCTTCTAATATCACAGTGGGTGTACCCCATGTGTGTATACTCCGTCACGGTATTTTTTATATCCCAGGGAGGTATTACTCCTAATATCACAGTGGGTGTTCGCCCTGTGTTATCACTCTTATTTGACTTTGCTGCCTTTTTTAACCCACACTACAAAGGAATGGAACAGATAAGATATTGAGATTAGACTGTGCTGCCGTGCGGCCGCCGCAGGACACCTTTAATATCCCTGTTTCTCAGGCTGTAGATGAAGGGGTTCAGCATGGGGGTGACCACCGTGTACATCACTGAGGCCACTGCACCCTTTCTGGGGGAAGATGACACATCATCTGAACTGAGGTAACCTCCAACGCCTGTTCCATAAACTCAGCAAACAACTGACAGGTGAGACCCACAGGTGGAGAAGGCTTTATACTTCCCACCTGATGATGAAACCCTCAGAATGGAGGAAACAATTTTAGAGTAAGAGAAAAGGGTCCCTGAGATGGGAAGAAAACCAAATATGGCAGCAGGGAAATACATGATTATCTTATTGGTGAAGGTGTCACAACATGCAAGATGGGGGAGTTGAGAAGGGTCACAGAAGAAATTAGGAATTTCCACATCCTTGAAGCAGGTCACTTGTAAGGCAATCAAGTTGTGCAGCTGGGAGTCTAAAAGACTGAGGACAGAAAAAAAAAAGACAACAAAACTAGGAAGCCACAGAAACACGGGTTCATGATGGCTGAATGATATAGAGGGTGACAGATGGCTACAAACCGGTCATAGGCCATCACACTCAGGAGCATGTCTCTCTTCCATGCCTCCAAAAATGGCAAAGAGAGACATCTGAGTCAGGCAGCCTGCATAGGAGATGACTCTGCTGTGAGACTGGATGTCCACAATCATCTTGGGGACCGTGGTGGAGGTGAAACCGATGTCAGGCAAGGACAGGTTGGAGAGGAAGAAGTACATGGGGATGTGGAGGTGGGAGTCAGGGCTGATGGCCAGGATGATGAGCAGGTTCCCCAGCACCGTGACCAGGCACATGGACAGGAACAGCCCAGTGAGGACCGGCTGCCGTTCTGGATCCTCTGTAGTTCTAGGAGGAGGAATACAGAGACATCTGTTAGATTCTGTGGGTCTGTAGAGATTGAACACCTTTTGCCTAGAAAAGAGGTTGAGAAATCGGAAACAAGTAAACCAACACCCAGCATCGTGTCTGCATTTTGGATAGAAGCAATTCACAAGTAATGTTTTCAGGTTTCAGAGCAATCCACACTCAGCAATATTTTGCAGTTCTGACAAACTCAATTGTCTTCTAATGCTTTCATCATTGATTTCTGTGTTATTCACTTCTTGTTGTACACACCTGTCTCAGAGAAACTAGATTCAAGAATGTTCCAAGAACCAGATCATCATATATAACAAATTCGTAATTGCTAGAAAATACAGCCTATCTTTACTGAAGGAAACTATGTAATAAAACCATTCTCTTCACTTTAAGAAAAAGGTTATCCTAATTAAAGGAAATTAAGAACTCAAATATTTTATTTTATTCCAATAGATTGATACAAATTCCCTTGATTTAGAACATCTGTAAACACTGTATAACTGCTGAGACCATGCCATCTGGAAATGAAATTAAAGTTGATAGTTCATAAGCAGAAAATAGTTCCACAGGCCAGTTGGGTCCTAGTGATTTCATCATTATGTTTTCTGACTTTTCTCCTTCTCAAGAGAGCAATTACTTACTCAAATCGGTGGGTCTTGTTTTAAAATTCATGTAAGCTATAACTCCCGTCCTTAGCTTCGGTGGACTTAGACTTTTCATCAAAACATTTGGCCGGATGCGGTGGCTCACGCCTGTGATCCCAGCACTTTGGGAGGCCGAGGAGGGCGTATCATGAGGTCAGGAGATCAAGACCATCCCGGCCAACATGGTGAAACCCCGCCTCTACTGAAAATACAAAAACTTCGCCCAGTATGGCGGCGCGCTCCTGTAGTCCCAGCTACTCGGGAGGCTGAGGCAGGAGAATGGCTTGAATCTGGGAGGCAGAGGCTACAGTGAGCCGAGATCACACCACTGCACTCCAGCCTGGGCAACAAGAGCAAAACTCCGTCTCAAAAAACAAAAAACCAAAAACACACGCTCTGTCACACTGACGTCACACTGATGACAGCCAATTTTTGTGAACCAAGGAAGTGTCAATTCAATAATTCACATAGATGTTTACTTTTGCTTTCTCCTATGTGCCAAGCAAGATATAGGCTCTGGGGAATCAGAAACAACAGAGACTCACTTGTTCCTCTCACAATACTCAGTACTTACAGAGATAAGGACAAAAGAAAATGTCCTGTCTGGAATGCAAGGAAACCAGAACTTCAGGTCAGGGATATTTCCGTTGAACCGTATGGAGTTTAAGCTTATAATATTAACAAATGTATCTAAAATTCACTTTGCCTTGACTTTACGCATCCATCACATAGAGATCCCGCAGCGGGCACCCACGATCGGTTTCATCATTGCTCACTTCCATTGGGTCAACTAGAAATCAACTCAGATGAGAGTGCTGAGTGTCAGAGGATGGACGTCTCACCCCTTGCCATACAGATAAGTAGAAAGGGTGGTATTGAAAATTAATGGCCAGACTCTAAGTCCCGGGCACTATACCTGATGGTCTCCCAACCCTCAAAATGTTGTGGGTTCTTTTTTGTTTTTGTTTTGAGATGGAGTCTCATTCTGTTGCCCAGGCTGGAGTGCACTGGAGTGATCTCGGCTCACTGCAACCTCCGCATCCCAGGTTCAAGCTATTCTCTTGCCTCAGCCTGCTGAGTAGCTGAGATTACAGGCGCCCGCCACTATGCCCGGCTCATTTTTTTTTTCTCTTTTTAGGAGAGACGGGGTTTCACCATGTTGGCCAGGCTGGTCTCGAACACCTGACCTTGTGATTTGCCTGCCTCAGCCTCCCAAAGTGCTGGGATTACAGGCGTGAGCCACCGCGCCCAGCTTCCAAAAGTTTTCAACAGAGCTCAGAGGTCTTAACCACAGGCACATCTGAGGAGCATTTTTGAAATGGTTTCCAGCTTCCTCAATAGGAATGGAAGCCAAACCCCGAACTGATGACTCCTTGGAGGAAGTCGAGAGCTGTAAGGAAAGCCAGGAACAGGGGCAAGGGAGAGATGCATCCCAAATGATCCTGTGCCAATTCTTTCTGGAATCTTTGATGTGATCTCAGATGCCATTTCCATACTTGACACAGTGATTGTGGCACCCACTGGTCTAGCTGTGGTCTACAAGGAACCCCCAAAGGGAAGGGCACAGTGAGCAGGGGCATCGGCCTGAGGGACAAGGATTGGAGAGGGCAGGTTGGATGCAGGGAGGGGACTGGCCAAATGCCATGTGTCCGGACTTAGACTGCCTGGTTCAAATTGGGCTTCACCCTTTTTGACTTCATGATCTGGTACAAGTTATATGAAAATGCGTTGCTCCTTTTCTAGTCTGTAAAATCATCATGAAATGTGCACTAATAACTGGGTGACTACGCAGATGAAATGAAGCAAGCAGCATAGACCACAGAGCTCAGAGCCTGGCCTTTAGGAAGACCTCAGTAAGGGTTCATGATGCCCTGGTGTCTGTCATCATCCTCTTTATCCTCATCATCACCTTCACCATCTTTTTGTTGTTCTCAGGGAATAGTTTAGAGGGACTCATTCCCTGCTATGATGGGTGAGGTGTCTATGAAAAGGACAACCAGTGGGAGAGGAAGGCAAAATTTTGAATAAGATTTCTGAGACCCCCCACCACAAGCAAGAACAGAATCTCCACAGTCTGCTGAGCTGACAGTTTGCACCTTGGTCTCCTCCCATCTCCCCACCGTACTGTCCTGTTTGTCCTGAGGATGAGGAAACAAAGCAAGCCTCTGTCTGTCCCTCAGGACTCACTGAACTGCCCTTCCCCTCTGCTGGGCCATGACCACGGAGAACAGGTCCACTGTCCTCCCTCCTCTCTGCGTGTTGCATGACGGAGGCTCAGACTCTGCCCTCAAGGCTGGCAAGAAGACAGGGTGAGACATGAGCCTCCTGATACAGGTGACGGGTGTGGAGCCCACAGGACTGGAACCTCACACTGCAGGGCTGGAGGCACAGACTGAGTATTGACTATTCTATGGCCTGGGGTGCTCAAGGCACAGAGCTCCTCATTAGCCAAAGTCACCCAAGTTCCCCAATCTCTACAGATTTCCTCATAAGAATGCAGGAAGAAGAAGAGAAAAGGGAGTGTCCATAGAAGCTTTGGGGCTCTTCCTGTCATCAGGAGGAAGCTTGTGTGTATTATTCCCCTCTTTCTTTTCTTTTTAAAGATCCAACTGCTTTCATTTTCATCTTTTACTATGGGAAAATAGACCACGTATCAATACTAAAAGTTATAAATCTATATGATTTCATCTAGAATGGCCAGTATAAACATTGACAATTTCCACTATTTTTCAGTTGACAGTTGAATGACATTAAGTACATTCACATTGTTTAGCAACCATCACCGCCATCATCTCCAGAGCAGTTTTATCTTTCAAAATGGAAATTGCACCCATTCACCAAACTCTCCATTCCTCTCTCTCGCCCACCCCGGGGGCCACCATTCTAATTTGCAACTCTATGAGTTTAACTACTCTAGACACTTGATAGAAGTGGAATCATACCGTGGTGAATTTTTTTTTTTTTTTTTTTTTTTTTTTTTGAGACAGAGTTGTTCTCTGTCGCCCAGGCTGGAGTGCAGTGGCGTGATCTCGGCTCACTGCGACCTCCACCTCGTGGGTTCAAGCGATTCTTTTGTCTCAGTCTCCCGAGTAGCTGGGGTTACAGGCGTGCGCCACCACGCCCAGCTAGTTTTTGTATTTTTAATAGAGAAGAGCTTTCACCATATTGGCCAGGCTGCTCTTGAACTCCTAACCTTAAGTGATCTGCCTGCCTCAGCCTCCCAAAGTGCTGGGGTTACAGGTGCGAGCCACTGAGCCTGGTCGTGTTTATCCTTTTGGGATTTATTTATTTCACTGACGATAATGTCTTCAAGTTTCATCCATGTTGCAGCCTGTGTCAGAAGTGCCTGTCTGGTTTTTTGTTTTGTTTGTTTTTGTTTCATTTTGTTTTGTTTTGTGTTTACATGGAGTCTCACTCTGTCACACAGGCTGGAGTGCAGTGGCGCAATCTGGGTTCACTGCAACCTCCGCCTCCCGGGTTCAAGCGATTCTTGTGCCTCAGCCTCCCGAGTAGCCGGGACTATAGGCAAGCGCCACCACGCTCGGCTAATTTTTTGCATTTTCAGTAGAGACAGGGTTTCACCAAGATGTCCAGGCTGGTCTTGAACTCCTGACCTCAGGTGATCCGCCCACCTCGATCTTCCAAGATGCTGGGATTACAGGCATGAGCCACCGCACCGGCCAGAAGTGCCTGCCTTTTGAAGGCTGAATAGTCTTCCATTGTATGAATGCACTGCAGTGTGCTTTTTCGTTCATCTGTCCACGAACCCTCGGGTTGCTTCCACATTTTGGCTGTTGTGAATAATGCTGCTATGAATATGGGTGCACAAATCTCTCTTCCACTCCTGCCTTCTAATTCTTTTTGGTAGGTACCCACAAATGCAACTGCGGGAACATCTGATCATTCTGTTTCTAATTTTTTCAGTACATGCCATAGTATTTTCCCTGTTCCTTCACGGTTTTACATTCCCTCCAATCATATTCGAGCATTCCTACTTCCCTCTAGTCTCACCAATGCTTGTTTGTTTATCATATCCATCCTAACGTGTGGTATCACATTCTTGGGTGATTTGCGCTTCCCTATGATGAGTGATTTTGAACATCATCTTAGATGCTTATTGGCCATTGCTATATCTTGTTTAGGGACACGTCTACTCGAGTCTCCTGACCATTGTTAATGGGATGCTTTGGGTTTCTTGTTGTTTAGTTCTAGCTGTTCTTGATGTATGATGGATATTAGCCTCTTTTCAGATAGATGATTTGCAAATATTTTTCCTAATCCATGGGTTATCTTTTCACTCAGGTCACAGTGTTTTTTGCTGCACAGAAGTGTCTGTCATTTAGATGTAATCCAAGGAATCTAATTTTCTTTCGTTGCCTATGCTTTTGGGGTCGTATCCCAGAAAGCATTGCCCAATCCAATGTCATGAAAGTGTGGCCAATGTTTTCTTTTAGGCCTATGATACTTTTAGCACTTGGGGTTAGGTCTTTGATCCAGTTTGTGTTAATTTTTGCACCTGGTGTGACATAGGGTCCACCTTCATTCTTCTGCATGTGGAAATCAAGTTCCTCTGACACCATTTCTTGAAAAGGCTGCTTTTCCACCAATGAGCTTTCTTAGCACTCATGTGAAAAATCATTTGAACATATAGGTGAGAAGTTATTTCTGGGCTCAAAAACAAACAAACAACAAGAGACAACAGATAAGGATACAGCATGGGCCGGGTGCGGTGGCTCACTCCTGTAATCCCAGCACTTTGAGAGGCCGAGGCGGGTGGATCACGAGGTCAGGAGATCGAGACCATCCTGGCTAAGACGATGAAACCCCGTCTCTACCTAAAATACAAAAAATTAGCCAGGTGTGGTGGTGGGTGCCTGTAGTCCCAGCTACTTGGGAGGCTGAGGCAGGAGAATGGCATGAACCCAGGAGGCAGAGCTTGCAGTGAGCCGAGATCGCACCACTGCACTCCAGCCTGGGCAACAGAGCGAGACTCCATCTGAAAAACAAAACAAAAGAAAAAGCATGTTGGCCAGGCGGGTCTCCAACTCCTGGACTCAAGTGATCCGTGTGACTCGGCCTCCCAAAGTGCTGGGATCACAGGCCTGAGCCACCACACCTGGCCAAGGTTTCCGTTTTTCCTACATAGAAGTGAGGACATGAAATATTTGTCATTCTGTGCCTGGCTTATTTCATTTAATATACAGACCTGCAATCTCATCCATTTTGTCTGCAGCGGAGAGGATTTTCTTCCTTGTTAGGCTGAATAATACTTCATTGGGTGTGTATACCACAGTTTCTTAATTGAAACAAATTTCTAAAGAGCAAATATTTTTAAAATGTCTCGGAATGTGAAACTTCAGGGATACTGTGCCCATTTTATTCTTTTCTATTTCCCATCTTATGTATATGCAAGTGTATAACAAAGCAGCAATCAACGTGTGCATAAATCTATAACTTCAACAAACGTAACATGTAAATGCTAAGTGGTGGCTGGGCGGGGTCGCTCAGGCCTGTAATCCCAGCACTTTGGGAGGCGGAATCGGGCAGATCACCTGAGGTCGGGAGCTCAAGACCAGCCTGACCAAAATGGAGAAACACTGTCTCTAATAAAAATACAAAAAAAAAAAAAAAAAAAAAATTAGCCGGGCATGGTAGCGCATGCCTGTAATCCCAACTACTTGGAAGGCTGAGACAGGAGAATCGCTTGAATACGGGAGGCAGAGGTTGCAGTGAGCCGAGATCGTGCCATTGAACTCCAGCCTGGGCAACAAGAGTGAAACTCTGCCTCAAAAAAAAAAAAAAAAAAAAAGGAAAAGAAAGAAATAGAAAATGTGAAATGGTAAGAAAAAACAGCCTAATAGACATTTTTATGGTGTTGATGGACAATGCATTTGAAGATAATATTTGAAGAAATCATATTACGATTAATTTCTCTTCTTACTCATTGGAGCTTGATGCCTCTAAAAACTTCGTCATTGGAGGCCGGGCGCGGTGGCTCACGCCTGTAATCCCAGCACTTTGGGAGGCCGAGGCGGGCGGATCACAAGGTCAGGAGATTGAGACCATCCTGGCTAACACGGTGAAACCCCGCCTCTACTAAAAAATACAAAAAAATTAGCCGGGCGTGGTGGCGGGCGCCTGTAGTCCCAGCTACTCGGGAGGCTGAGGCAGGAGAATGGCGTGAACCTGGGAGGCGGAGCTTGCAGTGAGCCAAGATGGCGCCACTGCACTCCAGCCTGGTCGGCAGAGCGAGACTCTGCCTCAAAAAAAAAAAAAAAAACAAAAAACTTCGTCATTGGAACCACCTCTGGTGCTGTAAAAGAAAAAAAAAAAATCCGCATACTCACACAGGTGCAAGTAAATCAGAATCTCAGGTATTGAGACCCAGGCCTCATCATTTGTAAGCTCCCCAGGGGATGGGACTCAAAGCCAAGACTGAGGAACGGTGACATGGATCTCTACACATAACCTGCCTAAATAGATTCTCTAGAAGCAGTTCATAAAGAAATTCCACATGAATTCCGGAAGAGGATATGAATTTGATGTACAGTATGTCCTCACTTAACATCTTTGAAAGTCTCTTGGAAACTTCACCTCGAAGCAAAATGATGTACAGTGAAACCACTTATTCCTAATCCACAGTATAACTACACAACTTTGAACACACCAATGGTGTTGGAGGACCTGCTGTACATTGTTTCCATAAAGTCAATTTTCAGGGAATTCCAAAATGAAGTGAGGACTTCGTGTTTATAAAAAGATGGTTGTGATTCCACCTGGATGACAAGGTCATTGCTCAGAAACTAAAGGAGGCTGCCTAGGCACAGAGGATTCTGTCATGAGGTTTCTGCTAAACAAAGGATCCCAGAATACTCACCCATTCCAGTTAAAGGCATAACGAAGAAAGCAATGTTCACAAAGGAAATGCAGAAAGGAATAAAAGCCATCAAGTCACAAAAAGAATGTGACTAAGGGGTAGGATTTGCAGACTTAGAGATTTAATGTGGTTGCCCTTTCTCACCCACACAAGAAAAAGGATGGAACAGATCATGAGATTCGACTGTTGTGCTGCGCAGCCTCTGCAGGGCACTTTGAATGTCCCTGTTTCTCAGGCTGTAGATGAAAGGGTTCAGCATGGGGGTGACCACAGCGTACATCACTGACGCCACCACACCATTCCTGGGGGGTGGTGCCACAGCTGAAGTCAGGTGCACGCCAATGCCTGTTCCATAAAATAAGCAAACAACTGCCAGGTGAGAGCCACAGGTGGCAAGGGCTTTATACTTCCCATCTGATGATGACATCCTTAGAATGGAGGGGACAATTTTATAGAAAGACAAAAGGAACCCTGAAATGGGAAGAAAACCAAACATAGTACTATCGAAATACATGAATATTCTATTGATGACACTGTCAGAACAGGCAAGGTTGAGAAGTTGAGATGGCTCACAGACAAAAGTAGAGATTTCCACATTCTTGAAGATGGTGAATTGTAACACAATCCAACTGTGCAGCTGGGAATCCAACAGGCTAAGGAAAAAGGACACCAAATGAAGAAGACACAGAGGGTGAGGATTCACAATGACTGGGTAGTGCAGAGGGCGACAGATGGCTACAAAGCAGTCATAGGCCATCATGGTCAGGAGCATGTCTTCTATACATGCAAAAAGGACCAAGAAAGACATCTGTGTCAGGCAGCCCGCATGAGAGATGACTCTGCTATGCAACTGCATGTCCACAGTCATCTTGGGAACCGTGGCCGAGGTGAAACTGAGGTTAGCCCAGCACAGGTTGGAGAGGAAGAAGTACATGGGGGTGTGGAGGTGGGAGTCAGGGTTGACAGCCAGGATGATGAGCAGGTTCCTCAGCACCGTGACCAGATACATGGACAGGGACAGGGACAGCAAAGCAAGGACCGGCTGCAGTTCTGGATCCCCTGAGAGTCCCAGGAGGAGGAATTCTCAGACACCTGTGAGACTCCGTGGCTCTGTGTGACTTGGACACCTTGAGAAGGAAAGAAGATTGGAAAAATAAAAGACAAAAAGCAGCCCTTCATGCTGAATGCAAGCAATTCACAAGGAACATTTTCACACTTGCAGACCATACACCGCCAGCAATGTTTCTCAGTTGTGACAAATCCAAAAATCTCAGAATTGTTACATGTTTTACTTTTTTGCTATTCAACTCTTTCTGTACATACTACTTTAGAGAAAATCCACTGAAGAAGGTTAGAAGACCAAAACATCATATATAACAAATCCGTGATCTCAGTAAAATACGGCCCACTCTTTTCAGAAAAAATAGAATGCAATGAAAATGTTCTTCTCTTGAAGAAAAAGATCTCAGTCTAATTGGAAGAAATTAAGAAGCCGTGAAATACACTCTATTTTATTCTGACACCGTGCTACAAATTCCTTTGATGTGGAATATGTAGAAGGATGATACAAGAGCTAGGACCGCATTATCTAAAAATGAACTCGAAACTTAAGAGTTCTTCATTGGAAGACCTTTTCACATGCCAGTTACTTTTCATATTTATTATCATCCTTAGGTTTCCTGACATCATTTCTTCATAAAAGTACATGCACACTCAAATATGGGAGCTGTGTTTCCAAATGAATTGAATATATAACTCCTGGCCGAGCGCCATGGCACACACCTGTAATCCCAGCACTTTGGGCGGCCGAGGCTGATGGATCACCTGAGGTCAGGAGTTCCAGACCAGCTTGGCCAACGTGGTGAAACCGCTTCTCCAGTGAAAATAAAAAGAAATTAGCCGGGCATGGTGGCGGGTAACCCTAGCTACTCGGGAGGCTGAAGCAGGAGAATCCCTTAGAACCTGGAAGGCAGACATTGGACACCCTGTGATAGGATTTTTGATATCCTAGGGAGATATTGCTCCTGACAGCAGAGTGGGCGTACACCCTGTGATATTATTTGTAATATCCTAGAAAGATATTGCTCCTAATATCACAGTGGCTGTACACCCTGTCCTGTGATATTAATTGTAATATCCTACAGAGATATTACTCCTAATAATACAGTGGGTGTACACCCTATGGTATTATTCATAATATATTACGGAGATATGACTCCTGATATCACAGTGAGTGTACACCATGTTTGCACACCCTGTGATCTTATTTGTAACAACTTAGAAAAATATTACAGCTAATATCAAAGTGGGTGTACACCCTGTGATGTTATTTGTTATCTACTAGGTAGATATTAATCCTAATATCACAGTGAGTGTACACCATGTGTGTACAGACTGTGAAATTATTCATAATACCCTAGGAAGATATTACTCCTAATATCACAGTGGGTGTACACCCTGTGATATTATTGGTGATCCCCTAGGGTGATACGATTCCTACTATTACGGTGGGTGTACACTCTGTGAGGTTATTTGTAATGTCCTGGGAAGATATTACTCCTAATATCAAAGTGGATGTACACCACGTGTGTACACTCTGTGATATCATTCGTGATATCCCAGAGAGATATTTCTCCTGATATCACAGTGTGTGTACACTCTGTGATATTACTTGTACTATCCTAGAGAGATATTGCTCCCAGTATCACAGTGGGTGTACACTGGGATATTACCAATAACATCACCCATGTAATTTCTCCCTAGGATGTCACGAGTAACATCTCAGTTCATACACACATGGTGTACACCCACGGTGACATTAAGGGTAATATCTCCCTGGGATATTACCAATAACATCAGTTACAATATTGTATTGTCAGAACTGCAAATTATTGCTGAGTGTGGATTGCTCTGAAATCTGAAAACATGCCTTGTGAATTGCTTATATCCAAAATGCAGACACAATGCTGGGTGTTGGTTTACTTGTTTCCGATTTCTCAACCTCTTTTCTAGGCAAAAGGTGTCCAATCTCTACAGACCCACAGAATCTAACAGATGTCTCTGTATTCCTCCTCCTAGAACTACAGAGGATCCAGAACGGCAGCCGGTCCTCACTGGGCTGTTCCTGTCCATGTGCCTGGTCATGGTGCTGGGGAACCTGCTCATCATCCTGGCCATCAGCCCTGACTCCCACCTCCACATCCCCATGTACTTCTTCCTCTCCAACCTGTCCTTGCCTGACATCGGTTTCACCTCCACCACGGTCCCCAAGATGATTGTGGACATCCAGTCTCACAGCAGAGTCATCTCCTATGCAGGCTGCCTGACTCAGATGTCTCTCTTTGCCATTTTTGGAGGCATGGAAGAGAGACATGCTCCTGAGTGTGATGGCCTATGACCGGTTTGTAGCCATCTGTCACCCTCTATATCATTCAGCCATCATGAACCCGTGTTTCTGTGGCTTCCTAGTTTTGTTGTCTTTTTTTTTCTGTCCTCAGTCTTTTAGACTCCCAGCTGCACAACTTGATTGCCTTACAAGTGACCTGCTTCAAGGATGTGGAAATTCCTAATTTCTTCTGTGACCCTTCTCAACTCCCCCATCTTGCATGTTGTGACACCTTCACCAATAAGATAATCATGTATTTCCCTGCTGCCATATTTGGTTTTCTTCCCATCTCAGGGACCCTTTTCTCTTACTCTAAAATTGTTTCCTCCATTCTGAGGGTTTCATCATCAGGTGGGAAGTATAAAGCCTTCTCCACCTGTGGGTCTCACCTGTCAGTTGTTTGCTGAGTTTATGGAACAGGCGTTGGAGGTTACCTCAGTTCAGATGATGTGTCATCTTCCCCCAGAAATGGTGCAGTGGCCTCAGTGATGTACACGGTGGTCACCCCCATGCCGAACCCCTTCATCTACAGCCTGAGAAACAGGGATATTAAAAGTGTCCTGCGGCGGCCGCACGGCAGCACAGTCTAATCTCAATATCTTCTTATCTGTTCCATTCCTTTTGTAGTGTGGGTTAAAAAAGGCAGAAAGGTCAAATAAGAATGATATCACAGGTGAACACCCACTGTGATATTA
This sequence comes from Homo sapiens, assembly GCF_000001405.40. NCBI lineage: Eukaryota > Metazoa > Chordata > Mammalia > Primates > Hominidae > Homo > Homo sapiens. The sequence continues at coordinate 41,443,772 of NC_000013.11, forward strand.
GGAGTAATACCTCCCTGGGATATAAAAAATACCGTGACGGAGTATACACACATGGGGTACACCCACTGTGATAGTAGAAGCAATATCTCCCTAAAGTATGAGGAAAAATATCACAGGGTGTGCATACTGTGTGATATGAGGAGTAATATTTACCCTGGATATTATGACTAATATCAAGGGTGTACACACACGGGGTACACACACTGTGATATCAGGAGTTGTATCTCCCTAGGATATTACAAATAATATCACAGGGTATACACTATGTGTGTACATCCACTGTGATATTTGAAGTAATATCTCTTTATGAGATTACAAAGATTATCAAAGGGTATACACCCCAGTGACATATTAGGAGTAACGTCCTTCTAGGGTATTACAGATGACGTCACAAGGTATACATCTTCTGTGACATTTTGTACACCGTTTGTGACATTAAAAGAAACATCCCCTTAGGATATTACGAATAATGACACAGGCGGCTTACACACATGGTGTACACTGCCTGTGCCATCAGGAGTACCATTCCCCTAGGATATTATGAATAATATCACAGCAGGTGTACACACATGGTGTACACCCCATGTGACATTAGGAGGAACATGCCCCTAGGATATTAGGAATAGTATCACAGGTGTTGAATATGCATGATATACACCCCCGGTGATATTAAAAGTAACATCCCCCTAGGATATTATGAATAATATGACAGGGAGTACACCCTCTGTGACATTAGGAGTAACATCCCCTGAGGATATAACGGATAATATCAGAGGGTGTACATGCATTGTGACCTTAGTAGTAACATCTCTTTAGGATATTACAAATAATATCACAGGGTGTACACGCATTGTGACATTAGGAGTAACATCCCGCTGGGTTATGACGAGTCATATCACAGGGTGTACACCCCTGTGACAATAGTAGCAACATTCCCCTAGAATATTACGAATCATATCACAGGAGGTACAGCCCCTGTGATTTACGAGTAACATGTCTATAGAATATTACAACTCATATCACTGTGTGACTCTGTGTACATCCCATGGGACATTAGGAGTAACATCCCACAAAACTATTACAAATAATATCACAGGGTGAACTCCCCCTGCGACATGAGGAATAACCTAGTTTTAGGATATTATGAATGGTATGACAAGGTATACACACCCTGTGATGTTAGGAGCAAAATCCGTCCAGGATATTAGGAATAATATCACACGGAACACACCCCCTGTGTCATTAGGATATTATGAATAATATCACAAAGTGTACATGCATTGTGACATTAATACTAATATCCCTCTCGTATACTATGAATAATATCACAGGGTGTACATCCCTGTGACACTAGGAGTAACATCCCCCTAGAATATAACAAATAATATCACAGGGGGTACACACCCTGTGACTTCAGGATTATCACCGCCCTGGAATATGAGGAATACTGTCCCAGGTTATTAATCCCCTGGGACCTGAGGAGTAACATTCCGCTGGAATATTATGAATAATATCACAGTGTGTACACCAACTGTGATATTAGGAGTCCTATTTATTTTTACGATATTAGGAGTAATATCACAGTAGGTGTACACAAATAGTTTGTACACCTACTGTGATATTAAAAGTTATATCTCCCTAGGGTATTGTGAATAACATCACAGTGAGGGTACACCCACTGTGATATTTGAAGTAATATCTCCCTAAGATATGAGAAAAAATATCAAAGGGTGGACCCCGTCTGTGACATCAAAAGTAACATCTCTGTGGATATTCCGAATAATATCACAGGGTGTACACAGCCTGTGACATTAGGAGTAGCATCCCCATAAGATATACTGAGTAATATCACAGGGTGTACACCCTGTGTGACATTAAGAGTAACATCTTCTTAGGATATTATGAACAACATCACAGGGTGTACGACCCCTGTGACTTTAAAAGTATCATCCCCCTAGAATATTATGAATAACATCATGGGTGTACACCCCATGTGACATTAGGAGTAACATTTCCCTAGGATATTATGAAGAATATCACTGGGTGTACACCCTCTGTCATATTAGGAGTAACATCTTTCTAGGGTATTATGAATAATATCACAAGGTGTACACACACTGTGATATTCGGAGAGATAACTCAATGGGATATAAGGTATCATATCACAGAATATACACACATGGTGTACACCCACTGTGATATTAGAAGCAATATCTCCCTATGATAGTATGAGAAATATCAAACGGAGTACACTCTCTGTGATATTAGATGTAATGTTTACCATGGATATTACAAATAATATCACAGGGTGTACACACATGAGGTACGCCCACTGTGGTATTATTTGTACTGTCTTAGAGAGATATAACTCTCTAATATTACACAGAGAGCTATGACTCTGTAATATCTCTAAGATATTACAAATAATATCACAGTGGGTGTACACTATGTGTGTACACCCACTGTGAGATTTACAGCAATATCTCCCTATAAGACTACAAATATTATCAAAGGGTGTACACCCCCTGTAACCTTAGGAGTAACACCCTTCTGGATATCAGGAATAATACCATAAGGCATACACACCTTGTGACATTTTGTACACACTTTGTGACATTAAAAGTCACATCCCCCTAGTATATTATGAATAATATCAAAGGCAGTTGACGCACATGGTATACACATCCTGTTACATTAGGCATAATCTTTTTCTGTGATTTACGAATAATATCACAGAAGGTGTACACACATGGTGTACACTCCAGGTGACATTAGGAGCAACATCCCCCCAAGATATTAGAAATAATATTACCAGGGTTGCATACACATGGTGTACTCTCCCTGTGACATTAGCAGCAACATTCCCCTAGAATATTACGAATAACCTCAGAGGGGGTGTACACACATAATGTACGCACCTTGTAAAATTAGGAGTAGCATCTCCCTACGATGTTATGAATAATATCACAGAATGTGTACACACATGGCGGATACCCCATGTGATGTTAGGAGTTACATCTTTCTAGTATGTTAGGAATAATATCACAAAGGTGTTCACACATGGTTAACAGCATATGGAATATTAGGATTAACATCCCTCGAGAATATTACAAATAACATCACAGGGGTTGTGCACACATGGTGCACAAGCCCTGTGACATTAGGAGTACATTTCCCTGACACATTACGAGTAATATCAGAGAGAGTGCACCTTCTGTGACATTTGGAGTAAAGTCCCCTAGGATAGTACGAATAATATCACAGGGTGTACATCCCCTGTGACCTGAGGAGTAACATCTTTCTAGGATATTGTGAATAATATCACAAAACGCACAGCCCCTGTGACACGAGGAGTAACATCCACCTAGGATATTAGGAATAATATCACAGGGAGTACACCCCGTGTGACAGTAGGAGTAACCTCCCCCGAGGATATAACGAACAAATACAGAGGATGTACACGTGTCGTGACATTAGCAGTAACATCCATTTAGGATATTACGAATATTATCACAGTGTGAACACCCCCTGTGATATTAGGAGTAACATTCCCCTACAATATTGGGAACCATATCATACGGTGTACACCCCCTGTGACATTAGATGTAACATTTTGTTAGGATATTATGAATAATATTACAAGGTGTACAGCCCCTGGGATAATAGGAGTAACATTTCCATAAAATATTACGAATAATATCACTGTTTGCACACCACGGGTGACATTAGGAGTAACAGCCCCCAAAACTATTATGAATAACTTCACAGGGTGTACACCCTCTGTGACATTAGGAGTAACATCTTTCTAAAATATTACGAATCAAATCGCAAAATGTACACCCCCTGTGACATTAGAAGTAACATCACCCTAGGCTATAAGAAATAATATCAGACTGTGTACCTGCATTGTGACATCAGTAGTAACATCCCTTACTACTGATTTTTACGAATATTTTCAGAGCGTGAACACCTTCTGTGACATTAGGAGTAACATCACCCTATAATATTGGGAATAATACCACACGATGTACACCGCCTGTGACATTAGTGGTAACATTTCTTTAGGATATTACGAATAATATGACAGGGTGTACAGCCCCTGTGATATTAGGAGTAACATATCCAAAAAACTGTACAAATAATATCACTGTTTGTACACCACGTGTGACATTAGGAGTAACATCCCCCCAAACTATTATGAATAACTTCACAGATTGTACACCCTCTGTGATATTAGGAGTCAACATCTTCCTAGAATGTGAAGAATAACATCACAGGATGTACACCCCCGTGACATGAGGAGTAACATCACTCTAGGATATTATGAATAATATAACAAAGTGGACACAATGTGTATGGTGGGAGTAACATCCCCCTGGGATACTACGAATCATAGCACAGAAAGCACACCCCCGTGACAATAGGAGTCACATCCCCTTAGGATATTATGAATAATATCACAAGCTGTACAAGCATTGTGACATTAGTAACAATATCCAGATAGTATATTGTGAATAATATCACAGCGTGTACACATTTGCGATATTAGGAGTAACATCTCCCTAGAATATTACGAATAATATCACAGGGTGTACACATCCTGCGACTTTAGGATAATCATCCCCGTGGATAACTACAAATAATTTCACAGGATGTTAAACCCCTGTGACAATAGGAATAATATACTTCTAGGATATGATGAATAATATCACAGTGTGTACACCCACTGTGATATGAAAAGTTATACCTCCCTCAGATATTGTGAATAATATCACAGGGTGTACACCACGTGTGCACACCTATTGTGATTTTTAAAGTAATATCTCCTTAGGATATTACGAATAATATCAAGGGGTGTACACACCCTATGACATTAAGATAACACCCCTTTAGGATATTCGAAATAATATCCCAGGGTGTACACCCCATGTGACATTACAAGTAACATCTTCCGAGGATATTACGAATAAGATCCCAGGGTTGACATCCCCTGTGATTTTAAAAGTAAAATCCCTCTAGAATATTACTAATAATAACACAGGGTGTACACCCCTGCGACATTAGGAGTAACATCCTTCCAGGATATTACGAATAATATCAGAAGGTGTACACACATGTTGACATTAGTAGTAATATCCCACTAGTATATTGTGAATAATATCACAGGGTATACACACCTGTGACATTAGGAGTAACATCCCCCTGGAATATTCCACATAATATCACAGAGTGTACACCTCCTGTGACTTTAGGAGTATCATCCCGCTAAAATATTACGAATAATGTCACAGGGGGTTAGCCTGTGTAATATCACAGGGTGTACAGCCCCTGTGACATTAGGAGTAACATCTTTCTAGAACATCACAAGTAATATCACAATGTGTACACCCCCTGTGACATTAAAAGTAAAATCCCCCTAAGATATTCCGAATAATATCACAGGGAGTACACCCCGTGTGACATAGGAGTAATAACCCGTGAGGATATAATGAATAATATCAGAGGGTGTACACGTATTGTGACATAAGTAGTAACATCTCCCTAGGATATTATGAACAATACCAGAAGGGGTACACCCCGGGTGACATTAATTTCTGTAACATTCCCCTAGAATATGACCAATAACATGACATGGTATAGAACACCTGTGATTTATGAGTAACATTTCTATAGAATATTACAAGTAATATTCGGTGTGCACCCCGTGTGACATTAGGAGTAACATCCCACGAAACTGTGACGAATAATTTCAAAAGGTGTACACCCTCTGTGACATTAAAAGTAACATCTCGCTAGGATATTACGAATAATATCACAGGGTATACAGACCCTGTGACATGAGGAGTAATGTCTTTTTAGGATATCACGAATAATATAACAAGATGTACACACACTGTGATATTAGGTGTAACCTTCGTCTAGGAGACTGCGAATACTATCACAGTGAACACACCCCTTGTGACAATAGGAGTAACATCCCCGTAGGATATTATAAATAATATCACAAGGTGTACACACATTGTGACTTCAGTGCTAATATCCCTCGCATATACTGTGAATAATATCACAGGGTGTACACGCCTGTGATATTACATTAGGAGTAACATCTCCCTAGAGTATTACGAATAATATCATAGGGGTACTCACGCCTTTGGTTTAGGAGTCATATTGCCCTAGGATATTACAAATAATATCACAGTGTGTGCACTCACTGTGATATTAGGAGTCCCATTTTCCTAGGATATTATGAATAATATCACAGTAGGTGTTCACACATAATGTGTACACCGTGTGTGTACACCCAATGTGATATCTGAAGTCATATGTCCCTGGGATCTTATGAATAATATCAAAGGGTGTGCACCCCATGTGACATTAAAAGTAATGTCCCTTTTGGATATTCCGAATGCTATCACAGGGTGTGATATTAGGAGTGTGATATTAGGAGTAACCTCTTCCTAGGATATTACAAATAACATCACAGAGTGTACACCCCTGTGATTTTAAAAGTAACACCCCCCTAGAATATTACGAATAATATAACAGGGTGTACACCCCCTGTAACATTAGGAGTAACGTCTCCCTAGGATATTATGAATAATGTCACTGGGGGCACACCCTCTGTGATATTAGCAGCAACATCTTTCTAGGATATTACGAATGATATCACAGGGTGTACACTCACTGTGATATTAGAAGGAATATCTCCCTAGGATATAAGCTATCATATCACAGAGTGTACACACATGGTGTACACCCACTGTGTTATTAGAAGCAATATCTCTCTATAATATTATGAAAAATACCACAGGGTGTACCCACTGTGGGATACTAGAAGTAATGTTTACCATGGATATTACAAATAATATCACAGGGTGTACACACATGGGGTACACCCACTATGATATTAGGAGTTATATCTCTCTAAGATATTACCAATAATATCCCAGTGGGTGTACCCCATGTGTGTACACCCACTGTGGTATTTAAAGTAATATCTCTCTATAAGATTACAAATAATATCGAAGGGTGTACACCCCCTGTGACATTAGGAGTAACATCCCCCTACAATATTGAGAACAATATCACACGGTGTAGACCCCTGTAACGTTAGGAGTAACATCCCCCCAGAATATTACTAATAATATCACAAGGTGTACACGCATTGTGACATTAGCAGTAATATCCTGCTAGCATATTTTCAATAATATCACAGAAGGAACACACCTGTGACATTAAGAGTCACATCCCCCTAGAATAGGAAGAATAATATCACAGGGTGTACACCTCCTGTGACATTAGGAGCATCATCTTGCTAGAATATTATGAATAATGTCACTGGGTGTTATCTTCTGTGACATCAGGAGTATAGACCCCTGGGAAATTATGAATACTATCACAGGGTGTACACCCTTGTGACATTAGGAGTAACGTCTTTCTAAAATATCGCGAATAATATCACAATGTGTACACCCCGTGTCATTAAAAGTAAAATTGCCCTAGGACACTACGAAATAGAACACAGGAAGTACACCCCGTGTGACATCAGAAGTAACATCCCCCAAGGATATAACGAAGAATATCAGAGAATGTACCCGCATTGGGACATCAGCAGTAACATCTCTTCAGGATAATACGAATAATGTCAAAGGGTGTACACGTATTATGAAATGAGTAGTGAACTCCCGCTAGGATATTACGAATTTTATGACACCGGTCTACAGGACCGGTGACATTAGTAGTAACGTTTTCCTAGAATATTACGGAGAATATTAAAGGGTGTACAGGACCTGTGATTCACGAGTAACATTTCTATAGAATATTACACGTAATATCACGGTGTGTACACCCCGGGTGACATTAGGAGTAACATCCCACAAACCTATAATGAATAATTTCACAAGGTGTACACCCTCTGTGACATTAAAAGTAACATTTCCCTATAATATGACGATAATATCACAGAGCGTACACCCTCTTGATATGAGGACTGACATCTTATGAGGATAATACGAGTAATTTGATAAGGCGTACAAACCCTGTGACATAAGGAGTGACATCCCTCTAGGATGTTACAAATAATATCAAAGGGAATACACCCCGTGTGACCACAAAAGTAACCTCCCCTTAGGAGATTAAGAAGGTGTACAAATATTGTGACATTATTATTAATGTCCCGCTATATTATAGTGAATAATATCACAGTGTGTAGAGTCCTGTGACATCAGCATTAACATTCCCCTACAATATTACGAATTATATCGCTGGGTGCACACCCCCCATGTGACTTTAGTAGTGGCATGATCCTAGAATATCAAAAATAATGTCCCACGGTGATAACCAAGTGTGCCAGGAGAGAAAATATCCTAGGAGTAACTAATATCTTATAATGTCACACGGGGTGTACTCCCTGTGTTATATTTCGTAATATCTTAGGGCAATTCTACTTTTAATGACACAGGAGGTGTGCACATGCAGGCAGTAATATCACCCCCCTCTCCCCCCCGGATATTAGGAGCCACATCGCAGGGGGGCGGGCGCCCCCCGCGATGCGGGGAGTAATATCACCCCCCTCTCCCCCCCTGGATATTACGAGCTACGGTGGTCACACAGCCTCTTTACTTTATTGTGAGTAATATCTCCTCCGCCTCTGGAAATTACCAACCATATCTCAGAAGGGTGTACATCTTCTGCACTATTGGTAGTAATAACATCCTCTTCCCCCTGGATAGGAAGAACAAAATCACAGGAGTGTTTCTACCCCCAGCGCCATTGGGTGTAGTATCATCCTCTCCCACTTTGAAATTAGGAACAACATCACTGGGGGCTTGTCCACCCCATGTGATATTGAAAGTAATGTCATCCTCTTCTGTCCTGGATCATGGAAAAAATATTACTGGGGTGGTGTACACTTTCTGCGGTTTTGTGAGTAATATCATCCTCTCTGACTTGCAGTCTTAAGGGCAATATCACAGGGTGGCTGTACACACCCTGTGCTATTAAGAAGAATATTATCCTGTCCTGCCCTGCATATTAGGAAAAATGTCACAGAGTAGGTGTACAACTCCTGCGATATGGGAGGTAATATCATCTTTTCATCTTCTGGATAGTAGGAACAGTATCACATGGGTTTGTACACTTTCTGTGATATTGGGAGTAATATCAACATCTCCGCCTTTGACTATGAAGAACAATATCACAGAATGGATGTACACCCACTCAGATATTGGGAGTCATATCAGCCTCTCATCTCCATGGATATTGGGAATAATATCCCAGGGTGGGTGTACACCTCCTGCTGTATGGGGAGTCATATCGTCCTCCCCCATCCTGGCAATTAGGAACAATATCACAGGGTGGGTGTCCACAGCCTGCGATATTGGGACTCATATCACCCTCTCCCCCTCCGGATATTAGGAACAATATCACAGAAGGGTTGTATATTTCCTGCGATACTGCGAGTAATAGCATTCTCTTCTTCCGTGAATATTAGGAGCAATATCACCGGGTGGATGTACACCCACTGCTATATTGGGAGTAACGTCATACTCCACCCCCTGGATGTTATATTCGGATCAATATAACCGGGTGGGTGTACACCTACTGTGATATTGAAAGTAATATCATGCTCTCTCCTTTCCGTGGACATTAGGAACAGTATCACAGGTGGGTGTACACCCACTGCGGTATTAGGAGTAATATTAGTATGAATTATTACACCTTGATTATTAACATGAATATGAATTACCAATATTAATATTAAGAAATAATTGCTAATAAAAAGTTTTCAGATTATTAATATTAATATTATTAGGAGCTAATATTACTGTTTTCTAATGAATAAGATCAGTATCAGTTATTAATATCAGGTGTTATTAATAATTAATATTAATAATTTATTTTTATCATTGGTAGAACTATGTAATAGAAATTATGATTATCGGTATTGATTTAAAAATATCAGTTATTAATATTGATATTATTAATATCAATCAATAATTGATGTTTTAATATCAATCAATAATTGATGTTATTAATATCAATCAATAATTGATGTTATTAATTGCGATAAGTAATATTGCGACATTCCTCACAATATCGCAGAAAATGTACACCCCTCTGTGATGTTGTTCCGAATAGTCAGGGGTAGACGATGGCATTACTCCAAATATCGCACTGGGTGTACATTCCTTCTGTGATCTTGTTGCTAATATCCAGGCTGGGAGAGGATGGTATTAATCCCAATAATCCAGAAGGTGTAGACCTCCCCTGTGATATTGTCCCTAATATCCAAAGGTGGAGAGGAAGATATATCACCCAATTTCGCAGGGGTTGGACACCACCCCTGTGATATTGTTTCTAATGTCCACGGGTAGAGAAAATGACATAACTCACAGTATGGCAGGGGGTGAACACTCCCTCCATGATATTGTTCCTAATACTCGGGGGTAAGAGTATGATATTACTCCCAATATCATAGGGGGTGTACTCCCAATATCCCAGGGGGTGTATAGTATCCCGACCGGTGATAGACTCCGCCACGATGCGGGGAGTAATATCACGCCCCTCTCCTTCCCTGGCTATTACGATACACATCGCAGGGGGGCGGGCGACGCTCGCGACGCGGGGAGAAATATCAGCCCCTCCTGACATTACAAGCCACATGGCAGGGGATGGACACCCCCAGTGATGCGGGGAGTAATATCTACCCCCCCTTCCCCATGGATATTAGGAGCCACATCGAAGGCGTGTGGACAGCCCCCGCTGATGCGCAGAGTAATATCAACCTCCGTCCCTCCCTGCATGTTAGCAGCCACTGTGGACACACAGTGTATTTACGATATTTCCAGTAAGATTATCTTTTCTATTGAACCTTATGAACAAGATCACAGGGGGGTGTACACATCCTGCGATATTGGGGGTAATATCATTCTCTCCTCCACAGCATACTGGGAACAATATCACAGGGGCGTGTATTCCCCCTTTCTTATTGGGAGTCATATCATACTTGCCTTCCATATATTAAGAACAATATCAAAGGGGGGGGTGGACACTTTGACGATATTGGGAGTAACATCATTCTCTCTATCCCTGGATATTAGTAGCAATATCACAGGGGGATGTACATTTCTTGTGATATTGAGAGTAGTATTATTGTCTTCCCCACTGGATATTAAAAACAATACCACATGGGGTGTCAAACCACCTGCCAAATTTGAGGGAATCTTATCCTCTCCCCTGCACCCCCCGCGCCCCGGATATTACAGACAATAACACAGGGGTAATGTACACCCACTGCTTTATTGGGAGAAGCATCATCCTCTCCTCCCTTAGATATTAGGAACAATATCATGGGGAGGGGGTGTACTGCCTCGGCGATATTGGGAGGAAAATTATCCTCTCTTCCCCTGGATATTAGGAAGGGTATCAGAGGGGGGAGAGTGTACATTCCCTGTGATATTCAATGTAATCTTATCCTCTCCCTCCCAGGGTATTAAGAAAAATATTACAGGAGGGTGTACACCCCCTGCAATACTGAGAGTCATATCATCCTCTTTCGCTCTGGATATTAGGAACAATATCACAGGGTTGTGTACTCCCCCTGCGATATTGGGAGTAATATCATTCTCTCTCCCTGTGGATTTTAGGAAGAGTATTACAGGGCTGTGTACACCCCCTGCGCTATTGGGAGTAATATCATCCTCTCTCCCTCTGGATAGTAGGAAGAGTTTCATAGGGGTGTGTACACCCCCTGTGATATTGGGAGTAATATCATCCTGTCGCCCTGAGGAGAGAAGCCATTTCGCTACTGTCTCCTGTCTCTGAAGAGGAGGAGGAAGTAAAAGTTGGAAAACAACAGGAATGAAGTCAGTGTCAAGACCAGCCGGTGGCAATGAGGAGCCGGCCTGAGGTGAAACAATCAACCCCCGTGACTCTAAGTACATGTGCTCTCAATCCATCAAGACCCTTTCACGTGGAACCCCTTAAAGCTGTAAGCCCTTAAACGGGCCAGGAACTCTGTCTTCCTTCCGGGAGCTCGGCTCTTAAGACGCGAGTCTGCCGAAGCTCCCAGCGGAATAAAAAAAACTCTTCCTTCTTTAATCCGCTGTCTGAGGGGTTTTGTCCGCTGCTCATCCATGCTCCATTTCTTTGTTCCCTGACCGGGAATCGAACGCAGGCAGCAGCGGTGAGAGCACCGAATCCTAAGCACTAGACCACCAGGGGAACTTAGAACCTTGTGGGAAATAGATTGCGCACCATTAGAAGTGGGTTGGCCATCAGAAGGAAGCCTGGACAGGTCCCTTGTTTCTAAGGCGTGGCACAAGGTAACTGGTAAAGATACCTAGACCAGTTCCCATACATAGACACTTGGTGACAGCTGGTGCTAGAACCCCCACAGTGGCTGAGGGCATGCAGCAGCAATACTAGTAGCAAAGGGACAGATAGCTAAGGAAGGATCCCGCTCCACTCACCCAGGGAAATCAACTCCTGAAGTTCTGTTCGACCCCACATCAGAGGATCCATTGCAGGAGATGGCACCAGAGATCCCAGTGGTGTCCTCCCCTTAACAGGGAAAGAGGCTCCCCACTCTTGAGCCCACAGTGCTTGTGCCTCCACAAGACAAGCATATCCCTAGGCCACCCAGAGTAGACAAGAGAGGAGGACTATTCATATGATTAGTGGTCATTAACATATACTCCTTTGTGAGGTGTATGTTTCAATGTTTTGCTCATTTTTAATTTTTACCAGGTTGTCTATTTGTGATTACTTTGTAGATGGGTCTTTCTATATTCTGAAAACAAATCCTGGCTGGGTGCGGTGGCTCACGCCTGTAATCCCAGCACTTTGGGAGGCTGAGGTGGGCAGATCACCTGAGGTCGGGAGTTCGAGACCAGCCTGGCCAACATGGACAAACCCCGTCTCTGCTAAAAATACAAAAACTAGCTGGGAGTGGAGGCTGAATGTTTCACTCCGTTACATGTTAATTGCTCTACATTTAATTAGCCGTCTGTGGTGAGAGGCGAGAGGCTAGCGCCTAGCTCAGCGCACAGTCCAGGGCGTTCGCCCCCGCAGGCCGCGGGGCAGGGTGGCTCGTTACTCCGTGGACACTGCAAGGCGCCCTGTTCGCGCTGCGTCGACGCAGTAGTTTCTTCCCATAATAAACCCCTTCTAGATAAAGTCAGGCTGGCGGGAGCGCCCTGGACCGTAGTTCAGGCCCCCGCGCTCCGCGGTGGGAACAGTTCAGGACTCCCCCAACTCCTGCCCCTCTCGCCCCGACCCTCTCCACTCCGCCCGCCCACCATCTCGGAAGTCCCCTTGGGACAATGCGTAGGGGACCTCCGCGTCCCCGACACCCGACTGGGACACGGCCGCGGGCTCCTTCGTCCCTCACCGCCAGCCAGGGAGGCTCTGCATGCCCACGTCCACTTCACAGCCGAGGAAGCTGCGGCTCGCGGAGGTGCCTGGCACGCGGCGGGAAGCAGCAGAGCTCGCGCCCAGCAGTCAGCTCTGGTGACGCCGAGGACACCGCGTGGGCCGGGTTGTCAGGGCGCGGGGGCGAGAGGCGGGTAAATATTTGGGGCTGTAACCGGGGCTTCGGCGACTCCTCGTCACCGCGGTTCCAGGGCGGGCGCGTGGCGAGGGCGGTGCCTGGGGGCAGGGGCCTCCTCGGAGGGCGGCGGGGACAGACCCGTCGCCCCGGCTCCGCAGCCCCGCCCCGGCCCCGCCTCCGCTCCGGCCGCCGAAGGCTATAAGATCTAGGAACCCGAGCCGGTGGTAGGGCGGGCGCGGACCGTGCTGGGAGCGGCGCGGCTGGAGCGCAGCGCCGAAGGGACTGGCAGGGCTGAAGTGTGCGGGACAGCAAGCCCCCGAATAGCCCCGGCTGCCACCTCGCAGGACCCAAGGCCACGCGCGCCGGGCCCAGCTGAGCCGCCTCATGAAGCCGCCCGCGGCGCAGGGCAGCCCCGCGGCCGCCGCGGCCGCAGGTGAGTGCGGGGTCCGGGGTCCCCTTAAAGTCTCGGCTCTGCAGATGGCGGGTGAGAAAGGAGGGGCCCCGTGTCGTCCCTTCACACCCCCCACCCTTCCATCCTCCCCGGCGGGAACCTGTCCCCGGTCTTCCCGCGCGGGCGGCTGCAGCCTCCTTTCCGGCCCGGGCTGGCCCCCATGTCCCACCTTCCCTCCACCACCAGCTCCGCGCGCGCCCGGGGTTGGGGGGAGCGGCGGGGACAGGTAACCGGCAGCGCCTGGGGAGGAATCTGGCCGCGCCAAGTCGCTGGGTGACCCTGGGCCTGGCGAAGGCTCAGTTTTCTTGTCTGTAAAACGGACTTGGTAATAGAACGCACTTCGGGGGTGGTGGAGAAGATTACAAGGTAACAGCGACTGCGTGGCTGTCACTTGGCAGAGGCGCCAAGTGTCAGTTATCTTCGGGAACCGTGGCGGCCCCTCCTGGCCCTGGGAGGTGGTCCCGCTGCCCCCCTGACTTCCGTGCACTGAGCCCCTGGCCCTGCCCGCAGCCCCGGCCCTGGACTCGGCGGCCGCGGAGGACCTGTCGGACGCGCTGTGCGAGTTTGACGCGGTGCTGGCCGACTTCGCGTCGCCCTTCCACGAGCGCCACTTCCACTACGAGGAGCACCTGGAGCGCATGAAGCGGCGCAGCAGCGCCAGTGTCAGCGACAGCAGCGGCTTCAGCGACTCGGAGAGTAAGTGCGGCCCCCGCTAGGATGGCGCCGGGATCTCCCAGCTCCCAGGACCTGCCCCGCGAAGGCTGCGGCCTCAGTTTTCTTATCAGTAAACTGAGGAATGGTTTCCTGAAGCTCAACGCAGTAGGCCGAGTGGTGGCGGGGCCCCTGACGATAATCACGGGAAAGGTCGCTGGAGGGCAGGTTGGTTCACTTGCCGCCCACGGGTGTGTCACCAGGCAGGCGAGTTTAAGCAGCTTGTCCCGACTCAGCCAGACAGGACTCCCTGGACCTGCACCAGGCCTTTCCGCAGTTTCCCTCCTCTTCTCCTTTCCGTGCCTCTCCCCTCTCAGCTGTAACTTTGCAGATGTGGAACAAGTGCCAGTGGAATGAGGGGGCACAGTGGGGACATGGGAGGGCGCAGAACGGAAATATTCATGAAACCAGGAAAGGTTTCATAAGCCCAAACTGCTGTTCTTGGGATTTATGAAATAACTGCTTGCATTGTCTTCTGGCCCTTAGCTCTCAGACTTGTTGCTCCATTGCATGCAGTTATGAAAATCTTTGGCACTGCTGAGTTCAAGTATTTTTCAGCCAGGTCCTCCACCAGGCTGGAGGGGGAGCCAGAGAGCACATGGGCATGAAGGTGGTTCCTGGTGATCTTTCTCACAATGGAGACTACCCCAGGGTCTCTTTGTCCTGAACAACTTTGTCAACAACAGCAACAACAACAAAAACAACAAAAGAGACAGCTTTTTCCAGGAACTCACATGTCCTGGGAGGATTACAGGTACCTCAAACAGCAAATTAGGTGCCTTTTTAATATTACATGATTGTTGGTTTCAAATCCAGAATTGCTTATTGTTTTTCAAAGGGCAAAGTCAATTTTAAACTCTTCTGTGTTATTCTTCAGCCTTTAATCCTTAGATGGGTTACAGGCATGAATGTCACTCCTTTTGCTGCCCTTGACTCAGGACGTGAAAGTAATGGCCTTTCCGTGTGATTCTCTTATTTTGAAACCTGGAGCTCTTCCTTGTTCCTGGGCTAAGATTCGGGGCTAGACATGAACATGAGCTGCCCTTCTGCAAAGGGATAAATGCGCTCACCACCCTGGTCAGGGTTTGACTCAGGAAGCTGAGTTCCAGCTTGTTTCCTTGGCAGCACTGCCAAAGAGTTAGACCAAGCTGCAGCTTTTGAGGTGAAAGGGGATGGAAGAAAGTACTGTTACTTTTCCACTTAGAATTTTTGGACTTTGTTCTTAATGAATAGGTTCATTTTCAATTTCAAAGCAAAGTGTTAACATTTTTGAAATTTGTCTCAATTCTAAAGGCCAAACTTAAATATGTCTCCTCCTACTGGGGCATGGAGCAAGTTATTCATCAAATACAGATTCTCGCATGGAAAAGAAAGCTAGGATAGTGTGTCGCTGCTGCTCTGTGGCAAAGAACAGCTCCTTTCTAAGCAACAGCCTCACTCTACTAGAATAGGTCTGAGCGCGCCCATTCATGGCTGATTGCAACTTCCACTGGGTGGGATTTCAGATCTAGAATCTGTTTTCAGATGCCTTAAAGAGAAGACATAGAAACACATTCTTAACAGTTTCAGGGGAGATAGTTGGGATAGTTTGTAGTTTTGCTTAGGTTATATGTGTCTGTTTTCTGCTTTTGTTGTTAACGGACTAACCCTTAGTTTGGTGGTTAGAGAAGTGATGGGAAGAACATAAAGAAAGCTCAGATGACATTTGTCTTTGCTTTAAATGTGTAGTTTTTCTCTCACAAGGCTAGTCAGAAATATTGTTGGCAGAAGCTGTGTGTATCTAAATAGTAATTTCTTAAGGAAGCATAATATGTATATCTTAATTGCTGCCAAGAATTGAGTACAGACATTTGTTATCCTCGTTTGTCTGTTTAATGCTTTTCTATGGGAGAGAATGCTTAAGAGAGGTAGATACTACTGAAATTTAGCTCATCAAGAGGGAGACACACCAGGATAAGGATAATAACAGCAGCTCACTTTTAGCAAACGCTTGTTATGATGATGATGATGATTTATTAGCTGGAATGGGAACCATGTCTTCACGAATAGACTGAAGTCCTTTTGAGCCCAGATCACATGCCTGTTTGTCAATGATGGCTGTTTATGAAGGTGTCTCTTTGAGGTGGTGGTCATCTGGCAGGGTCAGTAGAGCTTAGATTGAGCCTTGTCAAGGCCCTGGGTGATGAGTGGGATTTAGTTTCTCTAGCTGTGAAATTGAAAGGATGCTATTTAATAGTGCTATTAGGGAGAAAATATTTGCTCTGTTGAATACTTTCAAAATATCATTACAATGTACATGCTGTGCTATACCATATAGATACATTGGAGCCAGTGTCTCGCATGAAAATATTTTGGATGAATATGTAAACCAATGTTACCTTTGTTTTTTGCTCTAGTTTTTACAGCTCTGTCTGAAGGTGCACCAACCTTACAAGGAAGATCAAACAGCAAGCCTGTTCTTTGAAGAATACTTCTTTATTATCATTAAAAAAAATTTAGGTTGCTTGCACCCAAAGGCAAAAAATAGCCATTCCTCGTACTGAAAGAAACAAGTTACTCAGATAGGAAAGAAGAACAGATATTTAATAAGGAAATATTCCTTCCTGTTCCCACTTTCAGGGAGGCCTCTTAAGACATGAAGAGGACCAAAATAACAATTGCAGTATAACTTCACATGGTGGGGTGGGGGGTGTGGAGTTCAAATGTGGTTGATCAAAATAGTGTTGTTACTTTCGTTTAGACTTGATTCCAACATGTAAAAAAATCAGGCACTTTAGTGGGAGTGATTTTAACTTCAGTAGTGAAAGGGCAATGCAATTAAGAGTTAGGGTAGTGTTTCTCAAACTTCATCCTCAGAGGTGCTTTAGAAATTGACTACCTTTGGTTTGAATTTATTTTTAGAAATATATCTTCTTTTCAGTATTTTTAAAACTGTAAAAGGTAAACCATGTTTTCTCAAATGTGTTAAATGGAATTTTAACTCATTATGTTTCAAGTTTTAACCAGTGTGTTGACTTTATAAGAAGTTTATAATATTAACTTAAACTTTAAAAGGTGGTATGCACTTATACCTTTAAGGTATTGGGGTTTCACATAATTTTTCCTTTGACGGGGGAGTGTTTTGCTGCTCAACAGAAAAGGTCTGAAGTCTACTGTGTATGCTAGGGTTATTATGATATTGTAGGACCATTTAGGAAATGAGGAACTGGCTTCTTTAGCATCAGCAAGACTTAGAACACCTGCATATCTTTGCTTAGGCTATTCTGGCCTGGCCCTGGGAGAGGGGACCTTGTGGGCCCTGGAGAACCAGCATGACAGATGGCTTATGTGGCTTAGAAGCCACTGAGGTAGAACCTGAACTTGTTCAAGCCATGAGAGAATAAGGCCAATGAGGAGCCTTCAGGGTTCCCTGGTACTGTGTTAGCAATTCTGCATGGGTAATGGATCTTGTGATGCTTGGCAAGGCATATAGAGGGACAGTGCGATCCCAGAAAGGGAGCTGGGACAACAGTGGAGAAGTTGAGGAAAGATGCTCTTTCTTATTTTGCCCCCCTTTGGCGAGGCTATCAGAATTTAGATTTTCAGGAGGAGAAGTCAACCCACACCCCCAGCCATTCCCTGTGGCAAAAGGGAGGTAGGTCCAAAGCTTTCTTTTTCTTGGTTAATTACTATAGTTTGCTTGCTTTAAACGTGTGGGATCGTTCTATATTTACAGGAGCCTTGGGTAAGGTTTACTGTCTGTGGTTTTACTTCCCCCTGGAGCAGCACGTTGACATGCGCTAACCCTAAATTACCTTTCTCCCAACCCCCCTAGCTAAAAAAACACACCTACCTTTTAAACAAGCCTCTATTTTGCAGCAGTGTTTCTCAGACTCTGTTAGTTGTATATTTCATATGCTTTTCTTTCTTTTGATGGTGCCTTAGAAAACACGGTCCCAGAATTTGAGGTTCCTGACTTCAGTACACTAACTAGACTTGCCAGGGATGTTTCTAATGGGAATTTGAGATACATGTGAGATGGTGCTTTAGAGCTGATTGAAGCCGATATTGTAAGGCCCTCAAATATCCAGCCTTACCACCTGCCAGGGTTCCCCAAATTATCACTGTTCTAGGTCCTTCGAGCCCCTATTAATAGCAGCACCTGATACCCACGCGGGGCAATAATACATGAATATGTGATCAGCCAGCAACACATTGCTGTCATTTAATCAGACTAACTGGCTATTACTTTTGCAAGGAATAGAGTTCCAGGGGAGGGAAAAGAACAGGATGTCCGGCTTTGCCTACCTTGAAATCTGTCTTGCGTGAGATTTTGCCCATTGTATGTTCTTAATAAAACTCTATGGAAAGAAATTTTATTGGTTAAGGGTAAAGAGAGGTCTAGAGCTTGGGGTACCTCTATGTTGAGAGTTTGTTCTTGGGAGGTTTGTTCTAGGATGCCACTGAAGAGAAAGTTCTCTTAAGAATGTTGCTGCTCTCTCTCAAGAAGAGGGAGGATCTTGATTCTGTTTATTCTCTGTGATTACCTTTTCTCTCTCAGGAGTGCTATTCTGCACTTTGCTAGGAACTTTAGAGTTAAATCATTAAAACCACAGGCATTATACACAGAGCACCTAGGTTATTGTTCTTCTTCTAACAAGGAAGAAACAGAGTGACTCTACAGGGTCATGCAGTTTTCACGTGGCCTCTAGACACCCACTCGACAGTGGCATAGATGCTAGATGCCCACTCGCCAGTGGTGTAGCTTTGGGGCCTTGAGGGCTCTCTTTTCATCTGTGCCATACACGATGTGTAGATATCATCACAGGGTGCGCCTCAGCTGCAGCAGGTTTGGCTCAAGGATGCTGGCGGTCGGCTTCTTCTTGGTGGTCGAAGGTTGAACAGTTCAAAACTTGGAGTTGGGTCTGTCCCAGATTGTACACCTCACGGAAAGGGAGTGAAGTCATGGTGTGGCAACGAGCTGGGGCGTGAGCTAATGTGTATCTGTGTGTGTGTGTGTGTGTGTGTGTGTGTGTGTGGTGGGCAGGGCGGGGGCGGGCAGGAGGAAGTGAGTGTAGCTGTGCTGCCATGCCTCTGTTTGCGTGTGTTTCTATATAAATAGATATTGTAACTAGTATTTTTCCTCCTCTTCCTCCCTCACTGTGGGAGTGGCTGTCAGTTTGTCTGTATATTTTCTCAGTTTGGGAAAAATTCTCACATCAAGAAGGCATTTAGCCTGTGAACCTAAAGGATCAGAGGACAGTCCTGGCAATATTCTGGATCTACGGCTCATTCTCTACAGATTCTCTCCAGGCCCCATGAGTTATGCTGAGTCTTTCCTGAATCTTTGCTGGATTCCTTTTTTCCCCTGCTAACATCCTCTTTTGTAATGGCCTTTCCATATCTAGATTGTTCCTTCTTCCAACATTCAATAGCGTTTGGCCTCCTTGCCTGTGAGGTGAACAAATTGTGGTGTCTTTCTCCCCTGCAGAGGAGTGTACGTGGATGGAAACTTGCTGGAGAGTAGGGGCAGAAGAGAGCTGAAGTTCAAAGTCAGGGTAGGGCCTGTGGTGCATGCCGGGTGGGTGGAGTGAGCAGTGGTGTGGAAAGTTGCTCTCCCAGGCCAGCTGCTTGTGGGAGATAGAGAGCGGAGGTGTGGTCCCTGCGATCTGGGCCAGCCAGCCTCTGGGCCCAGGGATGGGGGCGAAGCTCTCAGGTATCCTTCATAGCCACGGATAATGTGCCAAGGGCCTGGTATTTTCTGGCTCAGAGTCTAGGCATGAGGCCTGCCTCCTCAGGACCCTCTGTGGTTTTCTTGCCCCTAAATTTTGCCTTATCTTCTCCCCATGAGTTTCTCAGGCTGTATTTGTGGCGATTCTCCTGGTGACTGCATGGTGACAACAGTAAGGCTTCCTTGCAGGTCTGCAGTGGGTGTGGCCAGCTTCCTGTGTGTAGGGGAAAGGGCTTCCCTTGGGAGAATTGGAGAGCCCACCTTTGGAGGTGGGCTCGGTTGAGGGAGCCAGCAGGAGGGCTTCCCAAGTAAGGTTCCACGGAGTCCAAGGGTCCTGAGAAGTAGTAGCAGGAGCACCACAAAGAAGTGTCCCGTGGTCAGGTACACTGGGGAAATGGGGCTGGTTTTGTTTAACCGCAAGTCTTTTCAGGATGTTGGAAGTGGGCATACCCATGGGAATGAGCAAGGCTGTTTGGTGTTTCTCAGGTGTACCTGATCACACAGCCCTCGGAGGACCAGCACTCTGAGGAATGTATTTTTGGGGAAGTGTAGGTATCAGGTCCAGGATTTTGGATCTCAGTCCATGTTCATCCTCAAAGCCCAGTGATGGTGGTCATTTCAGGTGAGCTGGGCTGGACCTCTGAAGGAAGCAAAGATTGTGAGGGTTGCTCTCAAGGGTCTTCTGGGCATGTTTGGAAAAGTGGACAAGATGGCGGTGTCAGCGAAAAAGAGCAGGGGGCAGGTGGGCCCCTGGGCAGGAGAGGGTGGGGGGAAAGGGAGCCAGGTGAGGCACCTGAGAAGTTGTGGCAGCCTCTTAGGGACAAAGCTGAATTTCCCTGAGACTAGAAACCTCTTCTTCCGAAAACTCTGATACTTTTTGTACTGGGCCTATCTCTTGTCACTTAGGCAAATTCCTTTTCAGTTAATGGGACCAAAGAGAGATGTTTTTGCCTCCCCCTAAGCTGGAGGTAGTTGGCTTAAAGTGGAAGAATCCCGAGGAGGCGGGGACCTGGTAAGGCCCCCATCATTCAGCTGCCCTCTCACACCTGAAGAGCCACTTCTCTGCTCCAACTGTGGCTGGCTTTGTGTTTTGTTTTAACCAGGAAGGCTGTTCCCCGTGACCTCAGGGGCCACATCCTGCTTCTGCTGCCTGCCTTGCCTTTGCACCCTTTGAGTCAGTGCTGCTCAGCCAGCAGCCCCTTTCTGAGTCACAGCCACACAGCTGGGCCAACCGTGCGTTGGTTTCCTTCCCCTTAGCAGGACTTAGAGAATCTCAGAACTTTAGAGCTAGAAGTGCCTTTAAGGATTATTTAGTCCGCCTTCCCATTCTATTGATAAGTAAGCTAGGCCCAGAGATGTACTAGCTCAAAGGCACCCTAGTACTTAGTAGTTGACTGGATGGTCCCCTTGACTCCCAGTTCAGCCTTGAACTTCTGGGGCCTCATCTTGCTGTGGTTCAAGTCTTTGGAGGTATGAGAATAGAGGGAGCCATGATGTCACTCCAAGTGTCTAATAGATGAACTTCCAGGAGAAGATGTCTTTATCTTTGACCTTCTGGCTTATCTGAAGAGTACAGACTCTTAGGAAAACCTCTCTTAAGTAAAAGAGAGGATTATTAAATTATAGGACAGCAAGAGAGCAAAGATCTCTCTTGAGCAGGGAAAGAGGCTTAAGTCATGGGATACTGGATGTTTGTATTTTAGGAGGCTCAGAGGGCAGAAGGGACATATTTCACTTGAGATGATTCCTTTTGCCTAAAATCCTTACCCCCACACTCCCACCATCAACCAAGCACTGGTCATGATGATCCTATCACCCCCTTCCTGTATTGGGGAAGCAAGGGCCTTTGGTATACTTGATTTGACACACACACACTCTCTCACTTCTCACTCACACTCTCACACTCACATGCTCTCACACACACACTCTCATTTTCTCACACACACTCCACACTCACACACGCACACACTCTCACACACTTTCTCACACACACACTCACACACACTCATACACTCACACACTTTCTCACACACACATATTCTCACACACACCCACACTCACACACTCATGCACACACACACACTTTCACACAAACACACACACACACTTTCTCTCTCACACACACACACTCCCTCTCTCCCCTGTCTCGAATCATTTTGGGGGCATAAACATAAAACCTGGAAATCAACCTGTTTTCTAATCTTTTTTTTTGAGACAGAGTCTCACTCTGTCACCCAGGCTGGAGTGCAGTGGTGTGATCTTGGCTCACTGCAAACTCCACCTCCCAGATTCAAGCGAGTCTCCTGCCTCAGCCTCCCAAGTAGCTGGGGCTACAGACACACACCACTATGCCTGGCTAATTTTTGTATTTTTAGTAGAGATGGGGTTTCACCATGTTGGCCAGGCTGGTCTTGAACTCCTCATCTCTGGTGATCCACCTGCTTCAGCTTCCCAAAGTGCTGAGATTACAGCCGTGAGCCACCCCATGCCTGGCTGTTTTCTTTACTATAGAGTTGCAGCTTTGGCTTATTTTGAAGACAAATTGTTGGTTATCAATAGACTATAAAGTGCTAAGTCTATAATCTCATGAGTACTATTTCTAATGAGTATATTTTCCTTCCTGAAAGGTGCAGATTCACTTTATAGGAACAGCTTCAGCTTCAGTGATGAAAAACTGAATTCTCCAACAGACTCTACCCCAGCTCTTCTCTCTGCCACTGTCACTCCTCAGAAAGGTAAGGTCATTAGTTGGAATTTGAGTTTTTTGCTTTTTTATTCCTCTCTCCTTCTCAATCCCTTCTCTGTCCCTTTTATCCCTAAACAATCTTTCTCAAATGTACAAAACAAATAGGTAAGACTAATGTCTTAATACTGTAGAGTATACAGTGGAATTTTTTATTTCTCAGGATTTTAATCAGTGTGAACATGAAATCAGATAATTTGGGGCAGAAAACCTGAAGTCACAGGGAGAAAGAAAATTTGGAGACTAGACTGTTCTCTCTCATGTGATGTAATCAAGACTGTGCAAATGACAGTGTTTCTTAGGAGTCTCCTCCCAGACTTGTTGGTTCTAGAATTTAAAACTCAGCAGTTTGCCTTTGCAGATAGTGGGATTCTTTTTATTGCATTAATTATTTAACCAATGCTTTCAGATGACCAATTTAGCAATTAAATGGGGTTGTCATTATTAGATAAGCTATGATCTAACATGATTTAAAATAGCAGCTCCAGCCTGTCTCTACTGTGGTATTAATAGACCTAAAATGTCTTTAAAGATGCATGAGCAGTTTCTTATTTTTTGGAACTGGTAAAATGTCTCCAGCTAGAGAGTTGAATGTTCTGTTACATTGGACAAGTGCCTTTTTGAAAACAAAAGGAGCTTTTTTTCTTAAGAAAAGTTATACTTGCTGAAAATAGTTGCAGAATGCAATAAAAATGGAACATAGTTAAAAAGAAATGACAATTCCATCACTCTTTTCACTTTGGCAATAAGACAGGACTTCACTCTTTTTTCAGAAGAGGCATTTGAAAGTTCCCTTCTCAACATAGCAACGTTAGCACCCACTGGGAATTCTGCCACTATCCAGCCCTCAGTCTGTAATGAATCAGTTGAATTCAGAGACAGAGCAGTCTAAAAAGTGGCTTAAAACGTGCTCAGATTTGTTACCTGATCCTCAAGAGGTAGGAATTAAAGAGGGAAAAAAAGCCCCTAGTGGCAAATTGACTTAAAAGGCTAAGAACAATTAGCCATTTGTAGCCAGCAGGTGTTAATTAATAAAACTGTCCAGTACTGCATTTCAGGGAAGGCATGAATGATGTGATGAACTCTACAAAAATAAAGTCAGCTATATGAAAAAAATCTCTACATCTCAGGCTCTAGAGAGAACCAAATCAGAATGAGGACTCGTTTCCTTGTGTGGGCACCTGGAGGGGATGAGGCTGTCCTGGGCCCAGAAGACTCATGGCACCTTCCCTGTACCATTTTGATAAGAAACAGTGAACTCTTCATTCATTTCATATTGGAGGAACTCTGAGGGCTGCAGCGTTGCCCTGGGGGGACAGCACAAGCAAGAATGCATCAGAAGGCTAGTGCCGCAGGAATGACACAATCTAGGTGTCTGCTCTGCACAGTGCTATGCTTACTGAATTTTTTGACTAATAACTCATATTCTACACAATACAAAAACCAGACTCCTTTTATCTTCCCTTCCTGCTCCTCACTCTCCTGCAAACATTTAAGACAGTGAAGGAAGATTCCTCTTCTAGGTGAGGGAGAAGTGGGGTGGGATGTTTGGAGAGGGTGGTGATGAACTAAAAAATAAAGAAACACTTAGGCTAGTCTTCAGAATCAGTTTCTGAGTTTACTGTATCAAAACACTGGAGCACACACTTAGGGTTGGCCCAGGACACTCTTCAATAAAAGTCTCTGAAGATAAGGAGGTAGATGTAAAATAGAAATAATCCATTCTATAACTCTGGAAGTTCCAACTTCCTGGAAAACTCAATATGGAGTCATCAGCTGTCTTTGTTATGGAAACTGAACTCTCTCTCTCTCTCTCTCTCCCTCTCCTGTTTCACAGCTAAATTAGGAGACACAAAAGAGCTAGAAGCCTTCATTGCTGATCTTGACAAAACTTTAGCAAGTAAGTACATGTCTGATATTAAAAACAAAAAAACAAAAAACTAACAGACACTTCTGATAAAGTGTTGTAATGTTAACCAGCTTGCCCTGGGGCAGAAAGTTTCATCCTAAGCCTTCTATAGGTTTAGAAACAGGACCCTAGGCCGGGGCAGTGGCTCACGCCTGTAATCCCAGCACTTTGGAAGGCTGAGGTGGGTGGATTACCTGAGGTCAGGAATTCAAGTCCAGCCTGGCCAACATGGTGAAACCCAATCTCTACTAAAAAATACAAAAATTAGCTGGGCATGGTGGCGCACACCTGTAGTCCCAGCTTCTTGGGAGGCTGAGGTAGGAGAATCACTTGAACCCGGGAGGCAGAGGTTGCAGTGAGCCGAGATTGCGCCACTGTACTCCAGCCTGGTGACAGAGCAAGACTCCGTCAAAATAGTAATAATAATAATAATAATAATAATAATAATAAGAAGAAGAAGAAGAAGAAGAAGAAGAAGAAGAAGAAACAGGACTCTAGTGGCTAGGAATGAAATTCTGGGATAAGCTTGTGTTAAAGTAGACCATGTGCGTTTCCAAACAGTGAGAACAGGTCACTAGCAAACAATGGCATTTTGTTTGAGAAATGGAGAGCGAGCAAGACTGGAGCATTACCATCATGATGGCCTGTCAGGCTTTTCAGAGAAGAAATGAACTGATTAACCACAAGTGCATTATTCCAACAAGCCAAAAGTCTTCCATCCCATGGGCCAGGGTAATTTTCCCAGGTTAGATCCAGGGTTTGGGTGAAATTTAACTTTAAGATGTGGGTGCCAAAAGAGAGAATTGGCTTGTGGGGCCTTTCACCAGAGACCCATGCCAGTGACTGAATGACCTGGATTAGGTATGCATACTTGCAAGCCTCTTATTTGGGAATTACACTAATGGTTACCTGTTTTGTGTGACCAAAAATGTTGAGAACTGAAGACATCAAATTATAACTGCAGTATAGGGGCCCAGAAGAAGGGACCCTCACAATCTATCTACACACTCTATTTCCAAAGGATAAGATTGCAAGAGCCAGGAGGACCAACTCCAGCTTCTGGGATGGAAGGTTCAGCAACTCTACTACGGGGGGTCCTGTTTAGTCACAGAGTGGGCTAGGAAAATTTTGTCCCAGCCCCTTAATTTTCCAGGGTAAGGGTTGATTTTCTGTGAGAAGTATTTAATGCTATTCTTTGCTAAAGAGCCGGGTAAACTCTGAAAAATTAAATCCAAAGCTGGTTATTTAAAAATAACTATGTTCTTAACACTCTTGCAGACAAACCTAAATATCAGATAGAAAGTCCTTGTATCATTTCTATTTGAAAATTGAAGATTTTATTGCCTCTTTTCTTATGTACTGCACCATCTTACATCAGAAGACCAGGGCTTGTTTTGACAGGGATTATTATAATTGCAGCATAATTTGTATTAGACCCATGTAACAAGCCTGTCTACTTCATGGAAATTGCAGTGGGTTGCCCAGTCATTCCAGTTAATCAGACACTCATCGTGTGGGAAGCCCAGCATTGAGTTTGGTGCTTTGATGCACGTCTGAGACAGTGTGATGTGGTTAAGCATAGGAATTGTGAGCCTCTGAGTGGATAACCTTACCTATCTCTCATTTACAGGTATGTGAAACAAGAAGTTCTGGGTCCTTTCATCATAAGGGAGAAGCTTCAGAAAGTTCCGAGGACCTGCTAAAATCAGCTACTAGAATCTGCTGCCAGAGGGGACAAAGACGTGCACTCAACCTTCTACCAGGCCACTCTCAGGCTCACCTTAAAATCAGCCCTTGATCCCATTTCTGGGCAATTTAGACAGTGAAACTGACTTTGTTTACCTGCTTGCAGCATATTAGAACAGACGATCCATGCTAATATTGTATTTTCTCTTAAAACATAGCTTTCCTGTAATTTAAAGTGCTTTTATGAAAATATTTGTAATTAATTATATATAGTTGGAAATAGCAGTAAGCTTTCCCATTATAATATATTTTTGTATACAAATAAAATTTGAACTGAAGTCTGCTTCCTTTTCTTTTTCTTTATTTTTTAAAATATATTTCCATTCAAATAATATTCTAGTGGGAGTAACATGCCTCTTGTTTCCTTAGCAAGGCCCCTGGGTGCTGTCTGATTGCACTAGACAAGAGGACAGTAAACTTAAAGTGTTCCTTTAGCTCATTCAGTGCTCTGGAAGGAAATGCTGGCAGACGGCTGCTGGGAAATTTTAATTTCAGGATTGTGATTTCATTGGAAGTTAGGTTTCTATTCTGTCTCTGCCCTCCTTCTCATATCTTGGCACCATTGCAGGTGGCATGGACTCTTTCTTTGAATTAAGGGAAGTACCAGTTCTTACAATCCAGGACTTAAATACGAGGGAAAGTTGAGATAGCTGGAAGACTTGAAAATGATGGTGCTTTTCTAAGATCTGTGTGGAGGAAGATTGATGGTGCTGGTTTTCATGGAATGTCCAGCAAACCTCTGGTGTGAAGAGTTTGACGGGTGGGCTTTGCACATAGAAGCCACTGACCACTTCTCCCACTTGCCTTTGTGGGGGCTGGAGAGAGGCATAAAAATAAGAAAGCTCATAATTTTCGTATCTATGCTTTTCTGTCTTTAAAACCTCCTCTAAAATAACCAGGCATTACTTTCATAATCAGAATAAAGTTATTTTAAAACTTGAATCCCTATATTCCTAAAGGACATAAATCCAAAACATAACTACTTATAATTTTACTTGTATCTTCAAAAGCTAACTACTATATTTGATGTGTTTTTTAGGGAATCGGGAAACTAAATTGCTTTTCTTTAACTTTTTTCTTTTCCTCAGCTTCCAGGAAAACTTTTGGGTTGAACTCAAATATTTTCTTTATTTCTTTTTTAAAAATTGAGATCTAATTCACATACTACAGCACCCAGTTCAGCGGTTTTTAGCATATCCACAGGTACTGCAGCCATCACCACTGTCTATCTACTTCTCTGTCTCCACGAACGTGTCTATTCTGGATCTTTCATATAACGAATATGTAATCTTTTGTGTCTGGCTTCTTTCACTTAGCATAGTATTTTCAAAGTTCATCCATGAGTAGCATGAATCAGTACTTCATTTCTTTTCACGGCCAAATCATAATCCACTGTGTGGATATGCCACAGTTGTTTATCTGTTCATTGGTTGGTGAAGATTTGGGTTGTTTCCACTTTTTAGCTAACAAATAATATTGTTATGAATACCCATGTATTAGTTTTTGTGTGGACATATGTTTTCATTTCTCTTGGGTGTATAACTAGGAGTGGAATTCCTGGGTCGTATGTTAATTCTGTTTAACTTTTTGAGAAACTGTCAAACTTTTCCAAAGCAGTTTGGAAAAACCATTTTACATTCCCACTAGCAATGTATGAGGATTCCAGTTTCTCTAAATCCTTGCCAACTTGTTATTGTCTGCCTTGTCATTCTAGCAGGTGGGAAGTGGTATCACATTGTGGTTTTATTTTACATTTCTTTTTTTTTTTTTTTTTTGAGATGGAATCTTGCTCTGTCGCCCAGGATGGGTGCTAGTGGCGGGATCTCGGCTCACTGCAAGCTCTGCCTCCCGGGTTCACGCCATTCTCCTGCTTCAGCCTCCCGAGTAGCTGGACTACAGGCGCCCGCCACCACGCCCGGCTAATTTTTTGTATTTTTAGTAGAGACAGAGTTTCACCATGTTAGCCAGGATGGTCTCAATCTCCTGGCCTCGTGAGCGGCCCTCCTCGGCCTCCCAAAATGCTGAGATTACAGGTGTGAGCCACCACGCCCGGCCTATTTTGCATTTCTCTGTGACTAATGATGTCTTTTCATGTGCTTACTGGCCATTTGTATATCTTCTTTGGAGAAATGTCTATTCAAATCCTTGGCCCATTTTAAAATTAGGTTGTCTTTTTAACTTTTTTTAATTTTAGTTTTTGTGGGTACATAGTAGGTGTATGTATTTATGGGGCACATAAATTGTTTTGATATGGGCATGTAATGTGTGATAATCACATCATGGAAAATGGGGTGTCCACTCCCTCAAGCATTTATCCTGTGTCACAATCCAATTATACCATTTTAGTTATTTTTGAATGTACAGTTAAATTATTATTGACTATAGTCACCCTGTCATGCTATCAAATACTAGGCCTTATTCATTCATTCCAACTATACTTTGTGCCCATTAACCATGCCTACCCTTCCCAGCCTCTGGTAACCAACCTTCTACTCTATAATTCCATGGGTTTAACTGTTGACTTTTGGATCCCACAAATAAGTGAGAACATGCGATGTTTGTCTTTCTGTGCCAGGCTTATTTCACTTAACATAATGACCTCCAGTTCAATCCATGTTGTTGCAAATGACTAAATCTCATTCTTACGACTAAATAGTACTCCAGTTTGCGTAAGTACCATGTTTTCTTCATCCATGCATCTGTTGATGGACACTTAGGTTGCTTCCAAATCTTGGCTATTGTGAATAGAGCTGCAACAAATATGGGAGTGCAGATATCTCTTTGATATACTGATTTCCTTTTTTGGGGGACATATACCCAGCAGTGGGATTGCTGGATCATATGGTAGGCTCTATTTTTAGTTTTCTGTGGAATCTCCAAACTGCTCTTCATAGTGGCTGTAGTAATTTACATTCCCACCAACAGTGTACAAGGATTCCCTTTTCTCTACATCCTTGCCAACATCTGTCATTGCCTGTCTTTTGGATAAAAGCCATTTTAACTGGGGTGGGATGATATCTCATTGTAGTTTTGATTTGCATTTCTCTAATCAATAACGTAGAGCACCTTTTCATATGTCTGCCATCTGTTTGTGTTCTTTTGAGAAATGTCTATTCCAATCTTTTGCCCATTTTTAAATCAGATTATTAGATTTTTTTTCCTATAGAGTTGTTTTAGCTCTTTATATATTCTGACTATTAATCCATTGTCAGATGGGTAATTTGCAAATATTTTCTCCCATTCTGTGGGTTGTCTCTTCACTTTATTGATTGTTTCATTTGCTGTGCAGAAGCTTTTTAACTTGATGTTACCCCATCTAGTCCATTTTTGCTTTAGTTTCCTGTGCTTGTGGGGTATTACTCAAGAAATCTTTGCCCAGACTGATGTCTTGGAGAGCTTCTCCAATGTTTTCTTTTTGTAGTTTCATAGTTTGAGGTCTTAGATTTAAGTGTTAAATCCATTTTGATTTGATTTTTGTATATAGTGAGAGAAGGAGGTCTAGTTTCTTTCTTTGCATATGGATATCCAGTTTTCCCAGCATCATTTATTGAAGAGACTGTCCTTTCCCCAGTGTATGTTCTTGCCACCTTTGTTAAAAATGAGTTTACTGTAGGCATGTGGATTTGTTTCTAGGTTCTCTGTTCTGTTCCATTGGTCTATGTGTCTGTTGTTATGCCAGGACCATGCTGTTTTGGTTATTATAGCTCTGTAGTATAATTTGAAGTCAGGTAATGTGATTCCTCCAGTTTTGTCCTTTTTAAAATTTTTTTTTATTATACTTTAAATTCTGGGGTACATGTGCAGAACACGAAGTTTTGTTACATAGGTATACATGTGCCACGGTGGTTTGCTGCACCCATCAACTCGTCACCTACATTATGTATTTCTCCTAATGTTATCCTTCCCCTACCCTCCCCCAACCCCCAATAGGCCCCGGTGTGTGATGTTCCCCTCCCTATGTCCATGTGTTCTCATTGTTCAACTCCCATTTATGAGTGAGAACACGCGGTGCTCGGTTTTCTGTTCTTGTGATAGTTTGCTGAGAATGATGGTTTCCAGCTTCATCCATGTCCCTGCAAAGGACATGAACTCATCCTTTTTTATGGCTGCATAGTATTCCATGGTGTATATGTGCCACATTTTCTTTATCCAGTCTATTATTGATGGACATTTGGGTTGGTTCCAAGTCTTTGCTATTGTGAATAAAGCTGCAATAAACATACGTGTGCTTGTGTCTTTATAGTAGAATGATTTATAATCCTTTGGGTATATACCCAGTAATGGGATTGCTGGGTCAAATGATATTTCTAGTTCTAGATCCTTGAGGAATTGCCACACTGTCTTCCACAATGGTTGAACTAATTTACACACCCACCAACAGTGTAAAAGTGTTCCTATTTCTCCACATGCTCTCCAGCACCTGTTGTTTACTGACTTTTTAATGATTGCCATTCTAACTGGTGAGAGATGGTATCTCATTGTGGTTTTGATTGCATTTCTATCATGACCAGTGATGATGAGCATTTTTTCATGTCTGTTGGCTACATAAATGTCTTCTTTTGAGAAGTGTCTGTTTATATCCTTTGCCCAATTTTTGATGGGGTTGTTTTTTTCTTGTAAATTTGTTTAAGTTCTTTGTAGATTCTGGATATTAGCCCTTTGTCAGATGGATAGATTGCAAAACTTTTTTCCCATTCTATAGGTTGCCTGTTCACTCTGATGATAGTTTCTTTTGCTGTGCAGAAGCCCTTTAGTTTAATTAGATCCCATTTGTCTATTTTGGCTTTTGTTGCCATTGCTTTTGGTGTTTTAGACATGAAGTCTTTGCCCATGCTTGTGTCCTGAATGGTATTGTCTAGGTTTTCTTCTAGGATTTTTATAGTCCTAGGTCTTATGTTTAAGTCTTTGATCCATCTTGATTTTTGTATAAGGGGTAAGGAAAGAGTCCAGTTCCAGTTTTCAGAATATGGCTAGCCAGTTTTCCCAACAACATTTATTAAATAGGAACATTTTCCAAATTGCTTTTTTGTGTCAAGTTTGTCAAAGATCAGATGGTTGTAGATGTGTGGTGTTATTTCTGAGGACTCTGTTCTGTTCCATTGGTCTATATATCTGTTTTGGTACCAGTACCATGCTGCTTTGGTTACTGTAGCCTTGTAGTATAGTTTGAAGCCAGGTAGCATGATGCCTCCAGCTTTGTTCTTCTTGCCAAGGATTGTCTTGTCTATGCAGGCCCTTTTTTGGTTCCATACGAAGTTTAAAGTAGTTTTTTCCAATTCTGTGAAGAAAGTCAGTGGTAGCTTGATGGGGATAGCATTAAATCTATAAATTACTTTGGGCAGTATGGCCATTTTCATGATATTGATTCTTCCTATCCATGAGCATGGAACGTTTTTCCATTTGTTTGTGTCCTCTCTTATTTCCTTGAGCAGTGGTTTGTAGTTCTCCTTGAAGAGGTCCTTCACATCCCTTGTAAGTTGTATTCCTAAGTATTTTATTCTCTTTGTAGCAATTGTGAATGGGAGTTCACTCATGATTTGGCTCTGTTTGTCTATTATTGGTGGATAGGATGGCTTGTGATTTTTGCACATTGATTTTGTATCCTGAGACTTTGCTGAAGTTGCTTATCAGCTTAAGGAGATTTTGGGCTGAGATGATGGGGTTTTCTAAATAGACAATCATGTCATCTGCAAACAGAGACAATTTGACTTCCTCTCTTCCTATTTGAATACGCTTTATTTCTTTCTCTTGGCTGATTGCCCCAGCCAGAACTTCCAATACTATGTTGAATAAGAGTGGTGCGAGAGGGCGTCCTTGTCTTGTGCTGGTTTTCAAAGGGAATGTTTCCAGCTTTTGCCCATTCAGTATGATATTGACTGTGGGTTTGCCGTAAATAGCTCTGACTATTTTGAGATATGTTCCATCGATACCCAGTTTATTGAGAGTTTTTAGCATGAAGGGGTGTTGAATTTTGTCGAAGGTCTTTTCTGCATCTATTGAGATAATCATGTGGTTTTTGTCATTGGTTCTGTTTATGTGATGGATTCTGTTTATCGTTTTGCATATGTTGAACCAGCCTTGCATCCCAGGTATGAAGCTGACTTGATCGTGGCGGATATGCTTTTTGATGTGCTGCTGGATTTGATTTGCCAGTATCTTTTTGAGGATTTTCATATCGATGTTCATCAGGGATATTGGCCTGAAATTTTATTTTTTTGTCGTGTCTCTGCCAGGTTTTGGTATCAGGATGATGCTGGCCTCATAAAATGAGTTAGGGAGGATTCCCTCTTTTTCTATTGTTTGAAATAGTTTCAGAAGGAATGGTACCAGCTCCTCTTTGTACCTTTGGTAGAGTTAGGATGTGAATCCATCTGGTCCTGGACTTTTTTTGGTTGATAGGCTATTAATTACTGCCTCAATTTCAGAACTTGTTATTAGTTTATTCAGACATTAGACTTCTTCCTGATTTAGACTTGGGAAGGGTGTATGTGTCCAGGAATTTATCCATTTCTTCTAGATTTTCTAGTTTATTTGTATAGAGGTGTTTATAGTATTCTCTCATGGTAGTTTGTATTTCTGTGGGATCGGTGGCGATATCCCCTGTATAATTTTTTATTGCGTCTATTTGATTCTTCTCTCTTTGCTTCTTTATTAGTCTGGCTAGTGGTCCATTTTGCTGATCTTTTTTAAAAAAACAGCTCCTGGATTCATTGATTTTTTTGAAGGGCTTTTTGTGTCTCTACCCCCTTCAGTTCTGCTCTGATCTTAGTCTTCTGCTAGATTTTGAATTTGTTTGCTGTTGCCTCTCTAGTTCTTTTAATTTTGATGTTAGGGTGTCAATTTTAGATCTTTCCTGCTTTCTCGTGTGGGCATTTAGTGCTAGAAATTTCCCTCTACACACTGCTTTAAATGTGTCCCAGAGATTCTCATACATTGTGTCTTCGTTCTTATTGGTTTCAAAGAACATCTTTATTTCTGCTTTCATTTTGTTATTTGCCCAGTAGTCATTTAGGAGTAGGTCATTCAGTTTCCATGTAGTTGTGCAGTTTTGAGTGAGTTTCTTAAACCTGAGTTCTAGTTTGATTGTACTGTGGTCCGAGAGACTGTTTGTTATGATTTCCATTCTTTTGCATTTGCTGAGGAGTGTTTTACTTCCAATTATGTGGTCAATTTTAGAATAAGTGCGATGAGCTGCTGAGAAGAATGTATATTCTGTTGATTTGGGGTGAAGAGTTCTGTAGATGTCTGTTAGGTCTGCTTATTCCAGAGCTGAGTTAAAGCCTGGAATATTCTTGTTAATTTTCTGTCTCGTTGATCTGCCTAATATTGACAGTGGGATGTTAAAGTCTCCCACTATTATGTGTGGGAGTCAAAGTCTGGGAGTCTTAAGTCTCTTTGTAGGTCTCTAAGAACTTGCTTTATGAATCTGAGTGCTCTTGTATTGGGTGCATATATATTTAGGATAGTTAGCTCTTCTTGCTGCATTGATCCCCTTACCATTATGTAATACCCTTTGTTGTCTCTTTTGATATTTGTTGGTTTACAGTTTGTTTTATCCGAGATTAGGATTGCAACTCCTGCTTTTTTTTGCCTTCCATTTGCTTGGTAAATATTCTTCCATCCTTTATTTTGAGCCTATGTGTGTCTTTGCATGTGAGATGGGTCTCCTGAATACAGCACACCCAATTTGCCAGTCTGGGTCTTTTAATTGGGCATTTAGCCCATTTACATTTAAGGTTACTATTGTTATGTGTGAATTTGATCCTGTCATTATGATGCTGGCTGGTTGTTTTGCCCATTAGTTGGTGCAGTTTCTTCATAGTGTTGATGTTCTTTACAATTTGGTATGTTTTTGCAGTGGTTGGTACCAGTTGTTCCTTTCCATGTTTAGTGCTTCCTTCAGGAGCTTTTGTAAGGCAGGCCTGGTGGTGACAAAATCTCTTAGCATTTGCTTAACTGTATAGGATTTTATTTCTCCTTCACTTATGAAGCTTAGTTTGGCTGGATATGAAATTCTGGGTTGAAAATTCTTTTCTTTAAGAATGTTGAATATTGGCCCCATTCTCTTCTGGCTTGTAGGGTTTCTGCAGAGAGATCTACTGTTAGTCTGATGGGCTTCCCTTTGTGGGTAACCCGACCTTTCTTTGTGGCTGCCCTTAACATTTTTTCCTTCATTTCAACCTTGGTGAAGCTGATGATTATGTGTCTTGGGGTTGCTCTTCTCGAGGAGTATCTTTGTGATGTTCTTTGTGTTTCCTGAATTTGAATGTTGGCCTGTCTTCCTAGGTGGGGGAAGTTCTCCTGGATAATATCCTGAAGAGTGTTTTCTAACTTGGTTCCGTTCTCCTCGGCACTTTCAGGTACACCAATCAAACATAGATTTGGTCTTTTCACATAGTCCCATATTTCTTGAAGGATTTGTTCATTCCTTTTCACTCTTTTTTCTCTAATCTTGTTTTCTCTCTTTATTTCCTTAAGCTGATCTTCAATCACTGATACCCTTTCTTCTGCTTGATCGATTTGGCTATGGATACTTGTGTATCCTTCACGAAGTTTTCGTGCTGTATTGTTCAGCTCCATCAGGTCATTTATATTCTTCTCTACACTAGTTATTCTAGTTAGCAATTCATCTAACCTGTTTTCAAGGTTCTTAGCTTCCTTGCATTGGGTTAGAACATGCTCCTTTAGGTCAGAGGAGTTTATTATTACCCACCTTCTGAAGCTTACTTCTGTCAATTAGTCAAACTCATTCTCTGTCCAGTTTTGTTCCCTTGCTGGTGAGGAGTTGTGATCCTTTGGAAGAGAAGAGGCATTCTGGTTTTTGGAATTTTCAGCCTTTTTGCACTGGTTTCTCCCCATCTTTGTGGATTTATCTACCTTTGGTCTTTGATGCTGGTGACCTTCGGATGGGGTCTTTGAGTGGATGTGCTATTCCTTTCTGTTAGTTTTCCTTCTGACAGTCAGGCCCCTCTGCTGCTGGTCTGCTGGAGTTTGCTGGAGGTCCACTTGCGACCCTATTTGTCTGGGTATCACCAGCAGAGGTTGCAGAACAGCAAAGATTGCTTTCTGATATTTCCTCTGGAAGCTTCATCCCAGAGGGGCACCTGCCAGATGCCAGCCAGAGCTCTCCTGTATGAGGTGTCTGTTGGCCCCTACTGGGAGGTGTCTCTCAGTCAGGATACATGGGGTCAGGGATCTGCTTGAGGAGGCAGTCTGACCCTTAGCAGAGCCCGATCACTGTGCTGGGTGGTCCACTGCTCTCTTCAGAGACATCAGGCAGGGACATTTAAGTCTGCTGAAGCTGTGCCCAAAGCTGCCCCTTTCCCCAGGTGCTCTGTCCTAGGAAGATGGGGGTTTTATTTATAAGTGCCTGACTGGGGCTGCTGCCTTTTTTTCAGTGATGTCCTGCCCAGAGAAGGGAAATCTGGCAGTCTGGCCTCAGCAGCCTTGCTGAGCTGCAGTGGGCTCTGCCCAGTTCGAATTTCCCAGTGGCTTTGTTTACACTGTGAGTGTAAAACCACCTACTCAAGCCTCAGCAATGGTGGATGTCCCTCCCCACTCCAAGCTCGAGCATCCTGGGTCCATCTCAGACTGCTGCTGTGCTGGCAGTGAGAATTTCAAGCCAGTGGATCTTAGTTTGCTGGGCTCTATGGGGGTGGGACCCACCGAGCCAGACCCCTTGGCTCCCTGGCTTCAGCACCCCTTTCCAGGGGAGTGAACGGTTCTGTCTCGCTGGCATTCCAGGCACCATTGGGGTATGGAAAACAAGAACTCCTGCAGCTAGTTTGGTGTCTGACCAAATGGCTGCCCAGTTTTGTGCTTGAAACCCAGGGTCCTGGTGGGGTAGGCACCGGAGGGAATCTCCTGGTCTGTGGGTTGTGAAAACCGTGGGACAAGCAGGAGCAGACTCAGTCCCTCACGGCTTCCCTTGGGTGGGGGAGAAAATTCCCCAACCCCTTGCACTTCCTGGGTGTGATGACGCCCCACCCTGCTTCAGCTCGCTCTCTGTGGGCTGCACCCACTGTCCAACCAGTACCAATGAGATGAACCGGGTACCTCAGTTGGAAATGCAGAATTCACCCGCCTGCATCGATCTCGCTGGGAGCTGCAGACCGGAGCTGTTCCTATTCGGTCATCTTGCCAGCGCTATTCCCAGTTTTGTTCATTTTGCTCAGGATAGCTTTGACTGTTCTGGGTCTTTGGTGGTTCCAAAGAAATTTTAAGATTATTTTTCTATTTCTGTAAAGAGTATCATTGGTATTTTGATAGCGATTGCATTGAATCTGTAGATTGCTTTGGGTAGTACAGACATTTTAACAATATTGATTCTTTCAATCTATGAACATGGAATATTTTTCCATTTTTTTGGTGTCCTCTTCAATTTCTTTCATTGGTGATTATAGTTTTTGTTATACAGTTCTTTCACTTTGGTTAATCCCTGGGTATTTAATTTTATTTGTGGCTATTACAAACAGGATTACTTTTTTATTTCTTTTTCAGATTGTTCCCTATTGGCATATAGAAATGCTACTGATTTTTATATGTTGATTTTGTATCCTGCAACTTTACTGAATTTGTTTATCAGTTATAATAGTTTTTTGGTGGAGTCTTTAGGTTTTTCAAATATAAGATATCATCTGCAAACAAGGATAACTTGACTTCTTCCTTTCCAATTGGATGCTGTTTCTGTCTTTCTCTTGTTGCTCTAGCTAGAACTTCCAGTACTATGATGAATAACACTGGTGAAAGTGGGCATTTTTGTCATGTTCCAGATCTTAGGGGAAAGGCTTTCAGTTTTTCCTCAGTTAGTATGATATTAGCTGTGGGTCTGTCATATATGGCTTTTATTATGTTGAGGTATGTACCTTTTATACCCAGGTTTTTGAGGGTTTTTATCATGAAGGGCTGTTGATTTTATCAAATGACTTTTCAACATCAAATGAAATGATCTTATGGTTTTTGTCCTTTGATCTGTGATATAATGTACTACATTGATTGATTTATGTATATTGAACCATTCTTGCATCCCTGGGATAAATCCATTTGGTTATGATGAATGATCTTTCTTTTTTAAATTATTATTATACTTCAAGTTCTGGGGTACATGTGCAGAATGTGCAGATTTGTTACATAGATATATGCATGCCATGGTGGTTTGCTGCGCCCATCAACCCTCATCTACATTAGGTATTTCTCCTAATGTTATCCCTCCTCTAACCCCCAACCCCAACAGGCCCCAGTGTGTGACGTCCCCCTCCCTGTGTCCATATCTTCTCATTTTTCAACTCCCACTTATGAGTGAGAACATGCAGTGTTTGATTTTCTGTTCTTGTGTTAGGTTGCTGAGAATGATGGTTTCCAGCTTCATCCATGTCCCTGCAAAGGACATGAACTCATCCTTTTTTATGGCTGCATAGTATTCCAGAGAGTATATGTGCCACGTTTTCTTTATCCAGTCTATTATTGATGGACATTTGGGTTGGTACCAAGTCTTTGCTATTGTGAACAGTGCTGCAGTAAATATACGTGTGCTTGTGTCTTTATAGTAGAATGATTTATAATCAAACTGAATCCAGCAGCACATCAATAAGCTTATCCACCATGGTCAAGTTGGCTTCATACCTGGAATGCAAGGCTGGTTCAACATATGCAAATCAATAAATGTAATCCATTACATAAACAGAACCAATGTCAAAAACCACATGATTATCTCAATAGTTGCAGAAAAGGCCTTCGATAAAATTCATCACCCCTTCATGCTAAAAACTCTCAATAAACTAGGTATTGATGAAATGTATCTCAAAATAATAAGAGCTATTTATGACAAACCCACAGTCAATATCATACTGAATGGGCAAAAGCTGGAAACATTCCCTTTGAAAACCAGCACAAGACAAGGACGCCGTCTCTCACCACTCCTATTGAACATAGTATTGGAAGTTCTGGCCGGGGCAATCAGGCAAGGGAAAGAAATAAAGCGTATTCAAATAGGAAGAGAGGAAGTCAAATTGTCTCTGTTTGCAGATGACATGATTATATATTTAGAAAACCCCATCATCTCAGCCCAAAATCTCCTTAAGCTGATAAGCAACTTCAGCAAAGTCTCAGGATACAAAATCAATGTGCAAAAATCACAAGCCATCCTATCCACCAATAATAGACAAACAGAGAGCCAAATCAGGAATGAACTCCCATTCACAATTGCTACAAAGAGAATAAAATACCTAGGAATACAACTTACAAGAGATGTGATAAATGATCTTTCTAATGTATTGTTGAATTCAGTTTGCTAGTATTTTGTTGAGGGTTTTTGCATCAATTTTCATCAGAGATATTGGTAGTTTTCTTTTTTGTTTATGTGTCTTTGTCTGGTTTTGGCATCAGGGTCATACTGGCCTCATAGAATGAGTTTGGAAGAGTTCCCTCCTCCTCTATTTTTCAGAATAGTTTGAGTAGGATTGGTATTAGATCTTCTTAAAATGGTTGGTAGAGTTCAGCAGTGAAGCCATTGGGTCCTGGTCTTTTCTTTACTGAGAGACTTTTTTATTATAGCTTTGATATGGTTACTTGTTATTGGTCTGTTTGCATTTTGGATTTCTTCATGGTTCAATCTTTGTAGGCTGTATATGTCTAGGAATTTGTCCATTTCTTCTATATTTTCCAATTTATTGGTATGTATTTGCTCATAGTAGCCACTAATGATCCTTTGAATTTCTGCAATATCAGTTGTAATGTCTCCTTTTTCATTCTCTGATTTTATTTATTTGGATCTTCTCTCTTTTTTAATTAGTTACTCTAGCTGAAGGTGTATTTTGTTTAACTTTTCAAAAAACCAACTTTTCATTTCATTGATCTTTTGTATTGCTTTCTTCATTTCAATTTTATTTATTTCTCCTCTGGTCTTTATTATTTCTTTTCTTCTACTAATTTTGGGTTTGGGTTGTTCTTGCTTTTTTTGTTCTTTAAGATGCACTGTGGATGGGTGCGGTGGCTCACACCTGTAATCCCAGCACTTTGGGAGGCCGAGGTGGGTGGATCACCTGAAGTCAGGAGTTGGAGACCAGCCTGTCCAACATGGCGACACTCTATCTCTACTAAAAATACAAAAAATTAGCAGGGTGTGGTGGAGGGTGCCTGTAATCCCAGCTACTTGGGAGGCTGAGGCAGGAGAAACGCTTGAACCCGGGAGGCGGAGGTTGCAGTGAGCTGAGATCGTGCCATTGCACTCCAGCCTGGGCAACAAGAGCAAAACTCCGTCTCAAAAAAAAAAAAAAAGAAAAAAAGATGCATTGTTAGATTACTTTTTTGGTTTTTCCTCTTTTTCGATGTAGGCACTTACAGCTATAAAATTCCTTCTTAGTACTGCTTTTGCTGTATCCCATAGGTTTTGGTATGTTATGTTTCCATTATCATTTGTTTCAAGAAAATTTTCAATTTCCTTCTTAATTTCTTCATTAACCCACTGGTCATTCAGGACATATTGTTTAATTTCCATGTATTTGTGTAGTTTTCAAAATTCTCTTGTTATTGATTTCTAGTTTTATTCTATTGTGGTCAGAGAAGATGGTTGATGTTATTTCAATTTTTTAAATGTTTTAAGACTTGTTTTGTGACCTAACATATGGCCTGTCCTTGAGAATGATCCATGTGCTGAGGAAAAGAATGTGTATTCTGTAGCCATTGGATGAAATGTTCTGTAACTATCTATTAGATCCATTTCTTGTATAGTGCAGATTAAGTCCAATGTTTCTTTATTAATTTTCTATCTGCAAGATCTGTCCAATGCTGAAAGTGGGGGTGTTGAAGTCTCCAGCTATTATTGTATTGAAGTCTATCTCTCTCTTCAGCTTTAATAATTTTTGCCTTATATATCTGGGTGCTCCAGTGTTGGGTGCATATATATTTAAAATTGGTATATCTTCTTGCTGAATTGACCCCTTTATCATTATATTGTGGCATTCTTTGTCTCTTTTTATAGTTTTTGTCTTGAAATCAATTTGACTGATATTAGTATAGCTACTCCTTCTGGTTTTTTTTTGTTTTGGTTTCCATGGGCATGGAATATCTTTTTCCATCCCTTTATTTTCAGTCTATGTGTGTCTTTATATGTGAAGTGTGTTTCTTGCAGGCAACAGATAAATGGCTCTTGGTTTTTCATCCATTCAACCAGTCTATGTCTTTTGATTGGAGAGTTTAGTTCATTTACAATCAAGGTTACTATTTTGTTTTTTTTTTGAGGCAGAGTTTTGCTCTTGTCACCCAGGCTGGAATGCAATGGTGTGATCTTGGCTCACTGCAACCTCCACCTCCTGTGTTCAAGTGATTCTCCAGCCTCAGCCTCCTAAGTAGCTGGGATTACAGGCACCCACTACCACAGCTGGCTACTTTTTTTTCTATTTTTAGTAGAGATGGGTTTTCACCATGTTAGCCAGGCTGGTCTCGAACTCCTGATCTCAGGTGATCCACCCGCCTTGGCCTCCCAAAATGCTGGGATTACAGGTGTGAGCCACCACACCTGGCCAACAATCAGTGTTACTACTGATAAGTGAGGACTTCTGCCATTTTGTCAGTTGTTTTCTGATTGTTCTGTGGCCTTCCTCTCTGTCCTTTCTTTCCTACCTGTCTTCATTTTAGTGAAGGTAATTTTCTCTGGTGATGTGATTTAGTTTCTTGCTTTTTATATTTTGTGCTTATGTTGTATGGATTTTAGTTTGAGGTTACCTTGAGGCTTGCAA
Organism: Homo sapiens; assembly: GCF_000001405.40. Taxonomy (NCBI): domain Eukaryota; kingdom Metazoa; phylum Chordata; class Mammalia; order Primates; family Hominidae; genus Homo; species Homo sapiens. The sequence continues at coordinate 41,485,329 of NC_000013.11, forward strand.
ACACTATCTTATAACCCATTATTTTAAGTGGATAACAACTTAAAACTGTTTGCATAAGCAAACAAGCAAGCAAAAAGAAAACTAACAAAGATGCTATGCCTTAAATTTGTCCCTCCACTTTTAAACTTCGTTGTTGCTGTTTATATCTTATTGTATTATCTATGTCTTGAAAAGTTGTCGTAATTATTATTTTTGATTGGTTCATTGTTTAGTCTTTCTACTTAAGAGTAGCTTACACATCATAGTTACAGTGTTATAATAATCTGTGTTTTTCTGTGTACTTACTATTACCAGTGAGTTTTGTACCTTCGGATGATTCCTTATTGCTCATTAATGTCCTTTTATTTCTGATTGAAGTCCTCCCTTTAGCATTTCTTGTAGGACATTTCTGGGGTTGATGAAATCCCTCAGCTTTTGTTTGTCTGGGAAAGTCTTTTATTTCCCTTTCAGGTTTGAAGGATAATTTTGCTGGATATACTATTCTAGGGTAAAAGTTTTTTCCTTCAGCATTTTAAATACATCATTGCACTCTCTCCTGGTCTATAAAGTTTCCACTGAAAAATCTGCTGCCAGACATGTTGGAACTCCATTGTGTGTTATTTTTTTCTTTTCTTTTGCTGCTTTTGGCATCCTTTCTTTATCCTTGACCTTTGGGAGTTTGATTGTTAAATGCCTTGAGATAGTCTTCTTTGGGTTATATCTGTTTGGTGCTCTATAACCTTCTTGTACTTGGATATTGATATCTTTCTCTAGGTGTTGGAAATTCTCTGTTATTATCATTTTGAATAGACTTTCTTCTCCTCTTTCTATCTCCTCTTTAAGGCCAATACCTCTTAGATTTGCTCTTTAGAGGCTATTTTCTAGATCCTGTAGGCATGCTTCATTCTTTTTCATTCTTTTTTATTTTGTCTCCTCTGACTGCATTTTCAAATAGCTTGTTTCATTCTTTTTTATTCTGTCTCCTCTGACTGTACATTTTCAAATAGCCTGTCTTCAAGTTCACTAGCTCTTTTTTCTGCTTGATCAGTTCTGCTACTAAAAGACTCTGATGCATTATTCAGTATGCCAGTTGCATTTTTCAACTCCAGAATTTCTGCTTGATTCTTTTTAATTATTTCAATCTCTTGTTAAATTTATCTGATAGAGTTCTGAATTCCTTCTCTGTGTCATCTTGAATTTCTTTGAGTTTGCTCAAAACAGCTATTATGAATTCTCTGTCTGAAAGGTCACATATCTCTGTTTCTCCAGGATTGGTCCCCAGTGCCTTATTTGGTTCATTTGGTGAGGTCATGTTTTCCTAGATTGTATTAATAGTTGTAGAAGTTCGTCTGTTTCTGGGCATTGAAGAGGTAGGTATTTATTGTAGTCTTTATGGTCTGGGCCTGTTTGTACCTATCCTTTTTGGCAAGGTTTTCCAGATATTCAAAAGGACTTGAGTGTTATAATCTAAGCTGTATCTGCTTTAGGGAAGACCCCAAGCCCAGTAATGTGGTGGTTCTTCCAGACTCATAGAAGTACCACCTTGATAGTCTCGGACAAGATCTGGAAGAATTATCTGGGTTTCCAGGCAGAGACTCTTGTTCTCTTCTCTTATTGTTTCCCAAACAAATGGGTGCTCTCTCTCTCTCTCTCTCTCTTTGTTCTGAGCCACCTGGAGCTAGGAGTGGAGTGACACAAGCACCCTTGTGGCCACCAACCCTAGGACTGCTCTGGGTCAGACCTGAAGCTAGCACAGCACTGGGTCTTGTCTGAGGCCTGCTGTAACCACTCCCTTTCTACTGCCTATGTTAGTTCAAAGCCTGGGGGTTTTACAATCAGCAGGTGGCAAAGCCAGCCAGGCCTGTGTCCTTCCCTTCAGGGCAGCAAATTCCCCCAGGCATTGGGTGGGTCCAGAGGTACCTTCTTGGAGTCAGAGACTAGAGGCAAAAACCTTAGAAGTCTGCCTGGTGTTCTATTTTCCTGTCACTCAGCTGGCGCTCACACCATAAGACACAGTCCTTCCCACTCTTCCCTCTCCATTCCAGAGGTAGAGGAGCCTCACTCCATGACCACTGTCACCTCAGGCCCACATGGAGTACTGCCAGACTACCACTGATGTTCCCTTAAGGTTCAAGGCCACCTGAGTCAGCTCGTGGTGAATGCTGCCTGGCCTGGGACTCACCTTTCAGAGGAGTGGACCCTCTACACAGGTCTAGAAATGCCATCCAACAGCCAAGTCCTGGAATAGGGAACCCCAAGAGAATACTTGGTTCTCTACCCCACTGTGGCTGAGCTGATATCTAAGTTGCAAGACAAAGTTCCCTTTACTTTTTGCTCCACTGTCTCAAGCAGGAGTCTTGCCCCATAGCCACCAGAGCTGGGAAAGTGCTGAGTCTCACCTGAATCCAGCAAGACTCAGTGTCTCACCCAAGACCCTCAACCTAGTACCTGGGTATTGCTGCTGGTATTCAGGACCTAAGGGCTCTTTAGTTAGCAGGTGATGAATCTTGCTAGGACTGGGTCTTTTCCTTCAAGGCTGCAGATTCTCTTCTGGGCCAAGGTGTGGCTAGAAATGTCCAGGGGCTAGGGCCTGGAATGGGGGCCCCATGACTCTCACCAGTGCCCTATCCTGCTGTGGCTGAGCTGGTATCCAAGATGAAAGACAAAGTCCTCCTAACTCTTCCATCTCCTCTCCTGAAGCAAAAGGAAGGGGTCACTTTTGGAGCCATGAGCTATGCAACCCGGGGTGGGTGGGGGGTGATGCCAGCACTCCCTTAGACACCCCAACTGGTGTCTCAGTAGGTCACGTGCTTCCCCTAGTCCACTGTTTCTGGGCCCAGTTCATCCCAGGAATTGCCTAGGTGTTACAATCCTTGTGGCCTAGACTGCCTTTCAAGTGTATCTGGGGCTCCAGAGTACTTTAGTCCAAGGTGATGAGGCTTGCGGGAACTGAAGTTCGTACTGCTGGGATCAGAGATTCCCCTCTGTCTAGGGTTTAAATGTTTCCTCTGTGGGCATGTGTCAGCTTAGTTTGGTCTGGTTTTGCTTTCTCTTATAACAAGGGTAGCACTGAATTCAATGCCTCACAATTGCTGGTTTCAGTGCCTCTCTCAGAGATATGAAGTTAAAACCAGGTACTGTGAGAATTCACTTGATTTTTGGGTCTTACAAAGGTGCTTTTAAATTGTTAATAGTTGCTTTTAAAGCAAAGGAAAGGTGCTTTTAAATTGTTTAATTGTTGTTAAATTGGTGTCCTTGTGGGAGGTGATGATCTGTGGAGCTTTCTATTCCATCTTGCTCCACCTCTCCCTAGGTTGTCTTCTTTCTGTTTAGTTGTAGGAGCTTTCTTTTCTTTTTTTCTTTTGAGATGGTGTCACTCTGTCACCCAGGTTGGAGTGCAGTAGTGCCATCACGGCTCACTGCAGCCTCAAACTCCTAGGCTCAAGTGATCCTCCCACCTCAGCCTAATGAGTAGCTGGAATTACAGGTGCATGCCACCACACCCGCCTAATTTTTGTATTTTTTTGTAGAGATGAAATTTTGCCGTGTTGCCCAGGCTGGTCTCTAACTCCTGGATGCAAGCAATCCACTTGCCTCAGCCTCCCAAAGTGCTAGTATTACAGGCATGAGCCACTGTTCCTGGCTAAGTCGTAGGAGTTTACAATGTATTCTGGATACAAGTTCCTTACCAGATATAGAATTTGCAAATATTTTCTTGTATTTTGTTGGTTTTCATCACTTTTTTGTTCTTTGAAAGATAAAAGTTTTAAATTTTGATGAAGACTAATTTATTTTTTATTTTGTTGCTTGTGCTTTTGGTATCATACCTAAGAAACCATTACCTGATCCAAGGTCACAAAGAGTTACTTCTATGTTTTTTTTTTTTTTTGAGACAGAGTCTCCCTCTGTCGCCCAGGCTGGAGTGCAGTGGCACAAACTCGGCTCACTGCAAGCTCCGCCTCCCGGGTTCACGCCAGTCTCCGGTCTCAGCCTCCCAAGTAGCTGGTACTACAGGCGCCTGCCACAACGCCCAGCTAATTTTTGTATTTTTAGTAGAGATGGGGTTTCACCACGTTAGCCAGGATGGTCTCGATCTCCTGACCTTGTGATCCACCCGCCTCGGCCTCCCAAAGTGCTGGGATTACAGGCGTGAGCCACCGCGCCTGGCCACTCCTATATTTTATGAGTTTTATAGTTTTAGCTTTTATATTAGGTCATTGATGCACTTTGTGTTAATTTTTATATATGGTGTGAGATGAGGTCTAACTTGGTTCTTTTGCGTGTGAATATCCAGTTATCATAGAACTATTTGTTAAAAAGACAATTTTCCCCACTGAACTGTATTGGTACCTTTGTTGAAAATCAATAGACTATTCATAGGTTTATTTATGGATTCTTAATTCTATTCTATTGATCCACATGTCTATCCTTATTCCAATACCACAGTCTTGATTTCCATAGTTTTATAGCAAGGTTGAAATTGGAAGTGTGAGTCTTTCAACTTTATTCTTCTTTTGCCAGATTATTTTGACTGTTCTGGGTCCCTGCATTTCCATATACATTTTACTTAACTTATTTATTTTATTTGATTTTCGTAGAGATGGGGGTCTTGCTTTGTTGCCCAGGCTGGTCTCAAACTCCTGGCCTTGAGCGAGCCTCCCACCTTGGCCTCCCGAAGTGTTGGGATTAAAGGCATGAGCTGCCACACCTGGCCTCCATATTAATTTCAGTATCAGTTTATTAATTTATGCAAAAAAGGTAGATAGGATTTTTCACAGAGATTGCATTGAATTTATAGATCAGTTTTGTGAGTATTGCCATCTTAACAATATTAAGTCTTCCTTGCAATTCATGAGCAAGAAATTTATTTAGGTCTTTAAATTAATTTTGGTCTTTAATTTTTTTCAACTATGTTTTGTAGTTTTCACAGTATAATTTTTGCATACTTTTGGTTAAATTCATTCCTTTTTTGATGCTATTTTAAATGGAAGAGTTTTCTTAACTTTATTTTCAGATTTTTCATTGCTAGCATAGAAATACCATTTATTTTTGTATACTGATGTTGTATTCTGTACCCTTGCTGTACATATTTATTAATTCGATATTAATTCTAATAAGTTTTTTTTTTGCGAGGGTGGATGTGTGGATTCTATACACATCATATTATTTGTGAATAGGAATAATTTTACTTCTTCTTTTACAGTCTGAATGCCTTTTATTTCTTCCTCTTCCCTTCTTAACCTAGTTAGAACTTCCAGTACAGTATTAAAAAGAAGTGGTGAGGTGACACATCCTCATTCTGTTCCTGATCTTAGAGGAAAAACTTTCAGACTTTCACCATCAAATATGTTAGTTGTGGGAATATTTTCTTTGTTAGCCAAATAAGCTCTTGACTTGTTTTCAAAACTTAATTTTTCCATTACCTGGATCTGGTTCTTATTCATGCTTGGGAACCTGTATCTGCTTTGGGCAATTTTTTTTTCATCATGGCACCAGCAGCTGTTCATTTTCACTGTAACTTTTATTATTAGTCTCTTCTGGAATGGAAGATCTAACTGTGTTTGGCTGCTGTTTCTTCACGAGCTCCTGGGATCTGGACTCCCCAAGTCAGAAGTGTAAGGTGTGAAGCTTTGTGGCTTGTTGTGAAGAGAAAGTCAGTGGTTTTGGGAAAAGAAATGGATCTCTTTACATAAGTGTGTGTGTGTGAGAGAGAGAGAGAGAGAGAGAGAGTGTGTGTGTGTGTGTGTGTGTGTGTGTGTGTGTGTGTGTGTGGAGTGGGGGAGGGGGCGCGGGTAGTTTGTACTCCATAAGCTTCTTTTGGATAATGACTTAAGGGCAAATGGGCTGTGGACTCAGTCACAGTTTGGAGTTCTGGGAATGTTGAAAAAAGTATTTTCAGAGTTTCCCAAGATATGTTTCAAGGAGAACAGTCCTAACTCGTTTTGCAAAAATTGCTGTTAAGGTCATATGTGCTTGAGAAATGCTGCATGCTATAGGCTCCACTTGGAGATTCATTATGCATATTAGTGCTTATATTACTTAGGGGCCAGTCTAAGTTCTGGATCAAAGACCCCAAGATACAGTGGCTCAAACAAGATGGAAGTTTCTTTCTAACAATCCAGAGATGATTAGTACAAGGCTGAGTAGGTGGCTTTCTGGTCCAAAGTGGCTGCTCCTGCTCTTGTCATCACATTTACATCCCAGCCAGCAGAAAGGAGAAATGGCAAGTCAAACATAGGCTTATTTCTTTAAACAACATGACTAGAAGAGACACCTCACTTCTGCTCACATCCCCTTATTCAGATCTTACATCCTCATTCCCAGCTGAAAGGGAGGCCAGGAAAAAGCATCTAGCTGGCATATATGTGTTCAGCTAAAATTTAAGAGTTTTATTATTAAAGAAAGAGGAAGAGAATGACTATTGGAGAACAACTAGTTATCTCTGCCACAGCATATTGAAGGCTTTGAGAAATCCTGCAGCTAAGAGATTTGGTCTGTTTTTGGTTTTTGTTTTGTTTGTTGATGAAAAAGCTACCAATAATCCAGAGTCATTAGTGTTCCTTGGAACATGCCTTGGGAAATGCTTTTATAGGTAACCTCAAGTCAGCGGGGTCTATTGCACTCCCCTTCCTCCAAGATCTGAGTGCTGAGACCATGGCCTTGCAAACTGCCTGATTATTATTTGGAGAGTGTCAGCTAGTGGGCTTTTCTGGAACAGAACGAGACTGGATATTGTATATGGGAAGCTGGTAGAATATTGTGCATGCAAAGCTGGTATGTTTTTGAGTTTGGAAATTCTCTGTTCTAATTTCAGGGAGGAACAGTTAGAGCAAAACAAAATGACAAATACTGCACACACCCAAGAGTAAGAGGCTCTAGTGCCAGCCCAAATATTTATACACCAGCCAGCCTCCAGAATGGGACAGAAGAACCAATGAATACCTTTTCCCTGGGGGATCATGACAGAGGTAGGCTACATTGCATGTTCCACATGTGAGAGGCATGTCTGAAATGAGGAGCAGTAGAAGGGCGGCCATTGGCAATTAGTCAAGGTTGGGAATCCTGAGGAGGCTTCTCCATGGGAACATCCCCCTGGGTCTGGGCTGAGGAAAGGAGGAGAAAGTATGAGCTTTCAGGCTAGACAGGGTTCAAATCCCAGCTCTGCCTTGTAGTAGCTGGGTGACCTTGAGCAAGCTCTTTAACCTCTCAGAGGCTCTGTTTCCTCATTTGTAAAGTGTAGGTGTGAGTCACTGTCTCCTAGGGTCATTGCAATGATCAAATATAGAAAAGAAAAAGTGTCTGGCACTCCTCCTCCTCCTTTTCATACCACAAGGACATTGGGCTCCTGTACCCAAGGTAAAATTAAGCTTTGCCTACAGTGGCTGCAGAGGGCAGTTCTAGCCCCATTATTCCTTGTCTGATAGAAGAAAGTGGCAAATCTGGCCTAATGCAATCACAGCGAGGAAGGCAGAGAAAAAACACTGGGCAAAGGGGCAGGAGAGAGGGTGAAAGCCCCAGTCCTGCTGTGAACTGGATCCCTTCCCCTCTCTGGGCCTCAGATTCCTCCAAGTTAATCGGACTAAATGGCCTGGGGTCTGTTCAGTTCATACAGTTGGTGGGCTCTGGCCTTATCCTCAGACTGCCAGCTCTTCTCTGAAAAATAGATGGAATTTTTCTTGAATTTTCAGTATGTGCAAGAAGCACGTACTTCTCCAAAATGCCTTCCTGTGTTAATTTATTTGACTAAGAAGGTTTGCAGTGACAGACACCAAACAGGAAACGGCTGTCATAGCTGCTGTCTGCAAGTTTTGTTTTTTTTTAAGGCTTTCTCCTGCACAACTCACCTTCTCTTCATGGCTTGGTATCAAGTGCTGGGGTGAATGGAAGGGAAAGGGAAAGGGAAACACATTTTTAGAAGGGAACATTTTCCTTCAAGTTCAGGGTCTACTGAAGGTTAAGGAGTATGACTATCCACAATGGCAGCGTTAGGTGGCTCCATTGCAGGGCCTTTGCACACTCAGTTCCCTCTGCCTGGAATGTCCACTCTGCTCGGTTTTTCTAGTTAATTCTACTTCTTTAGGATCAGCTCAAGCATCACTTTCTCAGAGTCTTCCAGATCCGTCTAGATTGTTTGTTGGTGCTGTGTTCTTGTAGAACCTTCCTTCAGTGCACTCATCTTGGTTTGCAATGGCATGTTCAGTAGTGTGATGTTTTGGTTAATGTCTCCCTACCCTCCTGTAACTGGACCATAAGCCCCACAAAGACAGGAGCCTTGTGGCTTGCCACCACATCTCTGGCAGCGAGCATGGTGCCTGGTACATAGTAAGCACTCAGTCCATGTCCATTGAATGAATGAGAAAACTCCCACCCCTTCCACAGCCCAGGTAGGCTGGCCACGACACAGTGTCTGTGGGATACATCTTGGCCTTGTCCCCTCGCCTGGTCAGCCTCGTCATGCAGGCCTTTTTTGCTTTCCATTCTCCAGGACTTTGTTTCCACTCTACCAAAGCATCTGATAAATTAATCCAGAGCCAACACTGGTGCCGGAGGCCCATGACAGCCCCTTCCGCAGCTACTTATAACTAACTTGGGGAGCAGGGGCCTCTGAAGACTGCGAGAACTTTGAGGCCAAAAGGAATGAGTATCTAATGGTGGAACTTCAGGTACCCCAAATGGCAGTAGAGGAAAAGGCTAACCCTGATCTTAACACTGTATCAATACCTTTTCTTGGAACTCAAAGACTCTAAGTCAGCCCCGTCTTCCAAGCCGCATTGAGGGCATTGTGCTAGCACACTGTGGGCACATGCATGTGTGTGTGTGTCTGTGTGTGCACACGTGTGCCTGTGTGTGTGTGTGTGTGATGAATTAGAGGGAACAGAAGACAAAGACATTGGTCTTGATTGGCAGACCTATAGGAGAAGGCAGGGCCCCCAGATGATCTCGTGTTGAACAACTCACCAGACTGTCCTGCTGGCAACAGCACGACGGCCTCTGGAAGCTCGCCCTTGCTTGTCGACATTACAGAACAGGATTATGTTCCTAACTGGGGTTTCATGCAGCACATGGGAAGGGCCCATTCCCTTGGGCTCCTGGGAGGTGTGTGACCTGCTGTCTTAGGCCCAGAGCCAAAGCCTGTTCTGGAACCAGAAGAGTCAGGGCTTGGCTGTGGCTTCGGAGCCAAAGGAAGCCCCCACCCAGCCAAGATCAGGTCTGGGAGGGGCAGGACCAGAATGTGACCCTTCCCTTGAGGGTATCTTGAAGGTGAGGCCTGGAGCTACAGGAAGGAGGCCCTGAGAGCCCTAGGTGGGGAAGGGCGCAGCAGAATTACCCACTGTCAGAGGGGATTCTGAGGGAGGGCCTCCTGCTTCTTAGGAAAGCACGAGTGTAGAGTAAGTTCCTGGGATAACTTGGGCAGTAGAGAGGAATTTGGGAAACAGGATGGGTTTTTTGGGAGTTTTCTGGGAGGTAAGTAGACTTGAAGGAAAGCAAACTTAAAGCAGAATGGAGTTCAGGATCCTGGAAGGTAAGTTGGCAGCACATCTTCCAAAGATGAGAGCTGTTGGTGTCTGATACCAATGCTGCCTCCAATGGGCTGATCCAAAAAAGCTCACTCTAGTTAAGCTGCCTCATTTCAGAGACAAGAAAACTGAGGCTGGGGCCAAAGGATTAAGTGATGAAACATTGCATCTCTCAAACAAAAACGTTTCAGGAAGGTGAAATCAGAGATGTGAATGTGCCATGGGGAAAATAGCTCCACAAACCCAAAATATAATCTGCCACCATAATCTCAAGGGGACCTAGGACCGATTGAGAGATTAGTTGTGTCCAGAAGGCTGTTCCCTTACCAAGCACGTGTGCACAGATAAGAGAGGTTATATAAGATGGGAGGCCAGGGAGCCAGGAGCATGCAGACAAGAAAAACATTAGTGCAGGGAGGTCACCTTGATCCGAGGAAGCCCATTGTGCTAAGATTAGAGCTGGCCCTCACAGAGGTTACAAAACAAATCAGGGTCACGGCCCTGTGGGCCCTAAGGCACACGGGAAAACAAAATCTGGAACCTTTAAACACTTTAAAATCTGGATTGAGAAAGTGAAGAGATTGCTCCTCTCTGGCAGGCTGCTCACTGGAGGTTTTTCAAGCTGAGCCAGACTGCACACAATTGTTAGTAATTTGTGATCCTGAGATACCAAATTAGTTAATTTTCCTGCATGTGAATTTTCCTTTTTTAATCCCACCTCATCTTTAGGTCCAGAATTCAGCTCCTGCTGTATTAAATCCTGTTTTTAAAGGCAAACTGTTTTTTTCTCCTGGAAAAAAAAAAGAGATAGATGCATTAACATGATCTGAAAGGCCAGATTAGCATTTTCTCCTGATAATTAAGATTCCGCACTAGACAATCACTACCTTATTTCTCCTAAGATGATAGACACCTGGCTTATGTTTCTTCCCTCGGAGATTAGACACTTGTTTTCTGAGTCTCTTACTGGCTGCACAATCCAAGAGAGACATGGAAAATGTGGAGATAGAGGGGTTGGGTAATAAGACCTCTTATTTCAAAGAGGACTGGGGTTTTGCAGGCTGGAGAACAAAAGACTGAATGGCAATTTAATGCTACTCAAAAAAGGTCACCTGGCAGGGTGCAGTGGCTCATGTCTGTAATCCTGGCACTTTGAGGGGGCTGAGGTGACAGGATTGCTTGAGACCAGGAGTTTGAGGGTAGTCTGGGAAACAAAGTGAGAACCCGTCCCTACAAAAAAAATTAAAAAATTAGCTAGGTGTGGTGGTGTGCACCTGTAGCCCCAGCTACTCAGGAGGCTGAGGCAGGAGGATTGCTTCAGCCCAGGAGTTCGAGGCTACAATGAGCCATGGTGGTGTCACTGCACTCCAACCTGGGCAACGGGCTCCCCATCTCAATAAAAAAAATAAGGTCACCTGCTTTTCATACCAAGCAAGGGACCCCAGGGTTAAGGGACAGCACAGGACATTTAAGTTGGACACACTTATCTGGTGGGGAGTGTGTGGGAGTGTTGGGGTTTGCTTTCTCCTGTGGCTTTTTCATTTCAAAAGGATAGATTATCATTTGCTCTAATGGGTGTAGGGAAGTCCCTTTCTGAAGGCAGAGGGTGGGCCTGGAGCCTGTAAGCTTTTCCTGTCCCGTGGCTGCTCCCTCCAGGTCTCTGTTCTTCACTGCCCCCCTCTTGAGCTCTTCTACTTTAAGGAACCAAATGCCACTTCCACGGTGGAACTGCGTGAGCTGGCGCCTCTATGCCCAGAGGCTGCAGGGCAGGCTAAAAAGAGAATGTGGCCTGGGATCACCTAACGTTGCCGTTTCAGCTCCATCTCATCAATGCAGTGGAACAAGGTGACTGTCAGTGAAATGTACCCTTTTCTGGGCAGCAAGATCACCTCAGAGCTCACACAAGTTTCTGAGGGCAAAGACATCCTGTCCTGGGATTTAAATAGACAAGTCTAGCATTTAAGGAGCATGAGGTCATTTTCAAAGAGGGCGGCCTAAAGAGGGATGTTTATGTGAATGTGATGCCAAAGGAATCCACTCCAGCTTTTAGAGAAGCTCTGACCATCTCCTCATGGTGGGAATGCAATACCAATGGGTAACAGCACCATGCACGAGGTATTTCACGTGGGAGCTCTCATTTCATTCTCAGAGGAGCCCTGTGAGGCAGGCATTATTATCCCCAGGCAACAGATGAGGAGAGGAAGACTTGGGTCACAGTGGTGGTGAATGGCAGAGCCAGCCTGCACCTAGTTTCACTGCAGTTATGCACATGCTCTTTCTTTCATACTAGCAGCCCCCATGGAAAGATCTGGGTCAGCTGATCTCCTGCCATTCAGGCTCAAAGGTTGGCCTCTTTGGGACTATGATCAGGCAGAAGTCTCAGAGCCTTGTACTTTGTCAATGAAATCCAGTGTTTTCCTTCATCTTCTAGCCAATGCCCGACAACCTCAGAAGGAACCAGGGTCAACGTCACCACAGTTAACACATGCCTTCCAAAAAAGGAGCTGGGTAAAGCACCAGGGCTCCCTCAGTTTCCCAGGCTGGGCCACGGGAAATGCATAGAACCAGTTTCCTCAGGAGCTGAGCCACAGGGATAGCTGGTGTGGCAGCCACCCAGCTTGGTCCTCTAGATAGTTGAGTATCCTGGGAATAAGATTAATGCCAGCTGAAGCCATGGCTGCCTCATTTGTCTTCACATCGCCCCTCGTATCTCCTACATAGCACCTGTGTCATACCCTGCTTCCACCACGCCCAGACTAGCACACAACCTGTCTCCTCCGTTAGACCATGAGGTGTTGAAAGGTGTGGCTGGTGTGCCCACACCATGTTGCCAGGAACACGTGGTAGATAGAGGCTTGGATGAACTGAGTTGAAAGGAGTTTGTGTTAGAAGCAGGTAAGAGGTGCTTCTTCCCTCTTTGCACAAACTTTGATCTTAAATTCCTGTGGTTAGAATATGAAATTAATGACTCCAGGTTTTTAAACTAGCTTGGAATAATGAGAATAAAGCTGGAGTAGGACCTAGCACAACTCCCTCAAATCCTGGGTTTGCTACTTTCTAAGATTTGGGCAAGTTATCTAACCTATTTCAACTTGAGTTTCTGGCATCAAATATGAGTCCTAGTTAATCTGAGTTTTAAGAGAAATGAATGAGATCACAAAGATGAAAACACTTGTAAACGGGAAATACAAGGTGAATAATTTTTTGTGTTGTGGAAAAAATATAATGAATAATCCAGTTGTCTTAGCAGTTCTAGAGTTTTGTTTTGTCTCATTTTATGACATAGCCCTCAAGACACACACACACACACACACACACACACACACACACACACACACACACCTGTAACTACCTAAATCAAAATATAGAATATTAGTACCATCAGAGGCTCATTTTGGGGCCCTTCATAGTCAATATCCCCCAAAAGTAACCCTAGATTTGACTTTCCTGTTCTTGCATTTGGGATTTTACCTGAAACCTCTTTGTTTGGGGTTTCCCCAACATCCCAGCTCCTCCTCCCCTGCCTTCCAGTTCTGCAATGCCCCCTGGGTTCTCCCACTCAAGAGAGGTTACACCGTGAGATGATGGCCACGAGGCCAGCCTCAGGGCCCACAGACCGTGGAGGAGCCCAAGGCTGGAAGCCACTCCCCGCCTCTCAGGCTGGATGTACCTCACAGGCCTCTGTTACCACATTTCCATAACTTCACACCCATCTGCCTCAGAGTCATTCTCTCCCACCAGCCTGTGAGCTTCCTGAGGACATGGATCATGTTCTATCCATTCTACATTCCTTGATCCCTGCCGCAGAGCAGGTGTTTGCGTAACCCACCTGAGTTGTAGAGTTTGGTATAGGACAGGATATCAAATTTGGCAGGTACCAAATTCATTACCCAAATCACTAATCAGGTAACGAATTCACCTTCTTAGCTGAGCTCAGTGGCTCGTGCCTGTAATCCCAATAATTTGGGAGACTGAGGTGGGAGCAACACTTGAGGCCAGGAGTTCACGACTAGCCTGGGCAACATAACAACACTCCATTTCTATAAAGAAATGAAATAAAAAAGAATTAACCTCTAGGGAGTTTGCCTTTTCAGCACCAAAACATGGAGAAAGTTTCCAAGGTTCTTGCAACTGGGGAAACTAACTTGCAAAATATCACCCTCTCCTTCAGTGGGAGACATCCCAAGGATACAAAAATAGCTTTTAAATGTGTGCAATTATTTATTAATTTTTTTAAATGACAAAATGTCAAGGAGCCCCAAAGCCAGCAGCCAACATTGCACAACCCAGGTTGCTAGGAGTGGCACTGCTGCTGGGACAGTTGAGGCAAGAACCTTGAAAACTGTCTTCATGTTCTGTTGCTGAAAAGACAAACACCCAGGAGGTGGATCCCTGAGCCAGCAGCATGACTGACCCAGCGACTCCTCAGCTGCACACAATTGGACAGGAAGCAGGCCTGGCACTTCTTATGTCCTATGCAGGTTTTGCTTGGCCAGCTTGGTAGATGGGGTTTTACAGGGAGAGCGGCCAAGCTGGTTCTGTGCCTTCTCTGTTTTTTCCACCTTTGACCCAGCATTAACTCTAGGAGATTTCCCCTCCCCCAGCTACTCACTAGCCCAGCTCAGCCCCATTGGTAAAAATGTGGAGCTGTCACCAAGTCCATCACCATCTCCCCTTGCTTCCACCTTCCTGTCCTGTCTCAAGTCCACGTGTTCTCTCCATCCCAGCCACCCCTGCCTTAGCTCAGCTCCGGGTTAAGTCTCACCTGGGTCACCAGTCTCTGTTCTTCTCACTGCTGAATCCGCTGATGACATCACCACCAGTGTGACACCTGATGGCCTCACCATCACCTGCTTAAAACCATTCCATGCTTTCCCATGGGCTTAAAGATAGATTTTAAAACAACAGCTTCACTGAATATCTTCATTAATATATAATTCAAATATCACAGAGTCCACTCTTGAAAAGTACAATTCAGGCCGGGTATGGTGGCTCACGCCTGTAATCCCAGCACTTTGGGAAGCCTAGGTGGGTGGATTGCGTGAGTCCAGGAATTCGAGACCAGCCTTGGCAACATGGGGAAACCCCGTCTCTACAAAAAATACAAAAGTTAGCCGGGCGTGGTCATGCACGCATGTAGTCCCAGCTACTCAGGTGGCTGAGGTGGGAGGATGGCATGAACTTGGGAGTCTAGGCCATTGTAAGCTGAGATCACACCACTGTACTCCAGCCTGGGTGACAGAGAGAGAGAGACCCTGTCTCAAAAAGAAAAGTATACAATTCTGTTGTCTTTAGTGTAGTCACTTGGTTGTATAATCGTCATCACTAGCTAACTCCACGTTTTCACCACGTCAAAAAAGAAACCCTTCATCCATTAGCACTCACTCCCCAATCTGCCTTCCCCCCAGCCCCAGACAACCACGAATCTACTTCTCCCTCTACGGGTTTGCTTATTCTGCATATTTTATATTAGTGGAATCACACAATATGCAGTCTTTTGTGTCTGGTTTCTTTCATTTAGCACAATGTTTTCAAGGCTGGTCTGGGCTATAACATGTATCCGTATTTTATTCCTTTTCATGGCTAATTGGCATTTGATGGTGTTGCTATGCCACATTTTGTTTATCCATTCATCAGCTGATGAACATTTTGGTTGTTTCTGCTTTTTGGTGATTATGAATAGTTCTGCCATGAACACTTGTGTACAGGTTTTTGTGGGGGCCTACGTTTTCGTTTGTTTTGTGTAACTAACTAGGAGTGGAGTTTCTGGGTATCTTATGGTGTTTAAGGATCCATTTCAACGCCTTACTGTGAGGCCAGGGCCCTGCCCATTCAGAGCCTGCCACGCCCTGGCCCAGACTCCACTCCTGTCTTGCCAGAGCAGATGACTGCAACACTCAGAACATACCACACCCGACACTTCCTGCCATCCACCCCCTCTGCATGGCCTGCCTCTCTCCAGCCTCTGCACCTGGATAACTCCTTCAAAGCTCAGTTCAGGCATCACCACTAACAGGGAATTCTCCAGTGAACAAAACAAAATCCCTGCTCTTGTGGAACTCTTGTTGGAGAGAAGTGAAATAGGTAAAAAGAAATAAAAGTATGTATTAACAGGCATACATGTTATGCACCCAACTGTTTACCAAAAATTTAAGCTTCCCTTTCCACAGTGTGGAATTGTTGCTATCCCAACAGGAATAAGGTTTCTATTTTCCAGCCTTCTTTCTATCTGGATGTGACCACGTCATGAATTCTTGTTAGTGGGATGGAAGTAGAGAGATGTGTGTCACTTCTGGGATTGGGCTTTTAAGAAGTGGGTGGGTTTTTGCCATACTCTCTCTTCTATTCTGCAGTTTGGGTGCAGGGGACTTTGAGGCACTAGGAATGGCAGGTCTGCAGGATGGCAGGAGCCTGAGTGCCTGAATCACCACATGGAAGCCACCCATATGCTCACCAGGAGCACCACATCAGGCTGATGGAGGATGAGGATCCAACTCCTATTGTCTTGGGCCACTGAAGTGTTGAGTTCCTTTCTGAAGGCAGTTAGTGTTTCCCTCATACAATTAAAAATGAAAGGATTTTTCCATCAGGTAGTCAGACATAGTTCATCTTTTCTGGAGCAGAAAAGAGGATGTGAACTTTTACTTGCTTCCTGCTTTGGTGCCTTTTGTGTGAGGGTCTGCTAAGTCAACCCTGAAAAATTTTCCACCTGTCAAAAATATTCCCAAGCCCGGTGCGGTGGCTCACGTCTCTAATCCCAGCACTTTGGGAGGTCGAGGCTGGCAGATTGCTTGAGCTCAGGAGTTCAAGACTGGCCTGAGCAACATGGCAAAACCCTGTCTCTACCAGAAAATACAAAAATACAAACATTAGCCAGATGTGGTAGTGCACATCTGTAGCCCAGCTACTGGGAAGGCTGAGATGAGAGAATTCCTTGAACTCAGGAGGTCGAGGCTGCAGTGAGCCATGATGGCATCACTGTACTCCAGCCTGGGCAACACAGTGACACCCTGTCTCAAAAAAAAAATTCTCAAGGTACCCTCAGCAGATCCAGTCAAACGAGAGGAAGCATGGATTTTTGGGAAGGGGAGAGAAATGGGGTTTCTGCCTTTTATAGTAATGACCCCCTCCCACCAGTTCCCAAGTCTCCTCACCTAAACATATACAATTTACTCATGTAACTGTCTGCAGGCCGAGACATATTTTCTACACCAGAGTTTTGGAAATGAGCTCTCAAACCCTGTGATAGCAGAGCTCTAGGTAAATGAAAACATGGCCTGTGCCCCAGGCCTGCTGTTCTCTCCTTGAAGCTCATCTCTGCACATTGCGCATGTTCAACTTGCTGAGCAGGAAAAGAAGATCCCAGGTGGAGACACGGGAGGGGGTTACATCTCACTCGAGAGCACAGCGTCCCCACTCTCACCTTAATTGGCTCTGCTCTGCTCAAATTCTCTCCTCACAGCCTCTTTGCCTCCTCTTTATTCCCTCCTCCCCTCCCCTTCCCTGGTCCCACCTGTTCATCTCGGCCTCATGCCTCTTCAGGAAGTTGCCTCTGCCCAGTGTGGGACCCCCTCTTTTGGGTCTCTCCCTCCTTTTTTCATATACAAAGCATCAGTATTTCCATTTTACCCCCTTAATCCTAGTTACACAAATTAACTTTCTCTGAATCCACCCTTAAACAAAGTAGAGCAAGGGCGTTATAAATAACCATAAGGTTGTTTATCCTAGCAGGAACTCAAAAAATGCCTATTTTCATTCTTTCTTTCTGTCTTTTACATGCCCAAAACATCTGCCACAGTATAAACAGTCAACACATCCTTATCAAATGCAACCAAGGGGCTTTGGAAATATATTGGAAACACATTGAATGTACCAAAAGAAGGCACAATTTAAGGTGGAGTTGTGATGGCAACTAGCATCTTATTCAGTTGCATGAAAGATTTTAAGTTGATTCAACCAAGGATGCAGAAGGAAAGAGCTGCTTTGCACCACGTGGTGGCATCTAACAGATACCAACAGGTGTTCCTGGCTTATCGCTAGGTGATTGTGGTTTCGCATTTAAGTTCACGGGCCACCAACACCTGCGATTTTGCATATTCCTGCTCAGACCACAAAAATCTTTATTATAACGTTTGAGTACCCTGGAGTGGATAACTCCAAACTGACCCAAACACCGTCCTTCCATCTTCAAGGTGAGTCCAGTCTTTTAAGCGTTTTAAATTCTGTAGACATGAGACGTGTGATGCAGGGTGCCTGCTCCTTAGAGTTCACAAGGATTGGGTATCTTCCAGCTTGGAGATAATAGTTTTCCCATCAAGTTGTCGTTACTATTATTATTCTTTTATCATTTTTTTTTAGAGACAGGGTCTCGCTGTGTCACCCAGGCTGGATTGCAGTGGTGCAATCATAACTCATTGCAGCCTCGAACTCTTGGACTCAAGCAATCCTCCTGCCACGGCCCCTCATCATTATAGCCAAACTTTATTGAGCATTACGATGTGGCAGGCACTGTCCTAAGCACTTTGAGATTTTATCTCACAATATCCACGCAACTGTCCTAGGAGGTAGCTACTATTGTTGTCCCTATTTTACCAAGGAGGAACCTGAGGAGTTAATCCATTTGTCTAAGGTCACTTGGTAAGTAAAAATTGGAAGACAGGCTTCCAGGTCTATCAGACTCCAAAGATCTGCACTCTGAACCCCCGTGTTTCTCAGCAGGTGGAACACCTGACTTTTATGAGTGACACAAGTATAAAGTTGGAATGCAAATCATTACTCTGGTGCATCCCTGGGCCCCCAGCAGTATGGCTGGTTTGGTTCAGGGCCTTTGTTGAAGGTTCAGGTCTGCTTCGCAGATGGCTTGAAAAGGAGGATGAAGAGGAAGGGGAGGAAGAGGAGGAGAAGTAAGTTGCTTTTAGGCTGTATTTAGCATATTCTAAGGCAATTAGTGAATGCTCTTTTTTGTGTTTCAGATGAATGGTGGCCCCTTCAGTGATGATAGAATCCACCAGTCTCCCATTTAGAAGGAACCTAACAACATGTAGTTGAGGCTTCTGCCTCCAGGAAAGATTGGAGAGATGACCCTCCAGACCTGTTTCCTTATCACTACAAATGGGCTTAGGGGTGCAGGCAGACCGATGGCCTTGAGGCCTGTATTAGTCCATTTTCATACTGCTGTGAAGAAATACCTGAGACTAGGTAATTTATAAAGAAAAAGAGGTTTAATGGGCTCACAGTTTCACATGGCTAAGGAGGCCTCACAATCATGGCGGAAGGCAAAGGAGGAGCAAAGGCACACCTTACATAGTGGCAGGCAAGAGAGCATGTGTAGGGAAATTGCCTTTTAAAAAACCATCAGCTCTCGTGAGACTTATTCACTATCATGAGAACAGCATGGGAAAAACCCTCCCCCATGATTCAATTACTTCCCACCAGATCCCTCCCATGACACGTGGGGATTATGGGAGCTACAATTCAAGATGAGATTTGGGTGGGGACACAGCCAAATCATATCAAGGCCCTTTCTGGACTGGGTTAGAAGGCTGGGAGAGGTGCCAGCCTCTGGTGTTCCTCTGTAGAGTAAAGCCAAGGATTCCATCTTCTCCCTAGGATGATGTCCATTATCTGATAACCTATCAAGGTGATCTCCGGCTGCAGTCTCTCCTCTGGAGGAGATGGGTAGAAGAAATGCTTGAAGTTCTGGGGATCTGGGGGCTGGGTTGCAACAGAGCTGTTGAGAAGGTAACTAGGAACAGGAGCTGTCCATTAGATTTTGGTTGAACCACTATGGAAAACAGTGTGGACATTTCTTAAAGAACTAAAAGTAGAACTACAATTTGATCCAACAATCTTACTACTGGGTATCTACCCAGAAGAAAAGAAGTCATTATATGAAAAAGATACTTGCACACATGTTTATAGCAGCACAATTCATAATTGCAAAAACATGGAACCAACCCAAATGCCCATCAATCAACAAGTGGATAAAGAACCTGTGGTATATATATACAATGGAATACTACTCAGCCATAAAAAGGAATGAGTTAATGGCATTTGCAGTGACCTGGATGGGATTGGAGACTATTATTCTAAGTGAAGCCACTCAGGAATGGAAAAATGTTCTCACTCATAAGTGTGAGATAAGCTATGAGAATACAAAGGCATAAGAATGACACATGGGACTTTGGGGACTCAGGGGAAAAGGATGGGAAGGGGAATGAGGGATAAAAGACTACAAATAAGGTGCAGTGTATACTGCATTGGGAGATGGATGCATAAAATCTCACAAATCACCACTAAAGAACTCACTCGTGTAACCAAAAACTACCTGTTCCCCAATAACCTATGGAAATTAAAAAAAAAAAAAAAGATTTTGGCTGAGGAATCTGCTCTTGGTAAATTAACTTTCACCTTCCATGTTTGCATTTTGATTTGTTTTTCCTTCCTTATTGGTTGTGATAGATTGATTTATTGGCCCTGATTCTTCACTCTTTCCCGTGTTCACACCTCTACCCATGTGACTTGGCAGTTCCACCCACTAGAGGCAGATCTTACTTGTTCCTCAGCTTTGGGCTCACCCTGTGACTGGCTTGGTCAATGGGCTGTTAACAGATATGTGAGCAGGACTTAATATGTGTTTGCATGGTTAGGCTTATTTTTTCAGGCCTTTGCCACCATCATGAGAAAAACATGCCAAGCTTGCCCACTGGTCCAAGGAGAATAAGGGATGTGTGGATAAGATCTGATCTCAATTTGCAGCTTAGAGCTATTCAGCCAAGCTCAGCCTGTATCAGATGGCCCTCCAGCCAATAAACAGATGCATGAGCAAAATGCATGCTTGTTAGGATGTGTCACTGAGATTTTGTGGTTGTATGTTATGTTGCTATGGCTGACTGATAAATTAGTTAAAGTTCCTTTTGACGCACTCCAATGTTCTCTTTGCTGAATTTATAAGTAAAAGTATTTCCCAAACTTTGGTTAGGGTATCTGCTGGAATCTAGATGCTCCTAAGTCCAGGAGGCCATCTCCAAATCCTGGGGAGGGCTGCAGCAAGTCTAGAAAGAAAGAAAGAGGATTTAGGAAATGCTAATCAACCTGGAATAAGAATCTGTTCTTACGCTTTGAAAAGTTTGTTGTAAAATGAATGCTTCCATTTTATCTTTAGGTCAAAACTGTAGAATGTTCAGCTCTGATGAGATAAACTGAGGCTGCTTGGGAGAGAATTTTTGGATCTGCCTGGAATTTGTGCAATCTGAAATGAAGACCATGGAGGCTCTATGTGAACCACGAGACTAGAAAGAATGATGCCCATTCTCCTGCTTCCAGGAAGGACTGTATTTTTACACATAGTATTTTTGTTCTGACTATGACAAAAATACATACACATTTTGGAAAGTACAGAAAATAATAAAGAAAATGAAAACAATCTACAATTCTACTACCCAAAGATGATTACGATTGGCATTTGAAATTTTCTGAGTTTACAAAAAAATGCCTTTTATCCTGCCTTTTAAAAAATGCATAGCATTATATCTGAAGAATTCTTTCATGTTGTTAAAGACTCTTTGTAAACATTAGTTTCAAGGAATGATACTATTTCGGAGATGGTTTTCCTGTTATTTGTGTTACCAATTCCCTAATGTTAGGAATTTAGTTATTTTCAATTTTTCACAAGGGTAAATAATGCTTAAATAAGCATTTTTACACACATTTTTGTTACTTATTTATTTTTAAGACAAGTTCTTGTTCTGTCACCCAGGCTGGAGTGCAGTGGTGCAATCACAGCTCACTGTATCCTTGACCTCCCAGGCTCAAGTGATCCTTCCACCTCAGCCTTCCTAGTAGCTGGGACTACAAGTCTGCACCACCAAGCTTGGCTAATTTTTTATATCTATTTTTAGTAAAGATGAGGTCTCACTATGTTGCCCAAGCTGGTCTCAAACTCCCGAGCTCAAGCTCCTCCCATCTTAGCTCCCAATGTGCTGGGATTCGAGGTTTGAGCCACTGCACCTGGCCCTGGCCTGTTAGTTTTTATTGTTATCTTAGAACAGATTACTAAATGTATAAAAGGAACACACACACACACACACACACACACACACACACATATATATGTGTGTGTTAGTCTGTTTTCATGCTTCTGATAAAAACATACCCAAGACTGGGAGACTGGGCAATTTACAAAAGAAAGAGGTTTATTGGACTTACAGTTTCACATGGCTGGGGAGGCCTCACAATCATGGCAGAAGGCAAGGAGGAGCAAGTCACATATTATGTGGATGGCAGCAAGCAAAGAGAGAGCTTGTGCAGAGAAATTCCCATTTTTAAAACCATCAGATCTCATGAGACCCATTCACTCTCATGAGAACAGCATGGGAAAGACCCGCCCCCATGGTTCAATCATATCCCACCAGGTCCCTCTCACAACACATGGGAATTATGGGAGCCACAGGATGAGATTTGGGTGGGGACACAGAGCCAAACCATATCATTCTGCCCCTGGCTCCTCCCAAGTCTCATATCTTCACATTTCAAAACCAATCATGCCTTCCCAACAGTCCCCCAAAGTCTCAACTCATTTCAGCATTAACTCAAAAGTCCACAGTCCAAAGTGTCATCTGAGACAAGGCAAGTCCCTTCTACCTATAAGCATGTCAAATCGAATGTAAGTTAGTTTCCTCCATGGGTACAATAGGAGTACAGGCATTGGATAAATACAGCCATTCCAAATGGGGGAAATTGGCCAAAACGAAAAGGCCACAGGCCCCATGCAAGTCTGAAATCCAGCAGGGCAGTCAAATAAAGCTCCAAAATGATCTCCTTTGACTCCATGTCTCACATCCAGGTCATGCTGATGCAAGAGGTGGATTCCCATGGTCTTGGGCAGCTCCACCCCTGTGGCTTTGCAGGGTACAGCCCCCATCCTGGCTGCCTTCACAGGCTGGAATTGAGTGTCTGCGTCTTTTCCAGGTGCATGGTGCAAGCTGTTGGTGGATCTACCACTCTGGGGTCTGGAAGACAGTGGCCCTCTTCTCACAACTCCACTAGGCAGTGCCCCCATAGGGACTCTGTGTGGGGGCTCTGACCCCACATTTCCCTTCTGCACTGCCCTAGCAGAGGTTCTCCATGAGCACCCACCCCTGAAGCAAAGCTCTGCCTGGATATCCAGGTGTTTCCATACATCTTCTGAAATCTAGGTGGAGGTTCCCAAACCCCAGTTCTTGACTTTTGTGCACTCGCAGGCTCAACACCACATGGAAGCTGCCAAGGCTTGGGCCTTGCACCCTCTGAAGCCACGGCCTGAGTTCTACATTGGCCCCTTTCAGCCACAGCTGGAGTGGCTGGGACCCAGGGCACCAAGTTTCTAGGCTGCACAGAGCACGGGAGCCCTGAGCCTGGCCCAGGAAACTGAATGCCTTTAACAGCACCTTTAATAGCACCTCTTGAATGCTTTGCTGCTTAGAAATTTCTGCCAGATACCCTAAATCATCTCTCTCAAGTTCAAAGTTCCACAAATCTCTAGGGCAGGGCAAAATGCCGCCACTCTCTTTGCTAAAACATAGCAAGAGTCATCTTTTCCCCAGTTCCCAACAAGTTCCTCATCTCCATCTGAGACCACCTCAGCCTGGACCTTATTGTCCGTATCACTAGCAGCACTTTTGTCAAAGCCATTCAAGTCTCTAGAAAGTTGGAGTTTCCCACATTTTTTTGTCCTCTTCTGAGCCCTCCAAATGGCTCCAACTTCTGCCTATTACCCAATTCCAAAGTCGCTTCCACATTTTTGGGTGTCTTTTCAACAACGCCCCACTCTGCTGGTACCAATTTACTGTATTAGTTCGTTTTCACGCTGCTGATAAAGACATACCCAAGACTGGACAATTTACAAAAGAAAAAGGTTTAATTGGACTTACAGCAAAGATTTTTAAAGTATCCTCAAAGAATACCAAGGAGAACTAAAACAGAAACCCTCACACATAGCTGGTAAGAGTATAAATTGGCACAATTTGCTTCAGAAATTATACCCTGAGTCTTAAGAATATTCATTTTGGCTGAGTGTGGAGGCTCACGCCTGTAATCCCACCACTTTGGGAGGCTGAGGCAGGAGTTCGAGACCAGCTTGGGCCATATGTCGAGGCTACTTGGTATTCTAGACCATGATCTGAGGTCAAGCCAGTGGACAGGAAAATCCTGAGGTCAACCTGACCTCAGGTTGAAGAACTAGCCCAACAGGACGGTTATAAGGGGAGGTTCGTTTATGATTTTGCTCCACGAGGATTGCTCATTCTACGTATCTATTATTTGTAAAAGATCAGCACATAATAATCCATCCACAAAGGCCGTTTACCTTTGTCTCTGCTAAGGGTTGATTTTCCATCTGATCCAAAATAAGCAGCCAAATGTACTACTGTATTAAAAGTAAAAACATCAGGAATCCAGATAAAGGTGAGTTTTAATGTTCTTTGCTTTTTATTTTGGCTTCTAAGGTGGAGTCAAAAGCTGTCTAGCAACCCCTAGCTGGGGTAAAATAATTCCTATGAATGAACTCAGGGTCCTCTGAGGACCAGGCAGGAGAGAAGGAAGAACCAAGAAGAAAGCAAGGGAGAGACAAATGAGGAAACAGAACAAGAGCTGAGAAACCAGACACAAAAGTTGTCTCTGATGTGAAATTAGACAAAATGCCATGACTATTGGCTTAGGGCACACCACTTAAAATGAACATCTTAATGAGTTTTATTCTATGTGTGTGCATTATTTCCGTGGGAAACATGGCAGGTGTTAGGCTAAGGTTTGGGTAGGTGATGGTTAGTCCGCTTGACATCTACAAGTTTAAGAAAGGCCCCTTTCCTTGGACTTTGAGAGGATTTTGAAAAGAAAAGCGATCACTGGAAGGTTTTAGGACCGCCAAGAAGGCAATTTTACAACATTCATTAGACATACAGTGTGAAACATCTCTGCTTTGTGTTTCTGGACAGTAGAGATGACATGGCCTTCAATGGCTGGGGTGACTATTCCCCTCCAAAATTAAAGACTTGGAACTTAATTAGGAAATTGAGCTTTCAGAAGAATTTGGCCGCCTTTTATTTGTTCTCAAAATCCACTAGTCAATTAAACAACTCATTTGAACTTCCACTTCTTGCCAAAGTAGACTAAGAGAGGCAGGAATTACCCTCCTGTGGGCCTGTCTTACAGGGTAAGAAAAACCAAACGGTTTTGCCTGCTCTGACACACACTCAACATGACTCCCCTGACACCAGATTCTCCAGTGGACACAGCTGGGAGGTGTCCTATAATTCAATTCTGGAGATGCTGTCAGATCCTGCAGGTTGAAGACTCAGTCCCACCGGACCACCCCCACTTCAGATGCCAAGTCCCAGGTGGTGACCTGAACTTTTGACCAATGGGCTATAAATTGGAGTTCCCATGACCGCCTCCTTGGGTTTGATTAGTTTGCCAGAGTGGCCCTCAGAACTCAGGAAAACACTTTACTTCTGTTTAGCCATTTATTATAAAGGACATTACCAAGGATACAGATGGACAGCCAGAGGGAGGAGATGCACAGGGCTAGGTATGGGAAGGGGCACGGAGCTTCCATACCCTCTCTGGATGCGCCACCCTCTGGGAACCTCCAGGTGTTCGGCCATCTGGAAGCTCATCTGCACCCTTGGCATTTTGTGTTTTTATGGAGGCCTTATTACATATACATGATTGATGATATCATTGGCCCTTGGTGATCAACTTGACCTTCAGCCCCTCTCTTCTCCCTGGAGGTTGGGGGAGGGGGTGGGGATGAAAGCTCCAACCCTCTAATCCTGCTTGGCCTTTCTGGTGACCATCCTCCACCCTGGAGCTATCTAGGGGAGCCCAAGAGGAGACAAAGTTGCCCAGAGAAAGAACTCTGGAAGTCTGCAGAGGGGTCTCGTGAGCATTATGGTGAGCACTGAAGAATATATGTGAGGAAACTAAGCCAAGGATGGGGAAAGACCCACCTGAAGGACTAGAGGGAGAGTCTTTCCAACAAATGGTGCTGGAACAATTGGTATCCATGGGTACAAAGATAGACCTGAATGTAAAACTGCAAAACATCTAGAAGAAAACACAGGATCTTTATGATCTTCAGTCAGGCAAAGATTTCTCAGATAAAACACTGCAAGCAAGATCTTTAAAAGAAAAAATGGATAAATTGGCCTTCATCAAAATTAAAAACTTCTGCATTTGAAAGAGATAGCTAGGAGAGATTTGTACACAAAAATACTCATAGCTTTATTTGCAATGGTAAAAACCTGGCTGCAAGTCAATGTCTTCTTTCCCTCATCCTTGTCAACAAGCGTTATTGTCTGTCTTTTTGTTTTAGCCATCCTAGTGTGTATAAAGTAGTATCATTTCCCTGATCGCTAATTGTGTGGAACATATTTTCATGTGCTTATTGGCCATTTGTAAATCTTCTTTGGAGAAATGTCTTCTCAAATCCTTTGCCCATTTTTCAACTGGCTTGTCCTATTGTTGAGATGTAAATGTTCTTCATATATTCTGGATACAAACTCCTTATAAGATATATGATTTGCAAATATTTTCTCCCATTCTGTCTGTCGTCTTTTCATTTTCTTGATGATGTCCTTTGAAGTGCAAAAGTTTTAAATTTTGATGAAGCCCAGTTTACCTTTTTTCTTTTGTTTTTTTGCACCTTTGGTGTCACATCTAAGAAATCATTACCTAATCCAAAGTCATGAAGATTTGCATCTGTGTTTTCTCTGTGAGTTTTATAGTTCCAGCTCTATTTTAAGTTAATTTTTGTATATGGTGTGAAGTTGTGGAGATATGTTCTTTGTCTTGATTATGGTGATACACTGGTGTACATACATACTAAAACTTAGCAAATTATAC
Source organism: Homo sapiens (assembly GCF_000001405.40). Classification (NCBI taxonomy): domain Eukaryota; kingdom Metazoa; phylum Chordata; class Mammalia; order Primates; family Hominidae; genus Homo; species Homo sapiens. The sequence continues at coordinate 41,511,707 of NC_000013.11, forward strand.
ACCTAAGTGCAGTTTATTGTATGTCAACTATATCTCAATATATCAGCTTTAAAGAGTGATTTCTTAATAATGTAACAATAATACATATTTATGATATAAATGTTTTTAAATAGAAAGGTATATAGAGATAAAAAATCACAGATAGCCCCATCACTGACTGTTAACATTTTGTTGCTTTTCCATTTTATTTCAGTCTTTGTCAGTTTTATTTTAAACATCTTTATCGTGTTTTAATATTTTTCAAGAATATTAAGAATATTTTTAACACTAAATAAGAATGACTATTTTATTTGTTTAATTAACATTTAATTAAAATTAAAATGTAATTAAACAGTCCATTAAAAATAAAATTTAAAATTAGCTAAGATTCCATATTTGAAAAAGTTTGGAACAGGAGAGGACTGGAGTCTTACAGGATCCCAGCTGGGAAAGGACTTGTTCTCCCTAGATTCCTGTTGTACTGTTTAATTTTTTTATAGTGTGCATAAAAATAAATTCATTTCCATTGAAAAGATACATAACCTTTCTTTTGTCTGTTCTCAGAAAGAGCACCTTTAATCCAGACATGTTCTGATTCCTCAGTGTCCTCACGGCTGCAGCTTAAGAGGCTCTTTTGCCCTTTCTTGGGCTCCCTTGGGTGAATTTCGATGGCTTTCCCAGTGGGAAAGGAGGGAGAGGACCAGGCAAGAGCAAGAATCTGCTGAGCACGGAGCGCAGCGCACGGAACCCCACACTGCTCACGGTCCGGTTGGTATCACCATATGCTGGGTGTGTTGGCATGAGAGTGAGAGGAATTCCTCTGAGGGGAGTCTTCACCATACCCTAATCTAAGACAGGATTTAACCTAAGGCTAGGAAATGGCCACCAAACCTCAGCCTTCCACAGCACGAGGTGGTTCCAGCCTACCCCATCCGGAACAGGTCAGCCCCTCCCGCTGCGTGTTAGTTTCACCTCCTAGAAGTTTCTCAGGGCAGCTACTGGCTGTGGAGGAGAGGTGGGGGCGCTGCCTGGGAGCCCCTGGTGGCATGACAGGGGGAAATCTTGTTTTTCCCGTAAGCGCTTCACTTTATCATCTTTTACAGAAATCTGTTTTCCAATAATATAGCAGTAGCTGAATTTCCAACCAGAAGCAAGGAAACCCATCATCTGAAAGTTGAAATTAAAATAAATTTTAGGTTAGCAGTTCAACAAATAGTATCTCTCCTAGTCCTTTTGAGCTGCTGTAACCCACTACCCTAGACATAACACAGTGCTGGGTGGCTTACAACAATAGAAATGTACTTCTCACCGTTCTGGGGGCCGAAAGTCTGAGATCAAGGTGCCTGCAGGATCGGCTCCTGGGGAAGGCCCCTTTGCAGGTTGCAGACTGGAATCCTGTCTGAGGTCCCTTTTATAAGGCACTAATCCCATTCATGAGGGCTCCACCCTCATGACCTAATCACCCCTCAGAGTCCCCATTTCCTACTACTATCCTATTGATGGCAAGGACTTCAACATATAAATTCTGGGGGTCATAAACAGTGACTGGAGGCCCACTCCGTGCCAGGCCCTGTGCTAGGTGTTGGGGATAGTGACTTAGGTAAGACTGAAGTGGCCCTGCTCTCTGGGACTCAAGTGACTCTATGTGAATAGGGGCCTGCTCAGAGGCACAGAGAGGGAACTCACCCAGACTGGTAGGGTCAGGAAGGGCTTCCTGGAGGAAGTGGCATGTCCACAGAGATTTAATGGATGAGCACATGTAGCCAGGAGAAGGCAGAGGGGAGAGTATTCCAGCTGAGGACACAGCATGAGGACGGCACCTGGTAACCAAGACGCTTGTCATCTCTGAGCCTCAGGAAAGTTGGTAACTGTTCCAACCTGTCCTCAGCTGTCTTGTGGGGGCAGTGAGGAGCACTCCTGTGCCTGCACTTCAGCCAACCTGTTTGAGGTCATGAGTGAGGCTGCGGTCATTATGGGGAGATGCCCAGAGGGAAAAGTTCTTAAGCACATGGGGCTGGGCCTTCAGCCAACCACGCATGGTGAGCTTCTCACTCCACTGCTGACCCTGGCGATCCAGATTTAGTCCAGGGAGACAGCAGGTTTGTTCACATACTTTGGTGCAATTTGTCTGATCAGATTTGTTAGCCACCGGGCAATGGGATGGAGACGTTTACGTGGACGGACAATGAGAGGGCGTTGGAACCGGAAGCTCTGGGTGCATGGCCCTGGAAAGAGACCAGGCCAGCGACCATGAAGCTGAGCAAGGGTTTGCCTGGGGCTGGCTCTGACTAGATAATAATAACGAGTGCTTATTGATTGCGCTACAATCAATCCTAACAGCTTCACATATATTAACTCATGGGAAAAACTGAGGCCCAGAAAGGTCAAGTAACTTACCTAGCACAAAGCTACGTAGCAGTAGAGCTGGGATTTGAAAGTAAGTTGTCTGATACTATTCTACCTCTCCATGAGGGTGGAAGCTGATGATGGCATTAACCTGTGCAGCATTGATTGTGCTCCAGGTCCTACTCAGGCCAGGTATTGTTCTGGGTTCCTGAGATTCACCAGTGAACAAGACCAGCAAAGGCCCTGCTTTCATGGGCTTATGTTCTAGTGGAGAGACAGGTTAAAAAAAAAAAAGATAGTTAAAAAATAATTTCAGAGAGCAACAAGTGGTATGGAAAAATTAAAACAGAAATGTGACAGAGAGTAACAAGGAGAATTGGAATGAATTTAAGTGGCTTGGAGGTCGCAGGAAGAGAATGAATTGACAGGACCTAAGCGTGGGCCATGCAGAAAGATTGCATCTCAAGGACTGTTTCCTTGTCTCGGTAGATGCTGTGAGGTCAGCACGCCAGAAGTCATCATCCACCCAGTTTTTATTTCTTAGAGATGGAGCAGCCACCCCAAAATTAAGGCAGTCCTAGAGTTTAATGTTTAATAAATAAAGGAGCATTATTTTAAAAATTTTCCCTATTTGTCCAGTGATACCAGGTTTTTAGTTTGGCTCTTCATTTTGCATTTAATATTAAACGTGTTACTACTTACACCTGAAAAGAGATCCCTTAGGAACAAAGACTCACAGCGTTTGCATTACAAACTTCCCTGTGCTGATTTTGACTGAGGATAAACATCTTTCTGGAATGGACTGTGAATGGAAAGGGAAAATGTCACAATTTGAATGCAATTCAAAGTAACATCAGAGAAAGGTCAGTGCCTTCGCATGAGACCTCTCTTTTCAAAGTAAACAAGTGGAGCATAAAAGCACTTTGGGAGGTTTCTTTTCTTTTTTTTTGTTTGAGACAGAGTCTGGCTCTGTTGCCCAGGCTAGAGTGCAGTGGCGCAATCACGGCTCACTGCAACCTCCACTTCCCAGGTTCAAGCGATTCTCCTGACTCAGCCTCCCAAGCAACTGAGACTACAGGTGCCCACCACCAAGCCCAGCTGTTTTTTGTATTTTCAGTAGAGACTGGGTTTTACCAGATTGGCCAGGCCGGACCTCAGGTGATCGGCACCTGATTCTCCAGTGGACACAGCTGGGGGGTGTCCTATAATTCAATTCTGGAGATGGTGTCAGATCCTGCAGCTTGAAGACTCAGTCCCACGGACTGCCCCCACTTCAGATGCCAATTACTAGTCCCAGGTGGTGACCTTTTGACAAATGGGCTATAAATTGGAGCTTGAGTTCAACTCCTGACCTCTGGTGATCCGCCCACTTAGGCCTCCCACAGTGCTGGGATTACAGGCGTGAGCCACCGTGCCCAGCCAGCACTTCAGGAGTTTTATGAGACCAGTGCCGCTGGCTCCTAGACTGACCTATTCGATTGTGGAGTGTCACCCCTGGACCCCACCCACAAGCCCTAAGAGCTTAAAAGTCTACGGGACAAGGTTGGTTCTGACATAACTCACGGTTAGCAGCTGGGTCCCTTGAAGGGGAGCAGGAAGTAAGGAAGTTTCAGTGGCCAAGTGCGGTGACCACCTGCCTGTGCCAGGCCCCAGTGACGGGGTGGAGGGGTCAGTGCACTGCACCCTGGGATGCCAGGTGGACACGGGTTCCTAGTCATGCTTTCACTCTCCCCTGGGCCTGTCGCAGGTGTGTTCTTTCCGAGCCTCCCCTCCTTCCTTTTGCCGTAACTCTGGCGATGGCCAACAGTGCGGGGAGGGCAGGATAACTGCAGCCAGGGTACCCAGCCAGGAGGAGCTGGGGACGCTAGGGTAGAACAGGTCTGGTGTGGGAACAGAAAGGACAAAGGCAGGGAGCAGCAGTAGTCAGCCAAACCACGAAGTGGCAGCAAGTCCTGGCCAGGTGGATGGGGCGGGGGCTGGCAGGAATGCCACGGTGGGTCAGGTAATGTGTACAAATGCCCAGGCAGGGACACCCATGGGGACTTCCTCTGGGAGCAGGTGAGGGGCTGGCCAGTAGTGGGGAAAGTGGGCTAGGTGGCTAAGGCACAGCCTAGGCAGCAGTCTGCTGGGTGACCTTGGGCAAAGGACTTAATCTCCTTGGGCCTCAGTTTCCTTGTCTGTCAAAAAGGATGGCCCTGTCCTTCCCCACATGCTTGGGCTTATGATGTGGATGAGGTGATGAGAATCTCAAGGGCCTGGGCTCCAGGCAGGTTGCCAACTCAATATAATATGATGAAGACCCAGTTCTCAGACTAAGATGCTGGGCGTGGCTTGCATCTGGAAAGTTCTAAGGTCAGAACTAGGCCTCAAGGTGGGGCTGAAAAGGCAGCAGAAGCTGTCGCAGAGGACCTGAGAGTCAGGCTGGCGCAGGGGTCCCCCAGGGGTGGGTGGAGATGGTTCTGCAAGGTGCTTAAGTGAGAAGCAAAATGAATGTTGAGAAATGCCTCATGACATAGCCCCTTCTTGGAGAGTTAGAAAGCATCGACCGTATTAGTAGTTTTGAGAACTCCTGCTGTTAAGACACCTCTTTAATCCCAGTGATTCTCATACCGACCTTTCCCCCTTTTCCAAATACCTGGGAACTATATACGCTAGAAACGTTTGGGTTTCAAATCTCTCAGAAGTCCTTCTTTCTCTCTTTGGGATTGGTCTTAGGGTGGGGGCTGTGGCAGAGGATTCTCCCCAGCCACAGGGATTGATGAAGGAACATAGCATAGGAACCTGGCCGGGCCTCATGCTATTTTATTTTTCTTTTTTAAGAGAATAAACTTTTGATTTTGGAATAGTCATTAATTTATGGGGAAGTTGTGGAGATAGCCCAGAGAGTTCTCTGTACCTTCATCCAGCTCCCCCTAATGTTAACGTCTCACACAACCAGAGCGCATTTGTCAAAGCTAAGAAATTAACACTGGCCCAGTATGGTTAACTCTCCACAGACTTTATTCAGAGTGTGCTTTATTCAGTTTTTCCACTCTGTCCTTTTTCTGTTCCAGGAACAAATCCAGGATATCACATTGCAGTTAGCTTGCTTTTCTTTTTCCTTCCGTATTCCTTTTACCCTCAGTCTGTTTGGTTGTTGTTGTTTTAGCTTCCTCCTCTCGTACTTCGTGTCTGAGGCCTGGAGAGCAAGGTGAGGGGGACGGTGAGGTGAGCACAGGAATCCTCTGCACCAGGACAGACACCGTGATGCCTTCTATGAGGTGAGTGGTGGCTGCAGGGAGAAGCCCGCATTGTGGCCAGATGGAGAGGGAGTTCGGGACACCATCACCAGTCATGAGCAGGCTGAGGAGGCTACAGGCCAACTGGCTGAGAGAGCAGACTCTGCATCTGGTGGGTAACTAAATGGGCTGGTGGAGAAATCCATGAAGCTTGAGGGGCCTGCCATGTCTACAGCTGCTTTCTGAGGAAAGTAGCCCCAATTGTTCGCCATCTCAATCACAGGTGCAGGTGGGGTTTGTTAGTGTCAGTACCTTAGCATGTTAGCAGAACCCAGCCCTGCTACCTGAGACCCAGATGGTTCCATCAGGCGTCACAATGTGGGTCAAGGCAATGGGCCAGGTGAGGGGGCACTCAGGCACCAGGGTGGCTTGGCAAGACTGCTGCTCAGAGGTGCCCCATGGTGATGGAAACAAGCCAGTCAATCCTAGCTCTCCCTACATGAAGGGCAGGCTGTGTAAGCTCCGGGACTATCTGCAGTACCAGGAAGAGACACTCCTGGGTCTCTCTGAAGCCCACTCCATGCACCAGTGGAGCAGACAATTTCGCACCTACCCACCATGGATTTATCCCCTTCTTTGCCAGCACAGCCCTGATTTAGTTCTGGTCTCTACCCTTTGCCCAACAGCCAAATGCTTCAGGAAGGCTGGCTTTGAGGGGCAAGTGCCAGTTGGTGTGCAAACTCATCAAAGAGCTCTGATACTGCCTGCCAGTAGTTGCTTTAAGCATGGACATGTGTATAATTCTGGCCAACAAGCCAGATGTGAGGGGAAGTCCCCTAGTGTGTAGGGGGCAGGAGAGAGGGATAGGTGTTCTGAGAAAGGTTTCCTCACTCTCAACAAGCGACACAAAGATGAAATGGCTCCTTTTCCTGAGTCTTGGCAATGGTATGCCCAGATGTGACACCTGGAACGTTGGTAGCCATCTTGTGACTGAGAGAGCAGTGAGATGAGCAGAAGGGAATGATGGGAAGAACCAAGGTCCTCTCCATGTCACTGAGTCACCCAAAAAAACCAAGCTTGGAGCCTGCTGCCTTTGGACTTCTTGTTGTGTGTAAGCCAGTTGATGTAGGCTTTTCTTGTAACTTGAGATCATGGAATCACCCACTACCAGATCTGTGACCTGAGGGACTGCACCCCATGAGGCTGTCCCAGTTCTCCCTCTTGGTCCTGTGAATTCATGCCTGAGATCTCTGGATTAGTTCCCTGTTAATCTGCCAATAATTTAGTGGTTTAAACCAATGCAAATTTATTCTTTTACCATTCTGGAGGTCAGAAGTTTAAAATCAAGGTGTTGGCAAGGCCACGTTCCTTCTGAAGTCTTCTGGAGAATCCTGTTTCTTGTCTATTCCAGCTTCTAGAGCCCCCCACCATTCTTTTCCCCTCTTGTAAGGACCCTTGTGATTCCACTGGGCTCACCTAGATCATCTAGGATCATCTTCTTATCTCAAGATCCGTAACACAATCCCATCTGCAAAGTCCCCTTTACCGTGTAAGGCAGCATATTCACAGGTTCTAGGGATTAGGGTATGGATATCTGAGGGAGGGAATTATTCAGCCTAACAGCCTCCCTCACCCAAAGTGATCCATGTGTCCCTCTCCTGGTTCTTTGGAGGCTGGTGGTTCCTGTGGCTTCCTCTCCATGGCACCACTTGCATGGACCCCAGCCTGACAGCCCACCTAGTGTTTCCCACCAATCAACTATGGAGGCTCTGCTTGGGCCTAGTGTCTATTCCTCGTGGGAGAGGAGAGCCTGGGGAAAGGGGGGGAGAGAGAGAGAGAGAGAGACTGTGGATACAGAATGAACTGTAGCTACTTCAAAGTGGAGAGAAATAGTGGCCTTGTGTTTTCTCAATAGCAGCGAAGCTGAAAAAGATGTCAGAGGTCTACCAGATGGTTTCAGTGAAGTTCAGTGTGTCCTTATGTACTCACTGCTTTGGGGATCCTCCTCAACATCAGAGTCCCTGCAACTCTGACTAGATCTGGGTGCATCTATCAGGGCATATGAGGATCAGAGTTGGACTTGAAAACCAATAGGCCACTGATCTGTCTCTCCTCCATTCTGGACATTGGCTAGATTTGTGTGGGTAGAATTCAGAGTTGCAGGGTCAGCTTTTGGGAGCTTTCCAGCCACTTTTCTCCTTTATGCCACATGCTGGGCTTCAGGCTGGGCCAAAGAGGCCCATATATGGAACCTGGATGCATTCTGCACACCACAGACCGCATCTCTGTGTGACCTTCCGCGTTCTGCCTTTGCATTGGATGTGAAGTAGGGTCACCTTGACTGTAGAAGGAGGGGTTGGGGCCAGGCTCTAAAGCCCTGCAGCTCTCCAACATTACAGCTTGTGTATGGGACATTGAAGAGAAATTTTTGGTGTCAAAAACAATGAGGACAGAGCATTCTTGGGGCTTTCATCATCATCCCCAACTCCAGAAAGGGTTGTGGTGGAGATAGTGGACTGAGTTGGCTTTGGGTGACCATCTCCCACAGCCTGGCCTAGGATGTGTTGTTCTGGCCTCTGAGGCATCAGAGCACCTCATGATGGCTCCAACTTGCTCCCACCCCATCACCCCTGCCATCTGTTCCCATGGGTGGGAAGACGTCCTAGCTTTGGAGCAGGCCAGCCCCATCAGGAGAAGCCAATCCGTGATGCAAGAGATGATAAACAGAGCAACACAAATCTTGTTTGGAGAGTAAGCCACTCCTTAGAAAGCAGAGCTAAGACATCCTTTTGTTGTCTAGATTCTAGGGATGATAACTTCTCACTCTTCCCCTTGATGAGTCCTTAGAGAACTGTAAACTTCCAAAGAATGCTTTGTTTAATGGGTTGAAAGAGGAAGAACTGAAAGGAGGAAATGGGGGCCTTTGTCCTCTAAAGAGTAAGCAGTGTGGATGATGACATCAACGGCCAATGTGGACGTGTCACCAGCACTGGCACCAGCAGCCCTGAGTTGGCACAATCTGGCTTCATGTGAATTCTTCTGCCACATTGGGAGTCCCTCTTGCCCTCGCTTGGCCTCACTTTTCCTAGGGAGATTACAAAACCTATGTACTTACCTGAAGGAAGTTGTGTTACATCCATGGGATAAGACGCCGGACTAGAGGGCTCCTTGGAAAAGATGGCGGATCTGAGAACCCAGTGCTCACAGGAGTAGGTGAAGCAGTCTATTGCTGTGTAGCTCTTGCTGCCTCTGACCTCCAAAGTCAGCATGAGTCTCCTCAGCAGACCACATGTGTAATTAGCATAGGGAGGCTTCTGGGAAGGCACCAGGCTTCTCAGACATAGCCATACGTGAAGGAAAAGACCCACAATCTGGAGGCCCAGGGGATGGAGGAGGAGGCTCTTGGCATTGGGTTTGGGCATTTGTCAGGGTCGTGGTTAGAAATCCCTCCTGGGCTTGTCTGCTCAGCGGTTTTGGGTGTCTGTGCCAAGGGTGGCTGGGGGGCCCATCGAGGAGTCCCCAGATCTGCGGGGTCTGATTCATCCTGTGTCAGCCCAGGGCGATGACAGATTGGTCCGATTTGGGGCAGAGAATTGCAAACCAGTGTTAACGAGAGACAAGCCTCTCCTAGATGGCTTTGGGGAACTTCTCAGCATGTGCTCCTCCTAAGCTCTTTGTCTCCTTTCCCATACTCAGCAGCAAGGCAGCCCACAGGCTCCAAGCAGTCCCTGGGGAAGCGGGGTGGTGGTGAGGCAGAGATGGTTTTCTACGGAGCCAGGATACAGTGGGGAGCAGGCACGCACATCCTCATGGGGATGTTCCAGTTACTAGCTAGAAAGGTGGCCAATTTCTTGAGATCTGAAAGGTATCAGGGTTCAGAGTGTGACTACTGGGAGGCCATTCTGCCCACACTGGCCATTGGCCAGGGCTACTGGGTACTTGATATAGCCAAGAGAAGCAGACATTGGGGGTAAGATGGCATAAAGGAATCCCCTCGTTAGCCAAGAAAATGCAAGATCCTTTTATCAGTCAGGGTTTATAGCTGCAAGCAAAAGCAACTGCCCCTGGCTGGTGAAGCAGAGACATTTTATTAACAACAGTGGGCAGCTCATAGTGTCCCTTGAGCCCTGGGGCACGTGGATTGGAAGTCGCACAGCCAGGTAGAGCACCCTAACTTCTGCCACTGAACCCATCTGGGAAAGACATATTTGCTTTGCTACAGGGCCCACTGTCAACGCCCCAACCCTGGGTGCTGGCTGGAACAGAGCCCCTGTACCTAGAAACTGGATGTTCTGCCACCAAGATCATCACTGCCCATCACCAGAACACAAGTTGTGCAGGGAGACCTGCTGCTTCTTGTAAGGGACAGAGCCACGCCACTTACCTTGTCTACCTGCCACAGGGGCTGGAGAAGCCAGTGTCTGGCACTTTTGATTTCTATAGTGATGGGTGGGTCTCACTGTGGGGGCACAAACATAGAAGGCAATACAGGTTTTTGGTGACTAAACAGATGACAGTTGTCCCCTACAAGGCATTAGGTTATAGGAACTGACTACAGGGCATCTGACTCTGCTCCTCCTTGGAAATGGCCTTCTTTTGATGCTAGTGTACCAGCCTCACCTCTGCTGAGGGTGGTGGACACTTAAGCTCAGTCATCTGTTCCTGAATATCAGATGTTCTGTGTAAAAATGCCAACCAGTAAACAATTCCTGCATTTAAGTTTTATTTTTTCAGCTTTATCGAAGTATAATTGTTTAGATTATAGATTCAATATAAAAAATTGAATCTATACAATAAAATTCAGGGTGTACAATGTGATGATTTGATGTACATATACATTGTGAAATGATAGCCACAATCAAATCAGTTAACTCATTCATCACCTTAGTTACTCTGTGTGTGTGTGTGTGTGTGTGTGTGTGTGTGTGTGTGGTGAAAACATTTAAGGTCTACTCAGCAAATTTCAAGTAAAGAATTACAGTATTATTAACTATAGAGTTAATAATACTGGTGTTTTGTATTATTAACTCTATAGTTAATAATACTTGCTGTGCATTGGGATCTGATGTTCCTGTTAGTATAGTTTCCTGTTATTATAAATGGAAAAGGTTATAAGGCACACATCCACCAATCAACTTCCCAAATGTGATTAGATGTGTTGAAACATCTATATAGGTAATAAACTACCACATTAGGATGTAAAATACTAGGCTGGGCAGCTTAGCTCATGCCTATAATTCCAGCACTTTGGGAGGTTGAGGCAGGCAGGTCACTTGAGGTCAGGAGTTCGAGACCAGCCTGGCCAACATGGTGAAATCCCATCACTACCAAAAATACAAAAATTAGCCAGGCGTGGTGGTGCACGCCTGTCTCCCAGCTACTTGGGAGGCTGAGGCAGGAGAATCGCTTGAACCCAGGAGACAGAGGTTGCAGTGAGCCAAGATTGAGCCACTGCACTCCAGCCTGGGCGATAGAGTGAGACTCTGTCAAAAAAAAAAAAAAAAAGGGGATGTAAAATACTTAAAACATAGCTTAAAACACTATAGTTGTTAAGGCCTACTTTGTAAGAAGTGACACCGTGATGCCTGTCAGTGCCAACAACTTGGGAAAACCTCATCCCCTTTGCTGAGGTTCACCATGCTTTATACAACCTTCTACATGCAGTTCTGGCATTCTGTTAAGTGTAATTGTAATGTTTCTCAAGACTTTATAGATATATTTGTTTAAAATGTAGGGTGTTATGTTTTAGGGATATAAATTTACATTTACCTTAGATAAATTCTGGCCAAAAAATGGCATTGAGAGAGATACGTATGTTCCCTGAAATTTGGATATTAAAAACCAAGTGGCATCCTGCAATGGGGATGTTAATCAGGAAGATGTTTTGTGGGGAAGGTCTTGATTTGAAGAGTATCTCCCAAATGCCAAGGGCTTTCCACATATTAGCACTAATGCCCAGAGTAACCTTAACTCCACTTTACAGGTGGAAATACCAGGGTCTTTCTCAGGGCCCCACTAGAGCTGGGACTCAAACCCAGGTTTGTTTGACTCCATAATCTTTCCAAGATAAATCCAGTTTCTTGTTTTCTGAGTATAGCTGAACAAAGCTGAAGTATTCAAGAGAAACTTTACCAAAGTAAGAGAAATCGAAAAAATAGGAGATAATAAAATTACTCAAGAGTATGAGGCATAGTTTTTTTTTAACCTTACATTTCTATTGCTTACCCATCCCATTTAGCACATTGTGTTCCATAATCTGTCTAGGATGGTGGGATGAAAGGGTGTGAGCATTGAAAGCAAACAAATGTGAGTGTGAAACCTAAAGCTATCAGTGATTAGCTGTGTGTTGGCCACTGGACCCTTCCCGACCTCAGGCTTCTCAGCTTTCAGACACGGATGATAACGTTTTCACCAGAAGATTGTGGTGAGGGCTTTTTTTTTTTTTTTTTCTTTCAGGGCGATTGTGTTGGTGGCATACTGGATATTTCTAACATGTATAAAGTTAAGTATTTTGATTGACTTTCTTTCTATGTATATGTACTTCTCTTCAAATGCCAAGAGCTTTTTCTTGCTATCATTGCCTTTTGAAACAATTCAATTTTCAAGTCTACTGTTGATTGTTATGTTAAAGATTGAGTCACTGATATTCAAGATTTAAGTCTGAAACAGTCAAAATGAACCCTCAAAAAAAAAAAAAAAGAAAACTGCTTATTGGAAATCATTACTGTGGAAATGAACTTTATTTGCCATTATGAATAATATCCAATATAAGAATATGCTTCTGGAATTCAGTACTGCTTTTAAGTACCAATGATACTTATTTTTCAAAAATGTAATGGCATGTTATTGCTTTGAAATGCTTGCTTTCATGTTATCTTAAAATGCGCTGGTGAATTCTCCATTTTTGACATCCATTTCACACGTAAAAGACAAAAAAAAAAATCTAGGTTGGCCTTAATATTGGGATGATAAAAGGTAGGTAGCATTAAGAAAATAAAACAATCTTCATGTTAGAGATGAACCCATTAAAACAATTTAGGAAATGAGGGGCAAAATGGAAGAAATAATATTCCAAAGAACATGAGCATAAAAATGAATGCATTTCAATGTTTAAGAAGGCTTGATACAAAAAGAATGTCACTTTTTGATTTAACTGAAAACAAAAGATTGTGGTGAGGATTAAATGACAATAGTGGACATAAAGTCATGTAGATTTGTGGTTCAAGATGTAGACTGAAGACACTTGTTTACTTCTCCTTCCGCCCAGGATGCCACAGAAATTACAGACAAGCTGTTAAAAAAATAATAAGGCACTCATTCTCTCTCCTGCTGCCCTGTGAAGAGATGCCTTCTGCCATGATTGTAGGTTTCCTGAGGTCTGCCCAGCCATGCGGAACTGAGTCAATTAAACCTCTTTTCTTTATAAATTAAATAATAACAACAATAAATCCATAATTTACCAGGCATGGTGGCACATTTCTGTGGTCCCAGCCACTCAGGAAGCTAAGGTGTGAGGAGTACTTCAGCCTAGAAATTTGAGACAAACCTGGTCAACAGAGCAAGACCTTGTTTTATTAAAAAAAAAAAAAAAAAAAAAAAGTCATAACTGCTGGAAGAACATCAGACCCCAGAATTGAGGAAGTTACTGAAGGATGGATTGAGGATGGTACTGGAGTGGTATAGAAAGTGGACTCTGTTTCTCATTTCCTTTCATCGCCATATTTCTTGTGGGTTATTCAGATTTGTACTTCTTCGCCCTGTGTTGACTCTGGGAACCACTACAATCTGGCTTTTTCTACCATGATTCCATTGAAACCGTTCTTATGAAAGTGTCTCATGACCTCCCCCTTGCTAAGTCCAGCATCCGGAGGTCATATCACTGTCAGTATCTTAGGCAACCTGTTAGCAATATTTGTGATAGTTTTCCACTTCTCGAAACCTTGTCTTTTCTTCATTTCCATGACACCTCAGCCCTCTGGTTTCCTTCCACCTCAGTGGTGGCTCCTGCTGTCTTCTTGGCTGGCTTTGCTCTCTCTGGCTGATCTCTGAACATCCCTGTTCCCTGGTCCTGGCCCCTTTTTCATCATCTTCAATATTCTTGATGAGCTCCTCCATTCTCACAGCTTTCAACACTATGTCTCGATGGCTCCTGCAGTTCTGTCTCTAGTCTAGTTCTCTCCTTGGAGCTCTAGACTTGTATACTCAACTGCATTAAAAGCAAAACAACAACAAAACTTTTGAGCTGGATGTAGTGGCCCATGTCTGTGGTCCCAGCTACTCAGGAGGCCAAGGCAGGAGGACTGATTAAGCCCAGGAGTTCAAGACCAGCCTGGGCAACATAGTAAAACACTGTCTCAGAAAACAAAAACAAAAACAACAACAACCTTTTTTAAAATATTTTTTTTTTCAAACTTATACAAAGCTTACAAAAATAAAAATAGCACAAAAAACACCTGCATACGCTTTACCCAGATTTACCCAAAATTAACATTCACTCCATTTGCCTTATTTTTTTCTTACTGTGTGTTCCTCTATGTGTATGTATATCTATAACACACACATATATAATATGTAATGTTATGCATATGTGTGTGTGTGTATGTGTGTATTTTTTTTCCTGGAACCATTTGAAGGCATAGCCCTTTACTTCTAAACACTTCAGTTTTCTTAGGGATAAAAGGTTTTCTCTTACCTAACCACAGTGCAGTTATCAACTTCCGAAAATTTAACATTGCTACCATGCTTTATCTTTTTTTGGTTGAACTTTTAATTTTTTTAATTTTAAATTTTTATAATTTTAATTTTTTATTTCCGTAGGTGTTCGGGGAACAGGTGGTGTTTGGTTACATGGATGCATTCTTCAGCGGTGGTTTCTGAGCCATGCTTTATCTTGTCTACCATTCACATTGCAATTTTTGTCAGTTAACCCAAAAATATCCTTTATGGCTTATTTAAAAAACTATAGTACAGGATCTAGACTAGAGTCAGATATTGCATTTAATTGTGATGTCTCTTTGGCCTCTAATCTGGAGCACTTCCACAGCCTTTCTTTGTCATTTATGACATTGACATCTTTTAAAAAACTGAGCACAATTTTATTGAATCCTTATAGTCCCTGCCCCCACCCCATGAGGTCAGAACTATTATTATTCTCATTGTACATGCAGGGAAACTGAAACATACAGAGAGTAAGAAACTTGCCTGACATCACAATTAGTAAAGTTCAGAGCTAGGATTCAAACCTGTGCTGTTGGAATCTATACCCATCAACTTGACTATCTTAGAGCTGCTTACTTTCAGTACCTTCATAACACAAAAATACCCTTACTAATGTTTTTACTGTATATTACACTGTACATTAACATTTTTGAAAAATACAGTTCCCTCTCATTTAAAAAAAATTTAAAATAGGACTTCATTTTGGTTTTGCCTGATGTTTTCTCAAGATTAGGTTCAGGTTGTTTGTGCCCTGCTGGAATAGGACTTGGTTAGGTGTGTGCTTCTCAGGCCATCACAGCTGGAGGCACACAGCATCCGCCCATGCCTCATTGGCGATGGTAATTTTGATCACCTTGTCAAAGTGCTGTTTGATTTCTCCCCTGTATAATCACTGGTTCTTCCCTCTCTCTTCCTTGTAAATAACATATGGTCTGTGGGGAGACACTTTAAGACCAGACAAATATCCTGTTCCTCATCAAAATTTACCTCTAAATTTAGCATCTACTGATGATTTGTCCCTGACCCAACCTTTACTAGGATGGTTGGAACATGGTGCTTTTCCGACTCCAACCATCACTCCCCCAACACTGACCTGTCAACCCTCTGGATTGTGCTGGAAGTAAGACCTTCCTTTTCCCTACCCATGTACTTTCTCATCTATTGATTATCAGTATGGGCTCATGACTTTCTCCTTTAATGGTTAGTAACTTTGTACTGTACTTATTAGGTGCTGAGATTGCATTTTCGTCTTCTCTTGGCTGTCTCACGGACAATTCAAACCTAACCTGTCCAGAGCAGAACTCTTGATTTCCCACCCCAAACTAATCTCCCTCCTGACCTTAGTCTTTCCCATCCTGGGAAGTCATCATCATCCACCCAGTGGCTCAAGCCAGAGACCTGGGTGTCATCCCTGAGTCCTCCCTTTCCCTCAGACCCTCAACTAATTTGTAAGCAAGTTCTCTTCTGGAATTCAATTTTGTTAAAAACGTTAATGAGCTAAATGGACAGAGCTGAAGATTGAATTAGTGGGCTGGAGGAGTGCTTTTCAAATTTTGTTGCATATTGGAATCACCTGGGGAGATTTTAAAGCTCCCAGTGTCTAGGTTGCATACTATATAAATTAATCAGACTTTCTGGGGGTGGGTCCAGACAACATCAGTTTTTAAAGCTCTCTCAAGTTTGAGTAAAAGAGGTTTCCCAGAAGGAGAGGCAAAAGGAAAAATAAAATATATAGTTGAGGGATCTGTTTGACAGATTTAGAACTTTCTATACCCATAGGAGATCCAATATATATCCTGACACCAACAGAATTTTTTCATGCTATTTGTAAAACAGACCCTTGACTTCCTAAGGAAAAGAGAGTGTATAAGAATATTTGAAGTCAAAGGGAGGCTAGTTTCCAGTTCTCAGATGTCAGAGTAGAGGTTCTGTTGAAACTTTCTTCTCAGTATGAGCCCCCAGACAACAAGGAGAATAAGAAACAGAAATGTAAACTCAATCTTTGATTAAACTAGGAAACATCTGAGGCCCAGCACCACATTTGAGGAAGGGCTGCCCAGTGAAGAGAAGGTCAACAATGTGGAGTGAGGATGCTGAAGATGCTGTGGCTGCAGCAATCTGCTCCATTCAGCAGAGAGTGCTTCTGCAAAGTGAGAGGTTCACTGGGTCCCAAACCAGCAAGAACTTACCTGAAACTGAGGTAGGAGGGAGGCAGGACCCCGACCCAGGTTGAAGACTGGACAAAGCTGGGAAAAGGTGCCAAAAGCATGGGTCTTTAAGACACACCCACCAGTGCCATGCCAGTTTACCATCGCCATGGCGACACCCAGAAATTACCACCCCTTGCCACTGTCAACACTTGGAACTTACCACCCATTTTCTAGCTAATTCTGAATAGCCTGCCCCTTAATTAGCATATTATGAAAGTGGGTCTAACTGCTGCCCTGGCTGCTACTCTCAGCACACTGCCTCCCTGCTCTGAAGGAGCACTCATGGAGCTGTAACCCTGCTTGCCTTGATAAAACTGCCCTATACCACCGGGTAGCTCTTGAATTCCTCCCTGGGTGAAGCCAAGAACCTACCCTGCATTGAAACCATGAGAACAGGGTACCAGGACCAAGGGCAATAACTTCCCTAGACCTATTTCCTCTAGGAGAGGCTGTGCTGAAAGACAGAATCTTAGGTAAACTATCTCTGCAGGAGACATTCTGAGGATGAGGCAGATGGAAGACAGGGACTGAATGATAAGAACCCCTGTAGTTGCCAACCTCTTTTGAGTGGGGAGAAAACAACATATTTCTTGTTTCTGTCCTTTCTACTCCCAACCTCTCACCTTCCCACCATACCCCCTCCACCCCAACAAGACACCTGACCAAAGATGGCTTCACAGCAGAATTCTATCAAAACTTTGAAGGAAGATATATGCAGTGTCCATAGAAAAAGAAGAAAACACATCCAATTCAACAAAAACACTGATGCTAAAATATCATAAAAGGAGCAAAAAAAGAGATAAAATTGTAATTTTACTTATTAATATTGGTGCAAAGTTTCAATTATTAGCTAATGGGGTCCAACAATATGTTGGAAAAATAAATCACTATGGTCAGGAGGACTTTATGCCAACAATGGAAGGATATTTCAATATTAGAAAATGATGAGCATAGATTTTCACGATTACCTTCATAGTTGCTGATAAGGCATTTGGCAAAATCTAATATACATATTTGACCAAAAATGTTTTATAAACTAGGAATAGGTAAATAATTTTAAACATGGTAAATAAAAGAAATATACGTATTTCAAAGTTGCCATTATGCTCAAAGTAGGAGAAAATGAGAAATTTTCTTACAGTCAGAAATAGGAGGAAGTTTCTATTGTTTTATGTTATTCTGGAAGTATCAAATCATGCATGTAGACAAAAGAATAAACTGTAAAGAGAGAGAGACATTTATAATTATTGTTATATGATTTTATATCTGGAAAACCCAAGAAAATAAGCTGAAGAGTAATTTCTAATGACAAAGGAAATTCATAAAGTTGGTGAATACAAAATCAATATGCAAAATAACTTGCCTTTCTATATACGAATAGTAACCAGTTATAATGGAAGAAAATATCCTGTTTATGACACAGTGACAAAATACTCAAGAGTAAATGACAAGACACACAAGATCTAAATGAAGAGGACTTTAAAATGCTGAGGTAAACCAAAAAAAAGGCTTGGAAAACATGTAAATACATAGTCTATTTCTGTCTAGGGATGATTAAATATCATGAAGATGGCAATTCTCCATAAGTGAATCCATAAATCTAATAAAACCCTAATAAAATATATCAATAAGAAATGTTTGTGACTAAAAGTCTACAGAAAAGTAGACATGCAAACACAGCCAGGAGTTTTCTGAAAAAGATGGAGCCACCTGATGGGGCTGGGGAGTGGGGTGGGGCCTTAGGGAATAGCTCTACCAGAACTGAAACCCATCTTTAAAGCCACAGCAATTGAAGCAATATTGTACTGGGTATGAAGAAACCTACAAATCAATGGATCAGAATGGAGACTCCAGAAATAGACACAAACACATATACAAATATATGATAAGATAGCATTGCATATTAATGAAGGAAGGTAGGCTGTTAAAAATAATGTTTATACTCCAGAGAGCCATCTGGGAAAGTGCTATGGACTGAATGTTTGCGTCTGTCCTCCCCAAATTCACATGTTGAAATCTTAATCCCCCAATGTGCAATTAGAGGTGAGACCCTTGGGAGGTGATTAGGTCATGAGGGTAGGGCCCTCACAGATGGAGTTAGTGTCCTTATAAGAAGAGACAGGAGAGAGTCTGCTTCCTCCCCCTCTCTCCCTTTGCTCTTTTCTCCCTGTGAGAATACAGTAAGAAGATGGTAATCTGCAAGCCAGAAAGAGGACCTTTTCCAGACATAGAATCTGCGGGCACCTTGGTCTTGGCCTGCCCAGACTCCAGCCCCGTGAGAAATAAATGGTTATTGTTTAAGCCACTCACTCTATGGTATTCTGTTACAGCAGCCCAAGCTGATCAAGACAGAAAACTGGACCCCTGCTTCACTTCTTATATGAACAAATGGCAATTGGATCCAAGATTTAACTTTATAAAATGAAATTAGGAAAGCATAAAATTTAAGACAATTTAAAAATAACTAAGAGAGGTCTTTTTAAGTGTTGCACAAAACTCAGAAGCCATAGAAAAGATTAACAAATTTAATAATACAAATAAAATAATTCTGCATGGCAATCAGACAAAAATCCCACTATAAACAGAGTCAAAAGAGAAATGATGTTTTGATGGGGAAACGATGGGGACAATATTTGCCACAGAAATTAAGTTATTTAATATAACAATGTGCTCTCTCAAGTCAATAAGAAAAAGAACCACCATCAAAGAAAAAGAGCAAAGAACAAGAAAAGGAAGTACGAATGGTTCTTAAACATATGAGAAGATGACTGACCCACTCATAATAAAGTAAATGCAAATATGGACAATGAGATGCCATTTTTCATCTATCTGGTATCAAACCCAAAAGTTTGATAGCATGTTGTGTTGGCGGGGATGTGCAGGGAAGTATGTCAACATATCTAAGATAAGAATATAAACAGATGGAACCTCTAGCATTGTTATCAGAATTAAAAACACGTGTCAGTGCTCTTTGACTATAGTCACACGTCTAAGGATTTATTGGACAGATATGTTCACATGTGTAGAATGTATATGCATGCATACTTCCTGAAACATTATTTTGAAAAGTAAAATCTCAGAAGCAAGCTTACTGTCTGCAATGGGAGGCTGGATAAATAACATGGTTTTCATACAGTGGAATGTAGAAGAATGAGACAGTTTTATATATACTGATAGGAAGGATTTACAAAATACATACTGAATACTTCCATAATTGTATGCTGATATATGCCTAGGATATTCCTGGAAAAAAATGGAAGAGATTTCCTCTGGGGAGGAAAACTGTATAGCTGGGGAACAGCAGTGAAAGAAAGAGGGTGACTTTATACCATGCTTTGTGAATTTTGTACTCTAGGCATGTATTACCCATCTTTTAAAAAAGAAATAGCCAAAAGAATCAGAAGAGGGGCTTTTTTCTCAACCTAATAGGATATATTTTAAAGTTATAGAAATGGAAATTGTGACATTGCTATAGAATAGGCAAGTAGATTAGTAGGACAGAATAAACTCAAGAACTAGACTGTGTTAGTCTGTTTGGGCTGCTATAACAAAATACCATAGCCTGGGTGGCATATAAATAACAGTTTAGAAGAACTGTTTATAAGAATTGTTTCTCACAGTTCTAGAGGCCAGGAAGTCCAAGACTGAGGCGTCAGCAGGTTCAGTGCTGGCTGAGGGCTCACATTCCCTGATTCATAGATGGTGCCTTCTCACTGTGTCCTCACATGGCAGAAGAGAAAAGGGAGCTCTCTGGAGTCCCTTTTATAAGGGCACTTATTCCATTCTTAAGGGCTCCACTCTCACGGCCTAGTCACCTCCCAAGCACCGTGCCTTCTAATACCATGACATTGGGGATTATGTTTCAATGTATGAATTCTGGGGGACATCAACACTCAGACCATGGAACAGACCAATATACACATGGGCATTTGGTGTGTGACAAAATGGCACTCCAGTATGTGGGGATAGATGGGTCAGTAAGCACAGTTGGTCTAATTGGTTATTCATAGAGAAGAAAAAGGTGTTGAATCCCCACCTTGCATTATGCACGAATGTAAATTCCCACTTGTTTAAAGGCCTAAATGTCCAAAACAAAACCACAAAATATTTTAAAGAAACATAGAAGAAATATGTCGTTTTGACTTTGGGGTAGGGAAGTCCTTAAAAGACAGAAAAAGCCCTCCCTTCCCACCCCACAAAAAGCTGGGTGAGGTGGCACCTGAAGTCCTAGCTATTCTGAGGCTGAGGCAGGAGGATCTCTTGAACCCAGGAGTTTGAGTCCATCCTGGACAACATGGCAAGAACCCATTCCTAAAAAAAAGAAGAAGGAAAGAAGGACGAAAGAAAAGAAAGGATGAAAACTCTTCAAAGTAATATATATATCTCTTAAATGTGTTTGTGTGTGTGTGCGTGCGTACACTGTGCATTTATATTTCAAACTCATAATAGTGGTTCCTTTAGGTAAGGTTGGGCATGGAGAGGGATTGGGAATGGTGGGCTTTAGCTTTACATGTAAAGGGCTTTAAAAATTATTATTTAAGGAATTTATTTTTTTATTATACTTTAAGTTCTAGGGTATGTGTGCACAATGTGTAGGTTTGTTACATATGTATGCATGTGCCATGTTGGTGTGCTGCACCCATTAACTCGTCATTTACCTAATGTAAAGGAATTTATTTTTACTGTTAATTATTGTCATAATTTGACACTAATCTTTAAAAATTTTTTTTATAGAGATGGGGTCTCACTGTGTTGACCAAGCTGGTCTGGAACTGTTGCCCTCAACTGATCCTCCCACTTCAGCCTCCCAAAGTGCTGGGATGACAGGCATGAGCCACCACTCCCAGTCTCTTACCTAAAAAATAATAGAAAAAATATTCCCAAACTGAAGAAAGCCAATACATCTTTAGAATAAAAGAGTCTGTTGAGTGTTGAGCATGAACAATGAAAAAAAAAAGATTCAAATCTAAATATATCCTCTTACAATTTTATAATGACAATGACATGTAGAAAAAATCTTAAAAGCTCTGAGAGAGCAGAGACTTTCAATTCATATTGCAAATGGTTTCTCCCAAAAGATGCAGCCACCGGCAATTTTCAGGAGCCTCTGGTCCTACCGTGTTCCTCTTGCCCACCTACGTTTGGCTGGGTTCTGTGGGAATAGAGGCCCTTTAGCCGATGTCCCACCTGCAGAAAGAATTGCTGAAGCCGCAGTGAGAGGGAGGTCAGCTCTGGGTTTGGAAGGTGATAATCCTCCCCAGTCTGCTCCTTTGGAATCTTGTAGTGAGGTTTCTGTGTATCCGGGAGCAGGTAAAATGAAACTACTTTGAACAGAAGTGAGCTGTGCTGCCCATCGTGGGGCCCTGAACCCTCACAATAGTGTTTCTTACTTCCCTACTCCTTCTTGTAGACCAAAACACCTGATGGTTTTGTAGGATTTTCCAAGGTACTTTCTTTACCTACTCTATCATCACTGCTGAGAGATTTTAAAATGTAAGATGCAATCGACCACCCGAAGAATGTGTGAGCCTGTGGCATAGAGCTGGGTCCTCTGTCTTAAGGCTGCAATTTCAGGAATTTCTTAATGTATCTTTTATGTGTTGTGATGATGAAAGACTCTAGTGGAACTCCCTGTTTACACAAAATGTGACACTTACAAGTTTCCAAGAAAACGCCCTGCCTGTCTGGCAAAACGGAGCTACCAGAAGACTTGGAATCAGGCGAGGATGCTTCTGATATGCACGTTATCCACACCCCACGGGACAGAGCTCTCTTGCCAATGGTTGGCGGAACACAGGAAAGGCTTGTTCTGGAAGATCCTTCTATCTCAAACCCATACAAACACTCTCAGCCCTGCTCAGGCTGGAGCTCAGGATGCTCTTGTTGCAGCTTCAGGGAGGGGGCTCAATTTCCTTTGGAGAAGATGTCTAAATCCTCAGAATGCAGTGGCCCAATGCTATAAACAACATCAAACGTGAAAGAGCAAACTAGATATAACTGATGGAGGATGAATATTATTCCGATATTTATTCTTCTGGCAACGGAGTGTGAGGGGCTCATCTCACTACACTCTCGTATTACTGGAACTACAAGACATAAAAAATGACATTCCGCTTTTTTTCGACACAAAGTCTTGCTCTATCACCCAGGCTGCAGTGCAGTGGCGTGATCTCGGCTCACTGCAACCTCCGCCTCCTGGGTTCAAGCAATTCTCCTGCCTCAGCCTCCCGAGTAGCTGGGATTACAGGTGCCCATCACCACACTAGGCTAATTTTTGTATTCTTAGGAGAGACGGGTTTCACCATGTTGGCCCGGCTGGTCTCTAACTCCTGACCTCATGATCTGCCTGTTTCGGTCTCCTCATGTGCTGGGATTACAGGTGTGAGCCACCGTGCCTGACTGATATCCTACTTTTAAGTGCCATTGGTTGAGTGCCTGAGAAGAAAACATTTTTTCCTTATGATTGTTCCTTTTTGTTTTGTGTTTGTTTCACAGTCTGGCTATGAGGAAATGATTGTTCCTTTATAAATCATGAATTTTCTGTCATCTGTGAATTTTCTTTTCTTTTTTTTAATTTTATTATTATTATAGTTTAAGTTTTAGGGTACATGTGCACAACGTGCAGGTTTGTTACATATGTATACATGTGCCATGTTGGTGTGCTGCACCCATTAACTCGTCATTTACATTAGGTATATCTCCTAATGCTATCCCTCCCCCCTCCCCCCACCCCACAACAGGCCCCGGTGTGTGATGTTACCCTTCCTGTGTCCATGTGTTCTCATTGTTCAGTTCCCACCTATGAGTGAGAACATGCAGTGTTTGGTTTTTTGTCCTTGCGATAGTTTGCTGAGAATGATGGTTTCCAGTTTCATCCATGTCCCTACAAAGGACATGAACTCATCATTTTTTATGGCTGCATAGTATTCCATGGTGTATATGTGCCACATTTTCTTAATCCAGTGTATCGTTGTTGGACATTTGGGTTGGTTCCAAGTCTTTGCTATTGTGAATAGTGCTGCAATAAACATACGTGTGCATGTGTCTTTATAGCAGCATGATTTATAATCCTTTGGATATATACCCAGTAATGGGATGGCTGGGTCAAATGGTATTTCTAGTTCTAGATCCCTGAGGAATCGCCACACTGACTTCCACAATGGTTGAACTAGTTTACAGTCCCACCAACAGTGTAAAAGCGTTCCTATTTCTCCACATCCTCTCTAGCACCTGTTGTTTCCTGACTTTTTAATGATCGCCCTTCTAACTGGTGTGAGATGATATCTCATTGCGGTTTTGATTTGCATTTCTCTGATGATCAGTGATGATGAGCATTTTTTCATGTGTTTTTTGGCTGCATAAATGTCTTCTTCTGAGAAGTGTCTGTTCATATCCTTTGCCCACTTTTTGATGGGGTTGTTTGTTTTTTTCTTGTAAATTTGTTTGAGTTCATCGTAGATTCTGGATATTAGCCCTTTGTCAGATGAGTAGACTGCAAAAATTTTCTCCCATTCTGTAGGTTGCCTGTTCACTCTGATGGTAGTTTCTTTTGCTGTGCAGAAGCTCTTTAGTTTAGTTAGATCCCATTTGTCAATTTTGGCTTTTGTTGCCATTGCTTTTGGTGTTTTAGACATGAAGTCCTTGCCCATGCCTATGTCCTGAATGGTATTGCCTAGGTTTTATTCTAAGGTTTTTATGGTTTTAGGTCTAACATTTAAGTCTTTAATCCATCTTGAATTAATTTTTGTATAAGGTGTAAGGAAGGGATCCAGTTTCAGCTTTCTACATCTATGGCTAGCCAGTTTTCCCACCACCATTTATTAAATAGGGAATCCTTTCCCCATTTCTTGTTTTTGTCAGGTTTGTCAAAGATCAGATAGTTGTAGATATGCGGCATTATTTCTGAGGGCTCTGTTCTGTTCCATTGGTCTATATCTCTGTTTTGGTACCAGTACTATGCTGTTTTGGTTACTGTAGCCTTGTAGTATAGTTTGAAGTCAGGTAGCGTGATGCCTCCAGCTTTGTTCTTTCGGCTTAGGATTGACTTGGCGATGCAGGCTCTTTTTTGGTTCCATAGGGACTTTGAAGTAGTTTTTTCCAATTCCGTGAAGAAAGTCATTGGTAGCTTGATGGGGATGGCATTGAATCTATAAATTACCTTGGGTAGTATGGCCATTTTCACGATATTGATTCTTCCTACCCATGAGCATGGAATGTTCTTCCATTTGTTTGTATCCTTTTTTATTTCATTGAGCAGTGGTTTGTAGTTCTCCTTGAAGAGGTCCTTCACATCCCTTGTAAGGTGGATTCCTAGGTATTTTATTCTCTTTGAAGCAATTGTGAATGGGAGTTCACTCATGATTTGGCTCTCTGTCTGTTGTTGGTGTATAAGAATGCTTGTGATTTTTGTACATTGATTTTGTATCCTGAGACTTTGCTGAAGTTGCTTATCAGCTTAAGGAGATTTTGGGCTGAGACAATGGGGTTTTCTAGATATACAATCATGTCGTCTGCAAACAGGGACAATTTGACTTCCTCTTTTCCTAATTGAATACCCTTTATTTCCTTCTCCTGCCTAATTGCTCTGGCCGGAACTTCCAACACTATGTTGAATAGGAGTGGTGAGAGAGGGCATCCCTGTTTTGTGCCAGTTTTCAAAGGGAATGCTTCCAGTTTTTGCCCATTCAGTATGATATTGGCTGTAGGTTTGTCATAGATAGCTCTTATTATTTTGAGATACGTCCCATCAATACCTAATTTATTGAGAGTTTTTAGCATGAAGGGTTGTTGAATTTTGTCAAAGGCCTTTTCTGCATCTATTGAGATAATCATGTGGCTTTTGTCTTTGGTTCTGTTTATATGCTGGATTACATTTATTGATTTGCGTATGTTGAACCAGCCTTGCATCCCAGGGATGAAGCTCACTTGATCATGGTGGATAAGCTTTTTGATGTGCTGCTGGATTCAGTTTGCCAGTATTTTATTGAGGATTTTTGCATTGATGTTCCTCAAGGATATTGGTCTAAAATTCTCTGTTTTTGTTGTGTCTCTGCCAGGCTTTGGTATCAGGATGATGCTGGCCTCATAAAATGAGTTAGGGAGGATTCCCTCTTTTTCTATTGATTGGAATAGTTTCAGAAGGAATGGTACCAGCTCCTCCTTGTACCTCTGGTAGAATTCGGCTGTGAATCCATCTGGTCCTGGACTTTTTTTGGTGGGTAAGCTATTGATTATTGCCTCAATTTCAGAGCCTGTTATTGGTCTATTCAGAGATTCAACTTCTTCCTGGTTTAGTCTTGGGAGGATGTATGTGTCAAGGAATTTATCCATTTCTTCTAGATTTTCTAGTTTATTTGCGTAGAGGTGTTTATAGTATTCTCTGATGGTAGTTTGTATTTCTGTGGGATCGGTGGTGTATCCCCTTTATCATTTTTTTATTGCATTTATTTGATTCTTCTCTCTTTTCTTCATTAGTCTTGCTAGAGGTCTATCAATTTTGTTGATCTTTTCAAAAAACCAGCTCCTGGATTCATTAATTTTTTGAAAGGTTTTTTGTGTCTCTATTTCCTTCAGTTCTGCTCTGATCTTAGTTATTTCTTACCTTCTGCTAGCTTTTGAATGTGTTTGCTCTTGGTTTTCTAGTTCTTTTAATTGTGATGTTAGGGTGTCAATTTTAGATCTTTCCTGCTTTCTCTTGTGAGCATTTAGTGCTATAAATTTCCCTCTACACACTGCTTTGAATGTGTCCCAGAGATTCTGGTATGTTGTGTCTTTGTTCTCATTGGTTTCAAAGAACATCTTTATTTCTGCCTTCATTTCTTTATGTACCCAGTAATCATTCAGAAGCAGGTTGTTCAGTTTCCATGTAGTTGGGTGGTTTTGAGTGAGTTTGTTAATCCTGAGTTCTAGTTTGATTGCACTGTGGTCTGAGAGACAGTTTGTTATAATTTCTGTTCTTTTACATTTGCTGAGGAGTGCTTTACTTCCAACTATGTGGTCAATTTGGGAATAGGTGAGGCGTGGTGCTGAAAAGAATGTATATTCTGTTGATTTGGGGTGGAGAGTTCTGTAGATGTCTATTAGGTCTGCTTGGTGCAGAGCTGAGTTCAATTCCTGGGTATCCTTGTTAACTTTCTGTCTCGTTGATCTGTCTAATGTTGAGAGTGGGGTGTTAAAGTCTCCCATTATTATTGTGTGGGAGTCTAAGTCTCTTTGTAGGTCTCTAAGGACTTGTTTTATGAATCTGGGTGCTCCTGTATTGGGTGCATATATATTTAGGATAGTTAGCTCTTGTTGAATTGATCCCTTTACCATTATGTAATGGCCTTCTTTGTCTCTTTTGATCATTGTTGGTTTAAAGTCTGTTTTATCAGAGACTAGGATTGCAACCCCTGCCTTTTTCTGTTTTCCATTTGCTTGGTAGATCTTCCTCCATCCCTTTATTTTGAGCCTATGTGTGTCTCTGCACATGAGATGGGTTTCCTGAATACAGCACACTGATAGGTCTTGACTCTTTATCCAATTTGCCAGTCTGTGTCTTTTAATTGGAGCATTTAGCCCATTTACATTCAAAGTTAATATCGTTATGTGTGAATTTGATCCTGTCATTATGATGTCAGCTGGCTATTTTGCTCGTTAGTTGATGCAGTTTCTTCCTAGCCTTAAAGGTCTTTACAATTTGGCATGTTTTTGCAGTGGCTGGTACCCATTGTTCCTTTCCATGTTTAGTGCTTCCTTCAGGAGCTCTTTTAGGGCAGGCCTGGTGGCGACAAAATCTCTCAGCATTTGCTTGTCTGTAAAGTATTTTATTTCTCCTTCACTTACTAAGCTTAGCCTGGCTGGATATGAAATTCTGGGTTGAAAATTCTTTTCTTTAAGAATGTTGAATATTGGCCCCCACTCTCCTCTGGCTTGTAGAGTTTCTGCTGAAAGATCCACTGTTAGTCTGATGGGCTTCCCTTTGTGGGTAACCCGACCTTTCTCTCTGGCTGCCCTTAACATTTTTTCCTTCATTTCAACTTTGGTGAATCTGACAATTATGTGTCTTGGAGTTGCTCTTCTCGAGGAGTACCTTTGTGGCATTCTCTGTATTTCCTGAATTTGAATGTTGGCCTGCCTTGCTAGATTGGGGAAGTTCTCCTGGATGATATCCTGCAGAGTATTTTCTAATTTGGTTCCATTCTCCCCGTCACTTTCAGGTACACCAATCAGACGTAGATTTGGTCTTTTCACATAGTCCCATATTTCTTGGAGGCTTTGTTCGTTTCTTTTTATTCTTTTTTCTCTAAACTTCTCTTCTTGCTTCATTTCATGCATTTCATCTTCCATCACTGATACCCTTTCTTCCAGTTGATCGCATCGGCTACTGAGGCTTCTGCATTCATCACATAGTTCTCGTGCCTTGGTTTTCAGTTCCATCAGGTCCTTTAAGGACTTCTCTGCATTGGTTATTCTAGTTATCCATTTGTCTAATTTTTTTTCAAAGTTTTTAACTTCTTTGCCATTGGTTCGAATCTCCTCCTGTAGCTCGGAGTAGTTTGATCATCTGAAGCCTTCTTCTCTCAACTCGTCAAAGCTATTCTCTGTCCAGCTCTGATCCGTTGCTGGTGAGGAGCTGCATTCCTTTGGAGGAGGAGAGGTGCTCTGATTTTTAGAGTTTCCAGTTTTTCTGCTCTGTTTTTTCCCCATCTTTGTGGTTTTATCTACCTTTGGTCTTTGATGATGGTGACGTACAGATGGGTTTTTGGCGTGGATGTCCTTCCTGTTTGTTAGTTTTCCTTCTAACAGACAGGACCCTCAGCTGCAGGTCTGTTGGAGTTTGCTAGAGGTCCACTCCAGACCCTGTTTGCCTGGGTATCCGGAGCAGTGGCTGCAGAACAACGGATATTGGTGAACTGCAAATGCTGCTGCCTGATTGTTCCTCTGGAAGTTTTGTCTCAGAGGAGTACCCGGCCATGTGAGGTGTCAGTCTGCTCCTACTAGGGGGTGCCTCCCAGTTAGGCTACTCGGGGGTCAGGGACCCACTTGAGGAGGCAGTCTGCCCGTTCTCAGATCTGAAGCTGCATGCTGGGAGAACCACTGCTCTCTTCAAAGCTGTCAGACAGGGACATTTAAGTCTGCAGAGGTTACTGCTGTCTTTTTGTTTGTCTGTGCCCTGCCCCCAGAGGTGGAGCCTACAGAGGCAGGCAGGCCTCCTTGAGCTGTGGTGCACTCCACCCTGTTCGAGCTTCCCAGCTGCTTTGTTTACCTAATCAAGTCTGGGCAACGGCGGGCGCCCCTCCCCCAGCCTTGCTGCCACCTTGCAGTTTGATCTCAGACTGCCGTGCTAGCAATGAGCGAGGCTCCGTGGGCGTAGGACCCTCTGAGCCATGTGCGGGATATAATCTCCTCGTGTGCCGTTTTTTAAGCCCATTGGGAAAGCGCAGTATTAGGGTGGGAGTGACCCGATTTTCTAGGTGCCATCTGTCACCCCTTTCTTTGACTAGGAGAGGGAATTCCCTGACCCCTTTCACTTCCAGGGTGAGGCGATGCCTCACCCTGCTTTGGCTCACGCACGGTGCGCTGCACCCACTGTCTGGCACACCCCAGTAAGATGGCCTGGTACCTCAGTTGGAAATGCAGAAATCACCCGTCTTCTGCATCGCTCACGCTGGGAGCCGTAGACTCGAGCTGTTCCTATTCGGCCATCTTGCACACATGTTCTCATCTGTGAATTTTCTGTCCATGTCCTTTGTCATACACCTATTGGGACATCAATGGATTTTGCTGTTGTTGGTCACTTGGCATGAGTGCATTCAATACAAGTACACTTGGCCTGTCATATATATGGAAAATAATTTTCCTAACTTGCCTGAGTTAAAATTTGGTTGTTGCTGTATTTTGTCTTGCAGAAACCTCCAGTTCTTAAGTGATCATGAAACCTGTTGCTATTTCCTTTTAAACATATTTCCCCTATTCCTTTTGTAGGGCCATTCCAGAGGAAAGAGCTTCTTGCAGTAGACTCTTTCTGAAAATGACTGACTTCTCTGCAAGTCAGGCAACAATAATGATATAGTTCCTAACAGTAAGTGTCAATGCACTTCATCTGATTTGATGAAATTTGGGGGCAAGGACACAGTGGCATACCAAGGGTAGGTGGTGGGAACAGCCTACCCTGCATGCAGGCAATAAAGGAGTGCCTTGTGTGTAGCATCATTAAAAACAGTAATAAAACTGACTACACGTTGGTCAGCTTTTTATTATCACTATATGCTGGTTATTCTAAGCAATGTCCGTGATGAAGTACTTACTCCTTCCCCCCAAACCATTTATTAGTCTAAGTCCTAAACAGTTGCTGCTATTAGTGTTGTCTTTTAGTGATATATGTCCAGGCTTAAAGAGTGCACATTTTATTACTTATGTTTTAATAAGTATGTTTAATTGCCTTCTACATGGAAGTTAATTTGGAACACCTCCAATTACACAGGATATAAGCAGAGTCAGTTGCAGGCTGGTTCCAAGAGTCAGTTTGCAAGGGTGACAATTCAGAATTGTTGGCGCTCACTTCTGGGGCAGTTGGTTCCTTGTACTCCGGATCTACGCCGTATTCCTGTGTTGAATGAGTAGGGTGGAAATGAATGAGGCTAGCTCGGTGAACTGGATTCACTTCAGTTCTGTCTGTCTGGGTGCGAGCCAGTCTCTAAAGCTTTGGAGTTCACTCTTTTGGAAGTGTTTCTTCGTGCATGCCCCCACTTAAAAAAAAACACATTAGGGTAATGATTAATCCATGACTTTTTAATTTTTGTATTGTAATATTTATTTTGCTTTTATTAAAAAGTTTTTACAGGCAAAATTATATATACAAAGTTCAATCCTGCTACTAATTTCTCTGGCCATTAGTATTCATTTCATTTCATTATGACCGAAGATGATTTCATTGTATGTGGGGATGTTGAAGGTAATCTGCTTGAAACTAATACAACAGTTGTGCCACAGCAGGTGTGTTTCCCAGTCTTCACCACAGGGCCTTGTCACATGCAAGCTGGAAGAGCAGGTGGCAGGTATGGTTGTGAAGAAGGGATGGCCAGCAGGACTGGCTGGTTTCTCATCATTCGACTTCCATTCAATGCAGGTCAACTCTCCTGGGGTTGTCCTGAGCAATGCCTCCAGATCCGTGTTGACGGTGCCTACTTGGCCTTGGGGGACAACCCACTGAATACACAAGAGTGTCTTCTGCAAGCAGCCCTGCTGCCCCTCCTTGTCGGATGTGTTCTTTCCTGCTGCTGGTAGGCAGGTGGGGCTGGCTCCCCTCCCCTGGTCCACCAGCGAGATGCGTCACTGTGGTCTCTCTCCATGGTGGCCGGTGACAGGCTGGGAAAAGGCTTCCTCCAGCTGCTCTCGGCCTGGCAGATGCAGGAGATGCGGTGCCCCTTGAGCCTCGTGGTGTTGTTGTCTTTGTTACAGTCTCTGAGGACTCGCTGGGCCACAGGCAAAGAGAGAGCAACCATCTTTTTCTGTCCCACAAAACTGCTGACATGGTTTTGACACTGTCTGGAGTCATAACGTCAGGCTCACTTGGCGTAAGCACCTCAACTTGAAGAGCAAGTGGGAAGGAGGGCATCAGGTGCCTGTGTTTAGTGTTGGTTCAGTTCTGAGTTCTGCCAGTGATTTTGAGAGGTGAAGCCAGCTGGACTTCTTGGGTCCAGTGGGGACTTGGAGAACTTTTCCGTCTAGTTAGAGGATTGTAAATGCACCAATCAGCACTCTGTAAAAACACACCAATCAGCGCTCTGTGTCTAGCTAAAGGATTGTAAATGCACCAATCAGCACTCTGTAAAAACGCACCAATCAGTGCTCTGTGTCTAGCTAGAGGATTGTAAATGCACCAATCAGCATTCTGTAAAAATGGACCAATCAGCACTCTGTAGAATGGACCAATCAGCACTCTGTAAAATGGACCAATCAGCAGGACATGGGAGGGGCCAAATAAGGGAATAAAAGCTGGCCACCTGAGCCAGCAGCAGCAACCCACTGGGGTCCTCTTTCATGGTGTGGAAGCTTTGTTCTTTCACACGTCATAATAAATCTTGCAGCTGCTCACTCTTTGGGTCTGCACTACCTTTATGAGCTGTAACACTCATCATGAGGGTCTGCAGCTTCATTCCTGAAGTCAGCAAGAATCATGAACCCACCAGAAAGTACAAACTCTGGACAAGCCACCTTTAAGAGCTGTAACACTCACTGCAAGGGTCCGCGGCTTCATTCCTGAAGTCAGCGAGACCACGAACCCACCAGAAGGAACCAACTCTGGACACAATTTCAGGAGGGTCGGCCTGAGGTTGTTAACCCTGCCACAGTTCCATGCCACCGGGAGGAGCCTCAGGAGCTGTCCAGTTCCAGAAAGAGACTGCTTTTTTGGAGCTGATCGCAAAGATGCTTGGAGTCAAGGGAACTGATTTTGTTATTTAGAGATGGGATCTTGCTTTATTGGTCAGACTGGAGTGCAGTGGTTATTTGCAGGCACAAACATAGTGCACTACAACCTGGAACTCCTAGGCTCAAACAATCCTCTTGCCTTATCCTTCTGAATACCTGGGATTCCAGGCACGCACCATCGCACACAGTTTATTATATTTTGACATCTTAAAAAACCCTTTCTGGCTGGGGAGACACTGGCTCTTTGGAGCTAGTCAATCCTTAGAGACAGCAAGAGGGCATGCCTTTGATATGCAAACTACCCAACCCAGGGCATACCTCATCCATCTGGCCCGCATACCCCAGGAGGCTATGTTCCTCTGCCTAATCACCCCAGGGCCAGGTGCCAGGCAGCTGGAGACCGCCCTGACAGCCCAAAACCCTTCAAAATTATCTACTCTAGCCCATCTTAAGCTGCTCACCCCACCCTGGCTATCCCAAGGAGACTCCAACAAAGGCCGTGGTCCAAGCTCATCCTGCACCCCTGCGTTCTGCCTCCTGACCAACACTGGTGCTTCCCCTGTGGTCCTGCTTGGTATGTGGTGACCCCCTTTCTGGAGCCTGTGAGTGTAATGGACTTCATTGTCCTGCGCCTCTCTTGCATCTCCTCTTGTGGCTGTACCTGACCTGACCATTGCTTGAAAGGACAGAGCAGGGAGGCTGAAAACATCTTCGCTGTTTGCCTCGGGCTCATACCTGTTCCCCTTGGGTGTCCTTTTCTCTTTCTCCAGCCCCAGGTTGATGAGTGACCCATTCATGATTTGTGTCCTGTGCTGGGCAACTTGATCCTCCCGCTTCCTGGGAAGGTGATGGTGGTTATGTCACCATAGTGGAGATGTGGCAGCAAACAGATTCTCACAAATGTGAATCATTCTTGGCATAACTTTGATGTCACATAATAATAATAATGATAAAAAGTCCCCTTTCCCACCAGAGGTGAGATATAAAAAGCAAAACTTGAGTGAGGATGGAATAACCTATCCTGCCATGGTATAGTTTTTGCTTAAGCAAAGTTCTGTTGAATGAAGACTTGTTTGCTTCTTGGTTCTTAACTGGGTCTCAGACTATGCATGTATGCATGAGAGACGGAGAGAACTAGACACACACACACACACACACACACACACACACACACACACACACCTGTCCACACAGATGGCATCACCATTAAAGTCAGGCAATAGGACCCTTGCCTGGGTTCCCTTTTTGAGAAAGGTGCTCCGTCTCTCCTTTGACTGTGCCCTAAACCACATTATGAGGAAGCTGAAGGGCCAAGGAGATGCACTCATAGGAAACCATGCTTGCCCTGCTAGGCCACATTCTGGGCATTGGGGTCCTGAAACACTGTGCTCGGGGGGGCCCTGAGCCTGCTTCCAGAGCTTGCATGGGCTTCTCTCCTGGGCTTGTCCTGAAGGGAACTCCTCATTGTTGGTGTGTGCACCCTAGATCCAGTGGGGCCAAGGGCAGCTGCTGCGGCAGAAGGGGATGGGAGAGGAACATGCGAGAGAAGCAGCAGGCTGGCAAGGTGAGGAGGGCTGAAGGCTCATACCTACATCTGCAACCTCCCCTGGGCCACATGTACTGGTATGCCAGGGATACAGGGCAGTGTGCCCCTGCCTGCCTCGCCACATGACTTTCTTAGAGCAGTTGTTCAACAGGAGCCCTGATTCTGAGGATATTTTCCCACTAGACTCTCTCATTATTGAGTACTTTCCTGCCCAGGGGCCCATCCTCCCAGCACTTGGATTCCAATGTGGTTTGTGGGAATGATTCATGTGGCGCCTAATAATGGAGAAAGCCGTGGTTTATGGTTTAGTTTTGTCTGTCAGGTAAAGGTGGAGATAGTGACACACAGGAAAAAGTTCTCACCAAAGTCTCCAAAGGACACTGGGCCAAGGCCCCTCTCTGCATCTCATCTTCACATGGAGGAGGGGGTGGCCCTGCAAGCCATGGGGACCAAGCAGTGCCTCGTGCTCTTCCCAGGTGAGTGTCAGGAGGGCTGGGGATCAGTGGCCGCAGCAGCAACCCCCATGCTCCCTTTCTGGTCCCTTCACACGTCCATCTTTTTTCAGCTGTTGACCATGATTGATGTGTTGGACTATGTTTTTTTGGTTGTGCCCCTGGATGGTTGGTTTTTTGAGATGTGGGGTCAGTCTCTTAATCTCACTTGTCTAACAAGAAGATCCAAACAAAGACCTTCTCCTTCTGGGTTCAAATGGGACGTCTATTCAATGCACACTCTGCCCCTCTGACATGCAGTTTCCCTCCCACGTGGGGAGCTCCAGCCCGAATCACTGACCCCACTTCCTCTGACCACACGCTCCCTGACTGCCAGTGTTCCCTGCCTCTGTTCGCCAGGCTCCACACTCCAGGCTGGAGGCCTTGGCTTCCCCCTCGGCTCCCTGCACCATTGAGCCAGTGGCAGCAAGTAGCTTCATCAGCTTTATTGGTGGAGGATCCAGGGGAAGGCTGTTTAACTCCCAGGCCAAGCTCTTTCCTCCTCTCCTCTTAGGCAAAGATCTGGGGCACTAGCTGGCCACACATGGGTGATGCTGCCTAAGTCACTTCTTGAAGCACTGGGTTAGACTGGTCCTTCCTGTCTACCTGGACCTTAGGACTCTTCCCCAGCAGGATGGGGTTAGAGGGCCCAGCGTGACCGAAGCATTGGGAGGGCAGGAACAAGTTAGTGGTGTTTGCCTCTCCCTAAGGCCTGGCTTACACTTGGAGAGGACCAGCCTTTGACCCTGCACAGCAGGCTGGGGTTCTGCAAACAGCCCCGACCCCAAGATGGATGTTCAGTGTGTATCTGCCCCCAAACTCCCACAGGCCTCAGAAAACCGAGGGCTGCCTCTGGGGGAGCAGGCTTTGGGCATTCCTGGGGCTGTCCCTCCGCTCTGCCACTTAACAACCGTGTGGCTGTGGTTGAGTGACTCAGCTCTCTCTGTAAAGCAGGGATGGAATGAGTCCTTTGAATCAGCATGGGGAAGA
This sequence comes from Homo sapiens, assembly GCF_000001405.40. NCBI lineage: Eukaryota > Metazoa > Chordata > Mammalia > Primates > Hominidae > Homo > Homo sapiens. The sequence continues at coordinate 41,546,619 of NC_000013.11, forward strand.
TCCAGTGAGCTTCTATATGCCCAGCGCATCACAAGGTCTTGGGAATTAGTGGTTAGTACTGTTGTTGCTGCCATTCATCCATCCCTCTTGCAATTGTTAGTTTACTTTCTGTCTTCCCCAGAAGCTCCTCTCTCCATATCTGTGCCGTCCGCTTCTCTGACCCCAGAACCCAGTGTCAATACATATGGCTGGATAGATGGTTGAATAAATGAATGAATGAATGAATGAATTTATTGTTATGGAGATTAAATGAGACGCCACAAAAGCTCCAGGAACAGAATGACTTTTTATCTGGAGAAGGCAAGGGGACAGGCCACAGGCAGCCCGCATTGAGGCAGGCCCAGGGAGACACATGAGGCCTGGGTTGCAGCATCACAGCACAGCGCGGGAGAGCCCAGTGCTGCTGTGGTGAAGGTGTCCAGGTGGGTCACCTTTGCTGGTGGCTCTTTACTTCCGACTTCTGTGTGTACTCACCTTCCCAGACCCTTGGCCTCCCTGGGAGAGCTGCCCTCCTGGACCTGAGCAGTGGGTGACAGCCGCACCTGTCCACAGGGAAAATGTTGTCGATTTTCTGTCAGTGTGAACTCTCACATTTACATTTTTGCCAAGCTGAAAATAACAGTAACATAAACACGCCTCCATGGCCCTGTCCTCTCTGAAGGGAGAGGAGAAAAAAGTGCAGCCCACTCCAGAAAACAATGTTCCCTCTGTTAGCAGACACGGGCTTCTGTTTAAGTCCCCAGGGCCCCCACGGCTGCAGTGGAATGAGCTGGGCCCGGCCTGCTGGGTGTACCGGCTGCCTGGGCAGCCCCTCCCGAGGCCAGCCTTGTTTACGACCGTGGGAGAGGGGGCCGCTCCCAGCCCAGCTAGGCACCCGTGAGGCACTGACCAGCCAGCCCTGTGGGAACCCAGGGCCCTGAATGCCTCCCCTGTGCAGAAGGGTCAGTGCTTTCCAACCCTCTGCCCTGTGCACTGTGGTCAAGGGCACATCATGTCCCCAAGCACAGAGTGTGCTCAGGGTCCTATTCTTCACAACAGCCTTCCTTTCACTGCCTGCTCAGCAAGCAGAAAAGGTTAACATTTCCATCTTCCGTCCTAAGGAGATGCCTGCTGGGACTTGGTCTCAGGCATGAGTCTTTTCTTCCTCCTTCCTGGGAGGGGTTGGAACTAAGCCTCAAAGCAGAGTAGCTGACAACGTGGCGTGGGAGAGGCTTGGATGTGTCGCTGGAGAGAAACATTCTTGCCACCCCCACCCTAAAGAGGCTGCGGGGACAGGCAGCCCAGCCCTCCTGGCCTATTTTCGGGCTGGAGAGAGGTTCAGTCTCAGGCACAGTTTTGGGAGGCAGATCAGCCTCCCTGTTCCGGCCTCCCACTCCCATGGAGCTCTCTGCTGCCTCTTCCAAGGGGCCGCAGATACCCGTTCCTTGCTCTATTTCTTCACCAGCCCTACCTGTTCTCAGTCCATTACCTCATGGCCCTGCTCTCTGCTTACTAAAGTGACAATTCGTCTATAAGGAAGCCCTTGCACTGTAGCTGAGGATTCGCGAGGCTGCACCCTCAGCAGGCACTGTGGCCACACAGCACTGGCCTGAGATCTGAGTTCCTGGAGCCTCGGCCCTGAGGCCCATGGTGAGTATCTCTGTAGCTACTCAGCCAGCCTGCCTTGGCCTGGTGATCAATAACCTGGGACCTTTCCCCCAGCACCAGCATCTGTGAGCTCAAGGAAGACATCTGAACTTCTTGATAGCAGGGCAGGGCCAAACCATCTACTGAAATCATCAGCAAAAGTGAGGGGAATGCAGGACTGGTCGCTCCAGAAACTTCTAACTTTTTAGCTAGATGTAAATCATCGCACAGCTTTTGCTGCAATGTGGACATTGTGAAGGGTGTTTTGCCTCTTTTAGGGGTGCAATAAAAAAGGAAAAATAATGGAATGAGAAAAAAATCCAAAAAATGGATAAAAATCTTTGGTCAAGTCCTGTAAAACTATGATCTTAGTTCTCAGAGTCTATGGGAAACACATCACAGTGGGTCGACTTATTTCTGTCTCCAACCCTAGAGACCATCTCGTGTAAAAAAAAAAAATTTTGTAAAACAAGAAGAGTTAGTCTTATTATTCAGTATACCACAATTACTTGCTTAGTTTTCATTTTGTTGAGCTGCTTCTGGTTTAAATATAATATATATATTTGAAGTCTTAATAGCCATTGTGATCACAAAACTGCTGGCAAGTTTTATCAAAACCCTTAAGACAGGCAAACGTGAGGCTCTTAAAGAGAAAATCCTCAGTCGCCCCCTCATTTCTAATTTATCTAGCACAGTCAGTAAACATGTCTTTCAGAGGGAACTGAAGACAATTAGAAATAAATCAAGATACAAATGAATTCAATACTTACTGTTGTATAGATCAGCAGCTGTCAACCAAAGGGTAGCTTTGCCTCCCAGGGGCCATTTGGCAATGTCTGCAGACATTTTTGATTGTCGCAGCTTGGAGAAGAAAGGCTGCCGCTAGCATTCGGCGGTACAGACTAGGAAGTCTACAATGCTCAGAATGGCCTCCCACAACAAAGAATTGTCTGGCTTGAAATTCCATAGTGTCAAGGTTAGAAATGCTGGTATAGAAACTATGAGAGACACAAAACGGCATAAAGGCATAATTACTGCGTTTTAGGAATTTGCAAGCTAACTTGTTTTCAAAATGCTACATAATGAAAACAGACTTTAATTTCTCGTATTTATTTCCCTTGCTCTGGTCCCTGTTTGAGATGTATGGGAAAGCCAGGAGTCCCGCGATGCTTCTGAGTGAGGCATTCTGGGTAGCGCCAAGAAGGGCAGTACAGGGACATTGGTGCATGGGCCACGGGCAGATGGCCCTTGCTGGGCTCAGCTGTTCACTGGAATGTGCACTATTCTTGGGGTGACAGTGAATGACTAAGCCATTTTACCTTCAGGGGGTCTGCAGCTCTGAGGCCACCCAAGGACACCAAAACCAGGCCAGGAAGCTCTAGTGGGGAAGGTGATGAGAGGGGGGGCGTCGGTGCACAGAGCGGCACCGTGGCTGCGTCCAAGTCCAGTCGGGTTTTGGAATCTTGTCCTGCGTGTCTGTTTGTGATTCTCTCACTCTCCTCTGGCTTCTGGACCTACCATGTTCTATGGAGCATCCAAAACTGGGGAGCTGACACCTCAGGGCCAGCCCTGCACTCTCATTTCTGGCGTATACCACAGTGGGCCTTACTTGGGAGGCATTCGGGGCAGGGCCCAGCACAGACGAGATTCTCAGAATGTGTGGACGATGGCACTGTAGTTGAAGAGGGGAGTCCTCGCTTCTAGAGCTCCACGCCTGAATATTTACAATGAAATGATGTGATAGCCGGGATTTACTTCAGAGTAACCTGGAGTGCAGAGACAGAGGCTAGGCGATGGGAAACGAGAATGGCCATGAGCCTTGGGGATGGCCCATGGGGGTCTGATCTACATCTGTCTCTGCTTTCGCATGCATTTGAAATTGTTCATAAAAATATCTGTTAAACCATACTTGTCCCTCCAAGGCCAAGGCATGGTATAGGGGCCAAGGTGAGTGAAGAGGCCCCGGTTCTCTTTTGGAGAGAATTACTTGGTTTGGAATGAGAGTTTTTAATATCTCCCTGTTGATCTGGAAGAGTGGGGCTCCTGTCACGGGTGGGTAGGGGACCCAGTGCCAGTGGTTAGGGGAGGCTGGAGGCTGGCTGGGTCCATCAGGATGTGCTGGTGAGGACGCGGCTCGGGCCATCCCCTCAGAGCTGCCCTGAAGCAGGAGGCCTTGCAGGGGTTTGAGGAGGCCGAGTCTGCACTCAAGAGGTTGCAAGAACCAAGCTGCCCTGATGCCGGGGATGGGCCCCAGGCTGAAAGCCTGAGCACAAGCCAGGCCTGAAGGGCACTGAGCGGCCAGAGCTGACGGCACTTCTGAGGGGCTGAATCAGAGTCAGTCCCAGGAGAGGGAAGAGGATGAAAGGAATCAGGAGGGCTTGTTTGTGCTTTAAGCCTGTCCACAAGAACCAGGAGATGGGCTCCTGGGATTTCACAATTCGAGGTCCGTCTGGTGCCTCCTGCATCCTCTGCACTTGCACATTGTGTGACATATGAAAGTCGGAAGTGACCTGAAGACACGTGCACCACAAGGGATGCTGTGGAGACGCCCTACAGGGACTCTGATGTGGGGGGCATTTCCGATTTCTGGGGCCTGGCTTTTAGATGAAGGCAGCAGAAAGTTACCTAAAGACAGCAATGGAGAGGTCTTTAGTGATCCACTGCTGTGTAATAAACCACCCCGAACTTAATGGCTTGTAACAGCAAGCATATATTCCCTGCCATGTTTCCGCAGGTTGACTAGGCTCAGCTGGGCAGTTCTTGGCTGGTCTCACTTGGGGTCTCTTGGGAGGTTGCAGGCAGAATGCGCCTGGGCTGGAGTCCTCTGGTCGCTCTCCCAGGGTCCCAGAACAGCTGCCTGTCTACGTGGTCTCAAGGCCTTCGCTCCCTATATGGCCTTTCTATGCAGTGTCTCCATGCAGACTTTCTGGTGAAGGGAGCTGGGGGCTTCTCACATGGAGGCTCGGGGCTCCTCAAAGTGCAGAACCAGAAGCCTTCTTAACACTTAGCCAGAAGCTGGCCCAGTGTCACTTCTTCCTCCTTCCTTTGGTTGAGCTGTTGTGGCCAGCTCAGGTCCAGGGTAGGGAAGTAAATTCTTGATGGGAGAATGACAAGGAATTGTGGCCATCATTAATCCACCATAGGGACCCAGTCTGGAGCCTGCACAGAAGTGGGGAAGCTGCGGCCGTGTTAGGTGATGCCGTCTTGTAGACGCGGGAGATGCCAGAACCGCTATCCCTGGCTCCTTCTCTGTGTCCTCGCTGACTTGAACAAGCAATGGGTCATTGTAACATCTTCAGATGCCTCTTGGCTTCATGTCATCAGCTATAAAGTGGCATCACAGTGATATCTCTCTGGGGCCAGCCCTGGGTCCACCTGCCAACCACCTCCCTGTGCACAGTTCTTGGAAGTCATTCATTCACCTGACCAGACGCTGAAGCCAGACCCGTCCCCACCCACTGAGGCCACCTCCGTAAGGTCAGGTTGTGGCCATGTGCTGGGTCATTTCACTCCCTTCTGGGCTCACAGGAAGGAAGGAGGTCTTTGCAGGGGCAAATGGAGCACCACCTCATGTCTGCTGCACCTGCTCACATCCTCTAGCTCCTCCTCCCAGCAAACCTGCCTCAAGGGCACACAGAGTCCTGGTGGAGTCAAGACTCGAGTCCAGGTCCTCATACAGCAATGCCTTGTCTTCCCTGCAGGCTCCCAGGGGCAGGCAGGTGGGAGATGGGTGCACAGGGAGTGCCATCGTCCCCACACCCAGACTCCTCAGGGATTCTCTTTCCTCAGTTACAAAGAGTGCTGGCTCTGCTAGCCAGGACAGATGTTAGCAATTTTCAAGGAGCAAACATTTCTCATTTCATCTTACCTTAATCAAGTTACTTGGGCCCTATCCACAAAAGTGTCTGAGGAACAGATGACTGAAGAAGGGTGACAGCTGCTGCTGGCCTGGTGGGGGCCTCTGTGCAGTGAATGGCTGGCTGGCTGCTGGATGTGGCGTGGCTTGCTGATGGGCATGAATGTGGGGAGCGGGAGCCTGCCTCTCAGCTTCCTGCATCTGGAATTGAAATTGGACCTGTTTGCAGGTCAGTGTGCCCTGGGGGAACTGCCATTCTCTCACTCTCCTCTGGGTCCTGGCTACCACTCCAGCCTGTCCCAGTGCCCATGGCTGGGAAAGGAACACCCAGGACATCGCTGGCTCAGCCCACACTCTGTCACCTCTCTGCCACATTCTACACACCGTGGGCCCTTTTGGGAGACTTTCTGGGCAAGGCTTTACCAGATTGCATTTAAAAATAATCTTTCAAATATGCTTCACCTTCAAAGCCAGGCTAGAGATGGAGAGGCATAAAGCGTGACCAGGAGGATTCAATGTTTTCTTGGAGAGTCTGATTTGATTTCAGTGCTGAGTAGGAGGAGAATGTCCTGCAGCCCCTCTCTGTTTCACCTTAATTTGTAAGGACAGGGGTGTTTCTTCCCCCCCACAGTGCCTAGACCTTTGCTAAGCACAGTTGGAATCAGCAAACATCAAGAAGCACTGAAGATGCACTTGCTGATCGAAGGTAATTGCTCTCGACCTTGGCCGAATACTAGGAAACTTTAAAAATCATGGATGCCTGGCTCCCACCCCCACATTCTGGCAATTGGCCTGGAGTAGGACCCGACAGAAACTCCCCTGTGATTCTACTGTGCAGGCGAGGTGAGGCCTCCTGCCCCGATGCCTGCTCCTCCGCTCCTACCAGCCCTGCTGGATTGAGCCTGACTTTGCCTCAGCTCGGGTGTGCTCACAGGGGTGTCCAGCCAGCTGCCTCTTGTCACCACCATGACCTGGACAAGCCCTGCTGCTTCCCAGTACATTCGGACAACGGGACCGGAGGAAAGAGGATCTCAGTTGGAGAGTCCAAGGTGCCTCAAATCAAAAGATAAAACTTGCAGATGGCTGCCAATGGCTCGGGAAGACACCGCTAAAGTCATGTCATGCCATAACTGGGACTGCATCTGTGAGGGAGGAGCATGACCTTGGAGGCAGAAGGTCAAGGTCAAGGCTCACCCATTCTACTCCATGTGCTTGGCTTCCCCATCTCCATAAATGGCAGCTTCATGTTTTCAGTATTGCAAGCCAGTGGACTTATGGTCATCTTTGATTCCTCTTTCTCTCACATTTCACATCTAATCCATCAGCAAATCTTGTTGGCTCCACATTCCAAATATATCCGGACTCTGACGGCTGCTCACCACCTCTGCTAGCATCTTGTCAGGTCTGAATTACCGCAACCACCTCCTAACTGGTCCCTCTGAGTCCATCCCTGGCCCGTCACAGTCTATTCTCATCGTGGCACCCAGAGCAGTCCTTTCAAAATGCAATTCGGAGTATGTCACCCTTCTGTTCAGAACCTTCACTGGATTCTAAACTTACATCGTGGGACATCCCAAATTTTTACTGTAATCTCTAAGACTGGCCAGGTCTGGTGCCTGCTGTCTCCTGGGCTCATTTTCTGCTGCTCTCCTCCTCATTTATGCCAATCTGGCCACCCCAGCCTCCTTGCTGTTCTCTAAGATTCCCACGGTCCCACTGCAAGGCCTTTGCACTTGCTGTTCCCTCTGAGTAGAACACCCTTCTTGATATTTGCACAGCTCACTGCCTTCCTTCCTTCAGGTTTGTCTTCAGTTATTATCTTATCAGAGAGGCCTCCCTGTGTACCTTACTTAAAATAGTGTCCCCTAACCGAATTCTAACGCTTTTTTTTTTTTTTTAATTTTTTTTGGAGGCAAGGTCTCACTCTGTTGCCCAGGCTGGAGTGCAGTAGCCTGATCACAGCTCACTGCAGCCCTGACCTCCTGGGCTCAAGCAATCCTTCCACCTCAGCCTCCCAAGTAGCTGGGACTACAGGCATGCACCACCACACTTGCCTAATTTTTGTATTTTTTTGTAGAGTCGGGGTCTCACTGTCTTACCTGGGCTGGTCTCAATCTCCTGGGCTCAAGTGATCCTCTCAACTCAGCCTCCCAAAGTGCTGAGATTACAGGTATGAGCCACCTTTTTCCTTTCATTCTCAGAATCTGTCACCACCCACATATTATACATTTACTTGTTTACTTGCAGGCTCTTTCCCCTAGAATGTGTGTTCCCTAAGAGCAAGTTCACTGTGGTGCCTCCAGCACCCAGGATAGTGTCTGAAACACAGCAAGTGCTCAGCAAATATTTGCTGAATGCATGAGTACATGTATGAGGAAAAGCAGTTGCAAAGAAGATTCCAGGGTGGGTCTTTTGGGAGGTCATGTGAACCAGACCTTAAAAGACTGAGGGTGAGCATGTAGGGGTGGAGCGAGAGGCTTTTCCAGAAAAGGGGATAAACAGCTGTCAAGTTGGTCAGGAGCTCAGGCCAGCGGTGGGAGTGTGGGTGTGAGTGGAGCATCTGGATGGAGCTGTGCGCGCCCAGCTCATGAACCCCCCTCAGAGCTACTGAGGCTGAGCTGATGTGCTTGGGAGCCCTGTGCAGCCAGGAGAAGGCACTGCATGGGCGTCCAGGTTAACTGCATGACTCAATTGCTCTCTCAGTTTGATACCACAGACCACATAGCCTCCAGGTTTAGTTTCTCAGAACCACTCATGAAGGTCCTACTAACCAGGGCTGACCTCTGGAGGTGAGTGGAGCTGGTGTGGTTTAAAGGGATGGATTTTTCTGCCTCCCCCAACCTGGCTGAGGCCTGAGATGGCTTTTGTTGCCTTTGGGCTTTGTGGACCTCACTTGGCCTTGTGAGCATAATTGCATTCAGCCCCTCCAGGAGTGGTAACACGTTCGGGGTAGGGAGCGGACACTGAGGTGGTGCACTGTGGGAGACAGGGAGGGAAAGGTAGGTTTTGAGTCTGAGGAACTGACTATAACCCAGGCTGGGGCCCAGCCAGGAGGCTGTTTGGGTACAAACTCAGTCTTGCGAGGATTGCACGGCTGTGTGCTCACAAACACGGCCAGGCAGCTACTGAACATCCATCACCAGCTCCTTCCTGTGTCTGGTGACAACAAGTTGCCTGTGTACCTATTAGTGCCAGGTAATGTCAGGTACTTTACCACATTACCTGGTTAATCATCTCCAAAAAATTATGGAAAGATAAGAAATTCATTGTGCAGTTGGGGAAATGGAGGCATAGAAAACTTCCTTAAGCTGGGTGATGTCAGTGAAAATGGTGGAATAAGGACCTCAAAAAACACTCTTCTCCATAAAGGCAATATGAATCCTGGCAAAAATGGTCAGAATTCAACTTTTCCGAAACTCTGGAAATTTAGTAAACACTTACAGCAATCTGGGTAGCATTTACTTAAGAAAAATGGCTGAATCTTAGTAAGAGCAGTAAGCATTGTGATGTTCTAACTTGCTCCATTAGAAATAATAAACAAGTTCCGGGCATAAGATCGATACATAAAAGTCAATTGTATTTTTTTACATGAGCAAGGAATAACCTGAAAATGAAATTAAGAAAATAATTTCATATACAATAGCATTAAAAAGAATACAATACTTAGGAATAAATTTTGAAAAGAAGTGTAAGTCTTATACACTGAAAACTCCAAAACATTGGTGAAAGAAATTAAAGAAGAGCTAAATAAATGGAAAGACATCCTGTGTTCATGGATTGAGTTACTTAATATTGTTAGATGGCAAGACTCCCCAAATCGATCTACAGATCAACGGAATCTTTACCAAAATCCCAGCTGGCTTTTTTGCAGAAATGACAAACAAATCCTAAAGTTTATATGGAAGTTCTAGGGACCCATGACAGCCAAAATAACCTTGGAGAAGAAGAACGAAGTTTGAGGACTTATACTTTCCAATTTCAAAACTTACTACAAAGCTACAATAACCAGGACTGTATAGTAGTGGCATAAGGATAGACACATAAATCACTGGAATAGAATTGAGAGTCCAGAAATAAGCCCATACATTTATTTGTGGGTCAATTATGTTTGGACAAGGATACTAAAACAATTCAATTGGGAAATAATTGTCTTTTCAACAAGTAGTGCTGGGAAAATTGGATATTCACATATAAAAGAATGAAGTTGGACCCCTACTTCACACTATAAACTAAAATTAACTCAAAATGGATCAAAGACCTAAATGGCTAAACTGTAAAATTATTAAAAGAAAAAACATACATGTAAACCTTCATGACCTTGGATTAGGCCATGGTTTCTTAGCTATGACACCAAAAATGCAAGCAAACAAAAACAAATAGATAAATTGAACTTCATCAAAATTAAAAACTTTTATGCTTCAAAGGACACTATCAAGAAAGTGAAAAGACAACCCACAAAATGGGGGAAGTATTTGCAAATCATATATCTTATAATGGTCTAGTATTTGGAATACATAAAGGATTCTTACAACTGAACAATAAATAGACCAATAACCAATTAAAAATGGGCAAAGGATTTGAATAGACATTTCTCCAAAGAAGATATACAAATGACCAATAAACACATACAGAAGTGCCCAATATTGGGCTGGGCATGGTGGCTCACCCCTGTAATCCCTACACTTTGGGATGCTGAGGTGGGCAGATTGCTTGAGTCCAGGAGTTTGAGACCAGCCTGGGCAACATGGCAAAACCCCATCTCTACAAAAAATACAAAAATTAGCTGGGTGTGGTGGCACACGCCTGTAATCCCAGCTACTCAGGAGGATAAGGCAGGAGAATTGCTTGAGCCTGGGAGGGGGAGGTTGCAGTGAGCCGAGATCATACCACTGCACTCCAGCCTGGGTGACAGAGCAAGATTCCATTAAAAAAAAAAAAAGTTGCTCAATATCATTAGTCGTTAGAAAAATGCAAATTCAAATCACAAGTTACTACTTCCCATCCACTAGGACAGCGATGGTCAAAAAGACAGAGAATAAGTGTTGGCAAGGATGTGGAAAAATTGGAACCCTTTTATTGCTGGTGGGAATGTAAAATGGTATAGCTACTTTGGAAAACAATCAGGCAATTCCTCAAAAAATTAAACGTAGAGTTATCTTACAACCCAGGAATTCCACTCCTAGTTAAATACTCAAGAGAACTGAAAACAGACGTCTGCACGAAAACTTGAACACGAATGTTCATAGCAGCATTATTCATATTCACCAAAAGATCCATTGGCTGATGAATGGATAAACAAAACGTAGAGTATATTGATGTAATTGAATATTATTTGGTTGTAAAAAAAAATGAAATAGTGATTCATGATATAACATGGATGACCCTTGAAAACATTATGGTAAGTGAAGGAAGCAAAAAAAAGTCCCACAATGTATAAATCCATTTGTGTGAAATGTTCAGAACAGGCAAATGCATAGAGACAGAAAGTAAACTAGTGGTGCCAGGAGACAGGAGGAGTGATGCAAAGTAACTACTAGCAAGTATGGGGTGTAGAATTAGGGACTGCTGATGTTTGCACAACTTCGTGAATCTACTCCAAAACGCTGAATTGTACACTTTAAAAGGGTGAGTTTTATTATGTGTATTTTTCAGTACAAAATATAAAAAAATGTTTTATTTTTTAGGACAGAAAACTAGTTAGTATGGGGTCATGATTTGAATCCAATGTCCATGCACTTAAGGTCATCTGCGCCAATACCTCTGGGGCTTGCTAGGCAGCATGTGGTCACTTGGAACTGTCTCAGGTACCCAGAGAAAAATGGTTTCTGTTGGGTGTCACTATGTGCCACTATCTGGGCACAGCTTCCTGGGTATCTGCTTGTCACCAGGGACTGATCTAGACACAAATTCATGTTCAATGTCACACAGCCATCCTTGTCCCTGCCACTACTAAGATTTTGTTACAGGGTCAAGCTTGTGTGTCTGATTTGCTCTTCCGTTGAGTTGGAATTGTTTCCAGTTGTTTTCTCATCTCTCATGTGGATGGATTAGGGGTGGCCAAGCTACCACTCTAGCAGATATGGCAAAATTCCTGCTTGGGCTAAAGCTGAGATGCCTCCTCTGCTGCCCTATTATCATGGGTACTAACAGGAGCCCTGGGAATTTCTTTTCCCTAAGATATTTTAAATAGGGTAGACTTTCTCATCTTTGACCTATCCATACACCCACCACCCACCCACTCATTTATCTGTCCATCCATCCATCCATCCATCCAACCATGCATTCATCCATCCGTCCGTCCCTCTGTCTGTCCATTGTGCATTCATTCCATTTGACTAATCCATGTTGTTCAGGGCTCTTTGCAAAGTGACTGACTGAAGCACAGTTTTGCCTGGGTTGGGGAACATGGGCCAAGTGATTTTCTCTAAAGTCTTCTAGGGATTTATTAATCTAGGTGTCTTATTGGGTTGTGTGCAGGTAGGAATGTTTGGCAGCCATGATGATCTGCCGGAGAATCCCAGGCAGCCTCACAAAGGCTGAGATGATTCTGATGCTCCCTGTTGATTTCCCTTTTTTCTTGTTTTTGTTTAGGCCATAGAACAAGCCATTTTCAACAAAAGGACTTGCAAATTCCTGCCTTAGGGCTCCTTCTGCACAGGACAGACCTTTCATCACCAACCCAACTTGTAATCTTGGGTAAAGAAGGTTCTCAGCTCATTTTCAAGAAGAAAAAAAAAATGTAAGTAAAACAAAACAGCCACATCACGAAGTTGCTCCACATAATGAGGCCTGCTCTGTTGACCTATCATTACCCTGGGCTCCAGGCAGGCCTGGGCTGCCCGGCCAACCTCCCACCTTATCCCTGGCCAGTCAAGGTTGGGGTCAACAGCTGGGCAGCCCAGAGGCCACCACAGTGGCTGTGAGGATAAGGCTGCTTTTCAGGGTCTGGCCTTGCCTAGAGCTGCTTGGCTGGATGGTGGTAGCTGAGGAGGAGGAGAAGAGTCCTCTGAGGCCTGCCAGCTCAGCTACCCTGGGACATTCCAAATCCAGGCTTTTGCTTGAACTACACTTACCCTCCCTTTCTTTTGGGGCTCCTTGACTCTTCTTGGCTCATGTGGGTCTTGCCTGCTTTTCAGAGCCAGAACTTGTTCTGCCTCCCAGGCCCATGGTGCCTCCCCATCCCACAGCTATTTGTTCAGCAAAAATTTATTAACCACTTTTCAGGGCCAGGCCAAAGATAAACAAGACTTGATCCCTGCTCTTGTTCCTCCCACAATAGGGAAGGCCGATATGGAAAGAATGATGAGAGAGTGTGGTGAGCACCTAGGGCCATTCTTACTGCCTCAGGACCACAGAAGCTGGTGTCAAATGCTGTTGAGTTATTTCTCCACACTCTTTTGGTGATGCATCCTGTTTTCCCAGTTGATTGAAAACACCTAGAGGGAAGGGTCTTAAATGTCTTCTCTCATTTTCTGAGTGCCTTGCATGGTGGTGACCCAAGTAATGAAATAGCTGTCCAGCAGCAAGGAACTGTTTCCTTCAATCCAAATTTTACTGGATTTCTTGGTCTTTATTTCAATCTGGGAGCATTAGGTTATGAGAAAAACAACAAACCTAACTAACCTCCTATATTTGTTAGGCTGCTGTGCAAATTGGTGGGGGTCTCTGATCCATACCATCACCCAGTGTCTTAGTCAGCTTGGGCTGCTATAACATATTACTGTGGGTGACTGGGTGGATTAAACCACAAGCATTTATTTCTCACAGTTCTGGAGACTGGGAAGTCCAAGATCAAGGTGCCAGCAGGTCCAGTGTCTGGTAGGAGCTGGCTTCCTGCTTTACAGACAGCAATCTTCCCATTATATCCTCACATGGTGGAGAGTGGGACAGAGCTCTTGTGTCTCTTCTTTTAAATGCACCAATCCCATTAATGAGGCCTTCACCTCATGATTTAATCACCTACCAAAGTCCCCACCTCCTGATACCATCACAGCAGCATTTAGGATTTAACACGGGAATTTTGGGGGAACATAAATATTCAGTCCATAACACCCAGGATCCCAGGTTCATTGAAGCTTTGCTATCTTAGGTAGAGCTACACCATCTAAAACACATAGTTTTCTCCGTCACCCCGATTCTGTGAAAGAGAGCTGGAGGGTTGCCTACTAGCTCTTAAAGGCTTTAGCCCACTATTGACACATCACTTCTGCTCACAGCCCAGTGGCCAGAACCAGTCTCACCGTCCTGACCTAACTGCAAGGGCCCAGAGAAATATGGGAGATGTGTGAGCAGTAAATGACTCTGCCATAGTTCCCAAGCTAGCTTAAGTGAAAAGGGGGTGGCTGGGAGGACACCAAGGCATCTTATGGGTCTCTATCTAGGAAGGGGGTCCATCCAAGCCCCCAAAGGAACCGCAACCAGACGTTGGAAAGTTAGGACCCATAGTCACATTCTTAGAGTTCCAGGGTGCCGTATTTACTTCTCTCTCCTTCAGTCAGCAAGTTGACTTTTTCTTTTTTCTTTTTGGGTAGACTGGTTTTCTTTGCTTTTCAAATACAATGGGAATAAGAACAGTCCCTGTCTGAAGGAGCTGTGAGGATATAATGAGTTTATCCATGTAAAGTGTTCAGGAAGTGCCTGGCGCATGGGAAGTGCTAGGTAAGAGTTAGCTATTGCTATTATTTTATGTAATAATAGTAATATTTTTAATTATTCTCCTTGCATATGCCAAAACATGGCTGCCTAGGCTTAGCCTCTAAGACTCCCCCGAGAAGGAACTGACTAAAGGGACCAGTTCTTTTGGGAGCTGAGTGCCTAACTGAGTCAGGGTTCTCCCTGGGTTTGGGGAGAGGGAACAGGCCAGCATGCCCAGCTAATTTTTAAAAATTTTTCGTTGAGATGGGATCTCCCAGTGTTGCTCAGGCTGGCCTTGAACTCCTGGGCTCAAGTGTTCCTCACGCCTCGGCCTCCCAAATTGTTGGGATTACAGGCATGAGCCACTGTACCCGAAGAGAACCATCTTAAAGAGAAAAAAGAGCTGTTTTTATTTTTTGTTTTTAGAAGGCCACGTTCATTTTTTCAGAGGCACTTGGTCTTTTTAGTGCTAAGGAAATAATACTCAAGGATTTTTAAAAACTGTTACACAACAGCTTCTTCTTAAAGGCTGAATCACAGGCACTTTAGAAAACTTCTTAGTGGAGGAGGCTCCACTGATATGTACTCAATACTTACACTCAACAGGAGGGATATATTTCGATTTTGAGTTTGACAGGCACACACTGATCTCATTTAAGTCCTTACCCAGCTGGAGCTCAGGAATTCCAGTGCGCTTTCCACAAGAACTTCCTCATGTCTTGTCGTGCCGAACAGTGGGGCATGACCCAGGCCCTGTTTCTGCAAGGAAAGAGAAGTGGCTCCCAAGAACTGTAGTGGCCTCTTGGTATAAATTGTTTTCCTAAAGGCCCACAGTACAGGGCAAGAGTTTTCTTGGCAACCCAAATTAGAAATAAAAAAAAAAAAAAGCTGATTTGTTCACATCATCAAATAATGGCCCAGAGGCTGTGGAGTAGATGTCCAATTTCAAAGGCCTTGCCCTTCCTCTGGGCCAGAGGCCTTTCATCACAGCTAGGAAATTACCTCCCTAACATGCATGCTGCGCCTGCCTCCATAACCCAGAGGTCAGAAAGGCAGAGCACTTCTATAAGATGGAGGCAAAAATACAAATGGAAAACTGGGTGTCTCTGCAAAAACAAGACTAAGGAGAACCAAGGCACTGCCATCCAAACCCAACACCGCCTTCAGTGAGTGCTCTCAGGAGGCCTGACAGCAGAATATATGCCCAAGGCAAGAATGTCACCCAAGGTTCCCATATCTCCTGCCCTCACGTTGTGTCCCAGGTCTGGGTTCTCTGCTTGAGTAATGCTCCAAGCTGCAAATGCCCCCAGCCAATTCTATCTCCTCAACCCATCACAGGCCCTCTGTCTAAGGACCTTCCTACCAGTGGGGGTTAGGAGGAAAGCATGGGAATGAAAGAATTTGGACCAAGGGGTGCATGATGGTAGCCCGTCAGGGCAACTTGTAGTTGAAAAGAGAAGCCCCTTTTGCAGGGAAACACCACTGTACAGATAGACTTCAGATGCTGCGGGGCACGGCGCCAGGCCAGCTGTGTGGAGCTGCATTCCAGCCAAGTGACTGAATATCTGCTTTCATGCGGTTTTGTGGAGCTGCTACAATCTTCCACCTCTGCAGAGTATACCCGTTTCTTCCAGTCACCACGAAAGGTCATGCAAAAAGAGATTCTTCAGTTCTGGCACTACATATTTAATATCAAATCTTTGTACTTGAGCCTGCAATGGATGGACATGCATATTCTATCAGCCTTGAAAATAGCTGTTCCAACACTGGAGCCCTGAAGGAAACTTTTCAGTTAAATATTCTCTCTTTGCCAACTGCCAAATAGACAATTTTATTATTCAACCCATGGATCCATTAACTCAACCCTGGCCTTCCCCAGTAGCCCCTGTCATCTGCTCTTCTTTTGTGTGTAACACCCTTGATCTGAGCATCCGCTTGTTGCAGAGGCCCTTGGATTCCCCAGCAGCCTCAGGCTCTGTAGGAGCCACCCCTAGGAGGCAAGTCAATCAGGCTGCTTCCCCAGCTTTGCTATTTGATTTCTGTTGGGGCTGCAAGTGTTCCTTTCTAGGCCATTTTTAGGCCTGAATTTCATATGGGCCATAAAATCTTTTGTAAAAGGAAATGGATCAGCTAGCTTTGTCGAGACTCACTCTATTTCTGGAGTCCTGATGATGAAAGACTTAATTAGTGCTGGAGTAAACAAACGGTCAGTCTCGTTAAATTAGCAGCAGTATTTATTAATATAAACACATTGCACTTGAAAAATCCAACTTTAATGTCCCCTCTGAGTAAATATACTTATTTTTCTTCAAGTTTCAATCAGTAAGGCTTCATGTACAGCCATGATGTCATGAGACCAATTACACAGAGTACTCTTGACAGGCTCATGATTTTCTTGCCGTATTCTGGCCTGCGTAAGGAGCAAACTTGCTTTAGGATGTTCAGAGAGACACTGTTCTCTTCCATTTCCAGGTCAAACCCCAGCTACCATGACTTAATGCTTCAGAGCTGCATTTCATATTAATACATTCTTATATTCTGAAACTCCTCTGTGGTCACACTCACCATCTTTGGAGTCTGAATTTATTCACACACTCTGGTTGTTCCTTCAGGGAAGGAGCTAGCAGCCCCAAAGTACTTCCACTGAAGCCTTTGGAAAAGAGGGAAGACTCCAAGTCTCTGGCACCTGCAGAAGAGGGGAATCTTGAGAAGTAGCTGACGCTCCGAGTTTACATGTCCCCTTGGTGAGATTTCTTACAGCAGAACATGACGTTCTTCCCACCCCCAGGATGCAAACCACTTTAAAAGAATGTTATACTTTGCTCTGCGTGGCCAAATACCACAAACACCACTTGATTTTAAAATTATGTAGTCTTGGTATTCCAAAGCCAACGTGCACCACCATGCAAGAACAGATGCGGTCTCTGAAGGCAAAAGCCCCAGGCAGTGCTTAAGTCTCAAAAAAGAGTTGTCATGTCATCCTCAACTTGAGATGTTTGCTTGGCAAGCATTTTTTACTCTCTGGAGGAAATTTTGTTTACAGGATTTAACAGTTACACACACAAACACACACACACACACACACACACACACACACAATTACTCATTGTTCAGCTGCAGAACAAAGGTCAGCTCTTGGCACGCAGTAGTTTTCCAATTCCTGATCCTTTTTGATTTTCAATGTGCCCATCAGCAGACATGTAATTTTATCTTAAGACAGCCAAGTGCAAAGCATGAGACAATAGGCAGAAATCTTGTAAATAACTATCAAACAGAAATAATCCTTTCAGCTGACGAGGGAAAGCCTCCTTTGTTCCATTTTAATGATGTTTATATAAATTTTAGTATGCATATTCAGTCAGTAACATTATTTTAAGGCAGTTGATATAGGTGCCAAAATCCTCTGTGTACTGAGGAGATAGGTTATCTTTTGCATGTGTGGGGTTTTGGAGACAAAAGTTGCACTGAAGTGTGTGGCTCTTGTAAATTATCTCAATTTCCTGTTTGAGATAATGGAGCAGTGGATTTTCACATCCAATCCCTTTAAATCGTAGGTTTAATTCAGTTGAGACCCAGAAGTGATTAGCCCAAGTTTACACAGGCACTTAATAGCTGAGCAGGGTCACAGACAAATTCTACCTAAAGTTTGCAATTACTCCCCATGATAAGCTGGAGAATTGGAATTCCTTTCCATTACCTGTAGTACTTTTGCCATAGTAAGTCTTAGAACAAGAGTAAAGAAAAGGCAATAGGTTTTCATGGCTGGGTGCAGGGGCTCATACTTGTAATCCCAGCACTTTGGGAGGTCAAGGTAGGAGGATTGCTTGAGGCTAGGAGTTTGAGACCAGCCTCAGCAACATGGTGAAACCCCGTCCCTACCAAAAAAAAAAAAAAAAAAAATTAGCTGGGCATGGTGGCATGAACCAGTAGTTCCACCTACTCAGGAGGTTAAGGCAGGAAGATCTCTTGACCCCACGAGGTTGAGGCTTCAGTGAGCTATGATTGTGCCACTGCATTCCAGCCTGAGTGACAGAGCAAGGCCCTATCTCAAAAAAAAAAAAAAAAAAAGAAAAAGGAAAAAGAACCTTATGATATAATCCTGACCAGAAATTGGACTTAAGTATTTTTCAAAGCCATTTATGTTACTGGTTGGAAAAAAATGATAAAAGTGGACATTTTGTTTCTTAATAAGATTAAAAAGCTATGTACGATGTATTAAATATAAGTCGACATTTGATTATTCCTTAGATGCAATTCCAGAAACAAGTTGTCCAGGCAGGAGAGGCTGGCTTAGAATTTGTGGAGTATCTTACAATTGTGGTCATTGGAAACAAATCGAAATGCAGCAAATAAGCCACTATTCCTGTTGTTCCCCTTGTCTGTTTCTCCCAGCTTTATTCACTTAGAAACTTAATTTTGCCTGATCTGACAGGCACAAGAAGGAGCCAGGTGGAGGGAGGCTGGAAGCCTCCAAGGTTGGTCTTTCAGGAACAATGACAATGCTGTCTACTGAAAACCACTTCCAAACGGCTTTCAAAGCCCAGGAGTTTGTTTAGAGAAAATCTTGCTGGCATTGATGGATTTCTTCTCCTCTGACAGTTCACAGGAAAGAGTGTAGTATAAAGAATTAAGTGATTCATTCCAAACATCTGATGGGTTCCCTTCAAGTACTCCCCCTCTGATCCACTTCTTATGGCTGTGCTGAGCCTCCCCATCTGTGATGAGGTCATTTTGTCGGGCACACAGAGGATTCTAGGGGGAATATGCATCATATACTGCAGCTATTCACGGCATTCATTCCTCCTGGCTGCTCATGGGTAACAATGAACCTTCTCAGCATTACATGTGCTTACTAAGGAGACAGGGGTTAGATGCCTTTCAGTGGAACCCCCCGAGGCACACAATGCATTTATTATAATGTCTTGGCCCTAAGAAGGGCCTGGGAACAGCTTGGAGTGGTCTATAATTAAGTACATTTAATAATAAATGCACATACTTCTTAGGTATTGCAAGAAGTGAAAATAAGCTCTTCGTCTTCTCAGTCTCAATTCCCTTTCCCCATCATCCTTCCCCTTCACAAATCAGAAAAGCCAGGAGTACTGTGCTTTTTTAAAAATAGCAATTGCAGAGGATGTCTGGCTGGTCGAGAAAGGTAAATTAAATTACTTGAGAACATTCTTTCCATGTCAAAAAAAATGGCTTCTGCCTCCTCAGGTAGTTACGCATGGGGAGGATTTGCTAAAGGTTGGCTGTTCCTTTAATCTCCCTTGGATTCCACTTCCAAAGGCTTTCAGGGGCAGTGACCCGCTAGCTAAGGGGCATCCCTTGGGGTTAAGCTGCCACTTGGAAGGGCACTTCCTCAGATTGCTGCTGTGCCTAGCAAGGAAGCAGCAGTTAGAAGTGTTCCCCCGACAGTGTCCCATGTCCTCGGTCCCCACACCTCTGAGTGCTCGAATATGGGCAGATAGATAGACTTTCTGAGGAAAGGGAGAGGAAGAGAGCCCTGTGAATGTGGACAGGGTACAAGAAGAGAAGTCACACTGGAAGGAAGAGAAAAAGGCAGCAGGAGTGTGACATGTACATTTGTGAGATGCAGCAAGGGGCGTGGGACTGCGAGGGACGCAAAGGCATTAAGGGGCCTGGAGGCTGGAGGCCCAGCTTTGCCCCTGCCTGGCTGTGAGTGTGGCCTATTTTCTTGAACTTCTCTAAGCCTCAGTTTCTTTACTTGTAAAATGAGGATGTTAATGGTACCATGAATAGTTAGTGAAAGGTCTAGTAACAGGAATCTTGGGAAAGTGACTTAAATTCTCTGAGCCTCACTTTCTTTATCATCTGCAAAATAAGGTAAAAAATACCCCTGTTACATGCATTGTTGTAAGGATGAATGAAATAATGTATGCAATCACTTAGCATATACCTGGTTCACAGTAAATCATCAGTAAATGCTAGCTGCTGTTGTGGCGACCGTTGGAATGCAATTACATTTTTAAAGATACATGTTGGATTGAAATTGTTTGCATCATTGAATGGTTCAATACATGGAGCAGGTGTCTCACTAGAGGAACAAGAAAGCCATGCAAACTCACCAGGTAGTACCACGTTGGAAATCAGATTGCTTTTATTTATTTATTTGATAGTTAATGATAGGGAGAGGGGTGATAGAACAAATGGGTATTATCTTTTCTTCTTTCCTATAATTAATTAAAATGAAATTATGGACCTGTACAATTTCAATAGATATGGATGGATAGGATAATATTATTAATAATAGTTTTTCCAACTTAAGACCAGTTTTTTCAACTCACTGGTGCCCTAACGTTTCTGATTTTGCTATCAATCGTGAAGAGGAGTTTTTAAATTATATGGTTAAAGAGAGAATGACTTTTGCTGAAGCATCTTATTTTAAACAAAGTAATATTGAGCTTATTGATAAAATAAAGGTCAGCCCAAGAGTGTGTGGGAATAAGGTACATTTTGAAAGAAAAGAGAATGAGGCTTTAAAAAAAGTTGTTTTCTTTCTTTTTGTTACAGCTAAAAATTTCCAATCACCATTCACTTCAAATATACCACCTTGATTTTACTTTTTTTACTTTGCTTTAGGTAATTTTTATATGAATATTCTCAATAAATAATTTTCGTGTAAGCATTTATTATTTTGAGCATTACAGTTTGGACCCCAAAATGGAGTACTGTGAATTTTTTGAGAGATGCTAGAAGAACAGAAGAAACAGTAAACTTTTAAGGCAAGACATCTTTCTCCTCCCACTCTAGCAGCAAGGAGAAGAGGACATTTGCTCTTTAAGAGCCTTTTAAAAGTCACGTGGAAAGGCAAGCACTCCAAGGATTTTTTGATTCCTTTTGGCTTTGGCCAAGAAAATGAAATTATTGAGAACAGCCAGACTTTCATAAGATATTGCTGTTGGAGGGACTTTTTGGTGGGTTAAATATTATAAAATCATTGTTTTCTGGTCAATACAGAGCAGGGAGAAAATAAAAATAATTGTTGGATAGGAGCATTTTGGTGGGTTTTGCACAGACTTGCATCTTGTGTCAGAATGTGACATCAAAGGCTCAGTTTGATGGGGTCACTTTTCTAACGTGACCAGATGATGTGTTAAGGCAAAAGCAAAGTATTTTCTCCCCCTCAGGTTTTTGGAAATAGACCAAACACATAGTTCTCAAAACCACCTTCCTTTAACCCCAACCTTTGATAAAGTGCAGGTCAACTAGCTTGCCCTAATCACTTCTAAACTCATCAGTGGAGTATCTTTCCATGTTTAAGTCTCCTTCTGGCTGCTTCTCTGAATTCTCATTACGGAGCAAGTGTAGGAAGACCCAGGAATGCCGGAATCATCCAGTCACTGCATGGGTTCACTTCATCCATATCTTCTTTTTTTCAGAATACTCTTTATTCCTGTCTTATTTCAAATCCTGGTGTCATCAGGGTGATGAAGGGCACTTCTTAGACACTCGACAACATGGTGGAGGTGAAGATCTGTTGTAAAATCTGAGGGATATCCTTGGTATCCATGGCAACGAAAGACCGACCAGCTGGTAAAGTTCTCTGAAGCCTGCCAGGATGGAAAGGGAAAGGAAGTTACCACTGTAAATGGGGCTCCCTTCCACCTCCTGCCCTGGCAAACCACAGCCCCCTAATGGTTTCTTAGGAAAGGAAGTTTTTACTTTCTAATACCTTGCTCTCTGCCTACCATTGAATTAGTCGTCATTAAACAATGAAAGGCTTGGAAGAGCAACAAGGAAAGACACAGCAAAAGCAGGGAACTGAAAGAAAGGTCTTTTCAGTGAGAAAGTCAGTGAATTTGAAAAGAAAAAATTTTCTTCCTTTCTTTACTGCCATTTCTTGGTATTTCATATTCTTTTGGTATAACAGAGCCATAGGGATTCATATGGAATCAGCTCACCTCCCGGGTCTAGCAAATATGTTGACCTTACACTGTATTTCGAAGTGCTTTTCCTTCCTTAGAAAACAGGCCTCTAAAAACGCTGCGCAGCCAAACCCTGAGTGGTTCTTTCTCTCTTTCTTTGCCTCTCTCTCTTTTTTTTGGTCCACATCACACAATGTGAAATGCGATCTGGATTGTCCAATTACTGCTTCAATGACACTGAGGTTATACAGGCTTATGAAATTTTTTCCAACTCATTTTTAAGTGAATTTTAAAAAACTTATAATGGGTTTTGATTTGAATTATCCTTAAAAATAACATGTCATTGAAGTTACGATACTTTTTTAAATACTAATTTATAATTTGGAACAAAAGGCCATTTTGAAGGCAACAAAACTGTAAGACACAGTTCTCTTCAAAAGAACGCCTCCTTTCACTGTGCCAGTGAAGTCTGGCTTTGGAATGACATTTAATAAAATTCAACCATCCTGTGTAGTATCGTATATTTGGCATGCCTGGTAAGCCAGCTAATTCTGCAACATATCTTTTGCCAGTGGATGTTGGACCATTTCCCTAGGAAACCACAAGGGTATTATTGTGCTTTCTTAAGTATTCAAACAGGATCTGTTCACTAGAAAGACAAAATAGCCATTTCATCTCAACTAGTATTTGTTGAGCTTGTTGTCTGCCTAATACTGGGCTGATGCTGAGGAAAACCTGGGTGGAAAAGGCATAGTTTGTGTTTGAGGATGTGGAGGTTCTAAAAGATGCAAAGTGCTAACTTGTAAAAACTAAGAAGAATGAAAAGTCATGTCATAAAATGACTGTAACTACATGATATTAAGTCTGTTCTCAACCTCGCTCTGCAACCTTACAGCAAGGCAAAGGGAATAGAAAGAGAAAAAGCTGCTAGCATTTTGGATATTAAAACATTTCCAGTCACAGAGTATGAAAAGTAAAAGGGGTGGAATAACAAAAACGTAGGCCCTTTGTGCTTTAGGCAGGGATTTTTTTTTTTTTTTTTAAGATTACTTTCACTGGTGTTTTATGTTTCTTACAGGTATTTTAAACACAGAAAAACCATGAGCTCTTTCTGTTTGTAATTCAAAAAGATAAATGTTATTGTGTTCAAGTTATGAAAGTGTTTCCAGATCTCTCCTTTCAGATCATACCCACTGGTATTTATTGTCTGATCATAAGATTCTCTATTGAATATTTAGTATATTCAGTGTAGTATCTAACTATATGTATATTATCTTATGTTGTCGCCAAGTGTTTCACCTGCCTTGTCTCTCCAGCAATAAGAAGGGATACATGTGAGTGTGTCTATATATATATACAGGCATGCATATATGTAGGTGATGTCTCTATGGGGATATAATACATATGTGTGTATATATATGTCTAATATGTACAGACATTCATACACACACACTATCTCCTATGCTAGGAAAATAGTAGATGTTCACGATTTTTAATATGATTTGAACACAAAATGATTAGCCTGAGCTTAGGAGCTTGACATAAAGTGCCAAATGTATAAAATACTACCCGGTTTATTAGTGACAAATCAATTTGTCAATGATTTATTAGTGGCTTAAATATAAACTAAAAAATAATTAATTTAAAATTATTATTGTTCATCTAAACAAAAGCTAGAACATATCCCCTCAACTAGATTATAAACCCCTTGAGGCTAGTAACTTTAGTTTCTGTTTTTCCTCCATCTGCCTCACTGTCCCTCATGGTGCTAAGCCTATAAAACAGCATGTGTTAGCTACTCAGTATCTCTGTACCTGCCCTTTTCTGTATGCTCAGATGACACTTACCTGGTTGCTTGATCACCTAAAGAGCCAATAAAAATGGCAAAAGCATTTACTTGAGGGTCTCTTGTGAGGATTTGAGCAAACTTAGCAGGATGTATTCCATATCGTGACAGATTTGCATCACTCAAGACTATGACAAAGTACTCATCAGCTTCTTCTTTGACAATTTCCTTGATGGCATGTTCTGTCCCTTCTAACGTGTGGTCCCCACTCATGCAGAACTGAGAGTGGGCATGCATTGTCTGGAGGTAAAAGAAGTTGCACAAAAGCCATGGCTGAGAAACTTCTTTTTTAACAAATACGATTATTTTTCTATTGACCATGAGCATGCATACATACCAATTATTACCCATGAGTAGTACATTCTAAGTTAGTTCTATTTAATTTGCATATTTGAGTGACAACAGTATACAGTGATATTTGTTATCTGGCATAGAATTTCATTAGATATAGGATATCATTCCAAAATTATCACAGTGGGCACTTAGTTTTAAGTGGAAGCTTGCACTTCCACTTAAAGTGAGAAAATATAAGAAAATATAAAACTTGGTATCACATTGGAGGATGCAGATGACACAGGAGGAAAATAAGGAATGAGTTGAGTTTCCAATAAACAAAGGTATAATACTAAAAACATTGTACTCACGTCAATAACGATGGAGGAAAGTGACTTAAAATTGTGATGTGCATTTTTCTGTTGCAGGCTTAAGTGTGTGAAATGAATTACACATAAAATTGGGGACAGGGAGCACTCTAAAAGCGGTCATTCTGCTTACCAATGATATGATTGTATATCTAGAAAACCCTGTCCCTCTCCCGTCTCCCTCTCCCGTCTCCCTCTCCCTCCTCCCTCTCCCTCTCCCGTCTCCCTCTCCCTCTCCCGTCTCCCTCTCCCTCTCCCCGGTCTCCCTCTGATGCCACCAAAGTTGTCAAAGCCGAGGCTGGACTGTACTGCCGCCATCTCGGCTCACTGCAACCTCCCTGCCTGATTCTCCTGCCTCAGCCTGCAGAGTGCCTGGGATTGCAGGTGCCCGCCGCCACACCTGACTGGTTTTTGCATTTTTTGGTGGAGACGGGGTTTCGCCGTGTTGGCCGGGCTGGTCTCCAGCTCCTGACTGCGAGTGATCTACCTGCCTCCGCCTCCCGAGGTGCCGGGATTGCAGACGGAGTCTCGCTCACTCAGTGCTCAACATTGCCCAGGCTGGAGTGCAGTGGCGTGATCTCGGCTCGCTGCAACCTCCACCTCCCAGCCGCCTGCCTTGGCCTCCCAAAGTGCCGAGATTGCAGCCTCTACCCGGCCGCCACCCCGTCTGGGAAGTGAGGAGCGTCTCTGCCTGGCCGCCCATCGTCTGGGATGTGAGGAGCCCCTCCGACTGGCCGCCCAGTCTGGGAAGTGAGGGGCGCCTCTTCCCGGCCGCCATCCTGTCTAGGAAGTGAGGAGTGTCTCTGCCCGGCCGCCCATCGTCTGAGATGTGAGGAGCCCCTCTGACCGGCCGCCCAGTCTGGGATGTGAGGAATGCCTCTGCCCGGTGGCGACCCCGTCTGGGAATTGAGGAGTGTCTCTGCCCGACCACCACCCCATCTGGGAGGTGAGGAGTGTCTCTGATCGGCTGCCCCGTCTGAGCAGTGAGGAGCCCCTCCGCCCGGCAGCTGCCCGTCTGCGAAGTGAGGAGCCCCTCCGCCTGGCAGCCGCCCCGTCCGGGAGGGAGGTGGGGGGTCAGCCCCCGCCCCGCCAGCCGCCCCGTCTGGGAGGGAGGTGGGGGGCGCCTCTGCCCGGCTGCCCCGTCTGGGAAGTGAGGAGCCCCTCTGCCAGGCTGCCACCCCGTCTGGGAGGTGTACCCAACAGCTCATTGAGAATGGGCCATGATGACGATGGCGGCTTTGTCGAATAGAAAAGGGGGAAATGTGGGGAAAAGAGATCAGATTGTTACTGTGTTGGTGTAGAAAGAAGTAGACATGGGAGACTCCATTTTGTTCTGTATTAAGAAAAATTCTTCTGCCTTGGGATGCTGTTAATCTATAACCTTACCCCCAACCCCATGATCTCTGAAACATGTGCTGTGTCCACCCAGGGTTAAATGGATTAAGGGCGGTGCAAGATGTGCTTTGTTAAACAGATGCTTGAAGGCAGCATGCTCCTTAAGAGTCATCACCACTCCCTAATCTCAAGTACCCAGGGACACAAACACTGAGGAAGGCCGCAGGGTCCTCTGTCTAGGAAAACCAGAGACCCTTGTTCACATGTTTATCTGCTGACCTTCCCTCCACTATTGTCCTATGACCCTGCCAAATCCCCCTCTCCGAGAAACACCCAAGAATGATCAATAAATACTAAAAAAAAAAAAAAAAAAAAAAAAGAAACAGGCCGGGCGCGGTGGCTCACGTCTGTGGTCCCAGCACTTTGGGAGGCCGAGGCTGGCAGATCACAAGGTCGGGAGTTCGAGACCGGCCTGGCCGGCATGGTGGAACCCTGTCTCTACTAAAAATACAAAAAATTAGCTGGGTATGGTGACATGCGCCTGTGATCTCAGCTGCTCGGAGGGCTGGGACAGGAGAGTCGCTTGGGTGTGGGAGGCGCAGGTTGTAGTGAGCTGAGAATGTACCACTGCACTCCAGCCTGGGCGACAGAGCAAGACACCGTTTCAAAAAAAAAAAAAAAAAAAGAAACAAGCCAGGCACGGTGGCTGACGCCTGTAGACCCAGCACTTTGAGGTGGGCAGATCACCTGAGATTGGGAGCTCAAGACCAGCCTGGCCAACATAATGAAGCCCCATCTCTACTAAAGATACAAAACAAAACAAAAATTGGCCGGGCATGGTGGTGCGTGCCTGTGGTACCAGCTACTTGGGAGGCTGAGGCAGGAGACTGGCTTGAACCCGGGAGGAGGAGGTCGTAGCGGGCCGAGATTGTGCCACTGCACTCTAGCCTGAGCAACGGAGCAAGACTCCATCTCAAAACAAACAAAGAATAAGACCTAGTGTTAGCTAGCACAACAGGGTGGCTATAGTTTAAAAAAAAAAAAATATATATATATATATATATACCTCTCTCTATATATACGTGTATATATATATACGTATATATAAAATATATACACGTATATATATGTATATATATAAAATATATATACACCTCTATATATACGCATATATATGGTGTGTGTGTGTGTGAGACAGAGTGTTGCTCTGTCGCCCAGGCTGGAGACCTCAGTGGCGTGATCTTGGTTCGCTGCAGCCTCTGCCTCCCGGGTTCGGGCGGTTCTCCTGCCTCAGCCTCCCGGGTGGCTGGGATTGCGGGTGCCCGCCACCATGCCCAGCTAATTTTTTTTTGTATTTTTGGTAGAGATGGGATTTCGCCAGGTTGGCCGGGCTGGTATCGAGCTCCTGGCCTCAGGTGGTCTGCCCGCCTCGGCCTCCCGGGGTGCTGGGATTGCAGGCGTGCGCCACCGTGCCTGGCCGTAAAAAATAATTTAATTGTACATTTAAAATAACTAAAAGAGTTCAACTGGATTGTTTGTAACACAAAAGATAAATGCTTGAGGTGATGGATTTCCCTTTAACCCTGCTGTGAATATTATGCATTGCATGCCCGTATCAAACATCTTATGTGCCCCACAAGCATATAAACTTACTATGCACCTGCAAAAATTAAAAATAAACTTGAAAACATAAAAACAAAACAAAAATCAACATTAAAGAAAAGTTTTCTGTAAAAAAAAAAAAAAAGAAAACCCTAAAGTCTGATAAATGAATTCAGTAAAGTCTCAGGTTACAAAATCAATATACTCAAATCAGTAACACTGCTATATGCCAACAATGACCAAGCTGAGAATCAAATCAAGAACTCAATCTCTTTTACAATAGCTGCACACACACAAAACCCTAGGAATATACTTAACCAAGGAGGTGAAAGAGCTCTACAAGGAAAACTACAAAACACTGATGAAAGAAATCATAGATGACACAAACAAATGGAAACACATCCAATGCTCATAGATGAGGAGAATCAATATTGTGAAAATGACCATACTGCCCAAAGCAATCAACAGGTTCAGTGTAATTCCCATCAAAATACCATCATTATTTTTCAAAGAACTAGAAAAAACAATCCTAAAATTCACGTGGAACCAAAAAAGAGCCCAGATAGCCAAAGCAATACTAAGCAAAAGCAGCAAATCTGAAGGCATCACATTACAGGGCTTTAAATTATACTAAGGCTATAGTTACCAAAACAGCATGGTACTGGTATAAAAATAGGCACGTAGACCAATGAGACAGAATAGAGAACCCAGAAATAAAGCCAAATATGTGGATGTGGTGAAAAGGGAACATTTACACTGCTGGTGGGAATGTAAATTAGTACAACCACTATGGAAAACAGTATGGAAAGTCCTTAAAGAACTAAAGTAGGTCTACCATTCAGTCCAGTAATCCCATTAATAGGTATCTACCCAAAGGAAAAGAAGTCATTATATTAATATGAAAAAGACAACATGCACACACGTTTATAGAAGCACAATTAGCAATTGCAATGATATGGAACCAACCTAAGTGTCCATCATCAACCAATGAGTGATAAAGAAAATGTATATATACACCATGGAATACTACTCAGCCATAAAACTGAATAAAATAATGGCATTTGCTGCAACTTGGATGGAGCTGGAGGCCATTATTCTAAGGGAAGAAACTCAGGAATCGAAAACCAAATACTGTATGTTCTCACTTATAGGTGGGAGCTAAGCTATGAGGACACAAAGACATAAGAGTGATATAATGGACTTTGGGGACTAAGGTGGGGAAGGTTCTCAGGGGGGTGAGGGATAAAAGACTACATACTGGGTACAGCGTATACTGCTCGGGTGATGGGTACACTATCTCAAAATTCACCACTAAAGAACTCATCCATATAACCAAAAACCACTCGTACCCCAAAAACTATTGAAATAAAAAAATTTTAAAAGGGGTCATTCTTTTCCTTCTATTGCACATGTAGGGGCTGAGAAGAGCCATATAGGACATACAAGGGGGCCCAGGTTGTAGAATCCCAATCTAAATCCAAGTGTCCTAAAAATATGTAGGGGACAAATTTTAAATTTTATATGGTGGAGAAAAGGATTTTAGGCATGATGGGTGTTTTCTCAGTTCAATACTTGAATGTGTGTGAAACAGTCTTTTTCTTTCCTGTGTATCTGCTGCTGCTTCAATGAATCCTTTTAGTCTTTACCTAACCTGATAGAAGCTTTCATAATACAGAGGTAATAAAATATATTTACCTTCAGAATTTCTAGTCTTTGCTTATTGTCCTTGGGGATTTTGTTCATTGGAACCAGACCAATGTTGTAGCCATCTCCAGAGTGTCCAACGATGTCATACTACATGCAAGAGAACCAGAAAGTTATAAACTTTTCTCCACAAAAGAACAGTCATTAGATCTTTAATGTTCAACTCTTTGGACCATTATTGTCCAAAGTTGCTCAACATATGGCCATAAAGAAATGCAGTGAGACAGAAGTGTGTTTAATTCTCTAATCTCACTATGTACATGAGAAACTCTTGTCTACTGAGAAAGGCTAGAGCTGGGAGTCAAGTGCAACCTTTTCACAGAGTCTGGAAAAAAAGTCTGGGGTCTGAGGTAAACTATAATTGGGGTGAGGTAGTTCCCTCCAACTTTGAGTTACACATACTCTTGTGTTGTAGAGCAATGCAGTTATTTCTTTTCATGTATGTTCCTTTTAAAATGGTGAGTTATTTGAAGGTGAGGCCACAGCTTATTTCTCTTTGAATTTCTAGAATCTAAGAGAGTGCCTAGCATGTTTATTGCACAAATGCTGTAAGAGAGTTTGCAATCAAGTTGGGGCAATAAGAAGCTTTTCCCTTGCATGTGGGCTACATTCTCCTACAAATAAGCTGTTTGAAGCTGGAATGCATTTTTCCCCCTCAACAATCATGGGATAAATGGTGGTTAGTCCATGCTAGCTGACAAACAACAATCCATAACATAACTGAAACTGCTGTGTTTTAAATGGAAAGAAACAGAAAAAATTTGGTTGAAATTGTTATGCAAAAATAGGAAGTGAGAAGAAGGGTTTCCTAGGGAAGATGAGTCCCATTATAGATATGCTGAACTTGTGTCCTGGGGGAGAGATGTGGCTAGGGGTGAAGACCTAACAGTTATCCCCAGGAGGGAATAAATGGAGGCCCATATATTATGTCTAAATATGTAAAAGATATACATCAGGCTACCAACTGTTAAATAAAACATGTTCTGTCCTCCCACTTTGATAAAATATACGTTATAATAACCTGGAAAGCCAGGGCCAAATTTCAAATACTTGGGTTCCTGGAAGTTCTGTGCTAGAACATGGTCACATGGACAGTAATGGCCCCTGGCCCATAGCCCATACCCTTCTCTTTTCATAGTTGGCTCTGGCCCACCCCATGAGGTACCTCAAATGCATGTGTGTGGACACCCAGTGCTGACATCCACACTCCATCGCTCCATCATAAACAACAGTTACCCTCTGCCCACCCTCTGAGCACCTTGGGGTGCTCACACAATTGGCCAGTCTGTCCTAGGAAGATGGACTTAGGAAAGAGGCCCACGCAGGATTTGGAAGCAGGCTTGGGGTCATTTGATGAGAATAGTTGGGGATCCCAGGTACCAGGAGCATGATCTAAAAACAGGCTTTAAAGGCCCTTTGGCCCCATAGACACCTCACCTCATGGGAGGGTCATGGTCAGAGGAGGGCCAGAGTGGGGCCATGGGTGGGGGTGAGATGGTGGGAGATTATTCTGTGCCTGGTTTAAATATAAAAGAATAGCGAAGGAAATTTATCAATGCATTAAAAAGGTTGACAGTAAATGATTTCCAATGATGTAACACATTCCATATAAGAAAAAAAAATTATTCTTAGTATAGTTTGCTATCAATAGAGTGAAAAGGTACCAAATAAAAACTGAAACTAAAAGCAGCTGAGCTCAGCTGTTAGAAATTGCTCAGGATAGGAAATTTCTGGCTTCGGCATAGGCTTGACTAAAGTCATCCATGGGTTCAGTGGTAGGATTGGCACAGATGTGGAGAGAGCTTGCATAATCCTTCCATGGAAGCACACTCCAGGGAGGCCCCGACTGATTTGACAACGGTCATGGCAGGAACTGTTTGTAGTCAAGAGGGGAAAGTTCTCCTGAGAAAGTGCCAGGCAGGTTGCTTTCATTATGGGCTGGTGAAGTAATCTGCTAAACAGGATCTTACACATGAGGGAATAAGATCAGTTCCCTGACACGGAACTAGGTTTCTTATATTGGGCTGAGGTAAGAGGGCTATGAATGTGTTTGACTTTTCCCTCCCTTTTAACTGATGGCTAGAGTTCTTTCTAATTAGATGATAGTGAATGAAACTATAGAAATCTTTGATCATATGGTCTGTCACAGGGTCAATGTAACTGGTCAAAGAGCAGTCAACAAATACAGTTTTTAGCTGGTCTTTAGTAAAACAAGATACTGGCTGATTAAAACCTTCAGAAATACTTTAGCAACCATCCATCTATCATTTGATTGTGTGACTGATATATCTATCTACCATTTAAATATATGCCTAGGAGAAAAAAAACATACTATACTTTTCTAGGCAAATGAGACAAAGAAAGGTGGACTGTATGCTTCTTTTTCTTCCTTCTTCCCTCTTCCCTTTCTTTCTTCTTTTTTTCCCTTCCTTTTTCTTTCTCATCTCTTATTTGGGTAAGGAAAGACCAGCCTTTGTCTGTGCCTGGTGAGTACTGCAAAGGCTTGCAAAGACACCTAAGTGACAGGATGGAGCTTATAAAATAGTTTGCAGGCCCTGGTTTCTCATCTTCCAGATGGGTTTGAGGATTATTCTGTGACCAAAGCCAATAAAACGCTTGGGAGGAATCTAAAGTACATCCAAATGTGGACCATTCCCTGGCGTTACTGCAGATTATATTAAGCTTCCATTACCAGCAATACTCCTCCATCAAAATTATCTAGTATCTGCTATCCAAGGATTCCAACATGGTTTACCAACAGTGATTTGCTAATCCTGAAAATTGTGTGGGTTAATGGAAAAGATGCATACTCTCATTCATTTCCATTTGCTAACTCCTAAATCTGCCATTCACCTGATCTGGTTTCTACGATGATCGTGAAATCCAACTTGACAGGGCCTCGAGCATGCTTCCATGGAGGAGCTACAGGAGTCAATAAACAAGATCCTCACTGTCATTATCAAACCGCCTAACATTTAGATCAGAATTTTTTCTGAGCTCAAAATTTTTATGATCATGATTTCTGCACTTTTCAGAGCATTCCTGAAAACCCTGTGCAGTCTCACATTTAGCATTTAACATAAATATTAAGCCACAGTAGTAAAGAAAAGCCTCAACTGCAGAGGACCAATTTAAATACTTTTTTGCTTTAGAAATCTGTTTAAATGCCCTTTTGCTATATTTTCTTTTGGAAGTGTTGTTCATTTAGAGAAAAGTATAACAAACAAAAACAAATGCTGAAATTTTGGTCAAAGATGTGGTTTATCATCAAATAAGAATGATTTATAATGTTTAGAATGCATAGGACAAAGTGCTATTAGCAATTTTATGAATAAGATTTATGTGTAAATTTCTATTAGGACGGACAACCATTTGCTGGCTTTAGGAGATGCTATGCTTTATTATGCGGCCACATTGTAAGTAGGTACGAGACAATCATCTAAGGCTATTTATTAAAACTACTAGGTGTAAAATTCTCATGTCCTTCTAGAAATATAAATACACCATTCTCATTCTCCTGTGTGCCACTAACTACGGGCTACACAGGATCAGAAGATAAATATGTGATTTAAAAAGTCAAGAGAAATGCCAGCGGAACCCTAGTGTTAGTTACGTAATAACCTATAGCATTAGCTGGCTAACCTTTCTTCAGATCATGTAAGTCAACGTGAAAAGAATAATGTACTGAAAGGTCAAGGATTCTAGGCTCTGACGTTAACAAGCTTTTTGACTTAGAGAAAAATCACTTAACCTCTCTAAACCTTGTTTCTACCTTGTAAACAATGATGGCTTAGAAAGTCTCTAACACTGTATGCTTGTTAATCACTTAACCTCTCTGACAACATGGGGTAATATCTGTCTTACCACCTCCCAGGGTCATTGAAAGGATAGGACAATACACTTACTGACTTTATAGTTTGTTACAGTTTACAAAGGGCTTCCATATATCTCATCTCATTTTGATTTTCTCTACAAGTTTTGGGGTGTTATCCTTATGTCACAAATGCAGAAATTGATTCTTAGAGAGACTAACAGACTTCCTTAAGGGTGTTGGTTAAACCCCAGGTTTTCTGACACTAAATCCATTTTGGTTGTTTTTATTTTTTGATTTTCTTTTGAGACAGGGTCTTGCTCATTGGCCAGACTGGAATGCACTGGTACGATCACAGCTCACTGCAGCCTCAACCTCCTGGGCTCAAGTAATCCTCTCATTTCAGCCTCCTGAGTAGCTGGGACCACAGGCATGCGCCGCCACACCTGGCTAATTTTTGTATTTTTTTTTTTTTTGTAGAGACAGGGTCTTGCTACATTGCACATGCTGGTTTTGAACTCCTGGGCTCAAGCAATAAACCCGCCCTGGCCTCCCAAAGTGCTGGAATTATAGGCATGAACCACTGTGCCCGGCCCAGTGTTTTTACTACAGAGAAATAACTACTTCCCCAGCTACGCTCCCCTCCCATCTCTACTTGTTTTTGAATGGTTGGGTTGGCCAATATTTCTACATCCACAATTGAATCAATTCTGAATTCTTGTTTGAAGGGACTCAGAAAAGTATGTACGACCTCCTTTGGTCCAATCTCCATGTAGCAATAAGAATTTATTCACAGCCTAAACTGATAGGATGACTGATCTCCATTTCTAAACCTGTGAAACATTCTTGAGGTACTGGAAAGAGATTAATTGCAGATACTGAATTAACTTCTTGATAGAAGAAATTTCCCTGGCAGGTGCTGATTTGTGAGTCATATGTTTCCACTTTCTCCTGGGAGTTAACTCAGCCTTTCTGATCAAGGTATCTTTGAGAAAAGTTTGTCTATTATACCTCCCTTGGATGGTGAGGTGCCAAGGGTAGGAGAAGACAGAGTACCTTACATAAATGATACACTTGCTCCTGAATTACAGTTTAAAAAAATCAAATTGAACAGAGATAAAACAGCTATAAGAAACAGGGATGAAACATCAACTAAGAGCCCTGAAGTGGAAGTCAGAAGTGCTGGCTTTGCACTGTAACGGTGTGACCTTGGGCAAAGCATTGAACCTCTTTGAATCTTTGTTTTCTCTTCTGTAAAACAAAAAGGTTGGTGAAAATAATTTCCAAGGCCATTCCTACCCCCCAAATTCTATATAAACTTAATGGTATGTTTAAGAATTGTAATGAGAAAGCCTGCTTCTCTTAGTTTTAGGAACACCTAATGCCTTGTTTTCTTCTGTCAAGGGAGAGTGAGTCATCTATTTTATTTTATTTTATTTTATTTTATTTTATTTTTTTTTGAGACGGAGTCTCGCTGTCGTCCAGGCTGGAGTGCAGTGGCGCAATCTCGGCTCACTGCAGGCTCCGCCCCCTGGAGTTCACGCCATTCTCCTGCCTCAGCCTCCGGAGTAGCTGGGACTACAGGCGCCCGCCACCTCGCCCGGCTAATTTTTTGTATTTTTTTAGTAGAGACGGGGTTTCACCGTGTTACCCAGGATGGTCTCGATCTCCTGACCTCGTGATCCGCCCGCCTCGGCCTCCCAAAGTGCTGGGATTACAGGCGTGAGCCACCGCGCCCGGCCGAGAGTGAGTCATCTAAATCAGAGGGTCAATGGCACCTTTTCCAGAAAGAAAGCCCTCAGAGCCTGTGAGAAATAATAATCCAGTACATTACATAATCCCTAACACAATGGCTTTCTAATTCTTCCTTTCCTTTAAAAATTTGTTAGCAGTGGAACCCTTCCTTCAAATGAAATACTGCACAAAAGCCCAGCTTATGAAACATCCTGCATTATCTATACATGTGAAATTGTTGTAGTTGAATTGGGGATGGAGGGCAATGGGGCACAAAGTGCTGCCTACTCACTGCCCCCCTCCACTGCCAAACATCCTTCAAAGGTTCTTGTTACACTGTTAGAAAACCACTGCCCTAGGATATGGTTTATATGCCTTCACAGAAACAATACGTTTAAGTTTCTTTTTTTTTTTCCAAGTGCAACTTCTGAATAATGAAATAAATCTCTTTTCTGGTCCCACTATTTGAGTGCTTAGTGGAGAAATAGTTACCTAACTTTGGTATTATTGAGTACTTTGAAAAAAAATTAAGCCATTAAGAGCCTTTGAAAAGGAGGTGTATTTCAAGATTACAGTGAAAACATTCCCAGGAGCTTGGAGAAAGCATGAGGAACAAATTGGAATGAAGGTTAAGGAAAAAAATGCTTCTTGATGAAAAGACAACGGTTCACAAAAACAGTACTATTCTACTTTTCACTTTAATTTGAAGCACTACATGAACACTAAGAATGATGCTGACTACAAGAGTAGAGGAGCTTATGCTGATTATAAGCAAATGATGTTGCGCTAGTCTTCAGTGACCTACTGTGAATGCTATTCCCGGGAATAGCTGAATTCAGTTGGTGGAGCAATTATGAGAAACTTTAAACACTCCAAATGGCTTAGAGATGTGTCTTGCCACTGAATTACCTTTCCTTCTCAGTAATTCTTGCTCTAGGGTCCCTGTGGTTTAGCACAGGTCATGATAATGTGGAATAAAAAATAGAGGCTGACTCCAAATGAGCCTCCGGGACCTAGACTGTAATGACCCACGGCTCAGGAGCTGCACTCAAGCCAAGCAAAACACAAAGCAGACGCCAAGAGAGATGGGGAGAGTCCAGAGCACAGACCAGGCCAGCGGCTTCTGAAGGTTTCAAAGCAAATACAGACCAGACACCTTTACAACTGAGGGATAACTGCAGGAAGACAACATTAAGAACTGTCTGGAACTGGGGCTGGGGAGTCTCAGATCACACTGTTGAATTCCTAATGACCCCATGTGTGATGCCATTCTGGGCTATGGAATATATATTTTTCTCTAGGAGCTCCTCAAACTGTCTTCTGTTCATGCATAATTTTTTTTTCTGAGTAAATTAAATCCTTTTGTTAGTTATTCCTATTCCCTTTATGCCTTTCACAAATGAGAAAATGAAAGTATTCAGTTGAATATGATCATATAACATAATGATACAGAACAGAATGCATGGTACACAGCCACTGAATGTATGTGCATCAAATATCTCTGAGAAGAGACTGATAATTCCACTAATAGTGGTTGTACTGGAGAGAGGAGCTGGGAGCTGAGAGGGGGCGGGCAGTGGCTTACTCTTCACTCTTCCTCCTTTTATACCTGTTACACTTTCTGCTGCGTGCACCAATCACCTATATACCCCCAAACATTTATAGTCAGCCCTTTGCATATGCAGATGTGGAACCCATGGAGAGGAAGGCCAGCTGGAAGATTTCAGCATCCACAGGTTTTAGTATCTGAGAGGGATCCTGGATCCAATCCCTCATAGATACCAAGGGACAACTGTAATTATAAGTAGAAATAACTCTTACAGAATGTAAGGAGCTCCATCTTACCTCCTTCCTGCCCTGCGCATTGGCCTGGGGAGCCCTAGCAGAGACTGGGTGGCTTGTGGGTACTTAAATCTCAGACACATTGCCAGGGGCGGTAGGAAGATGATACAAAGTCCCATATGGAGAGAAGGCCTGTTAGGAGTTTTGGAAATACAGGGGATATTGGGACAAGTTAAATGGCACCATGAGAAAGCAACCAGAAAATCCAGTATAACAAACAGCCTAGGGCCAGGTGCGGTGGCTCACGCCTGTAATCCCAGCACTTTGGGGGGCCAAAGCGGGCAGAACATGAGGTCAGGAGTTTGAGACCAGCCTGGCCAATATGGTGAAACCACTGTCTCTACTAAAAATACAAAAATTAGCCGGGCGTGGTGGCACATGCCTGTAGTCCTAGGTACTCGGGAGGCTGAGACAGAAGAATCGCTTGAACCTGGGAGGCGGAGGCTGCAGTGAGCCGAGATCACGCCACTGCACTCCAGCCTGGGTGACCGAGCAAGACTCCATCTCAAAAAAAAAAAAAAAAAAAACAAACAAAAAAAGAATCTATAAGACAACTGGCCTGGACCCTCATGAGAGGGTCATAAGAGTGACTGTCATGAAAAGCAAAAAAATGCAGTGGTAGGGGAGGTGGCTGTTCCAGACTAAAAGAGGCAAAGTAAGGTGTGAACTTTGGATCCTAGGTGGACAGCAGGGAGAGGGGACAATTATAAAAGATATTTTTGGGACAACTGATAAAATTGAATTTGAGTTGGATATTATAAGACAGTATGGGATTACTGATAATTTTCTTAGGCATGATAATGGTATTGAAGTTTTTTAGAGAATGTCCTTACTCTTAGGAGACATATAATGAAGTATTTAGAGGTAAAGCATTATGCTGCTTATAATTTACTTTCAAATGATTTGGGGGCGGGGGTAGAGAGAGTACTGTAAATATTTGGAGAGAAACAAAGCAAGTGAGGCAAAACGGTAACAATTAGTGAACCTAAGTGAGGGCACATGGGTTTTACTTTTCTTTCAACTTTTTTTGTAGGTTTAAAATTTTTCAAATTAAAAAGTTGGGAAATAAAGGAGAAAGTTTAAAAATGAAACCAAACAAAAAAAAGGGAAAACAAATAAGAGTCCTGGGCTCTATGCTACTATCTCCTACTAGTCTTCCAACTTTGGGGAAAATCCACCTGTGTCTGGGCCTGGGCTTTCTGTCTGTGGAATGAGGATGGTGGAGTAAATGGCCTCCGAGGTGACCCCAGTTCTAAAGTCTGTGGACACGATGAGGAGTTTGCAGGAACAGGACTCATATGCCTTGCTGGGTCCACCTTGTCCCTCCAGACACTCACCCAGGTATCAATTTTTCTGAAAGAGGCTCAAAGAGCTTGTTTTGTGATGTTTTAAGGTCTCTTCCTTTGGTTGGAAAGATTTTAATACACTGGGGTCTTAAGACTTTCTATGGTCTTAAATAAAGCTCTAATGTAACTGTAGTGAATATGATGGGACTAAAACCATTAACGTGCTTCTTGTTAAGAATTTAATGGCATAAAAAATGTCTTCAAGGCCTGAAAAATTTATTTTATCTTGGTGTCTTGCTACAATTTCACTTGGATTTTTCAGTCAGATGTTAACTATGGTTGTCTTCTCAATATATCTGTGGTTGTGCTGATAAAGACTGAGGAAATTCTTTATACTACTGTGGCAACTGAAGAGAGTATTAGCAAAATACTGTTTTAGGGATGATACCCACAGAGGCACGTGTGAAGAAGCAGCTCTGCTCACACATTGCTCACCGAACCTTCTATCAGAATGAGTAGTTTTCATCATCTCCCTCACTGGGCTACCCAGCAGAGTGCTCTACTCTTAGGAAGTGCTCAGGTAATGTTTGTAATTTCGCGGAATTTAACTGACATCCAGCAAGCAGGTCATATGGTAACAGTTTGGTTTGTAACTGTCAATAAAAAAAAAAAAATGAAACATCTTGTGAAATGCTCATTTCCTTGATATTGTTCCTTTTTTGTGTGTGACAGGTCTAGTTTCATTAATAGTTCTTCCATATTATAGACTTTTATAAGTGAGAACTGAATAAATGGAGATCTTTCTATACACTCGGCTGCGTGAGATGCAATGAAATACTCAGCCTGCTGCGTGACAATCATACCACCTCCCTGGAGGCATCGGAATGGCACCCTGAACACTAGTAACTTTGCCACCTTCTTCCCTGTCTCATCCTTTACCCAGTCCTGGGGAGGGAGCTGTGTCAACCAATTTGTTGGTTAATTCCTAATGAATTTTCTTTCTAAAAACTTGGGAGTATTTCACATGTCAGAGCAGCTCTGCCCTCAAAAACGTAGAAATCCTATTTCTAACAGGAGATTTTATTCAAGCTAACTATGAATCTGCCAATTTTAATGGTAGTACATTTGCTATGGTCTACATTGGGTTAAAATCTCCCTATAGGGCCAGGTGCGGTGGCTTGCGCCTGTAATCCCAGCACTTTGGGAGGCTGAGATGGGCAGATCACGAGGTCAGGAGTTCGAGACCAGCCTGACCAACATGGTGAAACCCCATCTCTACTAAAAATACAAAAATTAGCCAGGCGTGGTGGCGGGCACCTGTAATCCCAGCTACTCAGGAGGCTGAAGCAGGAGAATCGCTTGAACCCAGGAGGCAGAGGTTGCAGTGAGCCGAGATCACACCACTGCACTCCAGCCTGGGCGACAGAGTGAGACACCGTCTTAAAAAAAAAAAAAAAAGAAAAAGAAAAAGAAAAAAAAAACCTCCATATAGCTCAAAGAGAGCCGAGGAACACTGAAATTCAAGATCCATAAAACAGGAGAAGGGACTGATCCAAATATTGGCAACTCTCAAAGGTTTTAATACATTAGGTAGGATATGGGTATTTATGCTGATACAATAGATGTCTAAAAATTCTTTAGTCATCAATGGTCCAAGTGATTTAAGAACTATAATCTATCTCATACTAGAAAGGACCTAAAATATTTTAAAATAAACATTTTCTATAAACCCATAAAGCATAAAAAAAAAAAAATCAAGGAAAACTTATACCTGAAGGGAGCAAGGGTGAAGAAAAGGAAAAAGTCGAACACTGGTCTGCAAGCCATGAGACATAACAAAGTTGTCATAGCTGGTCTTTGATTTTAGCTCTGAGCTTCCTGGCAACTAAAACCAAGAGGGAATCTTAAGCAGCTCCATGGCTTTCACTAATCACAAGGGGAAACACATTTCAGTTCTTCAAGGGAAACAAAGCTACTCCCCACGGTGAAAGTCCATGTCTTATTTGTATTTGTATCCTGTACTTGGACAGAGCCCGGCAACCCATAGCATTCATTAGCTGAAGCTGCCCTTCTTCTTCCACTTAATTCTAAAAGGAATTCCTCACGTAGAGCTTCACACAAGGGGCTCTGGGAAATTCAGGGGGGGCAGTATCCTTAATAATAGGCCTAAAGTACCTGAAGTGATGGGTTTCATCAATCTGTTTCTTGTTGCCTACCTCATAACACAGAGACACAACTCAGGGAAGCAATCCTGGGGTGCATGTGGGATGTCAAGCCTAATAGCAATCTAAGATCACTGATTTCTGTAGGACATGTTTGATCCGTAATAAAATCTAGTCTGTCTATGGACTGTGTGTCCTTCATGCATATCTGCACGTGCATACAGCATTTCTCATGATTGAACTTTTGATAATAATTACATGGCATGTGACTGAATTCAAGGTTGTTTGCTCTGGTAAGGGCCAGAAGTGCAGGTGCTCTCTGTGGCTGATTAAGAGAGGATTAATAGGCTCATATCAAGCAGTAACACAGCAGCATTGGGGGTCCCTTCACCATGCTAGACTTCTAAAATGGAGGGTGTGCAGCAAACTAAGAATACCAAAATGGAAACAGTTGAAATGGAAACCTGCTTTTCTCCTGGGATAATCATCATCATTGTTAGCTGGGGAGACACCAATGACTGTATAACCCCTGCCCATGTGGAAATGGAACGTGATACTGAAGCTTTCAGGGTGGACTCAAACTTTGGAAGGCTGCTTGGCTAGTGATGGGGCAAGAGTGGGTGGGTATGGGGAACTGGGATAAGGCCAGGAGGCTCTGAGGAGTCTGGGAACAGACTTTTGCTTCTAAGCAGCTCATTTTTTTCTAACATCATGGCTGCAGCATTTCTTCTGTAGTAATCAGACTTTTAAATTATGGAGTTATTTTACAATTACTACTTCAGATAAAACAAAAGCTTCACTTTCTCTGCACTGATGAATGAGCTGGTGAGAGGATGAAGATTTTCATTCACTCTGGATGGAGTTTGAATCCACCTATCCATCATCATGGTCAATGATGCCTCTCATTATTCTTAGTTCATGTCATTACCTGGAACTTCTCCTCATAGTTCTCGAAGGCTTCCATGACCATACACACAGCCTCCATTGTGCGCTCAAGCCGGCCATCCATCCTGTTGAAACGGTACATGCTACCAGACACATCTACCACCAGGCGCAGACGCTTGGGTTTCTGTTGTGGGCTGCCAAGCTGAGGGAAGGAATAACAGAAAAGCCGTTTGTGAACTGGCAAACTTCCCCTGGTGGCTGTCTTGGGGATCTCACAGAAGCTCCAGCGTGCCAGCCCCGAGATGGGCAGACCAGCCATAGGCTCAGCCCTGCACAAGGCTGTCCTAGCAGGTAGCAAGGCATCTATGGGTTGTACTGCAGTAAACAGAATTTCAGACTTGTGCTAATGGTTGGGGCCACATGGAAAATATTTTCCTTTGGAATATAGTCCTTTTAAAGCTCACTCTAGTAAAGTTGACTTACCGAGGTTGATGCCTTAAAAATAATATGATGACTTAAAAATAATAATCTGGAATGACATGTCATTTTCACTTCATGCCTCAGAGTCAGTAACTCTAGCAAGAGTTTGTGTTATTTTGGAGGGAAGCCCATGTCAATTTTACTTGTACGTATTGGGTAGTGACCTGAAAATTATTCTCCACACAGGCCACAGGTAATGTCAGATTCCTAAAACAAAGTTATGTGATGGGGGTCTGGCAAAGAAATTAAAGAAAAGATTTTAAAAACGACTTTTGTGTTTACTAAGCTGCACATCTTCTCTTCCTTCCACATTACTGAATTAGTGCTTTTCTTTTCTTGGCAGTTTGAAAGCATAAAAGTGACATCAAATTGTTCTAGAAACAACTGTCAATTAAGATTACAAGATTAAGTTTGATTTTAGACCCACGACTGCCAATTTGCAGATTTTAAGAAAAAGTTTGTTAGTTTTGCTGACGATAAAAAAGAAGAAGGCTGCGTGCAGGGGCTCATGCCTGTAATCCCAGTGCTTTGGGAGGCCAAGGTGGGAGAACTGCTTGAGGCCAAGGGTTCAATACCAGCCTGGGCAACACAGCAAGAACTCATCTCTACAAAAAAATACACAAATCAGCTAGGGTGGTGCTATGTGCCTATATTCCCAGCTACTCAGCTGGGTAAGCTGAAAGGGTCACTTGAGCCCAATAGTTTGAGGCTGTAGTGAGCTATGATTGTGCCACTGCACTAAAGCCTGGGCAACAAGCAAGACCCTGTCTCTAGAAAAAAAAAAAAAAAGGAAGAAGAAAAATTCCAGATTATTCTGTTATTAAATATTTGCTGTTATTAAATATAAAAAATAATGAGCAGAGTTAGTAATTTCAAGAAAACACGGTGGGTATTGAGAGTGTAATGGTTTGAGGCAAATTCAACATATTTCTTAAAAACTTGTTGAGTCTGCCCAAATTAAGAACACTTATACATATGCTTCCATGACTACTCACAATTTCAGATGTATCCAAACACATTTGTTGACCACAATGATTCAGTAAAGAAAGCAGTTGTTGACTCATACCAATGACACAGAAATAAGAACTCCCCAAATCACCAGATCCTCTCTAAATAAATATTTAAAAGGAGTGACTCTCCCTTCCCCCTACCAGTCACTGCACCCCCAGCTCTCAGTGGCGACTCAGCAATTCTGGTTACCCAGGAATACAGGAGATCACAGAGCTCACCAAGAGACTCAATATTTCATCCTGTCATCATTTTGTTTTGCTATTACATTGCAAATATTTTAAATTTATGGCTGTCTAAAACTTTACATACTACAATTATAGTTACTTAAGGGAGACGTTCTTATTTTCTATATTTTTTTTCAGTTATATGATGGACACTGATCTTTAAAGTAAGAGAACAGTAGAAAATCACTAAGGTTGTTTTATTGTTTTCACTTGAAGGTTTCTCTAGGCTTAATAGACACACCAGGTGTCTTCAGTTTCCCCTCCAGGGCACCTGCTCTGTGTCCTGGGAGTTGATCTGTGTGGACAATCCGTGTTGGAGCTCAGAAATCGATACCCTCTAAATATGGTGCTTGGACATGCTGAACTGAAGAAGCAGCATCAAGGTCTCACTGACCTTCCTCCCTCTCCCCACAAAGCACTGGATAATTTGTTCTCTGAAGTTTCTTCAACTGTCTAAAGTTCAGAGCTCCAAAGAAGAAAACCATTACTCTGGGCCCTTCCCTGAGTTTTCATCAACTGAACTCATATCACAGGAAGAAAGGCTGAAGTCTGTCAACACACCTGGACAGACTTCGGTCACAAACCATTGCTTTGTGGGCCCAACAGACTCTGTCCCAGGCCACTGTGTGCTCTTCAAGTCCACTGAATTGCCCTAAAACCATTTACTACCCCCGTAAAATCATCTACACTTCTCCATCTCCTTTTCCCTTAAGAAGAAGGGTACATAAGCATCTGTACTTCACTGTGTGGAGGGGGACTCACCCTTGGTTTCACCCCGGTGCACATTAATACATTTGTATGCCTCTTCTCCTATTAATGTGCCTTTTGTGAGGTGATTTTCAGAGAACCTTCAGAGGGCGAAGGGGAAGTTTTCCCTTGGCCCCTACAATCACATCAGCTGGCCTCTTGGCTGCTGGCTCCCAGTGGGTTCTGCTCATGGGAGGCACTGGTGGAGGTCAGGGGGTGAGGGTGGAGTATTTATTCCCTTGGCCCCCTCTCTGCTGTTGCCCATGGGTTGGCTCCCCTTCTGCTGAAGGCCACCACTCCATCAACCACCTTCTCCAGGTTCCAGGAACTGCTGTCTCATTCTGCCCTTTTAGGCCTCAGAGTGAGTTAGATCCCTGCTGTTGCTATCCCTGGGTTACTGCACTGTTTATTTTTGATTTTCCTAAACCCCACCCTTATTTTTGTAAATAGTCTTTGTACTGACTGTTTCTTAAATTACCTAATTTGAGCATGCCTTATGTTTCTTGCTGGGACCTTGAGTTGAATAATAAATAGTATAATATTTATGGAGTTTTTCTTCTTCTTCTTCTTTTTTTTTTTTTTTAACATAATGCTTTCCTTGGTTACCATATTCAGGATTTGTGATATTTTGACACAACTCACGAAAGCAAGTTTCTGTAAAGAGGGCTAGACTATGCAGAGCTGAGGCTAGCAGTTCACCATGACTTACTTGTGGCTCCAGCTCACCCCGACGTTTGTAGATGGCTTTTTCTCCAGTCAGCCCATCAATGATCTTGGCATCATCTAATTCTCCAGTAGCTTGATGTCTTAGCCATTGTCTTTCTTTACCTTTAGCCTACAAAAGACACACATACACACACAAAGCCTTAATTAGTTATGCAGAGTCTCTGACATACTTTGTGCATGAATAACAGGAAACACACCTGGGATCTTTTCAGTAAGTGATGGTTCTGCATGAACACAGTCATATAAATGAAGTGGTTTCTGCTCTGCTGACAAATAAATGCCCTTTGTCCGTTTTAATTCTTTCAACATATGGAACAATAAAATGAATGAAAGATGGTATGCAAATGAGTCCCTGGAGAGATGTCCAGTATCTGGAAATATAATAATGGGGGCGCATTTCTTACAGATTTTCTGTCACGGTGCTTCTCAAAAGTTTATTAGTTAAAATAATCAGCTTGAATTTGTTAACATTGTCTGTAAGCCCAGAGAAAATGTGACCTTTAGAATTCTACCTTTTGGTAAAGAGTTTGTTACTCAAGTTCTCTGGGACTTAGAGTGCAAATGGAAATAGCTGAAAACAATAGTATGTGAACATTTTGTACCCCACAAGTCTTTCTGGTTATCTATTTTCAGAAATCTTCTGGATTACTTTTCTAAAAGTTTTTTCACATAATACTTTGCTACAATAACTTAC
The DNA here is from genome assembly GCF_000001405.40 of Homo sapiens. NCBI lineage: Eukaryota > Metazoa > Chordata > Mammalia > Primates > Hominidae > Homo > Homo sapiens. Next base: position 41,591,351 of record NC_000013.11, read on the forward strand.
AATTATGCCAGATAGACTAATTTTACGGCAGTAAAATGATAAAGAATTATAGTATCCCAATCAAGGCATATGCTTATTACAGCCAACTACTATATTTACATTAATGAGTGGGAAGAATAGCTAAGATGTTTTTATGCATGCAAACTAAAGTAGTAGTTAAGATTATGTGTTCCAGGCAACCTACAAAATGGGAGAAAATTTTCGCAACCTACTCATCTGACAAAGGGCTAATATCCAGAATCTACAATGAACTTAAACAAATTTACAAGAAAAAAACAAACAACCCCATCAAAAAGTGGGCAAAGGACATGAACAGACACTTCTCAAAAGAAGACATTTATGCAGCCAAAAAACACATGAAAAAATGCTCATCATCACTGGCCATCAGAGAAATGCAAATCAAAACCACAATGAGATACCATCTCACACCAGTTAGAATGGCAATCATTAAAAAGTCAGGAAACAACAGGTGCTGGAGAGGATGCGGAGAAATAGGAACACTTTTACACTGTTGGTGGGACTGTAAACTAGTTCAACCATTGTGGAAGTCAGTGTGGCGATTCCTCAGGGATCTAGAACTAGAAATACCATTTGACCCAGCCATCCCATTACTGGGTATATACCCAAAGGATTATAAATCATGCTGCTATAAAGACACATGCACACGTATGTTTATTGCGGCACTATTCACAATAGCAAAGTCTTGGAACCAACCCAAATGTCCAGCAACGATAGACTGGATTAAGAAAATGTGGCACATATACACCATGGAATACTATGCAGCCATAAAAAATGATGAGTTCATGTCCTTTGTAGGGACATGGATGAAATTGGAAATCATCATTCTCAGTAAACTATCGCAAGAACAAAAAACCAAACACCGCATATTCTCACTCATAGGTGGGAATTGAACAATGAGATCACATGGACACAGGAAGGGGAACATCACACTCTGGGGACTGTTGTGGGGTGGGGGGAGGGGGGAGGGGATAGCTTTGGGAGATATACCTAATGCTAGATGACGAGTTAGTGGGTGCAGCGCACCAGCATGGCACATGTATACATATGTAACTAACCTGCACAATGTGCACATGTACCCTAAAACTTAAAGTATAATAATAAAAAAAATAAAATAAAATAAAATAAAAAGAAAAATTCAGGAAGCATTGACACCAAGGAATGAATAAATTTAGTAAAGATCTTTACTCTTATTTGTTTTGAAAAAAAAAAAAAGACGTTATAGCTTTCAGCTCTGGAAGTTCTATTTGTTTTTCTTTTCAATAGTTTCCATTTCTCTTTTCATTATGTTCATATTTTCCCTAAAATCCTTGAAAATATTTATAATAGTGTTATTAAAAGCCCTTCTCTGTTAATTCCAAAAAAAAAAAAAAAAAGATTATGTGTTCCAGCATCAGCCTGGTTCTAACTGTTCTTTCACCACTGTTCAATATCTGATCTGAAGCAAATTACTTAACCTGTCGGCATCTTTGTTTCTTCATCTCTAAAATGAAGATAACACTAGTCTCTACTTTAGTAAGCTATTGTAAAATTAATAAAATCTTACTTGGCATCAGCTAAGAAAGAGCCTGGTGAGCCGTGTTAGCTGGTACTATTATTTATTGCAGTGGATAAAACACATATGGACAACTTAGTCCACTTTAAGTTAAGCATGCTTCCATCAGTGTTTCATGGGAGGTGGCTATGTGATAGCACTGTCGTTGGAAATACAAAGCCACTAAGCCTCAGGCAGCTGGTGTCTGTTTTAGGGCCAGGTCAGCCATTACACAAAGAAGCACCACACAATATAATTCTGGGTATTACAGTATGTATTGTTTTCTTGTTCCTGATACCCTTGCTGGAAACAGGGGCAAAATTACCATTTTGGAATACCAATAGATTAATGCAAACATCACCAGCATATAGATTATTAATTTTGGTGGGCAGTTAATTCTAAGAACTACCATGTATGTGACCCTTGGGAGAATGTTCTTTCCAGATTATGTTCTTGGCAAGAATCCCATGATCTCTCAGGAAAATGGGTCACTCTGGAGCATAGCTATCATGTAAAACTTGATCAGATACCCAGCTACGGGTGGCAAGAGGAAGGAATGTGCACAGTCTACTAGAATCTCTTCCTACTGATCTATCTGTGAATCAGACAGACAACCTTGACCACACAGCACAGTCCTTTTCAGGCCCCCTCCCTGCACCAGTGATTGGGACTTAGCTCTTATCTCTTCTTTCCTAACATTTCTGTTCTCTAGTGTGGATAATCCTCAGGCTTCCTGGATAATTTATCCTGGGAAATGCTATTGTGGATGACCATTTATGTACCTTCAGTCTTCACATTGTACAACTCTTGGAGGTACCAAGCTGCAGAGCACTGGATTCTAATGGCTTTCATAGATGAGGACAGACTCTCACAGACTAGTCTAGACTGGGAAAACCAGCACTGAAGAAAGTAAAAGAGAACAGGGTGGCAGTGGTTAGCAGCCATTAAAGTGGCATGGAACTTGGATTCTTGGGCCGGGTTTAAGAGAAATGTGGGATTAGAACTGGAATGAAATTGTATATAACATGTTACTTATTGGCCATGGCACTGTCATCATGAAGCATTGATTTTCCAAGTTTTCATAAATACATTGAGAAGGCAATGACCCCAAGGACTCCCTACCCAATCCCATTAGCTGCTACATGGTTTTATTAACCAGTGATGCTTTTACCATGTAAAGAGCCACTGTAATGGCTATAGATTGTCATTTTTGTAATTTTTGTTTTTTTTTTTTTGACACAAGGTCTCTGACACCCAGGCTGGAGTGCAGTGGTACGATCATAGCTCACTGCACCCTTGAACTTTGAACTCCTGGGCTCTAGTGATCTTACCACCTCAGCCTCCTAAGTAGCTGAGACTACAGGCATGTACCACTACACCTGGTTAATTTTTTATTTTTAAATTTTTGTGGAGTTGGGGATCTTGCTATATTGCCCAGGTTGGTCTCAAACTCCTGGCCTCAGGTGATCCTCCCACCTCAGCCTCCCAAAGTGCTGGGACTATGGGTGTGAGCTAATTTTTGTGATTTCTAATGCAGGTCACAACTGTAGTAAAAATAAATTTAAACCCCACCATCTTACCACAGAGAAAATAAAAAATGTTAAAATTCTAACTAATAATTCTACTGTCCTCTTTATTTTGGTGTTTCTAAAACCAGAATATATCTTATAGTTGATGGCAAAAAAAAGTTGTCAAGATGACGGGTAGAGGGACTAATTGTGACCTGGTTGCTGTAGCTGGAGGACACACAGCTGATGTTGGCGGAGCATAGCAGGCATCAGCTCACGGAATTATTTCCATTGATAACTGAGGTTTGTTTTTAACTTTGGTTAAAATTCCTAACTATTATCTTAAACAATTCAAAAACATTACACTATATAGAAAATTAGAATAATGAGCAAAGAAATGGAGCATTAGGATGCAAATACACTATAAGCGAAGCAAGATTCTTTGCTGCAGAAATGACTACACTTCCAATAAGATTTACAAAGGCAAGATTCCCCCAAGGGGAAGAATTTGGGTTTAAATTTGTTGGGAAGACAAATTCCTAGAGGACTGCATGTCCCAGGCCATGCAATTAAAGAGGGAGAAACCGCTACATTTCATGAAATAGATCACAGAATGCTTAAAACTAGACGAAGTTGAGAAGACTGATTCAAGTACCATGAAGGACTATTAGGCCCTGTCAAAAAATTCAAGGAAAGCTGTTACATTTTCTGTGATATGTAATGCAATTAAGCAAAACATGTAACTCTCAGTTTTGTTCACCATCATGCAAGAATCCAGGGATTTTAGGTCTTAATTTTCTTGTGCTGATATTGCTTCTTTTCCCATAATGATTATCTGCCCTTAAGGTACTCTCTAGCTTGAAGACTGTTTCCATTACATATGCCAATAAAAGAAAAGGACTTGGTAAAATTTGCAGTGAGAGTAAGGGAGAGGGAAACACTTTTTCCAATAAATCTGCTGCCTTTTTCTTTCTTTTTGGGGGTTAACTTTTCAAGTTTAAGTACTTGTAATAAAGTATACAAATCTTAAGAATGTACTTTTACAAAGTAAACACACAATCTTAATCATCCACACCGCCTAAGCCTCCCAGTGCCCTGTTCTGGACATTACCTTCTCCCTGCCAAAGGTAACTCCTATACTGACCTCTGTTACTATAAATTAAGTTTGCCTGTTTCTGAACTTTATAAATATGAAATCATACAATATATACTCTTTTGTTTCTGGCTTGTGTGGCTCAACATTATCTCTGTGAGTTACCCATGTTGTGTGTGGCAGAACTTTATTCTCTTTTGTGCTGCAACGGTATTCCATTGTATGACTTTGTCACAATTTACCCATTCTACAATTCTGCTGATTTCAGTTTGGGGCTATTAAAAATAATGCCACCATAACTGAACATGTCTTTTGGAGCAGGTATGTGCATATTTCGTTGTGTGGAAATGCTGGGTCACAGAGTATGGATATGTTCAGCTTTAGCGTATACTGATGAACAGTTTTCCAAAGTGGTTTTCCCAATTTACATTCCTGTGAGCGGAGTATAAGGGTTTCATTTGTTTCTGTCCTCACCAACACTTGATATTGACAGCTTAAAATAATTTTTTTAGCCATTCTTTTGGTGTACAGTATACTCCTTCATTTTTATTTTTATTTGCAGATAAATTAATTACTTTTGGTACTGCTTGTCATTGATATTTTTAGGAACATGAACCAGTAGTTTTTGTTCTTGAGAACTAAACATATGTATCAGCCTTTTGAGTCAAAACTATTAGGCACAAAGACATTTTTATAATAGTAGCACTGTTCATTAGTTTTCAAGTATGTAACTTGCAGATAAATATGGGTAGAAATCTGATTTTCTATCCTCTAGCCAGCCCACAAATACTTGGAAACTTAAAACAGGAAGAGGTGTCAGAATGAATGCTCTTGGGGGCAATGGGCTGGAGGGGGAGCTCTTTAGAAAGTTACTGAAGGCTGAATAAAAATATTTACTGTTTTGGACTGTGTATATAAAGCCTTCTGTATTTTATGAGACTTAGTGAAATACTTCTTGAAACAGCTCCTACTGCATTTAAATATATGCTTTTGTTTATAATAAAAGGCCAAACATGTTCTTTGTTATATATTCCTATTGCATGAAGTAAAGTATCCCTGTAAATATGTCCATCTGTTTTGTATTATACATAAATTCACACTAATGAGAGTTCATTATATATAAAGTGAGGTTGCATTAGTAAAAAGTCTATGTTACAGACTTTCTGAAAAAGAAATATAATTTTATTACTTTCACACAAAGAATACTTAGACTCACTGAAATACTCAGAGAATGATGTATTCTGGTTAATTCATTTTCCAGGAAATACTTGCTTAACCAGAAAGTACACACACACACACACACACACACACACACACACACACACACACATCTGTAGCACTAAAGACAGAATAAATAAACTTGACAAAAACCAATCATCTTGTGGTTTGTGACACTTTGTCTTATGATTTCAGCACTGAAATCATTCTGATTAATCTTATATCTTTGCTTATTTGGGTTATGATTAATCAAGACTTTTTTTTTACCTACAAACTCTATAATCAAGCCAATTTTATATTAGTCCTTCAGAATTTGTTTAATGAAGAGAATAAAAAGACTTAAGTAGCAATTGTTATAGAGAGTTTATACATTCTACAGAATAAAGCCTACAGGATCATCAAGAAATATTTGTTGGGTGAATGAATAACTGTAAATGATGTTAGAGGGTACCTGTGAACAGCGATTCTCTTATTAAACATTAGCTCCCATTATTTTAACATCTCTTCATGCTCAACCAACATATATTTTTATGCTACAAATGTGTATGACTCAAACAAATAATTATTGGATTAAGGAAAACTTTCATATTGAATTTATAAGATAAACTATTAATCAGTGGAAACACAAAATTTTATTTTGTGGTTCTCAACATATTGGTACAGCCATTAAAAATATTTTACTAAATATCTGCTTAGGTTCCTAGGTGCTCTCAATAGTGAAAGAAAAGAGGAGATATGTACCTTATTCTAAGGGATTCATGTTTCTTGAAGTAATATCTCATTGCAAAGGAAAACGGTGAATCATCTATGGTGATTCTCATTAGAAGAGTTTATATTCTTGGATGGTGATGTGGAACTAAATCATTATGTTGAGTAACACTATACTATCTATAGTCACTTTTTATGAACTAAAATTATTTCAGGTCTTTCCTTCAAGAATTAAATATTTTGTAATTAAAAGGAGCTGGGAACATCTCGGTGTGCAAACATAACAGGCATCTTATACTTCACAAGTTTAAAACTCAACCCTGGATTCCACCCTAGAAAACCTGTTCTCTCTAAGTCCTCCCCCATCTCAGTGAAGGGCAAGAGGCAACCCCACTCTTCCAGTTGTTCAGGCCCCACACTGAGGAGTCATCTTTGACTCCCTTACATCCACACCCAATCCAAGGGCAAATCCTCTCAACTCCCAGCAGTATTTGACCATCTCTTACCATCTCCATGCCTAGCCTTAGTCCTGTCCTCATTTTCTCTCCCCTAGAGCACTGCAGCAGCCTCCTAAATGGTCTCCTTCCTTCAGTTTTAAACAGTTTTCCAAAGAGGTTTTTCCTGTACAGTTCCTTCTTCACATAGCAATCAGAGGAATTTTTATAAAATATATTGTCATTTGTAAGAACTATATTAGAAAGAACGAGCACGGTTAACTTTAAGTCTTTAAAAAGCATGATTGAACTTATATTTCCCTTATGATTTTCAGGAATGAGGCTATTTGCCTCTCCCATATGTAACATAAATTGTTACACTTTTACTTTCTTCTATTCCTTCTCTATACCAATTTAACTAACCAAAAACCAACAGAATCAAAAATCTTGATTTTTGTTTAATTTTAAAACTAATATGAGAATTTAGGCCCTGTTTATTAAATTCATAATTTTTAATATTGTATACCTTTAAAAAGAATGATTCTTGATATTTGAGTTTTTAAAAAATATATTTACCACAATTATTTAGACCTGATTTTGTGTTGAACTGCTTCTAATGCTCATTGCTGGTCCTTTTATATCACAAGGTTCCCATTCTTAAGGAATTTTGATTCCTCTCTTAATTGACTAGAGTATTTATACAAATATATATATTTATTTCAAAGTTATCTTTTAAAAGGGTGCTTAAGAGACATTTTAAGCCTCTGAATATCTGCAAATATCTGTCACCTTTGTACTTTGGCTGTGCACAGAATTCTTGGGTCACAAGAATTGTCTCTTCAAAATCCTGCAGACCTTGTTCCACTATCCTGTGGCATTCAAGGTTTCAGGGACAACTAATGTAAAATTAATTTTTCTTTCTCTGACAATAGCTTGTTTTTCAACTGCTTCTCTGCTTTTAGGATTTTTTTTTTTTTAATTTTTGAAATGTTAAAATTCCATGAAGCTGTGTTGAGTGCTTCTCTCTTTGTTAATTTTGCATGGTACTTAGTAAAGTCCTTTTGATCCATAGACTTAGGCCTTTCTTCAGCTGGGTACGGTTTTGTTACTACTTTGGTTATTGTTTATGAATATTTTTCAGTGGCCTCCTCTACAGGGATATGATTTGTTCATTCAGCATATGTTTACTAAGCACTTACCATGTTTCATGTACTGTTCTATTTGTTGGGACGACTCAGGGCTCTGTATGTCAGCTCTCTACTTTGTTTTTACTAATTAGCTTTCTTATGGTTTTTACCCCTTTATTTCCTCTGGAATAACTTCAACTTTTTTGTTCACATTACTACTTAGACTTAAGACTGGATGGAGTCTGTTCTTTCTACTTTTCATGTAGATTTGAGTTTTGGTAGTGCAGTTTTAGTTTTCTTATCTTTCCTTATTGCATTCAATTCCCTTATTATTTCTGCTTGCTTCTTAGCCAGATACTTTTCAATTTATGTCTTATTTCACATACTTCAAATTTCTTTGAATTGTGAGAACACAAAGCAGATGTTTTCTAAAAATTTTGTTTTCTGAAGAATATTCTATCCCAGCAGCATCTTCTATATCTTAAATGCTTGTTATTCCACCTCAGTACACAACCTTTTCATATATCCCATGTTATTTTATGTTTTCTGTGTCCTTATTCTCGAATGATGAGATACAAAACTGTTGAGGAACAGATTGGACAGATGCTCCTTGGTTGCATTCACTTTCCACTTAGTTTCTACTAGAATTCTTCTTGAGAGGTTTTAAACTGGTTGAACTAAATCTACAATGCCAGCAGGGAAGGAATTGAAACTGCGGACAGTCCCAGCATGAGAACTTCATCACCACATCATTTCTTATTTTGTTTGGAAAAGCCATTGCAATGGGGCCAACTTTGGGCATTTGGCTCCTTTGTGATTTAGTCTTCAAGCCAAGTATAAGTTGGGGCTGGTCTGGCCTTTTTCCAGGGCTATTCCCCTTTCAGCTTCCTGCTTGTAGCCACTGCATGAAACCTAGACCTCCCCCACAACCATGCCTCCCTAGCGCTGCTGCTTTCAAACGCTTTTGCATGGCAGTAACAAAATGGAGGTCAAGTGATCTGCTTCTCACCAGTTCTAGGGCTCTTTCTTCTTTTCCTGCCTTTCTAATCAAGGGATGTTAGTGACATTCTGTTAGCTCTCATGCAGTTACTCATGAATAATGCTATTTCTCAGGAAGGTTTTCAAGTTGTCTTTGAGAGGCGTCCCAACAAAGTATATTTAGCAAAAATTCTTCAAAGCTGTTTGCGTGTCACTAGCGCTCTTCATTAATTTCTCCTGACGTGGGGTTTTCAATATGTAAAGGTTTTGACTACTTAAATAATTTTAATGGTCACCTGGCAAAGACTGAGTTAGAGATGCCCATAGTCATGCAGCCCAGAAGTCAGGACTATATTTCTAGGCTGCACCTGGATGAAGTTGTCCTCTCTTGGACACTGACACCATGTCTTGAGTGATGAGCCATTCATGATGTGCTAAGAAAGAGTAACTGGCACTTTGCTGCTCTCCTGTGACATGTAGACGTTCCTTGACTCGGCTGTTCTCACCCTTCCCCTCTCTTTGCTCTGCACTCTTGCCTTAGTTGACACATCTTCCTTTGGCTTGGGCTGTCCCTCTATTCAGATGACCACAAAAATACATATACAGATAGCCATATAAACATGAAACCCTATCTAGTCCTCACCTTGCTCCTGAACTCCAAATTCAGGTTTTGAAAACTTTAAACATCGTGCTTGATATTTTTACATAGGTGTCCCAATAGTGAGAAAACATACTATAACATCCAAAGCAAACATCTGCTTTCTTCACAAGTCTGTCCTCTTCCTGTGTCTCTTTCTGTCCTCCAGGGCTTGAAAACCTCCCATTTCCCTTCCCTCGCATTCAGTGTCACTTGTCTTTTTGTCCTACCTCCAAATTGCTTCTTGAATTTGTCTCATTCTTTCCATTTTCATTTCAATTACGCTGGCTCAGGTGCCTATCACTTCTCACCCGAATAACTGATACTGTTTCATGATTTAATCTCCTGGCTTCCACCTCTCTTGTCTCTGAAACTTTCTCCTCCATGGCTACAAAACTTCCTAAAGAAGATAGAACCAGCTCTCAGCTCATGCCTGAGACCACACAGTGTCATGCATCTGTCTGTGCTGTGCCCTCTTCTGGGGCGTTGTTTCCACCCTTCTCTGTCTGGTTAATACTTGTGTGTCCCTCAAGACTCAGCTCATGTACCCTTACCTTCAAAATCTATCCTTGAATCCTTTTCTTCTGAGCTCCACCACATTCTAAGCTTCCCTCTACCTAGGTACTTACCATATTAAATGGAATGAGATCTTTAGGTGTCTGCCTTCTCTGCCCCTCAAGCCCAGAATTTTCTTAGTACAGGGACACTATCTTATCAATCTCTGTGCCCTCAGTGCCAAACACAGTGTGTGCTACACAATCAGTGTTCAAAGCACTATTTATCTGAACAAAAGCTTATTTTGAAACACCACAGGGGAAAAAAGGAACATAATTGTTTGTTCATGGAGATACCATGCTAGCCAAAGCAATCAGAGAAAGGTTAATTTAGTTTAGCCTGAGAATGAAATTATGATTATAGATCAGAAAAACATTGGAGAGAAGATATGATTAAAATCAAGTGGTTTTTTGTAAGAATGGATGTTTTCTTTTGTTAGAGCATGCATGGTGCAATAAGAGATTGAGATTCTGAACCAAGTATAATTGAAGTATTTATGGACTGATGAGAAGATTCATGCAATCGATTCACAAAAGGGAAAAGGTTCAATAACTCAAAGAAGCCAAGGAAAGTCACCGGTGATAGCTATCTTAATCGAGAGGAAAGACATGTACTGCAACATAGGCACATGTTAAAGCAGACATTAACATGGGTGGCAACAGCATTTCCTGCTCCTCAAATCCCACCTGGAATCAATGAGTGGGCCTGAGGCTGTGCTTTGGAAAGTCATCTCAAGTGATGATTTGCTAGTTCCTGGCCAAACTTTGTGCCGTTCACCAAGGAAACACCCATGGTTACTTGGATTACATAGCAACCTCAAAACAGCTGGAAGATATTAGTCAACTGGAGCCACACAGGACTGGCAGAAGATGGCAAAATGGGACCAAATCAAAGGTTCCTTGCTTTGTTTTCAATCTAAAGTTCCATATTCTACACAAGGCCGTGTCCATGCTTGGTGAGTAGCTAGGTTTTAAACTAGCCCTATCTTCCTAAATGGAGGACTAGAAGGCCCACCTGAGAATAACTCCCCTATGGATTAAAAATAGATTCAATAAGGAAAACACTTGAAAAATGCTGTGTTGGCATTTGGATAATGATGCAAAATGTTTTATGAGTATATGTAAGCATATGCTTTTTATGGAATTGTTGAGTTGGAAAAAGAGAAAAGAGACCCTAACAAACAATAATGAACTGAGCTTTGGGCCGCACCTGCCTCGCTAGCCATACAGCCCAGGACAGGTTACACCATCTTTCTAATCTTCTGGTCTCTCATTTATAAAGCGGGGGCAAAAGATGGCAAAAATGGAACCAATATTTCACAGGATTATGAGAATTGACACAATGTATGTTTCCTCATCTATCAAATGTAGAAAATTATACATACTGGTTTCTGTAGAGGTTAAATAGCACAATGAATGTAAAGTACCTGACTGGGTACCTGGCCTGTAATCCAGGCTGATAAATCTTAGCAAGTACAATGAAGGTAACAATGAAGTGAATCCTTCTATAGAGAATGCTGCATGCTAGGCATTGTTTAAGCATATCATCTGAGTTCTTCACTAACATACTGGTATCTGTCATTCCCATTTTACAGAACCCAGGCTGTCTGGCTGCAGAGAATGACAATAATGATGGAGGTGATCTTGGTGACAATGACGATGTAAAGCACCTAGTAGAATGCCTGGTGCATGGTAAATTCTCAGTAAATGCTTGCTATTATTATAATGCTGGTATTGTTTGTAAAGATTTCTAAAGACGGAAGTTCTACATCTATTTTAGCTACTTATTCAAGGATTAAATTGCTTTTATCTTCTTTCCTATATCTTAAAACTCTTTCTTGGTATTAGTTAAGCCTATTTTCTCTTTTTAGATCTCCACAGAGGAAGATAATAAAAACTCCCCTGAAATAATTACTCTCATTGAGGATATTTAGTAAGTTATTGACTCCAACCCCCTTAAGGATTTTTAAAAAATGGGTGCTACTTTGTTTTCCATGCATTTAATCTTACTTGTTGCTTTTACCTGAGACCTTCAGAGTTTTCATTCATTCCTCTTTGAAAGCTGAAAGCAAAACTGGACACTGTTTTCCGATACTGGTCTCACTGTTGTGGTGATTAGTGGAAGAGCCATTCCTTGATGCTAACTCTAATTCTAACCAAGGCTTCATTTGTGTGTGATTGTGAGAAGTCAGAGCAGTGGACCTGACTTTTCATCTTTTGGCTGATTGTATAAACATGATACCATTTATCTAAAGCACTGATCTGAGGATTAAATGTGATAGTGCTTGTAAAAGCAACTATAGCATAGTCCTCAACAAATACCAATTAAGACATCAACTAATACCAGATGAGGAATCTGATACCTTCAATTAAAAATGTATTCTTATATCCCTTTGTAGCACTGTGAATCCTCTAAGGGTCTCTTTCTGCCCACAGGGTAGGACTCAATGTTGTCTACCTGTTCTTGTGGCATCCAGGGCTATTCAGGATCTGGTGCCTACGACTCTGGCAGCCTCTTCTCTTGCCACTGTCTCCCACCAGGGTGTGCTTTTCTCAGCCATACCAAATACTCTGTCCTTCTCTGAACTCACTGTGCTCTCCTATACCTCTGTGCACTTGTGCATACTGCTTCCTCTGTTGGACATGCCCTGACTCCTTAAGCACATGGGAAATTCCTTAGCATCTTTCAAGAGTAAATTCAAACATTACATTCTCCATGAAGCCTTTCCTCATTTCGTCTCATAGCATTGTGTGCAAAATTCTCTACAGAACTCAGGAAATTTAGTTGACTTTGAGTCCCTTCTTTGAAGGCAGAAGATGTATCTTAGTTTTCTATCTCTAATGCCTGGTGTGCATCGAGAACTTAAGAAGTGAGTGAATCACTGAACCATACTCATTCTCAAGTCTTAGGATAGGCACCATCTCCCATTACTCTCACCTCCTCTGAATCATCCATTTTGGCCCTTAGCCAACTATTGCCTTACCCTGAAGCTCAGAGCCAACCTGGCAGTGTCCTGGTGCTCTCAATGTCCAGGGAAAGGAACACTTGTCAAATGAGTGACTATGTAAGAAGATCCAATCATTCAATATCATGTTGTTCACATATAGTTTATATAAAATCTTATGCTGTTTTATCCTAAATAACTGCATATAGATTTTTTTTAAAGTACATGGTTTAATTTTTACATTTCTTGGATTTTGAAATTAGACATCTGTTTAATTATTATAAAGATCTTTCCTCCTGGAAATGACAGAACTTTTATTAATCTCTGGATACGGATTAGATCTTTTGAAAAAATAAGGCTTTTCCAGAGTTTTGGGTTAAAATGGTGGATTAAAAACGGCATCACAGAAGTTCTAATCCCCAATACTTAGCAAAAATAATAAAACTTCCCCCAGAAGGACAATTACAAATAAGAACCAAAAAGGGAAAGGCAATCACCTTGAAATACTTCATGGAAAAGAAACACAAGATTCCAGAGTAGAATGGAGAAACAGGGCACAGCTTGGCTCCCAACCTTCTTCCTTTGTCCTGAAATGAGGCTTTGCTTTCTCTTTAGACAAAAAATCTGATTTTGTTTCTGATTTTAAGGAACACTCAGCCCCTCCTAAATTATTTGTGCAAACTGACCACAGAGCACAATTTCTAATTTGAAATCTCCAAACAATAGTCATGCTTAGGAAATACTGAAGTGTCTTAATATTTTCAGGAGGAGTAGCAGTACCAACTTGTTCCTCAGCATTGAGAGCTTTGTGAAACTGCAAAAGGGCAGGCAATGTGAAAGCAAGGGGAGGGCAGAAAGAGGAGGAGACAGGGGACATACAGAATACATACACTGGATGATCAAAAAGAAAGCCATGGGATAGTCCAGTTTTATGCAGACATTTTCACACTGAGACATTTTTTCGGACTGGCTAATTAGGGTTCAGATAATTTTCTCCAAGACTTTAGGAATGTGTCCAGGTTTGGGCCCAGGTTATTTTCTTGGTCCATAAGTAGAAGATTACCTGTAAATTATCCAGGATGATTCGGAGGGAGTGCACCTGTCGCCGAACAGCACCTGAAAACCTTTCATAGGTTGCAGCATCGTATTCACTCATTTGGATCTCCTTTAGCCTGAAATCAGAAGAGTATAAAAAGTTAACAGCTTAAATCACGTATATGTGGGTTTTTACTTCCATTCGCCTCCTGCTGGAACTTTAGCAAACTCCTTGGAAACTCAGATTCATGTTGAGGAGAAAAGGCAAGAAGTGATGTCTCCAGCTGTGCTTCCAGATTCAAAGGAGGTAACATCCAGTAGTGTGCTAGTAAATGGTTAACAAACTAGGACAAGAAAAAAGTCCTAGATTTGTAGTGTTTGCTGATTTCCATGATGTAAACATTGCCACCATGATCAGTTACAAGCTATGAACAGTGAGTTGGAAAAAAATGTGCACAATTGACTCTCATGAGCCAGTATGAATTGGCTTTGTGGTACACACCATTGCTATATCCCAAAGCCATATTGTGATGTTTGCAGCCGATCAGTTCATGTGGCAGATTCCTAAGAGGGTTCCCATGGGTTGCTTTTTAAGATCGAGATCATGTATTTGGTTGACCAAGATAACAGTTCAAGCCTAAAGAATGTAAGTTAATGTGCTGCTATGTATCCCTATGTGAGAGTTTTCTAAAATTGCTGACAGTGTAATTTAAACAGGACAATTGTATTTTAATATTATTGTGGCTTTGAAATTCTATCTTCCCAGTATGCTGCTCCTTTTTATCAGTTTTTATCATTTGCTTCACTGAAGCCCCACCAGCACACTAGAAGCTCCCCGTACACATCACATGCCCTGCAAGTGCTTCTCTCCCACTTGGAGTGTCCCTCCCCTGACTTTGCCTAATAACTCCCACTTACTCTTCAAGACTCAAGTCAATGATTGCCTCCTCCAGGAAGTCTGCTCTGATCCCCGGGTCTTTCTTCTGTGCTCTTATCTCACTTCATTCCTCCCTCAGAGAATTTGCTCTCCATGCTGTAACTATCTGCCTCCTGTCTCCCCAACTAGGCTCTATACTCCTTTAGGTAAGGGCTGAGTCTTTCTCATCTTTATCTTTACAGTGCCTAGCATGGAACCTAACATATAATGGGTGCTCAAAATAAGTAGAAATGAATGACTGAAATAAAAATACAACTCAGCATTACTTAAAATGCAGCATCTTAAACCGTCAGTAGAAAGTTCAGAGTGAACTCCCTTGGGTTTTACAGTGTTGTATCCATAATACATTAACTTAATAATACATTTCTATAAATTACTATAAATATAAAAGGTACTGATATTAGGACAAGGAATAATAAGTGCATATCTCAAAAGCCCAAGCATAGCATAATCTTCTAAACTAGTGTGTTATGTATATGCATGCAATGTTGGAGATATGAATCCTAGGTGTATTGCTGAAACTCTTATCTAATGTGTATTTTTTATCACCTTGAGCTAAAACAGAAACCTCAAATACTGAATGAGAATAAATGTTCTGTATTCCTCCCTGTCAGGTTGAGCACTGGGAAAAATCCATTCACCATGGGGGAGAGCGCCAGAGGCTTATTACAATTATGTAATGCTAGGCCTAGACTACCATGGGGCAGACTGACATTCCTGCCCTATCACCCCACTGGATAATACCCACTTAGGTTTCAAGATCTAGCTCAAAGTCCACATCCTTTGAAGTCTTGCTTGAGCCCTTGCATAAAGCTGGCCATTCCCTTTTCATGTGCCCTATACAGACATCTACCATGAAACTCGCATACTTTATTGCTTTAATAGATAGGCCTGTTGCCCTCTGTTATGGTGTTTTCAAATTTTTCTTTCCATAGTAGGAAATGTTTTACATTGAGATCTTGTATACACAAATGCATGTATGTATATAGGATAACTGAACCAAAAATTTAATGAAAAATACTTTTATTACATGGGATGTACTCTGATGTTTTCTATTCTATTCCTCAGGGAGAAGGACCATGTTCTATTTTTCCACTGAACTTCCAGTACCTACCACAATACCTGCCTGGCACACAGTGGCACTCAATAAGTGCTGCTGGATGGCACTTTGAAAACAGTGACTATTAAAAGGTAAATACAGACAAGGCCACTATAATATCTGAATGGTTGTATCTTGAGGTGACATGCCAAGGTGCCTTTCTAAATCTAATTAACTCTCAGTCCTGAAGAATAAAAAGAAATATGTGTATAGAACTTGACCTCCTGACAATACCTCTTGTATTTAGTTTCTGGCAGTCTCTGAAATCTCTCTATGACTTTTTATTAGATTAAGTTATGTCTCAAGTATCAAGGCTGACAGAAGCTGGGCACAATGAACAATGCAGGACATGCCACCTACCCCTTCATACCTAAACCGGTGTGTGTTTATATGTCAATATGCTTCTTCTCAAATAAGTGAGATTAGCACTGATTAGAAACAAATGTAGACACAGCTGTCTGTGGGGTGGGGAGGGGATGGAGGAGAGAATATATAGAAATATGTGATTAAATTAGCGCATTATGGATACGACTCTGTAAAACCCAAGAGAGGTCACCCAGCAAATGAACTTTCTACTTACAGTTAGTTTAAGATGCTGCATTTTAAATAATCCTGAGTTGTATTTTTATTTCAGCCATTCAATTCATTTTCAGCATCCATTATATGTTAGGTAATATGCCATATACTTCTATAAATATAAAAGGTACTGATATTAGGACAGGGAATAATGAACATACGTCTCAAAAGCCTAACCACAACACAATCTTCTAAACTACTGTGTGTGTGTGTGTGTGCACGCACACACACATGCAATGTTGGAGGTATGGGTTGTAGGTGTATACACAAATACAAACCTATATACACACATAAAAACACATATGTACATACATACACACAAACATATCAAGGAAGGAGCTAGCCATTTGGTAAGCCACCTCGAGCAGACTGATCTTTGCAGAGTGATCAGAATTAGCTTCAGTTATAGGCCTACCACTGGTGCGATCATGTTGCACCCAAAACACACCACATGCTGTTTTAATTATGAAGAAATCTGGAAACCATATTCCAGATTGTGTCGGTTTTCAGAAAGATCACCTACAAGGCAATCAAAGCTGATAAATTTTGAAAGATGATGACTGAAGCAAGGGATGTAGAAAGAAAAGAAATTTTAGCCTCTGGATCAAATGAGGTACCCATTGCTAATACTCTCAGGCCCACAAAACTAGCTGGAAACATATCTTTCTGCTTCTTTAACCCTGATCAAAACTGCAGGGCACAGCTGCTTCACATCCTAGTAATCTTTGTGGACTAACTGCATTTTGTTGGCACAGTATATTTTTAAAGGTTATATTTATTGTTACGTAAGAGTCTGGGAATTTTAGTTCTCATTTTACTTTTTCTTATAGGTCACACTTAAATACTATAATTTTGAATCAATTATAAGGAAAACAAACATAAGCTTAGATCCACTGTGTGAGGCTGATTAGTTTTGCAAATGGTAGTGGATGCAATCTCCACAGCTGGTGCCTACCCTAGACGCTTTTCTAAGTGTGTACATGTACCTCATTGTCTATTTCATTTGCTTTTCACTGGTATAATGTTTCTGTTCTATTTTATTCATGTTTTATGCTTGTCTCTCTCTGTTAGTCTGCCTGAGTTAATACATTCTTGATATGTAAGGGCTGGTATCTAGCTTAAAACCAGATATAAACAGATGCTATCAAAATGCTGTGTTGATGATGTCAGGAACCCACTTAGCAGCATTAGGCTCTCCAAGGCACTACACAAACTTTCTGGCTCACAGCTAGGACTGCCTAGTTTCAGCCAGTCTCTGAATTAAGTACTAAAGGATGATTCCATTACTTGTATGCACGTGTGTGTCATTCATTCCACAAATACATATGAAGGTTTGCTACATACCAGGTTCTTGGTGTAGGTCCTGGGGTTATACTAGAGCACAAAACAGATGGATGCCTGCCCCCCAGGAACTTACAGTCAGAGGAGAGACAACCAATTATTCACACA
Organism: Homo sapiens; assembly: GCF_000001405.40. NCBI lineage: Eukaryota > Metazoa > Chordata > Mammalia > Primates > Hominidae > Homo > Homo sapiens. The sequence continues at coordinate 41,609,201 of NC_000013.11, forward strand.
AATCACATAACGGGAAAGAGTGATAAGAGTTGTGGAGAAAAGGTACAGGATGCCATAAAAGCATCAATGGTGGGAACCGACCTCATTCTGCATATGCCTAAGTGGCAAAACCGTTTTAAAACCTATTATTTGATGATAGCGAGGAATTATTACTTTTTAAAGACTTAATAATAGTATTGTGAGTTTGTATTTTTTTGTTTTTATATTATGCAGATACACTTGGAAATATTGACAATGAAATGATAGAAGTCTTGGATTAGCTTCAAAACAAGCCAGCAGAGAAGACTAGGAGTAGAGCCAGAGTTTTCCTCTTGAAGTTGGGGGGTCGGGTCCATCGCATTCATTATATGTTCCTCTCAACTTTTATGTTTGAAAAGTTCCTAGTAAAAGGTTGAAAAATTTTCAGCAGCATTAAATGAAATATTCACCAAATGGGATGAAAGTCCCATTTCTACATGAAAGTAGAAAGCAACATCTTTCTCTTGGTGTTTTGCTGTGCCCCATCTTTCTCAGGATCTCCATGTGTTTCTATTTCTTTCTCTCCTTTCTCACACGCTTGGCCAACTCCTCTGTCTTTCAACCACCTTACGGTATTCTCTTTTACTTCAACTGAGACTCTTCTCTGCAGCATTTACTAGAGGTGTACATTTTCCTCATCCCTTCCCCATGTCCTCTCTTTCCTCTCTTACATCCGCTAAATTCATTTGCGTTAAGGGCACAGATGCCCCTTACTTCTTCCCCTGTAGGGCAATTGTCCTGAAGAGAACCACACTCCTTACTCCTATTATGGCAACAGGAGAAGGGCGTACATACTTGTGGCCAGGCACTGTTACCTTTCTGCCTCCCTGTGAACTATGTGTGTGCCAGAACACTCTTATCTACCTGTCCACTTGGGCAAAAAATTAGACTGAACAATTACTTGGCAGGTTTTAAGGGTGGCAACAACAGAACTCATTAATTGCGGAGGGGAGAATGACACATTTCCAATTGTTTAGTTCTTTTTCTAAATGGGTACTTTATAATTCATAAGAAATGCAGAGAACTTTCATTCTAACAAGACTGTTCACTACACTATTCTCTACCCTTTTTTGAGAGGCATAAACACTTTCATTCCTAACATAGTTACCTGTTCTCATAACCTCCCTGGGAGAAAGGGAGAGTGAATTTTATTTCCAGAAGAGCAAATTCAGGCACAAAGAGGACAGATAAACTGTCAACAGTCACCAGGGAAGCCAGCAGAAGGGCTGAGAGCAACACTCTTGCCTCTAGCATCAAGTGTGTTATTTACCTGCTGAACCCTCGAGGGTCTGAGCTGGCAGGCTTTCCTGAGGGTGTGGCGGCAGGGCCTGCATTCTTGTCTCTATTGTCCTGTACTGTTTACTTGCAGGATGTGGAAGCACAGCATGTAATGTAATACCAGATGTTCTACGTGGGAGGAATTTCATAACTCATACATTTTAGCATGCTTTTTTCTAACTGCGCCCATCTCCTTTCATGCAGCACAAAAATGTAAATCTGTTTCCCAAACTACTACCAGGTCCTGGAATCTAAAAGGAAATACTGGTGGTTCTTTGGTATTTTTCACTTTTAGTTGAAGCACACATGTGGATGTCTAGGGTAACATCATGTGGATTCTTCTTATTTTTTAAATGGCTCCTATTGTAGTGGCCCAGAACAGCTGGGGAATGTCCGAGGGCCACAGGCTCACTGGCCTAGATTAAGGCCTCTACTCACTGATGAGGCCTCCCTATCCAAACTCACTGTCCCTCCTCCCGAGCTGGTACCCATTATCCTGAGTGGGCTAGCTGCCTCTCTCTTCCATAGACACTATGCTCATCCTGCCCTGGTGCCTCTGCTCATTTAGTTTTCCCTTTCTGAAATATCCTAGCTCTTCTCTTCCCATCTCTAAATCCTAGCTGAGCTCTGGCCCCACCTCACATCAGCCCACTAAACTTGCCTTTCTCTGCACTGCTGGAGGGGACAGCCTCCGCACCCTATGACTTTAGCACTTAACTCTGTGCATGTGTGTATGTATGTTCCCTTGTCCTGTCTCCGCACTAATCTGCAAGATTTCTGAGGGCAGGAAGGGACCATTGTGTAGACTTACCTGAATTCCCTATGTTGCCTAGGAACAGATAGACATGGATGGGGCGATTTGAGCTTTAGATTTTAAGGAGCCTGAGTAGAAAGAACAGGTGATTTTGTTTATTTGGCTGTTTCCGTTAGGGACGGGGATGGCTGTGGATTTCAGTTTGAGGTCCGAGTTGCTGCATGAGGTGGAGGTGGAAACACACACAAATCTAGGTTTCCCCACAGTCCATCATGACATTTCACCATAGCAGTAGTGCTGGTCTAAATGTGATGGGAGCACTGACCTCTGCTGGAATGCTCTCTGGCCCATCTCTCTAGCAGCTCTCTTGACCTCTTCGGGAACTGCATCTTTCTCAGCCTGAGAGACCTGGTACACCGTATGGCCTGCATCCAGCCGGTAAGGGCCTCCTTTGCCACCCAGGCCTGCCGTGTCTCTTCCCCCTGGAAGGAAAACGTGGAAATTCAGATGATAAATCTGAACTTGACCACAGAACAAAAGTTGGGTCATGGTTTTAGGACAGCCTTGTGGAGGATATTAATTGTACTTAACTAGTAATTAAACAGTCAAATTACCTTCTGGAAAAAGATGTATTCTCTTGTTTAGGATGCTTTTCCTTTTTCCCATCCATTAAAATACTACCTATATATCAAGGCTTACTCCAGCTTCTATGACACCTTAGCTAATGCTGCTACCTCATAAGGATCCATACTCTTGTGTACTATTTGTTATCCTTTCATATTTATTTTTCTCACCAACTATATGATGGATGAGATATTTTATTTACTTTTGCACTACCGCACCTATAAGAGTGGTTTGAATATCATAGATACTTAGTATATATTTGCTAATTAAATGAACAACTGTTTCCCTCCCTCACATATTACCTTAGTTTTCCTTAAAAAACCTAGACAGTTAAGCTATAAATACTGTTTTTTTCTGTTCTGCAAATTATAAAAATAATGCACAGAGAGGCTAAATGACATATTCAGGACCTCGTATCACTGGCTTAGCCAAGATTAGAAGCCAATTATTACACCAACTTTGACTTCTGGTTTGAACAATATATAACATAAACACCATCAGCTTTAGAACAGTCTTTCAATAGAAACTCAAGTTTACATAATACATATTACATATACATATTACGTTTTATAACATAACATTGTATGAACTGTTCATATTGTAAATGCCTGTAAGGCCAGGTAGGTCATATGATAAAAAGTGGTGGGGACATTGGCTAACTTAGGATTTACCTTGTCTAAATACATGAAAATTGAAATTATTTTAAAACACTACATGGACCAGAGAAAAAAACACATCTGTTGGCTAGATTTGGCCTTTGGGCTATAAGATTGTTACCCCTATTTAGGGGTAGATTAGAATACTAGTAACCTGTTTCTTTTGTTCATTCACGTATAACTTGAGAACTTAGAAGGGAATCCAATATTGGAGGGGCAGTATAGTATAATACACTGCTATTGTAGAGTATATTATGATATAGTTAAACCAGACTGCCTGGGTTTGAATCCTGGCTCCAACCCACCAGCCATTTATCTTTGGGGAACTACTTAACTTCTCTGTGTCTCAGGCTCCTCTTTATAAAGTGGGGATACTAATATTATTTACTTCATGGGATTGTCATGAAGCTAAAATGCTTAGAGCAGTATCTGGCACATAATAAAAGCCATATAATGGACTGCTTTTACTATTATTATTAAACAAAGCCTAGTTACACAGAATTAGGCAATTTCTAGTTTTATAAAGTGGAAAATTTGAAGGCTTTTAGACTTTGGGTAAATTATGTTACATTTTTCTTTCACCATCACCACCCCCACCTCCACCTTACCACTGAGCTTTAACTGGTCTAACAAAACTAAAACCAAGAACTCAATATGAACTGCTTTCCTTATGAAAGTCCAGGTAGGTCATTTCCTTTTGGGAAATACCATGAGAACTGCCTATTAATTACACTACTTTAATCTTTTGATTGGAACATATTTCACTTTTATTTAGAAATGGGTGGTGGAAAATTCCTTCTGGGATGTGTGTGACTCCCATTTCTTACTCATGGCCAGCCAATAGGCAGAGGGGTACAGTAACTGGACAGTGACAATGAGCTATAGGAGGAAAAGGTGTTTCTGGGATCTAACTCCTTTCCTACAGGAGGGTATCCTGAGTATGGGTGGATCATGAATTTGAGCTGAAAGCTTCCTAGGTGCTGAGATGTTATCATTCTGGTGAAAGGGAGAAAGTGGTGGAACCATCAGAAGCTGGTGTGAGTGACTGGCCACCTGAGTCGCAGGGCCCCAGGCAAAGTCACACTGGGGTGGAGCAGGAGGTGCTCTTCATGATCTCCACTTCCCAGAGCCTTTAATTTGTACTATTTAAATGAAAGTGCTTACCAGAGGTTCTAAGACTGCAGGGCATAAGCCTGGACATTCCAAACCACTTCAGAAGATAATGGGGAGGGTGGGCAAGGGAGGAGCATTGATGAAGAAAGGGGAATCAAATGACTTGTTGGGCCAGAGCTCAGTTCAAAGTAAAGAATTCTGAGGGAAAAGAATGGCAGAGAGAAAAAGAGAAATTGAAGCCAAGGAGCCTTGATCAATTGAAAACTAAAAGCCAGGTGAAACAAATGTAGCCTCAATCTGGACAGATACGTGAGCTAGTAAATTCAAGTTTGGTAACAAATAGGAATTTCTCCCCCAGAGTAGTCCACTGCTGGGAAACCACATCTGGCCAGCTCGTCCCACAATGCATTCCATATGGATTAAATCTTGTTGGCTTGACGCTAACTTCCAGATCAAAGGACATTTCTAAAAATAGCCTTACTTTAAAGCTGATGCTTGATGAATAAACAGAGTAGGCAAGAAGTCCACAGGCCTATTTGATAGCACATTGTCTAAGCAGAGAAACCCATTTCCTCCCGAGGCTGTCAAGGCCAAGAGGCACAGACCATCCTAAGGAAGGTGAAGTACAGAGCTCCTGCCAGCACTCCTCATGGTGAGATAAGCTCAGACAGTGCGCACACAGTCTGGCCCTATTCCTGTGGACTCGCAGATGTGTCTGCTCCAGCTGCCGCAGAGGAAAAAGGAAGACGGCAGTCCTGGGAACAATGCCCTAGTTGGGCAGCCAAGAGGAAGGAGTCGGCCATCGGTTTAGACTGCAACCAGCCTTATCTCGAAATCTTGCATCCTCAACGTACTTCGAAGATGTGGAAGACAAGGACCATTTCTTTTCAGTCAGTTGCTGAAGAAAGAATTTACTGTGGATTTCTGGCATGATCCCAAGGTCATGGAATTTAAAAGAAGGGATTAACACTTTAGTGAAAATATTCTTCATGCCAGGCACTGTGCTCAGTGCTTAACAATCGTAATCTCATTTAATCCTCACCACAATTTAAGGTAGTTCACACTATCCCCCTTTGACTGATGAAGCAACTCCAGGAGGGTCAGCATGTTCTTAGGTCACAGGGTGGCAGAGCCTGTGGGACTCCAAATGCCAGGCTCTTCACATGCCTTGATGTCACGCTGGGGCAGAGGGCAAGACAACAATCCAACTGAGTAATGAGGGAGGCTGAGAAGGAAAGCCCGTCTCTGAGTCTTCTCAGGGGCGATGTGCTGGCCTAATGGGCTTGGGAAACCTGGGGAAGGCTGACTCAGGAGAATGCCTGTGCTACCAACCTGTTCCGCCAGCCCAAGTGTTGCCGCCCACGTGAGGCATGTTGTCTGGGTCCTCCTTCCCGTGTTTGGGGGAGCTTACATCTTCACCACTGTCTCTGTTGATTGTTATCTAAAAATGAACAATTGAGACATTTTTACTATCCTGTGACAAACACCAGGGACTGCATGACAGAAAAAAAAATTATTTTCTCCTAAGTCCTTAAGGTATCACATAACCTCAGGCCACTGGACTTGATAAATGCTGTGAGTATTTGGCAAAAATTCCATCAGATGGATTCCAACATCCATCTAGTTGGGAAGAAGAACTAATTTTTTAAAAAACTCTTAAAGAAAAGTAAAGGAGCTGGACTGCATTATAGCTACAGAATTTTTCTGGTGCAAACCAAGCTGTGAGCATTTACACATGGCATGAGACTTACCAGATGCAGGGAAAATGGATCTCACTGGAGAGGGGTATTTTGCCAGTGGTTTAAAAGGATCACCACCTAGCTGATCCAGCTGAGTCATTATATACACACTTACCCATTCTGTTTTCAAAGAAATCCCATTACTCTGAGAGATGCCATTTTACATATAATATATGGAAAAGAAAAACAAAAAGTTATGTATGTATGCCTTAGTGATAGATTTATGTTATATACTAAAAACTGCTTATTTATTTTTTTGACCCACTTCAATTTTTATTATGGTATTTTGTAGCTTTCCTAATTCATCTTTATTGTAAAACTAGATTTATGATTCCTGCAATTCAAATAGAATAAGAAGTACTTTAGCCTTCCTCTGTGAGAGCCTGAAGTTCATTGCTTCCTATTTCATTCAGTACAGTGTCACCAAAAGGAGTGACAACCACACAGAAATTTCAATCCTAGTAGTCAGTTCAGTAGATACTACTCCACAATAAATCAAAGCATTCACATTTTATGCACACCATGAGCCTGCTCTCAGATGCAATGATTTCCCAGAAGACAAGATCAAATTCTCATTCATTTGTTCAAATAAGACTTAAAGAAAATGTACTGATGGAACATTCTGTGAGGTACCATGGGGCCTACAAAGCCATTGACGATTGGTTCCTGCCCTCAAACTGCTTACAGTGGAACAAGAGAGCTTACAAATAAATGGGCCTGAAGTCAGTCTTTAGAGTTAACCATTCCATGTTGGTATATGGGATTTTCATTCTTGATGTTGGGATTAATGCAGTTAGGTAGGTAATTTGAGGTCTTTGCAAATAAAATGGCCATTCAGAATAAAATCAAGACAACTTCTACTGTCTTACGTCCAAGTTGGTTCATTTCAAGTGTTATGACATCGTAGGGATTTTAATTAGCTGGACTTTTCTGCAAATAGCTTCGGCAGGATCAACAAAGTTTTTGCCAAAACTTCAGCATACTCCAAGAAAATTTAGCAGCCAGACATGACAATTGATATAAATTCCACACACATAATCATGCTCTAAAAATGGGTGAAAATAATTTTTCCTCCTGTTTTCTTAAACAAGCAAGATAGCTAGGAACATTTAGAGAAAAAAAAAACATTTAAAATACTTTCCCAAAAACTTGCCACCATTTTTCAACTCGTTTATAAATAATGTAAGAGATAAGCAGTAAATTAAAATACATATACTGGCTACAAGAATTCCAGAAGAGCACTAATCAATAAAATTTTCTGTGTTGATGAAAATGTTTATATTTGAGGTGACCAATATGGTAGTCACTAGCCATTAGCTCAATATGGCTGTGAGCATGTGAAATATGGCTTGTGCGACTGAGGACCTGAATTTTAAATTTTATTTAGCTAACTAAAATTTAAATTTAAATAGCCATGTGTGCCACTGGCCATCTCATCAGACAGCGCAGCTCAGGCACAAGCTTGCCTCAGACCTGGAGATCCTGTTTAGAGATCTTTGCAGCACCCTCTAGATGTACTCCATGAGAAATGAGAAGGACAAAGAACATTTCAAAACTGGTACAGTTTTATTCTGTTGCTAATTTAATAAATCTATATGAGTCTGGGCGCAGTGGCTCACACCTGCAATCCCAGCACTGCGAAAAACAAAACAAAACAAAAAAACTATATGAAAGGTATGATTACAGTCTAAATTTTTTTAAAACAAACAGAATGGAACTTACATATGGAGATACTATTTTTTTTTTTTCTTTTTGAGATGAAGTCTTGCTCTGTCACACAGGCTGGAGTGCAGTGGTGCAATCTTGGCTCACCGCAACCTCCACCTTCCAGGTTCAAACAATTCTCCGGCCTCAGCCTCCCAAGTAGCTGGGATTACAGGCACCTGCCACCACGCCCAGCTAATTTTTTTATTTTTAGTAGAAACAGGGTTTCACCATGTTGGCCAGGCTGGTCTTGAACTCCTGACCTCAAGTGATCCACCCGCCTTGGCCTCCCAAAGTGCTGGGATTACAGGCATGAGCCACTGTGCCAAGATACATTTTTTTTTAAATAATAAGAAGATACTTTATTTTTTAATCATAAAGACACAATTTATTTTTACTTTTTATTTTATTTTTAATTATACTTTAAGTTTTAGGGTACATGTGCACAACGTGCAGGTTTGTTACATATAGTATACACATGCCATGTTGGTTTGCTGCAGTCATTAATTCGTCATTTACATTAGGTATTTCTCCTAATACTATCCCTCCCCCAGCCCCCCGCCCTGTGACAGGCCCTGGTGTGTGATGTTCCTCGCCCTGTGTCCAAGTGTTCTCATTGTTCAATTCCTACCTATGAGTGAGAACATGCAGTGTTTGGTTTTCTGTCTTTATGACAGTTTGCTCAGAATGATGGTTTCCAGCTTCATCCATGTCCCTACAAAGGACATGAACTCATCATTTTTTATGGCTGCATAGTATTCCATGGTGTATATGTGCCACATTTTCTTTATCCCGTCTATTATGGGTTGGTTCCAAGTCTTTGCTATTGTGAATAGTGCCGCAATAAACATACGTGTGCATGTGTCTTTATAGTAGCATGATTTATAATCCTTTGGGTATATACCCAGTAATGGGATGGCTGGGTCAAATGGTATTTCTAGTTCTAGATCCTTGAGGAACTGCCACACTGTCTTCCACAATGGTTGAACTAGTTTACAGTCCCACCAACAGTGTAAAAGCGTTCCTATTTCTCCACATCCTCTCCAGCACCTGTTGTTTCCTGACTTTTTAATGATTGCCATTCTAACTGGTGTGAGATGGTATACCATTGTGGTTTTGATTTGCATTTCTCTGATGATCAGTGATGATAAGCATTTTTTCATGTGTCTTTTGGCTGCATAAATGTCTTCTTTTGAAAAGCGTCTGTTCATATCCTTTGCCCACTTTTTGATGGGGTTGTTTGACTTTTTCTTGTAAATTTAAGTTCATTGTAGATTCTGGATATTAGCCCTTTGTCAGATGGGTAGATTGTAAAAATTTTCTCCCATTCTGTAGGTTGCCTGTTCACTCTGATGGTAGTTTCTTTTGCTGTGCAGAAGCTCTTTAGTTTATTTAGATCCCATTTGTCTATTTTGGCTTTTGTTGCCATTGCTTTCGGTGTTTTCGTCATGGAGTCCTTGCTCATGCCTATGTCCTGAATGGTATTGCCTAGGTTTTCTTCTAGGGTTTTTATGGTTTTAGGTCTAACATTTAAGTCTTTAATCCATCTTGAATTAATTTTTGTATAAGGTGTAAGAAAGGGATCCAGTTTCAGCTTTCTACATATGGCTAGCCAGTTTTCCCAGCACCATTATTAAATAGGGAATCCTTTCCCCATTTCTTGTTTTTGTCAGGTTTGTCAAAGATCAGATGGTTGTAGATGTGTGGTGTTATTTCTGAGGCCTCTGTTCTGTTCCATTGGTCTATATCTCTGTTTTGGTACCAGTACCATGCTGTTTTGATTACTGTAGCCTTGTAGTATAGTTTGAAGTAAGGTAGCGTGATGCCTCCAGCTTTGTTCTTTTTGCTTAGCATTGTCTTGGCAATGTGGGCTCTTTTTTGTTTCCATATGAACTTTAAAGTAGTTTTTTCCAATTCTGTGAAGAAAGTCATTGGTCGCTTGATGGGGATGGCATTGAATCTGTAAATTGCCTTGGGCAGTATGGCCATTTTCACAATATTGATTCTTCCTATCCATGAGCATGGAATGTTCTTCCATTTGTTTGTGTCCTATTTCATTGAACAGTGGTTTGTAGTTCTCCTTGAAGAGGTCCTTCACATCCCTTGTAAGCTGGATTCCCAGGTATTTTATTCTCTTTGTAGTAATTGTGAATGGGAGTTCACTCGTGATTTGGCTCTCTGTTTGTCTGCTATTGGTGTATAGGAATGCTTGTGATTTTTGCACATTGATTTTGTAACCTGAGACTTTGCTGAAGTTGTTTATCAGCTTAAGGAGATTTTGGGCTGAGACAATGGGGTTTTCTAAATGTACAATCATGTCATCTGCAAACAGGGACAATTTGACTTCCTCTTTTCCTGATTGAATACCCTTTATTTCCTTCTCTTGTCTGACTGCACTGGCCAGAACTTCCAACACTATGTTGAATAGGAGTGGTGAGAGAGGGCATCCCTGTCTTGTGCCAGTTTTCAAAGGGAATGCTTCCAGTTTTTGCCCATTCAGTATGATATTGGCTGTGGGTTTGTCATACATAGCTCTTATTATTTTGAGATACGTTCCATCAATATCTAGTTTATTGAGAGTTTTTAGCATGAAGGAGTGTTGAATTTTGTCGAAGGCCTTTTCTGCATCTATTGAGATAATCATGTGATTTTTGTCTTTGGTTCTGTTTATGTGATGGATTATGTTTATTGATTTGCGTATGTTGAACCAGCCTTGCATCCCAGGGATGAAGCCAACTTGATCTTGGTGGATAAGCTTTTTGACATGCTGCTGGATTCAGTTTGCCAGTATTTTATTGAGGATTTTTGCATCGATGTTCATCAGGGATATTGGTCTAAAATTCTCTGTTTTTGTTGTGTCTCTGCCAGGCTTTGGTATCAGGATGATGCTGGCCTCATAAAATGAGTTAGGGAGGATTCCCTCTTTTTCTATTGATTGGAATAATTTCAGAAGGAATGGTACCAGGTCCTCTTTGTACCTCTAGTAGAATTTGCTGTGAATCCGTCTGGTCCTGGACTTTTTTTGGTTGGTAGGCTATTAATTATTTCCTCAATTTCAGGGCCTGTTATTGGTCTATTCAGGGATTCAACGTCTTCCTGGTTTAGTCTTGGGAGGGTGTATATATCTAGGAATTTATCCATTTCTTTTAGATTTTCTAGTTTATTTGCACAGAGGTGTTTACAGTATGCTCTGATGGTAGTTTGTATTTCTGTGGGATCGGTGGTGATATCCCCTTTATCATTTTTTATTGCATTTATTTGATTCTTCTCTCTTTTCTTCTTTATCAGTCTTGCCAGCGGTCTATCTATTCTGTTGATCTTTTCAAAAAACCAGCTCCTGGATTCATTGATTTTTTGAAGGATTTTTTGTGTCTCTATCTCCTTCAGTTCTCCTCTAATCTTAGTTATTTGTTGCCTTCTGCTAGCTTTTGAATTTGTTTGCTCTTGCTTCTCTAGTTCTTTTAATTGTGTTTTTAGGGTGTTGATTTTAGATCTTTCCTGCTTTCTCTTGTGGGCATTTAGTGCTATAAATTTCCCTCTACACACTGCTTTAAATGAAAGACACAATTTTTACAATAGTCCTGCCACAGCCCCAAGGACTTCTGGGCTGCTTTCAGAAGCATCTTCAGAATCTATGGCTGGTTTTTAATATCTTTCATGGTGACATTTATGTATTCTTTAAAAACAGATTTGATTTTTAATAAATAGTCAAATGACACTTAGAGTTGAATTCTGGTGGAAGCTATTTGCTAACTTGCTGGTAAACTTTGGCAAGTCAAGTAAGTTCTCCGGACCTTCATTTTCACATCAGAAACTAAGGAGGTTAAACTGAATTATTTCTACCATTACACCCAGCTTTGATGTGCTGTGACTGATTCAATGATTTCAAATCTGGTAAATAAGGTGATCAAAGTAGGGTTTTCATTAAAACCAGGTACAATTATATAATAATGAGACAACTGACAGCTTCTCATTTACAATGGTTTGACATAACTTTTCAACTTTACAATGGGATGAAAGCAATACACACATTCAATAGAAATCATACTTCAATTACCCATACAACTATTTTGCTTTTCACTTTTAGTATAATATTTAATAAGTTATATGAGATATTCAACACTTTATTATAAAATAGGCTTCATGTTATATGATTTTGTTCAACTGTGGGCTAATGTAAGTGCTCTGAGCATGTTTAAGATAGGCTAGGCTAAGCAATGAAGTTTGGTAGATCTGGTGTATTAAACACATTTTCAGCTTACCATATTTCTAACTTACGATGGGTTTATTGGGATGTAAGCCCGTTGTAAGTCAAGGAGCATTTGTAGTTTGCTTATATGCGTTAAGACTCTTCTGTAGGCCAATTCTAAAAGAGAAGTTCCAAAAATAGTCTAAACAATTGGAAGAACCATTCTGAACACCATTCCTCACTTTGTGGGGCATGTGTGTGTATTCTGGTACACTATTTAAAAATAAATTTTAAAAAACCAGAAGAGGTATGAAAGGCAAATTCCTATGTGTCTACTAACTTTACTTTCATCAAATATTATCTCCCTAAGACATTTCACACAATCCAGTTATTCTGCTGTAAGAGAACAGTCTTTTAAGAATAAGTACTACAAATGAAGGCACAAAGTAAAAGAAAAGGCCCCTCAAATAGCCTCCCTCAGTTACCTTCAAAATTACGCTGTTGAAGTTGCAAAGAAACCTATAATGGCCATGAGGGAGGCAGAAGACAGGTGACAAAATTTCTGGGCAGAAAGGAATTGGCATGTTCTTTGCCACCTGTGTGTCTTGCCAGGCCGTCTGCTGGGAAATCGGGCTGTTCACATTGCCAACACAAGGCAGTTTCACACCAACCCCAAATAGGAGCCCAGAGATGTTTCAAAATCGACAAATTCTTGACAAAAACATCAGCCAAAACCTGTTATGTTCCAGGGACAATTCCAGGGATGTTTAATTAGAAGGAAGGCACTTAGCTTATCTAATTTTGTGTCATTTTATGAATGCCACTCACTCACTCACAGGAATATAGTTCTTTAGGTGGATGGGAGGAGTACATATGTCAAGAAGTTTTCAAAGCCATTTTAGGACACCTCTTACATCAATTGACAATGATTCATAAAAGATGCAAGTCAGGAATTCTAGGACAGTCCAACCCAGGACAGAAAGAAACTGGAACATACTCAGGGAGGCTTATCATTTGAGGAATTTTGTTTCCTGGGACAGCCATGTGGTAGACAGCCAGTAGCCATTCAGAAAGTTGATAAGCTGCTGTTTGCTTTCATGTGCGTGTTGAAAAGCATTTGGAATGTACTTCCTTTGAGAGCTGGTTTCATCTAGAAAAAGCTCAAGTAAGTAATTCCAATTACTGACATAAACACTACTGAATTCACTTAAAGGGATCAAAAATTTCCCCAAAAAAGAAAATATTATGGCCCCTTATAACTTTTGATGCAACCCGATGCTGAGCCCCTTGATGTATTTCTCACAGCTGACACAATCTGCTTTCTTTTAGGTAAGTGTGCTATAATCGTAAGAATCATTATCCCCTTACATGTGAATTAAAATGGAAAAAACATGGATCTTGTAAATTACAACTCATAAAAATGTTCCAGAGTAAAGCCAGCACAGGGAAGGGACATGACTCACTGAAGCCCTGTAATTCTGGGCAAGGCCCATATATTTTAGGCTCCTCCTTGAGTTCATGACTTTTAAAAGCCATCAATAAAATGATATAAATAGCCAGATTATAATCCTGGAAGAAAAGTGAGCTTTTGGAGGTATGACTGGACAACACAGCTGGAGACTAGTGTGGCAAAGCAGACATTTCTCATGTGAGCCTACCTCACGTTCATTTCCTCTTTTTTCCTTTTAAACAGAAGTCGGATATATCATGCTTGGCTGGAATTAAGCACAATAATCCCATTCTCCTTTGTCAGTGACTGGTCTAGGGGAAGCCACGTGGTCTGAGACGTGAGGGAAAGTCTGTCAGGATGCTTCTAGGAAGCCTTCCCAGGTAAAAGAAGAGATGGTTGTGAGAAGAGCTTCTCACTGTCCTGGATGCACTGCTCTCTTGTCCCCTCCAACACACACACATACACATACACCCACTTCCTGCCTTGGGACACAGTTGAGTGAGAATATGATGCATAGAGCTGTAGCATCCACATGGTGACCATGTGTTAACAAGAGGATGGCAGATTAGAAGGCTGGAAGAGTCTATGCCCCAATGACATTGTTGAGCTGCTGAACCAGCCCTGAAGTCACTTGTCTCTAATCTCCTATGTAAGTAAATAATACATGTCCTTATAGTTAAGCCATTGTTATTTGGGTTTTCTGCTACTTGGAGTCAACTGCATGCAAACTAACTGATTCATGTATTAAGGGATGAATGAGAGGCAGCAGGGCAGAAGCTACTGTCTTGATCTTCCTGAGGATGTCCTACTTCTAACGAGACATGCTTTGAATTTTCTGACATTAAAAATTACCATAACAGCATCAGCACAGAAATCCTAATTATTACAGTTGCCCACTATCTTCTTGATTGATTAACAGGCAACTGAATGTATTCATTCACTCATACTCTTGTGCAAACATTCCTATGTATGTGTGTGGTGCATCTAGTACTCACGTGGGATACAGAGATTTCTCACACAGGATCTTTACTTCTAGGAGGATATTGTGTAAAAGGGAACAAAGTCACAGCACAAGATGATACAGGCTATGATAAGGTTCTGAATATACCTGCCTAAAACAAAATATTGTCTGAGGTTATTGTACCCATAGGTTAGAAATTTCTTTCATAGGCATAAAATAAGATTGATAGATGGCTAGCTAGATTAATAAAGAAATAAGAGAGAAGATCCAAATAAACACAATTAGAAATGACAAAGGTGACATTACCACCAACTCCAGAGAAATACAAAAAAACCCCTCAGAGACTATTATGAACACCTCTCTGCACACAAACTAGAAAATCTAGAAGAAATGGATAAATTCTTAGAAACATACAACCTCACAAGATTGAACCAGGAAGAAATTGAATACCTGAACAGACCAATAACATGTTCAGAAATTGAATCAGTAATAAAAAAACCTACCAACCAGAAAAATTCCTGGACCAGATGGATTCACAGCTGAATTCTGCCAAATGTGTAAAGAAGAGCTGGAACTAATCCTACTGAAATGATTCTCAAAAAATCTAGGAGGAGGAACTTCTCCCTAACTCAATCTATGCAGCTAGCATCATTCTGATATCAAAACCTGGTAGAGACACAATGAAAAAAGAAAACTCCAGGCCAATATCCCTGATGAACATAGCTGCAAAAATCCTCAACAAAATACTAGCAAATCAAATCAAGCAGCACATCAAAAAGCAAATCTATCACAATCAAGTAGGCTTTAATATTGGGATGCAAGGCTGGTTCAACATATACAAATCAATAAAGATGATTAATCACATAAACAGAACTAAAAACGAAAACCACATGATCATCTCAATAGATGCAGGAAAGGCCTTCAATAAAATTCAACATCCCTTTATGTTAAAACCCTTAACAAACTAGGCATTAAAGAAACACACTTCAAAATAATAAGAGCCATCTATGACAAACCCACAGCCAACATCATACTGAATGGGCAAAGGCTGAAAGCATTCTCTTTGAGAATCGAAACAAGACAAGGATGCCCTCTCATTACTCCCATTCCACGCGGCACTGGAAGTCCTAGCCAGAGCAATCAGACAAGATGAAGAAGTAAAAGGCATCCAAATAGAAAGACAGAAAGCAAACATCTCTCTTCTCCAATGATATGATTCTATACCTATAAAACCCTGTAGTCTCTGCCCAAAGGCTCCTAGAACTGATAAACAACTTCAGTAAAGTTTCAGGATACAAAATCGATGTACAAACATCAGTAACATTTCTATACATCAATAACGTCCAAGCTGACGGCCAAATCAAGAATGCAATCCCATTCACAATAGCCACAAAAAGAGTAAAATACCTAGGAATATCATTAACCAGGGAGGTGAAAGATCTCTACAATGAGAATTACAAACACTGCTGAAAGATGACACAAACACACACAAATCAAACACTCATAAATTAAAGTAATGGCAACAAAAGCCAAAATTGACATATGGGATCTAACTAAACTAAAGAGCTTCTGCACAGCAAGAGAAACTACCATCAGAGTGAACAGGCAACCTACAAAATGGGAGAAAATTTTCGCAACCTACTCATCTGACAAAGGGCTAATATCCAGAATCTACAATGAACTCAAACAAATTTACAAGAAAAAAACAAACAACCCCATCAAAAAGTGGGCAAAGGATATGAACAGACACTTCTCAGAAGAAGACATTTATGCAGCGAAAAAACATATGAAAAAATGCTCATCATCACTGGCCGTCAGAGAAACGCAAATCAAAACCACAATGAGATACCATCTCACACCAGTTAGAATGGCAATCATTAAAAAGTCAGGAAACAACAGGTGCGGGAGAGGATGTGGAGAAATAGGAACACTTTTACACTGTTGGTGGGACTGTAAACTAGTTCAACCATTGTGGAAGACAGTGTGGCGATTCCTCAGGGATCTAGAACTAGAAATACCATTTGACCCAGCCATCCCATTACTGGGTATATGCCCAAAGGATTATAAATCATGCTGCTATAAAGACACATGAACACGTATGTTTATTGCGGCACTATTCACAATAGCAAAGATTTGGAACCAACCCAAATGTCCAACAATGATAGACTGGATTAAGAAAATGTGGCACATATACACCATGGAATACTATGCAGCCATAAAAAATGATGATTTCATGTCCTTTGTAGGGACGTGGATGAAGCTGGAAACCATCATTCTCAGCAAACTATCGCAAGGACAAAAAACCAAACACCGCATGTTCTCACTCATAGGTGGGAATTGAACAATGAGAACACATGGACACAGGAAGGGGAACATCACACTCTGGGGACTGTTGTGGGGTGGGGGGAGGGGGGAGGGATAGCATTAGGAGATATACCTAATGCTAAATGACGAGTTAATGGGTGCAGCACACCAACATGGCACATGTATACATATGTAACAAACCTGCACATTGTGCGCATGTACCCTAAAACTTAAAGTATAATAATAAAATTAAAAAGAAAACACTCATAAATCAGAGATGACACAAACAAATGGAAAAACATTCCATGCTAATGGATAGGAAGACTCAACATTGTTAAAATGGCTATGCTGCCCAAAGTAATTTGCAGATTCAATGCTATTCCTATCAAACTACCAATATCATTTTTTCACAGAATTAGAAAAGGCTCTTTTAAAATTCATAAGGAACCAAAAAAGAGCCAAACAGCCAAAACAATCCTAAGCAAAAAGAACAAACCCATAGGCATCACACTACCTGACTCCAAACTATAGTACAAGGTTATAGTAACCAAAACAGCATGGTGTTGGTATAAAAACAGACACATACATTAATGGAGCAGGTTAACGAACCCCAAAGTAAAGCTGCACACCTACAACCATCTGATATTTGACAAAGCCAACTATAACAAGAAATGGGGAAAGGATTCCCTATTGAATAAATGGTGCTGGAATAACTGGCTAGCCATATGTGGAAGATTGAAACTGGATCCCTACCTTTCACCACATACAAAAATCAATTCAAGATAGATTAAAGGCTTAAACATAAAACCTAAAACTAAAAAAACCCTAGACAAAAACCTAGGAAATACCACTCTGGACATAGGCCTTGGCAAAGATTTCATGACAAGGACTCCAAAAGCAATTGCAGCAAAAACAAAAATTGGTAAGTGGAACCTACTTAAACTAAAGAGTTTCTGCACAGCAAAAGAAACTATCAACAGGGTAAAGAGACAACCTATGGAGTGGGAGAAAATATTTGCAAACTATGCATCCAACAAAGATCTAATATTCAGAATCTATAAGGAACTTAAATGAATCAACAAGCAAAAAAAACAAACAACCCATTAAAAAATGGGCAAAGAGACACTTCTCAAAAGAAGATGTACACGTGGCCAAAAAGCATATGAAAAAATGTTCTATGTCACTAATTATTAGAGAAATGCAAATCACAACCACAATGAGATAACATCTCACACCAGTCAGAATGGCCATTATTAAAAAGTCAAAAAGTGGCCTTTGAGACCCTATGCTCAGGCCCGCTCCCAGACTGTAATGTGTACTTTCATTTTCAATAAAACCCCAATTCTTTCCTTGCTTTGTTTGTGTGTTTTGTCCAATTCTTTGTTCAAGACACCAATAACTTGGACACCCTCCACCGTTAACATATTTTGGTGAACCAGCCAGGAGGAAGAGTCAAGCAGGTTCGCTAGGGCCGCTCAGGGAGAGAGAACCTAGAAGCCTGGCATGCTGGCAAAAGGGTAAAAAAAGCTTTTTATGGTTTGAATCTTCTGGAAACATCAGAGAAAGACTGTCCTTGCCATCCACACTACAACAAAACTTCGGGAGCTTGAACTTTGGGTTCATGGTGTTGCAACTGAGAAGGGCCCCTCCACACTGGAACAGTGCACCCACTGGAACCATGAGAGACCATCAAGCTTCAGATGATCATGCAACAAAGGCTCCAGTCAGTTCCAGGTGAAGACACCACCACTGGCCATCAAGAAACTACCCTGCCTCCACTAGATAGAGCAGAGTGAGAGTTCCGTGATCCCCAATAGGTAAAGACTACGCCCCAGGTCAGCATGAAGCAGTTACAGAAAAAAAGACCATCGGTCCCTCTCCTTCCCATAAAGATTTATGAGGATCACATCTCTAAGTGGGGAGATGATGCAGGAAAATAGAGTCTGGAAGCAGGGAACATAGGCCGATTCACACTTTAGCTATAACAGGAAATATCCTCTCCATAGGGCATACACCGAGTAAATGACTTTGTAACTTTTCTTCATCCACTTGATTTACATAGGGTGTACCCCAAGTAGAGGTATTTAAACTCACAAAATCTCTGTAACAGGGCCTTTGAGCTCCTATGCTCAGGCCCATGCTGTGGAGTGTCCTTTCATTTTCAATAAAACCCTTCATTCCCTCCAAAAAACAAAACAAAACAAAAAAAGTAAAAAAATAACAGATGCCAGAGAGGTAGCAGAGAAAAGGGAACACTAATACACTGCTGATGGGAAGGTAAATTAGTTCAGCCACCATGGAAAGCAGTTTGGAGATTTCTCAAAGATCTTAAGACAGAACTACCTACCATTCAATCCAGCAACCCCATTATTGGGTATATACCCAAAAGAATATAAATTGTTCATTTATGTGAACAATGTATATATATTCACATTTATAAAGTGCATATAAATTATGCACATAAATTCATACACATTTAAAATGTGCATGTATGCTTATTGTAGCACTTCCCACAATGGCAAAGACATTAAATTAACCTAGGCTCCCATCAACAGTGGACTGGATAAAGAAAATGTGGTACCTGTACACCCTGGAATACTATGCAGCCATAAAAAAAATAAAATCATGTTTTTTGCAGCAACATGAATGCAGCTAGAGGCCATTATCCTAAGCAAATTAATGCAGGAACAGAAAGTCAAATAGTGCATGTTCTCACTTATAAGTGGGATCTAAACATTAAATACACATGGGCATAAAAAAGGGGACAACAGGCCGGGCACAGTGGCTCACGCCTGTAATCCCAGCACTTTGGGAGGCCAAGGTGGGCAGATCATGAGGTCAAGAGATCGAGACCATCCTCGCCAACATGGTGAAATCCCATTTCTACTAAA
Source organism: Homo sapiens (assembly GCF_000001405.40). Taxonomy (NCBI): domain Eukaryota; kingdom Metazoa; phylum Chordata; class Mammalia; order Primates; family Hominidae; genus Homo; species Homo sapiens. The sequence goes on from NC_000013.11 coordinate 41,628,882, forward strand.
AATACAAAAATTAGCTGGGTGTGGTGGTGTGCGCCTGTAGTCCCAGCTACTCGGGAGGCTGAGGGAGGAGAATCACTTGAACCCAGGAGGTGGAGGTTGCAATGAGCCATGATCGCACCACTGCACTCCAGTCTGGCGACAGAGCGAGACTCCATCTCAAAACAAAAAACAAAAACAAGCAAACAAACAAACAAAAAAACGGGGGGACAACAAACACCAGGGCCAACTGAGGGTGGAGGTTAGGAGATGAAGACTGAAAAACTACCTACTATGCAATCCCATTCACAATAGCCACAAAAAGAGTAAAATACCTAGGAATATCATTAACCAGGGAGGTGAAAGATCTCTACTATGCTCACTACCTTGGTGACAAAATCATTTGTACACCAAATCCCAGTGACATACAACTTACCCATGTAACAAACCTGCACATGTACCCTCTGAACCTAAAATAAAATATGGAAGGAAAAAAAAGTAAAGAGCTATAACATTGTATTGTGCTCTAAAAATTAGAGGGAACAGAGCAGCTTAATTACAAGTGGCCAGTTTTTCAGCTTTATATTCTTATGCTTGTTATGAGATCAATAAAAATTATTTCCTGATTTTCTAGTTCTAAACATGCCAAGAAAACAACTGCCCTAACCTGGTATGCTAACATTAATAAATCATAATTATGTTCTCAATACTGTAATAAAAGTGTACAGCAGCCTGAAAAAAGAAATTTCTTTCATAGATATATACAATGAAAGTCACATAATATTTCCCTAGGAATGATGTTTTTTCACATGAAGTCAGCTGGCTAAATAACAACAACAAAAAGGGCTGACCACCACCCAGTTTTCATTAATAACCAGTATGTTCTACAATGATAACACATGACAAAAATACCTTTATTGCACAGGTAGCTTCTATGTGTTTCAACTTCAACCTCTGGCAAAGCCATTAAGTATGCAATTTATCTTCAGTTCTTCCTTGGCTTGGTGGTAATATTTGCCTTCAAATACTCAATGACCCTCTGCCCTCTTTAATCCCTCAACACCCTTAAAAAGCAGAAAAGCATCTGACTTTTGGTCACTCATAGCTACAAATTATACTGTAGCTGATATTCATTCATACTAAATAATTAACCTCAGTGGGCATTTCTATTTTAAGTGCCTTTATAAGTAACTGAAAAATAAAGCCTTGTTTTCTTTGTTAGAAAGTTTGAGAATCAGTAAGGAGGCAGAGGTAGTGGGTTGGGAGCATATGAGGCCTATTCCCTGGTCCTAAAGACAAATGCCTATTAGGGCGACTTGTGATAATACAGGTGAGAAGGAGAATGAATGGTCCATGGTTTGTCTTGCAGAAGTCCTGTCTTCTGGCATAGAAAGGGTTTCTTTCCTTTTCAAATCAACCATCAGCCCCTCCTTGTTGACTGTGAGCTGGACCCTTTTGCCAACCTCCCTATACCAACCCAACTCAGTCTCACCCTCCACCTCTCCACACCAACCCAACTCAGTCTCACCCTCCATCTCTCTATACCAACCCAAATCAGTCTCACCCTCCTTCTTCTTTCTGCTTGAACACTCGTAGAGGCTTAAGAATATTTTGATTTCTAGCACAAGTGATATGCTTGATAAACATTTAAAAACATTTGAAACTATAACCAAAGCCACTCCCCCTCCCCTTCTATCTAGATGTTCTGAAACACATCCCTATAGGCATCTTTATTATTTTTCTGAGTTTACAAAATCTCTGACAAAGAACTTTCTCACTGGAATGACCTTCTTCCGTAAGTGCTATTATCGTGCAACAAAAACACCCAGTCTAGTGAAAATGAGCAAAACTTTATATATTTTACAGACTTGGGATAAAAGGAGAAAAAAAAGTTTATTAATATTTTACTTTACCTTTTATTAACTGATGTAGTAGTTGTTAACAGTGGCATATACATATAGCCTTGTACATAAGAGGTGCTAAATAAATATGTATTGAATGCAAGCATGGGAGTCTGCTCAGTAACAGGAAACTAAGAATTTAATCTGCATACAATCTTTTCCACAGTAAAGTGTCATCTGAGTGCCTGATGGGACTCTTTCCAGCTCTGCCTGCCAGCCCATAATTGGCACACAGTGGGGCCACTGGTCAGCAGAGAGCCATCTTCTTCTTTATTTTTTGAGACAGAGTCTCACTCTGTCACTCAGGCTGGAGTGCAGTGGTGCGATCATGGCTCACTGCAGCGTCAACTTCCCAGGCTCAGGTGATCCTCCCACCTCAGTTTCCCAAGTAGCTGGGATTACAGGCACACGCTACCACACCTAGCTAATTTTTGTATTTTTTGTAGAGCTGGGGTTTCACCGTGTTGGCCAGGCTGGTCTTGAACCTTTGGGCTCAAGCGATCCTCCCACCTAAGCCTCCCAGAGTGCTGTGCTTACAGGCATGAGTCACTGTGCCTGGCTTAGAGAGCCATCTTCTAACAGGGGCAGGAAACCCTGTTAGCTCCGGGTTATTCTTAAATCCTGATCCTGCTTCACCCTCAGCTTGACTTTGACCCCTACCAAGGTCTCAGCTCAGTTAGTTTCAGGCCGAGCTCCTCACTGGGCCTTACATGGACTCCCTGTCATAGCCTCTGAGTCTATAGGTGATGACCTCTCTTCTTACTTCCTGGTCCAAACAGAGTTGTTTGAAAGGCTGTCCAAAATAAAATTATAGGCTCGTAGAACTCATCCAAAGCAACTGCTCATTTTACTTAGAGTACCTTATTTATTCATTCTCTTCTATTTAAATTCAAGTAGGAATGAAAGATGAAGAAGATTTTTGGAAAATCTGGGAATATGGAATGCAGAATGATGAAGTCAAGAGGATGATTCACGGATTAAGATGCTATACTTATAAACAAACCTTTAAGGGAAACCAAATGTTATCATTGTGTGTAGGTGAGTGTCAAAAACAAATGTTGAAAAATTGCAAACAATTGGCACAGCACTGGTTTACTGCATGGAAATGCACCCTTCCTGCTGCCTCCTCACAGACTCACACTCAGTATTAACACTCACACAAGAACAACCGCTAATTAGATTGAGAGACAGCATGGGTAGGGCAAGCTGTCAGGTCTTCACAGAGTCTACCCTTTCTATTTTTGCCTCTTTTAAGAGCCTTCAAAAGGTTAACATTCAATACTATGGTAAATTAAAGCCCAGCCATCAGACCTCCATAGCCAAGGAAGAAGTTAGCAAAGCATAACAACCTTGACTACAGCAAATAGTATGCAGATGCTTTGGTTTTGGTATATAAAAGGTGGTCCTGGCAAAAGACATTTAATGCCACGTACTTCATTATTAAAGCTCAATGATCTCTCATGGCATTTCTTGGCCTGGTGACTTCAATCTCATACTGAAGCACTGTGCTTTTCTCAAAATATCAAATCTGTTTGGCATTTTTAAAAGCTATTCTGTTTTCCATCCCAACAGAATTCTCTGAGGTGTTAAGGGTACCGGGAAAAGGGAGGGTAGGTAGACAAGCCATTATTACCATGACTGTAGGTAGAAGCAAAAGGGGGATTTAATATGACCCAGATCCTAAAGATTCTTGGAAGCACCTACATGCAAAAGAATTTAGCATGAGGAATTCTTTTCTGAAGACAGGGATGCTAGCTGAATTAGTGATGGACAGGTTACAATGCTATAGTCCCTCTGGAGAGGTATTTCTAGCATCAAATCTTGGCTGCTGCTTTTTCCATTTTCTTTGTTACTACAAGTCACATTATACTGTTACCTATCATTTCTTCCAGGATGCTTCCTACAACTGTTGGTTTACCATCTTAGGCCACAATAATGCTTATGAATCCACTGCCTACTGATGTTTACCCTGAGTTTTTCCAACCATTTCCTCAAGGCACCTGGAGTTCCTGTGAAACATATGTTGGAACACCCAATAATAACAATCTTCCTTTGCTTCCAGCAGGCCGGGCACTATCACTTACATACTTTTTGACAGTCACTATGGTTCAAAACTATTTGTAAGAATACAAAATAATAACATAAGGAAAGGCCACAGAGAAATAAGCAATCTGCACTGCACACACACAACTCAGGAGCGGGTAACACATCACTCCGTAGCTAAGGGCATTTGTGGTTTTGGGCTTTGAGGCTTACTGTGTGAGGGAACCTTCCAGGTTGCTGCGCTGGCTCCGATACAGAGTATGAAACAGCACTTGGAGCATGGGAAAACTTGACACATGAAGTAATCGTAATGTACTCTTTTATGATAGTACATTTATGTATGTGCATATGTATATATACATCCACACATATACATTTTTTGAAGAAATATTTCAGGGATAAATAGCATTGCAATGAATCAGTGGTATGGGGTATGTAGGAAGATGTGGCTAGATATATAAGCTGGTATGGATTCTAGGTGTAAACATCTGGAGGGAAGGGACTGAATCTTATTCTTCCTAACATCTTCAGCACCAGGCACAGTCTTGGTACATCACAGAAGCTCAGGAAATATCTAGTGACTAAATGAATGACTGCATGGCCATTGCCACTGCGGCTGTGTCAAAGCCACAGAATGACCGCAGTGGTATATAAGCCACCAATAACATAGGGAAGCCTGATAACTGCTCTCCTGGAACTTATGGGGGCAAGTTAGAAAGAAAGCAGGAACTTTGGGGTAGGAGAAAAGAATACCATTGGAATTCACTTTTTGAAACATTCTTTTAATTTTAGGTTGTGAAGGCTCTTACGATGTGAGCGACAAATTAAGAATACTAAATATCGGTTGGTAAAGCTTTCTAATTAAATTTAGGGCACAGCTGATCTGATATATATTTACATTATATATCACTGATACTGAGCTGCATGGTAATCAGAAACACACAAACAATTCACATAATGACTGTAATTAATCAGGGGTTTCTACAATCGAACATAGGCGGGTTGGTCATTTCCTCCTTTGTGTTAGTTCTCCATTTTCTTTAACCATGTAAATCTGTTTGTTTCCCACTTATACCTTGAAATTCTTACTCCTAAAAAGACTAGAGTCCTGGATGCCATTCCAACAAGTTCCCCTGCCTCTGCTTCCTGTGGCTCCCTCTTTCTCCCTATACCCCTCCCACTTATCTCCCTTTGTGCCCCATCTGAGAATTCCCTTAGCAGTGCCTGTCTTGGGAGGTTGAGGGCTTTAGGCAGCACAAACTTTGAGACATGAAGTTGTGTATGTTTGGCCATGGGTGCCGTGGCTTGGTCAGCAGGCAATGCTGAGAATCATACAGAGGGGAGAGGAGAGAACACTACGTGAAGAGACTGTAGATTAACCCAGGGTCTTGGGCTGAGCTAGGGTGAGTAGGGTGGCACCAGACTTTCCTTGGTGTCCTCCAGAGCCTGTACTATCCTCTATTGCATTATTATAATTCTTCATGACACTTAGGAATTTTTTCATGTCTGTCTCCCTCTACTTTATGATTGCACCCCAAGACCTAACACAGTGCAATGTTCTAGTTGTGTAGTCATGTGAGGTAGCTTAACAGAACCCTGGTTTTCAGAAACACACTTTATACCCAATTTTTGACGTATTCTGACATGTCTTAGCATTATTTTTTGGGATGAAGAAGTTTAATATAGATAGAGTTTGAGGTTAGGAATCTGTAAGAGAAACGTTTTAAATGAAGGAAAGAGCCTGAGAGGAATCAGCAGTGTTTGAGTGTGTGGGAGTTTACAGCAGAGACAGCACTGGGATGAAAGTTGAAGCCTGCTTTTCAGCCTAGCATGGCCTATAACTCTCTGTGTGATGCCAGACAAGTCATTTCAGCTTTCTGCACATTCGTTTCTTCATCTTCAAAGTGAAAAAAAAAACAGACTAAATTATTTCTAGCTCTAATTTTTTTCCTTTGGCTCTTATATAATTTACTTCAGTTTTAGTTTACAAGTTGCCAGGGATCAATTTGAATAAAATGGAAAGTTAGGTTTAAATAATATTTTTATACGATTTTATTAAAGTTTAGCTTTTCTTCAAATTGGTTCACTAAGATTTTGAAGTTAAGAAAATTTTTTTGAAAGGCAGCTTGATGTCATGGAAGAAACATTTTATCAGGAATTAGAAGACTGACTTTTGATCCTCATTCTGGCACTAACTGGTGAAGTAGTTTTGGCCAAAATGACTTATCTTCTCTTAGTTTTCTTCACCTAAAAAAATGAGGGGGACAGTTGGCAGAAATGCAATTCAAGTACACTGTGTGGTTCTGCTGATTGATAATATTTTATTTAGTTATTATAATGTGAAATCTGAACACTATTCTAACTAAAATTCTACTATGAATTTACTGGGGTAAGTGCATATCTGACATTGGGATAGGGAATAGGAATAGGGAGATATTAAGTGTGTATCATATGTAGGGATGGGAAAGTGAAAGAGTGCTCAATCCTGAATGTCTATGGTTGAAGTAAAAAATAATGCCTAAAATGGATAGAAGAAACATGAGTATGCTATTTAGAGATATGGGGGCAAAAAATAAATCAGCAAAAAGAGTTGAAAGTGTTTGCATCTGAGCTATTTTTCATAAGAAGTCTTATACATTTAATTTTAAAAACTATGTCCATACGTAATTAAGATAAAGCATTAAGTGACTCCCTTTCTTCCTTGCCGGTTAGTCTGCACACCTGCCTGTAGTTTATTTAACAAGCCCTGGCTATGAATCAGGCACTCTGCTAGATGCTGAGGATACAAAGCCCAATGAGACCTGGTTCTGCACTTCATGGAGTTTTCAGCCAGAACTGGGAGGGGATCTGTACTCAATAATTAGTGCAGAGAGCAGGTGGGATCCTCAGCCAGGGGTCAGCACAATATGGTAGTGGAGCAAACCAGAAGAGCTCCTACCCCAGAGGCTAGGGGTCAGGAGAAGAGTCAGAGAAATTTTCCTGGAAGAAGTAATGTTCAAGAGGAATCTTGAAGAACGAGTAAGAATTAGACAGCGCAGGAGGGTGGAGATTTCAGGCAGAAGGAACAGCAGGGGGGTGCTGAGTTAGAAGTGATTAAGTGATAGCTTATTAATCCACAAAGAGCCCCTTGTCTGTGATCTTACAGTTCTTGTTACAGCACCCAGAATAACCTTCGTGCCTGATACATATTCATTGAGGTTTATGATCATAAAATACCTCATCTTAAATCAAAGCCGAATAAACCAATCAGAGCACACAAAGATTTATGTGAAAAATTCCAATAACCAGAGAAGTTAGAACTTATCACTGCTAAATGTATTCTTCCTTATTAAGAACATCAGGGAGAACAAAGCTGGAGGCATCATGCTACCTGACTTCAAACTACACTACAAGGCTACAGTAACCAAAAACTGCTACCAAAACAGAGATATAGACCAATGGAACAGAACAGAGGCCTCAGAAATAATGCTGCATATCTACAACTATCTGATCTTTGACAAACCTGACAAAAACAAGAAATGGGGAAAGGATTCCCTATTTAATAAATGGTGGTGGGAAAACTGGCTAGCCATATGTAGAAAGCTGAAACTGGATCCCTTCCTTACACCTTGTACAAAAATTAATTCAAGATGGATTAAAGACTTAAATGTTAGACCTAAAACCATAAAAACCCTAGAAGAAAACCTAGGCAATACCATTCAGGACATAGGCATGCGCAAGGACTTCATGTCTAAAACACCAAAAGCAATGGCAACAAAAGCCAAAATTGACATATGGGATCTAACTAAACTAAAAAGCTTCTGTACAGCAAAAGAAACTACCTATAGGCAACCTATAGAATGGGAGAAAATTTTTGCAATCTACTCATCTGACAAAGGGCTAATATCCAGAATCTACAATGAACTCAAACAAATTTACAAGAAAAAAACAACCCCATCAACAAGTGGGTGAAGGATATGAACAGACACTTTTCAGAAGAAGACATTTATGCAGCCAAAAGACACATGAAAAAATGTTCATCATCACTGGCCATCAGAGAAATGCAAATCAAAACCACAATGAGATACCATCTCACACCAGTTAGAATGGCAATCATTAAAAAGTCAGGAAACAACAGGTGCTGGAGAGGATGTGGAGAAATAGGAACACTTTTACACTGTTGGTGGGACTGTAAACTAGTTCAACCATTGTGGAAGTCAGTGTGGTGATTCCTCAGGGATCTAGAACTAGAAATACCATTTGACCCAGCCATCCCATTACTGGGTATATACCCAAAGGACTATAAATCATGCTGCTATAAAGACACATGCACAGGTATGTTTATTGCGGCACTATTCACAATAGCAGACTTGGAACCAACCCAAATGTCCAACAACGATAGACTGGATTAAGAAAATGTGGCACATATATACCATGGAATACTATGCAGCCATAAAAAATGATGAGTTCATGTCCTTTGTAGGGACATGGATGAAGCTGGAAACCATCATTCTCAGCAAACCATCGCAAGGACAAAAAACCAAACACCGCATGTTCTCACTCATAGGTGGGAACTGAACAATGAGAACACGTGGACACAGGAAGGGGAACATCACACTCTGGGGCCTGTTGTGGGGTGGGGGGAGGGGGGAGGGATAGCATTAGGAGATATACCTAATGCTAAATGACGAGTTAATGGGTGCAGCACACCAACGTGGCACATGTATACATACGTAACAAACCTGCACGTTGTGCACATGTACCCTAGAACTTAAAGTATAATAAAAAAAAGAAATAAAAAAAAATAAATAATAAAAAAAGAACATCAGGAAGAAATGTGTTTAAAATGTGTTTAGCATTGTGTTACCGATTCACCAGTAATTGGTATGTACATTTATAAAAAACAAATTAACAATCCAACTCAATCTTTAAGTATGACTAGAATTTTTATTATGTAAAACTCTTCCTCCCTGTCTTCTTCCCCCACAATCATGCCATGTTGTAACAGTACATGATGCAGCTGTTGTTATTGTTGTGTTTGTCTCTCTCTTTTTAAAGACAATCTCAGTTTTAAAAATAATTTAACTGCAACAATCCTAAAATTGCAAAGAAGCAGTATCATGCATGGCAGCAGGCTGGAAACCAGGTGACTTGAGTTTTAGTTCTAGTTCTACCACTTATGATCTATGAAACCTCACACAAGATTCAAACACTCAAAATCTTGGTGTTCTATTCTCTTAAATGGTAATAGGTACATTCGCCCCCATGGAGTGGTGAGGTTCAAAGAAGAAACAAACCAGTGTGTGACTCTAAAAAAATCCTTAATCTCTTTGGATTTCAGTTTCTGCATCTACAGAATGAAGGGAGTTGCATGCAGACATAACCCCTTATGACATTTCCAGCTTGAAACCTGTTTATATCTACGTAAAGACGGTTTGAAAAAATGTAAACTAGCATTCAAACATATGATGCATTAAAGAATTACTTTAAATAAAACAGAAGAAATGGAGAACTCATTCTATTTTTCTACTATAAATTTTTGTAAACTCCTACCATATCTATGACTGTTTTATTTGTTAATGTACTTTACAACTACCAACCACCTGAAACCACGGAAGTGAATGAAGTTGCCTGAAATGAGAATTTAAAGTGAAGAGGGCTCAGGGGAGAAATGAATCAGTGAAGGAGACTGAGAAGAAGCAGACAAGAGGGAAGCTGGGAGGAGATCGGGATTATCATGGAAGCCATGAGAAGACTGGGTTTCAATGAAGAGGGAACATGCTGAGTTAATGCAACTCAGGGCTAAATAAGATGATGAGTGAAAGGGCCCTCTGAATTTAGAACATGGAAGTTACTTGTGACTTCAGCAGGAACAATTTTGCAGATGGAGGAGGCAGGGCCCTGTTGGAATAAGAGGTGAGTGAATGGAGGTCCGAAAGTAGTCAGTGCATGTAGATAATCCCTTTATGAGGCTTTATTATAAAAGATTAGAATTACATGAATTAGAATGATAGGAGGTGAGATCTGTGGGGTTCAGAAAAATATTAGAGCATGTTTAAATGCTGATGGGAGGAATCCATAAGTGAGAGAGAGAGAATGTGATCCCAGAGAAAAAGGTGTCAAAGGATGGAGCCAGTGCCTGAGCAGGAGGGAGGAAAGACAGGCCTTTGACAAGAGACAGGAGAGGCTGGTACAGCTGCAGATGGGCTTGCAGAACTGAGCTTGGGAAGTCAAAGGAGCTCGCTTCTGGTATCTTCCATTTTCTTTGAGAAGCACAAGACTGGAATATTGTCTGAGAATGTAGGTGACAGTAGTTTGAGGTTTGAAGAAAATGAAGACTGCACAAAAAAAGTCATTATGGAGATTGGGCTTAAAAGACTTTTTTTTTTTTGGCTCAGAAGAATTTTTAAATTTCTAAACACATTCCTTTAAATGAAAGTTTTGAGGAGCATAACCATCTATTTGGAAATTATTAAGTGCTAGATAGATGTGAAAAAAAAGTAAGGAGGCTAAATCAGTGAAACCTAAAGCCACATTTTGGACAAACTGCAAATATTTGAACACAAGGAAAGCCATTCTGCACATACCACCTCCCAGAAGTTGTTCCTGAATTTCCCAAACAAAAGATGCGTTCATTTGTCTGGGTGCTCAGAGCTCTCCGTCCTTTCCATATTGTCCTTTGTGCTGCATCAGTCCTAACAATCCACATATGCTTTCTCCACCTGCTAACCTGTAGGCACCTTAAAGGCTAAAGGCCACAGTCCATAGCTGAATTACATAGTGTGTCTTTCAAGAAATGCTACCTTTGAAATGGTTACATAAATCTTATGTCAAAGAAGAAATGTTATCTGATTTATACAAATTGGCTTTATACACACTGAGGAAGACTCTCACGGCATAAAGTGAGGCATGTTTGTAAGAACAAAGGGTTTCATTGAGTACCCATGGACACAAAGAAGGGAACGATAGACGATGGAGCCTACTTGAGAGTCGGCGGTGGGAGGAGGGTGAGGATCAAAAAACTACCTATTGGGTACTATGCTCACTGCCTGGGTGAGAAAATAATGAGAAAATAATATGTACACCAAACCCCAGTGACATGCAATTTACCCATGTAACTCACCTGCACATGTACTCCTGGAACCTAAAATAAAAGTTGGAGGGGGAAAAAAAAGAACAAAGTGTTTCCAGAAACATCAGCATAGCAAATGGGTGGGCCACGCTTGGAAGCAAAGTGCTCTTTATGTGGGTCACATCACTACTCTACGATTTCAAGAGAGCCCTATGTAGCCAAGTATATTCAAGGAAATGAAACAACTCCCTCCCCCGCTCCTATTCTTCTTAGATACAAAAGACAGATAATTATCTAGAGTATTTCTCAATATGAACAAAATGGAAAAGTGACCTTTGAGTCTGTGACAGTCTATTCACGTCAGTGTTTTTAGCAGGAGCAAAGCAATGTCCAGGCTTAGGGAATGCCCACAGGAGCCAACTTCTGCTCTCCCTCACATTACATAGACCATAAATAAAAAGAAACAGTTTAACAGGCAGCCAGACCCAAATAGCTCATAGGCACCTCCTGGGAGTGATAAAATTCTCCTGCTGGTAGACTTACATAAACCAAGATGCAATGAAATTTTTAAGGATATTCTCCTTGCTTAATAAACCTGAATGTTTTAAGCCTCAAAGATGGCTAGACTAAGACTAAGAGAGGAAATAAATCAGTCTAGCAAGAAAAAGCAATCATTCAGAGTGTTGGTAGATTAGCTGAAACATACAAGAGATCAAATTCAGTGATTTAAAAATCATGTACTTGCTAGTTAAAATGCCCATTTCTAGCTTTTTACCCATTTTAAAACACACTAAAAAGTTTTACCTAGTGATTTAGTTGCTTAATGCTAAAACTGGGGCTTCTATCCAATCTCTGACTTGTTTATGTTCAAAACAGAACATACAATACATTTCAAAGTCTGAAATTTTTTACAGATTCATCTGTTGTTTGATGGCAATTAACAACAAAAAAAGCACTTTATCAGATAATAAGTCAATCCAGTTGTTCATCCTGATCGTAATAAAATCTTAGAGGCTTTTTTGGAAAGTGGTATTTCCAATTTATTAAAGCAAAGTACCCAGACCATTGTTTTGTTTGATTTTAAAAGAATAACACAAAAACGAAGAGGATGAGATAAAAAAAAAACTGGTAGAAGATTGTGGAATCAGTCTGAGAAGTCCTCCTATTCTGTCCTGATTTCCGATAACCACTGGGCTTATGAGAACTTGCTAAGACTGTGAAGCACACATTCTATTCTAAATTACCCTTGTTTTGCTTCTCCTTTTAAAATCTTCAAGCACGCACCCTGAATGAAGACAAAGAATGAGGAGGACTGGCAGGATAGTTATGTTGTCTGTGGGCAAGATATGGCTAGCAGGGCTGGAGTGTTAGATATGGATAGCATGGCTGGGAGTGTTTTCTGGGAGAAAGGATGTCCTGGGGTAAACAACTAGAGCGAGAATTGCGGTGCTTAGAGCAAAAAGGAAATCTTAAAAATAAAACAAAAGCAATTAAAACTAAAATATTAATTTTATGACAACTAATTAGTTTCCAAAATATTTAGAGAGTTGATGGTTTTTCAGAAAATTGCAATGCTAGTCCCAGTCAGGTAGATTATTTCACTTTGAAATCTCTTCAGAAATTTAATGCATGGGTAACTTGCCTAGGGTCATACATAGTATGTCTGGAGTTCTTTGGAATTCTGACTCTCCATATGTGTACTGGCTCAGCTTTTTGGCAAAGAGTTATTATAATGTCTACTACTGGTGAGGGGCCAGTACTGCTGAGGTGCTCATTATTAGTTTTAAGACGGCTGTTCTGCTCTTATCTATTAAGAGACACCATGGGAATGATGTCTCCCCTGACAACCAGAGGATCTTAGGTAGGGAGGCAGCTGTGCTCATTTGTATTCATACTGCATGGTGTTCTTGAATGCATTATAAGTTTATAATGCAAAGAAGATTTTTATGGGAAAAAAAAAACAGTATGTGGGAGAAGTGGAAAACCTTTCCTTGGTATGCACGTGTTTTATATGACAAAATATTCTGCATTTATATTTCTAAAACACCAGAGAGATTCTACAAATCTATCTTCTAAATAAAATAAGACAAACGGAAATCAAATGAATAACCAGTCGGTCATATGTCTTGCTGTGCCTACAATAGTTCTGGTTAATGCCTGTTGTCTCAGCATAATTATTAAAATGATTCTTTTCAGTCTCATCAGCAGAATTATATGATCACCCTATAATAACTGGACATGTAGACATAACCCAGCCTCTTGGAGGAGTTAATTATACCATTTAGGTATTGAATTAAACTGTTTCTTGGCAGCAATCACCAAGGGCAACAGTGGGTTACACACATCTCACCATTTGATAGAAAGAAGCATACATGCTTGCCTATAAAATGTTTAAGACCATGGTAACAGCACTTTTGAAAATGCAGGCCAGGTGCGGTGGCTCATGCCTGTAGTCCCAGCACTTTGGAATGCTGAGGCAGGCAGATCACGAGGTCAGGAGTTCGAGACCAGCCTGGCCATCATAGTGAAACCCTGTCTCTACTAAAAACACAAAAAATTAGCCAGGCATGGTGGCAGGCCCCTATAATCCCAGCTACTCGGGAGGCTGAGGCAAGAGAATCGCTTGAACCTGGGAGGCGGAGACTACAGTGAGCCGAGATGGCGCCATTGCACTCCAGCCTGGGTGACAGTGCGGGATTCCGTCTCAAACAAAAAAAAAAAAAAAAGAAAAAAAGAAAAATTAAAAAGAAAATGCAGAATCTTTTGAATTTTGAAACAAAAAGTCCAAACTTTTGACCAGGCGTGGTGGCTCACACCCGTAATCCCAGCACTTTGGGAGGCTGAGGTGGGTGGATCACCTGAGGTCAAGAGTTTGAGACCAGCCTGACCAACAAGGTGAAACCCCATCTCTACTAAAAATAAGAAGATTAGCCAGGCGTGGTGACAGGCACCTGTGGTCCCAGCTACTCGGGAGGCTGAGATAGGAGAAATGCTTGAACCCAGGAGGCGGAGGTTGCAGTGAGCTGAGATCACACCACTGCACTCCAGCCTGGGCAATGGAGCAACACTCTGACTCAAAAAAAAAAGTCCAAACTTTTGAATTTTGTCTTGAAAAGTAACAGATAAATTTTCTGGATCTGCTTTCACAGTGATTCTTTATTAAAAGTTAGCACATGACACACAATTTTCAGCTTTTTAAGGTCCTTCTATAGACTCTAGGCAAAGGTGATCCTGACAGCTAGGACCACTTAGCCCCAAATGCTGCTCAGCCTCAAGTTAATTCTGCTGTTGGTCCACTGTCTTCTCATACACTTATTGTCTAAACTGCATTTTCTCTTGGGAATAAGCCCTCCACCTTGCATTTCCCTTCTAGTAACTGGGTCCCAATTTGGTTCCCTACTGCATGAACCTATATTTTGGTTCCTTGCTTTTTCCTTTCTCTATTTAGGGGCCTGTTTGTGTGATCCTGAACTTTTCCGATCTGGACTCCCAGCCATTGCCAGTCATCACACTCCTCACTCTCCATTTTGCTATCAAGGACTTTTCATCTCTGAATAGCTGTCACTTAGTACAATGCCTAGTGCATAGTAGATCCTCAATAAATAGTTGTCAAAGGAATCAATAATGAATGAGAACTGAAGCTTCCTTCTCATTGACTGGAGCTGGTTTGCTTCCAAGTGCCACTTCTACCCTGCCACTTTCCACTATTAACAGGGCTTAGGGAGCTAACGTTGTTTGCATATGTTAGTCTTGGGTGAGTTAATACAGCCACAGAGCTTAATGAACGCCAGTGTAGTTGCTTGGTATGTCCCTTATGGGGCAGCTGCCTAGGGCTGTACAGGGTAGGTCTCAGCTGAGGCAGTGTGAGTGGAGCTGAAAGTCACACAATGCTCACATCACCAACACCAGGCTCTAAAGAAGGTAGCCAAAAGAAAGCAGCTCTTTCTGTTTTCTAACCGGTTTGCCCAGAGAGGTCCCACTTTGCAATCCATCCTCTCGGTGGGAGAGCCTTTTTCTAATTTCATACAGTAGCTCATTTGTGTTGGAAGAGGCCCTAGCAGGGCTAACATTACCACAAGGAAACATAGTAAGTGAGTTTTTGGCAAGTGTATCTCTTAAGGAGCAAGCATCTGTGAAGGAGTGAATCTATTATCTCCTTTTTTCTTATTATAGGTAAAACCCAGTATCTTTCTCCTGTTAAGTTCATACAGACAGACTTCATTGAAATTTAAGGGCAACAATTTTAGCATGGTAGCTGACTACCCAGATTTTTTTTTAATTGTGCCATTATATTAAAGCAATTTTTCCCAGGGAAGCAAGGTGAACCCTCTTAGCTTGGAAGAACCCTTGGCTCTTTCAGAGGCTTTCCTCTTACGAGCCTCTAATCTACCTGTGAGACCTAGGCATCTTGTACCACCCCCGCCAAAAAAAAAAACCAGAGTGTAGAGAGGTAGTTTGCCTTGCCCATATGCACTTCTCTAGGATAATTAAATATATATTTTGTCTAGTCTTAGCAGATACATGTAGAGCAGGTCCTTGAATAACATTTTGTTCAAGGACATTTCATTATAAAGTCAATGAGAAAAAACACAGATTCCCGGCCAGGGCCACTGTCTGTGTGGGGTCTGCACGTTTTCCCCATGCCTGTGTGTGTTTTCTCTAGCTACTCTGGTTTCCTCCCACATCCCAAAGCTGTGCACTTTAGGTTAACTGGTGTGTCTACATGGTCCCAGTGTGAGTGAGTGCAGGTGTGTTAGTGTGCCCCACGAGGCGGGGGATGGCCTCCTGTGCAAGGTGGGTTCCCCTGAGCCACCAGGATAGGCTCTGGCTAACTGCAGCCCTGAACTGGAGTAATTTGGTAAACAGTTATCTTACTTGTTTTCATTAATCTTTCTTAAATGTATATATAGCTTACACTGATTTCAGTGTTTACTATAAGGAGTGTTTTGGGTCTCTATTTAGAAGTTAGGTGATGTTTTTGTAACCAGAAATATGCTGTAGGAACTTAACTCTTGTTTATCCCAATTAGCCTATGGTAAAACTGGTTTCATTATTTATTGTTTCATTTAAAGTTTCCAAGAATAGTATAGTTTCCAAGAACCTGTTGACTATGTTAAGTGAGGACTCACTGTATTACTGCTACTCAAAAATTTCCTCTAAACATGGTTAAAAGCACAGACATTGGAACCAGTTTCCTTGAATTCAAACTCTGTCTTTGACACTTATTAACCGTGTAAGGCACTTCATCTGTAAAACAAGGATAGTAATGGCACCTACCTCATAGGGTCATTGTGGGGGTTAAAAATGTTAAATTCACATTATTACTTAAGATAGTGCCTGGCCATACTAAATGCAATATGCATTATCTATCATTACTATTATTTTAGGAGAGTGAAAAAGGTACTGCTTAGTACAAAACATTCATTTTTCAGTAGAGATATGCCAGGTATGTATCATGTTAATATTAGCATTGGGAAAAAATAACTCCGGATTTTCATCAAGGATATTTTCTGAAGTTTGGGTTGTATGAGAATTCTACACTCTGTCCAATTCTTATAATAACACTCATGATCTGCTGTTCATTCATGACCTCACTCAGGAAGTTCAGTTTTGCTACAAATATTACAAATACCAAACTGATGTTTCCTAACTCACTCAGTGTTCTGCCCAGATTGCGGCAGGCCCCTTTTTATGGCTCTGGCAGCTGATATTAGGACTTGATTACTTCTGAACTCCTGAAAACATGTTTGCTGTCAGTTGCAAAAGAGGTGGCATGAGAGCGACTCAAAACATTTCCAGTATCATGACTGTTCCATGAAAGACTTGAGAGAAATGGATACCTTAAAAAAACGAGAATAAATGTGCTGAAGTGCCAAGGAAAAGGCAGTTCTCTCTCTACTAGCTCCAATTTAGGATTTGCACTTCAATCTATACTTGCTCACTTGTGAAATTAAAAATCTTTTTTTTTAAATCACATAATATCAGATGTGACTTCTTCACTTACTTTTATTTTTCTAAGTGCATCTGAAAGAAGAAAGGTATTTCCAGGAGGGCAAAGAAGAGAATGTATATGATTTTTCTTCTCACTTAAGATTCTTATCAAATTTTCCTGATTTTTTTTTTTTTTTTTTGAGACGGAGTTTTGCTCTTGTTGCCCAGGCTGGAGTGCAATGGCACAATCTAGGCTTACCACAACCTCCACCTCCTGGGTTCAAGCGATTCTTCTGCCTCGGCCTCCCGAGTAGCTGGGATTGCAGGCATGTGCCACCACGCCCAGCTAATTTTGTATTTTTAGTAGAGAAGGGGTTTCCCCATGTTGGTCAGGCTGGTCTAGAACTCCTGACCTCAAGTGAACTGCCCACTTCTGCCTACCAAAGTGCTGGGATTACAGGTGTGAGCCACCACGCCCGGCCAAATTTTCCTGATTTTTATGTGTAGGGTTGAACAATGGAACCTAATCTGAATCATTAATTCATTCATGGATTCATTCAGTGAGTAATGATGATGAGTGACGACCACGTGCCGGTGCCCTGATGTTTACAGTCTAGGCATTTTAAATATACTACTTCTGATATTCATAATTCTCCATATTAGGTATTATTTCTACTTTGCAGGACAGGAAACTAAGGCTTAGAGATGTATAGCAACATACTCATTATCACATAGTTATTAATTGGAGGAGCCAGGATTGAAATCTCAGTCCATCTCCTTCTAAAACCCAGGTTTATCAGATTTTTTTTTTACTACATTACACTGGCTATAAACAATGAATGTATTCTTGATAGTACAAAATTCAATGTTTTATAAAGCATATCATGGTTTAGGAAAGCAAGAAATATGCCTGAAAGGCAAGCATTTTTCCTTTTTAATATATATCAGATTTATAGAAAGCACTGTATACATCAGTAAATAAGACATTAGATTAAAGGGCTAGCATATCTTTCAGAAGGTTAGTAAAATACTGTATTTATGTATGGTCTGAACTGCATCATACCAGACAATCCTGAACATGATCTGCAGACTCAATGCTTGCCCTAGTGGCTCACGTCTGAAAATGTCACTTACTGGCCACAGGACATTGGGTGTACTATGTAATCTGTTTGAAAATCTGTTTCTTCATCTATAAAATGGGACTATCATCATTCTATCACATAGGAAGCTACAAAGAGAAAATGGAGAGATACATGTAGAATACTTAACAGTGATGGGCAGGCTTCAGTACCTTACCTTTTCCTCACATATTACACACACAGCTTTACTAACAGTAGCAGTAAAGTACATCTCTGTTTATCATTTACACAGAAAAAAAGAGCTCCAATGGAAATGCCCCAGAACATGAAGATCACTGACTTTGATGGCCTGCCTGTGGTAAAACTTAGGATATAAATGAGGATCAGAAGCTTTTGGGAGACATTTTCTGGATGTGTCAGGTTTAGCGTGACTAAAGAAGGGTTTGAATATAATCCCTAAACTACAAGTAATCTTCCACTTATGCATATTAGGTAAGGATAAATGAACAGTTACATTAACACACAGAGCATATCTACAAACAAATAAGATTTTCTTAAATACATTAGAATGTGTTCATTTAAAAGACTTATTTGAAAAAAATAAAAAGAATTTTAAAAGGTTGTTATTTGACATTGTCACTCTGAATGCATATATATTTATTTCATTCATTTGACAAATGCTTACTGAGTGTCCAGTAAGTTCAGGGCACTGTGCTAGCATTGGGCATATGCTGATACACAAAACAGCAATGGTTTTTTCCCTTCAAAATCAGCTTTGAAACCATGAGTAGAATCAGTCACATTATTTACTGATAAATATACATCGCTAAAAGAATTCAAGTCTGGGCCAGGTGCAGTGGCTCATGCCTGTAATCCTAGCACTTTGGGAGGCCGAGGTGGGTGGATCACTTGAGGTCAGGAGTTTGAGACCAGATTGGCCAATATGGTGAAACCCTTTCTCTACTAAAAATACAAAAATTAGCTGGTATCATGACGCATGCCTGTAATCCCAGCTACTCAGGAGGCTGAAGCAGGAGAATCGCCTAAACCCGGGAGGCAGAGGTTGCAGTGAGCCAAGATCGCACCACTGCACTCTAGCCTGGGCGAAGGAGCGAGACTTTGTCTCAGGAAAAAAAAAAAGAATTCAAGTCTGACTGACTAAAGCCTAAGCTCATCATAAAACCCACCACCTAGGAGAAAATATTAAATGATGCATGTCTTGGAGAATCAACGTAGTTAGCAGAGGAGAGCTTTCCTAACACAATAGAAAAATGCCTTTGGACGGTGTCGGTAGTCCCCTCAGTAAAGTGTCTCACACTTCCTGAATCTGATCACTGGTAATAATGATGATAAAAAAAGATTTCCTTTTTTTAGCATTGGAAAAAACCCTACCCAAATAATTTTTGGAAGCTTGAGATTACATTATTTATCTGGTTCAGGTTTTAAAAATATTTCTGATTTTTTTCTGCCAAAATCCAAGCCCTCTTTCCTCATACAGAACAACTTAGATTTCTGAAATAGTTCTTCCCTTGACATTACTTGGGAGGTGGGCATTATTTCCCCAGAAAAGTAAACAAGGGAATAAAAACAAGGTGACTCAAAGGATGAGGAAGTATGTTTTTGTAGAGAACAAAAGATCCTTTCACAGTATGTCAAAGACTTAACTGTGAACTTTCCCGAATGTAAACACTGTTCAAATGGCAAAAGGAATTTCATCTATGTCTATAAAAGGTCCTGAACAATAGCTCTTGCTTGAAGCTACTTTTGACGGGGCCGTAAAATAATCTTTTCTTCAAATACTTTACATACAGACCTACAAAAACTTTTTCATCTTCTCAGGAGACATACAATTATAATTACCTTCATAATAGCAACAATAACACATAGAAGCACGGTACTGCTAAAGGCAATTAATGTCATAAATTATAAGCAGCATCATTTATGCTTAGAGTCTTCAGGAATAAAGAAATGCTTTAAGAGATAGTTTAAAATATTAGGCTAATGGTTTCCATTTAGCCTAAGAATTTAAAACTTATAGGGGCTGAGTACGGTGGCTCATGCCTGTAATCCCAGCATTTTGGGAGGCCAAGGCGGGTGGATCACATGAGGCCAGGAGTTCGATACCAGCTTGGCCAACATGGTGAAACCTCGTCTCTACTAAAAATCCAAAAAGTAGCTGGGCGTGGTGGGGGGGTGCCTGTAATCCCAGCTACTTGGGAGGCTGAGGCACGAGAATCACTTGAACCCGGGAGGCGGAGTTGCAGTGAGCTGAGATTGCGCCACTGCAGTCCAGCCTGGGTGATGGGGGACACTCTGTCTCAACAACAATAACAACAACAAAAACATAGGGCAGTAGATTTCTTTAAACAGATTTCATTATGATTACAAAAAAGGAATATTAATATTTTAAACCAAAAGGAATTATGAGATATCAGTTAGCTAAAATAAATATTTAACTTTTCCTACTTTAAAGTTTTACTCTTTACAAACCTCCTAGTTTTAATAATTGTAAAATGAACACTAGTAATTATTTAATGACAAGAATATGTCCTATAGTAAAATGCAAAGGAATAAATAGGTTTATTTGCTGTATTAGATGAATAATATATGAATTATAGTCAGGCAGATAATAATATTATCTGTATTTCTGGTGAGGTAGTTTTACTTCGTGTTTCTTTGTGAATCATTTTGATTAGAGTAGATTTTTCCATTAGTATTTTGAGTATTGATCATTTTTGTTTAGTACTGTTAGTATTCATCACAAGTTGATTGTTTTTTCATTTCCAAAGGTTTATTGCTGGGGGGTGAGGGGAGAATGTTATTTTTTTCTACTGAAATGCACCTCTAACTTTATAATATCTGGTAATGGTGAAACAGAATTCACTTCTAGTAACAAGACCTAAGCCACAGAATTTCAGAGTTGGAAGAAAATATGCTGGATACTTTAGGCCCACATTCAGCCTCACTCTGAGAAGGGCAGCATTCCACCACCAGGGGTAGCTTGCACAAGTTAGGTACAAATTTAAGTGATCACTGCAACACGTGTTGTGCCTTTACAAAGCTGGCTGGGACGGGAAATAATCTAATTCCTTGGATTGTTCATTGTAATTTACGTTAAGTTATGAACCTAGTATTAGCCCCTCCCCTTCAAAGGGTCATTATACATACTCAACAAGTTTTCTAAATTTTAAAGTTAATTCGGTAGCTCTTTATAAATTTTAAAATTAGTTCACCATATAATCTTTAATCTATAATAGATAATAGGAGAAATCTATAATCTTTCTATTATTGTACAGATTTATTATCATAAATAATAATATTGTATACTTATATACTACTTTACAGTTCACAAAATGCTTGAACATGTTATCTCATTTGGGTTTTACAACAATCCTGTGAGGTAGCTGCTATAGTCAGTTCTATTTTACAGATGGGGAAATGGAGCTTCAGAGAGGTTAAATGATAGCCTAAGATCACTGGATAGAACTTGGAATCAAACTTGGTTTTGGCTACCTGGCTCAGAGGTGTTTATTCCATAGCCACAAACTAACAAGCGTAGAAACATGAACCAGGGTGGGATTGATCCCTATTTGATTCTTTGCCAACCTAGGCAATAGTCACTAGTGAAGAGTGAGCTCATTTACAGATACAAAAGGCTCAGCCTGGAAAACTCCAAAGGATTCTCCAGTTTTATCATCCCTCTGAGGGACCTCGTAAAAGCTTTAAATAGCCAAATTAATTGTACATCCATTTACTGATTTACTGATTCATCAAGAATTTATTGAAATCTGACCAGGTGTCAGGCTCCTAGGTGGGTGCTGGGGGTGCCAGCCTAAGTGGGACATACACTCTGCTCTGGGGGAACTTGCCCTTCTGACACATGTCAAAGTCAGAGATCACAGCATGATCAAGGCATAGGGATGCCGAGGAGGGAGGGATGTGTTTTGCTGAGGGTAGACAGGCTGCATCCAAGGAGGGCTTAGGGAGACATTGGCATGCAGCCTTAAAGGAAGAGACACAGGAGTGTGTATGGGCATTCCAGGCAGGGGCCAATGTGAGTGAAGGTGTGGGGTCTGATAAGGCATATTTAAGGGGTGTGTGGACACTGCTTTAGCTTCATTCTTCTCATTCTTACAACCAGAGGATTTTGCTTTGTCACTCATAAAATGCGTAATAAATATAAACAGAAACCAAAACAACATGGTACTGGTACAAAAACAGATACATAGACCAATGGAACATGTGAGAGAAGCCAGAAACAAAGCCACACACCTACAGCCATCTGATCTTTGACAAAGCCAACAAAAAAAAAAGCAATGGGGAAAGGATTGAGGATTGCTTTGACTATTGAGGCTCTCTTTTGGTTCCATACAAATTGTAAAATAGCTTTTCCTAATTTTGTGAAAAATGACATTGGTAGTTTGACAGGAATAGCATTGTATCTGTAAATTGCTTTGGACAGTATCTCCTTTATTTTCCCCCTTTCCTTCCCTCTGATTTCAGGAGATTCCATTTAAAAAAATTATCTTAGAGTGAGAATATAATAGTGTAGAAAGCAGAGGTAGACTGCCCATCTTTTTGGCTTTTGTATTCCAAACCAGGAGTTGGCAAACTTTTCTATAAAAAGCCACGTAGTAAATATTTTAGGCTTTACAGGCCATATGGTCTTTGTTGCAACTACTCAACTGTGCCTTTGTAGTGCAAAAGCAGACACAGACAATACATAAATGAATGAGTGTAGCTGTGTTTCAATAAAACTTTATGGACACCAAAATTTGAATTTCATAAAATTTTCATATGCCATGAAATATAATTATTTTTATCAACTGATTTTTTCCAACTGTTAAAGTTTTTTTTCCAAAAAAATCTTAGTTTGTGGGCCTACAGAAAAAGGTGGTGCAATTTGCCAGTCCCTGTTTTAATTGCTTAGGGAACCTAAGGGACTCTTCTAGAGCTTGTAAGCAAATTTAGCAACACAGGAAAGCCTGGAAGAGAATGGGGCTTCATTTCTCAATCCTGCTCCACCCTGGTGTGAGAAAAGAGATATCAGCAGGTCCTGCCATCCCACAAATGTGTGTACTGTCATTACTCCCAGTGTGAAACATTCTGAATTTGCTGCTAAAATTTCAAATTAATGAGATTTCACTTAAAAATCTAGATTTTGGTCTTCTCTTGAAAATGGGAGGATAAGGCCAAATTGGGGCCAGATTCTCACATGGCAACAGCTAGGTAGTGACTGCCTTCCTATATGGGGCACAACTTCCTGTTCACCTGAGACCCTCCTGGCCTGTGTCCCCATCCACATTGCCTGTCTGGCACCTATAAGCATTTAGTCTAAATTCTACTAAGCAGAGACATCTGTTTTCTTCTCTAAGGGCACAACTTCCATTAAAACTAATCTTTTGGTCCTAGGGAAGCCACATGGGGAAGAGGCATACAAACACGGGCTTCTGAGTTAGATAAACCTAGGCTGAAATCTCAGCTTTGTTCTTTGTTAGCAGAGTGAGCCTGGACAAATTACTTACTCCCAACCTCAGAATGGGAGCAATAATATATACACCTGAAATGGTGGTTGTAATGATCATGTGAGAGAATGTATCAGAAGCAGCTAGCACATACTCAGCAGTTAATTAAAAGAAGAATCACTACAATGGAGAAGTTCTTTGATGTGTATCTTTTAGTTTTAGACCCTGTATTCATTGTTGCCTTTTGTGGAAGGACCTGAAGGATGAGCTTACAATCTACCTTATTTTATAAAAAAAAAGAAATTAAGGCCCAGAGAGGTGAAATGACTACTTAAAACCAACTAGTGATGGAACCAGAAAGAGGATTTGGGTTTCTTAATTTTTAGTCAGAGGAAATTTCTCTGTGCTACAATACCTCACTAAAATTTCTGAATTCTTTCATAAAAGCCTTTCATTTGATAGCCAAAAGATCTTCTGATAGAAAGGACATTGACTCAAGATTTCTGGCTAGCCTAGTGACGATGCTTTTATATTACAACTTCCAAATATAGTGAAATGACAAGAATTTGTCATTAGTTGTTGAAGTTCCAGTATTTATTTGAAATACTCCTGTTCTAAGCTCACCGACACCCTCCTGTGGTCAGTGGAAATAATAATTCCAGTCAAACAAACAAGAAAAATCTGGAGCTATTTAAAGTTAATGGTTAAATGTAACAAGATAGATAGATGTCAAATAACATAATACAAATTCACTATAATTACATTATTTTAGGTCCTAGCCATTGCACAGAGCAAAGATTACTTGTCTATCTCTGACCAAATCTTTAATGAGATTGATAGATTATAATGGATGTTTTCCTTAGGGCTTGTTCACAATAAAACTGCCTGTTATAAATTAATGTAAAAAAATCAGTAGTATTTCTATATACCAGTAACGTCCAAGCTGAAGGCCAAATCAAGAACACAATCCCATTCACAATAGCCACAAACAGAATAAAATACCTAAGAATACAGCTAATCAGCGAGATAAAAGATTTCTACAAATTACAGAACTACAAAATACTGCTGAAAGAAATCAGAGATAACGCAGACAAATAGAAAAACATTCTATGCTCATGGATAGGAAGAATCAGTATTGTTAAAATGGCCACACTGCCCAAAGCAATTTATAGATTCAATACTATTCCTATCAAACTACCATTGGCATTCTTCATAGAATTAGAAAAAACTATTTTACAATTCATATGGAACCAAAAAAAGAGCCTGAATAGCCAAAGCAATCCTAAGTAAAAAGAACAAAGCTGGAGGCATCAAATTATCCAACTTCAAACTATACTACAAGGCTACAGTAACCAAAACAGCACCATACTGGTACAAAAACAGACACATAGACCAATGGAACAGAATAGAGAACCCAGAAACAAAGTTGCCCACCTATAGCCATATGATTCTCGACAAAGTCAACAAAAACAAGCAATGGGGAAAGAACTCTACTCAATAAGTGGTGCTGGGATAAGTAGCTGGCCGTATGCAGAAGATTGAAACTGGACCTCTTCCTTTTACTACATACAGAAATAAACTCAAAATGGATTAAAGACTTAAATCTAAGACCTAAAACTATAACAACCTAGAAGAAAACTAGGAAATACCATTCTGGACATCAGCCTTGGCAAAGAATTTATGACTAGGTCCCCAAAAGCAATTGCAACAAAAACAAAAATTGACTCATAAAAACAAACACACACACAAAGGGAGAAGAGAACACACTCTGTTACCTTAGAATGCCAACTAATAAATGTCAAAGGAATACTGGAATCAGAAAAATCACCACTTTGCAACTATAGTGATAATAACTGATTCAAGCAAGAATCATGAACAGATGATAAAATTAATGGATGAAAGTTTGATGAAACAAGATTCACATCATCTTCAAATATATGCCCACAAAACACATTATAAAGGAAAAAATAGTAATGTCACAGTGGAGACATCACCCTAACCAAATGTTCAAAGTTAACATCACCAGCAATGGGACAAATTGACATCATGTGTCACCTAGTAGAGCAGTCCCCAACATTTTTGGCCCCAGGACCTGGTTTCGTGGAACAATTTTTCCAGGGACAGGGTAGAGGGAATGGTTTCAGGATAAAACTGTTCCACGTCAGATCATCAGGCATTAGATTCTCATAAGGAGGACACAATTTACATTCCTCGCATGCACAGTTCACACAAGAGGGTTCACGCTCCTGTGAGAATCTACTGCTGCTGGCGAGCTGCTGGTCTGACAGGAGACAGCACTCTGGTGATGATGATCACCTGCCAGCTCCTCACTTCTTGCTGTGTGGGCCTGGGGCACTGGGGACTCCTGATCTAACAGGACACATTGAGAACACAGCATTATTGTGATGTTCCTGCCAATGATGCGTAAGCTGGATCTAAAAACAGAAAACATCAGATGAACCCAGACTGAGGGATGTTCTACAAAATCACTGGCCTATAAGTCTTCAAAAATGTCAAGGTCATGAAAGTCAAGGAAAGATGAGGAACTGTTCAGATTGAAAGACACCAAAGAGACATGTAAAGTAAATGTAATACATGATCTGCAATTGCTTCCTTTTTCTATAAAGGATGTTATTGAGACATCTGAAATTTGAATAAGGTCTGTGGGTTACACATTAATGCTATATCAATGTTAACTTCCTGATTTTGAGGTCTGTGTTGTTGGTTACGTTAGGAGAATGCTCTTGTGAGGAAAAACTGAAATTTTTTTTTTTTTTTTTTGAGACAGAGTCTCGCTCGTGGCCCAAGATGGAGTGCAGCGGCATGCTCTTGGCTCACTGCAACCTCCGCCCCCTGGGTTCAAGCAATTCTCCTGCCTCAGCCTCTCTAGTAGCTGGGATTACAGGCATGTGCTACCATGCTCAGCTAATTTTTATATTTTAGGAGAGATGGGGTTTCGCCATGTTGGCCAGGCTGGTCTCAAACTCCTGACGTCAGTTGATCCGCCCACTTCAGCCTCCCAAAGTGCTGGAATTACAGGCGTGAGCCACCACGCCCAGCCAGTATTTAGAGGTAATGGGGCATCATGTCTACAACTCACATTTAAGTGGTTCACGAAAAATAATGTAGATATATAATATATATCCACACATACAGAGAGACAGAGAGAGAGAGAGAGAGAGAGAGAGAGAAAGTAAAAGGTTTTAACAATGTAATTATATTTTATGAAAAAATGGTTACATTATATCTGGGGACAGAAATTATAGAGTTTGGATTTAAGACTCTGGTGATGGAATGAGTTTTTTTTCCTATTATTTTTATCAGCAAGTGCCCTTGGTGAACATATGCTCCTTTTAAACTCGCCAAAGATTAGAAGATATTAGTGATATCTTCCTCAGAGGTTGAAGAATCAAGACCTGTCCTGTAAAGGAAATGCTATTGCAATTTTAGAGAAGCCATATTATATAAATAAGTATTGAAAATACATTTGTATAGTCTATCTATCTATCTAAATATTTCTTGAGCTGGGCTTAGGTGAGAAGGAGCTATATTCAGAATCTTAAAGTATGTTCCTGTTTTATCTTGAAAGCAGTCAGAGGCCTTCCCTACCATCAAACCAGAGGCACAAAAGAGATGTACATCTGATTTTTAAACTTCGAAATAATTATGGGCTACAAAAGAAGAAACATTGTTATTTTAAGACTAAGGGAGTCATAATTACAATAATGGCGACTATTTACTGCTGTGAAATAGTCCTTACAGATTGTTGAGAGTAACCCGAAGCAGACTGGAACACATGAACTTGTTTCCGATATTGTGTCAGATTTTTCTCTTTCTGAGTAATGACTTATATGTAAATATGAAGGCAGAGCAGTTGAGGGAATGATGACTTACAATCAAATGCAGCACTTTCCTCTTTGGCTTGTGCAAAACCTATTTAAGTTTCAGATTTTCCTACGAGGGTTCTACAGATGTTCTTTATGGAAAGGATTATTCAGCCCTCACCAGCAACGTGAAATGTAGGCCCTTCAACAGCTTTGTATTCCCCTCTTAAAACAAACATCCCGAAGAAAAAAATAATAAAAATTATCCAATATGAGTGAGCTCTTTTTCTTGGGGGGTAAGGGGATTCCCACTGTTATGCTACCAGAACACTGTCAAGGAAGACTTGACGAATTTCATTCAGAACCCCAGCAACTGGAAAGTCTCATATGAATTAGACTGGACTAGAGAGTATTTATTTCTGCTCTCTGTATAATTAGAAAACCAAGTATATATTTCTGAGCTATTCATCCAAGGAATTAAATGGAAGATAAAATTAATGGATACTATATCACCATTGGCCTAATTACCATATATTAGGTAAGGATCATGCTTCATGATTGTCTTGTTGAGTGCAAAACAATAAATCTGACAATTCAAGTAAATCTGAAGTCCCGGACTCCAAGAAGTCCTAACTTAGAGGAAAGATCATTAGCTATCACTTGGAAGGAGCTGGCTCTTGCTGTCAAAACCACTAAAAAATAAAAATAAAAATAAAAATCACATGGTCATGCGTGTTGTTCATCCAGCATTTCTTCTGGGGTGCTCCCCTCCCATCCTTATTTCCTAACTTCATGTTTCAGGTGTGACTGATTCAGTCCCTTCTCATTCCAAACTCTAGGGGTGGAGACATGGCCCAGGTCTGACCAATCAAAGTATGCCATCCCTTTGGCCACAGTGATGGGTTCAGGGCATGTGACCTCACCAGCCTATTTAAGCACTCCTGAGGACTTCTGCTGAAATTACACGGAGAGACATGCCCCTTTGGCTGAGGTTGCCAGCTGGAAGAACCATATGTATTACCCAGTGCTACCAGGACCATCTTTGCCACCTGATGGAGAACGACTGTGTGAGAATGAAGCCACCCCCGAGAAAAGCAGAGCCAAGAGGAGAGAGGCTGGGTCCTGTGCCATGTGTTGAGCGCCAGGCCCTGAGACTTCTAGGTTTCTGAGCCAATAAATTTCCTTTTGTAGTTTAAGTTACTGTGAGCTGAATTTTTGTCATATTCTATGTTCCTAATAAACATCATTTTACATACTTTTTGATTCCATAATAAATCTGGAATCACATAAATAATAAGTCCTCTCTTTAAAGGTACAGAGAAAAGTTATTCTTTTTTTTTTTTTTTTTTGAAACGGAGTCTCACTCTGTCGCCCAGGCCGGACTGCGGACTGCAGTGGCACAATCTCGGCTCACTGCAAGCTCCGCTTCCCGGGTTCACGCCATTCTCCCGCCTCAGCCTCCCGAGTAGCTGGGACTACAGGCGCCCGCCACCGCGCCCGGCTAATTTTTTGTATTTTTAGTAGAGACGGGGTTTCACCTTGTTAGCCAGGATGGTCTCGATCTCCTGACCTCATGATCTACCCGCCTCGGCCTCCCAAAGTGCTGGGATTACAGGCGTGAGCCACCGCGCCCGGCCAAGTTATTCTTTTAAGTGGCAGCTTAACCCTAGCACAGCAGATTTATTTTCTGAGGTCATAAATGACATGCAACCTGGCAATGTCATGAGTCAGGATTAGAATGAGCATAAAGGTCTTGTCCTAAGACGTCTACTGGAGTAAAGAAAACCAGGAACACAGACACTGGTAACTTGCTAACGCATCTTTTAAAGGTTAAAATAGATTTGGGGTCTATTGGGTTAAACAAAGTTAAAGAGGTTTCTTTACAGAGAGACTTCTCAAAGCCAGATATTTACCAATTGTAATTTCATCTCTAAGAGGCTACTAAGCTATACAGTGTTTCCTAACAGCTAGAACATGGTATTTTCATGAAAAAAGGGTTCAGAGAACAAACTTTCAGAAACGTTTAGCTGGGCACAGTCACTTGCACCTGTAGTTCCATCTACTTGGAAGGCTGACGTGAGAGGATAGATGGCGCTCAGGAGTTTGAGGCCAGCCTAGGCAAAATGGTGAGATTCCAGTCTGAAAAAAAGGAAACATTTGACTATGCATGTTTCTAAAAACATAGTTTATTTGTCCTGAGCATTTTCCTTGATTGCTCCATTTTCCTTGGCAGCTTGCCATTTTTATGGTTTCATCTAAAACCTTCATGCTCAGGATCATTATATAAATATCTCTCTCACTAGCTTGAAGCTCTTGTCCCGTTTCAATTTCTGACTGAACACAGTCACGATTACCTCACACAGCATATTTACAATGCCTGAACCCTATCTTCTCTCCAACTTTCCTGGTTCCTTCAGTGATCTGCCTTTTTGCCAGACATCCAAACTAGAAACATCCGTAATGTCTGCCTCCACGTCCCATAGTCAGCCAGTCTCCAACAACTCACACCTGGTCATTACCTCAGCCTCACAGTTGCCCAGCTTCACTCGGACTTCCTTCCCAGACCACATCACTCCCATGTCCACCCTTCTAAACACAGCCAATGCTTTTAGCAGTTTTTGAGTGGAAGCAGAGAGCATTGGTGGTTCAGTTCTTGGGCTATAGGTCGTGGAGGAAATACATGGGCTATGCTCTGCCTGGAAAGTGAGCAGTAATATTACATGGGAGAAGGCCTATTCTTATACCTGTATCTTCCTACCAGCAAATCCTGCAGAGCTTTAAATGAAACTCATTCCAGAAAATCATTTTAACCCTGTTAGGCCTGTGTCTCCTTAAGTATTTGTATGAAAGTTCAATTAAAGTTTAATTATGTCAATGGATGAACAAGAAGGAAAACTTTTATATTATTTTTAAAATCCATATTCCTTAAACTGAGGGTAAAGATCACTGGACAGGAGCAAGGTTTGAAACAATTTCTGAGAAAGCTGATCAGTAACAACATCACCCATCATGACCTTGTATCAGTGGAGCTCAGAAATGCAGTTCTTTTCCTACCTCTCCAGTCAGAAGTATGTAAGAACGTGGCTATGGGTAAGTTATGATACATTTAAAAGCAGATTGCTTCAGTACAAAGAAAGTTATTTAACCTCCCTGTGCATTGGTGTCTTAACAGCTCTGTGCTTCGGTTTCCTCATCTGTAAATTGCAGTAATAACAGTACCTTTCATATAGTGTTTTTATAATAATTAAATGAATTAAAAGCCTGCCATTTGTCTCTGTACACTGAGAACAGCATTGGTATATGATTAGCACATGTAAGTATTGGCTATTACTACTATTACTACCATTTTAGGGATTATTCTTCCTTCTTTTAAAACTGCTATTAGAATAGTATTAGTGAAAACAGTGTTCACAACTGGAGTAACTCCCAGGGTGTTAGTCTTTCTTGTTTATCTACTCCCAGGACCTGTGCTCCTAGGTCTATTCAAATAGAGTATCTTACTGATGTCTCTATCCAGCTGTTACATAATTCTGATCTCAACATAAATACAGAAATACTTAAGTAGACAACAACAACAAAGCTTTTTATTAGAATTCAAAAATATGTTCAAATTGGTGACTTCTGGAAACACTTTCATAAGAGAATACATCAGAAACTGTTACGTGTCCTATAGAGATAAGGGACAACCTACTGAACCAAGGCAGTTCAGAAAACTGATGACTAGTTTTGGTTAAGCAAGCATATGAAATGACCACAGATTTAACATATGCTATTTGTCAAAAAGGAATAATGAGGTTTCTCTACTTTTCTCCATGCCACCTTGATGTCTGTTTTCATGTTCTTTTGCTTTATCATAAATACTTTAAAAAATGATATTGATATAGGAAAAAGTTTGGGCTCTAGCCTTCCCATAATCATCACACTGCTACATTTCCACTGGTGAATGGAACTGATGATCACTCTTTTTTTTTTCTTTTTTTCTGAGACAGAGTCTCACTCTATCACCCAGGCTGGAGTACAGTGGCATGATCTTGGTTCACTGCAATCTCTGCCTCCCAGGTTCAAGTGAACTTTGTGCCTCAGCCTCCTGAGTAGCTGGAATTACAGGTGCATGCCACCATGCCTGGCTAGTTTTTGTATTTTTAGTAGAGATGGGGTTTCTCCATGTTGCCCAGGATGGTCTTGAACTGTTGACCTCAAGTGATCCACCTGCCTCACCCTCCCAAAGTGTTGGGATTACAGGCATGAGCCACCGTGCCTGGCCAGATGATCACCCTTCTTAAATCCCAGAGGCATTGGCTTTCCTCTAAACACTCCACAGTGATTTCACTACATTCTTGAGGAGAAGCAGTATCCCTGTGTGGGTCCTGTCTTTCAATGCCTCATTTCTTAAAGAGAGATTGAGGACTCCCAAGAGTCCCATTCATCCTGGGGAAGGAAAGACTGATGAGCTTATTACTACACAGCCTTAACGTTGTTTAGGGGTGGTGATGGGATACCTAATCAACTCACTTCTGTGCACTGAATCACGCTGCTGCAACTGTGCTTGTTTTTACCCCTTTCCTGACAGCAGACTCACTCTTCTGGAAACCAACTTCAGATCCTGCTGCCTTGCTCACTTGAACAACATAGAAATTTTGCAACACTTTAACTTATTTTATCTATTCATCAAAGGAAAGAGTATTAGGGATTAAGAAATGGCATGAGAATCTCTGAGAATTGGGTTTCTTTTTTTTTTTTTTTGAGACGGAGTCTCGCTCTATTGCCAGGTTGGCACGATTTCGGCTCACTGAAACCTCTGCATCCCGGGTTCAAGCGATTCTCCTGCTTCAGCCTCCCAAGTAGCTGGGACTACAGGCGCATGCCACCACACCCAGCTAATTTTTGAATTTTTAGTAGAGACGGGGTTTCACCATGTTGGCCAGGATGGTCTCAATCTCTTGATCTTGTGATCCGCCCACCTCAGCTTCCCAAAGTGCTGGGATTACAAGTGTGAGCCACTGCACCTGGCCAAGAATTCAGTTTTCTGTTATCAATTAAAGAGCATCTAAAAGGATCTTTCTTACTGCTTGCCACGAAGCTGAAAATTATTTGGCTGCTCAGAAACACTGACTTCTATGGGAACCAACATAATTTGATGGAGTTATATAGAGACAAATGCCAAGCTTTTAACTCCACTGGCATTTTCAGATTTTGGCAGGGGGAGGCATTCTGGAAACTCTGGATATCTGACTAGGTAGTGAAAGTTGGTAATGCTGCCTGGGCTGTAGGGCATGGTGGATAAAGAGCACACATTGTAGAACTACTAACTCTGCCACTTACCAGATGTGTGATCTTGGGCAAGTTATGTAACCTCTCTGGGCCTTAGTTTCTCCATCTGCAAATAACATACCTGGAACATTTTCTTACTCCAAAAATGATACCATAGATTGAGACTTTTTTTTTCTTTAACACTCTGACCAAATTAGCTTTCTTGACCTTAGAAGTTTTAAAGTATTCATTTAAAATTATTTTTAAGAATTAGCTTCACAGTCTCTATGTAATTACAACAATGAATGATGACATGGGATTGGATACTATTATTATTGTATACATGGCATTGTATACTATTATTACTATTGTATCCTATTATTATTCCTGGGCTTGTAACTATTGTGTAATTTTATTTGCATATTGAAAAATCAACAAGGTTTTAAACATGTGCTTGTTTTGCATATGGATGTCCAATTGTCAAAGCACCATTTGTTGACTATCCTTTCTCCATTAAACTGTTGTGGCATCTTTGTTGAAAACTGTTGGCAATATGTCTGTGGGTCTAATTTTGGACAGTCTATTCTGTTTCATTGATTTAATTTTTTTGCGAACATTGCACTGTCTTGATTATTGTAGTTTTATAGTAAATCTTAAAATTAGGTAGCATGATTTCTCCAACTTTATTCTTCTTTTAAAAATTATTTTGGTTCATTTAGTTCATTTATCTTCCCATATAAATTTTAGAGTTGGCTTGTTTATAGCTATAAACAAAATCCTGCAGAGATTGAATTGGAATTGTGTTAAATCTGTAGGCCAATTTGGAGAGAACTGACATCATTATTAGGTTGAGTTTTCTAATCCATGAACTCAGTATATCTCTCCATTTATTTAGGTCTTTGATTTCTTTCATTAATGTTTTACAGTATTCAGCATACACATCCTGCACAAGTCTTATTGATTTATACCTAAATAAAAAATTTCATTTTTAGAGAAAGTTGTTTGTAAATGGTAGATGTATTTTTAAATTTTAATTGTTAGTTATCAATTGTTAGTATATAGAAATATAATTGATTTTTGGCTTCGATAAACTCATTTATTAGTTCTAAGAGTAGTTTCTTTTGCTTGTTTGTTTTGTCTTTTTTTTTTTTAATAGATTCTGTGGGATTTTCTAGGTAGGCAATTATGTTGTTTGCAAATAGGGACAGTTTTATTTCTTCCTTCCTAATCTGGATATCTTTTATTTATTTTTCTTTTCTTATTGCTCCTTTTCTTTTTTAAATTTTTTTATTTTATTATGATTATACTTTAAGTTTTAGGGTACATGTGCACAACGTGCAGGTTTGTTACATAGGTATACATGTGATGTTGAATAGGAATGGTGAGCATGGTCATTGCCTTATTCCCAGCATTACAGGGAAAGCGTTCAGTCTCTTATCATTAAAATATGGTGCCAGCTGTGGTGATTTTACAGATGCCCTTTATCGGGTTGAGAAAATTTCCTTCTATTCCTAGTTTCCTGAGAGTACCACTTCAATTTCCAAGCTGCCTTGAATCAAAACCAGAAGACTCTGGAGGAAAAATGAGAAACTCATAGCTGATTACCATTTAGGTAGTTCAAATTCTGGTCTTCTTCCTCAATCCATATGCTATCATTTATTTTTCAGGGACTTTGAATAGTAGCTCATGCATTCTGTCCAGGTTTTATAGCTGCATTCAGTGGGAGAGACAAGGTGAGTGCTTGTTCCACTGTATTCAGAACTGGAATCCTTGAGTCATTTTAAAGTCAAAGAAAGAAAATTAACCAGCTTATTCAGTTACATAAAAAAAAAGTACTGTTTTAAGTTTCAAGGATCCAAAGATGAGTTAAATTTAATCTCTACTTCTGAGGAATTGTTTCATGCCCACCCTCATTCCTCTTTTCCATCTGGTAAATTCCTACTTGTTATTATTTTGACTTGTTATTATTTTGAAGTAATTTTTAATTCTTATCAAAGTAATAAGCATACACGGTTTAATAAGTCAAATAGTACTACAAGATGTATAACAATTTAAAATAGCACCCTTGTGACACAGTCTCCCCCTCAAGCAATTAAGAGGTTAAAGGTAACTACTTCAACTCTGCTTACTACATCTTTTACTATTTACCTCCATATTTCTAAGTAATATTCTTATGTCTCCTTATTTTTCAATTTCAGACATTGTCTATTGACTTCCTATTATGAAAGGTAAGGATTATTTTTCCTCTCCCACCTCAAACACACATCACTCATTTTTTTCTCCCCTCATTCCCCCTAATAAAGTGCTATCATAAACAAATCAATATTGTTTACCTTATCATTACTATACAGTCCCCGACTTACGATGATTCAATTTAACAATTTTTCTACATCGTGGTTCAATTTAACAATTTTTCTACTTTACGATGTAGAAAAATTGTTAAATTGAACCGTCGTTAAGTCGGGGACTGTCTGTATAGTAATGATAATAAAGTGCTGAATAGCTCATGTAACTTACTGAATATATTATGTCACAGTCTAGACATAATGTATTCAGTAAGTTACATGAGGTATTCAGCACTTTATTATCAAATAGGCTTTTATGTTAGATAATTTTGCCCAACTGGGAATTACCTTTGCCACTCTTTCCACCTATGTCTTCCTCTTTCTTGGTTTACTCCCTTTTTTTAGCGACAGCACATCATGCAGTAGCTTCTTGAGAAATAATGTAATGTTTTTGAGATTTGCACATTTAATAATGGTTTTAGTCTACTTGATTAATAGCTTGGCTGGATATAAATTCTAGCCGGAAATCCTTTTCCCTCTTTGATTTTCTCTTTAGTTTCCAATGCTGCTTTGGAGAAACCCAGTGCCATTAGGATTTCTACCACTTTTATATGACCTGTTCCCTACTTCTCTCAAAATTAGAAGTTATCGGCTTTATTTCTTTATCCATGGGGTTCTAAAATTTCAAGTGGACATGCTTTGATGTGTGTGTGTGTGTGTGTGTGTGTGTGTGTGTGTGTGTGTTCCATTTGTTATACTGTATATCTGGTTCTTTAGTTCAGTGAAATTCTTAAATATAGATGCTACTACCTTCCTTGAGTCTAAGTAAAAAAAGCAGACTTTCACTTTATCTTCTTGTTGTATGGTTTCCCTCCTGTCCTAATTGGTGCCTTTTGTAAGGGCAGAGGAGAGCCAGCTGCCTAGAAGCATAGGATAGAGGAGAAAATCTGGATGTCTCAACGGCCTGGACAGACTTTCGACTAATCTTCCAAATTTCAGTGCCACCCCACATTACAACCTTCAGAACTACACAGTATCTTCAAGTCCTGTTGCTAACAAAAGCTTAAAATAGGAGGAGGAAAAAGCTATGAAAAGCTTAGAAAGACAGGATTCCAATTTGCCCTGTGTTTTTGTTGCTGTTGTTGTTGTTTTCCTGTTTTCTACTGTTCTCAGGACTCAGAGTAAATGATGTATACTTTGCTGCATGTTTTTTGGTCTTGTTCTAATTTGTCTTTTAAATAAGGCTAAACACTATAATCCTCTGCTGACAATTGTCCTATCATTGATTTCCTGCTTTTCTTCAAGCTGACAGGTTTAGGCAAAGACCATTTTTACAATTCCTTTTTTGGATCTGACAAAATTTTTTCCAAACAGGATTATAAACAAAGCTTACATTTTAACACTAGTATAGATGATGAATTATGTAACTCATTGGATCATAAGTTAATATTAGGTATTTGAGTAATACTGTTTCATTTAAATTTGGCTTTGTCTCCATAAAGCATTGAAGAATTCCGTAGCCCAATATTAACTTAAATTCTAAGTTTCTATTTTTTATTGTTTACTGAGTACTTACTCTGTACCAGGCATTACTGTATTTCATTCTTACAACTTTGTTAAGGTTCAATTATTTTTATATTATGATTAGAAAGTGAGGCTTTGAAAGAATAAGTAATTTGCCAGAGATCACCTACAAAGTTGAACCAGGATTTTAATCTAGGTTTGAACACTATAAATTTCATGCTCTTAAATAATAAGTTGTACTGCTTATGAATAAAATCATAAATATAATAGCAAGAAGCTTTTATTTCTATAGCCATTGTGATTGTAAGGTATACATTTACATTTAAGTAAGTACTTAATGTAAGTAATTAAGTACATTAAGTAAGTACTTAATGTAAGTACTTAAATGTAAGTGTATACCTAACGAGCTCAGAACCGTAACAGTTCTAGAGTCATTGACTGTCAACCTATTAATTGCATTTCACATTCAGGTTTATAGCCAGTATATTGCAGAATTAATTTGTTTTCTTTATACTTTAATATTGTTAAAATTACCTCTTTACTTGCTGATCATATTGTTGAACAATATGCACTAGTGATATGGTAACACAATTATCCTACGGCCTGTCTTGAGAGGAGATTGAAATAGTCCTGCTGATGATTTGAAAAGGAATTTTTTGAGGTTAGACCTTTTCTAAAGAGTGAAAGTAAGATAATATTTCTATTTTAAATATTAGTTTAACATTCTATAATTTTCATAATTTATAGGGGTATCATTCTTATTGGATATGCATAAAAAGTTAATGAAACCTCACAGCCTCCCTAAAATCATAAACTTGTTTATTTGCTTGCCTTAGGGAGGTGACTGCTGATTTAATTTTAATTGTATTTAGCAATTACTGATAATGTTGTGATCCAATGGAAGCTTTTCTTTTAGAGGAATGTAAAAATCAACTTGCAATTTCTCTCTGAAACACAATCTATATAAGAAAGGAGGCCCATATGCATGAACCCAGGAGTGCTATCTTACTTCAGGGCAGATTTTTCTTCAATTCTTTACTCAAACCAAATTTCTGGTTCAAGAAGAGTATGGCCAATTGGTTACTGGGATAACTGCAGGCTTCCACATTTCCTGAGCTAACATGATACTATCTTATCTGTGTTCTCTGTACCTTTCTCCCTTTTCTCTCATTGCTTCTGTCCCTATCACCATCTTACTGCCTCATTTCTGAAAGCCTTGCTGTTAGGTAACTGCCATAATTCTCTTTGGGGAGTTAGATGATAAAGCCATAAATAAGCAAGTGGCATGATAGAGCTAAACTATATCAGCCTATGAGAGATAACTGCTAAATACTTAGGAATTTTTCAAGCTGATTGTTAACCTTTGGTAGCTTGAAATCATGGTGGGGGTGTTTGCAAAATGGAAACTGGCAAACTTAACAACCCCCCAGTCTCCATGAGAACTAGTTTACTAGCACGCCACCGGGATCTTGCATTTTCACTCAGTACTCCTGAAAATCTTAAAGATTCAAAATGAATTTTCATGGCTGGGACTTCTCTAATAGGAATAAACAATAAAAAAATAATTACAGGCAATGCCCAAGTGTTACCATATAGGGAAACAGCTGGATCATCTTGCTGAAACCCAGCTCTACTGACACGTGGCGAGGAGACATGGATGGTGAGAAATTATAAAAGTTCAGAAAAGCATTGCCTTTCTGGGCCAAGAAAGATTCCCAAAGACACATGTACATATAACAATCCTACAAAATATGGATTGTTCTGTAACAATGATCCACTGAATCAGACTATTTTTTCAGAGTTATTGATCAAAGTAAAGAATGATGTATAAGAGTAAACTATGCTCCTTAAAAAGAACAAAGAATTTCATAATCCCATAGAGGATCTGAAGATTACCTAGCATGTAAATTTACTAATAGTCAGCCAGTTAAATAACCCAGTGGTTTCTAAAACTGAAAATAGAACTTAATATCCAACTGAGATCTTCAAAAATCAAAACTGCTAGACTAGAGATTATAGAAAAGGCCAAGCTTACTTACCTAAGTACATCAAACTGCATTTATTCATAGTCCTAGAAAATTCTCTTTAAAAGGGGGAATAGACTAATAGTGCTAAACATAAATTAGTTATCTTTTCCATGTATTTCTTTCTATGCCTCACTCCTTTTTATTTTCAAATGCTGGTTGTGTGCTTATTGTGTACCAGACACTGTCTTCACTATAATGATGAAAAAGTTCCAGTCTCACACTGTATTTCAGAAGATTGCAACCATTGTTAAAGAATATACTACTTCCTTAAGTACTATTCAAAGGCTGCAGAGAGATCCTACCAGCAATATACAGAAGATTTACTTTGTGATTTCTTTTAATTAGAAAATAACATTTGAAAGCTATAACCTTTTAAGCCTTTTTGCTCCCACAAAAATAATCACCAAGAGAAGATGATCTGATTTCTGAGGAAATCTGTGGTATAGCTTTAACAGCTTTCTTGGAAGGAAGACAAATGTAACTAAGTATGAATAATATACTTTAAATATAGCCAGAAGAATTTTGACTTATAATTAACCCATGTTTCTGAAAATATGAAATCTACAAGTAATAAATATGCATTCTTAATAATGGTCTCTTAAAACTACATTTATATTAATCCTTTCAGTTTGTTGTTATGGTTATTTATTATAGGAAAAACACATGTTTCTATCAAAGCATGTAAAATTAATGAACACATTTTATATGTAGAGCTCAAAAAATACTCTCTTGTAAGCTGTACTCATTAAATAAAAATACCAACAAATTCATTAAACAAAAACAAAAACTCAAATCAACAATGGCAAAGCTAATAACTCCAGAAGGCTGAAATGTAGCAAAGACAAACAGAGTAGTGATAAAACATTTAATTATTAATATACTGTTTATCTCAATATGGACAGTTCCTTTGCTATGATGCAGAGGAATCAGGAGGCATGGGGATCTTTTGTGGTGGATGGCATGGCAGGTTATTTGCCCAGCCCTCACTGCTGACCTAAAGGCGCCTATCTTGCTCAACAGGAACCATACAAGACAAGAGTGTATAAGCCTTTCATTGCCAGCAGGCCTGTTAATTTCCATGATGTAAAAAGTAAGTCCATCTGGCCACTAGATGGAGATCAGGTTACTCTGTCAGTGATGGGGAAGCTGCTTGCAGCCAGCAAGTGTTAAGTAAGCAGGGTATGGAGAACCTATTCTCTTTTTTCAATACTTCTATGAAAGGCATTTTCCAAGCTCTGAAGTTAGGAGCAGATCTGTGCTGAATAAAGAGTATATAAATGAAGAATAGCTTGAAAGATCAAACAGAAAGGGAACTGTAAAAGACAAACATTTGCTTGTTATTACTGTTGCCCCTGGAATGACTTCTATTTAGGTTTGGTTGTATAAACCACTTGTAATTAATAAGATGAGCTGGTCTAAATAAGAACAATTAAATAAGCTGTCTCATTATTTACCAAGCAGGGAAGAAGAGAGATATGACAAAAAATTAAAACAATGATAGATTATTAAGACAATTAGTCTTGTCTGTTTGAACATAAGAATACAGACTCATGTTTGAGTATGTATATAAGTATGCATTTTTAATATCAACCAAAATGGATCAAGGGAACTTAGGGATCAAAGGAGAATGTCAGATAACATCTATTCTAATTTTCCAAATGAAACTATCATTCAATTCTGAATTATACAACTTTATTACTAAATATGTCTCATTTCTGTAATAGCTGAGCTTTATTTTATTTTTTTTTAGAGACAGGGTCTTGTTTTGTTGCCCAGGCTGGGGGGCAGTGGCTCGATCTCAGCTCCTGCAACCTCCACCTCCCAGGTTCAAGCAATTCTTGTGCCTCAGCCTCCCAAGTAGCTGGGATTACAGGCATGTGCCACCATGCCCAGCTTATAGCTGAACTTTAAACTGGAGACATAAAGTTACACATGTCCTGGAAAATGTTTGGTTTAGGGAAAGTTCAGATATTTCACTGTGTAATGTAGCTGAATATTTTGATTATTCTTGAGATGTTAGATCCATAATTCTGTTCATTTCTAACTTAATAACTATATATCCTCATTCAATAAATATTTATTCAGTTACATCTAAACAAATAATTTGTGACAGTTTAAAAGAAAAATTCCATTTGTTATCAAATAGTTTCAATTACCAGTACATTTTAGTATATAGGAGTGTGAGCACAAACAAACATATTAATTGCTTATTGCACCAATCATTGTGCTACAAGCTAGGAGTACAAAGATGTATATATAGCCAGAGAAGTAACTGGAAGAGAAGGCCTACATGATTAAAAAACAAATACAAATTCATTTTTGTAGCAGTCAAGCACAATTATTAAATGATTAGTAAAAGTCCTTTGTAAAGTTCTATCGTGAAAAATAAATTTAATCTTGACCAGATGGAAAACATGACCTTTGATCTCTACCACATATAAAATATAGAAATTCAAACACAATAGTATTTACTATTAGGCACCAATGACTGTAATGAGAACAAGAGCTTAATTCAAAAAGAGAAGAAACTAATGTTTAGAATAATAAATGAAACAGACCATAATTAATTGGCTTTCTAAATATTGTTATGAGTAGTAACCAACATTCAGTCTGTTGCTGTAATCAGTCCATGGCACTTACTTAATCACATGTTTATTTTAGAGTCACACATTTGTTTTAGCTTAATTAAATTAATATATTTATACCCCTTCAAAAAGATTTGAGTTTGAGGTTTTCAAAATGTTCCTACAAGCTTTTAAGGATCTAAGAGAATTATTATTCATTCATGAATATATCTATTTCTGTTTAAAGAAAATCACAAAAATAATCACATAAAATAGGAATTATTAATCAGGTATTGACGAAATAGTTTGTAGAAATTTCTTATTTTGCTAATCGGCTCTTTGCAGAACAACCTGGCTGGGAGGAACCTACTTTTCTTTTTGTTGGATAAGAAAGTAACGTGAACAGGAGAAGTTTTGTTCCAAAGATTAAAATAAATGAATAGCAAATAAATCCCTTTATTATATGCTTTAGTATATATGGGCATATAGCCTTCCTCATTCTTCAAATTAGTTCCAGACAGCAACTAGATTGATTAGATGATGACTGAGTCATTTCTGGAGTTATCAGGTTTCTTTTCACTTTGGTGGCCTGTTCCCATATTTTTCTCCAGTGCAGGGTTGGGTCTACTTATTGTTGACTACTAAATTTGCATTACTTGGAAATAAGGAAGTTGATAAAAAACGTTCTATTGGATGCATATTTTTGCTCACCTTCTCTAGTTTAGAGGTCCTGGCCTTGTAATAATCTGCTGTATTCTAGTTCCTAAATGTTTCTGTTTCCTAGGTAGCATGTAGAGATGCTGACACTGAAGATGGTAAAAGTGAGAACAGATGCAAAGGTGCTACTGGAAACTGGTTAGAGCTTAAGGTTAAAAAACTAAAAGCTGCTGATTGTATTCATATGGTGTGATGTCAGTAACCTGCACATTTAAGCACTGACAGAAAAAAAGGCACATTTTTACTTTTTCATCATTTAGATGGAGAATTTGTTTTTGTCTTTTTATTTTGTATCTAAAAATTCTTTTAGTTCTTTAAGCAACTATTTTTGAGTCACTGGCCCAGAAATTTTCATGACTGTGGCATCTGGAACTAAATTTATACTTGAATGTGCACCTCTAAGAGATAAGGTGA
Organism: Homo sapiens; assembly: GCF_000001405.40. Classification (NCBI taxonomy): domain Eukaryota; kingdom Metazoa; phylum Chordata; class Mammalia; order Primates; family Hominidae; genus Homo; species Homo sapiens. The sequence continues at coordinate 41,670,933 of NC_000013.11, forward strand.
ATTCAAATGGTACCTGCATATTTCTGTCATCTTGTCCAATCATGTTTCTCCATTCCATGAGTGATCGCTGCAGACGTTCAAGTCCAGTTTCCCAAAGCCTGATGTGACCTCCCATATCAACAGTAACAACACCGCTTTTGTCCCACTCAGCCAGCAGTGCATCTGTGTCTGAAATGGTCGACAGCCATGTGGTATACGGCGAGAGAGATTCTGATCTGGAAAAAGGAATCCAAGTGAAGCTAAGAGACCACAAAAATAAAGCAGGAGGGATGACACTGCACATTGTAATGTTCTTTACTGTTGAAAAAGTATGCTCACACTACTCATTATTTTATACCTGCTCTTACCTCTGTCACCACATAGGCAGGTTATGAGGATACGCTATGAGCAAAAGTTCTTAAACAAACATGCCCAGGGTTCGTAAGCAAACATGAGGCAGGACAATCATGAATATAAAAAAAAACCAGAAAGACTATTTTAAGAAAGATGTTTTTATAAGTGATCACAGTATATAACTAATTGGTAGGCCAGGAAACAAAGCTGGTTTAAACTGATTAGGTTCTCTAAACTTGCTATAAAGAATTTGCTATGGACTAAATGCTTGTATCCGCATCCCCCCGCCCGCCAAATTCATATGTTGAAGCCCTAACCCCCAATATGATAGTATTAGGAGGTGGGTACTTTTGGAGGTAGTTAGGCTTAGATGAAGTTGTGAGGGTAGAGCCTCTTTTATAGAATGGGATTAGGGCCCTTATGAGAAGAGACCAGAAAGCTTGCACTTGCATGTGGTCTCTGCCTGTTTCCCTTCCCCCCCATTCATGTTAGGATACAGCAAGAAGTTAGCCCTCTGTAAGACAGCCTTCACTAGGAACTGAATTGGCTGGCCCCTTTATTTTGGCTTTCCCAGCCTCCAGACTGAAAATAAATATTTGTCACTTAAGCTACCCACTCTATAGTATTCTGCTGTAACAGCCTGATCTAAGACAGAACTCTAATAATGAGCACATTAAAAGACAAGATATCAACAGAACCATCTGTAAGAAGCAAAAATACACTGTAATTTACTGGTTCTCTGCATTTTCCTGTATTTCCTGACAGTGGACGACACTAGCTTCCACTGTCAGGAAGAAAGGAACCCTATACCAGTTCATACCTCACACGCTAATGAGTGAGTACTGGACTCACTCCTTAGAGGCCTAATGTCAGTGCTGAAACCAATTTCTTGTTTATGCATTTCGACTGCATTTGTATGTGATATTTTGCCTTTTCTGACTTAGAAAGTTACGTGACTCTATAACAAGGAATGTATAGATTTCTTACATATTTCACACATATTTCATTATATATTTCTGACATCTGTATATGTGTGTATATATATATGTATGTATAGTAATTTCTAGGAAAGCAAATTTGTCTGTAAGAGTCAACTGCATATCTCCTTTATCTGAGTATAGCTCTTATTATACAAAAGTGATACAGATTATAAATTCCTATTGTCAGTGTTGGCTTGCAAAATGCATCTGATATTTTCTATATGAAATAAATAGTCTAAAGAGATGGTCTGATAAGAAAAACATAACAAGCTATCATTGTAGATTTTGGAAAAACACAAAACCATTATATATTAGGTAAATTCTTATAATATTCTAAAAGATAAATCAAGACTAATTTGACCTTTTTTCAGTCTGCCTTAGTTGATACTAAACACAGAGTGACAAGGGCGGCCACTCTTGGACACAGAAGACTTAGAAAATGTTCATATGAGAACAACAGTGGGATGGGACCATATGTTCTGAGCTACTTTACAGGACTCCCAGAAGGGCTCAAAGAAGGTAACATTTGATACAATACATGGTACTCTATCAATAAATATTTGCTGCAGGAAAAAACTTAGTAGTTACAGATGATGGAGTAAGGGGCTATTCAAGAATAATGAAATTTATCCATTTGTAACTATGTTGTTTGAAATTCTGCCAAGAACACCCAAGCTGTATGATTCTATTGACCACTGTACCTACTAATTGTCACTACTTAACTCTTCATAGCAAAACTTTACATTTACAGGCAATTTCTTTAATTTATTTAAAAAAAATTACTGAAGAAATTACATATTTACTACAATTTGCACACTAGGTCTAAAATCTTTTCTTCACTTAAAGAATGTTTTCCTTATAAATAATAACAAAGTTTTAAATGAACACATAGAATTATAGTAGAGTGAAGCCTAAATTTATACACAGCCACATATGAAAGCTTGGCAGTACTACTTTACAAATGCAGATAATATAAAACTTTGAAGAAAATTATGTGAGAGCAAAAGTGATGTATTCATTTTGGCCCTGAAGCTACATACAGTTTTATTGTATTTTCTATTATTTGAAATTAGCTATCAAATGGAAAATTCCTGATATCTAGCAGAATGCTAAATCTAAGCTACTAGCAAAAAACTGAAGTCCAGATGGGTTGTTCCCTTGGATTTTATACATATGTCAAAAAAAGCAGTAGTTAAGAGAAACTCAGGACATACTGACAATGAAACAGACTCTAAATTCATACTGACAATGAAACAGACTCTTGACACTTGAAATGTGGCAAGTCCAAATGGAGATGTGCTTTAAGTGTAAAATACATACTGAATTTCAGAGACTTAGGGAAAAAAAGGAATGTAAAATATTTCATTAAAAATTTCATATTGACTACATGTCAAAATAATAATATTTTTGATACATTGGGTTAAATAAAATATATTAAAATTAATTTCACCTTAAAACAATATTTTAGTGTGTCTACCAAGAAATATATAATTACATATATGGCTTTCATTATATTTCCATTGGACAGTGCAGCCCTAACTGAATGAATTATGGTGGCCAGCTGGCTCTGGGCTGTGCACACAGCTGCTCTTCCAGATGTTCTTTCCATGGCAGGTATAACATGTGATTCATACGGAAAGTTAAAAGAGAAAAACGCTGAAATAAAAAACTAGTGAGAGAAATGACTATAAATACTGGAAAAAATTATCAATGTTTTAGATATGTTAAAAAAGATGTTATTTGCTTTTGTTACTTGAATTAGTATATTTTAATGAGCATATAATTAAGATGGAATATGCAATTTCCTCAAATGATTAAAAGCCATTTTCCATTAAACCAACACATTAGGATGTTCCAAGAAGTCATACTTATATATGTTGGAAGAAGTATATTTATTTCTTTGAATGATTTTGTTTTCATATTTTTTTAATCTGATTAAAGGGTCCTAAGAAATGAAGCTGTGTTTCTGAGTTATTTGTGCTATCATGCCGAGCTATCTTCTTCTAGGGGTTGGAGAAGGGGGAAGAAAGGAAGCCTGGTGACATTTTGGGTGACTGACAGATTCTGTTGTCCCTGGTCTTCCTCTGCAGGCCCTCCAGGCTACTCTGCTAGAGCTTCTAGCCAAGACTTCAACCGCTGTGTTGTGAGGGCTCAGTGGCAATGTGAGGGAGTACATGAGAGGAGCAGATGTGATTGCAATATAGGTCAAAATAGAGTAGAAAGATTAGAGGAAGAAGGCTTTGGCATGGAGGGCAAAGAAAGGGAAAAAGAGGAACCTAGGATAAGTAGGCCAAAGCAGGTGCAAGCTTAGGTTGGAAGAGGGAAATAAGGCATGGATGCACCCAGAAAGGGACGGGCTCCAGGTGATGATGCCTGTGTTCTTCAAGGGACAGATCAAGCTTTATTGTTTCTGTTTTTAAATCCTCAGTTTACCTAGTTTAAATGCTTTGCTTCCATAGTGGGACAATAATGAAGGAGGTGAACAGTAATAAGTCCTATTCTAAAGCTTTGGGATCCTTTGGCTATTGTACAACCTCCCTGACTGCAGATGCATAATAACATATATCAAAACAATATTAAAGAAATCTATTTAAATTGTTTTGATATTTTGAACACATTTACTTCAGAAAATACATACACAAAGTTAATAAGTATTATAATTTTTGTAATACTAAAAATGCTATTCAGATACAGAAAAACTTATTAGAACAGATCAAACAAAAGAGAACAAAGACTTGCAGGCTGTTTGACTTATACCTATGTAACACTGGAATATTTTTACAAAATGAAAATAAAAATGCCAGGAAAACATTCAGAAGAACAGCAAGATAGAAACCAACTGTAACTGGAAAAAAAAAGAGCTTGCTATTTAAAGAAGCAAAAAAGTACTCATTTATTCAGAGTACTTAGCAAGAATTTACTCATTTTTTATGACATACTAAGCTAAGAACAAAGGTGAAATGGATTACCTGGGAATAGGGATATATCGGAGTTTCTTTGATTGAAGATCAGTGACTTCTATATAACCAGATGTTTGTGGAGGAGTAACATCTACAAACAAGTCATGACATGAGCCAAGTATTAAATTACTGCAAGATACCAAAATGGTGCTAAAAGTGGAATCAAGTTATCTGTAGCCTAGGGTAGAACGCTGGGATCTACTTGACAAGGTACTGGGTCAACCCTCATGGCTAGACTCTGAGAAATATGCTTCCCTCAGGGAAGCATATTGGGCTGTGATTCTTTACTGTCAGAAAACAACCTAAGTTATTTTCATTGTCTTTGATAGCTTCCCAAGATGAGTCAATGTTTTTGCATTTACAGTTTTTTTAAAAAATATTTCATCATCTGAACTGTTTTTCCTTCTTAGGAAGCAACAACAATGCAGTAAAATGTGGTGGAATCGGCACACTCTCTAATTAGACTGACCTGGTAGGAAGTCCTGCTCCTGTCCGAGCTGTGTTAGGTTGGTCAAGTTATTGACCTCTCTGAGGCCTGCTTTCTTCATTTGTAAAATGGGGATAACAACCCCACTGTAAAATGGGGATAACAACCTCAGATGACCACAGCATCTGAGCATCATAAGCATTATCCTGAGGATTAGATGAAATTAGTAAATGCAAAGCACCGACAGGGGTTGCTCATCACACAGTATCTGTCATTATTAGGGCCCTGCAAGACAGGGGAAGGTGAGGTGAGGATGGGGCAGTGGGGTGAGGACTCTGGAGTTTGGATCATAATCCCAAAAGACAATCCTGAATGCCATTATTCTGATTGTTGAAATCCCAAAAGATAGATAAAAGTCCCTAAAGTTTAAAATCCTGAAAATCACAATCACAGTATAATTGCATCATGTTATACGGAGCTATTACTTTGTTACTGTCTTTGTTTGGAAATTTAAGTATGGTTTAAGGAGATGCATATAGGTGCCAAGCTGACAAAGGGTGTATTTGTGGACTTAATTTTAGGTGTCAGTTGGACCGATTATGGAATACCTAGAAACCTGGTAAAGCATTATTTTGGTTGTATCTGTAATCTGGAAAAGAGATTAGTATGTGAGTCTGAGGGAACCAGGTGGTGAAGACCTGCCCTCAATATTGGTGGACATCATCCCACCAGCCAAGAGCCTAGAGGGGACAAATACAGAAGGTGAATTGGTCTCTGAGAGCTGGAACAGTCTTTTCTTCAACCGCCAAACATACTGATATGCATGTATGACATTTCCCTTTTGACCAATTGCTTTATGAATATGGCTCATGTGTTCATAACTGTTATACTCATGTGATGTCATTAGTGTACCTGAGTGTTTATGCTTGCAAAAAGTGTATGTTATTATTGCCTATTTTATTGTGCAAGGTGGTTTGTGAAGTGTTCTGCTGTTTTTGTTTGTTTGTTTGTTTTTTGGAGACAGAGTCTCACTCTTGTTGCCCAGGCTGGAGTGCAGTGGTGCGATCTTGGCTCACTGCAACCTCCGCCTCCTCTGTTCAAGTGGTTCTCGTGCCTCAGCCTCCCAAGTAGCTGGGATTATAGGCACCCGCCACCAAACCCAGCTAATTTTTGTATTTTTAGTAGAGACGGGGTTTCACCATGTTGGCCAGGCTGGTCTTGAACTCCTGACCCCAAGTGATCTGCCTGCCTCGGTCTCCCAAAGTGCAGGGATTACAGGTGTGAGCCACCACCCCCAGCCTGTTCTGCTGTTTTTATGTTTCTCAAAAAAAAATCTTCTTTCAAAAATGTACATAAATATCTTTTAAATAATTTTAAAATTATTTTTTCCAGAATTATATTTTCAAGATTTTCATCTTTTGGGATTGTGCCAGAATTTTAGACTTTAGGAATATTTATCTTTCTTTTGGGATTTCAACATTTGGGGTTATGGCATGGGGATTGTGTTTTTTGGGATTATGATCAGCTCTCAGGATCCTGGATAGTAAAGAATATGAAAAGTTGGGGGAAGATAAAGAGATAAGGGGTCCAGAGCCCTCAACTAATTCTATAATTGTTATACTCATGTGATGTCATTAGTATACCTCAGTGTTGGTTTTCCAGCAAATTCCTGTGCTACACTGATTTCTATTCCACAGCCCTGAGTAACCATCATCCTCAAAATCATTAGCTGCCACCATGGTGTGTCAGAAACACTGCTTAGTCTTCACAGAGAGTGCTTCTGATACTGACAACAACAAAGACTAATAATTCTTGTCTGAGAGATGAAGAAACTGAGGCTTATAGAGGTAATGTAACAATATGACTTATTTGGGGTGATACAGCTGGAGAGTGATGGAGATGGCTTCAAACCCAGGCCTCTTTAGCACTAAAATCTATGCTCTGGCCACCACTCCACACAACTTCTATGTGAGTTGGCCCTAGTGAAATAGCTATTTGTAAAATATCCCATTTTATAAAATCTTGGCCACCAAGTTCTCTTAAAAAAAACTCCCCAACACAAAACCCAAGCTTTTTAAGATTTTTGTCTGTTTCTCTATCTAATCTTTGATGACAATTTCTGATTAGAATTATATATTTATCTATTCATCCATCCATCCATCCATCCATCCATCCATCTTTTATTACAATTTCTGGTTGGAATGAAGTATCCAGGATGTCCTGGATAAATTCAAATTTGAATTTATCAAATGTAGTTTACAAAAAACAAGAAACTTGACATTTTTATTTCATGCATGTAGTTGAAGGTTTTTAAATAGGCCAGCTGAAAAACTCGACATATCTCCTATTTATTTAACAAATGTGTTTGAGCATATTTTGCGCCAGACATCATATGAAACAGCGAGGATACAGAAAAGAGATGTGGTCTCTGACTTTGAGGCATTCACAGTAAAATGAGGAAAGTTCCTTTTTATTAAACCATTGTGGGCCTCTGGGGACTTGGAAAGGATTCTAGAGTTGGAATCACAGTCCTGAGGCCAGGTATGAGCTGCAGAGCTAGGCATGGGTTGTCCCAAGAGACAAATAGCTCAGCAGGAAGAAAAGGTAATGTCCAAGGAGAGGAATGGGTAAGAAAATAGAGTTACTATAGTAATTTGACCACCCAGCTGGATTAGCTGTCTTCAAGTGGCCATTTGCACAAAATGAATATGCTTATCGTAAGCCACACACAGTCTGCATTGGAAATTCTGCCTGTGATATAAGGTCAATCTTGGATAAAGTTTTGTATCATATATCATTTTTAACAATTCCTGCTGCTCGAACCTAGCTGAAGTAGGTTGAATTATTTATAGCTCAGGGTTCTCTGCCAAGAGTGACCAGTTACTGAAGCTATAGAGATGAGTGGAGCTGCCTCGCTAACTAACTTACTCATATTTTGGCTTGCCACTTAGAGGCACTTTTACAAATAAGGAATAGTATTAAGTTGAGCTACTGCCATCAGCACTTTTAGATTGCCTGTGAAAGCAAAGTAAGCCAACTTATTTTAAAATATCTTTTTTTTCCCATATCTTTCTTTTCTTTTACTTTGCTAATTAATTCCTTGGTGAGAAAATGCAATAATGACAGTGTCTACTATTTCAAGAAGTAGAAAGCAAGAATTTTACTCCTGGTATTAAGAACTATTTTCATATATCAGAGAAGGGTAATTGTGGCTACAGATCACTTCAGGGAAATATAGTAAAGGTGGTGGTAGTGGTGGTAGTAGCAGTAAGCACTTTAAAAATAATAAAAATTGATGTTTACTGATTTGAAAATAAGTCAGCTCAGAAGAAAAGAATATTTACAAAAAGATTCTTGAACAGAATACTTGACTGAATTAAGGAAGTGAAAACTGTGGCCAGGTTTCCCTCCAAACTTAGCCAAGTCCTCATCCATCCATTTTAAACGTTTTAACACTGGAGTGAGGATGGAGGCTCAGTAAATTTCCATTACATTTATAATCCAGGTGGATTTCAAAGATAGGTATAAGTTGTATTTAGGGATTAGTTCACTAACCATTAAAGGGAAGTCATTGCAGCAGTGTTTATCACATAGCTCCCATGAATAGTGGGGACAGTTTACATGCACAGTGCCAAGGTTAGAAGGAGGTATTAAAAACTGTCAGGCAAAACAACCAAGACAATTTTCAGAGGGAAGGTGAAATGCTATTTAAAAAGTCACTCCTTCTAGAACTGTAATTTGATGTACACCTATTAATCACTGGGTTTAACACACTTCTGTGTTCACAGATAAAAAGAGTGATGTGTGCCCCCAAACTGTGCTGATACCAAATTTTTGATTTTACCCAAAGTTCAAAAAAACATTGTACTGCTTTCAATCAAGAATCATTATTTTGTGTTTAAAGAGCTCAGACCTGTGGTTTAAAAGAAGCTAGCATTTAGCTAGAAGAAAAACAGTTGGAAGAAAGCAATAAATTTCTCCCCATCTGCATTAAATAAAAGCTACCTCATTATTGTGAAAGCCACCAGGAGAGTAGTCTTTACAGTTGATTTCTTTATAAAAGGCTGATATACATTAGTTCCAGACTAATTAGATGGTTGGATTTGGTTTACTTTACAAAATTATTCTAGCTTGAATTTTCATCAGAGATCTACATGCACATAGAATTAAGTATCAAAAAGGCTTAAAGAACAAACAGCCCTGCTTTACCCCCTACCCGCCCCCGGCCGCCCCACCATTTCCTGCCCCCTAGAGACACTTTCAACTTTTTAAGCTATTTCTGTGGTATTCACCTTCATCATTATGGTGCCCTCTTGATGTTTCAGCTTCAGGTATTATCTCTTGCCTTCCTCCCAAGCAAGAAGAGAGTTTAACTCTTTTTCATTCCCCAATCCCCCACTCCCGATTTTCCCATCCCCCCAAACATTCATATAATTTTGCTTGGATTAACATCCAGTGCTTATATTATTATAATTATCTAAATGCTAATCACAGCTTTGCTATGTCTTATATTATCATTACTTTTTCCTGTATAACTTTTTGCTTTCATTGGAGCTAATAAGCATCATGTTTTGTTTGTTTAGTTTTATTTAGTACAAATTTATTCCCAAGGTTCCCTAATTGTTAAAATCTCTAAATATGTTCATATATATTGGGTTTATCAATTTCAATTTCTAAGAGACATCTCTCCTGAAATGTCATCTGTTCTAATCTTAGGCCTGTGCATGGCTGTTACCCTGGGATCTTCCTTCACCATGCTCATAGGGATTTTCATTCTTTCTCTCTTTTTTTACAGCCCACATTTATAAAATTCTTCCCCCATGCCAGACATTGTCCTAAGCACTTTATATATGTTTGGAATATTTTAGTAACACTACTTAAACAAAAGAAGGGAAATAAAACTCCTAGAACCTAAGAGAAAAATGGCTAAATAGGCAGTTCTTGGAAGAGCAAATGGCAACATATGAAAGGATGCTCAAATGTACTAAAAGTCAGAAAAAGGTAATGTGAAACCACAATAAAAGGTTTGACCCTTACAAGAGTAGATTAGGATGGGATGGACCAGGATCCCCTTTATGCTACTGGAACACCTTTGGTAATTCTGCTCCTAAATATGTTCCCTACAGACTCAACATATACACAAGCAGACTGGTGCAAGGCTATTCATAGCACCATTATTTGTAATAGCAAAAACCTGGAAAGAACCTAAATTTGCACTGACAAATAACAGATGAATAAATTGTTGTATGTGAAGCAGTGAAAATAAAAGTAGAACTATCAGTATGGATGATGACAAAGGTCTCTCTTTGACTGAACTGTAGTCAGGCTCTTCTGAATCTTCTTCCCAACTAGTTCCCAACTCCGGGGCCTCTGTGTTCATCTCTGCATTGTTCAATGCTAACAAGAATCCTGCTAAGTCAGTTTAAACAGAATCCCTAACCCTTGATATCTGATTGGGTTCCCCATTCTCCACCATCCCCCAGGTGATGTCAGATCACTCTCGGCTGCTCTCAGCAGGGATCCTGTTAGGTTTGTTCAGCCAGAATTCCCTCTTATCCTAGATGTTTTCTCTCAGTAATTTTCCATCCACTGACCCCCACCCTACTCCTTCACTTATTTCCACTTTTCCTTGTTATATTCAGAGTTGAGCCCCATCTCTTTCCCTTACTACAAAACTTCTTTGCAGTCATCCCTAGACCTATCAAGATGGCCCTGCATAAAGCCTACCTTCCCATTTTCTAACAAATGTCATGAATGATTTTTTTCTTTAGCAACAAATCTCACAAACATGATGGTGAAAAAAACAGACCAAGTTGCAGAAGAATAAATACAATATGATACTATTTACACAAAGTTTAAAAACATAAAAAAAGCTATATGTTATTTTGTGAATGATAAGTACTGAACTCACATTCAGAATAGAGATTACCTCTAGTTTGTCAAAAAGTGAAGGAGATGAGAACACAGGGGTCTCTGACCATACTGGTAATGACTTACCAATATGGGTGGTGGGTGCAAAGATGTTCTTTGTATTTTTCTTTAAACTTTTGTAGGCCTGAGATATTTTGTGAAAAATTAAAATACACATGGAAACATAAACACACTCTTCCCGTCCCCAAATAGGAAGTGTTATGAGAGAGTATGACAAGGGCACCTAATATAGATTTGAACAAGACCTTCTGAGGAAGTGACATTTAAACTGAGAACTGACAGATGAGAATGAGTTTGGGGGTTGGGGGGAAGGGGTGCAGCAGAAAGTTGGGAAGAATTTTGTAAATTCAAATTAACTGAAAGAAGTCGGAGAGTTATGTAATGGACAAACCACGCTGCATCTTTTAAGCCAAGTTAAAATTTCTAAACTTTATCCTAAGGACAATGTGACCTGAGTTGTGTTTTAAAATATTACTTTCTGACTAAAACAGTTTTGAAAATGAAGAACAAAGTGGAAGAATCTATACTACCTGGGTCAACCAAGACTCACTATAAAATATAAAGCTATAAAGCAATCAAGAGAGTACGGTATTAGTAAAGGGATAGACACATAGACCAATGGAACACAATAGAGAATCCAGAAATAGACCCACTCATGTGGGCAGCTGATTTTCAGCAGAGGTCTAAAGGCAGTGCAAAAGAGAAACGACAGGACAGTCTTTTCAGCAAATGGTGCTGGTGCTGGAACAATTGAATATCCCCATGCAATTAAAATAAAGAGCCTCAGTCCATACCTTACACCATGTAAAAAATTAACTCAAAATGGATCATAAATCTAATGTAAAATATAGAACTATAAAACTTCTAGAAGAAAACATAGAAGATTTGCCCTTCATCAAAATAAGAGAAAATGTTTGCAAAGTACATCTCTGACACTGAACTTGTATCTACACTAAAGAACACTCAAGAGTTCAGGAGTTTGAGACCAGCCTGGGCAACATGGCAAAACCCTGTCTCTACAAAAAAATACAAAAATTAGCCAGATGTGGTGGCATGTGCCTGTAGTCTCAGCTACTCAGTAGCCTGAGTTGGGTGCTGCTTGAGCCTGGGAGGCAGAGGCTACAGTGAGCTGAAATCGCATCACCACACTCCAGCTTGGGCAACAGAGCAAGACCTTGTCTCAAAACAAACAAACAAAAGGAATGCTCGAAACTCATTAATAAGAAAATAAATAACCCGATTTAAAAATGGGCAAAAGATCTGAAACATATTTTATTAAAGAAGATACACATAAAACAAAATACTCAACATCATTAGGTGCTAGGGAAAACGCAAATTAAAATCATAATGAGAAATCACTACACTCACTAGAATGGTGAGAAACTGACAATACCAAGTGCTGACAGGGATGCAGTGCAACTGAAACCTCCATTCATTGCTGATAGAAATGCAAAATGGTATTTCCACTTTGGGAAATAGTTTGGCAGTTTCATCATATGATGCAAAAATGCCATTCCTAGGCATTTACTCAAAAGAAGCAAAACCTTATGTTCACTTAAAAACCTGCCCACAAATGTTCATAGTGGCCTTACTCTTTATTGCCCAAAACTGGAAAAAACCAATAAATATGTCACCTTGTGAATGGATAAACAAACTGTGGTACATCTATATAATAGGCAACCACTTGGCAATTAAAAAAAAAAAACTAATGATACACACATAACATAAAAAATAAATAAATAAATGATTCTCAAATGCACTGTATTAATTGAAAGATGCCAGGCTTAAAAGACCACATACTGTATGATTCCATTTATATAATATTCTGGTAAAGGCAAATCTATAAGAAAAGAAATCAGGTCAGTGATAAGTTGTAGGTAAGTGCAGGCACTGACACAAAATGGAATGGGGGAAGTTTTTGGGGTGATGAAACTCTTCTATATCAAGTGTGGTAGTGGTTACCCAACTGTTTGTGTCTGCCAAACTCACAGAACTATATGCTAGAAATGGTGAATTTTACTGTATATAAACCGAGCTTAAGAACCAATGTATGCTGTACTTTAAAAACATCACCCTGTCTGATGTGTGTAAAAGAGTAGGAGGGGAAAAGAGTGGAAGAGGTAACAATATCAGAAGGCTATGGCAACATTTCAGTGTACGATGGTGGTGCTTTGGATGGGATATTGGTAACAGAATTGGAGACTAGTGGGTGGATACAAGATATATTTGCAAGGCTGTATATCAGGACATGGTGATTGATGATGGATGAAATGTGGAGGATGAGGGAGAAGAGGTATCAAGGTGAGTCCCAGATTTCTGGGTGAATGCAGGTGCACTAAACTCTGGTACATAACTTCTTGTAATTCCTGGAATGCTCTGCCAAGTCCTTGCATCTTTCACATGGAGTACCCCTTTCCTGGACCAAATCCTTCAACTGATTAACTCTCATCTTTCAAGAGTCAACTCATAGTCTCCAGAATGGATTGTAAACTTCTACTTTGTGTTTATATATCACCTTGTGAATATTCCTATCTTATTATACTGTACTAGAATTGTCAGTTTATTCATCTGCCTCTTCTACCACAAAAAAAATTTTAAGGAAATGGTGATTTATTTTCCATGAGTTTCAGCTGGGAAGAAACTAATTCCAAATGTTATCATATAATCAGAACTTTTCAAACCCTGTTACAGATTATTATAATACATTTAGCATTATATTTGTGAAGTCCACACTAATACAATGCATATAGACACAAGATAATATATCACTACCACTGTGACATAAAAAAAAAAAGTCAATTAATCAATGATCAAACTTTTTCATAGTTATCTGTTATGATGAATGCCAGTGTGGTTCAATAAGAATAGATCTAAACTTGGGATTAGAAGATTGTGGTGCAAATCTGGGCACTGTTGTCCACTGGTGGGGTGATCCTGGGCCAGTTATTTTAGTTCTGTGTCAGAATATCTTCATGTATAAATTAGAGAGCATGCTAACAATAGGATGGGGTTTTAAGGAGTAAGTGAATTTATACAAGGAAAGGAGATCATCCCAGGAATTGGATATTTTATGCAGTAATAAATATAAGTTGACTTTCAGAGTGCTGTTAAGTGAATCAGTCTGCACGATAAGCCCCTGACTTTCAGTCTTAGGAGTTTAAGACAAAAGGCAGGCCTCAGTTTCTATGCCTAATATACTAAGACTTTTTAAAAGGCTCTGTGAAAACATCTTTTAGGTAAAGTTACTGCATATATTATAATATAAATGAAGATGAGCTCTAACAGCAGTGGCCACAACCACACACTGTGAAAATGAGTAAGAACTTTCTGAATACGGAGAGGTCTTTTTAGTTACTTCTAAACTTGTCGGAATGATCAATTTTTATAAGTATGAAATGATAAAGATAAATTAAATATCCTCTACCAAAAGGAAGCTACTTTAAACCACCTTTGTAAATTAGGAATTGGTGAGTTCCTTCTTACCTTTTGGGTAGATATCTTTTAGAGGGACTTCTCCTGGGGGTAAAATCCTCACTACCTGATTCGTATCTAAAAGAGTCACACAATTGCTTTGTTTTGGAGTCCCCCTTTTCTTCTTTCCTCTATAGAATGATGTATCAGTGCCACTTCGTTTATGCAAAGATGATGGTCTCTTCCAAGAATAAACTTCACTGGGTGACTGAAAAAAAGAAAGAGATTAAAGTACTGAAGTACCATATACTACATTCACCACAACCTTAACAACGCAGCCCTTTAAGCAGATACTAGTGGGAAACTAATGTTTCACAGGTATAAGAAAATCAAATTATTGGCTGGGTACAGTGGCTCATGCCTGTAATCCCAGTACTTTGGGAGGCCAAGGTTGGTGGATCACTTGAGTTCAGGAGTTTGAGACTGGCCTGGGCAACATAGTGAAACCCCGTCCCTATAAAAAATACAAAAATCAGCCAGACATCGTGGCACATGTCTGTATTCCCAGCTACTGAGGAGATCTTGTCTTAAACAAACAAAAAATAAATAAAGTCATTTGGATGTGGTACAGGAAGGAGGTAGCTGCTTTGTCAATAATCATAATTTTCAGACAAGTGTAAAATATACAAGTTAAATTTTTTACCTTGAAATCAATTACAACTAAACAGAAGAAATATAGGAATTAGTTAAAAAATAAAGTAAACATCTATACATAATAGAACATAACTAGCATTTTTAAAGCCCTGGGAGGGCTTCAAAAGTGATTGGGCCCCTTCCCAGTCATTCTCTCTCTCCCCTAGATTTAACTCTTCTGGAATTTTGTGTTATTTTTCCCTTGCTTTACTTTAAATTTTTACCACGTATGTATTTATCCTTCCTAAGATCATAAAGATAATTTCTTATGCTTTTTCTAAAAGTTTTAAGGCTTTATCTTTCATAGTGAAGTCCTTAGCCTATCAGGAATTAATTTTTGTGAATGGTATGAAGTGGGGATCTGCATTCATCCTTTTCTCACATGTATAGTTTATTGTCCAAATACCACTAACTTTTGCCCATAGCAACAGTATCATAAAACACAGTTTATATGCAGGTATCTGTTTCTGGGCACTGCATTTTGTTCTATGGTGCATTTTTCTATTCCCAGGCCAATACATGGTCTTAGTTACTGAAGTTTTATAATTATCCTTGAAATTTAATAGGAAGAGTACTTCTGTCTGGTCCTTCTTCAGAGATGTTCTGGTTATTGTTTGCCCTTGCAATAATGAGTTGCATTAGCTCTCTGCGTCCTTATCAGTACTTGGTATTGTCAGTGTTTTTTTTATTTTAGCCATTCTAACGGGTAGGTACTAGTATCTCATCATGGTTTTAATTTGCATTTCTCTAATGACTAATGATGTCCAATAACTTTTCATGTACTTATTTGCCATCCCTCTATCCTCTTTGGTTAAGTGTTTGTTCAAGTCTTTTGCTCATTTTTTTTTTCACATTTACCTTTAATTTTACTTCTATATCTACCTAAATACATTGAAATCTATGAGTTCACAAAAATATATCCAATTCCAATCTAATAACTACATGGTTCATTCTAGTTTTCTTCCTTTCAGTATCTGTAATTCCCCTCTCCAACAGTTAAAAATTTGTTTTCATTATCCTTAATGTATTTTGTTACCCTTCATATATTTACTTTCTTGCTCAAGTCCACTGTATGTGACCCATCTCCCATCTCCACCACTAACCTTACTCCCTGGGCAGATGCTCCACTCTACCTGCTTGGGTTCTGACAGCCCATAGGGGCTGCACTCACACAGGGACACATACTTCACCTTACTTGGGCTCCTACATCCCATTCCAGGCTGCCCCTTCACAGGAATGCCATCTTCATCCTGTTTGGGCTTAACGTCCATCACTAGTGGTTACCTCTCCCCACCATAGATGTCCTTACCTTGCTTGGGCTCTGATCTTTGATAACTCACACTGGCCTACTATTTGCTCATTTGTAAAATTAGGCTATTTGCCTTCTGACTGTTAAGTTTTAAGAATCTTTATAGACTCTAGATACCAGTTTTTGTTGGAAATGTGGTTTGCAAATATTTTTTCCCAGCCTGTAGATTGTCTTTTCATTCTCTTAACAGTGTCTTTTAACAGAGCTCAAATTTTAAATTTTGATGCAGCACAATTTATCAATTTTCTCTTTATATATCATGTCTAAGACACTATTACCATGTTTAATAGAATGGTAACAGTGGGCAACCTTGTTTTATTTCTAATGAGAAAAGAAAAGAAATACTTTTGATGTTTCACCATTGAGGATGATATTTGCTACAGATTCTTATAGCTATTTGGTATTAGATTTTAAAAGTTATACAAGTAATAATTTAGATGCCACTGATAACTCTATGAAAAAGTTAATAAGAGGTAGCATACTCATTTGTCAATAGTTTCATACATAATCCAAAGAAGTTCACATAAAGCAAGAAGGCAGTGTGGTGTGGTAAAAGGATGTGTGTTAGAGGGCTGGCTAGTCACACTTGAGCTCAAATTCCATTGCTTATAATCTTTGTGGCCTAGGGGATATAAGCTCTGTCTGTTTCTATTTTTTTCATTTGTAAAACCTCATAGAATTGTTGTAAAAATTAACTATCATGTATGAAAGGGCTTAGAGCAGCACACTGCCTATTCTGTTGTGGCCTAAAAGTATTACTGTCATCTTAAAGGCTGCCTAGCTGACTCTAATCTTCTATTTAACAAATACTCATTAAATACCTCCTATGTGGTAGGTACCACACTAAGTAGCAGGGATATAGCTTTTAATTTAACAAGGTCACTAGTGTTACAGGCTATAAGAATTTCTACAAGGTTAATAGAAACAGTGCCTTAACTTAGCTTTTATTTTCTAACTTTTTATAATAACATTATACTTCTATATTGATTTCTTCAATCAGAAGAAGGTAATTAGAAGATCAATTTTTAAAATAGTTTTATCTCCAGAAAAAGTCCCAATTTTTTTTTTACAGCAGCAAACATTGTAGAAAGCATATAAAACACATCTCTTTCATATCAAGGCTGCTATAAACACTGTATTTCAATAACGTTTCATTTTGAATTACATGATAGCAGATGCTTTTAACTTGATAATTAGGAAAACATACATCAGAGTCCTAAGCCACATTATCCATTGAGTTTTAGATTTCAAATCTTATATCCTGAAGTACCCAGCATTCATTAACTATATTAAAATGTTGAGGCATACAAAATTGGAGTACCGTCAAGCAGAGCCCATATTTTTATCTTTAAATAATTCTATCATCCCATCTAAAAGCTACAAAGGAAATTATAAAAATTAAATGTTTAGTCAGAACACATGGAGCTACATCTAAGGTTGTTAGATGGCAACTTGGACTGAAATAACTTTTATAATTAATTTCCCCACATTTCCATCAGAGGAAGATGTCGCCCAGTTTCACCTACAGTCAATTCAAATAGCTTCTCCTTTATAGGTAATAGGAGATAACAGAAGGGCCCATCTAAGAGGAAAATCAATTGAGACAATTAGCCATTATACTATAACCTGGATGCTGCAAAGATATGATAAATCAGAGCAAAACTCAATGGAAAATAAATCTATCTTCATGACTGTTGAAAATTTTAATCTACAATAATGACAATCCAACAAATTTAACTTTACACAGGAACAAAAAACCAAATATCACATGTTCTCACAAGTGGGAGCGAAACATCGAGGACATACGGACACAAAGAAGGGAACAACAGATACTGACACCTACTTGAGGGTGGAGAGTGGGAGGAGGGTGAGGATCAAAAAACTACCTATCAGGTACTATGCTTATTATCTGGATGACCAAACCATCTGTACAACAAACTCCTGTGACATGCAATTTACCTATATAACAAACCTGCACACGTACACTTGAACCTAAAATAAAAGTTAATAAATAAATATATAGAATGTGTAGATGGAAAAATAATTAACTTTAAAAAATTATAGAAGACATGACAGAAAATTACCATCAGAAGGTTAAGCATTTAAACTGTATTACATGAACCCCCACATATGGAGAATACTCATTTCCCCCTACTAAATTCTATCATTGCATTACGCTTTCAATGTTAATTTTTGAAGTGTAATGAAACTATTTAGGTATAACATATTTTCTACTGACTGATTTGGAAGGAAGACTTGATCCAACATGTTTACCAGGAAATTATGTTTTTAATTACCCCTCAAACAGGCTTACAGATTATAGGTCAAACTAAGGGAAAGAAACATTTATCCGATAATTTAAAAAATGGGTGCTTACCATGAGATCTGGAAAACCAACAACTATTGTAGCATAATTTTTCTCATCTGAGAGAATTCTGTTGGGAGAGGCAATCTTTTGTTCCACAGCTGAACTTAGATGTTCAGATGATAGTTGATCACTGGAAATTTTATGAGGTATGCTGAACTCTGTTTCTGAAAAGTACAAACATTAGACACCATATGCTCCTGAAATGCTCCAGGAATTAATTTTTTGCAAGATTTTATTCTCAACAAGTCAAATGGAAAAGAACAAGTTAAAAAAGAGAAAACATTTTAAATTACATTCATGGGCTTTTGTTTGAAAAAATGCTGTTTTTATAATCAAGGCATCTTCCCAAAGTGATTTCAAGTATTTACAGAATTCAAAATTTTATTAGGAATAAATATTATAATTAATAGCTCCCTGTAGAAAAGATGTAAAAACTGACCCAACCAAGGGTTGGCAATGGTATGTTTTAGATTTTTTTCGTAAGTACTATTCATCCCCCAAAACTGTGATAAATTAAATAGAAATCCCAATAGTCTGCAGAAAAAAGATGTTATCCTAAATTAGACTTGCAACCTAAATGTATATAAAAATACTGATCTGTCAGTTAAAAAAATTCAAGGACAGAGCTTACAACAGTGAACTTCCTTATGACAATTTGAGATACTAGATTCTTATTTACTATTTCTGGTGTAGTGACTAAGTTTTTTCTTTTGGTGTAAACTTAACATAGGCTGGTGTTTTGTTCTTAAATGATTCTAGAAGACAGTATATGTACAAGCATGCACTCACACAGCCATAAACACAGATGACATAGTATTTACCTTGTGTAACTCCAAACCCTGTGCTGGGCGGCTCCTCTTTCAGCACATACAACTGGCAAACCCCACTACCCTCAGATTCGATGTGTGCAGGCTTAGTTAAAAGATATTTCCTGCAAACAAACAAAACATCTAGCTTAAGTGAAATTTTTCTTTTTCTAATAGTAATAAGGCCAGACTAAGAAAAATTAGATTCTCCTCAGTCTCTTTTTTATAGTTCCAGTATAATTTGCAGTTTTAGAGTTTCATCATGAATTAACAAATAACTTCTCAACACTGTGTTAAAGAGCAGTGCACAACAGCAATACAGTAATGAATGTGAGGCAAAAATCCAATGCTTCCTATAAGAGAAAGGGTTGTGGGGAGGGGAAGCAACTCTAATGGGGTGCACTCTTATTATCATGTAACCCTCTCTTGATAAAACTCTTTGATCAGCCAGGAAGGGGGAGTATGACTTCTGATTTGTGATCAGCTAGGAGATAGATGCCCTCACAACTGTAGTCTCCTTGATCTACTTATTTTTAACATTTCTAAAATATGGATGTATATATAGGCAGAAATCCTCTGCAATGAGATACTTCTGCTTGTCAGCAGAGGGGCAGAAAGAGTCTGCACTTAGCTAGTGGAGTTGTGCATGAGGGAAGGTGCTCAAAGTCGACACCGCCTTTCATCAAGAACTGCACAGTCCAATGGGTCAGATAACATAAACATAAACATAACCACATCCAAACCAGAATACACAAGATAAAAAGAGAAAGACACTTCTAAGGTGTGAACTCTGTGAATTTACAAAGAGGCAACAGCTCTAGGATAGAGACTGTGGCTCTTTGAAGGGAAAATCTACTTTGAAGTGTCTCCAGTTTAGCAAGAATACAGTGAATTCTCAATGTACAAATAGGAAAAAGCCCAAATAAATATGGATCATATGAAAAAGTCATGATTTTTTAACTGTTAATTTCAATGTCATTTTCTGAGAAGTGACATTTATTTTTTCTCCCCTCCTCAATTCTTATAAGTCTCATATATAGAGATGCTGCCAAACACAGAAATTGTTAAAGGACAGACACAGGAAAGACAGAACAGTAAAGATGTTGGATAATTCATAAATAAGATTGAGCTACAACATACTCCATGATACACTATATAAAGCCACTCACTGATTTGTTTTGCTCTCCACCAGAAGCCATTTGTCCTCTGCTACAAGGAAAACTGTCTTGAGGTTGATGGGAAGTGAGATGGTGTGAGTTCGCCCTTCTAGAACATCCAGCACAGTCAGGCTGTTCCTGGAAAAGAAGAAAACTGTATCTGAAAGGAAATGGTGAGGATAATGGTTGAGTAATCTGGCATAATCATTTCATGATACATTATGCAACCCATAAAAAGAATGTTTTAAGATTAAGTAATAATATAGAAAAATGTTAATTAAAAAAACAGATATGCAAAATTCTAAACTATGTCAGGGTGTGTATAAGTAAAAATAATGGAAAGTAGTAACCATTGCCATGTTAGTAGTGGCTATGTCATGGAATTGTGAGCACTAGCTTTTCTTATATCTGTTTCTCAATATTCTGCAATGTGGGCAAGTTACTTTATATTAAAACATTCATAATTTGGTTACATTCACTTTATAGTAAACAAGTATAATCAAAATAGGAAATAGAATGGGCCAAATAAGAACTCCAGTTTAAATCCTCTATAATAAAGAGCTCACCCTTTTTCTTTGTAGAACACCAGCCAGTTTTTGTGTGAAAATTCTTTACACATTTTATAAGTTTCCTAAAGACAAACAAAACAAGATATTCATATTAAATGTGTCAGATACAGTCATGTCCCTCTTTAGCTACTTCCCCTTAAATAAAATAAAGTTCTTCAACTAGTAAAACATGTAATTCTCAAACAAGCTATCTATTTATCTGCTCTAAGACTCTTATGGTAAAATGGATTAAACTATATATCAAAATTTACTGTGAACTTTGTACTAAAGCCTCTTCAGAATAAATTTTTAAAAACAACACCAAACATTGTTAAGAAATAACAGGCTATCTGATGATTAACCATGGAATTTACACCATAAAATAAACACATGGGAAACACTTTGTTTCTTATATTAGGATACATTTATGACATTAAAAAAAATCACTCTTTTCATAGTCTTTTAAGACCTAAGTATGTTGACTTGCAGGGCAGAGGGTAAACCTTATTTTAAATCCATTATTTTTTTCTGAATGGCAGAATAAATTCTCTTGTGTTGGCCTAAACTATTTACTTACTAGTTTAATTTAGTTAATAAACTAAAACACTTATTTGTCTAATGGAGGAAATTAGGTATCATACTCACAGTTTCATCATATAAATCCAAAACATAACTACATAACTGGAAAACAGGTTAAATTGACTCCATGATCAGAAATTTGTTAAAAATACGATATTCAAATAGTTTTTAATTTTCTCTTATTGTTAGTCCAGTCCTGGCAAATCTTCATGCAAGTATAATGTCATAAAAAGAATTTATTGATATTTAATTATACACATATCTATGGTTATATATATCATGTTAAAATCTATACGTGCATAACAGGAAATTCTCTTGTGCATTACAACAAAAAAGGCACTTAAAGGGATGGGCATGCATGCATCTTTCTGGTTAGAAAGCTATAGAAATCCTTGGCAATTTGTGGGACAAATGTGGTGTTTCTTACAGCTTCTTCTTTGTTCCACCAGAAAGGTTTCTTAGATGTAAACTTCTCGGAAGGGAGGATGAGACGATGAAGGGCCCGGCCAGTAGTATCTAACAACAGGATAACATTACTCTGCAAATGATAAAAACAGTGAAAAGCTCAAGATTTGTTCTTTTTTTTTTTTTTTTTAAAGCAGCAACCTCTTGGCAACCTGACAGTGAAGGTTATAGTGATAAATCAAAACAAAGACAATATTGTAATACTTAAGAAATATCACAAAGACATTAAGTGATTTTTCTTAAGAATCACAAAGAATTAAGTGCTTCTTAATTTAAGAATTTAAAATTTTTGGTGGTTTTATGAAGACGTTTCTAAATATGTGATGCAGAAGGTATTCTCTTTAAATATTTTTATGTAAAAACCATTCCCTTTTAAATATAAGCTAGTTGAACCATGATTCTGTTTTATTATCTAGTTATAAGGAAATTACAAGGATTGATGATTTTAAGAAATTCATCTACCTGTAACAAAATTATACTTAGAGAATGCTCAGTTGAAAGCTCTCTTATATTGTGCATAATTAAATCTCATTTATCTTTTTCACAAATCCAGGTTCAATTTAGAAAATAGGTATAAAATAGATATAAAGAGGACTAAGCAAGAAATATGAAGGACTCCAAGAAACTAGCTAGTAATGAATGTTCCTTCATTTAGAAATTCACCAAGCTTGAAGAACCTTCATAACTGGTGCTGTAATAAAGTACAAACAACAGATTTCTGCAGCATTATTAATCACAGCTATGCAATGATGTAATCTTTCAGTAATTAGGATACGTTTTTTTAAGAAAATAAATAAACCTTATGTGTTGAAATAAATGAACTGAAATACATGAAATAAAAACTTAACATTGAGAAAGCCAGAAAAAATTAAATATTTTAAAGGGATGCAAAGAAGTTGGCTTTTTAGTTAAAATATAAAGAATTTTGAAGATTAGACTAACAGGTTTGCAGAAAGGTACCTGCAAGTTATTTGTCAGACCTCATTGTTATGCGGGTGTCTTTTCTTTCTTTGTTTTATTTTATTTTAAATGTGGGGCTCCTCCAGTTATCCTAACTCTTGTGAACTTTTCATTTCAAGAAGAATTTCTTTTGGAGAAAATAAAGTCACAAAGCACATGAAGAATTAATAAAAACCTTGAAAAATATAGAAAACAATAAAATGTGAAGTGTTTGTTCATTTTTTCCATAATATTTATTGAGGAGCTTATATTTAATATATAAAGAATACAACAATGAATTAATCATGACCCTTGCCTTCTGTCATATAATTTAGTTAGAGAAATAAAAAGAAATGTAAAAAAATGAATGATTCATCTGCAAATCTAGCATCTCAGTGTGGGTTTAATTTTATTTTACAAGCTAATTTTGTGGAAGTGTTCAAGAATTAAAATAGTATTTGCACCATATAACTCACTTCACACCATATACTCTGAATTTTATTTGTATTAAAAAATTTTACTAAGCATGTTAACCAAGCTTAAATTTCTTTCATAAACATCACCCTTAGAATGTATCATTCTGTATAAGATATAATTCTCCATTAAGAATGTGTGTTAGAAATATTCTTTTAAAAATTAACATATAAGAAGTGTCATTCACCACTACTTGACAGTTTTGAAAATGGTAATGATATCTTAGAGTTTTCCTTAAGAAAAAAATAAAATTAAGTTAAAAATTTATAATCTCTATTCTAGATTAAATATTTTTTGAATGAGTACTTTTTGATGGAAAAAATATTTCTTGTATAATAAATATGTACAACGTTAAAATGAATTCTTAGCACTTAAGCAATTTGGGATAATATTAGCCTTTGTAAGCAAAGGAAGTCCTAAAAATGTTTCATGCCCAAAAATGAGTAAGCATAAGAATAAGCAGTTGATTAAACAAATATGATCAAGCAGAAAAAGAAGTTAGTATCGTCTTCCATTTTCCTACCTTTTTAGGGTCTAATACTTACATATTCATAACATGGCATAAGTGAACTGAAAAACTGTATCTTTCTAAGTGACAGAAAACATGTATTTCCAGCCACTGCTGTATTTAGAATTAGTTTATAAGCAATTGGCAACATGAAGGAGTTCTGTTGCTCCATCCTTTTAGATGTTAATGGTTTCCTTCTGTAAATGACTAATGATAGATTCTGTCTGGGTTTAAAAATAGAATTTTGCGTCACACATGAGTACATGTAACTGTGGCTTTGGCACTCCTTTAAGGGGGGCAGGGAGGAGACGCGAGTGAGCAATTTTATTATGTTTGTATTTAACTGGGAGAAAAGTAACCTCTGGATGACCTCAATGTCCCTAAATCTGAAATTCTAAACTTTGTACAGATGTAATAAATAATCTCATGGGGAGTGGGGGAAGGGGAGGGTCTTTATTTTTAGGCATGGCAAAGTTTCCCTTTCCTTACTTAAGATTTTATTTTAGCAAGGAATTTTTGAACAACTTCTTAAACTAACCAGGGACATGCATCTGAGCAAAGCTTTATGTTAAAAAGGCAAGGAATAGCCGAATTCATGGAAGTACTTCTCTATAATATTTTGCTTCATTTTCAGTTAGGGTAGAATGAAGAAGAAGGAATTGATGGCAGTCTACTTATTTTTCATTCCACTAGAATTATTTATCAGTTGTTAAATTTCACAGCTGTGTGCTGTTCACATGGAATTTTACAGGTCTGACATCTTGACAGAGGTATATTGTAAAATAAGATACTCTCTCCGGGAAAAGAGAAGGCAGTTTAGAGGACAGGTAGAGAGGAAGTATACAGATAAGGTGTGCAGGTCTGCTCAGGGTTCCGAAGCAGTTTCCTGGAAAACTTGAAACTGTGGCCAAAGGGGTAAGTAAGGCAGTATATGAGGAGGCAAGATGCTGGCTATGGAAGTCAAGCACAGCTTCACAATGAAAATCAGATTTTCTTTCATGAAAGTAATTGAAATTAAATAAGGTATTAATCAGCAATGTTACCAAATAATTGGATCTTTTGAGGAAATAAAACTCTTGCTGAGAACCTACAAATCTGGCACTTTTATTAAAGAATTTGTGTATGTAAATTTGACAGTTAATTTGACAGCTGAAAATGTGGCAGGACTGTTAAAATAAATATTCCAAATGTAGTCTCATCCAATTTTGACTGATTTACTAAATTACAAACCACCAAGATATCATGTACCTTTTATGACACATTGTTTTGGTTATAGAGTTAAATTCAATGGCATCAATACTTTGTTGAAAATCTTTAAAGTAAAACCCTCATTCCAATTTTCAGGAGATAAAGTTTTATAAACAATATCTGGATGTTTATAAATTCTGCTCCTAGGAGAAAGTAAAAGTAAAAATAAAAAAGTGAAAACAAAATCAGAAAAATACTTATAACTCAGAATTTGTGATAATTTCTGGTGGCAAGGACTAAAGTTAAAGTTGACTTATTTCCTCAATGAACTACTGATATATTATGCAATACTTTTCTCTTGATTAGTGAAAGTATTATTTCTTGGTAGCACTTTGCTCTTTAAATATTCATAAGTAACAACACTGCATTTAAAAAATATTTTCCTATTATGAGTACTTTTTAATTTTCAAACTAATCTTTTTCCCCAAATCTGTAGTGAGTGAGAGAGTAGGTGATGTTTAATTCTGGTAGGGTCAATCCAATATGCTATGAATCTCAGTTCTGCTATGTACTTGCCAGACAAGTTACTTGAAGTCTGAGCCTCAGTCCTCTCATATGTAAATGTGGCTGAGAGCTACCCTCACTGGGCAGCTGGAAGAATAACATGAGTAATGTAAGCAATCTCTTACATGTTATGTCATCAGCATTTAACAATTGATCCTTATCTTTGAGACATTCATCACTTGCATTCCTGGATAACACACTCCTCAGCTTATCTATCTACTCTATTGGTCACTCACTTTCAAACTCATTTTCAAATCATTGATTCTTCCTCATCTCCCTGATTTCTTAATATTTTACTGCCCCAAGGCTTAGTGTTTGAACTTCTGTTCTCTATTTACATTCACTCCCTTGGTGAGTTCTTTCAGTCTCATGGCTTTAAAGAACATTTGTTAATGAATCCCAAGCTTGTATTTCCTGGTAGGAGCTCTCCATTGAACTCCAGTCTTATCATCTACGTGGATATTTAATAGACATCTCAAACTGAATCTAATATCATCTGAGCTTCCCTCCCAAACTGATTGCTTCCCCATCTTAGTCACTGGCAACTTCAAGTTGCTCAGTCCCTAAATTTTACGGTTGTCCTTTACTTTCTCTCTCACCCCAAATATTGGAATTGTTTGGAAATCCTGTTGGTTCTACCTTCAAAATATATCTAGAATCTGTCATTGCTTATGAGCCCCATCCTCCTCCAAACCACCATTATTTCTTAACTAGTTTCCCTCATTGTGCCTTAGCACCTACAGACTATTCACACAGAGCACCCAGAGAAATCCTTTAATCATGCTAGCTCCCTGCTCAAAACCTCCTAATGTCTTCCCCTTTTACTCATAGTCAGGACCCAGAAACTTCAACGGCCTACAAGACTCTACACCAGTGGCCCCCAACCTTTTTGGCACCAGGGACCAGTTTTGTGGAAGACAATTTTCCCACTGACTGGGGAGGTGGGGTGGGGGCTGTGTGGGGGTGTGAGATGGTTTCAGGATGAAATTATTCTATCTAAGATCATCAGGCATTAGATTCTTACAAGGAGCGCACAACCTAGATCCCTTGCATGCGCAGTTCACAATAGGGTTCACACTCCTATGAAAATGTAATGCTGTGGCTGATCTGACAGGAGGTGGAGCTCAGGCAGCAATGCTTACTTGCCCACCACTTACCTCCTGCCGTGCGGCCCAGTTCCTAACAGGCCAGGAGCCAATACTGGTCTGCGGCCTGGGAGTTGGGGACCCCTGCTCTGCACAACCTGCTTCTCACCACCCCCTTCACTTTGCCCCTACTCCAACCCACAGTGTAACCTCTTTATCTCACCTCCTCCTACTTCCCTCTTATTCAATCTTCCCCACTACGCTTCTTTAAAGATGAAGAGGCATGTTTCTAGACTCTGGGCCTTTAAACCTACTATTCCTTTTGTCTAGAACTCTCTTCTTCCAGGTACCTGTTCTCCTCTTCACCTCTCTAAAATCTTTGTTTAAATATCCCCCTTTCAATTAGACAATCCCTGCCTGCCTTATTTTAAATTGCAGTCTTATTCCCTCTTGTTTCTCACCTTCTAATTTAAGATATAATTATTTATTTTGCTTATTGTCTATCTTCCTGGATCAGAATGTAAGCTTTTGAGAACAAGAATTTGTGGGTATTTTTGGTCACTGCAGTATCCCCAATAGGAGGCACATGATATATATTTGTTGAATGAATAATATGCTTAGTGTAGTACTTGGTATATACTAGATAGATAATAGGTATACAAAAACATTAGGCTCCTTTCTATTGGTATTGTATAGATTAACTTAGACCTTTAGAATGATCACTAATTGAAGCACAATCTGTCTTCTGATATATGTGTTTTGTTTGGAATTATTTTTAGCCTGACTCCGGGCATCTGTGCTTGTCACTAGTACAATCTTAGTGTACTAATCCATAGTAAATGACGGATAGAACTTGAGCATCATTAGATACTGATGGATCTCACTGTATTCCCTTTGGTGTATTTACATGACTGTCTCTACCAAAAAACGTCATTCGGGTCTCAGATAAAATGTCGTCTCCTAAAAGGAAATATCTCAGCACTCTTTTTAATACCATTCACCTCAATTCCTCCTACCCCATCTACATCACTCCCTTGGACATTACTCTGTTTCTATATGTAACAATTATCATTACCTGAAACTGGCATGTTCATTTGTTGGTTTACTTGTCTATCTCCCCAAAATGAGTGTAAGCTTCATAACAAAGAATCATCTGACCTCAGATGTCAATAGTGTCGAGGTTGAAAAACCCTGACTTACCTGTTTCTAGAGGTATAGGTCATGTTGAAGTCTCTAGAGAAAAGAAGATATTAGCCTGCCTTTGTAGTACTGATAAAATGCAACTCCTGACCCATCCCTCCAGCTCCTCTCCTTGATCATCATGAAAGCACATCTTTTCAGTTATAGGTTTCTAATCACTCTTGCCTTTCATGTAAGTCATTCCTCACATAATTGTAGCCTGGTGTGCATTACCTGCTGCTCATGGAGAACCACTTGACCTTTGAGAGGACTTCCCAGCGGTGCCACTGTCACAAAAGGGTGCCAAACGCCATTGGCTGTTCTTGGGAAGATATCAAAAAAGTCCACAAAGAAGCCACTTTTCCCAGTCATATTCATAAAGTACAGGGAAGCGGGATTGCATGTAACTACATAGAGAGTATTTTGCTCATTTTCTGAAATGACAAAAAGGTGTTAATTTTGTGGCTGGCAACCAATTCTCTAATTGGCCAAGAGGTCTAGTGAAAACTGAATCATGAATACACAGCTGGAACAGAGTTGGAACTCAGCAGATGATTTGTATCATGGCTTGATTAGGCTGAAAAGACCATGAGAAACAACTTAGTTTTGACCCTAAATGTAGATAAGGTCACACCTACCTACTTGAAAAAATTGGTTATCTATTTGTTCCCCAAAGAATGTCATAATATCTTGTGATAAAACCATTAAATATTAAACAATCCTCAATGTCAGGAAATTCTTCCTTGTATGACAGTAACGTGCTTAGTGCTACAGTGAAGGTCTGTTCTCTTGTTGGTTCAGATGGACACCAGTTGGTCAATGTCTTCTATCTGCTAATCTTGCATTTTCCAGATAGTTACTAGCTCTTTAAGATCTTCTTGCTGTAAATAAGTAATTCCATTTAAAAAATCTTAGCTCTATGGATCTTATTTTCCAAATTTTTGTTCATATTTGAGTATTTCTTACTATAAAATCTCTGTCTTTTCAATCTGGGTACCTAAGTCCATTTCCTTCCATTTGAAGAAGTCAGTGCTTCTTCAAATTTCAAGTGCCTATGAATCACCTGGGGATCTAATAAAACTGCAGACTCTGCTTCAGGAGGTTTGGGGTGGGGTTTCAGATTCTGCCTTTCCAGCAAACTCCCAGGAGAGGCTAATGCTGCTGGTTTGAGATCCTCCCTTTTGAGTAGCCAGGCTCTGGACTAAGTTTCTCATAATCTCTTATGTGGGCACCGCTGAAGCAAGGGATTAAGCTACTTTTGCATAATGAATGGTATCAGCATCACCTATCACCCAGGTATCTATTTTACAACAGTCATATTTTCCAAACCCCAAATTAAGACATGAGATATGACAATAAGATACGTCATTTAAATTTGGGACTACCCTGGAAAATCTGGAACACTATGTGTGTCTGTGTGTGTATGCATCATATCTATTTATTATATATAATGATATATTATACATATCACACATATTATATATAAAGATACAGTAAATTTAAATAAATAAGTGAACTGATAAGAAACACAAGTCAACAGAAGGACTGAAAAAGACCTATTTTTTTAGGAGACAATGCAAACTGTAGATGTTAGTTTCAATTATCAGATAGAACCACAGAATTTATAATTTATGGATCTTTCATAATGCTTCCATTATCAACACAAATAAGTTCTATTCAACATTTATGGCATAATATAGGGCACTGGGAATACAGTAAAAGTGTTAACAGAAATGTACTTAATAAACTCTTTAACTGTTTTCTCTTTTTGCAGGCATTAAATGCAGTTCAGTCTTTGTCTTAAACATACAGATACAAGATTTATATTTATCTTTTACCAATTTAAGAAAAACTGTAAATTTTTAAAAGCACATATTTTTATTTAAAATAGCAGATTTGTGGAATAAACTACATCAATAGAACTTATAGGCATAAAGACAAGATACCAATTTTTGTCTCAACAATTCTCATCTTATCAAGTTAGAGACTCTCTCCCTTCCCCCAGCCACCACTTCTGTTTTTATCACCTTAGTAACTGACAGCAGTTGAGGAACTTCTGCCAAAATGTACCCAGGGTCCACTGCATGAATCAGTAGGTAATGGCAACAGTCCAGAAGTGTGGATGCCAAAAATTCACATTCTTTATTTGCCATCCTTTACAATTAGAAGTTTAATGACTGCAAATCACTCCAGCCCTACTTTCATGGTTCATGTAATCACCAAACTGGAATCCCAGCCAAAAAACCCAATGTTTCTCCTTTTTATTTTTCCCTTCTATTTTTAGCACATGCCTGGGTGTGTTTAACTTTGTGCTACAATTGTAATGAGAAACAGACATATGCATACAAACTCAGGAGTGCTTATGTGGATTCCACAATAGCATTTTTTTAGGTTGTTAGAGGAAATTAGTTCTAAATTACATATAATTGCTATCCAATCCAAGAATGACAGACACCAAGTCTATCATAAACTTTTTGATGTCTAGAGATTATTTTAATCCATCTTTTAAAAAAACATGTGCAGGAAGGAAAGATCAAAAGAATAAGCAGACATACCATGTGATGTAGCAATGTCACAGATTATATTAATTTCATCCAATGGTATTCTCCATGAGGCACATTCTTCAGTAAAGTTTAGGGATCTTTCTTCATGTCTTTCTATTGGATACTCCTGTATATTTATAAGTGCTGGACCCTATAATAAAGCAGTTATCTCAGTTAAGATATTTTGGTTGTCACCAAAATGTAGAAAAGCTAAAGTTCTTCCAAAATATAAACTTTAACATTCAAGTATTTAATATCCTGCTATACCTTTTTTCAATTTATTGACAGGCTTAGTACTCATAACAGTAATAGTATCACACACTTGCACTTATAAATGCTTTCACATGTGCTATCTTATTTAATTTCTCATTTTTTCTTTTTACTCACAAAATATACCAGATGTAAAATCCTATAGCATTTCTCATTTCTTCATTCCTTCCTAAGGCGAGAGCCAGTTTTGAACTCCAAGTATCAGGACGCAGAGCTGTCCAAACCAGGAGAATAATTCGCAAATGAATGAGCCAGAGCCTGATGCATTTCCATTGTGAAGAAGGATTTTTATGTCATTACACAGAAATGTAATGGTTAAACCTGGGTATTTTAAATTAAATGCAAAACATGTGGCATTTGAAATTTTTTAAAAAACCAAACTTACTGATAACCACTAGTGGTGACTTATGAAGGATAGAGTATTTCACACATGGTGATAATTATTCAATATAAATATAAGCAGAGGAGCTAATTTAATAATGTTAAGAATATTAGTTCTGGGTACTTAGATATGACTTCTTGAAAGAATGCTATAAATGTAAGCAAAAACCAGTGATTTGCATGCCCTACAGTCCTTAATTAATCAAAAATGTTTGGACTAGATATTGGCATCCATGTCCCCCGCCCACCACCCCTCTTCTATCTAGTCTATATCTTGAGGGCTAGGGAGTAAGAAACTGCATTTCTCATACTCTCTTTAAAAAGGGTTCTGGAAATGATTTAGGTTTTGCCAATTAAATGCACTTGAATGAGATTTGGAAGGCAGAAAAGAGGTAGTGGCCATCTTCCTGCAGTGATAGCAGACAAGGAGGCTCTGACAAAAATGAACAGTTGGATTACCACATGTCTGGGTGTGTTTCACTTTGTCCTACTGTAAGGGTTGACAAACTATGGCCTCCAGGCCAGGTCTGATCCACAGCCTGTTTTTTTTGTAAATAAAATTTTGGTGAAACACAGCCACTTCCATTTGTTTACGTACTGCCATGGCTGATTTTGCACTATACGGCAGAGTTGAGTGGTTGCAACAGAATCTGTAGGGCCACAAAGCCTAAAATATTGACTCTGTGGTCCTTTAGAGAAAATGTTTGCTGACACTGCTCTACTGTGCTGCCCTCAGCAGCAGGGATGACAGCAGAAGCAGAAATACTGATCTTGAAATTACAAGTCCAGTGTTGCCCCTCAACTTCTGTTCCTGCTGCCCTTTCTAATGATTTTACAAGCATCTACTTTCTCACAGTAAATTCCTTTCTGCTTGAAATACCTAGAGGGACTTCTATTACAACTAGTAACGGACAGTTCTTTACTTTACTTTCACATGAAGACTGAACCTGGCAACAATGTGTGGCTAAAAAGAGGCCAAAAATCAAAATGCACAAAGTTTTAATCCTATCAGCACAAGACAAATACCACAGAGCAACTTTCCTAGGAAAATATGTAACATACCTGACTCTCATCATCCAATTAGCTCTTTAGAAATTCTATTTAGCCTTTAGGAATTATCAACTGAGAGGCCAGCCTGATTTGAAAGTTAGAGCAGAAGCTAAAATAACATCCGAACAAATCATTTCTGAGATTGTTTGAATTATCTCCAGGGAAGATACAGCAAAATTTATAAGGTTCAATATTTTAAGAGAGAATAATGATGATATCAACCTTTATGTCTATATGATGAGTTTCCACTGGACACAAGAGTTTTTGCATCCCACTTCTTGCCTGACCAATTGTCCAGTAGCCCATGAACGTTTGTTCTGGCAGAGTCAACCTGTTAAGGATGATTTGCAAAGTAAATATTTCTTATTGTACCCAAGTCATAGAAAAAAATAACACGGCATCTATTATCAACCACACAAATAAATTTGAAGAGTGCTTTACTTAGAAGTGAGTTATACATCATTTTATTAAACGACAGTGTATAAAATCATGTTTAAAATATACTTTAAGACAAAAAAGATCTCGCATTTCAGAAACTAAGAAGGTAAGGCAAGGTCCTGTTTTTACCTTAATGACAAATACAATTGATTTACATACATACTCCTTTGAATTGCAGTAATTGAACATCTAAATTTCTGGTAGAGTATAGGAAAACTTTTCTTTAAAATTGGAGCAATCTATCAATTTTTTCAGTCTATTTTTTTTTTTTTTTTTGAGACGAAGTTTCACTCTTGTTGCCCAGACTGGAGTGCAGTTGTGTGATATCGGCTCACCACAACCTCTGCCTCCTGGGTTCAAGCAATTCTTTTGTTTTAGCCTTCCTGAGTAGCTGGGATTACAGGCATGCGCCACCACACCCGGCTAATTTTGTATTTTTAGTAGAGACGGGGTTTCTCAGGTTGGTCTCGACCTCAGGTGATCTGCCCGCCTTGGCCTCCCAAAGTGCTGGGATTACAGGCATGAGCCACCGTGCCCAGACAATTCTTTTAAATTTGGAATCAAATAATGAAGAGTACACCATACTACTAGTCCCACATTTGTATGTTGTATAGGGCAAGTTTCATAGACTTTATTTTGGCATCTTAATTTTTTTCACTTTGAATTAAAATATAAAATACATACTAAAATGTCCACATAAATGTCAGCTCTGCACACATGTGTAACAAGTACCCAAAGAGGTAGAGCATTACTGGCATCCAGAAGCACCTGTGGGGCCACTTTCAGCACTAATCCACCAAGGGAGCTAAATGCTGATTTCTGATGGAATCATTCTGTATTTAGATTCCCTTTTATTTAAAATGACTTTCAAATAAGGTGATTTGCCAAAACCAACATGGCAATACTAAAGTATAAAACAGCAGATAATTTTTTTTAAGTCTTCACTTTTTTTTTTTTTTCTTTGAGACAGGGTCTCACTCTGTCACCCAGGCTGGAGGGCAGTAGGGCAATCACAGCTCACTGCATCCTTGAACTCCTGGACTCATGATCCTCCCACCTCATCCTCCTAAGTAGCAGGGACTACAGGCATGCAAAACTATGCCTGGCTAATTTTTTTATTTTTTATTTTTAGTAGAAGCAGGGTCTTGCTGTGTTGCCCAGGCTGGTCTCAAACTCCTGGACTGAAGTGATCCTCCTGCTTCAGCCTCCGAAAGTGCTGGGATTACAAGTGTAAGCCAAGTCTTCACTTTTTAATCATACTATCTTTTATTTGAGTCTTTAAAATAGGAACCATTGATTTGTCATTTAATGCATTAGAAAATTAGTGATTCAGAGTTAAAAGCTCTTTAAAAATAATATGCACATGGCTACAAATTGAAATGTATCCTTGGAATGAGTTTGATGATCATTAAAAGAACACGTTTATATTTAGAAATTATTTTATTTAAAGTAAAAAGTAGTCTGACATAATATTTCCATATGCTTAATAAGATCATGTAAGGCTAAGATATTTTTTGCATAAAATAATGGAAGCAAACATTCTAGTAGAATATGCTTTTCGTCCCTTTTGAATGCTAATGTTTATCACAAGAGGAACGAAATTAAAAAGAAATTTACATTGAAATTCTTCTAAGTCATATGACATAAACCTCTCAAAAGCACACACACACTTTTGAATCTATCATCTAAAATATATTTTAAGTATCTGTACAATTATCTCAATCGGGGACCCACTTACTTCCATCTTTTTACCAGGAAAGAATGTGTGTGTGCAGGGGGTCGGGGGAGGGTACTGAATTAGGGGAATAAAGGGTTTTACAATTACTGTGTTCTCTCTTTTGAATGTAATAAAAATACATTTCTGTGTTAATAGGCCAGATCTTGAAAACATAGACTGGGATCTCTCTCTTGGTTTAGGGAATAAACTATATTTTACATTTGCTTTCAGCAGTTCACCAAAGGAGAATTGGGGCTCCAAATGTAGAAACAGAAAAATAACAGAAGGAGATACACTTAATATTCTGCCAGCATAGAAGACATAATGTAACAGACTGCAAGAGATTTGGGTTTTAGTTCTAGTTCTTTTATTAACCTGCTATATAAACTCGGGAAGGGGAAAGTCCATTGTTTTCTCTAAGTATTAATTTTTTTTCTTTTTTTGTCTTTTTGACTTTGCTTGATATTAATTTCTTCATTTGTGAAATGAAGGGAATGATCTGTAAAGTTCCTTACAGCTTGGGGAGTCTGTGAGGATCAAGGAAGAGAGTAGAGAGAAGTGTCACTGGTAAGTTTTATAGTCTTGCATTGTCTTGATACTCTGAAGTGAAAATAAATAATCAGAATGAAAATATCTATAGTTACCAACAGAACAGATCCCCTGATAGATACACATGCTTTATTAAAGCATATAAAAACAAGCTCTGAATACATCCCAAATTGGTTCTTTGAAGACAACAGAAACAGTTTCACATCTTGAAATTTAATTTAATTCAGGGGAGATCATTAATTAAAACAATCTTTGGTTGATACCTAGCCTAAAAAATTGATCTAATATATTCTTTCATAAACCGTACCAAACAATCATATAAATGCTTTAAAAAAATAAAAAACCTTCATCCATTTGAGAAAAAGTAACTTTGCTCAACTTTCAGATTTTACTGACAATGCCAGGCATGTTCATAAAATCTGGTTTGAACTTGCCAACTCATTCTAAGTAAGTCATGGAAATTATATGTTGTCTGGCTCTATATAAAAATAGCACTGGCTGTTTGGTTGGCAGGGTATGGGAAGGACCTCCAGGTACCCTATACAGAATCTATTTCAGAACCACATAACATGATGCTATTTGGCAGTAATAACTAAACTGAAAGACACATAACACAGGGTGTCCTGGAGTTACACAATCAAACTGACTCCATCCTGTCCCTTGGTAACATGGGGTATTATTGTTTCCGGACTTTTACTGTAGGCTCTAGGCTGGCCAAACTG
This sequence comes from Homo sapiens, assembly GCF_000001405.40. NCBI lineage: Eukaryota > Metazoa > Chordata > Mammalia > Primates > Hominidae > Homo > Homo sapiens. Next base: position 41,706,507 of record NC_000013.11, read on the forward strand.
AGGTAAACCCAAGACCCTCATTTATTTTCCACTACTAAGACCTCTGAATAAGCTGTGGGAAAATTTGACCATTACTAACTTTCTCTCCCTTGGTAAGTTAGTAGTCAGGGGAAAGGGGAAGCATTGTATTATATTTCGGTAAATGAGCAAGCTTTGGAATTTGAAACATAATCAACATTAATTTAGGGGAAACTCTAAATAACCAGCTAGCAAAAGGCCCTCTATTCCCTTAGTGAACTATGTCATCCAACTCTGACCAGACTTAAGTTTTAATATCTGATTTGATTAAAACAATAATGGCATTTTCCATGGCTTTAAGACTTTGTCACTTGTATTGTTTAACTTTGTTAAAGTCCTAGCTGGAAAGATGTGTGGATTTGATTTCATGGGGAAGGAGAAGGAACTTAAGGCCCATAAATAGCACTACTTTTTATCTGCAATGTCATTCATGAATTTATGTTTTTTTAAAACAGTGAAATATTTCAGTTCCTATGTTTGTCATTTCTTAATCCCTTGTGGAAATGATAATAAGGATCTGGAAGTAAAAGTTTGGACTAAAAGAAAGGTGAGTATCATAATTATGACTCAGGTCAAATTATAGTATTTGAGCAAGTTACAGAAAGAACAAAAAAGGTTTTCTTTTTTTAAAAAACACACATACAATTCATAACATGATGCATATGGACACCAAAGCCAAGTACTATATAGTCTGAATGACATGCAACAGATTTGTCTAAGATTGCTTCCATAAAGAGGTGAGCTGGGTTTTAAAGAGTATGTTCTGGCAAATTTCTGCCTTCTCTGAACATTTGCCAATACTATTTTTGGAATATGAAAGAAAACACATGCAAAAGATTTGGATCTTTCTAGGGGCATTATGCAATTGGAAGTTGTTGACATACCTATTATCAACAATTCCGAAAACATTTCCTTACCACAAGAACTACTAATTTTCATGGGAATAATGGAACCCTTCAGGGCTGTTCCAACAACTCTCAAAAATTCAACAATTACTACCATCTTTGAGAAGAAAAATAACAACTCCAATTTTAGCAGGCCTCACTCATTCCTGATGTTTTAAATCTAATTTCTGGCAAAAATTAAGTTGAGTTGTCCAACAAAGTTCACTGGAGCCTTTCATGGAATAGCCCTGACTAATAATTCTGGCTTTGTGCTTATCCCTTCCTTTCAGTCTCAGCCACCTCAAACTATTAGTTGCTATTCCTGAATATGCTATGCATTTTCATGCTTCCAGGAGGCCATTACCTCTGCCTAGAATTCCTTTCTGCTCTGGCCTCCTTGGTGAAATCCTTCTTATTCCCAAGTGCCAATTCAAATGTCACTCCCCCTTGCATTACTCCCCACTCCCCTATATTCCTTTCTGGGAAAAATGAATTCCTTACACTTCTGGGTTTCCACATAAATTTATACATACAAAACTCCTAGAAACTCTTAGAATAAATTTCTATAGAATCTGTAATTTTCACATTAAAGACCTGAGAGAGAAAAAATTTTAGAGAGAGCAGGTCAGAAGTAAACCAAGAAATCCCTTAAAATATTTTTACATGGGGCCGGGTGCAGTGGCTCACGTCTGTAATCCCAGCACTTTGGGAGGCCGAGGCGGGCGGATCACCTGAGGTCGGGAGTTCGAGACCAGCCTGACCAACATGGAAAAACCCCGTCTCTACCACAAATGCAAAAAAAATTAGCCAGGCGTGGTGGCGCATGCCTGTAATCTCAGCTACTTGGGAGGCTGAGGCAGGAGAATTGCTTGAACCCGGGAGGCAGAGGTTGCAGTGAGCCAAGATCGCGCCACTGCACTCCAGCCTGGGAAACAAGAGCGAAATTTGGTCTTAAAAAAAAAAAATTTGTATGTACTAAAAGAAAAAGCCAGCACATTAAAGAGAGATAATACAAATGCCCCTTTACATACTTGAAATTAGTAACAATGGATACCATTATTAATTCCCAGTAATATCTTCCTTTATTTGCTAGAAACTTCAGAATGTCGCTTCCCTACCATCTCACAGGATGTTGGTAAATTAATTTGGCTTTGCTGCAAATGATGTATACCTGAGTATTTGTACATATTTTCTCTTTCTGTGCTTGGTTCTGCATTTAGCTATTATGGCTTCCACTTCATAACTTAGACTTGTATACCTCTCCCACCTAGGTCCTGCAGAGATCACAGAAATGCAGAGTAATCTAGATGTATGAGATGGAAGATTTTGGGAAATTTGCTATTCTTGGCAGGCACTTCTCAAATATACTCCCCGATACCCAGAATGACACTGTAGTTTAGTGCTGTTGCCCAGCGTCACTCAGAGCCAAAGCAGATGTTGTCAGCTTGCTCCACACATCTCTGGCTCTCTTCCTCCTCACAGAAGTTGCCAGACTAGTTCTGGGGCCAGGGTTTCCTTTCCTTCATCTTTCTTCACATTTCACTGAAAAAAAGTCTTCTCTCTTTCTGCCATCTGCTTTATCAGTTGCATCTTAGTATTTTCTAATCTTATGTTCTTTCCTTTTCTAATCGTCCACGACAAGAATAACTGGGACTGAAACTCTCCCAGTTGTTGAAAACTTTCCCAGAGAAAAATTTCCTGTATTTCTCACAAGGACTCACGGAATGAAAACTCTACTATGAATATAGCACTTTGAATATAACATTGCATAATAAGGTTGGTAGTTTTACATGTTTTCCTTACTAGAGTGTTAATGCATCGAGAGTAAGCCTTACATATTACTCATTTGGATCTCTAGTATTCAGAATCCATCAGTTCTGCCACCTAATCCTCTCTCGCTGTTGTACCTCTTTTTCATTGCCACGGCCACAATGTGGGCCTCATTCTTCATCACCTGGGTTACTGCAACTGCTTTGCAACAGGTCTTCCTGCCTTTAGGTTCACCGCCTTTCAGTTTATTACCTTTAGAAAACCAAAAAGGAGTCTTTTTAAATTAGAAAGGTAACCATGTTGTTCTCTGATTGAAACTCTGATCTCTTCCTTTCAGCCTCACCACTCAGCATGCTCTCATTTAACCCTGAGTTAGTTGCCAAAGGGCCTCTAATTTCCAAAATGCACCATATTTTCTTAAAATGTCTCCAGTGTTCTTCCCTTCTTTATTTGCCTGGAGAATAATTTAATGATTCAGCCTCTCTATCTTCACTGACTCTTCCCCAGGGCAGATGGCTGCAATCCTGAGTCTTGGTTCCCTCTTGTGTGGCTCTAACTTCACATGAGTCACTCTGTCTCTCTGTCTCTCTCTCTTTTTTTTTTTTTTTTAAGAAACAGGGTCTAGCTATGTTGCCCAGCTGGAGTGCAATGGCTATTCACAGGTGCAATCATTGTGCTCCACAGCCTTGAACTTATGGGCTCAAGGAATCCTCCTGCCTCAGCCTCCTGAGTAGCTGGGACTACAAACATGCACCACCACTCCTGGCTACAAGTCAGTCTTTCACTTGACAGCTTTCCCAATTAATTGTGATCGCTTCAAAGGCAGATAATGAGTCTTCGTCACCTTTATAATTCATACTCCCTATATGTTGTTTACCACTAAGTAAGCGTCTGGTAAATGAAAGAATGCTTGGTTATATTATAACTGCCAACATTTTGACCTACTTGTTTCTCATCTCAACGGCAATTTGCAAACTACTATGGTAAATTTTCCCTTTGCATTCTGATTACATGTCAACCATTTCCTTCACTTACAAGACTCAACAAATGATGCACTCTACTTTGCAGGTATATTTAGAAACGATAGCTACAGGTGGGGATTGGTGATTTCTATTCAGCTGGGAGACAGGCTTTCATAAAACATCACTTTTAAATGCTTAAGGGATCCAGAATCATTCTGTGCTACTGCATGCATGAGAGAAGATTCATAGATCTTGAAAATTTCTATGTAGATTCGTTTTGTATCCCCATAAATGAGCTAAAAGCAAATGGAATGGCTGTGAAGCTACTTCATAATATGCCAAGAGAATATAAGGCAAAGACTATGACAATATAAAACTCATCACCACTCTTCTGCTTATGGCACTTTTGAGATGTCATTAAGTAGACTTTATCATTTTTGAAACAAACAGCTCTTTTCTGAAATGAAATTAAATAGTCATTCAGAGTGGAATTGTACACCTTAGAACTCCACGATCAACACCATGAACTTATTTGAAAAAACTATGACTACAAAAAGAAAATTATGACATATAATAATTCGGGAAAATGAAAGAAAGGCACAAAACTTTAAACAAAGAATATTTTATGTTAGTTGGATAAACAGTAAACTGATAATCATTCTGACTTTCAAAGAGAATCTAATAAACGTATTCCAAAGAGAGGCCCTGGCAGGGGGATGTTCTTTTTGATGCCTCTGATACTTTGAAGACTCCATAGTTGTTCTTTGTTAGAGAAGTAGCAGCTGCTATTGATGGCACAACTATGTAAATTTTTAAAGCAGAAAACCGATTCTAGGCAGATGTCCTTTCAAGGGCAAATTCAAAAGAGATGAAGCTTTCTGTCTGCAAATATGCACATCTGGCACTGCTCTGAAAAGATAAATACTAAGTACAATCCTGTAACACACACTGCAGTACACACAAATGAAAACACAATCTCAGCTACTTTCATCAGGGGTAATACTAAAATATGTTGATGCATCAAAAGTAAGGGTTACATCTCTGATATAAGGGAAGGAAGTTACTACTTATTTGGCTTCCCTATTCAATTAGGGACAGTAGATGACAGAAGCTATGAGTTGGAAGGACGTTAAGGACTATTTAATTCATTGTTCTAAGTCTGAATCCTCTCAAGTGCCTCCCCAAAAAGGTTTGTCCAGATCTGTTTGAACCCAATCTACAGAAAGTACACCTTCTCTTTGTCCTCAGTAGTCTATTCCTTCTTTGAATGAATATAGGAGCTATTAGCCCCCCAAAGGAAGCCTACTCTAAGTTGTAATGACTTAATAGCAACTTACAGGTACACAGGTAATGCACAGGGATTTATGATTAATCTGTTAAAGTGATTATATTAATGATCGTAATTTTGAAGATCATAGTACTAAGTAAAGGATTTTTATAAAAGAAATTTCAGGCCGGGCATGGTGGCTCATGCCTGTAATCCCAGCACTTTGGGAGGCCAAGGCGGGCAGATCACGAGGTCAGGAGATCGAGACCATCCTAGCTAACACGGTGAAACCCCGTCTCTACTAAAAATACAAAAAATTAGCGGGGCGTGGTGGCGGGTGCCTATAGTCCCAGCTACTTGGGAGGCTGAGGCAGGAGAATGGTGTGAACCTGGGAGGCGGAGCTTACAGTGAGCCGAGATCATGCCACTGCACTCCAGCCTGGGCGACAGAGCGAGACTCTGTCTCAAACAAAAAAAAAAGAAATTTTAAAAAGAATTGTTCTATTCATTTTGAAGAATTTGTTAATGCAAACACTTTTTTTTTTTTTAAAGCAAAAGCAAATCCTTATTGCAGGAGAAAAGATTTAGGATACAAATACTACATGTTCTCACTCATATGTGGGAGCTAAAAAACTTACCTCATGGACATAGAGAATGGAATGATAGATACCAGAGGTTGGGAAGGTTGAGTGGGTGGGAGGGGCTTATGAAGAGAGGTTGGTTGATGGGTACTAAAATACAGTTAGGTAGAAGAGATATGTTCTAATGATTGATAGCAGACTAGAGTGACTATACTTAGCAATAACATTTTGTATATTTCAAAGTAACTAGAAAACAGTACTTGAAATGACACCAACACATAGAAATGAGAAATATTCAAGGACATGGATACCCCAAATACCCTGACTTGATCATTATACATTTCATGCATGTAACAAATACTCACATGTGCTCCATAAATATGTAAAATATTATGTATCAATAAAAAAAGATTTAAGATAATCTGCTCAGATTTTATAGAAGGGATGTGTTTATTAATTCCTGGAATCAATGACAAATAACATTAATATGAGGAAAACTGTAATTAAAAGAATAGGCCTAGTCCTCAATGCAAATATCTGATCCATGTTTCCAAATGGTAGAAAATAGAATTTGAAAGACAACTCTAAAGCTTCCATTATCTTTGAAATCTCCATATCTAATGTTGTATTGCATGGCTTTTCCCATGAAAACAGTTGACTAAACATAAAGATGATGTTTGGAATCAGAGAGATCTGTGGTTGAATGCCCCGTTCTATCACTTATTGGTTGTAGAATTTATTTAAGGTCTCTTGAATTTCCGTTTTTTAATCTGTAAAACAGATTCAAACACACAAATGTACATACCCCAAAACCTAATAGATAATAGAAAAAAATTACTTAATAGAAAAAACAATATTGTAATGTAGATTAGATGAGCTAACATTTGTAAAGTGCTTAGAGCACTTAATAAAGACTTGATAAATGTCAACTATTTTTATTTTTGCTGCTTTAAAAATGTGTTGTCTACCCTCACTTGATATGTTTATGTTGACACCTACCAATGCATAAACTTACTTATGCATTGGTAGGTTTAACTTCTGGTTAAAATGCCATAGAAATGCCTAGTTAACTTGATTTTTCACTTGCCGTTGGCAAAAGTGCCAATGTTCTGCCATTAGAGTAGGCACTGCTGTGTGGTATAAGCTTTGCTGTACTGGAGGCAAAGGTTCTAAGAAACAGCAATTTCAGCACAGGCCTTTAAAATTTTCATTTAAATAAGAGGACAAAATGAAAAATTCCAGTGTCCGGAGAGTCAATAGACATTTTACAAATAAAATGTAGAAAATAATACATGTGTTAGAAAATTAAAATATTACTAAATGTGATGCATCCTTTTCTCTTTCTAGGGCCTCTCTCAAAAACAACCACTACAAACAGCTATCCCTGTGTTCTGAAATAGTTTAAAAAGTGAACCTATTATATTTAATAAAAATATTGGCTATTATGGTCTTAGAACGTGTTAATTCAAAGTTACCTTATTTTGCCTGAAACACAAAATGTAAAAAATTTTAATTAAAGCATTAGAAGGCAGGAAGAAAATGCATAACAACAGGAAATCTGAGGAGTAACTACAAGACTTCATTAGGGCATCCTTTCCAGCTACAGGACACTTTTAAAGTACAGTCTCATATCACAGTTATTTTTAGATGTGCAGTTTATCTGGCAAGAGCATTTTTATATGTCTGAAAAGGATGATGACATTTAAACCTATGCATAAAGACACAAAGCACTGATACTAATGTTTTTAATCCTGATGAGAACATCTCATATACTTTATGAATCTTGTTCATTATGTTTAGAAAAAATAAGTTTACAATTTCAAGGAATGAGGGAAATGGAGAAAAAGTAGAGATGGGAAAGAAGTGTTAGACATAATTAAATAAATTTATTTTTGATAACTTTCTTTCCAACAAATTAGCTTGTGAATGAAGTGTCTTAAGAAGAACTCCTGGAATATCTCTTCTATTATGTCAAAAAGAAAGACTCAAGAAAATAAAAATAATTAGAAAGAAATATTTTTCAGTGCATGAAATAACACATACAGTCACAGGAAAAAGTCTAGAAGGATCATCAATGGCTATTTCTGGATGGTAACATTACAGGAGTTTTTATTTTCTTTTTGCTGATTAATTTTAAAAATAAATGGGATGCCATTCTTCATTTAGTAAATATCATCATAAAGAAAGCCAACATCTAAAAAACTTTTTAATTTCCTTAGTTTTTTTTTCTATTTGACTGATAGAAATGGATGTTTGTTAAATAATAGCTAGTTTGCTAGTGACAAATAGGCATTGAATGCTCTGGGAGGAAAAGTAGCTTAATATGAAGTAAGTAGTTTAACATCAAGTAAGTAGCATTAAAAAAGAAATCAACAGAATTAAGGGCAAAGAACTTGGAGCAGAGAGAATGAACATTTAAGTATTTTATAGAATGTGTGTCTCCTAGAGAAGGCAGGGAGAGAAAAACACATGAAGGTAACTTCAGAGGATAGAGACAATTTCTCTGTATGCTTATTTAAAAAATTACCACAATCTTTGAGAAGTCTATAAATTTCTTTTGTGTTCCAAATCAAGAAGAAATGATGGCTAGTATACTTCTTATATAAGGTAGTCATACAAAGTTTTCTAAGGTTTTTATTTTTCTAAGTGAATCACCTTGTGTTTTATTTTTTGATCCTCCATATGTCACAAGAAAAGGAAACTTAAATGAGAATGAAGAGGTCTCCAAAATGATCTCTGTTGTGCCAAAAGTCTCTATTTATCTGCTTCGTGGTTACTCTTCACTTTGAACTATGGCTAAAATCCAAGCATCTGAATCTGTTATAATTCCTTGAAGAATAAGAATTTGTATATTGTATGTACATGACATCACGGTCAATGATGAGTTCCAAGTTGGTTACTTAAAATCCCAAGGTCCTTTTAAGCCAAAACTATTGATAATTTTCAGTATCTAAATAACTACTCTGATCTAGAAATTCCCTGCAATCTACATATCAATCTGTTTATATCATCCTTAGAATTGGAATTAATATTACATATAGCCCAGCTGTACCCCTGCTTTCTAACCTCCAGCAAGTTACATAACTTCTCTGTGCCTCAAATTCCTCATCTACAAGATGCAATAATATTATATATATGCCATAGGTCCGTTGGGAGAATTATATACATTTATGTAAAGAAAGTGCTTGGAAATATGTCTGGTACGTAGTTATCTATAAATGTTTCTATTACCATCATCAATATTATTGTACTACCATCATTATTACCATTATTATGAAATATAATCATAACATTGTTGTTGTTATAATTATATTTAGAAGTATTTACATTTCATTGTTGATCTATGAAATGACAATTTTCTCATCTTAAGAACTGGAAAGTTAGAGCGACATATAAATTTAAGATAAAATAGTGTATAAGTTTCTTAAAATGGAAATCTCATGAAAAAGATAGCATTTTTTTCTTTCTTTAAAACAAATGTTTTCCCAGTATAGCAGATTTCATAAATTATTCTGAAACACACTTTTTAATTTGGAAGTGCTAATGTGCTAGCAGTATGTTTATTCCCAAATAAAAGAAAGTTCAGACATAAAAGTTCACTTGAGGAAAAAACAGGCAAACTTTGCTTTAAAGTTTATATTTATAGTTGTCTATACTGAAGTATAGCAGATAATCTATGCCTTTGGTTGGATGTTTGGACCTAATTCTCTTAAAATATATATGTTACAAAGATATTTCCAATAACAACATTTAAAATTCAAGAGTTTCAATTTTAACATAAATCCTCCTATCTCTCCCTACAATACTGACAAAATGACATTAGTACATGCAACACACACATATAGCATCAATTGTCTTGTTTCTCTATAGGCCAAATCCCCATCTTGAGTGTGGGGATGATCATCTTTTCTTGATTCATAGATGACATACAGTTGTTTCTCTATAGGACAAATGTCACAGAATTAAATTCAACCCCCATATAAAGCATAGTATTCATATTTTTAAAAATACTTTCTCCCGTATACTTCCTTATTTGGTTATGTTTGCCTTCTCTTGGCATGTCCTGTCCCATGTATTAGAAACTTAAAAGAGGAGCAATAACAAATCTCAGGAAGTACTAGTGGAAAGGGGCAAATGCAGTGGGTGGGTGGGGTCTAGGTAGCCAATTCTGATCCTGGTACTAAGGTCTGGGAATATATTTGCAGATAAGGAAGAAGAGCTCCATTATGGCAGGATCAAGTAAAATAAAATAACCACCCAATAAGACTCAGTCTAAAAATACCAGGTTTAGCAAAAGTTTATTAAAGAAGACAAGTTAAATTCACCTCATCACATTGGGCCTTTAAAAAATGTGCAGAAACCTGTGAGATAGATAACATCACTGCACTCTTTAGGAGAACAAAAGGGAAAGTGACAGCATCTCTCTTTTGGGAATTTTGCCAAAGAACACAAAAATAACATCACCGCTACTGAACAGACAAGTATATTCTGATTTCAGTTGAGGAAGAAGGTGCTGTAGATAGCTACACAAATAGTGGTTTAGCATTATCTTGGCCCTTGTAAAAAAATTCCCCCTTCTAAAACATCTGACTTATATCTCTTTTTAGCTATATGTAGTGGGTGGCCAATTATCTTTCCATCCCCATCCTGAGTGTGGGTATGATCATCTTGTTCTAGTTTCAGTGTAACTTTACTCCCATCAATAAGCACTGCGGTTGGATTAGAGAACATGAAAATTAAGTTGTAGCAAGAACTGTTCATTCAGGGCAAAAAGATACTAATAGTATTAAACCATTTTATCCTTCTTCCTTAGGAACTGAAATCCAATGTGTATCTTCCCCACTAACAGTAGCTGCAGAGCTGGGTAGAAGCAGCCTACAAGAACTGGTTTAGCAAAAGGTCTAGAAAAGTCAAAGTGAAATCAAAGACTGCATGGGGAAGACTAACTTTTTGGCGGTCTATGTGATTACCATCAACAGTACACTACTTGGGGGGCAGGGGTGGAAAGGGGGAATGAAAAGTGTTAGTATCACATATTTTTATGTTTGTTTTTGCAGATGAGATAAACATTAAGATTATATTAAAATTCAAAGGATGTTAGAATAGAAAGGAACCTTACTGATGATCCACAATGAAGATAATTGCATATTCTGGCCTGGCCAGGGCAGTCTTATTTTACACTCTTTTTACAGAATTATTGTCAATAGCTCCCCCTGCCTTTCTCAAAAATGTCCTGATTTAGATGGTAAATCAAATATTTTTAAAAATAATTTCTCCCAGTGTACTTCCTTAATATTTTTAAATATTTGAATATTTAAATATTCAAATATTTTAAAATATTTTTAAAAATCAAATAGATATGCTATGTATAAGAAAAGGCCCTCTGTACCAATAGAGAATTAGTTAAGTAACTTCTCTAAATTCAAATGACCAAAATGGAATGGTGAGCTCTTTGAGGGCAGGATTCTGTCTTGTCATCTGTTTCTCCATGGCTGATCCAGGTAGACAGGTGAACATATGACTAACTGCTAAATTCCCAGGCCATTACTTTGTTCACTTTGTCATCCTACTCTCTCTAAGTACAAGGCTGATAATTTGATAGAAATTGCTACACTTTGTCATCCTACTCTCTCTAAGTACAAGGCTGATAATTTGATAGAAATTGCTACGGAACCTGTGAATTTCAAGAAGGGCAATAAAACAACACTACTTTTGAGCAGCCTAAGTTATTGCAATTAACAGATGAGGAAAAAATTGCTCTGAATGACTGTGGAAATTATAGCCTACTCTGATCTCCTTCTAAAAGGAAAATTCACTCTTCCTTCACATCTGCTTAAGTCTATTTCTAGCTATATGCGGTTGGGGGACAACTAGTTGTTTCTATCCCCTTGTAATGCAAGAGTGTGACCAACTTGTTTCCAGGCTCAAAGTACTTCTGCTTCTACTCAAAAGTACTAGAGTTAGAATTAACTTGCCATAGCAATAATTTTTCTGTTTAGAACTGAGGATGACAATGAATAAGTTAAACCATTTTTAGTTTCTTCCTTAGAAACTAAAATTGCTTTATAAGTAAAAATTTTATCATGATTAACCTTACCAATTAATATGTATTTTAATTTTTATTTATAGTCATGCAAGAGTAGAAAAAGAAATTGTTTTAAAATCATGAGCTTAGTTTCCATAAAGCCAGTACTCTAATTATATAAATTTGTTAATGGTAATAAAAGCCATCTTATTTCCAGCTAAAAATAAAGGGAGTTTACAAAAACGAAGTAAATAACTTAAGTTTGCATATTAAAGAAAATTTATAATAGAAAGTTTGCATATTAAAGAGGATCTCTTGAACTCTCTTATACAGACAATTTGTTATACCCATTAAATTACTGACCTAGTTTCAAATGCCCATAAGGACTGCTAATCCATCAGTAAAATAGCATTGTGCCAAAAAAAAGTGTGCATTTGCAACTGCCACCCAGTCATTCTTCTGGAAAATAATTTACTTATTCATTAATAATATAAACCAATGCACGGATAATATAATTTCTAAGATAAGTCCATCTTATTCTTTTAACACAGAAGGGAAATATTTGTTTCTCTTTTAGAAATTCCTGATACTTTAATAATTTATTTCTATTGGCATATATCCTGACAAGTTTTTATAATGACTTCAAAGAATCAATAAATATGGATGAGTATACACTTTGGAGATTATATATATATATATATGCAACTTTTTTTGCTAATCACTGATTTATATTTAATATATAATCAGTGATTTATATTTATATTTAACACATTTTTTTCTACAGAAAGATAGTGTCTCCTTTTGGGGCTAAAATTGAACAGTAATTTAAAAGTGATTATTATCCCCTATGAATTTATAATTAACTATTTTTATAGACAAAGATGGTATTAGATGCATTATCAATAAGTTAGGCATATTGAAAACTATTTTCTAGTGAATTTGTGCTGACTTAATTACTCTACTAAAAAACTCTGTCAATTACTTTTCTGATCAACACCATATGTGCAAGATTCTTAACTAACATTAAGTAGTAGCCTATGATTATAAAATAAAGGGTAGGCAACTAGCTCACATGAAATAAACCCACTAGTTCTTACTACCTCTTTCATCTATGAAGCTGACATAAGTAACCAAAAATCTCTCTAGTTAACATGATCATAAATTTAGAAAATTATCATAAAGAAAACTATATAGTAACAGAAATAAGAACATATCAACTAAATGTACATTATCTCTATGTGATTTTCATGCTCGTACAATGATGTGCACTGGATTATACGAAATAGTAATACGCATAGTAATTCAACAAAAGGACTGAGACTGTTAAAGAAACAAATATTTCCCTTTATTTATTACATCTACTCATGGGACATACATAATAATCAAAATTTTCAATTTACAGGCCTATAAATAATGCTATTTAACTGAAAAGCAGCCAGCAAACAGCAACATATACATGTATTTGAAAAGCTTACTCATGGAAAGTAATTTCCATAGCAACTCAGTTTTGTAGAATGGAATGATAAATCAAGAACTATCAGCATTTAAGAATCAGAAGAGTACTGAATTTGCCTTACTCCTTTGCCAGCTGCACACTGGTAGGCTTTGCTCCGATAGGTATCCCGTATTTGTGTAAAGTGTTAATCAATATCTCCCTCATGTCATTGTTGTAGGAATCAAAGTCAAACACATTTCGAACTACACTGGAGAGACCTTCAGTCGGAAATTTCTGTATTAAAAAAAAATTCCCTTATTATGCATGTGATAAAATATACAACATTATAAAGATTTATGAAATGGATAGGACAATAATGATCAAATGAACTACAGCAGAAATTTACTGGCCTTGTCAAATAAGCAGGTAGTAGGAATGTAGACATTTTTCCCTTTCAGTGTTTGCTCAGATGACTTAACAATATTTTCCTTTTTAAATAAATGCCAGAATTTGAGGGGAAAGAGTTCCTCCTCTCAAATGTTAGAGCAGTGCCTAGATCCTGGTGTCAGTGATTGCCACTGCTTTCTGAAATCTCCTGCCTTTAATATGAGTACCAGATCGAACAGTTTAAAAATGCTAGTTATGTAAAGGAGCGTGTTAAATATCTATACTGAAGTTTTCAGAAAAGTCAGTCTATGAATAAATGAAGAAGAAAAGATAAAGCAACAAGAAAAGAAGGAAAGAACATAAAAAGTGCAAACAACAGAGAAACAGGGAGCAGTAGAGGGCAAGAAAACAAGTATGACTACAACTGAATTTACACTGCTCATGTCCTCTGAGTCCTTTCCTGGGTCTGCTTTGATTTTCTTTAGGTGATGGGTTCTGAGCTGGCTGAATTGGACTTACGGTTTTATAGGCAGAACAAAGCTGTTATTTTTAATCTTGATTTCTTTCCATATATTTTTAATTGACAAATAATAACTGTATATATTTATGGGGTACAATGTGATATTCCAATGTATGTATGCCTTACAGAATGGTTAAATCACACTAATTAATATATCTATCATTTAACACACCTTTATTTATGGTACAACCATTACTTAAAATCTACTTTCTCAGCAATTTCAAAATATACATTACATTGATATTAACTATAGTTACCAGGCTGTGCAATAGATCTCAAAAACTTATTTCTCCTGTCTAACTGGAACTTTGTATCCTTGGATCAACATCTTCCCCTGTGTGTATTCTCCCTGCCCCACCTTTCTACTTTTCTTTCTAGGGTTTTCTTGGAGGGTTGGGGATAAGGCAGAGGTCAAGAGTTGTTGGGTTGTGACTGTTAGCTTGGAGACCCTTATTTGTTCTGTAAGTAAGATTTATATTATTTTTTATTTGTTTGTTTTCTTTACTAAGGTGGAGTACACATTGTACATGGTCGCAGGAAATTTCATTCTCCTGCCTACTCTATCTTGTGAAACTTCCTTGCGGTATTTACAGGTATTTAATCAGTACGGTTAGTTCCTACTCTGTTTACTGTTGTCTCCATGTGATTTGCTTCAAAATGAAAATATTTTTTACCTGCATACCACATGCTTGTTGTAAAAAGCCAAAGAACAGAACAGGAAGGTTTCCCCACTGACTCACTCTCTTGCTTCACCTGCCCTCTAACAGCCTCCCACCAAATTTCCTAACTCCTTGGTAATGATTACAGACTTTGCCAAAGTTAATTCAAAAGCTGAACAGATAATAATGTTCATTGGCCTACCATATTTATAACTTAGATTATACACATTTCAAATCATGTAATCTGACTCATTATTGTATTTATGGAAATTAAAAACTCTGGTACAAACTGTACAGTCTGAAAAAATAAAAAAGAGAGTGATGGCTCTTAGGTACAGGTGTGTGCCATACCTACCTGTAAATGTTTGACTATGTTGACAACTTCTCTGGTAGAATAAGGATAGTTAATAATCCCTTGGTCAGCCAAACTCCTCAGCTCTCCAAAGGCAGCCACAAGCTTCTGAAGGATGGGCTCAGGCACATTTGGTCCATACTGTCTGAGCATCTCGAGCTCCGAGTGGGGTTTGGGGTTATCAACTGCATGGCAGCTAAAAATATCACCTAAAGGAGAGAAAAGATTCACATTCAGTATGCAACAAATCCATTACGATGTCACAGGAAAAAATGGAATGGTTGTTTAAAGAGCCACTGGTTGCTCATCAAAGCATAGAAAGCCCATCCAACAATAGGATGGTACAGAGAAGAAAGCAAAAGACTGAAGCAAAAGAAAAGAAAACTGGGTGATGGATGGTTTATCTCCACGAATTTATTTTTGTTAAAAAACTTACATAATACTTGAATACATGCTCACCGGGAGATATTCCAATACAAAGAGGAAAAAAAATTCTCCTTTAAGTCTATGCCAATGCCACTCCCTCCCCAAAAAGCACTGAGTCTTAATGTTTAGCGCATTTATTTTTCCAGACCTGTATTAGCACTTTTTTTAAAAAAATGCATACATGCAAACAGAGTTTAGATAATTTATTCCTTTTCTATTAATGGGAATATATATTTCAAATGGTTCTGAGACGGCCTTTTTAACTTCAACAAATGTTGAGTATCTTCAAAAATTATATACATCTATCTCATATAAATGCTTCTTTATGTACTAAAAAAGGGAGAATTAGTAGCATCACTCTCTAAAAAATTTGTATCTTGTGCAGATTGATAGAATATACTTTAGAGGTTAGTTTTGGTAGAGTAAACCTGTAGAGACATTGTCTGAATTAAAATCAAGAAAAGGAATGTAGAAACATAATAATATTTCATCTGTAATTTAGGGAAATGAGAATGTACTAGAAAAATAATTCTATTGATTCATAATCTAAGAGACCAGGGATCAAATGAAGTAAAAGTAAATAGACTTACATTATTTAATATGTTCATTTTAGAAAATGAGGATATCTAGTAAGGTAGCAATAAGATCTTACTTTGATTTAGGAACCATTTGAACAGTTATTTTGTATGTGTGTATTTAAAAGCAATTGAATAAAATGAAAGCCATGATATCTTCAAAATTTTATCTCATATACTAAAGCTTTTCAAATACAAAGGTGAAGAATGGCTTTTGCCTTTTTTGCTGAAAATAAAACCTATCACTAACATAAAAAGACAATTGACCCCTCATTCATTTACTCATCAAATAATGATTAATTAGGACAGTAGAAATGGTGATGCTGGGGGAGGTCAGTCAGGTAAACCTCATGAGAAGGTAATATCTGAGCAAATGTTGATACCTGGGGGAAGAGCATTCCAGGCAGCTGGTACAGCTAATCCAAAGAACTTAAGGCAGGCATACCTGGCATATGGAAGGAAGAGGCAGGAGAGCAGAGTGGATGGAATAGAGGAAGTGGATAGAGCAGCACCAAGCAGTACAGGACACGAGGTTACAGACATAGGAGGATGTGGGAGACATACTGTGTAGGACACTGCAAACTGTTGTAAATACTTGTACCTCTACTCAGAATACAATGGGAAGCCATGGAGGATTTTAGCAGAGGCGTGGACTACTGTGCTGTGAACACACCACAAAAGGGTGTAGGAAGATAAATATCTTGTGAGCAGAGGCACTGACCACATTGACTGTATTTCCAAGAATATCTGAAGAGCAAACAGTGCAGCCTTGGAAAACATATTCTCTCTCTCTGTCTCTCTCTCTTTCTTTCTTTGTAAGAAGGTAATTTGGGTTACCTAAGCTCTGGGTTCCTCTTCTATAAGGCATCTCACTATAAGTGCAGGTATCATTTGGCCCTCTTTCTGTTGCCCTGTGGGAAGTGGGGCTTGAGGAACCAACACAAATGCTGGTACTTTGACTACTGCTTTTGCTGAATAATCATTCCTCTTTTGTCTGTGACTCAGGAGTCTAGTGTCTTCTGCCATGAAAGCCTTCTGTGGCAGGCTAACTTGTTAGCTTAAAAGTAGAGTAAACTCTTAGATCTTTCACAGTTCATAACAAAGAATAAGGCTGGAAGCAGGGCGACCCATTAGGGGACTATTTGAAGTAATCCAGGTAAGAGACGATGGTGGCTCAGATCATAATGGTGGCAAATGGAAGTGATGGGGAAAGTAAGATAATTCTGAATATATTTCGAGGGTATAGCCAATAAGATTGCAGGATATTTGGAAAAGAGCATAAGAGAAAGAGAGAAACAAAAAATGAATTTGGAGTTGTCATTAACAGAGATTTACAAAAGACTATAAATTAATCAGGTTTAAGAAAAAAAAGTTCATCATGGACATGTTAAATTCGAGATACAGGAGCTATTGAACTGGAAGCTGGATATGAGTGTGAAGTTCAGGAGGAAGGTCTGGGTTGGAGATGAATATTTGGCAATAACAGGCATATAATTGGTAGTCTAAAACATGACACATTCTGATTTTATTAAAGGAATGAGTATAGATAGGTAAGAGAACCAGGGCCTGAGCCTTGGGACATTCTAACAAGCTCCAACAAATAAGGCTGAGCAGGAATAGTTATTAAGGTAAGAAACCAAGAACATACTTGAAGAAGTATTGTAAGTCAAGTGAAGGAAAATGCATCAAGGAGAAGAGAGTGACTAACTGTATCAACTATATACTATATTAAATACTGCTGGTAGATTCAGTACGATGAGGACTAAGAATCAACCACTGGATTTAGCAATAGAAAAGTCACTAATGACCTAGATAAGAACAGTTTCTGTGGAGTAATGGGAGCAAAAATCTGATTAGAATGGAATTAAGTGAGGATGGTACAGAAGAAACGGAGATAGCAAGTGTAGACAACTCTTTTGAGTACAAATGACTGTGAGGAATTTTGTTACAAAGGAGAAGAAAAAAGTAGCAATAGATCGCAAAAAGAGTAAGATTAAGAGGTTTGTGTGTGTGTGTGTTTTGAAGATGAAGGAAATAGCCTGATTGCAGATGGGAATAATGTAAGGAGAGGGAAGCTGCTGATACAGGAGAGGGAGGGCAGAACAGCTAGAGCAGCAACCTTCAAAAGGCGGGATCTGGTGCTCATCTGGAGGGACTCCCTCTAGATGGGAATGTGAACAGTTTACCTGCAACAAGTGGGAAAGCAGGGCATCATAGGTGGAAGACTTGGTTGTAGGAGTCTGTGGACATTTGTTTTTAATTGCTTTCGTTTTTCTCAGTGCAGTAGGAAGACAGGAGAAAATAACAGAAATCTAAAAGAAAGTCAGTAAACTGAATCCTGGTTAGCAATGGGGAAGGAATGAGACTGGTGGGAAAATGAAAGAGAATTTCCCTTTCCCCTCCATAAGCCCTTCTATATTTCAATCTCTTGCAGTAAGTGAATGTTCAAGTATTGTATAATTTTAAAACAAAAAGAAATTCATGCAGCAGTGTTGGAGCTGCGAGGAGAGAGAAGATATGAATTACCCTAGGAGAACAGGAAAGTGAAAGGTCTACCGAAGCACGGTGTGACTGCATTTAGGGACACTTGAGGCCCATTGTTAAGAATCTGAAATGAGATTGGTCAGTTTTGGGCTTTTTCTAACCACATTCAGCTGCACATGTGTAGGTTCAATGTTGTTAGAGAGTTGGCAGTAACCAACTCTCTCCCTCTCAAGGGCAGAGGGGTTCCAAGTGCATAGGACAAGCTAAGAGAGGAAAAGGGAAGCTGAAGAATAATATATGTAAGGGAGTCATAAATGTGAAAGATCATGGAATTGAAGCTGGGTAAGAAAAAAAAAGGCTGGGTAAAGGAGAAGAAAATATATCAAGGTGGGTAGGTGAAAAGGTGGTAGGATCAATGGATTGAAGCTTCTCATACATTTGAAGAGTTATTGGATTTGGTGTAGTAGAGGGAGTAACTGGAAAGACTGGAGGTGGTGAATGCATAGATGAGATAAAAATCCCAAGGACAATTGAGGACAGAATATGAAACGGAAATTACAGAAGTGTCAGTCGTAGAAACTAGCCATGAATGTCTAAGATATGGTATAAGATAAGACTGCTGGAATAAAAATATCCAAGGAGCCAAGAGGCCAGAGAGTGGGAAGGGTCACATATGTGTATACTGCAATCACTCCAAAAGAAGAGTAGGGTTGGAGAGAATGAAAGCGAGTAAAGGGCTAAAGATCAATAAGAAGTGACAAGGATGAATAGGGGTAGATGACAAAACAAGAGCAGATGGCACATATGTTTTAGGATTTGGAGGTGGATGGAAGATGGAGACAGAACAGGGAGTGAGTATTCTTACAGGCATTAAAATAAATGTGATAAGGAGTGGCTTGGGGTATAAGGGGTGACCTACAAACATAAAAAGAACTCAAACCTCTTTACAATTAGAAACAACTTTTCTTTGGTGTGTTTACATTATTACATCTCTAAGTGCATCAGTAATCTATGAATTGTTAGTAACTTTTAAGGTATTATCTGCACATAATAAAAACTACAAAAATAGTATAACTGAGTATTTTATATTCCCATCCCTAACTTCCATTGCAAACAATGCCTTATCAGATTCTTGTGGACCTTTCTGAAGAAATTCTATGCATATACAAGCATATGCATGTACACATCCCTCCTGCCTTTTCCAAAACATATGAACGGGTAAACTACTATACCCACTTTACTTACTTATTGTTTCAATTACTATTTTGAGTATTGATTTTTTTTTTCTATCAGCATCAGTAAACTTATTCTCTTTTTTTAAACAACTGCATAGCATTCTATTGTGTGGATACAAAAAAATTTCTTTATCCAGTCCCATTTAGATGGATATTAGGGTTGTTTCCATTCTTTCTACTATAAACAATGCTATAGTGCCTATCCTTGTACTTAAACATTGTATAGGTAAATTCCTTGGATAAATTCCTTTTTGGGTAATTGCTAGATCAAAGATCCCACTGAGAGACTGGGTCTGCTTCACATTGAGTGTGAGAGTCCAGAATTATATACTTGCTATAGAGAAGAGAAGTCCTTCTTAAAGACTTTTGATGAGTAAGTTTATCCCAGGGCCTCTCCAATCAATGTGAATCAGTCTCCTCAGAGCTGACCTCAATCTTTTTCATGGTTAGGGGGATGTGACAAAAGTAAAACCATTTTTTATTCTGTGTTTTATTCCAAGAGGTCCTAAACAACAAAGTATAGTGTAATGGTTTAAGAAAAAAGACTCTGGGATCAGATAGACTTAGATATGAAGCCCAAGTCCACCACTCATTATCCCAGACACTATCAAAAAATAATCTCTCTGGGCCGGGCATGGTGGCTCACATCTGCAATCTCAGCACTTTGGGAAGCCGAGGCAGGTGGATCACATGAGGTCAGGAGTTCGAGACCAGCCTGGCCAACATGGTGAAACCCCATCTCTACTAAAAATACAAAAATTAACCAGGCTCAGTGGTACATGCCTGTAATCCCTACTACTGGGGAGGCTGAAGCAGAAGAATCGCTTGAACCCGGGTGGCGGAAGTTGTAGTGGGCCGAGATCATGCCACTGCACTCCAGTCTGGGTGACAGAGCGAGACTCCATCTCGGAAAAAAACAAAACAAAACAAAAACCTCTCTGAATATCAGATATTTTTCTTCACTAAAAGGGGGATAATAAATATTCTCACAAGGTGATTATGATGGTGGCACAGCACATGATAAGCATTCAATGACAGCCATTACAGCAGTGTTACTAATATTATTATTACTGCTATTGGTATTGTTATTATCATTACTGTTTTTACCTAAGGTACCGAAGAAATCATTGCCTAGGAAAGGAAATCCAGGTCTATTTGCCAGAACAATCATCCTAAAATCAGGATGAATCACTACAACATTTTCTCTTCCATTCACATTAGCAGAATCTGAAAAACAAAATTTGTTTATTCTTTATCAATATTTAATAATTCTTAAAAATATCAAGCAACAATCTTTTAGATAACATAAATAGTTATACTGTTCAATTGTAAAAAGCTCTAAGATATTTGGCTGTGATAACTTGGTTGCAGAAACAAAAACTTTCTTGAAAAAATTTGCTCAAGAACCAAACACTGATAAAGCATATACTAAATTGTACAGGGACTTGCACTCTTATATACCTTCAGAGTACATCTAAAAAAAAGCAACCTTGTCCAAATGTAGACTTACAGTACTTAAGCCTGGCTTGAGATGTTTTTAGTCCTTAAAAAAATTAAAAATAGAAATCCATAATAAGGGAGAATCCAAGGAATAGCTAAAGGATAAGTTCTTTAGTTTTTATCAAATCAGTAACCTCATCCTTTTGCATAGAGCCTGCCATTATGCAGCTAAGGAGTTATTCCTGTTTAGATCACGCACCCTGAAAACTAAATACATATTAATAGAATAAAGGTCTTAAAAACCTAGTCAACTCATTAGTACAATGTTGATTTATTTCCAGTCATGGGATTGTACCATAGTTCTTAAAATAAGTGATCTTAAGTTGACTGGGGCTTCTTTGTGTAAATGTGAAAGGTATTTCTACTGGCTAGTGTACATTTCAGATAGAATTGCAAGTCCAGAAAATAATTTAAGATAGTACAAGTTTTATTATGGTTATTTCAGGAAGAACCACTTGCTATCTGAATTTATTTAAACCCCACCCTTAAGTTGCCCATCTTTAAAAAATGATAGTTGTGAAGTACCTACAGCTTTATTTGAGATGAGTTTGGAAGAGCCTACTCTCATTTTTTTATGATACCAAAAAGTAATCTTTCAGCATGTACATATTCATGTACACCAATACAACCAATAGTTTTAACTGTGATCCCCATTAATCTTAGTAGTGGAAAATAACAAGGGTATGTGGCTACAGGCAAAATTTAATCAATTAATCAAAACAAAAATGACAATAAAAAATGAAAAATTTAAAAAGTAAAGAAAATGAAAAATATAACCCTACAAGTGATGGTTCATGAAACTACATTCAAAAGAGCTGCAAGTGCTCTTGTTCAAAATGTCAGCTACAATCATATTTGAGTGTAAAATTATAATGACTATTCCTCAAAAACATATCAGAGAATGTAGAGGGTTGCCAGGAGATAATTATTTCTTAACTACAACTGTGTTTCAGCAATTCTTTCTTCTTTTCCATTTCACTGTCCTCATAATGCCTCATAAGGGCAGGCAGAATTCTGAGGGTCTGAATGATCTTTTTTTTTTTTTAAGAGAAAGTATTCAGGGTAACTCAAATTCTAATTTTTCACATAAATTCATTGTGAAACTGAAATATTAGAATGCTTTTATTAGTGCTAAGCTCATACTCAGAAATGGCAATCTTGCAATGATGCTGTTGCAGAACATCTCTGTGGTGATGCACTTGTACCTTTTTAATGGGGTTCTCCTTACATACTCTCTTTGAATATTGAAGATTTTAGTTATTAGTCTCAACTTGTTTGGTTACTCTGGTTGGCTATATATTTTCAATGGCTAGTTATAGATTTTCAAGTCCTTTCAGGACACAAACATTTTAAATGTGAAATTAGAAAATGTTCTTACATTGCATCAAACTTAATTGTTCCTTGTAGTTTAAATACACTGACAAGATTAATCTATCTTCATTTTTTTCCTAACAATAACAACAAAAAGGGTGTGTGTGGGAGGGGGGCAGGAGACAATAAAAAACAGAGGATAACTTCTTCCTAAGGTAGGAGTGTGTGTGTAATATACATGTCTTTATATATACACACGTATTCACCACATATATGTGTACATATAAAATAAAAAGTCCAGCTTTTTTTATTATAATGAGCAAATTGAAAAAAAAATCATACACAAATAATTGGGAGATGAGTACAAGGGTTATACGTTGGTATGTCAGAGTAGAAAAATACAAAGTTGATTTGTCCTAATACTACTACTAAAAATTTCAAAGATGCTTGGTGGGTAAAAGTAAAACTGACAAAGCTAGATTCAGATGTATTAATTTTTATAAATGATTGTCAATACAGGCAACTTAAGTCATATTGAACTTATGCTTATTATTGTAAATAAGTAGGCAGCTAAGTTTGTGATTTGATACAGAGATATAAACATTGTATTTATTAAAGGAAACATTGCTTTCTAAAATACTCACTTGCAACAATGCGTCTTCCATCTGCTAGAATCATTTCTCCATTTTCTACTAGAGTTTTTAAAATACACGTGACATTTGTTGGAGCTTTGTCAGCCTCATCTACTACCAGAATATGACCCAACTTTACTGCTTTAACCTTTGACGACAGAAAATTTATCATAAACAATTAAATGAAGACAGCCATTATTAAAACTTCATTACTTACTGCTTTGGACTTATAACAGCTGGCTTTATTTAAGTTACAAGTATACACGTAGACACACACACACACACACACACACACACACACACACACACACACATCTATAGCAGAGCTGGAAACAAAATTTTGGGATTTCTACCAAAAGCTTCATGTAGCTAAACTGCCAACTCTACAGTTATCTTTTTATTTCATTTTAGTATTAAAATTATTCCCATGGTAGTGATACCCAACAACATCTCACACCCAAGAGTAGGAGAGATGTAAAACAAGCATAACAAATAGAGAAAGTGCCATGGGAGTTATGAGGAGTGAGACATCACAATCACTGTGGATATTAGAACACTGAATTTGTTAAAGCTCTTAAAAGAGTATACAATTTTAATAGACCCAAATGGATAGTGGAGAAAAGGTAGTTACTCAAGACAAAGAGAATCAATGGTCAAACTCAAGAAATCCTGGGGCATATCTAGAAATGAGTGACTATGAACAGTCTATGCTGGCTGAATTAGAAGTTAAATGTGAGAAAAGTGACTGGAAGGGTAGACTGGGTGTCTACCACTAAGGGTTTAACTGTCAGACCAAGAAATAGGTACTGCCTCATTAAGTAATGGGATGCAATTTAATGGTTATGAGTTCACACATGACAGAAGTGGAGCTTGGAGCTACACTTCAGGACATTTAATCTGGTGACAATATGCGGAATAGTTTGGCCAAAAAGTGGTTTGGGAATCTGATTTGAGGGAGGTATGAAAAAATGGAAATAAAAGGCATTAGATTGATTTGAAGGTTTTGTAGGGACAGAATCTATAGTCTTGGCAACTGCTTAGGTGGGAAGAGGAAAAAGGAAAAATAAGTCTTAGGTTTAAGGTGACTGGGTTGATGGTGACATCATGAAAAGAAAGATGAAAGCTAGAGAAAACTCTTAAAAACATTTTTGAGGGGTGGATAAAAGAAGATATCCAATGAATTTAAGTGAAAATCTCAAGATTTTTAAAAAAATAGTAAGAAATATAATGTAAAGTGGACCATATCCTAATTTTTCTCATAGGATGGTATATTTTAAGAAAACACAGATTAAGAAATGGGCATTCCTTCTACCACAATTATTTTAAACCATATTTTTAAAAAACTTATAAGAAATTTCTTTTTTAAGATATACCTAATGCTAAATGATGAGTTAATGGGTACAGCACACCAGCATGGCACATGTATACATATGTAAACTAACCTGCACATTGTGCACATATACCCTAAAACTTAAAGTATAATAATAATAAAAACATAAAAAAATAAAAAATAAAAAAATAAAATAAAATAAATAAATTTTAGGATTAAAAAAACTGAATTTAAAAAAAGAAAACATGTAGCTTCTATCCTCAACCCTGTCTTTGTTCAGGGAAAGACAGGCCCAACCTGGGAGAACTCAAGCAGGAGATCCTAAAGACTCCACTCCCTGGGGTCTGGACCACAGAGGTTCACATGATGACTTATTTGTGCCATTACTGCAAAGGTGTCATGTGCGCAGAGGGACATGCCTGGCAGGCTGAGATTTCTTTAGGTCTTGTGTAGGAAGTTGAGGACTGGATCTTCCCAGCTGTCTAAAACACTTGGCTAATATTTTATTAATTAGAACCATTTAAAAAAACTTTTCTAGAAACCTTACCTATTTTCAAACTCTATACATTTGAAAATGATAGTAAACTTTAAAAAAAAATCTGGAATAGAAATCAATAGAGGATTGCTGTCATTCTCTAAATCTCTCACTCTGAAGAGAGAAGAACAAAATAGGAAAACATGTTATCCTCCCAATAATTTGCATATATCCTCTCCTAAAATGAACATGAATGAATGCTTTCCAGTTAGGCTGAAACGTATTAGAATCTGATACGGTTTGGCTGTGTCCCCACCCAAATCTCATCTTGAATTGTAGCTCCCATAATTCAAAAGAGGGACCCAGTGGGAGGGACCCGGTGGGAGATAACTGAATCATGGGGGCAGTTTCCCCCATACTGTTCTTGTGGTAATGAATAAGTCTCACAAGATCTGATGGTTTTACGAGGGGAAACCCCATTGCTTGGTTCTCATTCTCTCTTGCCTGCTGCCATGTGAGACATGCCTCTCACCTTCCACCGTGATGGTGAGGCCTCCAGAGCCACGTAGAACTGTGAGTCCATTAAACCTTTTTCTTTATAAATTACCCCGTCTCAGGTATGTCTTTATAAGCAGCATGAAAACAGACTAATACGTAATCCATGAGAGTTCCATCCTCCAAAAACTGAAATACAACTATGATACAAAAATACACTTGAAAATATTTCTATGATTAGGTTACTAACCAAAGGTGAGTCTTCATATACAATAAGTCCGTCTTTAACCGAAGGCTGAAGCGTAAGAGTTTGTACTGTGGTATCCCTAAAGTAAAACCAACACATTTTATAGTTAGGAAGGAAATAAGCTGATGATTGATCATGATAAAAATACAGCACAGGTGCATTTTTTAAAAGATTTTTGTTCATCATCCTGCTTCCCCTTCCCCCACCAAAAAAAAACAGCAAGTGAAATTTATTTGAGTAACAATACTTTGTAGACTTAATACAGTATAAATTACAAAGAATTTGAGAATTAATCCAGACTTATAGATTATCCAGATTCTTTACTTCTGTTTTTCTTTCTGGTAATATGTCTTGTAACCACTTCACACCTCAAAATTACCACCTGAGGGTGAAGACGAGAAACTAAAAAATATATATATATATATGTATTATATAATATTTATGTTGTTTAAATATAATTTTGATGGCAAGTTTGGTAATGATTGGCATGCTGACATGGACAATTAAAGCAAATCTAGTAATTACACATTCAGGCCCAAACTGCCATCACTAGGTGCCAAAGCCAGACTATCACACCGCTTGCCAAGAATACTCAAGAATTACTTTATGGGATTTTGAACATTTCTGCTGGCATTAAGGCAATCCATTATATTTCTTAAATCTACTTTTTACTATTTACTTGACCCTCCTTTAGATCAGGATCTTCAAAAATATTAACAGTTGGCTATCCTGATGTTAAGAACCTCCTTACATGATGAGATGTAACATTCACATCAAGTGTGGATATTCTTGCCAAAATGTGTGTAAGAAAGTTGCAGGTGATATGTAGGGTCAGATATTTTTAAGGGGATCAATTTTGTATCTTTGCCTTCTATCTAAGATTATTTCCCATAGAGAATTAGAACTACTTTAAAAATATAAGTAGCGTCTTTGAAGAGTTCAGCTATTTTTTCAAACTACCCTACTTCTTACTCAAAGTAAAGCACAAAGTTGCAATTGTGTTGTTTTGACTATCTACTATGTATAAGACACTACTGGACAGTGATATTCAGACCTGGACGTTATACTTGTGAAATGTACACCAAATGCCAAACTTTACTACAATCTATTAAAATTGTAAAATGTGTATCTGTTTTTTAAAAAGGAATAAATAGCACTTGACAATAAAATACAAGATAAACTTAACGTCATCAAATAACTGTTTTGCTTTTAGTAGAAGAAATATAATAAAAATCAGCTAATTGCTTTGAGAGGCAGCTGTGGAGTAGTGCAAAGAAGACCTTGGAGTCATATCAATCAGGATTCAAATTCTTGTTTTTGCCCCTTATTGGCCATGTGATTGTGGGTAAGTAATAAAACCCACCCAAAAGGATTGCTGATAGAACACTTGGAAAGTGTATAACGCCGTATCTGGCAGATAGCAGGGGTGTAATTACATACCAGCTTTAGATATTTGTTGTCACTATTGTTGTTGCTGTGACTGAAAGTTCCTTGCCTGCCTACCTTTCACTTGATCTTCAGTTTTTTAGCAGAGATGGTGCTTCTTGAAAGATCCCTTCCCTGACCTTTTGTAGAGCAGCTTAGGTGCCCCTGCTATGTGTTCCCCTTGTGACCCATATATCCCCCAATTCGGCCCTTAACACACTATACTGCAAGTACTTATTTTACTATCTTCCCACACAGACTGTAAGATCTAAGAGTACAGAACATGTCCACACTGTCCCTCATTCTGTCCCCCACCTAGAACATGTCTGGCTCACTGGAGGAATTCTATAAATATTTGTTGAATGAATGAAATAAACAAAATATATGAAAAAGTAAAAGTCAACGATGTAGTTTATAGTGCAGGATAAAACACATGGACTTTCAAATTTATCAGATCATTGGATTTTGTTTTTAAACAGAGAATCTGGAACCTACTCTAGTAAATGTTGGGTCAGAGTAAGTCTAATTCTCTTACGGGTAAGAAATGGTACATTATGGCCGGGTGCAGTGGCTGAAGCCTGTAATCCCGGCACTTTGTGAGGCTGAGGCAGGCAGATCACGAGGTCAGAAGTTCGAGACCAGCTTGACCAACGTGGTGAAACTCCAGCTCTACTAAAAATACAAAAATTAGCCAGGAGTGGTGGCACGTGCCTGTAATCCCAGCTACTCAGGAGGCTGAGACAGGAGAATCACTTGAACCTGGGAGGCGGGGGTTGCAGTGAGCTGAGATAGCACCACGGCAGTCCAGCCTGGGTGACAGAGCGAGACTCCGTCTAAAAAAAAACAAATGGTGCATTCTAAGGAATGCATCTGTAGGTCTGTATTAGAAAGTACAGTCATGTTGAGAAGGTATGCATGGGGTTGACTAGTCAAGGGACTGAGGAGTTGATGGTTTATGTCCAAGATGGAGTTGAATTGGAACTTATGGTTGCAGTACGTACCTTCCCCATCAGAGTCCTCATTTACGGAGCTTGAACAGGTACGCTGGCAATACAATTATTGACATTTACAATTTGTAGACTATTTGCCTTATTTGCCTCCAACTTGGAAAGCTTCTCCTTCTAACTTGAGCAAACAGTTTCTTCAGTTAATTCTCTGGGATTCTGACCTATTGCTGTTCCTGATTCCTAACCAACTCCCATCACCATAATCCTGGCTCTCCTGGGCCGGGCACCTGCCCCCATAATCTACTGCTTCTTATGGCCCTAGCACTACACTTTACAAAGAATCTAATTTTGTTTATCTTCTCTAAAAAACAAATTAAATTGTGTCTAAAGATAAAGCCCTGTGGGATGATAGGGAAAGTGAAAAATACATTGTGGCAAGTTATTGGTGATTATAAACTTTTAGTATGAATAAAACGATCCCTATATAACACATGGATTGTCATATATCTATTTTCTGTATTTACGGGTTTTATAAACTTACTGCAGGGCATATGTTATTTTTTTGCTAACAAATTAATTGTTAAAGTTTTAAACAAATCAAGAACAAAGTTTAATTAAACTTACTTATATTAATTGTTAATATTCTAGCAATAGAGAAGGGGGTGGATGAGGAAGGGAAATAGATGTGTTCACACAGATTGTTATAGTAATATAATGAATTTCTCATCTCAGCTTTCACATATTTAATGGGCAATAACATGTCATCTTCCAGCACCAAAAAGAAAAAGGAACTCTTCCATCATTATTAGTAGAAAGGAAATTCAGTTGTTACCTTAATAATTATTGTGCTTCATAGCAGATTAAGAAAAGTAAATTAAACCTGAATTCTAATTTTAAAAAGAAAATGAAGTTGCTCTGTAACACTCGAATTCTGATAGCATACAACTTGTCAAATTAGATTTCTCAAAAGACTTCTGTGCCAGAAATAAAAATCACAGGTTTGAGAAAACAAGCACAAATCAGATGATTTCCAAAGGAGACTAAAATGAGAATAAATGCAAATGGGAAACGTGGCTTTTAGTGGAGTAGTATGTGAGAAAGAGAAATTCATAGGATAAATGTGGTTTTGTTCTGCTCTTATAATTAGCCCCTTCATCTAGTACATAAAAAAAGCAAAGGCTAGTAAAATATGTAAAATAATATTTAACTTAAGAAATTAGTAGGTTTATGTTTCAGTAAGTTACCCTCATTATGTAAGTGGGAAATAATCCACTATTGTCTGCATAAGACTTAATACAATAAGAAAAAACGCTTGATTTCCAAGATATACTATAAAATTACAAACTTTAAATTATTAAGTAATAAGGTGACTACTGTTGTTACAGGTAGCATAAACTGACTCTTAAAGACAATATAGTATTTCTTTTTCAGAGGGTGCTTGATTAAAATAATTGCTCTGCATTTATGAGCAACTTGGATAAGAAGATTAATTCTCCACACAAATAAACAATGACCCTAAGAGAATATTTTATTTCTTGCAACTTCAATCCTCTTGTGAATTGTTCCTCTCAAAAACACCTTTGAAATGTAAGCTAATGAAAATTTAGTGTCACAGCAATACTAGGGAGAAGAAAACTTAAAACACATTTTAGTTACATGTTCTTAGCCTAAAGCTTAAAAAAGAGATGTCTTTCCAGTACAAGACATTTATCAGTAATACTTGATGAATTAATTAGAATGTTCAGCTAAGTGTTGACATTTATGTTATCACTGTTCTCACTTTTTACTATCTTACAGACTACAGCATCTATCAACTAAAGCCTGTGTCAATAAAGGCGCTGCTCAAAGAAATATTGTACTAAACTCTATTCTTAACTTTGGCACTTTAAAGTCTTTTTAAAAATTAGAGTTATATTTCAATAGTAATTTAAAATTATTCCACATGTAATAAAAGCAATTAAATTGTGTAAAGACCAAGTTTTTATCAAAATAAGGAAAGAAAACTGGCCTCTAGAGAGCAAGCACAATCTGTTCTGAAATATTGCTTATAAAGGTACATTAAGTTAGTATCTTCTAATTTATTGAGGAGCAGAAGATCTCAAAATAGCGATGTTTACTTTAAGGATGATATTTTAATAAGTTGTATCTTAACTGATTTATAGTTAGATTTTTTAAGAAAAACAATAATAGTTAAACATAAGAGTAAAGGAAGAAAGAAGACACATAAGAGTTTCATAAGAGCTGATGAAAATCTTCTCTGTCTTTATAGTTCATTAAAACAGAAATGCCTATAGGAATGGTCCACGCAATAATACGAGCCAAACATGAGAAAGGAAAGACAGAATATGGAACAAAGACAGCACTGAAAAAATGTTTGCTCGATATTTTTTCTTTTCTTTTTTTTTTTTTTTTTTTGACAGAGTCTCGCTTTGTCACCTATGCTGGAGCGCAATGGCATGATCTTGGCTCGCTGCAACCTCCGCTTCCCAGGTTCAAGTGATTCTCCTGCCTCAGCCTCCAGAAGAGGTGGGATTAGAGGCATGCACCACCACACTTGGCTGATTTTTGTATTCACCATCTCTACCAGGCCAGGCTGGTCTTGAACTCCCGACCTCAGGTGATCCACCCACCTCAGCCTCCCAAAATGCTGGGATTAAAGGCGTGAGCCACCATGCCCAGCTGCTCAACATTTCAAACAGAAGTTTAATTATGAAAAGAGAATTAAATGGCAATTTTTACCAGTAAGACATAAGCCTAACATCATTGACTGAGAGAAGTAAATGCTGTCAAAAGATATTTTTCAAGTGAAGATGAGTTCTTGGTATCAAGAACATAACTTTCACAAGACCTATTTTAAAATGAGTAATGAAATAAAGATAAAGAGGACTAAAAAGAATTATCACTAATAAAATAGAGTGGTACTTAGAAAAAGGTGATGTAAACAAGTTTAAGAATCACTTGATGTTTACAGTCTGAGCTGTCTGCAGAATAGTGGCATCCCATACCCTAGCCCTATCTATAAAAGACAAATTCACTTTGCCATATTAGGCAAGAAACTTCCTTAGCCCCTCAAACAAAAACAGTCACTGTTAAAAGCAGTGTTGCTATCCGATACAACAATAGGAGGGTATAGAATTTTGAACAGGAAGAACATGTTTTCTTCTTCTTTTTGATTTCTATTGTACAACATGTTGAATATTTCTAGTTAATAATAGTGTTGCCTATTTCAAAATTGCTAAGTAAATTTCAAATGTTCTCATCACAAGTAATGCTAACTATTTGACATGATGGGTATGTTAATTAGCTTGATTTAATTATTTTGCATTGTATTCGTAAGGTATAACATCATTTTGGACTATACATTTTTTTTCCCCACACAACTCCCTCTTCACAGAACCCATAAATTTATACAGTTATAAACTGTCAATGTAAAATTAAAAAAAAGAAAAAAGAAGACAAAATGAGCTATGACTACTGCAGTGTTGAAAAGCAGCACCAGACTAAATCTGAGGCCTTTTCCCAGTTTGGTCAATCTCCTAACCTCCTGAAGCCCAACATTACTCATCTCTACAGAAGGAATTAACATAGAACACTGAAGAAATACGATAGTGTAAAAAGTAAGGAAGACAAAAGAGCAAGAATGAGAGACAGAAGGAATATTATTATACAGTGTTTTGAATATTTTGAACGCTTTGAGGGAAAAGTCCTTTTAGTATGATAAGTAAAATATTTCTGCCAAAGCTGCTGAAAAGACTCTATATCTTAAAATAGTTATTTTGTTGGACTGTTTATTTAGTAGTCAATCACTCATCACTAACATGCTCAGATGCAAAAAATCCTAACTATAAAAGGAAGGAAAACATTAGGGGGATAATATTCATAGAATATCATCTGTGATGAAACACTTTGCTCTTCAGAGGTAGGGTCTTGCTGGGAACTGCTGGTAGCAAAAAGCCACAGCAAAACAGTCACCTGATGGAAACTAAACATTTCAAAATGTGTTTAGTTTACAAAATCTACTTACCTCTACCACGTCTCCTACTACTATGTTAATACTATTTAAAAAGAAATTCTTCAAAAGTCAAAGCCATGCTGATAATCAAGTCTTTTAACTACCTAAAAATTTTCTAAGTTGTCCACTGTTTATAAATAAAAACAAATCTACTAAAATAGTATATAGAAAATTGGATCTTTTATCTGCACTCTGAAAACTAGCTTTCCAGCTTGGTAAATTTTAGGCATTCAACATGACCTAATTTCTTTGCAGTAACATCATTTTCCTTTTTCCTGAATAAAAAGAAAGACAGTGTGCAGGTCCCTTATTTGAACAGAAAAACACATTTTCTAATCATTTTTTTGAAAAAAAATGGAAGAATGAAATAAGGATAAAAATACAAAGTTGAATGAGTATACAAAGATGCACACACAGATGCAACCAGCATGTGTGGCTGATGAACACTGTATCCACTGCATAAATCTTTAGCAGTAAATATGGTATATATGACCTTTTTAAAAAGACTTTATCAATTGAGTAACAACACAAAAGTGTGATAAAGAGACAAAATTAGTGAGTGACCACTTTTTCATGTTAGGACTTTCTATGGTCTTT
Source organism: Homo sapiens (assembly GCF_000001405.40). Taxonomy (NCBI): domain Eukaryota; kingdom Metazoa; phylum Chordata; class Mammalia; order Primates; family Hominidae; genus Homo; species Homo sapiens. Next base: position 41,739,058 of record NC_000013.11, read on the forward strand.
TATTCAACAAATATTTATTGAATACCAATGGTACTGCTTTAGAGATTGGAGGAGTATCTGTGAACAAAACAGGTAAAAATTCCTTTTCTTGAAGACTTCAAATTCATACTATACTTAAGGGAACTTATCTTACCATACTAATAATGTACCATCTTTAGTACAGTACTCAATTTTGCATGAGATTAAATATCAAAAGACATTTTGTCACAGGCAATTCAAAGAAATAAAGTTAAAATGAATATTTTTCATCATCAAGAGAAATAACAAACTAGTCTGGTGCAGTTTAAACCTACCAGGGGAGTCACGCTCTCTAGGAAGTTGGTTAGGTATGTCTCTTTTGGTTAATAACCCAAAATACATCTTCACATAATACATGTTATCTAAAACTTACTATATAAGTTGCATTTTGTATATAGCATAATATTATTTGATATACTCTAATCCATGAATTATTTTATTCTCATTTTGGTTGTTCATCAAACAGAAAAAATTCCCAATGCTCTAGCTTTATGTTTATCAGACTTTAACCACCCAGGTCAAACAAAAAATAGTATACAAATAAGCACTATGTTTGGAAAACTCTTACCTTAAAGAAAATCAGTGTTTAAGTTTTCTACCATTTACCTATTTTATTGAGTCTTTATGATAGATATTCGTAAAGGAAGACACAATTGCATCATAGGAAAAACAATATATTCTGCATTTTTAGCAACAGGAGTTAAACAATTCATTTCAACCCCAGCCTATCTTCCAGTATCATTGTTTTTTTGTTTTTTTTTTTGTTTTTTTTGTTTTTTTTGTTTTTTTTTTTTTTTGAGACAGAGTCTTGCTCTGTCGCCCAGGCTGGAGTGCAGTGGCACAATCTCAGCTCACTGCAAGCTCCGCCTCCCAGGTTCATGTCATTCTCCTGCCTCAGCCTCCCGAGTTGCTGGGACTACAGGCACCTGCCACCATGCCCGGCTAATTTTTTGTGTTTTTTAGTAGAGACGGGGTTTCACTGTGTTAGCCAGGATGGTGTCAATCTCCTGACCTCGTGATCTGCCCACCTCGGCCTCCCAAAATGCTGGGATTACAGGAGTGAGCCACCACACCCAGTCCCCAGTGTCATTTTAATGGCAGAGGAAAAGGAACAGATACCTCTGAGGAATCAGAGGACAGAAGACTGAAGCAGCTCTCTAAACATATTTTCTTGTCATCTTATGTTTTATCTTAAAATTTGATGTAGATTTTTTTAAAATTTAAAACTTCTTTTACTCTCTAGCCCTATGTCATAGTGATATAGATTTTGAAAGCTATTCCATAATATACCTAGTTTCTTTCAATACAAAAATATTTAATCCGTCATTAGGAAAATAGCAGCAAGGAGCTGTTGTCCTGAGCCAACACTTTCAGGAAACTGGGTTGAACTGAAGACGGCTATCGCTGCAGAGCAAGTTCAGCATCCGCATGCATTTTTCTGTTCTAGTATCAATCACATTATAATCTTGGACCTCATTATATCTTGGTATAAATGCAATCGGTTTTTTTACTTTATGAACTGTGCCAGAGTGATCACCATCCAGAGCCTCCAGAATGATGCCAAGAAGGAGGTATGTGCAGCATTTTCTGACTCCTGCTGGTAGGCATTTCAGCAATGGCACCTTTTAGAGATATCACACAGCTTAGGTCATGTGGGACCAAAAAGTTCTCTCATCTCCTGGGAAATCTACCACTTCAGGATGAACACGAGGATGTGGTTCATTTGTCCCGTTTTCTCATCTGAGTTTAGGTATCACTGCAATTTATTTAAGATTACCCAAAACATCTTCAAAACTACACCAAAACAAAATACTTAATATATGGGTCAAATTAGAAAAAAACAGGCATGTTTACAGAGGCAAAACACTGGAAATAGGCTACTGTCCAGTGCTACTCAAATGTCAACCTTCTCAGCGAGGCTCTGCCTGATCAACCTATTAAAACTGTAATCTCTGCTCTGGCCCCCTTCCCTGCTTTATTTTCCCACATAACACTTATCACTATTTTACGTACTTAACACTATGTAAAATACTTATTACGTATTTTAACGATCTCATTCTCCCTCTCACCAGCAACTATAGATAAACATGAAGACTGGCCTTTTTAGCACTTGTTCACTGATGTTATCACTCACACTTAGAAAAGTAACCAGCACGTAGTAGGAGTTCTCAATGCTTGCTGAGATGGACGCATTTCAGATACTTCAATCACATACGATGAGGCCATACTGAGCTATTATAAATTCCTTACACACCGGGTTTATTTGTGTGCACCTTTTCTCCTTTCTGCAAAGTTTTCTCTTCCCTTTCCGCCACTTTTTATGATAAATGGTTATGGCCCATTCCTTAAACACTCAGCTCAAATCTCACCTCCTCTTAGAAGCATTCCTTATTTCTCACTGTTATCCTCCCAGCTGAACTATTGTTCTATAGAAAGCACTTTACAGTTAAGAAACTTTTCAGTTGTTCACATGAGTATCTCCTTGACAAGGCATACTGTCTATAGACAAGGGTATAACATTTTTTTATGTACACCTAGTGTCTATCATTATGCCTTCAACATTGTAGGCATGCAAAAAATGGTTAGCCAAAGAATAAACACATGAATGTATTAAATACTAATTATAAAACGAATTATATTTATACATTTCCAATGTGCAAAGCAGATTATTAGGCATGAAGGTTTATAAAATGAATAGTTCACAGACCCTAATCCTGGGAAGCTCACATGACACACAGGGAGATAGATATAAGGCAATTAAATTAAATTCATGTCAAAAGATGACAAGGGCTGTAACAGAAATCAAAACAAAGTGCAGTGGGGACACAGAAGAGAAGGCAATTAATCCTGATGGAAAAGAACAGAGTCCTGATTATGGAATTTGATTTTAACTGGCAGGAATGAGTAGAAAGTATGTCTAGGCAGAGGAATAAGCACATAGAAGTTGGGGGATGCAAGAGAAGTTTAAGGCTACACTTAGTTATCCAGCATGTCTAGGATATAGTCACATGGAAGGATGTAGAGCTAGATAGGCAGGCTAAGTCCAGAGTGTACAGTCCTCGTTGCCATTTTGGAGTCTGACTTTCATTTCATGGAAAATATGAAACCATCGGAGAACCAATCATCTATCCATTTCAGAGACAGGATTGGAGAAGATTCTCTAAATGGATGTTCCAAAGATGGATGGAAGGGAAGAGACATCACATTCATTCATTTGTTTAACAAATGTTTATCAAACATCCACCATACTCCAGGCATCATGCTGGAAGTAGGAAGTTCAAAGATATATCCCTGCCCTGAAGATCTCTCTGTTTAGCAAAGGAGACAGAGATGGGAATATGTAATTGTGATAAAAAATGACAGGTACAATACCAGAGCCTGTTCTAGGTCAGTGGCTCTAAACTTAACCATCAACAAAAGTTTTTAAGAAGACACATTCTAAAACATACAAAAATAGAAACAAAAAACAATGAGCTAAAGGTGAAAAACAGTACCTTAAAAACACTCTTGGATTTTATTGGTTAATAATGCAAAACCCTTTTTGTTCTCATTAAAAATTAAAGAAGGATATTTTGGGAAGAGCAATGTAATCGATACACTTTATTATTTGTGTGATTTAAAGGTCTCCTCCTAAATTCAGTTTACTTTGCTACTTTATTTCAATGCCTAGCATCTCTGAAAAAGAACTCACAAACACATGAGATCCAAATGGAAGAAGTGCAATACTGACTGCATTCCCTGTAGTTCAACATGCATTTTTCAATCTCATTTATCAAACATAGAAAGGCTCTTTTGCACCCCACTTTATGCTTATGGTGGCACAAAGAAAGGAATCAACATCTGCTTGTGGAGAAGAAGAGGAAAGGATCTAAGATATTTTCTTAGAGGAAAACACTTTGATTTTCATTTTGAAGATAAAGTATGAGTTTTCCAGGTAGACTTGACAGGGAATTCCAGGCAGCAAGAGCTGCACAGAACAAGTTGGGGAGTAATAGATATGGTATGTGATACCTGGGAACCACAGGCAGCTCATATGGCTTAAGCATACGTGGGAGAGAAAGGTTGGTGGAAGACAAGTGAAACAGATAGTGGCAACGGGAGTCATTGCAGGGTTCTGAGCAGAAGAGCAAGTAATCAACTTTATTAGTAGAAACATGTAAGGCATGGAAAGGAGAGATCAGAGGCTGAGTTCTTAACCAGGAGGCTACTGCAATAGTTCAGGCAAGAAAAGATGAGCAATGGACTGGTTCTCACTGCTACAAGCATGCTGTCACGAATGATTCTATTCCCCTAGTGAGAGACCTTAACTTGGCTTGGTCCCATTAGCTGTTGGCTGTAGTCCTATTCCAAACTGTCACTTGACCAAATTCTTACAACCCTCTAATTGCTGTAATGTGAAAGGTTGGCTATTACTTCGCTTACAGATCAAATCTGCATTGGGTCAATTCATCCACCAACTCTCCAGAATAGACAAAGTTGCTGAAATGCCAGAATGTCTCACCACAAATAAACTACAATTATGAAATTAATAATTGCTGCCAAACATATCAGCGTTTGAGTTCTCCTCAAGTAGTCTCCCATTTATTCCTTATCACATTACCCTTTAAAAATATTTATATCATTTTCACTTTATTAATAGCATCAATATTTTCCTGTTTATTAAATTATTTGTTCATTGCCTATCTTCTCACCACTAGAAAGAAAGCTTCATGATAGCAGTGACCTTGTCTGTCATTCTGTTCATTGTTGTATTCTCAAGAACAGTACTATGGACATAAGAGGAACTCAATAAAAGTTTGTTGCAATAGATCTCCTTTACCACCAAATGCAACTATACCCCAGCTACTGCAGCAGTGACTTCTGAAAGCTCAAAGTTAAACCTTTCTCTAGAGAATTTTCTTCCACTAATGGGAGTTACCTCACCCAGAAATGCTTGGGAGGTCACAGGTGCCTGCTTCCCTTTCTCCCTCAGGGCAGCCCTTAATCAATGACTTAGAGATATGAGGGTGAAAAAGGCTGGCACTCTTGCTTCCAGGTGGGGTAACTGAGTAGTAACATTCACGCTCCAGAACTCCCTGTGAAGAGGCTGAGGCCAGCCTTCAGCTAAACCACCTCTTTTCACTGGCCTTATCCTGAGTCCTTCACTTCCTTACAGATTTCACCTAAAAGCTGTCCCTCTAAATCATTTCCACAAACATTTCCATCTCTGGTTCTGCTGCTAGGGAACCCAACCTAAGATATCTGTTGACTGTTCGAATGAATGAAGATAAATGTATAAATAATTCTTAGATCTTCTAGCAATACTTTTAATTCTTCCTGCATAAAACATTATAGATACACCTCAGTTAACGGAAATTAGCTAAGGAAGTTGTGAACTGAACAACCCATAAATAAATAAATCTACTTACTACTAATTTAAGCCCCTCATCCCATCCCTTTCTGCTCATTTGTCACTGTTGCCATCATCTGAAGATTCTGGCTAAAGCAATAAGGAATGGCATTTTATAAAACTAAAACAAAACAAAACAAAACAAAACACCATTTTAAATCTAATTGAATAAGGAGAAAGTTGGGAGGTATCTTCGTCACTCTGTCTGCTTACCTAACAACTCTGTAAGAAACCTGCAGCTGGTGCTGACTAGAAAGGTCCAAAGAGAGGAGAGCAGGTTTAAGTGGTTAGGACATGATGTTAAACATGTTAAGATAATATATGATTGAAACAGTTCTAATACTGACTTGTTTAATTTATTTATTTTTATTTATTTATTTATTTATTTTTTGAGATGGAGTCTTGCTCTGTCACCCAGGCTGGAGTGCAGTGGCGCAATCTCGGCATACTGCAAGCTCCACCTCCTGGGTTCACGCCATTCTCCTGCCTCAGCCTCCCGAGTAGCTGGGAGTACAGGTACCCACCACCACGACCGGCTAATTTCTTTGGTATTTTTTTAGTAGAGACGGGTTTCACCATGTTAGCCAGGATGGTCTCATCTCCTGACCTCATTATCCACCCGCCTTGGCTTCCCAAAGTACTGGGATTACAGGCATGAGCCACTGCACCTGGCCTATTTTTTTTTTTAATTATACTTTAAGTTCTAGGGTACATGTGCACAATGTGCAGGTTTGTTACATATGTACACATGTGCCATGTTGGTGTGCTGCACCCATTAACTTGTCATTTACATTAGGTATTTCTCCTAATGCTATCCCTCCCGCATCCCCCCACCCCATGACAGGCCCCAGTGTGTGATGTTCCCGGCTCTGTGTCCAAGCGTTTTCATTGTTCAATTCCCACCTATGAGTGAGAACATGTGGTGTTTGGTTTTCTGTCCTTGTGATACATTGCTCACGTACAGAATGGGAGAAAATTTTTGCAATTTACCCATCTGACAAAGGGCTAATATCCAGAATCTACAAAGAACTTAAACAAATTTACAAGAAAAAATCAAACAACCCTATCAAAAAGTGGGCAAAGGATATGAACAGACACTTCTCAAAAGACGACATTTATGCGGCCAACAGACACATGAAAAAATGCTTATCATCACTGATCATCAGAGAAATGCAAAGCAAAACCACAATGAGATGCCATCTCTCACCAGTTAGAATGACGATCACTAAAAAGTCAGTAAACAACAGGTGCTGGAGAGCATGTGGAGAAATAGGAACACTTTTACACTGTTGGTGGGAGTGTAAACTAGTTCAACCATTGTGGAAGACTGTGTGTCAATCCCTCAAGGATCTAGAACTAGAAATACCATTTGACCCAGAGTTGTTTTTATTTGTATTACAAATAAGGACTAAATTTTTAAAAAATCCCTCTTCCATCAGAATATCACTGATTTCATCATAGAAATAATGATTTTCTTAATAAAATTTTGCTTTACAAGTGAAAAAAAAAGGATTAAAAAGTTATAACCTAAATTTATAATAGTGATCGACTTGAGGAAGAGGAGACCAGATTGGAAGTGGTGGTTAAAGGAGACCTCAGCTATAATTATAGTGTTTTATTTCTGCAAAAGGAAGAGTAGAATCAAATTTGGAAAAATATGAACAGTTGTTAAATCTGGGTGATAAATTTGGATATGTGTTATATATTTGTATTTACATTTTTTGGATTTTTAACGTTTTTCTCAAACTAAAAAAGTAAATAACACTTGAAAGGAATGTAGCTGTTCTCTAGTGGCAAGGGACATAACAAAACTAAGTAGAAAATACACACTGCATCTCAGTGGTTCTCAAGCTCCTTAAGCTTGTGATCTAGAAAATAAAGATGAAGAAACCCATAGACTCTTGTCTCCAGTATTCTTTTCCAAAACAGCCCTGACCACACCACTTGCTGGCATCTCCAGTTTCAGGAGTCTGTAGCTCTGACTCATCAAATCCATAACCCACAAATTAGATGACAGGATAATGTAACCACTTGGTGGGTACACTGAAAGAAAGGATATTACTGAGGTACCCAGCTGGGGAGGAACATCATCTAAAGGACCACAGGAATTAATTTGGTAAACGTTTTTATGAACTGTCCAGGTGACGGAACAGAAAACAAGGCTATTAAATTTACTGATGACACTCCTCAAAGGAGGTGTGATTGAGCATCAAAGTAAGTGTAATATTCCAGCGAAGTGAAATTTAATAAGGATATCACTATTGACAAAAATGGAATTAATATGGAATAACTGGCTGAAAAATGTGGAAAAATACTTTGGGATCAAGCTGAGCAAGGATTAGGAATATGATGCTAGAATTTTAAAAATCAAGTATTATAGTATATATAGGCTGAAGTGTAGATTGTAACAATTGGTTTGACCCATAGTCCTATCATATGGATAATACTTTAGTGACATACTTACTGCAGTACTACCCTCACTAAAATACCATGGATTCAGCACAATAAACTCAAGCAGCAGTTTTGGTTACTGTAGCCTTGTAATATAGTTTGAAGTCAGGTAGCATGATGCCTCCAGCTTTGTTCTTTTGGCTTAGGATTGACTTGGCAATGCGGGCTCTTTTTTGGTTCCATATGAACTTTAAAGCAGTTTTTTCCAGTTCTGTGAAGAAAGTCATTGGTAGCTTGATGGGGATGACATTGGATCTATAAATTACCTTGGGCAGTATGGCCATTTTCACAATATTGATTCTTCCTATCCATGAGCATGGAATGTTCTTCCATTTGTTTGTATCCTCTTTTATTTCATTGAGCAGTGGTTTGTCGTTCTCCTTGAAGAGGTCCTTCACATCCCTTGTAAGTTGGATTCCTAGGTATTTTATTCTCTTTGAAGCAACTGTGAATGGGAGTTCTCTCATGATTTGGCTCTGTGTTTATCTGTTATTGGTGCATAAGAATGCTTGTGATTTTTGCACATTGATTTTGTATCCTGAGACTTTGCTGAAGTTGTCCATCAGCTTAAGGAGATTTTGGGCTGAGACAATGGGGTTTTCTAGATATACAATCATGTCACCTGCAAACAGGGACAATTTGACTTCTTCTTTTCCTAATCGAATACCCTTTATTTCCTTCTCCTGCCTGATTGCCCTGGCCAGAACTTCCAACACTATGTTGAATAGGAGTGGTGAGAGAGGGCATCCCTGTCTTGTGCCATTTTCAAAGGGAATGCTTCCAGTTTTCACCCATTCAGTATGATATTGGCTGCGGGTTTGTCATAAATAGCTCTCATTATTTTGAGATACGTCCCATCAATACCTAATTTATTGAGAGTTTTTAGCATGAAGGGTTGTTGAATTTTGTCAAAGGCCTTTTCTGCATCTATTGAGATAATCATGTGATTTTTGTTTTTGGTTCTGTTTATATGCTGGATTACGTTTATTGATTTGTGTATGTTGAACCAGCCTTGCATTCCAGGGGTGAAGCCCACTTGATCATGGTGGATAAGCTTTTTGATGTGCTGCTGGATTCGGTTTGCCAGTATTTTATTGAGGATTTTTGCATCAATGTTCATCAGGGATATTGGTCTAAAATTCTCTGTTTTTGTTGTGTCTCTGCCAGGCTTTGGTATCAGGATGATGCTGGCCTCATAAAATGAATTAGGGAGGATTCCCTCTTTTTCTATTGATTGGAATCATTTCAGAAGGAATGGTACCAGCTCCTCCTTGTACCTCTGGTAGAATTTGGCTGTGAATCCATCTGGTCCTGAACTTTTTTTGGTTGGTAAGCTATTAATTATTGCCTCAATTTCAGATCCTGTTATTGGTCTATTCAGAGATTCAACTTTTTCCTGGCTTAGTCTTGGGAGGGTGTATGTGTCGAGGAATTTATCCATTTCTTCTAGATTTTCTAGTTTATTTGCGTAGAGGTGTTTATAGTATTCTCTGATGGTAGTTTGCATTTCTGTGGGATTGGTGGCGATATCCCCTTTATCATTTTTTATTGCGTCTATTTGATTCTTCTCTCTTTTCTTCTTTATTAGTCTTGCTAGCGGTCTATCAATTTTGTTGATCTTTTCAAAAAACTAGCTCCTAGATCCACTGATTTTTTGAAGGGTTTTTTTGTGTCTCTATCTCCTTCAGTTCTGCTCTGATCTTAGTTATTTCTTGCCTTCTGATGGTACTGGTACCAAAACAGAGATATAGACCAATGGAACAGAACAGAGCCCTCAGAAATAATGCCACACATCTACAACTATCTGATCTTTGACAAACCTGACAGAAACAAGAAATGGGGAAAGGATTCCCTATTTAATAAATCGTGCTGGGAAAACTGGCTAGCCATATGTAGAAAGCTGAAACTGGATCCCTTCCTTACACCATATACAAAAATTAATTCAAGATGGATTAAAGACTTAAATGTTAGACCTAAAACCATAAAAACCCTAGAAGAAAATCTAGGCAGTATCATTCAGGACATAGGCATGGGGAAGGACTTCATGTCTAAACACCAAAAGCAACTGCAACAAAAGCCAGAATTGATAAATGGGATCTAATTAAACTAAAGAGCTTCTGCACAGCAAAAGAAACTACCATCAGAGTGAACAGGCAACCTACAGAATAGAAGAAAATTTTTGCAATCTACTCATCTGACAAAGGGCTAATATCCAGAATCTACAAAGAACTCAAATTTACAAGAAAAAAACAAACAACCCCATCAAAAAATGGGCAAAGGATATGAACAGACACTTCTCAAAAGAAGACATTTATGCAGCCAAAAGACACATGAAAAAGTGCTCATCATCACTGGCCATCAGAGAAATGCAAAGCAAAAACCACAATGAGATACCATCTCACAGCAGTTAGAATGGTGATCATTAAAAAGTCAGGAAACAATAGGGGCTGGAGAGGATGTGGAGAAATAGGAACACTTTACACTGTTGGTGGGACTGTAAACTAGTTCAACCATTGTGGAAGTCGGTGTGGCAATTCCTCAGGGATCTAGAACTAGAAATACCTTTTGACCCAGCCATCCCATTACTGGGTATATACCCAAAGTAGTATAAATCATGCTGTTATAAAGACACATGCACACGTATGTTTACTGCGGCACCACTCACAATAGCAAAGACTTGGAACCAACCCAAATGTCCAACAATGATAGACTAGATTAAGAAAATGTGGCACATATACACCATGGAATACTATGCAGCCATAAAAAATGATGAGTTCATGTCCTTCGTAGGGACATGGATGAAGCTCGAAACCATCATTCTCAGCAAACTATCGCAAGGACAAAAAACCAAACACCCCATGTTCTCACTCATAGGTGGGAAATGAACAATGTGGTGGGAATTGAGTAATGAGAACACTTGGACACAGGAAGGGGAACATCACACTCCGGGGCCTGTTGTGGGGTCGGGGGAGGGAGGAGGGATAGCATTAGGAGATATACCTAATGTAAATGATGAGTTAGTGGGTGCAGCACACCAACATGGCACATGTATACATATGTAACAAACCTGCGCGTTGTGCACATGTACCCTAAAACTTAAAGTATATTAAAAAAAAAGAAATATATTTTATAAGGCCATGGTTGCCATAGATACTGATTCCTCTTACGGATCTGGGCAAAGTCTATTGAAAATCTTCTGGAAAAGGTTCACCATTCCAGATCCCATTAAGAACATTTGGCTTGGCATGGTGGCTCACACCTATAATCCCAGCACTTTGGGAGGCTGAGGCGGGCAGATCACAAGGTCAAGAGATCGAGACCATCCTGGCCAACATGGTGAAACCCTGTCTCTACTAAAAATACAAAAATTAGCTGGGCACAGTGGTGCGTGCCTGTAGTTCCAGCTACTCGGGAGGCTGAGGCAGAAGAATTGCTTGAACCCGGGAGGTGGAAGATGCAGTGAGCCGAGATCATGCCACTGGACTCCATCCTGGTGACAGAGCGAGACTCCATCTAAAACAACAACAACAACAACAACAACAACAAAACAAAAACAAAAAAAAAAGGAAAAAAAGAAAGGAAGGAAGGAAGGAAGGAAAACATTTGATTCACAGGAGGCCAAATTATCAACATTAACAGACGGTTAAGAGAAATTGAAATCAACTCTCACAAAATATTTTCAAATGTTCAAGACTTTAGTATAAGAGCTCACTGCAGATATGCTGGAAATAGCAAGAGAACTAGAATTAGAAACCAAGCCTGAAGATGCAGGTGAATTGCTGCAACCTTGTGCTAAGACTTCATCAGATGAGGAACTGCTTATTGCTAAGACTTCATCAGATGAGGAATTGCTTATTGTGAATAAACAAAGAAAGTGGTTTCTTGAGATGGAATCCACTCTAGGTGAAAATCTTATGAACACTGTTGAAATGACAACAAAGTATGTAGAATGTTACATAAACATATTTGATAAAAAAAAAAAAAAACTCAAGCACAGTACAGTACAGTGGTTAGAACACAGGGCTGAAGCCAGAATGTATGAAGCTAGCTGTGTGACCTTGGCCAAATTGTTTAACCTCTCTGTGTCTCAGCAGCCTCAATTGCAAGACAGAGACAGTAATGGTATTGATCTCATAGAGCTGTAGTGAGCAGTAAGAAGTTACAGTTTGAAAACAGCTTAGAACAGTGCCTGGCACACAGTAGCTGCTATGCAAATGTTAAATAAAAAAAAAATACAAAAATTTAAATCAATTTGGAGATCATCTAGAGGAGTCAAAAATTATTACAAACCTAAAGATCTACATGGAAAAGTAGAGGAACTGCCATAATTCATTTTTTAAAAAATTAAAAAGGGGGGGCAGTAGAAGGCATTATTAATATGGAAACTACTGCCCAATTGCTAATAAAAATGTTTCCAAAACAGCCTTTTCAAATTTATAATGGGGAAGATGAGAAAGAGGGAGCAGCCTGGCTGTTCTGTGCAGCGGCTGACATTGGACAGGGCTCCAGTTCTCTAGTGCTCTTATCAGTGCTAAGAATGCTGTGATGACTCAATAATAATTTTTTCCAGGAGACTTCAGAAAAGCTTTTACGTTTTCTATTTTCTGCCAGTATTTCTATGTGCTCTCTGGGACTCTGTGAATTTCAAAATTTATACTGTCACATTCAGTTTTCTTCAGCTTGAGGAGAGCCTCATATATTGAATTATGTTGTGCTTTGTAAAGCATGTCATCATTCACTCCAGGATATTTGATTTAAGAGGGCAGAATTTGCTAAACGGTTTACTTCATTTGGTTTCATAAAGAAACTATGACAGAGGAAAAGTAAGTGTTTTAACAATAACCATCCAAAATGCAATATTTTAATGACCTCAGTTGGTTAGAACACTTACATAACAGTTAAAGATCTATTATATACATAGAATTAACCTTAATTCTAAAACAAGCGTCAGTGCTCCTCGGTAAGCATGACTGACCACAGGGGAGCTTGACCTGGAAGTTTCAGATGAAATTAGCACATATCAAGTCATTTAAACAAATACTTACTGGACATCCACTGTGAATTAAGAACCACACCAAGTACCTGCCTCATGATTGGTAGATCACACACAGGAGTTACTGTTAACTTCTCTTTTCCCCCCACCCTCCACATAGTTATAAAGGCTAAAATTAGCCCTGTAAACCTATTTCAATATGTTCCTTCTTTCCACTCTCATTGTCAATATGTTTGCTCAGCACCAACAGTATGATCTGGATCACCTCCTAGTGTTTTCTGTGATTCAAGTCCTGCCTGTTTTCAATAACCATAATGCTGCTTTCTCTGTGCTCCACTTAGAAAACTCCTACTTACCCCTTAAGACTCAGTTTGAGTGCTACCTTCTCCACATCACCTTCTACCATATCACAGACATGTATTCTGAGAGTTCAGTGTCCCTCCTCAAGGCTCCCACGACACCTGCACATGCTCTATCATAGCTTATATACAATAACTGTACCATAAATGTTGATGCATTTTCACCACTGACAAGCAAGCTGTACTAGGTCAAGATGGATATCATCATCTATACGTCATCCAGTGCCTAAAACAGACACTGCCAAACAAAATGAATAGATATTAGGCGAATGAATTAACATACAGTGAATAAACCAGGTTCTTGCCCTCAAAAAGTTCCCTATTTAGTTGGAGAGGCATGACTGGGCAAAGAGGAGGGGATGGAAATAAGACATAGAAACTACTACAGTGCAAACCAATGTTTGATAAGAAAGTAGGGTATACGGCAAGAAGCTAACACTTATTATGTTGCCTAAATGTTTAGGTATCTAAAGGTGCCAGACACTGTGGTTGGCCCATTGCACACATTCTCTCATTTATTCCTCACAACAACCCTGCAAGCTATTATTATTTCAATTTGATAGGCAGGGAAATTAAGACTCAAGGAGTTCAGGGCTCAGAAAGGTTAGTGAAGACTGGATTTGATCTCTAAAACCCACGCCCTTTCTATCACAATGGTACAAATTCAATTCTGTGGAGTGTCAGAGGAGGGAACAGTTACACCCAGAATGAAGAAAAATCACAAAAGGTTTTATGTAGAAGTAACAGTGGACCAAACCTTGAAGGGTTGGGGGAGAAAGGAGCTACATTTTAGATGGAGGAATAAAGAAGGCATGCATACAAATTCAAAACTTGTGAGTAGGACACTGAATAGTCTGGAGTAAATTGAGAATATCTGCAGAAAATCTCACTGAAAGAGAAAGTTGGGGCTACCCTGGGAGACCTGGGAACTCCCAATCTAAACACCACTATTAGAAAAATAACCAAGAGCATAGGTCATGTTAATGATTGGACCTGTGCTGTCCTCTTCAATTATGAAGGATAGCAAATGAAAAAAAACTCTGGCAGTATAAGTATTTCAGAGCCCTAAAATAAGTCTGACTTTAATCTTGTCTAAAATTTTAATTTTAGACATGTATTTTTAACCAAGGAGGAAATACAGCTACAGAAGTTAACATATTCAAGTGTCCTCTTAATGTCAAATTAACATAACATCATAGAAAAACAAGTAAATAGATTCACTTCACAAATGGGAGCCATATATTCTCTTCTGTTTTAAATGTATACTTTCAAAAGTAATTACTTTCATTAATCTTTTAAATTACATATATCATTCTCTCCAGACATCTTGATTTTAACTAAATCCATGAATTGCCCAGCTTGCTGGCATTATGAAATCTGATCATCAAAACATAACATGGCCATATTTAAAAGTACACTGGTTGTGTTTTGTGTATGTTTGCTGACAGTTTTACTTATCAATACTATGTTTTGAATGGCCCTTATAACTAATTTGTTCAAATGACATTCATAAACTAAGTGTGACTGATTATTTAGATGGTAACATCACAAATCCATTGAAAGGAATCTAAAATAAACAAAGTAAAGATCTTAAGTGGATTATCCATAGATTAGAGAAGTCTTAAACATTCTTTATAGACTGCCTTTTTTAGGTCTTTTAGACATATGTTTCTCTTAAGGCAATTTTATGAGCTAAAATGTTATAGCAAATGTAGCCCTAAAGCTGTATGTAAAATGTTATGGCAAATGTAGCCCTAAAACTGTATATAATAAATAAAAAATTCCCCACACTGAAATTAGTAGGAGTGTCAGTCTAGTCAGTAAAAAATCTTCAGTGTATGTATTTTTTTTTATTTTGAATTTTTGTAGGTACCGATACTGTTTGGCTGTGAACCCATCCAAATCTCATCTTGAACTCCCACATGTTGCGGGAGGGACCCAGTGGGAGCTAATTGAATCATGGTGGCAGGTCTTTCCTGTGCTATTCTCGTGATAGTAAGTCTCAAGAGATCTGATGGTTTTAAAAAGGGGAGTTTCCCTGCACAAGCTCTCTTCTCTTGTCTGCCACCATGTGAGACATGCTGTTTGCCTTCTGCCATGATTGTGAGGCCTCTCCAGCCACATGGAACTGTAAGTCCAATAAACCTGTAAATTGCCCAGTCTTGGGTATGTCTTTATCAGCAGCATGAAAACAGACTAATACAGGTACATTAGTAGGTGTGTATATTTATGGTGTACACGAGATATTTTGATACAAGCATGCAATGCATAATAATCACATCAGGGTAGATGGGGTATCCATTACCTCAAGCATTTATCCTTTGTGTTACAAACTATCCAATTATACTCTTCTAGTTATTTTTAAATGTACAATTAAATTATTTTTGGCTATAATCACCCTGTTGTGTGGGCAAATACTACATCATATGTATTCTATATAACTATATTTTTGTACTCATTAACCATACTTACTTCCGCAACACCCCACTATTCTTCCTAGCCTCTGGTGACCACGCTTCTGCTCTCTTATCTCCACGAGTTCAATTGTTTTAATTTTTAGCTCTTACAAATAAGTGAAAACATGTCAAGTTTGTCTTTCTGTGCCTGGCTTATGTCGCTTAACATAATGACCTCCAGTTGCACCCATGTTTTTGCAAATGACAGGATCTCATTCTTTTTTTTATGGCCGAATAGTACTCTATTGTGTATATATATCACATTTTCTTTTTCCATTCATCTGTTGATGGACCCTTAGGTTGCTTCTTCCAAATCTTGGCTATTGTAAATAATGCTGCAATAAACATAAGAGTGCAGATGTCCCTTCAATATACCGATTTTCTTTCTTGTGGGTATATACCCAGCAGTGGGATTGCTGGATCCTATGGTAGCTCAATTTTCAGTTTTTTGAGGAACCTCCAAACTGTTCTCCATAGTGGTTGTACTAATTTACATTCCCACTAACAGCATACAAGGGTTCCCTTTTCTCCACATCTTCATCAGCATTTGCTATTGACTGACTTTTGGATACAAGCCATTTTAACTGGGTAATATATATATTTTAAACAGAAATCGAGACTTTTCACTTCCAACTTTACATAGTAAATAACCAATATTGTTGGAGATACTTAGGGCCCTTGTTAAAATGAATAGATATTTTATTTGTAATACTATTATCAATCAATAATATAGTAATGGGTACTATAAAATATAAATATTTAGCTTTGAAATTTTTATTATATTTTCAGTTTAGTAATTTTTTTCATAGATAACATATCTATACTTTTATCTAGCCACTTTCAGAATTACTATAGAATATAAATCAGCAGCATGCAACTCTTTACAATTTATGGATCATTTGTTATTTTGTAACAAATGGTTAGTATTAAAGACATCCTAGGCAGAAAGTAAGGCATGGTATCTCTAATCCTTTAAACTTTTAAAAGCATCATGAATACCATCTTCTTTTTGCCCAATGAAAGATATTCAAATACAGAGCTAAGAAAGATATTATTATATAAATGACCCCAACTGCTCCTCTTAGAGATGAAAGAACTGAGACCCAAAGAAAGACTCAAAAATATATAGCTTCAAATGAGCATACTATAAAGATTGAAAATCAATAATTTAGGCATTCACATCAAAAAGTTTTTTAAAAGAACAACACGTGAAATCGAACGAAAACAAAAGGAAGGGTATAATAAAGATTAAAATCAGAAATTATTGAAATAGAAACAAAACATACAAAAGAGAGTTTCAACAATGCCAAAAGTTGGTTCTTTGACCAATAATATTAATAAACCCCTGACAAAACTGATTGAGAAGGCAAACAGCAAATACCAGGCATAAAAATGGGAATATCATTACTAAGGACATTAAAATATCATAAGATGATATTCTAAATAACTTTACGCCAATAATTAGAGGGAACAGATCCTAAAACAACATTTATCAAAGCTTCTCATGGCTAATAAACATAATGAATCCATGACTAAAAAGCCTGCTTATAAAGATAATGGTGGTAACATACACCTAGAAATAATTACTAATACTTGTTATATTTCATTGTCTCCTTTTTCGCTGGTTATGACCATAATCTAAAATTAGAATTGACTGAGGCAGTTCAGCCTAATATATCTTTCTAAAAATATATTTTGTTGTTCAAAATAAAGGAATGGAGAAACTGCCCTCATGATATGAAGAAACTCTCATGTAAAATGACTTTCTTTTTCCTAGGGTATTATCTTGAGAGCTGATTTTAATTTCCAAAGCCATCCTTAAGGAAAAAATTGGTTTTTGGCTTATTTTTAAATATTAAATTTAAATTCACTTGTTTTCACTTTAAGTTGATAGTATATACTTATATGGCATCTGTATATACATCTCCATGGTGAAGTGATTCTCATAAAAAGTGACTTCCTCTTTTCTGGAGTATAAATTTCAATGACATTTTCAACTTTTGAAGCCATCTTTAAGAAAAAAAGTTTTTTCCTTATTTTAAAATATTAAATTTAAATTCATTTGTTTTGCTCTAAATTGATACTATACACTTAAGCAGCATCTGTATATACATTAAAACTGTCAAGTAATAAAATATTTTTAAAGGAACCCTCACTCTACAGCAGGAGGTAAACACTATGCAATCAAAACAGCACAAACTCTGCTAAGAATGAACTGCAATTCTCACTTATCATCCTTAAATATAAAATATTGGTCTTGCTATGTGCCCTGTAACTCAAAAGTTGGAATTATGATATGTTACAAATATAAATTATTCAAGTGAGAACTAGCAAACTAGTTGAAAATTCTGATTCTTTCATTATATTTCCAACTTTATCCATGTGAGAGGAAAAACTAATTGAATAGCTTAAAGGAGAGGAAAAAAAAAGAGAGTGTTTCAGATTCAGGGGAACATAGAAGATTGAAATAATTACAAGTAAGAACAGTATTACAGCTCCTGTAGGATTATGTTTCTTATTTCTTCCTATATCTCCTATAATACACAGCCTCGTAGTTTTAATATGACAAATACTTAAAAATTTTTTGAGTTGAAAGTCCTAGGTTTATATAATACATCGTTCATACAAAGAACCATGAGAAGATATAAAAATAGTGTGGTAAAAATTTGGATGAAGCTGGAGTAAAAGAACCAGTATTAGTCTTCTTTTCAAAAAATAATTACAACCTTTATTTTAGATTTAGGGGGTACATGTGCAGGTTTGTTACATGGCTATATTGTGTGATCCTGAGATTTAGGGTATGACTGATCCTGCCATCTACACAGTAAACATAGTAACCAATTGTTAGTTTTCAATCCTTGCTCCCCTCCTTCTCTCTGCCCTTTAGCAGTCCCCACTATCTATTGTTGCCATCTTTATGTCCATGGATACTCAATGTTTAGCTCCCACTTATAAGAGAGAACATGTAAGATCCTATGTTCTTAAAGCACTAGAAAAGGCTAGAAATTTTCTGAAATATGTGGTTGACCTATATAAAATTTAGGAAATGAAATGATGGGTGATAGAAGAAAGAAACATGGAAAGTTGGGAGTGGGAATGTGGGGGACAAGTAATATGACAATGAGAAGAGGGCTTTCTACGGAACAAATTCTTAACATTTAATGCCTAACATATTGAGAAGAATTATATTTAGCTTCGCCAATTCATGGATCTAGCTTTGTAATTACAATTCTCTAATATTGGCAGAAATGACGGTAGCAGAAAATCAGGATTAAAAATGTATTGTAAACAACAAAGAATACCTTCTATTTCCAGATAATGTAGAATGAACACTATATAGCAGAGATACTGAGGATACTGAGGGGGATGTTGAGGTAGATGAAGATAAGGGGAAGAATTTACTACGACGGAAGCTCATCATCTCACAAGTATGAAACAGATAACCTTCAGTTCCATTTCAAACAGCCATCAGCAAGTTAGAAGTATTTGAAGAAATAATGGTGTCTATTGACCTTGTTACACACTATTAACAATAGCAAATTTAAAATTTGCATATATTCTGTTAAATTAATTTATTCCTAAATATATTCTTTATACTACTGTAAATAGTATTTTTAAATTTTTTCCCATTGCTATAGATACTAGCATATATATATATATATATATATACGCTAGTATATATATATATATATATATATATATATATACGCTAGTATATATATTCCATATATATGGAATATATGGAATATATATATGCCAGTATATATATTCCATATATATGGAATATATGGAATATATATATATGGAATACAATTGATTTTTGTACATTTTCCTTGTATCTTATGACCTTGTTTAACTTATTAGTTCTAATGCTTTTTTTATATGTTTCTTAAGGTTTTTTATATACACATTCATGCAATTGTGTCATCTATAACATGCATGCCATTTATTAAGTTTTCTTGCTTTATTGTGCTAGCTGGCACCTCCAGCATAATATGAGTAGTTAATATTCTTGTCTTTTCTCCTAATCATGAGAAAAATGTTTAGTCTTTCATTTTTAAATATGAAGTTTAGCTATAGGCTTTTTATAGATGCCTCTTGATTGAGGAAGTTTCCTGATATTTGTAATTTATGTGATATTTTATCAGGAATGGATATTGAATTTTCTCAAATGATTTTTCTGGTGGCAATTAGAGGATCATATGGTTTTTTATTTATTCTGTAAATGTGTTATATAATTTGATTTTTAAATGTTAAGCTAGCCTTGCATTCCTGAGATAAAACCTCCTTGGTTATGACATATTATTCTTTTTATATATTGTTGAATTTGATTTGTTAACATTTGTTAAAAATTTTTGCATCTATGTTCATAGGAAATTCTGAATTGTAATTTTATTTTTTTGCATTACACAGGTCTGCTGATAAAAAAACTCAGTTTTTGTCTGAAAATGTCATTATTTTGCCTTCTGAAGAATATTTTTGCCAAATATACTAATCTATACTGATATTTTTTTTCTTTCAGCACTTCAATTGAATTGTGGTTCATATTTATTTCTCAGGAGAAGTCAGCAGTCACTTTTATCATTGTTCCCCTATAGGTAATACGTCTTTTTTCCTCTGGTAATTTTAAAGATTTTTCTCTTGGTTTTTAGCAATTTGATTATATGCTATGTAGTGTTTTTTTTGTTTATTCTGCTTGAAGTTCATTGAGCTTCCTGAATTGGTGATGTTATCTTTTTTATCAAATTTGAGAATTTTCCTACCATTATCTCTTCAAAATATTTTTCTGTCCCATTTTTTTCTCCTCTCTTTTGAGACTACAATTGTGTGTATGTGAAGCTGCTTTTTTAGGGTTGTCATTTTTACACTAAGAATTTCCAATTATTCCGTCATTATGTTCATTTTTCTCCCTTTAAATGTTTGAATCTATTTATGGCAACTGTTTTATAGTCCTTGTCTGCTAATTCCATTATCCTGTCATTTTTAGTCTATTTCTATTGACCAATTTTCCTGCTTTTTTTGTATGTCTAGTCATTTCCTATTGAATGCTTGACTCAATGAATGCTATGTTGCTGAGTGTTTGGATTTTGCGGTCTTCTTGGTTGAGTGTTAAGTTTTGTTCAGGTATGAAGTCAATTTACTGTTGAATCACCTGATTTTTTCAAGGTATTCCTCCCTCCCTCCCCAAATACCCATTATTTTTATTTTTAAAGCCATTTTGTATGAGACAAAACTTCCAAAATAATATTAAATAGCAAGCATCCTTCTTTATCAGGGCTTAGTTTTAAAATTTGTAAAGATAGGTATGGAGTAACTCTTACTTTAGGGATAGATTAGTCCTACTTCTAAACATAGACTTTATAAGATAAATACCCTTCTGAATACCAGGGTTATTTAATGAAGGAACTCTGGTAGTTGTTCAGCTCAAAGATCCCTAGTAGTTTTTCTTTTCCTAGTGTTTGTGAATTTTGTTCAGTTTTATAGTTTTTATTGTGGTAGGGCTAATCTGGTACCACTACCCTGTCATGGGCAGAGGTATAAATCCCAAAAGGCAGTTTTTCACCATATCTCAGCTTTCCCTGAGTCCTTTCCTCTTTCTCCTTTGACCCACTAACTCTGCCCTTTATTCTCTTATAATTCTCTCTCAAGAACTGATCACTTAGTGAAAAGACCCAGACCAGAAACTAACTCTTATAACTCAATTCAATGCTCTATTATACTATATATTTTTTACTTCCTAGGATTAAAACAATAACAATCTAAGTTAGCTTTAAGTTGTTCATTACTTGATATATTTCTTGACTTATCTATTTTGTTTTTGGTGGATCTATCATTTATATTTTATTTTCTAAAAATTAGAACGGGTTCACTCATAAAGCTAAAAATGACCCATATTGAGAAAAACTATTTGATTAAAAGCTGAACCAGCATTCTAACCATACAAAATTATCTAAAAAGTAACTTTAAGGAAGGCAAGGAGACAAATAATAACATGCTTCTACCAGATTTCTGGGTTCCTTATCTCATACCTGAGATTCATATAGTTTATTATTTCTCCTTGTGAGCTATTTTAGCTGCTTGTGAGAGAATAGGCTTAGATCCTACATGTTTTTCTTCTAACTTAAGAGCCTTTATGTTGATGAGATCTGTTCCTAGAATGTAATGTTCATCACTCTCTGTCCACAGAATATCTATTAATTCATGTTTATAAAGCATTAGCCACTTTAAAAATAAATTTTGCATGGTTTTATTACCTTTAAAGGAGAGAAGAGATAAGAGCAAGAAGAACAGAAATAAAACTGGTTTATAAAATGGGCCTCTAAGAAAGTATTTTTAAATTGTACCAGGAGGGAAACAAATGATTAAATGAGATTTTTAAGAGGTTGTGGGTCTAATAGTCTTACCTGTGTAGCTGAATATATTCTCGGGGTCTGTTGAGCAGGTGAAGGAATCTGTCAACAATCTTGTTTTTTCCTACACCCTGTAATTACACAGAAAACATTAAACAAAAAGAGGCTATTTTCTGGAGATAAGCTTATGCCAAATCAGAAGAATCTTTTACCAAAACCTGCTTTCTCACCTTGTTACTGTTTTAGTTTATTGTTCATGAAAACCAAACTGGCAAACATATATGGAATATCTCCTATGACATAAGGGTTTAAAAAATTTATTTCTAAACGTACTAGTTCTAAGCCATTCTTATTTGAAAGGAAATCCATAAATTAGCCTCCTACATATTGACTTTTCTGTTCTGTAAATTTACACTGAAGTCTAGGCATCACAGCAGATGCCTATAGTATTAACTATTTCAGATTTGAAGAATGTCATCAAAGGTGATCAAGTAAGTATAAAACAATGGTTTTTCTAATCAGTTCTTCAGAATTATGATTTTCAGTTACAGAAAGGTAAATATAATACTGTATTTTTTCTATTTGAATCAAACACTCATTTCTTCTCCTTTTATCCCATTTTCCAGTCCTTTAAAACCTTGGAAACCTAAACTTAAAACCAAGGTGTATTAATAAAACTCAACTATATGTGCTCTTCCTAGAAATGCCCTCATTTCCTTACCACTTACTGCTGCTGAGAGTTGCTATCCTTTTGTAGAAGACAGATTGTTAAAAATGGAATCCACCCCCAAGCTATTTCCCTATTTCAAAGTTTTCACTTAGAAGTGAAATATAATTAATGGGGTGTAAATCTTTTAACAAGCAGGTTGTGTGGAAAGAGTTATAGTTTAAAAGCTGACTTCATATCATACATGCTAGCAAAAATAACTCTTACTGATTCTTATATGGGTTGAGCATCCCTAATCCAAAAATCTGAAACCCAAAATGCTGCAAATTCTGAAACTTTTTGAGCACCAACAAGATGTGCAAAGGTCATGCTCAACAGAAATGCTCATTGGAGCACTTCAGATTTTGGATTTTTAGATTAGGGATGCTCAACTGGTATGTATACACAAATATTCTAAAATGTGAAATGCTTCTGGTCCCAAGCATTTCAGATAAGGGACACTTAACCCATACTGTGCCAGGCTGTAGGGTAAGTATTTTCATGGGTTATTTCATTTCATCATCACAACAGTCCCATGAGGTAGGCATTAAAATTATTTCAACCTCACAAATCAAGAAACCAAGGCTCAGAGGTAAGCATTGTGCACACAGTCACATACAGGTAATTCTAGTGAAACGAGGACTCACATCCAGGTAATTCTAGTGAAACCAGGACTCACATCCAGGTCTATATGATTCTGATGCTCATAATTATAGTCCCTGCATTATGGAATATCTTTCTTTCAGTTTGAAATTGATTTTGGTAATCTGGGCCTTAAGTTATCTCCTTTCTCACTTCTAGGTCCATCCTAAAGAAATAATTAGGTAGACTGGGGCAATGCATGGTATACAGCAACAATAGCAGAAGCCCAATAGGGAAGCAGGTATTTTTACTGGTATTTTTACTACATACGCAAACATCTTGTGAAGAAAAGCATTCTACAAGCATCAAGGATAGAAATTCAAATCAATTGAAATGGTATTTATTGAGCGCCACAGGGGGTAGAAACCACATCTGTTTTGCTTATCACTATATCCCCAGAGCTCAGCACAGTGCCTGAGAGTGCGTTCAATAAATATTTGTCAAGTGAATAAACGAATATAGGGCGTTTGGAAAGTACTGGAAAAGGAGTGAGGATTCTGGTAAAATATAAATGATGACCATGTTAATAAGGATGCTGAAATTATGGACTTATAAAAGAAGAACGGGCCAGGCGCATGACTCACACCAGTAATCCCAGAGATTTGGGTGGCTTAAGTGGGAGGATCACTTGAGCCCAGGAGTTCCAGATCAGCCTGGGCAACACAGTGAGGCCTCATCTCTATAAAAACAAAAAACAAACAAACAAACAAACAAAAAATTAGCCAGGCATGGTGGCACATGCCTGTAGTCCTAGCTACTTGGGAGGCTGAGGTGGAAGGATCTCTTGAACCTAGGAATTTGAGGCTGCAGTGAGCTATGATCACACCACTACATTACAGCCTGGTGATGGAGCAAGACTCCACCTGTAAAAATAAATAAATAAATAAATAGATAGATAGATAGATAGATAGATAGATAGATAGATAGATAAAGTGGGATAAATTTTAAAAGTGATTTATTTCGCCTACAAAAGATTTAAGGTTATCGGAGCTGAATGTCAAATTGACAAATTCACTTAAGTTAGAACAATGGATCATTTCATCTTCTAGGAATCTTTTCAGTACCTAATTGGATTTCACCCAAAATAGTTTCAAGCCTAGCACAGAAGCACAGAGGAGGAAAATAACATTTGCACATCTGTATGTAAATTACAACTGGTATGTAAACTTTAAATGGCATGTGACCATAAATATAAATTTTTAAATAGACAAATTCAGATGAGTAAAATGTCTGTGTTAATATATTAGTTCTGTTAAATTCAGCAATCCTAGGAAAAGCAGACATCACAAATGCATTACAATGTCAGAAATACAAAGGATTTCCTGGAAGAAATGTCATGAAAATGTGCTATCAGGGAGTTCCTCCTCCCTTCCCACCTCTAAAGTTATTAAATAGCCATGCCTATTTAAATTCCTCCTGAGCAAGGCACGATTTAGGAGTCACAAGTCCCATAAATGTAGTTTGAGATGTGGAGTCCCAGCTGCCACTAAGGAGCTCTTTTGCTGTGTCTCTTTAAATGCTGGAGTCTCCAGAACCCCAACCTTGGCTGTCTTGTTCCATATGCTCTCTCTCCCATGACCTCAGTCATCACAGACAGCTCACACTTCTTTTCTAAGCTTCATTCGATATCCCCTATTCTTAACCGTCAACTGAACTTCTGAAACAGATGCTTATCATCCTTCCACCCAAACCTACTTTTTTCTCTTTTCAACCCCCATATAACAGCACAGCCAAGTACTCAGCTGCTCAATAAAAGAATGCTAGAAGATTTTTGATGGCTTCATTTTTTCCCTTCTGCAAAACGTCATTAGGATCTTTGCAGTCCCTACCTGCAAAACTTTTAGTTTTATTCTTTCCTTCCATTCCTTGTCTCCTTCATTCCTCTTTCCCTTCCAACATTTTCTCCCTCCCTCCCTTCGTTTCTCCCTCTCTCACTTCCTTGCCTAACTCATCAATTATTTGAGCACCTAATATTACAGCACTGTACTAGTTGAGCTGGATATAATGGTAAAGGAAACAGCTACAGCCTCTCACCATATTCACAGCTTATAGTCTAGTAGGGAACACAGACAACACATATAATAGATAGTGTCCTCATATGACAATCCAAGATGCTTGAAGATTTAACCTAAGGGCTCAGGAAGGCCGACTGCACAGTTATGTTTAGATCGAGATATCAAGGAACTAAAGAGGTATAGGGAAAGATGAGAAAGGGGAGTGATACAGGTAGAACAGTATGTGTCAAGACTCTTGGGTAACAGTCAGTTGGAGAGCTGGACAGGTATGCAAGAAGTCAGAAGCTAGAGAAAAGTGAGAAAGGGAGTGGTAAGAAACCAGGCTAGAAAGGTAGGTGGGGTTTAAGTCTGGCTAAGCCCTGGAAACCACTTAAAAGAGTTAGAACTGTTTCCTCAAAGCACCAAGAAGCCACTGAAGTAAAGGAATAATACGATCAGATTTTCAGTTTTAGAAAATTGCTCTGATGGAATGGTACGGTGGAGTCTGGTAGAGAGCAGAAGAGAAAGCAAAGGAAAGCAGTTTGAAATTCCTTTAAAATTCAAGCAGGAGATGATGGTGGTCTAAACTACGGGATAGAGAGAAATGAATATATTTAAGAGATATTTAGGAAAAGGAACCAACAGGACTTAATGAGGGCCTGGAGTTAAGGATGAGGAGATGAAGAAGTCAAAGTTTCTGTCTTGGGCAATCGAGTGGCAGGTCACAGAAGAAACAGGGGAGGAGAACTGAATTAGCTGGGTGGGGGAGGGAAGTCTAGTTATAAAAGGCAGTTTAATTTTGGATATGTTTACTTTGAAGTGTCTGCTTCCCATATCTGCTCCTTCCTCTCCAATTCACTGTCTCAACTCAAGGGTAGCTCATCCCCTCCCCAGACTACTGGAAAGGGCCTAATTTGGTTTGGTTTCCCACCTCCAGATTTACAAGACTATCCTCAATTTGTTTAGTTATTTTTCTAAAATAGAGATCTCATCAAGTTGCTTACTACTTCATTTTAAGAAGCTCTGATAATTCCTTTGAGGAAATGCTGAAAGCTTCATCTAGGAAAGAATTTCTGTAAATATCCTGAGCAAAATGAAACAGTTATAATGACTTGTTCCTTCTAATCACAGTTTTTGCCTAGAATAGAGAATCCTCAGGATTATTTTAATTGAATAAATATATAAATAGTGTCTTATTTTTCCATTATAAAGTTACACATGCTTATTTTTCCCACTGGGAAACTTAGAAAACAATAATCACCCAATGTCCAGTTGCTTAAAAAATCTGCTAACATTTTAATTTTGTTCCTATACATATTTATCTTTACTTACTAAAAATTCCATTTATATGTAATTTGTATCCTTTAGTAAAAATCAACATGAAATTGATAAATTTTTATATCATTAACTCTTATTGAGAATAATATTTAGTAAGTGGAAATTTGATATAGGAGAAGAAACTTGTGGAATGAGAGCTCCTAAAAAATAAAAATAATCTCATGAGAATGACGCTAACATTTATCATTACTGTTCTGCTGGACTGTGCTCTTCATGATGACGTACTGGCCAGAAGGATTTTCGCAGAAGCAGGAGTAGGGCGGCCCTTTCACTACCGGGTTAGGAGAAGCAGGAATTATGTGAAGCCCCACAGACAGGAGTCAAACCAAGGAGAGGAAGTAAACATGCTTCTAATTTCTGAGAGAAAAGCTCAGGGACCATGACTTTAAGAATTCTGAGGGATTTCTGGGACTCTTATAACTTCCTCAGGTTTATTATTTTAGTTACCCTGTTTCCTCAGAGAGATTAGCAGTAAAATTCTTTACAGCAAAAGGACTTTGGGGCTTTTCTTCCTGGACAAGAAAAAAATACAGAACGTACAAAACTCTATCCATGTTCCATCAAAGGAGGAGAGAAAGAAAGAAATAGAGTAGGAGAAAAAAGCTAAAAGGGAATGGAAAACAGGCAAAGAGAAAATTAGTCTAGGAATGGGATTTGGACTAAATGTTGGGACTTGAATGCTGAAGGATTTGTAACAGACCTTGAGGGATCCCTGCAACAGCAGATAAATTTGCAAGCATGCTCATCAGCCCTCTGTGACTCTCACTCAAACAAGTTCCTTTCAGCCACTGTCTCCTAAAAATTACCTTTCCATATCCATATCTTTGCTTATGTGGTTTCTTTTGACTACAATAGCTCATCCTTGCCCATCTGTCTGTCATCTTCCACTCCCCCACCTAGCCTTCTGATAAAATGTTCCAACTTCTCTGAAGCTTTGCCTATCTGTCCCGTTGTTTTCTCTCCTTTAACTCTCAGCACCAGAATGATTTCCTCCTTTGGGTTCCTAAACCACTCTCTCTCACCAGTATACTCTAGCAATGTGCCAGGTCCTTGGCAGGTAGACAGGCTTGCTCCTTGAGGCCAGGATCATGCCCTATTCGGGTCTCTTAATGTCATGGAGTCAAAGATCAGTCAGTTTAAGGTTGTAAAATCACATAAAACACGTCTGGGAGCTCCCTGCATGTTATCTAAGGTTCAGAAGGGAGAACAGTGAGGAAGCAAATCCAGATCTTTTCTTCAGCAATTTTAAAAAATGGACTCTAGGTGAGTATTTGCCACTGCCAGCATTCAGCTTTCTTGCATGTTCTCTGAAACTTGTTTACTGTGGGCCTGCCTTTAGTTGCCTCCAATTCTTTAATAATTTTCATAAAGTTAGTTCAGTTTGTATAATAGAGATGTTCTTTCCATAGGCCGCTAATTTCTTTGTTAGAAAACTCCCCACATTAATGTCATTAACAAATACCAATTACAATAAAAAATAACAAAATAAACCAATATTATGGTAAATCCAGAGAAATAAATTCCAATTGCTTTAAAAAAATCCCATCTAATGCTGAACCTTCTAATTCTTTGCTTAAATGCCTAAAAATACACTATACTATCCCTCTCAGGTGGGAATTTTTACCACCATCTGAGCTTAGATTTGCTCATTTGAATAGAGAGGCCTTAGACAAGCTAATCTCTAAATACTATTTTACAATGATATTCTTTGGTCTTATAACAAAATAAGAGATCACTGCTAATGATCACTGGAAATTTCTTATTTTCCAAATTCTCTCAATACATATACATTACTTTTGTAATCAGAAAAAAAATTATTAAAACTGAATAGTAAATAATCCTAAACAGTCATACAAATGGGTTCGTTGTAACGGTCAACAAACAGTAGTCAGAAGTCAGATTAGAAAACACACATTTCAATTACATTACTAGTTTGCATGACTCTAAAACACAACCCTTATAAACCTCCCTATCAAAATCATAACCTCCTTTTCACATGAAAATAATAATATCTACCTCCCTGCATTTTCCCTTTGAAATACTGTGTTGCTATAAATGGCAAAAATCCACTTTTGGGTAGTGTGGTCAGCTATTAGGTATAACCAAAGCAGTCACGACAAATATTGCAGGGGGCAAAAATCAATGTGTCTGCAGGAACAAAATACAGATTCAAAATAAATTCAAGAAAAAATATTCACTAAGAAACAATGGATAGACAAACTAAATTGGCAGAAAGAATGTGGCAGAATGCCAAAGAATTTCCACATTGTAAACTCAGGCAACTTCATTAACTAAGGGGTTTGAGAAGGAACAAAAAATAATTTAAAATAAAAATGAGTGCCACTGTATTTGATGAAACAAGTATTTCATAGCCTTGGGATCCCCAGGCTGCTGGAGCTATTAGACACTAAGTTATCAAATTCCCTGCTGCCACTACCAGCTGGGGGACACAGGCAAGACAATTTCTGGACAAACTGTTCAGTGCTTCTACAGATATTAAACAATTATGCTGTCATAGCAACATGGTATATTTCTGAGGGTGCACAGTAGCAATCTGCCAGGGCTTAGTTCAAATTATTAATTAGCAAAATTCATACATTCTTTAATTTTAGCAATAAAATATTCATGGTGTCTCAATATTAAATAATTCAACATTTACTAAACCTCTATCAGGAGAAAAATAGAATCTCTAATCACATTAAGTTTGTAATTAATAGAATGAGATACAAAGAATTAGTTAAAATGTTCATAGAGTCTTGCTTAGTTGGCATTAAACATATGTTTATTGATTTTCAGACTGTATAAAAGAGTTAAAAAATCAAATGCTATGAAACGCAGAGAAGAATGAATCATTTCTAGCCTGGAAAAAATTGAAATGGCATAATTTCATTGTATAAATTAATCAAGAAATTAAATTGGCCCAGTGAAAGTTACTTTTATAATATTTCCTCAATGGAAGTTCATCAATATTGGTATAATTCTGAATAAAAGGTTTATATTCAAAAATATGGGTCTATACTTCTTAGGATAAAGATGACAGGAGGGTACATCTTTCCTCTTTCAAAGAGACTTAGGAGGCACATCAACTAAATTCAATGACCAGGCTTTGTTTTGATGCTGACTAGAATAAATCAACTATAAAACAATGCCTTTTTTTTTTTTTTTTTTGAGACAGAATCTTGCTCTACTGCCCACGCTGGAGTTAGTGACCTAATCTTGGCTCACCGCAACCTGCACCTCCTGCGGTCAGGTGATCCTCCAACCTCAGCCTCCTGAGTAGCTGGGACTACAGGTGCATGCCACCATGCCCAGATAATTAATTTTGGTATTTTCCGTAGAGACAGTATTTTACTATATTGCCCAGGCTGGTCTGCAGCTTCTGGGATCAAGGCATCCGCCTACCTCGGACTCCCGAAGTGCTGGGATTACAGGTGTGAGCCATTGTACTCAGTCAAAGTAACACTTTGGAGATAACTGGGGAAAGCTGAAAACAGCATCAGATCATATGAAGGGATTATTGTTAATTTGTTAGGTGTAATAATAAAATTGTGGTCACATTAGAGCTAAATGGTGAAATATCTATAAGAAAAATGATATGCAAAAGAACAATATATTAAAAGATGACATACAAAAAAGTGTTGGGAGAATAGATAAAGCAAGATAGACAAAATGCTTATTAATCATTGAGGCTGGGTGATGAATACAAGGGGGTTCATTACGTACTCTACGTTGTGTGGAATATATAAAAAATTTCCCATAACAGAAACATTTTAAATGTCCTTTACTTAGTATGTAAAGTATAGTCTCTGGCCTATTATAAGCACTTAACAAAAGTTAGTTATTATATTATTGTTGTTGTTGTTGTTCTGCCTAGTACAGGAATTCGTGTGCTATGATGCAAAAAAGCATGAGCTTTGGAGATCTAATACCTAACTCTGACATTAACTAGCTATGTAATTTTGAGCAAATATTTTTACCTTTTTGAACTGGTCTGCTTATTCGTGAAAGGTGGAAAATAAAAATTTTTACCTCAAAAGGTTGATGTAGAACTAAATGAAATTATATAAAAGTACATTGAAAATTCTAAGACATACAAATATTACTATTTTTAATCTTAGTTCATAAGAAACTTTTAACCAATTATGGATGAAATCAAACACGGATCACAACAATTTTAAAAGACGATTGAATCAACATAGTGAGAAAATACTATAAAGTTCAGAAGAAAATAAGATTACTTCTTTTTTGGGAGAGACAAAGAAAGCCTCATAGAAGAAAAACATCTGAACTCTTGAAAGTCGGCAGAATTTTCACAGGCGAAGATGAGAGTAAGAGGCACCATATGAGGCAAACAACATGAAAAATGGGGAAGGGGATATTGCACTCAGGAAGTGTAAGAAATTGTAGTTTGAGGCCGGGCGCGGTGGCTCACGCCTGTAATCCCAGTACTTTGGGAGGCCGAGACGTGTGGATCATGAGGTCAGGAGACCATCCTGGCTAACACGATGAAACCCCAGATTACTAAAAATACAAAAAAATTAGCCAGGCGCGGTGGCGGGCGCCTGTAGTCCCAGCTACTCGGGAGGCTTAGGCAGGAGAATGGCGTGAACCCGGGAGGCAGAGCTTGCAGTGAGCCGAGATCGCGCCACTGCACTACAGCCTGGGCGACAGAGCGAGACTCCGTTTCAAAAAAAAAAAAAAAAAGAAAAGAAACTGTAGTTTGAAAGAACTAGAACTATAAAAGGAGTTTGGAGCCAGATTGTGGGTGGTTCTGAGTGTCTCTCTATGAAGGGGATTTTATCTGGTAGACAAGATAGAGCCACTTTCACCTTTTAGAATAAATAACATTAAGAGATTCTTTCTAGGATATCCCTCACTGCTGATAGATCAGAAGGTGTCATAGAATTGAAATGAGTACCTACAGACTCAGTAATGTAAAAACATGAAGAAAATGAAAATCAGGGATAGAGAAGGCATCCTGTATGAAAATCAGCCAGAATTGGCTTTTTATTTTATAAGAAATATATAATATATTGGAGTTTTAGTAAGGGCAAAAAATATGGATGGGAATACAAGAAAAGTTTCAGTATAAAAATTTTACCAGACTGTTATTTTGTAAAGTGATATAAAAAGCTGGCTTAAAATGACAAAAAAAAAAAAAAAAAAAAAGCTGACAAACCCTGGGAAGTGATTTTATTAGACAATAGTCATGTAGAAATGATTGTGAATTATTAATTATGCCTCATTAAATATAAATTAACTTTTGATGACTTACTTTGAAATTTTGTCTAATATCAGAAACCAAGTGATGTTATGATATGTAGATCAAATTTTTATTTCTAAAAACAAAACACTGAATATTTAAAAAATAATTCCTTTCTTTTTTTGAGATGGAGTCTCACTCTATCGCCCAGGCTAGAGTGCAGTGCTGTGATCTCGGCTCACTGCAACCTCCCCCTCCCAGGTTCAAACATTCCTCCTGTCTCAGCTTCCTAAGTAGCTGGGATTACAGACAAGTACCACCACATCCAGCTAATTTTTGTATTTTTAGTAGAGACAGAGTTTCACCATGTTGGCCAGGCTGGTCTCAAACTCCTGACCTCAGGTGATCCGCCCACCTTGGCCTCCCAAAGGGCTGGGATTACAGGCGTGAGCCACCTCGCCCAGCCTAAAAAATAATTCTTATGTAAGGATACTTGAACATTTCAGAACACAACATTCCTAAAATATGTTTTGCCTTCAAATATCTGATAAAGAGCAACTGTCTCTCAAAACACATGTATTCTTACACAAAAACAGAGACTCACTCTTAGGGACTTTTTTTTATTATTATTTTTATTTTTGAGACAGGGTCTTGCTCTGTCACCCAGGCTGGAGTGAAATGGAACAATCTCAGTTCACTGCAACTTCTGCCTCCCATACTCAAGCAATCCTTCTGCCTAAGCACCCTGAGTAGCTGGGACTACAGGTGCATGCCACCATGCCTGGCTAATTTTTTTTGTATTTTTTGTGGAGATGGGGTTTTGCCATATTGCCCGTGCTGGTCTCAAACTCTTGGACTCAAGCAATCCGCCCACCTTGGCCTCCCAAAATGCTGGGATTATAGGCATGAGCCACTGCACCCAGCAGGGACTTTTTTTTTTTTTTTTTTTTTGAGATGGAGTTTCACTTTCCTGGCCCAGGGTGGAGTGCAATGGCGCAATCTCAGCTCACCGCAACCTCTGCCTCCTGGGCTCAAGCGATTCTCCCGCCTCAGCCTCCTGAGTAGCTGGGATTACAGGCATGAACCACCACGCCTGGCTAATTTTGTATTTTTGGTAGAGACAGGGTTTCTCCATGTTGGTCAGGCTGGTCTCGGACTCCCTACCTCAGGTGATCCGCCCGCCTCGGCCTCCCAAAGTGCTGGGATTACAGGCGTGAGCCACTGCGCCCGGCCTCCGGCAGGGACTTTTTTAAACAAAAAGAAATATGGCACTTATGGCTGATTCTATAGCCCCCAATTTTCACAATAAATATTTTGTATATCAAATTGAATATGACACTATACATCAAAAGAAAACCAGGTCTGGGAAGGTGGGGAAGGCAGGAAACTTATTCTTGAGCTACAGCTGGCATAGAAAAAATATCACTGGTTAGAAAATAAATAGCCATCTCTCTTTTTGTTAATTGGAAAGTCATACTGTGACAAAAAAACAAAACAAAACAAACAAACAAAAAAAAAATCAGCATGAAGCTCCTAATAGTAATGAAAGGTACATATAATGTTATAATTACAGTAGGTAGAAAGTAATGCATGCTAAAGTGGTTCTATAATATTCAGCATTATACCCTAAGTGACCCTCAAACATGTGTATTTTCATGGTACTCTATCCCACTTGGCAGAAAGGCAGCAGTTCTGCTGCACTTACTGGAAAGACTATGTGCTGTGTCATAAAATCTCACACAGAAAATAGGATTTTTAAAAATCAATTTTATTATAAATAAGGGGCAGGCTACTTTATTTTACTATGACAAGTGGTGCTTGTATTTAGCTTCCCAACAGATGTAAAATCTTTTCTAGTATCATAGATTCTTAGAAAAGATAGTATCTGCAAGAAAAAGGTGAAATTGGGTTTAGTAAAGATGTTAAACCTTCAGATACCTCAAAATCAGCACCCATTTTCTTTAATTTCCTCATTGTAAAAGTTGCCACTGGTAACAGAGCAGTCTTGTAAAACATCTCTAGATATAATTTCAAGTGTTGAAACATTTCTTTCATAGAGTTCAGCCAGTTTCTGGTTTGCAAACAGAAGGCTGTGTAGACTGCATATATCTGTAGACAATGCTTTAGAAGGAGAAAGAAAGGAGACTGAACAATTGCTACACATGATTCATTTACTTTAAAAATAAGTTATGTGATTAAAATAGGCATTTTCACAGGGGACTGTCACTTTGCATTTGACTGAAAACACCAGTGACACTACCCCAGGAGAGCTGAGAGTCAATTGTCCTCCACCTATTATCTGCACCTTTATTTGCCTGTCTTGATCTTCTTTGATTGTCTTGTTTCAGAAGATGGAAATAAGGGTGAAGGTGAGCAGGTGCATCAAATATGAAGAAAAGCATGAAATACCATTGACCAATGAAACAAGGCATTTTTTAAAACTACTGAAGAAGGACCTGAGTTACTATCACTGCAAAAATATACATTCCCAAATATATAACTCTCCTAGATGATCAGCACTCAGAACAGCACAGAGAAAGAGAACACAAACTCTATGCCAGTCCTTAGCAAAGCACAGTTCTGTGGGGTACTGCATTAGTCAAGGAATACTACAGGTGGCTCTGTACTCCCTCGTACCCACCAAACAGAAGCAGCTAAGAGTCTAACCATAGAATCTTGCCCAGATCTTAGCACAGATGTTACCTTATGAAAACACATTAGAAAGGAATTGAAGTTGGCTAAAGGATTCAAACAGTTCTATTTAGATTTTAACCAGCTGCCTTGGTCCAATTTCCACCCCTTGACCTGGTAAATGCAAGCACAGGCAAAGTTATGTATGATTTAATTAGCTAAATACTAATCAGCACTTTATTATTAGAAATTTAAAAATAATTAGCATTTCATTATTCTGTCTTAGTGATAATGCTGCCAGTCTCTGATCCTGTCATTATAGAACTATATCCAGTTGAATGGGCTACTTAACTATTTACTCTCTTGAGTAGGTAGTCCCTAGATTTTATCTAATTCATTAGTCTCCTTCACTTAAACAGCTGCAAGCTCAGAGAAAAAGACATTTCAATTTGTCTTATAGCCCCCTGAAAACAATCCAACTAAGCCTAAATTTTAAATTCATATTACTTCTAAATCATTTTGGCTACTCATTAGGAATTTATTTATTTATTTATTTATTATTATTTTTTTGATATGGAGTCTCGCTCTATCTCCCAGGCTGGAGTGCAGTGGCACGATCTCAGCTCACTGCAGCCTCCGTCTCCCAGGTTCAAGCGATTCTCCTGTCTCAGCCTCCGAAGTAGATGGGACTGCAAGCGCATGCCACTTCACCTGGCTAATTTTTGTATTTTTTAAAGTAGAGACAGGGTTTTGCCATGTTGGCCAGGCTGGTCTCAAACTCCTGGCCTCAACTGATCCACTCACCTTGGCCTCCCAAAGTGCTGGGATTACAGGCATGAGCCACTGCACCCAGCCAGGAATTTATTTCAGATAGTCCTTTAAAATCTACTAATTAACTCAGCAAGTATTTGTTGAATGTCTACGGTATGCAAGGCATCAGGGAGACACAAAAATAATGAAGACTCTTTATCTCTTTTTCATAGAGATGGTGGGTAAATACATAAATCTAACTAAATCCCAAAAGAAATCTGTAAGTGACCTATCACACTTCAGAGAGTGCAGTCAAGCCTTCAAGCCATAGCATTCACAAGCACTTTATTAAAGAAGCATATTCTAGAATATTACAGCCAGAAAGACCCTAGAAAATATCCATGCCAAGCCTATAATTTTATAGATAAGAAAAAAGAAAAGGCCCTAATTAGAAGGAATAACTATTTACTCAGTATCACATATCAGTTGATATCACACATATCAATTTACTCACTAACAATTTACTCAACTATCACAGAGAGTTAAAAAATCTGAAAAGGAAGGAAGGTCTTTGGGTACCCAGCTTATTACTTTTCCATGATGCCACATTGCCACTCTGAGGTTAAGAGAATGTGAATGGGCAAAGGTAAGAGAAAGAAGAGAGCATGCTGGCAAAGATTAGAGGTTGAAATATAACACTGATAAGAAGGTATGTTTGGGAAACAGAGTATTTAATTTGTCTGAGGAAAAAAAGCATTTACAGGGAGAAACCAGACACCAGGCTGAAAGCAGAGCAGGATTAGATCATGGAGGACATCAAATGACAGTCTAAGAGAGTTAGACTTTTTCACTATATAATATAATGAACATAGGTAGCAGAATTTACTTCCAAAAAAACATTCCTTCAACATTGGTATTATAATATAACACTGATGGTCTTAGAGGTTTATAATCAAAGAACAGAAAACTCTTTTGATATGAAAAGGGTCAGCTAAACATAGCAAATTATACTGAATACAATCTCCCTTTGTAATTTCTTCTTTCTCCAAAGTGGAGAGTGGCAGGATAAGAGTACAAGATGGCAAGACAGTGTGATCTGCTGACCACAGATGGCTTTTGCAAAATAACTGATAAATGAAAGTTTGTGCCAACCCGTGGCTCCTGCCTTGCTCTTCGTGGGGATCTTCAACTTGAAGGCTCTATCTAGCTGAATCCTGAACCAGTCCTAGACAGGCTTGAAAATCAGTGGGCTTGACCATCCTTATCAGATGCTGGAGTCCAACCATCTACCTATGGAGCTGTAGCTGCCCTTCCCTCCACCCCGCTGCCTAGCTCTTTGCTCTAATGCCTTGTTCCTTTCTTTAGGACTGGAAACAAAAGAGAGATAGCATATTAGATTTTATGCCAAGGTTTGTATAGCACCCTAGGACAATTCCAAAACACTTTCACAGTCTCTGCTTCATTCATCATAAAGCAGAGGCAAACCTCTGTTCTACTTCACCCTTCACTCTGAATAGCTCTCCCCAATCCTCCAGAGGTTAAAACATTCTTCCTGTCTCTCTGGTTACTGGCTAGGCATTAACTTCAACCTTTTAAACTAGAAGACCCTCCTGAAACTCTAATCTATTACCTGCTCAATTGCAAGTGCTACCTTTGCCAAGAAACCAACTGCATCTAACCCACCAAACCCTCAGGATAGCAATACCATGACAGAGATTTCAAAACCACTTGGACTCCATACCTTGACCTCTAGGGATCTTCCTTTTAAAAACCTGCACCTTAGAAAAATTATTCCTCAAGCCCCAGTTCTGTATAGTCTTGGTCTATTCTCTTCTCCATGCTGGTCTGCCGCTGCTGGGATGCCAAAAGCCTCTGTGTCTCTGGCCATTCAGGTGATGGCAGAAGTTCTGAAAAGGACACACTGAGTGCACCAAGGTTTAACTTATAAAGAGTTTGTGAAACTCTTATAAAAAATTTACAAAGTACTTTGGGCTATATACAACCTGAATGTCCACAGAGCCATTGTTTTTCAAAGTGTGATGAGAATGTGACTTCCTGGGTTTCAATATCAAGAGCCAAATTCTGACTGTTAACTGATCTTCATCTTCCCACTCTGGTATATAGGTTCATCTTTTACTGTTCAGTGAAGAAAAATAGGTAGGACTTTTCAAATAGTGGGAATTAAAGGGTCATAAATAATTTATTGTTCTAGTTTTAATTCTTGTTTTAAAAAATGAAACAAGAGAATATTACTTTTAAACTATACAGTGATACAGAGGTATTTAGCTGACAGAACTGAGCACTGTGTGAAGCACTTCCCACGCATTATCTCATGACATCCTTACGTTAGCCCAAAGGGACCATACTATTTTTATTCCCAGGTTAGACATCAAGAAACTGAGCCTTAGTAAGATAAGCAATTTGCCCAAAGTCACACAACCATATGTGGAAGAGTTGCTGTTGAGCCTCTAGTTATCTAATTTCTAAGCCTATGCACTCAAATCAATAAAGCACACAACTGGCCCATTTTTACTTTTATTTTTAAATCAGTACTTCAAAATGATAAGTTTGAGAGGCTAAATATATAAAGAATATGTATTATTTTTATAAATACAAAAAAGAAGAAAAAATAGAAACCAAACTTTAGAAGCTTTGTTACCCTTAATTTAAGACCAATTTAAAAAACCAAAAGTGCTGTTCACTGTGAGCCTGAAAATTCAATAGAGGAAAATTATCAGGACCCTGTAAACCTAAAATTTTCATACGTTCCTCCATAAACATACATTGAGTGTCTACTATGTAACAGGTACCATGCTAGGAGCTGAGAACAGAGATAAATAAGAAAAACACAGTCCCTGCTCTCAAGGGACATATAGACAAGTTGCAAAGACAGTCATATGGTATGACTAGTATGACAAAAGGGAGATAAAAGGGAGTAGAAGCAGGAAAAACCTATTCAGCCAGGGACAAGGGAAGGTCTCTCTTCCATGAGTTAAAGGGAGGGTATATGGGAAGGGGACAGGAAGTTCTCCCTGCAGAAGGAAGAGCATGTACTGAGGACCAGAGCAGAGATAAGTAACTGAATAGATAAGGAACTGCAGAGTGCCTCAAGCCAACACAGTGAGAGAAAGAAGGGGCCATGGCTTAGGAATAGAGGGGTGGGCAGAGAGTGAATCCTGTACACTGTACTGAAGACTCAGACTATACCTAACAGAAATGGGGAGCCAATTTCAGCAAAAAAGAGAGGCTCAATCAGATTTTAGTTTTACAAGTATCAATCTGACAACAGATACTACAGAATGGAGAGTAGATAAGAATGGGCATAAGGTGGGGATGGAGCTATCATAGGAAACTACTGCTGCAATCCAGGTGACAGGTGAAGATCACTGGGGCTAGAGTGACAGATGTGGACAAGAAGAGTAGATACTTATAAGACAGAATGTACATAACTTGATGAGGGACAGAATGGAGCATGATTTAAACCTTGAGGTAATTTTGAAGTTTAGAAGGTAGCAGAGTCTCATCCTTTAATTAAACCAGTCATTTAATAGGGGAAAAAATAACTGATTCCAACAAGAAGAAACTTACTGCTTTTAAATTGTTACTATCATTTTTTCATTGGTACCTAGATTTTAGCCATAACTCACCTGGTTGCCAACCAATAATAAGTGTTCTCCAAGGAGAAAGTCTTTCAGCATATCTTCCATCACTATCACATGCTAGAGAAAAAGGAACTAGGGGTTAACTGTTTTGTACAATCAAGGTTAAATAAGAAAGTTAACTATAAAGATATCTTTATAGAATATAAATATCTATTATAATAAACAATTATCAATCGATTTGATATAACCCAAAATTAAATCTGTGGTTATAAGTAAATTATATAACCATTTAGGTCACTGATACTGAAAACTTGAAATAGTCCACCTGAGCAAAACTAAGCAACTGACCAACATTTCAGAGTTTTTAATAATTCAACTCAAATATTTTTTTACCTATTATACTATGTAGAGTTGGCTTATAATTTAATATTTAAATTGATACTTGCTAATGTAAATATACAAAGGCTTCCTAAAATAACTGTACACTTCTAGGGAACATTTTACATTGACTTGTTCTTAACCATTACCTTTAAAGCTATGGATAGCTTCAGAATTAAAAATATATTATTTACCTTCCACACTTTTTAATTTGAATTATGACACAATATAATAACAGAACAAGATTAAGGTTGTTCACAATAGCCACAGAGGAAATTACATTGCTCTTTTGTATCTTGAAAAATAAGACACCTGTAAGTAGGTCATGCGGGTTCTTTAGGGCTGGGAAGAGATCTACACTCCAGCACAATTAATATTCCTATTACTTTCTCTTGGTTTTCTGTATCAAATAGCAGCTAAATAAGTACTAAAGTTATTGACGTTCCCTATTTGTAAAAAGGCAAATTAACCTTTTGCATCCAACACATGCTGCAGATATTTTTCCAGT
Source organism: Homo sapiens (assembly GCF_000001405.40). Lineage (NCBI taxonomy): Eukaryota > Metazoa > Chordata > Mammalia > Primates > Hominidae > Homo > Homo sapiens. The sequence continues at coordinate 41,778,826 of NC_000013.11, forward strand.
ACGTCACTTTTTTTTTTTTTTTTTTTTTTTTTTTGAGGCGGAGTCTTACTCTATCGCCCAGGCTGGAGTGCAGTGGCGCGATCTCGGCTCACTGCAAGCTCCGCCTCCTGGGTTAACGCCATTCTCTTGCCTCAGCCTCCCGAGTAGCTGGGACTACAGGTGCCTGCCACCACGCCCGGCTAATTTTTTGCATTTTTGGTAGAGACAGGGTTTCACCGTGTTAGCCAGGATGGTCTTGATCTCCTGACCTCGTGATCTGCCTGCCTCGGCCTCCCAAAGTGCTGGGATTACAGGCGTGAGCCACCGCACCTGGCTGCTTTCTTTTTTCAATTTCGTTTATGGTGCTTTATATCTATATTGTATAATATACATATAAATTATATATAATATATAGATATAAAAATATATAAATATATATGATATAAATATTAAAATATACATATACATACTCACAGAAATTTTTCTTTTTACTTGTCAAATTTAATAGTATTTTCTTTCAGTTTCTTCCTTAGAAGAAAAACTGAGAAAGTGTTTTATCTCCTTCAGGAACAAATGAGTATTCCCTATGTTTATCTTGGTCGTTTTTATTTTCAAAAATGCTTTCAGATATGCCATGGAGCTAGAGTTTTAATAAGGCTTGAAGTGAGGTGAGTATATAATTGTCTATTCTTGAATACTTTTAAATGGATATAAGGTGTATGCTTTTAAGAATAAAAAGAGACACTATTAATAATTATGCTGGGACAACAAGTATAAGCAGAAACTATGTTAAGCAAACCAAGATATACATCATTTTAAGCTGAGTTCTGGTGGGAATATAGCATGGAGACCTCTTCCTTTTCACTAAGATGAAAAGTCAGTGCCAATTCCAGAAAACACTAAGCTCTTCCAGTAATAAATGGGCTAATCTACGTTGAAAAGTTGGAGTAAGTACCTGAATAGCCAAAGAAAAAAGCAATGTAAATATCGAAAAATAATCCAAACTATATCTGTGTTCTTCTTTACAATTCTCATGTCCTTCTACTTCATGCCCTCATTATATCTAACTAGATTATTCAAGTCAACAAACCTTAGCTAAGGCTAAAGTCACCGCCAATACAATTCTCTTCTTAGCCTCTTGACCACTTAGTACTGCAGACAATTTCTTAAAAGTCTCCTCTCCCAGTTACCCATTTCCCCTGATTCCTTCCTACCTCCCTAACAATTTCTCCCATAGTTTTCTGAGCTGGATCTTCCTGTAGCAATTCCTTCCTTCTACCTTCTTACATGCTTCCCCTTGTATTCATGGTATGGGGCAGGTTGTGACTATCTGTACCCAGGCACCCACCTGAGGGTTGAGGGAGGGCTGTGTGCAGAGTTGGATACCCACATGTCAGCATTCAAAGACCCACTTCTGACCCTGCTCTCCTTAAATCCTCTCATCTATCTCATGGCTTCAATGACCAGCTCTACACCAATCTTCAACAGCAAAACTCCTCCTCAACTACAGCCCTCTATTTCTGAGTGATCAAACCACTTTGTTATTCCCCAGTCACCTAAATTCAACACATCTAAAACTCAACTTATTACTTTCTCCTGAACTTCATTCTTTATCCTGTATCTTTTTCTCCAGTTAATGGCACCATTTTCTACCAGCTGACCAAACTCCTATTATCATCACCCTGCCCTCCTTATTCCTCTCTTATCAACATCCAACTAAACAGCACCTGAATTGTTAAGCCACCAAAAATCAACTGCATCTACCCTTTCTTTTCCATCCCCACAGTTTCAAGGTTTTTATCATCTCTAGCCTAGATTTGTATCAGCTAATTAGCTTCTCTAACTTCAGTCTCTCCTTGAGCCAATGTGTTCTTACAGTACTGACACTTCTTTGTTCAAAATCTTGTCACCTCATTTCTCAAAATTCCTTAAATGACTCCTAATACTTTAGGAACAAAGGTCATTGCTTACATTCTTGATCTAGTCTCAGCCTCATCTCCTACCACTCTCCTTTTATACTGTGTTTCCAACCATGGGCACGATTTAGAATAATGTTCTGTTTACTCTTCTGTTTACTTTTTCACCAGACATTGTGCTCCCTGAGAAAGAATCTCTGCTGTTCATCTAACACAAAGTTCCACTGACTTGATCTCCTTAATAGCCCTGGAATGTGTCCTCTCCACTCTGTCCCCACTGTCACCTCTTTAGTTCAGATCCTTCATAAATTTCATCTGGACTACCGCAATAACCACCTAACTAGTTTCTCTTTGCCTTAGTTCTAACTCCTAGACAATACTAAAGAGTAAAAGCTAAGTTAGCCAAAGTACAAATGTGCTTAAAATCTTTCAATAACTTCCTCATTCTTCTGAACAGAATCCAAATTCCTTAACTACCAAGACTGAAAAGATCTCACTCTTTCCTAATTCACCAGCCTCTTCTCTTGGCACTCTTCCACTTGCAACCTCAGCTTCATACCAGTGACAACAATTTATATATAGCTCCCTAAATGAGCTATTGTCTCATATAACTAAGTCTCTGCTAATGCTAGTCTCGTTGCCTGAGAGACTCTTCTAATTGGGTCTGGTTGACCAATTTTCTATGATCATTCCAATCTGGGTCAATCGACCTCATCAATGCCACCATAAGTAAACTGCACATACTTCCACCACACTGTGTAGTAACTATGTGTACTTACTTGCAGATTAAGAACAACTTGAGCCCTAGAGCTGCGTATACTTGTGTGTGTATTTTAATCTCTGTATCCCAATACCTTAGGACAAGGCCAGACTCATAATGGGTATTTTTAAATTCTTACCCATCTAAAACTCCTTAGGCTTATTAAGAGGCTATTATTTCTCTTTCCTCCAACTTCTCCTCCTTACTGCTGCAAATGTAATATTCCTTAATGGAAGGCTTAATGAAGTAATACTCTTTATCAAGAACATTCAAAATCTTACTCATTCTTTTATTAATCCACTAAACACATATTTACTTGGCAGTTACTATGTGCCAGGCACTTTACTATTTGCTGGAAATATTAAATAAAGAAAACATAGGGCTGTGCCTTAGTGATATGGAAAACACGTTTTAAAAGTCCATTTCAACACAATGTGGTAAGGACACAACAGGGCATAGGACAACAAGATGATACAGAAGCACCTAAATCTGCAAGAGGCACTGACTACGGCTTCAAAGATGAAGTACAGCATAAAAGGAAGTAATAATATACACAATGGAAGCAAATTTAATCAAGCTACTGTCCGTACAATTGGTACAGCTAAAAAGTTTTCATTAATGGCTAATTCATAATGCTTTAAGAAGAGAAGGTACGTTTGGAGACAGCTTAAGAAAAGTCCCTCAGGGCCACTGTGTAAAGTTCATGGCAGCCCTGAGTCCTAAATGTCCATGTCACAAACACCATGGCAACAGACATTGTGTTCAAGGGCACAATGGTCTTTGCTGCTACTGTATTTCCTACATTCTTATATCCTGTGAAGTCTTTTCAATCTTTGCCACCATGGAGTTTTTCAAATTGTCTTTTGTTCTTTGTCTCTTTGTCTCTTTGTTCTTTGTCTCTTTGTTCCTTTCCACTATATGAATAGAGTGTAATACTATCAGTGCTTGGAAATAGTATGTTTTCCTCATAATCATGTTTTTGCCTTTGACAGGCAAGTTTTCTTTCTACTTTTGTGTCTTATAAGTAGCTTTATTTTCTGTTCATTTGTTTACTGATTGTGCAAGAGCATTAATGCTCCAGAAGAAAAATAAAACATTAGTTAATTGGCTATAAAATGAATAAAAATCAAATCAAGGTTATGCTCTTTTCTACGACATAAAAAATATAGTTTTGACAGATTTCAGAATTTTTAACCAAGATTTTTATTAAGAATAATATGTCTAGATACCTATAAAGTTAATATAACTTAAAATATATTATAGAAAATTTTAAGTAGTTGTTTTACTATAAAAGTAATACACAGCCACTTGACAGAAAAGTTGGAAGAGAAAACATTTTTATATTATAGGTAATTTTCTCTAAAAAAATTCTTATTAAAGTAAACATCTACAATAAAGCTTTCTAGATACAAACTTATATGTCTTAGTGGAAGGTCCATAATTATTGGCTAGTTTACAAGGAGAGAATTCTCTACCCTCCTCCTTTAAAAAAGAAAGGAAAAGGAAAGAAAAGAAAAATACTAGAAACTTGCAGGAAAAAGAAGAGTATGAGAAAAAGGATGCATAGGACATATCCCTCTGAACTACTGAAATCTTTAACAAGCAAGTAAAAGAGGATGATAGCTCTGCTTTGTTTTTAAAATGTTTAATTTAAAAATTGCATATAAAATTACATATATAATTATATGTGTGTATGTGTATATATTTTATATATATGTACTTATATATATACTTAATATACTTAATATATGTACTTATATATATACTTAATATATATAAAATTTATTACCCTAATCATAGCAACCATTCCTCCAATTTTTAAGTACCTTTGGAAAAAATTTTCTGTTTTCTGTCTTATGTCTTAATAAAAGTTGTTCGGCCAGACATGGTGGCTCACGCCTGTAATACTAGCACTTTGGGAGGCTGAAGCAGGTGGATCACGAGGTCAGGAGTTTGAGGCCAGCCTGGCCAATATGGTGAAACCCTGTCTCTACTGAAAATACAAAAATTAGCCAGGCATGGTGGCACATGCCTCTAGTCTCAGCTACTCGGGAGGCTGAGGTAGAAGAATCGCTTGAACCTGGGAGGTGGAGGTTGCAGTGAGCCGAGATCGTGCTACTGCACTCCAGCCTGAGTGACAAAGTGAGACTGCATCACAGAAAAAAAAAAAAAAAAGATGTTCAACACTTCATTTTGCATCATCTAAATTAAATTTAGGAAATCACAAAAATAATTACATGTCAATTTCACTTGAATTGGAGTGTACTACCACAATTTAAGTGATTTATCCAAGAACACAAAGCAATACTCTTACCTGAATGTTGTCATAGAAAAGAACATCAGGCACTTTCATTTTCTCATGTGCATTATAGATCGGTGCACTAACAGCACCAATCCTCAGAGTTCCAGATGTTACTTCACCTAAACATTTCACACAGGACGGATAATTATTCATAGCACTGTCCTCAGAGATGCCAAGCCACCCAACACAGAATGCAATACAGCTTCAGTAATATCTGTGGATTTTAATTTAACATCTAAAGAAATAAGCTGGAGAGTAGTAATAAAACACCACAGCTCTAGATACAAAATGCTTCAAAAGGTAACAAATTTTCTTTAAAACAATGTAGATAGAAAACAGTATATATATAATTGTGAGAAACTAAAAAAAAAAACAAAACAAAAAACCAGAATACAGTCAAGCCACCTTCACAAGCTTGTTTGGTCAGAAACTATAACACATACATAAGTTAAATACACCTAAATTCAAAAGCTCCAAAGTACCTTGAATATTATCTTTTAGTGTGCACCAATTTAGAAACCCCTTAAGATAATCTCCTATAGCTCTAGTCAAAAATACAGATGAACTAACCTACCACAGAACTCTTAAATTACTATTTTCAGCCAAGTGCAGTGGCACATGCCTGTCACCAGCATTTCAGGAGGCCAAGGCAGAAGGATCACTTGAGCCTAGGGGTTCAAGACCAGCCTGGGTAACACAGAGAGACCCTGTCTCTACAAAAAATTTTAAAAATTATCCAGGCCTGATGGCATACGCCTGTAGTCCCAGCTATTCAGGAGGCTGAGGCAGGAGGATTGCTTGAGCCTGGAGGTTGAGGCTACAGTGAGCCATGATTGCACCACTGTACTCCAGCCTGGGTAACAGAGTGCAACCTTGTCTCTCTCTCTCTCTCTCTCTTTATACATATACATATACATATATATATATATATATATATATATATATATACACACACATATATATATATATATATATATATACACACACACACACTAAAACATAACAAAATAAATATTTTAAAATTACTATTTTCGAGGTTGGTCCAGGAGGCCTATATTTTCAAATAATCACCCAGGTGATTTTCATACCCAGCCAGATTGGGAAACTGTCTTATGCAATTATTTTGTAATAATAATTATTATATTGTTCCTTATTTGCTTTAAATAGGTTGACCTAGAATACATTATTAGTTCCTGGAAGCCAGAAAACTAAGTAATAAAGCTCTTGAAATCAGGGAACATATCTGCTATGTATTCCCTACAGTAACCAGATATGCATGACATGTTCACTGACATGTTCCAAGTTCAATAATATTAATAACATTAATAGTAGTAGGTATTTTAGTAATACTAATGATTACAATGATAGAAGCTATCATTTATTAAGGACCTTCTATGTGCCAGATCCCAAGCTAAAGCTTCACCTCATTTTTTTCTCATATGACTTCATGCAATTCAAAGAGGAAAGAATAATGAGAATACTAAGAACATACACTATGTAATTTGCTCAAAATCACCCAGCTAATATGAGTAGAGCTTAAAACAATTTAGTCTAGTCTGACATTCTTTCTACCATATGGGATATATTTAATATTTTGACTCCAAATAACATTGCAACCTGTGGAAATACCTTAGCAAGCAAATATACAACGCCTTAAACAATTCACCCATCTTTTTTTTTTTCTACTTCAAGTAAGAAAATTACAGTTTGTTTCTCCACTAGAATGCGACTTTTGTGCTAAGCGTTTTGGAAGACAATGGAGAAAAGCAACTTTTGCTTCTATGGAGTGCTGTGAACAAATCTGAGCTAAAAATAATTGTCATCCTGTTTAATCACTGTGGAGTGCTACACATTTGACACAGCACAGTAGATCTTAACAGTAACTTCGCCCTTCAATAGATCCTTGCCATTTTCCTTTTGTTTACAAGTTCTACAGGGAAGGAAAACCATGAGCTGTAACACTGAGAGTTTACTATTTATTTACCACCATTAGGTCTCTGAAATAGACCCAGTATAAAACTGTAAAGGGAAAGAAAGAGCAGGGATATGGCAGTGAATCTACTATCTAGTTGCATGTTGAGATGACACACATAATTTCAGATTCAAACAGCATCTGATGCTATCTATGGTTTAGTTTACGGAATACATCCACTCAGCAGATTTACGGCTTAAGGACAAGTTTATTCACTCATCCAATGTTTATTGTTAAAATGTCAACCTCAAAAAGGGAAATGCACTCAGAGAATGGTGATGCTAGCACTTCTGTGGGAGAAAGTTGGCTAGCTATCTTCTAAGAAACCCACAGAATGGCATTATTTTGGTACATTTGTCAAGTTTCTCAGCCTAGTAGGCTGTAAACCTGATTTTGTCATCACAACTAAGGGCAAATCTAACTTTCAGGAGAATATTAAAGATACATATTCTGGTTTCTCTATATATATAATGATGTAAAATCAGAATTGCAAAATATTATATGACAACTGTAACTTTCACATGGACTATGATATACTGGTTGCCATAACCAGCATATTAATTGAAGGGAACCTGCATGGAAAGCCAGTACCTCATCAGAAGATTGTTGTGTGAACACGGAGAGTTAATTAAATGAATTCTTCATAAGAGAGATGGCCTTAAAGATGAATGGAACCAGACAAGTAAAAAGTCTCTTCACTTAGGCTCCTTATCCCCTACATGAGGCTTAGATGGGCACTGCTAACACTAGCCAGTAACCAAGACCAAACAATCGGCAGTCTGAATGACAGTCGTTCTTTGGATATTTAATAGACTCACTCAAATAATATTGAGAATACAATATTATTCCTTCTCTTTGAGTTGACTCTGCGTATCTGTATTCAGATCCCTCAGTATGCTGAGTTTATAATTTGACTCTAAAAAAAATCTTATTTCCTCAATACCAAATTCTTGTCTCAGTGCAGCCCTAATGATTAAAAGCATCTGCTACAAAGAAAGCCACAACAGTCCCTTTTAAAGAGTAGTCACACATTGGCTGCTTCAATAAAATAGGTATTTACATTTTTAAAAAATTGAAAATCTTTCATTGTGTTCTAATTGAAGAATAGAAAGCTTTTAAATGAAGAACTAAATCTCCCCGAAACTGAAAATTATATTTATGGCTATCCAGAAGAAAAGTACCACAAAAGACAATACAGGTGGAAATGGAATGAATAAGAGGGCATGCATATTCTGATTATTATTTTAGTTTGTATCAACCTAGGAAAGTTTCTCCAACATATCTTATAGGACATCGCTGACCCTCAAAATGTAAACATGCAAAGAAAACAGCATTCTAGATTCACTGGTGAAATACATTTGGAAAAAGTACATTTCTCAAAATTAGACAAGTTGATTTACAGCAGGAATTCTCAGAGTATCAATTAGTATCAATTGTGAGTCTTAAGGGTGAGGGGAATTGTATCTAGTATGTACTGAAATGAAGTAAATATTCTAAGATTTTACTTGTGTTTTTCAAACTTAAAAAAATCAGATTCATTTCTTCAAACTAATATATAAAACAAAGTAGATGAAAACCAAAAACTGTTTAACTGTTTATTTTAACTGGAATTAAAATAAACAGCATCAAATGTTTGTTAATTATTATTTCACTTAAAAAAAAGAGCCAAATCAAATACTTACATTTGTAATCCTTCAGTTCTGGCTCCAAATTGTCATCAGTATTTATTTCTATTGTAGCATCTGCCAGATTTTTTTCTAATGCTGACCTAGCAAGACTGGGTAAAAACCTGGAGGATGAAGAGGGAGGAAGGGGGAAATGGCTTAAGTCAAAGCTTTCTGCGATTCTTAAATACACACACACACACACACACACACACACACTCCTTACTAATTACAACTAATTAAGGAAGATCAGTCTGGATCTGTAAAATCTAAATCAAACAAAATTTTAGAATAAATATAAACTTAATGTACGTGTGAATTATATGTTTGTGGAATCTCCTTTAATAAGTAAAACTTATTTGTAATTAGCAGTACTGATTTATGTACAACACTTTGCAAAATAAAATTTAAAATTTGCTTTCTTAAGTACAATTAGTATACTGGCTTATCAAATTTTCTTAAGTAGATTAAACAACAACACTTGGCTGTTCTAGGTTGGCAATCATAAATTCAAACCAGTGGAGATGGATTAATGAGATTTTCTTTAGTTTCTAACATAAGCTTCTGAATGAATTTAACATTATCTAGCTTCGTTCTTCCTATTAAAAAATATATCTGCTTATCTATTCTATGTGTATGTTGTCAAAACAACCATCTAGTGAGTGACAGTTATTCTTCAAACAAACGGATTATGAGCATCATGTGCCTGAGGCATGAAACATAGTTTCCCACCTACACAAATAAAGCTATAGCTAGAATTTATGGTCCCAAGTGAGCCAACGGATATGACTTTTAATCCATGGTACCCATGGTTTAACTATACCACTTTAAATTAACCACTATGTGATATAACGTTCCAAATAAACATACTAAGAACATACCACTTTTAAACAATTTGGGTTTTTCACAGCTCTAAATCTTTGGTGGTGATTCCTACAGTCTTGAGTATAATCTCTAATAGTGGAAAGATTGGAGAGCATGAGGCAGCAAATAGACAAGCATGTAAAGAACTGTCAGATTTCCTGTCCCTGTAAAATTCCAGTCCATATATCTGACATTATTATCTCTTACCTCCTGCCTCATTTTGGGCCTAGGCTATGATAGAGGAAATTACATAGCTCTATGCTAGTAACTCCTCAGTTCAGCATGAAGTCAGACTTTGCTGCTCATCTCTGAACTTTCGTCATAGTTCTTAGATCACTGCCTCGTTCAAAAACCAAGCCCTCACCTTATCTCCCAGTCCAATAGCTGGCTTTTGTCCTGTTTCCTGAGCCCTTGTCTTGGCACCCTGCTTAACCTTCCTCTTACCACTATCCCACAAACCAGAGGCTGGCTTGGTAACATTAGGCCCTGCAGCTGCATCCCTATTACTTCCTGTCAGAACACCCTGACTGGCATTGACTATTTTCAGGCTTAGACTTGTTGGCTATTCCCAGGCTTCCCCAACACGTATATAGTCTGCGTGTCAACACATCTTAATGTTGGCCCTGTGTGGAAACATTTCTAGATTACACTCCAAAGCCTGCAGAGAATAGCAAATATGGCACGGATGCCTTCCCTTCACCAATATTGGCAGGCATTGCTTGCTAATAGGGCATTCTTTCCTTCTGAGACTGAACACACTTCACCATTATTCTCAATCTAGCACCCAGACAGCAATATCAATCAAGGTACCAAGGAAGTTGAAATATATTTACATCTAGAACATTCTAAGATACTGGCCCATCCAACAAATGAGGAAAATGGAACATATCAGGCGGTGTAAGGCCAATCCTAATTTTTTTCCTGGATTTTAAGGGATTTGTTAACTGTTTCCTTTCCCATTGCTCACTGATATTTTTTACTTATTTTTTCCCTCTCCTCCCTTGGCCTTGGTAAAATAAGCAAATAAATGAATGAATGAAATATTACTCTTTACTATCCTAGCTTCCCAAAACCAAAGCAAGCACATACCCTGTTGCAAATTTTCCAAGTGTACTTATAACTATTATGAACAGCCTGGTGTCTTTTAAAAGTAATTATTACATTTATCATATTTATTCATTTTACCAACAAAAAAAAATTGGAAAAGCTCTAGTCTCATTAGGTTTTGGTTATAAGAAAAACTAAAGAAAGATTCAGCTACACTCTGGGAAAGTCAAAAAGAGAAGTATAGTAGTTACACTAAGCTAACGCAAATAACTGTCTTTGTCACAGGAGTGGGATAGGATCTTTAGATTAAGGAATAAGATAGGACTTCTCAGGATGGTAGCAAAGAAGTCTGTTAAGGGTCGGGGTATTCTCACATCACCAGCGCTAGGAAGGAGGGGTGTTACTTGCAAGAGTGAAAGAAAAAGACTGAGGGGTTCTGTGGATACTAGGCAGTCTTTGACTTCTATTCAGAATGTAATTGATTAATTAATTTGTACTTGTGATTTTAAATCTTAAATTTCCAAATAGTATTGGAATATTTAAGATAATTTATGGTACAGCCTATTTATAAATTTAATTGACTATATTTGTGCCTTAATTACTCAGGAAGGTTTTGTTTGTTCATTGAGACATCCAAAGTATGTAAAAGGAAACAATATATAAAATTTATTAACCATTTCAAATGTTTGAAGGTATTTTATTTAGCCGAGTTTTATAAATGGAACCAGACATTTTTCAAAGGCTTTTCAAAGTGATGGTTAATATCTGCTAGACTTACATAGTTAACTGAATGAATGAACAGAAAAGCCTAAAGAAGGTCTCAATTTTTTAAATTATAACACCATAAAACTGAATGCCAGCTTCTAAAACCAAAAATAAATCCCCAAATAGTCTTTCCTGCAAGCAAAACGATTCTTCCAGACAACAAAAAATTCACACCAACAATAATCTTCTAGTTTTAACACTGTGTATGATTAGTTCGATCAGACTTGTGATTTTTAAAATTAATTACTAACAGCTTAAACAGTGAAAATTTTATATAGATGTTACTCACTTTGCTTATTTATTTATTTATCCATAGGTGTTGATCCCAAATATTTTATATCCAAAGGGAATTTCTGACAACTGCATGCAAATTGAGTTTTTGACAAATAGAATAATTTCCTCATTACTTCAATATCAGAAACAGTTAATCTTCATTTCTGATTAAACTCTTACAACTGTGTCTAAAATTTCTGTGCTAAAGGATCAGCATAGAATTGAATTTTGAGGATCACCTCAAAATTTTCCAGAAGTAAATAAATTAATGAAATACCAAACACTTGAGTGAAGTAGAACTCTTATTACAGAGACCTCTAATTAATTTTTCTACAATAAAAGTATTTTTGGAATGCAAATTACTTGAGAATTTCCTAATCTTCTAAATTCTTCCCTGTAGTTCCTCAGGTTTACAAATGTCTAGAAAATGAATTATGCATCAAGCTCTGAATTGATGTTCACTTTATAGGGTATGAGGATGAGGTACTTAGGGAATTCATCAGATAAAAATTGTTGCAATCTTAATGCCATTGGCATAAATATATGAGTGATATTTTAAAAATTACATTAACAAAAAAAAGCCCAACTAATATTTATAAACTCAATGTTTAATAAATTTAGGTTAGATAATTTATCTTGATTTTTGTCTGCTTCATAAAGTTCTTTGTGAAAATAAGTTATATCAATGTTTGTTTTAAAATTTTCCACAAAATCCAATTCCTTTTCACTGATTCAATATAAAATGAGTTTTTTTTTTAAAAAAACAATAAAATACTTTATGAATCAATAATTTTGGGTTCCTTCCTGCCACTGTGTTATTCTAAAGAGAAGGTTAGTAAGAAGGCTTTTGAGTCTGCAGCCTTGCTAAACTCAACAGATGATGCATAAACAAAATAGCTGTTTTCTATTCATTTCTAGTTGAAAGGGTCATGGAGTGATTACAAAATAAGAATTTTTTGTGGTCAGTTGATAACACTGGAAAAATTAGTCAACTATTTGATTCAGTGAATATGTATGAGAATGAAAAGTAACCAATTTTTGTTTTTCAGTTTTTTTAATTATGAAATATTTCAGTATTTCAGAAAATTAAAGAGATTATAGAAAATTATGAAGACTATTAAACATTCTATTCATCTCTCTCCATCTCTAGAGAGAACTCTAACCTTGAAACTGGTGTGTATTTGTTGTCCATATTTTTATATTTTGCTACGTAAGTGTGTATGAATAAAAAATATATTGTACTGTTTATCACATTTAACATTTTGTACAAATCACATCATATACTGAATCTCCTTTTGCAACTTTTTTACTCAATATTAAGGTGTTATGATAGATAACTGTAAATGCATGCAACTTACTTCATTTTGACTGTTGTAAATTATTTTATCATACAAATATATCAATTTATATATTCATTTCCTACTGATGGACAGATGGGCTGTTTCCAATTCTTCATTATTACAATGATACAGTGAACATTCCTGTATATACCTCCTTATATACACATGTAAGTCTATCTTTAAAGCAGATATCGAGAAGTGGAATTGTCAAATCATAGAGTAATAATATATTTAGGCAAAAAAAAACTGTTGAAACTTCCATCCCAACAGCAGTGATGAAATTACATTCCTCTCCATTCATAAAAAATGTTACTACAAGTAAAAAATTTAAAGTATAAAATGATAGCTGATTATTATTTTAAATTTCATTTCACTGATTATTAATGAGGCTGAGCATGTTTTCAAATGTTTATTGGTCATTTGAATTATTTAAACTTTGCATAAATATCTATTCATTCTTTGCCCATTTGGAGTTAATTCTTTTTCCTTATTAATTTGTAGTTACTTTATAGTCCCTGAATGCCAGTGCTTTCTTAATCAAAAATCATCCAAAACATCTTTCCTAGTTTGTGGGTTATAACTTATAAAGTAGTTTATAGTGTCATATAACTGGATTTTACCTTTTGTGTGGGATAAATTGGAAAATCTTTATTTATAACCATGTATTGACAAGCCAACATTGATTTACAATGCTACATCTTATATACTAAGTTCTCACAAATATGTAGGTTTGTTTCTGTGCTCTGTATCTATTCTAATAGTCTATTTGTTTTTCCCTGTACCAACACATACTATTATAATGAATACAGATTTAGAATTAATATTGATATCTAATAGGTTAAGTATACCCTCATTAATCTTATCAAAATTTCTTGGCTATTAGTAGCCTATTATACTTCCATGCCAATTTTGAGACCAGCTTGTCAAATTCACTATAATCTTGTGGGATTTTGACTAATTATATCTAAATATCAACTTGGAGGGAAACAGTTTTACAATACTAAATCTTCCATTTATTTGTCTTCTTTTATAACTTTGAATAAAGATGTATACTTTTCTCCATTAAAGCATTACATGATATTTATTAGATTATTCTTAGTTGTGCAAAGCTTTCTACTATTATTTTGAATGAAATTTTTAAAAATTATATTTCCTTATTGATTGTTACTGGAGTATAGGAAATGTCATTGATTTGGGAGTATAAATAACCTCACTAAACTCTATTTGTTCTAAATAATTTATTTGTATTTTCTCTTGTATTTTTAATGTAGCTAATCATATAACCTAGGGCAAATGTACTTGCTAAAAGTGCTGAAAGATATTCTTGTTTTGGTCCTAACTCTAAAGAAAATGTGACAAGTATTTTGCCTTAAGAATATTTGCTGTAAATTTCTGGTAGATATTCTTTATGAGATTAAAGAATTTCCTTTCTGCTTGTAGTTTACTAAGAATATTCCAGATTTACTAAGTTATATTTGTTTTTGCTTTGGTTTGTTTTTAGGGCTGGCTATTGAATTTTATCAAACACTTTTTCTCCATTTAGTAGAATAATTTTTCCTCAACTAATAAGAAGATGAATTAAAAAACAGAATATCAAACCTTGACATTCTTGAGGTAATTCCAAATTGCTCATGAACCTTTAAATATAATATACCTACATTTGAGATAAATAAGAAAGATATGTTTTAATAGATGGAAGTGAAAAGAGGAAATCTCAGAAATAAACATTACCTTTTTCTGACTGATTGAATGTGTCCTCCCTAAGATTCATAGGTTGAAATCCTTTTGCCCATAGTAAAATTGTCAATTAAAAATACAAATTTAGGTCGGGCACGGTGGCTCACACTTGTAATCCCAGCACTTTGGGAGGACAAGGCGGGTGGATCACGAGGTCAAGAGATCGAGACCATCCTGGCCAACATGGTGAAACCCCATCTGTACCGAAAATACAAAAAACAATTAGCTGGGCCTGGTGGTGCACGCCTGTAGCTCCAGCTACTCAGAAGGCTGAGGCAGGAGACTTGCTTGAACCTGAGAGGTGGAGGTTGCAGTGAGCCGAGATCGTGCCACTGCACTGCAGCCTGGCGACAGAGCAAGACTCCATCTCAAAAAAAATAAATAAATAAATTGAAAAGAATATTTGCTGCATGTGGCTAGCCAGTTCTCCCAGCAGCATTTATTAAATAGGGAATCCTTTCCCCATTGTTTTCGTCAGGTTTGTCAAAGATCAGGTGGTTGTAGATGTGTGATCTTAGAATTTCTGAGTTCTCTATTCTGTTCCATTGGTCTACGTGTCTGTTCTTGTACTAGCACTGTGTTGTTTTGGTTACTGTAGCCTTGTAATATAGTTTGAAGTCAGGTAGTGTGTTGTCTCCAGCTTTTTTTTTTCTTAAGATTGTCTTGGCTATACAGGCTCTTTTTTAGTTTTTTATGAATTTTAACATAGTTTTTCCTAATTCTGTGAAGAAAGTCAATGGTAGTTTAATGGGAATAACATTGAATCTATAAATTACTTTGGGAAGTATGGTCATTTTCATACTAATTCTTCTTATCCATGAGTATGGAATGTTTTTCCATTTGTTTGTGTCCTCTCTAATTTCCATGAGCAGTGGTTTGTAGTTCTCCTTGAAGAGGTCCTTCAATTCCCTTGTTAGCTGTATTCCTAGGTGTTTTGTTCTCTTTGCAGCAATTGTGAATGGGAGTTCATTCATGATTTGGCTCACTGCATGCCTGTTGTTGGTGTATAGAAATGCTAGTGATTTTACACATTGATTTTGTATCCTGAGACTTTGCTGAAGTTGCTTATCAGCTTAAGAAACTTTTGGGCTGAGACAATGGGATTTTCTAGAAATAGGATCATGTCATCTGTAAACAAAGATAATTTGACCTCCTCTCTTCCTATTTGGATGTGCTTTATTTCTTTCTCTTGCCTGATTGCCCTGGCCAGAACTTCCAATACTGTGTTGAATAAAAGTGGTGAAAGAGGACATCCTTGTCTTGTGCCAGTTTTCAAGGGGAATGCTTCCAGATTTTGCCCATTCAGTATGATATTGGCTGTGGACCCCATCCTTATGCCTTATACAAAAATTAACTAAAGATGGATTAACAACTTAAATGTAAAACCCAAAACCATAGAAACCCTGGAAGAGAATCTAGGCAATACCATTCAGGACATAGGCACAGGCAAAGATTTCATGAGGAAAACCCAAAAGCAATTGCATCAAAAGAAAAAAATTAACAAAAGAGATCTAATTAAACTAAAGAGCTTCTGCACAGCAAAAGAAACTATCATCGGAGTGAACAGATAACATCCAGAATGGGAAAAAAATTTTGCAATCTATCCATCTGACAAAAGTCTAATATCCAGAATCCACAAGAAACTTAAACAAACTTACAAGAAAAAAACCCACCCCATTAAAAAGTGAGCAAAGGACATGAACAGACACTTTTCAAAAGAATACATTTAGGCAGCCAACGAACATGAAAAAAAGCTCAACATCACTGATCATTAGAGAAATGCAAATCAAAACCACAATGAGGTACCATCTCATGCCAGAAAAATAGCAATTAGTAAAAAGTCAATAAACAATATATGTTGGCTAGGCTGTGGAGAAATAGGAATGCTTTTACACTGTTGGTCAGAGTGTAAATTAGTTCAACCATTGTGGAAGACAATGTGATGATTCCTCAAAGATCTAGAGGCAGAAATGCTATTTTACCCAGCAATCCCATTATTGGGTACATGCCCAAAGGAATATAAATCATTCTGTTATAAAGTTATATGCATGCTTATGTTCATTGCAGCACTATTCACAATAGCAAAGACATGGAATCAACCCAAATGCCCATCAATGATAAACTGGACAAACAAAATGTGGTACATATACACCATAGAATACTATGTAGCCATAAAGGAATGAGATAATGTCCTTTGCAGGGACATGGATGGAACTGGAAGCCGTTATCCTCCACAAAATAACACAGGAACAGAGATCCAAACACCACATGTTCTCACTTATAAATGGGAGCTGAATGTTGAGAACACATGGACACATAATGGGGAATAACACACACTGGAGCCTCTTGAGGTGGGCGGGTAGGGGGAGAGCATCAGGAAGAATAGCTAATATAGATCCTGGGCTTAATACCTAGGTGATGGGTTGATCTGTGCAGCAAACCACCATGGCACACCTATGTAACAAACCTGCACCTCCTGCACATGTACCTCAGAACTCAGAAGTTGATGGAAAGAAAAATAAAGAAAAAAATAAATAAAATGCATCTAAAAATGATTCATTCTAGGATCACAATAATGTTACCTTGATAGTAAAAGGTATGATTACTATAAAATTGTTCATAATTTGAAATTACTCATAATTGCTCATGATTTGTTAATATTTTACTCAGAATGTTTGCATCCACTCCATGAGCATTTGTAATTGCATAATTTATAATTTTCCTTTCATAAATTATTCTTATCTGCTTTAGGTGTCTAGGTTATACTAGACTCAAAGTGAATTTCTATGTTTTCACCATTTCTCTATTCTTTGGAAGTTTATTTAAGGCAGGGATTCTAAATTTCTTGACAATTTGGTACAATTTGACAATAAAACCACTCAGGAATGGTCTTTTTTAATGAAATTTTTTAACTACCAACTTTATTCCTTTAATGGTTATGGGTCGATTTGAATTTTCTATTCATTCTTGACCAATTTAGGTAATACACATGATTCCAGAAAATTGTCTTTTTTAGTACAGTTTTCATAAATATTGACTTTATTTTCAGTTATGCTTTTTCCTTTCCAAAATTAAATTACTTATTTGTTCTTCCTCTCTTTTACACTAATTAAATTTACCAAGGCTTTATCTATTAATATTTTCAAAGAACTACCTTTTGGTTGGACTAATCTTTTCTATGATTATTTTGTTTGTTAGTTCATGAATTTATGCCGTTAACTTCATTATTCCATTCCATCTACTTTCTTTGGGTTTAGTCTGTAACTTTTTACTAACTTAAGTTGAATGCCTGGCTCACAAATTTTCTTTCTCTATTATTTTCAAGTGTGTGAGTTTAAAACTTAAAAAAAAAAAAAAGTTACCTTAGGTGTATCATTAAAGTACTGAAATTCAGTTTTGGTCATAGAGTTGTTAATATTTCACAATTTTCATTCTAATTTCTTCTTTTGATGTCTGATTTAAATTTTCCAACTAAATAGGCTTTTAAGTGTATTTTTTGTTATTGCTATGAATTCTGTTGCTTCTTGGTTGGAGAATGTGATCTTCATGACAAATATTCTTTGCTATTTACTGAAAAACCGATTTTTTTCTTTTTTTCTTTTTTGAGACAGAGTCTTGCTCTGTCATCCAGGCTAGAGTGTAATGGTGTGATCTTGGCTCACTGCAACCTCCACTGCCCGGGTTCAAGTGATTCTCCTGCATCAGCCTCCCAGGCAGCTGGGATTACAGGCACGTGCCACCACACCCAAGTATTTTTTTTTTTTTTTTGGTATTTTTAGTAGACACAGGGTTTCACCGTCTTGGCCAAGCTGGTCTTGAACTTCTGACCTCATGATCCACCCACCTCGGCCTCCCAAAGTGCTGGGATTACAGGCATAAGCCACCACACCTGGACAAAACTGATTTTTTATCTAGTTTATGGTCAGTTTTTGATACATGGTACAAATGTCTCATGTGTGCTTGAAAAGAATGCATATTCATTGTCCACTGGGTATAAAGTCCATTATATCAAGTTTGTTAATGGTTTTGGTAAATCTCTATCTTTACTAACTCTTAGAATATATGATCTGTCAGTTTCTGAAAAAAGTGAGTTTTGAAAACTCTCATTATAACTGTTGATTTGTCAATTTCTCCTGTCTTCAATTCTGATTGTTTCTGTCATACAGTGTTCCTTCTTAGGTATAAATGGCTAAGGAGTATTAAATCTACTAAATGAATTTTTTGTTCATCTTCTTCATCCCCAATCATGCTTTTGGCCTTGAAGTATATTAATAGTAATATATTTCTTCCCTTTTGGTTAGTATTTGCCTGTTCTTCTTTTTACACCTTCACCTCTGATCTTTCTATATTATCTTTTAAATGTGACTCTTGTAGCAACATATAATTGGTTTTTGTCTTTTAAAATCTTAATCAGAATCTCTAACTGTTATCTGGAAAGTTTAATCTTGTGTAATATTTGTGCTCACTTCTAACATTATTTCATGTTTACTCTTTATTTTTTCTTTCATTTCCACCTATGTTGTGCTGACAGGTATAACATTCCTATTTGCTTATCTCTACCACCACTGGATTTATTGATTTATTTCCTTTTTTATTTGTGGTTACTCAAAATTTACACACACATACTTGAACTAATGAAGTCTAAAATTATTCAATACTTCTATTCTCTTCTTAAACAACAGAACCTAAGAATGCATTAATCTCTTTTTCCAGTTTCTATAAGTTTTTAGCTTCACCCTGTTGTTAAATACTTCCCTATATTGGTATTCATTTTTATTGCTTTGTTTTTCACAATACATTTAAATTTAACAATATATTTGCCTATTTCCTTTCTCACCGTAGTTTCCTGCATGCCAGTCTTTTTCTCTGCATTCAGTCTCCTGCTTACTGAAATATATCCTTTAGTAGTTCTTTAAGTAGTGCTGAAAAAACTACTAAACGTAGTAAGCTCAGTCTTTAGCTGAAAATGTATTCCGCTAGGCAAAGACTTCTGGCATTGATAGTTATTTTCTCTCAACACTTTCAGGATACTATCCAATCCTGGAATCTACTATTGCTGATGTAAAGTTGTCGGCTTGATATTTTTTCTCTTGTATCTTTTTCCGTTATAAGTTTTTCTCTTTGTCTTTAATGCTGTGCAGTATCATCACAATGTATGTAGGTGTTGATTTGTTTTTATTTGTCCTACTTGGGAACTGATATATTTCTTCAATCTGTAGACTCATGTCTTTCTGCTTTCTGTTCTGGAATTCTCCTAACCATTGCCTCTTTGAACAATTATTCTCCCTCAGTCTCTTTATTCTCTCCTCTTAAATTCCTATTAGACATATGTTGGATTTTCTTATCTTATTCTACATGTCTATTAACAACCCTTTCAGGTTTCCTATCTCTTCACTTTGCTGTGCTGCATCCCAGGCTATTTTCCCTCCACTTCATTCTCTTTTCAATAGTCTAATTTACTAATTAAGTGCTTATTGAATTTTGTTTGATGGTTTGCCCATTTGTTTGTTTTCTTTCAATGACTATATTCTTCAATTGAAAAAGTTCTGTTTGTTTGATTTTTCTTTCAGATCTATCAGTTCATTTTCTCCTCTATCACAGTCATCCAGTTTTTAATTCCTCGTAAGTTTTAATAACCTTAAACATACTTATTTGATAGTCTCAAATTGTTCTATTATTTTTAGTTCTTGAAGTTCTATTTCTTCTAAATGTTGTATCTGCCAAATCTCTTATGGTTTTTTCCCCCTAGATATGGTTTATTACTTTTTACAATGACCAAATATTCAGATAGGATATTTAGTGTACTGATCTTGTAAAAGTATTTGCCACAGATTGGTTTTCAAGGTTGGTGTTTTCTACTAAGCCTCCAAGTAACTAAATGATCCCGGATAAGTTTTTCATGTTAACTTAGTACTTTTTGGTTACTACCTTTACAGACGGCATCAACATGGACCCTCACACCTGCACCTGAGCAATGTGGGGCATTTGATTCCTCATGGTGACAGTTTCTTTCCCACCCCAAGCTCCAGGGAGACAGTAAGCTTTCTCATCATTTCTCTGGGCTTGTGGGCAAACATTTTTTAGTCTATGGGAACAGGGAGCACTTCCAGACTCTATTCTTCATGCAGGAATCTTAATTAAAACCTCTCCACCTCACATATGCCTGCAGCCACGTCCGTTGTCCCCAAACAGATATTAAAATCCAGCATTAGACCACTTAGCCCTATTCCTATTTGAAAGCCTCTTTGGCAGCCATGATATCATTATTATTCTCCTTATTCTGGTATTGCTTTTTACTTCATTTCTTCTTCTTTTTAAGTATTAGCTCTATTGAGATATAATTCAGATATCACACAATTCACCTATTTAAAGTATACAATTCAATGGTTTCTAGTATATTCACAGAGCTGTGCAACCATCACCACAAGCAATTTTAGAACATTTTTCTTACCTAAAAAAGATCCCCCGTACCCACTAGCAGTCACCCTCCCTTTCTACCCCCAAGTCTACCTGGCTTCAGGCTACTACCAATCTACTTTCTGTCTCTATGGATTTGCTCTATTCTGGATATTTCATGTAAATAGAGCCAAACAATATGTGGTCCTATGTATCTGGCTTCTTTCACTTAACATATTTTCAGGGTTCATCCACGTTATAACATGTATCAATACTTCATTTCTTTTTGTTGCTAACATTTCATTGTATGGATAAAACACACTTTATCTGTTGAGCAGTTGATAGTCATTTGTTTCCAGTTTTTCACTATTATGAATATTATTGCTATGAACATTCATGTAGAAGTTTTTGTGTGGACCTGTTTTTGTTTCTCTTGGATAGATTCCTAGGAGTGGAACTGTAACCCTAGTCCTGTTTCATTTCTGATACCTCTGATATGCTCTTCCTTTTGAGTTTGGATAAGAGTTAACAATTACTTATTATATTTTATTCAGAATTTCCAGGTTGAGTAGTGTATGGGGAGGACATCTAGCTCATTCTATTTTGTTCATGTATATCACTAGCTTTTCTATGGCCTTTATTTTCACACATTTAAAAAATATTTGTGGCCAGGCATGCTGGCTCACACCTGTAATTCTAGCACTTTGGGAGGCTGAGGCAGGAGGATCATGAAGTCAGGAGATTGAAACCATCCTGGCTAACACAGTGAAACACCGTCTCTACTAAAAATACAAAAAAAAAAATCAGCCGGGTGTGGTGATGGGTGCCTGTAGTCCCAGCTACTCGGGAGGCTGAGGCAGGAGAATGGCATGAACCTGGGAGGCAGAGCTTGTAGTGAGCTGAGATGGCGCCACTGCACTCCAGTCTGGGTGACAGAGCGAGACTCCATCTCCAAAAAAAAAAAAAAAAACACCGTGTTTTAGAAGAGATCCATTAAATTTCCCACTCCAAATAGCAGAGGAAATATAAAATCACACAAAAATTATTTCTTGTCAATATTGTCTTAAAAATCTATCCTAGGGAGATAATAAAATATATGACAGAAATGCGTCCCTTAATTTTTCTGACCTTTATTAAAAATGTTCTCATGTTTTCTTTGTAGACTGAATTAGTAATAAATTGTAACTGAATTGGTAATAAACACTGCTAGCTTTCAATATTCTCATATGCTTTATATTTCTCCAAACTTTGGTATTTTTAATTTCTTAGATCAACTCTTATTATTTATTTTTAGTTTTTCAATTTATTTTTATTTATTTTTTTAATAAAGGAAATTAAAAGTTGATTCAACTACCAGGGCATATCTAACAGTCTGCAGAATGCTTTGAAAGTCCAAAATTTTTATATTTAATAAAAGAATCAATATTCTTATTTCCTATACTTATTCATTCTTCAAATAATTACTCTGAAGACACTAAAGAGGAATTTCATTTTAGCTGGATACACACAAGAACAAATTCAAGTTGCAACACAAGGAGCTTAATTTAACTACAAGAAAAACTGTCCACTAAACTGAGAGGTTATAGAGGGTAATAAAGATTCTGCTAAACTGAAAATAGATTCTCCTTTAATTCCTTTTATCAAGAAATGAATGGACAACAAGCATAGTCACCATAAAAATAATTACTAGATCATATGAAAAGAGACGAAATCTTTGGGCTTACTGGAAATTGTTCTTAATCTTTTCTTACTATTCTTTAAAATAGCTTCATGTAAATTTAATTCTGTAAGAAAATTCTACAAGCCAATGTTTTATAATCACTAACCAACTGGTATGAAAACAATTAGTACAGACTGAAAAAATGTTAGTTTTGTCGAATTTAGATATTGAGCAGTGCTGTCAAAAATGAAAAGTTCCAATGCAAATTTTAGAGGCAATAAGTGTAATAGTGCTAAAGAGCCCTAGCTCAGAAGACATATGAACCAGTATTCAAATCCCAAACCCACTTTTTATAATTATGTGACTTGAGTGACTTAAACAATTTTCTCATTTATAAAATACCTCTGAAAATTATTGAATGTCTAAATAAGATAATATATTAATGGAATGAAAGTAGACCAAGATGGCTGAATAGAACCCTCCAGTAATTGTCCTCCCCTCCACAGGAACACCAAATTAACAACTATCCACATAAGAAAGCACCTTCATAAGAACCAAAAACCAGGTGAGCAATCACAGTACCTGGTTTCAACATCATATGAAGGAAGGAGGCACTGAAGGGAGTAGGAAAGACAGTCTTGAATTGCCTACACCACCTCTTCCCCATCCCCTAGTGGTGCTACATAGCTTGGAGAAAGAATCTGTGTGCTTGGGAGAGAAAGAGCATATTGATTGTGGTATTTTGCATTGGAATTCAGTGCTACCCTGTCACAGTGGAGAGCAACAGGGTAGCATTTTGATCAGCCCTAGCTAGAGGGGAATAATCATTCATCCCAGGGGTCAGAACCTGAATTCTAACTAGCCCCACCACCACAGGCTAAAGTGCTCTGTGTTCTAAATAAACTTGAAAGGCTGTCTAGGCCACAGGAATACAATTCCTGGGCAAGTCCTGGTGCTATGCTGAGTCGGTAGAGTTGGAGTGCATGTGACCCAGTCAGACACCAGTGCGGACAGCCAAGGCAGTGCTTGCACTGTCCCTTCCTCAACTCCAGGCAGCACAGCTTGCAGCTCTGGCAGAGATTCCTTCCACTGAAGGAAAGGAGAGGGGAGAGCAAAGAGGACTTTGTCTTACAATTTGGGTACCAGCTCAGCCAAAGTAAAATAAAGCACTAAACAAATTGCTAAAGTCCCCAATTCCAGGACTTAGCTCCTGGATGACATTTTGACACCCACCCTGGGCCAGAAGGGAACCCACTGCCCTGAAGGGAGATTCCCAGGCCTAGCAGGATGAATCACAACCTGACTAAAGAATAGTTGGGCCATGAATAAACATAAGTGGTAGCCAGACAATACTCACCACAAGCCTTGGGCAAGACCCTGTATTGTGCTGGTTTCAAGTCTGACCCAGCACAATCCCAGTGGTGATGGCCATCCCTCTCCCAACTCCAGACAGCTGAGCATGGAGAGAGAGATTCCATTTGTTTGAGGGAAAGTAAGTGAAGAGAGCAAGAGTCTCTGTCTAGCAGTCCAAGGAATTCTCCTGGTTACCCAAGACCACCAATGTGGTATCTCTATGAGTCTGCAAGAATCACAGCATTACAGGGCATGGAGTGTTCCCTAATGCAGGTATGGCTGCAGTGACCAGAATTAGATCACACACTCAATTCTCTTTGAATACTTGGAAATCTTTCCCAAGAAGGACATGTACAAACAAGCCCAGGCAAGGAAGACTACAATAAATACTCAACTCTTCAATGCCCAGACAACAATGAACATCCACAGGCATCAAGACCATCCAGGAAAACATGACCTTACCAAACAATCAAATAAGGCACCGGTGACCAATCTCAGAGAGACAGAGATATATGACTGTATTAGTCCATTTTCACACTGTTGATAAAGACATACCTGAGACTGGGAAATTTACAAAAGAAAGAGGTTTAATGGACTCACAGTTCCATGTGGGTGGGGAGGCCTCACAATCATGGCAGAAAGTGAAAGCACGTCTCACATGGCAGCAGACAAAAGAAGAGAACTTGTGCAGGGAAACTCCCCTTTATAAAACCACCAGTTCTCATGAGACTTATTCACTATTACAAGAATTGCATGGGAAAGATCCGCCCCCGTGATTAATTATCTCCTACCAGGTCTCTCCCACAATTTGTGGGAATTATGGGAGCTACAATTCAAGATGAGATTTGGGTGGGGACACAGCCAAACCACATCAGTGACCTTAAAGAAAGAATGGAAAATAGCTATTTTGAGGAAGCTCAATGAAATTCAAGATAACACAGAGAAGGAATTCAGAATTCTATCAGATAAATGTAACAAAGAAATTGAAATAATTTTTAAAAATCAAGTAAAAATTCTGGAGCTGAAAAATTCAATTGAAATACTGAAGAATACATCAGTCTGTCAACAGCAAAATTGATCAAGCAAAAGAAACAATTAGTAAGCTTGAAGACAGGCTATTTGAAAACACACAGTCAGAGGAGACAAAAGAATAAAACAATCAAAAAGAATAAAACATGACTACAAGATCTAGAAAATGGCCTAAAAAGGGCAAATCTAATAGTAAATGGCCTTAAAGAGGAGGTAGAGAGAGATCAGGGTAGAAGACTTATTCAAAGGCATAATAACAGAGAACTTCCCAAACCTAGAGAAAGACATCAATATTCCAGTACAACAAGGTTATAGAACACCAGGCAAATTTAACTCAAAAAAGACAACCTCAAGATATCTGAGGTACCTAAAAGCAGGAAGAGAAAAGAAACAAACAACATATAATGGAGCTTCACTAGGTTTGGCAGCTGACTTCTGAGTGGAAACTTTACAGGCCAGTAGAGAGTAGCATGATACATTTAAAGTGCTGAAGGAAAAAGCTTTTATCCTAAAATAGAATAACCAGCAAAAATATCCTTCAAACATGAAGGAGAAATATAGACTTTCCCAGACAAACAAAAGTGGACGGATTTAATAAATGTCACACTTGTCCTACAAGGGAAAAAAAAAGGAATTAAAAAATTAATTTAAAAATTAAAAAAAAATTAATGAGCAGTAAGAAATATCTGAAGCCTCAAAATTCACTGGTAATAGTAAGTATACAGAAAAAGACAGAATGTCATAACATTTATTTGTAGTATGTAAACTACTTATAACTTGAGTATAAAGATTAAAGATGACTGAACAAAAATAATAACTACAACAGCTTCTCAAGACATAGATAGTACAATAAGATATAAGCAGTAACAACAAAAAGTGAAAAAGTGGGTGGACAAAGTTAGAGTGTAGAGTTTTTATTAGTTTTCTCTTTATTTACACAATCAGTATTAAGTTGTCATCAGTTTAAAATAACGAGTTATAAGGCATTATATGCAAGCCTCATGGTAACCTCGAACCAAAAAATCCAAATATACAGCAAATGAAAAGCAAGAAATTAAAACACACCACCTGAGAAAATCACTTTCACTAAAGGAAGACAGAAAGTAAGGCAAGAAGAAAGAGAAGACCATAAAGCAACCTAAAAACAAACAACAAAATGGCAAGAATAATTCCTTACTCATCAATAACATGGAATGTAAATGGACTAAACTTTCCAGTCAAAAGACAGAGTAGCAAAATGGATTTTTAAAAATGAGACTCAATGATCTGTTGTCTTCAAGAAACACACTTCACATATGAAGATACACAGACTGAAAATAAAGGGACAGAAAAAAATATTCCATGCCAAATGAAACAAACAAACAAAAGAAAAACCAGGAGTCACTATAATTATATCAGACAAAATAGACTTCAAGACAAAAACTATAAGAAGAGACTAAGAAGACTGCTATACAATGATAAAAGGGTCAATTCAGCAAGAGCATATAACAATTTTAAATATATATGCACCCAATACTAGAGCACCCAAATATATAAAAGCAAATATTTTTGAGCAAAAGAGAGAGATAAACCCCAATACAATAATAGCTGGAGACTTCAACATTGGACAGATCACCCAGACAGAAAATCAACGAAGAAATATTGGACATGGCTGGGTGCGGTGGCTCATGCCTGTAATCCCAGCACTTTGGGAGGCTGAGATGGGCAGATCACCTGAGGTTGGGAGTTTGAAACTAGTCTGACCAACATGGAGAAACCCCATCTCTACTAAAAATACAAAAATTAGCTGGTCATGGTGGTGCACGCCTGTAATCCCAACTACTTGGGAGGCTGAGGCAGGAGAATCGCTTGAACCTGGGAGGCGGAGGTTGCAGTGAGCCAAGATTGCGCCATTGCACTCCAGCCTAGGTAATAAGAGCAAAACTTCATCTCAAAAAAAAAGAAAAAGAAAAAAAGAAATGTTGGACTTAATCTGCACTACAGACCAAACTGACCTGCCGGTATTTACAGAACATGTGATCCAACGGCTGCAGAATACACATTCTTCTCAGCACATGGATCATTCTCAAGGAGAGACCATATATTAGGCCACAAAACAAGTCTTAAAAAATTCAAAAATAAAAAAAAAAAAAAAAGAAATGATGTCAAGTATCTTCTGTGACCACAATGGAATAAAACTAGAAATCAGTAACTGGAGGAATTTTGGAAACTACACAAATACATGGAAACTAAACAATAGGCTCCTGAATGACCAGTGAGTCAATGAAGAAATTAAGAAGAAAACTGAAAAATTTATTGAAACAAATGAAAATGGAAACACACCAATCCTATAGGATATAGCGAAAACAGTATAATAAAAGAAAAGTCTATAGCCATAAAAGCCTACATCAAAAAAGTAGAAAAACTTCAAATAACCTAACAATGTATCTTGGAAAACTAGAAATGCAGGAGCAAACCAAACCCAAAATTAGTACAAGAAAAGAGATAATAAACATCAGAGCAGAAACAAATAAAATTTAAATTAAACATGCAAAGGATAGGCTGGGCGCAGTGGCTCACGCCTGTAATCCCAGCACTTTGGGAGGCTGAGGCCAGCGGATCACAAGGTCAGGAGATCGAGACCATCCTGGCCAATATGGTGAAACCCCATCTCTACTAAAAATGCAAAAAATTAGCTGGGCATGGTGGCACGTGCCTGTAGTCCCAGCTGCTTGGGAGGCTGAGGCAGAAGAACAGCTTAAATCTGGGAGGCAGAGGTTGCAGTGAGCCAAGATCATGCCACTGCACTCCAGCCTGGGCAACAGAGCAAGCCTCTGTCTCAAAAAAAAGAAAAAAAACTACAAAAATTAGCTGAGTGTGGTGGCACATGCCTGAAATCCCAGCTACTCAGGAGGCAGAGGCAGGAGAATTGCTTGATCCCTGGAAGGGGAGATTGCAGTGAGCTGAGGTCGTGCCACTGCACTCCAGTCTGGCAACAGAGTGAGACTCCATCTCAAAAAAAAAAAAAAGGAAAAGATTAATGAAATGAAAAGTTAGTTTTTTGCAAAGATAAAATTGACAAACCTTTACTCCAACTAAGAAAAAGGAAGATTCAAATAAATAAAATCAGAGATGAAAAAGGAGACGTTAGAACTGTTACCACAGAAATACAAAGGATCATTAGAAGCTACCATGAGAAACTATATGCCAACACATCGGAACACCAAGAAGAAACGGAGAAATTCTTAAACACACACAACCTCTCAAGATTGAACTACGAAGAAATAGAAAATGTGAACAAACCAATAACAAGTAACGAGATTGACACCATAACAAAAAGTCTTCAGCAAAGAAAAGCCTGGGCCCTGATCGCTTGCCTGCTGAATTTGACCAAACATTTATAGAAGAACTAATACCAATCCTACTGAAACCATTCTGAAAAATAGAGGAGGAGGGAATATTTCCAAACTTGTTCTACAAGGCCACTATTACCCTGATACCAAAACCAGAGAAGACACATCAAAAAAAAAGAAAACTACAGGCCAATATCCTTGACAAATGTTGATGCAAAAATCCTCAATAAAATAGTAGCAAGCCAAACTCAACAACACATTATAAAGATCATTCATCATGACCAAGCGGGATTTATGCCAGGGATGCCAGCATGGTTAAACACATGCATATCAGTCAATGTGATGCATCATATCAACAGAAGGTAAAACAAAAACCATGTGATCACTTCAATTGATGCTGAAAAAGAATTTTATAAAATTCAACATCCCTTCATGATGAAAACCCTCCAAATGATGAGGATAGCTGGGCACAGTGGTGCATGCCTGTAGTCCCAGCTACTCAGGACACTGAGGCAAGAGAATGGCTCGAGCCCAGGCGTTCTGGGTTGTAATGCACTATACTGACTGGGTATCTGCACTAAGTTCAGCATCAATATGGTAATCTCCCAGGAGCGGGGAACCACCAGGTTGCCTAAGGAAGAGTGAACTGGCTCAGGTCAGAAAAAGAGCCAGTCAAAACTCCTGTGTCGATCAGCAGGGAGATCGCGCCTGTGAATAGCCACTGCACTACGATCCGTTGTCTACAACAAGCACACTTCACATATGATGATACATAGACTGAAAATAAAGGGACAGAAAAAAATATTCCATGTCAAATGAAACAAACCAACAAACAAAAAACAGGAGTCACTATACTTATATCAGACAAAATAGACTTCAAGACAAAAACTATACAGCCTGGCAACAAAGTGAGACTCCATATTTAAAATCACTAACAAAATAAAAATAAACTTTTTTAAAAAAACACTGAGTATAGAAGGAACATACCTCAACACAATGAAAGCCATATATGACAGACCTACAGCTAGTATCATACTTGTGTTAGTCCGTTTTTGTACGACTATAAAGAAATATCTGAGACTGAGTAATTCATAAAGAAAAGAACTTTAATTGGCTCATGGTGCTGTACAGGACACATGACGCTGGCATTTTCTTGTCTTATGGGGAGGCTTTAGGAAACTTAAAATCATGGCAGAAGGCAACGGGGGAACAAGCACTTCACATTGTCAGAGCAGGAGAAAGAGAGAGAGGCAGGGAGGTACCACAAACTTTTAAACAACCAGATCTCATGAGAACTCACTCACTGTCATGAGACCATCACCAAGGGGAAATCCACCCCCATGATCCAGTCATCTCCCACCAGGCCCCACCTCCAACACTGGGGATTAGAATTAGACACAAGATTTGGGCAGGGACACAGATCCAACCCATATCAATACTGAATCGGAAAAACTGGAAGCCTTTCCTCTAAGATCTGAAACAAGGCAAGGATACACACTTTCACCTCTGTTATCCAACACAGTAGTGGAAAACCTACCTAGAGCAACTGGATACAAGAGAGAAATGAAAAGTACTCAAACTGGAAAGGAAAAAATTACATTATCCTTGTTTGCAGATGATATGAGCTTATACTTGAAAAAAAAACCTAAAGACTCCAACAGAAACCTATTAGAATTGATCAACAAATTCATTAAAGTTGCAGGACACAAAATCAACATACAAAAATCAGTAGCGCTTCTGTATGTCAAAAGTGAACAATGTGAAAAAGAAATAAAAAAAGTAATCCAATTTACAACAGCTACAAATAAAATAATATATATAAGAATAAACTTAACCAAAGAAGGGAAAGACCCCTACAATGAAAACTATAAAACACTGATGGAGGAAATTGAAGAGGATGCTAAAAAATGGAAAGATATTCCATATTTATGGATTGGAACAATCAATGCTGTTAAAATGTCCATACTACCACAAACAATCTACAGATTAAATGCAATCCCTATCAAAATATTAATGACATTCTTTACAGAAATAGAAAAATAATCCTAAAATTTATATGAAACCACAAAGACCCAGAATAGCCAAAGCCATCTTGAGCAAAAAGAACAAAACTGAACCAATCATATTACCTGACTTCAAATTATACTATAGAGCTATGTAACCAAAACAGCATAGTACTAGCATAACAGATACATAGACCAATGGAACAGAATAGAGAACCCAGAAACAAATCCATACACCTACAGTGAACTCATTCTTGACAAATGTGTCAAGACCATACATTGGGGAAAGGAGAGTTTCTTCAATAAATGGTGCTGGGAAAACTGGATATCCATAAGCAGAAGAATGAAAGTAGACCCTATCTCTTGCCATATACAAAAATCAAATCAAAATGGATTAAGAATTAAATCTAAGACCTCAAACTATGAAACTACTAAAAGAAAGCATTGGAAAAACTCTCCAAGACATTGGTCAGGACAAATATTTCTTAAGTAATTCCCCACAAGCATAGGCAACCAAAGCAAAAATGGGACAAATAGGATCACATTGAGTTAAAAAGCTTCTTGGGCAGCAAAGGAAATTGTCAATGAAGTGAAGAGACAACCCACAGAATGGGAAAAAATATTTGCAAATCATCCATCTGACAAGGGATTGATAAAATATATGAATTTAAACAACTCAGTAGGAAAAAGCCTAATAATCTGATTATACAATGCATGAAAGATCTGAATAGAAATTTCTCAAAAGAAGAGATACAAATGGCACACAGGTATATGAAAAGGTACTCAACATCACTGATGACTAGAGAAATGCAAATCAAAACTATAATGAGGTATCACCTCACCCCAATTAAAATGGCTTTTATCCAAAAGATAGGCAATAACAAATACCAGCAAGTAAGTGAAGAAAAGGGAACCCTTGTACACTGTGGGTGGAAATGTAAATTAGTATAACCACTATAGAGAACTATATGGAGTTCCTCAAAAAAAGAAGAAAAAAAAATAACTAGAACAACCATATGACACACCAATCCTAGGTATAGGCTAGGTATATGCCCGGTATATGCCCAACAGAAAGAAAATCCATATATTGAAGAGAGGTCTGTGCTACCATGTTTATTGAAGCACTATTCACAATAGCTAAGATTCGGAGGCAACCTAAGTGTTCATCAACAGACAAATGGATAATGTTGTACACACACACAATAGAGTACTGTTCAGCCATAAAAAAGAATGAATGAAGTTCTGTCATTTGCAACAACATGGATGGAACTACAGCACATTATTTAAACTGAAATAAGCCATGCATAGAAAGACAAACTTCACATGTTTTCACTCATTTCTAAAAGCTAAAAATTAAAACAATAGAATTCACAAAGAGAGACTAGAAGGATGGTTACCAGAGGTGGGAAGGGTAGTGAGAATTGGGGAAGGGAATGGTTAATGGGTACAAAAACATAGATAGAATGAAGATCTAGTATTTGATAGCATAACAAGGTGACTATAGTCAACAATTTATTGTTCATTTTTAAGTAACTAAAAGTATAATTGGAACGTTCATAATGCAAAGAAATGATAAATGCTTAGGGTGATAGATATGGCATTCACCCTGTTGTGATTATTACATATTCTATGCCTGTATCAAAGTATCTCATGTACCCCATAAATATATACTGACCATGTACCCATACAAATTAAGGATAAAAATTTATTTTATTTTATTTTATTTTTAATAAATAAAAGAGGTTTTATTTTGGCTCATGGTTCTGCAGGCTGTACAGGAAGCATAGTACCAACATCTGCTTCTGGTGATGCTGGGACCAAAAATTAATTTTAAAAGATAATATGTTGTATTAAATAAGTTCTAATCAGTGAAGGCAAGGCTGAAATAGCTCTACATTCAGACCAATATATTTTGAAGAATTGGGAATATGCACCATCAGTTAAACTTATCTTATAGTTTTAGTGAAGATCCAGAAACTTACACGCAGTGAGAAAGAATATGTTTACCTGGAAAGGCAGGCTTTAGTAACAGCACTGTGAAGATTTTCATTAGGATACTGTGACAGCCGACGAGAAATTCGCAACAGTTGTCTGGTAGAAAGTGATGCCGCTAATGATTGTGCCTATCAAAAGACAAATACATTGTGTTAAGAGTCTTGTTTCAACTTGCTAAAGTCCCTTTAGATGGATATCACAGCAGAATTCATTATTACTGAAGGGGTAAGGCCAAACTTAAAGTATGTGCTGTTAATTAATTACAAATCAAAATAAACAGAAACCAATTTACACTTAAAACATCCTTGAAGATAGTTTTTAAAAAATCTAAAGTATTTATCAATTAAATTTAATTAATGTATTTTAATTGTGCTAAGTTGGAGATGGGAGGGGCAATGGGGGAAGGATGTTACATAACAAAGGTCACACTGGACTTAGGCTGTATGATTGACTGTTCACTTTTTCTCCTTACACAAAGCCAAGGTGTTAAGATACCACGGAAATGTTTAAAGCTTTAAGCAAATCGGTGGTTTCTAAAATAGCCAAAAAGAGTTGTAAACAATTTAGGCTGTTGGCCACAGAGGTGTCAACCAATTTGTCACTTGTGCTGCAGCTTGCTGTTTTGAATCCTTCCCCTATGCTGTCAGAATACTTTCACTTTGCTATATTACATTTCCCAAAATTCCACGAATAGAGTTGCTAGTACAGAACTCAGGACATGGTCAGTACTCAATAAATATTTGTTGAAATTCTTTTGGCAGGCAGCATAACATAATGGTAAAGTTTATAGGCTTTTGAATCAGATAAGTCGGTATCCTATTTATTAGCTGTGTTACCTTGGCAAATTACTTAACCTTTCCAAGGCTCAGTTCCCTCAACTTTAAAATGGCAATAGTAATGCCCTCACCTTTAAGGTTGTTATGAAGGTTAAATTAGAAAATGATTCTAAAGTGCTTAGCACATGTCACACACATATGGGTGCTCAACGAATGGCAACAACTGTTATTTAAAAATCAGCCTCTTCAAAATGAAAACAAAAAACCCAGCAGAGAAAGGTGATGGGACCTACATATTAGCATATATTTAGTAAATGAGATTATTACTGGCCTAATTCCTAACTTAGATCAGCAGCATTAGAAGACAGTGATTATCACTGAAAACCACAGGACAGAAGCACTTTTGAAGCAACTGGACCTTTGGGAGGGCAAGGCAGGTCAGTATGAAATGTCACAGAGGGTGATAAGGGCAGTAAAGTGGCCCTGAGAACTCAAGGGCCTAGAAAAGAGGACTCTATGAAATTAACAAAGGGTTCAGAATGGATGAGGGGAGAATGTCAAAGACACACTGCACATTTGCTTGTTTTAATGTTCCACCTAAGGTCATCTCCGTATGTCCCAAAGAAGAAAAAAATAATTTATTTATCCTTCCTTGTGTATTTCACATCTCCATAAGATATTGGTTTGCTGTTAGTATTCTATCTCAGCTACAACATTAGTATTATATTTCCTTTGGGAATTAGGTTGGAAGCATGACCACCACATATCCTTTCTTCTATTAAAAAACACATTCTAAGTTTCAAAGAACTCAATTACAAGCAGACATTGGTCCATTCTTGTTTTCAATTAATTTGCATTCCAGATATGGAGACAATATTCAAATATAATAAATCATAAATTACAATTCAAAATAGTATATACTTCAATGCTAAAATAAGTGGAACAGTAGACAGCTGTTATAGGCAGTTAAAATATTCAAATGGGCATGAGAAATCCTCTCATCAAAGGCATGAAAGCAAAAGTAATGGAACCACAAGTAGAACATGAGGAAATGAGACCAGCTTTACTAGAAGGTCCTGCTGGAAGGCTTGCTCTCAAACAACAAAGACCTATGAATGACACTCTGACGGGTTTGGCTTTATTCTTAAAGGCACTAGGATTCTGCTATGTGTAAAGTCGTAACATGATTTTCAAATCAGGTTATTACTAGCCTACTTCCTAATTTAAATCAGCAGCAGCATAGAAAGTGGATGAAGGACAGAGAGAACTGAGACAGGAAACAGAAAGCTACTTCAATAATCTGCCTATAAAAGGAAAAAGTCCTACAGTAAGGTTATGGCAACAAGAATGGAGAGGTAGGATACAACAAACTTGGCAACTGACTTGCTATGAGAAAGAAACATGTATTGAGGATAAAATTCAGGCAATGTGACTGATATCAAAAGTCAAATATAACTCAGAAATTCCCATTTTTAATACCTAGGACCATGAAAAATTCATATTTTAATCATAAAAAATATTTGACAAATGACTCTAACCAGAGGATTCTTATAAGAGTCCTGTTAAACCATAGGGTATAACATTCTAATCTCATTCTAAGCATGACACTGAATTCAGGCTTCACATTTCATTCCAGTCATCAATAAGGAATGCTCATATATTTGAACACCAATTCTCCAGTTCTTCTAGTTGAAAGCACCAAAATGCTTTGCAGTAATAACCAGGGTTGAGAAAATGAGAGATAAGCTTTGTGTTGAGCCATTTAAGTGTTGAATAAAGGGTTTGGTAATCTCTGCTCTCACATTATTATCAATTAAAAATTGAGAGTATACTTTAAAAATTCCTAATGTATTTAACATTTATATCAAATTTCTAACTGCAGTTTTATCTTGCAAAAAAAAAGGGGGGCGGTGAAGATATGAAGCACATTCCCCTAGTTACCATGGTTATACAGTTTAAGAGTACACCTCGAAGGGGTTGTTCATATTAACATGATTAGTAATACTTCAGCTTAAAAACATAAAGGTTCTCATCAGAAATTATTAAACATTATTTTTCTATTCTTCATTTTTATAAAAGAATGAAAATGTAGCATGTTCTAAAGGAGAGAAAACTCTAGGGACAATCTGTTAATAAAATTTTAATTAATCAATTTATTCATTAATTCACCAAAGATTTAAGTGTCTATTATGTGCCAGGCCGCAGGCTGGGAAATGGGACTTAGTCTCAAGGAGCTCAAATAGCAACTGGGGAAATAAAAGTAAATTATAATACAACTGCAATAGGTCAACAATATATAATACAACTTGCAAATATATGTCAAGTGTCATGAAAGCAGATTGGAGATATTAGTTACTGCTGCCTAAGGGGGCTGAGAGAGACTTAAGAGAAGAGAGAAACTAAGGGACAACTGGATGTAGGGAAAGCACATTCTAGGCATTATCTAAGGCAGAGACATTTGAGTATAAGCGGTATTAGAAAATAGCAAGAAGCTAAGTGTGGGAAGAGCTGAGGATGCTTCAAGAGAGTTTGTAGAAACTGAGGCCTGATGAGCAGCTTAGGGTCAGAGGGAACTCAGCAGGCATGTTTAGCAGGCTGTCTTCAGTCTACAGGCAAAGAGAGTCAATCCCTTAACGGTTTTAAACAAGGGGAAGAACTTAGGAAATGGATTTGGGAAAGATCATTCCAGGGACAATATGGAAGATTCATCCATCCATTTATTTAACAGATACTTGTGGAATACATTACTAATCTCTAACTTTGTTCTCTGTAGTATTGCCAACATTTGCAACTTTGCACAGTAGGAACACTGTGCAAATCAGGAATAGCTACTGTGCAAAGTTCCAGATGCTGGGGAGACTACAGGGAACAAAGAAAAAACCCCTGCAATCCTGGAACTGAAATCCGAGAGAAGGAAGATAGACAACAAAAAATTAGTGAGTAAAACATACATTATGTCAAAGAGTAAGAAGCCCTATAAAGAATCTTAAAGCAGAAAGAGGGATAGAAATAAAATGGAATAGAAATTTGACTCTAGAGAGCTTCAGGAAGGCCTCACAGAAAAGGTGACCACCTGAGCAAATCCCAAAAAGGAAAGTGAGTAAACATGCAGCTATCCAGGGAAGAATAATCTAGGTAGAGGAAAACACCAAGTGGCAAAGGCCCTGAGGCAGGCACTAGTAAGTTCAAGGAAAAACAAAGACACCACTGTAGCTAAAAACAATGGGTAAAGGAGAAAGTATTTGGAATGAGGCCCCAGAGGGGGATTAAGTATTTGGAATGAGGCCCCAGAGGGGACCTGTGACAGCCAGAAAGTGACCACCCTTATCCTCCCAAAAATCCACATCCTAATCTCTGGAAACTGTCAATGTTACTTTCTATGGCAAAATTGACTTTGCAAATAAGATTAAGATAAGGATTTTGAGATGTGGAGATTATGTTGCACTATGTGTGTGGACCCTAAATGTAATCCTCCTTGTAGGAGGGAGAAAGAGGGAGATTTGACACAAACACAGGGGAGAAGGTAATGTAAAGATGAAGGCAGGATTGATATGGTGAGTCCACTAGTCAAGGAATGCTGGCAGCCACCAAAACCCAGAAGGGGCAAGGAATAGATTCTCCCCTGGAGCCTCCGATGGAGTGCAGCCTTGCTGACACTTTGATTCTGGCTCAGTCATACTGATTTCAGACTTTTGTTGTCCAGACAAAGAAAAAATAAATTTCTATTATCTTAAGCCATCAATTTATGGTAACTTGTTACAATAGCAACAGGAAATTACTAGAGAGTCATATGATGAATGAATTATTGGTAAAGAAGGCAGTCAAGAGGATATAATATTCCAGGAGAAAGATTATGAAATCCACTACTAGGACAGTTACTGACAATAGATAAGAGAACAGATGAGACATCAAGATGCTTAACTGGTGAGATTTGTTTTCAGATTAAGTAAAGACAGCAGGAAAGCAAGGAATCAACAATGATGTCTAGGTTTCTAATTTAGGTAATTTGGCAGCTAGATTATCAACAAAGTCAAGAAATTAAATCAAGAATAGGAACAGATTTAAAATGGAAAGACAGTTTAGTTGTACAAGATATGTGAATTTACAATGATCTCGGTGTATCCAGGGGGAAAGTGAAAGAAATTAACATTTAGTAAGCAGTTACTAAGAAGGAGATTCTTTACACACATTTTTATGTTTAATCATTGAGACCATTTTATGCGGTAGATGGTACTGTTCCCGTTCCCATTTTACAGATGAGAACACTGAGACTTACAGAGTTAAACAGTGACAGCCCTCTATCTTTCTAACATGCCATCTGGGAATGGAAATACAAGTCAATCAGAAATGAGAAGTTAGAAGCTGAACATAAAGATGTAGGCATTAACTTGTGATAGGTACTTGAAGCCATAAGAATAGATAACACTGCTCAGCATAGGAGACAGAGGGGACAGAGCAGAACCCCCATGAACATGAAGTACTCTGGAGCTACAAGTTTCTTTCTATAACATCAGCGAGGAGGAGCTGGAAGAGATGTTAAAATCACTGAAATCGGAGTAAACCATATGCATAGAACAAAGGCATAGCATAAGGGATTCCAAAAAATAAAATACCAGCTTAAAAAATAGATTTTAAGTACTGAATTCTAAGAAAAGAAAACCAGCAGCATGTCAACAATAGAAAATCCTGTGGAAAAAGCCTAGACTTACCGTTGGATCCTGTGTTTCTCTGAGTTTGTGTGTAAATGATAATAACTTATCCAGAGCTTCCTGAGGTACATTTGGGACCTATTTTTTGAAAGAGTTGAGGACAAACAGAAGGAATAAATCGGGATATCTGATCAATCAATCAGAAATTATGACTACTTAGCAAATAATATTAGAATTACATTTTTAGAAAAGTCATTCATTGTTGGCTAAATGTTTAACTTATGGATAAAGTTGCTTATTCAACCTCTTAGGAAACACTGAAACCCCTGCTTTCTCTTTAAGAATCAGGTAACTTAAACCAAGACACTCTTCTCCATATACAATTCTATCACCACGATAAAACTGAAGGGAGCCTTTAACTCAATTTAAAACTGGCCCATAGTGTACCCATAAAGAACTTTTCATGTATCATCATTTCCTATTTTGTTAGCTTCAGCATGACATTTTAAGTACTAATTAGGTGTTGTCTTACTGAAACCAAGTTCCCTTATTTAGCAGCAATCTTACATACATATCTAAGTGACATAAGGTACATTTATTTACAGAATGGATACTTAAGGTGTCCATTTTTCCAAAAACATGTAAAACACATATTTGAGGGGTATGATCAACATATCAATGAACTCGGAAGAGCAATTGCCCAAATAACACATATCGATTGCTTTTAACTATAACAAACTTCAATTAAGTACTTAATTAAGCTATAAGCAATTTTTGTTTAAGCAATAACAAATTTAAGGTTTTAATTTTAAAAGATCAAAAAAAGATACTAAAACAATGACTAGGACAGTGTCACAATTTTAGAAGAATACTGCTTAGGGTTTCATTGGTCATTTAAGTAATTAGAATTTTTTTAAATGCTAAGTCCTAGTCCACATATACTTTGTTTCATTTATTCTTTAAATCAATCCTATGATGTAATAAATAGTATTATCCCCATTTTTAGATGAGGAAACTATGACTGAGTAATTTACTCAAGATCTGGAAGCTAATAAGTAGTGGATTTCACATTGAGAGCCAAGTCATTAAACTCTAAAACCTATGCCTTTATTTACAACCATGCTTACAAGACCTACAATTAATAAGTTCATTCAGATGTTTCAAAGGGAATAAATGTATTTAAATAGAAAGTTAATAATTAGTGATCTAGAACAGTACTGTCCAATAGAACCTTCTATGATGATGAGCATTGTATATATGCTGTTTAATGTGGTAGCCAAAAGCTCCCATGTGGATACTGAGTACTTGAAAAGTGACTGAGAAGCGGAATTTTTTTTTTTTTCGAGACGGAGTCTCACTCTGTCACTCAGGCTGGAGTGCAGTGGTGTGATCTCGGCTCACTGCAACCTCCATCTCCCAGGTTCAAGCAGTTCTCCTGTGTCACCCTCCTGAGTAGCTGGGAATACAGGTGTGCACCAATAAGCCCAGCTAGTTTTTTGTATTTTAATAGAGACGAGGTTTCACCATGTTGGCCAGCCTGGTCTCGAACTCCTGACCTCAGGTGATCTGCCCGCCTTGGCCTCCCAAAGTGCTGGGATTACAGGCATGAGCCACCGCACCTGGCCGAATTTTTAAAAAATTAATTTAACATGGTCAGGTGTGGTGGCTCATGCCTGTAATCCCAGCACTTTGGGAGGCCAAGGGGGGGTGGATCAATTGAGGCCAGGAGTTCAAGACCAGCCTGGCCAACATGGTGAAACCCCGTCTCTACTAAAAATAGAAAAATTAGCCAGGTGTGGTGGTGCGCACCTGTAGTCTCAGCTACTTGAGAGGCTGAGGCAGGAGTCTTGAACCCAGGAAGCAGAAGTTTCAGTGAGCCGAGATCACACCACTCCAGCGTGGGCAATAGAGCAAGACTTAGTTTCAAACAAATAATAATAATAATAGTAATAATTTAACATGGCTAGTGCTACTGCATTGAAGCGTGCAGTTCTAAAACTCCAAAAGTGCTAACCACAATGCTTAAGGCACACATTAAAACAATGGATCACACACACTAGTTGTCATCAAAGGACTAATCAGGCAAGTACAGGATATGTTACAGTCTTGAGAGACCAGGACTACTTACTATTTACGTGTCTGGCCTCCTTTTATAGTAGGAACTTAAAATAGTCACTTTTCACTAAACAGAAAAATAAAAAGGATTCGAAAATGGCCTCCACCTGAGGAAAGAGGAGAGACAGGCCACATTCATGGTTCTTAGAGTGTGGTTCCCAGACCAGCAGCATCAGTATCACCTGAGAACTTGTTAGAAATACAAATTTTAATATAGCATCCCAGATCTACTAGCTCAAAAACTATGGAGATGGAGCCCAGAAACCTGTTTTACCAAGTCCTCCAGATGATGCTGAAAAATGTGAAAGTTTAAGATCCACTGACCTTCACCACTGTATGAAGAAATTTGGGAGTAAATGGGAAGAAAAAACTAAAAATGTCTAACTCTACTTTGGCATGTATCAGAGTGCCTTAAAAAGAGATCAGCTTTTTAAGAAAATAGACTAAGATTGGCTTTCTTCTTACCTTTTCCTTAATCACTTGGATTTCTTCACTTTTCACAAGTGGTTTCATGTAATGGAAAAAGAACATGGTTAAGAATTCTGGTCCCAGCCACTGGTGTGCTGTGCTTCCAATAACAGGGGGTTCTGCCAAGGCAATGATTCTGAAGGAGGGATGGATAGGAAAAATGGATCTAAAATAGGAAAAAAAATGAAAAAAAATAACATATCTTTCATGTAAGAAATCAGATCATGGTAACTAAAGTCTAGGCAACGTTAGGGCTATCATACTGTTAATAATGTCAATGTTATCATCCAAAGGATTAGCTTTGAAAAAAACAAAGTCAGGACATTCTAAGAACCTAAGATCAAAACAAACAATCACCTACTACCACTGCTAGTAAATGCTGTACAATAACCACTCATGAAACTCCAGCCCTGACACGAACCACTGCTTTTGATATACTGTTATGCCTACAACATATTTTCTCCATAATGTCTTGAAATAAAATCCCATCCAGTTCACATTCATTATATAGACCATCTTTATTCATTTAAAACCCCTCAGAATCTCCTGTCTCACAAGGAACCCACTCTATGTCAATCAAAAAGACCAAGAGGCACAATTCAGGATAAGGAGACTTTACAGTACAGAAAATGTAAGAAACATAAAGGGTTAGATTGAATTTAAAATTTAGATTGGGAATAAGAACACTTAAGTCTTAAAAAGGCAGAGAAAATAAAACCTTTATAGAATGCATTCTTTGGTCATTCTTATAGGAAATGTTATGATTTTAAAGTGATCTCTCTTAAAACTCTCTGGTAGGGAAACTGAGGAAGCATGTAAATTTTCTAGTACACACAGAGGAGTAAGATAAGACTTCCTTTGGTTTGTGAAATGACTTGAATTATTTTTGGAAAACCTAGAAACCCTGTATCAGAATCTTAATCATGTGGATAATATTGTCCATTTTTATCAATTCTACTAAAAAACCCAGCAGAAATATGCTTTTTGAGGGTAATATAGTTCTTGCTAAGAGAAAGGAGAGATAAAACATAAACACTTGCCAAGAGCTTCAGAAAAACAAAAATATAGGTACATAACTGCCATTTCACCATTAACTATAACATTATATTACAACCCAAAAGTTAAGTGACTAAGCAACTAGAATACCAGGAGGTAGGACACAAGTGGAAAGAATCAGATGAGTACTCTGAAGAGTTAAGACCAAGTGCCATCAATACAACAGGCAGGTCTACCAAGTCCCTGACGGCATGATCTGTAATTTTAAAGGCCACATCATCATTTGAAAACAAGGGGAAACCAATTTTTAGAAACTGGTCACATGAAAGGCCTAGATGAAATGAATTCACAAATACTACCAGATGTCATTTCATTTCTCTAGGTAGAAAGAAAAAGACTTATTTGCAGGTGTTTTAGCAGGGCCTGGGGGAGTGATCTGTCCAAGAGTTGTTCTGGAAAAAGAGGGAAGGATAACAACATGGACAGTGCCTGAAAGTCCAGAGGATAGCACAATTACTTAAGATTGCTAGTAATTAGATAGCCACGTGACAGAAACTGGACACAGAAAATCCTGTGAGGGAAAGCCAAAGAGGGAGGTTATTCCATTTTCCACTTCTGCTAAGTGGTTTGCTATAATCCAGAAAACTGCCATAAAGCCCAGCAACAGATGTTGGATGTATCCTTGATCCTCTTCTCTCCTAGTTAGGACAAAAAAAGGTAGGAGAGAAAGAGCCTGGTTTGGCTACCCAAAATTAAAGCTGCAGATGTAGTTTCTCACTTAAGATAGTGAAGGATACCAAATCAGGGAATAAACAAAGTCAAAATACAACAGGCAAGCCAAAAGGGGAAGTCTAATTTATATCCTTAAACCAGTAGATCAGGAAGCCAGGTACCACAGTGGAGCTGTAAAATTAGAACTAAAAGAACAACTAAAATGAGAGCATGCTAAATGGTTTACATTTAAAGGTGATGATAATTTACTGGCCCATATATTGTCAATAGTTTGCTTTTTAGTATTGACTCCAGCAGCGTTCTTAAGTAAGCTGGCCAAATTTGAAGAAGGCAGTTTCTAAGACAGCTGATATGTTAGGCAGAGAAATGTATAATGATTATAAAAACAGTCACCGAACTACTGAATAACAGGATGAGAAGGGCCTTTTTGTTTGCTAGGTTCTCCCTAAAGGCTTCCTTACATACAAATAGGTTACATGGGAAGTCATTTCCTGATGATGCTAGCTAGGTTCCACAAGCCAGAAAGTTAGAGAGCAGAGGATCTGCTGTGTACTTAAGGTGATCTGATAAACTGGTGGGTAATACAAAGACCAAAGAAGTGATAGATAATGAAAAAATTATGAGATAAGTGCCATTAAAATTTAAAATTAAGGTTAGGTTTAATTTTACTAAAATTTTAGCAACAAGAAAAAAATAAATGAAACTACAGATACGGCTTAATTTCAGACAAAAAGATATTATTTCCTAAAGATTACAGATTTAGAGAGCAAAAAGATCATTTAAAACAATTTTTAAAATAAAAATATTGAAGTCACTATGTTTGTCTGTGGGCATAAGTGTGAGTTTTTATAAAGTACTTTCTGATGCTTCTCACCAGTAAAAAGGAACAAACTATCAATGTACGTAACAACATGGATGATCTCAAAACACTTAAGCTATGTGAAAGAAGCCAGACAAAAAAGAGCACACACTGTGTGATTCCGTTTATATAAAACTCTAGAAAATATGAGCTCTATATAATGACCAGAAGCAGAGCCCTGGGGATGAGAGAGGAGGGTAAAAGGTGCAGGAGTTGGGGATGTCAACGGGTCTGAGGATACTTTGAGGATTATAGATAGATTCATTATCTTGATATTGGTGATGGTTTCATGGGTATTTATAAATATTAAAAATTATCAAACTGTGCATTTTAAATATGCATAGTTTATTATATGTCAATCATACCTCAACAGAGCTTTTAATAAAACAAAAAAAGACTTCAAAAATCTCCAGTTTTTAAAGGGAATCCTATGGTACATTTTCATTGAATTTGTACATTGGGGAACTTGAAAGAATAATATGGAAGGATTCTATAAATACATCAATCATGAGCTAGAACAGATTTCATCATTAGTTTTCCATACTACAATACTAATGTTCCAATTTAGAACCCAGAGTTATACAGTTCTGTACACAGACCATATTTCCCCTTTTTCCTATGCAGTGTAGCAAACTGCATGAACACATTCCTTATGCATCTTTTTATCACCCAGGGTCTAGTGTAATACTTGGGGAAGAAAGCAGACGCTAAATAAGTAAGTGTATACGGCTATTGTTAATGACCATCATTGCTATTAACTTTTTGAAGATCTTTGGTGGGAAGGACAAACAAAGGTAAGTAATAAGAACTGAACTTATGGTGTCCCAGCCAAAAGCTAGTCAAACTTGGTCCTGAATAAATATGTAAGAAGAGGTACACTCTCTGAATCAAAAAGACAAACTCAAAACATACAATAATAAATGATTACATCACTTATAAAGTACTTTCTGATGCTTCTCACCAGTAAAAGGGAACAAACTATCAATGTACATAACAACATGGATGATCTCAAAACACTTAAGCTATGTGAAAGAAACCAGACAAAAAAGAGCACACACTATGTGATTCCATTTATATAAAACTCTAGAAAATATGAGCTCTATATAATGACCAGAAGCAGAACCCTGGGGATGAGAGAGGAGGGTAAAAGGGGCAGGAGTCGGGGATGACAAGGCAAAGGGTTTCAAATGGTTCCTTGACCATAAAAATGTTCAGAAAAAATTATTTTCAAAATCAGAATTTCCTTAAGGCTTTTTGTTTTGAAAATCAAACACAAAGACTTGGGCATAAAATCCTGGATCTATCTAGAATTTTTTTA
This sequence comes from Homo sapiens, assembly GCF_000001405.40. Lineage (NCBI taxonomy): Eukaryota > Metazoa > Chordata > Mammalia > Primates > Hominidae > Homo > Homo sapiens. The sequence continues at coordinate 41,823,126 of NC_000013.11, forward strand.
AAAAATTTATATGGTCTGATTTGCTTGCAAAGAAATACCAAGATTTCTAGGAAGCTAGGAGATAGTGCTTGGATCCTGTCTTCAAATACGGGTAAGAGTTAAAGGGTTGAGATAATATAACCGATCAAGGATTGTGCTCAAATGTCCAGTTATGTTCACCGCTAAGATTGAGAGATTATAAACTGTTTTCAGTGTTCAATAGCAACAAATATAAATAAAATATTTAATAAAAAATGCAAAAACACTGGAGCATATATAAGTACATCTAAGACTAGGCCACTAATCTTTATTGTTTCCCCAAGATAACCAGAAGCCCTTTCTTGGCAATATAAACTGTTAATAACAGAAACTCTCAACTCCCTCATTTATGGTCTGGCCAACAGCAGGAAAAGACATATTTAGCATCCTATAGTATTTATACTCCCCCTTTCCCTAAAGAAGTTTTTCTCATCAAAGGAAGGAGTTCTATTTTGGTCTCTATTTCCTGAGGGAAATACAGGCATAGTATCTGGTGTATGTGGCCATCACACTATTTCTAACCACCACGTCCACAGCATTCCTGGTGTCTTGTAATATGAGAAAAGAAGACTCCAACCCTTCTAAGGGTATGTTAGGCATGTGATTACCTGCAGAGAATATAAAAGCCTGTAGAGCACTCCGGAGATCATCGAGATGTATAGTCTTGGTGAAGAATTACTATACAATGAAGGTTGGCAAAGAAGCCAAATATAATTGTTTAGAAACCGGGTTTCACACTATAAAGTTGAAAGGGTTGGTAGCCCACTGCTAGAAGCTGTTAATTATGAGACCCTCAGTTAATAGACTTTGTCATTAAAAGGCATCAAAGTATTCCTAATTACTAGGTTCACATAAGGAAACACTGCTAGCTCAGAAGGTCAACTAAAACTGGATTAATAGAGTTACCCTTACCTGAGTTTCCTCTCTGAAAGCAGGACAGGTATCTAAATTTACCAACTGGGTCTAGAAGCAAAGAAGCTCTTAAATCTGTCTTGGTCTTGGAAAGGGCTAGAGGAATGTCAGAGAAGGTTTCACAGAGGACATCACTTTTGAAGGAATAGCAGAAGTTTGCTGTGCTGGTCCTGAGAGGTGAAAGATGAGGCTGGCAAGGCAGGCATGTGTAGATACTGGCCCTAAACACTGTAGGCGATGGAAACCACTGAAGGACTTAAACAGTGATGTGATCAAATTTACAGATTAGACACTTTAAACTTCTAGCCTATGTGTGCGGAGAGGAAGGGGTTTCATTCACTAACTTAAGGTAACTTAAGAGGAATAGCAGGTTTGTAGAAATGAGTTCAAAGTTTCTCTAAGACACCTAAGGAGAGATATCTAGTAGTCAGATGGCACTTAGGAGACAAAACTAGATTGGAAAGTGGTTTTAAAGAATGCTCAGTATATTGGATGGGTGCAGTGTCTCATGCCTGTAATCCCAGCATTTTAGGAGGGTGAGGAGGGAGGACTGCTTGAGGCTAGGAGTTCAAGAGCAGCCTGGGCAACATAGAGAGACCACCATCTCTACAAAAATAAATTTTTAATTAGTCTAGTGTGGTGGTGTGCACCTGTAGTTCCAGCTATTCAAAAGGAAAGCTTGAGCCCAGGAGTTTGAGGTTGCAGTGAACTATGATAGCACTACTGCACCTCAGCCTGGGTGAAAGATGAGACCCTATCGAAAAGAAAAAGAAACAGAAAAAGAAAAAAAAAAGAAAAGAAGGGAAGGGGAGAGGAGGGAAGGGGACCGGAGGGGAGGGGAGGGGATATACTGAGAATGCTCAGTATATCAATGACAGATAAGGATATAAGAGTGACTGACATTGCCCAAGGAAAAGAAAAGGCCAAGGAGAAAACCCTGGGAGCTACCAATTTAAACAATATCTGAAACCTTTTCCAACCTCTCAAGGCACAGTTACTAGTCAATTCATCTTCTGTGTTCCCACAGCATTTTATACAGACCTGCAGTCTAACACTAAAAAACTGCATTGTGTTTATTTATTTACATATCTGTCTTCATGTGTGGTACACCACAGATGGCAACAAGTGTGTCATCTTAGAGCTGGCCCTCAATAAACATTTAACCTGAAGGAAAGAATGAAGTAATGCTAACACTCAATAACAAATACTTATACTCGCCAAATCAGTTATCTCCAATCATCAGTCTATAGATAGGATCATCTGGGTACTATTCTGGGAGCCTAGAGAGTGAATGACTCCATGGATTACCGTTATAACATTCATGTTCAAAAACACCATCCAATTGCTACAGTTGGAACAAGAGCTTTAAAGCCAACTCTCAGGAGGCATTATTCTACAAATTAGTAGAAGTTGTCCTAGGAGTACTGATTCCCTGGAGGTAGATTTATTTATTTGTACAAGACTGTAGAAGCTGTTCTTTCTGTTAGGCAGCTGCAAGTGATACCCCCCGAGCATCGACCATCCCCAGCCTCCAGAACTCTTCCTCTTAAAAAAGCAAAACAAAAACCTTCCCTGTCTTTCTACCTTTGACCTTTTTCTCTCTCTCAAAATCTTCCACAAAAAAGCTTAATATAAGTAAATAAAATAAAAGCTGAGTTTCTTTAAAGACTATTAGAAATAATCACTTTGCTAAAATTCAGTTCTGTGATTAAGTACAGAAATGAAAGGACAGACAATGTGGGTCATAAGTTTCTAATGTGGAGTTCAAATGCTACTGCCAAAAGTGATGTATTAGCTATGACCAGCATATAGGATCAACACATGCTAGATAATGGGTCATATTACTTATAAGAACAACTCATGAAATAAAGTAATTTCCTCATTCAGTACAAATTTGCTGCTTTTACACTGTGCTGTGTCTTTTTAGTCAAGCTGTCAGTCTTCTACTCAATAAACACAGTCCTGAAAGAAGTACTGCCAAGCAGCTTAAGAGAAGAATCTAACCTATTATAACCCTAAAAAAGAACATATTTATTTTCAGAAAGACAAAAATAAGTTACAACATTAAATTAAGGCTAAGTAAAGGTAAAAAAATTTACCAACAATCCATACTATCAGAGTGAAGCAGATTCTGTAACATGACTGTGTTTAACAACAAAATTAAGAAAATGGTGTGGTTCTCAGGTAAAAAGAAAAATTACAGATAAGGAAAGGGATTAGGCTTTCAACTGTTAGAAATATTCAGACAACAAAGAAGAATCATTGTTAGGACATCTCACCTCTGAAAAGTTAAGGACAGACCAAGATCCTGACAGAACATAATAGAGAAAATAAAATAAAATTAGAAGTTCAGCCCAGGAGGCTCAACATACATCTAAATAATAAAAGGTACAAGAAAAAAGACCAGAGGAAACTGAGTAAGTGGGAGTGGAGAGATCTAAGATGATGTAGGAGCTACAAGAATAAAGAGCCACAAGCCCAGATTAGAGTTCATCAGAATATACCATGGGAGAAACATGAAACTGACAGAAGGGCCAGGAGTGGTGGCTCACACCTATATTGCCAGCACTTTGGGAGGCCAAGGCAGGAGGATCCCTTGAGGCCAGCAGTTTAAGACATGCCTCAGCAACACAGTGAGACTGCTCCAAAAAAAAATGGGAAAAACAAAACAAAACGGGTGTGGCGATGCGCAACTGTAGTCTCAGCTACTCGGGAGGCTAAGGCGGGAGGATGGTTTGAGCTCAGGAGTTCAAGGCTGCAGTGAGCCGAGATTGTGCCACTGCACTCCAGTCTGGTTGCTAGAACAAGACCCTATCTCAAAAAAAGATAAAAAAAGAAAAAAAGAAATTGATAGAAGATGGAATTGATAAATATCATGTGTGCCTGAATGTACTGAGGGGAGATTTAGACAGTAAGGGAAGTGTTTGGGATTAAAAATAAGGCAATATATACATAGAAACAGTCACTTTCTCCTCAATGCTCCCATACAGTATTATACAGACCTTTAGTCTAACATTTAAAATTACATTGTAATTACTTATTTACATATCTGTCTCTCTTCATATGTAAGTAATTATTAACTTGAGGAAAAAACAAGATATATGCAAGAAAGGAAAATGAGTGTTGTATAGTAAACTGCTTAAGTGGGTACAGCTCTTAGGTTATCATAATAATGTAAGCATTGAATAAAGTTCTAAACAAAATTATTATATAACTCTTTAGGAAGAATAAGGGATAGAAGTGTGCATGTGTAATGAGACAAGAGGTGGTGAAAGAGCTAAACATTAATTTTCCATGTAGAAATCAACAGATTATTCCTAACACTAAAAATAAATCAAATATCAATGAAAGTATACTGTTTAGTGACATAGAAGTAAATACCAAAAGAAAAACCTGAAGTTTGAAAGTAGTAGCCTCTGGGGAGTAAGATGTGGGAAATGGGAGACTGTCAACTGATCAATCTATGACAGGGGATGGTATTTTTCATAAAATACTTTGAAAAACTATCTGGCTCTAGTTTCGTGCATGTTTAACAGTGGTAAAATTTCAAATGAAAATTTTTAAAAAGTAAGTGAAGGAAAGAAAGCATTGCTATGATCTCTCTCCACTTTCTCCCAGTGACCTCTGGAAATAGAGCTAAGCCTAGTTTGTATTTATGAGAGTGACATAAATCCATAGTGATGAAGGTGGAAAACTTTGAGAAGAAAGTACTATTAACCACTCTGAGCCAAATTCCTGAAAGTATTTTCATTTGTAAAACTGCCTGTGACCATTAGAGAACTTGGGTACTTTTCATAGAAAAGGGTTGTCATTTCCTTGACATTTGGAGACAAGTAGAATGCTTCTGATGTCCTAAGAGAAACTGCCAGGCAGGCATGCTGTGAACTATTGCAAAATTGCTTTGATTCATCCTTCTGAAAATATAAACTGTTCCATGACCCGTGATTCACATGCAAATAATGTGCCAAAGCCGACTGCTATTAACCAAAGTTATGATATGCGAAGGATCTCTAACTTGCCTCCCTAAACACTCAACCAACCATTTACCAGTCTAAAAGAATTTGATAATGTATACCTCGGAAGTAAAAGCAGCTGTGTAATCAAGTGACTTTTTAGTGACTTGTAAAGAGACAGGAAGGAATTTAACATTTCCCCTCTTGGAAAAAATTCCAAGAAATTTTTTAACAAATTTCTTCTTAAAATATAAACAATAATAAATACACTTAATTATCTTTTACGGGATTTAAATGTTTTAAATAGGGCAGTAAACCCTTTGAGTGGTGATACAGCTTCAATTAAACAGAGAGATTAAGTGATGAGGAGTTCCTCTGTATGCCAATCTCTAATTCTGTTAAAATATCCATGGAAATGTAGCAAGATAGAAAATAACATATTTGTCAAACTTCATTCTATATAGTATGCAGCTGAAAGAAGTATTTTCCTTCAAACTTTTTGTTTTGAAATTTTTTTAACTCACAGAAAATGTCAAAAATAGACTACAAATATCCATATATCATTCACCTAGATATTGCTAACTGTTAAGATTTTACCACATTTGTGTTCTCACTCTGAGAAAGAGAGAGAAAATGTCTGTTTATACACACACACATACATGTCTTTTTTTCTGAAATATTTGGAAGTTGTAGACTTTTTTTTACTTTATCCCTTAAGTATCTCAACATGCATCTCATAAGAATAGGAATATTCTCCTTCATAACCACAATATCATTATCATACTTAAGGAAATTAGTAATTCAATAATATCATATAACATAGTCCATATTTAAACTTTTCTAATTTTTTTATAGCCGTTTTTATTTTGTTTCCTCCTCCAGGATTCAGTCAAGTCTCACCATTGCATTTGGTTGTTACATCTCCACAAGAAATGTTTAAATAAGCTACAATGGGTAATCCGATATCAGATGGCATACTCCAACAATACTGATGACCTCCTTGGAGGATGAGCCCAGTTAATTGTGGGCCCAGCTTTAGTTTTGTTGAGAGAATACAAAATATGAGATCAAAACTGAATTGACAGGGCAACAGAGGAAAGATTACCTTCTTAAAACCAATGTTCTTATAAAACATTTAAATGCTTATTTAAAAGTAAGGCTGAAAAGAAAAACCACAATGAGATACCACCTTACTCCTGCAAGAATGGCCATAATTAAAAAGTCAAAAAATAATACATGTTGGCATGCATGTGGTGAAAAAGTAACACTTTTACACTGCTGGTGGCAATGTAAATTAGTATAACCACTATGGAAAACAGTATGGAGAGTCCTTAAAGAACTAAAAGTAGAACTACTGTTTGATCCAGCAATCCCACTACTGGGTATCTACCCCCAAAAAAAGATGTCATTATATGAAAAAGATACATGCACATTCATGTTTATAGCAACAGAATTCACAATTGCAAAGATATGGAACCAACCTAAGTGCCTATAACCAACGAGTGGATAAAGGAAATGTGATACACACACACACACACACACACACACACACACACACATGCACACACACACACACCATGGAATACTACTCAGCCATAAAAAGGAATGAAATAATATCTTTTGCAGCAACTTGGATGGAGCTGGAGGCCATTATTCTAAGTGAAGTAACTCAGGAATGGAAAACCAAATATTGCATGTCATCACTTACAAGTGGGAGCTAAGCTATGAGGACACAAAGCATAAGAATGATATAATGGACTTTTGGAACTCAGGGGCAGGGAAGCTTGTGGGGGGCGGTGAGGGATAAAAGACTACATATCAGGTACACTGCTCAGGTGACAGGTATACCAAAATCTCAGAAATCGCCACTAAAGAACTTATCCCTGTAACCACAAACCATCTGTGCCCCAAAAACTATTGAAATAAAAAATTTTTTTAAAAAAATCACTGTCGGCCGGGCACAGTGGCTCACGCCTGTAATCCCAGCACTTTGGGAGGCCAAGGCGGGCGGATCACGAGGTCAGGAGATCGAGACCATCCTGGCTAACAAGGTGAAACCCTGTCTCTACTAAAAAATACAAAAAATTAGCTGGGTGTAGTGGCGGGCGCCTGTGTTCCTGGCTACTTGGGAGGCTGAGGCAGGAGAATGGCATGGACCTGGGAGGCGGAGCTTGCAATGAGCCGAGATTGCGCCACCGCACTCCAGCCTGGGTGACAGAGCGAGACTCTGTCTCAAAAAAAAAAAAAAAAATCACTGTCATATTAACAACAAAAAAGCAAATAAAACAGTTGATTAGGTTTTTTTTTTTAAAAAAAAAAAGTAAGGCTGAGAGTACAGATTACACCTTGGAGAGCAACCTCAAGTTTTAAGAAATGCCAAAGTAGTGGCATATCCAGGACACCAAATTATTAAATTGTTCAAAGTTATCTTGGCATTATTCTAGGTTTAGAAAAATCATAAAAAGTATTATTTTTAACTTAACAATAAATTAGCAATGGGAGTAATGGACCCCAAATTACCTCTTCTGTAGCTGTTCATCAGACAGTTGCAGCTCCTCCTTTAAACGCATATACCTGTCTTCTCTCAGCAGCCTAGAACCATCATAGAGGCTTAGCTCTCGATCATGGATTAACCTAACAAGATAAGAAAAAAGCCCGAAAATAAATTAATGTGTTTTGAACACTGAAGTTTTCAGAGGCAGAATCAGTCAGCCAACAGTCTATTATTGCTGGCAATTGAGTCTAATAATTTTGTTAGATGGACCTTTCAAAATTTCAAATTGGCTACTGCTGTTACACTTCGCAAAACTGTTGGTTTCTGTACTGGAGGGCAGTAGTCATAAATATTTGATAGGGATATGAAAGAGGGGGAGGAGGAGGAAAAAAGAAAAGAGGAGGAGGAAGGAGAGCAAAAGAAACAGCTGAATGAGTATCTCAAGATAACCACAAGGTACATATTAATAAACAAGGCAGGTGGCACTTACTCTCTTCGGTCTAAAGTAACTCTGTAAGGGTTGGCATAAAAATATTTCTATCTTTGGAATTACAAGATTTAAAAATACAAAAATCTTATAATGAAATAACTACATTGCTCTACATATGGCAACTCTGAAGGTGACCTAACCATCCACATCACACATAGCATAGTCTTCCAGATGTTGCAATGGCTGAAAAGCACTGTTCTATATCTCACACCAACCCCTAAGTCTCCTAATGCCCACAATAGAGTTAGCCTACATAGCCTCCATTCTATAAGCACTGAAGGGAGGGGATGCTGTGTAATGCAGGGGATAGGAGCATGGCCGGTGGAACCAATCAGACCTGGGTTCAACTCCAGCTGTGCACCTTACTAGCTGAATGAGTGGGGAGAGGGAGAACGACTCTATCTCTCTAAACTCTCGTCTTCCATAACGTTAAGGCAACAGTCACAACTTCACAATATTAATGTGAAAACTAAACAGCTAATGTAAAATGGATGCTTATAGCTGTTCTCAATCTTGACTGTACGTTAGAATCTTCTGGGAAGTGTTTAAAAATGCCAATGTTCAGACCTTGGCCTAGACCAATTATATCAGAAAATTCTGATGGTGAAGCCCAGGCATGAGTTTTTTTTTTTTTTTTTTTTTTTGAGACAGAGTCTCCCTCTCGTCACCCAGGCTGCAGTGCAGTGGCGCGATCTAGGCTCACTGCAACCTCCGCCTCCTGGGTTCAAGCTATTCTCCTGCCTTAGCCTCCTGAGTAGCTGGGATTACAGGTGCATGCCTCCATGCCCAGATAATTTTTGTACTTTTAATAGAGACGGGGTTTCACCATGTTGACGAGGCTGGTCTCAAACTTCTGACCTCAGGTGATCCGCCCACCTCGGTCTCCCAAAATGCTGGGACTACAGGTGTGAGCTACTGCACCTGGCCCGCATCAGCATTTTTTTTTTCTTTTTTTTTGAGACAGAGTCTCGCTCTGTCACCAGGCTGGAGTGCAGTGGCGCCATCTCGGCTCACTGCAACCTCCACCTCCCGGGTTCAAGCAATTCTCCTGCCTCAGCCTCCTGAGTAGCTGGGACTACAGGCACATGCCACCACTCCCAGTCCATTTTTGTATTTTTAGTAGAGAAAAGGTTTCACCATCTTAGCCAGGATGATCTCAATCTCTTGACCTCGTGATCTGCCCACCTCGGCCTCCCAAAGCACTGGGATGATAGGCGTGAGCCACTACACCTGGCCGGCATCAGTATTTTTTAATTGCCACCCTGCAAGGTGATTCCAAGGTTGAGAACCTGAGAAGCACTGGCTTAGCACAATGCACAGAGTAGGTACTCAATTAATGGTAGTAGCTGCTTCTATTATTACTACTTGCAAACATGCAAGAGATAGCTAATAAAATGGGACTATTACCGTGTCTGCAGTGGTCTGGGAGAAAAAAATATTGTAAATCTATGGAACGTTTATGGTAAATCACTGAAAGTTTGTGACTATTTTTAAATGTTCTAAAATCTAATCAGGATTAACATAACGTATTTAGAATTTTTAATTACATTCAGTATCTGCATCACATCAAGAAAAAAAAAACTCTAAGTGGTTAGTTGGATAATGGCTTATTCTACTTATTTAACCTTTCCTAATGAGTCACAGTTAAAAATCAAATGTCTACAAGTTAGAGAACCAAAATAAACAGAAAATATCAGTATCATTAATCTCCTAAAATGATACAAGATGGGAATATTTTCTACAAAAGTTACACACGAAGAGCCTTCTCTTAACATTAAATTCTAGAGAAGTTTTAGGAATGTGTGGAAATTTTTCCCAACTAAACCAAAATAAGAAAACAATAGTTATAGAAATGTTCAAGTTTATAATTAACAAAGTGAGCTTTTTTAGTCTATATAAAATATAATTTAAAGCTATTATATATTTTACAAACAAAACTACTTTTCTCTCTCTCAAAAAAAAAAGATTCCAACAAGACCAACCAATAATTAAGATCTATGATTGATAAGGAGTGTGTAAATACTGAAGCTGTGACTCTGACAAATTATAGAAACTTCAGCAATGTGACATGCTGCATATATAGACCTGTATATATAAAGTTTTTCAAACTTACTACTGAAGCACTTTCTTTTTGCAGTGCCTACACACGGAATTCTGCTACAGGAGTGGCTTTTCCCAAAATGTTCATTATTTGGAGTTTTACTGCATTGTGTTTATAACAATAAAAAAGTGCCATTCTACTTGGTATAGAATCATGATTTTTCAGGATCTACACAACCCAGTTTAAAAAAAAGAAAAAGAATGAGATAGTTCCATCTTTACTGCTTAAGTCAGAGTGGGGTGTGTGTCTGTGTGTGATTTTTGTGACTCATACCCACCTTTGCAATACAGCAAGCGTGCCCGCATTCACCCGGTGAATGCCATCCAGCAGGACCAGCTTGCCTTCCAGAGCAGCATTCACAAGGGGTGAGGACCGCCAGGCAGTGTCTCCATTTGGAAGGGTGTATCTCTGCTGTAGCAGATCACGCGCTGTCATATCCTAAAACAAATCCCCACCACCCAACAAAGAACATGACGAATTAATTTTTAAGACATGCAAGGTAGCTTACATGGCTTTATAGAGTCACCTCCGTCTGAACTTAACATTCCATATAGTAACAGAGAAGTCATCTTCTCCAATTCCTAAAACGAAAGCTCTTCAGAAAGCTTTTTTTTGGTCATTTTAGGATTTTTTTCCATTACTCATTACATAATATAGTAAGAGTGAGAGGTTTTTTTCCCTACTTTATATTTAGCATTTTCTTCCGCTTTTAAAATGTTCGTTTACATAATGGCAGTAATTTCCACCTGAATAACAGAATTTAACTCAATCAGCTCTATTCCTGTGTTTTCATATGCCAACTTTTATGGTGACCTAACCATCCATGTGTTGACTCAATTTTAAAATGAGAGATCATGCAAACTCAACATGCAGAGATGTTTATCAATAATGTGCATTTTCTAGCAGTTGATGAGTTTTCCTGAAAAGCTATGCTAGGACCATCACAATGACTCATTTTATTTAAAGAGGCTTGATAATGGAGGAAATTGAAGAGGACAGTCATCAGATGAGGTACAGGAATTGGGAAACAATAGCATAGCACTTAAAAGCAATTTTTAAAAGCACACACACAATGTGCTAACAATAAAATAGTGTAACAGACTTAAGCAAACTATTAATAGTTGTGGCATATAAAAGTTTATCTACTGTAAAAAACTGGAGCTATATAATATGAACAATTTTTTCTTACATGTGCTAATGTGGATAGTTTCTTTTCTATCACCTTCAGATACATTTTGTGCGACTTATAGCAAAGAAAAGTTAAACACATTTACAGTCATTTTTATCCAAATATTTAAAGTCTTCTGTAAATTCTTGGCTACACACTCCCAACTTTCAGCAGATAGAAAACTAATGAATTTGCTTTATATTCATAATGGCAATGAATCTGTATTGAAACCAAGATTAAAATTTAAGTCTTAATTGTTTCAATCTTCTCACTATCAAGAAAGTACTGACTAAATGGCTATTACTAAAAATTCAAAAAAATAACAGATGCTGGCAAGGTTCTGTAGAAACAGGAACATTTTTACACTGTTGGGAGTGTAAATTAGTTCAACCATTGTGGAAGACAGTGTGGCAATTCCTCAAAGACCTAGAGGCAGAAATACCATTCAAGCCAGCAATCCCATTACTGAGTATATACCCCAAGGGATATAAATCATTCTATTATAAAGATACATACATGCGTATGTTCACTGCAGCACTGTTCACAAGAGCAAAGACATGGAATCAACCTAAATGCCCATCAATGATAGACTGGATAAAGAAAATGTGGTACATACACACCGTGGAATACTATGCAGCCATAAAAAGGAACTAGATCATGTCCTTTGCAGGGACATGGATGCAGCTAGAGGCCATTATTCTTAGCAAACTAACCCAGGAACAGAAAACCAAATACCACGTGTTCTCACTTATAAGTGGAAGTTGAATGATGAGAACACATGCACACATGGTGGGGAACAACACACACTGGGGCCTGTCAGAGGGTGAGAGGAGGGAGGAGGGATAGCATCAGGAAGAACAGCTAATGGATGATGGGCTTAATACCTGGGTGATGGGATGATCTATGCAGCAAACCACCATGGCACACGTTTACCCATGTAACAAACCTGCACATCCTGCACATGTACCTCTGAACTCAAAATAAAAGTTGGAAATTTTAAAAAGAGAAAGTACTGACTTAGGAAGTATGAATAGGCTCATTTTGAATCATAAAGACCTTTGAAAAACAGTAACATTCAAACTCAGCAACTTCCCATAAACTTAAAAGGCTGGTTTTGACACATTGTCAAAATTTGTTCTTTTTAAATAACTTTATTTAATTCTTCAACTATGAATTCTAAATTATATGCAAATTATATGAGCAATATCACTCTCTTGATGCCAATGACAGTTATAACAACCAAGACTAAATTGATCACCATCATCCGTGTTTACTGAGACAGTCACGACATTCCTCATTTTTCCTGGGCCCAAGCAAAAGATTCATTCCCACTCATGCTTATGCTACAGAACACCAAAGGGATCGCTCTCTAGAACAGGACAAAATCAAAATAAGTGTCTGTGGGTCATTTTTATAGTCAAACTATGAAAAAAAATCAAATATTACATATGCATATACATGTGCATATAAATATATATGTGTCTGTATATATATGTATGTATACAAATACATACAAACACACAGAATTTTTTAAAGTAAATATAAAAACAGATAAATTTAAAGAAAACTCCTGGTATGAATCATTCCAGAAAAATATTTGCCATAGAGTTACATCACACATTACCTTGGAAAAGTAAAAAAAGAAACAGAAAACACAGTTTAGCGCAGTGGTTCAAAATTAAAGATACATTATCAGAAACAGGTGGGGAACTTTTGAAACATATATAAACTTAAGCTCCACTATCCTGAAGATTCTGATTCATCAGGGCCAACATGGGGCCTACCATCTGTTTTTTATTAAACATTACATAGATGATTCTGATATGCCTCCCACGTGGGAAACACTGCTTAAAAAGATATTAAATTAAAATTCACTTATCTATACCCTTCCTTGTTCTAATATGATGTGAGATTGCAAAAGATATACAAAATGCACAACAAAATAACATAAATTAAAAGTAAAGTTAAAAATAAGAGAAAAAAAGAGTAGGCTTTGTCTATTTTAAGCATTCCTATTGGAATTCAGAGAGGAGATGGCAGGATGAAGGCATTCAACTAATATCATACTTTCAAAGAAACTGATGGATGTTAATTTTGAAAATCACAGCTTCAGACTGAAAACAGCTGATATCCTGGCCCAATTAAGGTTAGGAGTCTTTTGCTTGGGCCCAGGAAAAGATGAGGAATGTCGTGACTTCAGCAGACATAAGAGGCTCAGACTCCTAAAAAGCTGAAGCTAAAAACTGGTAACATTTTTTTTTTAATTTCAATAGAAAGAATTCCTCATTCTTATACCAACATATCTGAATCACCATTCTGTGCATGATATAAAAAAGCACTATTTCATTTGGTTATGATTCCAAAGTATTTTTTATCTTATTAATTCACAGGATGTGTACAGTACTTACCTTATTCAAGTAAGTAAACATTTATACTAACAGAGATGATGAAAAAGACAACTAGTACATAGGGCTCTTCTTTTACAATCTAGTAGTTGGAGACTCGCTTACATTTGCTAAAGTAAAATGAATGATTATTTTTTGCTACACAATATGCAGCAGCAGATCAATATAGCTCACCGCTATAAATGCCAACCAAAGCTATAGACCAGAAATGTTCTTCCTCTTTTCAATCTTCGGAGGGATAGAACATGGGAAATACTTGATATTTCTTAGAAGACTAGCTCAGTTAAATTTTATCACCTAAACTCTGTATACCATCATATTAGAAAGAGCCATTCTTCATTTTTAATAAACACACACGTGCAGATAGATGATAGATAGATAGATAGATAGATAGATAGATAGATAGATAGATAGAGATTTTTAAAAAATATTTTGTAGAGACAAGTTCTCACTCTGTTGTCCAGTCTGGTCTTGAACTCCTGGCCTCCAGCAATCCTCACACTTCAGCCTCCCAAAGTGGCAAGATTACAGGTATGAGCCACTGCCAATTTCTAATAAACCTTTGCATCAAAATAAAAACCTTCCTAAGAGAAAGAAAAGCACTCCCTTTAATATAAGCTATTGGTTTTCATAATTAACAACTTCTATTGAAAGACAAACATTTCAGCTTTTCCTTAAAGAGATAGTTGGCCCTACTTTCCCCAATATTAGTTATTATCAGAAGGTATTTTCAATTGTGTGAAAGTGCAAGGACACCAAAGCAAAACTAAACTTTCACAGAACAACTGAATCTAATCAAATCTAATTAATAAAACTTTTCAGCATAGGCTGAATGGGGAAGTGATATGAACTAATTTCAGGTAATAAGCTAATGTTTAAACCAAAGTAACATCACTTTCAATGGTTTCTGTCTATAGAATATTTGGTTTGTAGTACCATGAAATTATTGTTTTAATATCTTTAACAGACACTGCATCATGGAGTTGTGAAAAATATATATCATTTCCTCATTCTTCCCATCTACATGCACATTGCTATTAGTAAGCAGAAATGCAAATTTCTTTTTAAAAGTGTGCTTATTCCATACGGGCATTTGGGAAACACCCTAATAAAAATCAAGAAAAATCAACATCCTTATTTTTGCATATATTTTTCTTATCCTGAAACTCTTGAACTTAAGAGAATAAAAATAGCACTAATGATATCATAGAGCCTGATCCACTTCCTCTTTCTGCATTTCCTTAACATTTTTAAAATAACAGGACATGAAATTTAATTCCTTTAGGTCTACCACTGTCTAACCTTGAACACCTCACTTTCATTCAGATCCCTGGAAAACATCCATGTATCTCTTACGATTCCATGTCAATTGGAATTATGTTCTTTTGATTTGTAACTGAGAAACTCTACTGAAAATAAAAACATCCTGTTAAAATGAGAAGCACAACTCAAGAAATGGATCAGAGAACATAAATTTGAGCCTTAAAGCAATGATATGCTTTAAATGTTTTTAGTACCTTTAAATGATCTAAGCTAATTTTTTTGAGAATTCCCTTGAGAAATCCAGATACAGTCAATACTCAATAAAATAACTGTACAAAGTGGTTGTGTGTACAGTATCTAGAATATCATTAGAATTATTTTTCCAAGGCATAATGTCATTCAGAAAAAAATCTGAAAATATTATAGTACATTGTTAGTGTGTAAAGAAATTTGAGCTACCTCTCTTACTGATACTAAAGTAAAATTTTACATTATAATGCACATATAACTGTCTTATAGGAAATTAAATTGCTTGTAGCAAAAGTAGAATATCAAAGTACATATAGAGTATGACTTCAACCAGGTTTAAAAAATACGCATTTCTACCACATATATAAACCCAACAGTTTCAGAAAGTATTTAAGTTGAGTTGCAAAAATATGCTTAATATAATGTATTATAAAATTAAACATAAGTGGACAAGGAAAACTAAACAAGGAAAGATGAAACTAAGGAAAAAATAATATGCAAAATATATCTGAACAGTCTAAAATTTGAATCTAATCTAATATCCAACATAAAGAGTGACACTAAAAAAAAGTTACAGGTGTTCCTGTATTAGTTTGCTGAGAATGATGGTTTCCAGCTTCATCCATGTCCCTGCAAAGGACATGAACTCATCCTTTCTTATGGCTGCAGAGTATTCCATGGTGTTTTTGTGACAAATTTTCTTTATCCAGTCTATCATTGATGGGCATTTGGGTTGCTTCCAAGTCTTTGCTATTGTGAATAGTGCTGCAATAAATATATGTGCGCATGTGTCTTTATAGTAGAATGATTTATAATCCTTTGGTTATATACTGAGTAATGGGATTGCTGGGTCAAATGGTATTTCTGGTACTAGATCCTTGAGGAATTGCCACACTGTCTTCCACAATGGTTGAACTAATTTACACTCCCACCAACAGTGTTAAAGCATTCCCATTTCTCCACATCCTCTCCAGCATCTGTTGTTTCCTGACTTTTTAATGATCACCATTCTAACTGGCATGAGATAGTATCTCATTGTGGTTTTGATTTGCATTTCTGTAATGACCGGTGATGATGAGCTTTTTTTCATATGTCTGTTGGCTGCATAAATGTCTTCTTTTGAAAAGTGACTGTTCATATCCTTCGCCCACTGTTTGATGGGGTTTTTTCTTGTAAATTTGTTTAAGTTCCTTGTAGATTCTGGATATTAGATCTTTGTCAGATGGATAGATTGCAAAAATTTTCTCCCATTTTGTAGGTTGGCTGCTCACTCTGATGATAGTTTCTTTTGCTGTGCAGAAGCTCTTTAGTTTAATTAGATCCCATTTGTCAATTTTGGCTTTTGTTGCCATTCCTTTTGGTGTTTTAGTCATGAAGTCTTTGCCCATGCCTATGTCCTGAATGGTATTACTGAGGTTTTCTTCTAGGGTTTTAGTTTCTAGTTTTCCTAGCACCATTTATTAAATAGGGAATCCTTTCCCTATTGTTTGTTTTTGTCAGGTTTGTCAAAGATCAGATGGTTGTACATGTGTGGTGTTACATCTGAGGCATCTGTTCTGTTCCATTGGTCTATATCTCTGTTTTGGTTACTGTAGACTTGTAGTACAGTTTGAAGTCAGGTAGCATGATGCCTCCAGCTTTGTTCTTTTTCCTTAGAATTGTCTTGGCTATACGGGCTCTTTTTTGGTTCCACATGAAATTTAAAGTAGTTTTTTCTAATTCTGTGAAGAAAGACAATGGTAGCTTGATGGGGATAGCATTGAATGTATAAATTACTTTGGGCAGTATGGCCATTTTCATGATATTGATTTTTCCTATCCATGAGCATGGAATGTTTTCCCATTTGCTTATGTCCTCTCTGATTTCCTTGAGCAGTGGTTTGTAGCTCTCCTTGAAGAGGTCCTTCACATCCTTTGTAAGTTGTATTCCTAAGTATTTTATTATCTTTGTAGCAATTGTGAATGGGAGTTCACTCATGTTTTGGCTGTTTGTCTATTATTGGTGTGTTGGAATGCTTGTGATTTTTGCACATTGACTTTGTATCCCAAATACTGCATGTTCTCAGTCACAAGGGGGAGTTGAATGAGACCACATGGACACAGGGAGGAGAACATCACACACTGGGGCCTGTCTGGGGATGGCGGGGCTAGAGGAGGGATAGCATTAGGAAAAATACCTAACGTAGGTGACGGGTTGGTTGATGGGTGCAGCAAACCACCATGGTACATGTATACCTATGTAACAAACCTGCACGTTCTGCACATGTATCCCAGAACTTAAAGTATTAAAAAAAAAAAAGTTACAGGTGGTAGCTCATGCTTGTAATTCTAGCACTTTGGGAAGCTAAGGTGGGCTGATTGCTTGAGCTCAGGAGTTCAAGACCAGCCTGGGCAACAAGGCAAAACCCCATCGCTACAAAAACTACAAAAAATTTGCCAGATATGGTGGTGCACACCTGTAGTCCCAGCTACTTGGGGAGCTGAGGCACAAGGATCACTTGAGGCCAGGAGGTGGAGGCTGCAGTGAGCCAAGATTGCACCACCGCACTCTAGCCTGGGTGACAAAGTGAGACCGTCTCAAAAAAAAAAAAAAGGTACATAAGTCATGATGATCACAACATCAACACCAAATCAGAAGCAGCACCACAATTCTTGATAATAAAATTGAGAAAAATTTGTTTCATGGGTCAGGTCATCCTATAGAGAACAACATGTTAAAGAGTTAAAAATAGAAGTAATAATAATTATTACAGCTAATCCTTATGGAAAGCCTAACAAGTGCCAGGTACTTTGCATATGTTAACTCATGTAATCCTTATAACCTGAAGAGCCATGTACAATTATGTTCTTCATTTTACAGAGAAGAAAACTGAGGTATGAGAAGGTCAAACAGTTTACCCAATCAAGGACACACAGCTAGCAGGCAGAGGAGCCAGATTGTCCTCAAGTATATTATGACAATGAACACAGCAATAAATTTCACTAAAAGAAATTCCCATAAGGAAAGAGCTGGATTGGATTAATGAACCCATGAATAGATTGCAGTTAATATAGGAATATACCAATAACACACCTCTCAGGCTAGCTTCACAAATTAACTTCTAATAAGTCTCAATCATCTTCTTTGAGAAGAGTTAAAAAGTGTGACTATGATGCTAACCACTCCCCAAACAGACCCCAAATACAGCTAGTCTTTATTGTTGTTTTAAAATTTATTTCAAAACATATAAAAAAGATTGAAATAAAAATGCTTTAGTTAAAAGTAAGTACATCTCTAAGTAGATATGATTCTTCATTCTCATTTCTGAATTAAAAATATAAACAGTAGGCCGGGTGCGGTGGCTCACGCCTGTAATCCCAGCACTTTGGGAGGCCGAGGCAGGTGGATCACGAGGTCAGGAGATCGAGACCATCCTGGCTAACACGGTGAAACCCCGTCTCTACTAAAAATACAAAAAATTAGCCGGGTGTGGTGGCGGGCGCCTGTAGTCCCAGCTACTCGGGAGGGGAGGCAGGAGAATGGCGTGAACCAAGGAGGCGGAGCTTGCAGTGAGCCGAGATCGCGCCACTGCACTCCACCCTGGGCGACAGAGCGAGACTCTGTCTCAAAAAAAAAAAAAAAAAAAAAAAAAAAAAAAAAAAAATATATATATATATATATATATATATATATATATATATAAAAACAGTAGACATTTAATATTTTTTCAATTGGGGTAAATAAGCACTAATAATGATTTTGTTTTCCAAAGGAAACTAGCTGAATTTCTGTAGGCTTTCCAGGTCTACCTCAAATGAGTTTTACTTATTAAGCAATACTTATTATACCAGGAAAATACCATACCAGTAGTATAAACAAGAAGAAAATCTGGGATTATGTGAATAAAAGAATATACCAAGAATAAGCCATTGACTTTGTAATACAGTATTAACTATGCCCACACCTATTAGTGGCAGCAGAATGCTACATAAATATTGTATAAACATACAATGTTAATAATTTTTAGGTCCTGAAATAGAAATGAAGCCATTATTTCTGGAATCTAAGCATGCTCAGTGAACAGAACGCAGGCATGCTGCCAACATTCCTCAGTGTCATTTATGTTTGATCTCAAAAAGGCCTCTCATTTTACATATATTGTAAAATTATTTGTAAACTCTTCCATCCTTCTCCCTCAAGTTCCTCTTTTAAAGAACTATTTTTAACCTGTAGCACATAAAATTAACTCCCTTTTATGTACAGGATGCGATGTTGACATTACAAGCCTACTATGTTGATTTCAGTTACTCTGCTGTCAATGGGGAAAAGTTGATTTTGCAGTTGTATGTGTGGTAAGCACTGGAATCTATTTCAAGATGATCTGCTTTAGTTAAAGATTTATACTATGAACACAGAATAAATTTCTCTCATTGAAGATAACCAGAAGTCAAACCCACTATGTTGCTAACAACTGATTCAACTAAAGGACATCTTAATAAAGATGCAAAATTAAATATAAATGTAAGGTCAGTATAGGTGCAGATAATACAGTTATGTACTCCATCAAGATACACAACCAAATACCCTCATTTTATCCTTCCTATACTACAAAGGCTAGAAAACTAGAAACATCATTTCTTAAAGTCTGTGCAGCTAGAGTTCTATTCATGAACCAGGTTCCACCAAGCATTCTCATGTACAAGAGACTGGGAAAATGGCAGTCAACAATGGGAGTAAGGGAGCAGCCAGCACAAAGAAAACTGCTCTTCTAGGGCATCAATGGCTAAATTCCTCCTGGTACTACCATTCCTTACTGGGTAAAATGTAAATTGCATTCCCTGTTTCTCCCAGAAATTTTGTAAATTAGCTAACACTCTGTAAATAATATCTTTTCATTTTAGAGACTGAGTACTATTGTTTACCAGAAAGCCAGAACTTAAGGATGATGATATTTAAAAAGTAAATCAACTTGTTAAAGATTGTAAAGAAAATGTTGACAACTAAGTACATTAAGAAGGACAAGAAGAGTTTCACAAGGCAAGAAGCAGAGATGCAATAGACTAAAACCCCAGCATATACAAACTAAAGAATCATATTTTATTCAAATAGTACTACAAACTTTGTTGCATTTTATCACAAATGTTAGACTCCCTTAGAAAAACAGGTGTGAAAGTAGCAATAAATTCTAGTTTAAGTATCTGCAATAAGCTAAACACTTAAATCAAGAAGTTAGAAAAACTTCAAATCAACAATCTAATCTAACATCACGGCTAGAGGAACTAGAAAAACAAGAATAACCTAACTCCAAAGCTAGCAGAAGAAAAGAAATAACTAAAATCAGAGCACAACTGAATAAAACTGAGACTGAAAAATCCATACAAAGGATCAACTAACCCAAAATTTGGTTATCTGAAAGGATAAACAAGATAGACCACTAGCGAAATTAATAAAAAAAGGGAGAAGATCCAAATCAGCACAATCAGAAATGACAAAGGTAACATTACAACCGATCCTACAGAAATACAGATCATCAATCAATGCCTACTATGAACACCTCTCTGCACACAACTAGAAAATCTAGAGGAAATGGATAAATTCCTGGAAACACACAACCTCCCAAGACTGAATTGGGAAGAAACTGAAACCCGAAACAGACCAATATCAAGTTCTGAAATTGAATCAGTAATAAAAAACTTACCAAAAAAACACAACCCTGGACGAGATGGATTCACAGCTGAATTCTACCAGACATCAAAAAAGAGCTGGTACCAATTCTACTGAAACTATTCAACACAACTGAGGAATAAGGACTCCTCTCTAACTCGTTCTACAAAGCTAGCATCATTCTGATACCAAAATCTGGCAAAGACATAACAAAGAAAGTTAAATATAGGCCAATACCCTTGAGGAACATGGACACAAAAATCCTCAACAAAATACTAGCAAAACATATCCAGTAGCAAATAAAAGTTAATTCACCATGGTCAGGCAGGCTTTATTCCTGGGACACAGAGTTGATTCAACATATGCAAATCAATAAATATGATCACCACATAAACAGAATTAAAAGCAAAAGCCATTTTGATCATCTCAGTAGACACAGAAAAAGCTTCCGATAAAATCCAACATCCATTTAAGATAAAAACCCTCAACAACCTAGGCACTGAAGGAACATACATCAAAATAATATAATAAGAGCCAGCTATGACAAACCCACAGGCAACATCACACTGAATGGGCAAAAGCTGGAAGCATTCCCCTTAACAACTGAACAAGACAAGGATGCCCACTCTCATAACTCCTATGCAACATAGTACTAGAAGTCCTAGCCAGAGCAATCAGGCAAGACAAAGAAATAAAAGGCATCCAAATAGGAAGATAGGAAATCAAACTATTTCTCTTCCCACATGATATGATTCTATACCTAGAAAACCCCACAGACTCCCTCAAAATGCTGCTAGAACAGATGTCAGTAAAATTTCAGTATACAAAACCAATGAACAAAAATCAGTAGCATTCCTACATACCAGTAACATTCAACATTGAATGGATACACCGATAACATTCAACATCTAATGTATACACCAATACATTCAAGCTGAATGTGTCAGGAACACATTCCTATTTACAATAGCTGCCAAAAAAAAAAAGTTAAATAAAATACCTAGGAATACATGTAAAAAAGGAGGTGAAAGATCTCTACAAGGAGAACTATAAAACACTGCTGAAAAAAATCACGGATGACAAAAACTAACGGAAAAACATTGCATGCTCATGGATTAGAAGAATAAATATTGTTAAAATGACCATACTGCCCAAAGCAATTTACAGATTCAATGCTATTCCTATCAAACTCTCAATGTCATTTGCCACACAAATAGAAAAAATTATTTTAAAATTCATATGGAACCAAAAAAGGCCCAAATAGCCACAGCAATCCTAAGCAAAAAGAACAAAGCCAGAGGCATCACATTACATGACTTCATGAAAAGATACTTCTCAGAAGACATACAAGTGGCCAAAAAACATACGAAAAAATGCTCAACATCACTAATCATTAGAGAAATGCCAATCAAAACAATGAGATACCCTCTCACATCAGTTAGAATGCCTATTACCTCTCACATCAGTTAGAATGGCTATTATGAAAAAGTCAAAAAATAACAAATGCTGGCGAGATTGTGGAAAAAAGGGAACACTTACACACTGTTTGTGGGAATGTTAGTTCAGCCACTGTGGAAAGCAGTTTGAAGATTTCTCAAAGAACTTAGAACTATCTTCATTCGACCCAGCAATCCTATTACTGGGTATATGCCCAAAGGAAAATAAATAGTTCCACCAAAAAGACACATGCACATGTATGTTTACTGCAGTACTATTCACAACAGCAAAGACATGGAAGCAAACTAGATGCACATCAATGGTGAATTGGATAAAGAAAATGTAATACATATACACCATTAAATAATATGCAGCCATAAAATAGAATGAAATCACATCCTCTGCAGCAACATGGATGGAGCTGGAAGACATTATAAGCAAACTAACGTAGAAACAGAAAACCAGATACCACTTGTTCTCACTCACTCATGTTCTCACCCACTCAAGTGGGATCTAAACATTGAGTACACACTGACATAGAGATGGGAACAATAGACAATGGGGACTACTGAGTGGGAGGGAAGAAGTGAAGGGTGAGGGCTGAAAAATAACTGTTGGGTACTATGCTACCTGGGTGATACGACCATTCATACCCCAAACCAACAGCATAACACAATATACTCATGTAACAAACCTGCACACGTACTTCCTGAATCTAAAATAAAAGTTGGAATTAAAAATAAATTAAATATCTGCAATAATATTTGCCTCATAATAAGCTTTTTAGTTCTTTTTTTTTTTTTTAAGAGACAGGTCTCCCTACATTGTCCTGGCTAACTATTCATAAGCACTAATAGTGTACCACAGTGTTGAATTCCTGAGCTCTAGTGATCCATCCGCCCAAGTAGGTGGGAATACAGGTGTGTGCCACTGTGCTCAGCTTATAATAAATTAGTTTCTAAAAGCAAGTAACAAAATATGAAATCAAGATTGGTGTAATTATGAATTACCCGTTTGGTATTCAATAAAGACACCTGGAGCAGATACTGCATTTGACCACCCTCAACACCACTCAAATCCCTGTTAGTCAGCCACATGAGGGGTAACACATGTGAAAGGATGGCTACAAAGTGAGGAAGGCTGGGATTCAATTCCACTTCTGCAACTTCCTTATTATGTGATAAATGAGTGAAATGAGTAAAATATCTTTAGAATTAAATGAGATAATGCCTGGCACCTAATGGTTATTTAATAAATGACAGCTGAATCTGAATCAAGTGAAGAAACAAACTATAAATATGTTCAAATTTTAATATAACAATAAGTCTCAGTTCACAATTCAGGACAGTAATAGAAGTGATATGACAATGCTGCACACAATTAAATGACAGAAAATTCCTATCTTAGAATTTAAAATAAAGTTAATATTAAAGCAGGTAAAAATAGTAAAGAAAAGCTGACAACAGAGGTCATTTAAAAATAATCTAAAATTTTCAGGCTAGGCACGGTGGCTCACGCCTGTAATCCCAGCACTTTGGGAGGCCAAGGTAGGCGGATCACCTGAGGCCAGGAGTTCAAGACCAGCCCGGCCAACATGGTGAAACCCCATCTCTACTAAAAATTAGCCAGGTGTGGTGGTGCACACCTGTAATCCCAGCTACTCGGGAGGCTGAAGCAGAATTGCTTGAACTCTGCAGGCAGAGGTTGCAGTGAGCCGAGATCATGCCACTGCACTCCAGCCTGGATGACACAGCAAGATTATGTCTCAAAAAATTAATTAAATAATCTAAAATTTCCACAATTTATTCATTCAAATATATATTGAATATATATATGAAGAGAGAAAGAGAGAGAACCAGCCTACTGCTTGCAAATCACTGTTTCAGGTGCTGAGAATTCAGTAGTGAAAAAAATAAACATGGATCTTACACTCCAGTGGGAATGAACAAAAATAGATAAAGGAAAGGAGACAGGAGGAGAAGAAAGGAATAGAAGGACACAAATAAGAAAATACCACATAGTAGTTGGTACTACACAGAAAATATCAGATAGTATGATGGCAAATGACTCAGTGCATCAAAAACGCTTTCTCTACAGATATTTAAGTTGAGATTTCAAAGTCAAGAGGCCACGTGAAGATCAGGCAAGAATATTCCAGTCTGATGACACAGCCTGTGAAAATGCCCCATAGCAGAAAGAAGCCAGACAGATTTAAGGGATTAAAAGTACCCAGTGAGACTGAAACATATCAGTAGAGGGTCCAGCAGGAAGGGAGAAGGCTGAAGAGGTAGGCATGGATTGGGTCACATAGCGCAGTGGTTCTCAACCCTGGCTGCTGGTTATAATTGAAAAATACTGGTCCCACCTCCCACCAATTACTTTAGACTCTCTGGTGGTAGAGCCTGGACACTGGAAGTTTTTCAAAGATCCTTGAGTGGTTCTAATGGGTAACCTCGTTAATGGAAGACTCATATGCCAGGGTAAAGTGTCTTTATTTTATTCTAAGTATGATGGGAGGCCATTGACAGATTCTAATCAGGGAAATGAAAAGATCTGATTTACATTCTTAAGAGATCACTCTACAACTTTAGTGAATAGAATATGGAATGCAACATACTCTAACTACATATCTACAAATGTTCAAATGACAAAACTGATGAGTTCTTAAAAACTCTATAAAGTAAAACTCCATATGCCAAATGCATTTTCCACCAAAGGCTCAATAATGGGCCCAAGGATAGTGGGTTAGAATTTTTGGAAATGTTCATGGTTACAGTAGATCCTGCAAAAAACAAATGATGGAATATTGACAACTGGCTATGAGGGGTGAGGGTGATGGGGAGAAGGCTAAGAAATGTGCCATGTTCCAGTACTTGACAACTCTTTTGATTGACAATGCATCCCTTTTGGCACCTTCCTCACAAAACTAAAGCTGCCTTTTCTGAATTGCTACTCCATGGAAGACACTGTGCAGCAGGAAGCCAAACATTTGTTCACTAGCTGGGAAACAGAAAAGAATCCAATGGATTCAGGGAGAGTTACTAAAAACAAATGAGGAGCCTCTCACTTGAAGCAACATAGAAAAAGGCTTGCTAAGATTAAAGAAATGTGCTGGTTGAACTCTCAGGGTAATATGGCTTGGCTGTGTCCCCACCCAAATCTCACCTCGAATTATAATCCCCATAATCCCCATGTGTCATGGGCGGAACCAGGTGGAGATGACTGGATCATGGGGGTGGTTTCCCCTATGCTGTTCTTGTGATAGTGAGTGAGTTCTCATGAGATATGATGGTTTTATAAGCATCTGGCATTTCCCCTGCTTGCACTCAACTCCCTCCTGCCACCTAGTGAAGGTGCCTGCTTCTCCTTTGCCTTCTGCCATGATTGTAAGTTTTCTGAGGCTTCCCCAGCAATGTAGATCTGTGAGTCAATTAAACCTCTTTCCTTTAAAATTAACTAGTCTTGGGTATTTCTTCATAGCACTGACAGAACAGACTAATACACAGGGCAGCCTTCCCACCTATGTGATAGCATAGTGACTATCATTCCTCTCCTGCAGGGGCTCCCTGTCTGCAGCTACCTAAATCTGGGAGAGCTTAAGGGAGCTACTAGAAATAAACATGAAGCATCAGAGGTGCTAGGCTGGCTAAGGCTCCTCTTTAAATTGTTAACCTTTTAACAGCAGTCAATAGAGTGTAAAATCAGGATTTTAGCAGCTTCTACCAACTCAAATCCCAAGATACTTCAACTCCACATTCCTGGAGGCATGAGTTGAGCTCTGTAAAAGATTGCCTTTTCCTTCTCTGTTATTTTTGGCTCTATCTCTATGGTTCTGCCAAATGGCTTCCACTTCAAACAGCCTTGTTTCTAACTATGAGACTGGCTTTAAAATCAGCAATAAAGTTCTACGTATTCAGAAAGTGATGTGGATCCTGAAAAACTGGGGTTTTCTTTAATAGGGGAAGAATACAAAACTAAGCATTTAGGAATCATAAAAGGCATCTAGGTCATAAAACTGAAAAGCATATATTTACTTTTCATTTCCAGGGGAAAAAATATGTTCACAAAATATATTCTACTTGCAAATATTTGTAAATTTTAAAATCAAATCAAAGTTATACCCTTCATTATTTTCTTTTTCAATATATTTCCCACAAGGATGGATCATAAGGATATATAGATATATCTATAAGATATGTAACTTCATCACTAACGTCACTAACCTCTGGCAAACTCCTCACATTTGCAGTGGTCTTCAATGACTATAAAATCCTGAGGACTCTCAAAAGATTTCCCTAAGACTCCTAATCAAAATTACTGTAAAGTACATTGAAAACAGAAGTGCATAGGTCAGGCACGGTGGCTCGTGCCTGTAATCCCAGCACTTTGGGAGGCCGAGGCCGGTGGATCATGAGGTCAGGAGTTCAAGACCAGCCTGACCGATATGGTGAAACCCTGTCTCTACTAAAAATACAAAAAGTGGCCGGGCACGATGGCAGGTGCCTGTAATCCCAGCTACTTGGGAGGCTGAGGCAGGAGAATCACTTGAACCTGGGTGGCAGAGGTTGCAGTGAGCCAAGATCGCGCCACTGTACTACAGCCTGGGTGACAGAGTGAGACTCTGTCTCAAAAAAAAAAAAGAAAAGAAAAAGAAAACAGAAGTGCTGCCTAATGGAGATGATCAAACACAGCAATGTGTTGCTACCAGCAGGACTATGACTTCATTACATAATGTCCTTATGTCTGGAGTTACTCCATGCAGAGTTCCCAAATTTGAAGTTTCTTCCCTCTTCAACTTCACCGATCATCAAGAATAGTAAAAGAAATACCTTTCAGACAGGAGTTCCTTATTTGGTGGGATTCCTTGGTCATTTTACCTTTGTTTTCTTTCTTGGACTAATGGATTTGGCTTTACTGTAATGTTTATTTTTATACACATGCCCAAAGGCCTCCTAGTGTGTCTTTATAAATCTAATAAATACCTCATGATAATTAAGTTTATTAACACAAAAGATGTTATCCATTACTAAAAAAGTACACTTTAATTAAATAAGGAGCCAAGTACATACTATAATGTAGTTCCCTGTGGACCCAGTCACCAGGCCCAGCCCAGCAGGCCCTGGTATCAGGCAGCCCCCTAGACTCAGGGACCAGGACCCAGCTCATACCCATGTACCCTGGTTCCAGGACCACCATAGTGCCACACTGGACTCTGAAGACTCAGCCTCAAGGTCTGCCATAGCACTATGTTAGGTCCCATCAACCCAAGTTCAGGCTGTTCTCCATGAACTCAGGCTTCAGAGCCACCCTCAGAGACTTAGTTGATAGGCCCACTCACCTGCAGAGTCAGGCACCAGGCCAGTCCACCTAAGGACTCCATTAGCAAGCCAAATGAAAGACCCCACCAGATGGTCTGCCCAGAATGTCTGGCTGGGTTGGCTGGTAAAAAGCTTTCCCTATCAAGGCCAGTCTATAAAGACTGGATGTCCACTTCTTCAAATGCACAGACACCAATGCAAGCCCATGAGGATCACTAACAATCAGGGAACCAAAACCACCAGAAGAACAAAATAAAGCACCAGGAACTGACACTAAATAAATGGAGACCTACGAACTACCTGACAAAGTATTCAAAATGATGGTCTTAAAGGAACAGTGAGCTAAAGAGAACACAGGCTACTAAATGATATCAGGAAAACAATATACAAACAAAGTGAAAAGCTCAACAAAGAGATAGAAACCATAGTTACATATTTTTTGTGGTAAGAACATTTCAGGTCTACTGTCTTCGCAATTTTTAAGTATACAATATGGTATTATCACCTATAATCATTATAATGTACATTAGATCTTGAGAACTTATTCATTCTGCTTAACTGAAACTTTGTACCCTTTGACTAACACTTTCCCCTTTTTCCCATTCCCCAGTTCCTGACAACCAGCACCCTATTCTCTGCAGAGTCAGGCACCAGGCCAGTCCACCTAAGGACTCCAGCAGCAAGCCAAATGAAAGACCCCACCAGATTCTATGAGTTTGATTTTTTAGATTTCACATTTAAGTGAGATAATGTAGTATTTGCTTTTCAGTGGCTGGCTTATTTCACTTAGCATAATGTCCTCCAGGTTTATTTACATTATTGCAAATGACAGTGATATGGTTTGGCTATGTGCCCTTCAAATCTCAACTTGAATTGTATCTCCCAGAATTCCCACATGTAGTGGGAGGGACCCAGGGGGAAGTAATTGAATCATGGAGCCTGGTCTTTCTCGTGCTGTTCTCGTGGTAGTGAATAAGTCTCATAAGATCTGATGGATTTATCAGGGGTTTCCACTTTCACTTCTTCCTCATTTTCTCTTGCTCCAGTGATGTAAGAAGTGACTTTTGCCTCCCACCATGATTCTGAGACCTCCCTAGTCATGTGGAACTATAAGTTCAATTAAACCTTTTTCTTCCCAGTCTCGGGTGTGTCTTTATCAGCAGTGTGAAAATGGATTAATACAGACGGGATTTTCTGCTTTTTAAAGGCTGAATAATAATTCATTCTGTATATACTGCATATTTTCTTTATTCATTTGTCAATGAAAACATGTTAATTACCTATCTTGGCTATTATGAATATGCCACAATAAACATGGGAGCACAGATATTCCTTCAAGATACTGACTTTATTTCCTTTGTATATACACCCAGAAGTGGGATTGCTGGATCATGTGGTAGTTCTGTTTTTAATTTTTGAGGACCCTCCATACTATTTTCTATAATGTATGTACTAATTTACCTTTCTACCAACAACGTACAAGCATTTCTTCTCCACATGCTTACCAACATTTGTTACCTTTTATCTTTTCGATATTAGCCACTCTAACAGGTGTAAAGCAATATTTAATTGTGGTTTTAATTTGCATTTATCTGATGATGAGTGATGTTGACCACTTTTTATATGTACCTGTTGGCCATTTGTATGTCCAACAAGTATATTTTAAAATGCCTGAGAAATGTCTATTCAGGTTCTTTGCCCATTTTAAAACTGGGTTGTTTTATTGCTACTAAGTTGAGTTCCTTTTACAGTTTAGAAATTAACTCTTTGTCAGCTGTCATTTGCAAATATTTTCTCCCATTTTGTAGACTGACTCTTCTCTGTTGATTGTTGGCTTTGCTGTGCAGAAGCTTTTTAAGTTTGATGCATTTATCTCATTTATCTGCATTTATCTCATTTATCTATTTTTGCTTTGGCTGCCTATGCTTTTGGTATCATCTCCAAAATACTGTTACCCAGACCAATATCTGCAAGCTTTTCCCCCTTCTTTTCTTCTAGTAGTTTTATAGTTTCAGTCTTACATTTATGTATTTAATCCATTCTTAGTTGATTTTTGTATACGGTATGAGATAAAGGTCTAATATCATTGTTCTGCATGTGGATATACAATTTTCCCAGTACTATTTATTGAAAAGACTATCCTTTCCCCAATATGTGTTCTAGGCTCCTTTGTTGAAAACTAACTAGCCATTAATAGTATATTATTTCTGGGCTCTCTATTCTGGTTCCATCCATCCATATGTTTGTTTTTAATGCCATGCTATTTTTATTACTATTCCTTTGTGGAATATTTTGAAACCAGGTAGTGTGGTGCCTCAAATGTTGTTTCTCAAGATTGCTTTGGCTATTTGAGGTATTCTGTGGTTCCATATGAATTTTAGTATTTTTTTTCCATTTCTGTGAAAAATGTCATTGGAATTTTGGTAGAGATTGATTGCATTGAATCTGTATTGCTTTGGGTGGTATCGTTAGTGTTTTCTATATATAAGATCATGTCATTTGGAAACAGAAAAAAGTTTTACTCCATCTTTTGTGATTTGGGTACATTTATTTCTTTTTCTTGCCTAATTGCTTTAGCTAGGACTTTCAATAGTACATTGAATAGAGTGGTGACAGTGGGCATCCTTGACTTGTTCCAGATCTTAGAGGAAAAGCTTTCAGCTTTTTACCATTGAGCATAATGTTAGCTGTGGCCTTGTCATATATGGCCTTTATTATGTTTTGTATCTGTGGTCACCAGGGATATTGGTCTGTAATTTTCTTTTCTTGTAGTGTGCTTGTCTGGCTTTGGTATCAGGGTAATAATGGTTTCACAAAACGAGTCTGAAAGTATTCCCTCTTTTTCTATTTTTTTAAAAAGTTTGAAAAGGTTTGGTTTTAGTTCTTCTTTAAATGTTTGGTACAATTCACAGGTTAAGCCATCACATAATAGGATTTTCTCTGGTGGCAGGTTTTTGATTACCGATTCAATCTCCTAACTCATTATTGATTTGTTCTCATTTTTTCATTTCTTCATGATTCAGTCTTGGTAGGTTACATATTTCTAGGAATTTACCAATTTCTTTTAAGTTATTCAGTTTGTTGATGTATAGTAGTCTCATGAGCCTTTGTATTTCTGTGCTATCAGTTGTGATGTTTGTTCTTTTGTTTATAATCTTGTCTCTTCACTTATTCATCTAGCTACAAGTCTGTAAATTTTATCTTTTCAAAAAAATCAACTCTTAGTTACACGGATCTTTTCTGTGGTTTTTCTGTTTTCTATTCTATTTCATTTTTTCAACTAGACATCTATTGTCCATGAAGGAAACAGAGTTGAAAAGCGTGTTGTCCATGCCTTCAAGGAGCTTACAAACGATAGGAGAGACAAATTGCTGTTTCATCAATTCCAAGATATACATGTTTTATATTTTAATATCTCTGAAATCAGGGTGCAGCTTCAATTGATAGAATCTTAACAACAGTTGCTGAAGAGTCAGTTACCATTGTGTACATATATGTGCACTTGTTTCTGCTTGTTTGTTAGTATGTTTGTTAGCTTGTGGCTTAAAGAAACAACTGTAATCCATCCATGTTTTAGTCAACAAATTACTCTTTTCCATTTGGGAAAAGAATATGAGTTCTAGTTGTTGCCTAAAAACATTTCTGTCAGTACCTTTGGTTAAAATTTTAAAAATATCAGTATCAAAACCAGCAGAATGGCTGTCAGTAGCTTGGAAGACAATTGGGGAAACAATAGAAGAGCATTCTGTTCCTGACCAACCAAAGGAACACACAGAGAATATACGTGAAACAACATGAACATCTGCAACTGAATCATAAAGTGCTTTAGAAGAGTCAGACTATGATGGTGCATAAGTTTTAAAAATATTTCAAAATATTTTTTATTGTTATATTTATTTATAAATTTATTATATTTATTTTTATTTTATATATATTTTCCTATTTATTATATTCATATTTTCCTTTTTCTGCATGCACAGGAGGAATATAATCTAAATTAAGTCTGGAAGAGTTCTTTAAGACAAATATGAAAATTCTAAGTGATAAAGTCTTATATCGTAATTTAATTTGAAGTACTTTTTCTTTCTTAGTGGTGCATCTTACAATTGAGTGCCTCTTGGAGCTAATGAAATACAGTAGTTATTACAGTACAGAATGATAAGTGCCATGAAAAAGGCCATTAAGTGATGCTGAAACAAAGAGGGAGTACATATAAATTAAATTCAAGATTTACAGAAATTCAGAGCAGGCAGTGGAGCTAAGTTTTAAAGGTTAGCAAATTGGCCTACAGGCTCTGAGGGGTGGTTCAGGCAGCATGAAGAGTGCAAGAAAGCATGGAGTGGTAGGCAGCAAGTCATGTTGGGGAAACTGCAAGTCATCCCTTAAGGCTGGAGTTATAAGGTAAATGTTAGTTGCACAGTTGAGGTCTTACAGGGGCCAGATAAAAAAGAGCACTGTGTGCTAAACAGCATAATTTCAATATTATCTTGCAAACTGTGAGTCGTGATTAAAAAATGTGAAATAGGGGGAAAATTAGAAAGAACAAAAATCAGTATTGTAAGGATGGATTGGGCAGATCCCAAGCTGGAAATGAGTGGAAAGCTTAGAAAGCTAGTGTTGACAAATTCATTGAGAAGGGCTGAGCACCAGAAATAAAGCTACTGTAGCCCATGGCTTGGCTGTTGGCGGCAGCAAGGTACCCACCCAATGGCCCACCACGGGTTTAAATATATATATATTTATTTATATATATATAATATATAATATATAAATATATATTAATATATATTAATATTATATAAAATATATTTATATATAAATATATATATGAAGTAGAAGAAAAAAGAAATAAAGCTACTGTAGAAGAAAGAGAAATACTGATATAAACATAAATTAAAATGTGATAAGGTAGTCAGCAATTAAAAGGAACAAACTACTGATACATGCAACAACATAGATGACTCTCAAATGTATTATATAAGTGAAAGAAACCAGATGTAAAAGGCACATAATGTATAATCCCATTAATATGACATTCTGGAAAGGCAAGACTAATGGGGATAGAAAGCAGTGGTTGCCAGGGGCTGGGTTTGGGTGGACTACACAAGGGAACAAGGGAATTGTTCAAGGTGATGGAAATGCCCTATATCTCAATTGTGGTACTGGCCCTACTACCAAATGTGTTTGTCAAAATGGACTGAATTTTACTATGTATGAATTATACCTCAGTAAACGTGACTTTAAAAACCCCACCAAAAATGTGATAAGATGGAACACAGCCACACTCATACATTGATGTACTGCCTTTGTCTGCTTTTCTACTATAATAGCAGAGTTGAGAAGTTTTAACAAAGACTGCATGATCCACAAAGCTTAAAAATATTTTCTATCTGGCACTTTACAGAAAAGGTTTGTCAACCCTGATATATGGTAATATTACCAATTTGTTCTGTTCTCATTCAAAAATCTTACTTGTTGGCCAGGCATAGTGGCTCAAGCCTATAGTCTCAGCACTTTGGGAGGCCAAGGTGGGCAGATCACTTGAGGCCAGGAGTTTAAGACCAGCCTGGCCAATATGGTAAAACCCCATCGCTACTAAAAATACAAAAATTGGCCAGCGGGGGTAGCACACATCTGTAATCCCAGCTACTCGGATGGCTAAGATATGAAAATCATTTGAATCCGGGAGGCAGACACTACAGTGAGCTGAGATCGCACCACCGCACTCTAGTCTGGGTGATAGAGCGAGACTTTGATCAAAACAAAACAAAACAAAACAAAACAAAATATTCACAAGAAGACTAGAAAGGCAATAACTGAATGTGCACAAACTCTCTATTCAAACTATTTGGGGTACAGAATGAGTTGTTTTCCAAATATGTCCTGAATTAAGTTTCCAAATGGAAAGAGTATTCAGTTCTCAATAACAGCCATAGATGGTTTTTCTTAGAAACTTTCACAAGGCTAGGCATAGTGGCTAACGCCTGTAATCCGAACACTTTGGGAGACCAAGGCGGGAGGACTGCTTGAGCCCAGGAGTTCGAGATCAGCCTGAGCAACATGGCAAAACCCCATCTCTACCAAAAATACAAAAAAAATTAGCCAAGCCTGCTGGTGTGCACCTGTAGTCCCAGCTACTTGGGAGGCTGAGGTGGGAGGATGGTTTGAGCCTGGAAGGCGGAGGTTGCAGCAAGCTAAGATTGTGCCGTTGCACTCCAGCCTGGGTGACATAGCCAGGCCTTGTCTCAAAAAAATGAAAATTAAAAAAAAAAAAAAAAGAAAGAAACTTCCACAAAACCTTCCCATTATAATAGCATCTCCCAATTCAATCTATTGTCTAAATCATATATTTGTTGGATATCTTTTTTTGTTAGAATAATAGACAGGTGTTTTACTTAAGTGATTAGCTACAATCTGCAAAACTGCTTCTTTATATACTACTGTGTATTTGAGACTTGAAGTATATATTAGGTAGACATTATCAACTAGACATTATCAAGAGGCTTTCAATTCTCTTTTGAAGCTGGAAAATACGGATAACAAAGTTTCTGGCACTTTGACATAAAAATAAAGTATAAGTGCTAAAAGATTTTTTAAATGTGATAAGGGAAGAAATTAAGCTAATTGCCTAGATAAGATTTCTTCATTATATACTAGTTTTACTTATTTCATTATTTATTTTTAAAAATGAAGAATTGTTAAGCGTTAATATACATATGCATCTGCAACAGTTACAATGATGACTTACAATTAGCTAGGTATAAATTTGAGTTACATTTTCCAGAAATGGCGATGTATTACAGAGAAGCATCCATATCATATTTTTTCCAATAAAGTACACTTGTGAAGTAACTTACTAAGATAAGGGTTGTAATTTTACAATTTAATTTATAAAATTCCCTGTGTAAGCAATTGCCACCTGCTTATTAGTACCCTGATGAAACTTACTAAAGTAACTATTCTATACAATGTATAATATTTATAATTTTACAAGTATGAGTAACACTAAAATTCATTGTAATTTCATTAATTTATTAAATTATGGCAAATAATATTACAAATACTTATGATCCTCTTATAGCATTCTCCCACTATATAGGCAAGGAATTTGAAATGACATTTAATGAAAATGTCACTTCAAATTAGAAATTTCATTCTGCTAACTCTTTAGGCACTGTGATGGTTAATTTTATGTGTCAACTTGACTGGGCTGTGGGATGCTCAGATATTTGGTTAAATAGTATTCTAGGGGTGTTTGTGAAGGTATTTCTGGATGAGATTAGCAGTTGAACTGGTAGATTGAGTAAAGCAGATGGCCTTCCTCAATATGGGTGGGCTTCATCTAATCAGTTGGAGGCCTGAGTAGAACAAAAAGGAGAAAGGCAGTATTTGCTTTCTCTATGTGTTATTGAGCTGGGATATTAGTCTTCCTTACTCAGACTGGAACTTATACTATTGGCTCTATTGGTTCTCAGCCCTTCAAGGCTTCTCTTAGAACTACACCACCACACCACCTCTTTCCTGGCTCTCCAGCTTGCAGATGGCAGATCATGGGAGTTCTCAGCCTCCATAATCTCACACATCAATTTCTTACAATAAATCTCTATAGGTTCTGTTTCTCTATGAAATCCTAACTAATACAGACACTAAAGTTTATAGTCTGATAGGTTGGAATGTATTTTAAATTTAAAATATTCTACATAAAAGAGGCAGGCGACAAAGCAATATCATTATTAAAGAGAAACTGGGCCAGGAGCAGTGGCTCAGGCCTGTAATCCCACCACTTTAGGAGGCCAAGGTGGGGGGATCACCTGAGGTCAGGAGTTTGAGACCAGCCTGGCCAACATGGCAAAACCCTGTCTCTACTAAAAATACAAAAATTAGCCGGGTGTGGTGGTGTGGGCCTATAATCCCAGCTACTCGGGAGGCTGAGGCAGGAGAATCACTTGAACCCGGGAGGCGGAGGTTGCAGTTAACCAATATCATGCCACTGCACTTCAGCCTGGGCAACAGAGTGAGAGTGAGACTTCATCTCAAAAAAAAAAAGAGAGAGAGAAACTAAAGAAGATATGAGACAGAAGCCTTGGTAAGCCTGAGATTTGAAAAGGATTGCTAGAGTCAACCATTTTAAAGTTCTGATGTGATCAACAGTATATACATGGTTCTTGAAAAATAAACTTTATAATTAAAGAAATCTGTAGGAGCTGAAGT
Source organism: Homo sapiens (assembly GCF_000001405.40). Classification (NCBI taxonomy): domain Eukaryota; kingdom Metazoa; phylum Chordata; class Mammalia; order Primates; family Hominidae; genus Homo; species Homo sapiens. Next base: position 41,858,788 of record NC_000013.11, read on the forward strand.
AAGTAAATTCTTAGATAGCATTGTAAGAGCTATTCTTTGTGGAAAAAAAAATACTAAGAAGACAGGAAGGGTGACAGACTGTAGTAAAATAAAAAAGCAAGAAAACAAGATGAGCTACAGACTCATATAAAAAATCAGCCCCGCCTGGGCAGGGTGCTTCACACTTGTAATCTCAGAGCTTTAGGAGGCTGAGGTGGGAGGATGACTCAAGAACATACGTTTGAAGCTGCAGTGAGCTGTGCCTGCGCCACTGCACTCCAGTCTGGTGGACAGAGCAAAAACCTGTCTCTTAAAAAAAAAAAATTTAAAAAGTCAGCGTCAAAAAAAAAAAAAGCCTCCAAGGTCCAACGTTGCATAAAGAACACTTAAATGAATACAAATGTCTTGAAATCTTCATAAGAGAAAAGCACGAAGTCAAGGCAAAAATAAGAGGCACAGCAATGAATCCAAGACACAGACCAATAAAAACAAAGGAGAGAGAATAAAAGAATAAAAATATTTCCACTATATTTGCATAAACAAGAAGTGAGGACTGCAGATTAGATGGAAGAGAGGGGAAAGGATTTGGTCTGAGTTTAGCTATAGAAAGAAAAACTTAGCTAAGAGGTCAGTGATGATACTAAGATTTCAACATATTTTAGACCACAATTATTTTCACTAAAAGTCCCATAAACTTACGTGCACTTGAATTTTAGATTAAATTTGACTTGGTGTTTAATCTAACTAGTAATTGATCAGAAGGAAAAGATCTCAGATCTAGTGTATTTATGATGATGTAGAAAGAAATCTGGAAATATGCCCTTATCTGGTTGTGAAGGAAAAGAATAACTTGTATTTCTTCAACACTATGAAATCACTGGTTTCAACCCTAAAAAAAGAATAATCAGTTAAAAGAATCTGACCTAACACTTGAGCCAAATGATTTATGACTTTTATAGCCTATTATAAAACTTACTTTACGTACTGCCTCAAATCTGTGTTAAAGCTCTGTTTTCCTTTTACTTCATATGAAATGCAGTCCTAAAAATAATCAAGTCTAAAAATAAGGCAAAAACCACAGATTAAGTGTAGCTTTATACATGTACAAATAACAGGGAAGTCTCCACATCTTCTAGGAAAACAGATGGTGTATCTACTTTTTCCCACTAAATTCTCTATGTTGCATCAAACCTCTGGAACTTTTTCATCAATGTGCACTATATTATTATACAAACCAAATTCATTCTTTAAGTTTATTAATTCCTGTGTCCCACAGAGGAGTCTTATATTTGATCTCAGGGGCTTGGTTTCTATAATAAAAAGCAACTGATTATTTACATGGAAAGAAGCTATATAGCAAAAGAAACAAATTCACCTCCAAAACATATTACAGTTATTATATTTCTCTATCCCTTTCCAAAGTCTATACTTCTAGGAAACTCTTTTCTCTAAAAATTTTCTCTAAAAATTAATGAGCAGAGAAGCAAAATGGGAAAAAAGAAAAGGAGTTTTCAGAAAATGTGCTTAGTTTGCTTATCTCTACTGTTTCCCAATCTTTGCAGGACATCTAAAAGGTTGACAGGATATGTACAAAGGATGGGTAAATGTTTTTACGGGAAACTTATGTGCCTTTCAATTATCATCATCTGTATTTTTCAGAGAGAGGACTGATAAGACATGACTAAATGACCTTATTCTGTGACAGAAACTAGAAGACACTGAGTTTGTAACTCAAAAGTGTATCAGGAAATAGAAAGTCCTGCCATTAACTTTAACTGTAGTATCTTCCCACCCTTATTCATCCATGCATTAATAAACTGAACAGGAAACTGAAAAACATTAAAATAAAATAATGTTTTGGTGAGTTTATTGTCACTCTCTAGAAATATAGGAGAAAATCTGTTCTCAGACTCTTAAACTAATTCTTTTACATAACAAGATAGCATACTCAAAGGCAGGATACTTTGGGAGGCCTTCCAGTGTAGCTATGAGATCTGAATTATTAGATATACACATACTCTTTTGTTTGGTTAGTCTTTTAAAAAACAGCAGCATGAAGTGAACATAAATTTCATAGCTCAAACATACAGTATAAAACTAACTATGAAAACCTGACACAGAAACAGTACTGTTTGGAAAAATTGATGACAAATTATTTCCAGTTTTCATTAGAATGAGAGTTTTTATTTTAATGTGAAGAAAATATTCATGTTATATATAATTATATAAATAATATAATAGCAAATGAAGATGGAATCAAAAAGGAAATTAATATTTTTTTCTTCAAGACCTTCTCCATATGATTTCAAAGCAATGGCACATGAAATATTACTACTCAGGAGGCTGAGGCAGGAGAATCGCGTGAACCTGGGAGGCGGAGGTTGCCGTGAGCCGAGACTGCACCACTGCACTACAGCCCGGGTGACAGTGCGAGACTCCATCTCAAAAAAAGAAAATCATATATGTGGAGAATGAATTCTATACCCAGAATACATTAAAAGACTCCTATAACTCAACAACAAAAAGTCAATTAAAAAAATAAAAGCTCAATTAAAACATGGGTAAGGACCATAGCCAACATCATACTGAACAGGAAAATGCTAGAAGCATTCTTTTTAACAACTGGAATAAGACAAGGATGTCCACTCTCACCATTCCTATTCAACATAGTACTAGAAGTCCTAGCCAGAGTAATCAGGCAAGACCAAAAAATAAAAATAGGAAAAGGGGAAGTCAAGCTATCTTTCTTCACAGATTATATGATTCTACACCTAAAAAACCCTATAGACTCCACCAAAAGGCTCCTAAAAGTGCCAAGTGACTACAGTAAAGTTTCAGGATACAAAGTCAAGGTACAAAAATAAGTAGCATTTGTATACACCAATAACATCCAAACTGAAAGCCAAATCAAGAACACAATCCCATTTACAACAGCCACAGAAAGAATAAAATACCTAGGAATGCAGCTACCCAAGAAAGTAAAAGATCTTTTCTCTGCAACAAGAATTACAAAACACTGCTGAAAGAAATCAGAGATTAGACAAACAAGTGAAAAAAACATGCTGTGCTCCTAAGAATTACAATTGTTAAAATGGCCATACTGCCCAAAGCAATTTACAGATTAAATGCTATTCCTATCAAATTACCAACATCATTTTTCACAGAATTAGAAAAAACTATCCTAAAATTCATATAGACTCAAAAAACAGCCTGAATCGCCAATGTAATCCTTAACAAAAACAACAAAACCTGAGGCATCATGCTACCTGACTTCAAACTAGACTACAAAGCCACAGTAACCAAAGCAGCATGATACTGGTACAAAAACAGATACCTAGACCAATGGAATGGGAAGTGGAACCCAGAAATAAAGCCACATACCTACAACCACCAGATCTTTGACAGAGTCAACAATAACACACAACAGGGCAAGGACTCCCTATTCAATAAGTGGTGCTGGGATAACTGGCTAGCCATAGGCACAGGATTGAAACTGGAACCAATCCTTTCACCATATACAAAAATTGCTTCAAAATAGGTTAGAGACTTAAATCTAAGACCTAAAACATAAAAACCTAGAAGAAAACCTAGGACATACTGTTCTGAATATGGGCCTTGGCAAAGAATTTATGACTAAGACCACAAAAGAACTTGCAACAAAACCAAAAATTGACAAGTGAGACCTAATTAAACCAAAAAGCTTCTGTACAGCAAAAGGAGCTATCAGCAAAGTAAGCAGACAACCTCCAGAATGGGAGAAAATATTCACAAACTATGCATATGACAAGGGTCTAATAACATAAAGAACAATTCAACAGAGAAAAAACAACCCCACTTAAAAAATTGGCAAAGGGCATGAATAGACATTTCTCAAAAGACATACATGCAGCCAATGAATATATTTTAAAAAGGCTCATCAACACTATCATCAGAGAAATGCAAATCAAAACCACAATGAATACCATCTCACACCAGTCAGAATGGCTATTATTAAAAAGTCAAAAAATAACAGATATTGATGAGGTTGTGGAGAAAAGGGAACACTTACACAATGCTGGCAGCTATGTAAATTAGTTCAGCCACTGTGGAAAGCAGTTTGGAGACTCCTCAAACAACTTAAAACAGAACTACCATTTGACCTAGCAATCCCCTTACTAAGTATATACTCAAATGAAAATAAACTGTTCTACACATATGTTCATTGCAGCACTGTGATGGTTAATACTGAGTGTCAACTTGATTAGATTGAAGGATGCAAAGTATTGATCCTGGGTGTGTCTGTGGGGGTGTTGCCAAAGGAGATAAACACTTGAGTCAGTGGGCTGGGGAAGGCAGACCCACCCTTAATCTGGTGGGCATCATCTAATCAGCTGCCAGCCAATATAAAGCAGGCAGAAAAACATGAAAAGGCAAGACGGGTCTAGCCTCCCAGCCTACATCTTTCTCGCGTGCTGGATGCTTCCTGCCCTCAAACATCAGAGTCCACATTCTCCAGTTTTGAGACTTGGAGTGGCTCTCCTTGCTCCTCAAGCTTGCAGACAGCCTATTGTGGGACCTTGTGATGGTGTAAGTTAGTACTTAATAAACTCCTCTTTATATATATATATGTGTGTGTGTGTATCTCCTATTTGTGTGTGTGTGTGTGTGTGTGTGTGTGTGTGTGTGTGTATATATATATATATATATATTCACACACACACACACACTATATATATTAGTTCTGTCTATATATATTAGTTCAGTCCCTCTAGGGAACCCTGACTAATACAAACACTACACACAACAGCAAAGACATGGAATCAACCTAGGTGCCCACCAACAGTGGACTAGATGAAGAAAATGTGGCATAGATACACTATGGAAAACCATGCAGCCATAAAAAGGAAGAAAATCATGTCCTTTGCAGCAACATGGATGTAGCTAGAGGACATTATCCTATGTGAACTAACAGGAACAAAAAGTCAAAACTGCATGTTCTCATAAGTGGGAGCTAAACATTGAGTACACATGGACATAAAGATGGGAAAAACAAACAATAGGGACTACTTGAGAGGGGGCTGTGGGTTGAAAAACTATCAGATACTATGTTTAACTGCCTGGGTGACGGAATCATTTATACAGCAAACTTCAGTGACATACAATTTACCCATGTAAATTGTGACCTGCACATGTACCCACAAATCTAAAATAAAAATCAAGAGAAAAAATAAATAAGACAGACATGGGTAAGGGTCTCGAATAGGTATTTCTCCAAAGAAGATATACAAATAGCCAGTAAGTACATGAAAAAGATGCTTAGCATCAGTAGTCATTAGGGAACTGCAAATCAAAACCACAGTGAATTACCACTTCGCAGCCATTAGGATGATGATTATAAAAAAAAAAAAAAAAAAGAAAGAAAAGTGTTAGGGAGGATGTAGAATAATTGGAACCATTGTGCATTGTTGGTGGGAATGAAAATGGTGCAGCTGCTATGGAAAACAGTTTATTGGCTCCTTAAAAAATTAAACGCAGAATTACCATATGATCCAATAATTCCATTCCTAGGTATATACCTTAAAAACTGAAAGCAGGGACTCAAATACATACTTGTATACCACTGTTCACAGCAGAATTACTTACTATAGCCAAAAGGTTACAATAGTCTAAAGGAAACAACCCCAAGGTCCATCAACAGACCAATGGAGAAACAAAGAGTGGTATAGACATACAACAGAATATGACTTTGCCCTAAAAAGGAATGAAATTCTGATATATGCAACAACATGGATAAATCTTGAAAACATTATGGTAAGTAAAATAAACTAGACAAGAAGGACAAAAATTATATGATTCCATTTATATGAGGTACCTAGAATAGGCAAATTTATAGGGACAGAAAGTAGAGTTTACCAGGGTCTGAGAGGGAAAGAAAAACTGAGAGCTACTGTTTAATGAGTACAGAGTTTTTGTTTAGGATGATGAAAAAGCTCTGGAAAAAGGAAGTGGTAATGGTTACACAACATTGTGAATGTACTTATTGCCAGTGAATTGTACATGGCGAAACCCTGTCTCTACTAAAATACAAAAAAATTAGCTAGTCATGGTGACAGGCGCCTGTAATCCCAGCTACTCAGGAGGCTGAGGCAGAAGAATTGCTTGAACCCGGGGTGGGCAGAGGTTGCAGTGAGCCGAGATTGTGCCATTGCATTGCAGCCTGGGCAAAAGAGTGAAACTCCATCTCAAAAAAAAAAAAAAAAAAAAGGCTAATGTGGTAAACTTTATGTTATATATATTTTGTCACCATTTAAAAAATAATCTATTCAGTGAATATATAATTAGCTCCCACTGTAGCTGAAACCTATTTTGTTTAGATTTCCAAATTACTAGTAAATGTATTCTGTGTGGGGACATGCACATAAAATGAATCTCACTTTGTAATTGACACATAATATATGTACATATTTTCACAGCACATGTGATATTTTGATACATTCATATAATGTGAAATTTAAAAATTAGGGTAATTAAGGTGTCAATTACCTTATACATTTATCTTTTCTTTATGCTGGAACATTTGAATTATTAACTACTAGCTATTTTAAAATATACAATAGATTATTGTCTACTATAGTCATTCTACTTATTTATCAAACAGTAGGTCTTATTTCTCCCACCTACCTGTATTTTTATAACTATTAATCAACCTCTCTTCACTCCTCCTTTCCCCCTACCCTTCCAGGCCTCTGGAAAATAAATATCTTTGAAAAACAGCCCCTGGTATGTTGTGCACATCAGATATCCTAGAATGTACTTTCAAAAGCTCCAAAGAATTATAATTGCACTTTAATTTGAATAATTTTATTACTATTTTGGTTCTTTACCTATATAAAAAAACACAGGTCATAACAAGAAGATATCCATAAATTCTGCTGATGGCCTAAGCATATATGCTTATAGTCCAAGTGCAGCTAAAAATGAACACTGTACCTGATAGAGCATAATAGGTTCTATGTTGTATCCTAAGGTATCGGCAAAGTTCTTAGCGATCACTGTTTTTCCACAACCCTACAAATGGAAAAAATTATTCAAGAGGTAAGTCAAAATAACCAAAAGCCAGGAAACTAAAAGTCTGCAGTGAGACTGTCATTCTTACCTTTCCTCCAATTAAACATATATCTTTAACCATGTGAGACTGCATCATTTCAGCCTGTAGCTGCTTATGGCTCAAAGTCTGTATGAAACGGTCTGACGCACAAGGTTGACTTAATAGCCTGGTCCCGGCTGGCACCTATAATTAAAGAGAGGTCAATATAACATGGCCAGATGTGGTGGCTCACGCCTATAATCCCAACACTTTGGGAGGCCAAGGCAGGCAGATCACTTGAGGTTAGTAGTTCGAGACCAGCCTGGCCAATATGGTGAAACCCCATCTCTACAAAAATACAAAAAAATTAGCTGGGCATGGTGGTGCGCAACTGTGATCCCAACTACTCAGGGGGCTGAGGTAGGAGAATCGCTTGAACCCAGGAGGCGGAGGTTGCAGTGAGCCAAGATTGCGCCACTGCACTGCAGCCTGGGCAACAGAGCGAGACTCTGTCCCAAAAAAAAAAATATATATATATATATATGTGTGTGTGTGTGCGCGTGTGTGTGTGTATATGTGTGTGTGTGTGTGTAAAACATGCATGTTTTTCTCAAAATATCAGTAACTTAAAGTATATAACTGCCACTTAAAAGCCTCCAACTAATAGCTTGCTCAATTTAATTCTTTACTGTTTTTGATATTTCAATAGAGCAGCAACTATTTTTTCATTTAATAGATCTGATGATCATTATTACAAATCTTCCAAATCAATTATTTCCCTAAAATTAAAGTCCCACATTATCAGATGTATTCATAAAAATCATGTCATCTTAATGCTATTTATAACTTATAGTAAAGATATTACTACTGGAGAATAAATTTTTTTCCCAAAATTCTAGTTGTAAGCACAGAATTTAATGTTAGTCCACTGGAATCTCTAAAGTCACCAATGACCTCCTGATTTCTAAAAGTCAAGTCCACAAATCCTTTTCAGGTTTATCTTAGTTTACCACTGAGAGGCATCTGTTCACATATTCTCTCTTCCCATCTTTTACATCTACTTCTCATTTTATTTTTTGTCTTCCCCTTTTATTATTTATCCTCCACTATTAGTTCCCAAGGAGCCATGTTCTGATGAGGACTCTGGGCTGGATCATGTTATATACCACACGAACCAAAGAATTCTAAGTTTGGAAGTGACAGGATCAGATTTGCATTTAAGAATTTAACCTGGTATCAACATGGAAAGCTAACTGGAAGAGACTAGAGGCAATGAGGTTAAAAAGCCATTACCAAAGGGAAGCAAATAATGAAGTCTTGTTCATACCTCATGCTTCTGAACATATTGTTTAAACTGCCAAAAATGTTCTATCCACTCCTGAGCCACTTGAAAAATCCTATATTATTCTTGCAGGCTTAGCTCAAGCTTCATCTTCTCTCTGAAGCTTTCCCTATTCCGTCTCCTGAATCCCAGTATTACTTTCTTCTCCATATCCCCAGTCATTCCAATGCAGTCTTAACTCGTCTGCCTCTATCCTAAACTATCAGCTAGATGAACCATTCATCTGAACAAAACAGAGAGTATAGTGGGGAACTGTCCCTGTCTAGAAATCCCAGCTGTGCCATCTCCTAGCTGCTGTCTCTGGGTGAATCATTAACCTCTTTACATCTCAGTTTTCTAATCTACAAAATGGAGATAATAAAACTTACCTTAATGGATCTTGCGGGATTTAAATCGTGTAATATATGCAGAGACAAATACAGTAAATAGTACACAGTAAACTCATAATATGGAACCTAGCTCATGGTGGATATAATCAATATTCAGTTCAATGAATAAGTACAGTAACATGAATTAATATTAATAATATCAAATATTAAAACAAAAAAGTTTATCATGAGCTGGGCACAGTGGCATGTGCCTGTAGTCCCAGCTACTCAGGAGGCTAAGGCAGGAGTATTGTTTGAGCTCAGGAATTCAAAACAAGCCTGGGCAATATAGTAAGACTCCATAAAATGTGTGTATATATACACATATAGATATATATAGAAGGAGCTGATATATATATAACATATATACATGCAGATGGAGCTCTATGACCAAATATTATTTCCCTCTCTAAAAACAATTCAACCAGAGCAGATCCTTTTTAAACCGTTTCACATAGCTAAGAAAGATTTTACTTGAAAATAGGTCTCTGTAGCAGCTCAAATGTTTGAAAACACTATTTCTTACCAAGGACTCATAGCACAAAATGCTGTCAGTAATCAGCCTGTGACTTGATTTTCCCACAGGTCAACTTTGAATTTTTGATGAAAGGCTTTCCCTATGTTTCTCCTGAACTTTTCCAGTTTATAAGCACACATGACTCTGGAGACATAGACATATAGATACCGACAGAAGCAGTACTATCAAGAGAGAAGACTTACAAGGAGATCATAAACCCAATTTAGGTCATAAAAACAGGCAGAATAAGGTATATCATAGAAAGAATAAACCTGTGATTAATTACCTTAATGGTCACCTCTTTATCTGCAATCCGGATGGTCACAGAAGCTTGGGACACATGGTTTTCCATCATCTTCTCTACTTTTACAATCTCTTTAGGAAGTAGAGAGCTTCCTGAATCTTGAAGTTCAAAGCGCTGTAAAATTACAAGAAAATCATGCAATTTACTTTTCATTTTAGCATTAACATTGGCTATCTGACAGATTACACCTTAATTACAAGTGAAATCCATTTTATATTATTATATAAAAGTAGAGGTTAGGCCAAGGGCGGTGGCTCAGGCCTGTTAATCCCAGAACTTTGGGAGGCCAAGGCGGGCGGATCAGAGGGTCAGGAGATCGAGACCATCCTGGCTAACACGGTGAAACCCCGTCTCTACTAAAAAATAGAAAAAAAATTAGCTGGGCGTGGTGGCGGGCACCTGTAGTACCAGCTACTCGGGAGGCTGAGGCAAGAGAATGGCGTGAACCCGGGAGGTGGAGCTTGCAGTGAGCCGAGATCGCGCCACTGCACTCCAGCATGGGCAAAACGGCAAGACTCCGTCTCAAAAAAAAAAAAAAAAAAAGGAAAAAAAAAAAGTAGAGGTTAAAAAAAGTTAACGAAAATTTTTTTCTATTCCTACTAATACCATTCTACTTACAATAATTATTAAAGATCATATTAAAATAGTCCCTAAAATTTACTAAATGACAAGAAATGGAATCACTGAATTCCTGACCTGGTAGAAGTTCATAGTTTACATTTCTTGACAATCAACTTCCTAGAAGGAGATGATGAGACCCTTCAAAATATGCTGAAATAGGCCCATATTGGTTTATTCTTTAAATCAATCGAAGTTAATGTGTTACCTGAAATTCATGAAAACAGAACTTCTTGGCCATCATTCTGCTGTCAGCTATGTGAATAGCTTAACTAAAATTATTATAACAATTTTCCACAGCATATGGTACAGTGCTTTCTACACTATAGGGGTCTCAATATTTGTTGAACTGGATTTAAAAGGCTAGAACCACCAGGCACAGTAGCTCATGCCTGTAATCCCAGCACTTTGGGACGCCAAGGCAAGCGGATCACCTGAGGTCAGGAGTTCGACACGAGCCTGGCCAACATGGTGAAACCCTGTCTACTAAAAATACAAAAATTAGCTGGGCATGGTGGCACGCACCTGTAGTCCCAGCTACTTGGGAGGCTGAGGCACGAGAATCCCTTGAACCCAGAGACAGAGGTTGCAGTGAACTGAGATTGTGCCACTGCACTCCAGCCTGGGCAACAGAGCGAAAACTTTGTCTCAAAAAAAAAAAAAAAAAAAAAAAAAAAAAGGCTAGAACCATTGATTCTTGATGTGGCCCAATTATCAACGTTCTAACATTGACTACACCACTTCATTCCAGCTAGCTATATCAAAACTACACAGAAAGAATACAGGTAAGTATGTGAAAGATGAAAATAAATTGAAAATTAAGTTCTATGCCTTATTTATAACAGCATGCTCAATATAAAAAACTGAATTTATTTTTACTATTAAATAGGCAGAAATTAACCCCCAAAATCCTACACTAGTTTTGGAACATTATTACTATAGTGAAAGAGTTGAAACTCAATGAAAGAACAGATCATCATGTATTCAGCAGAATGAAAGAACTCCAGAAAATAGATTTGGGAGGAAGAAAATCATGTTTAACCTCAACATTCTAAACTTAACATCCCAGTTCAAGTCTTCATTTTGATGTCATAAGTACTCAAGACAATCACTAACTCCTTTCCCCAAACCTAAAAAAAAACCTGTGAATTTATACTGCCATTAAAAAGTTCTATATTTCATACAATTTATATATGCAAATCCCCACAGTATCACATAATTTGACAAGAATTGCTTCCATGTTGTAGACAAATAACAACTATTGACACCTTAATTTCATGAAAAAAAAAAAGTTCCACTGTATTTTAAGGAGAACTCAACAGGAAAGGAGCAAGACCTACCCAAGTAATTAAATTCATTAGAATGTAGAACAAATGGCTGGGCGCAAAGGCTAATGCCTATAATCCCAGCACTTTGGGAGGCAGAGATGGGTGGATCACTTGAGGTCAGGAGTTCAAGACCAGCCTGGCCAACATGGTGAAACCCCGTCTCTACTAAAAATACAAAAATTAGCTGGGCGTGGTGGCATGTGCCTGTAATCCCAGCTACTCGGGAGGCTGGGTCAGGAGAATCGCTTGAACCCAGGAAGAGGAGGTTGCAGTGAGCCAAGACGTGACACTGCACTCTGCTTGGTGACAGAGCAAGACTCCGTCTCAAAAAAAAAAAAAAAAAGAAAAAAAATTTAGAACGAAGATTCATTAAATTCTAGGAAAACAAATAAATGAGCTTAAATGTATGTTTTCCCACAGCTAGAGTAGTGTCAATCTAACTTGATACAGGAGTGACGTCAGAGGACACATATTCCAGAAATAAACACTATGTCCTGAGCCACTTGCTACACTGGTTATGTCCACACAAATAATTAAAGCTAAAATATTTTAGTAAAATAAAAATAGTAGGCCAGAATACACTAAGATAGTAAAAACCTCAAATTGCAAGGTGAATTATCATTTTCTGGCATGGAAAATTTAGAGGATTGTTACTCAGAAAGGTATTAATCAGAAAGGTACCCCCATATTCTCTATCTCCAACTCCATCATTTAAGTTTCTCAGTCCAAAAGCTTGAAATCACCCTTACCTCTGTCTCAACCCTGCATCCAACCCTTCAGCAAATCATAATGATTCTACCTTCAAACTATAACCCAAATGCAACTACTTCTTATCAACATCACAGCTGGTCAGAAGAACAATAGACATATAATTATTTCAGGTTACTTCCTAGCAAGAAGTAGAAAATAAGAGTTTGTTAACTTACCACTTTCTGAGTATTTCCTATGAATTCTTGAATTTCAATTAAACAGTATTAACATTTTCTTTTTTATTTTTTTAAATTTATTATTATACTTTAAGTTTTAGGGTACATGTGCACAATGTGCAGGTTAGTTACATATGTATACATGTGCCATGCTGGTGTGCTGCACCCACTAACTCGTCATCTAGCATTAGGTATATCTCCCAATGCTATCCCTCCCCACTCCCTCCACCCCACAACAGTCCCCAGAGTGTGATGTTCCCCTTCCTGTGTCCATGTGTTCTCATTGTTCCATTCCCACCTATGAGTGAGAATATGCGGTGTTTGGTTTTTTGTTCTTGCAATAGTTTACTGAGAATGATGATTTCCAATTTCATCCATGTCCCTACAAAGGACATGAACTCATCATTTTTTATGGCTGCATAGTATTCCATGGTGTATATGTGCCACATTTTCTTAATCCAGTCTATCGTTGTTGGACATTTGGGTTGGTTCCAAGTCTTTGCTATTGTGAATAGTGCCGCAATAAACATACATGTGCATGTGTCTTTATAGCAGCATGATTTATAGTCCTTTGGGTATATACCCAGTAATGGGATGGCTGGGTCAAATGGTATTTCTAGCTCTAGATCCCTGAGAAATCGCCACACTGACTTCCACAATGGTTGAACTAGTTTACAGTCCCACCAACAGTGTAGAAGTGTTCCTATTTCTCCACATCCTCTGCAGCACCTGTTGTTTCCTGACTTTTTAATGATTGCCATTCTAACTGGTGTGAGATGGTATCTCATTGTGGTTTTGATCTGCATTTCTCTGATGGCCAGTGATGATGAGCATTTTTTCATGTGTCTTTTGGCTGCATAAATGTCTTCTTTTGAGAAGTGTCTGTTCATGTCCTTCACCCACTTTTTGATGGGGTTGTTTGTTTTTTTCTTGTAAATTTGTTTGAGTTCTTTGTAGATTCTGGATATTAGCCCTTTGTCAGATGAATAGGTTGTGAAGATTTTCTCCCATTTTGTGGGTTGCCTGTTCACTCTGATGGTAGTTTCTTTTGCTGTGCAGAAGCTCTTTAGTTTAATTAGATCCCATTTGTCAATTTTGGCTTTTCTTGCCATTGCTTTTGGTGTTTTAGACATGAAGTCCTTGCCCATGCCTATGCCCTGAATGGTAATGCCTACGTTTTCTTCTAGGGTTTTTATGGTTTTAGGTCTAACGTTTAAGTCTTTAATTCATCTTGAATTGATTTTTGTATAAGGTGTAAGGAAGGGATCCAGTTTCAGCTTTCTACATATGGCTAGCCAGTTTTCCCAGCACCATTTATTAAATAGGGAATCCTTTCCCCATTGCTTGTTTTTCTCAGGTTTGTCAAAGATCAGACAGTTGTAGATATATGGCGTTATTTCTGAGGGCTCTGTTCTGTTCCATTGATCTATATCTCTGTTTTGGTACCAGTACCATGCTGTTTTGGTTACTGTAGCCTTGTAGTATAGTTTGAAGTCAGGTAGTGTGATGCCTCCAGCTTTGTTCTTTTGGCTTAGGATTGACTTGGCAATGTGGGCCCTTTTTTGGTTCCATATGAACTTTAAAGTAGTTTTTTCCAATTCTGTGAAGAAAGTCATTGGTAGCTTGATGGGGATGGCATTGAATCTATAAATTACCTTGGGCAGTATGGCCATTTTCACAATATTGATTCTTCCTACCCATGAGCATGGAATGTTCTTCCATTTGTTTGTATCCTCTTTTATTTCATTGAGCAGTGGTTTGTTGTTCTCCTTGAAGAGGTCCTTCACATCCCTTATAAGGTGGATTCCTAGGTATTTTATTCTCTTTGAAGCAATTGTGAATGACTACTGGGTACATAACGAAATGAAGGCAGAAATAAAGATGTTCTTTGAAACCAACGAGAACAAAGACATAACATACCAGAATCTCTGGGACACATTCAAAGCAGTGTGTAGAGGGAAATTTATAGCACTAAATGCCCACAAGAGAAAGCAGGAAAGATCCAAAATTGACACCCTAACATCACAATTAAAAGAACTAGAAAAGCAAGAGCAAATATATTCAAAAGCTAGCAGAAGGCAAGAAATAACTAAAATCAGAGCAGAACTGAAGGAAATTGAGACACAAAAAAATCCTTCAAAAAATTAATGAATCCAGGAGCTGGTTTTTTGAAAGGATCAACAAAATTGACAGACCGCTAGCAAGACTAATAAAGAAAAAAAGAGAGAAGAATCAAATAGACACAATAAAAAATGATAAAGGGGATATCACCACCAATCCCACAGAAATACAAACTACCATCAGAGAATGCTACAAACACCTCTACGCAAATAAACTAGAAAATCTAGAAGAAATGGATAAATTCCTCGACACATACACTCTCCCAAGACTAAACCAGGAAGAAGTTGAATCTCTGAATAGACCAATAACAGGAGCTGAAATTGTGGCAATAACCAATAGCTCACCAACCAAAAAGAGTCCAGGACCAGATGGATTCACAGCCAAATTCTACCAGAGGTACAAGGAGGAACTGGTATCATTCCTTCTGAAACTATTCCAATCAATAGAAAAAGAGGGAATCCTCCCTAACTCATTTTATGAGGCCAGCACCATCCTGATACCAAAGCCGGGCAGAGACACAACCAAAAAAGAGAATTTTAGACCAATATCCTTGATGAACATTGATGCAAAAATCCTCAATAAAATACTGGCAAACCAAATCCAGCAGCATATCAAAAAGCTTATTCACCATGATCAAGTGGGCTTCATCCCTGGGATGCAAGGCTGGTTCAATATATGCAAATCAATAAATGTAATCCAGCATATAAACAGAGCCAAAGACAAAAACCACATGATTATCTCAATAGATGCAGAAAAGGCCTTTGACAAAATTCAACAACGCTTCATGCTAAAAACTCTCAATAAATTAGGTATTGATGGGACGTATCTCAAAATAATAAGAGCTATCTATGACAAACCCACAGCCAATATCATACTGAATGGGCAAAAACTGGAAGCATTCCCTTTGAAAACTGGCACAAGACAGGGATGCCCTCTCTCACCACTCCTATTCAACATAGTGTTGGAAGTTCTGGCCAGGGCAATTAGGCAGGAGAAGGAAATAAAGGGTATTCAATTAGGAAAAAAGGAAGTCAAATTGTCTCTGTTTGCAGATGACATGACTGTATATCTAGAAAACCCCATTGTCTCAGCCCAAAATCTCCTTAAGCTGATAAGCAACTTCAGCAAAGTCTCAGGATACAAAATCAATGTGCAAAAATCACAAGCATTCTTATACACCAATAACAGACAAACAGAGAGCCAAATCATGAGTGAACTCCCATTTTCTAATACACTTTCTTTAGAATTAGGTTATTTAAACTGTGAATTATAATTAAATAAAATGAAATATAAATCACATTGGATATTGGTCTGTCAGGCTTCCCTATTCATCCTTACAATTCCCAATCCTGTCCCATCAGGCCATCTACTTTCTTCATACCTTTTTCTAGATTGTTAAGTACTGAAAGTGAAATTCTGCATACCATGTTGCCTGAACAAATATGTTGCCACAATCTCTCCTGGGCTCTTTTCTCATAGCCCCTCAGCAACAAATACAAACCATTACTGCTCTCCTCAGAAGTAAATCTGAGCCCATTTACCACCCTTTCAAGAGGCAATCTAGCTGCCTCCTCCACTCAGAACAGAGCTTTCAGACACATACTCCTCCATACTTTACTAGAATGTAAGCCCCATTAGGGCAATATTAAATGTATCTATTTGGCTCACTCCAAATTTCCAGAACCTAGAATCACACATGGGACGGTCAATGGTCAACAATGGTTTGTTAAATGAACAAACAAAATTATTTTTCCTTCATCCTCAAAATCATTGATGTTTTAATCAATTCTTGTTATTGTTCCCACTGTTTCAGTAGAAAGGACTTCTGCTTTAACTATGAGTAGACAGAAACCCCTAGAAGACTTACTATGTCATATTATGGCAGCTTCATCATTCCAGTTCCTGAGTGGAAAGCATGTTCTTCCATCATTTCAAAACAAGACACAAGGGTGCTCTGAAAATGTCCTTTTCCACCTCAGCTAGGGCACATTTTCCATGCACTCCACATTTTTTGTCCCTTCTGCCTATAAAAATGTTTGTCTCCCCATTCCAGAAACAGTCATTTCTTCATTATACCTCATCCTTAAGTGATCTATCATCTTTTGGCTTTTGTTCACCATCAAACTTCATTGATACATATGAATTATAATCACTGGGGGTTCAGCTTCATCTCCAATTTAAAATGTAAGCCCCTTGATTTTTGGCTTACATTCCCACCACTCTACTAACACTGATCTTGGTAGGTCCATCAATAATATCCTATTTACCAAATTAAATAAATTAGTTTTCTTCCTATTTTGCTGTTTCCTTCTCAGTCTTTTTTGCAGTTTCTTCTTCATCTTCTTGACCAGTACACAGTAAGGTACTTCAGGAGTGGAACTTTTTATTTTCTATCTACATTCACTTTTTAAATAAGCTCATCACTTGCATGACTTTACAAACCATCATGACCCCGATTTTCTCTCTCCAGTACAGATCTCTCTCCTGAAATCTTGACTTGTATATGCAACTGCCTCTTTGACATTTTCAGTTGGCTAATAGGCATCTTAAATCAAATATGTCCAATACTCAGGTCTGATATTCCCTCCACCTCCATATTCTCTATCTCCAACTTCATCATTCACGTTTCTCAGTCCAAAAGCTTGAAATCATCCTTAACTCTGTATCAACCCTACATCTAACCCTTCAGCAAATCAAAATGATTCTACCTTCAAAACATAACCCAAATCCAACTACTTCTTATCAACATCACAGCTGGTCAAAGCTACAATAGTGTCTCAACTGGATTACTACAACAGTCTACCAACTATTTTTTCCCTGTTTTCATTCATACCCTCCACAGTCTATTCACTACTCAGCAACCAGAATGAGCCTGTTAAAATGATCACTCATACAACACATTCCTCAAAACCCTCTAATGGTGTTCCACCTCACACAGACTGAAAGCAGAAGTCCTTTCCATGGATTACAGAGCCCTACATGATCTTTCTTTACCTTCTGATTTCTCTCCTAATCACCTCTCCTTCACTCACTCTGCCCCAATACATTGTCCTTTGCTTTTCCTACAGTTCCCAGGTGTGCTCCTGCCTCAGCGTTTTTATACTGGTTATCCCTTCTGTCTGAAATACTTTCTACCCACAGGACTTCTCTCCTTCAGAAATTTATTCAAATGTCATCTTCTCAGTGACAGCATCCATTCCTCAATTGATATATTATATACTTATTTACTTACTTGACTGACAGTCGCCCTTCATTGAAAAATAAGCTCCACGAAGGTAGAAACTTCTGTTTTGCATACATCTCCAGCACAATAGTGCCTGGCTAATTGATTGGATGGAAGGATGGATGGAATGAATAATCTTTTTTGAGTGAATATTATAACTCTTCATTTAACAAGGCATCTTTGCAGCATTTGAAACAGTTGCTATTACTTTCTTCTTCAAACAGTTGTTCCCAATGCTCTCTAAGAATACTCTCCGCAGTTCTGCTTCTATCTCTAACCACTCTTCCTCTGCCTAATATGAAGGTTCTTTCCCTACTTATCCAATCCTGAAATGTTCAATCTGCAGACAGATTTTTCCTCTCTTTATACTTGCATTCCTTAAGTTGTTACATCCATCCCCATGAATTCAACTAACACCCACACATTAACGGGTTCCAAGTATTTATCTTTAATATCAAAATACCTCTAGAACCAGGTCCATATTTTCAAGTCTGCTAGATAAAACCACCAGAAAAACCTCAAATTCAAAAGGGTTCTAGTATATGGAATTATTTAGCCCCCACCACAAATGTGATCCTTCTCCCACTTTATCATATTAATTAACAGCAACTATACTCACGTGTCCAAGGTAGGATTTATGGACATTTTTGATTTCTCACTTTCTCTCATATCTCCCTTAACCCACCTCATATTTCATCAGTTAGTAACATGTATCATCCTTCTTCTGAAACATTTCTCATATTTGTTTAATTCTTATTTCACTGGCCTACTTCAGGTCATTACTGCTTTGACCAGAGCTAGTCATCATGCTACACTGCTTAAAAAAAAAACAAAACACATATTAAAATAGTTATTTATTGAAATATCTGATGCTCCTCAGACATTAATATTGTAACTTCCTCAGGAGCTGAAATCAGATTGTATCCATTTCTGTATCACTACCTTTCTATATGCATATAATTTGCCAAAAAATGAATGCTCAATTAGTGTTTGTTGAACTAAATAAAAATACTAAATGTAAGATCCAAGTTTCTTAGAAAAAAACTATGGCTCAGATTACATTATCAATGGATAAGTGGCAGTATATCCTTTCTAAATCACCAAGAGAACTTACCAATTTAACCACTGTTATGATGCAGTCTTAACTGAGACCAAGAGCCAAGACACGTTACTAGAAGCCTGGATGTATTTGTTACTAAACTGTAAGAAAGCATACTATTCTCAAAGTATAGCAGATTCAGAATGAGAGGGTTTTCTTTAAGACATCCTTAACTAAAAGCTAGAAAGTATTTCATGACTACAGAAACATGTTTTTAGAGTATGAACATCACATGATGAGCACCATCTGGGGAATGAAAGTCATTCCAGCCACTTTTATAGCTTGTTCAGAAAAAAGAAAGGTATTGTGAATTCTATCTGATTGAATTTTCAGTGACTAATAATTTTTCCTTAAAAATAGTCTAATTAAGTAATTACACTAAAATTTAAATGGATTTCTAATTTGAATGCAACTATACATTAATTTCTATGATAATCTAGGAGAAAAAATAATTATCATTTATCAAGGAAAAGTTAATGTGTATATATACATACCTTCTTAATTTACCATTATAATACATACTTCTATTTCTTAAGTAAACATTTTTTTCCAAATTCAACAATATTTTATTAATTTTTACCTCTTCTAATTCAAAACTATTTGAGCACATATATTTCACCCACCTATAAATATTAGCTTAAAATAATGCTTTGAGGTAAATGTAGAAACTTACAATAACAAACAGACCACATAGACTTCCCAGAACAGATGATAAAGAATTATATCAATAAATACTCTTCCACTCTTTTTTTTTTTTGACTCTTCCACTCTTAAGAAAAGCTATTTAAGATGCTAATCTGGTTGTATACATCATTGTGTAATGATCTTACAAAAAGAAAGTACTTCATTAAGATCAGACAAATGAACTTAAGCCCTCCCACTTGACAGTTTACTGAGTTACAACTGTCCATTAACTAGCTCTTCACATAATTAAGGTGAGAAGACAGCCATACTTTCTCCTCTTATCTAATACCAATCCCTTTTTCCTTTTTAAAACACTCTACATTCAAATTTGAAATCATTTCTGTTCCAATATAAACGCAATCATTTTTCTACGTTCCCCTTAATTATGGTTAAAATAAAGACCAAAAAATGAAGCAACACTAGCTACTTTATTAAGAAAATTCAACTCTTTAAAGATATTCTATAACTTTATAATAAATTTGTATGACTAGTTTTGAAATTACAGACCAAAAAATACATCAAAGTGGTTTCTTGGTAAAGATAAAGACCTTTGTTCATAACTGACTTTATTAGACACTGAATATCTTCTCTCAGTTTTTTTCACAAAAAACATTACATTGCTTCATTTTATCAGAACTTCTCATGAGTTTCTTCCTCCCTGAGGATGTGCCCTTGTTCCCAAGGCACTGCACATTGGGCTGAGGGGCATTAAAGTTCATCTGGAGTCACGACCTTTGATCTTAAACACTAGGTACTCTACTTCGATGACCAATGGCCAATTTAGCTTAGGTGTTGATTAAATCAAAGATAAGTTCCGGTTCTCTTTTTCCCCAGCACCTGGAATAAACCTTGAAGTGAACTATATTGTCAGAAGATGGTAATTTCCTGACTCCTTGAGCCTATGAATTAATCTCCCCATTTCCACATGGTTCTTAATATCCACCCTCCTCCTCTTTCTGCTGCTGTTCCTCCTCCTCCTTCTCCTCCTACTCTTCCTCTCTCTCTCATACATACACACATACACACACACACACACACACACACACACACACACCTTTCTTCTCTTTCATCATTGGTTATTTCACTGCTTCCATCCTCTGCTGTCTCTTCCCTCCTTTGTCTCTTTATTGACCATTATTTTCCCCTTGCTTCTTTTTGCTTCTCTTATAGATTCCGTCTCTAACTACACCTCTCTTCTCATTATCTATTAGGAACAGCTGTATATTAATTTTATCTTATTATTATTATTGACATAACCAGTCAATGAAAATACTGTTTCTTTGGGTTCTTTGGCTAACTGCTCTGAAAAAAAAAAAATACCACTTAAGTAATTAGAATCCAATGTTCCACTCTTCTAAGGTCTTCTCATTATTAATAGATACACAGAGGGTGTTGTGTATCCCAAAGACCCTGGGTAGATTTGAAGATAAGGGAGAGAGAAATACCATTCCATATGCTTAACGTTGTCAAATCCTGGCCTCCAGAAACTGAAGGTTCTATACAGAAAGCCATACAGCTTAGTGGTCACATTCTATTTCTTAGAAATCCACACCTTGAGCCAAACCATGTAAGAAAAACAAAAACCATCTTTCATATGGAGGAATTAATTTTGGTGAGCCAATAAGTCTCTGCCAAGGGTCAACACTTTAAACATATAGTTATAAGACATTTTAGAGTGTGACTGGCCTTTTGGAAAACACCACTGTTAACTATACAATGAGGAAATTATGCCACACATATTTTAAAAGAAAACCATGCCCCACGTATTATAAACCACTTATGACAAAAAATGAGACCTTCATTAGTTTAAATGAAAGCTCTATAGCAATTTCCATAGTTTTATATAAAATACTTGCTTTTCAAGTTAATAACCTTCACCCAGTTTCCTCAATGGTTAACATTTTTTTAGCACATTTCCCCCTCCCTCCTACTCCCCCTGCCTATTTTATCAGTTATCTTTATCTGAACAATTTGAGAGTAAGCTGCAGATATGATGCCCCTATACCCCTAAACACTCCAGTTGGTATTTCCTGAAAACAAGAACTGTGGCCAGTATAATCACCACATAAGCCTCCAAATGAGGAAATCCACTTAATATAACACTATTATCCAATCCACAGACCCTACTCAAGTTTTACCAACAGTGCCAATATTGTCACTTGCTTCTAATGGTCCAGGATTTAATTCAGGAACATATGATGCATTTAGCTATCCAATCTCTTCAGTCTCCTTTAGCCTGGAACATTTCTATGTTTTTCCCTGTCTTTCATGTCTGAACAGTTTTAAAGAATAGAGGCCTATGTTCTATACAATGACCCTCAACCTAGAAATCTACAATATTTCCTCATGGCCAAACATACATCATGAACTCTCAGCAAAAATTCCCCAGAAATGGGGAATTTGGGAGGCATACAATGTCAATTTGTCCCACCTGGTCAAGTTGAAGTTTACTGTAAAAATACCACTTTCTTGTTTTGTAGTCAACTGAGTCTTTTGGAGGGAGATATTCAGAGATTATGTCAATACCCTGTGTCTCATAGAGGCTCCACCTGCCAGCTTTAACATCCTTTGATGACTCCTGTCTAAATTAACTGCCACTCTGATGGTTGCCAAATGGTGTTTTTTCTATTTATGTAATTCCTTCTAGATTCACAAGTAGGCATTTTACACTTTAAAAGAGAACTCCCATCTCCATATTTTTTGTTCATTTCTATCAGTATGGACTCATGGATTCCTATTTTATGTAACAGGTTAAAACCAATTACCATCATCATTTATTTTTATGCTCAAATTGTCCCAGATTTCAGCCACTTCAACCTGGGAACTCCATCATTTTGACATATCGACATCATTTGTTGAATATTTCCTTACTCTCTGGCACAAAAAGATGGTCCAGGCTCATCTTCTGCATTCCCTGACCTAATCCTTTTAGAGAGCATGGTATTTAGAAACCAATGTCCAGGTACTTGGTATGATCACTGCTACTAGAACATCATAGTTTTTTTTTGCCGGGGGGGGGGGGGGGGGGGTAAGGTCACAGATCAACAGGATAAGAATTTTTCTTAGTACAGAACAAAATGAAAAGTCTCCCATGTCTACCTCTTTCTACACAGACACGGCAACCATCCGATTTCTCAATCTTTTCCCCACCTTTCCCCCCTTCTGTTCCACAAAACCGCCATTGTCATCATGGCCCGTTCTCAATGAGCTGTTGGGTACACCTCCCAGACGGGGTGGTGGCCAGGCAGAGGGGCTCCTCACTTCCCAGTAGGGGCGGCTGGGCAGAGGGCTCCTCACTTCCCAGTAGGGGCGGCCGGGCAGAGGCGCCCCTCACCTCCCGGACGGGGCGGCTGGCCGGGCTGGGGGCTGACCCCCCCACCTCCCTCCTGGACGGGGCGACTGGCTGGGCAGAGGAGCTCCTCACTTCCCAGTAGGGGCGGCCGGGCAGAGGTGCCCCTCACCTCCCGGACGGGGCGGCTGGCCGGGCGGGGGGCTGACCCCCCCACCTCCCTCCCGGACGGGGCGGCTGGCCTGGCGGGGGCTGACCCCCACCTCCCTCCCGGACGGGGTGGCTGCTGGGCGGAGACGCTCCTCACTTCCCAGACAGGGTGACTGCCGGGACGGAGGGGCTCCTCACTTCTCAGATGGGGCGGCTTCCGGGCGGAGGGGCTCCTCACTTCTCAGACGGGCGGTTGCCAGGCGGAGGGTCTCCTCACTTCTCAGACGGGGCGGCCGGGCAGAGACGCTCCTCACCTCCCAGACGGGGTCGCGGCCGGGTGGAGGTGCTCCTCACATCCCAGACGGGGCGGCAGGGCAGAGGCTCTCCCCACATCTCAGACGATGGGCGGCCGGGCAGAGACGCTCCTCACTTCCTAGATGGGATGGCGACCGGGAAGAGGCGCTCGTCACTTCCTAGATGGGATGGCGGCCGGGCAGAGACGCTCCTCACTTTCCAGACTGGGCAGCCAGGCAGAGGGGCTCCTCACGTCCCAGACGACGGGCGGCCAGGCAGAGACGCTCCTCACTTCCCAGACGGGGTGGCGGCCAGGCAGAGGCTGCAATCTCGGCACTTTGGGAGGCCAAGGCAGGCAGCTGGGAGGTGGAGGTTGTAGCGAGCCGAGATCACACCACTGCACTCCAGCCTGGGCACCATTGAGCACTGAGTGAACCAGACTCCGTCTGCAATCCCAGCACCCCGGGAGGCCAAGGCTGGCGGATCACTCGCGGTTAGGAGCTGGAGACCAGCCCGGCCAACACAGCGAAACCCCGTCTCCACCAAAAAAATACGAAAACCAGTCAGGCGTGGCGTCGCGCGCCTGCAATCGCAGGCACTCGGCAGGCTGAGGCAGGAGAATCAGGCAGGGAGGTTGCAGTGAGCCGAGATGGCAGCAGTACAGTCCAGCTTCGGCTGGGCATCAGAGGGAGACCGTGGAAAGAGAGGGAGAGGGAGACCGTGGGGAGAGGGAGAGGGAGAGGGAGAGCAATCCTATTTTTTTAACTAAATATGAGAACATCATAGTTTTTAGGCTGCCTTAGGAGACAGCTAGAAAATATGTGTATGTATACATATACACATACTATCTCTATCTATTTGTTCATATATATTGTTTAAAAAAAGTCATGATTCATAATAACACCAATTCCAATCCAATACCTTAGAGTTTTTTCTTGCCTTCCCCCTTTCCATGGTTATAAATCCCTCATCCAACAGTGAGAAGCATAACTCTTATTATCCTTAATATATTCATTCATTTGCTCAATCTATTTACTTATTTGCTCAACATAACCAATCTCCCAATCACACCAGCCCCTGTGTGTTTGCTGCCCTATTTATCACAGCTGTCTTCTTGTTGGAATGCTGATACCTCCATGCCTGGTAAAGAATGGAGGGGAAGGGAAAGGAAAGAAATAAGGATGGGGAGAGAAAAATAGGAAAGGTGGGGAAAGGAGTGAGGGGAAGATGGGAAAAGGCAAGGGAAGGGAAAATGGGAAAAGAAAGGAAAGAAAGGGAAGCAGACACTCACCTTTAAAACACCTTCCACAGCCATCTTCCCTTCATGACCTAGTAAAATACTATATGGATAAAGCCACTGGATTGCATGTTTGATTGGCATCATAGGAAAGGAATCCTATGTAGGAGCAAAAATACATAGGAATGAGCAAAATTCAAAATAATCACAGAAAACATCTGAAATGTACATATGACATTAAAATTGACTTATAAAAGTAACCAATAGGTGTCTGGTATTTTCTGTAAGTCTACAAAAGCAAATATTCATTATTTTCTCTTCTCATTCCTTGCCCTTTCTCTGGGTAAGCTTACCCATTCCCATCTTTCATTTATCTTCTATGTATTGATGGCTCCCACACTTCTATGTCTGGTCTTGACTTCTTTCTTGAGCTCTAAACCTGAACCCTCAATTGTTCATTACATGTGACTATATGAATATCCCATAGACCCCCATTTGAAACAGAATACATGTCTCTACCTTATTCATCCCAAAGTACCTGATCCCTTTTTATTCCTAAGTTAATCTCATCCACATTCACTTAGCTTCACAGTTATAACTACAAAATTAGAAAGTATTCATTATCCTCAAATCCTTCCTCACATTATCTGCACTGTCAATTCTGTTCACCCCACTTTAAAAGTCTGTTGACAAGAAAGATTAGTGAAATTTCAATATGAACTATCTATTAGATGATACTATGGATTACTGTTAACATGATATGAAGTGTGATAATGTTGTTCTGGTTATGTAGAAGAATGTCCTAATTCTTAGAAGTTGCATACTGATATGGTTTGGCTGTGTCCCCACCCAAATCTCATCTTGAATTGTAGCTCCCACAATCCCCACGTGTCATGGGAGGGACCCAGTGGGAGACAACTGAATCATGGAGGCAGTTAACCTCCATGCTGTTCTCATGATAGTGAGTTCTCATGAGATCTGATGGCTTTATAAAGGGCTTTTCCCCTCCTTCACTCTGCACTTTTCTCTCCTGCCACCATGTGAAGGACGTGTTTGCTTCCTCTTCCACCACGATTGTAAGTTTCCTGAGGCCTCCATAGCCTTGCAGAACTGTGAGTCAATTAAACCTCTTTTCTTTATAAATTACCCAGTCTCAGGTATTTCTTCATAGCAGCGGGAGAACGAACTGATACACACACTGAAGTATTTAAGAGTACTGACTGCAATTTACTTCCAAATGGTTCAGGAAAAAAAAAAAGAAAAAAGCACATGCAAACAAATGTGGCAATATATTAATAATGGGTGATTGTAGGTGAGGGGATTATGAATGTTTTACTGTTTTTCAACTTTTTTTTACATTTGAGAATTTTCAAAGTAAAATGTTCTAAGCAAAAACAAAAGATTTCATAAGAATTTTCAAAATAAAATGTTCTAAGCAAAAACAAAAAGATTTGATAAAAGTATAAGATTTGATAAACAGGAGGAGAAATTCTGTTCTGGATGTATAGAACAATGTCAACAATACCTAGGCTCCCTGACTCACATGAAACATACATATATACATACATACATACATACATACATACATACATACATACATACAAGTTTAAAAATAAGTCTCTTGCCTAAGATAGTATTCCCACTATCTTGGATGGTGCCCTCCTCCACAGGGTCTCACTGAGTGTTACAAAAGCTTCCTAGTCATTCCCTCACTTCCAACAAAGGTGTCTTCCTCCAACATAAGTCTGGTCACATTCATAGCCCACCAACTTAATATTGTCTGATAAGCCACTTTTTCCATATCATAAAATCCAGGAAACTTCATTCATCATGCAAAACATTTCACAATAGCGGTCTGACTTCTCCCTCTACCACACACACTTGCTTTAGGGATACAACTTATTCTCATTCTCCAAAGATACTAGGCCCTTTTGTGATTAAACACATTTGCCTGTGCTTTGACTTCCTGGGCCTTTTATCACTCCAGACATGACCGCCATGCCCTTTGTGAAACTGTAGTGGACAATGTCTGTACTCTATCAGATCCCCTCAGATCTGTTTGCATTCTCTCTTGTGCCTCCTAGCTTTCTCTTCCAACAGCAATTGCTGTAGGTCTTTCTAAGAAGACGATCCTTGGGCTCTTGAAGCCACCCTTGCACACATGCTGGGAGAGCAGTTAGTGTCTGGGAATTTGTGTCCCCTGAGACAACCATGACACAGAGACTGATGGAAGCTAGAACAGTGTGAAAGCCCTAGCTCCCCTAACTCAGGTAAGGACAGCTCTGAGGCCTAACTCACACTGCAGCACACCTCTTACTTGATCAGGCTAAAGCCTTCCTTCCCTCTGTAGAACTTTACTGAGATTGCATGTCTAGCTCCTACTCCAAAGCTGAAAGCTCTTTAGGGGCTCAGAACATGTCCTTGGTCTCTGTACAGTTTACTGCACTGCACAACAAATTAATCTCAGGCCTTACAATATTTATAGAAGAGTATGACAAAAGCAAACTGAAGTCATTAATCCCTAATGATTAACTTTCAAAATTTTTAACATATTTGGGTATGCCAGTCATTAATTTATTTTACTTACCAAGATTTGAACCGCAGCTGCTAAACTATCTAAAGGAAAGTCTGGAAGTCCAAGAGTAGAAGATTCTTGGGAACACAGAGTTGTGGCAAAGGACAAGAGCTGAGAAACTCTAAGGGAAAAATGATATTAAATTTTAATAGTTTTAAAATATAAAATGTGTAAGTTGTTAAATATAAAATACAGGGGCCAATTTAATTAATCTAAAAAAGATCCCTAATATTAATTCTTAAGGAACAATGGTTCCGCATCATAATATCCTACTTAAAACTCAGAAGCTGATTAGATGCAAATATATTCCTAAATTCATCACAATATTTGAGGTTTTTCACCACCTGGTCCAAATCTACCCTGCCAGCCTCATCTCTCACATTTCGTAATCCCAAACCTAAACTCTAGCCTCCAAGAGTTTTTTATGGCCCTAAAAACAAGGCATAAACTCTCACATTCCATGCTTTTAAAACAAACAAACAAACAAAACAAAAAAAAAACACTTGTTGTGTTCGAATTTCTTGATTCCACTCTCTATCTGGCAAAAACTTGCTCATTATTTAGGACCCATTTCAAACACCAATGCTTTTATGAAGCCCTTATAAAGTCTCAACTAATGCCCCCAAATATTTTCAAATTATGGCACTTACTATACCATGTTAACCAAAGCTATTCACATATCTTTCAACTCTATTAGATCTTGAGTTTCCTGCCAAAGATATCTTATTAATTTTATCACCAAACATCCTAATACTGAAAAATTCTTATAAGAATTCTAGTTGTTGAATGACTGAATTAATTAATCAATCAATCAATGAACAGGCAAAACAAATTCAATATTCAGTGTCCAGACATTTATAAAAATATACTTACTTCTCAGCAGAAACATTGGCTCCAATTGAATATAACAACTTAAGTTGGTCCTAAAGTAATACAGAAACATATTAAATTAATTAACAAGAAATGTAACAGATTAAATGCAAATGTTTTGTAGATACAATCCAACCTTTTAATTAAGCAGACACTAAATATTTAACAGCAAAAAATCATTTATTGATACATTTCATTTTCTAAAAGAAAAGCCAGCCTTTTAAAAAAAATCCTTCAAATAATGCCATAATAATTTTTCTTCCTAGTTTCCAGAGCTTTTCTTTACTCTTTATTCTCATATCTTTCCATGACCTACTCAGGAAGACATTCAAAACTGCAGTAACATTTTTATAGCATTGAAGTTCTTGTTATAAATAGAAAAACTGTTTAACAAATAAATTATCCTTGGTCTTACTTACCTTGAAGGGTAAATAATAAATATCCCTGGCTTGAAATCGAGAACGAAGAGGGGGGTCTAATGGATTCCCAGAATACCTTGGCACTGGCAAGCCCAAGGCAATCACTCGGAAATTTTCACTAACTCGGACAATTTTCCAAGAATCCAACTCTTTTTTGGTATGATCCTATAAAAGTAAGAGATCCGGAAGCTATAGCATAAATGATACAAATCACAACTGTAAGAGCTGCCAAGTCCAGGGACTTAGGACTTGACTGTTGAGAAAACTGTATTGGAGAACACTCTCAAATCCATACTGTCAAGGAAGGCAGCAAAGTGAAATCAGGTTCAGGATGCCAGGGCAGGCTCACAACATGAAGACTGGGGTGTTTGAAAGGAAAAGCAGTTAACACACCAAGGAATAAAGGAGACTTGGGTCAGATCTCCAAGCCTTAGTCAGTAACACAGAGGAAAACAGTCAGGGGGTAAGGAAAATACATGACTAGAGGTTGTAACAAAGGTAGTCCCCGACGGGCAGATCACCAGCAAAGCTGTGATTGATTACCAGTGGACCTTAAATAGATAATTATGTTTATGGTTATTCCTAGCAAAGCATATTACTAGCAATAACTAACATGTTTTGGAAACTTACTATGTGGTAAGCACATTCCATGGATTTTTCTCATTTAACTTTCACCAGAATCCAATATAGACTATCTCCTTTTTATATGAATGAATGAATCAAAGTTCAAAGGAGTTATATAACTTGCCCATCGTCCTGCAACTAGCATACAGTGGAGCTTAGAGAATGGAAACAGTATGGGTTTTAGAGTCACAAATCCTGGCTCAACTGCTTGATGTACACTTTTACTAAATGTTAGCGTATGCATGGTATTATACCTTTGGAACCTTAGCCTTCTTAGTAGGAAAAATATCACCTACATTATTGTGACTGCTAGGAAAACTAAATGTGTAAATGTATGTGCAAACAAGTGGCCCAAAGGAGGCACCTGTTAAATCTCATTTCCTTCCTTCTCTGCCTAACTCTTATCAATGGCTCTTCACATTCTTCAGCAGCAGGATCTACAGTATTGACTAAATTTGTGTGAATGCACATTTGTACACTCTGAGAGAAACGTCCACGGCTTTCAGCAATTCTTCACAGCCCAAATGACAATATAGAAACTCTTAAGATGGCACTTAAGGCCTTTCCTGGCAGAAGCCCTGATTCTCTCAGTCTCAGCAACCAGTACACGCCCGTCCCCTTGACCCTCCTTCCGTGACCCTGTGCTCCAATCCATCTCCCAACTGCAGCTCTCCAAACACATGATGCTGCTTCACCAACACTACTCCATCTTCTTGGAACAACACCCTTTTCACTCGCACACCGTAAACACAAGGGTCAGTCAAAGCTCAGCACAAAAAACATCTTCATATCTTCATAAAACTCAGATCCCCTTCCCTCATCAGAACCATTTTTGTACCCTTTTACTTTATCTTATGCAAGCTTCTATCATTATTTATTTGTGCATTTGCTTCTATACATGACTGTCTCATGCTAGCTCCACACTCTTGAAAGGACTTATTACCTCTAGTGTATAACAGGACAAATGTCTGTTGACTGATTGCATGAACTAATTTTAAAAATAATAATTATTTCAATCATATTTTGGTATGAATCAAAATCAGAAATCATACACCTAATTAACACACTGAAACTATGTCATATACACTAGAAAGTGAAAATCTGGATCTAGCCCTGTCTGAGAAACCAAAAGTAGAATCTTCAGAGAGCTGACTAAATATTTCTCTTTTTCATTTACTCAAAAATGTTAAATAAAATATAAAGTTCATACAAACTGAACTTTGTATCTCTTTCCATAGTAACAGAATTCTACTATAATCACCTTTATGAAACCAATAACATTTTTGAGATATTAAATTTAGAATATCAAAGCTACCTAGAAATAAATGGGGCTTAAGTTATGGTGTTAGAATCTTTTTACCATAAAAGTTGTCTTAAGATGATAGTGCTTTGTGAAGGGATCTTATCTATATGCTGTGAGGTTCTCATGAGACAGATTCTATGAACACAGAAATAACATTTACCGATAAAAACTTATGTGTTTATACTGATATTTACTTTGGGAGAAAAATGTAGTAGACCCTTCTCACTTAATAATAAGCATTCTTTGCGTACTAAGCCTATTTTTTTTTTTTTTCCGACAGAGTCTCGCTCCCTCACCCAGGCTGGAGTGCAGTGGTGCAATCCTGGCTCACCACAATCTCAGCCTCCTGGGTTCAAGCGATTCTCCTGCCTCAGCCTCCCGAGTAGCTGGGATTACAGGCGCATGCCACCACGCCCAGCTAATTTTTGTATTTTTAGTAGAAACGAGGTTTTACCATGTTGGCCAGGCTGATCTTGAACTCCTGACCTCAGGTGATCTGCCTGCCTTAGCCTCCCAAAGTGCTAGGGTTACAGGTGTGAGCCACTGCACCCAGCCACTAAACCTCTTTTGACTCGCATATCCTGAATTCCTATCCAAAGTAATATGTTCAATAACTTTGCACAGAATTCTACTATAAAGAATATATCAAACTTTTTGTTGTGAAGTAACTCCTATACTTAAAAAAAATGATTCCATATTCTGAGTATTTTTTTTCCAAATTATTTACTAAAAATGGTTAACACTAATGTAATCTCTAGTGGCAAGTAGTTATTTTGTAATTAGAAAGCATCTAAAGAGAAAACGTTCTGCATAATAGCCTTTTAAAAAATAAAGTTAAAAGCTTTCATTTTGATAAATTAACAACATGAATCAATGAATTTAACTTTTTCTACTTGATTAAATCCTTGATTATCTCCTTCTGATTATATCAGAACAAGATGTTCCATGAATAGATCTAGAGGAAAATGACTGTACTTCACAGTAAAGCATCATCTAGAAACTCCCACAAACAGTAAAGAAACAGACTGCTTCTGGCCCTGCCGGCCATGCAGCATCAGTTCAATCAGACCCTCTGGCATTCATTATTTAGGGCCTAGTGTGTTCTGGGCTCATATTAGCACCCTGGGAGCAAGATCAAGAAGTATGAGACACAGATCTTGCTCGTGATCAATTTGCAACCAACCTGGGGTAGTAAGATTAGCACATATGTATCTCTACAGAACAGGTATGAGACTCTAGGTCCTAGAATGTACAGGCAGAGCAGTCAGTCACAGAAGGCTGGGTTAGCCACAGAGAGATCCAGCATGGTACAGCTTGAGCTGGATGAACAAGGGCTAAATGTCTTCTTGTCATTTGTGACATTACATGAACCCATCTCCCAAGCCTCTGAAGAGTCCCCACATTCCCTAGTTGTTGCCCTCTTTATATGCATGTTTCTCACAGCATTTAATCATTCCACGGTACTTATTCATTCATTCAACAAATAGTTTTTAAGCACCTACCATGTGCCAGCCATTGATCTAGGAACTTGAGATAATACCAGTTACAAAAATCCCTGCCCTTGTGAAACTTATATTCTAGTAGAGGGAAGCAGACAACAAAGGGCACTGTATTGCATTGTAAAAACTTTTGAATTTTACTCTGAGTGGAACAAGAAGCTATCAGGGTTAGAGCATAGGAATGCCCCCAAATGGATGCACTGTTAAGGCGATCACTGACTGCTGTGTTGAGACCAGTGTCAGGAAGGAAGGATGGAAGCAGGGAGTGCAGTTAGGAGGTTCCTACAGCAACCTCGGCATGTGATGCTGGTGGCTTGGGTCATCAGAACAGGATATCCTTTAAATATTTTATTCATTTCTGTCAATACCTACTGGACCTTTAGCTTCCTGAAGCTAAAAACTGGACTTTCTTCAGCTTTGTATCCCTGGTGACCAGCACTATCTAGAAGTCATTAGCCTTTTATTAAATAGTTGTTAAGAGAAAGAAAGGGGGGAAAAAAGGAGATGGGAAAAGAGGAAGAAAGAGAAGAAGAAAAAATAGGAAAAAAAATGGAAAAGAGAATAGTTATTAGACTGACCAAAAAAAAAAAAGACAGTAAAAATCTGGGAGGTGTTTTGACAAAGTCTAAAACAGAAGAGTGTTGTAAAGCTGTAAATTCATGACTCTAGCAATTTACCCAAGATAAGGGCCATCTGAACATCTGTCCTGATTCCAACAGAGCCATGTCTTACACAATAAAATGGCACTGCCCATAGCTTGACAGCAAAGACAAAGCAACAGGATTTTCTTTTCTTACTCGGAGAAGTTTGTCGTAACGCTCAGCAGACATCAGGAAGCGTCCATCTTCAAGCTGCATCTCTCTGTTTTCCAGCAAGTTGTTCAAAACAGGCAAAACATTCCTCTCTGCCTTTTCCAAACCTTCCAAAATGAGAGTTCTGCCTTCTGTGGCTGCACGAACTGCACACTATTTCCAAGAAACGTAAAAGCAAAATGAGAATACTGAAGTTGCAGAGCTTGGCCTAACATTACTTGTAATTCAAATTTAAGTTGCAGTTCTTGTTATAGGGACCAGAAATCAATAAAGCTGAGTTCCAGATCTTGTTTTGCTTTTTCTGCCTATATGATCTTAGGAAAGTGATTTTACCTCTTTGGGCCTGTTTATTCGTTTGTAAAATAAAGGGATTGAAAAAAGAGGATCGCTGAAGTTCCTTTCAGCCTTGATATTTTAGATTATATACCCAATGAAATAAAAAACTAACAGCTATCTATGAACAAGGAACATAATTAAACAAGGGCACAGATTCCACAACTGGAAAAGAAAAATGAAGACAGTTATCTGCCCTACCTATCCCACAAGCTTCTTGTAAGGATCAAAAAAGCTAGGTGAGAAGGCTTGGAGACTGTAACATTTGTAAACATAAGTCATCATCCAAATAAATTGAGGTTTTGTGTGATGATGCTGACAACATTACACACTTAGAAACAGAAAAAGAATCAGATTTTACATTGGCCAATAGCAGACTGACTTAACCAGTACTACAAGTCTTCCAATAAATTTTAAGAAAATTAGTAATGGAGAAAATTAGGAAATAAAGTAAACTGTAATACAAAAAAATTACTATAGATATGAAAAAAATATTTTCCTTTAACTATAGGTCCTTAATAACATAGAAAACTACTTTTTGTCAAAATCCTTCATGTTCTGCTAAAAAAGGAAAACCTGTCATGTTTCTTCTGCACATTCAACCACAGACAGAGGATTAATGGTGCTAAATTTATACTGTTATTCCCTCCCTTAAAACTCGCCTTCATTAGTCTCCATGGCACTGCATTGTCCTAGGAAAATTGTTTTGTCTTCTGTGCCTGTCCATTAAATGTAGATGATGGCCAGAATTACATCCTTAACACACAGCTCTTCTTACCCTACTAGGACCTCCCTGAAAATCTTATTCAATCACATAGTTCCAACTACCACCTTTATGCTAATGACCCCCCAGAATCTTGGGGTTCTGAAACTCCCCCTCATTAGTACCTCATATGGGGTCCCTCAGACCCCATGAGCACCTCAGGTCCCTTGTACAAAACTGAAAATATCCTATTTTCTCCAAACCTGCTTCTCTTCTTTATTTTCTATCTGGGGTGTGAGCACCATTGACCCAGGTCAGAGCCCTTGATGTTTCTTGAACTCATCCCTTTCTACCCCTTCCCTAGTTCAAGCTCTCCTTACCTCTCAGATCACCTCCCAATAGTCCAAGCTCCTTAATTTGGCATATTAGCCTATCACAATGCAGCATCTACCTACCTCTCCAACACCATCTCCTGATATTAGTTGCCTCACATGTGGTATTTCTGTGACAATAAACTGGTTATCTCCTTCTACACATGTACATACCATACTGCTTTACCAGAAAAATGTCTTTACTTATACTGACCCCTCACTTAAAATTTAATTTTCCCTATAGTAATTGTCCAAAAAAAGGATCTAAATGTTTGATGAGGGGAAAACATATCTCTATTTTTTTAAGACTTAATATCCAAATAAATTTCTGGAGTAGCAATGTACTGATTTTCCAAGTGTAGAAAAGAGGCATTGCTTAATCAAGCTTGCATACTATCCTCTTTTAATACACTGTTGAATTTTGCACTGTATAGTAGAGCTTAGTTTATTTCAAGTGTCTACATAATGTTGTAAAATGATAAACTTTATGAAAGCCATATTAGACTCAAGAGAATCATCCATTTTAAGATCATTTCATGAATAATCCCTCAAATATATCATTACTGCAATATTTTAATTCTCTTCTACCAGAGTAGCCATCTTGTTCTAGAAGCTTTATTTAAAAAAAAAAAAAAAAGCATGGGTAGAAGTGACTTAGTAGTTTCTAAAGAACAACAACAAAAAAAAGAATCTCATTTTTGCTAGCTGTATAAAGGACAAAGTCGTAGAAATAGATTCTGGGATATTAAAAGTCAAAATATTGGCCGGGCTCAGTGGCTCATGCCTATAATCTCAGCATTTTGGGAGGCTGAGGAGGGTGGATCACAAGGTCAGAAGTTCAAGACCAGCCTGGCCAATATTGTGAAACCCCGTCTCTACTAGAAATACAAAAATTAGCCAAGTGTGGTGGCGGGCGCCTGTAATCCTAGCTACGTGGGAGGCTGAGGCAGGAGAATGACTTGAACCCAGGAGGCAGAGGTTGCAATGAGCCAAGATCGCACCCCTACACTCCAGCCTGGGCGACAGAGCAAGAATACAAACTACTTCTTATAAAAATTCACATTTCAGTTAAGGTTTCAATTAAGCTTTTGCTCGCAAAAATATATTTACTTCAAGAAAGCACAGCTCAGAACAAAAAAGAAATTAATTGTTATCATAATCTAGGGTAATATTATTTTAAGAAATCTAAAACTTTTAGCAATCTTTCTTATACGACAGACTAAATATTGCATTTGACTTTTTAAAAACTCCATAGGGATGAAAACCCACATTCTTTGAGATAAAACTAGAAATATACAGATCAAAATGTAATGGTTCACCATCTATGGGCCACAAAAAGCAAAGTCTTGACAACATAGGACAACAACAAACACTGCAGCTCCACTTTCATTCACCTCAGGTGTACTGTGGTCTGCTATGCATTGAATCTCTTCAAAGGAATTCAGAACAAGCTATGCAGAGAGATCAAAAACAGAAGCTAAATACACAAGGTTTTTTTTCCATCTACTCTAATGGCAGTACTGTGACCACAAAGTTGAAAAAGTAGGGATAGATGGAAAAAGGATAACACAATTTAATGATCTCTTGAAAATCTGGTCAATGCTGCAACTTTTCTCCACAGTCAAATGCATGCAGGTATATGTATAGAGCAGAGACCTCAATTTAAGAATCTCTACTACTAACGAATGATAGAAATAGAAAATGATCAATTTCGCAAACACCACAGTAGTAACTGCTGCAGTCAAGAATCCAAAATGGATGGTAAAATTAGTGGCTAAGTATATTATGAGAAACAGGTATTTGTATATACTCAAATATCTCCTCACAAAATATTTTAAAATGACAAAGTGAAAAATAATACAACACTGGAGAAACCTAGCAGATACCAC
Organism: Homo sapiens; assembly: GCF_000001405.40. Lineage (NCBI taxonomy): Eukaryota > Metazoa > Chordata > Mammalia > Primates > Hominidae > Homo > Homo sapiens. The sequence goes on from NC_000013.11 coordinate 41,894,731, forward strand.
CTTAATTAACCAAGTGATCAAAGTCAATGTGACCAGTAATGAGCTATATCAATCTCACATACCAGACTTCTAATATGATACCCTGAGATGGGCACAACATCACTTTTATATTATTCTTGCTAAAAATGCATCATTTCAATCAAATCATAAGGAAACATCAGACAAATCTAAATTGAGCAACATTTTGCAAAATAATTGGCCATGAGGAGGAAAAAGGAGATGGCTGCTGCAGGGACTTGGTTGGGGACCGTGTGGGAGATAACAGTCTTTTTTTTTAATGATTCAAAAACTTGAGCATGTTTAAATGATGAAGAGGAGCTAGTAGAGGAATACAGAAAAGAGAACGTATAATTATTGAAATAAAACTAAAAGAGTTGCTACTAGATGTTGGAGATAGTTTGGTCTGTTTACTGAGTGGGAACATGGTAGGGCCTACAAGTTTATAACTGATACATATCAGGCGCTTCCAAGTATACTATTTAATTTAACCCTATGACAGTCCTCTGAGGTACACAATATTTTACCCAATTTACTGGAAGAGAGGTTATATAATTTGAAAATTGCATGGCTAAAATTTTAGCCTGTCCTTAAATTGAAAGAAAACGAGTAGAGTAAGAACTAAAAAAAGTCATTAAATAATCACATCTAGAGGTTACTAGTAATCTCAGAGAGTCTGGTTTTACTAGGCATAGGAATTTGCTGTGTTACCTATGCAGAGAAACGAAACCAAACACACACAAAACATCTCTACACACACAAAATACTCAGTTCAACATAGAGCATACATGGTCATACAGCAGTGCAATCTGCCTCAAAGTCTTCTACAGATAACTACAATTACATTTCCCCAAATCAACATTGTTTTTCAAATCATCATCAACTCAGCAATGAAACTAACCACCTGCCTAAAAATATCTGAAAAGAGAGGTAGTTAACAGAAAAGGCTCATTAGTCTTTTAAATCAACCTAACCCACTAATTGTGCTATTATCCTCATGTGACTTAATTAAGAACTGTGATACGTCCTGTTTGCTAAATTGTTTTCAAGATATAACAAACTTCAGTTTAAGCCTCTTTTCATTTGTTTTACTTGCAAATTTTCTTTTTTTTTTTTTTTTTTAGTTTTTCTTACAAAAACATTTACCAAAGCTCTTTCTTTCTCCCAAAAAATCTTAATGTAAAAAAAACCAATTAGGCAAAGATCCAGTTTCTGACAGTGGCTTCTAAATGTCTCTAACTTTCCTTTAATAATCCATTAGACAAATTGCCAGGAAAATTCTGTAAAAGAAGAGCAATTAGGAGTGAGTTTAATTTAGGAATACAAAGAACCATGACTAGATAGGCAAATCAATAAAACAGAATTTAAGAAGGTATGCTAGTCTCTCTAGAAATGTAATGTATGAACAAGAAACTCTTGTAAATGAAAGAGGTTAGAGAGATTTGATATAACTCTCTCGCACTGTTGGAAAAAAATTTTTTTTGCTATTATTACATGTATTACCTTTCCTATGTAAGGAAACTAGTTAATAAAAATGATTAAACATTTTAAAATATAAGAAAAGTACACTTCAAATTAGTAGAAATTAGGAATTTGGAAAAGAAATCCAAATGAATTTAAAAATTTAATGATACAAGTAAAATCATGTAATTACTGGATAATCATATGTGACTTTTTGAAAATAATCTTGAATTGGGAAAAATCCAATAACTCAAAGGCAGATACCATTAAGAAAAAGATTAATAGATATGACTACATTCAAATTGGTCTATACAGCAAAAAATATCTCAAACTAAAAGACTGAAAACTTGGAAGATGTTTGTAACATATACAATAAAGACCACATAAATATCTTTAGTATAAATTGAATTTTTATAGATTATTAAGAAAATTAACAATACCCCTATAAAATGCAAATTAGCACCACAAAAATATATATTCAACTTCACTGGTTATTAGAGAGCTAAAGGTAAAACATGATATTTTTAGACTTTCAAATTGGCAAGGATTAAAAAAGAATGATAATATCCAGTGTCAGTAAGATTAAGATGAAACCAAAACTCTCATTCATGGTTGGTCAGAGTGCAAAATGATAAGCTTATGGAGAGTAACTTAGAAAGATATATAAAAATGTAAATGGCTATGTTATTAACCCAGAAATTCTACTTCAATAAATTTATCTAAAGGAAATGATAAGTGTACAATGATGTGTATTATCCAGTCATCAAAACACTGTTTTATAATTACAAATGAACCCAAAAACCGTAAATGCCAATCTGTGAAGGATTGGCAAAAAATTGTGGTAATTCAATATGATGGACTTCTACACAGATATTAAAAATAATGATATAGCTCCATCTTTACCTGTGAAAAGGCCCACAATATGTTGTTTACTCAAAAAGCTATAACTCCCTTTCCAGGACTAAGCGAATAAGGAAAGAGAATAAGAGGACAAATATTGAGAACATACAAGGAACTCAAATCAATTGCAAAAAAAAAAGATAAGATTTAAAAATGGGTAAAGGATCTGAACAGACATTTCTCAAAAGAAGACGTACAGATGGCCAGTAAGGAAATGCCCAACATCACTAATCACCAGAGAAATGCAATGAAAACCACAATGAGACCTCTCACTCCAGTTAGAATGGCCACTGTGAAAAAGAGAAAAAAGTAATGGATGTTGATGAGGATGTGGAGAAAAGAGAAGTTTTACACACTGTTGATGGAAATGTAAATTAGTACAGCCATTATAAAAAACAATATGGAGGTTCTTCAAAAGTTTAAAAGAGGAGCTATCATCTGATCCAGCAATATATGGACTGAATAGATGTATTAAAGTATTGTGTCCGAAATTGGTAGGTTCTTGGTCTCACTGACTTCAAGAATGAAGCCGCAGACCCTCGCGGTGTGTGTTACAGCTCTTAAGGCTGCGCGTCTGGAGTTGTTTGTTCCTCCCGGTGGGCTCGTGGTCTCGCTGGCTTCAGGAGTGAAGCTGCAGACCTTCGCTGTGAGTGTTACAGCTCATAAAAGCAGTGTGGACCCAAATAGTGGGCAGTAGCAAGATTTATTGCAAAGAGCGAAAAAACAAAGCTTCCACACTGTGGAAGGGGACCCGAGCGGGTTGCCACTGCTGGCTCCGGCAGCCTGCTTTTATTCTGCTAGCTGGCCCCCACCCACATCCTGCTGATTGGTAGAGCCGAGTGGTCTGTTTTGACAGGGCGCTGACTGGTGCGTTTACAATCCCTGAGCTAGACACAAAGGTTCTCCACATCCCCACCAGATTAGCTAGATACAGTGTTGACACAAAGGTTCTCCAAGGCCCCACCAGAATAGCTAGATACAGAGTGTCGATTGGTGCATTCACAAACCCTGAGCTAGACACAGGGTGCTGATTGGTGTGTTTACAAACCTTGAGGTAGATACTGAGTGCCGATTGGTGTATTTACAATCCCTGAGCTAGACATAAAGGTTCTCCAAGGCCCCACCAGAGCAGGTAGATACAGAGTGTCGATTGGTGCACTCACAAACCCTGAGCTAGACACAGGGTGCTGATTGGTGTGTTTACAAACCTTGAGCTAGATACAGAGTGCCAATTGGTGTATTTACAATCCCTGAGCTAGACACAGGGTGCTCCAAGGCCCCACCAGAGCAGCTAGATACAGAGTGTCGATTGGTGCACTCACAAACCCTGAGCTAGACACCCGGTGCTGATTGGTGTGTTTACAATCCCTGAGCTAGACATAAAGACTCTCCACATCCCCACCAGACTCAGGAGCCCAGCTGGCTTCACCCAGTGGATCCCGCACCAGGGCTGCAGGTGGAGCTGCCTGCCAGTCCTGCGCCATGCGCTGGCACTCCTCAGCCCTTGGGTGGTCGATGGGACTGGGCGCCGTGGAGCAGGGGGCGGCATTCGTCCGGGAGGCTCGGGCTGCACAGGAACCCACGGAGGCGGGGGAAGGCTCAGGCATGGCGGGCTGCAGTCCCGAGGCCTGCCCCGCGGGAAGGCAGCTAAGGCCCGGCGAGAAATCGAGCGCAGCGCCGGTGGGCTGGCACTGCTGGGGGACCCAGTACACCCTCCACACGCCGCTGGCCCGGGTGCTAAGTCCCTCATTGCCCGGGGCCTGCAGGGCCGGCCGGCTGCTCCGAGTGTGGGCCCGCCAAGCCCACGCCCACCCGGAACTCCAAGCTGGCCCGCAAGCGCCGCGCGCAGCCCCGATTCCCGCTCGCGCCTCTTCCTCCACACCTCCCTGCAAGCTGAGGGAGCCGGCTCTGGCCTTGGCCAGCCCAGAAAGGGGCTCCCACAGTGCAGCGGTGGGCTGAAGGACTCCTCAAGTGCCGCCAAAGTGGGAGCCCAGGCAGAGGAGGTGCCGAGAGCAAGCGAGGGCTCTGAGGACTGCCAGCACCCTGTCACCTCTCAGTATCACTCTATATCCTGTGAAAATGGACTATTGTCAACTAAAAAGGAAAATTAATAAATGAAAAATCTTCCCAACCTTTTTTCTGATTAATTCAATATAAATTATTTATTAATTTTACACACTATCTAAATGGCAACAAGAATGGATGTTTTATAGTGCAACTGAATCCAGAGGCAAGAATATTATAAGGGGATTGCAAATGTGTAAGGCTGGTATAATTTTTAGAAAACAAAAGACAAAAATGAATCGCCCAAGATTTTAAAATTTTCTCCCTATTTGCCCTTTGGTTACACAGTTGTAGACCCAGAACATATGAAAACTAAACTTTAAAAATATAAATAAGAATACTAGCCAAAAGGAGAAAATCTTGAGAAGATGCTCTTTGGAAACAAAATCTGAAACGCTCAATTTTCAGAACTAATACTAGTTAGTTACTATTTCAGGATCACTTTGCTTCCTGGTTCTTCCTTAAAATAGCCTATAAAATCATTAAAATACTTAATCAGTACTATCAAAAAGTACTATCAAACTTTATAAATATGACTACATTTGTAAAGAATAAATTTTAAAAATAAGCAACTGAATAGAACAAATGGCAAGTCCATTAAGTAATATAGCAACAACGTACTGTGCCATACCATATATCTCAGACTCAACTGGAGAGAAAAAAGTAAATGTTACAAGTTTTCTGCCCAATAGAGGCCCAAGCATCTTAACCTCCTTACATCAATACCCACTTTGCCTCATTTGCATAGCATGTAAGTGTGGGGGTACAATCTCGAAGTATTCTTGTTCTTTCATACCTACGTTTCATCTCCCCAGTGGATTCTTAGCTCTACGAAGGATGAGAACCCTGTCTTTTATGGCATACTGGTACAAAACTGGCTCACAGCAGGCTATTAGCATTTATGGAATAAACATGCAACCACTCAGTTAAAAGATGCTGTTATGTAAGGTTAGGAAGAATTTTTGTAGGAAGGATGATAGTTATCTATGCCTACACTTGTTATGAAAACAGAATAGAACAAGTTTATCAGCATGAGAGATTTAGGCTAGATAGTTGGAAGATTTTTCTATACAGGTTGTAACATAAAATAATTGTAGTATAATTTTTTTGAAATCTTTCTTAAAAAGGAGCAATATATGTATTTTTTTAATGTGGAATGACTAGTTGTAATCATTCCTCAAAGTAGAAATTAGACCATCTATAAGGAGCTCTTCTTGTCCTTCAAGCTACAGAACTTCCAGAGACCTAATTTTCTCAAATAGAATTCAGAAAAAAATGCAGCAGGATCCTTCTGGCCCAGCCATCTCCTATCACAGCTTTAACCACTCAACACATGGACATGAAAGATTTCAAGATAAAAGTAGGTGTGTGACCTAAAATCAAAAAGTATCTAAGTCCCTGTTCTAGATTTGCTTCTGATTTGATATAAGACCTTAGGCAAACAATTAATCTGGATGTCTTTGTCCTCATTTACAAAATTAGAATATCCTCAAGGGGTATTATACAGTGTAACAGTTTAAGAGTCAAAGCAGTACTGCAAAAAAAAATTTAAAGTAACTGAACCTACTAAAATATAAACTATTATTAATGTAGTCATTATTTAATAAAAATAGAGTCCATAAAGCTTCAAATTTACTCAAAATAGCTACGGTGTAAAAGTACTGAGGAAGCTAAAGAAAAATTTTTTAAATTACATTTCAAGTTCTTCATTTTAACACATCAGAATAGAATCGGATTGATTTTTGGTTGCTCTACCATTTACTTATTATAGGTGACTTAGATTACTCACTGAGCCTCCATTTCTCTCTAAAACTAGGCTCATTTTGGTGCTTATCTCATAGACTGTGTTGCAGATTAAATCAGATAACTTTGGGCACACAGTAAACCTTAAAAAACAATTAGTTGCTGTTACTGTTATGAATACAATCATCATTGTCACTGTCATCATGATCATCATTTTTTTTTTTTTTTTTTTTTACAAGCAGAGTCTCACTTTGTTACCCAGGCTGGATTGCAATGACTCAATCATAGCTCACTGTAACCTTGAACTCCTGGCCTCAAGTGATCCACCCACCTGGCCTCCTCAAGGGTTGGAATTACAGGCATGAGCCACTGCACTCAGCTCATCATCACTTTTTTAGAGAAGTAGCATAATATGGTAAAAGAACTTGAGCTTTGTAATTGGACAGAGCCTGGTTCAAATTTTACCTCTGCTATTTATCAGTTGTACAACCATCACCTTCTAAGCCCCTGTTACTTAATCTGTAAGATGGAAAAGTCATCTTCCTCCTAAGGATGTTCTGAGAATTAAATGCAATAATACGAAGCACCTAGCACAACGTAGGTCTCCCAATAAAAGTTTCCTTTTCATCTCTCTCTTTTCTTTCAAAACAAATTATATGCATCTGTCAAACAGTTAACATTATACAAGTAGGCCAGTCGCAGTGGCTCACGCCTGTTATACCAGCACGGTGGGAGGCCGAGGTATGCGGATCACCTGAGGTCAGTTCGAAACCAGCCTGGCCAACATGGCAAAACCATGTCTCCATGAAAAAATACAAAAATTACCCAAATGTGATGGTGCGCACCTGTAGTCCCAGTTACTCGGGAGGCTGAGGCACGAGAATTGCTTGTACCCAGGAGGCAGAGGTTGCAGTGAGCCGAGATCATGCCACTGCACTCCAGCCTGGGTGACAGAACAAGACTCCATCTCAAAAAAAAAAAAAAAAAAAAAAAAATATATATATATATATATATATATACACACACATATATATTTGCATACATATATATGCAAATAGAAAGGAGTTCTTCTGAGTATGATAGCAACATAACAACGAGCAAACACTTGAGTTCTAACACAGAGGCCACAGTAAACAGAGAGAGATCTTCCCCGACTGTCCAAGTGCAAATTAGGATGTATTTTTAAATAATGATGTGGTTATTTGTACTAGTGAAAAGTGAGAAAGAACCTGAATAACCAATAATATAAAAAGGTAGAAAAAATAGGAATGTTAAATAAATAACAGCATACCTATCTGATGAAATATTGTACGGATACTAAAAATCATATCTTTGAGTAACATCTAATGTCAAAAGGAGATGCTCCTGATAAAATGCCAGGTTTTTAAAAAACACTATAAACTTTATATACATGGCATACCATTTTTGTAAAAATTATACATTATACATTATAAACATATGCACATAGAAAGAAATACAGAAAATATTCATGCTGCTCGTCTTGAAGAAGAATACAGCAAGTAATTTTTCAGTTCTTTCGTATGCTTTTTAGTATTTACTCAATTATGCTACCCTTCTTTACTGTTTGGTTTCCCCAACTAAAACATAAGCTCTATAACAACAGAGATTTTTGGTTTATTTGTTCACTGCATCTGGATAATGCCTTGCACATATCAATCATTCAATATATATTTGTTAATAAATACAAATATTATATGCATTTATATCAAATGAGCATTTATGACTTGCATAATCAGAAAAAATAAACTTTACTTTGAAAACAATATAAATTCCCTATTACATATTATTATTAACCTAATTCTCGCCTTCAAAGGTAGCAGTTGAGTTTAAACCTCTTGCTTTATCATCAATCATCCTTAGTTTTAGGTGAGAATTAGTGAAGAGCTTAATGGCCATGACCAACAACTCAGGATTTGGGTGTTTCCAGCTGATATGTCAATTCGTAATAACCTGGATACCAGTCATAGGTGCGTACAATGGGAATGATACTGAAAATCCCAAACTTTCTCCCAATACCCACCAGAGAGCCACAGGTACTTTTTCACCTATATTGGGCCATCAAGTTACAGGGATCACCTAACAGTGAATAAAAATACTGCCCGTCCCTTCAGCCCAAACATCAAATTCAATGGTTAAGAACACTGAATAAATAAAAAGGAATTTTTAAATAAAATAAATGCAAAGGCCTTTCGGTGTAACAAATATACGTCTAGCTGGTAGTCAACTGGCAAATTCATCTATCTAGAATTCAAATGGAAATTATCCATTGTGATGACTCAAAATAGATGTCAAAAAGGCAAACATCCATAGAAAACCCCACCTGGTGTTTTCATGAATAAATTAAGGCCAGAACCCACTTATTCTTAATTTAGTTAAAATTGTAATAAAGTTGATTACCCAAAGAAGAAATCTACCATCAATATATGTGTCACTTATGTTCCAGACAGTTTTTAGGTGCCTGAGATGAGCAAGATAGACAGTTATATTCTAGCGGGGGAGGAGAGCCAACAAACATGGGAGCAGGGAAATAGGTAAGTTCAGAGAGTGCTAAGTGCTCTGGAGATAATATCATGTACGATGACAGCCTGGTGCGGCATGGTATATTTGGAAAGGGGGTAGGCATGGCCAGTGGCTACTTTAGCTAAGAAATTTATAACCTGAATTACAAGGAGGCAAGAATATAAAGTACAAAGAGAAACTCACACCAAGCAGAGGAAACACCAAGTACAAAGGAAGGCAACTGCAGCTGCAGCCTGCAAGGCAAGGAGTAAAAGGAAAGGTGGTAGACAAACATTCGATCCTATAGAGTGATGTAGGCCATATTACAGGGTTTGGATCTGACGGTGGATGTAATGGGACATTACTGCATGGCTTTAAGCAGCAAGGAACTGGTAGGATCTGATTATGAACAGCACAGTAAGGAATACTAACTGCAAGGAAATAAGATAAAATAAAAATATGAAAATCAGATAAGACCTCAAAACGTCATCTGAAGCAATAAAGAAAGGACTAACATTCCTGCACCTCAGTCACGGGCTCCGAAGGTATCAGTGGGATTAGAGCACAGTAAATAACAGATGCTCATCAGAATGAGCAGGATTCACCAACAAAACATAAGAGTGTAAAATGCTGCCAAGGTAAGACACTTAAAATATTTATAAACTTTATAAACTAAAATATATATCATCTAAAAATATTCTTTTTAGAAGGACCAAAGGACTGTATAACTTCAGAAAGTTTCATCTAAATAATTTACTATAATGGTCCAACAAATAAATCTTTAGATAATCGATAAATTTAGTTTCCTAAAACAATTTCTAAAAAGCTAAAGTGTTAAGCTCTCCTTAAAATAATAAACACATTTAAAAATCCATTTTCTCTTCCTTACTATTTGCAAATTATAAAATTCATTTTAAAAATATATTTTTAAATCCATACTCTACCAAACAAAGCCAGTTCTTTCACCATTATTTAAATATATTCCTGACTCCTCACCTCTACTTAGGTCATTGTTCCAGCTTCTAATCCCTTTACCCAGCTCCTCACTATTCCAGCTCAAATCCCATCCCTCACTCTTATCTTCTCTGAGTATAGAAAAGAGGCAAATTTTTTTAAAACCTTGTCAATTGGGGGTGGTGTGGGGTTTACAGCACCTTTATGTGTAACTATCATGGGAACAGAAATGTAAGCAATCAAAAGCTGTATGCTTAAAAAATATCCTGAATTTTAAATTTTATTATTTGTATTAACTGCAATATTCCAGATTTACTGTTTAGTAGCCTAAATCTTCACATAAGTTTTAAATGTATTAAAATTTTAGGGATTACCAGACCATATATTTTAGAAAATTAACCCAATATGAAATTTAAAAAATTAAACACCCTTAATCAAATAACTCTATCCACTATTCCAAACAGCTTGCAAAGAAGTTCAGTGGAAATGATCCTGTGAATTAATATCTACCCTTTCTAAAAGATAACCAACTGGAAAAAGAAATTAGGACTTTCCTGTTACCTTTCTTACCACGTGAAAAATGCAGGTTGTTCATTCTAAAAATAAATATAAGCTTTTGAATAAAAATATATTTTTATAATGTGGATATTATGTGAATCACTAGGTTTGGAATAAATACCATTAAATTGAGAGTCGAAGTCAACAAGATAGAAATATAAATTCAAATTCATATTTCAAAAGGCACTTAGTGCTTGCTTCGGCAGCACATATACTAAAATTGGAATGATACAAAGAAGATTAGCATGACCCCTCCTCAAGGATGACATGCAAATTCATAAAGCATTCCATTTTTTTTTAAGGGACTTCTTCACAAAGAAAACACAGCAGGGGTCTTAAAAATGTTTAAAATGATGAATACAAGAACCTCTTGGCTACAAGAGAGAATTTTTCATTACAAAACTGGACAGTTAGATATAAAATTATTAGTAATGGTTGTTACCTATTACCATTTATAGGTAATGTACATGAGCACAAAGAGCTCTTTAAAAATTCCCTGGTAAAATTATACTATAAAATTATATCTGATAATTCTATTCTTTGTTTTAAAATTTGACTATAAATTATTTAAAATTTTTAATTTGCATTTTAATGTAAGAACTTTGAATCTAAAAGACAAACATAAAAATGGCTATCTATACTACAGTGCAATAAAGAAACTAAATCATCTTCCCTCCCCAACCTTTTAATCTGGAACCATTCCTTACCTGTTTTGACTTTTAGGACATTGAACATTTTTTAGGAGTCCAAGTTGTTGTCTTACAGACTATCACACATTCTAGATCAGTCTGATTGTTAATGTTAAACGTTTTTAGTAAGAGTACTACATTGGTAATGCTGTAGTACTCTTAGTAAACCTGTTGGAGTGCTCTTACCCTGTAGAGGTAAACCCTCATTGAATCACATCAGCATTCACATCATGATAATTCTGTTGTATGAGTTGGTTAATGGAGCCAATGCCAGATCTCATCATTGTAAAGGTACATTATTTTTTCCCATTTGTAATCAGAAGTAATCTATGAAGTGAACTTTTGGCATTATGTAAACAAAATGGGTTCCTTTAAAATTTGTTTATGTGCTCTGTCTGTGAAGGATTACTTTTTGATTATGGGAAATCTGAACTTCTCAGACATTCCCACTAGATGATGCTAAATTTTTTTGAAAGCCATCATTTAAGGTAGTGTCTGCCAAATCTCTCCATTTTAAGTGCATTTTTTTCTTTTGTAATTAATAAGTAACACATGAGGCCATGTGAATATCCTATTCCTCAAAAACTTTCCACTCAGTGATTTTTTACAATTACAGTCTTTTAATTATAACGTAACAGTGTGCCCATGCTAAAGTTTCAAATGTAAAGAACTACGAAAGTCTCTTCCTTATCCTACTCCAGACTCCAACTCACACTTCTGTAACATACTTTATGTACACTCTGTTAACTGCTCCTTGTGCATCCTTCTGGAAGTTTTCAATGTATAAACAAACATATATGCATTTCTTGTCTTCTTTTTACCACAAATGGGATCACAGTATACATACTGTCTTATAAATTTATTTTTTTCACTTAATTTATCCTGCACATCTTTCCTATCAGTACGTACACATTCATCTCATTCTTTTTAATAACTAAAGAGTATTCTACTTACCATTATTTCATTAGTCTCTTTAAGTATACATCACTCTGTTCATTCACAGTTTTATACAATTTCAAACAATGTTACATTAAACATCCTTGTACATATAACTTTTCATGTTTTATGTGAATATACTTGACTAAAATTTCTAGAAACATAACTGTTGAGTCCAAATGCATGTGTAATTTCTTTTCTTTTGATAAATATTGCCAAACTTTCTTTTTAAATTGCATTAATTTCTGCTGCCATCAACAGCAATGCTGTTTTCTCATCTCTTCTTCCTCATTAATACTGGACATTAGCAAATTCTTTAATCTTTGCCAATCTGAGAGGTAAAAGAAAAATAGCAGCTGACAGTCTTTTAATTTTTATTTTTGTAAATAAGAAAGTCAAGCATCTTTTCATGAAATTATTGAATATTTGAAATATTTTCTCTATGAATTGCTTATTTATAGGCTCTATCCTTTTTCTATTAAATACTCCTAAGAACAATATTTTAAACAATGTATTTGAAGAAGTGTAAAACAAGTTTCATTATAATGTTCATAAAACATTATGTTAGTTGGTAATCTGTACCTAAGATACTCTCCCACCAGAGAAAAAGCTATAGTTTCTGGAAGTGTATACTCTCACTACCTTTAATACCCCTTTACCCAAGTGACCTATAGATTGAAAATACTTTAATAAATATGCTAGAGAATCTCCTATATCAAATCTCCTTAATTCATTTTTTAATAAATCAAATTTCTATAGGCAAGTAGTAGGAAACAATTTAAAATTATGAAATCAGCACATTGATCTTTAACGTTTTAGAACCATTAATTTCATCTAGGATTTCTCATTTAGTACAAAACCAAGAAGACATTTCCAAGAACAGTGAAACTAAAAATCTAAATTAAATCTGTCTAGAGAGAGCACAATACAACTACCTTTTACTGTTATATGAGCTACTCTCTTTCTACTTTAAAAATCAATCTTGTATAGACCTGGAGTACACAGTCATGGGCTAGAGTGTGACAGAACTTGCCTGATCAATGTAAAAGGCTGTGCCTGCACGGATCTCTCGTCGCTGTTTGAGATCAGTTTCAGTGGTGTCCCTTGACAGGGCAATGTATTCGACCTCCCGTTTGGTCAGCTCCTGTAGAGAAGAGAATGAAATTATTCCAAAAATAAAATCAAATTTCCAGCATATGATTTGGAACTAGTTATCTGACAATGCCATTGCCCATGAGAAGTGCATTGTTAAACCTAATTTTGGGTTGAAACTTGTTGAATCTAAGTTTGAGAAAAAAGAAATAAATTGAACTTTAATCAAAATATCTATATATCTCCTCAGAGCTCTTCTTCTATGGCACTCAATCCTACTACTTAAGCAATAATAATCAAAATCCAATTTTACAAACCTTAATTTTTCCTGTAGAATTATTTCCAAATATAATGAGCAATAATTTGACAGTATTACTATTTGGTTTGCCCACAAACTATAGCCATTTCTGTAAGTAATGTTCATCTTTTATAAAGGGGTGATTTAGATTAATTTATTCCATGGATCAATGTTTGCCAAGTGTATACAGTATGTTAGGTACTTTACCAAATGTGAAAACAAGGTAAAAATCCCAATAATCAGCTGGGCGCTGTGGCTCACACCTGTAATCCCAGCACTTTGGGAGGCCGAAGTGGGCAGATCACTTGAGGTCAGAAGTTCGAGACCAGCCTGGCCAATGTGGTGAAACCCTGTCTCTATTAAAAATACAAAAATTAGCCAGGTATGGTGGCGCATGCCTGTAGTCCCTGCTACTCGGGAGGCTGAGGCAGGAGAATTGCTTGAACCCAGGAGGTGGAGGTTGAGGTTGCAGTAAGCCGAGATCACACCATTGCACTCCAGCCTGGGCAACAAAGCAAGACTCCATCTCAAGGGAAAAAAAACAAACAAACCCAATAATCAGGTAAACAGAAGATAAATACACATGCATAGTTGTAGGAGAAGTAGAAGGAGGATTTTAAAAAGGAGAGGAAGGAGGTGATGAAAAAGGAGGAGGAAAAGGAAGGAGGAGGAGTAGAAGGAACAGAAAGAGGACAAAAAAATAATCAAAAAAATCATGAGATTTGAAGAGGAAACGATGCAGAATTCACCTGTTTCAAGATAATTTATCCATCCTTAAAAGTCTTTTGCCCTATAATCATGTACAAAAAGTTTTTAACATTATCTTTGGTTTTACAATGTTGAAGTAAAAACAATGACATTCTCCAATCAAATAAGGCACACAATAAGTTTTTACTAAACATGAGGAACAAACTGAGTTACTTAAGTATAATGGAAAATGGGAATGAACATGCCATTAATGGCAAAAAGGGATACTGCCATACAAGGGGATTTTTTCTCCATCCTATCTCCATATGCTACTGATAAAAACATATTATTGTTGTAATTTAGGTCTCCTTTAATGTGCCTGTCCCCATGTTACATAACTTTATGTACGTAAAGGAGGAAAAAAATTTTTTTTTTTTTTTTTTGAGATAGTCTCACTCTGTCACCCAGGCTGTTGTACAGTGGTGCGATCTCAGCTCACTGCAACCTCTGCTTCCCAGGTTCAAGCAATTCTTGTGCCTCAGCCTCCAGAGTGGCTGTGGCTGGGACTATAGGCATATGCCACCATGCCTGGCTAATGTTTGTATTTTTTAGTACAGACGGGATTTCACCATGTCGGCCAGACTGATCTCGAACTCTTGACTTCAAGTGATCTGCCCACCTGGGCCTCCCAAAGTGTTGGGATCATAGGCATGAGCCACCGCACCCAGTCTAAAAGGAGGAAAAATTTTTAAATAGAGAAAACACCGACTAGTGGCAAAGATGTGGTGATACCTAAGGATGTTTCCCTAAAAACAAATGAATTGGCTGAGAGAGCACAATTTTGGAGTAAAGTGGCAATTTCTCTTGTTGGCAGGTATTACTTCTTGCTTCTGGAACACATCACTAGTATCTTCATGTCTGCTTCATTGACTGGCTGGAAGTGATCTCCCTCAATGAAAAACCCTGTCATTACAATAGGCTTCCATTAGTTGACAAAGTTATATATGCCTCTTATTGTTAAACTGCACAGAGTTACACCCTGAACTGCTACATGATCATTATCCTCAGCTTCCTTTGTTCTTCATTGGCCGTGACAAGCACCAAAGTCTCCCCAGGTGCTGATTCACGAAAGAGGCATGAGTACATTCACAAACAGCCCCAGGAGCAGCAGATGGAGGAGGCAGCAGTGGTATGATTTTTTTGAACAAACTACAAAAGTCCTTTTATATAAGTATAAAATAAACACAACTATGAAATTATTCCTATTTATTTTCTCATGGTTTACCATGCTTGCCCCAGATTTTCTGCCTTTAAAGATCTCATCCACTCTGGCTATCACTATACATAGGCTGTTATTCTTAGGGGCAATAGTACTCACTGCAAGGAGGCTTAAGCTAGTATTAAGTTTTCTTATGTATATCCACAGCCTATGGTTGCCTCAGCTCCATTCCACAATTTAAAGTTGGGGGTGTTGTTGGTTTCTTTTTTAAAGATACAGGTTTCACACTTACAAATCTATGTTGCATTTTTGAACCAACGAGGCTTCTCATAATCTCTTAGCCCTTCTCATTTCACATTCTCAATAAGCTTCAAAGCCTTGCCAAAAACAAAATCTCAGTGAGATATTGTGGTCTTTGAAATAAGCAAGGTAGCAAGTGCACATCTTAAAATTAAAAAGGCTTGGCCGGGCACGGTGGCTGTAATCCCAGCACTCTGGGAGGCCGAGGCAGATGGATCACAAGGTCAGGAGTTGGAGACCAGCCTGCCCAATATGGTGAAACCCATTTCTACTAAAAACATGAAAAATTAGCCGGGTGTGGTGGCATGCGTCAGTAGTCCCAGCTAATGAGAAGCTGAGGCAGGAGAATCACTTGAACCCAGGAGGCAAAGGTTGCAGTGAGCCAAGATCAAGCCACTGCACTCCAGCCTGGGCGACAAAGTGGGACTCCATCTCAAAAAAAACAAAAAAAAAAAACAACAACAAAAATGGCTCTAGATCTGTAATTCTCAGTAGCTGACTTCGCATTCTTAGATAAGACACTTTTACCTTACATATTAATAAAGTGAGGATGGCTCTACAGTGGCACGTTTTACCTCACAAACTAGTTCTAGGGATAAATAAAAGATAAATGAGCTAGTGCGAGTTAGGCTCTGATTTATTCATGTATTTATTATTTCTGCCCCACATGATTTTTGAAGTACCAAAGAAGATTCGCCACTGAAATAAAAGAGTGTACAAGGTAGATTTCAATAGCATTGAAATCAATCATTTCATAGCAAATAATACAAGGAATCTTTAAATAAGGTTTTTCTCTTCATCCTAAAAAATGTCTTCAGAACACAGCTTCATCTGGTGGCATTCTTTCATTAATCATTAGGGTAATGCCTACCAATACTGACAAAATAGCGGAAAACATTTGTACATTTTCTTTCTTTTTTTTTTTTTTTTTTTGAGACGGAGTCTCACTTTGCCACCCAGGCTGGAGTGCAATGGCACGATCTTGGCTCACTGCAACTTCCACCTCCCAACTTCAAGCAATTCTCCTGCCTCAGCCTCCCGAGTAGCTGGGATCACAGGCGCCTAGCACCATACCCTGCTAATTTTTGTATTTTTAGTAGAGCCGAGGTTTCACCATGTTGGCCAGGCTGGTCTCGAACTCCTGACCTCAGGTGATCCACCCACCTCAGCCTCCCAAAGGGCTGGGATTACAGGTGTGAGCCACTGTGCCTGGTCAAGACTTGTAAATTTTCTTATTTGGGTTGAGATTTGAGCTTCAGTTCACTTAACAACAGTTCTCAAAGAACTGCAAATGTTTAAGAGGACAACATGTCAGAAAGGGGAAACATGGGATTTCAACTCTAGCTCTATTATTTACCAGCTGGATAAAGCTTGAGTGAGTTATTTAACCTCTGTGAACTTGTTTTCTCATCTATTTAAAGAAAAAACAAGGAGATATATAACACAGAAGAGATACTCTACAGACCTTAGGCTTCCTTTAAAGACTGCATAACTTCCAAAAGTCAAGGGAATTGTTTGGCTTTTTAAAATGTGAGCCTGAGATAAGGGAATGTTCACTAAGCAGTATAATACCAAGTTTTGCTTTGTAATTTCAGACTTGCTGATTCTATCTGCTACTCATTGCCTGAATTTATATCTCTTTTCTACTGGAAGTGGGGGACTTTCTAGTTACAGTAAAAATTTGCTACAGCTATGAAAATTTGCTAAAGCTATACATTTGACTCCCAAATAACTTATGCCAAACACTTTATAAACAAATCACCCTTTGATGTCAGCATTTGTTTCAAATAATGACTAATTCTGATATTTTTTATAAATTCTTAATCTTATTTTATTTCATAGCTTACAAAGTTAAGACCCTTAGAAATTGACAAGAATTAACTGCTCACCAAGTACTGCATAGCAATAGAGCGTCGA
Source organism: Homo sapiens (assembly GCF_000001405.40). NCBI lineage: Eukaryota > Metazoa > Chordata > Mammalia > Primates > Hominidae > Homo > Homo sapiens. The sequence continues at coordinate 41,912,066 of NC_000013.11, forward strand.
AGAGGCCCAGGAGGTCCTATTAGAAAAACATCTTGCCCCAAAAGATCCTTCTGCATTATCCATCTTAGATGCTGAACTACAGATTGAGCCAGAGAGTCTGAAACTATAAAGAAAAAAGAGAAAATGAAGTGCAAATTTAAGTATTACTTATAATATAAATCTCCAAGTAATGTGGACATATTTATATATATATATAACGTATATAAAATATGTGTTTATCTGTGTATTTATAAACATATGTATATAAATATATATAAACATATGCATATGTTTATCTGGACAAACATGTAGACACCTGCTGAATTTTCACATAGTTTTACAATAAAACCATTATTGTCGATGCTAAAACAAGATTAAGTTTATAATATCACAAAGAATTACATATTCCTTACTTGAAAGCTTTCCATAACATTTGAATAATAACCTATAACTGTTCCTAACGAAATAAAAGCGATCTTCAAGGATGATTTGAGGAACTGATTTGATTAATCACAATTTTATAGTCCAATCTTTTTGTTCTAAAAGAGAGATATGATCAAATCATCCCAGATAGTTAATGATTATCATAGTCTTAAAAAATCTGAGAAAAGCATACTACAACTTAAGTTGGTAATGGGTTGTAAGATCATGGTTAGAAAATTTGATGTAGACTTAAAACTACTTCTTTAGAATTAACTATTTAAGTCTATTCTTCTATACCAAATTCTTTTGTGAATAGAAGACCACCCCATGCAACGCCCTTCCAGGTCTACTATTAAATCACCCCATCAATGTGCTCATCTTCTAACTCAGCATTTTCTAAAATGTTTAAATTAATACAATTAGTTTGGTTTTGCTCATATGTAAATCACCCAGTGAGTCCATTCCTGGGTATAAAAGAAAAACTCATAACCTTGTACATCAAGAGACATGTATAATACTCAGAGCAGAACTGTCCAAAATAAAACTGGAGACAGAACAATGAATAAATACACAGAATGAAATATTATACAGCAACAAAAACAGAATAAAAGACCCCCACTTCCAATGATATGCTTAACCCTTAAAGGTATAATATTGAGTGAAAAAAAATAAGAATAAATCATGTATAATACCATTTTAATAAATCTCAGTAAACTAGCAAATGAATTCTTTAGAAATAGATATATATGTGATAAAACAGTACTTGAAAAAGCAAAACAGCAAGGGAATTGTAAGTTGATGATAACTGGATACCTGGGGGTAAGGAGTGGCCATGGAATCAAAGAGATTCTTATGTATAGCTTCAAGGATATTGGTAATATTCTAGTTTTTACATTAGATGTGGGTTACAGTGTTTATTATGTTGCATTTTATACAGACAGACACAGACATCTGTATTACATAATGTCTTTTGTATGTAGCAAATATTCCACACGTGCTAAACTTTGTTTAATCACCCCACTGAGGTCACGGATTAGTTCAAAGATCCAACTAAGAAAGCCTAGGACTAAATATCTAGTGCTTCTAGTGCTTCTCCTCCTCTGACAGCACAATATTGTTAGGATAGTCTCTCCTGTACTCCCCTGCCCCAAAGAAAGCAAACATTTAATCTTTGGAAAAGATAATTTTCTGATTTTCATTATTCTGATAGGAAGATCAAGGACAAGGTTTTGGGTAAATTGTTTGGTTTATCATGTCACTGGAGTCACACTAAAGCATATTATAATCTCCCCAAAACAAATGCCCATATGTCTGAGACTCATTACTTCAAGTAGAACTGTTTGGTTTCTCTCTTGTTTTTACAAATCCTCTAAGACATTCATCCCTAGCAGGATAAAATCCCTAAGACATGCATCCCTAGCGGGATAAAAGTTGGTTCCTGGAAGGGGGACTTGAAAAAAATGTTTAGATGTTACAATAGTTTGTGGTCCTCGGCCAGGCATGGTGGCTCACGCCTGTAATCCCAGCACTTTGGGAGGCCGAGGCAGGTGGATCACCTGAGGTCAGAAGTTCAAGACCAGCCTGGCCCACATGGCGAAGCCTGTAGTCCCAGCTACTCAGGAGGCTGAGGCTGAAGAATCACTTGAACAGGGGAGGCAGAGGTTGCAGTGAGCTAAGATCACGCCACTGCACTCCAGCCTGGGCGACAAAGTGAGACTCCATCTCTAAAAGGACACAGTACATAAGCAGATATATAACATATCTATGGTATTCAAGTTTCTTGGGGTTAGGAAGGAATAATAACAGGGAGAAAATATCCGCAGGAGAGTAATAAAGAAAAGTAGATTGAAAAATACTGCTCTAAGAACCTATACTTTTTAGCAATCTATTAGGTAGTTTCATGATGCTAGCATGCAACTGGCCTGAGTCTAGAGAGTTAATCTTATTTATAACTATCACATGCCCTTTTACCTATTTTCTTTTCTACTTGAAGCTTAAATCAATCTTTATAATATACAGTCTATTCTTTCTTGCTTCAAGACAAGTCAGCCTCCTTGCTGTTTAAGGATGAAACAAAATAAGAGTTAAGACACCTTAACTTCTTTATTAGTAAAACTACACAATGTTCTCTATGCTGTAAATCTATTACCTCTTCCTACTCTGATATCAAACATATAATTAAAAACTTAAAAACACTTTGGGTTTTTTCTTTACATTTTCATAAATCTCAGCTTAATTTGGCCACAGGCATTCTCTATAGTACTCTCACAGTTTTGTGTCACTTTGTATTCAACTTTGGCAATGTGCCTGACCTTCCATTATCTGGACTTGATAATTTAAAATCCAAAATTTGTAAAGTTCTAGAAGTTCAAGCCAAGTTGGTTTCTTTAACTTCCTCCCACCTTTTATTATTTATGACTATTGGTAACTGTTTATAATTATGGAGTCTCAATTTAGTTCTATACTTCCAGTTTGTTTTGAATGTTTTGACCTTGGAACCATAATCATTTTCAAGATTTTTTAAAATCTAAGGTAGCAGTTCCTAATCAAATGTGAGGCCTGCCCCTCATAAATTGTCTGTATAATAAAGTGCTGATGTTTAGGAATAACTTATCTTTTCATTTTTTGAAGCAAACTGGAGCAGAATTGAGGTTATAGCCATAATAGAGACATTTGTACAGCAGTGTACTTTCTTAAGTAGAAGAGAAAAGCATGGAGTTATTTAAAGCTAGAGCCCTGGGAATTATGTATAATCATGTTTATGCTCCTGGGAGTGTCTTCCACTTCAGCATGATGCACATGTACTGAGAAACACTGCCTTAAGGCACATCTGACTAGTCTCAGTCCTTCCTTTATTCTTAGCACTCAGCAGTGGTTCTCAACTGGTGACCATACTGCTACCATTCTAGGCCTGCCAGGAGGCATTTGGAAAATGTCTGGGAGTACTTTGGGTTGTTGTAAAGCTTTGGGAAATGAGAAATAATTTGGTACACCACTGATATTTTGTGATGGTAAATGCAATGACCAAGATGGTCTCATCCTGCCCAGTATGTCAATGGCACCATAGTTGAGAAATATTGTGTAGTCATTATTTTTTCTCAAGGCCTCTGTTGCCTGCACACCACTAATGAGTTTGTCACAATTAAGCCCAGAGAAAGAGTTTCTCTCTATTTCCTTTACCTTCTGAAAGATAAAACTTTTAGCGAGGAAATCAGTAGAGAATAAGTTCTACCTTTAGAGTAAGTCTGTAGGAGTTGTCAGGATATCTAAGGCTCTCATCATCACATTCCAATTTTACATAAGTTTCTTAATACATATAAGCTACTTCTGAATCCCATGGCTGGCCTTGTAGTCTATGGCATACCTTCACAAAGAAAATACATTTTCCCTGCTTTTATTCTCCCTCAATAACAATACTAATAATGGCTATAATTTATTGCATTCCTATCAGGTACCAGGTAAACATACAAACGATTTTTCACATAGGATCTCATAACAATTCTAGAAAGCAGCAGACCTATTGTATAAAGACACAGATTCAAGACAGATTGGCTGGGTTCAAATTCCAACTCTACTATTTACTAGCTATGTAACCTTAATCAAGTTATTTAACCTCTCTGCTCAGTTTCCTCATCTGTATAATAGATACAATTGTACTTACTTATAAAGTTGTTATGAGGATTATATTAAGCACTTAGAACAGTGTCTAATAACAGTAAATGCTGTGTTTGTTAAATACTCATTACTCCCATTTTACAATAAGAAAATCAAAATTGGAAATGTAGTATCATTTGTCTATAGCTGCTAAGTCCATAAACCAAGATTTATACCTAAGTTGTTTAAGTCCAAAACTTGTATTTCAGTCATTATGTTCTACAGTCCCTCCAAAAGCTTTTCAACAGGTGTCCAGCTTCAGGTGCAAGACTTTCCCTACAAGTGTGGACCTCTCAGGGCTACATCAAATTTAGCAGACTTGCTGTTCCAGCCATTAGTTCTACTTCTTTTTGGTGGTATCAATGGTATGTTTTATTCCTTTTATTAAAATTTCAAAGTTATTTTGTAATGAATATTATGTTATCAGAGGATCTACTTCTCAAAGAAAATCCAACTTTCACTTATTCATGTTTTAGTATAGCGTATTTTACCAAAAAGCATGTCTATATTTAATTTGTCAGGAAATTGCACTAAACTACTGAAAGAAAGCATCATGCAGTGCTATGTGGTATCTGTGGTATATTTTACATTAATGCTTGAAACTAGCTGTATTTTTAGAATGGCCTCAAGAAAACATGAGTCATACTTAAAAGCACGCCAGAAATAGAAACAAGATTCAAGACTGTACATTACGAACATCTGCAAAACAAAGTGCCAAACTGCCATGCATAACCTAATATAAACATAGCACAGTACACGAGAGAAATCCCCAACTTCAATGTTTTCAGGCACAAAATGCTACCTTCCAGGAGTCCACATAATAATAAACCGATGTCAAAATAATCCCAAAGAGCTTGATCCTATATTCTAAGATTCCTTTTCTATGTAAAGATAAAAACATGTAGTTCATACTGGCCTAAATCCCTGATTCAATTCCTAACCAATATTTGTTTTCAAAAAATATGTACTATTTTTTGCCCAGCCATATTCAAAGGCTTTAAAGTAATTTTATCATAGTTATCTAAATTATAATTTTCTCCCTTCATGAACTCAAATTTTCATACATATAAAAGTTAAAATTAAAATTCTAGAAAATTAAGCATAGGTCAGATTCTATTATAATAAATCCTTCAAAACTGTTGATGTTTTCTTAGTATCCCAAAAAGCAGCATAATATAATGGAGGAAAAAAAAAAGTCTTTGAAGCCAGACAGACCTACTGTGATTTTTCATCCTGTCTTTTATCCATGTCCTTAGACAAGCATTTTGACTCTTTCAGGTCTGTTTCCTTATTTTCTTTTTTAAATTTTTTAAATTATACTTTAAGTTCTGAGATACATGTGCAGAACACGCAGATTTGTAGTTTCCTTATTTTCAAAATAAAGATAATAATACTTATTGAGTATGGTTTGTGAGGATTATAGGTAAAGCACCATGCCCAGTCCCTCAGCCAATGAGAACCAGGTACGGGAGAATTATTCAAGTCTCATCCTCACCTGCAAACTCCTATCTCTGCTGTGTACCCTGGACACCAGGCTGTATAGTGTGGATTTGGTGGATATGAATAGGCTCCTGAGTTTACACTCAAATTACCTGCTGGGCCTAGAGGCAAATCTGAAGAATAAGGGAGAAAGGAACCCAGTACTTACTACATCCTCACTGGTAAAGCCTATGTTAGAGTACTTTCACTTGACATTTCATTACCATTTCATCACCCCACAAAATAGCTCAGAAAGAATCTACATCTAGGCCCATAACATGCCCCTGAATTTGATTTTTCTACCACATCACAACACAAGATTTCAAAGGAAGCATGACTAACCTCCTCACTGCAACTACGTGCTCATCTGCTAAACTTTCCCCTATTTACCATGTAACATTCTGTAGTTAGATATAATGGACATGAAGGGTGAAAATATTTAGCACCAAAGTCCTCATTATTTACAACACGAACTAACTGAACTAAAAAATTAATTTATTCACACAGCTATATTTATTAAGGACCTACTATATGCTCAGCACCAAGAATACAAAGATGAATAAAATAAGGTTCTTTGAAGACATCAAAAGAAAAATACATATATAAAACATCAGCTTACGTAGCTTATATAAAGCCAATCATTTATAAAGTGGGCTGATGTTTCTATGATCCAATATAGCTGTTATCAAAACTAAATCTACAGCACTGGCCAGCACAGTGCTCAGCACAGAGAAGATATTCAGCTTTTCTTAAAATTGGAAAAATTCATCAATATGTATGAAATAATTATACATATCCATATTCAATGACTAAGTGTCATGTTGTTCACTTTTTGTGTAAGGGTACAAAAATAAGAGTATACATGTATATTTGCTTGTGTTTGTATAGAAAAATGCAAGACAGATTCCCCTGAAACTAATACTGTGAGAATTAACATGAATGAAAATAGGGGTGAATATATAATTTCTCAATGTATATCTTTTTATATTGTTTTGATTTCTGAATGACAAAAATATATTAGTTCTGCAAAAAAGTTATTTTTTTAAAGTCATGCTTTAGAAAATATTTTACATAAGGAAATGTCCACAATATGTTGCTTTATGAAAATGGTCTGTACATACAAAAGTATGGTCTGCAAATAAAAAAAGGTAAGAAAACATTCTGTATATACAAAATAGTATATACAGTACATACTATTATTTTCTTAAATGATACACATATACATAGTCATTTTTTAAAACACTAGATACGTTTCACAAAGATTCAAGCCATACAAAGTGTGTTCTCCGACCAAAATTAAATTAAATTAGAAATTAGTAATAAAAAGATCTTTGGAAAATCTCCAAATATTTAGAGACTAAACAGCATAATTCTACATAGCACATGGGATCATTGCTAAGTGGTATCAGTAAGATGGCTGACTTGAAGTTCCTAGCACTCCTCCCCCATAAAAAAACCAAGCCAAACAAATGAAAAAACGACATTTCCACCAAAATAAATAAAGGAGAGCCCTGGAGAACTGCAAAGGAGTAGGAGAAATCCTGTAGAGCACAGAAACCCAGGATGGCCACATAGAGAAGGAAAGGAAACTTTGCCTCTGCCAAGGATGATCTCAGCCCCTATTTGGGGATCAGCTTGGACCCAGGAGGTATTTCTCTCTGCAGGAAAAAGGTAAGCAGAAGGACACTACCAGCTCGCATCACTACTATGGATACCTGCAGTCTTTGCTACCAGAGATTCCTGCAGTCCTCACAGGCTCTGAGCCCAGCTGAGGGAGCTCCCCAGAGTACACATTCTGTGCTACTCCCAGAGAACAAACCGACACTGTGCCTTACCCCAGTCCCCTGCCTGAGCTGCTACTGTGTTGTAACCAGAGCCACTGCTCCAGTGCATCCTGTTCCAGGGATGGGTAGTCATTGCACCCCTCCATCCTGGAGGCTTTGCCATCACTGCAGCACAGCTACCTGGTAGCCCCCAATCCCTGAATTTAGCTACTGCTATGCTCCAAGTTACCCTGAAGCTGCTCCATCCCCTGCATCCCAGACATTGGTGTACCCTGCCCTTCAAGGCCTGAGCTGAAGTGATGCTCTCACTGGGGACCCACAGCATCAAACTACCCCCAGACACCACACCCATGCAACATCCTATCCTCCTGGATGCCCCAACCCTCCAGCACACCAGAGAAGATGTCCTACCCAGTGCCATAGCCGACACTGTACCCTGCCTCTCAGGGACCTAGCACCTCCTCCAACCCACGTAGCTGTATATTTTAGGGCCAAGCTGATACGGCATCTTACTTCCAGGGAATCACAGCCTTGGATGAGCTGTGCCTCTGCCCTACAGGTCAAATGGCCAAAGGGCCTTTCCTCCCTAGAACAGGACTAGGAACTCAGAATCTGAGCTGCTGAGGAGCCCCACCTCCCGAGGCAGTAGACTGAGGCTGTACTGCTCCCTGTCCCCTGGGCCGTATCTGTGCCTTGCCATTTCTGGGTTCTTGACAGTGCTGCACCTGGCTGCACAGAACCTGGGCTATTGCTGAGTGTCACCATCCCAGCATCAAGAGTAATTAGTGTGTGACATCTCATCTCCCAGGGCTCAAGTTGCCACTGTGCCCTGTTGATTCTAGGTCCCAAATTGCAGCTGTGCCCTATTCCCTGGGGCCTGAACCTTTGAGGCTCCCCTTCTTCCCTGGAGCCATGCCAGTTCTGCACACTGCCCTCCATGGTCAGAGCCACAGCTATATTCCTGCCCCCTGGGTGTAAGCTGTTAGAAAGTGCTTCAGAGGCAAGAGCAAACACATTCAAAAGCTAGCAGAAGGGAAGAAATAACTAAGATCAGAGCAGAACTGAAGAAGATAGAGACACAAAAAAAACCTTCAAAAAAATCAATGAATCCAGAAGCTGGTTTTTTGAAAAGATCAATAAAATTGATAGACCGCTAGCAAGACTAATAAAGAAGAAAAGAGAGAAGAATCAAATAGATGAAATAAAAAATGATAAAGGGGATATTACCACCGATCCCACAGAAATACAAACTACCATGAGAGAATACTATAAACACTTCTGCACAAATAAACTAGAAAATCTAGAAGAAATGGATAAATTCCTCGACACATACACCCTCCCAAGACTAAACCAGGAAGAAGGTGAATCCCTGAAAAGACCAATAACAAGCTCTGAAATTGAGGCAATAATAGGCTACCAACCAAAAAAAGTCCAGGACCAGATGGATTCACAGCCAAATTCTACCAGAAGTACAAAGAGGAGTTGATACCATTCCTTCTGAAACTATTCCAAACAATAGAAAAAGAGGGAATCCTCCATAACTCATTTTTTGAGGCCAGCATCATCCTGATACCAAAGCCTGGCAGAGAACACAAGAAAAAAAGAGAATTTTAGACCAATATCCCTGATGAACATCGATGCAAAAATCCTCAATAAAATACTGGCAAACCAAAAACAGCAGCACATCAAAAAGCTTATCCGCCATGATCAAGTTGGTTTCATCCCTGGGATGCAAGGCTGGTTCAACATATGCAAATCAATAAACGTAATCCAGCACATAAACACAACCAAAGACAAAAAACCACATGATTATCTCAATAGATGCAGAAAAGGCCTTCAACAAAATTCAACAGCCCTTCATGCTAAAAACTCTCAATAAATTAGGTATTGATGGGATGTATCTCAAAATAATAAGAGCTTTTTATGACAAACCCACAGCCAACATCATACTGAATGGGCAAAAACTGGAAGCATTCCCTTTGAAAACTGGCACAAGACAGGGATGCCCTCTCTCACCACTCCTATTCAACACAGTGTTGGAAGTTCTGGCCAGGGCAATCAGGCAGGAGAAAGAAATTAAGGGTATTCGATTAGGAAAACAGGAAGTCAAATTGTCCCTGTTTGCAGATGACATGACTGTATATTTAGAAAGCCCCATTGTCTCAGCCCAAAATTTCCTTAAGCTGATAAGCAACTTCAGCAAAGTCTCAGGATACAAAATCAATGTGCAAACATCACAAGCATTCCGATACACCAATAACAGACAGAGAACCAAATCATGAGTGAACTCCCATTCACAATTGCTTCAAAGAGAATAAAATACCTAGGAATCCAACTTACAAGGGATGTGAAGGACCTCTTCAAGGAGAACTACAAACCACTCCTCAACTAAATAAAAGAGGACACAAACAAATGGAAGAACATTCCATGCTCATGGATAGGAAGAATCAGTATCGTGAAAATGGCCACACTGCCCAAGGTAATTTATAGACTCAATGTCATCTCCATCAAGCTACCAATGACTTTCTTCACAGAATTGGAAAAGACTACTTTAAAGTTCATACGGAACCAAAAAAGAGCCTGCATTGCCAAGTCAATCCTAAGCCAATAGAACAAAGCTGGAGGCATCACACTACCTGACTTCAAACTATACTACAAGGCTACAGGAACCAAAACAGCATGGTATGGTACCAAAACAGAGATATAGATCAATGGAACAGAACAGAGCCCTCAGAAATAATACCACACATCTACAACCATCTGATCTTTGACAAACCTGACAAAAACAAGAAATGGGGAAACGATTCCCTATTTAATAAATGGTGCTAGGAAAACTGGCTAGCCACAGGTAGAAAGCTGAAACTGGATCCCATCCTTACACCCTATACAAAAATTAATTCAAGATGGATTAAAGGCTTAAATGTTAGACCTAAAACCATAAAAACCCTAGAAGAAAACCTAGGCAATACCATTCAGGACATAGGCATGGGCAAGGACTTCATGTCTAAAACACCAAAAGCAATGGCAACGGAAGCCAAAATTGACAAATGGGATCTAATTAAACTAAATACCTTCTGCACAGCAAAAGAAACTACCATCAGAGTGAACAGGCAACCTACAGAATGGGAGAAAATTTTTACAATCTACCCATCTGACAAAGGGCTAATATCCAGAATTTACAAAGAACTTAAACAAAATTACAAGAAAAAAACAAACAACCCGATCAACAAGTGGGCAAAGGATATGAACAGACACTTCTCAAAAGAAGACATTTATGCAGCCAAAAGACACATGAAAAAATGCTCATCATCACTGGCCATCAGAGAAATGCAAAGCAAAACCACAATGAGATACCATCTCACACCAGTTAGAATGGCAATCATTAAAAAGTTAGGAAACAACAGGTTCTAGAGAGGATGTGGAGAAATAGGAATACTTTTACACTGTTAGTGGGATTGTAAACTAGTTCAACCATTGTGGAAGACAGTGTGGTGATTCCTCAAGGATCTAGAACTAGAAATATGATTTGACCCAGCCATCCCATTACTGGGTATATACCCAAAGGATTACAAATCATGCTGCTATAAAGACACATGCACATGTATGTTTACTGCGGCATTATTCACAATAGCAAAGACTTGGAACCAACCCAAATGTCCATCAATGATAGACTGGATTAAGAAAATGTGGTACATATACACCATGGAATACTATGCAGCCATAAAAAAGGATGAGTTCATGTCCTTTGTAGGGACATGGATGAAGCTGGAAACCATCATTCTGAGCAAACTACCACAAGGACAGAAAAACAAACACCGCATGTTCTCACTCATAGGTGGGAAATTAACAATGAGAACACTTGGACACAGGGTGGGGAACATCACACACCGGGGCTTGCCGTGGGGTGGGGGGAGCGGGGAGGGATAGCATTTGGAGATATATCTAATGTAAATGATGAGTTAATGAGTGCAGCACACCAACATGGCACATGTATACATATGTAACTAACCTGCACGTTGTGCACATGTACCCTAGAACTTAAAGTATAATTTAAAAAAAAAGTGCTTCAGAGAAACAGACCTCAGCTTTGTGGGAGAAATGTATCCACTTTTGCCTTGGAAAGTGAACCAACACCTCAAGTCATAGTGTTTCAGTAATTTTGTAAGACCCCGGGCCTAGGAATTCTGGACCTGTGCCCCAGATCCCCGTGCTGCTGCATCTGCCTGTGGGCTGTGTCAGACTAGACATCAAGAGAGATACCCTCATCTAAGACTCTCCATTGTGGGAAAGACAAGAACAGGAGGATCCCTGAAGCTTTGGCCACTGAGGATCCTAATAACCTATGCTGCCACCATCACTGACACAAACTCCTGCAGCCTAGACCACCAAGACACCTGTAGTCATTGCTGAAATTGATCATAACTAAAGAAGCTGTAGCTACACAGAGACTACACCACTGCTCCAACGTGCCCAACCAATATCTTCAGGCCCATCTGCAGGGGAAAGTCTTCCCCTAAAAAAGCCACTCTGTAAAGTTTGGAAGAGGTGACTGCTCTATCAAATGCACAGAAATCAGCATCAGAACACAAACACACACACAAACACACACAAATGAAAAAGCAAAGAAACATGACACCACCAAAGGAACATAATAATTCCCCAGTAACTGACCCCAAAGAAATGGATATTTACAAATGGCCTAAAAAGGAACTCAAAAAAACAGTCTTAAGGAAATTCAGCAAGATATAAGAGAATACAGATAGAAAATTCAATGAAAACAGGAAAACAATTTATAACCTCAGAGATTCAACAAGCAGATAGATATCATAAAAAAGAACCAAATAGAAATCTTGGAACTGGAGAATGCAGTCAATGAAATAAAAAATACAAGACAGAGCTTCAAAAATAGATGAGATCAAGCAAAACCAAAAATATCTGAACTTGAAGATAGCTCTTCTGAAATTACCCAGTCAAAAGAAACAGAAACAGAAACAGGAGAGAAGAGAGGAGGGGAAGGGAGGGGAGGGGAGGAGAGGAGATGAAGGAAGGAAAAGCGGGGGGAAGGGAGGAAGGAAGAAAGGAAAAGAAAAAAGAAAGAAAAAGAAAACAGAGTGAAAAAGAGTGAAGACAGCCCATGGGACTTATGGGACACTACTAAGTGAACAAATACATTATGGGATATTCAGATGGAGAGGAGACAAAGACAGGGACAGAAAGCTTATTTAATGAAATAAATGCTGAGGTCCAGAATTCCTAGGCCCGGGGTCTTACAAAATTACTGAAACACTATGACTTGAGCTGTTGGTTCACTTTCCAAGGCAAAAGTGGATACAGTTCTCCCACAAAGCTGAGGTCTGTTTCTCTGAAGCACTTTCTTTTTTTTTTTTTTAATTATACTTTAAGTTCTAGGGTACATGTGCACAACGTGCAAGTCAGTTACATATGTATACATGTGCCATGTTGGTGTGCTGCACCCATTAACTCATCATTTCCCAAGTATTGGAAGATATATGGACATCAGATTCATGAAGCTTAAAAGTCTCCAAACAGATTTAATCCAATAAGCTATTCTCCAATGTACATTATAATTAGTCTGTCAGTCAAAGACAGAGAGTTTTAAAAGCAGCAAAAGAAAAGCATCAAGTCACATATAAGGGAATCCCCATTAGACTATTAGATTTCTCTGTAGAAACCATGCAGGCCAGGAGAGAATGGAATAATATATTCAAAGTACTGAAAGAAAAAAACTGCCAGTCAAAAATACTACACCCAGAAAAAACTGCCCTTCAGAAATTAAGGAGAAATAAAGTATTTCCCAGATAAGCAAAGACTGAGAGAATTCATCACCACTGGACCTGCCTTACAAGAAATGCTTCAGGGAGTTCTTCAAGTGGAAATAAAAGAATGGTCATTAATATTATGAGTACATATTGAAGTATAAAACTCACTGGTAAATACATAATCAAATCCAGAATACTCCGATACTGTAAACAGTGTGTAAATCATACATATCTCTAGTACGAAGGTTAAAAGTCAATTCAGTCAAAAATAACTAAAGCTAAAATAAGTTGTTAAGGAACATATAATATAAAAAGATGTAAATCTGAGGAGTGCGTAAAAGTCTAGAGTTTTTGTATGTGGCAGAAGTTAAGTTGTTATCAGCTTAAAATAGTCAATTATAAGATGGACTTTTGGGTGGAGCCTTCTGGAAAGGTGGCAGTGGTACAGGGGGCTGAGGTGAAAGTGGATGGCAGCAAGCCAAAACTGAGCAAGAATGAGCTGAAGAGATCCCTGAAAGCCAAGAAGAAAGTGGCAGAGAAGGAGGCCAAGCAGGAAGAACTCAGTGAGAAAGTTAAACCAGGCCACAGCTGCTGTCACCAACCATACCACTGACAGTGGTGTGGGTACTGAGGAGAAGAGCCTGGACCCAAATCAACACTACAAGATCCATAGTCAGGCAGTTTATCAACTGAATGTCAATGGGGAACACCCATACCCACACAAGTTCCATGCAGACATCTCATTCAATGACTTCATCCAAGAATATAGTCACCAGCAGCCTGGGGGTCACCTGAATGATGTCACCTTAAAGGTGGCAGGTAGGATCCATGCTAAAAGAGCTTCTGAGGGAAAGTTCATCTTCTATGACCTTCAAGGAGAGGGGGTCAAGTTGCAAGTCATGGTGAATCCCAGAAATTATAAATCAGAAGAATTTATTCATATTAGTAAGAAACTGCATCAAGGAGACATAATTGGAGTTCAGGGGAACCCTGGGAAAACCAAGAAGGGTGAGCTGAGCATCATTCCTTATGAGATCACACTGCTGTCTCCCCACATGCATATGTTACCTCATCTTCACTGTGGCCTCAAAGACCAGGAAACAAGGTATCATCAGAAATACTTGGACTTGATACTAAATGATTTTGTGAGGCAGAAATTTATCATCTGCTCTAAGATCATCACATGTATAAGAAGTTTCTTGGATGAACTGGGATTCCTAAAGATTGAAACTCCCATGGTGAACATCATCCCGGGGGAGCTGTGGCCAAGCTTTTCATCACTTATGACAATGCGCTGGACATGAGAATTGCTCCGGAACTCTATCATAAGATGCTAGTGGTTGGTGGCACCAAGCAGATTTATGAAACTGGATGCCAGTTCCAGAATGAAGGGATTGATTTGAGGCACAATCCTGAGTTCACCACCTGCGAGTTCTATATGGCCTATGCAGACTACCACAATCTCTTGGAAATCACAGAGAAGATGGTTTCAGGGATGGTAAAGCATATTACAGGCAGTTACAAGGTCAGCTACCACCCAGATGGCCCATAGGGCCAGGCCTATGATACTGACTTCACCCCACCCTTCCAGAGAATCAGCATGGTAGAAGAACTTGAGAAAGCCCTGGGGGGTAAAGCTGCCAGAAACTAACCTCTTTGAAACTGATGAAACTTGCAAACTTCTTAATGATATCTGTGTGGCAAAAGCTGTTGAATGCCCTCTACCTTGGACCACAGCCAGGCTCCTTGACAAGCTTGTAGGGGAGTTCCTGGAAATGATTTGCATCAATCCTACATTAATCTGTGATCATCCACAGATAATGAGCGCTATGGCAAATGGCACCGCTCTAAAGAGAATCTGTCCAAGCACTTTGAGCTGCTTGTCATGAAGAAAGAGATAAGCGATGCCTAAACTAAGCTGAATAATCCTGTGCCGCAGCAGCGGGTTTTTGAACAACAGGCCAAAGCCAAGGCCACAGGTGATGATGAGGCCATTTCACAGATGAAAACTTCTGTACTGCCCTGGAATACGTACAGGCATGGGCATTGACCAAGTCACCATTTTTCTCAAAAGATTCCAACAACATCAAGGAAGTACTTCTATTTCCTGCTATAAAACCCAAAGACAAGGAGAATGTAGCAACCACTGATATGCTGGAAAGCACAACAGCTGGCACTTCTGTCTAGAAAATAATAATTGCAAGTTGTATAAGTCAAGCATCTTTGCACATCTGCAAAAGATCAAGGTCTGCAAGGGAATTCTTGTGTGTTGCTTTCCATTTGACTACCACAGTTCCATTCAGCCATCAGAAGAGAGACAAGGAATTAAGAATTTCTTTTTATTCCTTGTTACCAAATAAACCATTTGTCTCCTCTCAAAAAAAAAAAACTATAAGATGTTTTATGTAAGCCTCATCATACCTGCAAAACAAAAAAGTATAGCAGATACAAAAACAATACAGAGAAAGAAATCAAAGCATAGTGTTATAGAAAATCATCAAATCACAGAGGGTAACAACAGAGAAAGAAAGGAACAAAGGATCTACAAAACAGCCAGAAAACAAATAACACAATGGAAACAGTGAGTCCTTACCTATAAATAATTATCTTGAATGTAAATAAATTATCTAAGAGTGGCTGCATGGATTTAAAAAAAGGGGGGAATTCAATTATATGCTGCCTACAAGAGACCCACTTTAGCTTTAAGGACAGACAGGACAAATGTAAAGGGATGGAAGAAGATAAGATATTCTATGGAAATGGTAACCAAAAGAAAGCATGAATGGCTATACTAATATCTAATAAAATAGACTTCACGTCAAATTCTGTCACAAGAGACAAAGAAGGTCATTATTTAATAATAAAGGAGTAAATTCTTCAAGGGAACATAACAATTATAAATATATATTCACCCAACACTGTAGCACCTAAATACATTAAAGCAAATATTAATGGACATGAAGAGATAAAGAGCAATACAATAATCATAGAGGACTTCAATTCTCAATTTTCAACAAAGGATATATCAACCAGACAGAAAATTGATAAGGAAATACTGAGTTTGAATTGCACCTTAGACCAAATAAGCCTAACAGACATATTTGAAATTTTTCATCCAACATCAGCAGTATACACATTTATCTCTAGCATACATGAAATGGTCTCCAAAATTGTCCATGTTAGGCCAGAAAACAAGCCTTAACAAATTTAGAAAACCAAAATCATATCTAGTATCATTTCAGATCATAATGATATGAAACTAGAAAACAGTAACAGGAAGAATCCTGGAAAATTTACAAATATGTGAAAATGAAACAACATGCTCTTGAACAACCAGTGGGCCAAGAAGAAACCAAAAGGGAAATTTTAAAATATCTTGAGACAAATGACAATGGAAACACAGCATGCCAAAACCTGTGGGATGTAGCAAAAGCAGTTCTAAGAGCAAAGTTTACAGCAATAGATGCCTACATTAAAAAGATTCTGAACAGTTGAACGTTATGCCTCAAGAACTCGAAAAAAAGAAATAAACCCAAAGTTAGCAGAAGAAAGGAAATAAACATCATAACAGAAATAAATCAAATAGAAAACAGAAAAACCATAGACAGAATCAACAAAACTAAGAGGTTTTTTGAAAAAATAAAACTGATAAACCTTCAGCTTGTTTAAGGGAAAAAAAAAAGAGAAGACTCAAATAAATAAAAAGTGAAAGTAAAGACATTACAACAGATGCCTCAGGAATAAAAAGGAACATAAGGGACACAAATAAATGGAA
Source organism: Homo sapiens (assembly GCF_000001405.40). Classification (NCBI taxonomy): domain Eukaryota; kingdom Metazoa; phylum Chordata; class Mammalia; order Primates; family Hominidae; genus Homo; species Homo sapiens. The sequence continues at coordinate 41,928,940 of NC_000013.11, forward strand.
AATATCCCATGTCCATTAATATTGTGAAGATGTATATACTATCCAAAGCAGTATACAGATTCCATGCAATACCTTTCAAAATCCCAATGGCATTCTTCACAGATAGAAAAAACAATCCTAAAATATATGTGTAAAAATACAAAAGATCTCAAATAGCCAACATTTCTGAGAAAGAAAAACAAACTTGGAAACATCACACTTCTTGACTTTAATTTTTTTTTTTTTTTTTTTTTTGAGATAGGGTCTCACTCTGTCACTCAGGCTGGAGTGCAGTGGCACAATCATAGCTCACTGCAGTCTCAACCTCCCAGGCTTAAGCAATCCTCCCACCTCAGTCTCCCAAGTAGCTGGGGCTACAGGTGTGTGCCACCACATCCAGCTAATTAATTTTTTTATAGAGACAGGGCCTCACTATGTTGCCATGGCTGATCTTGAACTCCTGGGCTAGAGCAATCCTCCTGCCTTGGCCTCCCAAGGTACTGGGATTACAGGCATGATCCACAGCACTCAGCCCTGTGTTACAAATTATGTGTGTATCAAAATATCACACTTACCCCAGAAATATGTGCAACTAGTATGTATCAGTTTTTAAAAAGGTATGATACTGGCAAAAAAAAGACAGACACATAGACCAGTATAACAGCATAAAGAGCCTAGAAATAAATTCAAACATATACAGTCAACCAATTTTTGACAAGGGCATCAAGGACCCAATGGGGAAAGGATAGTCTCTTCAATAAATGGTGCTGAGAAAACTGGATTTCCACAGGCAAAAGAATGAAATCAGACCTTTAACCTATACCATATACAAAAATCAACTCTAAATGTAAGACCTGAAATATAAAATTCCTAGGAAAAAAGCTCCTGGACATTGGCCTTGGCAATGATTTCTTTTTTATTATCTCAACCAAAAGCTCAAACTACAAAAGCAAAAACAAATAAGTGAGACTACATAAAACTAAAAATCTTTTGCACAGCATAGAAAACAATCAACAAAATGAAAAGGTAACTTATCAATTAGGAAAAAAACATTTGCAATCCATATATCTGGTGAGGGGCTAATATCCAAATTTATAAAGAATTCATATAATTCAATAGTAGAAAAACAACCCAATTTAAAAATGGGCAAAGGATTTGAATTCTCCAAAGAAGGTGTAAAAATGGCCAACAGGTATATGAAAAGGTGCTCAACATCATTAAATCAGGAGTCAGGGAAATACAAATCAAAACCACAATGAGATACCACCTCACATGTGTTAGCACGGCTATTATCAAAAAATCAAAAGATAAATGTCGGCAAGGGTGTGGAGAAAAGAGTGCGCACTGTTGGTAGACATGTAAATTGGTACAGCCATAATGGAAAACAATGTGGCCATTTCTAAAGAAATTAAAACTAGAAATACTATATGACTCAGCAATTCTTCTGGATATATACCCAAAGGAAATAAAATCACCTCATAAAGATATCTGTACTCCATGTTCGTTGAAGCACTATTCACAATAGCAAAGATACGGAAACAACCAAAATGTCAATGGATAAATGAATAAAGAAACCATGATACAGGTTGAGCAGCTCTAATCCCAAAATCATTAATTCAAAATACTCTAAAATCTGAAATGTTCTGAGTGTCGACATGACACCACAGGTGAAAAATTCCACACATTTGACTGCATGTGATAGGTCGCAGTCAAAAAGCAGGCATTCAACACCCAATTTACTAAGCATCCCCAAGGGAAAAACAGAACTACCTTCAGGCTACGTGTATAAGATATACATTAAACACAACTGGACTTCATGTTTAGAGTTGGGTCCCATCCCCGCAATGTCGCAAATATTCAAAAATTTTTAAAAATCTGAAATGCAAAATAACTCTGGTCCCAAGCATTTCAGATAAGGGATGGTCAGCTTGTATATCTACACAATATTTAGGCCAGGCACGGTGGCTCACGCCTGTAATCCCAGCACTTTGAGAGGCCGAGGCGGGCGGATCACGAGGTCAAGAGATTGAGACCATCCTGGCCAACATGGTGAAACCCCGTCTCTACTAAAAATACAAAAATTAGATGGGCATGGTGGCGCACGCCTGTAGTCCCAGCTACTCAGGAGACTGAGGCAGGAGAATCGCTTGAACCCGGGAGACGAAGGTTGCAGTGAGCCGAGATTGCGCCACTGCACTCCAGCCTGGGCAACAGAGTGAGACTCCGTCTCAGGGGAAAAAAAAAAAAAAAAAAAGAATATTTATTATTCAGCCTTTAAAAAGAAGGAAATCTTACCACTTGCCACAACATGAATGAAGTTGGAGGACATTATGCTAAGAGAAATAAACCAGACCCAGGGTTAAAAAAAAAAAAAAAAAAAAAAAAACCCCTACATGAGCTCACTTATATGTGGAATCTGGTTGGGGCGGTGGGGTGCAGGGGGAGTAAAAAACACAGAGATACAGAAAAAAAACATTGGTTACCAGGGGTAGGGGTGGGTAGGAAATGGGGAGATACAGGTCAGAGTATTTAAATAGCAGATATGTAAGATGACCAAGTCTAGAGATCTAATGTACAATATGAGGACTATAAGTAATAAAACTGTACTGTGAAATTGTATTGAAATTCCTCCTAAATGAGTAGTTTTTAGCTGCTTTTGCCAAACCAAAAAAAACATGAGTAACTATGTGAGATGATGGATATGTTAATTTGCTTCACTATAGTAACCATTTTACTATCTATATATATCTCATAACATCATGTTATATGTTACATATAAAAAATTAAAAAAAAAACTAACACATGGGCAAAGAAGAAATTAAAAGGGAAATTACAAAGCTTTTTGAACTGAATGAAAGTGAAAACAATGTATCAAAAATTTTAGCATTCCACTAAAGCTGTACTTGGGGAAAATTTTACAGCACTAATTGCCTATCCTGAGAAAACTGAAGTGTTTCCAATTAATGGCTTCAGCTTCTGCCTTAAAAGACTAGAAAAAGAAGAGAAAATGAGATCCAAAGAAAGAAAATAATATTCATCATAGCTTAAAAATCAATGCAATAGAAAACAAAAACACAAAGAAAAATGAATGAAACCAAAAGCTTGTTCTCTGAGACTAACAATAAAATTGACAAACCTCTGGTCAGACTATTAAGAGAGAGAAGACACAATTCACCAACATCATGAATGACAGAGAGACAGACAGACAGAAAATACAGATACTTCAGATATTAAAAGGATAATAAGTGGATATTGTTAAAAAAAAAACACTTATGCTAATGTATTCCACAACTTAGAAGAAATGAACAAAGTCCTTAAAAGAGTCAGCTCCTTTTTTAGTTGACACAATTAGGGATAACTTGAATGACTATATCTATGAAAGAAACTGAATTTACAGTTAATAACCTCCCGAAAAGAAAACCCTGGGCCAAGATGGCTTCACTGATGAATTCTACCAAACATTTAAGAAAAAATATCAATTTTATACAAATTCATTCAGAAAATTGAAGAGGAGGAAATTATTCCCAATTCATTCTATGAGGTCAGTATTACCCTCATATCGAAATCTGACAAAGACATGACAAGTAAGGAAAGCTGCAGATCAATATCCTTCATAGAGATGTACAAATCCTAAACAAAATGTTCACACACTGAGTCCAATAATATATAAAAAGACTCACACATTGTTACCAAGAGGGTCTTATCCCAGGAATGAGAAGTTGAAAAGTTAGCTTAACATCTGAAAATCAATCAATGTAATTCACCACATTAATAAACAAAAAAGAAAAAGAAAAAAAAACACAAGATCATATCAAAAGACACGGAAAAAGCACTTGATGACATCCAACATCTCTTCCAGATTAAAAACTCTAAGCAAACTATGAATAGAAAAAAACGTCCTTAACTTGATAAAGAACATCCTAAACCTTTACCTAACCTACTTAAAAATGAAAGACTAAAAACCCTTTCCCCCAACATCCGGAATAAGACGTTCTCTCTCATAACTTCTATTCAACATATTTTAATGTTTTATATAATAAATTACATATTAAAGAGATTTTAGCAAGTACAATAAGGTAAACACATAAAAGAAATCAGAAACATCCAGATTGGAAAGGAAAAAGTAGAGCTGTCTTTATTTATGGACATGATTGTTTATATAGAAAATGTGATGCAATCTACAAAAACAAGCTCTAGAACTAATAAGCGAGTTTTGCACGGCCTCAAGATTCAAGATTAGTATACAAAAATCAACTGTACTTCTATGTTTAAGTTAAAAAGACAATATCATTTACAATAACATCAAAAAGTATGAAATACTCAAAGCATAAAGCTGACAAAACATATGCAAGACCTGTACACTGAAAACAATACAACATTGCTGAGAGAAATTAAAGATCTAAATAGAGAAATATATCTTGTTCATGAGTTGGAAGTTTCAATAATATTAAGATAGCAATTATCTCCAAAATGATCTACAGATTTAATGCAATCCCCATTAAAAATCCCAGCAGGCTTTTTTGTTGTTTTATAAATTGACAAGTTGATTACAAATCACATATAGATGCAAAGAACTTAGAATAACCAAAACAACTTTTTAAAAGAACAAAGATGGAGAACTAACATTATCTGATTTCCAGACTAATTGTAAAGCTACAGTAGTCAAAACAGTGAGGCACTGATGTCAAGACAGAAAAATAGATCAATGGAACAGAACAGAGTCTAAAAACAGACTCACAATACACACAGGCATCAGACTTCTGACATAACTACAAAGGCAATTCAGTGAAGAAAGGATAGTCTTGTCAGGAAATGGAGCTGAAATAACTGGATATCCATATGCAAAAAATAAACTTTGACCCATACCCTATGCCACATACAAGAATTAACTCAAAAAAGGATGACAGACACAAATGTAAAATGCACAAGTACAACTACATCTAGAAAAAAATGAGAAAAGAAGTCTTTGTGACCCTCGGTTAACAAAGATTTTTTAGGATTTCTTAGGTGACACCAAAAGCACAATCCATAAAAGTAAAAACTTAGTAAGTTGGACTTCATTAAAATTTAAAACTCCTGCTCTTCAGAGAACACTATTAGGAGAATAAAAAGATAAGTCATAGACTAGAATAACATATTTGCAAATCTTATATCTGATAAAGTCCTTATATCCAGACTATATAAAGAAAAAGCAACTCAAAAAAAAAAAAACCACAAACAGCCCACCCAAAATGTAGGCAAAGATTTGACCAGACACTTTACAAAAGATATAAAGATGATAAATAAACACAGAAATAGATGCCTAACATCTTTAGTCACTAGGAAATGCAATTTAAAATCACTGTGAGATACTACTACATAACTATTTTAATGGTTAAAATTCAAAAGTCTGACCACACCAAGAGCTGGCAAGAATATGGAGGAACTGGAACTCTGATACACTGCTGGTGGAAATGTAAAATGATACAACCACTGTGGAAAACAGAATGGCATTTCTTAAAAAGTTAAACATCTACCGCATGATGCAGGTATTTACACAAGAAAAAAGAAAGCCTATGTCCATACAAAGACTTGTACATCAATGTTGAGAGCAGCTTTATTTCTAAGAGCCTATAACAACCCAAATGTCTACCAACATGTGGATATAGAAACAAATTGTAATATATCCATACAATGGAATACCACTTAGAAAGAAAAAAACTCAAAATCATTATGCTGAGTGATAAAAGCTAGACAGAAAAGTATATATGTTGTATGACTCCATTTATATAAAATTCTAGAAAATCCGAATAAATCTACAAAGCAGATTAATGATTCCTAGGCAATGGAGGAACCAGGAAACATTACAAAGAGGCACAAGTAAGCTTTTTGGGGAGATAAATTTATTTGATCAGTATTTTGATTATAGTAATGTTTCCTGGTTATATACATATGTAAAAACATCAAATTATACATTCTAAATATGTGCAGTGTATTGCATGTCAGTTATACCTAATAATACTGTTTTTAAAAATTAGAATTACATATATTATTAATAGTGTCTATTTAGGCTTATGGACAATTTTGGTTTTATCTTTTGTGTTTTTCAATGTTTTCCAAGTTTTTATGTTGATTATGTTTTATATTTGTAATAGGAACAAAAATTTATACTTCTTATGTTTTGAAAAACCATACTGCAAAGTAATAACAGCCATACTGGAAGCAAAGAACTGACATGCACGAAAGGAGCAATATGATTGGTGACATACCTCAGGGTAGTGTGGCTGGTCAAGAGATCACAATTTAATATCCAAAGTTCAACTTGCAGCTCAGCTTCCTAAAGTGCTTATGTATTAGGCATTGCTAAATTATAATTTGCTGAAGGCACCTTTGTTAGGCTTAGTATAGCTAGTCATATTTATGACAATGACAACCACAAACATAAAATAAAACCAAGGAATGAACTTTTGTTATGAGCACATCTCAAAAGAACCAAGAATTTTCAGGTCCTATAAAATGAGTCCAAATTTCTTAAACATAAAGCATGAACTTATTTTTGTGGGTCAGGTCATAGAAAAAGCGGTTAGAACTTATAATAGATGTATATGTTAATAAAAGTTGCATTTAAACATGAGGTTTTTATTAGCTATTTTAAAAATTACAAATGTAGTACATACTTACTATAATTTTAAAAATTCAAAAATGTAAAAAGAAAAATATATAAATGGTCTTTTTCAAGCACCACTCCTAACCCAATGCCCTACAAGGAAGTCAAAGTTAAGAGCCTGCAGTGCTCCTCCCACACTTCTCTCTAAACACAGACAGACATGTAATAGACCTATAAAGGTGCTTCAAATTGTTCGAGGTTTTTTTTTTTTTAACAATAGTGGTATCATATCTTATATGACACTCTGAAATCTGTACTATTTTGCTTAACTATAACACTCTCTAGGTACAAAGATGTAAGTCTAATTTATTCTTTTTTAATAGCCACAGAAGATTCCATAATGTGGGTATACAATAATTTATTCAACGGCTCCTCCACTGATAGACTCAGGTTGCTTCTACTTTCTATCTCTACCACAAACACCAAAATGCTGTAATACATAATATGTACATTTATCCTTTTTTAGGTACTGATTTTTTCATAATGGATAAAGCATAAAAAAGAAATGTCAGAAGATGTACTTTTTATTTTAATCACTACTCCAATATTACTTTCTAAAGAAGTCATATGAACTCATATTTCTCCCAGCAATGTATGAAAATGCCATTTCCCTGAAACTATATAGGTATTGGACATTACGATATTTTTTAATTTTGGCCCAAGTGATGTATGAAAGTTTGCTATCTTGCTATATAATTTCCATCTCTCTAGCTATTAAGCAGGGTTAGAACACACGTTCACATGTTTATTGTTCATTTGAATTTCCTCTTTTATGTTGTGCCTGTTTAAATCCTTCATTTATTTTCTATTGGATCACATGGTTTTTCTCATCAATTTACATGAGATACTTGTATATTAAGTGAGTTATTTCTCTATCATTTGTGTTATATAGGCATTAAAAATGTGATTTTTAAGTTAAGGGTTTACTATTTGAATTCATTTTCTCATTTAAACAATGTCTTTAATGGTGACTAAATTGCCACATGGATCCACAGAAGCCTATTTAGCACATTACATAGCTCGAAAATTGTACATCTGGGAGTAGAGGGCATTGGGGAGATGTTGGTTGAAGGATACAAAATTTCAGCTAGGAGAAATAACTTCAGAAGATCTATTGTACAATATAGTGACTATAGTTATTAACAATGTATTGCATACTTGAAAATGGCTAAGAGAATAGATTTTAAATGTTCTCACCACAAAAAAGATAACTATGTGAGGTAACAGACATGTTAATTAGCTTGATTTAGCCCTTCCATAATATATACATATATCAAAACATTTTGTACACCATAAATACAGTCATGCACCACATAATGACGTTCCAGGCAATGATGGATTGCATATTAGATGATGGTCCCATAAGATTATACTGGAATTGAAGCATTCCTATCACCTAGTGATGTCATAGTGTCATAACACTGTAGTTAATGCATTACCTTTTCAATGTTTCAATACACAAACACTTACCATTGTGTAACAATTGTGTTACAACTGTCTACAGTATTCAGTACAGTAACATGCTGTATAGGTTTGTACCCTAGGAACAATAGGCTGTACCATATAGCCTAGGTGTTTAGTAGGCTATACCAGCAGTCACCAACCTTTTTGATACCAGGGAAGATAATTTTTCCACAGACTGGGGGGAGGGAAATGGTTTCAGGATGATTCAAATGCATTACATTTATTGTGCACTTTATTTCTCTTATTATTACATTGCAATATATAATTAAATAATTATACAACTCACCATAATGTAGAATCAGTGGGAGCTCTGAGCTTGTTTTCTTGCAACTAGACAGTCCCATCTGGGGGTGATGGGAGACAGTGAGAGATCGTCAGGCATTAGGTTCTCATAAGGAGCGCACAACCTAGATCCATTGTATGCACAGTTACCAGTAGGGTTTGTCCTCCTATAAGAATCTAATGTCACCACTGATCTGACAGGAGGCGGATCTCAGGTGGTAATGCCAGCAAGGTGGGGCAGCTGTAAATACAGATGAAGCTTTGCTCGCTTGCCTGCTGCTCACGTCCTGTTGTGCAGCCTTGTTTCTAATAGGCCACAGACCAGTACTGGACCCATCAGTTATACCATGTAGGTTTGTGTAAGTACACACTGTGATGTTACAAGGATCAATGAAATCACTTAATGATGCATTTCTCAGAAGACAACCCTGTCATTAAACAACACATAACTGTATATACAGTTTTTGTCAATTAAAAAATAAATTAATTTTTAAAATTATACATCTGCAATGAAAGTTGCAGAAAGCAACAAGAGGAATTAAGCAGAAAATAAAAAGTAATAAAATGCAGCCAGCCATGGTAGCTCACACCTGTAATCCCAGCACTTTGGGACAACGAGGTGGGCAGATCACCTGAGGTCATGAGTTTGAGATCAGCCTGGCCAACACGGTGAAACCCTGACTATACTAAAAATACAAAAATTAGCCAGACATGGTGGCACACGTCTGTAATCCCAGCTACTGGGGAGGCTGAGGCAGGAGAATCACTTGAACCTGGGAGGCAGAGGTTGCAGTGAGCCGAGATCGCCACTGCACTCCAGCCTGGGTGACAGGGTGAGACTTGGTCTCTTTCAAAAAAAAAAAAAAGGTAATAAAATGCATCAAAAATATTGAATCCTTCTTGAATATGGTGCCTGGGAAAAAGAAGATAAAAGAAAAAGTAGGCACACTGGATAAAGATTGCTATAGAGACTCTACAGGATACTTCAGAACACGTTCAAGGGCTTTAAACGTTGATGAGCCTCTTCCTTTTAAGGACTCTATTCTTAAAAATACATCTAGGCCAGGTGCAGTGGCTCACGCCTGCAATCCCAACACTTTGGGAGGCCAAGGCAGGCAGATCATGAGGTCAGGAGTTTGAGACCAGCCTGGCCAACATGGTAAAACCCCGTCTCTACTAAAAATACAAAAATTAGCCAGGCGTAGTGGCACGTGCCTGTAGTCCCAGCTACTCAGGAGGCTGAGGCAGGAGGATCGCTTGAACCCAGGAAGCAGAGGTTGCAGTGAGCCAAGATTGCGCCACTGCACTCCAGCCTGAGTGACAGAGTGAGACTGCGTCTCAAAAAAAAAAAAAATACATCTAAAGAAATCTCAAAGAAAATTCTTTCATAATGAGAGGCAATTAATCCAACTATTGAAAATAAGGCAGATCTTCAGTAGTGGCAGCCCTGCATCTTTGATTTTTTCCCAAGCTCTAACTCTATTAAGTAAGGGACTCTTAGGTAACACTTTCCCAGTGAAGTTTTGTGTAATTTTTGTCACTAATTCACTAAAATTGACAAATAGCTGCAATGATGTTCTATATTATCTATATTTACACAAAAATCAGTTTTTCCATGCTATCATTTATGACACTGATGAATTTCTCAAACCTCAAAATTATTTACAAACTAAAGGAAAAAATTCTCTCCTCCTGTGGATTTTATGTCAAAACTCACCATTTAAAAGCACAATGTTGTAATTCTTACAGAAATCTTTGTGGGCCCTAATTGCTTGGATAAGAGTTCAGTGTGTCCAGTAAACCTTAAATGGCCTCATGTATAATTGGTCTACCAACTGCAACAAGATTATGTAAGCAAGCAGAAATATAACTCTGAGGTCAGGTTGAAAGTTATCTATTGAAAACTTGCTATGCTGGAGCACAACCTCGTGAGGCAAACCCTGGAAGAAATACCATTTTTGATACACTATAGTTTAACTTCAAGCACAAAAGCATGAAAGAATCCCTTTTTGAAAACTGCCAAATTCATCTAAGCCTTAAGATTCCGTTTTCACATAGAAAAGTAAAAAAGCATTTATCCACTTCAACACTTACAGGTGAGAGACTTGGGACTAAGATGATAAATGGAAGTTATAATGATCAAGGCAGGAGGTAACAAGACCTAGATCATAAAAAAAAAAACTGAAGAGTAATCCAACTCTCATGTCTATGATGTGCCAGATGCTAGATGCTGCACTGGGGAAGATGTCCTGCTGTGCCCAATGCTGTGCCCAATGCTGTGAAGACAGAAGCAATTCAAAAGAGAAGTTGACAGCTGCCTGTAGACTATACATATTTATTATTTCAGGTGGTCAATGAATTAAGAAATTTTACTTTGATGAGATAATACTGCTTTTGTGTAGTTTTGCATTGAAGTTTAGATTTCCAGCTAAGAATATTTCTAGTCTTAAGCATCAGCCACTTAGCAGGATTTCTACCATTCTATTAAATTTTAAATATGAATATCAGTTCATATTTCAACATTGTGATTTTTATTATTTCTTCATTACTGTAAGATAATAGTGATTCTCCGTGCTCTAAACAATAAATTTGATAAAGATAGAAATAAAATAGCACTGTCATGCCTCAAGTAATTCAGTATTTTTCAATAATCTTTCACACTTTTAAATTCCAAAAGAATTTTCTAACACACTGTTCTTCTCATTCCAGGACTTATTCTCAGGAAAATCAAGAGTAGCTAGTAAATAGCTAGAGACATCGTAGCAGACTGTAAAAGGAAAACCAAACTGAAGTCAGGAAATCTGGGCTTTGCTACTAATTAATCAGTCTTCTGACCTCCTTCTCTGGTCCTACTTTCCTGGCTATGAACTGAAAGTTTCAGAGAGGATAATAATTGCTGAAGTCCCTTTCTTCAATGTCTATCATTTTATGTTTCACTTGAAAAGTGAAAGTCTATCATTTTATGTTTCACTTGAAAATATTAAATATCTAAAAAGCAATAATCTTTTTAGAATTAGGTAAATCAAAGCATAAATACAGGAAGAAAAGTAAGAGGGTATCAAACTTCAACAAAACACCATTGCCAAAGTACTTTAAAATACTTTTTAAACTTCAAAACAGAAAAAAAAAAAGTCCATCAAAATTCTCTCATAATCCAAAGCCATAATCTCTAATCAATCAAGCAACAGCCACAGTGAAGCCAAAGAACTATAATTCACTCATTTTGGAAACAGTCCCTGAGAGAGGAAGAAAAAGTTCAACAAATACAATATTTGAAAACAATACAGTAAATGAATGCACAAAAACATGTATTATGCAAGACAATTTATCTGTCTAATCAATATGTAGCAACTGCATAATGCATATGTGGCTAAAGATTTTAGTTGATGTAGCTCAGTCACTTCTCTTATTTCAAGTTCATCAACTCCTTAGCCGAATTTTTCTTACAAATGGACACAGTTGCTCATAAGATTAGTAGAAACAATGCAACAATTTACTACTGGATAAAATATATGGTACCATCATCATCTTGATGTACAAAGGTTAATAGATGAGGAATACTTATATTGTGATTATGGTAGGAATAATGATGAATGAATAGCAAGAAAAGAAAATGCAAATTGGGTCTACAGGCTATCCAAATGCTTTCAATATTAACTCTTCAGGTAAATTTCAAAGAGCAAGCTACTAATAACAAAAAACAAACAAAAAGTTTTGATTACCTAGAGGGTGAATGAAAACTATAATAAAAGTATGTAAACAAGAAAATGTGGTGATTTTTGGAGGTTTTTTGATGACTTGCTCTCAGCCAGTCACTGTATTGCTCCTCAGTCATTTGCAAAATACTAAAATACATTCACTCAAAGCCTATGCTTTTAAAGTGTGTATTATTGCTACGATCTATTAAATCCTTAAAGCTAATATAGATAATACAGTGAATTCTCTCACTTAAGAAGATTCCCAATATAATTAAGCATTTGTGACTATGACAAGTACTTCAGCTGACCCCAGATATAATACGGCACCTTAGAAGCTAAAAGAAGGAATGACTAATGCTATCCTCTGTTGAACGCTATCAGGCAATGACAATGCTTCACGTCTAAGTGAGACTGAAAATGCCAACATTCTTGCTACACTGCAAACACAGTATATTTGATCTCTGAAGGAAACTGAAGCTTATTTGAAAAGCCTACGGCCATTTGTAATCCTGCAAACAACCTAAATTAAAAATCAAATTTAGATGAAATGCATACAGAATTTATTTATTAAGAACAAGACTAAATGAAGACTAAAATATTTTTAGCATATCTCTTCAGCATAATCATAGCAGCCCCTAGTAATCCCCATACTCAACAGTGTCACAGGCACAGAATAATGGAAAACGAAAAGGAACAAGAACCAAACCACATTTATTGAGCACTAAGCACCAGGCAGTATCCTACACATTTCATATATGCTATTTGATTTAATCATTATAATATATCTGTGAAGTTGAAACAATCACCCCTATACAGTCAAGGAGGCTCAGAGCAGTGAAATAACCTGCAGAAACTGGCACTGCTAGAAAGTAGTACAGCCAAAATTTTAAACATTAATTTCCACCCCAGCAATCATTTTCCTACAGAACTCAAATTACATAAAAGTTTTCCTATTGTCTGTCAAGATTGGATATTATCCCTTGCCTCTCAAGTTTAATGTAAAACATTAGCTACACTCATAATAAGAGAAGACCCAGAAAGCAGGAAAAGTGCCCTTTTCCCCCCAATTATCATGTGCCCATGGCATGTAAGTTATTATACATCTATTTTGTTAATTTTTCTCCAGACAAGTGTAACAACTTGGTGAAGAATTTATGTCATTAGTCTTACCTCTGGAAAAGAAAACCTATTAAAATAACACACTTAGGCATAACCATTAAATAATGAATATTAAAAATAAATATTCCCAACTCCCACTTCCAGTTAGGATGAAATGAGTTGCAAGAGAATTTTATTTCCAAACTAACAACCAGAATAAACCAGCTAATCTATAAAAATCACAGTTTTCTAAAACTCATCACACAGCTAACAAAACAAAGAAGCCTACATGAACTAAATTCTAGAAAAGACTGAGCCTTTTCAAGGAAAGAATAGACCCGCAGCTAACTTTCACCCCTGGTAGAATGGCAGGAGGAGAAACAATCTGCATAGATGTGTCAGGAGAAACAAACTGAACTTTCAGCAAACTTATGATGGCCACGCATGGGCAGACATAATGTACCGAGAAGTCCTAGCCACATAGAAAACCTGCATCCACCCACCTACTCCTTCCCAACAGTCCTTACAAGTACACAGGGATGTACACTACAGACCAAATACAGGGCAGGAGCTGAGACATATTCCTCCTGAAGCATGCTGGACCTTTCCCTAGTGCAAGGCAACATCCCACTAAAAGGCCAGTGGTAGGAGAGAAGAGGTGACAGAGATTCCTCCTAGGCACTCCAGGTCTTTATCCAGTGCAAGACAGCAGTTCCTTAAGGATGGTACTGGGGCCAGATAGCTGAGATAAATCCCTCAGAAGCACTCTCCACCTTCACTGAAGTGGCCTCTGGAGGCTGAGGGCAGTACAACAAGACAAGAGACAGCTGAGTTGCAGCAAGCAGAATATAAGACTGAATAGCAAAGAGAATTCCCCAGCATTCCAAAAATCTGGCAGCTATACAGCAAAGAGATTTTCACAGACCTCTTTGGCCCCAGGTTTGCCACAGTTTGTGAAGCTGGTGTTAGAAGAGGAACTAAAATAAAAATAAATAAAAATTAATGCTTGGAAATCAATGAAATAACAAATGGACAAGCAAGAGAAAAAAATCAATAGTCAAAAGCTGTTTCCTTGAAAAGTTATTAGCACTGATAAACCCATAGTAAGACTAATTAAAAAGAAAAGGAAAAAACACAAATACAAATTTCCAGTATCAAGAACAAAATAGAGAATTATCACTATAGATTCTACAGATATCACTAATCACTACAGATTCTCAGATATTTAACTAATAAAGGCTATATTATGAAAAAATGGTGCTGATGAATTTAGAAGCAGAGATGTAATAGACCTATCCTTTTAAAACAAAGCAGAATTATAAAATTCTTAGGAAAAAAACACAGAATGTCTTTACAGTCTTGGTGTAGGCCAAGATTTCTGACACAATGAGCACTAACTTTAAAAAATAAATAATCAATAAATTATGTGTAATCAAACTTTCTGCCAACCAAAAGATATCAATGAGAAAATGACTAAGCAAATAGATTGAGAAAAAGTATTCATAATACTTATACATGACAAAGTACTTGGATCCATAATACATAAAAAACTTTTGCAACTCAATAATAAAAAGGCAGACAACTCAATTTTTTTAGTGGGCAACTGACTTTAATATATACTTCACAAAAGTAGAAATACAAAGGGCCAATAAGCACAGAAAAATATCTTGAACATCACTGTTCATCAGAGAAATGCAAACTTACACCACAGTGAGGCTGGGTGCAGTGGCTCATGCCCGTAATACCAGCACTTTGGAGGCCAAGGTGGGTGGATCACCTGAGGTCAGGAGTTCAAGACCAGCCTGGGCCAACAGGGTAAAACCCTGTCTCTACTAAAAAAATACAAAAATTAGCTAGGCAATGTGGCGTGAGCCTGTAATCCCAGCTACTCGGGAGGCTGAGGTAGGAGAATCGCTTGAACCTGGGAGGCAGAGGCTGCAGTGAGCCAAGATTGAGCCACTGCACTCCAGCCTGGGCGACAGAGCAAGACTCTGTCTCAAAAAATAATAATAATAATAATAATAATAATAAATAAATAAACCACAGTGAGAGGACAGGCATTACTGGAATAGAGTAAGGACCTCTGAAAATTCATTCCTTCTTAAAAAAACAATAATAATGGCATAAATTGTCAAACTCAACTTCTTTAGAACTCTGGAAATCAAAAAGTTTTCAACAATCTCATGAGCATTTATGTAAGAAAAGGGGTTAATTCGCCCTAACCCCATCCCCATGTCCCTAGCTCTGTGATTGTTTTTCTTTTCTTTTTTCTTTTATTGAGACAGGGTCTCACTCTGTTGTTCAAGCAGGAGGCATGCAGTTGCACAATCATGGCTCACTGCAGCCTCAACCACAATAAAAAACAATATTTTATTTTTTACAGAAACAGGGTTTTAGTGTCTCACTATGTTGCCCAAGCTGGTCTCAAACTCCTGGCCTCAAGCGATCATCCCACCTTAGCCTCCCAAAGTGCTAGGATTACAGGCGTGAGCCCAATTGTTTTACAACAAACTGTCCATAATCATGGTGAAAACCAGCAGCCTGGAAGTCACTGAAGTGAACAGAACTATACAGAAGCTCCTCAAAAGCCTCAATCCCAAAAAATTATCCCTACTTGACCTGTCTGGCAGCTCCCTGAAATGCTCCATTTTTAGAATTTGTCTTTATTTGATGTACTCAGAGCTACTGTATGCAAACAGCACTAACTCGGGGCATTTGTCAAAAAAAATCAACAATTGTTTAACATCACAGCTGCCTGAGGCAGCAAAACCAGTTGGAGCTAACAAGAGGACAACCAAAAAACTTTAAAGACAGAAACAAAAACTGAAAATGAGATGTTTGCAGAAGGCTTTGAAAAGCTTCAGTGTATGCCTAAGAATCTGGAAGGCCATGCATATATTCAGGAAAATCCTGAGAAGGGCCTAATCTCTCTCTCACCTTCCGCTAATCTTGAGGGTCCACACAAGCAGAAAGAAAAGGTTGAGACACAACTGTAAGCTACCTATGGAGCACTGAAGTCATGTCCAACTTGCACACACAGACTCTCAGCAAAAGCCAAGAGACTTATTGATTCAAGGCATTAAAGAAATCTCCGTTCAAACATTAGCTGACCACTAAGCTAACAAGGCATGACAAAGAACACAGACTTTAAAGAAATAGACTAGGAACATCACTAAAAAAAAAAACAGCAACACAAGGAGCAACCACAAAGCCTGGGAAGGAGAGATTATACTATTTAAAATGTCTACTTTCAGTAACAACAAAATTATAAGAAATTAAGAAATAGGAGAGTATGGCTCATACATACAGAAAAAAGGAGTCAATAAAAACTATCTCTGAGTAAACCAGACATTTGACTAAGTAGAAAAACACTTTAAATCAGCTACCACAAATACATTCAAAGAATTAAAAGAAATCATGTCTAAAGAAGTATGACAACAACGTCTCATGAAACAGAGTACCAATAAAGAGAAATTATAAAACAAGATCCAAATAAAAATTCTGAACTTGAAAACTCTGATTAAATTAACCAGAGGGGCTCAACAACAGATGTGAGCAGGCAGAGGAAAGAATCAGCAAACTTGAAGATTAGTCAGTTGAGATGATCCAATCTAAGGAACAGAAAGAAGAAATTATAAAGAAAAATGAACTGAGTCTCACAGACTTGTGGGGCACCATCAAATCTATCAAATATAATGGGAGTCCTCGAAGGAGAGAGAAAAAAGAGAATAAATAAATAATAATGAAAAATAATAGCCAAAATTTTGCCAACTTCGATGAAAAACATTAATTTCCACATCCCATCCAAGAAGCTCAACAAACTCAAAACAAGGTAAATTCAAAGAAATCTGCACTTAGACACATCCACAGTCAAACTATCAAAAAGCTGAAGAGAGAATCTTGATAGCAGAGAAAAACTGACTTATCATATAAAAAGGATCCTTGTTAAGATTGATAACTGACTTCTTTTCAAAATCTAGGAAGTCCACAAACAGTAAGAAGACATATTCAAAGTGCTGAAAAAAAAAAACCTGTCAACCAAGAATTCTATTTCCAGTAAAATTATCCTTCAAAATACAAAGGAGAAATGAAGACATTTCCAAATTTAAAAAAAAAAAAGTGATAATTCACCACTAGCAAACCTGCCATCTAGAAGATACTTACTAAAGGGCATCCTTCCTTTAAGCTGAAATGAAAGCACACTAGACAGTAACTCAAATCCACATGAAGAAATAAAGATTATCAGTAAAGGGAACTACATAGATAAATAATAATGACAACGTAAGCCTATTTTTGTTTGTAACTCTTTTCTTCTACCTGATTTTAAAAACTTCATAAAGCAATAATTATAAAACTGTGCTGATAAACTTTTAATGTATAAAGATATAGTTTGTATGACAATAATAGCACTGAGGAGCTGGAAGGGAACAGAGCTACATTGGAGTAGTTTATATACTATTGAAACTAAGTTACCATTAATCTAAACAAGATTGTTTTAGGTTAAAGTGTTAATTAGAATCCCTAGGATGACCACTAACAAAATAATTAAAAAAAAAAAAAGAGTAGTAAAAGAAAAAGTGGGCCAGAGTGGAAAGGACAGATTGCAGAGGCATTTAGGGGGTAGAGTCAATGGAACCTTGGGTTAGATGAAAGTGACATATTCTCCCTCAAGAAGCTGACAAAGATTCTCTTCTTGCCCAAACTTTAGTCAGGTTTCTAAACCTTTTCCTAGACACACCTGTGTACTTCCTTGTAAAATCCAGTTGTAGCAAAAGAACGCCATTAAAACAATTTATCCAGAACCCGCCCATCCTCATAATCTAATCACCCTTGATAGCTGATCAGAGTCCTCATCTTCTACAATCCCCCAGGTGATGTCTGATCACCCCAGCCTGTCGTCAGCAAGAATTTTGTTAGGTTGGCTTAGCCAGAATCTCCCTTAACCCTGACATTTCCTCTTAACAATTTTCTATCCACCAACTCCCACACTGTTCCTTGGCTATAAACTACCACTTGCCCATGCTGCATTGGGGGTTGAGCCCAGTCTTTCTCCCCCACTGCAAGACTCATAGTGACAGTCCTGAATAAAGTCTTCCTTACCCGGCTTTAACACATATCATTGATTTATTTTTTCTTTAACAGAGCACATAGTCTAGTGGAAGAATCTGAAGAGTGAACAAAAAGCTATTCTATATCATGACCAATGACTGGAACAAAGAATAGGAGAGGAGAGTGGCATGAGATGAGACTAAGATTAGATCAAGAAATTAATAGCTAAGGATGGACCTTTGTTCCCAAAATACTAAAAACTCATTTAAAGAATTTTGAGAAAAGAAGTGACATGATTTTGGGCAAATAATGATTGCAAGTCATTAGGGAAATACAAATCAGGACCACAATGAGATGTCACTTCACATGTCTGACTATGGCTGTAATAAAAAAGACAAACAATAACAAGTGTTAGTGAGGATGTGGAAAAACTAGAATCCTCACACATTGCTAGTTAGAATGTAACATGGTGTAGGTGATTTGAAAACCATATTGGTGGTCGGGCGCAGTGGCTCATGCCAGTAAACCCAGCACTTTGGGAGGCTGAGGTGGGCGGATCACATGAGGACAGGAGTTTGAGACCAGCCTGATCAATGTGGTGAAACCCCATCTCTACCAAAAAATACAAAAATTGCTGGGGATGGTAACCTGCACCTATAGTCCCAGCTGCTGGAGAGGCTGAGGACCTGGAGGTTGAACCTGGGAGGGGGAGGTTGCAGTGAGCCGACATTGCACCACTGCACCCCAGCCTGGGCCACAAAGTGAGACCCTGTCTCAAAAAAAAAAAAAAAAAAAAAACAAAACAAAACATTTTGGTAATTCCTTGAAATGTTAAACATAGAGTTACCATGTGACCTAGCAATTTATCTTCTAGGTAAAACCCAAGAAAGTTGAAAATATGTCCATATAAAAACTTGCATATGGATGCTTGGAGTGGCAATATTCACAATAGTCCGAAAGTGGAAACAATCCAAATGTCCATCAACTGATGAAAGGATAAGCAAAATGTGGAATATCCACACAATGGAATATAATTTAGCCATAAAAAGCAATGAACTACAGCATCAATAAACCTTGAAAACATTATGCTAAGATAAGCAAGATACAATGGCTACATATCCCATGTATATAAAATGTCCAAAATAGACAAATCTATAGAAACAGAAAGTATATTAGTAGTTGCTAAATGCTGGGAGGGTGGTGGGGGAGAGAGAAGAAAGAAAATGGGAAATAACTATTAATGAGTATAAAGTTTCTTCATGGAGTGATGAAAACGTTAGATAACAGTATGGTTGTACAACTCTGAATAAACTAAAATTACTGAATTGTACAATATGGAAAGGTGAACTTTATGGTATATGAATTATATCTCAATAAAACTGTTATAAACCAAAAACCATGATGAGTTACTTTTTCACACCTGGTAGACTAAGATTAAAAAGACTATGCTGACAAGGATGTAGAACATCACTGTCGGTCAAAGGTAAAATGGTACAACTGCTTTGGAGAATTGTTTGGCAGTGAGTTAAAAAGTTAAACAGGCATCTATAGTATGACATATCAACTCAACTCCTAGATTTTTACTCAACAGAAGTAAAAACTGATAACTACAAGAATTGTACAGGAATGTTCACAGCAGGCTTCAAATGAAAGCCATCCAAATGTCTATCAATAGGAGAATGGATAAACAAACTGTGGTATGTTTATACAATGGAACATTATTCAGGAATTAAAAACAAACTGATAGGTACAGCAACATAGATGAATCTCAAATTAATGCTCTTCATGAGAAAAAAAATACATACACACATACAACCATACCATGTGACTCTATTTATATATAGCTAAAGAACAAGCAAAACTAATCTACCATCATAAAAAAAAAAAAAAAAAAAAAAAAAGAACAGTGATTTCCAGGGCAGGGTAAAGGGGTAGGAACACAAGAGAACATTTGGGATGATTAATGTAATCTTGGTGGTTATACAGGTTTATAAAATTGTCAAAACCAACCAAAATAAATACTTAAGATCTGTGCATCTGTTCACGATAGCAAAGACTTGGAACCAACCCAAATGCCCATCAATGATAGACTGGATAAAGAAAATGTGGCACCTATACACCATGGAATACTATGTAGCCATAAAAAATGATGAGTTCATGTCCTTTGCAGGGACATGGATGAAACTGGAAACCATCATTCTCAGAAAACTAACACAGGTACAGAAAACCAAACACTGTATGTTCTCACTCATAAGTGGGAGTTGAACAATGAGAACACATGGACACAGGGAGGGGAACAACACACACTGGGGCCTGTCAGGGGGTAGGGGGCTAGGGGAGGAATAGCATTAGGAGAAGTATCTAATGTAGATGACCGGTTGATGGGTGCAGCAAACCACCATGGCACGTGTATACCTATGTAACAAACCTGCGTGTACTGCACATGTGTCCCAGGGCTTAAAGTATAATTAAAAAAAAAAAAAGTTCTGTGCATTATATGTAAATCTTATTCCAGGTAAAAAAGAAACAGTAGGATGTGAGAAAAATAAATGTTTCTACTGAAATATTGATGGGTGAAGTAATAGGATGTCTGGGATAGGTTTTAAATACTCCAGAACAAAAATCAGTTAAAAGAAGATTGGCATAATATTGATAAATGTTGAAGCTGGATGATAAAATCATTAGGTTTATACTATTCTCTCTAGCTTTAAATAACTTTGAAAATTCCTATAATGAAAAGTTAAAAGTTATTCATTCATATATTAATAAATATTTCTTACTGTAGTTCTGTGGCACAAGTTCTGGATTCTTAGGAATTTTCAACTTGTAGGATACATCTCCAATATTAACTGTATCACCTAAAAAGAGATTTTAAAAACAGAATAATTATAAGAGACAAACGAGAAAACCATAGACTATGCAACAATGCTTGTCCTGACCTACAGAGAGGGATGTTACAGAAATGTACTACGCAGCTGTCTATAAGTCAAGCACTATGCTCTAAAACTTCTATCCAAAGTATATATGTATAAAGGAGAAGTGAGGCATCAGTGCAATTCACATTTTAAATGTGTTAGCAAACAAACAAACAAAAACATGATAAAATACATCAACAAGCTTTATTTCATGAATAGCAACATTAATATAGGCAAAAGCAATACAGAAGAATGCATTTTGTTTAAGATCATTCAAAGTATCCATAGAGTAAAATCTTTTTTTTTTTTTGTTTTTGAGATGGAGTCTCACTCTGTCACCTGGGCTGGAGTGCAGTGGTGCAAGCTCAGCTCACTGCAAGCTCCGCCTCCCGGGTTCACACCATTCTCCTGCCTCAGCCTCCAGAGTAGCTGGGATTACAGGCGCCTGCCACCATGCCCAGCTAGCTTTTTGTATTTTTAGTAGAGACGGGGTTTCACCATGTTAGCCAGGATGATCTCGATCTCCTGACCTCGTGATCTGCCCGCCTTGGCCTCCCAAAGTGCTGGGATTACAGGCATGAGTCACCACACTCAGCCTTTTTTTTTTTTTTTTTTTAAGACGGACTCTTATTCTGCCACCCAGGCTGGAGTGCAGTGATGTGATCTTGGCTCACCGCAACTTCCGCCTCCTGGGTTCAAGTGATTCTCCTGCCTCAGCCTCCTGAGTAGCTGGGATTACAGGTATGTGCCACCACATCTGGCTAATTTTTGTATTTTTAGTAGAGATGAGGTTTCACCATGTTGGCCAGGCTGGTCTTGAACTCCTGACCTCAAGTGATCCGCCCACCTCGGCCTCCCAAAGTGCTGGGATTACAGGTGTGAGCCTCCACACCCAGCCCATAGAGTGTTACCTTTAACACAGATCCTCAACCTTTTTACATATCTTTGTACACCCGTATTTTTACTGCATACAGTTTCAAATTATCCAGCAACATATCCTCAAACTTCAACATTTCTAGGTGCATAAAAGGAATAAAGCCCCAGTGGCATAAATGCCAAGAACTGGCCAGGTGCAGTGGCTCACGCCTGTAATCCTAGCACTTTGGGAGGCCAAGGCAGGCGGATCACTTGAGGTCAGGAGTTAGAGACCAGCCTGACCAACATGGTAAAACCCCGTCTCTACTAAAAATACAAAAATTAGCTGGGCGTGGTGGTACGTACCTGTAATCCCAGCTACTTGGGAGGCTGAGGCAGGAGAATCGCTTAAAGCCAGGAGGCGGAGGTTGCAGCAAGCCAAGATTACGCCACTGCACTCCAGCCTGGGCAACGGTGCGACACTCCGTCTCAAATAAATAAAAAATAAAAGCCAAGAATTCCTACATGAAATAAGCAAAAGCAGGCAAAAGTTTTCAGTAAGTTCTATACAGTTCTATTTTTTAATGTAACCTTAATTTCCGAGTGATCTTCTAAAGCCGAGGACTAAACTGAATAATCTCTCCCCGCTGTGCTCTCTCTAACAGCAAAATAGGCATGGTGATACCATTTGCATCTAGAATTTCATTTGGAAAGGGCTCAGAGACACTCCAAAAAAGTAGTCGTGCAAAACTCATCTTTCAGCACTGCCAGTTTAAAGCTAGCAAGATACCTTGAACACTAAGGCCTTAAATCATGGTACTAATAACAATAGCCAACATTTGTTGAATGCTTACTACCTTCTAAGTATTTTTTGCATTCTCAAAATAATCCTATGAGACAGAAATTTTACAAATGAGAAAATTTGTAAATCCATAACAGAGTTTTTAACAGATAAAGAAATTTATTACAGGTATGTGGTAAATTGAGAGAGGAAGATAAGGACTACACACAAAGCTAAATCCCTGCTAGGTCCAAAACTGGCAGCCAGAAAAAAGCAAGGCAAAAGATGATGAGGACCAAAATTCAAAAGCCTGCAAAGCTCCTCCATAACCCGTGCACCGCTCCCTTTTCCTCCCCTGTCCAATTAACTCTTTGTCTTCACGCAATCTATCACAGAGATTCTCAAAGCATCAACGTCACCTGGGAACTTGTAAGTCATATAAATCTTCAGGCCCCACCTCAGACCTACTGAATTAGAAACCCTAAGGTCCAGCAATCGGTGTTACAATGAGCCCTCCAGATGATCTCTAATGCATGTTTGAGATCATTTGGTCGTTTAAGTTCTAACACCCTCAAAAAACAGGTGGTCAGCAGTGCCTCATATAGTACAATCTTAGTTACTGCCAGGTATTGGTTGACTGGTCATCTCGCCCTATTTTCCTTAATGCAGGAAAGAACCTATAAATTAGCTACTTTCTACAGTAGCTTTTCTTTTAAAAGATAAGCTTGCTTACAAATATAAGTGATATTATCTACTGGCTTTTATTACAGAGTAGTTTCAAGAATTATAGTTACAGTATTTTCAAATAGGATGTCTTTACAAATGTTATTTCACTTCCTGAAAAGACTGTAATTATTTGGCCTCCTGACAAAATGATACTGAGTAATTAATCTGAACATAAGAAAAACGTTTTCAGGCACAGGTTCTCATTACAAACATTCCCTGAGTGTTAGAGCTGACCGACATCATCCTTCTAATAAATAATCTAGAAAAAGGGCAGACTATACAAATTCATGGTAACTTGACAATTGGCTGTCCATTTTTTTTTTAAAAAAAGTAAAATTCATACCTCACATTTCTGAAAGACAGTACATTCAAACTGAGTAACTGAGGAGAGTACAAAAAGGGAACTATTTACAAAGGTATAGCAGAGTTTACGGAAACCAAAAAAGATGGTGCAGTATCCTAGGACTAGCAATAACAGAAAGTCATTACCGCCCCTAGGCCTGAAGGGGCAAGGGGAGAGAGCAAGCAGAGAGGGTCACTGTGTTAGGAAGCCTCCTTCTGGGTAACACAGCAAACCCATAATGGTGACCTGGCAGGGAGGGAGCTGGGAAATAAACATGAAGCAAAAACGGACAGAACTAAAAGTGGAAATAGAAAAATGCACAATCACATCTAGATATTAATAGCTTTAAGTAGCTCTCTTGGTAAATAATGGAAGAAGTAGGAAAAAATAAAGAAGGATACAGGATAAGGATAATTTTTTCTCAGCCTTCTGGCAAAGACCAAGTATAGACGTAAAGAAAGAGAAGATTGGAAAACATTATTAATCACTTGGCCTAAATGACATTTATGGAACACTACACCCAACAACAGAATGCATATTCTATTTATTATTTATTTAAGTATTACTGCAAGTATGTTTTTATTTTCTCAACCTATCAACTGAATATTGTATTTTATAAAGCACTTTTTAGTATTGTAATTGGTTCCTCATGATCAGAATGCATATCCTTTTTAAATGCACATGGAACATTCACCAAAATAAATTATAGGCTGGACCATAAAGCAAGTCTCAAGGAATTTAAAGATGAGACCAGGCACAATGGCTGGTGCCTATAATCCCAGCACTTTGGGAGGCCGAGGTGGGTGGATCACCTGAGGCCAGGAGTTTGAGACCAGCCAGACCAACATAGTGAAACCCCATCTCTACTAAAAATACAAAATTAGCTGAGCGTGGTGGCTGGCACATGCCTGTAATCCTAGCTACTTGGGAGACTGAAGCAGGAGAATTGCTTGAACCAGGGAGGCGGAGGTTGCAGTGAGCCGAGATAGCGCCATTGCACTCCAGCCTGGGCAACAAGAGTGAAACTCTGTGTCAAAAAAAATTAAAAAAGAAAATTAAAGGATGGAAGTCATAAAGATTATGTTTTCTTACCACAGTGGAATTAAACTGGAAATCAGTAACAAAAAGGTAACTGGAAAATCCCCAAACATTTGGAAATCAAGCAACAGGCTTCTTAAAAAATCCAAAAAATAAATCACAACGGAAATTGGACTCATTGGGAAACAGGGTGGTGATCAATGAGCCACATCTGCAATAGACAAAAGGGAAAAGTTATGACATTCATATGGACCAGGCATCTGCCATCTCTGCCTCAAACATTGATGTTCTTGGCCATCTTCTGTTACTACACTACACTTTCCTCAGTCATTTAATCCATACCAATGTCCCAACTCTGACCTCTATACAACCTTTTTTTTTTTTTCAGTTAAGGGTACTCTTCAAACACCATATACAACTAATTCTTTAAATGTCTATTTTGGCTCAGATCTCTCTCCTGAGTTTCATACCTGCCAGTAGCCTACTGGAGACTTTACCTAGATATTCCAGAGACAACTCAACAAACACACAGAAACAGAATTCTATATTGTCCATTGTGTGCGCCTAACCACCTCTAACCAGCTCCACCTCTTGTATTCCTATCTCAGTGACTAACACTTTATCTCCTCAGCCTAGAAGACCTTCCACATCTCTCTCACACCACTTGCCCTCTACACAACTACTACTGAAATATCTTCATCTCCCCATTGAACCTTCCCTAACTTTTCCTCTAGCACAAATTGATCACTCCATTAGTCTTTCTGCTAGCACAGGATCTGATTTATGCTTCTGTAATGGAAATACAAATTCAAGGAGATAAGAGACATTTTCTAACAATTAAAGAAGAGCTTTTTATCTACTTCCAAAATAGAGATAGGATATTCTATTTCCACTTAAAAGATACACTCAGAATTTGTACTAAATTACTAGAATATTCTGTTTCCACTTAAAAGATACACTCAGAATTTGTAATATTTTTTCTTTTAAATGCCAATATTTACAACATACTGGAAATGTCATCGTTTGCAACTATTTAAACTTACCAGGAAAACTTTAGCTATTAACCTAAAAATGTTCAAAGGGATACATATTTTTAAAATCCTCCTAGCAGATAAATAAGAAAAATTTTTGAAGACTACTGTTTAGTCTACAGGACTCTTTTTTTCTTGGTGCAAGGCCTAAGTTTTAATCATCATTTTATCCCCAATACCTGAAACCTACCAGATATTCAATAAATGTTTGACAAATGAATAATTATAATTTTAAATTTTTTCTTAAGTATTGTTTTTAAGCTGTAATGTTTTCTCCTTTGAAAACATCCCACCTACTAATGTGCTTATAAGTCAAGCCATCTATAATGATTTAAGTGAGGTAGTTTACTCTCTAAAGGGGAATAAGAATACTTATAAGACAACAGGTAACATAATTTAGGCAAAAGAAGCAAATGTATGCCTTTCTTCATGTAAACTGTGGGTTTACTTGAACTAGACTCAAATACTATTGAAGTGTCTAAAGTGCCTGAACCTTGCTGGATTTCTGATTGGTTCAGTTCACAGGGGCTCCTGTTAAGAAGTACACTACAGTCTTTATTATTATCCTGAGATTCTTCATGATAGCCCTTCTGGTGCACCATATCCTCTCAAGTCTTAAATGTTTGTATGCAGCCATTCATTGAGCATTCAATGGTCTCACTTTGACCAGAACAGCAAGAACATAAAGAATTATTCAACTGATATGACATCATGGCTTTTAAATTCCATAATGAGACCAAGTAAGTCCATTAAGTTGGTGACAGAGAGTGGCAACAATGCCCAAAGTTTCAGTGAATCTGTCAAAATTGAGAAGCTAACCAAAGGGGCAAATTGTTAAATTCAACCAAATTTGGTCTAAGGATGCCTCCGTACTTGGAGTCCTTATGTAATGAATTGCAACATAACTTTGTATGTAAATTAACTGAAACCGGAACTTAGGAGTATACTTTGGTAACAAATAGATGAGTCTTAGCCAATCTGAGCAGCTGAGCTTGGGTCAACCACAGGCTGCCAACTGATGAGACCGTGTTCAAGTAAGGCAAACACTGAGTTATAGCCAAGTAAGCTGTTTCCGTACCTGACTTCCATTTTCTGTCCATAAATGCTGCCTGCTCACGTTTCAGAATGGAGCTCTCTGAGCTTATTCTGGTTCTGAGGACTGCCCAATTCACAAATTGTTCTGTGCTTAAATTCTGTTAAGTTTAGTGAGTCTAAAGTTTCTAACAGTAGCTTTGACAAAGAAGTTGGTTTCATGAGGGTTTTTCAACAGCGGCCCTATGAACATTTTGGGCCAGATAATTTTTTGTTGTGAGGGGCTGTCCTGTGTGTCATGGACTGTTTAGCAGCATCACTGGCCTCTACCCGCTAGATGCCAGTAGCACCCCTCCCTCCTGGTTCTGATAACCAAAAAGAAACATCTCCAGACATTGCTAAATGTCCCCTGAGGGGGAGAAATCACCTTGGGTTGAGAACTACTGGGTTAGTGTCATCATTTTTATATATACTAAACTTAGACCCAAGAGAAAACTAAATATATCAGCAATTCCCACACTAGTCTATGTGCCCCTAATGCAGATCTGCCTAATGATTTATAAGCTTACCATTGTTCTGAGCCTTTCTGTTAAATTCTTGAATACACAATGGGGTCAGAATATCCTCAGGGTCAAAATAACCTGCTGCAGGTTTAAAGTAGTTAATAATTTCCCCAAGGTTCAATACCTGATAAATACAAAACTTAGACCAAAACCACAGTATAGTTCTTTCCTCTTTACACTGTATTTCTCAGTTGAAGCCACAGTTCTATATTTCCCCTCCTCAAAGTTATTTCTATCTAATCCTATTGTAGCCCAAGGATATAATCTTAAAATAACAAAAATTCATGTAGATGGATGTTTATTGCATTGTTTATATATTTTAGACAACATGAATGTGCAAGAATGAGACAGTAAAATAAATTATATGGACAAACATATAAACTTAATAACTACTTTAAACAATCATGTACAATGATATTTATTACCATGTTAATATGTTCACAATAATGGATGTAATAATTATAAAACATACATGATCCCATTTCTTTAAAAAAATGTATCTGTATAAATATACATATCATCCAGGCACAGTGGCTCAAATCTGTAATCCCAGCACTTTGGGAGGCAAAGATGGGCAGATCACTTTAAGTCAGGAGTTCGAGACCAGCCTGGCCAACATGGTGAAACCCCATCTCTACCAAAAATACAAAAATTAGCTGGGGTGGCTCATATGGTTTGCCTGTGTCCGACCCAAATCTTGTCTTGAATTCTAGCTCCCATAATCCCCATGTGTCATGGGAGGGACCCAGTGGGAGGTAATTGAATCATGGGGGCAGGTTTTTCCTGTGCTGTTCTCGTGGTAGTGAAAAAGTCTCACGAGGTCTGATGGTTCTATAAAGGGGAGTTTCTGTACACAAGCTCTCTTACTTGCCGCTATGTAAGACGTGACTTTTCTCCTCCTTCGCCTTCCACAATGATTGTGAGGCCTACCCAGCCATGCGAAACTATTGAGTCCATGAAACCTCTTTTTCTTCATAAATTACCCAGTCTCTGGCATGTCCTTATAGCAGTGTGAGAACAGATTAATACAGTGGTGCACACCTGTAGTCCCAGCTACTTGGGAGGCTGAAGCAGGAGAATCGCTTGAACCCAGGAGGTGGAGGTTGCAGTAAGCCAAGACTGCTCCACTGCACTCCAGCCTGGGTGCCACAGCAAGACTCCATCTCAAAAATAAATAAATAAATAATTATACATATATATGTAATCTGATAGGATTAATGCTAAAAAGTTGATAATTATAAATTTGGGTGGGAGGATCATGTTTTAGGGAATCTGTACTTATCACTCTTCTATAATAAACATAGATTGCTGTGTAAAAGTATTTTAGGGTATTTCTATAAACAAATTTACTTCATATACAAGAGTCATAAAGAAAAAACTGTGAATCCCTTTAATAATAATGGCGTTAAAGGAAAGCACCAAAATGTCATGATATATTTATACAGTTATGTTTCTAGGTTTATCATTTGATCTATAGTATATTTGAATCCATTTAACATCAGAGTCCCACTGAAACAACTTGCTTGGCTCCATCTGTAAAAACACTACAATAATCTTTATTGAAAACTCTCTGCAGTAGATATCCTTGTTAACCTCTTTGCTCTTAAAACCAAGAGACAGTAATTTTAATGGAAGTATAAAGAGATATAAAGAATTTACAATTATAGATACTTATACTATCTGACAGCACAGGATAAAAAGCAGTGGGTTTGGGTTGAGTTTATCTGCTTGTTTTGTTTTTAACATAAATGACCTATTTTCCTTCTGCTTATCAGGCTTAACAAAGGTCCTCTCTTGAGAGCAAACGACAATTCCAGCCTCTCCTGCTCCTTCTCTGTATGAACTTTCACAAAATAAGCCACTGAATGCTTACTAGGTACAAAGTGTTGGCAGGCACCAAACGAATATATAGATAAACAAAACAAATACTCCAGGAGAAATAACAGCAGTATATAACTTAAATATATTATTTATGAACTTTGTTGTTCTTTTTTCAAACTATTAGGAAGCAATGTCAATTACAGAGAGAGGAGATAATCAGTTACTGGTCACATGTATGAATGCAGCTGAGAGCATCATCCCAACATAAGATGTAATCCATTATGGCCTATTGCTATTTGTAGTTTTACACTTGTCCATGTATGATCTCTGATTCAAAATGGGACACTTCCATCTTGATAGCCTTACTCTCAGGCCTCAGAGTAGCCAAAAGTGTGCTGTCCATTTACCTGGCTCACAACTGCTCTTACTCAAGTCCAGATCTCTGGTGGGTTCCCAGCTGCATTCAGTTACAGTTCTCACACCCTCAAAAAATACCTCTTTTTGGTCTGATCCTGCCAGAGTAAATGACTGATTTAAAGAAGATAGTATGTTCTCTGTAATATGTCCATGACTCTCACATTTGAAGCAAAGCCTATACTTTGATTTACTGGCTATAACAAAATTTGAGGACATTTACAACTTATCTACCAATACGTATATAATACAGACTTTAAAAACTCACACCCACATGTGTTTTTACAATCAACATGTATTATCCATGTACAAAGAACAATTGTTTTTTAAAAAGTTCAAGTCAATTCACTCGGCTAAATCTGCCTACCCAGATAGTCTGAACAGTCCTGAATCTAAACAAACTTGGTTTCATGTCTTCTAAAGGCAAGGAAACAGAATAATTCTCAAATAGCTAAAACTGTACATACTAAGAATAAAAAAGCTAACTTTTATTGAGCATTAATATGTGCCACAGATTATATTAATTAATAAATCCTCACAACAACCATAATAGATATATTCTTCTTATCCTTTTACAGTTAAGAAAACTAGGACACAAAGTTAAGTAACCTACCCTCAACGACCCATGGTTAGATAGTGGATAAGTGGATTCCAACCCAAATTGTTTAACTCCAAAACCCAACCTATAGTTTATGCTATACTTCCACCTTTGACCTCTGCCTTCTAGGGCAAAGGAGCAAAAAACAAATAAAGAACACACAAAAAATGTAAAAAACAAATGAATAAACAGCCCAGAAGTGAGAGTAATTGAGAAAAAGCAAAAAAAAAAAAAAAAACAAAAAGTAAAATTTGAAATTGCAACACTATGGTGGGGGACGGGGGTGGTGTATGTCTTCAATGAATAAAACGAAATACGTGGGACCTAAATATGCTTTTTTTTTTTTTTTTTTTGAGATGGAGTCTTGCTCTGTCGCCCAGGCCGGAGTGCAGTGGCTCCGGTCACTCCAAGCTCCGCCTCCCGGGTTCACGCCATTCTTCTGCCTCAGCCTCCGGAGTAGCTGGGATTACTGGCGCCCGCCACCACGCCCGGCTAATTTTTCTGTATTTTCTTTTTAGTAGACACGGGGGTTTCACCGTGTTAGCCAGGATGGTCTCGATCTCCTGACCCCGTGATCCGCCCGCCTCAGCCTCCCAAAGTGCTGGGATTACAGGCGTGAGCCACCGCGCCCGGCCCATATGCTCATTTCTTAGCAAGGAAAACTGGGGGTTGCGGGGAAAATGCAAGAGGACAACGAAACCTACAATTTCATAGTGAAAACCTGTTATTCCAAGCAGCACTGACATTGACAAAATCTTGTCTGGAATCACTTCACCATTCAAGGGTAGCAACAACAGATATCCTTTCCTTAACCATCACAGTAACTCTAACTCCACCAACACACAAGAAAAAGAATTCCTAAAACCAGCTCAAGTAGAGCCAAAAAATACTGAGCTTAGAAATCAAAGCATGTGATTCTAGCATAGTAATTAGTTGTGTGTTCTCCAGCGAATCACTTTTCCCTTCTGGGTTTCAATTACCTCATTTGTAGAGGCAAGTGTTTTAACTAAATTAAGGTGTAACTGTCAGCTCTAAGAATTACGTGAAACTTTAAGGAAAACTCCTGTAAAACTTGGAAAGGCTCGGGGATGCATTTAAAACACCGTGAACTATGGGTTCTTTGGCAAGAATGTTCCCTTCTAAGCCGCCACAAGCCCTGGCTAGAACATGACACAGACCGGCTTCCAGGCCCTTGAGGCTCAGAGAGCAAGGTCAAATCCAGCTTTCAATAATTCCATAGGGCTGAGGCATTAACCTCTACGAGTATTATAACCTAAGTCAGAATTCTGGGGGTAAAGGCAGCGGCAGGGGAAGGAGAAATCACTCTTCTAGGTCATCAGAAACCTTAGTCCAGACCCCTCGGGTTGCAGAATCAGGCACAGAGAGGGCGAGCGCCTTGCCCCCACGTTACACAGCAGTTAGCGCCGAGGTCGGGACTAGAACCTCAATCTTTCAGCTCCCCGCTCGGCAAACGGTCCTTCCAAGCGCAGCGAAGCAACAGAGAGGAGGGGCGGGGGCGCGCGGGGACCCGGCACGGAGCGCAGGGGCACCAGGGAGGACAGGGGCGCACCCCGAGTTACCTGTGTCGGCCCCCGAGCCGGCGTGCAACAGTCTGACCTCCGGCCGCTGCCTGTCGCCACCCGGCCTGCGCTGCACCACCTGCCGCAGGAGCAGCCGCATGCGCCGCGAGGCCGGGCCGCCGTGGCCTCCGGGTGCCCCGAGGAGTAGAAGCCGGGATTGCATGGCGCCGGGGGGGCTGTCGGGGACGGCGAGGGGGCTCGGGGATCGAGCGGCGTCCCGTGCAGGCACCGTGAGGCAGCGCGGAGAAGGGGACAGGAAGCGGCACCTAGCCGAGTCCGCCGGAAACTCCTTCCCCCGCGGCGCGGCCGGCTCAGTAGACTCAGCCCGGCCCTACCCGGCCCTGCATGGCCCAGACGGGCGGAAAGAGCCTGCGGAGCTCCAGCCCAAAGAGCCGGCACCGTCCCGGGACTGCCCGCACCGCGGGGGTGCTCCGAGCTGCGGCGCTGGGCTCTGGCAAGCGCCTCGCAGTCCGTGAGACTGTCTGTTCACCTGGATGCACCAGGCCTTCACCCGCCGTTTCCCTGCGATCCCACAGAATCTCAGGAGTTCAGTAAATGCCAAGGGTTTTAGGAGCATTTGTCGGTGTGACTCTTCAGATGCTTGCCCCAAGTCTTCGTTTCTTAGTTAAAGGCCCAGTAAGTATAGGGAGCTTTCCCTGTATTCGGCTTCAGATTTCGGAAATGGAGAAAACATGCACAAGATGATGGGAACTTTCACAACTGTCTTGATTCATTGTAACCACACTAGTGTTTCCAAACCGTACGTGAAAGCTTTACCCTTTGTCCTTTTGGTGGTGGTTGTTTGTTTCTGTGTTTTATTACCGCTTCCTAAATTCTAAGGAAAAAATTCACATCTTAGTGATAGATGGAAATTGCTTAAATATCAGAAAGGATCCAGATCAAGCACTTTTCTAGTCATGCTGTAATACAAAAGTTATATAAAGATGATTTATGTCTTTAGTAAAGGAAAAAGTAGGACACTGGCTAAGGCTGCCTCCCTCTTGTACATTCCAACATCGGAAATGGTCCTACCACAAAGCAAACTAAGCCTAATGTAATTAGACTGCATCCCCAAAATGTCACAGTGAATTGACTAAGGCAAAATATTTGAGACAAGTTATACAAGCAAACATCAAAAAGAAGGCAGAAGACCTCACTTTCAGCTAAAGACCTTGCTAATTCTAGAGCTGCCACTGTCTAAATACATAGCACCTACCCTGCGCCTGACCCTGTGATGAGTGCTGAGAAGAGAGTGTTAGAGTGGAGACTGTAAAAGTCAAACAAGGCTAGGTAAGGAAGGCTTTGGGCATCCAGCGGAAGAACTTGAGGAATGAAGGCTGAACCAGGCTTCTAACCTAGATGAGGAGACAGTGAAAATAAAGGTAATAAGTAGTTACACAATATATTATGACTTCGTTTCATGTGTATCTTCTCATTTAATCCTCATAGCAACCCTAAGACATAAATTTAGGATGTAAGCTTATAAAATGCTTTTCCTACTTTGAGCACATTGTATGTATCAAGATTTTAATGAATTATCCCATTTCACATAAAAATGCTTTGAGGTACTATTATTATCCTCCGTTTTACAGATGAAGAAACTGAGGCTAGAAGAATTGAATACCTTGGTCAAGATATCTCCATTTAATCTCGCTGGAACTCAGTAGACACCTGAAAGAATGGGAGAACAACCTAAGGCAATTTTGCAAAGTGGTTGATATAAGCACTAAGAGCTCTTGGAGTTAAGACAATGGAGAGATCAACACAAGTTAGAGCATTCAACAACATTTTTTGCCTAGTTT
This sequence comes from Homo sapiens, assembly GCF_000001405.40. Lineage (NCBI taxonomy): Eukaryota > Metazoa > Chordata > Mammalia > Primates > Hominidae > Homo > Homo sapiens. Next base: position 41,962,655 of record NC_000013.11, read on the forward strand.
TATTTTTTTTAGAGACAAAGTCTCACTCTGTTGCCCAGGCTGGGGTGCAGCGGCAGTATTATAGCTCATTGCAACCTCGAACTCCTGGGCTCGAGTGATCCTCCTGCTTCAGCCTCCCTAGTAGCTGAGACTACAGGCGTGCACCACTGTGCCTGGCTAATTTTTGTGTTTTTGTTTTCGTAGCAGTGGAGTCTTGTTATGTTGCCCAGGCTGGTCTCAAGCTCCTGGCCTCAAGTGATCCTCCTGCCTCAGCCTCCCAACGACAACATTTATTGAGTAACTGCTGTATAAACAGTACCCTGCTAGATACTGTGAATCAATGGGCTCACATTAGGTATTGATGATAAATATGCAAATAAAGAATTGCAATACAGTGAGACACGTGTCAAGAGATTTAGGTTCAACATACTGTGGAGTGGATTGCTGCACCTGGAGTCTTCACAGAGAAGGTAGTGTTTGAAATGATTCATGTAGGATATATTATACAAGAGTTTGTCAGGCTGAGACAAGTCAAATCTGGCAGACAGATCATGTACAGAGAGAGAGAGAAAGAAACAGCTGAAAGTGCAGGGCATGATTGAGAACCAGAGAGTGATTCAGTGTGTCTAGAGGTCAAGTATATACAACAGTTTGTAAGAATAAGACCAGAAAGAGAATCTGGGGCCATGTTGTATGCCAAGAGAAGGAGTTTGCACATTAACCTCCAGGAAATGGAAAAATGGTGAAGGTTTTTTAGAGTGACAAAGCTACAATGGGGAGGAAAACTTTGAGCCTGAGAAAAGGCAGCACCTGAGCTTAACTTTGAATGCCATTTAGGACTGGATACACAGAGAAGCGGGGTATAGAGCCTAAGTAGAGGCTTGGAGTCCTGACAGAGTTCAGTTACAGGGGCCATGAGACCAGCCAGATGAGGAGGTTAATCTTTCGAAAGTAGTAGAAGGTGTTGGCAGAGCAGGAGGAGAAGGTTACAGAGTGAAGAATCTTGAGTAGCTGGATGAAGTTGGACTTCATCCGATGAGCAAACTGGGCAGCTACTGGACTTTTTGATCGTGTTTTAGGTGGTGACATACTATGAATTGAATTAGGAAGACAGGAAGCATCAAGTGCTAGCTACGTGGCAGTAAAAATAGTCTCTACTTGAAATGATGAACAGTGCTGATGGCAATGAGACTGAATGGGAAAGAATGGACCTTCACAATGTTTTTAAAGAAGAACCAAAGGTGTTTTGTTTTAAAAGATGTTCATCACAATCTGTGTAAAGTCTCTCAAACTCTCACTAAAATATCTGATCACATGCTTATTAAAAAACAAGCTACCAGCCGGGCACAGTGGCTCAAACCTATAATCCCAGCACTTTGGGAGGCTGAGATGGGTGGATCACCTGAGGTCAGGAGTTGAGACCAGCCTGGCCAACATGGCAATACCCCATCTCTACTAAAAATACAAAAATTAGCCAGGCGTGATGGTGGGTGCCTGTAATCCCAGCTACTCGGGAGGCAGGGGCAGGAGAATCGCTTGAACCCGGGAAGCAGAGGTTGCAGTGAGCTGAGATCGCACCAGTGCATTCCAGCCCGGGCAACAGAGTGAGACTCTGTCTCAAAAAAAAAAAAAAAAAGAAAAAAGAAAATCACACTACCAAAAGCTAGTATTGACTGTCAAGCTCTTTCCAGAGTTTGGGAGGAATATTTTTTACATACCACATTAATGTAACTTGATGAAAAATGCAACTAATAATCCTTCCATGCTATGTCTGACTGAAAAAAGGTGGGTGCTCCACTCCTCCCTACTGTCTACCCCAGCTAAGAAATCAAAGGTTCATACCACTGGTTCCCAGACTTTTGTGTGCATCCTAATTACCTGGAGAACTTATTAAAATGCAGATTATAGGGTTTCGTTCCTCCCTGCACCCAGAGATTCTGAGTCAATAGGTCTGAAAGGGCCCAAGAATATTCATCTTTAGTAATACCTATAGGAGATCACCCATGTGCCACACATTTCAGTCATGAAGCTGTACAACTGTTCTTTATAGAGAGGGAGGGAAAAAGGAAAATCACAGCCAGGTGCAGTGGCTCACGCCTGTAATCCCAACACTTTGGGAGGCCGAGGCGGGCGGATCACCTGAGGTCAGGAGTTCGAGACCAGCCTAGCTAACATGGAGAAACCCCATTTCTACTAAAAATACAAAAAATTAGCTGGGTGCGGTGATGTGCACCTGTAATCCCAGCTACTCGGGAGGCTGAGGCAGGAGAATCGCTTGAACTCAGGAGGCAGAGATTGCAGTGACCTGAGATCGTGCCATTGCACTCCAACTTGGGCAACAAGAGTAAAACTCTGTTTCAAAACAAAAAACAAACAAAAAAACAAAAAAAACACAAAAGTCACTGGTTCTTTGGTACTCCAAGACTGACCTCTTATTGCTCTTTTTTCCATTTTTTTGAGACAGGATCTGGCTCTGTCACCCAGGCTGGAGTGCAGTGGCATGATTACAGCTCATTGCAGCCACTACCTCCTGGGCTCAAGCAATTCTCCCACCTCAGCCTCCCTAGTAGCTGGGACTACAGGCATGTACCACCATGCCTAGCTAATTTGTTTTTTTGTAGTGACAAGGTTTCACTATGTTTCCCAGGCTGGTCTTAAACTCCTGGGCTCAAGTGATCTCCCTGCCTCTGCCTCCCAAACTACTGGGATTACAGGCATGAGCCACCATTCCCAGCCTCTTTCATTTGATGTATGCCTGCTGCAGAGCTGGAGAAGACAGGTGGGAGACAGGGGCTAGGGGGACTGGTTTGGAGAGAGAGAAAGGGCTGACCAGATAGATGGGTATTTTTATTTTTATCCCTTTGATTACCAGTAAGGATAAACATTTTTTCATAAGTAATTTGTGTTTTTAGTTATTATTTATCTAATTCTCCTTTGTGTATTTTTAAAATATTTTTCTAACTAATTTTAAGAGCTTTCTGCATACTAAGAATATTGACACTTTCTAGTAGGTTGCCAACTTACATTACTTTTTCCCTCCACCACACTTAGGCAGCTCAAATCCATGTGAGCAAATAGATTTAAGTAAGGAAGAAATACGAAGAAGACTATGGGCTTTTGAACCAGGCAAATCTGGGCTTCAATCATACTTCATCACTTCTAGTTGTATGACATTAGCCAAATTGCTATCTTTTCTGCACCTCAATATTTTCATCTGTAAAACAGATATGGCTGGACTTGGTGGCTCACGCCTGTAATTCAGCACTTTGGGAGGCTGAGGCGGGTGGTCATGAGGTCAGGAGATCGAGACCATCCTGGCCAACATGGTGAAACCCCGTCTTTACCAAAAATACAAAAATTAGCTGGGCGTGATGGCACGTGCCTGTAATCCCAGCTACTCAGGAGGCTGAGGCAGGATAATCACTTGAACCAAGGAGTCGAGGTTGCAGTGAGCCAAGATCGCTCCACCACACTCCAGCCTGGCAACAGAGCCAAGACCCTGTCTCAAAAAAAAAAAAAAAAAAAAAAGATATGATAGTACTTAATAGAGTGTTGTGAGGCTTCAATAACAGATGTAAAGTGTCTAGCAAAACACCTGGCACACAGTAGGTATTCAGGAAATGTTAACAATTCGAGTAACCAATCTTTAGAAGTTAGGCAACTCCATAATTTAAAATATTTTGAATGGGCATTAAATGTAAATTCAGTGTTTGAGGCGTGTCTAGAAGCCTTGATTACTATGATAAGTATTTTTCATTACATATGAAGAAGTGTATAAAAGGGTACATTGGTATTCCATCCCTTTACCTCCAAAGGAGCAATGTCTATGTTTCGCTCTTTACTAGATATTCTGTCATATCTGCCTGCCAGACCACTCCTTCTGCTTCTCTGATGCAAGTTACACCTGCATCTTGCATACCAAGTGAGGCTGTCCATCACCTAACTCCACCTCACCAGGCACACAGGTTCGGCATGTGATTTGGCCTCATAGTGCTTGACCCGGCACCAATCAGAGAGCTTTGTCAGAGATGGATATAGGTGCAGGGACTCTTTCTAAGATTATGGATGCTTATAGCCTCACATAACTCCAGAACTGTCAGGGCCATCTTGGCTTTAATTCGAGAAGAGCTTGACTGAGACAAGAGAAAGGTGAAACAAATGATTGCAACCAAGGGAAACAAAATGTCCTGGTGATATACTTTGAACTGTGAATCACCCCAATCTGAAACATTGCTTTGGACATCATGAGTAAATAAATCCTGACTTAATGTATACAAGTAAGTTTGTCATAGCTTTCTGTTGCTCATAATTCCAAGAATTCTGGCTGATGCCATCTCTTACCCCTGAAACCTTGGTAGGAGTTGCTTTACTGGGAGATATGGGTATCCTTGGTATTGATCACTTCATAATGCCTCTCCATATATGTAAAAGTAAGGTGGGCTGTAGATTATAGCTGTAAGTTACATCAAGTTCCCAACTTATTAACAAACAAGAAAAAATATTGGTGGAAGCAAGGTGGCCACATATGTATATTTCCCTTGCCTCCTCACCAAGTCCTTAATGGGAACACATGCTTCCAGCACTACTGTCCACTCAAGGCACTGTCTTACCTAGCAAGGAAAGCTCAGTTCTTATAGCATTATAATTTGAATTACATAATTTTCAAGGCCTGTGTTATTATTTAGGAAGAAATATTTACAATATCAGGCTCTTTGGATCTTTGGCTTCACTCCTGCATCAGCAAAGGCCAACAAAGGAGAACAGAGTTGGCCTGAGTGTCTCTAGTTCATGCTCTCCACCATTCTGGGACCCATTTTCCCAGAGCCACCTTTTAATTCTGATATAATGCCTGTTATGTCAATTGTTCTAATACTGAGTTTGGTCTGAGGACACAACAGATCTATCTCACCACATATGAGTTTTCAAGAAGATAATTTAGAGGCTTTTTAGAAATTATTTTATTTTATTTTATTTATTTATTTATTATTATTATTATTTTTAGATGGAGTCTTACTCTGTCACCCAGGCTGGAATGCAGTGGCACAATCTTGGCTCACTACAACCTCTGCCTCCCAGGTTCAAGCAATTCTCCTGCCTCAGCCTCCCGAGTAGCTGGGACTACAGGTGTCTGCTACCACACCCAGCTAGTTTTTGTATTCTTAGTAGAGACGGGGCTTCACTATGTTGGCCAGGCTGATCTCAAACTCCTGACCTCAGGTGATCTGCCTGCCTTGGCCTCCCAAAGTGCTGGGATTACAGGAGTGAGCCACCACACCTGGCCTAGAAATTCCTTTGTTAAAAAAGAATGATCTATAAGATTCCATTAAAATTGTCAAGCCATAGTATATATAGTTAATTGATAAAAACTCATGTTCAAGTTTTCAATAAGCAGTCTATTTATTTTAGGAATTACTTTCCTTGATCCATGTATTTATCCTCAAAATAATTGTTAAAAAGGATCTGGTTATCGTAGAATATTAGCCTCTTATTTTATAGATGGAAACATGGCGTCTCCTATTTTATTACTCTGTAAGCTTGAGGAAATTCCCTTCACTCGGCACCCTTCAAAGTCCACAACTTCATGTAAGTATCACTTTCTTAAGTAGTTCAGGGATTATTGTACTATTATCCTTGCTGTTCCCTCTGCTTGAAATGGCTTTTCCTAATACTTCCATAACTGGTTCTTTCTCAGTGTCATGCCTCAGCATTTCGCTTGTCACAATCTATAAGTACTTCAGGTTTATCTTTTATTGTCTCTCCCATTCAGTGGAGCCTAAGCTTCAGAAGGATGGTCTGGCTGAGCACTATATCCAAAGTGCCTCACACACTGCCTGGCAGAGTAAGTACTCATTAAGTATTTCTTAAATGAATTTCTTTTTTTGTACATTCTTAAAAAATCTTGAGAAATAGCAAAGGGGGGTGATGACCGCCATTACTCCCACCAATACCATCTTTCGTAACACAAATCATAGATAATGAGGTTGATGGATAATACAAAGACAGTTATGCTGTTACATTTGGTTATTGTCATCACAGCTAACTTTGGTATGTTTAATATATAAGATAATTGTTTTTATATTTTTAAAAAATTATGGTACAATATATACAATATAAAAATTACTACCTTAACCATTTTCAAATGTACAGTTTAGTGGCATTAAGTGCTGACACATTGTTGTGCTACCATCACTACCCTCCAACCAGAGAACTCTTTTCATCTTGCAAAACAGAAACTCTGTGCCTATTAAATAATAATTCCTCATTCACCCCACTCCCAGCCCCTGCCCACCACCATTCTACACTTTGTCTCTACAAATTTGATTACTCTGATTACTCAAATATATTAGGGCTCTCCAGAGAAACAGGGTTTCTCCAGAGTCAGGGCTCTCCAGAGAAACAGAATCAACAGAATGTGATTTCAGAGAGAGAGAGAGACTTAGAAAGTATTGGCTCACACAGTTATGGAGACTGACAAGTTCTGAGATCTGCACTTGACAAACTGGAGACCCAAGAAAGCCAATGGTATAAGTTCCAGTCTGAAAGCCAGCAGGTTCCAGACCCCTTCAAATCTGAAGGCAGGAATAATGTGCTGCCCCAGCTGAAGCAGCCAGGCAGGAGAAGCTTCCTCTTACTGGAGGGAGAGTCAGCCTTTCTGTTCTATTCAGGCCTTCAGCTGAGTGGATGAGGCCCACCCACATTAGGAAGGGCCATCTGCTTTACTCAGTCTACGGATTCACATGTTAATCGCATCCAAAAACATCCGCACAGGCATACCTAGAATAACATTTGACCAAATATCTGGGTGCCCCGTAGCCCAGTCAACTTGACACATAAAATTGACCATAACATCATATAAATTAAATCATACAGTATTTGTCCTTTTGTGACTGGCTTATTTCACTTAACATAGTGTCCTCAAGATTCTTCCATGTTGTAGCACATGTCAGAATTTCCTTCCTTTTTAAGGCTGAATAATATTTCATTTATGTGTATACTGCAATTTGTTTATCCATTCATATGTTGATGGACACTTGGGTTACAAACATTTTGGCTATTGTGAATAATGCTGCTATGAACATGGGTGTACAAGTATCTCTTTTAGTTTCTGCTTTTAATTCTTTTGGGTACATACCCAGAAGTAGAATTGCTGTATCATATGGTAATACTATGTTTAATTGTTTTAGGAACACACCATACTGTTTTTCATAGCAGCTGCACCATTTTACTTTCCTACCATCAGCGTGTGAGGGTTCTAATTTCTCCACATCCTCACCAACATTTGTTATTTTCTGTTTTTTTTTTTAATCGCAGACTTTCCTAATGCATGTGAGGTGGTTATTAGTTTCTCTTGCACTTAAATGTTAGTCATTTTCTGTCACTTTCTGTCCATTTTTGTCATGTACTAGGCTTGTCACTTACTTTATGACTATAGATCCAGGTGTTAGGGATGATGCTTGATACAGTAGGTAACTAGTTAGTACTAATTAGTGGTAATTTTCAAAACACAATATGGTAAATAGAGATTAGAGAAGAAATAGGAAGTGGTAGGCCTGGGGAAAACAGGCCAAAATAGGTGGCAAAGAGGAAATAGTCATGGTTGTGGGCAGTATGCTACAAAGAGATCTTTTTCTTAGAACCAAATGGTTATAATAAAGTCATTTATATTTTTAGTTGAGAGTGGGAAGCAAGAGGGAGGAAAACAAAGAGTGTAGTTCCTCATTATCTAATATGACTTCATGCCAAACACAGTGACCATCACTGGAGAAATAGAAATGTTAGCAAATGTATCTAGTATTAAAATGTAAATCTACCTCTGAGAACACAGATGACCCTTAACTCTTTTTCTAAACTACTGATTCTACACACACTCAACCTTTATAGCCTTTTCTCTATTACACAAGGGACCCTAAAATTTAATGGTAAATGATTTTCTAAATTCGTCATTGTGAACTATTTGTGTTATGACCAAATTGTGTGTGATATCTGTTTTCTTTCAAACTACTGAAACATGTTAAGTAAATCATTCTTTGGGCATCATGCATTGTGATTATTCATAAAGAAGGATTACTTTGTTTACGAGCATTTACCAAATCTTTAGTCAGAATATACAGAGGCCTCCAGGAGCCTAGATTAGATATAGGGAAGGGAAAACATGTATTGGTGCTCACAGTAACTAGGAAAAGGGTCCTAGACAACATATGATTGAATTTAAGGAAATTGTTCCATACGATATTATTGAGTGCCTGCTATATGCCCTGTACTGCACTATTCACTGGGAAACCATAGTAAATAAGACAGTTTCCTATGGAACTTGGGACCTATTTAGTCTGTTTTATATTTAGAAGTTTGAGTTTGCCCTATTGGTCAGTGGTTTTCAAACTCTGTTTGAAGCCTGTCATATAATCAATAATTTGTCTGGTCTTTGTCCTGGGTTCCTGGCACAAATAGGAGTCTCTTTATTATTCATGAGCCTTTGCGAACACTCTTCAGTTTGTGCTAATGAGGTGATTCATGGTGGAACCTAGATAGCTTCAGGATGGATGCTGATCATTCCAGAAAGATCAACTATGTGATTAAAGAGTTGAGGCTTTGAACCATATGATAGCAGCCCAGCCTCCTGACCGTCAGGAAGTGGAGGGGGATTGGAAATGGATCTCACTCATGTGGCCAAAACCCCAAAAAACTCTGGATGCCAAAGCTCAGTGGAACTTCCTGGTTGATGAACACCTCAACACACCAGAATGCAGAGTGGCAGAGAGTGTAGAATCTCTACATTTGGAACCCTCCAAGATGTCACCCTATGCGTCTCTACATTTGGCTGTTCCTGCCTAGTACCCTTTATAATAAAGCTGTTATTGTAAATATAGCACTTTCCTGAGTTATGTGAGACATTTTAGTGAATTATTGTGAGACCCATCCCCCTCTGGATTTGTAAACAGTCTGAAGTGAGGGCTGTTTTGCTTTGGACCAATGCCCTTTAACTGGTGGGGTCTGTACTAACTCCAGATTGTTAGTGCCAGAATTGGAATGCACTATACCAGCTGATGTCAGAATAGAACCCCTTCTTCAGTGGCTGCAAAGGAGGGGATTGGGAAAAAAGTTTCATACTAGTTGTAAATTCTGTTCTCCATAATGGCCTCCTGGGTACCCTTTGTTGAGTGATTACTAAGTATCAGAGCAGTTATTTCTGTTTTACAAATGGGAACACCTAGGCTTACAGGACATAAATAACTTCCCCATATTTACATGTAAAGTAACTAGGGACTTGATTGTTGTGAAGAGAAGGTTAAATTCAAGAGCCATTTTGGAATAATTATCAAGTGGCTAATTACACGTGAAAATCAAAAGAGAAAGACATCCAAAGCTAACGTAAGATTGTGACAAAGGAAACCAGATTTTAGAGATATCGGTAACCACAAAAGACAAGGGATGCCATTTTGAGAAAAAGTGGTGACTTTACGTAAAAAGAAAACAAAAACATTTGAAGTTTAAAATGTGAGTGGAAAAGCAGGAGTAAGAAAAGAAGTATAATCCAGCAAGGTTAGCTTGATGTTAGTGAAAGCCTTTGTTTCCTTAGTTTTATTGTTTTAATGCCAATAAAATGTGGATAACGACATGTAGCTCAGACAACTAGCAATCATAAGGATTCCAAGCTAGCTGCCCGGCATCATCTTCAACATATTTCACGTTCCTCACAAACAACGACTCCCTTTCCTTCTCCTTAGTATGCACTGTTAGAGCAGGAAGAAAATATGATCTGTGACCCAAAATAGAGACTCAACTATACCTGCCTGTTCAAAATCTACACGACTTATTAAGACCCTTTCACAAATCCAGTGAAATCCCAAAAATACAGCAGAAATGCCATGATGTGTTTCATACTCCCTAGCTAAAAGTTGAGGGTTGCTGGAAAATCACAACCCATAACCACTGCAGAATAAAATTCAGTGCATATTAGAACATTGCAAACAATTTTTGTATGTATATTTAATATTTATACACAGATAGACATTAAAATGAAATTATAAAATAAATAAAATAAAAATATATTTCTATTTAAAACATAGGTGCAGGTTTCTCCCTCACATGACTGTGCACAAGAACACTGAATAACTGCGTTGGTCAAGTTTTATAATGAGGGTTCACTTAGGCACTGAAGGTTGTCTATTATCCCTGGTGCCTGACCATTAAATGCTAGGAATGGCACCCTGTCATTGTGAGACCCCCCACCACCAGATTTCCCAACTTCACCCTAGCCCCTGGTACTATTCCACCTGAGAGCTTTTGCCCCAGAGCCTCCTTGCTGGGTACAGAGAGGATGTTTGGGGCAAAGAACAAAAGTCTCCTTATTTATCTGGGCACAATATGATTCTTTCCCTTCCCAGTTACTTGTCACAATTTCTATTAGATTGGTACAAATGTAATTGAGGTTTTTGCTATTTATTGAAAGTAATGACAAAACTGCAATTACTTTTGCACCAACCTAACAGCTACATTATAGTCCTCACTACTCTCTGTGTGGCCACTGTGCAAATGTGAGCTCCACAAGGGCTGTAGGCCCAAGTTTGTCAGAGACCCTTCTCTGCGCAGTTTCCTGAGTGGACCACCCAGTTCTTGCTGGCCCTCTTTTTGCTGCCCTGCTCCTGCCTCCTGTGGCACATCCCACAGCCTTTGCTGCTGGGGTTGCCCTCCGGGGGGAACAGCTGCAGGACTCTAGTTTGCCTGCAGGCAACACAACATGCCCCTGACTAACAGGGAACTCCAGCACCTTGCCGAGCTTGGGGAAATGGCTGTGCCACTGCTAGACCCAACCCCTGTGCTTCCCTTGGGACCGTCCCCCTTGACTTGGCTTTGGGGATGAGAGGGACAGCATGCATGAGAAAAATGTCTTTTCTCTCCTCTTGAGACCTACAATCAAAGTAATGGCACGTTTCCTCTCTCGCCTCCCCAGCACCTTTCCTTATACACTACGGAGTTTTAGATGGGGTGCCTGCTAGTGGTAGGAAGGCAATTCTGCCTGATTTACTAAACTCTGGGGAAGGTGCCCAGTCCCGAATATTGGCAGGACTCTTTAGAATGCAAAGTCATTGTGCCTCTCTGTCCTTAGCACTGGGTCCTATTTTCCACTTCCAGGGAGAAAGGAAAAACTCCTTCTTCATGTCTTGTTACTCTACATAGTCAGTTCCCTTGGGGAGGGTACTGAGAGTCTGGGTTGGGAGGCAAACAAATATTTTCACTGTATTCTCTTGTAGTGTTTGACTTTGTATCATGTGCATTTATTACTTTATTCAATTAAGAGTTGTCTATTTTTAAAAGGGAGGAGGAATAAGTTAGTTTGTGTGCATTGACTTAAAATGATGTACATGAAGTATTGTTAAGTTAGCAAAACAAGCTGGAGAGTAATGAACATAATAGTAATCATAGCAATCACAATAGGCATAATAGTAAAAGGAAAATGAATGCGCAGTTCCAGCTACATACTTTTTTTTTTTTTTTGAGACGGAGTCTTGCCCTGTCGCCCAGGCTGGAGTGCAGAGCGATCTCGGCTCACTGCAACCTCCGCCTCCCAGGTTAAAGTGATTCTCCTTCCTTAGCCTCCCAAGTAGCTGAGACTACAGGTGTGTGCCACCACAAATACAAAATACAAAAAATACAAATTTTTTGTAGTTTTAGTAGAGATGGGGTTTCACCATGTTAGCCAGCATGGTCTAGATCTCCTGACCTAGTGATCTGCCCATCTTGGCCTCCCAAAGTGCTGGGATTATAGGCGTGACCCACCGCACCCAGCCCCAGCTATGTACTTTTGTTGGTATGTGTTGTGTAAGTGTGAAGAAAGGTGTGGAGGGTCACATACCAGTCTGTTAACATGGTTACCTTGGAGGGATAATGATGGGGTAAGGGAAAAACTTTTATTTCCTTTGGTATTACTTTAAGATACAAAAAAATCACATGCTTGTAACAAATGCGCGTTCAAACAAGCATGTATTATTTCTGTAACTTAGGAAGGGAAGGGAGCAAAGGTAGACGAGAACAAAGAATGTGTTACGCCACCATGCCCACAACCACAGCCCCAATCAACTAATCAACAAAACAAACTCGCAGCTCTCATATACAGGTTTGCCTGACATGCTGAGGCAGGGTTTTTGACTCCCTTCCGTTCATTCTGAAGTTCGGATTTCAGAAATAGATAACACACTGGCATTGGCCACAGTCTCTCAGGACCAGCTCACGAAGTCTTTCAGGACAAAGGTTTTGTCTTAACGCTCAAAGATCTGCAGGACCCTGTATGGTAGAAGAAACATATCATTGTATTTGTAAGTAAAACAAACAAAACATAATTTAAATGTGCATCGATGGTTAAGGAATTTAGCCTTACCCATATCTATTCAATCCTTTCATGAGAGCAAAATAAGATTGAGAGTAAAAAGCATAAAAGAGCTGGGGCCCCCAAGGCAGGGTGGTTATGGGAGGCAACCAGGCATAAGGGAGGGGGTGCTGGGAGCCCCCTTCATAGCCTTCCCCAAGGTGACCAGGCCTGGGCTTCCCTGAGTAGCAATTCGGCCCGAGTGTTTTCCTTCCCTCTGTAACAATGCACGGTGCACCCCTTAAAAATGCGTAATAGCTGCCGGGCGTGGTGGCTCACTCCTGTAATCCCAGCACTTTGGGAGGCCGAGGCAGGCAGATCATGAGGTCAGGAGATAGAGACCATCCTGGCCAACATGGTGAAACCCTGTCTCTACTAAAATACAAAAATTAACTGGGTGTGGTGGCGCGTGCCTGCAATCCCAGCTACTCGGGAGGCTGAGACAGGAGAATCACTTGAACCCAGGAGGCGGAGGTTGCAGTGAGCCGAGATCAGGCCACTGCACTCCAGCCTGGCGACAGAGTGAGGCTCAGTCTCAAAAACAAGAAAAAAAAAGGAAAAAAGAAAAAAAAAATGCCTAATAGCACAAACCTTATTGCTCAACTTAAGGTGGAAAAAAAATTATGCATATCAGATAGGCAATGTTTTTTTTAAAAACAACAACCAAAAAAACCCCTTGATAATGAAGATAAGAATGGAGTAAGAGAGTAAGAAATCAGAAATAAGAATGGAGTAGGAGAATCCTCTTATATATTCCTGTGGGTGTGTAAAGTGGTACAGTTATTCTGGGATGCAATATGACAACATGTCAGGGAACTAGAAACATTTTATACCCCTCTAGGACTCTAGCTTGAGGAAATAAACAGAGATGTTATCAAAGATTTGGTATGAGTATGTTTTGTGCAGTATTATTAATAATACTGAAATATTGAAAACTATTCAATAAGAATGGCTAACTAAATTATAATTATAATTTATGCAGTTGTAAAATCTTTGTAACATAATATTTAAAAGGCTAGGAAACAAAACTATATATCCAACATGATTCTAATTTGTAACAATTATATAGTAAATATACAAAACTATAGAGTACATTTGAATGATTCAAAAATAATTATAAATTTTCGTTTATCCTTTCTATGTTTCAAAAATTTCTATTATAAACATATGTTCATCTTAGTATTGGGAGAAGTAAAATGAAGGGAAAAAACATTAGCTTAGTCCTCCACAGAGAGAATTAATTCTCCTTGACACATTTAAATCCATAAATTTAGAACAACCTATTTCTGACTAATGTCACGTAATTGAACGGTCCATTTCTGAATTCATAGATTTCCCTGTGGTCCTGAAATATGTACCTATTTAGCTACTATGGAGCCATTACTCCCAGGAAAAAAGAAATCCCCAAAATAAAAATAAAATCTTTTTTTTTCTCACTTTTTTTTTTTAAGAGAAACTTCTCTATACATACAGGAATTTGACAACAGTTTGTGCCACTTATGGATTTAAAGAACTGGCACCTTGAATGGGATTCTGAATAGAATTCGTACAGATGGAATGTAAATATCACCCTGAACTGAATTGGCCCTCATCCTGTCCAGCCAATCTGGAAATGTCTGGTAAGCTGTTTATTACACGAGTCTAGAGCTCAGGAGAAGGTGTGGGCTGAGATGCAAATACGAGTATCATTAGCATATGCATGGCAGCTGAAACCATGGGAGCAACCTCTATCTAAATCACTGATTCTCAACTGGAAGTGATTTTGTCCCCCAGGGAGCAGCTGGCAATGTCTGAAGGGAGACATTTTATATTTTTATAACTGGGGGTAGGGTACTACCTGCATGTACTGGGCTGAGGCCAGGGCTGCTGCTAAACATTCTGCAATGCACAAGACAACCCCTTGCAACAAAGAATGATCTGGCGCAAAATGTCAATAGTGCCTAAATCGCATAGTCCTACTCTAAATGATTCACAGATAACTTAAACTCAAAACTGAACTCATCCTTTTTTCCTTTAAAATTTGTTTCTCCTCTTATGTCCCTACCCCAGTCATAGTAAGTCTTTTTAATGTTAACCAAATTAGAAACCACAGGTCCTCCTTAAACTTTCTCATAGCTTTACTTCTCTCATATCCAAATGAGAACCAAATCCCAATAAATTGACCTCTGTCTCACTCTCTCTCTTTTTTTTTTTTTTTTAAAGAGGGAGAGACAGGGTCTCACTCTGCCACCCAGTCTCACTGCTCCCTCAAACTCTTGGGTTTAAGAGATTCTCCTGCATCACTGGAATTACAAGAGTGAGCCACCGCTTATCCATCTAATCCCTTCCCTCATCTCAAGCTCTTTCTGCCATTGCCCTGTTTCAGGCCTAAATCATAACTTGTTGGTTTGCTGCAGGAACTTCCTAATAATTTTCTTTCTCCAATATTGTCACCGTCTAATCTCCTCCCCATCATTTCCAGGAAGATCTTTCTAAAATGCAAATCTAACTATGTCACTTCATTATATAAAATCTTTGACTGATTTTCCTTTACTCTCAAGATTAATTCAAAACTCTTTACTAATCTAAGCCCCTTATGATCCGGCCTTCTCCCACCACTCGCTGCTATACTATCAACAATCTTCTCTTGAAGTTCTGTCTCCCTCAGTAGACTATGGGCACCCTGAGGGCAGGATCAGTGTCTTTTATCTCTGGACCACACCCCCTCCCCATCTACCCCAGCAGCTAGCAAAATTCCAAATTCGTTTTGTTGAACTAATGAAGGAGACACTCTGACCTCCTCAGTGTGTGATCACTCTGCAGTGTGTAGGAGTGAGAACAGAGAACCTAGGACAGAATCCTGAAGAGCACATGTTAGGATAGGCAGATGAACTCAGGAGACTAGAAAGCAGTGAGAGATGCAGAACCCAGGAGATCACAGTGTCAACAAAGCTGAGAGTCAAGTAGATCATCTTCAGGAAAACAGAGCCATCAAACACCTCAAACAGAAGTCAGCTAAGATGAAAACTAAAAATAGTACAACATATCAGAAAACATGGTAGCTGGTTGCAGCCTTGAATAGAGTCATTTTAATGTTCTGTGGGCCTCTAGTCAAGTACTTGGTGCTGGATTTGGGGTCATTACTTGTCAGTAGGACCAGCAGTCGGGAAGATTAGCTGGACACAGAACAGGAGAATGAGAACAAAGTGAAACTTGCTAGTTACTACAGCATGTGTGACCACAGCCTTTCAAGAGTAATGGCTTCTGCTTTATTTCTGCTTTCCAGATCTCAGGCAAGGTTTTCTTTTGGTCAACTCTAACTTAGAACCAAGGGGAAAAGGATTCCAGAAAATGTAGCCTCCAAAAGGAGTGGGGGTCCCAAATTGACCAGACACAATTCAGCATACATCCCCTTGCTTAAAATTTTTAAGAAATGAAAATACTTGTTTATATTTACCCACATGTTTACCATTCTCAGTGTGTACCATTCCATCCTATAGATCTGAATTTCCATCTGGCAATATTTTCCTTCAGCATGAAGAACTTCATTTAGCATTTCTGATAGTGCAAGTCTGCTGGCAATGACTCTCAATTCTTATATAGCTGAAATGTTTTAATCTCTTCTTCCTTTCTGAAGGACATTTTCAGTGAATGGAGAATTCTAGTTGAATTTTTTTTCTTTTAGCCCTTTAAAGGGTGTCATCCTACTATATTCTGGAATCCATTTATTCTTATAATTGTGTGTGTATGTGTGTGTAAGAGAGATAATGTCTTTTTTCTTTTAGCTGCTTTTAAGATTGTTCTCTTTATCTTTGGTTTTCAGAAGTTTGGCCATAATGTTAGTAGGTATGTTTTTCTTTGTATTTGTTCTGCTTAGAGTTTGCTGAAATTCCTGATCTGTGGATTGTTTTATTAAAAAATCAAATGTGGAAAATTTTTGGTATGTGAATATAAATATATACATACATATACATGTCTCCTATTCATTATTCTAATTCCAGCCCAATATTCTTTTCCTTAGGGAAGTTGTTCATGACTTTTCTAAGTCAATTTCCCAGTTATTTTATAGGAGCATCTATTTCTCCTTTATAGCATTAAGCACCACATCAATTTCACATTTGTTTTTGTGATTATTTGATTAATGTCTGTCTTTCCACTAAAGTCTAAAGTATGAACTCCATGAGGGTAGGGACTACATTCTTGTAGTTGTATTACACTACATTCCCAGGACTGACCACAGTGACTGGTGCATAGTAAGAACTCAGTAAATATTTGTTGAATGAGTGAATGCCTGAATAAAATAAATAAGATAATACTGATTTGCAGTAAGCCATTAGCAAATCTTAACTATTATTTATAACGAAAATTTGCAAATTCAATTACCTTAAAATTGCTTTTTTATACCATGGAACTATTATTCCTCAGATGCTTTGGAAAATGCAGGTAGAGACTACGTTTTGAGGATTTTGGCTGTGGAATAAAAGAGGCAGGGAGTAGCTAGACAAGGATTCAGGTCAATGAAGCGTTTTGCTTTTGATGGAAAAGGCTTGGGGTGTCATGACAGGGCAGCTCAGAAATATCTCACCAAATTATTTCCTTTTTACATTAATTTTTTTTTGTAATAAATTACACATTATAACACCTTAAAGGCAATGCACAGTCTCTTAAAGTTCCATTGGCTTGAGGAATGTTATGAGAGTTTCTGTCAAAATCCTCCCCTTAGGTGGATGAGTAATTGACCCTAATCATCAGGAGGAGTCAGAGTTTCTGCTACACGTTGGGGGCCGCGTAGAATATGTTTGGCGCAGGGATAATCCATGGGAGCATCTCTTGTTTCTCAGTTGCTCAGTTTTAATGGTAAATCAACAACTACAGAAGCTGCAGGATCATGGTAGCCAAGGGCTCCAACCCTACAGGAAAGAGCTTCTGGGTCATTGTACTAGACAAGCATAGGTCCTAGCTGAGGTTAAAGGGAATCGAAAAAAATGGGTAAAGGAAGAGGTGGATATTGAGTATCAGTTACAGCCTCTAATCAACTGCAGCAGTACGGGCTAAATTGAGTTCTTCCCAGTTACCTTCTCTTATAAGTTCCACAGGAGGCTGGGCACAGTGGCTCACACCTGTGATCCTATCACTGTGGGAGGCCAAGGCGGGTGAATCACCTGAGGTCAGGAGTTCAACACTAGCCTGGGCAACAAGGTGAAACCCTCTGTCTACTAAAAATACAAAAATTAGCCATGCGTGGTGATGGGGGCCTGTAATCCCATCTACTCGAGAGGCTGAGGCAGGAGAATCGCTTGAACCCGGTAGGTGGAGGTTGCAGCAAGCCGAGATCATGCCACTGCACTCCAGCCTGGGTGACAGAGCAAGACTCCACCTCAAAAAGAAAAAAAAAAAAACAAGTTCCACAGGAAACAAGACCAACCAGAATACTGCAGATGAAGTAAACTTACTATGAAAAGGCATGTGGATATGACAGGTGCAGAGCTGACTGTGGTAGATTCTGTAGTATTCTGCTCAGGTAGCCTCTTCAGGTCCTAAACACCCATACCTCAGATGCAGGGAATATCAACTGCTGATGGCTCAGAGCTGTGTCCCTCATGGGAAAATGCCCTTCACCACAGGGAACTGTCCCTCTTCTGGAGAACACCCTGCAGCAATGACTGGCTCCTGCAAGGATACAAAGGCCCAGCCAGCTTGCCTCAATAGGGGACAATGCTGGAAGGCCATCCTCAAGATTTGGCCACAGGACTACTTGGGCCCTTGGCCTCTCTCTCTCTGTGCTCAGTCTGTCTTCTTTCCTTCCTTTCTTACAGGTTTGTCTCCTGGGAGCACTCCCCAAAGAACCTTCTACACACAGTTCTCCAACTCAAAGTCTGTTTTCAGGGAATCCAATTCAAGACAGGGATAGTTGGAAGTCACAACCGTTCCATGGACTTTGATGTTCTTGATATTCATTCTTGGTATTGGCATTATGAGTTGTGACACTAGGAGGAGTCTCCAAGTGACTTTGAAATGAGAAGACAGGAACAAAGAGGTGTCATACATCCCTCACAGATGGTCAGAAATATCTAAAGAGTTTTTGCCAAAGAGATAGGGTCCTGAATGGGCAGCAGGGTTAAGAGAAAAATGTGTAGTTATTAATGTTAATGAGACATCCTTTGCTACAAGATGATGGTGAGGTCTCAAGGAGATCTAGGTTATATTTACAAGGGATCACTCCAATTACTACATGTCCGTCTTTTCTAAAATTAGACTTTATTGTGCTCTATTAAAATAGCTTTATCTTTAGAAGAGAGTTTCTCAAAATGTGATTTGGGGACCACCTGCATCAGGAACACCTGAGAATTTGTTAAAGTTGCAGATTCTAGAGCCCCATCTCATGCTTACTGAACCAGAATCTCTGGGAATCTGCATGTTTATTTAACAAGTTTTTCAAAGCTTGCATGTTTAGCCAGCTTTTAAAGTAAAAGTTTTCAACTGCTTTAGTTGGTAAAGGGTTTCTTTTGCAGATGATGAAAATCTTCTGGAATTGGATAGAGGTGATGGCTTCACAACATTGTGAATATATTAAAAACCACTGAAATGATTTCAGTTAAAATGGTCAATTTTATGTTTTTTGAATTTATCTCAATTAAAAAAATAAAACTAGAGGGACAGAAATTACATCGCCAGAGGCTGCAGCTAGGAGGAGGGAATGGAATGCAAAAGATCACAAGGTAATTTGGGGGGCTTGAGGAAAATGTTTTAAATATTGATTGTGATGGTGGTTACACATACAATGGCCAATCTCATGGAACTATATAACCCAAAAGGTAAATTTTACTACATAGAAGTTATTTCTCAGTAAACCTGGCTATAAATAAACACATAAATAAATAACCTCCAAGAGATTCTTAGAAACCCTAAAGCTTAAGAACTACTGCTTTTAAGTCGTGGTCTCCAAAATGAGGACTCACTTCTCCAGGGTTCTGGAAGACAAGCCGCTGGGGTACAGGAAGAATATAATTGAAATCCTATTTATATTTTTAAAAATGTTAACATGAGAAAGAAATGACATTTTCCTAACATTTGGAAATCCACTTGGAAGGCTTGACTCATATTTATATATAGAATGACATTGTTGCCCCCATCCCATCTGTGTCATGTCAGGTACACAAGATGTCCTGGGGGAAGACTGAGCATTGCATAATGACCTTGTTGACCTCTGTGATCTCATTCATTCACTTGCTTGTAGCATAATGCCACATACTGCAGTTTACAGGGATTTATGACTTATAATGTCTAGTTTTAAATAAACTAATCCTCAAACCAAAAACAAATGATTTTTAAATATCTCTGCAAAGCAGCTCCTGATTGAAGACGATACCAATAATGCAAGCCAAGGGAATATGAAATGGTAAGAACTGACTTTCTAGTAAGAGCTCTGCGATCAGCCACATTATGAGGAGAAACAATAATAATCCAATTAGATCTGAACAGAAGTCAGCTAATGAGTGAGCAATTGATTAATTACTCTTCAAAAGAAACTGAGTTATGAAGAGAACATTTTAAAAACAGAGATTTGGCAGTGCTCCCATTGTTAAGTGATTTTGTTGCCTAATCAATGTAAACATGACACATACTAAAACCGTCATATCTCCATAACTAAAGAACTTGGGAAAAAGACTTTTTTTCTAACTAATTTTAAAATCTTCCAAATGAAGAGTTTCTGTGGATTTTGATCCATTTGTTAAAAATTGTAAAATACAATGCCTTCCAATTAATTTGCGAGGACCTCTCATTGACATCAGGGAAAGCAGAAATTGACCATCTGGGTTTCAACAAAAACTTCTGCATAATCAATGTATGTGATAGAAACCTGAGTACTGTTATTTAGTGCCACCAATGATGCACTTCCATTTAATTCTGCATGTCTTTGTACTTTACCATTAAAACAAAGTGTAGTCATAAATCAAATTAGAAATAGACACTTAGATCAATGTATCACAAAATGTCAAGCCAAAGTATCGTAAAATAATGCAGCACATTTGATCTCATTGCTTTCACTAAAAAAGTTACTGCAGTGGTTTAATGTAGTCATTCTTTGATATTCATTTTTAGTTTCTTCTTTCTTTTCTCTCCTCCCACTTCATTTCTCTAGCTCTTGCAGCTTTAGTTGCCATCTCTAAAGACCTCCAAGTTCAAGTTCTTTGCTCTTAGTCTTGTATTTCCAACTCTTGAATTAGCAGCTCTATCTGGTTCTTCTACAGGTCTTTCAAACATGGTATGTTCAAAACAGCATGGTCTCCCTCTTCTCTACCCCTGTTCTCCTTGGTTAGTGTTCCTTATCCGGGTTAGTGGCGCCACCTTTTACTGTGATTCAAAACATCTGCATTTTTCTTCTCATCTGTCTCTTCTCACAACTCACTGCCAACTGCCAAGGCTTCATCCTTCTACCTTCCTGGACTCTGCTTTTGTCTTCCTCTGTTTTTCCATTTGTATATTGAGTTCCTTGTGGCTATCTATCTCTGGAGCTTTTTTTCTCATTTTATTCCCCTTTCTATATCCTTCCTCATTCTTCCTTATCTTCTGCTTTCCTTGTCACCAAAAGAAAGAACAAACTTTTTTTTTGTTTGCTGAATTTATTAAATATTTATTGTACTAAAGCATGAAATGGAACACTTTCTCTTTTTAAAGCCTATATTAAGTTACATATTTTCGTAGGCCTTGATTGATTTTGTTGTTACTGTTTTTTCCCCCAGTGGGATAGAAAAAAAAAAGAAGAAGAAGAAGAATATCCACTTCAGGATTGGTAAAGTAGTGTCTCCCTGTGGCCTGACATAGTGTATGCATGGTCACCTTCAACTCCTAATGAAGAAAAATGTTTAGGCAAGCATTCGTGTTACCAAGGATCTGAGGTTAATTTTGTTGCTCTTGTCAAAAGCGTTATTTTTAAGGACAAGATTTGGTCTTTTCTCTCCTACCACTTCATTTCTCTTGCTCTTGCAGCTTTAGTTGCCATCTCTAAGAGGAAGACCTCCAAGTTCAAGTTCTTTGCTCTTAGTCTTGTATTTCCAACTCTTGAATTAGCAGCTCTATCTGGTTCTTCTACAGGTCTTTCAAACATGGTATGTTCAAAACAGCATGGTCTCCCTCTTCTCTACCCCTGTTCTTCTGGGTTAGCTGGGTTAGCTGGGAGGAAAGGCTTTGTAGATTGAAGGCAGCCCTCCCAATGTAAAAGGGATTCTTAATTTATACTGCTTGTTAACCATTATTCGGCAGGATTTGTTTCAGAATGTACATCATATATATATAATATATACATAGTATATGTATATCATTACATATATGATATATACATATGTATATATTATATATAAAATATATTTAAATTAGCCAAGTATTAGATGAAGTTTCCTTCACAAAAATTGAATTGCCAAGATTTTTTAGAGCAAATTATATATTTAGCAGTCATTTCTAATGGCACTCACAAAACTAAAGCATTAGAACCATGACACTGATTTTTAGTATTTGTTTTTGTTTATGTTGTGATATATTAAACAAGCGTATAGAAAGTTCCTGGTTTAGTTGTGCCCAGCTTAGCTCATTTCTCTTGCCTGAGCTCTAATGATGCTGCTGTAAAAGTGTCCCTTTTTTGCATCGGCTAAGAATTTTCCTCCTGACTTGGGATCCCTCTCCCTTGTGCTAATGCAGAGCCTCTGCTACCCAGAACGGCACATCTCTTTCACATGTGCTCTTGTTTCTTACCCCTCATCACTCCTGGTCAGTTCCTGCCTCGTTCTAGCAGGGACTCTCTCTACTTGTCACTGTGCCCAAAACTGGTAAGGGAGTGGACTTCCTAATTCTGCAGAATTGTGCTACAGAAAAAAGATTTAATGTCTGCTTTCAAGGTGCTCAGAGTCTAGAGAAATGGAAGAAAGTTACTAAAAATGCTAAGTTAAAGCTATATGCTGAGGGAACGCTGAAGGAGACCTCAACCCAGGCTGAAGATCTAGGAAGGAATCAGTCAGATGGAATGGATGGAGGGCTGGCAAAGAGATGAGGCTCGAAAGGAGATAGGAGCCAAATAAAGGGAATTTAAATTTAATCCCCCCAAATATTGGGTTCCTCAATTAGGAGAGTAACATGATTAGATTTATCTTACTTATAGCATGGAGAATGGATGGGAGGCATAAGGGTACAGGCAGAGAGAAACATTTGGGCTGCAGGTGAGAGATTGTGAGAGCCTGAATCCAGGCAATGGCCATGGGATGGGGGGAATTTAAGAAACTAGGGAGGAATTTAAAGACCAAAACAATATCACATAAGGAATGATGGGGCATATGGCTCAGGGAAGAATAGAAAAGGCATTTGAGAGAAAAGAGGGAGAGAGGATAGAGGGAAATAACAGAGGAAAAAATGGAGAGGAGAGATGGAACTGGAAGAAACGAGGAAAGAGGAAGAGAAAAAAGCAGGGAAATTTTCATTACTGCTCTTTCCACCATGTCCGCCAGCCTGGTTGTGTGCTTGTAAGGCAATTGAGAGGGACTGGGGAAACTAAGAAATGGTGAAAAACAGAAAAATCAAAATTGAAAATGAGAAGTGGGGAAACTTATTCAGCCTTATTTTTCATATCCATCCTCCAAGCCCTTGGTCCCCTCCTCCTTTATGACAGCTTCTGTTTCCATTGTTGGGTCTTTTTTATATTTTAAGTAACCATGTTGAATAGTATTGTGAAGGGAGGTGAATAATCCGTTTACTTAAAAATGTGTTGCTATGCATTATATCTCTAAGTATATTTTATAGTAGAAGAAAAGGTAACTTCTTACAGTTCCAGGTACTTGAACTTTACCTTCACCCAGAAAAGTAAAGTGTCATTATTTCAATGGGAATATGGACTGAGTTCCAAACAAATGTCTTACAATTAACTTTTCGGGAAAAAAATCTGTCTTTGAGCCCAGTACTAACCATATTAAATATATACACTATGAAGAAGAAAATCAGGAAGTGCTTTAAATGCTCTCTTCTTTAAACTTTGGCTTGTTCCTGCTGATTACTCACTATTTGAAAGTACATGATAGTTCTATTTAAAAGAAAAGTGAGAAATTCAGTCAAGAATGTTTTCATACACCCATAAATATTTGGCACTATATGGATAATTTCTTGCATTGACATAGAAAGGGACTCTCAAAGCCCATTTACATCTAATAAGGCATCACTGGATGCAACTAGGTTATGACCCCTTTGAAAAGAAGAGACTGATAAGCATCTTTACTGAGTTTGGCAGACTGCCCTTTGGATTAGCTGTTGATATGCCACATGTGGTACTTCTCAAAACAGAACAACTCATGTTTGAGGAATATATCAGTATTAGAATTTTGTGTAATTGTTTTATGAGGGCTGTAGGCCATGCACCCTCTGTGGGTGGCATTAGGGTTTCCTCTGAATGGCATGGACATTCTCATGGTGAGTCATCGTGGGGAGAGGGAGAGGTCAGTATTGGAGGAAGACTTGAGGATACAAAAATCAGGCCTCAGACTTTCTTCTTTTGGGTCGGGGGTCAGTTTGGCTGAAATGGTGGGGCAAAGTGATGCTGAGGCATGTCTGATGATTTGGAGTGAATACCTAGAGGCATTGAACTGTGTGGCAGACATGGGAATGTGTAGCATTCAGAACTCCAGCTAAGGAAGACTCATGCCCAGCTACGAGGAATATGGTTAGCTGACAACCTCCAACTATTCAGTTCTGCAGGTCCACCTCAGCTTTTGAGTCAAGGTCATGCACTTCCTTCTCTTCTCTAGGTAGCCTTAGCCCATGACTAAGAAAGACTGTGGTCCAAGGGTCTAGCCCTTTCTGCCCAAAGGTGGGCTCCTCTCAAGACAAGCTTTGATCTGGAGTTCCTGCTGGGCAGAAGAGACTTTGTTAGGTCTGCATCTCAGTAAGATGGCTCTCCTAGCCAATCCCAGCTCTTCCCTTTTATTCCCACTGGAGGTGGGATAAGAGGTGGGAATAAGAGGTCTTATTCTCCAGTAAATCTTTTGCACTCTCAACTTCCTACGTCTGCTTCCCTGAGGACCCAACTGATGACACACCCTGCCAAAAGGAGGCAGGCAAGGAGAGAGGTTAGGAGTGGTCACTCCCAGAGGATCCGCCCACCTTGGCCTCCCAAAGTGCTGGGATTACAGGTGTGAGCCACCGCGCCCGGCCTGCGCTCTTTTCTGATTCATGTAACTCTTCTTCTACTATCTGGGCTTTCTCCTCCAAATCAATATTTCCTACAACAAATATTTTCTTACATGTAAGTATTTTTTTAAAATTTTTTTTTCCCCTCTGATCAATTTGTAATGAGTACTGCTGCATTTGTCTGTTATTTTTAATTACTTTGCATGATTATGACAACTTTTCTTTCTGACTTCATCTTACTATTTCTATTTTTGTTGTGCATTTTAACATACATGGTGAATCTCCTTCTAAGCCATGGAAATGATCTGTAGTAGCTCACACTCTGTTTTTGGATCTTCTTTTCTTTCTTATTGAGTCCCTTAATTTTTATTTTTTCCTGTCCCCAGATATTTCTTATGCAAAAATGAAAATAAATTTAAAACACTTACTAATTTTTGCTTTTGTTTCAACCAGTCAATGCTTCCCATAAGAATAAAATAGTCAGAAATCCTTACTTTGTATTTTATTTATTTTTTTTTTGAGACAGACTCTCACTCTGTCACCCAGGCTGGAGTGCAATGGTGCGATCTTGGCTCACCGCAACCTCTGCCTCCCAAGTTCAAGCAATTCTCCTGCCTCAGCCTCCCAAGTAGCTGGGATTACAGGTGCCTGCCACTAAGCCCGGCTAATTTTTTTTATTTTTAGTAGAGATGGGGTTTCAACATGTTGGCCAGGCTGGTCTCAAACACCTGACCTCAGGTGATCCACCTGCCTCGGCCTCCCAAAGTGCTGGGATTACACACATGAGCTGCCATGCCCAGCCAAAATTCCTTATTATTCCTTCATCTGGTGTAAATTCTCAGCTGCCCTGAGCAAGTGACTGAGTGGTTATTGCTAAGCCAGCTTTATAGTAGTAAGAATAATTATCCTTGGATTTCTTTTTCATGTTCAATTTTCTCTTGGACTTTATTTCTAGGCTTTGTATATTTTCTAAGGGAAATGAACAATGATTTTACTGGCCTTTTTTTGTGCTTCAAGCTCTTTACATTAAGCTCTGTGTCTGAAGGAATTTTTCTTTTATTCTCTGTACCATGGGCCAGGAAATAGTTTAACCAATGTTTTCTAGAAATTGTATTCTCTGGCTATTATGCTGTGTGAACAATTTAGCAATTTCCTTCTACCTGCCATAACCACAGAAGGAGAATGGAGTAATATTGCTCTATGAAGATATTTGGATCTAACCTCTATAGCTGAAAGAGAAAAATTGAAGTTAAATGGGCAAGATTCATGTTTATTTTTGTTTGAGTTATTTATTAACACATGATAGGAACAGTTGTACTATGAAATGCTTCATTATTAGTTATGTAACATTGTTTTTACTGGGATACTAAAACCTTTATACTTTGTTAGTTTAGAGCAGTATTTCTAGAATGGTTTCTACCAATTTTTTCCCTTGAAATAGTTACTTTTTAATATAACTTAACATGACTATTCAAAATTCTAACAGCTTGATTAAGTGAAAAAAAACTTTGTATATTGACCAACGCTATCTTTTTTGAAAATGTGTAATGTAATAGAAGCATAGAATTTAGACAGAAGGGCCAGGCGTAGTGGCTCATGCCTGTAATCCCAGCTCTTTGGGCGGCGAGGCGGGTGGATCATTTGAGGTCAGGAGTTTGAGACCAGCCTGGCCAACAGGGTAAAACCCCGTCTCTAAAAATACAACAATTAGCCAGGCATGGTGGCGGGTGCCTGTAATCCCAGCTACTCGGGAGGCTGAAGCAGGAGAATTGCTTGAACCTGGGAGGTGGAGGTTGTAGTGAGAAGAGATCATACCACTGCACTCTAGCCTGGGCAACAGAGGGAGACCTCATCTCAAGAAAAAAAAAAAAAAGAATTTAGACAGAAGGAAAATCAGGAGATTGTCTAGTTTAACTTCCTATAGAGTGCAGATTCTCTCCAGCCACATTGTTGAGATATATAATTTGGTTTTTGCATTTAGTTTTTGCTTGAATGCTTCTATTGTAGAGAGCTCTTATGAAAGCTCACTTTCATTAAAAAAAAAAAAAACTCTAAGATTAAGAAAATCACTTAATTTGAATCCAAATCTGCTCTAGAACTTCCATTTGGTACCAGTTTTCCCTTTTGGAGTCACTCATATCATGCCTTCTCTGTTCTGCATGGCAGTGCTTTATATTTAAATATTGAGGTACATATCTCCTTATTTTTCTCCTTTCCAGGTTAAACACTGACACTCTCATCAGCCATTTTTTATGGCTTTCAACTTTTTCTCCACCTCACCTAATTCATGAATGATGATACTCTTAAATGTGATGTGTAAAGTTATACTCAATTCTTGCTTTAAAATATACGTGTAAGAAAGTGAAAAGACAACCAACATGATGGGAGAATATATTTGTAAATCCCATGTCCACTAAGATACTTGCATCCAGAATATAGGAAGAGTTCTTACAACTTAAGGTTAAAAAAAAATCCAATTTAAAAATGGACAAAGAACTTGAATTGACATTTCTCCGAAACAAAAAAAAGACCTAAGGTCAATAAACATGAAAAGACACTCAACATCATTAGTCATTAGGGAAATGTAAATCAAAGCCATATTGAGATACCACTTTATATTAGTAGAATGGCTATAATAAAAAAGATGACAGGCCGGGCGCGGTGGCTCCTGCCTGTAATCCCAGCACTTTGGGAGGACAAGGTGGGAGGATCACCTGAGGTCAGGAGTTTGAGATCAGCCTGCCCAACGTGGCGAAACCCCATCCCTACTAAAAATACAAAAAATTAGCTGGGTGTGGTGGCAGGCGCCTCTAATCCCAGCTACTCAGGAGGCTGAGGCAGGAGAATTGCTTGACCCGGGAGGTGGAGGTTGCAGTGAGCCGAGATCGTGCCACTGTACTCCAGCCTGGGCAACAAGAGTGAAACTCCATCAAAAAAAAAAAAAAAAAAAGACAGTAACAAGTCTTGGCTAGAATGTGGAGAAATTAGAACTTTCTTACATCACTGGTAGAATGCAAAATGGTACAACTACTTTGGAAAAATAGGTTGGCCATTCATCAAAAGGTCCAACACAGCCACCCCATTGACTGGCGAAGACATAGTGGCTGCAGCTCCGAGGAAAGCATTGGGAGAAGGGTGCTTCTTCTCACTTCTATTTGGCAAGTAAAATGTGTCTTTTAAAATCAGTGATCATATGTGAATTCTAGACATAGAAATCTGCTAAAGGAAAAAGGAAAGCTATTATTTAGTGGACTGAAAAACACAGATTTCATTTTATTTCTGGGCAGAAACATTTTTTAAATACTTAACTAAATTCATTTCCATTTTCCAATCTAACTTCTCCTCATCAGCTCCAGTTACCCTCCTGAAGCAGAATAAAGGGTTTTGTGTCCTATGTGTGCTCTCTGGGGAGCTCCATTCAAATAGAGAGAAGCCCACCCTCCTGTCAGAGCTGCCGTCCCAGTAGAGTTGGTAAACGTCATCAGATGTATAAGAAGGTCCTGTGTGTGTGTCAGCAAATAGACTAAGACGGGAAGCTTCCCTCTATCCCTCTCCTCCTCCCTCCTCTTTATTTCCATAAAACATTTAAAAGCACCCAAAGTGAAATATTGGAAGCAACAGGACAAAGAGGTCCTCCTTATCTTCTTTTAGCCACCTGAATCCCCTACTTAGGAGCAAACCACTCTCTATTATCCTTGACTCCCAGCTGCAGGCCTCAACCATCTTCTCTATTTATTCCCTTCTCCAAGAGCATCCTGGGGAGCTTATGCCCTCTGCTCTCACTTTAGTCAGGAGCAATTGCAAATTTTCAACTCTACCTTTTCATCTGGGGCAAGCTCAGACTTGTGAGCCCTGTCTGCCTACACACAGCACATAAATATGAACAGGGTCTTCTATTCACTACCATTGTTGCTACCAGTGAATTTTTATTGAGCACCTACTATGTTGTAGGGATTCTGCTACATTATGTTAACCCTCAAATTACTTGGGAGCCAGGATCTGTTTGTATATCCATTTTACAGACACTAACATGCAGCTTTTTAAGATTTTTTAATTTTAATTTTTATTTTTATACAGTGTCTCACTCTGTCATCCAGGCTGGAGTGCAGTGGTGTGATCACAGCTCACTGTAGCTTCAACTTCCCTGGCTCAAGCGATCCTTCCAGCTCAGCCTCTCAAGTAGCTAGGACTACAGGTTCATGCCACCATGCCCAGCTATTTTTTGTATTTTTTTGTAGAGACAGGGTCTTGCCATGTTGCCCAGGCTGCTCTTGAACTCCTGGGCTCAAGCAATCCACCCACCTCAGCTTCCCAAAGTGCTGGGATTACAGGTGTGAGCCACCACACCCAGCCTATGTAGCTTTGATAAGGTTCTTCACATAGCTAGATGATGGAAGACCCTGGACCCAATTCTGTGTATTTCTACAGCCCTGGCTCATAGCTATCATACTATTATTGCTTTTACATGTTAGAAATTTTGAAATGTTGAGTTCTGAACCAGTATTTCTGAGGGGTCTTAAAATATGGGCTTGGTGAAGTGGCTCATGCCTGTAATCCCAGCACTTTGGGAGGCTGAGGCAGGCAGACTGCCTGAGCTCAGGAGTTCGCCATCAGCCTGGGCAACACGGTGAAACCCCATCTCTACTAAAATACAAAAAACTTAGCCAGGTGTGGCGGTATGTGCCTGTAGTCCCAGTTACTCGAGAGGCTGAGGCAGGAGAATTGCTTGAACCCGGGAGGCAGAGGTTGCAGTGAGCAGAGATTGCGCCACTGCGCTCCAGCCTGGGTGACAGAGTGAGACTCTGCCAAAAAAAAAAAAAAAAAAAAAAAAAAGGCATAACATAAAATTTACCATTTTAACCATTGTTAAGTGTATAATTCAGTGTCATAAGTGCATTCACAATGTTGCATGATCATCACCACTATCCATTTCCAGAGTTTTCATTGTCCCAGGCAGAAACTCTGTATCCATTAAACATTAACTTTCCATTTCCCCTTCACCCCAGCCCCTGGTCACCTCTATGCCACTTTCTGTCTCAATTAATTTGCCTAGTCTAGGTAGCTCATATATGTGAAATCATACAATATTTGTTCTCTTCTTGAACCAATACGTTCTTTGCAGGATAAAAATATGATTGATTCCACCCTGCTTAAGACATCCCTGCCCTTCACTCAATGTGTAGCCTTCCTGAGTCTCAATATCCAGCTCATCCTTCCAATCCTGAGCATTTCTCTGGCCTCATCCATGGTCTTTCTGATCATGATCCCTGCCAGAATCACCTAGCAGTACTCTAAATTCTGGTCTCTTCTACATACTCTGTTCAGATGCTACCATACTCTGCACGTATAATACAGGCAAAACATCCATGCAGCACTTTACTGTTTACAAAGTGCTCTATTGTGCATATATCTTATTTGTTCCTCACAATATCCTTCTGAGGTAGATAGTGCAGCATTTGACAAATGAGGGAACTAAGAATTAAAGACAGGATGACTTACCCACATTTAGGCAGCTAGCAAATGCAGGACCAAGAGTCTCAAGGCCCTGGGCTTCTCTTTATAGCTCTTGATCTTCCCCACAAAGTCTGTCCCCCTCCCTCCTTTTAAAGAGGCTCAACTCCTGAGTTGGGCAGATGAATGCTCAGGAATGGCTTCTGTGTGTGGGCTGGGGGCAGGTAGGAGGAGGGATCAGAAGGAGGGAGAAATCAATTGCAGTTTTTCTCCCTTTAGATTCTGAGTTTATATTATTGTTTCCCCAATAATTTAGATTAGGTAAATCCAAATCCTGTCTATTGCTTATTGCTGTACTATGGTTTACAAGAAATAAAATGCACAGAGTTATTCTAGCCAAACACACACTTTGCTAGAGTTTCCTTCTTGCATCTTTATCTGCTTTCCTATCCTGTTGCACTGGACTGGAGAACACAGATACCTTCAGAAGCAGTGTATGTCTTCCTAAGCCTGTGACCAGCTCTAAACAGCAAACATCTAAATCCCACTCTCTTTGGCCTTACTCTATTTCCTCTTGAAATTCTAGAATCAAAGATGTCGCCTAAGATGGCACATACAGCCTGTGCCTTATGCTGCAAGACAGAAAGTATAGAGAATGCACATGAGAGTAGAAGATGCTTCTGAAGTTCTGTCACAAGTCCAGCTAAGTGTTTTAGCTCTTGGCCCTGAAGATCCCTGCCCAGTGGACGCTAGTATGAAAGGGCAAAAGCTGAGTGTGTGGCTAACACTTCTGCACATTCTGTATCATAAATTACCATAGACCTGTAGGTATCAATGGGGTTACGTTAATGGCAGTTACCCAACTCCTTTGGATAAATGAACTTCTGCCCCAACCAGCCTACCTATGAGTCCCCCTGCAAAGGTTCCTTCAGATACTTCTGTGAGTCCTCATAGAATGTCTTTTATGCCCTTGCAAACCTTTCTCCACTGGGTACCACCACCTCACACTTGGCATCCACCAGCTTCCTGGGGCTTCAGCACCTCCCAAGACAGCTGATGCACAGAGTTTTTGAGGTGCCAAAAGTTTATACTGTTCTGTTACAAAGCAGGGGCTTCTTATGTGTAACACTCTTAGAGGAGGTGGAAAGCCGATCTAGTCCTGTGAGTTATACAAAGTTAAGTATCTCCTTTAATATTTCCTTTACAGACCCCCTCTTCCCAATTACCTAATATAAGTCCAGTGGGTTCTGTCTGGGTCAGGAAACAAATTTGAATATTAGGACTTGACATTTAATATTGATATCAATGTTGTTTCCATAAGATTCCCTCCTCCTCCAACTACCAACATTTTCTTACTGAGTCCAACTCTTATAACGTCTAGCATCCGCTTTCTCCAGGATGAGTTTTCTCCAAGAGGCTTTTCAGGGCTTAGGAAAATGTGCCTCTGGAAAGTTCATCCCACTGTTTTGCCAAAAAAATGTTTAGACACATCTGATTTCAGTCTACCTGCTACATAGGTGTATTATTTCCACAGTGGCCCTTTCCCAAGCAAGACAGAATGTTGATACAGTCAGGAAGGCGTCCCAGCTGCAAATAACATGAAGTCTGACTAATAGACTTTTAGGGTGTCCCCACCCCAAAATGGGCTACACATCTTCATGTCTCACCTGCCTTTATCTAAATAATGGCATGAAGGCCAGGCGTGGTGGCTCATACCTGTAATCCTAGTGCTTTGGGAGGCCGAGGTGGGAGGATTGCTTGAGGCCAGGAGTTTGAGGTTGTAGTGAGCTATGATCATGTCACTCCACTCCAGTCTGTTGCACTCCAGGGCAATGGAGTCAGACCCTGTCTTTATCTAAATAATGGCATGAAGGCCAGGCATGGTGGCTCATACCTGTAATCCTAGTGCTTTGGGAGGCCAAGGTGGGAGGATTGCTTGAGGCCAGGAGTTTGAGGTTGCAGTGAGCTATGATCATGCCACTCCACTCCAGCCTGTTGCACTCCAGGGCAATAGAGCAAGACCTGTCTCTAATAAATAAATAAATAATGACATGAAGCTAACTAATTAAATGGACAGTTTAGGACCTCAAGACTTTTTACAGAGTTTTTCAGCATGACCCCTAGAAAGCCACTACAAAATTTTAGGAAATTGTATCAACAAATGTATACCATGTCAGACTATTCTCTAGGTCAAGAGTTCCTCTGGTATTTCAGTATTTCTCCAAGTGTGTTTTAAAGAATACCAGTCCTATCAGATTTTCTGAAACACACACACAGACGTTGGAGATGTTGCATGCTATTATCTGACTCTTAGAGCTCCACAGTGCACACTGGCATTTGAAAGATTCTTAAAAGTCATACTGTAAATAAGCTTGTTTACTTTAACTCACTGCTTCCAAAATTTTTTGAATACAAGAACATTTTGAGGCATAATGCCTGTGAATATCTTATAGAACTGGGGTTCTATGGCATATATATTTTGGGAAAGGTTGACCTACTCTATTTGTTTTTCTTTCTTTTTTTTTTTTTTTTTGAGATGGAGTCTTGCTCTGTTGCCCAGGCTGGAGTGCAGATCTTGGCTCACTGCAACCTCCGCCTCCCGGGTTCAAGCAATTCTTCTGCCTCAGCCTTCCGAGTAGCTGGGGCTACAGGCACGCACCACCATGCCAGGCTAATTTTTGTATTTTTAGTAGATATGGGGTTTCACCATGTTGGTGAGGCTGGTCTTGAACTCTTGACCTCATGATCCACCCACCTTGGCCTCCCAAAGTGCTGGGATTACAGGCACGAGCCACCGCATGTGGCTGACCTACTCTATTTCTTACGTTAAACTAGCTGTGTTATCCAACCAAGCTTATCAGGTTGAGTTGTCAAGCATGAACTGTTGATAATATAATACATATGATGTCGTGCTAGCAGTTTAACATGCTTCCAAATGGTTCCTTTTACCTTTGAAATTTATTAGTAGAAACACTTTCCCTTTAATAAGATCATAATGTAATTTCTTATTCACATAGATTAAGAAAAATAATGTTTTAGTTTAATATATGGCAGAGTTTTTTGAAATAAGTAACAGTTTGGCTTCTTAGAAACATATCTAAGGAAAAATAATATTATTTAAAAAGTTAAACTTAGTAGCAAATAGAAAATATTAAAGAGAAGAATTTTGTTAAAAAAAAAAAAGCATTCCACAATCAGGCAGGAAATAACTAGACTATAATATTATGGTTACCAATAAGAACCAAAATGAAATCAGTATCTTAGACATGTACCAAGGAGGAAAAAAATAAGAAAAAAGAAACTACTGAATTGTAACTGCTAACAACCTTCCACAAAGGTAAGCAATTCTGAGGAGCCAAATAATTGAACAGAACCCAAGTTCAGGTTATATGCTTCATTAAAATTTGTGGTCAGTGAACAGAACATTCTCAAGTGCCTCATGCCTGGACTAATTTTCTATCATGTCCACACAAACACATGCAGAGTCATGGTGATCAAACACCCAGCAGAGATAACAGCCAAATATGGCCAGCCTCACGATAATGTTGGAGAAGCAGTGCAGACTGTGGCCTGGAAACCCACAAGGTAGACCCGTGGGCGGTGACAAATTGGGCCTCTGGTAGTGCTGTTAGCATTTTGCAATTAACCACGATATCATACTTCACTCATAGACGGCAGTCTTTCTGACTTAAGGGTGGATAATCAGTAGCTTCTACAGCTACAGCAGGATTAGACATGAGCCTACATAATTATCAGAAAATATATGTCTCTAAATGCCTGCCTCAGAAACAAACAAGTGTCATCATTTATATACGTATTGGATCTTATGTAAACTTTTAATTTACTTTTAGTAGATATTTTAGATCTGGATTCCCAAAGGAAGAGTGCAAAATTTTACTTGTGTCTTTCTCGGATCTGCTCATGATTTGAAAAAAAAATACTGGTGCTATTTTGTTACTGTTATATAAAAAAACACAGAGGTTATTGTAGAGCACATGTAACCCAATGAAATGAGATTCTTGACTGAAAAACCTTTCAGAGTGTTGTAAAGATGAATGTGGGAAGCACAGTAAAGGGAATCTCTCTATATGTGTAATTTGATGGCTTCTGGAAGAATGAAACCTCAAATACTATGCTCACATGAATTTTAAAAGTTGCTTTGGAGATAAAAATCTTCAAAACTAATATTACATATGAGAATTTGAGCATTAAGGGTTTAGAAAAAGAAGAGATTAATCTACAGTTTACAAATAGACTATAAAATAGAGGCTCTTCTAGAAGTGAAAAAATCACAGCATTGTAGGTGCAACAGTATTTGGATTCCGAATATGTTTGACATTCAGCTCTTGCCACATTCTATATGTAGAACAAGGCAAACCCAGGGCCTAGACATGAACATGGAGGTAGGTGGAATTTGACATTCTGATATTAATATTAATTTATTTGGACATTTATTTTAGGGGATGAAAGGGTTCTATTATAGATAACCTATTATCACTCTGTGAAGACTTGCCTGTTGAAAACAAGTCCTGGTGATTGTGTTTTCTTTCTGTATCACAATCTAGTCAAGTGGTTAATAATCTGTACCAAACAAATAAAATAAACTAAACACATTTATTAAAATATGTTGTATTCTAAAAGCTAGGCTCATTTCCAGCATGTGGCCTATCACTGAAGCTCTGAGTTCTTAAAATCGTTGAGTTGAGAAATTTTTTTTCTGTGAAAGTGCTTTAATTCTATGAGGACACAGTAGGACTCTCCAAGGAAAGAAACTTACTAGGGAACTCTCATACCTTTACATTGATACAATCTCCCTTTTAAAAATCGTTTTAATTGTGGTAAGATTCACTTAACATAAAATTGACCATCTTAACCATGTTTAAGTGTATTGTGTCAAAGCCATTAAGTACATCCATATTACTGTGTAACCATCACCAACATCCACCTCCAGAACTTTTCATCTTGCAAAACTGTAACTCTTCACCCATTAAACAACAACTCCACTTCTCCCTTCTTCCAGGCCCTGGCAGCCATCATTTCTGCTTTCTGTGTCTGTGAATTTGACTACTCTAGGTACTTCATATGAATAGAATCATACAATATTTGCCCTTTTTTGATGGGCTTATTTCACTTAGCATAATGTCTTCAAGGTTCATTCCTGTTGTAGCATGAGTCTACAATCTCCTGTTTCAGTGGGTAAACAAAAAAGCAGCCCTAGTCACTTAATCTTTTTATATCCATATAATATTTTATATCAACTTACTTCAAAGGGACTCTACAAAGTTTGCCTGAGTTGTGATTTGAGTCCCCTTTAAGAGAAACCCATAATAACAAAGCAGTGGTAATGGAGGTGATGGCAGTGGTGGTGGTAGGTTGACTACATAATAAACAGGAGGAGGCATGAAGACAAGAGGCAGTTTTGACTCTATGTTAAAGACCACCTGCTCTACTCCCAGAGATTCTGGATCCACAGATCTGGGTGAGGTTCAAGAATTAATATTTAAAAAAAAACACAAAGAATGTGGAAAATTCAAATTCTTCTCTGTATAGCACTGTACTGGCTCCATTTGTGACTTCTGCTCACCATCAGCTGCTACACAGATAAATCAAATCCATCCTCTTTGTCACTTTCAAAATTTGAATTTGTCTCCTTTGCTTGAGGGAAAACACTTCAGTTTTGCTTAAGTAACAGACTTCATTTTATGTAGTTTTTAGTCCTTTAACATATAGTTTTCTTTCTTGTAGATATCCATTAAGTGTCAACATCTATTCAAAACGAGGCATCCAAAACTGCTCCTTGTTCAGCATCATTACCCAAAAGTCTGCCTGTGGTAGGTAGAATTCTAAGATGGCAGGTGGAATTAAGTTTGCTCATCAGTTGACAGTAAGAAAGGAAGATTACCCAGGTTAGCCTAACCTAGTCACACGGGCCTCTTAAAACCAGAGAGTTTTCTCCTGCTGGTTGCAGAAGTCAAAGAGATTCAAATCGAGAGAGGGATCCACTGAAAGGACTCTTCTCCATTGCTGAACCGGAGGGAGCCACATGGCAAGGACCCAAGAGCGACCTCTCTGAGCTGGGAGTAGTTCCCTGCTGAAAGCCAACAAGAAAACCAGACCTCAGTCCTACAACCACAAGTCCTACAACTGCCAACAACCAATGGTACTTGGAAACAAGATTTCTCCCTAGCTGAGGCTCCAAGAGAGGATGCCAATATCTTGATTTTAAGCCTTATGAGACCCTCAGTGGAGGACCCAGTTAAAACGTGCCAGGCTCCCGAGTCACAGAAACTGTGATGTTTTAAGCCACTAAATATGTGGTAATTTGTTATACAAATATAGATAATGAATATACTGCCCCTTCTATTTTATACTTCAACAATACTTATCTATGTGCAGTTTCTGAACTTAGTTGCTCTCTTGGTCTTACATAGCTTTGTTCTCGACATTTCCTTGCCTGGAGTATTCCCTTTTATCTGATCAGACGTCAGATGGACAAACTCTCAACTCTTGATGTTCAAGACACATCTCAGGCATTACTGCCACCAGAAAACGCCACTGCCTTCCCTGGGCAGACTTCCTGTGTTTATTAGTCCCTTCTGCCTATAGGAATTAGAGAGCCCTGAAAAACTACAGGCAGGAGAATTTTCAGTTAGCAACTTTACGATTTTATGGAAAAACTAAAA
This sequence comes from Homo sapiens, assembly GCF_000001405.40. Taxonomy (NCBI): domain Eukaryota; kingdom Metazoa; phylum Chordata; class Mammalia; order Primates; family Hominidae; genus Homo; species Homo sapiens. Next base: position 41,999,276 of record NC_000013.11, read on the forward strand.
TGTTGAGGACTGAAATTGGGAATGAATGTATGAAAGTCCTCATAGATATTTTTATATTCCTTTAAATAATACAAGCAGTTTACTATGTAATGATAGGAACAATGATGTTCTATATATCACATTGGCAACATTGGCGGTCTGCTTTTTGCATTTACCACTTTTTGCTAAATAGATACTTTTAAGGATTTTCTTCCTCTGAAGTTTCAGTGAGATGCTTGTGAATGTCTCCTGTTTTGTTCCAGAGGCATGTGACTGTGTAACTGGAGTTATTGGCTTGGGGAACAGGAGCCAACCTCAGTATCTCAGAGTACCAAGAGGCTATAATAACCTTCCTGGTAACTTCATACCAAACCTCAGACCCTCCTATACTCCATCCTCCAATCATTCGAGCTCTCCCTTTCCTCTGGCTCTAGTACTAGAAAGCAGGATGCAAACACCACGAATTTCATCTACTTGATCTTGAGAATTGCAGAAACTCTATCTCTGCACTCCTCTTTACTTCCTTTTTCTATCCTAATCCTTAATTCCATTTTCTAATTAAAGTATATTCTGCATGCACAAGGACTACCTCCCCTAATCTTTGATAATTCCCAGATGCACAAGTACATCATGGCAAGGAGCAAGCCCCTATCATAAGACAGAGCCCCTAAGGCTACAAAGAAGAATAATATGCAATTCTGTCTGTTTTCAAGAATTTCATCTACAGATAGAAGCAATCCAATTCAGCAGATAAAGCGCTATCCAGAAATTCAGGCAACAAATTGAAGTTGATATAGATGGTATCAATGAGATTCAGTATTTATTAACAGGTATCCAATATGCAAAGCATGGAAATTGGAATTTAGGTACAGAAATATTTCAATATGGAAGCAGACATCAGGGAAGTCTGCTAGGAGATGGCAAGGTAGGAAGCAGGGTACTTGGAAGGAGGTTCAGATACAGGATTTTAGTCTCTGGTAAGAAACTAACAAGAGCAAAGCCGAGTCTCAGTTCTTTGGGGGATTGGAGTCCTGATAAACAAAAGGCAAGGACTCCCACATGGAAAGTCAAATCTGTGACCCACTTACTAGAAGGAGGCCACAAACCAGGGGCTTCTTCTTGGAAACAGTTTTTAAAACTGGAGCAAGCCAGAAACTCCATGTCATTCTAGAAATCTACTTGAACAAGTATGCAAACATATACGTGCAAAGCTGTTCACTGCAGCGTTGTTGGTAATAGCAAAACATTTAGAAACAATTGAATGCTCACCTGTGGAGTCCTGGTTACATAAATGATGGGATATCCAAACAGGGAAATACTTTGCATCTCTTAGAATCAATGAGGAAGCTAGCTCATATGAACTGATATGGAAAATTTCCAAAATGTACTATTAATTGAAAAAAATTGAGAGACAGGATCATATGAACAGTGTGATATCACCAATGCAAAAAGGAAAGGATACACAGTACCTGGACAAGATACACTTCTGTAAACACATACACCCGTGCTCACACACACACAAACCCCTGTGTATATGTATTATCAGTGTCCATTCCAGGAAACAAAAACCATTCTAAGTATTTCAAACAGAGAGAATTTAATACAAGAATTGGTTAAAAATTGTTGCTGATCCAAAGGGGGAAGGGAAGGGAAGTCTACCCAAAGGTGAACAACGTTAGGAAACCAATAACATCTAGTGGAGCAAAAGGGAACATTATTTAAGCAAGAATCCACAATTGCTGTGGTGCTAAAGCTGCTGGAGGAATGTCTAGGATCAATCCTAAATACTCCACATTCCAACCATGACATCCCGTTTATGTGCTTTCTTTTGGGCCCCCATTAGGCTGAGGGAAGGTCTTAAATGGCATTCTACTGGTTATATTATTAGTCATTTTATAGAATTAATCAATTGTGTCAAGGGCAGGGATCTTATATTAATCCTTTTGGCTTTTTGTTTGTTATTAGATACACTCCTTCTGTTTTGTAAATGTGGAATGACTTAAGGCTTTGCTTAACTCGTTAGGGCAGAGGTGGTGGGGAGAATGGAGAGGAAGCCTCGTATATTATCAAAGACAACTAAAGCCAAGATATTTACAACAATAATCTACAAATGATTTTATTTTAGCCTCTCTGAAAAGAGCTTGTTTAAAAACTGAGTGAGGAAAGTGTTGGGATTTTTTAGATTAACTTTCCAAACAGAAATGTGTACTATATTTTTAAAGGAGACAAGTGTATTACTTCTTTACGAGTCAGTTGAACCAATTTCATCATGAAGGTCTCTGTGTGTGATGTTTCTTGGGCACCCGTTGAAATCCTCCCAGCCTCACCTGTCTCTTATTCCAGCTCCTACTGCAGCAACCAGTTCTGTGTGGGCAACAGTTTCCTGCAATCACAATCAGGCATTGCCTGGCCTCTCTGCACATGGCCGTCTCCGGCTCTCCAGCCCGGGCTTCTCTGTCGACACTGAGGGCTGCAACAATCTGCAAAGGCAGGGCCAAACCCTTGATGAGATAAATGCTTTTTCCACTTTCCCCCTGGTTGGGCAGCCTTGAGTTTCACAAGGCAGTCCAGCGGTCCTGTGAGAGGGAGTGAGCAAACAGGAGTGCATCTTTGTATTAGCTCTCCCCCGTCATTCCTCCTTCCTGAATCACACTCCTCAGTAAAGTACTTCAAGTTAAGTACAGTATTTGTTTCAGGCTCTGCTTTAAGGGGAACCCAGGCTATGACAGTCCCCAATATACAATACTATGGCTCTGATGATGGTCCAATTTGGTGATGGCTGGGAGAAAAATGCACTGAAAATATGATCACCGTATGTTACATGGCCAAGACCTGAGCCTGATGATTTTGTTATAATATTCATGAAACATAGTAAAATGGAAAAAATCCACAGACAGGAGGAAGAACTGGAACCAGAGACTCAAATGCTATCAGGACTGTCTCTACAATTCTCATTTGCTTTGTTTATCTCTCTGTCTTTCTGTTTTTCTGTTTCCCTGTCTCTGCAGTTGCATCTGCTTCTCTGGTTCACATGGTAAAAAAGTATCAGCGTTGGGCAGAGGGGACTCTTCCCCCTTTTCCCCCTATTTCCAAGTGCAGGCACCTCTGTCAAGGCACATCCTCTGCTTTCTCTGCAGCCCTACACCTCAACCTCTCCCCAGGGAAGGAGTGATTTAGCTGATTTGTGAGTTTGGAGAAAGAGACAGAATATATGTGGCTGAGATGCATCCTTTCTTCTCTCTGTTTGCGAAATGAGTATTTGTTTTTCTGGGTTTTTTTTTTTTGTTTGTTTGTTTTTTTTTTTTGAGACAGGGTTTTGCTCTTGTTGCCCAGGCTGGAGTGCAATGGTGCGATCTCGGCTCACTGCACCCTTCAACTCTCGGGTTCAAGCGATTCTCCTGCCTAAGCCTCCCGAGTAGCTGGGATTACAGGCACTCACCACCATGCCTGGCTAATTTTTGTATTTTTAGTAGAGACGAGGTTTCACCATGTTAGCCAGGCTGGTCTCGAACTCCTGACCTCAGGTGATCCACCTGCCTCGGCCTCCCAAAGTGCTGGGATTACAGACGTGAACCACCACGCCCGGCCCATGCAATGAGTTTTAAAGAGTCAGACCCCTACTGGGAGAGCCAGCACTAGTGCAGCTGTGCCTATGACTGGGTGAGTAATTCTCTTTAATTCAAGGGTGGAACATAAGTAGGTCAATATATCATATTCTCTCCTACCATCTCCAGGCTTGTTTGACATTTATTAAATATGACATTTTGATCTCCAATGGTCTGAGTCCTGCATCTATCTCTCAGTTGGTTCTGAGCTTGGATGCATATTAATGTGTTATTATAATACATATTAATGTGAAATATATTAGTATACATCAATAAATATAGCAGGGGTTTTATATATTGATCCTCCTAAGACCTTCCAGTCACCAACATCCTCCATCTTTATATTTACAATTTTTACACAAGAAGAGAGATGATTTTCTTTTCACTTCTACTTCCAAATTTCCTGGGGAGGGACTCTAGTTAGTGCAGAATAAACCCTGACTTGGGAGGCAAGAAAATAGGACTGGCTAAGTTTGGATCAGATGCCCACTGATGAACCAAACATCTATGATCAGAAGGGTAAGTCAATTTCTAACACAGCATCTCTGCCCAACCACAGCTGTGCTACTACCATGAACACAAGCCATGTACAGCCCATTAAGCTGGCCAGTGATACCAAGGTTCTGGGCAGGACTGACTAGCAGGGACAGTACACACAGGTGCATGTGGAATTCATGGACTTCCTGAGCTACTCCATAATCAAGAACATAAAAGGCCACAGCTGGGAGGGAGATGTGCTCACCCTATTGGGGGTCAGAGCTAGAGGCTTGCAGGCTACATGGAACCTGCTACTTGGTCTTAGATAGGTCGACCACTTGGCCTGCATGGAATATCTGTTGCTCTTAAATGAAGTGTTTATATTGTATGAGGAGAAAATTGGAACATGGGTGATCCAACTGCATCTGGGTAGATGGCATGGGAGGAGAGACAGTTCTTAAAAGCAGACAAGCTTTGAGGCCCCAGATTTAGAGATGTCCACTTCTTCCCCCAGCAATTATTCTGAAATTTCACCTCTGCCCTCAGTTTCCCTATCATAACTTCACGTTGCCCTACTTTGCCTCAGAAAAGGAACTCAAAGTCCAGGCACAGTGGCTCATGCCTGTAATCCCAGCACTTTGGGAGGCTGAGGTGGGCATATCACTTGAGGCAGGGAGTTCGAGACCAGCCTGGCCAACATGGTGACATCCCATCTCTACTAAAAATACAAAAATTAGCTGGGCGTGGTAACAAATGCCTGTAATCTCAGCTACTCAGGAAGCTGACGGAGGAGAATCACTTCAACTTGGGAGGTGGAGGTTGCAGTGAGCTGAAATTGCACCACTGCACTCCAGCCTGGGCAACAGAGTGAGTGACACTTGTCTCAAACAAACAAACAAACCAACAAACACAAACAAACAAACAGAAAAGGAACTCAAAGTCTTAACAGAGAAAATAGAGGCTGGCATGAGTTGCACAAATTTCCTCCACTCCCACACAGCCAATATCTGCCTTCACATGTCCCTTACCTTCTTCCCTCCTGTCTCCATGGAAAAGATATTCTTCTTCCTGGTGTGGTATCTATGAGGTATTATAGTTGCTATAGACTGAATGTTTAAGTCCCCTCCAACACTGTACCCAGAATTCATGTGTTGAAACGTAATCCCTAATGTGAGGGTTTTTGAAGGTGGGGCCTTTGGGAGATTATTAGGTCATGACGGTGAAGCCCTCACAAAATGGTTCTGTGTCCTTATTAAAGAGATCTAGTGACTTCTCTCACCCCTTCCACCATGTGAGGACACAGTGGAAAGTGGCCATACATAAACCAGAGAGCAGGCTCTTATTATTATTTTTTTTTTTTTGAGATGGAGTCTTGCTCTGTCACCCAGGCTGGAGTGCAGTGGGACGATCTCGGCTCACTGCAAGCTCCGCCTCCCGAGTTCACGCCATTCTCCTGCCTCAGCCTCCTGAGTAGCTGGGACTACAGGCGCCTGCCACCAGGCCCGGCTAATTTTTTTGTATTTATTTTTAGTAGAGACGGGGGTTTCACCGTGTTAGCCAGGATGGTCTCGATCTCCTGACCTTGTGATCCGCCCGCCTCGGCCTCCCAAAGTGCTGGGATTACAGGCATAAGCCACTGCGCCTGGCCACCAGAGAGCAGGCTCTTATCAGACACCAAATCTGCTGACACCTTGATGTTGGACTTCCCAAACTCCAGAATTGTGAGAAATAAATTCCTGTAGTTTATAAGCTACCCAGTTTATGGTATTTCATTATAGTAGCCCAAATGGACTAAGACAATAATGTAATGTTGGATGTAGAAATCGGATGGCCTGGCTGTCAACCCTGGCGCTACCATTTCCTAAACTAGTGACATAATCTTTCTGTGTCTTGCACCCCTCATGTGTTGCACTCTGCATAGAACAGTGGCAACAACTCAGAGGGCTGGCTTGAGGATTCCATGAAAGAGTGGACACAAAGCACCTAGCCCACGGCCTGGTGTGGCATCGCAGCAGCAACTCTCACTATGCTGTGATCCCCAACCAATTCTCCATCCCTAAACCCAAAAGATACTTTTCACTTTTAATTTCCTTGACCTCTGTATGGTGGCTGGCATTGTTGTCCTCTCTCCCTGGCATTCTTACTGCCCTTGGTTCTCGTTTTATTACTTTCTCATGATTTTCCTTCTACTCCTTCAACCACAGGTTCTCAATATCCATCTTGGAGTTCTCTTTCTTTACTTGCCATTTAAACATCAAGGCTCTGTCATCAACTCTCTTCTTTCCTCATTGTACATATTCTGCATAATCTCACTTACACCTACATCCTTGATAACCCCTTGGAATGGGTTTAGATACATCTGTGTTTCTAGACCTCACCTCTCCCCTCAGTTCACAGACAGTTAATGCATGGCCAGATGCACCCAGTGCTTAAATAGGTTCAGAGTGCTTTTATAAATCGAATAAAGGCAGGTATCGAATGGATTCATGTTTCAGACATCTAATTATAAGACGTTACCACCTGTACATTCTATAGGCACCATAGACATCTAATGAGCAAAGCTGAACTTGCCATATTCCTCATCCCATAAACAAGTTTTCTATCCTTCCCTCTGTATCCACCTACTCTACTGCCATAACCAGAAACTTCTTTCTCCCCTTTTCTCCCATTAAAACACCATTTGCCTTACACAAGTCTTGTCAGTCAACTTCCTAAATTTCTTTTGGATTCATCTCTTTCTCTCTATTCTTGCACATTATCCCTACCTAAATATTCGCACTTCTCCAAGTGTGCTCCCTCTTTTGCTCAAGCTCCTCTGTATGTTAGAAGGCCTTTTCTCCTTTGCCCACTCCTCTTTGAGGTTTAGCTTCGGGCTTGTTTACTCTGGGGAACCTCCTCTCCCTTCTCCAAAATAAAATTAGGAGCCCCTTAATACTCTTTGTAGCCAATGCTTGTGATGCTGTGTGCCACAGCTTCTTGGCCTGCCTGGGAAGGGGCTCATGTGCTTTGCCCACTCCCCACTTCCAGTCCTCTCTGAAGCTTCCCTCTGCTTTGCTGCCTCTGGGCTTTCTCTGAATCCATAGGAAGCTGCTCAGCTTGGTTACAGAAGCAACATAGAAGGGTGGGGGACGCTAATACACCCCAGAGGCAACCGCCAATTAGTAAGGGGCTGGAATCAGTGGATCCTCCAGGGAGATGATTCTGAGGCTCGTTCTACCCAGTTCTTCAGAGGGACTCCAGTGGGGTTGTGCCCCTGATGCCCACAGTTGCTCACTGACACCCTTTATCAGCTTTTTTTATCCCCTGTCTCACCCTCCACACTCTCACCTCTGATTCTTGGAATGATCACCTAAGTAAACACTCATACATCATATTTTTCTTAGGCTACAATTTAGATGGGTGGGGGTACCCAAACTAAGATATGCTCTAATAGCCTCTAGTTTATACCATGAGCATAGAATTTATTATATTGAATTATCATTGCTACTTTACTTTATTCATCTTTGAATATTTAATACCCAGTGCTTTGATATAGAGCCTGGATTAAAATAGACATTACGTAAAATATGTAAAAGCAGGTAGAAAGAGAGAGAGAAAAAGACTTTTTTTTTTTTTTTTCTTGAGACGGGGTCTCACTCTGTCACCCAGGCTGGAGTAGGCAGTGGCACAATCAGAGCTCACTGCAGCCTCAGCCTCCAGGGCTCAAGTGATCCTCCCACCTCAGCCTCCCAAGTAGCTGGGACTACAGACATGTGTCACCCTACCTAGCTAGTTTATTTTGTATTTTTAGTAGAGACAGGGTTTTGCCATGTTGCCCAGGATGGTCTCAAACTCCTGGGCTCAAGTGATCTGCCCGCCTTGGCCTCCCAAAGTGCTGGGATTACAGGCCTGAGCCACCACACCTGGCCGACAAGGAGACTTTTGGCCAATATCACTTGTGCTTAGTGCTGGCTATTCCTACTGCTGTACTTTTCACTTTGTGAAAGTATAAAATTTAAATAATGCCATGCAAATAAAGAATATTACTGGAAAATCGTCTCAAAGTAAAACACAGGCACAGGGTGGGTTTTTGCTTGTCCATTCATGATAAGGGGACTATGAGACTGAGCCGCATCCCATTGTTACATCACTTTGTAAATTACATCACATCTTAATTGTATGCATAGTCGCAGATTCTGTGTGAACATTTGGTTGATAATTTAATGGAACAATGGTTCTTTGGGAGATGCCATTAGAACAAAATACCTGTGATGGAGACAATAATAAAGACTGAGTCAACAGAAGCACCGCCACTGAACTTTCAACTTCCTCAAGAAGTTTGGAAGCAAGATTGGGTATCAGTGATGGGGGCTTGGGGGATATTAAAAAAGTGATACATCTTTTACTGGAATTTCACAGGTGAGTTCTTTGAAACAACTTTAGACAGGAATATGCCTCACTAGTGAATAATAACAAAATCTAGGACATAATTATTTATGAAGTTCTCATCCCAGTAGCACCTAAACACTTTAGAGATATTTGATGTATGGTCTAGATTCACCCAGAGCTTTCTTGGACTCAGGGTGCATTCATAAATGTAATAAAGGTAAATGTCTAATGGATTTATGGTGGAAAGGAGAGAGAGAGAGAGAAAGAAAACAGAAACAACGATTCATTCCCAAGGCATTTGCAAATGTTTGATTGTTCCACACTACCCAAATACCAACCTCAGGAGAAATACTTGTAATGGAGCATAAGTAAGTGAGATAAAACTTCTTGGCCTCAGAAGGAGATTAGTGCCAGGAAATAAAAGAGTAACTTAGGAGAAGTAAAAATTAGTCATAGTAGACTCATATCTCTCTTTTGATTTATTTCTTTTTTCTTCCATTTTAATGTTTTTTATTCTGCTGTTTTTCCCCAGAAGTTCTTTTGTTTATATTCAGAAAATCCAGATAGCCAGGAATCCTTGGTGCAAATCATTTTCTTTCAAAGAGACTTGTGCAGTTACTGATATTCCTTTCCTAGTCTATTTCACTAAGGCCGAGACTATCTATAGAGATGGATTTTCACACAAAATGGATGTTTTAAAAACTTAAAACACAGCTATATTTGGATCTGTGAACTATAAACAGTAGGAAACCTGCAAGATTCTAAAACCTGTTATTTCCCTCTTATTATCTCTATTTTACAAAGCTCTGTGTATTCCATCTTCAGAAGCTACCTCCATTCTTCCAGTTCAAGAAAATTTACCTTAACATATTGCTAAGGCTTTAGATTTTTCTGACCCCCAGATGTCACCCCAGAAATGATGCATACCACTCAGTACAATTTGCATCATTACACAAAAGGGACTCTCCTTGGAAACCTTTTATGCACTTCTAAAACATAATAGTATTAAAAGAAATGTGTTCTTTTTAAGATAACAACCGCTGTTAACTCCCCCACTAGAGCTTGCTGAAGCATTTGACAATTAACCCAGCTTACTACTGGCTTGAAATGATTTGGCAATGGTTTAACTCTTTTGGGAAATGCTTTTTCCATTTTTTTTTCCTTTTTAGTGCATTTTAATACATTTAAATTTCATCTCTATTCTTCCTCTACACTTATCCCTTAACACACGACTACATTTTTGGTTATATGTGTTTGTGGTTATTAAAAACATATAGAATCATTGTGTTGTGGGGTGAATTATGTGTCCCAAAATTCATATGTTGAAGCACTAACCTCTAGTACCTGAGAATGCTACTGTATTTGGAGACAGAGCCTTGAAAAAGGTGATCAAGTTAAAATGAGCCTGTTAGGGTGGGCCCAAATCCAATATCATTGGTGTCCTTATAAGAAGAGCATATTTGGACATACAGAGACATACTAAGGATGCATGTGCACATGTGAGGGCACAGGAAGTAGGCGGCCATCTGCCAGCCACAGAGACCACTCCTGTTAGCACCTTAACCCCCAGAACTGTGAGAAAATCAGTTTCTGTCGTTTAAGCCACCCAGTCTACAGTATTCTATTATGGCAGCCCTAGCAGACTAATACAACTAGATTCTCTCTGCTGCATCCCATCCACGGAGTCGTTTCAGCCTTCACTTGAATAGTTAGTGGGGCCACTCCCCACTATTTCACTTAGGGCAGTCCTTTGCACAAGCATTTCCTTCTGTTCTGAGTTACTAGGATTTCCCACAGTAATTCCACTGCCTGAAATGACATCACAATACATACAGAGATGTCCTTTGATTTTTATAGAAACCCAGTGCTTTCAAAATTGGCCAGGCACGGTGGCTCACACCTGTAATCCCAGCATTCTGGGAGGCCGAGGTGGGTGGATCACTTGAGGTCAGGAGTTGGAGACCAGCCTGGCCAACATGGCGAAAACCCCATCTCTACTTGAAAAAAAAAAAAAAATTAGCCAGGCACAGTGGCACGCACCTGTAATCCCAGCTATTCAGGAGGCTGAGGCAGGAGAATCTCCTGAACCCAAGAGGCAGAGGTTGCAGTGAGTTGAGATCGCACCACTGTGCTCCAACCTGGGTGACAGATCGAGACTTCACTACAAAAAAAAAAAAAAAAAAAAAAAGAAGCCCAGGGTTTTTAAAATAAAATCAATAAGTTGATTACAAATGTCCCTAAATGACTGAATGTCCAGGCAGTGCCTCCGAACTCTGTTGCACTGTCCACATACACTTAATTGCTAAACCCAGATTCTTCTGCCTCCATCACAAGATTCAAGACTTGCTGTTCCCTTCCTATTCTCTTAGTCAATGTGGTCTTAACTGTCATCTTGCTGGTTTTTCTGCCTCTAACTTTCGGTAGTTCCTACTAAAAAGAGATAGTCTTATGAACACTGGAGGGGTAGAACATGCTGTGGCTGATCACCCACTTTTCACCATCCTATTTTTATTTGATGAGATTGAACTACACTGAACAACAAAGCATGCCTTTTAAAAGAAGGAAAAAGACACCCAGAGGCAGTAGAGATGCTCCATATGAGGAACACAAACTCTTTGCCTTGTATATACTGTGTGTTGCACCAGCTTCCTAACAAGGGTCCATGTTTCTGTCCTTGTACCACTACAATCCACTGAAATCCGAGTAGCCCAAGGATGATTTTAAATTCTAAATCATATCCACACAGGCCCCCCCCCCCCACCCCGCCAACCCACTCCCTTGGCTTTCCATCTCACTCAGGGTAAAACCTGAGTCCTCACGATGGCCTGTTAGGGTTTCATGCCTGGGCTCCCTGTGATGTCTCTGACACCTACCACTGACTTGGGCTCTGCTGTCATCAAACATTGCTGACTTCCTCACTGTGGCCTTTTCTCCTGTTATTCCTTCAGCTTGGAATTCTTTTCCATCAGCTATCTGTCAGAACCTTGCTCAAATGACATTCTTCCTTTTTTCAGCCTCTCCCAATCCCACGAATAATAAAAATATTGATGACAATAACAGTAGTAATAGCAATAAAAACATGGTCTTTTCTACCTTTGTTTACAGTTTTTGTCAAGGGTCTCTCCACTCAGTTCTCTGGGAAGAGGCACAATTTAAACAGCGTAAGTGCCAAAGATGAGGATGTAGATGTTCTCTACTGTCTCACAGGTACCACCCTGGGAACTCACATGCTAAAAAGTAATGTCAAGGATACTGACCAATATTGTGGTACTCATTTGCAAAGCTAGCTTTAATTAGATTTTTTTAAAAACTTATATTTGCAAGATTAATATAAAGTAGTGAGTGAATTAATACAATTGTATTGCTTGATGTCCATTTCTTTTCTTCCTGCATCTAGGTCGAAAATTTAATTCCTAGCTTTGTGGTTTCTTCCTAAAAAATGGTCATTTGTATTCCAGAATCAACCTCTCCTCACCGATCAAGTCCTCAGGGGACATCTGAAATAATCCTAATGGAGGGTGCTGTCAGCCGCCGCTGCACCTGCTAAATGTCTTGAGATCCGCAAAGGCTCACCTGAATGCTTTGCACAGTTGCCTCTGAGGAACATGTGTCTTGCCTCATTTGCACTTCTTTGGACATTTAATTGCAGTATGCATCACACTCCACTGCAAGTATTTCTTTAGCTGTCTGCCTGAATTCATATCCTCTGAGCTCTTTAAGGACAGGATCTTTAGTAATCATGCTGAAAAATCCAAACAGTTCACAAGCAGAAAGTTCCGCATGCCCCTAATCCTTCACTTCTACTTCCAGAAAGGTCCCCTGTTAAATCTCTGAAATACCTTCCTGAATTTCCCTATGTATAAACAAGCATGTGTCTATACATAGCAGGCGTGATTATTTTCAGGACCTCACATTCAGGAGTGGAAAATGTAACTTTTTAAAAATAACATTTTAATCTCTATTTTGAGCACCAGTTCTGTCAAGAAGCAGAACACGTTATGTTTGTCAACTCAGAGGAAACTCAGGCATTTCAGGAGTTTGCAGTCGCTGGAGGAGCTTCCTCTCTGTTCTTCCGCCCTGGATTATTGTCATTCTTGCTGTTGTTCTAGATTCTGGGGGTGGGGCGTTGTGGAGGTGGCCAGCTATCGGTCAGATCTAAACACACTAGCATCTACTTTGGTGCCCACTGCCCACATCTGGCTCTGGGCTACTGCTGTCCATTCGCCCTCCACCGTGGCATCAGGTATAGACCAGGTGGCTGAAGCTGCATCTGCTAATGGGGTTGCCTAATGCCGACCCAGAGCTTCCAGCTGGCTGTGGATTCTTTCCATGAAACCGGAGTCTGCTTCCTGGACCCCAGCCAGTGAAGGTGCCCCAGGCCCATCGGCCTGGCACACCTTCTACCTCTCTCTCTATGCTCCTGTGTCACGACAGCAAAGAGAACGTCCTTGTTCTCTTGCTCCCCTACCTTCTCTGCGGCCAGCCCAAGGTGGGCGGGGCTCTGGTCCTCTGCACGATGTTACTCCCACCAGCTCTCCTCTGTCCCCTGCTCCCTTCTCTCCTGGAGTATTTTTATCTCCTCTAAAGCAGGAAAACTGGCTCTTGGATCAACAGTCATTCTTTCCAACGCTATTTGTTTAACCCATTGTCTCTGCCAGTAGTTTCAAAAGTCTATTTTGAAATTAAAAAGCTGAGAATTAATTCTTTTATTCTCTGTTCAGTTGTGGCCCTGCTTCCCTGAGGCCCAGAAGGCCCTCATTGCTTCCTGCAGTGGGTGTTGGGGTACAGAGGTAATGGCAATGATGGTGATGGCGGTGGGGAGGAGGACTCAGTAAACAAAGGATTCTCCCACCACATTTACAGATTTTTTTTTTTTGGCCCAAAAGTGTAATCCTTCTGTACCTACTATTCTAGTTTGCTTTTTTAACTTAATAAAATATACGGGCTATCTTTACAAATCATTACTTATATATCTAGCTCATTCCTTTTCACATTTTCATAATATATCTTTGTCTTGATATACTATTTTTATTAACCAGTCCACTGTTGATGGAAATTTAAGTAGTTTCAGGTTTGGCTTTCCAAACAAAGCAACAATGTGCATCCTTATAAACACATACTGGCTTATTTATAATGGGATATCCATAGTATAGTTTGCTAGAAATGGAATTGCCAGATCACACAGTATATCCACTTTACATTTTGGTTCACATTGGCACACCATTTCTAAAAATGTGTACCAGTTTACACTCCCAGCAAAAGGATATAAGAACATCAATTTCCTACAGCATTTACCAACACTAGACATTTGTCAAGCTAGAAATTGTACTTGGTTCTTTTGGGGTTCTTATTTTTTATTTTATTTTTGAAACAGGGTCTTGCTCTGTCATTCAGGCTGGAGTGCAGTGATGCAGTCTCAGTTCACTGCAGCCTCAAACTCCTGGGCTCAAAGCCATCTTCCTACCTCAACCTCCCAAGTAGCTGGGACTACACGTGTGTGCCACCACGCCTGGCCTGGGGGGTTTTTTTTCATGTAAATTGATCACTCATTTTCTCAGACCAGTTTTTTTCTACTAAACATTTGTGTTTCTTATTGATTTATAAAAGGCCTTCATATGTGAAGGAAATTCTACCTTTGACTACTTTTCTTAATTTGCTTTATTTTTAACTTCATGAATGCCTTTTTTCTGTGTAAAAGTTTAAATGTTGTATGGAGTAAAATATGTGAAATCTATTCTTTTCTGCCTTTGCTAAGACACCCAGGAAAAACTTACCTCATTTAAATAATAAATTAATATTAATTTATATTTTATTATCATGCTTTTTTGTTTTTCTATTTCACACCTTATTGAAATTTATTCAGGTGTAAAGTATAAGGTGGGGATATAATGTTATATTTTTCCAAATATTTCAAATACCTTTTATTGAATATTCTTTCTATGGAGTACTTTTAAGGCAAAAGTATTACATGTAGCTCTACGATATAATCTTAACAATTTGGGGATTATCCAGGACAGGGGCTTTTCTCACTCCTCTTTCCCCAGTCACTTCTTCCTTAAAGTAGGCCAGTGAGGCATATTTTTACCTTTATATGGATCTAATGAAGAGAGGAGACCAAGGCAAATGACCCCAGTTGGCTCTTCTTCCTTCCAAAGGACGGGAGCTATTGCGGAGAGATACGGGAGCTATTGCGGAGAGATGCCGAAGCACACTCCGCGGAGGGAAGCCGAAGCACACTCCGCGGAGGGAAGCCGAAGCACACTTGTTAGAGGCAGAGCTTGTTAGAGGCAGAGGATTTCTGCTAGTAGTGTTGGACTCCTTGCTGAAAGTAAGTCTAGGTGTTAGCAGTGACTCAGCAGGCTGTTCTCTTGGAAGGTGACTTGTGCACAACCCTGAGCAAGTCATAGCCACCATGCCTGCTCTGAAAATGCAGAAAATGAAGATTGGAGTCCTGAGCCTAATGTGTATTCCTTCCTCTTTTGCTGACATTCTCTGTTTTTTATTTTTAATTAGTTCTTTGTTTTGTTTTACAGACAGGGTCTCGCTATGTTGTCCAGGCTGGAGTGCAGTGGCAGTTCACAGATGGGATCATGATGCACTACAGTCTTGAACTCCTGGGCTCAAGGGATCCTCCTGCCTCAGCCTGTGTGAAGGTCCCAAGGTGGGGCGTGCCTGGCACGGTAAAGGTCCAGCGAGAATCTCTGCATGAGTGAAAGGAAGAAGAGGGTAAAAGGCCAGAGAAGTGAGTGGGGTGGGACCTCCAGGGCCTACTTGCAAATTAGTAAAATCATACTTCATTTTCATTGCCTTTTTTCTTTGTACTGCAAATGGCTAAATATTAAAAGTTAATCCAAATAGCACCAAAATAACTCATTTAAGCAACTTACGCAGTCAATCAAATTGGCAGTTAATGTTTTCCAATACAGAATAGGCTATATATTTGTAGCAAAATAATTCAATGTTATATGGTAATAAAACATATAGTTATATATACATTATATAACATATAACAGTTATAAACTTAGTAAGCTAAAGTCACATGAATATGTTTGTTATAAACATAATTCAAGTGAATTTATATAAATAGAATTCAATACAATAGAATTCCAATTAATAATTTTGTCATATTATAAATTCATTAAGTTAATTCTAGTTAAATGAAAACTGCTTTTCAAATTCTAAACATGTTATTGGGGTGGAGGACGGAAATGGACAAAATAGAAATATGCATGTTATATATGGCTTTTTCCTAACTTCTTTCTCACAGAACAAACAAACAAACAGGCAAATTAAAACAGAAACAAGGAAATGACAAGAAACAATGCCTACTGATATTTTGTCACTTCCTCGGGAATTTTTATTTGCCTGTTATTCGAAGAGGCACTATTGTCTCAGACCAGCTCTCAGAACCAGGACTCAGAGTTGGGCTTATATAAATGCCACTGGATCTTTGATTTTAACTCACTGGGTAGCTTAAATGCATGACTTCACTTCCAGTCTTGGGTTTCCTCTTCAGGAAAATAGAATAACAATATTGAATGAACTCTCTGGGATAAAGTGCTTAAATGTTGATAATCTAAATTTTTTTGGTGACAGATCAGGGAAAAATAAGAAAAATGATAGTTTATGTCAAATTGCAAATTTTTCTGATAATCAATGCTAATGTAGTTTATTCAGTAAATATTTATCATGTGATAAGTTAGGTAGGAAAGCTTGCAAAGAGCCCACGAGGGTATGTTTGGACAGGTAGGGAAATAAAAAAGTGTCAGAGAAGCTTATCCGGGACAGTTTCAGGAGGAAGCAAATGTCCAGTGGCTTTAAATATCACAAAGAAATTAGGTGTGTCCAGTGCAGTTGGCATTTAGGAGTTTATTTGAAATTTTAATGACTTTGGTTTCTATTGTGTGTGGTGTTTTAGAAGATATCAAGCAGTCTCACATGCATATTATCTTGTATTATGTCTGCTGAATTACGAGAGTTGTTTCTGTGTTCCGGATTGGACTCTAACTAACACACAGGGCCTATCAGCTAGATCATGGAGGAAATTTAAATTTGTTGGGTAGATGGAGCTAGGTGGTACTGTCCCTGCCCACCCCTACCTACATCACTGATATATATGACAGCCAGGAGCCTCCTGGGGGAAAAAAATCTTACTTCCCGAGTTGTAGACACAGATATGCACATATGGAGAACTGACGTATGGGTGCGTTTTAAGACTAGGAGTTGTGATGAGACGTGATAAATTACTAGAAGAATATGGACCCTCTGACAGAGAGACCTCCATAAAAGGAGTCAGATACAATGATGAGTTAAAAAAAATAGCCTGTGGCCACAATGTGGTGGCCCCCGTATGAACCAGTTGCAACCACGACAGATAGTTTGTGCACTGAGGGGAAAAAGCTCTGTGTGAACTGAAAGAAGAACCTTAATAAGCTCTGGAACACCTCTCCAACCAGATAATCTTGCTGTGGGATTCCTCTAACAGACCATTACTCAGGTGGAACAGAGCCACTCACTTATGTATGCCAATTTGTCATGATGCCCTGAGCTTCAAGAAGATCTGCACCTTGGAAGAGCAAGAGTATTGCCATCAGCACAGCCTCAGCTCAGTGGAGTTTAAATCACTTAGTTTAAATCAATAAGTTTAAATCACTTAAACTTATTGTCTCCCTCTACAGCCCCAGTCTTTTGTAGTTCTTTTTGTAGATGTAGAGTGTGTTGAAATATTCTTTTAGGTTCTATATTTGCAAAAGACCCTTCTGCCTTAAACACAAACAACAACCAAAACAAAACAAGTACTACACAAAAAACCAGTGAAGTGGCATTATGATGAGTTTGTAGTGAGAATCAAGTATTTTTAAAAGTTCTATTATAATTTTATCCTTGTTCCCTCTTGAATGAATTTAAAAATCTTATAGTCGGCCGAGCACGGTGGCTCACGCCTGTAATCCCAGCACTTTGGGAGGCTGAAGCGGGCAGATCACGAGGTCAAGAGATTGAGACCCTCCTGGCCAACATGGTGAAACTTCGTCTCTACTGAAAATACAAAAATTAGCTGGGCGTGGTGGCATGCGCCTGTAGTCCCAGCTACTTGGGAGGCTGAGGCAGGAGAATTGCTTGAATCCAGGACATGGAGGTTGCAGTGAGCAGAGATTGCCCTCTGCACTCCAGTCTGGTGACAGAGTGAGACTCAGTCTCACCAACAAACAAACAAACAAAAACAAAAACTTATAGTCATTGAATCTCTGAATGATAACTCTCTCTCTTCTCTTCATCTATTTCCATTAAATATCCCATGTCTTTATAGTTCAAGAATTCGACAAGTAGGTATTCAGAATAGTCCTCTAGGTATTCAAGAAAGATTTGTTGTTCTTAACTGAAGATAAATTGTTTTCAATGATTTCTATCAGTGTGCTTTCTAGTATATTTTTCTTCTCTTTTTCTCTGGCAACACAATTCACAGATAGAATTAGATCTGTTATTTTAGGTCTATACGAGTATTTTTAAAAGAAAAATCCTTTCAATTTTAAACCATCTTTCTTGGATTTAATTTTCTATGGTTGTTGAACTTTTAAAGATACTTGCAACTCTCTCAGTGGGCTTAAGATAGAAGAGGCACCTCACATTGTTTATTTCTTCTTTAAAAGCTAATTCAGTGGAGCTCAAATGGCCAGGTGACAGTCTCAACTTTTATGTCAATAAAAGAAGCATTGTTATAGACTTCAGAGGAATTATTACTGCCTTGAGAACTATGTCGTTAAACCAGCGGAGCCTAAAGTTGTAGGATGAGAAGCAAATATTTGTGAGTGAGTTCTTACATGTAGTAGTGAGAGGAGTGACTTCTGCTTTCACACCTCAATGTTATATACAGCTTTTTCCTAACTTCTTTCTCATAGAACAAACAAACAAGCAAATTAAAATAGAAGGTAGTATTCTGGCTGTAGGAGAAACACCACCATATATTGGTCACTTTAGTCACTAGTTCAAAGAATGTATTTCTTATTCGACCACAAAATATTGTTCAACCATAAAAAAACAAATAAATCCTGCCATCTTTGACAACATAAATGAACTAGGAGGAAAATATGATAAATGAATAAGCCAGACACAGAAAGACAAATGCTGTATGATATTACTTATATGTGGAACCTAAAATAGTCAAACTTACAGAAGTAGAGAGTAGAGAGAAGTTGTTGCCAGGGGCTGGGGAGGTGGGAGAAATGGGGAGATGGTCAAAGGACATAAATGTTCAGTTATAAGATGAATAATTTCTGAAGAGCTAATGTATAGTATGGTGACTATAGTTAATAACACTAAGCCTGGCATGGCAACACATGCCTGTAATTCCAGCTACTCAGGAAACTGAGGCAGGAGAATCACTTGAGCTCAGGAATTTCAGACCAGGTTGGGCAACATAGTGAGTCCATCTCAAAAAACAATAATAATGCTAACATCATATTGTTTACTTGAAATTTGCTAAAAGAGTAGATCCTAAGTGTCTTCACCCCTCATCCCCACTACACACACAAAACGGTAACTGTGGGCTGGGCGCAGTGGCTCACGCCTGTAATCCCAGCACTTTGGGAGGCTGAGGTGGGTGGATCACTCGCGGTTAGGAACTCAAGACCAGCCTGGCCAACATGGTAAAACCCTGTCTCTACTAAAAATATGAAAATTAGCCGGGGTTGGTGGCATGCATCTGTAGTCCTAGCTACTTGGGAGGCCGTAGCAGGAGGATTGCTTGAGCCCAGGAAGTGGAGGTTGTAGTGAGCAGAGATGGCACCACTGCACACCAGCCTGGGCAACAGGAGAGAAATCCTGTCTCAAAGAAAACAAAAACAAAATGGTAATAGTGTAGTGATGGATGTGTTAATTTAATTGTATTAATCATGTACAATGTATATGTACATGAGATTATGCCCTTGTAAACCCTGAATATATTTAATATTTATTTGTAAATTATTCTGCAATAAAACTGGAAAAAATTTTTAAAAATAAATGTTCAGTTATGTCAGAGAAAATGACCTAACTTATGTTCAGTCCCATTTCTTCGTTGTCTTCACGTCAAAACAAAACAAAAATAATAAAGGAGATGACAAAGAAGATGATGTTCTGATTGTTTTTATCATCATGACAGTGATGGTCTTTTCTCCAATTAGTAGCCTAAAACTTACTTGTTTGCCTATGATGTATTAGATTAGCTAAATAATCCTCAAAATATTCGAAAAGTACAAACTTTAAAATAAAAGAAATTCTTAAGCAGCTTCCACTTTTCTATATATTATGAAGTGATGATTGGATAAATTTGAATACATGATATTTTGAATCAATATTTGGTTATATTGACAATTATATAAGTGTATCATATAAATAATTACACAGATTATGTATAGATTTATAGATGTGGTTACATTGATTATATTGATGTAGATGTTATAATTATTTTCTTCAATTAATCAAACCTTGCAAATAGTTTACTGTGTAACCTTCCAAACCTTTTTATATGCATATATATATGAACACACACTGTTTGTTTTTAATATGGCATCCTACTGCACATATTATCCTATAACTTGTTTTTAAAGATATTAGAGACATCTGTGGATGGATGTAATCATTGCAGTTTTAGGAATTGCATTGATTTGATAGCTTAATTTGGGGAAATTTTATGTATGTATAATATTAAATCTTTCTATCTAGGAATAAGATATATATTTTGAATGTCCTTTAGCAAAGTTTTACAGTTTTCTTCATGTAGGTCTTATATTTCTATTTAACAAAGGCATTTTATATTTTTGTTGCTATTATGAATAGCATTTTTAAAAAGTAAAACTTGTTGCTATTGCTTCTTATAAAAATCTGTAGCAGTAATAGAAGGCCTTTGTGTTGTCTCCTCAGTTTTAGTGGACAAATGTTAAGGACGATATTTGCTGCTGGTTCTGATTAATACTCCTTTTCAACTTGGGAAATTGTCTCTCTTTTCCTAGCTTATGCATAGCTTTTATTGAGAATAAGTGTTGAACTTTATTACATGCTTTTTGAGGGTATCTATTGAGCTGATTCTTGGAATATTCTTCTGAAGGAATTCCAAAACCAGATTCAATCATCTTCTGGATCTTCATACCTGGATTAGTGGGATGAAATTATCAGTTGTATAAAATTGTTATATTTGTTGAAGATGGCCTTTAAAGTCACTTCAATAAATCTTAAAATTAGAGTTACTTATGTATCAATAACACCTGTTGGCAAACTGTACCTATTGAGTTAATTTATTGAATTGACATACAGAAGTCAAACAGAGAATAGAAAACATAGTAAAATGGAGTTAAGACAGATTGTTTCTGTGTTTCTTCCAACAACTGGTAAAGCCACTTATGCATTCACATACAAATTAAGAACAGTTTTATTATCTTTACAGAGCCTCTTCCAAAGTAAATTGTAAATACCTCAATTAAACTTTGAAATTTTATTGGAAAATGCCATATTATGCACGGTTGACAAAGATTTATGCACTATGGTTGACAAAACCTTTAAGACTCTAAACTAGATATAAATAAAGTTCAAGCTCCTAACTGTAACCCCCAGGAGGATGGGACAAAAGGAGGGATGGCACGTGTAGAGAATAGTTAGGAGAACTGGATGAGGTGATCTCAAATTCCTCTTCATAGACTAAAGCCATTTCAACCCTCACCCACAGCATCCATCTGATATAGGTTTCTCTGAGTCTGGGAACCACATTATTTATTCAAATAATAATCTAAAAAGTGAGCATGGGCCAGGCACGGTGGCTCATGCCTGTAATCCCAGCACTTTGGGAGGCTGAGGCAGTCGGATCACGAGGTCAGAAGATTGAGACCACCCTGGCTAACATGGTGAAATCCCGTCTCTACTAAAAATACAAAAAAATTAGCCGAGCATGGTGGCAGGTGCCTGTAGTCCCAGCTACTCAGGAGGCTAAGGCAGGACAATGGCGTGAATCCGGGAGGCGGAGGTTGCAGTAAGCCGAGATCATGCCACTGCACTCCAGCCTGGGCCACAGAGAAAGACTCCAGCTCAAAAAATAAAATAAAAAAGGGAAGTTAAATTATTGAGGACCTTGGATATCCATGTTGAAGAGTTTGAACTTGATTCTGTAGGCAGAGGTGTGTTCTTGAAGGAACAGGAGACTATCATAGAAGTACACATTTATACCTAGACCCGTTCTGCTGTGAAGATGGAATGGGAAGTAATGCTATGTATTTCCATAGACAAAATTAAAACTCTATCCTCTAGTCATTGTTTTTCCTTCTCTATCTAGGTTTATCTGTCTTACTTTCACTTTACCTACTGCTGGTCATCTGCGATGGTGGTGAAGATCATGCTGGAAAGAGCACTGTGAATAAAAAAATAACAACAACAAAACAGTGGTGAAGACAACATAGTTACTGTAGGCTATCCTGAGATAAACAGCATCATCATGTGTGAATTCTGTTTTTTTCATTCTTAGTGCCATATTCTTCTAGATTTGTTGCCCCAGATCACACTTTTTTTTTTCTTTTTTTTTTTGAGATGGAGTCTCATTCTATTGCCCAGGCTGGAGTGCAGTGGTGCAGTCTCGGCTCACTGCCACCTCCGCCTCCCAGGTTCACGCCATTCTCCTGCCTTAGCCTCCCAAGTAGCTGGGACTACAGGCGCCTGCCACCACGCTCGGCTAATTTTTTTGTATTTTTTAGTAGAGACGGGGTTTCACCGTGTTAGCCAGGATGGTCTCGATCTCCTGACCTCGTGATCTGCCCACCTCAGCCTCCCAAAGTGCTGGGATTACAGGCATGAGCCATCGCGCCCAGCCGATCAGAAGTATTTTTAAAAATACTTCTGTTTTCCTGTCTTTGCCAACATCTTAGAGCCAATCTACAATTAAAAATGGATCCAAGGTAGTATTCCACTGTGAGAATGCCTGTGGCTTGTTCACAGTCCCTCTGGACTCTGCCACGGGCTCCCAGGTTGGTTCCAGTTACAGACCTCTGCTGTCTATAAGCCAGCAGGGAAGATAGAAAGGTAAGCAAAAAGGCTAGTCACAGTGGTCTGTGAGGTTTGACAGCAGGCCTCATAGAGGTCCCCATGGATGCTAGAGAAGCCTAGATTGTGGCTAGGGATGCCAGAGTCCCAGAGTAGTGAAGTCCATCAGTGAACAGATACAAAGGCACAGGTGGATCTGCCATAATTTCTCCTTGGGCAGAGGTAAGACTAAATTAGATCATCCAAAATCCAAACATCAACAACATTGCTAAAGAAAAACTCTGTACCAGAAAGGCCTTGGCTTATCAGGTTGGTACAGAAACAGGGGTTATCTGGTTGGCCAGCAGAGCAACACAGGGCATTACAAATGCAGACAGCAGTTGCCCAGGAAACAGTCTTAGCTTTAGACTGGACCACAGAAGCTGAAAGTGAGAGAGATGGTGGCTTGAGATCTTAGAGGTCAGGAAAGAGCCATGTGCATCCACATCTAATTGCTTTTCACAATGAGGACTGGAAATAGCAGGAGGGTTTAATGCTCCATAGTCAGGGCTAGGGCCTGGACTCAACGTGGTTAACAGAGGCAGAGGGAAGAGCCCCGATAATAAACTGTAATATCTGTTGACAACATATCCTCGGTCTTGGGAAGGATGAAAAGGATTCCCGGAACACTGTGGCTAGAGGGACATAACAAAATCATGTGGGGACCTCAAAGCATTGAGCCTCCCTGCTATGGTCTGAATGTTTGTGTTCCTCTGAAATTCATATGCTTAAATTTATTCACCAATGTGACAGTATAAGGAGATGGGGCTGTTGGGAGGTGATTAGGTCATGAAGGTGGAGCTCTCATGAGTGAGATTAGTGCCCTTATAAAAGAGGCCCGAGGGAGCTCTGTTGCTCCTTTGCTGTATGAAGAAGTGGGCTCTCACCAACACCGAATTTTCTGGTACTTTGGTCTTGGACTTCCCAGCCTCCACAGCTGTGAGAAATAAATTTCTGTTGTTTAGAAGCCACCAAGTTTATGGTATTTTGTTACAGCAACCCAAATGGACTAAGGCACCCCCATGCCATTGGTCCTGAAAGGACCCTCAAGGGTTGAAGGTACTGCTAGGCCCCAGCCTCTTGAAAGCATAGGCAGGGGTCTTCTTATGTTGCACTGATCTCCTCCCTTCCGATTGACCATTGTGGTGGCTAATCAAAAACCAGAGGAATGCTGGCCTTTGTTCTCCTTTCTTCCTCTGCTCCCTGGGGGTGTGGTGTGGTGGGGATGAACACACACACACTCACACACACTCAGGATGTGTTATTAAAGCACAATTAGAGTGGTTGGAGCATTCTGCCAAGACAAGCAAAAGCCATAGGTCTAACTAACCAAATCCAGATGGGTTGTTTTTTAACACAGTCTTAGGCTCTTTCTGCTCCCCCTTGGGATTCTCTTTCTCTCGTTGATATTCAGGTTGACAGGCCTGAAGATCCTTTCCTGACCCAAGAAGGACAAAGATGGGCAGCTCAAACTAAGCAGTGTAGTATAGTATTGAAAAGCATGGACTTTAGGGCTAGGCTGCCTGGGTTGAAATTCCAACCCTGCCATTTACTGGGTGTGTAACCTCTCAGTGCTGCATTTTCCTCATCTGTAAAATACACAAACAATAATACCAAGCTCCAGGGTTCCTTTGAGATTTAAATAAAGGAAAATGTGTAAAGTTCTTATAACAGTCTTTGGTTTATGGTAGATGTTACATAAATGTTAGCTTTTAGACACTGGGCCAAAGTACTTATGCCACAATAATTTATTGAGCATCTACTATGTTTCAGGCACTTAAGTCCTGGTAATAAAGCAGTGAATAAGATCAGGTCCCTACATATATGATGCTTACCTTCTATCATGAAGGCCATTAGTAAACCAACGAACAAGTAAAGAGAGAAGATAAGAGACAGTGATAAGTGCTATGAAGAGTATAAAACAGGTTGAAGTGATGGAGAATTACTGGGGGGCTACTGTAGTTTGAGTGCAGAGACAGCCTCTTTGGGGAGATGACACTGAGTGAAAAGGAGCCAGCCATGCAGAGATCAGTGAAAGAGCATCACAGGCAAAGAGAACAGCTTGTGCAAAGTCTCCAAGGCTGGAAGACACTCGATATATTTGGGAACATAAAGGACAATGTGGCTGGAGTATAGAGAATGGAGAGTGGTATGACATGAGATCAAGGAAGTAGGCAGAGGACAGATCATAAAGGACCTTAAGAATTTTAGAATGTCTGCAAGAATTTCAGATATCCTCTGAGTGGTATATGAAGCCATTAGTAAATGTTAAGCAGACGACTGACATGGTCTGATTTATGCTTTGCAAAAATCACTTCGTCTGCCATGGTGAACATGGATTGTACAGGAGGGGCAATAGTGGAAGCAGGAAGACCAGTTAGGAGATTGATGCAATAGTCCAGGTAAGAGATCACGGTGACTTGCACTAAGGTGGAAGTAGAGAGAGCTACAGGTGGATAGATACACTTTGGATGTAAAGTGTATGGATTTGATTTTGCTAATGGATGGGATATGGGGGTTTAGGATAAAAGGGAACTCATTCTAGGTCTTTGACTTGAGCTTCTGTGTAAATATTGATATTTTTATTGGTATAGGGAAACAGGGAGAGAAGCAGGTTGTAGGGAAAATCTATTTAGAATATATTAAGCTTAAGATAAGTTTAAGAGGGCACATGGAGATGTCAAGTATGCAGGTGGATATATGAGAATGGAGTGTAAAGGAACATTCAGGTTTGGAAATATAAATACAGATGTCATTGTGCAGGGCAGGAAAGCCCCAAAATGGAACTTAGCCCATGAAGATTCTTGGCTTTGCCCAGGAAAGAATTCAAGGGCAAGCCAGAGGTAGAAGAAAACAGCTTTACTGAAGCAGCAGTGTTACACCTCAGACATGTTACAGCTCTATGACTGCTCCTGGAGAACAGGGATACCCCCTAGACAGAAAGTAGCAGCTCGGGGAAGTTTTGCAGTCATATATATATACTCACTTTTAATTGCATGTACATTAAGGGGTGGTTTATGCAGAAATTTCTAGGGAAGGGGTAGTAACTTTTGGGTCATTGCCATGGAAAGGGGCAGTAACACTCAGGTGTTGCCATGGCAATGGTAAATTGACACAGCACACTGATGGGCATGTCTGATTGAAAACTCCTTTTGCCCTTGTCCAGTTTTGGCTAGTTCTCAATCTGATCCAGTGTCTGAGCCCTGCCTCTGGAGTCAGGTCCTGCCTCCTACCTCATCATCAGCATCTAGTTGGAAGAGAAATCCATGAAATTGACTGAGAGTACCTGGGAGGAAAGTATAGATGGAGAAGAAAAAAGGCCCTGAAATTGAGCTCTGGGACACATCAACAGTCAGAGGTTGGGCAGAAGAGGAGAGGCTAGCAAAGGAGTCTGAGGCATGGTCAATGAGGTGGGAAGAAAACTCAAGGAGTGTAATAGCATGGCTCTTTGTAAACACAGAAGCCAAGAGAAGGAAGAATTTCAAAAAGTAGGGAATGGTCAACTGTGTTGAAAGGTCAACTATTGTAGAAAGGTTAAGTTAGATGAGGACTGAAAATTGTCCATTGGATTTGGCAACATGGAGGATGCTGGTGACCTTGGCCAGAGAGGTTTCTATGATGGGGGAGGAACAGAAGCTGGATTATAAGTGACTCCTGCAGAGGGTGGGGAGTGGGGAAGTGGAGTCAGTGACTGTATTTTTTGGACTGCTCTTTCCTCACCATTAGAGTAAGTAGTAAGGAAAGAAGGCAAGGAAAGGCCAGTTTGTTTTTCAAGGGAAAATGGGTAAGAAAGGCCTGCCTCTAGCCTAGCTCAGCTCAGCAAGGGACTGCATCAGAGGCACACTGCTTCTTCTTCTTTTTTTTTTTTTGAGTTTAAACATTTAGGTTTATTCAGAAAATTTGCTAATCCACTCCTTGAAGACTGATTGATCATCAAATCTAAGTGAATTCATTCTTTATCATATTGCTAGAAATAAATCAACAATTCTAATTTCCATATAATCTTATGCAGGGAGGAGCAAAAGCGTTCTTGTTTAAATAATATTTGCATAAGAATCATACTTGAAGTTTGCAGTTTCAAAACACCCATTTTTTTAGTATTTTTTTTTTCTATTGCTTCCTCCGAGTCCTTCACATTGCCTCTTTCTGCTTGCACTTTCTTTATCTCTGAAGAACCTTCGGGCAGGGCTGGCCATGGCAGGGTACCATCCAAGTTTTTTGTCACAATCTGTTTTTCTCTCTATTCACTAAGAAAATCAAGTTATAGTTATCTTTAACACTGACAAGAAACTATTAGACTATTAATTTCATAAATCACTTCATTTCTTTTTTTGGTATAGGTGTTTAATGCTAATGACCCTTTACCTTCAATCTTAGTTTTTGGAAAGCTTTTAATCTTGTTAATCATATGCTTAAACAAATTAAACAACATGACTAAGTCTGTGATCTAGTCGCTGGCTGATTCCAACAGGAAATTTCTCTTTAGGAAAGTTCACTCTGCAGGTACATTCATCTGATGTCTAGTCATAGATAGCGTGTGTTTCAGACTGTGAGGCAAGAATATAATATTCTAATAATAGGCCAGTTGAACCTGTAAAATTGTTTATTCACTTTGATTTCTTGTGTGTGTGTGTGTGTGTGTGAGAGAGAGAGAGAGAGAGAGAGAGAGAGAGAGAGAGAGAGAGAGACAGGCTCTTGCTTCGTTGCCCAGGCTGGAGTGCAGTGGTGTGATCTTGGGTCACTGCAGTCTCCACCTCCCGGGCTCAAGCAATCCTCCCACCTCAGCCTCCTGAGTAGCTGGGACCACAGGTGCACTCTACCATGCCCAACTCATTTTTGTATTTTTAGTGGAGACAGAGTTTTGCCATGTTGCCCAGGCTGGTCTTGAACTCCTGAGTTCCAGCGATTTGCCCACCTCGGCCTCCCAGAGTGCTGGGATTGCAGGTGTGAGCCACCGCTCCCGGCCCACTTTGATTTCTCTATCCAAAGCAGTGCTTTAAACACTAAATGGTTAAGAACCTTGTGTTTGAAATAGGTTTCCAACCCACACCCCCACCCTGTCCTGAAGGCTAAAGCCTGCTCCAGCTTGTATTGTTTGCTCCACCCTAGAGGAAACTGTTCATTTCTAGATCTTTTAAGATGCCAAACTGGTTAGTCAGAGGATTTCTAAGCTCATTCAAAATTCATCCTTCTATTCAGTCATCACTCTTATGCTTACCCACTCCACTTCGAAAAAAAAAAAAAAAAAGAGGAGAAAAGTCGATCTTTTAAAATGGCACCTGTGCTCTCTAGTTTTGAAGGCATAATATCAGGGTATTAACGATGGAAGATAATAAGTTGTTATAATCGAACCTCTCTTGCCTTCTAGGGGTTAGAAGGATTAATTAATTAATCAATCAAATGATGAGCTCACTGCTTGCTATTATTATTATGTTAAAATATGTGAACACAGAAAGTCTTTGCTGCTGTATCAAGCCCTTCATGATCCATTCTTTGTTCATTTCTTCAGTCTCATCTCTTATTCCCCAGGTCATACTGTAATTAACAATTATATCACAATTCTTTTCAAAACCTGAAAGAACCAGGAGAGCTCTCTTTTGTTTCTTGGCCTTAATAATGAATTAGTTTTTTTCCCCCCTAGGAATACTTTTCTTCCTCCATTCCTTTCTCTAGGCATCTTGTTCTAGTTAATGAATGAGAGTTAGGTCTCACTTTAGATGTCACTTCCTCCAGGAAACCTTCCTAACTATCCAAGGTTGGATTAGACATCCCTCTTCCATGCCCTGGTACTCCCTGCATCACAGCACTTATAACACCCTGTTGTAAAAGTACAGCTGCTGGTGCACATGTCTCCCTGGTACCAAACCTCAGGTATAGTAGTTACTCAATACATATTTATTGAATGAATACATTGAATAATATGATTTTGTAAATAATAAATTAAAAACACACTTCCCTTTAACACATTTTTACAAATTACAGTAAGAAGTAAAACATTAGATTAACTTTATGAATATTAAATAAAATATTAAATAAACAAATTTAACTTTAGTTTGACAGTTTGTAAAGTTCTAAAAGTTCCATGTCTTGTGACCAGAGACACCAAGCTTATGAGGACTATTTAATAAGATTTCTGCACAAGTCAAAGTTAATGATTTACACAGAGTAGGTATTCTTTTTATTGGTAAAGAAATTAAACTTTAAGATGTTGAGGTACTTTCTTGATGACAAAAAGCATACGTATACTGAAATGGTTTTTCACATCCAAGTTAGCAGCACTATAGTGTCCTCTGTGACATGCAGTGCACTTTCTACCATGAAGATGAAACCCAAACAACCCCACCCCTCTAGCCCTCACATTCTTCACTGCCCTCTCCAGCAGCCACTAATGGGACCCCCCAGTCTGCCATCAGCCTCACTGGGTGCATGATCTGTGTGAGTACCCACAGGTTGGGGGCTGCATAAGGGGACAGGCAGGACTGGGCAGACAGAATGGCATGCAGTTTATTCTGGGCTCAGGTACACCTGGAACCCATTTGTGGCACAGGCATGACACAGGAGGTAACACCAGCCAGGTCAGGCCAAGCTCCTGAAGTCCTAGCCCATCATCTGCCTGTGGCCTTCCAGGCTCCTTCTGGGCTAAAAAGGCAGAGAGATGGAGGAGAGAAAGGGGCACCTCAGGATGATTAGCTGGGTCCCCGGTGGGTGAGAAGGTGCAGGAAGCAGGGTCAAAAGAAATCAAATGAAGGAGAGTGTCTAGGAAAGAGGTGTCATGTATGCAAGAGGCTGGTAAAAGGGAGGGACAGACTGGACCCAGCCTGTTTAAGACCTTTGTACTGAGGGCAGCTGCTGTATCCTGGGGCAACGGGAAAGAAAACACACTTTAGCACTGGATTCCAGTCCAGGTCATAACAACAGTTAACATTTGCAGTGCGTTTCTCTTCCTTGTGTCCTTTATTCTTGGCTCTGAAAAGACAGAGTTCTCCAAGTCTTATTCCTCAACCTGCACACCAGACCTTTCCCCACTGATTAGTCCTCTCTCTTTGGAATGTCTTTCTATTCCCCTACTAGCTCCTTTACACTTGTCTTAACACATGTTTGTTTCCCTCTATTGCAAGACAATAATAACCTCCCTCCACAACTTCACCACCTGAGTTCCTGAAGTGTAGTCCATTCTCCTTCCCACTCCTCCCTTTGCACCGTGATTTCCTGATTCGTCTTCTACCCCTTTTTATTGGTAAAAAAATTAAACTGTGAGGGGACTTCTGTGCGCTTAGAACTCCACATCTTAGCTCCATTTCCTAACAGTGCTCTGACCTTGGACAAATTGTTTAATTCCTGAACCTTGGTCTCCTCATCTATAAAATGGGGATAATGATAATCTCCTCATATGGTTGTTCTGATGATTAAAACTAAAGTGTCACTCATTTAAAAGAGAGCTTTAAAAACCTGTTATGTGCAAAAGTTTTTAAAACCTATGGGTTTCTAATTCTAGTAGCCACTAAAAGTATATGACTTCCTGCATTAATAATGAGAGGCAATGCTCCCCAAGTAATTTGGTGACATAAAAGTAATAATCCTCCTATTTCTTTTCCTTTTCAGCTGGGGTTTTTATGCATGTAAAGAACTCATATCATGCCAGACATTTTTAGTACAGTCTTTCATTTCGCCCTCCAAGGGTACTAAGAAATTGGTATTATAATGCTTGTTTTAAAATGGGAGAAACAGCTGGGTGGGGTGGCTGATTCATGTAATCCCAGCACTTTCGGAGGCCAAGGTGGGTGGATCACCTGAGGTCAAAAGTTTGAGACCAAGAGTTTCTGTATTTAGGGATTTAGTAGAGATGGTGAAACCCCATCTCTACTAAAAATACAAAAATTAGCTGGGTGTGGTGGTGCGTGCCTGTTGTCCCAGCTACTTGGGAGGCTGAGGCAGGAGAATCACTTGAACCCAGGAGGCGGAGATTGCAGTGAGCTGAGATCACGCCACTGCACTCCAGCCTGGGTGACAGAGTGAGACTCTGTCTCAAAAAATAAAAATAAAATAAAATAAAATAAAATGGGAGAAACAACTTGCCTAAAATCCTGAGGTTGATAAACAGAAGAGCAGGCGTTCCAGCACTGTTCTCTTTAACAGCAAATTCCATGCTCTTTTCACTAAGCGCTAGTGTAGCTAGTGTACCTTGGTGACAAAGTGCCAACCCTCACTCTTCTTGCCATGATTCCTTCCTTGCATAGTTTTCCAAAAGAAAAGTGTCCCTAACCCTCTTTGAGAAAACCACTGCATAAACATTGCTGCATTTCTTGCTTCAGGTTAGTCCCTTAACCTGGCCTGGTTTTGCTGAAGTTCCCTGCCCCTGGTGTCGAAGGCCAACAATTGGCCACTGCTCCCACTGTGCTCTCCAGCCTCCTTGACTCCCGATTCCTTTTCTGCCGATGGGCACTCAGCTTGGTCCTGAGCCACCTGCCTTGGCACTTCCTTCATCCCCCTTGCCCCAGTTCTCAGCACTTCACCTGGGCTTGATTCATGCTATTCAGTTCTTGACAGCCCCCTTACTACAATCTAGAACTCAGTCCTTTAAAGCAGCTGGGGCCTTGCCACTGCCCAGATGAAGTCTGCTGAATGTATTCTCAGGGATCACGAGAGCTACATTCCTCATCCTTTACTCTGCTTGCTTGGTGGGAACCCCATTTTTTTTTAGATACAGTCTTGCTCTGTTGCCTAGACTGGAGTGCAGTGGCACTATCTCGGCTCACTGCAGCCTCCACCTCCTAGGGTCAAGCGATTCTTCTGCCTCAGCCTCCTGAGTAGCTGGGATTACAGGTGCCCACCATCACACCCAGCTAATTTTTGTATTTTTAGTAGAGATGGGGTTTCACCATGTTGCCCAGGCTGGTCTCGAACTCCCGACCTTGGGTGAGCCACCTGCCTCAGTCTCCCAAAGTGCTGGGATTACAGGC
This sequence comes from Homo sapiens, assembly GCF_000001405.40. Lineage (NCBI taxonomy): Eukaryota > Metazoa > Chordata > Mammalia > Primates > Hominidae > Homo > Homo sapiens. Next base: position 42,030,702 of record NC_000013.11, read on the forward strand.
GTGAGCCAGTTGTGCCTGGCTGTAACCCCCTGCAGTAACCCAACATTTTGCTGTTGTTTGAATCACAACTAAACCTGTCACATTGTATCTTAATCCTAGATCTAATTTTGCACCCTTGCCCAGCCTAGAACAGAGGTCCCCCACCCCCCGGTTACTGACGGGTACTGGTCTATGACCTATTAGAAACTGAGTTGCACGTTGATGCAAAAATCCTCAATAAAATACTGGCAAACCAAATCCAGCAGCACATCAAAAAGCTTATCCACCATGATCAAGTGGGCTTCATCCCTGGGATGCAAGGCTGGTTCAATATACGCAAATCAATAAATGTAATCCAGCATATAAACAGAACCAAAGACAAAAACCACATGATTATCTCAATAGATGCAGAAAAGGCCTTTGACAAAATTCAACAACCCTTCATGCTAAAAACTCTCAATAAATTAGGTATTGATGGGACGTATCTCAAAATAATAAGAGCTGTCTATGACAAACCAACGGCCAATATCATACTGATTGGGCAAAAACTGGAAGCATTCCCTTTGAAAACTGGCACAAGACAGGGATGCCCTCTCTCACCACTCCTATTCAACATAGTGTTGGAAGTTCTGGCCAGGGCAATCAGGCAGGAGAAGGAAATAAAGGGTATTCAATTAGGAAAAGAGGAAGTCAAATTGTCCCTGTGTGCAGGTGACATGATTGTATATCTAGAAAACCCCATTGTCTCAGCCCAAAATCTCCTTAAGCTGATAAGCAACTTCAGCAAAGTCTCAGGATACAAAATCAATGTGCAAAAATCACAAGCATTCTTATACACCAATAACAGACAAACAGAGGGCCAAATCATGAGTGAACTCCCATTCACAATTGCTTCAAAGAGAACAAAATACCTAGGAATTCAACTTACAAGGGACATGAAGGACCTCTTCAAGGAGGACTACAAACCACTGCTCAATGAAATAAAAGAGGATACAAAGAAATGGAAGAACATTCCATGCTCATGGGTAGGAAGAATCAATATCATGAAAATGGCCATACTGCCCAAGGTAATTTATAGATTCAATGCCATCCCCATCAAGCTACCAATGACTTTCTTCACAGAATTGGAAAAAACTACTTTAAAGTTCATAAGGAACCAAAAAAGAGCCCACATCGCCAAGTCAATCCTAAGCCAAAAGAACAAAGCTGGAAGCATCATGCTACCTGACTTCAAACTATACTACAAGGCTACAGTAACCAAAACAGCATGGTACTGGTACCAAAACAGAGATATAGATCAATGGAATAGAACAGAGCCCTCAGAAATAATGCCGCATATCTACAACTATCTGATCTTTGACAAACCTGAGAAAAACAAGCAATGGGGAAAGGATTCCCTATTTAATAAATGGTGCTGGGAAAACTGGCTAGCCATATGTAGAAAGCTGAAACTGGATCCCTTCCTTACTACCTTATACAAAAATTAATTCAAGATAGATTAAAGACTTAAACGTTAGACCTAAAATGAGAAAAACCCTAGAAGAAAACCTAGGCATTACCATTCAGGACATAGGCATGGGCAAGGACTTCATGTCTAAAACACCAAAAGCAATGGCAACAAAAGCCAAAATTGACAAATGGGATCTAATTAAACTAAAGAGCTTCTGCACAGCAAAAGAAACTACCATCAGAGTGAACAGGCAACATACAGAATGGGAGAAAATTTTCACAACCTACTCATCTGACAAAGGGCTAATATCCAGAATCTACAATGAACTCAAACAAATTTACAAGAAAAAAACAAACAGCCCCATCAAAAAGTGGGCAAAGGACATGAACAGACACTTCTCAAAAGAAAACATTTATGCAGCCAAAAAACACATGAAAAAATGCTCACCATCACTGGCCATCAGAGAAATGCAAATCAAAACCACAATGAGATACCATCTCACACCAGTTAGAATGGCGATCATTAAAAAGTCAGGAAACAACAGGTGCTGGAGAGGATGTGGAGAAATAGGAACACTTTTACACTGTTGGTGGGACTGTAAACTAGTTCAACCATTGTGGAAGTCAGTGTGGCGATTCCTCAGGGATCTAGAACTAGAAATACCATTTGACCCAGCCATCCCATTACTGGGTATATACCCAAAGACTATAAATCATGCTGCTATAAAGACACATGCACACGAATGTTTATTGCGGCATTATTCACAATAGCAAAGACTTGGAACCAACCCAAATGTCCAACAATGATAGACTGGATTAAGAAAATGTGGCACATATACACCATGGAATACTATGCAGCCATAAAAAATGATGAGTTCATGTCCTTTGTAGGGACATGGATGAAATTGGAAATCATCATTCTCAGTAAACTCTCGCAAGAACAAAAAACCAAACACCACATGTTCTCACTCATAGGCGGGAATTGAACAATGAGCACACATGGACACAGGAAGGGGAACATCACACTCTGGGGACTGTTGTGGGGTGGGGGGAGGGGGGAGGGATAACATTAGGAGATATACCTAATGCTAAATGACGAGTTAATGGGTGCAGCACACCAGCATGGCACATGTATACATATGTAACTAACCTGCACATTGTGTACATGAACCCTAAAACTTAAAGTACAATTAAAAAAAAAAAAAAGAAACTGAGCTGCACAGCAGGAGGTGTTGGAGAGGTGCCTGTGCGAGCATTACCACCTGAGCTCCGCCTCCTGTCAGATCAGCCGCAGCATTAGATTCTCATAGGAGCGCAAACCCTATTGTGAACTGTGCACGTGAGGGATCTAGTTGCATACTCCTTATGAGAACCTAAGGCTTGATGATCTGAGATAGAAGAGTTTCATCCCAAAACCATCCCCCACCCCATTGTCCGTGGAAAACTTGTGGAAAAACTGTCTTCCATGAAACTGGTCCCTGGTGCCAAAAAGATTGGGGACCGCTGCCCTAGCGGACAGAACCCTATGCCCCTGTTATTTTGCCTTCTCCTCTGCTCCATTGCTACCTCATTCTCAGGCCCCAAATACATTTTTTCTGTATTTAGGGATTTATATTTTCATAATTGTGTTCTACATTGATTTTTTTGTTAACCTAATTATGAGCAATTATTAATAATTTTCTTCTCTCATAAGCAAAGAATGCTTATTGTGGGAAAACAAAGAATATAAAAAATCCTACCACATGTCAAACAAAAACAAGAAAGGAAAAAACACATGAGGATTACGGAATCCTACTGTCCATCACTAATCACTAACCACTTTTCCAGGCTGCAGTGTAGTGGCGCCATCAGGGCTCACTGCAGCTTCAACCTGCTGGGCTTAAGTGATCCTCCTGCCTCAGCCTCCCAAGTAGCTGGGACTGAAGCCACCTGCCACCAAGCTTCACTAATTTTTAAACATTTTTAGTAGAGAGGAGGTTTCGCTACACTGCCCAGACTGGTGAACTCCTGGCCTCAAGCAATCCTCTCACCTTGGCCTCCCAAAGTGCTGGGATTACAGGTGTGAGCCACTGCCCAGGTGGCCAATATATTTTAAATAATTTTTAAGTTTTTTTTGTCTCTTTATATTGTATGGGATGAGGGCAGGAGAGAAAGATAAGATCATCTGTAGAATTTGCACACCTGAGTTGTGGTCTATAAGAAATCGAGAATATCACTGCACACTTGGCTACATGAAGAACCATGAAGGCCATTCTCACTAAAGACAGCAGGGATAATCTAGCCAATGAGACTAGAGAATAGTTTGGTTTGTTATGAATCCTCTTTTTGTGTGTTTCAGATTACTTTCATAAAGTAAAATGGGGGCTGAAATTTCCATCTCTTGCTTCAGGTTCATTATTACTACGATGCCATCTGCTTATGAACCTGCTTCAAGTGTAATCCTCAATGAGAAAGTCTTTATCAGATTATTTCTATGAGAAGGTTTGTTAGACTCCAATGTATGCTCCATAAAAGCTCTGGCTGGGTGGGCAGTGGAATGCTGCAGCGCTTTGCTTTTCCAGTGTGAGGACTCTATGCCTGTATTTTAGTAGGTTACATTCCCCATTGAAGAGAATCCATGGTCTCCAGGTGTTGTGTCAGAGGGAAGGAATATCCTTCTATGCTTGCAGGCTGTGCTGATAATGGACCTCTGAGTCCCCAGGAGCATGAACACCAAAACCTACTGAGATACACCAATGCTGTATTGGATTATTCCAAAGATGACACCACAAGCATACATAGCTCATTCCACGTGTACTTCTTACAATGTTCCTGACTTCTCCCCCTAATAGGTGAGGGTCTATATTCTATACTCTTCAATCTGGACAAGGTCTTTTTCTTCTCTTTTTTCTTTTTTTTTTTTTTTTTTTTTTTTTTTACAGTTCCAACCAATTCATTTGGTGGAAGTGATGCTATGTGACTTCTGAGGTGACTTTATAAAAAGGATAGAGCTTTCACCTAGCTCTCACTCTTGACATACACCATAGGAATCCTGATCCTACATGTAAGAAGTCAGTTCAGCTACTTCAAAGCTATGATGCTGTGAGGAGTTGTGGGGAGGGCTCTTGGAGATAGGGAGAAATACCCAAGGATTCCCAGTTATGATAGCCCTCAGCTGTTTTGAGTCTTCCAGCATCAGCTGCCAGAATATGAGTGAGCCAAGTAAACCTATAGATTCCTGGCAGAGTCAAAAGTAAGACCCCTCTAGATAGGTGGCTCCATAAGGCATGCATTACTTCCACGGAGAACAAGTCCTACTGAAGAGAAGCTCACAGAAAACATAAAGCTTGCAAGGAAACAAGCCACTGCAAATATGAGTCAGCAAAGGCAACAAATGCGAGAATTTACACACCAGCAACTCTAGATAATAGATCAACTTGAAACCCACTTCTAAATAAATGTGTTTAAAATGTTTAAAAAGACAAAGAAAGACTAGACTCTAAGAGAAAGTTAGATATTATGAAAAAAGAATGTAAATTTGAAAAATAATGAACATTCTAGAAATGTAAATAAAAAGTTAATGGACATATTATAGACTGAATATAATTGCAAAGAGAATTAGGGAATCAGATAATAAATTTGAGGAAATTACCCAAGACTAGCAAAGAGAAGTAAAAAGATGGAAAATTCTAAAGAAAAATTAAGACATGGAGGATAAAATGAGAAACTCCAGCCCATAGCTAATAGGAGCTCTAGAAGGATAAAACAGAGGAAAATGCATGGAGTAGGGGGTGGGGTAAGTAATATTTGAATACATAAGGGCTGAAAAATTTCCAGAATTGAAGGATTTTGGGGTCTTCAGGTTAAAATGCACACCAAGTCCTGAACAAGATATACAAAAACAAAACCCACCTTGAAACAGTGCAATAATGCAAATATCAAGTGATAAAAGAAAATGTTAACTAGAGAGAAAAAAAAATCTGTAAGTGATAATGAGACTGACTGCAGACTTCTAATCAACAGCAGCAGATGACAAAAGATAATGGAATAGTCACTTTGAAATGTTAGTGTCAATGATGTCAATTTAGAATTCCCTAGCTGATAAAATTATTACTCAAAAGCATAAGGGAAATGGAGTGAGAGTGATATACAAAGTTGTAGAAAATTTTACCCACAGACCTTTGGTGAAAGAACTCCTAAAGAATGTGCTTCCTCAAGACAGAAATTAAGCCCAAAAGGAAAGCATGAGATAAAAAAACAAGCAATAAGAGAAAACATTGGTAAAATATGTTGGTAAATTGAATTAGATAATAACTATAAAAGCAGTAACAATGATGACTAATCAGTAGAGAATTTAAAATAAGAGGGAATTTAAAAATACTAGACAGTAATACATAGTTTATAGGAGGGGAATTTGAGAGTTAAAATGTTTTCTTTTGTTTAAGATCTTGAAAAGAAGGGGGAGATATTAACTAACCTTTGATATTAAGTATAAATGTTAACATTTTAAGGGTAATCACTAAGAATTGAAACAGGAGGTATACATTTTAAATCAGTAGAAGTGTTTAGAAAAGTGAGTAAACTAAAGAAAATTCAATCAATTCAATTAATAAAACAGCAGGCAAGAAAGGAGAAAAAAGAAGCAAAGAAAAAGAAAGTGAAATAAATACAAAATGAGAATGTGGTAATAAATCCAAAGATAGTCATCATAATTTAACAGAGAGTGCTAGTTTTCAGCAAAATCTGTTAAGTCTTCGGTAGTAATAGAATTGCGGTTGGGATACAGCTGTCCAGCTAGTGACCTCATTTTCCTGCTCCTTTGCTGCTAGCTACGGTCATGAAACTAAGTTCTGGCCATTGGGATATGAGCAGGTGAGAAGTGGGTCACCACTCACTTCTGGGTCTGGGCCTTAAGCAGTTGGGTTTGTGCTCCTTTATGCTCTCTTCTTCCTTCCTTAAACAGGGTCTCCCTAATCAGCTTTCACCCTGTAGATAAGGGCAATGCTCTAGAAATTGGAACGGCAATGTGGAACAAAGAAGCCACCCCCAACAAACTGACCACTAATCCTGGCACTGTTCCATGAGAGAAAGCAACACTGTGTGTCTGGTGAGGCAGGGGGAAGGATCTTTCTTATGACAACTTTTTATTCTAATTAATAGACATGATAAATGAAAACAGATGAAAATAGACTACTAAAAGGCAGACTCTCAGAACGGGTCAATAATATAAAAATTCAAGTGTTATTTACAAGACACACTTAAAACATAATGACTCAGACTGGTTTAAAATAAAAAGATGGAGAGATTCTTGGCAACCACTAACAAAAATCTACAAAATAGAATCATACTAAACAGAATTTAAGGGGAAAAATAATGGATAGCTGTCATAGTCTGTTTCGGCTGCTCTAACAACATACCATAGCCTGGGTGGCTAATAACAGAAATGTATTTCTTACAGCTCTGGAGGCTGGGAAGTGCAAGATGCAGATGTGTTGTCTGGCGAGGGCCCGTTTCCTCATAGTTAGCCATCTGCTCACTTTAACCTCACATGGCAGAAGGAGTCAGAAGTCTCTTTCTGGACCTCTTTTATAAGGGCACTAATCCCATTTATGAGGGCTCAACCCTCATGACCAAATAGTCTTCCAAAATTCCTACTTCCTAATACCATCACCCTGGGAATGAGGATTTCAACATATGAATTTTGGGGAGACATAAACATTCAGACCATAGAAACAGGCAAACATATAATGAACTGAACTGGGCAAACTGAGTTCAAGTCCTGGCTCTGAAGTATATACAGTAGAACCTTGGGCAGATTGCTTTATTCCTTTGTAGCTTCAGTTTCCATTTCTATAAAAGGTGATAATGATATATCTTTTGCAGAACTGTCAAGAGTGAAATGAGATAACGCATGGGAAAACGATTTTCTATAAGCCACAAAAATATAATAACTCAAGGTACATCACATAATTAATTCATTCCACAAACACTGAGCACCTACTAATGTCAGGAACTGTACTGGGAACTAAGAAGACGAAAGTAAGTCTGTCATAATACTTGCCATCAGGAAGACTATAAATAAAAACTGAGTTTAATAAAGTCTTCTAAAGCATTATAATTGGGGGAGAGAGGCATTTAGTGTAGAGAAAGCTCAGTGAAATCAGTTCTAACCTGCAGCAGGGTCAGAAATGATTTCATAAGGAATGTGACTCTTAGGGTGAATCTTGAAAGAGCAGGTAAACTTAGGCTGTGTAAGAGAAAGGACACTCCATGTGAGGGCACAGCATAAAAGTAAGTGGCCCAACAGGGAATGGTGGTGCAAGAAACTCACTGTTTAAAGAGAGTGGAGACTTAGGCCCTGGCTAAGATATCGGGACTTTACCCTGCAGGCTATGGGGAGCCATTGGCAGGGCTGATGTGGGGAATGACTTGGTCAAAAATTTGTATTTTAGAAGGCTTACTTCGGTCACAACGTGAGATGGCAAGGGTGGAGGTGCAACAAACTTAGAGGCAGTGAGACTAATAAGGAGAGTAATATAGTGTTTCAGGGTCTTGAAACAAGAGACCTGAAACTAGGCAAAAAGCAGTGGAATGGAGGGAAGGTGATAGACAGAAATGATAGGTGCATGGATGGGCAGACAGCAGATGAGAGAAGGAAAAGCCTGGGATAATTTCCAGATTTCTCCTTTGGGTGACTAAGTGGATTGTGGTGACATTTACTGAGAATGAGACTAGAGAGAAAAGCCAGCTGGCAGGAAAGTTGAGTTCTGTTTTAGTCAAGTTGAGTTTAAGGCCGATGGGACATCTGGGTAGAGATTTCTGGTAAAAAGTTCGTTTTATAGAACTGGAGATGTGGGACAGAAATGGAAATTTATGAGTTATCAGCACATGGTTGGTAATTGAAGCCATGTGCCTAGGCAGCATTAGAGACAGACTAAGGGCAAGACCATTTAGATGCTCCAACATGCAAGAGGTGGCTGAGCAAGAAAAGGTTAGGAAACACGGAGACCGAGGTGTCACAGAGCCAATGGAAGGGATGGTTTCAAGAATAAAAATCGGGGCCAGGCGCATTGGCTCACTCCTGTAATCCCAGCGTTTTGGGAGGCCCAGACCAAAGGATCGCTTGAGGCCAGCTTGGGTAACGTAGTGAGTCCCCCCTCGTCTCTACTAACAATAAAACAATTAGTTGAGCTTTGTGGCGCCCGCCTGTAGTCCCAGTGCTGGAGAGGCTGAGGCGAGAGGATCGCTTTAGCCCAGGAGGTCGAGGATACAGGGAGCCATGATCGCGCCACTGCACTCCAGCTTGGGCGACAGAGCGAGATCCTGTCTGAAAATAAATAAATATCTGATCAACAGTGCAAACGCTGCAAATAGGTCAAGTAAGACGGGCATTGGAAAATATACAATGGTTTAGGGGATTTTCAAAACCACGAAGTGACTTTCGTCAGTGCAGTCCCCGTGGAACAGCCGGCACAGAAGTCGGTTTGCAGGATCCTGAAGAATTAGAGGGCTGGGGACGGGCTAGATCAATTATGTGTTTTTGACTTGACGATTTGTTTTTAAAATTTGTGAATGCATTTGACATGATGGCATGATTGAGGGCCCTGAAAAGATGCTGAAAGAACGAACCTGAAAGTCCAGGAGGGGGAGTAACCTGTGTAAAGCCAGTCACACTTGGACTGGAACTAGATGAAAATCGCTTACAATGCCAAGATGATCCGAAACGCTTTTTCAAAGGGCAGGAGGAGACTTGCTGTTTACTGAGTGCTCACTGAGAGCCAGCCCATGTCCTAATTTGAGTCTAGGGATAAAACTGGAAGACAGATCGACTCCTTAGCCGGTTCTTTCCATGAAAACGTTGATAATGAATTTAAAAAGCACGCCCTCAAGTTTAACCTCTCCTGTAGTTGGTAACCCATCTGCATTCTTTTGAACGTCACAAGGAAGAAACGGTGCCCGGCGCAGCTTGCCCTGGAGCGTAGCTGGAGTGCGGCTGAGTTTTCGCTCCGCTGAAGCCGGTTACTGTCCAGTGGGATTTCGCTCAAGCCTCAGCACCCCCAGGAGGGGAGGCGCCTGCAGCGCGGGCCGCCAGCGTTTGGAGGGAGGCGGGTGCGGGCTGCACCGGGAGACGGCGAGAGCGAGAGACAGGGGCGCTGGGAGGCGTCTCCCGGGACCCGCGTCTGCTCCCGTCGCCAGCGCGGTGGCCAGCCTAGCCCAGCCCAGCCCGGGCTTTCCTCGCCGCTCTCCGCGCGCCCGGCCCCGGGGGAGGCCGCTCCTTTCCGCGCGGCCGCCCGGTGCCCGTGACCACCCGGCGGCCGCTTTCGGTTCCGCGCCTTATAAGGCCTGACAGGGGGGTCACGTGTGTCCCGGGCCACCCGCCGGGAGGAGGGGCGGCGGGGGGGAGGGGCGGGTAGCGGGGAGGAAAAGGGGAGGGCGCCGGGGGCGGAGGAAGGAGCGAGGGGCGGATTCTGCGCCCGTGGGAGGCTGCGGCGGTGGCGGGGAGCGGACCGCTCGGAGCCGCGCAGGGGAGCGGGACCGTGGAGAAGGAGGAGGCGGCGGAGGAGGAAGGGACCGGCGCGGGGGCGGGAGAGCGCGGCGGAAGCCGGAGACGGCGGGTGGGCCGGTGGCTGGCCCCGGGCGGGGAGCCGGGGCGGCGGCGGCGGCGGCCGAGAGGGACCGCGGCGAGGGAAGCGCATCCAGGAGCCCCGGCGCAGCGGCGGCGGCGGGGACCCGGGTCTGCGCGCCCGGGCGGCCGGCGGGCGCGGGCTGGCGCGATGGAGCCTCAGCACGTGCGCCCCGCGCCCGGCGCCCGCAGCCCAGCGTGGGAGGAACCGGTGGGTACCGCGCCCGCGCCCACCCCCTCCCGCTTCTCCTTTGCTCCCCCCGCCCGGGCCGGGTTCCGTTCAGGAAATGGCCCGGGATGAGGTCCCCAGCTGCTTCCCAGCCGGGTTAGCGCTTCCTCCGCCGCCCGGGCTCCTCCTCGCGCGCCGCCTGGAGCGCCTTTGTCCGGCTGATCGAGGCTCTCCCCGAGGAACCGCTGGCAAACCGCTGGCGACGGCCCTGCGAGGACCGTTTCCCGGCTTCACCGACTCCTCAACTTTTCACTTGCTTTGAGACCGTGGAATGTAGGCGGGGGAGAGGAGAAGCCAGGCTGCGCGGTCAGCGTGGGGAGTCTGAGGAGCCCGGTTTTCCCTGTCGAGACCGCGCCCTGGTCGTCACCTGGGCGCGCAGGTTCCCGGGGACACGCGCCTGGAGAGGCTGAGCGCGGCGCGGAGCCCAGAACCACGCCTCCGACTCCTGCCAGCCGCTAAAGCTTGGGCGTCTGGAGGGTGCAACGGGTTTTGCCGGGGACGAAGCAGAAAGCTGACTTCGCTTTCGCCTGGGATTTCGCTGCACACGCAACGCGGAGGTTGAGTAATTTTAGGAACCAAGAGTAGTGTGTGTGCGTGTCTTAAGTGTGCGAGGATAAGGAGGAAGAGACCAGGGGGCTTTGGATTTGTTCCCTCAAACTCCCTCAACTTCCTTCTCTCTTCCGATTCAAACAGAACCGTCTCACATCCCTCCAGGGATTCCACCCCGGAATCCCCCTCTCACTCAGAGCTCTGGAAGCCTGTGTGGGCTGCCTTTTCCCTGGCGTCGAATTTTGACTCTCCACGCCCTGCCTCGATATTTGCTACTCCTTCTTGGTTGACATTGTGAGCCAGTCTGAAAAGCCCCGTCCGAAATTTCTGGCCTCACCCATGTTCCGGTCAACGTGTTCGGATGCTGTTTTCCCAGGGACTCTCCGAGTCTGCTCAGGCCGGCCCTCTGCCTGTTGAGAGCCGCTAGGTCAGGTGCCAGGGTTGGCTGTCCTTTTTCTTTTCTAGTATATACGCTCTCAGCTCCTTTGCCCAGAGTACCTCCTTTGCCCAGAGTACGTTTCTCGGCCTGATTCCTGACCTTTCAGAAGCGTCCTTCGACTCTGATCCCTCTGCATCTGCAGCTGTCTTTGCTTTCGTGAATTTGAACATGTCGTCAGGTTGCCCATCTGCTCTTGTTTCTTCCATTGTGGTTATCACAGGGGCTTAAGCTAGTCTCCAAATTAAAAATACAATCCAGTTTTGAAGTTTAAATCAAAGATCATTGAGAACTAAATTCAGTGACTTTACTTTTAAACTTTCCTGTAGGAACCTGCATACTTTAAGCCAACACCAATCACAATGGAAATATCCGGGTGTATGTGTTTTGCTTTAGGCTGCTGATGTCGGAACTACTTAACATTTAGAAAATTAGATAATTTTTTTTTCTTCTCAAAAGTGACAAGTAAAATGCTCATTTATTTTCCACAGAAAATATTCAGTTTCCAGTCTTAGCACTGGAGCCTCTAAAACTAGAGCCCTAACATAAATGTGTGAATGGACTACAATACTTTATTCAGACTGCAGAGCCATCTTTTAAAAATTAGGTTTATTTTCTTTAAACACTGAAGGCCTTTTCATTTGCTCTGCACCTATTTTCATTCCGCACCTATTATGTTCCGGGACTGTTGGATAGCAGTTACCAACAACAGAGAAACAGATCCTTGACCTCAGAAAGCTAACGTTCTTAACTAAACAGAATGTCTTGTTTCGTATATGTTAATGGTTTACAATCAGAAAGTCACAAAAAATACATTCAGAGATCATGGCTATGTGGCATAAAATAATACTTTTTACAAGCGACTTTATTCTAAACCCTGTGGTCGTACAGATATCACCAAGTCCATCGAAGAACTAATGAAGGGAATTTTCATTTAACTTCTTAAAAAAGACAATTTATCCAAATTACTAAAAAGTGGCATATAAAGATAAATGTGGGATACATTAGGGAAAAAAGTAGTGTTTAAATGTTAAACCTTTCAGGCATTTGGAGCAAGGGGAAAAGGGGGTGGAGAGACAGATTAAATATGTTTTGAAGGGACACAAAATCCATCAAAATTGGGGATTTGTGACCTTTTTTGGGGTCAGCAATCCCTTTAAGAATCTGATCAAAGCTATGGACCCTTTTTCCCTCAAACATGCACTTATGTGACATATATGTTACATACATATGCTTTATATATGTATTGATGTGTGTGTGTATATATATATGTAAAACATTTTAATACAATTTCAAGAGTACCACAGATTTCTTTAAGACCAATCTGTGGATCCTCAAAGACCTCAGGTTAGGAATACCTGCTTTGACTTGGACTCCATTTCAAAGTTTTTTTTTAATTTAAAAACTTTTTTGTTTTGTTTTTTTTGAGACAGGGGCTTGCTGTGTTGCCCAGGCTGGAGTGCAGTGGTATGATCGTAGCTCACTGCAGCCAGGAGGGATCCTCCCGTCTCAGCCTCCTGAGTAGCTAGGACTACAGGCACATGCCACCATGCTGGGCTCATTTTGGATTTTTTTTGTAGAGGTGGGATCTGCCCAGGCTGGTCTCAAACTTGTGGCCTTAAGAGATCCTCCTGACATGGCATCCCAAAGAGCTAGGATTACAGGTCAGAGTTATGTAAAATTTGCTTTTTAAATTCAAATATAGGCAACTTAATGCTTTACCATAAAAGTATGCTCATTTACATTTATGAAAAGGAATGTTCAATACTGAACAATATTGAATACGCTTAATATTCATTCTGTTCAATAATGAACAGATCCTGTTGCATTATCCCTTATGGGATAACATAAGGGCATGTACATATAACAATAGCATGCATGTAACCATTTACTCTCCTCATTGTTTGAGGCAGTGTCTCACTGTGTCACCCAGGCTGGAGTGCAGGGGCCTGATTCTCAGCTCACTGCAACCTTTGCCTCCTGGGCTCAAGCAATTCTCCTACCTCAGCCTCCCGAGTAGCTGGGACCTATAGGTGCTTGCCCCCATGCCGGGCTAATTTTGGCATTTTCTTGTATAGATGGGCGTGGTGGTGCGCACCTATAGTTCTAGATATGTTGCCCAGACTGGCCTTGAACTCCTGGGCTCAAGCGATCTGCCCACCTCAGCCTCCTAACGTGCTGGGATTACTGGCATGAGCCACTGCACCTGGCCTCTCCTCATTCATTTTTGATGGAACCTAAAACATGATGGTGTGATTCTGCGTGGAACTATTCAGGCAGAAGAGTAAACACAGTATCAGGAATTGATGCTGACAAACAGTAAAGAGAACAGCACTTCTTTCTTTTTTTTCTTTTTCTTCTTCTTTTTTTTTTGAGACAGACTCACTCTGTTGCCCAGGCTGGAGTGCAGTGGCGCCATCTTGGCTCACTGCAACCTCCGCCTCCTGGATTCTCCTGCCTCAGCCTCCCAAGTAGCTGGGATTACAGGCGCGTGCCACCATGCCTGGCTAATTCTTTGTATTTTTAGTAGACACGGGGTTTCACCTTGTTAGCCAGGATGGTCTCGATCTCCTGACCTCGTGATCCGTTCGCCTTGGCCTCCCAAAGTTTTGGGATTACAGGAGTGAGCCACTGCGCCCGCCCCAGCACTTCTTTCTTAAAACGCAGCCATGTTGAGCTGTTGCTGAACTTTACGACACGATTGGGAGATGAACTGAAGTTAGTTAAGCGAACCATTTAAATAAACGATCAGCCTTAGCATTCTGGGGAAGTCATTGGGCCTAAAGAAGATAAATTTTAGCATTCTAAGTTTCTGTGTATTTTCTTTAATGCTAGCTTTGAAATGCAATCAAATTTCAGTGGAAATAGAGGCATAAACTAAATTTCTAATCAATTAAAAAATACTTTAGTGGTGGGCATGGATGGGTAGAAAGATATTTAGCCAAACAAGCCTTACTGGGGGGAAAATAGGTAGTTAGAATTCTAGCCAACACTTCAAAAATGTGGAAGTATTTACAAAGTAGTCCTTAGTTGGGGGATGCTAGAGTACACTTATTAAAATTTGCTTTTGGTGCTGTGGCTCATGCCTGTAATCCCAACACTTTGGGAGGCCGAAGTGGGAGGATCTCTTGAGGCCAGGAGTTTGAGACCATCCTGGGGAAGATGACCAGGGGGAGATGATGTCTAAATAACAACAACCACAACAAAACTAGCTAGGACTGGTGATGCATGTCTGTAGTCCCAGGTATCCTGTGACTACCCTGGGAGGCTGATGCCAGAGGAGCCTTTGAGCCCAGAGTTTAAGGACGCAGTGAGCTGTGATTGGCCATTGCACTCCAGCCTGGGCAAAAGAGCAAGACTTTGTCTCTAAAAAAAGAAAAAAAATTTGCTTTATTTTGAAATGGTTTTATACTAGTTAGCGCTGATAAAACTATCCAGGTCGAAAGGAAAATTAGGAAGGAAAGAGTTTCAAAGGATAGGGCCAAAATGTAAATGAGAGGTTATAAACATCTTTGCATTAGGTCTAGATGATGAAAGGTTTTTGCCTCAGATACGAGGATGACCATATGTATATGCAGTTAATATCACAGTTAATCCCCAAATCTTTTTCATTCAGGTAACAACTAAGGAAATGGTAATAGGTTAAAAGTTTCGAATGTTAAATTCTTAATATGTAGCAAATAGCGTGTTCTTAAGTTTTAATTAAGGCAGCTTCTCAATGCCTGTACTTGGTCAACCTGCAGTATTCTTTGCATGGTTCCTTATTGATTAGGAACACAAGTCCTAGAACACTTTGAACTCTTCAGGATATAAAATGTAACATTCTGCGTATTTATGGCGTAATATTTAAGATAAAGCCATAGAATATGTGAGATTTGAAAGTTGCCAATGGGTATAAAACCCCTTTTGTTATGAGTAGTGATCAGTAAAAATACAATTCAAAATACCTCTGTAGAAAATAATACACGAATATTCATAAAGTTGACATGAAATTTGGCTGTGACTTACACATCTTCAGTCTAATAGGTGTTCTTTGTTTTAATGGGCCAGGATCTCTATTAAGTAAAAACCTAATTTAGGGGTAGCTACCACCTATTTCCATTTCACCCTAAATGCAGTGTCTACACAGCTTATGTTGAAGTCTTTAATAGTGTGTTTGTCACATGTTCTGAACAGAGATTTCAAAGTAACAATAAAAATGTAAGATGCATCTAAGCAATTACTGAAAAATCTGAAATCACTAAGTAAGGAAAAGATCAAGGAATTCTTATAAATCAAATAAATAATGTAAGATACCACATATTTGAAATTGTTTCAGTTGCTATTTTGAGCTACATGGTTGAAATGGTTGGAAAGATTGAGACCTTGACCTTGTAATACTCTTGAGGAAGGTGAAGTACATTGCAGGTACACAGTGCACAAATTAGATATTCATTCTAAAAACTTCTAATTTACAGATAAGACCGAGAAGAGGCTAGTAAGTCAGGTATCTTAAATAATGGATTCGTTGAAACTGGCTCTTCAGAAGAGGTGATTGCAGAAGTGCAAAGCTGGCTCTGAGGTTAAATCTTTATGAGAAAGGAATACCTTTACTTTGAGGTATTAAATGGCTCAGCTCTGGGATATGAAACTTTTTAAGTATCTTTAAGCAATCAGTGTTCAAATCAAAGAGTGAGATGCGTAATCTGACCTGTTAAAATCACAAAATCAGGCTGGGCATTAGATAATGCCTTTCAGTTTAATCACTCGCTGCCTGGATTCTGGAAAATGTTGCTATATAAAACACATAATGTATGAATAGAAGTATATGGTAACTGACAGACTTTTGTTATACAGTGTGATAAAGTGAATAGAACATTAGAATACTAACCGCATGATTTTGACTTTGGTCTCAGTTTGTCAGTTGGGGCCTTAGTTTCTTTACATTAAAGGAGAAGACTAAACTAAGTTTATTCTTTCAAAAGACCCTTTACTAGGTGTCCTTGTCTACATTTCCAAAATATTGGACTTGTCCATGACCAAACAGGTGGGAATGAAGGCCATTATTTTGATTATTTTTCTCTTTTAAGAATTTCCAGAAATATGTTCTTTGTAGATAAAGAATTACATATTTGTAGAGTTCTAAGCGTTCTTAAAATTCATTTTGCCCAACTCCTTCCTTTCCTAAAGGAGACAACAGAAGCTGCAGAAATAGCCTCTCTGTTATTATTACATAGCAGCAGTCTCCTGTCTTTAAATATTTGAACTAAACACATTTTACATTTTAATGAATTTAATTTACAGTGTGATGTCCAGTATTGGGATTGCATACTATTTCTTAAAACTTCTTAGAACTGTTAGCTCTAATATATCAAATTTCTTGTTGGGAGTAAGACTGCAAGTTAAAAAAAAAAATTAGAACCTTAGTTTGGAGGAACCTTAAAGGTCATGTCAACTGAAAAAATACGAAAGGAATGGTACTGAAAGGCATGAACATAACAGAGATTGAATGCTTTCTCCAGGTGGAGAGACTCCACAGTCTGGCAGGGACTTTTTGTCCTATTTAAAAATATAGCTAACACCAGTTTGGTGTTCTCTTTGGATGACAAGAGGGATCTGTCGTTTTAATGTCTTCTCTCGCAGCCCCCTCACCGCAGCCCCCTCACACCTGTGAGGCTTCTTTGACGTTGAGCGTGCACAACCCGCTGCCAGTCCGCGGTTCCCAAGTGCCCGCGCAGCCAGCTTGCAGGGGAGTTGTGCGCGGTGGCTACAGCCTGTTGATCCCACTTCCTCCTGCTCTAGTCCGGGCTAGGGAGTGGCTCTGCCAGGACTTCCAAGGCTTTTTGTCTCGGGTACTGGTGTTCGCATGGCTCGAGTGTATTGTTTTCTTCCAGGCAATCTCGGTTAGCGCTTCAGCTTAGACACTTCTTGTGCGTTCTGTCGTCTTGGGCTGCGTGTAGTCTCTTGTTTCTGCGCTTTCTCCACGCCCTTCCCAGTTTCCTGTTAGCCGAAGGGGATCGCTCTTTCTGAACGAAAAGTTCTCAGAGCGGAGCTGAACCTCCCGGAAAATGCTCTTCTCTTCCGTGTGCGCCGGATGGGGGTGGGGGTGGGCCAGAAACTGAACGCCGCCGTCAGGAGAGCTGAGGGGACCCGACGGCCCTGGCGGAGGCGGGAGAGGTACGGTCCTCGGAGTGGGGCTGGGGGTGGGGAAACCGACGAGGGGCAGCCCCCGACTGTCTTGGTGGCAGAGGGGACTTTTATTCAGCTGGAACCGCGCGGCGAGGCCCAAGTGTCTCTGGAGAGATTCGGGGTTCAGGAGGTGGCGGGTGCACCCAAGGGTGCTGGGAGGAAGCTCCAGGTTCCCATTCTTCCCCAGGGATCGGCGTTGCCCCTGCTGTCCAGAAGTGAGAGGGGGTGTGCGGGCATCGCCACTACGGGGTGGGCTGCAGAGGTTTCCTGCCTCCCCCACCCTCCTGTCCATCCTAGGGACCCAGACCGTAAGGGAGTGGAAGAGATGTTGCTCCAAACCCTGTCACCCCATCCTCTCTACCCGCGCTGGTCCTATCCGAGGCTGGGTGCGCAGGGGTCCGAGGCGGGCGGGGGTCCGTTACCTCTGCGTCCCACCGTGGCCGCCGCTCCGGCGGGAACCGAGCGGAGGAGCCGGGTGGACCCCTGCCTGGAGGGCGCCTGCCCCGGGCGACCCTTACCTCGCGGGGGTAGCTAGGGAAACGGAAGATGGCGGCGGCGGCCGGGCACGGGGTTCCGGGCTCCGCTCGGGCAGAGCCCACCCGCTGACCAACGCCGCCGCCCCCGCCGGGCGGTGCTGTGTCCCCGCAGGAGTCGGAGAGGATGGCAGGGGCCGGAGGCCAGCACCACCCTCCGGGCGCCGCTGGAGGAGCGGCCGCCGGAGCCGGCGCCGCGGTCACCTCCGCCGCTGCCTCGGCGGGGCCGGGAGAGGATTCGTCTGACAGCGAAGCGGAGCAAGAGGGACCCCAGAAACTGATCCGCAAAGTGTCTACCTCGGGGCAGATCCGGACCAAGGTAGGGCGGAGGAGGCGGGCCTGAGGGCCGCGTGGAAAGCGGGAGGTGGAGAGGGCGCGGGGGCGCTGGAACGCGCCGGGCGATCCCGGGAAGGCGGGGAAGGCGGGGAAGGCGGGGAAGGCGGGGAAGGCGGGGAAGGCGGGGAAGGCGGGGAAGGCGGGGAAGGCGGGGATGGTGAGACGGTGAGGCGGGGCGGGGCCTGGGGCGCGGGCGGGGCGGGGAGGGGTGGGGCGGGGCCCGGGGGCGCTGGACCGCGGTGCTGCGGGACGGATTCCCGGCGGCTGCGCGGGAGGCTGCGAGCCTGGGCTCCCAGGGAGTTCGACTGGCAGAGGCGGGTGCAGGGAACCCGCGGCTCGGCGGGAGCGTGGGAAAAAGCTGACGCGCAGTCGCGAGTTCCTACTTAGGGAACTTAAAAGGAGAGTTTCAATTTTTCTTCCCTGCCGTTCGGGGGAGCGTGCGCATGTGCTGGCCAACCAGCCTGCGCTGCAGTGAGCCCTGCTGCTTTCCCACTTAGGCCCACTCAGAGGGTGGGTGGAAGGTGACACCGGTCAGCCTTTCCTGCCCCTCTGCCTCCTGCTGCGGTCTGGAAGGCAGAAGCCCCGAGGCAGGCAAGTGGGACATGGTGTTCGCGGCTTAACCGCACCCTGCATGGCTCCAAGGGCTGGCCAGGCTTTCGTGTCGCAGGTTCCCGCCAAGTGCAGGCAGGGTTCAGAACCATGCGTCCATGGTTCTTTTTAATAATGAGAAGTTACCTCTGTGCTGTGTGGACATTAGGATGGTGTGTTACTCTTGTTAATGAAGCTTGTGCTGTCGACCTGTGAGGTCTCAAAGTTAATTTTTAATTTGATCATGAACATACCAAAGCAAATGCTTATGGATATTAAAGGATTTTTATGTATTCTAATTTTCATTGTAATTTAAAAATCTTCACAGAGAGAGTCTGTTATCAGTAGGGAAATTTAACGAGGATATTGAAAACGGAACCACAAAATCATTGGCTTGGGGTACCGTTTTTAAAAATAAATTTGCAAAAAATTCATTCTACAGTTATTTTTATGAAAAATTTTCCCTAAGGTCAATGAACTCCTATTTGGAAACATAATTTTTATTCAGTGCCTGTGGAGGCCGGTAACGGTGGCTCATGCCTGTAATCCCAGCACTTTGGGAGGCCAAGGCAGGCAGATCACTTGAGGCCAGGAGTTCCAGACCAGCCTGGCCAACATGGTGAAACCCCATGTCTATTAAAAATAAAAAAATTAGCTGGGCTTTGAGGCGTGCACCTGAGATCCCAGCTCCTCGGGAGGCTGAGGCAGGAGAATCGTTTGAACCCGGGAGGCGGAGGTTGTGGCGAGCAGAGATTGTGCCACTGCACTCCAGCCTGAGCGACAAAAAAAAAGCTAGTGGATTAATGTTTGTAGTAGCCTGCCTCCTTATTTTCTGAAATACATGTGTGTAAGAACAACACACAAGAACAACTGTTGACAAGATGCACTTACTAAAGAGTTAGGGATTCAGTCACTTTAGTTAAGAGTACATCTTGTAACTCCTTTTAATAGTGACGTTTTTGAGTTTGTAGTAAATTAAGAATATGGCATTTAATGTGTTTTTTAAGATTAAGGCTTTTACAAAGTTAGGGACTTTCCTAAAAGTGTTTTTAATATTTCAAATCTTAATTCTGAAAAAAGTTCATAAACTGTGTTAATGATGGGCAAAATGGCAGGTAAAAAAAAAAATTGTATAGGGGCCGGGCATGGTGGCTCACGCCTGTAATCCCTGCACTTTGGGAGAACAAGGTACCTGAGGATCACTTGAGCCCAGGAGTTCAAGGCTGCAGTGAACTGAGATCTTGCCATTGCACTCCAACCTGGGCAATGAAGCGAGACTGTCTCTTAAACAAACAAGCAAACAAACAAACAAACGTGTATGTTACATATTTATATGAAATGGTCAAAATTCCATGCATACTTATATCAGGATTAACCAGTAGATTTATACTGTTCGAAAGAAAACTGAGAGATGGCTCTAAATTGAATTGAATCATGTCAAACAACAAATTTGTTGGGAGTACCACTGTATTTTATAGGTTTCATGCGCTCGTTGTAATAGCTAAGATTATATGCTTATGGAGACTACAAGTAAATTTAAAAAGCACATTATTTGTGATTTTCTATCTGACTTTCTAATAAAAACATTTAGCACATACATTTTGCCATGAGAGATCATTTTTGACTATGAAATCAAATATTGCTTGAATTTCAAAAGTGTATTGAATGTCAGAAATTCAGCATTTTACAATTTCTCCTATGTTAGAGTGCATGTAAGTTCATCAACATTTTCATATATGAACACTTGAGATCAGGGTATAAGATTCTGAGACCAGTGAGCTTCAACCTCATACCCCGCCTCCTGCAACTGGACTGTTCATGTATGTCACAGACTTCATTATTTACGTCTTTTATCACATATACTGATTCTTGGGGAAGAAAGTGAGAGCAATAGGGGGAATTTATAGAATGAGAACTACTAAATTTAACGTTGGTTCCCAGTCTTCAATTATGATTCAGATGAGAATTAAGGAAGGATCTTTAGAAAAAGACAAATACTTTCTGTGTCTCCGCACAGGTGTGTAAGATGGGAGCACCTGGAGGAGAGGTAGGCCCTAAGATTAGCTCAAAGCCATCTTTTTTTTTTTTTTTTTTTTTTTTTTTTTTGAGATGGAGTTTCACTCTTGTTGCCCAGGCTGGAGTGCAATGGTGTGATCTCGGCTCACTGCAGCCTCCACCTCCCAGGTTCAAGCGATTCTCCTGCCCCTGCCTCAGCCTCCCGAGTAGCTGGGATTACAGGCATGCGCCACCACACCCAGCTAATTTTTTATTTTTAGTAAAGATGGGGTTTCTCCATGTTGGTCAGGCTGGTCTCGAACTCCCGACCTCAGGTGATCTGCCCACCTTGGCTTCCCAAAGTGCTAGGATTACAGGGGTGAGCCACGGCCTCAGCCCCAGTCATTTTTAAGACAGCACAAGCAGTTCTTGCTCATCTATCCTGCTTTGTCAGTAGGTCAAAACTGGTCAAATATGGAATGCTTCATATGGTTCAATCTAATATGTCATCATTTAACCAGTTTTTTGCAGAAGTAAATATGGGTTGTTTTAGGACAATGCACTAATCTCAGCTTTTTCATAGTGGATTTGATGGTTTTTAAGTAAAGAATGGAACTGGTATGCTTTTGAAATCAGTGTGGCTTAATAAAATCCTCATGTGTATTTTAGCACCCTCATCATAACTCCATACAGTATACTTTTTGTTCCCCTTTTCATTTTCCATTTATTCCTGGTTTCTTTGTATGTCTATGCTGTCCTCTCTACTATTTTCCTCTTCCTCTGTTTTGAACTTTTTCCTTTCTCTGAATAACCTAAGTGGAATTTCAGGTGGTCTCATCTAGCCACTCAGGTGCTAAACACTAAATGATTTTATGCCTGCCTTTATTTCCCAAAGACAAAAAGTCACTTATGTACAAAAGTGAAAGTGGTGCTGATGCAGGAAAGCCAAAATGGAGTCCTAACACTTGTCATATCTCTTCCCCCTCTTTACCTTCTTGAGTTTTTGGATTTGCATTCAGACATACTGTTGTAGAGAATTTCACAGGTATTTACTGAGAATAAGATATTTTTGAAACAACGCTAATACAGATTCAGACAAATTGGGTTTTGAGGATGAATGTGAAAGAAGCTTTGTGTGTTTTTTGTTGGCCCATGAATACTGCAACCTTTCATTTTATGGGAATGGCTGGAAGAAACTTGGTCAGGCTTACAGCCTAGGATTGTTCAACAATCATAAACCAAACAGTATAAACAAATGGGAACCATCTCAATGACTTTTTCTGCCTTTGGGTCATCTCGGCTAAGGTTGTGAAGCTGCATGTGTCAAAAATACTCCTGATGAGGTTTATTGTGTTCTCATTTATTTTTTATTTTTTGACATTTATATGTCTTCTTACAGCTAATGGCCACAAATGAGTCTCTAAATTTAGGTAAAACATACCTAAACACTAAAAAGATATTCAGAATTTTGCATCAACATTTTATCTAGGCTGAGGGCGGTGGCTTATGCCTATAATCCTACCACTTTGAGAGGCCAAGGTAGGACAATCAGTTGAACCCAAGAATTCAAGACTAGCTTGGGCAACAGTGAGACTCCATCTCAAAGAAAAAAACAAACCCAAAAGAAGACCAAAAAACACACCAGTATTCTATCTGGATTAAGATATATTTTTGGTGCAGCAAACCACCATGGCACATGTATACCTATGTAACAAACCTGCAGGTTCTGCACATGTAACCCAGAATTTAAAGTAAAATAAAAAAAAAATCTTACTACTACTACTAATTATATATATAACTATATATATAACTATATATAACTATATATGTAACTGTATATATATAACTATATATGTAACTCTATATGTAGCTATATATAACTATATATATAACTATATATAACTATATGTATAACTATATAACTATATGTATAGAACTGTAACTATACATAACTATATATAACTATATATGTATATATATAACTATATATGTATATATATAACTATATATGTATATATATAACTATATATATGTATATATATAACTATATATGTATATATATATATTTTTTTGAGACGGAGTCTTACTCTGTTGCCAGGCTGGAGTGCAGTGGCATGATCTCGGCTCACTGCAACCTCCGCCTCCTGGGTTCAAGCAATTCTCCTGTCTCAGCCTCCTGAGTTGCTGGGACTACAGGCGCATGCCACCATGCCCAGCTAATTTTTTTGTATTTTTGGTAGAGACAGGGGTTTCACCATGTTGGCCAGGGTGGTCTTGATCTCTTGACCTTGTGATCCACCTGCCTTGGCCTCCCAAAGTGCTGGGATTACAGGCGTGAGCCACCACGCCTGGCCAAAAACATGTATTTTTAAGCCCAGTAAGGATAATGATCACATTCTTCAATTGATATCTTGGTTTTAATTTAATATGAAGGATGTATAAGTAAACTCTTGTTCCTTTATGGTAAGGCAGTATATGAAAGTATTGATTTGCATTTTTCACTGCCTTACAAAGTACAATTTGTGCCATTAAAACATTATCTTTCATCACAAACCCTAGGTGAAGTATGCTGGGGAAGCCTTGCTCTGTGTTTTTGAAATTGTAGGTGGCAGCCCATTACTGGGTCATATGGTTCATGGCCAGCATTTAAAAGAGAAACAGAATAAATTAGGAAATATTATTTAAAACTTTTAGCTAGAGTTCTGTGTGGAAACATGGGAATCATAATGATCCAAATAGATGGGAAACAGAAACATGGCCAGAAGAATATTAGGAAATGAGAGTAAAGTGATACTGACAGCCTTATTGCTCTGAAACTCAATATGAAATGAGAAGCAAGTAGGAACTTTTACATTTTGATAGGTGATGAGCAGAAAGATATCTCAAGCAATTAACACACATCCAGGTCAGAAGTTGGCTAACTTTTCCCATAAAGGGCCAGATAGTAAATAGTTTAAATTCTGTGGGCCATAAGGTGTCTGCTGAAATTATTTAACTCAGAGAATGGAGGTTACTAAGAAGGGGAGGGTGCTGGGGAGAACTGGATAACTCCAGAATAATTCTGAGAATAAGTTCTTATTCTGGAGAATAGAATAAATTCTTTTGTACAGTAAGGTGACTGTAGTAATAATAAAGCATTGTATACTTGAAAATTGCTAAGAGTAGATCTTAAATGTTCTCACCCACAAAAAATTAAGTATGTGAGGTGATGGATATATTAATTCGCTTGATTTAATCATTTCACAATGAATACATACATGAAAAATCACTCCATGTACCAGAAATATGTACAATTTTTATTTGTCAATTATACCTTAGTAAAGAAAAAGAAAAAAAATTACTCTACTTTGTCATTGTAGCATAAAACAGCCATAGACAATACTTTAAGTGTTGCTGTGTTCCAACAAAACTTTATTTAAGGACACTGAAATTTGAATTTCATGTAATTTTCATGTGCTAAGAAATATTATTATTCCTCTTTTTAAGAAATCAGTTTGAACATGTGAAAACCTTCTTAGCTCGTCGACTATATAAAATCAGGCGGCCGGCAGGATATGGCCCATGGATATAGTCTGTGGGCTGTAGTTTGCTGGCACCTATGTTAGAAAATGGAAGGTAGTATAGTTAGGTTTGCCAAGCATTGCAAAGTTAAGGTGCTGTTAAATATGATCCACATTTAAGGGACCAAATAAAGCTAGATTTCAGTCCATTTAAAAAATCTAATCTTTGTAGAACATTTTATTTTTAGCTTGGTTTGCGTCTTTGCTTCCATTTTAATGTGAACTAAATATAGACTGGAAATTCTGACTCTCAGTACAGTAATATATGGTATAACACCTTTCTTTCCATTTTGATTACAAGTTAAACATGATATCCCATTATTAAAGATAAGAGACATAATAAATAATTTACTAAACCTTTACATATAACTTAACGATGCCGTATTTTAAAGTATCTAAATTTAGAACTCTTTCACTTAGTTTAAGTTTGCTTGTTTGCTGTTGTGGTAAAGAGGCAAAAGGTTATATGAAACTACCAGTATAAAGGACGTGGGGCCCCGTTCTGTTTCCAGGGTACAGTGTTTTTCACTCATATTGGATTTGTTAGGCTTTACTTACTCAGGAAATGTGTTTATAAGCAAAGGTTTTAATTAAAGAGAGTTTGTTTTACATCTAAGAATAGACC
Source organism: Homo sapiens (assembly GCF_000001405.40). Classification (NCBI taxonomy): domain Eukaryota; kingdom Metazoa; phylum Chordata; class Mammalia; order Primates; family Hominidae; genus Homo; species Homo sapiens. The sequence continues at coordinate 42,055,751 of NC_000013.11, forward strand.
TTTGAAAAAGGCCATAACATGTTAGTACATTACAGTTTCCCTTGGCAAATTTGTTTGGTTTTGTTGGATATTGAGTATTTTACTCTATGACTATTTAGTCACTGGAAACACATTTGTAGCTGGGCACCGTGGCTCATGCCTGTAGTCCCAGCAATTTGGGAGGCTGAGCTGGTAAGGTTGCTTAATGCCAAGAGTCTGAGACAAACTTTAGCAAAACAAGGAGACCCCATCTCTATAAAACATTAAAAAATAAGAAAGTTAGCTGGGCGTGGTGGCACCTGTGGTCCCAGCTACTTGGAACCACTGCTCTCCAGCCTGGGTGACAGAGCAAGACCTTGCCTCTAAAACAAAAGAAATAAAGAAACATTTGTATTTTTGAGTTGGTTAAATGATTTTAAAGTGGTCAACAGCTATTGGTGATAGTATTAAATTAGGAGTTAATGTGCATCATTCCTATTTTATATAGTTCCTTATTTTTTTTTCAAATGATCATATATGGTAATAATTCTCTCCCTCCTGCTTTTTGTTATGAGGCTATTTGGGAGACTGTTAGGCTTCTGTTTTATATGAGGAAGTACGGTTAACTTTGTCATGTGTAGGGCTGGAATCTCTGACCTTCTCACTGTGTCATTTGAGTATCAGCACTTTTTCAGACCACCAGAATGTAATTTAGCATAATAGATCTTTTTAAATACAAGCTTGGTGCATTTAATTCAGAAATTTAGAAATACTTTTCTATTTAGCATTTTATTGGTTACAGAGCAGTTTTCTATACATGATCTTATGGAACAGTTGTGTACAGTTACCTAAATTTTATAAATGATTATACAAAAGTTTGAATATCTGCTGAGTAACGGACAAAGCTGGAACTCAAAAGCAGTTCCTTCTGATGATTGTACCCATATCCCTTTCACAGTGGATTAAAATGGGTGGGTTCCAGATGCCTTGCTTTCGGTAGCCCTGTAGCTTCTTGGGCAGTGAAACTTTAATCTACAGCATGCAATCATGTGTGTGTGCAGGCAGACAGGCTCCTTACTTCTCTTGGCCTCTCTCTCCTTCTCCTTCCCTTCGCTCTTTTCTCTCTCCCTTAGATTCCTCTTTTCCTCTCCCTTATTTCCCCCTTCTTCCTGCTCCTGCCTTTATTCGTTTGTTTAATCCATGAGCATATCTCTCATCAATGTTTTAGGTTTCATCATGCCGTTTTGCATTTGGATCCTACGTTTTTAGGGACAGATATATGACTGCACATTTGAAAAGTAAATTTTGAAATAAAAAATTCCAGCTGAAATTTATATTCATTTGAATTAAACTTAACAAAAATTATTGAGACTTTTTAACGTACTTTTAAAAGGATTATTTTAGAAAAAAATGCTTCTAGGTACCTAACTCTTCAAATAGGTTTTCAAAGAAAACTGTTAGTTTCACTTCTATAAGGTAAGATGCCATTTTTGAAAGGTCATGGTATAGTGTTAAAAAGAATCATGTGAAGTAATTTTCCACATGGCCTATTAAAACATATTTGAGGAAAAAATATGAGTAAAATTTATTTTTACCTAGCTAGAGAATGAAAACGACAGGAATTTTTTGGCCTACTTTTCTCCATCTCACTATTTTATGTAGGTAAGAAAAAGTGCAAGAGTTTTATCTGAGCAGGCACGGTGATTTGAGTTGTATTGTTCCTCGACACTCTTGTAGTACTTTAAAATTATGTGATATTATAATATTTGATATTTATAAGAATATATAATATCTCTGTAGTTTGTGAAGCACAGTGGTAAAATGAACACCCGTGAATCCAGCTTCAGAATGGGAACATTTTCAATATCATGCATCTTCCTGTGTGCTCCTTCTCAGTTTACTCCTTTGTTGCTCCTCAATTCATGCATTCAAAGAAATATCTATGGTGTTCCAAGTACTGCTGTAGGTACCAGGGATAGAGCAGTAAGCAAAAATATACAAAAACCTCTGCCCTCATGGAACTCACATTTTAATGCAAGGAGAATTTATGAACTTGTAAATACTTGAAACGCATAGTATATGAGAAGGTGATAAGTGCTATAGAGAGAAATAGAGCATGGCTGTGAGTGGAGGTGGAGTGGGAAGGGATTTTTAGGCAATGAGCCATGTGGACCTCTGGGTGAAGAGCAGGCTAAGTAGAAGGAACAGCAGCTGCAAAGAGGGAGGTCAGTGGGGCTGAAGGGGGTTGGGGGGAACCAAGTAGAAAGTTGAAAGTGAGTTAACAGTGTCCAAAGTAAGGTACTATAGAGAAAAGTTCTTAGCCTGGGTTCATGCATCCCTGGTTTTGTTGGGTTTTAGAGGGCTCTCCACCAAAGTTTATGTCTATGTGTATGCCCCTCAGAAGGTTAAAACCACTGATTTGTGAAAGGGAACTGCAGGTCAGAAAATAGAGATAGGTGAAAAAAATACATATATATGTAGTAAGTCCTCACTTAACATCGTTGATAGATTCATGGAAACTGACTTTTAAGTGAAATGACATATAACAAAACCAATTTTCTTTCTCATTGATGTTATAATGAAATGATGCATGAAAAAGTGTTATTCTAGGACCTACTGTACATCATTTCACTTAACATCACAGTTTCTGAGAACCTATTGATGTTGTTAAGTGAGGACTTACTGAATACACAATATAATTCCACAGTAATATTGAACTCTTGAATATAAACCAGCTGTTGTCATTTTCATTTGGAGAAATGTTAAATTTGCTGGTGGGTTCAATGAAATGGAGTGAGCCAGCGGCATAGAATAGCAAGGTTCCTGGAGAAGTTAGATAGTGTTGGGTTTGATTCTCAGCTTGTCATGTACTATATTATATTAGATGACCTCAGACATGTTACTTAAGGGGGCAGAGAATGCTGTGCCCACTGATAACTGTGTTTTTCTATTCTTCTTGGCCCACCATTAGACTTCCTTTTCCCCTTGCAGATAGATGGAGCTATGTAACTGACTTCTGGCCAGTGAAATACAGGTGAGAGTGATGTCTGTCACTTGGCCTCTCAAGCTGTGGGACTCTCCATGCCTTATGTTTTCCCTCACCTGCCAGGTAGATACAGATTATCCAGTGGAAGCAGCCTGGATCCCTGAATGACTTCATGGAGCAGAGCCCTTTGTGCTCCTCCCTGAATCCCATTAGCCACATTGGATTTTGACATGAGGGGGAAATAGAGCTTTATTGTGTTAAGTCCCTGAGATTTGGGCATTGTTTGCTATAGCAGTTAGCATACCCTGAGCAATACACATCATCACTCTGAATTGAGGATTTCTCCATTTCCAAATTGGACGTAGTATTCCTACCTTGTAAGGTAGTAATGGTGATTAAATAAATATAAAATATGTTTTTGTATCTGTAATTATTATAATTATTTTAAAAAATTGGTATTAAAATTCTGATAATTACTCCTATGTGTGTCTTTTACATAATTTAATCTGTGGTGTGTATAGGCCACTGTCTTTTGTTAATGATTTTTCAAGTGTCTTTTTTCTTTTTTTTTTTAAGACGGAGTCTCGCTCTGTTGCCCAGGCTGGAGTGCAGTGGCATGATCTCAGCTCACTGCAGCCTCTGCCTCTGGGGTTTAAGCGATTCTCCTGCCTCAGCCTCCCAAGTAGCTGGGATTACAGGTGCGTGCCACTGTGTCCTGCTAATTATTGTATTTTTAGTAGAGACGGGGTTTCTCTATGTTGACCAGGCTGTTCTTGAACTCCTAACTTCAAGTGGTCTGCCCACGTTGGCCTCCCAAAGTGCTAGGATTACAGGCGTGACCCACCGCGCCTGGCCTTCAAGTGTCTTATGAAAAAATATTTTAATAAGAATGAATGACCACTTGGAGGTGGTAGTGGAAATAATTGGCCAGGTTGGCTTTTAGGTGCTTCTATGGCCTGTTCTATTTAATCTTGAAATATCTTTCTAAGAGCCTTCTTATCTGCCCTTCTTCAGCTTCTATTTACTCTTCATTCTACTGCAGCTATTTCATGAAACTTCTTTTGCAAAGGCCCTTAGTAATTTTAATTGCTAAAATCGAGTGGTCTCTAGTTTTCAGTCAACTGCTTCTTGCCAATTTGGATGCTATTGACCACATCTTCTCACATCTTCTCTTCTTTTGCTTTCAAAGTTTAAGTTCTCTCTCTTTTTTCTTTTTTTTTTTTTTTATATATATAGAGTCTCACTCTGTCATTCAGGCTGGAGTACAGTGGCACAATCTTGGCTCACTGCAAACTCCGCCTACCAGGTTTAAGTGATTCTCCTGCTTCAGCATTTTGAGCAGCTGGGATTACAGGTGCATGCCACCACGCCTGGCTAATTTTTGTATTTTTAGTAGAGATGGGGTTTCACCGTGTTGGCCAGGCTGGTCTCGAACTCCTGACCTCAGGTGATCCACCGGCCTCGGCCTCCCAAAGTGTTGGGATTACAGGCATGAGCCACTGGGCACAGCCAAGTTCTCTTATCTTTCTTACTGTCTTTTCACTGCCTCTTAGCCTCTATCCCTGATTCCTTTATCTATTGTCAAATGTTTTTGTTTCCTAGAAGTCTTAATTCTGTTTGCCCCTTCCTAAGTTAATGTGATTAATTAGATTAGGCTTTGACCACCACCTCTATCGGTCTTTTTCTAGCCTGTACTTCTGAGATCTGGGCCTCTAGTTCCTTTGCCTACCAGACATTTCCTGTAGGGGGTCCCCTAGCCATCTCAGTCTCCGTATTCTCAAACTGAACATATTTGTGCAGTCTACTCATTCCCGGCCAAATTTTGCTCCACAGCTTTTATGTCCTGTAGAATAAATTGCCTCGTATAGAAGGGATTGACTTTTTGTCTTGCTAATCACTATCATTAATTCATTTGCTTTCATCAAATACCCATTTAGTGCCTGCTATGGCCAGGCATAGTGTTAGGTGCTGGTGATTTAGAAGTGTATGAAAGAGACACATCCCCACCCACAAGGACCTCACTCATAGTCAGTGGTCACCAAATTTGTTCATTTCTGTATATCTTAGATCTTATTTAATCCTCATAGTAAAACTATGAGGTAGGTAAGTACAATTATTCTCTCCTTTTTAGAAATAAGAAAACCAAAGATTAGATAAGTAACATGCCCCAGGTCACACATGTCAAGTGACTTGTTTGATGCCTGATTTAACTGTTTTTGAAGTGGCTATGTTGTCTGGGGTATATACCCTGGGGTTCATTGTCACACTCCAGGAAAACTTAGGACATGGACACACAGGAGGAGTTTAGGAGCGGCGGTTTAATAGGTAGAATAAAAGAGAAAGGGAAACAACTTCCTCCATAGAGGAAGGGGTCTCCGAGCAGAAAGGACTGGCTGATGGCAAATGCACTGAGTTTTATAGTCCCGTTTGAGGAGGCGGTGTCTGATTTACATAGGGCTCACAGATTGGTTCAATCAGGTATGATGTTTATATAGCATGTGTGGAAGGCTGGTTGCCCCACCCTAATCTTCTTATGCAACTGGGCTTTCCCGTTGATCTGCGCCATCTTGTCTGCTCCTTACAATACACGTAGCTGGCAGAGAAGGGAAGATGGAACTGCCATCTTGAAAATGTCTAGTCCTTAGTTCCTGCAGGCATTCACCTATGCAAGCTCCCAGCTTGTAGGCCGCTCTTTGTTAGAAAATGATTTGGGGCTGCTTTTTATTAAAAAGAAAAGCCTTACCGAGGACTCCCATACTCTTGCTATCTGTCTAAGTAATTTCTTCTTAACTCCTATATCATTATGATATACTGTCCCTTTGCTGCATGAATCTCTCCTGAATTCATTTCTCCCTTTCCATTTGCTGCTTACCCTAACTTCATTTAACCTTTATTATCTGTCATTTGGATTTTTGCCATATATTTCCTCTCTTCTCCATTCTCTACTCCAGTGCCAGAGTTATCTTTGTAAAAGAGAAATATGATACATAATACATTTTGCATAAGCTCTTAGACTTTGCCCATTACTGGTGGGATAAAGTCTAAATTAGTCTTTTCTAATTTGATACTAAATGACCTTTCTATTCATTCAACCAATTTTTATTGAGTTCTATTCTAGGTGCTGAGATGGTAAAAGAACATAAAAGCCCTGCTGTTATAGAGCTTATAGTCTATCAAGGGAGAAGTTAATTAACGTATACACAGACACAGTTCTATCATATAGCTGGTGTTCATAAGCATAATGAAGGAAGATAAAGCAGGGTAAAGGGAGAAAGATGGAGAGTGTGTGTGTGGGTGTGTGTGTGTGTGTGTGTGTAAAATATTTGGGTTCAATTGACCAGGATAGACTCTCTTTGATAAGGTAATATTTGAACAGAGATCTTAGTGAAGTGACAGAAGCTATGTATGCAGATATCTGGGCTCCAAGCACCCTAGGCAGAGCCAATGCCATGGTATTCCAGTTGTGTTTTCTGTCACTGTCATCCTCTGTACAGTCATGCAAACTCTTCTGTTTCCAAAGTAAGGCAGGCATTTTCATCCATCCAAGTGTTACAGGTATCTCCCTTTTCCTATTTCTCTGTTTGACTTTTTATTTATATACCATTATTTCCACACATTTTTCAAAATATTCAAAATGGTTTATATTCCACACTGTGTATTAAGCTTAGGTAAAATAGGGCTAGAGGACTATGAGATTAGGAAGAAGGTTAGAAGGCTAATATATAGAGTGAGGTGTCTTGCACAGCTAGAGATGAGTTGTAAATTTGATCCCGGGTAGCCAGAGCAGCAAGACCAGTTATAAAGTCGTATTACCAGCGGGAAAAAAGCCCTCTAGATTTTAAGGGGGAAAAGCTTTTCTAGCTTTCCTTGGGGGAACCAAAGAAATATGTTCTATCAGTCTTTGATGTGGGTGGGAGTGAGGTCTGCAATATGTTCCCCTCACCTACATCCACTTGGGAGGTGTCCTTATGATGTCCTCCCTTGTGAGGTCAGGACATAATCCAGACTTCAACTTTGTGTGACAGTAGTTCTGTAGGAGATGTAATTAAGGCAGTTTTAGTTACGGCCAACTTCAGGCATAAAATCCAAATTATTTTTGAAGATTGAATAAATGGCATGTACTTGAAACAGTTCTCGGGTTAAACCAGGTATCTGCTGAAATACTTTCAAAGTGTAGAATCTCAGGTTATCTGCGTTTTTATTTATCTGTTCACTTGTAGTTGATACAAGGGGATGGAGTGATATGTTCTTAGCTATTATGGGAAGAAAAATCTGGTATTTCTTGGTGGCTCTCATAAAAACTGGTAAAATGATTCTACATTCAGGTTTAAAAAATGTTCTTTGGAGCTTTATGAGTGCATTGCAGAATATTAAAAGCTGTGTGTATTTTAGGATTATTGTGAAAATAGTGTTGACTTCATGGACCTTTGAAAAAGGTCTTGGGAACACTTGAAAATCCTGCTAGGGCAATGTATCTGGACCTATTTTTTTTTTTGAAGAGAGTGCCATGAGGATATCTGGAGGAAGAGCAGAGCAAGCTGAAAGAACAGCAAATGCAAAGGTTTTGAGGAAGAGACACACCTGACACATTCCAGGGATGAGCATTCCCGAACAGCTGACACATTCCAGCTGGTGGGAAGGGAGTGAGGGGAAAGTGAGTAGCAGGAAAAAAAGTCAGACATCAGGGGAGCAGTAGAGAGGTTGCTGTGACAATTTCCTTGACAGTTTAGCACAGTGGTTAGCACATAATTAGCACTTAATAGATGCTAGTTACCATATTAATATTAAAAGAATACTATTGCCGATCCATTAGCAAGTTTGATCTTTAAAATCAGCATCTAAAACAAACCCTTTAAACGAGAGGAGGGAAAAAATGAAGCAGTGGCTGGAGAGGGATGCTGGGGTCAAGCTACAGCTTTTTTAAAAAAGTGAAATGACTTTTTTAGGAGAAAGACTGTGGGCTGGCCGGATGTGGTGGCTCACGCCTGTCATCCCAGCGCTTTGGGAAGCTGAGGCGGGTGGGTCACCTGAGGTCAGGAGTTCGAGACCAGCCTGACCAACATGGAGAAACCCCGTCTCTATTAAAAATACAAAATTAGCCGGGCTTGTTGGCGCATGCATGTAATCCCAGCTAGTCGGGAGGCTGAGGCAAGAGAATCTCTTGAACCTGGAAGGCGGAGGTTGTGGTGAGCTGAGATCGCACCATTGCACTCCAGCCTGGGCAACAAGAGCAAAACTCCGTCTGAAAAAAAAAATATATATATATATATACTGTGGGCTGAGGAGAATAATCTAGCTGAGAGAAAAGATTAAATGATGCAAAAAAAGAGAGGAGAATTACTGGAGCAATGTCCTTATATATGCGAGATGGGGTGGGATGGCGTGAGGAGCTGGGCTTCCCTCAGAGCAGGTCAGTTTATCCATACAAGCCACTTTATCCATAAAATGCAGTAGGGGCAGAGGTTGGCACTTCTAGAAATTATTTTCTGATTATTTTGATTTTCCCAGTGGAATATGAAGTTAGGTCGTCAGCTGAGAATCAAGATGGAGAGGGTATGGAGGTCTGAGGCTAGAGGAAAGGTATGAAATGCTTGAACAGGGGCGTGGGAAAGGGAATAGACTAGAGAAATGCAGCAGTGTGAATATCAAGTTGCATTTAGGGCACACCTGAGCCGGGTGACCAGGACTCTAAGCGCTGTCAGCCTGGTGTGGGATCATGTTCAGCTGCTTGGGTGCAGTAAGTGAAGTGGAGGACAGGGTCAAACCACTGTTGCGGTTTGTCTGTGTGTGCCAGGAAAAGCGTGGGTGGATACAGTAACAAGCTCTGGAAATGATGTTGGATGAAGAGTGAGGGCTCGAGTCAGGTCCTAGGGAGTAACCATGGGACTGAGCAGCTGAGGTAGGAAGGAAGAGAAGACTGTTGGCAGAGGTTAAGTCCAAGAATTAAACTTTAATCATTCAAATTTAAAAAAGGAAAGAAAGAAAAGAAAGAGTACTAAAAGAAACTGTATAATTTTAATGATTTTAGATATGCATTAGAGATGCGTTAATAACAGGTTTTGCTGGGGAAAATCTCTAGCTCATGTATGCACAGCTGGGGGCCCTCTTTAGTAAAATACAAAGACCGTTTTACTTAGAACACAAAAAGAAAGTATCCTAAAGAAAGAAATAAATCTGATTTGGATTTTTTTTTTTAAATTTACAAATGAAACCCTGAAATGCATTGAAGAACACGAGTCCCAGTTTGAGTTCCTATTAGGCAAGTTATATAACCTCTTCAAACCTTACTTTTCCTCATATGTAAACGTTCATAAGGATATTCTGAGGATTAAGGAGATAAAACCTTCAGCCTGGCATACAGTAAGTGCTAGTAAATGCCAATTACGTATTCAGGAATCTTGACGTGAAGGGCACTTTTTCCAATAGGGCACCTCCGAACGTCAGAAGGGTGTGAGTGAATGAGAAGCTAGTGAAATCTTCCAGTCACAGGGAAAGAATTCTCATGCATGTTCTGCCTTGGACAAGCCAGAAACCAGAACTGTTTGTAAACCTTTTTGTAGATTTTGTAGATTGAGTATCATCTAAGTAGACAGAGCTTTTTATCATAGATCTAGCTAAGATTCCACAGTAGGAAGGGAAGAATGTTGAAGGAAATTCAACCTTCCCTTGGTAATAAACACTTCTACCTTATCATCATTCATGGATGTCACAACAATTTTAAATTATTACCGTTTGAGTATTTGTGGTCTTACTCTTTCTCCTCTTAGAGAGGCAACACCCTAGCCTGTTGGATCAACTCCTTCATTGTCATTTGCTATGGAACAAGGGAGTGGATATAATGAAGGGAGAGGAGAGAATCACTTTATGGCATTGCCTTAAGGCCCCAGGGTGTGTGGAGTAATTGAGGGTCTGGAGTGAACAGGTGAGTCACAGGAACTTTACTTTCCTGTACAGTGGTGGACTGGGGGTAGTTGAAGGGAGAGGCGAATATGAGCATATGTGAGACATTCTGTAGGAAATACTTGGGTGAGGAAGGAGGCCGGGGTCCCATCGGAGTAAGTAAGGGAAATAGCCAGTAGTAAAATGTGGATTATTGTCATCATTGTAACCCCATGTTTGTCTGTAGGCTGATAAAGCTTGGGGAGCTTGATGTACTCTTTAATTAGCCACAAGCAATGTGATCATATGATATATAAAACATTAAAATTATTATTATTTTTTGAGACAGAGTCTCCTTCTGTGATCCAGGCTGGAGTGCGGTGGTGTGATCTTGGCTCACTGCAACCTCTGCCTCCTGGGTTCAAGCAATTCTCCTGCCTCAGCCTCCTGAGTAGCTGGGATTACAGGCGTGTACCACAATGCCTGACTAATTTTCTTGTATTTTTATTGGAGACAGGGTTTCATCATGTTGGCCAGGCTGGTCACTTCTGAGCTCAAGTGATCCGCCCACCTGGGCCTCCCAAAGTGCTGGGATTACAGGTGTGAGCCACCGCGCCCAGCCGAAAACAATACAATTGTGAAGCAGTTCTACACCATGTTCGTAGCAGCGTTATTCATAGGAGCCAAAAAGTGGAAGCAACCCAACTGTTCACTGATGGATGAATGGATAAACAAAATGTGGCACACACATATAATAATGGGACATTATTCAGCCTTGAACTGGAGGGAAATTCTGACAGGTCACTGTGAGGTGAAAGGTCGCATTTTCAGGTGTCAGGGAATCTTTACTGCAATTTGCTGACATTATTGAACACCACCACATTTAGCATATTTTCACATAACAAAAAACACTACATGTATGTACTTAACATTTTATAGGGTCGATCTTCCTTATTCATGGTTTCAGTATTTGCTAATTTACCTACTCACTAACATTTATTTGTGACTCCAAAATCAATACTTGTATGTAATTTTTCACATGTGAAAAATTGGAGTTGCCCAATGTGCACATTCGCAGCTAAGGTTGAACCTGGCTGTGCTCTGTCTTCTTGTTTTAGCTCTCATGCAATAAACAAGCACCCTTTCATGACGTGGTTTTGCATTTTTGTACTTTTTGTTGATGATCTCACTGTTTACAGCGGCCCCCTGTGCGGAAGTGCTGTCTGGTTTTTTCCTAAAAGTAAAATGTTATGATGTGCATTATTGAAAAAATATGTGTATTAGTCAGGCTTCCTTCAGGCATGAGCTATAGTGCCGTTGGCCCTGAGTTCAGTGTTAATGAATCAAGTATACTTACATTTTGTTTAAAGAATGTATGTATATGTTTTATTAAGAATATAACATATAACATGTGATGTTATATATGTCATATATATTGTTAATATATATGTATATACACATATTCTTTAAACAGAAGCACACATAAAATGAAATTATATGTTGATTAATTGACAAAGATGTTGTGACCAGAGGTTTGCAGGAACCTAAACCTAGTATTTCCCATAGGGTCAGTGGTTCAATATCTGTTAATCTAGAGTTGTAGTGACTTTATTGAACATAACTACTGCAAATAATGAGAATCAAATGCGTGTTAAACTATTTTAAGGGAAAAATAGTATTAATTTCTGTGCTTTTCAAGGAAAACCAATATTTGAGTTGAAATCCATCAGTTTAGAACCTATCAAATGAGAATAGTATATCAAATCAGAATAGTATACCCAAAAATCTCTTCTGTAAAAATAGATACTAGTTTATGCTTTAATTTTCAACACGCTTAAAAAAGAATTTGAAGATAGAACACAGAATTACTCATTTCATTTAAGAAGACCATTTTTCTCTCCTCACCAAGCACATATCTGGCTTTGAGATAATTTGTTCATGTCATAGAAAAATGTCTTTTATTCTAGAAAGATCATAAAGGCTTGAAATGACAAATAGATACCATTGTGTGTGCTAACGCCAACATTTTATATTACCTCTTAATCTTTAGTTTTAATTAATTATTGCCACAACTGATCTAGCAATTAATAGTACATTTCTTGCTTTTATAGTTGATTTAATTAATTAATTAATTAATTTTTTTTTTGCTGGCCATGTTTTATTTGTCCTTTTACTTCAAACAGGATAACCAAAGATATAGACAGTATTCAATAAAATAAAATAGATGAAACAAATTCTAAGAGACTGTGACGCCACATGCTACATTTAACCTAATTTTATTCATGCTTGCCTTGGGATGGGGAATAGATCATTCAGTGAAAACAAAATGTCTTATCATGTACAACTTTTAAACTATAATAATGATGTACCTTAATTACTTCCATGCACACAATTCTAACATTCATTTTTTTAAAAAAATAAACACAATTAAGACTTCTAGAGCATTTTATAATAAAGTAATTCCTAATTAATTTTTCTTTGTAGCTAGATCAAGCACCTCCAAAATACAAATTCCTATACACAGTGAGCACGTTACTTAAAATGAGTATGTGGACCGCCTTAGGATAAACTGACATAGATTCGGCTAGGTAGGCAACAAACCATAGTGCCAAATGGAAAAAGTGTATTTGCAAATAAATTTTAAAAACTAAGTTAATTTTTATAATTAAATACAGAAAATATATTGATTTGCTAAAATAAATAAGATGTGATGTATTAACACTTCACTATAAAGAATGAATACCAGAACATTTATAAACAGTGAATGAGTCTTATTAAGAATAGTTTACTACAATACACACTGGCTAAATAGAAGTGCGTTTTGTGAAGCACTATGGGTGGTATGTTTTGCCGCATATTTTTGTTACTTTGAGGTAGATAACACACATATACCAAATTCAGCATTCATTTTCAGTTGCTTCTGGTATCGTGTGTTTTACGAAATGTGTACAGTATGAAAAACTTGAAACTACTCATGAATGAAAAATGTCTTAGGATAAAAATAGATATTTTCATGCAATTATGTACAGTCTCACTGTAAATTTCAAGGCAAAATTTGTTTCCTGTAAAACAGATCATTGTTCTATGAGAGGATGGTCTTCACTTGTCTTAGTGCATTTCTTTTGTCTCCTCCTGCATTGCATTATTTTGCTCTATTCATTTTGCAAATGACATGTCAGTTAAAATGAAAACTATCTCACATGTAGAAAAAGAAAGTCTGGATTTTAAAAACCAAGTACTCATAAAATCCTTACTAAATGACACCATCTGATTCAAGTAAAAAATGACTTAAACTCTAGTAATAAAAAAGACAAAATACATTTCATAAGAATACAAAGATAAATGTCTGCTGAGTGTTTTAGTTCAGATGTTCAGAATGCCGCTGTATGTTTGATGAGGAATTTGAGGGGAAGATTTCATAGCAGAAGCTGTTAATGTGGCCTGTATTGACTTAAGTGGTGACCCAACTGGACTGTGAAACTGCGGGATGCCTATTGGGCTCGAGCTGCTTATTAAAGAGGAACTCCTCACTGTTGTTCAGAAATCCTTCCTCATTTCTCTCTCCCCAAGCTTCCCATCCTCTACTGGCTCAGTTTCTAGCATTTCAGGATCTTCTTTCCTGCTGAAGAACTTGTCTAAGTAACTAGTGTGTTTTCCTTCTTAACTTGTTCATCCTTTCTTACTTCACAAAACTGATTTATGAGAAAACAGTTCTCCCCATCACTCACAAACTGGCTGTCCCAAGAAGATGGGTACAAAGTTTCTAATTGAGCCAGATTTGCCATTCCTTTTTCCTGTTTTTCTTGACTTACTGACTTTGATATCAAACTTTTCAATTCTAGTTGGGACACTGAGCTATTCAAGTCGATTTAATTTATCAACAACATCAGTAGACTCATGTTGGAAACTAAATTGAATAGTTCCTGCAATAAAGGAATGAAAATCAAATCCCTGATTCTTTTCCCTTTCTTTTCCAGCCAGTTGCCGTGATGCTTCCTCTAGCGCTATCTGGGCTTTAACCAATCCATTCCTTTCACATTTTGATTTTCTTTTCTTATCAGATTTTTCTTTGCTTTGTTCTTTCCAATTGGAAAGATCTGTAATAAGCTTGGGTTCATAGTAACAGTTAACTTCATTCTCTCTCCAAACTAAGTTATCTAAATATGATCATGACCTCGTTTTGTAATTACAAGTATGGCTACACTCCAGATCACAATATTTGTTTTCATGATGATCTGGGTACTGCCAACAAGGCTCAGCAGAGTAATTGGTATGGAAAGCAGGATCCCCCAGATACCTTTCCCGATCTCCATCCAAATAATTTCAGGGATCGACTTGTACTTCTTCATCAGTGACATCAGACAGAGCTCTTGGATTAAGCTGAACTTCATCAATATCAAAGTTGTTATGTATAGGCCAATCATGCTCTGAAAACTGACAGTCATAGTACCTTTCCCAGTTATAAATGTGACTGTGAGTTTCATCCATAAGCAAAATATTATGAGCTTCATCTTCAATATGAAAAGGATGGCTTGAAATTGGCTTATCCATTGGAAAAGAACATATGCTCATGTAAGGATGGGAGAGCGCTTCTTCTGCTATTAACCAATCCATGGGGCTAAATGTCAAAATTTGTTCCAGGAAATTCAGTGCTTCGCGACTAATTCCTGGAAGTAGCTGAGTTAAAGGTTTGTGTGGCTCAGTCATGTGATTTCTAATGTAAACTGGAATTACGCTGAGAAGCTCCTGACGATCTTCCTCATGTGCAACAGGAATAGATTCTAAAGTCAGCTGCATCTGTTCAAGTTCATGTGCACCTGCAAAAAGGGTTTTACAAAACAGTCAGCATTTCAGCAGAGATGCAGCCTGCAGCCCACATGTCAATGGCTTTAGTATAATTATTAGGAGAAAGTAAAAGACATGGAGATCTGTACCATTTAGTAACCAATCCTTCAAAAGATGACTCTTACGGGAATAATGAGGATCCATGATCCGTGCAAGACCAAAGTCGCCTATCTTCAGCACCAAGTCTTCAGTATTAATGAAAAGATTAGTTGGTTTGAGATCTCTGTGCAGTACATTTGCAGAGTGAATATACTTGAGCCCCCGTAGCAGCTGATACATGAAAAGCCTGGCATGCTCTTCCAGTAAAGGGCCCTGCTCCAGCACTTTAGACAAGTCTGTCTTCATGTACTCCTGAACAATGTAAACACTGTTTAGTTCCGTAAGAGAGCCCACATCATCTGTTAATTGGCTCCCACTGGGACCAGGAATTTCAAACACTTTCACAATGTTATCATGGTCAAGTCTTCTAATAATCTTGATTTCACATAGAGCATGTTTGACACTCTGGGGATTGGTAAGGACAATTTTCTTGATGGCTACTCTTTTGTCACAATCATTGTCTACAGCAGAAAAAAACAAGTAATTGCCTCCACAACCCAGTGGTTTTAAGTCCATATACGTAGAATCCAGATCAAAACCATGAATGTTCATGAGACTTTCAAATTTCTCTGCCACTTTGAAACCCTTATGATTGCCTTTTCCTTTGGAATTGTTGAACTTGTGTAAACAAGGAAGAAAACTGGCATCAAAAGGAAAGATCTTTCAAAAAGGGATAAGAAAAATAATTATGCTTCCACAGCAAGATGGTTTCTTGATGTTCATTGCTTCTGCCAAACAGGCCTGTTGATTTCCCCGTAGGTTTAAAGCTCAAAAAGCTCTACTCATGTTGAGAATTTAAAAGATTGCAGTACTCATAGTTCAAGAAAGGGGCAGCAACTCTGCAGACATTTAAAGAAGACACTCAAGAAACTCAAACAGAATGAAATGACATACTATGCACTCAGATTACTCTGCTAAACGATTTAACATTTAACAAAAATGTGAATAAATATGCACACAACAGGCTTCTATGAACATTCTCCTCACAGTGCAGATACATTCAGTGTTGGACTGGTCCTGAGCAGCATCGTTCTAAGGTGCTGGTAAGCACTATTTGCGTTTTGCTTCTTTTCTTCCTTTGTTGCTATATATTTCAACAGGAACCCCTGGCGGCTGTTGGATAACAGAAGATGTCCTTTGTTAATGAACAGGTGGCTCCAGCTCACCACAATTAAAATCAAAGCTACTGTCCATCTTACTCTGATACAACGGGACTTCTCTGACTCATCAAGAGAGTGCAGGCCCCGCGGACAGCCCCCAATGTCAGCTCAGGTCTCTGGCTGTGCTGGCGGCAGTGGTGTCTCTGAGGCCCTCACTTTGCCGCAGTCACCGCCATGTAACACCGACCCGTGAGAGAGGGCCATGTTGGTTTAATTTAAAAGGAACAACCCTGAGACTAGAGACATTCTTAGAGACAGAAGGATGTGGTTTACTTTTATCAGTACATTTTATTTCCTTTTCCCTATCGTAAAGACCCTGGCATCACTACTCAGTGTTTATGTAATAGATTCCCAAGATGGTCTTTAAAAATAGGAGCTGTATTTTGCTCCTATGAGTTCATATTGCTTAATGTTTGAATTAGAAGAAAAAACTTTTGTTAGGTCACTTTCTTATTAAGTTTATATTTGAACAGTTAGTAAGCAGGCATATTGAAATGCTGTATGACATAACCGCTCTTATCTTTGAGGCAATGCAGTGTTGTGGTTAAGATCATGGACTTTGTGTTTTGAGAAAGGCCTGGTCTTAAATCCCAGTTGTCCTATTTACCCTCTAAGTGACTTCGGGTAAGTTACTTAATCTCTGTAACCCAGCCTTATCTCTGAAATCTGGACAATCAATGTACCTACCTCACAGAGTTGTCGTGATGATTTGCATGAGATAATTTGAGTATTTAGAACTGTGGCTGGAACATATTGGTTCTTAAAAGAGATAAATTATTGTATTGATGTTAAAAGAATATAGATGATGTTCCACAGTAAGTAAATAAAATCAGCATCTAAAACAAACTTGAATTGTGATGATCAAGAAAAAAAATGTTTACCTTGCAAAGAAATACAGATCTGCCCACTGTCATGAGACAGTGGCTTCCCATTAGCTCTGTTTTAGATCATTTCTAAATTTACTAGATTGTAAAATCTCATTATGAAAGCCTAGACAGGGTGATGTATGTGGAGTTCTGTTTATAATTAACACCTTATAGAATGTAATGTTTTTAACCAATGAATTTTTAAACAAAAGAAAAAGGGATTTTCAACTAATAAAAGTCCCTCCCTCACCTCAGAGGTCACCTTCTCAGGGCGACCTGCCCTGGTGATGCTATCCAGCATTGCAGTCCCCACCCCCAACCTGGCATGCCCCAACTTCCTTTCCTTCTTAACTTCTCCCCTTAGCACTGATCACCACCGAATACACTAGATAGTACCATTTTCTCTAAATCCATCTTCTAATATTAGAATATAAACTCCATGGGGGCAGGGATATTTGTCTATTTTTTTCCCTGCCCTGTCTCCTGTGCCCAGAACACTGCCTGTTACATAGTCATTGCTTAAACGATATTTGTTGAATGAAAAAGGGAATGGTTCTAGTTTTGAGAAATTCTTTTATATATTTTAGCTGTTATGATAATGTTCATCCTTCTCTTTGCTATCTATTTGGTAAGAGGAATGAAATTTTAGAGCAGTGTCCTGCTCGATATACCCTCAAGATTTTAGAGCAGGGTATGCAGTGTATTAATTCTTTGTTTTCTTTGCCATTTATTAAAATAGTGTGTATTTTGTGCAGGAGATCAACAATTAGTAGAATGCAGTCCTTTCTTATAGTGGGGGAGACAGCTATATGTACAGATATACAGATGGTCTTTGACTTTTGATGGTTTGACTTAAGATTTTTCAAATTTACGGTGGCAAAAGCAATACATATTTAGTGGAAAACATACTTTGAATGCCCATACAACTATTCTGTTTTTCACTTTCAGTACAGTACTCGATAAATTATATGAGATATCCAACACTGTATTATAAAATAGGCTTCATGTTAGATGATTTTGTCCAACTGTAGACAAAATGTGAGTGTTCTGAGCACATGTAAAGTAGGCAAAGCTAAGCCGTGATATTTGGCAGGTTAGGCGTATTAAATGCATTTTCAGCTTATGATATTTTTAGCTTTCTATGGGTTTAAGAGGATGTAATGCCATTGTAAGTTGAGGAGCATCTGTATATGGTATACAACCATGCATGCAAATATATATGGTAATGGATACATGCTGTCACAGAAACAAACATAGCGGGCACTCTTGAGCAGATATGGAAGGCTTCCAGAGAGGGTCACATTGAGCTGAGTATTGAAATGTGGTTAATGACAGTCGTGCACCAGGAAAAGGATAGCATTCTAGCATGACTGAACTGCACAATGGCTTTGGCATTTCCTCCTAGTACTCTGCTATGAAGCGTCCACTGAATTCATGGAACTTAGTTCTCATAGAAATTATCTTGATGTTTTTGTTAGACTGTCTACAACAGGAAAGATGAACTAGAAAATTTACTGAGTTGTTTATACTCTTATTATGATCAAATAAGTGTTTTTGAATTAAATATATATAAAATTAGAGTCATTATTGTCTTAAGGTACATAGTGGAAAACTCAATAATAGTTGAAGGAAGCTGATTTGTTTGCATTGCTGTGTTTTGGACATAGAGAATTATTACTGGGGTAATGTGTTTTGTTTTAAAGAGTAATTTGGCTTAGGTATTGCTATTCTTCAGAATATGATTTCTGCCATTTTTAAACCCTATTATTCTTACAGCTTCATGTCTTCTGTCAGGTCTTCACATCATTTATCAAAATTTCCATCCTGAGGATGATAAAAGTTCAGGTATCTCATTCCAAATTGGTTGTGAAAATTACCTAGATTTCATCTTCCTGTTTTCCTTCAAATAAAGGAAATATTTGCAAACTTTTTATTTATCAGTGACATAGTAAAATAACTATTAAGATATGATTTGAAAGAATCCACATGGAAGGGCAAGAAAGACACCCTTGCCCTACCTTGGCATACAGGCTATAACTTACCTGTTTATTTCCTAACCCAAATGATGTATCAAAACAGGCCACTGTCTGTATTGTATCTATCCGTCCATCCATCCATCCATCCATCCATCCATCCATCCATCCATGCATCCACTCATCCCCTAACAACTTGAATATAGATCCTATTTATGTGCTGGACTTACAAAGACTAATGAAACACGTCTACATTTTAGCTGTTCACTATCTAGTGTGGTTATCTAATGTTGAAGAAAAGCTAGAGACATGCTTCTAATAAATGCATAATTTAATTTAGCAAAACAGTTTTTGGAAAAATAGAATTGGAATTTGAAAGTGTGTGCCACTCATGAAATAAGGGTTACGTGGGGCTTTGTTTCACATGGAGCATGAGAGTGGCAATGTGTAGTAATGGAGATTAAGTTAGTACAGCAAACAGGCCTTTATGCCTTTTATACTTACTAATTGTGTGATAATAAAGGAGTTATGTAACATATTAAAACCTCAGTTTCCTAATTTTAAAATAGAGATACATTCATATGGTTGGATTGTTATACAGATTAAACGAGATAACTGCAAGTGAGCTTTGATTTACTTCTTGTTTTTTCATACTTTTTCCTGTGTTAGTCGTGTTTCTGCAGTTTGTTAAATTCATGTGTACATTTTCTAGTGGTGTTTGAAGGTGTAATAATCCTTCCAATTTGTTAATACATTTAGAATAGTGCTTTTGGGGCTAGAAGATTGGTGGTGACCATGCTGTCACATTGTTTCTCACTGTTCTAAAGTGAAAGAACTTTATAATGAAAATATTTATTTCATCATGAAAGTGTGTCTCTTGGGACCCAGGACATCAATGAATATGAGATCTAAGTGTAAAAGTGCACTAAGGACTTGGCGCAACTTCCACTATCATTATTTTTGCACCATTGTTAATCTGTATATAAAATAACTTTTTCTTTCCTTAAATCTTTCAGAAGCCCCTTTGAAACTTAGCCCTTAACAGATTTGTCAACTCATGCCTGTTGCTGCTGCTAGCTTATTTAGTCTACTGAAAGGTTATTTATTAATGTCTACAGGTTGCTGGAGCCACTAACTGAAACTTAAGAAAGGTGCAGGTGGGGACTCTTTTAAGCCTCATGCCATGATGGATGTTCATCCAGTCATCATGGTTACCATGGCAAGCACTGGCTGCTACCTGTTTCAGCAGCTTCCTCCTACTCTTTCCTATTTTCAGACTGCTATCTACATTTTACAAGCTCATTGTCACCTTGTTTCTGCCAGTGTTACCTAATTCCATCCTTGATTTCTATGCTTCTAATTGAACTTTCCTGTTTTTATTTTTAAAGGCACCAAATCTCCAGAACAGTCTTAAACAATGTTATAATACCATAAGCTTTAAGTATCATACAATAATAGCCTTTTCCTTTTTAATATAGCCCACTTTCAATGTGATTCTACTTTCCATTTGGGATTGTTGCGTGTAATCCTCTTATAGCCTTTTTCTGGAAATTCCAGATGGTGTTTGTAAATATTGTGCAAGTGTATTTTGTAAATAAATTCCTCAAAATTTAGTCTATGATTTTTTAAAAAAACCGAAGTCTGTAGGCACCAAGACACCAACTTAAGTTTTTAAAAATCACTTAACAAGTAAAATCATTTCTCATGTTGTTTGCAGCCTGTGTAACAGACTGCTGTGTTTGTTGGATAGGAGACAGCTCAATTCTTTATTGGCGTAAAGAATAAAAGAATTATTACACAGAGAGAAATTCCATGTATGCTATATTTGTATGTGCAGCTGATCTAAAGTAGTGATTCATTTTCTATTACCTGTCATATTCTTGTCACGCAAACTTTCTGTACTGGCCTTTTGGATAATGGCCAATTGAAGAGAGAAAAGAAAATCAACCCCCAACATAGAGCTGGAGGGAGAAAGACACGGTATTTATATCAGGAGAGTGTTGTGTAAGAAAACATCGTAACCCTCTTTTTTATTGCCCATTTTCCAGAAATCTTACTGCTATTCAAGTTTAGGTTAACCCCTTTTTGTCTGCAGTTGGGTCTATTTTTACTTTGTTTCTATGTCTTGTGACCATAATGTTTTAACATATAATGTTGGGAATGTAATTATTTTACCACAAATAATTTATGGCTCTTTTCCAAGAATATATAAGCAACAGAATATTGGTTTAAAAAAAGTACTGTTTAGATTTTTTTCTTTCTACAGATGTGACAGTGTAATTCATCCAAGGGAAGCTGCTTGAATCTGCTAATTAAAATGACTTGTTATAGCTCCAATTTCTGTAGGATGAGAAAGAAGTTATATAAGTTATTGGAAGTTATGGGTTCTTATTTCTTAAACATGCTGTAAAATGTGTCTGTGTGTAATTTTTTTCTTTCAGTAGTTCATAGCTGAGATTTTTATCCTGTTAAATGAAAGCCCTCAAAGATTTTCTTCATCACCTTTTATAGAATATAGAATTATGCATCACTTTCTCTTCATAATGTTTACTTACTTTCTTTTGGCAGTTTGGTTTAGATATTCTTCTTGGTACTTTCAAATTGCTCATATTTGTAATAATTCTTCCACTAGACCATTAATAAATTCTGTAACATAGCCCCTGAGAGACTGGATAGTGTATAAAAAGACTAAAAGCTGCTTTATTATTCTGCCCATATTATGAATTTCACAACATTTGTAAAAATAACAGTATGTTTTCCTGATGTGGTTTAGATCTCCACTTTATTAATACTTAAAATACTTAATAAATTAATACTTAGAATACTTAAACATGAGTTGCAAACTTCAGAGCAGAAAAACATCATTAGAGAAAGTCTGGTATCAGAACCTTGGAAAGCTTCATGAAGCTTTACTATTGATTATTACTGGTGACACTACCTTAATGTTTCAATAGCAAGAAAGAATAAAGTCATTTATCCAAGATATAAAAAAGGATCAATAGTATGGTCATACAAGGAATGACAAATACAGTTTTCTGAATATTATCCATCTGAAGCAGAATAGAAATTGGAAAATAACTTTTACTATGCTTGGCCCTGGCCTTGAACTTTTATCTGGTTAATGGAAAAGTTAGAGTGATTTAGGTCAGCCTATTTAGAAACATCTTAGACTGGTTTGTCTTTGGTTGAAGGCATTCATATTCTCTTCTGTCTAAAGAAAATAAAAGAGACAGCTGACCATCCAGATTTAAAGGCTGTCTACTTCCATTCCAACCAAATAGAATTAGGATAAAAATATCCAGCTATAATGTGAGCTGCAAGGGTAGTTTGGGGTTATTTCATCAGCAATCTAAGTGATTTTTCTGATTCCAGCCCTGCTTCCCCCTAGTTCTTTCTCTACAGTTAAAATGATCTGTTTATTTCTTTAAAAGAGAAATATTTTGGGGAAAATGAATGGAAAAGTAAAAAGAAGATAATAGTCTTTCATAGTCCCACCATCCAGAATTAAATAGCATGAACATCTTGTTATATAGTTGCTCCTATTCTTGTTTTTATTTTCTGGAACTAAAATTACTCTGTTCTTTTTGCAAATATAAATATGATACATCAAAGAATCAAAAGAAGTGTAGTAAGTACTGCATCAGTGAGCTTTCAATGTTGGAAGCAAAATATTTTAGGCGTTTTAAGCAGAAAGGGATTTAATTCAGGGAATTGCCTTCTTAAAAAATTCCTGAGAGGTCGGGATGTGTGAAAATCAGAGGCTGCCACTGGACTGTAAGTGTTAAGTTGCCATCTAGAGGTCAGGAGGCCGCTCCTATTACTGGTAGCACTGCTGCCACTGCCATAGCTGTCTCATACCTACAGGGCTGGTGACTAGATGCCGGAATATGGATTCTGGTCACTGCAAACACATACTTCTGTTGGACCTTGTTTTCTGGCTACCTGTTAACAGCTAAAAGATGGCCTTTACTTCACTTTCACCTTTCAAATCTAGTGCATCTGATTGGCAGAACTCAAATCACATCCAGAACCTATGGGAGTCTGGGAAATGGAGTTTTTAGCTTTCCTGCCCATGTGCTCTGAGGGGTTGGGCGGGGGACATGGGGGATGCACATGGATGCCAGATGCCAACAGATAATACCAAACTGAAGCATAAAACTGAAAACTCTAAAAAAACCTTGAAATTCCACTTGCCAGAAATAACTCTAATTAACATTAGGGGTACTTCATTCCAGACATACTTTCTATGCATATAGACAGATAGACAAAAATACCTTAAGAATTAGGTTCATACAATAGATATTTTAAAAGTAATTCATTTTACTTTAACATACTGACAGAATGACTGAATTTCAAATACATTACTTTCCTCTCTTAAAGAGGTATATTCTCCTTTTTTTTTTTTTTTTTTTTTTTTGAGATGGAGTCTGTCTCTGTTGCCCAGAGTGCAGTGGCATGATCTTGGCTCACTGCAACCTCCGCCTTCTGGGTTCAAGCGATTCTCCTGCCTCAGCCTCCCGAGTAGCTGGGATTTACAGGCACCCACCATCACACCCAGCTAATTTTTTATATATTTTTTAGTAGAGACGGGGTTTTGCCATGTTGCCCAGGCTGGTCTTGAACTACTGACCTCAGGTGATCCACCTGCCTCGGTCTCCCAAAGTGCTGGGATTACAGGCGTGAGCCACCATGCCTGGCCCAAGAGGCATATTCTTTAAAAATATATGTACAAAGTTATGGAGTATAT
Organism: Homo sapiens; assembly: GCF_000001405.40. Classification (NCBI taxonomy): domain Eukaryota; kingdom Metazoa; phylum Chordata; class Mammalia; order Primates; family Hominidae; genus Homo; species Homo sapiens. The sequence continues at coordinate 42,079,264 of NC_000013.11, forward strand.
GCACAAAGTTATTTGTATATTTTTAAAAAATATATACCAAGTTATGGGTATATGTACAAAGTTATGGGGTATATGTGCAATTTCATTACATGCACAGATTGCATAGTGATCAACTCAGGGCTTTTAGGGTATACATCACCCAGATAATATACAGTGTACCCACTAACCAATTTCTCATCATCCATTCCCCTCCTACCCTCTCGCCCCTCCAAGCCTCCGTTGTCTCATTTCACTAAAAGAGGGATATTCTTAAAGAAACCTCTAGGTTTAAGAACAGAGTAAAAAAATGATTTCAGTTGCTTTGGTCAGTGGGTTTTTTTGCTCTTCACCCCCATTCCAGTTTAGGTGTGCTCCCTTGACCTACTAGGAAAGATGAACTATTCTCACTCACGGAGTTCATCCCTGTCCCCTCCCACCACCTCCTAACTTTGTATGATCATGTCGACCTTTTGTTTTGTAACCATAATGCTAACTTTAAAAATTATTTTTATTTGAATGCATTCAGCACTCACCATAAGTCATTTTACCACAGTTTGTGCACTTCTGAGTTCTTTATTTTTGACTCTGTTCTTAATTACTTGTATTTCATTGTTAAGTAGTACTTCCAAGAATGGTGCATGGGTGTTTTTTGAGTTCTTTGAGGTTTGAAAATGTCTGCTTGTTGTTTTTAATACACAAATAACTTGGCTAAATATGACACTCTTTGGTCCCATTTTCCTTCCACTTTCTTTTGACTTTTTTATTGTGGAAAAACCTGAGGTCAGCCTGATTTTCTCACGTTGCTTTTTCGATCAGGATAACCTGAAAAATTCTTTCTTTATCTTTGAAGTTCAATAATTTAATGTCTTTGTTTTCACTATACCCAAATACAAAATTAAATTGCTACTTAACATGGTAATTTAGATTTCTTCCTCATCTGTTGGTGCCCTTTTTATTGTATGCTTTTTGATGTGGTGCATTCTACAGAATAGTTAATGTTTGTTAGATCAAATGTAAGAGTGTTACAGAAGGCATTTAACTGCACGATTCCAGATTCACTCTATACTTTATGAGGTGCTGAGTTTCGTACCATATAGGTGGATGAGCACTTGTGGTTATGAGATGGATTTCTGCCCCCTGGGAGAGAAGTTCCTTCCCAGCTTTGTTATTCCTTAATGAGTATATTATGACTTCCAGTATAAGCTCATACCTAGGCCGTATTCTAGTGAAATTTTTTGAGTGGTCATTATGTTTGGTGTAATGAAATGAATGAACTGTTTCCGTTTCTTGGTCATAATCTCTTGAAAACTAACTTCTGAATTCATTTTACAGAAATCTTCCTCGAAGAGTTTTAGATTCGGAAAAGGCTACTAAATATGACAATTGTGAATGAAGGAAAAATCAAGTCTACAATATTATATTAGAGTATAACAAATAATCTTTGTGACTATTTATTTGCCTGTCCTACTTTTTTTTTTCTTGAAATCTGTAAGCTCCAGGTTTCCAGGCATTTTCTGATAAGTATACCAATTTTAACTGTTATTTAAGCTTTCCTCGGAAGATTTTTATCTCATTATTTATCCGAGTTTTATATATTACAGCTTTTTATAAGATTTTATTTGAAAAAAGAGGCTTTATTGAATTTAATAGTTTAGAACTATGAATCTAAGTTCATATCACTTTACAGGCGAGGAAACTAAGAATCAGAGAAGTAAGTGACCTAGCCCAGCCCAGCCAGTAAGTCACAGAGCCTGACTCCTAATTTTTATGCTTCTTTAGCCAAACAATACTGGGAAATGAAAGCTTGGATTATTCTTTGTTCAAAATTTACCATGCTATATACATATTTTTTAATATTAGAGATACATTTTATTTTGAAATAATTACTATCATGGTTGCCAAATGAATTTTCCAATTTTATCGTTCTTTATTTTCATCATTCTTTTCTCTATTTAGGTTGCCATGCTACTAAGAAAAATCTTTCTCTCCTATTTTTTTTTTCCTGGAGATGTGTTCTCGCTCTGTTGCCCAGGCTGGAGTGCAGCGGCACGATGTTGGCTCACTGCAACTTCTACCTCCTGGGTTCAAGCGATTCTCCTACCTCAGCCTCCCAAGTAACTGGGACTACAGGTGTGCACCACCACGCCTGGCTAACTTTTGTGTTTTTAACAGAGACAGGGTTTCACCATGTAGGCCAGGCTGGTCCTGAACTCCTGACCTCAAGTGATCCACCTGCCTTGGTTTCCCAAAGTGCTGAGATTACAGGTGTGAGCTACTGCGCCTGGCCTTTTTCTCCTATTTTTAAAATTATCTTTGTATATATCAGTTTGGACTTAAACAGCTCCATGTTTTATTCAATGTATATAAGCCATTAGAATTATTATTTCTTTGGATGCCTGAATTGTCTCAGATTATAACAGTAGGAGCCACCTCAGGCTGTTTTCTCAATTCTTCTGATATGTCCCCAGCATTCTTAAGCACTTAATTTTCTGGCATAATGAGATATCCAGAGTTCATCTTGCTCTCTCTTTGCCCCAGCTTTGAAATAGCTCTTTCTCCAAGGATTCCTGCTTCCTTTCCGTGAAGAATAGTATTTAGAAACCAAGATCTGAGCCTTAGGTGTGCTCATTGGTATTGAGGTGTCACTGTTCCCAGGCCCTCTCAGTGGACAGAGTTACATCTTATTTATTTTTGTATCAATTAATATTGAAAACAATGAGTTCACATAGGAACCTTTGATTCCAGTCCACCCCACAAAGTTCATTCACATTTTTTTCCTTAGACAGTGAGAAATGTGGCTCTCATTATCCTCAATATATTTAACCTATCAGATCAATCCTCATTGCTATCCTCATTCCATGTAGTCTCTCACACCTCCTGTTGGGCTGCACACGTATCCTTCTTGCTCTGCTTGGACTCTGACACTGGCACTGGCTCATGAGGAGACCTGCATTACCCTTCTGGGCATTTGACACCCCACACTTGTCTACCTTGCTCAGTCTCACCTAATGGCTTTTGGGTTGAGTTATTAAAGAAGGGAAAACATCTTACATGTTTATTGATAGCAATAATAGCAAAAGTAAAGCTATTTTAAAAGAGTATTTTTCTAGACCTTACAATTGTATTTTTAATGACCTTCTTTATGTCCTTAGGATTTTCATATTCTTTACTTAGTGTTTATTCTCATGTTGTTTGCCTTATTATCCCAAATTATATTCAGCCATCAATTTCTATTACAGGATTTTTCCTTCCCCAGAGTTAATACATTTCCAAGACAAAGACCCATTTTCTTTTGAACTTTAGTTTATGGTACAGTGATTTTGCTTGAGGTCATGGATGATTGGATCTCACTGCTTGTCCTGCAGTAGAAATAATGTTTGTAAAATAATGCTAGGTTGCTCCAAGTAGTCAGTATTTTCAAGTCACCATTTTCACCAGGTTCTAGAATGCTGTCTAAATTTACTAAGAGAAAGGCACTCCATATTGACATTTCTTGTAGAAGGTTAGATGCCCCTTCTGTGGACATCAGTAATACTCTGTATTTCCCTTTCCTTTACATGTACAAATTGCATTGTCAATTTATATTTGTTTCCCCACTAAAGCCTCCAAACCTTGCTTGTTTTGTTTAAGTATCCCTGGGGCTCATCACAGGGCCTGTTGAAGTTCTTTTGAAATGAATTGAAGAATGTGAATAATAGTTCTAGTTCTTCGGGATAATGGAAAGCTAATAAGGTTTATGCTAGAGGCTCTTACTGCTGGGACTCTCTTCCTGTTTTTGGTTTTTAGGAAAAAAGCTAGAAAATCCAACTTCAGCTAGAGTAACAGTAGTAACTGACTTGAAAGTATGTCAAAACAAAAACTGTTAAGGTCATGAGGATTTTAAAAGATTAGTGAATATAAATGAAGATGTTTAAAGATGACACTGTTAGTAAATATGCTGCCAGTGGTCAGCATTTTAAAATGTGTGTGAAGCAAAAAACAAAAACAAAAACACAAAAAAAGAGGGAGAGAGATTTGCTTCGTGCTTCAAGGAACTTGCAACTTAAATGATGAGAAATCCAGAGGGGTGGTGATGCGAGGGTGTGGTGATACTGTAAGTAGTGGTATGACGTCGGAAGGTCATTGAAACTCTTTTTTCCGCTTGTAAAATGGTGACATGCTCTCCTCTTTCTGTTTTATTCAGCTGCGAGGCTCAAATGGAGAACTTTTAAAAACCATAGTTATACAAATGCAAGTTTGGGTTATTTTACTATTTGGTAATGCAGGAAGTTCTGGCGGGGTTCCTGGCGCCATTTTATCTAGCGCCGCCGCTGTAGGCGTGGAAGTACCTTCCCTGCCCTGGGGTATAGCGGAAGTTTGGATGCGGGCTGAACTGGGCTTCGGGTTGGACTGGGCTTCTGTGGCTTCCCTGAGCAACTCGTTGCTTCTTGAGGACCCATGTCTGGGTCACTAACCCACCCACTAATCTTTTCCCTTTAGGGAGCCCAAGCTACTAGGACAGACAACTTAACCTCTGTCTTTAAAAGCTTTTAAAGAAATATTGAAAAAATGAAACAGGCTAAATAAAAAGAGAGAGAAGAGAAAAAGTACTCCTGGAAACCAACGATATTTTCTCAAGTATTGTACTTTGTAAGAAATAAAAGTGGAATTAGTGTTAAACCCACTTTCAAGAAGCATGAACGACACGGGGATGGGCAGCATTCCTGCCCGTCTCTACCTGGAATGCAGGTAGAGACAGCGACCAAAAGTGACCTTTTACAGGTAGAGACAGCGACCAAAATATGAGAGCAAATTATGGTGAAGCCATAACTAGAAATTGATCACTAACCTTTAATCAGAATCTAGACATAATTATTGATATAAAATAACTCCTGGTCATCCATATTCATGTAAATATATTCAATATTTAATATAAAAGACAATAGACATTTATACATATATGTCTTGCATCATAGTTTGTATACGCTTACAGATGCTTGCTCCATAAAATTATTTTTAAAAATCACTTAAAAATTTTTTTTTGCCATGTTTATTCACAGGTATCTCTTGGAAGTTCTTTGCTGTTCATTTTATTGCTGTCCAAATAGAAATAGTACAATCTGTTTTCTTTTTCTTTGATACTACATCTTAGGAAATGATCCCATCTGCTATTCAGTGTTGTATATAAGAGTGCTTGTGTGTTTTTAGTTTAGGTGTAAATATTTAAAACTACCAGATTTTTTTAAAGGAAGTTATTCACAATAGCCTCATTCATCTTAAAGAGTTTTATAATTAAAAATTTTAGGTAACTAGATCTATGTTTATATAGAGTTAACCTTAGTTATATGTATTACAATGTATTGCGTATTTTTAAACAAATGTTAAAATAACTTTGATGGCTATGTTTTATTTAACCTTTATATTTTTAGAATATAATTTTACAGTTAACAATATTCTTTATAGGTTGCTACAGCTAAGGATTAGACTTTTTTTTTTCCAGGCTAGTAGTATAAACGTGCTACTAGTTTATATACCCTTAATAATTTGGGTTGGTAGTGTCTGGCAAAATGACAAGGACTTTAATGCCACCTAGGTTCTAACCATAACTAAGATGTATAGCAATTTGGAAAACAGATGTTAGTGGTTAATTTAATCTTGCTTTATTAACCTAGTGAAAAGTTTCATAATGATTGTTCTTAGTAAAAAAAAAAAAATTAATCCTATAAATAGATATGTATGCATTCTGGATTTCTGTTTTTGCTCATGATACTTTACATTGCTATTTTTATTCCTACTTTTAAACATGAAGCAGTTGTCCATTTTGAGTTACCCATTTTATGAATTGGCATATGATATAATATAAGAAAAAAATTTAAATTTAGGTTATGTTAATGCAGATGATATAAAAACAGCTGAGACATGCTAGATCATTACCTGAATTAATAGCTGGGGGATACTGACCAATGCAGTCTTTATAGGGCATGCGAAACCTCTTAGAATATAACTGAATATGTAAATCATAATTAATGTTACATTTCATGCTGGTGAAATGTAGGTGAGCAAAATAGTTTATGGATTCCCTTTCTCCCTTCCCCCTATGCTTCTCTCTCCCCAAAATGGCCGTCCTGCCTGTGAACCTCTCTAGAAGCTGCCCAGAAATGCCATGGTTCCATGGAATACACTCTGAGATACATTGCTGTAAAGGGAAAAGCCCAGTGATTGTGATTTGGAGTTTGTGGCAATAGGTAATTTGAAGGTTCTGACCATTCTCAAAATATGAGCAATAAGGCTGCTATGATATGGCAGACCTACACTGTGAAATGTTAAAAGAAATGATTTAAGATGGTAGGTTTACAGCAGAGTAAGCCTATTATGTGGATGGAAAGGATTGTTTTTGGGGAAAAATGTAAAGTAGAAATAACATTTTCAAAGAGAACAAAAAAACGAGCCAGAGTTTGATTCTAAGACATAATCTTGTGCTTTTTACTTGAAGCTAATATAGCCAGAATATTTAAGTTGAAATAATTGTTTTTAAAAAAATTATTCAACTCTTGGAAAATCCAGGTATGTTTGAAGTCCATAGTCTGAGTGATCTCTTTCCTCTATGAATTTCTGTAACACTTAAGAAATATTTTTCCAAAGATATTTACTACATACTGATACTCATGCATGATGTCTGTATTTTTATCTAACCTATTAAACTAAGTTTTTTTTTTTGAGACAGAGTCTTACTCTGTTGCCTAGGCTGGAGTGCGTAGTACAGTCATGGCTCACTGCAGCCTCTGCCTCTGGGTTCAAGCGATTCTCGTGCCTCAGCCCTTGAGTAGATGGGATTACAGGCATGCACCACTACACCCACCTAATTTTTGTATTTTTAGTAAAGATGGGGTTTCATCATGTTGTCCAGGCTGGGCTTGAACTCCTGACCTCAAGTAATCCGCCCACCTTTGTTTCCCAAAGTGTTGGGATTACAGGTGTGAGCCCCCATGCCCAGCAAACCTTAAATTTCTTATAAGAGCAATAAAAACAGGGATCTTTCACTCATCTTTGTGTCAACCTTGTTGCCTAAAGTGTTGCTTTAGATATAATCAGATTCAGTAAGTGTTTATTATGAAGAAGTGAGCAAATTTCCTTGCCATTTCTCTTACTTTGCTGTCTCTACAATATTGGTATAAGGACAAGCCTGAAAGCTATGATAACTTTATTGTTACATGGTCAACCTGAAAATTTTATATTTTTATGGTTTTGTATACTGAGGAAAAAATTACTCTAACATATATCTTCCAACTATAATTTTTCTCAAGCAAACAACAAAAATCAGTTATAATATGTTCTTTTAAAATTGATTTTATACAAATGGATTTTTAGAGAAAGGAAACAGTTTTAATTAATAACAAAATAATTTGTCTTTGGCAAGATAGACTAACAGGGACTTTCTGCCTTAAAGAACTATTCTAAACAATGGTCTGTTTTCAGACCACAGGCAGGACATGACAGTGATCACTTAGAGAAAGAGGGAAAAGCAATGTAAGAAACAAACCTGGGTGTGAGCCCTCTGATTGTCCCAACTTGCTGCCTAGAGAGTTTTCAGACCACAGTGCTGGAGGGGAAACCCAAAGAATGCCCTATGGTCTTGTTGAGTTGAAGCAGCAGAGTTCAGAGTTTGAGGAGGCTAGAATTTGTGGGGGAAAATATGAGAGAGTTGGGAACCACACAGAAAGAAAGCTCTAGAGATCTGCTGTGTCGGCCTGAGTCTGTGGCCAAGAACTATTCTGTGCGTTAATGGGAGAAAATTGTTCGAGGAAAGAAATGCCAGAAGGAAAACACACACACACACACACACACACACACACACACACACACCTCAGAACAGAGTAGGCACAACAATCCTTGAAGCTCATACAGAACTAGGAGTAGTTCATATTCCCACTGGACAGAGTGGAAAGGCCTCATAATACACAGAGATCCTGTAGAAGCCTCAGAAGGGCCTTGCCTCAGTAATGGGACAGGTTAGCCTTAGAGTAAAGGCTGCTCTGGACATGCCATAACAGAACTTAAAAAGTAAGCCTGAAATGAATTTAAGTGTATCCCACTACAAAGCCTGACAATATTTAAAGGAATACAACAAAATCCAGATCCCAACAGTGTAACATTAATAATGTTGAATATTCATTAGAGCATCATCACACATACAAAAGCTGGAAAATTCAACCCAGAAATAGGAGAAAATGTAACCAATAGAAAAGGGGTTAGAAATGAAAGGGATGATAGAATTGGTTAACAAGTTCATTCAAACAACTACTATTAGTATACTTCGTTTGTTCAAGGAGGTAAAAAAAACATGAACACAAGAGGATTCATAAAGGACTCAGATTCAACTTCTAGTGATGAAAATGCAATATCTGAAATGAAAATACTCTGAATGGGATTAACAGATACTACAGAAGTAAAGAAAAGTCAATTTGAAGACACAGAATTTAAAAATACACAATATAAAACAGAATAAAAAGTTGATGCACTGCTCATTTTTTTTTTTTTTTTGCAATGAGCTGTGGGACAGTATCATGCTTCTTACATAAGCGTATTTGGAGTTCCAGTAGGAGAAGAGAGAGAGACAGAAAAAGCATTTGAGGAAGTAATGGCCACAATTTCCCTAAATTTGATGAAAATTATAAATTCACAAAATCCAAGAAGCTCCATCAGCTTCAATCAGAAGAATCATGAACAAAACAACCTGATAGCACATCAGAATCAACTTGCAGGAAACCAGGAGTAAGGAGAAAATCCTAAAAGCAGCCAGAGGAACAAAGACAGATTTTATGTAGAACAAAGATTAAAAATTAATAGCAGATTTCTCAACAGAAACTATGACAGATAGAAGACAATAGAGCGACAGTTTTAAATGGCTAAAAGAAAAAACCATCAACCTAGAATTATATGCTCAGTGAAAAATATCTTTCAAAAGTGAAGGCAAAATAAATAATTTTGGACAAACAAAAACTGTGAGAATTTATCACCAGGAGACCTTCACTGGAAGAAATTTTAAAGGAAGCTATCTAGGCCAAATAAAAATAGTACCAGATGAAAATTTGCAAGTTCAGAGAGGAATGAAGAGCACTAGAAATAATTAGAATATGGGTAAATACAAAAGACATTTTCTGATTATTTTCCAAATTAGAGGATAATCAACTTTTTAAAGTAAAACTAATAATGTTTTCTGGGGCTTATAAACTTGTGAAATAGCAGTAGAACAAAGGAGGGGAGTTTGAGGAAATGGATGTTTACCATTGTAAGAGTCTCATACTGTAACCGAAGAGAAAATATTATTTGAGTGCACATTGTGATAAATTAAAGATGGATATAGTAAACCTTAGAGAAACCACTTTAAAAAATAGAAACACTAAAAAAAAGAGCATGAGTAATAAGCCAAAAATGTTGATAAATTGAATCCTAGAAAATACTGAGTTAATCCAAAAGAAGGCAAGAAAAAAGAAAGAAGAGATGAGACCAATATTAAACAGCAAAATTGTAGATTTAAACCTAATTATATTGATAATCACATTAATTGTAAGTTTTCTAAACACTTCCTTTTGAATGCCTTGTTGGGCTGGATAAATCAATACAATCCAATTATTTGCTCTACAAGAATCTCACTTTAAATACAAAGATACAGATGTTTTAAAAGTAAAATGATGGGAAAAGATATACCATGCAAATGTAAATCAAAAGGAAAAACTAGAGTTGTTATATTAATATCAGACAAAATAGACTTCAGAACAAGAACCATTACTAGGGATAGTGAGGGATATTACATATGACAAAGGGGTAAATTCATCAAGAAGATCTAATATCCTAAATGTGCATGCAGCCGATAACAGCTTTGAAATGCATGAAGCAAAGATTGATGGATCTGAAAGGAGAAATGGACAAATTCCCAATTATATTTGGAAATTTCAGCACCCTTTTTCAATAACTGATAGAACAAGTAGACAAAAATCAGTAAGGATATTGACTGGAACATCATTAACTAACTTGACCTAATTAATATTTGCAGAGCATTCAATCCAACAGCAGCAGACTGTACATTCTTTTCAAATATATTTCCTAAGATAGGCCATATTCTAGATAATAAAGTATTAATAAATTTAATGTTTTCATTTTTTATGGCTATGGTGACAAATGACTGCAAACTTATTGGCTTAATACAATACAAATTTATTATCTTATAGTTCTGGAGGTCTGAAGTCCAGAATGGGTCTCAGCTAAAATCAAGGTATTAGCAAAGCTGTGTTCTTTCTGGAGGCTCTGGGAAGAGAATCTATTTCTTTGCCTTCTCCAAGTGCTAGAGACCACTAACATTCTTGGCTTGCAGTTCCATTCCTCTATCTCCAACAGCAGCAATATCTAATTTTTCCTCACACCACCATCTCTGCTTCTCTGCCTTCTGCTGCCTTCTTCTACTTATAAGGATCCTTGTGATTTCATTGGGCCCCCTTGGGTAATCCAGAATAACCTCCATCTCTCAAGATCAGCTGATGAGCAAACTTAACTTCATCTGGAAACTTAATCCCCCTTTGCCACATAAAGTAAAGTATGCCCAGGTTCTGGGGATTAGGACATGGTCTCTTTGTGGAGGGACATTACTCTGCCTACTACATTTTAAATGGTTGAAATCATGTCAAATATATTCTCAGATTACAAAAAATTAAATTAGAAAAAAAACAAACCCCAGAAAGGTATTTGGAAAATTCTCACATATTTGGAAGCCAAATAATGCACTTCCAAATAACCCATGGATCAAAGAATAAATCACAACCCTAATTATAATATATTTGGAAAAGTTGGGTGAAATCCCAGAGGAGCTGACTGGAAAAAAGGTGAAGATGTGGCTACTGGAGTGGGACACTCTGATTTTGTGGAGCAACAGTCCTGGCATCTGAGGAGGGAAAACTGCACTTAAAATAGTATCAAAATGAAATATCTATGAATAAATTTTAAAAAACTGTATGCAAAATTGTGAACTAAATATTATAAAACATGCATAAAATAGATATCTTGGGTTTATATATTGGGAGGAATTAATATTGTTAAAATTTCAGTACTCTCCAAAGTGACCTACAGATTCAGTGTAATCCCTATGAAAGTTCCAGTGGCATTTTTTTCATAAATAGAAAAATACGTTCTAAATTTCATGTAGAATCTCAAGGGACCCCAAATAGACAAAACAAATCTTGGAAAAGAACAAAGTTGGATGTCTCACACTGCCTGATTTCAAAACTTATAAACTACAATAATGCAAAGAGTGGTACTGGCATAAAGACAGACATATAGACGAGTGGAATAGAATAGAGAGCCTAGAAATCAACCCATACACATATGGTCTAATGATTTTCCATGACGATGCTAAGATCTTTCACTAGGGAAAGGACAATTTTTTAACACATTGTTTTGGGAGAACTAGATATCTGTATTGCAAAAGCATGAAGTTAGACCCTTACTGCTATGATCTGAATGTTTTCGTCTCCTCCAAAATTCACATTGAAACTAAATTGCCAGTGTGAAGGTATTAAGAGGTAGGGCTTTAAAGAGGTGATTGAGCCATGGGGACAGAGCCCCCATGGATGGCATTAGGGTGCTTATGATAGGGTTTGAGGGAATGGGTGTGCTTCTCTTCTGCTCTTCTGCCGGTGAGGAGACAGCGTTCCTTCTCTCTGGAGGATGCAGCAACAAGGAGCCACCTTGGAAGCAGAGAGAGCAGCCCTCACCAACACTGAACCTGCAGGTGACTTGATCATGGACTTCCCAGCGTTCAGAACTGTGAGAAATACATTTCTGTTGTTTATAAATTACTAATTTTGTGGTATTTTGTTATAGCAGCACAAATAGACTAAGACATTTACATTACATTATATGCAAAAATTATCTCAAAAGTGATCAAAGACCTAAACATAAGAGCTAAAACTAGAAGAACATAGATATGCTCGTAGAAGAAAACATAGAAGAAAAGCTTCATGAAGAGTTTCATTAGATTTAGCAATGACTTCTTGGATATGACACCAAAACATAGATAATAAAAGAAAAAATAAATAAATTGAACCACATTAAAATTAAAAACTTCTGTGTGTCAAAAGACACTATCAAGGTTGAAAAGGTATCCTAAGAATGGGTGAAGATATTTGCAAATCATATATCTGATAAGCAGTTAATATCCAGAAAATGAAAAGAACTCCTACAATTCAACAAAAATACAAACAACCCAATTAAAAAAATGGGCAAAGGACTTGAATAGACATTTCTTCAAAGATATACAAATCATTTTGTGTAAGGCACAAGCAACAAAAGCATAAATAGATAAATGGTATTACATCGAGCTACAAAGCTCTGCATAGCAAAGGAAACAATGAAGTGAAGAGACAACCTACAGAATGGGAGGAAATATTTGCAAACTGTTCATCTGACAAGGGATTAATAACCAGAATATGGAAGGAACTCAAACAACTCAATAACAACAACAAAAAATCCGATTTAAAAATGGGCAAAATACTTGAATAGACATTTCTTAAAAGAAGACATACAAATGGCCAACAGGTATATGGAAAAATGCTCAACATCACTAATCATCAGGGAAATGCAAATCAAAACCACAATGAGCTATCATTTTACACCTGTTAGAATGGCTATTATCAAAAAGGCAAAAAATAATAAATGCTGGGATTGTTGGATCATATGGTAGTTCTTTTTTAGTTTTTTGAGGAACCTCCACGCTGTTTTCTGTAATTGGCTGTACTACTTTATAGTCTTACCAGCACTGTATGAGTGTTCATTTCACTTCAGTCAGAATGGCTATTATCAAAAGACAAAAGATAACAAGTTTTGGCAAGGATGTAAGGGGAACCCTTACACAATATTGGTAGGAATAGAAAGTAGTAAAGTAGTGCAGCCATTATGGAAAGTAGTAGAAGGTTCCTCTACAAACTAAAAATAGATCTACTGTATGATCCAGCAATCCCACTGCTGGCTATATATCCAAAAGAAACGTATCAGTATACTGAAGAAATATCTGTACTCCCATGTTTATTGCCCACTGTTCACAATAGTCAAGATATGGAATCAACCGAAGTATTCATCAATGGATGGGTGGATAAAAAATGTGGTATATATACAAAATAAAATATTATTCAGCCATGCAGCCATGAAAAGAATGAAATTCTGTCATTTTCTGTGACATGGATGGAACTGGAGGTCATTATATGAAGGGGAATAAACCAAGGACAGAAAGACAAGTATTGCATGTTTTCACTCATGTGAGAGCTTTAAAAAAGGTGAATCTTATTGAGATAGAGAGTGGAATGGTGGTTACTAGAGGCTGGGAAGGGAAACGGGGAGGGAGAGGATGAAAGAGTCTGGTTAATGGTACAAAAAATATAGTTAGATAGAAGGAGTAAGTTGTAGTGTCTGATAGTATAAAATGGAAATTATAGTTAATAATTTATTGTTTATTTCAAGAACTTTAGAAAAAAATAATCGTAATGTTACAAGCACAAAGAAAAGGTAAATGTTTAAGGTGATGGATGTCCCAATTAACCTGATTTTATCATTACACATTGTATACAAGTATCAAAAACAGCATGTGTACACCCAAAATGTTACAATTATGATACAACAATGCAAAAGTACAAAAAAATTTAAGAAGAAGGTATACAAATCATCAGCAAGCACACGAAAAGATGCTCAGCATTGGCCGGGCACAGTGGCTCACACCTAAAATCCCAGCACTTTTGGGAGGCCGAGGTGGGCAGATTGCTTGAGTCCAGGAGTTCCAGACCAGCCAGGGCAACATGGTGAAGCCCTATCTCTACTAAAAATGCAAAAATTAGCCAGGCATGGTGGCACACACTTGTAGTCCCAGCTGCTTGGGAGGCTGAGGTGGGAGGATTACCTGAGCCCGGAAGATGGAGGTTGCAGTGAACTGAGATCATGCTACTGCACTCCAGCCTGGGCGTCAGAGCAAAACTCTGTCTCCAAAAAAAAAAAAAAAGATGCTCAACATCAGTAATCATTTGGGAAATGCAATCAAAACTACGATGAGATACCACCTTACACCCACTAGGATGGCTGCTCTTAAAAAAAAAGATAAAGAAAATAGCAATGTTGGCAAGAATGTAGAGAAAGTGGGACCCTTCTGCACTGACGTATAATTGTGTAGCCATGGTGGAAAACAGTATGATGGCTCTTTAAAAAAATTAAAATAGAATTATTTCATGATCCAGCGATTTCACTTCTGGTAATATACTCAAAAGAATTGAAAGCAGGGTCTTAAAGTGATATTTATACATCTATGTTCATAGCAGTATTATTCCTAATAGCCAAAAGGTATAAACAACGCAAGTGCCAATAAACAGACGAATGGGTAAAGAAAATGTGGTGTATACATACAGTGGAGTATTTTTCAGCCTTAAACAGGAAGGGAATTCTGACATGTTCTACAGCATGGATGAACCTTGAAGGCATTATGCTAAGTGAAATAAGCCAGTCATAAAGGGATATTTCTGTATGATTCCACTTATATGAGGTACCTCGAGTAGTCGAACTTACAAAGACAGAAAGTAGGATGGTAGTTGCCAGGGGCTGAGAAGCGGGGGAGTGGGGAGTTGTTCCATGGGTGTAGAGTTTTGGTTTTGCAAGGTGAAGAATTCTGGAGATTGGTTGCACAATACTGTGAATGTACTTAACAGCACTGAACTGTACACTTAAAAATGGTTAAGATGGTAAATTTTGTCATGTGTATTTTCCCTCAATAAAAAAAACTTGCAGAAATTGTATAACAATGATGTCAAATTGAACAATGAGAACACATGGACACAGGAAGGGGAATATCACACACTGGGGCCTGTTGTGGGTTGGGGGGAGGGGGGAGGGATAGCATTAGGAGATATTCCTAATGTTAAATGATGAGTTAATGGGTGCAGCACACCGACATGGCACATGTATACATGTGTAACAAACCTGCACGTTGTGCACCTGTACCCTAAAACTTAAAGTATAATAATAAAAAAAGATGTCAAAATAGCATTTCTGATCTAACAATTGATCAACTCTGATGATACTTTTAAATTTTAAGCAGCTTTAAAAGGCAAACTTTGACTCAAACTTGTTAGTACAGTTTTCATCTTTAAATATACATTTTTTTCAATCATAAATTAGAGTTGGGCTTGGGGGAAATATTAGAATTTAGTGTGAGTCTTTGAGAAGCATCACGAAGTTCAAAGAGGTCTGTCTTGGTATCTCTGTGGTAATGCTTTGTTTGAATGTTGATGTTTCACAAAGAGTTTACATTTTATCTTCCTATTTCTCACAGGCCTAGGTCTGTGTAGTGAATTGAGCGTCCTCAGTTGGATGGAGTTAAGAGCCAAACGTACAACATTGTACCATTTACAAGTTTTATTTCAAAAGGAGATTTAAATTTTTATACAGTCAAATTTCTGCCAAAAGAGAGATTCCAAATTAATTTTTGTTTATGCAAAGCCCATATGTTGTTTTCCACAGTCTCAAAAAGAGTGCAAATTGACAGATTCCTGCATCTGTATCTCACAGGATACATATGTATCATTGCTACCACTCACTTATTTCCTGCCAGATTTTTAGCAATTGTGTTTGAAAAGAAAACCTGTAGAAAGGTAGCAGAAAACAAATGGGTAGTGGGATATGTGTCAGCTAGTTCCCTAACTATAGAAACCCTTGAAATAAGGCAAAAAACTTGTGTTAACCTGGGAAGGAAAGGAAAAATTGGGCAGCAGGATATGAAGGGGCCATGGAAGGAGCGGTGGGTCCTCCTGAGACGCTTTCCTGCTTTATAATTTTTTCCATTTTGACTGTGGGAGATACTACTGTAATACTTTCCTAGATATAGCAGCCGCTCAATAAATGTTGACTCCTTTTTTTTTTTTTTTTTTTTTTTTGAGACAGAGTCTCCCTCTGTTGCCCAGGCTGGAGTGCAGTGGTGCGATCTTGGCTCACTGCAGCCTCTGCCTCCCAGGTTCAAGTGATTCTCCTGCCTCAGCCTCCTGAGTAACTGGGATTACAGGCACCTGCCACCATGCCTGGCTAATTTTTTTATTTTTTGTAGAGATGGGATTTCACCATGTTGGCCAGGCTGGTCTTGAACACCTGAACTCAAGTGATCCCCCTGCCTCAGCCTCTCCAAGTGCTGGGATTATAGGCATGAGCCACTGCACCCAGCCAAATGTTGACTACTTTTAATGAGTGCTTAATACCTATTGGTAGAAGAAATTACATGTTGGAGTTAGGAGCTGTGTTTTTAGCCTTTTAACTTGAATTAGACACTGATGATTAGTAATTTTTTGTTCCTCCCAATTTTCTTCTATATTCCCTCTCCTTCAAAGAAAAGCAAAGGAAACTCGTTCTTCCTGTTTTTCTTAAAATGAATTTAAAATTTTACCATCTCTATATATCTATGTGAATATATATTTATATGCCCCACTTCTATAAAGCAGTATTTGATTTGGTACCTATGGATAACTATTAGCCTAATACTGCCATAATTACAATTCAATTAAGTTTATAACCTGACTTGTTCACTAGTTGGGAAGTAACTATGCATTTGTTGGCATTCTGGTTTAAAAACTTTACATTTGCTTGAACCAATCTGTCTAAATTTATAGAACAGAGTACTTACAAATGTCTAATTGTTTATTTTAAAGTTATATTGTTTCTATGTCATTGCTTGTTATTTTCTTAATAGAATTGAAAACTTTTTTGATTTTATGAATACTTATATTTTGATTTTTGTAAATTCAGTAGTTTTAGGTCACAACAAGTAATGTTTTGTCTTTCAAATTTAATTTGATTTTCATTTTATTTTAAACTTTTATGTTCAGGGGGGTCCATGTGCAGGTTTGTTACCCGGGTATATTGTGGGATGCTGAGGTTTGGAGTATGAGTGATCCTGTCACCCAGGTACTGAACACAGTACCCAACAGTTAATTTTTTAACCCCTCCCCACCTGCCCATCTAGTAGTCCTTAGTGTCTGTTGTTCCCATCTTTATGTTTATGAGTACCCAATGTTTAGCTCCCACTTATAAATGAGAACAGGCAGTATTTGGTTTTCTGTTCCTGCGTTAATTTGCTTAGGACAATGGCCTCCAGCTGCATCCATGTTGCTGCAAAGGACATGATTTCATTCTTGTTTATGGCTGCATAGTATTCCGTGGTGTATATGTACCACATTTTCTTTATCTAATCCACCATTGATGGACACCTGGGATGATTCCATGTTTTTGCCATATGACAAGTAATTTTTGAGAGACTTCAAATTTAATTCAGATCCCATTTATGTGGTAAGCTTTTCAGTCACTCCAGACTTGCCTGTTCTCTCCTGGCAATGAATTTCAATGACTTTTACCCAATAATGTCATGCATTGCACATTCTGCAAGGTTTAGTGGAATTGGCAAAGATGAATAAAATTGCTACCCTACTGGAAGCTAATGTTCCTGTTACCTGACTGAGGACCCTTTCAAGATGGAGGTATCATCATTTGAGGTGGGGTTGAGGGAACCACATGAGAAAGGAAAATGTACAAAGATTATTCAGGGACCAATGAGTTTGATCATATGGGAAGAAAAAGTCCTGCACACGTGGGTTTCCGTGTCTGAAGATGGTTCCATTTTTCTTTAACACAAGATTGGTGGTTCATCTGGGTTTAGAATTCTAGGTGAGAAGCCATTTATCTCTCAGACCATTGAAGGCATTGTTCCACTGAGTTCTAGCCTCCAGAACTGGGAAATCCTTTACAAGCTGGATCTTTGTATAATAGCTTTTCCCCAGCCTTTCCCTCCGGGGCTTTCAGGATCTTCTCTTTTCCTTAGGAATCTGAAACTTCAAAGTGAAATTCGTGTGGGTTTATTTTCATCCATTGTGTGGGCTTTTTGTATTCCCTTTCAGTTTTCAGTTCTGGGAAATTGTCTTGAATTAGCTCTTCCTTCTGTTTTCTCTGGTCTTTCTTTTTGGAATCACTATTATTTAGATGTTGGACCTCTTCCACTTACTGTGTAATTTTCCTATCTCCCTATCTCCCCCATTTTTCATCTTTTTGTCTTTTCATTCACACACACAAGAGAACACGAATACCCTTGAAGCCGACTGGAATCTCTGTGTTGGTTCAGTGGGGGGACTTGTCGCCTGTGTCCGTCACTGTTTAATCAAACTAGTCATTTTGTTGGTAACCCCTGTTATCAGCATTTTTTAACTCTTTTCTCTCAACTTTGTTAGATCCCCAAATAAGACTCATCCAGTGGAAAGTTGTAGCCCCAGATGCCGGCAACTGGGAGCCCAATAAACAGGAAATCCAGGGAACTCTGAATATTTAATATGTAAAATTTGTGTAACCCTCCTGTTTTCAATAATATATTCTTGCCCTCAGTTATTTTTGGGTCTTCTATTCCAGACATTCTCTGCTGGACCCTCTCCAGAATAAACCTCCAGCCTTATTCCTGGGTGGGGGAGGCAGTTGCAGCTTTCCAGAGGTGAAGAAATAGGGAGTGAGGTGCAGGGGGTGTGTAAGGGGAGGAAGGAGCACTTAGTGATTCTAAAATACATTTTCACCCAATCCTTGTTAGCTTCATCTTATCCTGGCATCCAGAGGTACATGGTACTGCCAGTTTTTGAGACATTTGAGGATTGTTTGTTCAAGTGAGTTGATTTTCAACCCTATATCTGTCTTCTGGTTGTGCTAAGTCAATTCTCAGCCATCCATCTGCTTTATATCTTACAAAATCTTCCAGTTCTTGTCTTCTCTCCCATTTTGTTTTCCTTATAGTTTTACACATTTTTAGAAGTCTCTTTTTTATTGGGAATGAGTAGAGCTAAAAGCCTACACTCATTAAGGTGTTTTTAATTAGGAATTTGAGAAATTAAAACTTTACACAGGTGAAAAAATAATTAATATTATAAATTGAAAATTAGGCCAGGGCACGGTGCCTCATGCCTGTAATCCCAGTACTTTGGGAGGCCAAGGTGGGCAGATCACTGGAGGCCAGAAGTTCAAGACCAGCCTGGCCAACATGGCGAAACCCTGTCTCTACTAAAAATACAAAAATTAGCTGGGCATGGTGGCACATGCCTGTGGTCCCAGCTACTCGGGAGGCTGAGGCATGAGAATGACTTGAACTCGGGATGCAGAGGTTCCAGCGAGCCAAGATCATGCCACTGCACTTCAGCCTGAGCAACAGAGCGAGACTCTGTCTCAAAAAAAAAAAATAAATTAATACTTAAAAGTTTGTTAATGTGTAGTGGCATTTGTGTCATATTTTAGGAGCCATTCCTTTTGATGACACTTACAAAATCAATCAGAAGATTCTTAAGTATATGATTCTTCAAGTTTTTATTTTCTTTATGTTCTTAATGTCATGCTGGTCTCTTTGTGATCTAAATGATGCAGTGAATATTTCATAAATACAAATAATTTAATCTTAAATTTGTTAATAGTGTGTATTTATAAAGTGAATTTTATTAAAAATCCACTAACAACTGTTTGAGTGCATCTTTGTGCTAATGCTATGAGGTAATTATATTCTTAAGCTAAAGTCAGCACTTCCGAATTACTCTCAGGTGAGAAAAATAACTTTTAATATGAAAGGACACATTCCGGAAGTACACTGGAGTGCATAAGGAGTTACCAAAGAGTTTTCTTGTTGGAAAAATT
Source organism: Homo sapiens (assembly GCF_000001405.40). Classification (NCBI taxonomy): domain Eukaryota; kingdom Metazoa; phylum Chordata; class Mammalia; order Primates; family Hominidae; genus Homo; species Homo sapiens. The sequence goes on from NC_000013.11 coordinate 42,098,944, forward strand.
ACAAATTCATAGGAAACATGATTAAATGCCAAATTCTATATTAGACTTAATTGCAATAGAAGGTCAGAGAGAGAGAAATCAGTGTGGGCCAGGATAGCAAGAGGTTGCTTCATCCCTGCTTGTGTAGCCTTTTGTCAAAAATGCACCTTTAAAACTGGACTCCTCATCTTCTCGCCCACACTAATTCATAGAGTCAGGTTTGCGAGTAACCTTAAAGGTGCTCAGTTCACTGGCGCTTTCCGGCTGATTTCATCCTGTCCTGCTTGTGTTTCTTTGCCTTATTCCACATTATCAAGGCTTGTTGATTCTTCCTTTGTAACAGGTCTCAGTTTGTCCATTCAATCTAGTGCCTCAACATGTTTATTTAAGCATCTACTGTGTGTCAGATGTTGTGCAGAGTGCGGGGCTGAATAAGGGCCCTGAAGGAGCCTGCATCCCTTCATGTGTGCAGTGGACACAGAAAATTTCCGGAAAAATGTGGGGTGTGCTAGGAAAGTGTTCACACTGGGTCTGTGGCAGCATGGAGGATTGATGCTGAAGCCACCTGGGGAGAAGACCTGAGAGAGCAGGGGGTATTTGGGCATAGTTCAGTGTCTCTGAAGTGTGAATGGCGGGGCTGAGGCCATCTTCACTGCAGGTGAAGCAGCACTGGTAGTAAGCAAGGGTAAAGGCTTGAAAGGTGTGTTACCCATTCAGCAAATATTTATTGTGTGCCAACTACGAGCTAGGCAACTATTTTGCAACCGAATGCAACAGTGAAGAAAACATGAAAAGCATAAGTATGATAAATAAGATGACTGAGTAGCGCGTGTGAAGGTGAAATGTGTTGTCGAAAATGATAAAGCAAGATGATGGAGTTGGGGACTTTGGGCCCTAAGCTGGGGTTGAAGGATGTTTAGGGTGTACTCCACAGAACTCTGGGGGCTGCAGAGGTGCTTCTGGGGTCTATAAGAATTGTTCTAAATTTTGTTTTAAAATATGCCTTAAAACATTTCAAAAACAGTAATGAAGAACAGCATGAGCAAACAGATACATTATTGTGAAAATTTACACATTAGATCAGGGGTCCCCATCCCCTGGGCCACCAGTCCGTGGCCTGTGAGGAACCAGGCCACACAGTAGGAGGTGAGTGGGGGGCAAGTGAGTGAAGCTTCATCTGTATTTACAGTTGCTCCCCATTGCTGGCATTACCACCTGAGCTCCGCCTCCTGTCAGATCTGCAGCGGCATTAGATTCTCATAGGAGTGCAAACCCTGTTGGGAACAGTGCATGCCAGGGATCTAGGTTGTGCACTTCTTATGAGAATCTAACTAATGCCTGATGATCTGTCACTGTCTCCCATCAGCCCCAGATGGGACTGTCTAGTTGCAAGAAAACAAGCTTAGGGCTCCCACTGATTGTACATTATGGTGAGTTGAATTATTTTATTATATATTACAATGTAGTAATAATAAAAATAAAGTGCACAATAAATGTAATGTGCTTGAGTCATCCTGAAACCACCCCCTCCACCCCCGATCCATGGAAAAACTGTCTTTCACGAAACCGGTCCCTGGTGCTAAAAAGGTTGGGGACTGCTGCATTAGACACCACCAGCGCATTAACTGGTGCCGCCATGGTAGCTCATGTTTGGAAAAATGCGTGGATTTTAAAACAATTTTTTTTATTAATTGACTTCATAATATATAATTTTGCCCATTTAAACCTAAAGTTGAATTTACATTAATAAAACATCTCATTTACACATTTTGTATAAAGAGAATCTACTGCTGAAATTATTGGACATTCACCTTACAGGAATTCAACCCGCCTTACTCTTGGATTATCATAGTTGCCCTCAGCACCTTCAAATTATCTCCCTTCTAATCTCTTTTGCATACCATTGCTAGAGTTAATTTTCTTAAATCACTAAATCTTTTAATTAAATGCTTGAAACTCAAACTCTGTGGTGGGGGCAAGTAGACTTACTAGTTACAGTTCTGCCACAAAATGCTCTGTGGCCTTAAGCAAGTCTTTGTTTTCTCATCTGTAAGAATCTTTTTTGCTCTCAGATTTTACTCCCATAACTCTCCTCACTAGCTGTTGATGATCTTTGTGATCTGTCTCTAGCTTATCCATCCAGCACTGGCTCCCCCACTAATCTCTGCCTTTATCCTCTGCTCTAGCATGGCCATTCTCTTCATTCCTGTCTCCTTCCTTCTGCAATGCACACACCACTAGCTGATTAATTATGCTCGCATATGTTGATGTTATTTCCCCAGCCCAGACTGGCCTCTTTAGTTCATTGACTTACATTCTGCGTATCCTTTAAAAATAGTCTTCTAGAACTTATGGTTAAAGAAAATTTATTGGAAGAACAATAACGGCACCAAATGATACAGCATTAAGGCACATTGAGAACTAGGAATAAACCATTTGATTTGTTGAAAGCTGTGCTGTCTAGTACAGTAGCCACTAGCTACATGTGGCTATTTAAATTAAAACCAATTAAAATTTCACACAATGAAAAACTCAGTTTCTCAGTCTTACCAGTCACAGTTCAATGGTTCCATTTGGCTAGTGGCTACGCTATCAGACAGTGCAGACAACGAACATTTCCATCATTGCAGAAAGGTTTGTTGGACAGTGCTGGTCATGGGTGGCTTGAAAGTTTTGTTTCAGGGACTTCTGGAGGAGAAATAATATATTTACAGATGGTCCAGAAGGAAATGTTTGATAAAGAAATGGAGGTGAGGAGTATTGATTCTAGAGGTCTGACAGTGGCAAGAAAGAGGGACGGGGAACAGGTAACGTCCAAGTTAAAAGAGGTATGTGTGTATGTGTGTGTGTGAGAGAGAGAGAGAGAGAGAGAAAGAGAGAGAAATAAGAACATTTTTAAAGGCAAAGAAAGTTGTGGCAATGGAAAGACTGGATCTGTTGTAGACATTGGAAGAAGAGTGTGTAGGAAGAGGTAGGCATATTGGATGTCAGGAAAACAAGTGAAACAGGATGTTGAGATAGGTTTCATTCTGTCTCAGTTTTGGCTGAGGCCCCAAAACATTACCAAGAAAACAATAAGTGGCAATGAAATCACATTCCTTAGTGAAGGTTTCTAACCCTCAGCCCAGCATCTTGATGGTGTGATTGAAGTCCAAGAGATCAAGGCCGGGGCTGGGAAGGCAGGAAGGAAAGGGATGATTCCGTCTCACCTCAGGCTGAGTGAGGGAGTTGCAAGGAGACTGCTTGGCTCTGTTGACTTGCTCTGTGTCCTCTGGAGGCTGTGGAGACACTAAACCTACTAACCCTGAACTAGAGAAGTTTAGAGGTCAAACACCTGCTGGAGCTACACCTGCCTGGCTGGCTGCAGAGCAAAGAGGCAGCTGCACTGGGAGCCAGCTGTGCTTTTGCTAATAAAGCAGCAGGATCTGCTGTCCAGGGGCCAGGAGAAGCCTGGTGGCTTTTTAAAAAGTGGCCCCACTCAAGAGTCCTTCCTGCCAATGGACAATGTGGCCTTGGCAGTGGAGGCTGGAGGTGTGCCCAGCAGACGCAGATGTTGGAGTGTAGGCAGCATTCTAAGTGACCACCTGCTTGGACCCTGGGAGCTGCAGAAGGCTCCTTCCAGCAGGAAAACCTCTGCAGAATGAATGAAGAAGTCCCATTTGAGGAGCAGACACTCTGCCTAGTGAATTAAAGGAAGGAGCTGACTGATTCAGGAGAATCCTGCTCTGCCTGGAATAGCCCAGATGGGGGAGAGGAGAGACAACTTTGAGTAGAGTTTGGAATTGGGGCCTGGACGTTTTCCCTACTGAAATGTAACATGTTTTTGTGAGTAGAGGTGACCAGAGAACTTTGAATTTTTTATGAAAGACTAGGAAAGCCTTGGAACGGAGTTCATTCAGGACAAGAAATGAATAGGCTTCTGAATGACTTTAGATGCCTGGAGAAAGCATGGCTTTTTGCTGCTTGCACTCTGTAGGGTCCTACTTACTTGGGACAATGACTATACTGATTTGGTGTTTGATGAGAGTACAGAATGTTTAGAAAAGCTCTGAGAGATGTGTTGAGAATTAAGAAGTAAGTGAATAATAACCTGCAAGAGGCCTGATTGAAGAGAAGCAGCAGGAATTAAGTGGACTGCTCAAATGAGATTTTTTGCCTCCCTTTCCAGAAGAAGTCTGCAGTCTGGGATCAGGAGATTGTTGTATATTTATTTGGGGTTATAGTGTGGGTAATTGGAAGCCTTGTGGTTTTGTGGAGTGTCATTTTGAAGGAAGCATAAGGTAAATGGAGAATGCTACTTGAATGCAGCTGGGTTTTCTTCTGCATGTGGTGGTGCAGGAGCCCTTTGATGTTATTAGGGTGGTAGTAATTAAACACGTTTCTTCCATATGAAATGATTGGGATAGGGAGTAGTATAATATTTCTGTTTCTAGCATGGTTTATTTATTATCTACATTATATGAGGACTCTTGTTGTATTTTATTTGTTAGGATGCTGCAGTTAACAAAAAAACCCACATCATGTTGGCGAAGCACCTGGAGACAGGGCCAGCTCTGACTCACTTCCCTCTGCGATTCCCAAGTCCCTGCTCTCCCGCATGAGTGCTATCCTTAGCAAAGTGCCTGAATCAATTCCAGGTGTCACATCCAGGCAGCAGACAGAAAAAGGGTTCTCTCTTGCTGTGCACCAAATGCAGTCCCCCATGGCACCTCCACTTACCTCTGATTGGCTGGAACTGGGTCACATCTCACCTCTGAACTAATTGCTAATGGCAAGGGGAAAGGAATCCTCATAAGCAATTTATTAAACTAATTAGTATGTACTTGCTAAAGCCAGGAATAGAGTCAGCATTCCCTAAGCACATGACTTGGAGAGAAGGAGTGGATACCTAAACCAAATCAGGGTTCGGTTAGGAAGGAGGAAAGGGGAAATGGATGTTGGGTAGTCTTGCACCTCTTCCTAGAATTATATAGAATGACTACTATAACTAATCAAAAATGAGTGATTACGGATTAGATGGTAGGAACATATTAATAGTATATATAGACTAACAAGCTGTGGCAAATGTCAGAAATGCAGTGGCTCAAATAACATCAAAGTTTATTTCTCTCTCACCAGTAACAGTTCAGAGGTATGTGGTCCTAAGCTGGTGGGGTGCCTCTAATATAGCTTAAATATTAGAGTTGTAAAGTTGTAATAACAAATAAGTCCCCCAAATTCAGGGACTTAGGGAACAAAGACATTTCTCTCTTATATCCCAGTCCAAGGAAAGCTGCTGAAGTGAGTATCTCTGTTGCACGGGACCATTCAAGGGCCCAGGTTCCTCCCATGTTGTTGCTCTGCCATTTCTCCCCCCCAGGGAATTGTCTTTGCTTGGGCTAAAACTGGGTCACCACTTCCAGGTTCCAGCTAGAAAGTGGAAAAGGAGAACATGAAGGAGATAGACCAGTTTATAAAGGCCTAGGCCAAAGTGGCACCCGTGACCATTGCTCGCATTTCATTGGCAAGATCTTAGTGACATGGGGGCTTCAAACTTCAAATAGCCTGGGATATGTAGTCTCACAGGGCAGTTTTCAGTGTTGCTTGAGTCGTCCCTATTTCTGGTCAGTAGAAAGAAATAGGACCAGGTGTCTTTAAGAGGATGAATCTTAAGTTGCATCCCTCATTTCCGCTCATGTCCTGTTGGCCTAAAGTTGTTCACATGGCCAGATGCTAGGGAGGTCAGGAAATGGAGTTTGTAGCTGGGAGGGTAAGTACTGGGAGAAAGAATGGATTATGGTAGACCATTAGCTGTTTCTCTCACACAAAAATTTCTCTCTGCTCTGCATAGGATCTTTCTATCTGGAGACCTGACTTATTAAATGTTAAAGAAAATTTTATCTAATGCCTAAAGCTGGTAATTCCTCATCATTATTTGGCTGAATTTGGTAACTTGCCATTCTTCTACCATAGGAAAGACTGATATTAATAGTAAAGCAATATTACTTTTTTGTAATAGACATTACAAAAAAAAGTTCCAAAATGCTTTTTATAAAATATATGAACTTGGCCTTCTAAAACAACTTGTATAGTTGTATCATGTGTTTATGTACATACATATGTATGTATGTATGTATGTATGTATGTGTAGTTTTAAACCTTTATGACTGTCTTAGTCTGTTTAGTGCTGCTATAATAGAATACCTGAGATTGGATAATTTATAATGAACAGAAATTGACTGGCTCACAGTTCCAGAGGCTGGGAAGTCCAGTATCAAGGGGCTGGCATCTTGTAAGGACCTTCTTGCTGTGACATCCCATGGCTGAAGGCAGAAGGGCAAGAGAGGGCCAGAGAGAGAGAGAGAGAGGAAATGAGAGCAAGTGCACGAGGGGGTTAAACTCGTCCTTTTACAAGGAACCCCCTCTATGATAACAACATTAATCCATTCATGAGGGCAGAGCCCCTGTGACCCAGACACCTCTCATTAGGCCCCACCTCCCAACACCACCACACTGGGGATCAAGTTTTCAACACATGAACTGTGGGAGATACATTCCAACCATAGCAGTGACCTAAAATTGTATGTTTGATTTTTTTTAAAAGGCATCCTTTTGGAGATGAGTAGTGAATTATCTTCTCAAAGTCTGTTTAGACTTTGATTCTGCTACTTTGATGTGGACTTCTGCTTTCTTATCTGGAAAAGTATTGTCTGAGTTGTCATAGGATGTTGTCCTAAACTTTGATGTTTATTCTTCCACATGCTAGCTCAGGTTTTCTTTGGTCATGCCTACAAACTGGTAAGCTTTATAAGTAGATAAGGAGATTAAACAAACCTTTTATATGTAGGTAAATGAAATTAGGTGTCAGAAATCCTTTCTAGATCTTAAATATGGCCTTCGATATATGGTTAGCTCCCTGCAAGCAGGCATTTTTCTTTGTTTTGTTTACTGCTATATCTCCAGCACTCTCAGCACTTCCTGGCATGCAGTAGGCACTCAGTAACTATGTTTAATTAATGAATAGATCTGTGAAAACAATGTATTTCATATGTGAATAATTAAACCTGATTTTTACCTTGGAACTTAAGGAATGTGGTTTTTTTTTTTTTAATTTTTTTTATTTTGAGACAGAGTCTTGCTCTGTCACCCAGGCTGGAGTGCAGTGGCACAATCTTGGCTCACTGCAACCTTCGCCTCCTTGGTTCAAGTGATGGTCCTGACTCAGCCTCCTGAGTAGCTGGAATTACAGGCGTGTACCACCATGCCTGGCTAGTTTTTGTATTTTTAGTAGAGATGGGGTTTCACAATGTTGGCCAGGCTGGTCTTCAACTCCTGACCTCAGGTGATTCACCCACCTTGGCCTCCCAAAGTGCTGGGATTACAGGCATGAGCCACTGTGCCTGGCCTCAGGAATGTGTGTTTCTTAGGCATCTGGATGAAGTCATCTTTATTTGCCATGCCTTCCAAGTGAAAAGCTCAGCAAGCCTTCGAGTCCTGCCTGGCTCTGCATACTCTCAGCAGAGGACGACTGCACCGTGTGCAGAGCAGCATAGACAATGAGAGTAACATGTGATATGGCCTCACATCCAGGACGTAGGAAAAGAAATGCTTCACTTCATCCCAACAATGAAAAAAGTCTACTCTTTTCAAGACAGCTATTCTCAAGTAGAGTGGCATGTGGGTAGGATGAAGAAATAAAGTAATTTGGATGCTGGAATGACTTTTGGGGTTAGGGAGATAAAGTTAGACTATCTTCTAAAGATTGAGTGGATAAACTTAACCTGTTTTATGATTTACCTTCTCCTCATACTGTAATACAGATTTCAGAATTCATATACCACTGAAAATATTGAAAAAAGAGGCTGGGCGCGGTGGCTCATGCCTGTAATCTCAGCGCTTTGGAAGGCCGAGGCGGGTGGATCACAAGTCAGGAGTTCAAGACCAGCGTGGCTAAGATGGTGAAACCCCGTCTCTACTAAAAATACAAAAAAAAGTAGCCAGGCACAGTGGCAGGTGCCTGTAATCACAGCTACTCGGAAGGTTGAGGCAGGAGAATCACTTGAACCTGGGCAGCAGAGGTTGCAGTGAGCTGAGATTGCACCACTGCACTCCAGCCTGGGCGACAGAGTGAGACTGTGTCTCAAAAAAAAAGAGAGAAAAGATAATTTTGTGCATCACACTCCTGTGTGAATCTATTGCAATTTACAAATATGGCTCTGTGAGGACTGACAACATAGAATTGCAAATGAGTGAGCTCTGCTTGAGTGACATTTGGAGGAGCGGTTATTTAAGTCCAGCATTTAAGGGTGAGTCACGAGAGGAAAGGTCCAGGGCGGGGGTGTGCATTCTGCACCTGCAGAAAGCCACCCATATGAAGAACCCAAGGTGGGAGGAAGATGAGTGTTTTGTTTGGCCAATGGCAGGTAGACCAGAATGCCAGGAGCAGACACTGCAGGCAGTGGGGAGTGGGGATAGAAGTGATGTTTCAAGAGGGTGAAGCTGTGAAGATGAAACCAGTGGGAGGCCTTCCATGCCGAATTAAAGGGCTTTGCCTTGTTCTGTAGTTGATGAACAACCAATAAAGATTTTGAGCAGGGAAGTGACCAGATGAGATCTGCCTTAAGGAAACAATTCTGGAGGGAGGGAGGGAGTATGGAGGATTAATTAGACAGGGGGCTAGTTCAGTGTAAGGAAATACATCTGTTTTTCCTGTTTCTGTCCATGTGATTGTCTTGTGAACAGTGGGGGACTTTTGTGGGACTGTGGTGTTCAGTTGAGGCCTGCCCGGGTAAGGCAGCCCCGCTGTGAGTACAGGAACAAGAACTGCAAGGACAGATCGTAGACAGGCAAGCAGGAGGGCTCGGCTTCTTAGCTTTGGTGTGGAGACCTTGAGTGTGCTGTCTCTCTGAGCTTGTGCTCCTTGGCCTTTGGGGACCCCTGGTATGCCCCTGATGGGGGAGCTGAGACAGAAGGGTCCTAGAGTCTCTCTTTGGGCTCAGAGGCATGGAGGACAAAAGGGATTTTGTCCTATTGTCTAAAATGGTACTTTCTGTCTACTTCCCTTTTATTAGTGCCAACCTTTAGAAAAGTCTTGTTTGAGTGTTCTGTGTCACCTCTGCTTTATTACGAGTCCTTAAAAGAAGAGTCATTTTTCACACTCGGGCCAAACTTCAAGAGGAATCAAATGAAGAGTTAGTGTTGTGACAGGCAGGTGGTGGTTCTGGCCCTGCTCACCATCAGGAGGTTCTTTCTGGTGTGCTGGTCTTGGAAGCATTTCTTCATAGGGGGTCATTGTTATAGTCTAGGCAAGAATAATAAAATCACAAGCATTAGGTCACTGGGCACAGGAGCAAAAAGGAAGACCAGTTTTCAGAAACCTTTTGATTGGCAGATTAATTTAAGGGTGAGGGAAAATAAATTTAAGGGTGAGGGAAAATAAAAGATAGGTTGGGAGTTCTGGGGTTCCTAAGCAGTGCTTAGGAAAATACACTGCTGCTAGCAGGTGAGGTCATAGGAAGAGGAGCAGAATTGCCACGGGAAGGTGCTGAATTCATTTGGAATTCCGTATAGAGTGACTTTTACCCAGTGCCGTGTAGTTAGCTGCTGGCAATTTTGGAATTAGAATCTAGGTTTTCTGAAGCCAGGCCAGTGTCTTTTCTATTAAACTAAGACATGTGTTACGTGAAATAAAATGTACTTGAGTTTCAGGTGGTGACGGCATCTCTAAGTGGAGATGTCAGGCAGGCAGTTGTAAATGGAGCTGGAGTGAAAATGAGAATAAATACAGAAATTTATTTTAGGAGTTATGTATATATTTAGAGGAGATAATTGGAACTATGGGAAGAAGTTCATTCAGAGAGATTTGGCACATAGGCTGTAATTGGAAATAGCCAAGGGGTAGATTTCCTGAAAAGGAGGGAGTGGAAGCTATAATGCATGCAGTAAGGCTGAAGGAAAGGAAAGGACAGAGGCAGCGAGAGGATTCTAATTTTTTAAAGCGGTTTTGTCATAATGGAGAGGAAGGCATAGCTTGGAAGCTGGGACATAATCAAGAGGTGGAAAAAGTTGTTATTTTTAAAAATAAGATATGCCAACGGGAAGGAATGGATGGAGAGAGAACGATTAGAGATGAAAGACAGAGGGACTAGTTCAATTTAGTTTAACAAACAAATTGTAAGTACCACTGAGGTGATAGGCATAGTGCTGGGTGCTAAGGAGACAAAGATGAAGTAAACATGAATCTGACTTGGGGACATTTACTGTCTAATAAAGGACAGGAACGAGAGTAACACAAGACCAGCTGGTATTTACTGAGCACCGTGTGTCAGGAACCATTGCAGATACTTTACATGCATTGACTCACTGAGTCCTCACAACACCCCTATGGCTTAGTTATTGTTATTATCCATAAAGAAGCAGAAACTCAGTCACAGAAACGTTAAGTAATTTGTTCAAAGTCTTTAACAACTAGTCAGCCGTGGAGCCAAGGTTTGAACCCAGGCCGTACCTCTGCACCTCTGTGCATGATGGAGATGGACGATTACACCACAACGCAAAGGTGGAAATAAGAACAATAAACAGAAGTAGCCTAAGGGAGAGAGGGCTTAGATTTTTTTGGCAAATGATAGAGAAATATAGAAAGATCTCAAAGGAGGAATAAATGGAAGACAGGATGGATCCAGATGAAGGGATGCAAGAAAATGCTGTCAAGACCAAAGTAGAGAACCCATGTGCAGCTGTGCGTGCGTGCCTGTGCGTGCGTGTGTGTGCGTGTGTGTGTGTGTGTGTGTCTGTTGCTGTTTTTTCTAGTAATTTGCACAGCCTTCATCTCTGACCATTTCTTGGTTCCATGCTAACCATTTCTTGGTTCCATGCTAATCACAGAGGACACTCACATTTGATTCTCTTCATTTCTGTGAACAGTTATTAATAAGATATTTTTAAAAAATCTACTAGAACTGGGTTATCCTTTTTAGGGGTATCAGTCTGGTCCATCAAAATCATCATTGGAGTGGAGTTTATGATATTAAATATAACATATATATGTGTATCTATCTATATCTATCTATCTATGTATCTAATCTGTCTACCCATCCAGAGAACTGACAGATTTCTAACTGATTTCTGATTTCCCATGTAGTTGGGACTCAGATATTCTTTGGGGAAAGAACTAGAGAATTTCAGAGGCAGATTATTGAAGATGCAGTTGAAATTCCAGAAAATAAGCAGATCTTTTGCGTGAAATGCTGAGTAGCTCTTTCTGAGATAACTGTATGTGGTAGATGTGAGATTCCTGATTGTCTGTGGCTCAGCAGTCAGATGCCTGCACTTCACCCTGTTTCCCATCCCACCCTTGACCTTACCACTGACCCCCAGCTCCTCCTGCAGCCACAAACTGCATTCCAGGATAGGGGACATTGTAAGCGCAGCAGTCCTGTGAGACTCAGGTATGGTGTGAGGCTCTCTACTTTGCACATTAGTTATTAGTTAAAAAAACAAACGTGATGTCTAGTGGTTTATTTTAGACAACATCAGAATGTCCCCACATCAAAATAGTTGCATCATTGTGGCCATGGGGGAAAGTGGTTGGTTACATCAAAATGTCATGTGTGGGCAAAGGGATTATTCTTGGATGTGAGTAGGGGCATTTGATAAGGAAGAAGTAAATTCAGAATTTGAAGGATAATCATTCATTCATTCATTCATTCGTTGTTTTACCCATTTACAACACAGTTACACATACGACATTCAGGCATTTACCAGTTACGGGAAGGATTTGTGCAACTGAAGAAAAGCCCATCTGTGTTCACATTTGAGAAAGAAAATCCTAATCATTAGCATAGCACCACTGCCACCTTGTGGTAATGCATGGTAGTTCATTATATTTTATGAAAAAACTGTTATGTCTGGTATTTATACAGCATGTACATTTTGTACCTTCTGCATGTAACGGTACGTTATAAAGCCATATACTTTTACCTAATACTAATTTAAAAATACACTCAGTGGGGGGAGGAAGAGCATTAGGAAAAATAGCTAATACCTGCTGGGCTTAACACCTAGGTGATGGGTTGATAGGTGCAGCAAACCACTATGGCACATGTTTACCTACGTAACAAACCTGCACATCCTGCACATGCACCCCGGAACTTAAAATAAAAATTAAAAAAAGAAAAATACATTCAGAAACTGCTCTAAAGAAGGTACATATAAAAAAAGGAGAGACAGCTTAATTTTAGAAATTAATAAATAAATGTTCACAAAATACAGTCTCAAGGAGGTAATTACATCATTATAGATATTCTCGAGAAAATTATAAGCCATTGCAAGGGACAAAGTACATTAGCAATCACTAGATGGTTTACTGATACAGAGGGTGATTAGAATATGTTGGATAGGCCAGGCACAGTGGCTCATGCCTGTAATCCCAGTACTTTGGGAGGCGAGGTGGGCAGATCTCTTGAGGTCAGGAGTTCGAGACCAGCCTCGGCAACATGGTGAAACCCCGTTTCTACTAAAAATACAAAAATTAGCCGGGCGTGGTGGCACGTGCCTGTAGTCCCAGCTACTTGGGAGGTTGAGGTGCGAGAATCGCTTGAACCTGGGAGGCGGAGGTTGCAGTGAGCTGAGAGTGTGCCACTGCACTCCAGCCTGGGGAAGAGTGAGACTCCATCTCAAAAAAAAATATGTTGGATAATCTTCATTATTTTGCTTTAGAATGCATAATTTATATTTAAATGTAAATGTCCCAAATATTAGAGTTTATAGTATTTCAAACAAAATAATAAAGATATTTGAATATATCCAGAGGTGTTGGAATACTTCACTAGACAGGGGGAAGCTTGCTTCTGTGCATTTCTTGGGCATACATTCCCTCAATTAGGTCTCGCGGGGCAGACATAACCACTTCTCAGGTTTGCACAGGCTGCAGCATAACTGGCTTTTGACAGGTTGAATTTCTTCCTTTCTGGACAGGGAAAAGGGCACAGGAATTGTGGTGGAAAGCCATTTTTTTTATACCTGGGTTGAGCATGGCAGGATGGAATACTGCAGACAGACCCACTGAAGAGCGAGCGCTTCACTGGGCTTCACCCTGGCATGCCCTGCACAGAGAGTGAATGCTGCCAGCACACATTACACTGTGGCCAGACTACAGCTTTCTGTCACATGGATGTCTCAGACAACCAGAATCAGAACATGTGTGTGTTTTATATGTAAAAGTAAACGATTACTTCTAGTGAAATTAAAAACAAAAACAAAAGTCGTATATGGTTTTTGTGAATGAAAACAGACTATTGTACAAACCTCTAGAATATTAAATATCAAGGTTTTATGTAATGTTAAATGTCATTATAGTCAATGCATACCATCTAGCCTTGTGGCTTTTTTTTTTTTTTTTTGACTTAGTCTCGTTCTGTTGCCCAGGCTGGAGTGCAGTGGTGCAATCATAGCTCACTGCAGCCTTGACATCCTGGGCTCAAGCGATCCTCTGGCCTTGGCCTCCTGAGTAGGTGGGACTACAAGAGTGAGCCACGATGCCTGGCCCCACGTGGCTTTGGAACTCTGTTTCACAGAGCCATAGAATTCCTCAGAGGCATCCCAGAATGGGGAGGCTGTGCTGCTTAGATTCTGGATGGCCTGTTCAAAGTGCCTGGTCACATGTATTTGGGAAAAGCTCAGATGATCCTGATACACCAAACTGCTTGAGAACAACTACTCCTGGTGGCAGTTTATAAAAAGGGAAATGTTTTGTGATATTGTAAATGACAAATCACCCTCATCATCTGATTGCATTGTCATTAAATGTTGATCCCAGAAACATCCCTCACCGCCATTCTCCTGTAAGCGGGGACATCATTCTCTGAAGCTCCCCTTGTTCCCGCTGTAGTTCTTCCACCAGCATTTGCTTTCCTGGCGAGGTCAGCGAGACAGTGCGGGGATGGACATATCACAAAAGGGGGCATACAGCAGCTGGAGCCATTCTTCTCTGCCCGTGTCCAGAAATTTCCCAGCACACAGGGTTGAGTCCAGTACCCATGCAGCTCTTATTCCCTCGTTGGAGGTCATATTCCAGTCTTCATCTGCAGTTGGATCTGGCTTTTGTTCGGATCATAGTTGAGTGTAGCTTGGTTTCTTGTGGGTGGCTAGCCCTGAAGAGCTACAGTGAGCATGCTCAGTCATTAAACCTAAATTAGCTTCTGCTCCTACTCCTGGGTGGGGGCAGAGCTTCCTAAAAATGTGTTTTAGGAAGATTTTGACACCAGATTTTTAAAATGCACAGAGCCAGGTAAAAGTAAGTGGTTACACTTAATGATATTAGTTAAAGGTGCGTGGAAAAAGGAACAAAAGTGCTGAATTATACCTTTTTAAAGGGTTTATGCAAATTATTATATGTACAATAGTCTTTTAAGCCTGATAATTCCAATCACCAAAAGAGATTTTAGTATGTGTAGGTTCCTATGCCCTACTCTAAACCAATTGAATCAAAGTGCATTAATGTTTATAAAGGTCTCCAAGTAATGATCAGCCAGACTTTAGAGCAACTGGCTTATTTAATAGAGCTTAGTGTCATGTATGTATCCTTATTTAAATACAGAGTCTTACATTTACTTTTAAGAAAGTAGGAAATTCATGGTGGGACAAAATTCACAAGGGGAAAGGAGGATACCAGCACAAAGCCAAGAGTCTGGAGTCAAAAGGAGCTGATGGGAAAGTTTGGAGGCTGATACGAAAGCCAGGCTTGAAGCAGTTTCACAGGTGGCCGATGAAGGAGGTTGACAGATGGAATCAGAGCAAGATCAAATGACTTCCCTTCCAGACCCACGGGAGGAGGAGCAGTCATTGCTGAGATATGAGTTCCGGCATGGCTACGGGGAAAAATAGTTCTTATATGATAATCACATAAAAATATTTAGAAGGGCAAATAAAAGGAAAAAGCAATGTTATGATAGGAGACACAATATATTGAATATATTGTGGTGAAGATAGGCTTTAGGATGGGGTAAAACATGGGTCTGTGTGGTTTGTGTTTGGCCACCTTTGAAGCTAAATTATGCTAAGTTTAACTGCTGGATAAAATATGGAAGGATAGAAAATCTACTGTCTTTTAATTTCACTCTCTACAAATAGTAGTTCATTTACACATTTTGTAGGTATATCTCTTCTGTATACCCATCCTCTCCACAAAGATAATATTAATGTGGACAAGATAGATAGCTTCCCCTAATAACAATGAAATGGTAGTGGATAAAAGCAGAATGGCTTTTAATTTGGGGGAAAAAAGTCCAGAATAGACAACAGCTAATTGCTTATATTTGCCACAGGGACAATTTGCAAGTGAGGAGATGACCCGCCACAAAATAGGCACCTCTGGCTAGAGTTCTTACAGTGCTGCTGGGTTCCTGCCAAGGGTCTGCCTGAAGAGCTCCTAAAGATAGGCTTCTGTGCAAGTTTCCCCCAAAAGCCATCTCAGCTACTTTATCGGAATGTCAGTGTTCATTCATTCATTTGTTCAGTATATCATTACTAAGAGCTATTATCTGTGCCAGGAACTCTGGTAAGCGCCAGGGCTCCAGTGATGACTGAGGTGGACATGGCCTCTGCTCTCGCTGAGCATGCAGGCTACTCAGGGAGACAGACATATTAGTTTGGGGCTTATTGAATTTTGAAGAGCCAGTGGCATCCAAGTGGAGTTATCCAGCAGCAATTCTAATCATTTCCTAATTTTCACTGGTAAACAAGATAAGATCGGTGTTCTAAGAAGTAAAATAATATACATAGCTTGTTATAAACCATGCTCCATTATTATATTAAATAAAATTTCATGATTGATTTTTGCTTTTATGCTTAAGATTTAGAAAACTTTAGACATTTTCTTTATGTGGTTAAATTAGGGTTTTGTGCAATAATTTATCCAAATAGAAGCATTAGGCCCTTGTCCAGGATTGTCTCTTTATGTACTTTGTATCAGTCCCACTAAAAACACCTTTTTCCCCAAAGTGTGACCTACTCAAATAGTACCTTACTTCTGATACTTCATAGCATTTCGGAGTTTACAGGAGATATTTGCTTATCATTTTGTTTCTTCCTGACAAGTCTGAGGAATACAGGGCAGGTGATGTTTATTTATTTACAGATGGGGAAACTTAGGTTCATAGATATGATTACTTATGTGAAGTCACAGAGCTAGTAAATGGTGGAGGCGGAAGTGGAACCCAGCCTGGGGCTCTTTTACAGGAGTCAGGTCTATTTTTGTTTTATGCTTCCTGCCAGTATAGTGACTTGCTGGAAAGAAAAATCGAATTGTCTTTTTCCACTGAATTCCTCCAGTTGTTATCAAAGAAAAAAAGTTTTAATCGTTTAATTTCTTACTTTTTGTTTCCTGATTCTTCAACAAATTAGTTAACATGTATTAATTATTTTCTTCATATCAAATACTTGGCTATATGTGGGATAGAAAAATAAATGAGGTACAGTTTTTGTCACTGAGAAACTCAGTCCTATAGGAGAGACCCAGGCATTAAAAAAAATCCCTATGCAGCATGATTAATGCTATAAATAATGCATGAGCATAGAGCTGTGGGTATACCAAGGATGTGATAGTGGCCAGAGCTTTGAAGGAGGATGGGATGGGGTGGGAGGTTTAGAAGAGGCAGTGGAGGACGATATTGAGTAGAAGGGAGAGCTGGTGAAAAAGCTTGGACACAGGGAAGCATGGTGTATTTGGGGATTACCAAGTACTTCTCTTTTACTTTACTATTAGGGGAACTTAGGAGGATTGCTGAAGATGGGGCTGTTAAGGAAGGTGGGGCACTTATGGACAAAAGAGTCTTGTATGACCAGCTAAGAGGTCTGGAATTATGCGGGTGATGGGTACACCTTGAACATATTGAACCAGAGTTTGGCAGTTTTTCAGAGATAATTTTGTCCACAGTGGAAGGAATGGACTAGTGGTGGGAAAAATTGATAGCATGGAGAGCACCTAGTAAACTATTGAGTCCAAGAGAATTAGAGGAGCCCAAACTAAGGCAATAGCAAGAGGAGTGGAAAGGGATGGATTTAAGGAACAAAAACTTTTCCATAATAAATAATGCTTAGGATGAGGACTGTTATGATGATAATATCTTGACATGCCATGTTTTTAAAGAATTATATATTATTTTGAATCCATTGCCTCACATATCATCATAGCACATAGTGATATGCAGGCATTATTTCCATTTCAGAGGTGTAAGTCTGTTAACTATAGAGGCTTAGTTTGACCATTAAAGATAGTCAGATAGATTCATGATGTTACAGGTTTTGTACAGACACCCAAGAAAGCCTAACACAGCTTTCCTGGAATTTATATGACAAATGAATAAGGAAATATATAGGCCAAAGAAAAATTGTTTGAGAGGACACAATAGATAGTAGTTAGAAGAGACAGGAAAGAAGTGACACAAATAAAATGTAGAGTGTTGAAATCTCCCCTGATCCATCTCTCCCATGACGCCAAATTCCATTCCTTAGATGAGAAGTGGAGGTCATGCTGGGACATGACTGGTAGAAGCTAGAGGTTCTTCTGGAATTCTTGAAGGCATCTGTAAAAGACATGCATCCTCACTGACCTTTGCACTTTACACACCTGTTTAACACTCCTCTAAAAGCCAGCATCGCATATGAAAGTGTATACCTACTGGATAAATCAGGCAGTGCCTGATTTTTCAAGGATTCTTAGCTTTACAAAAGGCTCATCGAAGGGCTGTTTTTAAAGTTGCATTCTCCTTGGGGCATTAAAGTGGTTTTCCATCTAAGGAGCTTCCACTTGTGACACAGAGGCGTTTCTGAAAATTTAGGTGACATCCTGGAGCATCCATGTGTGTATATAATTTAAAAGAGAAATTACTTTTATTTTCTTTAAGCAAAGGGCATGAAATGAGCAATTCTGCAGCTTTAAGACATTGGACTAAAAACAGTTACAGAAAGCCAGCTATATAAAAATTTATTCAACTTGTAATGCTTTTATTTTTGGAAAACGATTTTTCAAAGTCAGGTTCATTGATCTTTTTGCTTTTAATTTTTTTAAACTAGGTTATTGGATTCCAGTTGGAGTCTATATGGCTTTACTGATTTTCCATGAGGGTCAGGTAGTACTAAACCATTAACTGCCAGATTATATGACTAAATGGCAGTTAATACAAATGTTTCTAAGCCCTTTTTGGGAGGAGGGGGGAGTTAATGCCTCATCCTAGAATTTGTGAACAAAGTAAAACTAAAACATACTTGCTTTTAACAGATTCTTAACCATAACTCTGATTATAACTATTTCTTATATTTGTTACTAACTTTGTTATTTTGGTTGAACATTAATATCGAATATAATAGCATGATTTTTAAAAAATGAATCTTTGTTTCTTCACTTGGTATACTCATTATTTTGAAATATTTGGAGCCACTTGCTTTTTTCTTAACCACACTTTGATTGTATGATTATATTTGCTAGAGCTGTTACAAATTAATCACTTTTTGGTTATGCTTGTTCTTTTATGAGAAGCGTCTGTTTAGCCGTACATAAACAGAAGTTTATTTTGAGGATTAACTTTCACGTGAATAACTGCCTCCCAGCTAAATCTTTTTAATCATATCTTTTAGAGGAAGGCAAGAATGTTTTTTCCTTTTCTTTTTTTTCTTCAAGAATTTAAAATTAGCTGTTTGTATATTGTAACATAGAGAGGTTTGTAGCTTCGTGAAGGCAAGGACTATATTTTATACATCTTTATATATACACCACAGCCTCACACATCACAGGAGATTAATACATGCTTATGTAAGATTTGAAGAATGTAATAATTCTATAGAAAAAACATAAATTATTTGCTTTGAAAATGACTCTATAAGGAACATCTCTAAATGCACAATATTCTCATAAAAAATCAGGATAGACATTTTCTGCCCCTCCAGAGGTATACCTTTGAGCGTTGTGTCCATTTTCATACACGTGAAAAGAAACAGCCTGAAATCTGCTGAACCCTGGAAACCATAAAGGCATTTCCGGCCAGGCGTGGTGGCTCACACCTGTAATCCCAGCACTTTGGGAGGCCGAGACAGGCGGATCACGAGGTCAGGAGATGGAGACCATCTTGGCTAACATGGTGAAACCCCGTCTCTACCAAAAAGACAAAAAATTAGCCGGGCGTGTTGGCGGGCGCCTGTAGTCCCAGCTACTCGGGAGGCTGAGGCAGGAGAATGGCATGAACCCGGGAGGCGGAGCTTGCAGTGAGCCCAGGTCGCACCACTGCACTCCAGCCTGGGCAAGAGAGAGAGACTCCGTCTCAAAAAAAAAAGCATTTCCAGCCTGTGTTTCTTGTTTACTCATTGATACCATTTCCCCTCAATCAGGGGCCCAGCGCTTTCCCGTTTTCTAATTTTTTGTCTTTGTTTTAAAATACACAGTTACCTTACATACCATTGTATACTGTTGGTAAAAGTTGTTTAGGTCAACTCAACCAACATTTATTTATGGAGGCCCTATGATGTGTTACCTAATGCCATGGATGGTGATGTTACAAAAATGGGTAGGTTGCTGTCTTTGCCCTCTTAAAGGCCGCGACCTGGTGGGACCATAAATATGTGGATGGACACTGTTCAGTGTCATAGGTGCTGTTACACAGACAGGATAAGGATGTATTAGAGACCCGAAGGTGGGAGTGGTGGCTTCTTCCTACCCCTACGGGGTCAAGGACGCCTTCCCAGGGCTAATGGTGCTGGATGAATGTTGAGATGAATAGATTTCAAGACAGACAAGTGGAGCAGAGGATATTTAGGGCAGAGGAAGGAGCTTAGGAGGGGTAGGCCACGCATTTGGAGGGCTGTGTAGGGGCCTTCTATGGTACATGTAGGAGCTTGGACTTTATGTAGCAGGCAGAAGAGAACTAATGAAGGGCTTGAAGCGGTGGCGTAATTTAACTAGATTTTCATTTTAGAAAATTACACGCAAAACCATGGGAGAATGAAGTAGGTTATTTACATTTCCTTAAAACAGTACTTTTAGAACATAAATAGACCAAACATTAACTTTTCTTCCCCATTGCCTTAAACAGAACTTTACAAAAATCCGAATACACCCACTTCTGCCATTTGAATTTCCAAATGATTTATTCTTTGGCCAAGATGTATTTTTATAGCACTTTAATGTTCTGTGTTTGGGTTTAGGAATTATGGGCTGCCTACCTTGGGTGACACCAGATGCTACGGTGATGCAGCTCATCATATAACTCTCCGGAATCCCCCTTGGCAGTGGCTGCAGGCTTCCCGTATTTCTCCTCAAAGCATCTTGAAATAGGACTGTATTGAATGGGCATGACTGGACTGCATATTTTAGGCATTTTCAGGAAAAGAAATAAAGAATTTGTATGTGAATGAATCTGAGCAAGCATCTGAAAGAAGAGGAATGGATTTAGAGTAACAAAAGACTAGCATGATGTCACATGACAAAGTTCAGAGACGCTCCTCTTAGCCGAGGTGGCTTCCCATGGTGTTACTGGTCATCTGCACTCTGGTCCAAAAAGCAGTCCTGTGGTCAGTGCTAGGCCATAAGTCTTCAGTTCTGAACACGGTGAGATGGCTCTTCCATGACATTCAGTGTAGTTTCTTTCTCCTTCTCTCACTAACTTTGTTAGACTAGAAGCTACATTATCCTCTTAAAAGTTTTTAGCTCTTATCCCAAGGACTTTCTGGGATATTTAAGAGTGTTGTAATCTCTTCTTTTTAAAAAAATTATTTACATTATGGTAAAAATTTTATAACAAAAATTTTATAACAGAATTTACTATCTTAATCATTTCTAAATGTGCATTTCAGTAGCTTTAAGTATATTCACATTGTTTTGCCATGTAATCTGTATGTTTTTAAATGAATACTTCATATTCCTTTCTCATCAAGTTAATGATTATTTAACATACTATCAAGTCTTGATTTTTATACCTCTTATTTTTTGCACATTCTCTTTTTAATCATAAATGCTGAATCAATGTTATTTTTTTGAAGAATAACTCTCTTAAATACTGATAATACAAACTTTGATACTTCCTTTCTACTGTGGTTATATTTTCCCCATATTATCTTTTGACCTCTCTCTATGGCAGTGTCCTTTTATGAGTCACAAGTGCACACTTTATGCAGCAGTGAACCATGAAACTGGATAGGACATTAAAGACTCTGAACCGTTGTTTGGTTATTTCAGGTTATTGAGGTGTGGGTGCTAATTGAGCTTTCCTAGTCTAAAGTGAAAATAATATGTTACCCAGAGGTTCCACATCTCCAATCTTGGTTTGAAAATAAACTAGGACTGAAAACATGGAATGAAAATATATTCTTTTGTGTTTTGAAGGAATGAATATTTGAATTCAAATTAATTTTTCTTAGGGTAAGCTTTTCATTTTTATAAAATAATGTTTAATCATCTTGGGAAGAACAACTATGTAGTATATCTTCAAAAATAAAATTTTCAAATTGAATAAATAAGTATATTTCAAACTTTCGAATTAGGAAATGCCTGTATATTTTAGGATTTGTTTGGTTATATAATTATTAACTACTGCTGAAAATGCAACAGAAAATTGGAACTCAAAATTTTTCAGTTATTGCTCTCTAACCTCAAGTAATATCAAATTACGCTGTTTCAAATGGTATAGGAGACCATTAAGCTAACTGAAGACAAAGTTTAAAAGAATTATTATTTGTTACCCATAACCATATTAAGGATATGATTTATTTAAAAAACAACAACCAAAAAACTAATCCAATTATTTAAAAAACAACCACCAAAACACTAATCCAATTTACTGTTATATGGAGGCTGTAATTTTTAGTTATGGTAGATCTCGAAAGTTCATGAACCCTCTAAAATTGTATGTAATTTTTAGTGTGTATATTGTGTGTGTATGTGCGCACATGCAGGCATGTTTCTGGAGAGATAGTATTCACAACTTTCAACAGATTCTGAAAAGGCATCTTGATCCAACCAAAGTTATGAACCACTGTCACAGAGGTTACTTTGCCCATTTTCCTTTTTACTTACAGACCCCAACCCACAACTAGATTTTGTTCCAGAAGTAGTTTGTTTATGAACTGGTTGTTTGGAACTTAGACCACATTTTTCTATGAAAGTAATAATATATATTATACACACACACACACACACACACACAACATGCGCACACACACACACACGCACACAAGACATTCCCTGACTTACAGTGGTTCAACTTAATAATTTTCCAATTTTCTGATATGAAAGCAGTATGAATTCAGTACAAAACGTACTTTGAGTTCTCATGCAACCATTCTGTTTTCACTTTCAGTGTGATATTCAATTACATGAGATATTCAATACTTTATTAGAAAATAGGCTTTGTATTAGATGATTTTGCCCACCTGTAGGCTAACGTAAGTGTTCTGAGCACGTTTAAGGTAGATTAGGCTAAGCTGTGATGTTCAGTAGGCTAGGTATATGAAATGCATTTTTGACTTACAATATTTTCAACTTATGATGAGTTTATTAGTATGTTCATTGTAACTTGAGGAGCATCTGTACTTACATAAATTATAGAACCTTCACAATGGTGATACAAAGACAAATGAGATAGACCTCCCGGACTCCAAGGAGTTTATAATCCAGGCCAGTGCAAAAGGCAGGTAAAACCTATCCTCAGTTGAGATTGACCTCCTAATTTGCCTGTGACCTTCCTGTTCATTTTTCTGCAGCTATGTCAGGACTCATTCCTTCTCACCACTACACCCATAGAAGTATTAGGCAACTGGTATCCTTGGGATTCAGACACATGAGACTATAGCATGGGGACTTAAGCGTTAAGGCAGATTTATGACATGGTTTCTATGGAAAGATGTACTCCTAGTTCTAACTTGGAACCCAGGTTCCTGGGACACAGAGAGTCCTTCACTTGGAGCCTCATTAGTGGATACTGTCTGTGTGATGAATGAAGAGTACACCTCACCTCCGCCGTGGAGTCTCTCCCTCAAGAGTTCTTTACACAGCCAGAATAAAGACCTTCTCATTACTAATGACCATTTGTGTTTGAAATATTCATAAGTCAGACTTTTCTTTCTGAGGTGCGGCATGAAAAATTTTCCCCACTACCCCAATTAGGTTCTTGATGAGGGACATGATAGTTCTTTGTAGCTAGACTACATAATTTCTGGTAGAACTTTTATAATATATGTTAGTTGTTGACCAAAGGGAGAAGCTAAAGGGTGAAAGAGGGCAGAAAGAGAAAGTGGAATGAGAGGGCATGAGTGCTTCATGATGTCATCACAAGATTTAGCTTCTCATTATGCCACATAAAGAGTGGCAGTTTCTTAGTTCATTTTTCTTGCTTAGAACACCTGAGGCTGGGTGATTTATAAGGAAAATAAATTTATTTGTTACAGTTCTGGAGGCTGGAAAGTCCAAGGGCATAGCTGGGCATCTGGTGAGAGCCTTCTTCCTGGCAGGGACTCTCTGCAGAGTCCCAAGGTTACACAGAGTATCACATGGCAAGGGGGCTGAGCATGCTAATGTGCTAGCTCAGATCTTTCTTTCTTCTCTTGTAAAGCCATCAGTTCCACTCTCATGTTAGCCCATTGATCCATTAACCATTAATCTATGTATGGATTAATCCATTCATGCAGGCAGAGCACTCATGACCCCATAGCTTCTTGAAGGCTCTAGGTCTCAACACTGCCATATTGAGGATTGTATTTCATCATAAGTTTCAGAGGGGACATCAAATTATAATAGACAGTGTCAGTCTTTCTTTATAATTCTTCATGTTTTCTACAGGTCCTGGGAAAGCTTTTTAGATTAGACTGTTAGCGTATCTTGTCATTGCATATGATGTGTGCACATATTTTGAAACATGGATCAAGAAGACATGCTCCACCTATATAGATGAATAGGAGGAAATTTTGTCTTCAGAGAATACAGCAAAGAGTGGTCATGTTTTGGAGTTAAACATGAATTTACACTAAGAATTATAATTACTTTAGCCAAATAATTTTGCAAGATGTTCTTTGATTTGACTAAAAAATCTGTATGATCCAAGACCACAATAATTTTTAGCGTTATAAAAAGATGTGACTAACTTTAGAAAAGTCAGATTGGATTAGCTTGTACATTCACCATTTGCTACCAAAAAGCCAACGTAGAGGACTGTGGTCTATTTCTTAGTTACATATTAGCTACATTAAGTCGCTAATTCCTCAAATATGGAGGTGCCTCTTTATGGATATGCAAAATGTATATTATAAATTTCAAAAGTTATACATTTTATGATGTTCCTCTAATAGTTTATCTACAGGGTAATTGCTACAAACCAGTATTTTAGATAATTATACCTGTTCATATTTTCTAAAAAAAAAATAAAGCAATGTAGACAGGAAATTAGTAACAGAACAACTGAAAATTGGAATGACTAGATTCTATGTTGAGATTAATAGTCATGCATGTGCAAATAATGTTTTCCCATAGAAGATAATCTTTGTGACTTTGGGTTAGACAAAGCTGTTTTAGATTTGACATGATTCATAAAAGAAAAAAATTGATAAATAGGACTTCATCAAATTCAGGATCCTCTGCTCTTCAAAAGATGCCATTAATACAATGGAAAAAAAAAGTCACAGACTGGGAAGAAATATTTGCAAATCACATATTAGATAAATATCTTGCATCCAGAATATGTAAAGGGCATTTAAGATGCAAAAATAGGAAAACAGTTCAATTTTAAAAATGGACTAAAGATTCAAACAGACATTTCACCAGTGAAGATGTGCACATGAAAAATAAGCAGAGGAAAATGCTCAAAGTCAGTAGTCTTTAGGGAAACGCACATTAAAACCACAATGAGATACTATGTACCTATTAGAATGCCTAAAATTAAAGTGACTGACTGAATGTTGGTGAGGATGTGAAGCAACTGTTGGCAGCAGACCAGTGGTTGCCTGGGGACAGGTAGTGATTATAAAGGGATGCAAGGAAAGTTTTGAGTGTGGCGAATATGTTCAGTATCTTGACTATGGTAGTGGTTTCATGGCCATATTTGTATGTCAAAACATATCAAATTGTATACTTTATGTGCAGTTTCTAATATGATCATGATATCTCAATAAAGTTGTAAATTTTTTTTCCTGTAATGTTGCTTCCTTTGGTTTGTATTTCTGACTTAATTGGTGATAACATAGATTTTATTTCAGGGGTAAATTCTCAAGATATATGACATTTAAAATATACAAAATAATTAGATGATTAATATGGATTTTTAGTCTTTCTGGTATAAATGTCACATAATAAATCTGAATATTTTTGGTAACTGACATGTAGCTAATACTGATACGCACTTACTATAACACTCTCAGCCTCAATAGATTTAAATAATTTGACTTATTTAGAAATTTATATCATTTATGTTTTTCCCCTTTTTAAAAATACCTTTGTTATGCATGTGTTTTAATTTTTATTGTTATAAGCAAAACTTTAGTGTGATTTATGGAATAAAAAGGTAATTATAGAATATAAGTCAGTGTGAATTGCTGGTACATGTTATTTCCTTTCTGTATTGGGATTCCATGTTATGAAATATTGCTAAAAATAAGTAGGCTTTGGGGTGAGACTTGGGGACCTTTTAATTCCTGCTACAGTCAGTGGTGGTAATGGTGTATTTGGTGATGGGATTTGCCCTGTGTTTACATGGGTCCTGAGCTCTGGTGATGGGAGAGATGATAGAAGATAACTTATTCCCATCCCTGTATATTAAGCTGGTACCATGTGGTAGGACATTGAAATGGTTGTTTACACTATAAAAAATGAGTTGCAATTATAAAAACAAAGGCGGAGGAGGGAGGCCATAGAATGCTGGCATTAAATCTTATTTTTCTTAAGAGTCTGTGCAAAATGGGGCCTGGAGTTTCACTCCAGGAGCACTTTTAGCTGCTGCCACATGAAGCTTATTAAGGGCAAGATTTTCTCCTGACACCTGGCCTTTCTCACTGCTTCCTCTCAGGAGACCTCTCTTACCATTGCTTCTGTGTGGACTCCGACAGCTATAATTGGTTTAGATGTGCAGCTAGACCCTCCCCTAGTCTAAGGCAGTGGTTTTCCACCGTGGCTGCCATTTGAATCGCCACCTCCTTTCTCACCCGTTTCCCCATTGTCACTTTCCTGCCTTAAACATTTCCCTAGCTTTTTGCACTTAGAAGAAAAAGCACACTCCCTGTTGTGTCCAGCATATTCTGACTCTTGTCTCCTATAACCTCCTCTCTTGATACAGTCCTACTCCAGCTGTTATTTGTCCTGACAGTGGCTGCAAACACTTATTTACTTCTTACAAGAAGCTCTTATAATTTGATGCCTGGCAAACACTCCCTGGACTTAATAGCATAATGATATCATAATAATAACACTTTCTGCCATCTATTGAATGTTTTCTCTAACCCAGACAGTGTGCTAAGTGCTCTACAGGCATTATCTTATAATTAAGTTAGATGCAACAAGCTTGTGAAGTTGGTATTGTTATTTCCGATTTTTAGGAGACAAAACTGAGGCATAGAGTTGGGGTAATTTGTCCAGGTTCATACTGTTATTGTATGCTGGAGCCTGGCTTGAAATCTGTCTGTCTGACTCTAAATTTGCTCTTTGGTACTGACTTTCAAAAGTGTTTTGTTACGATTAAATTGTAATGATTTCATAACAGTTCCAGGAAGACAGTCTTAGAGCAAGCTGTAGAGTAAAATTCTTATTGAAATTCAAAGTAAATATTAACTCAACTTAACTGTCTTATTGGAGACAACAAACTTTTCTCAATATATTATGTCTTTATGGTAGTAAGAAATAGTGTCATGTAAAAGTTGGAAATGAACTGTGGAATCAGACAGACAGAAATATGATCTCAGCACCTGCCATTTATTCATATAGATCTCATTATCATATGTAGCAGATAATGTTCTAGGCACTGGAGATATTGTCAGTGTGCAATCCAGTGGGATGATTAAAAATTTTGGTTCTACAAGCTGTTTTTGTCTTGGAGGCTCACTATAGCACTGTAACTCTTTATTGAATGCTGTATAAATGTGATCCATCTTGGACCCTATCCTAAGGGGGTCTATTTGAGCCAGTGTTGTGACATGGCCTCTAAGGTAATCCTATAGAAAGGCTCTAGTGTAGTTTGCTTTCTTTTTTCCTTCCTCTCTTCTTTCCATCCAATTAAAATGAAACATTAAATTTAACTTTTTTAGATATAATAAACTCAGGGACCTTATATTCTAATAGGGGTAGCACAATAAACGTAGTAAATTACATTATGTGTCAGAAGATGGAAAGTACTTCGTGGGGTGGGTAATAAGATCAGGATGGGGGAAAATATGGTGAGCAAGCACAAGTTTCAGTGTGAAACACGCAGTTACTCAGGTGGGTCTCATTGAGATGGTCAAGACCTGAAGGAGGTGAAGGGGTCAGCCAGAGGGATATCTGAGGGAGGAGAGGGGAGGTAGTGCCAGCCTACAGCAGGAGTATGTAGGCCCACTGCAGAAGAACGCAGCCATTGTGATGGAGGAAATCAAGAGAGGGAAACGCTAGATGAGGTCAGAGAGGTTCAAAGTATTTTGCTGGTGAAAACAAAATGAACTAGCATACCTAAGGCACTTAACCAGAGCCTGGCCCAGGGCCACAGAGTCCCTGCCTACCTCTTACAGCTGCATCTCCCTCTGCTCCCTCTTGCAAACTTTTCACTGCATTTATAGCAGAAAGCTCTTTGAAGATGCCTCAAATATCCATGTTGTTTTAACCTTTCTACTTTTGCACACACCTAAAATGCCCTTCCCCCATCTCTTGTCATAAACTCCTTCAAGACCCACCTTGGGCCCTTGTCTGGGAACATTGCTTTGACTCCCTCTGAGGCGAGTTGATGCTTCCTTCTCTGGACCACCTGCATAGTACTGTGTATATGTTAGAAATAACACCTGGCTGATGGTAACTAACTTTAATGAGCACATACTATACACCATGCACTAAGTCCTTTAACGTGTTTTTCATTTATTTCTCACAACAACCCTATAAGGTATGTCCTATTGTCATCCCCATTTTACAGATGAATAAATAAAGCCATGAAGAAGTTTAGTAACTTGCCTGAGATCATCCAGCTACTAAGTGGTGGCACCAGGAGGTGAACCCAAGGTTTCTGGCTCCAGGACCTCTGCTCTTTCGTAATCATATTATACTGCACCTCCACCATACTTAATATATACAAGGCAGTGTGCACATAACACTGTATTGCAAGTATTAGTGTATGTGCATGTGTCTTGCCTATTATTTGTGAATTCTTTGAGGGCGGAGAACCATGTCACATTCACTTTTGCTCTTTGGGGCTTTGCACATATGCAAAGCTGTGGTGAGAGTAAAATATTCTCCTGTAATTTGTAAGACATGAGAAATATTATTCAAAATGTTAATGAAAATGCACCATTGGCTCTGAATTTCATTTGGTTTTGAATTTCATTTTAATCGTGTCATTGTGCTTCTGCTTCTCTCTAGACCAGTATTAAAGAGGGACAGCTATTGAAGCAAACCAGTTCTTTCCAAAGGTGGAAAAAGCGATACTTCAAACTTCGAGGCCGCACCCTTTACTATGCAAAGGACTCAAAGGTAACTCACGAGAATACTAGTTTCAAGCAATTGAGGCTATGGATGGATGTAAAATTTTGGTTCTGTAAGCTGTTTTTGTCTTGGAAGCGCACTGTAGCATTATGCTCTTATATGAATTCAATATAAATGTGATCTATCGGTGACCCCATCCCAAGCGGGTCTATTTGAGTCAGTCCCATAACAGGTCCCTAAGAATAATCTTTTAGGAAGGCTCTAGTGTAGTTTCATTTCGTTCTTCCTTTCTTCTTTCTTTCCAATTAAAATAAAACATTAAATGTAACCTTATTAGATGTAATAAACGCAACATTCTGGGTTTCCACCTTTTACCTTGTAAATCTTTCCCTGACCATGAGAGAGAGAGAGAGAGAGAGCTGCTATAGTTGCTAAGAATTCATGCTCTGTGTTCAGACAAGAGCTCATATCCCACTTCCAGCATATTCCAATGGAGTGGCTGTGGACAGCATGTGTTGCTGAGAGGAGGCTTAAAGGAGAAAATACACATCAAGAGCTTCCATAGTACCTGATTCAAAATAATCACTCCAGTATGCTAGCAATTAGGAATACAAATCATATTGAAATAAAATCAAGACTTAAAATATTTTTTATATAACCATTGAATCAAATAATAATAATATAGTTTTGGGAGAAGCAATTTGTAAAAACTCGTATTTTAGTATTCAAAAATAAATTAAGATTTCTGGCTACTGTGCCAGTTGAATAATTAATTATTTTCATTTTTATAAATGTATGCTCCTGATATAATTGGTAGGGTTGTACACCAGGAGGTAAAAACAAGCAAACAAACCTAATTCTAAGTTTATGTATCTATAGAAGTAATAACCATGTAAAATAATCTTATTTTACAAGTCATTATGTTCAAAATTGTCCCTGATCTGTCTCCATCCTGATTTTTCACATTTATCTCTAGACAGCATTGGCTATTTGACAGCCTCCAGTTTGGGCTCATGCTACCATCACTAGGATGACTTTTCCTTTTCCATCTGCACTTGACAAAGTTCCCTGTTTTCTTCAAGATCCCCTCAAATAGTCCTTATTCCATGATTCACGAGAGAGAGTTCAGTTTTCTGCTGGATAAATCATCTGTGATCTTCTATAGCATTTCATTGTATTTCTTCTCTTTTAATTGTCTATCTTACCTTAAAGTTAGTTGTGTCTATTTAATCTCCTGTGCTAGACTGTAGGTTCCTTCCAGTCAACGAACAAGTCTTACAGTCACATTGGTTGAATTGAAGTAGACTAGTTCTACAGTCTACTTCAGTTTCAAGTTCCGCTGTCAACTACTTCAAGTTCTAGTTTCCGCAGTTCTTGCGGTGCACCGTTATCCCTGCCTTGCTGGAACAACGCTGAATGAGTATGAACAATGAGTGACTAAAAGTGGGAAGCCTACATTTATTGACTAGGATTTCCTACTTGCTACCTTGGATGTTAAGAGTATACAAAAAAGGTCATCTGCTACTTGCAAAGCAAATTCATTACCTCATTTGAACGCATAGTTATAGATGAGGAAAATAAGGTTCAGAAGGTTCAGTTACTTGTTGTGAGCTAAGCCAGGACTGGTTCTCAGCTCTCACCTTGCAAACCTGGAAACAATGATATTGCCTCTGCCTCCCTGGCAGAGCTGTTACAAGCTTCAGAGACATTGCATTGTGCATGTGTATGCCACGCACTCAGCAGGTTCCCCGTAAGTGGTAGCTGTTATGCTTCCAGAGAGCACAGCACATTTGCATTGAAACAGTGTTCCCAGGGTGTCTTTAAAGCCCTTTTCAGTTGGGGATTTATGGATTAGTTGTACTTTATGCTTTTATTTTTCCTTTCTAGGAAGAAATTGCAGAAAGTACCACCAACTTAACTTTTTTCCCCCATTTTCTATTCCTAATTCCTGTATTGAAAAAATGTATTGAAGAGCATTGAGTTAGGTTTTCTTCTAATGTCTTTGTATGTTTTTTTTCATTAACAGTCTCTGATATTTGATGAAGTTGACCTCTCAGATGCTAGTGTAGCTGAAGCAAGCACGAAAAATGCTAACAACAGCTTCACGGTATGGTTATATTCTGCTAACTCCCTTCTCAAAAGTTATAGAATGACCTTTCTTAAGCGTGTACAGAATGCCCTGTTCAATTACAAACTGTTGCTAACTTATGCATGTTGGAGTTCCTACCAACACAATCAGCTTTAAATACACTGTATATTCTAACACCCAGTACCAGTTATGACTCAGTTAACCTGAGGTTAAATATACTTTTTAAAAATTTTATAATTTTTCCCTTTTAATTTTAGTGCTTTAAGTTTTTCACCTCCTCTAAATTAATACTTCAATTAATTCCATTGTTCTTGAATATTTAAGAAGTTTATTTACCTTCAGTCTTAAATATAATATTTTCTCCATGTAGCCTACTTTCACTCCATTTCACCCCAGTTGCCATCGTTCAGGCAGTTGCCATAGTTCAGGTCACTTCTCACTTAGGTGATTCATTCGGCAGCTCTGTTCCAGTTTCTTCTTTTCTGATCACAGATCACATTGCTTAAAAAGACCTCACTGGTTCCACATTGCCTGCAAATGGCATCCCCCAACTCAGTCTTCAGATCTTGTAAGATCATGCCTCAGCATTCTAGTATTACCAGACAATTTATTTGTCCTTCTCTGTCCCACCAGTGCAGCAATTCTACCCATGCCTATGCTTTTCCTGTTCCCTCTGACTTCAGTGATTCCTCCCCCATCTGTCACGGTGGGAATCCTACCAATTCTTCAAAGCTTATTTCAGATAACCCATTTTTTTCCAGCTTCTTTCATTCACAAAGTATGGATTGAGTTCCCACCATGTGTTAAGCACAAGAAATTCAGAGGTGAATGTGTATGTATATAATTTCCCTCAAGATATTCCTGACGTCGTTCAGCCCAATTTCATGTGGGCTACTTTTTATAACTACATACTCCCTAGGTCTTCAAAGGTGCATTGTTCTTGCTGTGTTGTCACTCCCATCCACACTCCCAGTCCTCCCTGGAAAGCTACCACTCCTGACAGCAGTGTGCAGTGTCCATCCCCTAGGCATGACAGAGCAGGGGAGACAGACTGCTAAACAGGTGCACAGCGGTGCCATGATAGAGGTGAGCACTGGTAGGGGTTGGGGGAAGAGAGGACACAAATGAATTCAGATGTTGCCTTATTGATTTATGGGCATGTGGGTTAATTCATAGTGTAAATATTCCTCCCCGTCTCCCCTGATCCCCAGGGAGAGTTTAGTTTGAGAAGAGGAAAGCCAAGAATAGAGTCCTGGGAAAATGTTAAAATTCAAGGTTTAACCAATAAAGACTGAGAGCATTCTTAAGTAAAGGAGAATCAGGAGTCAGTGATGTTATAAAAACCAAGCAGAAGAGAGTTTCAAGACAGATGCTTTGACACGTCCTATACTGTAGAGAGGTCAAGTCAAAGAAGAATTGAAAAGTGATGGTTCAATTTGTTAACTTGGAGGTCATTTGGTCCCATTGATGTGAGTAGTTTCAGTGTGGGGCAGGCTGGGGGCAGGCATTAGGCTGTACTGTGAATGCAAAGTGAAAGGCAGGCAGAGACAAGGTAGGTAACTGTTTTCTAAAAGCTTGGCTGTTAAAAGGAGAACAGAGATAGCTAGTAAAATGTTTCATCCAGAAGAGAATTTTAGTTTTGTTGTTGTTCTTTTGTTGTGTTTTAAAAATGATTTTGAATGCATTTATATGAAGAGAGGAGGAATAGTTAGAACCAAAAGTTGAAGACTCAGGAGAGAGAGGGAATGACTGATGAAGCATGATTGCTGAGTAAGCTGACGGGTGTAGGAATCAGAGCGCAGGTTAAGAGATCAGCATTGAACGGGAGACAGAAAGCTTACAGAGGCAGGTGTGACCAGGAAGTTTATATATTTCAAAACCAAATACTGTTTTCTCATTGAAATTGAAGGATAAGGTTATTTGCTGTGAGTGAAAGTTGAGGATGGTTAATAGTGGCTTCTATAGAAAAAGATAATCGAAACTGAACAGGGACCTATAGATGATTACTAAGTAGTGAGTGGTGTCTACCAAAGATTGGAGATCAAGTTTAGTAATGTTGTTACTCGCTGTGCTTATAACATTTTCTTTAAGTGGGAGTAGAGAACAAACAAATGAATTGATCCAGGGTTGGTGGTTTATAGGGCATATTGGACAGAAAGAGAAAGGGAGAGATTGCTAGATATTTGAGGGATTGTTAACTCATCCATCTCCCTGCTCTTCTCAGTTTTTGAGACTACAGTACAAAGAGTAGGGGACAGCTTTGGCTGAACAGGATCCAACAACCACTAAATGCAGAGCTTCTGATGAATTGTTGGAGACCTAAGGCCAAAACCTTGCTTATTCCTTCTTTCTTCCACTTGAAGGTGGGGTAGGGTGAGATAGAAAGAACTTCACCAGTCCTACTAGTAGGATTAGCCACTTGCTTTTCCCTGAGCAGTGAAGAATAATCGTCTCTCTGCTGGAGCCTCATGGAGGGTGAATAAGGTTTTCCCCCAATCAACATTTATTTGTTTTTTAATGCTTTTTATTTTTTTAATGACACACAATGATTGTACATATTTGTAGGATACATAGTGATGTTTCGATATATGCAATGTACAGTGATCAGATCAAGGTAATTAGGATATCCATCATCTCAAACATCAACCATTTCTTTGTGTTGCACACATTCAATATTTTCCTGTGGCTGTTTGAAGCTATATAATATGTTATTGTTAACTATAGTCATCCTACGGTGCTATAGAACACTGAAAATTATTCTTCCTATTTAGCTAGAATTTTGTATCCTTTAAGAGTTTAATCTGAAAGAGGGTTTCAGAATTTAAGATTTGAAGCATGCATTAATTTCTGGTGAAGACAAGGTCTAGGGTTTTGGAGTAGGAAATTATTCAAATCCTTATACAGGTCTTTCTTGGCCCTTCAGCTGGGCTTGTGATCTCTCCTGTAATGTCTTTCTTACAGAATTTAGCATATGCTGCCTTATACTTAGTTAAGTATTTATTTTTGACCAGGCACAGTGGCTCACACCTGTAATCCCAACACTTTGAGAGGCTGAAGCAGGAGGATTACTTGAGGCCAGGAGTTTGAGACCAGCCTGGGGAACATAGATTCCCATCTCTACAACAAATACAAAAATTAGCTGGGTATGGTGGCATGCACCTATAGTCCCAGCCACTCAGGAGGCTGATTGCTTGAGGAGTTTGAGGCTCTAGTGAGCCATGATCCCAGCCTGGGCAACAGAGTGAGACCCTGTCTAAAAAAAATTTTTTTTTGGCCGGGCGTGATGGCTCACGTCTGTAATCCCAGCACTTTGGGAGGCTGAGGTGGGCAGATCATGAGGTCAGGAGATCGAGACCATCCTGGCTAACACGGTGAAACCCCGTCTTTACTAAAAAAAATACAAAAAATTAGTCAGGCATGGTGCCACGTGCCTGTAGTCCCAGCTACTTGGGTGGCTGAGGCAGGAGAATCGCTTGAACCCAGCAGGTGGAGGTTGCAGTGAGTCGAGATTGCGCCACTGCACTCCAGCCTGGGTGACAGAGCAAGACTTTGTCTCAAAAAAAAAAAAAATTTTTTTTTTTACTATTTATTTTTATTATAACCTCCTTGAGGATAGGGACTCTGTCATACCTTTTTAATCTTATGGTGCCTTATCCATAAGTATTTGTTGATTTTAACTAATAAGATGAATGTTTATTTTAGGCATGAGAAGACTTTTTGTTGAAATATTTTGAAGAAGTTTCTTCATTCAACCAAATACTATTTTTTTAGTTTACTGGACTAGAAATATAGGGACTGGTTGGGCACAGTGGCTCACGCCTATAATGCCAGCATTTTGGGAGGCTGGTGGTAGGATCTCATGAAGCCAGGACTTTGAGACCAGCCTGGGGAACATAGTGAGACACCCCTTCTCTACAAAAAAAATCCAAAAATTAGCCAGGTGTAGTGGTGCGTGCCTGTAGTGCCAGCTATTCTGGAGGCTGAGATGGGAGGATCGCTTGAGCTCTGGAGTTTGAGGTTGCAGTGAGCTATGATTGCACCACTGCTCTCCAGCCTGGACAACAAAGTGATTCCCTGTCTCTAAAACAAAACAAAACAAAATAAAAGAACAAAGAACAAAGAAACAAAAACAAATGTAGGGACTAAAAAGTTAGGCAGATTGCTTAGGGTTTTAGAGCAAATGAATTTGGTAGAACTTTCCAGGGTATAAAATGGAGCAAGAGACATGTTTTCAACCAGTAATTGACAAACCTTCCTCTCTTTAAATATTTAAATATCTTACCTTCCTCAATTATTGTGACTGCTACTGATGCTGTTATTGTGGCTGGTTTGTGTCAGAGGCTAATGGTGCAGTTTGGTGTATTATGGCTGGAGGATCCAGGAATGGCCAAATTCGACTTCATTTCAGCCATCCCTCCTCTTGCTGAAGTTTCTAAGGGTGATATATTGACAAAGTACAATAGTGGGTGGAAACTACATAAACGGTAAATGGAAAATGGAAAACCTGTGCTTTGCCTGAAAACCCAGTGCTGAACTCTCTGGTAAAATGGGTTCTAGAGATCAGGGCAGTGATTGACCTAGCCTGGGAAGTTCCTCAGTGTCATTTCCACGACATTCAGTTGGTATTCAATTGGTATGAATGAGTCACTAAGGCCAGCCAGGCTTCAAGGGGGGCCACAGACATTAAGACAGTCGTGTCAAAGGATTTGGGACATGATTTAAAACCTACACACAGTAAGATTACTCTTCCTTTCTTGTGCAGTCTCTCACTCCCATCTCTGGAGTTAATAACTTTGTTTTTTCAGTTATCTAAATTGCCTCAGGTATTCTATTAGTTTTCTATTGCTGTATAACAACCAACCACAAACTTAGTGGCTTAAAAAAACAAAGCCCATTTATCTCAGGTTTTATAGGCCACACAGTATTGCTAGATTCTTCTGCTCCAGGTCTTACAATATAAATAAATAGATATGGGTTGGGCAGGGTGGCTCATGTCTGTAATCCCTGCACTTTGGGAGGCTGAGGTGGGTGGGTCACTTGAGGTCAGGAGTTTGAAGCCAGCCTGGCCAACATGGTGAAACCCTGTCTCTACTAAATACAAAAATTTGCTGGGCGTGGTGGCTCATGCCTGTAATCCCAGCACTTTGGGAGGCCCAGGCAGGTGGATCGCTTGAGGCTAGGCGAACCCCCCTTGTCTACTAAATATACAAAAATTAGCTGGACGTATTGGTGCATGCCAGTAGTTCCAGCTATTTGGGAGGCTGAGGCAGGAGAATTGCTTGAACCCGGGAAGCGGAGGTTGCAGTGAGCCGAGATCGTGCCACTGCACTCCAGCCTGGGCAACAGGAAAAGACTCTGTCTCTAAAAAAAAGAAAGAAACAGATATGACAAATTTATATATATACTTGTATTGACTCAAATTAAGCTAATTTTAGCCATAGTTTGAGTTTATGATTACACAAGTGTCTTCTGCCATAATAAAACTTACTAACAATGAAAGTATTTTTTTGTGATTTTAGGTGGCAGTGATGCAATCAGGGAATGGAAAAGGACAATTTCTGACAGGATTTAGGTTAATGTTTATTAATATATTTGTAGTTCAAGCCAGGCATGGTGGCTCATGCCTGTAATCCCAACACTTTGGGAGGCCGAGGTGGGAGAATCACTTGAGCCCAAGAGTTTAAGACCAGCCTGGGCAAAATGGCGAAACCCCATCTCTACAAAAAATGAAAAAATTAACTGAGCATCGTGGTGCATGCCTGTAGTCAAAGCTACTCAGGAGGCTGAGGTGGGAGGATCTCTTGAGCGGAGGTTGCAGTAAGCCAAGATCGCACCACTGCACTCCAGTCTGGGTGGCAGAGAAAGACCCTGTCTCAGAAAAAAAAAAAAAAAAAGAGAGAGAGAGAAAAAGAAAAAAAATAATAATTTATTTGTAGTTTAAGTTCTACCATGGCATTTTCTATGATTGTTAAATCAATAAAATGTTCTTTTTTGTTGTTCATTTAAAAAAATTCATTTTAAAAATTTGATTGCTATCTGCATGGTGTTCTGGAAGTTTCATTTTTATCTTTAACATAGCCCTATGCTGTATGTGAATGTATTCCTCCCAGATGAGGCTAGAGAGAATTGATCTCCTTTTGGTCACACTGATGCCACCCTGGGAAAGGGCTCCCAGACCTCCTGATGTTTAATCTAAGGCTCTTTCCAATCAGACAGAGTCCTTTCTATCTGGGTAGTCTCTGCCTCTACTGTTCTCTTTCTTCCTCAAACACTGCTCTCTTTTCTCACTAATCATGATATGTCTATCCCCAGATTTGTTTTTATTTACCCAATTTGTAGAGGATAGGAGCTTAGACCATGAAAGTCAAACAGCCTGGGTTTGGGTCCTGACTTGGCTACATCCAGTTATGTGACCTTGGACAAATGGGTTAACCTTTCTAAATCCCAGTTTCCTCAACAGTCATTGAGAATAACAAGAGTACCTACCTCATAGGATTATAAGGATTAAATTAAATGTGATAATACACCACAATACCTGCAGTTTAATAAAAGTGGCAGTTATTCTCCCGAGTTTATCATCTCCCTATTTCCAAGTAGCAGTATGTTGCCGATTCCTGAAAGTTTGGGAATTTGGAAGAAGAATGTGGATGAACTTTATCTTGAGAAAACATTCCATGCTGCTTATCTTTCAGAGATATAGCAAAGATTTATTTCCACTTTTATCTCATATTAATAACTATGACTGGGAATAATAAATGAAATTATAATCTGACCATGTTAGGTAAATGTTATTTGCGAAAGAAGAGCTATTTAATGATATGAAAGTCATCACAATCACATGGCATATGTTAACCTTTCAAAGCATGCTGTTCAAATGACTGTTTTCTTTAAATTTTAATGAAGATTAGGCTAACTCTTAAATGAGTCACAATTTTAAAGAAATTTTTGTACTGGTATTGTTAAAACTTCTTATGGAAGTTTGCTAGAGAAAGTAGCATGTGTTTTTTATTTGTTTGTTTGAAGTAGAAAGAAATACATAGGTAATTTAATTCATTTATTTAACCACCCATAACATTTTCTGGGGGCAGTCTGTAGGTGTGTGTGAAATTTCATGGGTACGGCACACCCACATGGGCTTACTCGGTTGATGAAACACAGGCACCCTCTGGTAACACTTATATTTAGAACTAAATGATCACTGGAAGAAAAAGGGATTTTAGTTCAGGGGTCCCTTTCCACAGCAGATGTGAGTAAAGTTTATTAGCATTAGATTATTATTCTTTCTACGAGGGTTTAAAAGGTCTACATAAAAAGACACCAATAAACATGAGAACATACTCTTATGGCACATCAAATATCAGAAATTATGCATTCATAATATAATTGAAATGAGCAGAGTGGGTTTTAGTGGTACAGAACAAAATGTTCTTAAGAATTCCTTTAATGTTTCCTTTCTATTTATTCTGCTTTTCCCTTAGCTTCCTCTCAGTTAATACAGTTTACTTCATCTCTCTCTTAGAGGGAGATCACATCCTTTGAACTTAAAAAGCTGTCAGTTTATTTTTCTCCATTAATCTATCAATATTTACTTACAAAGGCAATAACTAAAAGCTACTTTCTTTTCATATCACTTGTGAATGCACACACACAAAAGGTATTTAGATTATCACCTGAATAATCACTGACAAGTAAGTTGCCTACCTTATTTGATATTTGTTGTAACTGTTATATTTCTGTTCTGAATGCTTTATGTCTGATAACTCATTCAATTCTTTATATGAATCCTAGAGTGCAAGAATTATTGTGATTCCCATTTGATAGATGAAGAATCTGAAACAGAGAGGCTAACATCTAATAATATAATGACTAGAATCTGAACCTGTCCACATCATCTGGCCTCAATTTCTATCTTCATGACTTTGCTATGCTGCGTCTTTATTGTGGAGTTTTAAATAAATGTGGTTTAGGTAGTATTCCTCTAACTGGTTATTACATGTTCAGTTGTTTTTTCTACAAGTCAAGCAGAGTCTTATGCTGCATCACCAGATGAATAGCAAGCACTTGCTGGTCAGACTACAAATTTAGAATATTTCATTGTATTTTGGCACTGTACTTTAAAGAGAAATGTTGACTAAAGAGCTCACAGAGGATGGTAACCATTATTATAAAAAAGGTCTGGGAATCCTGGGATTGATTGGCATTTCAGGGCACTCTTTATTTTAAAAATTTGGAAAAATGTGACAAATGTATTTTTAATATTTGAGGCGTTATCATATAGGAGAGGCTGTAGACAGGTTTTGTGTTACTGCAGTGCGCAGGACCTGTGGTTGAATTCGTGGAGGAATAATTCAAGCTCAGTATAACAGAGAACTTTCTAACTTGAGTCATCTGATAGAACAGGCCCCTTGTGAGGTAATAGCTCTTCCCATTATTAGAAATCTTTAGTCATCTCATTCCCTGTGAGCTGAAAGGGGCCTTCAAGAAGAGAGTTCTCAGAGCAGACTCAGCTTTAGGTGCTGAAATGAATTTCTCAAGGTTAGATGGCTAATAGCAGGGCACAGCTAATATGGAATTCAGGGCTCTCAGCTCTTGATGTTTGTTGGGAATAGGCAAAGAAGAGTGGATTTAGAGACTGCTGGGCACTATGCTAGACACTTTACATATGGAGGCCCATTATACCACACAGCAAGAGCTAAATGACCATCTTTCTAGAATGCAGTTGGGGAGTTCTTTGCACAGTGTGTGCATGTGAGAGGGGGTGAGGAGAGATGGTGGAAACTGAAATTTCCTTGCAGATGCAAAGACTGTGTCTTCTTTACCACTGAATCCTCAAGGCTAACACAGTGCCTGGCACAGAGGGAAAGCTAATAAATATTTGTTGAATAAATGAAGGGATATATCCTTGTTGGATGAATGAATTAGTGACATTTGTAAACTGTAGTGGGTTTTTTTGGACAAAAAGTATTAGGTCATGTTTTGGCTTAGAGAACAGTTTTCTAATCCCTCCCTATGATATTGGTTTATATATATTATACCCATAAATTCTTGCACCCTCATTGAAATATTTATGTAATGACTTGACTATTTTATACCATGTTTACAAACATGATTCTTGCCTTTCATTAATCATTGCAGTGGTCCCACCTTTGCTTACATAATTTTTAGATGACTGATAGCAGCAAACCTCATATTTTAACATTTATATTAGTTAAAATATTTTATAGCACTCTAAAATGATGCCATATTAATGCAATTTAAGTGGTTGTGTTTTTTGCCTTTTAAAACTGATTTAAGTACAATTTAGATGGCTTTATACTCTGAAAGCTGATAATTTATGTTAAGTTTAAAATTCATATTCCTTTTTCTATCTTAGAAATTAGGGGCTTTTAGAAATGAAATATCTTATCTTTGTTTCTGTGGGTGTTTCATATTTATCTTTTTATTTAGTGATATAGCATCTTTTCCAAGACTAACCCAGAGAAATAGCTCTTAAGGTTATTATTGGCTTCCTCACACCAAAGTCTTAGGGCGTAAGAAACCATTGGTCCTTTTGTAGCTAGACGAAAATCTTGGGGTGAAGATAAGGTGTGGAAGAAGAACAGAACCGGTGTCTCCACCTTCACTAGTAGCCTTCCAGAAATCTTTCAAATGGGCTTTCTAAAGTAAGGCAAGACCCAGTGAGCATGTCCTCGGTTCTTCTGCCAACTCTGGAGCTCTGGGAACCTAGGACTTGCTTGCAAAACCAGACCAGGGGAGTCCCAGGACATAGATCAGTTTCATCAAAGGGTCCGAGGTGGTTAATAGACACTATCAATAGGTTGGGAGAGGGCACTTGTCATCCAAAGAGCTGTGTCGGACTTTCAGTCAGGGTGTCATGATCATTTGCTGTGCCTGGTGTTACCATGTTCCCCTTGCCCTTACTGAAGATCCATGACTCGGAAAACATAGTGCTCCTGCTCAGTAACCTTCAACCTGCTGCCTCTAGTACTTTTTCTGTCCTAGTCTGTTGCACAGCAGCCCACTCCCCATCTATCTGTCCACTTCCAGGACTGCCCTTAGAATTCATTCATTCATTTATTTAACAAATATTTATCGAAGAGTTCATTATATATAGCAGGCATTTG
This sequence comes from Homo sapiens, assembly GCF_000001405.40. NCBI lineage: Eukaryota > Metazoa > Chordata > Mammalia > Primates > Hominidae > Homo > Homo sapiens. The sequence continues at coordinate 42,139,739 of NC_000013.11, forward strand.
TGCTAGATTTTGGATATACAGTGCTAAATAAAAAAAATTGGCCACTGAGTACCAAATTTTTAAAAAGTTTTTGCTTGAATTTAAACAAATTTAAAGGCTATGCTGCCTGCCTTCAGGGATAGGTCCCTGTCTTTAAAGTATGTGGCCTTGTGAATAGGATTATTTGGATACCAAAAACGAGGAACTCGCCTCCCAACTGGGACTGGAAACTGTGCCATCATAGGGGCCCAGGTTATAGGAAGGAGGGGACGGAATTACAATCTTCTTAGAACTTGAGGCCCAGACCATTCAGGATTCCATAAACAAACTTCTGTGAGACTAGTTCATCTGCTCTTCTCCACAAACATGCCCCCCTCCCAGTATTTCTGAGGCCAAACCCTGGCCACTGTGTAGAACTTTTTATCCCTGAGTCTGAATATCCATGTTTTATGAAGCTGATTTCCTAGGTGGCCTTTAGCCTTTGGCACCTTGTGGATTGCCAGTGGCAGACTGCTGTCACATGAAAAGCTTGGCCAGTTATAACCTTGTATCATGGAGGACTGACCTTCCCAGTGTGTGTGCCATGTTGTAGCTCCCAGTGCATGGCCACGTGCTGTGCTGCCTCCTGGTCTTGGGGCTGGTTATAAATCTGCAGTTCACTCATGTGTTCCTATACGAGGCCTTTTACAGACTCCAAATAGATGGTCCTGAGCTGATACTGTCATTGTCACCATGATCCTGGAGACACAGCCTGTAGCTGTGTGGAAGTAAACTTCTAAAACCTGTCTCTTCTGAGAGTTACTGCATGAAAACAGGCAAGGATGGGTCAAGTTTTGGACCAGCAGCCCAAGTTCCACCAACCACTCTGTTATACAGAGGCTTCTAAGCTATGCAGAGTGCTATGAAGGGTTTATTCTTCTTTTGCCCACCTGACTGATATACTGATGTACTTTTTGAAGAAGGGCAATGGAATTTACCTAGACGTCACTGTGGTCTTGATGTGGCTGAAGTGTTTTGTTGAAGGCTCTTTAGTCCTGTACTCATTTAGATTGACTCTCACTTCTGGTCCCTTTTTGTGGTGCAGACTAAAGCCTCAAACTCTGTAAAAGACAATGGCTTGTCTCATGTAAGTATGTGGAATAGGGGCCTAATACGGGAAAATAAGCTACTGGCAGTAAAAAAATTTTATATTTTTATTTATTTTTTATTTTTTTATTTTTATTTTTATTATACTTTAAGTTTTAGGGTACATGTGCACAACGTGCAGATTAGTTACATATGTATACATGTGCCATGTTGGTGTGCTGAACCCTCCTAATGCTATCCCTCCCCCCTCCCACCAACCCCACAACAGGCCCCAGTGCGTGATGTTCCCCTTCCTGTGTCCATGTGTTCTCATTCTTCAATTCCCACCTATGAGTGAGAACATGCAGTGTTTGGTTTTTTGTCCCTGAGATAGTTTGCTGAGAATCATGGTTTCCAGCTTCATCCATGTCCCTACAAAGGACATGAACTCATCATTTTTTATGGCTGCATAGTATTCCATGGTGTATATGTGCCACATTTTCTTAATCCAGTCTATCATTGTTGGGCATTTGGGTTGGTTTCAAGTCTGCTATTGTGAATAGTGCTGCAGCAAACATACATGTGCGTGTGTCTGTATAGCAGCATGATTTATAGTCCTTTGGGTATATACCCAGTAATGGGATGGCTGGGTCAAATGGCATTTCTAGTTCTAGATTCCTGAGGAATCACCACACTGACTTCCACAACGGTTGAACTAGTTTACAGTCCCACCAACAGTGTAAAAGTGTTCCTATATCTCCACATCCTCTCCAGCACCTGTTGTTTCCTGCCTTTTAATGATCTCCATTCTAACTGGTGTGAGATGGTATCTCATTGTGGTTTTGATTTGCATTTCTCTGATGGCCAGTATTGATGAGCATTTTTTCATGTGTCTTTTGGCTGTATAAATGTCTTCTTTTGAGAAGTGTCTGTTCATATCCTTCACCTACTTTTTGATGGGGTGTTTGTTTTTTTCTTGTAAGTTTGTTGGAGTTCATTGTAGATTCTGGATACCCTTTGTCAGATGAGTAGATTGCAAAAATTTTCTCCCATTCTGTAGGTTGCCTGTTCACTCTGATGGTAGTTTCTTTTGCTGTGCAGAAGCTCTTTAGTTTAATTAGATCCCATTTGTCAATTTTGGCTTTTGTTGCCATTGCTTTTGGTGTTTTAGACATGAAGTCCTTGCCCATGCCTATGTCCTGAATGGTATTGCCTAGGTTTTCTTCTAGGGTTTTTATGGTTTTAGGTCTAACATTTAAGTCTTTAATCCATCTTGAATTAATTTTTGTATAAGGTGTAAGGAAGGGATCCAGTTTCAGCTTTCTACATATGGCTAGCCAGTTTTCCCAGCACCATTTATTAAATAGGGAATCGTTTCCCCATTTCTTGTTTTAGTCAGGTTTGTCAAAGATCGAATGGTTGTAGATATGTGGCATTATTTCTGAGGGCTCTATTCTGTTTCATTGGTCTATATGTCTGTTTTGGTACCAGTACCATGCTGTTTTGGTTACTGTAGCCTTGTAGTATAGTTTGAAGTCAGGTAGCGTGATGCCTCCAGCTTTGTTCTTTTGGCTTGGGATTGACTTGGCAATGCGGGCTCTTTTTTGGTTCCATATGAACTTTAAAGTCGTTTTTTCCAATTCTGTGAAGAAAGTCATTGGTAGCTTGATGGGGATGGCATTGAATCTATAAATTACCTTGGGCAGTATGGCCATTTTCATGATATTGATTCTTCCTACCCATGAGCATGGAATGTTCTTCCATTTGTTTGTATCCTCTTTTATTTCATTGAGCAGTGGTTTGTAGTTCTCCTTGAAGAGGTCCTTCATGTCCCTTGTAAGTTGGATTCCTAGGTATTTTATTCTTTTTGAAGCAATTGTGAATGGGAGTTCACTCATGATTTGGCTCTCTGTTTGTCTGTTATTGGTGTATAAGAATGCTTGTGATTTTTGCACATTGATTTTGTATCCTGAGACTTTGCTGAAGTTGCCTATCACCTTAAGGAGATTTTGGGCTGAGACGATGGGGTTTTCTAGATATGCAATCATGTCATCTACAAAAAGGGACAATTTGACTTCCTGTTTTCCTAACTGAATACCGTTTATTTCCTTCTCCTGCCTAATTGCCCTGGCCAGAACTTCCAACACTGTGTTGAATAGGAGTGGTGAGAGAGGGCATCCCTGTCTTGTGCCAGTTTTCAAAGGGAATGCTTCCAGTTTTTGCCCATTCAGTATGATATTGGCTGTGGGTTTGTCATAAATAGCTCTTATTACTTTGAGATACATCCCATCAATACCTAATTTTTTTGAGAGTTTTTAGCATGAAGGGTTGTTGAATTTTGTCAAAGGCCTTTTCTGCATCTGTTGAGATAATCATATGGTTTTTGTTGTCGGTTCTGTTTATATGCTGGATTATGTTTATTGATTTGCGTATGTTGAACCAGCCTTGCATCCCAGGGATGAAGCCCACTTGATCATGGTGGATAAGCTTTTTGATGTGCTGCTGGATTCGGTTTGCCAGTATTTTATTGGGGATTTTTGCATTGATGTTCATCAGGGATATTGGTCTAAAATTCTCTTTTTTTTGTCGTGTCTCTGCCAGGCTTTAGTATCAGGATGATGCTGCCCTCATAAAATGAGTTAGGGAGGATTCCTTCTTTTTCTATTGATTGGAATGGTTTCAGAAGGAATAGTACCAGCTCCTCCTTGTACCTCTGGTAGAATTCAGCTGTGAATCCGTCTGGTCCTGGACTTTTTTTGGTTGGTAAGCTATTAATTATTGCCTCAATTTCAGAGCCTGTTATTGGTCTATTCAGAGATTCAACTTCTTCCTGGTTTCGTCTTGGGAGGGTGTATGTGTCGAGGAATTTATCCATTTCTTCTAGATTTTCTAGTTTATTTGCGTAGAGGTGTTTATAGTATTCTCTGATGGTAGTTTGTATTTCTGTGGGATCAGTGGTGATATCCCCTTTATCATTTTTTATTGTATCTATTTGATTCTTCTCTCTTTTTTTCTTTATTAGTCTTGCTAGTGGTCTATCAATTTTGTTGATCTTTTAAAAAAACCAGCTTCTGGATTCATTGATTTTTTGAAGGGTTTTTTGTGTCTCTATTTCCTTTAGTTCTGCTCTGATCTTAGTTATTTCTAACATCACAATTAAAAGAACTAGAGAAGCAAGAGCAAACACATTCAAAAGCTAGCAGAAGGCAAGAAATAACTAAAAAAAATTATTTTAATTCCCACTATAAATATCTGGATATTAGCAAAAGAGAGTCTGATACACAGTAACCATCTCATTGAAACAGCAGAGCTCTGAAGAGTTTTAATATCTTGACAGTTCTATCCTGGCTAGCATGATGGAGTTCTGTTTGCTGAAATTTTTTATGTTCCATAACCTCCTTGAAAGCCAGAATCTTTGGTGTTAACTACAGTTTCTTAACTATACCTGTTAAGAAATAAGGTATAGTAGGGAGGCATGGTGCTCAAACTCTCTGGAAAATCCCAGAGATGTTTGCAACCCTATGCCTCGTGAACAACCCAAGCCTGGTGAAGTCCTGAATCACCCTAAGAGGCCCCCAGTGATGTGCACGAAAATCTTAGGGTGAAGGTAAGGGGTTCAGTGGGCCAGACCCGGTGGCTCACGCCTGTAATCCTAGCATGTTGGGAGGCCGAGGTGGGTGGATCACCTGAGGCCTGGAGTTAGAGACCAGCCTGGCCAACATGGTGAAACCCCTTCTCTACTAAAAATACAAAAATGGGCAGGGCATGGTGGCGCGTGCCTGTAATTCCAGCTACTCAGGAGGCAGAGACAGGAGAATTGCTTGAACCCTGGAGGCAGAGATTGAGCTGAGATCGTGCCACTGCACTCTTGCTTGGGTGGTAGAGTGAGACTGTGTCTCAAAAAAAAAAAAAAGAAAGAAAGAAAAGAAAGGGGTTCCATGTCCATCACACGTGGTCTTATTGACAACTCCAGAATTGGGCTTTACATCCTGTATGAAATGCTTTAAAAATATGAACACATTGTTATACCTCACAGATTTTGGTTCCATTAGACAGTAAAATCACAGTAACCAAGTAAAAGCCCACCCTTTTAAATAGGATTTAGTCTAGCCTGGCCATTCCTAGTGAATCCTTATTACCTTCAAGTGAGAAGAAAGCTCACCTAGAACAGTGTTGCAGCTAGCAGTGATTAAAGTGCTTGTGCCATGGCATTGATTCTTGCGGTCACTAGGTTGATTGTCTTTAATGGATGAGAGAGGATTAGCAATTTTGATTCCCCTTTGCATTTTATTCTTACGTAAGGATTTAATTTCCAACAAGAAAATCATGAAATTAGTTTCTGGCAAAAAGAGATTTTCTATTTACTGGTTTCTGCCTTACACATTTTTGTGGTCTCTGGATCCAGTTTAAGCTTCGCTGAGCCCAAATCTCAATTTATGAAGGCAAAAGTAGGTTTGTACTTAAGAGAGACAAATGACAATCTAGTCAGCAACAGATAAGGGAAGTCAGAAGCAAGATCTTCCTGTTGACAACAGATAGGTTGAGTGTTATCTAGTTGGAGATTTTATTTTTTAGTTGTTTATTTTGTCGGTTGCCACAGGTTGAGACTTGCTGGTAGCACATCTAAGGTCTTTGGGACAATCCTGGAACTCAGGGTTGAGGTGGAGGGTTGGCCAGCTGTCAGGATGCTCTCGGAACCTTCTGGTAAGCTGCTCCCACTGAGATGGAACTCAAGGCAGAAGTTAGTCTTTGTATCTTGGAAATAAACAGATTAGTAGTAAGAAACTATTAAAGAGAGCTGACATCTTAGAAGGTGTGGCTACACAACAGCCCTGGCCCTTGACATCAGGACTTGGTAAGGCCAAGACATCAGCGATGTCTTCCACTGATCCAAACACCAGGCAATGCCTAGTGATGTAGTTTTTTGGAATCAGTTGGTAGGGTTTCTTGTTGGTAGGGGATGCTTTGACATACTTCATTAATGCTTTGTAATAATCTAGCATAACACTATTTAGTATGAAATGTCTGACAGTAGTTAGCTACTGGGGGAGTAACTAGCAGCCACATAGGCCTAATATTTCAAGTGGCAAGAGTCACAGCATTCTGTGTTATAGATCTCATGTTTGTAAGAGCAGTAGGCTGAGTGTTTGGCCTTTGTGGTCTGGTTTCTGCACAAATTTTGGTCATTTTATTTTTCAAAATTCCGCCAGTAAAGGGTGCTAATAATAACTAATTTTTCCCAATTACTCAACAATATTATTAGAGCTGCCCCATTTGTTAGAACCATAATGTGAGAAAAGCTGTCAGTACAAAGCAGTTAATCCTTTTCCCTTTGGAGCCTTTGTAAGAGTTCAGATTCTGGGGAGGCTTTTTTTTTTTTTTTTTTGTACAGGTAAAGTATTCATATGAATGTACTTTAGATTGCATGGACCTTTTTAGGAAAATGTAGGATCTTGTCCACCAGCAAGGACAGACGTGACTATCCTCAAAATGACTGTAGATAAACTTCTAAAAGGCGTTTACCTGAAGTTTAACACAATATCAGGACACACACTTTATAGGACAGAGTGTAAAGAAAGGTTTTCAAGTCTTTAGATTCATCAGTGCCTTCACTACTATCATTATCTGGAATCAGCAGGCGTACTGAAGTGTGCCATTTATGTGTACAAAGACATGTATACAAGGATATGATTGCACATTGTAATAGCAAAAGATTGGAAACAACCCAAATGCACAAGTTAGAGACCCGTTGGAGTAGATTGTGAAATATATCATGCAATGGAATGTTATGCAGCCATTAAAAAGATGAATGAGTTCTGTCTGTAACAATACATACCAAACTTCAAGTTTTATTCAGTAGGAAAAGCCAGATGGGAAACAGTGTGAATTGTAAGATGTTACTCTGTGTGTGTTTGTGTGTGTGCACACATGCATGCATTTAAACCTCAACAGAGCATATAGTTGTTGTATATGGATAGAATATCCCTGGAGAGAAATACAAGAAGATAAATAGTTGCCTTCAGTAAAGGAAGTCAGTAGCTGGGGGCAGGCTTAGGAGGGATATGTGCTTTTCATTCTAAATACATTTTGAATTTTGTATCATAAATGTTTATTGCCTATTCAGAATTTTAAAAAATGCTACATGGGACCCACCTTCTGGAATGCATTTGATAGGAGTGATGGATTCAGCAGGAAGACCACCTTAGACACTGTCAGGATGTTCAGGGAAACCAGGATAAGGACATAGATTAGCTTGTCTGCACTGGGAAGGAAGGAAGGGCTAGATGAGAGACTTTGTGCACAAGGACTGGAGAGCTGTGTGGCCGAAGGGAGGGGAGAAGGAGAGGAGGAAGTGAATGTGGAGTTACTGATTTGGGGAGGATTGGTATATAAATGATGCCTTTAATTAAGAGTTGAAAATGGGAATAAAAGCAGGTTGGTAGTGGGGGTTGTGAAAAGAAGACTTCAGGTCCAGACATGGTGAATTTGAAGTGATGTGAGATACCCTGGTGATGTCTTGCAGTCAATTCAGAGAACAGCTTTAAACACTATTAAAATGGCTTAAAGTACTTTTTTGCTATCATTTTCATAGTTCTTTTGAAGTTTTTAGCATACTCAAATATCTTTTCCATTCCTTAAGTATGATTATGGTGTAATGGAAAATTTAGGTTTTAAAAATATTTTAGTTTTGTGGTGACCAATACAAAACAAGATAATTATTTTGTTTTGAAATTTCCCATTACATATGTGTCTTGTACAAAGCCATTTACCGTTATAAACTAAAAGAGCTTGTGCCAAGGGAATGAGACTAATGGATTGTTCCAATCTCTGGTACAGTCGGAAAATATTAAATGAATGGTAAAACATTTAATGTGTCCATTAACTAATACTGCTAATTTACAGTGGGAGTGTGTGTGAAAGCCTACATAAATAATTTCTGAAGTCACTGTGATCCCTGTAATTACAATTAATACTGAAAAAACTTCTCAATTTCCCATGTGCGTTGTAATAGTTCCAAAACAATGCCCTGTGTTAATATATATCTTGTAAATATTTTGTTCTCGGAAGGTGCCTGGCTTACATAGACTTGCCTATGTGAGTGAATGAAGTCATTATTACTATTATTATTACTAGCCAGCACTTTCACATTTCCTTTCTTGCTCACCATTTAAAAATGCATAGTAAGGTATAAGGCTGAGATGCAACTGTGCAGCAGCCCTCAATATTGTTCTTAAGGGGAGAAAAAGTGAGCAGCACGTGCAGTCTTTTCTGCCTGTCCTTTCAGGATAATGTCAGTAAATTCTTTGCCAATCCTTCATTCTCTCGTAGATGGCTAGGGAGGAAGGCAGATATAGTTTCAAATCTTACCTACACATCGTGACCTTGGACAAGTTGCAAACCTTTCTAAGCCTTAGGGTCCTCCCAGCAAAGGACTGCTTGCCACTCTTTGAATTATGTGGATGAAATGAGATGATATACCTGGCCTGTTATAATTACTCCATAAATGGTAAATCTTAGTATTTTGGACTTGTGAAATGATTTCAACTCCAAACATGAATAATGGAGTCATCTAAACCCTCCCTCACGGTCACTCCTCACAATGAGTTAGCAAGTCCCATGAATTCTACCTCCTAAAAATCTATGGAATCCTTTTTTATCTCTGTCAGCTGCTGAAATCTTCATGGAGTGCTCCTATGCACAGCAGCCTCACTGCACCCCTAACTCATGCCCTGCCATGCCTTTCCTGCCATTTAATAAGAGTCTCCCACCACGGCTTTCCACTACCAAGTGGACCATCTACACTGCTGCCCTGCCAGTTATCTTCCTAAAATGAGTATCTGGTTTGTGTCTCTTCCTGGCTTAAACCCCTTTAGTAACCGTGCTCTGTCACTTTTAGGATCAAATCTGTACTCTTTGGTGTGGTTAAAAGGTTCCTCATAATTGCCCCTCTGCTTTTATTTTCCATTTGCAGCCCATGGTTGTCACATCACGCTGTTTATAATGCCCAGCCCCTGCCTGATCTCTCTTCTTCAATGTGCTCATGTGTCCCTTGGCTTACAGTATCCATGCCTTCTCCTTCTCCCTCCTTGTGGCTTCTTCCCCGCCGACATACACAGGAAACCTTACTTGGCCTTCCCACCCACAACCCCGCCCGCCCCTTCTTTTTTTTTTTTTTTTTTTTTGAGACAAGTCTCACTCTTGGCTGGGCTGGAATGCAGTGGCGTGATCATAGCTCACTGTAGCCTCAATCTCCTGGGCTCAGGTGATCCTCCTGCTCCGGCTTTCCCAGGCATATGCCACCATGCTAGGCTAATTTTTGAGTTTTTGTAGAGATGGGGCCTTGTGATATTGCCCAGGCTGGTCTCAAACTTCTGGCCTCAAGTAGTCTTCCCACGTTGGCCTCCTAAATTGATGGGATTACAGACATGAGGCATCGCTCCTGACCTCTTCCTCCCTTCTTATTTGAGTATCTTCTTCCCCGACAAAGCATTCTCAGATCCTCTAGTCTTGGTTAGTTTCCCCTTCACTGTGTTCTCATTGCACCCCAGATGTTGAAAGCATAAATACAGTTCAGATCACGAAGGGTCTTGTAAGCCATGCCAAGTGGTTTAGAAGATGACAGGAACCTACTCCACTGAAATTAGTTTCACTTATCTGTGTTTCCCCATTGGACTGTGAGCTCTCTGAGTGAAAGGACTGGGTATTTCATTTCTGTTTCCTGGAGGCTGCAACATTGTTTGGCAGAAAATAGGAATACTTTGTATTTTCTAATGAATGAACGGATGGATTCAAATGGAGAGTGTAAGTTTTAAACTATCACAATAGGTGACCTTCTGCACTTTGCTCACAACCTTATAGCTTATCTAACCCTTCACCTTTGCCCATCACTGAAAACATTAACATACTCTGTTGTTGGATTGTCTTTTAGAATAAAGTCACAAAACAGACATGAAGTGGGTGCAGCAAATCAAATGTTAATATGTAAGTGGAGAAAAGTGCTATAAAGATAAGAATAGCATGTCGTGATGGAGAATAAAAGGGGAGACCTTAGATAAACTTATAAGGGAAAACCAGAAAACTCTTATTTTTCAAACACTTGTTTATTGAACTCACAAGGAGCTCACAAACTTGGAGACACTAGGCAAACTACATAGAATTATGCTGCAGATTTGTGTGGCTTGCGTGTCAGTTTTGAGTTCTTTTATTTACCTTGTAAAATATGCTTGCTTTATATTGGCAGTGTAGTATTAATTGACTTTAGTCTGTTCTTAGAGTACTAAGTACTTTTTAGATTTTTAAAACCAATTTTAGTAATAAGACATAGCTATGTATTATATAGTGAAATGAAATTATGCTTAATTATTTTAAAAATTATGATAGGAAAAATAATTTTGTTATTGGTAATCTGAAACTTTCTTTCCATATCTTAACCTTTTTATTTCTGTTGAACAGTTGTTTTTTATGACCTTTGAAATCTTAGAGTTCCATATAACAAAATATGGCAAAATGGATTGTGCCCTAGACAGGGTTCCATGGACTACGTGGAGGAGCCTGAGAAATAGGCACTATTTGTCTAGTATAACAGGAGAAAGAGGTTGTGATTTAAAGCTGAAAGACCTGACTACATCTTCTGCCTGCGTGACTTACCAAGTTTGCAATTTTAAAAAAGTTACATTTCTTTTTACCTCTTATATACACCAGTTACATGGAAGATTAAATGAGATGGTGAATATGATCATATTGATAGCAAAGCACTTTGAAAATGTAAGATGCTGCGGAAGTAATCCTTCTGTTTATTTATCAAAATCAGAGCCCCATTAAGTGTCCTGTGTTTAATGAGCTTAATTATTAGTTCTTTTGGTTGTTTGTAACCATAGATATTAATTGATATTATTGAAATTACGAATATAAGAGAATAGATTTCAGGTATTATTGATTTACCAGTTTATTACAATATCAAAATTTGTAATTATTTTTTTTATGGGTGTGGTAGGCTGAATAATGGACCCCCAAAGATGTTCACATCCTAATCCCTGGAACTTACAGAATGAGTGGCACGTTACCTGGCAAAAGAAACTTTGTAATTGTGATCATGTGATCTTCATATGAGATGATCCTGGATTATCTAGGTGGGCCCAGTGCAATAAGAGGGAAGCAAGAGGAATCAGAGAGTCAGAGAAGGTGTGACTATGAAGGCAAGAGGTTGGAGAGATGCAAGGAAGGGGCTGCAAGCGGAGGAAGGTAGGCAGACCCTGGAAGCTGAGAAGGGCAAAGACATGGATTCTCCTCTAGAGTCGAGAGTCTCTGGAAGGAATGGAGCCCTCCCAACATCTTTATTTTATTTTATTCATTTTTAAAAATAGATTTAGAGGGTACAGGAGCAGCTTTATTACATGGATATATTGCATAGTGGTGAAGTCTGGATTTTTAGTGTAACCATCACCTGAATAGTGCACATTGTGCAAATTAAGTAATTTATCATCAGTCACCTCCCTTCCACCCTTTAGAGTCTCCAGTGTCCATTATTCCACACTATGTCCATGTGTACACATTATTTAACTCCCACGTATAAGTGAGAACATGTGGTACTTCTGCTTCTGAGTTATTTCGCTGAAGATTAATGGCTTCTAGTTCCATCCATTATTCTGCAGAAGACATGATTTTATTCTTTTTTGTGACTGAGTAGTATTCCATGGTGTGTGTGTGTGTGTGTGTGTGTGTGTATACACATGTATATATATACACGTGTATATATATATATACACGTGTATATATGTAGTTTCACTTATATGTATACACACACACACACACACACACACACACACACACACCCCATGGAAAACTACTCAGTCATAAAAAAGAATAAAATATATATATATCACATTTTCTTTATGCAATCATCTGTTGATGGATACTGGATACTTAGGTTGATTCCATATCTTTGCTATTGTTAATAGTGTTGTAATAAACATATAAGTGCAGGTATCTTTTTAATATAATGATTTCTTTTCCTGTAGGTAGATACCCAGTGGTGAGATTGCTGTGTCAAATGGTAGTACAATTTTTAGTTCTTTGAGAAATCTCTATACTGTTTTCCATAGATGTTGTACTAATTTACATTCACACCAACAGTGTACAAGCATTCCCTTTGCTCCACATTCTTGCTAATACCTGTTGTTTTTTGACTTTTTAATGACTGCTCTAAGATGGTGTCTCATTGTGGTTTTAGTTTGCATTTCTCATGATGAGTGATGTTGAGCATTTTTTTTGTATGTTTCTTGGCCGTTTGTATGTCTTTTGAAAAATGTCTGTTCCTGTCCTTTGCCCACTTTTTAATGAGGCTATTTGTTGTTGTCATTTTGTTCAACATCTTGATTTTAAACTTCTGAAATCTACAACTTTAAGAGAGTACATTTGTGTTGTTTTAAGCCACTAAAATTGTGATAATTTGTTACAATGGCAATAGGAAACTAGTACAATGTGGATTGACTAAACATTAATAACTATAATTTGTTTGAATTCTAAGAAATTAAATTCTAGCTTTGTCCAATAGTCTTCAAAAGAAATGGTGGTGAAATTGAATTCTAGCTTTGACCAATAGTCTTCAAAAGAAATGGGGGTTTATTATTGAACATATGATTATATATGTGTATATATATATATACATACACACACATATATATACATACACATGTATACACACACATACACACACAAACATATATATATTATATATATATATAAATCACATAATAAGATACCCCAACAAGTAACACATGAAGCCTTTCTTGGTGATTCCTCAAGGCCAAGTCCTTTGTCATGTCATTTTCCCATGGAAGGCAGGGCAGAAGGGCACAGCTGCACAGGGACCTCTTTATTCTTGATGGTTTCACTATCACCTTCTATTTTTGATGCTCTGGTGAACCAGAGACTTCTGTGAAGTAACAGTTAGAACCATGATTCTGAAATACAGGCTTAAAGACATTAAGAGGGGACAGTTCCCTGGACTCCTCCGCGGGACCTGTGACAGGGGTGGGAGGGGTGGCTTGTTTCGCTGGGCCGAGTTCAAACCCATTGTGGGAGGGGGAGCACATGGGCCAGCAGGTCCTGGGGCAGGTGTGAGTGCTTTTGGGCTCCAGCCCCACGGTAGCATCTGGGGGTGTGTTACAATTAATGCTCTTTTAGCAGTTGCTGTCCGTGGACAAATCTAATCAGTAGATTTCTTAATCACAAGGCCTATAAATCAAAATAATTTTCCAGTTTTTTTTGCCTCTGGAAAACGTAACTGTATTAAGTGTGTTATGATCTTTCCTTGCTCATTACTGTTCACTTTAAAACAAGTTTTTATTGAAAAGGAGAAATTGCAAATGTATACATTTTACTTTAGTAGTATATAAGTACACATGGTTTATTTTGCTGAAATCATTTAGAATTGAGGCATTTGTGTAATTCCAAATACACAAAGAAAAATTAGAAGCTATTCTTTATCCTTCTTTCTCCCCTTTTTCTTGAATTCACAATGACTTTACAAGACATTTAATGTAAAGGCACTAAAGACAGTTAAAACCATTAGTCATCATGCTTTACTTAGAATTCAGCAAAGAACAAAGTTAAAGAACAAAATAGCAAGCCTGGTTTATTTGTCTGAATAATGCTTGTCTCATGATACTTTATCTCATATAAGGGAAGGAGAGGAAATCCTTAGTTACATCATATAAGGTAGCAAAAAATAAATACAATAAATGCTAGAGACAATATTTATTCAGAAAACATCAGTGAGTCCAGTGAAACTTGGAGACTCTGAAATGCTGTGCCAGTCATTAGAGCCAGGAGTGTATTATGATTTAATGGTACCTCTCTGCTGCATCTCATGAGCTGTCCTAGAAAAACATTTTGAAGCAATAAAGCATCCATTTGGCTCCTAAGTAATGAGAGGCATTGTTCTTTGCATTAACTATTTATTCAGGAAGAGAAGTGACCAACTGTTAATAAGCTTTATCCAAAGAGGGTCGTGGAAAACAAGAAAATGCAAAAGTGAGGTTCTCTTCAATTTCATATGCAATTAACAAATATCCAGAGCTGACTGATTGGTGCTCCTCTTCCATGTGACTTTTGGCTGGCTGTATTTAAGGGTGAGTGCCTGTTAGATGTATTCAAAGCTTCTGGGTTTAAGGAAGGATTCTGTAGCCTAAACCCATGACAAATGAGAGGCGGCAATGACTCGTGAGTAGCTAAGACTGGATTGATCTCTGTTGTTTTGAATATTGGACTTATTTTCTAAGATGAATAGTAATGATTTAGGCTTACTAGTTTATTCCTTTTGGGAAGGATTCTTTTTGTTTGTTTGTTTTAGAAGATTATTGCTTTTTCATTACTTGTGAAATCTGCTCTATAATCCAATGTAATGTTTAGACTTATCACTTGATCAAGAAGCTTTTAACTTGAGAAAAATTCTTATTTGGTATATAAATAGGTATGTGCTTTATTCTTTGGAAATAGTTTCCAGGTAGGAATGCAACATTTTTCTCTTGTTCTGCAAGTAAATAAATGATCTCTTCTTGACAGTAAATGTGTAGGATTTAGTAACTTTGAGATTCCAACCAGAATATTGTATTCACAAATAAATAGGGGCTTCTTTCAAGTCATTTCAGAACCTTACTTTGAAGCACTTTGATCCTATGAGAGTGTGAAGTTTTCATTCCACTTGCTTTAAGGTCCTTAATATAATTAAGTTGCCTTTTTAATAACATGAGAAAAGATAAAAGTCGCAATTCTTTCCTTCCCTAAAGCCAACAAAAGGATGTTTATGGTAATTCTTTGTCCCTGCTCTCGCTAAATACTAGTACAGTGGAGTTCTACACAGTGGGGGAAGAATCTTCATAAATCATTAAAATAGACAGTGGAAGTGATATGTAAACTCAATATTATTTAAATATTAACAGAATATTCTTGATACCATAATAAATCAATTAGGTGGCCGGGCGCAGTGGCTCACGGCTGTAATCCCAGCACTTTGGGAGGCCGAGGGGGGCGGATCACGAGGTCAAGAGATCCAGACCATCCTGGCCAACATGGTGAAACCCTGCCTCTACTAAAAAAAAAAAAATTAAGAAATCATTTAATATTGCATTCCTTTGATTTTTAATTTAAAAATATTTTCCATATTGAAAACTATGTATTCCTGCTAAGCTTACTATGAATTATTTTGAAGTATATTTAAAATCAGTTTGTAAGATGTATTTCGTGGAATAAGAATGCATTGTGTATTTGGGTCCATAGCCTTAGAAAAAAGGGCTAAAGAGCCCAAGTCAGTAGCAAAAGGATCAAAGGTAGAAAAACTCCTTAGGCTTTTTCTTTCCTAGACCACATTATTTTATCATACAGATTACAAAAACGTAAGAAATAAAGACTCAAGTTAGAAATGGAATTACCTCAGAAGATGTTAGGTTTTGCAACAATCTTTCTCTTTGGGTATTAACAATCATTAGATTGAATTATCCCTTTCAGATCATCACTCCATTCAGAAGGCTAATGCTGTGTGCTGAGAACAGAAAGGAGATGGAGGATTGGATCAGCTCACTGAAGTCTGTACAGACCAGAGAACCCTACGAGGTAAAATAGCATCTTTTCTTTCATCTCGTGTTCTTAGGAAATAAATGTTAACCAAAGGGCTAGAGCTCTACCGTGCAAACATAAGTATGTGTACACTCATTCAGCAACTTGTTTAAACCAGATTTTGAAATTCTTATCTTAAAGCAAAGTGCTTTGGTTTTAAAAATGATGGATTTGAAAATTTGACCATAACTATATGCATTCCAAACAGTTCAGCATCTGTAGCCTTGTTCACTGGCTTGGCAAATCTGTCCTCACATCTCATTTCTAGGTGGCCCAGTTTAATGTGGAACATTTCTCAGGGATGCACAACTGGTACGCCTGCTCCCACGCCCGACCCACCTTCTGTAACGTGTGCAGAGAGAGTCTTTCTGGAGTCACCTCCCATGGCCTGTCCTGCGAAGGTACTGTAGCACCTAGCATGTGTTTTCTCCCAACAGTAACCATACTGTAGACATGCTGCCACTGGTTTTATTGTAGCTTAAAATTGAGCTCTCCACACATAGGACTAGCTTGGAAAATATTTTTGCTCAGGAAAAAAAAACATAGTCATTTAAAGGAAACATACATCAAAATACAGCATTTCACCCCCAAGAAACTAGGAACTACTGTCTAAAAAAAAAAATCTTTGGACTTTGTATAATCATTCTGGTATTCTTTATTCTGGTTGATTATGGAGAGCAAAACTTTTTGTGAGGACAGTATATACTCTTTGGCAGAATTTCTGATTGTTAATTATATTGCATTGTTTTAAATATTGTTTTCTTTCATTTCATTTGTTTAATCTGAATAGGTATCATCCTTTTTAATTTCCTTAAAATTTTCTAAAAATAAGGCCTATGCTGTTGTTACTTTGTTTTGTTTCGAGAAGGGGTCTCACTCTGTCACCCATCCTGGAATGCAGTGGCATGATCAAGTCTCCCTGCAGCCTCAGCCTCCTGGGCTCAAACGATCCTCCTACCTCAGTCTCCCTAGTAGCTGGGACTACAGTCAAGCACCACCACACCTGGCTAATCTTTTTTTTTTAAGTTTTTTAAGTCTCACTATGTTGCCCAGGCTGGTCTCAAACTCCTGGGCTCAAGCAATCCTCCCACATTGGCCTCCCAAAGAGGCATGAGCAAATTTGTGAGTTATTTTTAATATAAGAGCAGTGACCACCAAAAGCAAATACATTAATAATTGCCAACAGAAAACTCATAACTTCTTTAGATTTATTTTATTTCATACTTCAGTGATTACACTGTTGTATACTACTTTTTGAACTATATATGATAATAATAATACCAGCTTTTTTTCTCTAATCCAAAAATTTCGTAATTTGGAATATCACTTATTTATAATTAAGTAATAAAGTAGTAATAGAATCACAGCCTTAATTGATTTTAAACTATAAAATCTGTGATATGTCATTGTTTCAACTATTTAATATGATACACCATAGTGGTTAAGAATAGAGCTCTTCAGTCAAACCCTCTTCCACTTCCACCATTACAAACTATAACCAGGAGAAGTTGTTTAACTCACTTAGGCTTTCCTCTCCTCATCGATAAGATGGGGATAATAGTCATTTATGCCTCATAGAATCACTATAAAAATTAAATGAGGGAATACATACAATAAAACTACTTTTCTAGTTCAATAAATTGGAAGAAGTTTGTAACTGTTTTGTAAGAAACTTATTCCAAATTTGCATCATGGGCTTGATGCATTAAAATTCATGAAGGAGAAAATTTGGAGAAGGCATTAAAGCTTTCTTTTTAGACTTAAAGAATGATTGCAAAAGAGATCTGATTGGCCTGTATTATGACTTTAGTAATCTAAAAGGATTCACATAGAGCTGAATAACTCCTACCAGGTCTGTAATATGGTATTATTTTAAAGATTTTACTAAAATCTTTATTCCAAAAATGCTGAAAAGACACCACATCTGAGACACTCTGTGGTACCCTTCTGATTTGAGTGTTATACATTATTAAATATTTTTATTTAAAAATTGAGTCAGTAGTGGAATGACTGAGTATTTTTCTAAGCATTTTAAAAGAAAAATGAAAATTACATTATTTGGTGAGAATAAGAAACTTAAAAGTCTTTAAATAAATTTGTTATATTCGGCCGGGCACGGTGGCTCACGCCTGTAATCCCAGCACTTCGGGAGGCCAAGGCAGGCGGATCACCTGAGGTTGGGAGTTGTAAGCCACCACGCCCAGCCTCAAGTGAAGTATTATTTTCTATATGAAGTCTGTGTTCTAGTTACACACTCATTTATAACAAAAATGGTGGAAGGGAAAGAATTTTTCAAAGTACACAAAAGAGAAGGTAAGCAAAACATTTTCAGTGTGTATACATTATTATCATTATTATTATTGTTATTATTTTTTGAGACAGAGTGTTGCTGTGTCTCCCAGGCTGGAGTGCAGTGGCATGATCTTGGCTCATTGCAACCTCTGCCTTCCTGGGCTCAAGCAATTCTTATGTCTCATAAGAATCCCGAGTAGCTGGGATTACAGGCATGCGCCATCACACCCGGCTAATTTTTTTATTTTTAGTAGAGACAAGGTTTCACCTTTGTGACCAGGCTGGTCTCAAACTCCTGACCTCAGGTGATCCACCACCTCAGCGTCCCAGAGTGCTGGGATTACAGGCGTGAGCCACTGTGCCTGGCCTAGACGAATATTTTTCAAGGATAAACCAGCTCAGTTTAACCATCCATTTGTACATAGACTAGTCATGATACCTGAAGCACTTTGAACATTTGGCTAAAGACATCTTAGTTATTTTACCTGAAACTTTTGTTTTCGTGTTATATCCAATTAAGACAGTTTCAAGAGAATGGTGTGTAATGCAAAATTTGTTAATGATTGACTTAGAAATCCAGAAAAATCACATGAAAAGGAGATACCTTTCATTTAAATTTAGCAACACTTACCTTAGTATGTTTCCACTGAAATGCTCTCTACTTTTAACTGTTTAGCTAAAAGTCAGGAGCTGACCTAATATCAGTATCCCCTCATACTTGAATAATTTCCTTAGAGAGATAAACATGTTTAATAATAGTCAAGTTCCAATTTTTGTAAGTATGGTCAATTTTTCAAATAACCTATAGTTCATTTGTTTTTCCATATATGTGCTGCTTTTTTTCCCTAGTTATTTCCTCCAATTTCTCTTTTATAAGTTCCTTTTGATAATATGGCTGGGGAGATTTAGTGAAGCCTGTAGTGACAACATCACTTCATCATCCCTTCTTTCTACATTTGTCATTTGGTCATCTCAACATAATACTTTCCAAAGATAGGGCCGTGTTGGTCACCCTCACCAACCTATTTTCCATGATGCCTGGCTGTCTTGTTGGTATACTTGCACTTTACAGCCCCCTGGATCAACTTTATCGTACTGACATTTTCAGACTTATAATCAGTATTTTATATGTATAGAAAAATACAATACCAGAAATGTACAGCTTGATGAATTTTCACAAATTAAACACATTCGTATAATCAGCACCTACATTTAAAATGGGATGTCACCAGCAGACCTGCTACCAAATTTTATTTGCTTCCCTCTCTCCCTCTCTCCTATGTGTGTGTTGTCTGCCTTCTCAAGCAGTAATTCTTTTGCATTTATTTCTTTTCTGTTCCTCTAAGTAGCAGTCTACTTATAGCTTTATAAAAGTGCTTCATAAATACATAGCCGTATTTGTTTTCTAGAATACCATTACTATTGTTGCAGAATAATTTAATCTTTTAAATATATTTGTTTTCTTCTACTTCCTCCTTCCCTTTTAAAATTTTATGCTGTGATTTCCTTTAATCATTGGTCCAAAATTTCTTGTCCACTTAAAAGCAGTTGCTCTTTTTTTTTTTTTTTTTTTAGTGTGTAAATTCAAGGCTCACAAAAGATGTGCAGTGAGAGCAACAAATAACTGTAAATGGACTACCCTGGCCTCCATCGGGAAGGACATTATAGAAGATGAAGATGGCGTAAGCTGCTGCTCTGTCTCTGCTCTCTTCCCACTAACTCCTCTTTTATGTTCTGCTCTTGTGGAAGCTGAGAAAGATAAGTAGGAATGCTTATTATTAGGATTTAATAGAAGGTTTGGTTGATTCTGAGTTTTTATTTTTAATTCAATCCTTCATAGCTTCTTTAGCTCTTAGATTTTGAAGGAAATCTGTTGTGAATAGGGCTTAGAAGTGGCCGTTGTGCTGGGCTGTTGTTGTCGACCTCTGATGAACTCTGAGATGTTCTTTAAGGCTTAGCTGAGAGGTTCACTCTTCAGACATTGGGGTTGCCTCTCAACAGTATACCTCCACTTTCAAAACCTCACCTCCACTGCACCATGCATATGGATTTCTGGGAACGCTTAGTGATCACTTTATTGTAATCCCTTTACATGCCTCAGCTAAATCTACCTGAACCCTGAAGGGAAAAGCTTTTACCTTACTTTTATATTCCTTGAACGTTCATAATAGATGCTCAATAAACGTGGGGTAAATGAGTGAATGCTATGCATGAAACGTACTACTGACCCTCTAGAGTGAGAAATGATTCAAAATCTCCCCTGGGGTAAGGTTGGTGTCCGCCAGTCTTCACCTGGCTGCCCTTTCTTCCTTCTCCACAGGTCGCGATGCCTCACCAGTGGCTTGAGGGCAACCTGCCTGTAAGTGCCAAGTGTGCTGTCTGCGACAAAACATGTGGCAGTGTTCTCCGTCTACAGGATTGGAAATGCCTTTGGTGTAAGACAATGGTGAGGGTTTTGGAATCAGTTCATCCTTTTTAATTAGCTTCTTTCCCTAACTTTGTCATCCACGTGGTTTAGAGGCAAAGCAAAGAATTTATGACAGAGCTGAACCTGGTAGCATACGCATCTCATGATGACATTCTTCTTTCCTTACAGTATAGTCCTCCTAGTCTGGTCATTGTTTCAAATGCCCTGTAAAACTTATTCTTGTTCATCCGTGTCCTGTGCCTCAGGATCTCTTACCCATAGTTGTATTGTTTTTTCATTTTGCTTTATCAACAAAGTGATTTGCTGTATTCAGGCCTATTTTACTACCTGAAAGCCCTTCTCTGGTATGTCACCAAATTTTGGTTGACATGTGACATGTAAATTTGCTACAACCCTACCAGTGCTCTCTGACAGAGGTGAACAGCACATGCAGCCGAACATGAAGCCAACAGCTGATTATTTATGCCAGATATGGTGAGGACAGGGCCTCTGGACTGTGTGAAGACAGTCAGAGTAGGAAGGAGATCATGTAGACAGTGGCATGGGACTGAAAAACTGCAGGATGAGGAGGTCGTGGGTGTGAGCGTTCATCTCAGCACTGGGCGATGCTGCTCTACAATGATAGTGATTGCCTTGCACTGGGGCTGACTTATTTGGTGGTTTTGAGTCTTGTCTTTTAACATTGCTGGCTGAAATTTGGAAGCCAGCCTCAAATTTTAAAATATGGAAAAACTATTGTTTTTGGTATGTATGGTGTAGATCAGCAAATGTAAGAGATGTGTGATGTATTGCTTTCCTAATCAATGAGATTGTCTGATAGGCTACAAAGGAAAATAAGTCCTACAACTTTTTAGTTAGGCCTGATAGGTAAATCTGTGTTTCTTTTCTTTGTCCTCATGCTTTTGTTATTCTTCATTGATTGCCTCTTTTACTAGCCTTAGATATGTTACTAATACTTTTTCTCTTATCTCATTTAATCTAATATATAGACTGTAACAGGTGTCTCTCTTTACAATCTTAGTGCAAGCCTAGCCCCTAAAACCTTGTCATGCCATTTTTTTATTTTAAAGGAATTCTACCCATAAACAAGATTTTAAATCATCATTCCACCTCAGATTTCTTTTTGAGAGGACAACCACTGATAACAAATTTTCCTGCTATTTTTATTGGCCTGTACATTTACTAAAGTCGATTTCTCTACTTCTAGAGCTTCAACTGTTCACTTCCAATGTATTAGAAAGAAAACACGGCCGGGCGCGGTGGCTCACACCTGTAATCCCAGCACTTTGGGAGGCCAAGGTGGGCGGATCATGGGGTCAGGAGATCAAGACCATCCTGGCTAACACAGTGAAACCCCATCTCTACTAAAAATACAAAAATTAGCTGGGCGTGGTGGTGGGCGCCTGTAATCCCAGCACTTTGGGAGGCCAAGGTGGGCGGATCATGGGGTCAGGAGATCAAGACCATCCTGGCTAACACAGTGAAACCCCATCTCTACTAAAAATACAAAAATTAGCTGGGCGTGGTGGTGGGCGCCTGTAATCCCAGCTACTCGGGAGGCTGAGGCAGGAGAATTGCTTGAACCCAGGAGGCGGAGGTTGCAGTGAGCTGAGATCGTGCCACTGCACTCCAGCCTGGGTGACAGAGCAAGACTCTGCCTCTCAAAAAAAAAAAAAGAAAAGAAAAGAAAAAGAAAACACATAATGTGTGATGAATTATTTTAGAAAGGTTTTATGTAAATTTTTTTCCCTGCAATTTGTATATCTTTACTTTAAAAAAAAATCAGTAGTTTTTAAACTCTGTTAACTTTAACAGCAGGAGTTAATTAGGTTTATTACTTGCTCATTCTATTCACCCCTAACTTTTAAACATTTCTTAACTAGAATAGCAGTGGTATTACAGATGGTAGAAGGGAGGATGCCTTTTCTCTCGTTTTTCGTGGCAAACTCAAATTTCACCTTGTGACATCATTCCTGCCCCACCCTATGTAAGTTGGACTTGCTGGTTTCTGAGCTACCATCACCTTATAGCACCTCTCTTAGTCTTGCACTTCCTATACACAACCATTTGCCTGTTTACATATTATTTTGCCTTTAAAACATGAGTTTCTGGCCTGGTGCAGTGGCTCATGCCTGTAATCCCAGCACCTTGGGAGGCCAAGGCATGTGAATCACCTGAGGTCAGGAGTTCGAGACCAGCTTGACCAACATGGTGGAACCCCATCTGTACTAAAAATACAAAAAAATTAGCTGGGCACGGTAGTGCATACCTGTAATCCCAGCTACTTGGGATGCTGAGGCAGGAGAATCGCTTGAACCTGGGAGTTGGAGGTTGCAGTGAGCTGAGATTGCACCATTCCACTCCAGCCTGGGCAACAAGAGCAAAACATCATCTCAAAAAATAAAAAATAAAAAAACATGAACACCTGTAATTCCAGCACTTTGGGAGGCCAAGGCGGGTGGATCATCTGAGGTCAGAAGTTCAAGACCAGCCTGGCTAACATGGTGAAACCCCGTTTTTACTAAAAATACAAAAATTAGCCAGGAGCAGTGGCAGGTACCTGTAATCCCAGCCACTTGGGAGGCTGAGGCAGTAGAGTTGCTTGAACCCTGGAGGTGGAGGTTGCAGTGAGCTGAGATTGCGCCATTGCACTCCAGCTTGGGCAACAAGAGTGAAACTCCATGTCAAAACACAAACAAAAACATGAGTTTCTTTTTTTTTTTTTTATTTTGCGTATGTCTTTTTTTTTAATTATTATTATACTTTTAGTTTTAGGGTACATGTGCACAATGTGCAGGTTAGTTACATAGGTATACATGTGCCATGCTAGTGTGCTGCACCCATTAACTCATCATTTAGCATTAGGTATATCTCCTAATGCTATCCCTCCCCCCTCCCCCAACCCCACAACAGTCCCCAGAGTGTGATGTTCCCCTTCCTGTGTCCACGTGTTCTCATTGTTCAATTCCCATCTATGAGTGAGAACATGCGGTGTTTGGTTTTTTGTCCTTGCTATAGTTTACTGAGAATGATGATTTCCAATTTCATCCATGTCCCTACAAAGGACATGAACTCATCATTTTTTATGGCTGCATAGTATTCCATGGTGTATATGTGCCACATTTTCTTAATCCAGTCTATCATTGTTGGACATTTGGGTTGGTTCCAAGTCTTTGCTTTTGTGAATAGTGCCGCAATAAACATACGTGTGCATGTGTCTTTATAGCAGCATGATTTATAGTCTTTGGGTATATACCCAGTAATGGGATGGCTGGGTCAAATGGTATTTCTAGTTCTAGATCCCTGAGGAATCGCCACACTGACTTCCACAATGGTTGAACCAGGTTACAGTCCCACCAACAGTGTAAAAGTGTTCCTATTTCTCCACATCCTCTCCAGCACCTGTTGTTTCCTGACTTTTTAATGATTGCCATTCTAACGGGTGTGAGATGGTATCTCATTGTGGTTTTGATCTGCATTTCTCTGATGGCCAGTGATAGTGAGCATTTTTTCATGTGTCTTTTGGCTGCATAAATGTCTTCTTTTGAGAAGTGTCTGTTCATATCCTTTGCCCACTTTTTGATGGGGTTGTTTGTTTTTTTCTTGTAAATTTGTTTGAGTTCATTGTAGATTCTGGATATTAGCCCTTTGTCAGATGAGTAGGTTGCGAAAATTTTCTCCCATTTTGTAGGTTGCCTGTTCACTCTGATGGTAGTTTCTTTTGCTGTGCAGAAGCTCTTTAGTTTAATTAGATCCCATTTGTCAATTTTGGCTTTTGTTGCCACTGCTTTTGGTGTTTCAGACATGAAGTCCTTGCCCATGCCTATGTCCTGAATGGTAATGCCTAGGTTTTCTTCTAGGGTTTTTATGGTTTTAGGTCTAAAGTTTAAGTCTTTAATCCATCTTGAATTGATTTTTGTATAAGGTGTAAGGAAGGGATCCAGTTTCAGCTTTATGAGTTTCTAACAGCAGGATATCTAGTGCCTAAAACATAATCTATGTAGTGAAAAAAGAAAACAAACAAAATAAAAAAGCCCATAGCCCTATAAACCTAATGAATCAACTTATAATTTTTCCTACTGTCATCCAGGTCTGTGGACATAGTTTTACCTTTTCTGTAAAAATTGTGAAGATATAATTTGATCATCTGCTTTTCTTATTTAGCATTATTATAAATACCTTTCTGTTTTGCTCCATGGTTCTTATACATTTTAAAATTACTTTTAAAGCTATCTGTGTGTGCTAGTTTTTCTAAAATGCATTTGGATTGTTAATTATTGTAAAGCATAATAGAAAACTGTCTAAAAACAGGTCTTCACCAGAATTAGAATTATTATTGAATTTTAGTTATTCTCCCAAAGGTTTTGATAAATACAGGTTTAATTATGCCAGTTTTCTAAAAGGACTAATAAAATAAAGTCATATTAAATAAGAACTTGATGAAAAGTGTCTGCTTTTACTGGTTAAAACATTTAGAAGGCTCTCCAGACAAGTACACAAACTAAATTGCCTGGGTCCTACTTAATAAGTTATCCTTGTTTTTGTTCTCAGTAGTACCTTGCATGACCATGAAACTCATTTCTACTGAAAGCACATTTACTGGGTGCCTGTGATACGCATCACTTTCCTTTACCTTACAGGGCAGCAGTCCAGCTGAGAAAATAAGCATGGGGGTACTTGTAACTTTAATAATAGGGAAATGTCATAAAAGAAATGTGAATAGAAAGTTATGGGATTACTGCAGAAAAAGCAGGCACTTTATAGATTTTATCTTTGTTAAATTTTATAAGAATTTTTATAAGAACAAAATAAATGTTCTGTCATCAATTTATTTTATGGGCAATGATATTGACACACTGGTTAGTTTCCGTCCTTCTTCTTCCTTTTCCCCTTCTTTTTCTCTTCTCTGCCTCCCTTCCTCTGCACTTGGTCTCTTCTCTTTCTCTCTCTTCGCCTTCAACAGTTATTCATTAACTATATATTCCTCTCTGAGATAATTACAAAAATTGGTTGCATGGACTAAAATCAAATTTCCATTTCTAAAATGTTTAGTCATTTCCTGAAGTATAAATGTTATACCATTTAAAGTAGTTTATGAATTACTGAACATTTTGTGGTACAGTTGATTCTAGATTATCAGTTCCTTAGATGTGATTTATAATGGCAGAACATTATTTTTATGATTCTTGAAGGTATATTTGTTTGTCATTAGGTACACACTGCCTGCAAAGATTTATACCATCCAATATGTCCACTTGGTCAATGTAAAGTATCTATCATACCTCCAATTGCACTAAACAGCACCGATTCCGATGGTATGTAGCAGTAGTGTAAGTACGTATATTTCTGGTATATTTAACATTGATATGTATATTTCTTTTCCTAGAATAATAACTATGATGGTAATTGACTATTGTAGTCAGTTTTTCTAAAATAATTCCATTTAAATTGCTGAAAGTACATTCCATTTTTAAAAGAATATATTTAAGTGAAAGTTGTAGAATAGCTGTTAACATTGGCGAAATTACTGTATATAAGACTTCTAGATTTTATGTTTTAGTAAATAAAACAAGATCATTACTCTGTACGGCAATACAATCTGAAAAGGTTAATTTTTATAAGTGTTTTTTTCCTCTATAATTGAAACTGCCTATTAGCATGGCTGTTATTAAAATCTGTTTTTCTGTAATTTCATTGTAGGAATTTATATTCCTATAAATGCACTTTTCCCAAAATCTTACAACTTAACTCTAAAGTGCTGAGGAACCCCTCTACAACACCGGTTTTGGGATTGCATACTAATTACTTCCTTCTAAGCAAACCGTATTGCAAAGGCTTTTTACCATGTATAATGCTATGCTGTTTTATGTAACAGACTTGAGCAACTGTGGATTTTGATATTCATAGGGTTCCTGCAGCCAATTCCCCCAAAATATACAGGGAGGACTGTACTATTATTAATGTCTTGCATTGATATCATGCCTTATGCTTTTCAAACTTTTTAATTTATGCCAATAGATATCTTAGATATAAGTTTATAAACCTGAAGATGTAAGTTTATAAACCTCAAAATATGTGACTTTTTTAAAAACCTGTGCTATTAACAGCCCTCTCCCCCAACCTAAGCCCTGATTTTGTTTACTATAAATTTTAAAATATTCTCTCAGACTTCAGAAAAGAGCAGTTAAAATACTTTGAAATATTGAATATGAACATAAGAATTACATACAAACATATAGGTTTGTATGTAAATAGTTAACCTATCTCTATTTGGAGAGCTAAATTATAACTTAATGCTCCAGTTTTTATGAATTTATTTTCTTTTCTCTGAATGTTTGCTAATAATTTAAAAGAGAAAGCTGTATGTATTGATCTTGTGTTGTGTTTTTTTCACAGGTTTCTGTAGAGCAACATTTTCGTTCTGTGTTAGTCCTCTATTGGTTTTTGTCAATTCTAAGAGTGGAGATAATCAGGGAGTAAAGTTCCTCCGTCGCTTTAAACAGTTGCTAAATCCGGCTCAGGTGTTTGATTTAATGAATGGAGGTCCTCATTTAGGGTAACTGATTATTGATAAATCTTATTTGAATACAATGTAGGACTAGGTGTTAAATGTGTTTGGTTTTTCAGCTCATGAAAATTACAGATTCCTCTAGATCCCTCCCTCGTTTTTAAAGCTCTAATTATAAGTTTTAACACAACCTTTTGGATAGTTATACAACTGTCTTGTATAAATTCCTAATTTCTCAATTCCAAAATTTGTTTAGAAAATGTTTTAGAATATATTCTACATCAAACAATACTAACAATTTCTTTAGCTCCAAGAAAGATCAACTTGCGTAAATATAGAAATATAAAGTAATATTAGAAAATGATTTGCATGGAAGGCTGATATTGATTTACATACAATATAAATAATCGATTATTAAACCAAAGTACAGGGACTCTCATGGCTGTCAAGGGCAGTTCTTCAAGGATCTCAGACTCAGTTCACATAAATGACAAAGAAATACTTTATTGATGATTCTTTTCAGCTTTCTGGATGTCATATAACTTAAAATCTGTAAGATAAAATGAACTAAGTGGTATTTTCACTGAGGGAAAATATACCTTTTGGCACTTTCAATACATTTTTAGGGTATGCATATGATTTTTCTTAAGAGGCGATATTATGTCTTCTGAACCAGGGGCCTTCAAACCTCTATGTAACATACTTACAGCAACTCAGCTTTTCTCTTGGGTTCCACCATTACCTTAAAGCATGAACACGGAAGTAGAAGTGGGGATTTTTGATACCAGTGCCTGAAAAGGCATTTTGTGTTTCGTAATGTGATACTTTCCTCTGTCTTCTCTATTTCTCTCCTTTCTTCTCTCTTGGTGCCTCTGTTCACTTTTGCCCCCTGAGTCTTCCTTCCTGCTTCCATTGCCTTTATCTTGCTAAGTCTCAGGCCCTTCTGGTCACATGGATGTTGGTCTTCTTCATTTATACCCAGCTTCCTCCTTATCTACGTGTACTGCCCTTCCTTTCCTCTGCTGAGGTCCTAGAGTTTCCTCATCTAGCCTCTCTTCTCACCTTCTTTGTCTCTGCCATGCTAGGGTAGTTTTGTCCCCCTTTCTAACACGTCCATTTTATAATCCTTTATAGTTCCATTATCTTATAGTCTTGATTTATTTTCCCATTTGTCCTCGAAGGCTTCAAGGACCTCTCTTGATGAAACTTCCTGAGATTGTCCCTCTAATATTTTTCAGATTTTCCATAATACTTGAAGTAAGTGTACAAGGGTACATTTAGGAGACGGGATGTGTCAAAAGTTGAGATGAGGGAAAATAGAAGGATGGGCCTGAGAATAGGAGAAGAGGAGGAGAAAAAGCCAGTTGGGAGTCCTGAGAGCAATACAATGATTGGTGTCTTTAGGAACTGCCTGAGCGTCACTCATTAGCATCAGCACCCTAGATTCCTTACCCATGGTTTGTAATTCTTAAGGAAAGAATTTATTCTTGTAATAGAAAGAGAAGAACCACTACTTCCACCATCTTGTATTACTTTACCTTTCCCGGTTTCTGCTGCTTTTTTGTTTTCTCATTTCTCACCCCCATTCCTCCTAATTTTATCTTCATTTCTACTTATCATTCCCTTTCCTCCTTATGATTCAGAAGTTTTCTTGAGTTAAAATTACACTTCAGTGAATGTTTATGGTATAATTAACATGTAAGTAGGAGTTCTTATATTTAATCTGAATATGAATACTGATACAGAATAACAAAGAATTGAGGAAAGTGATTTTTATTTCTTTATACTAAAATAAAATCCTTTTTGCTTTCAGTTTAAGATTATTTCAGAAGTTTGACAATTTCCGGATTCTTGTTTGTGGAGGCGATGGAAGTGTAGGTTGGGTTTTGTCAGAAATCGATAAGCTCAACTTGAATAAACAGGCAAGTGCTAATTCTTTTACTTGCTAGTTAACATGAATGCATACTAACATACTTACCAGAGAGGTGCAGAAATGCAGTAGTCCCTATTTCTCAACTTGTCTGAAAGTCACCCTGTTGCACTGTCTTTCAGTGTCAGCTGGGAGTGTTGCCTTTGGGTACAGGAAATGACCTTGCCCGAGTTCTTGGCTGGGGAGGTTCATATGACGATGACACCCAACTTCCTCAGATCCTAGAGAAACTGGAACGAGCCAGTACCAAAATGTTGGACAGGTAAAAGTAAATTCTTTTCTACAACTAGATGGAAAATGGCATACTGAAATCATTTTTTTGATGATTTCTTAATAAATATTTATTAATAAATTTTACTGACTAGAAGCTCCACGAAGGCAGAGCCTTCCTGATCTTGTCCACTGGTTAATCCCTGAGATGGAGAACAGGGCCTATCACAGAGAAGACACTCAATAAAGATGTTTTATAGTGAATGAATGAATTATAAAAAACTAGTCTGAGGAACTCATTATTTTAAATACAGAAGGCTATGTTACTACTATTTACTTTTAATTGCAGTTCAGGTCAGAAAACGAAAATAGTTCATTTTGTGGGGGGCCTTTTGATGAGTATGGTAGGTAGTCTCCTGTCATTGTATGGTTTCCAAAAAGCTAAAGAGGACATATAAACGTTAGATTTGTTAGAATATCTCCTCTTAAATATACATATTAAGAATGCATTGATCCAATAAGAACTAGATATGTTAAAATATAAGCAGTCCTTTCCCAGGGGCAGGAAAATATTAGGAAGACAGCTTCAAATGAAGGGACTATCATTGTGTTTATGCTGTTCTTGATCACATCTCTTAATTGCTTTCTCTCTGAATGTCCGTGTATAAAAAAGAAGCTACAATGTGTGTACCCTGCGTGTTATGGAGGAAGTGTTTAAAATTTGGGTATAAGGAACAACAGGACTCAGTAACCAGCCACTCCCCAACCCCCAATGTCAGTAGAAGACAGATGTCAAAATATCATGATCAACTTGAGGTAGCATAAATCAAAACAATTTTGATAGAATTAGCCATCTGTGGAACTCTTCCCGAAAATAACAAAATTTCACCAGGGAGCCACCAATCTGAAATGTAATTACTCTAAGATGGGCTATAACCTAATTAATTGTAACCTTGCCTGTCATAAGGTAAAATATTTTGCTGACAGAATATTTAAAAAGAGAGCTGGGAAATAGAACATTTGTCTCTGTTCATCCAAAATTACATGAGAGAGATACTCCAGTAGCTTGGGTGCATAAAAGTTTATAATCTTATGTGCTACTGGGTTCAGCCTCCATCCTTTAAAATAATCTGGAGGTTAAAAGAAGAAAAGGAATGAAAAAGAGAAATGGTACCTATGGATATGTTAGTTAGCTTGATTGTGTTGTATATATATCCAAACATCAAGTTGTACACCTTAAATATATACAATTTTTTATTTGTCAATTATACCTAACTGGGGAAAAAAGATTGGAAATAAATAAATAAAATCACCATTATTTGTAAATGAGCCTGGAGGTGACTTCCCAGACAACTGTCCAATTCTGTGGTTACCAAACAAAAGGGGTTATTTAAATGCTGTCTTTGTTGCAAATGTAAAGACCACTTCCCCTGCTGTTAGGCATTTCATCTACCCTGGGTATGTGCTTTCCCCTCGTGTGCTATAGAAATTCACTTCTCAGTCGGGGGAGGTGGCTCACGCCTATAATCCCAACACTTTGGAAGGCCGATGTGGGAGGATCACTTGAGCCCAGGAGGTGGAGGTGGCAGTGAGCCACAATTGCACCACTGCCCTACAATCTGGGCGACAGAGTGAGACCCTGTCTCAAAAAAAATTAAAAATAAATAAATAAATGAATAAAAAGTCACTTCTCCAGGTGGTTAGCCAAGAAACAGCACCCCCATGGTGAAATTCCTTGAATACCAACTGATATGCAAAATCAAAACAAAACAAAAGAAAATACACACACACAAAAATCAAAGTGGATTCAGAAACTTAAGATCTTTGTTAGAAACATAGGAATATTTTATTCCTATGTTTCCTTTATTAATTTACTGTTTGTAAAGAACAAGTGGGTTGGTTGCAGTGGCTCACGCCTGTAATCCCAGCACTTTGGGAGGCCCAGGTGGGCGAATTACCTGAGGTCAGGAGTTCGAGACCAGCCTGGCCAACACGGTGAAACCCCGTCTCTACTAAAAATACAAAAATTAACTGGGCATGGTGGTGGGTACCTGTAATCCCAGCTACTCGGGAGGCTGAGGCAGGAGAATCGCTTGAACCCGGGAGGCGGAGGTTGCAGTGAGCCAAGATCATGCCAATGCACTGAAGCCTGGCCAACAGAGCGAGACTCTGTCTCAAAAAAAAAAAAAAAAATACACCAGTTAAAAAGTCATTGTTTAATGTTTTAAATTAGATGAGTTTTTCAAATATATTTATTTGATCCTCAGAACAACACTTTGGGTTGGGTCAGAAAAGCATTATTTTACAAAGATGAAAATGTAGTTTTCTGGATACAGTGGGAATAAAAACAACTAATTTTTTGTCTGCTAGCACTTTCTAGTTGCTTTACTTCGTGTATCATCTCATTTAATTAAATCCCTTCTCCTAGAGATAGCTAATATTGCCATCTCCATTTTACTGGTGAAAAGGTTTAGGAGGCTTTCACATTATCTAAGTTAAATAGCTAATAAGTAATAGAACGGGCATGGTAAACTGCAATCCCTGCTCTGTCTAGTGTCCAGGGTCCTTTCTCAACTCTGCACTCTTTCCCCTTTATGTGTGTAGGCCAGATGGTTCCTTCCTTCTGGCCTGTGCCTCTGCTTAGCTGATACTCATATGCACCTCTTCCTCACTTTTTCATCTCTTGCTGCCACTTTCTCCTTTTTATTTAGCTCCAACCATTTCCTATCGAGTGGGGAGGTATAGCATGGAGGGTGCAAGGAACTCAGACATTTGGATGGATTTATTTACCATTTATTTAACTGTCTTTGACCAGAAAAGTATTTCCAGCTATAAGGAACTTGACTTTTATGTTTCTACTCGTGGTTTTCCCTGTTTGGATATTTACAAAGTTTAATTGTTTTGTTTGCTTGCATCATACCTATTTTTTGCACTGGAATGTTAGCTTCATTGGGGAAGCCTATTCACCCTTGTGTTTCCAGACCCTGTGACTTTGAGATGCTCAATATAGTATATCTGCTGCATGGATAAATGATGGCTTTTGGTTTTCAAATATAAATTTCTTTTTTTTTTTTTTTTTTTGAGACGGAGTCTCGCTCTGTAGCCCAGGCTGGAGTGCAGTGGTGCGATCTTGCCTCACTGCAAGCTCCGCCTCCCAGGTTCACGCCATTCTCCTGCCTCAGCCTCCCAAGTAGCTGGGACTATAGGTGCCCGCCACCACGCCCGGCTAATTTTTGTATTTTTAGTAGAGACGGGGTTTCACCATGTTAGCCAGGATGGTCTTGATCTCCTGACCTCGTGATCCGCCCGCCTCGGCCTCCCAAAGTGCTGGGATTATAGGCATGAGCCACCACACCCAGCCTCTTTTTTTTGAGATAGAGTTTCGCTCTGTCACCAGGCTGGAGTTCAGTGGCACAATCTCGGCTCACTGTAACCTCCACATTCAAGCGATACTCCTGCCTCAGCCTCCCAAGTAGTTGGGACTACAGGCGTGTGCCACCACACCCAGCTGATTTTTGTATTTTTAGTAGAGATGGGGTTTCACCATGTTGGCCAGGATGGTCTTGATCTTTTGACCTCTTGACCTCGTGATCTGCCCGCCTCAGCCTCCCAAAGTAAATTTCTTTTAAAGTATTTTCATGGGAAGAGTTGAATAGTAGCTAAAAGTAACTAGTTTACATGTCCCAAAATATAATGTATGTCTATTGGGGGGCTTTCTGGGAATTTGAATTTTTATGCAAATATTTATTCTCATAGGCTGAATGATACACTAGGTTCTGTTTAAATATTGATCTTGGGATTTTCCTCTGGGTTCTATCAGTAGCTTCAGCTGTGTTATGCTTTTCTTAAAATTCATTTGTTAAGGTACTGCTTTTATTATGCTTTGTTTCTGTGTAAAAATCTTTATTTTACATCTTTTTCTTTGAGATGGAGTTTTGCTGTTGTCATCGAGGCTGGAGTGCAGTGGCATGATCTTGGCTCACTGCAACCTCTGCCTCGCAGGTTCAAGTGATTCTCCTGCCTCAGCCTCCTGAGTAGCTGGGATTACAGGTGCCCGCCACCACACCTGGCTAATTTTTAATATTTTTAGTAGAGACGGGGTTTCACCATGTTGGCCAGGCTGATCTTGAACTCCTGACCGCAGGTGATCCACCTGCCATGGCCTCCCAAAGTGCTGGGATTATAGGCATGATTTACTGCACCTGGCCTTTTTTCTTTTTTTTGAGACAGGGTCTGGCTCTGTCGCCCAGGCTGGAGTGCAGTGGCATGATCTCAGCTCACTGCAACCTCCACCTCCCAGGCTCAAGTGATCCTCCCTCCTCAGCAATCCAAGTAGCTGGGATTACAGGTGCACAGCACCATGCCAGGCTATTTTTAATTTTTTTGTAGAGACAAGGTTTCACCATGTTGCCCAGGCTGGTCTGGAACTCCTGAGCCCCAGCAATTCATTCACTTCAGTCTCCCAAAGTGCTGGGATTACAGGCATGAGGCACCACACCTGGCCTTTATTTCATATTTTGTTAGTCTACAATAATGTCCTGGCCCAACTCTTCTTCCCAAATTTTGAAATTACTATTTTGGATAGAAAACTGGACTTATCTTGAGTTGATTGCTTTTCTCTAACACCAAATGATTTTATGTTTGCTTTGAAATTAATACTTGTAGCTAATTGAAATAAATTTACTTCAGTTAAGTATTATTAATATTTTCCCCCTACTCTCATGCTTACATTCATTATTTCTTAATTTAAGAAGGGGTATTTAGCTAATTTTCATTTTATGTATGTATAAGCTGATTTGGCAAGTGTGATTGAGTAACAGTTTATAGGTAGTATGTATTTATTTAATTTAAGACATTGTTTTAAAACTTTGGGTTATGACTCATTAGTAATTTATAACCTAGTTAGTAAACTGCAATGAGCATTATTTTTTAAATAGAACAGAAAAGAATGGAAAAGTCAGAATGCATTGCACCTGAGAAGAAATGGGGGCGTTGTAACGTGTGGATTTCTTATTGTGGGCTATGGGTCTTAAAACATTTGGAAGCCACTAATTGGAGAAATGGTAAGATGTAGAAATCATAAATTATAAATTCAACATTTTATGAGATTACTGAAATGTGATCTCTTTTCCCATTTTTGGTTGTTTTAAGATAAAATAAACCATAGTTCATGAATGTGTGTGTGTGTGTGTGCGTGCGTGTGTGTGTGTGTGTGTGCGCGTTTATGAGATGCTAACAGTTAGTTTATCCAATTTTAAGGAAATCTTTGACCAAAGAGTTTTTCTCCCTTCAGGTGGAGTATAATGACATATGAACTCAAATTGCCACCAAAAGCTTCCCTACTTCCAGGACCTCCAGAAGCATCTGAAGAATTTTATGTAAGACTTAACCCTTTACCTATCATTTGAAATGGGGGTGGATATCTTGAGAAAAAAAAAAGAAAGAGAGAGAAAATGTACTCCTAATATATTGTGGTAGCATGTTAACTTAATTTTATTTTTGGGGTATGGTCTCATTGACTGACTACCTCTAGTCCTCTCCCCCAGAGAGAAGAATCCTGAATCTAGGCTAGAGTCCTTCCATGACCACCCACACCGGGAGTGCCCAGTCACTCCTCTTCCTGGGACTCTTCATGTGTAAAGTGAGGCTACAAAGTCATGGGAGTTAAATGATGTAACAGATGTGTAAAGCACTATCTCTTCTCCTGCCCAGATAATTCCTCCCTGCATGTTCTATCTGCCTGTTTCCGTTTTATCAGCAGAGCTCTAGGAAGGTCAGCTGGTGTTTCCTGTTAGTGTTTATTCATCTTCTACTTTGGCCATTAGATTGTTTGATTATAAGATGTTAGCTTCTTTAAACAGTATCCAAACATACCAATACTCGTGGCCAGAATATTATGCAATTTCTGTCTTACTGCTTGCTTTGCGTACTCTTTTCTTGTTCTTTTCTTTTTGAGACAGGGTCTTGCTCTGTGGCCCAGGCTGGCTGGAATGCGATGATGCAAACACAGCTCACTGCAGCCTTGACCTCCTGGTCTCAAGAGATCCTCCTGCCTTAGCCTCCCAAAGTGCTGGGATTACAGGCATGAGACACTGTGGCCGGCCCCTACTCTTCTGAAGGGACAGCAAGACAGGTCTCTGGGTTAAGCCTGTTGATATAGTTAAAGAAAGACCACTTAATTCCATCTCTACTACAGACCATAAATGACTAACGTTTTTAAAGATTCAGCATTCTGATTAAACCTCAAAGCGGTGTAGATTTAAAACAGAACCTGACTTTCAAAGGATTAGTCTCTGACTCATTAAGACCATTTGATCTATGCTAGCTTATTTTTCCCTCCAGGAAAATTCATCTGTTTATTTTACAGTTGAAATCTTTGTTTTGTCATTAAGAAAATTATGATCTTGTCAAAACCAAGGCAAGGAATGATAACTAAAAACATGGGGCCGTTTCTTAGAGAAGCTAATTGTATTTTAAAAACTTTTTCTGACATAAAAACTGCTGATAGCCAAAACTGCTTCTAAAAAAATTTGGGAAATACAAAATTATATGAAAAAGAAAATAAAATCACCTGTAGTCCTACCACCCAGAGATAATCACTATTAAAGATTAATATATTTACCATTTTATTTTCAGCAGCATTTTTAGTTATGTGATTCCATAAACATAACACATTTTTATGGAAATCAGTCCTTTATCTTAACAGTATTTTTGTAAATGTTATTAATTTCTTTCCAAAAAAGACAAAAAGGAGAATTTTTTTCTTCCATTTACTTCAGAAATGTCTGTTTTCTAGCATATAAAATAACAGTAAATATTTACTTTTATCACGTGTATAATCACTAAATATGAGGTACAATTCTAAAGATATGAAGGAAATCTCTCTTTTTTTGTACAAAAGAGTTTTAAATGAAACTTTGCTTTTTAAAAATAAACTTACTTTTGTAACAAAGGGATAGCATACTTTAAGATAACAGATTAAATGAGTGTTCTGAATGGCCCTGACTAGGCCCTGAACTAGGCTGGCACCAGGAATGCATTTTACTGTGTGTGGCCTTTTTACCTTGAAAACTGCGATAAAAGTAGACTAAATCTTTCTTCTTAGCTTTTGTATACTTCATTAGCTGTGGGTCTTAGGCAAATTACTCAGTAAGCCTCAGGTTCTTTGGCTATAAAACAGGACAGAGGGGTAAATATATACAGAGTGCTTAATTACAGCGCCTGGTACACAATGCAAAATATTAACTCTTATTATTACTTACCTTTCTGACCGTGCTAAGTGACTGCATAGTAGGTTAATAAGTTACATCTATAATTTTATCTTTGAACATAGAGGCTATTTTATTTTCCTCTGAGAGAAATTGTATTTTTTGATCTTCAAATATTTTTAATGGACAAAAACTTGGATTTTTTGAATGTAAGTTTCAAATGGCATTAATCAAATGTTATTAATTAATACATTAGTCAACTGGCATTAATGAATTTATTAATAGCATTAATGATCATGTAAAATATTTTCTACCCTGCAGGGAAGAAAAATAAAACCAATCTCTGGAGAACATTTTCTTTTTTCAAATTTTAAAGTTTATTTTTAGATTATATATTTTCATTTTTCTCATCCTAGCTGTAAAGATGTAATTTTTAGTGTTTAAGAGATCAGTAAGGTGGATTTGTGGGTAAATGCAACATCTTGTGTAACTTGGGAGCTCCTGGCCTCACTTCCTTTCTTTGATGTAAAATTGCTTTCCTGTAGTGGTCTGCCTTTGAAGGAGAATGTAGAAATTTAAAAGAGTAACATACTTTTGAAAGAGTAACATAACCACTTGTGGAATGAAGGTAAATTAGGAATGTGGTTCTTTTGGGAAGAGTCTAGTCAGGAAAGCTTTGTGGGGAAGGCTTATTCAGACTTAATTGAATCTTCAAATAAGTCTGAATAAACTGAGGCTGATTGGTAGAAGTAATGAAAAGATACCTGAGTCAGGCAGAAGAGCATAGGCGGCCAGCTTGCCTAGAGCAGATCATTTATACTAGAAAATTTTGCGCTGTGTGAAATGGAATATTATTTGAGGCATACATTTGATGTAAGGCTCTGAATATGAGGCTGTTTAAATATTGTGCACATTTTTACATATTAGGAAAATGTATGTGGTCTTTCAACGGGATGTTAAAGTTTGAGTCAAATAGAAAAGGGATTATGGATGCTTTTGGCATTTTGACTATTGTTTAACAGAAATATTTATTTACATGATTATATGAAAGTGTATTCAGCATTTTTAAAAACTTTTTTATTGAATTATACATACAGAAGAGTGCACAGGTCATAAATGTATAGCTTGGTAAATTTTCACAAACTAAACAAATCTATGCCAGGCCACCCGTCAGTGTTCAAGTATCCCATAAGCCCCCTCATGCCCTCTTTCAGTCAAGAC
Organism: Homo sapiens; assembly: GCF_000001405.40. Lineage (NCBI taxonomy): Eukaryota > Metazoa > Chordata > Mammalia > Primates > Hominidae > Homo > Homo sapiens. Next base: position 42,177,196 of record NC_000013.11, read on the forward strand.
CCCCACCTCCTACCCCAATAATCACTGTGCTGACTTCTAATAGCATAGATTGGTATCTGTTTTGTACTTATAAAATAGAATCATTTTGTATGCTCTCATTTGTTTCTGGATTCTTTCACTCAATGTTATGTTTATCAGATTGATCTATACTGTGGCTTGGCTATAAATCATTCATTCTCATTCTCCTATGGTCTTCCATTGCACAAATACACTGCAATTTGTCATCTATTCTACTATTAGATGAATGCTGCTGTGAACATCCTAGTGCATGTCTTTTGGTGAACACAATTTTGCATTTCTTTTGGGTGTAGATATAGAAGTTGAATTTCTGAGTCCTGTGATATCATTGCATATGTTCAGCTTTAAGAGACACTATCAAATCGTTTGTGAGAGTGTATCAGTTTGCATTCCCATCAGCAGCGTTTGAGAATTCTGTAGCTCCATAGCCTTGCTAGCACTTGCCATTTTCTAGTTGTTTTCATTTTAGCCATTTTGGAGCTGCATGGTGGTACTGCATTGTGGTTTTAGTTTCCATTTGCCTGATGGCTGAGATTGGATATGTTTTCATCGGTTTATGGGCCATTTGGATATTTTTATATTTAAATGTCTAGTCTTTTGCCCAATTTTTATTAGATTTTTTGGCTTTTATTGTACTACTTTGTAGGAATTATTTTTATATTGAGATATTTTTACATTAAAAAATTTTGTAAAGGAGTTTTTATGGATTTCTATAAGAATATAAATTAAAGAATTCCAGAAACCGAAAGCCTTTTGCCAAAAGGAAATATCTATTTTGCATGATGACTCTTTCATATATTTCATTATAGTGATTGCCTTGCCTAAACATATGTCATGAAGGGTTCCATTTCTGGAGCAGCAATAAGTGAGTTGTATAAATGCCAGCAACAATAATACAGTGTAGAGTTTTCTTTTCTTCAGATGACGATTTATGAAGACTCAGTTGCAACGCATCTTACAAAAATCCTCAATTCTGATGAACATGCAGTGGTCATATCTTCTGCCAAGTGAGTTGTGGGTTTTAAGTCTTTAAATATGGTGAAAATGAAATGATAGCTGGCTCCTACCATTTAGGTCATTTCTTTGTGAGTTTTCTTCTCAAAAAATATCTTGGAAGTAGCTTATAAAATTAGATGTACTAAATTTGAATTGATTTTTAAAAATCATGTTAGCATCTTATTTGCAGTGGTGTATACTTAGAGGGTATTTTTTTAATGTTTAATTTGAAACATTTTTATCAAAAAGGTGTAAGAAGCGTTTAGAGTTTAATTAACCTAAATGTCTATTTAAGGAAATGTTTATGATTACTTATAATATGGAAAACACATTTCATTATAATTCATTATTTCCATAAACACTACTATTTAGGAACTGTTTACATCACATTAGAAAAAGGAAAATGATGAGATTTTTCAAAATGATGTTTCTCAGCATGTTTAAATTGAATAATTACATTTTAATTCAAAGTTATCATATTTTAGTGAAGTTGATTTTGTACATGGAGCCAAAGCTACTTGATGTTATTATCCCAAATGTTGCCTGGCTGGAATTTAGAATTTAGTTTTGAAACATCCTATGCTGATGTCAAGAGACTGGAAAGTCGACTAGAAGAAGGGGTGACACCAACTGAAATTTTCAACTGATAAGCAAAAGAATGCATTCAAATTCTGGCTTAGCAAGCACGGGTTACTGTTATGCAGGAAGAGAGCAGAAAAGGGGAAGAAAGAAAGAAAAGGAGTGGGAAAGTGGTAAAGAAAAAATATACAAATTTTGGTATATTATGTACTTAATTCACAGTAAAGTTGAGGAAAGACAAGATCAATCATTATAAACAAATTTGCTTGTGAAAAAAGTACAAATGTAGTAACAATTGCTTTTGACAACATATTCCCCAGAAATAGGAAGCAGGACTGCACAACAGGAAAAGAATTGAATGGCTTACAGCAAGGGAAGCACACTAGTTGGCCCAGGAGAGGTGGGCTGCAGACTGTATTTGGCGGGCAGTGCTGCAGGTTTCTGTTTTGTGCAAATATTGGACTAAAGCATCTTCTGCCATTTTTACTTAATTGAAAACAATTTTCCTTACAATCATGCAACTAAAATAAAATACAGAAATAATTGGAAACTGCATCGAATAGAAGACTGTAACTGTCATCTGTAACTTTATTGCTTAATTTTTCTTGTAAAGGAGAAAATTTAATTCTATCTAATTTATTAATGTCAACAAAACAGAGTTTTAGTATTTTAATATTGGAATTCTGTGTAAGATTGTATTTGAACCAGGTACCGTGGCTCATGCCTGTAATTCCAACACTTTGGGAGGCCAAGGTGGGCAGATTACTTGAAGCCCAGGAGTTCAAGACCAGCCTGGGCAATATGACAAAACCTCATCTCTACTCAAAGTATACATACTAAAATTAGCCAGGTGTGGTGGTGCTTGCCTGTAGTCCCAGCTTCTCAGGAGGCTGAGGTGGGAGGATCACTTGAGCCTGGGAGGTGGAGGTTGTACTAGAGCTAAGATGGCACCACTGCACTCCAGCCTGGGTGACAGAGTGAGATCTTGTCTCAAAAAAAAAAAAAAAAGATTTTATTAGAGAAAAGGTTTCCACTGCCAAAAATGTTGTACTACAAAGGTGTTAAGATTAAGAATGATAGGGAGAAAAAGGGGTGGCTACTCTAATTATCCTGTTTGCATCTGTAGAAATTTCTTAACAAGAATTCCACTTCATTAAAAATATGTGAAATATATGAAAGGTAGTGATCAAACACATGAAAGTAAATATAAAGGTTTTGCTGACATCCAAACTATAAAAAGTGGCCAGTTAAAATATTTACTTAACTATATTAAACAAAAAATAATTCTCTTATGACTTGCTATACCTTAAAAAAGCTTCCATTACAGCTTTCCACCTTTTCTAGCAATGTCCTCTGAAATGTCATATCAAAATACATTTGATTCACAGGGCAAGGGCCAGCCCATCACTTAGGTGTATGAACTGGGCCTGGGATGAGAAAGACAATAGGGAGTGCTAAAGCCTGGGACAAACTGGAGATTTGTCCATTTCACCATCAAGCAATACAATTCATTGAAAACCCCAGTGGCACTGCCCACCAAACAAAGAGAGTGTGTAGCCCACCTCTCCTGGGCCAGTCATTGTGCTTCCATTCAGCGTTTTTTCTAGTGTTCAATCCTGTTTCCTATTTGTGGGGGATATGGAAAGAAGGCCTGTTATTTCTCCCTCATGGAACTGCTAGGATAATTAAGCTGAGTAATATAATAAGTATAGAGCTTATAAATGACAGAGGGCTGTATTAAATTATGGTAGCATCACCTCACGTTTTACCCGATTACATTTCAGATGTTTTCTTTGACCTTGGCCTGACTCTTTGTCTAAGGCTCTGCTCCCAGCCCTAGCTTTGGGTTTCTCCCTAACCAGCTTGCCTGCCCTTAAGCAGATTCCATTCTGATGCAGCATCCCTCCTGTCACTCACTCATCTATGCTTCCAGGCCTTTACAACCCCAGATACAATTCTAGGGAATTTGCCATAAAGAGGCTGAAGAGAAAAAAGAGGAGACAATATATAATTATTTGGTACTAGTAATACAATATATGTTAAATTTTATTTCTTCTTCTTATTATTTTTGGAAGAAAATCACTTTATTCCAGTTATCTCACAAACAATAAAATCACAACAGCTGGTTTAAGGAGGCCACACATTTACCCAGTCCCAAATTCTATACCATCTTAATGAAATTCTGCACAGTAAGAATATCCTCTTCGGCCGGGCGCGGTGGCTCACGCTTGTAATCCCAGCACTTTGGAAGGCCGAGGCGGGCGGATCACGAGGTCAGGAGATCGAGACCATCCTGGCTAACACGGTGAAACCCCGTCTCTACTAAAAATACAAAAAAATTAGCCGGGCGTGATGGTGGGCGCCTGTAGTCCTAGCTACTCGGGAGGCTGAGGCAGGAGAATGGCGTGAACCCGGGAGGCGGAGCTTGCAGTGAGCGGAGATTGCGCCACTGCACTCCCGCCTGGGCCACAGAGCGAGACTCTGTCTCAAAAAAAAAAAAAAAAAAAAAAAAGAATATCCTCTTCCACTGCAATTCTGAAGCAAGGAAGCTATGAATGACAGAGGAGAGGCTTAACTGCTGGTTTCTCACTTTATACCTTCACTATCTGTTACATTTTTATGCTAAATTTACTTGGTCATGAAAGCTGATTTTCCATGTCTTCAGCTGAACTTGATTAGGCCAGTCCATGTGCACGTCTGCACTGTTTCAGCACCTCCTTGGAACCCTCACTGAGCTTGACATCACCCTAGTTCTGGGAACACTCCAGAAACTGTTCTGTCTTATACAAGCAAGGCTGCTGCTGCTGTGCAGCTAGTCTCCCAGAGGCTCCTGGTAAGTGATGTCAGGCCTTGTGAGCCCAGCATTACTTCCTCTGTTTAAGCCACCCCATTCCCATGATAGTTGACCCAGTATATGCCCCACAGCAGGGCCCACAGCCACGCCAGCTGCAGTGGTTGCCATCTGGACCATCAGACCTGGCTGCCAGGATGCAGCAGCAGGAGACTCAACTGCAGTGGGTGGGGCCACTGCTGGCAGCTGAGCTGCTGGTGCTGGCAGCTGAGCTGCTGGTGCTGGCAGCTGAGCTGCTGGTGCTGGCAGCTGAGCTGCTGGTGCTGGCAGCTGAGCTGCTGGTGCTGGCAGCTGAGCTGCTGGTGCTGGCAGCTGAGCTGCTGGTGCTGGCAGCTGAGCTGCTGGTGCTGGCAGCTGAGCTGCTGGTGCTGGCAGCTGAGCTGCTGGTGCTGGCAGCTGAGCTGCTGGTGCTGGCAGCTGAGCTGCTGGTGCTGGCAGCTGAGCTGCTGGTGCTGGCAGCTGAGCTGCTGGTGCTGGCCGGGGTGCAGGTCTCATTGGAGGTGGCTGGCTGGCCAGAGGGGCCATGCTGGAGGTGCAGCTTTGACTTCCATGTGCCATCACAAATGGGCAGTGGCTCAGCATCTCTAAATTTTATTTTTATGGACATTTTCAAACAAAACTGATATAATTACTTCCCACTGTACCCATCATTCAGTTTCAGTATTTACCAACATTTTGCCATCTGCTTCCTACTTTATTTTGCTACAGTATCTCTAAGAACATCCTGAAAATTATTCTACTACACTTTTGGTATATAGTCCTCCCTCTCTATCCATGGGGGATTGGCTCCAGGACCCCCTTGGATACCAATATTCATAGGTACTCAAGTCCCTCATAGAAAATGCCATAGTATTTGCATATAACCTACACACATCCTTCCACATACTTTAATCATCTCTAGATTATTTATAATAACAAATGTATTTGCTATGTAAATAGTTGTTATACTGTATTGTTCAGGGAATGATGACAAAAAAAAGTCTGCACATATTCAGTGTAGACAAAACAATCTGTTTTCTTTTTCAAATGTTTTCAGACCATGGTTGGTTGACTCCATGGATGTGGAACCCATGAATATGGAGGGCTAACTGTATGTGTGTGTGTGTGCTTGTGTGCACGTGTGCATGTGCGCACATATAATCTTTTTAAAAATCTAAAAATTAATAATAATTCTCTAACACTATCAATATTACTTAAGCCATATCCCATTTCCCTTAGTTTTCTCAGAGGTTTTTCTGTGAACCTTGTCTGAATTTTGACAAGGTCTTTAAAAAAAAAAAAAACCACACACACTTTATTTGTTCAAAATTCAGACAATGCTCACACACTACATTTGAGTGATATCTCTTTAAGACTTTAAAAATCTTGACCAGGCATGGTGGTCCATGCCTATAATCTCAACACTTTGGGAGGCCAAGGTGGGAGGATTACTTGAGCCCAGGAGTTCAAGACCAGCCTGGGCAACATAGTGGAATCCCATCTCTACAAAAAGTTTTAAAATTAGCTGGGTGTGGTGGTATGTGCCTGTAGTCCTAGCTACTCAGGAGGCTGAGTTGAGAGGATCCTTTGAGCATGAGAGTTCGAGGCTGCAGTGAGCTGTGATCACGCCATTGCACTCCAATCTGGATGACAGAGTGAGATCCCGTCTTAAAAAAAAAAAACACTTAAAAATTCTATAATGGTTTCCCTTTAAAAAACAATTCTTACTGAGGCATGACATATACAGTAAAGCACCTAAATCACAAGAGCACAACTCAATGATTAAAAAAATACTGCATGTACGCACAGTCACACACAGACACACATACACACTTGTAATTACTACCTAGATAAAGAATTCCCTTTTTTTGTGAATGTTATTTATTTATTCAGTGATACAATATTAAGGCAAAATGTTTAAACCCTCTTGTGCCTGTTTGTATTTATTTCATGCAATAATAATTCCCAGTAGCCTTAACTGTTTTCAGCTATTTTTAAAATGTTGAAATGCTAATGGAAAAGTTGTATTCCACTAACATAGCTAACATGTAGGTTAACCTAAAACAACATTTCTTTGACCTTAGAACTTCATCAATTTGGTATGGTAATAAGAGTTATCTTCTGAGAATCACAGCTCTAACTAGCAATCATAGATACCATTTATTAGTAAAAATGTAAAACAGTTATTAAATAAGTTGTCTTTAGCTACAATGTATGTCTCTCCTTTTATTTAGTCAGTAGTTTAAAAACTTTTTTAGCTTTAACAGTAGGAGTTAATTAGGTTTTTTACTTACGCACTCTACTCACCCCCCAAGTTTTGAAATAAATGCATTTTGTTCTGTGTACAAAAGTTTCAGAAAATGGGATAACTAGCTAGCAGGAATATTGACGCCATTGTCATAGAACCATAGAATTTAGATTTGGAATCTACTTTAGGGATAATTTAGGCCAACCCGCCTCATTTAATTGGTAAAGTGAGGTAGTTGTTAAAAATATTTCCTCAGAGCACAAAGACAGCTAGAGACAAAGATAGCTAGAGATTTTTATGTATTATGCATTGATACTTCTAAATCATCTTCAGTTTCAAATTGGAACTTTTTATTAGATGAAAAATGAATTTTTCAGATATGATGACCCTGCCTGCCAATCTATGATTCTGTCTGGGTACCATTGCCATATTTATCTTAGTGTAGTATGTGCATATTTTACTGTCATTTGCCCACACTTTAAGAAATTAAGTGGAAAGGTGATAAATGAGGGTACTAATACTAGTGATGAGAAGTATGGGTCTAACATATGTAATATAGTAGAGATGATAGTGGAAATCATCAGGTATGTGAAATGTGGACTGTTGTTAGCCTCAACTGAGTATTTGGTTCACACAGTTGACTATGTTCAATTTTGAAGGAAGAGAACAAAATTAAGGAAATAAAATGTTGGAAATGCCAAAAGTTCTGTCTAGGCCTTATGCAGTGGCTCACCCCTGTAATCTCATTGCTTTGGGAGTGCAAGTCAGGAGGATCGCTTGAGGCCATGAGTTAGAGACCAGCTGGGGCGACACAGAGAGACTACATCTCTACCAAAAAAAATTTTTTTAAATTAGCTCAGCATGGTGACATGGACCTGTGGTCCTAGCTACTCAGGAGGCTAAGCTGGGAGGATCACTTGAGCCCAGGAGTTCAGGGATGCAGTTACCTATGATCACACCATTGCACTCCAGCCTAGGCAACTGAGCAAGACCCCCATCTCTAAAAATGTTTTTTTTTTTTTAAAAAAAAAGTTCTAACATTGATTAAAGATATAATTAGGAATTTAGAATTTTTTAATCTCTATGGGAAAATCTGCATTCTACTTTCATTTATTTGACTTTTGCACATATTTTCTGGAAGTCTTATGTATAAAGTAGAAAACTGTGTGTATAGTTGGAGAATATCTTTTGTCTTCCTATAGTAAATACATCTTAAGATTGTTTTTTCTCCAATTTGCACGTTTCTGGTTGGTAGGACTTTGCAATCATACTGTTTTTAAGTATATATTTTATTTCTGTTTTAATAACTCTACATTCACTATTTAGGTATAATAAAAGGTTACTTCATTCCCCCAGAATATAAATATCCTATATTCCTTTTAGCATATGGAACTTAATGAGCAATAAGATAGAGCATGTCTTCTGATTCTTTCCACACTTGTGTGGCGAGCACTCTCCTAACCTTCACATGCCCCTTCCTCAGCTCCTTTGGCCACCACTGCCACAGGATCATAGTGTCTCTGTCAGCCTCTGTTTGCCTCAGTGACATGGCACACTGAGGAGGGGCACCCCTGCTGCCCTTTTCATTCCTAGGCTGATGGACTGAAGGGCTCTGTCTCTAGGAGTGAATAAGATACCAACAAAAGCAGCTATGATAATGATATGACATATGCAGTTTCACAAACCAAGAGAAAATTATGACAAGATGATGTTATAATAATGGCAAGAAAAACCTCTATTTCAGAGTTACAGGAAGATGCATCAATGCTCCTCTCCCTTAAAGTAGCGCATTTTACAGAAACTTTCAGTAAAATGCCTAGAAGAGATTTTGTGATAGTGTTATATATATTTCGAGAAATCCCATGAAGTATTGTTCATGATCAAAGAAGACAAAACTTGACATGAAGTACATGAATGCATGTCTAGTAAATGATAAGCTAGATTCTCTGTAGAAATTTGAGTTTAAAAAGCCAACAAAGAAGGTTCAGGATTAGAAAATATTACCTTTTGTTCAAATAAAATCTAGAAATGTTTGCTAAAAAATAATAAAACAAAAATTGTTAGGAGGAATACAATTTCCAAGGTGATAAATCTGAAGGTTGGTAGTGTGTGTGTCTGTTGGGGGAGGAGTGGTGGTGGTGGTGGTGTGTGTGTGTGTGTGTGTGTGTGTGTGTGTGTGTGTGTATGTCCTGTGTCTATTGAATTGCTCAAGTTCATAATACTGAAGTATATGGAAATTTACCATTTTGCCACTCAACTACCAGAGAAAGTTGTGAGTGTAATAGAAAAAATAACTGCTGGAACCTTTTTTAAATTTAAATTTCTCAATTTATATCAATGATAGAAAGCAATACTATGATTTAAAAAATAGCCTGATTCTATCAGCATAAGCCTTGGCTTTAAAAAAGCTGGTCATATACCATTCTGTTGATTGTTGTTTTTAATCCAGCACCAGATCCAGATCCAGATCCAAAGCCTTTCAAAAGGCAGATTTTGTTAGTGTTTCAAGTTATTTTGTCTTTTAGCTTATTTCTATCGCAAAGAAGCCAAATGTAATTAAAATAAACAAACAAGTAAACCATATACTGCTGACACTAACAAGACCTAAATTAAATTAGTCTTGTAGTTATTGCATTGATTATCTCAAGGAAAAAATGAATAGATTTACAGAGAATATAACTCAAGTGGCAGATTTGTTTTCAGCATAACGCACAACCTCTTTCTCTTCAGTAATAATATATTGTAACTGTAACAATCAAAATATCCATATGATGAGTCGTGGCTTGACAGTGACAAGTGACAATCTTATTTTTGTTCAGCAATGTAATTTCTGTTATGAAAATATGTAAGTTTAGAATTTCAGTGGAGAAAGCAAGATGATGCTTTATCATTTTTAAATGGGATCTAAAAATAATTTAAATGTTTGAGGAAAGCTTCTTATAACATTAATTACTATAATTTAAGTAATATACAGCAAGGCTTATTCATGTATGCATTTATCACTTAGAATGTCTTGGACTTATGTGAGACAAACTGCACAGCAGATAGAAGCATAGATTTATATACAGATGACCCAGATATTTGACAGTTTGCTTAATTGTGTTTCTTTTTAAATATATTCATAAATCAAGGCAAATTAATTCATGAAGCTTACTAAATTGTACAACTTCTTTTCCTCAAAGGACGCTATGTGAAACTGTAAAGGACTTCGTTGCCAAAGTAGAAAAGACGTATGACAAAACCTTGGAAAATGCCGTTGTAGCTGATGCCGTGGCCAGTAAAGTAAGAGGGGACTCTTCAGGGCATGAGAGTTGTTTATGGACAATGCTCACATTCAACTGTGTTTCAAAGCTAAATTGATTAGGTGGTTTTCCTGCCAAAACATCTTAAATCGAGAGAAAAATTACTTTGGATCAGATCTGAGAATTTTAAAAAATATTCTATTTTATTGTTACCCTTTAATATGTAGGAAAACTGCATTGCTGAAAACCTAACTCAAATCCCTGTCCCAGTGATTGATTTTTTTTGGAGACAGAGTCTTGCTCTGTCACCCAGGCTAGAGTGCAGTGATGCTCTCTCTACTCACTGCAACCTTCACCTCCCAGGTTCAAGCGATTCTCCTGTCTCAGCCCCCCAAGTAGCTGGATTACAGGTGCTTGCCACCACACTCAAATAATTTTTGTATTTCTAGTAGAGACGGGGTTTCACCATGTTGGCCAGGCTGGTCTTGAACTCCTGACCTCAGGTGATCCGTCCACCTCAGCCTCCCAAAATGCTGGGATTACAAGTGTGAGCCACCACACCTGGCCATGATTGACTGAAGGGGAGATGCATAGCAGTCAGACCACAGGGGATCCCATGCAGCTGGGCTCCAGTGGAGAAAGCAAGGTTTTCCATTTCCAAGCAGATTTGGGCCAGTTCAGCTGTCTTCCAGCATGGTTCTTTGGATTTCCTAGACATTACAATTCTTGGTCTCTTTCAGAGTGCTGCTTCTTGCATTGCTTTTTTCTTTACAGATTTCTTTCCCCCTTTATAAACTAAAATAAGAACAGTTTACTGAATCTTAAAAACTACCATCTTTGCTTTCATTGGTTCACAACAGGACCTTCTTACAAAAGGCTTGAGTATCTTGGGCTTGCAAAGGAATTAACTTCCCCAAATCCATGTTGGAGATGGCAGTTTAATTGAGTGGAAGAAAAAGAAAATAGAAATAAATATACATTTGAAGTTTTCTGCCTTTTTCTCTTGTCTTTCTGCTCTGTGGAGAGTTTCAGAAAATAGAAACCCTTTCTGGCCATACTTCTGTCTCTAAAGTATTTCTGCTCTAACCTTGTCTCAGCATATCATCAAAGACAAATAGATGAGGAGGAAAGGGACTGGAAATTTTATGGAGATGAAAAGTATATTGGGGGGTAGCATCAACAGCTTCAGTCCTAAATGTTTCTTCACCTCTCGTAATACAAGAAAAGCAGAAAGAAACAAGGGCTTGCCTAGTGCATGCTTTTCTTTCTGTATCCCTCTTCTTTTCCCTCCTTATCCTTGTGCATTTTCCTTCCTGCACTTTCTTTGAGCCAATAATCCCTTAGGCATTGTTCACTCCTTTGCAAACCAAAGCTTTGAAGGGGAGTTTGCCACAACTCAGCCAGATGTGCCATTTATGACGCTCAAAATGGTGCATTAAGTCAATTACTTTTTTTAAAAAGTTGATCCAATGTTTTGTGTAATGTATAGCAAATTTTGTGTAATTTTTTATATAAAGCATCCCTTTGTATAAAATGTCTGTTGTGTTATTTTGAGAAAAATAGCTGTATAAATATTATAAAGATGTTTTTCCCCATGAAATGGAGTCTGAGTGGCTCTGAAATTATATAATAATTGTGCCAACTTAAAAAATTATAAATTATTTCATGTAGTAAACATCAATAAAGCCATTGTCCCTCTAAATCAAAAGCCATAATTTAAATTATAGTTGTCTATCTCTACTAAATGGAGATTTTAAAATTAGCTGCTTCCAGAACCAAAACATCTACAAAATTAAAGGTGAGAATTTTGGTGTTTTTCTCTCTAGTGATTAAACTTTCAAAACATCTCTATAAAAATTTCTTGTACTTTGTCTGCTGATCTTGATTCTTTTTGAGTATTTTTCTCATTGCCATATTTTCCTCTCAGTGTTCAGTCCTAAACGAGAAGCTCGAACAACTGCTGCAGGCTTTGCACACAGATTCCCAGGCTGCGCCTGTTCTCCCTGGCCTCAGCCCTCTCATTGTGGAAGAAGATGCTGTGGAATCGTCCAGTGAAGAGTCCCTGGGTGAAAGCAAAGAGCAGCTTGGGGATGACGTTACAAAACCTTCCTCCCAGAAAGCCGTCAAACCAAGGGAAATCATGTTGCGGGCAAATAGTTTAAAGAAAGCAGTGAGGCAAGTCATTGAGGAAGCCGGAAAAGGTACACATTAACAAATTTAGCTTTGGAAGAAGTTGGCAGCATTTCTACTGCAAGCATAACGGAGTTTCCATAGTGGTCAGATTGGACACACTTTTTAAAAATAAAATTTTTAAGGCAAGATAGAAGATACAGTCATTATAAGAAAACTTGTACATAGTCTTATATATTGTTATGGTAGTAGTAAGAATCAGCATATTAGTGAGGAATAAAATAAAATAGCAGAAATAAATGGAAACATTTCTATCTAAAATACAAAACTAGTTTAAATGACATTTAAAAAATTTTAGATATAGTTTACTTAATTGGAATCTGTTGAATTCTTAAAGAAAATAAAACCTATAAACTACTTTGAAAATATAGAAAAAAAAATTTTTTGAGAAAGGGTCTCACTCTGTTGCCCAAGCTGGAGTACAGTGGCGTGATCTCAGCTCACTGCAACGTCCACCTCCCAGGCTCGAGCTATCCTCCTCCCTCAGCCTCCCGAGTAGTTGGGACCACAGATGTGCACCGCCATACCCAGCTAATTTTTTGTAGTTTTGGTGGAGATGGGATTTCACCATGTTGCCCAGGCTGATCTCAAACTCCTGGGCTCAAGTGATTCGTCCACCTCAGCCTCCCGAAGTGCTGGGATTACAGGCGTGAACCACTGCACCCTGCCAGAAAATATTTTCTTAACATTAATTTCCCAAATGTTTATGTTGCTTTATTAAGAGCTTATAAAAGCTCTGCCTTGTTTTAATTAATGTGTATATTAATACTTCTCAGAATTTTAGCTATAGTCTAAATGTTAATTTTAGTATGAATAATTAATGTTCAAAAACCCCTTTATAGATTGTAACTTGTAATTGTATTTCATTCTCTAAAATTCTTATACTTTACTTGTTTATTCTGATAAAAATATAATTTTAGCAACTTTAGTTTTTGATCTTTAGTTCTTCGGACATCAACCCCAAGTTCATTGCTAAATAGTGTTTATTTGTGAATCTGGAATTTTGTTTGGCATATGTTTCAATTTGCCTTTCCTGAGCATATCTTAATATTAATGGGCTTTATTTTCACTTATCCAAACTATTTGTCTTCTTACTACCTGAAGTTATGGATGACCCGACAGTTCACCCCTGTGAACCAGCTAATCAGTCCTCTGATTATGACAGCACAGAAACAGATGAATCTAAGGAGGAAGCTAAAGATGATGGTGCCAAAGAATCAATAACTGGTGAGGAAACTGGGAAAAAATTATTTTGGAATTAAATAAAATGTCATTTTGCTTTTAGTTTTCAAAAGGCTGATCAGTTTGAAAAAAACTATTTGTATTTTTATTTTTGAAAAGGCTTTTTGGAAGTTAAAGCTTAGATAAATATTCATGAATAATAAAACAATAAAGATAACACCTAGACTATTGTCCAGTACTCTCACATCCCTCTCTTATCATGTAATCTAGAGATTATAACAATAAACTAAGGATTATAGGACTAAGGATGATTAAATATGTTGGTTTTCCTGAGGAAAGAGGAAACACCTAAATCATCTGATTTGAACCTATTATAGCTCACAGATTTCTTTGAGAATTGTAAGAAAGCTGCAGCTCTCCTAACGCTCCAAATGCAGAAAATTTGGCATTTAAGTGATTCAGCAGTCCCTTAAGTTCCATCGATCAACCTTCTGGGTTGATAGTCCTTATTAAGCTTCAAAATCATAGGACTTTAAAGCAAGCGTTAAAATCACTGGACTTCTAATTACAGCCCTTGCTTTGTCAAAACTATTTTGGTAAGGAAATGAATATGTAATTGCTTGAAGAATGTTAAATATCTTTCTACCTTTTAGATTTTAATTGAAAATGAATTTATACTTTTAATATTGTATATTGCCTAAGGGAAAAGTTTCTAACGTACTGGAATAAAACAAAGCAGAAATTAAACTATTAATGAAGATGAGACAATATGAAAATAAATACATGGCACTTATGAAAAGTCAGCACAATTATATCAGAATTGTTTGCAGTCATTGGGGGCAATAGACAATAGACATTGGGGACTACTAGAAGTGGGAGGGTAGGAATGGTAGAAAAGCTAACTATTGGGTCCTATGCTCTGTACCTTGTTGATGATATCAATCATACCCCAAACCTCCGCATCACTCAATATACTCAGATAATAAACCTGCACATGTCCCCCTGAATCTAAAATAAAAGTTGAAATTATAAAAAAAGAAATTGTCTTCATACAATGAAAAAAAACCAAATTTTTGGAGAGCTGACCATATCAGATTAACATTTTCTGCTTGAGCTGTGGCATGATGAAGACCTTTCATTCCCCATGTTTATGGCCGATTTTTCCACAGGACTAGTAGTAGTGAGTACATTTTAAATTTTACATGTTTGAAACATCTCTTGTTAACTATGAAAAAAATTAGATAGTAGGTTTATTAATATGTTGTTGCTAAATTTATTCCAGCTTTCATATGAAGCTAAATAAGTAAAACGTAAACTTAATAAGTAAAAGAAAGGGTAGTTGATAAAGTTACTTTAAATTTAAAAACCTGTTTTTATCTTATTCTCAAAAAATTTTAAAAAATGTTTGCAATCATTAAATTTTTGCTTTTACTTTCACTACATATAAACTTGGGCAAATTTCTTAACCTCTTTTTGGTTTTCTCATCTCTAATATGAGGATAATAATCTACCTACTTCATTGGGTTGCTGCGAAGGTTGAAAAGTTACTATAAGTAAAGTGCCTAGAATAGTGTCTGGTAGATAGTGCTGCCTGAGTGTTCACTGTCATCTTTATTGTTGTTATTTTTATTGCTACTACTGCTGCTGCTGCTGTCACTAATTACATTAACGGTGAGAGAATATTTCATTGTACTTGAGACTCTTAAAAACTTTGAAATCAGACCTCATGGACCTCACATGTTCAGCATACCACCCAATGCAGGCATGTTCTAGGACCCTTGAAGCAGATGGCCACAAGCCTTAGGACCACTCACTTTCAATACATCCCACTCTTATGGTCAGCTCTAATTGTTAGAAAGTCATTCTTTATATTGGGCTTTCTATTTTCTCCCCTAAATTTCTACCCATGATTACAGTAATTATTAGGTTTTATGAATGATAGTTTGACAGTAACAACTACTGGCCTTTATGTAGTGTTTATGGTTAGTTTAAGGAGCAATTTCATATACATTTGACTGTATCAAAGAGGACTCTGACTCTGGAGCTATTTCTCCTCTTCCTTCTCCTCCTCCTCCTCCCTTCCTCCTCCTCCTCCTTCTTCTTCTTTTTCCTCTTCCTCTTCTTCTTCTTCTTCTTTTCTTTCTTCTTTCTTCTTCTTCTTCCTTCTTTCTTCTTTCTTCTTCTTGTTCTTCATGTGGCAGCCCTTTAATGATACCAAAAACAGCTTTGGTGGGATCAGATCTTCTCTCACCTTACATCTTCTTTTCCAGATGATCTGCCCTAAGGTTTCTCTACCAGTTTTTAAACTGATGATTTTAAACCTTTTGTTTTCCTTGTTGCACCCATTTGGTCAATGTTTATCTTAAAATGTGATGCACCATTTTAAACAAAATTCTTCAGATATTTTCTGTGGTGTATTAGCACATTGGTACCCATACACTACTCATTAAGGACATTTTTGATGTTACAAAGACTACTCAAGACTTCTCTTTTAAAAACCTAATTATAGTAGTTTACACTCATCCCAATGAACTTTTATCTTTTTTATTTAGATCTATTATTTCATCCTGTGAAGCTCTTTGGAAGCTTGATTCTATCATCTTAAGTTTATTTCATCTGTGAATTTGATAAGCAGGCCTTTGATGTTTTCATCTATTAGAAAGTGTTGATTACAGCAGAGATGACAATGGCATCCTTACTATACACTGATAATTCCTCCTAAGATGATGGCTGTTAGGAGGATTGGTTTGTCAAAGCTTATTTAATGGTTTTCCAACCGGCTATCATCCCACCTTGCCATACTCTTAAACTTGACACTTCCGTTGTGGCCTATAAAGGAAACTAAAAAATACAAATATAGTGCTGTAAATGTTGATATTGAAATAGACAGAGATTTAGAAAAGTCTTTAATGGTACAGTATTTGGTCTTTATTTTGGCTAGTAATCTAACTTGTTGGAAATGAATAGCAATAGTGGAAGTAGAAGTATATGAAATACTACTTTTTGAGGCACATTTATTGTATCATCATGTAATAATTCATATGTCTGAGATGTGAGAAATACCGTATATTAATATGATTGATGAGATGCTTTATTTAAGAAGAACCAGAAAACATTAATTTAGTTACTTGTAATGGAACATCAGTCTTAGTCATTAGTACGCTCTCTGCTTTTTGTCAGAGTTGAACATCAAAAAGTTGTTTTTATGAGAAATTAGCCCAGGAGTCCTATCTATTTAAAAAAGGGGTGGCTGTTCTGTTACTTTAGTGCAATGGGACTGTTTTTGAATGAGACAATAGAGTGTAAAATTAATATAGTTAGCTTGTAATTAGTTTTAGGGAGAGTGAAGATAATTAAGTTTTAGAGTATTTTAAAATTGAGTTTGAGAATTACTGTTTCTTAAAAATACCTACCAGTAACTCCTAAATTGGTTAAAGGTACCATTTGCTCTGCATTAACTTGCCTCAGTTTAGAGTTAAATCTTTCTTCTTCTTGTGTACTTTGAGAATAATTATGTTTTAGAATAATTTTTTAAATGTATTGAGCTTTTACAAGAATATGATAGAACTGTTTGGGCAAATCATCATTTTGAATAAATAATTGAGAAGTACAGGAAAAATACGTTCATTTCACTTGAAGATGGATGCTATTTTTCTTCCATTTATTTGTTTATGTATGAGACAGAGTCTTACTGTGTCACCCAGGCTAGAGTACAGTGATGTGATCATAGCTCACTGCAACCTCAAACTC
Source organism: Homo sapiens (assembly GCF_000001405.40). NCBI lineage: Eukaryota > Metazoa > Chordata > Mammalia > Primates > Hominidae > Homo > Homo sapiens. The sequence goes on from NC_000013.11 coordinate 42,194,231, forward strand.
CTGGGCTCACGTGATCCTCCAGCCTCAGCCTCCCAAGTAGCAGGGACTACAGGTGCATGCCACCATGCCTGGCTAACATTTTTATAGAGGCAGGGTCTCGCTGTGTTGCCCAGTCTGGTCTTCAATTCCTGACCTCAAGTGATCCTCCTGCCTTAGCCTCCCAAAGCTCTGGGATTACAGGCATGAGCCACCACACCTGGCCTCTTCCATTTATTGAAGACAATGTTAAATCATGTTTCACGTGTTTGCTCTGGGAATTACATTAATTAAATTTGATCATTCACTTGATATTTATGAGACAAGGATTACATGGGTAGTGTGCATTATAATACATATGTTTCATTTTCAAAAATGGACTTCAAAAGCTTCATTTATCTTTAAGTGTGCATTGATCATATTCAAATTTTGAGTATTAGTGACCTTTAATTATGGTAGACATCTATTTTCTACTGATATTCATTGATTTGAGATGAGGAATCAAGACTTCTTATTCCCTCCATGTAAGTCTCAAGAAAATGTAAACGATAGCTATGCATAATATTTTCATTTCTACTGATTGATTTAAACATTATTTTATGTTTTAAATTTATAGGAACGTGCTTATTTTTATAGCTTTATCATTATCTCTTTTTAATCTGGACTTTTTGCCAACAGTTAAAACTGCACCTCGGTCTCCAGATGCCCGGGCAAGTTATGGCCATTCCCAAACTGATTCTGTCCCTGGTCCAGCTGTGGCAGCCAGCAAAGAAAACCTCCCTGTGCTCAATACCAGAATAATCTGCCCAGGTAGTACAGATTCTGAAACATCGTGTATTTTTCAGTATTTCTGTGAAAAGGTGTAAGTATTTATTTCTATTACTGTGGAAACATGTTCTTAAAGATAAATATTCTTTAGTAGAATGTTCTTGTTATACTTTCAGTCAGAATCCAGGCCCTTAGATTCTTCCCTGTGTAACAGTTGCCTAGAAAGTATTAAAACACTTGTTTCGGCCAGGTGCAGTGGCTCACACCTGTAATCGCAGCACTTTGGGAAGCCAAGATGGGCAGATCACAAGGTCAGGAGTTCGAGACAAGCCTGGCCAACACAGTGACAAGCCTGTCTCTACTAAAAATACAAAAAAATTAGCTAAGTGTAGTGGTACACCCCTGTAATCTTAGCTACTCAGGAGGCTGAGGCCCGAGAATTGCTTGAACTCGGGAGGCGGAGGGTGCGGTAAGCTGAGATCACACCACTGCACTCCAGCCTGGGAGACAGAGTGAGACTCTGTCTCAGAAAACAAACAAACAAACACATGTTTCTGGGCCCTGCCCTGGGAAATTATGAGTCGGTAGTTCTGGAGTGGAGTCCAGGAATCTGCATTTACTAAGTTCCCAAAGTAAGTCTGAACTTACTAAGTTCTACTACTTCTTAAGCTTTCCTTTGGTGTTTTTTTAGTCAGCATTCTGCTGAATCCTTTTGGTTTTAAGCCATGAGTCTCTCTGTAGTCATTTTTAGACAACATTGATGTAAATTATTCATGATTTTGGATTAGGCAATGATTTCTCAGATATGACAAGCACACGCCACAAAAGACAAATAAATTGGACTTCACCGAAATGAATAGTTTTGTGATTCAAAGGACACTATCGAGAAAGTGAAATGACAATTTAAGAATTTACAAATAATATATCTGATAAAGGACTAGTATCCAGAACATATAAAGAACCCTTAAAATTCAACAATAAAAAGGTAAGTATCTCACTTTTAAAATGAGAAAGGAATCTAAATAGACATTTTCCCAAAGAAAATACACAAATAGCCAGTAAATACATGAAAGGATGCTCAACATCGTTAGTCACCAGGGGAATGCAAATTAAAACCATAATGAGGTGCCCCTTTATGCCACTAGGTTGACTGTGATCAAAATAGACAGATGATAACAAATATTGGCACAGATGTGAAGAAATTAGAACTTTCATGCATTGGTGGTAGGAATGTAAAATGGTGCAGCCATTTTAAGAATAGTTTCACAGTTCCCCAAAAAGTTAAACATAGAGTTTACATGTGACCCAGCAATTTTACTACTAGGTATACACCCAAGAGAATTGAAAATACATGTCTACACAAAAACTTGTTCATGACTATTTATAGCAGCATTCACAATAGCCCCAAAGTGGAAGCAACCCAAACATCCATCAGTTGAATGGAAGAAACAAAAGTGATATATTCATACAATGGAATATTATCTACCCATTAAAAAGAATGAAGCACTGATACATGCTATATAGAAACACTATGGAAAATGAACATAAAAGCCAAATGTAATATGACTGCATTTATATGAAATGCGCAGAATAGTCATAACGCATAGAGACAGAAAGTAGACGGTGGTTCCCAAGGACCTGGAGGTGAGGTGATCGACGGAATGGAAAATGACAGCTAGTGGGTACACCGTTACTTTGCAGGGTAACGAAAAGGTTTTAGAATTAACAGTGATGGTTGCACAACTTTGTGTATATATTACAAACAACTGAATTATCTAAAAACTTTAAAAGGGTTAATTTTATAATATATCAGTTGTATCAGAATAGAAATATTAAAAGAAAAAAAGAAAGATCAATCTGAAACAAACTGGTTCTGGAAAGGCCTTCAGGTTTAGATGCTGTGTTTCTATTCCAACTAGGAACCTTGGGATAACCCCTCTGGAATAAAGCTGAAAGGAATATGGCTAACCCTAAAACATCTTAGAAAATATTAACATGGCTGGGCGTGGTGGCTCACGCCTGTAATCCCAGCATTTTGGGAGGCTGAGGCAGGCGGATCACCTGAGGTCAGGAGTTTGAGACCTGGCTAACATGGTGAAACCCCGTCTCTACTAAAAATACAAAAATTAGCCAGGCATGCTGGCTCACCCCTTTAATCCCAGCTACTTGAGAGACTGAGGCAGGATTATCCCTTGAAGCCGGGAGGCGGAGGTTGCAGTGATCTGAGATCATGCTACTATACTCCAGCCTGGGCAACAGAGTGAGACTCTATCTCAACAAAAAAAAAAAAAAAAAAGAAAGAAAATATTAACACTTCCCTCTAGGGCAGCTGGAGTGTGGCTCTCACCTCTCCAAACTGTTCTTTATGCTTACTAAATTTATTGTTTTCTTCATTCATTTACTTGTTTAGACATAAGGGAAATTGGCATAAAGAAGTATGCCACAGTATATTCAAAACTATGACATTAAACGAAAGAACAAAATTCATTGTATTTGATAATTGCCTAAACATTAAAATAATGAATAATAATAATTCCCTAAGAAGAGCATAGTGCTGAGGAAAGGAATGTTTGCTAAAGAAAGGAATTGCTGGGCATGGTGGCACATGCCCTGTAGTCCCAGCTACTTGGGAGACTGAGGTGGGAGGATCGCTTGAACCCTGGGAGATGGAGGCTGCAGTGAGCTGTGATCACACCATTGCACTCCAGCCTAGGTGAGAGAGTGAGACTCATCTCTAAAAAAAAATAAAATAAAAAGAAAGAACTTGTTTTTCTAATTTCCTCGTGTTTCCCTTGTTCTTGTAGGTTCCTATTAGTTTGTCTCCTCTCCAGTCTTTAGTGCTTCTAGCTTTCATATTGGGTTGAGTAGATCATAAAATTCATTAGCTTTGAATACTGTAACAGTTAGAAAACTAGTTGGAAAGCATGTTGAAATAAATTTGAAGTAAGAGGCTTCATTTTTTATATTTAATACTATATTCTTCTAAAATTCACAGATACCTACATTTAATACTTTACTGCTTATTCTTAAAATTAACACTGAGTTTTCACCTTAATACATCTCTTAATATTTTAAATTAAGTATCATTATCTATGATTTGAGAATATGGAACTGATAACTCCATGACATTTTGGGTAATTCCGCCTTTATTGTAAATTCCTTATAGACTTAATACCATCTTTGCTATAACAAAGGAAGTAAAATGTATTTGTTATAGAATTATTGGGATGGTAAATGAGAAAGTGTCACAAAGCCATTCCTATTTAGGTCCTCCTCTCCTTAATTCTTTATGATAACATATAGATCCTTGGAAGTGTCAAAAGCCTTGTACTCACAAATGTCATTGTTTTTAATTTTCATTAATGAGAAGAGTAGGCACTGAAATAAGGCACTGAAAACCTTGCTTTTAAAAGTAAGATATTTGATATCAGGCCTGGATGGACTGGTTCTTTCTGTGTTTTTTCTTAACATGCGATCCCATATGTGTTTGCTTTTCTTTCCAGGTTTAAGAGCAGGACTGGCTGCCTCAATTGCTGGGAGTTCGATTATCAACAAAATGTTACTGGCAAACATTGATCCTTTTGGTGCCACGCCGTTTATTGACCCGGATCTAGATTCCGTGTAAGAAAATGCTTTTGCAAATATTTTGTTTGGGTTTTTCTTGTTTTTTTTTTTTTTCAACATGAACTGTAACATTTTAAATGTATTACAATAAATATGGTCCCATGTAAAAAAAGGATGATCAGAAAATTACAAAAGTTGATAATGCCAAGCACATTGAGTCTTTTAAAATTCAGTGGTCTCCGTGATCTGTCCCTGAGATAGGTCCTTTTCCAGCCCGTTCTCTCTGAGAGCAACCCTCTGGCAAAGGAAGGCACCAATAAATAGAACTGATGCTATTCCCTTTACCTCCTTTCTTCTCAGTCTTGCCAGATCTGTCATCTTTCCACGTCAGCTTCTAGGTTTACTTATTTTGGGAATCTTTTGGCCCACACTGATCTCTTCCCTTCTTAAGACTCCTACAATTTTTTGGCATTTCAAGATATACTTTCTTTTACTTCCTTTTTAAATTTTGCTTTTGTTATATCATTTCTGTAATGACATTCCTCAAGGAGAGTACCATATTTTAAACGTTCCAAAACACCTGGAAGAATGGATTGGATCTAGTACTTTTTTGCTCAATAAATATTTGTCCATTGTTAAGTGTAGAAATGGAGGGGACTTTCTAATGATAAAAAAGAGAGAGAGAGAATTGGCACCTGACTGTAAAGCCTTCCCATAATCACCTGCATTTTTTCTGTGTAGTGAGGAACTTAAGTAGAAATAGAACTAAGATTTTGTTACAGTTAGAGAAAATCACACCATAACTGTGTGTCTTACTCACCATCCCTTTATGTCACATGTACCAGAAATTGTACACATGTCCTGTGGTTGTACACATGGCATAGGAATAGGAAGTGATTAGTGCTAAGTTTTACAATCTGCTATAAAATGAAAGCTTAAATGGTTTTAAGTACTATCTTGTGTACAAATTGTAATTGTTATAATGAATCTCAAATTGACTTTGATGTACTTTTCCCTGTGATCATAGAGATGGATATTCAGAAAAATGTGTCATGAACAATTACTTTGGGATTGGATTAGATGCAAAAATTTCATTAGAATTTAATAATAAAAGAGAGGAGCACCCTGAAAAATGCAGGTAATTTTAGTAAAAGTAATAATGCTATTACATAAAGGCAATTTTTTCTTCATTTATTATGTCTTTTTGCTTGCTCTGCCTTTAAGGAGTAAATAAATAAAATTTCCTGAAATTGCCTGCCAATATTTATTTTCAGGAGCCGAACTAAAAACTTGATGTGGTATGGAGTCCTTGGAACCCGGGAGTTATTACAGAGATCGTACAAGAATTTAGAACAAAGGGTTCAACTTGAGGTAAGTTCATCTTAAAGTAAAGATATTTCATATTATCTTACTTAAAAAAAATATCGTTTTGGAGCTAATTTGACCTAAATGCGTTTTGATTAGCAATTAAATAAATATTCAAGGGGAAAAATGAATGTGATTATCAACTTTGTACTAAAGGAAGTATATACACAGGATATGAATGACACACTTAATTATCATCATCATTATCTCCTGAAATTGGGGCTACTCTGGAGTTGTGGTGCCCCACGTAAAAGTGGAGCCAAGGGAGCACATTTATAGGAGAGGGTTTTTAATGGATTTTCTCATTTAAGCTTCCAAATTCTGACCCAATTCTGTAATAACAAAAGTTTTTCAAATCCCTGAAAATAGCATTTGAAGTAAATAGAATCTTTTAATTTAAATATACGTTTATTTTTTGCTCCAATTATTTCTAACAACAAGTAAAATTAAAAGAGATTTTGAGCATTTAAATGTTTTACTGTTTTTTACTAATTTAAATAGGAAATTAAGGACAGAAAAAGTTATTTTATTTCTTCCAACAACAGAAACAACAAGGCTGAGGATATAGCTCTAAAAAGACTATTAATTTCTGTGAATTTTATTTTATTTTACCTTTGATCCAGGACTCACTGTTTATGCCGATGGGGCATGTCTTTCCTATCTTGTATCTTTTTGTAACTATATATTTTTAATTAAAGCATATCATACATATAGAAAATTATGAAATCTTAAGTCTACAGCTCAACAAAATAAATAGAACATTATTATTTGGGGTGTTATCCAAACACTGGAATGTGGACTAAAGAGGTGTCTCGCTCATTCTTTAAAAACTATATTTCCTAGTGAAGATGAGCCTATTATACTTTCCACTCTAAACATACAACTGTATGATCAGCTGGTTTGATTTATTATTGCTTATAAAATTAAGATAGACTTACTGGATAAAAAGGTACAAAATCAGGAAGGTTCACATTTTGTAAATGCTATCCTTGACACCCCATACCCAGGTCAGCTTAGGTGCTCTCCTAATCATGTAATCATTCCTTTTTTTCTTCATGTACCCCGGTTGGCCACATTCTTTTTATTTATTTATTTATTTATTTTTTTGAGATGGAGTCTCGCTCTGTCAACCACGCTGCAGTGTAGTGGTGCGATCTCGGCTCACTGCAACCTCTACCTGCTGGGTTCAAGCGATTCTTCTGCCTCAGCCTTCCAAGTAGCTGGAACTACAGGTGCACGCCACCACGCCCAGCTAATTTTTGTATTTTCAGTATACATGGGGTTTCACCATGTTGGCCAGGATGGTTTCCATCTCTTGACCTCATGGTCTGCCCGCCTCGGCCTTCCAAAGTGCTGGGATTACTGGTGTGTGCCACCGTGCCCAGTTTGGCCACACCCAAGGACACATAGGAAGTTGTTTTTATCTTTGTTATCCCCAGTGTTTAGCTCAGCACTGGTCCTATTTTGAGGGTGAAATAGATGGGTAAGTGATCACTTTAGCACAATTTATTAAGTGCTGTGATCAAGCATAGCCAGCTATCTTTAAGGGTTGAAAAACTGGCTGGATCTGAATGGCTGGATGGTCTTAGTTCCTGGAAGAGCCTCAGCTCTTCAGAAATAGGATTAGTAACCTCTTGTACTGGTGTTCCAAATTTTGAACAAGATATCTTATTTACACAGCTGCTTTGTACTCTCCTTTTTAAAAGGTTCTTAATCTTTTTTGAGTTGTAGGCACCTTTGGCATTCTGGTGAAAATAAAGACCCCTTCTCAGAATATTGTTTTCAAATGCATTATATGAAATACAGACTTACAAAAGAAGACTTACCAATAAGATTAAAATAAATTAACAACATATTTTTATGTTGCTAAAGAATAATATATGTGTTTCATCGTTACCGTATCAAATAAAAATCTAATGGCATGTCTAATAAATACCATAACTTCAAAGTGATGATGAACTTATATACAAGATATCTGAAACATCTATAACGTAATATAAAAATGTCTCATTTCGATTGATGATGAAATCACGGGTGTTACTAATGCCTTTTTTCCCCTACATTTATAATTGAGGGCGATGCTAAACTTCAGAGGTTAGTGAACATAAAGATACAGATTTTTACCATGAAGTTAACAAGTCACCTGAATCTATCCATGGACTCCTGGTTTCTGAACCTTAAGTTAAGAACACTTGATATAGATGTATATGTTAAATGATAAGGGAAAATAAAATGAGTAAAACAAGATAAATGAAAACATGTTAATATACATAAAAATAAAGTAGAAAAAGTAGAGCACTCTTTGCCATCATTAACAAAAAATAGTAACAATAAAGTAAACCAAAAAGATACATTCTACTTCTAAAGACGATGGAAGGCCGTTGTCTAAAAATTCATTTTTCTGATGATGGTTCACTCGGGATAAAGGTGGAAAAGAGAGACCCACACCTTGGGAGGCTCTTTCCAGAGAGACGCCTTCACCAATGGCCTTCCTTTTTAGCTTTTTACTCTTACCTTTTTCCTCAGATAAGTTTTCCCTCCCCGTTATGTTGTTGGTATGGAACGAGGCTGACTTCATGTCTTAACTTTAAATTTGTGCAGAACAAAGACTTTGACCTTGGTTTCCCTATATACGAAATTGATAAAATAATGATTTTATGCAAATCATAAATAAATGAGCCCAAGGTACTGTAAATCACAGTGTGAATGGGAAAGAACTGTACAAATGCAAACTTTGTTTCCCAAGCCACATTATCAGTGATTCTGATATATACTCAACTTTCAGAAACTTGGAGTGAGATTTAGAATCCTTTTTACAATGATGGGAATTCCAGAAATGTAAATAACGTCACAGTATCATATTTTGCTACTTTTAGAGTAGAAACACCTTTCACATGTAAATGGAAGAATTGTATTAAAATTCCAAACATTTTTTGTAAGAAGGATGACTTTTTTGCCCATAATATACGTAATTTACATGGGTTAAGGAGACTGTTCTATTTATTAACTGAAATAATAATTATATATTGTTTCAAGTTCTGTAAGTACTAAGATACATGAAGAAAAACAAATAACTTTAAAAAACAGTCTTCATCTGTAGGCTATAATGAAATATGTGATTGAGAACAAGTAGTTGTTTAATTCACATTTTTAGTTATTTCAAATCTTCCCATAATCTGTATCTTTTTAAAAAACAAAATAAATTTAGTTTATTATATTAATAGTAATTTCTGTATTTGTTTAATTCATTTCAGTAATAACTAGTTGTAACTACTTTTTAAATCATTTTGAATGAAGTTTACTGTGTGCCTTCTACATACCACCTTTAATTCTTAACAACTCATGAGGTAGGTATTATTATTCAGTTCGGAAGAGTAAAGGCATTGCTTAAGTTCAAACAGCTGATAAGTGGAAGAGCCAACATTTCAAATCCAGTGTTTTTTCCATAAGACAATTTGTAATTATAACTGAAGAAGGAAATTTACTGACTTCCCACATGTGTTCTAGGTGCTTTTCTTTACCTTATCTCATTGGCCTCACTGTGTGCTAAGAATTGTTAGCCCATTTTACAGATGAGCAAAGTGAAGCTCTAAAAGCTTAAGGGACTTACCCAAATACTAAGTGACAGAATTCAATCCAGCTCCACCATCTTCCCTCCATATCAGATTGTCTGGTGAAAGGAGCAGAGAAAACAAACACTAATGAGAAATATATATATAGCTGCAGTTTTGTAGCATTTTGCAACATCATGAACCACAAATAGAAACATGGGATGGCTAGGGAGCCAGCTCTGGTGGTGTGCACCTATAATCCCAGCTACTTGGAAGCCTGAGGCAGGAGGATTGCTTGAGCCCAGGAGTTCAAGACTGCAGTAAGCTGTGATGGCACCACTACATTCTATCCTGAGCGACAGAGCAAGACCACATCTCTCAAAAAGAATAAATAAATAAAAATAAAGGATATATGGGGCTACTGGAAATATTTTTTAAAAATTTAACACTCCTGAAGTTTTTCCTGGATATGAGAAACTTTTAAATCATGTGAATTTGTTAATTTGTTGAATCTGTATTCCTCGTATTTTTCCTATGAGACTCTATGAAATGGACATTAAGCATTTAGATTTAGATGTGTTGCTTAATATATATATATTCACTTCAGCACCGCACATAGGACTTCTTTCTGAAAATCTTCATCGTTTTCCATACCATGTTTGCAAATAAAGTGCATCCATTTGGAAAATATTTTTAAAATATTTCTTTTATATTTACAGAGATAGTATTTTTCCCCATTTCCTTTGTTAGTCATATGATTTAAAGCAGCTTTTTCTAAAGCACATAAAGATATCTGTTTAATGTATTGGGTTGAGAAAAAGTTTATTATTCTGTTAAGTATTTCATATTTATTCATTCAACAAATATACATTGAGCACCAATTATGTGCCAGACAAACCCCCAGGTGCATGGACCTTTGAATGTGAAAAGCTAAACCTGCTAATGGTTAACACTGTGTTTTCATGAAAAAGAAGAAAAGGAATTGTGAAACATTCCCGTGAAGGTAAATCAACCAATCCTGGCCTTCATCCATTACACCATTCCAATCAGCCAATAACCCTGAGGTCTTCCCAAGAACTGACTTTGGCTGAATTAGCGAACACAAGCTTCTGTGTGATTCTGATGGTGAACATTTTTTGCAGTACTTGGGGATGAGATTAATCTCCTATGCATCCTCACTAAGCTCTTATTCTTCCCCATTCTCAGATTCACAGAGCAGAGAAGTCCCTTACGGGTTGGTCTTGGACCAGCTGTAACAATTTCCAAGTGTTTGCTGGTCTCTGCCCTGGATTTTCACCAGTTTAGCGAGCTAACTTGGAGAATCAGAACCTCACTACTGAATAGACATTAAAGAAAATATTGGTACTCTTGACATTGAGACCTTTTCCTTCCATCTTTGCTAAACCCAAACCATCCTAGACCAGTAGGACTTAATACTCTTTTTAATGAGATGTCCCATTACAGAAACTCTTTCCCTCACCTTGGTTTCTCCCCTAGAACAAATTATTCTCTCACAGTCTCAGAAATACAGTTTATTTCTTTCTGTTGGAAATCATTTTTATTGGGCATTAAAATGTAATTTTTAAGAAGCTATGTTAATTATTTTTAATATAAGAATTATTTAATGAAAATATAGCATCCATTTTAGGTGTGACATCTGTAAGCTGTTCTCTTTTAAAATGAAGGCTTAAACATTTCCATTGGATTTAAATGTTCACTTAGAAAAATGTTAAGTGGTTTGGTTTAAATGTTAATTAAAATAATAAGTATGATCATAAAATGTATGTAACATAATTATGCTCATTTTTCTTGAGTAATTTTTAAAAAATTAGTTTCATAACTAATTGTTTCCTTAATAGCCAACTAGACTTTATTTAAAAGTTAATAGAATAAACAGCATTAATTGAAATTAAGAAACAACATTTATGAGAGAAGGTAACAGTTCTGCTTCTACTCAGTAAGAATTTATTCACATCCATTCACCAGCCATATCCTTTTTTTCCATTTACATGGTAATTTACTTTTCATTTAAGTGCTTAATGAGAAAGTAAGGACTGCAAGGAGCTTTCTGAGATGCATATATTTTTGCTTGACTTTGGTTCTGACTTGTACTTGAAGTATTCAGCTTTGAGTTTCACCAGTCCCCAGGTGGTTGTAGAGCCCCAGCAATGTACCAGGGACTGTGAGAGGGGCTAAGTGAGATGGTTAGGATCAACTTTCTCTTACCCAGTCTGCTTTCAAAAAGATGCTTAAAATAAGTACATAGAGGACCACAATGCAGGTGAAAGTACATAAAAGGCCTGAAAATGATTCAAGAAAAGGACTCCCTGGTTTTGGAGGAAAGAGGTAAAGCATTTCTTTAAAAATCAGTTTTTTGTAATAACTTCTGCTATAGTTATTTATACTTCAAACTTTTTTTAATTAAAAAAAATAAGATAAATGATTTGGTAACGTGTAGAGAGCAGACATTACGAACACACTGTGCTCCATTGTCCTTCATCTTTAGTGTTTTAGTATCTTCCATACTAGTGGTTCTGCTCTTTTTATCTAATCTCTACTTTTTTTTTTTTTTTTTACCTTACAGTGTGATGGGCAGTATATTCCTCTTCCCAGCTTGCAAGGCATAGCCGTGTTGAACATTCCCAGCTATGCTGGAGGCACTAACTTTTGGGGTGGAACTAAAGAGGATGATGTAAGTAATGGGAGTAAATAGTTTGTTTCCTCAAAAATAATTATATCACTGGAATAATTTGCTTTTGTAAATGGGCTGTTGAATAGTAGTTTAATTTCATGTTAAATATTTTGCATTGGGTAAGTGAGGCATGGAATAGATTTATTTAAGATTTTATTGTAACAGTCTCTTGTGGATGTACTCCAACTTTTCTCATGTTGAAGATACAGATATTCGTATCTTGGGATGTATGTCACAATTTTCTGGATGAACATTAAATAGTGGGTCTGCTTTTGGAAAGTAGATTTATGAAATAAGGAAGGGAAGATTTTACTTTTTAATTTTATACCTGCATCTGTTTTCTATCGCTGCTATAACAAGTTAACACAAATTTAGCCACCTCAAACACATTTATCATCTTACTGTTGTATATGATGGGAGACTGGCACAGTCTTACTGGGCTAAAATCAAGGTGTCAGCTGGGCTGTTGCCTTCCGGAGGCTCTAAGGGAGACTCTTATTTCCCTGTCTTTGGAGCGTCTCGAGGCTGCCCACATTCCCCTCCATCTTCAAAGCCAGCAAAGGCAGGTTGAATCCTTCTCACATGGCATCTCTCTGATGTCTGCTGCTTCCTCTTCCACTTTTGATGACCACTGTGATTACATTGGGCCCACCTAGATCACCCAGGATCATCCCCATCTCAAGGCCCTTTATTTAATCACATCTGCAAAGTTCCTTTTGCTGTGTAAGGTAACAGATTCACGGGTTTGGGGGATTAGGACATGGACATTTTAGGGGGCAGAGAGGGGGCATTATTCTGCCTACCACAATACCTTTTGGTACTTTTACTTTTTCTTTCTTTCTTTCTTTCTTTCTTTCTTTCTTTCTTTCTTTCTTTCTTTTTCTTTCTTTCTTTCCTTCTTTCCTTCTTTCCTTCCTTCTTTCTTTCTTTCTTTCTTTCTTTCTTTCTTTCTTTCTTTCTTTCTTTCTCTTTCTCTCTCCTTCCTTCCTTCCTTCCTTCCTTCCTTCCTTCCTTCCTTCCTTCCTTCCTTCCTTCCTTCCTTCCTTCCTTCTTTCTTTTTTGAGACAGAATCTTACTCTGTCGCTCAGACTGGAGTGCAATGGCGTAATCTCAGCTCGCTACAACCTCTGCCTCTCAGGTTCAAGCAGTTCCCCTGCCTCAGCCTCCTGGGTAGCTGGGACTACAGGCACACACCACCACACCTGGCTAATTTTTGCATTTTTAGTAGAGACGGGGGTTTCACCATGTTGGCCAGGGTGGTCTCGAACTTCTGACCTCAGGTGATCCACCCACCTCGGCCTCCCAAAGTCCTAGGATTACAGGGATGAGCCACTGCATCCAGCCTCAGTACTTTTAATTTTCTAAACTTGTGTGTGTATATATTTTTTATTTTCAGAAATATCAAGAGGGCTCATTTGGCCGGTCGAGTTTAGGGCTATTTTTGTTTTTCTTTTCATACTTTTCTATATTAGAAAAAGAAGAAAACACAACCTTACAAATGTAATTGTTGTGAAAAGAATGAAAGAGAGGGCACAATTATTAAAGTGTGTATATATATATATATATATATCAGTAAAAATGAGAAGTGTTATCACAGTCTTTATTTGAAGAGTCACATCCATTGATTTGAGTTTATGATATAATGATATAATGGTTCCTACTGATCTGTTATTCTCAAAGATCTTAAATGGACAGATAGGGATACAGTATAAGATCAATTGGAAAGTATTTGTAATTTTCATGACATAAATATATTCCAGTCCTATTCGAGTATAAAAGCATCTTTTGTCTGCTTGTCACTATTAAGTATTTTGAAGGGGAGAAATCAGTGAGATTAAGGTAAATAAAGCCAACATTCCTTGAACACCTGCTAGGTAGTCCGACAATGTTCTAAGAGCTTCACATTCATTATTTAATGTCCACGTTGTTTATTTGATTTTTACTGCTGAAGAATCTAAGACAAAGTTTCCAGTTAGTAATAGCAGAGACAGGGTTTAAATTCAGGCAGTATAATAAAAAAATTACAAATTACAATGTTAGCAACTTTGTGTCCTGATATTTTCAGTGAAAGTTTTAATTAGCTTATTACTTTATACTGAAAATTGTTTCAGATGCATATTATTTATGATATAGTAAAAGAGAGAGTAAGGTAATACAGCCTACATATAAAATTTTAGAGTAAATTAATTTTGTGAAAATGCATCTAATGTAAAGACAAAATAAGTCTGCATAATTTTTATCTTCTGAGGTTTCTATTTGCATACTCTCAAGTTCCCTCAAAAGTTTTGTATTAAAATATAAAGCACATATGTATATTGCTTGTAAAACCTTGAAAGATTTCCCTTAGAATATATCAAGTAAACTGGATCATAATTTGCATCTTCATTAGCTTTAACTTTATGAAACTATATCACCTTTCTATGACACTATATCGCCTTTGTAGTTTTTTTTAGATTTCCAAAACTTACATGTATCATCTTATTAACATGTTTGAATTAGGTATGAACATGTATTTAACATGTTTTATTCCAAGGTGAATTATTTAGAAATATATTAGTTAACTGGTCCAAAGAGTAGTTTAATGAGAGGTATGAGTAGTATATCCGTGTATATTTGAAAACCCTTTTTAAAGTTAGGTTTATTGGAAGTCATCTTCAGAGATTTTTTTCTTGGATTATTATTTCCTAATAATATTTACTTAAATATATTATTAAATATATTAAATATATGTAGATATATATTGCAGTTTACATTGCTTAACGTGCTCTTCACCTAAACATTCAGTAGAAGTGTAATGTAGTTTTTCTTTCAGATATTTGCTGCACCATCCTTTGATGACAAGATCCTGGAAGTTGTAGCAATATTTGATAGCATGCAAATGGCAGTTTCAAGGGTCATTAAACTGCAGCATCATCGAATAGCCCAGGTTGGTTTCTCTCGTCAAACCTGACTGCACTTCTTGGGCTAAGGAGGGTTGAAGGAATCTATTCTAAACAACTCGTACACTGGATATTCATCTATAATATTCTGACTTTGTTGTCATATCAGTTTTTACCATGTCATTTATAAGTGATAAAGCATAATAGTCTATTCTGTAGAATAGTCTAATACTCAAGCCTTCATAAAGATTGAGTGTCATTTTCTCTGGATGATTTGTACTCTAAAATGATTTGTTTTATTTCAGTGCCGTACAGTGAAAATCACTATATTTGGTGACGAAGGAGTCCCAGTGCAAGTGGATGGTGAAGCGTGGGTTCAGCCTCCAGGGATTATCAAAATTGTGCACAAAAACAGAGCACAAATGCTAACAAGGGACAGAGTATGTAACAAAAACATTCTTCTAGAATATTGTCAGGTTTTTAAAGAATCTGAAATTGTTATAAAAAAATAGAAAATGAAAACATTTAAATTGTCTCTTAAATCTGACATTTAGGTCATGGTGGTTTGAAATATGAACAAATATTTATTTATTTCAGTAGGAGTTTATTTTTTAGAGCCATTTTAGGTTTACAGAAAAACTGGGCAGAAAGTAAAGAGAATTCGAATTACGTTCCTATATACTTCCTCCTCCCCCTTCTTCCCTACACATGTAAATTCCCCTGTTAACATCTTGCATTAGTGTGGCACATTTGTTACAACTGTTGAGTCAATACTGATTGATTATTATTAACTAAAGTCCATAGTTTCCATTACTCTTTGAGTTGTACATCTGTGAGTTTGGACAAAGATATAATCACTTGTATCCACCACTGCAGTATCATACAAAATTATTTCACGACCCTAAAAATTCCTTATGGTCTACCTGTTCATCCCTCCTTCCCTTACCCTTACTCCTGGCAATCATTGATTTTTTTTTTTTTTTTTTTACTGTCTCTATTATTTTTCCTTTTGCAGAATATGTTTTTAATTAAGGTCTGTCTTTATCAAAGAAGACTGCTAATATTTGCCCATCTAGTATATATAAAATAGTAAAGATTAAAGAATAAATTGAAGCAATAGTAAAGATTGAAGCATGAAATATTTTTTTGTTTTTGTTTTTGTTTTGAAACAGTCCTGCTTCATTGCACATGCTGGAGTACAGTGGTGTGATCATAGCTCACTGCAACCTTAAACTCCTGGGCTCAAGCAATCCTCCTACCTCAGCCCAGCTAATTAAAAAAAAAATCTTTTTTGTAGAGATGAGGTCTCACTATGTTGCCTAGACTGGCCTCAGGTGATTGTCCCGCCTTGACCTAAATCTCTTTTTTAACTTTTAAATGATGTATTCATGATCATTGACTGCACTACTTTTCATGTGTTGCAGTACATTGGAAAACTTTGAAATGTCTTTTTTATACTTGTGATTTATTTGAGGAGTCATTAGAGAAAAAGCAATTGTAGTTTTATTAAAGCACACATTTACATGGACCTCTGAGTTCTAAACTAACAATTCGTTACAATATTGACTTTAAATAGGCCTTTGAGAGCACTCTGAAATCTTGGGAAGATAAGCAGAAGTGTGATTCTGGTAAACCAGTTCTCCGAACCCATTTGTACATCCATCACGCCATTGACTTGGCAACAGAAGAGGTGTCGCAGATGCAGCTATGCTCCCAGGCTGCAGAGGAGCTCATTACTAGGTAGGGGGCTCTGCTGACTTTTCAGGCTGTGGGAACTGTGGTCTCAGCCAATTTTTGTTTTTTTAATCTTAATACATTGTTTCAGTAGTGGTATCAAAAAGAGATGCAATTACTCTTCTTCACACAGCACTCTTTCCATTATTGTTTATTTCTCCATTTTATATACATCTTTACACTATACTACCTACTTATATGTTGCCTTCTAATTACTAATTAAATGTTTATGGAATGGAGAGGGAAGTCTAAACATTCATCCTGTTCCAGAGAAGAGTCAGGAGCAAAAAGAATAAAAAGACTTCAAAAACCAATTTCTGACAAGTTATTAGAGAGATTTTGAGACCACACATAACATTAATTCCAATAGACAAAAAGAAAAGAGATAAAAAGCAAGCCTATGAGTGTTAAACAAATAAAAATCACTATGACCAGGGAAAACTTCAGAGGGGAGGAGGGACCATGGGCCAGTGTCTTACCTCCTCACCTGAGTCTTATCTACCGAATGGGGCTAATAAGAGCTGTTTCAATAGGGTGTGTGAAGATTAAATGAGACTCTAGGGATGAGTCCTATAAGCACATTGTATTAGTCCATTTTCATATGGCTATGAAGAAATACCTGAGACCGGGTAATTTATAAAGAAAAACAGGTTTCAGGCCAGGCACAGTGGCTCATGCCTGTAATCCCAACACTTTGGGAGGCTGAGGCAGGTGGATCAGTTGAGGTCAGGAGTTCGAGACCAGCCTGGCCAACATGGTGAAACCCCGTCTCTACTAAAAATACAAAAATTTGCCGTGTGTGGTGGTGGGCACCTGCAGTCCCAGTTCCTCAGGAGGCTGAGGCAGGAGAATCACTTGAACCTGAGTGGTGGAAGTTGCAGTGAGCCAAGATCACGCCACTGCACTGCAGCCTGGACGACAGAGTGAGACTCCGTCTTCAAAAAAAGAAGAAAAAAAAGAGGTTTAATAGACTCACAGCTCCACATGTCTGGGGAGGCCTCACAATCATGGCAGCAGGCAAAGGAGGAGCAAAGGCACGTCTTACATGGCAGTAGGCAAGAGAGCATGTGCAAGGGAACTGCCCTTTATAAAGCCATCACATCTTGTGAGACTTAGTCACTATCACGAGAACAGTACAGGAAAAACTCACCCCCATGATTCAGTTACCTCCCACTGGTCTCTCTCATGATTCATAGGGATTATGGGAGCTACAATTCAAGATGAGATTTGGGTGGGGACACAGCCAAACGATATGACACATCATGTCTGGCATATTGAGTGCTCTGTGTATAGTAACTTAAGATTCTTCCCACACCTTCATCTGGTCACTGATAAAAATGTTGAAAAAGAAAAGAAGGAAAGCAAAGCTCAGTGGTTTCAGCGGCTAACTCACATCTTTCCTCCTCTCTACTATTTGCCATCTGCTCCCCTCCCATTCCTTACTCTCTTTAAATATTTATTAGATAACTAGACTGTGTGAGATGTTAGAGACAGAAGAGAAAAGGCATACACCCCCTACTGCTGGACCAACATTCAGAATTAGAATCAAGTCTTACAACTGCAAAATACTGGGCAGCTCAGAAGAAAGGGAAGAGAAAATGAATATTTACTCAGCTATACCCACACAGCTGCATTATTGTACATCTCGGCTTCTTATCCATAGGGTTGTTAGTTTCAGACTAAATACATCTCTTTTAGATACTACAGACAACTTCTGTGGCCTCTAATTTACAGTGTTTTTTTGAAACCAAAATATACTTCCCATGTTCTCATCCTGTGAACCAACCAAATAATCTTATTGTAAAAAGGAAGCGAAGATTGACTAGGCTTGCTTCTGGTCAACGTAGTTTGGCTTCCCATCTGTTTTTAAATTTTGCAGATGAAATCAGGCTCACTTGTCTATTTTCAGAATTTATTCATTGACTATGCAAACATATTCAATTTTTGAACCTCTTCTTAGGCTGGGGATACAAGATGATTATTTGACAGCCCTACTTAATTGGCTCACAGATTAGTAGGAGGGAGAAATGTGGCCAAAGGATTGACATGAGGCACACAGTGGACTCTGTAGATACACTCTAGAGGAAGTCAGAGGCAGTGAAGGAGGGCTGCCTGGAAGAAGTGACCTTTCATCCGAGTCTTGAGGGAAGAGTGAGAAAAGGAGCAATTTAAGCATGGGAACCAGCTTAGGAAGAGGCCCAGAGGAGTGTGAATGCATGCTACTTTCAGGAAATCTCAGAGAGTTTGGGGTGACTGAAAGGTTGGCATAGTATATGCAAGATTGTGTGGAATGTAGATGAAGAGGTGAGGAGGAGCCAGATCTTTACTGGGCTGTTCTAGAAGTAGTGTGGAGGGGTTTTTCTGGACGACAGCAAAGCTGGGGCAAGGTGAACACTGAGGATGCTGTAGAAGTTGTCCCTATAAAAAATGATAGACTAAAGCAGTAAAGATAGAAAGGACAAGCAAGATTAAAGACAGTTTAGGATTTAAAATTGGTAAATGGGTATGAATTAGGAAACAGGTTGACCTTAATGTTCTAATGAATGGCTGGATGATTGTGGGGTGCCTTTGATGGAGCCATAGGGTTCAGGAAGAGGAGTAGGTATTAGAAGGAAAATGATGGGTTCCATGTTGGGCTTTAGAATTTAAATTACATTAAAAATACCTAGCAGATTTCAGTAGGCAATTAGAAATGTTGATCTGAAGTTGATTTATGTCTTTCCCTTTCTCTGAAAATTAGAATAACCTTTATCCATCTCTGTTCTTCTGAAAAATAGCCCATTCTTCATGGTTTCTCAGGGTTGCTGATAATAGTGCTGAGGTGACATTTGCAAGCTTCTTTGTGCCTTAGATATCCATTGTATAATCCTTAAGAATTAAATTCTTTTTCTTTACTCTTGGTTCAGCTATATAGGGCCTCAGTCCCTTTTCTTGTTCTGTCCTTTCCAGATAGAAAATATTTCTCCATGAAGCTGTCAGAAGCAAAAAAAACACTTGAACAGCCCTGCCTTCTTGCTCATCTGCAGGTCTTACATCATTTTCTAGCAATCGGAGGGACTTTTTCTCCTTTCTTGTCCTTGGCCTTAGTGCCTTCCAGAATTTGGTCTTTTCAGGACTATTCTTAGAGGTTTGGATACCAGTGGAGTATGGCACAACAGGCTTTGGAGTTAAATAGACATGGATTCCGATCCTGGCTCTACGATTTACTGGCTCTGTATGCCTACCACGTCTCTCTGAGCCTCAATGTCATCATCAATAATATGGAGATAGTAAATCATAGCTACATTTAAAGGCTGTGAATGTTAACTTATATACTGCTTATGATCACTTTGTGTATTGATGACAAATATGGTAATGCTCTTCCCTAATCTGTTGCATTTGCAGTTTCAATGAATGAAAGAGAAGTTTCTAGTCTTTATACTTGTGATCCCTCTCACTTTCCAAGGATACTGAAAAATGAAGTATTACTATATTTCATTCTTCAAAATAGCACTTCAATATGTCTCCCTCTGATTTTTAAGCCTAATTTTTTATACAAAGATTTTTTATTTCATATTTTTTGTTGCAGTGGGGTCTGGATTTATAGATCTACCTGTGCCATTCATAATTGAGCAGCCATTAAAAGTGTTCTTCCATACTGATCTTCATATATTTTTTACTTGTTTTATCCTAACATTTCTATACTTCAAAAAAAATGAGCAATACTCAAAAAAGTTTTTTATTCATTTGTTTCATTTTTGCTTTTAGGATATGTGACGCAGCCACAATTCACTGTCTTTTGGAGCAAGAACTGGCCCATGCTGTGAATGCCTGCTCCCATGCCCTGAATAAAGCCAACCCAAGGTGCCCGGAGGTGAGGATCTAATGGTAAATTCTCATTCCACAGATTCTTTTGGGTGTTACACATGTATTTTAATACTGTAAAATATGCCACGCCCTGTGACAGAAAGTTATGTTGTCTATATGAGTCTCTACAAACCTGCAGTAAAATCGTGGACAACTTTTTATTTTCCTTTTCCTGTTATTTTTTCATTCCTGCTCTTAAATTCTCTCATTTTTTATGTTTCACTTTCAATCACTTGTCACCTTCCATCTGTCTTCACTTCTTTCTTTTTTGAACTTTAATCGTCCTTTCTTACTCCTTCTTTTACCTTACCTTCTGCCCTGTACCTTGTTAAAGGGCAATCCTAGATATCATCAGCGTGCATTTTGTTAGAGATGTCCACTCGTTTTTGAAGTTATGCACTGAAATTATTCCTACTTCATTTTGTTTTGCTAAATCGGAAATTGATGCTTCTGTAAAATTTTTAATGTATAAGTTAATAATAGAATGGATAGAATATAACTCTTAAAATGTGCCACATGGTACAATGCTATAGTATGGAGAAAACTGATAGCGTTTTTTTTTTTAATTATTTGATTGAAGTTACTTAAATTAATATACAGTTAAGTGCTTGTTCTCAAGATAATAGTCTAAAAAGCAATATGGTTAGTGTTACTGAGAGTAAAAGTTTTTTTTGACTTAACTTTTTAATGGGAATATGTATATGCTGGTGCTAGCATATACATATTCATTAGGTAGGAGATGTGATCCTGAGTGTATTCACTGTAATCGGTGCATTCTTTTTGTTCTGTAATATAATAATAATGAGATAGTCATACAAACAAATGTATGAAACTTTGCGATTATAGAATTTTGGTAGATTAAAAATGTGTGCTGTGAATTTAAATTATAAGAATAAAATTTAAAGTGTTTATGGTAATGAAATCCTATTTTAATACAGATCACATGTCTTTGATATTCTTCTTTTCTAGAGTCTTACAAGAGACACTGCCACTGAAATAGCCATCAATGTGAAGGCGCTGTATAATGAAACAGAATCTTTGCTAGTTGGCAGGGTTCCTTTGGTAAGGAAAAGAATGACTGGTAACATAAGAATGATGAATTAAATGTCTGGGTCTTACCTTCATTGGGGAACAGGCATTTGGCAGATTCTAAGGCAGAAGCAGCCTTCTGGCTTCCATCCTGAGAGCTGCCTCTTCACCTGGTTTTTGTCTTCAAGAAAATATATGGCTGAAGTTGGGAGTCATGATTCAGGCTAACAGGAGTGGAGATTTCCCCTCATATATGCCATCCTGTTTTTAGGCAGCCCTGCTCTGCCCCATTCAGCTTCGAGAGACGTGAGCTTTATAAAGTGTAGTAGACATTCCTTAGGTACTTATTATTGCACACAAGTAGAGGAACTCATGGAGTTTGTTCCCTGAATTAGCATTTGAATATGACTGGTATGGTCCTCCAGGTTTGCTTAAAAGAGGACATTTTCTAGACACAGTGTTTCAAGAAGTAAATTTCAAGAACTCTGCCTTGTTTAATCCAGATTGGTCCTGGAAATCAAGTTTAGGCCAAGTCTGAATCAGACCACAGTCCATGGATCTCAAGCATAAATGCTGGAAGCTTGTGGATGTCCTATTTTGTTAGCAGCACGAGTTAGCCTTTCTTTATAAATACCTCACCATTTTCAAGTATTCTAGCATCTTGGCTCTTGCCGCCACCTAGAGTTCGGTTGTGGCTTATTCCCACATGCTGTTATCACTGTGTGGAAGGCCTAATTCATTTGCTGTTTTTTTATTCCTTTTTATAATTCTGGTTAATTGGTAGTTGATGATCTTAAAACATTTCTTTTGAAAGTAATTTTCTCACTTGGTTGGGCAAATCTACACCTAAATAAAAGTGATACTAAGAGTCATAGTATCTGGCACAGTGGGTGAATGAATGGGAGGTGCATCCCACAGCCTTGCTATTAAGTGCCTGAGCTTAGGGTTTCTGTTTTCGCCTATGGTCCAGAAAAGTGCCACCTTTGGGGCATCCTTTGCTCTGAGAAGAGAAGCTGAAAGGCTGCATGAAAGCCATCACTCTTACCTACCTCCAAAGGAAACTGAAACACAGCTTCCTTGGGACAAGAGGTGACTGGCTCTACTATGGCCATGAAGAAAACCTTTTACGAAGAAACATTGGTTATCTCTTTTGATAAAACCAGTGGAGCCCCTTCTTGGCTTTTTTTGGCACTACTGTTTTTAACCAGAATCTTCTGCTGGTCCTATAGGAAATCCAGTGACCTATGACGATCATTTCTTACAACTAAAAGCATAATTTATTCTGTACTTATTTTCTCTACACGAAAAGTACCTGCTGAGTGCTACCTTGCTAATATTTATTATTTGTATTATGTTAATATGGATGGACTTTCCTTCTCCACTTTTAATTTTCTCTCATTGTTAAATATGAATTTTGGTTTAAAATGTGTACTGGTGAATTTTACCAAAACTTTTGACAATAGTGATATTACAATAAGGAATTGATTGTATTTGAGAGCAACTAAGGTTTACTCTATATTTTAGTGCCAGAATGAATTTGTAATAACCATTTTATACGTTTTATAACACATATTCTTAGACTAAACGAAAATTAATAAATTTTAAACACAACAGGGTAGAGAATCTCCTTTTTTTTTGAGACAGGGACGCACTCTGTCGCAGTAGCGTGATCTCTGCTCACTGCAACCTCAGCCTCTCTGGTTCCAAGTGATTCTCCTGCCTCAGCTGCCAAGTAGCTGGGACTACAATCGCGCACCACCATGCCTGGCAATTTTTTTTTTTCTTTTCAATAGAGACAGAATTTCACTATGTTGGCCAGGCTGGTCTCGAACTCCTGACTTCAAGTGATCCACCCGTCTCGGCCTCCCAGAGTGCTGGGATTACAGGCATGAGCCACTGCGCCCAGCCAAGAATCTCCGTATTTTTAATCACTACTAGAAGTGGTAGATACTGTGAATAACAAGGGGAAACAAAAAAAAAAGTTCATAATAACAGTAATATTATCTCTGAACTTTTAGTTCTAAAATTCTATAAACATATTTATGAGAACTCTATAATTTTAAAGTAATTTATAAATATATTGATTAGCTAGAAGAGACCTCAAAAATAATCTAGTCGGCCAGGCTCAGTGGCTCACGCCTGTAATTCCGGCACTTTGGGAGGCTGAGGCAGGCAGCTCATTGTAGACCAGGAGTTTGAGACCAGCCTGGACAACATGGTGAAACCCCATCTCTACTAAAAATACAAAAATTAGCCAGGCCTGGTGGCATGCGCCTGTAAACCCAGCTACTTTGGTGGCTGAGGCACGAGAATTGCTTGAACCCAGAAGGCCAAGGTTACAGTGAGCTGAGATTGCGCCATTGCACTTCCAGCCTGGGCAACAGAACAAGACTCTGTCTCAAATCATCATCATCATCATCATCATCACCTTGTGCTATTTCCAGAGGAAGAAATAAAGTCTCCTGAAGTCAATTAACCTTCCTTTGGTTACTTAGTTAATTACAAGGCCAGGAGTAGAATCCAATCGACTGCCTTCCAGTTCTGTGCAGAGGAATGTTTATTTAATCTTTATTCATTTATTGAACTTGTAAGTGCATTTTAATACCTGCTTTCAATGAGTTAATGCAGATAATAGGTGAGCAGTTAAATTCTCCTTAAAATATCCAAACCCAGTTTCAGATGATAAGCCATTGAGCTTTTTGCTTTGCCCTAATTTTTACAACAGTTTTTCATCACAGATTTTTCTAAGATTCATGATTTTTTACCCTTAAGCCTATTCTTTAAATTTTCAAGGAGATTTTTCTGCAGTTCTTTTTATATGACAAGTTTTTAACCAGTTTAAAAAGTATTATTTGTTCATGTGGTGACTTTTTTTTTTTTTTTTTTTTTTGAGTCAGAGTTTCTGGCTCTGGCACCCAGGCTGGAGTGCAGTGGCGCTATCTCTGCTCACTGCAATCTCCACTTCCCAGGCTCAAGCAATTCTCTTGCCTCAGCCTCCCAAGGAGCTGGGATTACAGGCGCCCAACACCATGCCTAACTAATTTTTGTATTTTTAGTAGAGGCGGGGTTTCATCATGTTGGCCAGTCTGGTTTCCAACTCCTGACCTCAAATGATCCGCCCACATTGGCCTCCCAAAGTGCTGGGATTATGGGCATGAGCTATCATGCCCAGCCTGGTGACCTATTTAAATCAGAAGGATTTTTGGCACAAATAAGTAGAATAGTAAGACTGCACACTTATACAACCAGGAAGAATTGGTAGATAAATGCTTGGAAAGCATGAAGGAGGGAGACAGGAAAGAAGACATTTACACAGAAAAAAACACCAAAATAATACTTTTTCTATGAAGTTATTAAAGTTACACTAGCTACTCATATGATCTTTGGGAAGTAATGATTAGATTAAATCTATTCAGATTTTTTAAAAATGAAATCAATATAAAAGAATTTATTCTTCTCTTAATATTCCTTAATTTAAAAAATACTACCTTAATAAGGAGTGAGGCTGTTCACTGTCAAAGTACAATGATTTATTCTACGTGAGGCTGGCCACTGAGTCTTGTTTTGTTTTGTCTTTTAATCTGCTGGTAAATAGCAGCTGGAATCGCCACATGAAGAGCGAGTATCCAATGCCTTACACTCTGTGGAGGTGGAATTACAGAAACTGACAGAGATTCCTTGGCTTTATTATATCTTACACCCAAATGAGGATGAGGTATGTAAAATTCAGCCTGTTTCTCTAGAAATGTAGACCATATTGCTATAGAATTTGAACTCATCTTTGAAAAAGAGATATTTAGGGAAAAATGAATTTTGAATACTACTTTCAAATGTTCTGTTCTTGAACAAATGAGAAAAGGCATTTATGTGAACGCATTTTAGGGGAATTGGGACATTTTTAGTAGTACATTGTGAACTTTTTTTGAAGAAGTTATCACTGTTCTATAATGTTTAGTGTTTATAACTTATTCCTGTGTTATCCCTATTATCAGAGTAGGTTTTTCTCCTTTTCATATCCTGAAAAAATTATTTTCTTGCTCGATTTGAACAGGAACCTCCTATGGATTGCACCAAAAGGAACAACAGAAGCACCGTATTTCGAATAGTGCCAAAGTTTAAAAAGGAAAAGGTTCAGAAGCAGAAGACAAGTTCACAGCCTGGTAGGTGGTCCATATGGAAGGGGAAATATAACATTATGAAAAAAGAGCTGATTAAAGTGACATCATGGAGGTCGTGAAAATGTTCTGGAGCTAGATGGTGGTTGAGCATTGTGCAGTATGATGAACATACTGTCATTGAATTCTATGCTTTAAAATGGTTAAAATGGGGAATTTCATGCTTTATGAATTTTACCATAAAAGAATCCTCTCATACCTAAAACACATCTGAGTATCAGTGGGAATCTCTAGTAAGGAAGCACACAAAAAAATGAAGTGGTTGCTAATTTGCTTCTACTTTGTTTAGTGGATGTCAGCATTTCTGTTCAGATGGTTCTTTCTCAACAGCAAGTCAAAGCATCAGTGTATAATTTGTTTTTCTTCTTTTAAGTACAATTTTTAGATTACTTTGATAAATGGAACATAGAAACTTTCATTTACTCATTTAACTTGCCGATTACATTTTCCACCTAAAGTTATATATTCCCTTTCTCCTGTTTTGAGGACACTGTTTCAACCCCTCGACAATGACAATATGCTGTGATACTTGCATTCTCAAGCAAAGATTAAGCCCCCTCTTCGCTGCTATTTCTCTCGTTCCTTTTTCACCTTTCCTTAGAGTTTAAATGTACAGGTATGCTAGTACTAAAGCACCTTCAAATTCTGTTTATACAATGGTAGCTGCCTTTCATAACCAAATAATTTTATAAATTCCTCTGAGTGTGCTATCTTTAAAAAAGTGATGTAAAGCCTTATTTGTGATATTCATAAAGCAGCTAATGAAAGCCATTTAAAAACCAAATACAGCAAATAAGTAGGCTTTTATTAAGCTAATCAATGTTGAATAAAATGTATAAGCAAATGATACACACTGAAAATAACGTAATCCAACTAATGTCAGAGAGCAGTGCTATGGACTTTTTAAATGATATTAAATTGTGATTTAATAGCACATTGATTGCCGTTATTATCAGTAGTAGGAGAATCAATCAACACTACACTTGAAGTCAGCAAGACCTTAAGCAGAAAAGTCTGTGTAAAATTGAATACCCCATATCAGATTTTAAATTGTAATTAGCATTTGTAGCTCATTTCAGTCTATAGCCGTTTTCATACAGGGTCTGAAGGAAATCATCAGAGCTTATTTAGAGCTTGCACCATTGATCCTAATGATGTGAAATACATTTTGTATGCATATTGTGTAGGTTGGGTGGCTTTAATGAGGAAACTGGACTAAAGCTAAGCATGGGTGCACGGCAGCAAATGGTTTTGTATAGTCGGATCCTTGTGTTGATAGTGTGTAACTTGCATGGGAAAAAGTGGAACTATGGTTTTGTTGAAACAACACCTTTAACCTTTTCTTTTGCTAGCACTGCCGCTGCACTCTGTTTTGCATCTTCTTTGGCCAACCTTTGCTTTGTAATGCATTGAGCATGTAGAAATTAAGGGGGTTTTGCTCTTAACTTTGGTAGTTCAGAAATGGGGCACAGAGGAAGTTGCTGCTTGGCTGGATCTGCTCAATTTGGGAGAGTACAAAGATATCTTCATCCGTCATGACATCAGAGGGGCTGAACTTTTGCATCTGGAAAGGCGAGATCTTAAGGTATTTCCTTTGTGCTCTTCTGTTCTTGAAAATTTTATTGCAAAACAGAATCCTTTCTCCTGTGCCTCTTCTGATACTTGCTTTTAGCTTCGCTTATGTCATGCAAATGTGTAGTAACCTAACATTCACTGTCCTGTGGTCTGAGTTTCTTGTATGCTTTTTAACAAGAATGTCAGCAGTATTTTCCTGTCAGAATCACTCTATTATAGCTAAAGCTTAGCATGAACTTAGTAATTTTTCTCTGCATCTAGTGATATGACTGTTGCTGTGCTAGTATTTCCAAATGGATCATGTTTCCATCAGCTCATTTTATTGCATCAGCATGGAAGGTGATAATTTGGCTGAAAATGACTAAAATCTAATATATGGTTAACAACTAAAAATTAATGCAAAATACCAATAACAAAGCCTTTCTAACATATGGAATGAGAAGAGAGACTTACAGCAATGGCTACTTAGAATCTTACAATTTGTTGTATTTCTAAGTCAGCCTTTTTTAGGTCACATGAATAACTAGACTGAGAAATTCAAATTTCCTTTCTATGACATATTATTAAAATTCTATTATTCTCAAAAAGAATTTTTTTTCTTTAGTAAACGAGGTAAAAATTTTGCCTAGCTTTTGCTAGAAAACAGCTCAGAGCCTATTTGTGAATTGACGATAGAGAAAACCATTCCTTCATCACCTGAGGCATTTCCCTTTTATTCTGTGGGTGAAGTCTCAGTAGTAGTAGAAACAGCTGAAGTAGGCTCTCTGGCCAAGGTTTAGGAGTAGGATTTTGTCACGTTGTATTTTCTTACCACATATTGCCATTTTAAATTTCCAATAAGTAGTAACGTTTGTTGGAGTGATCCCTTTCATGTAGACCAAGTTCTAAAATGCATTAAATTTTATCATAATACAGAGAATTCCTAACAAATTAATGAACTGTTGTTGCACCTTTATCTACAAATACATTAGCAAAGATCTTTGAATAGATAATTGGTAGTATAAAGATCTTTATTAAACAGATTCACAAAGAGTTTTAGCACATCAAAAGATGACACCACTTATACCTAAACAACTTTAGCCATAATAAAATAAAATAATTAATTAATTACCTTAGTTGAGAGTCCTAAATCTGGAACATAGCAAAATATGTAGTATTAGAGTTCATAAAGCAAAAGTTGGCTTCCAAGCTTGAAATGAGTCCACAAAAAAGTAAATGTAGGGGGGATCATGATATCCAACATGTTTTTGTAACTTCTGATATCCTTGGCAGATACCAATATTTATTAATGACTGATTAATATATTATGCTAGCTTCTCTGCATGATACCTGTCCTCTAGAAGCATGCACCGCATTTGCTGTGAATAAGCATACATTCAGGGAAAAGACTGTGTGTGTATGTATAAAAAATATACATACATAAATGCATATATGTGTACGTGTTATATATATACATACAAACATAGATATATACAGGTACACACACAATGAATGTAGCAGAATGAATGTGTAGAATGGAAAAACATACACTAAGGCAAAGTTAGAAAAGAATAGAAAGAAGATGGTTAAGAATTATCTTAGAAAACGTTCTTTTTGCTTTTCATGGGACTTTTTTGTTCTGTTTTGTTTTTATTTTTAATGCAAATTACATTCTCTCTCTTAAAACTTTTAGACATTTGTATTGACATGGATTTTAAAAATTGTATTAGGTCTGAAACAAGATGTGGGGGGTGGATGAGAAAAGGAACATTTCACAGAAAGAGTCTTCTGTAGCACAAAATCATAAAGCTAGAGAAGAGCTCCCATTGTTCTCTGCGGTTGTAGCTGTCAGCAGCGGCAAGTCCTTCAGACCGATGCCTCTAAATGCTGGTGAGGGATCACTCACTCCTTAGGTACTCCATTGCTTCCGGTACTACTTGTGAATATGTCAGTGGCACACAGGTTCTCTCTCAGCCCTGCCTGACCTGATTTGTGAACTTTTGGATTATAGCACCAACCGGCTACTTGGTACTCAGGTATTATACAGGGATATCAATCTCTGTTTTTGCTTTTTAAAAATTAATTTATTTTTATTTATACAAAAATATATGGGTACAGCTGGGCACGGTGGCTCACTCCTATAATCCCAGCACTTTGGGAGTCCGAGGCGGGCGGATCACGAGGTCAGGAGATCGAGACCATCTGGCTAACACAATGAAACCCCATCTCTACTAAAACTACAAAAAAACTAGCTAGGTGTGGTGGCACGCTCCTATAGTTTCAGCTACTCAGGAGGCTGAGGCAGGCGAATTTCTTGAATACAGAAGGCAGAGGTTGCAGTGAGCCGAGATCACACCACTGCACTCCAGCTTGGGCGACAGAGCAAGACTCTGTCTCCAAAAATGAATATATATATATATGGATACAAGTGCAATTTTATTACCTTCATAGTGGTTAAGTCAGGGCTTTTACGGAATCCATTGCCTGAATAACATATATTGTACCCAATAAGCAATTTCTTATCCACTCCCTCCCACTCCCTTACCCCTCCAAGTCTCCATTGTCTATCATTCCACTAGGTCCTTGTATATACCTTATTTAACACCCACTTATGAGTGAGAACATGCAATGTTTGTCTTCCCGTGTCTTCTTGTTTCATTTAAGATAATGACCTCAAGTTCCATCCAAGTTGCTGCAAAAGACATGTTTTCATTCTTTTTTAAAATTTATTTTCTATGGCTGAATAATATTCCAATGTATATATGTGCCACATTTTCTTTATGCAGTCATCCATTGATGGAAACCTAGGTTAGAGAATTTCAATCTTAACATGTCCAAAAGCAACTCTTGAGCTCCTATTGCACTCCTGTTCTGCCCCTTCTCCAGTGCTCTGCATTTTATAAATCAGATCTCTGGCCCTCCAGGCACTCTAGGCAGAGAAATGAGGCTCATACTTAGCACCTTCCTCTTTTTTGTCCATCTTCCCCTAACCCATCAAGCCCATCACCAAGTCATATTGATTCTAATGTCCATTCACTTCTCTTTATATCCTGTCCACAATCCTGCTCCATGCTACTGTCCAGTTTTGCTTGTATAAGATCAATAGCTTCCTAACTGGTCTTTCCGCTGCCACTCTGTCTTCACAGTCCATTATCCACGTTGCAACCAGAGTGTTATTTTAGCATCATCAATCAGGTGTACACTTTTCTGCTTAAAACTTTTCAGTAGCTTCCCATTTCTAGGGAATAAAAACTCACATCTTTATGCAGGCCTACAAGGTTCTGCCTATGTATTCAACCTCCTGTGAAGTCTCTGGCTCCTCCCTGGGCTATGCTCCATTCATCCTGGCCTTATTTCAGTTGCTTAAAAATTCTATACTTTTTCTCACCTTGGGGATGTACTCTCTTTTGCTGTGCTTCTTCCCCTACCCTTCACCTGGTTAACTCCTGCTCAGAGATTAGCTCAAGTGTTACTCCCATATCACCAAAACAACTAGACATAGTAACATGACAGTCTAAAGTTGGGAAAAGGAAAAAAAAAATATATATATATATACATATATTTGTTGTTGTTGTTGAGATAGACTCTCATTCTGTCACCCAGGATGGAGTGCAGTAATGCAATCATGGCTCACTGCAGCCTCAACCTCCTGAGCTCAGGTGACCCTCCCGCCTCAGCCTCCTGAATAGCTAGGACTACATGTGCATGCCGTCACACCCAACTAATATCTTTTATTTTTTGTAGAGACAGGGTCTTGCTGTGTTGTCCAGGCTGGTCTTGAACTCCTGGCCTCAAGAGATCGGCCTGCCTTGGCCTCCTACAATGCTGGGATTACTGGTGTGAGCCACCATGCCCAGCCAGGAAAGTATTTCCAATGTGCTTTAGCAGATAAGGAAACAAACTGATTGCATCATTTTCTTTGCTAGAACACAGTAGGAGAAAAAAGAGACACCAAAGAAAATGGTAAACATATGGTGAGAGTTTTTTGTTTAGTTTATTTTTTGTTTTTTCTATTTGGAAAGTTGTGTATGTATGGCTGGAAGGATAACTGAATATCTACAAAGCATGCTTTGTCAAAATTTGGACTGTTTATCCAGGGAAAGAGAAAGCTACTCATATGATAAAAACTGGCCAGGCGAGGTGGCTTATCCCTGTAATCCCAGCACTTTGGGAGGCCAAGGCAGGTGGATCATGAGGTCAAGAGTTCAAGACCAGCCTGACCAACATGGTGAAACCACATCTCTACTAAAAATACAAAAATTAGCTGGGCATGGTGGTGCATGCCTGTAGTCCCAGCTACTCGGGAGGCTGAGGCAGGAGGATCGCTTGAACCCAGGAGGTGGAGGTTGCAGTGAGCTGAGATCATGCCACTGCACTCCAGCCTGAGTGACAGATTGAGACTCTGTCTCAAAAAAAAAAAAAAGAATATGATAAAAATTAATATATAATGATATGTGATAAAAATAAAGATAGAACAAATGTCACAGCATAGCTTTATTACAGCCTATACCCTCAAAGGCATAAAAATATTGAACTCAAACTAAAACGTCAAAAGCAATTGCAACAAAAGCCAAAATTGACAAATGGGATCTAATTACACTAAAGAGCTTCTGCACAGCAAAAGAAACTATAATCAGAGCGAACAGACAACCTACAGAATGGGAGAAAATTTTTGCAATCTGTCCATCTGAACAAAGGTCTAATATCCAGAATCTACAAGGAACTTAAACAAATTTACAAGAAAAAAAACAACCCCCATTAAAAAGTGAGCAAAGGACATGAACAGACATTTTTCAAAAGAAGACATGTGGCCAACAAACATATGAAAAAAAAGTTCAACATCAGTGATCATTAGAGAAGTGCAAATCAAAACCTCAATGAGATACTATCTCACACTAGTCAGAACGGCAATTGTTAAAAAGTCAAGAAGCAACAGGTGCTGGTGAGGCTGTGGAGAAATAGGAAAGCTTTTACACTGTTGGTGGGAATGTAAATTAGTTCAATCATTGTGGAAAACAGTGTGGCAATCCCTCAAAGACCTAGAACCCGAAATACCATTTGACCCAGTAATCCCATTACTGGGTATATACCCACAGGAATATAAATCATTGTATTATAAAGATACATGCACACATATGTTCATTGCAGCACTGTTAACAATAGCAAAGACATGGAATCAACCCAATTGCCCATCAGTTGTAGACTGGATAGGCCGGGTGTGGTGGCTCAGGCCTGTAATCCCAGCACTTTGGGAGGCTGAGGCAGGTGGATCACGAGGTCAGGCATTCGATATCAGCCTGGGCAACATAGTGAAACCCTGTCTCTACTAAAAATAGAAAAAAAATTAGCTGAGCATGGTGGCAGGTGCCTGTAATCCCAGCTACTTGAGAGGCTGAGGCAGGAGAATCGTTTGAACCTGGGAAGCAGAGGTTGCAGTGAGCCGAGATCACGCCATTGCACTCCAGCCCAAGCGACAGTATGAGACTCTGTCTCAAAAAAAAAAAAAAATAGTAGACTGGATAAAGAAAATGTGGTGTATATATACACCATGGAATACTATGCAGCCATAAAAAGGAACTGGATCATGTCCTTTGCAGGGACATGGATGGAGCTGGAAGTCATTGTCCTCAGTAAACTAACACAGGAACAGAAAATCAAACACCACACGTTCTTGTAAGTGGGAGCTAAACAATGAGAACACATAGACACAGGGAGGGGAACAACATACACTGGGTCCTGTTGTGGGGGCAGAAGGAGGGGAGAATATCAGGATAAATAGCTAATGCCTGTGGGGCTTACTACCTAGGTGATGAGTTGATAGGTGCAGCAAACTACCATGGCACACTTTTACCTATGTAACAAACCTGCACATCCTGCACATGTATCCTGGAACTTAAAATTAAATTAATTTAAAAAAAAGTATAGCTAAGAAGTTAATGTAATTCTATGGAAAACATTCTTCTCATTTTATACCAAAATAGTAATTCTAAATAGATTCTACCTCCCCCAAAGAAGATTTAGTCTTGAGAATACAATGTATTTATGGCCTAAAATAAAATATTTAATATTTAAATATATTTTGTAGTTGCATACCTATGTTTTCACAAAGTGTAAAGATATTTAAATATTCCACTCAAAAAATCTAAATGTGACTGTAAACGCATGTACATTTCAAATTTAGGTAGCAAGCATCGGTATATTCCTCTAGGATTTGGCCTTGCTTTTAAGCTTGATACTTTTGCACGTATTCAGGAAATGTATAGTTGCCTTAGGACTAATTTTGGATGCCCTGTGTCATAGGAGAAAATATTTTTCTGAGTCAGTTAAATATTTATGAAATATCTTGAAATTATCTCAAGTTTGACAATAGCATTGGCTATGGAAAGAGTATTTTCCAGAAGGATTCATTACTGCTAAAGAACTCCAAGAGCTCTTAAAGGGTAAACGAGAGAAAGAGAGAGACAATGACCGAAGACTTAAACCAGTTTGATCTATTTCATTCAAAAGTTGAAAAATAAATAAATTATAAAACAGGGTGGATATTTGGAATCTTTAACTTCTCAGACAGGTTATTTTATAACCCTGTTTTTTAGGCCATTTTGGAAGTCATCTTTTTAATAATTTTCAAATATTTCAATTTTTTTGGAAGAAGTTGTTTGACTTCACATATTAGCAAACTGACTATGCCTTTTACTTAAAGAAACTAGGATTTGGAGGCCTTAACTGTTTCTTTTAGTTTTTCAGACAGTGAATAACTAGCAGTTATTCACCCTTGGATAGGTTTAATTTATTCCTGCAACAAATATTTGCAAGGTACTTGCTGTGCACACTCTGCAGTCATCATCTATTTCTGAAAGTTAAATATTGAATTCTTGGCACTTATAAGAAGAAGTTTCTTTAAGAAGCAAGAATAATAATTTTGAGAGAAAAGAGCCAATAGTGTTTTGAGGGAAAGCATCAACCAACAGATAATTATGTTTAAGTAATTTTTTACACACATACATTACAAAGTATAAAGACTAATTAAATTAAATATTCCTCTCAAATTGAAGCCTTGTAATGCAACTGCAAATGCATTTACAGTCCAAATTTATGTAGCAGATACTGGTATCTTTCTCTAGAATTAGGTCTCACTTTTAAATTTAATATTTTAGCACAAGAAATGTTGCCTTAGGACTAATTGTGGGTGCCCTGCTGTCCCGCATCATTTTTTTCTCAGAGATCCCAAAAGAGCCTTTGAGAGAGAGAGAGAGAGAGGGAGAGAGAGAAGAAAAAGAAAGAAAAGAAAGAAAGAAGAAAGGGAGAGAAAGAAAGAGAAAAGAAAGAGAGAGAGATGAAATAAAGAAAGAAAGAAAGAAAAGAAAGAAAGAGAAAGAAAGAAACTAAATTGGTTTTGACTTTTGAAGTCAAAAGCCACTGTGTATAATTATGAGAATGTCACAGTTAAGAGTTTATGTAGAATGTGATTTTTTTTTGTACCAGTTGGGAATTCTTTGGTGTCAGGTTATTTTTGTTTTATGAACTTATTTTTCTAGCTTTCACTTCCTGAATCACTGAATATAAACTAAAATGAATGAACTGAATGCTAATTATGTTTCTTGCTGGTTAAATATTTAATCCCCAATTTTCTATTTTCAATAAACTTTTTTCCTTTTCTTTCATTTTTAAAATTTTCTTTCTGTGTTTTTTCTTTCATTTTTAATTATTTCTACCTTTTTCTGTTCTTTTATTTTAGGATCTGGGGATACCGAAAGTGGGTCATGTGAAGCGAATTCTCCAGGGAATTAAAGAGCTTGGAAGGAGCACTCCACAGTCGGAGGTGTAATCATATTGGTGCTATTTCTTGGAAGAGAAGTTATTGCCACTTAATACAAAGTCCTTGGAAGCAAGTGGCTGTTCTTGTAGTTTTCTGCATAGATAAGTAAGCACCACTGAAGCACCTCTGTGGCTTGATATTTTGCTGTGGGTGAAATTTTGATTTGAGGTATTAGAAAATATTTTTGTGCCGAACAATACATTCCACAAAGCCATTTTCTTTTTGTGCAAACCTGACATGTTCAAATATATTCACAATGGTAATAAGGTAGGAGGAATCTGAGACGATTGCATTGTCTAAACAGTGGAATTGCAAAATGTTTACTTTCCATAGATCTGGTCTGATGGAATGTTCCTACTGTGCAACTGCATAACAATATGTGGTTAAAACTTCCTAGGTTTCATTACGGGGGGGCATTGGCCATTTTCTTAAAATCATAGGTTAGGAGACTAAAATATAAATTAAGTTGTGATTTGAATGTAGATTGGTATCACCTCCAACTCCTAGTGCTTAGTGGTCAAATATGTTGAAAACCTTTCCAATACTATGAATGAATGCAAATCTTAATGCACGATGTTCCTGCCTGAAATGTCTTTCTTTTTCTTGCATGTCACATCTAATACTGTAACACTTTAAATAGCTTTCATGTCAGTTTTAATGTTAATGGGATTTAATTTATTACTAAAGTACATTTTTGTTGGTTAAGGGCACTGCACTTTTCTGTTTTTTAATGTGGGATTTTGCGTAAATATTCTGTACCTAAGACTTTGTGAAAGTGTGTCTGTGCCATAATCAACAAATGATATACATCACATGCAAGTCAATTTTATTTCAATCTATCATAAGCAGTAGGCGTGCACGTTAAGAAAATTCTCTGGATATTTTCATAAAATTACATGCTCCCTTACCTGACAAAACTTGTTACAGCTTTCCAAACCAAAATTTCCACATTTTGTTTCTAATTTTTAATTTCAATTTAATAATTATTTAATATTCTATTTGAATTTATAATATAGTAAAGTGTTGATATCCAGGAATTCCCTGAGGTGTCAACTGAGATTTATATACTGACAGATAACCCAGACTCACCCGCTCTCTACAGTGACTTCTGACACGATCTTCCAAACAGAAGGGATTTAAATTTTTTCTTAAGGGCTTTATGTTGTTATTATTATTATCTCACTTAATTCTTAATTCTTATCAGGTGGATATTATTTTCCTTTTTCTAAACCACTGTACTTCAGTGTAGCTTATTATTAGAAGTCAACATTACAATGATCAAATCTTTGAAAGCCAAAGGCATACGTATCAAAAAGTCACAAAAATATCCTTAAATAAGCTTTCTTTAGCCATTATATACCAAAACATTAATTATAATATTTTAAAATTTGTATATAAGAGAAATAAACAGGGTACTGACTCAGTGGTGACAATTTTTATGAAGTAGCCTGCTAGGTGCTTAATAGATATATATACACACAGATATATACATATACACATATATGTGTATATATACATACATACACATATACATTTATATGTGTATATATATACCTACATACATATAACCTTGTGATATGGCATCATTGATATTTTCTAGACAATTATTTCCCCAGTGTTTAAAGAGAAATACTAATAGGCGAGCATTTAAAATGAACTATTGTCAGGCATATTATTTAATTACATCAAAGGAGTTTAACTGTTTGACACTTTACTCTTGTTTATAACTTGGGTATTTAACTACTAGTAAAAATCACAAAATTTTAATGTCTTTAAAATAAATGACCCTGAGGGATTCCTGACCAAGTATGTCTGACTATATATTTTACCTAAGTTGTAAATAAATGGAAATTTTCCAAAGACAGTTATATCAAGTAGTTTAAAAAGTCATGAGGCAGGGTGCTGTGGCTCACGCCTGTAATCCCAGCACTTCGGGAGGTTTAGGTGGGTAGATCACCGGAGGTCAGGAGTTCGAGACCAGCCTGACCAGTGTATGAAACCCCATCTCTACTAAAAATACAAAAATTAGCCGGGTGTGGTGGCACGCACCTGTAATCCCAGCTACTCGGGAGGCTGAGGCAGGAGAATTGCTTGAACCCAGGAGATGGAGGTTGCAGTGACTGAGATCACACCACTGCACTCTACTAGCCTGGGTGACAGAGCAAGACTCCCATCTCAATCTCAAAAAAAAATAGTCATGAATTATGCAATTATTCTAATTGTATCTGCACTTACGAAGTCAGAGGTCTCCTTTTTCAGTCCCTCTGATAGTCCCACCTAAGTGCTGTCCTGCTCCTGTGAACACTTTCCTGTGCAACCAAACAGGAGGTGCCAGGTTCCCAGAACTCTCTAACATTACAGATCTCTGTCCATCTTTACTAAAAAAAGGAAATGTGAGGGAAAGAAGGGGAAGAACTCTAGCATAAATAATGTATTAATATAAATATCTATATTGATTTTCACCCCCCATTCCCCTTTGCTAATAGAAAAGAGTCTAGCTATGATGTGTCCCAAATTTAAGAGTGTGATGTGAAGGACTGAATTTTTGTTTGTTCGTTTGGTGAGCTTTTCACTCGTAGGTGACATCTTTTGTATATGCTGTAAAGTCTCAGTTAATGGAATCCTACAGTGCATTTCTGGCTAGCTCGGTTGGTAGAGCGTGAGTCTCTTAATGGAATCCTTAATTAGCTAGAATTTTCCTGCAAATGGCTTTGGATGAGGGAAATTCTATAAAATGACAATTTGGATATACTTTTTGTTAAATGAGAGCAATTTTCTCTGTATGCTTTGTCTATGCATGGCTGTGCAGGGCCCAAATGACTTCACTGACACCTGTTTCCAGGAGGGGGTCTTCAGAGCCTCCTTAGGCTCTTGTCAGTATCATAAATAATTCCTCTTCTTATAGCGGATGGGGTTACCAAAAAAAATAAAAAGTAGGGAAGAGCTTCTCCATGGGATCAGATCACAGCTTTGGGGAGTGGGATGGGGCCTCTATGCTTTGATCTATGCATGAGCTGGGGTGAGAAGTTCCCACCTGCACCTGACTGCAATGACTGTAATGGCTGGAATTGTCACCTCTTCTCCCTGATAGGCTCTTCCTCACCTGGAGGATCGGGGCTGGTGGGAGGGCAGGGAAGGGGAGGCCATCAGCCAGAATGTATTTTCTTTCAGTTCCATTTCCTGAGGAAGAACTTGCTTTTAAAGGAGGAAAGGGACAGAATCAGACCTAAATAAAATTCCTGAGTATGCAATATTTCTCTTTAGTGTCTCTTCACCTCCCTTTCTGAGTTTCTTTCCTACATCCTGGCTCTTCATTTTCCCAATGCCCAATATAATCATGGTTGCTGAAATTCTCACTGCCTTCTACTTTCCTTTCCCCATCAATTAACCCACTACAAAATGACCCCTTTCATTTCTCGCTTAAGCATACATGGTGGGTCATTTAACTAAGTGTTAGGAAGAAAACAATTTAAAGACACTAATTTTACAGTTTGCGTTCTGTAAAAGGATACTTGCTGGATAATCTAAGTGAATTGATGGATTAGGTCATTTGGGATTGTGATATATATTGTTCTTGCTGACAAGAAATGACCCATGAATGTCTAGATCTATCCTGTCCAATATTGTAGCTACATGTGGCTATCTAAATTTAAATGTAATTTAATTAAGCCAGGCATAATGGCACAAGCCTGTAATTCCGGTGACTCAGGAGGCTTAGGAGGGAAGATGGCTTCAGGCCAGGAGTTTGAGACCAGCCTCGGCAACATAGTGAGACCCTGTCTCTGAAAAAAAATTTTTTTAACTAGCTAGGCATGGTGGCATGCGCCTGTAGTCCCAGCTATTCTGAAGGCTGAGGTGGGAGGATTGCTTGAGACCAGGAGTTCAAGGCTGCAGTGAGCCATGATCATGCTACTGCCCTCCAGCCTGGGCAGCAGAGCAAGACCCCTACTCTTTAAAAAAATTAATTTAATTAGAAACTCCATTTCTCAGTTGCACTAACTACATTTCAAGTGTTCAGTAACCATAGTGGACAGTGCAGATGTAGAAAATTTCCATCACTGCAAAAATTCTATTGGACAGCACTGGTGCAGATCATTGCTACTCAAAATGTGATCCATGGGCCAGCAGCATCAATATTACCTGGGAGCTTACAGAAATGCAGAATTTCAGGCCCACTGCAGATCTACCGAATCAAAATCTTCCTTTAGCAAAATTTCTCAAACGATTAGCACTGGCCTACATCCATTTTATCCTTCCTTAGCTATTAGGGATGTGAGGTCCGAGGGCTTCAAAAGGTCCCCGGAATAGCTTGTTCCTTCATCCACTGTGTCCTATTCATTCTTCAGCTAACTCCAGCAATGAGCTGAAACTCATTCATCACCCTTGCTGAGTTTTCTTCTCAATCCTTATTCCTAATTCTGGTTCTAGATGAGCCCTACCTACCCAGTGGTTGTATTTTTGTAGCCAGTGTGGGACACAGGAGATTGGCAGACCAACACAGCTAGCCTCTCTCTAGCCCTCCCTCCACCTCTAAGTCACTAACAATCCATGTTTGTTCAGTTTGTTGACATGTGGCATGTTCATTTGTTCACAACTTAATCACGGGGGACATTTCAGAAAAATGTGTACTAAGTTAAAACCATGTTTAGTCTCCTACAACTTGTACATTTTCATTTTCTCTTATCAGTAGATTGTCCTTGTTGACATAGCTCATGCATGAGGACACATAGCAGTACACACACATTGAATGAATTGTTAGTCATGCAAAAAAAGAAAAGGAATGAACCAAGATGATTGCAAGTTAATCTCATTTAAGCCCTCTAAAAAGGCATGCTTTGCTAGATTTAGATCTGTTTTCCTTACACTCACTTATCTTGATGTTCACATGGTTAATAATTCCTTAAAATAGTGCCTGAAGAATAATATTTCATATTCTTGACCCCCAAATAACAGTTTACTTAATTTTATAAGATTTTTCCCAATGAGACTTATTTTCAGGAATCCTTCTCTTAATAACTTTTACATATTGATATAATGTACCAAAACACAATTGCCTAGAGATGCTTTAGCTAATTTTTATTAATAAAGAGGACAATATTTTTGTCTTCATGGAACTTATTTTTAACAGGAATCAAGGAAGAAAATATTCATGCAGAGCTATGACTTAGAAAGTTATAGGGGCTGCCACTATACAGCACTTCTAAAGTAAAACATCTTCTATCTCCAACTGGGCTGTCAACATAGTGGACTTTCATGTTCTATGGATATGAATTCTTTAAGGATGTAGCCCTTAATTAAGCTGTAAAAACAATGCATCTCTCAACCTTGACATTTAGGATCTCTCCTGTCTGCCCCCTCTACGCCCCACTCCAATTAACTCATCCTACATCTCTCAGATGTAAGTTGGATAAGAGTGGGTTTGAAGTTTGGTAATACAAGTGGCAGTTTTAAAACACCAAATTCTTTAGATCAGCTGAAAAGAAGAGTGAGAATTGAAAATTCCTCCACTAGTAATTGTTAGCCAATAGAATAGCCTCCCAGAGCAGTCCCCACAGCACTTGGTTGCCATGGGTTTCTCTCCTCTCACTGCCTGCCCCAGTGCCATGATGTCTGGGGCTTGTCTCTTCTATGGCATCCCCTGATTGACTTTTGTATAGCAACCTCTGTGTCAAGTCAGTAATATGATGCCATTGTAATAGGAGGCCTTCCTAAAGAAGTAACTGCAACTTTTAAAACGTGATGATTATTGGTTTTTATAATACACAAAGCATTAATTTTTTCTTATCTTATTTTCTCTTTATTATTTCTTTCCAACTTTTGTTTGGAGACATTTATGTTAGAAGAAAAACTATAAAGTTTTATCATTGTAGAGAACAGAGAGATCAAAGACAGCTGGACTGTACCTGTTTGTGTAATTATTTCTGATATTTTTAGGAAAAGAAGTTTAACAGAGTAACTCAGACTGAGACTGTTAAACTCTGTTCATGATAAACTCCATATTACATAATATAGGTGAACAGATTAATTCCCTCCATGTAACTAAGATACTCTATTTACATTATTTATATACTCTCTTAGTTTTTTATGCACTTCCAAGTTTTAGTTGGAAAAATGAAAACCAAGCTACTACTTAAAAGTTATTAAAAACTTCACATAAAATATTTCATTTTAGCTACAAGTTATTCATTGCATAGGATTTTATAAATAGTCTGGGTATTTCATAGGAACTGCATTTCAAAAGTGAATTAACCAAACCTAAAAAAAGGGTTACTTTTAAAATGCATTAAAATAAAGAAGTTTCATATTCAGTTGATAAGGCCATTAAGGTAGGATAATGCAGTTACATATACAAACTAAAAAAGGAAAAAGAATATATTTTGTGGTCCTTAATGTTTGATTGCACTATTGTTTCCCACAGCTTAGCCGTATCTATTTCTGTATACCAAGTATTAAGCTGATATGTAGCTAAATATTTCTTACAGTTCTGGTAACTGGTAACTAGTGCTGTGAAAGGTTTTGGTATTGTAACATTCCCAGTTTTGTGAGTTATATATTGTATATTGAAGATGACTAGTAAATTCAAGTAATATATTTATCTACAGCTGGGAAAATATAATTATTTTCAAATCTTCAAGTAAGTTGTATCGAATGTTTTTCTTCCTCTTAAGTGAGATAAATCTCACTTTTATGTTAAAATGTCTATTTATACAACAGGTTTCTCCTTTTGCTGTTATTTTCATATTAAAATTTTTCTTATCTTTTTATATCAAAATAATTATGCTGGCTATTCAAACTGCCAAGATGTATTTTAGTTTGCAGGATTTTTGGCAGACAAAATATTTAATAACAAATATAAAAGCTTTGTATATTTTGTGGCATTAGGGGCAAGAATTTTACCTTTGGATTTCTCTATGTGAGGCAGTGCTGGTGTCAGCAAAGTCAGTAACAGACAGTATTACTTGTAATCATCAAAAGAAGGTTTCCACAAGTTGTATAAATCAGTGCATTTATTTATTATGTTGTGAAACTTAAGCTTTATATGAAATACATATTCTAGCTCTTTTCCTTTTTACTGCTGTTGTTTAGAGTGTGTAGTTCTGTTGATGATTTACTTATGTACTTGAAGTACTCATTTCTGTCAAACAGATGCCCAACTATTTTCCTTTTAAAAAACTGTATTCTTTACTGCAATAGATAGCGGAATAGTAATAGACACTTTGTTAAAAAAATAAGTTTCATGTTTAAAATAAATATTTTTTTAAAATATAAAGCCAAAATGAATTCACCAATATTAAGGATTTAATGTAGCCAAGGGATTCAGTGTGTTATATTTTGCCAATATGTATTTTATCTTCATGTCACAACTTATTTTCTGTAGCCAATTCTCAGTTTTAGTTGAAGAGAGATCTCAGTGATTGTACTGCCAATATGACATTCAAATGAACATTAGGAATCTTGAACCATGGCTGAGCGCTGTTGCTCAGGCCTGTAATCCCAGCACTTTGGAAAGCCGAGGGAGGTAGATCACCTGAGGTCAGGAGTTTGAGACCAGCCTGGCCAACTTAATACAAAAATTAGCCAGGTGTGGTGGTGGGTGCCTGTAATCCCAGCTACTCAGGAGGCTGAGGCAGGAGAATTGCTTGAACCCAGGAGGTGGAGGTTGCAGTGAGCCAAGATCTCGCCACTGCACTCCAGCCTGGGCGACAGAGCGAGACTCTGTCTCAGGGGGAAAAAAAAGAATTTTGAACCCCCCAAAATATCACATATCTAGCAGTTCTAGGTTCCAGGGTGGATATTTTTAACATATGTTTGCATTTGGTTCTGGGATAGTAACCGTTATGGATAATTGTTTGTTTCTGTCAAGTCGGTGAGATTTTAATTGTTTGAATTATTTCTATTTAAAATTACTCTCAATTTAACTGTTTAAAAAACTAAAAATTTAAAACATAATGGCACAACATACGACACAGAATAAAACACATGTTTTCAAGGAAGAAGAAAAAACTGTTTTGACTTAATGTGAAGCAGGGGTTTACCAAAGAAAATTGCTTTAATAAGCCCTAACTTTAACTGTTTTCTTCTATGTTACAGTGTTAGCGGTTGATGTATTGTGTACTGTTTAAGAACTCATAGGAGACTAATAATTAATTTACTATAATTTTAAAGGCAAAGAGTTTTATATTAATTTTACTGTTGCACAAGCAGTTATTGGAAGTGGGGGAAAAAAAGAAAACTGGTGAGAGAAATTACATGGAAATTATAGGAAAAAGGAACTTGAATTGGTAATTTGGCAAAGATTTGGGAACAAATAGTTTGAACATAGATTTCTTTCACCTTATATGATAGAAACACAAGGCACACGTGAGCTGTATAGTGTGCTGAGCACACCCCCAGAAAACAAAAAATATCACATTGATGAAGTCCGAGACTGTATCTAGATCTTAGCATAACTAGTGAATTCAGGGAGCACATCCTGCTGCTGAAATTGAGAAGTCAGTAAGAAGGTAGTTCAGATGACCTAATCATTCAAGACATTTGATGGAGTCCACACAAGGGTTTATGATGTGGGGCAAATATCTGTGCTTTCTCATCTCAGTGATTGATGTCTGGAGAACTAGTCAGACACACTTAGCTGGTTCCTATAGAAAAACACCAGTAAATGTGGATCAGACCATACCCTGCAGACCAAGGAGATTTTCTTAAACTTGCTAAGCCTTTCTTAAACTTGCCAAGTATTAGCAATGATAATTGCTAAATGGATTTTTTCCTTTCACTGAAACAACAAAACAATTATTGAAATTCACAATACCTAGAGATGGGAACATGGTTTAGGTTTATCCAGTTCTGTAACTGACTTTGGCATTGGCTCATTGTGTCCTTTCTACAAGTTATGTTTTGGTGACTTGGTGTCCCCAGTTAGAAATGGCACACAATATTATCAGTTGTTAGTACTTGGTAACGTTTCTTTTACTAAAGGAATTATATAAGTATGAATCATACCTAATTTTACAATTTCTTTCCCACGGTCATTTTGGATATAAAGATAGACTTCCCAGACAGTGAGGTTAGAAATTAGAAGTTCAAATTGATATCCCTGATGTTTAATTTAAAAATGAAAGTAAAGTTAAAATTAGTAGCATTTGTACCAGAGTAGATTATGGGTATTTTCATCTGTTATATTACATGTTCATATTATTCATTTTAGGATAGGCCAAAACTCACTTCTAAAATCTTCAAAAATTTTGAATAGTTTCATTTTTTCAATACTTAAGCCAAATGACAATTTTATAGATGTGAATATATGTTTTTTAAAGTTAAGTCCTTCATATCTTTTCTTAGTTTAACTCCCCAAAGAGGAAAATGTCTCTTTAAACCAGTAGTTAAAAAGATGGAGTATGTGATGTTCCTTTCTCTGTACTGAGTTCTGAATGTTTAATCCAGAGCATGGATCACTGACTGCGTTCTCTGACTGTGGAATGGTATTCTTTCATGCAAAGTACTTTCAAAACTTCCCATAAAGAAACTAAACTAGAGATTGTCTTTATTAATTAATGGAACTCTGGGTATGATTAAGGGAATTAAATTAGAAAGTAGAATAACCTAGTTAAAATCATTATATTAGTTATACATGAGAGTCAGTGAACGATGACTTGATTTTTACATGACATTTGAATTCTGTCACTATCTGATTCTTGACCTAAAGGTTTCTTTGCTAAATCTGATATTTATTATAGTATAATATGATAATTTGGAGCTCCTGTTGCATCTCACTGCCCCAAAAATGTTGGAATGCCATATGATACAGGGAAAAGATTGGAGTTCATCACCGTGGAATTTTGATCTGTCTTAATGACACAACTTAATTTTCATGATGATAGATCTCTGAATG
The DNA here is from genome assembly GCF_000001405.40 of Homo sapiens. Classification (NCBI taxonomy): domain Eukaryota; kingdom Metazoa; phylum Chordata; class Mammalia; order Primates; family Hominidae; genus Homo; species Homo sapiens. The sequence goes on from NC_000013.11 coordinate 42,239,069, forward strand.
ATTAATCCAGAATGATTTGGTACAGTGACTGGAAGAAATTGTTTTTCTGGGAATTTGCTTCCCATAATGACCTGATATACAGGTGACCTTAGTATAATTGAAATTAATTATAATTTTAATTAGAACATGCTCTGTTTACAGATTATAATTGCGCAGCATTTTAAAAAAATATACATAATTATGAGGATGAGAGAATTGCAAACTTGAACAGTTCTTTTGTTTTCTCTCCTTTTACTTGAAAAGCTTTCAGAAAGCTTTTGAAAGATGACACAGTTTTCATAGCAACAGTATGCAAATTAGGTTTTTCTGCCAAGAAACTCATAAACTAAAGTATGGAATAACACAAATGCTTAATCTTAATCTTGGCTTTGGATTTTGTAAGCAAAAGCATTTTCTGCATCAATTTTTTTCAGTATGCAGTTGCATATTTCATTTTTTGATTATGTCAAAAGTTGAATTCTCATTTTATGCTGTGTTTCTCATTAGTTGCAGTAAAGTGTTGATTTCATTGCTGCCTTTCAGGCCTTCATCATACAAACCCTCACCATTTTTCACTCCTGTGCTTTTGCCATAGGTTTTTTTTTGTTTTTGGTTTTTTTCCAGCAACTAGTTTTTCTACTTTCACTCTTTCCCACCAGAGTGGTCTCTCTAAAACAAATTTGCTAAAGTTCTTAAGTAGGCTCTTTTTTCTCTAAATTACAGAATAGCAAACTAACTCCTAAGCAAGATGAGTCAGTGTCTATGACCTTGCCTCTTTCTTCCTTTTTAGTATCCTCACCAACCTTCCCTCTGTTGACTTTTGTAATCCAGGAATTTGGAACTACTTATGACTTAGTGCCTTGGCATAATCACATGCCATAGATGAACATGTTCAAGACTCAGTTCAAATTTAACTTTCTGTGAAGCCCTACCTGACTTCCCTAGGCAGGTATTTTCTCCATGCCTATAGTATATTGAAACTTTTTCTGTTAAAATAACATAACATTTCAATTACACACACACAACCTGTCTCTTCCACTGAACTTCTCTCTCCCCCTTTGTATTCTCAGTGTCTAGCTACACATAATAGGACTTTGATAAATATTTTTGAATGAAGGTAATAGAAAACCCGAACTTCTCTATATTTGTGTACTTTCACAAACAAAGGCTTAGAATTCCACATGAAAGTCCACATGAGGTAAGTGTGCATTCATGAGCATGTGTGCACTCTGGGCAAACCAACAGAAGATAAACAGCAAGGAAGAGCAGTTGTTTTGTGAAAAATAATCATCTGTTAGCTGTAAATCAGAAATATTGGCCAAATCAGAATTCTTGTTTCTAAAATGAGGCTTCTAAAATTTTCACATAACTGCCAAACTCTTATTTGTAATTCTTAAATATGCCCTAAAGATCATCTTTCTCTTTTATAGACATTTAGTGTATACAGTCCACATAAATACATATACTGATTACCTACAGACAATAATGAGACTTCAGAAAGAATCAAAAGCAATAGTGATGGTGGAATTTTTAAATAATATTCAGCTGGGGGGAAATAGACTGAGTTTGTGTGATTTCAGGTTATTTAGAGTTATTAATGTAAACATAAGAAGGCTTGTGACTCTTATCACCCTCTATAGAATATAAAGACTAAAAATAAAAACTATTACCTCTGGGCCTGTTTTTCTTTGGGATTAGATAAAGCCTTTCTACCATATCACCAAATACTCATAAAGGCTAACACAGAAAGCTTTTCCAAGTTAATAATTTCTAAAATTAAATATCAGGGCCAGGTGTGGTGGCTGACACCTGTAATCCCAGCACTTTGGGAGGCCGAAGTGGGTGGATTACCTGAGGTCAGGAGCTCGAGACAAGTCAACATGGTGAAACCTCATCTCTGCTAAAAATACAAAAACTAGCCAGGCATGGTGATGCACACCTGTAATCCCAGCTACTCGGGAGGCTGAGGCAGGAGAATTGCTTGAACCCAGGAGGCGGAGGTTGCAGTGAGCTGAGATTGCACCACTGCACTCCAGCCTGGGCGACAGAGTGAGACTCTGTCTCAAAAAAAAGAAAAAAAATCAAAATAATTGTAATTAACTGAAATGCCCTGTTCCTTCATTCACTTGATAGACTTTTCTACCTGCTCTATACTTGGCACTCAATTAGATTCTGGGGATACAGATAAAATAAGACAAAGCTCCCATCTGGTAGAGTCCAAGTTTGTTTTCACAGTTATTTTTCCACAGTCTGTTTAAGGTATTAGGAGGACTTTTATAAACCGAGTGTTTTTCAGGTTACTTCAGAGAGGAGTCTCCTTCCACCCAAAAAAACTAACCAAATTATTTTATCATAAAGAGGTAATCCCATTTTTATGTCCACAATTTTTACATTTTTGTATCAGCCACCAATAATTTTGACTGTTTTGTCAAGTACATATTTCATCAATCCTATTTCCACAGCCGTACATGTGATCCCAGTGACTGATAGATCTGTAGAATGTGAACTCACATTTAAAGTTTATTTTGGGAAGGCATATATGCCTTTTGATGACACACACACCAAAATATATAAGAGCTGTGCATGGTAAACCCACAGTAGAAGGGAAAAAGTAATGCTTTCTGGTATACTTCAGAGGCTCCATTTGAAGATGTGCGTTGATGTTTCCTTGATTATTTTGAATGAGGAGTAGGCGGTAATATTTAACAGGTAGCATACGTATCTAAGCATATAGTAAATATTACTAGTACTTGTGTGCCATGAGGCACTAATACATAGGTGAAACAAAAATATTTTTAGTTCTAAAAAATTCTCTAGATATTTATGGATGGTTAGGCAATAGGGTTCCTTCATGAGAAGGAAAAAACTGTATCTTTATTGTCAGTAAGTGTGGAAAAAAACCCGACTTGTATGTGTATTCACAGTTTGATAGGCATATTTTGAAGTCATTGTTTTCCATCAGTATTAAGTATCATCCATTTCTATGTTCTCTAGCAAAAGAAAATTCTTAGTGTGATACAGCTTTACTCTTTGTTTGACTTTGTACAAGGTCCACAAAAGGAGGAGGCTCAAAAGATTGGACACTTTACCCTGACATTCAGCACATTCATTTTATCTTTCGATAAAGATAACCAGAAATCATTTGCCTCTTGTTTATTATCATGTTGAAAACACAACAGTATAGTTCCTTTTGTCCCTTACATTGGAAAAGGTATTTTAAATTTAGCCTTGCCGTATTATTTATAGTTAGGAATTTACTACATTTTGGTAGTCTGTTTTGAAACTAAGCACTTGTGTCTGAAAGATGCAGATAATATCTATCTATTTATTACACAGTGGGCTCTGTTTGCTGCAGAAAAGAGTGAAACTTTTAACTGCTTAGCACACTTGCCAGTGAAATATACCTGACAGAGCAGAGGTTATAACTTTGGCTCTAATTACTTTTAGTAATGGTAAGACAACGTGAGTTTTGTTTGTTTACATGCTGTTTACAATGGCATAATTTTAAAAATATATACAATTGAGATATTTATTGCCTACTATTTTAAAGATGTTTTATGTGTTTTCACCTTTGGAATATATTGTTACATTTCCTTGTACAGATAATTTTGGTGGCTTTGTTAATGTAGCTAGTAATTTTTATGACTACTAAGTGACCAGTTTTCGGTGCCTTTTATTGTGGGATGCATGATTATGTATTTATTGTACGGAAGTCACTGACGTGTGTATTTTTGTACTTTGCTGAAAGTAATGGTTGATCCTGATGTACATGATGATGAAAGACATCTTTCCCAAAGGGCACTGCCTTGAGATCATCCTTCTCAAATAAAAAGAATGCATTTGAAGAAAGTGTGAAGTCTACGTTGTTTCTGGTGGGAAATCTTTTTTAAAATTAAACTTTTAATTTTGAGACAATTGTAGATTCACATGCAGTTGTAAAAAATAATGCAGAGAGAGCTCGTGTACCCTTTACCCATTTCCCCTCCAAAGGTAACATCTTGCAAAGCTGTAGTACAGTATCACAACCAGGACATTGAGATGCATAAGGTCACAATGCTGAACAGTTCTATCACCACAAGGACCCGTAATACAGATCCCTCATGTTTCCCTTTTATAGGCATACCTACTTCCCTCTTGCCCTCACACACTTCTTAACCCCGGGCAACCACTTCTATACTTTTATCATTTCAAGAATATTACATAAATGGAATCATACAGTATGCGATTTTTTTTCACTTTAGAATAATTCCCTGGAGATTCATCTAAATTGTGTGTATTGATAGTTCATTTCTTCTTATTGCTGAGTAGTCTCGCATCTGGTGAAGGAATTCTTGATTGTAAGAACATAATTTGGTTTGCATTTATAGTAATGATTCCTTAAAGTTCACCTCCCCCAAAAAACCACTCGTTAAAAGTCCAGTGCATGACAAGTGTTGTCTCTAGTGGTAATGATCTGTGAATAGCCCTTTAAAATCACTGTCTGGTGAGGAAGAAAGAGTGTTGTAACACAGAGTGTTATGTGCAGTGATAAAAAATATGCCACCAAGTTTAGGGGAGGACAAAGGAAGGGCAGAGATAGAGAAAGTTCAGGGGCACCTTCCTGGATAGGGGACATTAAGTCGAATCTTACATCAGTTAGCCAGGTGAAGTATGTGTGTGAGAAAGGCAGAGAGGACAGTGCAAGCAAAGATAGGCAAGCAGCATGGAGGGTAAAACATGCTGTTGCTGAAACATAAGGGAGAGATAGAAGGTGGAACTGGAGTAGGCAAGGTCAGAACTAAGCAATCCGGTTTGAGCCCTGGCCAAATCCGTGACTTCTGTTGGTGGGATTGACGTGAAGAGAGCAGAGGACAAGGAGATCGGTTAGAGGTTATGAAAGAAGTTTGAGTGAGAAATAGCAAGGGACTTCCTTAGTGCAGTTTTAGTGGAAATGGAAAGGAGGGAACAGATCTCAGAAATACTCAGGTGTAAATGGACTGTACTTGAGATTGGCTGTGGATGGATGAGGGGAGAGAAGAAACATAACAAATCCCAGGTTTCTGATAACTGAAGAGGGAAGCATGAAATTCAAGTTCAGACTCAGCCATCATGGTTTCAAGGTGACTGTCTATGGGATACATCATGTTGGAGAGAGGTACGGGAGGGAAATACAGATCTGAGAGTCATTGCCATATGGGCTGAAACCTTTGGAGAAGATGAAGTTATCCAGAAAGATCCTTAGGAACTTAGAAAAGGAGCCCCACAGAACTGGGATTCAGACCTCTGAGAAGGGGGCGCTCTCCCGATGGTGGTTCTAGGAATGCCAGAGGAAGAAGCCGGAGAATGAATGAAGCCACCTGCCTCTGCCAGGGTGAGAACCAGTGCCCCTGAGACACTGGCAGCAACAGTGAGCAAAACAGAAAGGGCAAGTCCTCTTTTCTTCTGCAGGAAAGCAGCTGGCAAAGCAGCAGTGCTGATCGCAGAGCCCAATGCCAGCATCACTGAGCAGAGTGTCAGGAGTGTATCTAGCACTGAGTAACAATAATCCAGTAGTTTGCCACTAAGTCTAACAAGGCGCTCTTAAGAACAACATACTGGCCGGGCGCGGTGGCTCACGCCTGTAATCCCAGCACTTTGGGAGGCCGAGGCGGGCGGATCACGAGGTCAGGAGATCGAGACCATCCTGGCTAAAACGGGGAAACCCCGTCTCTACTAAAAATACAAAAAATTAGCCGGGCGTAGTGGCGGGCGCCTGTAGTCCCAGCTACTTGGGAGGCTGAGGCAGGAGAATGGCGTGAACCCGGGAGGCGGAGCTTGCAGTGAGCCGAGATCCCGCCACTGCACTCCAGCCTGGGCGACAGAGCGAGACTCCGTCTCAAAAAAAAAAAAAAAAAAAAAAAAAAAAAAAGAACAACATACACAATCTTATCACCTTCAGGGGAAAGTGGGGCAAGAAGCTGACCCAGAAGGAATGCTTGAGGGACTGGAGGATTCTTAGCTTGGAAAAGAGAACATCCAGGGGCAGGGATTGGGGGTAGAGGTGGGAAATGAAGTTGGACTTAAGAACTGCCTTCAGATATCTGAGGGACTGTGATGGAGAAGTGGGCTTGCATTAGTTCTAAATGAGACAAGCAAGTGAAATTGACAGCAAAAACTGATTATCTAAAGATGCACTGGAGTATCTCATAAAATGAGATCTCCTTTGATAGAGAGATTCAAACAGAGGCTACCAACACTTGACGGTTGTTGACCCTTGAGAATGTGAACTCCATGAGGGAAAGGATTTTTTTCATGACGCTATCCCAATGCACGGAATAGTGGTTAGCATGTGGTATGTGCACATTATCTATTTGTTGAATAAATCAGAAGTAATTTAAGCATCAGATCAGAGGACCAGATCATCTTGAGGTCTCTTTCACCTATAGATTGAATGCAATTGATCATATGTAAAGGCAAAATATGCAGAGTCCTCACTGAATTAGGAAATAAATGAACCAGAATTTAAACTCCAAATAAGTTGGTTATCCACACCCTTTAAAAGCAGGTCACTACTAACCAATACTTTTGTTTTTTTTTTGAAATGGAGTCTCACTCTGTTTCCCAGGCTGGAGTGCAGTGGTGTGATCTTGGCTCACTGCAACCACCGCCTCCCAGGTTCAAGGGATTCTCCTGCCTCAGCCTCCCAAGTAGCTAGGACTACAGGCACGCGCCAACACACCTGGCTAATTTTTTAATTTTAGTAGAGACAAGTTTTCACCATATTGGCCAGGCTGGTCTCGAACCCCTGACCTCATGATCCGCCTGCCTCAGCCTCCCAAAGTGCTGGGATTACAGGTGTGAGCCATCTACATCATGACCCTGAGGCACCGCCTGATTCTGAAGGGCTAGCTGAATCATCATATTAAACTACTTTTATTTTAAAATGCTAATTGTATTATATATCCTAATTCTTTAAAAAGTAGCAGTGTGTTTACATAGCCATAACTCTTGGCAGCTAATGGGTTATAGTACTAGCAAGTTAGAATTTTCACCAGGAAATCTAAATACAATAGATTTTTCTGATGTGGAAATCAAGAATCATCCAAGCAATCCAAGGATCTGAACCCCATCTTTCCTGTCCTACTGTGGCCTTGGTGTTTGTCTCCATAAGTTCTTGTGCCACCACCAGTACGTTCACAAAATGTAACAATTGGTGGTATGGTTGGCAACATAATGGAGCTTGTCCCAAAGCAAGCCTGGGATGGTGATACCAGCCGCAAGAATGAGAGACTACAAGGCTGGGCGTGGTGGCTCGCACCTGTAATCCCTGCAGTTTGGGAGGCCAAGGGAGGAGGATCGCTTGAGCCCAGGAGTAGTTTGAGACCAGCCCAGGCAACATAGTGAGGCCTCATCTCTATTAAAAAAAAGAGAGAGAGAATACAGGCAAATATATAGTGTCATAGCAGTGTATAACACTTCTTAGTTTGAGGTACTATATCTACATTTAATCCTCATACCAACCCCGTGAGTTTATTATTAGCCCCATTTGAAACACCCTCACACCCTTGGAGTTGGGTCTACTTCTGGCAACGACATTTTGGATGAATGTGGGCATTGGAGCACTACCCTTTCTTAGAGGAGCGATACTGACTTATCGAATAAAAGGCAGCACAAGAATACAGTGAGTCAGGTAAAGTATGCTCTCCACATAGCTTCTCTCCCACGCAGGCCTCCCGCGCACCCTAATCCATGCTGCTGTATCACCCCCCGCAACTGAGAGGAAGGCCACAAATGAAAGTGATCTGAGATCTCGTTTAATTTGTTTCAAGCTTTTTTTGACTGCTCCCCATGGTGAGAAATACATTTTCCCCAATATACATAAATATATATGAATGTGTGTGTGTATATACACACACATGCAGTCATGTGCTTTATAACTGTTTCAGATAACAGTGGACCACATATATGACCACACAGATATCCGTGGTCCCACAAGATTATAATGAAGCTGAAAACTTCCTGTCGCCCAGTTACCTCATAGCCATCACAACATTGTAGTACAACACATTACTCTCATGTTTGTGGTGTAAACAAACCTACTCTGCTGCCAGTCATATTAAAGTACCATATAACACACACAATTACATACAATACATAATACTTAATGATGACAGTCAATGAATATGTTACTGATTGGTTTATACATTTCCTACACTATGTATACTTTTTTTTTTTTTTTTTTTTGAGACAGTCTTGCTCTGTTGGTCCAGGCTGGAATACAATGGCATGATCTCGACTCACGGCAACCTGTGCCTCCTGGGTTCAAGCAATCCTCCTGCCTCTGCCTCCCAAGTAGCTGGGACTACCAGTGTGCGCCACCATGCCCTGCTAATTTTTGTATTTTTAGTAGAGACGGGGTTTCACCATGTTTGCCAGGCTGGTCTCGAACTCCTGATCTCAAGCAATCCGCCTGCCTTGGCCTCCCAAAGTGCTGGGATTACAGGCGTGAGCCACTGTGCCCAGATCTACACTTTTTATCATTATATTAGAGGGTACTCCTACTTATTGAAAGAAAAAAAAGTTAACTATGAAACAGCCTCAGGCAGTTCCTTCAGGAGGCATTGTTATCATAGGAGATGACAGCTTCATGCATGTTTTTGTTCTGAAGACCTTCCAGTGGGACAAAATGTGTAGGTGGAAGACAGTGATACTGATGATCCTGAAACTGTGTAGGCCTAGGTTAATGTGTTTTGTGGTTTAGGTTTTTTTTAAAAAAGTTTAAAAAGTAAAAAAGTTAAAAACAAAAACAATTTTAATAGAAAAATGCTTATGGATTAAGGATATAAAGAAAAAGCTTTTGTATAACTATATGTTTGTGTTTTAATCTAAGTGTTAGTACAAAAGAGTCAAAAAGTTAAAAGAAGTTTACAAAGTAAAAATGTTTCAGTAAGCTAATATTTATTATTGAAGAAAGAAAAATATTTTAATAAATTCAGTTTAGCCTGTGTACAGTGTTTGTAAAGTCTACAGTAGTGCAAAGTAATGCCCCAGGCCTTCACATTCACTCGCCATTCACTCACTGACTCACCCAAGGCAACTTCCAGTCCTATAAGCTCCATTCATGAATTAAGTGTCCTATACAGATGTACCTTTAGCCTGTAATCCCAGCACTTTGGGAGGCCCAGGCAGGCCTATCATTTGAGGCCAGGAGTTCGAGACCAGCATGGCCAACATAGTGAAACCCTGTGTCTACCAAAAACATAAAAATTAGCTGGACATGGTGGCACATGCCTGTAATCCCAGCTACTCGGGAGGCTGAGGCAGGAGAATCGTCTGAACCCGGGAGGCAGAGGTTGCTTGCAGTGACCTGAGACGGGGCCACTGCACTCCAGCCTGGGTAACAGAGCGAGACACCGTCTCAAAAAAATATATATATAATATAGATATACATAAGTATAATATATAATTTATATATAATATTATATATATAATTTATAATTAAATAATATATATTTATGCAATTATTTAATAATTATTTAAATTATATTGTTTAATATTTAATATAAATATAAAATAATTTATAATTTCAATGTAATAATTTATATAATACATAATATATATTATTTGTAATATATAATTATGATATATATTTATATTATATTTTATATTTTTACTGTAGATATCTTTTATATCTTTACCGTACCTTTTCTCTGTTTAGATATGTTTAGATACACAAATACCATTTTATTACAATTGCCTGCAGCATTCAGTACACTAACATGCTATACAGGTTTGTAGCCTAGAAGCAACAGGCTATATCATATAGCTTAGGTGTGTAGTAGGCTATCCCATCTAGGTTTGTGTCAGTACAATGTGATGTTCACACAATGAAAAAAATCACCTAGCAATGCATATCTGAGAATGTGTCCCCGTTAGGTGATGCGTGACTGTGCATACACACACATATATACATGATATATAAGCAGATATGTTTATATATCACAAGTTTAACAAAATAGCACTTATGTACATGCAATATAGCTTAATATTTTCTATTCTATTTTGTTTTAAAAAAATTACTGATTGTGGCGGGCACAGTGGCTCATGCCTGTAATCCCAGCATGTTGAGAGGCCAAGGTAGGTGGATGGCTTGAGCCCAGGAGTTCCAGACCAGCCTGGGCAACTTGCAGAAACTCAGCCTCTACAAAAAATACAAAGATTAGCTCTGCTTGGTGGCGCATGCCTGTAGTCCCAGCTACTAGAGAGGCTAAGGTGGGAGGACCGATTGAGCCCGGGAGGACCAATTGAGCCTGGGAGGATGGAGTGAGCCCGGCCCTCTTGGTTGCAGTGAGCCAAGATCATGCCACTGCACTCCTGCCTGGGCACCAGAGCGAGACTCTGTCTCCAAACAAACAAACAAACAAACAAAAATACTGATTGTAAACAAAAATACTGATTGCAACCTATTAAACTGATTTTGTAACCCACTAATGAGAAGGTCAGCAAACTTTTTACGTAAAGGGCCAGATAGTAATATTTTCAGCTTTGCAGGACACGTGGTCTCTGTCAGGACTATTCTACTCTGCCAATGTGGCAGGAAAGCAGCCACAAACGATATGTAAATGAATGGGCATGGTTGGGTCCCAATAAAACATTATTTACAAAAACAGATGTTGGCACATCCCTACACTAATAGGTCATAGCCCACAGTATTAATTTTTAAAACCACAGAGCTAGTTCAACAGTTTCCAATGATTAGCTGAATGTCTAAGAATCATTTGCAGATTATGTTTTAAAAAAGTTTTCAGGAACCACCCTGGACCTACACAACTAGAATCTCTTGGGAAGGGGTTTGGGACACCAACATTTGAATCACTCTCCTTCATTGATTCTTACCTGTGGCCAGGATTAGGGATCACTGATTTGATCCAGCCTCCTCATTCACTCCAGCTCCAGTTTTTTTGTTTTTTTGTTTTTTTTTTTTAGATGGAGTCTTGCTCTGTTGCCCAGGCTGGAGTGCAGTGGCGCGATCTGGGCTCACTGCAACCTCCGCCTCTCGGGTTCAAGCGATTCTCCTGCCTCAGCCTCCCGAGTAGCTGGGACTACAGGCACATGCCACCACACCTAGCTAATTTTTGTGTTTTTAGTAGAGATGGGGCTTCACCATGTTAGCCAGGATGGTCTCGATCTCCTGACCTCCTGATCCACCCGCCTCGGCCTCCCAAAGTGCTGGGATTATAGGCATGAGCCCCCACGACCGGCCACTCCAGCTCCTATTTAAAAAAAAAAAAGTTTATAATTAACACGTAATTGTACATTTATAGGGTACAATGTGATACTTCAATACCTGTATACATTGTATAATGATCAAATCAGGATAGTTAACATGTCCATCACCTCGAACCTTTATCATTTCTTGATGGTAATAACTTTCAAGATAACTAGAAAAGAGGATCTTGAATGCTATCACCAGCCCCTATTTTACAAATAATAAACTGAAGCCTTGAAAAGCTATGTTCTGGGCTACAAACAATTGTCAATAATGTTGAAGAACCTGGGTCATACAAACTGGGGACTCTTACTACAGTGCAGTCACATTATAAATTAATAACAAAAAATCTGAAACAGAACATAATACTCACTCTTACAATTTGTTCAATACATATCCCTGCGGCACTTCAGCAGAAAGTGACAACCAATTAAAGGACAGAAGCCAGTGCCCATTAAAGTGATAATAAGAATATTAAGCATCTCATGGCTACTATAAAAGGTTGTTCAGCCTAAAGGCATAAATGTCTAGAAGCTCATTACTGCATGATAACAAATTTTCAACCAACAAAAAACACTAATATGTAGCACTCTAATTAGCTTAATTATGATTTCATGAGCTATGCAATTTCAATGGGAAATGATATTATTAAAGCATATCGGCTGATTTGAAAGTGATTACAGCATGCTGGCAATATGTTTAATGTTGTTTTGGCCTGCAGTAATCTTAATTTTAAAAGTAAAATTTGGTCTCTATTTTCATCAAGATAGAAATTATCTTGATACAGACTTTATATATGAACTTTAATATATTGAAAGAATAAAATGGGTAAAAATAGGCACAAATAAAAATTAAAAGTTAAAAACCGAGATTAGTGAAAAATTTATTGTAAAGCTCTGTGAATTTAAATATTTGTATTGGCCGGGCACAGTGGCTCACACCTGTAATCTCAACACTTCATGAGGCTGTGGTGGGCATATCGCTTGAGCCCAGGAGTTCAAGACCAGCGTGGGCAACATGGCAAAACACCGTCTGTACTGAAAATACAAAAATTACCTGGGCATGGTGACATGTGCCTGTAGTCCCAGCTACTTGGGAGTCTGAGGTGGGAGGATCAATTGAGTCCCTGTCTGAAAAAATACATATATTTATTTATTTATTTTATATCTATATTCCTTTTATACCCACTCATGTCTGTTCTGCAGTCTCTGATAACTTCATCCCTTTGGTATTAACTGAAATCACTTCTTCCCTCTGTGTATTGAGTCAAAATGAAAGGAACGCTTCCAAGCTCTCCTCTGATTTCTCATCCTTGTCCATTTTTCATCCTCCACACACTACATACAGATATGCACACCTGTGAACACATGCATCACCCTGCATTATATCCCTCCCATCCTCTCCACCTCCACTACCACCTCGTATTCACCTGTGAACCTTCTACTCATCCATAAAGTCTCACGGGGACCCTCAACAGAATCTTTCAAAACTCACCAAGAGTGTATAATGCTTAGATATTTTCATCTCTATTCCCATTACAGCGTGTTCCCATTACATACCCCCCACTAAAGCAATTATATTGCATCATAATTATTAACACAGTTATCTTTCCACTTAATTAGCTTTTGCTTGAGAACAGAGAGCATGTATTATTCATCCTGTCCTCATCACGCTGCACAAAGTTTGGTTCCTAGCTGGTCTTCAAAAAATGTCCTTTGAATGGGTGAGGAGAGTATTTCACTTGGAATATTGTTTAAAACTCTTAACCTCTGTGGTCACAAGTGATATTACACTGCCTTTGTCTAGTTTGGGAGCCAAGGTTACAGTAGGTCATAAAATGAAAGAGCTTTTCCTTTTTTTTTTTTCCCCAATCTGTGATGAATTTGTGTAAGAACAGAATTACCTGTTCTTTGAATGTATGGTAGAATTATCTGTAAAACTGTCCAGTAATAGTGGCAATCTTTTCTTTGGGTATGTTTTATTTTTCTGACTTCTTGGGTTGGATGTTTAATACAGTGTCTTTACTAATAAAAGCATGTAGAATTGTCTATTTTTCTGTAAGTACTACTTTAGCTGCATCCCGTAAGTTTTCTTTAAACATTTTTCAAAATAGAATTTTATTCTATTTTTTTAGAGGATATATATGAGTTCAAGATGGTCACCTGCTTCTCTAGGAATCCAAGGGACAACTTCAATTCCTTTAGGAGGTAAGTGGCCTGAGACTCCACACGGCCTATATCCCAAGCGAATGAATTGGTACTTAGGAAGTCCAGGCAGAATCTCAGTGAGATATCCTAGACCAGCATGGTGGAAGCAGGAAAGAGCCACAGAATAGGGATCCCATGGATGCTCAGGCTTGAAGGTAAGCTCCCCAGACACTAAACCTGCAATTGCACGCTAATTCTATATGCTAAATTCCACTGCGCAGAGACCTATGGCAACTGAGTCGGTTGGGGAAGGTCTCATGCATCCTACAACTTTTTTTTTTTTTGAGACAGAGTCTTGATCTGTCACCCAGGCTAGAGTGCAGTAGTGCGATCTCAGCTCACTACAACTTCCACCTCCCAGGTTCAAGCGATTCTTCTGCCTCAGCCTCCCAAGGAGCTAGGATTACAGGTGCCCACCACCATGCCTGGCTAATTTTTGTATTTTTAGTAGAGACAGGGTATCACTATGTTGGCCAGGTTGGTCTTGACCGGCCTCCTACAACTTTTAATAGGTAGTCTCATTATTATCCAATTTCAAGCATTTTATAATTGACTTTATAATTTCTTTGATTCACAAGATTTTAGTAAATGTGTTAAAGGCAGCTTTCTACCCTAAAGTTGAAGGTGTGGCATGGGTTAATTTCTGGTTCACCTTTATGCTGAGTGCTATAGTCTAGTTTGTGTCCCCCTAAAATTCACATGTTGAAACCTAATCCCCAAGGTAATGGTATTGGCAGGGGGATCTTTGGGAAGTGATTAGGTCATGAGAATGGAGTCCTCGAATGGGATTAATGCCCTTATAATAGAGGATTCAGAGAGCTCCCTTAACCCTTCCACCATGTGCGGACACAGCAAGCAGAGGCCATCCAGGAACCAGGAAGCAAAACCTCATCAGACACTGAATCAGCCATTGCCTTGATCTTGGACTTCTCAGCTTCCAGAGCTGAAAGTGAAATGAATGTTTCTTATTTATGAAAGAAATGTTTATTTATTTTATAAAAGAAATATTTCTTACGTATAAACTAGCTAGTCTATGGTATTTTGCTATAGCAGCCTAAATGAACTAAGACACTTCAGGTGCTGCCCTTTGGTGTTTTAGCTTAGCGGGGAGATTTCCTGTGAAAGTCCCCACTTAGAGTTGGTACTAGCTTGACTATCTTTCTCCTAAGCTCCTGGGAATAATAAAAATAACGCTTGAATTTAGCCATTGTGGTAAATGCCTTCAGATAAAATCTGATTCTGTGATAAGCTTAACTTTCTAGGTTCTTGCCTTCATTTTGTTTTATCCTGCATTTGCAGTTATTTACAAAGGAAAGGTGGTACAAATCTGCACCGTTCAATATGGTAGCCACTGGCTACATGTGTCTATTGAACATATGAAATGTAGCTCCTCTGAATTTTCTAAATACCCATTGGATTTTGCAACTTAGTATGAAAAAAAGAATGTAAAATGCCCCCATAATAATGTTATATTGTTCACATAGGCAGCCTCAAAATTGGGAGTGGGTTACCAAAAAAAAAAAAAAAAGTATATTAATTGCTTAAAGCCCAGAATTTATTACCTCTTAAGATGTTTCTGGTGGGAGAGTATATTGGTGTAGCATTTTGGGGAAAGAAATTGGCAACATAAATTAAAATTATCTTTCTACCCTAATAAGATTCAGTAATTCCACTCTTAGAATCTATCCCTTGAAAATAAATAGAGGAATGTTCAAAATGTATGCATAAGTATGTTAATCACAGTGTGGCATGAGATAGTGAAATACTGAGAACAATCTAAATGCCAGATGATAGGGACATGTTCATACAAATCATGATGCATTTATTTTGTGGGATACAAAGCAGCTTAAAACAATGGATATATGGCCAGGTGTGGTGGCTCATGCCTGTAATCCCAGCACTTTGGGAGGCTGAGGCAGATCACCTGATCACCTGAGGTCAGGAGTTCAAGACCAGCCTGGCCAACATGGTGATACCCTGTCCCTACTGAAAATACAAAAAATTAGCCAGGCATGGTGGCGGGTGCCTATAATCCCAGCTACGTGGGAGGCTGAGGCAGGAGAATCACTTGAACCTGGGAGGTGGAGGTTACAGTGAGCCAAGATCATGCCATTGCACTCCACTAGGCAACAAAAGCAAAGCTCCGTCAGAAAAAAAAAAAAAAAGAATGTTATATAGTTATACCTTCCTTGTGTTTGGCATGGAAACAATATAACGTATTAAGTAATAAACTAAATTGAAGGCAGTATATATGCTTTATAATCCTATTTTGAATTATACATATGTGTACGTATGTGTGTATATACTAATATAAATTCTGGATGAATGTTCAATGAAATGTTTCGTGATGATTTCTACATAGAATTAGAGATCATTTTCAAATGATTTTGCCATCTTTATGCATTTCTTTTTTTAAAATAATGAATGTGATGCTTTCATAGAAAAAGCAATGATGTTATTTTTGGCATTTTTATTAATAAAAGATTCTTACATTGCTAGACAAAAATTTTTATATTGACTAATTGTTGAAAATATCTTGTATATATTGGGGTAAATAAAATCTATTATTTTTGCGTGTTTCTTTTAGCTTTTTTACTGAGAGTACTAGAAAATTTAATATTATATAATGGCATACATTATATTTCTATTAGACTGTGGTAGTCTCAATAATCTAGTGTGCAGTATTGTTTAGGGAACATATCTTTTAACCATGCTATTAATCTTTTGTACATTATGAATGCTCAATATATGTTGCAGAATACTTGATAGATTGCTTATATTTTATGAGAATGAATGGAGATTTTTTTTAATTGAATAAGAATTTTTTTAAAAAACCAACTTAAATGGGGAGACTTTCAGTTCTAGTTATTTCCTAGAATTTTTACTTTAAAAGAGAACATATAATAAACATTTGATTTGCTGTCAGTGCTATCTCTGAGAAGGCAAATGAAACAATGAATTCCAACACAGCCCCTAATCTGTTTGAGTGTTCTGAGATACAGAAATAACAAGGTTTTTGGCTTGTAAAATGTCATTACATTATTGTAGAGGACAAAATGTGAAGGCAGAAAAATTTGGGCAATGTCAGCCATGTTCCTTAGACTTTAAGAAAGTTGGTGGTTAAAAATTAAGAGAAGAAAAACGTTATTCAGCAAATGATGTTGGAATAATTAGATGCTCATATGAAAAAAGAAAAAATATTAAGTCCCTTCTTCATACCATATTCTAAATGAGTTCCTAATAAATAAATGACATGTGGGAAGCAAAACTGCGAACTTCTCAGAAGAAAATATAAGGGAATATTTTCTCTGTCATTGGGTTAGGGAAAGATTATTTTAAGTAATATATAAAAAGGGCAGCCCATTTTTATCTTCAAAAAAGAGACTGATAGAGAAGGTTGCTGCAAAATTGGCTGCACGTACAGGCTTGCCTTTTGTCACTGCTCCAAATAAATTTGAAGCTCTGGCTGCTCATGACGCTCTGGTTGAGCTCAGTGGAGCCATGAACACTACTGCCTGTAGTCTGATGACGATAGCAAATAATATTCGTTTTCTGGGTTCTGGCCCTTGGTCAGGTCTGGGAGAACTGATCTTGCCTGAAAATGAACCAGGAAGTAGTATCATGCCAGGCAAGGTGAACCCTACTCAGTGTGAAGCAATGACCATGGTTGTAGCCCAAGTCATGGGGAATCATGTTGCTGTAACAGTTGGAGGCAGCAGTGGACATTTTGAGTTGAATGTTTTCAAGCCAATGATGATTAAAAATGTGTTACACTCAGCCAGGCTGCTGGCGGATGCTTCAGTTTCCTTTACAGAAAACTGCGTGGTGGGAATCCAGGCCAATACAGAAAGGATCAACAAGCTGATGAATGAGTCTCAAATGTTGGTGACAGCTCTCAATCCTCGTATAGCGTATGACAAGGCAGCAAAGATTGCTAAGACAGCACACAAAAATGGATCAACCTTAAAGGAAACTGTTATTGAACTTGGCTATCTCACACCAGAACAGTTTGATGAACAGGTAAAAACTAAGGACATGCTGAGTCCAAAGTGATTTAAGTAAATTTATAATGAAAATAAACGTGTATATAATTTTTTAAAAAACTGATAAATCTGACTAATAAAAATGCAAAAGCTTTATTCAATAATAAACAACACATAAAAGTTGAAAAGACAGGCTGTGGACTGTAAAAATATTTTTAAACATACAAGTGATCAAGGATTAGCATCCAACATGCATACATAGCTCCTAAAGTCACTTACTTATGTTTTAAGTCAAGCTTATTGAGGTGTAATTTACAAGCAAGAAAACTCATCCTTTTTACAACAGCTGTATGAATTTTAATACATGCATTCAATTTTGCAACCATCACTATAATTAATGCATATAACATTTGTTTTATCTTACAGAAAGGTCTGTAGGGCCTCTAGGTAATCAATCCCTCTCACACCTGAGCCGTTGGCAATCACAGATCTGTTTTCTATTCCTGTATTTTTGCCTTTTCAAAATGCCATTTAAATGGAATCACATATAATGTAGCTTTTATAGTCTGGCTTCTTTAACTTAACATACAAATATTGATTATATCTATAGATTTTCCTCTTTGTTGCTAAGTTGCATTCCATTATATGGATAGACCAGTTTGTTTATCCATTCACCAAGTGAAAGACACTGGAATGTTCCCAGTTTGGGGTGATTACAAATAAAACCACAATAAAAATTTGTATACATTTTTGTATGAACATGTATTTTCCTTTCAGGAAAGCACCACAGGACTGCTGGGTCATATGGTAGGTAGAAACTGCCAAACTATTTTCCAAAGTGACTGTGCCATTTTCATTACCACCATCGATGTATGAGTATCTGTTTTCATTGCTTCCATTCTAGCCAATACTTGGTATTGTCATTTTTATGACAGTTCTAATAGGAGAGTGGTGGTATCTCACATGGTTTTATTTTGCATTTCCTTAATGACTAATGATATTGAGCATCTTTTTTGTGTGCCACTTTGCTATCTGTATATATTCATACAAGTAAATTTTTAGAAAACCAAACAACCCATTTGAAAAATGGACAATTGTATGAACAGGGAATTCCCAGAAAAGAAATTTAGGAATCAGTAAACATCGAACAATATGTTCAGTAGTACTAGCAGTCAGAGAACTGCAGGGAAATGAGATATCATTTTGGGTCCCTTGGACTGGCCAAGCTGTGTAATTTTGGCAGGGGTGAGTAGAAATGGGAATTTGTACACACTGTAGATAGGAGTTTAAATCAGTACAACTACCTGGAGACCTATTTTGTAATACCTAGTAAGTTGAAGATGCGTCTAGTTTGTGACCCAACAGTCCTGCTACTAGTATATATATATGGGCACAAAGGTACTTGAAACAATGCTTATTGTAAGATTGTGTTAATGAATATGAGAGGCACTGAATAATAGGAGAATGAATAAAGTCATTTATTAATTCAACTGAGTGAATGAAATCAATATGACCAATCAGTATGAATAAATTCCAAGAACAATGTTGAGTGAAAAAATAAGCAGGCTGCAAAACTATATACTACATTATACCGTTTTTGTAAAAATTGTAAACATTCAAACAATGTATGTCTTGTTTATGGATTCATATATGTGTAGTAAAAGTATAAAAACATTCGTGGTAATGATATGCATCAATTTCAGGATGGTGGGTTCCTATGAAGAGAAAGGAAGAGAAAAGGGACTCTGAGAAAGGGGCTTTAGCTCTCCCTGGAACGTTTTACTTCTTAAAATAAAACACCTGTATTTATTTATTTATTTATTTATTTATTTATTTGAGATGGAGTCTCTGCGACCCAGGCTGGAGTGCAGTGGCATGATCTTGGCTCACTGCAGCCTCTGCTTCCCGGGTTCAAGCAATTCTCCTGCCTCAGTCTCCCAGGTAGCTGGGATTACAGGCACACGCCAACAAGCCTGGCTAATTTTTGTATTTTTAGTAGAGACGGGGTTTCACCATGTTGGCCAGGCTGGTCTCAAACTCCTGACCTCAGGTGATCCACCTGCCTTGGCCTCCCGAAGTGTTGGGATTACAAGCATGAGCCACCACGTCTGGCCTATTTTGGATTTATTTTAAATATTTTATAATTTAAAACAATATCCTAACTAGTTCCAACCTCTGCCTTCATTTTCTCCCTGCAGAACAACCTGAGCAAGGCTCTAGGCTCAAAACCTCTTTAGAATACACAAAATATCCTACTGTTGCCTCTAGCGTTAATCTTATGCCCCCGTTCTGAAAACATGGTTTCCTAATTTATTAGACTTCAGTTCTCTCTTTTCATTGAACTTGAGGTCCCTGGTAACTAAGGAGTTGACTGAGTACTGCTCACTGGTACTGACAGATGCAGGAAGCATGTAAGAGGGAGAATCCCTGGAGAATCTCCAGCCCACCTGCCACTGGGAGAATGGGGTGGAGCCACCGAGAAGTTTCTGCCTTGTGCACGGGGGAGGAGCCTGGGCTCTTGAGCTCCTGTGTGGTGGCCTGGTATTCAATCTGTGAGATGGGAGCCGTTGGCAGGAACCCCTCTCACTTTGCTGAGAGTTTTTTCTTTTTTCCTTTTCGCCCAATAAATTCCATTCCCCACCCTTCAATGTGTCTGCATGTCTAAGTTTTCCTGGTTGTGAGATAAACCCGAATTTAGCTGAACTAAGGGGCAAAAATTCTGCAACAGTAATATATATACCGAGTACTTGTCCTGGCCATCCCTGTCCCCTGTGGTGTCCTGCTTCCACACCCACAGGGATAGAGGCCATTTTATTTGTTGATATACTTTCTCAGTGCCTGCCCATTGTCAGGCTGGGTTTCTGAGTATCTCCTGATTCTCTAATGCTATATTTTGTTAGCTTTTTGGATCATCTCTTATACTTGGTGTTGGATCCTTTGACACCTGGTGCATTCATGAACTGTCTCTGGAACATGGAACTCTGAGCTCCAGACTGAATTTCCACCTAGCTCTCTTGCCTAAAACCTGTTCCAATCTAGTAGATGAATGTAATAGAGGGCCTAAGCCAAGATGAAAATTTACAGTTTTCAGCACTTGCTAAGCTTCCTTATTTCCTTCCTAACCTGTGTCAGACTGATCAAATTAAGCACTGGAGATGCAGGCTCTTGAAATAGAAAATGTGTTGGGACACAGCTGTCTTTCATTACCTTTCCTTACTCAGACCTAGAGATAAAGTATTTCTTGGAACTATAACCCTCTGTTTTGGAGATGATAGTGGCCTCCGGAGTCTTTTAAGTGAGTACACAGGAAGTCACGTCCCCAAGCTACTTGCCTTATAAAATGCAACACCTCTTAGCAATCCTTTTGTCTTAGGTTACCTGAATAGTTCTGCTTCGAACAGCTTGGCCCTCCTGCTAATTTTCCTCCGGTTCTATGCTAGGTTGGCTTCTTGCTTGTTTCTGGGACCCCTCTATTTATTTCCCTATTAGAGACCACAGCTTATGCTTGACTTAGACTCTTTAGTAACTGCATCGTACCCAACCTAAGCACCCCACTGTCTTCAAGGCTACTGACTCCAAGCCAGACCTTCACTGCTATTTTGTCCCCATTCCTCAGGTCAAGCCTCAAGAAACCATATGAAAAGAAAGAATGAAAAGGTATTGTGGAACAGCAGAAATGTGCCTGTTGATAACAATTGATGACAATTATTTGATTTTGTGACAGACCCTTGGGAGTCAATAAGGCACAGTCGCTACCTGCCTTCAAGTGGCACATTGGTCAAGTTGGTTATGAAGAACCAAAGATAATGTGTAAAACAGGAGTAATGTGTATGGCCAGAGTCACAGACTAGGGAAATGTATCCCATGTAGGCTTCCTGACAAATGTCTTTTCAAGAATTCTCAAGGAGAGTCAGATCCTTGGGACAGGAGGTGATGCTACCCCCTTCAACTGGACTAATGAGTTTTCTAGGGACCAAATTGCAGTAGAAATCCCAGCACTGTGGGTCTCTGCATCTTCCCTGTAGGGCAGTGGCCAAAGATCCCAATGGCAGGCAGAGATGAGGTGGCAGGCTCTCAGTATTTGTTTTTTTTCTTGTATTCCATTTGTTAAAGTATTGGATTTCTTTCCAGTGGAGTGAGAGTCTGAGGTGACATAAACTACATATTCCCAAATATAAAGTATGAAGAATAGGAGTTGAATTTGGCAGGATGAAGGAGGGACTAATGAAGTACACTCTGGAATTTGAAAGCATTAGGAGTTGTAATTATGTGTTACATACACAATGGTCATGATGAGGAGATGAGAACGGTAACATGTAGATTTGTTAAGAGTTATGTATAGAGAAATTACCAAGATGTCACTGAGACTAGTAACATTCCTTTAGGGTTGTCCCTGGGTACCACTGTTGACATATCATTTGAAGGTCTTAACATCCTTGAGAAAACTTGTCAGTTATTCTTGGTGGCTTAGAATTCTTCAACATATTCTACAGCTGCAAACACAAGTAGGCCCAAGAAATACCCTGGTTAGAAAATGTAGTTAATGCACATTTTGTGTTCCGAGATAAGAGTGGATGACATTTAAATAAGCAAGTTAGCTGACAGGAAGAAGAAACGATCAGTTAGTTATCTTGGTAGTGGGAAGGGTGGCACTGAATGTTGCAGATAGTGACTATCTGAGGCCGATGTTGTGTAAGTGGTAATAAGAATTTACCAAGTGATATGGGTTGGCTCTGTGTCCTCACCCAAATCTCATCTTGTAGCTTCCATAATTCCCACGTGTTATGGGAGGGACTCAGTGGGAGATGTTTGAATCATGCGGGTGGGTCTTTCACATGCTGTTCTCATGATAATAATAAGGCTCACGAGATCTGATGGTTTTAAAAATGGGAGTTTCCCTGCACAAATTCTCTCTCTTTGCCTGCCACCATCCATGTAAGATGTGACTTGCTCTTCCTTGCCTTCCACCATGATTGTGAGATCTCCCCAGCCGTGTGGAGCTGTAAGTCCATTAAACCTCTTTTTCTTCCCAGTGTTGGGCGTGTCTTTATCAGCAGTGTGAAAATGGACTAATACACCAAGACAATTGTAAGTAAAGAAAGACAGATTTATTAGAGAAAGTATGAAAGTATGTTTCAAGGAAGTAATGGGCAGGTCAGCAAGAGAGGAGCTGACTGCAAGGAGACAAAGGCCTGCTGAAGATTTTATAGGATGGTGCTTCTGTTATGTGAAGAGGGCTTTGTGCAGTACTGATAACACTAAGGTTTCAGTGAGCTAATTTGCATTTTTCTATCAGCCAAGGGTCTGGTGATAGCTAGGCACAGGAAGATTGTGAGTTAAATGTGCAAGAGGGCTATGTGTCCTGGACCATGAAGAAAGGCAGACTTATAACTTACCTGTTTTTTCTTTTTGCTTTCCTGTGGTCCTGCAGTCTGATTCCTTTTCCCAAATTAGGACTTCACATTGAAAATATATTATAGCCTTAGGGGTTGGCTGATTATTTCTGTACAGCTAGTAGTCTGGGGGTCGTATCCCAGGACAGGTCCATTTTGACTGACCGGTAGAGAAGAGGTTCTGCCTAAGGCAGGATATAAACAGGGTATCCAAATTCTTTTCTAAACTGAGATATTTTTGAAAAATAAAAGAGGCGCTAATAACAGGCAGCAACTGTGATTGTACCAGTCAAAATAGAATGTAAAATCACCCTAAATAGAAATACAGAAGGGTCCTCAGACCACAGCAATTTTGTTCATGGCTTTGTGGACCAGTATTACTATCCAAGTGACTCCTCTGGGGGTTCCCTGGCATAGGTGGAAGTGAGCCACTGGTTCTTGGAACAGCTCTGAAAGTGGTATTATATTACTGAGAGGAAGGGAGCTTAGTGAGGAAATCCATTATCAAGGTGGCCCAGGGGAACTGAATGTTTGGCAGGGATCACAGAAAACCTTTGGCTTTTCCCAGTAGGTGTTTGTTCTTCTGTATATTTTGTATATCATTGTATTCCACTACTTCCATTTTTTGACCTAGAGTTGTTAGAAGTCATGAGTCAAGGAAAGTAGAACCTTGTGTTCACCAAAATGAATGAATAAACAGAGGGCAGGATTCATGACAATTTTCTATAACATGTAAGTCATTTGAAACACACTTCTGTCTGAGGGCAAGCAGAGGGTTTGCTAGATCTCTTAATATATTATTGCCATTCCTGGGTGAGAAATGAGAAGGTCCAGTAGAAGCTGGATCATAGGAGAAAACACTATAGTATTACAAAACCCAGTCCCCAATGGAGGTGGTAAATTAGATTACTGAGAACAAGGAGAGGAAACATTTGCCATGTTCTGGCAGAAGGGGCTGGAATATAGATTCTGTATGGTGTCTAAGAATCAAGCATCATTTCTGTAGAGAGGGCTCTCTGTTTGTAGGATGGCATCATCCAGTCATATCTTAATGAGGGGATGCTGTAGCAGACAGCTGCACTGACCATGTAGCTAGAGACCAGGCAGAAATGTGGGTACTTCAGTGGAGGCTGATGTGGAAAGGTAGTAATGATCAAGAAACAGATAGCATAGTATACATTTCAGTGGACTTCAGTGGAGGACTTTATTCCTTCCTGGAACTTAGGTGAGAATTCTTAGAATTACATAAAGAGTAAAATGAGCAAGAAGTGTTCACAATAATTTTTTTAAAGTTACAAAAATATAGACTAATATTAAACTTCGAAGAGCATAGGGTTTGACACTGAAACCCAAGTAGCACCTTATAAATGTTGGCTTCTCTTTCACAGAAAAGAAATGCCGTTTCCTCAAACCATACATGAAAATTAGTATGATATTTTATCAGACCTTATTTTACTGCAGATATTACTTTCATCCGGAGTTTATATGCAATTTCAGAATAGCTACTGACCATCTAAAAAGGATAGAAAAAGTACAGGCCATTATACTATTAAGCTAGAGCTCTGTAGGAATCTTAATATACCCATTATAGTAAGCTTATAGGCATACTGTTTGAAGATAACAAAATCATTGTAAGATTATTACACCAACTGATAAGGATACTAACCTGCACAATCAAATGTGAGTAAGGACACACTTAAACAGGA
Organism: Homo sapiens; assembly: GCF_000001405.40. NCBI lineage: Eukaryota > Metazoa > Chordata > Mammalia > Primates > Hominidae > Homo > Homo sapiens. Next base: position 42,263,564 of record NC_000013.11, read on the forward strand.
AGAATGGTAAAATCAGTTTAGAGATAAAGAGCAGAATATGACAAATTATACATTTATAATATAAATTTATGAATTATAAATTTGGGCTCTACAAAGGGAATTTTCTAAATAAATTACAAAAGTGCCAAGAAATTTGACACCCATTGTTTATAAAGATAACCCATCTATTTGAAAAATAATGGTAATTATTATTTTTCCCCCTCACATTGAACAAAAATCTGTCCTCTTCCTCTGGAAGGACAGAGGAAGCCTCAGATAGTTCTCAGACATTAGCATTTCAACCTCAGTTTACTATATCCCTCTGAGTCTCCCCTTCTTCAGGTTAAATACCAACAAGATAAGTTTCACATATGAGATATTCCCTTAGGCTCCTCACCTCTGGTCATATTTCACTATGGCTAATGCAGGTGCATACTGACTAGTTAGAGTACAGTAGGACTAGCACCTCTTTTGTCTTGAGCATCACACTAGCATTCATGTAGCCTAAAGTTGCATTTGCCATGTTTTGGTAGCTGCATCCTTCCGATGAAGAAGATTGGACTAACCATAAAGGGTTGCAGGCCAGTAAACCAATAAATCAGAAATGGTTGGCTACTTTGATGTTCATGAAGATTGGCTATCAAGAAATCCTAGTCTATCTTTCAGAAGCTTAGCTGATTTCACATATTCCATTGTGGTGAAGGGGAACAAATGTGTTCAAGATGACTTTGGGCAATCCAAAATAAATTGGGATCAAATCTAGTAAGGGGACAGACTGGATATCTCTAACGTAGTTTAGTGGCTTAAAATTGCAAATAGAGCAAGGATTTCCTACAGCCTGGGCTAGGAGGCATTTGGGGGTCTTAAAAGTTCTACCACTTTTCAACCTAGATTTTTACCCCAGTGTTTAATGACTTTCTGTACCGTATGTAAGCATGTATTAATAATATTCATGTTTCATATGCATGACTATTACCTCCTTTAAAGATCTAATCACGTAAGGATATTTCTGTTAAATTTCATGTGAGCTAACTAATGAATAAGGATGCTCTGACTGACACTTTGAATTAATGTTTCATTTTTCAAGCAAAGCAGCTAAGCAACAGGAATGACAGACCCAGAAATAACTTGTTCTAAGATCTGTTTTATCTTGTCATAAAGTTAGGACAATATTCCAAAAGCTGACCTTGTCCTTTAGATATATAATCCAGGGGAAGTCATCTAACATCTTTTTTAAAGCAGTAAGCATGTATGCTATTGGCTCACATGAAGAGGAAGTCTATCTCACTTTTTGCAAAAGACATTTTTTAAAAGTTGTGTATAAATTTTATATGGTAAATTAAACTATTATTTACTTATGCTAAATGCTTTTGAAATGCTTGATAACATTCATGCTTCTTTGAACTTGTAATGTCTGTAACATAAGCTTTTTATAATACCTTGCACTTCTAATTTAACTATAAACCAGTCATGTAAAATCAGCAGAGCAATGATATTTAAATAAACTCTTTTATCTTATCAACTAGTTACATTTAGGCATAATTACTTGTTTTTGAACTTTGGACAAGTATATATTACATTTTCTTAAAAGAAGGTACATCTATGTTTTACATATTAGAAGTATTATAATTCAGTAATTAGCTATGATTTAAATCAGAAGAATCATTATATTTGAGTAAAATATATAGTAGGACTCAGATTGATTTTGCTGTTCAAGAAGTGTTTAATTTGGATTGGCACTTCTGAATTATCATTTGTACTATATTTACTAATTAGTATAGTTAGGATTCTATGATTTTAGCATTGAACAGTTAATGAGTGCCACCGTGTATTAAAATATCACTAGGTATAATTTTAACAGTGGTTAAGATGTGTCTCTATCCTTATAAAGACACTCGCTACAAAAGAATTAGGTAAGTGCTGTGAAATTAAATCATTTAAACTTAAAGCTGTTGGAACTTTACATTATTCTGTGCCTTGAGAGGAACATGGCTCTGCAGCCTGAGTCACACGGCATGCAGTTGCAACTTCTGCTCTTTTTTTTCTGTAAATAATTAGTAAGATCAAAAGGCACCAGATATAAGACCCTCTCAGATCACTACTCTTACTCACAGAGTAATAAAGTCATCTTCCTTGGAATGTAGCAATCTATAACCAATCAAATTGCTGTAATACACTGGTCTCCTGTGGAAAATGTGATAATCCTGCTAAAATTTCTCTCTCTGAGACTATGTAAGTGAAACCTTAACTTCTCCACTTTGGAATACTGACCCCATTCATCTGGAATTGTTGTTCCCAGGTTGTCATCCTCAAGCTTTATGCTCAAATAAACTCCATACTGAATCATATTTTCTGAATCTCATTAAGGTTGACAGTATGTACATTATAAAGTATATAGTAGACTGTGATATAATATATAGGCATTCAAACCGAAGGCATAAAAGAGGTATTTCACCTCTTGAACTTAAAAAGCACCTTTACATATTTAAACAGCTGATGAAACTGTAATTTCCACATTTTTCCCCTTTCAGAATGTTTTATTAATACATTGGTTTATTAAGTATTAACAAATTTGGCTGGATGCAGTGTCTCACGCCTATAATCCCAGCTCTTTGGGAGGCTTGAGCCCAGGAGTTCAAGACCAGCCTGGGCAACATAGCAAGACTCTGTATCTACAAAAAATTTTAAAAAATAGCCAGATGCAGTAGTGCGCACCTGTAGTCCTAGCTACACTGGAGGTAAGTGGGGAGGATCACTTGAGCCTAGGAGCTCAAGACTACACTGAGCTATGGTCACTGCACTACAGTTTGGGTGACAGAGACTCTGTCTCCAAACAAACACAAAATAATAATAAGTTAAATAATACATGTAAAGCAACCATCAAATAACTGGTCTGCTCCATTATTTTTTCTTGTATTTTCTAATGTTCTATATAACGTGTGTATTAATTCATAATCATAAAAAACAAAGTCCTAAAACTGAACAATGTAGAAAAGAAGGACTTGACATCTCACTTTTACAAGTGAGCCACCAGCTGGGACCATCACTCAGGCAGGAAATATCACTCAGGCAGGAATTCAGCAAGTGGGCCAAAGGGAGACTCAAGTTTTCAAACAGGAAGCGATATGGAATCTGCTCTTGGCTGTCAGAGGCTGCTACTGTAAAGCTCCAAAGCTCCTGGGGAAAGATGATGCCTGCCTTTGTAGTCAGAAGGTCACCAAGGGTATTAAGCTGAGAGGCTAGCTTTGTGTATTAGGCTTAGTTTTGTTGAAAGGTAGGACCAGACCGAACTAGCTAATTTTAGTCTGAACTATTCCATTTAGTGCCCCATGTGATCCAGAATAAATCATTCAACCTTGCTGGGTCATAATTCTTTCATGTGCCTATAACCCAAATGTCTTGTTTCTATTACAGTATGTCTAAAAATGAAAGAAATATTTCCATTAACTTAGAAAATTACAGTGGAGGAGACACCACCAATTTGATTGCTGGAAATTGGCCCACTAAAATGTCCCTAGGAGACACACAGGGGTTCCCAGGCACCCTCTTGGGTGCCCTTGGACACAGGCTGTGTTCCCTGACTTGCCACCCTGCTGCCCTGGCTCCTTTGTACACCACTGGTCTCTCCTCTCCCTACCCCGTTTCTGTGAGGAGTATGAGCAGGGGACACCTGTTTTCTCCCTGCTGCAACATCCCAAGCATGGGACATGCCTTGACATTCATTTCCCTTAACATAGCACAGATTTGGCTTATAGCATTTATCAGGACTTTACTGAGGACTCCTGACAATACAAATTAAAGAGAATAAAGAATAGTCTGGTAAGACACCCTCCTTCCCCGCTTCTCTTTTTTTGAATAGTTATTGAGTACCTACTATGTGCCTTAGGAACTCCTAAGCAAAAACAGAAACAGCCCTTGCTCATGGATCTCACAGTTCAGTGGAGGAGGGAGACAGACATTAACTAGGTAACCACACAAATAAAAATTGTTATAAGTTGATAAATGCGTTGAAGAAAAAGTAGGGAGTCCTAAGTAAAGGGGATTTACTTAGTCTGGGGAGTTAGGACGAAAGTTCCTGAGGAAGTGACAGTAGAGTTGAAAGGTGAAGGATTCTTGGGCATTCAGCTGTTAACAGGGATGGACAGAGAAAGAATATTGGATCCTGAAGAAACAGCCTGTGGAAGGTGATGAGGCAGGCAGGGTCTGGTCCTATTTTGAGGAACTGAAAAGGGGACAGTCTGAAAGGGAGAATGATATGAAAGCAAAGGAGAAAAGCAGATTATGAGGAAAACCATGAGAAGCCACTGAAGGATTGTAAGCAGGGGAATGGCATGGTCAGATGCAGTAGAAATGGCAGCCCTCTGGAGATAGAGTGCACATACTTCAACCAGCAGGCAAAAAAGACAAATCCTGGAAGCAAAGGAACGGTGCTAGGAGGAGAAATATGAACTCTGTAAATGGGATAAATAGAACGTCTTCTATTTTTTAGAGTATTAAAAAGAATCAGCAACATCCACACAAAATTTGTATAGGAATATTCAAAGCAGTATTATTCATAATAGCCAAAAAGTAGAAACAACTGAATTGTCTGTCAACTGATAAGTTGGCCAATAAAACTGTGCTATATACATAGAATGGAACTGTTATTCGGCAATAAAAAATAAATGAAGTACTGATACACGCTTCAACATGGATGATCCTTTAACACATGCTAAATGAACGAAGTGAGACCCAAGAGACCATGTATTGTATGACTCCATTTATATGAACTGTCCAGAATAGGCAAGTCTTTTTTATTTTTTATTTTATTTTTATTATACTTTAAGTTCTAAGGTACATGTGCACAACATGTTACAGAGGTATACATGTGCCATGTTGGTTTGCTGCACCCATCAACTTGTCATTTACATTAGGTATTTCTCCTAATGCTATCCCTCCCCCAGCCCCCCAACCCCCTACAGGCCCCGGTGTGCGATGTTCCCCGCCTTGTGTCCTGTGTCCATGTGTTCTCATTGTTCAACTCCCATCTATGAGTGAGAACATGCGGTGTTTGGTTTTCTGTCCTTGTGATAGTTTGCTTAGAATGATGGTTTCCACCTTCAGAATAGGCAAGTCTTTATAGACATAAAGTTGATTGGCTGCTACTGAGTATGTGAGTTTCTTTTAGGGAGGAACAAAACTTCTAAAATTAGATTTTGATGACAGTTGCACAACTGTAAATCTACCAGAAGCACTGAATTGTATGGTAAATGGATTACATCTCAGTAAAACTGTTAAAAAACACAGTTTTAAAAAGAATCCAGGAACTGGGGACACAGCAGAACTGGATCTCAATCCTAATTTTTTCTCACTTTGTATTAATGTACTGCAAATAATTGTAGCTAGCACAAGAGAGCACAATGACTGTCTTGCTAAGGTGAGTTGGGAGGATTTATTTCGGGCTCTGTTAATACATGTTCGATTGGGAGAGTTGGGCCCAGAGTTCATCTAAATTAGTAGTACCAAGCAGCTGTTTCAGTTAATCATTATGAGGGCTGTAAACACTCAAAAAATACTCAATTAACATTTTAAAAGAATGGTCCTACTTTGTTAAAATAGTACTTTTTCTCTTTTTGGCGTTTTTCCTTTTAAAAAGTAGCCCTATGTATCTTGAAATCTTGCTTTCGTTAAAATTAAGGTGTTAGCTTAACTTTAGGATATTGCCTCAGACCTTTTAAAAAATGTATTTGCTATCTAGTTCTTAAACTCTGATTAGGAACACATGAATCATTATTTAATACTACACAGGTTCAAAATAGCTTAAGAGAGATGGAATTCGAGGTTGAGCAGGTGGCGGTGTTTCCGTTTTCACACTCTGAGAAGGCCAAGGTTTCTTAGGGAAGCATTCCTGGTATCTGTATCAACCGTTTTCAGAGTTATTCAGCTGGTGTGTGTGTGTCTAATTTCATTTGGGTTGAGCCGCTGACTCTGTTAGGTTTTCATAAAAAATCATTTCATTTCCCTTTCCAGCTTCCGTCCTACTGGTATGTGCATGTTAAAGTGTAATTCAGGCTTAACTACTTTAGGTGTAGGCTAGTTACATTGCTTTGTTTTATGTATGAGGAAGCTGAGACTCAGTGGTGATAAGGAACCTTGATTTGGTTGTATCACTAATGACAGAGCTTCGAGTTGGAACTCATCTCCTGATTCGTTTCTTTTGGTGAAACATCCTCTTGATTTCTGAGCTTTCAACCTCTATCTTTTCAAATCTTACACTAAAGAATAAGTATCTGCGTAGAATTTCATTTTCTGTTCCCAGAATTGACTTTAAGAATAGACAGAAGAGGTGGTTGTCAGTGTAGCATAATGGAGGGAAAAAAATTAAAGATGGGCCCTTCCTTTTCAGCCATTTGTTTTCCCCCAGGTAACAAAAGAAAATCCTCCATTTTATTTTTCCTAGTAATTAGGAGAAATCCACATGTTTCAACAAAGGCAGAAACAGCATGAGGACTCTGACCTAATGGATTTTAGAAATGTTGAGATCATAGGAAATTAAATTAAATTTCATGACTGTCTCTCACCTGGCCTATAAATCTCCTAATCTCCCTTACTTCTGCTTTGGCCTCTTTAAGACCCATTCTTTTCAAAGACGAGACTTTTTTTTTTTAAAAAAAAGTAAACTCTGGGTGTCTCTCCCCTATTAAAAACTCTGTAATACCTTATATTGCGTTTAGAATAAACTTTCAATTCCTTTCTTGGCTAACAAAGCCTTACAGGATCTGGCCCATGCTAGTTTCTGACAGAGCAAGAGCATCACCATCTTGGACAAGCACCGCCATTTTAAGTTCCCCTTGATTAAAAACCGCCTAAATCCAGCCCCAGAAACATCAGCCTAATGGCTAATGTCAGCATGACCATAAACCACAAATAACACTTCTGACCAGAAACTTTCCAACCCTGAGATAAACCCCACTCTGATCAGAAATATGCCTCCCCTCCAACCAGAGACATTACACCCCTGACAATAAAACTCTCCTCCACCCAGAAACATTCCAAGTCTACAATATGCTCTCCCTCCCTAAACCACTAAATACCTTTAGTCTGTAAGAGAGAACACTCCTGACCGAAATCGGCCAGAAGCCCCTCTCAGGTTTATTCTCCAAAATAAACCTGTCTCTGTTAAGCTGCTTTTTGTGTTTCTTTCTTTAACTCTTACAGTTTCCATCTCCAGGCTCAAGAAAGTTTACTTTCTCATTTCTTCTTCCCTCAAATGCACTAGAATAGATCCTTACTTAGGGCCTTTGAATTAGTGTTATCCTTTTCCTGGAATGCTCTATGCTCTGATTTTTGCGTCTGTTATTCAAATCGCTGCTAAAATATCTCCTCCTTAAAAGGGCATCCCCTTTACTAGCCACTCAGTCACCATCACCATCACGTCACTTATTGTAACTTCTTTGCATACAGCTTAAAACCAACAGATTTTTTTTCTTTTCACCCTCAGATAAGTTCCCTAGAATCTACACTACTTGTCTTCATCATTGTTCAATCAACAGCCTAGAGTAGTGTTTGTTGAATGAAGAAATGAACAAACGAATGCACCCTTTCTTCCGTGACCCTCTCCTCTGAACAGGGCAAAACTTAACTCATAACGAGGATACACTCAAAAATGTCTTTCTTATTGCCAGGTGTTTCCACTCTTGAGGAACAGATGCCCTTTAGGAGACAGGGCAATTTGACTGGACTGGCCCTTCCGATTTTAGGTGAAAATAATCACCATAACAGCTTTTCATCTCTGGCTAGGCTTCCCAGTGACCAAAGCTTTACTTTCCGATTTCCATACCACGTAAAGACATCAGGGTGAGCACTAGGGCCCTGAGAACCCTGGAAGCTACTTCTTGGCTGGGATAGGGCTGGTTGCCCGGTGCGCTGTGAGTGGTCCTCCCCGGAGATGCTGGGAGAAGGGGCGGAGCCATCAGAAAGGATGAGCCTTCCTTGGGCCTTCGGATCTGGTGGGGCTGCCACTTTGGGAAGGGCCCCGGGCTTCGGAAGAAAGCAAAACTAGCCTTGTGGCGAAGAAGGAGCCCAGCTGGCCCCAGGCTGTTAAGACTAAGGGGTCGAGGGAAAAGAGGCAGAGCCTGAAACCAAATCTGCGGAGCAAGCCAAGGCCTGGGGACTTGCCAGAGGGAAGGGTTAAGCCGTTTCCAAGGCAACGGACCAGGAAGCGCGCAAGACGTCCGCCGCAGGTTCGTAGGTCGCCCTCGAATTTAAAGCTCCCAAGGCTGAGTGGGTCCCGGCCAATGGAGAGGCCCCCTTTAAGTCATGTGACCAGCGGGGCTGCCCCGCGGGCTGCTCCGCGGGCTGCACTGGAGCACGTGGGAAGGCTTTTTTTCCTGTTCCTTCTTTCCCTTTTTAAACGCCCACCCACTTTTGCGCGGGCTCGGCCGCGGAATTTTTCTCGCGAGAGGCGCGCTGCCCTCTCGCGAGAGAGAGTGGGAGGCGTGGAGAGTAGGCGGTGTTGCGGGCCGGAGCTGCGGCGGCGGCGGCGGCGGCGGAAGCCGAGGGGTGGGCAGGGCGGGGGCGGGCCGCGGGGCTGGGAGGGGGAGGGCTGGGGGTCAGCGCGGGAGGGGGCCAGCTTGCTTGCCCGGCTCGCTCACGGGTCGTTGAGGCCGGTGACATGTCTGTGAGCTGCGGAGGCTGCGGCCCCCAGGTGAGCCGGGCGCCGACGTGCTCGCCGCGGAGGCTGCGTTTAGATGGGGTGGCGGCGGGTGTGCGGCCGGCATGGATGGAGCGGCCCGGCTCCGGCGCTCCAGCCCCTCCGCCTGCCGCTGGTCCCCCTTCTGGCTTCGGGGCCGCCCGAGAGCTGCGCCTTCGCATGGCGGAGGGAGGAGGGCGGGAGGAGCGCGGCCGAAGGAGGAAACTCACCGCACCGGGCCCAGAGTAGAGGGAGGTGCTGGGTCTCGAGACGCGTCTTCCTGGGGTCCCAAGTGTGGCGGTGGAGCTGCCGCCCCTTTTAATGACAGGCTGTTTCCATCCCCGGGGTGGTCTTCAGAGACGGCCCCCCGGGTGCGTGGTGCGCGTGCTTAGTGTGTGTTCGTGGTGTGCGCACAGGAACATTTGCAGCGGTTGGGAGGACGTTGCACTTTGTTCCCGAACAGCATCCTTCACTGTCAGACCCCCGGAGCCTTGGAAGCAGGCGCTGCTCAGATCTTGTAAACGGAAGGCGTCAAGGGGCTCCTCAGAGTATTGATATTTGGATTTGCTGTCAAATACTCTCCTAGGCTGTTAATGGCTTAAGGCTGGCCATAAAGTACCCCGAATGGATTGAGTATACTGCTGTTAATCCAGGCATCTAAGCTGCTTTATAAAAAATATGTAGATGTAACCGAAGTATTAAAAAGTGACAATGACAGTAAAAGCTAACATTTTTTCTCTTCCCCATATTACCAGCTTTCATTTTTTTTCTCTGCTTTGTCTGTCTTCTAAAACCATATAAAGTTGGATGTGGTTTAGCTTTAGATGTTAAGGAGTTTCATGGTGAGAAAGACTGCTGAGATACATACCTAATAGCTTTAGTACAAACTGGAGTTAATTCCTGTTCTCTTTTCAGCTTTTCAATCGCTTGCAAAATGCTCGTTTTGCTTAGCTGCTTCCCACTGTTTTAGAAATGTCATGTCGATTGTTATTTTGTTATGTCTGAAAATACTCAAAATATGGAGTACTAAGAAAAAATGGGGTATCAGTAATGCACAGATATATTTTTTTTAATGTCATCATTTTAGGATGGCAGCCCAGTGCCTGGCATGATTGGTGTCAGTTAAAATAGTGCAATTGAATGATTTTTTTTTTTTTTGAAAAACACATTTACTTTTTCAAACGGTACCCTGATTATTCATTTTTTCTTGTCGTTGTTCCTCCTGACAAAACTGACCCAGGGGTGGACAGTGAATGTCACTATTGTAGCTGTAACAGTAATTTATGAAAGGTCAAAGAATGTAAGGAAATCAGGGAAGAAGTGGGTTCCCAAGCTGAGCTAGAGACTAATGTATGTACCCACATAACTGCAGTATCGACAATATTGATAAGGGCCTAGCAGTGGACTCCTAGGCCAGTGATATTTTGCAGTTGTTGAGGATATGGGAAGTTGCCTAAGACATGGAACCATAGTGAGAAATTCTCTAGCCTTCTCTAGCCCCCTGAACTCCAGGGATAAGTCTAGAAGCTGAAGAAGTCCTCTTTTGCCTTTAGAGGCTGGAAAAAATACGGTACTTTTAATTTTTTTATTTTTTAATTTTAGGAACTTACTGTCTGGAAAAGGAACTCAAACCAATTTGGACAATATATTAAAGGCCGTTTTAAGAGAAAATGCCAGTTGTAAATAGGTAGAGGAATTCTGTCTATACGTGACAAAAATGTGAAAGACTTAGAAAATATCTCTTTGTGAATGGGCAGAGGAGACCAGTGTTGATTAGAAAAAATTCCTTCTTACTCCATCTTAGCAAACTAATTTTCAGAAGTAGAAAAATAAATTTTTTGGCTGGTCTTCATAACCTTTTGGCAAGGGTTTCAAACTTGTAGGGCGTGTGGTGTTTGGTTTTTCAAAAGTAATTGAAGTAACTTTGGATAGGGTAACTGATTTTGTTTTTTTTCCTGTCTTGTGGTCTGCATTTTATTAATCAACTACCTGGAAGGATTGAAGGGTGAGGACAGGTCGAGAAAAGCTTTAAGTTAAGCCTGGGCATGAGTTAAGGGTCAATGAGCTGGTAATATGGGGAAGAGAAAGAAAAATGCTTTATCAGTTTAAAAACAGCCTGGAAAGATCCAAGTGTCTCGATTCTCCCAGTCATCCTTACATATAAAAGTTTATTAAAAAAATACTTCTGGGCCAGGCTTGGTGCCTTACACTTGTAATCCCAGGACTTTAGGAGGCTGAGGCGGGTGGATCACTTGAGACCAGGAGTTCAAGACCAGCCTGGCCAACATGGAAAAACCCTGTCTTTACTAAAAAATAAAAAATTAGCCACGTGTTATGGCACATGCCTGTAATCCCATCTAGTCGAGAGGCTGAGGCACAAGAATCGCTTGAGCCTGAGAGATGGGAGATTGCAGTGAGCCGAGATCGTGCCACTGCACTCCACCCTGGGCGACTGAGTGAGACTCTGCCTCAAAAAACAACAACAAAAAACTTCTGGAGTAAAGGCATTTGAAATTTGTAGATTAGAGACTGGACATGGTAAAAGGAGAAAAGTTATCATTTTTAGAATAATCTGAGAATGTTTCTTGGGAAATAAATGGGGTAGAGGCCTGGAACAGAGAGGATGTTACTTGACTGAAAATGAGGTATATTGTAAAGAGTTTCGGTTTGGGAGTCAGGTCTATTAATTAAATGAGCCTCATTTTCTTCATACCCACCTCAAAAAGTTAGTGCGAAGCACATAGTAGCTGCTTACTCAGTGTTTTTATTTTTACCTCCCGTAATGGTTTGAGGATTCTTTGATTGCAAGGAAGAAAAAGCCAATTTAATTAGCCTACTTAAAAAAAAAGCATTTGTCATACAGTGCTGCTGAAGTCCATTGCATGATTCCAATTCAGCGTTTTGGGAACCAGAAAGTCTTCAGGCAGTTACTCTTCCAGTTTTTCTCTGGAAGCACATGGTCTTATGTCTCTGCTACTCACGCAGGTCTGTTCCAGTTTCTTTCAGATTGGCCTTCTCTTTAAAGCTCTTGGTTTCCACTTCCCCAAAACTTTGATTTGCATGAGACTTTGGTTTGCCATGATGCCAACATCAGACTCACTGACTATGCAACATGGTTCTCAGCAAACATCTCCAAGTCTCAGTTATGTTTCTAGAGAGAGAATCCAATTGGTCAGGTTTCTGCTTCTAGCACAGTTGGCTGGAGAGTGAGGAAAGATAGGAATGGGAAAAATGGATGAGGAAGAGACTTAGATTTGTCTCACAGTTTGCAGGGCTGCTCCTTTTAAACTGGCCATGCCAACATATTTAACAAAAGGAGAGTGGACAGGGAGGAAGTGATGGATACCTCAGGTGTGCTTTAACATCCTGCAATTTGAGTTCTTCCTCTGGCATTGCATTGAACTTGCTCTCAGCTTGGTAATGTTCTAACCAGATCTAACCAGTAGTCTCTTTACAGGACAGATTCTCCTGGGTGTGGGAGTTCAGGCAAATTACTGAAATGCTTGATGACTCAGTTTTCCTATGCGTAGAATGGGCATAATAGCACCTTCTGTGGTGAGAATTATGAATTCATGTATGTAAAGCAATTAAACAGTGTCTGGCATATGGCAGGCACAATGCAAGGGTACGGTATTAGTATTTGTTGAGAGCATACCGTGTGGCAGGTACTGTGATACAGGCTTCTGGTCGTGTTCAGAGAGGAAGGAATTTCTGCCCTCAAGAAGTCTAGAAGTCCAGTGCTGACCACTCATGCTTAAAACCATTTCTTGACTTCAGTGACACTAAATTCTTCTAAATCTCTACCTCACCTACCTTTCTGACTGCCATTTATTTGTGGTTCCTTTTATGCCGGTCCTGGAACCCTTTATCATGGTTGTCTTCATAGATGCTCTCTTGAATTTCTGTTCTTTCCCAGTCGCTGAGACCAGCTTTCAGGTTCTCTATATGTGGATTATTCTTAGAGTAACATCTCCATCTCTGACCCCAAGTAAATCTCTTAATTTTTAGTTCTTTTTTTGGGTATTATTATTTATATAATTTATATGTTTTGAGACATGGTCTTGCTCTGTCACCCAGGCTAGGGTGCAGTGGCGCAATCTTGGCTCACTGCAACCTCCTCCTCCCAGGGCTCAAGCGATTCTCCCTTCTCAGCTTCCCGAGTAGCTGGAACCACAGGTGTGTGCTACCACGCCTAGCTAATTTTTATATTTTTTTAGAGGTGGGGTTTCACCGTGTTGGCCAGGCTGGTCTCAAACTCCTGGGCTCAAGCCGTCCACCTGCCTTGGCCTCCCAATGTGCTGGGATTACAGGTATGCGCCCACTGTACCTAGCCTCTTGGATATTCCTATGTTGATATAAAATACTGTCTTCCAGTTACCTTCTAATTTGCAAAGCCTTCTGATTTACCTTCTGATTTGCAAAGAAAAAAATTTTCTTTCAGCATCCCAGGCTTAAAACCTTAAAGTTATTTTTCACATTCTTCTTTTTTTATGCTGTAATATACCCTGTTAGTTAATAGGTTCTGTGTGGGCTTTTGGGTGCTTCCTATGACTGGCCCATCTGCAAAGTAGATCTGTTGACTTATTTCGGCTACTGGCAGCTTAGGATAGATCCTTATATCTGTAAGAGCTACTTAAATGCCTTTTCAGCAATATACTCTTAGAGTCATGGCGTCATAGATGTCACTGATAAAAAGAAATGTGTTCCTGGGTTAAAATTCTGAACATATTTTCTGTTAGAAATAGTCTTGTGGATAGGGCTACGTACAAGATTAAGAATGTTACTCCATTTTCTAGGGAGCATATTCATGTTGAAAGCACAATCTCAAGATTTTAGTTTTTTGTTGTTGCATTTTTTTGTAGGTATTCAATTACATAGCATTTTAATTATAGCATATCATCCTTATAATATTGCCATACACATATACAAAGTTTTATTATAAATCAGTTGTTGAAAATATTTTTGAAAGTCAAATATATTACAGATGCACACTCAATAGTGAAACTAAGATAATCATTTGAGGGCATATATCCTTTACAGTGATTTCTTAAAACTGTATTCAAATGTAGGTCTAATGAGTTTTTTATTATGAAAATGTTAACTGTTTTATCCTCCTGCCTTCATCTGATTATTCTAATTAACTTCTAACAATGGACCGTTGCATGTTTAAAAGTTGTGTTTATTGTTGCTGAATAAGTAGTTTTGAAGTCAGTAGCCATTCACACTTAGTACTTTGTCAACTAGACCCATGTTATTCCTTTCAATACCAGTGGCTAGTTGGGCTCAAACATACCTTATAAGTAGATCTCAATCTGGAATGCAGTTGAAAAATCAATAATTTTTCTCTGTGACTGTTTGGGAAAACAAAAGTGACAGAACAAATATTCTTGGATTAATTTTGTAAAAAGTCATTAGGTAAGTGGCCCTATTTTCTATTTGGTGATGTTGCTTTTGCCACCAAATGCCTGTCTGCATTCACGTCATTGATGAAATTTCTCTTCACCGTACAGCTCGTTCACTTCAGTAAATCTATAGTTGCTTATTATGAGTAAGGCCTTTGGGGAATGCAGAGATGAGTAAGGCATGGCGATGGAATGAAATTCACTGTTGTATCCCAATCACTGTTACTTAGACGCTTGGTGAATGTATGTGTTGAACGTTGGTAGTACTTACAGTCCAGTGCAGGGCATAGACATGTAGACATTTAACTGTTACATAAGGCACTGTAGTCTAAAGTGCTAAAATAGGGTAAGTGGTGATTTTGCTCCCCAAGGAAATGTTTGGTAATATTTGGAGACAGTTTTGGTTACTGCAACTGAGTGCTACTGGCATCTAGTGGGTAGAGGCCAAGGAAGCTGCTAAGTGTCCTACCATGCATACACAGCCTCCTACAACAAAGACTTATCTGACCCAAAATGTTAGTAATGCTGAGATTGAGAAACTCTGTAGCGGTAAGAACATATATATTGTGAATGCAGGAATGAGGTTGAGGATTAAAAAGGAAAAAGGCAGAAACTATAAAGAAGCAAATATCTTAATAGATATTAAGACATACTAAAATCATTTTATACGATTGACTGTTGTTTTGAAAAACAAAATAGTATCTGATAGCTGTAGTAGTTTTAGATTTTGTAAGTCAAATAACAGGTCTGTACCCAAGAAAGGAACTTAGCTTCCTTATTTGCAAAAAGGGGGATAACATCACTTTTATTCTGCTGTTCACCTATTAGGTATTATTCTGTTTTATTTTTCTAGTGTTTGTGTTAGGGTTTACAAGATAACTTATTACAGGTTTTCTTCAAATAACATCACTTCATGTTTAATGTAGAAATCTATGACAGTCTTTTTTTGTCTCCATCTCCCCTGCCACATTTTTTATCCTATTTTGTCATACATTTTATCAATATGTCTGTCTTAAACCCTCTAATTAATTGTTACTATTTTTAAACAGTTATATTTTAACTGTTTAAAAGGGATTGAAAAATGAAGAATAACTTCTGTTACCCTCATATTTACCATTTCAGATGTTCTTTATTCCTTCGTGTAAGATTCAGATTTCCATCTGGTATTGTTTTACTTTGCCTGAAGAATTTCTTTCCATAGTTACTCTAGTGGTGGTCAACTGGTGGTGAATTTTCACGGCCCTTATTCATGTGAATAAATTTATTTTGCCTTAATTTTTGAAATACATTTTCATTGAGTATATCTGGGTTGATGCTTTTTTTTTTTTCTTCTTCTTAGTACTTTGAAGATAGTGCTCCATTGTCTTGTTTTCCGGTTCATATAGATGTGAAGTCTGTTGTCCTTGGTTCCTCTGTATATAATGTGTACTTTTTTTCTGGTCAATTAATATTTTTTCTTTATCACTGGTTTTCAGCCATTTGGTTATGATTTGCCTTGGCTTTCTTTATGTTTATTCTTAGGGTTTGCTGAGCTTCCTTGGTACTGTCAGTTTACGGTTTTCATCAAATTTGGGAAGTTCTCTGCTATTTTGTCTTCAAATTTTTTTTTCTTCTGCACCCACTTCCCCAGTGCACGCACGTGCACACCCACACACACACACACACACTCTCTCTCTCTCACTCACTCACTCGCTTACTCACTATGTCTCTTCGTGGAACTCCAGTTATTCACCTTTTATGGTGCTTAAAAAGTCACTTACACTCTACGTTTGTTTTTAAGTTTTGTCTCTCCATGTTTCATTTTGGATAGCTTCTATTACATTGTCTACAAGTTCACTGAGCTTTTCTTCTCTAGTTTAATCTGTTAATTGTATCCAGTATGGTTTTCGTTTCAGTATATTTAATTTTCATCTCTAAAAGTTCAATTTTGGTGTCTTTTGTATCTTCTCCTTCTCTCCTTATGGTGATGTTTTCCTCTCACTTCTTGAGTATATGGAACATATTTGTACTATAGTTTTACAATCCTTTTCTGTTCCTGCCATCATCACTGTCATTTCTAGGTCTTCATTTATTGCCTTTTTTTCTCTTGGTTATGGTTCATATTTTTCTCTTCCTTTGCATGCTTGGTAATTTTTATTGTATGCCAGCCATTGAGTTTATACTGTTGCTTGCTTGATTTATTATATTACTGAAGTGTGTTGGATTTAGTTGGGGTGCACAGTTACTTGGAATCTGTTGGGTTGTTTCAGGGCTTGCTTTTAGAATTTATTAGTGTGGGTCCAGAACAGTTTTTAACGTAGTGCTGAATTATTGTCTCTACTAAGGCTGCTTCTACTAAGGCTGCTACTTCTTCTGAGGAGTCTATCATTACCTGATACATTACAAGGTTTTTCTATTCTGGTGGAATATATTATGGTTTATCTCTAGGGCTCTCACTTACTTTCAGCTCTCCCTCCAGCTTAATACCCTGTAAATTCTAGCCATCTTGGTCTCTCCAAACTGATCTGTGTTTAAAACTCAGTGAAACCACCAGACTGCTTGGCTTTCCTGTCCCTGTATTGTGACCTGGAAGTAGCTGGCAGCCAGTGTTTCCCTTCTCTCAGGGATCACAATCCCGTGTTCCCTGTTGTCTGATGTTTAAAACCAATGTTTCATATATATTCTGTCCTGTTTTCTTGTAGTTATATTCAACAGAATATTAATTTTTAACACTTGGCCATTTGGCATTTGGTCAAAATGTGTATTTGGAGTGTTTACTCTAAATGTGATCTCAGATACTATAAAGTAGAAATTATTGGAAACACAAATGTATTTTCACAAACTCATTAAATGTAGACATACTCATTTAAATATTTGAAGGCATACTTTGCTCTTTATTCTGTTTTATATTTTTCAGCCTACATCATGCTTTGAACTTTGTTCTTTAAATATGTTACTTTTTATTTATTAGTTCAGCAGATGTTTGAATGCCTACTATGTAAAAATACATAAAACACTTTTGTCCTCATGGAACTTACAACAGGAGGGAAGTATGCAAACAGTGGCACCAGAGGATTAAATTATAAACCACTTAGAGAGCACAAAGGAGGTGGTTACTATTTGGGCAAGGAGGGATAAAGGAGAGATATGAGCCAAGCCTATTTTAGGGAGGGAAGTTTTTGAACTGGTGCGTGAATAGTAAGTAGCAGTTCAGCTGGTGGAAGAGAGAGGGTAGATTTGAGAGAAGTTTAGGAGAATGACAAGTCAGGATTTGGCAATTTACTAGGCGAGGTAGTCTGTAGGAATTGAGGGGAAGACCAGTTTCCAGCTTGGCCTACTGGTTGGGTTTGGTTTAATGGCTCTTACTGAGATAGAGAATACAGGAGGAGATCGTTTAGGGAGAAAGTTTTATTTACCTTTTGAACATACAAATTTTGGAGTAACTGGGATATTTAGTTGGAAGTGTCTAATAGGAAATTAGATATACAGAACTGAAGAATAAATTAGGGAGTTATTTGCATAGTTAAAACCAGAGGTAAGGATAAAATGTCCTTGAAAAACTAAATAAAATGAGACAAGAGGATAAGGATGAAGACTAAGAAATATTAGTATTTGAGTAACAAGTTATGAAATAATTTAGGAAAGGAAACTTACATACAGAGAGACAAGTTTTTCTCAACCAGAAATTACATGTGGCAGTTGTTAAAAGTACAGATTCCTATGTTCCATGTAGACCTGTTGAATTTGGATCTTCTGGTGGGGGAGTTGTGTGTGTTAGAAATAAGCTGATGTGTACAGGTACTGAGGTTTGAGAACTAGTGCAGTAGGAAGAGAGTCAAGATATGGCAATATTGTTGACAGGCGCTTCACAGACTGGCATAGTTAATTCTCCTGATACAAAAAAGGTCAAGTAATAGGTGATGTCAACTTGAACATTTCTTAGGTCAGAGGAGATAAGGAAAGACTTGGAGAATATATATTTTTTAATTATAAAAGAATTTATGTTCATTCAGAAAAGTACAAAACTCAACATACATAGACACAAAATGAAACACCCATGATTGTATCTACCCAGATGAAACCAATGTCTGTACTCATCTAGTGTATGTCTTCTTTTATATTACATATATAGATACACACATGTAGTTATACAGATTTTTCACAAAATGGGATAATGCTAATATGCCAGAACCTGTCTTATTTTACTTAATGATCTACCATCTTCTCATATTGTAGATAGATGACATTTTATAAAATTTAAAAGTCCCACTTGCATGGGTGACCACTGGCATCAGTTTAGTGTACCTCCTTCAAGTCATTTCCTGTGGATGCACAAATATTTACATATGTGTGTCAGAGTTGTGTCTGTATATAATTTTTTCTTTCTTTTTTTTTTTTTTTTGAGACTCTGTGGCCCAGGTTGGAGTGCAGTGGTACAATCTTGGCTCACTGCAACCTCCGTCTCTTGGGTTCAAGCAATTCTTGTGCCTCAGCCTCCCGAGTGGCCGGGATTACAGGCATATACCACCACACCCAGCTAATTTTTGTATTTTTAGTAGAGTCTGGGTTTTGCCATGTTGCCCAGGCTGTTCTTGAACTCCTGGCCTCAAGTGATCTTCCTGCCTTGGCCTCCCAAAGTGCTGGGAGCCACTGTGCTAGGCCAGTCTTTTTTTTTTTTTTTTTTTTTTAAATTACAAGTGAGAGCATCCTATTAACACCATTCTGCAACTTGCTCTTTCACGCCAGTATGGATCACTCTAACTCATTATTTCCAATAGCTGAGTAATAATCATGTGAATTTATTTGAATTGATGAACTTCTAGATTATTTTCAGTTTTTTCATTTTATTTCAGTGAATAGTCTTTCACATATCTTTGTGAATTTTGTGCAAGTATATATGTAGGATAAATTTTAAGAAGTGAAATAGCAGGACTAAAGGATATGTGTATTTATTTAAAGTGCCCTATATCTCTGTTCTCTGTATTCTTTATAATTGTTTCTGTAATTGCTTTCATTTGTTTACTTTTGCATTCTGTGATTTTTCTTAAAATCTTCTTGGTTTTCCATTGTTTTTAGCAATGTCTGTTCTGCTTTTTTGTTATTTCTAAGGGGATTTCATTTGTTTAGTGATAGTTTTCTGTGTGTTTCCTGAGCTATAGTGGTTCACTTCGTAGTTGTTTGCCTTGTCTGCCTCTTTCTTGTCTCTCATCTGCTTTTTTCCAAGCCATGTAGGTTCACTTTAATTTCTTTGACTATAGATAACGCACTTAGTTATTCTTTGCTTAGGACTCTTGTTTCTTCATCCAGAATAGGGCACAAAGCAGTAAAGCACTAAATGAAAAGTTTATCATAATACAAATGTATTTTAGGTGAATATACTGTATTTTTGTTCTTCTTGTGAAATCTGTCAAAAACGATGTGCTCTCTAATTATATAAGATGCTAAAGAAATCCTGCTCTAGTAGCTGTTATCCTTTCTTCCCCCATCAATCTTTGCATCATTTCCAAAGATGATTTTTTTCTTTGCTTTACAAAAGTATGTCATATCATCTCATATTGGATTCACTTTTATGTTGCACAGATATTCTCTAATAGATTTCTTTCTTCCTGAGACAGTATTTTATTTATGTTTAAATGAAAAAGTGGTGGAGTAAGGCAGTAAGTTGTTTTTCTTCCATGAGTGAAACAGAGTGTAAATATAGAATTAAACTGTTTCTCTTTCATTAATTTCAAACAATGATTTGAATTCTGAGATAATGTGAGTCTCAGGGGCATGATTATATTTGTCTGGATTTTTTCTTTTTATGTATATTGTATGTTGTTTGTTTTTCAGTGTTCCTTCGCAGATCCCATACTGAATTCCATTTGCTTTATTATTCAATCTTGAATAAGGGTGTTTTATCTGGATCTGCTATTCAGGAAAATTGTGGGTAAAGTGAACTGGGGTAGCCAGCCCTGTCAAATCCCGGATGTTGTTTCAGAGCACTCCCACCTCTCCCTGCCCAACTTTGAAACTGTTTCTTCTACCTTAGGTGCTTGTTGCACCTGAGGGTGAGCAGCTCATTTAGATAGTTGGTCCCATTTATTTGATGGTGAAGTCTCCTGGGAGTTAATGTTTATCTTTGCTCAGTTGACTTTAGTCAGCAGCTGCAAAGGTAATTGTTGTTTCCTATCTCTTTTCCCTACTTCCCTTTTAGGCAAGGTTAGGAGCAGACTCAGAGAAAGTGATGTAAGGCGTGCCATTCCTTTGTCCTGCAGTATTGTTTTTAATGGCTGCCATGGCGTCATTGTGGGAATGAACCTAAGATCATTTAATTACTCTCTTGTTTCTGGCATCTAGATTGCTTCGTATTTCTATTGTGAGTTGTAATGAACCAGACTATAAAACCTTTATGCACTGTAGAGGAGTGGTGAAGAGCCCCAGTGCTGGAGTTAGAAAATTTGGACTTGAATCCCACCTGTGCCATTTATTTACTCTGTGGGCCTGGGCAAATTGCTAAGCTTCCTCTTGCCTCAGTTTTTCTCATCGTCAAACCGGGGTCCTATTCTGTAGTCTTAAGGACAACATGAGATGTTTACATAAACCTCTTAGCAAAACAGAACACTTGGTGCATTATGAGCCCTTGTTAATAAACTAGATGCTCTAGGATCATTATTTGCTTTGATGCATTCCCAAAAGCAGAAATGCTGAGTCAAAGAAGTATTTCCAGGGTTTTGACACGCATTACAAAACTGCCCTGCAGGTGCCACTTTACTTAGGAGCCTTCTTTGACAGTCTCTGGTTTCTTGGAACCCTTATGTTGGCTTCTATGTTTTATGTTACATTTGAGAAAAGCCCACTTGCCTCTGAGGCTTTCTGGCAGTTGAGGAGAACACTGTGGAGAAGAAAGGAGAGTGAAGTGGCCTGGGACAAATAAAAGGATTATCTTTTTGCTTTGGCCACTATACATTTTTATACTTAAACTTTGTTTTGATAATTTTTGGTCCACTTGATCATTTTGGTCCTTAGGTAAATATTTAAGTCTTCTTTTGCCTGTGTTTTATAGTTTTCAAAGTACCTCCCATAAATTATTTTTCATTTGAGTCTCACAGTAAACTTCTCTGGTAAATACGGTATCATATACATTGAGGAAAAAGTTCCAGAGACATTGCAGTTTACCCAGAGGAAACAAAGCTAATAAGAGGCAGCACAGGGAGACGCATGATCGTCTTCTGGATTCTGGGGTATCACCCTTTACCTTGTGCTGTTGGGAACTCCTTGTGTTAGGCTGAGCCTTTCTCATGCTGCTGCTTCAATTTCAGTAATTAATCAGATTTTATTGTTATAGAGACCACTAGGGCTTATCTTAGTTCAGAATAGAATACAATCATACTTCTTTGTCTAAAAATTAAAATGTAGAAATCTCTAAAGAAGTGTGTGTGTTTGTGCACTCACGCTATAGTCTTATCTGCATAGCAAAAGAATATACAATTTGAACTTCACTAAAATTTAGTTTTTTAAAAGTTCTGACGGTGGGGGGCTAGATTGAAGTTTGTTTTTGCGTATAAATCTCCTCATAGTATAAATTTATGTTAACCAAATGTCTTGGAAACCTCAGCTAAGCAATTCATTTTTTGTCTTTTTGTTTTTTTCAGAAACTGGGTCTTACAATATTGTCTAGACTGGCTTTGAACTCCTGGGCTCAAGCAGTCCTCCCACATCAGCCTCTCGAGTAGCTGAGACTGCAGGCATGCACCACTGTGCCTGGCTTCAACTAGGCAGTTCTTGATAAGACCAGATTGATTTTCTGAAAATACTTGAAACTAAGAATTTCTTAAATATTTATTTGACTTTTTAAAAAAAGTATTTAGTTCCCCACTTCTACTCTTTATTGTGATGAAACTTTTTCCTTTGAAGGCTTTGAATGCAGGAGGGCCATATCTATCTTGTTTCTCTTGTATCCATAGCATCTAGCACAAGTAGATTTTAAATGAATGGACAAGATACTGTGGTCAAATGCAGATACCGAGTGGTTAATGCCTGGAGTGGATTTAAGTTCTCAAAGATGTTAAAGCATCTTTAAAAAGTTGAGACTTAGTTTTGAGTGTTTCACCTGGCAGGTGTTGTGTGTGTTAAGTACTGGTAATCATTTGACTTGGATGTCTTCTGAAATTTTGTCAATGGTATGCTCTTAAGCTTCCTATACAAAGAATGTATCTAATTTGATATGTACAGATTTCTCATTCGTCTATTATCAAACCCTTCTGCCCAAGAAATAAGAATGTCAAGAGCATTCACTGTTGCCATAGAGATAAGAGTGTCTTGGGAGGCAGGGAAGTTGGAATTCTTTTTGTAATATTCTCTACTTAAGCTTCTATTTTTAAAATGTTTTTTAAAAAACTTGTTTTTCAGATCTTTCTCTTTGACACTTTGCAATAAAAAAGGGCAGTGAGATTGAATAGGTAAGGGTGTAAACTATTTTATAATTTTGAACCAAAATATAAGATTTTTATAATAATTTTCTATCTCATTAAGGTACCAATATTCATATATTTTTCAAATATTCTTGCTGGATTGCAAGTAAATTGGGGGGGGTGCTCAGATTATTTTTGTTTTCATTTTTATTTTTCTTTTAATGACTGAGTTAAAATAAATTAATTTAGCACAAAATGCTTGCCTGAATTGTTAAGATCAATAAATAAGTTGTTTTAATATGTTTTCTTTAGGTGTTTTGTGGATTAACTCTTCATTGATTATATACAACAAAAAATAGTTATGGCGACTTTCAGAAACAATCACATGAAGACTAAAGCATCTGTCAGAAAAGTAAGTTCACTCTATTAGGTTTCTTTTAGTGAAAGTTTTAATTAAAATGTTGATTTTTTTTTAAGTCCTACAGCTATGATGTTTTGTTTAAATGAATCTTATTATTTGAATTAGTAACATTGAACTACTGCAAAGATTGGCATGTATGAAAATAGTGATACAAAATCATGATTACAGTGATTTTATTTCCTAAAGATCACAGTGCTTTCTCCCCATTTTTTCTCTACACATAGATATCCATGTGCTTTTTTGCAATATAGGCTGTCAGGTGTAAGCTTTCTTATATACCTTTAGCTTTACCATTCATTCATTCCTTCATTCAGCAAATACACACTTGAGTTCTTATAAGCCAGACCATATGTTAGATGTTGGGTAATCAGTAACAAGCAAACAAAATATGATTCTTAATCCTTTCTTCCTTCTAGTCTAAGGAGGAACCTCCTCACTTCCTTTCTTAAAACAATTTGGTTAACCTTCCATTTCTTGACATTTTTGTCTTTGCTAAAACTTTGGAGGCACTACCCATGAACAAAGAAGGGAAGAATGGAGCCTGGAAGATAATTAACAGTCTTTGTTATTTCTTTTTCTGGACTTCATCTTCTGCATTATATGACACCATTGACCAATCCTTACACATTAAGACAATATTTGATTTTCATTATAGGTTTTTCTTGGTTTCCTTCTCTTTTATGGTAACTCTTGTCTCCTTTGCTAATCTTTCCAAATTCTAATTATCAGTGTTCCTATGAGCTTCTGGGCCTGCCATTCATTTATGTAGAGAGCTAAAAGATGTATAGGTTTGACTGCTAAGTCTAAGAGGATGGCTTCCAAATCTACAGGATGCCTGCAAAATAGAAAGTAAACTTATCCTTAAACAGTATGTTAATTACTTTTTTTTTTTTGGGACACAGTTTCGCTCTGTTGCCCAGGCTGGAGTGCAGTGGCGTGATCTTGGCTTACTGCAAGCTCTGACTCCTGGGTTCATGCCATTCTCCTGCCTCAGCCTCCCGAGTAGCTGGGACTACAGGTGCCCGCCACCACACCTGGCTAATTTTTTTGTATTTTTAGTAGAGACGGGGTTTCACCGTGTTAGCCAGGATGATCGCGATCTCCTGACCTCGTGATCTGCCTGCCTCGGCCTCCCAAAGTGCTGGGATTACAGGTGTGAGCCACTGCGTCTGGCCAATTACATTTTAAAGTAATATGCTCCATATGTTTTGAGGTAAATTACCTTTAAATTTAATAGGTCCACTTTTTAATTTGAAAAAAGTACAATAAAAACTATTTTCTGTTTCTACTCTTTGTAAACTATAGTGTATTTATTATACTTTTTCAGATTAGCAACTAGACCCATAGCTTTAAATTGATTATACTGCTGGCTTTAAACTAATAACTAATAATATATACAAAATATAATAGCAAACTGATAACCATGGTCTTCAAGAATGATGCTACCTGACTTGAATATTTACCCCATACATTGCCAGAGATTCAGGGATTAGACAGCAGCTGAAATTTCATACTATTATTACCAGGTTAGTGTCTTTTGTTATTCAACGTATTGTCCATATTAGGCACTCAGTAAAGATTTAATTTGAATTCAACTTGAATTATTGGAATCCCTTTTAGATAAAAGTATGTGAATCCAGATATTACATACTGTTTATATAAACAGTTATGCACACACATACACCACCTTCTACATCTTGGTGCATCTTAATGTCAGACACTTCCCTATTGGCTACTGTGGAAATTGAAAGATATACTTGAATTCTTTAGATTTCACTTTAATTTGCATTAAATATAGAGATACATTAAATATTTATTGGGAATTAATGTTGCAAAATTAAAAATAGCTATAGTTTCTACCCCAGTAATTTTTTCTAACATTTTATTATGAAAAATTTCAAACACATAGAAAAGTTAAAAGCATAATACACACACAAACCCACGTACCTACCACCCATATTCAACAGTAGTTAATAATTTGTCTTGTTTGCTTTGTGTCTGTGTATGTGTGTATTTACTTTCAGGCAGTACCATTTGCAAGTTATGATCATAATGTTTCTTCACCCTGAACACTTCAGCATGCTTCTCCCAGGAATAACAACATCTTCCCACATAACACTAATACCATGAACACATCCAAGAAAAATAAATTCCCATATATCTAATACTCAGCCATACTCAGATTTCCTGTATTACCCCCAAAATATCTTTTATAGTTCACTCTGCCCCTGTTTGGATCCAGTCTAGCCTCTTAGTCTCTGTTGCCTTTGGCAGTTAGGACTTAGCATTTCTTTTGGTTTGAAAGAATTTTTCCTTTTTTTCTTTATATTCAATTCTGACATCTTGAATAGGCCAGGCTAGTTTTATTTTCTTGTACCATGTTTCACATCTGGATTTCTCTGGTTGTTTTCTCATATTGCTATTTAATTTGATCCTCTCCCTTGTATATTTCACATAAAGTAGAAGTTATGTTTAAAGGTTTAATTGGATCAGGTTAAGCATTTATGGCAAGAATACTTTATAGGGTGATGTGAGGACAGAATTTCAGGTTTTCCCATGATCAGTGATGCTATGATTGATCAGTTGACTAAGGTGATAACCCTGCTAGCATTTCCATTGTAAAAGTACATTTTCTGTTTTTTGGTTAGCACATAATCTGTGATGATACTTGGCTGTGTGCAAATATCCTTTTTTTCCCCCAACAACCATTGAGCTAATGTTTTTGGCATCCCTTGCTTACTCTTTCCTGAATTCATTATTTCATGGGAGTTGCAAAATGGTGATTTTCCTAATTCTACCATTCCTTTCACATTTATTTGCTGGTATTAAAGAAAAGCTTCCCTCATTCACCTTAGATGAACTATATAATATCTCCTATAGAGGCAGGGCAAATGCCCTTTAATTACCAGTTTTCAGATTAATGACAGGGCATCATAGTTAACACCAGTGGTAGCAAGTGAGTTTATTTCCCCACATTAATTCACTAATTTATTTGTAATGCTCTGGACTCATGGATTTTTGCAGTTCTATATTTTATAACCTTTTATTTCTTTACAGTCATTAATTCATCTATGTAAGTTGCTCAAATTTTTCCAAAATTGATACCTGAGAGCCCCTCCAAGTAGGTACCTATATCCTTTTGTCTCAGGCTCATAACTTTGATTGCTTTTTCACTTTCGGGTTGTATCCTTTTGGTACAGGATGACCTAATTTCACCTACTTTACCTTCCTCAGACCTGAAATTGGCTATTTTTTTTTTAAAGAACCCTGAATAGTATTTAAAACCCAAGATCTGGATACTAGGAGTTGCCTTTGCACTTACCATGTCATGAGTTTATATTGACAGTTCACGTTCAGATTTCACATATTTTTTCCTGTTTTGATTTCCTGTTTCTAAATTAGTGTGAAAATCCCCGTTTATTAAGGAAAACAAAATTGTTTAAAATATTGAATATTTTCAAGCCCACAGAAAAGTTGAGAAAAAAACCTAGTACAATGAGCACCTCATATAGTCTTCACTCAGATTCACCCTCGGTTAGCATCATACCTTTAAGTATGTCAGTATCATTACCACCTCTTTGAAAATCATTAATTCAGTAACATCATCTAGCATGCATTCCAAACACAGATTTCCCTGTGTCTCAAGTATCCTTGTAACTTTTTCCTTGCTTCTCTTCTAGGATCCACACTGTATTTGGTCAAGGTTCACACACTGTATTTGGGGATTGTATCTCTTTGGTCTTCCCCATTCTAGACCATTCCAATAGTCTAAATTCTTTTCTCATGCAGCAAATCTTCTGAAGAGTCTAGGCCAGTTGTGTTGTAGAATATTTTTATATTTGGGTTCATTTGTTTTTCCCTGTAATTAGATTCAACACAACACCTGAAAGGTGATGTTGTGTTCATTCCGGTCTATCAGATCTGAAGTCCATATTGTTGATGTTAGGCTTGACTAGGTGGTTAAGGTAATAACCACCAGATATCTCCAATATAAATGCACATAATCTCTTTATGATTAATACACTTAATAAACTATAAGGTGATCCTCTGAGACAGTATGAGTGTCCTTTTCCCCAGCTTTTAACCCAGTAGATTTAGGATACATGGATAATCCTTTCCTAAATCAGTAATTGCATTGGGAGTTTACAAATGGGGTTTTCTAACTTTGTCATTCTGTCCATACTAGCCAGCATTTTTAGGTAAAGGAGCTCCTCTGACTTTGTCTCTTTTAATGGACTCACAGATTTTTTTTAATCCAGTAGTCATAATTCATTACCATTTTCATTCTTCTTGATTCCACATTGTCCCATATTTGGCCAGTGGGAATTCTTTCAAGCTGGCTTCTGTGTTTTTTGAAATTACCCTATTAGTCTTTGAGCATTTCCTTGCATTCTGGCACAGTTAGATGTTCCAGGCTCGCTTCATACATTCTCAGCCTCAGACCTGGAACCAGCCATTTCCCCAGGGAAATCTAGTTCTTTTTATTGGTGATAGATATTTACAGACCAAAAGCTGGGTGCTGACTATGCTCATTGCCACTGAAGGTCATTGTTTCTAAGACTTTTCAGTGGAAAAAAGGTAGTACATGTATTCAAAGAATTACGAATTTGTAATGACAGGTCAGATTCAAATGTAACAGTACAGCTTTTTATCATAAATTCTTTGAGTTTATATTTGTACCTCTTAGACTAAAGATTTCCATTTATTTTAATTTATTAAGATTGCAGCTGTTTGAGTTAATCTAGTGTGAGGTTCTGAAATATGGGGAAACAAAGTGAGTGAAACACAGTCTGTGACTTCCATAATTTGTTTTAATGGGTAGGAAAGAATCTGATTATAGTAATTATATGTTTTTTGTTTTCGAGACGGAATCTCACTCTGTCGCCCAGGCTGGAGTGCAGTGGCGCAGTCTCAGCTAACTGCAACCCCCACCTCCCAGGTTCAAGCAATTCTTCTGCCTCAGCCTTCCGAGCAGCTGGGATTACAGGCACGTGGCACCATGCCAGGCTAATTTGTGTATTTTTAGTAAAGACGGGCTTTCGCTATGTTGGCCAGGCTGGTCTCGAACTCCTTACCTCAAGTGATCCACCCGCCTCCCAAAGTGCTGGGATTACACACGTGAGCCACTGTGCCCAGCCAATAATTATAATATGTTTTGGTGTGGATTAAATGATCTTAGTGCACAACATACAGCAGGAACTTTGAGAGAGATTTATTAGGACTAAGGAATGGAAAAATCTTCACAGGTCTTGGGATGGGTAGGATTTCTACATGGGAAGACTGGGAAGTAAGGACATTTCTGATTGAAGAGCAGATTGACAAGTCAGTGGAAGGGGGCATAAGGTAGAAGGAAATAAGTGTTCTATTTATGCCT
This sequence comes from Homo sapiens, assembly GCF_000001405.40. NCBI lineage: Eukaryota > Metazoa > Chordata > Mammalia > Primates > Hominidae > Homo > Homo sapiens. The sequence goes on from NC_000013.11 coordinate 42,291,783, forward strand.
GACTATAATACTCATTATTTTCTTTATGTAACTTTTTCCTTGTACTTGTGACAAACATCTCACCCTGAAATTTGGAATCCCCTCTCATTTTCATCAGACAGCTTCCTTAAGATCCATGGAAAACCTTATTTTGGATTATTATCTTATTTTTCTGTCTCCAACTTTGTTAATGGAGTAATCACTGTTGTTAAGGGAGTAATCACTGTTGTGCACCTTACCATAGCTCCCACATCATCTCATTCAATCATATAAATTGTTGCTTCTGTTCTACGCCAGTGACTTGGAAATCAGATATGCAGTTTGTTAAGTTTTAGTGTAAGGTAAGAGTAAGTGAACCTGGTATGAGATCTCACGTGATCTTCTAGTGAGTTGAATGCCCAGGCTCCAGTAGTATGTGTTTTGGGCATGTGAAACTCTGCCTAAACCTTTTCAGCTGAATGGAGCTTTTCTTCTCAGTGGAATTGAGTTCCGCATTCAGTATCAAAAGGTGCCAGTGAATATTAGTTAGAGAATGAGTGACTATCTAAAACATCTCCAGGATCTCTTACCCTTGTCTTAGAATTAAATAAATTTGAAATATCTTTGCTTTCTTTCCCCTGCAGAGCTTCAGTGAAGATGTGTTCCAGTCTGTAAAGTCTTTATTGCAGAGTCAGAAGGAACTATGCAGTGTAACAGCAGAGGACTGTTTACAGCAGGATGAGCATGCCAATTTAACTGAGGTTTAACATACTACTTTCTAAACCCTTTCCTAATAATGCACAGCATATTTTCATGCATCTTTGTAGGACTCTATGATCTATTTTTAAAATGCCTAAAATCTCTATTTGTTGTTACATGTATCAGAAGTACCTGTTTTGTGGGCGGGAGAGGGGAAAAAAAAGAAGTACCTGTTTTAAATACTGGCTAAAATAATTTTCTTAATTGACAATGAACTCAAACAAATGAGCACATTTATTTTATGCAGAGTACTAATTGGATATATAGCATTACATTAGATGATGCCTACTATATTCAGCAACTGATACTTTAATATGAATTTTTCTACTCTGAAACATAGAACAAATGCATGATTCTTATGTTGATTTTTTGGGTTATTTTCTTGACTGTTTAAATTCAGTGCTTTGATTAAAAATGAAAAAGTAGTGATAAATTTATCTTTGAAATTAAGATACTTACTCTATTACTTGAGGATAAGATAATATACCTTGCTCACCTATTTCTCTGCTACATCCAGTGTTTCAAATCTTTGTTTGAATTTATTATTATAAAAAGAGTAAGATCCTTTTCTATAATATATCCATACTTCATCATCACATTTGTTACCAAATACGAGATGTATTAGGTCGTTGCAGCTCACAACTGATGAATATTTGAAGTTAAAACATTTTATTTTGAAATAAGCGTTCTAATAAAATCGTGGTTATAGATAGATGCTCCTGGACTTATGATCGAGTTACATCCTGATAGATCCATTTTTCATCAAAAATATTCTAAGTTGAAAATGCATTTAAGACCTCATAAATCCATTGTAAAGTTAAAAAGTCAGAAGTCCAACCATCATAAGTTGGGGACTGTATGTATTCTCTTTCGGGTGGATGATTTTCTTAATATTCCTTGAGAAATTCTCTATTTGACGTCATTTCATAGGAAGATGAGCATATGTTTTAGGCCTGTAGTGTTCTGGTGCCTCATCCTCTTTTTGTGTCAGCTTAATTTCACTATTATTTTCTTTGCTAACCTTTTTCATTTTACTTTAGCAAAACCAAGCCACTCTTAATCTACTTGGTTGTTTCCAAATAAACAGTGGCAGAACATAACAGGCCTAATACATATGCTCATCTTCTATGAAATGATGTCCTGTGTCCTGTCCTCCAGTGGTTTTCCAGCTCGGATAGGTCGCAGTGCTTTTCCAAGCCCACATTCCTTGGTGAGGCCTTTCTTGACCAATGGGAAAGATAAAACTCCCCCGGCATCTTCAAAACCCTATGCCAGCTTATTTTCTCTCTTGTATTCAGTAAAGCAAACTTGAAGGAATAGATGGAATTTCTATTCCATTTTAGGGTGTGCAAATCTCTGAGTATCTTTTCAAATAAAGGAAGGAAATTAGTTATTTGCCTATCTGTTATTGAGTGCCTGTAATGTGCTAGGCACTTTCCTCTACATTATCCAGTTAACCTCAGAACTATGAGAGGGAAGTTGTATTGCCTTAAGTTTTACAGATAAGGAGACAGGCTCCTAGAGGTTAGCAATTCACCTAGATGCCTAGAAGTTAACTGTATGTAACACTTACATGAAGTAATAGCCATAATTAATCAGAATAAAGATCTCAGAGTAATATAAGATTCTGACTTGCTTCTGAATCATCAGAAATAGATCGAAAATATATTCAGTGTTGCTATATTCTGACTATACTATTGTCCCCACATTCTTGAGAATCGATTATTAATATTGCCGTCATTTAAGTATTGCATATTTTTTAGCCACAGTGGTTGCTTAGTGGACAGTTTACTACACTGTCTTCAAATGGAAAAAATGTCTTACTATGATGCCAAATACATAGAGAATATAAATGTAAAAAGTAACACTTTTTCAGGTTATAAAAGTAGTATATATATATTTTTTTCTTTTCTTTTTTTTTGAGACATAGTCTTGCCCTGCTGCCCAGGCTGGAGTGCAGTGGCGTGATTTCAGCTCATTGCAACCTCCACCTCCAGGGTTCAAGTGATTCTCCTGTCTCAGCCTCCCGAGTAGCTGGGACTATAGGCATGCACCACCATGCCTGGCTAATTTTTTGTATTTTTAGTAGAGACGAGGTTTCACCATGTTGGCCAGGCTGGTCTTGAACTGGCCTCAAGTGATCCATCCACCTCAGCCTCCCAAAGTGCTGGGATTACAGACATGAGCCACTGCACCTGGCCAGTATATATTCTTTGTAGAAAAATAAGAAATACTCAAAGTAGAACAAAGAAAATGACTATCATTGATCTTATGACTTAGGGAAAAAATGCAGAGGGGAAAAGAATGGGAAAAAAATAGCTCCATCATCCAGAGTTAATCACTGCTTATAGTTTGGTGTATTGCCTTCCAGTATTATTTTCCATGCATATGTTTTTAAAAATAAGGTTGAAATTGTATGCAGGCTGTAAATCATTTTTCTATGACTTGTCCTTTTTACTTAATAATGTGACAGTTCTTCATGCATTAGGTATTCTTTAGAAAGTCTGTTTATATAAAGTTCTGCAGAGTAATCTCTACATAAGGATATTGAAGGAAATAAATGGTGGTATCACAGAGTCAATGAAGAAGTAGCCTCAGGAGTCTACCCAGGGGGAAGGCCTCTCTGAGGAGGTGACACTTGCATCGAAACTTGAAGAATGAGAAGCCAGGCATGTAACCATCCAAGGAAGAGAGATCCAGATTGAGGGCGCAACTGTGAAGTCCTTAGGCAGGAATGTACAGGGCGTGTTCCAGACCCAGAAAGGGGGCTCGTGTGTAAGTGAAAATGGTAGAAGGATGAAAGCATTAGGTAACCTCACTTAGGATTTTGCCATGGGAAGCATGGAGGAGTTTGAATAGGGAGGTGGCATGGTAATAGGACCAGGTGGGAGAGGATTGTACTAGTGTAGGTGAGAAGGGTGGCTGGGGAATGGAGAGAAGTGGATATATTTGAAATATGTTTTGGGGTTAGAATTGATTGAACTTGCTAGTGAGGGAGAATGGATGAGGTTTAAGAACTGCGTTTTGGAGCCCAATCTTTGGTGAAAAATATTTTTGGGTCATCTTTGAAAAAAATCCTTTTCAAGCAGACAGCATTTTAATGCTTTGTCTGTTTTTTCCTGTTTGTCAGCTCTGTCACCAGCCTGAAAGATTTAAAAATTCAAATTAATGGAGGTTTATTTGTTCTTTACTCAGGTCACATTTCTGGGTTTTAATGAAGAGACAGATGCTGCTCATATACAGGTATGGTGAATTTTAGCATTTTTACTGAGTATTCTTGTCATGGAAATCAGCTTTAGGTTTGACCACAAAAGTCATTTATCTGAGAAGGTTGCAAACCGCAGACTGACTTTTTCTGCATTCTGTGTATAATACAGAATGTATGACTTGTTTGTTTATTTTGATGGCTTTAATAATTTTGACCTTAACAGTAAAAATTCTTATGTTTTTAGTTAAGATTGAGTTAAATTTAAAAGGTAAGATTTGTAAAAATTAACAATTAGCCAATGCAAAAATTTAGCCTGTTTGATTTAGGCAGTTATTGACAGAGGGACTGATGTTTGAGATTGGGATCAGCAAAGGAAAGCTTCACAGTTACATAAACAGTGGTTGAAGTTCCTGTACATATGATAGGCATACTTTTCTTTTTCCCTCGTGCTGCTTCTTAAAAATTTGTGATTCCTACATATTTCCTTTTGTGGCAGTAAAGTGTCTCCTCATAGAGGAGGAAATAACATTTTTAGGTCTTTCTGAATAATGCATATCAGGTGATTATGGGCAAAAACTGCTGTATATTTTGATTGTGGCCTTGCTTGAAGGAAATAATTTGGACAGAAGGAACAAGAGAGGATATATTCTTGAGAACATACATAGCTGGAAAGAGAAGTATTCCAAGATATTTCTTTAATGTTCTTCTTCTCCTTTAAGAGTTACTGATAAAACCATGTTTATAAAGGAAAGTACTCTACAAAGGGTCAAAGACTTTAATAATTCTTTAGCTGGGTAAAATATTTGTGTATAAAGGGCAAACAAGAAGAAGAAATAAAAGCGATTTTCTTTTCCTTTAATCTTCATTAAAATTATCAGTTAAAGTCTAATACAATACCTTGGAGAGGAAAGATAGAAAAACGGATTATATTGTACAGAGTTTTTAAAAAAAAGTTTTTAAGATGTACATTCTCTAGCAAAAAATTTTGTATGAAAAAAATTTCATAAAGTTAAGTTAAGACCTATATGTTGACATTGCTAAAAACTATTAAATGCTTAATTGTCATGGATGTGTTAGGTACCCTGTACAATTTTTTTATAGCTTGATATCAGTACATTTTAAAGGCTACGGGGATAGCCAGTATTTAATAATTTTAGTATATTTTATTTTTGAATTTTTGAAAAATTATCTGTGAATAATAAACTGTATATGTTAACTATTATGAACCAGGAAATTCACTAGCCAGTAGACCTTAAAATTTTTGGATAGGGTCCACATTATAGGAACCTTAACAAAAGTGTTACTCTACAGTGTTACTTATTGTTATTATTTTAAATCAGGATTTAGCTGCAGTTTCTTTGGAACTTCCAGATATTCTGAATTCACTCCACTTCTGCAGTCTAAATGAAAATGAAATTATTTGTATGAAGAATATAAATAAACCATTAGATATAAGCAGTGATCCTCTAAATCAGGTAACTTTTGTAGATAATTTCTAATGAGATTTTTAGGGCAAATTTTACTATATTTGATAAAGATGATTAAACTTTTAAATGCTTGGATGACATTTGTTTTTTTTAAATGGTATCTCAAGGAAATATGATTCATAAGAAATATAACTCATGAAGCATTGACATCCCTGAAGGATATAATAATTTTGGTCATATCTTATAAATTATATTTTTTAACTGTGAAGTTCCGTAGATGGTATGCAAGTACATGTTAATTTTTTCTGAAAATTTATTATTTCTGGATTTCTTGAACTACTTTTACCTTTGTATAAGCTACAGTGACTTTTCCCTATTATGGCCAATTTCAAATTTATATAAATGTTACGCTATATGTTTTAGAGAATGTACTTCAGTTCATTTTCTGGTTTAAAAAAATTCCATGTAAAGTGGACATCTGATGTGTTCTTTATAAATAAAAATGTTACCATTTCTTACAGGTGGTTAGTTTTATAATATTCAGCATTTAGTTCTTTACCAAGTATGATTTTGTTGATAATGCATCAGAGAAAATGCTTTGCATTCTAAGAGATAAGACATATACAATTGAACCAGAAAATTTAAAATTTGGATTATTTTAGTTTTAAAAAAACTGCTATGTTGTTCTTTATAAGGTCTGCCAATAAAACTAGAACTGCTTGCTTCATTTCCTTAATTATGTTCTTTATTCGTATTTGCTTTATTTGCTAGGATATAAGAGGTGATAAGCTATTATATTTGATTTCTAGTTTTTTGAATAAATAATTTCATCAGTATTTACTTGAAAAAAGTAGTATGAGGGGGAAAATCTGGTTACTTGTATTTTTAAAGCTATAAACATTGTAAGTTGTAATGCTAGGGAAATTTAAGTAAAAGGAGTAGACTTTTAACAATTGTGATAGGAAGGAAGATGGCATCATACTTGAAACTACGGGAAAATGGGATTAAAAATAAAAGAAAATAGAACTTGGTTGCTGCCCCCAAACAATTTATAATAGTTAGTGAGATAGGTGAATGATTAAGGAAAATCATAGGGCTGTACAGTAATACAGGAAAACATAATTGCTCAAAGGAATGGATAGTAAGTTTCATAACATTTCAGGAGACTGGGTAGAATTTGAATACCTGGATAAAAGAAGATGGGAGAAAAAAGGACTGGAAAGTGAAAAATGTAGAGAAAGAATTAAGAAGTAAACATTACAAAACCAAGGAGCTTTTCAGGATGCATGAATTTCTTGTTTGTTTTTTTCTCTGAGATTGTCTTATATCTAGGCTTTACTTCATGTTGTTTTGTATTTGAAATTAAAATTGTTTTTATTATCTTTTATCTTTCCCAAGAGTCATCCTTCTGGAATGCTTTGTGTCATGAGAGTGTCACCTACATCACCAAGACTTAGGATTGATTTTATCTTTAGTCTCCTAAGTAAATATGCTACTGGTATAAGGTACACCTTGGACACATTCTTGCATCAGAAGCACCAACTTGAGACCACTGATGAAGATGATGATGATACTAACCAGTCTGTGTCATCCATAGAGGATGACTTTGTCACTGCTTTTGAGCACTTAGAAGAGGAAGAGACTTCAAAGCCATACAATGATGGTTTGTTTTTCATTAGACTTTTTCCTAAAATAGGGAATTAAAATTTTTCAGTTTTGAAAATTTTAAGGCAGGCTTGTTCAGTTGAAATTTATGTTGAGATTTGATTCAATTTAAACCTTTTAACTTTTTTTCTGATTACCTAAGGAAATTCCTTATGATTTTTAAGTTCATTGTAATCTGGTTTTCAGTTTTGCTTATTTCAGGTTTTCATATTTAGTTGGTGCTGTTCACGCACTGGTTACATCATTAAGTGTCTGGAACATTCCTAGGTTCCAATTTTGGAAGAGTTAGCTGGCAGAGTCTCCACGGTAATTTTTCTAACATGCGTGACAGCATGCAAAACATCCCATAGACCAGGTATCCCTAGACATAGAGTAAACTGAAATTATTTTATAAACAGTATATTTACTTTCAAATGTTACTTGGGTGAATCTTTCTGTTAAACATAGTTTAGAAGATACACATAAATATTATATGTTTAAAGTCAGTTTATTCCATGGATTTAAGTTAATTTCCAAAAAGTTTTGTTCAAAAATAATTTCACCATTTCATTCTTTTCCTATAGGAATGAACATTACTGTGCTAAGGAGCCAGTGTGATGCTGCTTCCCAGACGGTTACTGGTCATCATTTAGAAACCCATGATTTAAAGATTCTCATTAGCTCTGGACAGCAGAAGTCATTGGCTAAACCCTCAACTTCCTCAGTGAATGTCCTGGGACATAAAGAACTACCTTCTGTGAAAACTTCAGTCACAACATCAATTTCAGAGCCTTGGACCCAAAGGAGTTTCTATAGGTCATCTAATGCTTCAGATAAAGATAGTGATTTACAGAAAACATTTTTTTCGTCTTCTCCTGCCTACTCATCTGAATCAGAATGTTCAAGTCCAAGTCCTGTTATTTTCTTGGATGAAGAGGGATATCAAAAAAGCTTAAAAGCAAAACTTGAGCTGCCTAAAATTCCTGTGATGAAAGATGATATAGAGGATTCAGACTCAGAAGTAAGTGAATTTTTTGATAGTTTTGATCAGTTTGATGAACTAGAACAAACTTTAGAGACTTGCCTGTTTAACAAAGATCCCGTCATAGGGAAGTCATCGCAGAGGAAAGGGCACAAACATGGAAAGTCATGTATGAATCCTCAAAAATTCAAGTTTGATCGTCCAGCTCTCCCAGCTAATGTTAGAAAGCCAACTCCTCGTAAACCAGAATCTCCATATGGTAACCTGTGTGATGCTCCGGATTCTCCTCGCCCAGTGAAGGCATCAAGGGAAGATAGTGGTTTATTTAGTCCTATTCGATCCTCTGCTTTTAGTCCTCTTGGAGGCTGTACTCCAGCTGAATGTTTTTGCCAAACAGATATTGGTGGAGATAGGATTCATGAAAATCATGATTCTGTTTATTACACCTATGAAGACTATGCAAAAAGCATTTCATGTGAAGTACTAGGCTCAGTTCTTCGTACCCACCATACTAATACCCTATCAAATATTAACAGTATTAAACATGGAGAAAATAAAACTGTAACTTTTAAGCATGGAAACCTTGATCAAAAAAATAAATCTAAAAATAAATCCTTAATGATTAAAGATAGCATTCAAAAATTTGCAGCAGATCTTGTGGAAAAAAGTTTTGGCAGTGCATTTAAAGACTTACAGAAAGGAGTCTCTTCATGTACCAATGCTTTGTACCACTTAGCCATCAAATTGACATCATCTGTTTTGCAGATGGCATTTGATGAGCTGAGAAGGCAGCGTGCATTTTCACTAAAAGAACGTGCCATTAGTGGCCTGGCTAACTTTTTGGTGAGTGAAGCTTTATCAAATGCCTTAAAAGATTTACAGTATGTAAAGAAGCAGATATTCACAAACACAGTTGCTAGGTTTGCTGCAGATCTTGCTGAAGAGCTTGTTTTTGAAGGCATCATGGAGGTGTGTCAGTTTTCATATCCTCAAACGCCTGCATCTCCACAGTGTGGGTCGTTTGACTTTGAAGACAAAGTAGTGAAGTTGTATGCAAAAGATTTGTCTGAATCTGTAATACAGGAAGCATTCATTGAGCTATCACAAGTTGATGTGACCTTTACAACAAAGGCAGCAGTTAGTGTCTCTACGGATAATATCAAGTATGTGAGTGCAGAAAGTGTAGTGCCATCGACACAGGCTGTCACGTTTTCCCCTTCTTTTCACAATCAAGCAATTATGGTGACAAAACCAGTGCAGGAATATAAAAAGGAATACACAGTGCAGCAGGCCTTGTTTTGTACTTCTGGAATTGTTACTTCTATACCGGTGCCCTTGGCAGGAAGTGCCCTTCTCCCATATCATATTTCATCTACTGCATGTCAGGCCAAGGCTCATCTGTCATCTGATGATAGTAATTCAAATGGTGATTCTGCCCAAGTGCATATTGCCACAAAAAACAGAGAAGAAAAAGCAGCTTGTCTCAGAAATATTTGTTTACCTTCAGAACACAATCCAGGTAATCAGAATGATTTTAAACCAACTAATGACGATATTGAAATGCAGAGTTCCTCAAAATTACCAAATGATCCTGCAATTATTAGCAACTTTTCTGCAGCAGTGGTGCATACGATAGTAAATGAAACTTTAGAGTCAATGACATCATTGGAAGTTACAAAAATGGTTGATGAACGTACAGATTATTTAACTAAATCTTTAAAGGAGAAAACCCCTCCATTTTCCCACTGTGATCAGGCAGTGCTGCAATGCAGTGAAGCTAGTAGCAATAAGGACATGTTTGCTGACCGGTTATCTAAATCTATTATTAAACATTCCATAGATAAGAGCAAATCAGTGATCCCAAATATAGATAAAAATGCAGTATACAAGGAAAGCTTGCCTGTTTCTGGAGAAGAATCACAGTTGACACCAGAAAAGTCTCCCAAATTTCCTGACTCTCAGAATCAGTTAACTCACTGCTCACTTTCAGCTGCAAAGGATTGTGTTCCAGAATGTAAAGTTTCTATGGTTCATGGATCCTCCCTAGAGACACTGCCATCTTGTCCAGCTGTGACAGGTCAGAAATCTGACTTGAAGGAATCTGCTAAGGATCAACCACTGAAAAAGCATAACTTGAATAGTACATCACTTGAGGCCTTGTCTTTTGGACAGGAAAACCCCTTTCCTCATTCACATACTTTCTCATCTACAGCACTTACCTGTGTAGATGGTTTGCATGTGGAAGATAAACAGAAAGTCAGAGACAGAAATGTAATACCTGATACTCCTCCATCAACTCCTCTAGTACCATCCCGGGCTAGTTCTGAATGGGATATCAAGAAGTTAACTAAAAAGCTCAAGGGAGAATTAGCCAAAGAGTTTGCACCTGCTACACCACCTTCTACTCCACACAACTCATCTGTTGGTAGTTTGTCTGAGAATGAACAAAATACTATAGAAAAAGAAGAGTTCATGTTGAAACTCATGCGATCTCTTTCTGAAGAAGTTGAGAGTAGTGAAAGTGGAGAGCTCCCAGAAGTGGATGTGAAGTCGGAGCACTCAGGGAAGAAGGTTCAGTTTGCAGAAGCATTAGCTACACACATCCTTTCTCTTGCAACTGAAATGGCAGCTTCCCATTTAGATAACAAAATAATTCAAGAACCCAAGGTTAAAAACCCTTGCTTAAATGTGCAAAGTCAAAGAAGTGTGTCGCCTACTTTTTTAAACCCCTCAGACGAAAATTTGAAAACATTATGCAATTTTGCGGGTGATCTGGCAGCAGAAGTCATTACAGAAGCTGAGAAAATAGCAAAAGTCCGAAATTGTATGCTTTTCAAGCAAAAGAAGAACAGTTGTTATGCTGATGGTGACGAAGATTATAAAGTAGAAGAGAAGTTGGATATAGAGGCTGTAGTGCACCCAAGAGAAGTGGATCCGTTTATTCTTTCATTACCACCAAGTTCTTGTATGTCAGGTCTGATGTATAAGTATCCCAGCTGTGAAAGTGTGACAGATGAATATGCAGGTCACCTTATTCAGATACTAAAACAGGAAGGTGGTAATAGTGAGTTGATAATGGATCAGTATGCCAATAGGCTTGCCTACCGATCTGTTAAATCAGGATTACAGGAAGCAGCTAAGACAACCAAAGTGCAGTGCAACTCAAGAATGTTCCCTGTGCCAAGTTCACAAGTGAAAACAAACAAGGAACTGTTAATGTTTTCAAACAAAGAGCACCACCAAGAAGCAGACAAAAAGAGACAAAGTAAAAGAAATGAAGGTTACTTTTGTAAAAATCAAACTTGTGAAAGGACCCTGGATCCATATAGAAATGAGGTCTCCCAACTGTATAGTTTTTCAACCTCTCTGGTTCACAGCATAACAAAAGATGCTAAGGAAGAGTTGACAGCCTCTCTAGTTGGCCTACCAAAATCCTTAACAGATTCTTGCTTGTTTGAAAAATCTGGATATGAAGAAGATAATGAGTGTCACGTTACACCAGAATTGCCTAAGTCTCTTCAGCCTTCCTCACAAAATCACAGGTTTTACCACAGCACTGGCAGTTTAAATGGATATGGTTGTGGAGACAATGTTGTTCAAGCTGTAGAACAGTATGCCAAAAAAGTAGTGGATGACACTCTAGAGCTAACTCTAGGATCTACAGTGTTCCGAGTGTCTGAGACCACAAAATCAGCAGACAGGGTCACTTATGCAGAAAAGTTGTCACCTCTTACAGGTCAAGCTTGCAGATACTGTGACCTTAAAGAACTCCACAATTGCACTGGAAATTCATCTCAGCACTTTTTCAGACAGGGTTCTCTCGCCAGTAGTAAGCCAGCTTCTAATCCAAAATTTAGCAGCCGCTATCAGAAATCTAGGATTTTTCATCTCAGTGTCCCTCAGATTCATGTTAATCTTGATAAGAAGGCAGTGCTTGCTGAGAAGATAGTTGCTGAAGCCATTGAAAAAGCTGAGCGAGAGCTGAGCAGTACCAGCCTGGCAGCCGACAGTGGGATCGGACAGGAGGGTGCCAGCTTTGCTGAAAGCCTTGCCACAGAAACCATGACAGCAGCTGTCACAAATGTTGGGCATGCTGTTAGCAGGTAAGTTTCACGTTTCTTTTGGTTGTTAATGATAAATTAAAAAGATAAATGTGATCCTATATGTCTTAGGTCCTGTTCATAAAGGAATGATTATTTTTAACCCTACATAAACAAAAGTTTTCCCTGTTGCATTTATGTATTGTTTCATATCCTACACATGACTTTAATATATTTTGGTCTCCTGATCCCTTTTGAGGGAAGGTGTTATCCATTTACAGAGCTGGAAAATGAGGGTTGGAGAAAATAATCACCTTATCCAAGTTCATAGAGCTATGAAATAGGTAAAGTTGAATTAAATAAATAGCTAGAGAATTTTATATAGTAGTCCCCCCTTATTCTCAATTTTGCTTTCCTCAATCTGAAAATGTTAAATGGAAAATTCCAGAAATAAGCGATTCGTAAGTTTTAAGTTGCATGTTCTGAGTAGCATGATGAAGTCTCACACCATCTCACTCAGGATGTGAATTACCCCTTTATCCAGTTTATCCATACTACATGTGCTGTTCACCTGTTAGTCACTTAGAAGGTATCTCAGTTATCAGGTCCACAAACCTGGTATGTACAGGGCTTGATGCTATCTGCAGTTTCAGACATCCACTGGGTGTCTTAGATCATATCCCCCATGGATAAGGGGGGACTATTCTATAGTAAATGTAGAATATTACTATATTAATTTACTATTCTGAGATTAAATTTTTGTACACCTTTCTTCATTCACAAGGGTAAGTTTTCTTATAAAGACCATGGTTAAACTACTCTGAAGAAGAAAGTGAAAATTCTTTACATACTTACACCATTTCTCTTGATTGGTTCACAATCTAAGAGGACAGTTCTTTCTGGTAGTCCTACAGTGTCCTGTTTTTCAGTAGCTATCTCTTGTGCTCAGTGATTCTTTTTTTTTTTTTGAGATGGAGTCTCGCACTGTTGCCCAGGCTGGAGTGCAGTGGCACAATCTCAGCTCACTGCAACCTTTGCCTCCCGGGTTCAAGCGATTCCTGTGCCTCAGCCTCCCTAGTAGCTGGGATTACAGGCACCCACCACCACGCCCAGCTAATTTTTGTATTTTTAGTAGAGACAGGGTTTCACCAAGTTGGCCAGGCTGGTCTTGAACTCCTGACCTTAGGTGATCTGCCCACCTCAGCTTCCCAAAGTGCTGGGATCACAGGCGTGAGCCACCGCAACCAGCCATGCTCAGTGATTCTTTAATAACAACTTAGTTACAGTTTTTCAGTTTAAACCTTCTTTGTCCCTGAGAAGATATCAGGACCAACTTGTGTTATTAGTTGATAGGATGATATTTGTAAGTCCTGCTTGAAAGAGAAAATGCTTTAAGTTGAGGTGGAATTTAATTGAGTCACATGATATTCCAGATTTTTGAGTAGCTTCTGTTAAAGCCATGACATGGTCTGCCTCTTTTCTTATCCATCTTAAAATAGGGAGATATAGCTTGGCCAGGATTCTTGAATCCAATTGCTCCATAGCGTCTACTTGAGATGAGAGATGATGTAGGTTTCTGGTGAACTAGGAGAGGTCTCTATTTGCCCTAATCAGGCAGCCTTCTTTCTCCTAGACCAGGGGTTGGCAAACTACAGTCTGTGGGCCAATGTGGCCTACTGGTTGTTTTTGTATGGACTGCAAGCTAAGAACAGATTTCATGTTTTTTTTTAATGGTTGAAAAAAATCAAATGATATTTTGTGATGTGGAAATTATATGAAATTCAAATTTCAGTATTTATAAATAAAGTTTTATTGGGACACCACCATGCTCATTCAATTACACATTTCTGTGGCTGCCTTTGTGCTATAATGGCAGAGTTGAGTAGTTGGGACAGAGGCTGTATGACCAGCAGTGCCTATGTACTTCCTGTTTGGCCTGTATTAGTTCATTTTCACACTGCTATAAAGATACCACCTGAGACTGAGTAATTTATAAACAAAGGAGGTTTAATTGACTCACAGTTCTGCATGGCTGGGAAAGCCTCAGGAGACTTACAGTCATGGCACAAGGCAAAGGGGAAGCAAGTGTTTTCTTCACAAGGCAGCAGGAGAGAGAGAGAAGGGGGAGCTGCCAGACACTTTTAAAACCATCAGCTCTCATGAGAACTCCCTCACTGTCATGAGAACAGCATGGAGGAAGCCGCCCTCATGATCCAATCACCTCCCACCAGGTCCCTCCCTGGGGGTTACAATTTGAGATGAGATTTGGGTAGGGACATAGAGCCAAACCATATCATGGCCTCTTACAGAAAACAATTGCGAACCTCTGTCCTAGATCCACATTTTCGTTTTCACTACATACCAGTTCCTAGTATGATAATAAACATAATAAATTGTTAATAAATATTCTCATGAATAGGTAATAAATTAGGCCTTTTTACAATTGAAATAATTTTCCTCATACAGGTTGCTTCAGGCTATTTTACTTTTTACTCCTCCTCAGTTCAGTCCTGTCTGCCCTACGGACCCATCCATCCCCCTTTCCTCCCACCCTCATGGGAAGAAAAGAGACTGTCCTCTAAAGTTTTTAAGACATCACTCTCAGGGGCTAGCAAATGCCTTTGTTATTGATTTTCTCAGTAATTTCCACTTTTCCTTCTTAGAGTTGGGTGAGTAGATAGCCCCTAAAGTTCTTCCTGTAAGCCAGTGCTGTCCAATTTCAGCTTTTTATTAAGGCTGGAGTAATTATTTTCCTGCTTCTCTTCTTAATAATTGTGCTAGGGTTCTGTAAATACTGACTAAGGAAAGCTGACTCTAGTGTGTAGAGTTTACGTTTAACATTTTTTATTTCTAAAGTTAAATTTGTCTTTCAAACTTGAAAGGAGATTCATTCAGATGGATTATTCTTTAAGGTATTATTTCACCTGATGTCCCTTTTTGTTTGATTCATGAACATGACCATAAATATTTCACAAACTGTAATGAACAGAGAGGTGGCATGTGAATGCAATTGGGAAATTATGTGATAGTACATTTTTATTCATTTTTGTTTGTTGTTGTTTGTTTGTAGAGATGAGATCTCACTATGTTGCTCAGGCTGATCTTGAATTCCTGAGCTCAAGCAATCCTCCTGCCCTAGCCTCCCAAAGTGCTGAGATTGCAAGCATGAGCCACCGTGCCTGGCTGATAGTGCATTTTTAGCCAACAAAACGATTATATTCTAAGCTATCATTCCGAGCCAAAATAACCTCACAGTCATTATAAACTCTTCTCTGGACCTCATCCTTTGGGTCATTTCAGCCAAAAACCATGAGAATGTGGCACATATTAGGAAAAGTATTCAAAAAAACAAAGTAGTAATCTATCAATGGTTCAGAACTATAATGTGCCTATGCTTGGAATGCTCAGTATCATTCTGTATCTTACAAAATTAGAATAGCTGAAAAAATGGGGGGCAATTCAGGGGCTATTCTCAGGATAGCACTAGGGATACGGAAGTAAGTAAAACAGGCAAAAATCTGCATTCTCTTGGAGCTTATGTTATAGTGGAATAAGACAATAGGTAAGTAAAATATATAGTATGTCACATAGTGATAAGTGCTTTGGGGGAAAAATAAAGCAAGGTAGGGAGTTAGGGAGTTAGAGAGTGCTGGTGGTGACAGTGGCGGTGGCCATTAGGGCTGGTTTACAGTTTTGGATAGGTAGCAGGGGAAACAATACTGGCAAAGTGATACTTGAGCCAAAAACCAAAAGTGAAATGAGAATAAGTCATGTGGGAGTCACCGAGAACAGATTTCCAGGCCTAGGGGTGGGACTGTGCATGTTTGGGAAACAACAGAGAGGCTTGTATTGCTGAAGTGGGAGGAGTGGGCCAGGGAGAACATAGGAGGAGTGGGCCAGGGAGAACAGTAGGAGTTCAGATGGATGTTATAAGAGGGGACAGGCAGTATGTTTTAAGGATTTGGGCTCTTCGGCTTGGTGGGAAGCCATTGGAAGGTTTTGATCCGAAGACTGACATTTTTTCTTTTTATGGAAACATCACTTTGAACTACTTTGTTGAACATAAAATGTAGTGGGACAATTAAAATAGTTGAGCAGTGAATGGACTTTCTTGTGATGATGGAATAAAAGTATAAATGCCTCTTATTGAGAAAAATGAAAGGGGTTATGATCTATGTTCAAAATCTTGAAGAGATTTGGTTAGTTTGAATACAGGCTTGGTTGACAATACTAGAATTTCTTGAACGACTTTTTTGTTCTTAAAGCCAGAAAGAGACTCCTTTAACATAAATAAAAGTACTGTTTTACAAAGCAGATGATAACTTAGGAACTTGTACTGCCCCATGGTATCTCAGTTGAAAAATGAACTGCTTTAAGTAGAATTTAGAGAAATAATGCCCTAGGGATAGATCCATTGTAGATTAACAAAGTAAGTTATGGCTGTTGGTGGGTACCTCAGTTAACTTTGAAATTAATACGCTATCCTACAGTCTGTTTGTTGGCAGACTCAAATAAAGGATTACATGAGCCACTGGTCTGATTCCGAATACCATTTCTTGTTTTTATCATCTTTGTCATCAAATTGATAGTCTTGTAAGTTCAGAATCTGGGATGCTTTCAATTTGATTTTTTTTCTTTTTTTCTTCTTTTTAGTTCAAAAGAAATAGAAGACTTTCAGTCAACCGAGTCTGTCAGTAGCCAGCAGATGAACCTCAGTATTGGTGATGACAGCACTGGTAGCTGGTCCAATTTAAGTTTTGAAGATGAACACCAAGATGAAAGCAGCAGTTTTCATCATCTAAGTGAAAGGTAACTACACTTTTGCATATAATTGTGTAGTTTAGGTCCTCAGATCTTAGAAGTGAGCTATAAATTTACATTATTATTTAAAAATTCTAAATTTGAAAATATGCTATTACTTTCAAAATGTATTTTATTATTCACAATGTATTTCTAATTGTTTTTAACACTTATTTAATACAGTAAGTAGCCCAGCTAATTTTATTGGGGTGTGCCAATAGTTGATTTGAAAAATATTGCATACATTTAATTTTATGCCTTTTAAGCTTCTCCCAAACTTTTTATGAACTTCTGAGGAAAAATTTTTTTTTTCACTTTAAAAAGGGTACTTTTTTTTCTTTAAAGAACAAGAAAAAGGACAGGTATCTGTAAAAGGCATCAAAGTAGCCCTGTACTTTTCCTGACATTAGTTAAAATAGTATCTTTTTGGTGGGGCGAGGGTCCCTGCTTGTCCTGCTGTTAGGAACAAAATGACCTGGAAGACTTATGCTTGAATGATTGAAAATACGTAAGTCAAAGCCATTATAAAAATGTGATTTTGTATAGCACAAGGCACTTACCTCATATATAACTTTTCTTAGTTAACTTTGTTCATAACAGTGGTGTTTGAAATATTTTATTAATTATGAGACAGTTGTTTCTTATAGTCTTAACCTCTACCTAAAGGCATTTCTGACTAACCTATAAAATTCTATAAACTCTTTATCCACATTAAGTGATAACTGGAAATAATAGATACCATTTGTAGCAGAGTCTTGAGGGAGGAAAGGGTTCTTAGCATATTGCTGGTTTCAGGCATGTGTGGAAAGGACCTGTGGACCATCAGTTGAACTTAGCCCCTGGAAATGGCAAACTAGGTGTGGGAGGGAAGGCAACTCTTGGAAAAGGGAATGAGGTAGCATAAGGAAAGGAAATGGCTTTTCACCTGATAGAACACTTCATCTCGAAGAGTTTTGTTCGATGCTTGGATTAACCTGGAAATATTAATATTTTTGTAAAGTATATTTTGTCATAGTTTATTATGGTGCTATATAAACCACCAATATTTCTTAAAATCTAGGTCCAAAAAGACAGTGTTTAAAACTGGTAGAAGCAAGTGGGGGCAATGTCACAAATCATGATTTGGCCCTTTTCTATAACTTTATCTAGAAAAGGATACTAACATTTAGTTTCTTCTCTCATTTTGAGAAACACAGGCTTCTATGATTTCAGTGGGGTTGACAGTGTTGCCTAGGAAATCCTGGCGTTAAAATGGGAGATTGAGGTGTGGGTAGAGGCTTTAAGCATTAAGAGGACTTGTAGTCAGTTGAACAACTCTGTGCTGAATATTATCTAATTTGATGAGAAAAAGGAGTCGTCTTACCGGTTTCTGTCCTTGGTTCTGTCCTCCTTAGCATTATTTATTAATGATGTGGAATACTCATTTGTGGATGATTCAACACAGGCTGAAAAAAGAATCTCATTAACAGAACAAAGGTTAAAAAGACCAAATCAAGCTGAGGTTAAAATAATTATGTTTAACATGGATAAATGCATTTAGGCTCAGAAAATTAATGATTAATATTTGAACTTAAGTGGGGAGCAAACCTGGCTTGATGGCATTTTGTCAGAAAAAGACCTGTGTTTCCATTGACCAAAGTTGTAATGTGACTTAATGTAATGCTGCGTGGCATTAAGGTTCTGGCACAGAGAAAAAGCGGGGCTCATCCAGGATTGGTGGTGTGCTCGTTGCATATACAGTGTCCAGGGTCTCACCTCCAGAGATGAAGATTTATGAAGTCAGTGAAGGGTCCTGAGAATCTGCATGCTTGATAAGCATCACAGATGATTTCAGTGCAGGTGATTCAGAGACCTCACTTGAAAATATATTGATTTACAAGATATGTTGCATCTGTTGATGACAATTGATATCTATACTGTTCTTTTCTGCTACAGAGATCAAGGTAGGAGATAAAGACTTCGGCGATTTGGGCTGGGCGCGGTGATTCACGCCTGTAATCCCAGAACTCTGGGAAGCCAATGGGGGTGGGGGTGGATCACTTGAGGTCAGGAGTTCAAGACCAGCCTGGGCAACATGGTGAAACCCCGTCTCTACCAAAAATACAAAAATTAGCCAGGCGTGGTGGCAGGCACCTGTAATCCCAGCTACTTGGGAGGCTAAGGCAGGAGAATTGCTTGAACCTGGGAGGCAGAGATTGCAGTGAGCTGAGATTGTGCCACTGTACTCCATCCTGGGCGACAGAGACAGACTCCGTCAAAAAAAAAAAAAAAAGACTGTGACAATTTGAAAACACCTTGCCAGTTTCATTATAAGCAGGAAGTTCAGTGGAGGGCAACAACTAAAAAACACACTAATTTCAGATTTTCAAAAGTGTTTAGGAGGATTATATAATTATTTGATCAGAAAAGAACTGGTCTCTGTCTGTGACTGTCTTAAATATTTAGGTAGTTTGTTATTCTCTTAGGAATTATGAATTAGATTAGGTTAAGGGATGGGGCCAGATTTGCAGAATGTTTCAGATAATTTTTATAAGATGTATCACAATCAAGACCAGTCTTGATATGGCTAAAAGCTGCAATAAAGCATTGCAGTACTGGACCACTGTAGTACTTATACCACTGGTTGGAGTACTCCTGTGCTAGACATAGGAAATATGAAAAGACATAAAAGAAAGTGATGGAAGCAGGGTAGTGTTTCAAGAGTGAAGTAGGAAAACTCTTAAGTGAAGAAATTAAGTTTTTTAAATGTTGGGTTAATACAGGGTGATCATACTTCCCACTTAGGATAGTTTGGCTTATTTCTGCTGTTCTGTTGTAATTATTAACGGTGAGGTCTTTAAAAAAGTGTCCTGGTTAGATGAAAAATGTATACAGTCACCTAGTTAGAAGTGGCATTTTATGAAGAATGACTTCAAATACCCATTTGGAGGCACAAAGAGGGAGGGGTGATAAGGTTAGAGGGAATTTGAATTTTTAGTCTTTACTTCGTTTAGCTGTTTTTTTTTAATGTTTATGTAATAGGTAGGTGATGGATTTTATTAAGTGGAAGAATCTGTGTGATGGGTAGAAAAATTTTATATTTTTTTGTTATAATCATTCTATTAATAGAAGTAAATAGAGTGTTTGAGATGATTAATTTTCTTTTTCTCCTTTGCTCACAGCTGTCTGTCCATTCTTTGTTTGTATATTTTCTTATTTTTAGTTTATCTGACAATGAACTACATGGGTTTTAACAGTTTTATAATAGAGCTATATTTGTTTGAACATATGTTAAAAAGACCCTGCTCAGTTTTAACTTTTACTCTCTAATACATCATGATTTGTGACAGTTTGATCATGTTAGAGTGAATATAACTATGCAAATTATTTGAGATTGCTTGGAAGTTTTTTAGAACTTGAAGTAATCACCTTTTTTTGTTAACCATACCAACATTTACTGATGTACATAAAATGATTTTATGTTTACTTTTTTAGAACCAAAATTTTGGTTTGTATAAATATTACTTTTTATAATTGCCTAGCATAATATTGGGAAAAATCGCTGCTTATCACTGCAAACTAATGTGCTTACTAATGTTTAATAATTAGAAATGATTAGAATTTTTAAATTGCATGCTGAGGGTTTTAATCTGAAAATTTGAATTTAATTTTATTTCTGAACATGGTTGCTTTTTTTAAAAATTGCTTTGCTGCAGTTTTAGAAAGTAGTTGCTTTCTTCTTCAGTTGATTAGGTAGTGTAAGACATTATCTGTATGTGGCATTTGTGACTGGCCAACTAGACAAGTGTAATGCTTGATTAAGCCTTGGCTATTCTAGCTGTATTCTGAAGAAAATGTTTGTTATTTGCCATCTACTGAATTATACATAATATATGAAATGAAGATAATTGACATAATAGTATTTTAAAATCTGAGAACATGTTTTGCCCAAATAGTTAGAAAAGGTCTGTTTGGGACTATGTCTTTATAGAGTCTTCCATCCCATCTCCCCCCAACATCCCCTCACCCATACCTGTCACTGTTTTGCACTATCTAAAGACCTGAGAGAATGTTAACCTGTTTTTTTTAACTTTATCCAAATAGAAAGGTATTGGCATTTCACAAATTATAGTTCAAGATTGGTCCTAAGACATTAATTTTCCTGTGAAACTTATTACTTCATGCATTCATTTGCTGTCCTAAAAGTCATTCTGTTAATCTGTAAAATATAAGTTTAGATAATTTTCATGATCTGTTGAGAAGAAAGAAAAAACTCCCGAATCTCTGAACTTGTCAGGCACCTTTTAGCATAGGAGTGATGGTCAATCTCCTCTCTGGATGTTCCCCTTCACTGTGGCAGCTTCAGAACATCTGCAGTTATCAAGGACAGAAGCTGTTCCGAGGAAACAAAGGTCTTTTCTACTATTCATTTTCTAGTTCAGCTCTGTTCTTTTCTTCCTCTGGCAGTAATGGTAACAGCAGTAGCTGGAGCAGTCTTGGTTTAGAAGGAGATTTGTATGAGGACAATTTATCCTTTCCAACATCAGACAGGTTGGTCCAGTCTAGAAACTTAAAAACTGATGAGTCTGTCACCACTAATGCATGATGTCATATTCTTCAAAGAATGTGGGTTACAGTGCCAGTATGTATCAACCTGCTTTTCTCCTATATTTTGACATGATTCTGCTTGATGAATTCACATCTAATGAAAAACTTCAACTGTGCTAAGATATGACTGACATCTAATTGCAAAATGTGTCACTGTTATGCATGTGTTGCTCTGCTTGCTATTTTTCATTCTACCAATTATTTCATTCAAAAGAGCTTGCTTCCTACAGGATTTCTGTTGGGTTTTTTTGTTATGTTTTATTTTTGTGTGTGATTTTATTTTATATATAAGAAAAGTATAGGTAAAAAGTGTTTTTACTGTATTAAAAATATATATAAATTGCATCAGCTAAACCATTAACAAATATTCCTGGCATTTTGTAATATTCAAATGCTACATTAAATTAGTAGACTATTTCAACTTTAAATGATTTTAAATTGAATATTATGAAATTACATGGCACTATGTATCATGGTAAGGTAGGATTTCTTGGTTTTGATAACTTTAGGGATCATTTGCAATTCAGATTTTAACATGAAATGATGTGAGAAGCAAAGCTTCCTTTTTTAATTGTCATTTCTCCCCTTTCTAAATGTCATATGTCATATTGTAACATTCATTCATTACCACATTTTTAAGAATTTGTTTTGATACCATTATTAATTAAATTTTTTTTGTAACTGCTTCTGCTATTTTATTCATAAGTGATGGACCAGATGATAAAGATGAAGAGCATGAGGACGAAGTAGAAGGTAATTTGATTTGTTTTTCAAAGTGTTGGCATGTGTTTTGTATAAGGTTTCCTAGAAGAGTCTTTATGCATTTTCATCAGATAGGCTCTAGGTTATCAGTGTAAAACATTATAAATCAGGGTATTCTTGAACTAATTTTGTTTGTCCACTTTTAGATCCTTTGTTGAGTAGTTTTATTTGATTGCTACACTAATGAAATTGTCATTGGTATAAAGAAATACTGGGCAGGCACGGTGGCTTACGCCTATAATCCCAGCATTTTGGGTGGCTGAGGTGGGTGGATCGCATGAGGCCAGGAATTTGAGACCAGCCTGGCCAACATGGTGAAACCCCATCTCTACTGAAAATGCAAAAATTAGCTGGGCGTGGTGGCGGGCACCTGTAATCCCAGCTATTTGAGAGGCTGAGGCGCAGGATTCACTTGAACCTGGGAGGCAGAGGTTGCAGTGAGCCGAGATCATGCCACTGCACTCCAGCCTGGGTAACAGAGCCAGAGACTCTGACTTAAAAAAAAAAAAAAAAAAAAAAAAGGAATACTTTATGAGAATTATTTGACTATTTGAGAGAGATTAATTACAGTCTCTCTACATAATTATTTTCAAAATACAAAAGCTAAAATTCTTACTCATGTTATAAGATAATTTATTATAACTATGGCATATTATTTTCATAATATTTTCCTTCCAAACTGGTAACTTGTAGAACCAGGGTTTCATGTCAAACTTACGTGAGTCAGTAAGTAATATTTTTACTTACCTTGTTTTCTAAAAGATATTTCTAAATTAATTATTCTTCCCTCCCCCAGTTCCAGTGCTTCACTCACGCATACACATATTTGAAGAAAATACTCAGATCCTTCCTTAATGAACATAGTTCCAAGTATGTCAATACTAGATATCACTGGCCACAGAGTTTTGGACCATAGTTTGTAATCCTTAATTCATGTTAGAGTATCTGAGTTTATTCATCTGAGTGAATTTAGAAACTTTACTTTGAAGCTGAGTTTTCATTATATTCAGGCGGTTGTTGAATTTTTTTCTGAAAGTCTAATTTTTTTCTTAATTTTGAAAATACCAATAATGTCTTCTATAAAGTGCACTTATAAAAGTATTTGTACTCTTTGAGATATTTGTTTTTGAACTAGTGATGTTTTAAAAATTGCTTCTCTAGAAGCAGGCAAACAGAAAATAGCTAAAAAGAATTTCTCGAAATTTACTTTATGACACCTGAATTTTCAGTTAGTTTAACACCTTGTTTAGGGAAGTCACATCCCAGTTTTTAAGCTGTAATCTTCAGACTTAAGATTATTATTTTTTAGTTTTAATGCCTCTGTAAGTAGACATTCTTTATATAAGGCTTCTAGAAGTCAGTTTTTCTCATCAGATATAAAGTCGAGATGGGGCAATATTTTTAGTGTTATTGATATTTGATATTGATATTCCCCACTGCAATATTTGTTTCATTCTTGTTCACTAAAAAAGTGTTGACTTTGTTTATAAAAGTTATGCCTTTTCTCAAGTAACATCTGTGAACAGTTATTCTAAAGGCTATACATCGTATAAATGCATGTGGTTACGTATTCTCTAATGAACTAGCGATTGTTTAACTAGCTTTACTGAGGAATGATTAAGAAAAAAGAAGATACAAGTTAATGTAAATATGAAATTTATCTTGAAAAAGATTACTTTTGGCACTAACCAGGCTGTTAAGGATTTCTTTTGTAGTTGGTAGAAATCAGGAGATTAATTATATGTTGATATGTCATTACTGAGTTTTTGAGATTATAGGTATTTCTCATTATATAGAAAGTTACAGCCAGCTTTAAATTTGTTAGAGATTGGTAAATTAGGAGCTAGATTGGTCTGGATTTATAGAAAGATTCAAAATTATGGAAATCCCAAGGCAACAAACTTATTTTTTTAAAAAAATAATTTTGTAGTTGCAGGATGTCAGTCCCTCCCCTTTTCACTAATGGTTAGAGACTTCTCTAAAGAGAGAGCCGTTTGGAGGTTCTTGTAGGCCAGGCAACCAGGAGTCCTGAACTGAGAAAACACCAGCAGTGCAAAGAAGCAGTGGGATGATTAGCTTCTAGCCCCCTGAACTCCTCAGGATTGCAGAAAGGCCCAGAGACCATGCCTTGTACCATGGTATGCCAAACCTATTTTTGATTGAGAGTGTTGGAGAGAGGGGAGGGAAGAGACAATACATTTATTTTTAGAGAGTAATGTGGACCAAATCTTTTTAATTAAAAATTAGGGACCAACACAACTCCTAAAAATAATTAATAGTGGTCTAGAATGGCCTGCAAGCTGTAGCAGAGAATCAGAGACATCTGTCAACAACCTTCCATTACTGGTACATGTTGGCATGATGTCTGCCAGCATGCCCTGGTGCTCACCTCTTGTGGTGTGTGTTAAGGGGTGGAGGGGTCCTGGTCTCAGCACTCCTTATTGCTCAGGTATCATTAAGCAGCAGGAATGTTAAACGCATGATATTGGCCCATAAGTCATTATTTCTGTCAACAGAGATGGATCCCTCTTTGTGATGAAAACATAATTATCATAAAAAAAGAAAATAAATTTGAGATAATCTTGAGACTAGAAGTATACCAGAAAATTCCCTGATCTGGCTTTTGGGTGTAAGTGGTTGCATATGGCATTTCCCCCCACTTTTGTCTGAAGAATGAGAGATTAAGAGCATGGAGCCAGACTGCCTGTGTAAATGTCCTGGCTCAGCCACTTCCCCACTGGAAGACTCTGGGGCTCTCTTTGCCTCAGATCTCTCACCTGTAGAATGGAGACAATAATAGTTTCTACCTCATAGAGTGGTTGTGAGGATTAAAGGAGTTTGTACATATAAAGAGCTTAGAACAATACTTAGGATGGAATATGTGCTGCACAGATGTTGCTGCTCTTCTTTATTTGAGATTTCTGTTTTTTTGTGGGGTTTTGTTTGTTTTTTGGGACAAAGTCTTGCTCTGTTGCCCAGGCTGGGTGGTGCAATCTCGGATCACTGCAACCTCTGCCTCCTGGGTTCCAGCGATTCTTGTGCCACAGCCTCCTGAGTAGCTGGGACTACAGGCATGTGCCACCACGCCTGGCCGGATTTTGTATTTTTAATAGCGCTGGGGTTTCACCATGTTGGGCAGGCTGGTCTCGAACTCTTGGCCTCAAGCGATCTGCCCACGTCGGCCTCCCAGAGTGCTGGGATTACAGGCCTGAGCCACCATGCCCAGCCTCATTTTTATTTTTATTGTAATGATAGCTTTATAGTTTTATTTTCTCTCTAACCCACTGGTCATAATTTATATCAAATTATGGCATTTATAGAACTTGAATTCAGTATGTTAAAATGATGTTTTATATTTTTGCAATCAATAAATGATCAAAGTTATTCCTTTGTTTTACATTATTTTGCCCTTTAGAAGTTTTAGTTGAGGTTATGGTGTGGTTAGAAAAAGATGGATATTTTTTTCACCATTCATTAGAATCCTAAGAACCAGAAAATATTTGTATCTACTTGACAACCAGAGTATTGAGAGTTAAATTGATGAGTTTTACTTTATATTGTTTACATTTAAATATTAGGTTTGGGGCAAGATGGAAAGACACTGCTAATTACGAATATTGACATGGAGCCATGCACGGTAGACCCCCAGCTAAGGATTATTCTTCAGTGGCTCATTGCCTCTGAGGCTGAAGTTGCAGAACTTTATTTTCATGACTCTGCAAATAAGGAGTTTATGCTAGTAAGTACCTACCTTACAGAGTGTGAGGATACATTTAACAGTATATGATGTTCTTGTCATGTGATTGGTCTAACAAGATGCCTGGTGATGGTTAAATTCTTAGGCTGTAGTGTCCAACAGTTTGGGTTCAGACATCAGCTCTGCCACTTTCTAGCAGTATAACCAGAGGCAGGTTCACCAGTCTGTCTCATTGCCCCTAACTGCACTATGCAAATGAATATAGAATCTACCTTACAGGGGTTTATGAGGATTAAATATAATGTTAAAAAAAATGCTTGGTCTAATGCCTGGCATAACACTAAGCTCTCAAAGGTAGATGCTATTAATAAGCATTGTGTGTGTTCCTATGAAAAAATTGAATTATTCTCTGTATTTAATTGATTTGTAATTGTACCTAATGATTAATATATCTGTTTCTCTGATAATCCAGTTTCATTTGTATGAGCAGCTGTCATAATTAAAAGCCGATAAAAGTTTAAACAAGATGCTTACTATGTGCCAAGTACCTTATTAGTCAAGATTTTCAGTTTACAGTCTTAAGGTTTTTGTTCCATAATTTTCTTTATCAGAACTTTCCTTTTGGGGTGGTAGAAATATTCGAATTGTGGTGTTGGTTGCATTCAACTTGGAGAACATACTAAAAACCATTGACTAGGACACTTTGGGTGAATTGTATGTTATGTGAGTTTTATCTCAATAAAGCTGTTTTTAAAAAGGTTAAGCATATATATGTTACACAAAATTAAAGTAGTTTTTCAGAATTTAACTTACAGATCTTTCAAAACTTAAGAGCTTTTACAGAACTTAGTAGAAAAAGAAATGAACAAAAGCATGTCGTGAGTGGTGACAACAGGATTTATTTAAACCTGTATTTATTTATTTATTTATTTGTTGTTTTGTTGTTGAAACATTAACATTCTTTAACTTAGAAAGCCATGTTTCCATTGAGGCTAGAGTGTGTATTCCAGAAAAATGCCACACTATATGTTGTGGAAGGAAAATCCACATCCTTTTATTGAGTTTGACGTTGTCTTTATTATTTTATGTCCTAATTGAGGGTGTGGCAGTTGTATTTAGTTAGGTGAAGAATTTCCTGTAGAAACTCAGCCTCTGCATGTCCATGCAGACTATTTGCTTGGTGAGGTTTGTGGAGCTCTGTCTCCAGCGATCCCAAAGTGTCATTCTCTGGAGGAGATGTGTTTATAAAGGGGAAGAAGGGAAAATGTTTAATTTGGGTAAAGGGGTAGCGGTTTAGAGGGGAAGACCTTGTTATAACTAGGAAACGGTATTTAATTGTAAACAGCAGGATTCTTAAGTTTCAGCTAATATTGAAAATAAAAATAAAAGCTTTGTTATAAAATTGTTTTTGGTTAATGTTTGACACATCTTTCTTTCTTAGCTTTCAAAACAATTACAAGAGAAAGGATGGAAAGTGGGAGACCTCCTGCAGGCTGTGCTTCAATACTATGAAGTGATGGAAAAAGCTTCCAGTGAGGAGAGATGCAAGTCGCTGTTTGATTGGCTCTTGGAAAATGCATAGAGCAAACCCCAAACCAGTATATTTTAGTATTTGTTTGGGGAGGGGAACAAGCCAATAAAGATGTTTAGGATAAAATTTGAATAGTGAATATTAACATCGTAAGTCAGTTGGGAGGCAAGTAAATATAGCTTTCTGAGCGCTTTGTGTTATCACTCGGTGTATATAGTTCATACTTTTGTAATCTGTCAAAATACTACCTTCATTTATTCTTCTATACACATGTGTAGTGTGTCAAGACCCTAAGAACATGTATTTGAAGGAAGGTCTAACCAGGGGGTTTTCAGGGGCATTGTCTGACCACATTCTTTTTGTATCCAAATAGTGCTGCTAGAAACTGCACTGAAGTGGCTGAGGATAGGTTCCAGTGATAGAGTTATAATTTTGCTCCTTTGCAAACAAATGGTATCTAATTAATAACTAGTCTGACATCAGAAAATAAAATTGAGGCTGATTTTTAAAAATTTCTAGTAGATTTTTGGCCTTTCCTGTTTTTAAAAATCAGTTTCATTTTCATATTTCATAGATCAGCTATTGGTAGCTTTTTGATTTCCCCAAACTATTTAATTTCTTAGCAGAAACATTAGTATTTTAGGTTTCTATAAACACTATAAGTGATAGTTTCCCCCATCCTTTCATTGACATTATTTGCCAATGCTGCCAGTCATTCTGGCATGAAAGGTGTGTGTGTGTGTGTGTGTGTGTGTGTGTGTGTGTGTGTGTGTAAGGGAGTACTTTAACCTTGCCAGTTTGTTCCCTCTTTTATTTTACTGTTTTCTTTTTAGAAACCCACTGTTAAAATTTAAAAAGGTGCTTTAAAATAAAACGCCTATAAAGATTGTGCAGTAAGAATTTTTATTGACAATAATTAAAATTTTTTTTGACAATTTTGGGTTCCCAACTTATCTTACAAGTGAAAACTTAAATTGTAAAACATGTTGAAATTTTAAAAATTAATGTTAATATGGAAATGCATTTAGAGAAGCCCAGTAGTTTTTATTGTTGGATTTTTGAAAAAACCTCTACCAAGAATGTGGTGTTTTTTTTGTTTGTTTGTTTGTTTGTTTTAGAAAAATTGGGATTTCCCCCCACCCCGCCCCACCCAGATAAACTATATCTACACTGTCTCGTCAAGTTCTCTGACACGATCTTTCTGGGCTCTACATTTCCTACTAGTTTGTGTCCAGAAACTGCAAGTTGACATGAATAGAGGACAAAGGTTGTGTCTTGCTTTTGTCTCTCTCTTCCCTCCCTGCAACTCTCTCTCCCCTCCTCCCACTCTCTTCCCCCTCCCCCCTCCTCCCACTGTCTCTCACCTCCCCCACCCCCCACTCTCTCTCATCTCTCGCTGTGTCCTGTGTATGTGTGGGTGTGTGTGTATTTGGGTGTGTAAATGTTGGTTCTTCCACTACTGGATTTTGTAATCTAGGATAAATCACTTTTTTTGGGGACTTTGATTTTGCTCCATTACGTTTTCATTTTTTCTGAGCACTGACTGTTCTGAAAGCTGCACAAAACGTAGAAAGAAGACATAGCGCCTGCCAGGGAATAGGAAATGAGGGCACTTACACATTAATGTGAATTAGTAATTGTGGTATAGAAATGTTTTATAGTGAAAGATTCAAATTTGCTTTTCAAGAAAAATGCCAAAAGCTATTTAAATAATTCGAGGTTACATCGTAGGTTTTGATTTTTCTCAATTTAAGATACAGAAATACAGCAAGCCTTAATATAAAGTTTCCTAAAGTTTCTTCAAGTATTTTTTAAGGTGGAGAAATGCAGGAATTGTATAACCAGAATTGTTCCTGCCTTTAGCTTTTCAGAACTTGAGATGTGGCAGCACTGGACTGGGTTTTTTTAAATGTTAGGACTAGGAATGTTTGCTCTTGTTAATTATGAATTAATTGATTATTAAGTTTAGAATGCATTTTTACAAGTATCTAACTATCAAATTGTGTTTAGTAACTTGAGTGTATGCACAAGTTTGATCAACAGCAAAATAGAGTTCTGAATTTCTTTTAAAGTGATGATATATTATTTTGTGAAACTTTGTGTTTGAAAATGTTTATTTCTGTTTATGGTGTAATCATTCTGAGGTGAGGCTTTTCTTATTTCCTTTGCATTTTGCTAGAGCTGTGCTGAGTTCAGCATTTGCTTATTTAACCACTACATAATGACAGACCAGTTATTAGGTATTAGCATGTGTGGTAATAATAATAGTGGAACTTCACACTTACATCAATTCAGTGCAGGGGCATAGAATAAAATATTAAATATTGGCAGATGTATGAAAAGAAGTGTGAGTTAAAAATATTGAATATTGGCAGGTGTGAAAACAAGTGTCAAAATTCCTCATATAGAGAAAATAATTTTGAGTTTAGAGTATTATCTTTTAATTAAGTGTAGTCTAAACTTAACTTTCTGTAAAGGCACTTTGTGGTTTTTCCAAAGATGTTCTAGATCTATTTGGTTGCTCTATAGTCAAACAGCTCTTTTGAAGACAACTGTCTTATTTTATTACAAATTGGCTTGACATATTTATACTGTAACATTGTAATATTGCTGTGCTGTACATTTTGGCCCTTACGAAATACGTCTTTTTCAGAACTGTTAAAGTTTTGATGTACATCGAGCTGAATTCTGTTTTTACCAGTTTCAAAACCTTCAAGTGATATGTGGAAAAAAGTGAATGAGACCTCTGATAGGGGGTTTTCAGAACCTTGTTCACACCAAAATGTGACAGTTCTTTCATGTTTTCCTAAACCAAGTTAAAATTACATGTATATTTTGGTGTTAAGGTTGATTTTTAAGATACTTCTGATTTGTACAAAAGGAATGTTTCCTTTATAAATCACAGAAGAAAATGACAATATCTGTTGGATATTTGATATAATTTAATGGTGTTATAAAACCTTTAAGAGGATTCATGGTGAATATATGTGATAACATCTTTATACTTTGAAAAATGTTCCACTTACCCTTCAGATATTTGTTGTAAGTTAATTCAATTCTTAATACTTTAATTTTGCTCCAACAAGGGCTTTATGTTGCTGGTAAGAGAATTTATTTACTAAATGCACTATGTATAAAGTGAAAGATAGTTTACTTATCTGACTTTGATATTAGATGGCTGACATTAGTGCACATAATGCAGAGTTTAACCTTGATTCTTCAACAGAGTCCAGATTTAAATGTCTACTTAGTTAATTAGTTAGCTGATATTCTTCCACAATTAA
Organism: Homo sapiens; assembly: GCF_000001405.40. Classification (NCBI taxonomy): domain Eukaryota; kingdom Metazoa; phylum Chordata; class Mammalia; order Primates; family Hominidae; genus Homo; species Homo sapiens. The sequence goes on from NC_000013.11 coordinate 42,322,462, forward strand.
TATATTCAATTTCCCATCAGTATATCACTTTAAATTTTATGTTTTTCTAAGGAAACTTTCCACAGAATTTTAAACAACTGATGCATCCATACTCAGGGTGTAGGGAGAATACTTTGCATTTAAAAACCCTGTCCACCTGTCACCAGCACAAGAGAATTAGAGCTTCAGTGAGAATTTAGAAAAATTATACTAAAGTGAGATGCATTTTTTCTCATTTTCAGCAAGACTCCTCTAAGCATTTACTCATTTACTGTATTCCTGCTCTGAAGATGTGGATACAGAATTAGTCACTCTTGTCACTTTATTTATTTATTGGTTTTTTTTTAACCATCTGTGTACATTCCTTTCATAGGGTAGAGTTCTAGTTCTAGAAGTTCTTATTTTGTTTTTGTTGTAATGTTTGAATACTATTTAATATCCGGTTTTAATATTGCTGGATTTGCTACCTTTGGTTACTTGTGCAGTGTTAAAAGTAATCCACTTTCTTGTTTAATATACCAGATACATAGCAAAAGCAGCTTGGAATAATTATAGCTGTTTATTTGGCTGTGCTCAGTTACTATATTAAGATCTTGTACTGTGTAACAGTAACTCTTTTTTGCTTTTCAGTAATTTAATATGTTCACTTAACAAAATACGAACTTTGAGATGCACTAAAGTTTTGTTTCAGCAGTGGCTCAAAAAATTTCAGAAATTACTTTTGTAATTATTTGCAATTAATTGTTCTTTTATCTTACAATTGTTTAAGCCTGTGATCTTTCTTCTCCCAGCTAAGAGTTCTTCAATAAATTTAAGAAATACCTGGTCTTGGTTTTCATTCTATAATATCTCATTAACTGCTCTGTACTGAGTGGGACTGCTATGACAGAAGACCACATAAGAGGACTGAAGTGCTAGATCATGGTTTTGAGAACAAGAGAAGTTAGAAATATTTCCAATTGGACACTAGATTCTACCTACTTATAGATACCCCAAATGCAGACATAGTGACTTAAAAGGCTGGTTGCCCAACCTGTTTTTGCAAAGTAGAATATTATGGTTGCCTTGAATATGAACATGGCTATGAAATTCTTCTGGCCTGGTTTGAACACTCTTTCCATAATAAGACCATACCTCTGTTAAACCATGTACACAAGATAACTTAAAAGCTGCTGGGTTTTTTTTTTTTTAATTACTAATGGATCTGACTTTGTCTTAAGAATTTTTTTCCTTTTAAATAGACCATTTTTAGAGCACTTTTATTTAGATGCACAGCAAAATTGAGCAGAAAATACAGAGCTCCCGTATACCCTCTTTGCCCAGCCTCCTTCGGTGTCAACACCCCACAACAGAGTGGGACATTTGTTACAATCTGTGGTCCTGCGTTGACACACACACCATTATCATCCACAGTCCATAGTTGACATTAGAGTTCACTCTTGTGCATTTGTAGGTTTGGACAAATACATAATTATATGTACATAACTGTAATATCATACAAATAGTTTTACTGTGCCCTATCTTAATGTAATTTAAGCCCAGAAATTAGGAAATTGTTTTAAAATTTTTTTCATGTTTTAAAATGCTAGGAAATAATAGCAAACAATGAGAAGGTTTGGTTGTAAGTGCACCCCAGTTACTAAGCAAACCAAAAGTGCTGAGAAGAAGTAAGCAAGATTCCATAGATTATAATGCCAAAAAGGAAGTATGGCTCAAAAAGAATGGGAAATGTGGCAAAGGACATTTGACAGTTTTACACAGAGGGATCATATGTGATTTGTATCTTAGCTAGGACAGAGAGGAAGGTGAGGGACAGGGCTTGAATTACCTCAGATTTTTTAAAGTGTGAGATGGAGAGGTCATTTATCTAAGGATGAATGTACTGTTGTTCCTATAATACAAAGAGTAAAAATCAGTGTTTTTGCGTCATTGAGTTTACAGCAAGAACAATAAAGAGTATATTTTGCACTTTTTTCTCTATCCTTTGTAATTTTATAGTCACCTCTCATTTTAACTTTTGGTCAAGGAGGGTAATACTTTAGACTGGAGAGAGTGAAAAACAGTTTCAAGAGGGGGTTGAAGCCCCAATTTTGAGTTTAACTCATCCCTCTGCACCCCTACCCCCTTTTAAACAGACACCTAAATGAATTTGTTAAAGCACGGGATTAAAACCAGACTTCTGTGTACTGAATTCTGCCCGTCTGTATGTTTTGGTCTGGTGTAGAATCTTTTAAAAATAGTTACCAAACTTAAAAATAAAGATTTCACATTTAAATAAGTTTTGTATTTTCATCTTCTTGAAACAATTGAAAGCTCTGAAGCAGTGACTGGGCTCTTATATGGCAACAATTTAGCAGGAGCTGAATAGTGATTGCCCCTTTAATCCCAGAGTAAGTTCTCTTTTTGCCTCTGGCATGACTTACTCCAATTCCCTCATTTCTGTTGCCTGCTGGGGCCTTGTAGACAGTTGAGATGCACCCACTGACTTAAAGCAGATAAGATAATGTGCTTAGAAAATCTGAACAACATTCTAGTGACTCTTTCATTCTCTAGGGTTGCTCAAAGAGGGGAGGAACATTCTAGAAATTATAAAAGCTGAGTTTATTGCTCCTGAGTAGAAAACAAATAGTAATTGTTAAAAGCATAGTTTTATTTTTTTTTAAGTATGTGGAGAAGGGAGAGCCAGCATAGGTTTACCAAGAGCAGAGTCTATCAGATTTACACTTTATTTTCAGTAGAGTTATTTTGACATATTAGAGGATGAGAGATACAGTATCTAGATTTTATTGAGGCATTTTTATATGGAGAGAAGGAATGAATAACTGGCTTCCTAACGTTTTGAGAAATGTGTTCCCAAAGGCTTGTGGTTAATAGATCATTGTCTACCTGGAGGTCAGTGCTATGTGTCTATATTAGTTCTTGCATTGCTATAAATACCTGAGACTGAGTATAAGAAAAGAAGTTTAATTGGCTCACAGTTCTGCAGGCTCTGCAGAAGCATGGTAGCATCTGCTTCTGGGGAGGTCTCAGGAAGCTTCCAGTCATGGTAGAAGGCAAAGGGGGAGCAGGCACATCACATGGTGGGAGCAGGAGCAAGAGAGAAGGATGGGGGAGGTGCTACACACTTTTAAATGATCAGATCTTGTGAGAACTCACTATTGTGAGGACAATACCAAGAGGATGATACTAAACCATTCATGAGAAACTGTCCCTATAATCCAATCAACTCCTACCAGGCCCTACCTTCAACACTGAGGATTACAATTCAGCATGAGATCTGGGTGAGGACACATCCTGATCATATCAGTGTCATAGGCCATTTCATGTATGGCCTTTTTATCCAGCCGTGGAGTGAAGATTTTGTTGGAGTAAGCTCCTCAAGGATGTCAAAAAGCATTAGAGTTATTACATAGTAACTATACTGAGGGATAATATTCAAACAGTTGAAATGAACTGGGAGAGCGGATAAGAGACTTTTGAGTCTATTTCTTCCCTTTGTCCTTTGACCAGCCACAGATTTGACATTCTCCTCCAAAGGTGGGGAGGTTCTGTGTTTACATACTGCCATTTTATAACTAGGACTTGAATATTTTCCTTCAAATACTATATTTTTATGGCTTTCTTGATATAAACTTAGTTATTTCCCTGTTACTTAGTAAATTATATGAACCGGGACTTCTAAATATATGGGAACTGATGCTAAGGAATCCTATAAGAGCTTAAATCCTATAAGAGCTTAAAATGCTGTGGACTTTTGAGGAGTCACAAGGCTATCAGAAAAAAAAAAGGCCACCAGAACCACTAATAATCTACAATTAACCTCTTAACCTCTTTTCTGTTTATAACGGGATGTGGGTGGCTGTGGCAGGTGAATGTGGATTCCAGGAGATCGTGATGTTACAATAGCGTTTCCAACCTATAAATCTTCTTTGAGTCAACTTTAGATGGCTTGTGACAAACGCTGGGAGGTTAAGCTGCTTAATCTGAAACCCAGTGGACTTCACTGTCCTTGAACCCTGAGAAGCCATGGCTTCCAGAAGGAGGGGGCCCTTGGTTGAGTGACAAAGTCTGCAGTGATACAGAGCTGGTGAGACAGTATGTGGGAAGACAGATCCAATTAGGCCTTCATAGACCCAAATGGCTAAGTGCTCTAATAAGGTGGGGTAAATACTAGGTCTTGCATAAGTACAGAGTGGTAGGAGATGAAAATAGTCCGTGCCTTTATGGAGCTTCTTGTTTAGTGAAGCAGAGAGTCATTAAATGAGTGACTGTATACAGTGAAGTCCTCGCTTACGTCATTGAGAGGATCTTAGAAACTGCAACTTTAAGCAAAATGCCATATAATGAAATCATTATTTTCTCATCAACCTTATAATGAAGTGAGGTAAATATTTAATTACTGTTGTTCAAAGGTGTCGGAAGCTAAAGACGGGAATCTAGTCAAAGCTTCCCTAAAGCCGTTCTGAGGCTTAAGCTAGGTTTGAACTGAGTAGGAACCAGACAAGGGGAGTTGGAGGGTGGAGGTGAGAAGGGCAGGTGGGGAGAAGAGGTTTCCACTAGAGAAAAACCATGCACAAATGCCCGGGAGTATAGGACTTCTTTGGAAAACCAAAGACCAGTTTGGCTGGAGCATGAAGAGAAGTGACACATCCTGAGAAACACACATCTAGCTGGCTGTCAGCCAGGTGGTCCAAGAAAGTGTTTGTAGTTTGTTACACCACAAGTCACCGGTTTTAAGTCCAAGGCATGGCGGATGATCGTCTTCACTTGACACTGTGCTTTCCAGACCATGCCTAGAGTATTGTGTTTAGTTCCCGATACCATTTTACAAAGGACAGAGATACATGGAACCATCCACATCCATGACTGTCTAATGAGGCCAAGGAGCTAAAAATGTATTAAATGAGTTCAGTGAAAGACAAAAAGGCTGTTTGGCCTAAAGAAGGAGAGATGTAGGAGTAACCTCAAAACTGCCTTTAAATATATGAAGTGCTTTTAGTGGAGACAGATTAAAACCTGTGACCCTAGTGGAGGGGATGAGGTCCCATGAGGAGAAATTAGCAGTGGATTTCAGCTTGTGCTCTAAAAATTGGAGCTTTGCAATATGGGCGAGACCCCCTTAATGAAAAGGAGCATTTCTGGCCCTTGGAGAGGTTTCCACAGTGCTGGCTGATCACTCCTGCAAGTTTTGATAAGAAATCCAAACAGCTTATAACTTTGGATTAGGTGACCTTTGTGTTCCAACACGTCCTTTCCCACACACTACTTAATTTTTTCCACAGTCGTTTAGTGAAGTTGTTAAGAACCTGGGCTCTGGGGTCAAAAGAACTTGATTTAAAATCCCAGAGCAAAGGCCCAGGATGATGGTATCTTGGGGGATTTTCATTTTCTTCTGGCAGGTGCCTGGGGGCACAGCTAGTCTTGGAGCACCTTGATTTAAATTCAAGCTTTGAGGGTTTTGGATCCCTCTGGTGGCTTGATGTGCTGCATGTCCAGGTCAGGGCCTGTGTCTGGAAGGTGTAGCCCTTTGGGGTTACAAGTAGAGAGGGGATGGTTTATGAGAATCTCTTTGTTGGAGGGGGTGGGGAGAACTGACTTTTGCCTTTCTGGCCTTGTGAGTCTGCCAAAATACTATCCTGTATCACAGTCTTTTTTCCTTCAGGTTTGACAAATATTCTTAGGATGAAAGAGTGGCTTTGAATGCTCAGTGGTTTACTTCTTGGGGTTCTTTGCTTTTGCTAGATATTTGACCCATTGCATCCTCAATATCTTACTAGCTGTTTAAATGCTTTCAAGAAGGTGTTTCTTTTTTTTCTGAGACGGAGTTTCACTCTTGTCGCCCAGGCTGGAGTGCAGTGGTGCGATCTACATTCACTGCAGCCTCTGCGTCCCAGGTTCAAGCAATTCTCCTGCCTCAGCCCCTGGAGTAGTTGGGATTACAGGTGCCCGCCACCACGCCTGGCTAATTTTTTGTATGTTTAGTAGAGACGGGGTTTCACCATCTTGGCCATTCTGGTCTCAAACTCCTGACCTCAGGTGATCCACGCGCCTTGGCCTCCCAAAGTGCTGGGATTACAGGTGTGAGCCACTGGGCCTCCAGATGTTTCATATTTTATCCAACTTAATTACTTCTAATATTTTAATTTACATGAAGGACTTTTATTATTATTATTTTTTTTGCTTAGCTCCATGTGATTAACTGTTAATATCCTTTTAATTTTCTTTTACATTTTAATTTATCTTCTTGAAAGGGTTATATATGCATATGGTATTAAATTCCAAAAGGTATAAGAATGTATAGTGACAAGTATCCCTCTCACCACTCTCTAGCCACCAAGTACCCCCACCACCCCCAGAGATAACCACTGTTACCAGTTTCTGTTCCATCAGCACTGTGCTATACAGGACCTTTCAAAACTTAGATTGGCTTTTGTAACTTGTAGTTGGATACAAATCTGAAAGTTTCAAAAAACAGGAAATGACCAAATCATTTAGTAAGGATAGTGGTTACTTCTAGGGGAGAAGGAGGTACAGGAGCCTCCCATGGTGCCAACAATATTCTGTTTTCTTGACTTTGGATTGTGGTTAAACTGCCCAGATAGATTCTAAGCAATTCTGTGTATATATTTCACATCATGCATGTGTATGCACATGCACACACATCTAAAAAAAATCTGCAAAACTGATCATCTTGAAGACAACCAGAGAGAACAAATGGGTTACCTGAAAAACAAAATTGATTCACAGTAGTGTGCTCAAAGATGATGATAGAAGCCAAAAGGAAATAATGTCTTCAAAGTGCTGATTTTAAAAAAGTCAGTCTAGAATTTCATATCCTTCAAAACTGTTTTTCAAGAGTGAATGTAAATTTAAAGTAATTTCTAATAGATTGAAAGAGTTTACAATGAACTGTGCTGAAAAAAACTACTGAAGGATATATTACTTTTGTAAGAAGGAAATTGAGCTTATAAGGAAATAGCACTGTTTAAAATAAGAATTAAAATAGAAAATGAAAGAGAAAGAGTGAGCACCTAAAATGTAATGCAGGTTCATATAATAATTCCTGTTTACTCTCTATGGCAAGCATTTCCTATCATTGAATCCAGTATCAACCCTGTCATTATTATTTCTGTTTTTCATGTGAGAAGCTGAGGCTCAGAGGGGTTAAGTTTCTTACCCAATGAGCATAGTGGTAATGAATGCCCAGGTCTGGCAGGCTCCAATGCCCAAGTTCTGTCCATTGCACTACAATCTATCACCAAATTTAGAAACAGAAATATAAAAAGATGACAAAATCACTTGTAATAACACATAGTGTATTAGTCTGTTCTAACACTGCTAATAAAGACATACCTGAGACTGGGTAATTTATAAAGGAAAGAGGTTTAATTGACTCACAGTTCAGCATGGCTGGGGAGGCCTCAGGAAACTTAAAATCTTGGTGGGAGGGGAAGCAAACATGTCCTTCTTCTCATGGTGGCATCAAGGAGAAGTGCAGAGCGAAGTGGAGGAAAAGCCCCTTACAAAACCATCAGATCTCGTGAGAACTCACTATCACGAGAACAGCATGAGGGTAACCACCCCCATGATTCAATGACCTCCCCCCAGGTCCCTCCCATGACACGTGGGGATTATGGGAACTAGAATTCAAGATGAGATTTAGGTGGGGACACAGCCAAACCATATCACATAGATAACAATTATTTATATAGTAGTATATTTCTTTCCCGTTTTTACTCCCACATACATATTTTAAACAAGTGAAATTTCCCTTATTTCATAAATATTTGTCAAAAACATTTTAAAACCCCCAAACTGACCTTTGGCCTTTTCAAGTTTGGCAATGATGAATCTGGCCATTGTCATGGCTGGAAATATCTTGGTTGGGGCTCTTTGTTCTGACTGTTACATAGTCGGATTCTCTTTGTCTTCTTATGTGGTATTGCTTTGAGCTTCAGACTGATACAGCTGACAATCTTTACAAAGTAAGGATTTTAAGTAGATAAATTTTGAGAAGGACAACATGTAAAAAGGATCTCTGGGTGCCTTCCAGAAACCAGGCACAAGTTTTTATTATCTCAGCTTAACTATATGGTTTTCTTCTTTCTTTGCCTTCATTCTTTTGCTGCCTGTCAGAGCTGACAGCAATAGAGGCCATTTCATGCATGGTTTCCATGTCTCACAAAACATGGTCTGAAGAAAAAATTACCGAAAGAACAAATGCCCTTTTCAAGCTCTTGGTCCCTTTTTTCAGTTATTGGGCGGTCTTTTCCCATTGCCCTCTGTCTTTAGAGTCCAGTATGTCTAAAATCAAGCTCTTCTTGCCCCAGCACCTATTCCAGGTATCCTACCTACATTATGCTGGCCATTCAGGTGTAACACCTTCCAATGATCTCTGAGTATTATCTACCTCTTCCTCTCCATCTCGCCTCCTCTCTCCAAGAGATGAGAGAAAGCGGGGTGATAACATGAGAGGAAGGAGAGATGGCAGGTGTCGGGGAGCAAACAGTCCTCCATCCAGGGGGGAAGGGAGAGAAAGTGAAATGTTAAAAGATGTTCGTAATGTGATGCAGTGTAACCCCACACTCCATAGCCATCAGAGAACTTTAGCAAGGAAGGATTTACCTTGCTTCTTGGTGATTTTGAATCAGATTTATATAGTTATAATCATTACTATTATTATTTATTTGATGCAGTAAGTTGAGTATTGCAAAAAGAAGATGACTCAGCAATGCCCAGATGATAGAGGTCACCAAGGGATGAGCCACATTTCATGATGAAATGGTTTGCAAGGTAAGTTAAGGAAAAGCACAATAAAGCAGCTCATTTACTGACTTCATCTGTACTCATATGGCAGAATGAGCCACTCTGACCAACCCACCCATGGGAAACAATTAAACATTTTGGATAAAATATAAAAAATATTCCTAAAAGCATTGTTGGGCTGGCATGAAGGCAGGATTTATGCAGGCCAAAAACCCAATGAAGGTAGAAATGTGCAACTGTAAGCAGGCAGTAAAACCAACTTTGGCTTTGAAGGCATTTGCTGAGCCCAGTGAACTTGAGCTTCAGGTTTGATTGACTGATGCGGCATGGGAGAGAGAAGCTGCATGTATTAGTCAGGTTCTCCAGAGAAACAGAGACAATAGGATATTTGTGTGTGTGTGTGTGTGTGTGTGTGTGTGTGTGTGTGTGTATCTTTGTCTATAGACATATATATATAGAGAGAGAGAGAGGGAGAGATTGACTTATTTAAGGAATTAGCTCATGCAATTGCAAAGACTGGCAAGTTCAAAATTGGCAGGGCAGGCAGGAAAGTTGGAGACCCAGAGAAGAGCTGATGTTGCAGCTTGAGTCTGAAGACAGTCTGGAGGCAGAATTTCATCTTCCTTGCAGGACCTCAGTCTGTTTTCCTTAAAGCCTTCAACTGATTGAATGAGGCCCACTCACATCATGGAGGGTCATCTACTTGCTGAAAGTATACTGATTTAAAAAATAATCTTTTTTTTTTTTTTTTTTTTTTGAGATAGAGTTTCCCTCTTGTCGTCCAGGCTGGAATGCAATGGCCTAATCTTGGGTCACTGCAACCTCCGCCTCCTGGGTTCAAGTGATTCTCCTGCCTCAGCGTCCCGAGTAGCTGGGATTACAGGTGCCCACCACCATGCCTTGCTAATTTTTATATTTTTAGTAGACACGGGGTTTCACCATGTTGGTCAGGCTGGTCTCGAACTCCTGACCTCAAGTGATCTGCCTGCCTTGACCTCCCAAAGTGCTGAGATTATAGGCGTGAGCCACTGCACCTGGCCCAAACTTTCAAAAATCAAAACTAAGATAATTGAAATAAAACACTCAACAATTGAGTTTACCAGCAGATTAGACATAGCTGAGAGAGAATTAGTGAATTAGAAAACCTTATCCAGAATGCGGCACAGAAAGACAAAAATGCGATATATGGAAAAAGTTTAAGTGACCTTGAGGGAAAGGAGATTTAACTCATGCCTAAAAAGTATAGAAGGAGAAGAAGGAGGGAATCGGGGCAGAATTAATATTTGAAAAGACGATGGCTGGAAAATTTCTGGAAATGAAAGATGATAATCCACAGATTCAAAAAAACCTAACAATTTCCAAGCAAAAACAGAATACATATTAAATTTCTTAGGGAGGGCTATACATGTATTTGTCTATTTTTCTGGACTATTCAAAAAACAAGCTAAAATTCTATGGTAAAAGGGTAGAAATAAATTGTATATAAAATTCAGGATAGTGATTTCCTGATAGTGACAGTGACCTTTAAAGGTGGGGGAAGAGAGGAGGATGTGACACAGGCTTCTAAGGTACTAGTAATATTCTGTTTATGAATTCTATGCCCCTGGATTTTTAATTTATGATCTTTCTTCAGATTGCACACATCCTCTATATACTATTTTAAATGTATATTGTATTTCATGGTGGAAAATTAATTTCAAATATATTATTCAACAAGATTTGATCAAAGAGGTTGTGGGTGTATTAACAAGGTGGCTTCTGGAATTTTTGCAAAAACAAGAGAGAAAACTTCGAAGAGAAATAATGTTTAGGCTAGGTGTGGTGGTTCACCTATAATCCCAGCACTTTGGGAGGCCGAGGTGGGTGGATCACTTTAGGCCAGGAGTTCAAGACCAGCCTGGTCAACATGGCAAAACCTCGTCTCTACTAAAAAAAAATACAAAAACTATCTGGGCTTGGTGGCGCATGCCTGTAGTTCCAGCTACTCGGGAGGCTGAGAGGCAAGAGAATCACTTGAACCTAGGAGGCAGAGGTTGCAGTGAGCCGAGATCCTGCCACTGCACTCCAGCCTGAGCAACAGAGCAAGACTCTGTTTCAAAAAAAAAAAAAAAAAAAAAGAAATAGTATGCAGGTTAATATGTTTAGGCACAAATGAAAGTAGTTTATTAAAAAGAAAAAAAAAAAAAAAAAGCCAGAAAACTTTTCTGTGTCCCGAAATGCCTCCTGAAAAGCACACATTACTTGGGTTTTCTTTTTCGCCTCTTAAAATTGGGGTGGGTTAGGGTGAGGGGAAGACTGCTCTCCACCGAGGAAGGCAGAGAGAAGCTGCTGCAGTTGCCTGTCTTATCTCTGCCTCGGTCTTGCACCCCACTACACCAGTCCCTATTCCCACGTCTGGACCCCCGCCCCGTCTCCTGACACAGAGGCTTGGCTATCCAAATCCCAACCCCGAGTCTGTAACTAGGAAGTGCCTGCTGTCCTGCCAAGGGACTGGATTGGAGGAGGAGAGTGCAGGGGTGGGATGAGGGAAGAGATGGAGGAGGGGGCTTTAAGCCAGAGTTTCTAGCAGGAGCAAATACCGGCACAGGGAAGGACACCATTGGCCAGGGTATGCAGAGGAAGGCAAAGCTGCTGAATGGCCACTGTGGTCCTCAGCCATGAGTAGGGACGTCTGATGGCCTCAGAAGCTGCCTTGTGATTGAGCGTGAAGGGACAGGATCTGAGGTGCTGGAGCTCGGGGTAGGCTAAGATGGCCATCTTGGCAGTTTGCCCTAGACAGTGGTGCCTATGCACCTCTCAGCCAGGCTGGGCTGGTCTTAGCGTCACAGGGCTGAGTGGCAGCCATTGAGTTCGCTACTGTCCCGAAAACAGCCCTGCAGTCTCTCCCGTGGGGTTCACTACAGGGCGGTGCTTGCCACCAATCCAGGGGTACATAGAATTTTATCACAGTGAGAAGGAGGCTTTGGGCAGAGACCACAGAAGTCCAGCGGCATTGATGACCAACTCTGCTTTCTTAAAGCTGCAGTGTTACTTGGAGCCTCAAGGTGGTACAGCAACACAGTCTATGGTTTAAAAAAGCCTGAATTACACTTTGTGAAAAGCTTCCTTGGGCACAATTAGCTTGACGATTTGAACTGTTTCTCAGTCGCTTCCCTTCCTTGTTTCAAATAGCCTGGCTTCTAATCTGGCCTGACCTTTGAGGTCCTTTCTTGCTGGCTCATCCACCTCCATCCCCACTCGGAATCGGGAGGGTTTTCTTAGTTCTTTGGTTACTGAAAAGGAAATCCTTTTCTGCCCAGGTTCCCTCCTCAGATTCAGGCCAGAACTGCTCCCCTGTGGTCATGGGGCCTGTCTTCATAGGCGCCACCTGGACCTGTGCCAGGCAGACAGCAGAGGTGAGTTCCAGGGGGTTCCTCTGAGGTCACACCTGCTTAGGTGCATGGAGGCTCAGGTGAGCAGACTGCAGACTGCCACCACCAGCGTCCCTTCTCTGTTTAAGCCACCTGCTTCCTTATTTCACTGATTCCCACTGGCCTCCCCTTCATATACATCCTCACTATCGTTTTTGGAATTTTCTATTAACATTTCATGATATCCATGCTGTTTAGAATTCGCTTCTATTCTAAACATACTCTAAATTTTACTCCAAATTTACTCTCTACTCAAATGTCACCTTATCCATATGGTATTCCCTGACCACCTGTGAACAGCAGCAACCTTCCATCACTAGTGAGCCCCTTATGTTGCTTTATGTTCCTTCTTAGCCCTTTCACCACCTGGCATAAGTATATATTTGTTATCTCTTCACCCCCAAGGGCAGAAGGCCCCCAGTTTTGTTCTCTTCTGCATCTCCAGCCCTGGAACAGCGTTTGCATGTGGTGGGCACTCAGCAAATGCTGGTTGAATGGATGGATGGATGGATGAATGAATGAGTGGCTAGGGAGAATTTCACCCCTTCCCAACAGGTCAAAAGCATTGTTCTGACAGTTTGTAGTCTAGGGTCTGGCTTTGGCTGAGCCACTAGTTACTTGTAAGACTTTGAGCAAGTCACTTGGCCTCCCCAATGGCCTATTTTTGAATCTGCACAATGAGTGGACTGGACTGCATTGTCTGCGGTTCCTTCCTGCCCCAACAGTTTTTGGTTTTATGATTATCCTCCAAAAGGGGCTAAAGCCATAAGCCAGGTGACAGACAATATGCATTATTGGCATGACACTTGCAAGTAATAAGCTAGCATCAAAAGATGCATTGATATATGTAAATAAACATACTTACTTCACAATCTTTAAGTCTTTAAAAATTATGTCCTTAAGAAAGTCTCAAATGTATTGGCCTTATGTTTCTATTTTGATCTCTGGCTCCATGTGTTAATGACTCTGATATTTTTCTGACAAATAAAAGGTTTTAAAAATTGCTATTGCTTATTTGGGTTCTTCCTAGGTTATTTCTTCTCATTAGTAACATTTCTGGGGAAAGATGTCATGCTCTTAGTGTGCATCCAACATGAAAAAATATTTCAAAATAAAACAATAGTAATTTTTTAAAAACCCTCTTACCTTTGAAAAGAACCATCGCCTTATGCCATAATCTTCCTCTTGCTATTTGGCTGTGGTTATTTTTTAGGATTGGTATATGTCTGGCATCTAGAAGACATTAAAATATTTTTAATGAAGAGTCAGTGTCATGTGGGAGGAAAAAATTCGTATCCTGGGATATGGGTGGAACTTCATGAAAGTGATTGTGTCTTTCTTATCCAAGGGAAGAAGTTTTTGTTCTTTCTGAATGAACTTGAGGGAAAAAGGCAATCAATGTTTTTCCAGTGTAACCTGATAGATTCTCCAAGTCCTCAAGTTCAAATATTTATTCTTTTGTCTTTGTAATGAAAACAAAACCAAACTTGTAGTAGGCATACTCATGATCTCCCAAATATGTCCAGGTCCCTATCCCTGGAAACTGCGAATGTGTTACTTTACATGGCAAAAGGGACTTTGCTGATGGGATAAAAGGAGGGATCTTGAGATGGGGAGATTATCATGGATTATTCAGGTGGATCCAATCTAATCTCCTTAAACTGAGAAACATTTCCCAGCTATGGTCAGAGGACAACACGATCAGAGGGAGCGTCTGAGATGCATCCTTGCCGGCTTTGAAGAGGGAGGAAGGGGGTCAAGGGCCAATGAGTACAGGTAGCTTCTAGAAGCTGGAAAAGGCAGGACATAGATTCTTCCTCAGAGCCTCCAGAAGGAAAGATAATCCTGATGAGACTTTTATTTTAGCCCAGTGAGACCTATGTCAGACGGAACTCCAGAACTGTATGATAATAAAATGTGTATGGTAAGGCACTAAGTTTGTGGAATTTGTTACAGCAGCAATAGCAATACATTACCTTCTTATTTGAACAGAGGCTTTCAGCTCCGCAGTGTAAAAGAAAAGAAGCCAGGCTAGGGTCTAGAGTTGTGCCCTTCAGTTTGGTAGCTGCTGGTCACATGTGGCTACTGGAGCCCTTGAAATGAGTGCTGAGATGTGCCGAAGTGTAGAATAGATGTCGATTTCACAAAGATTGAGTGTGAAAAAGAAAATATCTCCTAATTTAATAATTTATTCGTGTCTATTACATGTTGAAATGCCATTACTTTGGATATGCTGGTTTAAGTGAAATATACTATTAACATTTATTTCACATATTTTTTGAACTTTTGTTTTTAATGTGACTACTAGAAAATTTAAATCATTTGTGGTCCACGTTATACTTCTATTGGACAGGGCTGTTCTAGAGAATCCCTAAATATAGGAGGTGGTCATTTCAACAGTAGACAGGTCTCCAACCAAGTGGTGAGTGATGAAAAAGTCCAGGCACAGAATTCCAGGAGGAGAGGTCAGGCTTTCTTACGTCTTCCTGTATTGGACCATAAGAGAAGGTGTTGTATGGGTCTTTATGTCCTCAGGGCCTGGCACATACTCAGAAATTGTTTGCAGAGCATCCATTTGATGTTGCTGACCCTAGAAAGTTCTTTGACAAGGCACCAAAGGGTGGAAAATTAGTCTTGAAACAATTGCCCTGAAGGAACTTGAAACTGTGGTCTAACAGAAAACAGGATGCAACAACTGGGTCTTTTCCCGTTTGACCAGTATTTGTTGCCCCACCTTACACCTCATGGACACGGGCATTTACCATTTCCAGGAAAGAAAGATCTCAAAAAGAATTACAAACCAAAAGGCAGCCTTGGGTATCAGAGCCCAAATACCAAGAAGCATTCATGTAATGATTTCAGTTTGGCCTCTTTCTTATCTCGGTGCCAATTTCTCAGCAATGCAGAGAAAAATGACTTGAGCTCAGAATTAGGAGATGAACTTTCCATTTGAAATGTGCGTTCTCCTCTGACTTGCTCCATGAACAAGTTAGCTTCCCTGCAGTCCCCTTCATCATGCCTGCTAAGAGGCAAGTGTTTACATTTATCAGGACTGAGCGCTACGAGGTGAGGATTAATTAGTGACTCTACTTAGAATTATTTTTAAAATATCAAGAATAATTTGCTTCCATAACAAATTATCCTGGCTTGGGATTCTGGGACAGGATTTGGGATTCTGATCAGTTGCTTCCCTAACAGCCTGACACTGACATTTGCAGAATCTGTTGTGGTTTAACAGGTATTATAAGTTCAAATATCATATTTCAGAGTGTCTGCTATGGTTACAGGTAACTAAAGGTTACAGTTTTCCCCCCATATGATGTCATTTGCTTAACTCAAATGAACTTTGTGCCATTAAAAATGGGGAAACACAATTTATTTCAATGCCATTTGAGTCTGTTTTGAGGTATTGCGGACGGAAATATCCTGGTTACTGGGTTTGGATGATTCATGCAGTAGAGCAGTCTGAGGAATAAACTTTATCTTGTCCTCATCTTTATTTTTGTTTTCTATATGGAAACTAATCATTTGAGGTTGGCAACATGGATTTGGGCTAAATTTCTTCAATGAATTTTTTTCTACGTTTCCCTACTTCAGACCAAAAATCTCCAACCCTAGGCTGTTTTCCAAAAGCAAACCTGCTCATGAGCTCTCTGACAGAGTGCTAGCCTGTCGGAAATTACAGTAAGTCTCCTTCTGAGGTTGGTTAGGCTGAGAATTCATTGTATTTTGGTTAAAAACAGAGTGTTACAATTTGATCCTGGGAGCAAGAAAGAATTAGTAATGAAAACATTGTTGGTGGAGACTGTTGCCTGGTACACAGGCTGAACTCATTTGTCTGGCCCCCGGTACGGGTGGCCCATGTGAAAATACACACATACACACACACACACACACAGACACACACCACCCATCTGTTACGTTTTTCCTGATGCTTCAGGAAAGTCTGCAAATTAAGACAAATGATATTATCTGGGAGTAACTGATCATCTTTTCACTATGAAAATGTCATATTCATAGGAAATGAATAACACACCTGCCAAAAATCAGGTCGCCTAAATGAAGGGATCAAGGGATTGAATACCCATGGAGAAAATAAGACAGACACAATCCAACTGTTCTATACTAGTTGACAGCAACCTATTCTAATGATATGGTTAAGATTTATAATGGCCATATAGGTTTACCTTCTCCAACCAAACTATTTAAATAATTCCACAAGTCTCCTATTTAATATTGAAGACCATCTCCTTAGCTAAAATTATTATGCTTTAATTGACCATATATAAATATCGGAGGGTTTTGGAGAGTACCATTAGACCATGCACAACCAAGCACAGTTGGATTGAGCCTTGAAGATGTGCATGGTTCCTCCCGCCCGTGCTCTTCCTGGTGAATGAGTAGCTTTTTTCCCTGCACTAATCTGTTCAGTTTGAGGGCTGCTGGAAGCACTACCTTTTATTCTCTTTTCATTTTCTTTACTTCACTAGTTCACAGAGCTGGAGGCCACAGGACTGTTTGTTACATCATCACTGCTTTAAAAGCTTATTTTTGTGAATGCGATTGTACTTGGGGGTTGTCAAAACCTGTGGAAATGTGGCCTTTGGTGACCGGCCATGGCATAATATGACAACATTTCTGGAGTAGTCCAGCACTGGGAATGGTACCCTTGGGTCAGGCAAGTAGGAGGCAGTCATTTTTGTCTCTGGAGCTGCTGGCACTCAAGCGTAGAGGAGGTAGACATTTCAATGGCCAGTTGCTTTTGTATTTAAACAAATAGATCCTGGATTGTAGATTTTTAGAAAACTGCAGATGCAACCTGCAACAGAATCACCTGGTTAGCTTACTCCCCTACCAGCTGACGAGTCTTAGATCAGATATACTGAAGCACAGCCTCTGGGGATGGGGCACTCAGGAATCCAAATTTCTTTAAATAAACTTTAAATTTTAGAATAGTTTCAGATTTGCAAAAAAGTTGTAAAAATAGTACAAAGAGTTCCCATATACCTCATACCCAGTTTTCCTTATTAATATCTTACATTAGGATACATATAATATACATTTGTACAAATGTGCAATGTAAGTAATATAAAATGTACATTTGTACGATATACGTTATCTGTATCATAATGTAATGTACAATGTAAATCCTAATGAAGGATACAGGTAATGTACTTTGTGATGTACAAATAACATCTTACATTAGAATGCAGATAATGTACATCTCCCCCACTCGTTTATTTATTTGATCATTTTTTTATGTCAGTATGGACTCATGAATACCAAGTTATATTTCAGTACCACATTATAAATGTACATTATCTGTATCTTAATGTAAGATATTAATAAGGAAAGCTAGGTGTGAGGTATATGGGAATGCTTTGTACTAGTTTTAAAATTTTTTTGCAAATCTGAATGTATGAATGTACATTAGGTGCATTTGTCACAATCTCATGATTAACCAAAGTCAATACTCTATGACCTGATGTCCTTTTTCTGTAAGATTCCATCCAGGATGCCACGTTACATTTAATTGTTACGTCTCCATAGGCTCCTCTTGGCTGAGACAGTTTCTCAGACTCTCCTTGTTTTCAGTGACCTTTGATAGTTTTGAAGGGTCCTGGAGAGTATTTTGTAGAATGTTCCTTAGTTGAATTGTTTGATGTTTTTCTCATGTTTTAACTGAGGTTATGGGTTTCTGGAAGAAAGATCACAGAGGCAAAGTGCCCTTCTCATCACGTTGCATCAGTGGCACCCTCAACGCAACTCACAGTTGATGTTCACCTTGATGACCTGGCTGAGGTAGTCTTGACAGGTTTTTCTACTGTAAAGTGATTCTTTTTTCCACCTTTTCATACTTTACTCTTTGGAGGGGAGTCACTGTGGATAGCCCGCACTTAAGGAGTGGGAGTTGTACTCCACCTCCCTGAGGGGGAGTAGCTACATACATGATGGAATTCTTCTGTCTAGAGATTTATCTATTCTCCCCCACTTGTTTATTTATATGTTCATTTATTTATGTCAGTATAGACTCATGAATATCAAGTTATACTCCAGTGCTACTTTGTTAATCAGATTGTTCCAGCTTTGTCCATTGGGAACTCTTTCAGTGGGATCCCATGTCTCTTTGATGTATCCCCTTTCTTGTGATGTTTTTGGGAGCCCTTCCGGCACTTTCTGCCACTACAAGATGCTCCAGGAATTAACATTTTTGACCAGCTCTATCATACTGAAAAAAACCAAGATTTATCATTTTCGGCCATCAAGACCAGAAATTTTAAATGTCCCGCTTATTGTTGGATGTGGAACAAAGCTGTCAAAAGAAAAATCACACTAAAGAATGTGTATGTATCTTCAAAATCTCTCTGTTTATTTGGTAACATCTATAGCCCAGGCACGTACAGAGAGGCAGTTATTTAAATCCAATCAAGAGACTAAGAAGTTCAAGAGATCTATTGTATAACATGGTAGCTATAGTTAATAACAATGTATTGTACACTTGAAAATTGTCGAAAGAGCAGATTTTAGGTGTTATCACAAAAATCATAATGAGAAGTACATGAGGTGATGCATAAGTTAATTAGTTTGATCTAGCCATCCACATGTATATACATTTTAAAACATCAGGTTGTACACCATAGACACATATACTTTTTGTCAATTTAAAAAAGTAGTGATTTTTTTTTAAAGAGACTAAAAATTGAGGAGAATCATCTATGAAACATTTTCCTGGAAACCACAAGGCTTTTGGGCCACAGGCACCTCACTGGGTGTGGATAACAATTGTTGAGTTAGCCCAGCCCCTATCAAAGAGGATCTTAAGCCATATCAACCACTTCTTAGGATTTTCTGGTGACTTCTGAGAGAGGAAGAGTCAGAAACACCCATGGGCAGTAACACCCAGGGCTGGCTCTGGAGTGGGGGTGAGGTCATTGAGGGGAAGGCCAGGGTTTGGGTGAGCCTGTGCTGTAGGGATGGAACTCTGGTTGGCATAGGGTACTGAGCGTGTCTCTGTATGTGCATCCATGCAGACTTGCACATGGGTAAAAATTCATTTAACCCACCTTGATAACTACCATCTACCTTTTGTAACTGGATTTGATTTAGAGTCAGCTGTAGCAGGGTGTGTGTGCTATGTTGACACAACAAATCATGGAGATGCATTTAGGACCCATTTCAGATCCTTGTTGAATGCTCTACGGTGATGATGACAATACAGTCACGATACACAAAACCAGGCCCAGCATGAAGGCAACTGGCTTTTGCTTTTCTTGGCCCTTCCTTGGCTTCTACATTTGCCTTGGCTTCTCTGCCATCGTGGAACATCAGTTCACCTTTCCAGAATACATCTGGTGGTGTTTCTATTAAGTAATACCAGCAAATTACATATAATCCTTGGCATTAGGACATTTAAAAACTGGTGAATGTGGCTGGGTGTGGTGGCTCATGCCTATAATCCCAGCACTCCGGAAGGCCAAGGCAGGCAGATAACTTGAGGCCAGGAGTTTGAGACCAGCCTGGCCAACATGGTGAAACCCTGTCTCTACTAAAAGTACAAAAAGTAGCCGGGCGTGGTGATGGGCACCTGTAATCTCAGCTACTCGGGAGGCCGAGGCAGGAGAATCGCTTGAACCTGGGAGACGGAGGTTGCAGTGAGCCGAGATCGTGCCACTGCACTCCAGCCTGGGCGACTGAGCAAGACACTGTCTCACAAAGGAAACAAAACAAAATAAGACAAAAACAGAAAACCTCAAAAAACCCTGCTGAGTTTCTGGTCTCATGCACGCCAGGAATCATTTGTCAGTGATTATGATGTATACTCCCATGTGTCCATTTTGACTGTTTTTCCTCCTCTCTACCCCAGGCCGTACCATTCCTCCTGCCGTCCTCACATATTCTCCCACGGTTCTGCAGATGAAATGTAAGAACTTCCTCCAGGTAATCTTCCACTGGCAGGCTGCATTGTCAACAGCAGCTGTCCTCCAGGTAGGATTCTTGGCATACCCTGAAGCATTCTGGAAGCACTTGTGTTTTTTAGCACTTTAGCCAGTATTGATTATTTTTATTGGGGATTGAGTGTGTTGTGTTTTGTCTCACAGGACTTTTTCACATCTGTTGCTGTGCTTAAGTTTATGGCAGAGATTCATTTGAAATGGGATTTTTTTGTCTTTTTTTTCCATTTGAGGCAAGAGTGCAGATGGGCTTTTAATTTTCTTGCTGCCACCTGGGAAGAATTTGTCATTTCATTCCTAAAGACAAAAAGAAACACATCTGATATAATCTAACACAAGTCTATGCTAAACAACTCCAACAACTCGGGTAGAGTAATTCCAGCAATTTGTGTTGATTATCTATGTTTGTTAAGGATATCTCAGTGGGAAGACTTCCAAGTAACCCTTTTGAGTTTCCACTCAAGGCATTTTTTTTCTTCTTCATATTCATAAAGCTCCTAAAGGTATAGATTGATAATTTGACGGGAAAAGCTAGGTAAATAGAACCAAGCAACTGACTTACAAGAGAGCTAGCGTAAAATGGATGGAGACACAAGGAAGAAAAAGCTTTGTGTATCTTCGCAGATATGAACAAAGCACTAGGCGGAGCTGGTGGCCTTGTAGGATGGTGACCCAGGGTTTCTGCACAGGGTCTGCCTCCCTGCTTGTCACCCCTGGGTCCTCTCTCTGGCTACACTGCTGTGTTTTCCCTGGCCACTTCCTCTCCAGGGCTGCCTCACACTGAGGGGTACTTTCCTCTGCCTTCCCCAAGGATGCTTCTCTGGGCTTCAAGCCACCCAGCTTTGACCTTGCAGTCACCTCCTTCATTTTCTTCCTTTGGAAGGTCTCAGTGAGATTCCACCCTAACGCCTCACCCATTTCTTCTTTCCAAACTGTCAGAGAGCATCTAGAGTGCTACCCAATGATGAAAGCATATCCCAGTTTTGGGGGAAGCCTGGCTTCTTTGAGCATTCAAATGCTGCAAACTGGCTCTTGGGTCCTACCCTGTAATCGCTGCAAAGGCCCATGGGCTGGCTTGGTCCATCAGCAAAAGGTCCCTTCTTCCTTATGCCAGTTGGAACACACCCAGAGGCCAGACTGTGGTGCAGGCATTTTCTCTGGGAGAGGGGAATCCTCTAGTGTTTCCTCTGGACAGGACACCTACCTGGCACAGGTGCCCAGACTCCCCTTTTGGTCTTTCTCCTGCTTTCCTTTTCTCTCTCCTTCAGGGGTGCCATTTAATTCAGCAAGGACAGTTTCTCTTGCTGTTGACGTGTGGATCAACTCTGTTAACCCTGGATCCTTAATGTTCTTCAGAGCCACAGCCCACAAGATCAAACCCTCTCCAACAAAATAAAATGAAACAAAACAAAGAAACCCTCTTGCTAATATAAAACTTCGATGTATAATGTGCCAAACCTTCCCACCCTAAACACACACACAACACAGACCAGGGGTGAGGGTTGGGAGGATAAGGTGAATACAAGCTCATCTTTTGCCATTAGCAATTCTCTAGTAGCCCTGGGAGCTCCCAGGTCCATTGAGTTTTGGAGGTTGGTGGCATCACGCAGGTCCCACTATGGAAGGAAATATGTTACCCAACAGTTTTTGTTTCTTTCAAAACACCTACTTCCTTTGGCAGCAAACTCCTGCTTCTTGTGTGAGAGGCATCTTCATCTCACACCTTGGAGCGAGCAAAGATGCCTCATGTCCCAGAGCAGAGCAGTGGCTGCTTGCACTTCCTGCTCTTCCATCTGCCCCAGGTTTCTTAAGAACTCACACCATTCCCTGTATTCCATTTCTTGTAATCTTTTTTGAACAGTTATTCAAATATTGTGCCAGACAGTGTGAGGGTGGTGGGGCAAATAATGGAAAGTGTTCTTGTTCCCCTGGGACCTACATTTCGAGGGAGAGGTAGATAGGCATTTTCATAATCTTCATTTTCTTTGCATTCTTTATTTGTGTTTACCTTTCTATTGAGTGGACTGTTAAGGAAGCACCAGAGGAGGGAGAGAAGAGCTTTGACGTAGATGACCAGGAGAGTGTTCTTGTGGAAGGAGGAATTTGGTCATGACCTCGAAGGACATCTAGGACTGTGATTGGCAGGAATGCATGGTGGAAAGAACAGTTCTAGCACAACAGAGCACAGGAGTGGGACATGTCAGGGCCGGACCTCAGGGTCCCCTGAGTAGTTCCATGGGAGAGCTGTGGCACCCGTGGCGAGGTGTGGAAATAGAAATGGGAAGGGACCTTGGGGTGATGCTGTTGGAGGCTTCTGCAGTAGAGGAGTGTTTTTCCAGTTATTACAGTGTTAACTATATAAAAACTACTTTGTCTATATACATCAAAAATACCCAGCATAATTATTTTTCCAGTATAGCTGTCACTCACCACTATACTGTTGCTTTCAATTTTAAGCTTTAAAGATGATGTGAGAGAAAAATAGTATCCTAGTACCTGTGTGGATTTTTTTCCCTTCCTAAAATCAATAATTCTTTCATTTTTAAAGTCAATTTTGCCTTTGTAAATGACTTCATGCCTTTTGTTTTTGTTTTGTGCTTGTAGCTTGTACGTTTTGGAGCTTTAAAAACAAACTCTGGGGCCAATCCACCTAGGTTTAAATCTCAGCTCTGTTGCTTCACAGAAGTGCAATTTGGGCAAGTTACTTAACTCGCCTGTTTTTTAGTTTCTTTATCCATAGAATGGAGATAATATTTCTATGTATCCTTCACAGAAAATAATCTGTGAGGATGAAGTGGAATACATGTTACAAGCTCTCACTGCCTCGCATGGAGTAAACAATAAGGGTTTACTATTGTTATTATTCTTTTAAAAATTAAATGAATTCATGTTGGTGTTGAAAGAGGGTGATACGTGCACATGGGGATGTGACAATCACAGTTACAGCCCTCTATTAATAGCCAAGGGTGAATCATAAATGAAACTCCCACCCAAAGCCTCCCAAGGCCTCCCCAGGCTGAGGCAGTCACTGTTCGGTTTCTGGTGTATCCTTCCAGAATCACTTTGAGTTTCTAGGGTGTATGTGTATGCCTTCCTGTCTCTGAATCTGAAATGTGTGTGTGTCAATCTGTGTGTGTGTATATATATATCTGCACACATATACATGTGTACATGTATATGTATAGTTTCACACCTTGTATTTTCCTATCTTAACGTATCATACTGATTATTTCATATCTGCAATATAGATCTATATAATTCTTTTAAATGGCAATGTAGTATCTCATTTCATAGATATATAAAACCAGTCCCTTAAAAATGGGCTATTAAGATGCTTCTAGCCTTTGTCTTACAATGTTGCAATGATCCTTTTAGTACATTTTTATTTCGATGGATATTATTCAATTGTAAATTATGAAGTAAATTCTTCCCTGTCTTTCCATAAAATCAATGCAGTCTACATTTTTTCCCTCATGCTTTATGAAATGGATTTACTTTGAGATGTGCATGCTGCTTCAAGGTGGTATCGAAAAATCAGTTTACTTACATGCGAGTTATAGGGAGAACTATTTAAGTGAAGAAAATTCCTCTGTAGGAATACTACATTGCCCTTTAGATGTTTCTTTTGAAGAAAAAAATGTTTACCACCTTAAGCACAAAAAGCAGAATACACATCACTATTTATGACTGCAGATATTGCTTTCTCAGTATATTTTAAAACAAATTCATGAGTTAAAAAAGACAAAGGTGGAATATCTGTGTATGAGTAGGTGAATATTCTTAAATTTTCCGTATTTTTCCAGTCTTAGGGAATGGGCATGTGTTGTTTTCATAATTGAACATAAAAAGGAAGAAGACACTTTTAAGAGTATCAAATTAAAAGAGAGAAATGACTGCTGGAGGAAGACCTGTGGACAATTTTAAGAAAAAGGGACAAAAGGGGAAAGGGACATATAAGAATCAAGAAACCCGATAGTGGGGTCTACAGCTAAAATCCTAGGGACTCCAGGCAACTCTTGGATAATACTACAGCTAACACGATAGATATTAATATTTGGGGATCTTGAGTCATTGCAAGAAAGGCTTAGCAAAAACATATTGGTTCAAGTAAGCTAGCAAGGACGCATGTAGTACATCTTAATCTCCATCAAGATAATTTTGAAGTGTTGTCGTTTAAAGGGTAAATCAGCTGCTATCTGGACAATGCACTTATATGGACAACCTCATTGCTTAACAATGCTGGATAAATGAGGCCTTTACCGCATTTCTTTTTCTTAAAAGTATAGTTACTTTTAAAAATGCTATCTTCAGACAAATCTGTTTGCTGATTATTTGGTTAGCTATCTTTGATTATACTAGTCCCTCCTTGTTCAAGTTGTTTAAGAAAGTGTCACTATAAAATATTGAAAGTGGCCGTGGCATGACTTGGAAAAATGACCCACAGTTCTAATTCCATTCCAAAGAATTCAAGGGACTTTCCAGATAAATTCATTTGGAGTCTACATGGAATTTGCAGTTAGGAAAGGAGCTGATAGAAGCTTATACTTTAACCATCTATAAAGACAGGGTTTACAAAGCAGATAACATGTTTAACTTTCAGGAAACAAACTCCTTAAGTATCATCAGGTTTTGTTGCAGATGTCTGTTCACAAACAAATGGTGTGTGGTATATGACATTCCTGATCAACCTCATTTTAAAATTTAACTTCCAAGAGATTTACTCGACAGCAATCTATTAATCTACTTGTAACAATGATACATTTCATTTTGGTTTTTTTGAGTCAGATTTCCCTCCCTAGCCCTCTGTCATTCCTTAAATGGCTTTGAATTACGAGGTTAATGTCTCATTTTACTAACCTATTTTGTAAATTTATTGTATTGAATATTCTTGAAATTATGGGCCTTGAATTTCCATTTTTTTCAACTTTTATTTTAGAATTAGGGGGAACATGTACAGGTTTGTTGCATTGACATATTGCATCATGCTGAGATTTGAAGAACAAATGAATCCATTACCCAGCTAGTGAGCATATACCCCAAAGGTAGCTTTTCAGCCCTTGCCCTTCTCCCTCTCCCCTCATCTAATAGTCTCCAGTATCTACTGTTCCCATCGTTATGTCCATGAGTACCTAATATTTAGCTCACACTTATAAGGGAGAACATGCGGTATTTTGTTTTGTTTCTGTGTTAGTTTGCTTAGGATAATGGCCTCCAGCTGCAGCCATGTTGCTGCAAAGGACAAGATTTCATTCTTTTTTATGGCTGCTTAGTATTCTATGGTATACAGGTACTACATTTTCTTTATCCATTCTGCAGTTGATGGGCACCTTGATTGATTCCATGTCGTTGCTATTGTGACTAGCACTATGATGAAGATATGGGTACATGTATCTTTTGGCAGAACAATTTATTTTCATTCGGGTACATACCCAGTAATGAGATTGCTGGGTCAAATGGTAGCTCAACTCCTGGTTCTTTGAGAAGTCTCCCAACTGCTCTCCACAGTGGCTGGACTTTTTTTTTTTAATGTGGAGATTTTGTCACAATGATTTCTGCTTTGATCTATAAGGAGAATGTCATCCTTTTCTCCTTATTGCCAATTTGTTTTTATCCCCAGTCTTAATGAAGATTCTGTTAGCCTTCCCCTACCCTACCATTTGTCCCCATATTCCTAAAACCAGATACATAAGCTACTGAAGGAAAGAAAACCATAGAAATACAGTTTATCTCTCACAGAAATACATTTCTTACAATCTGCCAGTGAATGCCAAACAACTTCTCGAGGCTGTGATTCTTGTGATCCAAGTGATCCCTCCCAGGTGTTGATGCCTTTGACATCAGGGCAGGTGATTCTTGCCTGAGTTGATGGGCCAGCCCAGCTGAGCAGTCAGTTGAGCCCTCTGTGCTGGATGACTATGGTCCTCACTGAGACACAGCTGAGCTTAATGAGCCATAGACTGGAGGCTGGGACTCCTGGATTTTTTGCCAACTCTTGACCTTAGGAAATACCTCACCTCTCTGGTCTTCAATTCCACCATCTTTGATATAGGAGTGTGAAAATTTTAGAAAGTCGTTTCTGGATCTGAAGTTCTTGATTCTAATGGAAGGAAAAGAAAAGCAATCACACGTTCCTAGCTATAGCTTAAATCAGGAGGTATTGTTCTCACTTACCAAGACTTTCTCTCTTTTCCCTCCCCCATGCTCTGGGGTTCATCATTCCTTCCACTGGGTTCCCACTGTGGTTTGCCCTTGAAGACTCCACCCGAGAGTTTATGACTTGATATTATAATTATCTGTTTATATTTTCCGTTCCTTTATGGGACCAAGACCTGCTAGAAGGCAGGAACTGTATCTCACTCCTCTTCCCATCTCCAGTCCCACACCCAGGATCTCTCACATCACAGGTATCCAAGAATGACTGTTGAACAATAGAATTAGAACAGTAGAGGTAAAAAGCAACAACTCTGAGATCCCGAGAGAGATTTTTTCCTTATCAGAGCACTGGACTGGCAGTCAAGAGACACTGGTTTGGCACCTGATGGCCCTTGGACAGCTCATTTAACCTGCAGTTTGCCAAAATCACCTTGAAGAATAGAGTCACTAATTGTCACAATTTCTTGAACCCATACTAAACCTATTATTACCATCCCCATTTTGCTGATGAGGAAATCAAGTCCCAGAGAGTATTAGATGACTTGTTCAAGGCATGCCAGTTAACAAGCGGATGGGCTGGCATTCAAAGCTTATGCTTTTCTGACTACACCGCACTGCCTCCTATTATGCAGTGTATATTGCTAGATTGATATGTCAGCACTTCATGAATTCATAATATGTACAGGGTGCAGTGTATGTGCTTGGTGGTAGTGAGGAAGTTGTAAAAAACATTACTTAGATGCTACATTTGTACCCAATGTGTAGTTTTTAGCCCTTATGCGATTTAATCTGTTCCCACTGTTTGATCCTATTGGCCACTTCCTCCTTGAAACACATTTTTCTCTTGGCTTTTGTGTCACATCCTTCTGTTTGTGGCTACTCTTTTTCAGTCTCTTTTGAAGATTCTTCTTTCAAAGCCATTAAGAATTGATGTTTCTTAAAGCTCGGCCCTAGACTCCCTGCTCTGTTCATTCCTTCTCCCTCCCAAGCATCAACATCTGAGGCAAGGGCTTTGGTGACTACCTCTGTACTGATGATTCCTAAGTTGTATCCCTGAGCTCCAGACTAGTATGCCTGCTAGACATCTCCACTTGAATGTCTCTAGGGCACTGAAAGTTGAGGTCCAACTAAATTCATGCTGTCCATCCTCTTTCCAATGCCCCCTTCTGGTTTTCTTCCAGTTTTTCTGAATGCCCCATCATGTATGTAAGCCAGAACCCAGGAGCTATCCTTTGGACTGCTTTCTCCTTCACTTTTCTCCAGAAGCAAATTCATTACCAACCCCTATCAGTGCTACCAATAATGAGTTCTTATATCTGCCTCCTTCTATTTCCACTGCCACCGTTGTAGTTCAAGCCACCACAACCTCTCACTGAGATGCCTGCATTAGCAGCCTAATCTGGTCTTCCTCTATCCTCAATGACTCTCCTCCTTCTGTTTCTTTTTCACTCTGCAGAGTGACCTTTTAAAAATGCAAATGCATCCCTTTTCCCCTTCCCAACAGATTTGCATTTCTCTTCAGGAAACGACCCAAATCTCTCACATGGCATTGGCTGAGTGCTCGGGTTCTCACTCAGTCCTCTGGCCCCATCTCATCCACCCCTCTGAGCTCTCTATGCTTCAGTCTCAGTAGCCTTGCAGCTCTAGGGGGTGCCTTCTCCAACCGGCAGTTGAGCCATAACAGGCTGTTCCCTCTGTTTGGAATGCTCATTCCACCCCAACGCCTCTGTGGTAGGCTGAATTATGGTCCCCAAAGATATCCAGGTCCTAATCTCTGAGACCTTTGAATGTTACCTTAAATGATATCAGGGATTTTGCAGATAAGGATAAAGGGACTCTCCTGAAATGGGGAGACTGTGCTGGATTATCTGGGTAGGCCCCGAGTGTAATCACAAGCATCCTTATAAGAGGGAAGCAGAGGGACGTCTGACTCAGAAGGCAGAAGGCAATGTGACAATGGAAACAGAGAGATTTGAGAATGCCATGACATTGGCTTTGAAGATAGAGGAAGGGGCCATGGG
This sequence comes from Homo sapiens, assembly GCF_000001405.40. Lineage (NCBI taxonomy): Eukaryota > Metazoa > Chordata > Mammalia > Primates > Hominidae > Homo > Homo sapiens. The sequence goes on from NC_000013.11 coordinate 42,350,743, forward strand.
CAAGCAATGTTCTCTAGAAGCTGGAAAAGGTAAAGAAACAGATTTTCCTCAGGAGCTGCTGAGTGGATGTGGCCCTGCCTATATCTTGGTTTCTGCCCAGTGAAACCCATTTTGGACTTCTGGCCTCCAGTAAGAGAGCAGGTTTCTGTTGTTTTAACCCACAAAGTTTGTGGTAATTTGTTATAGCCCCCAGAGGAAACTAATACAATGACTTCATGTTTGAGCAAATGCTTTGCACTCCCCAGAGTAAAAGAGGAGAGCCCTGACCAAGGGTCTAGAACAATACCACCCAATAAGGTAGCCATTGGCCACAGGGGACTGCTGAGCACTCGAAAGCTGCACTTTAACTAGGGCAACTGGGGTGAAGCTGTAAGAAATTTGGGTGATTTAAAAAAGAGTCATGTAAATCCGTTGGGTCTAGGGGAGAGCAATGCATTTGCATTTGGTGGGCCCTCCCTTGCCGCAGCTTCAGTAATGGATGCATGATCCAGGTCCGGCCAATAATGATATCCTATCCTTAGGGCCACAGTAATTGGCCTGATGGTCTAGTCCTGAGCCGGACCAATCAGGGTCCTCTCCAGAGATTTGATATGACCGCTGGGATGGCGGGCTACCACTCTCTCCCCAAGACTTGCTGAGCTGGGGATTAGAAAGACTGGAACCCTCTGTGACCTGGTGCTCCCTTCTCCCTCTGCATAGGGGGTGTGCGCCACAGCAGAGACAGTAAGGCTGACACGCAGAGAGAAGACCGGGACTGGCAGGCATGGGTATAGAGAGAGACACTGCCCTGATTACATTTTGGGAGTTGCTGGTGTCCCTAAGGCCAGATTTACCCAAGATCACAAGGGTAAAGGATCGCAAGACCCGGAGTTGTAGGAGCCCCTTTAGCCACTACATGGAGTGAGCTTGCCAGGAATGGAGCACGCAGAGTAAGGTGAGTCTGGAAGACCGGGAGAAAGAGCTGACATCCCGAAGACGGCTTTTGAAATTCCAGGATCCAGTGTGCCTGAGGCTAGCCTGACCTCTTTGCTGTCCCAATCATGGGAACAAATAAGATCCCCCTTTTTTCTTACATATTTTGAGTTTGGCTTTTTCACTGGACCAGTTGAATTTTATTCATACAACTAGCAAAGCTACTGTGCATTATTTGAAATAAGATTTTTAAAAATTTACATTTGCACTAGGAAGAGAAAAAGAAATTATTTAGAGATTCTTGATTAGGCAGTAGGATAAATAACCTATTTTACAGCAGCCCTGTTAATTACTGCAATAAATCCAGGCCCCAGAAAATCAATTGCCTCCTGTTAAGTTCCATTTCATCCATCCTCCCCACCCTCCCATTCCTAGGGTTCAGTTGTGGTGACAAAGAAGGCACAGGGTCTGTGATCTCAGTGACATTTTCTCCATTATTATTTATTTTTAATTGACAAATAAAAATTGTATATATTTATTGTGAACACAGATTTTTTTTTTTTTTGACGGAGTCTTGCTCTTATTGCCCAGGCTGGGGAGCAGTGGTGCAATCTCAGCTCACTGCAACCTCTGCCTTCCAGCTTCAAGCTATTCTCCTGCCTCACCCTCCCAAGTAGCTGTTATTATTATAGGCACCTGCCACCACGTCTGGCTAATTTTTTTGTATTTTTAGTAAAGATGGGTTTTCACCATGTTGGCCAGGCTGGTCTTGAACTCCTGACCTCAGGTGATCCGCCCACCTTGCCCTCCCAAAGTGTTGAGATTACAGGTGTGAGCCACTGCGCCCGGCCACAACATGATGTTTTGAAATATGTATACATTGTGGAATGGCTCAAACCAGGTAATTAATATAATCATTATCTCACATACTTAATTTTGTGATGAGAATACTTAAAATCTACTCTTAGCAATTTTCAAAAATGCAGTACATTGTTGTTAACTATAGTATCCATGTTGTACAACAGACTGTTGAACTTATCCCTCCTGTCTGCTTATATGTTGTATCCTTTGACCACCATCTACCCCTAGCCCCAACCTCTCCAGTCTCTGGTAACTAGCATTCTACTCTCTACTTCTATGAGTTCAACCTTTTTAGATTTCACATGTAAGTGCACTCACATAGTATTTGTCTTCCTGTACCAGGCTTATTTCACTTAACATAATGTCCTCTAGGTTCAGCCATATTATTGTGAATGACAGGATTTCCTTCTTTCTTAAAACTGAATAGTATTCTGTTGTGTATATATAGTACATTTCCTTTTTTTTGAGGTATATACATTTAAAATATATTTTTTATTACGATAGTAAAATATGCTCATTGAAAAAAAATACCCAAACAACATAGGAGGAAATAAAGTGAAAAGTAAAAATATCCCCCTTCCCCAAGGCTTCTAAGCTTCTTTCAGAACTCAAGGTCTACGCTTTTAGACTTTTGTATATAGCATGTTTTCTTTATCTATTTATTCATTGATGAAGGTTGATTCCATGTCTTGGCTATTGTGAATAATGCTGCAGTGAACGTGGGAGTATAGATAACTCTTTGACATGATGATTTTATTTCCTTTGGAAATATACCCAGAAAGGGGATTGCTGGATAATATGGTAGTTCTATTTTCAGTTTCTTAAGGAATCTCCACATTGTTTTTCATAGTGGCTGTCCTCATTTACACTCCCACCAACAATGTTTAAGGATTCTCTTTTCTCCACATTCTCACCAGCATCTGTTATCTTTTGTCTTTTGAATACTAGCCATTCCAACAGATGCAAGGTGATAGCTCATTGTGGTTTTGATTTGCATTTGCCTTATGATTAGTAATATTTAGCATTTTTTCATATACCTATTGGCCATTTGTATGTCTTTATGTCTTCTTTTGAGAAAAGTCTATTCAGGAATCTCAGTGACTTTATTGCTTTTTATCTTTGTCCTGCTGATGATGACTTGGAAAGTTTTAAAATATAAAACCTACAAGGTGGGGATTTTTTTTGTCTGTTTTGCTCCCTGTTATATATCTAGTGCCTAAAAGTGCCTGGCTTATAATAAGCACTCAAAAAATATTTTTGAATGAATGAATTAATGCATAGCAGCAACATTTACTTTGCACCTGTTGTGTTAAGTATGTTAAGAGATGCAAGGGAATTGAAGAAGCTAGGAATGGTTCCTGGGCCCTCACAGAAATTACGGATTAGTTTTCATTCAAATCCTTTATTTTTAAATTTATTAAAGACTGATAGCCTGAACATCATTGAATTTGTTCTTTTATATTTGGAAAATATGCTTCCAAGAGCATCGGTGTTCGTAGAGATTCTCACATTATCTGGTTCAGGGATTTCCTTGGATACTGCGAATTTGTAAGGATTAAATGCTTTAAAATTATAGACTCCTTGGAAAGCCCCAAGCTGATCTTATAAAGTACAACCACCTTTTTGTTTTTAAGCATAGGAAGTAGATGACTGAGAGAATAGGATGATTTAATTACACATCTGGGGTGAAAACATGGCAGTGTATTCTGTGTTACTCATGGAGCAAATATAATTCATTCAAGCAAGCCACGGAAATTGTGAATACAACTACCATAATGACTTGGTGATGATGGCTTTCTGAATGCCACCAGTCAGTCCACCTTGGGAGACTGATTTGCCAGAGGCCTCTCCTTTCTATCTGTGCTTCTGAACTGGGCTTGAATCAAAGCCAACCTACTGCCACTGCTCTAACTTGACTGCATTGTTTATGGTAATCCACGTGGACCCTGAAACCTGGTCGTCTGATGCACTACATGCATGCACAGACTGAGGGCAGCCTTCTCAGCATCAGCACAACCTCTGCAGTGAGTACTGCTCATAAGATCAGTGCAGGGAGCAGCAGATGTTTGCTCCAACCTTCTGCAGTACATGTAGTAGCAATCGCAGGGCTGAGGCTCTGTGGGCAGAGCCCACGTGGGCAGTCTCCCAATTTCCTCCTAGGGAGAAATGCATACAGAGGCTTAGCACCACAGTTGGGTGCTGTTCACTTCTGTCTAGTTAAGGAGTCATTATTAGCCAGAAAGGAACTATGATGTCAGTTTGGTCTTTGTGGATTTCCTGACTCAGTGTTTATGAAGGAGACACATTAGTAATGGTCTAAGATATCTGGTCCAATTTGTATCAAACAATAGTCGTTTCTCATTTTCCATTGCTGTGGTAATTTTAATGCATTCTCCTCTGTGAGGCAGTGGAAATAAATACCATGGAGGAAGATTCAAGGAGATGGTGCTTTTTTAGTCTTTTTTCCCTTCTAGCAACAGGATGAGGGTGTAAAAAAGGTCATGGACCAAGGCAATTTGGAGAATCATTATTTTCAGAGTCTGTCCTGTAATGACAGAGCTGTGGCTTTGTGTGCTCTATCTTCCCCAAGGATCCAGTGTCCAGAGTCAGGGGTGTTTCTGAGCCTGAGCACTCTGCAGCTCTCCGAGAGACCTGCACAGGAGTGCTGAGATCCTGCTGGCTTCCCTTTCTTATCTGTGAAGTGAAGATCTGAGAGCTGAGCCCTGCCTACGTTCAAGGGGTGGGAGAGTATCTGTGAGGCTTTTAGGCCTTTGAAGGCAGGTGCTGTAAGAGTGTGAGATAAAAGTTTCCGGAGATGAAACAGTGATCAGGAGGCCTCTGGAGGGCTGCCATCACTGCAGCTGATTTTCCCCTCTCTCTCACCAAGCCCTTGTCATTCAGTTTGTGGCCAGGTAAAGACTTAAGTTGAGGCGGGGAACATGGTACTGTAATGGCCTGTGAGGTCTCCTTCCTCATCCCTCCACTGGGGAAATGGGAAAGAAGAAAGGAGAGAAAGAAGGAAGGTTTGAGGGGGAGGGAAGGGGAGGTCTTTGATGGCATCTGTTCCTAAGAGCTCAGGAGGAGAGAGGCATTAAAGCTGCCAAGTGCCGGCTGCTTCCAGGATGTCTCATGCTCCTTCAAGCCCTTCTGCAGTTGTGGTCCTCTGAGCTAGGGCTGCCCTTGTCTCCGTCCTCACCTGGGGACTGGTGAAGCTCTCACTGGTATTGGCCTGGTGGGGGGTCAGGTGTCTTGGTCTTGGTGAGTACCCCGCTGTAGCACATGGTGTCATCCTGCACCATTCATTGTGTGTCTGACTCTCCCACTAGGCTGAACTCTCTAAGGATAGGCTGGGATTTATCCATCTTTACACCACCTCCCCCAGTTCTGAGTCCCAAGTGCCTAGCACAGAACCTGCCTAAGAAGGGAGACTGATGGTTCAAGAGGAACACCCCCATATCAAGCCCAAGAGAGCGCCTATGCTCCAGCAATGGAAGGTCCTCTCGGCACAGCCATGCTGCAGGGTAGAGTTGGAACATGACAACTGTGAATCTGGTTAATTTTATATCCACCCCACATCCTCTTCATCTCCATGTCTGTCGTTTGTACAGCTTCTGTACTATACATCTCTTTATAGGTGAAGCTACAGTCTCATTTATATTCACAGGCTGCGTTTGTACTTCCTAACATCCACTCCTCTCCCGCAGCCCAATACTCTGCACATAGTAGGTGCATCTGACATGTCTGTATACTCGAAGTTTCCTCAGCCTACATGAGCCTGGGTGGCTGTGATAGGCTGAATAATGGCTCCCAGATATGTTCACTTCCTGAAAACGTCATCTTTCTAAGGATCTTGAGATGGGGAGATTATCTTGGATGATCTGAGTGGGCCTGAGGTAATCATAGCAGTTCTTATAAGAAGAGTGAGTCAGAGGAGAAGGTGATGTGGCCACAGCTGCCTAGGTGGGAGTGATGAATATGGAGGAAGAGGCCACAAGCCAAAGAATATATGTGGCCACTAGTAGCCGAAAAAGGCAAGCAAATGGATTCTCCTCTGGAGCCTCCAGAAGGAACTGGCCCTGCCAACACCTTGGCTTGAGCCCAGTGAGACTGATTTTGGATTTCTGACCTCCAGACCCGTAAGAGAATAAATGTTTTAAGCCACAAAGTTTGTGGTTAATTTGTTACAGCAGCAATAGGATGCTGTACAGTGGCACACCTGGTACCAGTGCTCTGGGGCAACTTCAGAATGGTACAAAAGTCATGCTGAACTGAGGAATGGAGGAAACAGGTACAGATGGATCTGCTGACTTGCAGCCTTCTTCTGGCTCTTAGGACGAGGGGTACTGTGGCCTTCCAGCTTTGTGCCTCTCTAGGACTTAAATGAACCACTCTGGCTGGAGTAGTTCCTTGGTGAGGATGCAGCTGCTGGGAGTAGCCAACAATGCTTCATGGTGCCTGGGGCTCCCCACCTTGGGGCTCATCCCCCTCTTCCTTAAAATCACCTGCAGTGACACAGACCAGGGTCTAGCTTTTGGTTCTTCCCCAAAACACATTTCCAGAAAACAGGAACTAATACTCCTAGGGAAAATGAGCTTCCAGATAATAACTACCTTAAAAACAATAAATTGGACAGCTTTAGCATTCAAAACAGTCACTGAACATTAGAGCATGATTAATATACCCAGAGGGATAAGGGACAATATTAGTGATATGAAACAAGTTGAGAAGCAAAAAGGAACAAAATGGAAATATGTATGAGAAATTTAGAAATAAATAGTGTGGTGAAGTGATTAATACTCAGAAGAATACAGCTGAAAGTAAGCTTGTGAGTTAGAATATCAGATTGAGGCCAGGCATGGTGGCTTATGCCTGTAATCCTAACATTTTGGGAGGCCAAGGTGGCAGGATCGCTTGAGCTCAGGAGTTAGAGACCATCCTGGGCAACATAGTGAGAACTTGTCTCTACAAAAATGTTAAAAAATTAGGTGTGCGGGTGTGAGCTTGTGGTCTCAGCAACTGGAGAGGCTGAGTTGGGAGGATCGCTTGAGCCCAGGAGGGTGAGCCTGCAGTGAGTCATGTTCATACTAGTGCTCTCCAACCTAAGTGACCGAGTAAAACTCTGTCTCAAAAAAAAAAAAAAAAAAAAAAAAAAAGAAGAAAAACAAAGAAAGAAAAGGAAAGAATATCAGATTGAGGGACTCTCCTAGAAGTTTGCAGGAAAGGGTCAAGAGATAGGAAATTGAGAAGAAAAGCCAAAGCTAAGGACACAGATAGAATTAGTGGAAATATCTATTATTCATCTAATAGGAGTCCCAGAAAGAAAAATACAAAAAAAAGAAAAGAAGAAATATTTGGAGAAATAATGGAGATTAAATAATGGAGATTAACAGATGCAATTACAGATGCAAAAACATATTAAAAGACCCCTAGCAAGATAATGAGAACCCCACACCTAGATAGATTACAGTGAAATATGGGAACATCAAAGACAATGAAAATAGACTATTTATTAAGCCATAAAGGAAGTCACCATAAAGACCAAAGGATGAGTATGTAGAACATAGTATAGACTATGTTTTACAACTATAAAATAATATAGGCCTATTTCACTGTTGGATGTAGATGCATAATCCTTAAATAAAACATTAGCTAACTAAATCCAACAATGTTTTTATAAACCCATCATGATCTCATAGGAGTATGTTGATAAATGCAAGAATAACATTAAATGGATCATAGCATTAAGAAGAGATTTTAAAGGTATAAACCTGGATAAAGTAAGAAATAGGTGAGATATTCACAAAATACATTTTACATAAGTCAAAAGCACATGCACACAAAACACCAATATACCTTTTGCAGGAACTTATACAAACAAAAAGAGGCATGATGAACAAGTCAGAGTGGTTGCCTAGGCATAGGGTGATAGAAATAGAAGTGGGGACTGGGGATAAAAGGATATAGAAAAGATTGAAAGGACAATCTGAGTGTAGCATGGAATACTGAAACTCAGTTATTCCTCCTATCCTCTCCCAAGATAGATCTCCTACATGGCCACGGCACTTTGCAATTCGTCTTATGAAGAGGTGGGGTCTACTTTCCAATTTTTTATATTTCACCTTGTGACTGTCTTTGATCAGGTTTCTTTGTGGAAGTTCTGATACTAAGTCTCAAGATGCCACATGGCTTCTGCTAGTACTGCTGGGAACTCTGAAGCCATCAGATGATCATGCTTGAGCAGCCTTTGGATGTTGAATAACTATGCGGATAATCGTACATAAAACAATTCTCAGCAAATGCAATAGAACTGAAATTATACCAAACACACTCTGAGACCACAGCACAATAAAAATAGGAGTCAAGAATAAGAAAATCACTCAAAACCATGCAATTACATGGGAATTAAACAACATGCTTCTGAATGACTTATGGGTAAATAATGAAATTATTTTTCTAAAAATACAAATCAGATCCTAACTGGTTCTTGCTTAAAATCCTCTTTGCTAATAGGATAAAGTCAACTCTTTTACCAGGGCTCTCCAAGCCTCCTGTGATCTGGATCCTATCACCTTTCTGCCCTCACTCAGCTCCCGTGAAATCTTTTAACATCGTATGCCTCCGTCCCTTTATACACCTGCCTCACTTTGTGTTTCTTCTTCTGGTTCTCCCAGCAGATTCCTATTCACTCACCAGCAGTCAGCTTATGTTCATTCCTCTGGCAAGCCTTTCCCACCTCTCCTTACTGAACCATTCTGGGTGCCGCCTCGAATCTCACATCTGTTGTAGTCTCTGTATGATGGTGCTTTTCAACTAGACCTAAGCATCAACATCGTCTGTGTGCAGCTTTTAACATTTAATGATCCCCGGACCTTATTGCTAGGGATTAAGTTCAGGAGTTTGTGGAGTAGAAAGTCCTCTGACATGGAATTGCTTTTCTATGTGTTGGTTTCTTTCAACAGTGGTGAAGAGCAAGGATTCTGGAGCAAGACTGCTTGAATTTGAATTCTGGCTCTGCTACCTGGCTGCTGAGTCATCTCTAGTTTTTTTCACATTATCTATAAAACGAGAATAATAACACTAATGTCTTAAATGTGGTGAGGATTAAGTTAGTAATACATGTAAATCCCTTAGAACAATGCCTGGTAACTATTCAATACATATGAACTATTATTTGCTGTTACCAAAAGTGTTCAGAGCAGAAACTGGGTTGTCAATTCTTTGAATTCTAAGGCCTAGCACCTTGCCTGGCTCATGGGCTGGCATTTAGTAAAAGGTTGAGGAGCTGAATTAAAAATTATAATTAATGTGGGAAGAAAATTGGAAGATAAGATGGGGGTAACTTCCTGCTTTATCAGAAGTTCTTAGCGCAATAAAAGTCAGTAGCCCATCTGATTTTTGTCCAAAGATGAGCACCAGCAGACTGATACGGAGTGAAAATAGCTCCAGCTAGATAAGATGCAGAAATATGGAGAAGAAGCTGGGCAGCCTCTGGAAGATTTGTTGGAAAAGCTTTTGTATTTTTCCAAATATATTGCTTGGTAAATGAAACACTGAATAAATATAATATATATTCATGTTAAGTAGTGGTTTTAAAAAATTACATGATTTTATCAGCTTTCATGTTAGTGCTGAATGCAGTCTTAGACATCTTGACTCTTCAGATCTCTGTTTTTCCTTATTTATAAATGAAGGAAAATTGCAGTGGTTTCTCTAAAGTCACGTGACCACTTGTGCCAAAATCAGGACCCGTGTCGGTGCTGGGCCCACTACAGCCTGCTGCCGCCGTTGTAATGAGCTGTGATTATTATACAATCCAATACATTCCCTTCTGTCAGGCCTGCTCCTCCTCTGGTTATGATCAATGACATCGCTCCTGTCCTAGCTGCCTTGGGTTGGTTAGTGTTGACCAGAGCGCAAATCTATCAAGTGAGAAGAGGGAAACAGAGCCGTTTAGTAGAATGTGTAAGTCAGTGAAGCAGGAAAACATACATAGATTAGCACATGAGTGTGGGAATGCAAGCACAAAACCATGGAAGGCTGGTACTCTCTTCAGAGTGAGATAAGCCAAGAGGACTTTTTTTTTTTTCTCTAGCCTGATAAGTAGGCTTAAATTCTTCACAAACAGTAGACTTCAGAAATAGTATTTCCAGGTGCCCTCAGTTGTGGTAATTTAGTTCATCATAATATGTTGATGTATATTTTAATGAACTGTGTTCAGTTTTATTCTTTCCAAGATTATAAAGCACATTGCCTCATACATAGAAGCAGGCAATAAGTGATATGTTGAATTGAATTCAACTGCACTGCAGAGCTGTGGTCCAGCGCCATCAAAAATCAAAGAACTAGATAGTTTCTCTCAATGGCCCTTTCACTCAAATTTATCTGTACAAGTCAGTTGATTTCATTAGTATTAAATTTCATGAAATGACTGGGGATAGGTGTGCATTTTGATTTTCTCCAGTTTTTGGGAAACTTCTAGGCCATCCCTAGCTGCGTGACCTTAGCCTGTGTTTTTTTGTTTGTTTAACTCTGGAAGCCTCATATTTCTCCTCTTTGAAACAAGGGTAACAAAATTGGTAGCACAAGAGGGTTGTATATGTATTTTTTTTCTTTTTTTTTTTTTTTTTGAGATGGAGTCTTGCTCTGTCACCCAGGGTGGAGTGCAGTGGCATGATCTCAGCTCACTGCAACCTCTGCTTCCCGGGTTCAAGCGATTCTCCTACCTCAGCCTCCTGAGTAGCTGAGACTACAGATGCAAGCCACCATGCCAGCTAATTTTTGTATTTTTAGTAGGGACAGGGTTTCACCATGTTGGCCAGGCTGGTCTCGAACTCCTAACCTTAAGTGATCCGTCCATCTCAGCCTCCCAAATGTATATGTATTTCTGAGTGGCTGAATGCACCAGTAAAACATCTAGCACACAGCAAACACTCCAAATATTTTGCTCCCTACTGCTATTTCACCTTTTCCCTTACCTTTCTTTCTTCCTTTCAAGGATAGCAAATTATCCTTGCCTCGGACATTTAGATTATCTAAGGAATTATTATTTAATTTCTGGGGAAGTAGCTAATCCTGATTAATACTTCTCCCTCAGTTCCATCTCATCCTTCTTAATGCAAGTGGTTACAGGAATGGAAAGAAACCTATAAGTGGTCGGTTGTTGCAGCCTCCAAATAGAAGATGGCTATTGTACGAGTAGAACGAGTGTGCCCTTAATTAAGCACTTTGACTGTAGGCATCACCTCCTACATAAAAGATGAGATCTAGACCCGAGATAGAGCGCTGAAAAAGGAAGTTAGAGTATGTAACAACTAATTTATTTCTGTAGATTTTCCATCCACTGGCCTGACAAGGCAGCTGTTCAGAGGCTCCTGCTGCATAAACAAAAGCCAGAGCTTTCCAGAAAGGGGCTGCTGAACTGCACGCCATGACTTCCTGGATATATTCCTCAAATTACATAATATTAAAAAAAAACATGGCAAGAAATGATGCGGAATGGGAAGTGGAAACATGGCAATAAGGAGTTAAGCCACTGAATTCAGGCAATTCTTATTAGTATTTCTGGTGATTTTCTGTACTTAAATTTTGTCTCCAATTAACATATGTTAGGAGTAGAATCCTTTTTTTTTTTTTTTTTTTTTTTTTGAGACAGAGTCTTACTCTGTCACCCAGGCTGGAGTCCAAATTGTGTGGTTTCGGCTCAATGCAACCTCTACCTCCCGGGTTCAAGCAATTCTCCTGCTTCAGCCTCCTGAGTAGCTAGGACTACAGGCACATGCCACCACACCCAGCTAATTTTTGTATTTTTAGTAGAGACGGGGTTTCACTATGTTGGCTAGGCTGGTCTCGAACTTCTGACCTCATGATCTGTCCGCCTCGGCCTCCCAAAGTGCTGGGATTACAGACGTGAGTCACTGCGCCCGGCCAGAATCACACTTTCATAAGTGATCCTAACAAAGGCCTCATCCAAGAAGGAGTTGAAGGGAGAAGTATCCTGTGCCTCTAGAGGGAAACAAGTTTGAGTGTGTTGGCAAGAGGGGTCTCCAAGAGACTGAGGAGGCAGTCCTGGAGATGGACGATTGTGGAGGTTAAAGAAATGCCTTTTTTAAAAAAAAGTTCCAAGCTTAAATATTTTTACGTTATACATGCTTAAGGTAAAAATTTAATTCAGGATAGAGGGGAACTTGATATCCAAACCTTTAGGAGTAATGACTCTTAACAAATTGATAAACGTCCTTCCAGACATCTTTCTGTGCATTTATTTATTTAAAATATGTGCATATAATTTTACATAAATGGTATTATGCAACTTGCATTTTTCTCAACCATATATCTTAACAGATTTCTATGGTCAAATGATAAAGGTTTTCGTCATTATCGTTAATGGCCCCGTTATTATTTAAAGAGTCTCCTTTGATTGGCTATGGGAAGCAATGCTGTAATGAATATCCTTGGGCATATTCTTTTCCATTTGGGTGATAATCACTTTAGGTAAGTTTCTAAAAAGTTAGTTTATTGGGTCATTTAACATTTTGATACATATTATATAAATTTATGCTTTGATACATATTATATAAATTATACTTCCACAAGTGATAACATGAATGCCTGTGCCTCACACCCTAATAGGGGTTATAAATTCCTTGTCTTTTGTATATACTGCAAATATTTTCCTCTAGGTTAATTTTTTTTCAATTCTTTCTAATGATGTGGTGATGATTTAAACTTAAATTTTTCAGTCTTAATTTCTGGTTTGGTGGTGGTGGTGGTGTGTGTGTGTGTGTGTGAGAGAGAGAGAGAGAGAGAGGGAGGGAGAGAAAGAGAGAGAGAGATAGAGAAAGAGATGCTTACTTTTATTCCCTCAGCTATGGAAATATTCTACCATATCATTTTATGGTACTTACTTAATTTTATTTTTCAAGTCTTCAAATCTTTGAGATATCTGGAATTTATTTTAATACAGAGAAAGGGGTATGGATCTTTTTGTATTTCTCGCCCCCCTCCAAATATCTACCTAATTTTCCAACAACATCTTTCATTAAATGTATCATATTTTCCCCATTGATATTAAAATTGATCTTTATTTTCTACATGTTTGAACCTATTATGAGATTGTTTATTGTTTCTATTCAGTTTATCATTTGACCTATTCCTGCACTAGTGACTCATTTATAAAATTATTATTGTTATGTATTTTAAATATATGACGGGCAAGTTCCCTATTGCTGACCCCACCTCCAATTTTTCTTGTTTCTAAGATGGATATTTTTTCATGTTTTTCTGCCAGCAATCTTTCAGAAGCATTTCTGATTGACTTTTGGATCATACCAAATTTACAGATTAATTAGGAGAGCGGAGATCTCCATAATATTAATTTTTTTATCGATCAATACCTTTCTTGTTTATTCATATTGTTTTTATGTCTATCAGTACTGTTTTATGTTTTATATGTTTTTTCCATAGAGTCCCATGCATTGCTCATGAAGTTTATTTTTAGTTATTCAGCAAAGTGTAATGTTTTGTACCATGTCATGACAGCTACTCAGGAACCACTTTTTCCAGAGTTTTTTCCCCTGTTGACCCAGGTTAGGGTTGGCTACAAGAGAAACTTGCATGGACTTTGGAGTCAGAAATGAATCAATAGTTGTCAGTCAGAGGTGGTGAAGGACAGATGCAGAGGTCCTGATGGGTTTCAGTTTGTCCTTGTTTCTCCCAATGCCATATCTTCCTTCTCTGTCCTCTGCTGACCCCACTGACAAGCAGTGACTCCAGGTGCCTCCAGTTCACCCCATTGGCAGTGACTCCAGGTGCACCCACAGATATTTCCCTGAAGCTCACACAGTGACAACCATGAGGAGGCACCAGCCTTCCATGGACTTCCGCACCAGTCCCCCTTTGGGTTCCTCTGCAGCAGCTGCGTGTGCCTCACATCCTGCAAGCTCTGACTCATGTACCCACCTCAGGGATAGGGAGTGACTTTTCTCTGATCCCTTTCAGAGCTCCACTTTCCTAGTTTCTCTCACAATTTTCTAAGGCGCAATTCAGATAATAAATGTCTTATTCCTTAATATTTGCAGTAGTTCTGCTTCCCTGATCAAATTCTAACTGGTTCACAAAGGGTGGAGAAAATGACACACAGGACAGGCTGATGCAGATCTGTGAGGAAGGCTTCAGACTCAGGGCCAGCGGGAGGCATGGCATCATTCACTCAAGAACAGGATGCACTGGGGTTTTAACTCCAGGAGAGGAACCCTGGTATTTCTACTGCCTTCTGTGCTTGTAGAGGAGTTGGAAGGGGCAGAGTCGAAATCAAGTTAGCAGGACCTAGGTTTTGCAAGTGAAATCACAGCTTTGCTAGTGTGAGAAGTGATTGGTGCCCACCCACTAATTACTTGGGAAGTTGCCTGTAGGGGCTTAGAGCTTTCTGCTGAGCCAGAGTTGCTGACTCCCTGAGGGAGGGCAGCTGAAGGCATCTAGGAGCTAACTGGCTCTTCCCAAATAGCTATTTCATGATTTTGTTGCTATTGGACACAGGCATGTGCAGCTTGTACTAAAATTTTTAACTGTTATTTGTCTATAGGAAAGCAATTGATTTTCCACATATCGGTTTAGTAAGCTTCCACTTTACTAAGCTCTGATTATTTCAGCTGTAAATATAATTCTCCTGCTTTCTTTCCAATATAGACTCATTGTGGCTTTCTGTGCAATTGCATTGATTAGATTGTTCAATGTTAAATGTAAATGGTGATTGAGGAAAACTTTCTGGTTCTTGATTAATTTGAAGCATGTTTGACTCTTGATTACAGGCACATAGATGCACACACAGACACACACACACACACACACACACACACACACAGAGAGAGAGAGAGAGAGAGAGAGAGAAATAAGTATCATGATAAGGAGGTATCCATCCATTCCTATTTTACTGAATATTTTGATCAGTAGGAATATTTATCAAAAGCATTTTTGGAATTTACAGAGATGCTAATTTTTTTTTCTCTTGACCAATTTACATGGTAACTTTTATAAATGATTTTCTCAGTTTGAACAATCTTGGCATTCTTAAAATAAAACTCTTAATTATATGCATTATCTCTTTATTGTATGAATAATACATGAATATTTGCTTTTTTATTTTTGGCTACTAAAATATTTGCCAATATTAAATTTTTCTCTTGGATAAATATTCAGGAACAAAACTATAAGGCAGTTATTTCTGTTTGTTGTCATGATCGAGTTTTGGGATCAGAGCTATGTAAGTCTTAAAAAAATGGGAAAGTTTCAGATTTTTTCTTTGTCTAAAACCCATAAATATCACAGAGATTATCTATGTCTTGAATGTTTGTTGTAACTTTTCTATAAAATTAATCAGGCCTTATCCACTTTCAGGGTGTAAATCTTTACCTGTGTTTTCAATTAAAAAAATAGTTTTTCTATCTCTTCTTGAGCAAATTCTGTTAATTTTAATTTCCTACAATTATTATAGTCATAAGTTTTTTACACAGTATTCCTTTATGAAAAAATCTGATCTCTATGTAGGGTTATAAACTCTCTAAAAAATTCCCAATATTATGCAGTTGTGCTTTCTATTCTCACAGGTTAGTTTATTTTAACATCTATTCAATGGTACATCTTATTCATTCTGATGCTTTTATTTTTTTCTAAATAATTTATTTCTGATTATTATTTACTCCTTTTTAATTTTGTTTTTTTAGCTTCTTAAGTTGAATGCTTTTTTGATTTAATTGAAATTTTTCTTATGTGATAACAATGTTAAAAGTAATGGATTTTCTATTGAAAGTGACATTGGCTATATTTTTTGAGTTTTCTATGGAGTATTCCTACTGCCATTAATTCTTAAAGAATGTATAATTCAAGTTTTACTTTCCTTTTGATGAAAGAATTATTTATAGATCAAATTTTTATTTCCAGGAAGATACTTTTTAAATTTTATTTTGTTGTCAGTTTCTAGTTTTATTGTATTGTGGTCAGAAAATTAATAAGTATCTCACTGGACTGTGAAAATAAGGTATATTATTTGGTTTGATGTATGTGGTATCAATATCTTGTTTATGCTACTGATATTTGTATTTCTACCCATGCCTTTTCCTGAAGTATAAGTATACCTCAATTTCAAACTTTCTTGTCAATGTCGATATGTTTTACATGTGTCTTATGAACTGTGTACATCAAATATATGAATTTTGCTTGTATCTATTTTTATTTATTTAAACAATCCTTTTACTTCAGAATAGTTTTAGATTTACAGAAAACTTGTTAGTACAGAGTTTCCCATATATCCTTACCTAGTTTGCACTATGATCAACATCTTTTATTGGTTTGGTACATTTGTCACAGGGAAATTGTGCGGTTTCTTGAAAAAGTCAATAAAGTTGATCAAATTGCTAGCCAGACAAATGAAGAAAAAGAGAGGAGATACAAATTCCTTATATCAAAAATGAAAAAAGTGTCATTACTACTTATCCCATGGACATTCAAATGGTGACAAAGGAATATTATAGATAATTCTATGCCCCACCCCCCCAAATTTGACACTTAAATATAATGGACCAATTTCTTGAAAGACACACAGTACAAGGGGAAATATATGGAATATATGGGAAACTCACACAAAGGGAAATAGATATTGTGAATAGGCATATATCTATTACAGAAATTAAGTCAATAACTAATAACCTTCCGAAAAAAAAAAAAAAAAAAAACACCAGCCCTGGATGGTTTTCCTGGTACATCTACCAAACATTTACCAAAGAAATAATAGCAATTTTCTATAATCTCTTGTAGATAATAGAAGCAAATGGAGCACTTTCTGGCTTATTCTTGAGTGCAGAATCACCCTAATACCAAAACCAGATAAAGACACAATGAGAAAGGAAACTATAGATCAATATCTCTCATGAAAATAGATAATAGATAAAAAAAATCCTCAAAAGATATTAGCAAATTGAATCCAACAATATATAAAAATTAGAATATGCCACAACCAAGTGGAATTTATTCCAGGCATGTGAGGTTGGTTTAACATTTGAAATATAGTTAATGTAATCCATCACATCAAGACACTAAAGAGACAGTAAAAAGGTTAGTGTTTGCCAGGGGTTGGGAGGGTGGGGAGAAGAAGGATGAATACAGGTGAAACACAGGGGATTTGAGAGTGGTGAAACTGTTTTATACAATATTATAGGAGTAGATACATGACATTCTGCATTTATCAAAACCCATGGAACTGTATGACATAAGGAGTAAATCTTAATGTAAACCGTGAACTTTAGTTAATATAATACATCAATATTGAATCATTGATTGTAACAACTGTACCGCATTAGTGCAAGATGTAATAATAGGAGGAGAAACTGCATGGGTGTGGGGGGGGGGTATGTGGAAACTCTCTAAGCTATCTGCTTAAATCATAAACTGTTTTAAAAAAGGAAGTGCATTTTTTTTAAAGGAGCTCACTCTTTTATGATGCAATGTTGCTTTTCTATAGATTTAACAAGGTGCAGGAAGATGCAGACTGGGATGAATAAGCACCAAGCTGAATGAACTCCTTTACCCTGAAGAGATCTTGGCCCCTTTCACAACCTACCGTATCAACCTCTTAGCCTATATATATATTTTTTTGTCAGATGTTTGTTTTTATAATGAAAATACTCAAGCTCTTTTGTTCCTATGCAATAAAACATTTAGCAGTAGAATGCACTTTTTTTCGCCATACACTATGCCTAAGAGCCCTTATTGTACTGGGTATATTTGCAATATAAGGAAAAAGGCTATAGGGCTAAAAACCAAGTTAGAATCGCTTTCTGGCATTTTTTTCTGTAAATTGCTGATTCACTTTCTGACACTCTTGCTTTTAAATTAGTCTAAGGCAAGCACAGAAGCATACTTGATAAAAGGCTTTAAAAGAATCCTGATTGCTGGGGCTCCGGTCTTTCTGACCTTATTAAGTGGGGTTGGGGACATTTAAGCCTCTTCTCTTTTTTTGATCACCACTGCAGAGCTTGCTGAAATCTGAAAAGCTAACTTGTCCTGCTAGCCATCCATCAGGGGTAATTTAGAAGAAGAAGGCCAGAAAATGCTTTGCCTTTAAGAATAAAAGAGAATTGGTAATGGGGTTTTTATTTTATTCTGGTACCTAACAATATCTGCAGTGGCCAATTGCAAACTACTGTGATTTTAATGGTACAGAAGCATTAATCTATAATCAGATGATGTTAAATACATTATTCTATACTTGAGTTAATAGTCACTGGTGCTGCTAATGAAGTCAAGGGACACTAAGAACCCTAAATCCTTAAATATGATTAAATTAAATCCTTAAATTAGCATGGTAGGTTCTTCTGCCTCGGCAGTTTTCAAAGTGAGGTCCTGAAACCTTTTCAGTTATACCTGAAAAGAGTTTTTGCTGTTTTCATAATAATTCAAAGACACAATTTGCCCATTTCACGAGGTTGACTTTGCACTGATATTGGACAATTTTTCTTTTTTTGGCCTTGGATCTGCTTTGTTGACCTCAGAGCACACTTTGAATGCCATTAAAAAGCAAACCACATACACAACAGGAACTAGAACTGGATCTGAAGTCTTCTGAGGCACATGACCTCAGAAGAATTCTTCAACAAGGTGGATTTATACAAAATGCAGGGGAAATAAATGAGGCAATGTGGTGCTGAGTCAAAGGGTAACAGAGGAACAGTCAGTGACAGCGCAGGCAGACGATACCTCTTTCTCATAAGTGCGAGTGTAAACCGCAGTGCCCTGGGTGAGTGTCAGGATGAGTTTCCCATCACTTAGCTCTGGCACAAGTGTCCTCTCTTGCCCGTTACACTTCTGCAGGTGAAAAAGTTTGCTTCCATCCAGTGTCACAATGGACTTGACCTTTTTGTCATCTGCTGTTGTCTCATCGAACCCCATCCCCAGCTTAAAGCTGATCTCTGTGTTCTTGAACATGCTCTGTGTTTTTAAGGTGATAATGTCCCCATTCTTTTTGATGATTGTGGTAGGCTTTGTCATGCTAGCCACCTGCCTGATAGCAAAACTTGCACCGATTAACTTCATGTAGTCATCAAAATTCTTGCTGTCTGAGAGCTTCCAGGTGCACAGGAAGGCATCTACCATGGTGATGCTGGCCTAGACTGAGAAAGAAGCTGTGAGAGAGCAGGTGTGCAAGGAGTTGGACTGCCGATATTGGATGCAATTTTTGGTGCCTTAGGACCAGTTGAGGCAGTGGCACTAAACTGTGCTAATGCTCATTGTATTTTTCCCCACCAGACAGTGGCAATATAATTTGTGAGTATCGTCTTGCTTCAACTCATCCGTCATGACTTTCTCACAGCTATTAAAACATGTTTTACAAGCAGAAACTTACATTTTAGATGAATAAATGCAGGCTCCTGAGGAAAGGCACTTTCATGATTGTTTGAGCTGTGAGCTCAACTATCTGCTTTTCCATGGAACACCATATTTGTTTGAAAGGCCAACTGATAGACAGGCTGTGGCTATTCAGACTTGTATATTTGGCAGGCATTTTGTAAAAAATAAGAAATCTGAGTCTGACATCACAAGGAAAACAAATGACAGTATTTATAGCCAACGATAAAATTTGAGCTCTTAAGTGAAAATTAGAATTTTGGGATACTTGCATATGCCACCATGAGCTTGGCAGCTTTGCAATACTTAAAGGCTTTTCTAATGAGAACAGCGGTCATATGAATGGATGTAATGTTTTGATATTTATACTAGAAGTGTCACTGTTTCAAAGATCTGCTGATATTTTCCCAAAGACCAATGCATGATGTTGCAAAGTGACATGGTTTGGCTGTGACCTCACCCAAATCTCATCTTGAATTGTAACTCCCACAATTCTCATGTGTCGTGGGAGGAACCCAGTGGGAGGTGATGGAATTATGTGTGGGGGCGGGTCTTTAATGCACTGTTCTTGTGATAGTAAATGAGTCTCATGAGGTCTGATGGCTTTAAAAATGGGAGTTTCGCTGCATAAGCTTTCTTCTCTTGTCTGCCACCATGTGAAACACGCCTTTCACCTTCCACCATGATTGTGAGGCCTCCTCAGCCACGTGGAACTGTAAGTTCAATAAACCTCTTTCTTTTGTAAATTGCCCAGTCTCGGGTCTGTCTTTATCAGCAGCATGAAAATGGGCTAATACACAAACAAAATTCAAAATGTAAGGAAGACTAATGGATTTTAATGTAATGGTTTTAGATTCCACGTTGCAGCCCATCTTTAAGAAACTACCACTTGTTCAGGTTTGGTGCACTATCAGAGAAGAATATCCCGATGATCTGAAATGGCTATTATACTGCTTACCCTCCTTTCAATTGCATATCTGTGTGAGGCTGAATTTTCTTCATATACTTCAACCAAAAGCATACCTTGTAACAGATTGAATGCACAAGTGGATTTGAGAGTCCAGCTGTCCTCTAGTAAGCCAGATATTAAGGAAATTTGCAAAAATATAAAACAATGCCAGTTTTCTCACTGATTTTTTAAATTAAAATTTTAAATTTGTGATACATGTAGATTTGCAGAAAATTGTAGAAAATAATACAGTGTGTTGAGCACTGTGGCTCATGCCTGTAATTCCAGCTATTCAGGAAGCTGTGGCAGGAAGATCAGTTGAGCCCAGGAGTTCGAGGCTGTAGTGAGCTATGATTGCACCACTGCATTCTAGCCTGGGGAGAGAGTGACTCTATCTTTTTGTATGCATGTGTATATTTAGTTCTGTGCAATTTTAATGCATGTGTGGTTTCATGTTTCTTCTGCCACAGTAAAGATATTGAGAAGTTCCTTCTCTACAAAGGTCCCTCCTGTTGTCCTTTCATGACCATATGCACCTCCCTCCTCCCAATCCTTCTCCCTATGATATGTTGTTTTTTCTGTTTATGATTGTTCCATTTTATTATTAGTTGATGTTAATCTCTTTTTAATTTTTAATTGACATGTACTAATTGTACATCTCTGTGGGGTACAGTGTGATATTTCAATACCTTTATGCCATGTGTAATGATCAAATCAAAGTAATTAGCATATCCATCACCTCAAACATTGATCATTTCTTTGTGCTGAAACATTCTAGCTATTTGAACACATAGAACAAATTATTGTTAACTAGTCACCTTACAGCGCTAAAGAACACTAGAGCTCATTTCTCCTATCCAGCCATGATCCTGTATCCACTAACCAATCTGTCATCTCCTCTCCCTCCTTCCTCCCCAGCCTCTCGATCCCCCTGTTCTATCCTCTACTTCTATGAGAGTAATTTATTGAGCTTCCACATCAGTCTCACTGTTTTTTTTTGTTTTAAAAGATATAGTTCTTTTTTTTATAAGAATATGTTATTTATGTTAACAGGCAATGGGTTTATTCTTTTTTTTTTTTTTTTTTTTTTTTTTTTTTTTTTTGAGACGGAGTCTCGCTCTGTCGCCCAGGCTGGAGTGCAGTGGTGCGATCTCGGCTCACTGCAAGCTCCGCCTCCCGGGTTCACGCCATTCTCCTGCCTCAGCCTCCCGAGTAGCTGGGACTACAGGCGCCCGCTACCACGCCCGGCTAATTTTTTGTATTTTTAGTAGAGACGGGGTTTCACCGTGTTAGCCAGGATGGTCTCGATCTCCTGACCTCGTGATCCGCCCGCCTCGGCCTCCCAAAGTGCTGGGATTACAGGCGTGAGCCACCGCGCCCGGCCGCAATGGGTTTATTCTTATTTTGTTTTATTTTTTTGAGATGTAATCTTGCTCTGTTGCCCAGGTTGGAGTGCAGTGGTGCCATCTTGGCTCACTGCAACCTCCACCTCCTGGGTTCAAGTGATCCTCCTGCCTCAGCCTCCTGAGTAGCTGAGATCATACCCGGCTAATTTTTTGTGTGTTTTTAGTACACATGGCGTTTCACCATGTTGACCATGCTGGTCTCGAACTCCTGACCTCAAGTGATCCACTTGCCTCGGCTTCCCAAAGTGCTGGGATTGCAGGTGTGAGCCACCACCCCTGGCTTATTCTTATTTTAAAATAAGTTACTACATATTAAAGAATCTTTTAGTTTTAATTTCTAACCGCTAAATATTGATAGATGTAACCACATAAATAGAGATCTTTGGAGTTCTCAGTAGCTTTTAAGAGTTTAAAAGGGTCCTAAGA
This sequence comes from Homo sapiens, assembly GCF_000001405.40. Taxonomy (NCBI): domain Eukaryota; kingdom Metazoa; phylum Chordata; class Mammalia; order Primates; family Hominidae; genus Homo; species Homo sapiens. The sequence continues at coordinate 42,372,691 of NC_000013.11, forward strand.
CTAGAAAGTTGGAAAACCACAAGAAACAAGTCAACAGACACCATTATCTTTTGGGTTAACTCTCTTGAATTGTTAGTAATGTCTTCTTTATAGAGTCTCATTGAATTTTTTTTTTTTTTGAGGTGAAGTCTCACTCTGTCACTCAGGCTGGAGTGCAGTGGTGGGATCTTGGCTCACTGCAACCTCCAACTCCTGGGTTCAAGCGATTCTTCTGCCTCAGCCTCCTGAGTAGCTGGGACTACAGGCACACACCACCACAACAGCTAATCTTTTGTATTTTTAGTAGACATAGGGTTTCACCATGTTGGCCAGGGTGGTCTTGAACTCCTGACCTCAGTGATCCGCCAGCCTTGGCCTCCCAAAGTGCTGGGATTACAGGCATGAGTCACTGCGACTGGCTGAGTTTTTAATATTTCTCACAGTGCCCATGATAGTGCTGGGCCTAGTATTCACTCAATAAATATAAACAGAATTGATGTGAATATCTTCATCAAGTTTATAAGCTTCATCACTGTGGTTGTGGCTTTTTTGGCAACAATGGACCCTGCGTATATAGGCGTTGCTCGCCAATTCTAGATGTGACTTGGAAACTGTGTGACTTAAAATGTGAAGCAGCTACCTATTTACCTCAGGATTTATCACTTTAAATCATCTTCAGTTTGCATATCAACTGATGTGATGACTGACAGGTTCACTTTGGTCCCTGTTTCTTTTCATCAAAGTTAATGATCACTCATCAAACCTAGAGAAGAAACTTCATAGTCACTAAGGAAAAAAGGATACAAAATCCTTCCCCTTAAGGAATTTACAAATTAAGGTGATTATTCTTTTTAGAAAAACTTGTGGGAATTTACAGGGGCTGTGGTAAAGTGGGTTAAATACAACGAATCCTAAGACAGACAGAACCTACCCCGTGTCCCCTCGAGTGGGTGGCCAGGCAAGTATGATGACAGACACATGCTGAGACATACAGGTTTAGAGTTAGAAACTGTCAGAATCTCTATTATTTGGTTGAGCTTGTCATTGTGAGCTTCTGTGGAAAGGAGACAAAATTCTAATAGCCATTGCAACACTAAAAACTTCTCTGGGTTTAAAATTTTTTTAATTAAAGACATAAGACTCAAGTAAATATTAATACAACTGCTAATAATGACAGTAATAAAACTCAGGAAATTTATTTTAAACTCACTTATATCCAAAGTAGTTAATAACAATTTTTGACTTTCATTATGCCTTCCTCCAGCCATTTGTCATGACTTTCTAAAAGCTATTAAAACATGTTTTACAAATGGAAGTTTACATTTTAGATGAGTGGATGCAGGTGCTTGCAAAAAAAAAAAAAAACCACTTTGTCAACAAGAGGGTCCTTATTTCTATCTATTTAATGGAAGAAAATCAAAACGTAGAAATCTGCCATTTAATCATGCAAGGTAGCATCACCTCAATGTAATCAGCTAACCAAAATCTCCTTGTTCAATTTACTAGTCATAAACCCAATTATTTAAAATTCAGGAAACAGATAAAGTGACCTGCATAGTTAATTCAGTTTTTCCCCCTTAAAATACAATCACAATTATTTATTGAGCACTGACAATTGGAAAGGCACTGGGCTAGGTACTGGAAAGAATTATAAAATGACATGGAATCTCTTCCCGTGGCACTTGGTTCATGCTTCCTTTAATTTTTTTCCCCCACTTCAAAGTACTTGAGGTGTCCTAGTCCATTTTGTGCTGCTATAAGAAAATAACTGAGACTGGGTAATTTATATAGAATAGAAGTTTACTTCTCACAGTTCTGGAGGTTAGAGTTTCAAGATCAAGTTGACTGCAGGTTCGGGCATCTGATGAGGGCTGCTGTCTGCTTCCAAGATAGCTCCTTGAAAACTGCATCCTTCAGAGGGAGGAGCACTGTGTCCTCACATGGAGGAAGGCGGAAGGCAAAGAGGAACAAACTCCCTTTGTCAAGTTGTTTTGTAAGGGTGCCTGATCCCATTCTTGAGAGAGGTGCTCTCATGGCCTAATCACTTCTTAAAGGCCCCACCTTCTAATACTATTTTAAATTTTGGAGGGGACATGTTCAAACTATAGCAGTCGAGTATGGTATTCTGATCACCATTGTATTTATCTGCTTCAGACAAATTTGGAGAATTTGACTTAAAGCACAGCTGTTGATAGCCCCAAATTCCATTCCAGCACTTCTTTGCTATATAGTCTGGCCATCATCCATCCCCCTTAGACCAGATGTAATACATTGTAGGATGAAGTAGGTGTTTCATGTGATGGAATGGGTATTAACCATCCCATAGATTGGATTAATTTTAGAATGTCACATCACTTCAAGTCTTGTTGGCATGCTCAGAACTTATGCTTTCTGAGGCAACTTGAGTGGCTGCCTACAGCAGGATGAATCCTGTGGCTTGTGACAAACCTGGCTTCTGCCTGTGTCTATGAGGCACCACGGCAAAGATGCCATGGCTCTGAATCCCAGCTTCACTGTGCTTAGTACATGGTCTGGAACAGAGAATGCACTTCATGTATCTTCATTATCACCACTGCCACAACTACCAGATGAGCTTAGTCAACCTGTTCACTGAGGCTTCCTGAGAGTGATGCCTATTTTATTTACCTTGCAATATTATTGTGAAAATTATAAGAAAGTTTGCATAAAAAGTAATTTGCATAGTGTCCAATAAAGAGTAGAATTAAGGAAAATGTAACTACTACTATTATTGATGTTGTTGTTACTATTATTATCACTACTGAGGCTGGAAGAATATCTACTTCTGCTGTGCCATCAGTACAATACATCATGACAATGGATTATAGCAATTATTGCTCTAAGGCACTGACATTTTCTAAACAGATAAAACATTGTATCAACTGCTGTTTTTATAATTTGGAACTGACATCATCATATATTTGTAGGCACACCATAAAAATCTCTTCATTAACACACTGATAGCATCTTTTATTTTCCTTCACTCAGAGTTTTTTTTTCTGCCAACAATTAGTCTTGATTTCATCAAAAGCAATGATTACCTAAAGGAATATTGACATTCTACAGAACTATGTCCTTCTTGCATTTTTGTAGTTGTCATGGGAAATTAAGATCAGATCAGAGTCATAGCTTATAGTATAGGAAATATATGGTTCAAAAACAGCACAAGGTATTTGATGTGGTCACCAGATAACCTTGAATTGTAGACCCTTGCCAAACACTGCAGAAATGCTTTGGGCTGGAGTGTTCTTGCTTCACAGACTTCTTCATTTTATGATTGCCAGAGTCATTGAAAATAAATTTTGGATTGTGCTAAAGGGAAATAACAAAGATACTATCTGGGATCAGTCTCTCAGATTTGACAGACAATTTCATGCTTTTAATTGATTCCAATCTTTGCAAAAAAGTGGAACGAAGTAATAGACAAAAATTAACAACAAAGATGCCAGAAGTGACTATCATTGCATGAAACTTTTGCTGTGTTGTTTGCAAATTGCGTTCCAGTACTATATTCTCATTTGTTGAAAGATATTAGAAAAGAATCCAATCCCCAAGCTTTGTAAAGATTTTGATGTTGTGGCATATAGTAATCGTATTCATTTCCCCCTTTATCCTTTTTGTATTATAATCTTCCAAGTTCTAATTGGGCACACAAACTCCTTTTCCTGGGGTAACTTAAGCTAGATATGTGATTAAATTCTGGCCAATGGGATGTGAGTTGCAACTTCTTGCTAATACCCTTTAAAAAGAAACTGATTGCTCTGTACTCTCTTTTACCCTTCCTTTGGGGCAGAATAAAGAGGAGGTGCTGCAGATAAGAGCAACATTCTAGGGAATGTTGCTAGGGCAACAAGTGGAAACACTTGGAAAAGTGTATTTGGCTCTATAGAAATTAGATTTAATTTTTTTTAAAAACAGAAGATGATCCTGGGTCCCTGGAGGACCTCATGGAGCAGAGTCAGCTTCTTGGCCTTGCCTTACCCACAACCTATGTGCTCCTCTGTTAAAAGGAAATATTTTTCCATTCTGCTTGAGGCACTGTGTTTTGTGTAACTTTGCTACAGCAACTTGGGCTATGCCCTAATACTAGATGTGTTCTAAATTTTCCACACTTGCTGTTTTCCCATTGGATGAAGGGCTTGTGAGACACAGCATATGTTAAAAAAAAAAAAAAGACTTCTCTATTACTCTTTTTCAAGGTGGCAGACAAAGTTCAAATTCACATTATAGGCTCTTTTAGTATATTACATGTCCTCAGCACTGGTACTTGGTTCCCTCCCTCCCTCCCTTCCTTCCCTCCTTCCTTTTTTCCTTCCTTCCCCTCCTTCCTTCCTCCCCCCACCCCCTTTGTCTTTCTTTCTTGAGACAGGGTCTAGCTCTGTTGCCCAGGCTGGAATACAGTACGTCCCATCCTTGCTCACTGCAGCCTCGAACATCTGTGCTCAATGAATCCTCCTGCCTTAGTCTCCTGAGTAGCTAGGACTGTAGGAGCATGCCACCATGCCAAGCTAATTTTCTATTTTTGTAGAAATTGGGTCTTACTATGTTGCCCAAGCCGGTTTTGAACTCCCTGCTCTTGACCTCCCAAAGAGTTGGGATTACACACGTGAGTCACTGTGCCTAGCCAGTACTCAATTTCATTTTGAAAGTTGTATTTCTGTTTTATTTTTGTTAAATGGAATTAAAATGTCTGTGCAGTGTCTATCATAACCTAGTACAAAAGCAATAAAACTATTGTAAGCACTAAGCAATGTGGTCATTATTGACTTCTTTTTCTAGCAAAGGAAAGAGATAGGAAAATGGCTTTTGCATGGGGAATTTAATGTGTCACAGAAAATGATATAGAAGATAATGTAAATTGTGATGATGTGAACGCGGAGTAGTTTGTGTCGAGCATGATGGCCAATGGCAGCTAACTATGCCCTTCTGGAAACAGATGCACCCCTTTGCGTATATCAAATCTCCAAGCTGCACTGCACCAAAAGAACCCTGGGCACCATGTTACTTAGCTGGAAGGAAATGGGGAAGCTGTGGGAACCCCTATAAAACTCCCTCTGACATATTTAGCCTGTGGCTTGTGGGTATTCACTCAAACTCCAGGAGTGTGGGTTACCTTTAGTCAAATCTGAAGGAGTTTTGCATCTGTCACCCAATGCAGAGCTGAAGGAGAGGGAGCAGGTGTGAAATACAACCCAGACTTCCTTTTTAGTCCCAGTGGGGGTACATTTTTGTCTCACTGTTACCCTTGGTAACTCTGGGATGGTAAATAGTGAGATGAGTAATTCAGAAAGTGGAAACGGAAAGTGTTACTATATCTGCTACGAAGCTTTGCATCAGAAAAGTACTTCCTTTGCTTCTAAAGAGACTTGAAGAGTTTTGGGCTTCTTCTTCTTCTCTCTAGGTAGCTTTTTATTATCTCATGTTATAGTTACTTACATAAACGTATTGCTGGGAATTCTAGTAGCACAGGGATTATAGGAGTTTCCTGTGATTTAACTAAATCACTGGTGTCTTCAATACCATGTCCATGCTTCCCCCACAAACATCAGAGAAAATGACTTCTTGGCATGGGAAGTTTATGAGTCCAGAAATAATCTATATTTAGTATTTTTGGCATGGAGCCCTCCATAATCTGGCTCCAGGCTGCCTTATTCCTAGGCTCTGCCTCTTCCCTCCGTGTGATATCATATCAGATGGCAGAGGCAATGGAACCATCAGACTAGATTGTGGTTTTGGGCCACAAAGCATGACCCATCAGTCTTTCAGATTCTTAGTAGATGGGATGACCCCATGAGCTTTACCACCATAATTTTATTTTTACACCCATGAAAGTCATGGGCACTAGTTGGTGAGATCCAGAGGCCAATCCTGAGGTCCTGAGATGGTTCTCCAGGAGGGAGGTGCGTAGGAAGTGAGAGGTCACACTGTCTTCTCACACTAACCTCAGCCTCAGGGTGTGAGGCCAGCTTCAGAGGGGAGACCACAGTTCTGGGGCCCAGCCGTTTCAGCCACTGCCTTCTTGCCTTCTTTACTAAGGTCGTTAACAAGCATACTCATTAGTGGCAATTTCCCTGGTGGTTTTTGTGATGTGGGATTTGTTTGCTATGAAATGGCTGAATCCGCAAATCATTTAAAATAGTCAATCCTACTGGAGATAGAAATAACTCCTTGCCTGTGTTGATCCTAGCTAGTGACCAGTGTCCAGGAGGTGAAATCTTGGGAAGAGAGGCCTGGGCTTCTGACTCAGCAGAAACCACCGTCTTGACATTTTTAGTCTTTTCTTTGGTCTTGTCCTACTATAGAGACTTCTTTCTACAGGCCAGATTTGACAAAATAGCCCTACCAAATCATAATCAGAGGTGCACCAGCCACCCTCCCCCAATAAATTTGGCCTTATTTCTTGTTACCCTGATGATGCTCAGGATTCATAATACATATCTCTAAGGAATCTCCAGATTTGTATAATACTTGAAACAGAATATCCAAGAAGAGGAGAAAAAGAAATGGCTACAATAGATCAGTCCTCCACCAGGAGTGGCTTGAATCTCAGGGGAGGTTTGACAATGTCTGGAGACATTTTTGGTTTTCACAACAATGGGAAGGGGGTTTGTACCACTGGTGTCTAGTGGGAGGTCCCAGGAAGCTGCTAAATGTCTTACAACATGCAGGACAGTCCTCTACAACAAAGAACTATTCAGTCCAAAATGTCAATAAGGCTGAAACCCTGAAATAGAGGAAGACAAAGAGGTCTTCATATATCCTGCAGTTTAAGAAATGGGTTTTAAATATTTACTGAGCATCTATTATGTATATAAATGGTGCTTTTTTTATGAGATGGTCCAAGGAATAAAAGTCACATTCACGAACATCAAAAAGTTTCCAGTTTACTTGGAGATGGTACATACACAATGAAATTGTGTGTTATTTATTACAGCAATACTTCACTTGCAATGGAGATTGATACTTATATTGGTTTGCTAGGGCTGCCATAATAAAGTTGGCTTAAATAACAGAAATTTATTTTCTTTCAATTCTGGAGGCTGTACGTCCAAGATCAAGGTGTCAGCTGAGTTGTTTTTTGCTGAGGCCTCCCTCCTTAGCTTGTAGGTGGCTGTCTTCTCTCTGTGATTTCACATGGTCTTCCTTCTGTCTTTGTCTGTGTCCTTATCTCTTCTTCTTATAAGGAGACCAGTTATTTTGGATTAGGGCCCACTCTATGTGCCCTCGTTTTAATGCAATGACCTTTTTAAATACCCTATCTCCAAATGCAATCACATTCTGAGGTACTGGCTGGTTAGGACTTCAACATATAAATTTGGGGAAGATGCAATGTAGCTCAGAACAGTACTCTCGGGTTATAACTTGGTAGCCAACGGTAGAAAGTTAAAAAGCAGCACAGAAATTCATTTTAGAGTATTATGTAAGAGCTGTCACACTAAGAAAAATATTTAAATTTTTCTAAAACTAAAAGAAGGAATATGCTTAAGAGATCTGTTGTACAACATGGTAACTGCAAAAGTCACAGCAAGTTAGTAATGGAGCTACTTTATAATTTACTTTCATCCTACCCTCAATTAATTTACTGGAATTCAACTACTGGGTAAAAGAAAACAAACAGAGAGGGCTTAGGGCAGATATCATGGGTCCTGGACCATTAAGCCTCAAACAGTCCAGCCTTGCTAGAAAGTTTAGGGGAAGAATTATGTGTTTAAAATAAACCTTAAAAAATTGAAGTATTATGATCATACAGAAAAGCGCACAGTCACCAGTGTTCAGCTTGATGAATTATGACACAGTGAGCACACCTGTATTAACCACAGCCAAGGTCAAGAAACAGAACTTCATCATAACCCCAGAGGTTCCCTTGTCCCACTCACTGCCAGCCCTGGTTTCTCTTCCTCCCTCTTGTAAACGATTTTAATGATTTTCCAGCCTCCCTCAGAGAAGAGAAGCACTTTGTTCAGGAGGCCTGGCCGAGGCTGGTGGAAGAGTGGAGGAATCAACTGAAGAATTAATTGAAAGTCATAGAGAAACAATGACCAACAAAGAATTGGGAGAACAGACACAGAATTGTATACGTATAGCCTTTTATTCCAGGCAGTATTCTAGGAACAGTTTAAGACATTTTTAAGGGCATTTTCCACTCTTTACGATTTTCACTTGAGTACTGTTTAGGTTTTAACCAAACTTCGTGTCATCTTAAATCGCCCTGAGAACCGGCGGGGGTTCTCTGCTCAGCGGAGGCTGAGGCTCTCAGCTGGCTCACAGCTTTAGGGAAGCTGCTACTTCCTCCTACTCACCTGCCCTTGAGCGCAGGGTGCACAGAGGGGAGGGGGCAGAGAGCAAGACGACTGGGCCAGCTCAGAGCCAGACAGTCCTACCTCAGTTTACTCATTCTGTCTCAGGGATGAGAGATGAACAAGGTCCCTAGAAAGAGAGTGAGTTGATTCAGCTGCCCTAGGGAAACAGCTCCATTCTGCTTATGGCCTCAGCCAACTGAGGTCCACAGTGCCAGATAACCTCACCCCAGCGTGGGGCTGCGGCCCACGCCCCCTCGTGAGAGGTGAAGCCAGCAGGACTTCCTGGGTCCAGTGGAACTTGGAGAACTTTTCTGTCTTACAAGAGGATTGTAAAATGCACCACTCAGCACTCTGTAGCTAGGATTGTAAAATGCACCAATCAGCACTCTGTAGCTTCCTAGAGGTTTGTAAAATGCTCCAATCAGTGCTCTGTAAAAATGCACCAATGGATGGTCTGTAGCTAGCTAGAAGTTTGTAAAATGCACCAATCAGTGCTCTGTAAAAACGCACCACTCAGCACTCTATAGCTAGCTAGAGGTTTGTAAAATGGACCAATCAGCACCCTGTAAAATGGACCAATCAGCACACTGTAAAATGGACCAATCAGCAGGACATGGGCGGGAACAAATAAGAGAATAAAAGCTGGCCACCTCAGTCAGCAGCAGAAATTTGCTTGGGTCCGTTTCCACGCTTTGTTCTTTTGCTCTTCACAATAAATCTTGCTGCTGCTCACTCTTTGGGTCCCTGCCACTTTTAAGAGCTGTAACACTCACTGCAAAGGTCCGCGGCTTCATTGTTGAAGTCAGTGAGACCGCGAACCCACTGGAAGGAACAAACTCCTGGACACACTCGCTGGTGCATTGGTGATGCAGCCCAATCAGATTAGCAACCCCTCCTCTTGGGGCAGAGCTAAGAGGGGTGTGTCCCTGTTATAGACAAGATTAGGAGCAATCAAGGGAGAACCACTGCACGTGCTAAGGAGGGTGTAATTGGGTTGGCTGGCTGTGGCTGAGCTGGGGAACAGGAGTGTGGGGTGCTGGGAGTTGGGTAGGGTGATGAGTTCATGTTGAGAAGTGGCGAAAGTAGGAAAGGAGTGACAGGCCAGACGTTGAAGGTCTTGAATATTGGGAAACAGATTTTAACTGTGTTGTATCTTGTAGGTTACTGGGAAACGGTTGTTGGATCTTGAGCAGAACAGTGACAAGGTTGTATTTCACGAAAATTGTAAATCAGTGGGGGGTGGGGGCCAGGGAGTATTGCGGGGAGAGAACGGAGCTAAGAGAGGAAGGGAGACCGTTGAAGGACAGGTGATGCACATCTAGATTAGCATGTGGCCTCCAGGAAATGGATGAAGTTTAGAGAAGTACTCAGTCCTAGCATCAGGCTTCAGACAAGGGGCAGGCTGGGGAGCTTCTAACAAAGCCCCGAGAAATTTTTTTCTTTTGGACCTGAGTGAGTAGCGGGTTGAGTTAATCATACTCTTCTGTGTATAATCACCGTCATCATTAGTTCACTGGCGCCCTCACTTAGTTTGTGTATTCATTTGCTTAGTCATTCATTTTTTTAATCCCCATTCTGCACTGTTGTTATTCTCCCCCCTTATATGCAGCTTGTCTAATGTTTGTGCTTTTTTGTTTCTGAGTGTTCTTTCAAAGTGTTTGTTGTTTTCTTGTTTGTATGTTATTTTAAAAACTTTTTATTGTGGAGGGGAATTTTGAACATATCCAAAAAGACATAGAAGAATATAATAAATCCCGTGTGCCCATCATTCATCCTTAACTACCATCAGGCCATGGCCAGTCCTACTTCATCTACATCCCATCCACTGCCTGCCTTCCACACATCAGATCATTTCTCCCATAAGTATTTGAGTGTGTTTTTCTGCAAGATAACACAACCACAAAATCCTCATCAATAGCTTTAAAAGAACAATGTTTTCTTAATATCAAAAAGCTAATCCTCAAATTTCCAATCTTCTAATGACTGTTATTTTTTCCACAGTTTGTTTATATGAGTCCAGATTTAAATAAGGCCCAAACATAGTGATTAAACATAGTGATTGGTTTATATTTCTATAAGTCTCTTTTAATTAGCAGGTTTCTTACCGAATCTGTTTCTTTTTTCCCCTACAGTTTGTTTGTTGAGAAACTCAGGTCTTTTGTCCCGTAGAATTTAACAAAGTGTAGATTTTGCTGATTGCGTCCCTGTGGTGTAGTTTAACGAGTTCCTCCGTTCTTTTGTAGTTTCTTTGAGTTGGTAGCTGAATCTAGGGATCTCATCACATCTGTATTTAATTTTTTTAACAAGACTGTTTCATGGTTTGTCTTGTGTTCTTTCGTCAGGATGTGCATAACGTGGTTGTCTCTTTTTTATGTGACATTAGCAGCCACTGATGATCAAAGCCTAGGACTATTTATTTTTGTATTACTTATCTATTGCTGTGTAACACTATTGATGCAAACTTAGTGGTTTATAGCAAAACATATTAATTATCTCAGTGTTTATGGATCAAAATCCAGGCATGAATCAGCTGATTCCTCTGCTTCCAGATGTCTCAGAAGTCTGCAAACAAGGTGTTGACCAGGGCTGGGGTGTCACCTGAGGCTTGACTAATATAGGATCCCCTTTCAAGTTTATGTGGCTGTTGGCAGGATTTCATTCTTTGGGGGTTGTCTAACTAAGGGCCTCATTTCCTTGCTGGCTGTTGGTCAGAGGCCACCGTTAGTTGCTTGCCCTGTGAGCCTCCCCATATAGCAGCTTAGTTCATCAACTTCAGCAGTACAGAGACCCATAGAGAAAGCCTGCTAGCAAGAGAGAGGCTACAATTGTATGTAACATAATCATGGAAGTGACACCCATAGCTTTTACATATTGTGTTGGTTGGAAGTAAATCACAGGTCCCATCCACACTCAAGGGGAGGGGATTGCACAATGGTGTAAGTATCAGGGATAATTGCAGGCTGTCTTAGAGTCTATTTGCCACAGTTGAGTTTGCAAACTGATGATATTGTAATTCTGGGATTTCTTCTTTGTTTACTAGCTGGAATATTTCTATAAGAAAAAACTTCTCCTTGTATTGTTTGACTATCCATGGTATATTTTAGAAAGGGATCAGAATAAATGCTTGATTCTTCCCTTTTACTTACCAGTTTTAAAAACTAATAAGTTGATTCCCTTGCATTCTCCAATGGTGGTCAATTACATGGGCAGGTATTGTTAATTATGTAAATATTGTGCTAAATATTGTATTCTGTTTATTTCCTTTTCAGAAACTCAGTACTGTGTTTTAAAGATCTATTCATAATGATGTGCGTACATCTGGTTCTTAGCTTCTACTTGTTGAAGAGTCTTCATGGTGCGTGTAACCCCTTTCACCTATCTACTCAGCCAATGGACACCAAGACTGCCTCCAAGTCTCTGCCACGATGACCATTCTCATACAGCTTCCCTCATGGACTCACACACCTGCAGTGGAATTGGTGAGTCATACAGTGTAACTAAGTAGTCAGTTTGCTTAAGTAGTGCCAGATTGCTTTCCAGAATGGCTGCACAAAGCTGTTCTCTCATGAAAATGATTTATTACCATATGTAGCTTAGCTTAAGGTGGGAGGAAACACCTTAGTATCTTCATGAATTTTATGCCCTTCACTAAGCTGAACTAAATTTCTTAAGAAGGTTTCCTATCAGAAGCATCCAAGTTACTCCATATCTCCAAAGCCACAGCCGTGCTGGGTGATGAGAGCTAGGAGACAGAATCTTATACTATTATATCCCAACCTCGACTATTGCAACCTGGTAAACTATGCAAATTCTATCCCAGGCCTCAGAGATGAGGGAGAGGAAGATGGGAAGAAGAAGGTATGATGTATTAGGCCGTTTTTGCATTACTTGTAAAGAAATAACTGAGGCTGGGTAATTTTATTTTATTTTATTTTATTTATTTATTTATTTTATTTATTTTTTTATTATACTTTTAAGTTTTAGGGTACATGTGCACATTGTGCAGGTTAGTTACATACGTATACATGTGCCATGCTGGTGTGCTGCACCCACTAACTCGTCCTCTAGCATTAGGTATATCTCCCAATGCTATCCCTCCCCCCTCCCCCCTACAACAGTCCCCAGAGTGTGATGTTCCCCTTCCTGTGTCCATGTGATCTCATTGTTCAGTTCCCAACTATGAGTGAGAATATGCGGTGTTTGGTTTTTTGTTCTTGCGGTAGTTTACTGAGAATGATGATTTCCAATTTCATCCATGTCCCTACAAAGGACATGAACTCATCATTTTTTATGGCTGCATAGTATTCCATGGTGTATATGTGCCACATTTTCTTAATCCAGTCTATCGTTGTTGGACATTTGGGTTGGTTCCAAGTCTTTGCTATTGTGAATAATGCCTCAATAAACATACGTGTGCATGTGTCTTTATAGCAGCATGATTTATAGTCATTTGGGTATATACCCAGTAATGGGATGGCTGGGTCAAATGGTATTTCTAGTTCTAGATCCCTGAGGAATTGCCACACTGACTTCCACAATGGTTGAACTAGTTCACAGTCCCACCAACAGTGTAAAAGTGTTCCTATTTCTCCACATCCTCTCCAGCACCTGTTGTTTCCTGACTTTTTAATGATTGCCATTCTAACTGGTGTGAGATGGTATCTCATTGTGGTTTTGATTTGCATTTCTCTGATGGCCAGTGATGATGAGCATTTTTTCATGTGTTTTTTGGCTGCATAAATGTCTTCTTTTGAGAAGTGTCTGTTCATGTCCTTCGCCCGCTTTTTGATGGGGTTGTTTGTTTTTTTCTTGTAAATTTGTTTGGGTTCATTGTAGATTCTGGATATTAGCCCTTTGTCAGATGAATAGGTTGTGAAAATTTTCCCCCATTTTGTAGGTTGCCTGTTCACTCTGATGGTAGTTTCTTTTGCTGTGCAGAAGCTCTTTAGTTTAATTAGATCCCATTTGTCAATTTTGGCTTTTGTTGCCATTGCTTTTGGTGTTTTAGACATGAAGTCCTTGCCCACGCCTATGTCCTGAATGGTAATGCCTAGGTTTTCTTCTAGGGTTTTTATGGTTTTAGGTCTAACGTTTAAGTCTTTAATCCATCTTGAATTGATTTTTGTACAAGGTGTAAGGAAGAGATCCAGTTTCAGCTTTCTACATATGGCTAGCCAGTTTTCCCAGCACCATTTATTAAATAGGGAATCCTTTCCCCATTTCTTGTTTTTCTCAGGTTTGTCAAAGATCAGATAGTTGTAGATATGCGGTGTTATTTCTGAGGGCTCTGTTCTGTTCCATTGATCTATATCTCTGTTTTGGTACCAGTACCATGCTGTTTTGGTTACTGTAGCCTTGTAGTATAGTTTGAAGTCAGGTAGTGTGATGCCTCCAGCTTTGTTCTTTTGGCTTAGGATTGACTTGGCGATGTGGGCTCTTTTTTGGTTCCATATGAACTTTAAAGTAGTTTTTTCCAATTCTGTGAAGAAAGGCATTGGTAGTTTGATGGAGATGGCATTGAATCTGTAAATTACCTTGGGCAGTATGGCCATTTTCACGATATTGATTCTTCCTACCCATGAGCATGGAATGTTCTTCCATTTGTTTGTATCCTCTTTTATTTCCTTGAGCAGTGGTTTGTAGTTCTCCTTGAAGAGGTCCTTCACATCCCTTGTAAGTTGGATTCCTAAGTATTTTATTCTCTTTGAAGCAATTGTGAATGGGAGTTCACTCATTTTATAAAGAAATTAGCTCATGGTTCTGCAGCATTGCTCCAGCATCCGCATCAGGTGAAGGCCTTGGGAACCTTACAATCATGGTGGAAGGCAAAGGGGGAGCAGGCATCACATGGTGAGAGCACGTGCAAGAGAGAGAGATTTTAAACAAACAGATCTTGTGAGAACTCATTCACTATCTAGAGGACAGCACCAAGCCATGAGGGATCCACCCTGATAACCCAAACACCTCTTACTAGGCCCCCACCTCCAACATTGGGGATCATATTTCAACATGAGATTGGAGGGACACACATACAAAGTTTACCAAAGAGATAAAGGAAAGATTGGGAAACAGGTGAGAAAAATTACTTCACTTATGTAGGAAGGAGCAATGGGGAATCATGCTCTATTGTTCATTCACCAACTCAGCTTCTTGTTTTATAGACATGGAAACAAAGACCTAGGGATGAAGCCATGTCTCCAAGGATTATATGGTGAGTTTAAGACTGCTAGGCTAGTCTGCTGGCTTCCAAGTGAGGTCTGGGATGCGGGGAAGGTTACAGAGAGACATATGCAAAGAGTAGAGAGAGAAGTATATTGGCTGATGGCTGAAGACTGCAGCAAGTTAAGACTGAATCTTGGACAATGTTAATATTTAAAAGAGATGAAAATGTGAAGCAGAGAGGATCAGATCAGTCTATTGTCCCCTCATGGAGACTGTGTATCTATTAAACACTTTATAAGCAGCTAACTCAGTCTTCACTACAACTCTTACAAAGAAGGGATTATCATTCATTTTTTACATATGTGGGAACAGACACTCAATAGTTTTCAAGCAATTTCCTCAATGTCTTGCAGTTGCAAAGTGTTAGACTGCAATTCATATTCAGGTTTGTTGATGCCAGAATCTTTACCCTTAACACACACACACACACACACACACACACACACACACACACACACACACACACACTCAGAGAGAGAGAGTGAGTGATATTCAAGGAGGGTGTGGTTAATAGAGCCAAATGCTGAAGAGAGGTCAAGGAGAGTGAGGAGAGGAAATGGTTTCAGAAATTGTGATCTTACATGGAGAAATTACTTCACCAATGTCCTTAGGCTGCTGAGTGGGGCAGTTAGGAGCTCATAACTACTGATTTGGGGAGGCTTTAAGACAAGTAGAATACTGGGACCACAGACAAGTGGAAATACATGGTTGGATCTTGAAACCTTAAATTAGATGCAATTTCAAACAGAATTTTGCTGGCTTAATCATCAACTTAAAGAAACCATAAGCGACCAGACTGACAATAGCTTTTGTCCAAGTCCAGGCAATGACATGGAGAACATTGAAACGGTGTTGATGATGCAGGTGCTATAAAGGAGACTGTAGAAAGACCATTAAAGCATTATTCTCACATGCCTGTGTCAGCAGAAAGCAAAGGGGGTGTCAAGGAACATGTTTTTTAGTTTGTCTAACCTGAAGGTTCACTGAAAAATTAATGTGTTTGGTAGTAAGGAGCAATTAATTATCAATGAGCTTCTCCACCTGCATTCTCTTCTTTGGAAAAGGATCTTTCAATTTGGGCATCATAAATAGCAGTCTTTTTTTTTCAAACAGCATTTTAATGAGCAGAACATAAATAAATTCATTGCTTCCAAAAACAATGCAGAGATTGAAGTGGCAGAGCACCAGGCAAGTTGCCTTTTGGGTTTTAAAAAACCCAATATTTCATGACCATTGCAAGACCAAGGCAGGGTTTGCAGGATGGGCTCTTTATTGAAGCCAGGTGTAAGCTGTCTGCTCTTCCTGGCGGGGAGGCTGTTTGGGTTGAGTATTTCCTGTGGTGGCTGCGCATTCTGGCCCAAGTCCCTGGTGCCACTAGTCTTCCCCACTACTCCCACAATCTCTTCTTGCCTTTTCTCCCTTTCTCCCCTCCTTCCTTGCTTACTCTTTCCCTCCCTCCCCAAGTCTACTTTCTTGAGGCAGTTCCATTCACACACTCTACCCAAAATGTTTAAAAAATTATTCATAATTCCACAATTCAGCTCATGTTATTGGACCCATGGCATGTTATTTATGTTCAGTGTGGCTACAGTAGAACTTGGACCCTGGAGTGATGGCATCTGGAGTGTTTCTGTTCACTCTTAGCTGAAAAGAAGCAGTGTTTGTAATTTTTGTCTGAGGATTCCTTCTTCTGTAAAATGGAACAACAGTTCCTGCCTTACCACAAGCTTGTAAGGAGAAAATTAAATACAGTATATGAAAACCCCTAGGTCAGTGCCTGGCACATGGAAGGTGCTTGGTAAATATTGGCTACTGTGAACATAAACGTAAGATGACTGATTCCTTCTACCCCTCCAAAACAAAAGAAGGTGCATCCCTTCCTTAAAAGAAAAAGTGAGAAAATCCTGAAACTAGGGGCAGAGAAGTCAGGGAACAGAGCTCAAACATCTGTTCTTGAAGCCAGCTGCTTTGAAGTTGATATTATGGGAATTGGGAACTCTTGATTTTTTGGTAACAGCTTTAAGATATCATTGACATATGAAGGCTGTATATATTTAAGGCATACAACTTGATGTTTTGATATGTGTATACATTGTGAAATAATCACTGCTTTCCACATAATTAACATATATATTGCCTCTACAAAGTTATGCTTTTTTTTTTTTTTTTTTTTTTTTCTGTGTTGCCCAGGCTGGAATGCAGTAGTGCAATCCTTGCTCACTCTAACCTCAAACTCCTGGGCTCAAGCAATTTTCCCACCTCAGCCTCCTGAGTAGCTGGGACTACAAGTGTGTGCCACCTTGACTGGCTAATTTTGTGTGTGTGTGTGTGTGTGTGTGTGTGTGTGTGTGTAGATAGGGTCTTGCTCTGTTGCCCAGGCTAGTCTCAAACTCCTGGCTTCAAACAATCCTCCCACCTCAGCCTCCCAAAGTACTGGGACTACAGGTGTGAGCCACTGTGCCTGGCCTGTAGTTACCATTTTTATACTTCATGACCAACATCGCCCCATTCCCCCTTCTGCCAACCCTTGGCAACCACCATCTTACTATGAATTTGATTATTTTAAATTCCACATGTAAGTAAAATTGTTCAGTATTTCTCTTTCTATGTCTCATTTAGCATAATGACCTCCAGCTCCATCCATGTTGTTACACATGACAGGATTTTATTTATTTTAAAAGGCTGAATAATATTGCATTGTGTATATGTCTATCATGAGAATTTTGAAGAAGCCTCAAGAGTGGTCAAGGAGAATCCTGGCTACAAGAAGATGATGTTTAATTATGGGCATTAAATTGTCTAATTAATAACCAAGGTCATCTGGAGAAAATCTGTGGGTAGATGGGATCAGGTTTCTGGGATTCAATCTGACACACGACTCATTAATCAATGAGGCCAAAGCTCCCCAGTGACCTCCATATTGTCAAACTCACTATGTGCTTCTTGGTTCTTGACCTCTAAAATTAACTGATGTTGGTGACCCTCTACCCCTTAAATCAGTGACTGATATGACAAAATTCTCTTTTGATCTTATATGTTTTGGGGGTTCTTGGTTGAATCTTCCTCTGTATGGCTTTTAAAAGCTGGTGTTGCCAAGGATTTGGGCCTTAGTCTTCTCCCGTTTGTGTAGGCAATTTGATCAGTATCTTTACTTTTTTTTGAGATGGAGTCTCGCTCTGTCACCAGGCTGGAGTGCAGTGGCGTGATCGAGGCTTACTGCAACCTCTGCCTCCTGGGTTCAAGCGATTCTCCTGCCTCAGCCTCCCAAGTAACTGGGACTACGGGCACGCACCACCATGCCTAGTCAATTTTTGTATTTTTAGTAGAGACGGAGTTTCACCATGTTGGCCAGGATGATTTCGAACTCCTGACCTCAAGTGATCTGCCCACCTCGGCCTCCCAAAGTATTGGGATTACAGGCGTGAGCCCTTGCCTGGCCAGTATCTTCACTTTTAACCACCACCCATTTGTAGATGTTACCCAGCATAAAACTGTGCTATCTTTGTAAGGAGGCTCTTTGAACTTAGCCCAATCCAGTTGGCTGGTATGTCCATCAGTTCTTCCTGCTGTATGTCCTTTCAGGCCCTTCTCTTCTCTACAGCCCCATCCCAGAGCTGCCTTAGGTAAGGTCTTCCTCATCTTATGTGTGGCAGAGCCAAGTCTCTGTGGCAGAAACCCTGACATCTACTTCGACTCCCTCTACTGCTTTGCCAACAACGTGCACTTTCTAAAATACATGAGCTTTTAAAAAAATTCAACCTGATAGATTGTCTTCTAATACATGAATTTAATATGTTGATATTTATTGTGATTATCACCATATTTGGACTTATTGTTAACATCTTAAAAATACATACATTTTAATTTCTTCCCAACACTTTTTTCTCTCCATTGCTTTGGAAACTATACATTTAACTTTTTGGTAGGTTATATCTTTACCATACATGAGTTTTCTAATAACATCTGAAATTATTCAGTCACTCTCATTCCTCTATCTTCCTTATTTTTGTCACCTAGAATTTAAAATAAAAGAGTTATTTTTGATAGTTAGTAGTTAAATTATCAATATAATTTACCAGTTTCTTTGCTCACCATTTAAAATAAATTTGTACTCCTTCTTTGTGATCCTTTTTCCTCTTGAGGAACTATTTTTCATTTAGTGAGTGTCCGTAGGTGTTAAAAGTTCTTAGACTTCATATGTCTAAAAATATCTACCTCACCTTCTTCTTAAATGATAGTTCAAATAGGTAAAGAATACTTATTTTTCCTTAAGCTTTGATCACATCACTCTTCTGTCTTCTGATATTTGTTGTTAATGATGAGAAGTCTGCTGTTGGTCTTATTGCTACTCTTTTGTGGATTGTCTTTTTCCCTGTTAGATTTTAAATTTTTTTCTCTATAGCAATGTTCTGCAGTTTCATTACAATGCATCTAGTTAGGAATATATATATTTGATGCCCAGTGTTCACTATAAATCTATGATTTTTTTCAATACTGGAAAATTATGAACTGTTAGTTCCTTCTATATATTTTTTTCTACACCAATTCTTCTATTCTTTCATTTTGGGGCTGCTGTGAGTCTTCTGTTGGAATCCCTCAGTCTGTCCTCTTGGCTTCTGATGACCCTTTTCATGTCTTCTTTTTATCTTCTGTGCTATCTTCTGGGCAGTCTGTGAGCTTCCAATTTCAATGACAGTATATTCTGTTTTCAGGACTAGTATTTGGTTGCTTTTCAGAACCATATATTGTTTATTCATATCTGCTTTTTTTGTTTGTTTGTTTCTCATAGATGTAATTACTTCCTTTATCTCTGAGGGTTTTAAGCATGCTTCTTTTAAATGCTTTTGAGATTGCTCAGGTGTTTCTATTTGGAGGGAGTAAATGTTGCTGGTCTTTGAGCTTGTTGTCTAACTTTCTTCCTGTTAAATTTTCTTTCAAATTTAGGTTTGTATGCTCTTCCTGAGGAGCTCACTTCTCCCCATAGCTCTGGGTTATTTTCCTCCCCAGTTAATGGTTTTGACATTGCCTCTGTCTGGTTCCCAGGAACTCTGTTCTGGATCCAGGTTGAATGTTGGTGGATGGGCTCTTACCTCATGTACTGGGGATACCTACATGTAGCCACTCAGCTGGTGGGTGGCTTCCCCCAGGACGGGGCTCCAGGGCTGTGCCTGCTTCCTGCCCATCCACTGGCCTATAGAAAGGCCAATGTTTTAGCTTTTCCACCTCCTTTTACAAACAAGGGAGCTCAGCACCATGCCTGGCTTCAGGTGGTGATCCTGACTTGGGTCCTCTGCCATATCTGGAAGGTTTTGCTCCCTGTTACCCCAAAAGAATCAGACTTTGGTCATCTATGCCTTCTTGACCAAGAGACCAAGAGGCCCATGGTTTTGACACTATTTATTACTCTTTCTTTTTCATGGAAGTATTTATCTGATTTTTCAGTGTGATTTTATTTTTATTGCAGAAATACATGTTTTACATATTATTGCTGTGTTTGGAGTAGAGATGAGGGGGCCCACAACTTGAGCTCAAAATGCCATTTTGCCAGGGAATATCTCTCCCTATTAATCTTTGTGTTCCCATGCTTGTCACATAGCAGGTGCTTGATGAATTTTGGTGGTTTGCTGTTACTGAGACATGGGCCTATTGGAGGCACAGAGGCCTGATGGTGAGAAAACCCCAGTTACCACAAAGTCAGGGAAAGCTCTGTCTGAGGCCCTCTTCTGTGACTTGGAGGCCTATCTCAGAAAGCTCTACTTCCTGGAAGGACTATCAGGGTGTTAAAGTGTCCTCGCTACTAGAGAGAGGACTGATCCTTTTAGTGCAGAAAAGCATCCTCATCCACTTATGAGCCTTTCGTGTAGTGTTTAAAGAAAGTGTTGTCATTTAAGCTGATTTGTGGCCCATCAGAAGACTCAATATCCCCAAATTTGGATTCCTGGGCCAGTGGGTCAGTGTTCTCTTCAGCAGACTGCCTCAGTGGTAGAGACAGGAGCTGCATTGATTGTTGACAGGACACCAACCTGTGTGAAAAGCAGGTCTCACATAATCTGTCCAGGCGATAATCTGCTTTAGGATTGATAGATGCCCTCTGTGGAGAAAATAAGTCAGTAATGTGCTCTCAGCAGGAAACTTTGTCAGCAGCGGGTTGTTAGAAGTAAAGGGTGTGATTACAATCTAACTTCAGTGTAACTTTGACTCTTCCGTGTGTTTTTCTCATTTATCTCATGAGTCATAAAAACATTTTGATGATTGCAGCAAAGTCTGTGGCTACTTAGCTCTACCACACTGGAAACACTTTATCCAGTAATAGAAAGAAATAGAGTGCCACATTGTTATGTTCCAGAGATCCAGCCTCCGCTCTTTCTTTGTCTTTTATTGGAAACTTGTGAGATTTGGAAGACTGTTCCCTGGATGCATTTGGCATCCCAGTTTGCTGAGAGTTTCTACAGTTCTGGTTCACTGCTGGCTCAGCGTGGTGTGGGAGACATTGGGTGTTTTGCCTGTCCAGCATCTATTTCCATTCTTCTAGGAACTGGATGTTTCTGTCTGGTGGAGAACGTATTCCACAACTGGAGCCAGACCCACCCTGCCACAGAGGAAGCCACGTGACCCAGGAGTGGTTTAGAAATGGGCACATGACCCAAGCAGAGGCTTCCCAGGACCTTTCTGTTGGAACTATTTGAAACTACTTTCATTCCACTGGAATTCTATGCTGGCAACCACCTTCTCACCTTTTGGAGAGCACCTGTCCAGCAGGTGCAGAGAGAGGCACGTGTATGATGACATTGTCTGAAACCTTACATCAGCCTTGCCCGAGGTCAAATGCATTTCAGTGAATAAACTCATGGATTTCTTTCTTGATTTAAGCTAATTTGAGTTGAATTTCTGTCACTCAAGACTGAAAGTGTCCTGACCCTTATGTGTAGGAGTTAGGAGTGAGAAATCATTTAACAGAATTCTTGAGAGCATGCTCTGTTTACATCTTCACTCATTTCAAGCCCAGGCTACTTATGATGCATGCCTGGCCCTTAGGCACTCTCAGCATAGTTGTTTATGAAGGATTTTGGACAATAATTGACTTTTTGGGTGTCTAAGGTTTGAGTTTCTTTTATCAACTAGTGCTGGAGGAGCCAAATAGTCAAGACTGGGGAAAGGAGAGGAGGAAGAAGACCATGAAGTAGGGAACCTACTGATCCTAGGAGCCATCCAGGAACTGCAACTATTGTGTGCCTAAATACAGGAAGGGCCAGCGACTGAGGATGTGCCTTCTGGATGCCTGCCACGTTTCCTGCTCATTCACCCAAGCCTGCCGAGATATCAGTTTACCCAGAGAGTCAACGTACTTTTTCCACAGTGAGACCAATTGAGAACACAAGTATCCCAATTTCCAGGCAAGTGCTCTATTTATCAGATCACACTTCCTTCCTGCTTTGAGAACAAAATAACCTAGCAGTCAGAAAGCACAATTGGGCACAAGATTCTACAAACAACAGGAGAACATATCCTGTAGAAAAACAGCACAGTGTGCGTGGTCTGTGTAGCTGGGAGCTCCTGTAGAACAGGTGGGCTTTCAGAAGTTCAAGAGAAGGAAGATAGGACAGAGAACCTCTGAGCTTGCCTCTTTCCACCAAAAAGCTGTGGAGGTTCTGACTCAGGGTACACAGGTGCAGTAAGACTGTGTGGGGCAGGAGGAACAGCAGGAGGAGAAGACATAGAAATCAGTAGAAGGCAAGGCTGAATGAGGGGACTGATTGCTGATTAGAATCTTGCTCTTCTCTTCTATGTGTTGTGTTCCAAGGGAACCCCTAAGTCTGAATATGGATTGGAATAGGAACCTTGAAACTGTCATTGAGGAGCGAAGCATGGCAGTGTTGGGGTGGGTGTTGC
The DNA here is from genome assembly GCF_000001405.40 of Homo sapiens. Lineage (NCBI taxonomy): Eukaryota > Metazoa > Chordata > Mammalia > Primates > Hominidae > Homo > Homo sapiens. The sequence continues at coordinate 42,395,100 of NC_000013.11, forward strand.
CAGGTGGACGGGATGGGGAGAGGAAGTGGTTTTGTAGGAGAACAAAAGAGAAGCAAGTGAAGATGGTTTCTTCACCAGAAGCTGCCCTCAAGCCGAGTAAGCGAGGCATGGAATGTTGGGCTTCTAGAAAGATCCTGGACCTTAGGCCCTGATCCAGGTGGAGCCCAGAGGGCTGAGATCAGAGGAAACCTGCTGAGAAAGTGTGGGATTTCTTACCACAAGACAGTCTTACTGCCCTGACCAGACCTGGCCACGATTGACATTTAGACAAAAAAGAGCACACAGAGAACACTGAGGAGCGTGGCCCACCCATGCTGTGTAGGAGGCAGACAGACACCTTTTGTCTGTGAGGCCAGTACACTCTGTGTGTCTCCTCTAGTCTACAGCCAATTCCCTCAGCCATCGCTGGCTTTTAATCCAAAAACTCATCTGTGGGAGATTGATTCAGCGCCTACGTGCTGCCTGTCAGCTCAGGGCCAGGGCAAAGCCAAGCAGGGCACAGATGTGGCTTCTGCTCCCACCTTTCTGGCTCCTCCATGCCCTTTAATTCATTGCATCAGGTTCCCCTTTTTAAGAGCTTAACGACTGAGGTGTGTGCACAGCTTGTGTTCCTGACCAAGGAAAAACTCTGTGCTCTGTCTGCGGCACGTCAGCATCCTCCCCCGTCTCCTGTTGCCAGCCTCTGCCCTGCCCAATGCAGTTCAGCTGGCTTGCCAGCACCGATGGGAAGCCTTCTGGTTGCCCCTGGCTGATGAAGGTCTTCTCTCCCCACCCCCAGCCCTGCTCCCAAATGGGGAGAGTTTTTGGAGACCCTCAAAATAATTATTCACTCCATTAATTAGATGTGTAAAAAGGGTGGGGGATATTACTCTAGGAACGAATTTGAGACCCTTGTGGTGTCAGAGAAAGGACTAAATGGACAACAAGCCCACATTATAAATTATTTATTTCATCCATTCCATCTGAACAATGGATACGTCCATGTGAAAACCAGAGCTCAAAAATCAGAATCAAAGGACTGACCACCATGGCCCACAAGCACCCTCTACATCACTGACCCCCTAGTATGTCATTAAAATAATTAAAAATAAAGAGGCTGGGTGCAAGGGCTCATGCCTGTAGTCCCAGCAGTTTGAGAGGCCAAGGTCAGAGGATGGCTTCTGGTCAGGAGTTCAAGACCAGCCTGGTCAACATAGTGAGACTCAATCCCTACGAATTTTTTTTTTTTAAAGACAAGAAAAAAAAAGAAAAGAAAAGCCAGTTGATTCAGGTGCTCTAATGAGATCTCTAGACTTGTTCTTTGAACCCATGTTTATGTTAAACAGGAGCTTCCAGCTCTAGGTTCTTGGGCACAGGCTGATGTGAGTTCATTGTGGATTCCTGTGAAGTGTGTTACTGCAGGTGACCGAAACTGGACTTGGACTGAGGTATGAGGACTCTCCCTGAGATACAAGTGCTTTACTAGTTGCTTTGTTTTGTGTCGGGAGAAAGCTTGGCGGCTCCTCCTCTATATCGTAGCCTCTGTCAGAACTGTTGTGCCTTGTCATCAGCCCTTTCTGGGTGGTGCCATCTCCTGCGTGGCCTTGCCATGAAGAGACTTCCTTTTGGGTACCTGGGGCAGACGCTGCCACAACCGCAGGCGTCCTTTGCTGAGTGCTAGTTGTGGTGAGGAGCTGAGGCCAGCTGACATGAGTGTGCCGGTGCTCCAGGATTATGCTGGTTGACCAAGTTGGTCAGCTGAAAAATTCCTTAAAATACCCCAGGGGCCTGTTTTTATTTTGTATTGTTTCTGAAAGGATAAATACTTGAAAACATGGATGCCAGAGAAGAGAGCTCTATGACTTTTATGAAATTGGCCATGCGCAAGTTTAACAAAAAACTAGTTAAAAGACTAGAAATTATGGTTACAAAATATCTTTGCTAATAGTTTACTGTCTGGCTTGGGTGAGTTTAACTTTAAGGTGTGGTAGCTCTGGAAATTTATCGTGAGTCACACATAATAACCGGCTACACCATCAGGCATCAGCCCACACACAATTTTCCAGCCCTGAACTTTGAGTGTTTCATAGAAAATGAAAATAATGCAGTTTTATGTTTTATTCTAGGGATGAGGTGGTTGGCACCATTTTAGGCTTTGCTGAAGACTTGTGAATTTGATGTTTCCTACCAAATTAAAACATATTGAGGGAGTACTTAGTTTCTAGTTGACAAACATAAATCTCCTTTAAGAGAAAACCATACCAAAAAACCATGGTATATTGTCTGTATGTTGATTTCCTCCTTTGTTGGTTACTTGTTTGACCTGGACCATCAGTTCTCAAAATGGCCAACTCAGCTCTTGAAATCATAATTACACATTTGAAGGAAGCCGAAACCAGCGCACGCAGATGGCTATCTGCCTGCATGCTTTCTTTTTCTTGCCTTCTGTTCTCTTTCTGAGATTGGAACACCATTGATATACTTTCTCTTGTACTGAATCAAAGATGCCATCATGCAGGAGATGGTCAGTAGATGTTCTTTCTCTACATGCTGGGATTGGTCTTGAGTTTTAATAGTTATTAAATGCAATTGTGCTGGGCCCTTGGAAAACCAACTTTTATTATGTAAATTCATGACAGACAATTATTTTCCTGAAAGCCTGTCTCTGTCTGGGATGTCTCTCTATTCTGAAAGGCTTTCTCCATCTGGGATATTTTCTTGTTTCATCAAAATCCTCCTCAAACTCTGTGGTTCTGCTAAAATATCTCCTTCCTTGACTTTCTTTCTTCCGCTTGTCCTTTATTCTTTGAGATTCCCTTGGCACTTGTCATGTATATCCATTCTGGATGCTTGGTCAGTTTTTTAATGTGTTCTCTTGCATGTGTTCATACCATCTTCTTAACTAGTCTACAAGTTCAGCAAAGGAAAAAAATGCTTTGCTCATTTTTATAAATGTCACTGTCTAACACGCAATAGGCACCCTGGAAATGATTTGTTAATGTAGTTCGTGTGTTCATTAACTTTCATGTAGAGCAAACCATGTGCGAGACCCTCTGTTAGGTATTTTCACCTCCACTGTCTACTTGAATCTTTCTAGGGACTCTAGGAGATAGGCATTATTATAATTTTTAGGTGACAGAACTAATCCACAAAGAGCTTCCCTGATGTCCCCAAGCCAGGAAATGGCAGAGCCAAATTCAGTATAATTCCCAGTCTAATACTTCTTTTGCAATGCCATCTTCACAATAAAAATTATCAAGAAGGCCAGGAGGCAGGGATGCTTCCTTTTACAGGTAGGAAAGCCTGTTTAGGAAGTCAGCTCCTCAGGAGCCCTGGGACCTGTTGGAGGTGTCCTCAGGGAATGACTGTGCAAGCTGCTGGCAAGCTCCCACAGCCCTGTTGGGTGCTAGAGACTCTTAAGTGTCTCTAAACTCTCTGCTCAGTTCTTCTGACTATAGCCTTGTTATGCTAACTGATATCCAGGGTCCTGATGGCCATAGGCAAGGAGCGTGCCTCTGAAAGCTCTTTTATTTTCCCTGGCATGGGATTCTTTCCACTTGATGCACTTGTGTCCTGTGCACTGTTACGCTGTAAGCTTTCTTCTAGACAGAGCTTGCTGCAGGCAGAAAGGACAAAGAACAGCTGGCCCTGAGGATAGGAAGGCAGCTCTGCAGACACTGAACAGGGCTTGTGAAATCCCTTGAGTCCATGGTGGGTGAGGAGTCTTGCTGCAAATGTGCATGTCTGTGCTCACAGAGCAACACTAAACCCATGCAGCTGGGCTGGTGTGCCGTCACCCGAAGCAGTATAGTTGAACAGGCTTGCCTGGATGGGAATCCACATGACTGTACACAAGGAGAAATATTGGTACCTAGCAAAGAAGCATTGTGACAAAAGAGAAAACTTGGCTAACATATTCTAGTGGTTTTAGATAATTTCCCTTTGTTGGTCAATAAACCAGCCTTTGGGGCGGGGGATGTGAAAAATTTCACCCATACACAGCAGAGTTTCTCAGTGTCAAATGTCTGTCACAAATTTTGCTTGTGGTCATCTCTAAAGCCTACAATTTAAAAAAAAAAAGCGGCAATTATCTCAACCAAAGTGCTATTGAGTGCACTTCCCAGTGGCTGATCCTCAGACTCCTTTCCCAACAATGTTTTCCTCGTGCAAAAAGCCCAAAGGAGCGTGTGCGTGGTTCTGAAGCCGAGAAGTCAACTCCGCGGAAAATTTGCATGCTGTAATTGAGTTGCCAGGAATACTCAAGACATAATTCTTCAGGCTTGTAATGATTGTGATTCCCTGCAGCCTTCCAGACTGGCAGTGGAAATGGCAGCTGGACTCCTCCAGGCTCTTGTAACCTGGTTGTAAGATTGGGCCTATCCCATGCAGCTCTGATTCCCTTGTTTTCAGGAGGTTGTAGCTGGTCAGCCCTCAGCCTTCCCCTCCTTTAAACTCCTCCAGTTTATTATGCATTTACAACTCCTTTGGACATGGGGTCATGTGGTTGCCTAGTGTGCTGGATTGAAATATTTAGTATAGAGGCATCTTGTGACTACAGGGTAAGTTCTTGGAGGAAAAGAATCTTCTCATACTTCTTTAGATAAGCACTTAGTAGATGCTGAGTACTTTTGAATGAGTGAACAGAGATGGATTTTGCATTCCTTTGTAAACATTTTGAGTGCCTGTTTGTGATGTGGCCCTGTGGACATGCATGACATAAAGGTGTGATCAGGATGAAGTTGAAGAAGGTACCAGTGTAGAACCTTTGTGGATAATTTTCAAGAAAATTAGTTGGTCAATCATTCCTGGTTGACAGATTGAACTTAATATGGGAGTCATTTAGTTGATATTGCATCTTTGAGCATTAGGGCAAAGGCAAGACCCTCTGCTCCTTGTCTGCCCTAATGCTCAAAGATGCAATATGAGGGTTTGTGTGTGTGTGTGTGTGTGTGCGTGTGTATATGTGTGGAAGTCTACACTGGATCTTGTCACTGCATTGCAGTGAAGCAGGACACAGTTGATTCCTAACTTGGAGGAAGCTTCCATCACTTCATCCCATTATGCTATATCTTGGGATACTTTCTTGTGTTTTGGGGCATCCTTTTCTCTGATTCTATTTTTGAACCCTAAAATACTTCCTTAGTGAAATATTTGACTATCCAAAGTTCAAGTATGCTCAGACAGTAAATCTTGAGATGTAGAGATGAAGAAGGGTCGGGGGAATGTTTCTTGGTATAATTTAGACTAAAGGCAGGTATAAACTTTGTTTTGGAGATTTTGGATTGACTGTCTCCATGGTCCTGAATCCCAGGGCCAATCAGAGGCAAAACTGAAAAAGTGAAATTTACCTCTGAAAGTTTCTCACCTCCCTTTCCATCTCCTGGATGCTTTTCCCCATGGTGATAGTCTCTCTAAACAGATGGCTCATTGCACAGATGACCTCCTTCCCCAGCCTCCTGTCAAAATCTGTGTCCAAGTTGCTACAACTTTGGACACTTGAGGTTACCCCAAGCTCAACTAGAGCCACTGGTGAGGCATAGCTTTAACAACAGGAAGTGCTCTTCCAGAGCACATTATAGAAGTGACTGTTGATTAAAGAGGTGACAGTCCTAGGGTGTTCTTCATTGGTCAGATCACATTTGTTTAGTTCTGAGGAGCACCCTTTAAGAGGCATGTTGATCAATGAGGGCATATCCAGATGAGGGTGGGACAACTAGATTGATGAAATATGAAGACAGTGTTCTAGGAGTAATGATGGAAGAATTGAACCTTTGAAGCCTGACAGAAGAGGCCAGGATGGTCCTAGAAGCTGAAGGTTAGGAGGTAAAGGTGATCCAGTTTAAATACCGCTTCTGGTGTTTGATTTTAAGCACTACACCTTTCTGCCAGATGATCAACTGACTTGGTCTGAATACCTCTTATGGCAGAAAGCTCACTAACCAGAACCCCAGAACATGGCAGCTACCTTTAAATATTTTACATGGAATGGTGTAAAACCTCCAGAAGGCAGAATATCTGCCAATGGGAAGGAATAAGAAAAAGTCATTCTTCTGGTTCAGAGTCCAATGGACTCTGTCTTCTGAAGTATACATATATTTTTAAAAATTTATATTTATATATACATATGTATTTTGAAAGACAGAACATTCAGAATTAGTTTCTGGCATCATGTTCTATCTTTCAGGATGCATGATGTGCATCTTCTTTCACCCCGGAGTGAAGAGCATGATGACAAATGAGAAAGAATCATTTCACACATCCTGGTAAAATAAATATTCTTTGTCAGAACAGCAGGTGATTAGATCTTCATTTTGATATATGCTGCAGTGTCTTCAGAAATGAACTAGTAAGACCCAATTTCAAAGAGAATGCAAATTTGCAGCTCAGGAATATGTTGAGGAGATTAGAAGCCTGTGTAAAATAGTGTAGAGGTGAATCCACTCAAGGCACATGGTCTTGCATCAGTGAATCCCATTAGGGCAGATTCAAGTCTGGGCACGTAGACTAAGGGTGCCTGATTGAATACTCATTTCTACTACTTGTGGTACCATTATTAGCTGTGACTTTTGTTGAAGCATTAATATGCTCGAGCCATCTCCCAGGTGGAGTCATGGCTTGATTCCTATAAATGATTAATCTTGGGGAAGAAACGCTTGATTCAAAAATTAATTTGAGTAAACTTGCTAGTTTACAGAGTAACTTATATAAGTGGGACATCAGTTGTTATCTGATGTGAATAAGAATTAACATAAAGTGCTTTGCCTGGAAAGCTTTTCTCCTGCCTTTCTCAGTAGAGCGTTCCTTTCTGGGAGGAGAGGCAGAACAGTGTCTGACTGAGAGCATAGCACCTGGAGCCAGGTGTCTTCTGCTTTGATACCAACTTTGCCACTTGTCAGCAGCATGGCTTTGGGCGAAGTACTTCATCACTCTTTACTTTGGCTTCCTAATCTGTAAAGTGGGGATGTTGATAATAAGACCTAACCTGGAGGATCGTTATGGGGCAAAACATATTCTTACTTTTATGGACAAGAAGACCCAGGCTCAGAAAGTCAAGTGTCTTCCAAGTTCACGGAGCTGGTGAGTGGATGGGTCTGGTTTCAAACTTTAGGCTGTCAGCCCCACATCTGTGCCATTCTTCACTAGCACTGCCTCCCAAACTGGCCCATCATGAGAGTCACCTGGAGGTGCCTGTTAAAACCACAGATTCCTGTGAACCAGGAATGTGAGATATTAACAAAGTCCCAGGTGGTAAGATCTGGTGGTGGTGTACCAGAGCTCTCCAGCCCCTGAGCTTTCTTAGCTGGATGTGTGGATTTGTGTGCAGAGGTGTTTTGTTCCCCCTTTCCCATTCATGTGTTTCCAACTTCCCCCTTAACCAACCTTTTCGTTCCCCACAACTTTTCCTGTGTTGTCCACTGTGCCTTTGAGAGTGCTGATTACTTAAATCATCTCTCTCTCAGATTTTCCAGGCCCTCCATGTGTCTCATCACTTTGTTCAAGCTGCCTGACAACCCAGCCTTCGCCTTTAAATGTCCTTGTATCTTCCTTCCAGCTGACCTTTTGTTCTTCTTTCATTGCTATTTTACCTCCCACTTTTCCTTCCCTTTGGGTTTCTCAGAACCCTTGAGATGACCGCAGATGGCATTTTGTATGCCACATTGTAATGAAAACTGTAGTATAAATTATTTTCAGAGTACAGTATGGCATAATAAAGTCTATTATTTATATTAAGTGTATATAATTTTAGTGAAGAGAAAATAATGACTGCTATATATTTGACTGAAAGTGATTATATTTTAATCTAAAAGCCAAAGTGAGTGCAGTGAGCCCTGCTAATAGCCAGCCATGCCTGTGTAATTTGTAGAGAGTCACCTCTTTGACATGCTGTTTCAAGACCTGTATTGTCTTCTTTCGGCAATGCTTGGATTTGGAACATGGAGTCATAGCTGCAAATCCTAATTTCCTGCAAGGCCAAATGATGGTTCAAGAAACAATATTCCATGGAGTAACCTTGATTTCTGCAATTGTGTAGGTCAGAGTCAAATGCACTCATCTGATGTGATGACAAATTAGTTCAAGGGCTTTGGCCCACAAGCTGCCACTCAAGGAGTCAAGCATGAATTTGAGGCACAAATGGGCAGTTGTGTATGCTATTGCGGTCTGAATAAATAGCATTCAGAAGCACTAAATTGATTGCATACCCAGGAAAGGAGAAATAATTGGGCGAATGAAGTTTGTAGCTGGTTATTTACACACCAATGTGGATTTTTCAGTTGAGAGGCACATAATTATTACAGGTCCAGTGGAGGAGTTCTTGGAGAATAGGAATTACACATATTCATGAATAATTACGTCAGTCTCTTATATATTCCATTATCATTACACATTTCTTGCATTTATTATACTTCTCAAGGTATGTGTGAGCAAAGCTTGTAACACAAAGTACTTTCCTCAGGGATCTATAATGTTTTGGTATTTTGAGAATTTATTAATTCAATATTTTTATGGGCCCTAGGCATTGTAAGGAAAAATTCAGTTCAAAATGGTTTTGTTAGAATGACTGAGGAGGTGTAGTTCAAAGATTGAGGTTAAGTCCCAGTAACTGTGTGACCTTGAGCAACTAAGTCACTTTAGCTGTGTAAGCACCATTTTCATCACCTACAAAATGGAATGCTGCCTATCTCATTGGGTTGTTGAGATAATGATATATCATTGCATCCAAGATTGCCTGGTGAACTTAAAAGCCCAGTTGCACTAGATTATCATTGTTTTACGTTTGGTGGAAAGGGACAGCCAGTTGTTTAACATTGCTTGATTCCCGTTGACTGTACCTGCACTGGGCTACCTCTGCTAAGGGTGTCTGTTGGGACTTGGGAAATTTTGATGTGACTGAATTGTGAGATGATATTATCACATGTTGAGAACAGAGAACAACCCAGTCTTTACCACTTGGTGGGGACTGATGCCCATGATGGTGCTGGCTAGTTAGAATGTCAAAGCTAGAGTGGTCTCCTGGGGCTTCAACCACCTAGCAGATAGCTCGTAGTCTAGTGTTTCCCAAATGGTTTTGCAAAGAATTCCAGTCCTTTGGAAGCAGAATTTTATGGCTCAACAAGTTTGGTAAATGCTGTATGTGCTGGCTCCCTCTTAGAGCTAGCATTATAAATGTGTATGTGTGATATAAGTTGTGCTTTCTGAAATATAGAAACTAGCCCCATCTGGCTATTTAACTACAAACTAATTAATAAAATAAAAAATTCAATTTCTCCATTACACTAGCTACATTTCAAATGCTTAATAGCCATATGTGGCTCATGGCTGCCATATTGGAAAGTACATACATAGAACATTTCCATCATTGCAGAAAGTTATGTTGGACAGTGCAGAAAAGGCTCTGAGACCTCTTGCAGCAAAATTACTTATTTAACTTTGTTCATTTCTCAAGCCTTTTAGTACCCAGCAGAGTTGCCATTCTGTAAGACACTGTTTAGAAAATATAGTTTGGCATCCTTGGAGAGATGATTTTTTCTGCCTGAGTATGGTGTTCTAGGAATCTGCTCTGCAGCTCCTGTATCTTTGCAGCTTTTCAAATCCTGCTTCTGTTATGACCACAGTCATATTTATTTGTGTTCTTGTCCATGATGAAAGAGAATTATTTTGCTATTATAAGACATATCCCCCGATGCTTCATATCTCTGTTAAATCTTCCAATAGCCAGTGTTCCCTCGGTTATAGACACAGAACTTCAGGGTTGGGAGAAATCTTAGAAAGCATATAGTTCAATTTTTTTTATTCTTATTTTTGAGACAGGGTCTCACTCTGTTGCTCAGGCTGGAATGCAGTGGCATGATCACGGCTCACTGCAGCCTTGACCTCCTGGGCTCAAGTGATCCTCCCTCCCCAGCCTCCCAAGTAGCTGGACCACAAGTATGCATCACCACATCCAGCTAACTATTTTTTAAAAAAATTTTTATAGAGACAAAGTCTCACTGTTTTATCCAGGCTTGCCTCGAACTGCTGGGCTCAAGCGATCCTCCCACCTCAGCTTCCCTATGTGATGGGATTACAGGTGTGAGCCACTGCACCTGGCCTAGTTCAATCTTATTTTACTTATGATACAACTGAAGCCCAGAAAGATTATATGACTTTCCCAAGGTCACTCAGTTAATAGGACAGTTCATACTCCAGATACCTATTTCTTATTAATGCTGTTGGTTCCTCTCTTCACAATATGAAAAAAAGCAATTATTAATGGACTAGGATTGTGTCAATGGTTATATGAGTTTTATCTCTAGTTAGAAATCTTGCCTATCTTTGTGAGAGTAGGCTCTGAATAAATGTACTCTGTATTTCTTAGCCTAATATGTATTTGCATGTTCTGACTCCATAGAACCCATCAGTGAATACATCACTCTTCACTCAATTCCTTCCCACTGCTTTGTGAGAAAGTCTTTGATGATTTTCTGCAAACAGCCAATAGTATCTTCTTGAGTTTTCATCTACTTTTGTACCCACTTAGTGCTCCTTTGATTAGAGATTCTAACTACAGTATCTGCTTTTCACTTTTTGGGACATGGAATATAAAAGTGGGTGGAAATTGCAATCTGCATAATGGAAGAAAAATTGCACTCCTACTAGTTTATAGAAAGGTTGACATTTGCTGTGAAGCGTTCAGTTCCCGGGTTCTGGTCAGATATGCATTTCTGTGCTCACCACTGTGGAGAGGAAGGTACCACATGGGGGTGTCACGTAGGTTGTAAAAGGAAGACGGTTGTCTGTCAGGGTAGTGTCCCAAGAGAAACTGCCCTATTACGGCTGTGATCTGGAATGAATATACTTCTGGCACCTTTACTAGGATGTCAGTGGGAAAGTCCCATTAGTCATCTTTGCCAGATGGGGGCTTCCGGACACCTCCGCATGGCTGTACATGTCTGTATTAATAAAAACACTGAAGCCACATGGGTTTTGGCCACACGTCTCATCCTGTCGACCCTCTGGCCCTGCAAGGATTACAAAGAGGGAAATAAGTCATGGAGCCTGATCTTTGAATGGTTTTACTTTTGAAATGTGGGAGATGTTATGTTCACTATTTCTCTTGGGATAAACCTCCAGAGAATTTGGAGCTTTAAGGGCAGAGCCCACTTTAGGCTACCCTGGGAGCTCTGAAAGAGGTGCCTTTCCAGGTGATTCTGATAAGCTCTGATGTTTGAGAATCACTGCTTTGAAGAAATCACTCATTTTCTCAGGATGTCATCAGCCCAATAAACAGTGATACAACTTAATTGACATCAAAAAGAATGATACCATTATCTTTGTTTTGACTTCACTGAATTCAAATTTTGCTCTTCTTCATACAGAAGCTGGTATGAACATCCTGGTTAATGACCGCATACTATAGAAGAAGCCCGTTTTGTTTTTCTGCTGCCTGCTTGTGGTGTCACTTTCTGTTCTATTACATGTAACCAGAGTCAGAGGAAATTCTGGCTCAAGATAGAACCCAGAGAGTAAAGTCCCCTGAACTTTTTCTTCCACTGGGTACTCCGCCGGCGATGAATGATCAGGTATTAGGGCAAGCCCTAAAATGCATGCCCAGGACCAGACCCCTTGCTCTGTTCTCTCCTGCTCCGTGGAGGTGATGTGGCTGTTAGTGGAGTTTGTTGTTACGGGTGGACTTGGTCAGTAGGAGCTGCTATGGTTTGAATATGTCCCCTAAAGTTCATGAGTTAAAAATTGAATTGCTGGCCAGGTGCAGTGGCTCATCCCTGTAATCCCAGCACTTTGGGAGGCTGAGGTGGGTGGATCACCTGAGGTCAGGAGTTCGAGACCAGCCTGGCCAACATGGTGAAACCCCATCTCTACTGAAAATACAAAAAATTAGCCAGGCGTGGTGGCAGACACCTGTAATCCCAGCTACTCGGGAGGCTGAGGCATGAGAATCGCCTGAACCCTGGAGGCAGAGGTTGCAGTGAGCTGAGATCATGCCACTGCACTCCAGCCTGGGCAACAAGAGTGAAACTCCGTCTCAAGAAAAAAAAAAAATTGAATTGCCGTTTTAACAGTATTAAGAGGTGGAGCCTTTAAAAGGTGATGAGGTCATGAAGGCTGTGTCCTCGTTACTGGATTAATGCTGCTATCTGGGTTAATTATCTCGGGAGTGGGCTCCTGATAAAAAGTTAAGTTTAGCCTCCACTATCTCTGTCTGTCTCTTCTGCTCTTACCATATGATGCCCTTCCGTCAGTCATGGCATAGCAGAAGGTCCTCACCAGATGCATCCCCTCAATGTTGGACTTTCAGTCTCCAGAACTGTGGCCAAATAAATCTCTTTTCTTTGTAAATTACCCAACCTGTGGTATTCTGTTATAGCCACAGAAAATGGACTAAGAAAAGAGCCTATCTGATTGCCTGGATCCAGAGCTTTATCTGCAGTGGATGTAATCCTCTTCTAAGAGGGGAAGCTCCGTATAGAGAAAACAGCCCCAGGAAAAGAGCCAGGAGACCAGAGTCCTGCCTCTGACTCTCCAGTCAGCCAACTGGTGGTCCTGGACATGTGTGTTCAAGTCTCTAGGCCTCTCTTTCTTAACCTGTAAAATGAAGTTGGTGGTAGCGGTGCAAGTTAAACTGGATTTACTAAATCCAGTGGCCTCTTTGTCATTTTATTTATATATCAGCTATAACATTTAATATTGTTGATCATTTTCTCCTTAAAATATTCACCTTTTTGGCTTTTGGGTCACCATTTTCATGTTGGTTCAACAAATGTTATTGGATTAGGCATTGTCTTAGGGAGTGAGAATACATGTAAGACAGTTTTTGTCTTTGAGGTGCCCACAAGATATGTAAACATCATCTAACAATTTTTTTCTCTCTCTGCTCCTTCCTTCAAATCTCTATTTACTTCTTTAATTTTTGTTTTTGTTCTATAACTAACTGTCTTCAACTTCTCTGTATATCCTCCTTGGAAGATGGTACTCATCACCCTGGTTTCAACTACCATTTAGATGTTGTGGATTAAAAACTATTTCTCTTTAACCATGATTCACCCTCACTCACCCTTGAGTTATGAAGTTTTATTTATATCTGCATCCCAGTCATTTTTACCTGGGAATCCCTCTGGGATGTCCCATTCAAAAAACCATAAACCAAACCCATTTTACCTTATCCACTGCTTTCCTTCTGCTATTAAAACCCACTCCTCCTGAGTTTCCAATCCAGGGCATTGCCATCCATTAAGTCACTCAAATTAGAAACCTCAGAGTCATGTACCTCTTCCCTTTCTCTGCATCTAGTTGGGCACACAACTTTTAGAATCCACCTCTGATGGATTCTGATTGGCCTTTGTCCCCTTATTCCTATTACTCCCATTACTGCCCTAGTAGAGGCCCAGGTGAGTGCTCATTGGGATATCATCAATTTTAAAATGTCCTTCACATCCCACACTTTATCATCTGCAAAGCCAGGAAGCATCTTACAGGCAGCAGTCATGAGGGGGACACCATGGTCTGTGCGTGTGCATCCAGACTTGCAGAATAGGCATCAGGCACTTGGAAGAAAATCCCAGAAACAACAGTGGAGCTTTATAAAAACACAGAATGCTCCCTCCATTCACATTCTAGATAGCTTTTGAGTGGACAGTGCTTCAGAAGAGTCAGATTCTGAATAGAAAATAAATGTTAGAAATACCTTGACCAAATTATTTTGCTTATATTTTCCCATTTATGTATGTGCAAGGGTGATATATGATAAAAATCTGACAGTATAAGTATAAAGGATCCCTTTTAGTAAGTATAAAATACAAATTCCAAGTGATAAGAAACATTAGGTTATTGTTTAATTGGCAGACGTGTTCTTTCTAGAGGTGAATATAATAGTGGTGTGACATCATCAATGTCATCTTAGGCTTGAAAAAATACAGATAAAATGCAAAAATCTCTGATCAATCAATACTTTCATTACTCTTTTCAGCCCCTCCCACCTTCAGTGTCTTCTCTTCTGATCCGTTTTTCACGTTGCCATTGGCACACCCAGATCTGATTATATAATTCCAATACTTAGAAATATTCTGTATGGCAGAGGTGCATCAGAGTCACCTGGAGGGCTTGTGAAAACATAGATGACTGTGCTTTAGCCCCAGCCCCAGAGTTTCTGATTCCATAGGCCCAGGCTAGGGCTGGGCCATTTGCATTTCTAATAGGCTGCCAGGTGACACTGATGCTGCTGACTGCTCAGCGGCCACACTTGGAGAATCACTGCCCTTTGGTATAAAGTTCACACTCCTTTATGGCATTCAAGGCTCTTTCCCAAGGATCCTTGCTATACATCTGCAGCATCATTTTTCAGTGTTCTCACACACTTTATTCTCCATCATGCTTGGAATTCTCCATTCAGACCATGGAGGGTACTTCTTGATCTGTGATTTTTTTTATACACTGCCTGATAGCTCTTAAAAATTATTCGACTTTTAAGATACAGTCCAATAAACAAATTCTTCAGCAGAAAATATTTCTTTCAGCAGAAAATATTTCTTTTACTTATCTTTCCCAAAGAGGTAAATTTCAGGATGTTTATCTATTAAGATCAACTTCTAAGATAGCTAAGCTTACTGCTCAGGCTTTTCCAGTAATTAGAAAGATATTCTTTGGGGACCATCAGGTCACAAAGTTTGATGGGGTTTTCCAATTTTCTGGATTATCAATTTGGCAATCATCCCTACACTAAACACAGAATTTATTATGAGTCAATGGAGTCATTATTATGACAATTTTAAATATTTATAAGATGTTGTAAATATATATAGTACTGAAAAGCACTTTAAACTGCACCAAGCCAACAAAATCCTCCCTATTTCAATGTATTTATAGTTCAGGCTCATAAATAATATAACAAGATAAGAACTGTGGGAAGTGGGAGCATAGGCAGAGTGGGAATACAGGAGGGTGATGTTAAGGTGTGCTGTGAAGCAGACAAACCCTGAATTATGGCCTGCATTATGTCATGGCTTTTCCAGATGTGTGGTCTTTGACAATGGACCTACATTTGAAGTCAAATAAGGGTTTAAGCTGTATGTTTTTAGGGGGAGTTGCCACTTTGTTGATTTGTTTAAGTCATGGACTATTTCCTGAGTAGGAGTCTTTACCAGTTTTATATATTGTGCATGTATGTTCATGTACATACATACACAGACACATCTAGACTCACACACACCTAGAGCCACACACACACCCAGACACACACACACACACACGAATTCTTAATCCATAACAACTTCAGAAATGCAGAGTTAGTGGATGTAAGTATTGTCCTCTGGTCTGCTCAAGTTTCATGAATACAATTTTCATCCTTTCATTTATTCATTGAATGAACGCTGGAGTACATAGTGTATGCAAACCTTATGTTGACCCTTAACATGCAACAAATAATAAGTTTACACAATAATAAATGAATAAACAAATGCCTTTATAGAACTCAGAATACAACAGGAACAACTTAGAATACAATTATTATACCTGTCTACATTTCCAGCATTTCCAGAACCCTTTCCATGTGCCAGGCTCATGCTAGAATTTCCACACATTTTATCAGTTGACACAACTATGTAAAGTTGAGTACAATTATTATTCCTGAGGATATGGATTCCTAGGGAGGCTAAGAACCTCATCCAATATTACATAGCTTAACAGTTGTAGAGCCAAGATTTAAAGCGAGCATAACCTTATGCTATGTAGTTTCTAGTCTACAGTGCTGAAGTCTCATCAGGGAGATAGATTAATAAGAAATTACAATGCTGTGTGATAAATGCTATGGTAGGGAAATGCACAGGGTTGTGGGAATACATAACAGGGGGCAAGAAAATTTTTTCAAAGAAAATATGGTCTAGCAGCTGGCCAGAACTGGGGGAAGGGCATCTACAAAGGTCTGGAGGTTTGAGAGAGGTCTGCAATATAGGAGACTGGGGGAAGGTCAGAAAAGTTGGAGCAAGAAAGTCCCCTCAGCTAACATCAGCCATTCCTTGTGTGATGTCAGTTGCCAGCTGTGTCAGTCAGCGTTCTCCAGAGAAACAGAACCAATATGGTGTATACACAGATATATAACAGGAGGTTTATTATGGGAATCAGCTCATGGGATTATGGAGCTCAAGAAGTCCCATGATCTGCCATCTGCTAGCCGGAGAACCAGGAAAGCTGTGATGTAATTCAGTCCAAGCCCGAAGGCTTAAGAAACTCAGGGGGCTGCTGGTGTAAGTCATGGAGTCTGAAGTCCTGAGTGCTTGTAGTTCTGATGACCAGAAGAAGATAGAGATAGGAGAAGCCTCTTCTTCTCCACAGGAGAAGGAGAGAATTTTGCCCCTCCTTTGCCTTTTTAGAGGATGCCTGCCTACCTCGGTAAGGGTGATCTTCTTCACTTAGTTTACCAATTCAAATACGTATCTCCTTCAGAAATACCCTCATAGACACACCCAGAAATATTTTACCAGCTGTTTGGACATTCGTTAGCTCAGTCAAGTTGACCAATAGAACTAATTAACACACCAACCATACACTGGTGACTCCCAGTCTATATCTCTTGTAGTTTGCTCATAACCTGATTGGATTTTCGATGTAAATGTTTCAGCCTCAACAAGGTTGCAAACATCTTGTGCACTGGGTATATGTCTCATAATGTGTGTACTATTCAATGTAGCCAGCACCATTCTTTGTTTCTGGCAGGCAAATTTCATTGAAATTTGTAGAATAAAGTGCATATTTTCTGTTAAACAGTGTGCAAGGTTTAGTGCTCTTTTCTATGGCTGCTGAGTTATTCTCTGCCTTTCTCCAAACAGAATTAAGTAGGAATGTGACTTCATTTCTGCTTGTCCCTGGAGCAACTCTGCAGATTCACCTGGGCTGTCTAAGGCAGGAGTGATTTTTGTAAAGAGCTGGCTGCCTGTCTGCATGGTCTTGGATTGCTTGCAGCCTGAAGGAACCACTGGAAATAAAGTACGTAAGGAGCTAGGGTGTGCTCATGACAAAAGAAGAGGGAAGGAAATACATAGAAAAAGCAGAGGCTTCCCCTGTCCCTTTCCTGTCAAGGCCACAGTTACTCTCAAGAAGCTGCATGATTGACCCTATTGGGTGCTTTAATACCATTCCTAGAAGATGGCCAGGTGCATACTTGCACTTCAAATGTTGGCTTTCAAATATAGATGTCAGAGTACGAAGACTGAATAGCATTCAGGGTCAGTTCCCAGAATTCCAGCCTGGCTTTCTCAAGGTAGTAGTCACTGCCTTAACCATTTCCATCCATGTCCCCACTCTTTCCATTGGGAAAAATATAACTAAATTTTTTTCATCTACTCCCTGTAGACTTTGAACTGGTTTATGCTTTAAAGACCACCAGTGCCTAAATGTCCCCTCATCATTGGCTCTTTTCCCATTTCCCAATGATTTTCATGTCAATGAAGTGTATCAAACATTCTTACATCACACACACACACACACACACACACACACACACACATACACACACAGATGTCATTTTTTTTCAGACTCTTAGCTCTCCATGAAAGAAAAGCAATAGTAGTACACTAACATTTAATTACATGTCTTTTTCCAACTATTTGGTAGTACTTTACATGAGGTTTTGGTTCTTTTTCTTCAAATATGTAACAATCTGACAAAATATCCATATTTCCTTCAAATATGTAATCACCTCGTTCGGGTGAGACTTAGGTTTTGGGGGTTTTGAAGCACAAATCATCTGTATAACCAAGAGAGAATGGCTTCAGGTGTTCTAAATATTTTTTCAAAATGCACGCACACAATTGAAAGTCCTTTAATAACAATGAAAGATGCAGTTTTGGCCCTAGAAACTCCCTAATGAATCAATACTTTCACTATGAATCAACTAAAAAGAAATTTAAAATTAGTTCTAGGGCCTGCTGAAATTCATTTGAAAAAAACTAATTTTGCACTCAGAAATCAATGTCTAATAGCTAGGTTTCAGCAGCCTTGATGGTGATTTGTGAATGTCAGTGGCAGCCCCATAGCTCGCTCGTGATGCTGTTCCACCTGGAATCCACTGAGGTAGATGAGTTTCACGAAGGTATCAGTGGCCTTGGCATCAGATTTTACGTGACACTTTTCCTATGGTTGAAAACTGAGGTCACATATGAAAGATAAATGCAATAAAAAAATAGCAAAAATCTACCCAATAAACATGCAGCAAGAAGGCTGTCTTTATTTCTTGAATCTGGTATATATATGACATGCATATTTTGTTTTTCTCCATTTGACTAAGCAATCATCTTAAAGTAAAAGATTAACATATTGATGGACTGCTGGTAGTATGGGGAATTAACTGACAATTTTGATTGATGAAAAAAATTGTTTTTTGTTGTTGTTGTTGTGGAAGAAACAGATGTCTGAGAAACTTTAAGAAAGTCTTTTCTTCTACTAGCCATTGGATTCCAAGAGCTGTAATAAACTCCCTTGAGGATTTCGGAGTCCTTTGTGATAGCCTGGTAACACTTCTGGAGCAGGGCCCAGCAAACTGGAAATGTTCCCATTCTGTGATCACTGAAGAAGCAGCCCTCTTTTTGTATCAGAATTTCTGTAGCTTGCTTTGAATTTATTTTTAAGAATTGAAAGCAGCGCTCCAGCTCTTCAGTCAGTACGAATGAAGAAAGCAGACCTCTTCATGCATGTTAGCTGGGTTCTTCCATTGAAGAGGAGCTTTTGGGACTTCATCCAGAGGCCAGGAGGTACCCTGCCTACTGCAGCACTCCAGGCCAGATGAGAGCAGCCCCGCAAAACCATAACATGAACTTTACAGATACTTCCGCCAAGCCCTCAAAGGCTCATGGCTCTTATGGATCCCAGCCTGGTTTGCATGGCTCTTACTCCTGGGCTCTTTTCCATCCACTTGGATTGTTTCTCTTAAGAGCCACTCTACTCCCCAAGTTGAGGCCACACTCCTGGCCCTAGCTGTAAAGCAAGGTGGTCTAATGTATAGTTGAGAGTATGGCTCTGGGCCACACTATTTAGGTTCACATACCAATTTCACAACTTACTAACTGGGCAAGTCACATAAGTTATCTGTGCTTTAGTTTTGCATCAATAAGATGGGGGGTGGGGAGTTATAATACTACCAACCTCATAAGATTTCCAGAAGATTAAATGACTTTATTAGTCAGGGTTCTCCAGAGGGACAGTGCCAATAGGATATATGTATATATGAAAGGGAGTTTCTTAGAGAGAAACTTCACAAGGTGAAGTTCCACAATAGGCTGTCTGCAAGCTGGGGAAGAAAGAAGCTGGTAGTGGCTCAGTCCAAGTCTGAAAGCCTCAAAACCATGTAAGCCAACACTGCAGCCTTCAGTGTGTGGCCAAAGGCCTGCGAGACCCCCGCAAGCCACTGGTACAAGTCCCAGAGCCCAAAGGCAAAAGAACTGGCAGTCTGATGTCCAAAGGCAGGAGGAGCAAAAGGGAGCATCCAGCAAGGGAAAAAGATGGAAGCCAGAAGTCCCAGCAAGCCAGCTTATCTCTCCTCCTAGCCACACTGGCAGTTGATTGGATGGTGACCACCCACATTGAGGGTGAGTCTTCCTCTCCCAGTCCACCAACTCAAATGTCAATCTCCTCTGGCAACACCCTTACGGACACACCCAGAAACGATACTTTACCAGCCATCCAGACATCCTTCAATCCAATAGAGTTGACACCTAGTATTAACCATTACATTGACCTAATACATGTTAAGCACTTAGAATGTTGCCTGATATGCAGTAGATTCTAAGTAAATATTAGCTGTTACTATCATCACATCATTCACTTTATTTCACTCACAACATTTACTAAAGCAGTGAAAGTGGAGGTGGGGGGATTGTTTCTCACGCAGATGCCAAGCCCTGAGGCAGTACACACCTCTTGCCCTGTTGAGCTGCTGAGGCTTCACAGGAAGGAGGCACCTGCAGAATGAGCTTGATGGAGCCCATCCTGCCATAGCTCTGAGCTGGGATGAAGCCCTTTCCAGTGGCTGAGCCACAGAATTTCCTCCTGGGGGTGGCGTCACCTGGAAATGATGGCGTTGGTCAGGTGAACTTGGACTTGTGGCTATTTCTGCAGCTTTCATGTAAAATAATAGCTTGGGAATAAATTCACACTCAACTAGGCTTCTCAGACTATGCTATAGATTCATTATTTTAAAAGTATCATGAAATTAAAAATACCACTTTTATATTCATTTGGCTATAATATTTTCTTTAAAATTCCATTTGTGTGCCCTCCTTGAATTAAAGCCATTTGGAAGCATTAGTTCATTGCCCTTTAAACCTGTATTTGTGAAAACCTTTGGGTCAACAACTCTGGTTTTTGTTTTGACTCCCTGTTCTGGTAGCCAAAATGTGATTGCAGTTCCAAGGCGAATCTCATGTATGTATTCTGATTCTGATGGTGTTCAATTCTTGAATGTCCACCACCAAAATGCTGGTGGGCATGTCTCACTATTTCAGTGTGATTTAGTTCTTCTGCCTGCCTGCGGCCAGGATAAAGAATAATAGAAAATGAGGCTCTGCATTCCAAATGAAACGTAAACAAATCCCTTTGCCTTAGGTTGTTCTCTGGTTCCTAGTTACAGTTGCTCCAGCTATACAGTCGTCCCTCAGTATCTGCTGGGTATTGGTTCTAGGACCCCCTTAGGTACCACAATCCCTGGGTACCTTTTAAGTCTCTTATATAAAATGTCATAATGTTTGTATATAATCCACCCAATCATCCCGTATACTTTAAATCATCTCCAGATTACTTTTAATACCTAACACAATGTAAATGCTAAGTAAATAGTTGTTATACTGTATTTTTATTTGTATTATTTTTTATTGTTTCTTGAAAAATATTTTTGATCCTCAGTTGGTTGAATCTGTGGATGTGGAACCCATGGATAGGAAGGACGGGCTGTAATATGAGCCTTTTGGGAATCATGTTTTATCTTTCTTTACATCTCCATGGTGCTCAGTACTTACAAAGTATCTCATAAAAACCTCTGATTGCGCTTTGGTAAATAAATGCTTGTTGAATGCATGAATAAAAACCAATAATCTTTTTGTACTCCTTTTTTGGGTGGTCACAAGACAGGTTCTCTGTACTCTGCTGTTCTGTTTCCTATCCAAGCTCATGTTAAACTTTAAACTGGCCGGAGGTTCATAACAATCGTAGCTCAACTTTTGCAATTCGTGGATAGTAAAGCTTAAAACAAAACAAAACAAAACAAAACCCCTGGGGATTAACATATGGTTTTCAACTTATTCCAAATAAGAAAGTTCATTAAAAATAACTAGCATTGGCCTGGTGTGGTGGCTCACACCTGTAATCCCAGCACTTTGGGAGGCCGAGGTGGGCAGATCACGAGGTCAGGAGATCGAGACCATCCTGGCTAACATGGTGAAACCCCGTCTCTACTAAAAATACAAAAAGTTAGCTGGGCGTGGTGGTGGGCGCCTGTAGTCCCAGCTACTCGGGAGGCTGAGGCAGGAGAATGGCGTGAACCTGGGAGGCAGAGCTTGCAGTGAGCAGAGATTGTGCCACTGCACTCCAGCCTGGGTGACAAAGCGAGACTCCGTCTCAAAAAAAAAAAACTAGCATTGTGCTATGCTGAATAATGGCCTTCAAAGATGTCCATGTCCTAATCCTTGGAACCTGAGAATATGTTACCCTTATGTAATAAAACTGACTTTGCAGATGTGATTAGGTTCAGGATCTTGAGATGGGGAGATGATCCTTGATTATCCAGGTGGGCCCAGTGTAATCACAAAATCTTTTTAAGAGGGAAGCAGGAGAGTGACAGTCAGACAGAGGTTGGAAGATGCTACGCTGTTGGCTTTGAAAATGGAGGAAGGGTCCATAAGCCAAGGATGGAGGCAACCTCTGTAGGCCAGGAAGGGTAAGGAAAGGGATTCTCCCAGAGCCTCCCGAAGGGGCACAGTCTTGCCCATCCATTTTGGACTTCTGACCTCCAGAACTGGAAAATAATACATTGTAATTTTTTGAGCTATCTGTCACATTTGTGGTAATTTGTTACAGTAGCAACAGAAAATGAATACAATCATCTATATGTTCCATCATTCCATTAAATGAAGAATGTTTTTTGTTTGTTTGTTTTTAGACAGAGTCTTTCTCTGTCACCCAGGCTGGAGTGTAGTGGAATCATGGCTTGCTGCAGCCTTGACTTCCAGGGCTCAAGTGATCCTCCCACCTCAGCCTCCCGAGTAGTTGTGACTACAGATGTGTGCCACTATGCCCAGCTGATTTTAAAATATTTTTAAAAATATTTTAAATATTTTAAAATATTTTTAAAAATATTTTAAATATTTTAAATATTTTTTAATAGAGACAGGGTTTCACCATGTTGCCCAGGCTGGTCTTGAACTCCTGGCTCAAGCAGTCCTTCTTCTTGGCCTCCCAACGTGCTGGGATTACAGGCGTGAGCCACTGCATCCAGCCAATAAACCTTTAAGGTCAAAAAAGCAGGGAGATGAGATCTCCTAAAAGCACATTGGCAATTTTGCATGATATACAGATGTACAGAGAGGTACATGTATTTGGGGGCTATCAAGGCATAGGTCTGTTGTTCTTAGCTGTTCCGAAGACAACAGGGGAAAATACCATTGTGGGTGTGTGAAGGAAACCCAGAGCTACCAAGTGAGCTACCCAGAAGCTACCAAGCAGTGTAAAGAGCTACCAAGAGCTACCAAGCAGTGTAAAGAGCTACCAAAAACCCAGAGCTACCAAGCAGTGTAAAGAGCCAGCCCAGCCTCTATCCACAGGTGCAAAGCTGCCTGCCACAGCCTTCTTTCATGTGTGAAGGCATAGCTCTCCTACTTCTGAGCACTTTCCATTGACTTCCAGAAACATGCTCGATCCAGCACTGGAGAATATGACTTGCTTTTTCAACGGGAATTGAATTAGGGAAGTTCCATAAGTTTAATTTAAGTCTACATGAAATCTATTAAGCGTATTCAGATTCTATTCCAATACATTTTAGAGTTCATGAATAACAAGTAAATGTCTAGACTAGCTTTGTAGAAGCCCTCAACTTTCAGAGTCTTTTCAGATTCTTTCTTTAAAATATCTACATTTTTCTCTTGTATAAATATTTTTAAAGAGAGTCTAGTGACAGGGCCTGAGTGCTTTGCTATATTCATTGTGAAATATCTTCATTCTTAACTCTGTTCTCAAATTGAAGCCTGTAGAGGTGTGATCAACTTAGTGAGCCTAATTTTCCCTGGCAGTTCCTTGCACTGGATGGAGAAGGGAAAATGAGGCTCATTCTTGTGGCAGGAAATAGCCACCCCTTCACCTAGCACTGCATAAGGCTGCTCCATGCTGATTTCCTCACAATGGCGATATGGACAGACAGCTTGAGAAACGTGTTATTTCTCTCATAAGCTTCAAAGTCATGGTAACAGTACTGTTCTGATGAGCTTGATCTCTGAAGTCAGACAGACCTGGGTTCAAATCCTGGCTCTGTCACTGATTAGCTGTATGATATTGGTAAGTTGATGATCTCTCTAAGCATCAGTTTCCTTATTTGGGATGGTATTAGCATGATTTACCTCATTGTGAAAACTGAATGGACTGGGAGCTGTGGTGGTTCAGGCCGGTTGTCCTGGCATATGAGGAGGTGAGGCTATGTGTTTGAGGCCAACCTGGACAACGTTAAAAGCCTCACATCCTTAAAAAAAGAAACTTGAATAGAAAGCACTCAGCACAGAGTACTTAATATTAATGGTACTTAATCATTATTCAATAAACGTTGCTTTAATATTGTCTAGGTATCATTTATACAAATTTTGGAGATGTTGGATGACTAATATTCTCTGTATGCTAAAACTCCAAAACTTTTCCCTCCCTTCCTGCATTGATGTCTGAAGATTGATTTGATAGGAGGCAGTTGTTACTCAAAGGAGTTAGCATCTAATGGATGTTCTCTGGTAACTTGGGTCCCTCTGGAGTTGCACATTAGATAGCTCGGGTGATGGGGGCATTGGCTGATAGTTTGATGTTTGCTTTAGAATGCATGTGCTATTTCTGTGGAAATCCCCTTTATATCTATGAGATATCCACATGTCAAAAGTGATTTTCATCTTCATTCTTTCCCACTTCTCCTCCCATCCTTCTGACCCCCTTACAGGACAAGAGCTTCATTATCCCTTTTTCTCAGGTTTACTTGAGAGACTTCTGTCTTTGCCAGGCTTGGTACCCAGACCATCTGGAGGCTATTGAAAGGGAAGGATCAGTCCATAGTGAGAGTCATTCATTTCTCCCTCCAGCTCATCCCTATCTGGGTATTGGCTGTCAGCACTCTACTAGGCTCACAGTTCTTGTTTTGTTTTTCAGACAGGCAGCTTGATGTCATGGGGCCCCATACACCTTTACCCTCACCTGCCAGCAGATGCTACTTGCCCATTAGTTCACCGTTAGATCCGTGTCGCACCATTTAATGAGACTTTTAAAAGTACCTTTTGCAGCAGAAGCCTGTCTGTTGGAAACATATCCCACATTTAGTTCTCTGTCTCTCTCACTCTCATACTTTCTGTGTTCCCCGGATCATGATAGCTTGATAGCACCAGCAAGTTGATATCTCGGCATCATCTTTGATCCCCTTCATCTTTACCCTTACAGCCACTCAACCTTCAGATTCCGTTGCATCTGCCTCCACAATCCTCCTTGACTTTACCTTCTTTCCTTCCCCACAGGCATTGTCCTAGTCCAGGCCACCTTATCTTGCCACCCACAGTGCTTCTGGATTGACCTCTCTGCCTCCAGTCTTTTCCCAAATATTGCAGAGAGAGTCATCTTTCTGAAACACACATCTGATCACCAATGATGCCTTGTTGTCCTGTGGATAAACCGCATGCTCTTCAGTGGAGCTTACAGCATGGTGCACCATAGCACAGTGGGTCACAGGTTGAACCTCAAAGTCAGGCATATGGGTTCAAAGGATGGCACCATCACTTACTAGCTTTGTGATCTTAAATGAGTTGCTTTACCTTTCTGTGTCTCAAGTTATCTCAAAATAGAGATAATATTATTTCATAAGATTGTTGTGAAGAGTAAATGTGATGATACATGTAGAGTTCTTTGACCAGAGCCTGATATATACATTAGGCATTCCAAAATGTTAACTACTGCGACCGCAACTGCTGCACGGCTAACTGCAGATGCCCTAATATCCCACTGCTGTCCTGGCTGGGGTACTGGCAAAAGGCTTAGGTTGTCTAGAAATCTAACTTTCTTCCTTCAATATCTGCAATGAAAATGGAGCTGAAGGATATTAAAGAACACCATCGTTTCTGATCCCCAATCTGAAAAATACTAAGGAGATGACACCAGCATCTGGAGTGGGTGTGCGTGGGAGGGAAAGGAGGAGGTGAAGATGTGATTTGATGTATCACTTCAGCTAGAGATGTAATGCAGTGGAGTGGTTTTTACCACAACTGAAACCAAGAGTGAAAGATGAATTTAAAGGGTTCTAGATCAGTCTAAACCAGGCTGACTTTCTCTAAGTCCAGCAGGGCATAGGGGCTCCAAGCCTGTAAAAACTGGCATGGTTTCTGGGCTATACAGATACTAATATTTCACACATTTGTAGTCTCCACCTTGTTGCATCAAAGCCTCATCATTTGGACTCTGCAGCTGTAAACAAAAATTCTATGACTTTAAAAAATTCAATATACAAACTAAGTATAGGGAAAGTAATTATGTTTCAAAGGATAGCTTTAAAAACTTTGTAATGCTCTCCATCCCTAAATTTTCTTAGGCCTAAATAAATGGCTTTATATTCCTAAAGAGGGCCCATTATCTTAATGATTTTAAATTGAGCTTTCTAGAACTATACCATTTTTGTATAAAAGTTAATTAGATAAGGCAGCATCTGCACTTTTTTCTTATCTATTTATATGAATGAGACCATCCTTTGAAAAATGTGCATTCTGTAGTGGCCCACTGAAGGGAAATTAGACAAATGCAGCCAAGAGAACCCTTGTCACCGACCAGCCAGGGTGATAAGAATGCCGATTAAATGCACACCTGATTTGTTTCAAGTAGGATGGGAGTGTATCTATTTCATTCAAAGATTTCTTGGATTTACCTTCCAGAAGACTCCTGTGTTTGGGATTGCCCTAGATCAGTGGTTCTTAGCCAAGGAGGATTTTGCCTCCAGAAGACATTTGGCAATATCTGAAGATGTTTTTAGTTTTTACAACTAAAGGGGTGGGTGTTACCGGCATCTACTGGGCAGAGGCCAGGGATGCTGCTGAACATCCTGCAATGCATGGGACAGGCCACCACAGCAGAGGACTGTCCAGCCCCACATGCAGTTGCAAGACCCTGGAATAGATGTTTTTGGCCTGGCGGGATAGTCTGGGTGAGGCTCCTTCTGGTGCTTATCCTGAATCTCCATCCAGAATAGCTCTAGATAGGGCTTAGTCCAGAAAGGTCTCCAGTGAACTCTTGGGGCTAGAGAAATAAGTTTTCTCATTATTCCCCTAAAATCTCCCTCACTTGTTTACTGAGTTCTAAAGTTATATCAAAATTTGAAATGAGGTTTAAATTGTGACTATATCTGAGAAGGAGGACAGGTTGACTTCAATTTTAAAAAATACATGGGCAGTTATAATTTTCTTTTCTTTTTTTTTTTTTTTGAGACGGAATCTGGCTCTGTCAGCCAGGCTGGTGCCATCTCACTGCAACCTCTGCCTCCCAGTTCAAGTGATTCTCCTCCTGAGCAGCTGGGATTACGGGCATGTGCCACCATGCCTGGCTAATTTTTGTACTTATAGAAGAGATGGGATTTCATCATGTTGGCCAGGCTGGTCTCGAATTCCTGACCTCAAGTGATCCACCTGCCCTCGGCTTCCCAAAGTGCTGAGATTACTTGTGTGAACCACCACGCCCAGCCTATAATTTTCTTGACAAGCAATTTTGATGAGGTAGGGAGAACACAAAGTCCCTAGGCAGGGTTGCCAGATTTAGTAAATAAAAATACAGAACATCCAGTTAATTTGGATTTTAGATAGGCAAGAAATAATATTTTAGTGTTTGTCCCAAATATAAGACATATTTCTACTAAAAAGTTATTTGCTGTTTATTGGAGCTTCACATTTAATTGGACATCCTGTATTTTATCTGGTCACTCTGTCTCTGAGTGATCAGAGAAGGTGAAGGTAATTCTTGAAGAAGAGAAAAGGCCAAGAGTTGGGGGCCTATAAGACATATTGCATCTGTGATAACTTATTTAATCTCTCTGTTCCTGAGTTTTGTCAGGTGTTAAGTGGGGGTAAAAATAGTACTCACTTTACAGAGAAGTTATGAGGATTGTTAGTTAATGTATATAAAGTACTCAGAAAAATACCTGACTACGTAAAAACTTTGTCCATGTTAGCTATTATTATTATTATTAGGACTATAAGTATCATTCCAAGGCAACTGGGTGCATCTTGGTCTGGCCTTTTCTCTTTTGTACTACTGAAATTAACTTTACTTTTATCATTTGGAAGGGTAGCAAATGAGGAATCCTTTCCCCCCACTTTTCCAAGGGGGTTATATGTGTGGCTATTATTTGGTACTGCTATTGGGTAACAGACAACCTCCAAACCAAGGCACACATTTTGCCTTGAAAAAGATTAATTGCCAAGAAGAATCATCTGCATTTCAGAGTAGCCCCATGTTTGATTTCTGCCAGTTGCCAACCTGACAGTACTTGCATTAATCCTGTCAGATATCAAAGGTGAGTTACAGTCACTATGGAGAAAGAATCTGTGTCAGTACAAGATAATTTGTCACGCTGATTCTGCAGTGAAGAATGATTAGAGTTCTGGGTAGAGCAATTTTCCTGGGGATATCTGAATCTATATCTACAGCTGAATGTAGCAAAGAGTTTCTTCAACATAGGGTTTAAAAAATCCTTTTCACAGAGATGTCCGAAGTATTCTGTTCTTCTTTTCAAAAACCTTTAATAACTTTTTCTTACCTACAGAATAATAGAATTGTATGAGATCACCTAACATCTGAAGGGAGACCAGGGTAAGATTAACCCAGAAGAAACCTAAGAAGGAAGACAGGAGAAGAGGGATAGAGTTTTATCTTGAAGCCAATGGAGAAGAGCATTTCAAAATAGAAGGGTTGGTAAACAGTGCCAAATTCTTAGGGTTAGGAATCTGTTGGGAAGGAGTTTAAGAAGACTTTTGATCTAGATGATTACATAAATTGTTACTTTGACAGATTTTTATCTGCTCCTAACACACAGTAATGACAGATAAAATATGAAAGAAGAAAATTCAAAAGATACATTTAGGCTAAAAGATACAGTCACTGAAATGAAAAAACGAAAACAAAAGCAAAAATCCTCAATAGGTATAATGAGTTATAGTTTTAACACAGTTAAAAAGAGCATTAGAAATTTGGAAGATAGTATAGAATAATTAACCCAGAAAATAGAACAAAAACATAAAGAGATTCAAAAATATGAAAAAGGTGTTAAGAGACACAGCAAGTAGATTTATGATTTTCCATATTTTTAAGAGGAGTTCCAAAGAAAGAGACTGAATAAAATGCTAGATATTTTAAGAGGTATTTGACATTTTTCCTGAATTAAAGAAAGACATGAATCCTTATAGCAAGTGTGCACTTATGAACTCAAACTTACAAGTAGGACTAGTAAAGATAAATTCACATTGTTATGGGTTGAATTGTGTTCCGCAAAAGATATGTTGAGGTCTTAACCCTTGACTGTGAATCTATTTTTGCACATAGGATCTTTGGAGATGTAATCAAATCATACTGGATTAGGATAAGCCCTAATTCTGTGAATGGTGACTTTGTAAGAGGAAGAAGAGGGATATTTGGATACACAGATACAAAGGAAACACAGGGAAGAGGTCCATATTAAGGCAGAGGCAGAGATTGCAGTGATGCAGCTGCAAGTCAACGAACATGAAAAATTGCCAACAACCGTAAGCTAGGAAAGAGGCAAGCAAGGATTCTTTTCCACAGCCTTCAGAGAGAGCATGGCCCTGCTGACAATTTGTGCTATAAAACCCTTTGAGAACAGTTTGACAGTTTCTTAAAAGACTAAATATACACTTACCATACAACTCAGCCATTTTACTCCTAAGTATTTATGCAAGGTAAATGAAAACACGTCTACACAGAGACTTGTACATGAATGTTCATAGCAGCTGTTTGTGTAATATCCAAAACCTCCCAAAATGCAAATAGCCATCAACTGGTAAAATAAATAAGTTATGGTATATCTATACAATGAAATACTACTCAGTGATGAAAAGGGATGAACTATTGATATACACAATTGTAAGGATCCATCTCAAAATCATTATGCTGAGTGAAAGAAGCTAGGTATAACAAAGAATACATACCGAATGATTCAATGTATTTTATGTAACATTTTAAGAAATGCAAACTAATATATAGTGACAGAAAGATAAGTGGTTGTATGAGGATAGGGGTGGAGGGAGGTATGGATTATTAAAGGGCACCAGGAAATTTTAGGGGTGATAGAAATGTTCATTATTTTGATTGTAGTGATGTTTTCAAAGGTGTATGCCTGTGTCAGAATTCATCAAATTGAACCCTTTCAACATATACAGTTTATCGTAAGTCAATTACACCTCAATAAAAAAGCAAAAAAAAAAGTATACTCATTAAAAGATATACAAGAAATGAATCAATAAAACCACAGACTGGTGGAAAATATTTGTGATACCTATATCTGACAAAATACTTAGATCTGGACTGTATAAAGAACTCTTGGGGGGAGGAGCCAAGATGGCCGAATAGGAACAGCTCCGGTCTACAGCTCCCAGCATGACCGACGCAGAAGACCGGTGATTTCTGCATTTCCATCTGAGGTACCGGGTTCATCTCACTAGGGAGTGCCAGACAGTGGGCGCAGGCCAGTGGGTGCGTGCACGGCGCGCAAGCCAAAGCAGGGCGAGGCATTGCCTCACCTGGGAAGTGCAAGGGGTCAGGGAGTTCCCTTTCCGAGTCAAAGAAAGGGGTGACGGACGCACCTGGAAAATCGGGTCACTCCCACCCGAATATTGCGCTTTTCAGACCGGCTTAAAAAATGGCGCACCACGAGACTATATCCCACACCTGGCTCTGAGGGTCCTATGCCCACGGAATCTCGCTGATTGCTAGCACAGCAGTCTGTGATCAAACTGCAAGGCGGCAGCGAGGCTGGGGGAGGGGCGCCCGCCATTGCCCAGGCTTGCTTAGGTAAACAAAGCAGCCAGGAAGCTCGAACTGGGTGGAGCCCACCACAGCTCAAGGAGGCCTGCCTGCCTCCGTAGGCTCCACCTCTGGGGGCAGGGCACAGACAAACAAAAAGACAGCAGTAACCTCTGCAGACTTAAATGTCCCTGTCTGACAGCTTTGAAGGGAGCAGTGGTTCTCCCAGCACGCAGCTGGAGATCTGAGAACCGGCAGACTGCCTCTTCAAGTGGGTCCCTGACCCCTGACCCCCGAGCAGCCTAACTGGGAGGCACCCCCCAGCAGGGGCACACTGACACCTCACACGGCAGGGTATTCCAACAGACCTGCAGCTGAGGGTCCTGTCTGTTAGAAGGAAAACTAACAAACAGAAAGGACATCCACACCAAAAACCCATCTGTACATCACCATCATCAAAGACCAAAAGTAGATAAAACCACAAAGATGGGGAAAAAACAGAACAGAAAAACTGGAAGCTCTAAAAATCAGAGCGCCTCTCCTCCTCCAAAGGAACGCAGCTCCTCACCAGCAACAGAACAAAGCTGGATGGAGAATGACTTTGACGAGCTGAGAGAAGAAGGCTTCAGACGATCAAATTACTCTGAGCTACAGGAGGACGTTCAAACCAAAGGCAAAGAAGTTGAAAACTTTGAAAAAAATTTAGAAGAATGTATAACTAGAATAACCAATACAGAGAAGTGCTTAAAGGAGCTGATGGAGCTGAAAACCAAGGCTCGAGAACTACATGAAGAATGCAGAAGCCTCAGGAGCCGATGGGATCAACTGGAAGAAAGGGTGTCAGCAATGGAAGATGAAATGAATGAAATGAAGCGAGAAGGGAAGTTTAGAGAAAAAAGAATAAAAAGAAATGAGCAAAGCCTCCAAGAAATATGGGACTATGTGAAAAGACCAAATCTACGTCTGATTGGTGTACCTGAAAGTGATGGGGAGAATGGAACCAAGTTGGAAAACACTCTGCAGGATATTATCCAGGAGAACTTCCCCAATCTAGCAAGGCAGGCCAACGTTCAGATTCAGGAAATACAGAGAATGCCACAAAGATACTCCTCGAGAAGAGCAACTCCAAGACACATAATTGTCAGATTCACCAAAGTTGAAATGAAGGAAAAAATGTTAAGGGCAGCCAGAGAGAAAGGTCGGGTTACCCTCAAAGGGAAGCCCATCAGACTAACAGCGGATCTCTCGGCAGAAACCCTACAAGCCAGAAGAGAGTGGGGGCCAATATTCAACATTCTTAAAGAAAAGAATTTTCAACCCAGAATTTCATATCCAGCCAAGCTAAGCTTCATAAGTGAAGGAGAAATAAAATACTTTACAGACAAGCAAATGCTGAGAGACTTTGTCACCACCAGACCTGCCCTAAAAGAGCTCCTGAAGGAAGCGCTAAACATGGAAAGGAACAACCAGTACCAGCTGCTGCAAAATCATGCCAAAATGTAAAGACCATCGAGACTAGGAAGAAACTGCATCAACTAACGAGCAAAATCACCAGCTAACATCATAATGACAGGATCAAATTCACACATAACAATATTAACTTTAAATGTAAATGGACTAAATGCTCCAATTAAAAGACACAGACTGGCAAATTGGATAAAGAGTCAAGACCCATCAGTGTGCTGTATTCAGGAAACCCATCTCACGTGCAGAGACACACATAGGCTCAAAATAAAAGGATGGAGGAAGATCTACCAAGCAAATGGAAAACAAAAAAAGGTAGGGGTTGCAATCCTAGTCTCTGATAAAACAGACTTTAAACCAACAAAGATCAAAAGAGACAAAGAAGGCCATTACATAATGGTAAAGGGATCAATTCAACAAGAAGAGCTAACTATCCTAAATATATATGCACCCAATACAGGAGCACCCAGATTCATAAAGCAAGTCCTGAGTGACCTACAAAGAGACTTAGACTCCCACACAATAATAATGGGAGACTTTAACACCCCACTGTCAACATTAGACAGATCAACGAGACAGAAAGTCAACAAGGATACCCAGGAATTGAACTCAGCTCTGCACCAAGCGGACCTAATAGACATCTACAGAACTCTCCACCCCAAATCAACAGAATATACATTTTTTTCAGCACCACACCACACCTATTCCAAAATTGACCACATACTTGGAAGTAAAGCTCTCCTCAGCAAACGTAAAAGAACAGAAATTATAACAAACTATCTCTCAGACCACAGTGCAATCAAACTAGAACTCAGGATTAAGAATCTCACTCAAAGCCGCTCAACTACATGGAAACTGAACAACCTGCTCCTGAATGACTACTGGCTACATAACGAAATGAAGGCAGAAATAAAGATGTTCTTTGAAACCAACGAGAACAAAGACACCACATACCAGAATCTCTGGGACGCATTCAAAGCAGTGTGTAGAGGGAAATTTATAGCACTAAATGCCCGCAAGAGAAAGCAGGAAAGATCCAAAATTGACACCCTAACATCACAATTAAAAGAACTAGAAAAGCAAGAGCAAACACATTCAAAAGCTAGCAGAAGGCAAGAAATAATTAAAATCAGAGCAGAACTGAAGGAAATAGAGACACAAAAAACCCTTCAAAAAATCAATGAATCCAGGAGCTGGTTTTTTGAAAGGATCAACAAAATTGATAGACCGCTAGCAAGACTAATAAAGAAAAAAACAGAGAAGAATCAAATAGACACAATAAAAAATGATAAAGGGGATATCACCACCGATCCCACAGAAATACAAACTACCATCAGAGAATACTACAAACACCTCTACGCAAATAAACTAGAAAATCTAGAAGAAATGGATAAATTCCTCGACACATACACTCTCCCAAGACTAAACCAGGAAGAAGTTGAATCTCTTAATAGACCAATAACAGGAGCTGAAATTGTGGCAATAATCAATAGCTTACCAACCAAAAAGAGTCCAGGACCAGATGGATTCACAGCCGAATTCTACCAGAGGTACAAGGAGGAACTGGTACTATTCCTTCTGAAACTATTCCAATCAATAGAAAAAGAGGGAATCCTCCCTAACTCATTTTATGAGGCCAGCATCATTCTGATACCAAAGCCGGGCAGAGATACAACAAAAAAAGAGAATTTTAGACCAATATCCTTGATGAACATTGATGCAAAAATCCTCAATAAAATACTGGCAAACCGAATCCAGCAGCACATCAAAAAGCTTATCCACCATGGTCAAGTGGGCTTCATCCCTGGGATGCAAGGCTGGTTCAATATATGCAAATCAATAAATGTAATCCAGCATATAAACAGAACCAAAGACAAAAACCACATGATTATCTCAATAGATGCAGAAAAAGCCTTTGACAAAATTCAACAACCCTTCATGCTAAAAACTCTCAATGAATTAGGTATTGATGGGACGTATTTCAAAATAATAAGAGCTATCTATGACAAACCCACAGCCAATATCATACTGAATGGGCAAAAACTGGAAGCATTCCCTTTGAAAACTGGCACAAGACAGGGATGCCCTCTCTCACCACTCCTATTCAACATAGTGTTGGAAGTTCTGGCCAGGGCAATTAGGCAGGAGAAGGAAATAAAGGGTATTCAATTAGGAAAAGAGGAAGTCAAATTGTCCCTGTTTGCAGATGACATGATTGTATATCTAGAAAACCCCATGGTCTCAGCCCAAAATCTCCTTAAGCTGATAAGCAACTTCAGCAAAGTCTCAGGATACAAAATCAATGTACAAAAATCACAAGCATTCTTATACACCAACAACAGACAAACAGAGAGCCAAATCATGAGTGAACTCCCATTCACAATTGCTTCAAAGAGAATAAAATACCTAGGAATCCAACTTACAAGGGATGTGAAGGACCTCTTCAAGGAGAACTACAAACCACTGCTCAAGGAAATAAAAGAGGATACAAACAAATGGAAGAACATTCCATGCTCATGGGTAGGAAGAATCAATATTGTGAAAATGGCCATACTGCCCAAGGTAATTTACAGATTCAATGCCATCTCCATCAAGCTACCAATGACTTTCTTCACAGAATTGGAAAAAACTACTTTAAAGTTCATATGGAACCAAAAAAGAGCCCGCATCGCCAAGTCAATCCTAAGCCAAAAGAACAAAGCTGGAGGCATCACGCTACCTGACTTCAAACTATACTACAAGGCTACAGTAACCAAAACAGCATGGTACTGGTACCAAAACAGAGATATAGATCAGTGGAACAGAACAGAGACCTCAGAAATAACGCCGCATACCTACAACTGTCTGATCTTTGACAAACCTGAGAAAAACAAGAAATGGGGAAAGGATTCCCTATTTAATAAATGGTGCTGGGAAAACTGGCTAGCCATATGTAGAAAGCTGAAACTGGATCCCTTCCTTACACCTTATACAAAAATCAATTCAAGATGGATTAAAGATTTAAACGTTAGACCTAAAACCATAAAAACCCTAGAAGAAAACCTAGGCATTACCATTCAGGACATAGGCATGGGCAAGGACTTCATGTCCAAAACACCAAAAGCAATGGCAACAAAAGACAAAATTGACAAATGGGATCTAATTAAACTCAAGAGCTTCTGCACAGCAAAAGAAACTACCATCAGAGTGAACAGGCAACCGACAAAATGGGAGAAAATTTTCGCAACCTACTCATCTGACAAAGGGCTAATATCCAGAATCTACAATGAACTCAAACAAATTTACAAGAAAAAAACAAACAACCCCATCAAAAAGTGGGCGAAGGACATGAACAGACACTTCTCAAAAGAAGACATTTATGCAGCCAAAAAACACATGAAAAAATGCTCATCATCACTGGCCATCAGAGAAATGCAAATCAAAACCACAATGAGATACCATCTCACACCAGTTAGAATGGCAATCATTAAAAAGTCAGGAAACAACAGGTGCTGGAGAGGATGTGGAGAAATAGGAACACTTTTACATTGTTGGTGGGACTGTAAACTAGTTCAACCATTGTGGAAGTCAGTGTGGCGATTCCTCAGGGATCTAGAACTAGAAATACCATTTGACCCAGCCATCCCATTACTGGGTATATACCCAAATGACTATAAATCATGCTGCTATAAAGACACATGCACACGTATGTTTATTGAGGCATTATTCACAATAGCAAAGACTTGGAACCAACCCAAATGTCCAACAATGATAGACTGGATTAAGAAAATGTGGCACATATACACCATGGAATACTATGCAGCCATCAAAAATGATGAGTTCATGTCCTTTGTAGGGCCATGGATGAAATTGGAAATCATCATTCTCAGTAAACTATCGCAAGAAGAAAAAACCAAACACCCCATATTCTCACTCATAGGTGGGAATTGAACAATGAGATCACATGGACACAGGAAGGGGAATATCACACTCTGGGGACTGTGGTGGGGTGGGGGGAGGGGGGAGGTATAGCATTGGGAGATATACTTAATGCTAGATGACGAGTTAGTGGGTGCAGCGCACCAGCATGGCACATGTATACATATGTAACTAACCTGCACAATGTGCACATGTACCCTAAAACTTAAAGTATAATAAAAAAAAAGAAAAAAAAAAAAGAACTCTTAACAACTCAAAAATAAAATGATTAATGACACAAAAACAAATCAGTTATGAAAGGCCAGTAAGCTCATGTAAGGCTGCCCAACATCATTAGACGTTAGGGAAATATAATAAAAATCACAAGGAAATACCACTTCATACTAAGTAAAATAGCTAAAATAAAAAAGATGTACAATAATAAACGTAAGCAAGGATGTGGGGCAACTGTGATTCTCATACATTGCTGCTGGGAAAGTAAAATTAGATAATTTGAAAAACTATTTTGCAATTTCTTCTGAACTTTATTATAAAGTAAAGTATATACCTACCCCATGACTTATAGGTATTTACACAAGAGAAATGAACACATATGTCCATAAAAAGACTTTTATGAGAATATCAA
This sequence comes from Homo sapiens, assembly GCF_000001405.40. NCBI lineage: Eukaryota > Metazoa > Chordata > Mammalia > Primates > Hominidae > Homo > Homo sapiens. Next base: position 42,431,308 of record NC_000013.11, read on the forward strand.
TAGTGGCTCTATTCATAATAACCCAAACTTGAAACAACTAAAATGTCCCTCGACTAGCAGAATAAATAAGCAAATTGTGGCATATTTAGGCATTAGAATAATACTCAGCAGTAAAAAGGGAGGAACTACTGATACATGGAACAACATGAACACACTTCTAAGACATTATTTTGAATAAAAGAAGCCAGCTGCAAAAGATTCTATTACTACATTTAAGATGGAAATAAAAACAATGGCTGCCTAGGGGATGCTGGCGGTGCTGGCAATGGGGGGTAGGATTCAACAAAGGGGCAGGAGGAAACCTTCTGGGGGATAGAAATGTCCTATATCTTGCTCTTAAAATCTATGTATTTTATTGTAGGTAAGCTGTACCTCACTGAAAAAATATTTTAAAAAGCAAGGACCAAAGAGCTAATGCAAATGTGATGAAATGTTGGTAATTGTTGAATCTGGGGAATGGGCTTATGGGGGTTTATCAAACCATTCTCTCGACATCCTAATCCCTAGAATCTGTGAATATGTTACCTTACATTGCAAAAGGGAATTTGTATTTGTGACTAAGGTTAAGGACCTTGAGATGGGGGAGATAATCCTGAATGAATCCTTAAAAATGGAGAACCTTTCTTGGCTATGGTCAGATGAGGTATGACTATGGAAGAATGGTCAGAGATGCAACATTGCTGGGTTTTGAAGATGAAGGAAGGAGCTGTGAGCAAGGAAGAGGGGTGGCCTCTAGAAGCCGGAAAAGGCAAGAAAGGGGATTCTTCCTTCTAAGCTCCATAAATGCACCCCAGTCAACACTATGATTTTAGTTCATTAAGACCCATGTTGAACTGCCAATCTACAGCAATGTGAAACAATAAATATGTGTTGTTCAAGCTACTAAGTTTGTGACAATTTGTTACAGTAGCAAAAAAAAAGCAATATATGCATATAACTGATAAAATATTGATATCAATAATATATGAATAACTCCCCCAAATCAATAAGAAATGCATTAAAAGCAATACAAAATGAAAACAGGATATAAATAGACAATTAACAAAAAATAAAATGCATATGGCCAATAAACATATTTAAAAATGCCCAACTTTACTAGTTAACATTGAAATAAAAAATTACAAAATAGCTGAAAATACTCAATGTTGTGGATGAGTGGATAAACTAGAACTCTCCTACAGTGCTAAGTAGAATAACAAATTGGTATTAATACAACCACTTTTCAGAGTAATTTGATAAGCTCTGAAAATACATATACTTATGATCTAGATATTCCAGTTTTAGGTATATTCTCCAGAGGAACTTGCACATGGGCTCTAGAAGACATGCTCAAGAATGTTTATTAGGTCGTCATTTGTAACAATAAAAGATTGGAAACAATCTAGATATTCATCAACAAGAGCATATACAGCTAACCTGGGGCATTCTGGTCAAAACTGCAGTTGCTCTTTATTGCACTCAGAGTCAAAGTCAAAGTTCTTACCATAGCCTTCAAGGCTGTCTGTAATCTGGCCCTCATTATAATCTTATTGATCTTCCTTTGATTTGCTTCATTCCAGCCACACTGGCCTCTCTGCTGATCCTTAAACATTGTAGACATTCCTCTACCTCAGGGGCCTTTGCACTGGATGTTTCCTTCTGCCTGAAGCACATTTCTTCCATATTTCTCACCTTCTTTAAGTATTTGATCCAATGTCACAAACTCAATAAGGCCTGCCTTGACCACTCTATTTAAAATTGCCACCTCCTCCGCAACTGATACTACCAACCCACCTTACTTGCTTTCATGACCTTTTGTATAGTATTTATCACTTTCTAACATGGCCAGGCATGGTGGCTCACGCTTGTAATCCCAGCACTTTGGGAGGCCGAGGTGGATGGCTCACCTGAGGTCAGGAGTTCAAGACCAGCCTGGGCAATATGGTGAAACCCTGTCTCTACTAAAAATACAAAAATTAACCAGGTGTGGTGGCGCACACCTGTAATCCCAGCCACTCGAGAGGCTGAGGCACAAGAATTGCTTGAACCCGGGAGGTGGAGGTTGCAGTGAGCCAAGATCGTGCCATTGCACTCCAGCCTGGGTGACAGAGCAAGACTCCGTCTCAAAATAAATAAATAAATAAAAATGTTTGTGGCACCCCATCTTCACACTCTGTCTCTTGCTGCCATGTAAGACATCCTTGCTTTCCTTTTGCCTTCTGCCATGACTGTAAGTTTCCTGAGGCCTCCCCAGCCATGCGTAACTGTGAATCAAAAAATTATATAGTCTCAGGTAGTTCTTTATAGCAGTGTGAAAACAGACTAATACACTCATTGTTTATGATGATCTAATTCCATAAAAAACAATAAGGTCCAGAAGGGTGAGGGTCTTGATTGTGTTTCACTAATATATTCTAAGATCCCAAAGTTGTGCCTGACATGTAGTAAGGATGCAGTACATATATTTTGAATAATTAATAAATGAAATATATTCAGACAGAGGAATATTATTTACAAAAAGTTTCAAAAATTTATAAATATGAATTGTATATGAATATACATGTTTGTATTAGTAATATAAGCAACTTTCATTAGACTGATAGATATTAAAATTAGGGTGCAATTATTGTTGGAGAAAAGGGGAAAGTAAGATTATGGTGGTATATACAGGAACTTCAATTGCACCTGAAATGTTGTATTTCTTAAAAAGTAAGAGTTGAAGCCAATATAAAATTTAAGATTTAAAAATGTGTGATATGTATATGAAGTGTTATTATTCTGTATGCTTGTCTGTATGTATAAATTTTGTCATAATAAATTTTTCAAAAATAACAGAATAGGAAATGTGAAAGTAGAGATAACTCTACTTTAAAATTGTGCTTTAAAATTGTGCTGACACAATTTTAAAGAAAGTTAGCCTGAAAAGAAGGCAAGAAAGTGGAAGATAGAGAGGATGTAGGGTTTGAAGGAAAACTTTTTTTTTTGAGACGGAGTCTTGCTTCTTTGCCCAGACTGGAGTGTAATGGCAGAATCTGGGCTCACTGCAACCTCCACCTCCCCAGTTTAAGCGATTCTCCTGCCTCAGCCTTCCCAGTAGCTGGGATTATAGGCATGTGCCACCACCCCCAGCTAATTTTTGTGTTTTTAGTAGAGATGAAGTTTCACCATGTTGGCCAGGCTGGTCTCGAACTGCTGACCTCAAGTGATCTGCCCGCCTCAGCCTCACAAAGTGCTGGAATTACAGGCATGAGACACTGTGCCTGGCCAGGAAAACTTTTTTTAAGATGAGAGACTTGGACATGTCTACATATTGAAGGGAAGGAACAAATAAAGGAAGATAAAGGAATGGTGAGAAGTGATTAAGACTTTAACTTCTGAGAAGGGTGGGAGTTATGGCTTATCAGAGGCCACAAAATATTGCAGAGCCACACTGATGGACTGGCTCTTATTCACTCATTTATTCATTCATTCACTCATTCAACCAATATTATAGGCCCACTGTTGAGAAAATTTCAGCATCTCTCTAGAGGATTCCCAGCAGAAGGGGTATCCTTTAGGGAGAACCAATATTCATTCAACATTCAGCGGGGTGGAGAATGTGTTTCTGGAAGAGTTTGAGAATAGAAGCATCAAGAGCTAGGAAAAACAAGTTGGAAGGGAAGATAGCAGAGAGAACACAAAAACTTGAAATTATGAGTCCCATGAAGACAGGAACAGAATCCAACCCTGACATAATGAAGTAGGAGATTTGCCCATTGATAGAATGAACTAGCTTGGTGGCCCCTGCCATGACTTGATGGGGCTGGAGACAATGAGTTTGAGTTGTGATCTGGTACTCTCTGTTGCCCACGGTGCTGTACTGCTCTTGAGGCCATTCCTAAGTGTAGCGTTAACTCTGTCACCTCTTTTACAGGTCTCACCTACCAAATCATAATAAATATCTATATATTTGGAGATAGAGATGAAAACCATGTGGCTGTATCCAGTTGGAGTGAAAAATATGAACTGTAAGTATTTTTTTATTGTGGAAAAAAGCACATGTCATAACTTTCTAGTGTTAAGTGTACAGTTCAGTAGTGTTAAGTATATTCACATTGTTGTGAATCAGATCTCCAGGATTTTTTCTTCTTGCAGAACTAAAACCATACCCATTAAAAAACAATTCTCATTTGTCTCCTATCCCCATTCCCTAGTAACTTTCATTCTATGTTTTATAGCTATGTATTTGACTACTTTAGATATCTAATGTAAGTAGAATCACACAGTATTTGTCATTTTGTAACTAACTTATTTCACTTAGCATAACGTTCTCAAGAGTCATCCATGTTGTAGCATGTGACAGGGTTTCCTTCCTTTTTAAGGCTGAGTAATATTTCATTATGTGGATATACACATTTTGTTAATCCATTCATCTGTCCATGGACACTTGGGTTGTTTCCACCTCTTAACTATTGTGGATAATGCTGCTATAAACATGGGTGTGCAAATATCTCTTTGAGACCCTCCTTTCCATTATTTAGGATGCATACCCAGAAGTGGGCTTACTGGATCATATAATAGTTCTATTCTTAATTTTTGGAGTAATTGCCATATTGTTTTCCATAGCAGCTGCACCATTTGCAATTCTACCAACAGTATGCAAGAGTTCCAACTTTTTTTTACATTCTTGTCAGCACTTGTTATTTTCTGAGTTGTTGATAGTAGCCATCCTAATAGGTGTGAGGTGATATCTCATTGTGGTTTTGAAGTGCATTTCTTTAATGATTAGTGATGTTGAACATCTTTTCATATGTTTCTTGGCCACTTGTACATCTTCTTTGCAGAAATGTCTATTCAAGTCCTGTGCCCATTTAAAAATCAAGTTATTTGATTTTTTGTTGTTAAGTCCTAGGAGTTCTTTATATATTTTGGACACCAACCCCTTATCAGATATATAATTTGTAAATATTTTTCCCATTCCATAGGTTGTCTTTTCACTCTGCTGATTGTGTCTATTGATGAACAAAAGTTTTTGAGTTTGAAATAGTCTCATTTACCTATTTTGCATCTGTTGCCTATTTCGTGTCATTTCTAAGAAATCATTGCCAGATTCAATATCATAAAGCTTTCCCCCTTTTTCTTGTAACAGTTTTGTAAGTTTGGGTTCTTACCTTTGGGTCATTAGCCCAAGTTAATTTTTGAACATGGTGTAAGATAAGTGTTCAATTTCATTCTTTTGCATGAGGATATCTAGTCTTCCCAATACCATTTGTTGAAGGGACTGTCAATTTTTGATATTTTCAAAGAACTAACTCTTAGTTTTATGTAGTTTTCTATTATTTTCCTATTTTCTATTTCATTTGTCTCTGCTCTAATCTTTATTTTCTCCCTTCTGCTAGCATTAGGTTTAGTTTGTTTTTCTTTTTCGGGTTCCTTGAGGTGTAAAGTTAGGTTTTTAATTCGAGATCTTTCTTCTTCTTTTAATTGTATGTTTATAGCTATAAACTCTCCTCTTAGCACTGCTTTTCCTACATCTCGTAAGCTTTATTTTTATTTGTCTCAAGATATTTTCTAATTTCTCTTATGACTTCGTCTTTGACCTATTGGTTGTTTAAGGTGGTGTTTTTAAATTTCCACTTATTTGTGTATTTCCAGTTTTCCTTCTGCTATTGATTTCTAGTTTATTTTTACCACTTTTAGAAAAAGATAGTTTCTATAATACTGGTCTTTTAAAATTTGTTGAGCTTTGTTTTGTGGCTGTATATTTTTTTAAGGAAGGACAGCTTAATTGCTTTTAGGTCCTGCATATGAAAATTCAAATTATAGTTAGGTGTGAATTCATGGACACAGTCGTTGTTACATCTCTAAATGGGGAATCTGGGAAGTATTACATAATCATGAATCACAAACATGAATCCTAAGTTAAGTCATCTATTTTACAACCTTTCACTCAACGAAAATTATGTATGGAACCTACAATCATAGTCTCATAAAGTTATGTACTGGTCAAATTGGCCTTAGTGGTCACTTAATGTGTTCCCTTATGTTGCAGATGAAGAAAGAAGGAGTTCTGCTTCTTCCAAAGGAGTGACTCCCAAAGGAACAAGAATTGACCATAGGTTATGGCTTGTGTTACAATACACCGATGTTGTCTTTGAGGCCATCCACTGACGTCCTCACCCATGGCATAAGCAAGTTTTTCTGAAGGTATTTTTGGATGTTTACAATGTTTGCATAGTCTAAAACTCAGAACTATTTTTAAACTAGATTTATTCTTTAGAGAAGTTTTAGGTTCACAGCAAAATTGATCAGAAAGTATAGAGAATTCTCATACCTTCTGCCCCTACACAAGCATAGCCTCCCAAACTAGCAACATCCTGTACCAGAATGGTGCATTTGTTACAACCAATTAACCCGAACTGAGAAATCATTATCACCCAAAGTCCATAGTTTAAATTAGGGTTCACTCTTGGTGTTGGTATGTTCTGCTTTAAAAAAATATGATATTAATACTTATTTAAAATTTACCACTTAGCCATTTATAGCATACAGTTCAGTAGTGTTAAGTATATTCACACTGTTGTGAAACAGATCTCCAGAACTTTTTCATCTTGCAGGAGTTTAAATAACAACTCCAGTTTTCCTCTTCTCCTCAGCCCCTTGGTAACCACCATTCTACTTTCTGTTTCTATGAATTTGACTACTCTAGGTACCTCATATGAGTGGAGTCATACAGTATTTGTCTTTTTGTGACTAGATGATTTCATTTAGCATGTCTTCAAGGTTCATCCGTGTTGTAACATGTGACAGGATTTCCTCCCTTTTTAAGGCTGAGTAATATTCCACTGTATGTATATAGAACATTTTGTTTATCCATTCATCCTTTGATGAACACTTGGGTTTCTTCTACCTTTTGGCTATTGTGGGAATAATGCTGCTATGAACATATTGAGACCCTGCTTTCAATGCTTTTGGATATATACCCAGAAATGGGATTGCTGGATCATATAGTAGTTCTATTTTTAATTTTTGAGGAATTACCACACTATTTTCCATAGTAATTGCACCATTTTACAGTCTTACCAACACTGGTTCCAGTTCCTCCACATCCTTACCAACACATTATTCTTTTTTCTTTCTTTTTAAATAACAGACATTCTAACAGGTATGAGGTGTAGAATTTAGAACTTGTTAATCTCTCTCACGGATTTCTTTCTCACAACGGAACTTCCACAGAATTTTGTTTTTTCATTGTGTTAGGGTTAACTGCCAACTTCCTATTTAGGATTGGGACAAAAATTCTACAGACAAAATATGGGGGAAATGAAATGTTTCCTAAGGAAGAGAAATAGATTTGTGAGATATTATGTATCAATGAATTATTCCTAAAAAGCTTTAAAGTAGGACAATTATCCTGGATTACCCAGGTGGGCCAGATGTAATCATATGAGCCCTTGAAATCATAAGAGGAAGGTACAGGGGAAGTCAGAGGGCTGTGAAGTATGACAAGTGCTAAATCCACCATTGCTGGCTTCAAGACAGAGGGGAAACATGGGAACCATGAGAAGGAAATGAATTCTGTCGACAACATGAATGGACCAGAGAGTGGATTCTCCCTTAGAACCTCCCATGGAGAGCCTTGACACCCTGAGTTTGGACTTGTGAGATCCTAAGCAGAATCCCAGCCTAGTCTGCTGGACATCTGACCTATAAAACTGTGAAATAATAAATGAGTGTTGTTTTAAGCTGCCAGGTTTGTGGTAATTTTTGTGGCAGCAATAGAAAACCAAAGCACTAGATATTCATTTTATGTGTTGAAAACAGTAGAACGTTCTCTCCAGATGAAATATTTGGATCACTGCAGAGCTTCTTTGGTCACATCTAGGGATTGTGTGTGAGACTCCACTGAACATATCTTCCAGGCATCCCCTCAAAGCATTTGAATAGATTTAGATATAGACATCCTATGAGTAAACCTGATCTCAATACTTAACTGCAGTGCACTGTGGCTTCTGTTACTTCTTCATCATTCCCACTGGACTGTATAATCCATAAGGGCAGGAGCCATTTCTTCTTAATTTTCATTCCCCAAGAGCAAAACACAGTGTTGACAAAAGGTAGGCACTCAATAAACATTTTTATGAATGAATGTTAAGAGAGTTTGACAACTAATGTCTCCAGAGGACAATATTGGTTATGGGTAGAGGCAGAGCAAAGAACTAGAAGCACAGCAGTGAACAAGATAGGGAAGGAAAGAATTTCATGGACAAAGGAATGTAGAGTTTAATACATGCATAATTATTGTTTGTTTAAAAAATTTCCATGATATATTTCTCCTACTGGCACCACCAGTGGAATCAATTTCAGGAAGTAGGCTGACCGTTGCATAAGTGGCTTGTGAAACATCACATCGTAGCTCACATTCCCAACAACTTGAATAAATATGTGTGTGTGTGTGTGTGTGTGTGTGTGTGTGTGTGTGTGTGTAGTTTACCCCCCAAGGACAATTCTCCTGGCTTCCCTGCAGCTGAAGTCAGATTTGTGTTTAGTAATCTCGTGGTGACTATGTTTTCCCTGCGGGAATAGAATACACCAGGGTTGATGCCCCCCATGTGGAGAGGAGCTGAGACTCCGTGCAGCTTGGTGAGGTGTGGGTACACAGACAGTCCAGGGAACTTGGTTCAAGCTCCGAGAACCTGAAGATGGCCTGTGAGGCTGCAGCAGGAGAACACATGTTACTGGTTATACCCCAAAGGCAAGCCAGAGGCAGGGGCTGTGAAGATGGCAAGCCAGAGATGTCTGTGAGGAAGGCAAGCCGTGGGAGCATGCAGCAAATGGGAGGAACCTTAAGCACACACACCCCCAATTCATTTTTGTGAAGACTGACTCTGTCTTGAAAACTAATTAAATAAATGCCAGCCCATTCTCTCTTCCCAGTGCACTTCTTACTATTTTAGTCACTGTAATTGAGAGTAGAAATAATCTCCACTGTGCCTGAAAAACAGCTCTTGGATACTCTATTTTACATGAAGTAGAAAAACATGAGGTGAATGTGACAACTGGCCTTCAAGGAATGGCAACTGGCTGTATATCCAGTTTCACTGGTTTTGCTCTGCAGTTTGTGATTTGTGCAGTTAGTGAAGTAGATCTCCACATGCTTTCAGGGTTTTTGTTGCCCCTGGTACTGGAGCAGAGAACTATTATCAGGAGTAAATTTTATGACTTCAATCTAGGTTGTGAATTTGGGTCAGCCATTTTACCATTTAAAGTCTCCACTTCTTGTTCTTAAACAAAACAAAACAAAACAAAAAAACAGAATAAGTCAAAGAGGAGATGAGAGGTAGAGGAACTTGAAAGTGCTCACTTTTAAAGCTAGCTTCTGGACTTTTCTTATTTCATCACTTGATGGTTTTGTCTACTTTCCATGAATTCTAAATTTTATGGTGGGTTTGGAAGAAACATGTCTTCTATATATGGGCAGATCCAGGTTTTGTGGAGCTTGAGCCTTAAGCAATGTTGGAAACCCTCTTTAAGGAAAAGAGGCCGGGCGCGGTGGCTCACGCCTGTAATCCCAGCACTTTGGGAGGCCGAGACGGGCGGATCACGAGGTCAGGAGATCGAGACCATCCTGGCTAACACGGTGAAACCCCGTCTCTACTAAAAATACGAAAATTAGCCGGGCATGGTGGCGCGCGCCTGTAGTCTCAGCTACACGGGAGGCTGAGGCAGGAGAATGGCGTGAACCCAGGAGGCGGAGCTTGCAGTGAGTCGAGATCGCGCCACTGCACTCCAGCCTGGGCGACAGAGCGAAACTCCGTCTCAAAAAAAAAAAAAAAAAAAAAAAAAGAAAAAGAATACGGGCCGGGCATGGTGGCTCATGCCTGTAATCCCAGAACTTTAGGAAGCCGAGGAGGGAGGATCCCTTGAGGCCAAGAGTTTGAGACCAGCCTGGGAAACATAGAAAGACCTTATCTCTACAAAAACAAAAAGTGAAAAAATTTAACCAGGTATGGTAGAGCACACCTGTAGTCCCAGTTACTTGGGAAGCTGAGACAGAAGGATAGCTTGAGCCCAGGAGTTAAAGGCTGCAGTGAGCTGTGATCAGGCCACTACACTCCAGCCTGGGTGAGAGAGAGAGATCCTGTCTCAAAATAATAATAATAATAAGAGAAAGAAAGAAATAATTTTAAAAAACACACAAGGTACCTACATTGGCAAATTTTACAAAAATATATGACCCTGTGAACACATCATCACCTCCAGGGCCAGGGAATAGTTTGTGCAGATGAGTGGCCCTGAATCTCATGCTTTATGACTTCCTGGTAAATCCACCTCCGCATCTACACGTGAGAATCATGTTGCTTCCCTGAGAAGAACAGAGTGAGGCAAGAGCAAAATACTGTATTAATCCAATCAGACCTAAAATGAATCCTGCCCTTTTACAGAGGAACAGAGGAGGAAACTGGGGTTCAGAGAGGACAAGTAACACCCAACATCACATATACAATCAGTGTTAGAATCTGCTTCCTTTAACTTCAATTTTCAGACTGGTATTTCTGTGCTATTTCCCAGGAAAGCTTGTAAAACCAGAGGAAACAATAGGAGTAAATATGTTACAGTCTGTTTTTCCTTATAGAGGTACTGTATACACACAGCCAACAAGGAGGACATAGCCAACCCAGTAGAATCTGAGAGAGGATGACTGAGAGATTTTGCATCATCTGATCCCTTCCCTCTTTCCTGTTTTCAGAGGCTTACGAGGTGTGACTGCATGCTTTTTTTTGGTCAAGTTCAAAAGGACATTCATATCCAAATGAATGTTATCTTCTTGTTCCTTTCAAAGTAGGTTCTTATTCCAAATTGCTGCCATTTTTAGAAACTTCTTTTTGGACTAACATTTTGTCAGTTTGAGTCACCCAAGAAAATCAGTACTTTGGGCAATTTTCTGTCTTCCTCCTTTCTTCTCTCCCTTCTTTCCTTGTTAATGAAAAAAGCATATTATCTAGTTTATTCACCAGGCTTGGTGCTAAGTGATTTTTAGATATTTCCAAAGAATCATGCCCATGATTAAAGGTTTAAAATTTGGTATCATAAAAATATTAAAAATAATTTGATATGGATTCCAAAGAGGACTATAATTTTCACCTAAAACCTATGAGAGGAAGGGAAAAATTTGTTTTAAGTTCAAGGTAGGTAGGATTTATACCTTCTTATATTAAAAAGACCTATGCAAGGTGAAAGAACATCTGCCATGTGCCAGGCATTGTCCTAGATGGTTTCATGTGACATTTCTTACAATAATTTGCACTTATTCCTCCAATCTTAGGGAAACTGAGGCACTGAGAAGTTAGAAAACTTGCAGTGGTAGAGATGAGATTAAAACCTAGTCTGCTAGTTCCCACATCAGTGCTCTTTCCCCTAGTCAACACACTTTACCTTATGCAGTCATCTACATGAATGTCTGCCTTGAATTCACAGTGGGTCTGCCAGATCCTATGTGCTCCCAGCACAGGTTATAACTGGGAAGTGAAGTCACAAAATCAGCCTCAAAGAAGTGCAGGCCAAGTCCACCTGGCAGCCTTCAGGGAGAATTCATGAGCTAGAAATTACCCAAGGACAGCTCTGGAGAAAGATGTAAAGGCCTTGTTGGTTTTTTTTCCTGACACAGAATGCTTGAAGCCTGTTTATTTCTCTGATCTGTTCCTGTCTGTCTTTGCCACCACCCCCTCTCAGGCATAGTTCTTTTCACAATTGTCCACATCCCTTCCACCCCAACAAATCTCTTCTTCCAGAATAATTTTATGTTAACACCTTTAGTCATTGCTTTGAACTTCATTTCAACATTGGCTGTACCCTATTTTCCACACTCTGCATTCCTAGTATTCGTTATTTCATCGGAATAAGCAATATAAGCAATTATGTGTATATAGCAAATAAGACTGGAGCCTTCTCTCAATAACCAAGCCCCTCCTCATCATACACTGAAGTGTGGTGATGGTGAAATTTAGAGAAAGACATTTGAAGGTCAGCATAGTATTATTGACGAAGATTAAACCCCAGACATTAGGTCAACTTTTATCTTGAGGAGTGGTCCTTGTGCATTTTGTACATATTTTCTGATATTCACCCACATTATTTATCCTGGAATGACCCATCTGCTGAAATAAAGGTCTTTGAGAGGAGGGCATCTCTTCAACTCCTGCCAAGGGTCAACAAGTAGGAACATAAGGGCTTTATACTAAGGTAGACCTGAATTTGAGGAAACTGGGTTCATCACCAATTGGCTCTGTGACAAAGAGCAAATTACTTAACTTTTTTGAGTCTCAGTTTCCTCATCTGAAGAATGGGATTATTATAGCTGTCTTAGAGGACTGTGTTAAGGACACAGGTTTTGAAGTTAGATCAAAGTCTGACTCTTACTCTGCCATTGATTAGTTGCATAGTACTAGGCAAGTTAACTTCTCTAGCCTTGTTTCTGCCTAGTAAAATGAAAGATAATAATACTTATTTTATAGGATTGTCAGTAGGATTCAAATAAGTAATATATTTAAAGCTCTTAGTCTAGAATATGGCACAAAGCAAGCACTTAACAAATGATAGCTATTCTTAGAACTAATGAGATGGCATATATCAAGTTTCCAGCATAATAACTGCCCACAGTTGAGTTTCAATAAATGTTAATTCCTTTTCTTCCCTCCCAGGAAGAAGCAGCAGAATAAATTGGATACTTAATGATTGTCTACCCCTTCAAGCTAATGTGCATAAGATTAACACTACTCCATTTCCCACTACTTTGCATCTGGGGACACTTCTTACAAGGATTCATATGCCATGAGGACTGGCATTATGTTGAGGTGGAATAAAGAGCTGGTTACATCCTATAATTTCAGAAGCACTGCAAGCTTTATTTGCCACAAATGCCTATCCTCTAGCAGACTTCTTAGAGTTGGAATAGAGCTTTTTAAGAGAATTTCCTTTGGGTTACAACACTATATCCAGAAAATTTTTGTTAAAGTGCAGTTGTCTTACCTGAGTAGGATAACATATACCCTGTCATTCACACATCAGCATGGGTTAGTCCAGTAAAGACCATGCAGGACTAGAATATGGGAATGGTGAATTTTAAGAAAGAAGAACTATAAAATCTGGAGCTGTCTAGAGAAGCAGTAATAGGCTTAAGCAGACAGGAGTTTCCTAAATGGGCCCAGGGTGGACTTGGTCTACTTCCACAATTTGCCTTGGGAGCTCCTCTGTAAGAAGGAGCAGAGATTGAGAAGACCCAGAGAACCTCTCTCTGGAGGCCTCTAAGGACTCTGTGGATGGTGGAGTTCAGTAACATGGACACTGCTCACTAATCCTAAGGCAGTAGCAGATTATGATGATAGGTTCTGATGTGGCTCTGTCATGTCTTATCAAATGCAAATTGGAGAGTGCCTAGCTTTGGTGGATGTTTCTGTGAAATGGGTCACAGAAAGAATAAAGAACATGACAGAAATGCCAAGTATAGCTAGATCAGGTCAAGTACTCACAGAACTAATAACTCACAGAGACTGGAGTTCACATGTGGGGACTCAGAAAACAAAGATAATGATGTAACTCCAATGTCACACATAGAAGTGGGTGGAAAGTCAGGATGTCTGAGGACAGGTTGATAGCAAATAAGAAATGGAAATACAGAGGTTTTTTTTAAGCTTTAAGAAACAGGGTTTGAGGAACAGCAAGCTATGCAGAAAGAGCTCCTTTTGTATTTAAACTCTGATGTTGAGCTTAAAGACTGGTCTTTTGAATTAATCCAGTTGGACAAAAATAAAGGAAAAAGAATTTAAGGAAATGGACAAAGTCTTCAAGAAATATGGGATTATGTAAAGCAACCAAATCTATGAATTATTACTGATATTGCCAAGAGAGAAGGAGAAAAAATAAACAACCTGGAAAACATATTTGAGGGAATAATTCAATAAAATTTTCTTAATCTCGATAGAAAGGTAGACATCCAAATATGAAAAATCCAGAGAACACCTGTGAGATATTATACAAAATGAGTATCACCAAGGCATATGGTCACCAGAATGTCCAATAAAGAAAAAATAGTAAAAGCAGCTACAGAAAAAGGTCATATCTCATACAAAGGGAACCCCATCAGTCTAACAGTAGTCTTCTCTGCAGAAACCTTACAAGCCAGGAGAGATTGAAAACTTATTTTAAACATTCTTTATGGAAAGAAATTCCATCCAGAATTTTCATACCCTGCCAAACTAAGCTTCATAAACAAAGGGGAAATAAAATATTTTGCAGACGAGCAAGCACTAAGGGAATTTGTTACCACTAGACCAGGCTTATAAGAGATCCTTAATGGCTGGTCTGAGTACACTGGTGTTTACAACTAATTGATCACAAGAGACCCTTAAGAGAGTTCTAAACATAGAAATGAAAGAATGATACCTGCTGATATGGTTTGGCTTTGTGTCCCCACCCAAATATCATCTTGAATTGTAATCCCCACATATCAAGGGAGATACCTGGTGGGACGTGATCATAAGTGTTATTTCTCCCATGCTGTTTCTGTGATAGTGAGCAAGTTCTCACAAGATCTGATGGTTTTATAAGAAGCTCTTCCCTCTTCACTCCCCCCTCTCTCGTCTGCTGCCATGTAAGATGTGTCTCTTCCCCTTCTAGCATTATTGTAAGTTTCCTGAGGTCTCCCCAGCCATGTGGAACTGTGAGTCAATTAAACCTCTTTTCTTTATAAATTACTAAGTCTTGGGTAGTATCTTTATAGCAGTGTGAGAATGGACAATATAGTTAATTGCTACTGGTAGAGTAGGTTACTGGTATAAAGATACCTGAAAATGTGGATGTGACTTTGAAACTGAGAAATGGGCAGAGTTTGGAACAGTTTGGAGGGCTCAGAAGAAGACAAGAAGATGTGGGAAAGTTTGGAACTTCCTAGAGACTTGCTGAATGGTTTTGACTAAAATGCTGATAATGATGTGGACAATGATGTTCAGGCTGAAGTGGTCTCAGATGGAGATCAGAAACTTCTTGGGAACTGGAGCAAAGGTAATTCTTGCTATGCTTTAGCAAAGAGACTGGTGACATTTTGCCCCTGCCCTAGAGATCTGCGGAAATTTGAACTTGAGAGAGATGATTTAAGGTATCTGGTGGAAGAAATTTCTAAGCAGCAAAGCATTCAAGATGTGACCTGGATTATTCTGAAATCATTCAGTTTTATGCATTCACCAAGAGATGGTTTGAAATTGGAACTTATGTTTAAAAGAGAAGCAGAGCATGAAAGTTTGAAAAATTTTCAGCCTGATGATGTAATAGAAAAGAAAAAACCCATTTTCTGGGGAAAATTCAAGCCAGCTGCAGAAATTTGCATAAGTAATGAGGAGCCAAACGTTAATCACCAAGACAATGCGAAAATGTCTCCAGGGCATGTCAGAGACCTTCATCGCGGCCCCTCCCATCACAGGCCTAGAGGCCTAGGAGAAAAAAATGGTTTCATAGGCTGGGTCCAGGGCCCTTCTGCTGTGTGCAGCCTTGGAGCTTGGTGCCAGCCACCCAGGCATGGCTAAAAGGGGCCAAGGTACAACTCAGGCCATTGCTTCAGAAGGTACAAGCCCCAAGCCTTGGCAGCTTCCATGTGGTGTTGGTCCTGTGGGTGCACAGAAAGACAAGAATTAAGGTTTAGGAAACTCTGCCTAGATTTCAGAGGATGTACGGAAGTGCCTGGATGTCCAGGCAAAGGAGTGCTGCAGGGGTGGAGCCCTAATGGAGAACTTCTGCTACTGCAGTGTGGAAGGGAAATTTGGGGTTGAAGCCCCCACACTAACTTGCTTTTGAGGACTAACTTGCTTTTGAGTCCTCACTGGGTGGAGCACTATCTAGTGGAGCTGTGAGAAGAGGGCCACCATCCTCCAGATCGCAGAATGGTAGATCCACTGACAGCTTGCCTTACATGCCTGGAAAAGCTGCAGATGCTCCATGCCAGCCATGAAAGTGGCTAGGATGGGGGGCTGTATCCTACAAAGCTACAGGGGCAGAGCTTCCGAAGACCATGGGAGCCCACCTCTTGCATCAGCATGATCCAGACGTGAGATATGGAGTTAAAGGAGATAATTTTGGAGCTTTAAGATTTAATGACTTCCCTGTTTGATTTCAGACTTGCGTGGGGCCTGTAGCCCCTTTGTTTTGGTCAATTTCTCCCATTTGGAATGGGAGCATTTATCCAATGCCCGTACCCCCATTGTATAATAAAGGAACTAACATGCTTGGGATTTTACAGGCTTCCTTTATCCATCCTTTGGAACAGATTGCTTCACAGTCAAATTCCACAAGATGCATGAAGAAGAGCTGGTATGAATTCTACCAAAACTTTCCAAAAAATTGAGAAGGAGGGGCTTCTCCTTAACTCATTCAATAAAGCCAGCATCACCCTGATACCAAAACCTGGCAAAGACGCAATGACAAAAGGAAACTATAGGCCAATATCCCTGATGAACACAGACACAAAAATTCTCAACAAAATATTAGCAAACTGAATCCAGCAGCACGTTAAAAAATAAATTCACCATGATCAAGTAGGCTTCATTTCTGGGATGCAGGTTTGGTTAAACATATGCAGAAGGAACTTCCTTGTTTCAGATGAGACTTTGGACTTGGACTTTTGAATTAATGTTGGAATGCATTAAGACTTTGGGGACTGCTGGGAAGGCATGATTGGTTTTGAAATGTGAGGACATGAGATTTGAGAGGGGCCAGAGGTGAAATGATATGGTTAGCTTTGTGTCCCCACCCAAATCTCATCTTGAATTGTAATCCTCACATGTCAAGGGAGAGACCTAATGGGAGGTGATTGAATAATGGGGGTGGTTTCCTTCATGCTGTTCTCATGATAGTGAGTGAGTTCTCACAAGATCTGATGGTTTTACAGGGGGCTCTTCCCCCTTCACTCACCCCTCTCTCTCTCCTGCTGCCATATAAGATGTGCATCTTCCCCTTCTGTCATGATTGTAAGTTTCCTGAGGCCACCCCAGCCATACAGAACTGTGAGTCAATTAAACCTCTTTTCTATATAAATTACCCAGTCTTGGGTAGTATCTTTATAGCAGTGTGAGAATGGACTAATACACTTGCTTCTACAAAACACACCTGAGTACATAGCCCACGGACCCTATAAAATAACCACATAGTAGAAACTACAAAAGCAACCAGCTAACAACTTCATGATAGGTTCAATATCTCATATATCAATATGAACCTTGAATGTAAATGGTCTAAACACCCCACTTAAAAGGAACAGAGTGGCAAGTTGGATAAGAAAAACAAGAACTATCTTTCTGCTGTTTTCAAGAGACCCACCTCATATGCAACTACACCCATAGGCTCAGCAATAAGGGCTGAGGAAAGATCTATCATGCAGACAGAAAACAAAAAGAGATAAAGATAAAATAGACTTTAAACCAGTAATAGTAAAAAAGAATAGAGAACAGCATTACATAATGATAAAGAGTTCAATTCAACAAGAAGACTTAACTATCCTAAATATATATGCATCCAATATTAAAGCACACAGTTTCCAAAAACAAATACTTCTGACCCACAAAAAGACTTGAACAGCCACACAATAATATTCAGGGGCTGCAACACCCCACTGACAGCATTAGACAGATCATTCAGGCATAAAAGTAACAAAGAAATTTGGGACTTAAACTTGACATGTGACCAACTGGACATAATAGACATCTACAGAATTCTCCACCCATCAACCACAGAATATAAATTCTTCTCATCTGCACATGGAACGTGCTCCAAGATTGACTATAAAAATGTCTGAATAATTTTTTAAAAAATCTAAATTATACCAAGCACACCCTTGGACCACAGTGGAATAAAAATAGAAATATATATTCAGATCTTTCAAAATCACACAATTACATGGAAATTAAACAACCTGCTCCTGAATGACTTTTGAATAAACAAGAAAATTAGGGCAGAAATCAAAAAATTATTTCAAATAAACAAAAACAGTGACACAACATACCAAAACCTCTGGGATGCAGCAAAAGCAGTGTTAAGAGGAAGGTTTACAGTGATAAGTGCTTACCTTAAAAAGTTAGAAAGATCTCAGAGCAATAATCTAACATCACACCTAGAGGAACTAGGGAAACAAGAGCAAGCCAACTCCAAAGCTAGTAGAAGAAAAGAAGTAACAAAAATCAGAGCAGAACAGAATGAAACCAAGACCCAAAAATCCATATAAAGAGTCAATGAAAACAAAAGTTAGATTTTAAAAGGATAAACAAAATTGATAGACCACTAGATAGATTAACAAAGAGAGACAATCCAAATAAGCACAAACAAGAAAGGTGACATCGCAACCAATCACACAGAAATACAAATGATCCACAGTGACTATTATGAGTACCTCCATGCACAAAAACTAGAAAATCTAGAGGAAATAGATAAGTTCTTGGAAACATATAACCTCCCAATATTGAATCAGGAAGAAACTGAAACGCTGAACACACCAATGTTGAGTTCTGAAATTGAATCAGTAAAAAAATCTTACCAACCAAAAAACCCCTGGAACAGATGGATTCACAGTCAAATTCCACAAGATGTATAAAGAAGAGCTGGTACCAATTCTACTGAAACGTTCCAAACAATCGAGAAGGATGGACTTTTCTCTAACTCATTCAATAAAGCCAGCATCACCCTGATAGCAAAACCTGGCAAAGACACAATGAAAAAGGAAACTACAGGCCAACACCCCTGATGAACATAGACACAAAAATTCTCAGCAAAATATTAGCAAACTGAATCCAGCAGCACATAAAAAAAGAATTTGCCATGATTAAGTAGGCTTCATTTCTGGGATGCAAAATTGGTTAAACATACACAAGTCAATAAATGTGATTCATCACACAAACAGAACTAAAAGCCAAAACCACATCATCATCTCAATAGATGCAGAAAAGGCTTCTGGTAGAATCCAACATCCCTTCAAGATAAAAACCATTAACAAACTGAGAATTGATGGAACATACCCAAAATAATCAGCCATCTATAATAAACCCGCAGCCAACATTATACTGAATGGACAAAAGCTGGAAGTGTTCCCCCTGAGAGCTGGAAAAAGACAAGCATGGCCACTCTCACCACTCCCATTCAATACAGCCCTGGAAGTTCTAGCCAGAGCAACCAGGCAAAAGAAAGACTAAAAATAATTCAAATAGGAAAAAAGTCATCAAACTATCTGTCTTTACTGATGATATGACTCTATACCTACAGCACCTTGAAGACCCTGCTGAAAGTTTCTTGGAACTGTAAACAACTTCAGTAAAGATTCAGAATACAAAATCAGTGTACAAAAATCAGTAGCATTTCTGTACATGAATAACACTCAAGCTAAGAGCCAAATCAAGAATGGAATCCTATTTACAATAGCCATACACAAAAATAAAATACCTAAAGATACATCTAACTGAGGAGGTGAAAGATTTTTGCAAGGGGAACTATAAAACACTGCAGAAAGAAATCATAAATGACACAAACAAATCACAAAACCTTCCATGCTCATGGATTGGAAGAACCAATATTGTTAAAATGACCATCCTGCCCAAAGCAATCTACATATTCAACACTATTCCTATTGAACTACCAATGTCATTTTTCATAGATGAGAAAAAACTGTTTTAAAATTCATGTGGAATCAAAAAGAAGCCTGAATAGCCAAAGCAATACTGAGCAAAAGACAAAGCTGAAAACATTACATTACCCACATCAAACTATAAGACTACCATAACCAAAATAGCACAGTATTGGTACAAAAACAGACACATAGACCAATGGAACAGAATAGAGAATCTGGAAATAAAGCCACAAACCTACAACCATCTGATCTTGACAGGGCTGACAAAAGCAAGCAATGGGGAAAGGACTACCTGTTTGATAAGTGGTGCTGGGATAACTGGCTAGCCATAGGCAGAAGAATGAAACTAGACCCCTACCTTTCATCAGGTACAAAAATTAATTCAAGATGGATTGAAGATTTAAATGTAAGACCTCAAACAATAAGAATCCTAGAAGAAAACCTAAGAAACACCATTCTGGACATTGGCTTTGGAAAAGAATTTATGGCAACATCCTCAAAAACAATTGCAACGAAAACAAAAATTGACAAGTGGGATCTATTTAAACTAGAGAGCTTCTACAAGACAAAAGAAATTATCAACAGAGTAAACAGGCAACCTACAGAATGAGAGAAAATATTTGTAAACTATGCACCGACAGAGGTCTAATATCCAGAACCAACAAGGAACTTAAACAATTCAAGAATCAAAAAACAAATAATCTCTTTAAATAATGGACAAAAGGGTTGCTCTTCTCGAGGAATATGTTTGTGGTTTCTCCATATTTCCTGAATTTGAATGTTGGCCTGTCTTGCTAGTTTGGAGAAGTTCTCCTGGATAATAGCCTGAAGAGTGTTTTTCAACTTGGTTCCACTCTCCCCGTCACTTTCAGGTACACCAATCAAACATAGGTTTGGTCTTTCCACACAGTCCCATATTTCTTGGAGGCTTTGTTCATTCCTTTTCATTCTTTTTTCTCTAATCTTGTCTTCACGCTTTATTTCAATATGTTGATCTTCAATCTCTGATATCCTTTCTTCTGCTTGATCGATTCGGCTATTGATACTTGTGTATGCTTCACGAAGTTCTCGTGCTGTGTTTTTCAGTTCCGTCAGGTCATTTATGTTCTTCTCTAAACTGGTTATTCTAGTTAGCAATTCCTCTAACCTTTTTTCAAGGTTCTTAGCTTCCTTGCATTGGATTAGAACATGCTCCTTTAGCTCGGAGAAGTTTGTTATTACCCACCTTCTGAAGCCTACTTCTGTCAATTCGTCAAACTAATTCTCCATCCAGTTTTGTTCCCTTGCTGGCGAGGAATTGTGATCCTTTGGAGGATAAGAGGTGTTCTGGGTTTAGGAATTTTCAGCCTTTTGCACTGGTTTTTCCCCATCTTCATGGATTTATCTACTTTTGGTCTTCGAGGTTGGTGACCTTCAGATGGAGTTTTTGTGTGGATGTCCTTTTTGTTAATGTTGATGGTATTCCTTTCTGTTTGTTAGTTTTCCTTCTAACAGTCAAATCTGTCTGCTGCAGGTCTGCTGGAGTTTGCTGGAGGTCCATTCCAGACCCTTTGTGACTGGGTATCACAGGCAAAGGCTGCAGAACAGCAAAGATTTTTGCCTGTTCCTTCCTCTGGAAGCTTGGTCCCAGAGAGGCACCCACCAGATGCCAGCCAGAGCTCTCCTGTATGGGGTGTCTGTTGACCCCTGCTGGGAGGTGTCTCCCAGTCAGGAGGCACGGGGGTCAGGGACCCACTTGAGGAGGCAGTCTGTCTCTTAGCAGAGCTCAAACGCTGTGCTGGGAGATCTGCTTTTCTCTTCAGAGCCGGCAGGCAGGAACATGTCAGTCTGCTGAAGCTGCGCCTACAGCCGCCCCTTCCCCCAGGTACTCTGTCCCAGGGAAATGGGAGTTTTATCTATAAGCCCCTGACTGGGCCTGCTGGCTTTCTTTCAGATGCACCTTGCCCATAGAGGAGGAATCTAGAGAGGCAGTCTGGCTACAGTGGCTTTGTGGCACTGCAGTGGGCTCTGCCCAGTCTGAACTTCCAGGTGGTTTTATTTACACTGTGAGGGGAAAACCGCCTACTCAAGCCTCAGTAATGTTGGACGCCCCTCCCCCCACCAAGCTCCAGCATCCCAGGTTGACTTCAGATTGCTGTGCTAGCAGTGAGAATTTCAAGCCAGTGGATCTTAGCTTGCTGGGCTCTGTGGGGGTGGGATCCACGGAGCTAGACCACTTGGCTCCCTGACATCAGCCCCCTATCCAGGGGAGTCAAGGGTTCTGTCTTGCTGGCATTCCAGGCACCACTGGGGGTATGAAAAAAAACTGCAGCTCGCTTGGTGTCTGCCCAAACATGACCGCCCAGTTTTGAGCTTGAAACCCAGGGCCCTGCTAGTGTAGGTGCCTGAGGGAATCTCCTGGTCTGCGGGTTGCGAAGACCATGCGAAAAGCATAGTATCTGGGCCAGAGTGCACTGTTCCTCATGGCACAGTACCTTATGGCTTCCCTTCGAACTCCCTCTCTGACCGCCTGTGCTTCCTGGGTGAGGTGATGCCCCACCCTGGTCCTGCTCGCCCTCCGTGGGGTGCACCCACTGTCTAACCTGTCCCAATGAGATGAGCCCGGTACCTCAGTTGGAAATGCAGCAATCACCTGCCTTCCATGTTAATCTCACTTTGAGCTGTAGACTGGAGCTGTTCCTATTTGGCCATCTTGTCAGCCACTGCCCATTACAGTATTTTTAATTCCAAAGGTGTAAACAATGTAAATAGCCCAAAATAGAGTTGTGATAAATATAACTACTCTGTGGCATCGTTAAAAATCATGTAAGGACATGGGTCAGTGCTCACAATATACTAAGAGGGAAACTGTAAGGTTAAAAACAATATATAAATTATGATCCCACTTACTTTTAAGCACTTATACATTAATTTATTTAAAAAAAATTCCAAAATGTTAAATATGTTATAATTTCTGGATGATTCCAGTCCAAGTAATTTTTATCTGCTTTATATTATTCTGCATTTTTTTTTTCTTGAGACAGAGTACCACTCTTTTTGCCCAGGCTAGAGTGCAGTGGTAGGATCTCAGCTCACTACACCCTCCACCTCCTGGATTCAAGGGATTCTCCTGCCTCGGCCTCCTGAGTAGCTGGGATTATAGGCACTGGCCACTACACCCAGCTAATTTTTGTGTTTTTAGTAGAGATGGGGTTTTGCCATGTTGGTCAGGCTGGTCTCGAACTCCTGAACTCAAGTGATCGGCCTGCCTCAGCCTCCCAAACTGCAGGGATTACAGGCGTGAGCCACTGTGCCTGGCCTATTTTTCTGTATTTTACAAAATGTTTGCAATCACTATATATTACTTTTAGAATTAGGAAAAAGAGGATCCTTTTTTTTAATTTTCAAGTTCAAACAGCCAAACACCACTAAAGAGCTAGTTGTGTTCTGTAACGCTGCAACAGGCTAATGGGTTACAGTGGTCAAGTCAGCCTTCTGTGGGGCTAGGTTTTCCTGTTCATCATGAAGAGAAGTGAAATGTCTCTGCCTCCCTCATAGCTAACGTAAGAGAGCTTCTACTGAGGCTCCTAGTCTTCCAAGTCATTTGGCTTCTCTAACTCCCCTGGATAAGGGACAATTTTCCCCTCCCAAAGCCTTTGCTCTCCATCTTCTTCCTGGACCAGGCAGACAGAAAGAAAACACACATGCCTGCTGCCCATTCACCTCTGAGGTCTTCTTAATGCGGGAGGGCACCACCACCCAGCCACCTTCACTGCAAGGTAACAGACCAACGTGTTCCAGGCAAGAACCCAAGGTCTAGAGAGATTACGTGGTCAAAGTTCTCCTGCTTCTCCAATGCTGCACACTCGCGCTTTCGTTTGCTTAAGGAAACCAGGGAACATTTGAGTGAGAAAATGGCATACTGAGAATTTTCTACAATAGTGAATTCAGGTTTCCTACCTACATTCTTTCCAAGGTAGTTAGTGGCTAAGTCAATGTTCCAGAACTTGAATTCTAACACACTAGATGTTTTCACCCTTGTCAGCAAATTCTCACTGGGTACTATTGTGCCCTGCACTGGGCAAAGTCGTACGTATAAAGAAGTGACTGCGGTTTTCCTGCCCTTAGGAATTAGAATAAAGGGAAAGTCACATAACACTATGGAAGCATGAGCTTATTGTTGGTAGAATAATATATCTTTGGAATTTCCAGCTTTTTATTTTAAGTCTTCCTGTGCTATAAGTAAAAAAGAATGGCCAGAATAACCTTAGTTTTATTGTACAAAATTAACATTTAAAAACATTTGTGTATTCTCCCCCCAAATCTCAGTGTTTCAAGAGACTGGAATTTAATTAATGTAGCTATTTAGAGATACAAATCAGCCATTACTGTTCTTTTTTTATAAGGATATTGAGTTTAATTATATCATTGTCTTCACTAGCCTCTAATGCTAGGTAGAGAACATAAGATTGATCCATTTTCCCCAAAGCTTTTGTGTAGTAAGTTTTTATGTAAGTGGAAAACTTAATGCTAACAGAAACAAATTCAACCACACTTTTAAAATTACAGGATAATTGCTAATTCTGTGGTCATTCATTCCCAGGCCATACTCCAACACAGGAAACTATGAGAAATGTAACCACTGGTAAAATTAAACCTGCAATTATAGCACCAATTTCTAGGATATGTTGATTTTTCTCTATTTTGCAACATGTGCACAAATATATAAAATTTTCTGATTTATTTATCATGTTGACCTTTTAAATTCAGAGTCTGTCATATCATGATGAATATACTTAAGACAGGTTTTTTTTTTTTTGAGATGGAGTCTCGCTCTGTTGTGCAGGCTGGAGTGCAGTGGCAGTATCTTGGCTCACTGCAACCTCTGCCTCCCAGGTTCAAATGATTCTCCTGCCTCAGCCTCCCGAGTAGCTGGGATTACAGGCACCTGCCACCACACCAAGCTAATTTTTGTATTTTTAGTAGAGACAGCGTTTCACCATGTTGGCCAGGCTGGTCTCGAACTCCTGACCTCAAGTGATCAGCTCGCCTCATCCTCCCAAAGTGCTGGAATTACAGGTGTGAGGTACCACACCCAGCCTTAAGACAGGTTTTTATTCTGCTTATAGTCTTCTTTATTAGTTAAATTTTTAAATTGTCATCGAATGTCAAGGGCAATAATATACTCGGTGAATTAGCATAAGCTACCTTTGAAAATATGAATCAGAAAAAAAAGAAACAAGCATGTAGCAAACCCATGCTTTATCCTAATCCACCATCCTTTTGGATAATGATTATCTTTGTCACCTAGCAGTTGGATCAGTCTCTCTATTTGCAATAAAGTCTCAATGCACCCCATATCTTTACTAATATCCACCATCGGCTTCCAGAACTTTTTCTAGGTACCCTCTATTTCTCTCATCCACTACCCTCAGCTTTTCCTAGTTCTTGGAACTGTGCATCCAATGCTTCACTGTACCCTAACCTAGAATTATTCACACAACTCCCACATTTTCCTCATTGGTTGAAGCTTTCTCTAACCAGAATCCTTCTTCTAATAATAATTAGATGCATAATTAGTTTTTGATCTTTTTCCTTTCCCATGGCCTTAGTAAACTGTTAGTTTGTTATATTTCATCCAATTCTACATTGTGTTGTATGCCTCTCTGGATCAGTGTTTTTGGCCCTAGAGCATCAGTTCGATTAGAAGGGGCCCTGGCTAATTCCAACGACACAACAGCACATCTGGTATGACACAGCCCCACCCACATATTGGGAGTGGGGACGATGGCAATTCTAGAAATAGTAAATATTGAGCATTCAGTGTTTTGCATGTACTATCTGGATTCAAACCCAGACAGTCTGAATGTAGAGCCAGCACTTTTCACACTGCACTATGCTGTTGTGATGAAGAGGAAAGAAAGTAAGATGCAGAAGAGGAGGAGGCAACAGAAGAGGAGGAGGAGGCAGGAGGTGGAATTCCAGTGGTTAAATCTCTGGATCCAGAGAAGTACTGTAATAGATTCCTCACTGTGGCACTTCCTACTATATGACTGCATATATGGCCCAAGGGCCACATGTATTGAACAAATACAAACTCTCATGTACCAGGTTGTGTGCTATGTGCTACACACTGCCTATTGAGCAAATACCCTGCTCTTCCACGGCTGGCAGCTTAGTAATCCAGAAAGATAAGGGGGCATAGAAAAACATGGAGACAGTGCGGTCTTCTCAGAGGAAGTAATGTCTGATGGGTGGCAGGATGGATTAGTATTAATCAGATGGGTTAAGGATGGGCTAGTGTGCATCAGAAAGGGGTAGAGAAGGGCATTCCAAACAAAGGAACTAGCCTGTGCAAAGGCCCCCACCTCATATGAAAGTGAGGTTTATTAAGGCAGTGCAAAGAAAGCACTGAACATAGTTCCTGGCACATGGTAATAGTTGATAATGTTTACAATGATGACAATAATAACGATGATTGTGGTGGTGACCAACTTTGTGATAGAGGAACATATCCTTCTTAAATTATTGCCATTATGGTTTTTGATTTCTTTTGTTTTATTTTGTTTTTTAGTGACAAGGTCTTGCACTGTTGCCCAGGCTCGAGTACAATGAAGTAATCAAAGCTCACTGCAGCCTCGACCTCCTGGGCTCAAGCGATTCTCCCACGTAGGCCTCCCAGGCAGCTAGTATTATAGGCCTCAGCCACAATGCCTGGCTAATAATTTTTTTAAAAAAATTTGGTAGAGATGGAGTCTTGCTTTGTTGTCCAGGTTGGTCTCAAACACCTAGGCTCAAGTGATGCTTCTGCTTTGGCCTCTCAAAGTTCTGAGATTACAGGCATGAGACACCATGCCCATAATCACCACAGCTGATTAACTGAGATTTATTTTTCCCAGCTCCCATCTCACCCTTTAATGAGGGCATTTTTTAAGGTACATTTCCCTAAGGATAGGCAAGAAAGGGAAAAAGAAGGAGAACTTGAAGCCTAAATCATGGATATGTGACTAATCTTGCTCTTATTTATAGATTTGTTTAAATGCAGTGTTATAGGGCTAGTTGGTTTAATCTTTACAAATGGAAAAAAATATAGAGATAATGTGTTGTGTTCATTATGGTATAGGTGATCAGTTTCTCCAGAGAAACACCTAACTAGAACAATTAGATGAGACATTTACCTAATGATTCGAGTTTCTCAGTAGTAGCAGAACAAAAAAAAAAATTTTTTTTCCAAAGTAAACAACATCTTCCAGACCACACCTTTTTCAGACCACTTCTAAGAGATGAATGTTAATGGCAGTAGGGATTTTCGAACTGTCTTGCAGAACGTGTGGAAATCATGGTCCATGTAGTTTCCTTGTTCATCTTCGTATTTACCAGGCAATTCAAATACATAGATACTTCCTACAAAAACTTCTGAAATGCTATGGTAACGTATGCCATGAAATACAATTTGCATGGATGATTAAGTTCCTATTTACAGCCTTCACCTCTTTTTACAGCTGCTGTACAAATAACAAAGTTCAAAGAATGGAAAATCTAACAGTTATAAACACTGAGTTCCCACACCCAAAAGATTTTCATAAAAGCCAAATAGAAACATACAGAAAGGTGCGGTTGCTCACTCTCATTTTCTTTTAAGTTGAGTGATTATTTCCTATTAGACTTCACCTGGTTTGTTTATTTAATGATTCTTTCCAGTAGGCTGTTATTACCTGAAGGAGCATAAAATAGAAACTACAAGCATGAGTTAGAGAAAACTGCAATCTTCCTACGAGAGCATGGGAAATAATTAATACTCTAGGAACATTTTTCCACCCAAATCCTGAAATTATGCTCAGAACTGTGGTTCATACGCGTAGGTGCACTGTTCCCCTTTAGGAGAGGAGCCATAGCTTTTTTGGGGGTCTTCAATAAAGTCCATAGCTTCAAAGAATTGTTAAAACACATTTTTCAACAGTGTTTTCCTTTTGCTATACTTTCACTCAGTAACATTTCCACACCTGGAAAGATACTTTAAAAAGCAAACACCTTTGTTTAAGTGCTCATAAATTAAGCCTGAGCAACATAATGTACAATAAGTATAAAAATAATATGGACGTTAAACAGTGTGGCAAAGTGGTCACCAGTCCAATCATCAGAAAATATCGAGAGGGATCCCAGATGAATTGGAATATATGACCCTATTTATTTATTTCAGTGGCTGTTTTAAAAGTTTGAAAACCTCAGGGTGTGAGTAGATTATTGTGTGATGTCCTTCGGACAAAATTCTTTTAAGTTGACCTGCAGGACAGGAATTTAAGTGCTGTAGGAAAATCACCACATTTGCTGATGGCATCTTTTTTGCAATTGTCATGCTCTGTGAATTTTTGGAGTCATAGTTTCATTTCCCCGCACTTGGTCCTTCTATGCCTTGCTCATTTTTTCCAATGATCCTCATCCTTCAATGGTTATAATCCTAAATATCCTCAAAGGTGGGATGCTACAGATGATAACTGAGTTCATGTTTACCTATAACCAATAATTTATACTGGAAGTTAAACTAGCAGTTCTGGAACAACATGAAATGCTGGGGCGTGGGATGAGCAGTTTGGATGAAGTGATACTATTCACTCTTCAGCAGGGACATAATAAATACCTGAATTCTTTTCCTATAAAAGTAAAAGATTCCACTGAGCTTGCATTACTTATGTGATGTCCTTTTTTAAGATACCTTTTCCGGCACATTATCATTAATGATGTATGTTTATAAAATAATTTTTAAAAGGTTGGTTTTTAAAAGAAGAAGGAAGTGGAGCAGGAGAAATAGAAGCAGCAGCAGTAGTTGAGGTGAATCAGAGACAGAGGAGGAAGAGGAGAAGTAGATTGGGAAGAGAAGTGAATGTCCAGAGAATTGCTGGTGCAATATAGCCTTTAAAGAATAAGCCAGGCCAATAAACACTAGTGTCTTGGAACTAAATTTCTGTCTTTCTGTCTGTTGAGAGGAGAAGACCAAAAATGAAGAAAGAGGCAGGAAGACCCAGCCCTTTCTGTCAAACTCCAGATGGAGTCATCCTGGTTAAGGGTTCTGAGGAAGCATGGACAGTGCCCCCATAGTTCCAGGCACTATTTGTCTGAAGCAGAGGTTCTGGGAGGAACATTCCCCATCCAAATCCTAAAATTATATTCGAAATGATGCATTCATATGCAGAGATGCATTTTTTCTCCTAAGGGGAGGAGACATAGCTTTCTTTAGATACTCAACACAGTCTATAACCTCAAAAAACATGATAAAACAGGTTGTTCAAGGTTAGGGATTCCCAGAACCTCTCTTTCCAGAAGCATCCAAGTTGTCCTGCATCTATCTCCTAAGCCTTCTTCCCTAGGGGGAATAACTAACCCCTAAGCGTATTGGAACAACTTTTTCCTGAGGATAAAACCTAAGTAGCTTGAACCATTGAGTAACTTCAGCCTCCTTAAGCTTATGTGCTAAATTGGTTAACGGCCCAGATTTCAGATGATCTGCCACGGCTATTTGTGGGCAGTATTTTGCAGTTTTTCATCATTCTTTCCCATTTTCTATGTCATTTGTTACACACCTTTAGAGTTAAGTAGGACTCCCTCCCTTTAGTTCCCATTTATGGAACAAGAAATTGAGAGTAAAGCGACTTGCCCAAGTTCCCAAGTAGCAGCCTGCCAGGCTGAGAATCTAGGCAGGGACTCCAGGGAGGGTAAGGCATGTCTGTCTGCAAGGAAGTTAGTCTAAATACAGTTGTGTTGTTATTGTTTTCCTCCAGTGGCAAAATTTACATGTGTATATACATATATATATATATTTTAATTTATTTATTTTTTTAAATTATACTTTAAGTTCTAGGGTACATGTGCACAATGTGCAGGTTTGTTACATATGTATACATGTGCCATGTTGGTGTGCTGCACCCATTAACTGGTCATTTACCTAATTGAAATGTTTTAATTCCCCTAACCCAACCCTACACACATTCTTCCACCACATCTTGGCCTTTCTCAGAGAGAAACTGAATCAAAATCACGCAAAGAGAGTCTGTGCTTTTCTCAGACAACAAAGAAATAGGCAGAGCATATCATGCTGCCAGCAAACTCCAGACACTTCAGAAAAACAAACAAACAAACAAACAATGTTCCTCATTATGTTTGAAGATATATTTTGTTTGGAAGTACAGAGCCAGAAACTACCTCATAGGGAAAAGCATCTCCCTTTTGTAAACATGTATTGTGCACATTAATGTTTTAAGAAATATTTTTGTTTACTAGAATCTTCAATAGATAGTGTTATTGGCTCTAACATTTTCCTCCTCTCTGTATCTGCATTGTTCTCCACAATGCACTCGCAATGTGGGAAAGATGTACTTCTGAGATTCTTGGCTTTGGGTTTGGACATAGGACTTGCTTTTGCCAACAGAATTAGGCCAAAGTCATACTGTGCTCATTCTGGGCAAAACCACAGAAGCCTTGTGTTTCCTCTCCTCTCTTGTACTTCTGCTGTCACCTTGAGAAGACTATGCCAGGCTAATCCATTGGTACCAGAAGGGAAGAACAGACATTTAGGACAAACCTGCATCAACCAAGTCACCCCCACTCATCGTAGGCTGCATTAGCCAATGCCCCAAAAGACACCTCTCTGAAGATGGCATGAAGACCAAACTATCAGCTGTGTTTGTTACAAAGTGAAGTTCTCTTCGCAATAAGCCATGTATTTTTTTGTCCAAATGCAGCAGATAAGGCAGTATTACTTGATCACTGCTGTTGAGTTTTCATAAAGAATTTTTAGGACTCCTTGGTTCCCTTCCATGAGTTCTCTTTATGTAGGAAAGACCAGATGTACCTAAGGAGTTTGGCCCAGTTGCTAACTGGACTGTTCACAAGTATCTCATCTTCCACACCAACCCATTGTTCTTGTCTACATGAAAGTTTGTGGTTGGAAAGACAGAAGCATAAAGAGAATAAATTACTGAATTGATAAATAGCCTGTGATAAAAATTTAGATTCCATCACAATGTCTTGAAAATTCTAAGGGAAAATGATTTGTAACCTGAAATTCCATACCCAGCTAAACTATTATGCAAGTATATGGGTGGACACAGACCTTTTCTTTTTTTTTTTTAATTATACTTTAAGTTTTAGGGTACATGTGCACAACGTGCAGGTTAGTTACATATGTATACATGTGCCATGTTGGTGTGCTGTACCCATTAACTCATCATCTGGACAAAGACATTTTCAGATACATAAGAACTACCTGAGAGAATCTCTGGGACACAGCTAAAGCAGTGTTTAGAGAGAAATTTATGGCACTAAATGCCCACAGGAGAAAGTAAGAAACATCTAAAATCAACACCTTAACACCACAATTAAAAGAAGTAGAGAAGCAAAACCAAACAAATTCAAAAGCTAACAGAAGACAAGAAATAACTAAGATCAGAGCAGAACTGAAGGAGACAGAGACATGAAAAACCCTTCAAAACATCAATGAATCCAGGATCTAGTTTTTCAAAAAGATTAACAAAATAGATAGACTGCTAGCCAGATTAATAAAGAAGGAAAGAGAGAATAATCAAATAGACACAATAAAAAATGAAAAAGGGGATATCACCACTGATCCCACACAAATACAAACTACCATCAGAGAATGCTATAAACACCTCTATGAAAATAAACTAGAAAATCTGGAAGAAATGGATAAATTCCTGGACACATACACCCTCCCAAGACTAAACCAGGAAGAAGTCGAATCCCTGAATAGACCAGTAACAAGTTCTGAAATTGAGGCAGTAATTAATAGGCTACCAACCAAAGAAAGCCCAGGACCAGACAGATTCCCAGCCAACTTCTACCGGAGATACAAAGAGGAGCTGGTACCATTCCTTCTGAAACTATTCCAATCAATAGAAAAAAAGGGAATCCTCCCTAACTCATTTTATGAGGCCAGCATCATCCTGATACCAAAACCTGGCAGAGACACAACATAAAAAGAAAATTTCAGGCCTATATCCCTGATGTACATCGAGGTGAAAATCCTCAGTAAAATACTGGCAAACTGAATCCAGCAGCACATCAAAAAGCTGATCCACCATGATCAAGTTGGCTTCATCCCTGGGATGCAAGGCTGGTTCAACATATGTAAATCAATAAACATAATCCATCACATAAACAGAACCAAAGACAAAAACCACATGATTATATCAATAGATGCAGAAAAGACCTATGTTAAAATTCAACACCCCTTCTTGCTAAAAACTCTCAATAAACTAGGTATTGATGGAACATATCTCAAAATAATAAGAGCTATTTATGACAAACCCACAGCTAATATCATACTGAATGGGCAAAAGCTAGACACATTCCCTTTGAAAACCGGCACAAGACAAGGATACCCTCTTTCACCACTCCTGTTCAACATAGTATTGGAAGCTCTGGCTAAGGCAATCAGGCAAGAGAAAGAAATAAAGGGTATTCAAATAGGGAGAGAGGAAGTCAAGTTGTCTCTGTTTGCAGATGACATGATTGTATATTTAGAAAACCCCATCATCTCAGCCCAAAATTCTCCTTAAGCTGATAAACAACTTCAGAAAAATTTCTGGATACCAAATCAATGTGCAAAAATCACAAGCATTCCTAGACACCAATAACAGGCAAACAGAGAGCCAAATCATGAGTGAACTCCTATTCACGATTGCTACACAGAGAATAAAATACCTAGGAATCCAACTTACAAGGGATGTGAAGGGCCTCTTCAAGGAGGACTACAAACCATTGCTCAACGAAATCAGAGAGGACACAAACAAATGGAAAAACATTCCATGCTCATGGATAGGAAGAATCAATATCGTGAAAATGGCTGTACTACCCAGAGTAATTTATACATTCAATGCTATCCCCATCAAGCTACCACTGACTTTCTTCACAGAATTAGAAAAACTACTTTAAATTTCATATGGAACCAAAAAAGAGCCCGTATAGCCAAGACAATCCTAAGCAAATGAACAAAGCTGGAGGCATGACACTACCTGACTTCAAACTATACTATGAGGCTACAGTAACCAAAACAGCATGGTACTGGTACCAAAACAGATATATAGACCAATGGAACAGAACAGAGGCCTCAGAAATAGCACTACACATCAACAAGTCAGGAAAGAACAGATGCTGGAGAGGATGTGGAGAAATAGGAATGCTTTTACATTGTTGGTGGGAGTATAATTTAGTTCAACCATTGTGGAAGACAGTGTGGCAATTCCTCAAGGAACTAAAACCAGAAATACCATTTGTCCCAGCAATCCCATTACTGTGTATATACCCTAAGGATTATAAATCATTCTGCTATAAAGACACATGTGCACATATGTTTATTGCAACACTGTTCACAATAGCAAAGACTTGGAACCAACCCAAATGCCCATCAATGATAGACTGGATAAAGAAAATGTGGCACATATACATCATGGAATACTATGCAGCCATAAAAAAGGATGAGTTTATGTCCTTTGCAGGGACATGGATGAAGCTGTAAGCCATCATTCTCTGCAAACTAACACAGGAAGAGAAAACCAAACACCACATGTTCTCACTCATAAGTGGGAGTTGAACAACAAGAACATGTGGACACAGGGAGGGGAGCGTCACACACTGGAGCCTGTTGGGGAGTTGGGGGGGCTAGGTGAGGGAGAGCATTAGGAGAAATACCTAATGTAGATGACGGGTTGATGGTGCAGTAAACCACCATGGCATGTGTATACCTATGTAACATGCTGCACATGTATCCCAGAACTTAGCGTATAATAAAAAAATGGGCAAAAGACGTAAACAGACACTTCTCAAAATAAGACATACGAGTGGTCAAGAAACATGTGAAAAGATGCTCAATGTCACTAATCATAAGAGAAATGCAAATAAAAACCACAGTGAGATACCATCTTACACCAGTCAGAATGACTACTATTAAAAAGTCAAAAAAACAACAGATGCTGGCAAAAATGTAGAGAAAAGGTAACACTTACACACTGTTGGTAGTAATGTTTTTAGCTCAGCCATGTAGAAAACAGTTTGAAGATTTCTCAAATAACTTAAAGCAGAACTATTATTTGACCCAGCAATGCCATTACTGGGTATATATATATAAAAGAAAATAAATCATTCTACCAAAAAGACACACTCATATGTTATCAAAAAGATTCACTCATATGTTTATCACCACACTATTCACAATAGACATGGAAGCAACCTAGGTGTCCATCAGTGGAGGCTTGGATAAAAAAAAATTGGTACATATGCATTATATAATACTATGCAGCCATAAAAAGAATAAAATCATGTCCTCTGCAGCAACATGGATGCATCTGGAGGCCATTATTCAAAGATTAACGCAGGAACAGAAAACCAAATATCGCATGTTCTAATTTTTAAGTGGGAGCTAAACATTAGATACTCATGGGCATAAAGATGGCAATAATAGCCACTGCGGACTACTAGAGTGGAGAAGGAGGAAGAGGGGCATGGGTTGAAAAACTAACTATTGGGTACTATGCTCACTACCTGGGCGACAGGATCATCCATATGCCAAACCTCAGCGTTATGCAATATACTCATGTGACAAACCTACACATGTACTCCCTGAATCTAAAATGAAATTTGAAATTATTTAAAAAAAACCCTCTGGTGTCTAAATACCATAGTAGCAAAACCAACACTACTTAACACTACTTTAATAAGTGAGTTTACATACTTTAGCACTTCTTTCTGAAAGCTTTTCATTCATCAGAGCTTAATTATTGTCATTTAAATATTTTCATATTTGTTAACATAATTAGGAATGTTGCAAATACTTTGTCATTTCCAGTTCACAAATGGAATGATGAAGGAACAGCTAGACTACGGCTTGTGTAACAGATACACATATTCCTTGTGTGTCTATCTGTCCGAAATCCAATTTTCTGTTCAGATGTGTAAATATACGTACATATCATTATGATTAATGTTCTATAGAAGGGGTCTGGTGGAGCAGAAGAAAGGTAAGAAAGGTTGCCTCTTAAGTATAATTATAGCTGCTGGGGAGGGCTATTGTGAGAATGAGAAATATAGAGAAAGTAAATAACACTACACAATGGAGAGGTTAAAGTCTTTCAGGAATTACACAGATTAGAAATTGATCCTGTCTTGCCAAAAGCTAAGGGAGCTTTAAAACCCTTCCTCCTCCCACAGTGAGACATTTGACAGCAGTCTTTCTCTAGACTCATAGGAGAGTTGTATTTACAGCATTCGTATAGCTAATAGTAACCAATAACTCTTATTGAGTAATTGGAGTAATCTATGTGCCACACTGAGTCCTTCATATAGTTTGTCTCATTATATAATTAGAATCTATAAAGTAGGAAATGACAGACGTGCTTAGAACCAAGGAAATAGTGCGGTTAGAACCAAGGAAGTAGTAAATAAAATTAGACGTGGTTAGAACTAAGGAAATGAAGATTCTACACTTAAAAATAAAAAAGCAACTTTTGAGTAATTGCAGAAAGGCCTGGGATTTTCTACAATTTGTAGATAAATCCTGATACCATCTAATGATGTTTACTGTGGTTTCTGGGCCCAGGTAGAGTGTAACAAGGACCAGCAAATAACCTCTTAAATAGGTCCGGGTCAATAACCAGAACAGAAAACTTGCTTTTGGCCACATCTCTTAAGGAGGGGCCATTACTAGTTAAGAAGAGAGTTCCATATTAAATAAATAAATAAATGTTCTGGTTGTGGGTTGTTTAATTCAAATTCCTATTCAGTTCATCTGATAATAAACTATATTTAATTCATGATGTAATTCTGTGTTCCGTAATGGTTTTTACAAAGCCCCAACTTGAAAAAACTTTTTTGGGTATTGCTTATTAGTGGATGCAGCTGTTGAGAAGGGGCAAGGTTTTGACTTTATGTTGTAGTTCATGTTCACTGATGCAGAGAGGTGTTTATAATGTATTGTGAGTGACTTAAGCAGAGCATAAAACACCATATTATCCCATTTTGTAAAATAAAAAAACAGGCAAATGAAACACTAAACAACATTATTTATTAACATTAGAAAATTTGAAACATCAAAACATACTTCAGAGCAAAGAAAATGGGGAACACCTAAATGTTTAACTATAAAGCACCAGCTTAATAAATTGAGGTAGATATATATGTAGCCTTGAAATATGGCTGTATAAAGGAGTACTAAGAGGGAATTTTGTAGCTATAAGTGCCTACATTAAAAAAGAAGAAAAACTTCATAAAAAAGAATGATGCATCTCAAAGAATTAGAAAAGCAAGAGCAAACCAAAGCCAAAATTAGTAGAAGAAAAAGAAACAATAAAGATCAGACAAAAATGAAATTGAAATAAAGAAAATAATACGAAAGATCAATGAAACAAAAAGTTGGTTTTTGAAAAGTTAAACATAATTGGTAAACTTTTAGCCAGACTGAGAAAAAATAAGCAGATCCAAATAAATAAACTCAAAGTTGAAAAAGGAGACATTACAACTGATACTGCAGAAACTCAAAGGACAATTATTGGTTACTATGAGCAACTATATGCCAATAAATTGGGAAATTTAGAAGAATGGACAAATTCCTACACACATGCAATCTACCAAGACTGAACCATGAAGAAATCCAAAACCTGAACAGACCAATAACAAGTAATGAGATCAAAGCTGTAATAAAAAGTCTCCCAGTAAAGAAAAGTCCAGGACCTGATGACTTCACTGCTGAATTCTACCAGACATTTTAAAAAGAACTAATATGAATTCTACTCAAATTATTCCAAAAAATAGAGGAGGAGGGAACACTTCCAAACTTATTCTGTGAGGCCAGTATTATCCTGATGCCAAAACCAGACAAAAACACATCAAAAAAAAAAAAAGAAAAAGAAAATTACAGGCCAATATCTCTGATGAATATTGATGCAAAAATCCTCAACAAAATACTAGCAAAACAACAATACATTAAAAAAGGCCATTTCTCCTGACCAAGTGAAATTTATCCTTGGGATGCAAGGATGGTTCAACATATGCAAATCAATCAGTGTGATACATCATATTAACAGAATGAAGGACAAAAATCATGTGATCATTTCAATTGATGCTGAAAAAGCATTTGATAAAAGTTAACCCCTTCATGATGAAAACCCTCAAAAAACTGGGTATAGAAGAAACATATCTCAACATTATAAAAGCCGTATATGACAGACCCACGGGTAATATAATACTGAATGGGGAAAAACTGAAAGCCTTTCCTCTAAGATTTGGAACACGACAAGGACGCCCACTTTCACCACTGTTATTCAGCATAGTACTGGAAGTCCTAGCTAGAGCAATCAGACAAGAGAAAGAAATAAAGGGCATCCAAATTGGAAAGGAAGAAGTCAAATTATCCTTGTTTGCAGATAATATGATCTTACATTTGGGAAAACCTAAAGACTCCACCAAAAAACTATTAGAACTGATAAACAAATTCAGTAAGCTTGCAGGATACAAAATCAACACACAAAAATTTGGCATTTCTACATACCAATAGTGAACAACCTGAAAAATAAATTAAAAAGTAATCCTATTTACAATAATCACATATAAAATTAAATACCTAGGAATTAATTTAACCAAAGAAGTGAAAGATCTCTATAATGAAAACTATAAAATACCCATCAAAGGAATGCAAACACTAAAAAAATGGGAAGATATTCCATGTTCATGAATTGTAAGAATCAATGTTGTAAAAATGTCCACACTACCCAAAGCAATCTACAGATTCAATGCAATCCTTATCAAAGTACCAATGACATTTCTCACAAATAGAGAAAAAATAATCCTAAAACTTATATGGAACCACAAAAGACCCATAATAACAAAAGCTATCCTAAGTGAAAAGAACGAAACTGGAGGAATCACGTTACCTGGCTTCAAATTATACTACGGAGCTATAGTAACCA
This sequence comes from Homo sapiens, assembly GCF_000001405.40. NCBI lineage: Eukaryota > Metazoa > Chordata > Mammalia > Primates > Hominidae > Homo > Homo sapiens. Next base: position 42,468,874 of record NC_000013.11, read on the forward strand.
CAATAGCGTGGTACTGGCATAAAAACATACATGTAGACCAATGAAACAGAATAGGGAACCCAGAAACAAATCCACACACCTACAGTGAACTCATTTTTGACAAAGGTGTCAAAAACGTACACTGGGGAAAAGACAGTCTCTTCAATAAATGATGCTGGGAAAACTGGGTATCCATATGCAGAAAAATGAAACTAGATCTCTATCTCTTGCCATATACAAAAATCAAGTCAAAATGGATTAAAGGTCCAGCATGGTGGCTTACGCCTGTAATCTCAGCACTTTGGGAGGCCAAGGTGCGTGGATCACCTGAGGTCAGGAGTTCAAGACTAGCCTGGCCAACATGGTGAAACCCCATCTCTACTAAAAATAACAAAAATTAGCTGGGCATGGTGGTGGGAACCTGTAATCCCAGATACTTGGAAGGCTGAGGCAGGAGAATCGCTTGAACCCAGGAGGCAGAGGTTGCAGTGAGCCAAGATTGTGCCATTGCACTCCAGCCTGGGTGACAGTGAGAGACTCTGTATCAAAATTAAAAAAAATTAAAAAAAAAGGATTGAAGACTGAAATGTAAGGCCTCAAACTTTGAAACTACTACAAGAAAACATCAAGGAAACTCTCCAGGACATTGGTCTGGGCAAAGATTTCTTGAGTAATACCCCGCAAGTACACGCAACCAAGGCAAAAATGGACAAATGGGGTCTCATCAAGTTAAAAAGCTTCTGCACGGCAAAGGAAACTATCAACAAAGTCAAGAGACAACCTACAGAATGGGAGAAAATATTTGCAAGCTACCCATCTGACAAGGGATTAATAAACAGAATATATAAGGAGCCCAAACAACTCTATAGAAAAAAATATAATAATCTGATTAAAAACAGCAAAATGTTTGAATAGACATTTATCAAAAGAAGACATACATAAGGCAAACAGATATATGAAAAGATGATCAACACTGTTGATCATCAGATAAATGCAAATCAAAACTACAGTGAGATATTATTTCATCCCAGTTAAAATGGCTTATATCCAAAAGACAGCAATAACAAAGGCTGCTGAGGATGTGGAGAAAAGGGAACACATGTACACTGTTGGTGGGAATTTAAATGAGCACAACCACTATGGAGAACAGTTTGGAAGTTCCTCAAAAAACTAAAAATAGAACTACCATGTGATCCAACAATCTCACTGCTGGGCATATACCTGAAAGAAAGGATATCAGTATATTGATGAGATATCTGCACTCCCATGTTTGTTTCAGCACTGTTTGCAATAGTCAAAATTTGGAGGCAACCTAAGTGTATATCAACAGATGAACGGATAAAGAAAATGTCCCATATACACACAATGGAGTACTTATTCAGCCATGAAAATGAATGAGATCCTGTCATTTGCACAAGATGGATGGAACTGGAGGTCATTATGCTAACTGAAATAAGCCAGGCACATAAAGACAAACATAGCATATTCTCATTTATTTGTGGGATCTGAAAATCAAAACAATTGAACTCATGGAGCTAAAGAGCAGAAGGATGGTTAACAGAGGCTGGGAAGGGTAGTGGGAGGGTTGGGGTGGGGGCACAGTGGGGATGGTTAATGGGTACAAAAAAATTAGAAAGAATGAATAATTCCCAGCATTTGATAGCATAATAGGGTGACTACAGTCAATAAGAATTTAATAGTACATTTAAAAATAACTAAAAGAGTATAATGGGATTGTTTGTAACACAAAGGATAAATACTTGAGGGGATGAAAACCCCATTTTACATGATGTGATGTAAACACATTGGATGCCTGTATCAAAACATCTCATGTACCATATAAATATATATAGCTACTATGAGCTCACAGAAATATAAAATAAAAAATTAAAAAAAACAAATAAACAAAAGTAACCATGGACAATATATAAACAAATGGATTTCATGTGTTCCAATAAAACTTTATTCAGAAAAAATATAGCTGTAGAAAAACTGATTGACACAATATTCATAACTTATTGTTAAAAGCAATAAAACATAATCCAAAATATTTCGATTTATTTTTATAAAAGAAAATGTATACATAGATAAAACATTTAGAAATATAGATACTAATATATTAACACGTTTACTTTGAATGGTGAGATTACAATTGATTTTTTTTTTTACATAATTTAAATAGACTTTTTTTTAGAGCGGTTGTAGATTTACAGAAAGTTGAGAAGATAGTGGAGAGGGTTACCATATATCCCATATCCAGTTTCCCCTATTATTACCATCCTATATCAGTAGCATACATTTGTTACATTAATAAATCAACACTGAAATATCATTAACTAAAATTCATACTTTGTTAGAATTTCTTTAGTTTCTATTTAGTGTCTTTTTCCCTGTTCCAGGATCCCATCTAGGATACCACATTACATTTAGCATCATGTCTCCTTAGGAACCTCTTGGTTGTGACAGTTTCTCAGACATTTGTTTTTGTTAACCATGACAGTTTTGAGGAGTATTGGTCAGGTATTTTGTAGGATGCCCCACTATCGGAATTTGTCTATGTTTTTGTTATGATTAGGCTGGGGTTATGGGTTTGGGGGAGGAACAGTTGATTTTTGTATTCTTTTAATTAATTTATCTATTTACTAAAATGAACATGTTTTACTATTGTACTAAAACAGTTACGATGAAATCATGCATACACACACACACACACACGCACACACACGCACACACGTATATGCATTCATCATTGCTAGCCATCAGTTATAAGGATGGTTGCCTGGGTCGGCACTAGGTGAAACTGCGGTTAGCAAATTTTCTCCTCAGTAAGTTTCAGCTGCTCTTTTCAGCATCCTCTCATTCCCGTTTCAATGTGTCTGACAGTTGGTAAATGTTTAAGATACAGCTTCTTTATGAAGACTCTTGCATTTTAATATAAGATTCTAAAAATCTGATGTTTTCAATACCCAAAGGAATTAGACTCTAATTCCTTTGCAAGTGGATAGAGGATAGAGAAGTTGCAAGTGGATAGAGGAGGAACTGTTCCCCGCACCTCTATTCCTGATTTTGCAAAGTGAATATTGTCTATGTGAGATGCTCATACAAAGACTCATCAGAGACAAGCAACGTACAGGTTAGCAAAGGAATCAAATAAACTATCTGTCAGAAACTGAATTATGACCTTAGAATAGTTTTCTCCCTGATCCTAGGAATCTGTCGTTTTTGTCTTCAAAACCCTATTTCTTCCTTCCTTTTATAATAGCAGCCTCATTTTCCTTTAGTGGTTCGCTTTCTCCCACTCTCTCCTGCAATTCCAGAAATGACTATCTGACCAGACCTAGAGTCCAATAGCTCCCTCCCTTCCCACAGTGATTGGTGGATCTGGAATAAACATGTGACTCTAATTGAGCCAATGGGAGCTTGTCCTGAGACTTTTGCCAAAGCTGTTAGGAAAGAGGAGCTTTGTTTCTGTGATGGATGTTAAGCTGATAGGATGTAAGACTGGAGTTGCTAAGGATTATCCAGACTACGACAGAGAAAAAATCTGTCTGAGAAGGAAGCCAACACAAGAGGAATAGATTCTTGAAGATAATGTGTGATTTTTCTGACAAACTAGATTTATCTCCTAGACTTTCCAGTTACATGAGCCAGTAAAGTTTTTGTGTGTGTGTGTTAAGTCAGTTCAGGTTGTGTTTTTGGGACTGCAACTAAAAAACCCTCCATTAAAAGACTCTCTTAAGACCCTATTCTTTTAAATAAATTAACTATCTTCTTACTCAAGTGTCTGATCTCAGCATACTTTCCATTTCTCAACGTTATTTTTAAAAAAAATCTTTGGACTCTTGTATCTTGTTCTTATAAAAAAAAAAAGATAACCTGTTAAAAATTCAGTCAGGTTGATTATTTGGTTTCATGTAGTCTAATATAGTTTATTTCCACTGGTGATAAAATCAAATTCAGAACACACTAAAATATTGAACATATTGAAAATATCTCTGTGATTAGGATATAGCTACAAGTTTCTGACTTTAAAAGATTTTGGGCTAGGCACGGTGCTCATGCTGGTAATCCCAGCACTTTGGGAGGCTGAGGCAGGTGGATCGCTTGAGCCCAGGAGTTGGAGACCAGCGCGGGCCACATAACGAAACCCCATCTCTACTAAAAATACAAACACTAGCCAGGCGTGGTGGTGCACACCTATAATTCCAGTTACTCAGGGCGCTGAGGCAGGAGAATCGCTTGAACCTGGGAGGCAGGGGTTGCAACGAGTCGGGATTGGGCCACTGCATTCCAGCCTGGGGGACTGAGATTCTGTCTCAACAACAACAACAACAACAACAACATCAACAACAACAACAACAACAACAACAACAAAAGCCGTAAAAGATTTTGTTTAACTTTTTTTTTTTGAGGCAGAATCTCACTCTGTTGCACAGGCTGGAGCGCAGTGGCGCAATCTTGGCTCATTGCAACCTCTGCTTCCCGGGTTCAAGCGATTCTCCTGCCTCGGCCTCCTGAGTAGCTGGGATTACAGGTGCGTGCCACCACATCTGGCTAATTTTTTTTTTTTTGGTATTTTTAGTAGACGTGGGGTTTCACCATGTTGGTCAGGCTGGTCTCGAACTCCTGACCTCATGATCCGCCCACCTCAGCCTCCCAAAGTGCTGGGATTACAGGCATGAGCCACTGCACCCAGCCGATTTTGTTTAATTTTAAGCAAGCGTGTTAACCGGTGGGGACCTCTCTCTTGCCCCAGTAGTTTCTCAACTATCAGAAAATTCTTCTGGTCAGTTTCCGTGGCAGCAACACCAGCTCAGGTTTCCTGATTTTAATGCGTCATTTGGCAAATGATCAATCAGCCACTTTCTACCACACTTCAATCACTGGCCAATGTGAAATGAGTTAAATGGTATTCTTTGCACTGGAAGAAACGTGAAGGTGATACAATTGCTCTCAAGAATTCATTCATACAAGGTTAAGGGTTAAATGCTTAGACATTTCACAGCCTCTAAAACCTGGATCTCAACCCCAACTCTGCTGTTTACTTGCTATCTGACTGCAGAGAGGTAACGAAAATCTCTGTGATTCAGTCTCATCATCTAAGAAACAGGAATAATAATAGAAAAATAACCTAAAATAATATATAATACAATATCATATAAAACAATAGGGCTGGTGTGAGATTAAGAGAACTGGTCCATAAAGCACTAAACATGGTGGCTGACACAGAGGAAATGCTCAGTCAGCATCAGGTGGCTCTTTAGATATGCAGTTGTGATCACATCTGGAATTCACTATGTGCTTAAAATGGATACTTTATATGAAGTCTGTCTATTTGAGATATCCCAAAAAATTAAAAATCAAGCTGACTGGTCTTTTGAGAATGAAAGATGTGGGGAAAAATGCAATGAAGATTGAATTTGGGTCAATTACTCACTGTCTTGCTTGTTCGGGAATTATGACTAGAAGTGTTAATAAAAGAATTAAGCCATGAGTTACTCTCAGAAGTATTGCTATAAACATTTGACCTCTGCTACCATCCCTGTTGTAAGGACTCATTGAACACTTACATGTTGCATGGTGCGTGCTCATTAATTTTTCTATTGCACTAAAGTTAACATTCTACATAGATATCAAAATTATTCCTACTTCACGAGTCTGTATCAGAAAAAGATTTTCAAGACAAGTGCCATTGCTTATGACTTTTCTGAACATAGGTCATGGGAAATCTAATCAGCATCAAAACTATGCTAGCATTTCTCATATTTTATTTTGAAAGGACAGCAAATGATCTCAGGATGGTACTGGCCCATCTCTCCAAACACTCTCTGTTGTTGCATGATAGAAGAGTGTGTGAGAATTCAAATGATAATTCATAATGGATTTGAAGGATGTCTTCTTTCTTGGTGATGAGGGGCTAGCATAAAGGGAACTTGGTTGACTTCCAATCCTTGAAGCTATTGCTTCTGATTCACTTCTGTTAAGCAGATATTTTTGGATAATGATACTATAGGATAAATGCTGATTAGGTCCATTGTTAGCAGAGGGGAGCTGAGCTAAAGCAATTTGCAAGTTGTGACTGTAGTTGCTTGATGAACTATTGAACTAATTGCCTACATTGCTGAACTAACTAAAGAATTTCTTTAAGTTAGAGGATGATGACAGGGAAGAGACTATTTACAAATAGTGCTTCTTGTACAGCTGGGTAGAATTTAGGGTCATTCATTTATGTTCAGCATTTCCAAAGGTTAACAATATGAATCATACAACTGAAATTGGCATCACATGGCTTTAGAATGTCACCACATCAAACACGCAGCTGGCGTCAGGGAAGGAGGCCTGATGTCATTGTATGTTTGGCCTATATGTTTTCTTAACCCAACAGCTAGCTTCCTGTGAAACAGTACATCCGCATGGAATGTCTCCGTGGACTACACGTAGAGTTCAGGATACTTCTGCCATCTTAGTTGTGTGAGTGAGCCAAATCACACAGCCAAATGCCCATTTGGAAAATAGGTTCTGAATTTATACACATGAAAAACCAAGGGAAAAAGATTTGCCTATAGAGAGATCACACCAAGGATACTGAGCTGGGGATGATTAAAATAAAAGTGACATTGACCAGGTAAAATTCCATTTTAGGTGACTGTCGCTGTCACACAGTTCTAGTGATACATTTGCAGCAACCAACTTTGCAAGCTACAAAGGATCAGCCTTATGATCCAGATTTGGCCTTTGATTTGGGGGATGCTATTTGCATTATGGCACTCTTCCTGTGATGAGCTTTATGACTTCTTATTACCCAGTACATAAAACTCTGCTATTGCATTGTGATGACTATTCATTTTAATCTTGAAGAATTTATAACCTGACTCGAGGTGAGTGATTTAAAATAGAAAAACAACCAAAGACATATGTTACAAATACCAGTGCTTCCCCTGAGTTCTCTGAGGCTAGTGTTGGGCTCTCTTGAGGCCAGCATGGTCATGGTTTCTGCTCTACCACCTCTGTGCATCATGAACCTGGAGTGTCTATACCTTCCCCATGTTTAGAACGGACAGATTTGATGGATGAAGAGTCTCCAGCTAAAGTTTCCTGAGGGAAGGTTCTGTCTCTTATGCAGCATTATATAAATCTAGTGTCTGGCATGGTGCCTAATGTATAGTGGGAATATAAGTATTTTGATTGAATGAATAAACAAATATAGATGTGCACATGGGAAGTAGACCACACAGGAAAAGTTACTGTGTATTGATTCATTTGCTGACTAGCAAATAGGATGTTTGGAAATAAATTGGTCATATTGCTATTACCCTCCAAATAATCACATTATTTCTACAGATTGCAATATAGGCATAAGCATCATGTGAAGTAGGTATCCATTCTGATTATAAAAATAAGGTGGTGCCATCTGGGAAGTGAGGAGCGCCTCTGCCCGGCCGCCCCATCTGGGAGGTGAGGAGCGTCTCCGCCCGGCCGCCCCGTCTGGGAGGTGGGGAGCGCCTCCGCCCGGCCGCCCCGTCTGGGAGGTGGGGAGCGCCTCCGCCCGGCCGCCCCGTCTGGGAGGTGGGGAGCGCCTCCGCCCGGCCGCCCCGTCTGGGAGGTGTACCCAACAGCTCCGAAGAGACAGCGACCATCGAGAATGGGCCATGATGACGATGGGGGTTTTGTTGAAAAGAAAAGGGGGAAATGTGGGGAAAAGAAAGAGAGATCAGATTGTTACTGTGTCTGTGTAGAAAGAAGTAGACATAGGAGACTCCATTTTGTTCTGTACTAAGAAAAATTCTTCTGCCTTGGGATGCTGTTAATCTATAACCTTACCCCCAACCCCATGCTCTCTGAAACATGTGCTGTGTCCACTCAGGGTTAAATGGATTAAGGGCGGTGCAAGATGTGCTTTGTTAAACAGATGCTTGAAGGCAGCATACTGGTTAAGAGTCATCACCACTCCCTAATCTCAAGTACCCAGGGACACAAACACTGCGGAAGGCCAAAGGGTCCTCTGCCTAGGAAAACCAGAGACCTTTGTTCACGTGTTTATCTGCTGACCTTCTCTCCACTATTATCCTATGACTCTGCCACATCCCCCTCTCTGAGAAACACCCAAGAATGATCAATAAATACTAAAAAAAAATAATAATAAAAATAAAAAAAAATAAGGTGGTGCATCGAATGGCAAAGTGATTAGGAATCCCTTTGGACAGTTCATTCGTAAGGAATTTGATTCTGAACTTTAAATTCCTTCTGGTAAGGTGAGCTAGCTTGCTTTAGCTAACACTTGCTCTGCCTGATTCTTGCATATCTTGATGCCTCTGTTATAAAGCACAGTAGTGACTAAATCAGTAGAAAACACTGCAGCCACTCCATGGGTCAGGGGGCTGGAGGGGATGATATTTAAGGACCCTTCTGTCCCTGAATTGTTCTAAGCCTATTAAAAAACCAACAAAATAAGACAACAAAAAAGGAAAAAGCCCACTTCCAGAAGCAGTCTTTTCTGTGAAAAAAAAAAAAAAAAAATTAATCAATCTATTATTTGGCATCTTGTTGAAAAGGCACAGTTAAAAAAAAAGATTATGAGACAAGTTTTTTTAATTTGCATTTCTACAAGTTGCTTTGCTGTCATCTAGAAATGGCTCAAGCCTTATGTTTCGGATCTTAGCATGAGTCAGGAGGGGCTTAGCTTCTGCCCCCAACCCTTATCCACCTGCTGATGGTGATGGGGAGGCTTTTGCATTTGTTTCCATGTCAGCTGACCCTTGGGCTTGGGTTCTGGAGCTTGCAATGTCCCTCACAGGGACAGGGACTGATCCTGGAATTGGCCTGGCAGTGTACTCACCCAGCGGGGTGAACTCAGACAACCGACAACTTGGTGACTTCGACAGATGTTTTTGTCTCAAAGCCTTGGGCACCTTGCCCTGCTGTCTCGCATGCAGAGGGTGATGCCTGGCGCCCTGCCTGGTGCCACCAGGAATGAGTGTAGCCCCAGGGAGTACTGCCAAGTCATGTCGGTGAGCTGCTTTCTGGGGGCCAACTGGCCACTGGATAAATGTGTTGGTCGGCGTGTTCAGAACAGTCAGGGGTCACACTAGCTTAAGTATCTCACTGCTTTATGTGGCTGTAACTTCTAAGTCTATGTTCTGTGTTTCAAGCCATTTTGTTTATACATTGCATGTGCTTCATTGTGCAATTGTGGTGACTGAGGGGGTTCATTGGACAGAAGCCATAGGTTTCACGGTTGTGTCTGTAGCAAAATATTAGTGGGAAAACATGCTGCCCCGAGTGTATTCTGGTTCAACTCTGAAGATTGAAGTCACCTAAACAATAAATAAGAGATAAACCCTGCCAGTCAACAACAGATTACATAGACCCACTTTTGGTAAAGCATGGTGCAGTTGAAAAGCACTGAGCTTGTAGTCAGGAAGCCTCTGCATATTCTGCTTCACCATTTATAAGCTGGGCCCTTGAATGTTTTCAATGTATTTTAAATTTGGTCCTGTTCCTATTTTAATAACTTTATTTTGTATTGAAGTATCTCTCAAATTAAAAAGAAAATGAGTGAAGAGGTTGCAAATTTATCAGATTACTTAAGTCTTTGTGCCTCAATTTCCTTACCTGTATAATCGAGTTCATTTATTCATTCAATACACAGCCACAGCAGTTGAATATTTTCTCCCTGCTAGGCACTGGCCTGGGTCCTGGGGGTACAATGGGGAAGAAGACAGACTGGGTCCTGCTCCTGTTCCAGGGAACAGAGTCATTATTCAGGGACAAATCCCAGAGCAAAGAACAAGGTGCTCTTGCAGAGAAAAGAACCCAGAGTCATTGGAATATGGAGGCCAAAGAAAGTTATTCTGCTGGGACCTTAAGCTCCATCTAGAGGTGATGTTTTGCGCTGAGCTAAAAAGATGAGCTGGGATTCTGTCAAGACTTGGAGCAGGAGCAGGGTGAGTGCATTCTGAACAAAGGGGAAAGTGTGTTTGGTCACATGAGGCAATGAAAGAGTATCTGGAAACAGGGAGATGCTGCTCCTGGAGAAAGACAGAGTGGCAGAAGTGCGAAGCGCAGCAGCAGTGAGGTGTTGTGCCTGTACTACCTTACTTCACAGAGGTGCTGGGACCATCAACTATGACAACACTCTGCAGGCTAGGAAAATGATTAACAGAGGTTTTTTTGTTTTTTTTTTTTTCTGATTGTGAAAACAACAAGCATTACATTTAAGGCCAATGTGATTGACAGGATTTGGTGATAGAGTGCCATGGGAGCTGAGGAAGGAGAAACTGAGGATGAGTAGTCATGGATTCACAGACATTAAAGTGCAGATAGTTTTATTTAATTGTAGTTAATTTAGGAAATACACGTTAGTATTAAAAAAAAACAAACCCTCCAGAATCTCTCCCCGGAGAAAGAACTGTAACATTTTGATGTGTTTCTTAACACCTAGGTGTGATTCCTTGTTACTCTCTGTGATGTTTAAACTGAGACCTAAAGATTAAGAAGGGAGTGGTAGCAGAGACATGGGAGGTGCCTCCAGGCAGAGATGAGCTTGTGGAAGGCCCCGAGAGGGGAGAGACCGGCCTGTGGAAGGACCTGGAAGAAGATCAGGGGGCTGGAGTCGAGGGTGAGAGCAAGAGCAGTGGGATGAAGTTGCAGGTTGGCAGCCAGATCACATGGGACCTTGTGGGGCATGCCCAGCATTTGGGCAACTGGGAAGTTTGATGAGTTTTGACCAGGAAACTGATATGCCATGGTCTTTCTTTTCCCAAAGACCACTGATTGTGGGAGGCAGGTGTGGAAGCAGGGAGACCAGATACATTCTCGTGAAAGATTATGGTGGCAGTGGAGATAGAAAGCATTACATTTAAGGCCAATGTGATTGACAGGATTTGGTGATAGAGTGCCATGGGAGCTGAGGAAGGAGAAACTGAGGATGAGTAGTCATGGATTCACAGACATTAAAGTGCAGATAGTTTTATTATACTCAGATAATAGAAGTGAACTGTAGTTAAGATGTTTCTGATTTCCCCATATTTTATCAATGCTCTATCATCACTTATCACTGATTCTTGTGTTTTTCCACTTTAGGCCTTGAAGAAATGCATGTTGGTCGAGAAGATTGCTTTACTTATCCCCTTTGTTTTCTGCCCTTCCTTCTCTCTACCCCTAATTCCAGGAATTTCCATCCCTTTCTGGGTGCTGGTCAGAACTCATAACTCGGAGCCACACCCATGATGTGGCCTAAAGGGGAGGCAGAGGAGACTTGGATGAGCAGACACAAGACATCCCAAAATGTGCTGGACAGGCAGGGGAAGGGAAGTGCTGCCCTTCCTTCTGATGTGGAACCTGCCCTCCCCACTCCCACACTCTGGATGAATCTCTTGCCTCTCTTGATCTTCTAGGTTAAACCAATATCTGGAGGTAAAGCTGAGTTGCTGAAGGTCTCATGAGTAGATGAGAAAACCAGTCTTAGTTTTCTCATCTACTGAGAAATGAGAGAATGAACTCCAGTCAGCTTTAGAACACTGACAAAAGTCAAAGCTGATGGTTTGACATGGAGTTAATGTTGACTGGTTAGGATGACTGGCTGGTGGTGAACTGGAATGTTAGCAGTGGGTATCTCTAACTCGTGAGATTACAGGTGACATTAATTTTCTTCTTTGTAGGTCTGTGTATTTTACAAGTTTTCTGCAATGAGCACGTGCTCTTTAAAAAACCTGATGAAAAATCAGTTTTATTATTGCCATTGCTGTAAAATTATATATACTTCTCAAATTCACCAGTTTTAATAACTATGTGAAATGTGTTTAATTTTAGGGAAAAGATGGCTTAGTTTTTATTGAAAGGAATTACCATTCTGTTTCTTTTGAATGACAGAGCTGAGAGCCCCTAAAAATAGATTGCCTATTTGTAAATCTGCCTTGTATACTTGGAAGTTTCTAAGAAAATGCAAATTGAGATTTTACTCAAAATGTTTAAAAATATAAGTAGTAGGCCAGGCATGGTGGCTCAGGCCTGTAATCCCAGCACTTTGGGAGGCCGAGGTGGGCGGATCACGAGGTCAGGAGATTGAGACCATCCTGGCTAACACTGTGAAACCCCGTCTCTACTAAAAATACAAAAAATTAGCCAGGCATTGTGGCGGGCACCTGTAGTCCCAGCTTCAGGAGGCTGAGGCAGGAGAATGGCGTGAACACAGCAGGCGGAGCTTGCAGTGAGCCAAGATCATGCCACTGCACTCCAGGTGGGTGACCAGTGAGACTCTGTCTCAAAAAGAAAAAAAAAAAAAGAAAGAAAGAAAAAAAATAAGTAGTATATCTAAGAACTTTAACCATATGACTATCATATATAAGCTGTGGCATATGTGTGTATGTGTATACACACATACTTATATATATACACACACACACACAATATACATTTACATACATAAAATTTACATATATAATATACATTTATACATATATGAAATCTTTGTATCACCCACAGAATTTAACTTAGTACCAGAATATTAGTTTTAGTATCTCAATAATTGGTAAATAATTGTTGGAAGTATGTGCTATTCTGGATTTTACTTATTAAAAATGGTAGGAAATGCAAATGACAGGAGGGAGCTTACTTTAAGTTTTTTTTTTTTTTTTTTTTGAGACAGGAGTCTCTGTCGCCCAGGCTGGAGTGCAGTGGCACGATCTCGGCTCACTGCAAGCTCCGCCTCCCAGGTTCACGCCATTCTCCTGCCTCAGCCTCCTGAGTAGCTGGGACTACAAGCACCCGCCACCACACCTGGCTGATTTTTTTTTGTATTTTTAGTAGAGACGGAGTTTCACCATGTTAGCCAGGATGGTCTCGATCTCCTGACCTCGTGATCCACCCGCCTCAGCCTCCCAAGGTGCTAGGATTACAGGAGTGAGCCACCGCGCCCGGCCAAAGTTTTTAAGCTTTTTAAAAACAGCTGTATGTTTGGATGAAAAAAATCAAGTAGGTACAAATAAAAGGACTTGATATAAGAGCAGTACATCCAGAAAGGAGATAGAGGCTTTAATTTACTAAGATCTCAATATGATGTAATGATTAAAAATAAAGAAATATAATTTTAGGCTGCATTAATATAATACAGTATCTTCAACAAGCGATATAGTACTTTTCACTTAAAAACAAGCCCTGTGTAGGCCGGGCATGGTGGCTCATGCCTGTAATCCCAGCACTTTGGGAGGCCGAGGTGGGCAGATAGATCACTTGAGGTCAGGAGTTCAAGACCAGCCTGGCCAACATAGTGAAACTCTCTCTACTAAAAATATAAAAATTGGTCAGGTGTGGTGGAGCATTCTTGTAGTCCCAGCTACTCAGGAGGCTGAGGCAGAAGAGTCACTTGAGCCTGGGAGGTGGAGGTTGCAGTGAGCTGAGATTACACCACTGCACTCCAGCCTGGGCAACAGAGACAGAATCCGACTCAAACACAAAGAAAGACAACCAAAAAACCCACCAAACCCTGTGTAATTTTCTTTGAAGAGAAAATATCTTCACATGGTTCAAATATAAAAAAATATAAAAATATGTTTATTGAAAAATTTACACTCCTTTTCTATCCTGTGTCAGCCTGGTTCCCATCTCCCCCAAGAGGTAAGCACTGGTGTCAACTCATTTATTCTTCTAACGATTTTGTGTAGTTTCAAACATTCTCTTCCTTTTAAACAAATGACAGCATTATGCACAGTGTTCTATACCTCTATGCCTTTTTAAATTAAAAGAGTATTTCAGAAATTATTTAATATTGGTTCTTCTTTATAGCTATATAATATTCCATTGTGTGGATGTACTATGATTAACAAATCCCCTGCTAATAAACAGTTAGGTTTTTCCCTCTTTTCCCTTGGCCAAACAAAGCTTCAGAAAAACATCTTAAAGCATTATGTGTATAAATATATTAGTAAGATAAATTTCTAGAAATGGAATTATTAACTCAAAGGGTATATACTTTTTTTTTTTTTTTTGAGGTGGAGTCTCGCTCTGTCGCCCAGGCTGGAGTGCAGTGGTGCAATCTCGGCTCACTGCAACCTCCGCCTCCCGGGTTCACGCCTTTCTCCTGCCTCAGCCTCCTGAGTAGCTGGGACTACAGGCGCCCGCCACCATGTCTGGCTAATTTTTTGTATTTTTAGTAGAGATGGGGTTTCACCGTGTTAGCCAGGATGGTCTCGATCTCCTGACGTCATGATCCACCCACCTCGGCCTCCCAAAGTGCTGGGATTACAGGTGTGAGCCACCGCACCCGGCCCCTCAAAGAGTATATACATTTTTAAAATTATACAGTTCCTGATAATTTTTCTCTAGGATTAAACAATTTATAGTCCTATTAGCAATGAATAAGAGTAACTATCTACATTCTCACCAACAATGTGTTATCAAGCATATAATTGTATAAGTGAAAAGTGGTATTTCGGTGTAGTTTTTGATTTCTATTTCTTCAATGGAGGGAGGACACACATGTTTCTAGGTTTATAGGTCATTCATATTTCCTTTTCTGTGTACTCTCATTCATACATTTTGTCTAGTTTTCTTTTATGTTGGTTATATTACCCTGTTAAAGCTAAACCCTTACTAGGGTCCAGAAGGCCTTATGATCTGGTACCCAGGTGTGTAAAATTTTCTGTGGATTAGATAATACCAGAGAAAATTTGTGAGAGATGATAAAAATGGAAAAATGATGCTAAAGCATTCCAAAGGCTATGGCCTGGGTGCTCACTTTTGCTTTAAAAACTTCCACATACTGGGAATATTTCCTTGGGAAAATAATCGGATTTCATAGTGGAAATTAGAAGAAAATATTTGTGTTAAGAAAATTCATGTTATCTTCTACTGTGATGGAAATCAACTTTTTCCCCATTAAAAAATATAAATCGTGTTACAGATTCAAGTGCAAGTGATTTTTAAAGTGACATGGCAAAGTGAAATGGAGGATTGAAGCAGTTTTCTGGATAGCCCAGGCTACCACCTGACCACCTCATCTGATATGTACATGTAATTAACAATTTTTCGTGAGAAGTTTAAATCACTATAGCAGTCAACTGTTTTCCAAAATTCATTCTTCTTTTCTTCTACTCTACTGGATTGTTTTCCTAAGCACAAAGAATTTTGCCACAGCTAAAGTCAGTATTTCTCAGCTTCTTATTGCAGCTAGATGTGGCCATGTGATTATGTTTTGGCGATGGGATATGAACAAAAATGATATGTGGCACATTCAAGTCCTGACCTGAAAGGATTGTTATGTGAACATCCATTGTGTCTTCTCCCTTTCTGCTGACTGAGATGTAGTTGTGATAGCGGGAACTGGAGGAGCCACTTTGGACTCAGAGATGGAAAACCTGTGTTGAGGAGTCCTGGACTTTTATGTGAAAACTTCTATTTAAACTATTGTATGTCTGAGTCCTTTGATCACAGCATCTTGTGCTGTATTCCCAAAAGTACAATATCTTTGCTTCATAATAAACTGTCTCCAAATGCAGTGACTTAAAAAAACAATCATTTATTAGCTCCTGATACTGTTGTTTGTCAATATGGTCTATGCTCATCTGGGCAGTTGCCTGGGTTCACTCACATGGCTGCAGGTAGCTGGTGGGTGTGCCAAGGGATAATTGGCTCTGGATGGTCTAATTCATGTGATTGACAGGGGCAGTGGGAGCAACTGTGTTCCATGTCTCTAGCATTTAACAAGTTCAGGCTTCTTCTCATGGTGGCTGGATTCCAAATGTAACCAGAGATAGCAAGCCCCAGTGAGCAATCACTTTTTACACCCCTGCTTGTGTTATACTTGGTAATGCCACACTGGCCAAAAAAAATAGCATGGCCAAACCAAGAGTGAATGTGGGAAGGTGTATATTTACAGCAGGGTTTCTGAACAGCAACACTACTGATATTGGGGCTGGAAAATTCTTTGTCTTGTGGGCCATCCTGTGCATTGTAGGACATTCAACAGCATTCCTGGCTTCTACCCCTCAGATATCAGTAGCAGTTCAGGCCATAACCTTCACACACCCCAGACCATAACACACAAACATGTCTCTAACATTGCCAATGACCTTTGCATGGAAAAATTGCCTTCAGTTGAAAATAACTGGTTTACAGGGAGATGTGAATCTGGTGTGAAACTTTGAGGACTATTAATGCAACAATCTGCCACATACAACAATTGATATAGTCAGCTTATTTTTCTTTGCTGTGTTGTTACTCTTAAATTCGGACACTGTTGCTAATTATCTCCACTGATGTGTATGTTTTTGAAAGCTGTTGTTTAGTTCAAGGACTCAGCCCTTGTGTTTAGAGCTTGATGTTGTTTGTGATTCTGCCTTTTATACTTGGACTACTAGCACAAAACTGGCCTTAGTTACTAGAAAATATTAGTATTGTGCTATATTGGATTATTATACTCAAATCTTTCCTTCTTCTCTGTAATAATACATTTCTTCCTGTTGTCAGGTGACTTACCATGCCTCACAGGAGGCAGAATACACATCTTTGCTCCATTGTCCTTGGGCTTGGCCGTGTGACTTGTTTTGACAGATAGAGGGTGGGCATATGTAAATGCCAATTCTGACAGAGGTTTTAAAAGGCTTTGCATGTTTCTGCAGGTCTCTCTTGTGCTCCTGCCTCCTGCCATGAGAACAGCAAGTCCCAGGTAAGAACTAATCCTTCTGCCTAACTCTCCATAGGAGAAAACCTGAACTTGACCTACGTTCTGGAACAGAGCCACCCAGATGACCCACAGACACTGGGAGAGAAATGAAGACTTATTGTTTTAGACTTTGATATTCTGGAATTGATTGCAGCATCATTACGGCAAAAGCTGACTAATACAATTCCATTTGTTATTCTATTAAGTTCTTTTTGTTAAAAAAGTATATAACCATTGTTGAAAAATTAGAAAATACAGAAAATCAAAATGAAGAAAAAAATTGGGTAGGAAGACAGGCTCAAACAACTATGATGCAATTACATGTTTATTTACAATTGTGATAAGTGCTATAAAGGGAAAGTCTGTATTCTAGGATAATATTAATATTTAAAAAGAGGGCATAGGCTAGGCATGGTGGCTCATGCCTATAATCCCAGCACTTTGGGAGGCCGAGGCGGACAGATCACCTGAGGTCAGGAGTTTGAGACCACCCTGGCCAACATGGTGAAATTCCATCTCTACTAAAAATACAACAATTAGCTGGGCGTGGTGGCACATACTTGTAATCCCAGCTGGTCGGGAGGCTGAGGCAGGAGAACCACTTGAACCCGGGAGGCGGAGGTCGCAGTGAGCCAAGAGCACACCACTGCACTCCAGCCTGGGCAACAGAGCGAGACTCCATCTCAAAAAAAAAAAAAAAAAAAGAAGGCATGATATAATCTGGAATCAGGAAAAACTTTCCAAAAGAAATAATGTTACGCATATCGTGTATTAAATACATAAAAACTATAATGTTGCATCTATTATAATACACACATACTTTTATATTACAAATAGGTTAGTTCTTATATATATATTTCTTATACATACTTCTCTCATATATAATGTAACATGTATAAGAGAACATATTACTGAATTTATTCTCTTCAATGGACAATATAAAATTAACATCTTTCCATATTAGCAAATATGTTCTCACATCATCATTTATTTTAATGCCTGTCTCATATTCCAGTGATATGTGTGGGCCATGGTTGATTCAACCCATCCTCTGATGTTGGACGTTTGAGTTGATTTTCATTTTTTGTCACTCTGAACAATCTTGTAATGAACATTCTAGCAAGGACTCTAACCTGTTTGCTGAAGAGAAATAATTGTGGTGAAAATGAGAAAATTATGTGCTGTGAAGCAAAATTCTATGACATATCCTGACCTTATGTATCCCCTCAGGAAGCATAATGGAAATATTTATGTTTGAAATAAAATTTCTCATGTACTTCCAGCTACACTCAGTGAGTCATTCCTGAAGATCCTTGGGGAAAATTTAGACTATGTTTCTTGGATGAAGATTGATTGGTGGCAGACAGGGGCAGAACATCAAGGGAGATGATATATATGTATAAAGTGGAGGAAACTAGACTATTACTTCTGCTTTTTCAAGTCAAGATGTGATCTGCTGTCATAATATTATATTGCTGGCTTGGCTTTTTTTTGTTTTTTTCTGTCAGTGTGGTTATTGTTACTTCATCTGTGGCCTGTTTCCAAAAGCAATGAGTGAGCCCCCGCAAGATAATCACTAGATTATCTGGTTCTTTCATGACTAATAGGCCAGGGGAATGTACTAAACAAACAGTTCAGCTCGAACGTGTTGCAGGGGATTGAAACTGTCTGAATGAAAATAAAATATGATAAAATAATATAATTCACATGATTCATCTTCTGCAGGACAACCAAGTCTGACATTCCTATTCCATATAAGAAGTGGTAATTTCACAGTGTACATTCAGTAAGGATATAAAATGTAATTTTGGCAGGTTTCATGGTATAAAGTTATAATATGGTTTTGGGGGTTTATAATATGGATGACTTTATTTACCTTGTGGCTGACTATGAGGTAAACTTGCAAATATGTGTCCATATTACATTCATCTACTATGAGCAAATACTTTCGGGTTGTGAACCCAAGGGAAGAAAGTGGTAAAATGGCTTATTTTGCCGCATGAATTTCAGTTTACTCGGGTAATACGAACGTGGCAGGGGCACATTTGTAATTTAGGGAGTTATAACATCAGTGGTTACATTTAATTAAATGACCATCAACATGGGATTATTTAGGAAGCATTTCTTCTTCTTTTCGGTTAAACCTGGATTGACTCACATTTTAAAGCATTTTTGTCCAGAAGAGTAATGGAATCCAACAACTCTCTGTTTTAAATCAATGACTTTGAATCAGTGAGTGGTACTCATAAGAAAAAATACAAGCTAGTTTTTCAGGGGAAAGTATTTCTTTCCTTTACTCAGATATTAGACTCTCGCTCTCAGATGACACATGGGGGTACATTTCTTATCTTCCAATTTTCTTTGGAAAGGATCAGATCAGAAGATGAGAAAACAAATGTTCAGTGTCCACAGAAATCCTGCTTCTTTTAAACAGTGAAATTATGGCTATAATGCTTTATTCGGTGTTCAGTGCAAGTTTAACCCAGCTTTCTAAATGGCGATTTGGTGACATTCAAACCGACAGCCATGACAGGGGCTCAGAGAGGTGAATGACCTCTCAGTCCTCTAAAAGGAAGCCTTTATATACCCAAGTTTACTGTCCTTTCAGAAAATCGTCAGCCAAACGCACTTTATTCTTTCAACAAATGTGTACTGAATGTCCCCCAAGTGTCTTTGTAGTCTCTGACTTTTTGAAGCTTAAGGTCTGATGAGAGAGACAGAAAATATGCAGGTTTTTTAAAAAAATGAAGAGTAAGTCTGTGAAAGCAGTAAAAGTAGAATATAGGAGTGGAGAATGGGGCGGGGGGTGGCATAAGAGGAAGAACAAATTTAGACAGGGTGAGGAGGAAAGCCTCTCAGCTAAAGGCTGTGAAGGCATCAGCCATGAGCATCAATTGCTGTATCCATAGTACCTATAACAGGACCCAACACAGAGTAGGATCTCAATAAATACATGTAGAATGCACAAACGGACAGATGTGTGAGTGAACAGCGCTCGGGCAGAGGAACTGGGCTGGAGAGCAGACAGGTGGCCAGTGGCACTGGAGCACTGTGGACAAGCAGAGAACATGCTGAGATGGGAGGGCAGACAGGCAGGTCGCACACAGGTTACGCAGCAGGTTTTGGGTCCTCTTGGTAAGAAGTTTGAGTTGTACATGTCATAGGAAGATATTGGAGACTTTTAAGATGAGAGAAATCTGAATTTTCGCTTAAAAGATTGTCTAATATTATCCCAAATAGCCAAAACAATCTTCAAAAAGAAGAACAAAGCTGGAGGCCTCATATTTCTTTATTTATTTTATTACAAAATTGCAGTAATCAAGACAGGGTAGTGCTGGCATAAAGACAGACATGTAGAACAGCGGAATGAAATACAGCCCAGAGATCCTGTATATGATCAAATGATTTTCAGTAAGGGTGCCAAGACAATGGGGTAAAGAATAGTCTTTTCAACAAATGTTGGGAAAACTAGATCTCCCTGCAGAAGAATAAATTTGGATCTGTCTTACACCATATTCAAAAATTGACTCAAAATGAATCAAAGACCTAAGCATAAAACCTAAAACTATGAAACTCTTAGAAGAAAACATAGGGGAAAAGGTTCTTTGGATTTTGCAATGATTTCTTGGATATTACCCAAATGTACAGGCAACAAAAGTAAATGGACTACATCAAAAAAAAGAAAAAAGAACTTCTGTGTATCAAAGGACACACTCAACAGAGTGAAAAGGCAACCTATGGAATGGGAGAAAATATTTGTAAATCATATATTTGATATGGGGTTACTGTATAGAATATGTAAAGAACTCTTACAATTCAGCCAGGTGTGGTGGTATGCACCTGTAATCCCAGCTACTTGGGAGGTTGAGGCAGAGGATCATTTGAGCCCAGAAGTTCAAGGCTTAAGTGAACTATGATCATGTCACTGCACTCTAGCCTGGGTGACAGAGTGAGACCGTCTCTAAACTCCGCGCCTCCCTCCAAAAAATTATACACACGCACACACACACACTTCTTGCTCCTTCTTGCTATCCCCATTTCCTCTGCCTTAGTTTAAAAAATTAAGAGAGAGAAATCTGAATTTTGGTTTAAAAGATTGCCTAATATTATCCCCAAAACAATCAAAAACAATCTTCAAAAAGAAGAACAAAGCTGGAGGACTCATATTTCTTGATTTATCTTATTCCAAAATTACAGTAATCAAGACAGGGTAGTGCTGGCATAAAGACAAGCATGCAGAACAATGGAATGAAATAGAGCCCAGAAATAAACCCTCCTCTATACGATCAAATGATTTTCAGTAAAGGTGCCAAAACTAACTCCTACAACATAATAACAAAAAAAATACATAACAACATAATAATGTAATAACAAAAAACCCCACACAAACTATTTAAAAGTGGGCAAAGGACTTGAATAGACATTACTCCAAAAAAGATATACAAATGGCCAGCAAATAAGCATATGAAAATAAAATGCTGAACATCACTAAGCATTAGGAAAATGCAAATCAAAACCACAATGAGATATCACCTCATACCCATTAGGATGGCTACTACCAAAACACAAGAAAATACCAAGTGTTGACAAGGATGTGGAGAAATTAGAAAACTTGTGCACTGTTGGGAAAGGAAAATGGTGCAGCTGCCTTGGAAAACAGAATGACAGGTCCTCAAAAAATTACAAATAGTGTTACCATATCATCGAAACAATTCACTTCTGGATATGTATCTATTGAAAGCAGGGTTTCAAAGAGATATTTGTACATCCGTGTTCATGGCAGCATTATTCACAATAGCCAAAATGTGGAAGCAACACAAGTATTCATCAAACCGATGAACTGATAAACAAAATGTGATATGTACGTACAATGGAATATCATTCAGCTTTAAAGGAAGGAAATTCTGACATATGCTATAACATGGATGACTCTTGATGACATTATGCTAAGTGAAATAAGTCAGCCATGAAAAGACAATTACTGTATTATTTTACTTATATAAGGTAGGTGCCAAAGTGTAGCCCAATTCATGGAAGCAGAAACTTGAATTGTGGTTGCCAGAGGCTGTGGGGAGGGAGAAGCAGGAAGGTGTTGTTTATTGGATATCCACATAGAGTTTCAGTTTTGTGACATTAAAAAGTTCTTGAGTTTGATTGCATAAAAATTTAAATACGAGCAACACTACTGAACTATATGCTTAAAAATGATTAAGATGGCAAATTTTATGATATATGTATCTTGCCACAAGTAAATGAAAGATCGCCTAATATTAATGCCCTGAGGCAAAAGGTATCCTTCCTTCTCCTAGGAGTAGGCCCACGTTGCTCTCTTTCTGTGTAAATAGCATGCCAAGTGACCTGAACACTGAACCAGGTGTTTGCATTAGGCTTGCAGAGTCATTCATTTCTGTGTGCTGGGCTCACCCTCCCACTGGACTGGAACATCGCTTACCAGAAGCTGCTTTGCCTCCTCAATCCCCTGGCAGCCTGGCCACAGTCTGCTCTCCATGAATATTTGTCACCTGCACAAAGTTAGGTGCGATGCCCACAGGGAGCCTCTTCCTCAGATGTGAAGGGCAGTGAGATTCAAGTATACAGGGCCTGACAGCCTCGGGGATCAAGGGCCATAAAAGACACAGGTGAAGAACTAGCTCTACAGACTTTGAGAACATCACCCCAGAGGTGTTAGTGGGGGCTTAAAGACAGTGGCACCATGTCAGCCTGGGCTTGGGAAGGTTCTGATTGAGTAGATCTACGCAGTACTATCAAAAGCACTAGAGGGTGACTGGCAGAAGCATATATTAGAACAATTTCCATTTGGTATCCTTCCAAACATGTAGTAGGACATTACTGGCTTTAAGGTGTAACCAAAGGATTTACAACATTTCGGTGCATCCAGTTCACTCTAGTTTGGGGTACACAGTCCCTAAGTGGATTGCCTTTCTTAGTCCATTTGTACTGCTATAACAGAATAGCACAGACTGGGTAATTTATAAAAACCAGAAATTTTTTTTCTTACTATTTGGGAGGTAGGGAAGTGTAAGATCAGTAGATTTGGTGTCTGATGAGGGCCTGGTCCCTGCTTCTAAGGTGGTGTCTTGAAGATTTCACCCTCTGGAGAGGAGAAATGCTGTGTCTTCAGATGGCAGCAGAGCAGAAGACAGGTCAAACTCAATCCCCTAAGCCCTTTTTATAGCAGCATTAATCCACTCATGAGGGCACCACCCTTGTGACCTAAACACCTCCCATTAAGTCCCACCTCCCAATATTCTTGCATTTGGGGATTAAGATTCCAACAAATGAATTTTGGGAGGGAATACATTCAAACCATAGCAGTGATCAACTGTCAATTATCAAGATGACCCAAATATTTGCATATTTGGCATCAATTGAATTGCTTTCTCTACACCCATCCCCAAACTCTTAGCTTTTTATCATCGTATTTTAGCATAGCCTTACTGTTCTAAACAGTTTGCAAACATTGGGTTGAGGGATTCATAGGGAGGAGAAGGACGGAGGTAAGAAGAGGGGGAAAGGGACCAAGAAGGATAGGAAGAGGAGTGGAAAATATATTGTTTGAGCCCCTAAACCAGTGGTTCTCAAACTTGAATGTGCATCAGAATCACATGGAGGTTTGTTAACATGGAAGCCAGGTGCACCTGAGTTTCTAATTCAGGTCTGGGTTGGGGCCCAAGAATTGGCATTTCTAACTCATTCCCAGGAGATGCCAGTGCTGATGGTCGAAGCCCACACATTTGAGGGTCACTGCTCTAAACAAAAGTAGTGATCTTAATCATGACTGAGCAGCAGACTCACCCGAGGAGCTTTGAAAAATCCTACTGCCCTGGCCATACTCCAGGCCAATTACAAAGAATCTCTGAAGGCAGAACCCAGGCAATAGTATTTTTCAGAGTCCCAAGTGTTTCCAATGGGGCAGCCAAGCTTGAGAATCACAGCTGTAGGCCCTTCCTTCTGAATTTTGCAGGGCAGACCAGCAGCAACAGCATTGCTTGGGAGCATCTTAGAATGCAGAATCTCAGGCCCCAGCCCAAGCTGCTGAGTCAGCACCTGCATCTAAACGAGCAAACATCTCAAGCCTCCATGTGCATTGGGAGCTCTGCAGAGAAATCAAGCAGTGAGAAGCAAGTCCAGCAGAGAGAGATTTTGAGATGCTCACTACAGGATAAGAACCAAATATCTGCAGAAACTGGAAACTTGCTGCTGGTACTGACTCACTGGAGAGTGTGTGAAAGGAACAGATACTCAGACCAGGCAATAGAATATGCTCGTGACTGAATCCACATATCAACGTTGATTCTTAATGTGTCCAAACATGGTTTCTTGCAATGAGCCTTTCACTTAATAAATCAAATTGAGGCCGGGCACAGTGGCTCACACCTGTGATTCCAGCACATTGAGAGGCCAAGGCAGGAAGATCGCTTGGGCCCAGGAGCCAGAGACCAGCAACACAGTAAGACCCCATCTGTAAAAAAGATTATAAAATTAGGCTGGGCACTGTGGCTCAAGCCTGTAATCCCAGCACTTTGGGAGGCCGAGGTGGGCGCATCACCTGAGGTCAGGAGTTCGAGACCAGCCTGGCCAACATGGTGAAACTCTGTCTCTAATAAAAATACAAAAATTAGCCAGGTGTGGTGGTGGGCGCCTATAATCCCAGCTACTGGGGACTACTGGGGAGGCTGAGGCAGGGGAATCGCTTGAACCTGGGAGGTGGAGGTTGCAGTGAGCTGAGATCATGCCACTGTACTCCAGCCTGGGAGACAGAGTGAGACTCCATCTCAAAAAAAAAAAAAAAAAAAAAAAAATTAGCCAGGTGTGTGACACTTGCCTGTAGTCCCAGCTGCTTGGAAGGCTTAGGTGGGGAGGATCACTTGAGCCCAGGATTTTGAGGCTGTGATTGTGCCACTGTACTCGAGCCTGGCGGCAGAGTAAAACTCTGTCTCTAAAAAAGAAAAATCATAATAAAATCATATTGAGAAGAAATGCATTTTAAATCTTCATATGGATGAATTCCTTAGAGTATTAAAACAGTCAATTTTACATTGAATGTGCTTAAAATACCAATAGCTACAATCGTTATACCTTGTAGCACCAAGAATAGCAGCTGCCTTCGTGCAGGGAAGGCCGCCGGAGCAATTTCATCTGTGTGGCCCTTCATTTGGCCTCCCTGGCTCATGGCATCGCCATTCTTCAGATGCTGTTTGGTTAACTTTAAGGGTGATCTGAAAGTGCCAGATATGAGGTTCTGATCTTACCAAAAACAAAAACATCAGCAAACAACGACAACAACAACACAAAGCCAGAAGCAGCTCACATGGTGGAAAGCTACCAAAAGAGGCAAAGGGTATAGCAAAGCTTAGTGATTAGGCACAGGGGCTCTAGAGCCCAGCCTTGTGGGTTCAAACTGAGGCTGTGCCACTTACTAGCTGTGTGTCCTTAGCAAGTGACTTAATCTCTCTGTACTTCATTTTCTTCATTTCTAAAGTGAGGATGACAATGATAGTCCCTCCCTCGCAGGGGTTTTGAGAGGATAAAATGAGTTATTATGTGTCAAGCTTTTAATTCTGGCCAACTATAGTTGCTATATGATAATTACTAAGTGTACAGGTTAAGAGACATAAGGATTTATATTGTTTTTTACATTTTTATTTGTTTTTATTTCTTAGAGACAGGGGTCTTGCTCTGTTGTCCAGGCTGGTCTTGACCATCTGGCCTCAAGCGATCCTCCCACTTCAGCTTACGAGTAGCTGAGGATTTATATTCTTTTGCATAGCTCAACCCCAGGAAAAACCTGAAAGATAGTATCTCAAGCTCTGATGCTGTGGTTGAGTCAATTTGGTGAATAAATTTCTCTAAAGAGGATGGGACATAACTCTCAGTTGTGTAGCTGAGTAACAGGAAGTAAGACGTGATTTGGAACAATGATAAAAAGGACATAAATTAATGAAGAGGACTATTTTTAAAAAAGGAAAAAAAACCACTAACAGTCAACAAGTCCATAATAACCCTAATAGTTAACAATAATCAATAAGGAGTTTAGAAAAGCCCCAGTCCTAAAGAAAAGGATCGGATACATTAAATTCAGAAAAAATAGGCTTTTGTCGACTATTTACACACAACAGAATTCATATTAGAATATTATTTTTTAAATGCTCTCAACAGGCAAAATGAAAAATAAAACTTCCCCCACCCCCTCTTTGGCAAATGGAAGGAAATGTCCTCAGCAGACTTATTCAGAGGGTGTCCCTGGTCTCAAGGTTCTGTCTCTTGGGGCATGTGGGTCCACTAGCCACACAATCCAAACATACTAGAAACATACACAGGAAAATATAACCCAGGCTGTTTTCTCCAAACCTAGAGCTTCCATGAAACCACTGTGAGCCATACACAAGGATCACATCACTTCCCCAAATCACACATTTCAAATTATAAAAACAGCCTAGAGAGAAGTTTCTCCCTCCTGATTTGAAAGAGAGTCACCTCTGGTCAATCCTTATCCACTTCTTTTGTTGGTTCCTTCTTTTCTTGGCTATCTTTTAAAATAGAAGTCTCCTGTCCTTGACTTTCTTCTCTGTCACCAACCCCTCCCTTGAAAACCTCATTCTCATTTGCTTTTGTATCTCCAGTGTAGAAAGACCTCTCTCCTGAACTCCAGACTCATTGTACACAAGTGTCTACCCTTCCTCCAGCATATTTCTCAGATATCTGAAACCTATCACATCCAAAGGTGAACTTCTGACTTCTCCCCAAACCTCCTCCTTCTAAATCTCAGTTGATAGCAACTTGAAGCTTCCAGATATCCATGCCAAAAACCTCAGAGTTCTTCCTAAGTCTCCTCTGTCACATCTAGCATTGGTTCTACCAGGAAATTCTGATTCAAAAATTATCCAGAATGTGACCATGTCTCACCACCTCTGCTGCTGAACCACCCTGATCTGTATCTTTCCTGGATTATTGCAACAGCCTCCTAATCTTTTGAAAACATTACTCAGATCATGTCACTCCTCTGCTGAAAACCCTGCATGGTTCTGGTTCCATATTTCTTTTTTTTGTTTGTTTTTGAGATGGAGTTTCACTCTTGTTGCCCAGGCTGGAGTGCAATGGCACTATCTTAGCTCACTGCAACCACCACCTCCTGGGTTCAGGCGATTCTCCTGCCTCAGCCTTCCAAGTAACTGGGATTACAGGCACCCCCCACCATGTCTGGCTAATTTCTTGTATTTTTAGTAGAGATGGAGTTTCACCATGTTGACCGGGCTGGTCTCAAACTCCTGACCCCAGGTGATCCACCCGCCTCGGCCCCCCAAAGTGCTGGGATTACAGGTGTGAGCCGCTGTACCCGGCAGGTCCATATTTCACTCAGTAAAAATGAAAGTTCTCAGAACCTTCCATGGTCTGGTCACCCTCCTTGTTACCTCGCTGATGTCATTTCCTACAGCTCTCCCCCTCTCCTCCAGCTCTCCACCCATACCAGCCTCCTTGGGTGTGTTCCATCCTAGGGCCTTTGCACTGCAAATAATCCTTTTCATTCTGGTCACCTGCATGCTCTTCACTCAGGTGACCACGTGGCTTACTTCCTCACTCCCTTCCAGTCTTTGCTCAAAAGTCATCTCCTCAATGAGACCTACTCTGACCACTGTTTTTAAAACTGTAGTCTTCCCACTATATTCCCAATTCCCTTACCCTGCCTTACTTTTTGTTTCCCTGAGAACTTTTCATCTTCTGATATACTGAATAATTTACTCATTTACTATCTGTCTCTGCTTGCTAAACTGTAAGCACTGCCAGGTCATGGAAATTTGGCATATTTTATTCACATAGTAGGTACTCAATAAATATTTGTAGAATGAATGAATTATTGATTGACTTGGCTCCTGGCGTTAGTATTCAGCAATCCTATGGGGGGCAGGGAGTCCCGACAATCCTGCTGTGTCATAAGAAGGGTGTATTGCATTTAAAAGACTGAACAAGCATCCTCTTCCAGTAAGGAGCACTGGGCTTTGTACCTCTGCAAGCCCACGCCTTGTCCCTGCTGGCTTCTCCCTCCTGGCCCCAATGCCCACTTGCCTTGTCAAGTACCTGGCCACGCCAATGGTAGTCCTGGGTAAGCTCTGCCTCATATCAGTCTGCTTGGGCTCTGGCACCTTCTGCCACCCAATCCAACCCAAATTTATATAATTCAACAATACCAGCTGACCTTGTATGCTGTGGTCAGTCACTGGTCTAGCGCCAGGCTTCAGTAGGTAGAGGCATGTGTTTAGATCTGGTATCTTTAATTTTAGATATGGTGTAATGTACATCCCCATCACTGCCTTGGAACCAAAAGGAAAGGACAGTGATACCAAACATAATGACACCTTATAGCCTAGCTCCTTGAGGGCCATTTCACAGCCCTCCTATCTTTAGAATTGTAAAATGCCGGCCGGGCACAGTGGCTCATGCCTGTAATACCAGCACTTTGGGAGGCCGAGGCAGGTGGATCACAAGGTCAGGAGTTCAAGACCAGCCTGGCCAACAAGGTGAAACCCCATCTCTACTAAAACAATACAAAAATTAGCCGGGCTTGGTGGCATGTGCCTGTAATCCCAGCTACTCGGGAGGTTGAAGCTGGAGAATTGCTTTAACCCGGGAGGCGGAGGTTACAGTGAGCCAAGATTGTGCCACTGCATTCCAGCCTGGGTGACAGAGCAAGACTCAGTCTCAAAAAAAAGATTAAAAAAATTATAAAATGCCTATCCCTCAAAGTTGTAAGATTTGGTCGAGAAAGCTACAGATTCATTTCAGAATGAGTAGTCAGGGTGAGCCCCCACAGATTACTGAGAAAGCCATCAATCCCTGTCATCTCAGAACTGCTGATCATCATCTCATCTTTCTCTTTGCTCCAATTAACTCTTACTCTTTGGTTAAAACAACTAAGTTACGGGGGAATTAAAGGAAATTCTGTATTGACAAATACATGGGGCTGAACGGTGAATATATGCTAAGTAAGAAAACATATGTCTATTGGAAATTTAAGACTCTTTCCAGATGTTTACATAATTTACTTTTTCTTTCACTATACATGTAATGATTTAAAATGTTTTTTCCATGAAAGAATAAATTATGTTTAAATAGTAAAATGCCTATTGGCCTTGGGTTCTTCCAGGGAAGGCTACCAGTTCCCTTGGAGGTAAAAGCTAAGAAGTAACTAGAGGAGCAACATTGCTTCTGAGAACCCACACTGTGCCAGCCACTGTCATAGACATATGTCAGCTTGTTAGATCTTCAGAAGCACCATGAATGTTAGATGTTATACCTGTTTTACAGATATGGAAATGATGGTTTAGAGGGTGAAATAACTCGTCCAAGGTCACACAGCTAGTAAGTGGTGGAGTCAGGTTTTAAATCTAGGCAAGGCTATACTAAGTACCTGGATCATACCACACTTCTCCCCACTTGAGTCATGGGCTACTGCAGTTGGGGAAATGACTCAGACTTAGAGATAGTGCACATGTACATTCTCTGGAATAGTTCCTGGTATTGAGTAGAGGCTCATTGCATGTTAGTTTCTCACATCCTTTTCTCTAGGATGATTTCTGACAGCACATGAAGTCATGAAGGGGACACACATGAAGTGTGGCCTTAGATTAAAAGTGTGCAGTGTAATCATAATAATACCAAATAGTCCCTACTATTTGCCAGGTGCTGTACTATGTCATTTATGTGTATTAATTCATTTCATCATTTCAACAATCCCATGAAATACGTTCTACTTTTGTCACGCCGTTTAACACTTGCCAAGGTTTCACATTAGAGCTGGTAAATGAGAGAAATGGGACGTGAACTCAGGCAGTCTGTCTCGAGTCCAAGCCTTTAACCACTATGCGATACTGCCCACTAAATTATTAGCCTGCTGTAGTCTAGATACTGTGTACATATATATGTGTGTGTGTGTGTGTGCATATATATATATGTGTGTGTGTGTGTGTGTGTGTGTGTGTGTGTGTGTACTCCACCCTTGAGAATTGCGTTGATATGATTCTCTGGGTCCATCTTACAATGCCATATTATGATTCCACAATATGAGATTGTCCATTATCCTATTACAATGGCTTAATCAGACACATGCTATGAGCCAAGTGGTGGAGATGCCTTCAAAACACCCAAAGGAGTTGGCCAAAGCCGAAGAGGTTGACTTACAGCCCCACCACTCTTCAGCTCCAGGCACTGCACTGGAAACATGCACAATAAGGGAAAATTGACATTGCAATTTGAGTTGCAGATTGTACTGATGGTGTGGTTTGAATAAATACCATGCCCTTTGAAAGTCTTATATTATTACGCTAGACACATGAGGGTTTTCCTATTCCTATTGCAGGCAATAGGCAAAAATCTATCTTCATAGCTGAAATCTGTTTTGGAATTCATTGCTGCCTTTCTGGAAAGACACTGTTTAATTCTGTCTCCTGGGTGTGTGACCCTATGGTCTCTACCTTCTTTGTAGATCTGTGAATAAAGCTCTTTGTAATGAGGCCACTTTTTGTGCAACAACAACAAAATGTTTCTGAGAAGGATGTTAGAGCCAGACTTTCTTTAAGTAGTGGTGTCTGGTGTTGTTTACTTTTAAAATAGTTTCTAGTGCAAGGGAGAATTGTGTCCTAGAAGAACTGTCCCAAGGAGCTCATGAACAGGAATAATGGTTTGTACCACTACTTTCTGGAAAGCAAACGGGGATTTTGATGTGAACCCAGAAAGGGGTCGGACCACATTGACATATATTTTCTGGTTTCTAATCTTACCTCCACTGCCATTATGCACTGCATTACACAACCCTCTACCCTAAGGCCCAGCCACCCTACAGCCTTTTATCAACTCACAGAATGGTCTCAGCACAGCATGAATCTAGATGAGGGCTTAGGGACCCGTGGGTGGCCAGACCTCAGGCTCTGGGCATCAACAGGCAGACCTCCAGTTCTGCCCTGAAATAGAATTATGATATCATTGTGAGCCAATCAAATTGCCTGTCTGAGTTCAGTCCTGGATGCTCTGGGGTGGTAATTCCCAGATGATTTGATCTATGGTATTTTCTAGTAGTCTAATTTGATAATGTCATTTAACTGAAAAATATGTCTCTCATTATTATTATTATTATTATTATTATTATTATTATTATTATTTGCCAGTGTAGAAGGAAGTTAAGAAAGGGGGATTAACTTTAATTTTTTTCAGTTTAATGGAACATATACTAAGAAAAAAATGTCTCAGTAAGTGATGCTCACCATCCACTCAATTGTCCAATCCAAAATTTTAACCGGGAGTTGTTTATGTGTCCTCTCTTTCACTCGCCGCTGATGTCCAATCGATCAGTAAGTCTTGTCCTGTCAATTTCTGAATTTGGCTATTTTCGTCATAACCACTGTTAAGATTCTCATTCAAGGCATATCAACCGTCCCTTGTCTGGACCAATGCAACAGCCCCAACACTGATGTCCTGCTCCCCGTCTTGCCTCTCTGTCTCCACACAGAGGCCAGAGAGGTCTTTGTAAATAACAAGTCATATTATATCACTTGCCTGCTTCAAGCTCTTCAGTGCTTTCCCTTCCCAACCAGATGAAAATTCTGATTCCTTACAATGGATGGCCTGAAAGATATCGCATAGTGCCTGATCCCTGCTTCTCTCATTGACCCCCTCTCTCTCCACTCACAACTGCATTCACAATATTCAGGCACATTAACCTTGTCCTTGCTTCAAAGCTTTTGCATTGATGGTCACTCTGCCTGGAATGCTCTTCTTCTAGATCTTTGCACAGCTGCCTCTTCCTTATCACTCAGGTCTAACTCAAATGGCACCTCCTCAAGGAGGAAAAATGCATATCATGCCAACTTGCACACTTGTAGAATTCCTGCTCCTGTGCTCCAAGTATAAATGCCATGAGGGTCGGGACAGTGCCAGTGCTGTTCCTTCCTTTATCTGCAGTGCATAGCACCATGTCTTGTTCAAAAGAGGTATTTAATAAATGAATGAATTAATTCATGGATCCCAGCTAATTTGGTTGTTTACTGCTGGGGAAGTTCTCTAGCATGATATGTAACAGGCTCTTATAAACTGCATTGCACTGCAGTCCTATGATGATAATAAAAAGCACACTGATCTTTAGTTGGTTTTGTTACAGTTTTAAAAATTTCTACAGAAAATGCACCTTCTTATTTCCTCCATGGCATGGGCCATTCCCACTGCCTTGCCTTTGGTATGGTTCTGGGAAAAAATAATAGCCTTCCTCATAGCATTGAGGGTAGAAGACAGAGTCAGCTGACCCATGGAACATAAAATATTCACAAAAATATTCACATGAGAGGGAGTCACAAAGCAGTGTCACTAAAATGTACAGAAATAAATCACTCCTGGTACATAAGCAATTAAGGATAGAAATTTTGCAGAGCATTTTGGAAAAGCACCTGTATTAGACAGGATAGGTAGGATTGTGCTGCAGTAACAAATGACACAAAAATCTCAGTGGATGAGCACAGGTTTCTTTTGTTTGTTGTTTTTCACACCATGGTACCTGTTCATTGTGGAAGGCTAAGAGACTTCCCATTCATTGTAGTGACTCTGGGACAGAGGCTTTATCTGAACATGGGGTTCATGTTTGTTGAAGTGGGAAAAGGGAACATGGTAAAGTATGTACTAGCTCTTAAAGATTCTGCTTAGAAATGACACCTTTCATCTACAAAGAATTCAAACAAATTTCCAAGAAGAAAACAAATAATCCCATCAACAAGTGGGCAAAGGATATGAACAGACATTTCTCAAAAGAAGACATTTATGCAGACAAAAGACACGTGAAAAAATGCTCATCATCACTGGCCATCAGAGAAATGCAAATCAAAACCACAATGAGATACCATCTCACACCAGTTAGAATGGCGGTCATTAAAAAGTCAGGAAACAACAGGTGCTGGAGAGGATGTGGAGAAATAGGAACACTTTTACACTGTTGGTGGGACTGTAAACTAATTCAACCATTGTGGAAGTCAGTGTGGCGATTCCTCAGGGGTCTAGAACTAGAAATACCATTTGACCCAGCCATCCCATTACTGGGTATATAGCTAAAGGATTATAAATCATGCTGCTATAAAGACACATGCACACGTATGTTTACTGTGGCACTATTCACAATAGCGAAGACATGGAGCCAACCCAAATGTCCAACAATGATAGACTGGATTAAGAAAATGTGGCACATATACACCATGGAATACTATGCAGCCATAAAAAATGATGAGTTCATGTCCTTTGTAGGGACATGGATGAAGCTGGAAACCATCATTCTCAGCAAACTATCTCAAGGACAAAAATCCAAACACCACATGTTCTCACTCATAGGTGGGAATTGAACAATGAGAACACGTGGACACAGGAAGGGGAACATCACACACTGGGGCCTGTTGTGGGGTGGGGGGAGGTGGGAGGGATAGCATTAGGAGATATACCTAATGTAAATGACGAGTTAATGGGTGCAGCACACCAACATGGCACATGTATACATATGTAACTAACCTGCACATTGTGCACATGTACCCTAAAACTTAAAGTATAATAAAAAAAAGAAAAGAAAAGAAATGACACCTTTCACTTTTACTCATACTTTAATGATCAAAGGAAATTGCATGATCACCCATAACTTCAAGGGATCAGGAATATATAATCAATACCATGCAACTGGAAGGAGACCTGGAACTATCTGGGGAACTGCTCTAATAATGATCTCACTATCCTGGCAATCCAACTGATTAAAAAAGCTGTACTTAGGGAACTTTGAGCAGCTGCAAATCTACAAATGTATACAGTGGATGCATACACTGGTATGGGTCATACAGATATGGCCCAACAGCATGTGAAATATGGAACCATAGAAGAACTATCAATTGGGCATTAAGAGAAGAAAAATATGGATTGAATCAGACCAGAAACAATCCTTGTTACCAGCCCATATCAACCAGGATTTTAGGGGAGAATTAATCCCTGATGTTATGTGCATCTACAATGGTACTCTCCTATGTATCCTTAGGAGAATTGAAAAAAAATAGTTTTCAGTAATTTTCTCTAACAGCTTAATTCTCACATGGAACCCTGGTTGGAGAAAGGCTGTTTGTCATACCTTTGTAGGTGTTTCCACCAAATCCCTAAGTAGGAGGGTGTGGTAATTTACCAGTGAAAATGATTTGAAATTACTTTTGTATAACAAGGCTAAAGTTATCTAGAATGAGCTATACATAATTTTGTCCCCATCGTGTGGATTCCATTATCTTCCATTTTTATGCAACTTTTTATATGCTATCAATTGCTATAACCTATCAGTCTTTCTTTCTAAATTTCACTCTTCTATCAAATCCTTTCTGTTTCTACCAACCTATCCAAGGTACCTCTATATCCTATCTTAGTTATAACAATAGCTTTCTAACTGGCTACCTCTCATGTGCTGTCGTAACCCTCCAAACCAATTCATACATTGAAGCCAGAGTGCTTTTCAAAATTATTTCATGACACACACACAGCCAAAGAATTTTCAGTGGCTTTCCATTGAAGATCAGGATCCTCAACCTCCTCTGTCAGAGCCCAGACTGTCTGACTCCAAACTTCTCCAGCCTCATCTCGCACCACTCTGTCTCCTCCTCTCTGTTTGCCACGCACACTGCCACTGCCCTGCCTCTGCTGCCACCTTCTCCTCTTTTGATCAGAGTAATAATGTATACTAATACATGATTAAACAAAATCAAACAACACTGAAAAGCTTATAAATGTAAAGACAACAGACAAGACCTCTATCTATCTACCATTCCTCCCCACCTAAGAAGCAACTTAACTTTTAGCTACTTCATATGATACTTATGGTCATATTTATATAGAATATGCTTATACTGCTACTTCACATATCCATTTTTATACATTACTTATTTCCTGTTATTTGATGAGCATTTGACTATTCCTCTGCCATTCCCTTACCTCCTATCCTTCAAATACTACTAATCACTACTTTATATTAAACTAAAACTTGAGTCAGGTGTGCTGGTTTATGCCTATAATCTTAGCTATTTGGGAGGCTGAGGCAGGAGGACTGCTTGAGCCTGGAAGTTTGAGGCTGCAGTGAGCCGTGACTGTGCCACTGCACCCAAGCCTGGGCCACAGAGTGAGACCCTGTCTCAAAACAATAAAAAAAAACTATCACTTGAGATTTATTGTATTATGATTACATAAGTAAAATCCACTGCAGAACCAAGTATAGTATTATGATTGTCTTTCTTGTATAGATTTTTCTTAGGGGACTTAATTGCTTCATTATATTTCTTTCTGCTCATTTATTTTTTATTTTTCTAAAACTCCATCAATTGACTTTCAAGATTCTTGAAAGACTTTCTTCCTAGGACTCCCACCTTTCCATTCCAATCCTATCTGATAGTTCTTAAGGTCTGCTGCATAGGTGTCATCCTAGGTTTTTCCTTCACTTATCTCCTGGAGTAGGTTCACTTATAGCTTGCTATTTCTTTATTTACTTTGTTATTTTGCTGAATCATATTCTCAGGTAGTTCTTTTTTGTGTGTTTTTTATTATTATACTTTAAGTTCTGGGATACATGTGCAGAACATGCAGGTTTGTTACACAGGTACACACATGCCATGGTGGTTTGCTGTACCCATCAATCCGTCATTTACATTAGGTATTTCTCCTGATGCTATCCCTTCCCTTGCCCCCCACCCCACAACAGGCCCTGGTGTGTGATGTTCCCCTCTCTGTGCCCATATCTTCTCAGTATTCAACTCCCACTTATGAGTGAGAACATGTGGTGTTTGGTTTTCTCTTCTTGTGTTAGTTTGCTGAGAATGATGGTTTCTAGCTTCATCCGTGTCCGTGCAAAGGACATGAATTCATTCTTTTTTATGGCTGCATAGTATTCCATGGTGTATATGTGCTACATTTTCTTTATCCAGTCTATCATTGATGGGCATTAGGGTTGGTTCCAAGTCGTTGCCATTGTGAATAGTGCTGCAATAAACATACATATGCATGTTTCTTTATAGTAGAATGATTTGTAATCCTTGGGTATATAACCAGTAATAGGATTGCTGGGTCAAATGGTATTTCTAGTTCTAGATCCTTTAGGAATTGCCACACTGTCTTCCATAATGGTTGAACTAATTTACACTCCCACCAACAGTGTAAAAGTGTTCCTATTTCTCCACATCCTCTCCAGCATTTGTTGTTTCCTGACTTTTTAATGATTGCCATTCTAACTGGTGTCAGATGGTATCTCATTGTGGTTTTGATTTGCATTTCTCTAATGACCAGTGATGATGAGCTTCTTTTCACATGTGTGTTGGCTGCATACATGTCTTCTTTTGAAAAGTGTCTGTTCATATACCTTGTCCACTTTTGATGGGGTTGTTTGTTTTTTTCTTGTAAATTTGTCTAAGTTCCTTGTAGATTCTGGATATTAGCCCTTTGTCAAATGGATAGATTGCAAAACTTTTCTCCCATTCAGTAGGGTGCCTGTTCACTCTGATGATAGTTTCTTTTGCTGTGTTGAAGCTCTTTGGTTTAGTTAGATCCCATTTGTCTATTTTGGCTATTGTTGCAATTGCTTTGGTGTATTAGTCATGAAGTCTTTGCCCATGCCTATGTCCTGAATGGTATTGCCCATATTTTGTTCTAGGGTTTTTGTGTTTTTTTTTTTTCAAATGGAGTCTCGCTCTGTTGCCCAGGCTGGAGTGCAGTGGCGCAATCTCGGCTCACTGTAAGCTCTGCCTCCCGGGTTCATGCTATTCTCCTGCCTCAGCCTCCTGAGTAGCTGGGACTACAGGCACCCACAACCATGCCTGGCTAGTTTTTTGTATTTTTATTAGAAACAGGGTTTCTCTGTGTTAGCCTGGATGGTCTCAATCTCCTGACCTCGTGATCCTCCCGCCTCAGCCTCCCAAAGTGCTGGGATTACAGGCGTGAGCCACCATGCCTGGCCTCTTCTAGGGTTTTTATGGTTTTAGGTCTTATGTTTAAGTCTTTAATCCATCTCGAGTTAATTTTTGTATAAGGTGTAAGAAAGGGGTCCAGTTTCAGTTTTCTGCATAGGACTAGCCAGTTTTGCCAACACCATTTACTAAATACGGTATTCTTCCCCATTGCTTGTTTTTGTCAGGTTTGTCAAAGATCAGATTGTTCCAGACATGCAGCATTATTTCTGAGGCCTCTGTTCCATTCCATTGGTCTGTATATCTGTTTTGGTACCAGTACCATGCTGTTTTGGTTACTGTAGCCTCATAGTATAGTTTGAAGTCAGGTAGCGTGATGTCTCCAGCTTTGCTCTTTTTGCTTAGGACTGTATTTGACATACGAGCTCTTTTTTGCTTCCATATGAAACTTAAAGTAGTTTTTTCTAATTCTGTGAAGAAAGTCAGTGGTAGCTTGATGGGGATAGCGTTGAATCTACTTGGGGCAGCATGACCATTTTCATGATATTGATTCTTCCTATCCATGAGCATACAATGTTTTCCCATTTGTTTGTGTCCTCTCTGATTTCCTTGAGCAGTGGTTTGCAGTTCTCCTTGAAGAGGTCCTTCATATCCCTTGTAAGTTGTATTCCTAGGTATTTTATTCTCTTTGTAGCAACTGTGAATGGGAGTTCACTCAGGATTTGGCTCTCTGTTTGTCTATTATTGGTGTCTAGGAACGCTTGTGATTTTTGTACATTGATTTTGTATTCTGAGAATTTTCTGAAGTTGCTTATCAGCTTATGGAGTTTTTGGGCTGAGATGATGGGGTTTTCTAAATATACAATCATGTTATCTGCAAACAGAGATAATTTGACTTCCTCTCTTCCTATTTGAATACGCTTTATTTCTTTCTCTTGCCTGATTACCGTGGCGAGAACTTCCAATACTATGTTGAATAGGAGTGGTGAGAGAGGGCATCGTTGTCTTGTGCCAGTTTTCAAAGGGAATGCATCCCGCTTTTGCCCATTCAGTATGATATTGGCTGTGGGTTTCTCATAAATAGCTCT
This sequence comes from Homo sapiens, assembly GCF_000001405.40. Classification (NCBI taxonomy): domain Eukaryota; kingdom Metazoa; phylum Chordata; class Mammalia; order Primates; family Hominidae; genus Homo; species Homo sapiens. The sequence continues at coordinate 42,506,559 of NC_000013.11, forward strand.
TATTATTTTGAGATATATTTCATCAATGTCTGGTTTATTGAGAATTTTTAGTATGAAGAGGTGTTGGATTTTATCAAAGGCCTTTTCTGCATCTATTGAGATAATCATGTGGTTTTTGTCATTGGCTCTGTTTATGTGATGGATTACATTTATTGATTTGCATTTGTTGAACCAGCCTTTCATCCCAGGGATGAAGCCAACTTGATCGTGGTGGATAAGCTTTTTGATGTACAGCTGGATTTGGTTTGCCAATATTTTATTGAGGATTCTCGCATCAATGTTCATCAAGGATATTGGCCTGAAATTTTCTTTTTTTGTTGTGTCTCTGCCAGGTTTTGGTATCAGGATGATGCTGGCCTCATAAAATGAGTTAGGGAAGCATCCCTCTTTTTCTATTGATTGGAATAGTTTCAGAAGGAATGGTATTAGCTGCTCTTTGTACCTCTGGTAGAATTCACTGTGAATCTGTCTAGTCCTGTGCTTTTTTTTTCTTTTTCTTTTTTTTTCTTGGTAGGCTGTTAGTTTCTGCCTCAATTTCAGAACTTGTTATTGGTCTATTCAGGGATTCGACTTCTTCCTGATTTTGTCTTGGGAGGGTGTATGTGTCCAGGAATTTATCTATTTCTTCTAGATTTTCTATTTGATTTACGTAGAGGTGTTTATTGTATTCTCTGATGGTAGTTTGTATTTCTGTGGGATCAGTGGTGATATCCTTTTCATCATTTTTTGTTGTGTCTATTTGATTCTTCTCTCTTTTCTTCTTTATTAGTCTGGCTAGCAGTCTATCTATTTTGTTAATCTTTTCAAACAACCAGCTCCTGGATTCATTGATTTTTTGAAGGTTTTCGTGTCTCTCTCTCCCTCAGTTCTGCTCTGATCTTAGTTCTTCTGCTAGCTTTTGAATTTGTTTTGCATTTGCTCTGACCTTCTTGTCTTCTATTAGTTTTGAATTTGTTTACTCTTGCTTCTCTAGTTCTTTTAATTGTGATCTTACGGTGTCAATGTTAGATCTTTCCCACTTCCTCCTGTGGGGATTTAATGTTATAAATTTTCCTCTAAACACTGCTTTAGCTGTGTCCCAGAGGTTCTCTCAGGTAGTTCTTATGTATATGAAAATGTTTTCATCTACCCATATACTTGCATGATAGTTTAGCTGGGTATAGAACTTTTGGTTACAAATAATTTTCCCTTAGAATTTTCAAGACATTGTGATGGAATCTAAATTTTTATTACAGGCTACTTATCAACTCAGTAATTTATTCTCTTTATGTTTTTGTCTTTCCAACCACAAACTTTCATGTAGACAAGAACAATGTGTTGGTGTGGAAGATGAGATACTCGTGAACTGTCCAGTTAGCAATTGGGCCAAACTCCTTAGGTACATCTGGTCTTTCCTACATAAAGAGAACTCATGGAAGGGAACCACAGAGTCCTAAAAATTCTTTATGAAAACTCAACAGCAGAGATCAAGTAATACTGCCTTATCTGCTGCATTCGGACAAAAAAATACATGGTTTATTGCGAAGAGAACTTCACTTTGTAACAAACACAGCTGATAGTTTGGTCTTCATGCCATCTTCAGAGAGGTGTCTTTTGGGGCGTTGGCTAATGCAGCCTACGATGAGTGGGGGTGACTTGGTTGATGTAGGTTTATCCTAAATGTCTGTTCTTCCCTTCCTGGTACCAATGGGTTAGCCTGGCATAGTCTTCTCAAGGTGACAGCAGAAGTACAAGAGAGGAGAGGAAACACAAGGCTTCTGTGGTTTTGCCCAGAATGAGCACAGTATGACTTTGGCCTGATTCTGCTGGCAAAAGCAAGTCCTATGTCCAAACCCAAAGCCAAGAATCTCAGAAGAACATCTTTCCCACATTGTGGGTGCATTGCAGAGTTATGTGGAGAACAATGCAGATACAGAGAGGAGGAAAATATTAGAGCCAATAACACTATCTATTGAAGATTCTAGTAAATAAACATATTTCTTAAAAAATTAATATGCACAATACATGTTTACTAAAGGAAGATGATTTTCCCTATGAGGCAGTTTCTGGCTCTGTATTTCTAAACAAAATATTTCTTCAAAAATGTGATGAGGAACATTGTTTGTTTGTTTGTTTTTCTGATGTATCTGGAGTTTGCTGGCAGCGTGATATGCTCTGGCTATTTCTTTGTTGTCTGAGAAAAGCACTGACTCTCTCTGAGTGATTTTGATTCAGTTTCTGTATGAGAAAGGCCAGGGAATGTGTGTAGGGTTGGGTTAGGGGAATTAAAACATTTTGCCACTGGAGGAAAACAACAACAACAACAACAACAACAACAATAACAACTGTATTTAGACTACCTTCCTTGCAGAGAGACATGCCTTACCCTCCCTGGAGTCCCTGCCTAGATTCTCAGCCTGGCAGGCTGCTACTTGGGAACTTGGGCAAGTGACTTTACTTCTCTGACTCTCAATTTCTTGTTCTGTAAATGGGAACTAATGGGACGGTGTCCTACTTAACTCCAAAGGTGTTGTGAGTAACAAATGATATAGCAAATGGGAAAGGATGATGAAAAACTGCAAAATACTGCCCACAAATAGCCGTGGCAGATCATCTGAAATCTGGGCTGTTAACCAATTTAGCACATAAGCTTAAGGAGGCTGAAGTTACTTAATGATTCAAGCTACTTAGGTTTTATCCTCAGGAAAAAGCTGTTCCATCACCCCAAGGGGTTAGTTATTCCCCCTAGGGAAGAACGCTTAGGAGATAAATGCAGGACAACTTGGATGCTTTTGGAAAGAGAGGTTCTGGGAATCCCTAGCCTTGAACAACCTGTTTCATCATGTCTTTTTAAGGTTATAGACTGTGTTGAGTATCTAAAGAAAGCTATGTCTCCTCCCTTAGGGCAAAAAATGCATCTCTGCATATGAATGCATCATTTTGAATATAATTTCAGGATTCGTATGGGGAATTTTCCTCCCTGAACCTCTGCTTTGGAGAAATAGTGCCTGGCACTATGGGGGCACTGTCCATGTTTCCTCAGAACCCTTCACCAGGATGACTCCATCTGGAGTTTGGCCGGAAGAGCTGGGTCTTCTTGCCTCTTTGCTCATTTTTGGTCTTCTCCTCTCCACGGACAGAAAGACAGAAATTTAGCTCTAAGAAACTAGTGTTTATTGGCCCAGTTTATTCTTTGAAGGCCATATTGCACCAGCAATTCTCTGGACATTCACTTCTCTTCTCAACCTCTTTCTCCTTCTCGTCTTCCTCCTCTGCCTCTGATTCACCTCAACTGCTGCTGCTTCTATCTTTCCTGCTTCACCTCCTCCTTCTTCTTTCAAAAACTACCTTTTAAAAAATCATTTTACAAAATTGCATCATTAATGATAATATGCCTTAAAAGGCATCTTAAAAGGGACATCACATAAGTAATGCAAGCTCAGTGGAATCTTTTACTTTTATAGGAAAAGAATTCAGGTATTTATTATGTCCCTGCTGAAGAGTGAATAGTATCACTTCATCCAAACTGCCCATCCCGCACCCCAGCATTTCGTGTTGTTGCAGAACTGCTAGTTTAGTTCTCCAGTATAAATAAATTATTGGTTATAGGTAGACGTGAACTCAATTATCAGCTGTAGCATCCCACCTTTGAGGATATTTAGGATTATAACCATTGAAGGATCAGGATCATTGGAAAAAATGAGCAAGGCATAGAAGGACCAAGTGCGGGGAAATGAAACTATGACTCCAAAAATTCACAGAGCATGACAATTGCAAAAAAGATGCCATCAGCAAATGTGGTGATTTTCCTACAGCACTCAAATTCCTGTCCTGCATGTCAACTTAAAAGAATTTTGTCCGAAGGACATCACACAATAATCTACTCACACCCTGAGGTTTTCAAACTTTTAAAACAGCAATTGAAAAAAAATAGGGTTATATATTCCAATTCATCTGGGATCCCTCTCGATATTTTCTGATGATTGGACTGGTGACCACTTTGCCACACTGTTTAACGTCCATATTATTTTTATACTTACTGTATATTATGTTGCTCAGGCTTAATTTATGAGCACTTAAACAAAGGTGTTTGCTTTTTAAAGTATCTTTCTAGGTGTGGAAATGTTACCGAGTGAAAGTACAGCAGAAGGAAAACACTGTTGAATGATGTGTTTTAATATTCTTTGAAGCTATGGACTTTATTGAAGACCCCCAAAAAAGCTATGGCTCCTCTCCTAAAGGAGGAACAGTGCACCTACGCGTATGAACCACAGTTCTGAGCATAATTTCAGGATTTGGGTGGAAAAATATTCCTAGAGTATTAATTATTTCCCATGCTCTCGTAGGAAGATTGCAGTTTTCTCTAACTCATGCTTGTAGTTTCTATTTTATGCTCCTTCAGGTAATAACAGCCTACTGGAAAGAATCATTAAATAAACAAACCAGGTGAAGTCTAACAGGAGATAGTCACTCAACTTAAAAGAAAATGAGAGTGAGCAACCACACTTTTCTGGATGTTTCTATTTGGCTTTTATGAAAATCTTTTGAGTGTGGGAATTCAGTGTTTATAACTGTTAGATTTTCCATCCTTTGAACTTTATTTGTACAGCAGCTGTAAAAAGAGGTGAAGGCCGTAAATAGGAACTTAATCATCCATGCAAATTGTATTTCATGGCATATGTTACCATAGCATTTCAGAAGTTTTTGTAGGAAGTATCTATGTATTTGAATTGCCTGGTAAATATGAAGATGAACAAGGAAACTACATGGACCATGATTTCCATACGTTCTGCAAGACTGTTCAAAAATCCCTACTGCCATTGACATTCATCTCTTAGAAGTGGTCTGAAAAAGGTGTGGTCTGGAAGATGTTGTTTACTTTGGAAAAAAAGATTTTTTTTTTGTTCTGCTACTACTGAGAAACTTGAATCATTAGGTAAATGTCTCATCTAATTGTTCTAGTTAGGTTTTTCTCTGGAGAAACTGATCACCTCTATGATAATGATCACCACACATTATCTCCACATTTTTTTCCATTTGTAAAGATTAAACCAACTAGCCCTATAACACTGCACTTAAACGAATTTACAAATAAGAGAAAGATTAGTCACAGGTCCATGATTTGGGCTTCTAGTTCTCTTTCTTTTTTCCTTTTCTTGCCTATCCTTAGGGAAATGCACCTTTAAAAAGTGCCCTCATTAAAGAGTGAGATGGAAGCAGGGAAAAAAATAAATCTCAGTTAATCATCTGTGCTGATTATGGGCATGGTGTCTCGTGCCTGTAATCCCAGCACTTTGGGAGGCCAAGGCAGAAGAATCACTTGAACCTAGGTGTTTGAGACCAACCTGGACAACAAAGCAAGACTCCATCTCTACCAAAATTTTTTTAAAAAACATTATTAGCCAGGCATTGTGGCTCAGGCCTATAATACTAGCTGCCTGGGAGGCCTACGTGGGAGAATTGCTTGAGCCCAGGAGGTCGAGGCTGCAGTGAGCTTTGATTACTTCATTGTACTCGAGCCTGGGCAACAGTGCAAGACCTTGTCACTAAAAAACAAAATAAAACAAAAGAAATCAAAAACCATAATGGCAATAATTTAAAAAGGATATGTTCCTCTATCACAAAGTTGGTCACCACCACAATCATCATTGTTATTATTGTGATCATTGCAAACATTATCAACTATTACCATGTGCCAGGAACTATGTTCAGTGCTTTCTTTGCACTGCCTTAATAAACCTCACTTTCATATGAGGTGGGGGCCTTTGCACAGGCTAGTTCCTTTGTTTGGAATGCCCTTCTCTGCCCCTTTCTGATGCACACTAGCCCATCCTTAACCCATCTGATTAATACTAACCCATCCTGCCACCCATCAGACATTACTTCCTCTGAGAAGACTGCACTGTCTCCATGTCCTTGTATGCCCCCTTATCTTTCTGGATTACGAAGCTGCCAGCCATGGAAGAGCAGGGACCATACGACTTTTTGCCCAATAGGCAGTATGCAGCACATAGCTCATGACCTAGTACATGAGACTTTGTATTTGTTGAATACATGTGGCCCTTGGGCCATATATGCAGTCATATAGTAGGAAGTGCCACAGTGAGGATTCTATTACAGTACTTCTCTGGATCCAGAGATTTAACCACTGGAATTCCACCTCCTGCCTCCTCCTCCTCTTCTGTTGCCTCCTCCTCTTCTGCATCTTACTTTCTTTCCTCTTCATCACAACAGCATAGTGCAGTGTGAAAAGTGCTGGCTCTACATTCAGACTGTCTGGGTTTGAATCCAGATAGTACATGCAAAACACTGAATGCTCAATATTTACTATTTCTAGAATTGCCATCATCCCCACTCCCAATATGTGGGTGGGGCTGTGTCATACCAGACGTGCTGTTGTGTCGTTGGAATTAGCCAGGGCCCCTTCCAATAGAATTGATGCGCTAGAGCCAAAAACTCTGATCCAGAGAGGCATACAACACATATGTAGAATTGGATGAAATATGACAAACTAATAGTTTACTAAGGCCATGGAAAAGGAAAAAGATCAAAAACTAATGATGTAGCTAATGGTGATGGAAGAAGGATTCTGGTTAGAGAAAGCTTCAACCAATGAGGAAAATATGGGGGCATGTGAATGGTTCTAGGTTAGGGTACAGTGAAGCCTTGGATACACTGCTCCAATAACAGGGAAATGCTGAGGGTAGTGGATGAGAGAAATAGAGGGTACCTAGAAAAAGTTCTGGAAGCCGATGGTGGATATTAGTAAAGATATGGGGTGCATTGAGAGTTTATTGCAAATAGAGAGACTGATCCAAATGCTAGGTGACAAAGATAATTATTAGGTAAAAGGATGGTGCATTAGGATAAAGCATGGGTTTGCTACATGCTTGTTTCTTATTTTTCTGATTAGTATTTTCAAAGGTAGATTGTGCTAATTCACTGAGTATATTATTACCCGTGGCATTTGATAAGAATTTTAAAAATTTAAGCAATAAAGAAGACTATAACCAGCATCAAAACCTTTCTCAAGGCCAGGTGTGGTGGCTCACACCTGTAATCACAGCCCTTTGGAAGGCTGAGGCGAGCTGACAACTTAAGGTCAGGAGTTTGAGACCAGCCTGGCCAACATGGTGAAATCCTGTCTGTACTAAAAATACAAAACTTAGCTGCATGTGGTGGCAGGTGCCTGTAATCCCAGCTACTCAGGAGGCTGAGGCAGGAGAATCATCTGAACCCAGGAGGCAGGGGTTGCAGTGAGCTGAGATCATGCCACTGCACTCCAGCCTGGGCGACAGAAAGAGACTCCGTCTCAAAACAAACAAACAAACCTGTCTTAAGTTTATTAAAGTAATCATGATATGACAGACTCTGAATTTAAAAGGTCAACATGTAAGTAAATGAGAAAATTTTATATATTTGTGCACATGTTGCAAAATAGAGAAAAATCAACATATCCTAGAAATTGGTGCTATAATTGCAGGTTTAATTTTACCAGTGGTTACATTTCTCATAGTTTCCTGTGTTGGAGTATGGCCTGGGAATGAATGACCACAGAATTAGCAATTATCCTGTAATTTTAAAAGTGTGGTTGAATTTGTTTCTGTTAGCATTAAGTTTTCCACTTACATAAAAACTTACTACACAAAAGCTTTGGGGAAAATGGATCAATCTTATGTTCTCTAGTGTTAGAAGCTAGTGAAGATAATGATATCATTAAGTCAATATCCTTATGAAAAAAAGAACAGTAATGGCTGATTTGTATCTCTAAATAGCTACATTAATTAAATTCCAGTCCCCTGAAACACTGAGATTTCGGGGGAGAATACACAAATGTTTTTAAATGTTAATTTTGTACAATAAAACTAAGGTTATTCTGGCCATTTGTTTTATTTATAGCACAGGGAGACTTAAAATAAAAAGCTGGAAGTCCCCAAAATATATTATTCTACCAACAACAAGCTCATGCTTCCATAATAGTGTTATGTGACTTTCCCTTTATTCTAATTCCTAAGGGCAGGAAAACTGCAGTCACTTCTTTTTACGTACGACTTTGCCCAGTGCAGGGCACAATAGTGCCCAGTGAGAATTTGCTGATGAGGGTGAATACACCTAGTGTGTTAGAATTCAAGTTCTGGAACATTGACTTAGTCACTAACTACCTTGGAAAGAATGTAGGTAGGAAACCTGGATTCACTGTTGTAGAAAATTCTCAGTATGCCATTTTCTCACTCAAATGTTCCCTGGTTTCCTTAAGCAAAGGAAAGTGCGAGTGTGCAGCATTGGAGAAGCAGGAGAACTTTGATCACATAATCTCTCTAGACCTTGGGTTCTTGCCTGGAACACGCTGGTCTGTTACCTTGCAGTGAAGGTGGCTGGGTGGTGGTGCCCTCCCTCATTAAGAAGACCTCAGAGGTGAAAGGGCAGCAGGCATGTGTGTTTTCTTTCTGTCTGCCTGGTCCAGGAAGAAGATGGAGAGCAAAGGCTTTGGGAGGGGAAAATTGTCCCTTATCCAGGGGAGTTAGAGAAGCCAAATAGCTTGCAAGACTAGGAGCTTCAGTAGAAGCTCTCTTACGTTAGCTATGAAGGAGGCAGGGACATTTCACGTCTCTTCCTGAGAAACAGGAAGACCCAGCCCCACAGAAGGCTGACTTGACCATTATAACCCATTAGCCTGTTGCAGAGTTGCAGAACACAGGTAGCTCTTTAGGTACTGGTATTTGGCTGGTTTGAACTTAAAAATTGAAAAAAAAAAAAAAAAAAAACCAAAAGGATCCTCTTTTTCCTAATTCTAAAGGTAATATACAGTGATTGCAGACATTTTGTAAAATACAGAAAAATAGGCCAGGCACGGTGGCTCACACCTGTAATCCTGGCACTTTGGGAGGGTGAGGCAGGTCGATCCCTTGAGGTCAGGAGTTCGAAACCCCGTCTCTGCTAACAATGCAAAAATTAGCTGGGAGTAGTGGCAGGCGCCTGTGATCTCAACTACTCGGGAGGCTGAGGCGGGAGAATCGCTTGAATCTGGGAGGTGGAGGTTGCAGTGAGCTTAGATCACGCCACTACACTCTAGCCTGGGCAACAAGAGCAAAACTTTGTCTCAAAAAAAAAACAACAACAACAACAAAAAAAACCAGAAGAATATAAATCAGATAAGAATTACTTGGTATGGAATCATCCAGAAATTATAACATATTTAATTTTGGAATATTTTCTTCTTTTTTAAATAAAGTAATGAATAAGTACTTAAAATGGATGGGATCATAATATATATATTGTTTGTAGCCTTATAGTTTCCCTCTTAGTATATTGTGAGCACTGACCCATATCCTTACATGATTTTTAATAATTCCACAAAATAGGTATATAAATCACAACTCTATTTGGGGTTATTTACATTGTTTACAGCTTTGGAATTAAAAATAATGCAATGGGCAATGGCTGGCAAGCTGGCCAAATAGGAACAGTTCCAGTCTGCAGCTCCCAGTGAAATCAACGCAGAAGGTGGGTGATTTCTGCATTTCCAACTGAGGTACCCGGCCCAACTCATTAGGACTGGTTAGACAGTGGGTGCAGCCCATGGAGGGTGAGCAGAAGCAGGATGAGGCATCCCCTCACCCAGGAAGCACAAGGGGTTCAGGAACTCCCTCGCCTAGCCAAGGGAAGCCATGAGGCACTGTGCCATGAGAAACCATGCATTCTGGCCCAGATACTATGCTTTTCTCATGGTCTGTGCAACCCACAGACCAGGAGATTCCCTCGGGTCCCTACATGACTAGGGCCTAGGGTTTCAGCACAAAATTGGGTGGCCATGTGGGCAGACACTGAGCTAGCTGCAGGAGGTTTTTTTTTTTTTCTTTCATACCCAGTGGTGCCTGGAACGCCAGCAAGACAGAACTGTTCACTCCCCTGGAAAGGGGGTTGAAGCCTGGGAGCCAAGTGATCTAGCTCAGTGGATCCCACCCCCTGGAGCCCAGCAAGCTAACATCAACTGGCTTAAAATTCTTCATGCCAGCACAGCAGTCTGAGGTCGACCTGGGATGCTCGAGCTTGATTGGAGAAGGGGTGTCCACAATTACTGAGGCATGAGTAGGTAGGTGGTTTTCTCCTCATAGTGTAAACAAAGCCACTGGGAAGTTTGAACCGGGCAGAGCCCACCACAACTCAGCAAAGCCACAGTAGACAGACTGCCTCTCTAGATTCCTCCTCTCTGGGCAGGGCATCTCTTAAAGAAAGGCAGCAGCCCTAGTCAGGGGCTTATAGAGAAGACTCCAATCTCCCTGGTACAGAACACCTGGGGGAAGGGGCAGCTGTGGGTGCAGCTTCAGCAGACTGAAACGTTCCTGCCTGCTGGCTCTGAAGACAGCAGTGGATCTCCCCGCACAGCGCTCAAGCCCTGCTAAGGGACAGACTGCCTCCTGAAGTGGGTCCCAGACCCCCGTGCCTCCTGACTGAGAGACACTTCCCAGCAGAGGTTGACAGACACCTCATACAGGAGAGCTCCAGCTGGCATCTGGCAGGTGCCTCTCTGGGATGAGTCTTCCAGAGGAAGACAGGCAGCAATCTTTGCTGTTCTGCAGGCTCTGCTGGTGATACCCAGGCAAAGAGGGTCTGGAGTGGACCTCCAGTAAACTCCAGCAGACCTGCAGCAGAGAGGCCTGAATTTTAGAAGGAAAAGTAACAAATAGAAAAGAATAGCATCAACATCAACATAAAGGACGTCCACACAAAAACCCCATCCGAAGGTAACCAAGGTCAAAGACCAAAGGTAGGCAAATCCACAAAGATGAGGAAAAACCATTGCAGAAAGACTGAAAATTCCAAAAACCAGAACACCTCTTCTCCTCCAAAGGATCACAACTTCTCACCAGCAAGGGAACAAAACTGGATGGAGAATGAGTGTGACAAATTGACAGAAGTAGGCTTCAGAAGGTGGCTAATAACAAACTACTCCAAGCTAAAGGAGCATGTTCTAACCCAATGCAAGGAAGCTAAGAACCTTGAAAAAAGGTTAGAGGAATTGCTGACTAGAATAACCAGTTTGGAGAAGAATATAAGTCACCTGGTGGAGCTGAAAAACACAGCATGAGAACTTTGTGAAGCATACACATGTATCAGTAGCCAAATCAATCATGCAGAAGAAAGGATATCAGAGATTGTAGATCAACACAATGAAATAAAACATGATGACAAGATTAGAGAAAAAATAGTGAAAAGGAATGAACAAAGCCTCAAAGAAATATGGGACTATGTGGAAAGACCAAACCTATGTTTGATTGGTGTACTTGAAACTGATGGGGAGAATGAAACCAAGTTGGAAAACACTCTTCAGGATATTATCCAGGAGAAATTCCCCAACCTAGCAAGAGAGGTCAACATTCAAATTCAGGAAATACAGAGAACACCACAAAGAGAAGAGCAACCCTAAGACACATAATTGTCATATTCACCAAGGTTGAAATGAAGGAAAAAATGTTAAGGGCAGCCAGAGAGAAAGGTCGGGTTACCCACAAAGGAAAGGCCATCAGATTAACAGTGGTTCTCTCTGCAGAAACCCTACAAGCCAGAAAAGAGTAGGGGCCAATATTCAACATTCTTAAAGAAAAGAATTTTCAACCCAGAATTTCATATTCAGCCAAACTAAGCTCATAAGCAAAGGAGAAATAAAATCCTTTACAGACAAGCAAATGCTGAGAGATTTTGTCACCATCAGGCCTGCCTTACAAGAGCTCCTGAAGGAAGCACTGAATATGGAAAGGAAAGACTGGTACCAGCCACAGCAAAAACATACCAAATTGTAAAGACTATCGACACTATGAAGAAACTGCATCAACTAATGAGCAAAATAACCAGTTAGCATCATAATGACAGGATCAAATTCACACATAAGAATATTAACCTTAAATGTAAATGGGCTCAATGCCCCAATTAAAAGGCACAGACTGGCAAATTGGATAAAGGGTAAAGACCCATTGGTGTGCTGTATTCAGGAGACCCATCTCATGTGCAAAGACACACATAAGCTCAAAATAAAGGGATGGAGGAATAGTTACCAAGCAAATGGAAAGCAAAACAAAAAGCAGGTGTTGCAATCCTGGTCTCTGATAAAACAGACTTTAAACCAACAAAGATCAAAAAAAGACAAAGAATGGCATTACATAATGGTAAAGGGATCAATGCAACAAGAAAAGCTAACTATCCTAAATATATATGCACCCAATACAGGAGCATCCAGATTCATAAAGTGAGTTCTTAGAGACCTACAAAGAGACTTAGACTTGCACACAATAATAGTGGGAGATATTAACACCCCACTCTCTATATTACACAGATCAATGAGACAGAAAATTAACAAGGATATTCAGGACTTGAACTCAGCTCTGGACCAAGTGGACCTAATAGACATCTACAGAACTCTTCACCCCAAATCAACAGAATATACATTCTTCTCAGCACCACATCACACTAATTCTAAAAGTGACCACATAATTGGAAGTAAAACACTCCTCAGCAAATGTAAAAGAAAGGGAATCATAACAGTCTCTCAGGCCACAGTGCAATCAAATTAGAACTCAGGATTAAGAAACTCACTCAAAACAGCAAAACTACATGGAAACTGAACAACCTGCTCCTGAATGACTACTGAGTAAATAATGAAATTAGGCAGAAATAAATAAGTTCTTTGAAACCAATGAGAACAAAGACACATTGTACCAGAATCTCTGGGACACAGCTAAAGCAGTGTATAGAGGGAAATTTATAGCACTAAATGCTCACAGGAGAAAGCAGGTAAGATCAAAATCAACCCTAATATCACAATTAAAAGAACTAGAGAAGCAAAAGCCAACAAATTCAAAAGCTATCAGAAGATAAGAAACAACTAAGATCAGAGCAGAAATGAAGGAGATAGAGACACGAAAAAACACTTCAAAAAATCAAAGAATCCAGGAGCTGGTTTTTTGAAAAGATAAACAAAATAGATAGACCGCTAGACAGACTAATAAAGAAGAAAAGAAAGAAGAATCAAATAGACACAATAAAAAATGATAAAGGAGATATCGCCACTGATCCCACACAAATACAAACTACCATCAGAGAAACCATAAACACCTCCATGCAAATAAACCAGAAAATTTAAAAGAAATGGATAAATTCCTGGACACATACATGCTCCCAAAACTAAATCAGGAAGAAGTCGAATCCCTGAATAGACCAATAACAAGTTCTGAAATTGAGGCAGAAATTAATAGCTTACCAATCAAAAAAAAGCCCAGGACCAGACGAATTCCCAGCCAAATTCTACCAGAGGTACAAAGAGGAGCTAATACCATTCCTTCTGAAATGACTCCACACAATTGAAAAACAGGGAATCCTCCCTAACTCATTTTATGAGGCCAACATCATCCTGATACCAAAACCTGGCAGAGACACAACAAAAAAAGAAAATTTCAGGCCTATATCCCCGATGTACATCGAGGTGAAAAGCCTCAATAAAATACTGGCAAACTGAATCCAGCAGCACATCAAAAAGCTTATCCACGACAATCAAGTTAGCTTCATCCCTGAGATGCAAGGCTGGTTCGACAAATGCAAATCAATAAACATAATCCATCACATAAACAGAACCAATGACAAAAACCACATGATTATCTCAATAGATGCAGAAAAGGCCTTTGACAAAATTCAACACTCCTTTATGCCAAAAACTCTCGATAAGCTAGGTATTGATGGAACATATCTCAAAATAATAAGAGCTATTTATGACAACCCACAGCCAATATCATACTGAATGGGCAAAAGCGGGATGCATTCCCTTTGAAAACTGGCACAAGACAACGATGCCCTCTCTCACCACTCCTATTCAACACAGTATTGGAAGTTCTGGTCAGGGTAATGAGGCAAGAGAAAGAAATAAAGCGTATTCAAATAGGAAGAGACGAAGTCAAGTTGTCTCTGTTTGCAGATGGCATGATTGTATATTTAGAAAACCCCATCGTCTCAGCCCCAAAACTCCATAAGCTGATAAGCAACTTGAGAAAACTCTCAAGATACAAAATCAATGTGCAAAAAAATCACAAGCATTCCTAGACACCAATAATAGACAAACAGAGAGCCAAATCCTGAGTGAACTCCCATTCACAGTTGCTACAAAGAGAATAAAATACCCAGGAATAGAGCTTACAAGGGATGTAAAGGACCTCTTTAAGGAGAACTACAAACCACTGCTCAAGGTAATAAAAGAGGACACAAACAAATGGAAAAACATTCTATGCTCATGGATAGGAAGAATCAGTATCGTGAAAATGGCCATGCTGCCCAAAGTAATTTATAGATTTAACGCTATCCCAATCAAGCTACCACTGACTTTCTTCACAGAAGTAGAAAAAACGACTTTAAATTTAATGTGGAACCAAAAAAGGAGCTCATATAGCCAAGACAATCCTAAGCAAAAACAGCAAATCTGGAGGCATCATGCTACCTGACTTCAAACTATACTACAATGCTTCAGTAACCAAAACAGCATGGTACTGGCACCAAAGCAGATATATAGACCAATGGAACAGAACAGAGGCCTCAGAAATAACACCACACATCTGCAACCATGTGATCTTTGACAAACCTGACAAAAACAAGCAATGGGGAAAGGATTCTCTATTTAATAAATGGTGTTGGGAAAACTGATTAGCCATATGCAGAAAACTGAAACTGGACCCCTTACTTACACCTTATACAAAAACTAACTCAAGATGGATTAAAGGCTTAAATGTAAGAACTGAAACCATAAAAACCCTAGAAGAAAACCTAGCCAATACCATTCAGAACATAGGCATGGGCAAAGACTTCATGACTAATACACCAAAAGCAATGGCAACAATAACCAAAATTGACAAATGGGATCTAATTAAAATGAAGAGCTTCTGCACAGCAAAAGAAACTATCATCAGAGTGAACAGGTAACCTACAGAATGGGAGAAACTTTTGCAATCTATCCATCTGACAAAGGGCTAATTTCCAGAATCTACAAAGAACTTAAACAAATTTACAAGAAAAACAAACAAACAACCCTATCAAAAAGTGGGCGAAGGATATTAACAGACACTTTTCAAAAGAAGACATGTATGCGGCCAACAAACATATGAAGAGAAGCTCAACATCACTGGTCATTAGAGAAATGCAAATCAAAACCACAATGAGATACCATCTCACGCCAGTTAGAATGCCAATCATTAAAAAGTCAGGAAACAACATGCTGGAGAGGATGTGGAGAAATAGGAATGCTTTTACACTGTTGGTGGGAGCGTAAATTAGTTCAACCATTATGGAAGACAGTGTGGCGATTCCTCAATGATCTAGAACTAGAAATACCATTTGACCCAGCAATCCCATTACTTGGCATATACCCAAAGGATTATAAATCATTCTACTATAAAAACACATGCACACATATATTTATTGCAGCACTGTTCACAGTAGCAAAGACTTGGAACCAACCCAAATGCTCATGAATGATAGACTGAATAAAGAAAATTAGCACATATACACCGTGGAATGCTATGCAGCCATAGAAAAGGGAGTTCATGTTCTTTGCAGGGATATGGATGAAGGTAGAAACCATCATTCTCAGCAAACTAACACAAGAACAGAAAACCAAACACTACATGTTCTCACTTGTAAGTGGGAGTTGAATAATGAGAATATATGGACACAGGGAGCGGAACATCACACACTGCAGCCTGTCATAGGGTGGGCGGCTAGGGGAGGGATAGCGTTAGGAGAAATACCTAATGTAGATGACGAGTTGATGGGTGCAGCAAACCACTATGACACGTGTATACCTATGTAACAAACCTGCATGTTCTGCATGTGTATCCCAGAACTTAAAGTATATGTAAAAAAATGCAATGATAAACCTCTTTGTCACTAAACTTTTGTGCATATTTCTGAATATTTCCTTTTGATACATTTTCCACAGTAATCACATTTTTTTTTAAATTTATAGACATGACAAAAATGCTCTTAAAAGATCTTTAAAAAATTATTTTTTAAAATGCCACTGACTACACATTCACAGACACAGACACACAATAGAAAAGATTCAATAAATTTAAGAATACCCCAGGCCTACCTCAAATCTTTAACAGCAGAATCTCCCATTTTTAACCTTCTTGTGCAGTCACCAGTGAATTGTGACTAGACATGTCTGAGAAAGACACCTCATTTAAAAAAGCATCACCCCGGGTGAGGTTACCCTGGAGTGGGGAATTCGTGATTTAGTGAGAATAATGAAGTAAAGTCCAATTTGATAAAACCTCTCACTCCTTCCTTCACTTTCTCTGCCTTAAGGGAAGAAAAAAGAAAGCCAATTTCCAGACCTGATTTACTGACATTTTCCACAGGCTGGCTTTATGCTCATTTCCTCTCAGCCTGGTTGGCACTACTGGAGTCCTTCATTTTAAACTTCCTCGTCCTGCCTTTCACTCAGGATGGAAAAAAGATCTCAACAGCTGTCTTTGCATTGTCTCAGTAAAGGTTTTGCAGATTTTAAGAGAAGTGAAGAATTTAGCAAATTGTCAGGTTTTCAGTTCCACTCATGTCATTAGGCACATGAAGAACTGAACAGGCTTTGAAATGAAAAGAGAACAGATTTTATTTTGGTAACCAGTAAGCCTTCCACAAGCCTTGAATGAACTCCACGGGGAGAACCTGTCTCATGTGACTGCTTCCCAAGCTGCCCTGATGTGACCACACTGAGGCAGCAGCATGGGGACCCAGAATGGTGGCAAGCAGAAGAAAAGAACGAACAGAAACTGAACAGTATTAACACTCCAAAGGAATCTCAGTGCTGAGCCCTTTGGCTCATCCATGCTCTGCTGGGATCAGGTCTGTAGCTAAGGCTGAGGTGGAGCAAAACCAAGATGGTGGAGATGTTGGCAAAATGGAATAAAACCAAGATGGTGGAGATGCTGATAAATGGAGCAAAATCAAGATGGTGGAGATGTTGATCTTCTAGCCATTCTCCACATTTATCCTACTTTAGTAGCTTTATTTTTCTCATATGCTCATGGATTTTTAAAATATACCTGCATTATCAAGATTTTTTTTCCAGAAAGAATCTGATAGATTAATTATCTCCACACTTTAGCCTTTAGCAGAAGTTAGGGATTGATAAACTGGCAGGGCAGGTGAGGATGGCTTGCCTCCAAAATGCTACCAGTCATAGGGGGCTCCCTTTCTTCTTGTAAGGAGAGTAACAATGGCTCTTTCTATTCCACCATTCTTGGAGAACAGTAATTTGTTGAAGAAAATGAAATGGAGTTTGTAGGTGAATGTGCATTTCAAGTTATAAATTAAAAAATAAAACTCTAGTACCACATAAGAGTTTTCTATGTATGTCTGTTTAAAGTCAAGAATAGCGGTGATATAATAACAATAATCCAAATTGATCAGCAGTTATAATTTTTCTCTTCTTTTGCTCTCCTCTACTGGGTGTCCCTGAACTCTGCTTCTTTGAACAATGTTGTTCACTCATCTGGATTAGCATAAAGACTCATTTTGGAAATTATATTCCACTATTGCTATTTGTTTTTACAGTTTTCAATTCAGCTCCTACTTAAGTTATTCAACATCACTACCATAGTTGATCTGTAATACCGAGAGCATGCACTCTCCATCAGTTAAAAAACAATGTCCTTGAAACATATATTAATCCATAGGTAGTAGAACATTAAAACATTTCTAATCCATTTCACTGAAGTTGCTGTGAACTGCAGCTCAACAAACAAGGAGGTTAGAACATCATAACTGATGGAGAAAACTCAACCCTGCCATTCCAGGTTGGTTGCAAGAATGCTGGGACGGGAAGCTCAGGGAAAGGAATCCAGAAGTTCAGCATGCAGCCTTGGTGTGGGTCAGGCACAGCCAACTGCTGAAGGTGTGTTTTGTGTCCAAGCTGGCAGGTTTACTAGGGTACGCCTCTTGAAGATGGTGGGTAGCCTGATTAGAGCCTAGAGTCAAGAATGTCAATGGGTTGGCCCTTCTGATGAGTTATAGTATCATGTCCCAGGAGAGCTAGATTTTCACGAACTCATTTCCTCAAATTCAAGGTTTTAGATAGTTTCTCTCCATGGCTATGAGGAAATGAAAATAATTAACTATGAAACAGTGACTTTGTCAGTCTTAGTGTTACTGCCATAAAACTTTCTGGCCATATGGGAGGAATTTGTTTCTCTGGTCTGATGTGGCCTGGTGTCAGCTGGAGGGGATCCATCTCAGCACTGATGTCACTCCTGGCCAGTTGTGTACTGTGTGCTTGGGTATCGAGTCATGGTCTGAAGTTCATCTTCATTGATCATCTCATAGTGAAGTTAATTATTTCTGAGACTCTGAAGTCATGGTCTGTTGTGAGTTCAATCAGGATGAAACTAGAATCATTAAAGAATGAGAGGGTTACTTTCTTCCTGCTGACTGGAGAGTGATTTTCAAACACTCCTTAGCAGTAGACTCTTTTGGTCAAACACACCTTTCTGCAGAATTCCAATATAGGAAATAGGTAAAAGTAGATGTTCTCTGGTACCCCTGGTGTCCAACCACAGACTTTACCCCCAGACACAGCATGAAGCCTGCTCAGGAAGAGATACCACTGACCAAAGTGGAAAATTCCTCTGCAAATTTGTACGGGAACAGAACTTGCTTGCACTGTGGTAGCACATGGAAAGAACCTGGCGACACTGAGGAATGTCATAGGAAGCAATTCTATGAAGCTTATTTCTGTGTTTACTGCAGGGATGTTGTCAAGGATGTGGTTGATGACATTCCACAGTGTTTCCTTTATGATGATCTGCTGAAGAAATTTTCCTCTCCCCTCAGGATGATGATTAACCACATTTCTCCTGAGCAGCTGGGCAGTTGACATCTTGTAGGTATTGTAAATTGTGGCCTGTCCCTATGTGTACCTATAGGGTAGGGTTCTCAAACCTTACTGCACACTGGAGTCATCTAGGGAGGTATTTAAATGCCAATTTCCAGGCTTACTCCAGACTAATTGCATCAGAATCTCAAGAGGGGGATCGACATCTTTAAAAAGTTTTCTGGGTGACCCAAAGAGTAGCCAGTTTTGAAAAAAACAAAAAAAAGGTTTATTTAATCAGGGAGCCTCTGAAGACACCTGGTTTCTGTTGAATATATCTTTTTTTTTTTAAATGAGAGGATATCCATGCATATGTATATATACATACTAGCTTATGATTATTAAATAAATGGTTAAAATAGTCATCTTCTTTTAGAGTAAAATTCAATTATTCTTATAGCTTCCTCCTGTAGTAAGGTGCTACTTAGGATTTTCCAAGAAGCAGACACCAAGTTGGAATTAGATGTGCAAGAAATTTACCAACAAGATGCCTGGGAGGGAAAATAGAGAGGAAGCTAGGAAGGGCTGTGACAGCTGATAGTGCCAGCTGTTGGTCTGAACTTTGGGAGGGAGAGAGTGAAGGAATAAGGGGTGGATGAGGAGTCCTAACTTGAGTGCAGTTGTAGGTAAGCCTGGCAAGGCTGATGGGGAGCCTTGAGTCAAAGTGATCAGTCAGAGAAGCTTGAGGCTCCCAGGGACGGGCCAGACTTAGGATCCTGCCGTTGTCTTAGCTATTGATGGGGAGCAACCGAGTAGGGTGATGTGGGGGCGTGAGGAGCTGGCCTTGTGCTAAGGCAATGGCGGGTTTCAGAGCGTAGCACTCGGGGCCAGCAATCCATGTGCTTGCTGTAGTTGCAGATCTGAGAAGCATGTTTTTCTGGCAGTCACAGTATATCACCTGAATTCCTTGCCCCCCCGATTCTTCCCATCATTTGTGTTTAGAAATAGCAAAGGATTGTGAGGAGTGAGGATGTGTGACACGAGGATGAAAGAAAGCAGCAGGGTCAGGAGAGTGGCAAATGGGGCTTTGTGAAGGTTGCTGCAGGGCATTAGATGGAGAATTAGTCCTGGTTCAGCAACAGATCAAAGAGAAAGAGGCAGGGTGGGGGCAGGAACAACTGGGAGAGGAGTGAGTAAAAAATTTGGAGCAGGAGTGAATAGACTGCTGGTTAGACCTTAGCAGAGAAAGATTAAAGTGTGGGTGTTACTTGCTCATAAGAAATAGACGCATATTTTCACCTAAGGGTGGCTACCTCGCCCCATCCAGCAAGGCACATTTCAGCTTTAATATGAAGAAACACACGTGATTTCTTTAGCATAGTGGTTTTCTTTCCTGGTCTTATGTTAGAATCATTTGGAGATCTGAAATATACAAATATCTGAAACTTTAACAGAATAATTAAATGAGAATTTTTGAGGGCAAGTGCAGATATCAGCATTTTTTAAAAGCACCTCTGGTGGTGCCAATGTGCAGCCCAAGTTTAGCTGCTTTACCAAATGGGTCTAAAAACTATTAACAGAGCCTGTGAAGGACCCATGAATAAAATATGCATTTATTCACATAAATCTCTGAGAATAATTCGAGGGTACATGCATTGCATAAGATGCTTCAAAGTGCTAAGATTTGTAAACATTTAAATCATCCATGAAAATTGTGTTTTCAGCCTGACTCTCCCTGTTTGCATCAAAGACCATGATAAAAACGTTATCTGCTCTGTCACATCAAAATTATGGATAGAACCGCTTCCCATTCCCTCTCACACACTTCTTTTGGAGGCAGAGTGAAAACGGGTTTCCATTCTTAACAGGTCAAAACAGATCTGAAGCAAGAATGTATAGGCCCACTGCACACACAGCAGAAGGCAACTCCTGCCTGAGGGTTCACTGTAACAATCATTCATTAAATACTTACCCTGTGCTTGGGGGACACTGAAGCAGATATGTCATAGGACAGGATGACTACTGGTACTCCTAGGACACCCAGACCCAGCCCTGCTTGAGAATGGGGAGGTCTGAAGATACAGATCCTAAAAAGGTGGGGCCTTCATAGTGGAAAGAGGAACGCCATTTGGATAGACATGAACCACCCAGGAGGCAGTCGTACATTGACTGAAGGACTAGTGGCAACGGTGGGGTAATTTCGTTTTCAGTATAAATCAGCAGTCATTAATTAATGAAGAACTTCTTATGTGATAGACACTGCAGGATGCTATGGAAATTTGTCTCACCTACTTTTTGAGGGTTCTCTGGTGCTGGCTTCTCCTCTTCCCTGACATGTTTCTGTGGTAGGCAGAATAATGGCTCCCACCTCACAAATGTCCTAATCCTCTAGGCCTGTGACTGAGTTTCATTATGTGGCAAAAGGAACTTTGCAGATGGGATTCAGTTAAAGACTTTGAGATGGGCTTATTCAGGTGGGCTCAATCTAATCACCTGTGTCCTTAAAAAAGGAAAACCCAGCTGGGCACGCTGGCTCATGCCTGTAATCCCAGCACTTTGGGAGGCTGAGGCGGGCGGATAACCTGAGTTCAGGAGTTTGAGACCAGCTGGACCAACATGGAGAAACCCTGTCTCTACTAAAAATACAAAATTAGCTGGGTGTGGTGGCGCACACCTATAGTTCCAGCTACTTGGGAGGCTGAGGCAGGAGAATCACTTGAACCTGGGAGGCGGAGGTTGCAGTGAGCCGAGATCGTGCCATTGCACTCCAGCCTGGGTAACAGGAGCGAAACTCCTCTCCAAAAAAAAAAAAAAAAAAAAGGAAAACCTTTCCTGGTTATAGTCGGAGAGGGGAATGTGACCAGGGAGGCAGATCAGAGAGATGGCAGTGTGACCGACCATGGCCGGCTTTGAAGGAAGGAGTCAAGAGCCAAGAAGTGCAGGCAGTTCCTAGAAACTGAAAAAAAGCCAAGAAAATCCTTCCATGGAGTTTCCAGAAAGGAACGCAGTCCTGATGACACGTTGTCTGTAGTCCAGTGAGACATATCTCAAATCTGACCTACAAAACCATAAGGTAACAAGTTTGTGTTGTGATAGGCCACTAAGTTTCTGGTAATTTGTTACAGCAGCAACAGGAAACACATATAATCCCTGAAGGATCTCAAATCCATTTGTAGCAAGAAGAGACATGCTGCTTAATTTCTTTCGGTTTTATTTTTAAAACTTTTGATTTTGAGATAATTTTAGAATTACAGAAGAGTTGCAAAATCAGAACAGAGTTTCCATATACCCTTCATGCAGTTTTCCATAATGTTAACATCATACATACTAGTAAATTGATCAGTATTAAGAAATTAATACTGATTCAATACATTTAACTAAACTATAGACTTTATTCATATTTTACCAGATTTTCCACCAAAGGTCTTCTCTTTTTTTCTGTCCCAGGATCCCCCTTTGCATTTAGTTGTCTATCTCCTTAGTTTCCCTCAATCTGTGATAGTTTCTCAGACTTTCCTTGTCTTTCAGAGCCTTCGCACTCCTGAAGACTACTGCTGTTTGGTAAAACGTTCCTCAGTTTGGGTTTGTTTGGAATTTTCTTTCTTTCTTTCTTTCTTTTTTTTTTGAGACAGAATCTCGCTCTGTCACACAGGCTGGAGTGCAGTGGCGTGATCTCGGCTCACTGCCAGCTCTGCCTCCCGGGTTCATGCCATTCTCCTGCCTCAACCTCCCGAGTAACTGGGACTACAGGGGCTCGCCACCACACACAGCTAATTTTTTGTAGTTTTAGTAGAGACAGGGTTTCACCCTGTTAACCAGGATGGTCTCGATCTCCTGACCTTGTGATCTGCCCGCCTCGGCCTCCCAAAGTGCTGGGATGACAGGCATGAGCCACCGCACCCGGCCTGGAATTTTCTCGTGATTAGATTGAAGTCATGTATTATTGGGGAGGTATCACAGGGACGTGTATCTTTCTCAGTGCATCACCAGAGGTACCTGATGTTCACTTGCCTTGTTACTGATCATGTTAACCTTGATCACCTGGCTAAAGGTTTTTCCAATGTAAAATTTCCATCTCTCCCTTTAAAATTACTATGTGTATATTTTGGAAGATATGCTTTGAGACTATACAAATAACCTTAAACATTTGCTCACTAATTTTATCATCCGTTAACAAATCTTGCCCTCACCAATTTCCACTGTGCTGTAATTGTGGGGACTTTCTAGTTTCCTTGCTCCTTCTACATTTACTAGTGGGAGTCTGTAAAGAAAAGTTATTTCTTCTCTGCCTTTTATTTATTCAGTTATTATTTATATCAGTATAGACTTACAGACTCAAGGATATTTATGTTATCCTTTGGGTTATGATCTAATGCTATCATCATTCTGTGGCTCTGTTTTGCATTTGGCCATTGGGAGTTCTTTCAGGTAGGTTTCTGTGCCCTTTCAAAATGTCCACGTCCCCCCTCTCTCCGTGCCTTTTTTTTTTTTTTTGAGTACTGCTCATTTTATATTTTCCCTGTCCCAGCCCTGAAATCAACCACTTTTCCAAGGAGCACCCTGTTTCTTTTTATTGGGGAATAGCATTTAGAAACCAAGATCTGAGCATCAGATGAGCTCATTGCTAATGGAGTGTCACGCTTTCAGGCCCTCCCAGCAGACAAAACTCGAGATATATGTATGTTTACTAACCCAATCCCCCTCACACACATTATATATGTGTATATATATATCTGCATCTATCTATGCATATATATGTATTTTAAAAATCAGCTCACACTGATTTTTCCAACTTCAATCCCACACCACAAGGTTCATTTTAAACTTCTTTTTATTTATTTCAAATTTTTGTCTCCAATTTTGAGAAGCCTGGCTCTCATTATCTATAGTATGTTTGCTTATTAGCTCATCCCTATTATGCTTACAAAATTGTTTCAGAATTGTGAAACCTCCTCACTGTGGGGAAAAAATTTACCAGCTAGACTGTAGTGTTTGTGTGCAGTTCTTTTCATATTTAGCTTAACAGACTCCAGTCAAAATATTTTTAAAAAGATACTTAGGTTAATTGCTTTCTTCTCCGTTGCTTGTTTTTAAAATCTTCATTCTTGCAACTTTTCTAGTATTTTAAAATGTGAGATGAATTGAAATTCATTCACTTTCAAGTGCTCAACTCGAAAACATCTTTTTGGAGTAGGAATAGTTCTTTTGCATCTACTCTAACTTTAACTCAGAGAATGGAGTTAGAAAGCTGTGGCTTTAACACTTTGACATTCAATCCCTTTGGCCTTGTTGGGGGGCATTCATTCTGTAATATAAATTTAATAAATCACTGTGCAGCACTTACCAATCCTGGATAGCGCTGGCAATTCCAACCTTACATGGTTATTTGCCACATGTGTGTTTCTCACTCTTCCAGCTAGCTTACAGGCTTCCTGAAGGTCCTGAAAGAACTAATTCCATCTTTCCATCCTTTTAGCAGACTACCTTGGCCACAACAGATGCTCAAATAGCTCCTTCATCTTTATCTATGGTCAATCTAAGTACAAGACTATTATAGACACTGTGTGTGTTGAATTTCCTGTTACAAAAAAACAGACAATCTCTTCTTCCACCCAGAACACTCTTTCTTATGTCTCTTCCTGTTTCCCTCTTGCCTAGCTAACATTTCTGGTAGGTCTAGATTGAGCTGAAGTATTCTTGGACCTCTCTCTCCCCTCCACCGTCATTAGGAGCTCTTTTTCTCTTCCTTCAAATGTGGGCAGATCTAGAAAAAATCTGGATAAAGCTTCTAGAGAGAACGTATGACTCTGTGGGGTAATTGTTGGTTTTCTGACCCATCTTCCTAAGGAGGTAATTGACTCTTTGAGTGCTGGCCCTGGGGGTTCTTCACCTTAGTAAGTAGATGCTCAGCAGGTGCCCACTGAACAAGTGAGTGTATATGAGTGGTAAGAGGAGTCCCATTGCAGATGCACTAACATGTGTGGTCATCTGGTCTTGGGAGGACTCTCAAAGACTGGTGGGCACTTGCAGACAAAACCTAAGTGCACAGCTGTCTAATTTACGGGCACAGGACTCATTGGAACCAAAAAATAATTGAGAAGAGAAATAGTATTCATCAAGTAGCTGTTATGTGCCAAAAATTAATAGATAATTTTCATGTATCACCTCATTTTAACCTTCAACAATCTGAGTCAAGTGACTTTCTCTCATCATGTAGAAGAGAAACATCTAGTGTTGGGGGATAGCTGGTTAATAACTTGTCTACTCTTCTCCCAGCTCTCACATGATGACACCATGTTTCAACCCATCTCCCTCTTCTTCTAAAGTCAATATGCTTCCTACCATAGCATGTTATTTAGAGGGAGACAAATGCATTGAATTAATCTGTTAAAATACTAGAAATGAAAATCAAAGAGCTTTATTTTATAAAATATAATAATGATTGTTGAAAATGAACACAAATCCTTACATTGAGATCAAGCTGCTTTTCATTACAAAGTATGCAGAGGCAAAATCTATCATTGCCAATACCACCCTTGACAAGTCTGCTAAATGATGATTGAAACCCTTGAACTAGGCTTACAGGATAAAACTTGGAAAACTCAAAACTGGCAGGCACTTAGATATCCTGCATAATCACTGGAAGTTTTTTGTTTTGAACATATGTCCTGTCATTCTTTTTCCTGAAGGTTCAAACAGCCAAGAGGTCACGGTATTGTTGATTTCCATACAAGAATCCAAAGGAGCAAAGGCTTTCCTTTGATTTCAATCATCTCACGCATTGGATTGGAAAGCGGGATATCAACTCATTAAAATGTCATGCAATGTTTATGGGTCTAAACTCGGCTCCATGACACTTGGCAGAGAGTGATGAGGAGTTATTTTTATTTACTTATTTATCTATATTTTTATATATATGTAATAGGTGTACATATTTTCAGGATACATGTGATAAATTGACACATTCATATAATCAAATCAGGGTAATTGGGATATCCATCAACTTAAATATTTATCTTTTCTTTATGCTAGGAGCATTTTAATTGTTCTCTTCTAGCTATTCTGAAATGTGTGATAGCTTAATGTTAACTATAGTCACTCTATGGATCTATTCAAATACCAAGTCTTATTTCTTCTATTTACCTCTGTATTTGTATCCATTAATCAACAGAAGTTTTTTTAAATACCCCAATTTTTTTCAGATAGACTCTTCATAGACCACAGTTTTTGTTCTACAAATTATTGCGATTAGAGTGGGGAAATTTGTTACAGTTCAAAATTTTCTCCAAATATTGTGTTGCAACTAGTTTTGCTTTCTAGCCAATTTTATGCTCTTGGGAAGCAAGTTATCAGCAAACAAGTCTTCAAATGAAACACGAACTTTCACTTCCCCATGGAAGATCACTCTTCCACTTCAGAGGACACTCATTGCCCCCAAAGTTAGACATGTGAGGGGTCAAGTCAATACTTTCCACGTATGGCATTCCATTCAACAATGTGTAATTCTACTTTAATAAATAAAGTGGATTAAAATGTTTGACAGTATTACATCCTTGTGACAAACAACTTTCTTACTCAGAGCAAACAATAATGGATAGTAAAAGAGGAAGTGGAAAATGATTTAAATCATTTATTGGATGAGGAATGTAAACAAATAAAAAAATTAGACAGAAAAATGGTTAGCTGTTATTTGAAAGCCATCTTTACTGCAGCCAGTCTACCTAAAGAATCACGTCTGAAGTGATACATTTAGTAGTTTTTCTTTAAGGAATGAAAAAAAAACCCTTGGCTTTCTTTCCCCTTTACTCATGCTTATACAAAATGAAAGACTGAAAATCTACAAAATAATTTAAATATAAAAGAAAATTATGAGGCTACCTTTTTGTAAAAGATATGCATATGAAAAATAAAAATCCACCCTTTGAACTGAGAAGTAATTTTAATAGCTTGTTGAAACTAAAGTCTTACAGCTGCGCTTGGTAAGCCTTTTTTTTCTATTCTTTTTTTTCTCATGCAAATAAAACCAAGAAAAACATACAGCCATGCAAACCCTACCTCAGACAAGTCTGAGAATGTATTATTTCTCAGAACTCAGTTGGATTTATGGTTATTTAGTGTGGATTCTGTTCTTAGAAGATAAATATAGGAAATAATTTCAAAAGGATAACACTTTTGCTTAAAACAAACAATTTTCTGGCTCTCCCCTTCTCGTACCATGCTGTGCCCCTAGACTTTGCTATTCTCATTTCTAATTCTTTTTTCTTCTTCTGTACTTCAGCTCTAGGCCGTAAGTGGCACTGATTATGCCATATGTCCTCATACACTTTTTGGTGTGAATTCATGAGTTCTGGGGCTCTGTATAAGGATGTGTAATAAAAGCCTCCTTTTTGCATCAGACAAAAGTTCCTCCGCCATTACTTAGATTTTCTCCTGGCTTAAGCCAGGCTTCCATTGCAAGGCATTAGCTCTATTCAAGTCACCAGTATATCATGGTATATCACTTAAACACCAGAGAAGTACACTAGAGTAGCCACTCAGGGACTGTGACGGACACACTAGAGCTAAGTCAGATCCCAGCAAAACAAACTCAGAACCACCTGACACTTTATCTTTAGAGGTGGCAGGAGATTACACTGGAGGGCTTAATTATTCATATGGAACTGGAAAAAAGGGTTGCAGGAAGCACTTTTTCCCCAAGCCCTCTTCCATGCTCCCATATACATCGCATGCATGTGTACATGTGCACACACATGTAAATGTCAGGTGTTTACACACTATAAACAGGCTTGCAGTCAACTGTTGTTGGAAAGAGCTTTAGTTAAATGGAATGGTGTTTTCTTGTAGCTGTCACCTGATTATCTTCCTTCTTCCCCTGGGGTGCAGCAGCCCTAAAGAAATATCTTCCATTATCCAAAGCCAGGTATCTGTTTGGTTAGCATGCTTGCAGATTTGTCTCTCGTGGACCGAGTCACAGAAATATCAGGTTCGGCCTACTTTCCATATGACCAGTAGCAGGTGGAGTCAGGAAGATCAGGTTGGAGACACCATATAGCAGGCTTCAGCTGGACTTGGCACATGGGCTCAGTAAGGTTTCAGTGGAACTGGGGTTCAATAGGCAGAGACTGCCCAAGGCAGACCCACTGGCAGGGCCAGCAGCATCAGATGGATTGTGGGTTGCTCAGAAACAAGAGTTAAGATCTGATAAGAGAATGAGGCACACTGGAGCTAAGGCTAGAGTGGGAACACAGAAGCAACTGTGGCAGAAACAAGGCCTGTTTCTAAGGAGGCCCTGCAAATCTTGGGTTGACTTTTGCTGTTTTCCCCACCCAGCACCCACTCTCTCTTCTAGTGATTATAGCGCTCTGATTCTATTAGACCCACTCCTCCCTCACTATTCTACATGTGGTTCCAGAGAAGCCGACTTTTCCCTAGGGTCCAGGGTGAAGCTGGACTAAGCCAATCATTGCATTCCATCCCCCAGCCCCTGGGATTGGTTCAGGGATGGGCACAGTACCCAAATAAGGCCAACCAGGGGCCAATGACACTGAATTCCAGAATGACTGTTTGAGTAGATGGGAAAGTGGACTCAATATCTTTGGCTGGACCCAAAACCCAAAAAGATGTAAGGGCTGAATCTGCTGCCACTATCTTATTACCATGTGTACTCTTTCTAAAGTCAACACAGAGAAAGATAGCCTTGTGAAATGGAGGGAGAGAGAAAAACTAAACCTGAATGGCATTGTTTGGCCCCTGAGTTCAGCTGAACCTGAAGCCATCAAGTACTATCCTTAGTCTTTGCCATTATGTGGTTCAATAAATTCCGTTTTCATTTAAGCACCTGTATTAGTCTGTTCTCACGCTGCTAATAAAGACATACCTGAGACTGGGTAATTTATAAAGCAAAAAGGTTTATTGACTCACATTTCCACATGGCTGGGGAGGTCTAACAATCATGGTGGAAGTTGAATGAGGAGCAAAGTCATGTCTTACATGGTGTCAGGCAAGACAGCTTGTGCAGGGGAACTTCCATTTATAACACCATCAGATCTTGTGACACTTATTCACTACCACGAGAAAAGTATGGAGGAAACCACCCCATGATTCAATTATCTCCACCTGACCCTGACCTTGACACATGGGGATTATTACAATTCAAGGTGAGACTTGGGTGGGGACACAGGCAAACCACATCAGCTTTTTGGGTTGGGTCTCTTGTCATCTGCAATGAGATGGGTCATTTTCTGATACAGGACTACATAGAATCTCTCTCATTACCAATTTTGAGCCAGGGTGGCTCAGGCTCCTTAAAAATGCCATAGTTGTACATTTTTTTTTCTCAAGTACCCAAAGGTTATACTCTCTGGATAAGAGAACAGGGAGAAGGTATAGGTGAACCTATGACTAGGCTGATGGTATGATCATAAGGATGATGCAGGAAGCCTTCATCCTCTCCTAATCACAGCATTTCTTGGGTAAAGATGGTCCAAGTGATACTTTCACAAGGACAGTTCTGGTGCAGGTGGGCCCAGCAGTCCTGCAGGATGGCCCAGCATTCAAACTCAGAGTAGGACCATGAGATATCCAAGCAGTGAATAGTTCCTGAACTTGATAGTTTGAAGTCTTGAAGGAGTAGTCAATCAGTCATTGAAAACATTGGTTTCCAGTGGTCACTGAAGGCCTCTGAGACGTCTGCATCTCAAGTATTCTTTAGTCCACTGCAAGTACCACCATGTGGCTGGATTTTTATTGTCCAGACTGTGTGTGGTTTGTGAAGTATAACCTAGTAAATTTCTCTGGATTTTCCAGATTGTCCCATAACCTTTGTCTTAGTGTTTTCTGACCTGGTGTTTTCTGCTGTTTCCTACTCTTACTGGTTCAGAGCACATAGGCATGTGCCCGTTTGGCAGCAGTTTCATATAAAAGCTTACCCGGTATTAAGGAAACAGGTGCCCTCTCTGCAGGTCCATATACACTTCAGCCCTTGCTAGGAAATAGCTGAGCACTGCTGAGTCCCATCACACTTGACTCAGGTACTTGTAGAAAGAAACCAGGGCTGGGACCCTAAGGCCTCAGTTGGTGGTTCTGAAAGCCCTGGTCATGGGGTATTAGGTGATAGATGAGATTTGTGTCCATGATCTTATTTCCTGTACCATGGACAGTGTGGGAACTGCCATCCCACTATGAAGGGCTGGGAGAAGGGCAGTGTTTTTGCTGTGGTATCAGTGGGTCAAGTCACAGTGGGCTGGAGCTGAGATAAGGTAGGATGTTGGCCAAAAAAGTCAGGGAGGCAGTAGCGAGGGTGGACAGATTTATTGGCAGAAGTGAGGCCATGGGCTTGCTATCAGATGGAGGCCCTGACAGGACATGGAGGCTCTTTACACAAAAATCGAGTCCAGGGAGTGGATAGCACAGATCAGGCTTGAATAGCAAGGGAAATTAGGGTTGGAGAAGCAGCAGAAACAGGAGCAAGATCAGAAGCAGAACTGGGATCAGCCCCCATGAGTGGATTTATTACTTTGCCAGGACACTGAAGACAACTGCAAATGTGTATTTTCCCTTAGCCTACTTCTGGCATTGTTCTAGCTTTTGAGGGGTAAGACTCTGCATCTTTCTGAATCTCTTTTTCCCAAAAAAAAAACAAACAAAAAACTGTGGGTGCTGGTTAGTATTCTCTAACTAGACCCCTACAGAGCTAATATGGGAAGTCTGGCTCCTCCAGGTGCTGGAGAGGGAGCAGGTTCTTCCAAAGCCTGGAATTCCCAGTGGATTCTTCCTATCTACACCTACTTAATCTTGGAATGTGAGTTCTTGAAAGCTTGGTGGGTTTTATTTAAGCCTCGAGTGTTGCTGTCAGAGAAATCACTTTTATTACTTTGTTTTCTTGGATAACAGAACGTTTTTTTTAAGAACATGAAATTTCTCACTGGCCATTGCTATTTGAGTGTTTTAAGCAATAATATAATGTATATAATGCTACACATATTTTAGAATTTGTATCCTTCCTACTTACAATAGAGTTTGAGGAAACCT
Source organism: Homo sapiens (assembly GCF_000001405.40). Taxonomy (NCBI): domain Eukaryota; kingdom Metazoa; phylum Chordata; class Mammalia; order Primates; family Hominidae; genus Homo; species Homo sapiens. The sequence continues at coordinate 42,537,415 of NC_000013.11, forward strand.
GAAAAATAAGTGTTCATAAACTGAGACTATTGAAATTGAAAAAGAAAATTACAAACTATGCAGAAGGAGAAAACCAAACAGGTTACATTATCTGATATTTCTAAATAAACCAGGTCCTTGGGAGATACAATCTTTTTCCTGGTACTAAAAGGAACATATTGTGTGTGTATGTCCTAACACAAGGAACACAAAACAGCTTAGATAATATCTTCAATAGCAGTTTCAGAGATGATGGAATAGTGTTCATGAGTACGAGCTTTGATGGCAGGTTGTATAGGTTTAAATCCCAGCTATGCTAATTTCCAGTTGTATGTCTAGAGAAGTTACTTAATTTCCCTAGGTGTCAGTTCTTTAATTTGTAAAATGGAGACAATGGTAGAACCACTTTCATTTCATCTTGGGAAGATTAAATATATGAAGATATTAAAGTAGTTTGTGGCACATGGTGTTTGCCAATCAATAAATGTTACTGTTCTTGCTGTTTCTTGTGTGAATCCTCAATAGAGATGAAGGTTCGACAAAGGTCTAGTTCAAGAATTGCCCAAGGGCCTCTACAGATGAGTTTAGAGGCTCTAGGCTAACTATGTTTCATACTCCTCCTCATCCTTCAACTTTTGGGGGAACTTCCTTTAGAATCCCTGGCCTCCCCTTTCCCACAGACAAATTCTCTGCACCTCGTGTCCTCCCTGCCATCTTCCTGGTCTTGGACTCCCTGTAGCAGTGTTTGACTTATGCTTTCTGATGTCAGGGATTCCTATTCTGTTGTTCTTTTTACCCTTCCCTTCTTTTATACCTTGTGAAAATCAGCCTTTCCCAAGTACTGACCTCTCAGAAAACTGACAAATAAACATAATAAACTAATTTAAGCCAAGGTGTTTGTGATCGTTAATCTTGTGTGTCAACTTGGCTAGGTTACGGTTTCCAGTTTGGTGAAACACAAGTTTAAGATGTTGCTGTGAAAGTATTTTTCAGATGGGATTAACAGTTAAATCAGTATACTCTGAGTAAAGCAGATCACCCTCCATAATGTGGGTGGTCCTCATTCAATCAGTTGAATGCCTTGAGAGAAAAGACTGAGATTCTCCCACAGAAGGGGAGGAAGAAGGAAGGAAATTCTGCCTCCAGACTGTCTTTGGACTCAAGACACCACCACCAACTCCTGCTAGAATTCCCAGTCTGCATGTGTGCCCTGTGAATTTCTGACTTGCCAGTTCCCACAATTACATAAGCCAATTTTATAAATGAAACTTCCTACATATATATATATATATATATATATATATATATATATATATATATATATATATATATATATCTCCTATTGGTTCTGTTTCTCTGGAGCCCCCTGACTAATACAGTGTCAATACTTATCATGGGTAAATGTCTTATTTTCCTTGGTTGACATTTGCATTTTAATAAGGTCTCAGCTTTAAAAAGTGAGTGATGTGAACATTTCTGAACACCATCAGAGAGCCAGTTAAGAGTGGAGGGGTACTTACTAGTGACTTTGAAATCACTTCATATAAGCAGTGGTCTATTCATGAGATGGCCCTGGGCTAGTTCATATTTGGATTTATTTCCTCCTCCCTTGAAGCTGTGCATGGCACACATAGAAACGACTTTAGCTATTGGTGCATAACACACACATTTCTTTTAGTCTGGGTTAATGTTTGGGAATCACATATAAATAAAAATAGCCTTTGTGTTGCTGTGTGCATCTGCTTTCAGTGTTGGTGTAATTCACCTGTTCATCATAAACATCATAACAGCAAGGTTAACATGAATCATTGTTTCCTTAAGAGTCTGAAAGGAAACAAAATCAAATTTTTATCTGAAACTTCCTGGAAGAAAGCTAATCTTCTACCCATTACATTAGGGCAGAAAAATCAATCAGTCTAAAGTCAAAGTCTTTTTCTTTTTTAGCTATTCATGTGAAAGACTCATCAATAAATCCTCCAGAGTCATCGTGGTTCTTACAAGGGTAATAATATTGCATCCTTTCAGAAATGGGAGGACAATGATAATGTAAGGGCAAGGTGGACTTTGGAAAAGAAATGAGCTCCACCTGAAATGTGATAAAATACCAAATGGTTTTGGTTTCTACAATGCAGACTATTATTAGGGGGATTTTTTTTTTTCTCTGCATGAAAATCTTGAAAATTTATATTCATTGATAGAACATAGTTACTGTATTTCTTTTTTATTGTCAATGTTTTGACAATCACTTATTCTCATCCATTCTCACTCACTTGCCTGCTCTTTTTTCTGACTTTTGGTTTGCCTCGCGAGATCCTGGACATCATAAATTGCAAGAAGCAGAGGTTGTGATTCCATATCTTGCAATAGAAACAGAGCATCCAGGCAGTATTCTCCATGACAATGAGGAAGGAAGTCTGCAACAGAAGAACAATGGCAGAAATTTTAAGAAAAGTTTACCGCCTGGGACTATGACTCACCTTTTGGGAGAAAATGTGACTAACCCTTTGTAAGAGCTTGTTGAGAGCTCACTTTCCTGGGAGGAGTCGGGAGAAGGGGAGCATCAGCTGACGAAGAGGTGAAGGAGGTACCCAACAAGAAAAGCGTAGAAGGACCAGGGATTTGGGGTCGGGTCTTCCTCCTGATTCCAAGGGATGGCATAAGATATTGCCAAGTGAAGGAAGCGAAGTAGAGCCAGCAAAGGAAGGTGAACTGTTGTTTCATTAGAAATAATATGTTGTGATAATTATACAAAGTACTAATTAGTAAATTTCTTTCCAACCTCGACACTCCAAAAATCCCTGTACTTATATCCCGAAGGCCTCTTCTTCCCCAAGCTGGAAGACACGGTCACTCATTAGTCACCCACTGTCACAGGAGTAACAGAGACTACAAATATTGGACAGGACATAAGTGAGGGTCAAGCATCTGGATGCAGATGCATGACAGGATGCAAGTCTTCCCAGCTCTCATGGACTTTGCGACAGATGCACAGAGTGAGGTAGGGGAGGAGACGAGGGAGGATAGTGCAGAATGCCACCATCTGTAGCAAGGCACTTCCTTGGCAAGAGTGAGAGCTTGGCAGATGATGAGTAGCCACTGACTGGTCATTCTTGCTGCTGTCTTGTGGACAATTTCCATTCTGTGACTCAGTTACTCCTAAGGGTGATGTGAAGGTGGGGATCTGTGTAGTGACAAGATGGGTCTAGATTAGGGTTGCTAGACCCTGGCAATATTGATATTTTCAGCTAGATAATTGTTTGTGGGGGGCTGACCTGCGCATTGCAGTGTGTTTAGTAACATCTCTGAACTCTACTGGATACTCTATCAGCAGCATCATCACCCTAGTTATAACAACCCGAAATGTTTCCAGACATTGCCAAATGTCCCCCGGGAGGCAAAATTACCCCAGTTGGGAACCACTGGTCTAGGCTGAATTAGTTTAAAATCTCCCACTGAACCAGGATAACAGTGAATAGACTTGTCCATTACGATAATCACTGTATCTCTTAATTATATATGTATATATAAAATCTCGTAAACACCCCTCAAATCTGTCCTCTGTGCTCTGTCTCCAACACTGAGTTTGGAGCAGGCTAAGTTTTAGGCCTCGTTAGCCTGGACAACTGCTGCCTCCTAATGGGTCTCCTATATTCCCTCTTACCCTCCGCTATAGTTTGGATGTTTGTCCCCCTAAACCTCTTCATGTTGAAAGTCGATCCCCAGTGTTGGAGGTGGGGCCTAATGGGAGGTGTTTGGGCCATGGAAGTGAATCCCTCCTGAGTAGATTAACGCCTTCTGTGGGGTGGGTATGAGTGAGCTCTCATTCTTCTTAGTTCCCATGAGAACTGGTTGTTAAAAAAAAAAAAAAAGCCTGGAATTTCCCCCCACCCTCAACTCTTGCTTCCTCTCTTCCAATGTGATCTCTGCACACGCTGGCTCCCTGTAACTTTCTGTCATGAGTGGAAGCATCTGCATCCAGATGCTTGACTCAAACTTAGGTCCTGTCCGTGAGTGGTCCTCCAGGTGCAGATGCCAAATCTTGAACTTTTCTAGCAACAGAATCTCGAGCCAAAGAAACCTTTTTTCTTTATAAATTCCCCAGCCTCAGATATTCCTTTATAGCAACACTAAATGCATTAAGGCACCCTCTGAAAACCTATTCTCCACACTGAAGCCATAGTGATCTTTTAAAACACTTAAGGGCTTAAAGCCCTTTGGGCATTCCTATTTTCTTAAGATGAAGACAAAGTCCTTTGCTGCCTGGCATGGCCCTGTGTGGTCAAGCTGCTCTGCATCCTCCTCTCCTCCCATTACTCCCTTGTCTTTTGGGCCCCAACAACCTTGCCCCACTTTCATTCTTCCAGTGTGCTGTGATCCATCCAGCCACATGGCCTGCGCACATGCCATTCCTCTGCCTGAGAGATTGTCCCACTTATAGTGATATGTGCTTCTGGTGTTCATCCGTCAGCTCAGGCATCACTTCCTAGGGAGAGAGTTCTCTGACCACACAGAAAGAATCAGGCTCCCCCTGCCAAATGCACTGGTATCATCATGGAAGGCTCCTTTGTAGCACTTGTCACAGTCATGGTTTTACACTAGTGGGCAATTATGTAATTAATGTCTATTTCCTCTGGGTTGTAAGATGTAGAAGGCTAGTATTAACTGACTACCTCTCTCCTTCTCTTTATCTTCTTTCCTTCTTTCCTTTTCCCTTCAGTTTTTAAGGATACGTGGCCACCCAGGGCTCTCTAAAATATGACATCCATTTTTTCAGTTATTGATCTCTCAACCAGCCTTTCCTTCTTTACCAACTGTAAGCTGTTCCCTAGCCCCTCCACTTTTCTGTGAAGAAATCTTTTGAAGGACTTTTCTTTCTTTCTTTCTTTCTTTTGAGATGACCTCTCACTCTGTTGCCCAGGCTGGAGTGTAGTGGTGCAATCTCGGCTCACTACAACCTCCGCCTCCCAGGTTCAAGAGATTCTCCTGTCTCAACCTCCCAAGTAGCTGGGATTACAGATGTCCATCTCTGGCTAATTTTTGTATTCTTAGTAGAGACGGGGTTTCACCATGTTGGTCAGGCTGGTCTCAAACTCCCGACCTCATGATCTGCCCGCCTCGGCCTCCCAAAGTGCTGGGATTACAGGCGTGAGCCACTGCGCCCGGCTGAAGGACTTTTCAATGCAGTCTTTTGAATTAAAGCTGCTGGCAAGAAGTGCTGGAAGCTCTCTTTGTGGGACCCCTCCAAGGTGAGAAAAAAAGTCCCAGTCTTTGGTTCAAAGGAAAGGTAGTCCTAAGCCTTCCAATCACATCTCAGCCACAGCAGTGCTGCCCAGGGCTCTAGCATGCATAACTGGTGATTTCTTAAAAAATCAGATGGTGGCAATTAAGTAAAATCTAATTCATGATTTTTTTTTTCAGACAAACTGTACTTTAGCAGAGCTTTTCACAGTAGGCAAGAAAAAAAATAGTTAATGGTAATGGCTGATAGTGGTATTTCTGATGGGTCGTGAACTTGTCTGGCTCCTCAGTTTCTGGTTTGTGGTTCTATCCCAAGTCTGTAATGACATATAAAATAATAGACCACTTCTCCTGGTCATTCCTCCTCATTGCAAATCACATTTCTCGAGACAACACATGGAATTTACAGGATGTAAACGTGTCAGTAAAAATGCGCCTCATTCAATAGATTGCTACTGATTTAAGAACTCACACCTCATGTTCAACTGAAGCCTATTTCCGCCAACAGCTCCACTTTAAACAAACTCTCCTTGTTTCCATTTTGTCTACCCTCCATCTCAGCCCCTGCAGGCTGTTGAAATTCACTATTTATTTCCATATAAATGCTTCAGAACGTGTTATACACCAAGGAGTAATGAAGCCTTGAGCTTTTCCAGTCTTGACAAGACAGTGATGGGAATATAGAGCTCATAATCATAATGCAGAAACAATAATGGGAATTTATTACAGATTTCTATAGGTTATATGACACTTTTCACATCCATTATTGCATCCCAATGACACCTGTGGGATGCAAAGAGAAAATTCAAGGCCCCAGGCATAGATGGAAGAGGTATTCTTCTCCACTGGAAATTCCCTTTTACTTGGATTTCTAGTGTTAGCTCCCGGGGCCACATTCTTGTTTGCTTTGCAAACTCAAGGAGAAATACTCACTGAGAAATTCACAGAGGAGCTAGATGGGGGATTTAGCTGTTGTCCTGGTAACTGGCTTAAAGTCCATGATTGCAGAGACTGCATCTGTTTTGTTCAACACCATATTCCTAGAGCCCAGCAAATATCTGTTCCCAGAAAATATCTGTTTATCTTCTGTATGTGTGGAAAGTAAACACAACATGGAGATGGATGGGAAACCGCCCATGTAGACGGGAAGTAAGAGAAAATGTGGAAAATGAGGGAGAGTGGCAACAGGTGAGCTTACATTATTTTCATTCATAATATTCCTTATTCAATTCTATTATCTTTCCCAGGCTGTCTTTAAGACACCTTCTTAAAGGGATTGCTTCTTAAGGGATTGCTATTATTTCCATTGTTCATAGCTGGAGAAGAAAGAACGTAAAGTCTGAGTTTCCTTGAGTGATACAGTGAGTCTATTCAATCCTTTCTCTGTTTCAAAATATTTTTGCTACTTTTTTTGACCTTAAGTGGCACACATCTGTCTAACATTGTTGGAAAGTTCTGTTAGGGACAAAATTGTGCTACTGAAAACATTGTAGTCTAGACTAGTGTAACATAGAGGAGTGATCAGTTCCCAATTTGTATGAACAAATTAAATTTCTCTTTTGAACTTCCATGACACTGGAAGCCTTAGTTCTGTTGGAAGAATTTTCCTGGCACTTGGAGATGGAAGTTTATCCATCTTTGTTTTTTCTTCTCCACTAATGTATAGTAGACATCAACAAAGGAATATGTTATAAACACTTTCTTAAGAAAGGGAGATGTCCATTAAGCACTGATTGGATGCCCTGCTCTTTAAGATGTGAGGAACTGAAAATGCATGGTCCACTTTTTGCAGCTCAAATGTGGTGACAAAGCTAAGAAGTTAGGTAAGGACAGTATATTGCACAATAAAAAGACTGGCTTCTGATTCTCCTCCGAGGTTCAGGGCCTCAACAATTGCCTGCCACTCAGGCTTCTTATATTTGCCACTCCCTGCTTCTATCTCTTTTCTAATTCCCAGGCTATGTCATGGTTCTAAAGCTACAAAATCACATCACAAAACACACATACACAAGCAATTCCGTGGCTACTCATGATCTAATGGAACCACTCCACTGATTTTTTGAGTCTGAATCACTTGCTGCTAATTTGCAGTCTGACTTCAATTAGAACACTAACCTTGTTGTCCTTTTTTTTTTTTTTTTTACATTTGCCACTAGAAGATGTTCTTACTCATGCCACGATATAGGTCTAGGAGATTTAGGGAGATGTAAAGAAGAAGAAACGAGTCATGTTTTCTATTCCCAGAGGAAATTCAAATGCACTTAGAGTTGCTCCCATATTTCATTGAATCTGCATCACTATTGTTTGTTAATTTCAGAATTACTTTATACTCCATGAAAAAAACAACATGCAGCCAATTAAACTATGACACAATGCTGCTTCTTTCTTTGAAAAAAAAATGAGATTCTACAAGACATATTGTTGAATTTATTTTTATTTTTTAGAAATGGGAGTCTCATTATGTTGCCCAGGCTGGCTTCAAACTCCTGGCTCGAGGGATTCTTCTCACTTACAGGCATGGTGGTACATGGGACCACAGGCATGAGTCACCATGCCAGGCCACAATGCTGCTTCTCACAATAATTTTAATACATATTTTTATTTCAGAGATGTTAAAATGTGAAAAAAACTCAACAAAACATACATGTTCATTTCACCTATTGTTAGAGCCAGTAATATGGGCATTCCCAGTGAAAGCTACATTTCATGCTTTATAAAGTAGGCATTGTCAATGATATGAACTAGTATTTCAGAAACATTCTGTTTTATCACAATTATCATGTGAATTCTGAAAGAACTGAAAGCTTGGACCTTCTGACGGCTGTTTTCCTGAGTGTGGATGGACACGGTCTAATGCTCAGCATTTCACTTACATTACAGTTTTATTCTGCTTCCATGAGCCCATTTATTTGTTTTAAATCCAACATTCTTTCTATGAGAATTTCTTTTAAAATAATAGCCACTCTTTGGTGCCGTCCACAAATAACCAGCCTTGCACACTTGCTGCTGACTCGGCACTGCCAGTTAAACAGCCTGTTTCCCAGGGCTGTCGGGGTTCCTTCCGTCCCGCTTGAGGGATGCTAGGGCTGAGTGAGCCAGGACGTTGCAACCCTAACTGGCTTTGGAGGTACAAGCTTGTCAGTCAGGCTGCTGTCAGTCTCTGTTTAAAGGTGCAGTGAGGTTGATATTTTCCAAGGGAAAAATAGAAAAGTGTGGCTTGCTTCCTTCTTTTGTTTTATAATAGGAAACTTTGCTTGGTGAAGAATAGTTACATTCAAAACTGTGAGAGGTGGGTTAAGAGCCACTGTGATCGCTTTCGTCAGGAATGGTGACAGAATTTTGATGGTTTGCTTACTTGTCAATCAGCCTGGCTTTTGCCTGGGAGCAAGGCATAGGAGCTGTCAGGACAGAGGGGCGGGATGGAGAATGCTCTACATTCCTCTGTCAATTTGTGTAACAGTAGCTATTATTTGCTGCAGGCTTACTGTGTGCCAAGCACTGTTCTAAGCAATTCACAAGCTTGAGCCACTTATTTCTAATAACACATACAATAGGTGGGTAATAGTACTAGCCCATCTCACCAATAAGGAAACTGAGTGTTATGTGTTGCATTGTATCTCCTTAAAACTCATATGTTGGAGTCCTAACCCCTAGCACCTAAAGATATGACTATATTTGAAGATAGGGTTTTTACAGAGACAATCAAGTTAAAATGGGGTCATTAGGGTAGGCCCTAATCCAATAAACTGGTGTCCTTATAAGAAGAGAAAATTTGGACACAGACAGGCATGCAGGGAGAATTAACATTAAGATGGTCATCTATAAGCCAAGAAGAGAGGCCTGGAACTGTTCTTTGTCTCACAGCCCTCAGATGAAACTTCCCTGCTGACAGGGGGCTTTCTTCTAGCGTCTGGACTAACTTGGAAGGAACTCTCAGACTTGTAGCTTCCAGAACTGTGAGACAATAAATTTATGTTGTTTAAGCCACCTAGGTTGTAGCACTTTTTTATAGCAGCCTAAGTAAACTAATCTACTAAAGTTATGAACTGACACAAAAACCTAGGTGTCTGAGTCTGGAGCCTGTGCTCAATTTGACACCCCTCTCTGCAGTCCTTACTGAGTTGGAATGATCTCTCTGCCTAGGCTTCATGCTCCATGAAAATGGATGAGTCCATCTATGTGGGGTGCGTGGTTCCTATACATTTTCAATGTCGCACGGTAACCGGTTGTCTACCATGTTACATTGTTGGTGAAATATCAGTTATATTATTATTCCCCAGGGATTGACCCTGTACATTTGTCCTACGATCTGAAGACCCACACTGGGTCAGCACCAGAAACAGACTTCAGGGATGCTATTGTTCAGGTCAGCCTCTGGATCTGATGATTAGGGTCACTATGACCTATGACTAGGGTGCACTTTTTAAGGCATTTAAAGTCTCCTTAAATTATATCCCTGATCATGTCATTCAATGCTCAAAGACTTGGATGCCCATCCACCTCCTTGACATGCAGAATAAAGTTGTTAGTCCTTTATCCAGCATTTGAGACCTTACACAGCATTGGCTAGGCCTTCGTTTTCAGTCTTTGCTAGAATATACACACCTTTTCTCCCCACATGTGCAAAAGGGGAGGCATGCACACACTCAGACCCATTCTGGGCTCACAGTAGTGCTGGCCTACCCCTGTTAGTCCAAGATTCACCATGTATTTCTCACACCTCGCCTCTGGCTCTAGGTATTTTCTTCAACTTAAACTTCTTCCTTTTCCCTTTTTCACCTAAAGACATTCTACTCACTTGCACAGTCCCGTTCAAACCTCACAATCCCCAGACATTTCTCCCATCTCTTCATTTATTTCCCCTCTAACTCAAAGTCTCAGGACTTGTTTCCCAGCCAGACTTCCAATGCAGACAGTTATGACTCTTAGCCCGATGGGCTCTTGGAAGGCTCAGCCTTTGTCTTTTCAATTTTTGTGTCCTGCACAGTATTTAGCATGGCCTTCTTCATACAGTGGATACTCCATAAACTGTTGTTGGACTTAACGCAGTATGTAGGTCACCCCAATGCAGGCTTCCAGGCAGTCTCCAGAAAGTTCACCAGCCTTCAGAGATGAAAAGTGGAGACTGGGAGCCTCACCCTTCACTTTCATTTCAAGCAGAGCCAGCTCATAAAGACAGAATCACTCTTTCTCATGTTTTTCCTGGAAGACAAAGTGTGGGCATATGATCACCAAGTGTGCTTTGTGGTCTCAATTTCACTGTCTACTAGCTTATAAGGTTTTATTTTATTTCTAGACTTAACTACTTTGAACTCCAGGAGGAATATTACAGCATGCCCTGGCAATAACTCCTTTACCTTCAGTCAGGTAACAAAATGACAGCTCAGATAGCATGGTGGCCCCAAACAGAAACAACATTCGAGATCAAACTGGAAACTTCATATGGTCAAAGTTTACTGACTTTCTCTAGATTGCTTTCTTCATAAGAAATGTGAAGGTAGCGCCAAAGCAATATACTTCCCAGCTTATGGGCCTCACTGAGCCTCAGTGTCCAGTTTAAAACTGCTCTTGATCCTTGTGTCTTGATCTTGGTAACAACAACTTCATTAGCAGCATGATCCAAATCCTATGTCCCTTTGCCATGGGATAATTCATTTTGAATTTGATAGAAATTATTCAGCCCTTTTAGCAGGGTGTAATTGTTTAGTGTTAACCTCGAGTCATTTGCCTGGGAACAAATCCTGGCTCCAGTACTTACTAGATCTTAGGGATCCTATATATGACTTAACTTTCTGGACTTCAGTTTCATTATCCATAAAATGGGAGTATTTATTTATTTTAAATAAAGGACTGGTGTCTAAAACTATTATGATTAATTAATTAGTCAATACATGTAAAATGCATTGACTAGGACCCTGAACATAGTAATTGTTGGATTTGTTAGATGTTATTATTTTAAAGTGATCTCTTCACTCAAAAAAGGAAATGGCAGAGAATTCTATTGGCTTTGTTGTGAACTCTACCTCTAATTCCTTTCCCTCTGCTTCCTTTCTTTTTCTTTTCAGAACATGTTGGAAATTATAAGCAAACTTGTAAGTGATGTATGTATATTTAGTTTCATAGACAACCTCAGTGTTACTTTCTGGCATTCTTCCAAAGTATCTTACAAGTTATCAATCTTGCCAGGACAGAGTGTGTTTTCTGACCACTTCCCCTTTGCAATTAAGGACTGTGACCACTCGCTTACGCACAGACTGAGACCAGCAGCCTTAACCCCAAAGGAGGTCAGAAACTCCCAGCTCTCCCCGCCAAGGGGGCTAGCTGAGAACCCGATACTGTGTGTTTCAAGGCTGTGGCTAAGGCTGTGACCATAGGAACTGGGAACACCCACCAACACCCTGTTTCCCCCAGCCCCACTTCCTTCGCTTCAATGCCATTAAGCATGGTTGCAGCGCCTTTGTGAATGTTTTGAGTAGAGTTAGGTTTCTGGTGTTTATTGTTGAATTGCTAAAGATTTGGAGAGAAGACAAACAGACAAACAGACATACAATGAAGCAGATGACAAACACCCCTGGACAGACTAGCACTATGAGCAGACACGCTCAGGACGACCCAGGGTCCTGCGGAGAGGTCCGGGAAGGTCTGGGCTCTCATCAGAGCCCCAGGATTTGGTCAGTTGCTCTGCAAATAAAACCTGCCTTAGACATCCAGCAAAGAGGCTTTATTTGCATAGGAGATTTGCCAGTCTGGCCTCCAAGATAGTAGGTCACAGTGAGGGTGGTGGTGAGTTTTCCTGTTTACTGTCTACCTTTGTGGACACATTGAATGTGGGGGCTGAAAGGGGTCAGCAAGGGCTGTCTCCTCTCCTGTTTTCAGATTTGGTGTCTCAGTGAAATCCAGTGCTTTGCCTCTTTGATTGTGCTCTGTCTCAGTGCTTCTCAATAGCATGTGATGTGCAGAGAAGTAAAAGAAATGAACAAAGATTTCTCTTCTGAAGGTGTGGGAGGGCATGGGAGTGGGGCTGGTTGGGCTGATGATGGAAAGGTCAGATTGCATTGTGTCGTCCACAGGCTTTCCAGCTGGGCAGGAAGGCTTCCCCCTCTGACTGCATCATGGCACTTCTTGTACATACTCACTTACCCACAGAAACTAAACTCCGCATGGATAGAGGCTGTGCCTATGCGGTTGGCTATTGCACACCCAGCATCACCACAGTGCCTGGCACTATCAGACTCTTCGTGCCTATTTGTTGAAATGTCTACAAATAGACTAAATACATATCAGTTGGGATGGCCTTGATTTAAAATATATTAAGCCCCATTGCCTTTGTATCTACATTTGTGTTTGCCAGAACAATCATGCTGGCTTGGGGTTTTATCAATATGGTCGTTGCATCTGTTTTCCCTTTTCTATGGTGGAAGCAGGGATAGTGGTCCTTCAAGAGCTGGGAAGAATATACATTTGAGAACAGCATGTCCAGGCAGCCTGTGATTTCCTGGGAAAATGGACTCCAAATGCTCTTCCATCCTATTTGTGGAGTCTTGTCATATGCAGGCTTCTCCATCCAGGATTGATTGTAATTCCTTGAGATCCTGGAATCCCATCTCTCCTTGGGGAGAAGTTAAAAGTTTAAAGAAACTGAAGTTACTGGATCTGGTGAGGAGGAAGTTGAATGGCCCACTTTAAGATGATAAAAGGTTACATTTTTTTGAAGATTGTGTTGGCTGCAAGACTATAAATTATAGCTTAACATAGGAATCAAGAGCCTTACAGTTTTACCTTTTCATCTAGTAATTCTTCTAGGAATATAGCCTAAGGATAACATATGGAAATCAGTGAAAGATCCATACCCAGTAAAATTCATCGCATTGTTACTTATGCGAGCCAAAAGTGGGAAACAAGTTTAATGTCCAACAATGGGCAATGGCTGAGAAAATTATGGGGTGCAGCTATTAAAGTGGGAAGTAGGACATTTTGTTGTGGCTCTTTTGATACCATGGATGTTTTCTGTCCCTAAAGAACAAACCACTGAATTTCTAAGTCAAAAAAAAAAAAAGTGATATGTTTAATTCTTGCCGTCTCTGGAACCCTAATTCTTTCTATTTTTGACTCTAACCCTCAGGAGCTTTGGGGATTGGGTGGGTTTTAGAGATAGGATGAGGCCATCTACGATTCTCATAATTTGGGATTTAGAATAAAAAGTTTAGTGATTTATTCTTAGTGCCACCAAATAACTGTGGGTGTTAAAAGAAACATGACAACCAAAAACAGAATCAAACTTCTACTTAGGAAGATTCTATTTATTGATGATAAAACGTATTTATTGATGATATTGAGATAACTTATTGAGAAATACTTATGAGATAACTTATTGAGAAATACTTATAACATCAAATAAAAGCAAGATACACATGTGCATACATTTATATACATATATACAGATATCATATACTCAATTATTAACATTGATTTTCACCAGTAAATGATTATGAATAACTATTACTTTCTTCTTAATATTTTTATATTTTTTATAGATACACATTGATTTCATATTAAAGTAATATTTTATATTAAATTAAACTTACATTAAATATAACATTATATTAAATTAAAATTATAAAAACATTTAAGATTATAGCGTGATGGAGTTTGGTTAACCATAAAGAAAAACTTATTGATGGAAAATCAAAAAGTATTTAATACTGTACTTGAAATGAGCTCCTCAGGTAAAATATGTGGCTGCTTCCTCCTTGAGAGTTATGGGGAAAGAAAGCCAATTTCTCTCCCTGAAAGTTTAATGAATGTGAGGGCTGGGCAACCCTGGACCACAGGACACCTCTTGTGTTCTAAACCCCTGTTGAATGATGGTGACACAGGAAGGACGGTTTAGTGCTGCAGCCAGAAATGGGTCACTGTCTTGCTGGGCCATGTTTTTCTTTTCTTTTCTTTTCTTTTTCTTTTTTTGACAAATGCTTTGCAAGTGAGGAGGCTCAAACACCTGTCCCAGGGTATTTATAATAATGCCCTCGCTTACTAAGTTTCCTGTTTTTCACCTTCCTTAATAAGTTCCCTCCTTGTTATCACCTTCCTCCATTCAGGTCCCCTTTCAGTATAACCCCCATTACAGATGGTGGAAACCTGAGTGGTGGGGTTGATTTACTTCTCCCACTGTTTCCTATATGTTGTATTGTACTGGTGTATGAGTCATGCTGATGAAGTAAATGATAGTTTTAGTTAACAAAACCAGAAGCAGCCTAAGCTTTCTTGCCTTGTGCTTGGCTCTGACCCTTGCTCTTGACCCGTGAGGTCCAATTTTCTCAGGGATATAGATCCAGACCAGGGTAGGCATCAGAACAGGGCAGAAGAGTCCCCTGTGGTCTTCGGTAGCCTTTGGGGTTCTCCAAACATGGCTAACTGTCTAATAGAATGGCTATAATATGGCCATCCTGAATGGTTAAAGGAATCAACTACTTGTGATGGGCAATAAAGACATCTCATCTTTCAAGTAAAATGAAAGGCAATATACCTTTCATTTCATCAATACATTTGATTATTTGGGGGCAGTACACAGAAGAAAATATTTTATGGAGCAGGTACTTTGTTCCCAGAGAGCCTGACAAACTACTACTGGGACAAGAAGAATCTGATAAGAGTTACTGTTCATGGCAGCCTGGGTTTTCCTAGGGCCAACCTTGAAAGAATTGACTTGGACTTGGGGAACCCTTCAGAGCTTCCCTGGCCTCCCTGGGGAAAGACTGGATCCTGGAGCTGTTTCCTGGGAAGACTAATTTATTCTGGGAAATGGGAGAGGAGAAAGAACAGGGAGAGGGCTATCAAGTAAATTGACACAACTTATTTGTTACATTTAGGACAAAAGAGTCCAGGAAGGAAAAATAGCTCCAACCTAGGTCAGAGAAGTTCCCTGTGTTCCTCCCGGCTGTTTATTCAAGACAGTAAAAGAGGATCCCAAGAAAAGAAGTCGTATCCCTACTAAGAAGTCTGTGGCTTTACAGAGATGGGATGAGAAAAAGTCTGTATTTGTTTGCTAGGGCTGCTATAACAAAGTACCAGGGACTGGGTGGCTTAAACAGCAGAAACTTATGTTCTCACAGTCTTGGAGACCACAAGTCAAAAGTCAAGGTGTTTGCAGAGTTGACTTATTCCTAAAGCCATGGGGAAAATGATCTGTTCCAGGGGCTCCTCTTGACTTGTGAATGGCTGTCATTTCCCTGTGTCTTCATATTGTCTTCCCTCTGTATGTGGCTGTATTCAGATTTTCTCTTTGTATCAGGACAGTCATCAGATTAGATCCCAACCTAACTACCTAATTTTAACTTAAATACCTCTATAATGACCCTGTCACCAAATATGGTCACATTCTGGGGTACTGAGGGCAAGGACTTCAACATAGGAGGGTTTTTTGTGGGGTCTAGGGGGAAGAGGTGCAAAATTCAGCCCATTGACAAAGCCCATTTATTTCAGCCTATGGTAAACTCTGACATAGGAGTATCTCCTAATCTTTAGTGCCTGTAGGTCTGAGGTCCTCAATCCTTTTCACCAGTAGGACAGCAGTGGTAAAATTCAGCCAGCAAACATTGCATGCAAGACTTCACTTTTATAGCAAGTACTGAATGAACCATGTACTCAATGCCAGCCTAGCTGGACCTGCTGTCCTTCTAAATGGAGCAATTGCAGAAAAAGCAAAGTTCTATGGTGAATCCAAACAGTCTGAAACCATGAAGCTGGGCAGTCTGGCTGTGTGGTGCAGCCCATTCATTATGGTGTGTCCTGATCATGTTTATTTGTCTAAACTCTTCTTGGTGTTGCCAAACTGCCCTCCTTGGACATTAAACAACAGAAGAGTGAGAAGCCATGCAGTTGTAGTCATCTGTGGCTGCAGGTCTATGGTGAGGAGGCCCAGCCAGACTAATAGGGAGATCTGGGACACAGGGAGCCATGCTGTGTCTCACCGGGATGGGGCCCTACAAGCCCCAGGTTCCATGGGGCACAGTTTTGGTGTGACTGGTGGGGTCCCTAGAGCCAACGGCCATCTCCTTTATCATCAGCCAAAAGTTGTTCAGGTTAAACTGATGGACTGGGGGGAGGGAGATGGGTGATGAGGAGAGGGAAACGCTCTCAAGTCCTTTCCTAAATGCCTTTTTCCTGCCCCAGACTGTGGTAAAATAGAGCAGAGACCAGCTGGCCAGCCTTGTTTGTTTAAGTTGTTGACTAATCTCTGAGTTCATGTGCTGAGCTGGTTCATGAAGTTCTTGAACTTTTATTATCCTTGGACTTCTGACACAATGAGAATGAAATAAGAAACTGCTACTATATTTAAAAGCAGCCTATAAGATTGAGTGACTTAAATGTTTGACTTTGAATCCAAAGATTCAAGGAATTAAAAAAATTGTATAATATTCACTGAGAGCTACTCTGTGCCAGGCACTTATTTGAAATATAATGTTTTAAATGCAAAATGCTAATAAGCAAATGTAAATAAGAGATTCTAGAAAGTGGATATAGATTTGCGCTCTCCATTGTGGCAGCCACATTTCAGGTGTCCATAGCCACACATGGCTAATGGCTGCCATACTGGACAGTACAGATAGAGAACATTCTCATCACTGCAGAATGTTCTAGTGGATACAGATAATGAACAATAAATATGGACTTATATAGAATATTTTTTGTTTCAAAACATTTTGCAAACTGCAGTTTATCACACCTGGAAGGGCCAGTTAAGACTGCTAATTTGTATGTCAGGACTGGAAATAACCTTAAAGATTACTGAGATTAACGACCCACCCAATGATTAATCCACTCTACAACTTCCCCACCAAGCCTCTGTCCAAGTTGGGCTTGAAAATTCCAACAATAGACATTTACCTTCAAAGGCACTAGATTTTATCTGAACTTTCTGTAGTCCAAGATGGTTAGTATAATTCAGTACATGGCTCTTAGAAATGCTAATTTTTCTTTGAAAATATTAAGAAATTTTATATTCTTATAAATGCCTTTAGAGATGAGTCATACAATTTCCATAAAAATTGTGTATAGAAAGGGTAAATGTCAAATGTAAGTGTAAATGTCCAAAATAAAATGAGGTTATGCAGTCTGCCCACTTGTCCTGCGGTGTCCTTAAGTATGTTAATAATAATAATAATAAAGAGTTTATCAGCTTAAGGAGATTTTGGGCTGAGACAATGGGGTTTTCTAGATATACAATCATGTCATCTGCAAACAGGGACAATTTGACTTCCTCTTTTCCTAATTGAATACCCTTTATTTCCTTCTCCTGCCTAATTGCCCTGGCCAGAACTTCCAACACTATGTTGAATAGGAGTGGTGAGAGAGGGCATCCCTGTCTTGTGCCAGTTTTCAAAGGGAATGTTTCCAGTTTTTGCCCATTCAGTATGATATTGGCTGTGGGTTTGTCATAGATAGCTCTTATTATTTTGAGATATGTTCCATCAATACCTAATTTATTGAGAGCTTTTAGCATGAAGGTTGTTGAATTTTGTCAAAGGCCTTTTCTGCATCTATTGAGATAATCATGTGGTTTTTGTCTTTGGTTCTGTTTATATGCTGGATTACATTTATTGATTTGCTTATGTTGAACCAGCCTTGCATCCCAGGGATGAAGCCCACTCGATCATGGTGGATAAGCTTTTTGATGTGCTGCTGGATTTGGTTTGCCAGTATTTTATTGAGGATTTTTGCATCAATGTTCATCAAGGATATTGGTCTAAAATTCTCTTTTTTGGTTGTGTCTCTGCCCGGCTTTGGTGTCAGGATGATGCTGGCCTCATAAAATGAGTTAGGGAGGATTCCCTCTTTCTCTATTGATTGGGATAGTTTCAGAAGGAATGGTACCAGTTCCTCCTTGTACCTCTGGTAGAATTTGGCTGTGAATCCATCTGGTCCTGGACTCTTTTTGGTTGGTAAGCTATTGATTATTGCCACAATTTCAGATCCTGTTATTGGTCTATTCAGAGATTCAACTTCTTTCTGGTTTAGTCTTGGGAGAGTGTATGTGTCAAGGAATTTATCCATTTCTCCTAGATTTTCTAGTTTATTTGCATAGAGGTGTTTGTAGTATTCTCTGATGGTAGTTTGTATTTCTGTGGGATCGGTGGTGATATCCCCTTTATCATTTTTTATTGTGTCTATTTGATTCTTCTCTGTTTTTTTCTTTATTAGTCTTGCTAGCGGTCTAACAATTTTGTTGATACTTTCAAAAAACCAGCTCCTGGATTCATTAATTTTTTGAAGGATTTTTTTTGTCTCTATTTCCTTCAGTTCTGCTCTGATTTTAGTTATTTCTTGCCTTCTGTTAGCTTTTGAATGTGTTTGCTCTTGCTTTTCTAGTTCTTTTAATTGTGATGTTAGGGTGTCAATTTTGGATCTTTCCTGCTTTCTCTTGTGGGCATTTAGTGCTATAAATTTCCCTCTACACACTGCTTTGAATGTGTCCCAGAGATTCTGGTATGTTGTGTCTTTGTTCTCGTTGGTTTCAAAGAACATCTTTATTTCTGCCTTCATTTCGTTATGTAGCCAGTAGTCATTCAGGAGCAGGTTGTTCAGTTTCCATGTAGTTGAGCGGTTCAGCAAAGTCTCAGGATGCAAAATCAGTGTACAAAAATCACAAGCATTCTTATACACCAATAACAGACAAACAGAGAGCCAAATCTTGAGTGAACTCCCATTCACAATTGCTTCAAAGGGAATAAAATACTTAGGAATCCAATTTACAAGGGATGTGAAGGACCTCTTCAAGGAGAACTGCAAACCACTGCTCAATGAAATAAAAGAGGATACAAACAAATGGAAGAACATTCCATGCTCATGGGTAGGAAGAATCGATATCGTGAAAATGGCCATACTGCCCAAGGTAATTTATAGATTCAATGCCATCCCCATCAAGCTACCAATGACTTTCTTCACAGAATTGGAAAAAAACTACTTTAAAGTTCATATGGAACCAAAAAAGAGCCTGCCAAGTCAATCCTAAGCCAAAAGAACAAAGCTGGAGGCATCACGCTACCTGACTTCAAACTGTACTACAAGGCTACAGTAACCAAAACAGCATGGTACTGGTACCAAAACAGAGATATAGATCAATGGAACAGAACAGAGCCCTCAGAAATAACACCGCATATCTACAACTATCTGATCTTTGACAAACCTGAGAAAAACAAGCAATGGGGAAAGGATTCCCTATTTAATAAATGGTGCTGGGAAAACTGGCTAGCCATATGTACAAAGCTGAAACTGGATCCCTTCCTTACACCTTATACAAAAATTAATTCAAGATGGATTAAAGACTTAAACGTTAGATTTAAAACCATAAAAACCCTAGAAGAAAACCTACGTATTACCATTCAGGACATAGGCATGGGCAAGGACTTCATGTCTAAAACACCAAAAGCAATGGCAACAAAAGCCAAAACTGACAAATGGGATCTAATTAAACTAAAGAGCTTCTGCACAGCAAAAGAAACTACCATCAGAGGGAACAGGCAACCCACAAAATGGGAGAAAATTTTTGCAACCTACTCATCTGACAAAGGGCTAATATCCAGAATCTACAATGAACTCAAACAAATTTACAAGAAAAAAGCAAACAACCCCATCAAAAAGTGGGCAAAGGATATGAACAGACACTTCTCAAAAGAAGACATTTATGCAGCCAAAAGACACATGAAAAAATGCTCATCATCACTGGCCATCAGAGAAATGCAAATCAAAACCACAATGAGATACCATCTCACACCAGTTAGAATGGCAATCATTAAAAAGTCAGGAAACAACAGGTGCTGGAGAGGATGTGGAGAAATAGGAACACTTTTACACTGTTGGTGGGACTGTAAACTAGTTCAACCATTGTGGAAGTCAGTGTGGCGATTCCTCAGGGATCTAGAACTGGAAATACCATTTGACCCAGCCATCCCATTACTGGGTATATACCCAAAGGACTAAAAATCATGCTGCTATAAAGACACATGCACACTTATGTTTATTGCGGCACTATTCACAATAGCAAAGACTTGGAACCAATCCAAACGTCCAACAATGATACACTGGATTAAGAAAATGTGGCACATATACACCATGGAATACTATGCAGCCATAAAAAATGATGAGTTCATGTCCTTTGTAGGGACATGGATGAAATTGGAAATCATCATTCTCCGTAAACTATCGCAAGGACAAAAAACCAAACACTGCATATTCTCACTCATAGGTGGGAATTGAACAATGAGAACACGTGGACACAGGAAGGGGAACATCACACTCTGGGGACTGTTGTGCGGTGGGGGGAAGGGGGAGGGATAGCATTAGGAGATATACCTAATGCTAAATGACAAGTTAATGGGTGCAGCACGCCAACATGGCACATGTATACATATGTAACTAACCTGCACATTGTGCACATGTACCCTAAAACTTAAAGTATAATAATAATTAAAAAAAGAAAGAAAAAAGAATATTAAAAAAAAGAGCTTAGGCATATTAACATGCTAACAGATGACTTACTATGAAGAATGATCTTACGTATTTCTCAATAATTTTTTTCTCAAAAAAACTTTACAATTGAAAAATAAGTAAATGTTCTAGATAAAAAATTAATCTTACCTTTTATAACATACACCTTGAGAGAATTATAACCAATCACAGTAGAAATACTTAAATATTTTCTTTTTTTTTTTTTTTTTTGAGACAGTGTATTGCTCTGTCACCCAGGCAAGGCACATCTCGGCTCACTGCAACCTCTGCCTCCTGGGTTCAAGTGATTCTCCTGCCTCAGCCTCCCGAGTAGCTGAGATTACAGGCACACACCACCACACCTGGCTACTTTTTGTATTTTTAGTAGAGACGGGGTTTCACCATGTTAGCAAGGCTGGTCTTGAACTCCTGACCTAAAGTGATCCACCTACCTCGGCCTCTCAAAGTGCTGGGATTACAGGCGTGAGCTACCACGCCCGACCATATTTTCATGGAATGCCTCTACTTGAGTAAACAGGGTATGCTGATGTACTCCGACTTTTCCTCAAGGTCTTGCCATGGTCGACACCATGGGCCTGAATGGGACCATCGCACTGCTAAGGGGCACCTGCTGGGTGAGGCTGCAGCTGTCCTATTGCGTGTTCCTTGTTTCCTGTGGGATTCTTCTGGCTCCTCCCCAGCTTTCACCTATCATTTCTAATGGCCAGTGGCTGTCCTTTACTATAGGGAATGTCCAGCCAGTGCTTCGATTTTTCTCTCTTTTCATATACACTGGATTTATTTTCAAAGATAAGAGCCAGAATGATTACTCAAGATTCATTATGCTGCCACCAAGGAAAGTGCATGGACTTTGTGACAGCGCTTTTCCTTGGTGCCTTTCCTCCTACTTACAGGGCTGACTGATGTTGATGGAAATCTGACTGGCTGAATAATGATGCTGTCTAGTAGTCATTTTAACAACAACAACAAAAGTATAATAATGAAAAGAAGAATGGTGAGAACAACATGCATATATTAAGCACTGTTCTAAGGATTTGGTATAGATTGATTCATATTATACTTAAAACAACCCCATAAGCACTGAATCAGACCATTGCACCACTTAGGTGTACCAGCAGTGGGACCCTGTAACCACTCCCATTGAGTGTTTTGTCTTTCAAATGATGAAACTAAGGCACAGAAATATCACCCAGCCAGTAAGTGGCAGATCCTGGAATGAATCACAGGACATGTGGGCTCAGAGTCCCTCTTTTTAGCCACTTTGTTTTAGGATAGATTTCTAAAGCTTTCATTCTGTAATGGAGCATGAATATATTCATGTGTAAGACAATCACTTATTTCTATCCTTTTATTTTGCAGGGGGTAACTTTGGTAAAACCTGTGTACAGTTTCATGAGAGGGAGCTTGTTATAACAGGGAGATACATAAGATCCCCAGTCAGGCAGAGCTGATACTGAGAGGTGACAGCATGCTGGCAGCCCTCGCAGCCCTCGCTCTCGGGGCCTCCTCGGCCTTGGCACCCACTCTGGCCGCGCTTGAGGAGCCCTTCAGCCTGCGCTGCACTGTAGGAGCTCCTTTCTGGGCTGGCCAAGGCCAGAGCCAGCTCCCTCAGCTTGCGGGGAGGTGTGGAGGGAGAGGCCCGGGCGGGAACCAGGGCTGCGCTCGGTGCTTGCCGGCCAGCGCAAGTTCCGGGTGGGAGTGGGCTCTGTGGGCCCGCACTCGGAGCGGCCGGCGGGCCCCGCAGCCCCGGGCAGTGACGGGCTTAGCACCTGGGCCAGCAGCTGCTGTGCTCAATTTCTCGCCGGGCCTTAGCTGCCTTCCCTTGGGGCAGGGCTCGGGACCTGCAGCCCGCCATGCCTGAGCCTCCCCCGACCTCCGTGGGCTCCTGTGCAGCCGGAGCCTCCCTGATAAGCGCCGCCCCCTGCTCCATGGCACCCAGTCCCGTCGACCACCCAAGGGCTGAGGAGTGCGGGCACACGGCTCAGGACTGGCAGGTGGGATCCACTGGGTGAAGCCAGCTGGGCTCCTCAGCCTGGTGGGGACTTGGAGAACCTTTATGTCTAGCTAAGGGATTGTAAATACACCAATCGGCACTCTGTATCTAGCTCAAGGTTTGTAAACACACCAATCAGCACACTGTGTCTAGCTCAGGGTTTGTGAATGCACCAGTCGACACTCTGTATCTAGCTACTCTGGTGGGGACTTGGAGAACCTTTGTGTCCACACTCTGTATCTAGCTAATCTAGTGAGAAGGTGGAGAACTTTTGTGTCTAGCTCAGGGATTGTAAACGCACCAATCAGCACCCTGTCAAAACGGACCAATCAGCTTTCTGTAAAATGGACCAATCGACTCTCTGTAAAATGAACCAATCAGCAGGATGTGGGTGGGGCCAGATAAGAGAATAAAAGCAGGCTGCCCTGGCCACCAGTGGCAACTCGCTGGGGTCTCCTTGGTCACTGTGGAAGCTTTGTTCTTTACCTCTTGGCAGTAAATCTTGCTACTGCTCTCTCTTTGGGTCCACACGGCTTTTATGAGCTGTAACACTCAGCGTGAAGGTCTGCAGCTTCACTCCTGAAGCCAGCGAGACCACGAACCCACCGGGAGGAATGAACAACTCCAGACGTGCCGCGTTAAGAGCTGTAACACTTCTTGTGAGGGTCCGCAGCTTCATTCTTGAAGTCAGTGAGACCAAGAACCCACCAATTCTGGACACAATATGACATTGGTTCAGGCATTCAATCCTTAAGAAAGCTCCATCTGGATATCTCAGTTTTTACTCTTTTTATTCTACCTTTCCTGGAAGGCTGGCAGTACTTTGTTTGCAGGTGGTACATGTGTATTGTTGTAGTGATGATATCTTCCCCAGTGGGTATGTCTGATAGGTGTTTGTTCAGAAAGATCATACTGTATACATGTTTGCATCTGTATTACTGCTTCGATGTTTTCAGATTCAGGAGGATCCACTGTATTCAACAACACTAATAAAGAGCCTACTATGTGCAGGAATTTTGCTAGGTGATGAGAGTACAAATGATGAATAAAACATTCTGTATTTTCAAGACTTTTATAATCTACTAGAGAAGACACTCATATAGTTAAAGTCACTGTAATGAGGAAAGTGATAGGATAAAGTGAATGACAGGCTGGACGCGGTGGCTCACATCTATAATTCCAGCAATTTGGGAGGCGAAGTTGGGCAGATTGCTTGAGACCAGGAGTTCAAGACCAGCGTGGCCAACATGCTGAAACTCTATCTCTACTAAAAATACAAAAATTAGCCGGGCATGGTCACACACACCTGTAGTCTCAGCTACTCGGGAGGCTGAGGCACAAGAATTGCTTGAGCCTGGGAGGTGGATGTTGAAGTGAGCCAAGATTGCACCACTGCATTCCAGCCTGGGTAATGCCTCAAAAAAGTGAAATAAAACAAATAAAAAATAAAGGTGAGTGAGGAGCAAGAGAGGAAGGGCTCTTAGAAAATTCTGGGAATTTGGGAACAGCAAGAAGGCGATATCCTCTGGGCTGAGGTTTGAAGGTTGAAGAAGGTTGTCAATGAAACAAACAGAAGCAGGAAAGGCTTCCCCAGCATCTCAGACCTATGAATGTGAAGTGAGCTTGGCCAACCTGCTCTTCCTCCAGAGTGTTTCATATCAGCAAGTGGCACCAATTCAGTTGCCAAAGAGAGAAACCTGTGTGGCATCTTTGACTCCTTCCTCTTCTTCACCATGTCATGGCTGGTTAGTCACCAAACCCAACAGACTCCACTCCTAAGTGCCTCTGAGACCCATTGCTTCTCTCCACCCCTTCTGCCACCACCATGCTCAGTCCTGGCCTGGATGTGGCCCGTGGTCTAGTGACTGGCTCTCTTGAGTCCAGACTTGCTCTGCCCACCTCTTTCTACCACCCTCCCTGAAACCTATTCTCCACATTGCAGTCAAAGCACATTCTAAATTACACAACAGACCTGTCATTTTGCTGAGAAAAAAACTTTCAATGACTCTCCATTGCTTCCGAATAAAATTCAAATTTTTATTGTGAGTGACAAAAGCTTTGTGACTCAATCCCTGCTCGTTTTCTAGTCTCATTTTTCACTATTCTTCCTTCCCCTCTGATCAAGCTACACTAAACTTCTTTCAGTTCCTTGAATACATCCTGTTTTGCTTCTTGGCTGTTATATGTGTGTCTTCCCACTTTGCTTGGATAACTGACTCATCCCACAAGCCTCATCTTAAATATGGCTTCCTCCAAAAAGTCTTTTCTGGACTCCCAAGTCTAGGTTAAGAACTCTCATGTGCTCCCAGGACACATTTTACTAATTACATTTTATGGTGACTGCATTTGCTTGTGTATCAGCATGTTAAAGTGGAAACTAAATCCTAGGTTGCAAAAACTCCCATATTTCAAAGAAAGATACTTGTAGAGAAGGAATCTGGAAACCAAGTTAAGGATATACATAATTGAGGTTGAAGTAATCAAGCCATAGTTTGTTTAGAGAATCTGTGAGAGGAGCTTTGAGATAAGCAGTGGGCGAGGTTGATATTTGTTGTGACGTTTCAGGTAACAAAGAGCCTGGGATTTGTCTCACATCTAAGAAGACTGAAAGCAAATGGTGTGGCCGAAGCTGCCTCTCTGGTGGCATAGCTAAGACCAAGCTGCACGCAGTGAAAACACAGTTTGTTTTCACTGACAACAAGGCAGAATGTGTACCAGGGATGTGACGTGGGGAACCAGGAAGAGGACAGTCTGAGGATCATTATTAAAGGGACTCCATCCAAGAAGGTTTCCAGCCAGAGGCAAGCTGTAGCCAGAAGAAAAGAATGAGAGGTACTATTAGTTGCAGAAATTGAGGGGAGAACTGTAAACAGTCAGCTAGGGAGAGGGAGTTTCAGTCAGATGTTTCCAGTGGGAAAATCTTTAAGAAAATACAAAAGAGTACCATGAATGAAAGAGTTCACTCTGAACATTTTACCAAGCTCAGAGAGCACCAACCCAGGTTATAACTTTACTAGTCAAATAAGTCCCCTCCAGTTCCATCCCACCCACAGCAGGCTCCCCTTCCCATGGTAAAGTTTTCAGACTGAAAGTTCTGAATTGAAGGAGGGAAGAAGATTTAACTTGAAATTGAATCAAAGCTTTTGTTATTAACTTGGGCCTCCTCTTTTAATTTTTGAAATGAGTGTGTTCTCAGGACTAAAAGTGACCAGAGGACTTTTTATCATTTAAGTAAGAACAAAGAAGTTAGGCTGGACGGGGTGGCTCACACCTGTAATCCCAGCGCTTTAGGAGGCCAAGGCGGGTGGATTACTTGAGGTCAAGAGTTCAAGACCAGCCTTGCCAACATGGTAAAACCTTGTCTCTACCAAAATTACAAAAATTAGCTGGGTGTGGTGGCGGACACTTGTCATCCCAGCTACTCGGGGGACTGAAGAAGAAGAATCACTTGAACCCAGGAGGCGGAGGTTGCAGTGAGCTGAGATTGCACCATTGCACTCCAGCCTGGGCAACAGAGCAAAAACTCCGTCTCAAAAAAAAAAAAAAAAGGAAGAAAGAAATTTTGAAACCTACCTGAGATTTCCAGCCTGAGGGAAAATATATGGACTACTTGTTGGTTTTAAGGTTTTTTTCTTTGTCTTTGGGTTTCAGCAGTTTGATTATGGTTTGGCTAGGTGTAGATTTCTTTGTACATACCCACTTTGTGATTTTCTGACATTTTGAGTCAATGAGTTAATGTCTTTAATCAGTTTGGAAAGTTCTCACCATAATATACTTCTATGTTCCTTCTGTTGCATTTTTTCCCTGTCCTTCTGGAACTCCAATTACACATATATTAGACCTTTTGATAATGTCCCATGTATTTCTCATGTTCTCTTCTGTTTAATTTTCTAAATATTGTTCCTCTATTTTAGACATTTTCTATTGAATTGGCTTTGAATTCACTATTTTTTTTATTATCCAGTCTGTTATTAAGTTAATCTAGTTAATTATTAATTT
Source organism: Homo sapiens (assembly GCF_000001405.40). NCBI lineage: Eukaryota > Metazoa > Chordata > Mammalia > Primates > Hominidae > Homo > Homo sapiens. Next base: position 42,564,131 of record NC_000013.11, read on the forward strand.
TAGATATTTTATTTTTTTGTTCTAGAATATCCACATGCTTATTTTTAAAAACATTCCACTTCTTTGTTGCAGTTCTCTATCTCTTCATCCATTTTGTTTACCTTTGCCTCTGTTTTCTTTACTATATGTAAAAGAATTATTTAAAAATTATTGTAGGCTGGGCACGGTGGCTCACACCTGTAATCCCAGCACTTTGGGAGGCCAAGGCAGGTGGACCACCTGAGGTCAGGAGTTCGAGACCAGCCTGACCAATACGGAGAAACCTCGTCTCTACTAAAAACACAAAATTAGCCGGGCGTGGTGGCACATGACTGCAATCCCACCTACTTGGTAGGCTGAGGCAGGAGAATTGCTTGAATCCAGAAGGTGAAGGTTGCGGTGAGCCGAGATCGCACCATTGCACTTCAGCCTGGGCAACAAGAATGAAACTCCATTTCAAAAAAAAAAAAAAATTCTTGTCTACTATTTCCAATATTTGGGTCATCTGTTGGTCTGTTTTTAATTGGATATTTTTTCCCTCTTCATTATGAACCATGCATTTCAGCTTCTTGTCATGTCATGTGATTTTGAAAATTGTATACCAAGCATTGTATATAAAAGAACTAATGTAGATATTATTTTGCAGCTAAGGTGAGGACTTCAATCAGAAACTGAGCTGGATTGCAGCTTTAAGTAGTTTCAGTGCAACTCTTGTTTCAAATATCTTGAAGGAAATATTTTTTGTGTTCTTATTTTGTTCTCTTTCTCTGACAAGTTTCTCTCATACACTAGAAGATCTCTCTCTACCTTCCCAGCCCAGTTCACCAGCCACTTTGCCAGTACTCAACAAAATCTGTGGGGGAAGAAGACCAGTAATTGGAGAAAATAGTTGGGCATTTGTAGATTTTAATCTGTTACATCAGCTCCAGTAAAATATCTCTGCCTACAGCAAACTCAACACTACACCTATCTGTGTTTATGCTTGACAAATGTTCCAAGGGAGGAAAGGGACTGTTAATCTTTCTTATCTAGAAAAGAATGTTCATGTGGAATTCCATCCCTTTAGATTTTTTTCATTATCAGCTCATCGATAACTTTTAAAATATATATATATATATATATTTTTTTCTTTAGTTTATCTGGTGGCTTTGTCTAGTTGTTATGGTTATGGTAATGCCATGGTCTACTGAGATCTTCCATGTAATAAATAAAGCAGTTTACTGAATGGTTTTAAACTCTCATTGCTGGGAGGAAATAATATGCTTTTTCTCTTTGCATCTTTTAGGTTCTATTTTTTCAATGTTACTACAACATTTGCCTTAGAGTGTAAGCTTTGTGGGGACAACAATTATCTATTTTATTCAGCATTATATCTCTTATGCCTACCATAGTACCAGACTCATGGTTGGTATGCAGTACATGTTTGTTGAATGACTAAATTATGAGCATGAACAAGGGAATAGAGGTTTGAAATAAATAGTATGATGTACAAGAAAATTACAAGTTATTCTTATGTTCTAAAACTAGAACTTTAAGTGCAAGGCAGTGATGGATGTTGAGGCTAAAGACAGAGATGGGAAAAAATTAAGAGTTTGTAAAGAGCCTGGACTTTATCTTAAGTGTTGGTAGGCTGCTGAGTGGTTTCAAGAGGGGAAGTTATACATCCAGTTGTTCGTGATAAATGGATCAATCTGGAAGATGGGTTTAAGTGAGAGGAGACTGCTGGAAGGAGGATGAAAGGGAAGCCATTTTAGTACTTAGGCAGGAAATGATGAGAGGCTCATTTACAGACAAGAAGGAAGGAAAAAGCACTCTGGGAATATGGCAGCACAGGCTTATTTCTTGACACCCTCCCACTCCCATCTCAATAACACAGAGAGTATGTGGGGATGGGAAGTCTACCTGAGGCTTTAGGACCTAAGGAGACAGTATAGGAATAGAAGAGCACGGGCCAACTTCTGGACAAAATTATTTACAGCAATGAGCAGACCTAAGTATTAGTAGATTTGGGGAAGTCTGAAAACAGAATTAATCCCATAGCTTCTTGGGAGACTATAATCACTTGGCCAGGTAATCCCATGCATCCTGACAGACATATGGAATCTACTTGAAATTTCCAGCCATGAGAGATCCCCAGTCCTTCTTATGCTGCCATCCTGGTGAGGAAGCATCTTCCCTACCCCTCACTTCATGGATGTCTACCATTGCCTAAGACCCTTCTAATAATCTGACATATCCAGAAGCAATGGGGACTGACACCAATGGACATTGGTAGGAAAAGAAGGGTCAGGTATCACCCAAAGGGTCTCAGGAGCTTGAAAGAGGGACTTGAATCAAATAAACTCAGCAGCTTGTTTACAGAGAAAGTTTGGTAAAGAAACAGAGGTGAATTTATAAATGATTGTAAGAAGAATTATTGAGGAGGTACAAGAAGCTATTGTGAAAGATCAATTGAAGGGAAAAAAGGATTTCTTGAAATAAAATTTAATTTTGGACTTTAAAATCCAACAGATCACCTGAATAATAGAACAGAAACTGCTGAAATATTGAACACAGATCTAGATCAAATGAAGGAACATATTCAGGATGAAGCATAAATAAAGGCCAGGCGTGGTGGCTCATGCCTGGAATCTCAGCTCTTTGGGAGGCCGAGGTAAGCAGATACTTGAGGTAAGGAGTTCAAGACCAGTCTGGGCAACATAGGAAAACTCCATCTCTAGTAAAAATACAAAAATTAGCCAGGCATGGTGGTACATGCCTGTAATCCCAGCTACTCAGGTGGCTGAGGCAGGGGAATTGCTTGAACCGGGGGGCAGAGGTTGCAGTGAGCTGAGATTGCACCACTACACTCTAGCCTTGGTGACAGAGAAGGACTCTGTCTCAAAAAATAAATAAATAAATAAATAAATAAATAAAATGAAACTGCAAGTTAAACAATGTATTATAGAAGACCTAATATGGCAAAAATAAGAGTTTCAAAGAAGAAACAATAAAAAATTATTTTCTGAGGAAAACTGAAGTGGAGACAGATTCAGGAAACATTTAGGAAATGAATACAATAAGACCCTTTGATATTATTTAATTATGTTTTCAGAAACAGCTACAATCTCCCTAATTAATTTTTGTATTTCCCAAAAGTTTATTTAAAAGCTCTAATACTTTAGATTAATTTTATTTTAGGAATAAGTCTGAGATAATATTAATGAATTAAAAACCTGTCAAACAGAGTTGCTTTCTAGAAAGTAAGAGATAAAATTACTCTAAATATTTCTAGCATTGTGCACAGAAGAGATAAACAGTTATGGACAGGTTTACTTCCTTCATACATGACCAAGATGTTTTTCCTCTTCCACCTCCCATCCAGTTTTCCGTAATGTCTGATAATTTGCCATTAGAAATGCACTCCTTTAGGGGTGAGAGCTAAACCAAACCAACCAAATAGGCCCTGTTTGGCCAGGAGGACCTCAGAGAAACCTTAAAATAATAATAATTAAAAAAACCCACCTGAGTTCCCAACCATGATGGGATGGTAGGTCAGATGCCTCATTATATCCCTTTCTTTTTGCTGTTTAGACACAACAGCTGACAGCATTAATGTTAAAACAGAGATCATAAGACTGACAGAATAGACTGTTTATGGCAATAAGATACCAAATTGTAAACAAGAGCTATGGCCATGCCAGGCAAGGGTTAAGTCACACACTTTACACTTAACAAATAAACGATGTTCTAATTCCCACAGGGTTTCTTCTCCCTCTTTCTCCAGCAGCTAAACAACACTAGCTTTGAGATAAGTGATGTTGAAGCAGTTGCAGCTCCCCAGCTATCAGACACCAAATAACTGAGCCCCCACCTGTTACACAAGCCACAGTGACAGCTTTGATTGGACAAGAGAGTGATTTCTGTAACTTTCTCCTGATAAGAGACCACCAACCATGGACTACTTCTGGCTGGTTTTACAGCAGATGCACATTTGAGTGACTTCCTGTCCCTTCTTCACCTAATTGTGTACATTTAAATGTTAAATCTCCATCCCAATGGAACTGTGGGACGCACGTAACATGCATGTTTGCTTATCATGCATGCTTACACCCTTTCATGAATATTCATAGCTCTTCCTATGTCCTGTTGAATATGTATGCTTTGCCAACCCCTTCAGCTTAAATTCCTGTGTTACTCTTCCCTCTGTTGAAGGGCTTGCTTTAGGTTTTTTCCAGTGGCAGGCTGCCCTTCCTGCCTGCAGGTTGTAATTCCATTCTTAAGAAATAAAACTCACCTTTCTAAATTTATTAATTGTGTGATTTAAGTTAAGGGGGTAAGGCAGTATATTTCCAGAAGACTGCCAACATAAAATTTTAATTCAATTGTCCATTGACACAGTGAATGTTAATTTGTCATCACATACTAGTTAATTTGTTAGCTGAAGGGAATGTAATAAGACCAAGTTGCTTGTAAAGGGTAATGGGTAAGCTGGATTAGATTATTAGGGAGGCCGGTCCTAGGTGAGAAGTTTCATTAGGTTTTCAGTGAGCAGCATATGAGCCTGGACCGGAGATCAGAAGACGCGGGAACAGACAGAAAAAGAAGAAGAGTGATCAAAGGAGAGGTGGCAAGTACAAAAGACAAAGCCCACCAGTTTCATAAAGTTGCTCAGGCTGACCCCATTTCCAGGGTGAGATATTTTCACAGACTTATTACCTATGATTATACACATTTTAAAAATTGTTATTAGCATGAGGGGCTGCATATATATTTTATAATAGCCACACTTATAAATTAGTTGCAACTGGCTTCAGATTTAGCAAGTATCTTATACAGGGTCCTGGCAGGAAATAGGTGGCAAATCCAAGGGGTTTAACTGAAAAGACTTTAATTTGAAGAGTTGAGGTCAGGGTTAAGCAAACTAAGAAGGGATGGTAAGGAACCCAGGGGCCAGCAAAAGTGGGTTCGCTTTCCCACACTGCAGTAGGTTAACGCCCTCCGCCACGAAGGAATCCATATCCTAAGCCCCAGACTCCGTGACTATGTTACCTCACATGGCAAAACTTACTTTGCATATGTAATCAAGTTAAGGATCTGGAGATGCAGAGATGATCCTGGATAGTCTGGGTGGGCCCAATGTAATCACAAGGGTTCTTATCATAAGAGGGAGATATTAGCTGGGCACGGTGGCTCACGCCTGTAATCCCAGCACTTTGTGAGGCCGAGGTGGGTGGATCATGAGGTCGGGAGATCGAGACCATCCTGGCTAACACGGTGAAACCCCATCTCTACTAAAAATACAAAAAATTAGCCGGGCATGGTGGCGGTCACCTGTAGTCCCAGCTACTTGGGAGGCTGAGGCAGGAGAATGGCGTGAACCCAGGAGGAGGAGCTTGCAGTGAGCCGAGATTGCGCCACTGCACTCCAGCCTGGGCTACAGAGCAACACTCTGTCTCAAAAAAAAAAAAAAGAAAAGAAAAGAAAAGAAAAGAGAAAGAGAGAGAGAGATTAGAGTTAGAGTCAGAGAGAAGCTGTGAGGACAGAATCAGAGGTCAGAGACTGGAGTGATGAGGTTTGGAGATGAAGGAACCAAGGAATTTAGGTGACTTCTAGAAGATGGATCCTCTCCGGAGTTCAGCAAAGTGAAACGTCTGTCATAATAATAACGAATGACTTCCTTTTTCATTTTCATTCATATAGTGAAGTTTTCTAAAGGCTGCATCATGTGCAATATTGTAACAGAGTAAGTGCAGGACTGAATGTGACTCTATCAGGCCAATTGTAGAGATGTGAAAAAATGTAAAACAGTGGCACTTTTCTCCCTACTTTTTTTTGAAAATCTGTTTTTTTAAATAAAATAATTTTATAAAAGTATTATGAATTATTTATAAAATTATATTAACATTATGTTAACATGCTAATATGGTAAAATTTTCTGCTTGGAGTTTGAATACACCAAATATTTATAAATATAACTCACACAAATAAAACCTCTTTGGTGTTCTCAAAATTTTGAAGAATGTAAAAGGTTTGAAAATTGCTGATCTAGCAAATGACTGAACATGAACAGCTATAGTATTTGTACCTGCCCAGCAGTGCAGCAATTCCTTATCCTTCTCATATCTGCACTTTAATTTTCCTTTGACAAATATCTCTCCCTCCTCTCAGCCCATGACATGAGGTTCACATGGGGTTAACTTAATTCCCTGGCTCAAAGGAAAGGTATTAAATTCAGACTTGTATCCAACCATTCCTGAAGCTAGACTTAGCCCTATTTTTCAATAACATGAACCAATCAATTTTCACATGAGTCCAAAATAATTCTATGTTAATACACTAAGGTACTAGGAAATATAGTTTGAGAAATGTTGATCCAAACATTGTGTTATTTACAGTGGAGTATTGACATAAACTTTGAATCTTCAAATATGTTCTGGTGTCTTGGCATCTCTTAATACCTATTAGCTTACAAGGCTTTCACTCAACTATTTTATAATTTTGATAATGACTTAATTGATTAGTTGATATATTGTTAAAATAAATATATTAATGAATTTATGATAAATAAGGCAGATAAATAAGACATGCAATTAGGAAGACATGTTAAACAAATTGTTATAATAATACAATCACTCTCAGCTTAGGATAGCTCCTGGCCACTTTCTCTCTGGGTGGTTTTTACTCTGGGAGTAGTTTAAATCATTATCTAGTAGTAGTTTAAAGCATTATCTTTGCCTAAGAGCTTTCGCTGACTCCCCACATTTGCATTGTACTAAGAGTTTTCTCTGACTCCCCACATAGGTCTAGACCCTAGTATTATAAGATTCTCATTGTACTTGCACTTTGCCTTCAAAGTACTAATCACGGTTTTGTTAGTGATTTGTGTGATGATTTGTTGAATCTTTTTTTTTTTCCCACTAGGGTGTAAGCCCCATGTTCCATCTTGATCACCATGTTTCTAGCCCAGTGCTGGCATATAGTGGGTTCTCACTAATATATCTGTAGAGTAAATGAAGAAATGCATGAGTGACATGACAGGAGAATTTAAGGATGCCATGGGAGCATAAAACAGAGGGAGCCACCTGGGTGAGGAGAGCTGAGAAAGACTTCTGGAGAGGCGACATTTGAGCTGAGAAAGGAAAGACAAGTGGGAGAGTCCTCCAGGTGTAGAAGTTGGAGAGATGAGCGCTCCAGTTAGGTAGTATTTGAAGCTGATGTAGAAAAGGAGTCTTGAGCCAGCTTGTGAAGGACTATTGGAGAGTTTTATTTTTATTTTTATCTTTTTTTTAATTTTTGAGACAGAATCTTGCTTTGTCTCCCAGGCTGGAGTGCAGTGGCATGATTGTAGCTTACTGCAGCTTCGACCTCCTGGGCTCAAACAATCCACCTATCTCAGCCTTCTGAGTAACTGGGACCAGAGATGTGCACCAAAATGCCTGGCTAATTTGTTCATTTTTTGTAAAGATAGGGTCTCCCTATGTTCCCCAGGCTATTCTCCATCTCCTGGGCTCCAGTGATCCTCACGCCTCGGCCACCCAAAGTGCTGGGATTATAGAAGTGAACCACTGCGCCTGGCCTATTGAAGGTTTTTAATCTTCAGAGTTTCGACTTTATCAACAACACTTAGAAGCCACCAAAGAATTGCAGGTATGGAAATGACATATACTTTTGCTTTTAGAAGAAAATCCTGATCAGTGTGCACAGAATTCTTCAGGGGGCAAGTGTGATTCATTCTGATAAGATATAGCATGGCTTAGACTGGGAGACTGGCAGAGGCTTTGAAGATTTCTTTGCTCAAATTTTATTCAGCAAGTATTTACCATGCACCTACTATAGCAGGCAACATTTTTAGGAAATGGTGAATGTTACAGAGGTGAATAATACAGCAAGAGTCGTTGAACATATGGAGTTTATCTATTAGTTGGGGAGTGAATGTTGACAAAGGAATAAGTAAATACATAGGCAAGAAAGATACATTACCTGTGAAACAGCAGCAGGTAGACTGACAGTGGAGTATCTAATACAGCCTATGGAAGCCAGAAGATAGTGGGATGACATTTTTGGAGTACTAGTAGAAATGTCATATGAAGAACTCTGTAGGAATGTAACATACGGTCCCATATATGAAGCTCCTGGGTCAAGTATACCTGAACATAATTCAGGGATTTGAGGGACTTTCTTGTAACCTGAGGATCAAGATGTCAAGGAATTAAAAACATGTATAAAACATTGTTGTATAAAAACCCATTAAAAAGAATGGAAGACACTATAGTAAAATCATTGTGGGTTTAGTTGTTATAACACATTTTAAAAATCTTTGATCCCAATCAATATTTATAAGAAAGAAGAAATATGGAATTATTTCCTGAGTCAAGGAGCAGGGAGAGAATGAGGAAGAAGAGGAGGAGGAGGAGGGGGAGGAGGAGACAATAAACCTACTTCCCAAAGTTAACAAACAAAAAGTGGGAAGAGGTCAAAGACTACAAGGAGTAGAATTAACGTCAATTGTTTCTATGTTTGAGTCTGAAAATTTTTTGTCCCTTCTCCACCAACCTATATATTGATACACATATAAATGCTAAAGGCATTTTTGAATTTGAACAGATCATTTTCTTTGTATGGCTGCCTTTAAAAAAAATTCAACCTGGTCACTCTTCCTCAACATTTACTGAGGTCTAAGTGTTCAATTTAGAACACATGCTTTAATAACTCAGAGACCTGTCATTTGTCACAAATCTTGCCTAGAGAAATACTCATTAGCGAATTAGGCAGAAAGAGGATGCAAAATAAAAAGGCACAGTAGTCCCCTGATATCCATGGAAGACTGGTTCCAGGACACCACCAAACCCCTCCCCGCAAATACCAAAATCCATGGATGTTCAAGTTTCTTAACATATCATGGCATAGTATTTGCATTTAACCTACACACATCCTCTTGTACACTTGAAATTATCTTTAGATTATTTATAATACTTAATAGAATGTAAATGCTATGTAACTAGTTGTGTATCATTTAGGAAATGATCACAAGAAAAAAAGTCTACAGATGTTAGTCCAGACACAGCCATCCTTTTTTTTTTTTTCAAATATTTTTGATCTGTGGTTCATTGCATCCACAGATGTGGAACCCATGGATACTGTGGGCTAACTGTATTAATAAAAAAGTGGAAACATCCTAAGTTTCATGGGTGTTTAAATTGGTCAGCAACTTCCTTCTGAAGAAGTATCAGAATTTGTGAGCAATGTTAATATTTTTGTTTTCTCACTAAGAGCCACAGTTCTGAATAGAGGTTTTTAAAAAGCCCTAGCAAGGTTTCTTTAGCAATGAAACTAACATTTAACTGTATCATCAGCTTCGTGTTACATCTCTTTCCTGACTGTTGGGTGAGCCCTCCTCGGATGCTTGCTTCTGGCTACACGCCCCTTTACCCTTTTCTCTGCACTGTTTTCATCTTTATAAAGTCAGAGTTGGTGTCTATAGGCTCTCTACTGCCACATTCAAGACCTGCCTCGCTCAATGTCACCTTCAAGATGCAGAAATAGGGATTTGGGAAGGGGATTGTGAAATTTTCGAAGTCTTCCAAAATACTTTGAGAAACTATATTTGGAAGCACTTTGGGGGGAGAGGTTGGACAGGAAGGGTCTTCAGAGATCATCAAATTTAACTTTCTAAATCCTAAGGAGGAAACCGAGACTCCAGGATGTGAAGTCCCTTCTCTACCAAACTAGAATGGATGCAGGAGGAATGTCTGAGGTGCAATCCTTATCCTTTAGCAAAGGTGTCCTCTGCGTCTTCTTTAACCCATCTCTTGGACCTCCAGAAAGACAGCTGAGGATGGCAAGGGGAGTCTGGAACCACTGGAGTAGCCCCCAGCCTCCTCCTTGGAGGGCCCCCATGAAGGAGGCCCTTCAGTGACAGAGATTGAGAGAGAGGGAGGGCGAAAGGAAGGAAGGGGAGCCAGAGGTGGGAGTGGAAGAGGCAGCCTCGCCTGGGGCTGATTGGCTCCCGAGGCCAGGGCTCTCCAAGCGGTTTATAAGAGTTGGGGCTGCCGGGCGCCCTGCCCGCTCGCCCGCGCGCCCCAGGACCCAAAGCCGGGCTCCAAGTCGGCGCCCCACGTCGAGGCTCCGCCGCAGCCTCCGGAGTTGGCCGCAGACAAGAAGGGGAGGGAGCGGGAGAGGGAGGAGAGCTCCGAAGCGAGAGGGCCGAGCGCCATGCGCCGCGCCAGCAGAGACTACACCAAGTACCTGCGTGGCTCGGAGGAGATGGGCGGCGGCCCCGGAGCCCCGCACGAGGGCCCCCTGCACGCCCCGCCGCCGCCTGCGCCGCACCAGCCCCCTGCCGCCTCCCGCTCCATGTTCGTGGCCCTCCTGGGGCTGGGGCTGGGCCAGGTTGTCTGCAGCGTCGCCCTGTTCTTCTATTTCAGAGCGCAGGTGAGTGGCCACCTTCCCAGGGGATCGCGGCTGAGAGCGCCCATCTCCTTCCCCCGCACTTGGAAACTGAGTCTGGCGGCAGGGCTGGGCCACCCAGAGCTTGCATATTCCGGAAGGGAAAGTGACTCCAGAAGGGAGAGAGGAAGTGTTGAGTTTGGGGACAACCTGGCGCAGGGCTGTCGGGCGCACCCTGCTCTCTCTCCGCCCACGCACCCCAGCTTCTCGGTGCTCTGGGGGCGGACTCCCCTGGCCGGACGATGGGTTTGAATCTCACCCCGTCCCTTCGCTGGGAAACAACACTGGCCTCTCACCTTTTCTGGTAGTGATTGCATACTTTTTCTCCCTGTCATTTCTCACTTGAAGTTAAGAATCAACTTCTGTTCACGTAGGAAAAAAGATGAGCGCCTTCACTTGGGCATCTACCTTTCCCTTCCCGCCCACCACCCGGCGGGTTTCGGTTCCTGCGCCTGGCTGCTCTGCAGGTGTGCTGGGGCCACGGTGCTGGAGGGCTGCGCGGAGCGGGAGGTCGCGGTGCTCGTGCCCAGGTCGCCCAATGGGTGGGCAGAATGACACGGCGCGACCAGAGAGGCGCGGGCTCGGGATGGGGGCTCTGCGGCTGTGGCGCTGTCCTGTGGGGGTGAAGGAAGAGGGACAGCCCCACGTGCCTGCTAGGGATGTGGGCGGAGGAAGGAAGCGAGGTGAGTGTGATGGCACAGTGTTACTACAGTCTAGCAAATAACCAACCTTCGGAAAGATGAAGAGGTTTTTTGCACGACGGCTAGGAACTGCAGAGAGATAGTAGGAAGGAAGGGGTAAATTTGTAATATTATGCTTTCTGGTGGTTTATGCTCTTGTGTTTTCTTGGAAATTGCAGTGCAGTTGGTTGGATTCATTCAAATATTCTTGTCTGGTGCTGTGAACTCTTTCTCAGAGGAAGTGGGGGGCTGACTGTGCATTTTTTTTTATGGGAAAAGAAAGTTGGGTTTGGACTACATTCGTTTTCAGATTCAAAGGTGATTACTAAACCAAACGGGATGCATCAAAACATGGCATTGCTTGGATTGTATGGTTTTTTGACATGTGCCAATGTCTCGAACTCCATTACTTTTAATCATAGGCTTTTTGTTAAGTATTCATTATCCGCTAGTTTGCATTTTCTAGAACTAGTGTGATTACCTACTTAAAGTAGAAATGCAATGAGCCACACTTCAGAAAATCTGCATTAAATATAATCTACTCATTGAGAGTTTTGTTGTTTCTAAAAAGACAACTTTTGAGTGGTTTGCTTGCAACACAGATAACAAATCTATATGAAAGTGACTAAACGTCTTTCTTTCATTGGAGTGTGTTGCAATAAGAATGGCTTACCCATTTTCTCATCCAGCATTTTGTTAATAACCCCCATTTAGTGCTTGTGCATGGAGTGCCAGCGTTGTGCGTGGCACCGTCACCTGCGATGGAATGAGTTAAGAATCATTTATTCAACAGACAGTGTCCACTTACTATGGGCATGGAGCCAGATAGCAGAGTGGCCTAATAAAACCATTAAAATTCTTAGTCAAACAAAAGAGCAACAATCAGAAAAGGGATCAAAGATGCAGTAGTTCTCCACTGTTTATCTTTTCTAACACCTTCGGGATATGGCATTTTCATTGCCATAATAGTGAAGAGAGTGTCCAATGTTGAACGAGCAGTAGGAAATGAAGGAGTTCTAGGAACCATGAACAGCTTGGCTTGGCAGGAGCTGTGGAAATCGGTGGCATGGCTGTGTAGGAAAGAGTGACCTGCTGGGCTCTTGTTAGAGTTGTTCAGCTTTTCCCTAGGAATTCTCGGTGGTCCCCGTGGGTGAGGAGTCAGGGCTTTCAGTGATCTCCCATCATCCTTTAGCAGTCTTGATGCTGTATGGATGATAGTGAAACATTCAGAACCCCTTTTCAAAGTAAACGTGTGAGTTAGTAAGTCTAGCCAGAAAATATACCTTTGAAGAAGTTAATGTCATCAGACTTCTGGGTACGGTTTTCTTAAATACCATGAAAATTCGGTTCCTTTGACTTGTGCAAAATAATTTAGCTATTATTCTGAACCCAATTTTGTATTGCATTTTAAAAAGGCTATCTCCTTCAGTAAAGAAAAAATATTAGGAACAATGTGTTCATATGAATATACCACTAGATCGGGATGCATTTTACTGGATATTGTGTCTACAATTGTTACCCAAAGGAGTCCTAATCATTTTGAGATACATTCTGAAATATTTACAGATAAAACTGCTTTGGTGTCTGGAATTTGTTTCAAAATAATTTCTGGTTGCTTACAGATGAAAAAAGATTTGCCATACATTGGTAATAGCTGAAGCGCTGATGCGTGCCTAGGGGTTCACTCTGTAATTCTTTCCCCTTTTATGTGTGTTAGAGATCTTCTTTCAAAGTCTTAGCTAAGAGAATAGTCTCCATTTGACTTGCCGCTGATTTAACATTTTCACTTATATCGGCTCTTTTGGATTGGAACTTGGTACCAAATAAATCAGTAGTTTTTTGATTCCCACTAAAGTTGTGAATCAACTATCTGAGGTTTCTAAATGCATTTGAATGAGAACAAACTATCTAGTAACATGTTTGTAGTTTACAGTTAAAAATGACGAATTAGTTTTATTGTTTTTGTTTAAAGGTGGAGAAAAGAAGGTATGCAAGTCCTCAAGGAAAAGCAGTTTGAGTTTTTAAATGCATTTAAAAGAATGCCCAGAATAGTGTAAAAATTACGGTGACGGTTAAAAAGTTTTGTTTTCTTAAATGTTTGAATAGATAAAATTGAATCAGCCTCCTAAATGTTTGCAGATTGCATGTGCCTAGATGTAAAAAATACATATCTACTAGATCCGGTGTAGCTTGGCTTTTCCCCCACCACCCTGCCAAAGAGAAAATAGTGTGTGGCTTCTGCTATATATTTACCACATAGTATTCATACTTTGGTTTACAAAGAAAAAAAATAAAAACCCTTTCAAAAAGTTGCTCTGTGTGTGTGTGTGCATGTGTATGTGTCTTTAACATCCATATAACCATATTCAAAGCTTAGGGTTTAGCTATAAAGATAAACTTTTCAGAAAACTGAAGATGTTTTGCCCTTTTAACTTCTTCCCTCGATCCCCCAATATGCACAAACCAACCTCCCTGGTTGTTTGTTACCCAGGACAGCAGTCACTACTGAAAATCTGATGTAGAGGTGTGCACTGCCTGTTTGAAAACACAGATAACGAAGTAGCACAAACGTCAAGCATCCTGCCTCATTTAACCCTACAAATGATTAAGTTTCAAGGAAGTTAAAAAAAATGAGACAGTGTATTTCGTAGGCACATTATCTGACAAATGCATTTTAACAGTCCATTTTAAGTCAGATATTCAAGATTTACTTAATGTTTTCAGACGTGTCTAAGTACAATGAATTCATTGGTTACTCAGTTTACTGTGACTTTTGGTTGAATTTCTGTGTTCCTCAATGAAGTGTAAGTTCCATGAAGACAGGGACTGCTTGCTTTGCACACCACCTTATTCATAGCATCTAGCCCAGTGCCTGGCATGTCTAATTTACTGCAAAGTCTTTTCTAATGATTTGCAACACTACAGATATGCCCATTTCTGATTGTAATATGCAAATTATCAGATTAGTGGCTAAAATAGTATCATTTTTCAATCATGCAATCCTCCAACCAGACTAATGTGTGCTAGTAGGTAGGTTGTTGGGTAGGCGATACATTCGTTCAGTCAGTTCGTGGGCATTTGCTGAGGGTCCAGCATCAGTCTGGCTCCCTCCCTGCTCTGCAGTTCCTTCAGCTTAGAGGCCCTCATTTACCTGTGTGTGTGGCTGGCCTTGCACCCTGAACCTCTCCTCCTCCGTTTTCTCCTAGTCTCCATTTTCAGGAAAGGAGAGCTGCAAGGGCATTGGAATGAGAAAGACATGTGGTTGTAGGTTAAAAATAAATTTCTAATGTGTGATCCTTGAGTAAACAAAATAAATGAGTATATTAAAAGCAATTATTCCATGCATTCTTGATTTCTTTTGGGAAAAAACAGTGGATGGGGTTTTATACATATTTTAGCTATAATGCTGCCTTCCAAAACAGTGGTTCTCAACTGCACATTGAAAGTATTTGGGAAGAGGTTCAATGATTGGACACTTCCCTTAGGGATGTTGATGAAATTGGCCAGTGAGGGGTGGGGTAGGAATGAGATGGGATCTGGGTGTGGGCATTTTTTTAAGAGAAAGGGGACAAAATCTTTGCATTGTACTTATTTGCATCAAATCAGTAACCATTATTAACTGTTTCAGTATCTTTGTACTAATTGATGTTACTTGTGAAACAATTTTAAAATTGGTGTCAGGGAACTTTGGAATCGTTTCAATAGCAGAAAATCTATATTTTAAAGCATGACTTCTCAAACTTTAATGTGTATAAGAATCACCTGGGATCTAGTTAAAATGCATATTCTCAGGCAGTATGCCAAAGTAAAGCCTGAAATTCTACATTTCTAGCAAGCCCTCAGGGAGCCCACGATGCTACTCATTGGACTACCCTGAGTATCAAGAATATAGGGTTCGGGTGCAGTGGCTCATGCCTGTAATCCCAGCACTTTGGGAGGCCAAGGAGGGAGGATTGCTTAAGCCCAAGAGTTCAAGACAAGCCTGGGCAACACAGCGAGACCCCATCTCTACCAAGAAAAAAAAAGGAAGAAATTAGCCAATTAGCCAAGCATGGTGGCCTGCACCTGTAGTCCCAGCTACATGGAAGGCTAAGGAAGGAGGATTGCTTGAGCCCAGGGATTTCAAGGCTGAAGTGAGCTATGATTATGCCACTGCACTCCAGCCTGGGTGGGGGTGACAAAGCAAGACCCTGTCTTCAAAAAAAAAAAAAAAAGGAAAAGAAAAAGAGAAAGAAAAATAATAAAGGGGACTGCTGCTTCTCTTAGACAGCTCTTAGCTTGTCAGCAGGACTCCAGCTTAACCTAGGGTCCCCAGGCATTTCCCCACTAAGGCCACATTATTCCTTTGGCTCAGCAGTTTTCTGGTGGTGCGTCAGTTCAGGCCTTTGCATGATTCTTCTTTCCTGAGGTCTAAACCCAGTGACCCTTCATATCAGTTGCCTGGACTTTTCTGGTCTTGTGGGATACACACCGGCATAAGTAAGCCCTTTTTTTTTTTTTTTTTTTTTTTTGCAAAGTGTCTGATTGAAAACTTTCCTTGTATAAAAATTCACATATTATGACTTGTATTAATTATTCTAAAGAATATAGGAAAAATACAGATTGTACACAGTTTTGCTTCACGGTGGTATCTCTTCCATGATGATTATAGGTAGTCCTTATATGTGCAAGACTGGAATAATAAAATTTGTATTAGTGAGTGTACATTTGTTAAAAGGCTGTCATTTCATTTTGAGAATCTCAGATATGGATAGGCTCTTTTTAGTTTATTTCTAATGGTTGGTTAATAAACTAACACATCATTCTGATTAATTTTTAAAAGAGAGAAAGAGACTTGTCATTAATTTGACTGAGCTTTGTAATCTCACGTAGCTTTTCTTTTTCGCTTAGTTTGTACATGCTAATAAGAAAATGCAGGTGAAGTACCTTGAATATTTAACAAACAAAGAGGACAAGTTAAATTCTCATTATTAAAACAGATGATAGCTAATTATTGTTACCCTTTACTTCACAGTTGAAACCACCACAAAGGCTTGGAAGGAGCAGGCAGACAATTTTAAAGAGTAGTGATTAAAGATATTCTAATGCTGGACACCTATTCTTAACAGGCAATCAGCTAATTACTCAATGGGTATATTTTGGGTGGGACAATTCCTTACATTACAGGAATCTTAGCATCCCTCCAGCACACGTCTGTAATATCTGTTCATGCAGCCTCCCCACCCTAACGTGATGACACCAAATATCACCTGCATCCATTCCCAAACACCCGCTGACAGGTATACCATTCCAGCTTGAGAAACACTGATGAGAGGGTCAACAAAAAAGACAGATGACACGTCTGACTTCAAGTTTTGTTTGGAGGTAAAAAAGTGGATTTTTCTCTCCCTTCTTTGGCTGATTAAGGAAAAAAGGCCAGGCCAACATGGTGGTTAAAGATGATGTTGATTTCGCCTGTTTTATATAGGTTTCATGCTCTGAATTTCAAAGTGGGCCTCATAATCCCATCTAGCATGTTGCATATAGTTGATTTAAAGACAAAAAGCTTCCTCTGCCTTCAGTGACCACATGTGATTTCCTTGGTGCCCCTCCCCTCTATGAACACTTTCATGTTGTTAGACAAGTTTGACAATTTCCCCCATGAATCACGCACATACACTTCTGTCATTGTTAAAAGCCCATCGCAGGACTAACTGTGCCTTGTCCTGTGGATGATAGTCAGTTACTCGTTCAAATGAATTAGAAGTCAACGTTTTCACCATCTTGAGGTTCATTGTATTAACTATTCATTGTTGGGGACATAAAGACTCTTGCGAGTATGAATTTTTTGTTCTTAAGTCACACTGTATTAAATAGCAGGATGACTAGTGATAAGCACTCTAACGTCCTTACTGTTTCTCCTCCTCAGATGGATCCTAATAGAATATCAGAAGATGGCACTCACTGCATTTATAGAATTTTGAGACTCCATGAAAATGCAGATTTTCAAGACACAACTCTGGAGAGTCAAGATACAAAATTAATACCTGATTCATGTAGGAGAATTAAACAGGCCTTTCAAGGAGCTGTGCAAAAGGTAAGTCCACATCGAGGCTGATAAGTCAAGGGCCCTTGCTGACTCTACCAATACTGAAAATTAAAACTGGCTAAGTGCTGTTGACTCTGCTCTTTTTATTCTAATAATTTGTAAAAGAGCTACAGGGAATGCTTTAAAGAGATTAGCAGAATTATTTTGAAGTTGGTAGTGATTGATTATGGCAATCAGGGACGTTCATGCAAATATTCTTTTCTTTCTTTTCTTTTTTCTTTTAAAGAGGAGGGATTTAAATTCACACTTAAATTCACACCTTAAGACTAAGGTGGCTGTGGCCTGTCTGTGAGTCAGTATGCTAGTTTGAATTCCCTGACCTAAAAACCATCCGCTCAGTTCACAGGACTTTCTGGTAGCTGTTTCCTTTCTGTTTGGCTTCGTAATGGCAGGGCCCCTTATTCCACATCTGTTGATCCAGGGCTCTGATGAGAAGCAGTTGTAACTCTTGGTCCTTTGCTGTCATCTGTGGTGAAGTAGGCAGAGCAGGAAACAATGTGAGATGGAGATTCTGTGTCCGTGTTCTCATTTTCTGGGAGAGCTGAGTGACAAGAGAAGAGTTAGGGACAGAGAAGACCAATGACTTCTCTTACACCGACAGCCCCAGTTGGGAAACACTGTAATAACTGCCAGTTTTACTTTCCTGGACAAAGCCACTTGAGAATTCTGCAGCCCAAGAATTATTTTACTCACTGACTCCACCAAAACCCGGGTAGAACACAAACAGTGACCCCAGTGCAAAACCTGTGTGTACGTTATATACCTGCATGCATGCATCCACTTCTACATCCCAGCCTCTGTGTTGCAACTCCCTGGGTCTCTGGTCATTCCAGAGTAACTCTTGAAGTTCTCAAAGCCCTTACCTCTAAATTTAATTCTAATGTAGTTTATTTTTTAAAAATCCACATATAGTAATATAATTATTTAAAAAGAGGACATGTGTCAGAGGTAGAGGTAGGAAGATGTAGCTGTTTTGTAAAGCCAGCTAACAAAGGTGAACGTCTGTAATACCATCAGAGGTAGAGGAAGGAAGATGTAGCTGTTTTATAAAGCCAGCTAATGAAGGTAAACGTCTGTAACACCCTGATAGTTGAGATTTGCTGTATTTTATCGAATCTAAGTTACCAATTTTCAGCCTACTTTGTTATTTCATGCATCACTAAGAAAGAAGAAACTGTTGATTAAAAAAATTAAACATGATCATCATAGGTTCTAGAGGTTCTAGTTGTATCTTAATTCCAGAGATATCAAAACGTTAAAAAGTTGTGCATTATGGAATGCATGAAGTACCTATTAGTTTAATGTGTCTATAAGAAAACACATTGCTTATGAAAATTACTTTTTCATTATCATTAGTGTGTAGGTGTTTGGCTTCACGCAGAATAGATGTATATGTTTAAATTCAGTGATCCTTAATGTTACAGTGTAATTTTTGAGCAACAGCAACAGCAATTCTGTTAATCTATTCATTTTTATTGTTCTGTTTTATATTTCATTTTCATTCGTTTGCTTATTGTCCCACTTGTGAAGCTTATCTCTTAAATACTGAGTAATCTGTCTTTAAACAACCTATTCACATGCACTAGGGGCAATCTGCTAGTTCAAAATGGCATTTCATATTAAGGTAATTCTGGTTGGGCAAAAGATTGTGCCCTAATGTTCTGTTTAGATTGACTCATGTTGTAACTCCTCAAAATGATGAGATAAACTTTTTATTTCATTGGTGTGCTGGTTCTTAAAAGTTACCCTTTGAGTTCCTTATGGAAGAATAAGTATGGAAAATCAGCCAAGTTAATTCTGAAAATAAATAATATTACGAACAAGGGCAGGCACGGTGGCTCACACTTGTAATCCCAGCACTTTGGGAGGCCGAGGTGGGAGGATCACGTGAGTCCAGGAGTTTGAGAACATGCTGATCAACATAGTGAGACCTTCATCTCTACAAAAAGTAAAAAAAATTAGCTGGGCATGGCAACCTGTGCTGTAGTTCCAACTGCTCAGGAGACTGAGGTGGGAGGACTGCTTGGGCCTGGGAGGTGGACGCTGCAGTGAGCTGCGGTTGCACCAGTGCACTCCAGCCTGGCAGCCTGGGTGACATAGCAAGACCCTGCTAAAAAAAAAAAAAAAAAAAAAGAAAGGAAGAAAGGAAGGAAGGAAAAAGATTATTAACATTATTTATGAGACTGCAAGAGTGGTTCAATACCAACGGGTTAAAGGAAAAAAATATATTATCATCTTATAGATCCTGAAAAGTGATTGACAAAATTTTGCACTATTTCTGATGTTTAAAATCCATTAGAAAACAGAACTGGATGGATTCTTGATGTTATTACGAATGTAATAACTTTTTATGTTTTTACATAAATGTAAAATTTTAAATAACATTTTACATTTAGTTTTAACTAAAAGTTACCTAATGATTAAACATAAGAGCATGTTTCTTAAAGTCAGGAACATGACCAAGATGCCCACTGTCCCTACGTTATTTAGCGTTGTTCTGAAGGTGCCAGCTAATGTAATTACACAAGAGAATGAAATAAGAAAATATATATAGAGAAAAGAGGGCAGAATTTGCATGTGATATAATTATATACTTAGGAAAATTCAAAAGAAGCTGAAATGCTACAAGCAGGATAAAATAAATCAGTTTGTAAAAATTAATAAGTAATAATCACTAGCTGTCCTTATTTCAAATAACTAGAAAACATGAGTGAAAGATTTCACTCATAATTTTTAAATGCTCTAAAAATAAACATAACAAGAAATGTACAAGGCTTATAGGAATAAAACTAGAAACCTCTACAGAGGCATTTAAAATACAATTGGATAATGTAAAGACATAACTATGCACAGTCATAATTTTTGAGGTATAACTTGGGCCAAGGACAGCAGACAAATCCATGGAAGAGAACAAGCGGCTTACTGTGTGTCTCTCTGTGAGTGAATGTATGTGTGTATATAATTTAATATAATACAACATTACTTTAAATAAGTGAACATATTCTGAATTCTTAAAAAGCATATTGTTCATCCTTTTTTAAAAGTTATAGTAATTTCTCTTGTCCTAAGTAAAAATAAATCCCAGATTGAGAGAGTACTTGGTAGCCAATTGTTGCTCACTGGCAGTAGTGTCCCTTAACACTTAATGTGGCTTCACTGAACTTTTCTGCCACCTCCTGCCTCATCAGAACATTATCCCACTTCGTTTGCGATTTCTAAGTGACTCCTTAGGTAGTATGGAAAAGCAATTTGTATGTAAAGGTGTTAGTGAGCAATAATGGCAGAATTTTCACTATTTTAGGATCCTTTTGGAGACATGATGCCTCATTCCAAATGAGTAACACTAATAATGAGCGATTCACTACTTGGCAAACCATAAGGAGAAAATTGGTGGTCAGGCAAGAATAATCAACTGCGCTTATTAAGGGCACGTAGTCTTAATTATACTGATAGGTTATTATGACTCACAGGATGAGTAGAACTTTATTTCATCAATTTCACATTTGCTTTTGTTTTGTTATAGGATCTTAGCCTTTTTGCATAGGTAATAATATCAGACACAAGTAATCCTTTTTAAAGAATTATAAATTAAAGCTGTTATACCAATGTGTGTTTGGAGGTAGAAGATGCCATTTCTTCCCCTTAGACAGGATCTTTAGGAAAGAGACAAGTCTTATTTATACCTTATCATTAGAATCAATCAGTGTTCATTAAGTGCACGTAATGTGCTAGGCACCTTGCCATGTCTTTCCCTATGCCCAAGGATTTACCCTTCTCTTACTCTATTCAGATAATTGTTTGCCAAATGTGTTATCCTTTGATGAGGATTATCGGTTAATGTGACATTCTACACATCTTGCCAAAATAATCAGATTTCTCATTTCTCTTGCCAATGCTAAAAATAGGATGGATGCATTAGGCATTCTTAAGTAAGTTTGTACCTTAGTTTTATTTCTAATGTAGATATTGAGTGAACCCTTAAAACAAAATTACATGTGTGGCTGCAATCATTATTGGGAGATCAACCCCTCCAGTGGTAACAGATACCAGACATAAGCACAATATCACATTATATGTGTGCGAAAAGTGGTGTTTACCCAACATGTCTTTGGTCAGACATGTAATGCTGTTTTTTTCCCCATTTTTGTTTGTGGCTGGGTTTTCTTGGCTTCCCCCACCCCCTTTAGCACAGAACTCTGAAAGCCTCTAAGTGATCCAACCCTACCAACCACAATTTATAAAGTCTATCATAACAGTCTATGACAATAAAGAAAACACTAGTACAAATATGGTGTCTGATTTATAAAGTGATTCTTGTTTCCAGTTTTGGCAGCCTCCCTGCTTCTGCCAGCCGGGGGGTGAGGAAGGAGTGAACTCAGATCCAAACGAGGACTCCCAAAATGGCAGAGAGGACACTCAGCCCATAGACCCCCTGGCCAGACTGGGTGGAAAGCCATCTGTTTATGCACTTACTATACATTCTGAGCACTTGAGCTGTGACTGCACTTGACTTTAGTGTGCTGGCTTGTTAATTTCACATTGGGTACCTGTTTGCAGATACCTTCCTGAAACTTACTTGCAAAGGCATTTGAAAGAATAATGTGCAGGAGAAAGGTCAATAAACAAATTGCACAAATCACATTCTTCTCCAAAATGGGATGTTCAGTGCATTAAAGATGATCCCCTGGGATGTGGGAAAGAAGCATAGGGACTTTCTGTATATGTATTTTTTAATATTAGCTTTTAAAAGCTGTGCTTTAGTAAATATTTTGGAATGTACAAATATACGAGAGTGATTTTATTTAATATTTAAATAAATACATATGTACATTTCAGAGCATGAAAAATTTTTTCCCTGATGGAGCTGCACAGTCAGCCATTTTTGAAGATCATGGAGTGAAGCTGCAAGCTCCATCAGGACAAGGGCCACAGCCATTTCGCGCACATCTGAATATATCACACTTAGTTTATTCTCAGGAATGAATGGAGAAAAGCATGAACAAATGATCAATGACTTATTGAACTCTGTAAACTAATATTTTACATCAACGAACTCATAAAGCCATTCAGAATGTTACAAGCCTTGTTCTTATTTATACGATGCTGTCTTACCAGTCCTACAATTGATAATTAGGAATATTATGGCCTGAGGCAGTAATGCTTCAGTACAATAATAACACAGGTTTATTTTTGTTAGAAGTTACCCCCAGCTGGCCCTCTCACATCAGTCACATTTTCATCAGGCTTCTTTGTTCTGCATAACCTGACTGCTATGTAGAGGTGGGCTTATAATGTGAACTAAAAACATGATTCTGGCTCCATATATGAGTTAAATTTTATAAAACTCTCTAACTTCCCTCCAAAATATGAAAAGCCAATGGTATTGTAATGACTGCTGATAAGTTATCTTGTTGTCATATCCTCAACAAACCATTCCCTGGAGTATAAGCCTTTGAGTCTCTAAAGACTTAACTGGAGAACAGGAAGTAAGACCAGGGAGCCATAATTATTAAACAATTCATTCTTACCTGAAATTCTTTTTTATTCCCTGGGAATCAGGTACCTATTTGGCCTCATCTTCAGAATTCATAATGTAGAATTCAGAATTCACAATATCCTCTGATATTAAGATTAATATACCCAAAGATTTGTAGCACTTTGATCCTCAATGAAGTATTTGCTGTTATTTGGTATAGTCTGAGCTGGGTAACAAACAGACCCATCCATTCAGTGAACTAACTAAGAAACTTTTTCCCTCTCACATAACAATCCAGACGTGAGTCATCCAGGACCAGTAGGGATGCTCCTCTGTCCTCAGCATGAACCTTCCATCTCTGTTTCTAAGTTGGCTTCTCCATTTGCTGTTATTTCTAGATAGGGGAAGGGTAAAAGAAAACTGAAGACAGTACCTGGAAGTGGAGACATCACTTCCAGTAGCATCATATCGGCTGGAAGTTACTCATAAACCACATCTTGCTGCAAGGGAGACTGGACAAGGTAGTCTCTAGCTGAGCAGCCATTTGTCCACAAAGCTTGAGGAAGGGAGTTGCCTATAACTAATAGGCAAAAAGGAGTGGAAGGAGATGAGGGGACAATGAGCAGTCTCTGACATTCACTAAACCCCATTTAGGTAGGAAGGAGGACTCACCATATATAAGCAAGAGTTAACTCTGAGAACACATAAGTCTATTAAAAATTTTAATGGTCAAGATTGTATTTTCAAAAGGTCAAAATACTTTGGGATTATTTAGATTGCAAGAGAGTGAGAGAAATTTGAAAGTAGATTCAACAGCATTCATCTTTTTGAGGAAGTTTCAAAGGTCTGTTTAGAGATTGCATCTGTGATTGTGGAATAAACCTTGATTGTCACCTGCACCGCTTTTGCTAGGTTTTGTAGATTAAAAAGAGCATTAATTAAAAACTAGAAAGTTCACCAGATTAAGTGATTGTGTTTTCTACATATGGGAAACAGATCCCCTTGGATTGCAATCTCCATTATTATAAGGAGCTCATTCCTATTTTTGAACTAATGTAAATAAGAAATCAATGAAATTTAAATAGATTGTAACTGCTTGTGAAACTGTAATCATTGAAGTTGTTATATGCCACTATTTCTCATTTGCCTATTAGTTAAAAAAAGGAGAGGAGGGATTAAACCCCATTCATTGCCTCTTTCCCTTTGTATACAAGAGTATGTGTCCGAAGAAAGTTTCTCATAAACCCACAAGGGTACTTGGTTTTTGGAGCACTCATGTTCCCAAGTCACGATGTTAGTCATGTAGTGGTTTTCCAATAGGATTTCATCTCTGTTTGCCATAATAGTTTTGGAAACTGCAATTCAACCCCAATCACATTTAGCGTTTATAAAAGCTGTCTTTATGGGAAAGCTGAAGTAAGACCCACAGAGTTTTCCTACAAAACCAAGGCCATCTATTGGCTTTAGCTCAACAATAAGTTATTGGCTTGTACTCAATTTCAGGGGAGACCCAGGGAAGAAGGTAGGAAGCAGGAGGGTTTGCAAGAGGAAAATAACCGGTGAGTTATGTCAGAGGTGGGCTTTTCTTTGTGTTACAAGTACCCCAGGATGGAAGAAAAGATATTCTGCATGACATCTTTAAAGAAACAGAGAGCTGGAAGGACATGCTTGAAAGAGGAGCCTTCATTATGTGGCCTGGGATCTTGGGCTAACCTTCCAGAAGTGGATGAAACTGAGGGTCCTTGGTTGGAGAGCATGACAGCAAGGGATAGATTGGATTGTTCTACCAGCAGCGGCAGGAGAGGTACAGCCTGTGTAATTGAAGAGCGGGATGTGCCTTAGAGCAGTGTTTCCAAACCTCCTGGATCTTAAGACTCAGTTGGGGCCCTTGTTTTAAAAAGAGAAGAGAAAAGTCCTCCAGATCTATCAGTGGGGACTCTGATTTGGCAGTTCAGGGGTGGACTCTGTGATTTCTTCAAAGCATCCTAGGAAGAGGTGAGAGCCACTGGTGGACAGGGAAGCCATGGTGAATGAAGTGACTATATTTGAGAAGGAGTGTGAAGCCTGTGTGGTATGAAAGAGGTGGGTCCCGGAAATTGTCAAGAGCTGTCTGTTTCTGAGATGACCAGACAACAAATGCTTGCTCAAACTTTTGGAAGTTCAGGGTGTTGGGGAGTTCCATTCTCACTTAGCTTCTGCATCACTAGGCTGCTACTCCTGTCCTCAGTCTTTGCCCTTCAAGAACACTAGGTAGCGGCGGCGGTGGTGGTGGTGGTACCAGTAAAAATAATCATCATAATGATAAACCCTAAGGCTCATATTCATCAAAAAGTTTGAAAGCACTCAGAACTCTTCTCTTCAGTGCCTGTGGCTGCTTCTCATTTGATCTAGTTTTTCATGGTGAATGACAATACCATTATCTCCACCACCCCAAACTGGAAGTCAGAAGATGGTCTTATCCTTTTATTCACCCACTCTTCACCTCTCCCCCATCCTGTGAATTCTACCGCCTTACAAAACCTTCAAGTATTGTCTCTACTCTGCTCACTGTGTGGTCACATGAACAGAGGTCATCATCCTCTCTTGCCTGCATCCTTGCATCTGGCCACCCCCTCCTGGCCTCACTGCCACTGGCCCATCCTTCCCATAGCTGAGGGACTTCGAAAATGCACATCTGAACAGGTCATTTCTTTTCCTGCTTAAAGCATCCTTCAGTAGATCGCTGTGGTTGTCAGGATGAAGTCTGAGCTGCTGAACATGTAACAAAAAGTCCTCTGTATTCTGGAAAGCCTCGTTCCAGCCCCTGCCTCTTCAGGCTTGTTACCTTGAATGCTCCATGTCATCGCCTCCATCGCAACTTGTACTCCACGGCCTCACCACAGTATGGTGCTGAACTCTCCCGACCTGGCCATACCCTTTCGCCTCTCTGCCTCTCTGCAGTAATCAGCAAGTGCAGAGAGGGCAAAGGGCATGTCTGTCCTGCGAACAGTGTCCTCAGAAACCCACAGGACTCCTGACTCCTAGCCTCCATCGGTAAACTTTGTTGAATGGATGAATGGATGAATGGATGAATGAATGATGAGTCTTTGTGCATAGTCCTTTGTATGCCACTCCATGCCCTTCTTTGTGTAGTCGGTTTTCTAATTGTCTTTTAAAATCCAACTCAGGCATTACTTCCTGGAGGAGGAGCCCACAGATGCCCGCCCACCCACCTGTGGGGGTAGGTGCCCCTCCTGGGCCCACACGGGGCTTCTTGTAACAGCAGTAACCACACGGACCTGGGGTGAACTGGCTCACTTGAATGTGAGCTTCCCAAGGACAGGGTCTGTGGGATGTTTCCTTTCTACATTTCCAGCCCCAGTGGCAAGCACATAGTTGGTGCTCAGTGAAAGTTTAAAGAACAAGTTTAATGAATATGTGAGTGACCTGTGCCCTATGTGTGCACACTTGGTGTGCTCAGGTGGCGAGTTGTTTAATATTGCCAGAAGCTAGCCAGCCATGTGATCAATCCATAGGATTCTTAAGGGGCTGGAGGTCACTCGCAAGCTCAGTGTTTTCCTGCTTCTTTGAGAGGAGAGCTCTTTTCCTCTTTGGAGCGTGAACACGTTAGGGACCTTGGGGTTGGGGGTGCTCCTTCACTGGTAGCCTTGGCCCTTTTCTTCCTGGCCTCATGGATCTAAAGCAGCTGGCCTGGTATCTCTGACCCCCTTTGCGTCTCATTCTTAGGGAGAAGTCTGTGAGAGCAAAGTCTTTTCCAGAAGAGATGAGGATTTGTCAATGTAGAAAGCACTGCCAATGGAAGGTGGCATTATTTTTCAAGTGGCAGAGGAAAACAGAGACATGGTAAATAGCACAATTAGCCCAAGATGCCACACTGCAGTTACTCTGCCAAACTTTTAGATGACACTTTTTAAACCAGTAGTATAGTATAAGACATTTGAAAATCGGGCTCTTTATGAAGACTAACATTGCTGTCATAAGACTACTTTATGAAAACCCAAGGGGACCTTTATCTGTAGCAGAAGCTTTCTCATTTAAACCATGAAGGTTAAACAATAAAAACTAATTTTCTATTCCCAGCATACCCATCGCACTCCCAGGAAAAGCATCAGTCTGCTTTATGAAAACAAGGACATGCTATTCTTTAGCTCTTTGGTAGGTAGAGGACATGAACTGTTTGCAAAAACGAGTCTCTTCCAATTAGCAGACTTCTTTTGGAAGAAATGATCCACCAGTGACTGTATTTGGGGTTTGGGGAGGAGGCCAACTCACATCTTGGTAAAGTTTTTCACTGAGAATTTTCACTGATGGGCATGGGATGGTGGCCGCTGATTCAGTAGGAGCTGGAGCAATTAGGAGGCTGAGTGCAGTGGTAGTGGTGGTGCGGAGTGTGTAGAATTCATGTTGACAAGAGTTTGGCTTTGGGAGAATTTGATTAGTCAGTACTTTTATATTAAAAATAAAGAATTATAGGGATCAGAATGTTAAGTTACAAATTTAAGGTGAGGATGGCTTTTACCTTCGGGATGAGTGGGGTCTATACCCTACCTACCTTCGCTCCTCCTATCTGCCTGCTGGGCCACTGGACCCCTTGCCCACCTCATGATTTTTCCCCTCTCCTCTGGGGAGGGTGAGGACCTGCCCTCTCACCTCCCCCAGTGCTCCTGTCCTCTCCCTTCCTGGTGTCTTATAGGGCTCTGCTCTACGGAACCTAGGCTGAGAAGGGCAATCCACCATGATCTTTTATAACATGTATTCAGGCAACAGAGAACTCAATGAATCCTGCTCTTAAAGTTCTTTGCTTTGGGTGTTTTTGCACTATGGGCTCTTCATAAGGAACCAGGGGTCACCAGCTCCATCCAGGTGCATATATGTGTTCCCCCACATCCTGTGGATTGCAAGGTCAGTGTGAGCTTTAGGGGAGGGAGGAAAGCGAGAGGCTGGGGCAGCGATACTAAAGCCTATCTCATTAGCTATTGCACAACACCCAGTGGCCACTCTTTCTGTGCCTTGTTAGCCAAGAATGCCGTGGAAATAAGAGCGTTGCAATTAAGGATGAGCTATTGATGAAACACTGGCTAAGGCAGCTTTCCAAGGGAGCAGTGTGTGCAAAAGTCTGCATGTACAGGAGGGCAGAGTTCTTGCAGGTGGAACTAAGAGTAATTTCATGAGGCTGGAACCTATGGCATCCCAGAGCCTCCTTCCAGGTGATGAGGTTTGGGAGTACAGGGGAAGAATATTAGGGGATTTCGGAGTGGTAACCAGACTAAGTGAAAAACTAATGTTTTTCTCTGTACTCTCATAACCTGTCTGACACCAAATATGTGGCGTTTGCCCTCACACAAAGCAGTTCTCCAACTCTTCAGGCACTAATTGGATGTTCTGCAATTCAATTATGATACTAACTATTGGGAGGTAACACAGCCCCAACAGGTTAAAGGCTCAGCCCCACAAGACTGTCCCACTTCAGATGCCATTCACAAGTGCTAGGTTGTTGCCTGTATTTCTGACCAACCAGCTACAAATCGGGGGTTCCCATGACCTCCTACTCAGGTTCGGTAATATTCTTGAATGGCTCACAGAACTCAGGAAAGCACTTGACTTACTATGACCAGCTTATTATAAAGGATACAATCAGGATCCACCCAATGGAAGAGATGCTTAGGGCCAGGTATGGGGATGGAGAGGGTCGTGGAGCCTCCTTGCCTCTCAGGGCATGCCACTCCCTCAGCACCTGGCATGTTCACCTGCTAGGAAGGCAGTGGTTACCCTGGCTCAAGCCCACTGTTGAGAGTTTTTATGGAGGCTTCATTACATAGACATAGTTTATTAAATCATTGGCCATTGGTGGTTGATGTCAACCGGGAGGTCAGGAAGTCAAGGGGTGTGATATGGTTTGGCTCTGTGTCTCCACCCAAATCTTACCTCCAATTGTAATTCCCATAATCCCCAAGTGTCAAGGGTGGGACCAGGTAGAGGTAATTGGATCATGGGGGGTGGTTCCCCCATGCTGTTCTCATGGTAGTGAATCTCATGAGATCTGATGGTTTTATAAGCATCTGGCATTTCCCCTGCTTGCACTCACTCCGTCCTGCCACCCTGTGATGAAGGTGCCTGCTTCTCCTTTGCCTTCCACCAAGACTGTAGGTTTCCTGAGGCTTCCCCAGCCATGCGGAACCGTAAGCCAATTAAACCTCTTTCATTTATAAATTACCCAGTCTTGGCCAGTTCTTTATAGCAGTGTGAAAACAGACTAATACAGGCTGGGACTGAAAGATCCAATCTTCTAATCACATGACCGGTCCCTCTGGAAACCAGATCCCATTCTCCAAGGGTCACATCATTAGCATAAACTCAGGTAAGGTTGGAAGGGGCTGATTTTGAATAACAAAGGATGCTTCTGTGACACCTGTCATGCGGGAAATTCCAAAGGCTTTAGGAGCTCAGTGCTAGGAACCTGGGATGAAGACGAATTGCATATTTCTTATTATATTACAATATTACACAGGCCCAGTTATGCAGGGCCTTCTAAGCCCTGGTAAGGAACGTGGACTTGAACCTGAAGTCTGGAAGCAGCCCCCAGAGGATTTTAAGAAGGGACATGTACTTTAGGATGCACTCTAACCTCAGTGGATCACTTTGAGGAGGGCAGGAGACAGGAAGAGGAGGTAGGAAGCTATTATGCTAGTCCTAATGAGAAATGATGAAAACTTGAAGGAAGGCAGTGGTACCCAGGTTGGAGAGGAGGGAATGGATTTCCCAGCTATTTACAAGGTGGAAATCTGCAGGACTTCTCTGCAGGAATTGGAAACTGGCTATTCATTTTCAGAAATAACCCATGTGTGGCATTCATGTGCTAACTCGGCTGATGAATGCACTATTCTTGTAACTAGGTTGGAGAAGAATTACATGAAGGGTATCATTAAGATGTTAAAATGAATGCATTACATATGTTAACAAGTGTATGAACCCTGTATTATATCTGGCAAACGGGGTGTTAAATCCTTGTTCAACCAGCCAGATGTCTCTGCAGCTGCTGCTGGTATTGCAGAGGGAGGCAGCCACCTGAGACCCCAGCTATAAGCTGGTGCCAGTGATTTCCAAAGCATCTGGCTGTACAAATTCCTTCTTCTGTGCTCTGATTGACAGGTACCACATGGATCACACAATTCACATCACAATGCACAGGTGAGATTTTCAGTCTGATAAGCCCAGACTCCAGCAACTTGACCTTTTCAGAATATCTTTGCAGCTGAGAATGTTCTCAGTTGGAGCTGAAATCTATTTATTATTATTATTATTAATTTATTTTTTTTGAGATGGAGTCTCATTCTGTTGCCCAGGCTGGAGTGCAGTGGTGTGATCTCGGCTCACTGTAACCTCTGCCTCCCGGGCTCAAGCGATCTCGTGCCTTAGCCTCCCGAGTACCTGGGATTACTGGCAACTGCCACCATGCCCAGATAATTTTGAAAATATTTTTAGTAGAGACGAGGTTTTGCTGTATTGGCCAGGCTGGTCTTGAACTCCTGGCCTGAGGTTGATCCACTTGCCTCAGCCTCCGAAAGTGCTGGGATTACAGGTGTGAGCCACTGCACCAGGCCTATTTATATTACTTTGTAAGTTGAAAAAAAAAACACTGTAGTAAAACAATCTTAAAAACAACTTAATAACATTCTCTCCTGAATTGGAATGTTATCAAAGTCTTGTTTGGGGCAGTTATTCAGCTGAATTTACAAAGAGGGGCGTATCCTTTGCTGTAAATGTTTAAATTGCCTGAAGCAAAATTCCCATAACTACTTAAAGGAGTTGAAAATACTCCTAAGTGTTTATACTTATTCTTACACAGTACCATCTCTCCTGAGTGGCCCTAGTTTACTGAGATTGAGCCAGCTCTGAGACATCTCCCTCCTCCTTAAGTTTGGCAAATATCCTAAAACGTTTGAAAAGATGTTTAAAAGATCTGAAGGAAGCTGGTCTCAATGGACCAGAGACAAAGTCTGCACAGCCAGGCTCCTGGGAATTGCACTTCTTGGATGTTGAGTTCAGGAGAGGCAGTACTAGAGACCACAGTTACACAATCACATTGATCTTTTGTGTACTTTGTTTCCTGCAGAAGAAATTGTGTAATCCCAGCATTTTTTTATGAGTTAAATAGAAGTTGAAATTTAAAAAAAAAAATCACATTGGTTGTTTTCCTGTCTGTTTAAATGTACTCTGACAGCAAAGATGAAAAGTTAATGCAGTCTAAATAGAAAAATACCACAATGAGAAGATTTTAAAAAAATATTGTGAAATATCCTCATCTCTATTGTTTTTAGACGTTGGGGTTTCAAATCTGCAAAGGCTGACTGCGGCGTTGTCAGGATTGTCAATGTTGGACAGCGTCCACTAGGTGGCAGTATCTCAGAAGGTTTCTTTTATCCTTGAATGGGCAGAGATTTCTTTGGTTGCTCTCTTTGGTAGTTCGGTTTCCTTTTTTTGTCTTGTTTTGAAGGGTTAAATGAAGCTATCATAATTTACTTATCTAAAATTGCACTTATCTAAAAATGCATAAATTCATTGCAAGGCCTACTTGTTACAGCGTGACCATAAATGAGTTTATTCATTCATGTGAATTTTCTTGGTAACTTATTATTAATGATCCTAGCGTGTAACAGATGATGAATATGCCGTATCCTGAGAAGGTAGATCACAAATCCTCCTGGGAAGCTGGACATGGGTGCTCATTAGCCAAGAGAAGAAAATAGGGGCGTCCTTTGCCCAGCTTCCTCAGCCTGGTAACTGTTTCTGGCTTCTGCTCCAGGCTGTTCGCTGAGAGGTTTGTTGAAGTTACCTGCACTTCTCTACGCAAATCTACAGGCATTCTGATGGCGTAGGTAACATGTGGTTGTGTTGGATGTTTATTCAGAGTGTTAACTAACTGGTTTTTGTTAATTTACAGCTGGCTTAAAATAAGATAAAATGTACATACATTTTTTAAAAGATCTCTTTCATGTGAATAATTTGTTCAGAAGAAAGGAGTCGGGATATTCTTTTGTAGTATTTTCCCAAAATTAGATTATCAGAACTTTCTGAATTCAAAGAAACCGGCAGTGCCGTCTGAATGATAAGATTTTGGAATAAAGAACTATAGAAATTTTAAAACACTCTAATTAATCTGACAGATGTAGAGGACTAATGTGGATGAAAAGAAATGTAAATGCAAAGCTTAGAAAATAAATGGAATTGTCAATTGGGGTGAAGTTTGGGTTCGTCTTCAGAAGGACTCCTATAATCCTGAAAATGAAAAATATTAGGGGGCTATCAAAAGGTCTGTGTTTGGCATGTGCATAGCAAGGTCTCTGATCTTTGAGAAGATGGCAACATGGAATGGCTCCAGCTTTGTGGAGTGGACTCGATAGGGTCATGTTTGGAGATGCAATGTCCCTTATCCATGTCCTGCAGGTCTTAGTCTTGGGGGTTCATCAGCCAAGCCATAAACATGGGTTGGCCAGTTCTCAGCCAGTTGTTTTCTGAAGCCCCTGGGAATTCTGAGATCATATTTTCTGATGTCCCGGCTCCTTTTTGTCAGATCCCAGGATCCCCAGCAGCCAGATGCCAGTCAAGGTGAGCCACCTTTTCAGAGTTACTGCTTCAGGGAGGGAGTCACGCTAGGGATTCCTGGGTGGGCTAGTGGTATTTTGTCCCAGCTTTCAGGAGTGTATTTTATGACGATGGCTTGTAAAAGGATATGGGCATACAGATCCAGAGACCAAAGTTCAAGTCTCAGCTTTATTAGGTGAAGCCTTATTCTCTCTCTGCCTCCATTTCTCAGTCTGAAAAATGAGGTTAGTAGTAGTTATAGTTTTCCAGGCTCTGATTCTAACAAAAGTCAAATATGGTAACAGGGAAAATACTTTGCTGTCTACAAATGTAAGAGGTTATTAAATTTTCAATACGTGGAATATATATGCAAGTCATGAGACTATAGTAAACCCTTAACTAAATTGAGATGTCACCAAACAACTATTCATGGGAACACTTAATTAGTAACAATGCTTCTCAATACCTGCTACATATTCTTATCATCTGGGAGCATCTTTAAAAAACTACCCAGTCACTATCAGACTAATTGGGTTCATTATCCTGGCTGAGGTTGGGGTCAGGGTATGGGTATCTTCTAAACTGCCTAGGTGTCTCTGCTGCGCAGCCAGGTCCCTCACTGGAATGCATCAAGTACTGCCTACAAAACTTCAGTTACAATCTCAAGGCCAGAAGACACCCTAAAAGTCTAGTCTTAGAAGAATGTTATTTTTATGATTGATATCTGTGCACATAAATAACAATGGTTTTAGAGCTCAAAAAGCTGGGGTGCAGATACAGATATTGGGAATACTTTCTTTGTACCTTGAGGTTATAGACAGTCATGCGCTCTCTTTTTGACTCTGAAACTTACCTATAAGGTTTCTGAGGGGAATTGCAATCCTTCAACACCCAAAAGGTATAAAATGAGAGCAGCATTACCTCTTGGGTCTCTAGCTAGAGTTTTAATTCATCCTGGGTCATGAAGCCTTTTGTTCTTTTTTTTTTTTTTTTTTTTTAAAGCAGACATTGAAAGTGCATCTGAGAGGTGCTGCTGGTTACTGAATTTTCCTGAAACAAAATGGGTCCGTAGCAACTCTGACCTAGAAGTTTCTGATTAAATGGGAAAGAAAAGTTCATAGTTCATTCCCGGGTAGAAGAGGACAAACTTTCCCTGTCCGTTGCATCGGTGGCTTGAGTCTGCTGCTTCTTTGGCCTGGATATCAAGCTCCCAGAAAATCTCCAGTCTGTGCCTCTGTGAATCTTTGAGGATGTGAAAGGGATTGTCATTCTCAGATGAGGCCCCAGGCCAGCAACACCAGCTCACTGGTGCTGAATGCAAATTCTCAGGCCCCACCCCAAATCTACTGGATCAGAAACTCTGGGGCTGGTCCCAGCAGCCTGTTTTAACACGCCCTCCAGGAGGTGGTGGTGCAATGCATACATGCTCAAGTTTGAGGACCACTGAGCTAGGACAAAGGCACTTTTCTTGTTTTTCTTTTTCTTTCTTTTCTTTTCTTTTTTTTAGACGGGGTCTTGCTCTGTCACCTAGGCTGGAGTGCAGTGGCACGTCACAGCTCACTTCAGCCTCTACCTCCTGGGCTCAAGCAATCCTCCTGCCTCAGCCTCCTGAAGAGCACAGGTGGATGTCGCCACACCCAGCTAATTTTAAAAAATTAATTTTTATAGAGATGAGGTCTCCTTATGTTGCCCAAGCTGGTCTCAAACTCCTAGGCTCAAGTGATCCTCCCACCTTGACCTCTTAAAGTACTAGGATTACAAGCATGAGCCATCATGCCTGGCCTGGCTTTCTTGATTATAAGTGTGTTTGTATAGAAAATCACAAAACAGGCATTTGTAGGTATATGCTAGACTTAGTTCTGCTTCCTTCTCCCCTTCCCCATCTCTCCTCTGATGGAAAGGCAGATCAGAGCTAGAGGGAAAATGAGGGGTAGCGTTCAATCTCAGAATTACTCTGTCACCAAGGTTCCTCTTCCAATCTTTTAAGAGCCAGTAATCAAGTAAAGATATACTGTGTATATATAACCATATAAAGATATACACAATGTTTAGAGATATGCTGCATATCCAGCTTTGCTGGCACCAAAGTGAAGAAGAGATGAACAGAGGAAGGTCTATTCCCTAAGGCCACCCATCCACCTGCCTGACAAGAACTGGGAAATAAGAAACTGCTATCAAGGCATGTCCCTGTTACATGTCAGACCCCTCCACACACTCCCACACTTCCGCAGCACTTGGCACCTGCTGCAGCAAGAAAAATGCCCAAAAGCCAACTAAACAAGCAGTAGCATTTGAAGGATAAGGGGCCCAATGGCTGGGAAACTGCTGATGTGAGAAAGACCGCACAGTTACACTCACATTTGCAGCAGGTAGTAGAGCGCCATGAGCAGCTTAATAATGAAATTTTCCTATAGCCTTAAGGGAGAAAATAAAAACCTGCAGAAAGAAAGAAAGAAAAAGATGCACTGTGTTATCTATAAGTCTGTTGTGAAGGCAGGGGAGACAAAACTAGGAAATTCCAGAAATTAGGCACCATTGAGAACCCGGAGGTCTTGAGGAAATCTTGGAAGACTGGAGGTTGACATGAGTGGGGAAGAAAACGAGGCCTGGGAAGGGCCACTCAACCCAAAAGGGGCTACCATGTGCCTAAATACCCGCCCTGCACACGGCACTCCCAGAGCTGTGCAGTGTAGTGCCCTGGGTCTAGGCAACAGCAGAAAGTGGCTTTGAGTGAGTCCTAGGGTTTCTTTCTAAGAGTCAGCCGCACTGTGACTAGAACTTCAGAACAGGTCAGTGAAGACAGCTGTGCTATCTCCTCCAACGGTCATTAAAAACAACGTAGATTCTTATCTCTCTCTCAGAAGTTTGGAAGCAGAAAGAAGAATAAATGTTATCTCCAGAATCCTTCCAGCTAATAACAGTTGAAATTATGTTATTGCCTCTATCTATCTATCTATCTATCTATCTATCTATCTATCTATCTATCATCTATCTATCTATCTATCTATCTATCTATCTATCTGTCTATCTCAAAGCCCTCCTCTCTAGACACTTAAAGAACTTAAGCTGCATGGCCTATCTTTCAAACACCGTGGGGAGAATGGTTAGCATGAATAGTTATTCCAGTAACAGGGGAAATTAGGAATCTCTCCAGAGTGGTTTTTTTTCAGTATCCTTATAATAGATATCTCTTTTGTTTTTTGTTTTTGTTTTTGTTTTGAGATGGAGTCTAACTCTGTCACCCAGGCTGGATTACAGTGGTGCGATCTCAGCTCACTACAACCTCCCCCGCAACCTCCCGGTTCAAGCGATTCGCCTGCCTCAGCCTCTTGAGTAGCTGGGATTATAGGTACCCACAACCACACCTGGCTAATTTTTGTATTTTTAGTAGATACGGGGTTCCACTGTGTTGGCCCAGCTGATCTTGAACTCCTGACCTCAAGTGATCCGCCCATGCCAGCCTCCCAAAGTGCTGGGATGATGGGTATATAATAGACATCTAAATTTACCAGGCACTCTGCTAAGTGCCTACACACATTATCTCCTTTAGTCTTCACAAGCACCCTGTGATGGGGTGCTGTTAATATCCTCCGTTTATGCAGGAACTTGAACCAAGGTGAAAGCCTGAGCTTTCATCCCCTCCACCTTACTCTTGCCCTAAGATGTGACATTTTAGTGTCAGCTAATGTCTGGATACAGGTGGGCATGTGGTTACCTATTTCATCCTTTATTCTCAGGGTTCAAATTGAGATATGCAATTACCTATACTCTTTATGTTTTTTCTTTTTTCTGGCTTGTGCTTCTAATCCTCTATTTGTGGCCATATTTTAAGTTAATTGTTGGTACTCTAAAGGCTCTTAGACTTCCATATAGTGCTTTAAGTACACTGTAACTTTAAAGTAAAAAATTAACCACTGGGAGCTAAGCATCGTTCTCTTTCCTGTGGGCTGAGCTTTAGTATTATAACAGAAATTCACTAATGAAATAGACATGAAAAGAGCCTTCCAGAAGATTTAAGAGGGTCATATATTCTGTGTAGTTGTTATTTTCCTAGTTAACTTCATCTCCATTTGTGTACCTGCTACAGATTTTTAATTATGTTCAATTACGCCATGGTTTATAATCTACATCGTCTTTTACTTCCTCTTACCGTCCAAAGTATTTTGTTTGAAGTTGGGTATGATCTCAAACACATCAACACCAATTCTTTTGGGGGAACTTCCATTGATAGCCACCTAATACATATAGGAATTTCACTGCCAATGTTACTATGGCACCTTTGGAAGGAAAAGAGGGTTAATTTGTTGCATATGTAACAGCCCTGAATTCTTATTGCTTTACAGAAAGAATGATTTTATAAATAAAATTATTTTTCCTTTTTATTTCAGGAATTACAACATATCGTTGGATCACAGCACATCAGAGCAGAGAAAGGTAAGCATGGATCCATACATCTGTATGAAATCCCACAGGGTCACTACTATTTTGGCTATAATAATATGGTTTCTCTCATCTCCAGCGATGGTGGATGGCTCATGGTTAGATCTGGCCAAGAGGAGCAAGCTTGAAGCTCAGCCTTTTGCTCATCTCACTATTAATGCCACCGACATCCCATCTGGTAAGCTCTATCTGCATCCAGCCTGAAAAATATTTTAAGAGTCATTTATCAGCCCATTTCAATACTGAAACCTATTTTTAGTCTGTCACTGAATTTTTGAGAGCCCTTACTTCAAAGCCAAAGGAAAGACCATTCATCCTCAGGTGATGATTCACATCCTGGAAACTGTGATTCTCAAAAATGTCAGAATGGACATCATCACCCTATTCATTTTCAGATCATCAGAATGGATGCTTATTTTAAATGACTGCCAGCTGAAAGCCTGTAACCTGGAAGGACAATCCTTTGTTATGCTCATCTGTACTTTCCCAAGCTAAAGTTGACACAGCCCTGCTGCTGACCTCAGAGGTGAATGAATTCATCAGGTAGTCACATACTCAGCTATCTCCTGCAGAGGTCCAGGGAGGACACTTTAGACCCCCGTTAAGATCTTTAAGAGACAGTAACCCTCTAGAAAATGAGATCTCCTCCCCCTTCTCCAAGGGCTTATCATTTTCTCTGAGTAAATGCTTAGCTTGATGGACTAGAGACCTGATTATCTTGAAAATGAAGAAACCCGGAGCTCTCTGCCTACAGCTACTGTAATACACCAGTTATTCCATCATACAACCCCCACTGGTTACTTCACCATGGGCTAGATAGCTATCAAAAAGATAACAGAACTTTATGATACAGTGACAATTGAACATTCTTGTTATCATCATGCCACTAATGGAACACTTGAAGATCTTAAAGGGGGATCTTCAGGTGTCCTCCCTGGCACTCTACTGGAGATGGCTGAGTCTGTGACTACCCGATGAACTCTTCCACCTGTCAATCAGGTGTTTTCCCCTTCCTCAATACCTCTCATCCTTACTGCAATCCTGCAAGGTAGGGATTATCACGCAAATTTTGCAGACAGGGAAACTGAATGATACATAGGTTGTCATTTGTTCCCAGTCATGATGATGATAGGATTAGAAGTAGAATTCCCGTCCCGTTGATTGCTAAGTCCGTGCTTTCCATGCTCTCTATTATCACATAAGCAGGCCACAAGGTACTTGTGGTCAGTTGGCTTGGCCAGAGGGAAAGAATTCAAAGCCCTTATGTTTCTCTTTTCCTGTGAGAAGTAGATTCATGTGACGTCTAATAACAGGGGTGCTAAAATCTGACTGCCTGGGTTTGAGGCTCCATTGTCCTGGCTCTGTGACCTTGTACAATTTATTGCAATCACATATGCTTCAGCTTCATCATGTCTAAAATGGGGATGTTGATAGCATCTGCCTCAAGGGGTAGCTATGAAGATGAAATGAGGTAGACTGCTAACATTCTTGTGTGGAAGAACGGCCATAGTAAGCACTTGGGAGTGTGATTTGTTATTTTTGAGTTCAATTAAATAATTATACATATTCCACCTTTTTCCTACAAATAATTTAAGGCAAGTTTTTCTCGGAGTTAAAGAAAGAAAGTTCAAGTTTTGCTAAGTTATTTGGAAAACTTTGTTACGGCATGGACAAGGGGGAATTTTTCCTGACCGAAGACACAGAAAGGGAGAAACCAATTCTTTGGCTTTTAGAGGATTTTCCAAATGACCTCTCCTGTCCCAGACACTTGCTTCATAAATAATTTGTCTCACTGTGTGTCTATGCATGTCTTGTGGTGGAGCTACACTAATTTTCTCTGAGTGGAAAACTGTTTTGCATGTTAGCAAAGGCAATCAAATAAATATGGATGCATCTGTATTAATTTCTCTGAGTGGAAAACTATTTTGCATGTTAGCAAAGGCAGTCAAATTAATACTAATGCATCAGCTGTGTGTGCTATTAATGTTCCCTACATTTATCTTTTCAGTTCACTTTAAATGGCATATGATAAATATTGCATTAGACCGTTTGCCAAAGTCTGTTTGGCAATAGCAAGCATGTTTTAGTTATAAAACTCTCTCTGCAGGCACCTAGCATCAAATCATTGCCAAAAACACAAGGCAAAACTCCTGGTTATTTTCTGACAGTTATTGAGTTTGTGACTGAGTGAGATGAGTTAGTGTATACTTCTGTTTAAGAAAATAGAATTTGTGGCTCTGGCTGGGCCCACAACTCCTTGAGTCCATTTATTACCCAGTTTTGGCCAGTACTGGAGGTTTCAGAGGAAGTGGCTTTAAATTTGCATGTTCATTTTGGGGCTCTGTTTTATACTTACTTACACAAGTAAAATCAGAATCTGCCTTATATGGACTGATACCACTTGCATTTTCAAAATATCTTAGATGAAATGCGTTGGGAAGTATTTAGTGAGGTCAGAATACATGGCTTTCTTTAGGAGGATACTCAGGCTAAATATTTGCAGAGACCTCTTCTGCGGTACTTAGCAGCAGGGACTGAAGTGTAGGGCAGGGGAGGCTGGGAAAGCTGGCAGGCTGGAGTCAGGGGTTGTCAGTGTGCCTCAGTGATGAAAATCCAGGTTTCCATGTGAGGCCTGCTGTGTGATCACTGCATATTTTTCTCATGTTTTTACCTGGTATTATCTGCTTCTGAGTCCTCTCTTCACACTGACTGGCTCTCCTCCTTTTCCCCCATACGTGCCATGCATATTCCATTCTTTGCTCAGTTTCCTTCACTGACAATACCCTCCCTTTTCTCAGCCCATCCAAGTCTGACCCAAGGCCCCACTGTCCTCTGGCTTCTCTGCCCCTTCCTGAGCTGAGCTCTCCTGCTTGCCATGAATTTCTGTAGCTGTCTCTTGGCAGTTGCTTGTAACTGAATGTCAACCATGTGCTATGCAACATGCAGAAGTGAAAATGCATATTTTATATGCTCATTTTCTATTTTCTCTACTATTAGTGGTGAGTGCCATTAAGGCACAGTTGGTTGATGTAATTCTTAATTACGGGCAGACTGCCTGTTCCTAAAAACACCACGTAGATATTGTGTGACTGATCAAAAGCATGAACCAGTGAATGTATGAGTAAGTCAATGCACAAAAATAGAGAGATGTTTAGTAGGAAATAAGGGCACTTCTTCCACATGACTTACCTAACAATGGGAATGGTAATCGGTCAAGGTTCCTCTCTTCTCCTGCCTCTCTATTTCATATTCTTTCCTTGCCTTCCTAGGCCATATCTTGCTCTAACGCCAGCTGATCCATCCCATTGAGAGGGTAGACTTCTCTTCTGTTAAGAGATAACTATAAGAAAAATCATTGATTGAACAACAAATTGACTGCAAGAGTGGGATAAGAATGAAGGCAGCATGGGATAACTTGAGATGGGAAACATCTTGAATTTCATGGATTTTGTCAATGGATTAGAGGAATTGCTTTTACTAGTGTTCATGAAGGTGTGATGATCATGCTCACTCACTTGGGGCCAGATGATGGTATTTATATCTGGGGTGCTTTAATCTGGGATGACCTGAAATAAGACCTCCGATGAAAAAGAAGGGTGTTTATTGTGGTGAGCCCAGGAGGCAAGAGGGCCTGTGATGACCCCGCTGCAGATAGGTTGTGGAGTTCAGGAAATATCCTGTTTCTGGACAGAGGGATTGGAACCATTGAATTCTTGGTCTTCTCATGATGGGTTGCCCCACCGTTGGATGGCCCTTGCTGCAGTTTTTCTCCCAAGTGGTTGAAAGAACTGCCTGTTTGGTTCCTACAGCCTAGTTTTGAGGCTCCCAGATCATATCCCAGGCTCCCAGTTCTTTAGAGATAAAATTGTAGAACATTCTCTATCTTGTGGGCCTCTAGAGAAGGATGTAGATGTTCAAGGCCCACCAAACCAGACTAGGCTGGGAAGGTAACTAGTGTGTGTTTCCTTTTTTTTGTTTGTTTTGTTTGTTTGTTTTTTGAGACAGAGTCTTGCTCTGTCTCCCAGGCTGGAGTGCCGTAGCGCGATCTTGGCTCACTGCAACCTCCACCTCCTGGATTCAAGTAATTCTCCTGCCTCAGTCTCCTGAGTAGCTGGGATTACGGGCGCCTGCCACCGCGCCCAGCTAATTTTTTGTATTTTTAGTAGAGATGGGGTTTCACCATGTTGACCAGGCTGGTCTCGAACTCCCGACCTCATGATCCACCCACCTCAGCCTCCCAAAGTGCTGGGATTACAGGCGTGAGCCACCGTGCCCAGCCATGTGTTTCTTTCTCGATGAGGCTCTCATAAGGATTCACTCTAATCAGAGAGCTGTCAGTTTTGATGGATCTCTGGAATCCACTATAAGTCTTCATCTCTGGGCTAATTTATCTCCCTCAGCATCTCAGGGCCTGACCTAAGTTGTGGTTGGGTGTGACAGGCAGCAATGAACTTCTTGTGGCTGCAGGAACTCTCTCAACTCCAGTCTGAGACTCAACTCTGCTTTGTTTTGCTGATTTCAAACTGCTGACCACCTTAGTTTAGTATAAGTATTTACAAAATCCTCTGGAAGAAAAATGTATTTTTGTACTTTCCACAGTATTACAACTTTCCCACCATTAGTTACCAGCTTTTCCAGTTGAACAATAGTGTCCACATCAATACAAATCTTTGATTAATTGGGTTTATCACAGAGGTATTGCCAATTTTTAATGACCCAGGAAAATACACCAAAGGACCTGAAATATGAAAAGGATTGGACACACTGCTGGTTTAGAAGGTTCTTTAGAAATTTTTACTGCTCTGAAGCTGTAGCAAGAGGACCAGGTGTCACCTCATTTCAGGGGTGAGTAGGGCTAAATGAGAATTCTGGTCAGTCAGGAGAAGCTTTACAGACCTTTGGTCAGAAGGATTGTGTGAAGTTGTTAAGCTAGGGAGTGCAATGCTAAGAATATGTTCTTTTTGAGCTTCTCTGGAGTTAGCTTTTCAGTTGTGCAAGCTAAGGTGGGAGACACTTGGGCTACTGGAGGTGAAGAAAATAGATTATGAGAATTGAGTTTAGACGTCTGACCTTTCAGCCAAAGTTACTGTGACCCAGTTTTTCATCTCCTACTTTCCCTCTTCATGAGTTAAAAGAGAAGGTTGAGACTTGTGACATGTGGAAATTGTCTTCCTATCCTAGTTTCTTGCTTTCCTGTCTCAGTTGCCTTTGGCTTATCTCTTCCTTCAACCTGGAATGACCTTTCTGCTCCTGTCTGTGTGGCTGAATCCCATTTCTCTTAAGTTCTCAGGCTTAGCAGCAACTCCACAAAGGCATTCTTTACCCTTCTGGGTGGAAAGTTGTTCTTGTCTCTCCGTCCTTTGAGCTCCCATGGGAGTTACTGAACCTTGCCTATTGTTACTCATGCCTTACTTCTGCTCTGAACACATATCGTACTTACCCCTGGTGCACTATAGACGCCTTGAGGGCAGGAAAAATGAGTTTTTGTCTTCGTAGCCTCTACTGTGCCTAACAGAATGCACCAAGTACATCTGAATGTATTCTCCCCTTCTAGAAAAGAAATGCCAATAAGTTATTCTCCCTTTGAAATAATGACTGCTATACTATTTTTTCTCCCTAACCTCATAGAATTGTGAAGACGTCCTTCTCATTTAAGGACTGACTTTCAAATCTTATGCCTCTCTTCTCCACAGGTTCCCATAAAGTGAGTCTGTCCTCTTGGTACCATGATCGGGGTTGGGCCAAGATCTCCAACATGACTTTTAGCAATGGAAAACTAATAGTTAATCAGGATGGCTTTTATTACCTGTATGCCAACATTTGCTTTCGACATCATGAAACTTCAGGAGACCTAGCTACAGAGTATCTTCAACTAATGGTGTACGTCACTAAAACCAGCATCAAAATCCCAAGTTCTCATACCCTGATGAAAGGAGGAAGCACCAAGTATTGGTCAGGGAATTCTGAATTCCATTTTTATTCCATAAACGTTGGTGGATTTTTTAAGTTACGGTCTGGAGAGGAAATCAGCATCGAGGTCTCCAACCCCTCCTTACTGGATCCGGATCAGGATGCAACATACTTTGGGGCTTTTAAAGTTCGAGATATAGATTGAGCCCCAGTTTTTGGAGTGTTATGTATTTCCTGGATGTTTGGAAACATTTTTTAAAACAAGCCAAGAAAGATGTATATAGGTGTGTGAGACTACTAAGAGGCATGGCCCCAACGGTACACGACTCAGTATCCATGCTCTTGACCTTGTAGAGAACACGCGTATTTACAGCCAGTGGGAGATGTTAGACTCATGGTGTGTTACACAATGGTTTTTAAATTTTGTAATGAATTCCTAGAATTAAACCAGATTGGAGCAATTACGGGGTGACCTTATGAGAAACTGCATGTGGGCTATGGGAGGGGTTGGTCCCTGGTCATGTGCCCCTTCGCAGCTGAAGTGGAGAGGGTGTCATCTAGCGCAATTGAAGGATCATCTGAAGGGGCAAATTCTTTTGAATTGTTACATCATGCTGGAACCTGCAAAAAATACTTTTTCTAATGAGGAGAGAAAATATATGTATTTTTATATAATATCTAAAGTTATATTTCAGATGTAATGTTTTCTTTGCAAAGTATTGTAAATTATATTTGTGCTATAGTATTTGATTCAAAATATTTAAAAATGTCTTGCTGTTGACATATTTAATGTTTTAAATGTACAGACATATTTAACTGGTGCACTTTGTAA
Source organism: Homo sapiens (assembly GCF_000001405.40). Classification (NCBI taxonomy): domain Eukaryota; kingdom Metazoa; phylum Chordata; class Mammalia; order Primates; family Hominidae; genus Homo; species Homo sapiens. Next base: position 42,607,546 of record NC_000013.11, read on the forward strand.
ATTCCCTGGGGAAAACTTGCAGCTAAGGAGGGGAAAAAAATGTTGTTTCCTAATATCAAATGCAGTATATTTCTTCGTTCTTTTTAAGTTAATAGATTTTTTCAGACTTGTCAAGCCTGTGCAAAAAAATTAAAATGGATGCCTTGAATAATAAGCAGGATGTTGGCCACCAGGTGCCTTTCAAATTTAGAAACTAATTGACTTTAGAAAGCTGACATTGCCAAAAAGGATACATAATGGGCCACTGAAATCTGTCAAGAGTAGTTATATAATTGTTGAACAGGTGTTTTTCCACAAGTGCCGCAAATTGTACCTTTTTTGTTTTTTCAAAATAGAAAAGTTATTAGTGGTTTATCAGCAAAAAAGTCCAATTTTAATTTAGTAAATGTTATCTTATACTGTACAATAAAAACATTGCCTTTGAATGTTAATTTTTTGGTACAAAAATAAATTTATATGAAAACCTGCCTTGTGATTTTGTACTTCACCTTCATGTCTCTTTTGCTCTGTGATCCTATTATTTTCAATATGGTAATGTGGCTTCTATCTCTTTCCAAAGGTTACTGGGAGAAATGCAGATTTAATTAAAAATTAGAAGCAGATTCAATTAAATTAATGATCCTTGGAATCTGAAAAATAATTTGCAAGGAATTTGTATGCAAGGATATATCCAGATAGAAAATGGAGTCTTCTTCACTTAAAAAAGCCAAAATTTATATTATGTTGATATTGTGAGAAAAATATGGTGCTTTGTATAAGTTCATAATGTCTTAAAGAATAACTGTGCATGTTGTGCACACGTACCCTAGAACTTAAAGTATAATAAAAAAAATAGTAAGAAAATGCACGCACACAAAAAAGAATAACTGACCTGGAGGAACACCTGACATTTTATACCTTACTGTGGTAAGGAAGAATTAACAGTGTCCTGGACTCTTGTTCTCATGGAAATTTATACAGGAAAGCTGTCTGACCCAGGTTGGTTACTTATGTGGGAGAGATATAAGAAAATAAGCAGCTTGGGAAGGCACTGTACACCATAATCTAAGGCACTTTTCATTTATGGATAAATGTTTTTAGATGGCTGTGACAGGATAGAAGGAGAGAAGAAACAGCAGATGTTACAAAGAAGAAATTGTAAAATTCAAACAGCAGAGCTACAATGGTGGAACTCAATCATTGGCCAAAATAGACCTACTATTTAAAAACTGTCAGTACGTCTAAGGTCAATTGGTATAAAATATGACTTCTGTGTTTCATGTCCCAATTGCTGAGCCTTAGTTTAAGGAAAAAATAATTTTGATAGGCAATCAGAGAGTTTCTCCACTCTCCATTGGCACTGTCTTATTATGTAGAGTGCCTCATTAGCTACTGTTGCTCTCATAATACTATTCTGTTATAGGACTAACAGGTTCATATGCCCACTGCACAGTAACAGTCCAAGTACACTGAGACAGCAAGATTTGTGGCAGAGGAAGAGTTTAATGATCTCAGGGCACCAAGTGAGAGGATGGAAGGAGACTCAGATTCATCTCCCCCGAGGAGTTCTGGGCTGAGGTTTTTAAGGGGATTAGGGAGAGCGAGGGGTTAGAAAATTGGGGTCATTGAGTGGCTGGGGTAAGAGGGATGAAATCCTCAGGATGTGGAAGCTGCATTCCTTGGTGAGGGAGCTTCTCATGGGGTCCTCTTCAGATCAGCTGGTGTCAGTAGTTTTGCTGATATGCAGGACCTGAAAGAATGTCTCAAAGGGAAAACTTAACATTTTGTGATGTTCAAGCTGTTATCTATGGAGCATTTAAAGCGAACTATAATCTTAGAGTCTACATGATTCTAAGACAATAGGCAAATAGCTATGAGGAAGGGGTCGGAGAGCAAGCTGACCTAGTGATGGATGCTGAGTGTGTTGCAAGCTTGCTTTATTTTTGTTTTCCCCCCTCTTTGCTTCCCTGATAAATGTTATAAAGTTTATAGGGACAGTTTCAAATCTGTCATTTCCAAAGGTGAATGACATTCATCCATTTGTTTGTTCCATATTATTTCTTGAGTACCATCTATGTGCTAGGCACTGTGCCAGGCATGTGGATGCTATGGCACTCTCCCTGCCCTTGAGGAGTTTCCATTCTAGTTGGGAGCCAGCCTAGCAAGGGTGTGTGTGGTCAGCCCTAGGGTGTGGACATACCGCAGGCTGTGGGAGCAGAGAGGAGGCTATGGAACCCATCTTGGGAGCCACAGAAAGTCTGAAAATGATATCAGACTGGATAGGAAGTGGGGTTGAAAAAAGCTTTGAAAGTGGATATAGAATATCCGTTACCATTTTTAACTTAGAGGTAACTGAATGTGCAGTCTCTCAAAGATGAACTAAAAATCCAAGGTCCAGGAATGAAAAAAAAAAACACCCCAGGATCTAGTGAGGTAAGACATGGTGGCACCAGCCAAACTGGAGAACTAACATGGTAGAGGGCCTGCAAAGCCAAGGGACAGCCTGTATTGAAGACCCCAGGCCGGGCGCGGTGGCTAACGCCTGTAGTCCCAGCACTTTGGGATGCTGAGGTGGCTGAATCAGGAGGTCAGGAGTTTCAGACCAGCCTGGCCAACATGGTGAAACCCCATCTCTACTAAAAATACAAAACGTTAGCTGGGTGTAGTGGCAGGCGCCTATAATCCCAGCTACTTGGGAGGCTGAGGCAGGAGAATTGCTTGAACCCAGGGGGCAGAAATTGCAGAGAGCCGAGATTGCACCACTGCACTCCAGCCCGGGCGACAGAATGAGACTCTGTCTCAAAAAAAAAAAAAAAAAAAAAGAAGACCTCAATAATGGAGCCTACCTGTAATGTGAATTTTATGTACATTAGCATCATAGCAGGTCAGAGATGTTTTAGAGCTTTGCTGGAATGAATCTATGACTTAATGAAAAGTGAGTATAAATTGGACTATGCCTTGAAGGAGGCAATGGTAGCAAGTGGATATGCCAGGAGGTATGGAAAAGACTTTTCTAGTCATGCTCAAGGCTTGCCAGGCTGAGTTGTAGGGTCTAAAATGCAGGATGCAAAATACCCTACTTTCCTCTTCACATGCTACTTTTTTACTTCTGTTTTTCTTCTCACTCATCCCTTTTACCCTTTTGTGTGTGTTTGAACTCTTCCCTTTTTTCTTTTCCTGTTCCCCCCAATGCCTGGCTCTTGCCTCAGATGACAATTTCATTTCTGTGGTGGGCCTCGGGGAATAAGGAGGCTGCTGCATCTAATGGAGATGGAACCAGGTCATGTCAACACTCAGTGACAGCTAAGTGTGTTGAGGTGTGACAAAATCATGTCAGGAAACCAACACATATGATGGCAAACTCAATTGTTTGCTCATTTTAATGACTTCATTTCAATCTTATTCCTAACACATGCCAAATCTGAAGGAAGGAAAGAGTGTCAAAGTTGAAGCCATCTGTCTTCTTGAATTGACTTGCAACTCCACCAGACCATGCACCCTTGCACCTTTCAAAGCGCCATGTGTGCACCAATTTTTGTTTAGTGTACCTGTTTTCCCCTCTTTGCCTATTTCCTTTTCTCTATTCATCTTCATTAGGCCATCCTAGAAAAAAATATCTGGAGCAGATGATCTATTTCCCCAGTGACTCTGGGGGGAAGCTGAGCACCTCATGTATATCCTTTCCCTCTGGGTCTGATTATTGGTTTGGCTTGAGCTAGTGCCATCAGGTTATACTTGTACATTTTGGGAGCATAACCTTGACTCAAATTGCACTTCTACGTTTAGCCTGGCCAAACATGGGCTTGCTTCACTTTTGGCTTTGTTAATCGATTCTTCAGCTTCCTTGCTATGAAATTGAAATATGTTTCCCAGTAGCTGCATTTATAAATGCTAATTAGTTATTGATTCACATTATTATGATTTAGCCTTGTGTCACTTTCTACAATAAAAAGTGTATACACAGTGAGTGTTAGATTTCAGCTATAAAGCAGAAATCTATCCTTTTGATTAATAACACTTCTATGATACTTCTACTCTTCTATTCCTGTAATTTAAAATGTTTATTTCCTAATCATCTACCATCACCTCCCCTCTCCTCTGGTGACTGATTTCCTTTGCAGGGGCTTGTCATTATTGCACCTTGACCAGTGCTCTGGCTGTTTCTAGTGGCAGTCTCTTGATATTATCAGATGTGGACAAGTTATAACAACATTATTCATATTGCTACTGGCTTTCAATGTCTGTAAAGAAACCATGTAGAGTCTTCTGTTTTGAAAATTCTTAGACGTGTGTCTTCCAGTTGGCAAAGGAGTGAGCTAGAAGTTACTCCATTAGCAGCACCCAGGGGATCAGAGGTGGTTTCAGAGGCAAGAAGTTTTTCTAAAAAGGTTGATAGTTACTTCAGTCTGCCTAAAGAGGGTCCTAGAATCATGGGATGTCACTCTGTTGGGCAAATGCCAATTTCTTCCCTTTCCTATGGATTCTGCAGACACTTCGTTTTCTCAGAAGTGTGATCTCAGCAACCTCAGGTTGGTGGAACAAAACGCCTCATGAGATGTGAACATCTTTTGAAAGAAAGATTGCAGATTTAGGTGTCAGCCAGACCCAGGCCTGGAGTCTGATCTCCACTGCCTGGTACCCTGGGCAGGTGGCCATCATTTAGATTCAGTTTCCTGCCTTGTGAAGCAGGAGTCACCCTGCCTGAGCTGAGTCATAAGGATTGGCGCAAAACGGGCTCAACAAATAGGAGCCACCGTCACTATCCTCCTAGCCCATTTGCTATATCCTTGCACAAAGTTTACGCTTTTTTTCTCTAGATGCTGGACAGGGCCCACATTAAGCAAATTACTGTGCTCTGCATTGTGGTACCAGAATAGATACTGTATTAATTCCCTACAGCTGCCTAGATAACAAATGACCACAAACTGGCTGGCCTAAAACAACAGAAATATATTTTCTCACAGTTCTGGAGGCTAGAAGTCCAAAATCAAGCTGTGAGTGGGACCATACCCCCCTGAAGACTCTTGGGAGGAATGCTTCCTTGCTTCTTCCAGCTCATGGTGGTTGCTGGCACCCCCGTGTGTTCTTTTCCTTGCAGCTGCATCACTCCAGCCTCTGCCTCTGTCTTCACATGGCTTCTCTCCTGTGTCTCTTCACATGATTCTTCCTCCCTGTGTGTTTTTTTGTGTTTGTGTGTTCTCTGTGTCTCCAAATCTCTCTCTTCTTATGAGGACACCAGCGACTGGATTTAGGGCCCATTCATCTTACCTTGATTAAGTCTGCACCTGTTCAGATGGACATAAATTTTGGGGGAACGCTATTCAACCCAGTATAGATACAAGGAACTTAGAGTTCAGGGGTGAAATAAATATTTAAAAGCCAAGTCATAAACAAACTGGAATGAAATAAATGCCACAATAGAAGCACAAGCAATGAACTATTGAACTCACCTAACTCAGTGAGGGTTTGCTTTCATTGAAATATGAGTGAAACCATATTTTGATGACATTTGAATAGCTACAATGTGCTGTTGTGGGCTGCCTGTTTTCAAGAGATTATTTCGGGGTTGGGACAAGGCTCATATGCACTCCTATTTACCTCCACTCCTTAGAAGATCCTCCCTACACACACACACACACACACACACACACACACACACACACATGCACACACAATTCACCCACGCTACACTAGGACATCCGGGCTCTGCAGATGACTGCTACCTGGATTTATACTTGTTTCTTCCTTCTAATGGCGAATGTGATTTTGCTCAAGGATTAGAGTTTAACCAGTTTGAAATAGTTCATCTCTTTAATAAATACGGAATAAGATGGAGAAAACGTTACTCCCCGGAGCTCCAGAGTGCAGAGGAAGGTGGACCAGCTAGATGGAGCTTTCCCCAGGGGGATCTGCAGGGCTGGAGATTTAGCATGGTGTTCTGCCTGCATGCCAGGGGGCCACACGACGATCATGTGGGTGATGGCAGGAGGCACAGTTGGGCTGAGAGGACAGAACCATATTGGTGACTCTGAAGTCTTTGGTAAAGTGACCAGCTTTATGAGTTTGTTGTGGTTGCATTCCTGGTGGGAACCCAGTGGAAAGGCAGAGTTTGACTGGCGCTACAAGATACAGAATGGAGCAGGCTACAGAAGCAGGAGCAGAGAGAAGCACAAGGCCATGGCCCGACCTCAGGTGTGGAGATGCTGGTGCCTTGAGGCGGGGTCCTTGAACCTTCTCTGGGCAGGGAGGCCTTCTTTTGTTAGTTAGTGTGCTCCGGAGATACTGAATCATAGTGTATTGGTATAGGCTGGGAAGTCCCCTTCCTGCAAGCTGGAGGCCCAGGAAAGCCAGTGGTGTAGTTCTAGTTCAAACCCAAATGCCTGGGAACTAGGAGAGCTGATGGTGTAAGTCCAGGTCTGAATCTGAAGGCCTGAGAACCAGGAGTGCTGATGTCTAAGGGCAGGAGAAAATGAATATCCCAGTTCAAGTTGAGAGAGCAAGTTAGCTCTTCCTCTATTTTGTTCTATTCAGACTTTCAATGGATTGGGTGATGCCCACCCACTCTGTGGAGGATGGGTCTTCTGCACTCAGGCCACTGATTCCAATTCTAATCTCTTCCAGAAAGCCCTTCACAGACACACCCAGAAATCACGTTTTGCCAGCTATCTGGGCATCCCTCAGCCCAGTTAAGTTGACACCTAAAGTTAACTGTCATGCTGCACTGAGGACACTTGGGTTAGGTATAAAGTGGCTTGTTCAAATTTAGAAGGAAAGCATCTTAAACCCTAATAGATGAAAGAGGAAAAGTCCGCACACAACTCTAGGGGAAACCCAATAATACACCAAACTTTAAAAAAATTTCTAAATGAAGAATTAAGTCATGAAATAGGGGATAAGAATTTGTGTAAGTTTGCCTAAATAGACAAGGTTCAGAGAGACATTATCTATAGCAGCAGGGGAAAAAAGGACCCCCAGAGAGCATCAGATACATACAGCAGGTGCAGGACAGGTGCAGCACCTTCCACTTCCCTTTGTTCTGCAGAATCACCAACACAGGTGGCACTTACTCCAAAAGGCAGATCTTATCTTGAGTTCAGGCACAAGTCAATAGCACAGAAGCAGTGATGAGTGTCTGGTCCATAAGAAAGAGATAAGTGTGCAACTTGGGGGAGAGAGTCTGTCAGTTCAGGTCTAAGGGCAATTAACATGGAAACGATTTTAGTGTGTGGTCAAGATCTCAAAAACAGGAATTCAGCTCTGGAAGAAGACTAACAGAATCCCTAGAAGTGGGTCAGATCGCAGGTGGCTGGGGGTACAGGCAGTGCCCCCTTTCAAGACACCAGGGAGCTGTAGGTGTGGGAGGAAACTCCAGGTGCCCATGATCCCCGGGTAGAATGGGCCAGAGAGGAAGATAGGCTCCCCTGTAGGGTAGATTCAGAAAGCAGCTATGAAATCTCATCCCTGAAACTGTGAAAGACTGTTACCTTCTGTATTAGTTTGCTAGGGCTGCTGTAACTAATAATGACAAACTTGGTGACCTAAAACAACAGAAATGTATTCTTGTGCAGTTCTGGAGCCAGAACTTCTGAAATCAAGGTATCGGCAGGGTCAGGCTCCCTCTTGGAGGATCTGGGAAGAATCCCTCTTTGCCTCTTGCAGCATCTGGTGGCTCTAGGAGTTTCTGTGGCTACTTCACTCTAATCTCTGCCTCTATCTTCATGTGGCCTTCTTCCCTTCTTTCTGTGTCTTTTCTGTTTTTGCTTTTTTTTTTTTTTGAGATAGGGTCTCACTATGTCACCCAGGCTGGAGTGCAGTGGCACAGTCTCGGCTCACTGCAGCCTCCTCCTCCCAGGTTCAAGCGATTCTCATTCAAGCCTCAGCCACCCGAGTAGCTGGGATTACAGGCATGCACCACTACGCCTGGCTAATTTTTGTATTTTTAGTAGAGGCGAGGTTTTGCCTGTTGTCCAGCCTGGTCTTGAACTCCTGGCCTCATGTTATCTGCCCACCTAGACCTCCTAAAGTCCTGGGATTATAGGCATGAGCCACTGCGCCCAGCCTGTTTTTGCTTCTTATAAGGGTGTTACAATAGGTAGCTAGTCAGACATGAGTAGTGCAGGAGAACAACCCCCAACCAGGAATGTCAGGCCACCATTAGATGATGGTCAGGTGGTTGTCAAACTCTCTAAAATAATTGGTTGCGGCCGGCACCAGGGAACAGCAGTCTCCCAATAGATAGAAACAGCTGAAACTGGTGATCAGCAGCTTCCCAGTAAGCTCTCTAAGAGTTGACCTAGTGGGCTCACACGTGAGCACTAAGAGGCAAAATGGTGGCGTTTAATAGGCATGTGACTTTCCTCTAGGAACTCTCAACTGGTAAGGGAATGACTCATCAAGTGAGCATGCGTACAGCTTTAGTAAACACACTGCACATGCAGCCCCTCCCAAGTGCTACTTCCCTCTGTTCTACAAAATCACCAACACAGGTGGCACATACTCCAAAAGGCGTATCTTATCCTGAGTTCAGGCACAAGTCAATAGCATAGAAGCAGTGAGGAGTGTCTGGTCCATGGGAAAGAGATAAGTGTGTAACTTGAGGGTGAGATTCTGTTGGTTCAGGAGTAATGGCAATTAACATGGAAACGATTTTCGTGTATGGTCAAGGTCTCAGAAACAGGGATTCAGCCCTGGAAGAAGACTAGCAGAATCCCTCGAAGTGGGTCAGATCTCAGGTGGCTGGGGGTACAGGTAGTGCCACTGCACATGTGGACAGCGCACCCCAAGAATCAAGGGAGAAAGAATGCAAGATCCCAGAAGTATGCCAAGGTATAAAACCCCAAGTCAAATGTCAAACTGCGCATTTGATCTCTCAAGTTGCCCACTTGGCCCTCCTCCAAGTATACTTTCCTTCCTTTCTCTCCTGCTCTAAAGCTTTTTTTTTTTTTTGAGATGGAGTCTCGCTCCGTCACCCAGGCTGGAGTGCAGTGGCGCATCTCGGCAAGCTCCGCCTCCCGGGTTCACGCCATTCTCCTGCCTCAGCCTCCCAGGTAGCTGGGACTACAGGCGCCCAACACTACCCAGCTAATTTTTTGTATTTTTTTAGTAGGGACGGGGTAAAGCTTTTTAATAAACTTTCATTCCTGCTCTAAAACTTGCCTTGGTCTCTCCTTATGCTTTATGCCCCTCAGTCAAATTCTTCCTGAGGAGGCAAGAATTGAGATTGCTGCAGACCTGTACAGATTCACCACTGGTAACAAGGGCACTAGTCATTGGATTGAGGTTCTGCCCTGTTAATCCAGGAGGTTCTCATTTAAAGATCCTTAACTTAATTACATCTGCAATGACCCTTTTCTTAAATAAGGCCATCTTCACAGGTTCTAGGCTTTAAGACATGAATATATCTTTTTTGGGGTCACCCCAAATGCAGGCTGGGGTCATTCAGCCTTCAACACCCTCCCCTGGACTGTGTGCCAATCCTGTTAATGGGGCCAGGCACACTGATGTCTTTCCCTGGCTCCCAGAGAGAGGCAGGGAAACCTACTAGGAAGAGTCTGAGACTGGAAAACAATAAGTGAAATAAAGAATGATGCAAATGCCTAGATCTGCACATTTCTAAACGGGTGACTGCAGGGAGACAAATCCCAGAGGGGAGAGACAAACATGAGAATGTTGCTGTGTTGGAGAGGTGGGATTACGGATGTTTTCTTCTTTTCAAAATTTCCGTGACTGTTGTTACATTGCCATTGAATTCAATAATAAAGAGCATTAAAACTCATCTTTTCAATAGAGAAATGAGATTGCAGCTTTTGGCGCTAAATGAATCTAGGCTCAGGACTGCTGGCCTGTGCATTTTTGAAAAAGAATACACTAGGGGCTTGGGAAAAGCACATCAGCTGGAGGAGAGGAAAGAGGAGTGAGGAGCCAGCTATTTAGAATGGGAAGAAGTGACTTCTCCCCAGCGTGCTGCCCTTCATTGTTTACAGCCTTTGACTTAAGTATTCAGAATTAGGGGTTAGAAAACCCTGCAGGAACCAAGCTTAGCATCCAACACCCCATTATTTCCTCCAAACACTTATCTTCTCACCTTTCTTTCTTTCTTTTTTTTTTTTTTTTTTTTGAGACGGAGTTTTTGCTCTTGTTGCCCATCTTCTCACCTTTCTTCCTGATTCCAGAAGACAAGATGAGGAAGCAGGGCCGTATGAAAGGAGGATGTTTTCCTAAATGCCTTAAACAAACCCAAGAGGCTGAGAGTTAATTTTTTAAAGATGACTTGACAGCTTGTTCACCCTGTTTACTGACATCAACAAGGGAGTAAGCACGGCAGACAGAGATAAATTAATTGAAATGTCCCTGTAGCATGTAAGCTGCTTGGGTAAAGATGGTATCCTTGTGGCGTGGCTGTTTAATAAGGGGTGTGTGTGTGTGTGTGCATGTGCATGTGTGTTTAATGGATTGTTGAAAGGAATTCAAAGTCAGCCGTACATTGTTTTGTGGGATATAATAAGGGTTTGTGAGAAAGTCTTTCTTTAAAATAGAAACCTTGACATTTTAAACCTAGGAATTCCTAAGTAAGCCTCAGATATTGGCCCATAACATCCAACTCTACAAGCTACAATGTCTGTAGAGCACCTCCTGGCCTGAGAAGAGCGTTAAGATTCTGGCTCAAGAGGACTGCAAGAATTTAGATTTCTTGTTAGTGAGAGCTGGCTAAAGGGAGAAAAACAAGCAAACAGGGTTGAGAAAATCTTTCTCATTTGTGCTTTACTATAAAATCCTTTGGAAATTTTATGCACTGTTAATATTAGTATCTATAGCCTTTAAATTATTAAAACAAGCAATTCTTATGACATAGTTTTGTTTTTACAGGAGATTTAGGGAGATTTTTGCTGTCATTCAATGCCCCAGATGTATCAGAAGGCAGGTCCTGAACCACGTGGGGCAGACCAACGTAGTCTACTTTAAATAAATATTTTGAGGCTAGGCGTGGTGGCTTATGCCTGTAATCTCAGCACTTTGGTAGGCAGAGCCAGGCGGATCACTTGAGGTGAGGAGTTTGAGACCAGCCTGGCCAACATGATGAAATCCCATCTCTACTAAAAATACAAAAAAAAAATTAGCCAGGCATGATGGCACACGCCTGTAATCCCAGCTATTCAGGAGGCTGAGGTGGCAGAATTGCTTGAACCGGGGTGGCGAAGGTTGCAGTGAGCCAAGATTGCACCACTGCACTCCGGCCTGGGTGACAGAGTGAGAACTTGTCTCAAAATAAATAAAATAAATAAATAAATATTTTAAAATATCTGTTGAAGATTTGTTTAGGAGAGAGAAGAACAATGTATATGAAAGGACAGAGAAGAGTGCTGCTGCATTGCTGGTGGAAGCAGGAAGGCTCCTTTTGGCTGCCCTGAACAGTTCACATCTGGCCCAGCCTTGCATAGCTCACTCAGTGAAAGGACTCCTGAAGTCCATCAGAATCTCCCTTAATATCTGAGCAGCTGCCTTTGTTAGAGGAAACTGTTGTGGGAGATCGGTATATGTCAACCAAAATATGAAGAGTTGAAGGCAATTAAGAAGCAGATGCAGGAAAGCTCTCTGCCCTCCCTCTATTTGCTTAAAAGCAGGGCAGATATTTACAAAAACAAAACGTATCCAGCCCTGCTCCCTACTCTACCAGGGAGAACAAAGGTTGGCCACTGAAGACAGCTTTAGACCCTCATCAGCCTGGAAATAATAGCAGAGGAATCTACATTAACAAATGGGACTAACTAGCCTTCACCTTTCATTTATTTCCCTTCCCTCCATGTGGCTGCCTGTAGAGACTCAAATTCTTTTTTTTTTCCTTTATCTTGTCACTTCTCTAAAAATGTTCTCTTATTTGCTGATGTTATATAAGCTGGAATTCAAACCACCTCTTTGAGAACTACTCCTTCTCTGGGTGTCTGCCACTTACATATGATATCTACGTGTTAATACACTTGTTTGTTTTTCTCTTGTTAATCTGTCTTTGTAGCAGGGGTCCACTCCAACTAAGAACTTATGGGGGTTATTATTTTCCTCCACAGTTCCCCTTTAGGAGCCTGACTCCTACAGGTGAACCCAGGGTCCAAAAATGTATTTCTTTCTGCATAGAGAAGTAAATATATTCTCCCCATTCCCGTCTTCTTAAATTTCCAGTGCCTCTGGCACCAGCCACTCTGGTCCTTTCAATTTGGCTTTGTAAAAGGTAGCACTGTAGTCACCAGTCTTTCCATAAACAATAACTTCCCTCTCATCACCAAAAAGGATTTATAGACTATTTTAGATCCAATTGTCAAAAATTATCAATTGTCTTATTAAAGCATTTTTGTGTGTTTTTTGTTTTGTTTTGTTTTGTTTTTTTGAGATGGAGTCTTGCTCTGTCGCCCAGGCTGGAGTGCAGCGGTGTGATCTCGGCTCACTGCAACCTCTGCCTCACTGGTTCAAGCGATTCTCGTGCTTCAGCGTCTGGAGTAGCTGGGATTACAGGTACCTGCCACAGCATGCCTGGCTAATTTTTGTTATTTTTAGTAGAGATGGGGTTTCACCATGTTGGCCAGCTGGTCTCGAACTCCTGACCTCAAGTGATCCACCCACCTTGGCCTTCCAAAGTGCTGGGATTACAGGCATGAGCCACCATGCAATGCCAGGCCCTGTGTGTGTGTGTGTGTGTGTGTGTGTGTGTGTGTGTGTGTGTGTCTTTTAAACCAGGATCAATGCTTAAGAAATATCTACATTTGTTTCTTTTCAAAGATCCATGACAGCATATGTCTCATGGTTAAAAACTGTGAACTGGGCAGTAGCGGGACATGCTCCTTTTCTCCTCAGGTTAGCCAAAAAGTACCAAGAATCTCCTTTGTGCTGAGCATTATGCTAGGAGCTGACCTCATACATAATCTCTTTTAACCCTCGCTATTTTCTACGCAGTGACCGTCATCCCAGTTTACGGACTCATAAATGTTAAGTGACATCTGGACTGTGTGTGTGTGTGTTTGGGATCTGAATGTAAAACCACAGGGCTTTTTTTTCTTCACTCTGCTGTCACAGACAATGTGACTGATAGTTCCTTCTACCTGAGCTGTCCTCCTACTTCTCACCTGGCCAGATTCCCACCATCATTCAAATCTCTGTCTTAGACCCACCTCTCCATGAATCCATCAGTGATCTATTTCTTCTGTGAACTCCTATTGTTCTTTATGTTTTAATCACACAATCTAAGACTTGATTATCTCTTATCTTGGACCACCCACTAATTGTTTCCCGAGTCTTATCTCATCTTTCTAGAGGCGTGTGAGCTGCTTTAGCACGGGGGGAGTGTGTTCTCTGTGCTTCTCTTGTGTTCCCAAAGGTGCTGAGTGCATAATGGGGGCAGAGAAGAGCACCATAGAGGCCTCTTGAATACATGACTGATGAATTCACCTGTGTCCTCTGTCAATTGTGAGCATCCACAGCCCAGCTTTTGTCATGTGGCACTTAAGGGCCCTTCAAATTCTCACCCCAATTTCTTGCCAGAACCACATAGAATTAGGTGAGTGGAGGGGGTTAGGATGGAGACAAAGGGGCCGTTTATCATTGTTGGTTTTTTCAGGTGTAGTGCCTTTACATGTAATCCCATGGCAGTGAAGTATGACAGAGTGAAAAGATGAGTGAATTTGATGTTTGGAGATAAGGGGTCTAGTCCTGTCTCTTGAATAATCATTTCATACCTTTGATAAGGCTCTTAAACTTCCTATAACTCTACTTATTTATTCATAAAATTGAAATATTAATAGCCACATCACCTATCTTGCAGAGTTGTTGAGAGTTCAAGTAAAACAATAGATGCGCAAACATATCATAAAGAATAAAATGTAATCGGAATTGAATAGAGCCCTGTTCTCAAAATCAGTAAGACCAGTTAGTTACACAGTTTGACCCAGTGAACATCTCACAGCTTTCCTGAGCTGCCTTCCCACTCTGGCTCCTTCATACCCCCCTAAACCAGCAATCATTTCCAGGGATTTTGGTGCCACCTTCTGAACCAGAAATCATCTTCGGGAAAACTTGAGGGGTCAGTGGGGTCAATTCATGCCCTGGTCTCTATGGTAACCCAGATATTCAAATTAATTCTACCTTGATCTGACATTTGTAATGATTTTTTTTTCTCTTGTTGAGCTCTGGTTTTACATTCTAGAGAATGAGTTTGTCTCTTCAAACCTTTCTCTCTTCTAAAGCAGAAGAGAAAGGAGGAAGGCAGGAAGGCAGTACCCTTGAATCACAGTTGCAATGGATCACTTTCTCCTTGCTGCAGGCAAAATAAAAATGTCTTCCAGGTAGAAATGAATTAGGGTGTCAGGGCCAAATCCATCTTCTTCTTCCTCTTCACTGAGCACTTCTGTACTTTCCTCTCTGCCTGGTGGAGCTGATTCATCTGCAGTGAGCCTCATGGTGAAAATGAGGGGAGTCCAAGAAGACAGTGGCCTCTCCAATTCTTCTCCCTCATTTAAAAAAAATCCAAATCATTAAAGACCAGCTCCATCTTTTCATTGTGTCTCTTAACCTATACTCTTCAGAGCCTAGAGTGTCTAACATTTGGTAAGGACTCAATATATTATCAAACAAAATTTAAAACAAACTTTAAAAAAATAAAGACTTACATTATATGGAAAAGACATTTGCACATGCATGTGTGTAGCAGCGCAATTTGAAATTGCAAAAATATGGAACAAATCTACGTGCCCATCAACCAACGAGTGGATAGGGAAAATGTGGCATATATACACCATGGAATATGACTCAGCCATAAAGAGGAATGAAATAATGGCATTCACAGCAACTTGGATGGAGCTGGAGGCCATTATTCTAAGTGAAGTAACTTAGGAATGAAAAACCAAATATTGTATCTTCTCACTTATAAGTGGGAGCTAAGCAATGAGGATGCAAAGGCATAAGAATGATATAATGAACTTTGGGGACCTGGGGGGAAGGGTGGGAGGGGAGGTGAGGGATAAAAGGCTACATATTGGGTGCAGTACACTGCGCAGGTGATGGGTGCACCAAAATCTCAGAAATCACCACAAAAAATCTTTTCCATGCAACCAGAAACCACCTGTTTCCCAAAAATTATTGAAATCAAAAAAATAAAATAAAATAAAACAAAAATAAACAGACTTAAAAGAACATTTCCCAGAAATGGCAGAAAGAATATTCCCCAATGAAAGGGATGGTTCACTAACGAATAGCATTTCCAACAGCAAGGACTATCTAGAGAACATAGATTGTGTGTGCGTGTGTGTGTGTATGTATGTGTCCATGTGTATTTGAGGAGTGTGACTTACTATGCTTTTATTTATTAATATAAGTCACAGACAACTTAACTCAAAGTGGCTTAAAGAAATATAATCAGGAAATTTGTTTTCTCACATAGTAAGCAACCCAGCAGTAGATCAGGCTACCGGTGTGGTATGTCAGGGCTCCAGCTCCGCTTATTATGGCCTTTGCTTTCTTCCCTTTTGTGTGTTGGCTTCACCCTCATGATGGTAACCAAATGACCCCAGCAGTTCCAGCCATCAAATCAGTTACAGCAAAGTTCAGAGGAAGAAGGGAACTATCCCTTTATATCACTTTCTAAGGATCAGGAAAACATTTCCTAAAGCACCCCAGGTAATATCTTCCTACTTCCGACTGGCCAGAGATGGACCTAGGGTCAAGGGTCCATTCTTAATCCTGTGTAGTGCCAGGTATGAAAGTTCTGAGGGTTCCAAGTATAGGGCAAGATGCCACCTCTTAAATTCCCAATTCCAAGCAAAGAGTCCCAATGCTTGGTGACCAGTCTGGATTTCAAACATATCCCCGACTTGGGCAGATGGCAGGCAGACAGTTTGTAGTCTCTTGCCCTACAAATCTTTCAACTAGTTTGAGTTTGATGGTGGAGACAGGAGCATGGGTAGAAAGTTCTTTGCATTCTGAGTCCCACAGAGAGATCTAGAGTATGGGACTCCAGTTCCAGGCACCTTGAAGATTCCATCACAGTGGGAGTTGCAGACAGCCTTTTTTAGTCTACTACTTTTTCAGTGAGTAACCACTAAATAAGACATAAAAACACCCACACATGCTTCTACCAAAGGCAAGCATAAGTCATTAGGCTCATATAGTATAAATTCGTTAGGAAGAGGAGGAACACATTACCAGCTGTTCAGACAATTTGCAAGACTCTCTTTTACCATAGAGCAAGAAAGGTACTGGCTTTCAGAACAATTGACATGTGTCCTGTTTTGCAGAGCAGAGTTAACTCTTTTTCTTCAGTCCCTCTTCTTTCAAATAGTGTAATTTTTGGTCTCCTGGGAACAATAAACTGGCCTATTGCTGATTTATATAAAAGTAATGGTGGCTTCCTTAGCTAATAAAAGAACCCATGGAAGCTTTGCCAAGTAGAAGACTGATGAAATCCCGGGTGGGGAATAGCTGTCACTCCAGCAGGGTTTGGTGAAGTGAGAACGGAGATGGTGGGGGTTCTGGCTGGTTTCCCTCTTCCAGCAAGGGCTGCATGCCTTGAATTGGGACAGATCAATTCTTCTGAGAGCTGGCACCTTCTTGCTCTTTATGTGTGATCCCACTGTGGTCTAAGATTTTTTTGGCAGTGGTCCCAGGTTCTCCATTCTCCTTTTCACTTCCCTTCTCCCCTTTCCATAATGAGTTGATGCCAGAACAAGGGACTGTGATGGAAGAAAAAATGTTAGGAATGCTCAGCAAACTTCCAAGTCTCATGATGGAAATGGTCTTCCTGGTTCAGGTACCTGTTTTCTGCCTGGTGCTCTTTCTAGGTATTAGAGATTAATACTCCGATCTCAAAGATGCAAAGCTTTGGCAGGTTTGCAACTCATAACTCTTGGGGTGTTTGAAATTTCTGTCTGGAGGAAAGGAGCATGAGGGATTTCTGTAGGACATTTGTTGGTACTATCCTAGACTAAGAAGTTTTGCAGAAATTTAGGCCTTCATTTGTTTAGCATCTGCTAGTGCCAGACAGGCAGTGGGGACAAAAAGATGAATGACAGGCCTCCTGACTTCTAGGACCTTTGAGGAGGAGACTGCAAATTTCCATGTAAGGTGAAAAGTGTCATAATATAAACACAGTGGACCCCTCATCCATGGGGTATGCGGTCCAAGACCCTCACTGGTTGCCTGAAACCATGGATAGTACCTAACCCTACATATTCTATGTTTTTTCTCCTATACATACATGCATATGATAAAGTTCAATTTATAAATTAGGCACAGTAAGAAATTAACAATAATAACTAATAATAAAATACAACAGTTATGCCAGTATACTGCAATGAAAGTTAAGTAAGTGTGGTCTCTCTCTCTCTCTCAAAATATCTTATTGTGCTGTACTCAACTGTTTTCAGGCCGGGTTAACCGAAACCACAGATAAGGGGGTACAGCTGGATACCCCTTAGGCTTTTGGAACACAAAAGAGAGGCACAGTGTCCATCCCAGAAAGTTCAGAGAGGGCTTCCAGGAGGAGATAACAGCTGAGCCAATTTTCGTGAAGTTTGGGTAGAAGTTAAGCAGGTGAAGGACTGGAGAGTGAAGGAGTGGAGAGTAGAACTTAATTGGGATGGGTGAGAAGCAAAATGAAAGACAATGAAGCCACTGGGCAATTGAAGAGAGGAAAGGAACCCCAGTAAAGATAGAGCAGAAAAGGGGGTATGGAGCTAGGGATACTGGGCTGAGGACCAACAGCAAATTCACAGTGTCTTTCAAGATCCTCCCTGTCACACCAGGGAGCAGTTCTCCATGCTCCTTAACAGTCAAAAGTGAAGTCAACAGAAACATTATCCTTCAGAATGGCTTTCTTTGAACATCAGTAGTATAACTTGCCCTCATTTGTTTGGCAAAGGGCAGAGGGGTATGCTCCTGTGGAAACTGAGAGTAAGGTCTGAAAGGGGCAGGTCACACCATGGAGCTGTCACACCTGAGGCCTTTGGGAATCAGCCCCTCCATGGCCTGTTTCTTTTCCTACACTACACAGTGAGACGCTCTCCCTAGGAGCTCAGCTCAGTGGATGCCTACTTCTGCTTTTGGTAGTAACTACTAGGCTTCATTTACATTCAGTTCTTTTTTCCTTTCCAATACATGGATAGATTACACATCTACTCCACCCTGCAACTGGATGGGGTCACAATGCTGGTTTTAGAGCATGTGTTGTAGGCTTGGTGACGTGTGTCACATCTGGGCCAGAGCATTTAATTCCTAGTGCAAAAACCTCTAGTGGTCTCTTCCCTTTGCTACCAAAATGAGTAGCTTTCCATATGGCATAGCTCCCAACATCTTGGGTCCTGGAGTGAGCACGAAGTAAGGCAGAGTCTCTCCCTGATCCCAATGGACATGGAATGTGAGCAAGAAATCCCTTCTTGGTTTTTTGAATTTGGAGTTGCTTGTTGGCGCAGCCTAATTGAGCCTACCCTGAAAGATACAGAGGGCTACCTTTTCCCTTGGACTTAAGACATTGCTTTCCTTTATGGCTGTTTAGTAATAAGAAGCACAACTGGCCTGGGCTTGACCAGTGTCTTTGAGGGGCCCCCAGTGGTGAAAAGAATAGGTTTGGCAATTCTCATAAACCAGCGTCTGGGCAGAAGTCAAAGGAGAGCAGAGGGAGCTATATGCTTAGCCTATGGAGAAGCATATTGATAAGGACTTTATGCCGCTTTTGTGTACAGAACGCAAACTGGAAGATTTCTCTGCGGTAAAACCCCATTGAACACTTCTGCACTCACAGCTGTGTGACCCTCATCTGAACCACCCCCATCCCATGCTTACTTGGCTTACATGTAATGCTTTGGGGCTGAATTTCCAGCACATGTCTATTTTTCTAGAATCAAAAATTCCCTTTAAATTTTCTGCTCTAGCCAATATACTGAGGATCTGGGATGAAAATGTTCCATTCTTTTAACATTAGCCCTTTTGGGCCTGATGGAGCCTAATCAAGGCTTGTTTTTCCATATTTACTTGGCTGCACAAAACATGAGATTGATAACCATTTTGGGTTCCTAGATGACTTGACAACTGCTTTGGATCAGCTGCACAACCAGCACAAATAACTGCAGGAATTGGTCATTAAGATGACTGAGAAACATGTTTCAACTCGACAAGTCCATTTCACGTCAGCAAGTTGATGTGGCCAAGCCCTAGTCTGCTCTTCTTACCCAACTTTCACCTTGAGGAGGCTCTCAGCCCTCCTCCATAGCATCCAGCAGGATAATTTTCTAAAACACAGTTACAGACCTGTCACTCACTTGTCCCAAAGCCTCATGTCATTTCTGAATGCCAACAAATTAAGTGCAAAACATCTACTGGCATCAACTTCTTTATATGAGCTTTTTTCCTGAACTCTCTGTCCCCTGGCTTCTATGTGCTGTGCCCCAGTCTCACCAAAATACCACCTGCTGCCTCATTAATCGTGCATGCCCTTCCACACCTGTAATTGTGCATTCTGATCCAGGCAGCCTTTCCCCTCTCTATCTGGTTATCTGCTCCTCATCCACGAGGTACACTCAAACATCCTCTTTAACATTCCCTCCCCTTCCTTCCCCTTCTTTTTTTGTCTTGTGTGTTTTTTTTTTTTTTTTTTTTTTTGAGACAGGGTATCACTCTGTCATTCAGACTGGAGTATAGTTACTGGATCAGCTCACTATAACCTCAAACTCTGGGCTTAAGCAATCCTCCCACTTCAGCTTCTCAAGTAGCTGGGATGAACACACCACTGTGCCCAGTTAATTTATTTTACTTTTCATTTTTTGTAGAGATGGGTTTGTAGCCCCAGTAACTAGGGGCTATCCAAGAAATATTTAATAAGAGAAGGAGGGAGGGAGAGAGTCATCATTTTCAGTGGGGGCTATACTAGTCGTGAGGGGAGGGGGAATGAGGAGAGGGATGAGCTGTGGGTGACACTCCCAGCCCCCTAAGCATACTCCAGTGTTCCATCAGACTTCAGTTGTAAAACACAAATTAAAATATAAAATTACGAAAAACCTCCAGTGCCAAATGTGGGGGGCCTTCTGCATGCAGGGCCCTGTGTGACTGCACAGGTCTCAGGCTTGTGCTGTCCTCCAACAAGTGGCAGAGTTGGGCGCTCCCAGGCAAGTGGGCTTGGCAGAGGAGGTGGTGTTGGCTTAGCCCCTGATGTTGTCTAAAGGCAAGATCAAAACACGTATTTCAACATGTAAAACCCCAGTTCAGCTTCTTGCCTCAAGTCTACCTATTCCATCTCCTCTGCCTTCCCTTTAGAGAAACAGCAATGGTCTTTCTTTGTGGTACTGGTTTTTGCTGACCATCACCTATGGGAGGAGGGGTTTGACAGTGATGTTCTGCAGACTGAAGTGGTTATGGTAAGTGAAAATCAACACAAATAAATCCCGCTTTCTTCACTGGGGTCACATGCTGGCTTTGGGGAGACGTTTGCATCCATCTATATTTTTTACTGAGGCTTACAAAGTCACATTATTCACATGTCACTCTTAGACATGCATTTTATTAGACATAGACCCTCTAAAAACTATCACTCTTCAGCCAGCTTTAACACCTCTGCTGCTGCACAATTGCTGCTAACTTCACCTTCAGGCAGTGTCTTGTTTAGACAGGTCCATTTTTTTTTTTTTTTTACTGGGTTTATTCCTAAAAATGCCTCCTGAAAATGAATTGCTATAGAAGTGGGTTTCATTTCTTCAGATATATATATATTATTATATATAATATAAAAGCACGAATAAATTGCATCTTGCATAATACTCCATGGCTGACTGTAAGTGTTCCTCATGCATTTCAAATTGTATGAACATTGCCTAAGAGTCCATTTCTGATGCATTACATACTTTATCTAAAATTATAGTGCTGGCTGTAGGAAATATTAATTAAACTCTTAATTAGCTCATGGAATTTTTGTTAATTAATAGAACGAATTGGATGATGTAAATCTCCTTTAAAAATTATTCAGTCAAAAAGCATCAAGTTCCTTAAAAAGTCCAAGTCCTTTCACAGAGAAATTCTATCCTAGAGAAATCAGCATTGGTGATAAACCTCTATGTAAAAAGATGTATACCGAAGTGTTATTTGCAATTGCCAAGCACAGAAAACAACTTAGGTGTGGCACATAGGAATGGTTATGTAAGTGATGGCATTAGAAAGACAGTCTAGTCTAATGGTTAAGGGTGGGCTCTGAAGTCAGCTAGGTCTGAGTTTGAAAGCCAGCTCTTTCACTTACTAATTTTCTGACCTGGGGGATAAGTTAGTATTCTCATCCATATATTATTAATTACCTATTGCGAAATAAAATACTACCCCACAACTCGGAGGCCTTAAACAACAATCGTTCATTGTCATCGCTCACACAGGTGCATGTATGCTGGACTTGGCTGGGCAGCTTTGCTTCTCACTGCTCCACATCGATTGTCCTCTTCTCTTAACCTAGTGGGATAGACAGAGCATGTTCTTGACATGGTGATAGGAGAGCCACAAGAGTGAAAAGTGAAAACACATAAGACAATGTCACATTGTAATTTCCACCTCATTCTATTGATGAAAGCAAGTCACACTGGCCAAACCCAAGTCAAGGAGTGAAAAACAAAATTGCACAGTAAAAGTCATGATCCTATAGCACCTTGGCACCATTGACCTTTTGGGTTCTTCATTGTAATACTGTCCTGTGTATTGTAGGGTGTTTGGCAGCAACCCTGTGTCCCTTTACACACTGGATGTCAGTAGCACTCCAACAGTTGGAACAACCAAAAATATCTCCAAACATTGTCAAATGTGCCCTGGAGAGTGGACAGGAGAATCGGTTCTTGGCTCTACAAAAGGGTGAAGAATTAGGTACAATAATAAAATCTGCCACTGTGGGCTATAATATTATCGACCTTATATTGTGTTTGGAATAATTGAATTCAATTGCTCTTATTTTAATGAATGTTTAATAAATGTTAGTTTTATTATAGCCATATAATGTAGTTATTAAAATTAGATTCTTGAAGGATTTTTAATATCATGGGAAAATGTGTAGGTATGCTTTTAAGTAAAAAAGAAAGGATTTGAAACAATATATACACCAAAAAACAAAGTTTATAAAAATAAGGTACAGATACAATAAGCTATTAAAAGGTGATTTTCTAGTTTGGTCTAATTAGTATAATTCTCATTGTCTTTATGTTTTTCTGTTTTTTCCCCCAAATTTCTCACAATGAGACTGTATTTATTTCTTTAATTAGAAAACAAGTTTCACACAAAAATATACACAGCATAAAATATGTTCAGGATGCTCCAGGCTGGCTCTTTTCTCCCCCTCCACCACTCAAATATTTCCTTAAAGCAAGAAGAACCTTTAAAAAATCATTCTATTACCTTGATTCTTTAGAGAAATATCGTTATAGGTGGCCAATAAGTAAATTTGTTGTTGATGATTTTATTTCTTGCAGTAAATAGCACTTACAAAGTTGAGAATATATTAAATTGGATTTTAAAGAGTTTTACAATATAAAAATATTAAGTATTGGAGATTATGTGAGGATGGAGCAGATTTACATACTGCAGCCAGAATTACAAATTGCTACAATCTTTCTATAAGGCATTTGGCTTCCTTTAAAGTGTTTGTACACAACATTTCCATTTCTAAGTCTCTATCTCTCTCAAGTAAATAATCCAGAGATGTATGTAAAAACTGCTAAATAAAAATGTTCACTAAAGCATTATATACTGCTGCCAAAATTGGGAAACAATGTTCAATGACAGAGGAATATGATGAAATATCCTACAGCCAATAAAAATTTTGTTTGAAAAATCATTTAAGGATATTGGGAAATACTCATCATTCAACAGTGTGGAAGAGTTGCTCCTGCTATCTATTTAGGCATCTTGGATTCAGTAGTAGACTCCCACTCCCACCAAGTTTTAGCAAGGCACAGGTTTCCCTGCCTGCCTTGAAATTGAGATGAGACCAGAAATGACATGAGTATCTTGAGTCACATCCATCAAAGAAAGCAACTGCCTGCCCCCTCCTTCCTCTCCACTCACCCTAGGCCAGACTGCAGATGCGGTACTTGTGAGCAAGCTTGAATAAGGCATCTAGGCTGGTACCCTAGCAGGTGAAGAAGCAACAAGACCACAGAGACCTGAGTTCCTGCATGGCCTCATAAACAGAGATGCTTTCACATCCCCAACTCCTTATCTTGTGAGAGAAAAAAATCAATCTATCTTCCAATACTGTGTTTTGGGGCCTTGTGTAAGAGTAGGTTAGCCTGAATCATGGCTAAACATAAATTGGTACCAGAAATAGTACCCTGCAGGGGAAACAAAAATGCAAACTATATCTTTCTTGTGTAACAATTGTGTTATAGGCAGCAAGGAGACAGATATTGCAGGCTGCAAAGCTGGTGACCTCTCTCAAACCACAGCAAAGCATTTGGTAAAACTGGTCCTATGATAACTTTGAAGGCAGGTTATCTATTTACCAAGCCTGGAGCTCTGGGGGAAACAGTGAAACAAAATTGGAATGTTGGTTTCTGCTGGCTGCTGCTCCTTGCTGCTTTTAGTAGACAGAGATGAATAGAGAGATGAAGTTTGGCAAGAATGTGTCAGTTTGCAAGTAGAGGTGGAAGGAAATACAACTCTGATAAGGATGTCTCCTGTGCTTGGGACTACAGTGTGAATTGACTGTCCAGTAATTTAAGCTTCATGGAGCTGGAAAATTGGACTGCTTCAGCACCATAAGCAGAAAGAGATAATACTGTGTCTATGAGCCTTCCTCCAGGGCCCCTTCATGGAACCATGGGAGCCAATCCAATAGCAAATATAAAATTAAACATATCGTTGTCTCACCCAAGCCTGTTATTTCAGATGGCCTCAAAGTTGCTACTGAGTTAGAAAGAAAATAGTCCAAGGACAGAGCTGAGGAAATAAATGAGAGAAACTTAAGATTTATGCAGACAAGACCTTTGGCTATCCTTCCATGTTCATGGAAATGACTGAAAGCAAACAGTCCAGAAAACTGCTAAGAATTTTGAAAGAATTATGGGATCAAAGAAACCACAAACCTGGCCTGCAAAAGCTGTAATTTTCTGATCCCTAAGGCAACCCCCAGGAAGGAAAGTTGTCCATCCCCAAGGAAGGCATGTTTTCCCACACTCACTTTAGTTGTGGCCACAGAAGTGAATGGACAAGCAGAGTCTCAAAGAGGTCAGTGGACAAAGGAGTTTCTGCCAGAGGGGAGAACTTGTGTCTACTGACCAAGGAATTTTCTGCATTGGCTGAGACTTGTCACAATTTCACTTGTCACAATTTCTTCCCAATAAGATTGCATTATTATTTAGGACCATAATGACTCTGTTTCCCATTCACCTTTTCTCCAAACGGGAGTTTTTATCGCTGCTCTCCTGTTTGACTCCATTATTGAACCATTAAGTATGAGGAAGGTGCCAGGAAACATGCTTATTAGTCTATAAGTCCTCAGATCTCACCACCTTCAGTCCTGCTGGAGAGGACTTCATGTCACCTAGAAATCTTGGACTTTGAGTGGGAGTAGTAACTGGATAGTTACTACTCCGCCTCCCTTGGAGGAGAAGTATGTTCTATGTGGTTAGGAAAGCACACTGAGTGATTGGGTGACTTGAGGCAGAGGCTGACAAATGTCCTCAGTATCTATTTTCCCCTTTTATTTAGAAATAAGCTCTTTCATGCAGGGGTTTTGCAAGATATATGGCTGTGCAATGGGCAACCAACTTTTCCCAGGCTCCTTTATAACTAGGTGTATTTACAACATGTTGTTAAGTTTTGGCAAATGGAAGTGGTCCAAAAAGAAGGGAGAAACTACCAGGGCATTTTCTTAAAAGAGGAAGCTCCTTGCCTCCCATTTTCTTTTCATCTCCTTCTCTCTTTGGTGTGATACCATGTGGTACTGCTGGGTCTGCTTCAACCATAGGGAGTAGCGCAACGCTCCGGGGAGTGTAGAGCAAGACGGTATAGA
This sequence comes from Homo sapiens, assembly GCF_000001405.40. Taxonomy (NCBI): domain Eukaryota; kingdom Metazoa; phylum Chordata; class Mammalia; order Primates; family Hominidae; genus Homo; species Homo sapiens. The sequence continues at coordinate 42,632,531 of NC_000013.11, forward strand.
CCTGGGTCTCTGGGCTAATGCAGGAGCAGAGCTGCCCAGGACCTCTTTCTCCCTACATGAGAGAGAAGAAAGCTTATATCTTATTGGAACCACTATATTCTTGTGTGTCTTTGTAATAGACACTTATCCCAAAACTCAATCTACCCTAATAAAGCAATTGTTTAGGTAAGAAAAAGAAACCAAGATGTGCATTATGACCTAAATTTTCTTCAAAAGAAGTACATGTATATAGAAAAAACCTAAAAAGCTAAGTATCAAGACATTTATTTCTGGGTAGTAATATTACCAATCCTTTGTTATTTCTTGGTGATGTTTTTCCATATTCTCCATTTTTTCACTTTGCATAGATATTATTTTTATAATTAGACAGGCAACAGTATATGCTATTATTAAAATACAAATAACCACAGATCCCTCATTTCTGTCTCTCATGAGAGACAGAACTATTAATATTTTTTCCAACTGCCACAGTTTTTTCAAAGCTAGGAGCATTCGACCACATAAATACCCTGAGGAAGCTCTAAGTGCTTTGTCTATCTTTTCGTGCCAGAAGACCTGTTCCAACACTTGGTTGATATCTATCAAAGTGCTTCATGTTTCGTGAAAAAACTAGAAAAATAATTATCAGCTGATGACCATAGCCTGTAGAAGGGCCCTTCTACAGCTGCTACAGACAGCCTGGGCTGACAGAGTGGGCGGTGAATTACAAGGAGGACAAATGTCCTGGTGAGGAACCCGCCTGCATTTGCTGTCTCTCCAGAAGCTTCTGGCAAGCATGCTTCTCATAGTTTGCACATGGTTGTTATGATTGTTTTTAAAAAACATTTTTATGATCTGCTCAAAACCTTCTTTCTCTCTCCCTACATCCAACCATCTAATAGGTAAATTGCTTCCAGATTAAATCATCTCCTTACTGCACTCCTTCTCTCTGTCCTTGTTGCCATGATTCTACTGTTAGCCACTTTCATCTCTCATTGATGACTGCAGCAGCAGCCACCCTCCCTGCCTCTCATCCTTCTTCCTTTTAATAAAATCTCTTCCCTGCAATCAGAGTTGCCCTTTAAAAAGGCATATCTGATTTTGTCACTGTTCACCCTAATGCTTCTCTATCACTTTTATGATGGAGTCTGATGACTCACAGACCCTCCATGATCCAACTAGTGTTTACATCTCCAGTCTCCTCTCCAGACATTGTTCACCAAACTCTCAACCAGCAAGCACCACCCCCTCCACCCCAGAACAAACATCCTATCTGCTACTCAGTGATTTAACTACAATGAATGCTTTCTTCTTTATCAATAGACTTTAATTTTTAGAGTAAGTTTATAGAAAAATTGACCAGAGAACAGAGAGAGTTCCCATATATCTCCTACCCCTCACTCCAACTTTCTTTATTATTAACACCTTGCATTAGTGCGGTACATTTGTTACAATTGATGGGCCAATATTGATACATTATTATTAATTAAAGCCCTTAGTTTACATTAAGCTTCACTGTTTGTGTTGTACGTTTTATGGGTTTTGACAAATGTATCATGACATGTATCCACCATCACAGTAGTGTACAGAATAGATTCACTGCCCTAAAAATCCCCTATTCCCTATCTGTGCATGGCTTCCTCTGTCCTCCCTCCCCACCTGCCTGATAACTATTGATCTTCTACTTACTCTATGGTTTTGACTTTTCCAGAAATGTCATATGGTTGAAATAATATAGTATGCAGGCTTTTCAGACCACTCCTCTTGCTTGGTAACATGCATTTATGGTTCTTCTATGTCTATTCATGGCTTGGTAGCTTGTTTCTTTTTATTGCTGAATAATAACCAGTGTGTGGATGTACCTCAATGTGTTTATTCATCTCCTGTTGAGGGACACCTTGGGTCCTTTTAGTTGTTGGTGATCGTGAATAAAGGTGCTATAAACATTCATGAGCAGTTTTCTGTGTAGACATATTTCAACCACGGAGTGTCTTTTAATTCCTCAAATGTCCCTTAGTTGGTTCCCTTATCTCTGGACCTCCAAGCATACCGTCCCAATGTCCTAGAATGTGCTTCCATCTTTGTTTATCTAGATAACTACTACTCACTTATCAAGTACAGCCTAGAAATTACTTTCCCAGGAAGTCTTTTATAATCCCAGCAAACTGACACTTCCAGTACTTCCAGTAGGTTAGTTATATTTTCTAGGTGCTTCTGCAGCATTCTCTTCTATACCCTAGCATAGCAGATATCATCCGAAATTGAGGATGTCTATTTATTTCTCTGTGTGACGCACTAGGCTCTGGGTCATTGAGGTCAATAAGGTCAGTAACCATGTGTGCCTTGTCACCACTGTGTCTCAGTCATGTAGTACTCTCTGATACAGGGTAGGTGCTCAGCAAACATGTGTTGAATAAATAGCCACTGGGCTCTTGGCATTGACCACCTATTCTCCATTTAAGAGTGTTTTATATTGCTTGGTAACTGTTCTAAAGTCATCATGATCTTTACTTTTTAAAATATTTCTACCATCCTAAATCCAGAGCCTCAGTACACATCAAGGATTCCACAATGTTGCTGACAAACCAAGGGTTCTCGGTGAGCTCTCATTTCTTTATATAAAAATAACCCCAAATGTTTGCTCCTTTTCCTCAGAACTTTTCATTCAGTAAATATTTTTCATTATCCCTGAGCCCCACTCTAAACCCAGAGATGTTCTCACCGAGGAATAGCCTCCTTCCATTATTACAATAATGAAATTGTTACCATTTATTGGGAGCATTATGGTCAGGTATTGTGTCAGATACCTTCAAAGGAGCTCAATACGTTTTACTAGTAATCCATTCCACTCATAAAGATTCCTGGAGAGGCGGGAAAACAGCATGGTCTTTGTTTCTGAATGTAGAAAAGAAAAGTCAGTGATTTGCTTGAATTCACCTACTTGGGAAGAGATGGTAACAGAGCACTCTCAATGCACAAGAGCTTGGTCTGGTATAACCCATCACACTTCACTCATCCATTTGCTCAGGAATCAATACCTTTGGAGAAGTACTCCACTGACAGTCATTGACTGCCTCAAATTTCTGTAATGATCCTACTTGCACAAAACCACCCAGTTCTCAATAATTTCAAAGTCATAATTTGAAGGACTATATTGTCCTTAAACCTTCTTTCCACTGTGCTGTACTGCCTTAAAAAACATTACTCAGTCTGCAGAAACACTGTAAAACTCAAAGGGCTCATTAAATTATAAATCATGGTTGGGATGAGGGGGTGGAAAGAGGATGCCAAAAAATGAAGGCACCTCTTACCCTCTCCATGAGTTGACCAAGATGTTTTCACAACTAGAAGTCACATGTAAAGAACACGTTAAAATACGTGTCAGCATGGTGTATGAATACCATGAACGTAGCCACACATACCCATGATATAAGCCTACACATGGAGGAAGGACATAAATCATAAATAAATATGTCATCCCTCTTCACTAAGCAAACTCAGATATTGAATTTGTGCTTTTTGTGTTTGCTTGGTGAGGCCATTGCCTTGCTGAGGGCCCTTTTAAAAATGAAAGCCGATGGGCATTTCATTGAGTTGCTTGCATTGCAAACCAAGGAGCAAGGCTCAACAAGGTCACTTCCAATTCTACCTTACCCGAGTGTTTCTTGTTTGATCTGTGGCAGCACACTCAGATATTCTTAGGAGGGATGCCAAATTTCATCATGGAAAGCTCAGTTTTGTTGTAATTAAAACTATGTCTGTTAGTGGAACTGTAATCATAATAGGTTCATTGCCCAATGCACAGAGCAAGTCTACTCTAAGACACTGAGTGGCAGCAGAGAAAGAGGTTTAATCGCAGAACAAGTAGATAGGAAAGAACTGCAAATCCATCTCCACAGGAGTTTGGGGTTAGGGTTTTTAAGGGTTCTGGAGTCAGTCGAAGTGTGGAGATCATTGATTGGTCAAAGAGAGCAGCGTGAAGTCATGGGACAGGGAGATGAAGAAAGTGTCTTCTCATGCTGATCCCATTCCCCTGTGGGGGTCTTCAAACTGGTTGGTGACAGCTGTTTCCCTGAAATTCAGGGTCTGAAAAACATCTTAAGCAATTTTTTTTGGAGATGGAGTCTCACTTTGTTGCCCAGGCTGGAGTGCAGTGGCACAATCTCTGCTCACTGCAACCTCCACTCCCAGGTTCAAGAGATTCTCCTGCCTCAGCCTCCTGAGTAGCTGGAACTATAGGCACCCGCCACAACACCCAGCTAGTTTTTGTATTTTTAGTAGAGACGGGGTTTCACCGTGTTGCCCAGGCTCATCTCGAACTCCTGAGCTCAGGCAATCCACCCGCCTTGGCCTCCAAAAGTGCCGTGATTACAGGCATGAGCTACCATGCCCAGCCAACATCTTAAGCAATTCTTTAACAGAAGCCCTATGATTCTAAGGTCAGAAATCCTATCCATAGGCACAACGGGGAAGAAAGTGGTCAGTATCTAGTGACTTTCAGTTACAAGGAAGTGGGTGAAAGTCAGCCTGATTAATGCCCAATTATATTTCTGTCTAGAATTCTTGTTAACCCTGTAAGGACGGCTTCAGAACATCATGCTGTGCCTGTTGTGTAGCTATGGATTGTGTGGGGCACAATTTACTCCACATAAGAGAAACAAGGTACAGCAGAACAACAAGGCAACATCAAGGAAGATCTAGTGCTTTCTGGAATATTTGTGAACTTGGCCTCTTGAGCAGGGCAACAACAGTTCTGCTTAAACAGCAATGTCAGGTCACAGGGCCTTCAGGTGAATAGTGTGTTAATTGTGGGTACTTTTATTGGAATCTGTGACACAGTGTAATGCCCTAATCTGATTATATCTAAATGATTGCTGACTTAATGCAGTTTTGAATCTTAAAATCTATTTAATTCACTTTTTAAAGTTCTGTTACTTGAGAAAAGATGTCACAACACAAAAGACATTGAAAATTACTATTTCCACCTGACAAACTAAGCAGTTATTTATGCTGGTTTGGAGTGTGGATTTTGGAGTCAAACAGCTCAAGTTGGCCACTCTTCCAATCACTCTCTACACTAAACTTGGTTTTCTTCTTCACCCATCCCTTTATATTGCTGTGAAGATTAAATGAGACAATGTGTATAAAACATTTTTTACCATACCTGGCATTTGCACCACACCTACCATAGTAAATGGTAGTTCTCAAAAAGAATTGATTTTAGACCAAATGGTCCCCACTCTCCCACCATGGCCCCAATTCATATGTTGGATCCCAAACTCCCCACATGGCTGTATCTGGAGATACAGCCTTTTGGGGGTATAATTAAGGTTAAATGAGGTCATAAGGCTGGGTCCCTAATCTGATAGGACTGGGATCATTATAAGAAGAGGAAGAGAAAGCCTGGTGCGGTGACTCATGTCTGCAATCCCAGCCCTTTGGGAGGCCGAGGCAGGCAGATTGCTTGAGCCCAGGAGTTTGAGACCAGCCTGGGCAACATGATGAAAACCCATCTCTACAAAAAATACAAAAATTAGCTGGGTGTGGTGGCTCAAGCCTATACTTGCAGCTACTCAGGAGGCTAAGTGGGAGAATCTAGCCTTGAGCCCAGAAAACAGTTGTTTCAGTGAGCCCAGATCATGCCACTGCACTCCAGCCTCGGTGACAGAGTGATGAGACTCCGTCTCAAAAAAAAAAAGAGAGGGAAGAAACAACATCAGGAATGTAGATAGAGGGAAAAAGACAATGTGAGGTCCCTGCAAGCCAGGAAGAGAGGCGTCACCAGACAATAACACTGTTGAAACCTTGCTCTTGGACTTCTGGTTTCCAGAACTATGAGAAAACAGTTGCTTAGGCCACCCAGTCTGTGGTATTTTGTTACGGCAGCCTTAGCAGACTCTTACACTGAGAACTGAGTGGGTAAGTGAATGAAGCTGGGTGAGGTTGGGCCAGACAAGGCTCTAATACATTGGGAAAGTTTTTCGAGGTCTTGAAAACTCAGTGCTCTAGTTTGTTACCATCTCTTCCCAGCTAGATGAGTTCAAACAAATCACTGAAACTTTGGGATTTTTCCTTCCTACACGTAGAAACAAAGACCATGCTGCTGTTTCTCTGGCTTCCCAGGGATCTTTATGAGTAGAATGACTAGGAACACATCTTGAGTCCCAGTGAAGGCATCTTACAGAAAAAAAATTTTCCTTAATGGTTTCTTAAATCACTAATTTAAAGATTTCTCTGTAGTGTTAGGAAAGAAAACTGGGAATTCTTTGTGTTGTACTCCACACAGCTGCCCAGAATGCTTGTGTTTGGGACTAGAAAAAGCTGCAGGGTGGTAAATGTGCTGGGTGAGCCAGTTGCATGCACATCTAGAAACCACACCAAAAGAATAAACTTCTCAAATGTAGTCCTTAGTCCTTTCATCTGTAGTCCTTAGTCCTTTCATCAATAATTTGAGATTCTCCCCTGTCAGACTCAATTGGCCTAGCTCTAAGTATAGCTTTGCAGGGAAGCTAGTTCTGATTCAAGCAGCTATAAATCATTGATGAACACAAGTGAACTCAGTTTTCTTCCAAGAGTCTGGCCTCAAATCATTTCTTACACATACCCCCAAAACCAGCATATTTTAGCTGACTGCTGAAAAAAAAGAACATATCAGAAAGTCAATTGGCCTCCGACCCACACTCAGTGATGAAATCTCTGACTATAATGACTTTCATTTGATGCTTGAAGAAGAAAATAAATGTAAACAGAAAATACAATAACATAAAGATTGGCCATGCAGGAGAATTCCTTCTCAACTGCATCCAGTCAGTCAGCTCTCACCACATGCCCACCATTCAGAGTAGGAAAACTATAGATTTCAATTTCTTTAGGTTCAATGCTTCCAGGTTTTTAACCTCTTGTTTACTGGAGCAGAAGAGACTTTACAAGGCTAAGCAGCTGTCTCTGTTGGACAAATGTTTATAAAAACAACATAAGAATTATTCAACTTGTGGGTTATCACTGGTGAATTCCAAACACCAAAAGACTGCTTTTGACCGCTCTGCCTTCTTTTCATTAATTATTATGAGTTTAAAGAAGAGAGAGAATACTTTTATCACTCAATTATATTAGGAAAAAGCCCTCAAGATAAATTTGCCGAACTCCTAAGGCAATTCATTGGATAGATAAGACCCCATAGCATTTCTCTTGCCTGATACAGTCTTTTTCCCAATCAGTTGTCACTGTGATTGAGAGTTGATTGTACAAAGCCCATGTAAGTCACAAGGCAGGTGTCTTAGTCCATTTTGTGCTGCAATAATGAAGTACCACAGACACGGTAACCTATAAGGAACAGAAATTTATGTAGCTCATTGTTCTGGAGGCTGGGAAGTCCAAGTTTGTGGTGAGGACCTTCTGCTGCATCATCCCATGAGAGATGGTGGAAGGGCAAGAGAGCACGAGAGAGAGAGAGAGAGAGAGAGAGAGAAGGGAAGGGGGTTGGGCTCATCCTTTTATTAGTAACCCACTCCTGTGATAACTTACCCATTCCTGCCATAACAGCATTAATAAGTTTATGAGGGCAGAGCCCTGATAACCTAATTACCTCTTAAAGGTCCCACCTCTCAATGCTGTTGTAATGGGAACTAAGTTTTCTTTCTTTTTAAAAATTTTTTTATATATTTTAAGTTCCAGCATACATGTGCAGGATACGCAGGTCTATTACACATAGGTAAACGTGTACCATAGTGGTTTGCTGCACAGATCAACCCATCACCCAGGCATTAAGCCCAGCATACATGAGCTATTTTTCCTGATGCTCCCCCTCTCCCTGCCTTCCCCGACAGGCTCCAGCATGTCTTGTTCCCTTCCCTGTGTCCATGTGTTCTCATTGTTTGGCTCCCACTTATAAGTGAAACATGCCATGCTTGGTTTTCTGTTCCTGCATTAGTTTGCTAAGGATAATGTCATCCAGCTCCATCCATGTCCCTGGAAAGGACATGATCTTGTTCCTTTTTATGGCTGCATAGTATTCCATCGTGTATATATCACATTTTCTTTATCCAGTCTATCATTGATGGCCATTTGGGTTGATTCCATGTCTTTGCTATTGTGAATAGTGCTGCAGTGAACATATGTGTGCAAGTATCTCTATAACAGAATGATTTGTATTCCTTTGGGATACCCAGTAATGGGATTGATGAGTCAAATGGTATTTCTGGTTCTAGGTTTTTGAGGAATCACCACACTGTATTCCACAATAATTGAACTAATTTATATTCCCACCAACAGTGTAAAAATGTTCCTATTTCTCCTCAGCCTCACCAACATCTGTTGTTTCTTGACTTTTTAATAATCACCATTCTGACTGGCAAGAGATAGTATCTCATTGTGGTTTTTATTTGCATTTCTCTAATGAGCTTTTTTTCATGTTTATTGGCCACATAAATGTCTTCTTTGAAGTGTCTGTTCATGTCCTTTGCCCTCTTTTTAAAGTTTTTTCTTTGTTTTTTTCTTGTAAATTTGTTTAAGTTCCTACAGATTCTGGATATTAGGCCTTTTTTCAGATGGATAGATTGCAAAATTTTCTCCCATCGTGTAGCTTGTCTGTTCACTTTGATGATAGTTTTTTTTGCTGTGCATAAACTCTTTAGTTTAATTAGATCCCATTTGTCAATTTTTGCTTTTGTTGCAATTGCTTTTGACGTTTATGTCTGAAATCTTTGCTTGTGCCTATGTCCTGCATGGTATTGCCTAGATTTTCTTCTAGGGTTTTTATAGTTTTGGGTTTTAAATTTAAGTTTTTAATCCATCTTCAGTTAATTTTTGTATGTGGTGTAAGGAAGGAGTCCAGTGTCAATTTTCAGCATACGGCTAGCTAGTTCTCCCAGCAGCATGTATTAAATAGGGAATCCTTTCCCCATTGCTTTTTTTTGTCAGGTTTGTTGAAGATCAGATGGTTGCAGGTATGTAACCTTATTTCTGAGTTCTCTATTCTGTTTCATTAGTCTATGTGTCTGCTTTTGTACAAGGACCATGCTGTTTTGGTTATTGTAACATTGCAGTATAGTTTGAAGTCAGGTAGCATGACATCTCCAGTTTTGTTCTTTTTGCTTAGGATTGTCTTGGCTATAAGGGCTCTTTTTTGGTTCCATATGAATTTTAAAGTAGTTTTTTCCAATTCTGTGAAGAATGTTAATGCTGTTCAATGTGAACAGCATTGAATCTATAAATTACCTTGGGTAGTATGACCATTTTTACAATATTTATTCTTCCTATCCATTAACATGGAATGTTTTTCCATTTGTGTACTGTCTAATTTCCTTGAGCAGTGGTTTATAGTTCTCCCTGAAGATGTCCTTCACTTCCCTTGTTAGTTGTATTCCTAGGTATTTTATTCTCTTTGTAGCAATTATGAATGGGAGTTCATTCACAATTTGGCTCTCTTCTTTGACTTTTGCACGTTGATTTTGTATCCTGAGGCTTTGCTGAAGTTGCTTATCAGCTTAAGAAGCTTTTGGGCTGAGACAATGGGGTTTTCTACATATAGGATCATGTCATCTGCAAACAAAGGCAATTTGACTTCTTTTCTTCCTATTTGAATACCATTTATTTCCTTCTCTTGCATGATTGCCCTGGCCAGAACTTCCAATGCTATGTTGAATAGGAGTGGTGAGAGAGGGCATCCTTGTCTTGTGCTGGTTTTCAAAGGGAATGCTTCCAGCTTTTGCCCATTCAGTATGATATTGGTTGTGGGTTTGTCATAAATGGCTCTTATTATTTTGAGGTATGTTCCTTCAATACCTAGTTTATTGAGAGTTTTTAACATGAAGGGATGTTAAATTTTATCAAAGGCCTTTTATGTGTCTGTTGAGATAATCATGTGGTTTTTGTCTTTGGTTCTGTTTATGTGATGAATCACACTTATTGATCTGCATATGTTGAACCAACCTTGCATCCCAGGGATGAAGCCAACTTGATCGCTGTGGGTAAACTTTTTGATGTGCTCCTGAATTCGGTTTGCCAGTATTTTATTGAGGATTTTTGCATCAGTATTCATCAGGGATATTGGCCTGAAGTTTTCTTTTTTTGTTGTATCTCTGCTACGTTTTGGTATGGATGATGCTGGCCTCATAAAATGAGTTAGTGAGGAGTCTCTCCTTTTCAATTGTTTAGTTTCAGAGGTATCACCAGCAGATGCTGCAGAACAGCAAAGATGGCAGCCTGCTCCTTCCTGTGGGAGTTCCATCCCCCTGATGCCAGAGGGAACACTCCTGTATAAGGTGTCTGGCAACCCCTGTTGGGAGCTCTCATCCAATCAGGAGGCATGGGATCAGGGACCTGCTTAATGAAGCAGTCTGGCTGCCTCTTGGCCTAGCGGGTGCACTGCGCTGGGTGGAATACCCCTCGTCCACACTGCCTGGACTCTTCAGAGACAGCAGGAAGGAAAGACTAAGTCCGCTGCACTGCAGAGACGGTGGCAGTCTCTCCCGCTAGGGGCTCTGTCTCAGGGAGATCAGGGAGATCATTACAGACAGAATTCTGTCTGTAAACCCCTGGGTGGAGTTGCTGAAATTCCCACAGGGAGGCCCTGCCTGGTGAGGAGGGCTGGATCCAGGTCCCACCTAAAGAAGCGGTCTGGTCATGATCTGCCACAGCCACTCTGCTGCGGGAATTCCTCCCGGTTCAAACCGCCCAGTCTCCCTGGCACTAGCAGGGGAGGATGGCCAACTGGAGCTGCAGTGATGGTGGTCGCCCCTCCCCTGGGAACGAGATCGTCTTAGGCAACCTCCAGCCTGCTGCCGCTGGCTGCAACCCAAGCGGCTGCCGAGGGTCTGCGCAGCTCTATGCTTGGGACCCAAGGCCCTGGTGATGTGGGCTCAGGAGCGGATCTCTTGATCTGTGGGTTACTTACCACCTGGGCTGGGGATAGGAGCTCCCCTTACCCCATGAGGCTCCCAGGTGCGCCGTCATTCCACCCTGCTTTTCTTCACTCTCCGTGGGTTGCGCCAACCACCTAGTCAGCCCCAATGAGAGAACCTGGATACCACAGTTGGAGGTGCAGGATCCACTTGCCCTTTTCATTCTTCTCGGTGGGAGCCAACACCTGCAGCTGCTTCTAATCAGCCATCTTGGGGATTTAAGTTTTCAATACAAGAACTTTGGGGGATACATTTAAACCATAGCAGCTGGGGAGGGGCAGAGGTCAGGCACCTTCTGTGTGTTTGCCCCGTATAGTAGGGGCTGAAGATTACATCTGGGATGATGGTCATTCATGTCCCAAGAACTGTCACCTTTAGGACATAATTTTCCTCTGCTTGTAGAACAGGGGCTGCTTGTCTGACAGTCCTCTTTTGTGTTACCATCCCCCTGCCAAACAGATTATATTCCTGTCATTAAACACAAGCGCTACACCTTTGCAGTGGATTCCCACTGGCCTGGCCATTGACTGTAGTAGAAAGAACCCTCGAGGTGGTGTAAAACTTGGATTTGGGTCTGACTTCTGTTACCATTACACTACCTGGGTGACCTAAAATAATCCAGTGTCTGCACTTTATTTCTTAATCTGTGAAGAGAGTAATCTTTGCTCTGCCCAGCTCATGAGGTTATGAGAAGTAATGAAGCCATCGTTTGTATGTGCTTTGTAGAGCCTAGGGGCTGTAGAATAGAAGGGATGATGAGAATGCTTTGAGATACTGAAAGTGGATGCTGCATCATTTTTCAGTGCAAGTTAAAATGTGAATACAAGACAATTTTGTGCCCCTGCTTGTTCATTTCTGCAGTAGAGAATGACACTTTTTTTTTTTTTGAGACAGAGGCTTGCTCTGTCTCGCCCAGGCTGGAGTGCAGTGGTGTGATCTGGGCTCACTGCGGCCTGCAACTCCCAGGTACAAGCCATTCTCCTGTCTCAGCCTCCTGAGTAGCTGGGACTACAGATATGTGCCACCACACCCGGCTAATTTTGTATTTTCAGTAGAGACGGGTTTCACCATGTTGGCCAGGCTGGTCTCAAACTCCTGACCTCAGGTGATCCGCCCTCTTTGGCCTCCCAGAGTGCTGAGATTACAGGCGTGAGCCACGGTGCTCGGCCAAGAATGACACATTTTTAATCAAAGTGTTTTCCTTCTTCTCCTAGGCACATAGCTGGACTACATTTCCCATATTTCTTTGCTGTTGTTGAATGTAGCTATCCGAGTAAATTCTGACCAGTGGAATGTGAATGGAAGTGACTATAGTACTTGTGGGGATGGCGCTTAATTATTTCTCAGCACAATCCTCTATTCTCAGTTCATGGTGCTCCCAGGGACTTAGGAATTACTATTTTTTGTTGTACTCCTCGTCCAAAGAAACACCTAACATTTCCAATTAAAATGTAGTTAGGTCCAAACAACAATAAATATTTATGTCCTAATAACTTTGTGCTTTGAAAAAGTAGTACATGTGAATTAAAAGCCAAATGATATTTTTATTTCATTCTTAAATAAGCACAATTACTTCCTAATGGGATGTATACGCCTGTTTAAGCATTGCATAACTCCTTTAATCTGTAAATCACATTGGACACCACTATCTTCATTTCCTGTTGCACACTGATTTTAATGCAGTACTTGACTTTTATTACAGTGGTTGCTAAATACCCAGATTCAAAAAGATACAGCATTATCGAAATTAATGTCGGATGATTTCATGATGAAATTGGGAACTACCTTGAGATATTAGTTTTTGCATTGTCCAACAGATGTGGACTATTGCTGGGTTTCCTTAAAATTTTAAAAATATCGCATCATGACACCCTTGTGAATTCAGTGTAGCACTGCAGGTCACCTTGTTGCACAATTTGCGGACCATAGCGCTCTTCTTTTTCTCCATTTGCCAGTTGAATGGAGAGAACTTTGAGGATTTGGAGGATAGTGAAGACAAAATGGAGCCTGAGTCCCCGAGTCTCCATGGAAGGAGAGGCAGCCAGGAGAACCACTCGACAAGAAACAGCTGCTTTGGCCTATGACAGAAATGAGATATTGTGTTTCTTTTGACATTCCACTGATTTAGGATGTTGTTTATGAAGCAGTTAGTCTACCCTGACTTATACAGTGCCCACATTCATGAATATCACTAGGGATGCTTTTGTAAATTCAAGCTTTGCTTCACATTGGATGTCTCTCTCTCATGAGGAATTAATGTTGGACAAGTCAGATAGCCTTGGTGACTGGGTTTAATCTACCATATCCTGGGGAAGTCCAGGCAATACCCTGATTAAGAGATTTTTTCTCTAGAAGTAGGTGTTCCTGAGTCAGTGCAATATTTGTAAAGTGAGCAAGAGTATTTCCCAGTGACCACATTATCAACCAAAATGCAAATGCTCTTGGGGGTTTGGGGATGCCTGCTTTCCAAGAGAATAGAGCAGTGCTGAAGAAGTGAATTATGGCCATTTGTCCATTTGCATAGAGATGCCCTCTGAGTGGTGAGATGTAACATGCACCTTCACAGGAAGCCACACTCAAGCAGATTTACAGTCCCAGAAGATTCCCCTGAAGGAACACCATAGCTCACTTGTAGAATATCACTGTTCAAACTCAGTGCTGGGATCGGAGGGGCCATTTTCTCTAAAGTAGGTCACATTTTCTATTTAGGTCTTGTTTCATGACCCACATAGAGAAAATGGTAGTTCAAAATCAGGTAAACCTTTCTGGGAAGCTTACATTTGATTATAACCTTATTTGTAACATCTCTGAGAATTCCCCTCTCCCCACAACTACCAATTATCCTCAAGAAGCATAGAGGCATTCTTTTCCTTCTCATGAATAATTAAATGTGACCAAACTTCAGAAAACTTCCTGGCATACATATGTCTATTTTGTCTTGATTTAGGCAAGGTTTAAGCAAGCTGCTGAGACTCTTTGATTTCACATATTTATAGCCCAGATCTTTCTTTTTCATCTGTTTATTGACTTTCTTCATGCCCAGGCTTCTTATTGGCTGAAATGAAGTAATACACTGCTCTTTGTGGATGGGAGAGTCAAGAATTAAGCTTCATTGGCCCAAGCCCCATGACTTTTGGAAAATATTCCAGAGAACATGTGACTCTCTGAAGGCATTTTTCTCTTTTTGAGACACAGTCTCTCTCTGTTGCCCAGGCTGGAGTGCAGTGGTACAATCTTGGCTCACTGCAATCTCTGCCTCCCAGGTTCAAGCGATTCTCCTGCCTCAGCCCCCCAAGTAGCTGGAATTATAGGCACCCACCACCACACCTAGCTAATTTTGTGTGTGTGCATGTGTGTTTAGTAGAGATGGGGTTTCACCATGTTGGCCAGCCTGGTCTCGAACTCCTGACCTCAGGTGATCCACCCGCCTCGGCCTCCCAAAGTGCTGGGATTATAGGCGTGAGTCACCGCGCCCAGCCTGAAGGAACTCTTTTATGAAGAGTGGTTTGGGAAGCTGGTCTGCCATGGACCCAGTCACACCATTGAAATCTATCTCCATTGTGAATTTTTCCAAAGAGAAAACAACTATATTTTACTTTTAGATTTTTTATTTTTTACTTTTTGTTTTATTATTAAATTTTTTTAGAGACAGGGTCTCGCTGTCACCAAAGCTGGAGTGCAGTGGTGTGATTATAGCTCACTGCAGCCTCAAACTCTTGGGAGGCCTCAGCCTCCCAAGTAGCTAGGACTATAGGCGTGCACCACCACACCTAATTTTTTCATTTTTTAATTTGTAGATATGGGGTGTTGCTATGTTGCCCAGGCTGGTCTTGAACTCCTGACCTCAGGGGATCTTCCCACCTTGGCCTCCCAAAGCGCCGGGGTTTTTTTCTTAATGTCGCATAATCAAATTTTTAAAAAATAACAGATTTTTTTTATTTTCTGAATATTCTTTTTCTTGCTGTTGAATCAAATTAAAAGGTGACTGATAAGAGAGCAGGTAGCTGACATTGAGACTGAAAATATGCCTGAAGAGAAACATTCAGGGGTACTATGAAGAGTGCTTGGCATGGAGATCACAAGTTTATCAGAAACATTTAAAAGAAAATTGGGTTACTTTGGTTCTGCTCCTGGACAGTTGGGTGATTATAGTTACTTTCCACCATTTTTCAGTACCTATTTGTAACAGGTAAAAAGCAGTGACACACATTTCTTTCTTTCTTTTTTTTTTTTGAGACAGAGTCTCGCTCTGTCACCCAGGCTGTAGTGCAGTGGCGCCATCTCGGCTCACTTCAAGCTCCGCCTCCCAGGTTCACGCTATTCTCCTGCCTCAGCCTCCGGAGTAGCTGGGACTACAGGCGCCTGCCACCATGCCCGGAGTGACGTACATTTCTATTCTACATGATACATCATGTGCTTGGCCAAATTTTAGCCCCAATGATCTTCATGCCCTATTGTTATACCTTTGCATATGCTATGCTACAAGACAAAAGGGACTTTGCAGATGCAATGAAATGACTAATCAGCTGACCTTAGGTAGGAAATTATACTGAAGTATCTAGTTGACCAACTGCAGTCACATGAGCCCTTGAAAACAATTTTCTCCCAGCTCCAATTGGAAGTCTGAGATTCCAAGCATGAGAAGGAGTTGTGTGCTGTTGCGGGCTCAAAGACGGAGGGGGCTATGTGAAAAGTATAAGAAGGAAATGAATTCTGCCAGCAACCAGTGAGCTTGCAGAGGACCCTAAGCTTTGGATTTGAACCACACCTCCTGCTGACACCTTGATTCAACCTGTGTGAAACCCTGAGCAGAGAATCCAACCACCCAGGTGCTGAATGTCTAACCTACTATGAGGTAATAAACTTGTGTAGTTTTAAGTCACTAAGTTTGTGGTTATTTGTTATGGCAGCAAGAGGAAACTAATATATGCCATGAAGTTCATTTGGAGTAAGGGGTTACAACCTGATATTAAAGCAGTGCATTGCTTCTCAGCTTGGTGAGGATGTTGATGAATATAGGTGTGGGCAGAAGCAAAAAGAAATTGTTTTGTTTTGTTTTGTTTCTCTTTAGTCTCTCCTTTAAGGTCCAACAAATATTTATTGATCACTGACAGTGTACCCTACACTAAATGCTTCTCATACTTTCTTTTATTTAATGCAATTGATCCTGAAAATAATAATTTACTTTTTTTTTTTTTTTTTTTTTTTTTTTTTTTTTTGAGACGGAGTCTCGCTCTGTCGCCCAGGCTGGAGTGCAGTGGCGCGATCTCGGCTCACTGCAAGCTCCGCCTCCCGGGTTCACGCCATTCTCCTGCCTCAGCCTCCCGAGTAGCTGGGACTACAGGCGCCCGCTACCACGCCCGGCTAATTTTTTGTATTTTTAGTAGAGACGGGGTTTCACCGTGTTAGCCAGGATGGTCTCGATCTCCTGACCTCATGATCCGCCCGCCTCGGCCTCCCAAAGTGCTGGGATTACAGGCGTGAGCCACCGCGCCCGGCCAATTTACTTTTTATGTAAGAAGAAATGGAGACTCTGGGAGCCCAGATAACTTGCCCACATTTCTGCCACTGGAATTTGTGATATTTGAACCCACGGATCCTGATTATAGGCCATAGCTGTTTCCTTACTGTGTGCCAATTCCTAGATCAATGGGGGTGATCGAAATATTAGTTGACAATCATGAAGATTAACAGAAGGTCACAAAAATAATGAACAATGAGGATTTTTATTTTAATGGAGTATGGTAGATGTCCCAGATCAATGATTACTGGATTCTTCAGCTTGTTTGAAAATCTGACTCTCTGTCAGCAGCCAGAGCTGAGAAAAAGCCAGAATTCTGACTTCTCAGTTGCTGGCTTTCAACTATTATTTCCATGGAAACCTATCAGATCTGAAAAAACAAGTTAAGTGCCTTAATATCATCACCATCCAATGACTGAGACTTCCCATGTTTCAGTCTAGCTAATATCCATTTCCAGGGGTAAAAAGAGGAGAACTGGCCACACAGACTTGAAGGAAAATGCACTTATTTCATCTCAGCAGGTCATTACTGACCAAGAATGGGTATTGTTGCTTTCTAATTGCCATCCAATTTTAGGCAAAGATGAAAAGGAAAAGATGTCTGTGAACTCTGCTTCAGGGGATAATGAACAGGAATCTCCTACTTACTTCTTGACTATCATCAGACATTATCATTGGCCAACATTGCTTATTCATTGCTGTAAATACCCAAGACCAATTTACATGCTATGGTTTTAAAAATGAGATAGCCATCACTGGCCCAGGAAATCAAAGAAGGCTTCAAATAATAGGGAGACCAGAGATTTTTCTGTTCATTTTCTTGTGAATATCACTAAGAAATATATAAAGCAGGATTTGTTCCTTCTGTTGTTGCTCTTTTTCTACAGAGGGTTATATCACTCCCCAGCCACAACAGGAGGGCTAATAAGACAATATGTCTTAAAGGCTTCAGAGGCTACAAATTGACTTTCTCTTAAGAAGGCTTGTAAACAAATACTGTGTCATTATAAGACCATTACAACCTCTTGGGTGGGCTTTGGCTTTTTGCCCAGAGTTTGGAGGTTGAGCTAAACAGCAGCATGATTACACCACTCTGTGGTCCATTGGTTCATGAGGCTGTTGGAGCTTTCATTACATCCATCAGTCAGGGACAACTCTGTGGCGCCCACTGTGTGCAGAGCATTGAGCACTATGGGGAGCATTGGAGCAAAGAGAAAGCACAGCTTCTGCTCTTGAAGAGCTTTAAATTTACTGGGGCAGCCAGGAGCACACAAATGAAACTGGGTAAGAAAATAAGTGAGAGAAACAACCAATCCACCACACCAAAACAAAATTCCAAAACACCGCCATTTTCCTGACATAATTAGCTGTGTCGGGTTGGTTTGAATGATTGGGTGAGCAAAATTAAACAGAGTTAGATGGAAATGTGGAGATTTCGAGAAGAAGAAGAAGCGAAGAAGAAGGGAAGAAGAAGAAGAAAGAAGAAGAAGAAGAAGAGGAGGAGGATGGGGAAGGGGAGGGGAGGAGGGGGAGAAGGAGAAGGAGAAGAAGAAAAAGAAGCAGAAGCAACAGCAGCAAAAGCAGAAGAAGCAGCAGCAACATTCACAAAAGGAGCAGAGGTTAGTGGGCAGGCTCAGGGGTAAGAACAGTGGATGAGAAATGGATGAAGCCGGCGAGGGTTGCTTGGATTTGAGCCATAAGCCCAGCAACAGGGGTGAGGACAGTTTCGTATGGGAGATGGTAAGTTATGGAGTCTAAACTTCTGGAATTCCAGATTGTTTTAATTTGCTTTAAGACATGCATTTCTAAAGGTTTCTGACAAAGAGCCAGATGTCATAGAATAAAGCCAAGAACAGAAGCAGAAAAGAGAAGAGGCACATTCTTCTGGATCACTTGGTGGAGAGAATTTGAGTCCAGGTCTTCCATGAAGGCCACCATACTTCATTCTTTCTCTGAACATTTGTAGTACTTAAAGGCTATGCCACATAATTTAGCACTCCATCACTCACGTCTTTAGCCTATTTATATTAAATGAAATCCATGTTAGGGGCCATGCCTGACATATTATGCAACTCAATGATACTTACCAGCAATGAAGCATTTTCTAGAGGGAAAAGGGGCAGTGCAATAATTGCTTTTCCAGGTTAGGAAAGAAACCTGTGAATGGGCACCAGGAACAACTTGTTGCTTTAAATTAGAATGTAAATCTCACAGGACTGAGACAATCCAGTAGTTTGCATATTGGAGCAAAACAACAATATTCACATTTTGGTATTTATTTTGCTTAATGCTGGTATTCTTTAAAATGAGATATGGCCACCATTGTCTTCTGCTCTTGTTCTTTAATGCCAGGCTGCCTAAGAAAAGCCATGGTCCAGGACCAAGTTTCCTTTGTCTTCTCATCCTGAGCCTCACCTATGATGTTAATTGAAGAAGAAGATCCTGGGTAAAAATAAATTATTTTTGGGAAGGAGTTAGTCTCTGTGAGCCTAAACCAGACCCTAGGGGAGAGAGTAGGATGGAGAGGAGCAGAGGGAATGTGGCCTAGAGGGAAGGAAAGTGGTTGCTTTCCAGAAAGTCTGTGAAATAACCTGAGACCCTCTCCCTTCCCCTCCTTCTGCAGGTAGATTTGGGTCCCAAACAGCTCTGGTTGTAATACAAATGACCAATTAAAACACACACAAAAAACTCTCAGCATCACCAAGAACCCAATACATGGAAATTCCAAAAACACTGAATTAATTTTGAAAGATTTTAAATGAGAGAAATATAGTGAGAATGCTTTCTAAATGACCTTTGTTTGATTTAAAATTTTAGCTCAAATTTTAACTCTTTAGGTACAGCCTCTAATTCAGATTTCAGATTTTTAACATGTTCCAAACATTACAAATGACTATTTCTGTATTGAAAAATAGCACAACAGCTGGGCACAGTGGCTCACACCTGCAATCTCAACACTTTGGAAAGCCAAGGCAGGAGGATCACTTGAGTCCAGGAATTTGAGACCAACCTGGGCACCATAGTGAGACACTCATCTCTGCAGAAAAAAAAAAAGAAAAAAAATCCTCTTTTTAAGGGTACTAAGAATTTTGAAAAATAAAAAAAAGGTCAAATAGCACAATATATCAGAACACCAAAATCTTACTGCAATGACAGCTTCAGCAGACTCAGCTGAAGTGAGGCACATCAAAAATTATGACTTCTAATTGACGCCCCCACTGGAAATGATAAAAGCAGCTGCACTTCTTCTGTACCAAGTACTATGCTAGGCTTTGACAGGTATTATCTCATTTGATTTTCATAGGAACCCCAAAAAGTAAGTTCTTTTAGCTTGTCTCTTTTCCCAGAGGAAGAAACGAAATTTTAGAGAAATTAAAGCTGAATCATATAAAATTGCTAATGTTTGACTGTTTTTGACCCACAGATATGGCAATCTCATATCTCACCTGGTTCAACCTGGTAATGTGTCTGAGGTCACACAGCGGGCAAGTGTGGAGCAGAAATTATTCAAGGCATCGCACTCCAAACCCCACTAGGCAACGTGGCTTACTTCTAGCTAAAAGATGAGAGCAGGTAACCTTGGGGCCGAGATTATCAGACTAGTTGAAAAGTCACTGAAGGCAATCACATCAGGACACCTCAGAAAGTATTTTTTGTATAAAGTCAGGGGAGGCAACTTGATTCACTGAAAGCTAGCAATGGTTTTGGATTAAGTGGAGTTCTGAACATTTCATTTCATATTTGCCACAAAATTGCCAAAAGAGACTTCCTCTCTGAGTCTCATATTTTCCTGTTAAATGGGTATGATAACCATGGTCATCTGAAGGATACTTTGGAAGGGATACATAAGCTGAATTGTTCAGGAGAGAAGAGCCAATCAACATTTCTGGCAAGGAATGTCTAGGACCTGAGGAATGCTTCACAAAATGTCTGTCTTACTGTGTGTGTTTCACAGTGAGCAGGTCTATGAAAACCCGCCCCAAAGGCCAAGGGAGCTGAGAGGTTGAAGAAAGAGGCTGACAACTCCAGTTTCTCAGAAAGAAATATTTAATGGGGACTTATTAACAGAAGCAATGTCTTGGGCAGCCTTAAGATGGTGGATCCCCAAAACCTGCCCTCCAGAAAGCATCCTTTAAATAGCATGATTTTAGGTGAAAGGCATTAGCAGCTGATCACACTTCAGACTTTCTTGCAAAACACATGACCACTAGGAAAGTTAGATAAGCATCTTTATGAGGGCTTGTCTATACCACAGCCATTGTTTAAAGACCTTGCTGAATACCTTGGTCTCTGCAGGAATTAAACATCAGTTATCATGGTGGTTTCACTCCAAGATGTTGTCACTTTTGCCATGCAACAGGCTGGTTTCTTACAGCATGGAAGAGAACACTGGACTAGGCTCCTGTCAATATTCAGCAGAATGGATGAGCAGCCATTTTCTGTTTCTAGATTGTTTGCTCCTTCAGAGTTGGGAGATCTTTGATGATTCAAGAGTTCTGACATATTTTGGTGAGCCAGCTTGTTGTTAACATAAATCAGATGAAGTTGAAAGCCCACCTCAGCATCACAAGGTCAGTGGCTGTTGTCACTGGAAAAGCTCCTGAGGCACTTGCTTTCATAACTGTATTTACTAAAAAGAGCTTTTAAGAAACATTTATGTAAAAAGAACATTTCACAGGGTATATGCAGCCAGGCTGCAGATGTAAACGATAACAATTTATTTTGAAATTTGCTCTTTAATTCTGATGGATTTTCTAAGCCAATGATTCTGACTCCAACAGCTGCTGGGTGAGCAGTAGATACCTGGATAAATCAATTTGTTTGTTACCTCTAGAGTAGTGAATAATATGTCTTAGTTAGTGCAGTAAAGATTCCTGCCTTCAACATACAGAGCACCCAGGCGCAACTTGCATGTGATTGCAAATATTCAAATGAAATGTACAGATCCTGCAAAGGCTGAGTAATAAATCATGTGTCAGGCAAGCACCTTCCCATTTGCATGGATTTCGGTTGACTTAAAAGAGACAAGAAACAAACTAGGGGCCAGCACAACACAAAAGCCAACTCAGGATGTCTGTTACTGTGTGTGTGACAACGTGAGACCTGGCCTGGTTTTGCAAAAATTTAAATATAGGTTGATGTGGTCACTGCCTAGAGAACAGCATGATGAGAAGTGGGTCATAGAGTGTGCACCCCCAGGGTTTATCCTTCTGCCTGTATGCCTCTGGGTGAGGAGAATACGAGCCAAAAAGCCCCTGAAGGGAAATGGATGTGGAGAAGTCCTGCCCTTCTCCCCAAAACAGTATCTTGGAGTGGAGTAAGTGCTAGGAGAAGAGAAATGTAATCATTGTATGGAGGAGATCATAAAGCAATGGTCAATGAAAAGGAGGAAAACTCAGGAAAACAGAAAAAGGAGGTGAACAATCAATTAATAATTATTTTTATTAATTTAGTAATAATCTTTTACTAAATAAAAATTATTTTAAAATATTAATTTTAAATAACTTATTAACTTATTTTTATTTTTAAATTTTCTTCTTTTATTTTTTGTTCTTTTTCCTCTTTTTTCTTTTTATTCCTCTTTGTTTATTGATTTTTTGCAAACACCAACTCAAAGCAGAATTAATTAATTTTTTAATTGACAAAAATTGTGTATATTTATGGTGTACAACATTATGTTTCAATATATATATACATTGTGGAATGAGTAAATCAAGTTAATTAACATATGCCTTACCTCACATACTTATCATTTATTTCCAGTGAGAACACTTAAAATCTATTCTCTTAGTAGTTTTGAAGTATAAAATACATTGCTATTAACTACAGTTTCCATGTCATACAAGAGAAATCTTTAGTTTATTTCTCCTGTCTAATCGAAATTTTGTTGCTTTGGAACAGTATCTTCCTAATCCCCTCCTTCAAAGGAGTAGAATTTTCAGTAATAAGATATCAAGTTTTCAAAATGAAAACACTCATAAAACTAAAGAGAATGCCTGCATGACACAGTGAAGCAGAGCTTGCTCACTAGATGAGGAAAGCACCTATTTCATCATTTAACTTCAAAATCCTTCCAGATTTAATAGTTAGGATTTTAAACAGCTACATCTAGCTTTTCCTAGAAGTCTTGTTGCCTGTGAATGAAAGGGAGTTCTAATTTGGAAAATTAGATTTCTTCACCCCATCTCTGAAAGCTTCCCTGATATTTATTGGAGACCAGAAGCATGAGTTGAAGGGTCAGAGGATCTGTGCTTCAAATCTAAAGGTTTTGATACAAAATGAAAAAGTGTAGGAATATAGAAAAGAAATGACCAAAGGAATCAATGTTTACATTTTAAGTCTTTGGATATCTCCATGAGATTGATTCAGACGGTTGTAAACACGCAAAGCACAGTGAAAGTCTGTGTGCAGATGTTAAAACATGATTATTGGAAACCTATTATTTGGAAACCTATTATTCCAAGATCTGGGTGTTTAAAGTGGTCGGTGCGGTTTTGTTGGTTTTGTCTTTCTGGCTCCTTCTTAGGGACAGGGCAATGGTGAAATGTGTCCTCTTGTGGGATGTAAGGCAGTTTTGTTGTGGCAGAAATGGAAGGACTGGAAAAGGCTCCTACATAGAACAAGGAGTCACAACTCCCCATCTTCCACCTCATGCCACTTTGGTCAGATTGCTCAGGTATCTGGGTCCAAAAGTCAGACCGAGCAGCTTCCCCACCCATGGTGAATACAGAGTCAAAGTGAATCCATCATGTCCATTTTCAAAACAATATAAAACACATGCTGAGCCAATGCTAAAGCAGTGCTATCTTTGTACACTTAACTCTGTTAGACTGTACCCAGGACCTGTCTTTTGCTAAAGTATATCCAAGTATACCTGTACACACAAAGAGGTGGTTGTTGGAAATTTGTAGATGCCATGTGTCTATCTAGATTTGGTCTGCATTTGCAGGCTAGTAGCTCACCCGAAGATTCTAGATGCAATTCTGCTGGATGTTTTAGTTTCTAAGTCTTACCACTTGTGGCTTTGGGAAATCACTCACTGGGTCTTAGCATCCATATGTATAAAAAAAGAGCTTGGATTTCCAAAAGGTAGATGTTGGGCTGAGGAGTTTATAGCAAACTTGTGTATAAATTAAAATTTCTTTGGTCTACTGTGATCACCGTCGTTAAACCAAGATTACTGCTAATAACCCTCCCAATGACCCTGTCTCCTGCCTGGCTGACGTCTATTCCACAGGAAACACTCAAAAAGGCTTTACCCTTTAAGCTCTGATAGTAGTGGCCACAGCAATGCAGCCACCACTATCCCGTTGTCACAGGCAACTTGAGCTTTCCAAGAAGGGTCAGGCACTAATCCTTATAATTAACACTCTTCCAGTAGTTTGCAGAAAGTCCTCCAACCAGGCTTAACCTAAGGGAACTAGCACTCTTTCAGATCCTCTTAAGCAGCTGGGGGAGGGAATCATGCTACAGAATCAGTATGACAATAGTTCTTTTCAGTGAAATTGCTTCAGTAAGTTCTCTTCCTGTTATATCCTTTCTAGTTAAAGTTAAAGAGGAGTGTCCAAGAATGCTGAAATTCCTCATGTGGGGAGAGTCAGCCTCATAATCTGAACCAAGGAGAGACTCATTTTAACATTCTGGAAAAAAGGTAAATCATTTCAGCCTGCGTTGAAGTCACTCCTCCAACCACTGGAAGAGATACACATCTACACTCAAAATAAAAGCCTTCCCTTAAATACTCTTTAACAAAAAACCTTCTAACACACAAATCTGAAGATTTCTATTACAATAATTTTTTCAAAGACTTCTGAAAGTCATAACCCATTCAACCAAGAATCATGCTTTCATTCCGGTTTAAAATTACACCCAGCAATTCAGAAGTGATTCAGAGCATCTACAGCAACACATTTCAGAAAGTCTGTCAGGTACTTAATTCTACATTAAGAATTAAGTGCAAGAATATATACTCTCTTTGTGCATTTGTTTAATACTTATTAATTGGTCTCACTATCATTTTTCATGTTTTCTGAGATGCTCAGCCATCTCGAGGGGTACAGAAAAAGTCACCAAATAAATGTGAATAATGATGATTACAGAGATTCGAACTGAGGACACAATCTCCTTATTCTACATTCGATTTAAATAATCTTCACAGGAGTAGTAAAGTGTAACTCCTTCCCGCAGAGGGCTGCAGTGACATAAACTGATGTGACAGATGGACACACCATAGCCCACCCTAATTAGCATTCATTAGCATACTAAGTTGTATCTTGATCAGGCAGCGAACACAAGGTGTGCACAGAAACAGCATTTTCATGAACCCCATCCAGCTAAGATGCCTCTCTTCACCTTGGTGGGGGAAATTCATAGGATAATCATGCCATGATGCTTGGTGCTAAGTACTGTGCCACAAACAGAAAAGGTTTCAGGCTTAGGTGGAGGCAACCTAGAAAGGAGTGACTATTTCAAAACAGAAACTTAGGTTAAGCAGGACACAGAGAAATGTGAGACTTAAAAGACATGAAGGTCCCCAGAGATGGGAGAGGATTTGGAAGGGTAGTGGGAGAAAGGAGATCGTTTTTTACCTTTGTTTTTAAAGAAAAGCCATTCCCTGAAATTGAGGAAAGAGATCTTCTTTGTGTATCATTTCAGTGTGTCTATGTTGTCTTTGCTATTAGTGTGAAAAGCCTTTTATTTGAGCAGAAAAGGAATCAATAGAGAGAGGAAGAAAAGAAGGAAAACGAGTGCACACCACCACCTGCTTTTCTGGGAAGACAGAAAGCATAAAAAGAAGATACATGTAAGGTGTTTTGAGCACAATAAATATGTGGGGGTTTTTTTTTTTTTTTTTTTGGCACTGCCCTTCAGGATGATATTGGAAAAAAAACAACCACTTTCTTCTCCTAGGGCTGTGGGGTCATCAATTGAAGGGAAATTGCTTCCACCAGCTGATGACGCCCAAATCCATACCTCTAATTTCAGATCCTTCTTTTGAGCTTGGTGTCCATATATCTAGGGATTTACAGGACACTCATTCATATAGACGTCCAAGTATTTCTGGAGGATGTACCATGAGGCAGGAAGTGTGTAGTGGAGAATCTGGGCTGAGTTTATTATTTAGTTTTGGACAGAGACAAGTGAGAAGAAACTGTTACTGCCGAGAGGGAGAATCACTGCGAGGGGAGCACACGCAGGAGCTCCACCCTGCCTGGGGCCGTGGAGGCGAGGAAGTAAGTGACACTGGAGTCTAGACCTGAGTTATGAGGAGGGATTGCCCAGAGACAAGCTCAGGGAGAGGCCACAGAAGATGCGGGAAAACAGGTAAGGGCCACAGCCTTTTCAAACACCCGGAGAAGACAGAGATGATGGCATGCGTGATGGAGAAACAGTGATGTTTGGAATGGCGGGAATGTCTAGTAAGCTTCAAGCACTCCAACATCTAACTCTGCCCCTCCTTTTGTATTCTCTCTTCTTGTGAATGACACTACGGCCTTCCCAGTCCCCCACACCAGCCACCTGCACATCTTCCTGTTTCCCTTTACTTTCCATTCCTCCCCCAAATCCAATAAACCACCACCTTTCTTCTAAGAGTCTTGCAGACGGGGATCCTCTTTTCCAAGCCCCTCTTCTCTCCCCTGGACTGCTGTGACGGTCTCCGTGCTTATCCTCCTGTCTTTACCTTGTCCCCTCCAGCCCATGAGACACATCGTTGTTGGAGTGCTCTCTGCAGAAAACAGAATCTGTCTCATCTTTTCCCATCACCACCCCTCAGTGTCTACTCACGGCCCTCAGAATTAGTTAGCATCTACTTCATCTCAGGGCATGCGAGGCTTCGTATGATTTGACCTCTGCTCAAACTTGCAGACCCCCCTATTTTCAGCCACTCTCCTGCATCTAACCTAAGATCCCATTACATGGAGCTTCCTTCAGTTACCAGAGCTTGCCCAACTCTCAAATTGAGTATTTTGTGTTTATTCTTTCCTTAAATGTCCCCACACTTCCTGTCTAGTTAATTCTATTATTTTATAATTCTCAGTGGAGACATCACCAACTGTGAGAAGCCTCCTTTGAAAGCCTCGTTGCCAGTCTAGATGGGGAAGCCTACATGCTTCCAAGCAGCCTGTGCTCTCCTCTCCCATAGCACAAGTCACTGAGTCTGTCTGTTCCTCATCAGGCTCAAAGTGCTTTGAGGGGCAGGTACCAATTATTTCATCTTGTATTCATTTGAGCCTAGCACAGTGTCCCCAAGCATTCATTCACTCTATTCTGCTTTTTTAACCACCTCAAGATGTTATAGTATGTTTCTGTGTAGTATCTGCCCCACTCTAAGGCAAGCTGTACAATGCCAGGGAGTTTGTTTTGTTCAATCCGTTGCCATGACAATGATACCTGGCAGAGGATAGGTGTTGAAGTAATTGTGTATTTGTTGAATGAATGAGTGAATGAATCTGATGTTCATGCCCTGATCCTAGCTTTGGTCCATTACGACTTCATCATGGCAAATCCCTATTTTTTCAGTTTTCTTTGACCTGAGATTCTTTAGTAAGTGGTTGCTGACTAACTATTTGACATGGGACAAGTTGCTAATCCCCTCTCTGTCTCAGTTTCTCCTTTGGTGAGGAGAAATCTAGCTTCATTAAATTGACATGCAGTTAAATCTACTTCATTAAATTGACATGAGAGTTAAATTAGTTTATTCATGTACAATATTTAAACAGTACCTAGCACATGGTAAATGTCCAGTAAATGTTAGCTATCATCATCATCAAAATTACCTCCATCTTGTTTTTATATCCCACACTCCTTTAAAATCATTCTTTGAAACATTTTTCCTCCTACAAAGTCTTCAAGCTATAACTGTCCCAATCATTTTAGGGGCCACAGGACAGCTTCATGCAGAGTCTCTAGCATAATGCTAGATAGTTATTAAATGCTTGACTAGAATGACAATTTGGAATTCCTCTTTTAAAATACTGGCATCTTGATGTGTAGGTCATCTTTTCAGATTGCCCCATACTGAACTGATCTGCACTATTCAATAGAAAATGAGTTTTTGGGAAACAGCGTTTTCTTGTCTATTCTCTCACTTCAGTTAGGAATAACAGTTATAAGCAGAATAACAATAGCATTTCTATTTTTATACATGACATCCATCCACCTGTTTTTCAAAACCTGACACCTGAGCCAGATGGATTTCATCCTAGTTTTATTTTCTTTCTTTTTCTTTTTTATTTTTGGAGAGGCTGGGATAATACCTGCACAGTGAGAGCAAAGCCATGGCCCCAGAAGCAAGGAGAGCTCATCCTAGGTTTAGATAGGAACTTAAATAAGGAAAAAACCTTCCTCAGGTGCTCCAAGAATCAAATAAACACATGTTCACAGTGGCATTTCCATGGAGATGTTAGAAAGCCAATCTGAGCGTGCTATTCCATGTAATTTGAACAGGTGCAAGTTAAGCATGGTGGCTTGCATTCCTATAATGCCAATAAAAGCTTTAATACTCTGGAGATTAATTAATGATAAAAACAAGATCTTGCTGGCATCTGTGATGAATGCTTGTGGGTATTGAATACATAGCCTGACACAGGTATGTGTGTCTGTATATGTGCATTGAGTTTAAGCATTGTCCAAAAGATGGCACTGTTTGTGTTTTTATCATGTTTAATTGCAAACTTTATACTATCTAGGCATATTAATGAACTAATTTAAGACAGAGCAGAGATATCATCCTCCACACAAATCAAACTGCTACTTTATTATAGGCCCTTTCAAACTCTTCATCTCTTTCCTCACGAAATGAATATGCCCAAGCTGTTAAATGCAATAACTGCAATGTCAGCAAACCTTTTATTTATCAAATACTTTTTTTTCTATCTTAAAGGGGATTATAAAACCTACCTTTGAAATCATTACAGATACACGACAGAAGACGGATAATTGTGACATATTTAACTTTTTAATCTTGGGAAGCTAGATTTTTCAAATATAAGTACTTCTTGATCATTTAAACGTGACTACACATGTAACACACAACTGGTAGTTGCAGTAATTATTAAAAAGCATTGTTCTTTGAAATTACTAACACAGCAAAAGGTGAAATCTCCAAATAACTTTATGAGGGCAAATAGGAAATTAGCTCCAATAACATTCTACAATCTCAAAATGTACTAGGGAATACTTCTGTGTGGGAGTGAGACATGCTGAGAGATGGCTTGTTAGAAGCACTCTGATGTTGCAGTGGACATATACATTTTTGCCTGTACAGCATGTCTTTTGGAAATCACCGTTCCTCATTCTTAAGCGACTTGCAGTCATTGTTCATTGGCCAAAGCAAGTCAAATGGCAACCCTAAATTCAATGGGTTGTGGAAGTGCAGGACTGCTATGTTCCTGAAAGGGTGGGGGGAAAGTGAAGTATTTAGATAATGTGTACTATTACCTAAATTCAGGGTGTGGTTTTCATAAGGCTAGAAGCAAAAGCCAGTGAGTGGTTTCGCCAAGTTGGCGGAGAAGGGGTTTGTTAGATACGGAGATAAATAAAATTCCATAAAAAAAGCTTTCCCTAATGACAAAGAATCATCAGGGAGAAATGACACAGAATTTGCATTAATGTACATACTAGAGTGGATTAGAATGTTTTTTCACTCCAACTCCTACAGAGTCACTTATAGCCAAGGCTAGATTAGAGCTTTATAGAGCAGAAAACATTTTCCCTTTATGCAAAAAATTTTCAGGGAACTAATGTTCTTTTTGATACCAGCAGAAAGCAAACAGTGTTAAGATACTTTTATTATGGTAGGTAGCGTTTGAAATATGTTCCCAGCAATGTAAAAGAGCAGCAAGTGAGTAGCCTGCTAAGAGTCCTGTAGCAATTAGGAACTTCCAGAGAACGAATAAAGATTTCTCTTATGCATATTTAATAACAGCTGAAATTTTATGGTAGAGAGTGCCAGGAATTTTGTGTCTATGTGTTTGTTTTTCTTTATTTCTTGCTTCCTATTGCATCCTCTAATATCTTATTAGTTTGTAACATTCTCTTAGTGGCTTCAGTATAATAACTTGTATTGGAATTATCTGTTCATATTTTATGTTTCCTGAAGAACTGGGTATAAGGAGACAAAGATAAGATTCATTGACATAGGGAAGTTGCTTAGATGCAGAAAAAGCGCTGAAAAAAACTAAGACACTAGCTGGGATAGATTTGTTTCCTGTTAGTAGCTGTGCATGAATGCATCAATGTTGTTGAACATTTGTTTTCCCTGATACTGTGTATCAAATGAGAACTGTTCAGTGACTTCTATAATGCATTTTAGGTGATCTTGGGGCTGGGTGCAGTGGTGCATGCCTGTAATCCTAGCATTGGGAGGATTGCTTGAGATCAGGAGTTCAAGACCAGCCTGGGCAAAATAGTGAGACCCTGTTTCCTCAAAAAAAAATAAAAATAAAGTAAATTAATAATAAAAACAAAAAGTGAATTTAATAATATGGTTCACCTGCTGCAAGCTACATAATGAATATGAATACATAATAAGTCTTAATGTATTTTTTTTTGAGGTGGAGTTTCACTCTGTTGCCCAGGCTAAAGTGCAGTGGTGTGATCTCAGCTCACTGAAACCTTTGTCTCCCGGGTTCAAGTGATTCACTTGCCTCAGCCTCCTGAGTAGCTGGGACTATAGGCTCCCACCACCACACCCGGCTAATTTTTGTATTTTTAGTAGATTAGGGTTCATCATGTTGCCCAGGCTGGTCTTGAACTCCTGACCTCAAGAGGCAAGTGAATCACCTGCCTCAGCCTCCCAAAGAGCTGGGATTACAAGTGTGAGCCACCGAGCCTGGCCCAGTAAGTCTTAATGTATTTGAATATACTAAAGAAGTTAAGTCATAGGCTTTGGAGTTGCATATAGCTCAGTGTGAAGCCCAGATGCTATTTGTTTACTGTGTAATCTTGTCTAAATCACTTCACCTCTCTGAGCTTTAGTTTCCTCTCCTGGCTTACCTAATCATGCTCACTTGAGTAATATTAAGGTAACCTCATAGGATTGTTTTGAGAATTATACAATATAACTTACATAAAGAACCAGGCACAGTGTCTGAACATAGTAAGTAGTTAATAAATATTAGCTATTAATGATCAAAGCACAGATTTTTTTTTCCAAAAAATCTTCTTTGTCTCCTTAAACCTTGTGATAGGTAAACAGGAAAGGTATTATTATGCTCTGCTGCAGGACACGGAGACTCAGAGGGTTTAAAGGATATACTTTCAGGTCACCTGAGGAGGTCATGCAAAGCTGAGGTCTAGTGATGTCCAGCTCAGTGAAATTTTCCTGCCATCACCATGTGGATAGTTACACTAATAAGCACTCCCATCTGTAAGCCATTTACATCCATGGTTAGTTAGTTTTAGGTATCTAAATAGCCATACCATAGTATCCAGTGATTTAATCAAATGTGAATCTAGGTGTTGTTGTGAAGATATTTTGTACATGAGGTTAACATCTATGATCAGGTGACTTTAGCTAAGGAAAACTACCCTTCATTATGTGGGTGGGCTTCATTTAATCAGTTGAAGGTCTTAAGTGCAAAAGCTGAGGTTTCCTGTAGAAGAAGAAATTCTGTTCTGAAACTGAAGCATCGGCACACACAAATGTGTGTACCTCCACTGGCATCTCAGCATCTGTAAGCAGGCTCTTGACTTTGAACACAAATGTTTCATGTTGAGATGGAGTCCTCAGCCCCAACACATAGGACTTTTCTGGATCCCAGTCCCTACAGTTATATGATAAAGGGTCAGGAGGAGAAAGTGAAGCTTAATATTACTTAAGTGAACATGACTAGGTAAGCCAGGCAGAAAATTATCTTAAAATTTTCTTTAAACGAAGAAGTAGTTTGCTTTTCTTTTCCTTCCCACACAGGTAAGTTTCCTATGATTGTTTCCATCAGTACCTCATGACATCGAAGCCAAGAGGAAGGGTTATCCTTCCTGTGGCCACCCCCAACCGACAAAAACCCTATTACTTATGTTTTGGATTTCACTCCTTCCTGCCCCTTCAGGGCCCTCACTCTATCAATTATCTCCTCCTTTCTGCTTTAACAAGCTTTATTAATGGTGATGATGTTGTTGATGATGATGATAATAGTAATGATGATCTCCATGTGTAAACAGCTGCACAGAATCAAATCACAATCCTATGAAGTAATTTGTTGGTCTTTTCATTGAATAGATGAGAAAACTAAAGCTTAGAGAAGCTGCAGCCCATGCCCATAGCTGCCCTATTAATAGCTAGAAAAGACCTGGAATTTAAAATCAAGCCTGTTTGAATCCAGTGCTTTCCCCAGTGGCTCCTTCATATCTTACTCAACTTGCTCAATTTTATTCCAATAGTAATTTAGTGCAAGGCATGAAGTCATTATTTCTTTAGCCTGTTTTAATTACAAAGCCTAGCTTCAAAAAAGTCTGCCAAACTGTTAAAATGGGGTCGGTCAAATCCTTGTAAGTCCTGAGTTTTGCTATATCAGGTCTTCAGCCCAGGGTTCTCTCTCAGCTTGGTCTGCCAAGCACTAGCAGCAAGGTTATGGGAGAGGGTGTTCTCTAAGGACAACTTTCTTCTCTTTAAAAGATGACAGCTGACTTTCAGTTTCTGGTCCAGCATATAAGAAGCTTGAAAGTAGCCACTATCTCCTAACAATAAGCAAAAAAACAGAACAAACTGAAAACTCAACAAATCTTCTTAGATCTCGATACAATTTTAGTACTTGTCCCTGCCCAAATCTCATGTTGAAATGTAACCCCCAGCTGGGCATGGAATCCCAGCACTTTGGGAGGCCGAAGCAGGTGGATCACCTGAAGTCAGGAGTTCGAGACCAGAGTGACCAATGTGGCAAAACCCTGTCTCCACTAAAAATACAAAATTAGCTGGGCGTGGTGACACATGCCGTAATCCCAGCTACTTGGGAGGCTGGGGCAGGAGAATCACTTGAACCCGGGAGGCGGAGTTTGCAGTGAGCCAAGATTGCACCATTGCACTCCAGCCTGGGTGAAAGAGTGAGACTCCATATCAAATAAAAAAAAAAAAGAAAAGTAATCACCAATCTTGGAAGTGGGACCTGGTGGGAGGTGTTTGGATCATGGGCAAATCCCTTATGAATGTCTTGGTGATAAGTGAGCTCTTGCTCTTATCCCTTGGTGATAAGTGAGCTTTTGCTCTGAGTTCACATGAGATCTGGTCATTTAAAAGTGTGTGGCACCTCTCCCTACCCTTCTCTCTCTTGCTCCTGCTTTTGCCATGTGATGTGCCTACTCCCACTTCACCTTCTCCCATGATTGTAAGTTTCCTGGGGCCTCCCTAGAAGCTGAGCAGATGCCAGCACTGTCCTTCCTGTAAAGCCTGCAGAACTGTGAACCAATTAAACCTCTTTTCTTTATAACTTACCCAATGTTAGGTATTTCTTTATAGCAATGCAAGAATGGCCTAATACAGATCTGTAAGAGAAGTGAGGTTACAGGTCAAACTGCTACCCTCACAAATTGGAGGCAGAGGTGGATATGGAGAATTAAAACCTATCAGAGTGGAAACCCATGAGCAGAAACCTCCACAAGAACAAGTGCTGGGTTCAAAAATCTTGAACTGTAATTAATGAACTGCTGGGGGCTCAGTATGGGCAAGAAGGAGAATTAAAAACTCCAGGGGTCTCCAGTCACAGTGGGATCCTCACACATTTGTGAGTTTTACCTCCATGAGTTCAACCTGCTTCTCACGGTGAATATCAGAGAAAAATTCCTTCTTGCTCCAGCAGGGCGAAGGGAAAAGAAGCCATTTTGAAATATGTCAGAGATTTCTATTCTTCTTAACAAGGTCTACTCTCAGGAGAAACTATTCAACCACAGCCTAATCTGCCGGGGGTTTAGCCAGGAAAGGGAAATACCCAACTCCAGGTCATCTAGCCATCTTGTCTCACTTAAAGGAAGGAAAACTGAGAAGCACTTGAAAACTTCACAGTCCCAGAGGTACAGGCTCACGAAAAGACTTTAGAAGTAATCGTAGAACCTTAGAATGCTTTTCCTCCACAAGCATCTTATTATTACATTATGAAAGGTCTATTTAGAGCATTTTCTTCTACCTGGTGCATCATGTCCAAGTTCAAAAATATTAGAAGGCACTCTAAAAGGCAAGAATACAGTTTGAAGTGATGGAGCAAGCATCAGAATCAGACTCAGATATGGCAGGGATGCTGAAATTATTAGACCAAGAATCTAAAACAA
This sequence comes from Homo sapiens, assembly GCF_000001405.40. NCBI lineage: Eukaryota > Metazoa > Chordata > Mammalia > Primates > Hominidae > Homo > Homo sapiens. Next base: position 42,666,194 of record NC_000013.11, read on the forward strand.
CTATGATTAATATGCTAAGGGCTTTAATGGATAAAGTAGACAGTATGTAAGAACAGATGGGCAATGTAAACCAAGACGGAAATTCTAAGATCAAAAAGGGATAAAAAATATTGTGACAAATACAGTATGATTTCACTTATATGAGATATCTTAAAAAGCCAAAATCATAGAATCAAAGAGTAGAATGATGTTGCTAGGACCTGGGGGGAGAAAGAAATGAGGAGTTACTAACCAACAGGCATGAAATTTCAGTTTAGCAAGATGAATAAGCTCTAGAGATCTACTGTACAATATTGTACCTACAGTCAACAATAATGTATCGCAAACTTAAAATTTTGTTGACAGGGTAGATATCATGTTAATTGTTTTTACCACAATAAAATAACGTTAAAACAACAACAATAACAACAGCACTGTAATAGAAATGAAGAATGACTTTGGTGAGCTTATTAGTAGACTGGACACAACTGAAGAAAAATACCTGAGCTTGAAGATACATCAGTAGAAACCTCACAAACTGAAAAGTAAAGAGACAAAAGCCTGAAAAAAAACAGAACAGAATATCCAAGAACTGTGGGAAAACAACCAAAGGTGTAACATATATGTAATGAGAATACCAAAAAGAGAAGAAAGAGGGAAAGGAACAAAGGAAATACTTGAAACAAACAATAACAGAGAATTTCCCCCCAAATTAATGTCAGATATCAAACCACAGACTCAGGAAGCTCAGAAAACACCAAAAAGAAAAAATGCCAAAACAACTACACATGGGAATATCACATCTACACTACATAAAATTAGAGGTAAAGAAAACAATTCTGAAAGGAGTCAGAGGGAAAAAACATCTCACCTACAGAAGAGCAAAGATAAGAGTTGCATCTGACTTCTCAGAGACCATGCAAGCAAGAAGAGAATGGAGTGAAATATTTAAAGTATTGAGAGAGGGGGAAAAAAAACAAAACATAACCAGAGTTCTGTTCCTGGTGAAATAGTCATTCAAAAGGGAAGGAGAAATAGATTTTCTAAGACAAACAAAAATTGAGGAAATTTGCTGCTAGTAGACCTGCCTTGCTTGCAAGAAATGCTAAAAAAAAAAAGTTCTTTAAAAAGAAGAAAAATTATATAGGTCTGAAATTTGGACTTACGTAAAGAAAGGAAGAGCATTGAAGAATGAAAAAGTGAAGGTAAAATAAAAACTTCTTATTTTTCTTATTCTTAACACCTGGGTATTTATCCCGTGTATTCAAGGCTGGTTCAATATTCAAAAATTAATTAATGTAATTCATCACATCAACAGGCTAAAGAAGAAAAATCACATGATTATATGAATAGATGCAGAAAAAGCATTTGACAAAATCCAACACCCATTCCTGATTGAAAGAAAGAAAAAAAACCCAGGAAATTTGGAATAGAGGGAAGCTCGCTGAACTTGATAAAGAATATCTACAAAATACCTAGAGCTAACCTCACACATAATGGTGTGAAACTAGAAGTTTTCCCACTAAGATCAGGAACAAGGCAAAGATGTCCCTTACCATTCCTCTTCAACACTGTACTAGAAATTTTAGCTAATGCCATAAGACAAGAAAAGGAAATAAAATGTATACTGAGAGTGAAGGAAGAAATAAAACTGTCATTGTTTGCAGATGACATCATTATATATGTAGAAACCCTGAAAGAATTATCAACAACAAAAAAAACTTCTGGAACTAGTAAGTGATTATAGGAAGGTTGCAGGATACAAGGGTAATAAACAAAAGTCAATTGCTTTCTTATATACCAGCACTGGACAACTGGAATTTAAAATTAAATATGAAATACAGCTTATGCTAACACTTCCTAAAATGAAATACTTAGGTATAAATCTAACAAAATATTTATAATATCTCAATAAAAACCTACAAAACTATGACTAAAGAAATCAAAGTAGAATTAAATAAATGGAGAGACATTCTATGTTTATAAATAAGAAGACTCAATATTGTCAAGATGTCAGTTTTTTTCAACTTGATCTATAGATCAAATGAAATTCCAATAAAAAACCCAGCAAGTTAGTTTGTGGATAGCAACAAACTATTCTAAGGTTTATGTGGCAAAAGACACAGAACAGCTGACACAATATTGAAGGAAAAGAAAAATTTGGAGTACTGTTAATATCTGACTTTAAGATTTAATATAAAGCTATAGTAATCAAGATGGTATGATATTGATGAAAAAATAGACAAGTAGATCAATAGAACAGAATAGAGTCCAGATATAGACCCACATAAATATAGTCAACTGAACTTTGACAAAGGGATTTAAGGCAATACAATGGAGAGAAGATAGTCCTTCAACAAATGGTTCTGGAACAAGCATGTACACATATATCAACACATGAACCTAGAACAGACTTTATACCCTTCACAAAAATTAATTCAAAATGGGTCACAGACCGAAATGTAAAACACCCAATAATAAAACTTCTAAAAAATAACATAGAAGAAAATTTAGGTGGCCTTAGTTTTGACAATGACTTTTTAGATATGACACCAAAGGAATGCTTCATGAGGGAGCAACAGACATGGGGGCCACTTAGGAGTGGAGGATGGGAAGAGGGAGAGGAGCAGAAAAAATAACTATCGGGTACTAGACTTAGTACCTGGGTAACAAAATAATCTGTACAACGAACCCCCAGGAAATGAGTTTACCTATAAACAAACCTGCACATGTACCCCTGAACCTAAAATAAAAGTTTTTTTTTTAAAAAAAGAGGAGACTAGGACACACAGAGAGAGGCATCAGGGGCACACATGCAGAGAGGGACAACCGTGTGAAGAGACAGCAAGAGGGCAGCCAGCTGCAAGCCAGGGAGAGATGCCTCCCTGGAAGCTCAGGGAACAGAGCTTCCCTTACGGCCGTCAGAGGAAACATACCCCAGCACCTTGATCTTGGACTTCCAGTCCCCAGAACTGTGAGAAGATAATTTGTTGTTGTTTAAGACAAAAATAAAAAGGAATTCTTCACGTAAGAAAGAAATTATACGTTGGTCTTCATTAAAATTAAAAAATTCTGCTTTTGCAAAAGACGCTGTCAAGAAAATGAAAGACAAGCCACAGATGGGGAGAATTTGCAAAACGCATATCTGATAATGGGCTACTATCCAAAATATGCAAAAAACTCTTAAAAACGCAGCAATAGAATCCAAACGACCTGATTTAATATGTGCCAAAGACATTAATAGACACCTCACAACAGAATGATGTCAAAAAAGATGTTCCTTGTCACATGTCATCAAGGAAATGCAAATTGAAACAATCATATATCACTACATACATGTTAGAGTGGTCAAAATCCAGACCACTGACAACCCCAAATGCTGAAAAGGATATGAAACAACAGGAATTCTCATTCATTGTTGGTGGGAAAGCAAAATAGTACAGGCCTTTTGGAAGACAATTTTGTGGTTTCTTGCAAGACTATACATACTCTTACCATGTGATCCAGTAATCACCTTCCTTGATATTTTTCCAAAGGAATCAAAAACTTATGTCTACACAAAATCTGCACACAAATGTTTATAACAGCTTTGTTTATGATTGCCAAAACTTGGAAGCAACCAAGATGTCCTTCAGTAGGTGAATGAATAAATAAACTGTGGTACATCCAGAAAATGGCATATTATTCAGTGCTAAAAAGAAATGAGCTGCTAAGCTGTGAAACGACATGGAGGAAACCTAAATGCATATTATTAAATGAAAGAAGCCAATCTGAAAAGGCTACATGCTATATAGTTCCAACTATATGACATTCTAGAAAAGTCAAAATGATAGAGACAGTAAAAAAATCAGTGGTTGCCAGGGGTCAGGGAGTGGGAGGAATGAATAGGTGGAGCAGAGAAGATTTTTAGGGCAGTGAAAACCCTCTGTATGATACTATAATGGTGGATATGATATGTACCGTTATACATTTGTCCAAACCCATAAGATGTACATCACCAAGATTATCACCCTAATATAAACTATGGTCTTTGGGTGATAATGATGTATCAATGTAGTTTCATCAGTTTGTATGTATCACTCTGTAAACAGATGTAAATGTATCACTCTGGTGCGGAATATTGATAATGGGAGAAGCTATGAATGTGTGGGAGCAGGGGCCATATGGAAAATCTATGTATCTTCCTCTAAATTTTCATAAGAATCTAAAACTGCTCTTAAAATTAGACTCTATTAAAAATAAAGAAATAATGAGGGTTCCTGCTCTTCTATTTCCTATAGAGCAGAAAACTCATGCTTGGAGGTGGGAATTCTTGGCACTGGGGCCTCCCTGTGCTTTGAACTTATGTTATTGTGGAGTGCCTGATATGGGCTCACCAATCTCTTCTTTTATCCACGGTCACTTGCCATCATGGACCCCTCACATCCCTGCCATAATTTCTGTCTTGTGCTATGCTTGGGAATTTCATGAAAGGTGATTTTTAAAACCCAACATTTATAGTCAAGAGCATGGACTTTAGAATCAGAAAGCCTTGAGATGGAATTCCACCTCAATCATTTGCTATTTGTGTGACACTGGGCAAGCTGCTTAACCTACATATGCCCCATGTTTCCTCTGGAAATGCAACACATCCCTGCTTCAGTGGGTTGGCAAAAGGAATATAGTAGATTATGTGTGTAAGAAAGCTTATGTCACTCAGTGCATGAGGTAAGCCCTCAATATAAGACATCTATTTTCATTCCTGTTGGATCCAGATGCTTGTACCAATTTTATGTAAATTACCACCTAAATGCATGTAGTCTTATGGTTTCCTCTTATTGCTCCATAAGCGAAACTGCATGCTCCCTAAAGCCAAAAGAATGATGCTCACATTTCAGTATTGAACAAATAGTAATTGCTCTATAAACATTTATCAAATTGATTTATGGAATCAATCATACTACTGTATGTAGTGTGTGGTGCATCAAATTAAGTATTAGACTACAGATGTACCTATCTTTGAGGAATTTATGGTTTAACAAAGAATTTCTCAAAAGAGCTTGTAATTCTATATTTTCTCTCTTAACCAGTTCCAAATGTACTCATTGCTAGAAATGAGTTAGTGGCTGGAAATTTAAGCACATGGTATCTTTTCACATCTCCTCACATAAATGGACAGGCCCAGTAAATCATAGAACCGTGATCTGAAATGAAGTTGGGAGAAACTATTTTCACTACTATAAGCAATGGCCTGAAACCCCTGCCTCCTTGGCTGTACCTCTGTCTCTCTTAACACCAATGAGATGGTGAAGATATTTGTGTCATCTTTTACGTCCTGGGGTTTGCTCCCTCTTCGAGCCTCACAGTTTGCTCATCGGTAAAATGGAGTAATGATAATACTTGTGAAGATTAAATTAGGCTATGTTAAGAAACGGCTAGCTTCTGACTTCTATCAGGCATTCGATAAGCAGCAACTGGCATTTCTTGGCTTCACTTCTCAGCTGAGCTTTGGTGTCCCTCACCCTAGCTGCCCTTCCCCCATATGCCAACTTATCTCCCTCTGTTTCCCTTGGCGGGGTTGGCTCCTGTCGTTTTCACTGCTGCATCCCTAGCACCTAGTAGTGTGTGTACATGAATAGAGCTCTAAAGGCGTTTGACAGCCAAGGATTATATTATAGATACAGGATTACTGTGTGAGGGGCAGCCTACCTTCTTCCTATAGTAATTTTCCCCATACAATATATGGTAGTTGCTCAACCTGCCACAAAAGGGCTTCTCTAAAACACTAAGAGGTTTTCTACATTTAAAATTTTCTATTGGCTGGGTGCGGTGGCTCATGCCTGTAACCCCAGCACCTTGGGAGACCAAGGCAAGAGGATTGCTTGAGCCCGGGAGTTTGGCAATATAGCGAGACCCTTTCTCTAAAAACAATGTTTAGAAATTAGATGGGCATAGTGGCACATCCTTGTGGTACCAGCTACTTGGGAAGCAGAGGTTGGAGGCTTGACTGAGCCCAGAAGGTCGAAGCTTCAGTGAGTCATGATCATACCACTGTACTCCAGCCTGGGTGACAAAGGAAGACGCTGTTTCAAAAAAAATTTTTTTAATTTATATGGTGATTCCTAGAATAATTAAACATAGAATTACCATATGATCCAGCAATTCCAATTCTGGGTATAAACTCAAAATAATGAAAAGTAAAAATGTAAACACATTTATACACCCATAACAGCATTATTCACAAAAGCCAAAAGCTGGAAAAAAACCCCAACGTCCATCAAAGGATGAATGGATAAACAAGATGTGTTATATACATACAATGGAATGTTATTCAGCCTTAAAAAGAGAATGAGATTCTGATACATGCCACAACACGGATGAACCCAGAAAACGTGCTAAATAAAATGAACCATGCACAAAAGGGCAAATATTGTATGATTCTACTTATGCTATATCTAGAAAATTCATAGAGACAGAAAAGAATATAGTAGTTCCCAGGGACAGAGGGGGGCAGGTGGAAAGGGGAGTTATGTAATGGGTACAGAGTTTCTGTTGGGGGTGATGAATAAGCTCTGGAGATGTGATGATTGGGACGGCTGCACAATGATGTGACTATACTTAATGCCACTGAACTGCACACTCGGAATTGTTAAAATGGTAAATGTTATGTTATGTATATTTTATTGCACGCAAAAAGTCTTATTTAGAACAGTTCAACCCAGCAGGAGAATCTGTTCTGCTCCTGCTGACAGGGAGCAGGGGCAGGGAAGGAGCTTCCTCCCAGAAACTCCAGCCCAGGCAGCCTCCCCAGTGCTGCTCGGCACTTTTAATTACCACTAGCGTCCGACTGTTCCTCAAAGTCTCAACTGGGGGCTGTGTCAGTTGGCCCCTGCCACATCCTGATTGCCTTGCAGAAACTGCCTTCCTGGGCCATAATTGTCTTTTCAGATTACCTGGGTGCACGGACGGTAATCATTTGCTTGAACGTGATTGTGTCCTCAGCATGACACTAGAGGCTGGGCATAATAGAGCGTGAATAGAATTCAGGTGACTTGAAATTTGGTTTCCCCAGTTGACTTTTTCCCCACCCCACTCCCCATCCCTTCTCAGCTTCTCTGGCACATTGCAGCTTTCACTCCTTTGACAATATGGGCCGATTCTCTGGGTAGAAGTGGCATCTTGGTGCTCATTTGCATTTTCTACTGATGACATCCATATCAGAAGAAACCTGTCCATACTGTAGATCAAAATGATTTTTTTCCATCCTTAGCTGCCAGAACAATTCTTATCACTGAAGATCAAATATATTCCATGAGCTCATATATCATCATTACCTACAATACAAATTCTGAAATCCAAGCAGACCTGGCAATTTTATTGATGTTCAGAGCGGAACAGAGCCCAGGTCACCCTGAATCAGTTGCACTGCCTTTGCCTTGCTGACAGCAACAAACATGTCACTGACAATATTACCAAAGAAAAGATGACTCGGTAAGTTCCATGCAGAAGGTAACTTGTCAGTGACAGGGGTGGGATATTTTTATCCTTATAACTCAGTGCTAATGAAATTGGTGGGAAGAACATCTGACTGAGAATGTGTCCCCCAGGGAGCAGGGAGAAGCAGAAAGCACGGGAGTCGGCCTCTTTTCAAAGTCATTTTTCTCAATACTGTCATGATTTAATCAGGTGGTCTTAACAAGAGCTGAGGAGTGGAGGACCAGAAGCAATAACCAGTAAGGCCAGTTTTGTCATTCTCAAGCATGGCCTGTGGACAGCTCTGTAAGGCATGGACAATCTGTCATGCCTGGATCTTGGTTTTCTCATTTGTGCAGTGGAAAGAATCACACTATATGGTCCTTTGCTATTTGGAGGATTAAATGCTGTTTGTCAAGTGATTTGAGATCTAAGAATAGAAAGAATTATAATACAGGCCCATCTCACTCTCATTTTACAGTTGTTAGCAATTATTGAGGTATGGAAAGAAAGATGCCCAGCCACGAGAGGTTACCATCTGCCCTTTACTGGCATTTGGGGAAGGAAAGGAAATTAGAAAAGAAAAAGAAAATGTCAGTATATCAGAAGAAGATGAAGGGAAGGAGATAGGGTAAGACATTGTGCCAGTGGTCCCCAAGACCACCCTCAGGTTTGATGATTTACTAGAAAGACTCACGAGGCCCAGAAAAGCAGTTACACTCATGGTTATGGTTTATTACAGCAAAAGGATATGGATGAAGCAGCAAAGGAGAAAGATACATAGGTCAGATTTTAGGAAAGATGAGGGACAGAGCTTCCGGTTATCCTCTTCCGGTGGAGTTGCATAGACAGTGTTTAATTCTCTCAGCAACAATGGGTGACAACATGTACTAAGTATTGCCAAACAGGGAAGCTCACCTCAGCCTTGGTGTCCAGTGAGTTTTATTGGGAACCAGTCATGTAGACAGGTAGTGCCCATAGGACTGGCCTTAGCTACTCAGTCTCCAGCTTCCCTAAAAGGCCAAACTGACACAGCATGGTCCACAGCCTCAGGTATACAAAAGCATGCATCTACCATAAGGAACATTGTCAGCATAAACTATCTGGTGCGGCCCTAGGCCCCGGGTATACAAAGACAAACTTATCAGGCAGGATATTCCAAAGGCTCAGAGAATATCTTGCAGCCGCTGGTCAAGAGCCAGTCCTTCCTTTGAAATGTGCTGGGTTTGGGGTCTGCTACACAAACGTGAAAAGAAGTGAAATCCACATTCCTTCCACCTGCTCTCACTGAGGACAGAACTGTGACTGCCTAACAGGTTCACCTTGCTGGTTGCCTAGACAGAGCCAATTTATCAAGACAGGGGAACTGCAATAGAGAAAGAGTAATCCATGTGGGGATGGCTGTGTGGGAGACCAGAGTTTTATTATTACTCAAATCAGTCTCCTGAGCGTTTGGGGATCTGAGGTTTTAAGAATAATTTGGTGGGTAGTGGGGGCCAATGAGCAAGGAGCGCTGATCGGTCAGGTTGGAGATGAAATATTAGTGAGTCAAAGCTGTCTTCTTGTGCTGGGTCAGTTCCTAGATGGGGGCCACAAGATCAGATGAGCCACTTTAATAGATCTGGGTAGCAGCAGCTGATCCATCAAGTGCAGGATCTGCAAAATATCTCAAGCACTGGCCTTAGGTTTTACAATAGTGATGTTATCCCCACGAGCAATTTTAGGAGGATCAGAAACTTGTGGCCTCCGGCTGCATTACTCCCAAATCATAATTTCTAATCTTTTGGCTAATTTGTTAGTCCTACAAAGGCAGTCTAGTGCCAGGCAAGAAGATTTGTTTTGGGAAAGGGCTGTTATCATCTTTGTTTTAAACTTTAAACTAAATTCCTCCCAAAGTTAGTTCAGCCTATGTCCAGGAACGAACAAGGACAGCTTGGAGGTTAGAAGCAAGATGGAATTGGTTAGGTCAGATCTCTTTCACTATCTCAGGCATAATTTTGCAATGGCGATGGTTTCAGAACAATGTTAAATGTGCTGAAATCCTACATGCTATGGAACTGCTGAAAAGCTAAAGCCATATTGCAAACACATAATTCATCCATGACTATTCCTCTTTCTCAAGCATCTTTTTTTTTTTTTTTTTTTTTTTTTTTTTTTTTTGAGACGGAGTATCGCTCTGTCTCCCAGGCCGGACTGCGGACTGCAGTGGCGCAATCTCGGCTCACTGCAAGCTCCGCTTCCCGGGTTCACGCCATTCTCCTGCCTCAGCCTCCCGAGTAGCTGGGACTACAGGCGCCCGCCACTGCGCCCGGCTAATTTTTTGTATTTTTAGTAGAGACGGGGTTTCACCTTGTTAGCCAGGATGGTCTCGATCTCCTGACCTCATGATCCACCCGCCTCGGCCTCCCAAAGTGCTGGGATTACAGGCGTGAGCCACCGCGCCCGGCCGCATCTTTTAATATTCTTCATTTTTCAGACTTGATTCACCAAATTTCTTTTAGAACTCAAGACCAGGAAAACAATTACCCTTCATGTTACCTTTTCACCTGCTTCCTTTAAAAGCCAATGAGAGCATCTTTCCCTCTTCCTTGGCTGCCAGGGTATTCAGAGGGAAGTTTTGTGCTTATTGTCTGCAGCCTATTTTCTGACACAATTGCTCTCTTCTCTTCTCCTCCTCAGTGTGACAAAGTAGAAAGAGCATAGTTTTGGACCCAAAGACATAGATTCAGATACTGACTATTCAACACACTGACTGTGTAGCCTTAGACCAATCACTTAACCCCTTTAACCATATGTCCTTGGTAAAATGACTTTTGAAGGTTGTTGAAAAGATTAGAGATAAGGACATAAAGTGCCTGGTGCTTGGTAGGTGCTAAATAAAGGATAGCTATCTTTTTTGTTTGTTTGTTTCTAAAAAATTGTCTCCCAAAGTGCTGAGATTACTCTTTTAGTTATTTTTAAATGTACAATAAATTACTGTGGACTGTAATCACTCTGCTGTGCTATCAAATATTAGCTCATATTCATCCTATCTAACTATATTTTTGTACCCATTAACCATCCCCACTCCCTTCCACTTTCAGCTACCCTTCCCAGTAACCATCATTCTACTGTCTGTCTCCAAAAGTTTAATTGCTTTAATTTTTAGCTTCCACAGTGAGAACAGGTGAAGTTTGCCTTTCCATACCTGGCTTATTTCACTTAACGTAATGACCTCCAGTTCTATCCATATTGTTGCAAATGACAGGATTTCAGTTTTTTTCTTTTCTTTTTTTTTTTTTTGGATGAACAGTATTTCATTGTGTATGTGTACCACATTTTCTTTTTCCATTCATCTGTTGATGGACACTTAGGTTGCTTCTAAATCTTGACTATTGTGAATAGTGCTGCAATAAACATGGAAGTGCAGATACGTCTTCAACATTCCTTTATTTTGGGTATATGCCTAACAGTGGGATTGCTGGGTCACATGGTAGTTCTATTTTTATTTTTTTGAGGAGCCTCCATACTGTTATCCATAGTGGCTGTACTAATTTACATTTTCACCAACAACGTATAAGGGTTCCCTCTTCCCCATATCCTAAAGGGTAGTTATTCTTATTACCACATCTTTTTCTTTTCCTGCATTAATTATTCATTTTTAATCTTTGAGATATTTTTGTTATTGTTGTTAATGCATTACTAAACCTCCTTAAATCTCCTTGATGCGGACAGGATTACACACTATAAATGACTTTTAAGAGGTACTTTGTATGGTGGATGTGAGAAGAGGCCTCACGGTTTTCTGATTGCAGGAAGCAAATCGACCGATGGACCCAAATGCTGTGCTTTGAAATCCACAGCTGCATTTGTGCTGAGGCCATCTTCCCATTGGGCTGCTCCCTGATGAATACCACAGGCATACTAAGGAAGGCCCCTTCCCAGGAAATGCAGTGTCTCTCTGATAAACAATTTTGCCCCATCAGGCTTCCCGAGCTTTTCTTAGAACTGTTCTGTGGTCCAAGATGCATGCTCTCAACCCTCCTGTAACTGTAATAGGTCCATTGCCCGATGTGTGGCAAGTCAGTACACCAAGACACCAGGTTGCAGCAGAGAAAGAAGTTTAATTATAGGGCTGCCTAATGAGGAGATAAGAGGGAACCTCAAATCTGTCTCCCCAAGGAGTTCTGGGCTAGGATTTTTAAGAGTGTGGAGATTGTTGATTGATGGAAGAGTGCAGGGTGAAGTCATGGGGGAGGGAGATGAAGAAACTGTATTCTCATGCTGATTTGGTTCCTCTGTGGAGGTCTTCAAACTGCTTGCCATCAGCTGTTCAGCTGTTTTGCTGGAATTCAGGACCTGAAAAACACATAAAGCAATAGCCTCATTATTCTAAGGTCAGAAATTTTATCTCTAGGAACAATGGGGTTGCAAATGGTCAGTATCTAGTGTTATGGTGACTTTTAGCAACAGGAAGTGGGCCAAGGTGCAGCCTGATTACTGCTTAGTTATAACTGTATGTCTGTCCAGAATTCTGGTTAACCCTGTGAGCATGACTTCACTCCTTCCTTCTAGCCTCTCTCTCTCACTCGAGATAGACCTGCATTGTCATCTGATGGTTCTCTCAGCCTCTCCTGAATCCCTCCACATTTTCTGTAATACATTCGTTCCATGTTTAAATCTCATCTCAGCATCTGCTTTTTGGAAGCTCCAGAGTTGTCCATAGACTGTTGGCCTAGAATGTGGTGATTGACAGATTGACAGGATGGGAAACTCTTCTCTCTTTATGGAGAATGAGCTGTGCCCATTTGGGACCCAGCGTAGTAGTAGCAGTACCTTCATCGAGCTGTGATCTCAGTACTCGCTCTGCAACAAATCTACATGTGTAGTAACTGGAGACACTCTTCTCACTCTTCCTTGGGGTGCTTGGTTGCATTCTAGAAAGAAGGAGTGGTCCACACCTTGCAACTTCCATCTTGGACACAAGATCATCCCGGACCAAAAGAAAAATCACAAAGACCCTTTTTGTGTCTGGTCCTCAGGGGATTGAGCTATTTAAAAGTTCTGATATGAATGTTTATAGGATGCATTTTCCTTCCTTAAGCAAAACACCTCCCACCATGGAGCATTCCTCCTTGACTGACTAAATTAATTTTAACGCAGATTCTCAGCTGTTTACCTGTCCTACCTTAATCAATAGGGTACCGACAGCAAATAGCTTGACATCTATTAGCTGAATCAGTGTGAAAACATTGTGGAGCTTATTATTGCACCTCCAACTCTGTTCAGATAACTGAAACTAATTGAAACTATTTTAAGAGCTCATGAATTTGGGACAGTTTTGATGCCATTCAGTCTCAGCCGAGACAGTGATTCTTTTGAATATATCTATATTACTAGAACATTACTTGCCATGTACTGGCACTGTTTACCTCTTCTAGATACAAGCCCCAATCATAACCATGACTCAGCCAAGCTCTGAACCCAAAGGGCCCACCTGAAGGGAGAGGGGAGAGAGTAAGTGTGTGAAGGGTGTTCTAGGCAACCAGAAGCAGACAGTGGCCACACATATACAACAGGCCAGGAGCTCAGCCTGAGTGGGTGAAGCTCTGGGGCAAGGGTGTCTTGTAGCTGGTGATTGGCAGAAATCCAAGCACAGCAAATGACCAAACCTGAGAAGGCCCATCAGTCAGTGGTGTGGCTCCATTCCCTGAGATGGAAGGATCTTGGTCAGCAAAGTGCAGCAGAGACTCAGGTAGGGGCAGAAAGAGCGGGAAGCCAGTTATTAGCAGGAGACTGGGTAAAAAATAAGGCAGAATCCTACATGCTGGAAATGCATTCTGAAGTCAGATTGTCATCCCATTCTGAGGACAGAGTGGAAGCAGTGTCAAAGCTGACAGTACTCCAAGAAAAAGCTTCTTACCTTCCTGACAAGGCAGAGGATGGGTGTCTGATTGCAGAGTGTAGGAGAAGGCCAAATTTCCTATAAGCCTGTGGGGTGAGGCTGGGGACAGAGAAGGGAAGAAAAGGATCAGGGAAGGAAGCGGTTAAATTAAGAAAGTTCAGGAGATTGGGACACAAGCAAAACATTACAGCTGTAAACTGAAAATAAAATCCTAAGCCTCCTAACCAACTGAACGGATTCCATCTTGGCCAAGAGGACCTCAGAGAAACCTGAAAAACTGAATTTTTGGCCCTGTTGGGAAAGGAGATTGGACATGCCATGTTATCCTCCCTCTTTTGGAGTTTAGGCATAACTGACCAGCATTAATGTTAAAATAGAGGTCATAAGACTGACAGAATGGACTTTTTTTTTTTTGTGACAGAGTCTCGCTCTGTTACCCAGGCTGGAGTGCAGTGGCGTGATCTCAGCTCATTGCAACTTCCGCCTCCTGGGTTCAAGTGATTCTCCTGCCTCAGCCTCCCGAGTAGCTGGGATCACAGGCATGCACCACCACACTCAGCTAATTTTTGTATTTTTAGTAGAGACGTGATTTCGCCATGTTGCCCAGGCTGGTCTCGAACTCCTGACCTCAGGTAATCCACCTGCCTCAGCCTCTCAAAGTGCTAGGATTATAGGTGTGAGCCACTGCGCCCAGCCCAGAATGGACTCTTGTTGCAATAAGATACCAAATTATAAACAAGACCTAAGGCTATGCCAGGCAAGGATTAAAGTCATGCCCTATAAACCATAAAATCTCGTTAAATGGTTTTTTTTTTAATTAACCTGGTATAATGTGGCTTACTTCCCAATCTGACTCTCATGGAATAGCATCCCATGACAGAGAGCAGATCCCCTCGTCTTAACTTAAGCATGCCTTTCTACTGACTTCAAGTCTTTAGACAAGGCTTAACTCTTTCAACAAACTGTCAACTAAAAAAATCCCTAAAACCCACCTTGATTTGTAAGTCCTGTCTTCAAAATGTCCTGCCTTTTTGGACTAAACCAAGTATTCCTTCTATGTATTGATTTTTTATTTTATGTCCAATTTCTGTCTTACTGAAACATATAAAACCAAACTGTAACCCAACCACCTTGGGCGTACTTTCTCAGGACCTCTTGAGACTGTTTTCCCTGGGCTCAGAATAAACTTCTTTAAAATATATTACAGAACTTGGTTTTTCCGTTAACACAGCAAAAATAAAAAAAATCAAAATCTAGAAAAAGGAAACCCCATTGTCTCTAAACTCCCACCAACACATTACTGTCAAAGACATCCAGGATATGAATTTCTTTCCTCTCAGTTCTCCAGCCCTCTGAGCAGGTTCAGGGATGGTTTCTGCATAAGGAACAAGGAGGCTGTGTGGTTTCTTGTGGTAGACCAGCAGCCCCCGGCAGCTCCAGGAGCCTCTGTAATTCAGCCTTCCTCTTAATGTTACTGTCACCCCAGATGCCAATGCAGAGCCTGGAGCTTCCATGGTACTGCAGCCAATTTTTTTAAAAGGAGCACTGATTTTAGCAGATTTACAAACAGAGGCATCGCTATCCATGTGTCAATAATATAGCAGATTGGCATCTTTTCTTTTCCTGGTGCCTCCAAACTTATTAGTTCATTCTTCTTCCCGCTTAATAGGGAAGCCAGAGGCATTTTCCCTTTGCCATTAGCGGCTTCTGAAACTAGGAGCACCGTGAAGCTGTGAGGTCTCCTGGTTCCACCCCTGGTCCCACCACTCATTCACTCTCTTATATCCATAAAGGATGATCCAGGTGTTCAGCCTCTGCTCCTACAATGACACCCCATTGTCATATCTTTGCTAACTTTTCCTCCTTTCTGGAAACTTCAATTTTAGCTGCTCATTTGCTTAATTACCTCTATTGCTGATACTCACAAAAAGACTGAAGATGTAACAGATGGTGCCTTGGGATGGGTGGATGTTATGGATGCAGAACTGTCAACACACCTATCTCAATTCCATTTTAACTTTCACATTATGTCTCCCTGTGGACTGTTGGCAATGAATTAAGCTGATGTGTGCTGCCGGCGCCCAGATTCACATCGAGCTCAGTAATTCTTGTTGCCTCCTGTGCTTCCTCCCACTCTCCCTCCACAGTATGTTTGGCTTCCCAGTGCTTTTGTAATGATCTCTGTAGCATCTTTAAAAACTATTCCACCTCATTTAAAATGTAGCATAAATGATGAGGTTTTGACAAATTAAATAACAATAAGAAAACATTTTCAATATTCTGTATTTTTCCATTAAGCTCCAAAAAAAAAAATAGCCATTATAAGAGCACCATTCTCAACCCACAGTTAACGATGTGTTAGTCCTGGTTTCATTAAACACCTCATTATTTAAAGATTTGTAATTCAGTCCAAGAAATCTCCTCTGAAGTTGAAAATAGATCTGATCTCAGTTTAGAAACTTACTTTTAAAGAATTTGAATTAAGATTGAGTATCCAATGAGGACACTAGTTAATACATAAATGTCTCAGGATGTTAAAATGATGGAACAAAATCAACAGAATGAAACTTAGCACAGATTATTATTGAATGCTGTGTGAAAGCTGGAAAGTTATAAAATAGAAAGAGCAGATATAAGGCATTTGGGAGTTAGAAGACCTGACTTTGATCCCGGCTCTGCTTCTAAATAGCTGTTTGACTAAACTAGTTACTGGTGCTCTCTGGGTTCAAGTTACCTCATCCATCTAAAGATCTCTAAGACAGCTTCAGGCTCTTAAAGTGTCAATTGATTATCAAGTACAGATTTAATTCTCCACTAAAAAAGACTAGGGCTCTTTGGAGAAGCGGCTAATTCCAGGCTGGCATAGCATAGGTAAGCCTGGAGAATAATCTTGCTCTGCTAGAAAGTAAGGAAGTGCAAAAAAAAATAAAAAATCAAAAGACAACAACAAAAAAAGAAAAATTAAAAACAAAAAAAACAGGGCATGAAAAAAGGATGCAAGAGCCAGATGAAAATGTTCTCACTGGCCAAACTGTAACAATATGAGCAGCAACATAATTAAATATAATAATAAATTATGAGAAAGCGAGCAATTGATAAAGCAAGTGGAGTATAATGTTAGCAACAGTGAATCTGGGTAAAGGATATATGAATGTCCTTTGTACTCTTATTCTTATAGGTCTGAAATTATTTCCAAAGAAAAAGAAAAAATTGCACACACGTGCAAGCATGTGTGTGTTTAATATGCAGATTCAGAGCAGCTTGGCTTTAGAGCTCAGGTAAGAAAACCCAGAAACCTAGGTGACAAAATGCGCTATGGAGCCAAAGTTCAATATGCATGAAAATATACTATTCAAATATTAAAACACATATCTGGGGTGCTGGAGTTAGCTTATTAAACTAATTGCTGAGTTTTGCTCATTAAATGGGAGTGAGAAACTGAGGTACTTTTGCAGAAGGGTGACTAGTGAAGGGTTTGGGAATAAGCTCTAAAAGGAAATTGAAAGAACTGGCAAGAGAAAACTGAGATGGGCGTGGGGGAGATGAAAGTTGTTATCAGTTATTTAAAAGACCAAAATACTCCAGAAGTAAGATTTATTCATTTTAGCTCCAGGGGACAGGAGCACAGATAGACTTGACTCCATAGAAGAAGTAATCCTTTCCTATTAGATTTTTCCATGAATGAAATAGTTACCCTACCAGGTAGTAAATTCTCCTTACTGAAAGTTTAGCCTCTACAATAATTGACCCAGAAATGCTGTCCAAAGAATTCTCACTGTGGGGGAAGGTTGGTCTAAATTGGTGCTTCCTAACCCGTTGACTAGATAATCTAGGAAATCCTTGAAATTATGTGAAGGGTTGATTGATTAAATCCATGTATACCCCGAGTATAATCTTCAGATTCAATAAATAGTGTGTCTTTCACTTTTATTCATTTTCCAAGTGTACATAGATGCTATTTGATTAGTACAAATTTTCATTTAAAAACCTTTCAGAATTCATATTAGCCTTTTGATATTACGCTTTGTTTCAGTATCCATCAGTGTTCATCCATACAACTATAATCATGTGTGAAATCTGTTATTTCTTTCTTTTTTTTAAAAAAATTTAAAAATGTGTTCTCCTGTGAAAGAAGCCTTAAATAAAGAGGTAAACTACATTCTCTGATAGGAAAACTTAATATTATAAAGATGTTAGTTTATCCTCAAAATAATTTATAAATTTAGTGCAATTTTAATTAAAATCTCAGCTATTTTGTGGTGAGCAGATGAAGGGAGATTTGACAGATTGATTCCAAAATGTATTTGCAAGAATTAATCTTCAAGAATGCTCCACCCCTCCAAAAAAAGTATAATAAAAAGGTTCTTGTCCTACCAAATTGCGAATTCATTATGAAACTACAGTGATTCAACAGTGTGATCATGGAGCTGAAGGAGATTTTGGATGAATGGAAAAGGAGAAAAGATCTTAAACCAGACTCACGTAAGTAAGAATTCAGCATGTCGTCAAGATGTTGCACAGAAAATGAAAGACACTTAAGGTATTTTAAATACAAAAGGATTTAATTCAGATATGTGCTTACAAAGTTATTGAAAAAGCTAAAGGAGGTATTTCAGGGCAGGGGCTTTGGAATGACTTCCAGAATAACTGCAGGCCTGCCTGCCAGGAGCCCTACAATCTTAGGCCTTATCAGCAAGGGAGGAGATCAGAAGCCCACCACCACCACCACCACAGAAACTATAGGGTCTAAGAATGTGCTACCATAGCTGGGATCCAGGAATCAGGAATGTGCCATCTCCGCAGCCTCAGTTTCTAGCTGAAGAGCTAACACTGGATTATGACTGCAGAAATATGCCATGTTTCCAGGACTTTTAAAAACCTGCATGAGTGCACTTATCTTGCATAATCTAATCTGTACTGAGAATTTTAGGTGCAAAATGAGTGCTTGGTTGAGAAAGAAGATTGAAAAGAGTACTTGACTGATGGCGAGATACCAGAATATCTGCAACAAGTATTATCAGGAATAACTTATCATCAGGGAAAACAATAGTAATTTAATTATTTACATATTGAAAAAAGGGCCTGGGCCACTTATATTTAAAAAAGAAATAGTAATAATAAAAGTTGAGAACCTATGGTCTTGGTCAGAGGTTAGCAAACTTTTTCTGTAAAGGGCCAAATAGTTCATTTTTAAAGTTTTGTAACATATGGTCTCTGTCACAACTACACTTGGCCACCGTAACAGGAAAGCAGGTGATGTATAAGTGAATGAATGTGACTGTGTTCCAACAATGCTTTATTTACAAAAACAGATGGTGGGCCAGATTTGGCCCATGGGCTGCAATTTGCCAACAGGTAGTCTGAAAAATAGTCATTAAAGTACGTCTTCTGTTAAGACTCTGTAGCCCTGAAAAACGTGCTAATGTGATTATTGATAAGTGCTTATCTATCAAAATTTTTTTTGTATATTCTCTTAGCTTGAAAATATTACTTGTAGAAATTTCATTTGACAATAGAATAATTTGCTCCGTGTGTTGTCGAGTTCAAAAAACAAAAGAAATTAATAAAATGCCAAGCCATTTAACTTTAAAGTGTCTTTCAGCCTAAACAGTTCATTAATTCACACATTTTCACAGGGATGTGTGACAGATGAATGCGCATCTTGCTTATGTCTTTGCGCTGAAAGAGGGAGAGTAATCTAGAATTGGTATGTTTGAACTGAAGTATGACCTTGTATAAACTGTCACATTTTATCAACATTGCCAAAGAGCCTGAAAATGGGGTTTCTCTGAGGCAAGCTTACCTTTTCTCATCATGTCTATACCACTATTATTTCCTTCCTCTAAAGTTACAAGCACATTTACCCACACATGCTAACACACCTGCACAAACTCTCACACAGAAGTGTATACATGTGAGTGCACACATACTGTCATTTTTTGATGACCTCAGTTTTTATCAACAAGTTCACAGTACACTCTCTCTGAGATGGTGAACTTCATGTAACAAGTTAATATGAACTTGTAATCGTATTTCTATTCCATAATGCTAATGACTCCTACCATAGAACTACAGAGCATGCTGGGTTAAGAAGTAGTTGGTGTTCCCACTGATGTTAGCTCATCTTAGCTCACCATTTATCCAACTGATTGGGGATTTTACAGCAAAACAAAAATTCTAGAATCAGATTTTTTTGAGGTGGGATAGACTATAGAGATTATCAAGGCCAACCTTCCTTTTTTGCAGAATAAGAAACTGACGTCTGGAGAGGGGAAACTACGCAGCTTGTTAGTAAAGCTCAAATATCGAATACCTGCTCTTTTGGTGATTCAATCTTCTAATAAAGAGAGTTTTCTTACACAACAAACCACTTCAGAAATGTTTTAAAAATAGAAAGGACTGAGAGAAAAGTCCACTGGACTGCTCAAAGAACATTTGAAAGAATTTCGTGTTAATCAGGTTTCAACATAAGCTATTCACACTCTTATCTTGTAGATGTCATATGAGTATTTTTAACTTTGGCAAGTTAGATGGCTCATCTACATTTAAAATTTTTTTAATATGTTCACTTAATCATATACAAATGACCAAACAGTTTGGTTAATAAATAGAGCCTCAAAAAATTATACCTCAGACATGAAGTGAAAGCAAAAATATAATGTCAAGTATTATTTTGCAGATTTTATATGTCATATAGACAAAATACAATTCTATTCATGTAGAAAAACCATACTCATCTCTTGCTTAATACTGGATGGTATTACCTTGGAGTTATTTTCACAACTGTCAGGATAGAGATTAAAATAACTTGTGTTCTGAACATCAGGAAGGCTGATCTTCAACTCTGCTGCCTTCTTCTCTTAAGTGGGTTCTTGCCAACCTCTTTGGTCTGCACATTTGAAAAAAGATTCTTGTCAGCAAAATCTGAGAACTAGTTATCTTGGTGAATAATGGGAACATCTTGTCTCAGTACAGGAGATTAATGCTATCTCTGTGGAATGGACTGTGATATCTGCAGGAAATTTAAAACTAGAGGCCAAAGTTTCAGTAATGCACCTTTGAGAAAGCAGAGCTTGCTTGAAAATTTGTACTGCCCGAACATGTGATATAAAACAGAAAAATCATTCCTCATCACAGCATAGAAAAAGATCCAGCTTCTCAGTTATATTTAAAAGTTACTAATTTTTCTAAAAGTGAAGCAAGGGATGCTTAGGCGGTTTAATGTGTTTAGCAAGTTTGAGGATAATGCAAAAATATCAGTAAACATAGAAATGAAGTTTATTGAGAAATTAACACTAAATATATGTCAAGAAAAGCTGGGGAGTGAAATTCTTAAATTCCTAGGCAGACATGGCATTTAGGATTCTTTATCTCCTAAGCATAAAAGATAATAATATAATAAGCCTTTTTTTAGCAGAGTTTTTTTTTAATTCAATGTTTTGAAAGCAAAAATATTATCACATTTCTTTTCAAAGTCCATTTGAACCCAGGAGTTTATAAATAAGTTCAGGACTATCCATAATATCTACTGATTCTTCGTTTACATTTATTAAATTGATGTCAAATTGTAAGAATGGAATATAGAATTATAGAAGTAAAACAATAGACAGGCATAGCTTAAACATGTAATTTTCAAAAGAACTCAGGAAATTGACCTCTGATAAAATAAGGCAGACTAGGTATAGGGTTTGTTTTTTTTTTTTTTAAATATCTCTCTCCCTGCTCCCTCCTTAAACCAGAACCATGCTAAATTAAAAAAAAAAATGGTTCAGCAAATCAGAAACACTGAATTTATGGAAAATACAATGCAGATAGGTGCTATATAACCAGTTTGATATAATGGCTAGAGAACATTGCCAAAAAGCACTTTTATATGAGGTCGAAATAAGATATTTTCATATAGTCAAGGGTTTTGCAAATATTTTTCCCATGCTAGCCATGAAAAAATTACTTGAGGATATAGTCCAGCAAAACAAAAAAGGAAACCAAGAAATGAGGCACAATGTAGGTTCATAGAAATAGTGGAGCTAATCAGAAATGAATTGAAAAGAAATTTCAGTAGAAAATTTATGCAATGTGAGGACTATAGTAGTAATAGTGCATTGTATTCAGGAATTTTGCTAAATGGGTAGATTATAGTTGCTCTTGACACAGGGAAGAAAAATGGGTAACTAGGTGACATGATAAATATATTAATTTGTTCCACTATAGTAACAATTTTGCTATGTATGTATCTTACAATATCATGTTGTATACCTTAAATATACACAATAAAATTTATCTAAAAAACAGAAATCTGAGGGCCAGGTGTGGTGGCTCACGCCTGTAATCCCAGCACTTTGGGAGGCCAAGGGAGGTGGATCACAAGGTCAGGAGTTCAAGACCAGCCTGACCAACATGGTGAAACCCCCGTCTCTACTTAAAAAAAAAAAAAGATTACCTGGGCATGGTGGTGAGCACCTGTAATCCCAGCTACTTGGGAGGCTGAGGCAGAAGAATTGCTTGAACCTGGGAGGTGGAGGTTGCAGTGAGCCAAGATCGCACCACTGCACTCCAAGCCGGGTGACAGAGCAAGGCTCTGTCTCAAAGAAAAACAAAAAAACAAAAAAACCCAGAAATCTTTGTAGCGCCCACATACAGAAGTGAGTCCAAAAAGTCAGAGGGCTCCATGCTGAATATATTTAAGAATAAAATAGAGCTCGTGCCCCAAAACATGGATGTTTGAAATAATGCGGTGAAGGCATATATAACTTTGTTAACAACAAGAAAGAGACAATTAAAATTTCCAAAATGGAAAAAAAAGTCTGAATAAGAAAATCAAGATCCATGTATTTATTTATTTATTTTGAGACAAGGTCTCACTCTGTTACCCAGGCTGGAGTGCAGTGGGGCAATCTCGGCTCACTCAAACCTCTACCTCCAGGTTCAAGTGATTCTCCTGCCTCAGCGTCCCAAGTAGCTGAGATTACAGGCATGTGCCACCACGCCCGGCTAATTTTTATATTTTTGGTAGAGATGGAGTTTCGCTGTGTTGGCCGGGCTGGTCTCAAATTCTTGGCTTCAAGTGATCTGCCTGCCTCAGCTTCCCAAAATGCTGGGATTACAGGCATGAGCCACCATGCCCAGCCAATGTATTCAGAAACTAAAATAGAGTATGATTTGAGGTTCTGTAGAGTAAAAGAAAAAAGATTTAACATTATCTTGATGGCTTAAATATTCTCTTTGGAAAAGTTTAGGTATAATAACATAGGATTATATTTATTTTCTTATGAAACCAATCATAATTCATCATTCTTTAACAAGTAAGAATTTCTTGCATTCTAGAATGTAAGCTCCTGAAGGTAAGAATTGGGTTTGTCTTGTTTGATGTGGTCTCTGTAATGCCTAGGCTAATATGTGGGATATCACAGGCAGCAAATCATTATATGCAGACTGACTGATTATGGCAGCCAACGTGGATTGCTTATAAAATAGTTATTCCATGTCAGCAGCCCTGCTCCCTCACCAGATTGTTGTTAAAAGTTGACCGAGAGCATTAAGATTTTTAAGCCACAGATTTGGCCAACTCTGGAACTTTTCAACTCTTTGTTGTGTGAGACAATAAATTCCTTTGGTTACTCTTCTTTTGAGTGCTTTTTAAATTTCAGTGGAAAGCCTCCCAACTAACGCAGAATTTGTTGCCAGAAGTAAGATGCTGGAAGTAACGGGTCCTAGAATGTGGAATGTGTTGAGGAAAGGAGTCATTTATAGAGGGGAAACAGAGCCTCTGCTTTCCAGACTGGGCAGCTGATGGTCCTTGTTAGGTGAAGGTGAAACATGTTATCAGACTGGAAGCTTTTGTACCTTGGATTCAGAGCATTTGCTGAATGGAGTTACCATTTTAAATATGGGGAGAATAATTACAGTATTCTTGCAGCTTTTAGATTTGTCTTACACTAAAGAAAGACAAACATAGTCTGTAGGTAGTTCATCCTAAAAGCAGATTAGAAAGAAAATATAGCTTTGCTAAGATAGGATTTGCTGCTGACTTGCAATGTAAGTTAATGGTAAATACCATTAGAAAAGCTGTTATGATCATCTTTGAAGGCAGACGGGTCCTTACCCAAAGTTTAGTTTGAATGCCAAGACCGATGATGACACACACCAAAAGAACATAAAAAGCTTTGTTATTTACATAATTAATATCTCTGTGGGGAATAGGGAAGACATCTTGAGCAGGTCCAAAATGGCTT
Organism: Homo sapiens; assembly: GCF_000001405.40. Taxonomy (NCBI): domain Eukaryota; kingdom Metazoa; phylum Chordata; class Mammalia; order Primates; family Hominidae; genus Homo; species Homo sapiens. The sequence continues at coordinate 42,689,741 of NC_000013.11, forward strand.
GAGAGAGCAAGGAAAGGAGACTGGCTTGGGTTTCTATTGTGGTTAGGGGCTGGGGCTGGGGGTGGGGGTGAGGGTGGCTTGTGCACTGGAAAGGACTTGCGTTGTTTGCATCTCCCGTTGGAATCAAAGAAGGGAGCACCCTCGCTTTCTTATCAGCTTGTGCAGATGTGGAATACACAGGGAAGAAGGAGGGGTGAGACTTAAAAACTGCAAGCAATAAAACATTTAAAAAATGGGGTTAGAATTCTTGTTATGTAATACAAGCCAATACTTTATGATTTACTTCCACATCAGGTAGAACACACAGAGGCCGGAAAACAATAGACTTAGCAGCAGAAGAACATAAGACAGGAATTCTCAAAGGTTGTATGTAGGCAAGAGCCTTACCATTAATTGTTATATAGTTTATGGAAGTGGCTAGAAACAGATACACTGAAAGTCAACTTAGTTGTTAAGGGGACAGTATTGCCAAATAAAATTCATGCATAGTGACATCCACCTGGGATTGTTCAGCTTTAAAAAAGCACCAGGACCTTTGAACTCATCTGAGAGAAGTAGGCTGCTAAATCTCTGTAGCTCCTAGAACGCTTCGATGAACTGTGGTTTTAGAGTATAACAGGAAAACACTGTTTTCCAAGATGGGATAATCAGACATAAAAGATGTTGGGCAGGAGAAATCCTTCCAGAGAATAGAGTTAGCAAGCCACAGGACATGAGCCAGCCAGTCTTTTGTGTACTTTCTTTTTTTTTCTGTCTAGCTGCCTCTTTTTTTCCCAATAAGTTATTGGGGTACAGGTAGTATTTGGTTACATGAGTAAGTTCTTTAGTGGTGATTTGTGAAATTTTGGTGCTTCTGAGTAGTATACACTGCACTATATTTGTAGTCTTTTATCGCTCACCCCCTTCCCACGCTTCCCTTGAAGTCCTCAAAGTCCATTGCATCATTCTTATGCATTTGTGTCCTTATAGTTTAGCTCCCACATATCAGTGAGAACACACAATGTTTGGTTTTCCATTCCTGAGTTACTTCATTTAGAATAATAGTCTCCAATTTCATCCAGGTCACTGCAAATGCTGTTAATTAATTCCTTTTTATAGCCAAAGAGTATTCCATCACACACACACATATATATACCACAGTTTCTTTATCCACTCATTGACTCATGGGCATTTGGGTTGGTTCCACGTTTTTGCAGTTGCAAATTGTGCTGCTATAAACATGCATGTGCAAGTATCTTTTTCGCATAATGACTTCTTTTCCTCTGAGTAGATACCCAGTAGTGGGATTGCTGGATCAAATGGTAGTTCTACGTTTAGTTCTTTAAGGAATCTCCACACCATTTTCCACAGTGGCTGTACTAGTCTACATTCCCACCAGCAGTGTAGAAGTGTTTCCTGTTCACCACATCCATGCCAACATTACTGTTTTTTGATGTTTTGATTATGGCCATTCTTACAGGAGTAAGGTGGTATCACATTGTGGTTTTGATTTGCATTTCCCTGGTTATTTGTGATGTTGAGCATTTTTTCATAAGTTTGTTGGCCATTTGTAGATCTTGTTTTGAGAACTGTCTATTCATGTCCTTAGCCCACTTTTTGATGAGACTTTTTTTCTTACTGCTTTGTTTGAGTTCATTGTAGATTCTGAATATTAGTCCTTTGTCAGATGTATAGATTCTGAAGATTTTCTCTCATTCTGTGGGTTGTCTGTTTATTCTGCCGACTGTTCCTTTTGCCATACGAAAGCTCTTTTAGTTTAATTAGGTCCCAGCTATTTATCTTTGTTTTTTATTGCATTTGCTTTTGGGTTCTTGGTAATGAAATCCTTGCCTTAGCCGATGTCTAGAAGGGTTTTTCCAATGTTATCTTCTAGAATTTTTATAGTTTCAGATCTTAGGTTTAAGTTGATTGATCTTGAGTTGATTTTTGTACAGGGTGAGAGATAAGGATCCAGTTTCATTCTCCTACATGTAGCTAGCCAATTATCCCAGCATCATTTGTTGAAAAGGGTGCCCTCTCCCCACTTTATGTTTTTGTTTGCTTTGTTGAAGATCAGTTGGCTGTAAGTATTTGGGTTTATTTCTGGGTTCTCTATTCTGTTCCTTTTGTCTATGTGCCTATTTTTATACCAGTTTTATACCATGCTGTTTTGGTGACTATGACCTTATAGTATAGTTTGAAATCAGGTAGTGTGATGCATCCAGATTTCTTTTTGCTAAGTCTTGCTTTGGCTATATGGGCTCTTTTTTGGTTCCATATGAATTTAGAATTGTTTTTTTTCTAATTCTGTGAAGAATGATGGTGGTATTTTGATGGGGATTGCATTGAATTTGTAGATTGCTTATGGTAGTATGGTCATTACTATCATATGGTCTATCATGGAGAAGGTTCCATGTGCTGTTGAATAGAATGTGTATTCTGCAGTTGTTGTATGAAATGTTCTGTATATATCTGTTAAGTTCATTTGTTCCAAGGCATAGTTTAAATCCATTGTTTCTTTGTTGACTTTCTGTCTTGATGACCTGTCTAGTACTGTCAGTGGAGCATTGAAGTCCCCCATTATTATTGTGTTGCTATCTCATTTCTTAGGTCTATTAGTAATTTTTTAATAAATTTGGGAGCTCCAGTGTTAGGTGCATGTATGTTTAGGAGTGTGATAGTTTCCTGTTCGACAAGGCCTTTTACCATTGTATTATGTCCCTCTTTGCCTCTTTTAACTGCTATTGCTTTAAAGTTTGTTTTGTCTGATATAAGAATAGCTACCGCTGCTTGTTTTTGGTGTCCATTTGTATGAAATGCCTCTTTCCACCTCTTTACTTTAAGTTTATGTGAGTCCTTATGTGTTAGACAAATCTCCTAAAGGCAGCACATAGTTGGTTCATGAGTTCTTATCCATTCTGCGGTTCTGTATCTTTTAAGTGGAGCATTTAGGCCATTTACATTCAATGTTAGTATTGAAATGTGAGGTGTCATTGCATTCATTTTGCTCTTTGATGCCTGTGTACTTTGTTTTTTGTTTGTTTGTTTTTTGTTTTTGCTTTTTAAGTTGTATTTTTGTTTTATGGATCCTGCGTGATTTATGCTTTAAAGAGGTTCTGTTTTGTTGTGTTTCCAGGATTTGTTTTAAGATTTTTCTGTCTTTGTTGGATCAGGTTAATTCGAAGATCTTGTCTTCGAGCTCTGAATTTCTTTCTTCTACTTGTTCAATTCTATTGCTGAGACTTTCCAAAGCATTTTGCATTTCTATAAGTGTGTCCAATGTTTCCTGAATTTTGAATTGTTTTTCCTTTAAGGTATCTATTTCTTTGAATATTTCTCCCTTCACTTGTATTGTGTTTTGGATTTCCTTGCATTGGGGTTTGCCTTTCTCTGGTGCTTCCCTGATTAGCTTAATAACTAACCTCTTGAATTCTTTTTCAGCTCAATCAGGGATTTCTTCTTGGTTTGGATCCATTGCTGGTGAGCTAGTGTGATTTTTTGGGGGGTGTTAAAGAGCCTTGCTTTTTCATATTACCAGAGTTGGTTTACTGGTTCCTTCTTATTTGGGTAGCCTCTGTCAGAGGGAGGGTCTAGGGCCAAAGGCTGTTGTTCAGATTCTTTTGTCCCACGGTGTGTTCCCTTGATGTAGTACTCTCCCCCTTTTCCTGTGGATGTGGATTCCTGTGAGTTGAACTGCAGTGGTTGTTGCCTCTCTTCTGGGTCTAGCAACTCATCAAGTCTACCCAGCTATGGGCTGGTATGGGGGTTGTCTGCACAGAGTCCTGTGATGTGAACAGTCTATGGGTCTCTCAGTTGTGGATGCCAGCATCTGTTCCGGTGGAGGTGGTGGGGGTGTGCAATGGTCTCCATGAGGGTCCTTAGCTTTGGTGGTTTAATGATCTATTTTTGTGCTGGTTGGCCTCCTGCCAGGAGGTGGTGCTTTCCAGAAAGCATCAGCTATAGTAGTGTGGAAAAGGACCAGCGGTGAGCAGGGCTCTAGAACTCCCAAGATTATATGCCCTTTGTCTTCTGCTATCAGGGTGGGCAGGGAAGGACCACCAGGTGGGGGCAGGGCTAGGCATGTCTAAGCTCAGATCCTCCTTGAGCGGGTCCTGCAGCGGCTGCTGTGGGAGATGGAGTTAGATTCTCAGGTCACTGGAGTTGTGTACCTAGGAAGATTATGGCTGCCTCTGCTGAGTCATGCAGGTTGTCAGGCAAGTGGGCTACATCTGGCAGTCACAGGCCTCACCCAGCTCCCACGCAAACTGAAGGGCCCATCTCACTACCACTGTGTGCCCCCACAACTGCCCCGATTCTTTTCCAGGTGGCGGGTGAGCTGGGCTTGAAAACTTGTCCCAAGTTAACCGCCTACCAGCTGCAAAAGAAAAGGGCTTGGTTCTTCCCTTGCCTGTGGAGTCTGCACCCTCCCTTGAGTTCTGGCCAGGAGGCATCTCATTTCATTCAAATTGTTACACAGTTCAGCTAGAGATTTCCTTCTCCTTGTGGAGTTTTACCCCTCCACTCCTCTGGCCGCCCTCCCAATGGATCCCTGTGGTGCCAGGCAGGAATGGCCTGCTTGTGGACCCATTGAGCTCCCAGGGCCTTTCTGCTGCTTCCCCTACCCCTGTATTTCACTCAGCTCTCCAAATTGACTCAGCTTCAGGTAAGGTTGGAAACTTTTCCCAAACTTCAGCTTCTCCAGTGGGGGTGTGTGTTCGGGAGAGGAGGCTTTCCCTTTCCCACTTTCACAGTGGAGGCACTCACTGTATTTGGGGTGTCTCCTGGGTCCTGCAGGAGCAGTCCACTTCCTTCAGAGGGTCTTTGCGTCCTCTCAGCATTGCTGGTTTGTTCTTGCAATCAATCTGGAGCTAAAATTCTCAATGTGAGTCTCCACACGCTGCTCTGTCCAGAGGTGCAATCTAGTCCCGTCTCCCATCTGCCATGATCTTATGTTCTTTTGTATACTTTCTTATTCTCCCCTTCCTCAAATGGGATATTTAAAAATGGAAGTTTCCCAGATCCTTCTCCACCATTACATGTTGAGTATATTTAGGTAAATAACCTGTCTATTTTAGACATAGATTCCTGGACCACAAGAAATCATATTTAGTTATTATGATAGAGAATACTGCATAACTCCAGAGTTACTTAACTTGGAGTTTAATACAGCAACTGATGAGACTTGGGGTCTTCTTCTTTAAGGAGTGGTTGAGTGTGTTCTCTGTGGCATTGATCATTTTCGAAAATTCTTTATGGAACAAAGTATTTGTAGAGATGTTGGGTAGCAAACATAGACACTGTTGCCTACTTAGCAATTATTCTCTCCCTCATTCTTTTCAGCAATAATCAAGTTATGTTTAGATATATATTACATGGGATTCACCTCAGTCCAGGGAATGAAGGATGATTGGTTTAAGCGAATCATGGAAACTCTGTTCTCCTTCCAAATGATTAGCGTAGGCACTGGCATGGGGTGTAATCTTGGCCAATGAGATAAAAGTGAAAATCTATTAGGAGGGTTTCCAGCAAAACATTTTCTCACTCCATAAGAAGGACATAGGGAATGACTTGTTCCTTTCTTACTCTGCATGTTGTTTTATAAGGATATGATCTCTGAAGCCCCTATAGTTATGTTGCAGCTCTGAGGAAAAAGCCATGAGAATTATTTTACAAAAAAGCTCAAATGCTAAACATTCTGTAAATTCAAAATAACTAACATAGTCTATTTATTATGTGAGGCAATAAACACTTTACTGTTTAAGAGTTTTTAGCTACTATCAAAAGACAAAATCACAACAAATTTAGTTATAGATCTAATTGGCTTTTATTTGCAATTCATGAATTGGAGCTGCCTCCATTCTACAAAATAGAATGAGAGCTCCCACTGGGCAATAGCAGAAGAGTGGATTTTTAAAGGTCATAACAAGAAAACAGAGCAAAAGAATTTTTTTAAAAAGCGGATTGGTTAACATCAGGTTACTGTTTTTTGGTAAGGGTTAAAGGTAAGGGGACTTCCTTATGCTGACTCAGGTAGACTAGAATCTCCTGTTTTAAGGGAAAACTCGTTTGTTTGGGGATCTGTCTGCTTCCTTAAAGTTCAATTTAATTATGTTGCATTTAGCCTGAGTAACTCCATTTTGGTTTGGTTAGGTCTGTTGGGGCCTAGTACAGAAGCTCAGTCCAAAACAATGGCCTTTCATGTATTTTTTAACGTTAAATATTCTGTTACTTGCAGCTAATGGCAATCTAATGGAAATATTGATATTATCATAATACTGTAAATGCTGTTTGTTTCTTTCAATATTTAGAACCAATACATAGAAAGAACATGGAACACTTAATAGTTTTAAAGCACAATGCAAATATTATAACCTTGACAATGTCAGAGTTGGTGGATGGACAAATAGAAGATTTCAGTATGTTATTTTCAGCCAGTGAGCCCAGGCCTCAAGAGTCCTAGTGTGTTTCTGCTTGCTCTCCCTTGTACCTCTGCAATCACTGTAAGAACACAACTGACCCAGCCCACTGGAGGTTCAGAGCCACACAGAGCAGAGAGCCGATGTGAGACAAGCCTGGATTTGCCAATGCAAGCTGTCTCCTGTACACGTGAATGAGCACAATCAAAAGCAGCAAAGCCACCTATCCAACTGCCCCAGGAGCACGAGCAATAAACACTAACGTTGAATGCCATTGGGATATCTCAGTTATTTGCTATGTGGGATTATTGTGGCAAGAGATAACTAATACAGGATGACTAATACATTCTGATTCTCTTCTTTTCAGGCACTTGGTAGTAGGTTGTTTTCATTTGATCTTTTGAAGTTAAGCATGGCCATATGACTTGCTTTAATAAGTGAGATGTAAGTAGAAGCAATGTGTGTGGGTGCAGACATATGTAAGACCTAGGTAGGACAAGGCAGCTCCTCTTTCCTCTGAATGGTGATCGCCTAGTACATGTTGAAATGGAACCATCATTAGCCTAGGTTCCTGAGTGAATAGAACAAGCAGAACTACCTTGGCAGCCTATGTAGATGTATAACATGAGCTAGAAGTAAATTTTTGTTGTGTTAAGGTACAGAGCTTTGAAGGTTGTTATTATCAGAGGGTAATGTTGCCTATCCTGACTGATGCAGGTTGCCCTGGTAAGCTTCATTGAAGAGGTTGCATTTGAGCTTAGACTTGAAGGTGAAGGGGTTGTCTGTATGGAGTCTTCTATTAGTTTGTTTTCATACCTCTATAAAGAACTGCCTGAGGCTGGGTAATTTAGAAAGAAAAGAGGTTTAATTGACTCACAGTTCTGCATGGCTGGGGAGGCCTCAGGAGACTTACTATCATGGCAGATGGGAAAGCAAAGACCTTTTTCACATGGTGGCAGGAAAGAGAAAGTGAGGAAGAGCAAGGAAAACTGCCTTATAAAACCATCAGATCTTGTGAGAACTCACTATCATGAGAACAGCATGGGAGAAACCACCCCCATGATCCGATCACCTCCCATCTGCTCCCTTCCTCGACATGTGGGGATTATGAGGATTACAATTTGAGATGAGATTTGGGTGGGGACACAGATCCAAACCATATCATGTTCAGAGGCAAAATGTTGCAGGGAGAGAGAATAGCAAGTGCAAAGGCTCTAAGGCAGGAGCATGCCTAGTGTGTTCAAGAAGACATATGTATAGAGGGGGGTGAGAGAAAGAGTAGTAGAAGATGAGGTTACAGCATCAAAAGGCATGGGGCCAAGGGATGGCAACCTACAGATCATGTAGAGCCTTGCAGTTCATTCTAGAAATTTTCACTTGTGTGTGTGTGTGTGATGGGGTCTCACTCTGTCACCCAGGATGGAGTACAGTGGTATGATCCTAGCTCACTGCAGCCTCAAACTCCTGGGCTCAAGCAATCCTCCTGCCTCAGCCCCTTAGTAGCTGGGACTACAGGCATGGACCACAATGCCTGGCTAATTTTTTAAATTTTTTGTAGAGACAGGGTTTTTATGTTGCCCATGCTGGTGTTGAACTCCTTGGGCTCAAGCAGTCATTCCACTTTGGCCTCCCAAAGTACTGGGATTACAGTCATAGCCACCAAGCCTGGCCTGAGATTTTGGCTTTAGTCTGAGTGAAATATAAAGAACTTGCAGAGGTTTGAGCAGGGCAATGACATTGTCTGACTTAGAGTATGGAGAATGGGCTGCAGTGATAAAAGCAGGGATAGTAGGAAAAAGCTGTCATCCAGTAGAGATGATTGTAGTGGTAGTTTGGAAGTGATAAGAAGAGGTTGGGTTCTATATATATTTTGAGGGTAGAGTCTACAAAATTTTCTTAGTAGATTGGGTGTAGGATGTGAAAGCACAAAAGAAGTAAAGGATGATTCCAAAGTTGTTGGCCTGATGCAAAGGAAATTTGGAGGCAGATAAGGAAAGTCTTAAAAGTCAGGCAGGAAGGTTTGGATCTTTCGATGTAAACAAAGAAAAGGCATTTTGGGTTTGTGAATAGCAAAATTTGGGGATTGTGAAGTGAGGAAAAAGATGTTGTAGGTAGATTAATCTGGTACCATACAGAGAAGACAGTGCTAGATCAGTTAGGAGTGCTGATGTAAGAAAGTATCCAAATCAGCTCCCAGGGGCAGTAACCTCCAGGAATGGCTTAAGCCAAGTGTAAAAAAGGAGAGATTGAGAGGAAAGTTAAGCAGTGGACAATGAGGAAGGAGAAAGATGGCAAAGGGTACATTTTCTTGGAATTAAAGTTTACTTTGCAGTGATGAAAAGCACTGTTGCAGCCATCCAGATGGTTGAGGGAGAGGTCTGGTTTGTGCATCCTTTAAGCAGAAGATGCAAAGATCTCTTGGAAATGAGCAGGAAATAAATGACAATGTGGACCCACTGTAGAGATTTGCTCCTTAGTCTCTGTGGTTTCATGCTGCTTTGGTTTAGATAGATAATGTTTCAATGGCAAGTAGACGAACAGAAGGATGTACAGATTCACTGATTTAGACTGAAGTAAGCTTAAAATAAATTGACTATGCTTAGCAATAAAGAAATAAATGGAGCTAATCCACTGATAAAAAAGATATGCATTGACCTTATCAGAGCAGCAGTAATAATAATCCCTTACCTTTATAAAGTACAACATGATAGAAATAAAACTGTGCTTGAAGATTTCAAAACAGTAAAGTGTAATTTTATAGTCCAAACCACATTTTATTCTAGGTATGCATTCTAAATTAAGCCTTTTATGAAAAGAATAACAACAGTGATAACAGAAAGATTATATATATCTATATCTATATGTATAATTCTCCTCTTGAGAAGCAAAAGCTTCTCATTCATTCCTGGCTTTCTGTCCTCCTGCTTAAATAAAGAGCAATTTGAATTAGCAAGTAACTTGCCTTCTTTATAAGAGTGAGAACTTGTGAGTTCACTCATAAAGTAAAACCCAAGCTTCTTAGGTAGCCTCAAGGCTCTAACTGCCTGACCCTGCCTGCATCTCCATAACCATCTCAAGCCATTTTCCCCTTACTAGTGGGACTTCAGCCACACAGCCCTCCTAACTTCACAAACACTCCAGGCTTTTCCTGTATTGGGACCTTCATACACATGCTGTTTCCTCTTTTGTACGGCTCCTTCCAACTCCTTCACGTGGATCTCCTTTTTGTAACACTCAGGTTCTAGGCTAGAAACAGAATTCACACCAGATGGGCCAAGTTGAAGAGACTTCAAAGGTGAGGGCTGGGTTAGGGACAAATAATAAAGGCATCACAGGGTGAACCCCAAAACTGGAGAACTTGCAGAGGTTTGAGCAGGGCAATGACATTGTCTGACTTAGGTTTTAACAGTCACCTCCTCACAAAGGCCTTTCTTGACCACTGTGTCTATCAAGGTCACTTCAAGAACTTTCAGCTGGGGAGGCCACATAGGTTCCTGGCTTTGTGCGGGAAGGAATTCAAGAACAAGCTGACAGAGTGAAGCAAAAGCCAAGTTTATTAAGAAAGTAAAGGAATAAAAGGATGGCTACTCCACAGGCAGAGCAGCTCCTCAGGCTGCTGGTTGGTATTTTTATGGTGATTTCTTGATCACATGCTAAACAAGGGGTGGATTATTTATAAGTTTTCTGGGAAAATGGTGGAGAATTCCCAGAATTGAGGGGGTTCCTCCCCATTTCAGAACATATAGGGTAACTTACTAGTGTTGCCGTGGCATTTGTAAACTGTCATGGTGCTGGTGGGAGTGCCTTTGAGCATGCAAATGTTTTATAGTTAGTGTAAAATGAGCAGTGAGGGCGACCAGAGATTGCTATCATCACCATCTTGGTTTTGGCGGGTTTTGGCTGGCCTCTTTACTGCACCCTGTTTTATCAACAGCGTCTATGTGACCTGTATCTTGTGAAACCAGTCTTGCCAACTCGTATCTCAAAGGGTGAGACACCCCGAAGCCATGGTCAGCCTGTGGGCTGAAGAAGTAAAGACAGGAAGGAAGTGGCACTGTCTGAGCCCATTATGATCTGGAACCCCGGGGAAGGGCTCTTCTGATGGGGGCTGTCATTGTGGAGGGATACAGCTACAGCCACAGATGTAACATCAAATCATGGGACACCCTGATCTCTATCCTCCTGCCCCTCAATCTTTAGCCACTGTCTCACTTCATCAGAACCCACCAGCAAGCCTGAGGTCAAGGGAGCATAGGGAACGCCATCTTCAGGGTCCTGGCCCCACCCCCAGCATGAGGAAGGTCGAGAAAGGCAGAGAATAGAGTGCAATCTCTAAATGGAGATTAAGCGGCACACTCTTCTTTACTTCTCTATTTACCACCTCCTCACAAAGGCCTTTCTTGACCATCCTGTCTATGAAGATCACTTCTAGAACTTTGAACACCGTTCTTTCTCAGCTGTGATGATAGATGAGTCTAATTATTTATTTATTCAAATGCTCTTTCCTCCTAATAGATGCTAAGCAGCGTAAAGAAAGGGACCTGCTGCTTTGCTCATCACTGGATAATTGGTGGCTGGCACATAGCAAATACTGAAAACATCTGTGGAAAAGAAAGGGATGAAAAAAGAAAGAAGGAAAAGAGGAAAGAAGGACAAAGGAAAGCTCCTTTAAAAAGGAGAAAGATTTGTGTGTGTGTCTGTGTATGTAATTTCAAACTCTTCACCTATCACATTAAAAACAAAACAGAAATGTTAAAAAATAAAATAAAAACAGAAAAATGTAGCAATCAAGTTGGGGAAAAGTGATAAAAGAGTATGCATAGATTATTTATTTAGTACTGGTCACTCTTGCATGCTATGTCACTTAATTCCTGTGACAGTCCTGCAAGACAGGGAGCATTATTCCCATTTTATATATAAGTAAACTGAGTTTCAGAGCTGCAAAGTGGTTTATTAATGTTGCTTAGGTCATAGGTGGTATTCAAGCCAGTTTAAATGAATTGAAAACTGGACCTCCCATGATTAACTCTTGGGTACTCTGGGTATTGTGTGGAAACATTCAGGGCCTTGTGTACCGTTTTTCCTTTTCAAAAAACTCAGCATTGTGTTCCTCAGGCTTTTATCTTAAAACGTAATATCTATCTAAAAGTGGCTTTTGTGAAAAGTAATTTAGCAAGATGTTTTGTTTACTGGGAGAGAAGCAAAACCAACCATGCTATAAAGACGTTCCTCCTTGCGAATAAAAGTAGAAGAGTAATAGATTGGATGTTAATTGAGGCAGATGCCTGTGAGGATAATTTGAAGTAATCTGTGAGCAATAAAGCGAAGTGAGTACTCTTTCCCCTCCTCAAGCATCACCCACCTGATACATATTCTTTCTTATAGTTGCAAGATGAGAAAAAATACACAATGTCAAAGCTCTTTTCTCTGTCCAAAAAGAGATTCTTTCAAACCAACCAACTATTCAAAGTTCTTAAGGTTTACATGCCGTAAACAATGTACAAAATATACCTCACTTTATTGTCATTCAATTTTTTCAGTATGCATCAAATATCCACAGCATTCAGTGTGTTAGGAGCCTGGGGTGAACACACATTTAGTGTGAAACCAAGATTTAAAAATTCAAATTATATGTGTGTGTGTGTGTGTGTGTGTGTGTGTTTAGAGAGAGAGAGAGAATGACTACAAGTAATAACTTGGCATAAGTAGCATAAGGATATAAATACAGAAGAGAGAAATATGTTGGAGCATTGGAGTTTCTATTATCTTTTCCATTTCATTCTAAATCATTATTCATTATATTATGCTAATTATTCATAACATTATTATTCTATTTCCCCCATTTCAAAATGTTAGGGTAGTCTAATTTTGACAGAGAATTTTCTCAACATAATTTTTAATTTTGTTTTAAGCATAAGGTAACTTATACTTTTTATTTTTCTTTGTTAAACATTAAAAGTAAATGTTGGCCTATTACTTTGCACTGAAAACTCACAGAGTGTAATACGAAGACTTAGGAAAGCTATACTGGTTTGATTTACTAACTGATGCTAATGAGATAATTTGAGCTTCCTAAAATTCTGCCTTTATTTACTTAAAAAAAACTCTCGCTGGCTTTTTATATTGTCTCAAATTAGAATTCTTAGTGAAAAATTCACTTGCAAAATTTACCTATCAAAAAGTTATTTACCAATTTCTAAATAATAAGTAAATATTTGAAATGATTGACTCAAGCGCAAGGCTTGTGCCATATTGGACAATACATTTCAGCTCTATCCATTGCTATTTACCATTCTACTTGGTTTTTAGTTCTCTCCATAGATAAATAGGAAATCTTAAGAACAGGCTCTTCTTCTAGTAAAGCTGTAACAGATTGTGTTTCCCAAAGATAGCTGCACCAATATGCATATGCACTTTTCCTCCCTCCAAGGTCCTGGGACTGTCTCTTTTTGTCACATTTGGTCAGAGCCCCGTGACTTTTCCAACCAACAGACCAATATGCCTGAAGGAATGCTATTTGACTTCTGAGTCTAGGTCATAACAGTGATACAGCCTTTGCATTGCTTCTTCTCTCTGTCCCTCTTTCTCTCTTTCTCTTTCTCTCAGTTGCTTGTTCTTGAAACCCAGCCACTTGGCTGTGAAGAAGCCTAAACTAGTTCATGTGGAGGAGCTACATGAAGAGGCCCACATGTAGAGGAACTGAGGTTCCCTGCCAACAGCCAGCATCAATCACCAGCCATGTGAGTGAACAAGCCTCTGGTTGCCCCCACTGCCTTTTCACTGCCCTGACCCATACCAAGTGGGGTAGAAATGGACTATTTTCATTGAGCCCGGGCAGGCTGCAGATTCATGAGCAAAATAAACACTAGGATTGTTCTAAGCTAAGTTTTGTTGTGGTTTGTTGCACATAGTAACTGCTACGATAACATTACCCATTAGGGAGCTTATTCAAATTAATTGGCTAAAGGCCTATTCACATTTTTTTCTAAATGCAGGGATAACCAAGTATTTAACACTTGATAACCTTACCACTGCCCATTAGAATTCGTAAGCAAATAGGAATCACAGCTTAGGATCAGTATCCTAAGATGACCCAACTCAGGACTGTTTTCTAATAATGATAAGGAGATAATTTATGTGAGAGTAAGATTTTTTTTCAAAGAACCTCAAACATTTGGTCTAAAACATTGTAGTTCCCCTGCCAACTTCTTAGTGATGGATGTATCTTATACTTTTAAAAAATGTATATATACTCTTAGCTGAAACATTTCTTAGATTAATATATTCCAAAAGAATAAATTGAAACTGTAAGTACTGGTTTTTGTGTTTGGGGATTTGGCTAACTAGTTCACATCGACCCTATCCATGTCAGTCTCTTTCTGGTCTCTTATAGCTGTGTCCACTTGCATTTCCCATTTCTAAAGCCTAATCTGTTATTCCGTCCTTAAACAGTGTTTTATAAATCTCCTCATCTAATTAAACATCATCTCTGAACTCTTATAGCTCTGTCATGTTTTTCTTAAGATCCAATAACTGGAATTTTATAGAGTTTTCAATTCCCATTCAATTCCCTAACAAATACTTATCCAATGCCAACCTTGTGTCAAGCACATTGTAGGAACACAGCAATTAACAAAAAACAGACAACAAACAAGGTCTCTGGTCTCATAAAATTGACCATCTGGTTGGGGAAGAGATGAATTAGATAATAATATAAATATTTAATTTCAAACCTTGGTAAGAGCTATGAAGGAAAAACACAGACAGCTATGAGATGGTGTAACAGGTGGATTTTATAGTTACTGCCCATTTATTCAACAGGTTGAACTCAGTAAAATGCAAGTAGAGAACAGCTTTGTTCTTTCTCTGCCCTATCCTTTTAAACCTGTGTTACTGAATTGTTCTTCTTTGACCATCAGTAAAATTTTGGGCAGACCCCAGACCTTTTTGAATCACTTTCAGATATTAAGTACTTAGAGTAGTCTAGTATCACAGTCTTAATTTCTCCTTCATTTTAAGGCTTTTTCCCTTTTGTAGTTGACTTAACCTCAGAAGCCTGTACCAGGGAAGTGGGCATGGGAATTTCCTTCTTGTTTCCTGTTCCACCTCCTCTCCCTTGGCTAGAAGACATTCTTATGCTCTCTGGGTTTAGATCTTGTTGGGAGAAGGTAGACTTCCTTTTTCTGTTTTCCCTTTTATTGCTATTTCTGGTGACGTATACCACTTTGCGGGGCAGGGCTGTTGGAACAGGGCAAACAAATGTCCCCAGGAGGCAGTGGACAGGGCTACTAGACTCTTTCCTAATATGCATGGATTACAGCTCACATACTACCTTTGCTTCCATGTCCATGGTTTTATGAAATCTTCACAACATTTCATTCCAGTTCATCTTTGTTGATGCAATATTTAGCTCTCAGTAAGGTCTAATATTGTTTGTAGTGATGGTAATATCTTGCTACTCCTTCATTTGGATAAGTTATAGATATGTTAAATAAAATGGATACTACTTCCTGTGTCTTGGCAAGCTCTATTCTTACATTATTACACCCAACTTTTTGTACTCTTAGCTTCTTCTCCAAATCAATCCTTCTCCAGAGAAAACTTTTTTTTTCTTTCAAATCAGTGATGATGGTTTTTTTTTTTGTTGTTGTTGTTGTTGTTGTTTTTGGTTGTTGTTGTTTTGACAGAATTTCGCTCTTGTTGTCCAGGCCATTGCCAGGAGTGCAATGGCATGATCTCGGCTCACCGCAAGCTCCACCTCCCAGGTTCAAGCGATTCTCCTGCTCAGTCTCTGCCTCCCAGGTTCAAGCAATTCTCCCACTCAGCCTCCCAAGTAGCTGGGATTACAGGTGTGCACCACCGTGCCCAGTTAATTTTTTGTATTTTTAATACAGAAGGGGTTTCACCATGTTAGCCAGGCTGGGCTTGAACTCCCGACCTCAGGTGATCCACCCACCTTGGCCTCCCAAAGTGTTGAGATTACAGGCGTGAGCCACTGCACCTGGCCGATGACTCTTTTTTAATTGCATGGGGGGTGAAAGATTCTCAACCTTTCTTTTTAGAATAAATAGTTTACATTCAGCAGTTAACACAATCCCCTTCCTTATTTATTCCTTCAGAAAAACCAAAGAATTAGTCAGACTTGCATTCTCCATCTAAAAACCACATAGTTTTTCTCTAGGTGCGTTCTCAATAATCCTAGTCTTTGCTATCAGTCTACCCATTTGCTAATATTGAGAAAACCCAACACTTAGGTACTCTAAAATCCTAGGGTTCCAACTATACCCTCTTCTATAAGCCAGTCATTGACAAACCACAATCCTGAGGCATTGGGATCATTTGAGGTGAAGGTTGTAAGTTTTGGCCAATGGTTGCATAATTTCACTATTAACTTTGTTCAAAACTTTCTTGGAGTAGTACCTCCTGAGTCAGTGTGGTGAGTGGAGAGGTTTTTGGTGAACAAACCTGGGTTCAGATGCTGGCTCTACCACTTGGACATATTGTATACTGTAGGCACTCAATAATGGTAGCTGTTACTATTATTATTATTTTCTATACTAAGTTCATAACATAGCTCTAGAATATTCTGGATAATAATAATTGGAATTAGGAATATCAACTTTTCTGATTCAAATGTTAACCTGGGAGTGGACATTATTATGTTAACTTCACCCTTAGCAACTAATTAGCCTATTAGTTGCATTAACATTAATGCTTATTTAATGTTCCCAGGTTAATAAGCCTGGACTTGCTCTTAGGCTTACAAAAGTAAATAATAATAGTAACATCATCTGTAGGGAGACACCACTGTTAGAACTAAATCCTGAAAGCGAGGCTGCCGATCTGGGATCTCTATGCATGAATATGGAATTCTTCTTGTCCAGATATTTGTCTACAATAACATCTGGAAGAATTGAAGCTTTATGAACACAATATGAAAGATAATCATGAATCTACTCCATAAAATGTATATTTTATGTATTCTAGCATATGATTAATTTAAGAATAATTTATAAAATGAAACAATATGACAGTGTTCTCATAATTTCCGATTTTCCATCCCTGCTGGTTGGAATCTATGCACATTTAAGAGACTTTCTCTTTGGTTTTGCTGGATTTCTCTTCTTCAGTCATCCATGTTCTAGTAACCCTTTTCTGGCTAATGTGTTACACGTTTTTCAAGGCTGATGTAGTCACATAATAAATTTTTCAATAGAATTCTCAAATAAGATTTTTTTTCAATGTTATCTGTAAGGGAGTTTTGCATCTTCCAACATGCTCTGCAAATGGCTCCCACTAGTCGCTTATCAGTCAGCCTAGGAATGTCACAGCCTTGCTGTCTACCCTGAGCAGCACTGTGTAATCAGCCTTCTGTCCCTATGTGTCTGTCTAAACTGTGAAGAAGTGATGAGGCTCTTACCTACTTTCCAGCATGAAAAATATTTTTATGACTGATGCTCCAAACTGAAAATAGATTCCCCTTTGTGCAGAAACATGGATGTTGCTATGCTTTCAGGTTAATTCCATTAAGGTTCCGGCCAGGCTGGTCAGTTCGTCTTATACCCGCTCTAACGTGACTCGCCTTTTAAGGTTCAGTGTGTCCCAGAAAATATCTCCTGAGATGCTTATTGAAAAATAATTCCAAGGTAAGGCACATTGGGCAGTACTGCATTGCATACCATTCCCTTGGAAATCCTTATTGCACATTAGGGACTTACAGGCTCTGGTATGCTCTCCAGTAAAGGCACTTGGCTTAACCTAAGCTTTCCCCAGCTTAATTTGAGCTGGCAATTGAATTCATTTATTTTATTTTTGCAAAATACCTATTAACCTTTTTGGAGACTTATCTCCTTTGGGACACATTGGGAATGCTGGTGTAGGATTTTAAGGTAAAATGCACTGTCATAAAAACACTCACCTAAACATCACAACATTCCTGAGATGTATTCACGGACAAGAATTTAATTTTACAGAAGAAATTGATTCTTCCAGTAGTTACGTAATAAACAGTCAGCTTTCATGCTGGCAGCATCCGGTTAACTACTCTGCAGGCTGAAAGAAATGCTGATGTGGCATCATGTTTGTAAGAAATATGAATTGGTTTGTTGAAAAAGAAAATATCCCATCTGCTGAGACTCTGTGTGTGTGTGTTAGTGTGTGTGTATGCACTTATTTCTGAGCGCATAAGCTTGAGTTGATCCCAACTAAGATTCTGAAAAGATGAGGATTGTTGAACTCAATGCATGGTCTGGCAGCATGGCCAAGTCCAGTCCCCCAGACCTGTGCTTTCAGAGCCTCCAACATCACAGAAGTCATTATGTTTTGTGGCCTAAGAAATAGGAGGTTACTGGTTTGAGCACAAGCCCAGAAACACAGACCCTCTTGGTACTAATCCAGTACTCACAGTACTTAAGAAAATTTAAAGATAGAACTTCTCTCAGTAATTTGGACACCAATCAGAGAAAACAAGCCATTGGTTTCTTTCTATTTTATTTTCCTTTGATGCATGAGAACGATGGTGCCATGTTGAATCTTACGTCTCTTCCATAGGCAACCCCAGTTGTCAGATGCAACCAGACATCCATGGCAGAATTTCCCTTTGTTAAAAGTAACCCACCAAAGGGATGTGTGGTTTGAAAAGTTTTTCCATGTGAGTCAGCTACCCAAGTGCCTGACTTCCCATTGCAGCTTATTAATAGGCAAAAGTCTTAAGTTGGAAATTTCCTCCATACAGTCTTTCCAGAGCTTCTGCTGACGGAGCTTCAGCAATTCAACTGTTTTTTATGACTTTAAATGATCTTTTAGCACAGCTTCGTTGCTTTCATAGCTAAAAGCTCTTTAGAATGAGGCTATTTTACCCAAATCTAAGTCTGATGAATATGCTTACATGCTTACTATATAGGAATTTTAGCAGGTAGAGTTCATGTTTTCATTATTTCTAAACTTATTTGAATAATTCATGGAAATGGAGGACTGAAAACTTCTGGGACACTTATTTTTCTTTATTAGATGATATGTACATTTATAGATCTGGAGAACTGAGTTTAGAATCCAACTGGATCTCATAAAACATCAAGTTAAATCCTGATTTAGTTTGACACTTGTGTCCAGTTATCTAAGATGAAGAAATGAAGTGTATTGTTAGGGTAACCTAGGATATTCTGACATCAAAGAGCTTGGCAGATAAAAAGACCTGACAGATATTTTTGAAAGCAGAGAGATTTTGTTTTGATTATGACACTAACAAAGCCTGTATGTTAATGCTGAAGTGGACCTGAGACTCGTAGACAAATAGCTCCTGAGCCCAGCGCCCCGGCCACTCACTCATTTATTTAACAAATCCCTCCCTTCTTTTCCTTTACAACTGACCTCTTGAATAATTAGATATAAAATGTTATTTATATCTAAGTATAATTAGACGTAATATGTGCTACAAAGGTCTGGTGCTGTGTGGAGAGTCTTATCAAGGACACTGGCTTGTCAAAAGTCACATAGCTGTTAGATGGCAGAGCTAAAATAAAATAAGCTAAAATTAATTCTCTTGTTTAGAATGTTTCCCACTCTGCCACCCTGCCTTCCTATGCTGATGAAACCCAGAAAGTGAGGGGGTAAAGATGGGGGTGAGGAAAGGTGTATATAGCAGAAAGGAGATGACTGTGTGGCTTGCAAAATAGGTGGAGAATAAAGAATTGGAGGAGCTACCCACAATATCTAGATTAAAAACACAAACACATTAGGATGATTGGAGGATGCTAAGTTGCTTACATTAAGCGGACATTCAAATTAAATAAGTCTCCCCTTATCTGAGGGAGGATACATTCCAAGACCCCAGTGGATGCCTGAAACAGTGAATAGTACCAAACTCTCTATATACTGATTTTTTCTATGGTAAAGTTTAATTCATAAATTTATAAATTAGGCACAGTAAGAGATTAACAATAGTAACTAATACAGTGATGCATTGTTAATGATGGGGATATGTTCAGAGAAACCTGTCATTAGGTGACTTCATCATTTTGCGAACATTGTAGAGTTTGCTTACACAGATCTCAATGGTATAGCCTGCTACACATCTAGGCTATATGTGTAGCCTATTACTCATAGGCTACGAACCTGTACAGCATGTTACTGCACCGAATACTGTAGACAATTGTAACATAATGGTAAGTATTTGTGTAACTCAACGTAGAAAAGGTACAGCAAAAATAGCATATAAAAGATTAAAAATGGTACACTTGTATAGGGCACTTACCATGAATGGAACTTGCAGGACTGGAAGTTGCTCTGGGTGAGTCAGTGAGTGAATGGTGAGTGAATGTAAAGGCCTAGGACATTACTGTACATGACTGTAGACTCTATAAATACTGTACACTTCGGCTACACTCAACTTATTTTTTAGATTTCTTCAATAATAAATTAACCTTTACCTTACTCTAACTTTCACTTTACAAACTTTAAATTTTTTTTAACATTTTGACCCTTGTAATAAATGCTTAAAACACAAACACATTTTATGGCTGTACAAAAATAATTTATTTCTTCATATCCTTATCCTATAAACTGTTTTGTTTTTAATTTTTTTTATTTTAAACTTTTTTGTTAAAAACTAAGGCACTAACACACACATTAGCCTAGACTTACACAGGGTATGGATCATCAAAGCATCACTAGGTGGTAGAAGTTTTTCAGCTCCATTATAATCTTATGGGACCGCCATGATAAATGTGGTCCATGACTTTATATTATTACAGTCTTGTAATGATTATCATGACAGACTGTATTATTACAGACTGTAATAATATAAAGCAATTACAGCAATATACTATAATAAAAGTTATGTAAATGTAATCTCTTTCAAAATATTTTATTGTACTGTATTTTCAGACTATGATTAACTATAAGAAACCAAAGCCAAAGAAAGCAAAACCCTGAAAAATGGGTAACTGGTGCATAATGATCCATATTTCCTTATCCACAAAACTATTATATATAATCAAAGAGCCCTGAAAGTAAAAAAATTTTTGTTGATTTGCCTAAAAATCATTATCATTTATCAGTTTGATAACACCTGACCTGAACTGACACTAGAAAAGCTAATTATAGTCATATTTTTTGTATGAATATTCTTATTTTTGCCGTAGTGATATTAACATGCTTGATTTGGGGATGCTGGCCCAGACTCTCAAAGGATGTTCCATAAGCACCCTATTATTTTTCTAAAATTTGAAAAATTCTAACTTTGAAATATATCTCGTCCCAAGGGTTTTGAATAAAGGATTATAGGCATGTCTTTTGTAAATTAATTGTTTTCACATAAAAAATTATATGTACTCATTATGACTAGTCAAGCAATATAGAAAAATTAAAGGAGGAAAGTAAAAAATTATTCCAAATCCTGCCACCCAGAAATAATCATTTCCTACATCTGGTGAACATTATCTGTGTTATTTTTCTATGCATTTATACAGAGATCAAGATAATTAGGTATAATTTTCTAAAATAAGATCCTATCACATAGTAGAAGAAAACATTTCTTCACCATGAGTGCTATGAGTTTCTAAAATATTTCTCCAAGTTTAAAGGAAGATAATGAAAAATAACATGAGTTTCGAATCATGATGTGAATGTGTATTTGGTTATGTGTTTCAATGTTGTAGGGAAAAGAAAGAGAGATCAGACTGTTACTGTGTCTATGTAGAAAGGGAAGACATAGGAGACTCCATTTTGAAAAAGACCTGTACTTTAAATAATTGCTTTGCTGAGATGTTGTTAATTTGTAGCTTTGCCCCAGCCACTTTGACCCAACCTGGAGCTCACAAAAACATGTGTTGTATGAAATCAAGGTTTAAGGGATCTAGGGCTGTGCAGGATATGCCTTGTTAACAAAATGTTTACAAGCAGTATACTTGGTAAAAGTCATCGCCATTCTCTAGTCTCAATAACCCAGGGGCACAATGCACTGCGGAAAGCTGCAGGGACCTCTGCCCTTGAAAGTGGGGTACTGTCCAAGGTTTCTCCCCATGTGATAGTCTGAAATATGGCCTCGTGGGATGAGAAAGACCTGACTGTCCCCCAGCCCGACACCCGTAAAGGGTCTGTGCTGAGGTAGATTAGTAAAAGAGGAAAGCCTCTTGCAGTTGAGATAGAGGAAGGCCACTGTCTCCTGCCTGCCCCTGGGAACTGAATGTCTCGGTATAAAACCCAATTGTACATTTGTTCAATTCTGAGATCAGAGAAAAACTGCCCTATGGTGGGAGGCGAGACATGTTTGCAGCAATGCTGCCTTGTTATTCTTTACTCCACTGAGATGTTTGGGCGGAGAGAAACATAAATTTGGCTTACATGTACGTCCAGTCATAGTACCTTCCCTTGAACTTAATTATGACGTAGATTCTTTTGCTCACATATTTGTTGCTGACCTTCTCCTTATTATCACCCTGCCCTCCTACTACATTCCTTTTTGCTGAAATAATGAAGATAATAATCAATAAAAACTGAGGGAACTCAGAGACCAGTGCTGGTGCAGGTCCTTGGTTTGCTGAGCGCCGGTACCCTGGGCCCACTGTTGTTTCTCTATACTTTGTCTCTGTGTCTTATTTCCTTTCTCAGTGTCTCGTCCCACCCAACTAGAAATACTCACAGGTGTGGAGGGGCAGGCCACCCCTTCAAATGTTAGGCCATATCAATTGACTTCACA
Organism: Homo sapiens; assembly: GCF_000001405.40. Taxonomy (NCBI): domain Eukaryota; kingdom Metazoa; phylum Chordata; class Mammalia; order Primates; family Hominidae; genus Homo; species Homo sapiens. The sequence continues at coordinate 42,711,833 of NC_000013.11, forward strand.
CTATTAATATGAGAAAATTAAACCCCTTATTCTTATCCTGCCTCCCCTTCTCTTAACTCTCCAGTTTTTACGTATATATTATGTTTTGTCCTCATAATTCCATCCATTTTATAGAATTTAATAAATAGATTATATGTTGACTGTCAGGTCTTTTACCATAGCTTCTTCATTTCTGATTTTTTTTTTCGATTCTGATTCACTTGTGGTTGAAAAGATACTGTCCTCAAGTCTTGAGTATTTTTCAAGTGAGGCTCATGGAGCATGCCTTCTCTCATGTTTGAGAATGTCTGGGTGATAGTACTTGTATTCCTGACCCAAAGGACAACTTAGCTATGGACAAAATTTCTTGGGTTTGTTACAAAGTTTTGTGCACTCTGGACATTAAATATAATTATGAACAAGTTTAAGAGAACATTATTTTCTAAAATTTTGTAAATACTTTGAGTTTTCCACAGAAATTTTCCATGGGATATATTCTTTATCCTTGAAATGCACTAACTTTTCAAATATTCAGGACTATTTTAAGAACATTTTGTAATAATGTACTAAATCCATGTACACTTTATTCTATTATTATTTTTGGATATGTCACTGTATTTGTCCATTTTCATGCTGCTGATAAAAACATACCTGAAACTGGGGAGAAAAAGAGGTTTAATTGGACTTACAGTTCCACAGGACTGGGGAGGCCTCAGAATAATGGCGGGATGTGAAAGGCACTTCTTACATGGTGGCAGCAAGAGAAAATGAGGGAGAAGCAAAAGCGGAAACCCCTGATAAACCCATCAGATCTCATGAGACTTATTCGCTATCACAAAAATAGCATGAGAAAGAACGGCCCCCATGATCCAATTACCTCCCCCTGGGTCTGTCCCACAACATGTGGGAATTCTGGGAGATGCAATTCAAGTTGAGATTTGGGTGGGGACACAGCCAAACCATATCAGTCACTTAGACAATGATGAAACTGCTTGGTCTTTAATATTTATAATCTTATTTTGAATCATTTTTCCTATTTTTATATTATTTTATATGATTTTCTCTTGTTTTCCAATGTACTGCTGTTTTCAGCAATAATAATAAATACTTACTTATAATTTAAATGTATATATGTGTCTTACTTATCTTTTTATTACCTATCTGCGTTACTGAAATGTAAATTCCCAAGGGACTAATTATTGTCTGTTTGTTCTCTGTTGTATTGCTGGTGCCTAAAAGAGCATCTGACACAATGGATATGTCTGAAATGAATGAATGACGGTGCTATGTACATAAATGTCATCAACCATCAGTGTGGCAACAGAGAGTGGTTGGAAAGCATTCTTACATCACACATCATGAAGGGAGAAATAGAAATAGATTTATTTTCAAGGCCTCTTTGAAACTGCCAAGCGGCTGCCATGTTTGCTCATGGATATCCTCCACCCCTCTCTTGAGATGAATCTTCCCTACAGGGCTCAGTGGGAATATGGATATGGATCAAGGGGTGAGTCCCTTTTTGCCCACAATAGTAAAGGACCTTTTCCTCGAAAAGAAGGGGAGTGAGTATGACAGAGACTTTTTTCTTTTCTCCATGACAGGCAATTACGTTTTCAGAAGGGATTCCCATGCACGAAAACTAGGAGCTGTCTTCCCAAAGGAAGTGTAGTCACTCCCAGAATCCAGTCAATCATCTTCAGGTATTGAGAGGACCTGTGATAGCAGTACACAGTTTGGCGTGCCTGGATGAGTAAGGGAAAGAAGCTGTTTGTTAGTGGTTACGTGTAATCTACTTTGGGATATCTCAAGGGCAGGATGAAGGAGAAGAAAACAAGATCAATTAGATAAAAAGAGGGTGAATTAGCCTTTTAATCAAGTACCTAAGCCATGAAGCACACAGTTTTTCTAAGAGACACCATTATCCTTAATGGAGTTCTTTAGAACATCTTCAATTTTTCTAATGAAGACAGAAAGCCCCATCTTTAGTAAAGTGCTTCTCTTTGCTCATTTGACCACAGCATTATCTATTTCATTTATTCCCCTAGGGAGCTGATACTCTCCCATTTTTGTTCCTCATAGAATTATAAAGAAACAGAATCTGTCCAAGTTATTTAATCAAATTATTCTTGATGAGGCCATATGAGTGCTTCAATATCCACACTTAGTATGCACCCTTCTAATGATGTTCACTTATCTAAAATTACCCCTTAATTGATAAGATATATGAGCAAAAATGCTATTAGGCAAAATGTTGAAAGAACTCAAACCATTTAGAATGTTTTCATGCCAACCCTTGAATTTACTTAATCTTCAATGAGCAGTCTAAAAAGGTAGGATTTAATCTTCACTGTAACTACCAAGAAACAGCAAAGGGAAATAGGTTGAAGACGAGGTGGCAGACAAGGAGGGGGGAAATGTTTTTGTCTTTTGTGTCTTCACTGCACAAAACTGTATGATTTTTATTTGGTTCCTGCATTTCTCCATTTGAGAGAAGCATTGCAATACATTTGGAAATAGTGGTGCTATATATTTCATACAAGTTGGCTAAAATGGTGTTGAAGTCACTGACTAATAAGAATCACAACTTATTTAAAGCCAGGTTTACAAGGTATAATTTAAATACAGTACCTATTGTGCTCAGTTTTATGAGTTTTGACAGATGCAAATGTTATGTTACCACCACCATTCCAGTAATGATATAACATATCCATCACCTTCCAAAATTCTCTGTTGTCTCTTTGAAGTCAAACTTTTCCTCCCACTTTCAGGCCCTGGCAACCATTGATCTGTTTCTTCTCTCTGTAGTATCACCTTTTCCAGAATGTCATACAAATGAAACCATATGCTAGGTAGACTTTTAAGTCTGGCTTCTTTCATTTACCATAATACATTTAAAATTCCCCGTGTTGTTGCATGTATCAGTAGTTGATCTTTTTATTACTGAAGAGAATTTTATTTAATGTGTATACCAAAGTTGTTCATTCAGCAATTGATGGACATTTGGTTAGTCAGTTTTTTCATATAGATTTTTCTGTATACATACGTTTTCATTCCTCTTACCTTGAAGTGGAATTTCTGCATTGTATGTCATGCACATGTTTAACTTTGTAAGAAACTGCCAAACTGTTTTTCAAAGTGGGTGTACTATTATCCATTCCCACCAGCAACGTGTAAGTGTCCCAGTTACTTTGCATCCTCACTAGTACTTAGTATTGTCATTAAAGAAAAAAAAATTAGGACCGGGTGTGGTGGCTTATGCCTGTAATCCCAGCATTTTGGGAGGCCAAGGCAGTGAGGATTGCTTGAGGCCTGGTGTTTGAGTCCAGCCTGGGGAACAGAACAAGTCCTTGTCTCTATAAAATAATAATAACTGAGGCCGGGTACAGTGGCTCACGCCTATAATCCCAGCACTTTAGGAGGCCGAGGTGGGAGGATCATGAAGTCAAGAGATCATCCTGGCCAACATGGTAAAACCCTGTCTCTACTAAAAATACAAAAATTAGCTGGGCGTGGTGGTGCGTGCCTGTAGTCCCAGCTACTAGGGAGGCTGAGGCAGGAGAATGGCTTGAACCCAGGAGTTGGAGGTTGCAGTGAGCCGAGATTGCGCCACTGCACTCCAGCCTGGCGACAGAGTGAGACTCCATCTCAATAATAATAATAATAATAACTGATAATAAAATTAGCTGGTTGTGATGGTACACACTTGTAGTCCCAGCTACTCAAGAGGCTGAGGAGGGAGGATCCTTTGAGCTCAGGAATTCGAGGTTGCAGTGAGCTATGATCACACCACTGCACTCCAGCCTGGGTGACAGAGTGAGACCCTATTTCAAAAAATTTTTTTAGCTATCTACTAGGTGTGTAGTTATATCTTATTATGGTTTTCATTTGCATTTTCTTATTGATGAATTATATTGATCATCTTTTTATGTGATTATGTACAATCTATGTGTCTTATTTTGTGAGGTGATTATTTAAATCTTTTGCCTAGTTTTTATTAGATTTTTTTCTTATTATTGAATGACAAAAGTTCTTTATATATTCCAGATACCAGTTTTTCTGGTAACTTTGCAGAGATTAATGGTTCCTCCACCCAAAATCTGGTTCAGATGTTGAGACTGATGTTGTCACACATGCACTAAGAGGGTAGGAAAAGGTTTTTACTCACATAATGAGGCTTTCTGGGGACAGCAGGGCAGGCTCCCAAGCAGCTCCAAAAATAGCTTAAGAGAGCAAAGAAAGGAGCCTGGCCTGGGGTTCATGGTGTTAGCGAAAGAGCTGAGGTGAGGGTTCCCACACACAGGGATGAGAGCTTGCAGGTTTGACATTCCTGCCAGTGCCAAAAAGGAAGCGCAGGGGCCCTCTCATCAGCTTCCACAGAGTGACAGAGAGGAGGGGAGGGCAGTGGAGCTCGGAGCTGTCAGCAGCAGACACCAAAAATGGAGTCAGGCCCTTTATTATACCAGACTTTCCTCAACAGGAGAGTTATATTAATCACATTTTTAAAAATGTATACATAGTTTCGCTTTTGTCACCCAGGTTGAAGTACAATGGTGTGATCTTGGCTCACTGCAAACTTCGCCTCCTGGGTTCAAGCGATTCTCCTGCCTCAGCCTCCCAAGTGCTGGGATTACAGGAGCCCGCCACCACGCCCAGCTAATTTTTGTGTTTTTAGTAGAGATAGGGTTTCACTGTGTTGGCCAGGCTGGTCTCGAACTCCTGACTTCAGGTGATATGCTCATCTCAGCCCTTCCCAATGTGCTGGGATTACTGGCATGAGCCACTGCACCTGGCCCGATATTTTTAACATCAAAAGGAATACCCAGTAACATTTACTGTAGGTGGTTTATCAAGTATATAGATTATGTCTGTGCCTTAAATATACTTCAACATCTTTTAAAAAAGATTATCTACAAATAATATTATTTGGATCTTTTCTAAGAGAAATGTCCATTCTAAATGGATTGGATTCAGGTCTTTTGAAAAAAGGGCTGTGAATATTAGCAATAAAACATGGGTAATTAAGAGAACTGTGAAATCTCCTTCCCTTGTGAGAACAAGGCTCAATCCAATTGACTAATGTAATCCCAACACCACTCATGCCCCGATGGGTGGCTTTGTCTATAGTTCTGCTTTTTGTTGAAGGTTTGGGGTCTGATTGGTTATATGGCAGACTATAAAGCAGTGGATCATATGGGAAAAGTCCCCTCAGGATGGTCATAATTCAATTGTAAAAGTATCACCCATACTCCCTTTAATTGACAAAAAATGAATTAAGCACCTACTATGTGCCAGGCATATGCTAGAATCTGGAGAATTAAAGTTAAGTAAGATAGAGTCGGGGCTGTCCAGCAATTTGACATTTATTGAATGTGAGAAACATAAAAAAAAAATCAGAATCAAATCATCAGTGAAATGCCTTCAGATTTAATTTGAAAGGACTATAAATAAAAGAGTGGGCTGCCTGGACAATCATTCTTACAACTTCACTCCAAAATGAACAATTTTAATTGGGAAATGCAATGGAATATATTTGGACCTCTTTCTCAGAACTATGCAAGCTGGCATGGCATTTGGGAACCTTGTTTGTAACAGACATCACTAACCAGTATAATGAAGCATATGCCATACGCTGATGAAATTCAACTTTTGAAACAGATAAAATATGTTTTTCTATCTCACTAGGTTACTAAATTACAAAAGTAATATTTTTATCAAATGTTTTCTTATGTTTGTGCCTAAATTCCTTTTTTTCCCTGGGTGATGTGAAGGTAGCCATTTTAGGATCAATGCCATGTAGGGAATGTAGGAGAGAGGAAGAGAGGAAACTAGTGGCTTTATTATTTATTAGTTGGTAGTCACGGCTGGATCCAGACATGCAGGTACTCTGAAAGAATTAGTAGTTAGGAATATCAAGAATGCTAATAACATGTCATTCATCAAACTGATTCTCTTTAAAAAATACGATGTTTAGGGTGGAGAAGCAGCAGAGTAGGACTGCTGGCATTGGCAGGATCGGCATCTTCTCAATGGTTTTCAAAGTATGTTCTCCACATCGACAACTTCATCCTCATCTGAGAAGCCCCTAGAAATTCAGATTCCTGGGCCTCATCCCAGAGCTGCTGGATCAGAAACTCTGGAGGGAGGCCCAGCACTATGTGTTAACAAACCCTCTGGGAGATGCTGATGTGTACAGAAGTTTGAAAAGCATTAGTCTGCAACAATTCAGCTTCAGCCACGAAATCACATTTGCCATTCAGAAAACCCAAAGTCTTACCCTACAAAGCCCATCTACCTACAAATCTTAGAAGATGACATGGCAAGCATTTATTGTTACTCAAGCATGTGCTTTGGGGACCCCACACTTTACCCCTACCTTTGCCTCTGCTACCACTACTACCATTAACTCTCCCTGAAAGGAATCTTGTTAAATACAAAATCTTTTCTATTCTGTTCCATTTCCAGTGATATTTTAATGTCCATGAGGTATTGGTATCCTGACCCTGCTGGCCTTTTCTGGTTCTATGTGACAAAGTGGCAACTCTACTGGGCTGTTTGGAAATCTTCTAGAGTGGTAGTGGGGAGGATAGGGAGGAAGGTTTTTCTGCTTACACATCTGTTGGCTGGTTTGTTCACCACTATTTCCCTAAAAGTAGTTATAATTATAAATTTTGTAGTATAGTTACTGCTGTTTGGGGAAAACCGGAGACTTAGATCATAGAATGTGATATGGTTAAAGGGTCAAGTTTTATGTAGATAATGTTTTCATTTTAGTTTATGCCAAAATAAAGATTTTAATAAATAAATAATAAAATAATAATTAAATAAGTAAAATAAATTCTTGACAGATTACATACTATACACTTGGAAGAAGAAGGAGGAGAAAGAAGAGGGCAAAAAGGGGAGAAAGAAGAGGAGATTACACATATAATGCTTTGGTTGGGCCAGGTACTATACTGAATACTTTACATCTATTGTCTCCTGTAATTCTCAAGACAAATTTCTAGGGTAGGGCTTATTATTCTCCCTATTTTACAGAGGAGAAAGTTGAGGTATTGAGAGATTAACAAACATGAGAAGGGTTCCATAGTCACATAATTACATAGCATTGAGGTGTGTGGTAGAGTAATGGGTGAGCTATAAGACCGGAATGATTAGTTGGGATCAGGTTGTAAGGAGAATTGACAGCTATGTAAGGAGTTTCTAGTTCAAATTATGAGAATGGTACACTGGAGAGACACCTTGGAGATACTTTGAAGATAAAATTGATCTGACTTAACAATCAGATGGTAAGAAATGGGGGGAGTCTTTAGCTGAAGCAACTGCGTCTGATGGTGTCACTCAAGGAACAAAGGAGGAACGAGTTTAAGGGCAGAAGGAGCCGATGTGTTTAGTTCAATTACACCAAGTTTTGGGTGCCTGTGGGACACATGCAGGTAGAAACTTCCAGTTGGAAATATAGCTGAGGCTCAGAAGCCAGGTTAAGTCAGGAAGTATAGACTTAACAGCCATCAGCAGAGTGATTAAAAAGTCTGGCCCTCTGCAACGATGGAAGTGGTGCTATCACCGGGAAGAAAATGTAGAACAGGAAGGGAAATGGATCTTGTGGGAAATGACTAAATGGAAGAGGTAGAGAAAGACAAAGCTTTGAAAATCATTATAAAATAGTGGCTAGAAGGTAGTAAGAAAATGAAAAGATGATAAAACTGAACATCAAGTGAGGTGATAATTTCCAGTGCCCCATCAAACCTATGACTGTGTTGGGCTCATGGAACCTTGAGCAATGGAAGTGACACTGAAGTCCAGGCATCCATCTGTGACCAAAAACACCCTGCCTAATTCTGTAAATATTCTGAGGTCCTTTTACTACCTATATTGTTACTCTTCATCGGCAAGGTGCTGACCAAAGTAATATTGTAGAGCTACAAAATAATAATTATTAACATATTCATCCTAAATGAGCTAACAGATAGCTAATCCAAAATAATTCTGTAGTGAGAAACCCGAATTATGCAATCTTTAAATTCTATTCTATTATATCGTGCAGTGACAAAAAATGGTGGTTAATGGAAAATTGTCAAGTGAGACTTGCTGGAGAGGGCTGCTTTGGCGGACAAGAAAGCAAGAAATATCTTTGCTTTTGCAAACAGACACCACTAGAAGATGTAAAGAATTTTTAGGTGCAGATTAAAGAGCCTCTTTGCAATCTCATTTACAGTTTTTCTTTACTTAGGAAATTCTTTTCCAAGGATAATTCAAAGACTTTAGCCTCATTTTAAAAAACCATAATTTTTTGTTGGTTAGCCCAGATTGATGAAGTCATATGAAATTTTCTGCCTCATTGTGCCTGTATGACATTTTTCCTACTCATTCCTTTTTTCCCCCCTTCCATAGCCTCCTCAATTCCTTCTTGCCACCCCTTCAGATTTAGACAGACCGTCTCTTCAATTCTGATGGCAACATTTCACACTAAATAACTATATACCCTAGCGTTGCCTCTCACACGTCCAGGTGATTGGCAGATACTTGTTTAGAGGATTGGAAACAGCTAAAAGTGACATTCAAGGATTCAAAAGCAGCTTGGTTGGGAAATAAATCTTTGGCTGGGAAAAATGACTCTCTTTGCCAGACAATAGCCTTATAATTTATCATTTATTGGAAAAGAAGGATGCATTTTGAGAATTGCATCAGACTAAAACTGATTACAGATATTAAGCAACGTCTCTATGAGCCATTACTCACCGCGTATGTGAGAGCTGAGTGCCTCTGGAAGGCGGGAGCTGATGAGTCACTGAGTGTGCTATTGCACCATCATAATTGTTAGCATCATAAACAATGGTATATGACGGGGTAGAGCAGATTAAAGAGAATGAAGTGTCTTGTGCAGTTCCCTCTAGAAAGAAGAAACGAGACGTTATTTCACTGTGACGTTAACTATTGATTCAGGTTTTTGTTTGTTTGTAGCTCCTAGTGGTTATGATAACTCAGAAGCAGTATTCATGGCTTATTCATTTCGAAAGCCACCACAAGTGATGGTTTAAGCTGTTCCAACTTTGTGTTGTTGTTTTTGAAATAAAAGAAAGGCTTTTTCTTTTCAGTGTTAGGAAAAGGGAAGACATTCAAGAGAGCTGAACCAAGCGCTAAGTATCCTGAAGATCTAAGATCTAAGGACCCTGAAGACCTTAGATCTGGCTAAAAATTATACCAAGAAGCAAGTGCTGTTATAATCAGAGGGATAGGGCAACGCTGAGCAGTGAACTCACAGAGCACTCATCCATTCCTTTCTGACATTTGTCATTTTTTATCTATGTTGTATTTATTTAAGATCATGTTTTAGTTACATATTGTAACTAAAATATCTCAAAACAGAGATTGTGTATAGTATTTCTCAAAACAGAGATTGTGTATAGTATAGAAATACTATAAATATCTCAAAACAGAGATTGTGTCTTAAAAAGTTTTGCTCTCTCCTCAGAACCTAGCTCATTTAGTAACTTGTTATTGCTGAATAAAAACCAATTTATTGATAAATGAATGTCATGAGTCACTGTATTTATTACAACTCATCTCCATTTCCTTAATTCTGTGAAGATACAAAAGCTAGATTAGCCAGTGCTGCATAAGAGTAAACTAGGATGGTTCTCGGAATGGGCACGCGTAATTGTTTATATTTCTTTCTACCAGTCTTTAATTTATATTATTTAAAGAAGTGCTGATACTTAATAGCAAACGTATCTTTTGGAAAGAGTTTTACTTTAGATGAAAAAAGTACACCTTCTGGAGAAAACATTTTAATGTCATGCCTTTCAGGCACCCACACCTTCCTCTTCAGAATATGAGGCAGTAATTATGACTACATAATTCCCTCTGGGGAAGCTAATTAAATGTGGATATTTGCTAAGGAAAAATAGAGAGCCTATGAGTATAAACTCTGCAAATGCAAATATATAAAGGATCACAAATTCACACTAGTGCATTCTGTTAGACAAACATTTCTGCAAACAGCAAGGCTAGCCCTTGAAAAAAAACTGTGGAACAGCCAGAGGACAGCTTGAAGATCCCTAAAATCTTCTTTCTGGACACCTCCTCACTACACCATAATCATCTCTGGTTATACTTATGTTCTTTCTTAACTTTTCCATATTAAAAACCTGCTATATTATTATATAGTATTAACTAGTATGACAGTGACTTTCAGTAACAGTGGTTAAACAATCAGAAATTTATTTCTAGTCCAAAAGCCAAAACTGGAGCTGCAGCTCTGCTCTGTGAAGCTGTCAGGAGCCCAGGCTCCTTCTGCCTTGTTGCTGTGATATCCCTAGAGTGTTCTCATTATTGGTCTGTTGGTCTCATCAAAATGGCTCCCTACCCTATCGGCATTCCAGCTAGTGGGAAGGATGGAAAAGAGTTAGCAGAGGGAACTCGGAATTCTCCTTTTCTTTAAGAGCAGGACTTGCAAGCTTCACGCATCACTGACTTTCTTACTCCATTGGCTAGTCACATGATTTTCCTTAATAGAAATATCCTTTTAAATATAGATCTAAGCTCACAAAAATGGAAGGGAAATTCCTCATGGACAAGTTGAAAAATAAACTGTGCAAGCAGAGGGGTAAACAAAAGCAAAACTGTAAGAGCACTGTGGGCATTAGTGGACCTTGCTGTCAAGATACTTAAGAGCGACATGAAGGACAGGAGACAAGACCTAGGCCCATGCAATGTGAGTAGCTGGGAGTGACACTCCACATCCAGCTGGGAACCTGAAAGGGTTATAATCTTGATGAAGGCACGTACTAGAAAATGATCCACCTAGGCTCTAGATGCGGGGGGGTGGTGGGGAAGGCTTCATTGGACATTAGTAATAAAGGCTTTCCCTCAGATAGATCTGGGATTCAAATTCGTATTACCTACAAGATCCCAAGCCAAGATACCTAGTTCAAGGGGTGCTGGGTTGATAGGACCTTGTGACCACTTTAACCCTTTCTGGAGAGACCCACCCTCTATGCAGGCTTCACAAAATCTTCATAGATAAATTAAATGATTGTCAACCAAATACTTACCATATTAAATTTTCATTCAGACATGAGGGCAAAATAAAGATATTTTTAAACAAAAAAGTACAAGTTACTTCCCGTAGACTTTTGCTAAATGGACATCTAAAAGACATATTTCAAGGAAAAGAAAACCACTCCCCCCACCCCCAAAGGCAGATGTAAGAGGAAATATTGAGAAAATAAAGAGGTAAACATGTAGGTAAGTCAAGAAATGCTGACTATATAAAAATAAATAATACAGTCCAGTTTGTTGTACAAAGGTACAAAAAGTACAAAATTGCAAGGTAGAACAAAAACACCACAGAAAAATAACATGCAAGATGTGGAAAAAGATGATTTGATTTAAAGTGTCCCAATTCCATGTATTGTCCTAGAAGAGGGTAGACAAATTGCTTAACTTGAAACTCTTAAAAAGTAAAATATACACATTAAAATTTAAAATTATTCCATTAAGAAAATAGACCTATATTGCGTAACTTGTGACCAGTGTAAAGAAGCGTAACAAAACCCTAATCAATCCAAAGAGGGAACAAAGGAAGAAAAAGTAAAGAAAGTGGAGGAGCACAGACAATTCAGAGCACATAGCACAGGATAAAACGGTAGAAATTGGTCAAACAATCAGAAGCATACTAACCTCACCAGTTACACAACAGAGATTATCTGCTTGTAATTTCAAAAACCCATATGTAGCCCATCACCAGACAAACACCTAAATAAGACACACAATGCTTGGATATAAACCAGGAATTAAGCAGACAAAAAATTAGTAAAGATATTTTAAAAAAATATTTGACCTAATACATCACAGATTGGAATTTGAAGTCCATAAATTGATCGTAAACATTCTTTCCGAATATATGCGGAAAAATTCTAAATATTATCCATATACTAGGTCATAAAGCAATTCTCATCAAATTTCAAAGAATTACAATCATGATCATGATGATTTTTAATTAGATTTTAAAAATCAAGAGCAATGACAAAAACTTAAAACTTTATAATTTGGAAATTCTAAAACTTGATATTGGGAGACAATTCTCTATGGGTCTCTTTTGTTTCTTTGTGTCTTGAGAGCATAGGCACTGACTGCCTTTCTTCTGGAATATCTTTTCATGGATATTTGCATAGTGAAAAACAGCCTTGGAAAATATAGCGTCTCCCTCCAGAGCAAAGGCCAAGTTGTTTATATTATGGCACAATAAAATAAGGAAAATGCCTTTCTTTGAGGCAAAGATTCAGCAGCCCAATACAAAATATTTGGGTTTTCTAAGCTCAGGGTTCCACGGCTGTAATGTAACCCACTGCATATGGAGGCATCACCTGGCCCTTTTTGTATTGGCCTAAGAGAATTGGGGTTCAGGGAACTGGCTCAATTGCAGATATTCTGGATACAATTACTGCTGTGAATAATAAGCCCTCCTTTGTCTCTGACCCAGGCGTCTCATGGCTTTTGCCAGCATCTAGCATTCTAGCAGACTAGCTCATAAGCTTGTAAGTAGGATGAAATCTCAGACCCTTCACTGTTCTTGACAAACGCTTTTAAATAACCATGTGTATTAGGAAATGAAATTTGAAAATACTTATATCTAAATGATAGCAAAATCTTCCAGGAGGAAGAAAAAGTAATGTTTAAAGGAATACGTACAGACAATGCTGGTAGCAGAAAAGGAAAAGCAGAAACTAAATGAGCTAGGTGCTCATATCAAGAAGTCACGTTATAAAAGAATAAAACCAAAGGAAATACAATAAAAATTATTTTCAAATAACAGCACAAATGATTTAAAACAGAAAACAAATGGAGAAGATCAGCAAAACAAAAACAGTTCTCTGGAAAGATTAATATAATAGCCAAATTTCTGATAAGACTGATCAAGAAAAATCAGAGACATAACAAATAAAAAGTGTAACTATTAGAAATGGAAAAGGGGACATACTATGCTGATATAAATCAAAGCAATGTCTTTGATGCTGGAACTTTAAGAACTGGTGATAGACTCCTTGGATCATAGAGAGAAGATTTCTTTCTGGCAGAAGTTTTTGCTTTCTGTCTCACTTCGCAGCCAATGAATGATTGCCTATTCACAGGCCAAATGTCATTATACCAAATGACTAAAGCTGAGGAGTGTGTAAGATTAATTCTACAAAAAAGTTTATAAAAGGCAAGTTGGATCTTAATAAAGAATTAGCAAACGTGAAACTAAATATAAAACATAGTGCCATAAAAAGACATTACTTCCAACATCTTTCATCATCCTAGCCATTATTCAAGGTCCTTTACAAAGGCCATCTACTTCATCCTGCTGTCTTTGATTCTTTTCTGTTAGATATAATCTTTTCCTTCTGTGACGATCTGTAGCATTTCATGCTTGGTTTATGAGTCTAAAGCAATATTTTCACCTTCATGCTTACAATATTCTAAGCTTTCTACAAGGATGGACTGGGTCTTATTTACCTAAGTAATTCTAGTAAATAATAGTAATAGTAATAGCAAATAAACTACCAACAGCTAAGCATGGTCAAAACTTCACTTGATAGGTGGTCAATAAGTACAATGGAATTGAGTCACTAAAACTAAACAGCACTAGCTCTTTTATAGGAACTCTGGGATCCCGGAAGTGAAAAAGTGTTAGAGCAGGAGCAGTCTCTAAAGTATACTTTATTCTACTGTCTAAACAATGCAGAGAATCACATTGATACTATCTCTGATGTCAGAACCCTTTTTGGGGACTTACCATGATGGGAACATACATGGCCATTTTAAGGTTGGTCGGCACATCCCATCTGAGGATATTCCTACTCGTGTTGGAATATCATTACCTATCCTCAAGTCATAATTCTGCTTTAAAAAAAAACTGTACTCAAATGTCACTTCCTCTAAAATGCCTTCCACAACCAGGTCTGGTTTAGATGTCCTGCCATGTGCTTCTATAACAAATTTAATATCTACTTACCACATTGTATTGTAATTGCATTACATTGTAATTTACTTGTCTGTCTATGCCAGTAGATGATACACTCTTGGGGTGCCTACATTATATATCATTCACTTTGTATTTCCAGCACCCAGCACCCTACCTGGACAAAATAACCATTCATAAAAAGTTCCTTGAATTGTAGAATGAATGATTTGGAAGTCTGCTGTGCTGAAAAGTTTTGGATTTATTCTTCGTGGGAATGTGGTTTCAGAAACTTCTAATCTAAACTGCTTCTTGTTTGTCTCTAAGAGTTTGATTTGTATGATGTGTCCTCTATATAAGGTTCTGATGTAGGCAAGGACTGTTTCTGATAATATAGATTTTCTATTTTGCTGTTGTGATATGAGCTGTGCATGGGTATTTTCACATACGGTAGTCCTGTGCAATGTACTCATCTTTAATTTGCTCCCTGGGTACTACATTCTAGGGTTTCTAGTGCCTCAAAACAGGCCTCCAGTCTGTGCAGAAGGGTTGGTGTATTAGCTTCCTGTGGCTGCTACATCAAATGACCACAAACTGAGTGGCTTAAAGCAACAGACATGTATTCTCTCACAGTTCTGGAGGCTAGAAGTCCAAAATCAAGTCACTAGCAGGGCCACAGTCTCCAGAGACTCTAGGGGACAATCCTTCCTTGCCTCTTCCGGCTTCTGGTGACTGTCAGCATTTCTTGGCTTGTGGCAGCATCACCCTCATCTCTGACTTTGTCTTCACACGGCCTTCTCTTCTCTCTGTATCTTCCTTCTTCTCTTATAAGGACACGTCTCATTGGCTTTAAGGCCCACTTGGATAATGTAGAAAGATCTCATCTGGAGATGATTAACTTAATTATGTCTGCAAAGACCACTGTTTCCAAATAAGGTACCATTTACAAGCTTGAAGTTTTAGATAATGTGCATATCTTTTGGAGGAGCCACCATTTAACCCGTTGCAATTGATAACTATAGGTCTGATTTCCAAGTAGCATTGTCTACCAGCCTGGCAGTGCAGAAGTGCTGAATAGTATCGAACATCTTTTTATAAACTCATGATATAAGCAGTATTTTATCTAACTTTCATCTTCCCAGTATCTTCTAGTGATCTTTAAAAAATTATTTTTGGTTATTAAGACTTGAAAAATATAAATGGATTCTAAATTCCTGAGGGAAATGGTAATAAATTTGGGGGGATATAAGTCGTATTTCTATTTTTAAACAATTATTTTAGAATTCTGGTATTCAATACAATTACTTTTCATTATATTGACCCAAGAGCCTACAAATATATAGTGAGGTGATTTCCTTTTGCAAAGTCAGATATTGTGCTCTGAGTGCTTTGAGAAATCACCTGATTTTGATGAAATAATTTAATTTAAATGTTGTCATCAGGAATGAAGAATTTTCTCCATTTTTAAATAAGGGAATTGATGCTTTGGACATGACGTTTTACTTCCCATAAGAGAACAATACCTATTGTTAGGTAGAAATGTTTTTGTTCTTTTTTTCCCCCCAGCAAAGAAATTGCTACTATACATTTTTAGAAACCAGGTCAATTTTTTTTTTCAACTTCAATGTTAAAGGACTGCGTAGGGAAAACAAAGTTAGAGTCATGAGTAATCTATGGATCAAGGAACACAACAGGCTAAAGTATACATTCAGTAAGATGTGACCTTCACTTTTAAAAATATATATACATTTTCCTAATTTAGAAGTCAAAGATGAGTTTGGGGAAAATTTTTAAAATGTAAAAAGCTATACAGCTTGGCTGGGCCAGGTGGCTCACATCCATAATCTCAGCACTTTGGGAGTCTGAAGCAGGCGGATTGCTTGAGGTCAGGAGTTTGAGACCAGCCTGGCCAACATGGGCAAACTCCATCTCTACTATATTAGCTGGGTGTGGTGGCACGGGCCTGTAGTCCCACCTACTCAGGAGGCTGAGGCAAGAGCATCGCTTGAACCAGGGAGGCAGAGTTTGCAGTGGGCTGAGATTGCGCTACTACACTCCAGCCTGGGTGACAGAGTGAGACTGTCTCAAAAAAAAAAAAAAGCTTTACAACTTAATGTAACATATAAAGTGATATTTGATTATAGTGATTGGTATATGTCCCATTTCATATAGGTATATTTCTGATCAATTTTTATTAATAGATCCATTTTTTATTGAAACTGGTAACCTTAGTGAATGTGAGTATAGGTATGAAGGAATGCTTGAAAACATGTGTCTGAGATGAATTTATAGCTTGGCCTTAGTGTGTACACAATGGCCCTAGTCTGTGGCTATATCATGCCATCTTAAAGGGGTACTGCAGATTGTTGGCAACCTGATTAATTGCTGGTTGAACTGAATACTTGCTTCATCATGCAGCACATTACAAAAGTAATAACTATTTGCCTTTTCCCTGGAATGCCAACTTTTTCTTATTGCAGGGAGTCAACCTTCTGAGACTTTTTCCTCTTTTAGGGGTTAGTTCATATTTAGGTGAAAAATCACATTCAGAATTATCACATAAGATTGCCTTGGCCTCATCTCTATCTTCATCAAAATCTTGAAGTAATACAATTTGGGATAGAAGAATATTCGAGAGGACATTCTTACCTGTAGATCTCACCAGTCTCTTCTGAGATGTCCAAGTAATGTACCCACCCTAGCCTCTCTTCTGAGTGTCTCCTTTAATATGGGTCACCATGTTTTATTCTATGTCCTTGCTCCTTTTGCCTCAGCAGACTAGACCAGGGCTAGGTCTCTACCATCTGTGAGCTGGCTGAGGGGGACCCTCCGGGTGCCTGGCACAACAGCTTTGCACAACAACTTGCCATATGCATAAGAGCTAGCAGGCTTGGACAGGGTCTTTTCAGGGGAGTTTGAATGAAACACCTATGAAGTCAGCAGGGTGCAGAGTGACTCAGGCTTGGAGAGACAAAACATGAAGACAGTGTGCAGAGGCTGTGAAGCACCAGAGCCCTGAGAAAGCAGAAAGTATGAAGAGTAGGAAGCATGAAGAGTAGAAGGGGAAGAGAAGAAGAAAGTTGATATAAAAGTAGCAAAAAGAAGCAGTTGGATAAAAAGCAGCGCAGGAACTGAAACATAAGCTTGGCCCAGAAAAAAAAAAATCTGTTTATGCCCTTAAGCTATTGACAAACTATCAGAGCTGGTGTCGTAGGCCGCATGCTATGAACAGTGCCGCAATTCTCTGTGACCCCTAACTCTGTGCTTTGGAGAGAGCATCCTGTTTTTCATACTTTTCTTCGTATTCCCTTAACTAAAGGAACCCGCACCCGTTTCTATTTTTTGCATCTGAAAGAGCCTAACAAACACAATATCCTCAAGATGAAGCAAAGAACTGAGAAAAAAATGAAAATTAAAATATAAAGTCATAATTCTGACATTGAAACATAATCATTTAATGGTATTTTCATTCAAAGCACTGTATGGCAAGCAATGTGCTTTGATGTTTCACATAAGGGCAAAAGACATACTCTGGAAACAGCAGCTGTAAAAGCCAGAAAACTTATTTTAATTCTGGGTTTGAGTCACAAGTGGCTACTTCTGGAGTTGGAGTACCCAGAAGGTAATTAGATTGTTTGTCCATGTACCTTTCAGATGAACAGGATTGCTACCTTTAGAAGTAAAAGCAACAGAAGAGGGTTGTCCCTAGAACCTTACTTTGTTTCCTAAGGAAGACATTTACTTGCTGTATTATAAAATTAATATTATTTTGTCCCTGCTGGGTAGTCAAGAGCAATTTGTGGGTGATTGTCGGTCTGATGTCTCAGGATCAGCGTTTCTTATTACCTCAGATGTAATGGAGAAGAAGAAACGTTGTGTTGCTTTCCTAGTACGCTAAGGTTTCCTCTCTTATGAATCTAACCTCTGATAGTGCCAATATTTGAACAATGTAAGTTCACATTTTGTGTTCCCCTTTATATTTTCGTTTTCTTTTAATCGGGCTCTTTTCTTCTCAGGCAAAAAACATGGCTTTATGGTCTTGCTTAGTTGAGTTTTCCTTAGCAGTTGAAAGAAATTATTTGAATTTACTAACTAAATTTGGAACAAACTGCATTTCTGTGGCAATGAATGGGTTATCTATCCCTAGTGGGGTGGAATATCTTCTCCATTAAGAATTATTCCATTTTTTGTGTGCATGCTTTACTGCATTTTAGGGGTAAAACAACTGCACTGTTTTCTGTGGTGAGCCTATAGCTAGCAAGTATTGATCCCTGGAACTTATCATAAAAACCAAGGCTAGAGAATGCTAACAGTCACAAATATTTATTCACAATTTAATCATTTTCAATGACAATTTCTGATAAGGATGTAAGATTTGAAATGAGAAGACATGGGCTGAACTTCCAGCTCTATTATTTCCTGGAAATGTGGCCTTGTGCAGTCCCTGAACAGCTCAGCTCCCCTGTAGGGAGTTGGCAATACCTACCTTATCTCCCAGGGAGGCTAGCTGTGAAGCTCCAAGGACAGAACCTTATGGAAAGTGCTGTGCAAATGAAAATCCCTCTCTAAAAGCAAGGTATTAAGATGGTGAATGCTGTGACAGGAAGGCAGGCTTCAGTTCTTTGTTCTTCGTAATAATTATTGTGGATGAGGGTGGTGGGAGCAACGGATGTAGACATAATGAGAGGTGTTCAGAAAGAAACGCTCAAAATACCCAAGAAACAAACATCAGCTCCTTCAGAACTCTATATTTACATAAATATTTCTCCTCATGAAGTTTCCAAATTGAATTTGGGGTGACCACTCAGCTTTGTTCATTCTATTCACACCTCTAAAGTATTGACAGACGTGAGCTCAATTTCACAAAATGAAATAATAGCAATTTAGCCTAAGACTTGAAGACAATGTCAAGATGAAAAATAAGGTTCATTTTCCGCTGCTTTTTTCTGTTTTTCACTCATTTATGTGAATAATTCGTGTACTTTACATTTTGAAAGAAATAATTATAGTAATCAGAATTTGACTTTTTATGAGCTATAAATTTTGAGAAGCTGCTTGTTCCTACTGGCATCAATATAATTTTAATTAATAAATATCTTTAATCTACCAATTACATAACATACATATAATGACACAGAGCTACACGATTCTGTGTTTAATCATTATTGAATGTGCAGGAGTTGGTAATATAGACACTACCCCAGATCCCCAGATCTGAGTGAGTTATACATAAAAATATGTGGGAAAAGATAAATTTTAAAGAGCACTCCTTTTGGAAATAAAAGATAAAACAGAAATGAAAATGAGATGTTTTATTTTTCCTGAGCATTTTGTTCTTTTCAATTATATGACAGTTTTGGGGACTAGTTTCTCTGTTTAGGATATAGACAAATGCTGGATTGCCAACCCAACAAAATTGTTCCAAAGATCTAGGACCTGAACTTGGGAGTGGGGGCACCAAGGTGTAGAGGTTATTCCTCTCTCTGGTCAAAGACATAGTTTGATGTTTGAATCCTATTACCCACCTATAAAGCTATTTTTTCCATACTATTCCATGTCATTTATTTGAAATACAAAAATGTTTACTTTAAAAACCATTTTAAATATCCTACTCCTCTCTAAGAAAAATTTTAGAGTGTGCATTCATGGTTAAAAAGAGATATATTAACCTAATAAATGATACATTTTCTGTGCATTGTGATTCTGATTATTCCTCAATAAAAGATGAAACATTTCATAGGTAGCACAGAGTGTGAATGAGGAAGGAAAAAGGAAATTCTTTATACCAAGGAGGCAATAAGTTTCCTGAGGCAGACTCCAGAAGCCTAAGGACCCTGAGCAGTGGTTTAACATCCTCTTTCGATTGCCAAGAAGGCAGTCTAAGACTTATTTTCTGTAAACTGAAAGTCTTAGGTGATCTCTAAAGCCCTATCTAGCTCTAAATTTGTAGGATTCTGAATGTTCCTGAATTTCAGTCTTTGCTTTACTTAGCCCAGGCACGTGTGGATTTGATCCACCTGATTTTTCCTCCAACTACTTTTTCTCTTCCTCTGAAATCACAATATGACTAGTTGGCTTTAGCTGACTGCCAGAAAAATGATCCTTCTTAGAAATGGGCAAAAGAGATAGCTAAGTGTTGTTGACAAGGGGGAAAAAGCAAAATAAAAAAATTCTGTAAAATATTTAAAGAGGTTTATTCTGAGCCAATGTGAGTGACTATGGCCTGGGGAATAGTCTCAAGAGGTACTGAGAAAGTGTGCCTGAGGTAGTCAGGTTACAGGCTGGTTTTATACATTTTAGGGGACAGGAATTGTAGGTAACATCATAAACCAATACATGAAAGGTATACATTGGTTCAGCCTAAAGAAGTGGGATATTTTGAAGCAGGTGGAGCTCCCAGATCATAGGCAGATTCAAAGATTTTCTGATTGGTAATTGGTTGAAAGAGTTAAGCTTTGTTTGAAGACTTGAAGTCAATACAAAGAAATGCTTGAGTTAAGATGAGGAGGGATTGTGGAAGCCAAGATTCTTGTTATGTAGATGAAGCATCCAGGTAACAGCCTTCAGAAAGAATAAATGGTAAATACTTACTTTTCAGTGGTAAAAGGTGCCAGACTCTTAGCAAATCTCTCCCAGGTCTGGGAAAGCCTTGACTATATTAATGAAGATTCTCTACAGATGCAAATTTCCCCCACAAAAGATGGCTTTACAGGGCCATTTCAACATATGTCAAAGAAATATATATGGGGTAAAATATTTTGATTTCCTTCAGGGCCTACTATCTGTCATGTGGTGCTCTACCATAGTCAGGTTGGAATTTGGTATCTTATTGCCACAAAGAGTCTGTTTTGCCAGTCTTATAATCTCTATTTTAATGTTAATGCTGGTCAGTTCTTCCTAAACTCCAAAAGGAAGAGGGCATAACAGGGCGTGTCTAACCTCCCTTCCCATCATGATCAGGAATTCCATTTCTCAGGTTTCTCCGGGGTCCTCTTGACCAAGAGGGTGTCCATTTGATCAGTTGGGGAGGGCTTAGGATTTTAGTTTTGGTTTACTGTCTTCACTCTGGGAATGCTGGACATTGGAATCTATAGAGGTTGCACCCTTTGGTTGGTTTCTTTTGACTGGGCTATTTTTGAGCTCTGTCGAGGTGGAATTAAGTTGTAGAAAATGAGAGAAGTGTATATAATTCTTATTCTTAGCAATGTAAATGGATTTTGTCTGGTAAGGATATACATGATTTCTGGCCTGTGGAAAGATTATGCCAAACATTACATTTTATTACCTTTGAGCTTATTAACCAGCTTTGCGTTTATTAGCAAATACATTTAAATATCTCTGATTGCTCGGTCTTTGAATTCTTCAAACTCTCCATTAACATCTTATTGGTTTACCCTTTAAATAAAGAGATAAACAAAATTTTTGACTTGTGTTCAATTGATATGAGTCATGATTTTCATCATTTTGAAAATTATACTTGAGAGCAATTTAGCTAGTGAAAGGGGTGTGTGTGTGTGTGTGTGTGTGTGTATGAAAAAGAGAAAGAGCAGTTACTAAAGCCTTCTTTGCTCATTTGTTAACATTTATAACCAAATATGATCAGCCACCCCCACTGAGCTTTAGCTATATTCACATTAAATCAGTATATTGTGTCTAATTTAGAAAGTTCATCATGGCCTAGGTGGATTGCTTTACAGCTTTATGGGGTTCAAGAGAGATCACAGAAGCTGGCATTTAATGTAATTATAGAATAATGATTACCATGTATAAAAAATTTCTCAGTATAAAGAAGTCAGAACAAAACCTGTCTTCAAACTAGAGGGAGGTTATAAAAGGGCTAATTGGTTCAATTGTTATTTCCTCCCACTCAAGGTGTTCAGTCCTTGAACCTTTTCCTTCCCTGGATGAGAAGTCTGTTTAATATACTCTCAATGGGGAAAGAGTTGGTGAGAGACACTGAGATAAAATAGATTGTGTTATCTGAACTTGAGAAATCTGAGAAAAAAGAACTGTAGCCCCACATGGAAATTTTGCTGCTCACACCAGAGTGTTGTAGTAAATAATGTAATTCTAATTCAATATTAGTCTTTCATGAAATGCGTAAGGCTTTAACCTCTGCTTTTGCTGTAGGTTTTCAAATAAATGGGTATGAGATTAATTACCACTTGTATTTTGGAATCAGGGACATTAGACTAGCTAATCTAATAGCAATCTGAGGAAAGGGTAATAATCCCAGCCTGAGAGAGGCATAGCTGAATCCCTCTTAATTCAATGCAATCTGCATTTTTGCTTAAAATGTATTAATACTGTGTGTGCCCTGTATAATCTTTATTCATACCTTCCTGCATTATCAGGAGAGAGACATGAATTACAAATTAACCTCCCAAACCACAATTCACTTTAGGCTAACAGGTTCTTGATTCACATACTTAAAATTGAGCCAACTCTTGCTGAAAGAAAACCTCATAAAAAAATTTTCCAGTGTGGAAAGGATGATGAAGTGAGGAGACAGGCAAGAGACAGAGTCTATTTTCCTTTGCAGTGATTACAATAGGATATTAAAATTGTAAAATGCAAAACCCCAAATAAATTGAATTTGTGGAATCAATTTTTTTTTGTAAAGCAGAGATACTTTTTCTTTCACATCTTGTTTTAAGATCCTAGAACATGGTATTTATTGTGTTTATCTATTTTCTACCTGAATAAAGTAGAAAATAGGGAATAGGTCTTACTCACGTTTGATCACTGAGATCTTACAGTGCTTTTGATTATTATCCTGATATGGTTTGGTTGTGTCCCCACCCAAATCTCATCTTGAATTGTAGCTCCCATAATTCCTGTGTGTTGTGGGAGGGACCCAGTGGGAGATAATTGAATCATGGGGGTGATTTCCCCCATACTGTTCTCATGGTAGTGAATAAGTCTAACGAGACATGATGGTTTTATAAGGAGAAACCCTTTTTGCTTGGTTCTCATTCTCTCTCTTACCTCCTGCCACATAAGACATGCCTTTTGCCTTCCGCCATGATTGTGAGGCCTCCCCAACGATGTGAAACTGTAAGTCCATTAAACCTCTTTTTATTTATAAATTACCCAGTCTTGAGTATGTCTTTACCAGCAGCGTGAGAACGGACTAACACATATCCTAACCTGTTGAGATGGAATTAAGCAATCACAGGGTAGGCAGAAGAATAGGAGTCTGAGAAGAATCCAGGGCCATAATAAAACAGCAGGTCCCCTAGAATTGTGCAGTGCATAACCTGTTCAACTGTATCTTTCAGTCTTGAATGTTGCTAAGTTTAGCAGTGAGAACTGGACTTCAAGCAGAATGGAAGTGTGATCCTATTTGGGGTGGCCAGACCTCAGAGACTCCTGGATTGACTACTTCAATACAGTTTGTATCCTCTACCCAGCAATGAGCAGGACTGACTCATACTAGCTCTTAAGCAGATGAAAGAAGCATATAATTATCCCTAGGGCAAAATGCATTCTTATTCTCATACAGTCGAATAATAGTTTGCTCTGTGTAGCAAACTATTAAGTCCACCAGAAGCAGTGGACTCATAGCAAAAATTTCTACTTCCCTCTCTTGAAACTGTAAAGAAGTGCCGCACAGGTAAAAAGACACCTCCCCAAAGCCTGCTTCCCCCCCGAACCCAGGAGGACCCAGATACAGTCTGGAAGGACACTGAGCAAATGGTCAGCCTCATGTGGTGGTATCCTCTGCCGTTCATTCCCTGGTATGGGAAATGTGGGGCTAAGGAGACCACGTCTTCAAACATCAGCTTGCTGCCGGACCTCCCGCCCTGTGCTCCACTCTTATTGCGGCAAAGTTCTTGCTTGAATCCTTTAAAGGAAAGGAATGTGTATTCTTTGCCTCTGTCTGTTGGCAACTTTCTGTCAGTCACTATCCCCCTAAGACAGCCACCCATCAGCACATCCCCAGAATTCAAACAGCATCAACAACATCGTCTACATCCCTGACGAGAAGTTTTGTTATCCTTTGTTTTTTTGTTTTGCGTGTGTGTGTGTGTGTGTGTGTGTGTGTGTGTGTGTGTGTGTGTTTCGTTCTAAGAATAGAGACTAGAAAATGAAGAGAAGATGAGAAAGGGAGTTTTATTTTACTGTATAATTAGTTAGATTTCTGTTAATGGAAATTTTACATATTCTGTCTTTTTCTTTTCTTTTTTGACATCTCTGCAAGATTGATTCTGGCTGTTGCAGATCATAATTATAGGTCTATCCTCAGTGTATAAGATATTGATTTGCCTTCCTCAAGTAGTAAATTTTAGTGACAGGAATTATATTTTGCCAATTTCTTTTGTACAATGCCCAGCTAGACATATAAAATAATTTTGGATTTTTTTTTATTATAAGGTGATTTAGAACAAATTACTTTTCAGTTTTGCTGTCTATGATAAAGAAAGCATAAATGGTGAGTTAAATGTTTTAAGAAACTCATAGCAGAAGGGTTTTATTGTATTAATTTATGCAGGCTGATTAGCACATAGTGCCTGGCTGATAGGAGGTAATCAATAAAGAGTAGTTGTAATTATTAGTATTATTATTAATGTAAGTTGAAAATGAAAGGATTAACCTTAAGAGATGTTAGGCAGGCCTAGGGCCGTGTGCTGATCTATGGATGAGGAGATCCTGATAGGGGAATCTAAGACCCGGACCTAATGACCTGGGGAAGAAAGAAGCAACTTGGATTTGGAACAATAATAAAAGTGAATGGCTTTGATTTATTAGGTATCTAATATATATTCTTTACCTTTGTCTCATGTAATCTTCATAATAACACTACACAGTGGTTATTTTCCCTACTTTTTGGTTAGTAAGCTGTAGCCCAATGACTTGCCCAAGTTTACACAGCTCATAAGCGATGGGGATGATCAACATTAAGTCAGGTCTGTCTACCTGACTGTTTTTACTTTTCAACTTACTGAACGAAAAGAGGCCCATGCAAGCCTTCTTTACTAAGGGTTCCAAAATAAATATAAAATGACGATAAGCCTGCATATTTATTTATGCCTGTTGCTACTTTCCAACTTTCACATTTACTCTCCACTGTCAAGACCGATGTTGTTTGAGCTGAACAACGGAAGGCTGTAACAGGAGCCATGCTGTAAACAGAGGAGGAAAGACATCTTACAGTGTGAAGATGGAGAAAAACTGCAATAGCAAGATAGTCCTCCAGATAAGCCAAATCCCATCCATCTGTCCATATCAGCTGTCCCTACCAGAATAGGTTATTTTCCATTATTCCAGTCTCCACACTCTCCCTGTTGTGAAATTTCTGCAGCACTAAGACCCATACTCCAACACTCTTAAAACTATATCGTCTTGTATTATTTGCTAATTAGAATTTTAAAATAAAGTTAGAGGTGGTCATAGATCACGTGCCTAAATGGAACCTTTTAGAGATAGAACAATAGTGCTTCTTGTGTGGCCTGTCTTCCTAATTAGATCGGAGGGTAGGGACTATGCCCTACTCTCCTTTATAGACACCCTTTCTCACACTCTAACACAGCGTGTAGTACATGGTGGGTACTCAAAATATACTAGGTGATTAGATCACTAGCATATTTTACCAGGAAAACAACGTATGTAAAAAGAAGAGCTTTGTGGGCTTTTTTTTCTTTCTCTTTAAGTTTACAGGTTGTTTTACTACCTTTCTCTGGGAAGTATGTATGTTTCACTTCAGACACATCAAAAGCCAATGTAGAATGTTTTATGGTCTCCAAAATGTCCTTCTCTCTTTGTTCAGCAGGCACACTGGGGTCCTTTTATTTCTTAATAATTATCTGTAGTTGAAATAATATTGTAGCTTTTCATTGATAATAAACTGGCAATAATGTAAACTCATAATGTAAGCTTCCACTTTTTAAAATATTATTTTTTAAAAAGTAGTGCGTGCACACAAATTAAAATGTTAAGTGCGCAAAGTGTTTTTTAAAGTCCTAGTTTCCTTCCTAAAGAGCAATTACTGTTACCTACTCTATCATTCCAGAAGATGTATGTTGTCTTAGTCTACTCTGGTTGCTATGACAGAATACCTTAGACTGGGTAATTTATAAACCACAGAAATTTATTTCTCACCATTCCAGAGTCTGGGAAGTCCAACACCAAAGTGTCGGCAGCTATAGTGTCCGGTAAAGGCTTGCTCTCTCCTTCCAAGAGGGTGTCTCCCTTCTGTGTCCCCATATGGTAGAAGGGCAAAAAGGGTGAACTCTCTCCCTCAATCACTTTCATAGGCACACTAATCTTTAATAAGTCATCTCCTAAAGGACCCACCTCTTAATAGTGTTGCACTGGGGACTTCCAGCATGAATTTGGAGAGTCACAAACATCAAACCATAGTACACATATATGAACAAATATATATTCTCTGTCTGTCTCTCCCCTCACTCTTTACTCTCCAACAAATATGATACCATATTAGTCATATTCTTTTGCAAAGAATTCTTTTTATTTTTTCACTCAACAATATATGTTGGTGATCATTTATTAGCACAGACAGACCTACCTCAATATTTTAATGGTTGCATAACATATCATTCCATTATCCTTCCAAAGACCCAGATATGACCTCTCTCTTGCTTTAGGCTAGTTAGGGTATTTCCAATCTTTTGGAATTATAAAATGCTGCAATTAACATCCTTTTACATGTATAATTTCAAACATATAGGAGAAGTTCCCATAGAATCAAAGAGTATTTGATGTGAAATTTTGAAAGATATTGACAAATTATTATTGAAAATGGCTGTGTCCTTTCATTTCTCCATTAGCACTATTTGAGAGTGTCTTGGTAAGAGAGTGTGTTATCAATTTTTTCTATTTGTCAATCCAATGGGTTAAAAATGGTTTCTTTGTGTATTTTGTAAGTTGAGTGCTTTTTCAAATGTTTAGAGTTAATATAGTTTTTTTTTCTATGAATTATCAAGATACTATGGCCATTATCCTACAGAGATAGACCATGAAAGAAAGATAAAAGCTTTTCCCCTGCTTTTGGAACAAAGGGATCCCACATTTTCATTTTGCCCTGAGCCTAAAAATTATATAGTCAGCCCTGGCTATTCTCAACCATATGCAGTATACTTTTGTTATTTTTTGATCTTTATATAAACCATAGTATGTGTATCCTGCATCTTGCTTTTTCATTAATTTTTTGTTTGCGGGCTTCAACCGTGTTAATGGTTGTAATAGTAGCTAAGCACACATAATGGTTCTATGAATATACTTGTACATATCTCTGGGTGCCCCTGTTCAAGGGTATTTTTAGGGATTGTGTGTACACATAAGCATGTGCATTTTGTGTGTGTGTGTGTGTGAGATTTCCTGGTCATAGGATATGCATATTTTTACTTTACTATGACCAAATTGTTATACAGAGTGGTTGTAGAAAGCTACATAGCATATATATATATATATATATATATATATATATATATATATATATATATATATATACAGTTTGTTTTGCAGTGATCTCCATCCTTACCAACATTTTAGTATAAAACTTTAACTTATTGTGGTTTTATCTTGCAACATCTTCATTATTTAAAAGGTTGAACATTTTTCATTTATTTAATAGCTATTTGGGCTGACTCTTCTGTGAAGTGTTTATTCCTATGTTTTACCACTGCTTTTGGGGGAGGCAGACTTTTCCTTTTTGCTTATCTTTGCATTTAGGAATCTTTTGATTAAGAAGTGTTATTAATTTTAACTCAGTTAACTTTCTTATCTTTTCATTTATATTTGTGCTTTTCGGGTCTTGTTTTCATCATTTTTTTCCTGCTCCAAGATCATAGAAATATTCTATATTTTTCCCCAAAGTCTTAAGTTTGTGGTTTCCATATCTAAATCTTTTTCCCTTTTATTTATTTTTGTGTATTCTTTTTTGTGTTGTTGTTGTCCATATAGAAAACAAATGATCATAGCATCATTTATTGAGCAACCCATTCTTACTGATCCGCAGTGACATTCCAGTTATATACTAGATTTCATTTTATGTGTGGGCTTGTTTCTACACGCTCTGTGCTGATCCACTGGTCTATCCTATGTTCCTGTGCCATATTATGCTCTCTTAATTAATCAAAGCTTTATTATATACACAGGGCAATGAAAACTGGCAAAACAGCTCGCCTCATCCTGTTCATCCTCTACAGGGGTGTTTCAGCTATTCTTGTGCTTCATTTTTCCATAAAAATTTTAGAATCTGCTTATCAAGTTCTGCAAACAGCTCTGGATTGAATTTGAAAGGAATTGCATTTTATTTATAGAGCAATTTGAAGAGAATGACCAAACTTTTAATATATTGTGTCCTTCTATCACAAATATTATATGTATACAAAATAAATATAAGGCCAGGTGTGGTGGCTCATGCTTGTAATCCCAGCATTTTGGGAGGCCAAGGTGAACAGATCACTTGAGCCCAGGAGTTCGAGACCAACCTGGGCAACATAGTGAGACCTCATCTCAAAAAAAAATAATAATAATAAATAAATAAATAGATAAATAATATATGCATTTATTTACGTTTACTTTAATGTATTTTAATAACATATATAATTTCAAAGAAGTCTTGCACAAATTTTGTTAGATTTATTCCTGGATGTATTATGATTTTGTTGGTATTTTAGGTGCTCTGTTTTGTTAAATTATGTCCATATTCTTGAGGAGTTTCTATATAAACAATCATATTACCTGCAAATAACCAAAGCTTAGTATTTCCTTTTATAATTCCTACATTTTATTTTTCCTTATCTTACTGCACAATGTTGAATCAAAGGCATCACTGTTGTTTTTTATTTTAAAGGGAGTAAGGTTAATTTTTTATTAGTAAGTATGGTTTGCGCTACAAATTTTTGGTAGGTACTCTTTTTAAAATAGCAATCATCACAGAGTAAGTTATATTGTGATAGCAAACAACATCCAGATCATGGGGGCTTACTGCAACAAAGATGTCTATTTGGTTTTATAACATGGAAACTGAGCTGGCCTCTACTCTGTTCCATTTCTGCTCCACATGCTTTTTTATTCTGGGATGGAAGTTGAAAAAGTAACATTTATTTAGGAGTGAGACCCTTGAGGAGGGGATGTGGGAGAAGAGTGTATTAGCTCTTAAAGCCTCTTTCAAGACTTAATAGACATCATTTCTGCTTTCCTGCTACTCCTGGCAGAGCAAGTCACATGGCCCAGGCTGGATGTCAGCCAACCAGGAAGTACACTTCTCTCATAGCGGGGAGGTGTGTAAAAACATTTGGGAACAATAATTCCTTGCTCCTTCTATTAAGAAGAACTATTATTTTAGTATGAGGTCTTTGGAGAGCTAGGAGACCACATATGTTTAAAGTTTATCTAATAGTATTGAAATAATTATTTAATTTGTTAATTTCATGAACTAAACTAGATTTTTTAATACAAAATATATTTTGCATTTATAGGATGATGCAAATTTATCATGGTGTGTTATATTTTTCACATATTCTTGGATTCAGTTTGCCAATATTTTTAAAGGATTTTTGCATTTATGTTCATGAGTAAATCATTTTTCCTGTCTCGAATTATCTCTATGTGAATTTCATATTGTGTTTATATTTATCTCACATATTTGCTAAGGAGTTTTTCTTTTTCTTTTTTTATTATCTGAAAGAATTTGTATAAGATTTGAATGAACTATTAACTATTCCTTGAATGTTTGGTGTAATTCTTATAAAACTATCCAAGCCTGGGCTTTTCTTTGTAAAAGTATTTTTAACTACTGACCTAATTTTTTAGTGGCTACTGAGACTGCTGGCTGGCTGGATACATCAAGATGTCATTTCTGACTTGGCCCTTTTCAGAGTATCTTCTTGTAAATAGACATATCTCAGAGACAACTACGGAATGATGTGGACAGGAAGGAAGAAGTTTTCAGACATGTGGTAGAACTGGGCAAGTTCTGAGCTCAGTTCTGGACAAAGCACAAGCAGGTACCAGGTCCTAGAGCGATGCCTCATCTACAATGGTCTCCTGATTAATCTGGACACCTGTGTATTGCAAAAAAACATGATAATACATAGATTGAAAAATAACAAGATGTGATTAGGAAATCACTTTTAAATACCTAAATTGGGAGATGCTATGAGGATAAAATATGCATATTCTATGCAAAGCAGAAAACCCAAAATGCCCTGGTTCACTAATTAAGCTATTTTTCTACTTTCTCATCCCTTTCCTTTCTAACTGTGGGGTGACTCCTGGCAAGATCTGCCCTCCACTGCCGGCTTCTGCACAAAGTTGAGAAATCAATATTATAATCATGCACTGTTTCCATAGCAAGTGCTCCTGCAGCTCTGAGCAAAACAGCACTTTCTAGACCCTGCCAGAGTATATGTGGCAAAGAAAGATTAATTAGCCACTCACTAATTGACAGTATTTCCCTCTACATCTGCTTGGGCCTGATGTGAGTTTAAATGTCTCTATTAAGTGCCTGAAGCTGATTGCACATGTATAAAATTTAATGTCCCTTCTCAAACCTCAGAGATGTCTGAGACCTCAGTTCCGTCTCTAAACAGTAGAGATGTGGGCAAAAGGCTTAGCGTGGACGGCAATTCTGGAGAGGCAACAGAGAACAGTTAGGTTAGGGGTTGGGGTCAGGCAGAAGTGCAGTAGGGTGGAGTGGGAGAGCTGAGGTGTAGCTCTAGTTCTTCAATAACCTGCCACGTGGCTGGCAAACCACGCTGCTTCTGTGGACTTCTCTTCTCGTTCAGGTGTTAGATTCTACCAGTGCTTTTCTAACTGTGTTTCCCAGAGCCCAAGAGAATCCAGGGTCCCCTTAAGGAAATTCTAGACTCTAAAGTGAGGCTGTTCAACAGAACTTCTGTCCAACAGAGCTTTCTGCAATGATGGAAATGTTCGATATCCACGCTGCCTGATGGGTAACCACTCATCACTTATGGCTATTGGGTCCTAGAATTGTGTATAATGTGTGTGAGAAACTGAATTTAAAAGATTTTTAACTCACATAGAGCTATCTTACTTTAAATTAATTAAAATTAAATAAAATATAAAACAAGAGTGGCTACCATATTGGACTGTGTGGCTCTGGAGGGTCTGGGCTCAGGCCTAAGTGAACAGCGTCCAGGGCTTAACTGAAAGCTGCAGTGATGTTATTTTAAAGAAAATCCTAAAGAGGAAGCAGAATCATTCATGAGGCTACTCCCACCCACCTCTTTAGCCTGTGAGTATCTCTATCTCCAAAGCCTACTGCTGCTTCAACCAGACACATCTGCCTTTGCTTGCAAAAATGTGCTTCTGAAATAGTTTTCCCTGAGCAAAAGGACATTTGCAGCTAAAGGACAGCTAAAAGACATTTGCAAACCACTGGATTAAATAATCTCCAAAGTTCTTGAACATTGAAAGATTCAAATCCCCTAGTCCTAATCTCCCTTTGTATACAGCAGGGACCAAACACACATTCCTGGATGTGGCATGGGAGAGGGCGGCCTTCCCTGTGGTCCCACCCCACTTTACCTGGCATGGGGGAGATGCCAGTGTCACTGATGTAGTGTCCAAGCTGAAGAGGATCCCGGCTTCTCCGACAGGGCAGAGGCCTTCCATGATGCTCGCAGCTGCTCCCCCGGAACTGCTCATGGCTCTTCATAGTTTCTGCTCACTCTACACACTCAGACCATAGAAAGAAAACAGTCCACAGGCCAGAAAAAATCTGAATGCATTTCTCAGCCCAAGTCTCTTTTCCCATACAGGTGAGAAGGAGAGACCAAGGATCACCGAAGGAGTGATGTTCAGGGCTCTGCCACAGCTGCCTGGGGACGCGGGGAGGCTCTGAGGCCAGGGGCCCCACCACCATGGCCCTTTAGGGACAGTTGCTCCAGGGGTTAGGCAGGGATGGTGATGAAGTGTGGGGGAGGGTGGTCAAAGCAGGCAGCATGAGTTGCTCCTGTCCTTGCATTGAGATATCAATGCCATCTATGAGATAGAAATCTCACCTAGAAAAATACTTTTGGAAAATGATGGGGAAATGAGATTTAGAGCATTTCACATCTCAGAACCACTTACACAATCTACAAACTACATGATGGAAAGCCTGCCTTGTAGGAAGTGCCAATCTCTGTCTGTGACTGTTGGAGAGAAGGGAGGGAAAGATTTTATAGCTCTTAGAGGCGTCTTGCAGGTGAGGGGTTGTAGGGAAAGCATGGATAACTTCTCAGACAGGCCAATGCTCACATGGTTCCTTCCATTACACTTCCTCAGTCTCCCTTCAAAGGGCCACCCCCAAAGGTAAGTAACCCTCAGCAGCCCTCCAGAAAGCTTTTGTAAAAGGAAATGGCTTTGATTTTTCATCTTTCTCAACCACACTGAAACAAACAGTGTGGCCTGTTGAAGTTTAAGACAATATTTTAACCAAAGAATACAACTGAGAGAACCATACTATTGTATAAATTTTCCCAACCTCTCATTCTCACTTGCAGCTGAAATTGTTGACAGGAGTTTTGTCTTTTGCCATGTGCTTTGAGGGGATTTGAGGAAAACAGTGTGGCATTATGGGGAGGACTTGTCACAAGAGTATCATTTGCTATAGTTTTCTTGGCTTTATCACATTTCTGGTTGTCTCTTCTTATGGCTCAAACATGTTAAGTCACTTTCACCAAGCAAAATAATTAACAAAATACGAATCTTAAGACACTAAATTGCAATAGTGAGCATGGACACTTCCTTCTCTCCTGCCCTCTGGGCCTCTCTCATGTAACACAGCCACCATCTACATCTCTGTTACACACACAGAAAGCAAACAGCCACCCTTCTCATTCCTCTCGTTCCACCAATATGAATATTCTTTACAACCAGTTAAGCAGAAACAGAAGGTCTGAGACCTGCAGCTACCCTGTTGTTTGGTTAGAAAGACCATCTGGCTGGGCACGGTGACTCACACCTGTAATCCCAGCACTTTGGGAGGCCGAGGCGGGGGGATCACTTGAGGTCAGGAGTTTGAGACCAGCCTGGCCAACATGACGAAGTCTCATTTCTACTAAAAATACAAACATGAGCTGGGCATGGTGGTGGGCGCCTATAGTCCCAGCTACTCAGGAGGCTGAGGCAGGAGAATCGCTTAAACCCGGGAGGCAGAGGTTGCAGTCAGCCTGAATTGCAGCACTGCACTCCAGCCTGGGCAACAGAGTGAGACTCTGTCAAAAAAAAGAAAAGAAAAGAAAGAAAGACAGAGCGAGAGACAGAGAAAGAAAGAAAAGAAAGAAAGAAAGAGAAAAAAAGAGAGAGGAAACAAGGAAAAGAAAGAGAAAAAGAAAGACCATCCGCAGTCTTACCAACTTGCTTTCCACCTCTTTATCCATCCACCAGCCACTGAGGATGGTAGTGAGTTTCCTCAGGGTTTTCCTTCAGAAACAAAAGTTGATCAGATGGCTCCCCGTCAATCACTGATGCCAGGCACTATCGCTGCAGAGGTCTCTGTCAAGACTCTCCCAAGAGCAGCTGCCTTCAGTTGAGCACCATTTCCCTCCCCAACTTTTGGGGCAAGTTTGGCTGGCATGTCATCTGTTCAGTGTGTGTCTCCACTCAGCTTGAGTCTGTAGGGTAACAATAACATTTCCTCGTTCAGTTAGCCAGTTACCTCCAGAAATGAAAGTAACTGAAACTGGAACTGGAACTGCAGTGATGTTATTTAAAGAAATTCCTGGGCCGGGTGCTGTGGCTCATTCCTGTAATCCCAACACTTTGGGAGGCCGAGGCGGGCGGATCACGAGGTCAGGAGATCGAGATCATCCTGGCCAACATGATGAAACCTTGTCGCTACTAAAAATCCAAAAAATTCGCTGGGCGCGATGGCAGGCACCTGTAGTCCCAGCTACTCGGAAGGCTGAGGCAGGAGAATCACTTGAACCTGGGAGGCAGAGATTGCAGTGAGCCGAGATCGCGCCATTGCGCTCTAGCCTGGGCGAGAGAACAAGATTCCGACAAAAAAAAAAAAAAAAAAAAAAAAAAAATCCTAAAGAGGAAGTAGAATCAAGCATGAGCCTACTCCCACCCACCTCTTCAGCCTGTGAGTATCTCTATCTCTAAAGCCTAGCACAGGCTCTGATTCATGGCAAATGAATGAATGAATGAATGCTCTAAGCTGTACACAGCTGGAAAGTAAGGCAATATTTTCAAATTAGATGCTGAAAACATATTGGCATAGCTCCTTTCTTTCCCCTTATTTTTAGTTTTTGGCCTAGGTCATAATTAAGTTAAAGATTTCTTCCAGGGGTGACTTCTCAAGTACAATAAAATAGGCAGACTTTGTCTACAGTGCCCCGTCCTTGCATTCAGCAGCTCCATGGTTGTTCATACAGGACTGGGAGATGCTATTTTCTGCCTAAAAGATTGGGATGGGAAAGGCCAGGTTGTGAAGGGAGGCATCTCCACAGTGAGAACTCCTGCAGGCTCCTGTGCTCAGTAACTGTGTTGGCTGCTTTGGGGGCTGCTCCTGTTGGTGGCTCAGTATGAGAGGCCTGGTTCCTGATGGCAATGTGCAAGGTTAGGCTGTTGAGCTCATCAGTTAATAGCTACGTGCCCTGTAGAAGCTGCACCCTCAGCATGTCCATCCTGCTGCTGTTTGAAATCCCATATGCCAAAGCAAGGGCAGTGTCCATCTTGTTTCCAAGCTCATTATTCCTAAAAGATGCAGGATAATTGCCCAGTCTACCAAGCAATGATTTCAGATGATTGCAAGTCAAAATCTCCGCCAGAACCTTCAAACATCCTGCAATAATAATTACATGTCAACTCCGGGGTTACCCTCTAAAGATTCTCCTTTTGTAGTGTGAATATCTCTTTATTATGGGCTGGAACCGATAATAAATTCATCATATGGAGCTAGGTCACAACTAAGTAAGAGCAGTTTAGAACTGAAGAGTCCACACGGCTCACTGCCTTCCCCTGTGCCGTTGACTGCTGGTTTAATAAATCCAACTCATCAGGTAGGTCTTATTTCTGAGAAAAGACTGTGAACACTTCCCACTGGACTAGGGACACCTCTTTATGCCCCCTACTCACTAGAGCACTCTTACTCTATTGACTATATAAACCCCTCAGAATCATTTCCTGTGATTGATTGAGAAGATAAAATCAAAAGTTATTGAGATTTTAAAAGGAAAAAAGAAATCTCACTTTAGAAAAATGGAAAACTTATTTTGCTCACATTCCATAAAATTACTTATATTCTCGCAGGACTCAGCAGAGGATTTTGCCTGATACCTGCCTGGAGTCACATGGGATTCACTTTCCCAGTTGTTCACAAGGAGGTGATTAATGATGAGCCTGAAAGTCACCACTCAGGAAGGATGTTCTTTATGACTTTGGCCTACTTTTCTAAAAATGGACTCAAAGGAGTGAGTCTCATTTAAATGCCTGGAAGAGAAAGTAACCTACCTGATTATTGCAGCCCAAAGGACTCGGGAGAGGGAGACTTCATGAGCAGAGGCTGAAGTAGAAGTTTGGATTAAAAACAATGAAAAAGTAGACAAGCAGTGGAACATAAAATTAAAAACACAAAACAAACACAACAAGCATTTGTAAGGAGAACCAGTTAGCAATACACTCTGATGGTAGATGGGTAATGATGTAAATACAAGCTGAATAACCTCCTCACTATGCATCTGTGAGACACAATTAGGAGAGAGGCTCACAATTGAGTAAGGGAAAGAGCTATAGCAACTTGTAATTAAGCAAAAACAAGCTGCTCAGGAGGCGTCACTAGGCTACGGTTTGTTGTTCTAACACTCACCACCACATAGCACATGCTTTTCTATTTTGCAGAATGCCATTCCATTGACAAGATGTATATAGTTTGTTTTCACAGAGGTCTGTCCTTGCCCTTTCCATGGAAGCAATACTTCTTCTATGATTACTTAGCTGTTTGGGACATGTGCAAATGTAAACAAAACTACCACAACACTTCCAAAGGCGTGGCTGACTCACTGGGCAGCCTACTTGTTGCAGGACGTTCCCTGCACCACCCCTCCCATGGAGATGGCTCTCCTGGTGAACTCCTGCCCCCTCCTTCCCACTACTTCATGCCACAGTGTAGGTGTAAGCAACTACAAAATAGGCCTATGCAGACCCCATGTTCTTTAGTCCAACTTTGGCTCCATGTGAGGAAGGGCAGATATGGCAGCCCTTACCCTCCTGCAGCACAAGGACAGCTGGGGAGACAGAGGGAATCTACATGGGACTCCCTAAATTTGCACAGAGCATAATGAAATCCAGAGTGTTGCAGCCAGAAGGAGATATAACAATTCAAAGGAAGAGGAAGTCGATAAGAATGAAAATGACCAAGAAATGCTTTGTGGATTAAATGGAGGCAGCATGGCATAGTGAGTATGTGTGTGGCTTTCAGAGCCAGCCAGATGACCCTCAATGAGTTCATCAGTGTCTCTGAGCTTTGATGCTCTTACCCATTTTTTTTTCAAATAGAAAATATAATACCCATCCCACCACTCCTAAGTATGAAAGGAAATAACTTATGTAATGCACTCAGCAGTGTTTAGCACATTGTAATTACTCAACAAAGGGAACGATTACTCTTACAGAATTTTGGCTGGACCTAGAAATCTAAGATTAGGGTAGATGGATGGTGAAGAGGGTCATATTCCACGCTGGAAATGAAAGTATAATACACAGTTTTTGCACATACATGTGTTCATTCTTACACGTGTGTACACTCAAGAAACACCTTTCTAATGACCAATGATTGGAGGCAGCAAGAAGGAGACCATGAGCCTGTGATGCTGAAGGAATCCTTGAGTAAACTTTCGACAAGGACTCATGAGTAAGGTCAAGGTTAGGAGGTGTTGGGGAAAAAAAGGTCAATAATAAAACACATTCACTATGTTACCCTACTCTATGCACCTTAAATCAGCACAGTAACCTATGAAATTGACATTAAAGGGTAAAAACTCAGGTTGTTTTCCCAATCCATGGAACCCCAGAGATAACTGGCCTCTTTCATCTTGTTACCTGAAGTATCCAATATGACAAAATCAGGAAGAATCATACATAGATTGTGTTTTATTTCTGGGGAAAAAAAATCTTAAGTTTTCTTGAGAAAGCTAACTGGTCTTGTTAAATCATTTCTTTATTCATTCTTTTAATAAGTACTTTATGGATTATCTACTATATAACAAACATGTGCCAGAAACTGAATAGTGAGAAGCAAACTCTGGTCTCTTCCCTTGTGTATTTTAGAGCCCAACTGGCTGCAGACATCAATTAAATGATAATGTAAATATGAATTTATGAATTGTGAAAAGGGCCATGATGGACATGTTACATAGAGAGCTAAGAATATGCATGGGATCTGATCTGGTCAAGGAAATGAGGATGAACATCTTGTGGGCAGAGATCTGAACAATTCAGGGAATTAAATGGGGGATGGGGAAAGTGGTTTAGACTCAGGGAAACATGAGTGGCCTGAGAGAGAAGGGAGCAAGTGTGGTCTGAGAAACTAAAAGATGGCTATGGCTAAGGTGTTATTAGGTTGACGCAAAAGCAATTGTGGTTTTTGTCATTACTTTCAATGCAAAAACTGCAATTGCTTTTGCACCAACTTAACGGAAGCCCAGTGAACAGAGGCAGAAAAAAGCTGAAAGTATGTGCAAGGACCTGGACCATAAGGCTATGTTAGAAATTTGGGACTTTTTTAAGAGCAATAGGAAGCCCATTGAAGTATTTTAAGGTCTCCCAGACTTGCTGGGGAGAATAAATGGAAGAGGAACAAGACTGAAAATGTGAAGACCAAAATGTCAAGAGTCGTGGGGAGTGATGATGCTGGCTACAAAGAGGGTGATGATGCTGAACATAATCAGAAGTGAATAGACTTGAGAGATAGTTAGGATTTGAAATCAGAGAGACATGGGGACAGATTGGTTATTTGGAGGTGCACAAGAAGGTACCAAGATAGAAAACTAGGACAGGCAAGATCAGTGATCTGAGAGGCTGGACAGTCAGAGGAAATCTTGAGGAAACAGGGGACCCAAGATGCTTCCTTGGGTCAGCAGAGATAAGCAAGGCCGGGTGGTGGGGGCTCTCCCTTGCAAGGTTAGGCTGTTGTGCAAGGTTAGGCTGTTGATTCTATCAGTTAATAGCTACATGCCCTGTAGAAGCTAGACCATCAGCATGTCCATCCTGCTGCTGTTTACCATCCCATATGCCAAAGCAAGGGCAGTGTCCCTCTTGTTTCCAAGCTCATTAGTCCTAAAAGTTGCAGGAGAATTGCCCAGTCTACCAAGCAATGATTCCAGACGATTGCAAGTCAAAATCTCTGCCAGAGCTTTCAAACATCTTGTGATAATAATTACATGCCTGGGGTTACCCTCTAAAGATTCTCCTTTTATAGTGTGAATATCTCCTTCTCATGGGCTCCAGATCTAAAGGGAATGTATTGGCTTCTTCTGCCAAGAGGTGGGTGCTTAGGAAGTGCTACCTGGGAGCCCAAAAAAGAGCCTAGCAGTGAGAATATCTGGGCATGTCCCCTAGTGGGAGCAGAGAGAGCTGTTTGGAAGTTCTGAGGAGTGGTGTGGCACCCAGCAGAGCAGCTCCTGGGCATCTAAGAGTTGTTCACTGGAAACACTCAGTGAAGACAGCACAAGGCAGAGGAAGGTCCCAGGCTGGTATGTGCCTCTCAGAACAGAAAAGTGCCTTTTTCTACCCAGGGTCTGTACCTTACCAGGCCTTCTTTTCATCAGCTTTGGTTCTTCAAGTGGGGAGGAGTCACTGAATGCTCCTTGATACCTGCTAGCAGTGATAATTAAAAAAAATATATATATATACAGAGAGAGTTGTATTTGTAAGTTTTCTAAAGCACTAAGTTGGAAAAACTTGCAAGTGGCTGAGGGTTTCCCCAGGTCACTAAGAGCATCTTCAGGACAAGAGCATATTTTCTATACCACTGCATTCAGAGTGTCGAGCATGACTGAATGAATAAATGCAGTCCTGCTTCCAGGTTAGAGTAACAAGTGCATTTCAGAAGACCTCAGGCAAGGAATCAATCAACAGATGAGCTTGGCAAAATTGAAAATATATTTCATTACTGTTTGTGTGTGGGTGTGTGGGGGCGACACTCTAGAGGTCTTGTAAAATAGAATCTTGAAGGCTAATTTTAGCCCCGTTTCCACATCTTGCTAACTTATTTTCCTCTGACATGGAATAAAGCCATGAAGAAGTGCCAACGACTAACACCCAGGGTTTTTATGCTCCTTCATTGGCAGAGGTTGTTTTGCCCTTTGTTGTTGTCAGCTGCCAGAGGAATTGCATCATCAGGTTGATGGCAGTCTTGCCCTGCTGCTCTATTCCTTCCATGACCATGAGAGTAGGGGGCACAGCACCTCAGACGTGGGCTGTTGGAACTGATCTCCCACCACGTAGGGAGTGGGGCCAGGCTTGAAAGTGTTCGGAGGCGTGTGGCAGACCATCCTGTAAAGAAGAGGCTCATTTCCCTTGTTTGTCCTCCAACTTAAACTTCCTTTCCAAGCATTGAATCTTGGCTGCCTCAAATTCCCAGACAACCCAATATACAATACTGCCTATAATTTTGAGTTCAGGTCTCTAGAGGGACAGTTTATATGCTTATAAAGTGTCATTCTTCCAAGCCCTGTCTCCCCCATCAGCTGCATATTTTATAACTCTGCCATCCTTCATTCTGGGTATTTTTGTTCACTTATCAGTCTTCTCTTTCCATGGTCAGCAGGACCATGTGACCCACATAAGTAAACATTTATTAAAAATTCACATGATTAGAAATGCAAATTAAAATGACACTGTATTTTTTTGCCAATCAAGTTGGCAAAGTTTTAAAAATGTTAATACTTAATGTTGTCAAGTTGCCAAGAAAATGGGTACTGTCTTACACTCTTGTCAAGGATATAAATAGCTCAACCCTTCTGGAAGGTAATAGAGCAATTTTATCCTATTGCTCTATTACCTATTGTCTTGAAAATAATACATGTCCTTTGACCCAGCATTTACACATTGAGGGTGTTTGCTAAGTCTCTCAATTTAACTCTCGCAATAATTTCATGAAGTAGTTACTATATTATTGGTACTCACTTACTAATAAGAAAACCGAAACTCAGAAAGGGTAATTTGTTCCAGGTTACACAGTAAATATATGGCCAGAAAGGGACCCAAATACAGATCTCAAATGTGAGACTAAAATCTCAAATGATGCCTACGTCTGTGTTCTTATACTTACTGCAAGAATTATCAATGATTTACTTATCTAATAGGGAATATTGAAAACAACCTGAATATCCAATAATAGTGAGTTGATTTTTTAAATTATAGTGTAACTATACAGATATATATATACAAAAAAGAACATATATTATTTTTAAATGATATTGTAGAAGAATATTTAATGACATAGAAATATGTTCATAATAGATAAGTAAAAAGACAAGGTCATACAACAGAATGTACAATATAATCTCAACTTTATAAAAATATTGGTATACATATGCATAGGAAAAAGACCAGAAGAATAGGCATCAAAAAGTTAATAGTGTTCATCTCTTACTTCTGGAGTTATGAGACTCTCTGCTGTCTTCATCCTTATCTGCATTTTCTGCATTTTGTATAACATATGCATATTTTCTGTAAGGAAAGTAAATTACTAAACATGATTTAGGGCCAGACCCAGGGGCTCAAGCCTAAAATCCCAGCACTTTAGGAGGCCAAGGTTGGAGGATCACGTTAGCCCAGGAGTTCGAGGCTGCTGTGAGCACTCCAGCCTGGGTGACAGGATGAAACCCTGTCTCTAAAATATAAAAATTTTTAAAAAGATTTAAAAGTCTTGAAAATCCACGTCTACCCCTCCACCCACATTCCCACCCTTTAGCCTGGATGGACTCCAGACCCATAATAGTAGCCTCCATTTACTACACATTTGCTACTTGCCTGGCCAGTAAGCTTTTAGGGGAAAATTTATGTACTTCTCACTATCAACAATTTTAGGCCTATGTCACAAATAAGAAAGCTGAGGGCTCCATGACATTATACAACTTGTCAAAGGTGGCACAGTTCATAAGTGGCAGAGCTGGGACTCCAGCCCTATCATCTGATTCCAGAGCCTATAGAGCGGTGGTTGAGAGCAAGGGCCCTGTAGCAAGCGGGCTTGGGCTCAGATTCTGACTGAGTCACTTGCTAGCTATGAGGAGTTCTTTCCTCTTGGTACTTCAATTGCTTCTTTTGTAAATTTGGAAAATAATGGTGTTTTTCATGTAACAATGAGAATTAAATTAGTTAATTATGTAAGGTGCTTAGA
This sequence comes from Homo sapiens, assembly GCF_000001405.40. Lineage (NCBI taxonomy): Eukaryota > Metazoa > Chordata > Mammalia > Primates > Hominidae > Homo > Homo sapiens. The sequence continues at coordinate 42,753,082 of NC_000013.11, forward strand.
ACAGCATATGGTATGTAGTACCTGAAGGGCTATTATCAGTAAAAGGGCCCTACTAGTTAATGCTGGGAGGCAGGATAAAGTGGCTGAGGAAACAGGGAGCCAAGTACATCTGGAACTGCAATCAGTGTTGGCCACTTAACTGGGTGACCTTGAGCAAGTTACCTGATCTCTCTGTGCCTCTATTTCATTATCTTTTATGTCAAATGCCTGGTTCCTGGTAATTGCTGATGATAAGTATTGTCCTAATCATTCTATCTTTTTTTTTTTTCCTGCACAGTGTGATGCAGTTGCTGGTTAGGAAGCCACCTCTTTGCTCAGGCTGAGCTCTACCCCTGGACCACACTGAAGAGCTATTGCTAAGATCCATATGGGGAAGCTGAAGTACAGTGATAGATGTACTGTGCTCTTGATCTTTTTCAGGAGAGGGATATGTTCTGATTCTGAAGCAGGAAAAGAAGTTCGCCAGTTCAACACCTTTCTCCTTTACTTATTTAACGACAACAATAACAAAATCTTCAGCTCTGCCAGAAACAAGAAGCCCCAAAATGTTTTGCTTCTTTTAATAGTACAAAAAAAAAATCCATCTGCTTGCCATTTACCTCCGGAGCCTGGAAGCACAGCAATTCTCAGAGCAGCGGCAGAGAGAGCAGCTTAATGGCTTTAAGGGTTTTTGACTGTATACAGCCTGGGAAAATAAACACCAGCCGCCATTAAGGTGTCTGCATGTTCCCCTGGGAGGAGAAGGGAAGAGGGAGAAATGATGTCAGCATCTCAGAGAGTGGCAGGACTCATGTTGTTTTCTTCTTTTAAAATTATAAGACTAACGCTTGCTGCATTCCCGCCCACCGCTCCCTGTGCAATCTCTCCCAACTGTGCCAAGACACATAATCCTTGTTCCCTTGGACCACCCAGAAGGTCTGATTTGGAATGGCACTAAACAAATGACACCTCATCCAGACTCCTGGGAGCACCAGCCCTGGGAGAATGACTCCAGGTGGCAGTGGCTTTGGGGATGTAATCTAGTCCGATATCATCCCTCCCTGGGATGACTCCGGAGGGGCCACCTCAACTCCACACTTTTGATTTATTTGGGGTCAGCACCAGCAGTCTGGCTCAGCATGGACTACACTACTGGTCTTGGGAGTAGAGTAGCCAGAATCTCCTCCCATCAAGGTTGATCTGAGCCGTAGTCAGTTGTCCTGCTGGGGAAGGTAGGCCCTGGCTGAAGGGACACATACAGGCCTCCTTAGGTCAGATCCAATGTCCCAGCTGAGCCATTTCCTCAAGATAAAGCTTTAAGGGAAACCAATGGCCTGAGGAGTGTAGGAGATCATGTGGGGGCCTCAGAAAGAAAAGGCTGCTGAATTAAAGATGGATTCTTCAGCAAAATGTGTCCTCAGTAAGAGCAAACCAGAGATGTTCTAGAGCAGGGGTCTGCAAACTGAGGCCTGTGGTTCACATACAACCCACTGCCAGCTTTTATGCAGCTGGTGAGCTAAGATTAGTTTTCACATTTTTTTAATGGTTAGGGAGAAAAAAGCAAAAGAATGACAATATTTTGTAACACATGAAAATTATATGAAATTCAAATATTAATGCTCATAAGTAACATTTTTATTAGAACACAGCTCTCTGTGGCTGTTCTCATACAACAGAGTTGAAGAGTTGCAACAGAGGCCATGTAGCTCACACAGCCTAAAATAGTTACTACGTGGCCCTCTAAAGAAAGGGTTTGCTGACCCCTGTTCTAAGGCAGTGGTGTTCAAACTTCAGTGTGCATCTGCAGTCACCTGCAGGGATTGTTAAAACAGATTGCAAGCCCCATTCTGAGTTTCTGCTTCAGTAGGTCTGAAGTAGAGTCTGAAATCTGCATTACTAATAAATTCCCAGGTGATGTGGATGCTGCTGGTCCAGTGGCCCCACTTTGCGAACCAGTGTTCAAGAGAGCCAGGAACTGTGATAACCCACTGGACAGAGAGAGCAAAAGGAAAATGAGAGAAGACACTGAGGGGAAGGGATTTCTGAGGAATAGTAAAGCTGGAAAGGTAGGTAAAGAAATGTTCAAGGGAATAAACATGTGTTTGAGTGTACTTCTCAGCAAACATGCACATACAAACAGCAGACAGAGAGGAAAATGAAAGATTTGGAGCTTTAATGGGAAGGAGACACTTCTTTGATTAAAATATGTGGGCTGAAAAACAACAAATTCCATTGAAGTTCACTACTCAAGTTCACTTGGCTTTTAACCACCTCACTCCCTCTAAGTGGGACTTGAAAGAGTTGCTTATGAAAGTACTAGGTTGAAAATGAAGAAGTTAGTTCTTAACCCTTTGGGGTAAGGGTGTTTTCATTCAAACTTTATTAACTTCTCTCTCTTAGGCAAAGGAGCCAGTTATTTGTTTGGGTTATCTATTGCTACATATCAAACTATTGCAAACTTTGTGGCTTAAGACACAATAACTGTTTGTTGTTGTTGTTGTTGTTGTTCAGGATTCTGTAGCTGGACTGGGTTCACCTGGGTAGCAGCCCTGCTGCTCTTGTCAGAGGCCATTGGTGTGGCTACATTTAGCCACTGGGTTAGGAGGGATGCTTGCATATCTGGGATCTCAGGGCCTCCCCCTCATTATGGGGCCTCTCCACGTGTCTTTCCAACAGGACAGCCAGACTTTTTACATAATGGTTTAGGGTTCCCAGATGCACAAAAGCAGAAGCTGACAGGCCTTTTTAAGATTTAGGGACAGAACTGGCACAGTAACACTTCTGGGGCTTAAACTGGTTGGCCAATCCAGATTCCAGCGGACATGACCCCACAGGTACAAACACTGAGAGGCAAGGCTCCAATGTAACAGACTAGAGAGGGGTTTGTCTGGGAAGGATTTCCAGAAAACGAAAGGAAGACATGGCAAGAAGAGAGATCCCCCAGGGAATGAATAGATGGCTTCACAGGGACAAAACTAAGATTTATGGTAATTTTTTGAGTCGCACCGTAGGACTGAAAGCACTGGAAGCTTTTCAAGAACATTAATGATTTTTCCTTTTTTATTTTTTAATTGTGCCTACACAAGTTCTAGAACAGCAAATACTTCCTAATTTGACTAAACTCACCTAGTTACTGGCAATTACCTTAATTGTACATTCATGAAAAACTCACCAGAGGTGAAATAAGATTACCTTTAAGGGACGTAATTGGTGGGTTTTGTGTGGTTTTTTGGCTGTTGTTTTCTTTTTGTTATAATACAAGCACACTAGTAGGTCCCCTTTTGAATGTTCTACGGGTATCTGCAAATTAGAGCTTGCATTTGGGGAGAAAAAATGGAACAACCACTTTCCTCCCAGTCGTTCCTTCATTCTTTTTTCCATATTTATCCACTTATTTGTTTGTTTTCAATTATAAATGGAGCTTGTTCAATACACATTTTAATGTACCTCACATTTTCACTTAACATTCTGACCATATGAGCATATACAACTCTCTATTATTCTTTTTGATGGTTCCATAGTGTTTTATTACATTATTTAGCTAATCTCTAATTGTAAGAGAATTAAAAACATATGTTCACACAAAAACTCATATATGAATATTCATGACAGCATTATTCATAAGAGCCGAACAGCAGAAACAACACTAATAACCATCAACTGATGAATGGATAAGTAAAATGTGGTATGTCTATACGATGCAGTATTGTTTGCCAATAAAAAGAAATGAAGTACGAACGGTCCCTGACTCATGATGATTTGACTTAAGATTTTTTGACTCTACGGAGGTGCAAAAATGATATGCATTCAGTGGGAACCATACTTCAAGTACCCATACAACTACTCTGCTTTTCACTGTCAGTACAGTATTCAGTGGCTTGACTTACATGAGATATTCCACACTTTATTATAAAAACAGGCTTTGCGTTAGATGGTTTTGCCCAACTGTAGACCAATGTAAGTGTTCTGAGCACATTTAAGGTAGGCTAGGCTAAGCTATGATGTTCAGTAGGCTAGGTGTTTTAAAGCATTTTTGACTCAATAATATTTTCAATTTATGATGGTTTCCTTGGGACATAACCCTGTCATAAATCAAGGATTATCTGCACTGATACATACCGCAACATGAATGAACCTATGCTAAGCAAAAGAAGCTGGACACAGAAAGCCACATATTTTATGATCCATTTATATGAAATGCAAATCCATAGAGACAGAAAGTGGACTTGCATTCCTTCATTCTTGAAATGCTCTCTGTGTTAGTCCATTTTCACACGACTATAAAGAACTACCTGAGGCTGGGTAATTTATGAAGAAAAGAGGTTTAATTGACTCACAGTTCCGCATGGCTGGGGAGGCCTCAGGAAACAGAATCATGGTGGAAGGTGAAGGGGAAGCAAGGCATGTCTTATAGGGTGGCAGGAGAGAGAAAGAGAGAGTGAGAAGGGAACTACCACACACTTTTAAACCATCAGACCTCATGAGAATTCACTCATTCTCATGAGAACAGCATGGGGGAAACCGCCCTCATGATCTAATCACCTCCCACCAGGTCCCTGCCTCAACATGTGGGGATTACTATTTGAGATGAGATTTGGGTGGGGACACAGGGACAGACCATATCACTCTCCTTCCTGGGCTTCTGCAGTGAGTCTCTTCTGGGTCTCCTTACTAGCTTTCTGATGAGTTCTGCTTCAGGTGTGTCCTCCTCCATGTGCTCTTTCAGCACCATGGTCCTTGGTGGCCCTCATCTTCTCTCATTCCACATGCTCCTTCTTACAGAACTCACAACCACTGTGACAAATTTGCTGACACTATGACTTTTGAGCATATTCCTCCAACCTTCTTCCTAAAGCCCTCATGATCTACTTGGTTTAGATAATTACCTGTCTGCCTTCTATGTTCCCAAGTACTGTACATATATTTTTTTGCATATTAATCACATAGCATTTAATTATTTTGTCTGGAGGCTGCCATCTTATCTTTCCTTTTAAGTTTAATTTAATTTTCTTTTTTAGAGATAGAGTCTTACTCTGCTGCCCAGGCTGGAGTGCAGTGGTGTGATCATAGCAGCCTCTAACTCCTGGGGCTCAAACAATCTTCCTGTCTTGGCCTCTAAAAGCACTGGGATTACAGGCACGAGCCACCGTGCCTGGACTTGCCTTGTTTTTTAAAATATCCAGTGCTTAATACAGTTGTAGACAATGAGTGTTCATTATTGAATGGGAGAGGAAAATAGTAATAACAGCTAATACTTTTCTTGTGTTTACTGAATACCAGGCACTGTTTTGAGTTTTTTATTTGTATTAACTCACTCAACCACCACATAAACCCTTAAAGGCAGGAATGTTATCATGCCAATTTGAATGGAGAAACTGAGATTTAAAAAAAAAAAATTTAAGTAACTTTTTAAAGATCACATACATACCAAATGGTAGAGATAGAATTAGAACCCAAACATTGTGGCCACAAAGTCTGTGTTCTCAACCATTATGGTATATTGACATTGAGAGACTTGGATATTCCATTTTCCTCTTCCAAGCCCTCAAAATTCCAGTATGGCCAAATGAATACAATAGACTTTCTCTTTGACTCTGGCCATAGGAAATGATTTTTTCAGGGTCATTGTTCATAGTTTGTTTTCAGGGTCATTGTTCACAGTTTGACTAATATTTGTCAAAGTGTTAGTCAATCGATTGTATTGCCTAAGCCAAACTTTCTACACAGATAAGCATTACTGTGAATTCATTTGAAAACATTTATTGAGCACCTCATATGCACCACGCACAGTCGTGGGCATTGAAGATAGACTGGTGATCCAGAAATGAACCTGTCCTTTTGAGGCAGAACTTGGGAATAAAGACGTTTTCTACTTCCTACATATACTTGTCAATAGTTGCCCCAAAGTCTGTCTGCCAATTAACTTCTGATTAAACAAGAGTTGAGATAAATCTGTGATGCTGCCTGTATTAGTCAGGGTTCTCTAGAGAAACGGAACCAATAGGATAGGAGAGAGAGTGGGGTGGGTAGGAAGGGGAAGGAATATTTTATAGAACTGGCTCCCACAATTGTGGGGGCTGGCAGGTTTGAAATTTGTAGGGAAGGCTGGCAGGCTAGAAACTCGGCTAAGAGTTAATGTTGCAGCCTTGAGTCCCAAATCCACAGGGCAGGCCAGCAGGCTGAAAATTTAGGAAAGATTGTAATGCAAAATTCCTTCTTCTTCAGGAAACTTGAGGCAAAATTCTTCCTTCCTTGGGAAACCTTGGTCTTTGCTATTAAGACCTTCAACCAAGGTCCACCCACATTATGGAGGGTAATCTGATTTACTTAAGGTGCACTGATTATAAATGTTAGTCACATCTAAAAACTACCCTTATAACAACATCTAGACTAGTGTTTGACCAAACAACTGGGCATCCTAGTCTAGCCAACTTGACACATAAAATCAACCATCACACTGCCCATTAGCCACAGGTGCACAAAGTTGGGGAGGAAACATTTTAGAAGCTGTGAATACAAATGTTATCTCCAACTGAGGAAAAATGTTGTTAACTTAGAGGCTATTTTTTAATGCACTGTCTAAATTTACGAAGAATGCGCTTAAATATGCCTTTTTAAATTTTGTCTTCTAATTTGCAAATAACCCATACCACCTCCCTCCTTTGTACCCAAATACTCCCTTCTCTGAACAAATGATTGCATCTGCCATTTCACCTTCTGGAATGCCCTTCCTCTTCCTCATGAAAGGCATTAATCAAGACACTTGTCCTCCACTACATTTTCCATGATGCCTCTCGTCTAGCTGCAGGCTTCCTAGATGCTCCACAACTCATAGAGCTATAGAACTTTAGAATTTGAAGGGAGGATACTTAGTAGCCAACATAGTCAAATTTCCTCTTTTTACCTCTAAGGAAACTGGAGGCAGTGACTCTCCTGAATTTGAGGTGAAAGCAGGCCTAGAATTCAGGTCTATTCTCTGCTAGCCTCAGGCTTTTATAGATAGGGTAGGCAGGGGAGAACCATTGCATATTGGAAATAAAACTATCCTGATGGAATAGATGAGATTCTGCCCTGGATATAACTAGTAGACCTTGACCAAGATTTTTAATCTCCTGGAATGCCAGTTTCTTAATTTGTTAAATGGCTTAAATCAGTGCTTCTCAAACATAGATAGGCATATGGATCGCCTGGGATCTTGTCAAAACAGACTCTATTTCAACAGGTATGGGTTGAGGCCTGAGGTTCTGCATTTCTTTTTTTTTTTTTTTTTTTTTTGAGATGGAGTTTCGCTCTTATTGCCCAGGCTAGAGTGCAATGGCGCAATCTCGGCTCACCGCAACCTCTGCCTCCCAGATTTAAGCAATTATCGTACCTCAGCCTCCCGAGTAGCTGGGATTACAGGCATGTGTCAACTCGCCCGGCTAATTTTTGTATTATTAGTAGAGATGGGGTTTCTCCATGTTGGTCAGGCTGGTCTCGAACTCCCAACCTCAGGTGATCTGCCTGCCTCTGCCTCCCAAAGTGCTGGGATTACAGGCGTGAGTCACTGCACCCAGCTGAGGTTCTGCATTTCTAACCAGCTTTCAGTTGCTTGCCTACACTACTGAGTGCCTGGATTTTCTTTTGAGTAGATGGGCACAGATGATCTCTAAGCCCACTTTGAGCTTTACAACTCTGCGATGTGGTGATTCTATGATTGGAGATGGCAGTGTCAAAGGCATATAAAATGGGCTGTAGGGAAAAAAAATACTAAATTTTACCTACACTTCTCTGTACACTTTTGCCTACAGTATTTTCTTCTACATAGGATCACCATATATTCTAATTTGCCTGAGAAAGTCTTGGCTTATGCCTGTTTCCCATTCTGATTAATCGTAGAGACCCTTTCACTATCAAAAAATGATATGGTCACTTATCTTCTAAGTTACTTTTTCTCCTTATCTGTGTCCACAGAATACAGAATGCATTAGATTCCCACCATTTGCCTATTTCAAGCCAAGGAAAAAAGTGTGTTCCAGATAGTTTTTTTACACAGTACGTCAGAACCCCATGATTTGTGAATTGCTGTTTTGTTTCCCTACTAACAGCATAGTCAGTTCAGGAATTTTTGGCAAGGGCCTTTTGCGTCCAGCCCGCCCAAGATGTGGGACCCTGGGAAAAACTGCTTGCTGTTTGTTTTGTGGTGACTGACAGCAAAGCTCGCTTGAAAAATTAAAAGCTACATGGAAAATACCTCACGGGTGATTTTTCCATTCCCTAGTCTCACAGAATCCTTGTCTGAGTGTACAGTTCCCAAGTTCAGGGGCACCTTCAGGCAGTGAACTTCGATGCCCACCTATCTCAAGGCATTCCTCAAAGCACTGCATGAAGGGTGGGGTTCAGCCCCAAACCGTAAACCCCTCACCTACTGTTTCTTTGTCTACTTTCTTTTTTTTTTTTTGAGATGGAGTCTCGCACTGTCTCCCAGGCTGGAGTGCAGTGGCACAATCTCAACTCACTGCAACCTCTGCCTCCTGGCTTCAAGTGATTCTCCTGCCTCAGCCTCCCAAGCAGTTGGGATTACAGGCGCCCACCACCACACCAAGCTAATTTTTCGTATTTTTAGTAGAGACGGAGTTCCACTATGTTGGCCAGGCTAGTCTCAAACTCCTGACCTCGTGATCCTCCTGCCTCGGCCTCCCAAAGTGCCGGGATTACAGGCATGAGCCACTGAGCCCAGCCTCTTTGTCTACTTTCTGTCTTGCATTGTATTTCTCCAAAGAATCCCAATCAAGGGATTATATTCCCAGAAGCTTTAATATCAATTATTATTTATCTTTTATTATTAGCTAGTGAGAGTCAATAATAGCTAGTGGCCTTTATTCATTTTTCTATTCATTTAATAACTATTTGCTAAGTGCCTACAGTGTGCTAAGAGAAGATTATTTGACAGCTGAAATTAAGAACTGGACACAGGTTTAGTCTGTGGATCTTAGTCCCTAACTGAAAGAAGATGGGAAAGAGAGAGGGTTGTTAGTGGAAAATTGAAGGGGTAATAAACGTGACAGCCTCTTGTTTTCTACAATTGATTCAGAACATAAGTGCCTATGCATAAAAAGGAGAAAGAGACACGTAATTAATATCGGTCACAAAGGATTAGCCCACTGCTGGGCCATCCAGGAGACCTTGACCACCTGTTTAAACCTGCAACTCAGCCCCTAACTCGGAACTCCAAATCTCTGTGATCCTCTATTTTTTCCACTGCGCTTGCCTTATAATATATAATATAACTCACCTTTTTATGGTGTTTATTGTCTATCTTCCTCCATTGGAATGTGTGCTCCATAAACTGGTTGAGTAAGTGGCTCAGACCTGTAAAATGATGTCAGACACGCAACATTCCAGAATGAGCTGAAACTTGAAAACAATGTCAGAACAACAGAAAGGGATTTTTTTTAAACTGTGAAAAGTAAGAAGAAACAGATAAACACACAGAGGGTTGAGGAATGTTGAATACACTTTAACAAATGACAGAGAGCAGAATCACTCAACTCCTATTTTGCTTCTGTCTTCTCCAGGAAGAAAAACAAAATGGGAACTTGAAAGCACCAGGCAGAGTAAATAATATAAAGAAGGAATTGCAATTCAGAGCATACACTTTGCATGTATTCACATCTCCACACTAGCTGAATGGCATCTCAGGTAGTAAGTTTGATCAACATCAAAACCACCGTAGGCACTCTTGAACAACAGCAAGCGTGTGAGAGATTTTTCAAGTATCCCAATTTTCTAGAGGGAGTAAGAATATACTATTATATATGATTCATGCACAGTACATTGCAATTTTTTTGATGCAAAATTGAACAAGACAAGGTCCAGTGCTGAATTGCTGTATGCTCCTATACAGACATCATCTAGTTTGGTCTGAAGTCATTCATCAGTATTTTTTGAGTAGAGATGTTGAATAAGCTTTCTCCTAGCACACACCATCCTCAAGATTATAGTTCACATTCTTATTCCCAACAACATAATCAGAGATTTTGTTAAGTACAGTTTGTGCGTAGCATTCCTGTAACTGAGTAATGACCCTACTGAAAAGGAAATGAGGTAAGCGTGACATAACTTGGTCTTGGTGAGTCATCACTCTAAGTGATGACTGTTTTTCAAGTGATAACTGTTTGCCATGAAAGTCTAGATTTTTTCTAAAAATCAACATTTCATATATAAGATTTTCAGATCATGCAAAACATTTGGAAGTAACTAATACAAAAGATAACATAATCCACAATCAAAATTATTAGGGTTGGTGCAAAAGTAATTGTGGTTTTTGCCATTAGTGGTATTTGCCACTAGTGGTTTTTGCCATTAAAAATAATTTTTTATTTAAAATTAAAATTATTTTTAATGGCAAAAACCGCAACTACTTTTGCACCAACCAAATACTTTGACAGTGTTGAATGCAAGTGTAAAATCAAGAAGATAAAATTTAGTAAGGCAAAATGTAACAAAATATCTGTTTTACCATTACAGGATGAGGTGATCATCCCTGGAAGATTTTCTTGTGATGCTTTAGTTGATCATAAATTTAATATAATTTAACTTGGCTTATCCAGATGTGGCTTCTAAGAGAGCCAACATGGTCAAAGACAGTATAAAAAGGAGTACAATAGGCTGGGCACAGTGGCTCACGCCTGTAATCCCAACACTTTGGGAGGCCAAGGTGGGTGGATCAGCTGAGGTCAGGAATTCAAGACCAGCCTGGCCAACATGGCGAAATCCCATCTGCACTAAAAATACAAAAATTACCCAGGCATGGTGGTGCATGCCTGTAATTCCAGCTACTCAGGAGGCTGTGGCAGGAGAATCGCTTGAACATGGGAGGCGGAGCTTGCAGTGAACTGAGATCCCGCCACTGTACTCCAGCCTGGTTGACAGAGCAAGACTCCGTCTCAAAAAAATAAATAAATGAAAATAAAAAAATAAAAATAAAGTACAATATCCAAGTCATACGAAGTGACTGGGCTCATAAGAGTCTGGTCTGGTCACTCATGTGGTGTGTAGCCATGGGTGACATGTTTTGAAAGGCTGCTGACAATCTAAGGCAGTCTCTAAGAGCACAGTGAGATTTAGGAGTTTAGAAACCACATGGAGACTGGCTCTAATTGCCTCAAACAAGAAACTTGTTGTCAGTTTATGCCTTGTCAGGTTCTAAAGCTAGATTAGAGGCATGGAATGGCATAGGAAGTTCCTAGCGAGGTGGCAGTAAGAAGGAGAGCTGGGCTTGAGTGACAAGACCGAGGGAAGAGGCTATAAATTTACCTCCTGCACAGGAAAGGTGAAAGGGGAGCATAAGTCAGTGGTAAAAGAAAGGAGGAAGAATGACCTCATGCTGAAAAGGAACCTTCAATCTTTCTTCTTTTTTCCCTTTTCTGAGATCATGTAGGGAGGGACAGTAACATCAACAGTAAGAGCTACCAATATAGAGGCAGCCTAGTGTAGCGGTCAGCAGGGCATACTCTCGAACCAGGCTGCCTGCGTTTAAACCCTGGGATTACCACTTAGCTCCACAACTTTGAGTATGTCATTAAACCCAATTGTGCTACAGATTTTTCACCTATCAAATAGGACTAACAGTACTTAGCTCATGGGGTTGATGTGAGGCTTAAACATGATATATGTAAAGTTATTAGACTCATGCTTGACACATAAGCACTGTGCAAGTTTACCACAGATTAAGCACTTGCTGTAGCCTTACATTGTCACATCTAATGCTCAGAACAAGCCTGATATAAATGGGAATTGTTGAAATAATCTTCTTACAGATGAGGAAGCTAAAACCATTTGAGAGGTTAAGAAATCTGCCAAAAGGTATTCAGATAAAATAATATGGACTCGGGTTGTTCTGATTCAAACATCTGAGATCTTAATCTCTAGGCTTTACTGTCTCTAACTTGATGTCAGAATAACTAGGGAGCCAAGCTTGCGACTGCGGACAAACTGCCAAACCAGAGATAGTATAATTGCCTATAGATTTTGGAAGGGCTGAAGATGATACCCATAAGGTCTAATCTCCAACATTAGATGGAGTGGAAGGCTGGAGTTTTGACACTTGTGCCATTAGTTAAGGAGCAGAGTTCTAGGTATTACATCAAGGGATAACTATTAGGGGTAACATCATAAAATGTTTTCAGGTCAGCTTCACCAAGGTGAGCTATTTGCAACTGGAGCACTAGAACCAAATGCAGTAAAATGCGAAGGATATGCCAGGATGAAAAGCCATTTCTCATTATCTGCAAGGAAAATAAAGCTGTGTCTCATTAGGCCACTCTTCTCTGGGCTTCATATTGTATATTGAATAATCAATAAATGGTTTAAAAGCCAAAACAAAGGATACAAAAGCAGAAGATCCAGCAAAACTGGAAAAAAAAAAAAAAGGAAAATAAGCAACAAGCCTGATGGGGAATTCAACCACAGAAGATTTCAATCTACTACATCTGCAATTTGGGCTGCCAGGGACTTTCCTTAGATCATTAACGGCAATTCCAGGAAGCATATTTTAGTGGAAGTTCTCTGAATCAATATTTTTGGTGTGGAATCTCCTGATTAATTAATGGTGGTCTCAGTTATTTTGTGTACTTACCAAGATGGGTGTGCTCCCAAACCTGTTTATGTTATTGCACTTGTTATTGTAAATACATACTTTAATTAAATACTATATAAACACTTTAAATACTATAAAAACTACTGATTACAAGAATAGTTTCTACAAAAACTAACTTGAAAGACTAGGAAGAATTAATAAATGAGTCACGAAAAAAGTGCTTTACAGTAAGATGTGGATACTTGCAAAAGAAGGAAAAAATAATTAAAAGCTAGGATGATCCTGTATCCCATTTGTTTCACGAATGTCTTACAATATCTCCTTCCATTCTAAAGAAACAAAACCGGAAATCATGGATGATGCATTAAGAGTGTGTTTTATGTTAGTTAATGTGAAATCCCATTAGCCAAACAATCCAAGTCTTCTCAATGAGAGCCCTATTGACATTGTAGATAAGTTGGTTCATTTAGCAGGACTGTTCAGAATTGAGACATTTAGCCTTTTTGGTCTATGCCCACTAAACACTATGGTAGTGTAGCCTCCAGCCATTGGGACAATCAAAGATCCCTCTTGGCACAGTTCCAAATGCTCCTTGTAATTAACACAGTAGTTTTAGTACACCCTGCCAAATATGAGTGCTGCTTGTGCTCAAATAAAAAGCCCTGGCCCTAACTCAAAGAATACAAAATGAATGTATTAATATCTGTTTTAAATTAAAATAATACGTTTAAAACATATAAGCATTATTATCATTATTATTATTATTATTGTTTTTAACAACAGAATCTCCCTCTGTCTGGAATGCAGTGGTGCCATCATAGCTCACTTCGGTCTTGATGTCCTAGGCTCAAGTGATCCTCCTGCTTCAGCCTTCCTAGTAGCTGGAACTTCAAGCACGCAGCAATGCACCCAACTAATTTTTTATTTCTGTGTTTTATAGAGACATTGTTGTCCAGGCTGTTCTCAAACTCCTGGTCTCAAGCAATCCTACTCCCTGGGCCTCCCAAAGTGCTGGGATCACAGGCTTATGCCAACATGGCCAGCCATTATTTTTAAAATAATTCCTGCTTCAATTGCCTTCCTGTGATTACCCAGCCAGCTACTAGTCTTGATTGTTTTGGTTAAGGGTTCTTCTTCTACATCTGACTACACAGAGACTTTCTAAAAAATGTCAATATCACAGAAGTTACACACATGATACAAGGGATTGTTGAAGGAACTATTTTTCACCTTAAGAGGCAATAACTTAGAGAATATTACTGATTTCACGTATAGAAGGAACTATCCTGTATGAGGGGAATTAAGTTTCTTCTATGAGAATCCACATAGAATGTTCTAGAAATAACTGTTAAATTGAACAAAATGCAATAAAGACAACATGGTATAATAGAAAGAATAAAAGCCTTAGTGCCAACAAACCTGGGATAAATCCTGGCTCTATTTTGTATGATATATATACATTGTCAAGTTACTTCTCAAAGTCTCCATTAGTTTTCTTTCATAAAAACTATAAAAATAATATTTATCTCAAAGGGTTACGAAGAATAAATAAAATAGCATATCTTAAGTTTCTAGCACAGTTTCTGGCACATACTAGGCGCATAATAAATGGTAGTTCTCTTCCTCATCTTCTTCCCTAGTGCAAAGCAGAAAAAGAAAATTATTTGCTTAAACACACTGCATGTTAGTGCTTTTGTATTTAAAAATGTGGATAAAACTATAAAAATTCCTTTTTGATCACAACCCCACCTTATAGCAGACACTATTAACACTGTTCCTTGCCTATCTAAAAGCCATTTACCTCTTTCTTCCTTGTTAGCAGCTGTGTTAGTCCATTTTGCATTGTTATAAAGAAATACCCCAAGACTGGGTAATTTATAAAGAAAAGAGGTTTAGTTTGGCTCATGGTTCTGCAGACTGTACAAGAAGCACAGTGCTGGCATCTGCTTCTGGTGAAGCCTCAGGAAGCTTACAATCATCATGGAAGGTGAAGGGGAAGCGGGCATGTCACATGACAAGAAAGGGAGCAAGAGAGATGCCAGGCTCTTTTAAACAATCAGCTCTCATGTGAATTAATAGAGTGAGAACTCACTCATTACTGTGGGAAGGGCACCAAGCCATTGATAAGGGATCCATCCCCATGACCAAAACACCTCCCACCAGGCCCCACCTCCAATACTGGGGATCACAGTTCAACATGAGATTTGGAGGGGACAAATATCCAAACTATATCAGTAGTTTTGGATAAATGTTTTGTGTGTTTTCGATAAATATCTTTTAGCTTCTGGGAAGGTCAAGGTCACCTCCAGCCTAGGAATCGGCCTCAATCCAGTCCTTTTGTGGCAGAATAGATTGCCCTTCAGCAAATATTTACCCCCTTCCCATGACCTCCATGAGAAGAGTATACTTTCCTGCAACTTTGATTTTGACCTTGGAATGAATATGGGCAGCAGGACTAGTGTGTCAATTCCAAACCTAGGCTTGCCCTTCAGGGAGCTTTTGACCTTTACCATGAGAATGCATGCCCTGGGTAGCTCAGGTCACACAAGAATAAGAGACACATGGAGTGGAGCAGCTTCCCTGGATGACCTGCCAAAACTTGCAACCTAAAGTAGAGAAATCCCAGCCGACCTGCAGAAATATGAGAAAGAAATAAACATGTATTGTTGCTTGTCCCTGAGATAATTTTGTGGTTGTTTGTTCAGCTGACTGATACATCTGCCTGTGAGATATTAGGTAAAATTGCCTAGGAAGCTTCTGGGAGATAGTTTTTCTCTCTGGTAGGAGAAAGGTACATGAAGATAAACTCCCTACTCAGTGCCACATCCTGATATTGAATGAAGTAGCCAGCTTTTCATGATGAGAAGAAGGCCAAGGGAATCACAGATACCAGCCCCCAAATCAATGAACCAATACCATCAACCATTTTCCTTCATTTCTTATAAAGTGACAAGAACACATTTTTATTTGTTTAAGCTGCAATTTGTTAGGCACCTGCAGTTGAATGTATTCTCAGTAATACATGTCAATATAGAAACCTAGAACTAACTAAACTCTAAGAATTTTCTGTTTTTATGACATAAGCTAACATATTTGACAATTCCCAGAATTATTTCTGGTTTGTAAGCAGATGTTGTGTGTTATGTTTTTATTTGTGACATCGTTGGCTTATTCAGTCAGCATTGCCTGCTAATTCAGCAGATGCCCAAGTGTTTAGGATGTCCCTCCACAAAACCATATTCCCCATAGCTTCATTTGCTTCAAAGAATCTTCCATTACTTTTAGGTGCACCATCTCCCCATATCACAATATTCCATGTGTAATGGAGGTTTCATCTTGAATCTTTTTAGTCTGACCATCTTCCATGGACTTTCATGGTCCTCTCTGTCTCCTTAATACATCTGGGCCCAAAAAAATCATAAAAGTGATATTCCTACACAAGTGGTAAGAAGAGCTGAAACAAGCACCTTTCCACTGACTCCTCATTTTAGCGCTAAACTCATGCCACAAAGGGCACAGATGCTGCAGCATGGAGCAAGATTGCCGGAGTATAAGTCCCAAATCTCCTCCTTCCCAACTGCTTAGATATGGGCTGTGCCTTAGCTGGGGCTGCTGGAAAAAAATGCCACAGACTGGGTGGCTTAAGAGACATTTATTTTCCACCATTATGAAGGCTGGGAAGTTTAAGACCAAAATGCCAGCAGATTCAGTTCCTGGTGAGGGCTCTCTTCTTGGCTTGCAGATGGCTGCCTCCTCACTGTGTCCTCACATGGTAGAGAGAGAAACGGCTCTGGTCTCTCTCCGTCTTCTTATATGGACACTAATTCTATCATGGGAGCTCCACACTCATAAGCTCCTCTAAACCCAATCACCTCCCAAAGACCCACCACTGAATACCATCATGTGGGGGGCTAGGGCTTCAACATACGAATTTGGGGAACGCAAACATTCAGTCCATAACAGATGGGTTATTTAACCTTCATTTACCTCCATTTGCTCATAGGAAAGAATGGCAATATTAACAGTATATACCTCATAGTATTGTTGAGAGGCTTAAATGAGTGTGTGTGTATATATATGTATATACATATACATATATATATATATATATACATAGCCTAGAATGGTATGTAGTAAGGAACAGTTATATAAGAATTGACCAATTTTCTTATTTTCAGGAAAGGGCAGGATGGCCTGGTGGGGGTGCTGGTGAGATGGGTGAGTGAGTAATATACGGCTTTCAGAATAAAAGGATTATAGAGTCGGTGACCCAGTGTAATGCTTAAACACCCGGTACAGTGTCCTCATCAAGTGAGCCTATTTTTCTTAAGACTTCTGGCAATATGAAGCTCATTCTTTCCTAAGTCTGTTCATTCCATTAGAAATTTGTATCCCTGTAGCTCCTACTTATTGATCCTAAGTTTTATTTTTTAGGAATATATAGAGTAAATCTATTCTCTCTTAAATCTATTCTCCCTTTGAATATTTTTTGTGACAT
Organism: Homo sapiens; assembly: GCF_000001405.40. Lineage (NCBI taxonomy): Eukaryota > Metazoa > Chordata > Mammalia > Primates > Hominidae > Homo > Homo sapiens. The sequence continues at coordinate 42,770,139 of NC_000013.11, forward strand.
AACAGTCCATCCCTAGCCCCTTCTGCCACAGGTGTTTTCCAGGGTTGATAGGTCTAACATAAATGCCAGCACATCCTATAGCATGGCACCTTTATTTTGTCTATACATCCCACTTTCCCTGTGTCCTTCATGTGGGCACTGCACTGCAGCACAAGGCACATCAGGGCCATCCCAGCCTCTCCCTTGTTTTAGAAACTATATTTCTGTTGATGAAGCCTGTGAATCCCTCTAGCAGCCACATTAAGTCATTCTGCATTCACTTCCTTTGTGCCTGAACAGCCCCTAAAACCTACATTCCCTTTCTGTATTCATCCAACTAGCAATGAAACTCTGATGCAGATTCTTGTTTTTATTGTTATTATATTTCATCCTATTAAATGCAGCCCATCACTTTAACCTGTCAAGGTCTTTTTGTATCCCGATCCTGTCACCCACAGTGTTTTCCATCCAATTTAGATCTCTGTCATCTGAAAATTCAATAGGCTTGCCTACTGTGTTTTCATTCAAGTCCTTGATAAAATGATGGAATAGATCAGGGCATGCCACCAAAAACCTATCCAAATTGTCACTGATCCATTAGTCATTACCCCTTTGTATAAAATTTTAACAAGTTTCAAACTGCACTTATCTGTACATGAGGATTTCACAAGGCAATTTGTCAAATGCTGAAACACCAGATCTACATCTAAAAGTCTCAGAACCCTATCCTTATTAACAACAGTAACAACAAAAGGAAATGACACTGTGTGAAAGCATAGTTTTTAGTATTAATCTTTATTTTTATTATTATTATACTTTAAGTTATGGGATACAAGTGCAGAACGTGTAGGTTTGTTACATAGGTATACATGTGCCATGGTGGTTTGCTGCACCCATCAACCCGTCATCTACATTAAGTATTTCTCCTAATGCTATTCCTCCCCTTGCCCTCTACCCCCTGAAAGGCCCCGGTGTGTGATGTTCCCCTCCCTGTGCCCATATGTTCTCATTGTTCAACTCCCACTTATCAGTGAGAATGTGTGGTGTTTGGTTTCCTGTTCCCGTGTTTGTTGAGAATGATGGTTTCCAGCTTCATCCATGTCCCTGCAAAGGACATGAACTCATTCTTTCTAATGGCTGTGTAGTATTCCATATGTGCCACATTTACTTTATCCAATCTAACATTGATGGGCATTTGAGTTGGTTCCAAGTCTTTGCTATTGTGAATAGTGCTGCAATAAACATACATGAGCATGTGTTTTTATAGTAGAATGATATATAGTCTTTTGGGTATATACCCAGTAATGGGATTGCTGGGTCAAATGGTATTTCTAGTTCTAGATCCTTGAGGAATTGCCACACTGTCTTCCGCAATGGTTGAACTAATTTACACTCCCACCAACAGTATAAAAGCATTCCTGTTTCTCCACATCCTCTCCAGAATCTGTTGTTTCCTGACTTTAATAATTGCCATCTAACTGGTATGAGATGGTATCTCATTGTGGTTTTGATTTGCATTTCTCTAATGACCAGTGATGATGAGCTTTTTTTCATATGTTTGTTGGCCGCATAAATGCCTTCTTTTGAAAAGTGTCTGTTCATATCCTTCACCCACTGTTTGATGGGGTTGTTTGCTTTTTCTTGTAAATTTGTTTAAGTCTCTTGTAGATTCTTGATATTAGCCGTTTGTCAGATGGATACATTGGTTGTTTGCTTTTTCTTGTAAATTTATTTAAGTCCCTTGTAGATTCTTGATATTAGCCATTTGTCAGATGGATACATTGCAAAAATTTTCTCCCATTCTGTAGGTTGCCTGTTCACTCTGATGATAGTTTCTTTTGCTGTGCAAAAGCTCTTTAGTTTACTTAGATCCCATTTGTCAACTTTGGCTTTTGTTGGAATTGCTTTTGGTGTTTTAGTCATGAAGTCTTTGTCAGTGCCTATGTCCTGAATGGTATTTCCTAGGTTTTCTTGTAGGGTTTTTATGGTTTTAGGTCTTATGTTTAAATCTTTAATCCATCTTGAGTTAATTTTTGTAAGGAAGGGGTCCAATTTCAGTTTTCTGCATATGGCTAGCCAGTTTTCCCAACACCATTGATTAAATAGGGAATCCTTTCCCCATTGCTTGTTTTTGTCAGGTTTGTCAAATATCAGGTAGTTGCAGATGTGTGGTGTTATCTGAGGCCATCATTCTGTTCCATTGGTCTGTATATCTGTTTTAGTACCAGTACCATGCTGTTTTGCTTACTGTAGCCTCATAGTATAGTTTGAAGTCACATAGCATGATGCCTACAGCTTTGTTCTTTTTGCTTAGGATTGTCTTGGCTATATGGGTTCTTTTTTGGTTCCATATGAAATTTAAAGTAGTTTTTTCTAATTCTGTGAAGAAAGTCAATGGTGGCTTGATGGGGATAGCACTGAATCTATAAATTATTTTGGACAGTATGGCCATTTTCATGATATTGATTCTTCCTATCCATGAGTATGGAATGTTTTTCCATTTGTTTGTGTCCTCTCTTATTTCCTTGAGCAGTGGTTTGTAGTTCTCCTTGAAGAGGTCCTTCACATCCCTTGTAAGTTGGATTCCCAGGTATTTTATTCTCTTTGTAGCAATTGTGAATGGGAGTTTTCTCATGATTTGGCTCTCTGTTTATCTATTATTGGTGTATAGGAATGCTTGTGATTTTTGCACATTGATTTTGTATCCTGAGACTTTGGCTGAAGTTGCTTATCAGCTTAAGGAGTTTTTGGGCTGAGATGATGGGGTTTTTTAAATATACAATCATATCATCTGCAAACAGAGATAATTTGACTTCCTCTCTTCCTATTTGAATACCTTTATTTCTTTCCCTTGCTTGATTGCCCTGGCTAGAACTTCCAATACTATGTTGGATAGGAGTGATGAGAGAGGGCATCCTGGTCTTGTGCTGGTTTTCAAAGGGAACGCTTCCAGCTTTTGCTTATTCAGTAAGATATTGGCTGGGGGTTTGCCATAAATGGCTTTTATTATTTTGAGATACGTTCCATCGATACCTAGTTTATTGAGAGTTTTTAGCATGAAGGAGTGTTGAATTTTATCAAAGGCCTTTTCTGTATCTATTGAGATAATCATGTGGTTTTTGTCATTGGTTCTGTTTATGTGATGGATTACATTTATTGATTTGCATATGTTGAACCAGCCTTGCTTCCCAGGGATGAAGCCAACTTGATCGTGGTGGATAAGCTTTTTGATGTGCTGCTGGATTTGGTTTGCCAGTATTTTATTGAGGATTTTCGCATCAATGTTCATCAGGGATATAGGCCTGAAATTTTCTTTTTTTGTTGTGTCTCTGCCTGGTTTTGGTATCAAGATGATGCTGGCCTTATAAAATGAGTTAGGGAGGGTTTCCTATTTTTCTATTCTTTGGAATAGTTTCAGAAGGAATCGTACCAGCTCCTCTTTGTACCTCTGGTAGAATTCGGCTGTGAATCTGCCTGGTCCTGGGCTTTTTTTGAACCTTTTTTGAACTTGTTATTGGTGATTCAGGGATTCTACTCCTTCCTGGTTTAGTCTTAGGATGGTGTATGTGACCAGGAATTTATCCATTTCTTCTAGATTTTCTCGTTTATTTGCATAGAAGTGTTTATAGTATTATCTGATGGTAGTTTGTATTTCTGTGGGATCAGTGGTCATATCCCCTTTATCATTTTTTATTGTGTCTATTTGATTCTTCTCTCCTTTCTTCTCTATTAGTCTGGCTAGTGGTCTATCTATTTTGTTAATCTTTTCAAAAAACCACCTCCTGGATTCATTGATTTTTTTGAAGGGTTTTTCGTGTCTCTCTTTCCTTCAGTTCTGCTCTGATCTTAATTATCTTTTGTCTTCTGCTAGCTTTTGAATTTGTTTGCTCTTGCTCCTCTAGTTCTTTTAATTATGATGTTAGGGTGTCCATTTTAGATCTTTTCCACTTTCTCCTGTGGGCATTTAGTGCTATAAATGTCCCTCTAAACACTACTTTAGCTGTGTCCCAGAGATTCTGGTACATTGTGTCTTTGTTCTCATTTTGGTTTCAAATAACTTATTTATTTCTGCCTTAACCCAGTAGTCTTTCAGGAGCAGGTTGTTCAGTTTCCATGTAGTTGTGCGGTTTTGTTCTTAATTCTGAGTTCTAATTTGTTTGCACTGTGGTCTGAGAGATGGTTTCTTATGATTTCCCTTCTTTTGCATTTGCTGAGGAGTGTTTTACTTCCAATTATGTGGTTGATTTTAAAATAAGTGCTATGTGGTGCTGAGAAGAATGTAGATTCTGTTGATTTGGGGTGGAGAGTTCTGTAGATGTCTATTAGATCCACTTGGTGCAGAGCTGAGTTCAAGTCCTGAATATCCGTGTTAATTTTCTGTCTCGTTGATCTGTCTAATATTGACAGTGGGGTGTTAAAATCTCCCACCATTATTGTGTGGGAGTCTAAGTCTATTTGTAGGTCTCTAAGAACTTGCTTTATCAATCTGGGTGCTCCTGTATTGGGTGCATATATATTTAGGATAGTTAGTTCTTCTTGTTCCATTAATCCCTTTACCATTATGTAGTGCCCTTCTTTGTCTTTTTTGATCTTTATTGGTTTAAAGTCTGTTTTATCAGAGACTAGGATTGCAACCCCTGCTTTTTTTTTTTTTTTTTTTTGCTTTCAATTTGCTTGGTAAATCTTCCTCCATCCCTTTATTTTGAGCCAATAAGTGTCTTTGCATGTGAGATGGGTCTCCTGAATACAGCACACTGATGGGTATTGACTCTTTATCCAATTTGCCAGTCTATGCCTTTTAATTGGGTCACTTAGCCCATTTACATTTAAGGTTACTATTGCTATGTGTGAACTTGATCCTGTCATTATGATGCTAGATGGTTATTTTTCCCATTAGTTGATGCAGTTTCTTCATAGTGTCAATGACCTTTACATTTTGGTTTGTTTTTGCAGTGGCTGGTACTGGTTTTTCCTTTCCATATTTGGTGCTTCCTTCAGGAGCTCTTGTAAGGCAGGCCTGGTGATGACAAAAGTCCCTCAGCATTTGCTTGTCTGTAAAGGATTTTATTTCTCCTTCACTTACGAAGCTTAGTTTGGCTGGATATGAAATTCTGGGTTGAAAATTCTTTTATTTAAGAATATTGAATTTTGGCCCCCACTCTCTTCTGGCTTGTAGGATTTCTGCAGAGAGATCCACTGTTTGTCTGATGGGCTTCCCTTTGTGGGTAATCAGACCTTTCTCTCTGAATGCCCTTAACATTTTTTCCTTCATTTCAACCTTGGTGAATCTGATGATTATGTGTCTTGGGGTTGCTCCTCTCAAGGAGTATCTTTGTGATGTTCTCTGTATTTCCTGAATTTGAATGCTGGCTTGTCTTGCTAGGTTGGGGAAGTTCTCCTGGATAATACCCTGAAGTGCATTTTCCACCTTGGTTCTATTCTCCCCATCACTTTCAGGTACACCAATCAAACATAGGTTCGGTCTTTTCACATAGTCCCATATTTCTTGGAGGCTTTGTTCGTTCCTTTTCATTCTTTTTTCTCTAATCTTGTCTTCACCCTTTACTTCATTAAGTTGATCTCCAATCTCTGATATCCTTTCTTCTGCTTGATCTATTCAGCTATTGATACTTGTGTACGCTTCACAAGGTTCTCATGCTGTGTTTTTCAGCTCCATCAGGTCATTTATGTTCTTCTCTAAACTGGTTATTCTAGTTAGCAATTCCTGTAACCTTTTTTCAAGGTTCTTAGCTTCCATGCACTGGGTTAGAACATGCTCCTTTAGTTCGAAGGAGTTTGTTATTACCCCCCCTTCTGAAGCCTACTTTTGTCAATTTGTCACACTCATTCTCCATCCAGTTTTGTTCCCTTGATGGCGAGGAGTTGTGATCCTTTGGAGGAGAAGAGGTATTCTGGTTTTTGGAATTTTCAGCCTTTTTGCGCTAGTTTTTCCTCATCTTCATGGATTTATCTACCTTTGATCTTTGCTGTTGGTGACCTACGGATGGAGTTTTTGCGTGGTCGTCCTTTTTGTTGATGTTGATGCTATTGCTTTCTGATTGTTAGTTTTCCTTCTAACAGTCAGGGCCCTCTCCTGCAGGTCTGCTGGAGTTTGCTGGGGATCCACTCCAGACCCTGTTTACCTAGGTATCACCAGTGAAGCCTGCAGAACAGCAAAGATTGCTGCCTGTTCCTTCCTCTGGAAGCTTCATCCCAGAGGGGCACCCTCCAGATGCCAGCTAGAGCTCTCCTGTATGAGGTGTCTGTTGACCCCTGCTGGGAAGTGTCTTCCGGTCAGGAGGCACAGGGGTCAGGGACCCACTTGAGGATGCAGTCCGTCCCTTAGCAGAGCTGGAGCACTGTGCTGGGAGATCCACTGCTCTCTTCAGAGCCAGCAGGCAGGAACATTTAAGTCTGCTGAAGCTGTGCTCACAGCTGCCCCTTCTCCCAGGTGCTCTGTCCCAGGGAGATGGGAGTTTTATCTATAAGCCTCTGACTGGGGCTGCTGCTTTTCCTTCAGAGATACCCTGCCCAGAGAGGAGGAATCTAGAGAGGCAGTCTGGCTACAGCAGCTTTGTGGCGCTGCAGTTTGCTCTGCGCAGTCCGAACTTCCAGGCAGCTTTGTTTACACTGTGAGTGGAAAACCGCCTACTCAAGCCTCAGTAATGGTGGATGCCCCTCCCCCCACCAAGCTCGAGCTTCCGAGGTCAACTTCAGACTGCTGTGCTGGCAGCAAGAATTTCAAGCCATGGATCTTAGCTTGCTGGCCTCCATGGGGGTGGTAACCACTGAGCAAGACCACTTGGCTCCCTAGCTTTAGCCCCCTTTCCAGGGGAGTAAATGGTTCTGTCTCGCTGGCGTTCCAGGCACCACTGGGATATGAAAAGAAACTCCTGCAGCTAGCTTTGTTTCTGCCCAAATGCCCCCCAGTTTTGTGTTTGAAACCAGGGCCCTAGTGGTGTAAGCACCTGAGGGAATCTCCTGGTCTGAGGGTTGCAAAGACCATGGGAAAAGTGTAGTATCAGAGCTGGATAGCGCAGTCCCTCATGGCACGGTTTCTCATGGCTTCCCTTGGCTAGGGGAAGGAGTTCCCTGACCCCTCACACTTCCTGGGTGAGGTGACGCCCCACCCTTCTTCTGCTCACCGTTTGTGGGCTGCACCCACTGTCTAACCAGTCCCAATGAGATGAACCAGGTACCTCAGTTGGAAATGCAGAAATCACCCCTCTTCTGCATTGGTCTGGCTGGGAGCTGTAGATTGGAGCTGTTCCTATTCAGCCATCTTACCCGGGAATCAGTATTGATCTTTTAAATATTTACAAAGTTGCATTGATAATCCATTGTGGAGTGCTGCATGGTATATATTATCCAATTCACTTTTTAAAAAAATCAGAATACACTTGGAGAATGTTTTTATAGCCAGGGACCTAAAAAGACACTTCGATATTCACTATGAATTTGAATATGACTGGGTATATTCAAGGGATGACTGGACTGGCTCACTGGATGCCTATTTGCATGAAGACTTTCCAGGAGTTTTATTAGAAGGTCCATGACTCGGCATAGTAAGACTAATACCCTGCTCCAGAATTATGACCATACGTCTTTGTGAAACTGAAACCTCCCCTGATTCAGCCAAGCAGTATTCCAGGTGGGAACGGAACATACCCAAGGACAGAAAGAATTGTGATGCATGAATTTCGTCTGTAGGTAATGACTGAATAAAAGGGATAATGTTCTATTATAGCACAGTGTGGGCTGCTTGAATTCCCTTTTCATTCCAGAGATCAAGGGAAGAAATCATAGATTTCAGAAAATCATGGATTTGAGTACTGACTCTCCTACTTAACAGTTGTGCTTATTAGGATCTGTTTTAGAGAACCATTGCTAGTCCCTAATTAAAAATCTTTTTTGGTAAATTATGATCTTTAAAAATAACCTGACCTCGAGTCTAGAATTCTCTGTGAGTTCCCAGTGGACTTACTCTAGTTTCTTTTGATATCTTTTTTTTTTTAATTATACTTTAAGTTTTAGGGTACATGTGCACATTGTGCAGGTTAGTTACATATGTATACATGTGCCATGCTGGTGCGCTGCACCCACTAACTCGTCATCTAGCATTAGGTATATCTCCCAATGCTATCCCTCCCCCCTCCCCCCACCCCACCACATTCCCCAGAGTGTGATATTCCCCTTCCTGTGTCCATGTGATCTCATTGTTCAATTCCCACCTATGAGTGAGAATATAAAGCAATGGCAACAAAAGACAAAATTGACAAATGGGATCTAATTAAACTAAAGAGCTTCTGCACAGCAAAAGAAACTACCATCAGAGTGAACAGGCAACCTACAAAATGGGAGAAAATTTTCGCAACCTACTCATCTGACAAAGGGCTAATATCCAGAATCTACGATGAACTCAAACAAATTTACAAGAAAAAAACAAACAACCCCATCAAAAAGTGGGCGAAGGACATGAACAGACACTTCTCAAAAGAAGACATTTATGCAGCCAAAAAACACATGAAAAAATGCTCATCATCACTGGCCATCAGAGAAATGCAAATCTTTTGATATCTTATCTCTTTCTTCTATAGATTTTATTTGAGATTATAGGGTTGAAACTAAATCTCTGGATATTCCCTTCTCAAGTCCACTTTAGACTTTTTTCCCGAATTGTTTGAAATCTGTTTTTCCAAAGTCTTAGCACGTATCTGACCACATCCAGTTTTTCTTTTGCCGATAATCACTGCTTCTAAGTGTCCCAAGTAGTTTTCACTCACTAAAAGTGGTTCTTATAATCCAAACTAAGACTGACTCTAAATATCCCTATTTTTGTGACCAGTGGCTCCTATAGGTTTGGTGTATATGACAGCTTTTGTTTTGGAATCTCAGAAAAGTAGGGGTTTTCTATGAAGAGGTCAAAGAAAAAACAAGATAATTAGGAATAACTAACTCCTCTTCCCCCACCAAAAAATTTGAGCTCAAGGGACTACATAGCTCAATGGGAAATGAAATTCAACCAAGACTCTAGAAGACTAAGTAGAGTCCAGGGGATAAACAGCAGTAGAGTGGGGAGAGGGACACTGCCTTCTCTTCCTTAAGGAGCATGGAGGTCCTCTGAGGGCTTGGATAGTCAAGCAGCATGTCTGTGCCTGGCAGAGACAACCTCACAGACATCTCTGCAGCTAAGAGGATCCTGGCAAAAGGATGTGAGCAGAGCATTTCCTTCCGGGTTCATAGTTTTTCGGGAAAGTGTGTACCTCCATGATGTACAGTGGCACTCTCCCTCTAGCAGGTGGGTTTCTTTGAATTAGAGTTTAACTTCATCTTGGATTCCAATCAGGAGTCCCTCTTCCTCACTTGGTATCACTCATGAGGTCACATTTACCCTGATATTCCATGAAAACACTTTATCACCCACCTTCTAAACAGCCAATGTCTTAAGCAGTGAGTCTCATTGCTGTACCAATATTTTAACTGTGAAATAGTACAACTTTTCTACTAATAGTTGACATTGTATTCCCTATAGTAATTAGATTATGGGTGTTTCTTTCCCATTTTTTTTGTAATCAGTTTAAATCCTTTTTGAAATGTTAAACTAGTCTTTGGGAAAACATTTTTTGTCCCAAACTTAGGATATGCATTACTCCCTCATTCTTATATTTTAAAATATGTCTACAAATTTAGATCTCATTCTTTGATACCATCTACATAGCTAGTTTTATCTTATTTCCTCTTTTCTTATAAATTGACAACTTTCAGTGATGTTAGGTAAACATTGACTGTATGTCTAAGTCCTTCATCCTCCTGCCTGACTTCATAGGTCCCAAAGGTACCTCTTAGATTTGTGTTTGTGTTAGAGAGTGTCCACCATCTGTCGGCCTCATGTTGATTCTTCTATACCCTTCTGTTTATCAGAGTAGTAGGAAGACTGCAAAATACATTTCCCAAAATCCCTTGCTAGCTGGCATCCAATGGAGGGCAGGACATGAATGAAGGCTGGAGGGAAGAAGCCATTTTTTAAAAATACTTTCTGCTTGCACCTGTGGCAGTGCCAGCAGCAGCAGCCACATGGACAGCAACAGTGGTGACAGCAACAGCAAGATTAGCAGTTTGGGCAAGAACATAGAAGCAAGGGTGCCTGGTGAGCACAGGTTCCTGAGGCGCTGCTCAGGCAGCAGTTCTCCAAAGGAAGCAGCCTCTATGGCACAGTGTCCATGGGCTGTGGGTAAAATCATTTTCCCTATTGTCCTCCAGCTCTATGTGCAATCACAGTTTAGTGCAATTGCCAGTCCTTGGATAACCTAACCCTTCTTGTTTTACTCCTCTAACCCATTTCTATATTTTCATAACAGATTCCTTACATTAAATGCCCTCTGTCAAACACAGATCTGTTACTGTTCTCCTGATTGAGTAGCGTCCAAGGCAAGCTGGTAGGAATTTCAGCATGTGTGTGCAACATCAGCAGATGCAGTGCACCCAGAATGAATTTCATCATATCCTGGAAAAACGTTTGAGGAAGACTCGATTGACAATGTCAACTCTGCACACCACTGTTCTTTATCTCTTGGTAAAGAATCATCAACCTCTCAGATCCAGTGAAAGATTTTATGTTATTTACTGGCATTTAAAGACACTTGTTTGTGCTGTGCTTATTTCCCAGGAGGTCTGCATTCAAATTACTGGGGAAAAAATGCAAGACTTTTGCATCTGTTGAGCCCTTTCTTCTTTAAGGCATATGATTCATCACTCTCATCTCCCTGCTTTTTTCTTCCCCTTAGTCTCCTAAGAATTTTGAATGTATTTTCTTTTGATATTTCTTCTTCCCTTTTCTTTAGGAACTCTTCATCTTTGCAGATAAGCTGGCATTCAGAAGGAGGACACTTGAGAAAGAAAGGAAGCCAGTAGAATAATGCTATCACAGAAGAAAGGATGAGGTCAGTGTGGGCTCTAGTCTTACGCCACAGGTTAATTATCATCATATGTAGCCTCTAATTAAGATAAAATATGGAGAATATCTTATTCCCCCACAAAATGAAAGGGAACTTAGCTTAAACTATGGAATAATTTCATAGGTTACCACAGGCAAATTCATGCCCATACCTCTATATTCAGGAACTCTTCCTTCATCATCCTGAGCAATGAGGAAGGGGACTACTGACTCCAAATTTTGGAAATATTTATGTCATGGCCCATTGCCCTGATGGATTTGTTGACCTTTAATATTTAGAATCTCTGCCTCTATGCATGTTACCCCCGATATCTGCATGTAACACAGATATGGTAGATTTAGAAGATGACACTTGATTAGACACAAAATGTGGAAGAAAAAATATCAAACTGTGTAGCTGAATGTTACCCAGAAGTGAAGAAAGGCATGCAGCCAGATTTCCCCAGCTCTTTGTTTCATCACATGATGTTGCTTGGATATCAGCTTATCAACAGACTTCCACCACCACCACCAGCATATAAACAGAGTCCGCGTAAGAAAACTACACTGAATAGGAATGGCAGCTTTTAAAAGTGGGGGAACTACAGTATAGGGTAAGTTCTTTTTAGGCAAATCTGTCTTTTTGTTTCAGATATATTATTTTGTAGATGTTTCTCTCCCTGAATTCCATGAGTATTTTAATCAAATTTTATCAGGTATAGGCCACTTGAATAGGTAAGATAAATTTATTCAGCAGTAGCCCCAGAAAAGCACACATGAATTGTTGCCATAAGAAAGAGCATCAGTCATTTCTTTATGCTATTTGAGGAGAGAAGAAATCTTTCCAGCTTGAAGCATATTTATTCTCTGTTCTACAGATCTGGAAAATGGGAGGAGGGATATTGAAATGATTTGAGTACAGGATAGAGCGTAGGTGTCAATCACAGAGAATATTACAGGAGTATATCTTGGTTGGTATGGTTTCTGGAGTGCACATTAAAGGAAAGCAGTACTGACTAAAATATTTACAGTTTAATTTAGACATTTATATAGCAGAAACAGTACACACAGAGATGTTGACTAATGTTTTCCTAATAAATTTCTCTTCTGGAAGAATGGAACCTTCGATGTGTGAACTCAAATCAGTCTCCACATGTATTACAATACTCCTTAAGCATGTGTATGTTTATGAACCTATGAGTGTGCATGTGTTTGTGTGCATGAACATGCGTGAAGGTCGGGTAGAGAGAGAAGAAACTGGCATAAAGTGAGAGCATTCTATATTCACGATTTCAGTGAATCAAACACCCAGTGAGGTAGGCATTGTAACTGCTGTCTTAAGGATGAGAGGGCTGAGGCTTACAGAAGGAAAGAAACTCAAGTCTTTCTAGTTCTAAAGGCCATACAGCCTCTATTACAGTTTATTTTCTTCAGTTAATATACGTGCAGGTATTAATAATAATCTACGTTTAGCAGATTGTTACTATGTTTGATTTGCTGTGGTCTTACTTTCTATCATTCAGTAATTCACACTGCTAACAAAGACAAAGGAGTAAGCAGAGGGGAAAATACTCTGGGTTTGCACTTTGTGATTTGGCAACCTATTCCAATATGTCTATTCTTGCTGGATTGTTAAATTCATATTATTATACACACTTCAGACTCTAAACCCTAAATCACCAGGAAAGGAGACTTAATCATAGCAAATGTGACTCTATTATTCTGTATCTTTCTCAGGCAAGTGGAAACATGACAAGTTTAATAGTTTTATAGTACAATGCTATAAAATTGCACATCTAAATTGCAAGAAGTGGAGAATGACGTAAAGGCATACTACACTGCCACTAAAAATCATATTTTTAAGGAATATTTAATGATCTGAGAAAGTGCACAAAATGTATAAATTATGATCTCCCTTTTCTAAAATTACACACAATGTACACAGAAAAAAAAAATAAATAAATAAAAGGAAAGTGAAGCTCAGCATGGTGCCTCATACCTGTAATCCCAGCACTTTGGGAGCCTGAGGTGCAGGATAACTTGAGCCCAGGAGTTTGAGACCAGCCCAGGGAACATAGGGAGATCTTATCTCTACTAACAATTTAAAAAATAATTGGGTGTGGGGTGTGTACCTGTAGTCCCAGCTACTCAGGAGGCTGAGGTGGGAGGATGGCTTGAGCCCAGGAGTTCAAGACTGCGGTGAGCTATAGTCGCACCACTGTGCTCCAGCCTGGATGATAGAGTGAGACTCTGTCTCAAAAAAACATATAAATAAATAAACAAATAAAAGGAAATCAACCAAATGCTAACAATAATTATGGATAGTTAGATGCAAGTTGAGTATGCCTTATCCAAAATGCTTGGGACCAGAAGTGTTTTGAATTCCAGATTTTTTTTTTTTGATTCTGGAAAATTTACATTATCTTTGCCAGTTGAGCCTCCCAAATTCAAAAATCCAAAATCCAATATGCTCCAATGAACATATCCTTTAAGCATCTTGTGGGCACTAAAAAAGTTTTGGATTTGGAGCTTTTCAGATTTTGGGCTTTTAGATTTGGGATGCTCAACTTGTATGAGTAATCTTATTTTCTTCTTCAATTTTTAAATTTTTCCAAATCTTCCAAAACAATATATATTACTTTTAGAATCAGATATGAAAATCAATATTATTTAAAATTATCAAAAAATTACTACTATAAAAATAGTATGCTCTACAACACACCTGTTCCAAACAGTTAGAAAGACAAGGGCTCTGAATTATTCCTTAACTTCACAAATAATTAATAATTATTTTTATATATAAAGGGTGAGAATAGGAAAATGTGTGGAATTAAGTAGTCTGGTGATGTCCAATTACTTGGAAATGTGAGCAAATGTTCTTATCCCTTAGAACAAATTACATTTTTAAAAATTCATTTACTTGCTTACTTATTTACTTAAGTACATCCCCAAAATTGGTTGAGCTAAAAGAAATTTTATGCTATGCTTTGTTGTTTCTTGGAGGTATAGGATAAACGATGGGACAAAACTGGAAAAGACAACAAAAGCTTTGGAATGTTCCACAACTTCCTTTTATTCGAGTTCCTCCCTCCATCTATGACACTTCCTTACTAAAGGTATGGCTTTTTTTTTTTTTTTTTTTTCACAGATAGAGTGACCTGTCTGTCTCTCCTTCAAGGTTTGAGGACTTTTTCTGCTGTCTTTGTTTACCTAGCATTAAGAAGAATATTGGCCGCATAATAAGCCCTTGCTGCATGTTGAAGGCCATTCATGAGTGAACGAATGAGCACTTGGGTAACCTCCTACACTCGTCCCATTTCAGGAGCTCTGGTAGACGGTCACCTCTTCGTGGCTGACCCACTGTCAGTGATGGGAAACTCACTAATTGGCCACACTATGGCTCCCTGTTGGAGAGCTGTTAGTTCCTTTTGGTCAAAGTTAGTTAAAGCCATTCTCATAAATACGCTGTAAAAATTTCAGTTCTCGGCCGGGCGCGGTGGCTCACTCCTGTAATCCCAGCACTTTGGGAGGCCGAGGCGGGTGGATCACGAGGTCAGGAGATCGAGACCATCCTGGCTAACATGGTGAAACCCCGTCTCTACTAAAAATACAAAAAAAAAAAAAAAAAAAAAAATTAGCCGGGCGTCGTGGCGGGTGTCTGTAGTCCTAGCTACTCAGGAGGCTGAGGCAGGAGAATGGCGTGAACTCGGGAGGCAGAGGTTGCAGTGAGCCGAGATCGCGCCACTGCACTCCAGGCTGGGTGACTGAGCAAGACTCCGTCTCAAAAAATAAATAAATAAATAAATTAAAAATAAAAAAAAAATTTTCAGTTCTCTCCCAAACCCTCAAGGAAGGATCAACAACAAGGTAAAAATATTAGTAATGTTACCTGTTACTTCTCATTTAGGAAGTTTAGGGTTTTACTAAGGAAAAGAGGTAGGCATTTTCTGCTTTGTAAAATAAAATCATCACTTTTAAGATTTTTATCTTCTATGGAAACTCCCATTGTACTTTGGAGTCCTGCTCTTGAAATTGGCTTACAATTTTCATATTATCTTGTTCTCAATCATTTTAAAAGGCAAAATTAGTTATTCAGGAGTGGAATTCATTCTCTTCAAATATGTTATCCTTTAAAACATCCACTTCAGAAACTAAAGCTGAAATAATGTCTCAAATTATGAAGTACTTGGCTTTGCTACTTTCACTCTAGATATATTTTCGATACTAAGTTTAAGGCCAAAAAAACCAAAAACAAAACAAAACACTAACTCACAGATTTCAGGCCCACACAAAATGTCTAACAGGTAAAAGTCACCTTACTCTACCTTTACATATAATTATCTTAAGTTTAGTTTTTATTGCATAGTTATCAACCCATTTTGAAAATTCTGTTATCGTTTTGAATTTTTTGGCCTAGGGTGAACTTACTTTATCTTAATTTTTCTAAAATGTTGATGCCACTATTGTTTCCCTATCTGTAAAGTGAACACAATAAATTGCTCATCTCATAGGACTGTTGAAACTTAAGAGATTATGCATACAAAATACATGCAAATGCAAAATGTTGAGCACCGTATATAATGAACACTTAAGATATATTAGGTATGCAATAGTAATTGAAATCCTGACACTTCTTGTTTCTTTCTACCTTTAAGAAAGTAGCCTTCTAAATGGTCTCTCTACCAATGGTCTCTTTCTTCAAGCCCATTCTCCACTGCATGGCCATTTTTTTTTAAATGCAAATCTGGTCAGTTAAGAGTATGGTGTTTCAGGTTGGATCATTTGCTGGAAAGGCGTGGGAAGCTGTCCTGTGCATTACAGGATGCTAAGCACATCCCAGGCCTCTACTCACTGAATGCCAGGAGCACCCCCTCCTCCTCCCACCAATTAGGACAATAAAAAAATTTTGCAGGCATTGCCAAATGTCCCCTGGGGTCAAAATCATCCCTGTTGAGAGCCACTGCCTTAAATAAAGACCTTTGGTGGCTCCTCATAGAATATTTAATCCTTAAACTCAACATAGTTAAAAGGTTTCCATCATCTTCCCCTAACAGTCTTTTCACAATCAGACTCTCTTCCCTTTGAACTAAAAAGAAAAAATGTTAGAATTTCTAGCAGGTTTCCAGATGTTGTGTATGCCGTTTGAGAACCAGTATTCTAGTCCCTTAAGGAAACTCCTCATCTAAGACTCAGATAAGATGATCATCTCATTTAGAAAACCTTCCCTGACTGCTTGTTTACATTGTTTGTTTTCATGGCACCTTTTTACTAATGATATAATGAACCCTTACCACATTACTCATCCATCTATCTCCCTTGCTTACTGAGAACTTACAGTGGAAAATTTTCTACCAGTCCAGAGGCCTGGCATACTTCAGCTCTGTGTAGCTTATTACAACCTACTTTCCTCAATAAGGATCAAAGAAATTATAAGATCCTGGAAATCCTTAGATGTCCCTCAGTTCAAGACAATTACCTAGAATTTTTTACTCACATATTTTCATCATCATACAGATTAGCAGAAGACTGTTTAAGCAAATGAAGAGAGGAAACTCCCCAGTTGTTATTTTCCAATTGTTGCACATTAAAAAAAAAAAACATATGGTTAGCAAGAAAAGCCTCTTATTTCCATAAAAGTTTGCTTTGAGTATCACAATTTGAATGCTGTGGAACTCCACACACTCATCAAAATCACCTGTTCTGTTCCAACAGGCCCTCAACCAAGGGCAACAGCGCTACTTTTACAGCATTATGAGGATTTACAACTCCAGGCCCCAGTGGGAGGCCCTGCAGACCCGCTACATTCACAGCCTTCAGCACCAACAGCTGCTTGGTAAGTTTAACTACGTGATCCAAACTAAGCACCTAAGGAATCAACTCGTGCTGTAGCCAGAAGTCGTTTCCAGATAAATAATTCAAGCACAATGGCATCTACTGGCGTGCTATTTTATCAACATAGCTGGTTAGCCAAGTTTCAAAGTGCTTATTCTTGACAATGGAAAGCAAGGTTTTATGGGTAAATTAATAGGGTTTAAAGAAATTCGAGTATGGATTGTGATAAAATGTTAACTCTCTGAGATTTGTGAGAACTTAATCAAGTAAATCAATGGGTCTGGGCTTAGAAAACCAGGCGAGGCTCAAAGCACAGCTCAGCTCCTTGCTGTGTGCAAACTCAGAGGCTTGGTTTATTCACAACAATAATAGTTACATTTATTGCTCACTGACCACGTTCCAGACATTGTGCTAAGAGCTTTACATACAATATCTCATTTTCTCTCCACTTTATGGCTGTAGAAAATGGAAGCTCAGGCAGGTTATGTAACTTGATTAAGATCACACACAGGTAATAAATGTCTGTTAGGACTTCAAGCCAGAGCTGTCACCTCCAAAGATTATACATTTTCAGCCCCATCCTCTGCTGTCTCTCCTCTTCTTTCAACCTCTTTAGATTTTACAAAGCACAAATGAAATAATGGTTGTGAAAGACCTTCACAAATTATAAGCATCAACTTACCGAAAGGCTAATTGTTGTAAAGTCCCTTTTCTTGCAGGAAATGCTTTCAGTTGCTGGCTGCCCTTCATCATACCGTTCTCCTAACTCCACTAGAGTGCTTTTTAAACAAAAATCTACTCACTTGGCTTTAGCACATCTACTTTATGCTGTTGTTTTTATATTTACACAAAAGGAAGGCATGGTTTTTGCAATTGATTTAATAAAAACAATAACAATAGTTACCTTTTATTGAGGACTTCCTGTGTGTCAGGTGCTCTTCTAAGAACTTTGCAGGTATTGTATTTAACACTCAAACACCTGTATGTGGCAGGTGTCTTTATGACCTACAGTTTACAGAAGAGAAAACTAAAACATGAACAAGTTAAATAGCTTGACCAGGGTCATGCAAGTATTTAATAGTAAACAGAGAAGCCGAGATTCAGTCTGGTCTCCATGATTGTCTGAAGTGTCACTAGAAGCATCATCTAGTAGCTTTGTTTTTAGAGCAAAAATTGCATAGAAGCCAATGAATCCAGAAACAGAAGTATTCAATGCTTAGTGCACATAAAATCCACCAGGTACCTTATTAAAATGCAGATTTCCAAGATTAACCCTCTGAGTTTCTGATTCAGAAGGTCTTTAGAGTCATAAATCTGCATTTTTAATAAGGATTTTGAAAAAGCATGTGGCCTCAGCCCAATGATTCACCAGTTGGTGGTCTGCAGACTACACGTTGAGAAACACTGAGAGAGATCAAATATATCTTTCTGGTTTGAAGAAAGTTTTGATATCGAAGATATCATGGCTCAAGTCCCTTTCCAAATAATCTGACATGTTAATCAACGACCAAGTGTTTATTAACTTATTGAATGAGAAATACAAAAGAAGAAAAATATATTTCCAATCTTCAAAGATCATATAATCTGGGCATGCTTACCACAAGAGTAGAATAAATTTTGTACACATAAGTAAATATTTGCAGTTTTGTTTTCTTATTTGCCTTGTAAAATTGTTGATTTTGAAGTTTCTCTCATTTCTTTCCCCTAGGCTATATTACTCAACGGGAAGCCTTGTCTTATGCTCTTGTACTTAGAGATTCAACCAAGAGAGCCTCAGCCAAGGTAGCTCCTCAAAGAACCATTCCCCGGAAAACTTCAGCCATGACAAGAAGATGTCCATCAGTACTACCTGTATCTGTGGTTCTACCTAGGGCCCAAAGTAAAAGGCGCCAAGTGCTCAGGAACTGAGACTTGGCAGCATTTTCAGAAACAGGAAGTTTGCCCATGTATCCCTGGTATCTAGTGGGTGCTTTGTGCATATTTGTTGAATGACAGTGAATAATTTCTAATATAAACCCCAGACCTAAAAATAATCTCTGATTCATATAAATTTTGCCAGCAAGACCAAGAGGTTTAAGAGCAATGGAGCCGAGAGTAAGCAAGCCTTTCCACATAACATCCGTAGAGTAAAAGGACTTTTAAAGCTTTCAAAGTAAAAGTTTACTTTGGATTAGAACCTCCTAGAGAAGTCCCCAAAACAGTGAAAGGGGACAAGTGACCAGAAAGGGCCAGGTCCTCTGTCACTGGGTGACCATTTCTAGCAAACTATCATGTATACATTTTGAAAATATACAAAACAACACAGGATTAACACTGATCATAGAGGGCTTACAAAATCATATCATCCCAGCAACAATTGGCCTGTGCATTTCCTTCCTCTCCTCTTCCCCATCAGGCAATGGCATTTAATTTAGCCCCAAAGCTCTTCTAGTTCTCACCTGGCTTGATCACTTTGTGTCATCTTGAAACATGCACTTATCAGTCTACCACAGCTGAATTGATTTTATGGAGCTGTAACTGGCCTTGACATGGGTAAGAGAATTCATGCACACATCTTTCCCTGGCAGCTGAAGAAACACTCTTAAAAGAATATGAAATAACCCCGAAGACTTTATTTCATGTCCAACCTTTCTGTGGCCTCAAATGTTTTAAGCAAAGCACATAAAACTATACTAAGCAGTGAGTCAGTTCATCATACAAAGGCATAGTATTGCATTAGTTATATTTAATGGTTATTTTCATCACCAGAGATTTTGTGTGTGTGTGTGTGTGTGTGTGTGTGTGTGTTAAAAATCAGTCACCAGTGCTCATGTAAAGTCAAAACAAAAAAATGCTTCTTCCTCATCATTGTAAAATACGTCACCCCATTCAAATCAGCTGATGCCTATGAAAGGAATTGGTTGAGGTGGAATATAAATTTTATTGACAAGGGATGTGCTAACATTGATCTGAAAGGAATATGCTGCATTATTATCAGAAAAAAAATCATTATCTTCTCTTTGCAATCATGAACATATAAGATATAAAAATTGTCATGAGATTCTGAACACTAGTATTGAGGTCCAGCACTACTTCCAAGCTCCTATCTGACTTTTCTTTGGGAGGAATGGGAAGTGTGGTTGGCCCACTAGTCTGATAAGAAGTCTTGGTGAAGCTAATACTGACCTTGCTGGGGTCATTCACTTAATCATAAAGAAGCTTCTTGACCTCTGCAAATTCTGGCCCTGACATGTATTCTAAATACCTTTACAGTTCTAAGTGAGAAATTGTTACATAGGCTTAGAAGAAGAAAAGACTCCAGTGGGACTGGGATGAGCTGCGTGGTAGCCCTCATAAAGCAGAGAGGTTGGTGGGAGACCTAACTTGGCCTATACTAGCCTTCCCATTGTTTTCACAATGGGCCTTTTATCCCCTCTGAACTGCTTGCCTGCACTTTTATCTTAGACTTTTTTTTTTGATGAGCATAGGTATTTGCTGTGTAAGCCTTATCTAGTGATGCAGAATATCAAGGAGGCCACTTACAATTCTAAGCTGCATCCCTGTATCAAAAATCTCAGAAGCACCTTGCATCTGATAGAGGCTTGTAAGAGCAGATTGACAGGTGAATGTCACAGGTCCATAAGAAGGACAAATAGATCTAAGTTGGGCAAAAGATTCTATTTGTTGGTTCTCCCTTCTAAGATGATAATATGCCCCTGCACTTGAGACCTTACTTGAAACTTAAAGAAATGTGATTGGTTATGGTGCTGGGAGAAAGGGGTGCACCTGGGAGGACACTGAGAAAGATAAACAAAGGGGAAGGAAGAGAGGACAACCTGTAACTTTTAGAAAAGGCTACTACTTTTAACTGTTGGAGAAAATGCTATTGCTTGCACTCACAATGTCAATATACATTATCAGAACTTAAGTCCTGGAGATCAGAGACTGTTTCACCTGAAATTGCTAGCACCTAGAATGGCCCCCGGTTGCGGTAGGCAATCAATAATACTCTTTGAATAATAATGAGGTTTTCAAAGATTCTGCAAGTCAGACTGGCCTCTGGCTTTGTGATATTATTCTAGAGTCCCAGTAACCCACAATTGTTGATGAGGAGTAGCAGTAGAATATCAAGGACAGGTGATGAGACAACAAGTCTATCCCGCAAAGGGCAGGGAATAGAGGGTACACTGGAAAGAATTTGAAAACAATAATAAAGCTGACTACAAGTTGGTCTATTTTTTATTACCACCATGAGCCAGCAATTCTAAATAATATCAGTGATAAAGTATTCATCCCCCAAAATATTTTATTGAACTAGGTTCTAAACAATTTCTGAGGTTACTGTTGAGTTTTAAATAATACATATATGTAAGCTTCAAAGTAGCACATTTGTACTGTTTTTCTTCAATAATCATTTTACTCCACATGGAAACTAATTCAGGGAATATCCTGCTATATAGTTGGCTCTCAGTACATATGGTGTCAGCTCATGTGTCTCCAGCCCCTGTAGTACTATATATTATTGCATTTAAATGATGGATTTGAAATAAACAATGATTATACCATGATTGTAAAGACAAGAAACAGAACCTGAAATACTTCAATTTTTGATTCTATGTGGCAGTTTAGAGTTTTTTAAAACAATTTTTATGTATAATTTATATGCAATAAATGCCCTCAAAGTTCAATGAATTTTTCTTCATTTCAATTACTATATTTTAATTTCAAGAAGATCTATGTAATTTTATTATAAATCTTTTTTGTAATCAGCTTTATAGTCTATTTTTGCTTGTATATGTATTCCCTCTTTTTTAAAAATAATATAGAATCAGGGGGTACAAATGCAGGTGTGTTACATGGGTATATTTCATAATGCTGGGGTTTGGGCTTCTATAGAACCCATCACCCAAATAGTAAACATAGTACCCAATAGGTCATTTTTTGACCCTTGCCCCCATCCCTCTCTCCTCTCTGTTGGAGTCATCAGTGTCTATTATTTCCATTTTTATGTCCAAATGTACCCTTTGTTTACTTTTCACTTATAAGTGAGAATATGTGGTTGTCTGTTTCTGCATTAATTGATTTTGGATAATGGCCTCCGGCTGCATTCATGTTGCTGCAAAGTACATGTTTTATTCCTTTTTATGGCTGCGTAGCATTCCATGGTGTGCGTGTGTGTGTGTGTGTGTGTGTGTGTGTGTGTGTGTAAGTATTACATTTTTAAAATCCAGTCCACTGTTGATGGACACTTAGGTTGATACTGTGACTTTGCTATGATGAATAGTGCTATCATAAACATATGAATGCAGATGTCTTTTTGAGAAAATAATTTCTTTTTCTTTGGGTAGATGCCCAGCAGTAGCATTGCTAGATGAACTAGTAGTTCTATTTTTATTTCTTTGAGAAATCTCCATACTGTTTTCCATAGAGGTTAAAAGTTCAATGAATTTTGACAAATGCATACAGTCACATAACCACCACCACAATCGACATAGACCGTTTTCACTAGCCCAGATGTCCCCCTATCCTTTTGCAGTCAATCTCCTCCCCTAAAGTCTGGCCCATGGAAATCACTGAGCTGCTCTCTATCACTCTAGTTTTGCCTTTTCTAGAATTTCGCATAACTGGAGTCAGAGTATATAGTGTTTTACACCTGGTTTCTCTCACTAGCATGATGCTATCGAGGGTCCTCATGTTGCATTTGTCAGCAATTTGTTCCTTTTCTTTGCCGAGTTGCATTCCATTGTACGAATACACCACAATTTGCTTATCCAGTCACTGGTTGATGAGCATTTGGAGTTTTTCTAACTTTGGACTATTAGGCATAAAACTTCTATAAATTTTAAATGTGGGCGTTTGCATGAACATAAGTTTTTATTTCTCCTGGATAGTTTCCTAGGAGCACAATTACTAAGTCACATGGCAGATTTAGGCTTAATTTCATAAGACACTACCATAGTGCTTTCCAAAGTGGCTGCATCATTTTGTATTCCCACTAGCAATGAATAAGAGCCCTAATTGCACCACATTCTTACAATGTCCAACATTTTAATTTTTGTGTTCTAGTGACTGTGGCTGCTGGGTAGAGGAGAATTTGTATATGTGGAAAATACAAGCATTGTGACTACTAGTTACAGTCACCATCTTACTGGTAACTGTGACAAATTTCAGGAAAGAGGATCATGATAGATATGGGGGTGATGATAGTGATAATCTTGGAGATTTAATAGAAGAAATTTCAAAGTTTAGCAGTGAATGCTGATAACTCTCCGGTTTACTTTTGGGAGGAAAGACAGGGATTAGAGGAAGTGAGGAAAAGGAAAAAGTAACCCCTGCAGGAAGGATCATCCTGGAAAAAACTGTGGCGTGGATTCAGTGTGTACTCATTAACTTCTTACCTTTCCTTGTTTGTATTGTTCTTCAGGTTCAGAAATCAACACCCTATCACCACTACCAAAATCTTTAGGCACTGTATTAGTTATTGATTGCTGCATAATAAATTACTCCAAAATTTCATGTCTTAAAACAACAATATTTACTACCTCAGAGATTCTGTAGTCAGGCATCTAAGCATGGCTTAGCTGAGGCTGCTGGCTCAGGGTCCTATGCAATGCTGAAATCAAAGTGTCTACTGAGGCTGTGATCTCATCTGAAGATTCAACCAGGGAAGGCTCCACTTCCAAGCTCACTCAGGTAACTGTTGGCAGAATTCAGTTCCCTGGGGCCTGGTGGACTCAGGGCCTCAGTTCCTTACTGGCTGTTGGCTGGAGGCTGCTCTCATAGGCCCTGCCACATAGGCCACTCAACAGGGCATCTCACCAGTGCAACTTGCTTCATCAGAATTGGAAAACCACACAGAGAGTGCGTGTAAGGTGGAAGTCACGATCTTTTATAACTTAACCTATCACCTTCACTAAGTTCGATTCAATAGAAACAAGTCACAAGGTCCAGTCCCACACAAAGGTACATGGTCAAAGGTATGAATACAGAAGGTGGGCTCTTTGGGAGCCATTTCAGAAGCATCTACCAAAGCCAGGACTAGGGTGAAGTGAGTGACATGCCAGGGGTGCAAAATTGAAGGTAACACTTTTTCTAGCACAGCCCTGAGAGTGAATCCCATCAGATACCTCATTCACCTTACCCTAGTCCTGACCCTGTTGCCTACCACATGCCCCTAACACACCTATTCTGATTTCTGCCTACCCAATTAGTGCTCCCTGCAGAGACACTAACCTGAGCCTGTCTTCTCAGGCAACTGTTCCATGGTGCTCATTTTCTTTCCTCCATGACCCTCTCCTGAATCTTAGTTGTTTTTTATTCCAATTTTCCAGTATGCTGTTGGGGAAAAATGATATGAAATAAGTCTCAAATATTTAATAATTAATACCTAGGATTATTACATAATCTATATATTTAGAGCAGTATTTATTAGAATACAATCCACATACCCAACTCACTGAGGATACTTAATGAAAATGCAAATTCCATTCCTGTGTCCCATTCTAGACCCAGTGAATCAGGATCAGAGTCTTAGAGATAGTATCCCAGGTGACTTAAGTTTGCTAAAACATAATGGCCTTTTGCATTTATGGAGTGACTTCATTAGTCATATGCCTTAACCCTAAAAAAATAAATTTCTATTTGGAAAATTTGGCAAAAATTTAGGGGCAAGAGCTGTGTGATTAGAGTCTTTTTTTGGGTAGCGGAAATATCTCCTTGATAACCCTCAATATCTCATGTAGATAAACTACTTATTATTCTTACTTAAAAGCTGGTTGAACTGATGATATCTTTTAAAGCAATATCTGAACCTACTAAAATGGTTTCTTTTTCCTTGGTATTACTAAATATGCATTACAGTGTTACCAAATGAATCCTTGGCTTTTCCTAGCAGCCTGTGTTTTGTGATGAAGGCCACAGGAATGTGTTCAAGAGTTCCTGTACCTTTTCAATTAAAATGAGTTGCTAATTGCATCGGTGCTTGTAGAGGAAACCATTATATCAGCCTCATTGACTCTGCTTTCCCCCACTAAATTACAGTCAGTTGCCTGAAATGTAATCAATCCCTGTGTTGAAAATCAATCCTGTGTCTGCCTCTAGAGAATTGTCACTCATTTTTCTCCGTATTAGAGCTATCACACCACACCAGTTACACAATGGATTCAGCCAAGTCAGAAGTAGAAGAAATCCCTGTCGCTATTGAAAACCACAGATTAGGTGCAGGGTCACAGGCAATTACCCAACTGCAATGGAATCAAACACTCAGATGTTATGTGGTGTGAGTTCCTTAGCATCCTCCTGGCTCATAGATCATGGGAGACCTGAGGGCAACCAAGTACCTGATTATAAATGGAGAGTCCTAAAGAAAGAAATTTCCTACTTTAAGAATAACGCAATGGGCTGGGCGAGGTGGCTTACACCTGTAATCCCAAAACTTTGTGAAGCTGAGGTGGGAGGATCACCTGAGGTCAGGAGTTTGAGATCAGCCTGGCCAACATGGTGAAACCCCATCTCTACTAAAAATGCAAAAATTAGCCAGGCGTGGTGACTCACACCTGTAGTCCCAGCAACTTGGGAGGCTGAGGCATGAGAATCGCTTGAACCCGGGAGATGGAGGTTGTACTGAGCTGAGATCATGATTATGCCACTGCACTCCAGACTGGGCAACAGAGTGAGACTCCATCTCAAAATAATAGTAATAATAAATAATAATAATAATGTAATGCAGGATATTTGGATATCTGATTTTCCAGAAGGACAATCAAAATGACTTGACAAGGTATCATTGAAAGTCGGTGATATTTCAGAAGTCTGGCTTTCTTTAAGAAAAAAATCACATTCTTGTAAATATATAACTTATTTAAATTTAGTAAGGTAATATGTGTTGCATTGTGCATTTACGTAAGAAAGTAAAGATCAGAAGGCAAAGCTCTATGTTTCAGGAGGTGTCTTTGAAACACAAAATTTAAGGTCAGGCAGGGAGGGAGGGGCTGGGGCTGGTTGGGGGCTGGGAGGCATGCTGCGGGTTCAGATGGTGTGTAAAAGGTGTAGAGCAGGTGTTGAATGTGGCTTCATTTTCTAACTGAAGGACTAGAGAGCTGAAAATGCAGTCAGAGAATTAAGGTCAAAAGAATATGTGTATAATCCATGCAAGTTAAACAGCTTTTAATTCATGGAAGAGAGAGTCAGGCTTCAAGGTTTAAGCCATCAGATTCTTTTCCACAAAAAGAAGAGAATATGCAGAAAAAGAAAGTCATTTTAGAATTTAGCATAATTCTTCAGAGAATTTACATAATTAAAAGAAGTAAAAATACAAGTTTAATTTTTTTCAAAATTATAAGTTTTTGATTAAGTATCTCGTGGCGAAATGGGGTATATTATGTGGTTCTTATGTGGTTTGGTCATTTTATATGTTCACATATTTGCAAAACCTGAGAGACAGCAGGAATAATGTTCATTAACTATGATGTTTACAAGCAATTAACTTTTGCTGAAGTACAGAGAACACATATACGCAAGTAGTGGGAAACAAGTCTAGGAAGAAATTATGGCTTAGTCATGGAGAAACTGCACTAACTTTAGTTGGAAGAAAATAGGGAGTCACTGGAGTTGTTTTTAGTAGGAGGTTGGCCTGAGAACATGTTATGAGGACTGATTTCCAATACTGGGCAGGATAAGTCAGATTTAAAAAAAAAAGAAATCAGGGAAACATTTCGGGGGTGTACCCCAACATTCCAGGAGCTGAAATGAGGAGGACTGAACTTGGAAATGAAATACAGGGAAAACAAACAAAAGGCCTGGTGCCAGAAGAACCCAACTCGAGTGGGTGGAATATCCTAACATATTCTGAGGCCAAACTCCTACTAAAAGAGACCAAGGGGATCACAGGAGACCAGAGTAAAAAGCACAGGGAAAACGGCCCTCAGAAGAAAAGCTGATGTCGGGGACAGTGAAACATCATCTGGTTTGGGACAAGCTGAGTTGAAGTTCCCTGCATTTCACAGGCACTCACATGGGTGCCACAACACAGGAGAGAGGTCAGCCCTGGAAGCGGTGTTGAGGTGAATGGAGGGGAGCAAACCAGGGAAGGAGAGCAGACAAAAGAGAACAGAACTAGGGAGAGGACCTGGGTACAGGCAGGGTTGCAGCATGGAGCCCAAGAGGAGCCAGAGTGAATATTTAGAAAAGTAGGAGGAGAGTTAGCCTCACAGAGGTCAAGGGAAGAGGAAAATCAAAGAAGAAAGGGTTAATGCTTGCATGCGGAAAGTAGGATAGAGTAAGTTAAGCCATCACGGGTAGGAGCCTGGTTGGTGAGCTTAGGAGAGCAGCTCTATTCAGGTTTGAGGGCAGCCTCTGGACTGCGAAGGGTGAGGATTAAGGGGTAGGAAAGTGCAGGCGCAGCACAATGAATGTCCAAGATGTTTGCTCAGCATCCATTCATGGTTCTGATTCTTTCATTCTACCTAGGCTTCCTAGAAATTCCTCTCTCAAGCCCATTTTCTCCATTCACTCATACAGAGTATTTCCCTTCCACCACAATGGAAGGCATTTTCACAAGCTGATACCAGCTGAATGTGTTAATGGAGTCTCATGATGAAATTCTATCAGGCAGAGCATATTGTTATTGCAATATATTTTATTACTCTATTAGTACATGTTATAAAATATGTACTTATGAACAATTACTGCTACAATTTGATATAGCCAATCCATTGATGTAGGAATTTGGAGCAACAGTCATTTTTAGTAAAGAAATTGAGCTGAGTAAAGGTGAAATTCAAGATTCTATAGCATGTATGAAATGAAATGATCCATTTTAAAGACTGGATATAACTATGCTACCACAGATACACTTTCATTTAAGACAAACCATTTCATTTAGAACAGTTAAGAATACATTAAAGCTAGGGAATTAAACTCAGATAAAAATCTCTTAACAAACTACCAACTGTTTCATCCACAAAGAACAGCAAAGCCTTTTTAAAAAAGAAAAAAACCCACTCCACTTCTTTTTTGATTAATTGTTTAAAACTCATGCTAATTTCAGTAAAAGTAAGGATGATTATAGTCAGCACTTAGAAAATGAGAAAATGAATGATTTAAGATGCAGACTGTATTAAAAAAAAATCTGATCTCTGTAGAAATTATCAGTGCCAACAAAGATCTATGGGGTGAAAAAGACATTTAAAGTTGGTGCAGAACAGATATAGGGAATTTTTATATGAAGAAAAAGATAAATCAATTAAAGCAGGAACCGTGCTGTTTATTGTGATAAATCATATTAATATAACTCTTCTGAACAAGATATTCAACTGAAGAGAGGAGACATACAAATAAATCAGGATTTTAATTCACTGCTTTTGCTTTTGGATGCCAGAAGACAATGCCACACATTTATAGCTATGTCTACACAACCGCAAACAAATGCTTTGCCAGGAAGCACGATGTGCGGCACTGTTTATGAGCACGCCCACAGCAGGTCCCAAAGAATAACACATTTCCAAAGAGGGGGAAAGCGTGGAGATCAGAGCTTTGCTCAGAATGACCTTCTAATGATTCTCAATAACGGCAAAAGGATTCAGTTTCATAAAATCAGTCAAGCCAGTTTTATATTTTTTTTCTTCTAGCTCATTCACCAGACATTTATTGAGTGCTGATGAGCAGGCAGGTCCTACGGAAGGCATTGCAAATTTTGTGTGGAGTGAAATGCCTCTGCTTAGATTGTCATTGCTGTTTACCTTATAACCTTGTGGCCCAGACTACCTACCACGGGCTGACTGATTGCAAGCTGACCTTTTCCACCAATGCTGGGAAGCTGTGGCTGTAGACGATAGGATCTGCTCCTGTGTGAGTATTGATGAAGTGGTTTTCTTGAGACCTTCTACGTTTGCAGGACTCGGTCTGGTGGGAGAGAAAAATGAAGTCCTAACAAGCTGCAGGGGACCCTACCTACAAATCCTTCTTCTGCCCTAACATAGGTCATTGTGGTTGTATCGATGTGAAGGTTGTTTGTTTTGTTTTGTTTTGTTTTTAAATCAGAACTAAGTATCTGGCTGGGTGCAGTGGCTCATGCCTGTAATCCCAGCACTTTAGGAGGCCAAGGCTGGCGGATCATTTGAGCCCAGGAGTTCAATATCAGCCTGGCCAACATAGCGAAACCCCATCTCTACTAAAAATACAAAAATTATCTGGGTGTGATGGTGCACACCTGTAATCCCAGATACTCGGGAGGCGGAGGTGGGAGGATCACTTGAACCTGAGAGGCAGAGGTTGCAGTGGGCTGAGACCGTGCCACTCCACTCCAGCCTGGGCAACAGAGCGAGACCATCTCAAAAACAAAAGAAAAAAGAAAAAAAAAAAAGAAAGAACTAAGTATCATATGATCTTACAAATGTAACCTGATCAGAAGTAAAAGTTCTACCTTTTCTCCTCATGCTTGTTCTTAGTTAGGGTACTTAGTGCAATAGTTAAGAAAATAATATGAAATCTGATTATCTAGGCTGAATTCTAAATGCAGTATTTAATAGCTGTGTGATTGCATGTAAGTGATTCCACTGCTGTGCCTCAGTTTCTCATCTGTAAAATGGGGATAATTATAGTTTCTACTTTGTATAGCTTTGGGAGGATTAGCACCCAATACCTGATATTCTGCACATTCATTAATGCTAGCTAACTAGTTAATCTTAGTTTTAAAAGTGTAAAAATTGTGATAACAGAATAACTAATACTCAGTATGTTCAGTGTTTTACCATTTTGCATGGCACTTTTTTATGTATCACGTATGATCAAAAGGTAAGGCCTGGATAAAGAAAATGAGGTACATATACATCATGGAATACTATACGGCCATTAAAAATAATTAAATCATGTCTTTTGCAGCAACATGAATGCAGCTGGAGGCCATTATCCTAAGCAAATTAACACAGGTACAGAAAACTAAATACTGCATGTTCTCATTTATAAATGGGAGCTAAACATTGGGTACACATGGACATAAAGATGGGAACAACAGACACTGAGGATTCCTAGAGGGGGGATGGATGGAGAGTAGGAGAGGGGACAAGGGTTGAAAAGCTAACTATTGCATACTATACTCACTATTTGGGTGACGGGATCCATTGTACTCTAAACCATCACACAATATGCCCATGTAGCAAACCTGCACATGTACCCCTTGAATCTGAAATAAAAGTTAAAATTATATATTTTTTAAAAGATAAGTGTGGTCAAATGACTTCATAGAAGATAGTTTTCCAGAAAAGGTTTGTAATGGCTGACAGTAAGTAAACCTCCTCATCTCCTCTTTCCAACCCTTTTTTATTGTGGAAATCGCATTACCAAAGAGCAACAAGACTGATTGAAGAAGTGAGGGGCAGGGGAGCTCCACACTGGAAAGCACTCAGATGTCCATACATAATAAAATGAATAAGTAATTGGGATTTATTCAAACAGTGAAATTTAACACAGCAATGAAAATGAATGCATCGTAGCACACAACACCATGGATGAATTCTAAAAACATAAGATTGAATAAAAGAAATCAGACACAAAAGATACATATTCAATGATTCCATTTACAGAAAGTTCAAAAAGTCAATATTTAGGCGTGCATAGTGATGATCATAAAAGTGAGTCGTGATTCCTGTGGCATGGAGGAACTGATGATGGGAAGAGACATGTGGGTGTGGTGGGGGATATTTCTGGAATTCTGCCAAAATCATATTTCTTGGTCTGTATGATAGCTACCTGAGTATTTGCACGTAACAATTTTTAATGCTGTGTATTTACACTTTGATCATTTTCTTTTCATGTATTGTAGGTTACAAAAAGTCTTTAATTCCAGATGTAAGTTTATAATTTTTAAAATGAGAATAAACAGTTTATGAGGAAAGGTATCAGAAACCTAAGCTAAAAGCAAGTGGAGTAAATCTCTTTGTTATATCCATATGCCCCATTTTTCCACATATCTCTCCGTGTGTCTTCACCAACTCAATTCCCAACATCTTCCAATCATAAAAGGTTGAAGGATAATTATAAATAAATGCAGATTACTGCAACAAGCACTAAGGATATTCTCACAGTGCACATGAGGGATCTGATTCTGCTTAGATGGGAACAACAAAACCTGGATAATCAAGATGATGAAACATATTGTTGAGAGATGCTCTTTTTTGAGGAGAAAAGTGATGAACATATGTTCTAATTTAGATAATCTGCTCCTTGTCTATTTCAGACTCTAAGTTTACTCAGCTAACCTTTTTACAGAAATAGGAAAAAGTGCTGGATAATAATGATTCAGTACAAGTCCATTCTCATGTTCCAGTTAATGGCTCATAGCAACAGCTATTCTACTGATCCATTTGTAACATTTTAAACAAGAAAAGTTTTTCTGGCCTAAAACTAGTGACTTTGAAACTATCTGCCCTGTAATGTTGACCTTCTTCAGAGAAACAATTTAAATGTATAAATATAAAGAAATATAGTTAAGTAAAATCCATAAGATGAGAGAAGAAAACCGTCCTCTTTAAGACAACAGTCTGTAAGGCTATATTGTTTTCTTGATATTGCTATGCTGGGAACCAGAAGGTCATATGGATCCCACCTGGTTCTGTTCTCTATCACAACACCCTTGAAGGGTTATTGACCTAGGCATTTTATGAAGAAGATGAATGAATTGAGAATGACTGAACCCATATAAAAGTGGTCTGGTACAACTTTGCTTTAGTTTGACCTTTTTGAGAGCCAAAGATAAAGTCCAATGAAACATTTTATTTTCTATGAGGATATTGTTGGGGTATTTCCTCATCACATCACGTTGGAAAGTCTCAGTACCTAGACCAAGTGGCTTCCCCTAAATAACTGATGTTTGTCCTACAGATACAGTGATTCAAGCGACTGCCTCATTTTTTGCATTGGTTATAAGGAATTGTAGCACAAAATTTGAAGTCTATTATAAACATGGGCAGACTTTGGTTTGATTTTATATCTTATATCCATATTTTGATTTTCCCTGGACTTCTGTATTTGCTCATTTTGATCATGTAAGTTGCATTTTCCAGAATGTAATGGAGTGTAAGTAATTGCATTTCCCCACCCCAAAATGAAGCCTCTTAGTTGATTAGGTCTGTAGTTCTAGTCTCCCAAGCAACTGACAACTGCATGATAGACTCCACCTAGATTTTCCATAAGCATATCAAATACATATGAAATTCCCAAAACCTAGTCCTTCTGTGTCCTCTACTCTGTCTTGATAAGTGCCACCATGCACTTGGTTACTCAAGTCAGTATTCTGGGTGTCATTCTTGATTTTTCTTCTCCCTATACAATTTGCAAGAGTTTATATCACCTTAAACTCCCAAAAATCTCTTGAATCAATTTTTTAAATTTACTTCCTGATAGGGTTTGTCTCTGTGTCCCCACCCAAGTCTCATGTTGAATTGTAATTCTCAATGTTGGGGGAGGGACTTGATGGGAGGTGATTACATCATGGTGGTGGTTTCCCCCTTGCTGTTCTCATGATAGTGAGTGAATTCTCACAAGACTGGGTTGTTTGAAAGTGTGTAGCACTTCCCCCTTCACTCTCTCTCTCCTGCTGCCATGTGAAGACATGTCTGCTTCCCCTTTGCCCTTCCACCATGATTGTGAGTTTCCTAAGGCCTCCCCAGCCATGCCTCCTGTACAGCCTGTAGAACTGTGAGTCAATTAAACATATTTTGTTTATAAAGTTCTTTATAATTTCTTTATAAATTACCCAGTCTCAGGTAGCTTTTTATAGCAGTGTGAGAATGGACTAACGTACCAGCCTGTCGCTGGCCACTAGTTTCAGCCACCTGCCCTCTTTCTCCTAAACACATGCTAACCCTCACTGGCATCCCTGCTCTAGTCTTCCACCCCTTCCATCCATGGCACACACTCCTTCAGGAGGCATCACTCTAACACTCAGATGTGAAACCATTACTGCCTGATTGAATGTTTTCTCAATAATCCTCATTATCTATAAGAAAAAGCAAAATTCTTTAGAATGATCCTAAATGACCTTTATAGTCTGAACTCCTAGGCCTTCTCCTCTGCTCCTTGAACACTTGTGGTGCTAGAAACATGCCAAACTCTTTCATTTTCACACACATGCCATTTCTTCCCCTTAAATTTCTTTCCTCCTTGGAAAGGGCTACTTCCATTTGTCTTCAGGTCCCTGCATACCTTACCTCTGAGAAGCGTTCCCTGACATTCAGGCAAGCTTTGGCATACCTTCCCTCATGTTCCTACAGATTCTGGCCCATATGTCTATTGTAGAAATTACCAGGGTGCTTTGAAATTACTTCCTCGTATATCTCCTTTCTAGACAATACCTCCCTGTTTTCAGGTACTATGTCTCACTTTTGTATCTCAGGGCCTAGCATAGAATGCATCCTCAGTTAAATAAATTGATAAGTAAGTAGTAGATGGCAGGTTTATATTAGATGGGGCCAGATACTAGATTCAGAAGCAATAGACTAAAGCAGGGGGCAGCAAACTAAGGCCCACAGGTCAAACCTGAACCACTGCCTGTTTTCATAAATAACACTTTCTTGGAAAATAACCATGCCTATTTGCTTACATATTGTTAGGGCTGCCTCTGTAATTCAATGGCAGAGTTGAATATATTTGACAGAGATTGCATGGCTCACAAACGCTGAAATATTTATTATTTGTCCCTTCACAGAAAATGTTGGCTCACCCCTGAACTGAAGACATACTTATGAGCTAGAGTCATGAACCCCAGAGTGTGTCCTGCTATATTACAATGTCAATTACACTAAATATACAGATTTACTCTATAAGATTTCCTTTTCTACTGCCTTGCTCCCCTGTAAAACCAACACACACACCTCTGCAAT
Organism: Homo sapiens; assembly: GCF_000001405.40. Lineage (NCBI taxonomy): Eukaryota > Metazoa > Chordata > Mammalia > Primates > Hominidae > Homo > Homo sapiens. The sequence continues at coordinate 42,803,739 of NC_000013.11, forward strand.
CTGAAACCATATTAGCTTTCAAACTCCCTGCAGCCAACTCAAGCTTATTGAGATTTAGGCTCTTTTGTTTATCTAACTATAAGTGCAGAGACTGCTAATTGTTCCTCTGTTTAGTCTTCCCTGATTTATTTTAGTAATGTACTCCCCTGAGTTTTGCGTGGCACTGAACTGCCCACCTAGAGAATATCCTGCCCTGCCTCTCTTGCAAGTAGGTTTCACCATCTGAGGATGTTCAGGCAAACGGAATGTCAACAGAGTGATGTGTGCAATTCAGAGTTTCTGCCCTTAAAAGAAGACTTGCTCTACTTCCTCTCTCCTCCCTCTTTGGGTTGGAATATGAATGTGGAGGGGATGACCAACCCTGATCATATAGACAAGGACAATGCCTTCAAGAGCAACAAGATAGAGGAAACCTGGGCTCCTTTTTCATCTCACAGAGCACTCTTAACCTCCTGGACTACCCTCAAACCAGACGTTTTTGTAAGAGAAATAAAGCTTTCATCTCTTTTATACTACTATTATTTCAATAATTGTCACAATGGCCAAACCAATATCCTAACTTTTCACTTAACTTCTCTCTCCACGTCCTGTTTTTCCGTTAATACTTAGATGTCCTCTCCCTCTATCTGACCTCAGCAGAGCTCTACTTTTTATCTTAGCCACTCTCAAGTTAGAAAGCTATGCAGAAGTTTCACTTTCAACCACTCTTTCTAAACTCTAAGTCTTTCCCTGAAATCTCACCCTTTCTTAAAGCCCTCATCTTTCCAGTCCCTCCCCTTTTCTTTCTACCTCTATATTCTTCTGTTCCAAAAATAATAAGGAAAGAAAAGGAAATTTCCAGCCCTTCTGATGCAGTCCTTATTCATACTTTTCTGCTTTTCTTTCCTCATTGCCCCCATGAGGAACTGAGCAGGCAAGGACACAATCCTTCTTAGAGGATGTAAGAAGGGGAAAAGCAAAGTCAGAAAAGTCTTACTTCTCTTTAATGGTAAAGTGAAGATGGCTGTAAATACTAACAGCTATAAATTTTTGGAAGTGTGACCATGGCAGACGTTAAGAATTTGAAATGTGATGAACCTAATATAAAAATGCCATTAGATCGCTATGAAGGCCACTGAGTATTAGGTAAGTGGTGTTTTAGGGAAGGTATGCAGAAAGCAGGAGATAGATTGAATTGGATGGTTTTGGCTGGAAGCCAGGAGGCTGTTTAGGAGGTAAGTAAGTCCTGTTCTAGGATGATGCAGTGGAAATAGAAAATAGGAAAACATGCCCACTAGATATTTAAAAGAATCAAAGAGAATGTTGATGGCAGATTGGTGGATAGGGAAGCTCCATAGTTGTCATCCTTTCTAACAAGAATATTTTCCTCAATATTTGGTCATGTAAGTCCTTTGGTACTGTAGAGGGTGTAAGGAACTTAAAGGAGGGAATAAAATAAGTGAATATATTTCCAGAGCACTGCACAGTAAAATATATGCAAATGAAATCACAAGTATGCAAATGAGTAAACCTGGATGAAATGCCACTTCTTACGTAAAACGGTTAACATGCTTTCCAAAGGGCACGTCAGGTACATGCTGGTGAATCTAATTCTGTTCTAGCATTAATAGCTTCAGGTTTGGGACGTCAATGAACAATTTAAGTTTAGCCTGCTTTTAATTTCTCTGCACAATCCCCTCTAAGTTCTGCATGACATCCAGCCTTCAATGATTATTAAATAAATCTAATGAAATTGAACTAACTAGCATTATGCAAATTATCCCTAATCTTTTGCCTCTCTGGAAGCATTGTTCATGATCCTCAGTGGAGTTAAGGTTGGAATCCTCACAATGAAAACCAAAAAAAATTTGTTTTTACTCCACTTCTGGAAAGCAAAAGTTCTGCTTGCAAACAAAAGCAATGTGGTTGGTGGATAGGGTGATAGTTCTACATCCGAAGACCTGGGATCAAGTCTGGTGCTACCCAACTGCCAGCCACATATAATCCAAATATCACCATGTCCATGTGATAGCTAATTTCAGATGTCAATTTGACTGGATTAAGGAATACCAAGAGAACTGGTAAAGCATTATTTTGGGGTGTGTCTATGAGGCTGTTTCCAGAGGCAATTAGTGTGTGAGCCTGAGTGGACTAAGTGGGGAAAGATCTGCCTTCAATGTAGTCAGGCTGAGGGCCCAGAGAGAATTACAAAGGAGAGAAAAGGATTTCCCTTCGCTTTCTCCTGCAACTGGGACATGTACACTCTTCTCTTCCTGACATCAAGACTTCAAGCTCTTTGGCCTTAGGAATCCAGGACTTACACAGTTGTCCACCTCCCCACCTTTGCCTTCTCAGCTTTTCAGGTCTGTGAACTCAGCCTGAGAATTACACCACCAGCCTCCACAGTTCTGAGGATTTTGAACATGGACTGACCATGCTACCAGCATCCCAGAGTCTCCAGCTTGCAGATGGCTTGCCGTGGGACTTCTCAGCCTCCATAATTATGTGAGCCAATTCCCCTAATAAACCCCCTCTCATATCTCTCTATATATATCCTATTGGTTCTGTCTGTTTGTAGAACGCTAACTAATACACCCATGTACCCAGGGCTTCTGAAAAGCCAAAACACTGCAAACATTTCCACTCCTATCTCAATGTTTTAAGAAATTTCAAAGTCTTCATACATTCATAATACAAAATTAAACTTTACAACCCTTTTCAGATATCTCTTTCATGGTTTAGAGTTTGTCAGGGAGGAGTCAAAGTCCCTTCTCTGTCCCACTCACTTCCTCCCACACATTCTTACCTACAGGCAGCTTGCCTTTTCCTCCGCTAGTAACTCTCTCTTGCAGACACAGCCCCTTCATGGCTATTCTGGAATCTGCCCATTACCTCAACTCTGCACACCAGCTGCAGTGAGGAGGGAGTCTCTTAATCTTTCCACATTGATCATCTTTGAATCTCCAATCTTCTCCTGAGTCTTCATTTCAGTATCTATGAATTGGGGATGCTACCTGCCTAGTCTACTCCATAAGATTGTTCTGAAGGCTCCACGTCACATTAGATGTAAAAGTACTTTAAAATATGTTAAATTATTGTAAGTGGCAAGTCATCATTATTTTTAGATCAGGTGTTTTTTTTTTTTTCACTCTCCATGAACTTCTCTCAGGGAGGAAAAAAATGTTGTAAGTTCTCCCATTGTGGAGCGTTTGTGGGTGAAAAGAGAGCTCTGCCTGATCTCTGTGTCTCCCTCAAGCAACATCCCTCCCTTTCTTTCCCTTCTGAGCCAAGCTTTTGGGAAGCATTGTTAGCACTCATTAGCTCTCTTTCCTAACCATCAATTCATGCCCCACTGCTCCACTGCATTTCCGGTGCTTCTGCTAAGGACATCACTATCTAGCAACGAAACCAAACTGTTGTGCCCACCCCCCTTCCTTCCTTTGATTCCATCTCTCAGAGAGGGTCTCCTCTTACCTCTCCATCATATTCTCTTTCCCAGTGTCCTCTTCACTCAGTCCCTTTAAATGTTTGCATGACACTGGGGCATTCCTAATGACTGCACTAGGTACCAGCTCATCTTGAGCACCTACCATGCATCAGACACTTCACCTTTCCCATCTCACCCTCACAACAATCATGTAAGATTTGTATCTCCTCCTCATCTTACAGATGAAGACACAGAGGCTCCAGGAGAACATGAGTGCTGGCCAAGACCACACACCCCATAAACCACGAAGCTAGAATCCACATCCTGGGCCTCACTCTCCAGAGCCCGGCTGCCTCCCTCCTCTCTTCAGGCTTCCTGAGTTTGTAGCTTGGTTTTGTTATTTATTTGCTGAGCTCAAATCCTGGCTTACTTAACCTCTCTAACTGCCCATTTCCTCAACTGGAAAATGGGGCTAATGATAACACAGACCTTTTAAGTTGTTGTGAGGATCATTAGATAATGTTTATAAACTACTCAGCAGAATGGCTAGTGCAGAGTAAGCCTCAATCAATGTTATTACTACTTTTTATTATGTTCGGTACCGTTGTCTTTTCTCTACACACTCGCTCTTTGGTCAGGCTCACCTACACACACAGCTCCCAGCAGCACCTACATGTGAGAAATCCCCACCCTTTATGGCCAGCCCAGACTTCTCTACTGAGTGCTAGGTCCATATGCCCTGTCACTGGCTAGATTTCCTCCCCTTTGATATCCCATGCACACCTCAAATGTGACAAACTCACGGCAGATCTCACCCGCATCCTCCTGTAAATCTACCTCTTCTCTGACTGCCCTACGCTGGTGACTGGCAGGTCCCCCTGAGTCATAAACTTGGGCTTTGTCCTTGACTCCCATGTCTCCCCGGTTTCACTGTTCCAGCAACATTTGATCAGTTACTTAATCCTTCCTCTTAAACATCTCTCTGAGTCATCCAGCCTCTCCTGGATATTGCCTTTGTCACTGCTGAGTCTGTCTTGATTTAAATTTTTGATATTTTAATAATAAAATTTTTTTGATATTTTGTTCATCATGTATTTTGTGCACACATATTTATTTCTAAAAATATTGCATTAAAATATTATTTATTATTAATAACTTGGGGTTTTAGCACTTCCTTAAATTTTACATCAGAGATAAGCACCTCACTTGCCTTACCTTATTCTTGGTCCTGCGGACAATTTTTCTCCCACTGCAGTCTCCTATAGTATCCTGCCAGTATTGTATTTCCAAAACGTAAGTAGCTCAAGACACACCCTTGTTTCAATGCATTCAGTGTCTCCCGAGCTTTGCGATTCCACACCACCTCCACCCCTCCCCCTGGACCCTCTGATCCAGCAATAGGAATCCATGTCTTTTTCTTAAGGTGGCCCCACTTTTACATCTCTGTGCCTTTGGAAACAACAATAGCCTTTGGATAGTGATTTTTTGACTATCCTTTAGTTATCTGGGATGGTTGGAAACTGGTTATCCTTGCAAATAGCTCAATGCTTAGGCTTTTACTGATAAAATCTAAATTTCAACTATACTGTATCAAAATCCATCTAAAACTTATGACACATCTCTGTGGTCTTCCATATATAACACATTCATGACTTTAAATGCTCTTTATGACTCAGCCTCATGCTAAGCCTCAGTTATGGTGCTTTTCTATAATCCCGTGATGCCAACCTCAGGAGCCATTGAGATTTGTAAGCTGGTGCTATAATCTAAATGTTTGTGTCCTTCCCAAAATTCATACGTTGAAATCCTCAACTCCCAAGCGATGGTATTAGGAGGTGGGGCTTTGGGGGAGGTGATAAGATCATGAACCTTCATGAGTGGGATTATTGTCCTAATAAAAGAGGCCCAATGGAGCTCATTCACCCCCTTTCACTATGTGAGGACACAGCTAGAAGGCGCCATCAGTGAACCAGGTCTTCAACAGATGCTGAATGTGCTAGCAGCTTCATCTTAACCTTCCCAGCCCCCAGAACTGTGAGCAATACATTTCTGTTTTAAAAGCTACCCAGTTTTTGGTGTTTTGTTACAGCAGCCTGAACTGGCTAAGACAGTCAGCTTGCCCCTAAACTCAATGTTCACATACAATTCATTCTTTTTCTTGTTTGGTTGTATTCTTCCAGAGTATCTTCTTGTTCCTTCTGATCTCTGCTCCCTGCTGTCACTGGTTCTGCTTTTTATTCTTCATCCCCAATTGCTTGGTCTCATTCCATTTTCTTTTTCCACATAACTCCAGCCTTAACCTTGGTCTTTGTCACTGTCTCCGCTGTCTGTGCCATCCCAGTACTTCTCTTTGTGGGTGCTGACAGGGCTTAATAATAAAGCTAGCCAGGTGCGGTGGCTCATGCCTGTAATCCCAGCACTTTCAGAAGCTGACGCGGGTGGATCACTTGAGGTCAGGAGTTCGAGACCAGCCTGGTCAACATGGTGAAACCCCGTCTCTACTAAAAATTCAAAAATTAGCCAGGCGTGGTTACGCACACCTGTAATCCCAGCTACTCAGGAGGTTGAAACATGAGAATCACTTGAACTCGGGAGGCAGAGGTTGCAGTGAGCAGAGATCATGCCACTGCACTTATGCCTGGGTGACAGAGCAAGACTGTCTTGCTCTGCCTAAAAAATAAAATAAAAAACAAAAAGTATAACCTTAGCCAGCCTATGACTGTGCTGTCTTTTGCTCTGCTAACTGATTCACCCATTTTATTATTCAGTCGCTGTATTCTTGTCTCCTTTCTTCTCCTTTTACTTTTGGATGTGCCATTGTTCTGATTAGTTGAGAGGTGCCGAACAGATAACTAATTATGGCAGTGTGAGCCACAGGATAATTCTCAAGTGATCTCTGCTGTAGCATGTCCCCACATAGGGCATAGTGGGCAAGGTTAAGAAGGAATTCTAACCTTGAATACCTGAGGACCTGACTCCGTTCTCATTCTCTATCCCTGTGCTCATCAGAAAATGCCAATCCTAAGCTATTTGGGTGGGGTTGGTTGGAGAGACATGGAAAAGTACCCTGGGCAGCTGAAGTGCCTGTTAAATCTTACCCACATTTGAACAAATTCACTCTAAGTTGATTTGGTTCTCCTTTAAAATGAGAGAAAGCAAGGACTTAGACTGCCAATTGCCCCCTGAAATTATCTTTGGCTGCATTAAAGAGCTTCACAGAATGACAGTTACTTTTTATTATCAAGAGCTTACTTGTAATTATAAAGTATAGAGAATATACATATATGCCAATGAATGAAGCATGGGAACACTAATAAATTTAAAAATTCAACAGGCTCCTCAAACAACTGGGCCCAAGACAGAAACTGCTCAGAGCAAGATTTTCAAATAGATCTTTTTCTAGTGACTGAGATATTTAAGAAAAATTGGCATAAAGTAGAACCCGGAATCTTCTGTTCACTTATTTTTCTGGCTATTACATCATCCCTGAAAATAAACAAATAAATAAAGCAGGGGTCAGAGAAGGTATAGTACTTTTTGGATGCTGACTATGGATAAGGCTTTTTGCTTGTTTCCACAGCACTTCCTATCCCTGCTTTCTGTATCCTTGGAAAGAAATGTGGAATAATGAAAATAGCAAAAGGCTTGGCAGCCAGGCAGGCCCAGGTGTGATCTCAGTCCCACCATTCATTCTCTGGGTGGCCTTGGGCAGGTCACTCTAACTCTGTGAGCCAAAGGGTCACTAAAGCACCCTTCCTGGAATTCCTTTGAGGAGTCAGTGAGGGAGCACACAGTGAGTGGGGCTTCCCTTCATATCCCCTGCTCTGGGCCAGGGACCAGGACCTGGTGTCAGGGTCTTTACCCAGCACTGTACCAACACTTGCTCTCCAAAATGGGACTAGGGTGAAATTTCTTCACAGTATGAAAATAATGGCCCAGGGAACGAAGCAAATGCCAAGAGCTGAGCCTTAGGGAATGACTAGTAGGCCCAGATTCTTGGGGTGACTTCCTTCGAAGACTTCATTTGTTAACACCTTCCTTCCCTTCTTGTTAGTTTCAGTGGGAAGTAGGATTGGGGTGATTTGGAGAAGCAGTGGGGAATTTAGTTAGGGGAGACTCCTGGGTACCTGTGGGGACATAAAAAGGGATTGGTGTGGGATGGCAGGTAGAGGCCACAAGAGGAGGGCGTGAATGCTACATGAAGGAGTTTGTTGTTGTTTGGTGGAAGAGGAGGAGGTATGCATGTGAGGAGGGGTGGCCATGAGCCTGGAGCTGTCCTGCAGGGCAGCTTCTTTCACTCTGCTGCGTATGTGGTGGAGAGCTCTGACCCACCCTGCTCTTGAGTGTTTCTGAATGCTAGGAGCGGGGACAAACCTGCAAGGCTGATTGGATGTTGAGGAACAAGTATGTAAAGAGAAGTGTATACATAAAAACCAAAAATCCCTGGGGCTTTGAATCCTTCTAGAGCTCCTGGCCACCTTCTTCAGGACAGCAACTGACAGTGTTGTGAAGTGCTTGGCTTTGTCCTTCTCGCAGGCCATCTGGGCTAAGTAGTGAGATCCACGTGGCCAGGAAGGAAGGCATGCATCTCCCCAGGCCTGTGGCTCTCCTTGTATTGACCTTGCTGCTTCCTGGGCTAAGCAGCTGCAGTGAGGGTGTGTTGCCCTGAAGCAGTTACGTCATTCATTAATCCAAATTCTGAAAGACAAATGAGCATATGGTGCTAAAATACTTTTTTTTTAAAAGCCACAGTTTCATTGTCTTAGTCAAAGCAAGATTATTACGTGATTATTTTCAATTCAATATATTTGTTTTGGAGACAGTTTCTTGCTCTGTCACCCAGGCTGGAGTGCAGAGGCACTATCATAGCTCACTGCAGCCTTCAACTCCTAGGCTCAAGTGATCCTCCTGCCTCAGCCTCCTGAGTAGCTGGGACTACAGGCACCTGCCACCATACCCAGCTAACTGTTTTTCCAGTGTTTTTAGAGACAGGGTCTCACTATGTTGTCCAGACTGGTCTCGAACTCCTGGCCTCAAATGATCCTCCCACCTCAGCCCTAAATTCATTTTTTTAAATTAGCAATTTCAAGTATAACAAATTTGGAATAAAGGTTTGTTTTCTATTAATAAAAATGAATAGTGACAAAACCCCCAATATTCTAGATTGTGAGACTTCCCTCTTGTTGTAGTTGGACCACATTTAAGGACTAAATTGGAAGGAAGGAGCAAGAGGAGTCTGTGACAAACCTGTGGTTAAGCTCTCTTTGAAGAAATCGCACAGTATGGCTCCGTGCTCTGAACATGCTCTGTGTCTGCCCTTTTTCAAAGGCGAGACAGCCACCTCGAGGCCAGTCAGACCATGAATAATGGTCTAAGCCCTTGCCACCAGGATGGAGAGGTCTGAGCAGTACAGTGAAGAGGCTTCATCAGCAAGGGCTGATTCAACGGCACCTCTCTCTGGATTCAATGGCATTCTTTCTGGAGGTTAGCCCATTTCTTTAAGTCAGCTCCATCCAAGTTTGATTATCCTTCTTTGAATCTCTTCCAACAATTTGACATCCTTGAGGTTGAATAGCTGAAAACTGCACATAGCGCAGCACTCCACACAAAACACCTTTAGAAATTTCTAGTTGAGAAGAACTTGGGCAAAGTCAAATCTCCCCACTTGATTTTGTTTATGTTCCTCTCTTGGGATTTGTCTTGGGCATGTTACTGTACAAATAACTGCTATCATCATCATCATCAACACCAGTTTTAAGAATTATAATAGCAATAAAATTGACTTACCATTTTTGAGACTGGAGTTTTGTTACCTGATATGGTTTGACCCTGTGTCCCCACCCAAATCACATGTCAAATTGTAATCCCAGTGTTGGAGGAGGGGTCTGGTGGGAGGTGACTGGATCATGGGGGCGGACTTCCCCCTTGCTGTTCTCATGATAGTGAGTGAGTTCTCATGAGATCTGGCTTTTTGAAATGTGTAGCACCTCCTCCTGCTCTCTATTCCTCCTGCTCCTGCCATGTGAGACATGCTGGCTTCCCCTTTGCCTTCCGCCATGATTGTAAATTTCTCGAGGCTTCCCAAGCCATGCCTCCTGTACAGCCTGTGGAACTGTGAGTCAATCAAACCTCTTTTCTTTATAAATTACCCAGTCTTGGGTAGTTCTTTACAGCAGCATGAGAACAGACTAATACATTACCTAAAACAAATTTTGGAAACAAATCAGGTCATTAAAAAGTGCAAGCACGGCCAGCCATACTAAGCCACCTGTTCACTGTGTTGCTGGGGTTTTTTTTTTTTTTTCAATTTATTTTTTTGAGCCAGCATTCTTTTGTGAATATCAATTTCTACTGGGCAATCAGGCCATGTGGTCTCTCCTCTGGACTGGCCCCTACAGCCTTCCACACTCTGTGACACTCAGTGGCCACAGGCCCCTGGAAAATTGGATGTGTGACTGAGTCTTTAAGAGGTGGAGTGACTTACTTTAATTCAGTAAGTCAATATGTTTTAAACTCAGATTGTTTGTTCCACAATAGGAAAAAGCTGTGAAATTTCTTGTCTCAGCTCTGTCTACCACTACTTTGGAGGGGCTACAGGTATCAGTGAGATAAACCAAAGTCAGATATTCAAACTGGGGCATAAAATGTTCTGCATGAGTGTCAAGAATGGTTCTTTGGGTGTGGCGAAGGGTTCACACCTACATTTAATTTTCGAAATGTGTTTCTTAAAAATATGCCAAAAAGATACCTAGAAAAACACATATCACTGATTGAAATATGTAATGCATTTAAATATACATACATATGTATATACACACACACATATATGTTTTCATAATCACACTAATATCTGCCCTGCTACACTGATGGTCAAATATTTTGGGAGAGAACATCTGGCAGCCTACCTCTAGTCATCTTTTCCTCTATAAAACTCTTCCAATACCCTGTTCTAGCTATGCTTAACCTTCCAAGCTTATCAAACAAGTCAGGTTCTCTCTCCACTCCACACATTGCTCAAATTGCTTCCACTGCCTCAGATATCCTGCTCTGCCCCCATTCTTAACCTGGCTACCTACTCTTAGAGTTTCAGTGATCTCTTCCAGGAAGCCTTCAAACATGCACACACAAATACTTGACTAGCATCTCATGCACAGATACTTGCATACTTGACTGGTACCTCATGCTTACTTCTATCAGATGATAGCGTTGGCTACCCCGTATAGGACGATCTGTTTACTTATCTGTCCCCCGCCACACCAGACATAGGCCATCAGGTCCACCAGGACTGGTGTCTTTATTGTTGCATGTTTCCATTCTTCACACAGCACCTGGAAAATAGGTAAATAAATATTAAGTGAGTGAATGAATGAATGAATGAATGGGATGAAGGAATGAATTCTTGCTACTGACTGGTGCATAGTTGCTACGCACATCCACCTCCAATTCAGCTCCCTGCTGGAGTCTGAAATTGAAGGCTGGTGGAGAGAGGATTTGGTCTTCCTAGGCAAAATGCAGTTACCTGACTTAACCATTCACACTCCATGTGGATGGGATAAAAACACCTAAGTGAGTTTTTCTTGTCCTGGTGATTTTTGTAGCAGTTTGTGGCTCATTTTTATCAAGTCTAGATACAATTTTCTTTCATGTGCTATGAAGTCTTGGTTCCTGTAACACAAACCTCTTTAATCATTAGTCTTTCTGGTAGAATTTGATAGGGGCCATATAAAATGCTTCTCTTCATCTGCTAAGAGCCATTTATGGACACTTACTATGAGCAATATACATTGCAAAAGACCAGAAAACTCACCCTCTGCTTATGATTCAGCACTGTAACATGATAGCCTGGAAACTAGTCTGATAGTTTAATCAGTGCTATGTGATCCTTATTTGTGGTTGGCTGCCTCATCAATTTTCATTTGGGAATTGAAATGGACTCTGAGGCAGATATGGCATTAATTATGGGGGAAATTGGTTGCAATATGCCTTGAGGTAAAACCCTTCTGATGGGAATCTAAGATTGAAAGAAAGCCAAATTATAAAAGGATGATTTACTGAAAAAGGCAAATGTATGCATTACCATCACTGCTTAGCAGAGAAAAAGTTGCTGATAAACCAGAAAGATTGTGGCATGACTGAAAAGTGAGGAAAATCTCTAGGTCTAGCTCTCTCAAAAAAAAGATTTATTCTTATGCTGAATGCATTATATTTCCCCAGATACATACAACATTTTCCAAAAGTGTGCTTCAATTAATAGGCAAGCAAGCATTAATACTAGTTGGCAGGGTCCCAATTTTCTTCTAGATTGAAATATATTTACTAAGAACTGAATAGGGAGCATCTAGGGACACCAAAGTTAAAATTCATTTTACCAGTTGTAGTATCTGCTGTTGTATCAATTTTCTTGTTAAAATACCACATTTTTTTTACCTGAAGATTTCAAAAACCTTCTTAGTTAATACCCTATTTTTCCTATCACTGAATCTTGATGAGGTAAAATACAGAGGAAAAGTCATCATAGAAATGTCTATTCCCAATTTAATATGAGAAAACTGAGACATAGGAAGCTTAAGTTAGTGCATTGTTTAAAAGCAACGTATTTTTCTTAATTGGATACAAAACAGAGTGAGTTATCAAGGAAAGTACCAACTGGGAGTTAACACCCCTTCCCACGTCTCACCCAGAAAAAGGTCAGCACTGTATTTTTATAAGTTGCGATGTGTTTACCCATACCCAAGCAGAAAGTAAGGAGCTTTTGTGTTGCAGGAAGAGAGTAGCACAATACAGTGGTTAGCAACTGGGTCTGGAGCCAAGACATCTGCACCCAAATCCTGTCTCTGCTACTTACTAGCTGGGTGACTTTACCCTTGGTCTCTGTGCCTCAGTTTTCTCATCTGTATAACTGAGATAGAATAAAAGTACTGGCTGTGATCTTGAAAAGTAAGACAGATCCCTTCGTAAAGGGAGGAGTTGCAGGGACTGTTCAAAGTAGATAAAGCAGGCGCTCCTGGACCCCAGGGAAAGTTAAGAGTCCTAAGACCAAGAGTAGGGATGGGATTTTGCAGGTTTCCACCAGTAGGAGAGACCAAGTGGTACCCAGATGGGAGACTACAGGGTGCCTGAACCTGGGACTCTGGTTAGGAACCCGGGGGCCTAGAATTCCAGGGGTAGGTTTGTAGTTGATGGAGCTGATGGCCCTGGTGGGTCGTGTCTGAGTTTGTCTGCAGCCCAACCAAAGCCAGAGGAACAAGCCTTGACCACACACTTGGAGCTAAAGGTATTTTCATTGTGTATTCCCATTCTTTATACTGCCCCTGGAAAATTCATAAATAAATGTTGAGTGAGTGCAGCCACTGTGAACCAAATATCTGGCATTTTCTCCATTATTGTGTTTTTAAGCAACCTCCCCCACCCCCAAATCTAGAAATCTTGAGAAGACAGAAAAGCACAGGAATGACAGAGGATGAATGTCCCACCAACCAAATATGTGGACAGTCAGGAAGATTAAATTTGATTGAGAACAAAAAGGGAAATGTGCTTTTATCTCACTCTACTGTTGTGGACTAAAATCAATACCTGCTGAATCAGTTATGAACATATTGGTAACAAAACCCCTACTGGTGACAGAAAATATGGCAGTTTATTCAATCATGACAGAAAAATCTAGAAGTAGACTCTCCAGACTGTCAGTGATACCATCAAGGTCTTCTTTCTGCTCTGCCATCCTTTGCGTGTAGCTTTTGTCTGCTTTGTTACAAGATGGCAGCCGGTCCCCTAAACCATTTGTCCAGGGAGGAAGAAGGAACAGTGGGCAGGGAGGAAGGGGTGGTATTGAAATCAGGAAAGCAATCACTTCCCAGAAGCTGTCACTTTATATTTCACTGGCCAGGACTGTGCCACATGCTCATCTTTCTGATGTGTGATGATGAAGCTATAATTTTCAGCTGGGCACATGGCCATGCTGAACTAAATTAGTTTCTATTAATGAGATTGAGAGGAAATGGACAGACAGAAGGAGAGCAGCTAATAGTGTCTGCCACACACATTTTTCCCAACATCTGAAATCTACCTTTATCTATGTAAGAAAACGTATATCATGTTTAAAGCAAACCACATAGATTTTTTAAAAATGACAATTTGATTTAAAAATAGAGGGGGCAATTCTACTTAAATAAAGAGTTTACAACACAGGCTCCTGTAATCCCAGCTACTCGGGAGGCTGAGGCAGGAGAATTGCTTGAACCCAGGAAATGGAGCTGGCATTAAACCAAGATCGTGCCACTGCATTCCAGACTGGGCGACAAGAGAGAGACTTCATTTCAAAAAAAAAAAAAATCATTTGATTTATATAATGTTTTTAATAATGCAAAACCATCTTTAATCTCAAGGAGGCCTAGAGGTAATCTAAGCCAACTCTTTCATGGCACAGTTGAGAGACTGAGACCTATAGAAATGTCATGTAATTTTCTCAAGTTTCTACAGTTAAGTAGTGGCAGGAAAGAAATTAAAAGTCTTGCAATAATGGATGGCAAATTTTCAAGAATATCTTTACATTTTAGACTTTGAGTCTGAAAAATAGGTAAATAATAGTAGTTTTCATGCTGCTGATAAAGACATACCCAAGACTGGGAAGAAAAAGAGGTTTGATGGATTCATGGATCCACATGGCTGGGCAGGACTCACAATCATGGTGGAAGGCAAGGAAGAGCAAGTCCCATCTTACATGGATGGCAGCAGGCAAAGAGAAGAGAGAGCTTGTGCAGGGGAAACTCCCATTTTTAAAACTGTCAGATCTCATGAGACTTATTCACTATCACAAGAACAGCACGGGAAAGACCCAGTCCCATGATTCAATTACCTCCCACTGGGTCACTCCCACAACATGTGGGAATTCAAGATGAGATTTGGGTGAGGACACAGCCAAACCATATAATTCCACCCCTGTCCCCTCCAAATCTCATGTCCTCACATTTCAAAACCAATCATGCCTTCCCAACAGTCTCCCAAAGTCTTAACTCATGTCAGCATTAACTTAAGAGTCGACAGTCCAATGTCTCACTCAAGACAAGGCAAGTCCCTTCCACCTATGAGCCTGTAGAACCAAAAGCAACTTAGTTACTTCCTAGATACAATGAGGGTACAGGTATTGGTTAAATACAGATATTCCAACTGGGAGAAATTGGCCCAAACAAAGGGGCTACAGGCCCCATGCAAACCTGAAATCCAGCTGGTCACTCAAATCTTAATTCTCCAAAATGATCTCCTTTGAGTCTGTGTCTCATTTCCAGGTCACACTGATGCAAGAGATGGGTTCCCATGGTCTTGGGTAGCTCCGCCCCTGTGGTTTTGCAGGGTACAGCCTCTCTCCCAGCTGCTTTCACAGGCTGGCGTTGATAGTCTGTGGCTTTTCCAGTCACATGGTGCAAGCTGTCAGTGGATCTACCATTCTGGGGTCTGGAAGATAGTGGCCCTCTGCTCACAGTGCCCACTCCACTAGGCAGTGCGCCAGCAGGGACTCTGTGTGGGAGCTCTGACCCCAGATTTCCCTTCTGCACTGCTCTAGCAGAGGGTCTCCATGAGATCCCTGCCCCTGCTGCAAACTTTTGCCTGGACATCCAGGCATTTCCATACATCCTTTGAAATCTAGGCAGAGGTTTCCAAACTCTAATTCCTGACTTCTGTGGACTGGCAGGCTTAATACCATGTGGAAGCTGCCAAGGCTTGCACCCTCTGAAGCCACAACCCACGTTCTACATTCGCCCCTTTCAGCCATGGCTGAAGCAGCTGGGATGCAGGGCACCAAGTCCCTAGGCTGCACACAGCATGGGGACCCTGGACCCAGCCAACAAAACCACTTTTTCCTCCTAGGCCTCTGGGCCTGTGATGGGAGGGGCTGCTGTGAAGAACTCTGACATGCCCTGAGGACATTTTCCCCATTGTCTTGAGGATTAACATTCGACTTCTCATTACTTATGCAAATTTCTGCAACCAGCTTGAATTTCTTCTCAGAAAAATGGGATTTTGTTTTCTATCACATTGTCAGGCTGCAAATTTTCCAAACTTTTATGCTCTGCTTCCCTTATAAACCTGAATGCCTTTAACAGCACCCAAGTCACCTTTTGAATGCTTTACTGCTTAGAAATTTCTTCCACCAGATTCCCTAAATCATCTCTCTCAAGTTCAAAGTTCCACAAGTCTCTAGAGCAGGGGCAAAATGCCACCAGTCTCTTTGCTAAAACATAATGAGAGTCACCTTTGCTCCAGTTTCCAACAAGTTCCTCATTTCCATCTGAAACCACCTCAGTCTGGACTTTATTGTCCATATCACTATCAGCATTTTGAGCAAAGCCATTCAACAAGCCTCTAGGAAGTTCCAAACTTTTCCACATATTCCTGTCTTCTTCTGAACCCTCCAAACTGTTCCAATCTCTGCCTGTTACCCAGTTCCAAAGTTGCTTCCACATTTTCAGGTATCTTTCCAGCAGCACCCCCCTCTACTGGTACCAATTTACTGTATTAGTCCATTTTCATGCTGCTGATAAAGACATACCTGAGACTGGGAAGAAAAAGAGGTTTAATGGACTTACAGTTCCACATGACTGGGGAGGCCTTCCCACAATCATAGTGGAAGGCAAGAAGAAGCAAGTCACGTCTTCCTGGATGGCAGTAGGCAAAGAGAGAGAGCTTGTGCAGGAAAACTCCCATTTTTAAAACTGTCAGATCTCATGAGACTTATTCACTATCACAAGAACAGCACAGGAAAGACCCAGTCCCATGATTCAATTACCTCCCACTGGGTTCCTCCCACAACATGTGAGAACTGTGGGAGTTACAATTCAAGATGAGATTTGGGTGGAGACATGGAGAGTCTTTAAATGATTAGTTAAATATAATACTAAATGTGATTTATTTTTAACAACTTTGTAAGGATTATTTCAAAAATAAGTACATAAATAGATAATTCTTTATCAGAACATTTGTACATGATTTTCATCTGAAAGTATGAGAGTAATAAAAAGGGAAGACTCTTACAATGGTAAAATACTAACACTGCTACTTACTAACTACATAATCCATAGGCAAGTTACTCACTCTCTAAGGCTCAATTTTTTCAATTATAAAGACGGATGAAACTTTGCTATAAGATTTTTGAGGGGGCTAAATTAAGCAGTGTATAGATAGCATACAGCACAGTGCCTGCTATTTAATATGTTTCTAATAAGTGGTTGTAGATGTTGTTGTTATCCTCATGGTGTCATCATCATCATTATCATATTCTTGGGGAAAAACTCAGCCCAGTGTTCTTCATATTTCACTACGAGATAAAAAGCTGGAATTGTAAGAGTAGATTCAGAAAGAAAAAGAAGATTCTGAGAAGGGATTTCAGAACAACTTCCTCTCTGGAGTAAAGAACAGTTAGGAAAGAATAACTGGCAGCCTAAAGGTGCCTCTGTAGCTGAGTATACTCCCAGGAAGTCTAGGCAGAGAACCAACATTAAACTCTGCTCCTCTCGGGGCCTGGTGAGAGCTATGGAATGACCCAGAGAATCCAGAAATTCCTTCTTCTTTATACCAGGGGCTGAGTTTGAGATGTTACGGCTCCCAGAGGTGCCTTAACTGATGGAAGCCTGTGACTCGTCTGGGGGAAGGCCATCATCACCCATTTGCCCATAGATACCCTTCCAATCCCAGTGGAACCAAAAGGAAACTTACAGGTGGGTCACATGGCTCTCAATCTTTATGACTGTGATCAAAAGAGACCTGCAAGTAAAGAGGCTGCATCTCCAAGCTTCAACAGAGAGCTGTTAGTTTTACCCAGTTTGTTTATTCATGGCTCACAAGAGTAGCAACTGCTGTGCCTTCTACTACTTATCTACTAGTAGTAAATAGTTGGATCCCAAGAGGATCCCAAGCCCTCTAAAAAAGAAGCTCACAACCTGGCTTACCTGTTGAGGCAGTAATAATTAAAAACAAATATATATATATACATATATTTAGGCAAAGAAAAAAAAATGCATGTAAGGGACCCAGCAGCCAGATAGAAACAGACAAAGGAGACTAGAAATATTAGCTGGTTGCTAATATTGATGGAGAACTGGTAGAAAATAAAGAAAATATTTTAATTAAAAAGTAATAAGAACTTCTCTTTTTGATAATGGCAGGTGGGCCATTAGAGCCGATCTTCCCACTGAAGCAGGAAACATATAATAAATATACACTTGAAATATTCAGAAAACGAATAAAACAATGAGGAATTAAAGAGCAAGATCTAGAGAAAACAGAAAAGCCTGCTACGTGAGCCACACATTTAGGGCAGCTTTCTCTCTAGGGGTGTCTGCTATCATTTAAATATGCAACTGAGAAGATGAGCAGAGTTCTGAGAACCTTGTGGAATAAACAGACAAATGCTGCAGTTCAAGGATTACCAAAGAAGGAGAAACTTGTATACTTACAAAAGAAATACACCCTAGGAGTAAGGATGACCTATGAGTAAACTGAACCTCACAGGGACTGAAGCCCAGCGTTGAGTCATCTTATTTCCTGAAATTAAATCAAGGTGGTCTGGGATGGCTAAAGCCTCTGGTCTCCTGCCAGAGACCAGAAATTATTTCTATATTTTTATAAGTAAAAACTAGCACTCAATAAAAAAAATCAGGCACACACAAAGACAAGATAATATGAAAAAGGGGGAAATAATGCAGAATAGAAACAGATCACTAGAAAACAATGTAACACAGCTGACAAATATTTCTAGTTACATTTTATAAGTTCAAGGAGATAAAAGATGAGAATTTCAGCAGAGAACTGAAATCTGAAAGAAAGAGAATTCTAGATTTGAAAAAATTAACAAATGAAATTAACTCAATTTATAGGATTAACAGAAGATTAAATGCAAATTAAGAAAGAATTCATGACTTGAAAGATAAGAAAGAATAAAGATTCCAAGTTAATTTTATTCCAAGTTAAATTTACTCTGAATGGTCTTACGTAAGTAAACAGACTTCCTTGGGTTTTGAAAATATGAGGAAACAAGCCACATGAACAAGAGTAAACAAAAATAATAATAAAAAGCTCTATCAGACCACAGTTATTTTATATCACAGAATAATTAAATGAAGAATATAAAATAATGTGTTTAAAATATTTAAGGAAATAAAAAGTAATTAAAACCATGAGCTGGTAATTAACATAGTATCATGGAAGAGAAAGATTTGAAAACTAGTCAAATATAACTCTTCCCCCTATGTACAAAAATCATCATCATTAACATGTAAAAAGCCAATAGAAACCTTAAATTGTAGATAGGACTCAGCTGATTAGAGGTAAGTAGGGTACTTAAGGATAGAACTGAAGAAATTTTGTAGAAGGTACACAGTGAGAAAAAGAGATAAAAGCAGGAAAGAGCAAGGAAGATCAGAGACATGGAGGATAAATTAAAAAATATATATATACACAAAAGACCTAAGTGGAGTTCCAGAAGAAGCAAAAAGAAGTTCAAAGAGGCCATAGTTGAAGAAATAATGGATGAGAAATTTCTAGAATTAATGAAGGATATGAATTCTTGGATTCAGAAAATATAACTAATCCCATACAGGACAGAGAAAAAGAAATCTACAATTAAACTCATCAGAGTAAAACTACAGAATATCAAAGACAAAGGGAACATTTTAAAAAGGAAATAAAGGGAAAAAAAAGACAAATCACCTACACAGGAGCAATAAACTGGCAGCTGATTTCTCAACAGTGAGAATGGAAACCAGAAGAAAATAAATCATTTCTAGATACCCTCAAAAATTAAGACAGAGAGAGAGAAAATTTATCACCAAAAGTCCCTCAGTAAAAGAAATTCTGGAGTTTATGCTTGGTTAGAAAAAAAAATGATCCTAGAGGAAAGGTCTGCCATACAAAAGAAACGTTGGCAAAACATTGGTAAGTGATGACTGAATCTAAATCATTAACTGTGTAAAATAATGAGAAAATGGCTAACATGAGGGATCAAAAATTGAAATTAAAGATTAAACAACAATGGCATGAAGTAGAGAAAAATCAGCTTGTCTATCTCTAATTATTCCTTATCATTATTTCACTGGGATTGCACTAAATGTAGGGGTTTATCTTGGCAAGTATTTAACTTCTTTTCTGTTGTTGTTAATTTTATTTTATTTTAAGTTCTGGGATACATGTGCAGGACATGCAGGTTTGTTACATAGGTAAATGTGTGCCATGGTGGTTTGCTGCACCTATCAACCCATCACCTAGGTATGATTAATTTCTTTGTAATATAGCATCTCTTTCTCTCCCATACCTTTTCCTTTGTTCAAGTCATTATTTTTATGTACTTCAGGGGTCTTATAAAGTTTTATTTTATAGACATTGCACATTTCTTCTTGAGTTTATTCTAGGAAATTTATCTTGTTATTGCTATTATAAATGGGGTCTTCCATAATATCATCCAATTGGTTGTTGACCATATATATAAAAGCTAATTACGTCTTTATATTAATTTGGTAGCAATCATATTTCTGAATTATCTTATTGTTTATAGTAGTTTTTCAACTGATCTTTAGTTTTCCAAGTTTAAAAATTACATCATATGTAAAAAAAAGATAATTTTACCTCCTCTTTTCCAATGTATACTTCTCTTGCCTGTTTGTATCAGCTAGTACCTCGGTCTAAACAATGTTAAATAATAGTGGTGCTAGTGAATATTCTCTTATTTCTGATCATAATGGAAATGTTTTTAGAATTTGTCCACTAAGTATGATGCTATTTTGCAGACTGAGATGGGCATTTTTTTATCACACTAACGAAGGATCTATGTATTTCTATTTAATTGAATTTTAAAATAAAGAGTGGATGTCAAACTTTTTGAAATGCCTTTTTAGTGTCTAGAGAAATGATCATTGTACATTCCCAATGCACATCTACTAATATGATGAAATACGTTATATTGTGTTTCCCTATACCAAACTAGACATGCACCACTCAAATACATTTCACGTGGCCATGTGTCTTATCTTCTAAGGTGCTGCTGAATTTTGTTTAATTTTTTAAATTTGGGATAATTGCTTCACTATTCACAATCAAAATGAAAACTTGTAGCTTTATTTTTGTGCAACCTTTTTCAGTATTTAATGACAACGTTATGTTCACATCATTTAAAAAAATCTTTGGAAGAATTTATTTTTCTAGGGGCTGTAAAAGTTGAAATTTCATGGGAATTATCTACAGTGCCAGATAACACCTTTTTCACTGAAGGAAGAAATTTCCTATTCCTGACTTTTTTTTTTTTTTTTTTTTTTTTTTTTTTGTCCTCCAGGCCAAATCTGGAGGAGGCAGACAGCAAAGTGGGATGGAGTAAAGAGGGTGTAAGAAAAAGATAAAGCAGCAAGTGGAAATACAGATGTTGGTAATGCCTTCTGTCCTCATCTTTGGCTCCTCAGCCTGAAGCAGTTCTGAGCTGGGGGAGGGTAGAACCTTAAACTTTAAGTGAAGTTCAGAATTTGTATTATTAAACTGTCTGCCTCTTCAAATTGCTGAAGACTATCCTTGTGACTTGAAGTGTTCGAAGACTTTTTATAATCTAGAAGTTACTGGAAAATCTATTGGACTTAAACAAGCACATCGAGTAGGTTTGAAAGGACTTCAGGAGGAAACATAAAGTTATTTTATGATTGCACCCTGTTGAGTTCATCTCTTGCTATGTGACAGTTACACCTGCCTAGGACACTATAAGCAATAATGAATAAAACAGCCCAGCTTGTTTAAAGGAGTACAAAATGAAGGGGAAAAGTCTTGACTTCCTTACAATCATCATCGAACAGAGCTCTTTCCTCCATTTCCATTTAAATTGTAAACCCTATCTAGAGGAGACTCGCTTATTTCAGAAAGATTTCCCCAATAGTATATCATCTCTCTCAAAAGAGGGAATCATCCTGTCTCCCAGGAGTCAGATGGCCGATTAAGAGTACGTATTGGTCAAAGTGGTGCCACCACATCAGCCAGGATTGAAGACATCCCTCCAGAGTGGTTAATATAAAAGCAAAATGACTTTACTCCTAGTATTGCTGTCTGATATTTATAATTCAGCTACACCTTCCGAGGAGCTACCAGAACCACAAAGCAATACTTCTCTGACCACTGCAATTACTAAGGAGGAGACATTTGATAATTCGGTATCTACAAATATTAAGGAAAGTCAGCTTTGCAGTCGTATATCCTAAGCTTGTTAAAGAGTATGCTAACCAAATCATCTGCAAGAGTTGGCATGGCCGTTGGGGGAAATTTGTTCATTCTTTCTTTTTTGCAGTTTTTAAAAGGTTTTCAGATTCACTCATTCATTCATTCCCTTTCATGCTTATTCCTCATTCCCATTCCCCTTTTCTCCCTCAATAAGCAACAATTTACTTGGGATGTATTCATTCATTTTTATGTGTTCTAGCAAAGCGTGCGCTATTTTGAGTGGCTATATTTTAAATTTCCTTAAATGATATTGTACTATAGAGTTCATTCCACTAATTTTAAATTTTTGCTTCTTTCACCAAACACTGAATGTGTTGTCATCCAGTCTGTTGCCTTGAATGGCTGGATGGTAATCCATGGTGTGCCTCCATCACTGCCAGTAATAAACAACCAGATTCCCTCCAACTTCTCATCAAAGCCCTGTGATGAAAATCTTCCTATAGCCCTTTATGAGCCTGTGGGATAAGTTCTTTGGGATATACACCAAAAAAGAGGAAATGCTGAGTCGTAAGGTCCATATGCCTAGGTCAAGATCTATGATCTGACTGAGCAGCACCACATTGTGCTCCAGACCAGCTGCACCTGCCACCCTCCCACAGGCAGTCGACTGGCATTGCCACTGTCCATATGCCATGCATGTTATACAGCTCTCCAGCTTTTGTCTGATGTAAAAAGTGATAACTGGTTGTTATTTTAATCTGCACTTTTAAAATTATGAATATGTTTAAGCATCTTTTTATAAACCCAATAGCCTTTTAGGTAAAAAGCCAGTTCAAATCCTTGGCCCATTTTTCTATTAGAGTTAATGCCCTTTTCCTTGTTGGTTTATACAGTTCCTTATAAATTCTGAATATTAATCTCTTATTGCTTTAGACATTGCCAGAACTTTTTTCAAACCCTCATTTGTCTATCTCCTTCACTGAACTGAAAACCTTAATTTTTATGTAACAAATTCATCATTCTTTGTTTGACAATTTTGTTTTTCTTCTTTGGATTAAGAAATCCTTCAGTGCCTCCATATTATAAATATATTTTACAATGTAGTTTTATTTTTTAACTTTAGGATTATAATTCAACTGGAACATATCCTTTGCATGTCGTATTTGGTAGCAATCCAATTTACAAAATCAATATCTTTCCCATATAGAAATAGTAACCAATCAGAAAGTGTAATGAAAAATATTATATACATAATAGCAGAGACACAGTAAAATACTCAGAAATGAAAATATGAACATATAAAACCTATATGAAAAAAGATAAAATTTTGTTAAAGTATATTAAAAAAACTCTTGAATAAATTAAGAGATATACAACGTTCACCAATGAGACAATTCAATATAACAATGATATCTATTCTTCCCATGTTAATTTCTATATTCAATCCAATTCCAACCAAAATGCCAAGATAGTATTACAAATTGAATTTAATATGGTTGCTTGAATGTTTATTTGAGGGAGAAATATGTGAAAAGGTAGCTGAGAAAGTTTTGAAAAGTGTTTGCTACATTAGGTATTAAATATACTATAAAAAGTACAGCAATAAAATAAGTGTCATAGTGACATAATTGACCAACAGGAAAAAAAACCACACACATTTCAGAAACAGACCCATATATATATGTACTAGAATTAATGATTAAGGTGGATCTAAAACTGTATAATTTCTATCTTACTTAAAAGATGAAATTAAGGCAATTGGCTATATATTTATAAAACTTAAAGTTTTATTTTCTTCTTACATATATAAAACTAAATCTCAGATAGACGGATGAGCTACACCAAAAAGAAAACTATTTTTAAAAGTGCTAGAAAGTACATTTTAAAACATAATATTAGGGTGTAGAAGGTCGCCACACCACCCAAATGCCATATAGGAATAAATGGACAGATTTTACTAAATTAAGAAATTATAAACTTCTATCTAGTAAAAGGAACCACAAAGCTAGATATAGGAAGAAAAAGAGCTATAAGATTAAAATATGAAGTAAAAAAATTAAATGTCCAATTTATAAAAGCTTCTTCTCTTTTCTATGTCAATGAAATAAACAACCCAAGGAAAAAAATACACAGGATATGAATTCTCAGAAGAAATAAAGTTGGCCACTAAACATGCAGAAAATTTTCAATCTTTATTATTTAGGGAAATTTAAATTAAAACATTAATAAAATATCATTTTTCTTTAATCGGATTAGGAATACTATTTGTTAATTCCTCAATGTTGTGGGGAAACAAGCATCCCAAAATTTTTTGGTAGGGATATAAATTGATACTTTGTTTTTGTTGTTATTTCCACTGACCATACATCTAACTTTCTGTCTCAGTGTAATCTCCCATGGTGTATAATCAAACTGGTAGGTGCACTTGTCTTCTATAATGAAGTGTAGGGGCCAGATCATAGCCTTAACTAACAGTATTCTCCTCCCTAGATTTCAAATTTTAGGCAAGCATATCTTAGATAAAAGATGTTGTTATGGACTAAATTGTGTCCCCTCCCCACCCCAACCCAGTTTATATGTTGAAGTTCTAAACCCCAATTCTCAGAATGTAACTATATCAGAGATAGGGCCTTTAAAGAAGTAATTAAGTTAAAATGAGATCATGAGGTTGGGCCCTAATCCAATATGACTGTGTCTTCATAAGAAGAGGAGATTAGGCCACAGACATGAAGACACAGGGAGAAGACCACCAAGGAAAGAGGCTCAGAAGAAACCAACCCTGCCACACCTTGATCTTGGACTTCTAGTCTCAAGAACTGTGAGAAAGTTAATTTGTGTTGTTTAAGTCACCCAGCATGTGGTACTATTGCATGGTAGTGCTAACAAACTAATACAAAAATGTTGAACTTCATTTGTTACAGAGGCTGGTAAGTTCTGTTAAGGGCCAGACAGTAAATAGTTTCAGCTTTGGCGGCACAGAATCTCTGTTGCAATAATTCAGCTCTGCCATTGAAGTGTACAAGCAGTCATAAACAACATGTAGATGAATAGGAGAGTCTTGTTCCAATAAAACTTTATTTATGGAAATAGGTGGAGGGCCAGATTTGATCAAGGAACTGTACTTTGCTGTTCCTTGATGTACAGTGGCATCGTGCAATTTCCTTCGGGGAAATTGTACATTTAATGGTACAAGTCAAGGCCACATGCAGCTCCACATCTACTGCCAGTATCAGCAATGGCTACAGTAGTATCATAATCAAACCATCCCTGCCGCCCAGCCTTTACAGCACCGTTGGTTTTTACTGATTTTTGAAGCTTGTCTCCAATCAATACTGACTCCTACATTTTCTTAGTGGGAGAGAATTTTTTGGAAAATTATTTGTTTAATGTAGCCTGGGCTTTTGTTGCTTCCAACTGAGAGTACAGATTGATACAGAGGGCAATTTATGAGCAACTGACAAACTTAAAAAGAAAAAAAAAAGCCCTTTTATCCTTCAATAGAAAAGCAGAAAAGTATCCAAAGAGATTACTTCATGTATGCACAATTAACACGTACAGGAATATTCATTACAGCCATTTTGTAATGTCGGCATAGCCCAGGATTTATTTCTTGGCCCTTATCTTTTCTTTGTCTACATTTATTCTCTAGGTCTTTTTATTTGGGGACAGAGCCTTAAATATCACCTATATGCTAACAATCTCCACATTTACAATCCAGCCTGGACTTCGCCTATGAATTCCAGAATTCTATAGGCAACTCTCCACTCAATAGCTCCCTATGGATTGCTAATAGGTTTTCAAACATAACATGCTCTATTTCTCCAGTAAAGGACAATGAGGTCAGCCTTGATTCCTTTAATCTCACACTCTATATCTGATCTTGTTGGCTCTACTGTTTAAAAGTTTCCAGAATTAGAACACTTCAACTGCTGTCACTGCCATCCAAGCCACAATATTCTCTCATCTGGATTATGGCAACAGCCTCCCAACAGATCTTTCTGTTTCTGCCCTTGTTTCCTCCAGTCTGTACTCAACAGCTTGATGCCATGAGATTGTGTCCCTTCTTTTCTCAAAACCCCTCAATATCCTTCCATCTAACCCAGAGTTAAAGCCAAAATAGGTACCAGAAGACCCAAGAGATCTACATGCTCTGACGCCCTACACCTCTTTAACATTATCTTCTACCACTATCCCCCCTGCTCAGGCCATTCCAACCACATTGGCCTCCTTGCTGCTCCACAAAGCCTTTGCACCTCCCATGCCCTCTGCCTTGAATACTCTTCCTCCAGATATTCACAAGGCTGGTGCTCTTGTTCCTTCAGGTCTTTTATCAAGTGTTACTTCTCAAAAAGGCCTTACCTGAACACTCTGTCTGAAATTCCTACACTCTGCCCACAATAGTTCCTATCTCTCTTCACTGCTATATTTCTTTCCTCATTATCTATATAATACACTTTGCCTATTCATCTTGTCTGCCTTCTCCAGGAGACTGTACAAGGGCAGGAAATTTTATCTAGCTTTTGTTTTTTGTTTTTTTTTTTTTTTGCTGTGAATCCCCTGTACCCAGACCAGTATATAGGAGATAGTGAGCACTCAAAAAGTAGTTTCTCTGTAAATAAATGCATGAATTAAAGAAATGAAAGCATTATAAGAGTCTATTAATGGTGATGACTTAAATAAATTATGGTAGATTCACAGGAGGGCAATATAGAATAAGGACTCTAGAATCAAATTGCCTGGAATAAAATTCTGTCTCTGACACATGCTATCTCTGTGACCCTGGTAAACATATACAACACCGTAATGCCTCAGTTTCCCCTTCTGTAAAATAGATAATGAAAGTACCCATCCCTTAGGATTGGTGTAATATTAATGAGATTATCATATCAAATGCTTAGCACAGTGTCTGACACTCAGCAAATACTTAAATAATGTTGACTATTACCACTATTACTATTACAATGGAATACTATATGTCTGTTAAAAGTATGAGGTTGTTTTAGACATATACACATGAAAAAATCATAGATGTTATCAAAAAATGAATCCAAAACAAATAGGTATAATATGTTCTCACTTCCATGTAAAAAAATCCCTCTGTGTGTATGCATGTGTAGATTAAAATGGACAGAAGAAAACAGACTTCTATCAATGGTTACCTGTAATGAAAATTATGTGGATGGCAACGAAGGGGACTTTAACTTTCTGTGCTCTATATTTCCTCACCATTTGAACTGCTTGATTGATTTATTTTCAGTGAGCCCCAATTCATTCCCTTTTTGCATGTAAAAACTTTTAAAAATGGGGTGAAAGTTTCCTCCTACATCTGCTGCTCAGAGGATGATCTAGACCCATGAGGTATGATTTTTAAAGGTGCTACAGAAGGTCTCTGACTGGACTTACTTATCAAAGTATATTAATCTTTTAAAATCCATTCCCTTACTGATATATATTTAAGGGTCCTTTTGTAATTTATATTTTCCCAAGTATAAAATCTGATTTGAGAGTAAAAAGTTTGCTTTTTCAAACTACACTCCCCTTCTCCCTCCCATTCAAGAGTCTGAAACACTCTCTTAAAAGCTATGCCTCCTTTTTTCTCTTCCTAAAAAGTAACCTAGAAACTTAAATAGATTCTAATGTCTCATTACCAACTTAATGTCAGAAATTCCTGACCAATGAGAGCCAAATAATATCTTCATTCGGTAGCAGTTCTGTTGTGCCTATCCCTTTTCTATTGATAATGAATACTCTTTCCATTTCTAGATTTCACAACTTGAGTCTTTTTTAACTTTTCTCCCCCATCATCTATCACATCCAATTTGTATTTAATAATCAGAAACTCAACAAACATTTACTGAGGACTTATGTACCAGGCACAAAACTAGGGGTTAAGAGACACAGTAAATCAGGTATGGTCTTTGCCTTCTAGGTACTTAGAGTCTAGTGGGGAAATAGACATGCAAGCAAACAACATACTCTAAAGCACCACAAAAACACAGAAGAATAGCCACTTTTCCCAAATAACATCTCTTGCACCTGTTCCTTCTGCTACCTCTCTTGTCTAAACCTCTCACTTACAATCTGTTCTCTCACTCATCTCTCCATGTTTAACAGTTTCCCATCCTAATGTACACTATATGATATGGTTTGGCTGTGTCCCCACCCAAATTTCACTTTGAATTGTAATAATCCCCACATGTCAAGGGCAGGGCCAGGTGGAGATAATTAAATCATGGGGCCAGTTTCCCCCATACTGTTCTCATGGTAGTGAATAAGTCTCACGAGATCTGATGGTCTTATAAATGAGAATTCCCCTGCACAAGCTCTCTTTCCTGCCACCATGTAAGACATGACTTTCCTCCTCTTTTGCCTTCAGCCATGATTGTGAGGCCTCCCTAGCCATGTGTAACTGTGAGTCAATTAAACCTCTTTCCTTTATAAATTACCCAGTCTCAGGTATATCTTTATTAGCAGCGTGAGAACAGACTAATACACTATACAAAGCAGCCATGTGAATCTTCCCTAATCAGGAGTTTCCATAATTTAGTCCAATACAAAAAATATTCTTCATTTTTTATTGCAACATTGCAAAGTACAACTTTCTTTGCCTTAGTGTCAAGGCCAGGACATAGTATACTCTCAATAAATAACTGATGAATAAATGAATCTGAACTGAGCCTCCCTATTCAAACTTATATTTTACAATCGTATGGCTCTAAACATACTACTTTATACACATGGATGTAAGTCCTGTCCCAAGGATGCATCAGCACATTTTTGTCTGTGCCTCTTGCTAGTGCCACATTTCCTGTGTCTCTGGGAAGCCCTCCTAGCCGCCTCCCCACTGCCATCATTCTAAAGCTGAGTCTTGGCCCACCTTTTCAATAGACTCTTCTCCAAACACCACTCTCTTTCAAATGTCTTTAAAACTCCTTGTCTGCACCACTCATTTGCTACCTTAGAATATGCTACTGGAAATTGTTATCTTCTGATAAATGTGGCCTGTCTTTCCAAATAGGATCCCCATAATTTATCAGCGTCTTTGAAACTGGAAACTACAGTTGTTAGCTCTTATATCATAACTACTTAGAGTACTGAAACAAAACATTTGGAGGAAAAAGCAACATTTATTCCCCGTAGGTATGAATGACACATTCCCATGTCTAACCCCACTGCAGGCTGAACAAGGACCTGACAGGAAACCACAAGGCAGCAGCCCTTGCTAAGCATGACAATGAATCAGAAACCTATCGACATCCTCTTTCCCATCAACAGGACAGAATTACAAATCTATTTCCAGGGACAGCTCCATCAAACCCACCATCTGTCAATGGGTATTTCATAATTTATTTGGTTTGATTACTAAAGATTCAGGCATTTTTAAAATTAGGAAGTGGGAGAAAAGGATTAGGAGGTCTTCCTGGACTCTTTGTGCTATATTAAAGTATCCTCCTGATATAACGCCGCGGCCTTCAGGCTTTGGAGAAGAGTCAAGTAGCAAATATCCATGTTTTGATCCCGTTCCACAACATCATCCATTCCACTCCAAAGTTCAAGAGCCAAAGGGGTTATAGAAACAATCTGTTTAACTTATGACTCAAAGCAACCGAGACAGGCCAGATCTACAGGCTAGTTGAGTTTTTTCCAAAGCCACTACCCACAAAGATGAGAAGTCCTTCCTGGACTTCCCAGTGATGGTCCAAGCCCTCCCCACCCCCACTTCATGACGCAACACTCTTGGGGATATTCTGTCACGCCACTTATCACAGTGTATTTAAACTTTGTGTGCCTCTTTACTCCAAATGGAATATAATGTCCTCAAGATTAGGGCTTCTGTATCCTTATAACTTCAGTCCTCAGAAGAGTATCCAGCAAAGAGTATACCTGTAATGTTTATGGTGAACAAAACCTGACAGCTTATTGTGATTTTCAACATTAGATTATCCTAACACCATTTCAGAAAATGTAGGCTGTATGCTCTACTTCGCCATGGATGCATACTGCAGTTACATTCATCTCGACAGATTTTCAAAGATTTTTTCAACAACTATTTGCATAACATATTAACATTAATGAGGCATTTTCACATATGTTATGGAATTAATCCTCACAATACCTGTAAGGAAGGTATTATTATTCCCAACTTACAGGTAAGGTAACTGAGGCTAGGAGAGATCAGATGTGGTAGGCAGAATAATAGCCTTCCAGATATATCAGGTCCTAAGCACTAGAACCTGTAAATGTTACTTTATCAGGAAAAGGGTCTTTGCAGATGTGATTAAGTTACGGATCTTGAGATAAGAGATCATTCTGGATTATCTGTTGGGGCCTAAGTGTATTCTTATAAGAGGAAAGTAGAGGGAGAGTTTATACATACACACACACACACAAAGGCATGGCGGCAAACGTTGGCATGGTGCAGCCACAAACATGATCTCTTCCAGAGCTTCCAGGGGAGCACAGCTCTGCTGACATCTCAATTTTGGCCCAGTGGAATCGATTTTGGGACTTCCAGCCTCCAAAACTGTGGAGGAATAAATTTCTGTTGTTTTAAGCCACAAAGTTTGCAGTAATTTGTTACAACAGCCACAGAAAACTAACACAATAAATATAAATGGTCAGCTAGGAAGTAGATGGCATGGCTAACTCCTTCCTATTTCCTCCTTAACATTGAACGTATGTTTGTGTGACATGCCCAGTCCCAAATGAAGCATTTTATATGAATTACATTTTTCAATACTCACAGGTTTGTTAATTAAGATGTAATTGTAATTGTTATACCCATTAAAAATGAAAAAAAATGAAGGTACAAAAAGGTTAAATTATCCACAATAGCTTATACATGCTTTAGTAAGTTATTTGCACATCTGATAACAAATATGCAAAATAACATTTTTAAAGTTTTAACTGTGTTCAATCTCCCTCCCAAATCAGCTTCCCCTCTCCTTGGATTGTCTTTGTATGTCCTACGAAATATCTCCCCCAACTTCAGTGAGACATTATGAAGCACCCACTGCCTTAGGATATTGGGGCAGAGAGAAGAGAACAATGGAGTGAAATTATTTACTGACATGTGACAAGCTAAAGTGCAGGTACAAGATGGTACAAATTTGGAAAAATAGACTCATCAGTCCATGTCCATCAGTCCAGGAAACAATTTCCTGGCTCAGGAGAAGGGGAGAGAGGGATTCCATGGGCAGGAATGGAGGACCATCAGGAGGCTGTTCAGATTTGCTACCTCAGAAGCTTTGTGGTGGCAGAACCAGCGCTCAGGCCACAGCAGTCTGGGCATCACTCACTGACGGACAAGCAGGAGTGAAGCTCATCTGACTTTTGCTAAGTTCTGTCCAACCCACCTGATAAGGACAATCACCTCCCCTCCCTCTTCAATGACATGGGGCACTTAAGCAACCACAAACAACTAGGAAGGAGGGCAGGGCCTTGACACCCGGAGGGATGGAAGCAATGGCATCCGGAGAGCCCCTAGGACTAACTGAACTGAACCATTTGGTGGTCTACCTTGTGCTTCTCAGGCTCTCCTCCCTCTTACCCTTAACACTGTGGCAATCAGGCAGCAACCCATTAGACCAAGAATGTATCTAATAGTCCCATTGTGCATAGTAAGCTATGGAGGGGCCTGATGCAATTGGGTTTGTCTGTTGGGAATCTGACATAAATAGTGACACTGATTTATTATCAGTGTCTTCTAGATTTCTCCACAATACTCAGAGATTTTTATAATATATTCGGTCTGTTATTTCATCATGCACCATACTGTGGGGGCTTCTTGGGTCATACTGCAGATATTTCTCTTAACTCATTCATCTCTGATAAATGATTCATTAGTAAACCAACGGCAGTCATGGAGCAATGCACACGTTAGGCTTCCTTCCCTTTACCAATGACATAGGTCCCAGTGCCAGGCCTTGTAATGATTTAAGAGCTAGAAAGGGCAAAGCACCAATTACAGTCCATCAGGCTTGGTCCACTGGGTGAGGAGGAACTAGCAAGCTTAACCTTTTACACTTATGCTAACATGTAGGTCACCAGGATCCACTTACTCAAAGACCTTTTCCGAACCACTTCAAAGAATTAACAGCATCTTCCACCATAAGCAAATAGATCTTTTTTTCAATCTACAGAAACAGGCTCAAAGCACATGCACATATATATATATATATTAATATATATAAACATATACATATAATGTTAAAAGTTCTCTTTCATGCGAACATTTGGGGGATTCTTAAAAGAAGGGAAATGGAATAATATTACACAAGATGACAACATTATTAAGGGCGGGCCTCTAAGAGGCTCTCTATTAGGCTAAAATGGTATGGTGTGTCTACGGCCATACCACCCTAAATGCGCCCATTCTTGTCTAAGATGGAATGGTGTTTACAATATATCTTTTATTTAACACCATTCCACAAATACCTTCATCAATTTTATTTCTTTTTTTTTCTTTTCTTTTTTAGAGATAGGGTCTTGCTCTGTCACCCAGGCTAGAGTGCAGTGGTGTGAACGTAGCTCTCTGCAGCCTCAAACTCCTGGGCTCAAGCCATCCTCTTGCCTCAGCCGCCTGAGTAGCTGGGACTACAGGCACATGTTACTATGCCAGGATAATTTTTAATATATATATATATTTTTTTTTAGAGACAGGTTCTCACTACGTTGCCCATTGAGAACTCCTGGTCTCTAGTGATCCTCTTGCCTTGGCTTCCCAAAGTTCTAGAATTGCAGGCATGAGCCACCTCACCAGGCCAGTTTTCTATTGGATATTATATGTTTCGCCCCTGATGAAGCACCAGGGGGAATAAAATTCAATTCGTTTGCCTTACAGAAGTCACTGGTCCCCTACCTGATGCCCACCCAAGGTGAATTTGCCCTGCCATTGTCATGTCTTCTCATTAAATATTCCTCAGGCTGGGCACGGTGGCTCACGTCTGTAAACCTAACACTTTGGGAGGCCAAGGCGGGAAGATCACGTGAGGTCAGGAGTTCAAGACCAGCCTGGCCAACATGGTGAAACCCAGTCTCTACTAAAATACAAAAATTAGCCAGGCGTGATGGCGGGTGCCTGAAATCCCAGCTACTTGGGAGGCTGAGACAGGAGAATCACTTGAACCCGGGAGACAGTGGTTGCAGTGAGCCGAGATCATGCCACTGCACTCCAGCCTGGGCAGCTGAGTTTGACTCCATCTCAAAAAAAAAAAAAAAAAAAAAAAAAAAAAAAAAAAAAATATATATATATATATATATATATATATATATATATCCCTGACACATTAAATCATTCCAAGACACAGACAAGGCCACTAAAATGACCCATCTCTGCCCTTTGGGATCCCACAGCTTACAGCATATGGAATTCATTAAAGTTTGAGTTCATCTACAGGAGCGTCACTGAGCAGAAACCACAAGTAGCACAGAGCAGAGTCAGACTTCACATTAGTACTCTTCCACTCTCACCATGAGAAAACGATGCTCTTTCTCTTTAAAGGCCTCCCAGTTAGCTTGCAAGCCCCTTCTACATTCCTAAGGGTGAATTACCCTTATAATTATTATCAGTATTGAATATTTACTAAGTACCCATACTGGGTGAGATCATGAAGTTGTTTGACACGTATATATGGCAGAAATATTCCAAGTGTATTTAGCCACTGTTAATGTTCTTCCAGAGCTGAAAATAGCAGGGACGAGTGTACTTGACCTGATCTTTTGCATGTTGACTCCTTTAACTAAGTCTAAACAGAGCAGAAACCTTGCCATCGGAGAAGCGTTTGCAAAAGGGAGACCAGGTCAGAGCATGAGCAGCAGATGGGGCTTGAGAGCCAAGAATGAAAATCCCAGGATGTGGCCAAACTCTGTAAATCATTATTGACTGAGCTCCATGCCATCTTAATGGCTTTTACTACCTCTTGGTTCCAATTCAAAGTGCATATTAAAGCAAGCAGCACTGCAAAGACCAGAGGGGCTAGAATAGTAAACTACCCATAGTTTAGTAATCATTATGCATTAATTATTCAGAAGCTGGATCTCCTCTTTGCAAACATTAAAACCAGTGACGGCAAAGAAATATGCCCCTCTTTTGGAGGATGAGAAGGAGTAGTACTATTTGGGGTTGATGCTGGCACGATATTTAGCAGAGCATGACAGCTTTAGTAGATAAAAAAACGTGATATAGTATCATACAAACTGTTAGCAATGTATTGGAAGACTCAAGTATTCCCCGAGGGGCATTTACATCGGATTTGCTATGATTGCAATATCTGCACAGTGATGCATTACGTGTTTTATTCTCTTTATTATATGTTTTCATTACTTTGTGTGTTAGAATGCAATAAAGAAAGCTGAAGCAATAAAGGTTGATTGATAATAATAATTCTGCAAAGATGCAACTTCCTTTCTAAAGCAGTTCTAGAGCTGGAGGAACCAATGGCATCTGATCATCTGTTCTTTTGTAAGATTTTATCTTCCTTTCTGATAAAGAAATAGAAATTGGTTTGGAAGCAGCTTTCAGTGACAGCTGGCACTGCATGGTAAAGGAGGAGAAAGGTAGGGAAGATTGTGTTCTATTTAGAAGGCTGAATCCTGCATGTGGTTCAACTCTGCTTCTCTCTTTTCTTTCATGTTCTACAACTCAAATATCAGATGTTCTCTTTTAAAGGAAAGAAAAAACATTTTTCAGGATCAACACTGCTTGGGCTTTCTAACTGACATCCTATCCTACTCTCTAAAGTGTGTTTAAACCTCTTCTCTAGGATTCTTTTTAAACTGGGATCATTGAAATCAGGAACTTAACACGTGCATGTGTGTTGGGGTCCAGGCTCCCAACCTAAGCTTAAAATGAGCTTCAGACATGGCTGAGCATGTGTGATGCACTGGTAAAATTATGCACTTAGAGTAGATTTTTCACAGTGGTTTTGTTTGGGGCTATTCACATTCATCCAGGGAAGTGATTGGACTGGAAACAGAAGCTAGTGTGTGTCAGGGGTGTTGGCGAGAGGAGGTGCATGCAGAAATTGAATGAAATGGTTTCACAAGAGGCTTTGGAGACCTAGGTAACTAAGAGTACTGATTAGGTGGGGAAAAAAAAAAAGCAACACAGAGTCAGGGCAAGCAGCACCCTCCCCACTTCTATGTCAAGCACAGAAGGGCTCCATCTGGGTCAGGATGCCTGGTGACACACTCCCAGCTTCCCAAGGATTTGTGGCTGTGGAGCACAGAGAGAGAGAACACCTAGTCCTGGTCATGGATATCAGCAACTGTGGAAAGAAGGCCACCAGACTTCCAGACATGGAGCAGCACAGCCTAAATGACTCCAAGAGCAACACACATCAACCCGTTCATTGTGCAACAAAGCAGGGCTAAGAGCACCTTCCAGGCACCTCCCACGACCTCCCAGAAATACTTGGGGAAAATTATGTGGGGAATTGAGATCTTGTATTATGTCAGTATGGGCATGAATCATTGAAATTTGGGTTATATATATTAAGTGGCTTTATTTGTACCCACAAACAGATAAGGTTTTGGGGAAATTGAGGTCATATATGAAATAAAAGAAAAAACTCCATTTGTGATTGTGAAAGACAGTCACTCTCAGTATGTGATTTTCTAAAAGGCTCACGCACTATAAGCAACCATCAGTTAAACACATTAATGGAACAGAGCAATGATCTATTCAGGTCAGGACAGTGAGTCCTCACGTGTGGGAGAGTCATTGCAGAAGATGGCATAAAGCTTAGAGGCAGCTAAAGATTGACATCAAACTGGTAGGGCATTGCTTACCAAAACATTGACCATATGATTTGGGAGGCCAAGGTGGGCAAATTGCCCGAGGTCAGGAGTTCAAGACCAGCCTGGCCAACATGGCGCAACCCAATCTGTACTAAAAACACAAAAATTAGCTGGTTATGGTGGCTCACGCTTGTAATCCCAGCTACTCAGGAGGCTGAGGCACAAGAATAGCTTCAACCCAGGAGGTGGAGGTTGCAGTGAGCCAAGATCATGCCACTGCACTCCAGCCTGGACAACTGAGGGAGACTCCATCTCAAAGAAACAAAAACAAAACAAAACAGACATGGCCACATGATAATCAAGTAGAATGCTTGTTAAAGTGCAGATTACATGGGCTCTGCTTCCCAGGGGTTTTGACTCAGTCAACTTAGATATTTTACAAACACACTCCCTTGAGGCAATCTTGATAGAAGTGGTCTTCAAATCCCTCTTGGGTAAGCACCATCATATTTAGGGTATACCATAAGGGTATGTCAAGGCCATCTGGGTCTGCATTGTCAACCTAGAGGCTAACCCATTGTCAAGGAAGTCATGCACCAAGGCTGTGCCCAGAAGAAAGAGAATGCTGTAGAGGCAGACAGTGAAGTAATGAAGGCAGCACGGGATGCTGTGACCAGCCTCAGGGGCAGAAAACAGGAAGTCAGGAGGAGCAGAGAAATGAACTGGGGGTGGGACAGGAGCACGGACACACAGGGCTATGGAGTCATGGCTTTTACACGGTGCCCTTGCGTTGATGTCAGAGGTTCCATGTTGGGGGGACAGTGATGAATAATGCTCAAGAGATAACTACCTCTGATCATTTATTTCAAGTGATTTTGTAGCCACTATGTATGGTGGGCATTTTTAGAGATGCCAAATTGACTTAAGTATATTTTTCTTAGCTAGTAGAATTATTTGCTATTGAGTTATAGGTGTGTTAGTGTTCAAGTCCAGCTTCTGAAAAGCTCTTTATTTCTTCAAAGATATCATTCCTCAGAGGTTACCTTATACTAGTATGGTAGAGAGAACATGTATTTTGGAGGCAGAAAGACTGAAATTCAAATCCTAACTCTACTCACAAACTGGGTGACATTGGACAAGTTATATGACCTCTTCGGGCGTCAGTTCTCTTTTCTATAAAGTGGAGATAATTATACCTAGCTCACAAGTTTTTGTGTGGATTAAATAAAATGTGTACACAGTACCCCTCACAGTGCTTGAGATTTAATAGGTACTAAATAAATGGCTGCTATTACTATTATTACCAGACTGGTTTATAACTGCGAATGGCTCATCTTTCTAAAATTGTGGTGCTCAGGTTACTATACTTTTCCAAATTTTAGGTAAAAACTGAACTATTTTTCATAATGCCTCAGCATAAACATTTACTTTTATTTGTGTTATATTAAAATAGGATATAAGATTAGTGTGAGTTTTAAAAAATATATCAACACTTGGGGAAGATTTCTGTTTCACACACTTAATTGATTCCTTGTTTTTCTTACACTTAAGCAAAATGTGTCCGGTACACTGACAATTCTTGATTTACATATGCCTGTTTTCTGTGCATCCTCCAGGAACAGATGTTCACCTAAGAACAGCAGGCCCAGATAGACCACTCTGGAGTCACAGAAAAAAGAGCAAGGTGGGAAGTGACAGGAGCAAAGGTAGTAAACAGGAAGAGGAAAGTTCATCCCTGCGGGGCCACTTTTTCTGGGTGTTCGCTATTCCAATGTCTCGTAATGGATTACTAGAACATGATTGGTACATTCTATAAAATGATGAATTTACAAGGTGCTTTAGGAGCACAGAAAAGAGCACAAATAAGAGGCAAGTTCAGGACAGCTTCAAAGAGAAAGTGATATTCGATCTGGGTCTTGAGATTATAAAGGTAGAAGACAGTCAAGAATACTGCAGGCAGTGAGACTAGTACAAGCAGAGAAAAAAAGAGCAAGTAGCATGTTGTTAAAACTGTGTGTGTGTGTGTGTGTGTGTGTGTGTGTGTGTGTGTGTGTTTGGAGGTGGTGATAGAGGACTGGAGATTAAGACCAGGTCAGGACTGGACAGGAAATCATTTTTAATCCAAGCTATAAAGTTAACACTTTATCCATAAGATTCAACTAGCTTTAAAAAAGTGGTTCCAGTGGCAATATCTGTATAAATTGTAAGGAACAAGAATAGAGGTGAGGAGACCAGTCAAAAGACTAAAGCCTACTGCAACATCTTTTACCTGTTAGTACTTCTTACACAGCACCCCCACTTCCCAGACTAACACAAAGTAGAGGTGATCCTACAACAGAAGAAAAGGGACATTGCCCTTAACTTAGATTATCAGTGACTCAAAATGAAATTCAGCCTTTGTTTATGCCCAGCTAAATTTCATTTAAGACCTAGAATTGTAGATTTTGCCAATTTAAAAGACTTTTTTACTTTTAAAATAAGTATGTTCCAGATTTGCAACTTATTCTATCAAAAATATTAGTTACTGGCCAGGCTCAGTCGCTCATGCTTGTAATCCCAGCACTTTGGGAGGCCAAAGCAGATGGATCGCTTGAGCCTAAGAGTTCGAGACTAGTCTGGGCAACATAATGAGACCTCGTTTCTACAAAAAATAAATAAAATTATCCAGGCGTGGTGGTGCATGCCTGTGGTCCCAGCTACTTGGGGCTAAAGTGGGAGGATAGCTTGAGCCCGGGAGGTAGAGGCTGCAGTGAGCTGTGATTGCACAATTGCACTCCAGCCTGGGTGAGAGAATGAGACCCTACCTCAAAAAAAGAAAATATGTGTGTGTGTGTGTGTGTGTGTGTGTGCGCGCGCATGTGTGTTTGTGTGTGACCTAGACCTGCAAAACTCAGATTCTGAAGCTAGATTCAATCTGATTCTCACAATACA
The DNA here is from genome assembly GCF_000001405.40 of Homo sapiens. Lineage (NCBI taxonomy): Eukaryota > Metazoa > Chordata > Mammalia > Primates > Hominidae > Homo > Homo sapiens. Next base: position 42,841,996 of record NC_000013.11, read on the forward strand.
TTCAAACTACTTAGAGCTCTTCTCAGAAGATCCACACTACCATGAAGGGGCCACAGTTTGGACAAGGAGACATGACACTGGGTCTAGAAATCTGCTGCTGTGACCTAAGGGAGAAGAAATGAGCATCTCAAAATTATGTAGAACCCACAAAAAATCAGACTGTTTGCACTTGATTTTCTTCAATCCCCCAATATAGTTGCAGTTTCCTCCCTTCCCTTAAATCACATGACCTCTATAACTTTGGACAATTACTGATTAAAGTTTTATTTAGCCAATCAATTTAATCAAGTGTCATTTGATTTCCTTCAAATCCTAAACTAATTGCCAAAACTAGACTCAGTGATGCTGCAAAAATTCTGAAGAAATTTTTGCCAAGTGAATTTTTGCCAAGTGAATTACTGAATAAAGCAATACTTACTTAATAAAGCAATTATTCTCTCTTCAAAAGAGAGAAATTCTGTTCTTTGATTTCTTTTGTGATTCATTGAAATGGACTTCTTAGGCCTTAGGTCTTCTATTGTCAGACATGTTCAACAATTTTCTTCACATCTTCCTACTTTTCAAGAAAATGGGCAAAATTACCATTCTTTTCTGTTTCAAATTACAGTTTCATGAGACTTTCATTTCATCATGAGTGAAATACCATGAGCAATTAAAAAAGGCTCCATATTTAAATACCACTTATGTAGCAACATCATCACCTTCTAATGAGTAAATCCATCAGAGAAACAAGAACAAAGCAAAAAGTAGTTCAATTTCAAAACTCCATTCAATGCCCATTTAAAGGCAATAAAAGTTCTGACCTCAGCACATCTTACTGGCTCTTCCTGGAAGCCCCCGTCCTCCTTTGGTGTCTTCTGTCATCTTCAGTTCTACGTAGATGATAGACTCTCTATCTTGAAGACATCATGGAAACATGAAAGAATAATGAACTTGCAGTCCAATTCCAGAAGATATTGGTTCCAATCTAGTCTTTGCCACAGAATAGCTCTGTGACCTAAGGCTAGACAATTAACCATTCTGGCTCAATTTCCTTAGGCATAAAATAAAGGTAAAAATAACCTACTTCCTATGGTGTGTGTGTCTGTGTATGTATATTAAGTGTATATTAAAACACCTTGATAATTTCCAGTTACCCTCAAGGAAAACATTTAAGCTTATTACTGCACAAAAGGAGTCTGCTCACACAAACTCAAAAAAGAGGATGGAAGAAATGGATCCAAATATATCAGTAATAACAATTGATATAAATGAATTCAATCACCCAAAAGACAAAGAATGTTAAACTATGTATATTTATATATTTAATATTTTTTAAAATAGTCCTACCTCGGCTGGGCACTGTGGCTCATGCCTGTAATCGCAGCACTTTGGGAGGCTAGGGCGGGCAGTTCACCTGAGGTCAGGGGCTCAAGACCAGCCTGGCCAACATGGTGAAACTCCATCTCTACTAAAAACTACAAAAATTAGCCAGGCGTGGTGGTGGGCGCCTGTAATCCCAGCTACTTGGGAGGCTGAGGCAGGAGAATCGCTGAACCTGGGGGATGGAGGTTGCAGTAAGCTGAGATGGCACCATTGTACTCCAGCCTGGGTGACAGTGCGAAACTGTCTCAAAAAAAAAAAAAAGTCCCACCTTGAAAGAGAATTTACAGAAAGCATATTTAAAACAGAAATTTACAGAAAGATTAAAAGTATATATTAGGAATTAAAGACCAGGCATGGTGGCTGATGCCTGTAATCCCAGCACCTTGGACGGCCGAGGCGGGTGGATCACCTGAGGTCAGGAGTTCAAGACCAGCCTGGCCAACATGGTGAAACCCCATCTCTCTACTAAAAATACAAAATTAGCCAGGCATGGTGGCGCATACCTGGAATCCCAGCTACTTGGGAGGCTGAGGCAGGAGAATTGCTTGAACCCAGGAGGTGGAGATTGCAGTGAGCCGAGATTGCACCACTGCACTCCAGCCAGGGCAAAAACAGTCTCAAAAAAACGGTCTCAAAAAAAAAAGGAATTTAAAAACCTAGTACAGTTAAATTAATATCAGACAAAATATTGGCTTTAAAGGAAAAAATTATTATATCAATGGAGAGAGCTTCTATATATTAATAAAAAGGAAATTCTCCAGAAGAATACAAAAATTCTAAACATGTATGCATACAATAAAACATCTTTGAAACATATAAAATATAATTATAAAATGGAAAGAAAAAATTGATAAATCCACCATTATAGTGAAAGATTCTAACATCTTTCAATAATTTACAGACCAAGAAAGCAAAGAATCAATAAGTATATGGAATATTTAAGTAACCCCATTATTAACTCCTACTTTAATGTACATTTATAGAACATTCTATTCAAGAATGCATGGAATATCTATTAAAAACTGACTAAATAAGGAAAGCCTCAATAAATTTTAAAGACTCCTATCATAATCTGCATTTGCTGATCTCAATGAGATTCAATTAGAAATCAATGTCACCCATATCCATAAAACAAATTGAGCCAATTTTAAAATTTTTCATAAAGGGAAACCCAAGATCAGACAGTTTTACATGGTTGTTCAAACAAATATTTAATAAACAAGTAATTCCAGAATCAAAATGTACTTCTTTTTGTGTTTTGGTCAAGAAATAATTTTTAACTATAAATGTAAGCTATTTTACATTTTCTTAGAAAAGTTGTGAAGTTTTGCCCATCATATTTAAATTGCTGTTACATTTGAAATTGATGTGAAGTATGGGTCTAATTTTCTAGTTTTTCATATCTTAATATTCTACAGTGCCATTTCTGTTGTGTATCAGATTTTCATATATAGTTTATCTGTTTCTGAGTTTCCTATCTGCTGCGTTGATTACTTACTACCACTATGCCAATATCTACTAAAATAATTACCAGTTTTTAATGCTTGTAAGTAGCCAAGTCTCTTCCACCCTTAACTCCACACCTTGCCACCTTATGCTTCTTTAAGAGCATCTGGACTATTTATAACACTTTGTTCTTTCTTACAAATGTTTAGAATATACTTAGAAAGTTCTGTAAAAATTCTTGTTGAGATTTTGATTGAAATTTCTTTAAAACTGCAAATGAATTTGGTGAGAACTAACATATTTACAACATATTTATAACACTGGTACAAAACATGGTATTTCAACATGTTTTTGCATAGAAAAGTTCAGCATTGTAAAATGTTCATTTCAACATTTAATTAAAATATGTTCAATATTCATTTCTAGTTTCTTTAGGGTCTTTCAATAGAATTGCTATAGTTTGGTTCTTATTGGTCTTTTTGCTTTATTTGTCTTGTTCTTATACACTTTATAATTTTACTGCAGCTAATTAAATACATATACTTTCTATTTAATAGAGTAATGTATATTGAGCTTTATCCAGCAAACTTACTGAGCTCCCTTACTCATTTTAATTTTTGTCCCTACATTCTTATGGGTTTTTCTACAATAATTTCATCTATAAGTAACAAAATTTTTGTTCCTGCTTCTCCAATCTTTATAACTATCATTTCTTTATCTTGTGAGTTTGCTTTCTGAAAATTTTACCAATACATTTCATCTAAGTAATAATAGTGGGTGTCTTTGTCTTGCTGCTGTTTTTAAAAGAAATATAACATTTTGCCTTTGAGTTTCCTGTTGTTTCATGTTTTGTTATTTTAGGTATGCTTTATCAGATTAAGGAAGTTTCTTTCTACTTTTAGTTTTCTGATAGCATTTTATCAAATGCTTTTTACGTATTTATTGAGAAAAACTTTCATCTGTTAATATGGTGTTTAAATAAGCTGTTTTTCTAATGCTGAACTTTGCTTTTCTGGTATGTGCCCAACTTGGTCATACATTATCTTTTTCATGGATTCCTGAATTCACATTGCTAATATTTTAGTTACTACTTTTGCATCTATGCTTATGAGCATAATTAGTCTGCAGAGTTTCTTTCTCATGTTCCCCGTCATGTTTTGATATCAAGACTTTGCTAAAATATAAATGAGATTCAGTAGCAAATAACAAATCATTCTAGCTATTTTAAGCAGAAAGAGGGTTAGATGCTTACAAATTTCTTAGATGAGCTGGTTGTCATAGCAGATTCTAGGATGAAACTCCAGGACAGATTTCTAGAAGAATCCTGCTTAAGTGGCCCATCAAGTTCATCGTTATCTCTGCCACAGTCAGGAAACTAGATGTGACGGTTAATTTTATGTGTCAGTTTGGCTCAGCTATGGTGCCCAGTTGTTTGGTCAAACACTAATCTAGATATTGCTATAAAGGTATTTTGTAGATGGGATTAATATCTACAATCAGTTGACTTTAAAGAACATTACTTTTAAAGATAATGTGGGCACACATTATCTAATCAGTTGAAGGTGTTAAGAGCAAAAATTGGGATTTTCTAGAGAATGGAGAATTCCACCTCACCATTTTATTTATTTTACTTTTTGCCTCAACATTTTAATGTAAATCCTTCCTGAGCTTCCAGCCTGCCAGCCTGTCCTACAGGTTTCACACCCAAGACTATATCACTTCCTATCTCAGTTTCCAGCCAGCTGGCCTGTCCTACAAATTTTGGACTTGCCAGTCCCCAAAATCACTCAAGCCAATTCTTTAACATATATATCTTCTATTTTTTCTGTTTCTTTGGAGATTCTTGACTGATATATGAGGGAATCAGGAAACCACTTCAGGAATACAGTAACTTATCTGCACTCTCTGCAATCTGGGAATTGGAAAGCTGCTAAGAACTATGGGCTTTAATGTGGCTTTGCTTCTGCTAGACTCAAAAGAGTGAATGGTGCCTTCAGCACTGCTGCCACTAAAATTTGTATCCAAAACATATCAAGATCCTTCAAAACAAGGATTCCTGACAAACGCTATATGGAAGAGCAGACGAGAATGAGATAGTACAGATGTCAAACAAGACAATCTACCATGTCTGCCACATCAGCTTTACATAATCAGGGGCAATATTCCTTTTATATTTATTCTTTAAAAAGGTTTGCATAAGCATCATAAGGACTTGAGATTATAAAAAGAAGACATTCTCACATTGTTGAGACAGGCTTGAGCTGTCTTCAATTTAAGTAATAAAAAAAGTGGCTAAATTTTCATTTGTCTATAAACAGATAAAAATGATATATCAACATTGAGAGTTCCAGACAGTTATGTGGCAACAGCTATAGGCTTTCCTAATTGATGAGCCTAAGGGAGACCAGCATTAGACACAGAGTAAAGGGAAGGTATGATGAGTGCCCCAATAGACATGAGTTTGTTTCAGGAAATCTACCCTGGGACAACTATCATACATTCTATTTCACATACACACACATGCGCACACATGTACACAAGCACATACATTTCCCAAAGTTACCATGAATTTAGAATTGAGTATTAGAATGTTTCATCCAATATCCCACCAGGAAAAAAAATCAGAACAGGCAGAACTCCCAGACTGTCCAACTCACCAGGGCACAAGATCTTATTTTTATCACAGAAGAGAAAGTCATATTTCTTATCAAAATGAAGCCATGTGGCAGGAAGAACCAGTCGTATGAACTTGGATAAGCCACTTACCCTCTCTAATCCCCAGTTTCTTCCAATTAAAATGAGGATAAACTAAATCACAAAAAATAATTATGTTCAAGCAAATTATTTTTCTTAGTAGGAACCTAATAAGTGTGAACTGAATTAAACTAAATTAAGCTGGGGCTATTTCCAGCATATAGGGGTTCATAGAGTCATCCTAGCTGTTATGAGTGAGGTCCTTTGAGGCCTTACAGGTACAGGGTCACAAGACAAGGCTCCTTGTATTTCTATGAGACATGCTACACACAGATCACTTCCAGCTGGATTCCTTCTGTACCAAGATCAGCCATGTCAGGTGTCTCACACACCTGCTGAATGTTGAGAAAATCTACTAGGTACAGACTCCCTCAGAACCTGGTCACCCGCCAGCAAAACAGCCCTCCCCAGGGCATAGTGCAAAGCCTTCTTACCACCTCCTTCTAGGACCTAGCTCACATCTGGAACACCTAGATCCAATGAGACACTAGCCTATTGTCCAACATCTCCAAGACAGAGTCTTAGTAACAACATATAAACAACCAACCAAACAAAAACAAAGGAAACAACAGAATCCAAAAGCAAGCCCATAAGAAGTTGGGTTGCACAAAGAAAACAAACAAGCCTTTGGGATTTAGTCACCTTGGCTATGAAGCCTATTTCTTAATTGGGCATTTTCTCCAATGTTGATCAGAGGCAGCTAGCATCTCTTCTATCCCACCTATGACAAGGGTGAGGTCAGCACTCAACAAATAAGAAAGAAAATTTATGGTAAAAACGTGAGGTTAAAAACCCTAGGCAACTTTTGGCCAACTCCTGCTTTTGAAATTCTAAATTGCAAGCTGAACCGTGTGGTTCCACATACCTTCCTGACTAGTGACATCTCTCTTGGGAAATGACTCAAATGTGCATTTGTCTTTCTGGGAATGGCTGAGTTTTCTAAAGGCCCACTGTCCTTACAAGCCTACATACTTTTTGTTGAAGGAAAACCTTGTGAAAAGCAAAATATTCAAGAGTTATTAGTAGGCATACACATAAGCTTTCATACTTACCCACAGCCCTCTGAGCAGGCCTCCCTGTGGTTACTAAATTTTTTCTCTTGCTGAGATTTCCCAGCATGCTCTAGGATTATCAAGTAAAACCAAATATTAAGAGGAAAATCTTGAAAATCCTTCAGTGCCTGGGGTGGAAACAAATCAGACGAGTTCTCCACTCTGGCACCAGCCAGCTGAGTCACAAATACTGACCTATCCCATGCTGAGAAGACTCAATCACGAGTTTCTATCCATCAAATTTCCAGAATACATTGCCGTCTCACAAATGGGGGAAATGAAGTATATAAAACAGTGGGAACGTTTGCAGAAATAACAGTTAATATTTATATCAGGCATTTATCGGTACATGGCAAAGTTGAGAAATTTTTCTCTGAGCATTTCTTTCTGCCTTTAAGGCCTTAGGTTGGATAGATTCTGGATTTCTTAATCATAGAAGCTATGCACCATGTTTCAATTTGCAACTCAACATAGCTTTTGTCAAAATAAGTGCCAAATCCAGAAAACAGTTGCCATTAAAAATGAGAAAAGGCTGAGCTGGAGACAAAAACATGAAAGCCTATATTTCCTGGTCAAATGAATTTTATCACAGCGCATTTTTAGTATCTTTTTAATGTATTCTACTTGGTTGCTCAAATTGTGAAAACTACAAAATAAAAATTAAGTGGCTGTGTAATATCTGACTTGTCAGCTTTTCCACCTGGCATTTCTTTCTCTTGCAGCATTGATTCACTGTCTCAAGGAGGAGATGCATGAAATGTGGAAAACCACCTGTCTCGTTTAGTGGAATGGGAAGTGTAATGGGCTGGAAGGGAACCCACCTCTACAACATTATGCTTTCTGTCCTTAGGCAAAATACCTTGGCCTTACCTGTGTTTAAGCTTTTACAAGAAATGTCATTCTCAGTAAAGAAAACAGAGTCTAAGATGGTTGCCTCTGAAGGAGAATCTCTGAGCATGGAGGGACATGTTTGCCAAATACCCAAGTCTGAATAACCTGAATAGCCCAAGTCTGTTTGTCAAGTAAAACTGGTGTTCATGGGAAAAGCTGCTAGTTTAGCTAGAACTCAATTACACAAGTACTATTTTTTTGTACTTCTGTATGTCACAGAAGTGCTTTATTTGTACTCCCCATAACATCACACACAATATTAAAAAGACTTGTACTGAAGGATAAAGATTTAATAAATCATGTTGCTGCTTCATCAAGGTCATTCTTAAGTCAAATTCTTTTTATGTTTGTTTGTTTTCTGCCAGTCATGAAGACGAAGAATAAGATGTCTACTAGTGCAATTGCTGGTACTGCCATTTGTCCTAAGGTGTCAGCAGTTTTGCCTATCGTTGCTTCTGCACTATCACTGCAAATGTCAACACAGTGAAAAGGGAAAGTATGAGAATAGATTTGGCCTCCCCCTGGAAGAGTCTCAGGGAGCTCAAAGTGTCCATGAACAGTGCTTTGAGAACTGCTGTGTTAGTATATTAGTATAAAGACATCATGGTAACACATCTGGCTTCAGGACAGCAGACATAGAAACAAGGAGAGAATGAAGGGGATCCATTTTTTGAAATACAAAGTTTCATCACAGAACCTAGTAATCAGACATCTGCTTCTGTAGTGCAGATACCTTGTGTTACTCCCTTGATATTACCGACTATAAAATTAGAGTATACTAGCTAATAGAACCATATTGGTATATGTATTTGTTCCCAAGCATTGCTATAACAAATTACCACTTCTGTGGCTTAAAATAACAGAAATGTATTCACTCATAATTCTAGAGGCTAGAAGTCCAAAATTAAGGTGTCAGCAGGGCCAGCTACCCTCTGAAGGCTCTAAGGAAGGATTCTTAATGCCTCTTTCTAGTTCCTTGGTGTTCCTTGGCTTGTAGCTGCATCGCTCCAACCTGTGCCTCCATCTACACATGGTGCTCTTCTCTTTGTGTGTCTCTCTGTGCATCCTCTCATCTTCTTCCATTGACTTCAGTCATTGGATTTGGGGCCCCCACATCTCATAGGCCAAAAAGTCTCTCTTTCCAGATAAGATCACATTCACAGGTACCAGTGTCAGGACTTGAACGTATCTTTTTTGGGCATACAAAATGAAGGACAGAAATTGTTGTTCATTATTATTATATAGTATAGTAGGTTTAATTGTGTCCCTTTAACTCACTACACTAAATAGTCATAATGAACTACCAGCAACTCCTGCTCCTCATTTTCTTTAGATCTTCAAAGAGTTAGAAATATTGAGCAAGAAATTTTATTTTAAAAAACAGCTTCATTGGGGTATAATTGATATGTAATAAACTGTACATACTTACAGTGTACAATTTGATAAACTTTAGCATACATATATCCCCATGAAACCATCACCACAATCAAGGTAGTAAACATATCCATTGGCCTCAAAAGTTTCCATGCGCCCCTCTGCAATCCTTTTTTCCTGCTCCTCTCTACCCACCCCATGTCCACAGGCAATGTTGATCTACTTTCTGTCACTATGTTAAGTTTGCATTACATAGAGTTTTCTGTAACGGAATCATAGAGTATGTACTCTTTTTTCTTTGGCTTCTTTCCCTAAGCATAATTATTTCATAATTCATTTATGTTGTAACACATGTATCAATCAAGTAGTATTCTATTGCATGACTATACCACATTTGTTTATCCCACTCACCTGCTTGCGGAAAATTGCGTTTTTTCTAAATTTGTATTACAAAGGAAGCTAGGCAAGAATTTTTAAATCTTCCAAAAGCTAAAACTTTACTTCAACAATATGTCATATGTTTTATTTGTTTATGAAGCTAACAGAGCACTTGCTGCTGTAAGTCAAACTTAGCTCTTCTGCTTTCCAAGAAGGTGGATTCCTCTGGTATAAATTATGAAAAGCCTTTTGGAGAGAGAGATGCACGATAAATCAGGAGCCAGACAAAATGATAATTTTCTACTCCATAATCCCACTCTTAGGACTTTTGCCTAAAGGATTAATTTAAAAAAAAAAGTAAAGGTAAACTGGTGAAGATATTTTCTGTAGACCTCTCTAGAATAGTAAAACATTGGAAGCAACCTAAATATATATAGAGGAAATATTTTTAAAACATGAGAAAGTGCTTTAGAGAAAACATTTAGCTCAAAAAAGCATAATATGAAATTATATCTAGACCATGATTGTAACCATATAAAATTCAGATATGTGTGTGGATAAGGGAACTAAAAACTATTAGTATGTTACAGTAATGGAATTGTGAATGATATTTCTCTCTTACTTTATTTTTGTCATAAAATATACACAATAATAAACATCAGCAGGAAACAGTTGACTGCCCTAAAATGACTAAACCCATAGGCTTCTTGATGGTGTGCAAACCTGTATGTGTTCATTTGACCCATTCCCTATCACCAATGAAATAAATTAGGATATTGTCAGAGTCCTAGTCTAATTTGCCCTATATATATTGCTACACTTTGGACAGAAATTGGAGGATGGTATTAGAAAGTCTTCTACACTCTGGGAATCTTCTTCAACCTGAAAGTTTCATATATATGAAAATGAGGGAAACTATCAAGTGTTGGGGGAGCGTGTGTGCCATCAAGAGCTTTCACACACTGATGGTGGGAGTTTGGTTTGGTACAACCACTTTGGAACTCTTCGGCATTATCTAATAAAGCAGGGTATATTGCATACACTGTGACCATAAATCCCCCTTCTAGGCGTACACCCAACAGAAATGCAGATGTATGTTCAGCAAGGGTATGTAGTAGAATGTTGATAGCAGCATTATCTATAATAGCTCCAAACTGGAAACTGCCCAAATGCTCATCCACATAGAATAGATAAATTGCAATGGAGACACACAATGGAACACTATATAACAATTGGAATGAACAATCTACAATTACATGTGTTTATATGGTTGAACAGTACAAATATTGAGAGAAATAAGCCAGATGCAAGAAAGTATGTAGTGTATAATTTCACTTATGTTAGTACAAAGACAGGCAAAATAAATCTATGCTTTTAAGGATCAGGATAATGATTGTTCTTAGAGGAAGAAGGGCAGAGACTTACTGAAAGTAGCATAAAAAGGCTTCAGGTGTACTTATAATGGACTATTTATGATCCAAGTTCTGGTTATATAAATGTGTTTGGTTTATGGAAATTCATCAAGCTATATATTTATGTGTAGTTTTCTGTGATGTATATTATACTCCAATAAAAGTTTTTTTTTGTAAAGTCTATAGGCATTATCAAATGCTTTAAGAATGTTACCAAGAAATTTCTTTTTTATGTAGATATGAAAAGAGGGATAGTTGACAGTACAGTGTTGTGAATTTACAATGAACTAGAAAATCAGGATTATATAGCAGGGTGCATCTGGCAAACTTTGTGGCCAGCCAGGAATAGTTATTGCTAGTTACAGAGCTGAAAGCCCCCAATAAATTTTGTTTTCTCCATTGCACACTGCCTGATGATTGGCAAAGAAATAAAATATAGAATCAAGAAGGCCAGAATGCCCTCTGCAAGAACAAAATGTACTGCCAATATGGCACGTAGCTGCACCTCCATCCAAAGTTGTATGGAGCTTATGAAAGGTCCAAGCTGCTGTATGACCTGGAGAGCTACCATGCATCTCATTGCCAGGATCACAGTTAGAAAAAGTAAACAGAAATATGTTTCTACCAAAATCCATAAGAGAAGAAAGGAAAACCGTTCTCCAACCGAAAGAGGAAGAAGGAGAGGGCATCATCTCTCACCTTGTTAAAGATAAGCTCCAGGAAGCAAAGGAGAATTCTCTACCCAGCTGAATAAGGACATATTTCCCAAGAACCACTGGGTTGCCAGAATTTCTATTAAGAATTCCAAGTATTCTCATATTATTTTTCAGTTTTACATTTCTACTAATTGTGTAAGGCCTATAGAAAGCTTCTTGAACTGTGTTTTCCCATCTTCAACATGACTTTGCAATTGAAAGACAGGATATAGCAAAACCAGAGGTTAAGTGAATGCCAGCAAGAGAAAATGGTTAAATATTTCATGGTATGTCATGGAATGCCATAGAAGCATTAAAAAGATAATAAATTAACTTCTAGAATCAAGATTATGTTCTCTAAATGCCCTTTCTCACTAGGGAACCAGTCCACTTTGGAGAAATGACTCAATCTACATCTAGTGTAAAAAGCCTTCTGGGTAAGTCGAGGATATTCTATTTACCAGAAATCAAAGAAGTCATCATCACAAACTACTGGGATCTTGTCAAAAGAAGACCAAAGGAGCAATTCTGCGGAGTGCCCACTGGCCAAGAGTGAGACCATCTGAGCATCAAATGTCATAAAATTCCATAATCTACAACACATTTAATATATACAAATATCTGAGTCCAACAATGTTATTGATCACCATTGGAGGTTGCTAAAGCATCATTTCATTATTCAGAAAATTGACAACCAAAAAAAAAAAAAAACAACCTTTATTCTGCCTCTCCTATACAAACTGTTATTCCAGATTACCAATGATTGATAAGAGAGAGTTCTTCATAGAATTCCAGCCAATCAAGGCAGAAAGATTAATAGATTTAGAAAATTATTATTTTACAACTCTGACTGAAATAATGAATATAGGTAATGTTCATTACTGAATGCTAAAACTGTTAAGTCAGGCTTGATGAGAAAGTTTATATTGGAAAGATAAAGCTGACCACACCTGACCCCAATGGCCAATTTCAGCATCACTTAAAGTGGGCTGGCCAATGTTGTATTCCTCCTATTCCATACCTCTGTGATGCAATAGAAAGTACACAGCACCAACTATTAAGTATTCTAGCCAAATGAATCGAGCCAGAAATCTCGTCAATCCTCTATATTCAACTAAGTATGTAAAGGAAGCACAGGGTAGGTGTTAAGTGACACCACGAGAATGAAATAAGACAAATCTAGAAGGTGGGAAATTCTACAAGGAAAATAACCTGGTTTCTTCAACAAATAGAAGCATTAACAGGGAAGGGGAAGGGAAAATCATTGTAAATTTTAGAGACATATCAGGCAAATGCAATGTTTGGCATTTGAATCCTCATTCAAACAAACCAACTGTAAAAAGATGTTTTTGAGGCAATCAGGGAGATTTGAACATGAACTGGGTATTGGATGATTTTAAAGAACTATTATAAATTTTGTTATAGGTGATATTAGTATAATCGGTTACATTCTTAAAAATCTCTATCCGTTAGTGATGAATACTGAAGTGTTTACTGGATATAGACAACATAAAGTCTGGGATTTGCCTGAAAATATTGAATAATACGAAGTAAAGTATACACAATAGTAGTATGAATCCATTTTTGTAAACAATGACCTGGTTTTGTAAAATACGCACATACATTTATTTTTAGGTAGATGTATAGACATACACATATATAAATGTTTACATATGATTTTATGAGCACTGAGAATTATTTGGAAGAGCCCATGCTACACTGTAAATATAGACTAGCTGGGGGTGGAGGCTGATATGAATAGGGAAAGATTAAGTAAGGGTAAATTTAAAAAAAGATTTCATTTTTAAAAGGTAGGATGATGTATCCCAATATATGGATTTATATGAAACAGTCAAAATATCTGTATTTCTACATACATAAAGAAGATTGTTTTTAATCTTTAAAAAATTGCAAAATCTGTCCACATTTCTGAAACAGAAACAGCGCTGGTTTCCTAGCACGGAAGCCTGGTAACTGCAGTAAATTTCTGCCGGTCTGCCCATAAGCAGAGTGATAACAAACTAGAAGCTCTCAGGCAGCAGCATGTGGCGAGCTGAAGTGAAGCAAATAGAATTGGGTGTGTGGTAGGGTCTTTGGGACGGGGGCTGACTGGAAATCGATACTTCAAAAATGCACTGCAACACTCACCGCTGCGGTGTGTTAGCATGGATAGCAAGGAAACAAAATGAGATGTCAGCTGAGTATACTACAGAGAATGAATCTCCTTCTCAGAGCCCAAGTATCAGGCACAATGCTCACCAGCATGAGGCAGCCATGGGACAAAGGAAAAGCACTAACCCAGGAGTCACAGGAGGTTTAGGTCACACCTCGGCTCAACCACACACCAATTGCATGACCTTGAGAAAGAAACTTGACCTCCTGGCCTCCACACGTAAAATGAGAATAAAAATAACATCTCAACTGTCATGATCATCACATGTACTTTACAAAGAGGTAAACTAAAAAGCGCTATACATGTAAAAGTGTCAGAAAGGTTGCTGCCTGCCCCCATGTGCACGTGTGCACACACACACCCCCACACACATCTCACTATTCATATATACATTAGCACATAGAAATATACACCATTCACAGGTAGAAATGCTGTATATGCATGAGTTTTACAGCAAAACAACCCTCCTCCCAACTTGTAGATGGGAAAATCAAAGCTTAAAGAACTTAACAAGCTAATGGTTACATAGAATTCATTTATAATAATGTTGGAATTTAGCAGAGGTATATGTGTTTAAAATAGTCTCATTCGAGGCCAGGCGTGGTGGCTCATGCCTGTAATCTCAGCACTTTGGGAGGCCAAGATGGGAGGATCACTTGAGGCAAGGAGTTCAAGACCAGCCTGCGGAATATAAAAAGACCTCATCTCTAAGAAAATTTTTAAAAATTAGCCAGGCCTGGTGGCATGAGCCTGCAGTCGTAGCTACTAAAGGGCCTGAAGCAGGAGGATCTCTTGGGTTCAGGAGTTGGAGGTTACAGTGAGTCATGATCGTACCACTGCACTCTATCCTGGGTGACAAAGCAAGACCCTGTCTCAGAATAAAATAAAATAGTCTCATTCATGGCTGCTAAATATGATTTCTGATTTATGGAAAGTTCTGACCTGGAAAAATTACAAAGCCAGATGCTATGGACTGAATCGTATACATGAAATGCATATGCTGAAGCCCTGTTCTTCCAGGTGATGGTATTTGGAGGTGGGGCCTTTGGGAGGTAACCAGGGTTTGATGAGGTCATGAAGCTGGGGCTCTCATGCTGGAATTAGTGCCCTTATTAGAAAAGGCACCAAAGAAGACGGATTTACAGCTGAATCCTACCAGAGGTACAAGGAGGAACTGGTACCATTCCTTCTGAAACTATTCCAAACAATAGAAAAAGAGGGAATCCTCTCTAACTCATTTTATGAGGCCAGCATCATCCTGGTACCAAAGCCGGGCAGAGACACAACCAAAAAAGAGAATTTTAGACCAATATCCTTGATGAACATTGATGCAAAAATCCTCAATAAAATACTGGCAAAACGAATCCAGCAGCACATCAAAAAGCTTATCCACCATGATCAAGTGGGCTTCATCCCTGGGATGCAAGGCTGGTTCAATATACACAAATCAATAAATGTAATCCAGCATATAAACAGAACCAAAGACAAAAACCACATGATTATCTCAATAGATGCAGAAAAGGCCTTTGACAAAATTCAACAACCCTTCATGCTAAAAACTCTCAATAAATTAGGTATTGATGGGACGTATCTCAAAATAATAAGAGCTATCTATGACAAACCCACAGCCAATATCATACTGAATGGGCAAAAACTGGAAGCATTCCCTTTGAAAACTGGCACAAGACACGGATGCCCTCTCTCACCACTCCTATTCAACATAGTGTTGGAAGTTCTGGCCAGGGCAATTGGCGGGAGAAGGAAATAAAGGGTATTCGATTAGGAAAAGAGGAAGTCAAATTGTCCCTGTTTGCAGACGACATGATTGCATATCTAGAAAACCCCATTGTATCAGCCCAAAATCTCCTTAAGCTGATAAGCAACTTCAGCAAAGTCTCAGGATACAAAATCAATGTACAAAAATCACAAGCATTCTTATACACCAATAACAGACAAACAGAGAGCCAAATCATGAGTGAACTGCCATTCACAATTGCTTCAAAGAGAATAAAATACCTAGGAATCCAACTTACAAGGGATGTGAAGGACCTCTTCAAGGAGAACTATAAACCACTGCTCAATGGAATAAAAGAGGATACAAACAAATGGAAGAACATTCCATGCTCATGGGTAGGAAGAATCAATATCGTGAAAATGGCCATACTGCCCAAGGTAATTTATCGATTCAATGCCATCCCCATCAAGCTACCAATGACTTTCTTCACAGAATTGGAAAAACTACTTTAAAGTTCATATGGAACCAAAAAAGAGACCGCATCGCCAAGTCAACCCTAAGCCAAAAGAACAAAGCTGGAGGCATCATGCTACCTGACTTCAAACTATACTACAAGGCTACAGTAACCAAAACGGCATGGTACTGGTACCAAAACAGAGACATAGATCAATGGAACAGAACAGAGCCCTCAGAAATAATGCCGCATATCTACAACTATCTGATCTTTGACAAACCTGAGAAAAACAAGCAATGGGGAAAGGATTCCCTATTTAATAAATGGTGCTGGGAAAACTGGCTAGCCATATGTACAAAGCTGAAACTGGATCCCTTCCTTACACCTTATACAAAAACTAATTCAAGATGGATTAAAGACTTAAACGTTAGACCTAAAACCATAAAAACCCTAGAAGAAAACCTAGGCATTACCATTCAGGACATAGGCATGGGCAAGGACTTCATGTCTAAAACACCAAAAGCAATGGCAACAGAAGCCAAAATTGACAAATGGGATCTAATTAAACTAAAGAGCTTCTGCACAGCAATAGAAACTACCATCAGAGGGAACAGGCAACCTACAAAATGAGAGAAAATTTTCACAACCTACTCATCTGACAAAGGGCTAATATCCAGAATCTACAATGAACTCAAACAAATTTACGAAAAAAAATAAACAACCCCATCAAAAAGTGGGCAAAGGATATGAACAGACACTTCTCAAAAGAAGACATTTATGCAGCCAAAAGACACATGAAAAAATGTTCATCATCACTGGCCATCAGAGAAATGCAAATCAAAACCACAATGAGATACCATCTCACACCAGTTAGAATGGCAATCATTAAAAAGTCAGGAAACAACAGGTACTGGAGAGGATGTGGAGAAATAGGAACACTTTTACACTGTTGGTGGGACTGTAAACTAGTTCAACCATTGTGGAAGTCAGTGTGGCGATTCCTCAGGGATCTAGGACTAGAAATACCATTTGACCCAGCCATCCCATTACTGGGTATATTCCCAAAGGACTATAAATTATGCTGCTATAAAGACACATGCACACGTATGTTTATTGTGGCACTATTCACAATAGCAAAGACTTGGAACCAACCCAAATGTCCAACAACGATAGACTGGATTAAGAAAATGTGGCACATATACACCATGGAATACTATGCAGCCATAAAAAATAATGAGTTCATGTCCTTTGTAGGGACATGGATGAAATTGGAAATCATCATTCTCAGTAAACTATCGCAAGGACAAAAAACCAAACACTGCATGTTCTCACTCACAGATGGGAATTGAACAATGAGAACACATGGACACAGGAAGGGGAACATCACACTCTAGGGACTGTTGTGGGGTGGGGGGAGGGGGGAGGGATAGCATTTGGAGATATACCTAATGCTAAATGATGAGTTAATGGGTGCAGCACACCAGCATGGCACATGTATACATATGTAACTAACCTGCACATTGTGCACATGTACCCTAAAACTTAAAGTATAATAATAATAAAGAAAAAAAAAAGAAGACACCAAAGAGCTCGTTCTCTCTCTCTCTCCTCACTATGTGAGCATCTAACAAAAAGGCAGCTGTGTGCAAGACAGGAAAAGGGTCCTTACCCCAAAGTGAACACTGCTAGACCTTGATCTTGGACTTTCCACCCTTCAGAACTCTGAGAAAATAAAGGTCTGTAGTTTAAGCCTCTCAATCTATAATATTTTGTTACAGCAGACCAAGCTGGCTCAGGTACTGGGTCAAGAGCCTCTACTTCATGTTCTTACAATATCCTGAACTTCCTGTATCATAATATTCATCATTTTACTGTTAGCATTGTTAGTTCTACTTCCAAGCTACATGTCCTGGGGCAAATTGCTTAAAATTTCCCTCTGCCTCTGTTTTCTTTTCCAGACAATGGGGGTAATAATGGAATCTTTCTCCTAGGACCTTCCTGCATCTGTGTAATGATTATCTTATCATAATAATTAGGCGATTGAATACATGACTTCACCTAGAACAGTATCTGGCAAAATAGAAAATACTTAATAGGATGACAAGATGATGTTCCTGCTGTTTTTGCTGTTATCTATTTGGCCAAATTATAAACTTCATAAGGGCCCAGAGACCTCTATTATCTTGCTCACAATTGTTACCCTATGAACAAACTAGCATGGCACATAAATAAATATTTGCTAAATGAACAACTAGGTGATGAGAAAGGAGAAAATGATTCAGTGAGATGGCAAACATTTTCAGGAAGTGCATACTGTACCTATAAATAGAAACAAAAGCTATTTTCTTAGATATTTTAACCGGTAATTTATAAGTTGCAATTTAATTGATTCAACACACAGCCAAGAAGATGAGGAAAGAATGGTATAGTATAATATTCTTTGAACAGTTTTCCTGTGCATAGTAAAATACCTATGGAAGAATTGTCGGGGATGTGCTCCATTCTAAAGCTCATTAAAGCTGCTTGAACAACCATTGCACAGGTTTTGCTTTTTCATTTAATTTTAATAAAATATTTTACTGGAGGAAACTTTGGGGTATAATAGCAATGAAGTGGGTATAGTGCTTTAGGTGACATTTCATTTCATTTGTGGGCACCTGTGGAGATAAATATACTAATCCCAATGCCCCGGAATTTGGGCTGCTGGTTATCCAAAAATGAAATGTCATGTACAGAAAGTTATTTTTTATTGTTTAATTTCCAGCTGTCTGCTCAGCAAATCAGAATGACAAAGACAACAGCTATTTCAAGATAAGGCACCACATGCATTATAGAAAATGCATCTCATTTGGAACTTTAGTCCTGTTCTTGATGACAGACCAGTGAAAACGTGAAATTTAAAATATTCCCCATTGCTTCCCGAGCACGAGTGATAATGAGCCTTTCATTTTGCTTTGACTGAAATCATAAAGCAAAGTCATGGATATATTGTACAGTTGCACCTCACACTCTACATAAACAATCCACATCTCTAGGCAAACCTTTTATAGCTTAAATAAGTCTGGAAGACAATGAGAGCAGCAAGTTAGATTTAAACCTGAGATGGTGATCTGTAGCTGGAGGAAGCCAGAGCAGACGGAGAGCCTGTTCATTCTATTACCAGAACCACAGTTGACTGTTTTTCAACCTTATCATATATCTCAAAATATCAGAGCATAATTCCCACCTTGGACTAAATCATCTGAAGAGATTTGGTAATGTTGCCTTGTTCCTCTGCAGGATAAAGAAGCTTCCCAATTCTATGAGTTTTCTCCCCAAAATGAGAAGGGAAAAAAATTCTTTTCTGGTCTATTCTCAGTAGCCTTCAGGGCTACTTACAAGATAAAGCTTCTCAGAGATTTAGATCATAGCTGTGTTTAATAATAGATAATATTCAGGTGTCATCTGTGTCAGAACCCACCACACCCGCTCCCATGGACAAGCAGGAAAGAACTAATATTTACAAAATCACTCTGTATATTTGTTTGGGCAGGTCAAGTCAGGTTAAAGAGAGAACCAATAAATTTTATTTATATTCTCTCGTGAAAATCCATAGCATCCATCACTAGAGTTTCCAGGCATCAAACCTCTGACCGGCAGAAGCAAGGGTTAAGGTAATTAAGTAAATTTCTGATAATACTGCTTAATTTCTTCATGTAAAGCCCTTCCTTCATTGTACATATATTCATTCAGTGGCATTATCCTGTAGCTCTGACTATGCCACATTGGAGATTGTTTCGCAAGATGTTCAAGATGTATTGCCTTGTCTTTTTTTTTTTTTGAGATGGAGTCTCGCTCTGTCGCCCAGGCTGGAGTGCAGTGGTGTGATCTCGGCTCACTGCAAGCTCCGCCTTCCTGGGTTCACTCCATTCTCCTGCCTCAGCCTCCCAAGTAGCTGGGACTACAGGTACCCACCACCATGCCCAGCTAATTTTTTGTATTTTTAGTAGAGAGGAGGTTTCACCGTGTTAGCCAGGATGGTCTTGATCTCCTGACCTCATGATCCACCCACCTCAGCCTCCCAAAGTGCTGGGATTACAGGCGTGAGCCACCACGCCTGGCCTGCCTTGTCTTTTCTAACAACACTTTTCTCTTCCCCTGGGTGCTACCATCTACTAGTGTGGCTTTAAATATTATCTCTATGCAGATGACACTTAAGCTTGTATATCTCCCTGACTTCTGCTTGAGTTCCAGACTTTCATATCCAACTTCTTACTTGATTTATTCATTAGGATAAAGAACAAAAATATTAAACATAAATATTTTCAAAACAGAACTCTTGATTTCCATCTTACACCTATTTCTCTTACAAGCATCTACTCACTTGCTCAAGCCCCAGATATAGGATTCATCCTTGATTATTTCTTTATTTCCCCATCAGCAGTCCCTGTTAGCCTGGCCTCTGAAATAAACAAGTAAAAACATAAATTAAAAGTATAATTAACATAGTGATATGTTTCATGTAGACTATGAAACAGGGTGTTATGAGAGGGAGGGAGTGATAGGGTGATCAGGAAAACTCTTTTTGGGAAGGTGATATGGTTTGGCTGTGTCCCCACCTGAATCTCATTTTGAATTCCCAGGTGTTGTGGGAGGGACCCAGTGGGAGGTAACTGAATCATGGAGGCAGGTCTTTCCCATGCTGTTCTTATGATAGTGAATAAGTCTCATGAGATCTGATGACTTTATAAGGTGGAGTTTCCCTGCACAAGCTCTCTCTTTGCCTGCTGCCATTCATGTAAGACGTGACTTGCTCCTCCTTGCCTTTCACCATTATTGTGAGGCCTCCTCAGCCATGTGGAAGTGTGAGTTCATTAAACCTTTTTCCTGTATAAATTACCCAGTCTTTATCAGCAGCATGAAAACGGAGTAGCACAGAAGGTGACAATTCTGTGTTCTGGATGTCAGAATGTACATGTCCATGCAAAGATCTAGGGACCATTTCAGGCAGAAGGACAGCTAGAACAATGACTCTAAAGCAAGAAAGAAGGCAGTTTGAATGATGCAAAGAAAAGCTTAAGCCCTGGTTACATGGGGAGATAGGGGTCAACTTCTATAAGACATATAAACCCAAAAGAAGGAGTTTGGAGTTTAAGTGCAATAGCAAGTCAATGAAATGATTTAACCTGCAGAGTGATATGATTTATTTCATTCTTCAAAGATCATTCAAGATCCTTGGGCAACATGAACAAAATTAATTTACATCCTTCCGCCAACATCACCACTACACCCAGATACTACTGATCCTATTGAAAACACATAGGAATGTTGGGTTAAAGTATAGAGCAATAATATAGAATAAAATCCTATACTCAGAAGAAAGAAGGAAATAAAAGGAAAGAGGAAAGGAGGAAATCTTTGAGAAATCAGAATAAAAACATAACTCAAAACAAGACTGGTAATTATCACAACTGATGAGAGAAGAATCTCAGAGGGTGTGAGTAGGATATCAGCTCTGAATGGGATTTACACTGTACGTAAGCAATGTAAGCAAAGGAGACAGGGGTCTGGGGCTCTGAGAGGCAAGAAGCTGGAAATAAGACTCCTGCCTAGAGAGAGGTTCCTCAAAGGACTGCTCTGTTTGGATAAAGAAAACTGTAAAAACTCTACCCACCAGCTGAGGGAAGGGAAAAGGAATCACAGGGAATCTGAATGGAAAACAAAATCGCCTGTGAAATTGAAAGCCCACAGCCAGATACGGTAGCAGAAGTTACAAACCCTAACCAGTTTAATAAACTCAAACCAAGAGATTATAAAAACTGCTCCTACAGTAGTGAAACCCTAAATTTTACTTGCAAAAGTAAATGCAAAATTGAGCCATGGCGGGGGCATGATTTACATAGAAAAACAACCCCAGTTTAGCAGGAGCTAACAGTAAAAACTACAAACAACACAAGAAATGAAACCACCTGAAGGAAAATCAGCAGACACATCAATCAGGAGGCGCAACACTGATTTCCAAAGTAGCTGATAAAACAATCGAAAGAGATTATAAAATAAGTACGGAAACTAAAATGAAAGAGCTGGGCTATGAATAAAGGAGAGGCAAGTCAAAAATAAAAACAAAACACGTGACTGTAGGTAATTAACATTAAAACTTTATTAAAATGTAAAAACTCAATGAGTAGGTTAAGTAGCAAATGAAAACCAGCTCTAGAGAGAATTAGTAAACTACAAGATATATTTGAGGAAGTAACACAAAATGCAGTACAATCCAATACAAAGAAATATGAAATAGGCAAGGGGGATTAAGGAAGGGGAAGAATAGAAGAAAAAATTCGACATGTATTCAACAGAATATAGCAAGAAGTAGAGAATAGTAAAGAAAAAACAAAACAACAACAAAAAAAACTGCAGTATCAGCCGGGCGCGGTGGCTCATGCCTGTAATCCCAGCACTTTGGGAGGCGGAGGCAGGTGGATCACGAGGTCGGGAGACCGAGACCATCCTGGCTAACACGGTGAAACCTGGTCTCTACTAAAAATACAAAAAATTAGCTGGGCGTGGTGGCCGGTGCCTGTAGTCCCAGCTACTCGGGAGGCTGAGGCAGGAGAATGGCGTGAACCCGGGAGGCAGAGCTTGCAGTGAGCCGAGATCGCACCACTGCACTCCAGACTGGGAGAGAGAGCGAGACTCCGTCTCAAAAAAAAAAAAAAAAAAAAAAAACAGTACAGTATTTAGGTCTGCCTAATCACAGTACTCTGCAATCCTGGACATAAGGTTTGGTCCAAGGGTGAACACATATCCAAACAAGTCCATATAAAATCCTCCCACCACCATCTCCCAGGAGAGTTATGTGATGTTGGGAGCGTTAAGATCTTTTCACTTGGCCAGGCTCAGTGGCCTCACACCTGTAATCCCAGCACTTTGGGAAGCCGAGGTGGGACGATCACTTGAGGCTAAGAGTTTAAGACCAACCTGGGCAATATAGTGAGATCCTGTCTCTATTCTTAAAAAAAATTAATAAATAAAATTTTAATAAGGATCTTTTCACTGGGTTGCTGAACTGTGTGGTAAGATATAAAGTCAGGGAAAGGGTCTTGTGCTTTCGGTGGTGGGGCTAGAGAAAGGAACACTGCACCATGGAATGAAAAACTTTTCTAGCTCCTTAGCGTTTTCCCCCTACACACACTCATTGTCTTCATTCCTTATGCAAGCTATGTCCAGGGAGAAAGGAAAACATTTTTTCTTAGCACCCACTCAACCAGACACTTTCCTAGGCGGTGGGAATGATAACCTGAATAAGACCTGATCCATGGAGAACCTGAGTGCCAGAGGCTGGGAAGGGCTGGACCCCAGGTCTCCTGATGTTGAATCCAGGGCTTCTCCTGCTCTCTTCTTCCCTCCTAATTTTACAGCACTGTGTACCAGGTGCGACAGTGATTGAGCGCTAAGTAAAGGTATTTTAACCTTCGAGACACCCTGGTTGGAGTTCACAATGAAATGAAATGCACCAGCCTCCCTCTGGTAGCCAGAGTCTCTGGCCATGCTCTTGTAGCAGAAGCTTCTCATTTGGAACAGCTCAGACTCCCTGGGCTCTTTGAAAGGATTGGTGGAGATGAGTTTCTATGTTTTACAATTGTGACAAAAATCCTCTGCTCATAGCCTAAGGGAGTGTGAAGTGGAGTACAGGGTGAGGGCCAAATAATCATGCACGGGACACGCAGCCAGAGTGTCTGGGATGCCAGGGGGGTGTCTGCTGAGCGATTAGGACAGGGCAGCAGACACAGTGATTAAATGGAGAGGAGGGGCTGCTGAAAATGAAAGAAAACGCTGCAACATGCAAAAGCACTGCCATGCTACACCACAGAAAATAATGGATTAAATAATCGACTTAAATCCTTTTGCATCTGGGTGAAACCCAAGTGAAACCAAGTAAATTAACTCAAAAGGTTTCTGGACCAGCAACTTACCTTCAAGGCTGTTAATGTAAGCTGTTCTTTCTCCCTGAACTTCATTATAGACAGGATAACTTTTTCCTGATTCGCTTAGGACAGTCCCAGCTTACACTTCCTGTCTCAGTATCTTATCTCTTTCAGCATTTGTCTGAGATTTTTAAAGGAAAGTATTATGGTTAATAGTTGCATTACAGTTAGCCAGGATGGGTTCAGCAGACTTCTGGAGCAGATGCTGTGATGTCATCCCAGAGTCTCCTCAAGACTGAAGGGCTACTCCACCAGCTGCAGCGAGGGCTTCTGGCAGAGATCCCCAGCTGTCAGCCCTCATCGGAATTGCTTCAAATGAAGAGTGTCATCTCACCCACCACCATGCCCTCTTCCCAGGGTGCCCACAGCCAAGAACTGGTTTATAAGGAGATATAAAGGTCTGGCCCCCACTTTGTCTAGAGCTGGCCATGTGGTTGCTCTCTGTTGAGGCTGAATCATAGGCTGTGATGGTTAAGATTGAGTGTCAACTTGATTGAATTGAAAGATGCAAGGTATTGTTCCTGGGTGTGTCTGGGAGGGTGTTGTCAAAGGAGATTAACATTTGAGTCAGTGGACTGGGAGAGGCAGACCCACCTGCAGTCTGGGTGGGCACCATCTAATCAGCTGCTAGAATAAAGCAGGCTGAAAAAGGTAGAAAGAGCAGACTTACTGAGTCTTCTGGCCTTCCATCTTTCTCTCTTGCTGAATCCTTCCTGCTCTTGAACATCAGACTCCAAGCTCTTCAGCTTTTGGACTCTTGGACTTAGACCAGTGGTTTGCCAGGGGCTCTCGAGCTTACGGCCACAGACTGAAGGCCACATTGTCGGCTTCCCTACTTTTGAGGTTTTGGAACTCAGACTGGCTTCCTTGCTCCTTAGCTTGCAGACAGCCTATTGTGGGACTTCACCTTGTGATCTTGTGAGTTGATTCTTCCTAATAAACTCCCCTTCATATATACATCTATCCTATTAGTTCTTTCCCTCTAGTGAACCCTGACTAATGCATCAGCCAACTTCTCTTCCTGCCCCATCCTTCTTCCTTTCCCCTTCCAGAGGTGGTGATCCCAAGACCACTCCCTAGCAAACCTCCTGTCCACCACTCTCCATCTCCAAGTCTGCTTCCTGAGTAGGCCACAGCCTCTGACAATTGCCACTTGGTGCCTTCACTTTTTTTTTTTTTTTTTTTTTTGAGACAGGCTCTCAATCTGTTGCCCAGGCTGAAGTGCATTGGTGTGATCATAGCTCACTGCAGCCTCGGCCTCCCGGGTTAAGTGATCCTCCTCCCTCAACCTGCTGAGTAGATGGCACTACAGGTGTGTACCACCACACCTGGCTAATTTTTTAAATTTTTGTAGAGACAGGGTCTTGCTATGTTGCCCAGGCTGGTCTCAAACACCTGGCCTCAAGCGATCCTCCTGCCTCAGTCTCCCTAAACACTAGGAATACAGGCATGAGTCACTGTACCTGGCAGTGCTTTCACTTTCTGCTGTGGACTTGTCTAATGGTATACGAAACAAGAGCAGTCAACTGAGTTCCTACTCTTGTTAAACCAGAGGATGCCCAGGGATAACCCACCTCACTTTTCCCAGCCTTATCTAGACACACTACGTGGTAGACAACGATGTGATGTCCAGCTACCTCTTCAAAGGAGGACTTGAGGAGGCTGAGGCAGGAGGATTGCCTGAGCCTGGGAGGTTGAGGCTGCAGTGAGCTATCATCATGTCACTGCACTGCACATACCCCACTGTGGGTGGTACAGAGACAGCCTCTGGCCAAGACTTTGTCATGCCCATATCACTGCTGGACATCTTTCACTGCCCAATCCTGCTTCTTCTCTCTTCCACAGGTGTTGGTGCCAAATAAACCTCGGGCCCTAAACTTCTAGGCATCTGCCTCCGGAGAATCCAACCTGCAACACAACTTAACTAACACCTTCCTTTCCAGGACAGCTTATGGGGTGCTCCCTTATCAAAGAAAGGGTGCTAGCAGCTACAGGCAGCACACTCTTTTTATCTGGGATAATGGTGAGAGAAGATTTGGTGCTGTGGTCCCTGCTGGCCCCTTGATGTACCAGCCAACTGTAGTGACTTCAATTTGAGATGCCTGAAGATAGCAGGATGCCATTCAGTGCTGTCAGTGGAAAACACCGGACATTTTAGTCTAGGTATATATACAATATTTATGGAAAATAGAGGTCAAGAATTCCTGCCACATAGCATATGAAGAAAGAGTCTAAATGCTCTTGCAACAGCGGTTTTAACATTAATGGTATGCTGTATAAATCGACAACTATTAAATAATATTATTTGGTAACTTTCATGCACGTCCGTGTGAAGAGACCACCAAACAGGCTTTGTGTGAGCAATAAAGCTGTTTATTTCACCTGGGTACAGGTGGGCTGAGTCCGAAAAGAGAGTCAGCGAAGAGAGATAAGGGTGGGGCCGTTTTATAGGATTTGGGTCAGTAAAGGAAAATTACAGTCAAAGGGGGTTTGTTCTCTGGCGGGTAGGAGTGGGGGTCGCAAGGTGCTCAGTGGGGGTGCTTTTTGAGCCAGGATGAGCCAGGAAAAGGACTTTCACAAGGTAATGTCATCAGTTAAGGCAAGGACCGGCCATTTACACTTCTTTTGTGGTGGAATGTCATCAGTTACGGTGGGGCAAGGCATATTCACTTCTTTTGTGATTCTTCAGTTACTTCAGGCCATCTGGGCGTATACGTGCAAGTCACAGGGGATGCGATGGCTTGGCTTGGGCTCAGAGGCCTGATATTCCTGCCTTCTTATATTAATAAGAAGAATAAAACAAAATAGTGTTGAAGTGTTGGGGCGGCGAAAATTTTTTGGGGGGTGGTATGGAGAGAGAATGGGTGATGTTTCTCAGGGCTGCTTCGAGCGGGATTAGGGGCGGCGTGGGAACCTAGAGTGGGAGAGATTAAGCTGAAGGGAGGTCTTGTGGTAAGGGGTGATATTGTGGGGTTGTTAGAAGAAACATTTGTCGTATAGAATGATTGGTGATGGCCTGGATACGGTTTTGTATGAATTGAAAAACTAAATGGAATAACAGAAGGAGAAAAACAGGTATAAAAGGTCTAAGAATTGGGACGACTCAGGATGTCTGATTAGAGAGTGTTTAAGGAGATTTGGCATAGTCCTGCCAGCAAAGATTATTTATTTACTTCAAGAGTTAAGAGTGGCAGTTTGGGGATAGCACCAGGAGATATCAGCTGTGATGGCTTGGAAAAACAGTGTAAACTGGCAGTGTAAACAAGAGCAGGGCATGTATGAGTAGTTGAGAACGGTGAATAGGAGTATGAGTAGACAGAAGATAGTAGGGATGACAAGTTTTTTTGTTTTTTTTGAGGCACAGTCTAAGTTGGTCTGGTGTCTGGAATGAGACTGGGGCGTAATAAAAAGGAGTGTCTATACAGGACCTTAAATGGGCTGTACCCTGTAGCATTACGAGGACAGGCCTGAATTCTGAGAAGGGAAAGTGGTAAAAGTATTGTCCAGTCCTTTTTAAGTTGGTGGCTGAGCTTGGTGAGGTGTGTTTTTAAAAGACCTTTAGTCCATTCTACTTTTCTTGGAGGACCATAAGGGATATAAAGGTTTCACTGAATACTAAGAGCCTGAAAAAATGCTTGGCTGATTTGACTAATAAAGGCTCATCTGTTATCAGACTGTATTAAGGTGGGAAGGCTAAACTGAGGAATTATGTCTGACAGAACGAAAGAAATGACTGCGGTGGCCTTCTCGGACCCTGTAGGAAAGGCCTCTACTTATTTTGAGGGCCTCTAAAAGTATTAAAGCAGCAGCAGCCGCTGCACGCAGACATGAGGGCTAGGCTAAAACAGTAAGGTCAAGTTGTTTGGACAGAAAGGCTACAGGGTGTGGTCCTGGCTCTTGTGTAAAAATTCTGACCGCGCTAACCATGCCTAGGAAGGAAAGGAGTTGTTTTGTAGAAGGTGCTTGGGTTTGAGAGATCAGTCGGACACGATTGGCAGGGAGAGCACGTGTTTTTATGAGAATTATGCCGAGATAGGTAACAGATGAGGAAGAAATTTGGGCTTGATTGAAGTAATGGGGGCTGTCTGAGAAGCTTTGCGGCAGTACAGCCTAGGTAATTTGCTGAGCCTGATGGGTGTCAGGGTCAGTCCAAGTGAAAGCGAAGAAAGGCTGGGATGAAGGGTGCAAAGGAATAGTAAAGAAAGCATGTTTGAGATCTAGAACAGAATAATGGGTTGTAGAGGCAGGTATCGAGGATAGGAGAGTATATGGGTTTGGCACCACGGGGTGGATAGGCAAAACAATTTGGTTGATAAGGCGCAGATCCTGAACTAACTTGTAAGGCTTGCCTGGTTTTAGGACAGGTAAAATGGGGGAATTGTAAGGAGAGTTTATAGGCTTTAAAAGGCCATGCTGTAGCAGGCGAGTGATAACAGGCTTTAATCTTTTTAAAGCGTGCTGCGGGATGGGATATTGGTGTTGAGTGGGGTAAGGGTAATTAGGTTTTAATGAGATGGTAAGGGGTGCATGATCGGTCGCCAAGGAGGGAGTAGAGGTATCTTATACTTGTGGGTTAAGGTGGGGGGATACAAGAGGAGGACGCAAAGGAGGCTTTGGATTGGGAAGAAGGGCTGCAATGAGATACAGCTGTAGTCCAGGAATAGTCAGGGAAGCAGATAATTTAGTTAAAGTGTCTCAGCCTAAAAAGGGAACTGGGCAGGTGGGGATAACTAAAAAGGAGTGCTTAAAAGAGTGTTGTCTAAGTTGGCACCAGAGTTGGGGAGTTTTAAGAGGTTTAGAAGCCTGGCCGTCAATACCCACAACAGTTATGGAGGCAAGGGAAACACGCCTTGAAAAGAGGGTAATGTGGAGTGAGTAGCCTCCGTATTGATTAAGAAGGGGACGGGCTTACCTTCCACTGTTAGAGTTACCCGAAGCTCGGCATCCGTGATGGTCTAGGGGGCTTCCGAGGCGATCGGCCGGTGTCAGTCTTCAGCCGCTAAGCCGAGAAGATCTGGGAAGGAGTCAGTCAGAGAGCCTTGGGCCAGAGTTCCAGGGGCTCTGGGAGTGGCTGCCAGGTGAGTAGAACAGTCCGATTTTCAGTGGGGTCCCACACAGATAGGACACGGCTTAGGAGGAATCCCAGGCTGCGGGCATTCCTTGGCCCAGTGGCCAGATTCCCGGCACATGTAGCAAGCTCCTGTGGGAGGAGGTTCTGGAGGAACGCCTGGCCGCTGCCGTTCAGGCATTTGGAAGTTCTTGTGTGCTGGAGATGTGGCTGGGGTTTGTCTCACAGTGGAGGCAAGGAATTGCAACTTTTTTCTATTATTGTACACCTTGAAGGCGAGGTTAACTAAATCCTGTTGTGGGGTTTGAGGGCCGGAATTTAATTTTTGGAGTTTTAATGTCTGGAGCAGATTGGGTAATAAAATGTATTTTGAGAATAAGACGGCCTTTTGACCTTTTAGGGTCTAGGGCTGTAAAGCGTCTCGGGGTTGCTGCCAAACAAGTCATGAACTGGGCTGGATTTTTATATTTGATGAAAAAGAGCCTAAACGCTTCTGATTTGGGATAAAGAAAAAGGAGCATTAACCTTGACTATGCCTTTAGCTCCAGCCACCTTTTTAAGAGTAAATTGCTGGGCAGGAGGGGGAGGGCTAGTCACGGAACGAAACTGTAAGCCCGACCAGGTGTGAGGAGGGGAGGCGATAAAAAGATTATAGGGTGGAGGAGCAGAGGCTGAGGAAGAATTGGGACCTAGCTCGGCCTGGCGAGGAACAACCTGGGGAGGAAGGGAGAGGTCAGATGGGTCTGCAGAAAAGGAAGATTAGAAAGACTCAGCGACACTTGGGGTTGGTACTGAGGGGACAGGCGGGAGGGAAAGAAGGAAGATTTGGGACGAGTTGCACTGGTCACAGAGACTAGGAAGGGACTGATGTGTAAAAGAATGCCTGGACGTCAGGCACCTCAGACTGTTTGCCTATTTTACGACAAGAATTATTGAATTTTGCAGGATGGAAAAATTCAAAGTGCCATTTTCTGGCTATTTGGAACTACTGTCGAGTTTGTATTGGGGTCAAGCAGCATTGCAGAAGAAAATAAGGCATTTAGGTTTTAGGTCAGATGTGAGTTGAAGAGGTTTTAAGTTTTTGAGAACACAGGCTAAGGGAGAAGAAGGAGGAATGGAAGGTGGAAGCTTACCCATAGTGAAGGAGGCAAGCCCAGAGAAAAGAGTAGAGACAGGGAGAAGGGGCGGAGGGTTCTTGCCCTCCAGGAAAGCAGAGAAGGGGTTGGGGCAGGGAAATAAGGGATTGGGGCACAGAGATAAGAGGTCAGGGTGCAGAAATAAGTGATTGGGGCACAGAGATAAGAGGTTGGGGTGCGGCGGAAATAAGCGATTGGGGGGTTCTTGCCCCCTAGGAAAGCGGGACTTGCCGCTAAGGGTGAAGGAGAAGGGGTTGAGGGGTACTTGCCCCTGCCCCAGGAAAGCAGCACTTGCTGCTAAGGGTGAAGGGGAAGGGGTTGAGGGGTACTTGCCCCTGCCCCAGGAAAGCGGGACTTGCCGCTAAGGGTGAAGGACCAAGGCAGGCGTCCCTGCATGGTCTGACACCCTTGAAACGTGAGTGTATACTCAGAGAGGCGTCCCTGCAATGATCAAACACCAAGGGAAGGCTGCCTTCCCAGTCCGTGACCGGCGCCGGAGTTTTGGGTTCACGGATAAAACATGTCTCTTTTGTCTCTACCAGAAAATGAAAGGAATTGAAATTAAGAGAAGGGAGAGATTGAAGTGTGGCGCCACGATTGAAAGGAGAAAGAGGTTGAGGGATAGTGAGGGAGGTTGGAGAAGAGAGTAAAAAGAGGCCGCTTACCGGATTTGAAATTGGTGAGATGTTTCTTGGGCTGGTCGGTCTGAGGACCTGAGGTCGTAGGTGGATCTTTCTCATGGAGCAAAGAACAGGAGGACAGGGGATTGATCTCCCAAGGGAGGTCCCCCAATCCGAGTCACAGCACCAAATTTCATGCGCGTCCGTGTGAAGAGACCACCAAACAGGCTTTGTGTGAGAGCAGTAAAGCTGTTTATTTCACCTGGGTGCAGGTGGGCTGAGTCCGAAAAGAGAGTCAGCGAAGGGAAATAAGCGTGGGGCCGTTTTATAGGATTTGGGTAGGTAAAGGAAAATTACAGTCAAAGGGGGTTTGTTCTCTGGCGGGTAGGAGTGGGGGTCGCAAGGTGCTCAGTGGGGGTGCTTTTTGAGCCAGGATGAGCCAGGAAAAGGACTTTCACAAGGTAATGTCATCAGTTAAGGCAAGGACCAGCCATTTACACTTCTTTTGTGGTGGAATGTCATCAGTTACGGTGGGGCAAGGCATATTCACTTCTTTTGTGATTCTTCAGTTACTTCAGGCCATCTGGGCGTATACGTGCAAGTCACGGGGGATGCGATGGCTTGGCTTGGGCTCAGAGGCCTGACAGTAACACGTTTTAACTTTGCAAAAAATGTTTTGGCATTAATGGGCTCAAAAAGTGAAAGGAAATGTGTAATGGAAAATCAAATACTTTGTTCATGAGAATGTTAATGACAAACCTATAAATCCCAAAATGTTTATCAACACTTACCATGGGGGCTATATGACATCACTCACCACATGAAAAATAGAAAACACGAATCTGCTAAACTATTAGTATCTACTCTCATTCGAGAGTACATTTGAGATACATACTGTGCATGAACATGAGGACTTGACACGTGCAGACAAGGAAAGTATCCTGTGAAGCATGGCTTTTCATTTGGATCAAATGACTGCCTCTCTAAATCTGCACTCTGTGTCTGTTGTACACATACAAAAAGTGAAGCTGATGGGGTTCAGGGCATGCTGCTCCAAAATATGGTTCCTTGGCGTATTGAATATTTTAAACGGAAGAAATTTGAGGAAAACAGCAGAAGCGGGAAAGTGTCTCTGACTTTCCCCCAGCCTCCTTCCCTGATGCAGTTCATAAAACCTAGGAAAGATTTTCTGACCTTCCCCTGAAAGAGGTCATAGACTCTCATGTAAGATGTGCCCTCTCTATGCCAGGAAGAAAGGAACATCCTTATCCCTGAAAACAAAAGGTCACAGAAGGGAAACTGAACAAACTGGCCTTGCTGAGTTTCCCCAGTTTATAATCATCATGTCATACTTTTCACCCTATTATATTTCTCTATGACTCTCCTCTCTTCATCAAACCCAGCATAAAAATACACAGGTTTAAAAAATACACAGGTTTAACTGTTTCTTCAGGTATTTATTTCCTTATGAAAGCTCCCATTTCATGTAAAATGCATGTTAAATAAACATGTAAGCTTTTCTCTGGTTCATCTGTCTTTTGTTATAGGGGCCTCAGCCATGAACCTAAGATGGAGAGAGGAAAAGCTGGTCTCCTCCCCTACAAAGCGATAGATGGTAAGGTGCTGGATCCAATGGCAGAAAAAAAAGTTTCAAACAATTAAATGATGCCACTTTTATAGAAATGGAGTCAGATGCTTCATATTGGAAAACAGTTATTTTCAACAATGATTCCTTTTATTTTCATCCAATTCATGGTATCAAAGTAAAACATTTGGAATTTTATTTTGCTGACGGTAAAAACATCTGATATTACTAGAGTGAGATGTCATTGTAAATCCAGTTAAATGAATCAGTGCTATCATAAATTGTTTTTAAAAGTTCAAACTAAAGTTATCTTTGTGTCATAATTAAGTACAAATTTTGGCATAGCACAGTGTCATTGTAAAAGCATGTTTTTTCTAAAGAATTATGGAGCAGAAATGTACTGGGAATTAGATGTGCAACATGATTCATACTTGTACTCAAACAAGTAGTGATAATCTACCAATCAAAATAGTAGCAGTCACGAAGAATTTATAAATATGATATATATGTATACACTTAAAATATCTAAACTATAGTTTTTGCAAAAATATGATTTTAAATACAAGGCAGTATCATGTGTTTTTCTCTCTTTGCTGTCTGCCATAAGGAGAATTTTAGAAATATTTGAGCATTGAAGAAATAATTTGTATATCAATCTAAGTATCTTTTTGTTGAATTCTTTTTAAAAATTAGCTCTCTAAATCTGGGCTGAATTTGTCCAAATCAGTTAGAAATCTTTGATCAGCACTTTCAATGAATAGAGTTTCAAAAAACTTTAGCTTTCCACATGTTTAGACAATTGGAATTATTAGTAACAAGTCTTAAAAACAAGAAGACACCAAAGTGTATCCCCACCAAAGCATGAAGAAACTAAACAAATTAAGTACGTTAAAAAGAGTATATTCTCAATCCTGATATGGTCTACAGAGAAGGTTCATTTCAAATTTATTAGTCATTAAATGCAAATTTGAAGAAAATATTGGGACAATTTTATTTAAAATTTTAACATAGCAAGACCATATAAGGAAAAGAAAACATTCTTTAGAAAAATAGAATGACATGGTATTTGAGACAAATGTGTTTTCAAAAAATGACTAAAGGGGTAATTATTCTGATTATATTATTGTAAAATTTCTACTTTTTATATATGTAAAGAAGTTTTAAAAGTTTTCTTTGGTGTACACAGATATATGTTATTCTACTTTCTAGAAAAAATATTTTTGAAATAGTGTTTCAAAATAATTATTTGGCAGATCCATCAAAAAATAAAAATGTATTTGTCAGTTAGTAAATTTTTGAAAAAAGATACCAGGATTTTTAGCACTTCATTTCACTCTTAAAAGTGTCCTGATTTGAAAGATGAATTCTATGGTATCAGCTTAAAAATCACAAATTTAGAAAGGAGACTTTGTTTGCTATAAAGACTCGCAGCCTACAATGTGGCCATTCTGACAGGCTGAGAAGTGTAGCTTCTGTGAGAAGCCTCTGTCAGCGGGTACTTCGAGGGAGGGAAGGATGAGACATACGTTTTGTTGAACAGGTTGGCCAAATATATGTATATATTCAACAGGTTACGGGAGGAGCTATGCAGTCTTTCGTCCAGATATTCATGAAGGGGGAACATGGCATGCATACTGAATAAACATGCATGTTACATGCATCTCATGCTTCCCTTAGGTGGAGACTTAACATTGAAATATATTACAAGTAAGCCCTATATGTCAAAAGGTGAAGCAGGGAAAGGAAGGCACTCAAATGCACAGCATCTGTAACTCGGCTGGAACTAGTCGATCTGTGGGTGGTCTCTTAGCAGGAGAAAAATACTGAAACCAGTCTTTTATTCAATCAAAGCTGTAGTTCTGGCTTGTGGAGCAGGGGGCCTCAGTTAGTCAGCTCTGCTGGTGGATGAGCTGCAATTGTTTAATATTGCTTATCTCAAGGCCAGCGCGTGTTTAGCTGCTAGAGAAAAAGAAAAACCTTGTGGCAGTTGGAACACAGTTTCTTCTTTAACTGTAGGAGTCCATGACTTAACATGGCCTTCGGTCCTGTTTATAATGTGGTATCTCATTGTGAACAAAGAGTCTGTTCTGACAGTCTCGTGATCTCTATTTCAACATTAATGCTGGTCAGATGTTGTGTCTAAACCACAAAAGGGAGGGAAGATAAAGAGGTGCATCTGACCTCTCGTCCTGTGATGGCCAGAAACTCAGTTTTTAAAAGGTTTCTCTGGGGTCCTCTTGGCCAAGAGGCAGCCTGTTCAGTTGACTGGGGAGCTAAGGACTTTAGTTTCAGTTCTCAATAATCATCCTAGTTACACAGTCATCAGACTCACCACACCCCAAAGAAAATGAATGTTCTGTGGTTCCCCTTTCTAGGGTCTCATAGGATCAAAGTTTCCCCAGGTTGAAAGGGCTCTCAAAGAAAAGGTATGTTAATTCTCTTGAAGTTTTCAAATTTCAGTGTACCTAGGGATTTCCTTGAGAGCCTGTTATGCAAATTCCTGGTCCCTGGTAACAAGATTTGTGATGTAAGTCAAGGATGGGGCCCAGGAGTCTGTATTTTTTCCAAGACCTCACCCTCTCCCCAAGGGATTTCTTTAGAGATGTACCTGGTCAATTCTGAAATCAACTTCTAAAAGCTTTTCTTGGCATAGAGTAGAAATCTATATCCCTAAAGTACCACCCACTAGTTCTAACAATCACATAGAAAAAAAAGAATGGATTTCTCTTCCTATGATAGACCTTTAAGTATGGGAGATGCCTGTCATCATTTCCAGAGTTCTATTTTATTCAGCCTAACTACTTCGGTCTCTTCTCCAACTCTTCTTCAATACACAACACACACACACACAAACTCCTACAAGGTTACCGAGAATAAAACGTATGCCAACAAGTACAGATTAGGGTGCTATGACTCAGGAACAATGTGTGTGAAAAAGTTTAAAGATTTTAGCTGATAGTAAACTCAATATGTGTCAACAGTATGAATCATTACAAGAGAGTAGGAGAAAGGAGCAGGAGAAGAGAGAAAAAGGAAGAACAAGAAAAAAAATCTCTGCCTCTGGTTGTTGATGGTATCAAATGAGATGCTGATTATGCAGACTTCCCCTAATGTACTCTGCTGTCATGTATATTTCTTTGATCAAATATCTTCCACTTCCTAGAATACCAGCTCCACTCCTCCCCTAAAGCAATGAGCTATTTTCAAAACCATTCATCTTTCAAGATTCAGCTCAAACATCAAGTCCTCAACTGCCCCAGGATAACTTACCTCTCTCTCCTTTAAACTCCCACTGTTCTTTACACAGCTCATCACACTCGATTGTTTACACATGGCTTACTGCACTTACCACCCCCCCCCCGCCCCGCCTTCTAATGTGCTGCCTGCATGATTTCCTTAGATATTATTCTTACTGTTCAGTGTCTATCTGTCCTAGAATATGAGCTCATGAGGGCAGCTTCTGTCTTATTTAATGCTATATCTCTGGTGCCTGGAAGAGTGCCTGGCACATAGTGAGCACTCCTGGGAAAATATAATTAAAAACGAAATGTCCTCCTAACCCAGAAAAGCTTTCTACAAAGGTAAAAGGAAAACTATTTTATTATTAAATAAGCATTAAACCAGAAAGTGATGCACATTACAGGCAATCTGCTAAAGAAATGGCAAAGACCAGAAAGAACTCTCACTCTTTTATAGCTAAGGGGATACAACCCATTACCATTAGTTAGGCTTTGCAATTTGGAGTCAGACAACAACTGAAGTTACACCCCTCTCCTCTTAGGAAACCGGAAGCTAAAGCCTTAGCTTCCTTGATGATTACATCAAGGAAGAGAGGACGTCCAGGTCCTTGAAGAAACACTCCAGATTGTGAGGTAGCCCAGAGGCTTATTTAGCCACTAAAAAGATTCACATACATAGAAAAGGACAGGGAAAACTTTTTTTTTTTTTTTTTTTGAGACAGTCTCGCTCTGCCGCCCAGGCTGGAGGTGCAGTGGTGCAATCGCCGGCTCACTGTAAGTTCCGCCTCCTGGGTTCACGCCATTCTCCTGCCTCAGCCTCCCCAGTAGCTGGGACTACAGGCGCCCACCACCACTCCCAGCTAATTTTTTTTATTTTTTAGTAGAGATGGGGTTTCACCATGTTAGCCAGGATGGTCTCGATCTCCTGACCTCGTGATCCGCCGGCCTTGGCCTCCCAAAGTGCTGGGATTACAGGCGTGAGCCACCGCGCCCGGCCAGGGAAAACATTCTGAAAGAGAAAAAAGGAGTGGAGAAATTTCTTCCCTTATTTTCGACAGGAAGATTTAAGCTCCTCATCTTACATTTTTACTTGCTCTTTCTGCACTTAATCACCACATGTTGAAAAAGTAAAAACTAAAAGATGGTTTTCCCTGTAATTAACTATAAACACCTAAGGGCAAGAGCTATGTGTTATTTTCCTACACAACACCAATATAGTGTGCACTCAACAAATGTTTGTGGAAAGAGGAAGGAAGGAAGGAAAAGAAAGAGAAACAGGAAAGAGAGAAGGAGAAAGAGAGGAAGGAAGGAAGGAAAAAAAGAAAAGGAGAAAGATGATTTTGACAACTGTAAAACAATCTCCACATTAAGGACTAAGCATTAAGGGAAGAGAATCAAATAACAGACAGATAAGCTGGGCCTATCATAATAGTTATTGACTCTTCATAAACCATCTCTACATGTACATTTAGTTATGCATTGGGTAATGGTTAAAATAGATACCTAGGGTGCTTTCCAAAACTGGATTCTACAGTTCCTAGGTCACGGACTTGGCTTGTCTCCAGTTGGCCTGCTTTTATAACCACCCAGTGGGTTTTTCTTGTCCACTGCCCAGATAGAGCTAATTTATGAAGGCAGGGGAATTGCAATAGAGAAAGAATTTTACACACATAGAGCCAGCTAAACAGGACACAGGAATTTATTATTACTCAAATTGGTCTCCTCAAAAATTCGAAGGCTAGGGTTTTTCAAGGATAAAGAGACGGGGGCACAGCTAGGCAATGGGTGCTTGCTGCTGATTGGTGGGGGTACAATCATAAAAGTGTGGGAAATGGTCCTCATGCACTGAGTCACTTCTGGGTGGGGTCACAGGAGCAACTAGTGGGTCCAGGTGGAGCCATCAGTGTCAGACATACAAAAAACTTGAAAAGACATCTCAAAAGCCAATCTTAGGTTCTAAAATAGTGATGTTGTCTGCAGGAGTAATTGGGAAGTAGCATATCTTGTGACCTCCGGAATAATGGCTGGCCATCGTTTATGCCTACACCTTAGCAGAATTCAGGCTCCTATCCTCCTACTAGTCTGGTGGTTTCTCATTAGCTTTGCAAAGGTGGTTAAGCTTGCGAGGAGGGTATTATCATTTATTTTTATTTCTTTATTTTTTATGTATTTATTTTTTTTGAGACAGTCTCCATCTGTCGCCCAGGCTGGAGTGCAGTGGCGTGATTTTGGCTCACTGCAACCTCTGCCTTCCGGGTTCACGCCATTCTCCTGCCTCAGCCTCCTGAGTAGCTGGGACTACAGGCGCCCAGCACCACGCCCGGCTAATTTTTGGTATTTTTAGTAGAGTCAGCGTTTCACCGTGTTAGCCAGGATGGTCTCCATCTCCTGACCTCGGGATCCGCCCACCTCGTCCTCCCAAAGTGCTGGGATTACAGGCGTGAGCCACCGTGCCCGGCAATTTAACCTATAAACTAAATGTCTCCCAAAGCTAGGTAGACCCAAGCCAAGGGATAATTAAGGGCAGTTTGAAGGCTAAAGGCAAGATGGGGGTTGGTTAAATCAGATCTCTTTCACTGCCATAATTTTCTCACTGTTACAATTTTTGCAAGGGAGGTTTCACTTTTCTCTCCTCCTCCACCTCCAAAGCTCCCTCCTCTTAAGTAGGGAGAATTCATTCGCACGTTTTTCAGAGCTCTGCACTGTAATTCATTCAGATCCAGACATTTCGGCTCATTTACAGCGGATGCATGCTCTCGCATAATCTCTACACCCATCTTGGGCTTCAATTTTCTCTTAACAATGTTCGTTCTACCCTTTTCAGTCCAAAGATCACTCTCCTTGACAGAGAAGACAGGACTAAATGGGAGGAAAGGAGTTCTGTTTTCTTCATGTCATCCATCAACATCACACCACTGGCCTCAGGCAGCGAGCCTCTTCCTTCCTTATTCTTGCTCTAAATTTAAGAGCCCTCCATTATCCTTACTTTCTTTTCTCTAAGCCTCAGCTCACTCTGGTCTTTGGCCCTTCTGATCTGTTACTGGTCCCTGCCTTTCTTCAACACAATCTTTGGCAGCGTGCCTCTTTCCACTTTTTGGCACATCTTTTTAAAATCCGAGTTTCTCAGTGGGAGTGTGCAGCCACCTTGGCTCCGAATGTCTTTTCCTTTTGTCTGCAGCATGAACAACATGTGTGATTGCAAAGATAGAATTATAATTTTGAAAGCTTACCAATTCTTTTGAGTTTCCTCTTGAGAAATAGAATTAAAACAATCTTTTCTTGAATTCATTAAAACCTGCCTTCTCCAATTGTTGAGTACCTGTCTTAGCATTCCAAGCCTCCTCCCTGCTTGGCTAGCACAAACCTTAAAACGACACACGCACTTCCTCAAAAGATTCCTTTATACCATAGAAGTGAAGTGCAGGAGGCAAAAAGATCCAATGGTTTTTTCTGACAATAGTCTCTGTAAAACATCACAAGAAACCAATTAAAGAGGATGGTAGTGAGCCTGAAATAAAAGGGAAAGTTGCTAAAGATATTGTGGTGGTAGAATTGATAATCCCTGCCAATGAATTATGCAGGGATAATTATGAGAAGGAAGGAAGACTGTTGAGGCCTGTAAGTATACATGGCCAGGTGATCTAGAAAATGGTGATAAGGTAGGAAGAAAGAAGGACCAACATTTTTAGTAATAAAGAAAGGAGTTGAGAAAGTATCTTTTCATTTAAAACTAATATAGTATTTCCCTTGCTACTCTCCTACCTTGCATTCCCATTTACCTTTTAAGAGCATTTATCCCATCAGTTTGTCTACAACCTATCCTGTGAGGTAAGGTGGAGATAAGAGATTTGTCCAAGGTTTCAACATTAGTGAATGGCAGAGCTACATTCTCATATCTTCCAGAAATCCCGTGGTTCCCCTTTCTTTTCCAAAATGCTATGGCTCATGGCATTGCTAACCATCTGCAGGGATTAAAGGACAGGCATTGCCTGTAAAGGGGCAAAGCCAGCCCTTTGGTTTGCATCAGCAGCTGCTGTTGGCGGGGTTTAGGTTTATTCATAACTGATTAGCTTAATATGATATCCTTATCCCAAGAATCTTTCTATCCTTGATTATCACACCTGGGGTTGGCCAATTAACTGGGACAAATTCCAAAACATTGAGAGAAGCTCTCTTCCAGGGTGTTTCTCCTCTCCTATATCTTGTCTCCCACTTCCAAGCAACAACCACACTAGTCTCTCTCTCTCTCTCTCTCTCCCTCTCCCTCTCTCTGTGTGTGTGTGTGTGTGTGTGTGTGTGTGTGTGTGTTCCGAGGTGAGCAGGCCTATACAAACCTACTTCCAAAGGCCAGGGAAGGTGAGGAGCTGAAGAAAGAAGCTGACAAGTCCAGATTCTCAGAATGAAATAATAGGGATTTATGAACAGAAGCCATATCTCAAGCAGCTGCGAATGGTGGATCCCTACAGTACACTGTTACCCCACAGACCCAGGGCTTACAAATCATAGGGAATTTGCCTAAGGGGAAGATATATGTGTTTACGATAACATCAAGGTTGTTTTGACCTAAGGGCAGGAATTATTCGTAATTATACACTCTTAACAGTAGATAAAATAGAAATTTTAGAGGCATTTTCGGAACTGGGGTTAATCAGAAGTCAACATGGCCAATTAGTATACAAGATGGAGTTACTCTAGCCTGAACATTCTTCTTCCTCAATGTCCCCCAAACACGTGCTTACCACCATCACTGCACCACTGTGGCTGCTTTAAATGTCCCTGCACTCAATCCTTCACCAGCCACCACCATACTTATTTCTTTCCATCTGTAAAAATTTTCCTCTTTTATCAAATCCATTCATTTACCAAATACTCATTGAATCACTACTATGTGCTAGGCACTGTTCAAGGAACTGGGAATACAGCATTGAACAAAACAATGTCCCCGAGCTCATGGAATTTTATTCTATAGTCTTTGAAACTCTTTATTGACCACATCAAATCTCCCTTCCTCTGAAATACTATAAATTTTGTATATATGGCCACATCACCATCAATGTATTTACACAGGCTAGAAATATGAAACTCATCTTTGATTCATCAGTCTCCATCTATATCTAGTCATTTACAAAGTCCTGACTTTATAAAATACGTCTACATTTACTATAACTACAATGTAATTTTTCTGAAGATACTTTCTGAAAGACAACTGAATCTCCAAATTAAATATGTAGGCTTCTTATCTTGATTTAATATCGTGAGAATTCCACATGCTCATTCTTTTGTCCTCATCCATACTCTCACGGCTCTAGCTCAGGACTCTCATCACGGGTCACCTTGAACTGATGTAATCACCTCCAGCCTCCTAACAGATTGCTCTGCTTCTGGGCTTTCCTCCCTCAAATCTCTTTCTTGGGTTCACTCATGATTTATTTAAAATAAAAAGCTAAATCTAATCAGGTCCATGCCCTGCTTATAACCTTTTAAAAGTTCAAGCTACTTGATATGGCACCAAAAGCCATTCGTGTTAGGTTTTTTATCTCATTGCTTTGCATAGCTTCTATCTCATTTTTCCTACTCTCTCTCTCTCTCTCTCTCTCTCTCTCTGTGTGTGTGTGTGTGTGTGTGTGTGTGTCTAACTCATACTAAAGTTCTTTAGTGGCTGGTTTGTACGATATTGTAGTCTCCATGCCTAGCATAGTGCCTGGCCTATATTAGTTCCTTACTAAAGTTTGAATTGAACTGGGTTTTTGATATTGTTTTGAATTTGTATGTGTCTTTGATCTTAAGCTTTCATATGTCTGTGTCTTCTTCAACTGTAGAATGTGTTCCTTGGGGGGATAATCAGGGTTATTTACAAATGTTCTTGTTCTCTTCCTCCTTTGTACGTTGCAGAAAATTGTAGGATTTTCTTTCCCACACCTTTAAAATTAGGAATAGCCACATGATTTGTTCTGGCTAATAACATGTGAACAGAAGTAGCATGTGTCATT
Source organism: Homo sapiens (assembly GCF_000001405.40). Classification (NCBI taxonomy): domain Eukaryota; kingdom Metazoa; phylum Chordata; class Mammalia; order Primates; family Hominidae; genus Homo; species Homo sapiens. The sequence goes on from NC_000013.11 coordinate 42,883,327, forward strand.
TCCTGGAGAAAGCATTTCCTGGAGATAGCACAGAATACTGCCACTATGTCCTCCTCTTGGTGTATGGAAAGCATAAGAACAGACAGAGCCTTTCTCAGTCCTTGACTAAGGTGAGCAGAGGCTTCTGCTGACCTGTGCATAAAGTGCAGCATGGGCAAGAAACTATTGCTAATCCAAGAAGAGGTGGGGGCTGCTTATTGTGGTCACCATAACTTTGCCTATTCCGACTGCTCCATTGCCTGAGGACAGGACCTGTACCACTTAACTTTGTGTCTCCATTGTGCCACATTTAAAACAGACTATAGACATATATTTAAATGTTGATTTCTGATTTTTCTTAATTCACAATGTCCAATTTCAAATATCCCTCTCCCATCAGTTTCTGTTCTCTCCATACTAAAGCACAATTTCTACTCATTTTAGCTCAACTATGGTTTCTAAAACAGAAATTTCTAATCAGTTCATAATCTGGTGCCAATCACTGGTGTAAGGTTTTGTAGGGAATGAAATGTCACCCCCGATGACTGACGACGATTCCTTCAGCTCAGCTGTGGTCAGTGTCCTCCAGGGACGGTGAGAAGGAATGTTCAGAGCACATGCCCTGCAGCTGAGCAGCAAAGCAAAGGGCTTGTAATAAATCAGCTTCCTAGGGGAGGTGTGTGTTGCAGTACAGCTGTCCCTGTAGCCTCTGTCCCAGCAGATGGCACAACATGGCAATAAATGTCATGAAAATGCTTCTCCCATTTGCCTTTATATAAACCCTTCACTTCTGAGCATGTAATTCTGTGAGCAGAAAAAAAATGATAATCCTCTGTGATGCTTTTTAAACTCTATTGTTAAACAAGGGAATATTTTTAAAGGGAGGGAGGAATTCCAAATCAGAGCCCCTTCCTTGAAGGAATGCCTAACATGTATTTATTCTCTATGCAATCCTCATGGTAACTGGAGAGGCATATTCTTTCTCCACATGTAAATTTTATTATACCTCACTCCGATATTATTTCATGCACATCAGCACGGAGCTAGTTTCTAGATGTGCTAGTCCACTGAGTTATTAATAAAAACAAAGAGCCCACAACCTTCTATTTTCTTCTACTTGCTAATAGTTTCAGAACAATTCCTTTTACTTCCTCTGGCAGCCACACTTCCAAACACATCCTCTCATAACTGGACAAACAAGTCCAGCTAATTACAACCTATCTGCTTAATATCCTGAAATTTAAAATTAAGATTGTAGGCACTGTTTTTATGATTACATGTTTTTAAAAATTAGTTTTTAGCCAGAGTTATCACAAAACTTTGAATTTTAACTTGAAATTTTTGGCTTTATAAATGTCAAGGGTTTTACTTTAAAATATGTCTACATTTACTATAACTACAATGTAATTTTTCTAAATATACTTTCTGAAAGACAACCGAATCTCCAAATTAAATATGTAGGCTTCTTATCTTGATTTTTAAAAAATCGACCTAAAGAAAAAATGCAATGTTTCCTTTGAACATAAAGTATTTAGGGACCACAAGAAATGTCTCTAGTGTGAAAACATACACAAAAAAACATACAAAAAATGTGAGTTCTTAGGCCTATCCTGTGAATGGAATAAGATCTCCTGACCTGTATTATCTACAACTGTTAGCAGCAGTGAATCTGTACTGGTTGCCCCAACCTCAATTCTTGCCTCCTCAGAAGAAATTCAACCAAGGGGCATAAGGCAGAGAGACTGAGACAAGTTTTAGAGCGGGAGTGAGAGTTTATTAAAAAGTATTAGAGGCCTGGCACGGTGGGTCACACCTGTAATCCCAGCACTTTGGGAGGCCAAGGCGGGCGGATCACCTGAGGTCAGAAATTCAAGACCAGCCTGACCAACATGGAGAAACCCCGTCTCTACTAAAAATACAAAATTAGCCGGGCATGGTGGCATATGCCTATAATCCCAGCTACTCGGGAGGCTGAGGCAGGAGAATCACTGGAACCCAGGAGGCAGAGGTTGAGTGAGCCGAGATCGTGCCGTTGCACTCCAGCCTGGGCAACAAGAATGAAACTCTGTGTTAAAAAAAAAAAAAAAATTAGAGCAGGAATGAAAGGAAGTCAAGTACACTTGGAAGAAGGCCAAGTGAGCAACTTGGGAGATTGGGTGCATGGTTTGGCCTTTGACTTGGGGTTTTATATGTTGGCAATCTTCTGGAGTCAATGATTCCCTTGGGGTGGGCTGTCTGCATGCGCAGTGGCCGGCCAGCACTTGGGAGGGGCCGCAAGCCCAGTGTGTTTACTGGAGTTGTGCATATACTTACTTGAGGCGTTCTTCCCTTACCAGTCGAATGTTCCTGTAAGGTCATGTATCAGTTAAACTCTGCCATTTTGCCCCTTAATGTACATGCTTGAGCTTTCTTGCCCAAATCCTGAGATCTTATCAGAAGCTGCTGATCACCAGTTTCAGGTGTTTCTATCTATTGGGAGACTGCCTTTCCCTGGCACTGGCTGCAACCAATTATTACTTTAGAGAGTCAGCTTAACAACTGGCTGGCCGGCTGGGTGCAGTGGCTCATGCCTGTAATCCCAGCACTTTGGGAGGCTGAGGCAGGCGGATCACCTGAGGTCAGGAGTTTGAGACCAGCCTGGCCAACGTGGCAAAACCCCGTCTCTACTAAAAATACAACAATTAGCTGGGCGTGGTGGCGGGTGGGAGACTGTAATCCCAGCTACTTGGGAGTTTGAGGCAGGAGAATCTCTTGAACCCGGGTAGCAGAGGTTGCAGTGAGCCGAGGTCATGCCACTGTACTCCAACCTGGGCAACAGAGTGAGACTCCATCTCAAAAAAAAAGAAAAACAACAAAAATAACTTGGCTGACCATCACCTGATGGTTGCCTGACATTCCTGGTAGTGGGGGCCTCTCTTGGCCTGCTCCTGTCTGCCTGACTATCTACTATAATATAACTAAGCCCAGTAGTAGGGGAAATCCTTTGTTTTGTTAAAATAGGCCACTGGGTAGAGGTTGTTGCTTTGTAGATTTTAGGATCTATCAACATAATACCAAGAAGAAACCACAAAGGAAAAAGTGGTAAATCCAAATACAAAAGTGTTTAGAAGTTTATTAAACATTTTATTACACACCTGTATTGCCTAAAGTTTCTATAACAAACATCTTACATTGGAACGATTTTCTTGTTTTTATTTTCTACAAAAAAAAAAGCGGGGGGACATTAAAATTAAGCATAGAAATGGTGGAACTTTGGGATTTCCTGTCCAGTCACCTGCGAGTCAGGTTTTATTCCAATTGATTCAACGTGGCAGATTAAATGTGAAAAGTAAAATGGTGGGCTCCTTTAGGCAGCAAGTCTTGCTTCTCTCCTGGTTACCTCTGCCTACATAGATATTTGGTTAAGCAAGATGTTTATACCCCCACACATATTCTAGATAGTTCTGGTCATGAAGTAAGTCACAATTTTCCATATCTGCACAATTTTTAAAAAATGGAACTACCCATCTGCACAAAATCTTTGGGAGTGCAGGGTAGGCCAGGCAGTGGAGGAGAAATTGACACCAACTTCCCTGAGAGCTTCCAAAGTAAGAAAGCATCCCTTTTTCCTACGTCAACTCCTGGTTGCATGCTGGAAAATGCAGCAAGTGAGGCACACCAAGCATAGACGCAAAAATCGGAACACAACTGTAAGGTAGCCAGGCTGGCAGGTGTAGGGCCGAAATGGCTGCACACCACCACACTAAAATGTCTGCTACAGCCGCACATTTACAATCAGTTTGGTGATATTTCCAACACAGGCTGGGGGATTGAGTTTCCCCCATATAAGGCAATGACAAGGATTTCAAATGGACCAAACATTTTATATTAGTGTCAACAGCACTAACACAGCTTCAGCTGGCGGAGGAGAGGGAAACCAAGAATATCCACATTATTTACTCCAGAGAAACTTCCTGACACCATCTGTTCTCTGTTACCCCCCACCCACCAATGTGGCCCTTTCCTAGTGCACCCTTGCCTAGCTCTGCGAACCCCTCAGTTATGTCTCTTGGCCCAAGAATTTCAAAACCCCATGTTTTCCTGAATAAAGAGATTCGGAAAGTTCATTTCAACAGAGTGACTGGTAACACAGAAGATCTCTTAATGCTGCAAAGTATTATTAGTTGTCCAGCTGCAAAGATGATTTGTTGTATTTACCTTTATTCTAGGATTGAATGTAATGCTTTTGCTATACAATGTGGTGGCTGGGGGACGGTGAGGCGGAGGGGACAGAGGGATTGAGCTAGATTACACAGCGTAGAAAATCAATGCTCTTACACTCTAGGGTCTGAGAACTGGTTCAGGGTCACAGAAGTGAATAAGAAAGCCAACTGAACTAGCAATAGGAAATAGGTTACACAGAGCAAAGAAAAAACAAGTTTCTGAAACATGTACAAACTACATATGATGTCTATATTTGTGTCTAGCTGATGTGTATACAAACATTGGCCTTTCTGGAGATAAACTGTCCCCCTCTGAAAATCAGGGTAACACTATTAGTAAGTCAAGACCAAAACAAGAGCCAACAGTAATGACAGTACTATATTTGATCTATACGGCCTGGAAAAGGGAATTAAAATGAGACCCTTCAAGAGAGAAAACCCCAATAACTTTTCATTAAAAATAAAAATGACCCATTTATACAGAAGGAGTTCAAAATTTATTTATAAATTTGTGTAAAAGAATATAAGACCTTTTTCTTTTGTACATATTTGTACCATAAAGAAAGTAGGGATTAAAATCTAAAAAGACCCCCAAAGCTTTCAAAACCTGATCTGAGAATTAGATAAGAATATGTCACTTAGAAAGACAAGCCTGTAGCACCCATAGCTCTGATTAACCTGAAAGCATCAAGTGACTCCCTCTTTTTCTACCCTACCAACATCACTCTAATTATACTTCCAATTAGAAAAATAATGTAGCATTTCCCTGGCAGTAGAGATTAAATATGAGTTCAGGAATCAGCTCCTCCAAACATGCATAAATGAGGACAAGGAGAAGCCAGTCACTCCTGACTGCACGGTCAAGTGTGTGGGCAGTTGAAATTAAGGTAAAAACAGTGAGGCTGAACAAAATCACATTAAGAAAAAGCATCTCATGAGGCTTTTCGAGGTCAGTTGATGAAGGCCAGATAGGAGTCAATATTTTCTCATATACCCTGGAAGAAAAAGAAAACAAAAATTACTGCAAGCAGCAAAATAAAATTCAAAGCCTTTGTAGTCAAAAATGAAGTTCCTGCAAAGAACGCTCTTATGCATCAAGCTGAAATGACCATTTTTTAAAATTAACAACTTAAATGACCATTGAAACGATTTGATTTTCAAGTCACATTGCATTTGATTCACAAAATAGTCTTGGTCAATAAGGTAATGGCTTGTCAAGTGATGTCTTATTGGCTGTGTTCTTAGAGATAGACTAACAGAGGTGACAAATATACAGTTCGAAAATGTTGTCACCCACCTACACAGTTACAGCAAGGACAGGATGAACACATGTGGAACAGAGCAATTTAAATGGAAATGTCTCAAGTAGGGTTACGCTGTATTATACAGCAGAAAGGTGACTTCTAAGAGGACCTTGATGTAGGGAGATAGATTGGTGAGTCTCCACTCCTACCATGTGCAAAGGGTCAAGAAACCTCCATCAAGCCTTCTGCAGTGCTGGGCCACGCTACGTATGGAATACACACCATTGCTGTTTCTTCTAACACTTTGAGAAATTAAAATCTCAGGTTGCCTCATTGGTCATAGGAAATGCTTAACTGCCCCTGAAGACATAGGATTTAGAGTTTCCACAGCATCCCAAAGAGCCTCACCTATTGTATCAGAGGAAATATTATTTAAAGGGATGTTTTTAAGTGACCCACCTTAGGTGCCTCGAAAAAACTAATAGAGAACCCTAGAAAAATAAAAAAATATATTTTTTACATATAAAAGCAATTATTGAAGAATAAATGTATATGTTAAGAAATATGAGAAGACTGATTTAAATTAACAATGATTAAAAAATAAAAATCAATCCACCTAACATACACACTTATTGGGGGCCTACTGCTTAAGTGTCTATATGACATTTCAAGAAACCACTGCTTCTTTCCATGGCTTGGTTTTATCATAATTTCTGCCTTCCTCCTTGTTTACTCTGTCTCTGGCTTTTTACTGGTTCCGATATTTCCTCCAAGCCTCTGTGAATTGAGGCATAGCTTTCCTCTTTCATTCTTTGGAGAAGCTCAGTCCTCATCTATCAGTCTTTAAATGGTGACATATCCTTAATTTAATAGTAATTCAAATATATTGATATAATTTAAGTTGCTAATTCTATATATTAATTTTGTCCACTTGTTATTTGCAGAACATGTCCTAAATAAAAGTTTAATTTATGGCCTCTCCTCTTACTTTTGTATGATATTCTTTTATGAACAGATGTTTTAAAATTTAATGTAGATATAGTTATCTTTTTTGTTATTGTTGTTTATACCTTGGGTCTTACAAAATCCTTTCTCAGCTCTATTTTATAAACAGCCTCTTTTATTTTCTAAAATGTAAAAGTCTTCCTTCCTACTTATAAGCTTTAATCCAGTTAGAATTTTTTTATGAATTATGTCGGGACCTAATTTCATGTAAGTACTCAATTGTCCCCACAGCATTTGCCAGAGTCTGTTTCCCCCCAGTGATGTGCTCTGCCCCGTCTGTCATACAAAAAACTAAAAAATTCAGAAATGTTGGGTGTGCTGGGCCAACTGCATACCGCATTAAATACACAATTAAGTCCCCATATATACTTCTTTATCTTTAGGAGTGAATTGGTTACTCTCAGTTCTTTGCTTTGATTCCAATTTATGTGAATCTATAGCTTATTTGAGAGCTCATTCCTATCTATTAACAAGGTATAACTCTCCATTTATTTATTCCACAGCATCTTTCTACAAAATTTAAGAATTTTTTTTCTTTTCTTTTTTTTTTTTTTTTTTTGAGAAAGAGTCTCGCTCTGTCACCCAGGCTGGACTGTGGTGGCGCAATCCCTGCTCACCGCAAGCTCCGCCTCCCAGGTTCACGCCATTCTCCCGCCTCAGCCTCCCAAGTAGCTGGGACTACAGGAGCCCGCCACCACGCCCGGCTAATATTTTTGTGTTTTTAGTAGAGACGGGGTTTCATCTTGTTAGCCAGGATGGTCTCGATCTCCTGACCTCGTGATCCGCCCACCTCGGCCTCCCAATGTGGTGGGATTACAGGCGTGAGCTACCGCTCCCGGCTAATTTTAGAATTTTTTAAAAAGGGTCATTCATATTTTTGGTTGGATCTTTTTATTAGATTTTTTATTTATTCCTAATGTGTAGAAATGTAGTTTTTACATATTGATCTTATATCTACTAACAGTGCCAAGCCTTTTTTTCTTCTAATAATTTGAATGTAAATTCTTTTGGATTTTCTACGTAAATAATTGTATCATCTGTGATTTATAAAGGCTTTTTTTCCCCCTTTTCAATCCTTATATCTTAACGGAAATGTTTTTAATGTATTTTTATTATTATTATACAGTTTTGATCCCTTTATGAGGCAAAGAAATTTCCCTTCTATTCCTAGTTTCCTAGAAGATTTTACCACAAGTGAGTATTGTAATTTAGCAAATGCTTTTTCTGTACTAATTGAGATGATCGTATGGAGTTTCTTTTATAATTTATGAGGTGAATTATCTCAGTAGGTTTTTTGTTTTGTCTGCAATAAGCCAAGCTTGCAATTCTGGAACAAATTCTATCTCATCAGGATATGTTATGCTTTTTCATATTTATTCTGTCAAAATCTTGTGATTGTTTTGAATCTATGTTTATGAGTGATAGTCTATTTTTTTTCTATACGGTCTTTGTCTAATTTTAATTCAAAGTCATGTTTACCTGCTTAATCATTTTGGATAATACTTCCTTCTTTTTAATCAGAAAAACTTTCTAGACATTTGAAATAATCTGTTCCTTGAAAGTTTAATAGAATTTGGCTCTAATATGTATAGGCCTGGTCTTCGTTTAATGGGAAGACAGTAAGACATAGATGTTGATAGTGTTTGTATCATTTTGCATGCCCACCAATAATGTGTAAAGTACCCACTTCCCCACAGCCTTGCCAACAGAGTATATTGTCAATATTTTAGGAGGGTTTTTTTTGCCAAATAATTGATAAGAAATGGCATTTTGGTTTAATTCTTTTTGAAGTCTGCTTGGTTGTCTTTCATTATCTCCTATTTTTTCCTCATTATTTCAAATCCAATTTTTATTTCATCAAACGTTTTATACATCGTGATTTTAAATTCAGTATCTAATCATTTTAGCATGTGAAATCATCTGGCTCTAAGTCTTTCTATTGTGTTTGTGATGTTGAATCACAACCACTTGTTTCCTTGTGTGTGTGGTAAGTTCCAGTTATTGTTTTATGCCTGGGATACACCACTGAACACAACAATCCAATGGCCCCACCCTTGTAGAATGTGGAACATACATCACCACAGGGAGAGGCGAAGAGTAAACAGTCAACAAAACATACAAGGAAATTATGTTTTAAAAGTATGTTAGAAGTTGAAGAGTGCTATAGAAAAAGGGAGGGGAGCCTAGAAAGGGGACTGCAGGAGCCAGGGTGAGAGGACAGGCAGCAGCTTTAACTAGGATGCCAAGGTAATCTCACTGAGACCGTGGAATTCAAGAAAGTAAATGAAGGAGGACAAACCATATGGATATTTTGGAGAATAGTGTAGACAGAGCACCCAGTGCTCTCAGCAAGAAAGCTGGTGTGGCTAGAGAGAAATGAAGAAGGAGAGCAGCAGGAGAGCCAGAGGGCTAAGAAGGAGTCTGGATCATGCAGCACCTGGTAAGCTGCTGGAAGGACTTCGGCTTTTACTCCAAGTGATTTGGGGGTGGCGAAAGCCATTGGAGGGGTATGCAGAGTCAGAATCTGACTTCTGTCAGTCTTGTATCGAGAACAGACTGTAGGTAAGTAATTGTGGGAGTAAGGAAACCATCTAGGAGACTACTGCAAGCATCTGGATGAGCACTGAGAGAGGCTGGAAGCAGGATAATGATGATAAGGGTGGTGAGAAGCTGTTGGATTGGATGTATTGGGAAGGAAGAGTCAAGAGGATTTGTTGATGGCTAGCTGTGTGGGTGTGAGAGAGGGATTGCACCGTTATGGAAACAGGAAAATGTGCAGACAGAGCACTAGGGTAAAGGGGATCAAAGGTTAGGTTTTAGACATGTTAAGGCTGAAATGTCTATTACATATCTTGGATAAGTAGAGATGTGTTGGGTAGGCAACTGGGTACACAAGTCTGGAGTTTGGAGGAAGGGGTCTGGGCTGGAAATAGAAACTTGGGAGTCATGAACATATAGATAGTATCTAATTTCATAAGAATGAATGAGTATCTAATTTCATAAGAAAGAATGTATTAAGTGAACATCAGTTCAGAAAGTGGTCCAAGGTAGATCCCTGAGGCACTTCACTGTTGAAAGGACAGGCAGATGCAAGGAATTCAGCAAAGAGGGATGAAAACGGGTTATCACTGAGGTATATGAAAACCCAGGAGAGAGTACAGTGTCACAGAAGCTAAGTAAAGAAACAGTTTCAAAGAAGAGGGAGTGATTCACCATGACAAAGAATGGCGATCAGTCAAAAGAGGAAGATTGAGAAATAATCGTTGGATTTTGCAATGTGAACATTTTTAGTGACCATGAAAAGAACATTCTTTTTGATGGGTAGATTCTAAAACCTTGTAACAGTGGGTTTAAGAAAAAAATAAAGAAATTAGAGATAGCAAGGAGAGGCACCTTTTGATGTTTTACTCTGAAGGAGGACAGAGAAACAGGGCAGTAGCAAGAAGGAAATGTGCTATCAACAGAATTTATGTTGATTTATGTTTTATGCTGATGGAAGTGTTCTAGTCGAGATGGAACATTCAGCAATTCAGTAGAGAGGAGAGAGTATTATTAGAACAAAGTCCCCCAGGAGGTGGAGAAGAAGATAAATCATAAAGCAAAGCAAGCACAGAAGTGCAGATGTCTGGAGGTCAACAGAGGTGAAGGTGGGAGCCTGAGGAACTTCCCAGGTTTCTCTTGCTGCTTCTTTTAAGTAAGGAAAGCACTGATAACCCATTTGGACTTGGATATGCCCATCCTACTAAAAATTTCACCCAATCAGCCTCACTATTACATCATGAGGAAACAATGCTCCTCTCTTTGATCTGTGAGGAGTCTAAGCAGAGATTTATGGCTCACTAAGGCCTGCCAATAGTCATTGGTGAGCCAGATTGCCACATCCTCACATCCTCAGCAGAAGCCTATGCAATATCCATTTATGCTCTCCCATCATCTTCCCCTCAGTCCCAGATAGGTGCTTTCTAAGTTTTAAGAGCGGTTCCATAGAGAAGAAATGACAACCATACAGTGTGTTTCCAAGCCCTGACCAAAATCTAAATTCCAATTGTGTTTCACAACTAAGTTATACAAGCTTGGATAATGTCTTCAACTCACAATGGCCCATTTTCCACATGACTCCTACTCACATACTGTTACAAGACACTATGTGTACTTTGTATCACACAATGCAAAGATCCTGCGTTTCAATTATTTTCTCTGTTCCATACTGTCCCTATTCTGAATGCCAGAGTGTAACAAATGAGCATATATTACGGATAAATAGACACATCCAGGCAGTGTTCTCTGCAAATTTGCTTCTGTTCAATTATCTTAAATATGTATACATTTATAAAATCCACTCATCAATGTAAACTACTAGATTACTAGATGTCTTTCAAAGGTACATGCTGTAAGATTTCTAACAGATTGACTTCTCAAACATGATCTTTTGTCTGTCAAGTATTTATTAAAGGAAGATCTTCTCTAGATTTTCTAGGTCAGCAAGCACTTGATTATTTTGTTGTATTGTGACCAATTTACAGATTTCTATCTGATGTGTGTATATAAAGGGAGTGAGTGAGAGAGAGAGAAGGTAGTTATACACTTGGGCTTCAATTAAACTGTAAGACCTATGGTCTTTAGTTTTGATTTTGTACACATTGCAAACCTCACAATTATATATGTTCCAAAGCTTTGGTGCTCGTTCAATAATATATCATGCACACAAAATACATTAAACACATATTGCAACACAGTTGCAAGGTTTTCATCACAGAAATAGGTAAGGACATTTCATTTTTTAAAAGTGCCTTTTGCTATAGGGTTTCTAAAAAATCATTTCATAGTGAAAAATTAACTACTGGTTTCTTTGATGTGTTAGTTTGACTGAAAGAATATATTACTAGAGAATGCTTATTATTTTTATAACCATATTTCTGAAAAAAAAAAAAAAAAAACGTTCATTTGTTTTTTTGTAGGTCTGGGCAAGGGATGATAAAAACCCTTAAAGTCCAGGCAATCATGCTGAGAACAAAGGGCAGGTGTCATTTTTTACTGTGATTGGCCAGAGCTGAAATCAGGACTTTCTCCCTCTAGCAGAAGCTATTGTGGAATTTACAGTAATCCCCCTGGCTGACTGCCCATCACACTGCCAAACAGCACAACAACAAAAACGTAATATCTGGGGAGAAGGCCAAAACATATATTAAAAATTCTCATTGTTTTTATTCTTCAACATTGAAAGATGATTTAAGAGAAAAGAAAAAACTCACCCAGCTGTTACCGCTATTCATATTCCAACAGCCTCCAGATTGCTCGAGGCCACCTGGTTGACTTTTGCCTTGGAGTCGGTCCAGAAAAGCATTATTTACCCTTTAAAACAATGAAAAATGTGTGTGAGTAGAAAACTTGCTGCAGGGCTGAGAGATTTCTGAGAATCTAATGTGTTGTATGAACTGACCATGGGGATAGCTTCCTGGCTTCAGCTTAGAAGAAATCCACAGAAACTTCTCTTCACACTAACCATATGACATGCTGTTAACCCCTCTTTACTGGAGCTGGTGCCAATCTTGGCTCAAGCCAAAGGGGATACGAATTCTTAACCTGAGAGTTTCAGGCACTCATCTCCTGCCAGTTCAGCAAGACCCTAGTTCAAGAAAGAAACTACAGCCCTCAGAATCATGCCAGGTATGAACCTCAGAGGCTGGAGAGAGAAAGAAGCCTCAGCATGAACCAAAACATGAAGAAGAACCAAAGATAGCTCTATGGCATTATTGTTGCAAGATAGATGTCCTTCCTATATTCCCTGCACTCCACTGCCAGTCTTGCTAAAGTAAACCCCATACATGAAAAGCAGAAATGGAAGGTGAGCTTATATTATTCTATTTCTGGAGCTTGCTACCTGGTTGTTCACTTTATAATTAATCACTATAAATATCTGTTTTGTGGACCTTTCTGTGTTTCATATTACAGTTTTTAAATTTAAAATAATAAATCACAGGTAACGTCGTGCTCTGAGTTGCCCACGTATGGCTGAGTAGAGTCAGGGACTTGGAAGCTGAAGAAATGGCACTGCAATAGGTACCCTATGACATCAACAGATTATTTAGGAAGTGCAGAAATAAGACTATAAGCTTCTGGGAAGCAGAAACACAATGCCTGGTGCATAGCAGCAAATATACATTTATGGAAGGAAGGGAGGCAGGAACCAGTCACATGAGCCTCTTGTTCAGTCATGAAGATTAGCAGAATGTGGTCATGGTGAGTGGCTACAGGCCAGTGACTGTGGGAGATTAGGGAACTTTGAGGCAAATAAAGGCTGGGTAGCAAAGTGAAAGGCTGGAGGGGGTTTCTGGCTGTCTGCGCTTGCTCAGTGCTAGCTAAGATGCCAGGCGTGTGTGGGCTCAGTTGCTGTCTCTCAACAACTTTAGGTCCCATCGGGCTGCGGTTCCACCTCAGCTATTATAAAGCTTCTTTCCTGTCTTACCATAAAATCTACCCAAGTGCCATATTCTAGTCAGCCTGCTTCACTGCCAAGCTCCATGTTTAAGTCACCTTCTCTGAATCTCTCAGCATGCAGATAGAATAGTATCCTACTTCGCTGGAGACTCAACTATCAAGAAAAGGAAAGTGACCCTGCTCCCCAGTAAACAACACAACCACTGGTATCCTGGACTGCCTGCATGCCTGGAGCTGTTCTTATCCAGTCTTTTTGTCATTAACAAAGATGGGCTTTCACTCAGCATCCTCCACCCCACACCCAAACCGCTACAAGGCTTGTTTGCTCTACCTCCTGAACACAACCTAAATTCACTCATTTCTTTCCATGGATACCATTCTAGTTCAAATTACTATATCTTCACCTTGCTAGTGCTTTCACTCCCACCTTCCGTAATCTAGTCCCCATACAACAACCTTACTAGATTATGAAAGAAATGTCTTCCTTTTGCTTAAAATTCTCCCACAGCTTCCCATTGGTCTTAGAATAAAACTGGCTTATAAAAGGTTGTGTTATCTTGCTCCTGCCTACCTTTCCTCCCCCACTGAGTATCATTCTCTTCTTCACTCACTATAATCCCATCACATGGGGTGAGGTGTGGTGGCTCATGCCTGTAATCCCAGTGCTTTGGAAGGCTGAGGCTGGTGCATCACTTGAGGTCGGGAGACCAGCCTGGCCAACCTGGCAAAACCTCATCTCTACTAAAAACACAAAAATTAGCCCGGCATGGTGGTGGGCACCTATAGTCCCAGCTACTCAGGAGGCTGAGGCAGGAGAATCGCTTGAACCTGGGAGGTGGAGTTTGCAGTGAGTGGAGATGATGTCACTGCACTCCAGCCTGGGCGACAGAGCAAAACTCTGTCTCAAAAAAAAAAAAAAAAAATCCCATCACTTGGGACTCAAACAGTCCAAGCTCATTTGTACTTTAGAGCCTCTGCACTTGCTCTTCCCCTCTTCGTAGGCCATCTAAGTCCATGCATCTGCCCCTAGTCTCTATGTGGCTGGTTCTTCCTTGTCCTTGGATGTCACCTCTGCAGTGAGGCCTTCCTAAGTAACCTATCATCTCCAATTTCTTCTTTAACGTCACCTTGTGATATTGTCCTCACAGTACACATCACCATCTGAAATAACAGTGCCTTTGATTGTTGACTTCCATTTCTCTCCTCCAGATTATAATTTCCACATGGTGAGGCACCCCTTCTGCCGTGTTTTGCCCTATTCCCGGAGCCTAGGACACAGCCTTTATGGAGTGTAGCCTGATAATGTAGTTACTGAATGAAACAAATCTTCCTGGCACACGTTCTTCACCCCTGAAAACAACATGGATGATGAGTGCAGACTGCAAAACAGCTCACTGGCAATTGCTCTCAATTCACTCAAACCCTGCGAAGACTGATGCCTTGTCATGAAGACATAAGGTAATGTGATTCACTTTTGAGCATCAGTTACTAAGAGGACATCAGAGTGGTTGAGCACTCTTTGATACTATAGGAGTGTCCTCAACTTGCCTATGTCCACAGCAGTGTGAGTCAACCAGAGATAATGGGTGGGAAAGAGTTTGTTTCTCTCAATTCCTATCAAGAATCTAAATGGGAGGGAAAAGAACCAATTTCTATTTTTGTTTAATAGTTTTAGAAAGTACATACATGCTACTGCAGTCAAAATTGTGCTCTGGGTTTTCTTCTGAGGGTTAATTTGGATAAAAACTATTATTCAGGGATGGTTCAAGTTTGAATAAATCAATTCAGTTCATCCAGTTTTCACTTCATGGCCCAAATCCTTTCAAGTCCTTGACCCCCATGCTCTGTCGTTTCTCTCTGGAATTTCTACTTGTCTTCTCCTACTCAAATAGTTACAACGGGTTAGGTGCAGGTGCACTCAAGCTCATTACAGGTTCATTGAAAAGCTTGTCAGGAATCTCAGTGCTTTCTATTATAATACTCAGAGTTGAGTTTTCTGCAATGTGAACTTTTAAACTGTAGAAAGCACGTTGTCCTTTTGATGCCAATAAAATTGTGCCTTTGGAGAAAACCTAATTTACATCCCCTACACACACACTATATAGCTTGTGTTGTTGCCTTGAGTAAGAATGGACACGGCTATTTTATTAAGAGTTCATTGAGTATGTATTCTCACATGATAACATGGGAAAGCTCATGGCACACTTTAAAGGCAATACAAACGTAAGCTCTTTTCAAAAATTGATGAAGAGCATAAAATATATATTTAATGACTTGATCAGATACTTCAAAACTAATTACTGAGTTTATTATCTAGAAAAATCTCTTCTTGGATTAAATTTGGAGCTATACATTTATTGGATCTATTTAAGTAGAATCAAAAGAAAGAAAAAATAACGTATAGAAATTAAACAGCCCCACCAATATTTAGGTATTCAGTAGTATGGAAATAAAGAATGAAAGCCAAGATTCCTATAACAAAAAAGTTATCTTTTCCACCTCTAATCAAATAGCTTGGGTGTTTATTAGGTGCCCATCAAAGATAAATATTTCAGCAATGGAGCCTATTAATGTGACACATCACTGTGTTTAAGATGCTTAAAGTCTTACAATTCAATTAATCCTCAGAAATCCAGAGAAATAACTGGCTACTACTAGCAATCAGTTTATAAATACAATATCAAGTGTTTTTTAAACAGGAAGTATTTTAAAGAGAAAATAGGGCAGGTGCGGTGGCTCACTCCTGTAATCCCAGTACTTTGGGAGGCTGAGGCAGGCAGATCACCTGAGGTCAGGAGTTCAAGACCAGCCTGGCCAACACAGTGAAACCCCGTCTCCACTAAAAATACAAAAATTAGCTGGGCATGGTGGCACGTGCCTGTAATCCCAACTACTCAGGAGGCTGAGGCAGGAGAGTCACTTGAACCCGGGAGGCAGAGTTTGCAGTGAGCCGAGATCCTGCCACCGCACTCCCACCTGGGCAAAAGAGTGAGACTCTGTCTCAAAAAAAAAAAAAGAAAAAAGAGAGAAAATAATAAACAGCAATAAAATGGCTAAATTATGGCCTACTTTATAATAAATAAGTAGTTAGCATGCTTCCCCACCACCATCTTACCCAACAATATAGCCTAACCGACATATCAGAGTTTTGATATTTCCTTAAATAAGAGAAAAAACATATAATTCACATTTGTAGTTTCAAAACTATTTTGACTGGACTCTGGGGACAACATAGTTCAGTCAAATAAAAGTGAGCTCCCCGCCCACAGTTAGAGGCACCATCAGAACAGGGAGCTTCCACTGAATGCTTTTTAAAGTCTCTCATTTAGAAAATGAAACCAACATAACTTAAAAATACAGTTTAGTGACAGTGGGAAGGTTAAATACGTTCAAAAAAAGCCATTCACTATCAAAAGAATTTGTCCCTTTAAATTGTGAAAACCCTTACATTCTTCTCCAAGATACTCAAGTACACCCCTAATGAACTCAACTCGTGTCCCCCTAGAAATCTTAGCATAATAATGGCATACAATATGGTGCTTATTAGCACTGTCCCAACAGTAACATGATATTTTACTAGGTATTCTTAAGTCTGATATTAGGATTAAGATGGAGAGTGCTTAGACTATTTGAAAATTACTTAATGGTTCTAAGATTTTTTTTCTCTAATGTGTCAATATTAAATAATGTTAGTGAGTTTTTGTCTGAGCTTTTGCACTCAAGTATGGGTATCTGACCATCTATATTGATCTAAGTGTTATAACTAAGTCTATAAATGGTAGACTATCGTCTCAAACTAGGATGTTTTGTCCTACGGTAGGCAAATTAAATATACCTTAATTGAACACACAAGAACATGAGTCAGTTTTCTAATGTGAGTTTATAATGCCACCTATCCAAGAAAATTGTGCATGCACATATGTACACACGTGTGTACTTATATATGTAGCAGTTGGCATACCTCTACATATATCACGTCCCAATAACAGATTTAAAGGTAACACGCATTCCAAAACCATATTAATAATGTTATCGTAATGCTTTCCTAAAACACTGTACAAACTTTCTAGGTAATTGATTTAACCAAGGATGCTTATTTTATTAGCCAGTTTTACCTCCTGTGTTCAGTCTGGTGGATTTTGGCTCTTTCTTGCTCTTGCTGCTGCCGTTTCAGTTCCAGTAATTCACTCTAGGAACAATAAAAGTTTTAAAATATGGTTTTCAATTAACACAGTTGTACAGAAGATACCCAAATCAATTACATATTTAAACCTCAACTGGTACAATATTTCATTTTTGAAACTTTTACTTAAGTACTATTTGGATGTGAAATTATTTTCTTATATACGTAGGTAGCAAATAACTGTGGCTTAGTCAAACAGAATAGCTCTGTGAGTGTAAAATTGCTAGATTAAAAGCCAGTGTGCATGGTCAAGATACTAGATCAATAGGTACAACACAAACAGAAAAAAATACAATGTAAGTCAAACTCATCTATGTCTTACAGAGAACAACAAATCAAATTAGTTCCTTCAGGAATATCACACAATACTATTTCTTGGTATTTCTCTAGCATTTCTTTCCTGATAAATTCAGAGCAACTTACAAATAAATATTGGACTCAATCTTATAGTGTAATTCTGTTAATAAAACATTCTCCATCCTGGAGAGTAAGCACTCACCTATTATTGATTAGTTACTTCTAATACCAGCAGAACTTTGAGATCTCTGGAGGAGATACTTTGCTTCATATAAATCACATTATTATAACTAAATCTTTAGCTTCCAACAGTCTGCTTATCTTCTTGGAAGAGGCAACTTAACTTCCAGACCTAGTTACTATGTTTACAGTATTATACCGAAGAACCAATCCCAGGATTTCTCTAATTTCCAACTGTCTACCCTAAGGCAGAATAAATTTTAATCCCATTTCAAAGACAAAAAAAATGCAAAGAGAAGAAAATTATTAGGCCCAAGTCATATACCAGTGCCTGAGTCAGAGAGATTTTCTGGTAGAGAAAATACTGTCACGTCTTAACACATACCAATAAAAGGTTGCTATTGTTGTTTTAACCCCAAACTTCCTTGATGAAAAGTATACAAAAAAACTCAAAGTTCAGGCTGACATTTTATTAACTTTGTTCAAAGACCCTCTAATATTCCACAGTCCCCCAAAATAAAAAGACTTATTTCTTATACTGTGATATTCCAAATACATTGCTCATCAATCCCTAAAGCACATTACTTAACCCTAATTCCTATATAACACTAATAAGGGGAAATCATTGAATAATATTTGAGTTTTTGAAATCAATGAATAATATTTGTCCACTCAATAAGCATTTGTTATACACCTTGCTGCCAAGCTTTATGCTCAAGTCTCACTCTTGCACAATAGGATCATTTTTTAGTCTACCAAATATTAGTACTCTTTATTAGTACTACCAAGTATACCAATGTGAAAGAAGCTCCTGTCCTCTCCCTCGTCTCCACAATCATTTTCAATTCCTGCATGTGGTTTCATAAGTAATTATCTTCTTCTTAATAGTATGCATGTTTATTCATTTCTTAATTTTTTTTTATTATTATACTTTAAGTTTTAGGGTACATGTGCACAATGTGCAGGTTAGTTACATATGTATACATGTGCCATGCTGGTGCGCTGCACCCACTAACTCGTCATCTAGCATTAGGTATATCTCCCAATGCTATCCCTCCCCCCTTCCCCCCACCCCACAACAGTCCCCAGAGTGTGATGTTCCCCTTCCTGTGTCCATGTGTTCTCATTGTTCAATTCCCACCTATGAGTGAGAATATGCGGTGTTTGGTTTTTTGTTCTTGCGATAGTTTACTGAGAATGATGATTTCCAATTTCATCCATGTCCCTACAAAGGACATGAACTCATTTCTTAATTTTTAAAAAACTGTATTATCTTTTGACTACCTACAATGGAAAAAAGATTGATGTCTCTATTACTACCTTCACCCCAATCCCAACTTCCTCTCATAGTACAGCCCCATCGTCATTCTCTTACAACTTTTTTTTTTTTAACATTCAATGTGGTAGGAGAGGGATCTAGAAATCCTGTAGCTCCTCATTCAAGTTTCTAATTCATCCTCCTGTTTTCAACTCTAGGCTTCAAAGGTACCAGGTGCCTCTGATTCCTCAACTTAACCAACTTCTCTGTCTTACTGCTTCTTTCAGATGAGTACTGGCTTTCCCTGCTCCACTAAATCAGTTACCACTGACCATCTAGTTCCAGATTTAAAATTTTGGCTTATATCTTTGCTGCAGTCTACTAGTCTGTTCTTTTGCTCTTGTTGGCTTATGGCTTTTTAAAAAAATTCCTGTATTTTTAGTGGTATATGGGGAGAGAGTGATAAAACATAAGCAAATGAAATGCTTTTGATATGCAATGTTTAACCAGAAAACCTTAATATTTTCAAATACAAGTTTTACCAGAATTGTATTATTTGATCCTAACAACAATTGCAAAGGTAGGCAGGCAAACAAAGTATTATGTGATAAATGAATGAGCAATATCATCCTCACCTTACAGATAAGGAAATGGGATCAGAGACACAGTTTTAGTAACTTGTCAAGAGCTAAATAGCTTATTAGTAGCAAAATAAAGACCAGGGCTTACATTTTCTCGTATCTAATAATCTTCTGCAGGATGCATTCAAAATAAATGGTTGGAATTAAGGATATCCTCACGGTGGCTCATCATAAAGTATACACAGTCATGTCCAGAACTACAGGACCCATTCACATTCAAAAGTTTTAGCAGAATATATATAACCTAAGCACAAATCTAAATCCTTCTTGCCAAAGGATGCTGATTATTTTCACTTTCATTAATCCTATTTCTCCAAGGAGCAACTTCTGGTATCTGGCCCATTGTGAGTTTAATACAATGCATTCTGAACAAACTAACTCTCATTAGTTCTGGAGTATGACACAAAGACAAAAAAAGTATAAAATACATACATATATATATATGCATACTATGACATGTTACTTTAAAATTTTTAAGATAATTTTTTCAGACTTGGCAAAATGATCATGCAACTTGTCTGAGAAAAAAAATACAATCACAGCCATACAAAAATACTGGAAAAGAAAACAAAAAATGAGAAAGAACCAGCTTCATCAAACATTGAAAGATATCATATGAGAACACATGGATGGGGACAACACACACTGGGGCCTGTTGGAGTGGAGGATGCAGGGGGAGGGAGAGCTAATGGATGCTGGGCTTATTACCTAGGTACTGGGTTGATCTGTGCAGCAAACCACCATGGCACATGTTTACCTATGTAACAAACCTGCACATCCTGTACATGAATCCCTGAGCTTAAAAGTTGAAGAAAATAAAACTATAGTAATTAAAACAATTTGAGTCTAGGAAGAGACATGATACATATGGAAATGTAGTTTACCATAAGGTTGTGCTAAACCAATGCAGGTGACAGAGTTTCATGAATGATGATGGACTAGCCGACTACTGTAAGAAAGATCAAAACTAGACCCTTAATTTCGATTAAATAAATTTTATAGAAGTCTAAGATTTGAGCCTAGAAGATGGGAATAGAAGTTTTCAAAGGTGGCACAGGTGAATTTATTTATAAACTTGGAGTGAGGAAGTTCCAGAAGTTAGAAAAAGAAAAAGATTAATAAATTTAGCTGCATGAAAATTCAAACTTTTCATTTGGAAAAAATACCATAAAATTAAAAAATTAACTGTTAATGAATGTTTAGGATATGCATAGGCTAATTCAATTTTCATTTATTCATTCATTAAATATCTGAGTGTCTATTATGAGCCAGGCTTGCATCTACATGATAGGCTATAGTAGTGAACAAGATAGATGAGATCTTTGCTCCTTTAGAGTTTATATTCTAGAGAAAGGAAACCCATAAACAAGTGAGAAAAATATCCAACAATAATCCCAGGCAGAGGATTAAAACACACTGATGTGAGATTCAGTGGTTCAGTGACTATTTTAGGCTGAGACTCAGGAAATGTCCCAGAAAGTGGGTAAGGACTTCACATAAACCAATAAGGAAAAAACAACCAAAAAGAAAAAGGGCCAAGGGATAGGAACAGGCAGTTCACAGATAAACTACAGGTTGCCTGTCAGTTCAAAATGGTCATTATCTTCACTCAAAATCAAAGAAATATTAAAACGATGAGATAAAGTGTTTCTATTGTATTGACGAAAATCAGAAAAGTTTGACAGAAAACACTCTGGTATAGCATCTAAATTAGTGAAACCTAATTTAGTTTTTGGAAGTCAATTTAGCAATAAGCATCAAAACGTAAGACGTATACATCTCTTGCAGAAGTGTTCAAAGATGTATGTATATGAATATTCACAGTTATATTATTGAAACTGTAAAAGTTCAGGGAAACATGTTAATGCCCACCAACAAAACACTTGTACCATAAGTGAGACCATCAGCGCAATGGAATACAATGGAACAGTTACAAAGACTAAGATGGATGTTTTGTAAGGTAGAGCAGGGGCCTATGGAGAGATCTCTAAGATACATTAAGTGATAAAAGATAGGTTCAGAGCCGTTTTCTTAGGACGCTTCTATATAAATAGAAAATATATACATACATTCATTTTGACTTTTATATGCTGATGTGTATCCAAAACATTTAATGAAAAACTACACAAGAAAATGTTAACTGTAATTAACACTGGGTAGCGGCGCTTGAAGTGTGAATGGGCAAGAAAAGGATGCTTTACTATCTTACATAGTTTTTGTTTTTTAACTTCTGAACCATGTGTATATATTATTTCCTCATACCATCAGTAGGAATTTATTATCAGTGTGAGAGGCCATTTCTGTTTTCTTATGCTTTCCTTTATTTAAAAATCCCAATAAATATGTAATTTTTAACACAGAGAGATATAAAAGAGCGAAACACCACACATGAAGCTAAGAACTGTTAGGGAGGAAGAAAAGACGGGAAGAGAGCAACATACATCATCCTATTACGGAGGCAAGGAAAGGGGAGAAGAGATAAAGACCAGGAGGGAAACGCGGACGGGAGCTGATGAGGCATCACCATGCAAGAACATTGCTCCAGATGGCCGAAGGGAAGGTGCTGGCATCGCTGCACTCAGGATTATTATCCTATAACTAGCAAAGCATATTTACTAAGGAGAGGCTGGTTTTTCTTCCGTACTAAGAAGGATAATTTCAGCTAATTAATTTGTTCTGCTGAACTGACAGCCACCGAGGATGTGTCTGCATGCCTTATAAGCATATTCTTGGTTCATTTACTGAGATCCCACAGAGAAGTTCAATATCTAGAGTTAAGCAAATAAAAAATAAGTTGTTCTTGTTTCAAGGACCAAGCTCGGGACATGAAAAGCATCAAAGTGCTCTAAGCAGGAGGACAATGACATGCAACATCTGAGGCATTGTTAAGGCCTGGCCTACTCAATGCATATTGTCACACGCCAACCATTTTCCAGATACCTAGGTTCATGCTAAAGGTACAGATATCAGCACAGCTCCACCCTGAAATAAATCACAGTATAATGAGGCAGACACACCCAGAAACAACTCTGACACAGGGCAAAAAGAAATGAGTTGCTAAACACAAAATTAAGCTACATGACATGGGAATACAAGGAAGGAATGCAAACAGGAGAAGGGTGTTCAACACTTTGTGTTTGTGCACATCTTATCACTGTGCTATGCAAATCTCTACATTCATACAGAGCTGCATACAAACGAGGGTAGGTTGGTGATATGATAAACAAAATACCATCCTAGAGATTGAAAGTATGGAACTTCCTACAAACATTGGCCAAGTGGTATGTGGTAAATGAGGACAACACTGCAAATAGCGCCACTGCCTGTGGCCACCCGATGCAGTGCTCACCCAGGAGGGCTGCTCTGCTGGGGAGCTGCAGGATGGCACCAATAGCTCTGCTTCGAGCCCAGGTCAATAATAAGAAGAGGGGTTGCCATTTCCAGCAAGAGGTTGCAAACATCATTTCTCTGGGCTCCAATTGTCTGATGGTGCCCTGTTCTACAGAAGGGTCAACTATACAACAGACAGGTGTGTGTAAAGCTGGATGCTTAAGAAATGTGACAAGGTTAGAGGGAAAACATGCTCCAAAGCAAAGTTTCAGTGTGGTAATTGAAGATGAACATGGGGTCATTTTAAAACCATGTCTGAATCCCAACAGAGCATGTTCCGACATGGTTCAGCTTGACTGCTTTATGTAAACATGAAAATGCCATCGCCTGGCAAAACAAACTTCTCCCAGGAGAGCCTGTTCTCTCAACACAACAAGAGGAAAGGGATAGTGGAAGCAGGAGAGTTGAGACCATGAAGTCATGAAGTTCAAGAATGCCTTCCTTTGAAGGTTTAATACAGAAAAGCTTTCGGGGGAAGGAGGAGAGTTTAAAGAAGTCCTGGTTCTCCGGCATCCACAGTAATACCTTTGCCTTGAAGGAGAAAGATGGCCTTGGCTATCAAGAATGGGGAGAAAAGGCAGAAGCTACCACCCAAAATTTTCAGAGCACCAACCAAATCAAAGGAAATAAATACTAATGGGTGAAGTAGAGTTTAAAAATAACACAAGTAATGTACACTCTCCCCTTACTATTGTTTTTAAT
Source organism: Homo sapiens (assembly GCF_000001405.40). Taxonomy (NCBI): domain Eukaryota; kingdom Metazoa; phylum Chordata; class Mammalia; order Primates; family Hominidae; genus Homo; species Homo sapiens. Next base: position 42,906,846 of record NC_000013.11, read on the forward strand.
TTTTAATTTTTTAATTGACAGTTTGTACATATTTATAGGATACAATTTGATATTTTGATACATATGTATGTTGTAAAATGATCAAATCAGGGCACTTAGTGTGTCCATGATCTCATGCATTTATCATTTATTTGTAGTGAGAATATTCCAAAGCCTCTTATCTAGCTATTTTGTAAGGTACACTATCATCTTACTGTCAACCACAGTCACTCCACTGTATAACAGAACATCAAAACATATTCCTCTTATCTAATTGTAACTTTGTATTTGCTGTTGCTAGTTCTATCATTTTAACAGAGAGAGAAATAAACTTCCAGCTACAACAATCATGGAATCACAGCTCTATGTCTCCCACCTAAAAATATTTCCTACACAAAATGCAAGGTAGACGTAGGTTTCAAAACTTATCTGCACTCTATTTTATGATCTTTGTTTTCATTTTCATATATGTGAGCATATTTCTATTATGTTATTAAAATGTGGTAGTAATTGCTGCATGGTATTTATTCCAAACTCCAAAACCTTCAAATCCTGTATCACTGAACAAACTGTTTCAAATTTCCCATTAATCTTATGTTAAAAATAAACAACCTTGTACAAATATCTTGTCTGTATCTCTCATTATTTCCTCAGAATAAATGTATACCTTTAGATCTAATATTTTTACTTTTAGGAAACTCTTCAGAATTTGATGTTGCCAAAGTGCCTCTCAGTTTATCCTCTCACCAGTAATAGTACTTCAGTGTTTGTGGTATATATTGACGTCTACTAGTGGAAGTTCTCCTTACCCCAACAAATACACAAATTATTATTCATATTTTTCTAAAGTTTAAATTTCATTATTTTTCTCTCAGTTGAAATTTAGAAACAGTATTTTCAAATTACCTCAAATTCCATTGAAATTTATTACTAGAATTTCATTAAACTTACAAGTAAACTTGGATAGAACTATAGTTACTGAAATATTGAGTTTTAGCATTCGGGAACATTAGCCATCTCTGCTTTATTCGAATTGACTTTTATGTATAATAACCAAAACAGCGTGGTACTGGCATACAAACCAATGGAACAGAATAGAGAGTCCAAAAATACATCCACACATGCAGAGCCAACTGATTTTTGGCAAAAGGGCCAAGAACATAGGGGAAAGGACAGTCTCCTCAATAAACAGTAGTGGGAAAACTGAATATCCACATGCAGAAGGATGAAATTAAACCCTTTTCTCTCATCACATACAAAAAACAACTCAATTTGACAGTTTTCACAAAAGGCGTTAAAAAATAATCAACTCAAAATGGATTAAAGACTTTAAATGTAAAACCTGAAACTAGGAAAGTACTAGAAGAGAATATGGGGGAAGCTGGGCACAGTGGTTCATGCCTGTAATCCCCACCCTTTGGGAGGCCGAGGCAGGCAGATCACTGCAGGCTAGGAGTTTGAGACCAGCCTGGCCAATATGGCAAAGCCCCGTCTCTACTGAAAATACAAAAATTAGCCAGGCACGGTGGCACACACCTGTAATCCCAGATACTTGGGAGGCTGAGTCATGAGAATTGTTTGAATCCCAAAGGCAGAGGCCGCAGTGAGCCGAGATGGTGCCACTGCACTCCAGCCTGGGTGACAGAGAGACTCTGTTATGAAAAAAAAAAAAAAAAAAAGGAAAAGAAAATGTAGTGGAAAAGCTCCATGACATTGGTCTGGGCAAGGATTTTTTGGATAAGACTTTAAAAGGACAAGCAACAAAAGCAAAAACAGACAAATGAGATTACATCAAACTAAAAAGCTTCTCCACATCAAAGGAAACAATCAGCAGACTAAAGAGACAATCTACAGAATGGGAGAAAATATCTGTAAACTATACATCTAATAGGGGGTCAGTATCCAAAACACATAAGGTACTCAAACAACTCAATAGCAAGAGAACAAATAACCTAATTTTTAAAATTAGCAAAAAGGGCCAGGCGCAGTGGCTCATGCCTATAATCCCAGCACTTTGGGAGGCCTAGGCAGGTGGATCACCTGAGGTCAGGAGTTCAAGATCAGCCTGATCAACATGGTGAAACCCTGTCTCGACTAAAAATACAAAAAAAAAAAAAAAATAGCTGGGTGTGGTGGTGGGCGCCTGTAATCCCAGCTACTCAGGAGGCTGAGGCAGGAGAATCTCTTGAAAACAAGAGGCAGAGTTTGCAGTGTGCCAAGATCATGCCATTGCACTCCAGCCTGGGCAACAAGAGCGAAACTCCATCTCAAAAATAATAACAATTTAAAAAATAGGCAAAAGGCCTGTGTAGCTATTTCTTGAAAGAAAACATGCAAATGGCCAACAGGTATATGAAAAAATGCTCAACATGACTAACCATCAGGAAAATGCAAACTAAAACCACGATGAGCTATTATCTCACCCCCATTACAAGGCTATCATCAAAAAGGACAAAAGATAACAAGCGATGGCAAGAATATGGAGAAAAGGGAACCCTTACACGCTGCTTGTGGGGGGTGTAAATTAGTACAGCCATTATGAAAAGAGGTGTAAGTTCTCTCAAAAAATTAAAAATAGAAGTACCATATGATCCAGCAATCCCACTACTGGGTGTCTATCCAAAGGAAATAAAACAAGTATGTCAAAGAGATATCTGCACCCCCATGTTTATTGCAGTACTGTTCACAATAGCCAAGATATGGAATCAACCTAAGTGTCCATCAATGGATAAAGAAAATGTGGGATATACACACAATGGAATATTATTCCACCATAAAAAGAAGGAAATCTTGTCATTTGCAACAACATGGATGAACCCAGAGGACATTATGTTAAATGAAATAAGCCAGGCACAGAAAGACAAATACCACATGATATCATTTATATATGGACTTTAAAAAGCTGATCTCATAGAAATAGAGTAGAATCATGGTTACCAGAGGCTGGGGGGGTTAGGAGGAAATGGTGAAGTACAGGGAGATATTGGTCAAAGGATATGTAATTACAGTTAGATATAGGGAATAAATTCAAGAGATCTATTGTACAGCAAGGTTAATGACAGTTGTAATTAATGACAATAAATAATGATCATTTATTATATTCTTGAAAATGCAAAGAATGTTAAGTGCTCTCACCACAAAAATAGTAACTGTGAGGTAATGCATTTGTTAATTAGCTAGACTTAGCCATTTCACAATGTTTATATACTTCAAAATATCATATTGAACATTATAAACACAAATAATGTTTTCTGTCAATTAAAATTGGATTTTGTGGATTCCAGGAAAGTTTTTAATTTTTTTTAGTTGTTGAACAATTATTTATATAGCTGCTTTTTGATTAGATCTTTTTGTCCCATAACGTATTTTCTAATTAAGTTTTGCTTGTATTTGAGAAAGTTGTTGATTCTTGTATATATTTTTTAACCAAATCTTTTTTTTTTTTTTTTTTTTTGGAACAGAGTTTCGCTCTTGTTGCCCAGGGTAGGGTGCAATGGTGCAGTCTTGGCTTACTGCAACCTCCGGCTCCTGGGTTCAAGTGATTTGCATGCCTCAGCCTCCCGAGTAACTAGAATTACAGGCACCTGCCACCACACCTGGCTAAGTTTTAGTAGAGATGGGGTTTCACCATGTTGGCCAGGCTGGTCTCGAACTCCTGACCTCAGGTGATCCTCCTGCCTCGGCCTCCCAAAGTTCTGGGATTACAGAAGTGAGCCACCGCGCCTGGTCCAACTCTCTTATTAAACTCCATTTGTTCTCATTATTTTTCAGTTGATTCTCTTAGTTTGCACAGGCAAATTGCTCCCATGCATAAATAACAACCTACTTCCAATAATTAGAAAAGCTCTTTTATTTTTAGTTTTATCAAGTTGGTTAAAAAATATCCAAACCTTGTTCCATTCAGTAAAAACAGGGAATTTTTTTTTAGTTAAAAAAATAAGTTTTCTATCAAATAACTTTGAGTAGCATGAGGTTGGAATTCCCAGAATAATACTGGGTAACAACCAAGTTTGGTAGGGGTTGCAAACATCCTTATGTTGTTCATAGTTTTAGTATTTCACCACTGAATATAATGTTGGTTATTGGTTTAGAAGACTACAAGTATGTTAAGAAAATATTATTTTTAGTTCACTGAAGTGTTTTTTAATTGATAGTAAAGATTAAAATTTATCAATGTCTTTTTGTGTAACTAAAGAGCCAAATATTCTTGTCACATGACCTATCCTATTGCAGTGATAAGATATAAAAAGTTTTAATATATAGCTACTTATCTTTGCATTCCTGGAATAAACTCTACTTTCCTTTGGTAAATTGCTATTAAGAGAAAAATTTCATCAGCTAGAATTTTCCTTCAGATGTTAATCTCTGTCTTTATAAGATTGGTCTATCTGTGAGAGAGAGAGGGAGGGAGAGAGAGAGAGTGTGTGTGTGTGTGTGTGTGCGCGCGCACGCGCGCACACGTGTGTGAGTGTGCACATGCTTCCTTTATCAGATTGTGACATCATGGGGATAGTGAAATAAACTTCTAAAATGTTTCATCTTTTTTCTTACTCTGAAATAATTTGTAAAGCATAGGGAAAAAAAATCTGTTCCTTGAAAATTTGAAGGAACTTGCTTCTAAAATTATCCAAGTTCAGCCTCCTGGGGGAAGTAATTCTCAGAAAACTTCAGAAATCACTTGCATTTTCATTGGTCTTTATGAGTTTTAATTATGTGAGTCATTAGAGTTATATATTTTCCTAGAAAATCATTCACTTAATCCAAATTTTTAATTCATTAGCATAGCATTGTTTATAGTAACATAATTTTAAACTTTTCCAAATCTATGGTTCTAGTCCCTCATTTCTAATGCCGTGTATTTGCATTTTTACTAATCTCTTCTTGATTAGACTTACCAAAGATGTGTGCATTTGTTGACCTTATCAAAGAACAAGCTGTTAGATTTTTATAACAGCTGTTTCTTAGAGTTTTATTATTAATTTCTGTTCTTATCTTAATTACTTTCTTCAGGATCATTTATTGTTTTTGTTCTAAATTCGTAGATCAGATGCTTAATTCATTTCTTTTTTTAGTATTGAATGGATTAAAATGTTGTAATTTTGAGTACAGCTTTACATGACTTCCCTATAAAAGTCTCTCACTATAATTTTGTATGTGTTCTATAATAATAATTTTCTCTGTCACCCAATAGTTTATTTTCTGACTTTCAGTATTTTACTGATTCTTGTATATATTTTGACTGTAAAATCAATGACTTTCTAAATGACTATAAAACCAATAACCATGCACAATCAATAAATGCAATCAGCTTATCACATATTTTAAGAAGTTTCTGAAAGAGAGAAAGGAGACAGGTTACATTACCAGGGAAAACCAATGTGCAGGATAAATTGGAGCTAAGTCCACCTGCTTCTGAAGGAGCTCCAGGAGGGAATACTGGGACAGTCATTTAGATGATCAGTTAGAAAACTGCACTAAGAGCAGCTTGGTGGTGGGTTCTTTTCCCTCCCACACTTGCACTACATAGTAGGCAGCACTATCATGGCCCATAAGGTAAGAAGTGAATGAGAGAGGCATGGCTGGGCTCAGGGAAACAGGGCAACGTCCCAAGTACCTACTGACTATAAGAGAACACGAGTCTACTCCACACAGAAGACAAGCTCCTACATACCTCATTCAGCAGCATATCCAAATACATATAAGAATAATCAAACATTTGAGAAAGAATTCCATGGGAGATAAAGATTAAAATGGAAAGAAAAAAACAGTTAATATGGTAAATAGAAAACTTATGTTTGTATAGTTACAAATATACAAACATTAAATAAGATGAGATGAGAAAGAATATTGCACTTACAAAGCAGAACACTGCTACTTACCAAATCAGCAATCTTGGTAAATAAACATATTCAATATGTGCCAAATAAGCAGAATGAAAAGTCAAGAAAAAATTTAGTGAGCAGGATGATCTAGCTAAAGCTTTCATCCAGAATCCAATTAAAAAAAAAAGGCCAAAGGGATAAGAAGTACAAGAAAACAATGAAGTTATATACAGAACAGATCTGAAATGTCCAAAGTCCATTTGATAGATGTCCCAGAAATGGAGAGCAAAGACAATAAGGGTAAAGAGACATAAAAGAAAATTAGGAAGAAAAAAGGAAAAGTGAAGAGAGACATGTATTTTCAGATTAAAAGAGACAACCAAAGGCTATGCAAGATTAGAAACAAAAATAGAAACACTGTGAAATTTCTTATAGTACAGGAAGGGGGAGTGGAGAGAAGAAAAAAAACAGTAAATAAATAAAACAGAGAATTCAGTGTCAGTAAAAAAAAAGAAAACTAATAAAAAGTAAATCATGCAGTAAGAATACAAATACATGCAAATATGCTACTAATCATAATAAATGAGAACACATCAAATCTACCCATTAAGAGATTCTGAAACTAGGTAAAAGGAAAACCAGACATTTCTTTCCACTCAAAATCTACTTTAAACAATGACACAGAGATGTTAAAATTAAATGATTAAAGAAATGTCATGTAAATACTAACCAAAAAAAACTGGTAGAGGAATTACTAGAATCAGACAAGATAGTCAAAAAAGAAATCAAGCTAAAAAATCATTAAATACAAAAAGTAGTATACTTCATATTGATAAAATCTATCCTAAAATGTAGGCTTCCCTTAGTCTCATTGGTCAAAACTGTATCACATGTCCACAGAGAAACCAATCACAGTCAAGGAGAATGGAATTCTCATGAAGAGTTAGACCACTTTGGGAATAAATCCCTGGAGCTGGGGTAGCACCTGCCTTTTCTGAAACACAGTTCATGCAAAGTAGGATGGATACTTGAAGAAAAATCAGAGCTGTAGAGAAGCAGGCAATCAAAAATATTTGACACATCACTCTGAAATTATCACAACGCCTAATTTATTTCCTTGCAGCATTAGTATTATGGTTTGGCTCTGTGTCCCCAGCCAAACCTCATGTTGAATTGTAATCCCCAATCTTGGGGAAGGGACATGATGCAAGGTGATTAGATTGTGGAGGCGGATTGCCTCCCTGCTGTTCTCATGACAGTGAGTTCTCAGGAAATATGGTTGTTTAAAAGTATATAGCACATCCCCCTTTGCTCTCTCTCCTGTTGGCCATGTGAAGATGTGCTTGCTTCCCCTTTGGCTTCTACCACGATTCTAAGTTTCCTGAGGCCTCCCCAGCCATGTTTTCTGTATAGCCTGTAGAACTGTGAGCCAATTAAACCTCTTTTCTTTATAAATTACCCAGTCTCAGATAGTTATTTATAGTAATGAGATAACTGACTAATACAATTAGTTACTACAGATTACTACAAGGTGATGAATCACTATAAAATTTAAAAGTATAATGTTGTATTTCTAAGTCTCCTTTTAATTGTTTACTCCTCCCTTAAAATGTAAACTTCTGGAGAGCTGGAACCTTGTCTATCCTGATCTTAATTATAGCTTCATCAACTTGCACAAGGCTCAGTATATAATAGGAACTCAATACATGTTTGCCAATAGAATGAATGAATGAGTGCTGGGAGAGATTACTCTGAGACAGATCAACCAGAATAATACAGTTAAAAAAAAAAATAAAAGCCAGAGAAGGAAAGCTTTAAAGTGGTGTTAGTGTTACAGAGTTCAGGGAGAAGATAGGAATTACAAAAAGACCACCAAACTGTATGTTCAGAAGGGATTTTACATTTAGGAAGCAATTTCAGTGACAGCATTTGTGAATATAAACCAGATCATAAGGAATTAAGGATGAGGTGGGTAATAAAGAAGTGGTTACAGTAAAATTACCTTTGTCTTTTTTTAAATTTGCTAGAAGCAGAAAAGGTAATATCTCTGAGGATAGCAAAATCAAGGAAGGGGTTAGCTGGTTTATTTTAGAATGGTAAGATGAGATGAGAAGTTCACGTGTGCTCTATCATCTTCTTCATGACCTACTGTCACCAACTGTGGCATATTTCTGACAAAAAAAGGAAGCATCCAATGGAGAAGAATGTATTGAAGATATAGAAAAAAGAGGAATTACAAATAAGTTTCTAGAAGAAGGAAGTGAATCACAGGTAAAATATTTAGAGTTTAAACTTGAGGAGGCTCCTTTTGTCCCCAGAGCCAAGAGTAATTAAAAATGTGAAAGTCAGAGAGACACATAGAACAAAACTTATGTGCTGTCACCTAAACTTAACCTAGATTATTTACCTAAGAATTATTCCATAGTAGGTATCCAATAAATATTTGCGGAATGAATGGAATAAACAAACACATAAATGGATGCAATGATTAAAATGTGTTGTGTTTTGTATCTTTTTACAGTAAACATGATCCTCCTGTTTTCTTAAGGTAAATCATTCAAGTGATAAGGAATGAAAGGTTCTACAAATAAAGAAATGCCTTTGGCCAGGTGCGGTGGCTCATGCCTGTAATCCCAGCACTTTGGGAGGCCAAGGCAGGTGGATCATTTGAGGTCAGGAGTTCGAGACCAGCCTGGCCAACATGGTGAAACCCCATCTCTACTAAAAATACAAAAATTAGCTGGGTGATAGTGGCATGCACCTGTAATCCCAGCTACTTGGGGGCTGAGGCAGGAGAATCACTTGAGCCTGGGAGGCGGAGGTTGCAGTGAGCCAAGATCATGCCACTGCACTCCAATATGGGTGACAGAGTGAGACCTGGTCTCAAAAAAAGAGAAATGCCTTCAATGAACGTTTCCCAACAACAACACGTCAGGCAAAAAAAGAGAGAAGCAAAAGTAAGGTAGAATAGATGGATAAGTATCCTTGTGTAGTCTACTGTTACTGAAATCCCTAAGGATGGAATTATTTGTATATTAAAGCTATTAATTTTACTGAAAGCTACAGTAAGTTAAACGAAATAATTTATGTAAAAGGATATATAATAAAAATATGTTCAATCAGTAACCAGAAAATATGTGTATATCAATATTTATCTAAGTCTAGAATAAAAACAAGATTAAGAAATAAAAAGTTTAATTTTCACTGTTTAAAATAACTGCTCAACCTGAAAATTAAATCCCAGATCTAGTATCCTAATTTGTTAAGCATTCTGTTTGTCAAATGTTCTACTTTTAACAGTTTTTATGTTCCAAATATATATGTCAAACTTTTAAAAACACTATTTAAAATCCACTAGAAGTTATTTAAAAATAAATCATATCTACAACTGACTTTGCAACATTCACCTTAGTATGCTAAGTACCTCACAATTTTATGTTAAGTTAAAAGCTCATAGAAGCAAATGAACACTTTTACGTCATTTAGCAGACATCATTAAAAGTACAACATGACTATGTACCAGATTTAGCTTCTACTTGTTAACTACTAGAATCTTACCATAACATTGCCTATTTGATTGTAGATTTCAAGATTAGGATCTTGCCAAGACAAAAAGATATTTATTTAAAAAAAAAAAAAACACTAAGGGATAAAAATGTTTCATGATTCGTCTTTCTTACACAGGAGCTAAATAAGTAAATTTACAACTCGCATGATTTCTTTCAATGATTTAATGACAACCTATGGTGCCCAAAACAGCCTAGGGACACATTTATACCATATGCTGGGCGAAACTATGAATGAGAAAGGGGTTCCACACTGTTGGGAAGAAGATAGCACTCAAAAGGGTCAAATTATAGCAACACTAATGAATACAAATAGTTCATTTTTCAATGGAATTTTTACACACAATTGTTGTAATAAATTACCTTGTTGGGGAAAGACAAAGAAAACATAAATTAAACCAAATCAAGGAAATCAAAATGGGAGTTAGAATTCTAGTTAATTATAGAACTGAATATACAGATTTGAGAAATGTTCTATAAGAAATAGTGACAGGATTTGTCAACCACTAGTATGACAAGAGGAAAAGTTGGAAAATAATAATGATGGGAAAGATAAATCATTTAGTTAGCTGGAGCCCCACCCCACTCCCTTTTCTTCTCGTTTAAAGGATCTGAAATAAAGTGGCACTTTGGAGCTAACCATGGGTCTTTCTCATCATTCTCATTTCATGCTGAGCAGCTTCTGGCCTATTAAAAGCAGGTATGAACATCAAGTATGCCACTGACTATTTTCAGTTACCATACCAGAAATTTCACATTGTAATGAAGATTATTCTTTAAGCACTTTTCTTAGAAGGCTCTGCATTCACTTCACTGATTTCCATTGCTCAAAACATATGGAATGCCTCACATATTTTTATACCCATGTAGTGTAACTTGGTTTTACTGTATGTGTATAACTATTTTTAGTGAACATTTATGCCAGTTTCATAACTTTGCATGCCTACTTTCTTATGCATTATCACATTCTCTGGATACCATCTCTAATTTCATATATCTTCGGTTTAAAAATAGCAGTGATGGTGGTGGTGTTTTGTTTTGCAGATGAGAAGTTCACCAGTGCTCTATCATCTTCTTGGTGACCTACTGGCACCAACTACAGCAGATCCACTGTGCATCCATGAGGCTAGGTACCATGAAAGTTTTGACCAGAAGGAGCCACCACCATACTCTTAAAACACATCCAGAAACTCACCTTTTATTTTCAATGCTTGTATTCTTGTTTTCAGGATTTTCATGTGTCTAAATATTTCTGTTCAGAAATTCTTCAAAATTATCTAGTACCTCAAATAAACAGTTAGCAATAACTAGTAGGGGCTTGTAAGTACCTTTTGATGTTGTTCATCCTTCATCTTTTGCAATTTTCTGTTTTCTTCTGCCTTTAGAGAATCTCTGTAAGCCCAGCTTCTGGCCTGTAAAGGTACAAAGAGAAAAAAAAAAAAAAAAACAACTTGATAGGATAAAGGGTTGTCACAGTACACCAAGCTGCCTACTATAGGCCCGGTGCTAATAACTCAACCTCCGTACTGAGCATATAGTAAGCTCTCCATACACACTTGGTTATTAAGTGATTTATGCATATGTCTGAAAACGTCCCTTGGAACATATAAAAAGAAAACTAGTGTAAGCACAATCATCCTGCACATTTGAAAGGATGATCTAAATGTTTAATTAAGCTTTAAAAATATCCCCTCAGAGATAATCAACATAGTTTATTCCTTCTAGTGGAAAGTTTAGGACATTTTCAAGAATATTCCGACTAGCTGATCAGTCAATATTAAAGACAAGCAATAGTGGCACTGTCTTTAGAAGAACGGGCATGTCTACTGCTCATTAATGATATCTGATTAAGCAGCTTGTCAACTAGTGGTTGATACCATATAATTTCAAGGATGCATATTTTCTAAGCACTTGCATCCCTAATCTGGATGAAGTTTTATTTCTACCTCTGAAAAGGAAAACAAAGCCTATTCAGGAACACATGACAACAAAGCCTTTGGCAAGCCAGCACATGAGGGAGAATGCCCTTCGGTGTCTCTGACCCACCACACCAGAGTTCCACACCCTGGCATAGTGACCATGTGTTCTGACATTTATGGCATTTCAAGTGTTCTGTTTATTTGTCATATGCTTTCTCTCCTTCACATTGATTTGCAGCCCCAGCTTCTGTAAGGCAAAGAGCTAATGCTTAGGAAATTACATGGATCTCATAAAAAACTATCAGCAGCTTCATGGCAGCAGGTTACATATTTCAGACCTAGTTCTCAGGACTAATAATCCATAAAGTTCAGGTAGGCTGGTTCCCCCTTTTTCCAGCCTACGTGAACTTTTATGTAACTTTTCTCAAGCACTTCTTAGTTCATTCTGGCATTTCTGTCACTATAAAAACCCATATCCCATCAAATAATAAGAACCACTTCCCAGAAAAAGAGAGAAGCTTTCAAAATGGTATCATCTATGGCAGTGCCAGTTAGAAAACTGGAGCTTCCTGTGTTCAGAAATCCCTGGTTTATCCAAACCCTGCTGCATTGGGCAGGTAAACATACATCATATGACTTTCTCTTATTTGCATCCTAAACTCAAGGGGACTGTGCTAAGACATAGAAGGGGAAAAGTGATTCTCTGACAAGCCTTTCTTTTTATCTCTGACAACCCCTTCTTTTTATATTAGAGAAGGCTAGCCTTTATCACAAATATTCCATATAAGACCTAGTGAGGAAGGGAAGAAGGGAGGGAGGGAAGGAGGGTGAGAAGAGAGGACAGGAAGGAAGGAAAGGAGAGAAGAAGAAAGGAAAGAAGACAGCTTCTACTCAAGATATTAAAAGGTAGAATAAAATATTTAGTTAAAGCAAAATTACAACTTGAATGAGAGTATCTAAATTCTATTTGAATAGCCTCCCTTTAAACTTGTCATTTTGTTGTTCTTTTATTAGAATACATGTCTTAGTTTTTGACTCAGAAAAAAGTGGTTATTAAATACCTTATTATTAAATAAGGTGCCTTATAAAGGTCCACAGAAACTGGGAAGTCACATGGCATCCAAACTTATGAAAAGTTCAGTTACTTGCAATCCTAATGTTTGCTTACCCAGCTGTGATCCCTAGGCAGGATAGGAAGTTTCTGTTCAAAAATAATAGAAGGGAATAAATTGATCACTATTTTTCTTAGCTCTAAACACCAGAAATTTCTAAGTCACTGTATTCACATAATTTGTCTAACATTGAAATATTCATTTAATACAATACCAATGCTATATTTTATCATTCAACCAAAATACACCTTTATTTATCCTCCCCAAAAGCTATGCTTATAATGTACTCATTCTATTAACAGTGTTTAAGGCTCCTCTGTGCAAGCACTGTGTCAGGACACGATCCCAGGCCTCAAGCATTTACAGCTTAGTGTGAAAGTCAAACGAGAAGACTAATGGTTACAGTACAGCATGATAGGTGATATGATAGAGGAAGCCAAAAAGAAGGATATTTAATTAAACTAGATTGAGGAGACTTTCCAAATCAAGTAAGGCTAAGTTATATTTCAAAGAGTGAGTAGGAATCAGACTATACCGGGAGAAGAGCATCACATGAGCAAATGGAAAATAGCAGTGCATGAGTTTGCTAGGGCTTCCATAACAAAGTATTGTGATACTGGTGGCTTAAAGAACAGAAATTTACTATCTTATAGTTCTGGAGGCTAGAAGTCCAAAATCAAGGTGTCTTCAGGGTTGGTTCCTTCTGAGGGCTATGTGAGAAATATCTTTTCCAGGCTTCTCTTTTTGGCCTGCAGACTCCATCTTCATCATGCATCTCTTCACATCATCTCCCTTGTATGCATGCTTCTGTGTCCCGATTTCCCCTTTTTATAAAGACACTTTTCATAATGAATTTGAACCCACTCTAGGAGCCTCATTTTAACTTATTTCCTCTGTAAAGATGCTATCTCTGAATAAGGTCACATTCTGAGGTGCTAGGGGTCAGGGCTTCCACATAAATTTTGAGAAGTGTGGGTCTCAACCCATGACAAGCATTAAGTTCTCCTTTCAAGATGGTGGAGTAAAGATGTTCCTGTTCCATTCTCCCCAAAATTACCCTAAACAAAGCAGAAAATGAAATACACACAAGCTCTATCTTCCAAAACCAAGAGATCCATATTCACAGAGGGAAATCTATGAAGACCAAGTAGATAAAGAAACAGTAAGTGACTTACAGAGGAAAAGAGCAAACCTGAAGACTTGCTGGAAGGGGCTAGAGGACACCTATGGGGAGCCAGTTCTCTCCACAGAGCAACATGAGGGCCCAAGAAATGGATGCACCAGCTATTGAGGAAGACAGATGGATAATAGGCAGGTAAAAAGGAAGGAATTACTAGATAGTCTCAGTAGAAGCCCTTCACCCCCATATACCTGCTCCTGCTTTGAAAATGCAGGTGCTAATTCACCAAACACCAACAGGAAATGAAAAGTGTATTTTCTGGATAAACTAAACCAGGCATATGTGTAAAGACAGCAGCAGTGGACAAATGCCAGGCTGAGAATGAAATGACTCTATAAAGTCCTGCATACTGACCAGTGAGCCTCTGAGTCCCTCTCTTTGAAGTTTTTTTCTGCTTCCTGTACTGTTTCTTCTGAGAAGTAAGAAGTGATATATATATTTTTAAAGTAACAAAGAAAAAAGGAGGAGTTTGGAGACATTTTTTTAAATCTCCCCTTCTTCCCCCCAAAAAAACCAAATCAGTAAAATATTTAGAAGATAAAGTCAAGAAAATATGCCAAAATATAGAAAAAAGGTAGTCACAGATAACTTACAGGAGAAAATCTCTAAAGTTAGAAGATAAATCCGGGAGGTCTACAATTTGAATAATAGAAATTCCATAAAGAGAAAATGAAAGGATATAAGTCAGAGATAACACAAGAAAATCATCTAGAACTAGAGATGAATTTCCAGACCGAAAATGAATTAAAAAAAGACTTTCACACTAAATCACATCATTACAGAATGCCAGAAAAAGAAAAGATGATATTAAAATATTTTCAGGGGAAACAGAGAAAATCCTTCATATAAAGCCTGAAATTCAAATGGCCTTGGATTTCTCAGGAACCAGTATTCAAAGTTAGAAGAGCAATGCCTCAAAATTCTGGAGGAAAATTATTTCCAGTTTGGAATAGTCATCAATAAAAATGCAAGCAAAGTATGAGAGCTGAATAAAGATAGTTTCAGACATGGAAGGACCTGAACATGTTTACCTTCCATGTGTCTTCTCTTGGGAAGCCACTAAGTAATATGCTCCACCAAAACAAAGAAATAAAGCAAGAAAATAGAAGAAATGAGGCCCAGAAATCAGAGAACCCAACATGGGAAGGCAATAAAAGCAATTCCCAAGATGACTTTAAAACAGGGATTCTCAACCTTGGCTGCACATTAGAATGGCCCGGGGAGCTTTTTTAAACCCTGAAGCCCAGGTCACAATACAGCAGGCTCTCTGGAGGTGCAACCCAGGTATCTGTGATTTTTAAAGCTCCCTAGGTGAATCCAGTGTGCAGAGGAGGCTGAGAACTACTGTGTTAAAGGAAAGTCCCAGAACAACAGCTGTGCGCCAGGCTTACAAACACCCAGGACAGGTTAAAGCAGGAGGAAAGAGGGATCCAGGAGGGAGAGAAAAAAAAAAATCCACAAGTTATCTGACAGGCATAAGTTGGAAAATTGTTTAGAAATTTGCGTCAAGAGGCATTTTGTAGAACAGTCACAAAAGCTGTCAGAAGACAGTCAAATGTTCAAAGGAAACTAAGAAAACGCTAAAATAAAATGTTTAAAGAGTTGTACAGAAGATATAACCAGAGTATACCGACTGGCTTGGCAGTGAGAAAACGTGTATATAGTCATAATAGGGAAAGCTCAAATTACTGAATAATTATAAGAATGAGAGGAAGAAATGAGTTAATAAGGTCTAAAATTGATTAGTCAAGAGATACCAACACATATTAACAGATATTCGGAGCTAACTAAGAAAAGAAACAGGTGGTGGGTTGCATAATGGCCCCCCAAAGACGTCCCAATCCCTGGAATCTGTGAATGTTTCTTTATGTGACAAAAGGGACTTTGCAGAAATTAAGGATCTGGAAGTGGAGAGATTAGCCTGGATAGTCCAGGTGGGCCCATTGTAATCAAAAGGGTCATTATAAGAGGAAGGCAGAAAGGTCAGGGAGGGTGCAGAAGGTTGGGTGAGATGGAAGCTAAACTGGAGCCATGCAGCCGTGTGCCAAGGGTTTGCGGGGACAGGGGACAGATGCCCCCCGGAAGCTTCAAAAGGAACCATTCCTGTTGATACCCTCATTTTAGCATTTTAAAACCCATTTTTATTGCTGACCTCCAGAAGTGTTAAGAGAATAAATTTTTGTTCTATTAGGTCACTACATTCGTGGTAATTTGTTACAGCAGCAAAGGGAAGTGTTCAAATGTTGCGGTGGAAGTGGGATTCAAGCGGCGCAAAGGGACACATGTTAAGTACTTTATTTGACTTCTTAATGAATGAGCATGTGACACGTAGATAAAAATTACAATAATCAACCTGCACTGAGTGCTCACAGTAGTGTGAGAGAGGAGAGCTGGAGAGGCATGAGCTATAGAGCTTGGCCCCTCAGACATTAACGTGCACACACATCTTCCATGGACTGTATTAAATACAAGCTCTGATTCAGGAGGTCTGCAGTGGGGCCTGAGATTGATCTGCATCTAAATCTTTGCTCCTGATTTCAAAAGCTTTGCTTCCCCTTACCTTGCTTGCAAAAGCTTTGCTTCCCCTCACCCCTTTGCAGAAGCAAAGATTTAGACTCGAGGCCAGTCCTCCAGACCCCAGAGGACTAGAAAGGGGCCATTCTAAAGAAAGAGACAGAATCTAGAATTAAAGGAGAGACGGAGGGACAGAGAGAGGAAAGGACTTTGTGCCTAAGCTAAGACATTTTGATTTTATCCTTGAAGATATGGGGGACCACTGAATGATTTGGGGAAGTGAAACACCAGGATAAGATTTTTTCACATCGTTATTCTTCGTTGAGGAAGTAGGGGCATAAGGCCGGGTGCGGTGGCTCACACCTGTAATCCCAGCACTTTGGGAGGCCAAGGTGGGTGGATCATTTCAGCCCAGGAGTTTGAGATCACCCTGCGCAATGTGGCAAAACCCTGTCTCTACAAAAACTACAAAAGTTAGCTGGGCGTGGGGGTGCGTGCCTGTGGTCCCAGCCACTTAGGAGGCTGAGGTGGCAGGATGGCTTGAACCTGGGAGGTGGAGGTTGCAGTGAGCCAAGATCATGCTGCTGCACTCCAGCCTGGGTGACAGAGTGAGACCCTGTCTAAAAATAAATAAATAAATAAAAAATGGGGGCAGCAAACCAGAGACTAGAAACCATTTCATATTTGACTAGAAATATGCAGCGATGGTCGCTGAGGAAGGTCTGATGATGCTGGTACTTCTGCCTACACACACAATACAGAGAACTATATTAATCCACATGTAAAAGTGAACCCTGTAAATATCTCTTGTCTGAAGTCCTAAGCCAAAAGGAATTTTCTTGTAACCACTAAAGGATTTTTCTTGTAATCTTTTACATTGACATAATTTTCTAGTATTTATTAAATCCCCATCTGCCAATGGCAGATCCACTTTTAAAGGAGAAAAGTACAAGAGGAAAAATCTTTTCAGGAAAGTTACATTAGGTAGTAAAATTAAAGTATTAAAAATTATATATAAATTCTTCCAGCTCATCACATCCCATATAGATGGCAATCACATAGTGTTCACATTCTATAAGTTGACCATAGCTAAAGTAAACTGCAGGTGTCCTCTTTTTACAAAGAAATGTTCTTCACAGAAGTGCAATGTACATATTTGATTTTCCTACACCATTAGAAATGATTCTGCAAAGCATTCTCAGAAGAATTCTATGCATATGGATGAGACAGAATGAGAAGAGTATAATATGGGTAAAAAGTCAATTAAATATATTGAACACTGAAACCGTATTAATAGTTTGGGGTCAAAATCGGAGCAGCTATTGCGTGGAGTTTATAAGGAACCGTCCTGGGTCCAATCTCCCTCCATATTTTCTATTAATAGCTCTGAGGATCCTATGACAAATGCACTAATCAATCCACAGAAAATGCAGCTCTGGGAAACATTGCTAATGCTTTGGATGACAATATTAAAATTCAGGACGATCTTGTTAAATTGAAGAAATGAGCCAAAATCAATAGAGCAGCACACGCAGTTCTGCCAGGTGTTCCACATTGCAGGATACAGGGAGCCCTCGAACGGAAAGGAAGACCAGCCTGGTAGGCGAAACTCCAGCTGGTAAAGCTATCCAACTCCTGTTCTCCCTCTCCCTCCCTGACAGCCACAAGGATATCCAGACAGGTGTTTAGGGCTGTCATCTACACATGATTTAACTCCACTGCCTACAGCTTCTCAACTCTTTCCCCCAGAGCCCAGCAGTGAGGGAAGAGAGATGATGAATTTCCTTTAATATAAGTTGTAGGGCCCACACTGATGAATTTAGACTTTAGAACATCACATTAGAAGCAGAAAGAAAAAAATTAGGAAACAACTAAAGATTTCTAAGTAGGAGTATAATGACCTCTTCCTAAGGAGTGTCATAATATCTTCCTGACATTTAAAAACATGGTCTCTATTGAGAAAGGGGTAAGGGGAGATGAAGATGAGGGTTCTTTAACAACTCATTTAGCTACCCAAACTCTGAGAAACCTGAGACTTTAAGAAACTTAAATTCATCTTTTCTTTCAGCTACAACCCTTATCCAGAGTCATCCTTAATTACACTTACTTTCTTGTCCCCAGTTAGCAAGTCAATAAACAAGCCCTGCCGCTTTCACCTTCTAAGCAGTTTTCTGACCTGCACTCTCTTCTCCATCCTCTCCCCCGCTGTCCTAGCTGAAGTCTTCATCATTCTTTACCCAGACTGATACAGAAGCCTTGGGGGGCCTCTCTGCTTCTCTATTCCTTTAGAGCCCTCCTTCACAATGTTGCCAATGTGATCCAGAATGAAAACACAAATCTAACCTTGAGTTTTCCCTGTTTAAACATTTCCAATACCCTCAGTGCTCACAGAATGGGGTTTAGGTTTTCCAAGGTGGCATGCAAATTTCTGTGGTGGTTTTCTACCAGGAGCACCATGAGCACGCAGTATGCGGGGCATTTCTACATGTCTCATTGGTAAGCACTGTGTGGGGGCATTTCTAGATGTCTCAGTGTCTGGGTGGCGCTACTGGCCCTTCATGCCCAGGGCCTAGGGATACTAAGCATCCTGCAGTAATCAAGACAACTCACACAATGAACTGTCCCACCTGAATTTCCAGAGGTAACACCATTGGGAAAGGGTCCTCACCGTTCCTGCTCATTTCTATATCCTTCTAGCTCACTTTTCTGCACTGCAGCTACATAACTCTTCTTCCGCAACACAAGCCATGCTTATTTCTTGCATTTATACCTTAATTCTTGCTCTATGTGTCTTTATTAATTCTGATACCTGGAAAGACTCATCACTTTACTGATTCATAGTTTAAGCTTCTGCTCTGGTGTCATTTCCCAAGAAGCATCTAACGCACATG
The DNA here is from genome assembly GCF_000001405.40 of Homo sapiens. NCBI lineage: Eukaryota > Metazoa > Chordata > Mammalia > Primates > Hominidae > Homo > Homo sapiens. The sequence goes on from NC_000013.11 coordinate 42,925,829, forward strand.
GTCTGACTTAGATGCTTCTTCCTGATAAGGCAGTAGTGCTTTCTTATTGTGATATGCTCTGTGCTCAGCAGTTTGCTTTAAAACCATTAGTGTTCTCCTTTACTAAGGTTCATTGGGCAGAAACTGTAGGCACTTAGTAGGCCTTATATAGACCTATGAATTTAAAGAATGGAAGGAAGGATGGATGGATGCATGGATGGAAGGAAGGAAGGAAGGAAGGTAGGAAGGATGGAAGGATGGAAGAATGGATGGGTGGATGGGTGGGTGAATGAATGGTTGGGTGAGAGGAAAAACTTCTCTGAGGCTGTTTTAGTCCAGGTGCCCATAAAATAATACAAGCATTATTTTATAGCTCAGGCAACAGTTGAGGTCAAAGTTTCGGATCAGGTCATCTGTCTTTAGTTCCAGCATTCTATGATGTACAAGTCACTCTATATCCCTCATCTTCAGTCACTAAATACCTCTATAAAATGTGCCAGGCAGCACCCTGCAAAGTAATTCACTTACCCATGTTGAGGATTGTGGGCCACAAACAGCACTTTGACAGGCACTTCTGTCTGGCGATTCTGTGTTCAGTTTGCTCAAGAACTCAGCGGTTTTGCTACCAGAAACACAAACAGGTGTTAGTGCCTTCACAAAAATATGAACATAATTCTTTATTTTTCCTTTGGATACTAACCTAGACTTATTTGGGTGATGATTAAAATTATCTTCAGCAGAACAGAAAGTTACGTTGAGAACAAGGTGTAGCAGAAATCAAAACAAAATGCTATTGCAAGATTGCATTCTTCAAGAACAATATTACAAAATTATAAAACTAGCTTTATGAAATGTGAGCTTATGACCTCATTTTTTCCACTTTATATTACTGACATAAATACAAGTCCTCTCCCAGAGCACATTCCACAGCATGCAGCCCTAATTTCCTATCTGAACATTTAATGCTTAACACTCAGACTTCAGGGTGGAGCTGTGGAACATTCACGCCCTACAACATCCTGCTTCACACCAGTTTTACATTAAGCCCTTTACCCTCTCATCTGCCTCATGGCTTTGACCACTGTTAGGACACAGAGACCCTCTAATCCAGTAGCTCTTTTCCATTTATGGATCATGGAGCCCTTTTGGACTCTGAAAGCAAAAGTGAACCCTCTGTTAACAGACACACACACACACACACACACACACACACACACACACAGTCCTTTGCATTTTGTTTCAGAGAGAGGATAAACCCTCCATAGGGTTTATCTATAGAGGTTAAAAAGTGCTGCTGATTCTAGACTGCATTTCTAATATCTCTTTTTAGCTCTGAAAAATTGACCTAGAAATGTCCTCAGTTTAAATAAGAAGTTCTCTGTTTTTACCTTAAAAATCCAAACCACCACCCCAATTTCCCCTCTCACTTATGCCAAGCATAGAACACTGGAATTGTTTCCTAGTCCTTACCTCAGTGCCTGGCCCATTCTGCCTACCCTTGATTAATTTCTACGCCTTTGTCCTTTTCTCATGTAATTTGTGTGATTTTTATCTCTTCATTGCACATTCACAGCCACATACCTCATTGAGCACTGACTTACTTTGCACCAGACTTGCGCAGCCTGTTCCCATCTCCCTCCCTCCTCCTGCTAGCCCTCTGCTTCCCCCTAATATTTTAAGCCCAATGCTAAGATCTGATTCATCAAGTACTTAGGACATGGGCATCAAAGGAAACACAAAGTATCTGGTAGAACAAATGGCATCCAGTGTAGGAGCAAAACAAGGAATTAGAAACTAAACAGGTGCCAGCATCACTTCAAATATTACTTAGGTAGAACATGGCATTTGAAAAAGGTCAGAAGCTTGATCTGGGGAAGGAAGAAATAAAAGTGAAGCAACATACAGAACCCTGAGAAACATTCAGCAGTTGAGACGAGCAGCCTTTCCATTTGTCTTAGATTACTTATCTTGCCCAGAATAGACAAGGAGACTAATGAAGTCACAGAGTGTGGAAGCTGCCCCATTGTCTGGGGCTTTATGAAGTCATCAGTCAAAAGTATAAAAAGAAGAGTGATGCCAGAAGTTTGGATGAGATCTCTGAATATCCTAAGCCAAGTGCAGGCCATAGGAGAAAGCAGTGAAAAAGAAACACTGTGACAAGCAAGGAAGAAACTTCAGACCAAGTTGACAGGCAGCCCTTCAGTTTACTGACTGCCGCTTCTTACCTGCCAACGCCAAGCACAAAGCTGCCTGCAGAGCCAGCCTCTATCTGTGGTCCTTGTGCCAATTATCACTGCCCCACTCATGCCGCAGGATATAAAGCAGAGTGACAGGGTCACAGGACTGCCAGAGGAATACAGGTAGGGGCCTGCAGAGTATGCGGATTACTGCCAAGTGATCAACTATACAAAGGAAGTCCCATGTTACGACACTAACTCATATTTTTCTACTATTAGCATTAGTCCCTGGTATATAAAATTTCCATATATTGGCTGAACTGAAGTGGGATCCCTGTAGGTAACTCTGGTTATATTTAACAAAAATAAGATGTAGAACCTGTTTGAGGGGCAAACGAAGGAAAACATCCTCGTGGGAAGTCCAACTGGACTAAGAACCCTGGACTCTAGCACTGTTTTCACCTTGCCCTTGGGGGTTCTTGGTATTATCACTACCGTGACTCTACTGCCTGTTGGAGAGGGGTGGTCCTCTTCCACTTTGTCACTCTGATCCAAGCATGAAAGATTTCTTCCTCTATTCTCCATAGAACAAAATAAAATTTACTTATGTCCAACTTAGGATCTTTAAGGGTCCTTCCTGCTCATTCTTAGGTTGATTTCTATGGCATATCCTGAAAGGTCCCTTCAGGAAAATCTCGCCTCAACAGAATACAGTTGTAGCAGACTGCTAAATGGTCATGAAAATTTACATTCTCCTCTTCTGGCCACACAACTTGGCTACATTTCCTAGCCTCCCTTGCAGCTAAGGTTGGCTATATGATTGAGTCTTGACCAATGGAATGTGAGAAGTGTTGAATGCCACATCCAGTACTAACTTATTAGAAAATTCCCATGCATGTGCCTCCATACATTGTTCTCCTGGCTGGAACAGAGACAGCCCTCAAGGAAATGCTGGAAGTTGTGCATTGAAGGTGGTGGAGTCTCTATCAGTTTTGGTTCCTAAATACCTGAGTGGAGGAGGCTGCCTTTCAAATTATGACACAATGGTATTTTAAAAAGCAGTCTATGCTTTTTGTGAATTCACTTATATGTAGTAAAATTAGAAACACTTGCCAAGTGAGAAGAGCAGCTCCTGGCATCCAGGAACTGATCTGATGCTCACGTCTAAATCTCAGTGTTATTATAAACTGATTTGATCTGACACTGAAGTTAAGCCTTGTTCCACTGTTGGATGTAAATAGTCACACAGAATATCTACTTCACACAAGGTCATCATGCAATCTACAAAGTACCAAACATCATCTCCTCTAAGTGAATGACCACTACTTCTTCACTAATTACAGCTTCGTAGTCACTCTAGGTCCTTCCTATAGGTAAGATTTATTGAGATACCCAATCATAAAACTGTCCCCACATTCTGATGGCACTCAATCCAGAGCAACTCCCTGCCTCCGTAGACCCTCCCCAAAATTACCCAACCAAAGCACAAATCCTGTAGTAGGGTCTTTCTAACACTTTCTCCCTGAGATAACTCACCATTCCCTATGGTATGCATTTTCCTTTGCTGCAATGAGTAATAAACCCAACTTGTTCAACTACAGGTATATTCCTGGTAGTTTTTGGTTAACGCACATTGACAAATATTACATACCAGGACAGTGGTTACTGCTAGAGAAAGACAGAGAAGGAAGGGATGAGGGTGGAGGGACAGCTAGCTGTCTCTGTAATATTTATCTTTTTTAATTAACCAAATATAAGTAATATCTTAACAATATGAGCTTAGTGGTTGATGCATATTTTCTGTGTGTTTGAAATGTTTCTTAAATAAAAAGGGGATAAAAAACCCCACACAGACTATGGTGGTGTTTACTAGGGAAAGACTTGGCAGATACCATTCCAGATTTCATAGAACAATAGTTTCCAGAATGCCAGTGGGAAGACCAGTGTGGGGCTGGCTATATGAGAATCATCTGTGGTGCTTCCTAGAAATTACTGGACTCAGGCCTCTGACTCTAATTGAGCATGTCTGGAGTGGGATCTGGGAATCTGCGTTTCTTAAAAGCACCCCTGGTGATGTTAAGAACTACTACAGTAGTACAGATGGATATTCAATATGCATAATTATCTTAAGTCTACATGACTCTGACTTATGAATAATTCATGTTATACAACACATTTGGAAATAAAACCTCAGCGTGTCTTAGGAACTGTCTGTATAAGTACAATCTAATAATGCATTCTACATGTATTTTGCAATAGCTTCACAAACCTGAACTTTGCCACCATGAGGTTTAGGTAAGTAATCATTCGTACATGCATGCATGCATTCATGCAGGCAACAAATATTTCCTGAGTCTCTGCCATGTGTTTAGCAATATGGGTTATAGGACAATCTAAAGAAGTATTATTTTGCTTAAGTCAGTTTCACATAACTGGGTATGAGCAAATGACATTCACACACCTATAAGCACTCACAGAGCCTATGTAAGTAAGAGAGTGAGAGATAATCTATTGGGATACACAAAACCCATTTAAGAAATCACAAGAACAAGATTTACAAAACAAAACATGAAAGTGAGTAGTAATGCTGGGAGAACTTTGTGCTTAATCAAAGTAATCAAACTATTGCATACACTTTACAGAATTCTTTCCCTTCATTTATCTGGTCTTTAATGATTTAATTTTTAATTGCAAAAGCAATACATAAATACGAGTCAGAAAATAGAATAGAAATTAGATAAAAATATAAAGAAAAAAAGTGAAGGTCCTACTTAATACCTCTCTCAACCTGACTCCTTTCCCCAAAGGACAACATCATGAATTGTCAGGTATGTATCCTGATTTTCTATTAATTGATAAATATCTATTTAAAATTACATACAAATGAATAGTGGTTTACTTTGGGGGAGGATAATTAGGATAAGGCAGAGAAGGCCAGCTGTTCTCTAAAATGTGTTTCTCTGCTTCCTGCATATATAGCTAGACTACGTTTCCCAGCTCCCACGCAATTAGATGTGACATAGGAGCATACATCTGCATTCTGGCCAATGAAATGTGAGTAAATGTATGGGCCAGGCTGAAGTGATCCACATCAATAACCTCTCACAGCATTCTTAATACTCTTTCCTCCTTCTATCTGATGATGGTATCTTAAGTGAGCCTGCAAGGCATTTGCAAAGGAGAGTAGAGCTACCTTTTGCCTACAGCTTTTTTTTTTTTTTTTTTTTTTTTTGAGACGGAGTCTCGCTCTGTCGCCCAGGCCGGACTGCGGACTGCAGTGGCGCAATCTCGGCTCACTGCAAGCTCCGCTTCCCGGGTTCACGCCATTCTCCTGCCTCAGCCTCCCGAGTAGCTGGGACTACAGGCGCCCGCCACCGCGCCCGGCTAATTTTTTGTATTTTTAGTAGAGACGGGGTTTCACCTTGTTAGCCAGGATGGTCTCGATCTCCTGACCTCATGATCCACCCGCCTCGGCTTCCCAAAGTGCTGGGATTACAGGCGTGAGCCACCGCGCCCGGCCTTGCCTGCAGCTTTTAATGCCAGGGGGCGAAAGCTAACCTGACTCAAACATCAGCCCTGGATCATTCCACAAGAAAGATATAAACTTCTTGTTCTTTAAGTCACTGAAATTTTGGTGTTTATGTTTTTTAACTACAGCTTTTCCTACCCTAAACTAACAGACTTTTTTCTTTAAGTGGGATACTATATTTTGTTCTGAAAATAGATTTTTGTCATCTAACCACATCTTTGAGATTTTTCCATATTTATAAATATATATCTTATTCCTTTTGGCAGCTGAATAGCATTTTATGATATGGATATAATACATTTAACATTCTTATGGATGGATATTTATAGTTTTTTCCAGTGAGCATCCTGGTATATACATCTTGTGCAAATACATAAATATTTTTTCTAAGATATACACCTAGAAGTAGAATTTTATTCTAATATAGGTTCCCATAAATAGATATGCAATTTTTTGTTTTTGTTTCTTGAGACAGGGTCTCACATTGTTGCCCAGGCTGGACAGCAGCCTTGACCTCCTGGGTTCAAGTGATCCTCCTACATCAACCTCCCAAGTAGTTGGGACTACAGGAGCACACCACAATGCTCAGCTAATATTTTTTTAGAGGTGGGGTCTTGCTGTGTTGCCCGGGCTGATCTCAAACTTCTGGCCTCAAGTGATCCTCCCACCTCAGCCTCCCAAAGCATTGGGATTACAGGCACGAGCCACTGTGCTCAGTCTATTCACGATTAAACCATGCTTAATAGTGCCAAGCTGATCTACACAAATTTATATTTTCACCAAAAGTTAACTTTATGAAAGTGGCAATTCAGAACCATGGCTAACCTCCTGTAAGTACTAATTCTATCCTGTCTTACACATTCCTATTTATCTCGGTCACCACCGAGTGTTCCAGTCTCACCTATCACTCAATATGACTCAGTCTCTCAATCCCACACTGCCCCATATATCTACCACTTAAGCCCCCACACCTCCCTCTAGCCTTCCAAACCTTTCCAAGGGGGCAAAAGTCTCTCGATCTTTATCCAAGAGTTAACAACTCAGGATTCTTAACCTCATATCAGAAAGTCTCCCTCAAATACAAAATCACCATTAGGCAAACATCCAGGTAAAAAAAAAAAAAAATGTTGGCAAGATTAATTTACATAGGCTAAAATCACTGGGCAAAAGTTTGCAGATAACAGGATATTAGTATAGTCTTAAAATATCTCCCCCAAAACATTCATCAATTATAAAGAGAAAAACAATAACTTAACAGTGGAGACCACCTTACCAAATGATCCAAGTAAATATCACCAGTGATAAGGATACTGATCATCATGTACCCTCTGATGCGATGCACTGAGAAGGACATGGCATCACTTCTGTAATTTTCTTGTTGGAAATTATAACTTCAAGCTATTCATGAGAAAACATCAAACAAACCCAAACTGGGGGAAGTCTACAAAGTAACTATCCATTACCCACTGAATGTGTTAAGGTCATGAAAGAGAAGGGAAAAAATGAGGTACTGTCACATATTGGAGGAAATTAAGGAATCATAATGACTGGATGTTTTATGTGATCCTGAATTGGATCCTGAAATAGAAAAGGAGCACTGGAGGGAAACTGATGGAATATGAATAAGGTCTGTAGTTTATATTAATAGTATTGTACCAATGTTAATTTTCTGATTTTGATCATTGTACTATGGTTGTATAAGATATTAATGTTAGCTAGATGAAGATTTTATTGGAAACTATTTTTCTACTATTTTTGTATCTTCTCTCTAAGTTGGAAATTATTTCAACATAAAAAGTAAAAAAAAAAAAAAAAAAAAGAGTCTGCCTCATTTTCCCACATTGTCTGAAACCTGACCACCTCTTGAGAACAGTACTTCCCACAACCCCCCGAAATGGAACTATTTTACTTCCATATACATATTCCTTGGTGCCTGAAAATGAAGCAGACATCCTGTTTGCTCCCAATCTACTTCCAGACCATTACTTCCCCCATCATTTGCAAAACATGTTTGCTTCTGTAGTACCCACAACACAGAATACACCATCCTCTTTGCCATTGTCATCCTTCAACCTTCTGGTCAACCATCTCTCATTTGTTTAAGATTTCAGCCTTTGGTGCACCCAGGAGGTGTGGGTATCATGTAATTGGCAGTTGGTCAAAGCTGGTGCCAGACCCAGCCTCCTGAAGGAACCATGTCCTGCAGCTTTGGGTGCCACTCGTCATGTCAGGCACACACTGCTGCCCAAGCGGAGCTGCTCTTTGAATTCTCTGTGAATGCTGGGAGGAGGAACACCAGAGCTGCTGGCTGAAAATTGTCCAAACAAGAGGAATACCCCCCTGCATGGACTTCCTGGTTCTCTTCCTGCTCTACTGGCTTTGGTGCTAGTTGGTTATGTTATGACCTGTTTTTGCTAGAAAACTCATGATTTGAAATGCCTGGTCAGGGCAGGGGCACAGATATTTTCCTGTATAATTCCAGAATGTCTTCAGAAAGCCATGTAAAGATTGCTTCACTACCTCTTCCATACATGAAACCATACCTTCATTATCCTTCACCTGGTCTTGCAAGGAATGGTAAATACTGAATATACCTGGGAAATACTGGGCTACCGTCAAAAGCTAGTTCTCCTGTATTACCTTCTTCTGCCCTGTCTGCTTCTGATTGTAAACCCGTTTATTTCCACCCTAACTTGTGTAACTGATTCTGGCATTATAAGAAAAGCAAATGAATTATTTCTTCAAGTTTATGAATTCAGTGATGTTTCTAAAGAGGTGAGGTGCTCTACTTATGAGTTACGAACACCAGCTCGATCAAAGCACTGACTGCAGTGTGTGCACCGTTTTGACCATCGTTAGGTTTGGGTGAACAACTGCATCTGGGCTTGGAACGCCAGTTATTAATACTTTCTCATCTACCTCTTGATGTTGACGGCTTTGGCTGCTGCCATGGCCATTGTGAGCACTGCGTTTCTGGTCGATTTGGTGGTATTGTTGGATTTGTACTAGACTTACACTGATGACCTTGGACACTTCCAGTTTATAGACTTGATTTTTCTTATTTAGTACCTGTTCCTGACCTTTCTAACAATTGTCTTCATGCTGGGGTTGTGGTTGGGGGGACGTTGTAATGGTCCTGAGCTTTCTCCTGGGTAGCTACCTGTGCTTTGCTCTGTACCTGGTTGCCATCAACCAGACTACTAATGAGTGGTACAGAGGTGACTGGGCCCCATGCCAGCATTGCCCCCTCATGGCCTGGCCCCCATCAGGAAAGCTCCAAATCTACCAGAACATTCACTCCCATGGGCTCTGGAGCAAACTTTGAGAGATCTTTCTACCTGCCATTCCAAATAATGAGAGAAAGAAGAAACAAGAATGGAAGAAGTGTCACTGCCTTTTAAATATAGTATGCATTTATTATTTAAGAAAAAACCTTCAGCCTTCCTCCCTATCTTGACTACTGTCAACATGGATATCCTATGTGCTGCCCCCCCACAGGCTGTGTTTCTTGATTTCTTGGTCTCCAGTAGCTCTTCTTCACTCCACCTCAGCCACACTGCCAGGGCCATACCCTGGACATTGTTGTCATGAATAAATGTCCTCTCTCCAAATTATCTGACAAATTCCATTCCTGAATACAGCTTTCTGTCATTCCATGTTCTTCTTTCAAGTACTATCAATATAACAACATTCCAGTCTCTCTGGGATTTCTAAACCACTGATTCCCCACCTCTTTCTAACCATCAGCTCCCATCTATTTTAATTCTTGCGCAGCTTAGAGCCCATAGTCCATTTTTTAAATCTTTCCCTTACAAATGCCTTTCTTCCTCTTCTCCCTGCTTCCATCATATATGTCTGTAAAAATCTCAAACCTAGATCAAGTCAACCATCTGCTTTCTCTGAGTCTGCACCAGAACAAGTAAATCAAACTTGGGAAAAATAATACATCTGGTGTTTGGGGATGGGAGGTATGAAGGAGGAGGGAGTGGTAAAGTAGACTGGCTTCAAATGAAGTCCATTAACTCTAGCTTCATCCTACCGAATTCTTCTACTCCATTTCACTCATAAATTCTTTTTTTTATTTTTTATTTTTTTGAGGCAGAGTTTTGCTCTTGTTGCCCAGGCTGGAGTGTAACGGCGTGATCTCGGCTCACTGCAAACTCCATCTCCCAGGTTCAAGTGATTCTCTTGCCTTAGCCTCCTGAGTAGCTGGGATTACAGGCACCTGCCATCATATCTGGCTAATTTTTTGTATTTTTAGTAGAGACAGGGTTTCACCATGTTGCCCAGGTTGGTCTCAGACTCCTGACCTCAGTGATCCACCTGCCTCAGCCTCCCAAAGTGCTGGGATTAGAGGTGTGAGCCACCATGCCCGGCCCACTCATGAATTCTTCTCCTGTACCTTTTGTTTGTTCTCAGTTCTCAGCTGACAATCTCCTCATACTTCATTGAGAATAGAGAAATAAGTCTTTCATCTTCTCAACACGAAATCTTTTAAGTCTTCCTATATCTGTACCTATCTTCCTTTAACAAAAATGTAAAGACTGCTTCCTCAATTATAAAAGGAGAAGTACTCTCCTTTTAATCATTGACTAATCATTAAGCATTGGTTATGTATACTCAGGAACTTATTCATATATTCTTTCTCAAGTTTATTTCTTCTGTCATCCCCTTGTGTCTAGTCTTCCCCTCCTCTCCTGGATCATTTCTATCAGCATACAAACATGATCAATTTAAGAAAACTTTTGATTCCGCAGCCTCATCCAGTTACTGCCTCATTTCATTGTTCTCATTTTCAAATTATTCAAGAGTTACTGATAAATGCCAAATCTATTCCCATATCTCCATTTACTCGTAAGTCCAATTCAATCAAGCTCCAGCCCCATCATCATACCCAAATCATTTATGTCAAGATCACAGCCACTGTCACTGGTCCTTCTCTCATTTGAACTTTCAACACTAGTAAGGAATTGACTAATTTCTCCTTTCGGAAATATGTCTGTCCTGTTTTCCATGATACCACACTCTTAATTTGCCCGACTTCTCGGATGTCCTTTCGTATCTACCCGAACTCTACATGATAGAGCTCCTCTGTATTTGGTCCTGGGCCCTCTTCTCAAACCTGCAATTTCATCTTAAGTGACTTTGTCCACTTTTATGGCTTTATATTTACATGCTAATATAATTCCTAAATTTATATTTCCCACATATCTGCTCAGTGAGACCAAATTCGTGTGTACAACTGCCCATTTGATATATCCAAACCATCTCAAACTTAAACTCTTGATATTTTTCTAAATATGTAAACTTAAACTTAACTTAAACTCTTGATATTTTTCTTCCCAAACCTTGGTTTTCACCTAGTAGCCCCCATCTCAGTACATGGCATCACTACACCTCCAGTACTTCAAGTCAGAAACTTGGGAGTCATCCTTGATTCTTCCTCCTTCTTCATCCCCAATATCAATATGTCCTATTGAACTTACATACAATATGTAGTTATAGTCATACGTCAGAGATATTGTGAGTTTGGTTCCAGACCACTGCAAAAAAAGCAAATGAAATATTGCAATAAAGTGAGTCACATAAATTTTTTTGTTTTCCATTCATATAAAAGTTGGGTTTACACTAGATTGTAGTCTCTTAGGTGTGCAATAGCATTATGTCTTGAAAAATGTACACTTTAATTTAAAAATACACGTTGTTGCTAAAAAAAATGCTAACATCTGAGCCTTTGGTGAGTTGTAATCTTTTTGCTGCTGGAGGCTCTTGTTGATAACCTGCTGACTAATCAGGGTGGTAGTTGCTAAAGGCCAGAGTTGCTGTGGCAATTTCTTAAAATAAGACAGTGAAGTTTGCCACATCAATTGACTCTTTCTTTCATGAAAGATTTGTGTGTAGCATGCAATGCCGTTTGACAGCCTTTTACCCATAGTAGAACTTCATTCAGAATGGAAGTCAATCTCTTAAACCCTGCCACCACTTTATCAGCTAGGTTTATACAATATTCTAAATTTCAAGTCATTTAATCAATGTTCACAGCAACTTCAGCAGGAGTAGTTCCCATCTTAAGAAATCCCTTTCTTTGCTCATCCATAAAAAGCAACTCCTCATCCGTTGAAGTTTGATCATAAGATTGCAACAATTCAGTCACATCTTCAGGCTCCACTTCTAATTCTAGTTCTCTTGCTATTTCCACATCTGCAAGACTTCCTCCACTGAAGTCTTGAGTCCATCAATGTCATCCATGAGGGCTGGGATCATCCTCTTCCATATTCCTGTTAATGTTGATATTTTGACCTCCTCCCATGAATCACAAGTGTTCTTGATGGCATCTAGAATGGTAAATCCCTTCTAGAAGGTTTTTAATTTAGTTTGCCCAGATCAATCAGAAGAATCACCATCTATAGCCTTTAAAAATCTATTTCTTAAATAATAAGATGTGAACATCAGATTTATTCCTTGATCCATAGGCTGCAGAATGGAGACTGCGTTAGCAAGCATGAAAACATTAATTTCCTTGTATATCTTCCAGGCATCTCAAAGTTAGCATGTTTGACCTTGAACTTTTGATATTTTTCTTCCCAAACCTTGGTTCTTGGTTTTGATATTTGGTTTAGAAATACTGCCAAATATCCTAATAGGTATTAGAACCAAGGTTTGGGAAGAAAAATATCAAAAGTTTAAGTTGAAATATGCTAACTTTGAGATGCCTGGGAAATATACAAGGAGATTAGTGTTGTTTTCATGGGTGATTAGGTGCATTGTCAATGAGCAGCAATATTTTGAAAGGAATCTTTTCTTCTAAGCAGGTCTTATTAGTGGGCTTAAAATATTCAGTAAACCATGATGTAAACAGAGGTGCTGTCATCTAGGCTTTGTTGTTCCATTCATAGAGCATACACACAATTTAGCATATTTTTTTAAGGGCCCTAGGATTTTCAGAATGGCAAATGAACATTGGCTTCAACTTAAAGTCACCATCTGCATTAGCCCCTAACAAAAGTTAGCCTGTCCTTAGAAGTAGGTATTGACTTCTCCTGTCTAGCTATGAAAGTCCTAGATGGCATTTTCTTCCAATAGAAGGCCGTTTCATCTACATTAAAAATCTGTTGTTAGGCTGGGTGCAGCGGCTCACCCCTGTAATCTCAGCACTTTGGGAGGCTGAGGTGGGCGGATCACCTGAGGTCAGGAGTTCAAGACAAGCCTGGCCAACATGGTGAAACACCATCTCTACTAAAAATACAAGAAATTGGCCAGGCATGGTGGTGGGTGCCTGTAATCCCAGCTACTCAGGAGGCTGAGGCAGGAGAATCACTCGAACCTGGGAGGAGGAGGTTGCAGTGAGCTGAGATTGCGCCACTGCACTCCAGCCTGGGAGACAGAGCAAGACTCTGTCTCAAAAAAAAAAAAAAAAAATCTGTTGTTTAGTATACACACCTTCATCAATGATCTTAACTAGATCTTCTGGATATCTTGCAGTTTCTACATCAGCACTTTCTACTTCACATTGCATGTTTATATTATGGAGCTGGCTTCTTCCCTTAAACCTCATGAACCAACCTCTGCTAGTTTCTAACTTTTCTTCTACAGCTTCCTCATCTCTCTCAGCTTTCATAGAATTAAACAGTGTTAGGGCCTTGCTCTAGCTTAGGCTTTGGCTTAAGGGAATGTTTTGGCTGGTCTGATCTTCTATCCAGACCACTTGAACTTTCTTCATATTAGCAATACAGCTATTTTGCCTTCGTATCATTCACATGTTCACTGGAGTAGCATTTTTAATTTCCTTTGAGAACTTTTCTTTTGCTTCACAACTTGGCTAACTAATGCAAGAGGTCTAGCTTTTGTCCTATCTTGGTTTTCAACATGCCTCCGCACAGAGCTTAGTCATTTTTAGCTTTTGATTTAAAATGAGAGACATGTGATATTTCCTTTTACTTGAATGCTTATGGGCCATTGTAGGGTTATTAATTGGCCTAATTTCAGTATTGTTGTGTCTCAGGTAATAGGAAAATCCAAAGAGGAGAGAGAGATAGACAGGGGAATAGCCAGTCAGGGGAACAGTTAGAACACACACAACATTTATTGATTAAATTCACTGTCATTTGTGGGCAGGGTTTGTGGGTCCCCAAAACAATTACAATAGTAACAACAAAGATCACTGATCATGGATCACCAAATCAGATGTAATTATAACGAAAAGTCTGAAATATTGTACAGATTACCAAAATGTGACACTATGACACAAAGTGGGAAAATGGCACCAATAGGCTTGCTCAACACAGGATTGCCACAAACTGATAATTTATAAAATTTTAAAAAATGAAATATCTGTGAGGTGCAATAAAGCAAAGTGCAATAAAACAAGGCACGCCTGTACTTTTCTCTGCACTGACATCACTTAAGCTGAGCCACCACCAACTCTTATCTGGACTACTGCAGTAACATCTTTAGTAGTTTCTCCATTTATTCTCTTGCCTTCTCAAATCTATTCACAACACAGCAACTAGAGTAGTCATTTCTTTTTGAAAAATAAAAATTTTCTACAGGTTATCCCTGTGGCTTGAAAAACATGCAGACTCTGTGCCATGGCCTGTGTGGTCCACTTGACCTGCCTAGCTCCTGCCTGTCTTGTCAACTTCGTCATCTCTTTTTTTCACTTCAGCCCGAACATACCAGCTTCCTTTCAGGTTGCTGAGTACCCTATATGCCATTGCCTCAGCCTAGAACTTTCTTTCTGGTTCTCAGTATGGCTGGTTCCTTCTCATCCTTTTATCTTCAGTTCAAATGTCATTTTCTTGGAAAGTCGGGTCCTACCTATCATGCTAAGGAGGTGTTGCCTTCCTAGTACCATTATGTTCTCTTACCCTACCTCTAACACTATGTTCCTTCATAGGAATTGTTCGAATCCTACACAGTTATCCTACACAGTTCTTTGTCAGCTTGTCTATTTTCCACATTTGCTCATGGAGCCATATTTGCTTTATTCATAATAGATGCCTAGAACCTAGTATAGTGCTTGACACACATTTATCGGTGCTTATCAGTCTAGAGGATTTTTCTGTTTGGGGTTTTTAAGAGACAGGGTCTCCCCTGTGTCACCCAGCCTGGAGTGCAGTGGTGTGATCATAACTCACTGCAGCCTCTAACTCCTGGCTCAAGTGATCCACCTGCCTCAGCCTCCCAAGTAGCCAGGACTACAGGCACGTGCTACCACACCTGAATCATGCTCATTGTTGAATAAATGAAAGCTCCTTTCCTAATGTGAAGTATTATCAATCCATTGATATTTTTGCCACTGAAATAATAAAATCTATATTTGTGTTTATCTAATCATTAGTGAAACTGAATATTTTGATTCCTATTTCCTCTTTTAACTGCTTGTTCAAGTAATTTGCCAATTTTTGAGTTGTTATTTTCTTATTATCCTATAAACATTCTTTGTGAAATTAAGCCTTTATCCATTATGTTTGAGGCAAATATTTTTTCCTAGATTATTATTTACTTAAAACATTCTTCATTATATCTTCTATCATAGATTTTAAAATTTTTACGTACTTAAAGCTATGGTCTCTCTTTATGGCTTCTGAGATTTGTATATTGCTTAAAAAGGAGTTTCTACCCTCAAAGTATAAAATCATCCTTCACTACATTTTTATTGTGTTGATTCAATACAAATTGTCAAATTGTCTATTCTTTTGACATTGGTTTGAAAGAAATACTTTCATTCATAGTTGAAGTCCTAAATACTGAATTTTTATATAAACATGGGTCTACTTTAGATTCTCTATAGCATTCAATAATTCAATTCATAGATTGATTACAATGCCAATAACAGTTTGTTATTCCAACCAGCTTTAAAGTTTTTAGTCTTTTATCTCAAAGTAATTTCAGTTTTGGTTTTAATTTTTCCCCAATAGTCATTTTTAAAGATAGTTTAAATTTTTTAATTAAAAAATTAGCTGGGCCTAGTGGTGCACACGTGTAGTCCCCCTACGTGGGAGGCTGAGGTGGGATGATTGCTCAAGCCCAGGAGGTCAAGGCTACAGCAAACCATGGTCATGCCACTGTACTCTAGCCTGGGTGACAGAGCAAGACACTGGAAAAAAAAAAAAACAGAAAAAAAATTTTTTAAGTAAACAGACTATAATTTCATATTGCTTAATTTCTAATTTTACTCCATTTTTCTCAAGGACTGTGGCTTTCTAGGATTTGGGGTGTTTTTTTTTTGGAGGTTACCAAGAGTCTTTGAGGCCTTGAACATGGCCAATTTTGTAGTAGATTTTAGTCAGTCTTCTTAAAGTCAGTATTTATAAAGAATATGTGTTTTCATATATTGGGTACATTTTATGTCTATACAATTATGCTTAGCATTGTTATTCAAATCCTCCTTTCTTTACAGAGTTTTTTGGTTCACTTGGTCTGTTAATTTCTATGGAGAATTAGTTAAATAAAAGGAAAATTTGGCAAATCCATAGTCTATATTAGAGACAAATAGTTTTTGTCATATGTATTTCAAACCTATTTTGATAAAGATTTGTGACTTGCATTTTCCTTTGGATTATATATTTTATCTGCATAAATATCTTTTATTGTGTTGAATGTTTTTCACCTTGAATTCAATTTGTCTCATACTAATATTGCTGCTTTTGTTAACATTTACGTGTATAACTTTGTTTTCAACTCGATTTATAGATATTCTTTGTAATCAAATATAGCTAGATTTGTATTTTTCTAGGCAATCCAAGAGCTTTTATTCTAATAAGATAATTTAGCCTGTATACATTTTTTGTGAATGCTGACTTATTGGACTTAATATTTTGCTTGTTACTTTTTATTGAAAAATTCCCCCTTCTTTTCTGCCTTTTATTGTAAAGGCAGAAATTGACGATCAAATTTTTATTTGTTGTATTATACTTATATGTTTTTGTGTTATTTATCCTAATTTGTACATATAATTAGCATATAATTAAACATATAATAAGCACATTTATTTTTCTATCAATCTCTGGAATTGATATCAATATCCAACATTCACTCATACAACAAAGGAAAAAAACTTATTGTAGTTCATATCCCTGTCTCTTCCTTGTGCCTCTTCTAGTGCTAAAATCCTCCATGATTTTAATTAGATCCTGTTGATTCTTTTTTTTTTTTTTTTTTTTTTTTTTTTTTTTTTTTTTTTTGAGACGGAGTCTTGCTCTGTCGCCCAGGCCGGACTGCAGACTGCAGTGGCGCAATCTCGGCTCACTGCAAGCTCCGCTTCCCGGGTTCACGCCATTCTCCTGCCTCAGCCTCCCGAGTAGCTGGGACTACAGGCGCCCGCCACCGCGCCCGGCTAATTTTTTGTATTTTTAGTAGAGACGGGGTTTCACCTTGTTAGCCAGGATGGTCTCGATCTCCTGACCTCATGATCCACCCACCTCGGCCTCCCAAAGTGCTGGGATTACAGGCGTGAGCCACCGCGCCCAGCCCTGATTCTTATTTAAACAGAAAAACAAGCACATATTTGACCAAAAATGTCACTGTCTTCTTTGTTCACAATTGTTCTGGTATCTATGCCTTCCTCTTTCTTGGATTTACTACTTGTTTGACTAGCATTCATTTTCATGTAATTTTTAAAATACGGCTCTTAGAGCTCACATAGAAGTGATGAAGTTGGCTATGCAGATGGCTTGTCTCCAGAATGGGGACCACATATTCCCCCAGGTATAGCATGTTTACCAGAAGCACTTTCTGGGCCCCAGGGCCTTCTTAGTGAATCTTATGCATCAAGAAGAGTTCTCAGGCTCTATTGTTGGGGGTAAAGGCTGGAGTTGGCTGCTCACTTTCCTTCACTTCTTCCTCTGCTGTCCTTGTTGGAGTTACACTGTATTCAGCGTCTCTTTCCAAACACTATCCTGGATCTCTTATGTGGATTGTATCAGTTAATCTTCTTCTGAGTTAGCAGTTATTGTTACCCCCTACCCCAGGCTATATGTGAGGAAACGAGGCCCCAAGAGGTTAAATAATGTCCTATTAATGAGGAAAAATGTTATAATTTAAACTCAGGCAGTCTAACCCCCAGATCCCCTGCCCTCCCAAAAGGAGAACATGGATGGTACTAGGTTCCAGTGATAAGAAAACCAAGTGAAACTATTTTGTAAAAAAGGAACTAGTCAACTTTTATTTTTTTACCAATTATTAATTGCATACAGAGAAAGACAAAAACTGGCCTGGCCAACCTACAGAATGGGAGAAAAATGTTGCAATCTATCCACCTGACAAAGGGCTAATAACCAGAATCTACAAAGAATTTAAACAAATTTACCAGAAAAAAACAACCTCATCAAAAAGTGGGCAAAGCATATGAACAGACACTTCTCAAAAGAAGACATTTATGCAGCCAACAAACATATGAAAAAAAGCTCACTATCACTGGTCATTAGAGAAATGCAAATCAAAATCACAATGAGATACCATCTCATGCCAGTTAGAATGGCGATCATTAAAAAGTCAGGAAAAAACAGTTGCTGGAGAGGATGTGGAGAAATAGGAACACTTTTACACTGTTGGTGGGAGTGTAAATTGGTTCAACCATTGTGGAAGACAGTGTGGCAATTCCTCAAGGATCTAGAAACAGCAATATCATTTGACCCAGCAGTCCCATTATCGGGTATATACCCAAAGGATTATAAATCATTCTACTATAAAGGCACATGCACACGTATATTTATTGCAGCATTGTTCACAATAGCAAAGACTTGGAACCAACCCAAATGCCCATCAATGTTGGGCTGGATAAAGAAAATGTGGCACATATACACCATGGAATACTATGCAGACATAAAAAAGGATGAGTTCATGTCCTTTGCAGAGACATGGATGAAGCTGGAAACCATCGTTCTCAGAAAACTAACACAGGAACAGAAAACCAAACACTGCATGTTCTCATTCATAAGTGGGAGTTGAACAACGAGAACACATGGACACAGGGAGGGGAACATCACACACCAGGGCCTGTAATGGGGTGGGGGGCTAGGGGAGGGATAGCATTAGGAGAAATACCTAATGTAGATGATGAATTGATGGGTGCAGCAAACCACCGTGGCACGTGTATACCTATGTAACAAAGCTGCGCGTTCTTCACATGTATCCCAGAAATTAAAGTATGATAAAAAATAAAAATAAAAAACTGGCCTGGCACTCACAGCTAGGCCTTGGTGTTCTCCTGTTGAAAGTAACCAATGTTACATAATGTCAATATCAGAAGAGGTCACTGTGACTATAATAGCTCATAACAAAAACAAGATCACTCTATAACATGTCTGAACACAGAAAAATACATGGACCTTGTAGAAACTATAATAGTGACCAAAGATCCCAAAATTATGGCTAATATGAGTGACTTCTGCTTCTTTATCAATTACAGCATGAGTCTCACTCTGGTCTTCCTTCCTTCTAGATAGAATTGATTAAGACACCTCATCATAGACCTACCCCTGCTTCCTGATAAGATCCAATTCAGAGCAAAGCTCTGCTTCCTTAAATCTTCCCCTAAATCACCTACGTATTAGTCTGTTCTCACACTGCTAATAAAGACATGCCCAAGACTGGGTAACTTACAAAGAAAAAGAGGTTTAATTGACTCACAGTTCCACATGGCTGGGGAGGCCTCACAATCGTGGCGAAAAGTGAAGGAGGAGCAAAGACACATCTTACACGGCGGCAGGCAAGAAACAGTGGGTGCAGGGGAACCGCCCTTTATAAAATCACCAGATCTCATGAGATGTATTCAGTATCACAAGAACAGCAATGGGAAAGACCCACCCCCATGATTCAATTACCTCCGGCCAGGTCCCTCCCACAACACATGGGAATTATGGGAGCTACAATTCAAGATGAGATTTGGATGGGGACACAGCCAAACCACATCAACCTGACACAGACCCAAATGCTATAAGTCCTTTCTGACATCTAAGATGGCCCATGGTTCCCCACGGTGTGGCTAAGGAGTCTGGAATTCATTTTATAGGCAGTAGGAATAGGAGATAATCAAATCTGTTTGACCAGTAGAGTGACATGACTAAAGCTATGTTTTAGAAAACTAAACTTGACAAAACATGTAAGACAATGAAGAGACTGGTTGCAAAGATAGTAACAAACTCACTGCAGTAGTCCAGGGGGTGACAAGAAATCACAAAAGACACAGGCCATGATTCAAGTGGCATGTGATAATACTGACATCAGGGCAGTGGCAGTGGGAATGAAAATGAGGTAGCATACACCAGGATATCTGCAGGGAGAATTGATAGTGGGTAGAGATTGTGATATGGTTCTAACCATCAACATAATTTTACATTCAATAGGTAGGAATTCCTCTGACCAGATTTTTCATAAGCTGTTCAGTCTTATTCTGAACAAAATAGATATGAGATTTTTGTATCTATAAGTTCACTTTATTAGCATAAGATAGAAAGTTATGAATAGGATGACTTTCTATTCACCTTACCTGGATTATAAAATTCAAGGCTGGATTTAAGCCTACCATATGGGTAAGGGATCAACTGAGCCCTTAAGTGTCTTTCAGAAGCTCCCATGAAGGGCATTAGAAGTTTTGTGAGCATATTGGAAGGCAAACTTGGTGCCTATGTGTGCATATTCAGCTGACTTGCCTGGATTCTCAGCTCTAGGAGACTAAAATAGATGAAGATGTGCCCCATAGGAACTAATCACACTATTATTCAAATGCAAGTAAAGAAGATGCATGGTTTCAATGGCAAAAATGAAGAAAACTTTCCAATATTACAATCGGCAGGCTGAGCTCAAGGTGGTGCAAGGCAATTTAGAAATAGGAAGACCCTATTTTGGAATGCGCTTGGTTCCAAGAGCTTTTCCAACTGAGGTTTTTAGAACTGAGCCCCTTGTCCCCTAGAAACAATGTTGGAAATTGTACGTAGGAATAGAGTGCAGCCAGGAGAGGTCACAAAAGCCCACCTACCCTACAGTAAGTTTAATTACGGTACTAATCCATGTTGGGTCTGGGAAGAGGAGGTCATTCATATATGCTGATCCCAGAGAAAGCAGACACATTTCCTCTCTTTACTTTTGCCTATTCTAGCAAAATCCAGATATTGGTAGGAAGAAATAGAAGTCAACTGCCCAAGTCTTTCTCTCTGAGCTGTCTGTCCCACCCTCTCCAATAGTCCTCTCCACAGGTAGCCTGTGTTTCTACAGTGCTCACCACCCCTATGTATTTTGAAGGTCAGGAATATCTGAGCACCGTCTCCTGTCAGAACAGCAGCGGTATTAGAATCTCATAGGAGAACAAACCCTATTGTGAACTGCACATGTGAAGGATCTGGGTTACATGCTCCTTATGAGAATCCAACTAATGCCTGATGATCTGAGGTGGAACAGTTTCATCCCAAAACCATCCCCCTTGCCCCATTCATGGAAAAATTGCCTTCCACAAAGCCAGTTCCCTGTGCCAAAAAGGTTGGGGACCACTGCTTTATATACACTATAAACACAGATAAGTAAAACACTACTCACAGATGTAAGGGACAATAGTTACTCTTGCCTCACTACAGGCACACGGGCATAGACTCTTTCCACTTCCCCCTCCTCCCTCCTCCCCTGAAACACAATGTTGTATTACTCAAGAGGTGGTTTGGCCAGTCCCCACTAAAAACAACATTTCATATGAATTTCAACAAAAAGATATTCACAAAATGTGTTATTTTACTACCTGTACTTTTAACACATATCAGGCACTTCAGAACATCTAGAAGAAAGCCCAGACATTTCAAAAAAAAAGTACTTAGTATTGCCAACCATGTATACAGTAGTGAGGAATAAAATACACACACAAAGCGATGGTTAAAATATGAAAATGTCTCCTAAATATGATCAGTCTAGCATGGAGCCTTCTTCTCCTCCTTCTCAGGTCTTCCACCCCAAGTCCTCTTATCCACTGAACAATTGTGGACATGTCATCCCTGATGTCACTTCCAGAGGTGGTCTCACAAATCCATTTCAAAAAGTCATCCCAGAAGACATTTTATATGATTTTTTTTAAGAGGTGAGCATTTGCAAGATGTGTGATTTTATGACTCTTTTATCATAATTTGGCAAAACCTATCTACATCTAGAAGGGCTAGATGTAGCAAGTGCTCTTTTAAAACCTTGGGGAGGTCAGTTGAGAGCAGTTTTTCCTATGACGTACACAGATCTTCTACACAGGGCCTGTACATTTTTCCAAAGACCAGTGGGCCTTTCTGTTGCCCAAATGTGGCTTATCTCCTACTGTTTCTCTTCTGATATGAAGGTATGATAGATGGGAGATCAACCCCGCCTGGTGGCTTCTAGCAGTTTCATCCGTCAGGGCTCTGCTCACCTTCTGGACCGTTAAGGCCTTGGTCCATTGTCATCAATAACGAGGCAGGCCTCACCCAACTGGGACAGAGTGGTCACCCCAGGCCCCGGTCCTGCTGGGTTTCAGGCCAACAGAGGTGGCGGAGTTGGGTCCGTCTGCAGACCCACCTTCCAGGCCTCACCCCACAGCGCTCTCCACGGTGTTCCCGCAGCTGCCAGGCTTCCCACCCTGCACACCGGCGCCACCCAAAGCGGCTGCATCCTGAAGGCTTCATCTAGGCCAGGCAGGGTTAGGCCGGGAGGCCCAGCAGCCAGCTGGGTCTGGGCTCAGAGAGGCAGCTGCCTGATGGTCAAAGAGGTGGAGTGGAGAGAGGGGCCCTCCTCTGCATCAAGGCCTGGGCCCTGCCAGTGCACAGCCATGGCAAGGGCTCCAGGTGCCTGCAGAGCAGAGGCTTGCTTGTCCTTGGACCCCAGCTTTCCTGGGAGGGCCATAGGGGAAGTGGCCATGCTTCACTTCTCACCAAGCTCTCTGCAGGAACTCCAGAGTGGCTTGTTGTTTTTTTTTTTTTTTTGCTGTTTGTTTGTTTTTTGTGTTTTTTTTTTTGTTTTTGTTTTTTTCGGTGAGACAAGGTCTCGTTCTGTTGCTCAGGCTAGAGTGCAGTGGCGGCATGACCATAGCTCACTGTAACCTCAAATTCCTGGGCTTAAGAGATCCTCCCACCTCAGCTTCCCAAGGAGCTGGGACTACAGGCATGCACCACCACTCCCAGCAAATTTTTGTATTTTTTGTAGAGATGAGGTCTCCCTATGTTGCCCAAGCTGGTCTTGAACTGCTGACCTCAGGTAATCCACCTACCTTGGCCTCCCAAAGTGCTGGGATTACAGGTGTGAGCCACAGCACCCAGTCTCATAGCAGCTTCTTATTACTTTATTTGATTAAAAGAACAAAGCACTTTGTATTTTAAAACCATATGAATATATAATCTGTTACATTTAATGTGTAAACAGGAGATAAAATCCCAAGCCCCCCAACAGACTTAATGGATTCCCTTGTAGCCAAGTGGATTCCAGAAAGAAAAACTAAATTCCAAATTCTAAATGCCCCCTCCCTTTTGGAGTTTAGGCACAACTAACCAGCACATTAAAATAGACGTCATAGACTGCCCTAACACTAACAGACTCTTTGTGGCAATAAGATAACAAATTCCAACCTGACTCCAGTACAGCATCACACGACAGATAGCAGACCCTGAAGGAAATAAAAATTTTTTACCCCAAAATATATTTCTTTGGCATATTTTGAAATGGCCCTGTAAAGCTGTCTTTTGTGGGGAAAATTTGCATATGTAGAGACACTCTTACCCCTTCCAGGTCTTCCCCAGATCAAGGAGAGATAAGTGAGAATCTGTTATCTTTAAGGGTTGAAAAGAGAGGCTTTGGCCCAGGCACGTGGCTCACGCCTGTAATCCCAGCACTTTGGGAGGCCGAGGCAGGTGGATCACATGAGGTCAGGAGTTCAAGACCAGCCTGGCCAATATGGTGAAACCCCACCTCTACTAAAAGTACAAAACATTAGCTGGGCATGGTGTTGCATGCCTATAGCCCCAGCTACTGGGGAGGCTGAGGCGGGAGAAATCGCCTGAACCCAGGAGGCAGCAGTTGCAGTGAGCTGAGATTGAGCCACTGCACTCCAGCCTGGGCAACAGAACAAGACTCCATGTCAAAAAAAAAAAAAAAAAGAAAAGAAAAGAGAGACTTTTCTTTTTTGGTCATCAAGTGGCTGTTAGACATGAATTTTAAATTGTTAATGTTTAAAATGTAGCCAATTCTTATATCTCGAGAAAATTCTTAAAAGAACACTTTTTCCTAATACCCGCACACAAAATGAATCTGTCCTGCTTCACTCACATTCCTACCCTAGCTGAAATTCAAACCTCTCTTAACACTCATCCAAAAAAACACAATTGGAAAGATGACTACACCCCGCCCCCACCACCAACAAATTACCAATTAAAATTTTAAATGCTGAGATTTATTTTACCCAATGTTTTAAACAACCTAAATCATAAAATCCTATCATTGTTTTTTAAAAAAGGCTTATCAACTGTTACTTCACGTCTTCCATCTAATAGAAAAGTCCACCCAAAGGTATCACACATGAATTTTTATAAGTAGTAAATAATTACAGAGACTAAAAATAACCTTGAAAGTTAGACCAAGGCTAACTGCCGATTTCTACCCTCTGTTTTCAGGCTCAAGAATCCTAAAACGAATTCTAAATTATGAAATTGGAGTCTGTCCCTAGCCAGAGTAGCAGACTTAATGCACCATTAATCTGTTCTGCTCTCAGCCGCTCATTGAAACAGTCACAGTCATTCAATTTTTAGGGAAAAGACAGTACTGCAAAAGTACATTCCAGAGGTCTTTTCATAAAAACCATCCTGTGTGCTCCATCTGCATGTGCAATCTGCTTGTGTATTTTCAGCCAGCTTGCACGGGCAGATTAATGCGTACAATTAGAAAGCAACCTCACAGGCATTCAATAAACTGCCTTCATTATTACACTCAGGAGAGTCCCTTTGGATGTCAATAAAAGCCTAGTTTTCTGCCTGTTAGCTAAATAATTGACAACACTAAAAATAATCAGAAGCAAATGAACGAAGTCAAGAACAAGGTGTTAAGAAAGAGCACATTAAGATTCTCATGGTGGTGCCCCAGGTTGCTATCATGAGCTTTTTCTCCAGCAACTTGGATTTATAGTCCGCTCAAGTCCATGGTTGTCCTCTCTACAGAAAAAAAATACCATTCCTGGTTTGCTGTATGAATCACACATTGCAGCATGGTGAAACTAGCAAAGTATTGACTGGTTTGAAAGAATTTCTTATGTACGTTTCTATTTTATGTTCCTTCATTTAACAGTTTCAGGAGAATCTAATTTGGGAGGTGGGGGTAGGCAGTCTGGTTGGTCTGGCAAAACCTTTGTGCTGTTAAAAATCCAAAGAGGTGGCTGGGTGCAGTGGCTCACACTTGTAATCCCAGAGCTTTGGGAGGTCAAGGCGGGTGGATCACTGGAGGTCAGGAGTTTGAGACTACCCTGGCCAACATGGTGAAACCCTATCTCTACTAAAAATATAAAAATTCATTGGGTGTGGTGGCATTCACCTGTAATCCCAGCTACTTGGGAGGCTGAGGCTGGAGAATCGCTTGAACCCAGGAGGCGGAGGTTACAGTGAGCCAAGACCAAGCCATTGCACTCCAGCCTGAGCAACAGAGCAAGACTCCATTTCCAAAAAAAAGAAAAAAAATCCAAAGCACTTTCCTAGACATTTTTTCCACCATACACTGATTCTAAGGAGGTATGACAAAAACTTGTCATATAGACGATCCATCTTTTATAAGTCTCTTTTATATTTCTAACTACATACTCACTGCTTATTTCATGAGTTATTGGTCTTTTAATTTCAAAAGTAATTCAAAACATAATACTCTTTCAAAGAAGAACCTCACACATATACCTCTTCTTGTGTTTCTCAATAGGCTTTAAAAATCAATTTGAGATACTTCTCAATTTTAGCCAAACTCTGTTTTTCCTGGTTAACTGGGACTTTTACAATAAGCAGAAGAAAGAGCAAGAGTGAAATGTGTGTGTAATTGAATTCAGCTCCACTGATAGCAGGCCAGGTGGCTGAGGGCAAACTTCTTTTTTCTTTATAGAAAAAGGGTGATTGATCTTCTGTATTTAGTAAAACACAAACTCAAGAAGCTGGAACTATAAAAGAAAGGAGGTTGGACGCACAGCTTCTAATGTCTTTTAAAACTTCAAGAATCTCTTACCCTTTACTTTGCCATATTTAGAACTCTCCAGAGAATGAACCCATTCAACTATCCAGTCCTGTGCCCAAGGCCCCTCACTGTTAAGTAGGTCTTCCCTCTTCCAATGTAAAACTAGTATGCCACAAGACAATGACATTTGTTCTCATTTGTGACTCTAGGCTACTAAAGTTGAGAGGTGAAGCCAGCTGGACTTCTGGGCCAGGTGGGGACTTGGAGAACTTTTCTGTCTTACAAGAGGATTGTAAAATGCACCAATCAGCACTCCGTAGCTAGGATTGTAAAACGCACCAATCAGTGCTCTGTGGCTAGCAAGAGGTTTGTAAAATGCACCAATCAGTGCTCTGTAAAAATGCACCAATCAGCGCTCTGTGACTAGCTAGAGGTTTGTAAAATGGACCAATCAGCACTCTGTAAAATGGACCAATCAGCACTCTATAAAATGGACCGATCAACGGGATGTGGGCGCAGACAAATAAGGCAATAAAAGCTGGCCACCCCAGCCAGCAGCGGCAACCTGTTTGGGTCCCCTTCCATGCTGTGAAAGCTTTGTTCTTTCGCTCTCCACAATAAATCTTGCTGCTGCTCACTCTTTGGGTCTGTGCCACCTTTAAGAGCTGTAACACTCACCGCAAAGGTCCATGGCTTCATTCTTGAAGTGAGCGAGTCCAAGAGCCCACCAGAAGGAACCAACTCCAGACACAAAGCCACCAGCCCAGCCCCTAATCTCTCTCAACTCTTCCGGCTGAGCCTCAAAATAAATTCTCATTCATTCTCTACCCATGAAAGGAGAGGCAATGATACATTCACAGTCTTCATCTGGTGCCTCCCTCCCACCATATCTCTCTGCAAGACAGACAGTTTCTCCTGGTACTTAGCTCCTTAGCTTCCCACCAGCTCCTCACTCAAATGCCTTCTTTAGAAGAAGAGTTGGGACAGACAGGCTAAGGATTCTGTGATGAAAATGAGAGTGATGCTCCTTTTAGCTAAGGAGGATGACATCACTTACCAACACTTTCATCCTACCCCATACCATCTCCCATCTATTTTCTGGCCTGGGTAGCAGAAACACAGTACCTAACTTGCTAAGGAGCAAAGCAGAGGGTTGAGAAACGTCTCTTCCATTCCTGCCTCTGAATCTTAAAGCAAGAAGGAGCTGCTTATGATAGAGGCAGGATAATTTTAGTGGCATGAGAAATCAGAAGATACTGTGCTTAGAGGGGGAATATGTTGGAGGCTGTCACAAATATGCTCACCCCAACATCTGAGTGATCTTAAATTCTGCAAACAAGGAACAACAATGGAGTGAGAGAACAGGCGGCAGGCAGTGAATATTTCATATGAAAGTGGAGGGCCCATTACTGGTTCTGGTGGGACCAGAAATTTGTGTACAGCCTCCATAAAATAAAAGTTATATGATCCTATTCAATAAGGATCTCTGTAAGAAGGATCATTTCAAGTGCCTGTAATAGTCAGGCACTTTTATGTCATTTACATATTTTATTTAATTCTTGCAAATGGCCTATAAGATAGATATTATCTGTATTTAAGAAAAAAAAAAAAAAAACACTGACATTCAAAGAGTTTTAGTGAGAGCTAGGACTTTGAACCCAGATCTGCTTGGTTCTATTTCTACCACATTTAGAATTAATGTAGGGCCAGAAAGGACATGAGCTTATCCTTAAAGCCTACATAACAAAGTAGATTACGTTATAAAGCATGTAGTAGTTGCCCTGTATCTGTTAGCTGCTGTTGTTCACAAATCATACTGCAAATTACCTTGGTGTATGACCACCAGTTGAGACTTTTGCCAATAACTACTAAATGATTTCTCAATTCTTGTCTAGAAAAAAACACAAGTGTATAGTGGTCCTCAGTCCATCAGATAAATCCCTGGTCAGTTTAGACGCTGCTTAGGCACTTCAGTGCAAACACCCTATTCCTTATATTGGTATCCTGGACGTCAACATGAGCAGAAGTACCTTGGATCACCAAAGGATCAAGTCTTCCAAGTTATTTATAATGGGGAATTTCTCAAATTTAGTGTTATTGACTACTAAAGGATACTTTGGTGAGTAGACATGTCTCTCCCACCTTACTTACATGGTGAAAGAGTTCAATTACATAATTAATACAACAGCCAATAATCCAATACCAGGTGTTTTGACAAGTTAGCATCACCTGAATTTAAAACCTCTATGAACAATCTGCCTATAAAGGCACGAAGTTCTGAAAACATTAACTTACTATTGCTGATGCTCTCTAAATGCTTCTCTTCTAAGGTTTTCTTGAAGTCTTTTTTTCTCCTCCAGTTTATTGCTCTGAAATTGCAAATATCAAAACATAACTTATTAAAGATGCTTTAAGCAGAGTCATGATGTTAAAGTTACCCAAGGTCCAAAATCCTAAGGTTCAACTGGCCTTGATAGTCTAATACAGTATCCTGCTAGAGGCTCCAAGATGGTACTCCCTGTCAGACCCATGGGCACTGCACTGAAAGCCAGGAGCTCCAAGTTCTTTCCACAGCTCCCCTCTCCCAACTTGATTGGTATAATCACAGAACCAGCATTTTGCGTTTTTATTCTTTAGTTCAAATGATAGCAACATTTATTTTTTAAGCAGTGCTTTCAAAATGTTTTAATGAAAACATGAAATTTCCATACCAAGTATGTTAAATTAAAATTATAATAAATGGTTAAACAGCTCATACAAAATTTATACATACACTCAAATTCTACTAAAGTATTTGAGAAGAGATTTTCAGTAAGACAACCCAACTCCCTTCTGACTTAGTATCAGATACTTAAAGCTGTTGAGGGACTGAATAGCACATGTCATAAAAAAAGCCATCCACTTGAATAGAAAATAGTTCTTTTTTTTAATTAGCTGTTTGGAGAGCCTGGAGATAAAGGCCTTCATATTTGATATTACTGTCACCATGGCTCTGGCATATTTTAATCCAATTTAAATAACCCAGGAATGTTTGCTTTTTGCTCACCATGACACACTGTCATTTTTTAACTTGCTATGACCTATGAAAAACAAGTAAAATTCCTAGACAACAAATTTAATGGAGAGTTGAAACACATTCTACTATCCAGGAGGATCATGAAGTTTTAAATGAATCCAAGAGAGACAGTAAGGAGCTGGGGTTGCTTTAATAAAAATTGGATTTGCCCAGAAGAGGACCAGTGAAAGGAGAATATTGGAAATCATCACTTTCAAGCCCAAACATAAGTCTGGTTCCATCTTTCAAAGAAATGAAGAAACTGCTTGTATTGTTCATTTCCATGAAAGTCTTCATTCACTCAAAACTAATTACTAGTCCCATTTTGAAAGGCAAAATGGATGATGATTTCAGTTTCAGAAAAAAACTAAAGGAAATTTACTACAGTCAAAGAAAATCAATTATAAGGCAAGCAACTGGATTATTAATGAAACACAGAATTCTAGGAGGCAAACTAATGGAAAATTGTAAAACCAAATAAACATGATTCTAGTCTAGGAAAAAATCCTGACTGATGAGCACAAAAGTGTTCAATTGTGATGAGTTCCCTGCCCTCCAGGGTGGGGACTGGGGGGTCGTGGTGGATCTAAAAGGGTGAAAGACAGCAAGCGAGCAGTAAGTGTTGATTAAACCAGTATTCAGAATGCTACTCAGAGAACAGTGAGAAAGCCAAAAACAGCTAGAGACAAAAGGCTGGATCCCTTTAGCAAGGTTAGAAATTGAGACCACTGATTTTAACCTTTTCACTAATAGATTCCAACTCACAAACAGTCATACAGTAGCTAAATTTTATCCAACAAAAGTCTGTTTATGGCAGGACGCGGTGACTCACGCCTGTAATCCCAGATCTTTGGGAGGCCGAGGCGGGCGGATCATCTGAGGTCAGGAGTTCAAGACCAGTCTGGCCAACATGGTGAAATCTCATCTCTACTAAAAATTTAAAAATTAGCCAGTGGTGGTGGCAGGCACCTGTAGTCCAAGCTACTCGGGAGGCTGAGGTAGGAGAATCGCTTGAACTCGGGAGGCAGAGGTTGCAATGAGTCAAGATCGTGCCATTGCACTCCAGCCTGGGCGACAAGAGTGAAACTCCATCTCAGAAGAAAAACAAAAAAAAACAAAAAATGTTTGTTTATGCCTCAGCAGAAGTTGATAGTTGATGAAGAAGTATTTGGGGGGGGGGGGAAGTAGTAGTAGTAGTATTTCTGGAGTAGTTGAAAAATTGTATTCAATCCCTATTCATATCAAATGCCTGTTATATGCTCGGTACCATGTTAGATGCTGGGAATACAGCTACGAACAGAGAAGTGCCCATTCTGGAAAATGTTACAGCCTCGTTGGGGACACAGACAAAAAAGAAATGATGGCAGTATGCTAAACACATTAGGGGACAGCAGTTTGCAAATAACAGTAAGAATGCAGAAAAAGCACTTATATGGATTGTCAGGAAATGCTCTCAAAAGTTCCACAGTAACTCAATGCCTACTTAATGTTAGACTCCATCCTGAGCACGAGAGCCAAGAAGCGGAATAACACTGGGAATGTGGTTTCTAACTTTGGGTAAGCTGCATGTTATGAGGGTGCTTCTTTCTATGGAGAGTGGACTCACAGCTTTCTTCATATTCCCCAAAGAGCTGATGACCAAATAAAAGGATAAATACCATGGCTCTAATGAGAGAGAGAAATTCTATATCCAACCCAATCTTAAGCAAGAGTGTTTCAGGAGGAGGAGAAGGTAGGAACAGGGTTACTACACTCCATTATATGGGTTGTTCAGCCCATGGGGTCCCAGCAGGCAGGAGGGGAGTAGGAAAGGAAAAATAGAGCCAGTGTTCAGCTCACCAAGATTTGTACTGCAGCTTGTGGCTGCTTTAGCGCAGAGGAGGTGTCTTTTTCTGTGTCTCACAAAGGCACTATCTATCACCAGTCTGAGCACCCACAGAATTGACCGCCTGGATGGAGAATTGGTCTCTAATTTGCACAAAGGCAACCATGGGCTGGTAGTAACCCTGGACAGGAAAGGGGCATTCCCAGAACTTAACGTTTTTAATATACAAAGGTACAAGAGAATATGTTAGCTCAAGGAAACCCAAGAAGCTCATGGATAAATTGAACAACGTTTATAGAGAAAGGAGTAGAAGATAAGGATGAGAAAGTAAGAAGGAATAATTATATAGGAATGTATGTGCCAAGTAAAGGAGTTTGGACTTTATGAAACCCAACAGTAAGCCATTATATTAAGCAGGAAAGGAAGTGGCTCACTCTTATAGCAACATGGAGGTTAAACTGCAGCAAGGGCCACAAATACACGAGAACCCCTGGGGTGATTCTCACAGTAATCTAGGCCATAAATTACAAGCCCCAAGTTAAGTCAGCAGGTACAGGGAAGAAAGAAGAAAGGACAGTCTTCAGAAAAACTTAAAGGACAGAAATAATAGGAAGCATGATGATAGGGATATGGGATGAGTAAGAAAAGGAGGAAGAGTCTAAGATTACTATCATTTAAGAGCACCAGAATGAACATATGAGTTCAATTTTGAATTTATTGGATTTGAGGTATACTTGTGGAATATTTAGGGAGAAATATCAAGCATGCAGCAAAATATATGGTTCTGGAATTTAGAAATATGGTCTGGCCTGAAGATATGGACTGCAGAAATCAGTACAAACAATAACTAGATCCTTAAATGTGGAATTTTTCATCTAAGGAGAGGGGGCCTAGGCCCAGCAGTATCAGAGGAGACCACGGGATGGGATCTGGTAAGCATCAATAGTGGAAAAACAAGTACAAGGAAAGGATCCCAGAGACATTCAGGAGGTGGAATTTGAAGGACAGAGTACTTAATAGTTAATTTTAAATTTTAATTTTATTTATGTATTTATTTATTTGAGACAAGGTCTTGCTCTGTCACCCAGGCTGCAGTGCAGTGGTGCCATCTGGGCTCACTGCAACCTCTGCCTCCCAGGTTCAAGTGATCCTCATGCCTCAGCCTCCTGAGTAACTGGGATTACAGGTACGTACCACCACACCTGGCTAATATATGTGTTTTTGTAGAGATGGGGTCTCACCATGTTTCCCAGGCTGCTCTTGAACTCCTGGGATCAAGCAATTGGCCCGCCTTAGCTCCCAAAGTGCTGGGATTGCAGGCATGAGCCACCATACCCAGCCTTAATATTTAATTTTACACAGAGCAAAAATAAGTGAGGAATTTAAGAATCTTTACTGGGATCTTTTCTTTCTTTCTTTTTAAGAGCTGGGGTTTCACCATCTTGCCCAGACTGGTCTCAAAGCCCTGGGCTCAAGCAATCTTTCCTTCTTGGCCTCCCAGTGTCCTGGGATTACAGGCATGAATCACTCCGCCCAGCTGGATTTTTCAGTTAAGAACACCGTTGGTGATCTTAGGTAGATTAGAACCAGAGAAGCATTAGAAACAAAAGCCAAATTCAGCCCACCAACAAATGAGGAATCAGAGAAGGAAAGGAATCAGAGAAGGTAAGTTCTTAAGCTAGCTGATCCACACATCTCCTGGGGAACATTTTTTTTTTTAAATAGAGATTCTTTGGTTCAGGTGATTGTCCACAGACTGACATTTGGGAACCAAATATGGTAGAGGAGTCTTTCAAGAAGTTCGAACCATAATGCTTGGGACAGAGGAGTTGAAAGCAGACCACTATATGGAAAATTTGTTTTTAAGGTGAGAGATTTGAGTAAGATTAAATCCTGAGAAAGAAAAACAAAAACAAAACAAACAACAAAACAAGAAAGTGAGAGGAGAAAGGGAGCTTAACTGATAGAGAAGCAAGGTCCCTGGGGAGACCGGAGGGAAGATGAAATGGTGAACACATATGGAAGAATCCATGGTACCAATGAGGAAAAGGACTTTCTGATTCCTCCTGAGATAGGATGGGGGTAGGTGCAGCAAAGGGAGAGTAAGAAAAGAGAAAAATAAAGATACTTAAGGCTGGCAACCTTTATTTCCTATGAAGTGAGAGACAAGGTCACGTGCTGCAAATGAAAGGAGAGCATAAGAACATAAAGCCAGCAAGGATTTTGGTAATTGGGTTTGGTTCCCAGTTACAATGCAAAGAAAAAAAATGCTGGGCATTGGGCATTGTGAAAGACCCAGCTGAGATCAAATCTCAGAAATGTAGTGTGGCAAAAGAAAAAACAAAAGTCACATATGTTTTTCTCTCCAGCAACTTCATTCATGTGGGTTTAGTAGAAATGAAATAATTGAACCCATCCAATTCATGCATAAAAATAATAATACTCTCTACGCCCCCCTTCCAAGAGGTTGATATAATAGATTCCAACGAGATAGTGTTAAAGCACTTCTTTACATTTATAATTAGGTTAGGGTACTTTACTGAGTGCTTACCAAGTGCTAGGTATTGTACTAAGGGCTGTGTATATATTGCATCCTCTAGTCCTACCAGTCTCACTATTACATTATTATACCCATTTTACAAATAAGGTAAGTGAAGCACAGAAAAGCTATCAGCCTACACTCTTAGTACCACATGTTTATTTTAGAGATACTAACATTACCACATTATGGGGTTAATTAGCGAGATCCTATTACATTTCAATAACCAAAGGCTTAATGCTTCCACCAAGTCATCCACAAAGAAATGCATGATGTAGGAGCCACATTTCTTGGAAACACTGATGTTCCCTGAAAGTTTTCAGAAATGGAAATGTTTCCCAATTTATATAAACAACATTGAAATAACTTCCTCAATGTTGAGTTTACCCCTAAAATTGTTCTTAAACTGTTAGCCCTTGCTACTACTTGCTTCCTAGAAATAAGAAAGCAACAAGTGTGATCCCTTAACATGTACCTGTATGCAGCTCTGCATCTAATATGCATAACTTATTTTCTACCAGTTAGTTCCTACTTCACCGTATAGCATTAAAACTAACTGTGCTTCTCAGTGTCTGCATGAAACACTGTGACTTCCAGTGCTTCAAATGACTTTCACAGCCATGGCTTACTGGAAAGAGCAAGGAAAGGTGTTGGAAGCCACTCAGATCTTTAGCTGGTTTCCTGAATTCTCTGAGGTTATGATACCAAGAGGTTGGGGAATCAAATGAAGTATAGTTGGTCCTCCTTATCTGTGAGTTCCATATCTGCTGACTCAACCAACTTCCGATGGAAAATATTCAGGGGATGAGGAATAGACGGTTGCATCTATACTGAATATGTAAGACTATTTTCTTGTCATTATTCCCTAAACAATATAGTATAACAACTATTTACACAACATTTACATCATATTAGGTATTATAAATAATCTAGAGATGACTTAAAGCATACAAAGGATGTACATATGCTATTGCAAATACTACTCCATTTTATATAGGATTTTGGTATCCATTGTGTTGTGGGGGGAGGGGGAGGCAGCAACCAATCTCCCATATCTAAAGGATGGCTGTATCTGGAAACTATATAATACCGTATATTATCTCAAACATATGTAGATCGAAGGCAGAATAAGATGAACCCAGGAAATTGAGAGAGTCTTTAAAATGGAGTTAGAAGATTTTCATATTTTAGGTTTGTGGGTATTATGAAAGTCTGGGAAAATAAAATTATTATTTATCATGTGATTATGGGGGGAAAATGTGATTTACTCCCATAGCACTAAATTTGGGTGAAATGCTTGCTGTGGGGAGTTAGGAAAACCTGTCTATTTATACTGAAAGAACCAGTGGCAAAACACTTGCATCTGGTAGACTGCTTTTTTACTCTAATGCTCTAATGTCTTAGAGACGTTGTCTCTGCTTTATAGATTTCTTGGAAAAGAAATTAATGCATCATTATAAAACCACATGAGTAGTATTAGTTTCCTATTGCTGGTATAATAAATTACCACAAAGTTAACAGCTTAAAACAATACAAATTTATTATCTTACAGCTCTGGAGGTCAGAAGTACAAAACGGGTATCAATGGGCTAAAATCAAGGTGCCAGAAAGGCTGTGTTCCTTCTGGAGGCTCAAAGGGAAATAATCAGTTTCCTGGTCTTTTCCAGCTTCTAGAGGCTACCCACATTCCTGGGCTAATGGCCCCTTCCTACATCTTCAAAGCCAGCAGTGGTGGGCTGAGTCTTTCTCCTGGTATCATCTCTTCATTCTCTATCTCCCTCTCCCAATTTTAAGGACCTCTGTGATTATATTGGGCACCTGGATATTGCAGGATACGCTCTCTATTTTAAGGTCAGTTGATTAGCAACCCTAATTCCACCTGTGACCTTAATCCCCTTACCCATGTAAGGAAACATGTTCCTAGGTTCCAGGGATAAAACGTGGACATCTTGGGGTGGAGCATTATTCTGCCCACTACATGAATTATAATCTATTTTTAAATCAATAAATATCATACACACAATAGGCCAGCTATTTCCCCAAATCTTTACTCTCCCTAGCCCTCTGAGGTTTGGCTTTAGAATATGGGTGGTAGGGGAGGGTAAGAAAATACCTTTTTCATTTAGTGCTAAGCAGTGGTGTGCTGGTCAACATTTAATCAGGTCTAGCAGGTAGGAGCAGGAGGGGAAATTAATCTGTAGCATTTACTGATTTCCACATCGTAAATATTTTCCACCACAGTCGGTTTCAAACTGACAATGATGAAGCCAAGTAGCTCAAAAAAATCCTGAAAATGTGACAATTCCCACAGTACAAGGCAGTACAAGGAAGCTACAGAACATCACTAGAAGTATATATACTGTGACAGACTCTAGTCTAGGGAATGCAAGTTACATTCCTGAACTGAATACAACTCAAGTATACCAGTGCTGTCTCCAAATTTCCCTTTGTACCCATAGGATTAACTCTTCCTGGGCCCCACTGACATGACTGGATACTAAAGAGCTGGTTGACTTTCACACCTGTCTGTCTATTAAGGATCAAAGAACATGCACAAATGCTGGCAAGGAATCCAGTCTATTCTTCCCTCACTAAATGCTGCACACAGAGATGACGACCAATCAGAATGAGACCCAGTGTCCCCTGACTTCTTTTGGGAGAGAAGGAAATGAAGGGCAGAAGGGGACCAGCAGCCAGTGGGGGAAGACCAGAGACAAGGCTAGAGGCTCTTGGGTGGCAATAGGCTGCTTGGATTCTACTTGGCTCAGAGTTTACTGGGCAGCAGCCATTTGCCTGGGGAGGAGGGCAGCGTGTTTGCAGGCTGATGTCCATGTGTGTGTTTGCTGTGCATTTTAAAATATAAGTGCTCCATAAGCACAGCCATTATCACTTCCCTCGGCCATTTCCACACTGGCAATGTGAAATATGTCATTTCTAGATGGCTAATGTTCATTTTTCTTATCTGACACAAGCTACTAACTAGGCTCACATTTAACATGAAAAGCTACAGATTTATCTACAACAGGGAAGGCTAGGATCATGGTGACAGTGCAGGCCAATCAGCCAGAGAAATCACATCTGTGGAAGAACAAGGATGGGTCACCCCTTCTTTTGCAAGGTCATTTAAATTTATGCTCCTCGAGCTTTTATGTGCACAGGAATTACCTGGGGAGCTTGTTAAAATGCAGATTCTGATTCGGTAGGTCTGAGGTAGGGCTCAAGATTCTGCTCTTCTAACAAACTCCCAGATGATGCCAATGGTGCTTGTTCAAGGGCCATATTTTCAATGGGAAGGGTCTACAGATCAACTCTCTCTCCCCATCTCTCACATCCTGGCAAATTTATGCCAACAGAATTACAGTTATCATATTAGGAAAGGGAAAAACACTACTTTTAGACAATGTTTAAACAGTTTAGGCCAGGCATGGTGGCTCATTCCTGTAATCCCAGCACTTTGGGAGGCCAAGGCAGGTGGATCCCTTGAGCCCAAGAGTTCGAGACCAGCCTTGGCAACATGGTGAAACCCTCCCTGTCTCTACAAAAAATACAAAAAAAAAAAAAAAATAGCTATAGTGGTGTTAACCTGTAGTCCCAGCTACTCAGGAGGCTGAGGTGGGAGGACTGCCTGACCCCAGGAGACTGAGGCTGCAGTGAGCTGTGATCACACCACTGCACTCCAGCCTGTGCAACAGAGTGAGACCCCGTCTCAAAAAAAAAAGAAAGGAAACAGTTTCAACCACAAACATTTATGAATAGCGTACATTATTGACCCATGAAGAAATTAGCTGTAAATGACCCACACGCCAGCCAATGATGGGTATTAAATGACAACGAATAAATGATCTTTAGGACAAGAGGTTGCAATACAATAATTATTAAGGGTCTGCAAGCCTCTTCACCCTGTTCCTGGTGATGACTTAACAATTGTCTTTGTTCTACCTGAAATACAGGCTATGCTCCGTAAAGAGAGTGCCTCCTCTAGAATCACAAGACCTAAGCATGAATCTTCCTTTGAAGGATAAAATGGAAGGAAAAAAACTGGATGAGGAAAAGAAGAGTGGGGAATAGAAAGAGAGAGAGAGAGAAAGATGGATAAATTTTTAAAGTTACTATAATAAAAATCTTCTACAACGAAACTATAATTGTTGATCAGCAAATGTGAACTAATCCTCCTCCTCCTTACCTTCTCTCTCTGAATTGCCTTCATTTTTTGGAGTTCAGCTTCTTCAGCTTCCTTCTTGATTCTTACAGATTCTTCTCTTTTTAGCTAAATTGTATTGAAATTACAGAGAACAAAAACAGTTACCATTTTTCAGTCTGAACTCTGGAACACAAAATTATGATGAAAGGCAAATTACAGTATTGTTTGTGCTATACCTCACCATGATTATAGGTTGTTACTTCAAGCTACTTAGATCACAGAGAATGGCCGGGCTACGTCTTCTGCCCGTGAAATTTCTGTCTTTGTGTTTCTTCCTTGGTCTGTCTCTTTTTCAACGTCTCTGTCTTTGTCTATCTCTGTCTCTCTCTGTGTGTATGTGTGTGTGGTGTGTGTGTGTATTGGGGAGGGAAAAGGGAAAATAATTTTTCCTGATTACAAAACTCAGTGTTCATTGTAAAAATCGCTGGGAATCTTAAATATTTTTTGTACTACTTCCATGACTGCCATGCAGTAAACAAATCCATATTCTTAGAACCAAAACATTCCAAACATAGTAGACTTTAAACTATAGTTAAACATAGTTAACTTAAATGAAAAAAATAATTCCCTTAATCGAGGGTCATGCTGAGTGATAAAGGGCTTAGGTAGGAATTGAAGGTATCCATCTCTTCACTTCTCACTTCCTGAGAGCTTTGATTCTGAAAGCTGCCTTTTGCAACTGGTTGGAAGGTTTTATACTTTTGGTAAAGTTACTGTGTTATTTCACAGTTACTTGTAAGAGCTGGTACTCATATTCCTTACCAAAATTCAACTAAAAGAGATGAATTCTGACCTTTTGCTTGTATTTAGATTGCATCAGCTGGAGTTGTTGTTTCTGTCTGACTTCAGTTTCTGACTGGCTTCCACCTTAGGAAAAAAAAATCCATGAAGGTGAAACATAAATATTAAGCTGAAATGTCAGCCATCGAGGACTAATTAATATATAATAAATCTATAACATGAGTTCCCTTAACATTCTCATGCTCTTGCAAATAAGAACATAACCAGTTTTCCAAGAAGACCTTAAAGAAGGGGAATCACTTAGAAGAAAGAGCTGGATAGAAAGAGGAGACCATATTTTTAAAACAAAAGAGCACTTTTACTAAGGTTTTTCAATCATGTAGGTATTAAAGTTTTCACTTGGATTGAAATCATACCTAAAGGTCTGTGCTAAACAGAAGAAATAGTGCCTGTCTTGGAAACTGTAGAATATTCCTCCTGCTTGAATATGACCATGCCCGAACCTAGTAAAGATGGTGATCAAAGGTGCTTCTATTGCTTTTCTTCTTCTAACTCTATTGCCTTATATTCAAGCAGCAAGGCTCAGGAGGCTCTCAGAGGTCTTGCCACTAGACAAGCATGTAGTCTTTATAACCCAGTTTCTAAAAATACAATGGGAATA
Source organism: Homo sapiens (assembly GCF_000001405.40). Taxonomy (NCBI): domain Eukaryota; kingdom Metazoa; phylum Chordata; class Mammalia; order Primates; family Hominidae; genus Homo; species Homo sapiens. The sequence continues at coordinate 42,964,675 of NC_000013.11, forward strand.
TTCTAGTTAGTAACTGATCATCAATCCATACTATTTATTGTTCTTTCCTTATATAGTCAAAATAAAAATATGGATGTTAGATTATTTACTTGCTCTCTCTTAAACCTAAAAGAATTTGGGGCCAGAAATCCTGGCAGCTTGACAATCATCTAAGAATTACCATTTAGGGAATTCTCAGTGTTTATGCAAGCTTGGTGTGCGTATTATAAAGATTCCTTTGAAATAATTCTCTGGTGCTTTGGTCACTAAAAGTGTCAGCTCTCTGAAAGATTCACTCTCACAGAAGATGCATTAAAACAATTTGTGTTCACTATAAATCTTATAATTGAACTGAGAAAGATACCATAGGGACTTTTCTTCTGAGATCTGAAAGATATATAAGGCCTGTTTGGTGTTGGCCCTTTGACTGCTATTGTGGGGGATGGGGGATGTTTCTTTCAAAACAGTAAGGAATGTTGACATTTTTCTCTAATGTTACAGCAACTTTTAGTATCTCCTGCAACCATTCCAATATTGTAAGGGGTAGAGAAATAGAGGAGGAGTTGAAAATTAGAAGAAATGGAGAGAGCCAGATGTCTAAGCATTTACAAGTTTTGTTCAAAACTCATCTCAAAGTTTAATACATTCTAGAATTTTCTTTTCTACCCCCAAGTCCCTCCCACACACACATACCTGACTAACCCTAGATAATGCATATAACAGGAAGTCAAAATGAGAATCCTGCTCATTTTCTGCTAAGGCTTCAAGACAACAGATGCCGAGCGCTTCAAATTCCAAAGGGAGGTAATGGCCCCTCAAAGCAGGATCTGCAAGGAGGTAACTGAAACCTACCTTGGGGAACCTTAACTAACTTCAGCCTATAAAAGAGGTTGGTTAGGTCAAAGGGAGGCAGAAATCTGAGGAAAGATGTCATTCTGAATTCTATGTCTTCTGTGTTTTGAGGAAGGAGAAATCTTCACACCAGATGAGCAGGAGAAGTTTAATGAAAATCAGCTGGAGTCCCTGTCCCTCTCCCTCTCCCTCTCCCTCTCCCTCTCCCTCTCCCTCTCCCTCTCCCTCGTCTCCCTCTCCCTCGTCTCCCTCTCCCTCTCCCTCCTCTCCCTCTCCCTCTCCCTCTCCCTCTCCCTCTCCCTCGTCTCCCTCTCCCCACGGTCTCCCTCTCATGCGGAGCCGAAGCTGGACTGTACTGCTGCCATCTCGGCTCACTGCAACCTCCCTGCCTGATTCTCCTGCCTCAGTCTGCCGAATGCCTGCAATTGCAGGCACGCGCCGCCACGCCTGACTGGTTTTGGTGGAGACGGGGTTTCGCTGTGTTGGCCGGGCCGGTCTCCAGCCCCTAACCGCGAGTGATCCGCCAACCTCGGCCTCCCGAGGTGCCGGGATTGCAGACGGAGTCTCGTTCACTCAGTGCTCAATGGTGCCCAGGCTGGAGTGCAGTGGCGTGATCTCGGCTCGCTACAACCTACGCCTCCCAGCCGCCTGCCTTGGCCTCCCAAAGTGCCGAGATTGCAGCCTCTGCCCGGCCGCCACCCCGTCTGGGAAGTGAGGAGTGTCTCTGCCTGGCCGCCCATCGTCTGGGATGTGAGGAGCCCCTCTGCCTGGCTGCCCAGTCTGGAAAGTGAGGAGCATCTCCGCCCGGCCGCCATCCCATCTAGGAAGTGAGGAGCGCCTCTTCCCAGCCGCCATCACATTTAGGAAGTGAGGAGCGTCTCTGCCCGGCCGCCCATCGTCTGAAATGTGGGGAGCGCCTCTGCCCCGCCGCCCCATCTGGGATGTGAGGAGCGCCTCTGCCCGGCCGAGACCCCGTCTGGGAGGTGAGGAGCGTCTCTGCCCGGCCGCCCCGTCTGAGAAGTGAGGAGACCCTCTGCCTGGCAACCGCCCCGTCTGAGAAGTGAGGAGCCCCTCCGCCCGGCAGCTGCCCCGTCTGAGAAGTGAGGAGCCTCTCCGCCCGGCAGCCACCCCATCTGGGAAGTAAGGAGCGTCTCCGCCCGGCAGCCACCCCGGCCGGGAGGGAGGTGGGGGGGTCAGCCCCCCGCCCGGCCAGCCGCCCCGTCCGGGAGGTGAGGGGCGCCTCCGCCCGGCCACCACCCCGTCTGGGAGGTGTGCCCAACAGCTCATTGAGAACGGGCCAGGATGACAATGGCGGCTTTGTGGAATAGAAAGGCGGGAAAGGTGGGGAAAAGATTGAGAAATCGGATGGTTGCCGTGTCTGTGTAGAAAGAAGTAGACATGGGAGACTTTTCATTTTGTTCTGCACTAAGAAAAATTCCTCTGCCTTGGGAATCCTGTTGATCTGTGACCTTACCCCCAACCCTGTGCTCCCTGAAACATGTGCTGTGTCCACTCAGGGTTAAATGGATTAAGGGCGGTGCAAGATGTGCTTTGTTAAACAGATGCTTGAAGGCAGCATGCTCGTTAAGAGTCATCACCAATCCCTAATCTCAAGTAATCAGGGACACAAACACTGCGGAAGGCCGCAGGGTCCTCTGCCTAGGAAAACCAGAGACCTTTGTTCACTTGTTTATCTGCTGACCTTCCCTCCACTATTGTCCCATGACCCTGCCAAATCCCCCTCTGTGAGAAACACCCAAGAATTATCAATAAAAAAATAAATTAAAAAAAAAAAAAAAAAAAAAAGAAAATCAGCTGGAGACCTCAACCTGCATTTTTAAGAGTCTGAGGGTCTTATTGGATTCATGCCTAGAACAGTTAGAGCCTAAAGGTATAAGGCTGTTGTCCATTGGCCACTGAGATGAGTCCTCAAGAAGAGGTAGCTACATTACAAATGGCCCACATTCACAGTTTATGAAAAGAAAGAATGCACAAGTATTTCCTGTACTTTTAATGTGATTCTCATGAAAGAGAATGCCAACCTAAAGCCATCTAAAGGGACTTGCCTATGAGGGCCATGTCAAGAACAATGGAACCCTAAAAGGAGTCTACCAAGAGCCAACAGTGAGGCCAAGCCCTGCCGACAGGAGAGGAAATCGTCTGTATCAGGGAAATCCAGGTGGGAGATGGGTAGCAGAGAGTGGGGGATGCTGAAAAACTCGAAGATTCCCAGGAAGAAGAACGAGCAGTCAGTGTAAACCTAGGCTCAAAGAAACAAGGATCACTGCATTACGAACCCCGAACTCTCTTATCTCCCTCCACTTCCCCCTTCAATCCCAGAAAGGTCAGAATCTGGGAACAGAGCCATGAATAGAGAAAAGTCCAGCCACACCCTGTTCTACTTGCTGGATTCCTACCTGAAACAGGCCTGGGTTAGAGCAGGGGAGAAGCTCTCATCTCCATTAGTAACAGAATTTTGATCAGTACCTAAGACTGAACATTAATTACTGAAATGAGACTGTTTTAGGCCTAGAATTAGCTAGGTCACTCTACTGTTTGAAAGAGACCAAAAAGCTTTAATTTCTTACATCATCCAAAAAGCCTGAGAAAGACTGTTCTCACATAGCCAATCTCAGGGGCCAAGCTAGGAAAGATTAAAGCTGTTTTCTGATTGTACCCTTCGAGTCTGGCTCATTTGCACAAAGGAGGCACTTGAGATTAGCCCTTTTCACGAAATACAGTGGGATGATGATAATATTACTATTACTTCCTCCCATTAAATAATTTCCAAATTAGATTATTTTTACCTATGTTCTTGGTGGGGGGGCAGGGTGTGGGGAGGGAACTTCTCTAAAACTATCACAACCGTAAGTGGCCCCTGACACAAGACATGCTTGTATTAACTAAATCTGTGGACACTGTGTGTCCAACCCTTTAAATTTTCGGCTGCTGATAGAAGAGAAAAAGCAAAGAAAAGATGTGAATGATTCCCATTAGGTGGCATCCCTTCTGAATGATTCAAACACCGGCAAAGGCGGCCCAGACAATTCATCACACTGGCAGCACCTGCTCCAGAGGCCCAGAGGTCTCTATCTGTAGAATAAAAACACAGGTGATGTTTCTCTTATACCCACCACCGGGTTTCCAGCTCACTCTCATCTCCCTCTTGGAACTGACTCTCCACTCCTTTTCTTCAGATTAACATTTAACTGCCATGATTAATATGCTTGTGCCAGCATTTACTCCCATCCTGACTAGTGCTATGACAGGGCATATGCAGCGCCCCAGGTAAGCTTTTTCAGAGTCAATCATCTAAGAGGCTCTAAATTATTTGGCAATTAAGCCATCACTGTGTTCCCATAGAACTCTGGCATTACAGGTTTGCTACTTGCAGAAAATCAGAAAAAAAAAAAAATACACACACACACACACACACACACACACACACAATTAAATGCATTCCACCCAAGCAGCACAATGACCAAACAAACTACAATGGACATTCACAGACAGACATATGCAAGCTGCTTACAGGATCCATAGGTGGCCCCGCCCTCCCTCATTCCGGCAGCGGCTGTGCTTGCTTACCTAGCCGTCTGGGCACCAGGTGAACCGGTTTAGCTCTGTTCTGCTCCTTCCACTTCTCCAGGTTGGCCAGCTCCTGCTCCGCAACTAAGCCAGGCGAGAAATATCAAATCGTCAATTATTAGACTTCTAAAAGAAAACCAGTCCCTTCAAAGCATAAGAAACAACTATTAGAAGGCAATTAACTATATGTGAGCATGAGTGAACAAGGCTTCCAGGTTAGAAACACAATATTCAGCCCTGACCCGTACAGGTCATCCTGGGCCCGGCCCTGTGGCACATTCTCACCAAGAGTCAGCACAGAGGGTTCGAATTTGAAAAACCACCTGGGCTCCTACTAAAAGAAGTATAGATTTTCCTACCATTCTGGCATTTTTAAAACTCTATATCAAGTTAATTTTTAAAGTTACCTATAGAAAATGTGTGCAAAACTAGAATATTTTCACGTCAATAAGAACTTTCCACACATAGGTAAACATATCCCCAGAGAATTCTGATGCCCATACTCGCTTTATCTTCAATGCTCCCAAGCTTACTGCGACTCTAGGGAATGAGGGCTCGGTGCTACAGGTGGAGACCCTTGCTCTGGTTTCAGGCACTCCAGACCACTGTGCAGAGTCGGCTTCCTGGGGAGCAGGGCTCATTTCCTAAATGTTCACTCTGCACGACAGCAGGGGGCGCCAGAGAGAAATTAGTTCTGTCACTCCAGCGCCTCCCCTTATCTCCTCATGAGACCTGTTTCAAATGTCCATTACTAGAAAAACAAATTCTGAAACATTTCGAAATCCAGACCACATTGAGACTTAATCTCCTATTAAGTATTTAAATCAAAAGCTTGTAAGATACCAGAACTGCTGGCAGTTCCCATAGTCCCTGCATGGCTGTGATTGTCATATTCTGCACTGACCCGCTGTCCCACCCGGAGCTACATGTCCGGTGGAGACTCTTTAGAGAGCTTTTTCCCTTTTGTGCCTTTCTGTCCATCATTAGTCATGAAGTTAAATTTCCTACCAATCATGTAATAAAGGAGACCATCGAATTTCAGCATAGCCCCACAGCTGGACTTGAGCAAGCCTACAATTTCTTTGTGAACTAAATGAACTTTAGTTCTCTTCCACCTCTAAAGGATAATGCTATAACTTTAAATGGCAGCATTTATATTTACTGTACATCAATTAAACATGTTATGTACGCATTAAGTACAGAGAGCACAAAAACGAGTAAGATGTGGTCCCTACCCTCAAGGAGGTTTATTGGCAATAAGTGTAAAGTTGTTCAAGCCAACAGAAATCCAGGATCTACCATCATGTCATGAGTTCTGTTACTAACGTAGAGAAACAAACTTAGAAGTGTTAATAGTAGAATATTTTTAAAGGTATAATCAAAACTAAAAAAAACAAAAAACCTTGATGAGATTTGGTGAGTCTATATAAATGAGAAAATAAAAATACTTCACACCAAAACAAACCAATTGTAAAAAGAGAGAAGCATTCTGAATGTTAAATGAATGACTATACATACTTCTTTGTATCTCATTTCTCCGGTTTATATTTGGTGCTATCAAGGTGTATGCACTTGTGCTAAAAGGAAGAGAAAAAAAAATGCTTATTACCATGAGAAACTACCAATGCATATAAGCCACCAGATATTTTTCCTTCTATTATACTGTATTTATGATCATTACCATCAAATAGGCACTATGAAAGATAATCTTCTTAAGACCCTGATCTGTTCTCTGGGACCTCACAATCTTGATGTCAAAGTAAAACAAAGGACATGGCCAAATATGAAAATATAAAGCATTCGATGAGTGACAAGTGACTAGTTGGTGTACTGTCCTTGTAGGGCTCCACCGTTCCTCTAGGTGGTGCTTGTGAGTAAATTCCTTTAAGATGGCTTTAGATTGGCATTCTCTTCTGTGTGACCACACCGGGGTACAGGAAACATTGGTACATTTTCTGTTCCCACAGACTGATCCTAGAGGCCATTTGCAATGCAGCCACCTCCTCTTGATGATCTGAGTAACTAACTGGCTTTTAGGCTTTGACTTTTCTAGGCCTATGTCCACTGGTCTCTTCTTCTCCTAGGGACACAGGTTGAGCATAATCAGGGGCTCGGAGAAGCAAGGAGTCATTTCAACCAGGCGGATCAGGGAAGACTTTTTAAGAAAAATATTCACCTCTGTGACACTAGGAAGCTGTTAAAATATTGTGAGCTTTTGAGGGCAGAGAGTGTGCTTGATTGATGTGTATTCCAAGCCCCTGGCACAGTGTCTGGCACAAAGACATTGGCTGCTTGATAAATGTGGGCTGAATTAAAACAAAATGATGCTACAGACCCAGCCTGTGAGTCTGTGTGGGGGTGGCTCTTTTTTGAGATGATGCACGTGATCCCACAAGAACATGAATACTCCATTAAGCAATAATATAGCACAGCAACAGACTGCAGCATACATGTAGGTACAGTTTTAAGAGAAATGCTGTGGATAAACACAACCAGCTTCTAACTGTAGGATTTAAGAGGGAGGGAAAAAACCCCACCCAGATACTCTTGGAAGTCTCTCTCTTCTACCTGAATACACAATTTCAAAGGGCAAATTAGCAAAGATTGAACTGTAGAGGCCAAAAGCACTGATCAACAGAAGCCATTTCCTTCCTTATCTCATTATTTTTCTAGCAGCTAGCCTTCAGCCAGCTTCAAACTGGGCTTTAATTTTAGACTTGTAAATGTGAGGTGTGCAACAGCCTTTGCATGCAAATGGGGCTGCTGGATGCCCAATTACTTAATGTATATCAGCAGACGTTGCATGTGTAGCCTAGCATGCATACAACGTTATGAATACAAAATTAGGAGACTGCCACTGGCAATTAATCCCTTGTCCATTGCACATTCTTTGTACACCCTAAGAAACATTTTTCACTTCTGAATTGCCAGTACTTTTTAGGAGCTTGGAAGCTACAATCCCGTGGGTAGTCCCTGGAAACTTGAATATGATGCAATGGTGAGCCATGCTACAGAGACTGAAAGCTGAAACATCAGATACGAGACGTAAATGCCAATCATGAAATTGCTACACAATCTTCAATGTCTGCTAACATTGTGGTATAGAGCTTCTCTCTATACCACAAATTTGACTATACTCCAGATCAGTAGTTCTCAGCCTTTATCGTGCATCATAATCACCAGGAGGGCTTGTCCGCGAGCTTGAGAGTTTCTAATTCAGTAGCCTGCGACTGGGTCAAATAACTTACATTTTTAACAAGTTCCAAGATGATGCTGTTCTTGATCTAGGTACCACACTTGGAAAACCACTACTATAGAGCAATCAAGCTATCTTAGAACATTTGGGATAAAAGAAAACTTAGGTATTCATAAATCACTGGTAAAGACACAGAGGTTGAATCTCAGGCCAAAGATCACCAGGTCAATTGAGCAACACTGATGAGACTCCAGTCTAAGACTTTTGACTTAGATCAGTTTTCTGTCTGCAGCTAACTTTTCAACTCAATGTGCAAAGCATAAAATATGACCATCCTTTAACTTTAGTCCCTTGATAGACTTCCAAACAATGCAACCTACTTAACTGGGCACTTATTATGGATTTATTGTATTAGGGGCTTGTAGAGAGTGAGGGGAGATTCCAGAACAGGGATACTAATCACTTTAACAGAACTTACACTTTAGTTAGGAACAAGTCAAGAAACCACAAAAGCACCCCACGAGAATATCCAACCACTCAACATGAGTTCTGGATGGGGAAAAAAACAAAAATAAATAAATAAAAAATAAATTAAAAAAGAATACCCAAACAAGTCTTAAAGTGGGAATGATGTAAGTACTCAGAGATCCAAAACAGTGGAGATTCATAGAGACCTCAGAAGAGTAAAAAACTGAATAGCACGAAATAAGAATAGTAAGTTGAGGCTTAAAGAATAGGATCTGAAATAGCAAAAGTGTTTCTTTGCCAGGACTTTGCCAAAAGCAGCTTCACAGAGAATTTTCCAAGTCCATGAGTCTCTCTTACGGAAATTTTGCAAAAGGTTTGGAGAGAAAAATCAACTCATTTGTAAAAGATTGTATTCTACAATATCTAATCTGGTTAAGTTTTTAAGTCCGACATCATACTAGAATCTTCCATCTTAAGAATAGGACTTCAGTCAATCTATGGCCAATGTGTGTAGCTTACAGGTACCTAATAGAGAAACATAAAATAAAGGGAAAGAATTAGCTCTGAATTTAGAGGGTTTTTACTGAAAGCATTTTAGCATAAACCCAGGCAGTGGTCCCAGTAATAAACGTTTTATGTAAATTTTATGTGAATTGCTCAGCAACCTTCTCAGCAATATTTTATTGACTGAAAATGCCAAATCTGAAACATGTTATAATAGTCCCAAGAAAGCATTGCCAAGTAAATGGTAAGGAACTTAGCTTCTATTTCTATTTCTTAATATAAGAAGAAGAGCTTAAGTCAAAGGATATGCTTTTTATTTTTTAATATCATGTGTCAGAGTGTAATGCCTTAGTAGATACAAATATTCATCCCTTCTTTCTTAGCTTTCTCTTGACATGAAGAGCAAGTATAATTTATTAATGTTTTCAGCCAATTAGTTTGTACCCACAGCAAAGGCCTTTGCTGTTTTAACCTATGTGCTATCTCTTCCAACAGCCTGACTCTCAAAGTTGCTAATCTAGACAAGCCCAACAACCAACATTTCGCATTCTTGTCATTTCCTGATTAAGCAACATTCAAGCCACTGAAATAAATATATATATTTGAAAATGAGTCTCCTTAATTACCTCATTGAAATTTAATGAAAGATCTCAATTTGTAAGATTATTTTCACTTTCCAACAGCGCACATCCGTGAGATATACTGAGGGAGAATATATGAAAGAACAGACAAGATAAAATGTTTTTCTGCACCATAAGAAACATAAAATAAAAAGATATTCAAGAAATGTTTGGCCAAGCGCGGTGGCTCATGCCTGTAATCTCAGCACTTTGGGGGGCTGAGGCGGGTGGATCACTTGAGGTCAGGAGTTCAAGACCAGCCTGGCCAACATGGTAAAACCCTGTCTCTACTAAAAATACAAAAATTAGCCGGGTGTGATAGCACACGCCTGTAATCCCAGCTACTCGGGATGCTGAGGCAGGAGAATCGCTTGATCCCAGGGGGCAGAGGTTGCAGTGAGCTGCGATCATGCCACTGCACTCCAGCCTGGCCGATAACAGTGAAACTCTGTCTCAAAAAAAAAGAAAAAGAAAAAGAAAAGAAATGTTTTCCTGGCCGGGCGCGGTGGCTCACGCCTGTAATCCCAGCACTTTGGGAGGCCAGGGCGGGCGGATCACGAGGTCAGGAGATTGAGACCATCCTGGCTAACACGGTGAAACCCCGTCTCTACTAAAAATACAAAAAAAATTAGCCGGGCGTGGTGGTGGGCGCCTATAGTTCCAGCTACTTGGGAGGCTGAGGCAGGAGAATGGCGTGAACCAGGGAGGCGGAGCTTGCAGTGAGCCGAGATTGCGCCACTGCACTCCCGCCTGGGCGACAGAGCAAGACTCCGTCTCAAAAAAAAAAAAAAAAGTTTTCCTTGCGAGGTCTCTCGAGTTACACAACTGCATCTTGTGTGTACATTCTTGCACAATTTTTATAACTTTTTATCAATAAGTACTCTGAAAAAATGTTATGTTGAAGTTATCAAAAATATCTTGGCTGGCTAAAAGTATTACATAACAATATCCCCTGGTGTGTACAAACTGCACCAGATGTAATTTAAATTTGTAATTAGGAGCAACACTGGTTTGACAGAAAAAGAAATGCAGTTAAGAGCAAAAGTTCGGAAAGAGAAAATTAAGTGAAAAACATAATTTCAAGCAGAATAGTAGACATGTAAAGTCTACAGTCCTGCAAAAAGTTGAAGTTTTCATAGTTCAAGAAAATCTTATCCTTGGGTATATATAAATTGAAAAAAAAAGACTTAGAGATAATCAAAGGCATTTCGATACTTATCTTTCCAGATAAGACATTCCATATTGGTTTTTGTTACATGACCTTCAATGTAAGAATCAGAAACTTACTGTTTTCAGTCAACATTGAGTCAAAACTTTTGAGGCATTTAGGTTTCCAAAAGTTTGTTCATACATAGATCAAATTCCCAAGAATAATAGAAAATGACAAGACCAGGCCGAGCGAATTACCCTTGACCCCTAAGCCTATATTATACCACCCCTGATCAAGTATTCCACATCTCCAGTGTGGAAACATTTATGAATTGTCTTTGGCCTCAGAAACTACAGAGGCTAAGATACTGTCTGCACACCCAAGAAGCTGATGTGTAATTGATTAGTTCTTTCATCAGCACAACTCATTGCCTCTGTTAGACGGCTGAATACAGACACAGTGGGTAAAGACAGATAAATAAGCAGGAAATCATCGGGGCCTTTGTTTATAGGATGCCTTTAAGAAAATGAGAGGCATACACACCCAGGATCCCCATGGCTTACTGAGATATTGTAAATTCATGCAAACTAGAAAAAAAGTGCTGCTTCTTTCAGGTGGAGGTAATCCCACACTAAGATACATGGTTTGGTATGTATCTCAGCCACAAATCACACCTTAGCTGGGCAAGTGTGTGTAGTCACCAATCTGCACAACCATATAGAATCGACCTGAGATGATGTATTTCTTCACTTAAACACACACACACACATAAGTAAAAGCCACACAAAAAAAAGTTAGCAAGAAGGAGTCACACTAAAGATATAAAGAGTGTATATGAAGTACAATATTGTAGAGACTCACCATCTTTAAGAGGCCAAAAACCAATGATGGGACCATCGTTGAGATGGAGACCAACTGGTAGGTATACTTACAAAATGTCTTGTAACTACTTCCTCAGTAAAAATAACTGTCAGAAATTCATATTTTCAGAACATAGAGATGTCAGGTCTGGGATTTGATTGGATTCCACTTACAAGCTAATAAGTTAGCCTGTTACTGTTTCACAGACACTGGCAGAAGACATGAAATTCCTGGATCAGAGTCAAAGACTTTATTACTGATGGCACAGTAGGCAGCATGAGCACCAGCTTATTTACATCTATTCTCTCTGGCCTCCAGTCTTATGATGGGCGCAACAGGATGGATGCTGCACACATGGTGTGTTTGCATTGCAGCTGATAAAATCCTTCGGGAATACACCATTTTTACAGCAGATAGTAAGTGAGCCTGGTCTTTGTCCTGGGAGAACAAACCTTATCTCTCAAGGTTCCCAGCTAAATAAATAACTCTAAGAAATAGGTTAAAGAGTGGTCTTGGCACATCCAACAAAACGTAAGTGTACCTGAGGCCCTAGGGGGACTCTCTTTTCCAGCAAGAGAATATTTAGTATTAACATTCATATTAAGAATGGCTTAATGATAAATAAATTGATATTGGCAGAAAAACCACTTACTTATGAAATGTGCTATATATTTTCTCTTCCCATTATTATTATTAATAGACTTAGAATGGATTATGTTTCTGTCTCAAGCCTTACTCAAGGTTATCTATAACTTAAAGGAAAAAACCAGAAATGCAAGACATAGTGATGTACTCCAAAATCTGTACATAGAACACTTAGAAATGAAATTCATGTTTTCTGATTTTGAAAGAAACATACTTGTAAAAGAAAATTCAGAAAACTATTTTAAAAACATTTAAAAGTCACATATAATCCCACCTCTCAAACACCACAATTACAATTTTATTTGGGTGAATTTACTTTTCATCTATGCTCTATACATATTATTACACAGTTGCAAACATATTTTAAGTACAGCTGTACATCCTGCTTTCATTTATAAGTGGTTTTCCTAATTTGATTATATATGTAACATGCTTAATTCTCAATGGCTATGTAGTATTTCATGATATTGGTGCATCATATAACCACTCAACTATTGCAACTGTTTCAATTATTCACTATTATAAATAATCCTACAGGATGTACAAAGCATAATGCTTTCAGCAGAACATTATCCAGAAGAAAACACTAACAGTCCTCTGAATTCAATACTCTGAACAGGAATGTGGGCTACATTTAAACTTTTCTTCCTTAGATATCCTATTTACATTTCAAAAATCTGAGACAACATAATCATATGATTAATTTCCACTCTTATGTGTGACATCCTTTATTCTTTAACCAAAAGAGATGTAGGCCCTACCCAACATTCACTCTCACTTCCTCCTTGCTAATAGCACTTCTGTATTATTCAGACAGAGAATGTGCCCAATTAAAAGACTACAGCCACCAACCTTCTGTATAGTTAGGTAAAATTATGTGATTAAGTTTGAGAAATTGAGACATAAGTGGAAGTCACGGAGAGAGATTTCTAGAAAGCCTCCTTTAAGTGGTGGTAGACAAATAGAAAAAGCTGTTTTGTTACTTTCCTTCTTCCTGGAAGGTTGATGTGGTAGCTGGTGCTCAAGCAACCATCTTAGTCAATGAGGCAACCTGAATATGGAAGACATGATCAGGAATGGCAGAGCAGAAAGTCAGAAGCAGTCTGGTGCTCTGTGACCATGAAAACACCACATCAGTGGTAATCCGTTGCTGTACTGCCCAACTTCAAACCCTAATTCTGTTATTTCCTATCTGTACAACTTTGAGCAGATTATTCAGTTTTTCTATTTTTTCACCTGTGAAATCGGGATAACTATCCACTTCATAGGATATAAAGTGCTGTGAACCCTGAATATCTGAGGCAGGCCTCAGTTAATTTATAAAGTTTAAAGGCCTGGTGTGGTGGCTCATGCCTGTAATCCCAGCACTTTGGGAGGCCGTGGCAGGCAGATCACGAGGTCAGGAGATCGAGACCATCCTGGCTAACACGGTGAAACCCCATCACTACTAAAAATACAAAAAAAAATTAGCTGGGTGTAGTGGCGGGCGCCTGTAGTCCCAGCTACTTGGGAGGCTGAGGCAGGAGAATGGCGTGAACCCGGGAGGCGGAGCTTGCAGTGAGCCAAGATCACGCCACTGCACTCCAGCCTGGGCCACAGAGCGAGACTCCATCTCAAAAAAAAAAAAGAAAGTTTATTTTGCCAAGGTTGAGGACGCACCCATGACACAGCTTCAAGAGGCCCTGATGACATGTGGTCTAGGTGGTCAGAGTACAGTTTGGTTTTAGACATTTTAGGAAGACATGAGACATCAAACAACATATGTAAGATGAACATTGGTTTAGTCCAGAAAGGCAGGACAACTGGAAGCAAAGGTGGGACAACGCATAGCGGGGAGGGGGCTTCCAGGTCATAATAAATAAGAGACAAACAGTTGCATTCTTTTGAGTTTCTGATTCGCCTTTCCAAAGAAGGCAATCAGATATGCATTTATCTCAGTGAGCAGAGGGCTGACTTTGAATAGAATGCAAGGCAGGTTTGCCCTGAGCAGTTCCCAGCTTGACTTTTCCCTTTAGCTTAGTGATTTGGGGACCCCAGGATTTCTTTTCATTTCACAGTTCTGAGAACAATGCCAGAAAATAACAAATATTCTATTATAGTTTTCCATTATTTGTATTAGATCATCCCTAGACTACCTACCTTCAGACTTATTTTATGGGAGAGAAATAAAGAAAGCCATAGATACTTACTTAAGATAACTAAGGGGACATCTATTGCATTGTATGTAATTATAACAACTATATATAACATATATGACATCTATTTTATATGTAACAACTTAGCCCTGAATCACTAGGACATCTCCTTTCTTCATGCTGTGACTGATTCCCTTTGCTGCATCTTCTTTCATAAATATATATCATTAAGTTTTTTCTAATTATTTCTTTATATCCCTGTTTCTGGCTCTTCCTTTTAACAACTGTATCCTGGTTCCTGATTCTTTCCTTTGAATAATAAGGACCACTGCATGAAACAAAGTAGTATTTATAAATAATACATCTTAAAAATTAGTACATATTTTTTCTCCTGTAAATGGTAGCATGATTCTGAGCCCAGGCTTTTTTCATTAAATTATGTATTAACGTATAACGTAACTACAGAAAACGGCACAAATTTTAAGCATACAGCTTCATAAGAAAAGTTCTTTTACATTCTCCAGGTTCCAAAAGAGAAAAGGAAAAAAATAACAATAGGCACAATGAGCTTTAGAATATCACCTAAAATTGTATTTCCCCCAATGTTTTAAGAAATTTTAAGCCGGTGGGGCACAGTGGCTTATGCCTGTAATCCCAGCACTTTGGGAGACTGAGGCGGGTGGATCACGAGGTCAGGAGATGGAGACCATCCTGGCTAACACGGCGAAGCCCCGTCTCTACTAAAAATACAAAAAAAAAATTAGCCGGGCGTGGTGGCGGGTGCCTGTAGTCCCAGCTACTCAGGAGGCTGAGGCAGGAGAATGGCGTGAACCCGGAAGGCGGCGGAGCTTGCAGTGAGCCGATATCGCGCCGCTGGACTCCAGCCTGGGCGACAGAGGGAGACTCCGTCTCAAAAAAAAAAAAAAAAAAGAAAAGAAAAGAAATTTTAAGCCTAACAAGCAAAGTTATATATTATTAAAATGAATATCCATATACTGTTTACTTATATTTACCAACTGTTAATGTTTTCCCACATTTGCTTTTTCTCTTTTAACCATATGAAAATAAGCTGCAGGGTCATAACACATCATCCCTAAATATTTTAGCATGTATCTCCTAAAAATAAAAACAGTCTCCTACTTAAATATAATACCATTATCACACCAAGAAATTTAACATTAATATTGCCTAATAGTCTATATTCAAATTTCCAAATTGTTTCCATTTTAATATTCTTCCCTACCTTTACCTCATCCTAGATCCAATTATGGATTACACATTTCTATGGTTTGACATGTGTTTGTAGACTCCTATGAGCTCAGACAATTTCCTTGACTTTTTTTTTCTTTCTTTCATGACTGACATATTTGAAGAGTTCAGGTAACTTTTCTTATAGAATGCTTCACAATCTGGATGTAAGGAAAAGATTATTTCCTCATGATTCGATTAGGTTAAACATTTTTAGAAAGAATACTAGATAAGACATGTTATCCAAGATGCCACTGTGAGAACAAAGGTTGTTTCCTTGTGCAACTAAATAATAAGCCAAAGTGAAAAACAAGATCCGTCTATATGATGGAGTGCAATCACAGTTTAAAACAAAGATTAGAAAAAGAGTATCTGTCACATTCTATTGGCAATAGAAATCAAAGGGCATTGTATTAGTCCATTCTCATGCTGCTAATAAAGACATACTTGAGACTGGGTGATTTATAAAGAAAAAGAGGTTTAATGGACTCACAGTTCCACATGGCTGGGGAGGCCTCACAATCATGGTGGAAGGCAAAGGAGGAGCAAAGGCACATCTTACATGGTGGCAGGCAAGAGAGCACGTGCAGAGGAACTGCCCTTTATAAAACCATCAGGTCTCATAAAACTTACTCACTTTCGAGAACAGCACAGGAAAAAACAGCCCCCATAATTCAATTACCTCCCATGGGTCCCTCCCACAATACATGGTGATTATGGGAGCTACAATTCAAGATGAGATTTGGGTGGGGACACAGCCAAACCATATTAGGCATCATGGCCCTAGGTTTTCTACTTGGAATAAAGAGTCAAAGAGTGCAATCTGTACTTTAGAGATTTCTTTACACTAAACTCTTTGAAGTGTTTATTTCTAAGGGTCAGAATTGCAGGGGACTTTCACATTCTGTATTATTTTTGAAATGTTTGAGTTTTTATAACAAGCAGATATGACTTTACTTTTATAATCAGAGAAACATATTCTGAAGATTTTTAATAGAGAAATATTTAATATAAAGATTTCTTATAGCAGGGGCTCAGCTTTTCTTACAAGATTAGGTAGCATAGGTTTCTGCTTTCACTAGTACCATAGTAAAACAAACAATGGGCAATACTAGCCCTTGAGTTTTAATGATGGTAAACATCTTCAGTTTTTCTACAGGACTTTAATGGATTTTCTTTTAAGTCTTCATATTTGCAGGGGGTGGGGGACAGGGAATTACAAACATTACAGAACAAAGGAACCATCATCAGCCGATTCTCTGATATAGAATAGACCCTTCAAATGCAGTCATCTCCCTTTGATTATTTTCTTTCCTCTTAAGCTTTTGTTTCAGATTCAAATACATTCTGAATAGATGCAATTAACCTTAATATGTATAACCTTACAGCACTCTACTGACTTTGAAGTAAGTAACCTTACTGTGTAATTGAACTAAGTTTCTTTCTCATTTCTGCTATGGTTCTACTGATTATTGTTAGTAATATGTTTTCAAGCTTTCATCATCCTGTTGATTTATTGTTTCACCGTTCCAGCTGCCAAAGACTTTTTAGCAATTCCCATTCATTTTTGGTGATATTGTATTTGAACAAAAATGATTGCTCCCCAAGGCTTGGCAGACCACAAATGCGTACCATACTGAGGAATGGAATCCAGTGCAGAAAAGTTGGAAATTCCTTCTAAACAGGACCATAATTTCTACCGTCCTGCACAAACAGGAATGTAAATTTGATCTAATCAAACCAAAATGTTTTTTTCTTTTCATCCACTCTGTCTCTTCTGCCATGCATAGAACTGTGCTTTTCAAACTGTAGGAGGTAACCCTCTAATGGGTTATGAAATCAATTCAGTGGATTTATTTTTAATGAACAAGAATAGAAACTGTCAGAGTACATCACATATAATAAAGGTGAAAATTGTTTTGTGAAATTTTTTCAGTTATATATACCCTAATATATACTCAGTCAGGTACTAGGTCATGATGTCAAATGAATTGCTCACTGCAGGCTATGATCAGAAGTCTGAAAAAAAAATCACTGTAAGTTACTATGTTGTTGAGGTTGCACAGTGAGAGTGAGATAACTGCTCTAATGTCAGAGGTGTTTGAACCAGAGAGATTCCACCTTGAATAGGGGCTGGGTAAAATAAAGCTAAAACCTGCTGGGCTGCATTCCCAGACAGTTAAGGCATTCTAAGTCACAGGATGAGATAGGAGGTTGGCACAAGATACAGGTCCTAAAGACCTTGCTGATAAGACAGTTTTCAGTAAAGAAGCCAGCTAAAACCCACCAAAACCAAGATGGCAACGAGAGTGACCTCTGGTTTTCCTCAAAGCTACACTCCCACCAGCACCATGACAGTTTACAAATGCCATGGCAACATCAGGAAGTTACCCTAGATGGTCTAAAGAGGGGAAGCATGAATAACCCACCCCTTGTTTAGCATAAAATTAAGAAATAACCATAAAAATGGGCAACCAGCAAGCCTTGGGGCTGCTCTGCCTATGGAGTAGTCACTCTTTATTCCTTTACTTTCTTAATAAACTTGCTCTCACTTTGCTCTATAGACTTGCCCTGAATTATTTCTTGTGTAACATCCAAGAACCTTCTCTTGGGGTCCGGATCAGGACCCCTTGCCAGTAACACTAACACAAGGCTACCAAGCTCACCTGTCATTTGTGAAAAGCAGCAGAACAAAGGGAATCCCCAGAGAAACTTTTCTCCTGCAAAGTACTTCTCTATTCAAATCATTTTAAAGCTATGATGGGGTTCACGACATGTTATCCCAAAATATAGCACCTTGGTATTTGAGAAAACAGCAAAAGGAGGAAAGCCTCTCTGACCTTCTCCCATCTTTTTCCCCTGAAGCAAGCCATAAAAAATTTCTCTGACCTTCCTCTAAGGTAGGTCATAATATCCTCATTTCAGAGGGATCCTCCCTCCTCCCTAAACCCATAGGAAAGAAGTGGAGACATAGAGACACAAAGAATTTGAACAAACAGGACTTGCTAAGCTTCCCCAGTTTATGTCATTAGACCATACTCCTTTTTGACCAATCATACTTCTATATACTATCCACTCTTCATCAAACCTAAGCATAAAAAGACACAGTTTTCCCTGGTTCTTTGAATCTTCATTTTTGGATGCTCCTATGTCCTATAAAACTTATGTTAAATGAATGGGTATGCTTTTCTCTTGTTAATCTGTCTTTTTTTATAGGGATATCAGCCATGAACCTAGGGATAGGTAAGGAAAGAAATCTTCCCCTCTCTGCAACTGTAAATGTCACATTACTGCTTCGATATTACCACTCTCTTTAGCCTATAGAACTTCTCTTTTCTTAATGTCAATATAAAACAATGATAGGGCTGGGCGCAGTGGCTCATGCCTGTAATCTCAGCACTTTGGGAGGCCAAGGCAGGTGGATCACGAGGTCAGCAGTTCAAGACCAGCCTGGCCAACATGGTGAAACCACGTCTCTACTAAAAATACAAAAATTAGCCAGGCATGGTGGTGGACACCTGTAATCCCAGCTACTCGAGAGGCTGAGGCAGGGGAATCGCTTGAAGCCAGGAGGCGGAGTTTGCAGTGAGCTGAGACCACGCCATTGTACTCCAGCCTGGGCAACAGAGCGAGACTCCATCTCAAAAAAAAAAAAAAAAAAAAAAAAAACAATGATAAGACCTTAGCTAGCTGTACTATCAATCCTTCTATCTATTCTCCATCTGTACATCATATTCAAGATCCAAAATTTGGTAGATAGACATAGGTTTGAATACTGGTTCTGTCACTCAAAAAGCCATGAGATCTTGGAAAATCATTTTATTTTCAAGACTCAGTTTCCTCATCTTTAAGGTAGCAAATGGCTTATCATGAAAAGAATATTCAATAATGTACCTGACATACTTAACACAAGGTCTAGCACATGGCTAATCATGGAAAACACATGAGCTACTAATTGTTATTTTGGTTTTAGTCTCTCAGGGGTACCCAGTTTAATTTTTCCAGATCATAACTAATTTACTTTATGCTACAACAGGATTCCAATGCTTCATTACATTTCTCATTTCAAAAATAAGTCAAATAGTAGTAGTATTAGTATCTGATAATCATTGAGACATCTACCCAGCTCATTGAGACATGTCATTAGGAAGAGTTAAATACTATCTGTTGCTTTATAAACTTTCTGCATGCTAGAGATTGACTTAAATAATCCCCTAATGAATAACCATCTATATTGAGCCATCAAGATTACTCATTACAATCAATCACAGATACTATCTTCCAATGTACTATTATTTCATAACATTAAAAGGAACTCCAGCATTACCCAATTCTCCATCTCCAGGGAAGAATACTAGACTGATGCATTCAGGCCACTTAGCATCTATAAGCAGAATTTTATTCTCATAATCATATAGAGAAGGAAATTGAACATCTGAACATTGCAGTGAGGAAGAAATAGTGAAAACAGTTCTAATATGCTCTAATAAGTTTGTTAAAACTTGTACTTCATTTCAGAATATTTTATGTGGCTTATTCAGATGCAAATAATGTGAGTCAAAATGACTTAAGTTCTGTCTCAGACATAAGAAACCATACTTCAGGATTGCAGAAAATAGACACTAAATAGTGATATTGATAAAAATTTAACACTATAACTTAGTGACTTTATTATTGTATATCCCACCTTGTATTCCATCTTATAATTACAAAATACTTTACAAAATTTAACAATGCTTTTTAAGGAGAAAAGAGAAAAATCAGGATTGGCCATGATGAACTGCTCTTATCAAACCATCATTTATTCTCCTTTTATCTCCCTTGAGAGTTTGGGGATGAAGAGAAGGATTACAAAGATTATTTCCTTCCCTCAAGCATAACAAACTGGTGGGACGCATTAAGGTTGGATCAAGGAAATTAGGAAATGTTTTTCTGGGCCCTGAAGGAGGAAATGAGAAAAAGAATGGGTTTCCCCAATCTGCATAGACAGCATGCCAACAACAGACATAAATAAGATGTCTAAGTGTTGAGGTTGCAGTAGGGTGTTTTAGAGACTGTATTAGTTTGAGTCCTTCAGAAGCTGACACCAAGATGGGGTTAGACAAGCAAGAGATGGATAAGGGGGAATGCTTGTGAAGGATGAAAGTGGGAGCAGGGGTAGGGAAGGAAAGCTTTGAGAACAAGACTAGGTCTGATTACTATTGCCAAAACCTAAATAAAAGACAGTGAGAGAGGCCCTCCCAAAGAAAATCATATTTATTCTGGATTGAGCATTGCAATGGGAATACAGTGGGTATATTCAAGAAGGCAAAGGAAGACAAAGGTTTTTTAAGGAAAAGTGAGGAAAGGAGGGTGATACAAGTTGTTTGAGACAAATATCCTTGGCTACAAAAATCAACAAGGGTAGAATCAGTCCAAGGCTGGACAGACAGTTGCTAGGCAGATGTCCTTGCAGAAGTACTTTTTGTGTAAGGTTGTAGCTTTTGTGCAAAGTTGTAGTTTTTGCAGAGCCTTTTGTGAGAGTTCTTGTTATGAGGCATATGTGCATGAGAATCTTCCCTTCATGGCCCCAGCTCCACGTGTTTGACACAAGTGACCTCATTTTGAGTCTGACAACTTTCATTCTATGAAAGGACCGAAGGAAAGAGGATTGAGTAGCAAGATCCTCAGTGTTATACAGTTCTGAGAAAATCTTGGACACGAATATGGGGAGTCTTCCAGCAAAAGTTGCCTAATAGAGGAGTTCTGCATGGGCCAGGAATAGGCTAGCACTAAAACCATCCCAAGAAAATTGTATAAAATTGAGCAAGAGAAAAACAAAACAATAAAATCCAACCGGGCTTGCAGCAGCAATCATTAAGCCAGCTTGCCCTTTGGTCCACTTCCTTGTAGCTGGTTGTTGCTCACTAGCCCAGCTTTGAGCTGTCCAATGGACAACCCCAGATTTTCTAGCCCCTCACCCTCCATGAATCCCCTTAAAAACCCTTGCCCAGAACCCATGGAAGAAACAAACTTGAGGCTTGAGAATTCCTCCTGTTTCCTCACTGAGAATGTCGCGATGATTAAACTCTTTCTCTGCTGCAAGTGCCATTGTCAGTGTATGGGTCTGTTGCTGCCCAGAGGGCGTATAAGCCTGGCAGTCCTGCAACAGCACTGGCACCCTGGAATGCTCAGCCATTGGCTGGGATGGGTGCAGCACAAGCCAGCACTCACAGGCAAGGTGTAATGGATCCAAAAGGGTGGCAGCTGGGGCCGTCAGCTGACTATGCTCCCCACTGTAAGTTCTTCTGAAGACAATCTGAATAACAAGTTTCTCTGGCTGTCCAGAGGCCATTTAAACTCCTGTGACATAATAAAAAATAAATATTTAGCCACGGTCCCTGGTTCCTGGGACAGAGCTCCCCAAACCCTTGGGATTCCCAGAGTGCTAAGTGTCTTTTTTATGCTAATGTCTGTTGGTGAGGTCCCTAGACAGCTAGCTTAAGAGACTGGTAGCTAGAAAAACCAGCTATGCGATTGGGGGGTTAAAACTTTCAACCCCTGGCCGGGAGCAGTGGCTCACGCCTGTAATCCCAGTACTTTGAGAGGTCGAGGTGGGTGGATCACAAGGTCAGGAGTTCGAGACCAGCCTGGCCAATATGGTGAAACCTCGTTTCTACTAAAAATACAAAAAAATTAGCCAGGCATGGTGGCACATGCCTGTAATCCCAGCTACTTGGGAGGCTGAGGCAGGAGAATTGCTTGAATCTGGGAGGCAGAGGTGGCAGTGAACTGAGATCACGCCACTGCACTACAGCCTGGGTGACACAGCAAGATTCCATCTCAAAAAAAAAAAAAAAAAAAAAAAAAAACAACTTGCAGCCCCATCTCAGTTTCTGGGGAGAGGCGGGGGCTGGAGATTTAATCACCAATGGCCACTGATTTAATCAATTATGCCTAGGTAATAAAGCCTCAATAAAAGTTCTTGAACTATAAGGTTTGGGGGTCTTCCAGGTTGGCGAACACATCAAAGTATCTACCTAGAGTATGGAAACTCTTCACACCCCACCACCTACCCCTTCATCTCCCAAAAGATGCCTTACGCATCTCTTCCACTTGACTGAGTTGTATCCTTTATGATAAACCTGTAATCATAAATATAGTAATTTCTGCGAGTTTTGTGAGTCACTCTAATGAATTATCAAAACTGGGGAAGGGGAGATGCATGGGAACCCCCAACTTTGTAGTCTGGTGGGTAGACATACAGGTAGCCTGGAGACTCCATTTGCAGCTAGTGTCTGAAGTCTGAAGTGGGGGGCAGTTTTGTGGGACTGAGCCCTTAATTTGTGGGGTCCACACTAACTCTGAGTAGTTAGTGTTAGAATTGAACTGTGGGACACCTAGTTGGGGTCACAGTTAGTTGGTGTTAGAATGACATATTTGATGTCAGGAAAAAAAAAACCACACAACTCCTAATGATCCTGTAGACCAAAGCTCAAACGTCACCTCTAAGGAAAGATCTTCCTGCTCCCAAGACCAGCTGAGACCCCAGCTTTCCTTGCAAGCTTGTCCAGCCCAGGGCCCACAAGGTGCATGTAGCCCAGGTGGCTCAGGATGGCTTTGAATGTGGCCCAACACAAATTCATAAACTTTCTTAAAACATTGAGGTTTTTTTGCGATTTTTTTTTTAAGCTCATCCACTATGATTAGTGTTAGTGTATTTTGTGTGGGGCCAAGACGATTCTTCTTCCCATGTGGCCCCAGGAAGCCAAAAGATTGGATACCCCTGCTTTAAAGTATACATATTTGTTCACATATTAATAAATGTCTGTCCCATCAATTAGACAGTAAGCTTCATAAGGGCTTATTTTGTGTTGAATAGTTATTTGTTCCTAGTTTTTAATTAGTTCTTTTAAGCTAGAGATCCTCTCATTCCATGGTGGTTATGAGGATTGAAAGAGTTAGTATACATAGTGTGCATTTACATACTAGCTACTACGTAAGTGCTATTATTATTATTGCTCATGTTGAAGTCTCTACAATACTAATACGAAGTAGGCCACAAAAATGTTAAGATTAACATAATTTACATACAAATTCAGCTCAAGTTAACTGTAAAATAAAATTCCATATTATAGGTTCATTTTCAAAATATATTTTTATTTTCTTCAAACAGCATCAAGCTAAAGGACCAGGTATGGTTAGACAAGTACATGAATGTGAATTCAACCCTATATTACCAGCACAGGCAAGACCCCATTTCCCAGAATTGGATAAAACTAGGTAAATGCATGTCTTTGTCTTATATTTATCTAGAGGTGATATAAATAATGTAAAATATTTACAAACAAGCAGAATATTAAAAGGAAGGATAAAGGTTTACTTTGGATTAGAAGTTTGTGTAAGCTTTTTTCTCTTTTAATTTGTGTAGACAGCTTTGATATTTAAGGACAAGACAAAAATCACCAAGTAAAAATAATTGGGAAAGCCAGTATGAATTAGTAAATACTTATAATAACTTAAATCCAAATTCCATCAAGAACTCAATCTTGGCCAGGCGCGGTGGCTCACGCCTGTAATCCCAGCACTTTGGGAGGCCGAGGCAGGCAGATCACAAGGTCAGGAGTTTGAGACCGGCCTGGCCAATGTGGCGAAACCCCGTCTCTACTAAAAATACGAAAATTAGCCAGGCATGGTGGCATGTGCCTGTGGTACCAGCTGCTCAGGAGGCTGAGGCAGAGGAGTCGCTTGAACACGGGAGGCAGAGGTTGTGGTGAGCTGAGATTGCGCTGTTGCACTCCAGCCTGAGCGACAGAGCGAGACTCTGTCTCAAAAAAAAAAAAAAAGAACTCAATCTTGTCTGAGAGTCTATCAGAGGTACTCAGAATAATTTAATATATTGATAGCCACAGATTTTTACTAGTATACTTTCTTTCTATGCAAATAGGTGGTTTATTTATTTATTTATTTATTTATTTGAGACAGGGTCTCACTCTGTTGCCCAGGCTGGAGTACAGTGGTACAATCACAGCTCACTGTAGTCTTGGAGCTCCTGAGCTCAAGCTATCCTCCTGCCTCAGCCTCTTGAGTAGCTGGGACAGAGGTATGTGCCACCGTGCCCAGATAATTTAAATTTTTTTTTTTTTTTTTTTTTTTTTGGAGAGACAAGGGACTCCCTATGTTACTCCTGGACTAAAGCAATCCTCCCACATTGGCTTTCCAAAGTGCTGAGGTTACAGGCACAAGCCCCTGCGCCCGACCACAAGTAGGTGTTTTAAACCAGTGTTTTTTTTTAACAAGGCACAAACATTCGACTTAAGGGTGACAGCATAGTACTTTACCAGGAATAAAGTTATGTTTTACACATATACACGTGGAAAAATTAAAACCCTATGAAGTTGGTATTGTCTTATATTAAGTAATGAGGAAACTGAGGCATAAAGTAGCTAAGGATTTTGTTCAAAGAGCAAGTGATGGCATAATCAGAACTTGAACCCAGGTCTACCCAGCATCAGAGCCCATATTCCTAATCCCCACACTGGGGCTGCAGGAGGAAATTAATGGAAGGATTCCCACAAAACAAGACAAATCTTTTACCATATAAATAAATTCACATTATGAGTGGACAAATGAAACTGTACTATTAAAGCACTTTATCCTCTTTTTTCTTTTTTTTTTTTTTTTGCTTTTTGTTTTGTTTTGTTTTGTTTTTGAGACAGAGTCTCACTCTGTCGCCCAGGCTGGAGTGTAGTGGCGCGATCTCGGCTCACTGCAAGCTCTGCCTCCCGGGTTCACGCCATTCTCCTGCCTCAGCCTCCCAAGTAGCTGGGACTACAGGCGCCTGCCACCATGCCCAGCTAATTTTTTGTATTTTTAGTAGAGACGGGGTTTCACTGTGTTAGCCAGGATGGTCTCCATCTCCTGACCTCGTGATCCGCCCTCCTCGGCCTCCCAAAGTGCTGGGATTACAGGCGTGAGACACCATGCCCGGCCTCTTCATTTTTTTAAATCAGAAAGTGTTTCTAATTTTTATCCCCAAAATAAATAAAGCCTTCTTTATTTTGGGGCAGCGGGTAGGCAGCTAATTCTACTGAGATATTTGCCATTCATTTTCCTTGGTTTTCCAACTTCATTAAAGGAAACAAGTGAGAAAGTGAATCTAAGTAACTAATGGAGATGCAACAAAAATTCAAAGTCATCCCAACAGGATCTCAGACATCAAACCCCTAAAAGGGAATATATAATTCTGTACTTACTGCAACTGGTTCACATGAGGAAAAAAAAAAAAAAAAAGGAAGACTCTGTGAGAGATAACTAAACACTTCCTGGTATTTTTTTAATGGTTCATTTGAAAATCTTTTCAGGAATCGCAAAATAGTGTACAGTGAGCTCTTCAGGGTATTAAGGCCTGGATAACCCATCAGAAAGCTGCCTCTTTCTGAGCAATTTGATCTGGCAAGATTCCAGGGTAATTACAACCAAATAAGAAAACAGATGCAACAGTTAATACTTATGCGATGATATGAGCTTAGAAATAAATGGTTGTATCTAAATAAATGCTTTTTAACAGAAAAAAGTCATGCAAATCATGTTCATCGTTAACTATTCATGGACACGAGACCATATGTCTGTGACCTTTGTTACTGTTAAGTACTATAGCTTGTAGATACGTGGGTTACTTGAAAGTAATTGGCTGCTTCTACTGTGGCGAGACACTAATTATTCTGAGGAGGAAAGAAATGCAACAATCTCTAATTGATTTCCAGATTATCCACCCCATCTAAGGGTAAACCTAAGCTAAATAATAATATTAAAGGCCTGGTACTTTCCAAAAGCTAAGGGATGAAAGAAAATCTACTGTTTATCGGCCATAAGGTTATATACTGTTTCTTAGCAACCAGGGTTTGTCTTTCAGAGACTAGAAGTCGATGAAAAAGGAGAGACTAAAAATAAAACCATCTGGACAGTTCCAATTCACAGAGGCAGCACTTCAAAGGCAGTGATGTTGTGATAAACCATACTGTTGAGTTAAAGTTCATTCCATTGGCTAGAAAGAGAGGCTCATGACACTTGCTTAATAAATGTTTCCCGGATACTCACTGCAGTCCCTGAACCAAAGACCAGGAATAAAAGCTACCTATCTGTTCCTGCATAGAGCACATATCAACATCAGGGATGAGAGGTACTATGGTCACTCACCTCCTCACTCTCTCAGCTCCACTCCTCTGGTTGTAAGAGGCTAGTTTATCTGCGAGTCTTGCTGGGACGTAGGCTTGCTCCTACCTAGAGGCAGAATTTGAACCTTCTACCCCATATCACATTTCTTGTTGACCCTTACCTGTTAGTGTCTGATACAGTAATTCCGTTTAGGACACCAAGTTTTGTTTTTCTGTTTTGTTTTGTTTTGAGACAGTCTCGCTCTGTTGCCCAGGCTGGAGTGCAATGGCGCAATTTCCGCTCACTGCAACCTCCGCCTCCCGGGTTCAAGCGATTCTCCTACCTCAGCCTCCCAGGTAGCTGGGACTACAGGCACGTGCCATCACACCCAGCTTATTTTTTATTTTTAGTAAAGACTGGGTTTCACCATGTTGGCCAGGCTGGTTTCGAACTCCTGACCTCAGGTGATCTGCCTGCCTTGGCCTCCCAAAGTGCTGGGATAACAGGCTTGAGCCAACGCGCCTGGCCCAGCACCAAATTTTTAAAAACAGTAAGGGAAAAGTTATTTCCATACTGGTTGGAGTATGAGTTCTGGAGATACCTGGAAAATGACATCTTACTGGATGCCTAGGCAGTTCCGACACACCCATATCTTTCAATCCTGTAGCCAGTCACAAAAATCAGGAAAGTAGTATTCCTGGAAGGAACCGGGCTGGTTATTTACCAAAGGACTGCAAACTAGCCGACTCAATTTATAAGGTGCGGCATGGATACTTTCATTTAAGCAAATGAGCTTTCATTCAGTCAAAATCCCTGTTGTTGGGCCCCTGTGGTTTTAAACTCCAAGGACCAAGGTGCTTGTGAGTGAGTATGTTTGGGGCCCGGGCTCCCGCCCCGAAGCCAGGTTGTTAAAATACTCACCGCCTCTGGCCCGCGTGCACGACGCTCTCCCGCGAAGGGCCCTTAGGGGCTGCCTCCAAACCCTCTCTCTGGTCTTCCACGGGGCTCAGCTCCCCTTGCCGCCCAGAAGGGTCCTGGGGATCCCGGGTCGGGCGGGAGGCAGGGGAGGCGCCGAGCCCGGAGTTCACCACTCTATTGCGGGTGTTCATGGTTCACAGCCCGCGGGTCCCGGGCCGCCGTCGCTGCGGGAGGGATGCGGCTGGGACGCTTAGCGAGTCTCAAGATGGGATTCCAAAGTGCAGAGGCAGCGGTTTTAACAGCTGAGTTTCGGTTTCTCAGAATCAGCAGCAGACTGCGCCCGCCCCAGAGAACTTCCCCACGTATTCTCCACTGAGGCCCCGTCCGACCTTATCGCGGGTTAACAGCCCAGGATGTTGACTTGAGCTGGCTTGGTCGGCTACAGGTGAGACGGTTTAAAGTCTCACAATCACCTTAGAGGTTAATCAGAATAACTGGGATCAGCCACGGACACCTGGTGAGCGATTAGCCCGCAGAGTGACTACAATCCTGAAAGATACTTGAGAAACTGTTTAACAGGCAACTCTAATTTGAGGTTACCGCTGGATATTTGAGACTGTAAAAAATATATTAACCTTAAAATACCAGAGATTAGGTCAATAACTAAAATCATCTCAACAAAATGTCGCCTTTTATCAGTAATGACTGCTGTGTGGCTGTTACCAATGCACATACTTTCAAGTTAGAGGAAATGGAAACTGAAATCAAAAGAAAACAAAAACCTACAAAGCCGGAGAAGTAAGCTAAGGTAGACATGATTCTCCAGGCAGCCTTGCTAAGTAATTGACTAGACATTCGAGAACTATTAAAAATACCTGCTCTGTGCAGAACAGTGTGCAACGGTGATGTGGGGACATTTTAAAATATGGATGTGTAAGGCTCAGTTCCTGTAGGTTCAGGGGTGAGCTCTGGCATTCATATTTTTGAAAAGCTCCCAGATGATTCTGATGTGTGCCAGGGTTGGTCACCAGGGTCACAATGCCGTCTACACAAAGATGAGTGAAGGCTCTTCCCTCATGCTACCTGCATTCTAGGAGTATCCTAGTAGACAGGTAAACAAATGGGAATGCCACTTTGGGATAAATGAAATGACAGGCAGCTGTGGAGGCACAGAGAAACTGGGGATTAGCCCTCTGAGTAATTCAGGAACAGGGACATTTGAGAATGAGCCACCAAAGACATAGGAATTCACCAAGAAGAAGGAGATGCTATGGCAGAGGCTTGTCACTTAAAATGACATGGTGTGTACTTAATTCCAGGGGTTGTCATGTGGCTGGAGCACCCCAGTCCTAGGTCAGCAAGACAGTTAGGAGCTGGACTGTCTTCCTTATATTATTGGTGCTTAGAACAAAAAGACACATACAGGTTTGATAGCTAATGAAAGAATGAAATTGAAGGGTGGGCCAGGGTGGGACAGGAGAGGAGAAAATAATGACAAGGAACATGGTAGGAAAGTCAGTCAGGATTTCTATGCCATCCTAAGACATTAGGGTTTTGTAGAGTAGGCCAGAGTTTCACAAATTTCAGTAAGCATCAGAACCACTTGGAGGAGGGTGCGTTAAAACAGATTTATGGCCAGGCACGGTGGCTCACTCCTGTAATTCCAGTACTTTTGGAGGCCGAGGCAGGAGGATTACCTGGAGATCAGGAGTTGAAGACCAGCCTAGCCAACGTGGCGAAACCCCACCTCCACCTGGGCGACAGAGAGAGACTCCATCTCAAAAATATATATATATAGTTTCTGATTCAGGTCTGGGATGGGGCCCAAGGATTTGCATTTCTAACAAATTTCCAGGTGATACCAATGATGCCAGTCTCAGGATCACCCTTTGGGAACCACTGTTGTAGGCAATGTGGAAGGCACAGGAAGTTTTTCAATAGGGCAGTTACTCAATAATATCTGTTTTACAAAGTTAGCTTCTAACAATGTGAAAACGGAGATTGAAAGATGAAGAGACTGAAATCGGGAAGATAAATTCAGAGCCTAGTTACGTCTAGGTAAGAAATACAGATCTGAGCTAAGGCAACCCAGAAAGTGGGGAGCAAAATCAAGACATTTCACATGGGCCAGGCTCAGTTGCTCATGCCTGTAATCCCAGCACTTTTGGAGGCTGAGGCAGGAGGATCACCTGAGGCCAGGAGTTTAAGGCCAGCCTGGGCAGCATGGTAAGACCTCATCTCTACAAAACAAATAAATAAAACATAAAAGACATTTCACATGAGAGATTAGCATAGATAAAAACTAGATGAAAGAGAGAATTGAGTACTGGAAGGCAGCAGAGAGAAGGGGAGATGGCTTTTATAGTGCTTTGAGACCAGCTTTGCCACATACTGGCCACACAACCAAGGCCAAATCTCTTAATTCCTCAGAGATCCAGTTTCCTCCTCTGCCTCATGTGGGTATTGTGAGGAATAGAGATCATCCACATCAGTGGTTCTCAAATGGAGTTGATTTTTCCTCTAGCAGACATCTGGCAATGCCTGGACATATTTTTGATTGTGAAGCCTCAAAGTGGGTAGGTGCTGCTAGCATCTAGTGTGTAAAGGCCGGGGATGCTCCTAAACATCCTACAATGCACAGAATAGGCCCACATGACAAAGAGTTGTCCTGCCCCACGTGTCAACAGTGTTGAAGTTGAAAAATCCTGATCTTCACAGTATGCCTACCTTATAGCCCCAGTAATTTAATGGTTGCTGTCTTTATGGTGACTTTTAGCTTTGTGACTGGATACGAGGTAGAACCATTAACCTAGAGGAGGGACAAGCTTTGAGGGAAGTTCTAAAAGTCTGTTTAGGTGCTGTTGGGTGTAAGGTACCAGCGGGGTGAGAAACGCAGACCTAGAGATCAACAAAAAAGAGGAACAGCAGGGCCTTTCTGGAGGCCATCTTCCACATTGTTCTTTACTAGGAAAATACCCCTGGAACTCTTGTTTCAAAGGAGAAAATTATTTTGGTGGTTGGATGAAATTTAAAGTTTGAGGAAGGGAAAACCCACACTGGGGGAAAACTGATTCTCCTAAAGGAGCTAGTAATAGGGATGTTGGCCTCAAGAATATACTTAGTTAACCATATTTGTTTCACAACACAACCACATGTCACACCAAAGTTTCAAACCTGAGATTTCTCACTCCATTCACTTCTTGTTTTACCTGAGATTTCTCACTCCATTCACTTCTTGTTTTGCCACATTCTCAAAGTGTTTTAAAAAATGTGAATGTGAGGCTGGATGCGGTGGCTCACACCTGTAATCCCAGCACTTTGGGAGGCCGAGGCAGGCGGATCACGAGGTCAGGAGATCGAGACCATCCTGGCTAATACGGTGAAACCCTGTCTCTACTAAAAATACAAAAAATTAGCCGGGCGTGGTGGTGGGCGCCTGTAGTTCCAGCTATTCCGAAGGCTGAGGCAGGAGAATGGCGTGAACCCGGGAGGCGGAGCTTGCAGTGAGCCGAAATCATGCCACTGCACTCCGGCCTGGGTGACAGAGCGAGACTCCGTCTCAACAACAACAACAAAAAAAAGTGAATGTGATTTATTATGGCAACAGACATCTACAGGCTCCTTTTGGATGCCCGAGAATGGGCTACTTGTGTATCATCCATTCTTTCACCGTAGGTGTGTGCATTTGGGCGAAAATAAGGGCTGGCCTTTTACTGGAGTTGTTCTTGGGTGCGTTTTTCTATAGTAGTGGCTGGTGGAGAGAAGCAGAGGTGAGTGGGGAGGGTCCTGGGCCCCTATCCCTATTTAGCCAAGTACTTTAGCCCCTTATCTCTTCTACTCACTAGGCCACTGCCTAATTTTGTTTGAGGCAAGAATTCAATGGCTTTTAAAAGTTTGAAAAACCACCATACTAGACAATTACCTAGGAATATGTTTTAAGAGACATGAGAAAGAAGTGAAATCTAGTGGGATTGTTACCTTACCTGAAATTTGGCCAATTAGAGATTCATTTAGGAAATGTTTTTCTTTTCAAATGAAACTGCCTCTGGGAAATAATCATGTATTCGTTCCTTTTGGTAAATGAGTTTAATCTGAGCAAAAGACATTTTGGCTGGGGAAGAGGAGAACTGAGTGAAAAGAAAAAGGATTCCAAAAGTTGTGTAAAGAAAAACATAAAATGAGGCATTGTTGGGGAATGGAAATTCAGAAATACAATGAGCAATTTTAGCCAGCCCTATGAGCTTTAAGAGAGAAGATTAAATCAAAAAGAAACTTTACCAATTTATTTTACTGCAAACATGTCTAAGTGTGTCTTCTTTCAAGAAAATAAATGGGAATATATGTCTGATTTTTAAATTAATTGCCTTAGATTACTCCTGCATTAATATGTACAAATATAGAGAGAGATACATAAACTCTAAGACTTTTCTTGTCATAAAATGTGTAAATGAAAAAAATCTTAGTTTTTGAAAATTCTAAAAAGTCACATTTCCTTAAATTTGATTCTTCAGTGGAAAGTTAGATTAATCTAAGAGATTTAGGACAGCAGTTATCTAAAGGTTTTTTTTTTCTCTTCTAACAAAGGAGTTATGTAAAACTCTGAATATTTGGTATCTCCTCATTTTTAGTGTGTGTGTGTATGTATGTGTTTGAGCATACCTGTATTGTGACAACTCCATGTGAAATTCTTCAAATCCTACCATAGAATTGTGAAATGGTACAATTATGAGTCACCATAAGTTCGTACAGGAAATATTTTTTGAATGACAAGCATGTATCATTCTTTGCATCATACCATGGAGCTACAGTGGTAAGCAGACAGAATCTTGTTATTCCACCTTCATATTTAAGAGCATCTAACCACTTTATTCTAAACAAGGAGACAGAGGCTTAGAGAAGCCAAATGACTCACCAGCACTGCGCACAAACTAGTGGCATAGCTGGAACATAAATTTAAGTTGTCCGAGCCCCAAGTGTAGCTTTTCATATTTTGGAAGATGATTGTGACAAAATGTCTCTTTTGACAAAATTCAGAATTCGGCATGTTTTTTACTTATTATAATTATCCCAATGAGCAGCTGTGCATTACTTTCTAAAATCAAAATGACTATGCCAAAGTTTCTGAACCTGTCAGAATCAACATTAATAAAAACCTTAACACTCCAATATTTACCCCTATAATTACACGATCAAATGATCTCTACAATGATGCTGTTTTATACAACTTGTCAACATTTCATGAATTGCAAATATGCTACATTTGGGCTAAAAGGCCTTTTCTTTAACCGTGTTAAAATAGTGAGCCTTATAGTGTAGTGCAAAGAATTCTACTTAAGAATGGAAAGATACACTATTTTTCGGATGACAATGTGTACTGTCACTTGGGGAAATGAGGAATGTAGAAATGTGCTTTAAATGATATTTCCTACCCTCAGATAGGTGGCTGAATTTCCTTGTTTGTAAATTCAAATCTGAGGAGTAGGTAACAGCTGCCATATCTGGGTTCTAACACTGTGTAGTAGCTGTCACAAGATCTCTGCTAGCTGCAGGAATGGAAGGAATTTCCCTTAACTTTGGGGAAACTTCTGTAGACTCAGTGGCGTTGACAGGGAGATTACCCTGAAGGGTTTCTTTAGCTGTGATAAATGAATCAAACAGAAACTCTCTAAAGTCCTCTTCATTTTTTGTGTGTACTTTTTTTTTTTTTTCTCATACAAAGTCTCACTCTGTTGGCCAGGCCAGAATGCAATGGCATGATCTCAACTCACTGCCACGTCTGCCTCCCAGGTTTAAGTGATTCTCCAGCCTCAACCTCCTGAGTAGCTGGGATTACAGGTGTGCACCACCACACCCAGCTAATTTTTGTCTTTTTAGTAGAGACGGGGTTTCACCATGTTGCTCAGTCAGGCTGGTCTCAAACTCCTGACCTCAAGTGATCCGCCTGCCTCAGCCTCCCAAAGTGCTGGGATTACAGGCATGAGCCATCGCAGCCGGCCTTAAAGTACCAGTTATTTTTACTCAATATCTGTTCCTTTTCCAATGATGCCCCTTCTTAGGGAACTCCTAACTGTTCTGATGTTTTAACTCCAAGCCAACACTTTTGTGAGCTTCATGGTCCTTCGTAAATATCACCAGGTATGTAAGAAAACGTGGTAGAGGGGAAAGAGTAATGGCCACAAAGGCAGAAGACCTGAACTTGAGACCTGGCAAAGCCATTTAAAGAGTTTTGTGACCTCAGGCAATCATTGAAACTCTCTGAACTTTAGTTGCTTTATTTGTAAGATGGAAATATTAATCATAATAACCCACCTGTCCTATCTACCTTTTAGAAGCTTGTGAGGGCCATAAATTGCACCTTGATGCAATATAAGTTGATGTTATAATTTTTGAGTTGTCAATGTTAGAGCTTTATATATTTTTTCTAATAATACTTAAATTTGTCCTCAAAGAATTCTTAACTTCAGTTTCAGTGGCTTTTGGTTTTAAATTGCTAAAGCATTACAGAGCTATATCTTTAGTGGGTTTTTTTTGTTTTTTTTTTTTTGTTTTTTTTGAGACGGAGTCTCACTCTGTCGCCCAGGCTGGAGTGCAGTGGCTCAATCTCGGCTTACTGCAAGCTCTGCCTCCCAGGTTCATGTCATTCTCCTGCCTCAGCCTCCCAAGTAGCTGGGATTACAGGCCTGCACCACTACATCCTGCTAATTTTGTATTTTTAGTAGAGACAGGGTTTCTCCATGCTGGTCAGGCTGGTCTTGAACTCCCAACCTCAGGTGATCCGCCCGCCTTGGCCTCTCAAAGTGCTGGGATTACAGGCATGAGCCACTGCGCCCGGCGAGTGTGTTTTATCTTGAAATCCCTTTCAGAATAGAAATAAAGTAGCGTTTATAGTTTTACTTACCAATATAGAAATGCCTGGCACAGAATACAGTTTCCAGTGAAGCTGGAACTCTGTTGTCATAACTAGGAGACACTGGGCATTCCATAGACATTTTGTGACAATGTTCCATCCTGATATCTTCTGGTAGCTAACAAGAGTTTCATTTCCGGGGATAAGGCCTTGGGTTCTCCTGTTTGACTTGACTTAGAAAAGGAGTCATATTAGGAATTTCCATGACCTTTCATGTTTCCAGGACTGGGATATAGGGCTGGGATTCTCCACAGGCACATCACATGGGTTAGAGTTCCAGACTTTTCAGTATAGTCCACAGTAGCCCACCAATTATTAGGTTGGTGCAAAAATAATTGCAGTTTTTATCATTAAAAATAATGGCAAAAACCACATTTACTTTTGCACCTACCTAAATATATGGCTCCTCTCCTTGAATTACCAGTAAGACAGTCCTTGACCAAGAGAGAGTGATGAGAATGGTTAAAGTAATGAGGTTACAGGCAGTCTGAAGAAAGTGAGTAGTCCCTGTGTTATCCATCAATGCAGGACACTTCTCCAGGTGGCCATGGACCAATCCAGTTCTCCCTCATTTCTTGCGCATGGTTGTCAACAGAATGTGCTGGGAATGTTGTATCCTGAGATAGAAAGAAACGGCCTGAAATAACCCAGGCCTTGTTTCTGTCCCTCCTAAGGAATGTAACATCTTGAGTTAGAGAGGGACTGCCTGGGACAGCCCAGGCTTTGTTCCTCTGTCCCCTAGAAGCAGGATGTCCTTCAAAGCTTTGCCCAGTGACATGGCCTCAAGTGCATAACCCAGGGCAGACTGCTTTTCGGGGTCCCTCAGCTGTGCTGCAAGTGGGGCATGCACAGTCAAGACTGCATCCTCCCTGGGCAGCTTTCTTGAGCCTTGGGGACTTGTTCACAATGGATCTGAGACATCTTCTGTTCCTTACCATCTGTAAGTAGTAAACCAGTTTCATGTAACTTGTGTGTGAGTGTGTTCTGTCTCATTAAACTCAGACAAGTACCTAACCAGTATATCGTGGACCTAAATAGTAGCCCAGGATGCAGTGGGCATAAATATATCGACTCCTGTTTCTGATGTATGGCATAGTGAACTTTGCTATTCTCCATGCAGTGGAGGTTCTCACTCAGGGTCAGCGATTAGTGAACTTGCTTCACAATGAAGAGCTTGCTGTTCAAGCTTCTGGTTTTGTCAAATAGTCCTGTGTTTAGATTTTGGCTCTACTACGTACAACTGTGTGACTTTGGGCAAATTACTGAACATCTCAGGGCCTCAGTTTCTTCTCCTGTGAAATAGGAATAATATTTACATGACCTACTGAATAGTGTTGTTGTATACATTAGGTAAGTATGAAATGCTTCATATCATGTATCCAACATAGTATATTCAATAAATGTTGTGATCATTATTATTTAAGCTCTGAAAAAACAAAGTGAGCAGGGCAAAATACTTGAACAAGCACTTTACACGCACACACACAAATATCCAAATGGCTAACAAATATATAAAAAGGAACTTCATTTGTCACAGAGGAAATGCAAACTATAACCATAATGAGATATCTCTATACACTCAACAAAATGGTTAAAATGAAAGAGAAAGACTGTTTTGGGCAAAGAGGTGAAACAACTAAAACAACTCTGCTAGTGGACTTGTAAATCAATACAACCTTTTTAGAAAACAGTTTAGCAGAATCATCTAAGGCTGAACATTTTTATATCCAAGCAATTCCATTCCCAGATGTCCAACACAACTGTGTACATGTATTCACCAAAAGTCTTATATGAAAATGTTCATATCAGCATTATTCATTGAAGTGTAAAACTAGAAACTACTCAAATGCCTATCAATCATAGAGGAATAAATTGCAGTATATTCCTATAATATAATACTACATATGAGGAGTTATATGTTTGTTATTCTGTAAGTACTAGTTGGCCATTATCTTACTTCCTCAGGCCGTCCCCATGTGTCGTTGGACTTCCGTCTAACTCATCTCACTTACATAACTTACATTAGTTAAACTTTAGGCTCAGCTGCAGTTGTAGAGAATGAAAATAACTACAGTTTAAATACATGGAAGTTT
Organism: Homo sapiens; assembly: GCF_000001405.40. Classification (NCBI taxonomy): domain Eukaryota; kingdom Metazoa; phylum Chordata; class Mammalia; order Primates; family Hominidae; genus Homo; species Homo sapiens. The sequence goes on from NC_000013.11 coordinate 43,000,975, forward strand.
GCTCTTAGATGCCAGTCCGGGCATATGCAGGCCAGGGGCTAGGATGAGGACTTAATGGAGTCAAGGATCTAGACTTCCCCATTTGCTCCACTCTGCCTTCTCTACCGTGTTGCTCTTACTTGCATCCAACACATACACAATGTAGCCAGTGAGAAGGGGGAAAAGGATACTGGAGGGCAAGTTCATTCCCTTTAAGGGTACAACTTAAAGATTGCATACAATGCTTTTATTTACGTTTCACTGGCCAAAATTTAGTTGCATGGCCAAACCCAGTCACAAGAGAAACTAAGAAATGTGGTCTTAACTAGATGTAGGCATACTGTAGTAGCTAGCCTCCAAAGTGGCCTCCAATGGCTCTTGCCTTCAGGCATTTATATCCTTATGCTGTTTGTTTCCTCCAACATTGAACAGGACTATCTGGTGTAACCTTCAGCCTCCATTAAGTTGACTACAATTCTAGTTGACATCTTGACTGCAACCTGAGGCAGAAACATGCGGCTAAGCTGCTCCTGAATTTCTGACTCTTAGAAATTATTTGAGAAAATAACTATTTAATGTTGTTTTAAGCCACTATATGTCAGGATAATTTGTTATAAGCAATAGATAACTAAAACAAGAATTGAGGAGAGGAAATTAAAGTGAAAAGAGAACAGGGGTGGGTGTGGTGACTCACACATGTAATCCCAGCACTTTGGGAGACCAAGGTGGGTGGATCATCTGAGGGCAGGAGTTTGAGACCAGCCTGGGCAATATGCTGAGATCTCTTCCCTACAAAAAATACCAAAATCAGCCAGATGTGGTGGCATGTCCTGGTGGTCTCAGCTTGGGACTTGGGAGGCTGAGGCAGGAGGATTGCTTGAGCTCAGGAGGTCGAGGCTTCAGTGAGCAGAGATCATGGCACTGCACTCCAGCCTGGGTGAGAGAGCAAGATCCCATCTCAAAATAAGAAAAGAGAATGGGACGTGGTGTATGAAATTTTAGATAGAGTGGCCAGGGGAAATATTAATGTGGCCTCTGAGTAGGGGTGTAAAGAATGTGTGAGCACAGGAAGAGTATTTTGGGTAAAATCATGTTTATAGTCAAAGTGTTTATCAACCAGTATGCCACGGGCACTGACAAAACAGAATAGGTGCCCAAAAAATAAACACTGAGACAGATCATAAACATTCATCAGGGCCTCAGGTGGAGCCCCAGCTGCATATCAGCTGTGAGCAGAGGGAAAAGAAGTCAAAGACCCTGGGGTGGGAGAGTGGCTGTGTTTGATAAACCACAAAAAGGCCAATGTGAGCAGAGGGAGAGAGCAGGAGGAAATGAGGACAGAAATATAATATAACATAACATGTGGGCCATACAGTATAGTGTCATTTAAGTCATAGTAAAGCCTTTGGCATTTATTCTGCATGAAACGGGAAATGTTTGAAAGATTTTGTGGAAAGGAACAACATGGTGTTATATGTTTTAACGTGATCACTCGGGCTGGTATACTGAAAACAGACTGAAGCAAAATGTTATAGATTGAAGGTTTGTGTCCTCCCTAAATTCATGTGTTGAACCCTAACCCCCATTGCGATGGTATATAGAGGTAGGGCCCTTGTGAGGTAATTAGGTTTAGATGAGGTCATGAGGGTGGGGCCCTCATGATAAGATTAGTGGTCTTATAAGAACAGGAAGAGAGACAGATCTCTCTCTTTCCATGTGAACAGAGGAAAGGCTGTATAAGGATAGTGAGAAGGAGGCCTTCTGCAACCCCAGGGGAGAGTCCTCACCAGACATTGACCCTGCTAACACCTTGATGTTGGACTTAAAGTTTCTAGATATGTCAGAAAATAATTTTTAGTTGTTTAAGCCACTCAATCTATGGTGTTTTGTTATGTCAGCCCAAGTTGACTATGACAAAAGGCAAGGGTGGAAGCAGGGAGACTGGTTGGGAGGCTGTTGCAATAATTCAGATGAAAAATGATGGTGGCTTGGGCCAGCATGGTGCAGCAGAGGTGGTGAGAAGTGGTGAGATTCTGGATATATTTATAAAGTACAATGAACAAGATTTTAAAAGTAAGATGAACAAGAACAGATTGGATGTCAGGTGTAGAGAAAGAGTCAAGGATGATATCAAGGTTTGGAATTTCAATCGCTGGCAGGATGGAGTTTTCATCAGCTAAGTTGGGGAAGGCTGTGAGAGGCATTTCTGATAGCTGTGGTGAGCCAGGGTATAGTCATGAGTTCATGTTTGGACTTGTTGTTTTGAAAGCCTGCTAAATATCCAAGTGGAGTAAGTTATTGAAGTGCAAGTGTGGAATTCAGGGAAAATGCCCGGATTGAAGATAAGAGTTTGGAACTCATTGTCACATAGAGTATATCCAAAGCCAAGTGATTAAATGAGATTACACAGTAGTGAGTTTAGATCAAAAAGAGTTTGGGTGGACTTGTCCACAGCTGTAAATTGTAGGAGCAACTGTAACACTATCAAACGAGAACTAGAATTCTCTCCCTGCTCACTCCACTTTCAGAAGTTTAGTTAATAAGAGTGCATGGTTTCCAGGTTAGTGAGCTGGGCCAGTGTTCCAGTGGTATAGGGTCAACACTAACAGTGTAAGAACAGACAGACATATCTAAACCTCTAAATCTGAAGTCCAATCAAGAATATTGTCATGGACAAGGGGGAAATGCTGTTGACTAGCAGCTGGAAAATCAGTTATTTGTCTTCCAGATCAGTGGTTCTCAATGTTGGCTATACTTTGGAATCAACTGGCAGGCTTTAAGCATCACTGAGGATTGGGTCCCACCCCAGGATTCCGATTTAATTGGTCTGGGGTGCAGCCTAGACTCTGGGAGTTTAAAATGTTCCCAAGGGATTCTGAGGTACAGCCAAGGTTGAAAACCACCACGGTAGCTAAAGAACGCTACAGTTAATAAGTCATCATTATCAGCACCTTTACAACCAGCTCCTAGTTTGCTTTTTGTTCAGAAAGATGTTAGAAGTGACTAAACTATGACAGCATGACTGCTCAGGAGGCTAAAAATAGACAAAATAACTGGGCACAGTGGCTCACACCTGTAATCCCAGCATTTTGGGAGGCCGAGGAGGGTGGATCACCTGAGGTCAGGAGTTCGAGACCAGCCTGCCCAACATGGCAAAACCCCGTCTCTACTAAAAATACAGAAATTTGCCTGGTGTGGTGGAGGGCACCTGTAATCCCAGCTACTTGGGAGGCTGAGGCAGGAGAATCGCTTGAACCTGGGAGGCAGAGGCTGCAGTGAGCCGAGATCACACCACTGCACTCCAGCCTGGGCGACAAGAGTGAAACTCCGTCTCCAAAAAAAAAAAAGTATAGGGAGAAGCATTAAACATATATTTTAAGTTGTTGCTAAGCAGGTATTTCTCAGAACATTAGGCCAAGACCCCAAGGATGTGTGGAAACAGAATAACAATTTGGGCTTTTTTGTTTGGTTTGTACCACAGTAGGTGGTGTGCAGTACAGCAGAAGAATCATCTACTGGTTTGTAAGGGAAGGATCACAAAGCATGGACACAGAGTGTATCCAAACATAGGCAATGTGAGTGAATTTAGCACTTTTCAGAAGAACGTAGAATAGGTAAGCATATACAAATTCTTTATTTTTATTTTTAGTTTTTCTTTTGAGACAGAGTTTCACTCTTGTCACCCAGGCTGGAGTACAATGGCGCGATCCTGGTTCACCTCAACCTCTGCCTCCCGGGTTCAAGGAATTCTCCTGACTCAGCCTCCCGAGTAGCTGGGATTACAGGCACCTGCCGCCACGCCCAGCTAATTTCTGTATTTTTAGTAGAGCTGGGGTTTCACCATGTTGGCCAGGCTGGTCTTGAACTTCTGACGTCAGGTGATCCACCCACCTCGGCCTTCCAAAGTGCTAGGATTAGAGGTGTGAGCCACCATGCCCAGCCACAAATTGTTTATTGATATAAGACATTTTTAACTGTTTGAATAGTGCTTTCAGAGTTCCTTCAAACATATTTCTATGTTTGTTTGCCAGAGTATAGCTCCATCTGAACCCCACTCAGTTGACCCCAAAAAGGTCACGCTGTTCTTGTGGCTACAGTACAGGGACATCATGTTGATGAGACAGGTAGGTTTCGTGGCACAGAATTGTGAAAGATAAAAGTATTTTGAAGAGCAAACCTATATCACCCTAAGTTTCTTTTGCTTTCAATAACTTAACATGACTCAATGTAGAGAGGACAAGCAAAATGCTAGAAAAGTGGTACAGTTTGTACTATGTCAGCATTAGATTTGGTGTTTAATTTAGGTTAAGACAATCCAGCAGACTTTGTCCCAAAACCTCGCATATTCACACAGAATCTGGCCATAAAAACAAAGTTGAGACCCAAATGAAAACAATGTTTTCTATTTCTTAGTTGTTTGATAGCAATGTGTTTTCTGAGGCAAAAGGACTGGGATCATCAGGCTGTTCTTCCTTTTTAGGGTGTATATAATCCAAGAAAAACGTGCTGCTGGGTTATAGAATGCTAAGGTTGAGTTTTAAACTCACTGGGAAAATAAATGTAGCAATCAAAAGTATCCTGTTGTAAATAGTAATAGGTGGATTAGCTCTTGGGTACTATCAACAACCTGTGCTTCAAACCAAATGTTTAATTCTGGCTAGAATCCTAAACTGTGTTCTAAGGAGATGACTGACACTGGTATTTTAGGAATGTTAAACAAGAATGTTCTCTGTATTGTCTTTTCTTCTTAAAAGCTACATGACCTTGAGCAAATTACTCAACTCTTCTTAAATTCATTTTCCTTTTCTGTAAAGCCTCTGCTATTTGCTTTTACATGATCTCAGGGACAAATGTGATTATTCCACATGAAAAATTATAAAGTGCTTTTTATAGTTAGTATCTAACAAGTTAACAATGGCATGCTGGATAATCTGCACTTGCAGATAGTATTGTAGCATGCATTAGTGAGATGGTACCATTTTTAGAGATAATGTGAATGTTCCCAAGAGAGTTTAAAGATCAAAAAGAAATTTTACATTTATTACATTATTTATCCTGATATAACCTGTGAAGAATGTTAGTTTTTCAGTTTTTAAAGATGACACAAGCAGCTCAGAATTATTGTGCAATAATTAATATGCACACACATATTTACATATTGTACAGTAATTAATATGCGCACACATATTTACGTACGTATTTATTGGGCTACTGCTATGTGTCAGCCATTTTTAAGCATTTTCACCTATGTTATGTTAGTTCCAAAAGCAGGCTTCAAATCTAACTCATTAAACTCTCTAATGTTCTCTTTACTAGCTAACTCTCTATTTTATCATATTGGGCATTTTAAAGGAGACACTATCCAGCAAAAAAGTGAGAATTAAAATATATAGTAACATCATACACAAGGCTCCCATAGGTATATGGATGAAAGATACATGCAGAGAAAAATGACAAAATATTCTTTTTTTTTTTGAGACGGAGTCTTGCTCTGTCGCCCAGGCTGGGGTGCTGTGGAGCCATCTCAGCTCACTGCAACCTCCACCTCCAAGGTTCAAGTGATTCTCCCGTCTCAGCCTCCTGAGTAGCTGGGATTACAGGTGTGTGCCACCATGCCCGGCTAATTTTTGTATTTTTAGTAGAGACAGGGTTTCACCATGTTGGTCAGGCTGGTCTCGAATTCCTGACCTCGTGATCCACCCACCTCGGCCTCCCAAAATGCTAGGATTACAGGCGTGAGCCACCGTGCCCGGCCAAAATATTCTTTATACATACACAGTGCTGAGGCTCCGAAGCCCATACTCCAAAATATGGCGCTTTAACATGCTGAACTGAAGAAGCCTCAAGGTCTCTCTGACCTTCCCCACTACCGCATACTGTCTCTCCTAAAGCACAGAATGAAGTTGAAGTTCCTTTATCTGCCTAAGATCCAGACCATCCCAAAAGAACAATTGTTTCTTTTTTTCCCCTCCCTGTAAGACCAAGATACAACCAAACCTGAATAAACCCTTTCACAAAACGATGTAATCTCTGTTCCCTGATCCATTCCTTCTCCCTGGTAATCCCCTCAACAGAATTCCTCTTTTTCCCCCTCCCATAACTTGTTTTGCCAACACGGTGTATGAACTTCTGAATCCCTGTTGGGGGATGAGTAATCACTTTGTGGTTCTCCCTATGTACAGCTTAAAAAATTCCTGTGCCTTTTCTTGAATTACTCTGCCTTTTGTGAGTTGAATTTTTAGTGAACCTTTAGAGGGCAAAGGGGAAGTTTCCCTACAATAGGAATACATTATTATAAATCTCTTTCAGATGACTTTTTAGAATTTTCAAGTTCAGAAAATTGCATACCTAAGAAGCTGATGTTAATGCAAGCAAACAAAGGATTGATATTGTGACCAAATGCAGGTTTAGCCACTGGCTGCTTGCAAAATCCAACAACAAGGACGAAGTGCAGTACAAACAAGGTGACTTCATTGTTTGAAGCTAGCAGTGGGGAAGTGGTTCAGGCTCCTGCCTTAAGAAAACCACTTTAAAATTCTCAGGCAAAATGCTAGGGTTTAAGAAGTGGGGAGGTGGTGAGGCAGTACAGGTCTACATGACCTGTTCCAGTGACTTGTGTTATTGCCCCAACTGGTGAATGGGCTGTCACCATCTCAGGCTTGTCCAGGTTGTCAGTTACCTGCAGCCTTGAGGTAATCTCCTGTGGGGGAGAAGTCCACAGGCACCTGATTGTCTCAAGACCCGGTCTCTGGAACTTCTTCTTCTTTTTTTTTTTTTTAAATTTGAGATGGAGTCTCGCTCCATTGCCCAGGCTGGAGTGCAATGGAGCGATCTCGGCTCACTACAACCTCCGCCTCCCGGGTTCAATCGATTCTCCTGCCTTAGCCTCCTGAGTAGCTGGAATTATAGGCGTGTGCCACCATGCCCAGCTAATTTTTGTGTTTTTAGTAGAGACAGGGTTTCACTGTGTTGGCCAGGATGGTCTTGATCTCCTGACCTCGTGAAGCGATCCGCCTGCCTCAACCTCCCAAAGTGCTGGGATTACAGACGTGAGCCACCACGCCTGGCCGGTCTCTGGAACTTCTAAGCATACGTAACTAGATAAGCTAGCAAGGCAAGCTTATGGTGGAAAGAAGGAGAGTAATTATTATTTTATCACTAAAAAGTTAATACAAAGGGCAGCAGAAGGAAAAGGGGGAAAAATCCTTAAAGCCAGGGTTCTCAGTTATAGTATTAGTTTCTTAGGGCTGCCATAGCCAAGTACTACAAACTGGGTGGCTTAGAACAACAGAAATTTATTCTCTCACAGTTCTGGAGGCTAGAAGTTCAAAATCAAGGTGTTTGCAGGGTTGGTTCCTTCCTTCCAGGAGGATATGAGGGAGAATCTGTTCCATGCTTGTCTTTCCGCTGCGGATGTTTGTCAGAAATATTTTGGCATTCCTTGGCTTGCAGCTGCCTCACAGCCATCTCTGCCTCTACCATCATGTGGCTTTATTCCCCATGTATCTGTGTATCTTCAAATCTCCCTCTCCTTTCAAGGACACAAGTTCACCCTAATCCAGTATGACCCCATCTTAACTTGATTACATCTGCACAGGCCCCATTTCCAAATGACATCACATTCACAGGTACCAGGGGTAGGTTTTCACAGGTTTTCAACATTTCTTTTGGGAAGGCACAATTCAACACACAGAGGGTTTTTAAAACTTTTTTTTGCTGAAACATTTGAGTGTAATTTGTAATCACATTGCCCCATTACTCCTAAATACTTCACTGTGTATTTTCCTTTTTTTTTTTTTTTTTTTTTTTTTGGACAGAATCTCACTGAGTTGTGCAGGCTGGAATGCAGTGGCATGATCTCGGCTCACTGCAACCCCCACCCCATGGGCTCAAGCAATTCTTTTGCCTCAGCCTCCCGCTCAGCTAATTTTTTGTATTTTTAGTAGAGAAAATACAAAAGGAATCTCACTATGTTGCCCAGGCTTGTCTCAAACTCCTGGACTCAAGGGATCCGCCTGCCTCAGCCTCCCAAAGTGCTGGGATTACAGGCGCAAACCATCACACCTGGCCTACTTCAGTGTGTATTTTCTAAAAATCAGGACACTCTCCTACATAACCACAGTATACCCATAAGAATCAAGAAATTAACATGGATGCCTATTACCATCAAAGACACAGATTCCATTCAAATTTTGCCAATCGTTCCAGTAAATTATTCATAACAAAACAAACCAAAAGCAAATTTCTTCCATGTTGCATTCTTTCTTCATGATCTAGGATCCAATCTAAGACCATTTAGTTGTCCTATCTCTTCTCTTTCAAGCTGGAACTGTTCTCAAGTTTTTCCTTGTCTTGAATAATTTTGATATTTTTTGAAGAGTACAGACTCATAACTTTGCAATGTCCTTTAATATGGGTTTGTCTGATGTTTCCTTAAGATTCCAATAAGGCTCTGTATTTGGACAGGACTACCACAGAAGATGCTGTGCTTTTCTCAGTGCATCATGTTGGGAAACATAGTATGTCAGTTTGTCCCATTATTGGTAGTGCTGACTATTATCACTTGGTTATGATGGAACATGCTGGGTTTCTCTACAGTGTGGTTATTGAATAATTAATAAACAGTTGATATGCAATTTTCAAGGAGATACTTTGAGGCTATGCAAATATCCTGGTCCTCATCAAACTTTTACCCACTGGTTTTAGCATCCATTGATGTTTTCTGCCTGAATCATTTATGATTGTGAAATAGTAATTTCTGACTCCATCATTCCTTCTCTACTTATTAGCCTGCATTCAGCTGTAAGGAAGAGCTTTCCCTTTTCCCTTTGGTATTCATTTATACAAATAAGCACTGGTGGATATTTATTTTATGCAATAGGTTATAATTCATTACTATCATTACTTTGATTGTCACATTTGAACAGTGAAAGCCGTTTCATGCTGGCCCCTGTATCCTTTTTTTTTTTTTTTTTTTTTTAATTTTTTAAATATAGAGATGGGGTCTCGCCATTTTGCCCAGGCTGGTCTCAAACTCCTGGGCTCAGACAAATCTTCCCACCCAGTCTCCCAAAGTGCTAAGATTACAGGCGTAAGCCACCGTGCCCAGCCCCCTGCATCCTTTTGACACATCCTTATCATTCTTTGAGTGCTTCTTTTGCTTTCTGGTATAAGATGTTCCAGATTTCTCTTGTACTTTTCCTGCCTCAGCCATGAAAATACCCATTTCAAAAAGGAGACATGTTTCCTTTTAGTGGGGAGTGGTATTTAGAAACCAAGATTTGGGTGCAAAGTATACTGCTTTTTACTAGAGTGTCATTGCTTCTAGGCCCTTTCAGAAGACACATGTAGGAAATATGTGTATGTATACATGTGTACATATGTCTCTATTTCTGTATCTATCCATATAGATATCTATTAACCCACTGACAAAGTATAGATAGTATGGTAGACAGAATTCTAAAAGCGGATTTCCTGAGATTCTTGTCTCCTGGTTATTCAATCAAACATTAAATTAGGTACTGTAGTGAAGGGATTTTTGCAGGTGTGATTACAGTCCCAAATCATTTGACCATAAGATGAGATTATTCAGGTAACCCTGGTCAATTCAGGTGAATCTTTTAAAAGCACAGAGTTTCCGCCAGCTGGGAGCAGAAGGGAAGTCAGTTAGATTTGCAGCGTAAGAAAGTTTGATGTCCTGTTGCTGGCTAGACGATGGGATTAGAGAAATGTGATGAGGAATACAGGTGGTCTCAGAGCTGAAGACAACAAGATAACAGAAACCTCAGTCCTACAAATGCAGGGAACTAAATTCCGCCAACAATGGCTTTGAAGGCAGATTCTTTCCTAGAGACCCCAGACAAAGGCCAGCCTGACTGATACCTTGATTTGGGCCTTGTGATGCCCTGTGCCTAGAACCCAGCTGAGCCCTCTTGGACTTCTGACCTACTGTGAGCTAATAAATGTGTGTTGTTTTAAGCTACCAAGTTTGTGGTAATTTGTTACATCAGCAATAGAAAACCAATACAGATAGATATTGATATAAAACTATAAATTTACACCAATTCTAATCCAATGCCACTGAGCTTTTCTAGTTTTCCCTTTTTCATATCTGTACCTCCAAAAATTAATAACCTGATTCCCACTATCTTCAAGATATTTACTTATTTGCTCAATCTCCTCATATGTAAACAACCTCTTTACCATGTGGATCATCTCCTTGGCCTTGGCCCCACAGCACACAGTGGTTGTACTGGTTAAGTGCCCCTCAATCCCGATCCTATCACATATAGTAAATCTTACTGTTTGAGATGGCTCCCAACCAGACCTTATCACTCACAGGGCCTATGCCAGCTAAGTTGCCCCGGGTCTATGGACCCATGGATGATTTATATTTATGTATATTTTACTTTATTTAGCATCATTTCAGGTATGTACCACTTCCTACTCTAACAACATTATCACTTCCATTAATATGAAAAGGATTTTCTAAGTCCCCATTGTTCTAAGAATTGTATTAGATAGGCCGGGCGCGGTGCCTCATGCCGGTAATCCTAGCACTTTGGGAGGCCGAGGCAGGTGGATCACCTGAGGTCAGGAGTTCAAGACCAGCCTGGCCAATATTGCAAAACCCCATCTCTACTAAAAATACAAAAAATTAGCTGGGCATGGTGGAGGTGCCTGTAATCCCAGCTACTCAGGGAGGCTGAGGCAGGAGAATTGTTTCAACCCAGGGAGGTGGAGGTTGCAGTGAGCCGAGATCGCGCCACTTCACTCCAGCCTGAGTGAAAGAGCGAGATTCCATCTCAACAACAACAAAAATAATAACAAGTATTGGCTGGATATTCTGAAGCAATTCAACATGAGCAATATGACGGCCACTGTCAGGCCACCTTTTTTTTTCTTTTTTTTTTTAGAGAGGGGGTCTTGTTCTGTTGCCCAGGCTAGAGTGCAGTGGCAGGATCATAGCTCACTATAGCCTGGACCCCCTAGGCTCAAGTGATCCTCCCACCTTAGCCTCCTGAGTAGCTGGGACCACAGGTGTGTGCCACCATGCCTGGCTTTAGGTTGTTGTTGTTATTTTTTACAGATGGGGCTCATTATATTACCCAGGCTGGTCTCAGACTCCTGGGCTAAGCAGTCCTCCCAAAGTGCTGGGATTACAGATGAGAGGCACCATGCCCAGGGAGGCCACCAATTTTTTTTTTTTTTTTTTGGTCTGAGATGGAGTCTTGCTCTGTCGCCAAGGCTGGAGTGCAGTGGCACGATCTCAGCTCACTGCAACCACAGCCTCCCAGGTTCAAGTGATTCTCCTGCCTCAGCCTTCCAAGTAGCTGGGATTATAGGCACCCACGACCACACCTGGCTAATTTGTGTATTTTCAGTAAAGACAGGGTTTCACCATGTTGGTCAGGCTGGTCTCGAAATCCTGATCTCATGATCCACCCAACTTGGCCTCCCAAAGTGCTAGGATGACAGGCGTGAGCCACTGAGCCTGGCCCCATTTTTTAATGTGGTTAAGTATAGAAGAATTAGGATCCTGAATGGATAGCTGAACTTTTACTTTGCCTGACACTTTTCTTCAAAATCTGATAGACTGTCTCATCTGGTTTTTTTTTTTGTTTTTTCTTTTAACGCCACTCAATGATCTCTCATGTCATTTTGAGATGTTTTTGTAAACAAACATACTGTGATATAAAAAACATATATTTAGTCTTTGTCTCAGTCCATTTTCTGCTGCTGTAACAGAATGCCACAGAGTAGGTATATTTATGAAGAAAAGTAGTTTATTTGGCTCCTTGTTCTGGAGGCTGGGAAGTCCACGACTATGCATGGTGTCAATATCTGATGAGGACCTTCTTGCATCATAGCATGGTGAAAGATGTCACATGGTGAGGAAGCATGCACACAAGAGAAAGAATTGGGGCTAAATGTATCTATTTATCAGGAGCCCACTCCCATGATAATGGCATTAATCCTCTCATAATCTAATCACCCCTTAAAGGCCTCATTCCCAATACCATTACATTGGCAATTACATTTCAACATGAGATTTGGAGGGGACATGCAAATCATAGCAGTCTTCATCCACAGTTCCTGGCACAGAGCTCCTAAAATCCTTAGAATTCCTGAGTGATAGGAGTGACAGGAGCATCTTTTATTACTCACAAGAAGCTCCTTTCAACCATACCATATTATAAACATAACATAAATCATATCAAACATATGACATAAACCATATCAAACATATAACATAAACTATATCATAAACATACTGAGTTTATGATAATAAGGTGACTCTTAGATAATGGAAACTAATTGTCAGGGAAGCCAACCATGTGTTTAGGGAGTTGGCACTTATAGCCCCACCCCCTAACCTTCAGGGAGGGGAGAAGGGCTGGAAATTGAGTTCAATCACCAATGGCTAATGTTTTAATCAAGCATGCATATGTAATAGAACTTCCTATTACTATTTTGTAATTAAAAAACCCTTACGTTTATTAAAATGTAAACCCTAAACAACAGGATTTGAAAAGTTTCTGGGCTGGTGAACATGTTGAGATGATGAGAGGATGGGGTGCCCGGAGAGGGCATAGAAGCTCTGTGCACCCCTCCTCCTGATACCTTGTCTTGCGCATCTCTCCCATGTGGCTGTTTATAATAGTTATATCCTTTATAATAAACTAGTAGTAATAAATAAAATGTTTCACTGAGTTCTGTGAGCCATTACAGAAAATCCTTGTACCTGAGGAGAGGGTCATGGGAACCTCTGATTTATAGCCAGTCAGTCAGAAGTACAGGTGGAAACCTGGGACTCGCAATTGGCATCTGAAGTGGGGGCAGTGTCATGGGACAAAGCCCGTAACCTGTGGGGTCTGCAGTAATTACAGGGTAGTTAGTGTCAGAACTGAATTGTAGGACACACACTTGGTTTCCAGGAGGGTGAAGAATTGGTTGGTATGAGAAAAAACCCCACACATTTGGTATAAAAAGTGTCGTGTGGGTAGCCAGAAATGGTTTTTCCTTTTACAGCCCATGTGTTTATTAGGAACATACTTTCTACACATTTCTTCTCTTTTTAGGACAGAGAGAGAAGAGGGAAGAGCTGAATTTGAAAAAATGTAAAACATAATAAATTTTAATTATAATAGGTAATACTCAGAACTTGTTTTGCTGTCTAGTAGAAAAAGCCCTCCTCTCTCAACTATAAATATGGCTGAGAGACAAGGACAAAATAATTATATATTCACCTCCATCTTTCAATAAAGGCAGAAAGAGCTTTCCATTTCAAATTTGTTTTGTTTTGTACCACATGTGGGTTAATTAGATAAAACCATGTCATGTGCCAGATTCAATCAGCCTGAAAATAATCAGAAAACCGAGTTTGGCATTGTTTATGCTGTTTTGGCTCAGCTAGACAAAAGCACAAAATGTAAATTGGCTCCAGAAAGCAACATATGTGTACTGGTGCCAGCTTTTCTTTCATGGGATTATCTCTAGCTGGCACCTGAGCAGCAGAGGCTGCTCTGGGTGACCATTAGACAAATCTACATGATGTAGATACCCATTTTCCTCGATTAGACAGTGGACACCATCATGACGGGGACTTATTTTACTGCTTTGACATAGGCCAAAACTAGCTTGCCAACTATTGGCTGTCAGTCAACTGAAAATACAAGTTAAGGTTAAAAAATGAACCCACATTTTTGTTTGGCATATCCCCTTGTGGCTTCCTTTAAGCTCATTTCTTGATTTTTAATTGGTTGTAAGATTAAAAATAAAGGCTGGGCATGATGGCTCATTCCTGGAATCCCAGCACGTTGGGAGGCAGAGGTGAGAGAATCACCTGAAGTTGGGAGCTCAAAACCAGCCTGGCCAACATGGTGAAACCCCATCTCTAGTAAAAATACAAAAACTAGCTGGGCGTCATGGTGAATGCCTGTAATCCCAGCTACTCAGGAGGCTGAGGCACCAGAATTGCTTGAACCCGGGAGGCAGAGGTTGCAGTGAGCCAAGATCGTGCCACTGAACTCCAGCCTGGGCACCACTGCACTCCAGCCTGAGTGACACAGTGAGACTCTGTCTCAAAAAAAAAAAAAAAAAAAAAAAGATTAGAAATGAAGCCCTGAAACCACTCCTCAGCTGTATTTCCTTGTTGTATGCAGTTCAGTGAAATATTATTAAAGAGAAGAAGGCAGCGCATTTCACTGTCTTCCTACCTTAAGGTGGTTTTTTAGTGTTTCAAGGGATAAATATTTTAGCAAGTATTCAAGCAATCACAGAGTGAGAAATAGTCATTTCAAAGACCTAATCATCTGACTGATGATGATAAGCTCTGCATGAGTTGGTTTTCTCTTCTCTTTTTGCTGTATAAACTATTCGACATTACTACACAGAAAAATAGCATTATATGTTGTTCTTTTTATACTTTTTTTAAAAGAATACTTTCTAGAATATTCTAGAATGTGGGATGGGTGGTGATCATTGTCTCTAGTATGAATTAAACTCTTCTTGCTTAGGTCACCAGTGATCACCTAGTTGCAAATCTTATGGGAGCATTTTATCCTTACTTGACTTATCTGTGAGCCCCTGGCATTTCTCACTATTTTTTTTTTTTTTTTTTTTGAGACGGAGTCTCACTCTGTCACCCAGGCTGGAGTGCAGCGGCCAATTTTTGTATTTTTAGTAGAGATGGGGTTTCACCGTGTTGGTCAGGCTGATCTCGAACTCCTGACCTCATGAGCCACCTGCCTCAGCCTCCCAAAGTGCTAGGATTACAGGCGTGAGCCATCATGCCCGGCTCTATTTCGTTTTTTAAAAACTTACTTTGTTTCCATGACCCCACTCTCTCCTGGCTTCTTCTATCTTTTTGGCTTTTTATTTGTGGTTTCTGTCACCTCCTCCCCTCTCCTTCCACTGTCCATTCCTTGAGTCTTGGTGTCCTTAGAGCGTAATCTTCACTTTCTTTTCTTACTCTGTATATTTTTCCTAGCTCAGTAGTTGCCAATGAAAGAAATCTAAGAATCACCTTGGATCCTCCCCTTTCCTTATCTCTCCTATTTGTTCAATCCCAAATCATCTTGACTATCCCTTTATCATCGAGTTCACTCCTTGGATCAGTTAGAATGCTGTGGTTACAAACACAGAAAACCCAACTAAAACTTGGCTTAAAAATAAGGCAATGATTTTCTCAACAAGTTAATATATTTAAAAAGGTGGAGAAAGGGAATTTTTAAAATAAAATAGGACTAATATGACATAATGATTGTCTTCGTCTAGTTTTTGTTGCTATAAAAGAATACTACAGACTGGATAATTTGTAAAGAAGAGAGCTTTATTTCTTACAGTTCTGGAAGTTGGGGAGTTGAAGGGCATATGGTGCTGGTGTCTGGTGAGGGCCTTTGGGCTGCATCATCCCGTTGTGGAAAAGTGGAAGGGCAAGTAAGCACATGCAAAAGACAAAAGCAGGAGGGGCGGAGCTTGCTTTGTAACAACTCACTGTAGCAACAACTAACCCTGTCCCATGATAATGGCATTACCCCACTTACGAGGAAGGAGCCCTCATTACCTAAACACCTCCTATTAGGCCTCAACTCCCAACACTGTTGCATTCAGTATTAAGTTTCAACACGAGTTTTGGAGGGGACATTCAAACTACAGCAACCATCTACCGCTATGTGTGGACTTTGTTTAGATCTGACGTAAACAAAGCAGCTATTTAAAAGTTTTCTGTAACAATGAAATTTGGATATTAGATGACACAAAAGGTGATCACTAATTTTTATTAGATGTCACAATGGTGCAGCTATGTCAGAAGATGTCCATATTTGGGAGGAATGTATACTGAAATGTCCAGAGTGAAATTTCTTGATGCGTTTTAAATACTTAATCAGAAAAAGGAAAATAAATGAAGAATTGTGACAGAATCTTGACAATTGTTGAATCTGGTTTTGGGAGATATGAGGGTTCATTATACTATTCTTTCTACTTCTTCAATGCTTGCAATTTTAAATACAAAATTTAAAAAATTATAATAAAGGAAATTTTTACTCTCATAACTAAAAAGTTTAGAAACGGGGTAGACATCAAGTGAAGATTCATATAGTCAACAATATCATCAAGGACTCAGTTTCTTTTTAATTTCCTCATGACTTTCAATGGTGTTTGCTTCATCCTAAGGCCATCTCTTCTCATGGTATAGGGACCATATATCCTGGTTTGCTAGACAGTCTCAGTTATATCTATTGTCCTAACATAATTATTTATAGCACTATCTTTCTTTCAAATGTGACCTCGTTTTGGATGATAAATTAAATGTTAACCCTAGTTTATGGTTGTCAAATGACTGCCAACTACAATTAGTGCTTCACACTTCTCTGTTCATGTCCAGCTAAAGAGAGAAGCTGCTGTCCCAGAAATAACCAACAAACCTTTTCTATAATCCCAATGTCCCAGAAGGGCAAAGTGTCCATCCATGAAACAGACATCATGGCTAGAGTGATGGGATGCATCAGTTGGCTTAGGTCAATCAGGGGCCACCCTGAGAATAGGGGACAAAGTCAATAGGTGGGTCCATGGTAGGTGGGGCCAAGAGGGATTAAATGTGGAGAAGAATCCAGTTAAAGCCACTATACTCCTCCTTGCCATATCTTCTGCCAGTGCCCTAGTTTAGGGCTCAGCCTCTCTTAGACTATTGCAATAACTTTTTAGCTGATCTCCCTCCTTTTGCTTTGGCCTATCACTACGTTGCTGCCACAATGATCTTCTTAGTATGTAAATCTGATCATGTCACTGCCAGATTCAACATTTTTTGATGTCCTGCTTTTACCTATGAGATAAAGTCTAAATGCCTCTGCTTATTATATAAAGCTGTTCAATACTTGGCCTTTGTCTAGTTATCTGTCCACCCTCATCCATCTTCAGTCGTTTCTTTATACTTTAAACTTCAGCAAAACTGAATGACTTTAGTATTGTTTACATACAAGGCTTTCTCACACATTGTTTCCCCAAGTCTGCCTCATATTTATCAGTTCAGCAAATTTGTTTTCATCCCCCCATTGTCATCTTGATGCTGGCTTCTCCGACTCCTTCCTTGAACATTTCAGGCCCGTTTTTGGTGCCCACTGCACTTTGTCATACAGTAAAGCCAGCCTCTTTTCTGACCAGACCAGGCTAGTGGTTGGTGGGTTAATTGAAAAACCAATTAAAATCTGAGATCACAACAATATACATATTTTAACCTTTTTTTTTTGAGATGGAGTTTCACTCTCATCACCCAGGCTGGTGTGCAATGGCGCGATCTCAGCCCCCTGCAACCTCTGCCTCCCAGGTTCAAGCAATTCTCCTGACTCAGCTTCCTGAGAGCCTGGGATTACAGGCACCTACCACCACGCCCGCAAATTTTTTTTTTTTTTTTTTTTTTTTTTTTTTTTTATGAGAGGGAGTCTTGCTCTGTCGCCCAGGCTGGAGTGCAGTGGTGCGATCTCGGCTCACTGCAACCTCCACCTCCCGGGTTCAAGCAATTCTCTACCTCAGCCTCCCGAGTATCTGGGATTATAGGCGCCCACCACCACATCCGGCTAATTTTTTGTATTTTTAGTAGAGACGGGGTTTCACCGTCTTGGCCAGGCTGGTCTTGAACTCCTGACCTCATGATCCACCTGTCTTGGCCTCCCAAAGTGCTGGAATTACAGGTGTGAGCCACCGTGCCCGGCCAGTAATTTTTGTATTTTTAGTAGAGATGGGGTTTCGTCATGTTGGCCAGGCTGGTCTCAAACCCCTGACCTCAGATGATCCGCCTTCCTCAGCCTCCCAAAGTGCTGAGATTACAGGCGTGAGCCACCGTGCCTGGACACTTTAACCATTTTTTTTTTTACAACATATATAAATTACTGTTTCTCAACCTTTTTTTTCTTCATTATCTCCACCCAAAAGTTTTTTTTTTGACTTTTCTTCTAATACACTCCCTCTACCCACATGAAATTTTAGTGTCACAACAGACACACTGTATGTGTACTCTATGTACATCCGCAGGGCTGCAGGGCCAAGGCCTTTTATTTGGATGTGGGTCCTCTGGTTCAGTTCTGCCTTGGATTTCTTCCACACTGGTAATCCATCCTCTATGATTCCTAATTTGAGTTTGTTTAAAATGAAGGTGGAGCAAGACATTTTAAAAGCAAACAGTACAGAATCATAGTCAGTGTTTGTGATTCTCTTCCCATGCTCACCATTCAACAGCTTTTTAAAAATAACCTGTTTTATCAAATATTTCCAAGGCATTTAATTTCATTTTCATGAAAACAACTATTTCCTCTCCCACAATTATATTTTATCACTATGCGATGTTAGTCAGATTTTGTAATTTCAAAGACAAGACAATTGGTTGGGGATCAACACAACTGCTGGGGGAAGGAGGCAGAGCTAGTGAGAGAAAATACACAAGGAAATAAATCGGTGAAAGAGGTAACATAAAGAAAATAGTAACTAACAATTTTGTAGAAGTTACTAAGTATCAAGCACTGTTCTAGGAGCTTTTCAAAAGTGAACTCATTTAATCCCTACAAGAGAGGTGCTATTATTATCACCTACTTTACTAATGAGGAAACTGAGGCACAGAGAGGTCAATTGTCTTTGTTAAAATTCCTTTCAAACAATAAATTTTTAGAACATTTTCCACTGAGATGTTTCGAAGACATACTACCAATGCAATCTGCCTTTCTTTTACAAAGTCTATTGAACATAATGTAATCTGTCTTTGAAGTGGCGTAACTAATAAAAGTAGGCCAATGAAAATTTAATGTGGCCTCCCTTTTGGGTTTCACAAAAATATTTTTCTTTGTTCTCAAGAAGCTAGAAAATTGAGTTTAACTAAATCAGGAAGAGATCCTTGTGGGGGAGAGGAAAGGACTTCATGGCCCTTTTTTCCATCCTTTCTTTGCTGAGGAGGGTGAATTTACCAAAGAACCAAAGGCTGGGAACTAAGTAATCTTTGTGGATGAGATTTTTCTTTAAAATTGGCTACATCTGCAAGAGCGGATGCCTGAGGCAGCAGTGGAATGAGGTCAGTCGAGTCTACAAGCAGCCAGCTATCTGATCTCAATAGTTTGGGGTCTGAGCTGACATGCAACCCTGCTGAGTCCACCTCACCTCCACCTTGCTATATTCTCCCCTTCCCACTTCTTCTATTCCCCCTTTTCCTGGCTTCTGCTCTGAAAGCTTCTCTCCAGTTCCTGAGCAGGGGCAGTAGCTGCCCTAACAGGAGCTGAAGCTAAGCTGGGTCTTGCTCTAATTGTTCATTTGTTTCAGGCCAGCAGCCTGTTACTGCTAGGGCTCAGCCACTAGAATACTCCAAACTCCAAGGAATCAGAGACCTTATTTGTATGTTTGACTGTATAGGTCCAATGCCTAGCATAGTTCTTCATATCTAACAGATACTCAATAAGTATTTACTGAATAAATAAATGAATGGAAGAATGACCTGTAGGCCTTGATCCAATTCATTTGCTTAGTTTACTAGTGTCCTTCATAGTCGTGGATCCGTTTAACAAAAATTAATTTCTGTAATGAGATTATTTCTGTGAAGAGTCCTGGAATATTTTTTACCCAGTCCTATAAATCAGTGTTTTTCATTTCCTTCCATTTGTTTCCAGTTGAAATTTCTGGCATTTCCTCTCTTCCATCTAAAGAAATGTTACCCATTCTTTACCTCATCTCAATGGCTAAGCCTTCACTAAACCTCTCTGATGACCCCTGTTAAAAGTGGCCATTCCCTCCTGTAAAGTCCAAGAGCACTATGGTTGTAATTCTTTTCATAAGTGCATTATACAAGTTGCTTCCATATCCTGTCGTTTTCTTTTTTATCCCTATGTAAATGAAAAGTTCTCTGAAAAGGAATTTAGAGGAGAGAGACTATCCCAATAAACAGTTTGCAAACCTGAGAGCCACAGATTTCAGTGTAAAAGGAAGGTTTGGCTCTATTTTAAGTTAGTCCTAGTTAGCCACTTGGGATCCATCTTGAAGGATTGGTTCTTTGAGGTTTATATTTGTTTGCACAACTTCCCTGAGTCAGAATGTTGGACAAATGTTATTCTCCTTTTACAGGTAATTTGGAGAGGTTAATGGATATGTTCAGTTATACAAGCCCAGAAAATAATGGAGGTACACTAGAACTCAGATGTCTTCCTTATTCCTGTAACCACCCAATGGGTTTACTTTGCTGGCTGTCTAGACAGAGCCAAATTTATAAAGACGGGGTAATTGCAATAGAGAAAGAGTAATTCATGCAGAGCTGACTGTGCAGGAGACTGGAGTTTCATTATTACTCAAATCAGTCTCCCAGAGCATTCAGGGATCAGAATTTTTTATTTATTTATTTATTATTATTATTTTTTTGAGACGGAGTCTCACTCTGTCCTCAGGCTGGAGTGCAGTGGCGCGATCTCTGCTCACTGCAACCTCTGCCTCCCAGGTTCAAGCGATTCTCCTGCCTCAGCCTCCCGAGTAGCTGGGACTACAGGCACCCACCACGCCCAGCTAATTTTTGTATTTTTAGTAGAGATGGGATTTCACCATGTTGGCCAGGATGGTCTCACTCTCTTGACCTCATGATGCACCCACCTTCGGCCTCCCAAAGTGCTGGGATTACAGGCATGAGCCACCGCGCCCAGCTGGGGATCAGAATTTTTAAGGACAACTCGGTGAGTAGGGGGAAGCCAGTGAGCTGGGAGTGCTGATTGGTCAGGTCAAAGATGAAATCACAGGGAGTCCAAGTTGTCTTGCGTTATCAGTTCCTGGGTGGGGGCCACGAGATCAGATGAGCCAGTTTATCGATCTGGGTGATGCCAGCTGATTCATCAAGTGCGGGGTCTGCAAAATATCTCAAGCACTGGTGGTAGTTTTTACAATAGTGATGTTAGCTCCAGCAGCAATTTGGGGAGGGTCAGAATCTTGTAGCCTCCAGCTGCATGACTCCTAAGTCATAATTTCTGATCTTGTGGCTAATTTGTTAGTCCTACAAAGGCAGTCTAGTCCCCAGGCAAGAAGGAGGTTTGTTTTGGGAAAGGGCTTTTATCATCTTTGTTTCAAACTATAAACTATGAATTACATTCCTCCCAAAGTTAGTTTGGCCTACGGCCAGGAATGTACAAGACAGCTTGGAGGTTAGAAGCAAGATGGTGTTGATTAGGTCAGATCTCTTTCTCAGTTGTAATTTTGCAATGGCGGTTTAATTCCCAGTCCAGTTCTCTTTATACTGCTATGCAATGCATGTGCTCATGTTCTGGTATGTACTATTATTCTGTGTCAGTGTTATCTTCCCTACAAGATTGTAAATTTCTAGGACCTAACTTCTTAGACATGCTAATAATATTAACTAAGTGAACAAATTAATAGACCCTCAAAACTTTAAATTCAGGAATAGAAAAAAAATAAAGCTTTTTCTTCCTGTCAGCTGATTTTGCAAAGGGTATAAGGAGCCAAAGAGCTGCCACGTTGGTACAGAAGTTGGA
The DNA here is from genome assembly GCF_000001405.40 of Homo sapiens. NCBI lineage: Eukaryota > Metazoa > Chordata > Mammalia > Primates > Hominidae > Homo > Homo sapiens. The sequence continues at coordinate 43,022,460 of NC_000013.11, forward strand.
AAACACCATACGCTTCAACTGCTGGTTAATTTTTGCTCTAAAAACTTGATGGAGGCCAGGCGCGGTGACTCACGCCTGTAATCTCAGCACTTTGGGAGGCTGAAGCGGGCGGATCACCTGAGGTCAGGAGTTTGAGACCAGCCTGGCCAACATGGTGAAACCTCGTCTCTACTAAAAATACACAAATTAGCCAGGTGTGGTGGCACGTGCCTTTAATCCCAGGTACTCGGGAGGCAGAGGGTGCAGTGAGCCAGAGATTGCGCCACTGCACTCAGCCTGGGCAACAGAGCGAGACTCCATCTCAAAAAAAAAAAAAAGCTTAATAATAAAATGGGCTTTTATATATACAAATCAGCACAAACTCATTTGAGGGAGAGTAAGATTTACCTACTTGCTCACAACTTTTTTTCCCCTGCCTCAGGCTCCTGAGTAGCTGGGATTACAGGGACGCACCACCACACCCAGCTAATCTTTGTATTTTTAGTAGAGACGAGGTTTCACCATGTCGGCCAAGCTGGTGTGATCCACCCGCCTCGGTCTCCCAAAGTGCTGGGATTACAGCGTGAGCCACCGCACCCGGCCACAACTTTCTTCTGTGTAATTTCACCTTAAATACAGCCATTTACTTGGGGGTGGAGTAAGCAAATTGCCTCTTTAATTTCTCTCCCGGGGTGGTAGAACTGTGGCATTAAACAGAAGTGCGAACAGAAGTTGAGAGTGGGAAGAAAGGCTGCCCGGAAGGGGGTCAGGAAAGCTCAGGCAAGCCCACCCTCAGGCACTACAGCTAGACTCCGAGCTTACTGGGCAGTCATCTGATTCGACCAACATCAGTTCGCAGGGCTTAAGCCCAGTCCCTTACGGCGGCCTGGGGAGGGACCAGGCCCAAGTATATAAAGCTCCCTGAGGGTCCGCGTTGGCTTTGCGCCTGTGAGTGTGATTCAAGAACGTCCCAGTGCCCTTGGCTCCTTTCGGAGTGTGACCCCGTGCTTGCACGGGACACGTTACCCAGCTCGGGTGAGAAGGGTATCTTCCGGGAACCTCGCCTTTAATAGCACAACGAGCGCAGAGTCCACTGGATCTGCGAGAAGAAACCGCGCTAACTAGTTTGTCCCTACGGCCGCCTCGTAGTCACTGCCGCGGCGCCTTGAGTCTCCGGGCCGCCTTGCCATGGCTGCCCGTGGTGTCATCGCTCCAGTTGGCGAGAGTTTGCGCTACGCTGAGTACTTGCAGCCCTCGGCCAAACGGCCAGACGCCGACGTCGACCAGCAGAGACTGGTGAGTCCTGCCAGCGGCCCCCACCCCTCTCTGGCTCCCTTGTAGTTTCTGCTTCAGCCCCCTCTACCGCCTCACCCTTGAACCTTTGTACTCCCCCGCATTCGCTCACGGTCTGTGCCCTAGCGCTCACTTGTTCAGTGGAGAGACCGCTTTGTGCTGGGCTTTGACGCCTGGGCGTGGAAGACGGAGCAGTTCTGAGGATCTGTCTCCTCAAGGAGCTTCCAGTCTTGTCTGGGACACAAACCAGAAAACAGGCAATTGCAAATACAGTAAAATAAGTGCTGTATGTGGATTTTCCTATCTCATAGGAGGCCCTAAAAACGTCTTGCAGGGGACGTGGTGGGATCAGGGACGCTTCTTGGAGAAAGCTGTAGTTAAAAATTAAGATCTGAATGAATAAAAACAGTCCATTCAGCAAGGAGAAGGGGAAAAAGTGTTTCGGGTACCAGGACTACTGTCTCCAAAGTCTCCGGCACAGAAACAGGGCCCAGTTGGAAACTCCAAGTGGTGTATTCAGGATGAACTGTAGAGCTGGAAAAAGGAAGGGTCTAACAGAAAACTGTCCAACAGAAGCATATTGTGAGCCACATACGTATTTTTACGTTTTTTTTTTTTTTTTTTTTTTTTGAGACGGAGTCTCGCTCTGTCGCCCAGGCTGGAGTGCAGTGGCGCGATCTCGGCTCACTGCAAGCTCCGCCTCCCGGTTTCAGGCCATTCTCCTGCCTCAGCCTCCCAAGTAGCTGGGACTACAGGCGCCTGCCACCACTCCCGGCTAATTTTTTGTATTTTTAGTAGAGACGGGGGTTTCACCGTGTTAGCCAGGATGGTCTCGATCTGCTTACCTCGTGATCCGCCCGCCTCGGCCTCCCAAAGTGCTGGGATTACAGGCGTGAGCCACCGCGTCCGGCATATTTTTAAGTTTTTTGTAGCCATATTAAACAACTGAAGAGAAACAGGTGGGTTTGATTTTAACCATGTATTTTCTTTAACCTGATATATGCACAGTTGCATGGTAATTTTCAACATTCAATATGAAATATTGCCCAAGTGGTGGTTTAGGCTTGTAATCCCAGCGCTTTAGGAAGCCCAGGCAGGAGGATCACTTGAGGCCATGAGTTTGGAGGACAGCCTGGGCAACACAGGAGACCCCATCTCTGCTAAAAAAAAAAAAAAAAAATTAGCTGGGTGTGGTGGTGTGAGCCTGTAGTCCTAGCTGCTTGGGAGGCTGGGTCGGGAGAATCACTTGAGCCCAGGAGTTGAGGTTATAGTGAGCTATGATTTCGCCACTGCACTCCAGCCTGAGAGACAGAGCTAGACCCTGTCTCCAACAAAGAAAAAAAAATGAGGCAGTAGAGATTTAGAAAGTTTTAAGTAACTGGTCCAGGATCATCCCTGGTAAGTGGCAGATCTACGATTCCAAATGCTACACTTTTTCCCTTATGACTTGCTGACTCCTTAGAAATAAGGATTTCTGGATATAGTATTCAGTGTATGATACAGCTGAACAAGATCAGGCAGAAGTAATCCTTTTGTGGAGAGTCGTAAAAATCCGAGTATCAGGCTTTCAAGGTAGTTGGGAGCTGTGGTAATTGGAAGATAGAACTAATATTGGTGACTTTTACATGTGTAGGTATTTTTACTTGGAAGAGGAGAGAGTTTACAGAATCCAGAGTACCACATAGGAAGCATCTTTAGTAGTCCAGGTACTTGAAGGCTAAAGTGTAGGCCAGTGATTCTCAAACTGTCTGTGTCCTGTAATATCCTGAAATCCTGAAGTCAGATTCATAGACAATAAAATCTACCTGTAAACATAACTTTTAATAATCAATATAATGCTTTAATTGAGACATAAAGGTGAAATATTTTATTAGACAATAACATGTCTACAGGCTGCGAGCGGTGTCTCGCTCCTATAATCCCAGCAATTTGGGAGGCTGAGGTGGGTGGATCACTTGAGTCAGGGGTTCGAGACCAGCCTGGCCAACAGGGCAAAACCGTGTCTCTACTAAAAATACAAAAATTAGCTGGGCATGGTAGCACAAGTCTGTAATTCCAGCTAGTAGGGAGGCTGAGGCAGAAGAATTGCTTGAACCCAGGGGGCAGAGGTTGCAGTGAGCGGAGATCATGCCACTGCACTCCAGCCTGGGCGACAGAGCGAGACTTTGTCTCAAAAAAAAGAAAATAACATGTTAACATGTCTACAATTTAAATATGTAAATACTTAGACATTACTACATTAGAAAACATAATGAAGTAATTATTAGTTGCTGTCATATTACACCAATTTGTAGAATCACTGTGTATGTGACAGCTACCAATGCAAATTGTTTATCAAATGTATTATATTGGCTTTTCAAGTAGCAGAAGGACCATTGTTCTTTACAAACTTATTTCTCCTAAATGGTGAACAATTTCTGGTAAAAACTTGAACAAAACAGTGGAATCTCCCTCAATTTACATGGCACTTGCACTTATGGAAGATTCAGTCTGTACTAAAACAGTGTAATAATGATATATTTATATATAATGAAGTTCTGGACTAAGATTATCATAAACTTTTCACCTACTTAATCTTTTAAAATTGAGGGATGCAAACAGTTTTTTGTTACACAGGCTTGTCTCATATATTTTAGGACTTCTACGATCAATGGTCCCCCATCCACCAAATACCCTCCCTTCTATTCAAATTATTGTGCAACCAAACAGGGCCTCACGTACTTTCAGAATGTCCCTAAGGGGTTGTTCTGCTTCTTTTGGGAGTTGTTGGTCCAGGCAATGACCAATAATGAGGCAGAAGATTGTTGATAATAACTTTAGGGAACTTGGAAGTACTGAAAGCAATGAGAAGCTGACAAAAGGTAAATATTAGGAAAGAAAAAAAAATGGCCTAGGTGTAGGGCATATTTGGAAATCTTATGGAAAATAGAAAATAATGTTTGTCAATGAGTTAAAGAAAAACTTTCACACTGTATTTTAAAAATGTAATTCATTTTAAGGTTTATGAAATATATCTTGTTGGGCTGGACATGGTGGCTCATGCCTGTAATTCTAGCAATTTGGAAGGTCAGGTGGGAGAATTACTTGAGCCCAGGGGTTCAAGACCCAGGGTGGGCAACATAGTGAGACCCCTGTCTTTCTAAAAGAAAAATCAAAAAGAAATAAATATATCTTGTCATATTTGTTAAATAACTTTTTCTTAGGTAAGCTTCTCTTTTGAAACTAAGAACTAATGTTCATTAGCCTGCTTAGGAGATTAAAATAATTTTTAAAAATAGGCAAAATATGTAGCATCTTGAATAAAGTTAGCATTTTACAATTAATGGTTTAATAGAAGTCATAATCAAACTTTGCACTAGCAAAGCTGTTTCTCATGGAAAAGTAGAAAAGAAACTTTAAGAGATTATTATCAAATTTTAAAGCAGTTTGAACAAAACTCAGTTTGTATGAAACGGTAGTCATTTAGTTTCCATTACTTTCCTGAAAACTGTAACTCTTACTTTTATTTTTCTTCAATTTTTATTTTAAGTTCCGGGGTACATGTGCTAGATGTGCAGGTTTGTTACACAGGTAAATGTGTGCCGTGGTGGTTTGCTGCACAGATTGTCTCATCACCTAGGTATTAAGCCCAGCATGCATTAGCTATTCTTCCTGATGCTCTCCCTCCTCCCACCCCCACAACTCTTGTTATTATTAGGATAGTGTAACATGTAAAAAAAACTAGACACATATATGTTTCATTATAAACAATCCTGATACGTGAAAACTAAAACCTGTCAAACTAATTTTCAGGCATTTATTCATTTCCAAAAATAAGACAGTACTTTTACTATTTTGCAATGATAACATGATTTAAAACATGTTTTAACAATACTTTGAAGCTTACATTGGTAATCACATGGATTATGTACTGTATACCCATATTTTTAACTTTTTTTTTTTTGAGATGGAGTCTTGCTCTGTTGCCCAGGCTGGAATGCAATGGCGGGATCTCGGCTCACTGCAGCCTCTGCCTCACAGGTTCACCTGAGTCTCCTGCCTCAGCCTCCCAAGTAGCTGGGACCACAGGCGCCTGCCACCACGCCCAGCTAATTTTTGTATTTTCAGTAGAGATAGGGTTTCCCCATGTCAGCCAGGCTGGTCTCAAACTCCTGACCTCAAGCGATCCACCCTCCTCAACCTCCCGAAGTGCTGGGATTTCAGGGGTGAGCCACCGCACCCGGCCTAACTGATTCTTTCCCACTGTTTTTTACACCATAATGGGAGGCTAGAATGTTAAGTTTCATGGACAGGGACTTTATTTGTTCTCTGGTATGTATTTCTAGCATTTATAATGGTGCCTGATGTGTGGTAAACATTCCAAAAAGAAATTGTTGAATGAATGAATGTTATTCTTGAATGGGAAGAAATGAGAAGAACTTTTCTTTCAGTGAATGGAGTAAGAATTTCCAGATGTCTACCAGTGAGTACCATACACAAAAATAGAAAATTCAGCTTATTTAAAATGTAGCTCATTATAGTCTTCCCTGAACATGCTGATTCTCCTCTTCTTTCCCCCTTTCTTGACTAGTGCCATCATGTGCACTTTCTCCTTTACCTCCACCATTCAGTTCATGAGTCACTTAGCCTCATCTCTGTAATTTTTTTCATGGTATTCCTTCCCTTGCTATTTTCTTAGTCTTTATTGTTTCTCCTCTGGCCTGTAGTGATCGCCTTTAAAAACAAGTCTCTTTGCTTCTGGTATTGTATCCTTTCTAAACTTCACACTGCCATCAGTTATTTTTCTACAACACAGACTTGTTAATGACACCATCCCTTTTTATGAGTTTAACATGATCTAAACCTTTCTTAGGATCTTACACAGGACTCTTCATGTACTGATCCTTAAATGACATATCCAGCCACATTTCACATCCCCTACATTGCACTGTACCCTGTACTATAGTTACATTAAGTTTCCTTCATGAAATTTTATGGTTCTGTGACTTTACTAGAGCTTTCTCTTCTGAAATTCTTTTCCTGGCTAACTCCTATTCATTTTTTTTTTAAAGACACATCCAGTGTGAAGCCTTCCCTGACCCCAGTTCCCTTTGCCTAGTAGGAGAAAATTGTTTTATACTGTGTGTTTCCTTAGGAAGTTGCACAAGTTTTTATTATAGTTTATTAAGATACATCAAAATTATTTATATTTGTATAAGCACCTATGGTGTGAAGTCCTCAGGGAAGACACTTGTATCTGTATCTGTGATTGGCATTGTAATTGGCACATGATAGCCATTTAATTATTTGTCTATGAAATAGCTATTAACTTCTATTATTATTGAGCAACTTAATAAATAAACATGGATATTTGATTTTAATATCATTGACACCTGTATTTTTTCCTTGTAGGGTCCTCTTATATGTTAGCCTCTAAGGGAGAGCAAGAGTCTGTGTCTCTCTTGCTCACTGCTTTTTCCCCAGAACTTAGCATAAGTCCTGGCACATGCCAAATAAATGTTTATATATTTATATGGTAAAAGTTAAATAAGTATTTGTTGAATGAGTGAATAGTCTACGTCTTTCCTCTCTCCATCACAACTACCACCCCTCTTGTGAGGAGGAAGAATACTTTTTTTCTTCTTCATTTCCCTCTGGTACAACTCTTGTTTTTCTTGGACTGAAATGTTCAGTCTCAAAATAGAAATTTTAGCATTTTATAACACTTTCAGGCAACTTATATTTATCTAAAAAGTTATTTACTGCCTATGTTGTTTAGGGAGAATAAAATGCCATAGGGAATTTGTAAACAATTTTGGTGCCTTTTTTTTTTTCCCCAGCTGTAGCAGCTATGATGGAGTGATCTTTTTTCCCAGTTTTCAGAAATTTTTTGATTCATGGTAGTGGAACATTTATAGTAATTTTTCTGTTTTTTTAATTGTTGCTGTTGTTATTTTGGTTTTTTTAGTGGATATTTGAAACCAGGTAGTGGTAACAGATACCTGACATGGCCCATTTGTTGATCTGCTGGCATTATTTAAATAATGTTTCTTCTCTTTGAAATATGCCTTTTTAACTAAAATTAGATATTCTTTATAGATGGGGATGAAGTTTTAAGAATACTCGTTCTCTCAGTTCCCAACATAGTACCAGGCACATGGTTGCTCTGCCTCATAAATTTTTGTTGAATCATTAAATTAACAAATGAATGAAACCAACAGGCTTGGAGATAAGTAGATTAGGGAAATGTTATAGAATGATGAACGGACAGCCTTCAGGAATTAAAAAAAGAATAAGATAAATGAGACTATGCCTCTTTGACTTTTGTAATAGTCAGGAGAGGCCTAAAATGTCAGTATCTAATAAATATGTGTATAATCAGAGTACGTATAATACTCTGACTTCTGATGTGCTTTTTCAAGTTTTGATCATTGCTTATTAATATCTCCAATAACACAGGCAGTCTCCAACTTAGAAATAGGTTCTGTTTTTAAAATTTGTCAATTAAATTCATTTTAATAGATTTTTGGGTAACACCAAATATATGGAAGCTATAAACTAAGTGTGTATAGGGAGGGTATAAATAAACCAAGATTGCCACCCTCAAGGGCAGAGGATAGCAAACTTAATTTGTAAAGGGTTAGATAGTAACCATTTCAGGCTCTGCAGACCATATAGCATCTGGCACACATTTACCTGTGTAACAAACCTGCACATCTAGCTGCAACTACACTGTTGTAGACTGAACACATAGACAATAAATAAATGTGGCTATTTATGAAAACAGTTGCTCTAGGAGGCAAATTTGGAGCAAATTTAAATGCCCAATTAAAGACAGTTTCTCTAAGTGCTATCATATTTTTGTTCATTTATTTATTCATCCATTTAACACTTTATTTATGGAGTCGTACATTATTAGGTAAGGTTCTGAGTCTAAGTGCTATAGTGGATACAAAGATGAATCAAATACGCATTTTTTCCTCAAGGGACTTGACCAGAAACTAAACCTAGACTCTCAGACTGGGAACTCCCCAGCAGTGGAGATCCTGCCTGATTCACTTTTGAGAATGACTTCTAGGGCCAAGCACAGCACGGGGTAGGTTGCAGATACTTAGTAAATGTCTTTTCAAGGGTAAGGGAATGAAAGACTAAGGCATAGGTGTCATAAGAGAAATATATGGATAAAATGCTTGATTTCGTAGGAATGAGCCATTGTTTCTTATTTGGGAAATCAGAGAAAACTGTGAAAAGTGAGTTGAATGAGTAGAACATTGAGAAAAGGGAAGAATGTGAGCTAAGTTAAAAAGATAAAATCTTAGGCAGAGGTAGCAAATTCAGATGCTTAAAGGGGGCAGTCACGTGGCACAAATGAGTGAGGGGATGACTGGGTTAAATGGTGTTGCATTATGTGAGTGATGATTATAGCAAAATGAGAGAGCACTTGCTTTTCTAAAGGAGGCAGATCATTGGAATAAACCATTATTACCAGATGTTTGATTTTTCGAAAGAAACCAGAAAGAGATAAATAAGTTTTTCTAAAATGTGGGTTATATCAAGGAAGAAAAATAGGGAAAGGTAGGTTGGGTTAACAACTGTAGATAGCTCCAAATGGCGGGTTAAGGAATGTGTGGACTAAATTTGTAGGCAGTTAATTTTGTAGGAGTTGTGTGATCAGTGGAGGCCTTCAGGAGAATCAAGCCCAGAGCAGTGTTTAAGAAGGGTAGAAACTAAACCTAGACTCCTAGACTGGGAACTCCTCAGCAGCGGAGATCCTGTAGAAGAGGACAAGCCTAGTTGAAAATGCGTTACAGTGGGCAGTACTTTGGGAGTGTAGAGGAGGAGATGATGGCAGCAATAAGAGTGATGATAGCTGAACTGTTTTGTGCCAGGCTTTATGCTAATGTTTTAAATGCATGAACTCATTTAGTCTATATAATAATCCTAGCAGGTATAGATCCTGCTAATATTATAACCCTCTACTTGTAGATGAATAAATTGAGGCTTAAAGCACTGAAATAATTTGTGCAAAGTCACACATTTGAGAAGTAGATGAATCCCAGAGGTACTCTGCTTTGTTGCCTCTGTGCTCTTATTCAGAATATTCTCTTTGTTTCTCTTTCCCCTTCAACTTCTTAAATTATGTCACGGTCTAACTAGGAAAACATATAACTTAAATAATATAAAACAAGGGAAATGTAATTCAAGGAATTGGCTTCATAGCTAGTGGAGTTGTTGAGAAATGAAACTAGGATGGTGAAGCAATCCAGAGATTGGGAACAGCAAGGAACCACTAGCACTCCTAGAGCTGTAGGGCCAAAGGGAGGAGTTGGTGTTTTTCAAAACCACTCTACATTAATTGGAACCACGGATGTCTGTTCAGGGGGAGCTGGAGCCACTGCTGCTGCTGGAGCAGTTGCTAAAGACGGAGAGGAAGGGGCGGTAATACCGTGGTTTCTTCCTTGTTTTCACTGTCCAGTCTTTCACCATTGCATCCCATTGGTCTGACTCTACTGGGACCAGCTGACACAAGAGCCTGTAGGACTTAGCTCTTCTAACAGAACAGAGAATAGCCCAGGAATTGATTGGTGAATGCATATGGGCCTGCGACCAACACATTATCTGTTTTCAGCTGTAATTTGAATTCCACTGATAATAAGAAATTTGAAAGCACAGTCTCCTAAAAGCAGTGTTAGAAAACACTTTTTGAAATGCTAAGTATTCCCTTAATCCACAGTGTAAGGGTAACAGTATTATTTTGTGGAATTCCATTTACACTGTCTTATGTCCTTGGAATATCATTTCCATGCTATTGGAGATAAAATAAGTACTGTTGCCAAGTGTGGTGGCTCACGCTTGTAATCCTGGCACTTTGGGAGGCCAAGGTGAGCACATCACTTGAGGCCAGGAGTTCAAGACTAGCCTGGTCAATATGGCGAAACCCCACCTTTACTAAAAAATACAAAAATTAGCTGGGTGTGATGGTGCACACCTGTAGTCCCAGCTACTCGGGAGGCTGAGGCAGGAGAATACCTTGAACCCGGGAGGTGGAGGCTACAGTGAACCCAGATCACACCACTGCACTGTAGCCTGGGTGACAGAGCAAGACTCTGTCTCAACAACAACAAAAAGAAGTAAGTACTGTTAGCTTATAAAGAAAAGAGGTTTAATTGGCTCACGATTCCATAGGCTGTACAGGAAGCATGATGCTGGCATCTGCTCAGTGTCTGGAGAGACCTTGCAAAACTTACAATCATGGCAGAAGACAGAGTGGGAGCCACCACTTCACATGGCCAGAGCGGGAGGAAGACAGAGACAGGGAGGTGCTGCATACCCCCAGAAAACCAGATCTTGCAAGAACTCACTATCACAGGAATAGCACCAAGGGGATGGCGCTAAACCACCCATGAGAAATTGCCGCCATGACCCAATCACCTCCCACCAGGCCCCACCTCCCACATTGGGGATTACAATTGAAAGTGAGATTTGCTGAGGGACACAGATCTGAACCATATCAAGACAATATAGTGAGACCCCATTTCTACAGAAAACTTAAAAAATTAGTCACTTGTGGTGGCACATGCCAGTAGTCTTTGTTTCTTGTGAGGCTGAGGTGGTAGGATCAGTTGAGCCCAGGAGTTAAAGGTTACAGTGAATTACGATCATACCACTGCACTACAGCCTGGGTGACAGAGTGAGACCCTACTGGAAAAAAAAAATAAACCAATATTGATCCATTATTATTAACCCAAGTCATATTTTATTCAGATTCCCATACTTTTTAGCTGATGTCCTTTTTCTGTTCCAAGATCCCAACCAGGTACCACATTACATTTAGTTTTCGTGTCTGTTTTGGCTGCTTGTGGCTGTGACAGTTTTTCAGACTTGCTTTATTTTTGATGACCTTGACAGGTTTGAGGCTTACTGGTTAGGTATTTTGTGGGATAGTCTCTACTGGAATTTCTTAGGTGTTTTTCTCATGATTATACTGGGGTTTTAGGTTTTTGGAAGGAAGATCAATCAGAAAGGTGAAGTGCCAGGCTGGGTGCAGTGGCTCATGCCTGTAATCCCAGCACTTTGGGAGGCCAAGGTGGGTAGATAACTTGAGGTCTGGAGTTTGAGACCAGCCTGGTCAACATGGCAAAACCCGTCTCTACTAAAAATACAAAAATTAGCCGGGCATGGTAGCAGGTGCCTATAATCCCAGCTACTTGGGAGGCTGAGGCAGGAGAATTGCTTGATCCTGGGAGGCGGAGGTTGCAGTGACCCGAGATCATGTTATTGCGCTCCAGCCTGGGCGACAAGAGTAAAACTTCATCTCAAAAAAAAAAAAAAAAGAAAATGACTTGCCAGTTTCATCACATCATATGAAGTGTACATACTATAAACATGTTTGTTGCAATTGATGTTGATCTAATCTGATGCGGCAGTATTTGTGAGTTTTCTTAACTGTAAACTTTATTTGCATACTGCACTTTTTGAAAGAAAGTCACTTTGTGCAGCCCACATTTAAGGAGTAGAGAGTTATGCTCTCCACTCCTTAAATGTAGAGTAATCTGTCAGATTATTTGGAATTCTTCTGTATGGGAGATTTGTCCTTTTTTTTTTTTTTTTTTTTTTTTTTTTGAGACAGAGTCTCGCTGTGTCGCCCAGACTGGAGTGCAGTGGCGCGATCTCGGCTCACTTCAAGCTCTGCCTCCCGGGTTCACGCCATTCTCCCGCCTCAGCCTCCTGAGTAGCTGGGACTACAGGTGCCCACCACCGCGCCCGGCTAATTTTTTGAATTTTTAGTAGAGACGGGGTTTCCCCGTGTTAGCCAGGATGGTCTTGTTCTCCTGACCTAGTGATCCGCCCGCCTCGGCCTCCCAAAGTGCTAGGATTACAGGCGTGAGCCACCGCACCCAGCCGAGATTGTCCTTTTACTCCCATTTATTACTTATTTATATTAGTTTGGTTTCATGGATAGTAATTTTATGCTTTGGATTATAATCCACTACCACATTTATTTTGTTGTTCAAGCTGTTTTATCTTTGGCCATTGGGATCTCTTTCAGTTGACTCTTGTGTACCTTTGACATACCCCCAACGTTGTGGGGGTTTTTTTGAGCACTTCCTTGCTTTCTGGCACTACATGGTGCTCTAGGCTCATTTTGTGTATTTCCTGCCCCAGTCCCAAAATCAGGCATTTCTCCAATGAGTTCTGTGTATATAACATTTTATCTCATGGGGAGCTTCATTCTGGGTCATAACTTCAGATCCTAATCCATTTTTATCCTCCCACCCTCATCCATTTTTATCCTCCCACCCAAATGTTCCCCAATTCCTTTATCTTTTCCCTATATAGCTGATGAGGTAAGAGCAAAAGATATCCTTGTCTTGGTACACGTGGCTGCTGCTTTCAGTCCATCAAGGACAGTAGAATTTTTCCCTGAAGCTTCAGTAAAGCGCTTTTGTGTTTGTTTAGTTTGGGCTTTATTTTTGTTTTTCAATATCTGGTGTTAGGGACTGCTAATGGAGGGAGGGTGCTAGGGATTGTGAAAGGAATTAGAGAGAGAGAAAGAGACTCATTAACCTTTCTGCCATTTGTCATTGTATTTCAAGTTTGTTATAGAATCTTAGTACAGGTCAAGTGAACAGTAAAGAACCTGTCTCTGGGTATAAGGTTAAATATTGCATATTCATTCCTCTAAAGGACTGAATATGGTCTTCAAGAGAATGATTTTCACTTCTTTTGGAATACCTAGAATTTAACAATCACCACCACACTGAAAAAATAGTTTTTGTATAGTAGGCATTAGAACTGAAGAGAACTAAACCAAGGGAGAAAAGAATGGTACTTTAAATAGCACTTTCCTCCCCAAATAATGCCTAGCTGCAGTGATGTTAAAGTTTAATTCAAGGACTTCATTACTATAAGTACTTAAGAGATTTCTATATTTTTATGTGGTTTTTGAATAATTTCTGTATTGATTTGTAAGTAACTTTTTTCAAAGTACCAATTTATTTTTTAATTTTAATATTTTATTTCTTTTGAGACAGGATCTTGCTCTGTCTCCCAGGCTGGTGTACAGTGGCGTGATCATAGCTCACTGCAGTCTCAATTTCCCAGGCTGAAGTGATCCTCCCACTTCAGCTTCCCAAGGAGCTGGGACCACAGGAGTGTGCCATCATGCCTGGCTAAATTTTTATTTTTATATTTGGTAGAGATGGGGGTCTTGCTATGTTGCCGAGGCTGGTCTTGAACTCCTGGGCTCAAGGGATTCTCCCACCTCTGCTTCTCAAAGTGCTGGGATTACATGTGTAAGCCACTGTGCCCAGTCCAAAGTACCAATTTAATTTTACATTTTAAAAATTGGATTCTAAAAGTCTGCCTTCTTATCTGAACACTATTTTTCAGATTCCATTTTATTTTGTTACTTTTTTAAATTGTGATTGGACAAAATGTTTTTCAGTTTCTGTCTTTTTTTTTTTTTTTTTTTGAGACAGGGTCTCACTGTCATCCAGGCTGGAGTGCAGTGATGCAATCTCAGCTCACTGCACCTTCCACCTTCCAGGCTCAAGCAGTCCTCCGACCTCAGCTTCCCAAGTAGCTGGGACTACGGGTCGCACCACCACACCCAGTGCAGCCCTCAACAGAGAGGAGACTGGAGTGGGTAGCTCCTATCTGCAGGCAGGTCATCCTGATAAGGGTGTCTGGCTAAGTCTGCAGGTTTTTATGTGCTCAGAATGGAGGAAGTGCATGTTGATTGGTTGATGGGTGGCTGGCCATGGGCAGGCCTGGAAAAAGCACCATCCAATTGGCCGATTGGTCATCAATGAACTTCATACTCCTGTTGGTGGACTTCATCCAGAACTGGCAGCCTGGCCCCTAGGCTTCAGGCCAGTCCTAGCTTGAAGGAGGGGTTCTGCCAGGGACCCACCCTTTCCTGCCCAGGAAACTTTCAACCTCTTGCTGCCACCAACATGACCTCCACAGCACCCTGGCTCTAGAGGCTGCGGGGAGCCCACAGGCCCATGCCAAGCTACTACCCTCAGCCCCTTGGCTGGACCTCCCTCCTGGGCTTGTGCCCAAAGTCTAGAGGGGGCTGAAGTGGCAGGGGGCTGGCATGTCATCACCGCTCTTAGTGCATGCACACCCGGCTGGGTTGAGACAGTGCCTCAGCTTAGCCACAACTTTGCCCCACCCTGGAGTGGATGCCGTGAGTCGGGAGAGGCCAGGCAGTGGGAGCAGGCATTTCTAAGCCTGTAGGGGCAGGGGACTTCCTGGGCCCCTGAGAGTGCGGTTGGGCGGCTGCAGCTGCTCCTGGGAGCACTGGCTCCTACCCTGCCAAGCTGATAGGTGGCTGGCCTCCTGCCTGTTCCCAGCTCCCGGCAGCTCTGCTGAATGTCCAGCCCCCATGGTGCCTCCCGCTCTGCAGCCAACATCCTTGTGGGGGCCGCTCCAGACGGGCCGTAGCAGCCACTGCCTTAAAGTAAAATCGGTTGCTGTAAGGGAGTAAAAGTAGCTTTCATTAAAGGGGATGATTTCCCAAGCAAGAAGAAATAAGCAAAACTACAAAATGTTGCAGATAAGGTGTACATCAGATATAAGCCGAAAAAGAGAGTTTGAGGGGTTCTTGCTGGAGACTTCAAAGTCAGTATGATAAAAGCTTGGAGTACTTGATAGGAAGGAGGCCAACTAGAGATGCAGTGGGATCATTTTTATGATCAGGGTGCAGATTTAAGTGCAAGGATAAAAAGGGAGACACCGAAGATCAATGTAGTTATTCTTGAAGAATGTAAGGAAGAATTCATTTTTAAAGTTTATTTTAAAGTAGACAGGTCAGAGGGTTTTCTGCCTTCTGATGTTAAAACATGTTAAACCCATCTCACCAGGTGAGATCTTCCTTTTTCTTTTTTTAATAACCTTTATTTTTACCTCCTGATTTTAAAAAGACGATTATGTAATGTTATATAGTAATTGTAATAGCTACCATTTGTTGAATGTTTATCCCATGTTAAATATACTAGTTTATATATATGAATGCCCTAACTTAAAAAAATTCTTATCAACCCAAGGAATTAGGTGCAGTCATCATCCTCATTTTACAGATGAAGGAACACATGGAGGTCATGTAACTTGGGCAGGTCATGGAGCTGACAAGTAAGGAGCCAAAACTCAAACCATATTTCTTTGATTCTAAAGTCTAATGATCCCAAGACTACGTTTTAATGAAAATATTCTTTTTTATAGCCTGCTTTTATTCTGTACTTAACATGTGGTTGCTAAACATTCCTCAATAATATATTTAATTGTTGATCCATATTTTACATGTGCCTTAATTTATTTAATGATTCCCCCATTGTTGGGTAGTCAGATTGTTTCCATTTTTTTGTATTACAAATAAAACACAGTGATGAATTTTCTCTTAAATGTTTTTATGGATTTTTCTGATTATTTTCTTCGGATAAATTTTTTGAATCTTAGTTACTAAGCCTAAAGACATTAGTATATTTAAGGTTGTTGATTCCTGTGATGAAAGTAACCTCAAGACACATTGTCCCAATTTGCATTCCTAGCATCAGCCATCAGTTCAGGAGATTGTTCATTGAACCATTCTTTTGACAATTTGTAAGACTTTGATTTGTTGGCCAAAATGTATACCTCTCATGATTAACAGGCTGCGTACTGGAGGTATGACAGATTGTCACATGGCCCCATCCAGAGGAAAAGCTGAAAGAGGGACTAGTAATGCCAGTTTCATACTTATCAAACGATTCCATTTTTGTATTAAACATAGGAGTATTAAAAATACGACTGGGGAGGCCAGGTGCGGTGGCTCATGCCTGTAATCCCAGCACTTTGGGAGGCCAAGGCGGGCAGATCACGAGGTCAGGAGATCGAGACCATCCTGGCTAACACAGTGAAACTCTGTCTCTACTAAAAATACAAAAAATTAGCCAGGCTTGGTGGCTGGCTCCTGTAGTACCAGCTACTCGGGAAGCTGAGGCAGGAGAATGGCATGAACCCGGGAGGCAGAGCTTGCAGTGAGCTGAGATTGCAGCACTGCACTCCAGCATGGGCGACAAAGCGAGACTCTGTCTCAAAAAATAGGAAAAAAAAAAAAAAAAAAGGAAAATACCACTGGGGGAAGGGAGACCAAAGAAAATTTCATGAAATAAAGAATTAAGGACACCAAGGACTGGTGCTAGGATCTAGCTTGATGTTAGATAATAAAAATGACACTGTATTCTCTAGAAAATTTAAAAACCTACCTAGTAATAAGTTGTAGAAGACTTTATATGTTTTTTGTGAATGGGCAGATAGGGGTGTTTTGTTGAGTGTGAGCTCACACTGGAAAAAATCTTGAGTAATTTTTATAATCCATTAAAGGTAATGTGAGAGTGACTTCAGATTGTTGCTTGAAGGCATAAGCTCTGGTCTGGAATTAGGATACCTGGGCTCTAGTCCAGTGTAGAATTGTTGCTGCAATTTGCAAGTCATGTAACTTCTCGGGCCCTCAGTGTCTTCCTCATAAAATGTGGGTTTTGGCTAATGTTCTCTGTCATTTTTTTCAACTCTATGATTCCGTGACATTGACTTAATTTATTATTACAGTCAGAAATGTCAACAAAACATTCGTGGAAACTATTGAAAATGGAACAGAAACATCTTTTTGTATAAAATTATAGTGTTTCTATAGAAGTCTGTGTGTGCCTTTGCATGTACCTTTCCATGCAATCAAACAGAAATGAAAAGTTTCCAGAAAAGGTCAACAAGTAAATTTACTGAGGGGAGAAGTGTGTGATTGAGTGTCTAGGAGTCTCAGGGGGTGGAGACACCAAGGGAAGGCTAATTTGAAGACATAGGCAAAATAGTTCAGAACTTAATTCAGGACTTTAGAAATTCATTGGCCAAAAAATTCTAATAAAATTTCAGTACAATAATAAAATGATAAAAGCTGTTGGTTGGGTGAAAAAGGCCCTTTCCTTCAAATGTTAGAAAACAAAACTAAGGATACTATTTAAACTTGAAAGAGATAAATTTGGCTGGGCATGGTGGCTCATGCCTGTAATCCCAGCACTTTGGGAGGCTGAGGCAGGGGGATCACCTGAAGTCAGGAGTTCAAAATGACCAGCCTGGCCAATATGGTGGAACCTCATCTCTACTAAAAATACAAAAGTTAGCCAGGCGTGGTGGCGTGTACCTGTAGTCCCATTTACTCGGGAAGCTGAGACAGGAGAATTGGTTGTACACGGGAAGTGGAGGTTGCAATGAGCTGAGGTCACACCACTGCGCTCCATCCTGGGCAAAAGAGTGAGACTCTGTCTCAAAAGAGAGAGAGAGAAAAAGAAATATATACATTTAGGACTAGTGAATTAAATAGCAGGGATGAGCAAGTTAAAGAATCTCACTCCTAGACCCAAATGAACCTTGAGCTGCCTAGAAGACTGAACCTTTGAGAGCAGCTGTATCTGAAGCTTCAGGCCAAAGAACAGTTCTCAGAAGTTGCATTACTAGACTTGACATGTGCCAGCCATCAAGACCCACAAAGCAAAGATATAGAGCCTGCTGTAGTTCTTTCTTCCTAACAAATTCGTTTCAAATGCTGAAGGTTTTAAAATATTTTTTCTGGCTTAATTTTCTAACTAGAATTTGGTTTTGGCTTTGAAATTTTTGTCTCTTTTTGACTTACCTGTTTATCTGTGGGGGTAATAATCTGTTACCTGGTTATCATCTTGAAGTGACCCCATAATGTTAAGTAGATGGAAGTTGACTTTACATTTTACAAGTTGTCTGGTCTAATCTGTGTTTAAAATATTCTGCAGGCCTAGTCTGTTTTTAACATATTCTATATGAAGGGGTGGTTTGCCCCTCCACACCTGTGGGCGTTTCTCGTTAGGTGGAACAAGAGACTTGGAAAAGAAAGAGACACAGAGACAAAGTATAGAGAAGGAAAAAAGGGGGCCCAGGGGACCAGCGTTCAGCATACGGAGGATCTCGCCGGCCTCTGAGTTCCCTTAGTATTTATTGGTCATTCTTGGGTGTTTCTCGGAGAGGGGGATGTGGCAGGGTCATAGGATAATGAGAGAAAGTCAGCAGATAAGCACGTGAACAAAGGTCTCTGCATCATAGACAAGGTAAAGAATTAAGTGCTGTGCTTTAGATATGCATACACATAAACATCTCAATGCCTTAAAGAGCAGTATTGCTGCCCGCCTGTCCCACCTCCAGCCCTAAGGCAGTTTTCCCCATCTCAGTAGATGGAACATACAATCTGGTTTTATACTGAGACATTCCATTGCCCAGAGATGGGCAGGAGACAGATGCCTTCCTCATGTCTCAACTGCAAAGAGGCGTTCCTTCCTCTTTTACTAATCCTCCTCAGCACAGACCCTTTACAGGTGTCGGGCTGGGGGACGGTCAGGTCTTTCCCTTCCCACGAGGCCATATTTCAGACTATCACATGGGGAGAAACCTTGGACGATACCTGGCTTTCCTAGGCAGAGGTCTCTGCAGGGTTTTGTGTCCCTGGGTACTTGAGATTAGGGAGTGGTGATGACTCTTAACCACTGCTGCCTTCAAGCATTTGCCTTCAAGCATTTGTTTAACAAAGCACATCTTGCACAGCCCTTAATCCATTTAACCCTGAGTTGACACAGCACATGTTTCAGGGAGCACAGGGTTGGGGGTAAGGTTACAGATTAACAGCATCTCAAGGCAGAAGAATTTCTCTTAGTACAGAACAAAATGGAGTCTCTTGTGTCTACTTCTTTCTACACAGACACAGTAACAATCTGATCTCTCTTTCTTTTCCCCACACTATAGATATTTAACATGTCTTGTAGATGATCCCTGCCTCCCAACACACACATTGACTAGATTGCAGTAACAGTGAGGTGAGGGCAGAATCTCAGTCAGAATTCAACATCTAACCTTTGTTCTCTCCCTGTATCCTCACATTTCCCTCCTTGGCCTAACCTTGACCCTATGCTTCAGTTTTAGTTCTACTTTTCTAAGAAGCAATCTATGATTCAGAAGTAGAGTACTCAGCCAGCTGGCCAGCTGTCTGTTTTACTGTCTCTCCATGCATATACATACATCCATGCAGTCAATTAACTGCTAACTTTTATTTAGCCTATGCTATATACCGGGAATACAAAGGTGAATGAAGCCTACCTCTTGCCTTCTAGAGGTTCATAGCATGGTGAGGGAGGGAAGTTTTGAAGTGTGGCCTGGGATCACAATGGAGGAGTAAGCTGGGAAGTAGTCAGGTGGTGATATTTAAATAGGTAAGACCATAACACTGACATTGATTTCTTTAATGGTTGGATGTTTACTTAATCCTGCTGCCTATCTATAGTGTAGTAGGCCCCCTCTTATCTGTGGGTTCTGTGTTCCAAGACCACCAGTGGATGCCTGAAACCATGGAAAGTACTGAACCCTACAGATACAGTATTGTTTTCCTATAGTACTGGTCCCTTCATACACAATGTTTTTTCCTATATATACATAATTATGATAAAGTTTAATTTATAAATTAGGTACAGTAAGACATTAACAACAAACAATGCAATGGAACAATAATAACTATAGTTGTAATAAAACTTATGTGAGTATGGTCTCTCTTTCTCTGGAAATATATTATTATAACCATGGAAAGCAAAACTGTAAGAGAGGACTACTATAGTTTTGTTTCTTCCTCCTTCTTAGTAGCTGAGAAGCAATATAGAGCAGGCACTCTCCTGTGTTAGGGACAGGGATCAATCATAACATCTTTACATGAAGGGTGGTGAAACAGAAGGGCAGGAGTGCATTAAGAGTCAACTAGGATGGGGGGATATGACTCAAGTGCTCCAGCTCCCAAACTGAAAGCCAGCAGATTCAAAAGAGGGAGAGCTTATCTTGAGAAAAAATGTCATGGTGCCACATAAGGTAGGGACCAGCTGTGGTGGTGTAGCTGGCAAGTCTAAAATTTGTAGGGCAGGCCCACAGTCTGAGAGCTTTCAGATAGGATGAGATTCTTGAGGCAGTATTTCTTCTTCTTCAGAGAAACTTCAATTTTGTTCTTAAATCCTTGCAAATGATTGGTCCATATAGATTGGCCCACATAGATTATCAAAGATAAACTCCATAGGTGTTAGCCACATCTCCAAAATACTTTCATGGCAACCCCAAAATCAGTGTTTGACTAACTGGGTAAGCATAGTGTAGCCAGGTTGACACATAAAATTAACTGTCACCATGTTCCTGGGTTCAAGAACTTAAAGCCAAATATGCAACCTGGTTTGGCAAGCCTGTGATGAGTTCAGGGGCTGCAAGTGCTCTCCAGGCTGTCAGGAAGGACATGGTTGATGACAGGAGCAAGATTTTCTGACCAGTCACATTTATTCACATTTTGGTTTAAAAAAGCTGCTTTTTAAATTTGTTTATTTTTATTTTTTTGAAAGGCTCTGTCACTCAGGCCGGAGTCCAGTGGTATGATCTTGGCTCACTGCAAACCTCCGTCTCCCGGGTTCAAGCGAGTCTCCCCCCTCAGCCTCCCCAGTAGCTGGGACTACAGGCGTGTGCCACCACTCCCAGCTAATTTTTGTATTTTTAGTAGAGACGGGGTTTCACCATGTTGGCCAGACTGGTCTCGAACTCCTGACTCTCAGTTGATCTACCCGCCTTGGTCTCCCAAAGTGCTGGGATTACAGGCATGAGCTGCCATGCCTGACCTCAAAAGCTTCTTATATTATGAGAAAGTAGAGCCATGACTCACACTGTTATTTTGAGTAAATGCAAAACAGTACTTAAAAGATCATTCTTGTTATTATTTATTTACTTATTCTAGACCTTTTCTGACAGTGTGAAAAAGATTATTCTTAAAAAATCATTATCTATAGTGAAGATTTAACTTTGAGGAGTTTTTAATTATGCTGGAGAGTGGAGTAACATTCATTTGGGGTAAGCCTAAGAGTTTTGTTTCCTAACATGTTTGGCCTCTGATTTTGTTGTTTCGCCCTTTTATTTATTCACTAGTCTTGCTGTAGATACTAATGCTTGCCTGTGGTTTAAGAGAAATTAAGCAACTTAAAAACAGAGCAAATAGAAATGTAGTTAGCTTTGCCTTTCTTTTTTGCTTAATGTAAGGGTTTCGTGGGAATTGGTGTTTTGGGAGAAGTTCAAATGTATTTGCTTTTGGCAATGGAACAATAATGGTAAAGGTAGGGTGTCTTAATGTAGATTGGTTCAATTTAGATATGAAAGTCTGAAATTTATATTGGCTTGAAGATTTTAGGGCAGGATAATTTTATAAATTCTCGTTATTGTCATTTTATTGTGTCTGACACTTTTTCTTGAATGTAAATTCTCCTCCCCTCCTTATTCTAATCTGCATGTATAATACCTCTTTTACCCAAATTATATTGATTTGCCAGCAGTCTTTCTTGTTTCCTCTCTTTTTTTCTCCTTTCCACTTGCTGTTGTTTAAATTCAAAGAGTTTTCTTTGTGGAGACTGAACCTAATAGTAAGACAGCATAAAACACTGAGTTCAGCAGAAAGTGATTTGCTTGTGATTAACCCTTGAGAATTAACTCACTGCAAGATAACAAAGAATGAATGTTTTCCAAACATCTGGCTCATTCTTCTTTTCCATTAGTAGATGAGACCTCTCCATTTACCCTCTAGGTGTTAGGAATTCTCATACTGTTTCACTTAGGCTTTATCATACTCGTCACGGCATATTGTTAGAAAGTAAGTCCAAAAGAGAGTTCATGACATACCCTTTCTCTGCCACAGACCTCTCACAGTCCTTGCAGCAAAAGGCAGTTAGTGTCATTCTTTTAGTTGTTCAAGACAATAACCTTGACTCTTCTCTTTTCCTTTTAGTTGCTCAAGACAACTAAAAGGTCCTTTTAGTTCCTTTTGGTTGCAAAGACTTTATTTTCTTTGTCTTCCGAGAGACTTTTGGATATATTTACCTGGTCCAGGGTATTTTGAAGCATGACCATATGTTAGATTCTTAATTACGTTTAACTAGCATTGTCCATTATATTTTCTCATTTCAAAACCTTGACTCCATATCCAGTGTCTCAGCAAATCCTATTGGCCTTACCTCCGAACTCTATCTAGTATCTCACCACTTTCCTCATTTCCATCATTAATCGCTGTAGCCCAAGTGACCATTATCTCTTTCATGGATTATTTTAATAGACTTACAACTCATCCCCATGCCTCTGCTTTTCATCCTCTACAATCTATTCTCAACATGACAAGTAGAATGATCCTTAGAATTTTAATTGAAATAATCTTAGGCCTCTGCTCAAAACAATGATGTACTGTATCACTCGGAGAAAAGCTAGTCTTTATGTTGACCATATAAGGCCCAGCATGATCTGCTCCCCTTGTGACCTGTTCGACCTTGTTGCCTATTTTTTTCTCTTTCTCTTCCTGCTGTATGCACACTGGCCTTCTGGCTATTCGTTAGGCACACTGGGCACACCTGTGCTTTAGGGACTTTACACTTGTTCCCATTGCTAGTCCAAAATCTAAGGAATCCTTTTTCTTGCTTTAATTTTTTTCCAAAAGTCATTTTTTTCAGTGAAGCTTGCCCTACTCACTTTAAATTTGTTGCTCTTGTAGCAGGACAAGCCGCAGGCAAAACCTCTCAGACATCGAGTTGTAGAAGGAAGGGCTTTATTCAGCTGGGAGCATCGGCAAGCTACTGTCTTAAAATCCAAGCTCCCCGAGTGCACAATTTCCGTCCCTTTTACGGGCACACAACACTAAAGATTTTATATGAAAGGGTTGTGATTGATTGAGCAATCTAGGGGATATGTGACGGGGTTTCATGCACTGGTAGTCAGAGTGAAACAGAACAGAGCAGGGAGTTTCACAATGTTCTTCCATACAATGCCTGAAATCTATGGGTAACATCGGGTTCTAAGTCATGAGTTGATTTTTAACTACTAGGTTTAGGCCATGCAGGCTCGGGCGTGGTTTTGGGCCTGGGGCCAGGCTGCCTGTCTTTGATTTCACTTCCTTGTTTTTTTCTTAAAACAGGTACTGAGTATAAAATATAAAACAATGTGAGAGGGTCTCTCTCTTCCCTCACTCTCACCATACAAACACATACCTACTTCTTTATCTGCTTAATTTTTTTCCATAGCACAAATCACTGCGTAAAATAATTATATATTTTTCCTGTTAAAATTGTTTGTTGTCTGTCTCTCTTGCTAAAATGTACCTTCATGAGGATAGGGATTTTGTCTGATATATCCCTAGGGCTTAAAATCATGACTGGCACATAGTAAATACTGAGTATTTATTGAATTAATTAATGAACCAGTCAGAGATGGGAAATAGCCTTCAAGTGCCTGTTTGCTAAATTACCTAACCTTTTTATTGGGAGTTTATTTTCCTTAATGTTTGTTTAACAAATTAGTTATTCTTTCATGTTTTCCACATAACCTGTGGATTATCTTCATTTTTTTTTTTTTGTAAGGAAATTTACCAGACATAAGGTCCTAACTTTATTTTCTTTGTCTTCCGTGAGACTTTTGAATATATTTACCTGGTCCAGGATATTTTGAAGCATGACCATATGTTAGATTTTTAATTAAGTTTAACTAGCATTGTCCATTATATTTTCCCATTTCAAAACATAATTTCGGTCACCAGTATGGTACACATAAAATATGAGCTACAAGAGACATCTCGGTGGTGGTGAGAGACAGGACTAGTTGGACTTCCTAGGCCGACTAAGAATTCCTAAGCCTAACTGGGGAAGGTGACCGCACCTACCTTTAAACACAGGGCTTGTAACTCAGCTCACGCCCAACCAATCAGGTAGTAAAGAGGGCTCACTAAAATACAAATTAAGCTAAAAGCAGGAGGTAAAGAAATAGTCAAATCATATATCGCCTGAGAGCACAGGGGGAGGGGCAGTGATTGGGATATAAACCCAGGCATTGGAGCAGAGAGTGGGCAACCCCCTTTGGGTCCTCTCACATTGTACGGGAGCTCTGTTTTCATTCTATTAAATCTTGCAACTGCACACTCTTCTGGTCCGTGTTTGTTACGGTTCGAGCTGAGCTTTTGCTCGCTGTCCACCGCTGCTGTTTGCTGCCGTCGCAGACCTGCCGCTGACTTACACCCCTCTGGATCCAGCAGGGTGTCCACTGCGTTTCTGATCCAGTGAGGTGCACATTGCCGCACCTGATCAGGCTAAAGGCTCGCCTTTGTTACTGCACGGCTAAGTGCCCTAATCGAGCTGAACACTGGTTGCTGGGTTCCACCGTTCTCTTCCATGACCCACAGCTTCTAATAGCTATAATACTCACCACATGGCCCAAGGTTCAATTTCTTGGAATCTGTGAGGCCAAGAACCCCAGGTCAGAGAACAAAAGGCTTGCCGTCATTTTGGGAGCGGCCCACCCCATGTTGGGAGCTCTAAGACCAAAGACCCGCCCGTAACAGTGGTAAAGTTTCTTAAGATCATTTTCATGTCATTATACAAACTTTTAGAAAATGACGCTTTGCTAGATTTTGGAAATCCAAAGAAATAAAACACAGTCCCTACCTCCGGAAGCCTACATGTTGGAAGGGATTTGAAATAGGTAAATGAGTATTAACTAATGTAATATATATTACAGTAGAAAGATCTCCTGAGTACTATGGAGTACTGAAGAGTTTTGTTTGGGTGAGAGGTGAGTGAAGAAAGCTTTTTTGAGAAGATGAGCTTGAAGTTGATTGCTGAGTAAGATTTCCCAGGAGTAAAGCAGAGAGGAACAAAAGGAGTAAGAGTAAATAATATGAGAATGAAAAAAGGACCAACATGGAATGTCTGTGACGTTCACATAGGTGCTGGTTATTTTTCATAACCTTGTTTGAATCATTACGAGCATGTTAGGATACAGGTATTTGTATCTTAATTTTATAGATGAGGAAATGGGCCCAAAGAGAATAGCTTAGGATCACAGAATGTTGAATTGGAGCCCAGGCCTGATTAACTTGAAGCCCATGGACTTTCCATAGCAGCCCCATACATAGCATTCAGGTGTGAAGGAGTAGAAAGTATAAGGGGCTCATGCTTGCTGCATGGATGAAAAACTTGAAGGCTTATTTAGAAAGTAAAAGTTTAGTACGAGCCATGAGGAATGGGAAAGGGTACTAATTAATGATGAGGAAGATGATGGTACAGAGTAGGCTTGAAGGGCCAGCGGGCATCAGAAACCATAACTGTGTAATGATGCTATTTAGTGAGAACATAAGATTTTTCTTTAGCTAGACCTAGCAGTCTAGGATGAGGATTCTCTGTGGTAACTCTGCCACCATTTTGAAACCATTCGATTTCACTGACAATTTGCCATCTGTTGCTTTCTGCAGTGCTATTATGCATATGCCTGGAAGTTTTTAAATCCAAAATATTCATGCATTGTATATGGTCAGAGAGAATGCAGTGAAAGCTATGCTTTTTGTAATTTTTGACAAGTGTACTCTAAAGTAATGAATTTTAAAAACTTAGGCCGGGTGCATTGGCTTACGCCTATTATCCCAGCACTTTGGGAGGCCAAGGCAGGTGGATCACCTGAGGTCAGGAGTTCAAGACCAGCCTGACCAAAATGGAGAAACCTCGTCTCTACTAAAAATACAAAAAAAAAAAAAAAAATTACCCGGGTATGGTGGCTCATGCCTGTAATCCCAGCTACTGGGGAGGCTGAGGCAGGAGAATCGTTTGAACCCGGGAGGCGGAGGTTGTGGTGAGCCGAGATTGCGCCATTGCGCTCTGGCTTGGGCAACAAGAGCAAAACTCTGTCTCAAAAATAAACAAAAAACAAAAAGCTTAAATACCCTTGTCCCATATCACATAAATTTGTTTTTTGAATATATATCATCTTTTTTTCCCCCATGGTGACCATGACAGATTATTAAAAACTAAATTTCTAAATTTGATGTAAGTAGAATGTTAGGTTTTTGGTTTTTCTTACATAGAGACCACTGTTCCCAAACATTATGCTGGACCAGTTGTAAAAGAATTTTTTTGGTGGCATTTGTAACTGATTTCATTTTTAAGTATATATGTGCATATATTTATAGAAAGATCAGCTTGTTCTATAAGTAGAAGTATGTGGTACCCTAATTTTGTGTAACAACAACAAAAATATATCCAATAATTAGATTTTCTGCAGGCCTAGAAAATGTTAGCTACTTTTTTAAGCCATAAACGTCTGAATCGTCAGATAAAATGTTTCAAAACTAAAACTTGCCCAAGGCAGCCTTGTGAATTTTTTTTTAAAGAATTAAAAAAAAAGCCTCATATGGCATCCATATTCATCATCTACTGCTACATATGTGTGACACTTACGGCAGTTTTAGCCTATACTAGGGTACAGGAATATACTTACTTTTTTAAATCATACTTCCTGATTTCTTTTATTTTCATATCCCAATTTTTCCTAAGTCAAAGAAACAGCAACATTTCTGTTTCTGCAGAATTTAACCTGGTTATTGCCTAGTTGGTAGAAAATGACTGTAGTTGTGGTACCAACACTATGCCTGATTCACCATTTTACTATTATATTGTCTTTTCAATGTCATTTTTTCTCATTCTGTTACTGGCAGTTTAGTTTTAAAGCATCATTGTTTAAAAAACATTCAAAATAAAAGTCGAAATACATCTTCATGTTTACAACTGGATCAGATATGGTGTTGTGCATATAAAAGAAACAAAATACAGATCCTCTTAGCCCAAGGATATGATACTGAAGTTTAGTAAACGAGAAATAGCATAGTGATGAAAGCATGCTAATTGTTTTTCAACAATAGTAA
This sequence comes from Homo sapiens, assembly GCF_000001405.40. Classification (NCBI taxonomy): domain Eukaryota; kingdom Metazoa; phylum Chordata; class Mammalia; order Primates; family Hominidae; genus Homo; species Homo sapiens. Next base: position 43,049,503 of record NC_000013.11, read on the forward strand.
AATAGAGAACATGTTAATGGAATTATCTGATATTTACACAGTTATGCCAAGTAAACCATAGGTTATTCAGAAACCCCAGTGTGTTTTAGATGTTATTTTATTTTTAAAATTAAAGCCAAAGAAAGGTATGGTCAGGAGTTCTGTGTTGAGTTACTTACTTAGACTTAGATTGACTCCCTTTCTCTTATACTTCTGTTTTCTACATTTGAAACTAGTTTCTTTTTCCTGTTTGAGTCATTCATATATGTGGAAGTTTGAGGAGAATTGTTACTGTTTTACAGCTCACAAAATCTGTGTCTGAAAAGAAATACCAATGGCTTTTTAGCAAATAAAAAAATGTTAGGTAGTAGATAAATTTTTTTCTAGGAAACAATTCATATTATTCTGGGCCAGTTAAAGTTTTGTTTGTTTGTTTGTTTTATTTTATTTGTTTGAGACAGAGTCTTGCTCTGTGGCCCAGGCTGGAGTGCAATGGCATGATAATCGGCACACTGCAACTTCCACTTCCCAGGTTCAAGCAGTTCTCCTGCCTCAGCCTTTTGAGTAGCTGGGGCTACAGGCACCTGCCAACACACCTGGCTAATTTTTTGTATTTTTAGTAGAGACGGGGTTTTGTCATGTTGGCCAGGCTGGTCTCGAATTCCTGACCTCAGGTGATCCACCTGCCTCAGCCTCCCAAAGTGCTGGGATTACAGGCATGAGCCACTCTGCCCGGCCAGTTTTAATTGCTTGTAAATCTAACAGCCTTACTATTTCCACAGGAAACTTTATAAGTACTTTTATTCTTTCCTTTAAAATTTTAAAAAATTTTTTAGTTTTTTTGAGACAGGGTCTCACTCTGTCACCAAGCTGAAGTACAGTGGCATAATCACAGCTCACTGTGGCCTCAATCTCCTGGGCTCAAGCAATCCTTCCACTTCAGGCTCCCAAGCAGCCAGGACTACAGGCACACCCAACTAACTTTTCTTTAGTAGAGACAGGGTCTTCTTGTGTTGCCGAGGCTGGTCTCACTCCTGGGCTAAATCAGTTCTCCCATCTCAGCCTCCCAAAATGAAGACTTTTATTCTTACTTCAGATTACAAAATATGATTGTATAGGATACATGATTAAAAAAAAATTTCAAGTTGATTTCAACTTCTAAATATGTTTTTGTTTGTTTACTGTCAATTGTTCATGCTCAAAAAGTTTTATTTTAATATCAAATTAAAATACAAAGAGAGGTAATTTAGATTAAACCCTTTCAATAGAGAATTTTTAAGATTTAAAAAATTTTTTTAGCCTTGATTTGAAATTGAATAAGGAATTTTAATTCCAGTAAATAAATGGGTTTTTGATTAGCTGTGCTGTATTTTATCGTTTTAGTGTGGATAAGTAAGATTTGATTGCTCAATTTTGGTTATTTACTGAACATCCTTTTTTACTCTAGTGATCTACCTAATTTGGGTTTCTTTTTGTTGTTTTTGTTTCTTGGTATTTTATTTATTTTTTTGAGACTAAGTCTCACTGTTGCCGCCCAGGCTGGAGTGCAATGGCGCAATCTCAGCTCACTGCAACCTCCGCCTCCCAGGTTCAAGGGATTCTCCTGTCTCAGCCTCCCGAGTAGCTGGGATTACAGGTGCCTGCCACCACACCCAGCTAATTTTTTTATTTTTAGTATAAGCGATGGGGTTTCACCATGTTAGCAAGGCTGGTCTCGAACTCCTGACCTCAGACGATCCACCCATCTCAGCCTCCCAAGGTGCTGGGATTACAGGCGTGAGCCACTGTGCCCAGCTATTTTATTTTTTATTTCAATAAGTTTTGGGGGAACAGGTGGTGTTTGGTTACATGGATAAGTTCTTTAGTGGTGACATCTGAGATTTTAGTGTACTCATCACCTGAACACTGTACCCAGTGTGTAGTCTTTTATCCCTCGCTCCCACCCATTACCTGCCCTGTGAGTCCCCACAATCCGTTGTATCAATTCTTATGCCTTGCATCCTCATACCTTAGCTCCTAGTTATAAATGAGAACATACAATATTTGGTTTTCCGTTCCTGAGTTACTTCGCTTAGAATAATGGTCTCCAACTCCATCCAGGTTGCTGCAAATGCCGTTATTTGTTCATTTTTATGGCTGAGTAGTACTTCATGGTGTGTGTGTGTGTGTGTGTGTGTGTGTATATATATCACATTTTCTTTATCCGCTCTTTGATGAGCATTTGGGCTGGTTCCATATTTTTGCAATTGTGAATTGTGCTGCCATAAACATGCATGTGCAGTATCTTTTTCATATGATTGCTTATTTTCCTCTGGTTGGATACCCAAGAGTGGGATTGCTGGATCAAACAGCAGTTCTACTTTTAGTTCTTTAAGGAATCTTCATACTGTTTTTCATAGGGGTTGTACTAGTTTACCTTCCTACCAGCAGTGTAAAAGTGTTCCCTTTCACCATATCCATGCCAACATCTATTATTTTTTGATTATTATTATTATTTTTTTGAGATGGAGTTTTGCTCTGTTGCCCAGGCTGGAGTGCAGTGGCGTGATCTCGGCTCACTGCAACCTCTGGCTGCTTGGTTCAAGCGATTCTCCTGCCTCAGCCTGCCGAGTAGCTGGGATTACAGGCATGCTCCACCACAGCCAGCTAATTTTTGTATTTTTAGTAGAGACAGGGTTTCACCATATTGGCCAGGATGGTCTCGATCTCCTGACCTTGTGATACACCTGTCTCAGCCTCCCAAAGTGCTGGGATTACAGGTGTGAGCCACCACGCCCAGCCTATTTTTTGATTTTTAAATTATGGCCATTCTTGCTGGAGTAAGGTGGTATGGCATTATGGGTTTGATTTGCATTTCCCTGATAATTAGTGATGTTGAGCCATATGTTTTTTGGCTATTTGTGTATCTTCTTTTGAGAATTGTCTGTTCATGTCTTAGCCCACTTTTTTTTTTGAGACAGAGTCTCACTCTTGTCACTCAGGCTGGAGTGCAGTGGTGTGATCTCAGCTCACTACAACCTCCACCTCCTGGGTTCAAGCGATTCTCCTGCCTCAACCTCCCAAGTAGCTGGATTACAGGTGCCTGCCACTACACCTGGCTAATTTTTGTATTTTAGTAGAGACAGGGTTTCACCATGTTGGCCAGGCTGGTCTCGAACTCCCTGACCTCAGGTGATCCACCTGCCTTGGCCTCCCAAAAGTGCTGGATTACAGGCATGAGACACTGTGCTCGGCCATTAGCATAATTTTTGATGGCATTATTTGTTTTTTTCTTGCTGATTAGTTTGAGTTTCTTGTAGATAGTGTGTATTAGTCCTGTGTTGGATACATAGTTTGCAAAGATTTTCCCCTACTCTGTGGGTTGTTTATTCTGCTGATTATTTCTTTTGCTGTGCAGAAGCTTTTTAGTTTAATTAGTTCCCATCTATTTATATTAGTTTTTGTTGCATTTGCTTTTGGCTTTTTGATCATTCAGGAGCAGGTTATTTAATGAAATCTTTGCCTAAACCAATGTTTGGAAGGGTTTTTCTGATGTTATCTTCTATAATTTTTATGCTTTTAGGTCTTAGATTTATCCATCTTGACTTGATTTTTGTATAAGGTGAGAGATGAGGATCCAGTTTCATTCTTCCACATGTGGCTTGCCAGTTATCTCAGCACCATTTGTTGAATAGGGTGTCCTTTCCCCACTTTATGTTTTTATTTGCTTTGTGGAAGATCAGTTGACTGTTAAGTATTTGGCTTTATTTCTGGGTTCTCTATTCTGTTCTATTGGCCTATATGCCTGTTTTTGTACCAGTACCATGCTGTTTTGGTGACTATGGCTTTATAGTATAGTTTGAAGTCAGGTAATGTGATGCCTCCAGATTTGTTCTTTTTCCTTAGTTTTGCTTTGGCTGCATGGGCTGTTTTTTTGGTGCCGTATGAATTTTAGGATTGTTTTTTCTAGCTCTGTAAATGATGATGCTCGTATTTTGATGGGAATTGCATTGAGTTTGTAGATTGCTTTTGGCAGTACAGTCATTTTCACAATATTGATTCTATCCATCCATGGGCATGTGATGTGTTTCCATTTGTGTTGTGTGTGATTTCTTTCAGCAGTCTTTTGTATGATAGTTTTCCTTGTAGAGGTTTTTTACCTCCATGGTTAGGTATATTCCTTTGTAATTTTTTGTTTGTTTTTTCTTTGCAGCTATTGTAAAAGGGGTTGAGTTCTTGATTTGATTCTCAGGTTGGTCACTGTTAGTGTATAGCAGAGCTACTGATTTGTGTACATTAATTTTGTATCCTGAAACTTTGCTGAATTCATTGATCAATTCTAGGAGATGTTTGAAGGAGTCTTCAGGGTTTTCTGGTATACAATCATATCTTCAGCAAATAGTGACAGTTTGACCTCCTCTTTACCGATTTGGATGCCCTTTATTTCCCTCTCTTGTTTGATTGCTCTGGCTAGGACTTCTAGTACTATGTTGAATAGAAGTGGTGTAAGTGGGCATCCTTGTCTTGTTGCAGTTCCCAGAAGGAATGCTTTCAACTTTTCTCCACTCAGTATTATGTTGGCTGTGGGTTTGTCTTTTATTACCCTAAGGTATGTTCCTTCTATCCTGATTTTGCTGAGAGTTTTAATCATGATGGAATGCTGGATTTTGTCAAATGCTTTTTCTGTGCCTGTTGAGATGATCGGGTGATTGTTGTTTCCACTTCTGTTTAGTATATCACATTTATTCACTTGTGTGTGTTAAACTATCTCTGCATCCCTGGTATGAAACCCTCTTGATCATAGTGGATTATTGTTTTGATATGCTGTTGGGTTTGATTAGTTAGTATTTTGCTGAGGTTTTTTGCATCTATGTTCATCAGGGATTTTGGTCTATAGGTGTTCATTTTGTTGTTGTTATGTCATTTCCTGGTTTTGGTATTAGGGTGATAACTGGCTTCATAGAATGATTTAGGGAGGATTCCCTGTTTATCTTTTGGAATATTTTCAATAGGATTGGTACTAGTTCTGTTTTGAATGTCTGACAAAATTCAGCTGTAAATCCATCTGGTCCTGGACTTTTTTTTGTTGACAGTTTTTTTGATTACCATTTCAGTCTCACTTATTGTTATTGGTATGTTCTGAGTTTCTAGTTCTACCTTGTTTAATCTTGGAGGGTTGTATATTTCCTGGAATTTATCCATCTCCTCTAGGTTTTCTAGTTTCTCTGTGTAAGGGTGTTCATAGTACTCTTGAATGATCTTTTTATTTCTGTGGTATTGGTTGTAATATTGTTATAGGAAATAGAAATAAAGTATTTGGGTAGACGGGGAGAAGAGAGTCCCTGGCAGAAAACTTTCCTTCTAACATAAAGTAGCTCAGAAATAGCTCCCTTCTAACCTCATGCAGTTCAAAGAAATCACTTCTCTAACTAAACAAGCAGCCTGAAAGATCAGGCTGTAAATCACAGATAAACCCCTGGAGCACAGAAGGAGGGCGGGGAGTCTCCTGGGTAATCACCAAACTTCACAATGGGCCCCAGTAAAAACAGTGGGCCTTAATAAGCACATTCCTTTCCCTTTAGGACATCAAGATAGAGAAGCTAAAAGTGGACTTGGGGAGGTGGGGGTGGAGACGTCGTGGGGGAGGGGTGTTGGGGGGATGCCTGCAGCTGCAAGAAGATGTCTGGGAACAGACACAGAAACTCTCCCTCTCAGATAAGCAAAAGAAGGCATCACAGACTAAGTCTGCCCATGTGATCCAGGAATAAAGTGAGAGCTGATAAAAAAAAAAACTCTGCTCTATAAAGATAGCACACCTGGTCCCAACTAAATCGTCAGGCCCTAGGAGGATAAGACATCCCCTCCTCACTGGCACCACCCCCGCCACCTGCCACTAACTCCCTCCTCACTAGCCCATTTATAAAAACCCTGACATTTTTACTAAGCAACTCACTCGGGACCCATCTCTTCAAGGGAGAGCTGTTCTTTCTTTTTGCCTATTCAACTTTGCTCCAAACTCAAGTCTGTGTGTGTAGTGTGTGTTCGCGACCTCCGTCTCCTTGACTGTTCGACCAAGAGCCTTGGTATTTACCCCAGACAACGAGGCTGCTTCAGTATCTCCCGTTTCATTTCTAATTTAGCGTATTTGGATCTTCTCTCTTCTTTTCTTGGTTAATCTAAGGGTCTACCAATTTTACTTATCTTTTCAAAGAACTGAACCAGTTTTTGTTTCACTTTTGTTTTGTTGTTGTTGCTGTTTCAATTTCCTTTAGTTCTTCTCTGATCCTTCTTTCTATTCTCTTGCTGGGTTTGGGTTTGGTTTGTTCTTGTTTCTCTTTTTCCTTGAGGTGTGACCTTACATTGTCTATTTGTGCTCCTTCAGAATTTTTGATGTATTACATACATTTTGATTTAATATTATGAACTTTCCTCTTAGCACTGCTTTTGTTTTATCCCAGAGGTTTTGGTAGGTTGTGTCACTAATGTCAGTTCAGTTCAAATACTTTTTTATTTTTCATCTTGATTTCATTGTTGACCCAAAGATCATTCAGGAGCAGGTTATTTAATTTCTATGTATTTGCATGGTTTTGAGGGTTCCTTTTGGAGTTGATTTTCAGTTTTATTCCACTGTGGTCCGAGAGAGTACTTGATATAATTTTGATTTTCTTAAATTTATTGAGACTTGTTTTTTAATTTTTTTTTTTTTTTTAGAAGGAGTTTCGCTCTTGTTGCCTAGGCTGAAGTGCAATAGTGCAATCTCAGCTCACTGCAACCTCCACCTCCTGGGTTCAAGCAAGCCTCCCAAGTAGCTGGGACTACAGGCATGCACCACCACGCCTGGCTAATTTTGTATTTTTAGTAGAGACATGGTTTCACCATGTTGGTCAGGCTGATTTTGAACTCCTGACCTCAGGTGATCCACCTGCCTCAGCTTCCCAAAGTGCTGGGGTTACAGTGTGAACCACTGTGCCCAGCTGAGACTCATTTTGTGGTCTATCTTGGAGAATGTTCTATGATGAATAGAATGTATATTCTTGCAGTTGTTGGGTAGAATGTTCTATAAATATCTGTTAATTCCATTTGTTCTAGGGTATAGTTTAAGTCCACTGTTTCTTTGTTGACTTTCTGTCTTGATAACCTGTCTAGTGCTGTCAGTGAAGTAGTGAAGTCCCCCACTGTTATTGTGTTGCCATCTATCTCATTTCTTAGGTCTAATAGTAAATTTGGGAGCTCCAGTGTTAGGTACATATATATCTGGGATTGTGGTATTTTCCTGTTGGACTGATCTTTTTATTATATAATGTCCCTCTTTGTGTTTTTTAACTGTTGTTGCTTTGAAGTCTGTTTTGTCTGTTGTAAGAACAGCCACTCCTGCTGGCTTTTGGTGTCCATTGTCATGGAATACCTTTTGCTACCCCTTTATCTTATTATGTGAATGTGAAAATTGTTTTGTTTAAGGAGGCTAAATATAGGACCCAGATTCCTTCTTGATCGTAGGGTTTCTGCTGAGAAATCTACTGTTAATCTCTGATAGGTTTTCCTTTATAGATTACCTGATATTTTTGCCTCACAACACTTAAGATTCTTTCCTTCATCTTGACTTTAGATAACCTGTGTTTGTGCCTACATGATTTTTTTGCAATGAATTTTCCAGGTGTTCTTAGAGCTTCTTATATTTGGATGTCTAGGTCTCTAGCAAGGCCAGGGAGGTTTTCCTCAACTAGTCTCTCAAATACATTTTCTAAACTTTTAGATTTCCCTTCTTTGTCGGGGACACCAGTTATTCTTAGGTTATGTCATTTAACGTAATCCCAAACTTCTTGGAGGCTTTGTTCCTTTTTTTAAATTCTTTTTTGTCTTTGTCAGTTTGGGTCAGTTTGAAAGCCTTGTCTTTGAGCTATGAAGTTCTTTTTTCTACTTGTTCGATTCTGTTGTAACTTTCCAGTGTATTTTGCATTTCCTAAGTGTGTCTTTCATTTCCAGAAGTTGTGATTGTTTTTTCTTTATGGTATCTATTTCTCTGGATATTTTTATCCATATACTGTATTATATTTTAAATTTCTTTAAGTTGGTTTTCACTTTTCTTTGGTGCCTCCTTGAGTAACATAATAATCGACCTTCTGAAATCTTTATCTGACAATTTAGAGATTTCTTCTTGGTTTGGATCCATTGCTGGTGAGCTAGTGTGGTCTTTTGGAGATGTTAAAGAACCTTGCTTTGTCATACTACCAGAATTGTTTTTCTGGTTCTTTCTCGTTTGGGTAGACTACGTCAGAGGAAAGATCTGGGGCTCAAAGGCTGCTGTTCAGATCCTTTTGTCCCATGGGGTGATCCTTTGATGTGGTGCACTCCCCCTTCCTCTAGGGATTGGGCTTCCGGAGAGCCAGACTGCAGTGATTGTTACTGCTCTTCTGGGTCTAGCCACCCAGCAGAGCTACTGGGCTCTGGGCTAGTACTGGGGAGTGTCTGCAAAGAGTCAAACACAGATGTGATCTGTGTTTGAGTCTCTCAGCTGTAGATACCAGCACCTGCTCCAGTGGAGGTAGCATGGGAGTGAAGTGGACTCTTTGTAGTTTTGTTTAGTGAGTTGGTTTTCTTGAATACTGGGTACTAGTAGTACAGTTGTTACATGGACAGACTCAGGACCTCTGGTTAGCCAGGATGCTACAGGCAGTGGAAATAGCTGTTTTCTTTTTTCTTAGAGTGTGGTTGTTCTTTTATGAGTTGCTATAATGGCTTGAGTTTGTTGGCTTCTAGCCAGGAGGTAGAGCTTTCAAGAGAGCATCAGCTGCAGCAGTATGGGGGATACAAGCTTGCCCTAAGATCACCTGGATAAGTATTTGGTTTTCTCAGCTGATGGGTGGGGACATAGAGCTCCCAAGAGATTATGTCCTTTGTTTTTGGCTGTGGGGTGGGTTGGTGTGGGTGGTGGAAGGCGGCAGTGTGTAGAGAAGGATCACCAGGTTGGGGAAGGGTGAGGCTTGTCTGACTCAGATTGTCCTTGGGCAGGGCTTGCTGTGGCCACTGTGGGGTATGGGGGTGTGGTTCTCAGCACTGGGAATTTGCCCCAGGCTATAAGCCTCCCACTGAGAAAGCAAGCATGGCTTTCAGGCTCCCTGCATGCTGCATCTTCTGTGTTCATATCTGCACTTCCTGTTTGAACCTCTCCCACCCCTTCCTCCATTCCTCCCAGGAAAATTCATGCTCAATTGAAATTATCACAAAGTTCATCTGGAACTTTCCTTCTACCTGTGGTCCTTCCCTAATTCCAGTGGCAACCCTCCCGAAGGACCCCTGTGAGATAAAGTCAGAAATGGCTTCCCTGGGGACCAGGAGTGCTTATAGGGCTCTTCCTGCTGTTGCTTCTACTTTTAATTTTCGCTCAGCTCTCTTCAGCTCTAGGTAAGGTTAAATCCTACTGTTTCCTGGATTTTCAGGTTCCCCAGTGAGGATGCATGTTCAGAGGCAGACTCCCCCTCTCACACTTTGGGCACTTAACGGTTTTTCTGCTGTCTCATGGAGTCTGCAATGGCAAGCTGCTGCTTTCAAAGGGTCTGTGAATTCTTTTGGTTTTCCTGATATGTTTCTGGAGTAGTTCTTGGAGCAAAAGTTCACGGTGTGAGTCTCCACATGCTGTTTCTGCACGTCCGAGTGGGAGCTGGAAGTTAGTCCAGCTTCCTCTCCACCGTTTTTTTCTTTTTGTTGTTTTTAAAGGTTACAAGGCCTTTGTTTTTCCTTCTGTAAAATAAGTCTTTAGAAGTAGTCTATTAATTTTATTATTAAAAACTCAAGTTTTTATTACATTATTATTGAATGAAAAAGTAAAATATATGTGACAGAACTTCTGATGTGCTCTAGGAGTTGAAGATTGAATGAGATATCCTTCAGTGAGCTCATATATTTATATTTCTTCTTCTCTTTCTTTTTTTGGAGACGGAGTTTTGCTCTTGTTGCCCAGGCTGGAGTGCAACGGCGCAATCTCGGCTCACCGCTTCCCGGGTTCAAGCGATTCTCCTGTCTCAACCTCCCGAGTAGCTGGGATTACGGGCGTGCGCCACCATGCCTGGCTAATTTTGTACTTTTAGTAGAGCCACCACACCCAGGATCTTTCTTTTTAAAGAAAGATTCTTCTGTTGGAGCTTGTGAGCTGAAGGACTTCAGGAAAACCCACGGAATCCCCTCAAATTGTATACAGATTTTTGTGATGTTTGTGTCTCACGTGTCCGTGTGAAGAGACCACCAAACAGGCTTTGTGTGAGCAACATGGCTGTTTATTTCACCTGGGTGCAGGCGGGCTGAGTCCGAAAAGAGAGTCAGCAAAGGGTGGTGGATTATCATTAGTTCTTACAGGTTTTGGGATAGGCGGTGCAGTTAGGAGCAATGTTTCGCGGGCATGGGGTGGATCTCACAAAGTGCATTCTGCAGGGTGGGGAGAATCACAAAGAACCTTGTTAAGGGTGGGAGAGATTACAAAGTACACTGATCAGTTAGGGTGGGGCAGAAACAAATCACAATGGAATGTCATCAGTTAAGGCTATTTTCACTTCTTTTGAGGATCTTCAGTTGCTTCGGGCTATCTGGATGTATACGTGCAGGTCACAAGGGATATGATGGCTTAGCTTGGGCTCAGGGACCTGACATTCCTGTCTTCTTATATTAATAAGAAAAGCAAAACAAAATAGTGAAGTGTTGGAGCGGCGAAAAATTTTGGGGGTGGTATGGAGAGATAATGGGCGATGTTTCTCAGGGCTATTCGAGCGGGATTAGGGGCGGCGTGGGAACCTACAGTTGGAGAGATTCAACTGGAGAAAGATTTTGGGGTAAGGGGTAATATTGTGGGGTTGTTAGAAGGAGCATTTGTCATATAGAATTATTGGTGATGGCCTGGATGTGGTTTTGTATGAACTGAGAAAGTAAACGAAAGACACAAGGTCCGAATAAAAGAAGGAGGAAAATAGGTATTAAAGGACTAAGAATTGGGAGTATCCAGGACATCCAATCAGAGAGTGTCCAAGGGGGTTCAACGTTATTGTTTGCTTGGTTGGCGAGTTTTTGGGCTCTATCCTTGAGTTTTTTATGTTGTCATATACCAGGCCAGATTGATTTAGGTAAAAACAACACTCTTCATTAAAAAATATACAGAGTCCTCTTTAACAGTAAGTCGAGGCCTTGGTGATTTTGGAGGAAAGAGAAATGCAAAGCCAGCAACTGTTTGTTGAAGAAGGATTAGAAACGTTTGAGGTAAAACCAGGAGCCACTAAATACCAAGAGCCTGAGAAACAGCTTGGGTGATTTGACTAATAAAGGCCGGTCTGTTATTGGACTGTATAGAGGTGGGAAGGCCAAACTGAGGAATTATGTCTGACAGAAGGGAAGAAATGACTGCGGTGGTCTTCTCAGATCCTGTGGGAAAGGCCTCTACCCACCCAGTGAAAGTGTCTACCCAGACCAAGAGGTATTTTAGTTTCCTGACATGTGAGTAAAGTCAATTTGCCAGTCCTGGGCAGGGGCAAATCCCTGAGCTTGTTGTGTAGGGAAGGGATGGGGCCTGAGAAATTCCTGAGGAGTAGCAGAATAGCAGATGGAATGCTGAGAAGTGATTTCCTTGAGGATAGATTTCCACGATGGAAAGGAAATGAGAGGTTCTAAGAGGCGGGCTAGTGGCTTGTAACTTAACATGGAAGAGGTTATGAAATGACGACAGAATAGAATGGGCCTGTGAGGCTGGAAGGGGATATTTTCCTTGGTCCAAGAACTATTTGCCTTGTGTGGGAAGAGATTGATAGGTGGAAGTTTCAGTGGGGGAGTGGGTGGGAGTGGTCAGATGAGAAGGAGAAAAGGGATAGAAGTTTGAACGCTAGCTGCTTTTTTAGTTACCTTATCAGCATAAGCATTGTCCTGAGCGATGGGATCTGATGCCTTTTGATGGCTGCTTTTTTAGCTACCTTGTCAGCATAAGCGTTGTCCTGAGCGATGGGATCTGATGCCTTTTGATGGTCTTTGCAGTGAATGACTCCAGCTTCCTTTGGAAGTAAAGCAGCTTTGAGAAGAGTTTTTATTAAAGAGGCATTGATGATGGAGGACCCTTGCATAGTGAGGAAACCTCTTTCTGCCCATATAACATCATGGTGGTACAGGATATGTGAAGTGGGAGCAGGCATTTCAAATGGCGGAAAGCAGTACAAGAGAGGGAGAGTGTGGTGGGAGGTGCCACATACTTTTCAATGACCAAATCTCATTTGTATTCAGAGCGAGAACTCACTTATCACCAAGGGAATGGCCCAAGCCGTTCATTAGGGATTTGCCCCCATGATCTACGCAGCTCCTGCCAAGCCCCACCTCATTACATTTCCACATGAGATGTGAGTGTGGACAAATGTTTAAACTATAAGGATAAAAAGCAAGATCTTTAGGAGATAAGCATAGAGATTTAGGAGATTAGCCTACCTGTCATGTTCAAGTTTCTATGTAGGACTCATATGATATAGACCCTTGGGCCAACTTTACCCTGTTGCATGCCCCGTCTCTCACATGCAATACAGTGACTGGTATGTAGTGATGATTTTATCAGTGAGGATCCTGGTAGTAATAGGTGGATTTTTTTTTTCTTTTTGAAGATAGTTTATTGAAGGGACTGTTTTCAGAGGTGTGACCATGGTTTAAGATAACCAAGAAAGGATGATGAATCACTTAGGGACTAGCAGCACTTGGAAACTGTTATTCATCCAGGTGACAGGGCAAGGGTAGAAATCATGTTCCAGAACTCAGTGAGAGTTGTAGGCATGAAAGAGGAGCCTTCTCAACAGGAGCTGTGGCCAAAAAAGAAACAAGGCAGGTAAGAAATGGGGAATAAATTATGCCATTATTTCTCTTTCCTTCCACTCTTTCTTTTTCTGCTGATGCTTCCTCTCACTGGTGAAACCCAACCAGAAGCTAAATGGCAAGTGAATCCCTAGAAATAAGGCAAGGCAGAGATGCAGAGCAAGGCAGATAAAACTAGAAAATGGGTCTAGGGGGAGACAAATGGAAATAATCAACAGAGTGCTCAATACTTATTTGTTGAATTAAACTGAATTTTTATTGTTAAAGTGGAAAACAAGCAAATGCCTGATGGTTTAATGTTTTCTTATATACAAAACTTGAAATAAAAATCTCTTTGAAATTTTGGAGGCAACTATTTCATCTTTTGAATGGTTGAAATAGTAAAAATGTTGCAATACTTAATCTATAAAAAATTAAATACTTTATATTTTTCTTTTTTCTTTTCTTTTTTTTGAGACAGAGTTTTGCTCTTGTTGCCCAGGCTGGAGTGCAATGGTGCAGTCTTGGCTCACTGCACCCTCCGCCTCCTGGGTTCAAGTGATTCTCCTGCCTCAGCCCCCTGAGTAGCTGGGATTACAGGAGCCCACCACCATGCCCGGCTAATTTTCATATTTTTAGTAGATACGGGGTTTCACCATGTTGGCCAGGCTGGTCGCAAACTCCTGACCTCAGGTAATCCATCTACCTCGGCTTCCCAAAGTGCTGGGATTACAGGCATGAGCCACCACACCCAGCCTTTATTTTTTGAGAGAGTCTCTCATCTGTCGCCCAGGCTGGAGTGCAGTGGCACAATCTCAGCTCACTGCGACCTCCACCTTCCAGGTTCAAGTGACTCTCATGCCTCAGCCTCCTGAGTAGCTGGGATTACAGGCACACGCTCCCATGCCCAGCTAATTTTTGTATTTTTAATAGAGACGGGGTTTCACCATGTTGGCAAGGCTGGTCTTGAAATTCTGACCTCAGGTGATCTGCCCGTCTTGGCCTCCCAAAGTGTTGGGATTACAGGCGTGAGCCACCGCGTCCAGCTTTTATTGATAGTATTAAAAGCAGTTCACATTTACTGATTGTTTGACATGTCCCAGGTCACTGTGCTAAATCTTTTACGTGTATTCTTATATTTTATCCTCACATAACCCTGTAACGTGTCAATACTGTTGCTATACTGTTGGGATGCATCACTGTACAAAACAAGTTCCACAAAGGCCACAGATCTTTATAATCTGATATTAATATTTCTATACCATTCTGTTGTTATTGTTAGTATTCTCTGGTTACTCTTGAAATTGAGCGCCTTTTCATATGTTTTAGCCATTTAATTTTGTGTGTGTGTTTTGTGAAATCACTGACTTAGTCTTTTGCCCGTTTTCTATTTGGTTGTCTTTTTATTATTAATTTGGAGGAAGCCTGTGTATATTTGGATATGTGCTATTAGCTATGTGTTGCAAATGACTTCTGCCATCTGGGAGATTCAAGCTGAGGTATTAAGAGCAGGTAGGATTTGGGTAGGCAAAGATGAGTGTTTCTAGTGAGATGAAAGAATAAACAAAATTATAAGGGAAGAAGATATAATTCACATATTAAATAGTTGAATAGTTTGATTGGACTAACACCAGAAAGCTCAAAATATGTAGCACCAGGGAAGCGCTAGAAAATGGCAAAAATATACCTCAGCAGAACATTTGCTTTAAATCAATACGTCTTCTATTCAGGAATAACCTATTTCAGGCAGGCTAGACAACCTGAAAGGAACCCCAAAGATAGTTTGCCTCTCTGGTAGGCAGCTCTAGGCTTTCGCTCCTCTGCCAGGGAATGAATCTTCTTTTACTGAAATGGCCTTGCTGTCATTGCCTTGTGAAAAGGTGTGACTTAAAACTGGAACTGATGAGGGGAGAAGCCTAGAGGAAAGTCCTTCCTCTTGTCCTCCGGCTCTAGATTTCTCAGAGTTTTTGCATATTAAAGTTAGAACACCTTCATGCGGCTGCCCTTGCTGACCTGATGTTTCTCATTATAGAGTCATTCCTTGAAGGTTGGGACTTTGATTTCCTATGACTTGGTGTATATTTCCCTACAGAACTTGAATGCCAATGGCTGAATGGCTTTTTGGTTTTAGCCTCCCTTTAGTCTCAGCCTCCATCTTACTATGTCTGCACCAATGAAGAAGTCTATTCATTCTGTTCCCTAGGGAGATTATGCTAGTGTTTTAAAAGTCTCTGCCGACTCTTCAGGATTTGCCTCTCCCACCATTTATCAGACAAAAATGTTTCTGTGGTTTCACTTCTTAATTTTGTATCCATTAGAATTTGTTTTGGCTCCAAGTGCCTAAAACCCAAAAATATAGTGGCTTAGGAAGATGGAACTTTTATTTTTATCCCATGTATTAATAAATAAAGGCAATTCAGGGATGGGAAGGCAGCTCTGTGATCATCTGGAACCAATGTCTTTTCATCTCATTGTTCTTCCTACTTTATCCAAGAGGGTTGCTCCAGCAGCAATGTATGCATTCCAGCCAGCAGGAAGGAGAAATGGAGAAGGACATCTCCTTACCCCTCTGTAGGACTTCTCAGAAGTTGCATACACTACTCTGGTTGTATCTTACGTGCCAACGCTTAGTTAGCATAGCCATACCTAAATCTAAGGGAGGCTTGGAAAAATATATCTAGCTAAAAACAGGAATTCCTGATCATATTGAAAAAAAAAAAAAAAGAGAATGGATATTGAGGATTACCATTGATCCTTGCCACATAAATCTTTTGTTATTGTGACACTAATAGTTTCCTGAGATGTTTAAGGAGAAAAGCTCAGAATATTGTGGGTATATAGCCAATTTAAAATAAATTATCATCAGAATTAGCTTATATCTGACATTCTGAATTTTGGACCCTTATTTTAAAATTTTTACACTGGTCTAGAAGGTAGACCTTAACTTTTGAATTTTTTATCATTTTTGATAAGTTTGGAAGCTTGACTTCTTTCCTAAACATTGATGTAAGGTTTCATGAAATTTTTAAGTATAGCAAATGCTGTTGAACATTGCAAATGTAAAATATGGAGGAGGAAATATGTGCTTTTTATCTTTATAGAAGATAAATATATTAAACCCCCTATTAAAAATCGTCTATAGAAAAAATTATAGCAATAGGTAGTATAAAAGCTCTGGGTTAGAGTGGATTCAAATATATGGAAATTAAATGAAAATCTAGAATCAGTTCACTGAGAATTAGCTGATACAGTGAGCAGCAGATATAATCCCATAGACACTGCATATTTTTTTAAGTCCTGATCTTCACAGTAGAGCTTAAAGAAAGTGTAGTATTGTAATGTAATTATTCTCATTATTAAAAATGATTTACTTTTAAAACCCAGCATGTTACATCATAAGTAATATTCATTTTTTCTTCCATAGGTAAGAAGTTTGATAGCTGTAGGACTGGGTGTTGCAGCTCTTGCATTTGCAGGTAAGATAAAGAATACATACCAATAAATTGCAGGAGAAATCTTTCCAAATAGCATCTACAGTGATTCATGAGTAGACCCTTAGTATTCTGAGGTTTTGGTTTTCAGACATAATACATTCTCATTCTTTCCACCATTTGTAGTTACTGAACATTTGTCATTGTAGCAAAATCTAGATAAACTTTATAGGGAAGAAAATTAGTGATAAAAAGCCAGAAAAACTAGCTCCAATAATAGTTTATTCCTGGCATTTTTTTTCAGTTTGAAGTATAGTATACTATAAAAAGAAATTTTAATATTATGCAATGTAAGTGGCATGGAGTGCCTTTATTCTCCCATATTTATTTTTTCTTGCAGACAGGTTTATACATTTTAAGCTGTCAGTTCTTTCTCATGAGCATAGTTGTTCCGTGTAGTTTATTGATTTGTCTCTAAACATATTGGTATAATTACCTTGATAAACCCTGGGGAATTTTTTTCACTGCTAAAATTACGTTTTTCGAAAGAATAGTTCTTTTTTTTTTCTTTTTTTTGGAATGGGCAAGACTGTGCCCCTTCCAGAGGCTCTGGGGAGAAGCCCTTTCCTTACCCTTCCTGGCCTACAGAGTTTGCCTTCATCCTTGGCTCATGGACCCTTCCTCCATTTTCAAAGCCAACAGCTTAGCATCTTCCAACCTCTGTCTGACTGTCACTCTCCTCCTTCTCTCTTAAAAAGATTTTGTGATTACACTGGGCCCACCTGGATAATCAAGGATCATCTCCCCATCTCAAGATCCTGAACCTAATCACATCTGCAAAGTCAGTTTTATTACATAAGGGTAACATATTCTCAGGTTCCAAGGATTAGGACATGGACATCTTTGAAGGCCATTATTCAGCACAGCACAATGCTAGTTTTTCTTTTTTTTGAGACGGAGTCTTGCTCTGCCCAGGCTGGAGTGCAGTGGGGCGATCTCTGCTCACTTCAAGCTCCGCCTCCCGGGTTCATGCCATTCTCCTGCCTCAGCCTCCCGAGTAGCTGGGACTACAGGCGCCAGCCACCATGCCCAGCTAATGTTTTTTGTATTTTTAGTATAAAAATACAAAATTTAGCCAGGATGGTTTCGATCGCCTGACCTCGTGATCCACCCACCTCGGCCTCCTAAAGGGCTGGGATTACAGGCGTGAGCCACCGTGCCCGGCCCATTCGAAAGAATAGTTCTGAAGATCTAAAGTAAATTTGCTGAGTCTGTCATTAACTTACAGCAGTTTTAAATTACATAGCTATATCCTAATTAAATGTTAATTTGAGAATATGTCCTTATTGATAAAGATTTACTTTTTTGTTCTAGCATTTGTGTTTGTAAGTTCTATCGGTTTGATCTTGTTAATTGGCTCTTTTAGGCAGAGCTGCATTCCATTTTGGCTATATAGAGTTTAGTAAGATCTGATAGAAAAATGAGAAATAAGAGGGTCTTGTTTTGTATGGTATTTATTTTCTCACAATTATCATTTAAAACACTATTTTAACCTTTTGTCTTGGAAATGATGAAACACTTCAACAATCAGAACTTTAAAATCTAGATCAGTGGTTCAGATTCTCTTGATGTTTTTGTCATCAAGGTCTTATGTCTCAGTTATATAACTTATACTTAATGAATTTCTGAGGTTTTATGAGAAGAATATCATGTCTCAAACAGAATTCTGACAAACTTGCCCCTAAACATAAAGGAATTTTAGTATTAATTAGAGTAGGCATAGTTATGAATTCAAATGTAAGGTTTTGATTTGAAATTAGATAAAGATGTATTTTTTCCAGGGTCGTCTTTGTAAAATGACAAGAATTGGTGTGTGTATTCTTTATAGACCACACCATTCCCAAACTCGTATTACTGACTAGAATATTATATTAAATAACAACAAGATCTCTTCCAGAGCCAAATACAACCAAATAATAGAATTTAGGAGAAAGTACACTTAGATGTGTTAGAACTAGGTCTTCTAGTTAGAGTAAACCTCCAGGTGTCACTTCTTGAAGCATTTAACTGCTTTTTAACTGAGATTAGAAGTCAGTCACTGTGGTTTTGAAGAATTTTGAGGTAATATAAAAGCTACATTTCATACTATTATAAAATCAAATGGAAGATGACATCTATGTGATAAGAGATACAGGCAAGTTAGGGAATCAGCCTCATTTAATTTCACTTTATTTAATGTTCTCCTTTATCTCAAGACCTTTTTATCTTCACATTTTCCCATTTCTGGCATCCTGTCTTTCACTGTAACATGTTTGCACAGAATAACAGTATACATAGGCAGGTAAATTTTTCTAAAACAGTATACATAGGTAGTTGAATTTTTGCAGTAGAACTCTTGATTTGCAAATAGGCTTATGGTTAGAAGTTGAATTAAAGCCTGTAGTGTCATATACTGGTTTTCTAGCAAGACTCTTGGAGAAAGAGATACTAGTAGAAGACACAATCTGATTGGGGTGCAAAAGATAAAGTAGCTAGATAATATTTTACTCTTATTTGATGCCCTCAAAATAATTTAGAACCTGTTTTACTATTGACTCTTAGTTGTTAAAACTCAGGGGAGTTTTGATTATTGGGATTCCCAACTAGGGAAAGAACTAAAAATAAGTTTTCAGAGAGAGTAGCCATCCTCAGTGAGAAAAATTGATAATTAACATCCTTGGTAAGTATTTCATATGTAATTGCTTTTTTACTTTAGAGATAATTGATTAAAACCATTTCTGTGTAGTATAGATCATAAATATAATTTGTTTTCTATATATTTCAAAGTGATTATCATAAAAAGCAATACAATTAACCATTTTAGTATTATAAGTATCTTTTATATGTAATAGGACTTTACAGTTTGTTGTATAAAGAATACTAGGATGTTATTTTTTTTGTGACCTATACCATAATATAAATGTAAGATATTACACATAAACATTGAAAATTTCTAGTTTTATGATCATAAACTAGAACTTGATAAATTTAATGGCTATGATAATGGTATTAACATGAAATTTTGCCCTCCAATAAATTAAAAATTTGAAAAAATTGACCATCTTTCTGGTAAGTTTTGAAATACTTATTGCAATAACATATATAAACTATCAATAAATACTGTTGCAAGCACTTTGAAGGTGTTGATTGATTTTGATTATAGAAAATACATTTGCTTTTATTCCCTTTACTATTTAGGTCGCTACGCATTTCGGATCTGGAAACCTCTAGAACAAGTTATCACAGAAACTGCAAAGAAGATTTCAACTCCTGTAAGTTAAACGTGGCTTTAGTTAGAAGACTCATTTTGATTTTTGTTCATATGACATATTTCAATTAACTTAGAAAATGTCTTGGATTTTCCAATGTTTGTAGAAGTTTGTTTCCTTCACTATATCATTGGTGAGTTTGTCTAATTTACTGGCTCAGTTTCTTTTAAGTTATTGGTCACATTATTTTTATATCTAACTTTATTCCTGGTTTTGACATCTAATTATTATAATCTGTTTAGTAGTATTACATCAAATTTGATGTAACTTACTTTACCCGTTTAGTTACTGTTCATTTATTCAATAAACATTTAGTGAGTCCCCCATCCCTGTGCCAGGAGCTTGGAATAGCTGATGAACAAAGAAGACATGGTTCTTGTCCTGATGAAGCTTATCCAAGAGTTGATGCCATCTTGTAATTTGAAACTAGTCCCCTTATACCATCATGCCTGGCCATCTCAAACATAAAATTATGAGATTTCAACCATGAAATCCTGTAGAACTTATTATACATTTTTGTACCAGCATTATAGCTACTCTGGGGAGCTGAATGTAAGTGAAAAAATGAATGAGAGTATGTATCCGTAAAAGCAACAGTATGGATTGTAGTTTGTAACCACTGAAGACAATATAAAGAAAAGTCAGTGAGGCCCTGCAGCGTAAACATTGGCTTCAGGGAAACAGAAGCAGATCTGGGATAGATCAACTTGGTTGAGACTTGAGATTGTCAAATTGCTGCAAACCAAGTTGATCATCCGCTATTCTGCTATTCTGAGTTCCTGGCACAGGGATGGGGACTCACTAAATGTTTATTAAATAAATGAACAGTAATTAAACAGGGAAAGTAAGTTATGTCAAAGTTGATATAATACTACTAAATGTAAAACTACTAAACTACCTACTTTATATATGTTATTTCAATAAATATTTCAAAACTTACCAGAAAGACTGTCATTTTTTCCAAATTTATAATTTATTGGAGGACAGAATGTCATGTTAATACCATTATCACAGCTATTAAATTTATCAAGTTCTAGTTCATGATCATAAAACCAGAAATTTTCAATGTTTATGTATAGTATCTTTATATTATGGTATAGGTCACAAAAAATGAATTGCTTCTTTTAGCAAAGACATTACAGGCTTGTGAGGCTTAGTTAGCCATGAATAATGACAGCACCAAAGGATGACATACTGACAAATAATTAAACTTAGATTCAAAAAAACAGCAAGTGATTTTACAGTCCTATAAATGCATGTCTGTGATTAGAGGGAACATAGGTGTATTTTCTGTTTTCCTATTTATATTTTATTTGGCTAAAATATTGGTAGGTATTCAGTAAATATTCTTTGAGCACCTACTACATACTACATTACCATAGACAGTGGGATATAGTTATGGACCAAAGACATTGCCGTCTAGGAGCTTACATGTTAGTGGAGAGACACAGTGTAAAAAAAAAAAAATGAAGTAAGATATATAATACCTAAAAGTGTCGAGTGCTTTTGAGAAAACCAAATCAGGGTAAGAGGTTAAAGAGTAACAGCAATGAGGAATCTTTACCTTAGATAGGCCAGGTAAGGTTTCTCCAAGAAGATAAGGGAGCAGGCCATACAAGCCTCTGGTGTAAGAGCTTCCTAGGTGGTGGGATCACTGCAAAGGTCCTGAGGTGCAAATGAGTCTAGCAGCAAGAGTAACTCCAAAGGAGTATATGAAGGGAATAGTGGTAGCTTGGGCCCAGATCCCTTAGGGCCTAATAGACAATGAAAAAAAACTTCAAATTTTACCTTAAGCGTGAAAGAAAGCCCTTGGAAGGGTTTGAGCATGGAGGCAATGTGATTTGTATTTTAAGTTATCACTCTGCTTGCTACCTTAGAGCCAGAGTAGAAGCTGTGAAACCAGTAAGCGGGTATTGAGATAGTCCGGGTGATAGATGATGGTGGCTTGAAATAGAGTAGTAGCAATGGACACAGTAACATAGTTCTTTAAATGAATTCTATTTATATATTTCCATATGTTTATAAATAATAAATGGAAAGAATTTCAGAAATCGTTTCTTTTCTGTTACGGTGATCTTCAATATAGTGTAAATAGAAAATTACCAAGCTGTGCAAAACTACATTATTTAACATTGTAAAGGAAGAGAGAGCAAGAAAATGAGAAAATCTTCAGTAGTTGGTAGAGGCTTACAGATAAGGCCGGGTAATTCAAGAGATTATAAGGGATATACTCATGTAAACTCTTTATTCAGTGGCTCATATGACCTGCTCCCTCATCTCAGAGGAGCCTTACTTAAGAGTCTGAGCCTGGTACCTGCGTTTCTTAAAGGGAAATGATGTGTGTACCCCCTTTTCCCTCTTTGTGGGGCTCAAGGTAAGAAACTTCGCCTTCAATAAATCTGGCTTCTTTTTCACAAAGTGCTACTCTTAAGAGTTTGCAGTAAAACATCTTAGAATATCTTTATCATTGTCATAATCATAATTATATTTTTACCTCAGGAAAGATGCAAGTACTTTTAAACAATTTTAAAACTAGTAATCATTTCCAGGGAAACTGAGAAATGAAATATGTGCATACTTTCTGTTGGTACTAATGAATCCCAGTGTCACACCTCATAAACACAGTATACACAGTGTTTTGATTTTGTAAATATTATTAATTATTGAACCAAATAGGGTTACTAAAAAGACAGGAACTGTAATTGTGGGTCACTAAATCTCTGTCATTCAAAAAAGATTGTCCAAGGCTCAAGTTTCAACGGGGGGTCTCTTTTCCTTGTTTCTTTAAACTTTATTTGCTTTCTCTAAGCTTTAACATGTTGTTTTTCAATCTTATCTCTTTTTCATACTTTTTTTTCATCTTGCTGAAATAGTGCCTTGGATAAGTCTTTTATATGGAATGCATGGATGGTAAATGTATTTTCTGCTTTGTTAAACAGTTTGTTTCTTTTGTTCTCACTGTTAATTATCAGCTGCTAGCTCCTTGAAATCTGGTGAAGCCAACATTAGAGAAGTATAGAAATCTCTGCTGAGACTAAGCCTTAGTGCCTGAACTCCCGCATTCCTGCATACTCACAGCTAGATTTTTTGGTGGTCTTATTATTCTTATTCCATTGTAGACAACCTATTGTTTTGGTTTTCTTTTGTTGTTTGGGTTTTGGGGTTTTACATTTTGGTGGTGGTGGCTTTTATTTTTAGCTCTGAAAGTTTGTAGGATTTTCTCTTTCTTACTGATGTTCTGGAATTTCACAAGAATTCTTAGTGAGCCCTAACTTATTTGAAAATGGTCTTTAGTTCTGTAAGATTTTCTTACAGTTTTTTCTTTTATTATTTCTTCCTTTCATTGTCTCTCTTTTCTGCTTCTGGAACTCTGAACAGAGAGATGAGAAAGATGTTGGACCTGATAAAAAGATGTCTGTCCTCTATGTCTCTTACCATTTTATCTCTTATTTTCCATCTCCTTATCTTTCTTTGCTCTTCATTCTACAGTATTTTCACAGCTTATTTTCCAGATCACCAGGTTGGCCTTTAGCAATGTCTATTCTGTTTTTCATCTATCCACCGAATTCTTCACATCAGCATTTTTTTTTTTTTTTTGGAGACAGAGCCTAGTAGTGCGGTTGCGCAATCTCGGCTCACTGCAACTTCTGCCTCCTGAGTTTAAGTGATTTTCCTACCTCAGCTTCCTAAGTAGTTGGGATTGCAGGCACTCGTCACTATTCCCAGCTAATTTTTGTATTTTTAGTGGAGATGGAGTTTCACCATGTTGGCCAGGCTGGTCTTGAGCTTCTGACCTCAAGTGATCCACCCACCTCAACCTCCCAAATTGCTGGGATTATAGGCGTGAGCCACTGCGCCCGGCCAACGTTAGTAATTTTCTAACTTCCAAGGATTCTTTCTTGTTTCTTTTTTCTGGCAACCCATTTTTTAATTAATGTGGTATCCTTTTGAATATTTCTAAAGCCATTAATTAGCATTTGGCCAAATTCTCTTCTGCTTCCTAATTTATCTCCTTTTCCTAAAGTCAGTTGTTATGTGTTCATATTGGTTCTTTTTTTCCCCTCCATGATAATTGGGTTTGCTCAAATGTCCAGTGATCCTTGGTTGTTGATTCATATTTATGATGACTAAATTGACTAATAGAAGTAATGTTCTTGACTTTTCTTCAGCAGTTTGGTAGGGTTGCTTCAACAGCTTAATTGAATGACAGTGTTGACAGTGGGCTGTAAATAACATAGGTGGGTTTGTTAACAGGCATGTCTTTCAGAGCAAGGAGACTAGAAGGCAGCATTGGTACCTGGAGAGTCCAGGAGAGGTTGAGCACCGTGTATATTTTACTCCTTGGCATAGCTTCTCACCTCCCTAGGCTTCTGGGTTCTGAAATGGGATCTGCTGGTATGCCTCTTTGGTTCTCTTAGTACCTACCACCCAAAATAAGATGCGTATCAGAAAAAGAGGCATATGGTTCTCTTTCTCAGCCTGAGGGCATGACAGGTACCTGGCCTCTTATGCTCTATATGAGTAGAGTAGGAATGATCTGTTTATATTGTTCTGGTTTAATAAGTTTCGCTGATTTTTTTATTGTTGTTGACTCTGAATTTAGTGTTCTTGTTTTCCTGAAAAGGGTTTCTTTTTTTCTCTGATGTTTGAAGCTGCTGGGATTTTTCTGTACATGCAAATTTTACCTAGGATTTCTTTAAACTTTCTGGTTTGCTATTTATCCCATTTCTTGTTTTCTAGGCCTATTAAGGGTGTTTTAAAATTTACAGTGTCTTTACTCATTTCAAAGGCACTTCGGAAAGCAAAAGATCTTTATGATTCAGTCTGCTCTTTTGAACAAGTGCCCTTTTGCTTGTTTTTTTGTTTTTTTTTTAAATTAATGTATTAATGTATATTATTGACTCAGCCAATGTCTAATTACCCTTAAATTTTTTTCTGGGGGAGAAAACCCATCCTTCTTCTTTTTTTTTTGAGGCTTTGAATTTTCTATTTGTGAATCTGTCCTTTTATTTGAATATAATTTTTTAAATTGCATTTATTTTGTTTTATGATCAAGTGAAATTTATGGAAAAATATACTAATTAAATCATCCTTTGTTAGCTTTAAATCAAATAGATTATTGTACATAATAAAGTTTATAGTTTATGATAAATGTATTCTTTTAAAACTATGGGATGATCCAGTTCTTCTCTAGTTGTCTGGAGGACTTTTGTGTTTCAGGCTATTGAGTGAATGAATTAGCTAATGAATACTTTGGTTTAACTTAGCAAAGGAGACACAAAATAATCTAACATGGCACTATAGCATTTATTGCTAATTTTAGAAGGAAAATGATTTTGATTTCTGTCATTTATATATACAATATTTTATGAATGGGATAGTACAAAATAATCATTTGTAAGGTCCAGGATGTGTTTCTGTTTTCAGAAAAAAAGGACCATTTACTCCATCTATTTGATGGTATACTTGTTCCTTACAGTAATCTCATTTTTTGGATCTAAACATTTTCTTTGACCTACCACAGTGTTGTCAGAAAATGGTTCTGCAGTGGCTTATACCTGTAAGTCCTAATATAATGCAATGTGGGTATATTATTTTCAAGCTTAAAAGGACCTTTCAGTTTTATTAGTGGGGAGGAGTACAGAGTTACAATTTTGTGCTTTCTCATGACATAGATATTAATTCAAACATAATAATGGATTAAAATACTGTGATAACAGTTTTGTTCTATTTAAAGTTATATAAGACCTAAATTTTCTAGAAGTTTAGGAAGCATGATTTTCTCTGAAGAAATGTGTAAATACAGTTGACCCTTGAACAACCTGGGTTTGAACTGCACAGGTCCACTTAATCATGATTTTAAAAAATAAACTCAATGAGCCCTCCATGTCTGCAATGAAATGTAGATCAAAAATGTAGTATTCATGGGATGCAAAACTCACCTATGCTGAGGCCAACTTTTTGTATCTGTGGTTTCTGTAGGGCTGACCGTGGTGCCTGAGTGCAGATTTTAGTATGAGTGGTCCTGGAACCAGTCACCCACAGATACTGAGGGTTGAATGTATTTTAGTAGTGTGTAACATAGCAATTTTTTGTTTTCTCTTTGTATACTTTTCTGCACCCAGCCCCACATGTTAAGTCTCTATTCTCAAAATGGTCTAGATCTTTTTGGAAGGGTTGTGTTGATTATATGTATATACAGATTGACTTACTCGTAATAAAATCAGTGTTCATATGAACTTCTTCCCGACACTAGATTTTTGGCAGCCTTTTCTGAAACTCTATGTCTACCTGGGCAAAACTGAAAGTGAAAAAATTGCTCAGATACCAATACCTGCTTTTAAGATTAATGAGCTTGGTGACTATAGTGGGAATGACAGTTTATGAAACATGATAAATTTATCTTTTTTATTATGCTGGCTCCAAATTTTAGAGCTCCCTAAGGTAAATAAAGACTCATTGAAATATTTTTTTCCTGAATAAAGAATTATTCTATGTAGTAGTTCAGGCATGATTTAAAAACAAAAGTAGGAGCAAATATTTGGTGATACTTCTGTTTTGTTATGACTAAATCAACTAATTACCTTTAATTTAGGGAGTAACGTATGCATCTAGTAAAAATTTTGGTTTCCTGAAAGAAACCTTAAAACCAGCCCCTATTCCTCTAAGTCCCTCGTTTTTTGAGACAGTCTGTCTCCATTGCCCAGGCTGGAGTGCAGCTGTGCACTCACAGCTCACTGCAACCTCCACCTCCCAGGGTCAAGTGATTCTCCTGCCTCAGCCTCCAGAGTAGCTGGGATTACAGGCATGCACCACTACACCCAGCTAAGTTTTTGTATCTTTAGTAGAGACGGGGTTTCACTGTGTTGGCCAGGCTGGTCTCTAACTGACCTGAGGTGATCCGCCCGCCTCAGCCTCGCAAAGTGCTGGGATTACAGGCGTGAGGCACCACAGTCGGCCCCCTTACTTCTTTCCATTTGTATCTGTATCTGTATTTCTCTCTCTATCTCTCTTTATATATGTGCATACTCTCTATGTATGTTTAGAAAGATATAAAATTTGTTCAGGTTAGTATGTGTGCTTAACCCAATTTGATTATCCTTCCTCTCCTCAAAACTTGTGTCAGGGGTGGGGGACTATTTGTTTTTTTACTGGATTATAAATTACTTGAAACTTGGAGAGTATATTATATTCTCACAGTATTGATTCATTGATAGATTAGCATCTGTGTGATGAAGGACAGTCCTTGATCTCTCATTTGAAAAGTGCCTGGTACACAGCAATTGCTGAAGTGTTTATTGAATGAATTAATTGCCAGGAATTATTTATTACCAAGTAGAAATTTATAATAAGCTGTTCAAAGAGTATAGCTTATATAAATGGCCAGATCTGACTCCCTAGAACCCATTTTTTAAGCTCTAGTCATTTCCTTAGTTTCTTTTAGTATTCTTCTTTCTTTAATTGTATAAATAGCCTGTGCTCATTGTTGAAAATTTAGAAGTTAAAAACAAAGAAAAAATTATAATCCCACCAGCTAAAAATAACTTTAAAGTTATATGCTTTCAGATTTTATTTCATGTAAGCATACCTATTTTTCCCTACTTTTGTAAGGAAATGGTTTCATGCTTAGAAACGTTTAATGCCTGTAATCATATATGTGTATGTTTCCTCCTAAAAGCTAAGTTTATACATCCTGTTTCTCTGTTTAGAGCTACTGAAAATAGTGTCTTTACTTGCTGTCTCCATTCCTTTCTTTCCATTCTGTCTTAAATACACTCTAATCATACGCTCACCTCACTTTCTGCAGCTCTTCTCAGTTTTTGATGTCCTCTTTGCTAAATCCAGAGGTCAGTTTGTGGCTCTCATTTTACTTTACCTATTAGAAACTTTGAAACCATTTTTCATTTCCTCACTCTTGACTTGTAGTTACCATCCTCCTTTACTGCTAGGCCTTGTCAGCCTCCTTGACTGATTCCTCTCCATTTCTATACCACAAAGTGTTGCAGTCTTTAGGGAAGACTCCTTGGACTTCTAATTTTTAAACCATCTTACTTCAGTCTCATGGCTTTAAATGCTATCTGTACACTAATGACTCTCAAATGTAAAGTCTGATGTTAAGTCAGACATTCTCCACTTGGATATTTAAGACATTTTAAACTTAGTATATCCGAAATCATTCTCCTCATGTCTGTTATTCACAACAAATAAACAGCTGCTCCTTTCCTCAGTCATTAAATGGCAATTTGGCAGTTTAGGCCAGAAACCTTGAAGTCATTTGCACAGCTTGGGTTCTCTGGAAAGCAGAGTGAGATAAAGATTAGCAAGCTATACTTTTATTAAAGAGTGCTCTTAGCATAAACAACTCCAGAAAGAAAGGGAAGGACAAGTTAGGCTTCAGTGCATTCCTACAAAAGCCTCAGCCAATCTCACAATAACCTCTAAGCAAGGATGGCTCATTGTAGTTATCCCAAGTTGGGGCAAGGGGTCATAGGATTAAATGACATTACCCAGGAAGTGAGCATATATATAAGAAGTCCAAGGACTGAACCCTAGAGAAATACAATGTTTCTATCCCATGTCAACCAGTCAGTAGATACAGGCTGCCCTGCAAAGTGGGATAAGCTTGACTTCCTTTAGGCAAGGCAATTCCTAAAGTGTCTGACAGCTGGGAGCTATCAGCCAGCCACAGCCCCAGTGTCTGGGGAGTAAGTCCTTCACGCCTGATGGGGATCTGATGAGCACATAACAGTGTCCTCAACATCATTCTTAATTTTTCTTTTTCTCATATCCCAAATTCAATCCATCAAGGAAATGTTAGTTCTGTTTTAAATATACATCCAGAATCTAACCACTTTTATCACCTCCTCTGCTACCGCCTTAGTTCATACCATCATCATCTGTTGTCTGGATTATTGTTATGTTTTCTGAACTGGTCTGCTACTTCTACTCTTGCACCTTTCTATTCTCTACATGGCAGTTAGATTAAATCGAAGTTAGATTGTTATTCCAGTGCTCTGGCTTCTCCTCCCACTTAAAATTCTAAATTCCTTCCATTGTTTACAAGGCCATCCACAGTCTGGTTCCCATTATATCTCGAGTCCTCCTTTTCTCCTTGTTCACGCCTCTCCAGCAGCATTGAAACCTTTTAATCCAGCTTCCCAGCCTCTCTTGGCTTGCCTGTCTGCTAGTGTGACATACTCCCCTCTTCATTAGTTCCTCCCCATTCTCTGTTGGCTAGTGTGGTAGGCTAAACGATGTCTGCCATATCAACATTAAATGACTTCATCAAGGTTATCCAATGAGAAAAGTACTACAGAGCTTAGAAAAAGTTCAAGCATTTTGCTTCTACCAGTCTGTTTTGTTCTTTCTGTTGTATCTTGGTGTAGAAAAATTAATCTGTTTTAAAGTGAAAAAAAGTTAGTATTTTTTAAGACTTCATATTGGTCAAAATTTCTTGAAAAGTTTCATTGTTTGGTGCTTCCCCCCGCCCCATAATTTTGAGTTGACTTCTAGTAAAATGCATTACTCTCACTGCAGCTACATGATGAGATTGAGGTCATGCCACCTCATACGTGGAACTAATGATTTCTTGCTCTTTCTTTCCTATACAGAGCTTTTCATCCTACTATAAAGGAGGATTTGAACAGAAAATGAGTAGGCGAGAAGCTGGTCTTATTTTAGGTGTAAGGTAGGTGTGCAGCATAAGTATTGTTTTGTTGTGTGGCCAAGCTTGTCTTTAAAAAAGAGAAAACGTTACAATAAGGTTATACTTAGACTTAAAATTATGAGTAGGTGGCAGAGGAGAAAATATCAAATTTTTATATTTTAAAGCCTCAAATCTAAAAGTATCCCACTCCCCTAAAAAAACAAAACAAAACAAAACAAAAAAACAGGCAAAGTTGTGAAGTACCTTTATTCTTTAACAAGGATCTATAATATTTGAATACTGATGTTTCAGTTAACCAAAATATCCTTTTTTGTGACATTCTCTCTAGACTCAGTTTTATAATTTGATATCATATTGTTAATTATAATCCAGGATATGTTTCATAGTTCTTTTCTGCTTCTGCAGTGTGACATCAAGCATATTTATTGTGCTTGTTTCACCTTAGTATCCTTTTATTGTCTAACTTTGGACAATATGAGAGAAAATTAATGATATTATATAATTGCTGTGTGATATCATTTAACATTTAATGTTAAGAATATTTTCCCCTATGATAATCATTTGTTTACCATATGTTCCCTTAGAGCCTACTCTCAAGTTTTTGTGGGAATTGGTTACAGTATGTCATGTACAACAAATCTTCTGATGATATAATCAACACAATTAAGCAAATTAGATAATAAAGTCCTGTATTGACAAAAATGTTTTGATATCTTGTAAATTTTTTAAAATTTAAAGATTTTTTAAAAAGCCAAAACATTTTATTATTTCTTATGACCTAGCAGAAAAAACAAGAGTTGGGAGGAGGAGCCCAGTTTAGTTTGGTGCTTTATTTAAGAGATCTCATCTCTTCTTAGATGAGATCTCTCCTTACCAGACAATAGAAAATAGGAAATGATTTTAAGCATGAGGGTCAGATTAGGAAGTTTGCTATACTGCCAACTATTTCTTGCTTAATATCATTCAGAATGGCATTGTTATTTTTCCTGAACTTTTATTGGCCTCCCAAAATACCCTGTTGATTATCTTGAAATCTGAGTATAAAACATTATAAAACCAAGTACAAAGGTTTTTGAGGATATCCTTTAATATTATGCAGGGCACTTACGTTGTTAGGACAGACAGGAGTTGACTGTATTTTTACATTCTCTTAAGATATATATTTATAAAGTTTTATCCCATAGAACTGAAAGCTGTATAAAATTCACTTGGAAAATTCAGTGATTAAGAGCACAGACTCTGGTATCAAGTATATATGCGTACAAATACCAGTTTAACACCTATTAAATGGGTGACCCCAGTTTAATCATCTGTAAAATAGAGATAATAGATTAGTTTTAACTGCATAAAGTTGCCGTGAAGATTAAATTATATAATATATGTGAATTTCTTTTTTTGGAAGTTTTTTTCTTTTTTAAACTTTTAGGTTCAGGGTTACACGTGCAGGTTTATTATAAAGATAAACTTGTGTCACAGGGGTTTGTTGTATAGATTATTTTGTCACCCAAGTACTAAGCCTAGTACCCAATAGTTATTTTTTCTGCTCCTCTCTTACCTCCTACCCTCCACCCTCAGGTAGGCCTCAGTGTCTGTTTTTCCCCTCTTACTATTTAGCTCCCACATGTAAGTGAGAACATGTGATATTTGGTTTTCTGTTTCTGCATTAGTTTGCTGAGGATAATGGCTTCCAGTTCATCCATGTTTCTGCAAAGCCCACGATCTCATTACTTTTTGTGGCTGCGTAGTATTCCATGGTGTTTATGTACCACATTTTCTTTATCCTGTCTACCACTGATGGGCATTTAGGTTGATTCCATATGTTTGCTGTTGTAAATATTGCCACAGTGAACATATGTCTGCAACACATGGTACTTACTAACTACTCAATAAATAGCAGCCAAGCAAAGCAGATTATTGCCCTGAGTCTGTCGCTTAGGCGCTGCCCTGTATGATCTTGGTCAAGCTTTTTTGTTTTGTTTTGTTTTTAGCTTTTCTATACTTTGGCTTCTTCATTTTTGAATTGAGAGTAATAATATTCTGCCTTGTTGGAATAATATAAGAATGATATGATGATACCTTTTTACATAATACCTACCAAATATCAGGTGCTGAAAAAAATTTGGCTCCTGTTTCTTTCCATGTCTGTCACGAACGCAGAAGCTAGATATTTGTCCTAACACATTAAGTGGAAAGGTAAATGAAACTTATCTGCTTTCCTCTAGCCCTTTCTTTTCAGTCAGGCAATGTTGATTATGACAAGATAATTTTAAGATGTGAGTATATTCATTGAATCTCAGCTGTGTAGACTATATAACAGGTAGGTGAAGGCAAAATGGAGCCGATCCTTTTGATAACCTATTTTAAAAATACTGTATGTGTTCTAGATGATACTATACATTCTGACATATTGCATATGAGAATTGTTTATTGAAATGTGTATTTGAGTCTTTGCCTTATGTTTTTCCTTGCAAGAGAATAGTGTCCTGCAATATGACTCATGTCTGTAACAAAAAGCCTGAATTATTTTACAAAGCTGCCCAGGAAAATTGTTTTTATACCTGGTATAGTAAGTCCTCACTTAATATCACCCATGGGTTCTTGTAAACTGTGACTTTAAACAAAATGACTATAATGAAACCAATTTTTTAAATCAATGAAAGGATGTTGAAGGAAATGACATTATTCAGGGACCTGCCATACATCATTTTGCTTAAAATCACAGTTTTTAAGAACCTATCAACAGTATTGTGTATTATATGAAATGATGCACATTTATGATTTTTTTTTTTGAGACAGAGTCTTGCTCTGTTGCCCAGGCTGGAGTACAGTGGCACGATCTCCCCTCACTGCAAGCTGCGCCTCCCAGGTTCACGCCATTCTCCTGCCTCAGCCTCCCAAGTAGCTGGGACTACAGGCGCCCACCACCACGCCTGGCTAATTTTTTGTATTTTTAGTAGAGACGGGGTTTCACCGTGTTAGCAGGATGGTCTCGATCTCCTGACTTTGTGATCCGCCTGCCTCAGCCTCTCAAAGTGCTGGGATTACAAGCAGAAGCCACCATGCCTGGCACATTTATGATTTTTAAGCTTTCTAAAAACTTTTGTAGAATTCTGTTTATAAACTATATTAGTCCATTCTCAAGCTGCTATGAAGAAATACCCAAGACTGGGTAATTTATAAGGAAAAAGAGGTTTAATGGACTCACAGTTCCACATAGCTGGGGAGGCCTCAATAATGGCAGAAGGCAAAGGAGGAGCAAAGGCACATCTTACATAGTGGCAGCAGGCAAGAGAGCATGTGTAGGGGAATTGCCCTTTATAAAACCATCAGATCTCATGAGACTTAGTCACTATCATGAGAACAGCACAGGAAAACCCGCCCCCATCATTCAGTTACCTCCCACCGGTTCCCCTCCCATGACATGAGGGGATTATGGGAGCTATAATTCAAGATAAGATTTGGGTGGAGACAGAGCCAAACCATATCACTATATGTTACTCAAAAGCTCAGTAGTAGAAAAAAAAAAAGATGAAACCAAAACTGCTCCATTTGCCAGAAGGTCCAAGAACACCACTCCACATACCCCCACTGCCAGCCAGATGCATTCTAGGGAGGTGTTTGAAATCTCTGGTCTAGGTACCATCATATTTAAAGTTATACTGGAGGTATATCATCATAGCTACATTTAGTTTTTATACTAAGCTTAAAAACTAGGCTTCTCTCATGTTGTTTAATCTTTACAGCAACAAACATGTATTAATATTAAAATGTATTAAGGTCCAAGAGACTTAATATAATAATAACTAAAAGGAAATAAACACTGCCAGCAAAGCAGAATAGGTCTCATTTCCAGAGCTCACCATTAGGAGTCTGATCATTATTATCTTAAAGGCAGAGTGTTTTGAATGCCATACTTGTGCATATGAACTTTCCTTCCTTGTGTTTACTTTAGTTCAGTGGTTGGTGGACCTCAGTATGCATAATGCGTTGTGGAGTTTTATGTACAAAACTATGTGGAACTGATTTTCAGAGCATTGTAATTAATTATCAAGGAAATTTTGACGGAGTAATTTTCAGATTTTGTATTATGTGCTCAACTAAAACTTAATATCTAGAATAAAATGGACCTTGCCATATATCTTCTAAAAAAATACAATGGTTCAGCAGAACATTCACCTATATATATATATATACACACATATATGTGCGTATGCGTATATGTGTGTATATATATGTGTGTGTGTGTATATATATATGAAATTTGGATTTTACTGAACTTATCTCATTATTTAGAGGGCCACATGGTGATGAAATTTATGAAATAGGTTTTTAAAGCTCCCCCTTTTTTACTTTAAAATTATTTGCATAGTAATCCTTTATAATATTAGTATTTACTAATATGGAGTATTTGTTATTTTAAGGAGTTTACCTTTTTACAGTCATTTTTGGAGGGTGATGTAAAATGCATTAAGCACTTGTACGATATATAATCCTAATTTCTTTTTTTTGTTTTTTTTTGAGACGGAGTCTTGCTCTGTCACCCAGGCTGGAGTGCAGTGGCGCTATCTTGGCTCACTGCAAGCTCCGCCTCCTGGGTTCATGCCATTTTCCTGCCTCAGCCTCCCGAGTAGCTGGGACCACAGGCGCCCGCCACCACGCCTGGCTAATTTTTTGTAGTTTTAGTAGAGACAGGGTTTCACCATGTTAGCCAGGATGGTCTCGATCTCCTGACCTTGTGATCTGCCCGCCTCAGCCTCCCAAAGTGCTGGGATTACAGGCGTGAGCTACTGCCCCCGGCCTACAATCCTAATTTCTATTTTAAGATACAAATCATAGTTTCAGCCCTAAAGTTATTTAGAATCTACCTAACACAACATGCCAAATACATACAGAACAGCTAGAAAACATAAGTAATAAAGGCAAGATGTGCCACAGAGCACCTGTGTAGCAAAAAAAGGAGTTGATAAATGTAGATTAGCCACAGAAATCGAAATCATTGAGCTGTAATTTTTCAGTGTAATTTTTTTTGTTTCTTAATAGGCAGTTAAACAGTATAGTGTTCATACCTCTGGTATGATGTTTAACAGTTATTTTCTCAAAATTCAGTAGTCTTTTAACCAGACAATGTTTAATTGTTTATCTGGGAGGTACCTACAAGCCAAAAAGTAAGTTTAGAATGCTGCTTCAAAGACATAGGTAAACAGCCAAGAGGAATACTCTTAAGTCCTTATAGGAAAATATTTAATTCATTTTACTCATGGAAGACTATTTTATGTGCCTACTCAGCAATTAATAGTGCATTTTAATGTGCTTGGTGATCTATCACTTACCCACAGATCAGAGGTAGCAAGTAACTAGCAAGGAACTGCCAAAGACTAGAACAATAGCAGAATCAAGGATTGACAGCTGATAGCATAGGGGAGGCACTGTTCAAAATAGAACTTAAATGAATAACATTCTAGGTCCATTTAGTAGGAGGACAAGCAAACATCTGCAGACCTTGAGAGTTTAATTGGTAATAATGACAATGCTGTGAGCCATCCAAGAAATGTTAAGTTAGGTTATTTACACTTTATTTTCAAAATGCAGGAGATATCTAATACAGTCTCATAAGCATCCTTTACTTTCATGTGTGCTAGGTTATGTTAATCTTTTTACTTATATTATCTAATTTTTCTTTAAAATAAACCTGGGGGTAGGTTTTATTACGTGTATGCTACGTATGAGAAAATTGCAACTGAGTTTAAGCAAGACATACTTTCACAGCTAATAAGTAGTGGAATCAAGAATTTGAACCTGTTTCTGACTAACTGTAAAAGCACATGCTTTTAGCTATTATGTTGTGGTTCATCCATGCAAATTAAATTATTTTGAGCTTTACAATAATTACACTGTGCTTTAAGTCAACTATTATTATCCCCATTTGAGACTCAGAAAAGTTAAGTAGCTTAAACAAGATAGTATAGCTATTAAGTAGCAGTAGTAGGATTTTGTTGTTGTTAGTGTTAATTTTTTTCCCTTGCCTAGAAAATGTACTAATAAGCAACATTTCCAATACTGGATACATTGGGTTTTACCCAAATAATTTTAGGATTATTTAATTATCTACTTTAATTTTTGTTTACAGCATAGGCTTTAACAGCCAAGCTTTTCCCATGGGTTTTTTTCACAAAGCTAAATAACTATGAGACATAAAGAGTTTTGAGATCCTCTGTAAAGGTAAAAGATAACTATAATGAAGCACTTGCTACATTCCAGGTACTGTTCTAACATTTCGTAGGCATTAACTCATTTAATCCTTACAGTTGCTCTAGCCCTGTTTTACAGTGAGGAAACTGAAGCACCAAGAGGATAAAAATTTGATCAAGCTTACACAATCTTAAGTGGCAATACTGGCATTAAAATCCAGCAGTGTGCCAGGCGTGGAGGCTTACACCTGTAATCCTAGCATTTTGGGAGGCCAAGGTGGGTGGATCACGAGGTCAGGAGTTCGAGACCAGCCTGGACAACATGATGAAACCCTGTCTCTACTAAAATACAAAAATTAGCCGGGTGTGGTGGCGCGCGTCTGTAATCCCAGCTGCTTGGGAGGCTGAGGCAGGAGAATCACTTGAACCTGGGAGGTGGAGGTTGCAGTGAGCTGAGATCATGCCACTGCACTCCAACCTGGGCAACAGAGCAAGACTCCTCCTTCTTGGGGGGTGGGGGGGGAAAGTCCAGCAGTATGCCTCTGGAATCCAAATACTTGTCTGCTACACCGTATATACCGCCTTCCCCCCAAATAACTTAGAAGCATAAGTTTTCAAACTTACAGTATTGTCTGCAGAAGCTGACTCCCCTAACCTATATGTTGTTTTGTTTTTTAAATTGATTGAGAATAAGGATTGGCATTACAAAGGACTGAAGAAAAACACATGTAACATTGAATCAATGATTTATTTTGATGGTTAGTGGAATTAAGTGGAAAGCTGTAGTTTCATATTTGTCCACAAGATGGTGAAATTCTCATTAGGTATAATTTTTTGAAACCCATATAAACCCTTAATTTATAATCTGCATTTGATGCTATTTATTATAAGCACTGTAATTTCTTTTTACAGCCCATCTGCTGGCAAGGCTAAGATTAGAACAGCTCATAGGAGAGTCATGATTTTGAATCACCCAGATAAAGGTAGGTAGAATTCCTATTTTTCATAATATGTATATCAAAATATGCTGTGAATTCCTTTCAGATTAAAGTCATATATGATATATAGTTGAGATGGAAGTTTGTGCGCCACATGTATTGTGATTTTTTTCTCATAAATGAGCATTTAGGTTGGAGTTCAGTGATTCACACAAGTAGTGGATTTATATTATCTGCTTTCAAGAACTTAGTTGCTGGTTTTTATATATGACTTCCTGAACCATCTGATGCGCCTACCATTTTTATCAAGAAAAATCGAAAACACGAGTTATGGACTCTTTGGTTGTATAAACTGATTTGGGCATCACGAATTGTATTTATGTAACCTTCAATGTAAAAGCACAAGAGTTAGAGGATTTCCTCCAAATCTGTGAATGTAATATGTCATAGATGATTCTGAATTTCTGAATTTTATTCTGGAAGGCTCTGAGGCTGAGCCATTTGTTTTTAACTGGCCAGGTTTTTAATGTAAATTTATCTTACAGAAAGACAATTATTATAACTTTAACTACACTACAGCTGCTTGAGAGGGAAAGCCCATATGTTCATTGCTGTTTCTGCTTTAAAATAACAGATGGTAGAAAGTTACACTGTATTTCAGAAGTCAAAGGGGGGTGGGGGAGGAAAGTGAAGGGTTTCTTGGATTCTTATTTACAGACTTTCAGTTTCCTAATTATTTCAAAAAAATTAAAAACAAATTTTGGATTCCTCTCCATCCTAACCAGTACCAAAATAAGGCATTCTTTTTCAGCTTTCTCACTTAATTACTTACTATAAAAGTTTTTTTCGCTAAGCATCATCTCTGTTGGTTTTTGCACTTATTATTCTTTAGTGTGAATAAACATGAGAATAAACTTTCAAAAGAGGTTTTGCTAAAGATTTCTAAACAGTTTCAACAGTTACTGAAAGATTCACTCAGCTAATTTACTTTGCATTGTGGGCTATCTTATGAGCAAGTAGTGTTTAAAGAATTACGATTTATTTTGAGATGGTATATTTATTTGAGGTGGGATTGTTGACTATAGTGGGCTTACTAACATCCTTTAGTCTCACCCTGTGTGGGGTAGCTGGGTGTGAAAGAATGGACTTCGGAGCAAGGGATCAGCATTTTTCTTTGGCTTCTACCTTCCAGTCAGCATTGTGGCCTTGAAAACTCCCTTAACTCCAAATATGAGTTTTATTATTTGCAAAATGACAGGATTTATTTCTAAAGTCCTTTTTGTTTGCATGATTTAATAACCTTTTATGCCTATTCAATTAATGTAGAGGCTGTACCCTATGTTTCTGTTCAGATCAGATTTTTAACTTAAGAAAGATGCTTTTAATGTTTTTGGATTATTGTTCCCTCTGAGAATATATTGACAACTGTGGACTTTTTTTCCATATAACTGCTCATTCACCCAAAATTTATAAACATTTGGAGTTTCAGAAAGTTCATGCACTTCCTAAAACCCATCCATATACTCACAGTTAAGAACTCCTGCTCTAGTAAAAGTGTAGTGATAGGAATGTTGGAACTTCTCTCTTTGATGGAGTTGAGAGATGATAGCTCATAAATCTAAAGATTATCCTTTGAGAAGGAAGATTGTTTTGTTTTCAATGGGAAGCTAACAGATTTTAAACAAAAATGCCTCATTGCCTTTGGTAAGCGAAATCCAAGAGTATTTGGGGAAGTATGAGAATGGGCAGCTTTTAATTTTGTTTCTTCTTCTTGGAATCCTTCAACATATTTACTTTAGCCAGGTCACCACTGGGTATTATAGGTAGTTGGAAATACTTAAATCTCATTTCCAGTGCTTCCGAATTCATGAATATGTTTCCCCACCCACCCCCAAGGAACTTTTCTGTTGGTTTTGCTACCAGCTGATAGAACAAGTTTGGAATTTCAAATGTGTGACCAACTATAATTTGTTACACATTTCATTATCAGCTGTGCAAAGAAAGTGACACCAGAAAATTAGGTGTGGGAAATGGCTGAAAATAAATTTTTGTAATTAGTTTTAAATAAGCATTCAGACGTATTTTGGTAAAAAGGAAATTTTTCTTTTTCAATGTAGTGAGATAAAAAAATAATGCAGTAAAAACATTTCGTGTCCTTGATCTAATGCTTTCAAGGCTAATATCTTTTAGATTACTGCTTTTCTTAAATTGATGAAGAAAGAGGTTGGTGGTTATGAAATGAGTAGTTTTACAGTAATGCATAGTGAATATAGAAGGGGAGAGGACAGATTGCTTAGAGATGTCTTACAGGCTGTCTAATGCAGTCTTAATCAATGTGTATTTTGCCTATTCTTACCAGTCCAGTTTGTGCAAGTTAAAAACAGAAACCAAAAGTAAACATTTAGAAAGCTTATAATATCGCCACGATACCCAAATGTGTGATACTTTTGTGCTATGTAAAAGTATTGGTCCACTAAAGATTGGAAATGTTTAAAATATTTAAAAAGTACACCTTTGCCGTAGCTTGAGAGGCACTGATCTAATCAATGCTGCCTCCTAAATCTGGGCTTTCTGCTCTGTCCCGGGGAAAATGTCCTATTAGCTCTCCTTCAAGACTTTTAGTGATTAAGAGCTTCCTGTTTCACAAGGCAGCTTGCTTTACTGGTGGACAGCTCTAACTACTAGAAAGTTCTTTCTTGCATTTAGATGAAATCTGCCTGCCTGCAGTGGGGAGATTCTCAACCTTTTCCCACTTACACACCTTTCAGTAAACACGCAGTATTCTCACACTTCCTTATTAGAGTGTTTAAGTCAAAATTAAATATTGGGATCAAAAACAAGTCAAAGTAATTATACTGTTGAATGGATTTTCTCTAATTATTCTCATTGTAAAGTAAGCTAATTTTTATCTGAAGTCCTGATAATAATATATTGTAATTTCTTACAGTATATTACATTTAAAAATGTGTTCTAAATATTTAGAAAGAGATAATCTCCAAGAGTCAGCATGGATTCACTAAGAAAAGGTGATGCCTAATTAACTTGGTTTTTTTTTTTTTTTGATAGATTTACTGGACTGTTTGTTTTGGAGGGTTCATCTTTCTTTTCCCTTCATTTCAGCATTTTAGATTTAAGGCTTTGTGTTAACTAATTTTTTTGGTAAAGAGAAAATTTTGTTTTATGCATTGATTTTCCTTGATAAATGCTGAGATCCTTAAAAGTGAAGAACGTGGCTTACTCTTCTTTATAACTTATATGGCTGACACATCATAAACTCTAAATTCGTAAGTTTTTTTGGTGAGTAAATGAATAAACAAATGGATAAAAACAAGGCAAACACTTGGTAGGTAAAACAGAATTGGTAGTGATAACTAATACATTAAATAATTTCTTAGATTAGATTGATAGGAAACAACCTGACACTAATCTTCCATTTATTCAAAAATTATTTATTTAGCACCTACTATGTGCCAGGCATTGTGCTAAATCTTAAGACAACTTCAACAAGACAATTAGATCTCTGTCCCCGTGGGATCATGCATTCTAATGGAGGAGCAGACAAAAAATAAGTAAACCTATTTCAAGTTGTAGCAAGGCGATAAAGGGTATAATGAGCCAAGATATAAAACACAGGAGAGAGGCAACTTTACATAGGATGACTGGGAAAACCTCTGTGAGGAGATGTACAGGATGAGAAGGAGCTAGCTGTGTGAAAAGTGGTAAACAAAGTAAAGGGGCTAATGTGCAAAGCCTCTGAGGGAGTGTGCTTAAGGACCTGAAGGAAAACTAGTGTGATAGGAATGTAATAGGCAAATGGAAAGATAGCATGAGATAAAGTGGTACCCAGATTTTTAAAACTAGGTATGTATTATGATAATGAAATACTGTAGGTTCTATATAAGATTTTAACTTTGTTCCAAATGCAAAGGGAAGTTACTGTTAACTTTTAAACAGTAGAGTGATATAATTCAGTACACCTTTTAAGAAGTCATTTTTCTTTCATCGTCAATCTCTATTTTTGATTTTTAAGTATACTTTAATTGAAGTGTAATTTATGGGCAGAAAAGTGCACAAATCATAACTATATTCCTTTTTCACTTTGCCAGCCTTTGCACTGATGGTGTAAAAATATTGGTGGGTAAAACTGGTGGTGTCTTAACATTAGTCAAGGCAGTGACACCAGTCTATCCATATATATGCATATGGGAAAAATGAATCATGTGATGCCATATGCAAAATTAATTCTTAATGGATTATAACCTGTTAAAAGAAAAACTTCAGACAAATTTAGCAGAGTTTATTTGAGCAATGAATGATTCATGAATTGGGCAGCACTCAGAACCAGAAGAGGTTCAGAGGGCCCCCTTAACAGCATAAGCAGCAAGCTTTTATAGGCCAGATAAAGAAGCAAAGTAGATAAATTACCTGATTGGCTTCAGCTAGGCATCTGCCTTGTTTTGCATGGGCATGGTATGATGAAACATTTACCTTGTTTGAGCATGGTGTGATGAGTTGGCTGCTTGTGATCAGCTGAAACTATCTGTTTGTTATACTTCTAAGTTGGGTTTCAGTTTGTGTAAGTACTAAGTTAGGTTGTAGTTCATTACGTAGGAACTAAGTACAGAGACAGCCCCAGGCTAATGGCATCCTGCTTATTTAATTTAACAAACCTAAATATGAAAGGTAAAACTAACTTCCATATTAAAAAAAACATAGACTTAGGCAAAGATTTCCTATACATGGCATAAATTAAAGGGGAAAATTTTGCCTCTATTCATGAAAAAAACTAACTGGTTATTTTGCCTTTTTTTGAAAGTTGACAGA
Organism: Homo sapiens; assembly: GCF_000001405.40. Taxonomy (NCBI): domain Eukaryota; kingdom Metazoa; phylum Chordata; class Mammalia; order Primates; family Hominidae; genus Homo; species Homo sapiens. The sequence continues at coordinate 43,090,618 of NC_000013.11, forward strand.
TATTGTTATCAAGGCGCTCTGGCCTCTTAAAAGAAATTGGGCAGCATTCTTTACTTTCTGAACGTTTGTGTAAGATTAGTCTTCTTTCTTTCTTTTTTTTTTTTTTTTGAGATAGAGTCTTGCTCCGTTGCCCAGGCTGGAGTGCAGTGTTGCGATCTTGGCTCACTGCAAACTGCGCCTCCTGGGTTCACACCATTCTCCTGCCTCAGCCTCCTGAGTAGCTGGAACTACAGGCGCCCACCACCACACCTGGCTAATTTTTTTGTATTTTTAGTAGAGATGGGGTTTCACTGTGTTAGCCAGGATGGTCTCCTGACATCGTGATCCACCCACCTTGGCCTCCCAAAGTGAGATTAGTCTTATTTCTAGGTATTTGTAAGAGTTCACAAATGAAGCCATCTGGGCTTGGAGACTTCTTTGTGGGAAGGTTTAAAATTACAGATTCAATTTATTTTATTTTTTTTATTTCTTTATTTTTTATTTTTGAGACAGAATCTCACTCTGTCACCTAGGCTGGAGTGCAGTGGCACGATCTCTGCTCACTGCAACCTCCACCTCCCGAGTTCAAGTGATTCTCCTGCCTCAGCCTCCCGAGTAGCTGGGACTACAGGTGTGTGCCACCACGCCTGGCTAATTTTTGTAGATTACTTAGTAGAGATGGTGTTTCACCATGTTGGCCAGGCTGGTCACGAACTCCTGACGTCAGGTGTTCTGCCTGCCTTGGCCTCCCAAAGTGCTGGGATTACAGGCGTGAGCCACTGCGCCTGGCCAATTCAGGTTATTTAAAAGATACACATCTCTTTCACATTTTTCATTTCTCCTTAATATCATTTTTGGTTAGTTTTTTTCTTAGGAATTTGTTCATTTCACCTAAAATTTCAGGTCTATTGTTACAAATGGGTTCATAATATCTTCTTATTACCTTGGTAATGTTTGTAATTGCATTGTTAAGCCACATTTTTATTCCCAATATTAGTACTTTATTTGTATCATCTCTTATTAATCTGTTTATAAAATAATTTTTTGCATCATTGTTATTTCATTCCTTCCACTATCTTTGAGTTTATTTGCTGTTCTTTTTCTAATTTTTTGAAATGAATAGTCAGATCACTGGTTTCAGCTGTCATTCAGTTCAAAATACTGTAATTTTCATTATGATTTTTTTTCTTTGACCTGTGTGTTATTTGACATGCATTCCCTCATTTTTTAACAATAGAGGGTTTTGTAGTTATCTCTATAGTATTGATTGCTAGCTTAATTCCATTTGGGAAGAGAACATACTCTGATTTCAATAATCTAGCATATGGTCAATTTTGGGAAAAATTTGTGATCACTTGAACAGAATGTATATTCTGCAGTTACTCTATGCAATGTTCTAGATATGTGAGTAAAGTTTGTTGACTGTATTGTTCAGATCTTCTGCATTCTTACTATTTCTTGTCTGCCTACTCCATTATCTGTTAAGATAGGGGTAAAACCTCCTACAGTGATTGTGGATTTGTCTGTTTCTTCATTTAGATTTTTTTGCTTATGGTGAAAAGGATTTTGGGGACAAATGATTTAGGATTGTTAAATCTTACATATGGATTTCTCCCTTGTTTTAAATATCTCTCATGATTTATAGTACTGCTTTTTGCCATAAAGCCTACCTTATCGAAAATATGTATAGCTGTACCACCTTTCCTTTGGTTAGTGTTTACATGGTATATCTTTTTTCCATCTTTTTATTTTCAGCCTTTTTGTATCTCTCTTGTTGGTTTGTCTCTTCCAAGCAGAATGCAGTCATTTTAAGTGTGACAATTTTAGACTTTTAATGTAACTATTCAGTCCTTTTACATTTAATGTAGTTTACTGGTATTTGAATATATACATATACACACACACATGTGTGTGTGTATATATATATATAAATGTTACTTTTTGTTTTCTATTTGACTCACCTATATTCCTTTTTCTGACCCTTTACTTTTAGCTGGTTCTGTTTTTTAAAAATTTTATACTTTTTTCTTTAGTAACTTGATAGATACATTTTTTTAAAAGACCATTTATTTTGGGAGGCCTGGGCAGGAGGATTGCTTGGGCTCAGGAATTCAAGACCAGCCTGGGCAACATAGCAAGACCCTTTCTCCAGTAAAAATTTAAAAAAATTAGCTGGACATGGTGGCACATGCCAGTTGTTCCAGCTACTTGTGAAGCTGAGGTGGGAGGATTGCTTAAGCCTGGGAGATGGAGGCTACGGTGAGCTATGATCATGCTACTGTACTCCAACATAGGTGACAGAGTGAGACCCTGTCTCAAAGAAAACAAAACTGTTTCTTTAGTGACTGTCCAAAGAATACAGAATACTTTCTTGACTTACTACAGTCTGAAATAAAATATTACTTTGGCCACTCCTAAAGTAATACTGGGACTATTAATTTTTTCCAGTTCATTGTTCTTTCTTCTACACTGTCTAATTTCCTCTTAAACTATCTATTAAGCTCTTAATGTCATTTCTAAAATTTCCAGTTGATTCTTTTTTATGAAATCCAATTCTCTGTAAAATTCTCTGTAATTTTACGTATCTTTTCCATCTTCCCTCTGTTTTCTTAAATATATTACTTATAGTTATTTGGTTTTCAGGCCTTCTGTTTGTATGCAAAGTAATTTTTTTGAATGCCATACATTTTGTATGAAAGCAACAGTTTTCAAACTTTTTTGTCTCAGACCGAAAAAGACTTTATATGGATTCTATCTGTGAGTATTTACAATAATAGAAATTAACACTGAAAAATTGTTTTCTTTTTATTTTTCTTTTTCTTTGTTTTCATTGAGACAGGGTCTTGTTCCATTGCCCAGGCTAGAGTGCAGTGGTGTGATCACAGCTCACTTCAGCCTCGGCCTCTCAGACTCAAGCAGTCCTCTTACCCTAGCCTCTCAAGTACTTGGGACAATAGGTGTGTGCCAACATACCCAGCTAATTTTTTATTTTTATCTTTGTAGAAATGGACTCTCACTATGTTGTCCAGTCTGGTCCCTAACTCCTGGACTCAAGCCGTCCTGCCACCTTGGCCTCTCAAAGTGCTGGGATTACAGGCATGAGCCACTGTGCTGGCCTAAAACTGAGAAAGTTTAAATATATTTACCTATTAATTCATTTTAAAATATTAAACTTCTTATATATTAGTATAGATAACATAATCTTTATAAAAATATATCTTTTCCACAATAAAATTTTTGAAGACTAATGAGTAAAGTGACATTGTTTTACATTTTTGCACATCTCTTTTAATGTCTGGCTTAACAGAAAATACCCTGATATAAATATCAACCTCTACATTCATTCTGTTGTGATATGTTGTTTTGTTTAAATGTATGAAGAAAATACGACTTCACACAAATAGGTAGTTGGGAAAGGAAAGAGTATTTTATTCATCTTTTCAAATAATTGCAGATATTCTTCCTTGCTATTAAACCAGAACTCAACAAGTGGTAGCTTCTTAAAGATTAGTTGCATTTTGGAACCTGAAACCATGCCAATGAACTTTCAAGGTCTATTATATTAAAATCTATTGGTCTATCTTTTACTTTGAATTTTTTTTTCCCATCTGTGATTTTGTAACGTCATTCATTGGTCAAATACTGCTTCACTGAGAGTTACAAATCATCCAAATGTTGATGTATTTCATTTTATCAGTATTTCTAAAGATGTGGTCCCCACACTGTCAGCAGCTTCCCCTGGGCAATTGTTAGACATGCAGACTCTTAGGTTCCACCCTAGACCTACTTAATCAGAAAACCTGGGGTTGGGGCCCAGCATTTTGTGTGTTACGAAGCCCTCCAGTTGATTCTAATGTACACTAATGTTTGAGAATCACCGCTCTAAGGGTTCCAGCTGGGTTTCTGGGGTGTTCAGTGGGGTCCCTATGCGTGGCAGGTTCTGATCTCTAATCGCAGTCTCCTTAGCATTTTGAAACTTCCAAAAACTTTACTATGCTTTTCAGAAGCTTCTTGCTTTTTTCAGAAACTTTCTACTTTGCTTCTACCCTGTACAAGTTCAGAATTTGGTATATACTTAGAGGGAAAAATCAGCTGTGTATCAGGCTCTATTTTCAAACTTGCCTTTTTCAGTTGAGTTCTAAATCTTTGAGTCTACAATTTTTGTCTTAGCAGCTTGTGAGACTGCAAGAAGCCTTGCCTGCCCCCAGCAGCAGCCTTCTTGTGTCCATTGCCCATACTTCTAATTTCTTGCGTTCCACCAAGAATCATCAAATAATCTAAGGGAAAAAGCAATTTCAGAATGTCATTTTACCTCTAAATTTCCTCCCCTTCCGGAATCTTTGGACCCTCAAGCCATAGTTTTCTTAGAAGTTTCCCTGTAACACTAATTCAACAGGTGGGGTTTTTTAGTGGTTGTTTCATTTTTGTAGTGAGTTTTGACTGGCTTTTTTTAGTTGCTTTTAGTGTGAGCATCTAACACACTACTCCATCATAACCAAAAGCAAAAGTACAGAAAGTTACTTTTGAGACAGTATGACAAATTAATTGGCTAGCCAGTCATCCAGGAGGCTGGTACAGTAATATGAGTGAGAAATAATGATGACCTAGCTTAGGAGGGAGACAAGAAAGTGAATTTGAGATATGTTTTAGAAACAGAAGCAACAGTTACTGCTGCTTGATTTGATACAGGAAATTTAGTATTTCCCCTTGATTTCTGAGTCAAAAAATTAGGTAGATGGTGGAGCTATTTACTGAAATGGGGATGATCTAGAGTGGACAGGTGATTGTAAACAGGTTTAGGAGAAAAGAAATACTGTGTTGATGTTAAATGAATTAGTCAGTAGATTGTCCAAGTGGAAATAGAGAATAGGAATTGAATAAATGACTCTAGAGTTCAGAGAAGCAGACTGGACTTAAGAATCATCAATATAAGATGGTGTTGAAACCAACCTTAAGAGGTCATGGAAAGTGAAAGTATGGATAAGAAATAGGAGGAAAAAACCCCGAGGATCCAGGTCTAAGGAACCAAACACTTATAGATCAAGTTAGAAAAGGGGAAATCATCAAAGGAGACAGAAGGAAAAAAATGTAAGGAGAAAATGATACCATAGAAGCTAAGAAAGGAATATATTTAAGGGAACCAAGTGATCAACTGGGCTGAATGCTGCTATGAGAACCATTAAAATAAGGATAGAGAGGAGGGTCCAGAGTATTTTTTCCACACTGGAAGACTTTGATGACCTTAAAAAACAGTTTTAATTGGTGCAGGGCTAAGGAATGAAAAGATGCGGAAGTTGAGTTAGCTTATATACACAACTATTTTGAGAAGTTTTGTGAGGAAGAGGAGGAGAGAAATGGAATATTGTCTGCAACAGAGGGATGAGTCATTAAGGGAAAAATGCTGTTTTTTGTTTTATTTTGCTTTTTACTTTTTTTTTTAATTATAAAAGCTTGTTGAGTAATTTTTAGCAGGTTTGTTTGTCAGTGGAAATGATCGAGAGAAGGTGATTTAGAAGAGATTAAATTTTGGGGGAAATAAATGTAATGTTTTAAGTCTCAAAAGTCAATTGTATAACTGTGGGACAGAGATTTGGCAGTGTTTCACATGGAAAAGAGCCATGGGACATGTATTTGATCTCAAGGCCTGTAAGATTCAACAGCATAAAAGCTGCTAAAAATTTTATGCAGTCCTAAGCTGCATAAAGGACACATAGTATCTTTATTAAAGACCAAATATTACTGCAATCCTCTATTTATTTGTTATGCATTCATTCAATTAATATTTATCCAGCTGTACTGAGCTAGGCATTTAGATCTTATCTAGAATTTTGTGTCTGTTTCTGGATCCCAGATTTTTTATGGATACTGACAAACCAAATAGTATTCAGAGGAAATTGAACAGGATCATGAGGTGTCTGGAAACAATGTCATATGAGCAATTATTCATTCAACAAAATTTACTGAGTACTTAATGTAAGCCAGATAATGCACTAGATACTGAAGAAGATAACCAAAGACCTTGCTGTTAGGAATCTTATATTCCACTGTGAGAGACAATAGTAGATAGGTAATTGGTAGTTTAAAAATGGCCACAGATTCTTCATAGCTCCTCCCATCAAGAGGTGGTCTGATTTTTCACCCTTTGTATTCAGGTTGGCCTTTGTCATTTGTTTTGACCAATAGAATATAGCAAAAAATGACATGTGATTTCTGAACCTAGGCCTCAAGAAGCATTGCAGCTTCAGCTCTTACCTTCTTAGATCCTTGAGTCCACCAAGTGAAGAAGACTAAGCTCTCCTCCTGACGGAAGAAACACCAAGTAGAGAGAGGCCTAGCTATCCCAGCTTAGGCCCTAGTGAGGCCATCCTGGACTACCCAGCTCAGAATAACCACCCTACCAATCCACAGAAAAGTGAGAAATAAAAAGAACATTGTTGCTTTTCGCCACTAAGTTTTGGGGTGGTTTGTTATGCAGAAAAGGCTGATATAAAAAATGCCCATGATGTCATGGATCATAAGTGCTTTGAAGAAAAAGCAGAGCATGAGGTAGAGAATGGCAGCTGGAGGGGAGGCGGATGCTGATTTACTTATAGCCTTCTTAGAAATTCTCTCTAAGGAGATAATATTTGAGCAGAGACCTAAGGCAGTAAGTCATGCAAAATGAAGAAAGAATATTTCAGGCTGAAGAAACACCAAGTGCATAGGTCCTGAAACGAGAACATATGGTTTGTTTCTGGAATTATAAGCAGATCAGCTGGAGCATAGGAAGCAAAAGGGAGAGTGGTAGGAAATACAATTGGAGAGGAAGCCCAAGGCTAAATGATAGAGTGGCTTGCAAGCCATACTACAAACTTCAGGTTTTACTGTTGGGCATTATGGGAATGCTATTACCTGTTATGCAGTATTAGGAAGACTATTTTGGCAGCTATGAAGCAAATAGGGAGTCAAGAGTGGAAGCAAGGCAGTCACTAGAGAAAACTGTAGTAATCCAAGAGAATGATACTGTTTTGGATGAGGGTTGTTGTAGTAGAGGAGGTAAAGGGGAAAAAAAAAGGTCTAGGCCCGGTACGGTGGCTCATTCCTGTAATCCCAGCACTTTGGGAGGCTGAGGCGGGGAGATCACCTGAGGTCGGGAGTTCGAGACCAGCCTGACCAACATGGAGAAACCCCATCTCTATTAAAAATACAAAATTAGCCGGGCGTGGTGGCACATGCCTGTAATCCCAGCTACTCAGGAGGCTGAGGCAGGAGAATCACTTGAACCCGGGAGGCAGAGGTTGCGGTGAGCCAAGATCTAGCCATTGCACTCTAGCCTGGGCAACAAGAGCAAAACTCCATCTCAAAAAAAGAAAGGTCTAATTCAAAATATATTTTGAAGGAACACCCAACAAAGCTTATGAATCAGGGGTAAGAAAAAATGAGGAAAGATCACTCCTGGGTTTTTGGCCAAAGCAGTGGTTAGAGAAAAAGAAAATTTGCTATACTGAGAAACTTAGAGGGGATCTATGCAATATCAAATACTTAAAATGTGGCATGTATATGTGAAGTCCCTCTTGTATGCCTCTATGAGGACAGAATTATGTTCACTGAGAAGAAACTCTAAGCAGTGAAAATTTGACCCCTATAAGGAAGACTTTTCTTCTAGCTGGAACGTAAGACATCAGTCAGCTAGTAATTATTGAGGCTTTCTGGAAGTTGGTAGAACAGGGTACTTTCTAGGCACTGAAGCTACAGCAGTGGAAAAAGTGATGTGCAGATAGAGGCAGCAAAGGTAATTTGATTGAAAACTACTAGAGAGCAACTTATTAGGGATGTCATAGAAGGAATATATTTATTGGGTAAGAGGTAGAACCTCTTCAGACCCTTCCAACTCTGGGTTTCTGTGATTCTCTAATGATCTGATAAACCGAATCAGACTCAAATATTTTTCTTCAGATCCCCTTGTCTCTACATTATTTAATGCTATATTGAGATACCATACCATACAATTCAATTCATCCATTTAAGGTATACAGTTCAGTAGTTCTGGTATATTCTCAGACATGTGCAAACATCGCACTCAATTTTGGAACATTTTGATCACCTCAGGAAGAAACCCCTTTAGCTATTGTCCCCTCATCTTCCTGTTCTCAGTTCAGTTTCATTGATCAGTCTGTCTGTCCTTGTCCTAGTACCACACTGTCTTGATTACTGTTGCTTTGTAGTAAGTTTTAATATTGTGAAATGTGAGTCCTCCTACTTTATTCTTATTTTGTAGAATTGTTTTGGCTATTATGGTCCTTCCATAATAATTCCATATGAATTTTAGAACCAGCTTGTCAATTTCTACAAGGAAATCAGCTGAGATTTTTGATAAGGATTGCATTAAATCTGTAAATTAGAATGGGGAATTTTGCCATTTTAACAGTGTTAAGTCTTCTGATCCACAGAGACATGATGTTTTTCTATTTATTTAGATCTTCCTTAATTTCTTTCAACAGTGTTTTGTAGTTTACAAGTCTGAGTTTTGGACTTCTTTTGTTAAGTTTATTCCTATTTTATTCTTTTTAATGCTATTGTGAATGGAATTATTTTATAATTTTATTTTCAGGTTGTTTATTATAAATGTATAGAAATACAATTAAGTTGTATATTGATCTTTTATCCCACAACCTTGCTGAACTTATTTATTAGGTCTAATAGTTATTGGTGGATTCTTTAGGATTTTCAGTATACAAGATCATGTCACCTATGAATAGTGATAGTCTTACTTCTTGCTTTCCAATCTGGATGTCTTTTTCTTTTTTAACCTCATTAGACTGGCTTGAACCTCCATTACAATGTTGACTAGGTTTATTAAGAACAGACATCCTTGTCTTGCTTCTGATCTTAGGGAAAAGCATCCAGTCTTCGCTCATTCAATCTGTGGGTTTTTTGTAGATGCTTTTTATCTACAAACATACTAACACTTAGAGAACGTCTGTCTATTCCTAGTTTGCTAGGTGCTTTTTTCCTGAAAGTGTGTTGAATCTTGTCAAATGCTTTTTCTCCATGTATTGAGATCATTATGTGAATTTTTTTTTCTTTTGATGAGACTCGATATATTTATTTTTTGGTGGTTAAACCAAACTTGCATCCCTGTGTTAAATCCCACAGGGATTTGCAAGGTTTATAATTCCTGCATCCCTTGGTTGGTTGTGGTTTATAATTCTTTTTATATGTTTATATATTCTTTTTATATGTTGCTGGGTTTGGTTTGCTAGTATTGTGTTTTAGTATCTTTGCATCCACACTTATAAGATATATTGATCAGTAGCTTTCTTATGATATCTTTGTCTGGTTTTGGTGTGAAGATAATATAATGTAGGCTTTATAAAATAAATTAGGAAATGTTCTCTTTCTCTCTTCTATAAGCCATCAGGGGCTGGGCTTTTCTTTGTGGGTAGTTTTTTGTTTACTGATTCAGTCTCTTGTTGCAGGAATATTCAAGTTGTCTCTTCTTGAGTCAGTATCAGTAGTTTGTATCTTTTAGGAGCTTGTCCATTTTCTCTAAATTATCTAATTTATTGACATACAGTTGTTTCTCTTCTTTTTCCATTGTCTTAGGTTGAAGGTTAAGTTATTGAAGTCTTTTTTTTTTTTTTTTTTTTGAAACAGGGTCTCACTCTGTCACCCAGACTGGAGTGCAGTGGCACAGTCATAGCTCACTGCAGCCTTGACCTCCTGGGCTTAAGTGATCCTTCCACCTTAGCCTCCTGAGTAGCTGGGACTATAGGCACATGCCACCTTGCTCAGCTAATTTTTTTATTTTTTGTAGAGATAGGGTTTTGCCCTGTTTCTGAGGCTGGTGGTCTCAAATTCCTGAGATTAAGTGATCCGTGCCCCCCTCACCCTCCCAAAGTGCTGGGATTACAAGTGTGACCCACTGTGCCCAGCCGTCTTCTTTTTTAACATAGACATTTATAGCAATAAATTTCTCTGCACTGCTATCGCTGTGTCCCATAAGCTGTGGGTGGTGTTATTCATGTTTAATACATTCTATTATTGTCGGAGAATACAGTGTATTATTTCTGTCCTTTTCAACTTATTAAGGTTTGTTTTGTGGCCTATTATATGCTCTGTCCTGGAGAATGTCCTCTGTGCATTTGAGAAAAATTGCGTATTCCATTATTGGGTAGTGTTCTGTAAATATGTGTTAGTTCTTGTTAGTTTATAGTATTAAGTCTTCTGTTTCCTTGTTGGTCTTTTGTGTGGTTGTTCTGTTATTGAAAGTGGGGTATTAGCTGGTATTTATTCTTCATTTCTTAGTTTCTGTTTTTGTTTTGGTTGGTTTTTGCTTCATATATTTTGGTGCTCTATTGTTAGGTGCACATATGTTTACAGTTGTCCCATCTTCCAGGTTGATTGGCCCGTTTTTCATTATGGAATGCCCCTTTTTGTCTCTAATAACATTTTTGGTTTCAAAGTTTACTTTGTCTCATTAGCCACTCTAGCTTTTCAGTGATTTGCTGCTGTCAGGATATGTCTTTTTCCATCCTTTTACTTTTCAGTATTTTTGTCTTCAAATCTAAAGTGTGTCTCCTGTAGAGAACATATAGTTGGCTCATGCTTGTTTGCTTTTCTTCAATTTTTAATAGAAACAGGGTCTTGCTATATTGCTCAGGCTAGCCTCAAACTCCTGGGCTCAAGTGATCCTCCTGCCCCAGCCTCCCAGAGTGCTGGGATTATAGGCATTGAGCCACTGTACCTGGCTGGGTCATGTTGTAATTTAATCCGGTGCGACAGCCTTTGCCTTTTGATTGGATTGTTTAATCCTTTCTCATTTAGTGTTATGATTTATTATTTACTTTTATTTCAGTAGTTTTGGGGGAACAAGTGGTGTTTGGTTGCATGGAAAAGCTTTTTTGTGGTGATTTCTGAGATTTTGGTGCACTCATCACCCAAGCAGTGTACACTGTACCTAATGTGTAGTCTTTCGTCCCTCATCTCCCTTTTCTTTCTTCCCCCTAAGTCTCCAAAGTCCATTATATCATTCTTATGCCCTTGTGTCCTCCAAAGTCCATTATATCATTCTTATGCCCTTTCACTTATAAGTGAGAATATACAATGATTGGTTTTCCATTCCGGAGTTACTTTGCATAGAATAATGGTCTCCAATTCCATCCAGATAGTTGCAAATGCCATTATTTTATTTCTTTTTATGGCTGAGTAGTATTCCATTATAGATATGTACCATGTTTTCTTTATCCTCATGTTGGTTGATGGGCATTTAAGCTGGTTCCATATTTTTACAATTGTGAATTGTGCTGCTATAAACATGTGTGCAAGTGTCTTTTTCACATAATGACTTCTTTTCCTGTGGAAAGATACCTAGTAGTGGGATTGCTGAATCAAATGGCAGGTCTTTTAGTTCTTTAAGGAATCTACATACTATTTTCCGTAGTGGTTATACTAGTTATACTCACACCAGCAGTGTATCAGTGTTCCCTTTTCACCACATCCATGCCAACATTTATAATTTTTTTTGATTTTTTAATTATGGCCATTTTTGGAGGAGTAAGATGGTATGGCATTCTGGTTTTGATTTGCATTTCCCTGATAATTAGTGATATTGAGCATTTTTTTAATGTTTGTTGGCCATTTGTGTATCTTCTTTTGAGAATTGTCTTTTCATGTCCTTAGCCCACTTTTTGATGGGATTATTTATTTTTTTCTTGCTGATTGGTTTGAGTTTCTTGTAGATTCTGTATATTAGCCCTTTGTCAGATACACAGTTTGTGAGATTTTCTCCTACTCTGTGGGTTGTCTGTTTATTCTGCTGATTATTTCTTTTGCTATGCAGAAGCTTGACTGAAAGCTTTTATTATGAATGTGTGTTGAATTTTCTGAACTTATTGACATGATTATGTATTTATTTTGGCTGGGCGTGGTGATTCACGCCTGTAATCCCAGCACTTTGGGGGGAGGAGGCTGCAGTGAGCCAAGATCTAGCCATTGCACTGCAGCCTGGGCAACAAGAGAGAAACTCCGTCTCAAAAAATAAATTAATAAATATATATTTATTTTTTATTAATGTGGTAAATTACATCGATTAATTTTTGAATGTGTAAGCCAGTCTTGCATTCCTGAGATAAACCTAACTTGGTCATCATATCTAGTCTGATTTGATAAGTGAGTATTTTGTTTGTTTTGCACCTGTGCTCATGAGAGATCTGGGTCTGTGGTTTCCTTGTGACATTTTCATTAGGGTTTGTTATCAAAGATATGCCAGCCTCATAAAAAGAGTTTAAAGTGTTTTCTTTCTCTTCTGTTTTTCGGAAAAATTCAACAAAATCATGGCCAGGATTTTTATTTATGGGAAGGTTTTTAATTACATATTTAGTTTCTTAAATATTCTTTTGATTTTCCATTTCTTCTTATATTAATTTTGAAATGTTTTCTTTTTCTTGGAATTTATCTTTTACATTTTTATGTGCTCTGACATGAAGTTGATTAGTTTTTTAGAGAACTAATCTTTCCCTGTGTTGATTCTCTCTCGAATGCTAATTTCTATTGTGATATCTTCCTTGACGCATGAGTTATTTAGGAGTATATTGATTAATATTCTAACATTGGGATCTTCTATATGTGTTTAATTCTACTATGGTCAGCTAACAGACTCCGTTTCAATGTTTCTGAAACTCTGTGTTGGAGGACTTTGTTTTTTTCTCTCAATCTCTGGTGAACTGACAGCTTTTGTAAAATACAATGAAAATGAAATTATGAGAAAATTGAAGAAAAAAGTATGTATATAAGATCCAGGTTTTACAGGGGTACACTGTTATTTCAAACAGGTATATTTTCTAAACACTTAATCTCAATTTCCAAACCTATCTATGGTCTAATAGCAGTTGTAAGTCAACATTCATCCATGGAACACACTTTAAATAGCACCGTTTATTGTTATTTTAATCTTTGAAGTTTGTCGAGACTTGCTTTTAGCCTAGCACATGATCAGTTACAGTAAATGTTCCATGTGCAGTTTAAAAGAAGATATGTTCTGCACTTGCAGGGTGGAATCTTGTATGTGTGTCAGTTAAATCAAGTTTGTTGATGTTATTTAACTTCAGTGTTCTTACTCTTTCATTTTGTCTACTTGTTTTATGCATTATTGAGAAGAGGCATCACTCACTAAAATTGTAGATTTGTGGGTTTTTCCTTTTGGTTCTCTCCTTTTTTCCTTTGTATATTTTGAGGCTATCTTATTAGGTATATTCAGATTTACAATTGCTTTCTCTTACCAGTAGACTGACCCTTGTAACACTGTGAAATTGGCTGTTTTATTTTTGCATTTTACCTTAAAATGTACTTTATCTAATAATTAGTATAACAATGTCAGCGTTATTTTTGATAGTGTATATTTTTTTCTATTTCTTAAAAGTATAGTCTCTTATAACAATATATAACCTGCTGGATTTTTATTAATCAACTTTATTGAGATATAATTTATATAGAATAAAATGCACCCATTTAAACGCACAATTTGACAAGTTCTGGCAAATATATATGTGCATGTAATCACTAACAGTCAAGACATACACCATTTCCATAAGCTCCAAAGGTTCCTTTTTGCCCCTTCCCATTGCCAATCCCTCCCCACAGCCTGGGCAATCACCATTCTTCTTTCTGCCACAGACTATAGATTAAACATGTCTTTTCTAGAGTTTCATATATATCTGGAATAGTATTATATACTCTTCTGTGTCTGGCTTCTTTGAAGGAAAAAAGCAGTGCAGAATGTTGGGCTCATCATAGTGCATTTCCGTTATCTCCAGGATCTTGGCCCTCAAGACCTGACTGACTTGGTAGCCCTCCAGTGCTTTTATACTGATGTGTTTATATTTTATTTAGCTCTTCTAGTTGGGTGTCAGTGGGAGAGTTGGCCTTAAACATGATGGTTCACAATAGCCAGAAGCAGAAGACTTCTGGCCATATTTAGTGGTAGAAGTACAAAGATACAGAAATACTAAGGGTGAAGGTGAGTGTTCTAATTAAATGGAACCCACTGAATTCCCCTAGAAAACTGAGAGGGGTTGAAGAGTGTTATTTTTTTTGTTCTTTTTCTTTTCTTTTCTTTTCTTTTTTTTTTTTTGGAGATAGGGCCCCACCCTGTCGTCCAGGCTGGAGTGCAGTGGTGCGATCAAGACTCACTGCAGCCTCAACCTCCTGGGCTCAAGTGATCCTCCACCTCAGCCTCTCCAGTAGTTCAGACTACAGGTGTGCACCACCACACCCAACTAATTTTTTAATTTTTTGTAGAGACAGAGTCTTATTATGTTGCCCAGGCTGGTCTCAGACTCCTGGGCTCAAGTGATCCTCTCACCTCACCCTCCCAAAGTGCTGGGATTACAGGCGTGAGCCACTGTGTCCAGCCAAGAGTATTTTGTTTTCATTAAATTTAGGGTATGCATCCTATCCTATGTTATCAGTCAGGATTCACTGCCAGCAACTAGATATTATAACCAGGAGAGCATTTAGTACAGGTTACATATTGTTGGAAGATCTGAAGGAGCAAGTTCTACACTTGGCCTACAAGAATCATTCCTAAACAATTACAGAGCTACTCTGTCAGGGAAGCTGCTGCCTCACAGGCTGCCACTAGAACTGTGGGAGAAGCACAGTTGCTGCCACCACTATACCACACTCTTGCTTACTAGTAGTAATAATGATAAAGAGGTGCAGCAAGAAAGCCTTTCTCTCATTTCAGCCTTCCAAGTCCCACAAGAATGGCTCTAATTAATGGAACCTAATGTGAATCAAACACTACTTGAAGAGACTATAAGAATTGTAGTTTTGGACTGAGGAACTTTTCCAACTATTTAGAGGTAGAATGAGGGTCAAAAGAACCAGTCCAAAATGTCTACCATGTACATAAATTAAAAGCCCTCTAACTTAGAGTGAGTGGTAGAGAATTCAACGTTATTCTGAATAAATTGTCATGTCATTTTTTTCCTCTAACATTGCTATCAATAAGTATAATATTTAATAAGACTCTCTATCATCTGTGCCTTTGATTTTTTCCAACTGCTGAGTGAGCATAGTATGGCCTATGATTTAAATATCCATAATGCATATCAATTAAAGGTTATGTTTAAGTTCAGTTAATATTTTAATATTTGCTGAGGATATCCAAGACATCGAGGACATCACCCTGATAACTCTAAGAATTTAAACAGCTTACCACATTGACATTACCTAATTCCTGATTGCTAGATTGTCTTCAAAGATAATCATGAAATCAACATATTTCATAACCAAGTGCTTTAAACTTTTATCAGCTTTCTTTGTAACTCTTATAGCATATTCAGGGACATACTATGATATATTCCATAAGTGTTTATAGCAATTCAGATCTTGATATGAAAATGTCAGTTGTATCCTCAAGGGCAAAGAGGTAAATATAGCTTTCTCCAGCATTACCCCTTCTACCACAACACCATGTTTGTTGATCTATTTTCTTTGCTTTCTTTTCCCTTCATAAGCTGGGTGGTATGGTATCAATAAAAGGCCAGAAAAAAGTCAGAACAATTTACACCAATACTAGCTAGATGCTTTTTGGTTTGTTGTAAGCTACTGAGACCTTATGATATTTTCAGCAGCTATAGATGGTTTGCACTTAAGGGGAGAATACAAAATAAAAAACACAAAGAGACTGGTGAGCTGTAATATGATTGTTAGTCTAAGCATTAAACAATGACAGTATTGAGGACTAGAAGTTAGAAGGTATATGATGTTTAGCTTTCATGTGACAGTTTGGTGCTAGTATTTTTGTATGTAGGTTCTGTTTGTGATTTACAATGATTCTGCATTTGAAATTCACCTCAATTTTCCTCTTGCTGTTTGCATTAGAAAGAATTCATTGCAAAGAACTCTAAAAAAGAACTGACTTAATTTTATTTTTTGCACTGTAAATCCAAAACTACACTCTGTAAATATTCGAATAGAATCATTTCAGAGAACAAAAAAAATTTTTTGACATTATTTTTATCTCTCATTTATTAAGATTAGATCATTTATCTCTATTAAGTAAATAGGTTTTTGGCACTGGGTAGTATATAGTTGCCTTTTTAAACATACATTTTATTTTTGTGACATTATAAGACTTGATTAATACTTTAAAAGACCCCTTGGATTGATTTACCTTCTTCAAAAAGATACCCGTTTTCACAGATGAATGTGTCTTTAAAAAAAAAAAAACAGTCATGGAAAAGACTGTTATTTTACTTGCCTAACCATCCACTTAATTTTAGAAAATTCTCTGGTCAAATACTTGAAAGGTGAATGTCTGACCAGTGCAGTAGTTGAATGTTGTTCAAGTTATTCCTGATTATAACTTTCTTTCATCATTTTTCTCAGAGGTTTTTTTTTATTGTTGGGTAGTTGTAGGACTTCACTAATCAAGTTTAATTTATACTGTTTTGATTTCTAGTTAGCTTATAAAATAATTTGTCAGAGGATTAATGTGTGAGACAATATTCAAAAAAGAGTATTTTTATATTTTGGGGACTTTAAAGTATGTCAATGATGAAATGTATTTTAATTCATTTTTCTTTGTTCTCTCAGGTGGATCTCCTTACGTAGCAGCCAAAATAAATGAAGCAAAAGACTTGCTAGAAACAACCACCAAACATTGATGCTTAAGGACCACACTGAAGGAAAAAAAAAGAGGGGACTTCGAAAAAAAAAAAAGCCCTGCAAAATATTCTAAAACATGGTCTTCTTAATTTTCTATATGGATTGACCACAGTCTTATCTTCCACCATTAAGCTGTATAACAATAAAATGTTAATAGTCTTGCTTTTTATTATCTTTTAAAGATCTCCTTAAATTCTATAACTGATCTTTTTTCTTATTTTGTTTGTGACATTCATACATTTTTAAGATTTTTGTTATGTTCTGAATTCCCCCCTACACACACACACACACACACACACACACACACG
Source organism: Homo sapiens (assembly GCF_000001405.40). Taxonomy (NCBI): domain Eukaryota; kingdom Metazoa; phylum Chordata; class Mammalia; order Primates; family Hominidae; genus Homo; species Homo sapiens. The sequence continues at coordinate 43,107,558 of NC_000013.11, forward strand.
TGCAAAAAATATGATCAAGAATGCAATTGGGATTTGTGAGCAATGAGTAGACCTCTTATTGTTTATATTTGTACCCTCATTGTCAATTTTTTTTTAGGGAATTTGGGACTCTGCCTATATAAGGTGTTTTAAATGTCTTGAGAACAAGCACTGGCTGATACCTCTTGGAGATATGATCTGAAATGTAATGGAATTTATTAAATGGTGTTTAGTAAAGTAGGGGTTAAGGACTTGTTAAAGAACCCCACTATCTCTGAGACCCTATAGCCAAAGCATGAGGACTTGGAGAGCTACTAAAATGATTCAGGTTTACAAAATGAGCCCTGTGAGGAAAGGTTGAGAGAAGTCTGAGGAGTTTGTATTTAATTATAGTCTTCCAGTACTGTATATTCATTCATTACTCATTCTACAAATATTTATTGACCCCTTTTGATGTGCAAGGCACTATCGTGCGTCCCCTGAGAGTTGCAAGTATGAAGCAGTCATGGATCATGAACCAAAGGAACTTATATGTAGAGGAAGGATAAATCACAAATAGTGAATACTGTTAGATACAGATGATATATTTTAAAAGTTCAAAGGAAGAAAAGAATGTGTTAAACACTGCATGAGAGGAGGAATAAGTGGCATAGAGCTAGGCTTTAGAAAAGAAAAATATTCCGATACCATATGATTGGTGAGGTAAGTGTTATTCTGAGATGAGAATTAGCAGAAATAGATATATCAATCGGAGTGATTAGAGTGCAGGGTTTCTGGAAAGCAAGGTTTGGACAGAGTGGTCATCAAAGGCCAGCCCTGTGACTTACACTGCATTAAATTAATTTCTTAGAACATAGTCCCTGATCATTATCACTTTACTATTCCAAAGGTGAGAGAACAGATTCAGATAGAGTGCCAGCATTGTTTCCCAGTATTCCTTTACAAATCTTGGGTTCATTCCAGGTAAACTGAACTACTGCATTGTTTCTATCTTAAAATACTTTTTAGATATCCTAGATGCATCTTTCAACTTCTAACATTCTGTAGTTTAGGAGTTCTCAACCTTGGCATTATTGACATGTTAGGCCAAATAATTTTTTTTGTGGGAGGTCTCTTGTGCGTTTTAGATGATTAGCAATAATCCCTGACCTGTTATCTACTAAAGACTAGTCGTTTCTCATCAGTTGTGACAACAAAAATGGTTCCAGATATTGCCAAATGCCCTTTAGAGGACAGTAATCGCCCCCAGTTGAGAACCATTTCAGTAAAACTTTAATTACTATTTTTTCTTTTGGTTTATAAAATAATGATCCTGAATTAAATTGATGGAACCTTGAAGTCGATAAAATATATTTCTTGCTTTAAAGTCCCCATACGTGTCCTACTAATTTTCTCATGCTTTAGTGTTTTCACTTTTCTCCTGTTATCCTTGTACCTAAGAATGCCATCCCAATCCCCAGATGTCCACCTGCCCAAAGTCTAGGCATAGCTGAAGGCCAAGCTAAAATGTATCCCTCTTTTTCTGGTACATGCAGCAAAAGTAATATGAATTATCAGCTTTCTGAGAGCAGGCATTGTATCTGTCTTGTTTGGTGTTACATTGGCACCCAATAAATATTTGTTGAGTGAATGAATAAATTCCCATAGCACTTTATTCTTCACATGGTACATAACTATAGGGGCTATAGCTTGGTACCTTGTGAAGCAACTCTTGGTGTAACATACCTTATTTCTCATACTAAAATGCAAGAACCTTTAGAGCAAGGATCTTGCCATTCATCTTTGTAACCTCTTTACTCTGGAGCACTTGCATTTAGCAGGCATCATAAAGTTTTACGTACCAAGAAAATGTTGCTGTTTTCTGAATACTATGCATCAAAAAATGTTACCACTAATTTTTAAAGCTCTGCTAAGGAATATTGGGGCACCCTCAGATGCACCTTTTAATTGATGTCATATTTTCCTAATCCATACTTTATTCATGAGAATTTGAGTCACCCCAGCATTAGCTTGGAATTTCCTTATTTCCCATTTGCTTTGCAGGTGCCTTGGAGTCAGATCTGGTTTTGAATACTATCTTCCTGTTATGTGATCTTGGGCAGTTACTTAATTTTCTAGTCAATAACCCGTATCTATAAAATAGAGAAAATAATCCTACACACCGGGGCCTGTTGTGGGGCGGGGAGAGGGGGGAGGGATCGCATTTGGAGATATACTAATGTAAATGACAAGTTAATTGGTGCAGCACACCAACATGGCTCATGTCTACATATGTAACAAACCTGCACGTTGTGCACATGTGCCCTAGAACTTAAAGTATAATAAAAAGAAATTTTAAAAAATCCTGTCAAATAAGGTTATAGTAGAGAATAAGGATGTGTAAAGCATTTAGTCACGTAAATGCTTAAAAAAATGTAATTTTTACTTCTTTCACTGCCTCATTTAATTAGTTTTATCTTTAATAATACCTTGGATTCAGGGTAAAGTTTCAGTTATGTCCCAGTAATCATTTATTTTACCCTCGAATCTGCAATTTGGATAGAACATGGTGGGGACAGCTCGTCTCTATTCCTTGCAGCATTAACAGGCTGGAGGCACCACTTCTCTGGCCAGCAAGTTGGGCCTGGTTGTTGGCTGAGAGCCTCAGTTCCTTTCTGCACAGGTTCCTCTTTACATAGGCTTCTCAACAGGGCTACTAGAGCATCGTCACCATAGCAGCTGTCTTATAACAGAGAGTGGTCGGTCTGAGAGACAAAAAATGGAAGCTGCCAAATTGTTCTGGGTCTGGAAACTGTCAGGGCATCACTTGTGCCATATTCAGTTGGCCTAAGAATTACAGAGCCTGCCTCGATTCAAAGGGAGAGGATAGAGAGGACTGAAGGAATCAGTGCTCATCTTTAATATGCAGCAGGACAGGTTTGGGATTTTTTTTCCCCCTTGAGTCTGTGAAGGCATTACTTAAGAACAAAGTCAGGCATGTATAATTGAACTACAGTTACTTGAAATATAAGCCCAGAAAGTTTCAGATAATAAATACAACTATTTTTCTGCTGTTACCCTTGTACCTAAAGATGCCATCCTAATCCCCAGATCTCCACAACTATACCTACATAGTAGAAGGTTAAAATGTATCCCTCTTTTTCTGGTGCATCCAGCAAAAGTAATATCATGAATTATGAGCTCTCTGAGAGCAAGGATCATATCAGTCTTGTTTATTGTTGCAGTGAACAAGTACAGTTGCAGATATTCAGGAGTAATTATCTAAATGGCAGTAGGCTTATAAAACTGAATTTTCACCAGCCACACCCTCCCCCCAACTCCTTATCTGTAAAAAGCTTATTTGAGTGGTTACCTGTCTTCAGTAAAGATTGCGCTTGCATATTTGCTGTCATTGCATATTCTGCTTAATTAAGCTCTGTTGATATTGCAGTTTCTGTGCATACTTACATCTTAGATGCAATCTGAGGGCCTAGGAAGGCCTTTTAAAAATAAAACAATTCCGATTGCAGAGAAAGTGTAAGTCAAGGACAGTTAATTCAAGGGGAACATAGAAAGCTATTTAGATTTTAGTTGATGGTGCCAGTCTTCAGCGTAAAGTCAAAAGTGGAGGGAAGTTTAGTAAGGAAAAAATGTTGGGCTTGGAATACATTGTTTAGTCTTCAAAGCACTTTACTTTTTATGAAATATATTTTAGACATTCAGCAAATATTGAATACTTACTATATCAGGCAGTAAAGATATAAATTCATTCTTAAAATGTGCAACATGTTCAAACTGAAAAAAATACATTCTTAAACAGGAAACTTTTTCCTTCATACTTTTTAATTAACAAGACATATAAGAGTTGCATTAATGGGCGTGCTTATGATTGATCACCCAGCAGCATCATTAGAAATAATATATTTTATTCATGTGCAGAAATCTTTTGGTTGTCCTGGGGAACCTTGAACACAGAAAAGAGCTTTTATTGATAAGGTAATTGAACACACTTGACAATTAGCTTAATATGGTTTAATACCATTTGTGGGAGAAGATGAATCAGCCAGGCTCTTTACGTCAAGAATATGAAGTTTCTCTTGAGTCAACCAACTTAAGATGAGCTACGGAGACTGCAGTGAAAAGTTAAATATCCAAGTACACCAGCCAATTTCACACAGTGGAACCATGCTGTCCTCGGGCACCCTGCACCTCGCCCAACAGTCATCAACTAGATGGAGGCTCCTGGCTGCAAGGAGGATTTGATGGGAATGAGTAAATGTGTCAGCATAGTCCGTCCCTTCTAATGGAAAAGCAACCCAAAGAGCAAATCCTATTAATGGCTGGATCAGTATCATCTACTTGTCAAAAACATTCCATGAATTATGAGTCAAAATTTTATTTATGGTGGCATTACACACATTAAGAGATGAGGACTTCTGTTAGCATAATTTATTAGCTGGAAAAGTTGAGAAGGTTCTCTGGACTCATTTTTATAGGTGGAACCTAAGTGATCTGGATAATTGCCCACCAGCAAAATTGCTGGGCATGGTGGACAAAGAAAATGTTCCTTCTAATGATTTTTTATGAGCTGAGTAGCTATTGTTCCCAGCTGAGTGCTCTTTTCCTCTTTTTATTGTTGCTGAGCAAAAGAATTTATAAAAAGCTCTTTCTTTTGTATTAAAAACCCTGCTCAATTGAAATGCAAGTTCATTAAGTAATCTTCATTTCTCTTCCTGCCATAATAACCCTTTCCCTCTCTGTTCGATTCAACAGTATCTAGCAGCACTGCTCCAAATTTTAAGTCTGAACAGACTATATTACATAGATGTAGAGAAATACTCAATCTTCAGCATTAAGAGGGAGCTTAATTTCACACGGGTGGAATATGATCACTCAGGCTAGATGTTGGCCATAAATTTCAAATTAGTATCTCAACTTAGCAGGGGGGATCAACAGTGGCAAACTTCAATTATGACAGGATAAAAATCACATAGAGATATTGGTTCAATATGGACATCTAAACTATAATGCTAAAAGCCAATAATTAGAATAAGTTCATTTTAAGAAAAGCATTAATAATATTAGCTAACGTTTAGTACCTGTGCCAAACATTCTACCTATGTTACCTTGATTTTCATAGCCAGCCTAAGAGGTACTATTATGTATCCCCATTTTACAGGTTAAGAAACAGGCTCAGAGGAGTTTAGGATCTTTTCCAAGATTACATAGCCAGTAAGTGGTGGCACTAGGAACCAAATTCAGACTCTGAATCGCATGCTGTTTATATTATATTGCACTCATTCTAAATATGTGGGAATCAGAATGAAGGGGCTTGTATGACTTTTGGCTCATTTTTTGATGCATGTGACCTGGGATTATAAATGTGAAATTAGGTTTACGAAAGGATCCAGTGTCATTGTGCATCATGGGCAAGGAGTACCTAATCTCTTTAATTCTTCCCTGGAAGCTTACGATGTCCATCCAAGTGCACATAGCAAAAGTTCTGTTGTAAAGTTTAGCAGAGTGACTTTCTTTGACTCAGAGTGATGACGGAGGAAGCTTTGATAAGATTTTATCTGAAATGTTCATGGACAAGAGCTTTCAAGGAGAACATCCAGAGCAAGGTTCTGAAGACAGCTCATGAAGGTGAAGCAGCAGACCTGGCACAAGAAATGAAGAGAGAGCTCAGTGTATTAAAGATGAAAACAAGAAAACCGAATATATTGAAAGGAGCAGAGAGGCAATGAAAACAAGACAACTGAAATGAGGTAACTTGCAGCAATTGAAAGGGAATTTCAGTACTTTTATAGAATTCTTAAAAATTGTTTCCTGCTGTTTATTTTCAATTTTGAACAGGGTTATTTGTCCATGCCATACTTTTTTTGCCAAATTCCAAAATTGTGTATAGTTCTATAGTTGTCTGGTGGAGTCAATGGAACTTTAGTTACCAGTCTAAGAATGTGTCTTTGAGATTGTCCAGTTAATTCTCTATTTCCAGTAGCTGTAATAAATGGTGAAAAGGTTTCTGACTCCTGGAGAAAGTTTCTAACTCCTTATGACTAATATTCATAACAGACTTGTGAGTTCCTTGAACATGGATACACCTATATGCAAGAGTGTATTCCAAAGCTAACTCAGTGATCTTTCCATTTATCTATTCTTGGATTAGTGGTGCCTTTGCTCTTTCCTTCTGTAAATGTGAATAGTTAAGAGTTGACTGCAGAAGTGTTTACACTTTGGCTTCCATGCCTCTGGAATGTTTGTGCTTTGGTGGTGAGATGTGAGACTATATTTGTATAGTCTGCATCTCTCAGGCTGCCCCAGAATGTTGTACAGTGCAGTGCTGAAGAAAGCAGCAGGTACACACAGAAATGCAGCCTTTCCTGGTTAACCCTGCTTGGATCTGAGTTACACTTTGTTTCCTGACTTCTTGGGACTTAGGTAATCAGTTTGCCTTCTACTCTATCTCATTTTGTACTCGCTTACATACTACATTCTTGTTTGGGCTTTCGTTTCTTCTTGTAAGCAGAGATTTTTTAAAATCCAATATGTGAAAATACGGATGCACTACAATTAAATAAATAAAATGCTGTTGTGTTTGTTTTGCTTTAAAATTGTAAAGGATAAACAATAAGATAGTTTTATCTATGTGGTTTTCCCGATGCAGTTAAAATAAAACCTAATCTGCTAAAATTGAATTTACACTCAATTTTTCTGTTGTATAATTCTTGAAGAACACCTCATGTGTTGTACAACTTCATCTACATTGTGAACTCTTTTATTTATTGAAAGTCTATCTTAGTCTTTCACTTTTTCTACACTTCCCTTTACTTCCTCATGAGATGCTCAGCCCAGTTGTCCCTCAGGACACAGTATCGATTGGTTCACTTTTAAAAGCAACTGTTAGAAACCCAAATCATAGACATGTGAATTTTCTCAGAAGCCATTATTGAAACTTGGATTTTTACCTCTCATACCAAAATAAAGAAGGGAAAAAATAGAAATCAGCCCAACAATACTTTTAAATTGATTTTTATATTTATGTTGTAATGCAAATACCAAAGAAAAGTGCCTAGTTCCTTGGTTTATTTACTTATATCTTGCCTCTGTTATCTTCATATCAATTTTTGGCCTTAGCACTTTTGACTGCATAAAGAACTCTAAACATAGGCAATGGTAATAGAAATGCTGACACATCTGAACTGTCAGGCCCAGAATATATTATTGAATATGACTGCACAAATGCCTGGAACCTATACTTAGCGTAAAGAATAAGGCTGCTGTTTTCAACTTCCAACAGGAGGAGAGTACAGACATATGTGCCCTCTGTTTCCCCTCTCTGGCTCTTTCATTGTCTTTCCCCTATGTGTGCATGCAGGCAGGCACACATACAAACACATCCTGCCCCATGAAGTGGTCACATCTTAATATCTACTAAGGCCAGTTAGACATTCTGTGGGCCGAGTGTATGTTGCAGTTGCTTAACTGGCCTAAAGGTCTCATGATATCATGGGCACTATCGAGTGATGTTTCCAAATCTGTAGAAGGAGGAGGACTGGTAGTGTTGGGCTTGCATAACATAAAGGGCCTGTCTACCATAAAACAGGAGCTTGGATTTGTTTTTTTCAGGAGATGAATATGTTTTTCACAGCAGTCTAGTGAATTAAGAACAATACACAGAATCCCACAGCGAGCGTGTTCTATTTGAATCTGTTGATGGGATTTATGTATGGAACAACAATTTTCTGTATAGACATAATTGAATACATATTACCATGATCTGAAACCATGCAAGAATATGTATGGTGTGTGGGAAACCTGAAGACAGATACAACTGATGAAATTATTAGTTTACATTTTTTATTCAAAATATTTGTGAAGCAGCTATTCCCTACATATGCTCTATGTAGAAATGCAGAGACAAGTAGATGATTATAATGTGTCACCATCTCTTTTTTGGACTGATTTTTTTTTTTTAAAGACGGAGTTTTGCTCTTGTTGACCAGGCTGGAGGGCAATGGCACAGTCTTGGCTCACCGCAACCACCGCCTCCTGGGTTCAAGCGATTCTCCTGCCTCAGCCTCTCGAGTAGCTGGGATTACATGGACTGAATTTTTAATAGAGCAGGAATGCCAAAAGGGAAGTCCCTCAGATCTGGTGTGTGGCTCAATAATGCGCTCAGTTCCATGCAGCTTCTTCCCTTAGGGCTCTGAGTAAAGTCTCTGGTGCCAGAAGGTATGAGGGTCTCTTGTATTTAATAATATCAAGGGAGTACAGTGTTTTCCCTCAAAGCCTGGCCAGCAGTTACTCCTGGAGAAAGAAGAACAATCTGGTTGACAAATGTGTCACCCATGTAAACTCACCAGAAATATCTAGAGCCATGAACACCTAGTGGGGTCAGCAATAGGTCAGGCAGTAATTGCTCAGTGCCTCGTTCGCTAGCAGCAGTGGGAACTGCTGTAGTGTAAATTGGTTTTAGGGGCCAAATTGATCAACCAAAAGAGGCTTAGAGATTTTTGGTGTTTGAGTTACTGACGAGGGTTCCAACTTTCTGGATCACGTGATGAAATGCATGGCAGTTGACTCTGCTATCCTCTAGGTTTTGTGTCTCCCTTCCAACCCCCATCAGCAACCGTTTCTTGTTCTTGAGGCTGCTTAGCCTAAGAACTTTTGGTCTTTGCTGTCTGGGAGTTACAAATCCACAATGGCAGTGAAAGCTTTTCTTTCTCCCTCATCCTTTGTCCTTTCCTACTTTTGGCCTTTTTTTGCTTTTGCACCAGTTACACTTGTGTCCATCTGCTAGACACCCACAGCATCAGGGTGCTTGGGCGTGGTTCCTGCTGGGCAGTTGAGGAGCTCTGGGTCCACGACCCAGCTCTCCAAGCCGCCTCACCTTGCTTTCCCCTTCTGAAATACCACTCACCTACCTGCCCACAGAGGGAGACAGTGAGACTAACGAGAAGGGCATAGGGAGTAATGAGAAGAAATGCACAGCGTGTTCTGGACTCCTCGAAGAGAAGTGTTTGTTCAAGGCATTATTAATATTTTTGCAAGGCACAGTAACATTGATTTTTTCATCCAAGAACCATTTCGCATTTGCACAGAGTAGTCACTAGAGTGTTGAACCATTTTCTTTTATACATGGAGGAAGTGGCTCATCCTCGGCCTAAGAGCACCAAATTTGAGTTGGCATTTTTTATTTCCAGTTCCAGGCATGAATCTTTGCTCCATTTTGCAGGTAGCTGGAAAATCTTCTGTTTGTTTAAATCCACGTTGGGTAATACTGCATCATTTTAAGTTTTCTATCTGGAGCCCGGTACAGGAATTCACCAATGCCAAGCACGGACTCTGTGCATAGATGCCTTGTATAGGCTCCAAGCTGCAAGCCTCCCACACTGATGGATTTAAATTTTTATTTTACATCCCAGCCAATCAGGTGTCTGACTATAACTTGAAGCCAATTAGTATTTTTCACAGAGCCAGGTGCAAAGCTGCCAGGTAACATCTGCAAGTGACTTGCATTGCTCTAATGGGATCTGCATATGTTCAGCTCTGTATGAAGATGTTTTTCACTTGACATGAAGTCATCTTTGGTCTTGTTCTCCCTCGACTCCATTAAGCAGACACACCTACGTGTGTGGCCAATTTGATCCACTTTCAAAGGAGGATGGTGCCTAGTGTTTCTTTTCATGATCTATTATTTATGCTGATGCCTCTTGGAAAACTGTATCTACCCATCCAAAGTGCTTTGAGAGGGGAGGGGAAGGGGTGTGGCAACACATCTCTCAGTTACTATCAAGGCATTTTCTGATAATACGTGGCCCAACCTAAATTATCCAATAAAGATTTACTTGAGGACTTTGTAAATTTCTTTTAAAAAATATATCTGATGGAGGCAATTTTTTTCTCAAAGAACATACCTGAGTTCCTTTAACTTTGAGGAACAAAGACGTGGGTTCTAGTCTCCTAGTTTGCAGCTGATGAGCTATGTGGCTCTAGGCAGGACAGCCTTTGCTGAGCCACTTGCATAGGTGCTCACTGATGGCCATAGGACCTGTAGAAGGAGCACACCTTTCCGAGTCACACTGACCTCAGTTTGAATCCCTGACCCTCTCTGTTGGCACAGTCATCTTGTGGAAGTTTTGTGACCTCTCTTTTGGTTTCCTGACCCATGAAATGGGTATAATAATACATACCTCAGAGGGTTATTTGGAGAGTTTAATGCTTTCATATAGACATGCCTGCTTAGTGCCTGTACATGATAGCTTTTCAAAAACTGCTCATCTTCACAGCCTGTCTTTTTTACTCCACTGCTTTTATTTTATTTCAAGTACTATACAAATATTCCAAGTGGATTTTTAAAAGAATGGATAACTACCAGTATTTCCAACATCCTAACCTCAACTATATTCTTTTTTTCTGGGGTCTCTTCTAGTACATATTCACATAAAGCCTTAGGAATTGATCTTATAGGAAATGCCTGTAGGCAAATATGCTCATCTCTAGACTGGAAATTGAACCAAAGTATTTTACAACGACACTGTGGCTAAATAAGAAAACGTGTTTAACAGCTGAAAACGTCATCCAAGAGCATTTAGAGGAAAAAAGAAACAGTCCTTTGGCCAGGATTATGGCAAAGCAAGGTATGATAATATTAACGGCTGTTAATTACTAAGTGCCTGATATTTGTGCCAAACATTCTTTATATTATTTCTTTCATCCTTATAGCACCCACTTAGCTATGCATCTCTTTTCAAATAATGTTTTCAAATGCATAACAAAAAAAAATTTCACAGGAAACCAATTAGTTTAAAACAACATTTTTTATAAAATTGAAAAACATTTGTGATATAGTAACGTATGTGCCTCATTATTAATGCATTAAATTTCAAGATTTATTTCACAAAGAAGGGGTTCAAGAGCATAAGTACTTTTCATAGAACCACATGGTCAGGAAGGCTTCTGCTCCCAGGTCTTCTACCTGCATAGTCTGTCCTCTTACCCCCTTATCCTGCTGCCTGAAGACACTTAGGGAGCTTAAGACTCTTAGCCTAAGTTCCTGAAAACTTCTCTCCTGGCTTAAAGTGAATGCTGGGTAATTTATTTAGTCTGCTCGGGGTAGTCATTCATTCCAACATGATTGTAGTCCAAGGACCTCCCTTCCTTTCAGAACATTTGTCACTTGTCATGTTGCATTTAGGACGCCAGAGGAGGCATCCAGTGAAATGAACAGGAGGCACTTTTGTGACAAATAGACTTCGGAAGCCAAAGCTGGAACTGGAAAAGACCTTGCAGATCTTCAATCCTCCTTAAGGTGCAGCCTGATGGATTTCCAGATCCGTGACATTTTTTAAACACTTGATCACAGCAAAAAGAATAAACACTGATTTAAAAGGAAGACGCCGGGCCTAGGTGTAAGAGAGAATGTTGCCATTTTTATGTCATCTTCACAGGGAAATAGCAGATTTCATGAACTCAGACTTTGGAGAAAGGCTAATGTGGATTTAAATTCCAGGTCATATACTTACTTGTGTGGCTTTGGACAATTTACTGTAAAATGGAGGTATATCACCTACTTCACAGGATTACTGTGAGAATGAAATAAAAGTGATGCGTGTAACACATTGACACTTGGCTGGCGCTCCGTAAATGTGTGCACAATACAATTCCTTTCACTAAACCAGTGATCCTCTGCTTTGCCTGTTTCTTAGAATCCCCTGTGTACCTTTTACAAGTTCTAATGCCCAGACAGCACCCCGGACCATCAGACTTTTTGGGGTGGGAGCCACGCAACAGTATTTCTCCATATCCAGCCAACGTTGAGCATCCCTGGACTAGATGCAGGCTGAGTGAGGCCCAGGCACAGAGGGCAGCCTGTCTGCAAGGGCTCTGCAGGAACACAGCTCAGGACGGCAGCAGGGGTCAGGGCCTGGGGCAGTGTGGACCTCTCAGCTCACTCCAAGAGCTGCAGGCAGGACCATCCCCAGGGCGTAACTGAGGGCAAATCACTCTGAGGGCTTTTCTTCTGCCACAGCACTTTTATACAAGCGAAACAGAAAAAAAGGGCAGCCTGGAGAAAGATTATGATCAAAGCAGGCAGCTTAAAGAGTGATGGTAAGGAAAGGGGAAAGGAGACAGCCAAACGGGGTGGTGAGAACCAGCCTGCACCCGCACATCTGACTGTGAAGGCTCTCTGACTTTCAGTGCAACTGTCCAAAGTGATCGTCTCTTTCACCCGCTCAGAAGTCAAGGACTGGGAGACTCATTATTTTGAATAGAGTTTCCCCGAATCATTATTGGGAAGTTCAAGTGTGGTCCCAGGATCAGCAGTGCAGCATCATCGGAGAGCTGGTCAGAAATGCAGAATCTCAGACCCTGCCACAGACCTGCTGAGTCAGAATCTCGAGTGGTGGAGCCTAGGAATACGCATTTTAACAAATTCACAAGTGAGCATGATTGAGAAGCACTGCTGTGTATAGTGAAAATAGAGCAAACTTTAGGGGCAAACAGCACTTTTGAGTTTGAGCCCTGGCTCTTTCACTTACTGTGTGATCTTTGAAAGGTTGCTTAACTCCTCTGAACTCGTGTTTCCTCATTTGTAAATTGGGGATACAAAGATTTACCTTAATAATGGAGTCCAAGGAAATTGTGAATGAAATAGAGGGGGGTCTTTGGACTTGGATTGGAAAAAAAATCATTTTTGTTTTTCACAAATTTCTAACTAAAATTTAGCATTTTCTTTTATTATGAATGTCAGCAACATTTGTTAGCAGCCTGTGACTTTGTCACCAGAACAAGCCACACATATTTCTTTTTCTATTTCTTTCTTTTTTTTTTTTGAGACAGAGTCTCGCTCTGTCGCCCAGGCTGGAGTGCAGCGGCACAATTTCGGCTCACTGCAAGCTCTGCCTCCCGGGTTCACGCCATTCTCCTGCCTCAGCCTCCCGAGTAGCTGGGACTACAGGTGCCCGCCACCACGCCTGGCTAATTTTTTGTATTTTTAGTAGAGACGGGGTTTCACTGTGTTAGCCAGGATGGTCTCGATCTCCTGACCTTGTGATTCGCCCACCTCAGCCTCCCAAAGTGCTGGGATTACAGGCGTGAGCCACTGCGCCCCTATATTACATTACAGTTGTTACAGATAACTCCAAATATCATTTGTATTCATCCAGTTCAAAATTACAGTTGCTTTTAAACTTGCCGCTAGATATTTAATGCATTAGTAATGAGGCACATACACCATGATATCACAAATGTTTTTTAATTTTATAAAAACTGCATTTTGAATTAATTGGTTTCCTTTATAATTTTTTTTATACGCAGTTGAAAACATTATTTGACGAGAGGTCCATAGACTCATGGCACAAAACACTTTCAAAAGCCCTCCCTGCCTGGAAAGTTGTTGTGATGATTTAGTGATGGAATCAAATGTGTCCAGCACTTTTTAGTGATTCAAATAACAGTGCCCTGATTGTCCTCCCCAACATTGTCACGTCTTGCTTTGTGCTAAGCCTGGGCCAAAGATTCTCTAGACTTTCCTGGGGGTGTGTGAGAATACACACTGTCTGGTCAACTTTCCCTGCAGGCATTTCTCTGGCTAATCCTGGTTTTATGGAATGAGAGCTGTTGTGTGTTGAGTGCCTGCTCTTTGCCAGATTGGTGAAGTATGCTGCCTTGAATCACATGGCCAGTTAAGTGGGAAAGCAGGTGGGTGGTCTCCATGCTGCCATGTATATTCCTGGGTGGAGCTAAGTCCAGATGTTGGCGGACAGACTAAGGACTCCTGCATCCTCCTAGTTCAAGAAGATGACAGAAGGGCTATCAGTGAAATCACTAAGCACCTACAATCTCTTAGTTCTTGTACATTCAATAAGCATTAATTAAGCACTTACTATGTGCCTGGCCCTATGCTAGTCACTGGGATACGCAGCTGGATAGGCCGTGAGCCTTGGCTCTAAGAAGACTCTATGGGCCCTGGGAGCAGAGAAGGGTATCCCCTAAACCAGTGGGGCAGAGGTGGGGACTGAAACAAGGTTCCCCTGAGCAGGTGGTTAATTTGTCAAATTGGCTGGGCACTGTAATGCCCCGGTGTTTGGTCAAACATTATTCTGGATGTTTCTGTGGGGTGTTTTTGGATGAGATTAACATTCTAATGGGAGGACTTTAAGTAAAGCAGATTGCCCGCCATAATGTGGGTGGGCCTTATCCAGTCAGTCAAAGACTTTCATAGGACAAATACTGACCTCCTCCAAGCAAGAAGGAATTCTGCCAGCAGACAGCCTTCCGACTTCAGCTGCAGCGTGACTTCTTCCCTGGGTCTCCAGCCTGGTGACCCACCTGGCAGATTTTCAACTTTCCAGCCTCTATAACCTCCTGAGCAAATCTCTTAAAATGGATCTCCCCTTCTATCTGCACCTCCCATTGATTCTGTTTCTCTGGAGTGCCCTAATACAAAGTCCAACTGGCTATATTCATTTGTGATTATGCTCCTATGTGCTTTACTTTTTATTTGATTATGTCTCATTACACAGTTCCTGTCCTGGGGTTCTGGGCCCCTGAGGGATTTTCATTTTATTACATAGACCCCTTGTGACAATGGTGTATCTGGGCTAATGTAACCAGTGCTGTTTCACTGGGCACAAACTATTTGGGGTGCACTGGGAAGCATACATGTAGGAGGGAAAAGGAAAGACATTTATTAGTGCCCACTGAGTGCCAGGCCCTGTGCATTTTACACTAATTTCAACCTCTAATACTCGGTATACAACAAGGTACACAGAATTATTCCCATTGCACAGACAAAGAAACTGAGGTCTGGAAAGGGTAAGTGACTTGTCTGAGCACACCCTGCTAATAAGAAGAATCAAAGATGGCACCCAAATCTCAGGATCTGCCTGACACCCAAGACACCCGAGGCCAGGCTCTTTAAAACATAAAATGCTGTTTCACACAAAAGGTGCCAGGCCAAGGGAAGAGGAGCCCCTTCTCAGGACAGTTGTGGTTCCATAGTCCATTAAACCTTCCCACCACCAAGGGGCCCTGCAGCCACCCCACCCCCTCCCATGAGAGATCCTCTGCACCTTGCTTGAAGCTCATCAGGAAGGTCACCAAATTGTAAAACAAAGGAATCCTTCAGTCTCAGGAGGATCTTTGAAACACCGCACCTCAATCCTTGGCCCCAGAGCCTAGGATCCACCCAGGGCTCCAGGGCCTCAGGCATTTGGCCCATCAAGTGCTGCTTGACTCCTCTGTATCTCACCCCATTGTGACCCTGGCATTTTGCTCAGCTGATGAGGATATCATGTCGGGCAGCATTGCAGCTCTTGTGCAGCCCGGGAGATTGCATCTATTGTTGTTTCCTTATCTGTGTGCTCTTTCATTCTATCAGACAAGGAAATTAAATTGGTCTGGCACCATTTGCTCTCTAGAAAGCTACTTTGGCTGCTAAATCCACCAAAGGGGGTGGATTTATTTGGGTGTTTCTTTCCTAAGTGAGTGAACAGGCCTTTTCAGAGCCGCCCACAATTAACTGAAAGGCCCGAGCTGCTGTGCCAGGCCCACCTGTTGTGGGGATGGAAGCCAAATGGGGCAGATGGGATCGAAGCGGGGCCAGAAAAATAGCCTCTTAATTTAGCACCAGAGTCCTCTCCCACTCTGCTCCAGCCCCCCTACAACTGGAAAAATGTGGAAGGCACAAATATGAGTCAGAGAAAACCATCCAGGAACCTGGGTGTTAAAACCCCACCTCCAGACTGCAGCAGGGAACGTTAGGAAAAAAGGGCTGAAAACCGAACATCAATATTGGTTTTGCTCCTGATGCCTGGAAGGGTCTCCCTTGCCTTGTCCTCTTCATGAATGAGCATTCACCTCTTCATCCTCCAAAGGGGGCCCTCGCAGTTTTCCGCAGCCTCCGCGTCCCCATGTCCCCAGGCAGAGAGCCCACTGGCCCTTTTGCATCTCCGGCATGTTGAAATGACCTGTTGGCATACTTACGGGCTGATATTATTATGGTTTTTTTTTTTTTTTTTTGATTTGCCCCAAAAAGGAGTTGAGGTGGATTACAAACTTATAACTGAACTTTAAAATAAATCACTCACTTGAAAGTTGGTGGCAACTTTCAAGATCAGGGCAAAAGGAAATAAGAAAAATTTATGTAAAATATTTACTCTGGGGTCTTCTTGGTGGGCCATGGCTTTGGCCCTCAGCTTTCCAGCAGCCAACCCGAAGCTGGTGCGTATCAGTTCCTTGATTCACGCTGTTCACAGCTGGTCAGGTAAGGCACGGCTTTTCCAGTTCTGAGGCCTAAGAGGAACTTTGCTCATAGTTTCTCATAAAAAGGACCCTGTGAGGGGTCATGAACAGTGTCCTTAACATGTCATGGACATTGTCCTTAGGTAGACATATGTTTCATGGGACTGTGTATCATATAACATCCTTTCTGTCCGCCTATGGCACCACATCACCATGCCCTTCGGGGAAGGCAGTTCTACAGGGTGGCCAATACAATGGGACTTGGCTGTAGTTTCCTGTTAGCCTGCCTAGATTCACAATAGGCTTTCCGGAATCTAGAGGATTCAGGATGTAGTTCTCGCTTGCCTCAGTGGAGACTTGAATGAGTTTATGCAGTAGTCATGAATGAATATTCATTCTTACCATCGCTGCTGAGCATCTGAGCCCGCTCCTTGGCTTTGTGGAATTCCCTGAGCTAAGGCAGATCTTGCCTCCCATTTTAGAGACTGAAAGTGGCAGCTACTTGCTTTTCTAGCCTCCTTTGCAGCTAACAGGTGGCCAGATGGCCCAGTCACCACCAAACAGACACATCGCCCCAAGTTATAACCATGACAAGGGTGCTGGTAGTGGCTGCAGAAGGATAATCTTTTTAGGGCAGCACGTGCAGCACACTGAGTGGGGGCATCCAGTGACTGGAGCTAGCAGTATCAGCAATGGAGACTGTGACCTCCTCACTTGACCCAAGCTACTGTCCAGGCCGTAGGAGCCTGAACTTATTCCTTCTGCCCTCCTGCTGAATGTGTGATCTTCTCGATGTCCTTGTAATGAGTGTATATTCTGCTTAAATCAGCCTGAGTTGGCTTGGTTGCAAGAAAAAACCTGCTTGATGCAAGCAGCTGTTCTTCTCCGCTCCCCGCCCACCCACATGCAAGGCATAGGAAAGTCAAACTGCTGTGAAAGCCAAGGATGCGTACACGCATAAGGACACAAGCCAGGTCTGCTCGCAGAGTTCCTGTGATAGATAGACGGACAGAAAACTTGAGGGCCCTGCCTGCAGCACAGGCCTGGGGGCAGAAAGACTGTCCCAGAGCTTGCTAGCCTGGAATCCACAGTCTAGATTTATACTGTCCAATATGGTAGTCAGTAGTCACATGTTACTGTTTACATATGAATTTAAATTAGTTAAAATTTAGTACGACCACTATGGAGAATGCTTTGGAGGTTCCTCAAAAAAATAAAAATTAGGCTACCATAGGATCCAGCAATCCCACTGCTGGGTATATACCCACAAGAAAGGAGATCAGTATATAGAAGAGATATCTGCACTCCTATGTTTGTTGCAGCAGTGTTTACAATGGCTAAGATTTGGGAGCAACTTAAGCATCCATCAACAGATGAATGGAAAAAGAAAATATGGTACATAGGCCAGGCATGGTGGCTCACGCCTGTAATCCCAGCACTTTGGGAGGCCAAGGCAGGTGGATCACCTGAGGTAAGGAGTTCAAGACCAGCCTGGACAACATGGTGAAACTCCATCTCTACTAAAAATACAAAAATTAGCTGGGCATGGTGGTGGTTGCCTGTAATCCCAGCTACTCGGGAGGCTGAGGCATGAGAATCGCTTGAGCCCAGGAAGCGGAGTTTGCAGTGAGCTGAGATCACGCCACTGCACTCCAGCCTGGGGAATAGAGCAAGATTTTGTCTCCAGAAAAAAAGAAAGAAAGAAAGAAAATATGGTACTTATATTAATACATAATGGAGTACTAATCAGCCATAAAAAAGAATGAGATCCTGTCATTTGCAACAACACAGATGGAACTGGAGAACATTACGTTAAGTGAAATAAGATAGGCACAGAAAGACAAACATCTCATGTTCTCACTTATTTGTAGGATTTAAAAATCGAAACAATTGAACTCATGGACATAGACATAGAGACTAGAAGGACAGTTACCAGAGGCTGGGAAGGGAAGTCGGGGGCTGGATAGGGGGAGGTGGGTATTAAAAAATAGAAAGAATGAATAATAACTATTATTTTATAGCACAACAGGGTGACTATAGTCAATAATAACTTAATTGTACATTTTAAGATAACTCCAGGAGCGTAATTGGATTGTTTGTAACTCAAAGGATAAATGCTTGAGGGGATGGATACCCCATTCTCCATGATGTGCTTATTTCACATTGCATGCCTGTATCCAAACATCTCATGTACCCCATAAATATGTACACCTACTATGTACCCACAAAAATTAAAATATAATGAAACAATAAAAACATTAAATTAAATTAGTTAAAATTAAATAGAATTAAAGATCTGTTTCCACAGGCACATCAACCACTTACGGAGTGCTCAGCAGCCACATGCACCTACAGACTACCATTATGTACAAGACACATAGAGAACATGTCCAGCATCGCACAAGGTTCCATTGCACGGTGATGGCCTAGAACCTTGACATTCCAGGCTGAGTGGCAGGATTTCTGCCTTTTTGAGTCACACCTATTGCTTCTGGTGGCTGACGAGGCTGGGAGTTCCCAAGCAATGAGGCAGCAGTTCCGCCCTCCTCCATCCTGGTGGTCTGAAATCCACACCAGCTACCAGGACCACAGAGCACTGGGCCAAGGCTCTGGGAACCCTCTTTTCCCTGCTGCATCTTCGTCTATGTCCCTTTTGCTACTTCTTGTTGGCTGCTTCAGGGGGAGACAAAAGTAAAGACAACCTTGGGTCAAGTTCTCACCATCATTCTCATTATCCTGGAACCTGGACCAGGCTCTGCAGCCTGGGCTGGTGCAGAGGCCATCTCAGGTATGCAAATGAGTGTGTTATGCAAATGAGTGCTTCCTACAAATAAATGCTTTATGCAAATGAGTTTTTGCATTCTCTATCTCTCACACTGGGCTGAGCAGGGACTTTGTACTTACCCCAGGACCTGGCACAGGGCTTGACACATCAAAGTACTCAGGAAACATTCACTGGGTACACGTGGATGTAACACAGATCCCGAGGGACCTGACGCACGACAATAATTTCCATGCAGAGTGTCTTCCTTTCAGTCCAAGGCAAGGGGGGTGACACAGTAATAATGATGATAATGAGAGTGATGATATGTATATGAAAAAATGAAAGTATAGAGTATGAGTTTATTATAAAAGTGTAAAGAAATTGGTTACATGTGTAAGGAAATGTGGAGTTATGGGCATATTTTTCTTTTCAAATTCCTTCAACATTGTTATTACCCATATCAGAGTAGTTAAGAATATGCTCAGACAGACATGGTCCCCCTTTGTGAAATGGGAGCTGTTACCTCATTTGGCTATGTAAGGACTAAATGAGATAATGCATGAAAAAATTCAGCACTGCCTTTGGCATATAATAAGTGCTAAGTACAAGGGAGCAATTATTGTTATTTTTGCCTAGAAATTCGTGTGATAACAATAGAGCGGAGCGGGACTCTTGGCGTCCCTGTCATTTTGTGGCTGTTGCTTCCCTCCCCACTGGAGTGGATGGAAAGCTCTGGGCCTGGGTGTGATTTCTGTCCTGACAGCCCAGCCCTCTGCCCACAGGGCAACTGGGCCAAGTCCCCACTGCGTGCTCCCAGCAAGAGGGCACTGCCAAACTTCTCATACCTTTTTATGCTTCTCGGTCTAAGCCATGGGGGTTTGGAGGGATTTTTTTTTTTTTTTAATTTGAGATCTGTCATCCTTGCAAATGAGTTTGCCCTTTGCAGCAAATCCACACAAAACAGGGACAATCTCCAGTTTTCTTTCTGTTGCCTTTTCTCCTCCCTTCTGTTCGAGTCCTGCAGCTACTAATGAGGGCCTCTGTCAGCTCCCTGGGAGGGCAGGAAGAGCTGCCTTCGCCCTCCTCCCTCTCCCTCTGTCTCTCTCTCTCGCAAACACACACACACAGACTCAGGAGAGCTGCCCTTCTCATCTGGTCCTCCTTTTCCTCCTTTCCCCCAGCTTCTGCCCTTTATCTTGCTGTTTTCACACTTCCTTCCTCCATCTCTCCTGTGACTCTTTTTCTCTGAATCTCATCTTCTCTTCTATTTCCTCTCGCATAATAAGTGTGATATAAGTATTTGCTATGATTATGATGTCTCCCCCATCTCTTTCTCTCTTTCCCTCTCTCTCTTCCTGTGTCTATCTTTGTAATCTTTCTGTCTCTCTTGGTAACTGGCTATTTCTGTCTCTCACTGGCTCTGTCTATCTCCCTCTCTGTATGTATTTCTCTGTCGTCATCTTTCTGTGTGCATCTATTTCTGTCCCTCTCCTCTGCCTCGTCTGTGGCTCTCTGGCTGGCTCTTCATGTCCCTTAAATCTTCTAAGCCCCTCTGAGGGCTGTGGTCTGAGCACAGGAAGTAATAAGGAGGAGTATGCCCCACCCTGACCCCAGCCACCCCAAATCCTCACCACAGTGCCTGAGAAGTGGATCCGCTCCCTCTTGGCCCAAGATAAAAATGCATCTCTCTTCTTACAGCCTCTTCCTACAGAGAAAATACTGTTCATGGGGTCCTGCCTGGAAAAACTTCTGGTTGAGGAAGTCATTTTGCGATGCTTGCAAAACAAACTTTCAGAAACCAAATTTCTTGAAACAAAATCTTTGTGGCTGTTTAACTGATTTAGTCTACTGGTAGGCACACAGAATAACTAAGACTAACACGTTTATAGTTAAAGCATTGCACTTTATCTTCACCCTTTCATAATCTACTTTTTGCTACTTCAGCCCACTCTTCTTGTTTCTCAGCATAACCTTTTTGTAGTAGGAGAGGTGCCATTATTATTATCTCCATTTTTAAAAGTGGGAACCGATACTCATAAAGATGCGATGATTTGCTCCCTGTCACGGAGTTATTTTCAGTGCCGCAGGGCGCAGAACGCTTATTCCCTAGGGACCATGAGCCCCTCTCGCGCCCCTCCATGCCCCTGTCAGCTCTAGGGCTCTGTGATTTCCACCAGAAATCCCAAACATCTCCCACCAAACCTGCCCAAGGGAGACTCTTTGTGGCTTTTTCGCACATCGTGTCCTTTGTAAGTCATCGTTCCCGCTGCACACGCGCCCACCATCTCCAGGCTGAACGGCTCAGAGATTTAATCACGTTCTCGGACTCAGGCCATGGCAGTGAATCTTGGAGCCACGCGGCCGGAGCTGCAGCAGAAACCCTGGCAACGGAAGGAGCTCTCTGAGGGTTTGGTGGAATAAATTACTCAAACACTTGCATTTCTACAAAAGTAGTGACACTTAATTCCTGCTATGATATTAGGATAAACAAAATGTCATCTGCCGCATTGTCCTTGCCCATCCAAATCTTATCTTCTTTTTCCGTGTAAGTAATTGGGGGAAAAAAATTACAGAAACCTTCTGGAGTATTATCGTATTAGGATCCGATTTTAACCAGAATGCTGAAAATTTCATACTGAAGGCAAGTGCATAGTTGCCGTAAATGCAGGCGAACTTCAAGGTGAAGGAACTCCCCTGTACAATCGCGAATGCAAATGTTTAAAGCCACTCAACAATTTTCCCCTTGCAGCTGCCCGTTTTATCTCTTGCAAAACTAGTAATGATACAAGCAGTTGATTATGGTTTACAATAGCAATAAACCTCTCAGAATTGGTTGTTTCCAAAATAAATAGCCATTCTGTTAAATGTTAAATAACAAGTCATAAACTGCTGAAAACAACCAATTTCTTGTGGATTATTGCCTGAATAAATTTCAGCAGGAACGGCAGATCATTAAGCTGTGAGCGTCACAGATCAAAACCGTTGGATTAAAAAAAAATCAATCAATTAACTTAAATCCATCCAAAGGAATTCCCATTTTACAAACCAAGTCACACCACACATTTTTACATCTTCTTTTGAGCTTTTCCTTTGCTGGTCATGGTTAGCTTGATTCTGGCCAAAATCTTTTCATTCTTTTTCAGAGATTAAAGCATACCTAACCTGGGTGGTTAAATTGGCTCATTCTGAGAGCATGCAGCTTTCCTCAGCTGCATTTTCTACAAGTCTCCATCTACAGTGTTCCAATTGATAAAACACAGACCTGTCCACTAAGTTAAACATTTGAGTCAAGGCTCAGTGGCAAATATATATTCAAACTGCAGCTCTAATAGAGGCTGTTCTGGTAAGAGAAGCCAACTTCATCGGGATGATTGACAGAAGATTCCTCGCCATAGCAACCAGGGTTATCTCTCTGGAATAACAACATTAACCTCCTTCATAACCAGTTTTTCATCCCTGAATATAAAAGGCAGCTGCATGCATCTTGTATGATCCTTTTTTTTTATTTTTGAATGAACAGTTAGCACTTCTATATAAATGGGACAAGATGCAGCAAAATCAAATTAATTTTGAATTCCTCTTGAAAAAAAGCATGGCAATGGATCTTGTAGGCAGAACAGTTAGAGCAGGAAGGGTTCCTGTCTCTTCTGAGCATAGGGCAGTAGCAGTGAGATTTCTAGTCATCTACTGCCTCTGAAATAGCCTCCTGCATTGATTTGCTTTCTGCTGCTGTGGAGGGTGGGAAGGGGCAAATAATTTGTTTCTTGTTTTGTTCCTGTCTTATTCTTTGTCCTCACAACTCCCAACGCATGCACACACACACACACACACACACACACACACACACATCCACACACATCTTAGAGGCTCTCAGGTGCAAGGCAATGAATGGTCTATGGGAAAATGGTGGGAAAATGCATATTCTTTCTGAAAAAAAATGTATATTCCATCGCTTTTTTTGAAAGAAATTGCTAAATGGACCCCAAACCATCTCCTCTGACTTATATCTAATGTTTTGTGAAAGCCGTGGACATTGGTGCCTTGAAATGTCACTGAAGCCTCTCACCAGCCCCTCACAGAGGTGCTGTGCCATGCTCTGGACCTGACTTCTCATGCCAGTCTCTGCAAGTAGCAAGCATGGCACTCAAGCCACAGGGAATAAAAACTGTGACAAGGAAAGACAGACTGTCCACCTGGTTGGACCACTGCCAAGTCATGTCCTTCCCTGTGTCATTCCATCTAGGATATTTTTCCCATTGGCACCAACTTCATTGCAATTGCCACCTTGAAAAGTGGAGCCCTCTTGGTTGAGGCTTCTGTGTCACTCAAGGTCACAATCTTGTTGCTCAAGGCCCTGGTTGTAACCTCAAAGAACGTCAGTCCTCTGCTGAGGAAAGAGGCTGAGCAGGGAAAAGGTGCCACCTGGGCCCAAGCAAGGGGAACCTGGGAACATGGCATTTACAAAGTGCAGGACAGCGTGGGGCCTCAGAGGGGAAAGTGGTCATTCAGCAGAAACACTCGGGTGAATCTCTGGCCTGATCTCTATGTAAGCAGACAAACTAGCCAAAAGGCATGACTGGTGGATTTCAAAAGATGTTCTGTGAAGAAATGTTATTTCTGAGTTGGAAGTAGGAGGAACTCTTTGAGATCCCCACTGTATTACACAAATGTTGACAGCCTCCTCAGATTCCTTCAAAGCCACCTTACTTCCAAAGCTGCTGCCTGCCCCTCACACCCCTCACCCCACCAACAGCATCACTGTCTTTGCCAAGCCCTGGAACTGCCTGGAATCCAGTTGGGGCCCTGAGTCTGTGTGACCCTGTTACCAGAAAGGGGTCTCAATTCAGACCCCAAGAGAGGGTTCTTGGATCTTGCACAAGAAAGAATTTGGGGTGAGTTCATGGAGTAAAGTGAAAGCAAGTTTATTAGAGAAGTAAAGAAACAAAAGAATGGCTACTCCATAGGCAGAGCAGTGGCATGGGCTGCTTGACTGAGTACACTTATGTTTATTTCTTGATGATATGCTGAACAAGGGGTGGGTTATTCACGAATTTTCCAGGAAAGGGGTGGGCAATTCCTGGAACTGAGGGTTCCTCCACTTTTTAGACCATATAGGGTAACTTCCCAGTGTTGCCATGGCACTTGTAAACTGTCATGGCGCTGATGGGAGTGTCTTTTAGCACACAAATATCACAATTAATATATAATGAGCAGTGAGGATGACCAGAGGTCACTTCCATCACTATCTTGGGTTTGGTGGGTTTTGGCTGGCTTCTTTACTGCGTCCTGTTTTACCAGCAGGGGCTTTTTGACTTGTATCCTTTCATACTAGTCCTGCCAACCTCCTATCTCATCCTGTGACTAAGAATGCCTGATCTCCTGGGAATGCAGCCCAGCAGGTCTCATCCTCATTTTACCCAACTCCTATTCAAGATGGAGTCACTCTGGTTTGAATACTTCTGATAACCCCATCCCCACTGCTGAGCATCCTCATTCCTGGTCACTTTTCCACTCCAGGATTTGGATAAAATACCACAGCCATGGGCATGGGACCTGGCCTCCTGAGCAGCTCCTGAGGAGCCAGATGATACCCAGAAATGCAAGGTGTTACCTCCATGGTGTGTGAACCTGAACCAAGGTAACTGGAGGTGGAGAGTATGTCCTCCCTCCACCCTGAGGTGTGATTCAACCTGGCTAATCTTCTGCAGAAGTCCCATGAGCTGAGCGGACACACTCAGGGCAGTTTGTGTCTCTAGCCACTCACCAAGAAGCAGCATCTAGAGCAGCACCATTGCATCACCTTGATCCTCATCTTTCCTGCCTTTCCTCCTCTTTCTTTCCTCACCTCTCCAAGGTTACACCTCTCCAATAAAGCAGCCGCACTGTAATCCTTGCCTCAGCCTCTGTGTGGAGGACGGGGCTAGGAAAACTAGCTACATGAGTCATACTCAGAGCTCCTCCCTGTGGCAAGCATTTTAGGTAAAGGAGTAGGTGGTGAAAATCATGGCCTTTCTCTACGAATCAGTCCAAAGACTCTCCCCTTCATTTGCTAAATGACCCCTGATGTTACAGCCACCTCTGGAAGCTGCAAGTTTCCCAAAAGCTGAGGTTGAGGAAGGGTCGGTTGGTTAATTGTTTTTAAGAAGCAGTGTAATGGACCTTATTACTTAATTGACAAAGGGCTTGACTGGTGGAAAATGAAGCCTCCTTGCCTCCAAGATGTTGCAATTAGTTTTCTTTAAAACAGAAAAGAAATGTTCCTGAATAATCAAAAGAACAATAGCAATAGTAGCAACACCCCAAGTTACAAATTGCCTGGGCTATTGGCCTCCTTTAAACACACACATAGGGGGCATTGCTTTTTCCTGTCCAGAGGAAAGAAAGCTGATGCTCTTCCCCTCTCACTCAATGCCCTCCTCACAAAGTCTTGCTGACCCTGCCTCGTGTAAATATTTCATTATTTACGGGTGTGTTGGTTTATTCACGCACCTGCCCAGCCATCCTGTGATCTCTCTGTTTGTGTGGAGCCTGTGTGTGACTAGTTGGTTGCAGCTGGTGCTAATGAGGCCAAAGCCTGGGTTCAATCCCCAAGGGGGCCAGTTAACTTCACCTGCTCCGTGGCTAGAGGCTGCACTCAACAGCTCTGAATGGAGCTTGTGTTGTGTGTACTGGGCGACAGGCACAGGGGTAGAGGGAAGGGAGGAGATGGTTCAGCATGTGGTCCCCATGTCTGCTGGAGAAACAGCCACAGCCCTTGGCACCTTCCACCCCTGCAAAGGTCAGCACTGTGTTTCTTGTTTTTTTTCCCCCTAAGATTACTTCTTTTATCCTAAGGTTAGAGGACGTGGGCATGTATGTTTTAAAATTTCCCCTTTTTATTTAATTGGCAAGTATTATGTCTTATGAGTTAAAGAGTAAGGCACATTTTTTTGGCCTCAATTCCTTTGGGCATCCATTATTCATTTACTAGAACACACAGCCTACTGGAGAGGTGCATCTGTGGACATCAGAAAAAAAAAAACTAGGAGGAGTTACAGATTGTGGCATAAGGTTTGGTGAAAATATTCAAGAAAAAAATTATTCACTCAACAAATACTTATTGACTGCCTATTATGTCTCAGGCACTACACTAAAGATACAATAGTGAACAAAATAGATTTTAAAATTTCTGCTCTATGGAGCTTAAATTCCAGAGGGAGAAGGTGGTGCAATAGATAGTAAATAAGAAAAAGGTAGTAAAAAATATGTATTTTACATAACCATAATTTTGAAGAAGAATAGAGCAGGAAATGGACAGAAGTCACTAGGAAGGGTACTCCAACTATAATAGGATGGTTAAGGTAGACCTCAGTGAAAAATGATGTTAGGGCAAGGACCTGAAGTAAGGGAGAGTGAGCTGCGTAGCTAGCAGAGGGAAGAGCAAAGGTGAGAAGGGCAAGGAGGGAGCATGCATAGTGCCTGGTATGTTTGAGGAACAGCCGGGCGGGGGTGCAGTGTGGCTGAGGCAGAGGGAGTGAGGGAGAGGCGATGTTCCTGAACTGAACTGGGGTGTGCTCACCTGCTGCAATAAGATCAAACATCCACACAGAGGTTTGCAGAGGGAGAAAGGAGGGCATTTATTTGCAGGGCACCAGGCAATGTTGATTGGGCAGCTCATGCTTAAGACCTGAACCCTTGCAAAGGTTTGCAAGCGAGGGTTTTTAAAGGCAAGGGAAATTTTCAGGAAAACAAGTTAATACAGGCAAATTTAAATCAAGGCATGGAGGTTATACATTGGTTTGGCCTAAGAAGGTGGGACACCTTGAAGCGGGGCCTTTACACGTCATAGGTGGGTTCACAGATTTTCTGATTTGCAATTGGTTAAGGAAAAGAAGCTTTGTTTAAAAATGTGGGGTTAGCAGAAAAGAACGTTAGCTCTGGCTCACAGGTGTGACTTCTTCCAGGCCCATCAGGAAGAAAGAACGAAGAGCAGTGGTCGGAGTTCAGTCCCCGGTTCCCCCTTATCCAAGGTCTGTGTGCCAGCAGATACATTTGGTGGGGGTCCAGGTTTTGAAAACAACTCAGGGACATACGTTAAGAATTAATCTTTAGTTTCTATAGGGAACCAAACATCCCATGACTCTAATTTCCTTGGCTATTGTTTTAGGCTACTATTACCTTCTTGCTGATCAAATTGCTCATTTACTTCTCAGGGCCAGCTAAGTGCCTGCAATCTGAAGGAACTTAAGATTTTTCATTTCCATGCTTGTGGTAGTGAGGGGGGCACAGGCCCCTAAGAGGGGTCCCTGCTCCATCTCAGGATGGGAGATGCAGCCAAGAAAAAAGGGAGGAAGGAGAATCAGGTGGCGTCTACAGGCCCTTGCAAAAGCTTTGGCTTCTTTCTCAAAAAGTTAGAAAAGGCTTCCTCAAAGATGTTGCTTCTGAGTCGGGTCCCAGGAGCTGATTAGTGTTAACTCATTCATCTGCACTCCGGCTGAAGCAGGTGTTGCCAGACTGACCGTGTAATTTGGTAGTTAACATGTGTGTACCAGGCTGTGTTTTCAGACTTGAAGACAGAGTGGAGTTAGCATCTGCTCCTACCCCTCCCTCACCCACCCCATCCCCACGCACTCATACACACTACCGGCCTGGGAGTCATATGAAGCTTATATGGTCCCACCATGGGGGCCCACACAAGGACCGGGATTAGTTTGCCCACCAGCCAGGCAGGTGGGGGCTCAGAACAGATAAAGATTTGTATTATTTCTTGAGCCACAGTTATAGATGTCAGCTCATGCTTGCTAAAGAAACAAATGAAAATTAACTGGCAAGGCAACCCCAGGGCAACTGAATGAGGGAGAAAGCAAACACTCCCCGGGTTCCAAGCAGGAAGGAGCCACATGGGGGCTACTTTGGGGGCATGGAGGAAAAGGTAATTATAGAACACTTTGAGGAGCAGATAAGATTTGAGTGGGTCTTGAAGCACAGGTGAGTGTGAATCTTCAAATGGGAGGGAGAGCATGACAAGTCATTGTTCCTTTGTGAGGGGCGGTAGGAATTTTTGGAAATGTTCAGGAGTCAGGAAGAGGACCATCTAGGCTAGAATGGAGTGGCTGTGTAGGAAAAGGGCTGGCAGAGAGTGAGGCAGATTGTGGAAGTCCCGGAATGCCAGCTGGAAAAGTTTGGACTTTTGCTGAGGGTGATTCTCTGCTTTGGATGGCAGGACTGTAGCAGACAGAACCATGTCTGTTCCCATATGCATATAAGTATGTGTGTGGTAGCCTCGCCAGATATAAAATGCAAGGGAAACTCTGTTAAGTTTGGATTTCAGATCAACAACAAATAAGTTTTCAGTATAAGAATGTCCTATGGGGCCAGGCACGGTGGTTCACGCCTGTAATCCCAGCACTTTGGGAGGCCAAGGCGGGTGGATCACCTGAGGTCAGGAGTTTGAGACCAGCCTGGTCAACGTGGTGAAACCCCGTCTCTACTAAAAAGACAAAAATTAGCCAGGCGTAATGGCGGGTGCCTGTAATCCCAGCTACTTGGGAGGCTGAGGCAGGAGAATTGCTTGAACCTAGGAGGTGGAGGTTGCAGTGAGCTTAGATTGCGCCACTGCACTCCAGCCTGGGTGACAAGAGCGAAACTCCGACTCAAAAAAAAGAAAAAAGAATGTCCTATGAAGCCAGGCACAGTGGCTCATGCCTGTAATCCCAGCACTTTGGGAGGCTGAGGCGGGTGGATCGCTTGAGGTTGGGAGTTCGAGACCAGCCTGGCCAACATGGTAAAACCCCAACTCTACTAAAAAATACAAAGAATTAGCTGGGCATGGTAGCGGGAGCCTATAGTCCCAGCTGGTAGGGAGGCTGAGGCAGGAGAATCGCTTGAACCCAGAAGGTGGAGGTTGCAGTGAGCCAAGATCGCGCCATCGCACTCCAGCCTGGGCAACAAGAGTGAAACTCAGTCTCAAAAAAAAAAAAAAAAAAAAAGAATGTCCTATGAAATATTTGGCACATAAATACAGGATGCCCAGGTAAATTTAAATTTCACATAAACTATGTACAGTTTATTTTATTTATTTTATTTTATTTTTTTGAGACAAGGTCTCTCTCTGTCACCCAGGCTGGAGTGCAGTGGCACGATCTCGGCTCACTGCAACCTCCACCTCCTGGGTTCAAGCGATTCTCTTGCCTCAGCCTCCTGAGCAGCTGGGACTACAGGTGCATGCCACCACACCCAGCTAATTTTTGCATTTTTAGTAGAGATGGGGTTTCACCATGTTGGCCAGGCTGGTCTTGAACTCTTGACTTCAAGTGATCCGCCCACCTCAGCCTCCCAAAGTGCTGGGATTACAGGCATGAGCCACCGCACCCAGCCAAACAATGTGCAATTTTTAAGTATAATTACATCTTGCAATATTTGGGATGTAGTTATGCTAAAAAAAATTCATCACTCATTTGAAATTCAAATTTAACTGGACATGCTGTATTTTTATTTGCTAAGTCTGGCCATCAGTATGTGATGCTGAATAAATGCTACTTACCAGTGCTGTGAACTCCAGGGCAGAGCTCCCTCCTGTTACACTAACTAGCCTGGAGAGTTCCGCCACCAGAGAGCCAATTTCTCGGCCGCCTTTGGGTGCTGACTCAGCTCTCTGATGACCCAAGTTTATGAGTTACCTGTGAGAATATCTGGGCCCCCAGTTTTCTCAAGAGTCAGCCCCAGATCCCCAATTCTGCCTCTCAAAATCGAGGAATAGGAGCCCTGGCTTTTTCCAGCAGCAGCTGGAATCAATAAGCAGCCCTGATGTGTGGGGTGGGCTGGAACACAGCCTGCTACCTTGAGCCCTGCAGTATTGATCGCACAGGCAGCTGTCTGTAAACCAAGCAGGCATGCTGAAATGGGGTAGTGTTGTCAGCCTTCACTTTCATAGGGATGACTCTTCAGATTTCTCTCAAAGCCTGTCGGGCTCAAAGGGAAAACCAGCAAGTTCTTTTTTTTCACTAATGTAATGCCTTGGGGAGCTGCCGCATTACATTCTTTTTTTCTTTTTTCTTTTTTAGTGCAAAGTTGTGGGGGTGGAAGGCAGAAACCACAACAATCCTCTCTCTTTTGGGACTCTCTCTCTTAAATGTGGTCCATCATTCAGTTTTAATAACTGAAGCACAAAATATGAAAACTAAAAAAAGTCATTTTTTATCGAAAGCCTCAAATGTACTGGGCATGAGAGCGAGCAGTTTGTATGTCTTGTGGTGTTTTATGCTTCTAATGATTCTCTGAGATTGATATTTATTACTATTCCCATTTTACAGATTCAGAAATGGAGGCTCACCCAGGCTAAGTAATTTGCTCAGGGCCGTGCGTCCCGCAGTGAGTCTGCTATGGTCGAAACCCAGGTCTGTTTGACATCTAACACTACTGTCTGCTCAATGAGCCCAAGACATTGCAAACACTGCTGGCTTGTCATCCTAGCTTGTCCTTTTAGATTCCTGAGTGATGAACATCCTCTGAGAAACTGTCCCTGGTTGCTCTGAAAAAAGCCGGGTACCTCCCTCTGCTCTCAGATGACTTTCTTCCCACCTGTGTGTTGTAGAACCTCCCTGTGGGGCTGTAAAAACACATCCACCTTTCTGTGTCCTCATTAATCCACAAGGTCCTCCAGGGCAGCGGCAAAATTGTTTTTCTACCAAGTGTGCTCCTCTCTAGCTGCAGGGACTAGACTATCGTTTAGCACACAAGCTCTATAAATATCTGCTCGTGGTTATTACTGTTTTGAAATCTCTTTTCCCATTTGTTTAGGGAGCTTCAAGGATGCTGTCCTGTCACCATGTTTCATTGTGATGCCGGTCTTCTGCGTTCTTACCTATGTTTTTTACACCGAATTTTGTATTGGCCTGTCCTCATTGAGGACTCATCTGGCTGGTCCATACCAATATTAACAGAAAGTTCTTCCATGGTTGAATGACTGAACAAGTATGGTTGCCATGATGACTATATTTGCACAAATCCAAGTTGGTCTTCTCAATGGTTCTTCCTATAATTTGGTAGAAGGGTATAGAGGTAAATGAACCCAATGGGTAGCCAAATTCCTGCACCTGGGATCTCAAGGTCAATGTTTTTTTTTATCACAGTGATATAGGGTGTCTCTTGGAGACTCAAGAGAAAGAGGGTTGTCAATGAGAGAGGGTAAAAGATGACAGAGTGGCTTTGATCCTACCTTCTCACAAAAGCTTCTTAGAAAAGTCAACCTACTTTTGAGAGGAGCACAGGTTCTCACAAAACCCCTTCCAGGAAGTAGAGAAGCAAACTTTGCCATGATTCTGCTACCAGGAGTAAACATGTGATCCCACATGTACTCTGCCCCTTCAGGGATGAAAGAGCTATGAAGCTGATGGTTGATCCTCAGGGACAGACATTGGCTGAGAGGACTTGATGGATTTCAGATCTGCCCACCTGAAGCCCAAACGCTGAGGAAGTCTCTAAATGGGGATTATAGCATTTAAACATTTTTTATCTTTATGTTCTTCTGCAGGTCTGAGGCCCTTCAGACTAACAGTGATCCCCCTGTCACATTAATTCTTCTCACATAGACTGTTTTTCTTATAGGTCCTATCTGGGGCAAAGATGACTATGACAGAAATCTCAGCTTGTTCTTGCTGACAGAGTTAAATTTGGTCTGTGTTTGCTCTGCACAAGAAGAAAGCCTGAACTGTGCTGAACAACTGTCTTGAGGGCACGTCCAGAGCCACGTTTGTCTCTCTCATGTTCCTCCTTTTATTGTTTTTGTTCCTGTACATATTTCAGTGATGTCAGGATTTTTTTTAAGCCTCCACCTTAGGGGAAGCTCAAGAAATGGTCTGTGTTAGCACTGGTGAGGCCAAGACAGTTTTATGCATATAAGCCTGGCTGTTTGTTGATCCCTTGGAATGAGAAACCAATTGGAATATCCTGGCTGTGAGAAATATAACCCTTGACCAGCCAAAGTCATTTGTCTGCCTTCCCTGTTGAAAGAAGCACATTTAAAATTTCTCACCTGGGAGAAACTTCCTGGAAAGAATATTTCATGCAAAATAATACACTTCTTGGACCTGAGTTGCAATTTGGATTAGAAAAAAATGACCTCATTATGTCTGAGCATATATTTTTGTTAGAAGCCATTCTGAGAACAAGAGCATGTGGCCGGGTGCAGTGGCTCATGCCTGTAATCCCAGCACTTTGGGAGGCCAAGGTGGGCGGACCACTTGAGGTCAAGAGTTTGAGACCAGCCTGGCCAACATGGTGAAACCCGTCTCTACTAAAAATACAAAAATTAGCCAGACGTGGTGTTGCACACCTATAATCCTAGCTATTCAGGGGGCTGAGGCAGGAGAATCGCTGGAACCCGGGAGGCAGAGGTTGCAGTGAGCCGAGATTGTGGCACTGCACTAAAGACTGGAGACAGAGCGAGACTCCATCTCCAAAAAAAAAAAAAAAAAAAGGGGGCATGGGTTATTCAAGGGATTGTTGAGTTGTTTATACATGATCTATACCTTGGAGTAGGTTTTGGATGCATTTTGCTCCACATCCCGAATGAGGGGTTTGAAGGTTGAACTGCTATGTTGATTTAATGCTGTGGTTGCTAGGGAGGAGGCCCCAGAAAAGTTCAGAATGTTAAAATCAAGTGTTAAAATATGCTGGGAGGAAATGCAGAACAGTTCTCAATTTCCATCATGAGAGCTTTATAGATAGTTACTGGAAGAAAAAAAACCTCCAAAAATTAAAGTCAGAGATTTATATTTTGTACACATTTTGAATTTTGGAGAATGTTACTTCTTCCTCCAGAGATCTTGTTTTGCTTTTTAAATTAGCCAGGTTTTATGAAATACATTCCCTAAGGAACGCTGAAGAAATTTCCAATCAAGATTCTTAGTTTCTAGTGCTTTGAGGGCAACAATTGTACCCAAAAAATTTCTCTCTTTCTTAGAATCTGCCACTTCCAGAGGCCTGTGCTTGGAAGGCAGGTGACCAAGTGGCATTTGGGTACCTTGCTGGAGAATGGATGTTAGCACCTGCTCTGGGGTAACTAGGGTTGCCAGTCCTGCTGGGCAATTGGTTATGCATCTGTTGCAGCTGTACACTTTGCGAAAGATGGATGATGGGGCATGACTGCAGAAACCTTAGAAATTAAAAAAGATATATTTTATATATATCATCAGGGAGATCTTGAGAATTTGCCATTCAGAGTATGACCGGGAGAAACAAGACTATTTTGAATCCACAGGTTCAAATACAGCATAGAAGATGCAGGAAGTGGTATTTGGCCTGATGTTTCTCTCAATGTCATTGACAACAACAAGGATATATGCTAAAACCAGATGGCAGTGCCTTCCTGATTTCTACTGAGGAAAGCTGTGCTTCTCGAATGCTAATGTGTATATGAATCACCAGAGGATTGTATTAAATTGCAGATTTTGGTTCAGTAAGTTTGGGTAGAGCCTGAGATTCTTGCTTCTTGAGCTCCCAGGTGATGTTGAAGCTACAGGGGCAGGATCCACCTCCTCCCTCACTCTTGCCAGGAGAATACCCAACATCTTTCCAGTGTCTATCAGACTAGGCTGAGCACTTCCTCTAAGATCTGCTGAACCCTGGATACTCAAGTTTGCAACACAAAGGAAGGAACCAAGGGGTAGAAACTCCCCTGGGAAGAGACAGTGTTCTCTGTGGTAGAATTGGGGAGGGAACCCAAATGGAAGCAGGGACCCCGAAGGAGGGAGCTGGATGGAGAAAACAGGGTATTAGCAAGACAAAGGACAGGGAGGGATGTCTCCATGGGAAGCTGAAGCCCTTTACAACCTCCACCTTCCAAAGACTCAAGTCTGCAAGGCTGTCCTTCTGCAACAGAATTCAATGGTTAAATGAAATCTACTTAGGACTTCTATTTCTCACTCATGGAAATGCTACTTTGAGCTATATCTGATCTTTCAATAAATAACTTTCTCCTGGCACCACTATAATCTCGTTATCATACCTATATCAGCAGGACACAGTGGGGTACCAACAGAAAACCCCTTCATTTTCTCTTACTGTTGTCTTTCAACCCCAATCCTCCCTGACCTTGGACAGTATCTAGGCCCAAGTGCATAGCTTTTCTGATTACTTCCAGGTAATGATGTACACACTTATCATCAGATATTAAAAACTTCAAAAACAACCTGATCTCAAAACTGTAATCTCTCATCCTATTTCAAGCTTCTCCTCTCTCTCTAGCTCAGACCAGACTCCTGCAGAAACCTGCAGGGAAAGAAGGTGTGAACAATTCCATGTCCTCCCCCGCTGCTCTGCTGCTTCGGGTTCAGGTTGGACTGGGAGAGGGCAGAGGAGCAGCAAGGGGAGTCAGGAGCTTTTCACCTGAGCTGTTGGAATCTGCAGTTAGGAATCTGCCCTCTGTGTGACCTGAGTCCTAACTCAGCTGTCTGCTAGTTCCCAGGATAATTCCAACAGGAGCACTTACCAAGTAACGACCTATATCAGCACTCTTCTAGATGTCACGGGAAATGAACATCCTCAAAGTAACTCTCATTGCAGAGTAATTCAGAGTTGGCAATTTGATTTTTCTCTTTCTTGGTCTCATAAATTGTTCTCCCTCTAGGAAAGCTGTATAAATTCCCACTAAAAGTG
Organism: Homo sapiens; assembly: GCF_000001405.40. Lineage (NCBI taxonomy): Eukaryota > Metazoa > Chordata > Mammalia > Primates > Hominidae > Homo > Homo sapiens. The sequence continues at coordinate 43,142,167 of NC_000013.11, forward strand.
GCCCTTGCCTTGAAGACTGGTTTGCAGGCATGAGACCTTTCCCTGGGTTACTGGCAGCCCTTTAATTCACGTATGAAGCCTCTTTGTCCTGCAGTCACGGGTCCAAGAAGATGGCTCAGGATAGGCAGCCCCACATTTTTTTTGCTCAACATATATAGATGACTGGAAGTGGAACTATTCAAACTACTAAAACTTTCAGACCCCTCTCCAGAATTTCTAGGATAATGTCTACAAAGTACATTCTAGGTTTAGCATAAGCTACTATGGGGAAAAGAAAGAAGAGAAAAAGAGAAGGAAGAATACTCCCCAGAAGTCCAACCTCAGAGGCTCCGTGGGTTTCTGGTCGGACTGCCCTGATGCTCAGAGGACAAACATCAACTTGGGGCCAGTGTGAGGTGCTGACCCCTTGGCCAGATGAGCTGGATTATATTCACGCCTCGGGTCCTGCTCACAGAGTGAGAATGAACCCTTAATACTTTGCTGGATTCACAAGAGGGCATCTGGTTTTAAAGATTCTTTTGCTGTGGGTTGAATTGTGTCTCCCCTATGCTCCCCAAAAAGATAGGAAGTCCTAACCTCCATACTAGAGATGTGATCTTATTTGGAAATAGGGTGATTGCAGATGTAATCGGTTTAGGTCAGACTGGAGTAGGGCAGGCCCCGAATCCAGTAAGACTGATGTCCTTAGAAGAAGGCAGCCCTGGGCAGACAGAGACACACCAGGAGAGCTCCAAGTGATGATGAGGCCAGAACCAAAGAAAGCCACAGGATGCTGAAGGCAGAGATGTAGGAAGGGACAAAGAAGTATCCTCCCTTAGGGCTTTCAGAGGGAGCGTGGCCCTGCCAACACCTTGATTTCCAACTTTTGGCCTCCAGAACTGAGACATACATTTCTGTTGTTTTAAGCAACCCAGTTTGTGGTACTTTGTTATGGCAACCCAGGGAAACTAATACACCTCATATGGCCCTTACAGGAGGATGGTAACTGCATTTGCTTGCGAGCATATCTGATCTCACGCAATAGCGTGGAAGCTCCTAAGGTTCCCTGGAGCCCATTGCCTAACACAGAACAAATACAGTGTGTGCCAGTAAATTTTGGTTGAATGAACAAATGTAGGACTTTCAATCTTAATGGTAGATTAAATACAAACAAAATATAAGAATTAACAAGGGAGAAAGGCATACCTAGATTGGTGTGTATATTTCATTCACAACAACATTATATAATCTTGTTTATGATTTGCATAAATGAGCTATTATGCCATAATTTGAAACTCAAATCGGTGGCGTCTCCCTGCAACATGAATGAGATGAAACAAGTCTTCCTCTCCTCTCTGCATGTTAAAGATGATTGCTGTGTTAGTCCAATGATAGATCCCGGTCTTCACTGTCTCATAACGTCTCAGCATCTTTTCTGGTTTCTCACTGGGGCTGGAATAGCTGCTGAGGGACTCTTCCTGCCTGTGAGATTTACATTATTTGAGATTTAAAGCAAACGCTATTTCAAAACTAGCAGTAACTTCAATAATTGGTGGAAGTGATTGCCCCAAGGTGGAATCTCCGGTCATCAATTTAACTTACCTAGTTCTTAATCTCCAGAAAATAGCTGGCCTCTGAATCATTGCTGTATACTTAAGAGGCCACGATAGAAGAGTCCCAGGGCCTTGGAAAAGATTTGTGGTGATAATCTCATTGGGACTTTATTTCTTCATGGATTCCTTTCTGAATAGCAACTTAGCACATACACAATTGAGAGGGATAACTGCATGTATGTGTGTGCATGTGTGTTCATGCATGGAGTACAACCAGCAGAAGAGAAGGACTAGAGGACCCATATTGCAATCACTTATGGGAGGATGCATAAGAAAATACAAGGGAGATAAGAAAAAGAAAACCTAATAAATTAGAATTAATTATTAATTGCAAATTAGTAACCAATTCCTTTAATAATTTTGTCTCTCTTTTCACAATTCTTTATCTTTTGTATTTAAAGATTCTGGTTCCATTTGGTGATATTCATTTGCTTCTTATTCAAATGAGATGACCAGGGATAGTTTGGGGGAATTTTTTTTGGACCCTGACAGGGGTCATGTCTTTCAATCCTATCCCTAAATTCATACCCATATCTTCTTCAGTCCAAATTTAATTCAGCCCAACACATATGGGATGATTTCCTATCTTATGCCAGGCTCAGTGCTTGACAGTTGAATACGAAGATGAGTAACACGGCTCCAGATTATGAGGAGTTTCTAATCTGGCAAGGGGATGAGATGCATTACCTAGGTGTGACAGGGACCTTTCATTTTCTGTCCTTATGGGTGATCTTTGCCAATCCCTGGAGGGCAATCAAGAGGTTAAGACATATTGCCTCCCAAATCTGGAGTCTTCTCTAGCTTCTCCCGGGTTGTGAGTCTCTTCTATGCAGCTGATCCTACAGGTGATCTCAAAAGCATCCCACCCAAAGGGTTGTACAGGCCCATTTCTCCTTGGGCCAACCTACATTTTAGACCTTGCCAAATTCAATACTTGAGACTACAATTTAGACACATGGAATTCTCTACCGAATGGCTATTGGTTTGGAGTTTCCATTTGGGTTCTAACCAATTGAGCAATGGTGCAAGCGTTCCCCAGGGGGAACAAAAAGTGGGATCTATTTTATTGTAGATGCAGCGAGTGCCCAGTGACCTCGAGAACATGGGGCTCCTGGGCAACGCTGGACTGCAGCATTGTGGGGCCCCCAGAACCAAAATCTACCTTCCGATTCCTTCCACCAGAATGGAAGTTATGTGGCTCCCAGTGAATATCAGGCTGACCTCATTGAGTCATAAATGAAGGAGAAAGATGAGATAGAAGAGAGGGGTGAGCCTGTTTGGGCTTCCCAATAACAGGCCTGTCTGGTATGTGACCCAGCATGGAGCCTGAATACAAAGGACCCATCCTGCCTGAGCATAGATGGGCCAAGAGAGCAAGACAGGGGCTGACCCTGTTTTCTACTTTTAAAGCCAAGCACCCCACTCACTGGCATGTGGGATGTGATCCCAAGAGTTTCTGCCTCTCTTGGATCACGAATCAAGCCAGTTTTTTTAAGAAGGGGAAAACAGTAAAATGGGGATCCCCCCTTTTTTTTAAGAAGGGGAAAACAGTAAAAATGGGGATCAAAATGTACATTCCCACACTTCCTATCTTGGAGTGGAAATCTCCTTTCCTCTATGAAAACCTGGATGTGCTGTTGGGTAGGGGAGGCAGCTGAGAATGTTCCTGGCAATGAGGCAAGCAAACTACTACTAGACAAAAACTTGCAAGACTATTTCCAAGTATGTAGCAGGGATTCGAGTTGAAATTCTAGGTAGACATTTCCTTCTCTTGTACCTTCCCATTTTGGCCCTGCATGAGGAGGCTGTCTCCTCAGATGTTCCGTGAGCACTTGTCCTGAATTTCTTCCCTCTGATCATCCACTCTGCAGCTATCTCCTCAGGTCTGTGAGTGCAGGAACACCACATCTGTGTAGGGAAAATGTCGTGCCTCTCTACGGGTTGATTTAAGACTCTTGTGACCTAGAGCTTCAGCTACATGTGTAATGATGTTTTCTGCTGAGTCACCGCAGCTGCTGGGTGCAGGTGGGCTGAGAACTCCTAAATGGGACCCAGGGAAAAGCTACAGGTGGGCTTGTCACCTTACAAGTCATCTATGAAGTTGCACCTTGCCTTAGAGATCACACAGCCTGACCCTATAATCCTACATGGAGAAAGGGGCATGTTTCCAATTTGCCTTTCTTTTAGCTTTGCCTCTTAGGGACAGTGGACACCTCACTGCAGGGCAAGGAAGCATTGGATCCTCTTCTGCCCCTCCCAGGCCTGGCTGCCTTATGAGGCCATCAGGAGAAACTCGTTGTCACAGAGTGAGTGACGATGTCAAGTGCGGGGCAGTGCCGTGGATTAAATTGTTTGTAGGTCTTCTGATAAAAGCAGGCAGGAAAGAGGGTCTGCAGGTTGCTCCAACATAGACACATAGGTAATAGAGCTTATTCAGGGGAGGGAAGAGTGAGACCCCACAGGAAGTATCAATAAGATTTTGAAGGTTTTCAAAGAGTAAAAAGCTCAAACCTAACAGGCAGTAAGGGATGCAAGCTGGAGGCAGTGCTGCGGGAGGTTGGGGGAAGCAGATGGAAGAGCAAGGACCTGGGGTGAAAAAGCAAATTCAGCCTCGGTTTGTGTTCAGGCAAAGGGAGGGTCAGCTTTTGGCTGTGGTATAGAAAATCAGTAAGGAAGTGAGAAGACTGGAAAAGGCAAAGGGGCTGAAAGCCAGGCTGCAGAGTTGATATTTCATACGGGAGTATCCTGCAGTTATTGGAAGAGTCTGAGGAGAATGATCTGATCAAAGCAGCACTTTAGGAAGGCTAATCTGTCACAGTGTGTAGGAGGGACTGGAGGAGAAACAGGCAGGAAGGCAGAGGTGGGAGAACTGTCAGCTAGGATGAGGATGACGATGGTGATGAAAAGATGATGTAAATCGTGAAAAAGATGAAGATGAGGATAGCAGCTAAGATTCATTGTTTATTAATGACATTCATTATTCTAAGTACTTTGTATCTGTTATCTTATGTAATCCTCACACCCTCCTATGAGGTGAGACTGTTTTACAAATAATAAAACTGAAAAACAGAGAAGTAACTTGTCCAGGGTAACTAGCTAATAAGTGGTGGACCTAGGGTACAATCCAGGTGCTCTAATTTATTTATCCAGGCAAAATGCAATGAGCTGAGCAAAAGCAGAGTGGTGGTCATGGGAAGGTGGAGATGGATTGGGATGTCACAGGGTTGGAGGCCACCTGATCAGATGTGATGGCAGGAGAGAGGTAGGTGGATTGGGAGAAGGAAAAGTGGAAAGGGCCATCCAGCTTATTGCCATAGGTCACTGGGGACATAGTGGGAATATCAATTAAAATAGGGGTGCCCAGAAGAGGGACTGGTTTCCAGGTGAAGATGGCACACCAGTCAGCCACCACCATCTCTGATCTGCAGTGCTGCAATTATGTCTCTTTGTCCCTTACAATCATTCTTTACATGGCAACTCCTACATGATGTAAAGCGGATCATGTTATTCCCCATTAACATCCTTCAACGTCTCCACAGCTCTCGAATCTAAAATCCAGTCTCCTTACTCTGGCAGACAGATTCCACAGGAGCTGCCCCAGCCTCTTTCTGGCACCGTGTCATAGCTTGTGGCTGCATCACTCTAACCCCCAAGGCTAGTACCTTCAAATCTCTCTATGCTCCATCATCAGATTGCTTTCTCCTCCATGTGTCAATGTCAGAATCTTTCTCTGGGCCAAATGCAGTGGCTCACACCTGTAATTCCAGCATTTTGGGAGGCCAAGGAGGGAGGACGGCTTAAACCCAGGAGTTCAAGACCAGCCTAGGCAACATAGTGAGATTCCATCTCTACAAAAAATTTTGAAAAAATTAGCTGGGAGTGGTGGTGCACACCTGTAGTCCTGGCTACTTGGGAGGCTGAAGCAGGAGCATCACTTGAGACCAGAAGGTGGAGGCTGCAGTGAGCCATGTTCACACCACTGCACTCCAGACTGGGCTAGACAGTGAGACCTCATCTCTTAGGAGAAAAAAATCTCTCTCTGCTTCTCAATCAGAAAGATACTTATGTTTGTACTTAGGGTCCACTCTGAGAATCCAGGATAATCTTCCCATGTCAAGACCCTTATTTAGTCAAATCTGCAAAGACCCTCTTTCCATGTAAGGTGACATGTATAGGTTCCGGGGATTAGGACCTGATATTTTATGGGAACCATTACCTAGCCTCCTATAATTTCTGCTGCCCTCCACTTACTCTGTGCGGGAAATCAGCTGTACCCTAGGTGCCTAGAAGGGTACCAGGCACATTGTAGATGCTCTACTGTGATTTATTAAACTAGCAAATAAATGAATATAGCCAAGTGTATTTTATTCTAAAAAGTATTTTCCCTATATGTTCATAATTTAATAACAATACATCATATTGTTTTAATTCTAAAACAGTCAAACAGCTTTGATACGACAGTCATCTTATATAAATGAAAACGTGATCTAATGAAATGGCATTTTATGAGCTTTAGGCGAAGCAACCATTTGAATGATCTTGTTTAAATTAAATGGCCCTTTTGTGTTCAGTAGTCAGCATCACTAAGTGTGTCTATCTTGCTAATACAGTGGCATCATTATAATCTAAATTATACAATTTAATTACATGTAACTTGAAGCTGAAATATTGGTGAGGTACAAGTATGACCTTTACATCACTTATTAATGTTTTTTCAAATGACATGACACTCAGAAAAATTTAACAAAATCTTATGTTTTTGAATCGGCTTATGAATCGGCTAAATAAAACCTTAAGACACTGACAAACCCAGTTCCAACCTTTGCTTTGCCATTTAATGGCTGCATGATCCTGGGAAAGATATTTGAGTACTCCAAGATTCACAGTCCCCACTCTATAGAGTTCTTGAGAAGAGTGAAATGAGTTAAGCATCTAAAATGTGCCTCCCAATTACTAGCCAATATTAGCTCCCTCTTCCTCCTTCCTTTGCCACAAACATACCAGGAAAAATAAAATTCTGTTTTAGATCTGATAAATAATTCCTGAAACCCAGCATAGCAAACATAAACACACTGTCCTAAAATACATGGGCAGCATAGTGTGTAGCCATCATGAGCCCCGCCTGCTTGCTTTCCCACTGCATTATGCCCTGAGAAATTGCCCCATGTGTTTTCTGGTGTTTGATTCTGTGCCAGAGCCATTAGGGTAGAAGAATGAGAAGGAGTTGAGTTCAGTCCTTTCAGAGAGGACACTCTCCTTTGGGCATCTGCTGGTTATGAGGGAGCTTCTTGCCACAATTCAGGCTGCATGCTGCTGGCAGAGGGAACGAAGGGAATGCACTGTCAGAAGGACAGAGAGACAGAGAAGCAGACAGAAGCATGGCGATGGCCAAGTGTTCTTTAGGGAGAAACAGGCTACATACGGGATAAGATTTTTGGAACATGAAAGAAGGGTTACTTTACCAATCTGAGGCTGCTCAGGCAGTGGTGCCAGAAGTCACAGAACATATAAAGCAGAGTTTTTCCTCATGCAGTCATCCCTCAAGATCCATGGGGTGTTGCTTCCAGGACCCCCTTAGATACCAAAATCCATGGATGCTCAAGTCCCTGATATAAAATGGCACAGTATTTGCATATAACCTACACACATGCTCCTGCTTAATTTAAGTCACCTATAGATCACTAACACCTAACACAGTGTAAGTGCGATGCAAATTGTTGTTGCATTGTTTAAAAGTTTTATGATTTTTTCTTATTGATATTTTTAATTGTTTTTTCAAATATTTTTGATCCGTGCTTGATTGAATCCAGATTGCGGAACCTATAGATAGAGAGGGATGACTTGTTTTTTTCCTTCTGTTCTCCCTTTATTCCAGCTCATTATTTATTTCATAGAATCTCAGGTTTGGAGAAGTCCTTAGAGATATTTTGGCTCAACCTCCTTCTCCATGCAGAAATCTCCTTTACAACATTCACGACAGATGGCCATTGTGGTGTTGCTTTGTTATAATTTGTTTTATTTAGTAATTGGTTTTTATAGAACACCATTAAGTTAAACAGTTTATTTTTCAAGGCTCCATGGAAATGGCTCTCTTTACCATCTGTGTGTGCCTCTCATATGAGATTAGACCCTGGGACTTTCTGCCCCTTGATGGCCTGAACTATTAGTAAGGGCAGAAAAGGGAAAAGGACTTGCCTCACTTCTCAATCAAGACTCCTGGGTAAGATTCAGTGCCAGGGAACGGGGAGGGAAGGGTAGCAATGATTTAAAAGATATTTACTAGCTTGAGAAAGGTCATTCTGACCTTCGGTGTTGTTTCTTTAAAAATAATACTATTTGAGATTTTCTGATTATGCAAGTAACCCAGGTGCACAAACTTTTAAAAATTATTCTAAAAGCACACAAAATTACTAAATATTTGGGAGTTCTGCGATGATACTGCTTCTTCAGTTTTATATTCTGCCCTTTTTACATTATAGTGTGTCATTACATGTTCTTCCATAATATAAGTCCTAGTTATGTATCATATTCTGTTTCATAGCTGTGGCATTATTTACTTAACCAGCCCCTTCTGGTTTCCTCTCACCTCTTGCTTCCTCATGCTGGTCAGAAAAGCTGCCTCTGGCATAAGCACTTCTTAATCTGCCTTGACTTTCATCCAGACACATAAACGCTTGTCCCAATGCATTTGGATGGAATGATACGATTCCAGAGTGTTTCCTGGGAGTAATCATGGTGTTGCTGCGGAGTCCATCTTTGGGCTTTGTGTAGTTGATGTGTTAATTACACTCTGTCAAGCCACAAACTTCTATTCCCCAAGCCTCTCCAGGCATGCACAATCATCTGTGTGTCACACTGCAAGTGAGGATAAGTCTAAATGGACCCTTTAAATCAGCTTGGCTGCCAACTTTGGCTCTATTGACTTGTCAGGGCCCAGGCAATGGCACAGCCAGCAGTCTTGGCCCATATTGACCAGAATGGGCTGCAGCAGAACTACCAGCCTCGCATCCTGTGACAAACGACCCAGGACAATGGGTGGTACCTGGGCTCCCGCTCTAGGAGCAGGCAGTCCTGCTAACATACCACCGCTTCCACCCCTGTCTGGCTCTCTGCTGGCCCTGATCCAAATGGGGCATTGTGCTTTGTTATTGTTGCCATAAGAAGTGGCAGCAGGGCCTGGAAATGCAAGGTAAACATTTGCAATGGGATTCCAGGGGCATCTCCATGGCCTGATGCTTTGAGGAGGACAGAAATAGGAATACTAATGTCCCAGAATCTGAATCTGTCTAGAACTGACTGCTTATTGATGTGGGTTATTTTGCTCTGTAAAGGGACACACACACATACACACCTCAACCTTTTAGAAGAAATCCTGGGTTAATAATACTCCACCTGCTGGTTCCATCTCTGAGTTCCCCATTCTTGGTCCCATTTGGTCCTGACTGAACTGCTGACCATGAGGCTGACCTCGGCCCTTGGTCCTTGGTCCTTGACAGTCTTGAGTCTGATGACCTCCACCTCCTCTTCACATGGCTCCACATTGCTGGATATTGTCATCTTGCTTCCTCTCACATCCTTTGCTAGATATGACTGCTGGTTTCAAGAGGGGCCCTTGGGTGTCAGGCTAGGAGTTGTTGCATAAAAGAATCCCCTTTGGGTCTTCTTTGTGATGTGCTTTGTCACTGGGACTTAAGCAGTGCTGCTTGTGCTCTGAGTCTCATGACAGCAATGCCCAGGCTTTAGCATGTGGCTCTGGAGGGAGCAGGCATGGGCCTTCAGGAACCAGAGCAGGAAAGGAAGACAAATGATGATGCTGTGGTGGCCTGTGGTAGCAATTGATTCTGGCTTTCCGCTCTCTCCTCCCTAGTTACAGACCTTGTCTTCTAGCTGAAAAGACAGGCTCCTGATCCAGGCCTAGCCAATCACAGTGCCCCTTTCCCTGGACACAGCAACAGCCCAGGCGTGGGTGTGAGTCCCACACAGAGTTCATCAGAGTCTGTCCCTGGGATTGATTCATAGATGTTGGGAGAGAAAGGTGCTTCCTTTCCACTGGGTTTGCTAAGCAAGGGCTGCCATGTGGTGTGCCATGGGTTACAGAGAAAACAAAGCTGGTACATAAAAGAGAGCAGAGACAGACAAAAATGAGAGACGGGAAAAGAGAAGCAGCACAGCAGAGGTGCTGAGCACTAGCATGGCCCTCGAGGCTGCTGTGCCCTCCACTGCTACTTCAATTACATGAAAAGCTGCAGCATCTTTCTCAACAATGGGAGCCCATTATTCTCTCGTCTTTCATAAGCGAGTTTGTGATGGGCTCTGACACACATGGCCGAAAGGGCCCTGCCTAATGCACTTTCTGATGCCAGCAGGTGCCAGTTTGATTTGTGAATACAGATGAGACATCCCTCCAGGAACTTTAGGAAATAGCATAAGGACACTTTGAGGAAGACCCATTTCCTGCAGGCAAGCAGGATGAAGTCTTCTGCCATAATAATTTGGATTATAAAAGGGAAGTATGACCTTGTTTGGATATCATAAGCTGGTGAGCCAGAAATATGTAGGCTATTCTCTCAAAAATTCATACACATCTCTTACCAGATTGGCTTCTGGCTGGACCTCCTGCCCCCGGCCCAGGCCCCAGGCCATCAGACCTGCTTAGAAACTTGTCTGAAACTGAGCCATGGAGGTCGCCTGAGCTGGATGCACCATCTACCTCACCCAACTCAACAGAGAGAAGTTCCTGCAAGAGAATTGTGAGGTTTTAGTGGACAGGTGAATGTAGAGCAGGAGAAATAATCAGGAGTAGCATCAAGATTGGAGACTGGGGAGGCAGGTGTTTGGTGAATCCATTAACCTAGAGAAAAGATTATTAAGGGAAGAGGAGGTATGTGGGAGAGACTAACTTAGAGTTAGATGTATTACACACACAGTAGGTGCAGAACGCCTGGCTCTACTGTGTCTGCTGTTTCAGGAGGTGCTTGGAAACATAGGTCTCCCTCTCAGAAAAGAGCTCCAGGCCAGCACATACACATGTGTATGTGTGTGTGTCCCCTTACAGAGCAGAATAACCCACATCAATAAGCAGTCAGTTCTAGACAGATTCAGATTCTGGGACATTAGTATTCCTGACTATTTCTATCCTCCTCAAAGCATCAGGCCATGGAGATGCCCCTGGAATCCCATCACAAGTGTATGTGAAGTAGAAGTAGACGTCACTGGAGTGTAGGTGAAATAGAAGCCATGAGGGTTGAATAAAATTGCTTAAGAAGAGCATTATATTGGTTTCCCAGGGCTACTATAACACATTACCATAAAGCAGGGTAGCATGAAACAACAGAAATTTATTCTCACACAGTTTCGGAGGCCAGAAATTTGAAATCAAGGTGTCAGCAGGGCTGTGCTCCCCCTGAAGTCCCTAAAGAAGGACCCTTCCTTGACTCTTCCTAGCTTCTGGTAGTTGCTGTCCATCCTTGCCATTCCTTGGCTTCCATCTGCACCACTCCTATCGCTACCTCCATAGCCACATGGCCTTCTTCCCTCTGTGCCTTCCTATCTCTGTGTGCCCTCTCCTCTTCTTACAAGCACATTGGTCACATTAGATCTAGGGCCCACTCTAATCCCATAGGACCTCATCTTAACTATTTATATCTGCAAGATCCTAGGTCCAACTGAGGTCACATTCTGAGGTTCTCAGTTGGATCTGAATTTGGGGTTGGGGAGTGCTATTTAACCCACTATAATGGTGAAGAGAGAAAAAGAGAAAGCTAAAGGCAGAATCATGAGACGCACGAACATTCTGGTCGTTAGTAGGGAAGTGTTAGCAAAGGAAAGAGAAAGAGAGAGAGAGAGACCACATTCCTAGCTGCTGAGAGGCCGGGTGGGGATGCAAGCAGGTAACTGTGTGTGACCATCAGAAAACACTGGTAACGGCAGTTGGGTGACTAACTAATATATTTCACCCAGGACTAGAGTGGCAGTCCAGGATGCAGAACTTTCGGTGCTAAAACCCAACAGTACCAAGCACACTGGAATGGTTGGACACTCTACCTGGGAACCAGCAGTTCTATTAGAACTGAATGTGGGGAGAACGCACGGCTGAAGCTTAATGGCTTGGGGAATGAGTAAGCCTTAAGAAATGTACTTGCCTGGGGCGTGATTCTGGTTGCGTTGTTTTTCTGACAATTCAACCACATTTGGAATTTTCTTACGTAGGATATGGGCTTGAGTTTTTAATTTAAAGTCTTCGGGTAAGGTCAGCTCAGTCCCTAACCACCGGACATCGTGGAACAACCAAGTTATTGGAGATTAAAGTGTCCTTCAACTGTCATGAATGCCACTCTGACCCTCCTTGTCTGGAGGGGACCTCCAGGGCATGCTATTTAAATGAACCCAATTTTGAAAGTTCACCTATCTCTACTGAATGTGATAGCTATCTTGCTCTGCCTTCAGAGCACTTATCTTCAAAGTATTCAGCGCCAGGCAAAAGCCTTGATTTTTCCTTGAAAAAGAAATTGTCAGGATGTCTGAATCCATCCAGACCTTTGCATGTGTGATTTCATTATTCATAGTCAGCATTCCTCTTCTGGCTTTTGATCTGTAGTTTACAGAATGTGTGCATAAGGAGGCTCTCTTTCCCATAAACTGATCTCTTTACCCTCTCAGCCCGGAATAACTTTCCATTTATTCTTTTGATAAAGCGTTGATGCCGTGAGCCAGCATACATTAAATTTATCATGATACAAACACAGCACTACACTCTTATCCAGCCCAGATCAGCAACCAGATCACTGCCAGTGCCCCTCAAGTGTCTCTGATGATGAACAGCAAAGGGGACCTGTGGAATTTCTCACGACCATCAAATCTGAAGAAGGAATTCTTCTGAGAGCAGTTTGCAAAGTCTATCACCAGTATCCTGACTCTATTATTAGCTTGCAAGGTAGTTAAAGATATCTTCTCAGCCTTGACTCACTAATAAGCACTTTTAAATATATATCAAAAAGCCCTCTTAATTAAAATGCTTCAACTGCTTTCTACCTCTCTTCTGATAAATGCCAATATCATTAACATGGCTGCTCAGAACCCTGCCTGCCTCTCCAGTCTTGCCTGGCCCCAGACTCCTCTTTCCCTTCTGCTACTTCCCCTAAGTTGAATATTTTTCATTCTTCTTTCACCTGCTTATCTCCTACTCATCCTTCTCTTGTCATGTCAATTATCACTTTCTTGAGGAAGCTTTTCCTAACCCACCCCATGTCCCATCCACCTACTTGCCCCTGATCCCCAGGATACGTTAGAGACCTTTGCTTTCACAGAACTGCTACCAAGTCAAGATAGGCTGACATGTGACCATAGCAAGCACCACCAAAACCTCAGGGTGGATGAATGAGGATCCACACTGCTTGAGACACTCAGCTTCCAAGGCCAAGTCCATGAACCTGCCCTCTCCTGGGAGCGCACGGTGTATACATGTATATAGATGTGTATTTATAACCCAATTATTGTAACAAATTATTTATTAGATATAGACATCCATATCTTATCTACATTTCAAGATAGAAGTACTTTGGAAATAGGAAGATACTGTGTCTGTTTCACCTTTGAGTCTCCCACTGTGCCTATAATCTGCACTGACAGACATGAGATGTTCCATAAAGGTCAATTAATTAATGAATGAAATCATGAGCAAATGATTTTTGAAATCATTTTTTCTTACATATTTTTGAGAAATGTAAGCATCTTTGTGTTTTCCCATCAATATTTTTAGAAAGCTTCATTTTTCAACAGCTCTGATTAATAATATAATTGAAAAGCAAAGAAGTCTTTTTAAATATGTACTGTATAAGTCTGTGATACTTTTGATCCCACAGAGAGTCAATTCCATTTAGTTCAATTCAGCAAGTGTTAAGTGCCTATGATGTCAAATGCCTGTAGTGTGGCAACAGAATGCTTCATTTCAGTGGGATAATTTGGGATGAAAAACTTCTAAACACGTTTCAGCTCCTAAGTCTGACTTCAGCAGTCACAAAGCAATTCTCCCATGTTTAGACTATAGCCATTCATTCATTTGTTCAATAAAACTTTATTGGACATCTATTAGATATGATCATGACTGCTCTGGATTAGATCTCTTGAAAACTGTGATACAAAAGAAGAGATTGTGCAAGGTCTTTCCCACTTGGAAAGAAAAGTTAAATAGATAAAGCACCTGAGTAAGAGTAAGCACTGAGTAAAAGACCTGGGTTTAATTTCCCACCTCATTCTGTTGTTAAGTAGTGAAGTGAGCTTAGCAAGTCACTCCATAGCTCTGGGCCTCAATTTGTTATCTGTGTAGTAAGGGCAGTAGACTGGATGATGTCTAAAGAATATTAGAGATTAGAAAGTCATTGTCCTGGATGGCTCACACCAGTCACTGGAGTTGCTTGGCAGGAAGGCATAACAGCATTTTGTACATCTAGAGCTCTGTCCCTCTCATGGGGCAAGTGATGGAAGAATCCAGTGGCAAAGTTAGGTTTAGCAGGAAGTCCTCTCCCAATACCAGGGGTCTGAGTCCCGGTGCCATGCTTTGTTTACCTCTATCACTTGCAAGGATGAAAAAGCATCTCTAGGCCTGGCCCAATGTATGGAATCTAATTCATGGGACTAGATATTTTATTAGCATTTCCAGCTGAATGAGTGATTTGGGGTTGGACAATGTGACAGTGAATAGATGACATATTCCTTAACTAGTGAGTATGAAACTGCATAGAAATAAGATTTCACAATGTTATGATATTAATGTACTTTCTAATATTTTACATGATCCATATGAAGACATATAATTTACAGTTTAGGGTAGATGTACATAGGTAACAAAAATAACTGGAGACTCCTTTTGGAGAAGTCTGCAATTGGATCAATTAGCATACATTCCCTTACAAGTGACTCAAAACCCAACTAGCAAAGACGGAAATTTTAGGAACATTTATTGTTTACCCAGCAAGATGTCTGAAGAGGGTGGTTCCAGGTGTCAGGGCCTGGATTTGTGTCTCTGCCATTTTCTTGCTTTTTCCCAGTCACAAGATAACTAACACAGCTGCAGATATCAAATCCTCACATGACTGATGACTGTAACTACAGAAAGGAAGCAGGGGAGATGAACAGACCTCTCCCTTTGTACCTCTCTCCTAGTATTAGAGAGAAAAACACCTTTCCAGAAGCTTCCCCAGCTGACCTCTCCTCTGTCTCAGCAGCAAAGAAAGTTTGAGAAAGCAGAAATCTGTGGTTTTCAGCCTCTACTTTGGAAGGAAGACAAATTAAAAGCAAGTTGGGGATGTCTGTGGATAGGCTGCCAAAGTGCTTACCAGAATCCATCCCACAGGCCACCCACCATCTGTAGATATCTTTCCTCTCCCACAGCCACTGTGGGTGGAATGCTGTGGCCCATTGTCTGAGAGAGAACTCCACAGGATCATCCAGTTACTGTAGCTAGCACCAAATCTTGCACATCTGGGTGATTTGTAGTCTCCATGCCATCACATCTCGGTGTAGATTCCTACGGTGTAGCAGTTGATAACTAAAAGAAAATGTGTCTGCTTCAAATGCAATGATGCTGAAGTTTAATTTACCTTTCATTAAAACTTGCAATTGGAAAAAAGAATGATAGGAAACACAATCGTCACTGTGGGTTTTTTTCCCCCCACATATCTAGTTTTGTTGATCTAGAATAATGAGGTTGAGAGAGGATTAAACTCCTTGGTTAGCCCATCTGGCAGCCTATAATACTGATCTTTGGGAAAATGTTCCTCATTCATGTCCTCTGTGACCCACCTGAGACATTAGAGAAGACGCTCCCCTTAGAAATTGCACAGCCTTTCCAGCTCACTTCGTTTTAGATCAAGGTTTTGGGATCTTGATATTGTCTTAGGAGTTAAACAGAGCTCAATGGTCATAGCCTGTTGTTGACCAGCCTTAGAGTCTATCTGGTCATGCAATTGCTTCAAAATCTTAGTGGGCTTTCTGATATCTTTGCTTCAAGTCAATTTCTGCAACTAATGTGTCTGTTTGGGTTCTTTAGGAAGCAGAACACTGAGATGGAGTTAGGAGTGTAAGCAATTTATTTTTAGGTGGTGACACTTATGAAAGCTAAAAGTTAAGGAGGCTGGATTGGAAAGGGAGAACCTTCAGACTATGATGTAAATCTCACACCTGTCACAAGAGATGGGGTAGAAGTAGGATTGGGCAGGAGAATCCTCAGACTATGACACAGATCTGGCAGAAGTCTTTGCCAACTCAACAGGGAACTGCAGAGCAAAGACAGCTCATTAAGAGAGCTACACATTGGGCAGAAATAGCCCGGACCTTGGATGCCTACTGTACTTGTCATTATCTAGAAGCTGCTCAGAAACAGTATGATTTCCACTCCAAAGTGGAGCAGGATCCCAAAGGAACTGGCGGCTGTCAGCTAACCACTCTCACTGCAAGTTCTTTCTCGAAGGGAGATCTGATTAGGGCACCTCCATGGTGGCCATGGCCCAGGATCTGGTCTGGCTGCTTCATCTGTCTCCCCTCTTTATAGGCTTAATGGTGGTTGTTCTGAAGCAATTCAGAATAAGAGGTTGGGTGCAGAGGCTCTATTTTGATCAGACCTTTGCCAGCAGACTTGCCTTCTTTGCCTGTCGAAGAATGATGGATGAGGGGAGTTTGGGAACTTGGGAATGTTGTCAGTCTTATTTCTTGTTATGTCTATACTCCCCTGCTTCTGACTCCAGCATGTCTCCAAATTATGAAACTCTCAGTTAATTCAGACCTCACACTACTAACAGAGAACATCTCAGAAGAGTTCCTTCTCTTTCCTCCCTCCTGACAGATTTTCTCTAATCTGTGTTCATCTTCTTCTTGCAGGACTTTGCCAAAAGCTTCAAGAAGTAGCCAACATAACTCAACATCCAAAATGTCTCCTGCCATTTCCCTTAACACTACAGCCTCAGCTGGCACGTGATTGGAATCTCAAGGCATGACAAGCAAGAGTCCAACGCAAATGTCTTGCCGCCACCCAGCAAGTGTTACAGACATCCAGCCTATTCTAGCTGGACCCTCACTGCTCTCTGCCCTGCCACCTCAACTCAGCCATTCTGTATTTTCAGATATTATCTGTGCTGCTCTATTTACTGCAACTAAATTCAAAGGAATGTGTTTGGCTACAAGTAACAGAGGATAGGTCAATAAAAAGGATTTTATTTAGTCTACAAGAAATCTGGACAAAGGTGGTTCCAGGGTAAGTTTAGCACTTCCATGACATCAAGGCACCAGGTTGTTATCTTAGCCAGTCTCTGGCCTTCCCCTCATGGCCACAAGATGGCTGCCACAGCTTCCAGGGTTATCCTCACCTAACAACATCCAAAGGCAGAAAGGAGGGTCACAGAAGAGTGTTATCTTTGCATGCCTCCCTCCTGTGATCAGAGAAGAGAAATCCTTCCCAGAGGCCTACTGGCATAGTTCTGTTATACTGCCTTCAGTTGCAAAGGAAGCTTGTAACATGAATCTCTGGCATTTTCATTCTTTAGAGTGGGAGGAGGACAAAGGCGGAGAGCGATTTGGAGCACAGCCAGACAGCAGCGTTTGCCATGGGATCATGCCTATTGATCTTAGTTTTCCAACCTCCAACTTGGAAATAGATAAACCATCTGTCTTCCCTTCCTGGGGAGTAGCAGGTTATGAATAAATTATGCTGCCAGAGCCCAGAGAGTCCTTAAAACAAAATACTGTCAATCCAAGGCCCTCATTTCATTAAATCCATATTAGTTTCTATTGCTCATTTGATGGCATCTGATTGTTCTCTGGGATGGGAGGTATTGGCAGAACAGGAAAAAGGGAGAAAATTAGCCCAAATCCACCTTCCCCACCACCCTCTTCCCCCAGTGCTGAATAGTCATGAGGTCCCCAGGTACTTGTTATTTCTGGCGAGCTAGTGAGCTGAGTACACAAGTCCATGGCTGGGGGATAGATATATTCCAGAAAACTCTGTGCTGGAGTGCTGGAGAGGGCTGTTGGAGAGAAGACACATTACTGATGGAGCAAATTCAGCCACCATGAGGAAGTTGGGACAGTATTGGGGGGCACTATGCCTTCATTAGCCCCTGAACCTACATCTTATAAAGCTGCTGATCCACCTTTCTGCACACATTATTCTTTTTTTAAAAATTTATTTTAACACCAACGCCACTTGCCAAATAACAGTATTCTTATCTCACAATAATTTTATCTTCCCAATTTCTGTAATCTCAGGATTCTTAAAAGGGTTATGAGAAAATTCCCTTTTGTTTCCAGAAGATGCTGCCTCTGGAAGCAGGCCTGGTTGATGGCTGATTGTAGACTCAGAGGTCTAAACCAGTCAGAGTGCCTTGAAGAATCAAATGCAGCCACGTAATCATTATTGCCATTTCTGGCAGAAGCCCTTTAAATTGGCCCAGCCTTACTATGCCAAAGGGCTGGGGAAGCAAATGCAAACAACTACTTGTTCCTCTGTCCTCATGGACTTTCCTCTCACCATCCCTCTCACAGTTCTTGTTTTGGTCTTCCCTCCTTGGGTCCTCACTGCTTTGCCAACATGTCTCCACTACATCTCTCTGACACCAGTTTCTGCTTGCTCCCTGGTGGCTGGGGGCACACACACAGGCCTCCACTGACCACCCAGGCTTCTAGAGACCTGACTCCTTGGGCCTGCTCAGGTTACTCAAGTTCATCATTACAAGCCAAGAAAAGAGGTTGTAATTGTGGATACTGCCTGGACCTTAGAGGTCCAGCTTAACTTGAACTGGCTTCTTCGGGACTTTCCTGGATCTGGCTTGCAACTTTTCTAGATCAGGGTCAGTTCCTCTGCTACCCTCTCACATTCCTAACATCTGGCTAGTGCTGGTCTGGTTCCCAGAGATGGGAACGATGCATGCCCTCCATGCCAGGGCTGTCCCAATGGGCTCTCTCCTCCACGGGCTGATGGGGCTTCTGTTTGTGAGCACTGATCTGACTCTGGTTTCCAAGAACACGGAAAGACTCTGCAATCAAAACTCAGCTCAGCCCCAATTTCACTCATTTGAAAACTGTTAATCACAAGATATTTGTACCCCAGATGTCAGCTGGGGTCCTTTTGACTTTTGAGATTCAAATGACATTGGCTTCAGAGTATAGTGAACAAAAATGTGAGTCCTACATATGGCTAGCCAGTTTTCCCAGCACCATTTATTAAATAGGGAATCCTTTCCCCATTGCTTATTTTTCTCAGGTTTGTCAAAGATCAGATAGTTGTAGATATGTGGCGTTATTTCTGAGGGCTCTGTTCTGTTCCATTGATCTATATCTCTGTTTTGGTACCAGTACCATGCTGTTTTGGTTACTGTAGCCTTGTAGTATAGTTTGAAGTCAGGTAGTGTGATGTCTCCAGCTTTGTTCTTTTGGCTTAGGATTGCCTTGGCGATGCAGGCTCTTTTTTGGTTCCATATGAACTTTAAAGTAGTTTTTTCCAATTCTGTGAAGAAAGTCATTGGTAGCTTGATGGGGATGGCATTGAATCTGTAAATTACCTTGGGCAGTATGGCCATTTTCACGATATTGATTCTTCCTACCCATGAGCATGGAATGTTCTTCCATTTCTTTGTATCCTCTTTTATTTCCTTGAGCAGTGGTTTGTAGTTCTCCTTGAAGAGGTCCTTCACATCCCTTATAAGTTGGATTCCTAGGTATTTTATTCTCTTTGAAGCAATTGTGAATGGGAGTTCACTCATGATTTGGCTCTCTGTTTGTCTGTTATTGGTGTATAAGAATGCTTGTAATTTTTGTACATTGATTTTGTATCCTGAGACTTTGCTGAAGTTGCTTATCAGCTTAAGGAGATTTTGGGCTGAGACAATGGGGTTTTCTAGATATACAATCATGTCGTCTGCAAACAGGGACAATTTGACTTCCTCTTTTCCTAACTGAATACCCTTTATTTCCTTCTCCTGCCTAATTGCCCTGGCCAGAACTTCCAACACTATGTTGAATAGGAGTGGTGAGAGAGGGCATCCGTGTCTTGTGCCAGTTTTCAAAGGGAATGCTTCCAGTTTTTGCCCATTCAGTATGATATTGGCTGTGGGTTTGTCATAGATAGCTCTTATTATTTTGAAATATGTCCCATCAATACCTAATTTATTGAGAGTTTTTAGCATGAAGGGTTGTTGAATTTTGTCAAAGGCTTTTTCTGCATCTATTGAGATAATCATGTGGTTTTTGTCTTTGGCTCTGTTTATATGCTGGATTACATTTATTGATTTGTGTATATTGAACCAGCCTTGCATCCCAGGGATGAAGCCCACTTGATCATGGTGGATAAGCTTTTTGATGTGCTGCTGGATTCGGTTTGCCAGTATTTTATTGAGGATTTTTGCATCAATGTTCATCAAGGATATTGGTCTAAAATTCTCTTTTTTGGTTGTGTCTCTGCCCGGCTTTGGTATCAGAATGATGCTGGCCAACTGGATCCCTTCCTTACACCTTATACAAAAATCAATTCAAGATGGATTAAAGACTTAAACGTTAGACCTAAAACCATAAAAACCCTAGAAGAAAACCTAGGCATTACCATTCAGGACATGGGCATGGGCAAGGACTTCATGTCCAAAACACCAAAAGCAATGGCAACAAAAGACAAAATTGACAAATGGGATCTAATTAAACTAAAGAGCTTCTGCACAGCAAAAGAAACTACCATCAGAGGGAACAGGCAACCTACAAAATGGGAGAAAATTTTCGCAACCTACTCATCTGACAAAGGGCTAATATCCAGAATCTACAATGAACTCAAACAAATTTACAAGAAAAAAACAAACAACCCCATCAAAAAGTGGGCGAAGGACATGAACAGACACTTCTCAAAAGAAGACATTTATGCAGCCAAAAGACACATGAAAAAATGCTCATCATCACTGGCCATCAGAGAAATGCAAATCAAAACCACAATGAGATACCATCTCACACCAGTTAGAATGGCAATCATTAAAAAGTCAAGAAACAACAGGTGCTGGAGAGGATGTGGAGAAATAGGAACACTTTTACACTGTTGGTGGGACTGTAAACTAGTTCAACCATTGTGGAAGTCAGTGTGGCAATTCCTCAGGGATCTAGAACTAGAAATACCATTTGACCCAGCCATCCCATTACTGGGTATATACCCAAAGGACTATAAATCATGCTGCTATAAAGACACATTCACACGTATGTTTATTGCAGCATTATTCACAATAGCAAAGACTTGGAACCAACCCAAATGTCCAACAATGATAGACTGGATTAAGAAAATGTGGCACATATACACTATGGAATACTATGCAGCCATAAAAAATGATGATTTCATGTCCTTTGTAGGGACATGGATGAAGTTGGAAATCATAATTCTCAGTAAACTATCACAAGAACAAAAAAACAAACACCGCATATTCTCACTCATAGGTGGGAATTGAACAATGAGATCACATGGACACAGGAAGGGGAATATCACACTCTGGGGACTGTTGTGGGGTTGGGGGAGGGGGGAGGGATAGCATTGGGAGATATACCTAATGCTAGATGACGAGTTAGTGGGTGCAGCACACCAGCATGGCACATGTATACATATGTAACTAACCTGCACATTGTGCACATGTACCCTAAAACTTAAAGTATAATAAAAAAAAATGTGAGTCCTAGAGTCCATCAGCCCAGATCCTACATTCGGGTACTCTTCTTACCGTGCTCTGGTGCACGTGATTTAATTTCTCTGCTTTTTGTCTATAAAATGGGCATAATAATACCTGTATAAGTTTGGGGTGCTGATTCAATAAACTATTGCAAGTGGAGCATTAAGAACAATGGCGAGCATACAATGTTACCATTCGCTCTGCCCCATGAGGAAGAAAGACCCTGTTGGATGAACTTACATTTCTTCTAGTAATCTTTGGCTCTGAGTTTCTGCTGCAGCCAAAACAGACCAGTTTCAGGAACTGTATTGACATATCATGCTCTCTGATTCTTTTCTGTATTGTCACCCCTTGCTCAGTGCCACCTTGATTCCTTCACTCTTCCAGATACTTTCTGACCGATAAAGTCGGGTATGCAGAGGCTTCCTGAAGTATTAGGGCAATGAGAAAGGATTTATATTGCGGCATTACACAACTTAGATTTGAATTGAAGATATTTAGTTCTTTTTTCTTTTTTGAGATGGAGTCTAACACTGTCGCCCAGGCTGGAGTGCAATGGCACTATCTCAGCTCACTGCAACCTCTGTCTGCTGGGTTCAAGTAATTCTCCTGCCTCAGCCTCCTGAGTAGCTGGGATTACAGGCGCTTGCCACCATGCCCAGCTGATTTTTTTTTTGTATTTTTAGTAGAGACGGGGTTTCATTATGTCGGCCAGGCTGGTCTCAAAATCCTGACGTCATGATCCACCCATCTCAGCCTCCCAAAGTGCTGGGATTACAGGCGTGAGCCACCGCGCCTGGCCAGACGTTTAGGTCTTAAAAGTCCTTTGACTCCACAGTCCCCAGCCTCTAGCCCTCTCCTCCTCTCTTTTCTGGTTGTCTTTTTCCTTAACTTTGCTTATTTCTCTGTCTACTTAGAATAAAATTATTAGGGGTTTAGCTTCTACACCAAAAATTCCTAGTACAGCACTTTCTTGCTCTTTTAAAAAAATTTTTTTTTGTTTTTATTTATTTTGATTTTAATTTTTTTTAATATACTTCAAGTTCTGGGATACATGTGCACAACGTGCAGGTTTGTTACATAGGTATACATGTGCCATGGTGGTTTGCTGCACCCATCAACCGGTCATCTACATTAAATATTTCTCCTAATGCTATCCCTGCCCTAGCCCCCGACCCCCTGACAGGCCCCAGTGTGTGATGTTCCCCTCCCTGTGTCCATGTGTTCTCATTGATCAATTCCCACTTATGAGTGAGAACATGTGGTGTTTGGTTTTCTGTTCCTGTGTTTGTTGAGAATGATGGTTTCCAGCTTCATCGATGTCCCTGCAAAGGACATGAATTCATCCTTTTTTAAGGCTGTATAGTATTCCATGGTGTATATATGCTACATTTTCTTTATCCAGTCTATCATTGGTGGGCATTTGGGTTGGTTCTAAGTCTTTGCTATTGTGAATAGTGCTGCAGTAAACATACGTGTGCATGTGTGTTTATAGTAGAATAATTTATAATCCTTTGGGTATATACCCAGTAATGGGATTGCTGGGTCAAATGGTAGTTCTGGTTCTAGATCCTTGAGGAATTGCCACACTGTCTTCCACAATGGTTGAACTAATTTACATTCCCACCAACAGTGTAAAAGCATTGCTATTTCTCCACATCCTCTCCAGAATCTGTTGTTCCTTGACTTTTTAATGATTGCCATTCTAACTGGTGTGAGATGGTATCTCATTGCAGTTTTCATATGCATTTCTCTAATGACCAGTGATGATGAGCTTTTGTTCATATGTTTGTTGGCCGCATAAGTGTCTTCTTTGGAGAAGTGTCTGTTCATATCCTTTTCCCACTTTTTGATGGGGTTGTTTATTTTTTTCTTGTAAATTTGTTTAAGTTCCTTGTAGATTCTGGATATTAGCCCATTGTCAGATGGATAGATTGCAAAAATTTTCTCCCATTCTGTAGGTTGCCTGTTCACTCTAATGATAGTTTCTTTTGCTGTGCAGAAGCTCTTTAGTTTAATTAGATCCCATTTGTCAATTTTTGCTTTTGTTGCCACTGCTTTTGGTGTTTTAGTCCTGAAGTCTTTGCCCATGCCTGTGTCCTGAACGGAATTATCTAGGTTTTCTTCTAGGGTTTTTATGGTTTTAGGTCTTATGTTTGTCTTAATTCATCTTGAGTTGATTTTTGTATATGGTGTAAGGAAGGGGTCTAGTTTCTGTTTTCTGCATATGGCTAGCCAGTTTTCCTAACACTGTTTATTAAATAGAGAATCCTTTCCCCATTGCTTGTTTTTGTCAGGTTTGTCAAAGATCACATGTTTGTGGACGTGCGGCATTATTTATGAGGCCTCTGTTCCGTTTCATTGGTCTATATATCTGTTTTGGTACCAGTGCCATGCTGTTTTGGTTACCGTAGCCTGGTAGTATAGTTTGAAGTCAGGTAGCATGATTCCTCTAGCTTTGTTCTTTTTGCTTAGAATTGTCTTGGCTATATGGTCTCTTTTTGGTTCTATATGAAATTTAAAGTAGTTTTTTCTAATTCTGTGAAGAAAGCCAGTGGTAGCTTGATGGGGATAGCATTGAATCTATAAATTACTTTGGGCAGTGTGGCCATTTTCATGATATTGCTTCTTCCTATCCATGAGGATGGAATGTTTTTCCATTTGTTTGTGTCCTCTCTTATTTCCTTGAGCAGTGGTTTGTAGTTCTCCTTGAAGTGGTCCTTCACATCCCTTGTAAGTTGCATTCCTAGGTATTTTATTCTCTTTGTAGCAATTGTGAATGGCAGTTCACTCATGATTTGGCTCTTGTCTTAAAGATAGTTCTAGTCCTGAAAGGAACTCAAGTTGCAGCTTTTTAAATAACAAAAATTCTCCTCTATATATGTTGATGATGATAACTAATTATGACAATCAAATATTTAAATGGCACTAATAATAAAATGGCAACTACCAACTATCATTAGCATGTGTTTTACAGCTTAGAAAGTACTTTCAAATTCTTTATTGTCTCATTTGAATGAATTTCCTTTTCAGTTTATGCCTGGAGTATTTGCAAATAAGGGCTTTGTAACAGAGGATGGCCACACATACACATGCACATGCACACACATGCAGACTCGTGTGTAGCGCTCTGTTTCATGTGATGCTCATGTAAAGCTCCCTGAGATAGAAGGCCTCTGTCAATCCATAGACAAAGTCATTGGTTCAGTGTCTATTGATCCTGGGTCCTGGGCTGGTAACCCTGACACAACAGGCCACCATGACGAGACATTACGGCCTTACTTTCTTAGTAGATATGTCTATCGAGTTTCTGAAAATACAGAGGATGGATGGGCTCATCTTCCTCTGGGATTATTGGGTCATTTCTCAGCATGTCTGAAGCCGAACAGGAGTGAGGCCCTGATGAATCACAGTCAGCATGCACAGTTCAAGCAGGAGAAAGCTGAAATTTCAACAAAGATTTAAGTACTTCCAAGCACACAGCCTTTCATCTTTAAGGACTAATTCACAGTGTGCATTTTATACATCTTTATAGGGTCATGTTACCATTCCTGGACCCTTATTTCTTGGCAAATTGGGGGTGGAGTGACATTTATAAGTGAATGCATTCAGTGGAGAGCTTGCCATGACATGTATTTCATTGGGAGAGGCCATAAATATTTTTTGCACACATCTGTATATCCATGTGATGCTTCATTTTGGAAAGCAACAATAACAACTGCGTCATTAAGCAACAGAGAGGCTAATGCATCAGCTGGCCTAGTAGGAAAGACAAACAAGGATCATCTTGTCAAATCAAAATGGATTGTGCTTTGCCACCAGCTGCCTGCTTTTTTGTAGGTCCCACAGTTCAAGGGTTTGAATTGAACCTGCAGTTGTAACTTAGGATATTACCACATCAGGCAACTCACCAGCATCCTTTCTGCCCTCCAAGGTCCCGGCCCTGACTGTGATGGGAAGTTCCTAGATGTCCACAGTGTGGACCAATTATTGCCCAGGCCTTTTCAAAGTGTCCCTAAATAGCTGCTGAAATGGAACACACTCAGACATGTCCCTAAGGCTCTTGGCTACTGTCATAGCTTTTAACACACTGCATTGTAATTGTCTTGTTGAGGAGAAAAATATTTTTTCCTCTCCATCTTCTGTTTATGGCAGAGTTCTCTGTTACAAACGACAGATTAACAAGAGAAAAGCAAACATATTTATTTAATATAAGTTTTATGTGACACGGGAGCCTTCATAGGGAAATGAAGACCCAAATAAACAGTTAAATTTGAATGTTTTTGCAGTCATTTTGATGAAGAGTGGAGCATCATGGAGAAATATGATAGGGCAACGAGTGTGATCTAATGGTAACAAATTGGCAGAACTTAGCAAGCGCTGTTTATTCAGATTCTTCTCTGTGTCCCTTTGCCTTCAGAGATAAGGATATTCTTTTCCTCCTGGTATAGGGAGGGTACCTCCCACATGAAAGTCTTATGACCTGCTTCAGAGGAATATCAAGAAATCCTTCCTAGGTTTTATGACCTGCTTCAGGAAAGAAGGGCAGAGGAAGGTGACAGTGATCTTCCTGCTTCTGCAGTTTTCTCAAATTTCTTCAGCTTAAAATACTGTTAAGTAGTGTGTCCTGAACACCACTGTCAACTGGAGAATCATGGAGTTTGTAAATTTTGAAAGAAGAGCTTTTATTCTTATAAAGAGTTGCAGCCTGCAGGCTGGCTGTTCCACAGGTTGAGAAGTGTAGCCTCCCACAGAAACTGAAAGCAGGCACTTCAAGGGAGGGAAGAATGAGACAGAAATGTATGCTGAATGGGTTAGCTAAGTATATATATTCAACAGGTTAAAAGAGGAGCTATGGGCCAGGCACATTGGCTCGCACCTGTAATCCCAGCACTTTGGTAGGCTGAGGCGGGTGGGTCACCTGAGGTCAGGAGTTCGAGACAAGCCTGGCCAATGTGGCAAAACCCCATCTCTAGTAAAAAAAAAATAGAAAAATTAGCCAGGCTTGGTGGCGGGCACCTGTAATTCCAGCTACTCAGGAGGCTGAGGCAGGAGAACTGCTTGAACCCAGGAGGCAGAGGTTACAGTGAGCTGAGATTGTGCCATTGCACTCCAGCCTGGGTGACAAGAGCAAAACTCTGTCTCAAAAAAAAAAAGGTATGAATATTCATGTAGGGGCATACATATGCATAGTAAGCAAACATCCATCCATCCCATGTTTGCTTTGGGGTGGAGCCTTAACATTTAAATATATTAAAATTAGGCTTTTTACATCAAAAGGTGAAATAGAAGACACAGAAGCACACAGTGTGCAGCCTCTGTAAACCAGCCTGAACAAGTCCACGGTCAGCAGCCTCTTATCAGGAAGGAACGCTGGTTGTTTGTTGTGTTGAAACCACAAACAAGGAGGGGAGTCTGGCAAGTCTTTCAAAAGGGCTTAGAAACCCTTGGAAAAGAAAGTCTAATGGCCATTAGTGGGGGAGGGGGTATACTGAGGCATGTACGACCTCCCATCCCATCATGGCTAGGAACTCAGTTTTAAGGTTACCTTGGGGTTCTCTTGGCCAAGAGGTGGTCTGTTTAGTTGGTTGATGGAGTTAGGATTTTATTTTTATTTCTCACCATCAATCTGATCACATCTCAATCTCCATTATTAGATCAAAAACTCCATGAAGACAGAGACTATGTCCTATTTCTATCCATGTACTCAGCATCTAATACAACACCTGGCATATAATAACTAATCAATAGGTTTGTTGACTGAATAAATGAATAGTCCTGTCCCAACAGGGCAAAGGAATTAATTTTTTTTTTCTGAATGAAATTATTCCTCTATGACAAAGTTCACCTCCTTAAATTTCCTTTGGATCACTTTGTCTCTTGCATTGCATGTAGGTGATGAATATTGAGAACATTTATACTTCATTTAGTCATTTTCTCCCCAAACAGATATGACAATGAATAATTTTATCATAAAATCAAATAAAAAGTGAAAGGGAAGTATATTGGGTTGGTAGCATAGAAGAAAGGATGCCTGGGATTGCCGTGAGGCTGGGCTCAATGGAGATGTATCCTTCAGCTAAGAATGGGTCTCAGCCATCTCCTAGGGGCTATGAAATGTGGATGGCTGTGTTTATCATGACTAGAAGGACCTTGTGTCTCTTAATGGGTGGGGCTCAGGGATGTTAAACATCCTGTAACATTCCAGTCAAATCTTTATGATGAAGAATTTTCTGCCTTAATGCCATTAATATTCAATATAGGAATCATCTTTTTTTTTTTTTTTTTTTTTTGAGATGGAATCTCACTCTGTCACCCAGGCTGGAGTACAGTGACGCGATCTCGGCTCACTGCAACCAGCCTCCTCCTCCTGAGTTCAAGTGATTCTACTGTCTCAGCCTCCCGAGTAACTGGGACTACAGGCACCTGCCACCATGCTTGGCTAATTTTTTGTATTTTTAGTAGAGACGGGGTTTCATCGTGTTAGCCAGGAAGGTCTTGATCTCCTGACCTTGTGATCCGCCGGACTCGACCTCCCAAAGTGCTGGGATTACAGGCGTGCGTCACTGGACCCGGCGGGAATCATCTTTTATACTTTAAGTTAGTTTCACTTCAGGATATGCCGTTTGTTTCCTCCCTCCACCTTTTTTATTCTTTTTTCCCTTTCTTCCTTTTCTTCCTTATTTCATTCTTTTCTTCCCTTCCTCCTTCCAAAACTTACTAAATATCTACTAAGGGAAATGGATGGTGATGCTTACGAAAATGAATCAGACATAGGCTTGGCCTCAGGGATTAAACTCATGCAAGGAAAGATGTGACATTTGTTTAAAAATAAAGAGAATTGGGCAGAAAGAAAGTGGAGGGAAAGTAAAGGTAAAATGTTATAGATCAGAGGAGAGAGAGATGTCCCTGATGTTTTAAATGAAATGCATCTTATAAATCAACATTTCATTATGTTTTGCAGACCTCTATAGTTTACAAAGGCCTTTCCTATATGTTCTTTCGTTTACATTAATACTTACTGTAACCCAACAAAGGTACTTTATTTGCCCTCAGATTTATTCCTCACTGTTTCTCTGCTCTGCTTTGTATTAGCAGGGGCCAGACCTTGCAAACTATGCCCCCATCCTTATTAGCTGGCTGCCATCTGGGTTTAGCTAATAGGAAGCAATGGGAGATAGAGCCTTCTCCCTTAAGCAGCAGGTAGCTGCTGCTTCTCTGGCGGTCCACTTCCTACGAGAAAAGCCTTTTGTGTCTGGACTCCAGAACTCTGCTTCTTCCCTTTTCTCTCCTGCTGAGGAGTAGTATAGCTTCCTGTTGTTGAAATCTCTGGTTTACTCCACCATTCCCTTATGACTCTTAAAGTCTCCACCACCTGAGTAAGCAATACTTTGTATTAAATTCCCTGGGCTGTAAATATCTGAAAGGGATTTTGTTTTTTAAATTAGATCCTAAGTAGAAAGAAAGCACTACTCTTACCACTTTAGAGATAAGGAGAAAGTTAAACGACTTTCCCAAGTTCAACCAGCAATAAGAGGCAGAGTCCAGGTCTGTCTCCTGACTCCAAATCCAGGCTTTTATCCACTGCCTCATACTGCCTCCCTTAGAGACTATAACAATGAAAACATAATACAAATAAAGACTTTTCCAAGATCATATAAAAGACATATCAGATTGTAGAATTTTGTTTTCCCCTGTGTGCCTTTAAATTGAGATGAGCTTCTTTTGTTTTTATTGTTCTTGGGAAAAGTTAATGTATTAGCTAGATTAGGAGAATGTAACACAAGTACATATGGATATTAGCCTGACATTTGACAAAGTCATTCACGATAGCCTACTGGAACAATGCATGTTGGTACAGTCACATGGATTAGTAAATATTTGATGCAAGGTTTTAAAAAGTCCACATAGTACCTTATGCTGTCATATCTCATAATATTTCTACGATTATCATTATGACCTCACCTTGGAATGAGGAAAAGTAAAAGTCATATTGAAAATGTTTTCAGTTTAGAAAGCTTTCATAAATATATGAATCAGAGATACATTTGTCCAGGTTACCATACCCTGGCTACAAGGATATTTTAATTATCAAATATTACTAAATTAGTTACTGAATGTTACCAATCACCAAAATAACTAATTTACTAATAATTATAAAGCCCTATTCTCTGAAAAGACCTTATGGGGATGGACCAGGATCTGAAGTAAGGGCTTGGGGATATGGGCCTGGCAAAAACAGGAAGTGGAGCTCTGTGAGAAGGCTCAGTTTGGAGGGGCTGCTTGTTCAGATTTTGCTATGATTTGAATCCTATTCTTTCTCCTGGAGAACAAGAAACTAAGAATGGGAATCCAGAAGCATCAGGTCACATTCCAAGAGTGGTTACTTACACCACATCTGTCATCAGCCAAATCTATTCTGCCTTGAAACAGAGGAGAGAAATAAGAGGAGGGGCATTTGAGCCTTATTTCATAAAGTGCATGGTGTTGAATGCTAAATTATCCATGTCTTTGAAGGGCTGAGTTTGAATGAGTTCACATATACATCCCAGTGATTCTCAACTGTGGATCCTAGATAACATTTGGAAAATTGCAGGGTTGTTTTTGTTAGAAATAATCGCTACAGGTGGTTCAGTACATGTTAGTTGTTACGACAGTTCCATACAACAAAGAATTATCCTAAAATTATCACACCTACCTCCTAGGTGCTACGTATGGTACTCTGTTAGGATTGTCTGATTAATTCCATGAAGGTCTATACTCCTGGGGTGAGGGCTGTGGCTGGGGTCTCCCCTGAAAAAGAAGGACTTCCTAAGTGTCGCTTTTCTGGAGAAGAGGTGATTTATTAGGTAAAACTCCCAGAATTATTTGGTGCAAAACATCCAAGAATGTTTCTGCTTGGAACAGATGTAGGCCCACATACAAAAGAGGGTCAACGTGAGATCATATTAGAGAAGCTGGACTTATGACCAATTCCTTTGGGCGGTGGAAGTAATAAGTTGACCTATTTCATCTAACTCCACTAATGTCCACATTGTTAGGTTGGGGGAATGCGTGAGTCTTCCTTTGATGGGTGTCTCTTAGGGGCTGAAGCAGCCTCCAATGTCCAGGTGGTGATGGCAGTGATGTAAATGAAAGAGCTGCAAAGGAAGGCAAATCCAGAGAGGAAAAGAAAACAACTGCAAAGGTCATTCATCTCTTCTCATTTGGGGAGGAGTCTCCTCCCATTGCCTACTTTTTTTTTTTTTTTTTTTTTGAAACAGAGTCTTGCTGTTGCCCAGCCTAGAGTGTGATGGTGCAACTTCTGCCTCCCAGGTTCAAGTGATTCTCCAGCCTCAGCCTCCTGTGTAGGTGGGATTACAGATGCATGCCACCACACTTGGCTAATTTTTGTATTTTTAGTAGAGACGAGGTTTTACCATGTTGGCCAGGCTGGTCTCAAACTCTTGACTTCAAGTGATCCACCCGCATCGGCCTCCCAAAGTGCTGGGATTACAGGTGTGAGCCACTGCGCCCAGACCATTGCCAACTTTGGAAGATTGAAGTGTTATTATGGTATGGCTAGATGTTCATCAGTCCTATTTCCTCTTCCTGGGCACATAGACAAAATTTCCAGCACTTGGTTTGGAGCCATATGACTGGTACGGCTCATAGGATGTGGTTGAAATGATATATGACACTTCCAGACCTGGCCCTTAAAATCTCCTGTGAGATTCTTGACTCTCTCTCTGTTCCCTATCTTCATGTACGGTGGAGCCATTCTATGGGAACAACCCAGTTTCCTAGATACTGGTTAAAGCAAAACTGTCTAGAGGAGTCACAACCAACACTGGACTGATACATGATTGCAAATTAAACTTCTGTTGCATTAAGTTACTGAGATTTGAGGGTTTATTTGTTACAACAGCATAGCCTAGTTTATGTACCACAAGTTTGAAAGGGCATTAATCAATAAACTGTGGCTGATTCCTGGAGAAAAGTGTATAGTGGTATATGACAAGGCTCTGCTTTCTGCCTGTTAATGACCTGGGTGAGAACACTGGTAGAATACTGATCAAATTGGAAACTGATAGGAAACAGGAAGGAATACTTCGTGTATCTGGTAATAACATAAGAATATTTCTAAAAATAACTAGAAGATTTTAAACACTGAACCAAATCAAATACATTTCTGTAGGGCTAAATGGAAACTACTACACTTATATCCAAAAAGCCTATCTTACAAGTATAGAATAGACGATATGTGAAAAATGACTTCAAGGCTTAAAGTGACAGTAAGGTCAATATGAGCTAACATGTTGCAGTTATGTGATATAATCTTCAGCTGCATTAATATAAATATGAAGTCTGAAACTGTAGATAGTAACATTATTCTATTTTTTAGTGATTGAACCAATACTGTGCTCTCTAAATGCTTCAGTTTAAACTTTAGGACTATCCCTGTAGGAAAAAAAATAGTCACCATTATTGTAGGAGCTTGAATTAATGGTATGAGGAATAATCAAAAGAACTGGACAGGTTTACTTTGGAGAAAACTTACTTAAAGGGACCTTGATAATCACTGAAAATACATTTTATTGATATACTTCACATACCATTACACTCGCTCTTTTAAATTATACAATTCAAATTTTTTTTATATATTCACAACTAGATAGATCACCACTATCTAATTTCAGAATATTTGCATCATCCAAAAAGAAACCCTATGTACGTTAGCAGTTACTTCCTACTTCCCTCTCCCCATAGTTTCTGGTAATTGCAAATCTGCTTTAGGTCTCTATATATTTGTCTATTCTGAGAATTTCATACAAAGGGAATCATGTAATACGTGGTATTATATGTCTCACTTCTATCAGTGAGCATAATGTTTTGAAGATTCACCCATTTTGTAGAATGTATCAGTACTTCATTCTTTTTTATGGTTGAAAAATATTGCATTATATGGATATAAAACATTTTGTTTATCCATTCATCAGTTGATGAATATTTGGGTTGTGTCCACCTTTTGGCTATAGGAATAAGTCTTCCATGAACAATGCTTCTATTAACACACATTTTAAAAAAATTTTAAGTTCTGGAATACATGTGCAGAACGTGCAGGTTTGTTAGATAGCTATACATGTGCCACGGTGGTTTGCTGCACCTTTTGACCTGTCCTCTAAGTTCCCTCTCCTTGCCCCCCACCCTGCAACAGGCCCCAGTGTGTATTGTTCCCCTCCCTGTGTCCATGTGTTCTCATTGTTCAACTCCCACTTATGAGTGAGAACATTAACGCACAATTTTTTATGTGACATATGTTTTTAGTTCTTTTGAGTATTGATATGATTTGGCTGTGTGTCCCCAGCCAAATCTCATCTTCAATTGTAATCCCCACATGTTGAGGGAAGGACCTGGTGGGAGGTGACTGGATCATGGTAGCAGTATCCCTCCATACTGTTCTCAAGATAGCAAGGTACTTCTCACAAGGTCTGATGGTTTTAAAAGTGACAGGTTGTTTTTTTTTCTTGTTCTGCTCTCTCTCTCTCTTCTGTCACCATGTAAGATGTGCCTTGCCTCCCCTTGGCCTTCCACCATGATTGTAAGTTTCCTGAGGCCTCCCCAGCTATGCAGAACTGTGAGTCAATTAAACTTCTTTTGTTTAGAAATTACCCAGTCTCAGGTAGTATCTTTATAGCAATGTGAAAATGGACTAATACAGGTATATACTTAGGAATGGAAATGCTGGGTCATGTGGCAACTCCATTTAACTTTTTGAGGAACTGCCCAACTGATTTACACATCAGCTGTACTGTTTTACATTCCCACCAACAATGACAACAGTTTCAGTTTCTCCACAAACTGTCTAACACTTGCTATCATCTGTATTTTTTATTAGAACCATCCTAGTGGATGTGAAGTGGTATCTTATTCCGACTTGATTTGCATTTCTCTAATGATTAATGATGTTGAGCACCTTTTCATGTATTTATTCCCATTTGTATATCATTTTTTGAGAAATATCTATTCAGATTATTTCCCAATTTTTATTGGGTTATTTGTCTTTTTATTATCGAGTAATACTTCTTTTAATATTCTGGATACTAGACCCTGATCAGACATATAATTTGAAAATACTCTATCCCATTTTGTGGCTTCTTTCAATTTCTTGATAGTGTCTTTTGATACATAAATTTTTTTTAATTTTGAAGTCCAATGTTATTTTTTCTTTGGTTTCTTATACTTTACGTGTCATCTCTAGGAAATCATTGCCTAATGCAAGGCTGTGGAAGATTTAACCTAAGCTATCTTCATTGTCCATAATTTAAGTCTTTGATGCATTTTGAGTAAACTTATGTTTGAGTAAATATATTTTGAGTAAAAATATGGTATAAGGTACACACCCAACTTTATCTTTTTGCATGTACATATTCAGTTCACTATTTGTTGAAAAGACTATTCTTTAATTTATTTACATCCTGATGTATTATGTCCTTTCTTCTGCTTGCTTTGGGTTTAATTTACTATTCTTTGTCTAGTTTCTTAAGGAAAAAGATTAGGTGATTGATTCAGAATCTTATTTCTTTTTTAAAATACAAATACTTACAGCTGTAAATTTCCTCCTAAGCACTGCTTTCATAGCCTCCCTTAAGTTTTGGTATGTTGTGTTTTTATTTTCATGCAACTCAAATTAATGTCTCATGTTTTATTTTTTAACCCATTGGTTATTGAGAAGTGTATTGTTTAATTTCTAGATATTTATAAATATTATAAATTTCCCTCTGTTACTGATTTCTAATTTCATTCCATTATGGTCAGAGAATATACTTTGTATGATTTCAATCCTTTAAAAATACATTGAAACTTATTGTATGTCCTAACATGTGTTCTATCTCAGAGAATGTTCTATGTGTACTTGCAAAGAGTTTTTATTCTGCTACTTTTGGGTGGAATATTCTACAGATGTCTGTTAGCTCCTGCTGGCTTACAGAGCTGTTCGTGACTTCTGTTTCCTTCTTGATCTTCTGTCTAGTTGTTCTGTCTATTATTAAAAGTGAAGTGTTGAAGTCTCCAGCTATTATTGTTGAGCTGTCTATTTCTTCAATTCTGTCAGCATTTACTCTTATGTATTTTGGTGCTCTGTTATTAGGTGCATAGGTGCAAAAATTTTGTTTTGTATTGCATTGAATTGATACATCAATTTAGATAAATTGTCATCTTGGCAATATTGACTCAATATGTGTATATAAGGGTACTTCAAAACATTTGTGGAAAAAATGAAATTCAAAGATAAAAAGTATAAACTTTATTTCCAATATAAGCTCCATCAAGTTCAAGATATCTTTATAAGTTATGGTATCAGTCATTTAGCTCATCCCTAAAGAATTGAGGGTCTTGGGAATTTAATCATGTCAATGCAGTCATTTTTTGTAATATTAACTGAAGAATGGTAGGTGCCCTTTAAAGATATTTTAAGATAAGAAAAAAAAAAAAACCAGAAAAATGTCAGAAGGAGCCAAATCAGGTCTGTAAGGTGGATTCCTAATGATTTCCTGTAGAAATTTTCACAAAATTGTCCTTGTTTGATAAGAAGATAGGAGCATTATCGTGGTGGAGAAGAACTCTGGTGAAGCTTTCTCAGGCATTTTTCTACTAAAGCTTTGGTAACTTTCTCAAAATACTCTCATCATAAGGAGATATTATTGTTCTTTGGACCTTGGGCAACCCAAAAAACTGTTGCCATGACCTTTGCTCTTGGCCAGTCTGCTTTGGCTTTGACTGAACCACTTCCACTTTTTGGTAGCCATAGCTTTCATTGTGCTTTGTCTTCAGGATCATACTGGTAAAGTCACATTTCATCTCCTGTTACAATTCTGAAAAGAAATGCTTCAGGATCTTGATCTCAGTTGTTTTAAAATTTTCGTTGAAAGCTCTGCTCTTGTCTGCAGCTAATTTAGGCACAATGGTTTTGGCACTTATTAAGTGGAAAGTTTGTTCAACTTTATTCTTTTAGTCAGGATTGTGTAAGCTGAACCAATTGAGATGTCTATGGTATTGACTATTGTTTCTGCTCTTGTTGGTCTTCTTCGATTAGAGTGCAAACAAGATAAATTATTTCCCTGAAAGAAGCTCTTTTCAAACTGACGTCTTAT
Source organism: Homo sapiens (assembly GCF_000001405.40). NCBI lineage: Eukaryota > Metazoa > Chordata > Mammalia > Primates > Hominidae > Homo > Homo sapiens. The sequence goes on from NC_000013.11 coordinate 43,177,570, forward strand.
ACTTCTTAGTGCATCAAATAGGATTCGGTTCAGACATGTTATAACTAGTACAAGTTTATTTTTGTGCAAAAAGATTTTGAAATCCATTCATAGTTTTTTCATAATACACATTTTCCATGAACTTTGTGAAGACCCCTTGTATGGTATATCTCTCCACTTATTTAGATATTTTCTAACTTATCTCAGTAATGTTTTATTGTTTCCTATGTAAAGGTTTTACATATATATTTTTAGATTTTTTTCATATTTATTACAAATGGGATGTTATTGCAAATGGAATCTCTTTAAAAGTTTTATTTTCCTTTTTTTCTAGTACAAAGATATATAATTGGTATATTTACCCTGAAACTAGTACTTATAAATCATAAATTTTAGTAGCTTTAGGTTACTTTGAACTTTGTACATATATAATCTTACCTTCTAGAATAAAAAGAAAAAAGCAACCAGTTGTTTTATTTTTTCCTCTCCAACTCTTAAATATTTATTTATTATTCTGGCTGCATTGTACTGGCTATAATCTTTATTACAATATGAATATAAGTGGTGATGTCAAGAGTCCTTGATTCATTTCAAAGCTCAGAGCAAAATCTTTCAACAATTTACCATTAGCTGTGAGGATTGTTGTAGGTTTGGATAGGTATTCTTTAATAGATACAGGATATTCCTTTCTATTCTTTGTGAACAAAGAGGTTTTTGTTTTGTTATTTTTGATTTTTTTGTTTTTGTTCTCCCCTATCTGACTGTCATTTATTTCTACAACTCCTCGAGAGAAGTAGTCATAAGTGGCCTGTTCCATCTTCATAACAGAGAAGGGCATAGGATACTTAAAGCCTACCTATTCAAAGCATGAATTACAATATATTCCACAATGAAAAAGTGATGACTATCTCAATTTCGAAGTTGATTGTTAAGCAACACAGGCTTTTAAAATAAAACAAGAGCCCATTCCAGGGGTTGCAAACGGGTGACCAGTAGGGTAAATCTGGCTGTAGATGGTTTTATCTGGTCCACAGTAGTTTTAAGCTTTTGTTTTTTCTTAATTCTTCACCAGGGATACAAAAATTTTACATTTACATCTGTGATTTCTGCCTTCTCTTTTTTAAAAAAGTTGGTAATGGGCCTTAATGCAAAATCGGCTGGAGAATAAAGATCCCTTTTTTACAAGACGTGTTCTTAAATTTGCCACTGATAGTCACATATCAAATTTCTCCTTCTAATTTTGTTGTATAGTTTTGAATCTGGGCAGACTATCTGCAATTTGGTGAAAATGTTGTTTAGTATGTAAATAAACAAAAACACCTAAATTTTACATGGTTATAGAATGCTGAATAATATAAATTGAACGAAAACAGAAAAGATGAATTAAAGGACGGGGGGTGGGGGGAAGTTTGAACTTAAAGATTCCAAAGCAAGTGAGACCATGGTACATAGTTTAGAAAATGTTATATATGTACAACATAAGGTGGACTCTGAGGCTAACTTTAGGAAAACATTAGTAATTTGTGAGGGAAACTGACAGACTACAAAGGTTGTTTCCTTTATCTTCCTAACCTATCAATATCCCACTTTGATATTAATTCAAAATGTTTAATGAAATGACTTCTCTGATAGTTAAGAAAATTTACATATTAAAACACTTATTTCTGAGGATACAGTCTATCATTTGAATGAGAAGACCCAAAGAATGCCTTACTAAACAGTAAACTGCCTTTAAGTATATCATCTGTGATCAATTCAGTAAGACTAAGTTTATTACACTTCAATTCCAGGCATAAAATGACTATCTGGTAAACTACAAAGAGCTCCTTACAAAAGAAGTCCATATAATTACAGATATTGTAGAATTCCAGGCTCTTCTCTGAAAAATGCAAAGGAATCGATGTTCGAGTACTACGGTAATCCACATCTTTCTCAGGTCAGACTATACCATATACTGCAGAAATGTTTAATCAATTTTGGCAGCTCAGGCCATGAAGCCCCACCACAACATCCTGAACTGTTACAGTCTAACTCTTGGGTCGCTGTTAAGAACTGTAGGATCTTCAAGGCTTTCTGGGAAGCTTTGCTCAGTTTGCAAATCACATAAAAGGGAAGAGTTGCCTCTTCCTGTTTGCCTGGCTTCCCTTCTGGGATTGCTTCTCTTATCAGTTTCAGGCTCTTTGGTATTTCTCTATTTTAAAGATTTCAAAGGGATGTGTAGGGCATGAGTCAAATGACACATATCCACCACCATTTGAGGCCTGATGTCCCCCGTAAGGTTGGTTGTCTCAGAATCCAGAAGTGGCTTATAGTCTGTGATAGAAATCCAATCCTCAGCAACTGCAGGGAGCAGCACTGAGGACCCACAGAAGGCCTTGTAGTCTTCCAGATCTGTCACTGTGGGCAGGCCCCACAAGCACACTGCAACTGTATACTATGGAAATACCCTATGAACACATCTAAGAGTGAGAGGTGAAGCCAGTTGGACTTCTAGGTTGGGTGGGGACTTGGATAACTTTTCTATCTTACAGGAGGATTGTAAAATGCACCAATCAGCACTCTGTAGTTAGGATTGTAAAACGTGCCAATCAGCGCTCTGTGGCTAGCTAGAGGTTTGTAAAATGAGCCAATCAGTGCTCTGCGGCTAGCTAGAGGTTTGTAAAATGGACCAATCAGCACTCTGTGAAATGGACCAATCAGCACACTGCAAAATGGACCAATCAGATCTCTGTAAAATGGACCAATCAGCAGGAGGTGGGCCGGGACAAATAAGGGAATAAAAGCTGGCCGCCCACAACAAGCCAACAGCAACCCACTAGTCCCTTTCCAGGCTGTGGTAGCTTTGTTCTCTCGCTCTTTACAGTAAATCTTGCTGCTGGTCACTCTTTGGGTCCGTGCCACCTTTCAGAGCTGTAACACTCACAGGGGAGGTCCACTTCTTCATTCTTGAAGTCAGCTAGACCATGAACCGGCAGGAAGGAACCAATTAGGGCACAAGAGCAACAGGCTGCTACTGCAAAGAGGCCCAAACAGCAGAGATCTCAGCACTTCCAGCATCCGCAGGCAACCCTACATGTTGACCCCTGTCTCACTGCCACCCCCTGATGTTCCCCCCACCCACGCTCCATCTGCCCGGTTGGAAGTGGTTTGGGGGAAGAGGAAGGGATAGCAAGTGGTAGACTATCACGTGGTCCCCCAAGCACAGGAGAGGTTGGCCAGCATTTATTAACCACGTGGTGAACGGCATGTTGTCTGAACAGTCACCATCAGGTCCTAGCAGCAGGCCAGATCAGCGCAGTGTCGTGAGGGCCCGGACTTAGGGAACGCATCCATGGCCAAGGTGAGGTAGCAGAAGCAGAAAAGGCCAAGGCCCAGCAGGCCAGCCAGCCCCTCAAACTGCAGCCCGCACTGCTGGTACATAGTCGTTGTGTGCAAACTTCAGCCATGCCAGCGCAGGCAGCACTAGCTGTTGGCTGAGCGCAGTCTCGACTTGGTGGCCTTCGGAAGACCGAACCAGGGGCTCGGGCTCAGGCTCTGGCTCGTGCTTTAACAGAAGCCTCCACCGGTGTCTGCTTCCGCGAACTGAGCTCCTCCTCCTGCTGGGCAACTTCAGTTGCAAGATGAGTGTCTCCTCCCTAGAGGCCATGGTTTGGAAGTCATTTTCAATACAATGATTTCAATACATACATTCAACACATACATTTCATTCAATACATTGATTTTTGAATGTGAAATCCAACTTTTTTTCTTAAACCCAAATTGTTCATGGTGTGTTATCATTTTTGTAGTTTGCTATATTTGATTTACTAAAATTTTGTATATCATTTATTGCATCTGTGTAAATGAGAGAGCTGGAGCTCTAGTTTTATTGTAATGTCACTGGCAAATTTTGGTTTCAGTGTTATGCTGTCCTCATAAAATGATTTGGTGAGTATTGTCTCTTTTAATACTTTACAGAATTTGTCTATTTTATGTAATTTTTTCCATAAATATTTCATGGAAGTCACTGGTGAATTCTGGATCTAGAATTTTCATTAAGGGAAGGTTTCAATAGATACAGAACTATTTTGAGTTTGCATTTCGTTTTGATAAGTTGCACTTTCCTTAGGGTTTATTTCATCTAAAATTTTAAATTAATCGGCCCAAAGTTGTTCACAATGATCTCTTATGAGCTTTCTAATGTCTAATGGGACCTGTAATAATGTACGCTTTCTCAGCCCTAATTTTAGTTGTGTGAGCGCTCTCTATAGAAACTCACACCCCTGACCAGGGCTCATTTTTTTGGGCTGGCCAGCTCCAGCCCTGGGCCAACTCTAGCCTTGTGTCTGTTTTTATAAAATAAAGTTTTGTTGGGACACAATCATACTTATTCATTTGTATATTATCTATAGCAGCACCACAATGCCAGAGATGAGGAGTTTCACAGAGACCGTAAAGTCTGCAAAGACCAAAAAAAAAAAAAAAAAAAAAATTTTTTTTATCTGGTCCTTTACAGAAGAAGTTATTTTATTCCTGATCTAGGCTATTAGTCTACTGAATGAACCAACTTTTTGTCTTAGTTTCTCCTCTCCTATGTTTATTTCAGTAATATCTTTTATTTTTTATTTAAATTTAATTTGCTTTTTAAAAACTTCTTGAAATAGTTTCTCAGATAAATTGATTTCCAGTTCTTCTTGACTGGCTTATTAAGCCATAAATTTCCCTCTAAATAAGGCTTTGACTGTGATTCATAAGCTTTGATATATTTTCATTATCATTTAGTTCAAAATATTTTCTAATTTGCATTATAATTTTTTATTTGAATCTTGGGTTATTTAGCATTGGATTTCTTAATTTCCAGATATATTTTCTAGTTATTGTTTGTTTTTAATTTCTAGGTGAATTTTAGAGTCCCCTGGGAATACAGCATGTATGATTTTTTTTTTTTCTTTGAAATTTTTGAGACCTGCCCCATTCTCCAACATATGGTCAATTTTGGTAAATATTCTGTGTGCACTTGAAAAAAATGTGCATTCTGAAATTGTGTTCAGTGTTCTAAATATGTCAATTAGGCCACGTTTTGTAATCCTGTTGCACTAATCTGTATCCTTACTGATGTATTGTTTGCTTGTTCTATCTGTTATTGAGAGAGTTATGTTATAATCTCTCATTGTAATTGTGAATTTTTTACATGTCCTTTTACTTCTGTTATTTTGGCTTTACATATTTTTCATACAAATATGGGTTAGGTACATATAACTTCAGAATTGTATGTGATCCTGGTGGATTAACCATTTTATCTTGTGAAACATCCTTATTTATCTCTGGTAATTAACCCTGCCTCAATGTTTATTTTCCTGATATTTAATAAATTGTAGCAGCTAATTCTTTGCTCAAAATTCCAATGTCCTATCTCTTCCTTCTTTTTTTATCTGACCAATGGATTCACACATCACACAATTCTTTACTTTCAATATTTAAATGCTCTTATAATTAGTACCTGTTTCCTATCAGCAATATATGGCTGATTTTTATTAAGTCTAATCTACCAGTCTTTATATTTCATTTTCAGTATTTAGTATAGATTTATGTATTTACTGATATATTTTAGTAAAGGCTATTTTTCCCACTTGTTATCTTTCTTTTTCTAATCTTTATTGACTCTTTTGAATTATTTCTCATAATTCAAATGTTCTCTGTTAATATTTATGTTATTTTAGTAGTTATCTTAAATTACTGACTTTTTAGAAAATAAAACAATGCCTTTACCTCTCCCAGACAATGTAAGGACTTTAAATCTATTCCCTCTCCATCAACTTACGTGATATTGTTGTCATGTGTGTTGATTCTATATAAATTTTAAATCCTAGAGGATGCGATTGTGTTATAGAGTCAGTATTCTTTTACATTTACCCATATTGTCACTAGTTCTATTGGTTGTTACTCCTTTTGGCATCTCCTTGCTTCATTGAGAAGTCATCTTTCTTCAACTTAAAGAATACGTCAGTATTGGCTGGGTGCGGTGGCTCACACCTGTAATCCCAGCAATTTGGGAGGCCACGGTGGGCAGATCACCTGAGGTCAGGAGTTCGAGACCAGCCTGCCTGCCCAATGTGGCGAAACCTCGTCTCTACTAAAAGTACAAAAATTAGCTGGGCATGATGGCGGGCGCCTGTAATCCCAGCTACTTAGGAGGCAGAGGCAGGAGAATTGCTTGAACCCGGGAGGTAGAAGTTGCAGTGCACTAAGATCTTGCCACTACACTCCAGCCTGGGCGATAAGAGCGAGACTCCATCTCAAAAAAAAAAAAAAAAAAAAAAAAAAAAGGATTTCCTTTAGTGTGAAGCTTCTGTGGTGGTTTTTTTTCCTTAGCTTTGTTTGACTGAAAAATGTCTTTATCTTCTTTTTTTTTTTTTTTTATAATGAGACTTTATCTTCCTGCCTTTCTAATTTCCTCCTGGTTTTTATTTTCAAAATTTTAAGTGTGATATTTTCTAGGTGTGATTTCCTTCTATGTATCTTTCTTGTGGCTAATGGAGCTTGGTTAGTATCCTTTTTCTGTTGGAACATTGAGGGTCATCGTTATTTCTTCAGCTGTTACTTTTGCTCTATTTTCTCTCCCTGGAACTCCCATTATAGGTCTGTCAGACTTTTCACCATGTCCCATTTAATTCTTAAGTTTTTTTCCTGTATTTTCCATCTTTTTGTCCCTTTGTGTCAATCAATACATTTTATTTTGGCCTATATTCCAGTTTACTAAACATCTTTTTAATAGTATCTTTTTCCTTTCTTTTCTTTTTTTTTAGAGACAGGGTCTCACTCTATCACCCAGGCTGGAGTGCAATGGTGTGATCATAGCTCACTGTAACCTCGAACTATTGGGCCCAAGTGTTCCTCCTGCCTCAGCCTCTCAAGTAGCTGGGACAAGAGGCGTGCACCTTGAACTGTACCTAATTGGCTTTTAAATCTATCCATTTGGAATCATGCTATGAGGATTTTTTTAAAACAGCTTTATTGAGACATTAATTCACACACCATACAATTCACCCATTTAAAGTGTATAATTCAGTGGCTTTTAGTATATTTACATGGTTGTGTATCCATCACCACATTTCTTTTTTACATTTAGAACATTATTAGAACATTTTTATTACCTGGAAAAGAAACCCTGACCTCTTAGTCATCACCACTTAACCTCCCATCATGCCCACCTCTGGGCAACCACTAGTCTGCTTTCTGTCTCTATAGATTTGCTTGTTTTTGACATTTTATATAAATGAAATCATGCAGTATGTGGTATTTTGTGGCTGGTTTCTTTCACTTAGCATAGTTTTCAAGGTGGATCCATGTTGTACCATGTAGCAGTCTTCATTTGTTTTTATTTCTGAATAACAATGTATACATGTACCATATTTTATTTATTCATCTGTTGATGGATATTTATGTTGTTTCCATCTATTGAGTTTTATATTTCACTGATAGTTTTCAGCTTTAGAATGTAATTTGATTATTTTTTATATTTTCTGGTTCTAACTCTTGTCAGAACTTCTTGTTAATTTATTGAACATATCTAGCTGTGTCTTACAGCTACAGTATCTGGATTGTTTTTGTTGTCGCTGCTCTGTTTCTGTTTCTTTTTCTCTCTTTTTTTTCTCTTTAGCCTTGCTTTTTTGTATACCTATTTATTCTTTATTGAACTCTTCAGATATTTTTCATGAAAAATGGCAGAGATAATTTGTGGCTCTGGATTATGCTATCCCCTCCAGAGAGGATTTACTTTGTTTCTGGCAGGCATTTAGGCAAGGAAGTTGATGACCTTAATCCAATCAAGCTTGACTTAAGTGTGAGGTGTGGTCTGTTGCTGGTTCACCCACGCATTTTAGGCCTCCAATCCTGAAAGCCCAGGGTGCTTACCAGGGCCCCTTCTTCTTAGTGATTTCCAAGTTTTGACTGTTAAATCTGGAGCTGTTAAAAGCCCTTCTCTGTTTCTCAGACTCTTAGCTGCCACCTTGACTTTGAACATCAGTAACAGCTGTAAGTATCAACGTGACTCTGAATTGTGGGTTTACATTTTTTTGGTTTTCTCCTCTTCCATATCTTTGCCTCACAAGTCTTACTTTCTTGATAGGTCTCATGTCTTTAAAAATATTTTTAAAATATATATTATCCTGCTTCTCTGGTTATTCTCAGCCAGAAGGCTTCTTTGAAACTATCTAGTTGGCCGATGCTGGAAACAGAAGTCTACCCACGAATTTGTTAAGAATCATTTCTTTCAAGGATATGGTAAAGCAAGCATTCTTACACATGGCTGATTAGAGTATAATCTAGTTCACCTCTCTAAAAAGCAGTGTTTCAGTTAGCCCATGGCCTTAAACACATTATACCCTTTGACTCAGCCATTCTAATTCTGTGAGCAAATCAGAAATAAATTATTAGAGAGGCAGAAAATATATTTACATACAAGGATATTCACTAAAACTCTTAATAGAGAAAACTGGATGTCAACTAAATATTCAATGATAAGGATGATAATTATGGTACATCTATGAGATAGAATAGTCTGTGGTGATTCAAAATCATGTATTGAAAAATATTTATTGATATAGAAGAATAAGATATAAAGAGGAAAATGATACATACTTTTCATGTAGCATGATTCCAATTTTTAAAAAAGTTACATGTTTAGGGAAAATGCTGGAAAGATACAAACCAATTTTTAATGAACTTAATGTTAGATGGTGAGATTAAGGGTTTTTAAACATTTTCTTCTTTATATATTTTTGTATTTTCAAAGGTTTTTAATATTGAGTGTGTACTATTTTTATAATGAAGAAAAAGTCACAAAAAAACCCTAAACTCACTTTTAATCTGGCAGATTATATTCCATTCTTTTAATACAGACTTTAGCAAGCTAGAAATTCTTTACATTTTTAAAGTCTTAGAAATTAAGACAAAGACACTTGCAGAAAACCACATGGGATGTTGCTGGAGAGATGACAGTGAGCATCTTCATCATGCTCCAGGGAGCAGTTGGCTGCATGACTCTAGTTGTTGTTTCAATAGTTGACAGAGGTTTCAGCCTTTGTAGACTTGGTGGTCTTCAGACTCTTACTGATTGAAAAAATACTTCTCTACAAAAGTACAACAGATTTTGGAGTCTTTTTCATTGTGAAAGTCATATATCCAACCAGATTTTATTAGCTACAGTTTTTGTTTTCAAAACCTCTGGGTGTTATTAGGGAAATTCTCTTCTTGAAATTCAAAATTGATTTTCCAGCTGGACGCAGTGGCTCATGCCTGTAATCCCAGCACTTTGGGAAGCTGAGGCGGACGGATCACTTGAGGCCAAGAGTTTGAGACCAGCCTGGCTAACATGGTGAAATCCCATCTCTACCAAAACATTAGCTAGGCATGGAGGTGTGTGCCTGTGGTCCCAGCTACTTGGGAGGCGGAGGCAAGAGAATTGCTCGAACCTGGGAGGCGGAGGTTGCAGTGAGCCAAGATTGCGCTGCTGCACTCCAGCCTGGGTGACAAAGTGAGACTTTGTCTCCAAAAAGGAAAAAAAAAAACCAAAAAACAAAACGCTTCAAATCCATTTTCATAAGAACCAATTTTTCCCACTGTTCTTTACAGAACAGGTCATTTATGAAGGGATCTTATCTTGGAAGAGGGAGGGTAAGAAGAGACAGTTTGGTTATTTGACTGATTACATAGCAACTCCATATGGGATGTTTTATTTCACATTCTTGAGTTAATCCTTAACTAATTTCTCATATCTGACCTCTGTTTTCTTTGAAATGTTGGTGAACATGTCAAACATTCTTCCCACCCACCTCGACACTTTACTTTCTTCCCCAGCTTGGTTTCAGATAACTGGCAACCTTATGATGTTTATTGCTTCAGATATGGACAGTTTAGGAACTATCCAAAGTTTCTCATTGCTCATCTGTAATAATACTTTTCATGATGGCACTAGAATCCTAAATTCTGGTCTGATTCAGGAAGATGGTCTATTTTCATATTTAAATTGGCCTGAAAAAAGTAAGGCCTTGTTGATACAGGTAGGGGTCCACTACCCTGAAATGTTGCTCAAAAGCACATTTCAATTTTATTCAAAAGCTGCTTTGATGTGTATTCCCCCAAAGCACCTTAGCTGAAAATCAAATTTTATTTTAGAGCTTTGTACAGACCAATGTCTCTTTCTAGCTTCCTGTACACCAATAAAATTGTGTATTTCAATTTAACCTCAATCTGCCTGTGTTTAAAATATAAAGCTAAGGTTAAGGGCTTTCACTGCTAGCAACCCTACCTGGACATCTCTATTTCTAGATAAAACCTTTTACTGAGAACATTTTATTAGTCCTGCAGCTCAACGCTGCCATATATGCCAGCCTGTCCTATTAATCCTTAGCTACAAAAATATCAGAATCATTTATGAGCTAAAGTTTTTTTTTTTTTTTTAGCTTTTTAATTTTCTGAGCCTTTGTGGTATTATTTGGGTCAGTTTGGTTGCTGGGGCTCCACCTCTTCCCACCTGCCCCCAACCCAGTGTCTCTGAGTTGGGGAGAAGAGTCTCAGGACCATGGGGACCAAGAGGCTTTAGGGCTGACCACCTACTGTAACTGGCTGTCTCATGCTGGCCCCTTGGCCTGATTTGGGATGCGAGATGCCCCATCACTTTCCTTTTGTGTTGTTCCTCAAGTCCTGGAATCCCACAGTAGCTCACCTTGTTTTTACCACCCTTTTCTCTTCTTTGGGGCCTACTGCACTATTTCCAAATTTTATAGTGTGTTTAGTGGGAAGAGCTGGGAGAAATGGCTCTGCACCATTTTGTATAGACTAGCTCTTTTTAGCTATATAAAAGGTTTCTTCTATTCAGACTTCTCCTCTTGTTCATAAAATGACACTCTACCTTCAGAGACCACATGTGATTTTAATGCCAGGATTCCAAGGCTTGTTCTCTGTCATATACAAAAACAATGATTAGGTTGAAGTGGTACAGAACCTTGAAATACTCTCTGGACCAGTTCTCCAGCTGAGACTCAGGATCACCTAGGACCCAGTTCCAGACATCATACTCATACTTCAATGTCATACTCAAATGAGCTTGGCAGAAATGCATAAATGTGTTAGAATTAGGGCCTGAGGAACCACTGTCATGCTTCTTTCTGCCCTTTCATGGTTAACAAAAACAGACTGACTGCTGAGCCAGGGATCTTTGTTTCTTGGAAGATTTTGCCTCACCTAACAGAAGCTTAGGTGGGTTCTTGCCTCCTAACAGAAGCTTGGCTGTGTCCACATTTTTATTCATCAAAGCAGGGGTCTCCAGTGAAGTGTGGACGTCACCAATGGGCTTTAGGAATGTTTGGTGGCTCCTGGAGAACTGGTAGAACAGACTGGAAACCTGAGTGTCTCCTGGAAAACAACTTCAGCCACATCCACTGCTGGAGTTCAGACAGAGGCATATGCTGTTCTTGACTCTTCTCTTTCATTTACCTTCCATATGTAAGACATCCACAAATCTGTTACCACCATCTTCCAATATATCCAGAATCCAATAACTTCTCATCAGCTCCCTTACTACCTCCCTGACAAGCCACCATCCACTCTCAGTGGACTACTGCACTAGCCCACTAGCTCATCTTTCCTCCCCTGTATCTCCCCTACCCCAGAAATGCAAGTCAGATGATGAAACTCATCTGTTTAAATCCATCCAATGTTTTCCATCTCATTCAGGGTCAAATGCAAAGTTCTTCAGTGGCCTATAGTGCCTGGCATGATCTAGCCCTGATACTTTACTAGTTTCATTTGCTTCTTCTCTCCTCCTTGCTCATTTCTCTCCAGCAATGTCAGTCCTTAAACGTACCAAGCACTCCCCCACTTCAGCACCCTTATCCTTGAATCCCCCAACCGCAATGTTCTTCCCCCACACATCTGCATGGCTCACTCTTCACCTGCTCAGATAGCAACCCTGTCAGGTTTTGCAGACCACTCTGTAAAATTTGTTCTCTACTCTTGGGTTGCTCTTAATCCCCTTATCCTGCTCTATTTTTCTTCATGGCACTTGGCATCACCCAACATAGATATGTATCTGTTTGCCTCTTTGCCCCTTATGGAAATGAGAGATAGGACTTTAATGCATTCCTTCTGTGTATCCAGAACCTAGAACAGAGCTTGGCATGTGATGGGCTTCCACTGTTTAATGAATAAATGAAGGAGTAAATGAATCAAGATAACCTCGTACATCTCTTCAAGGTGGAACTGGAAAGCCTCCCAGAGGAACTCGTCAGAAAGAAATAAGGCCTACAAGAGTTTTAACCAGTAACCGAGAAAGGTAATTCTGAAAACAGTATAATGACTGTCTTTAGGCCCAATGCCCACTGGACACATGTCTGGTCTTTGGAAAACAATAAGGTTGTAAATAAGATCAGAAAGATTCATTTACCTGAACTATAAAATATGAGTGCGGAAACGACACTGCTGTGGGAGTGTTGTTCTTCCCCTTTTGCCAGGCATTAGTTTTCTATCCTGTGTAACACAATACCAGACATCATCATTATGTCACAGTTCTGTAGGTCAGAAGTCCAGGCAGCCTTGGCCGTGTTCTCTGCTTAGGGTCTCATGCAGCTGATGTTAGGGTCTTGGTTGAGCTGGACTCTTATCTGGAGGTTCTGGGGAAAAATCTGCTATCGAGCTCATTCAGGTTGTGGCAGAATTAAGTTCCTTGCAGTTGCAGGGCTGAGGGTCCCATGTTTTTTCTGGCTGTCATCTGGGAGCCACTTTCAGCTTCTAGAGGCACCTGCATTTCTCCCTACGTTGCCCATCCATCTTCAAGCAAGCAACAGCACCTCAAATCCTTCTTGTGCTTTGAATCTCTCTGCCTTCTCTCTCTACCATTAGCTGGCGAAAACTCTGCTTTTAAAGAGTTCCTTAGGTTTATGTTGGACCCACCCGGATAATCTTTCTTTTGCAAATAAGGTAGCATAATCACAGAAGTGATAGCTCATCATATTTACAGATTCCACTTACACTCAGAAGGACCCACACTGTGAGTCATTCTTAGAAGTCCACCACACATCACGATCCAGCTAGGCACTAAGAGGGTTCCTGGGATCAGAGTGATACCTGATGGAGGAGCAGTGGTCCCCACTGTACCTGCAAGACCATTAGTGGGGGACTGTTTTGCCATGGGGCATATTGAAGAGAAATGGGCTACTTCTGGGAGTGGCAGCAAGATCCTTTAAGCCTGATAGGCTAGAGGCACTTGCAGGAATAGACCTGTTTATGCGCCTATGATGATGACTTTATAGAGACCTATAGAAAGACTTGCAAAGAATTTCCAAAGGTTAAGTGATCCTGCAAGGCCACAGATGAATCAAATGTGAGTTATTACTGTTCGAGTGACCATGTTTGTGTGCATACAGTAGTGAGGACTGGAAAAATGTTCCCCAGGTCAGAGCAGATGTTAGTGACTTAATCTAATGAAGTCCTGAAGATCTGAAGGACCAATGACCCTTCTATGTCCTTGTCCTTTCAATTTCAAGATTCTAAACCTGGTAAATAGCTAAGCCAGTATTCAACCACAGGTTGTCAAGCTCAAAAGCCCATGAATTTTCTCAAGAACTCTGCCAGGGATGGGAAATGGGTGGCATGCTTACCATGACGCAGCACTCCTGTGCCCTATCACTGACCACTCACCACCTTCCTGCAGCCTAGGAATCATCACGACTGCTGTCGACTACCACTGGCAATTAAATCAGAGTTGAAATCCAGGGCAGAACTTAACTCCCATCCCTGGAGACCACACTGTATCTCAAATTCCAGCAATGCCAGAACCAGAAAGATTTCCGCCAATTTCTTACTCAGCTGCAAAATCATATATTGTAAATGTTAGAGGAATACCTTGACTCTCTCTATTGTGTACCTTTAGTTGAATCTGACTAGGGGAAGGGAAGTTAAAATAACTGAAATCTTTTATACATTTTTGGACTATTAAACTTATAATTCTGGGATTTTCCTCTCCTAGCTTTTCTTTTTTTTTTTTTTCTAAGTATTTCACTGATTAAAATGAATGAGAAAGGAATTAAAATGAATAAATGGCAGGAATGTAGACCCAAAGAGGATACACTAAAGCCATTTGTGCTATTTAAACTTCTTAGAGGGAACTGATGTTAACATTAAGAGGCTGTGCTCTGTTCCCACAGAGAAGTAGCCTTAGGCAAGCTGTCAGGAAGCTCAAGTTGATGGAAGTTACTGGAAGCTCTGAGAGGCGGAGGGGGAGGGGGTTGGGGGGCATCTCTTGGATGGTGCAGCAGCTGTATTTGGAACTGGGAAGGTAGGGAAGGGGCTACTGGAGTGTCATGTAGTCCTATATTTTGAAATGCAAAGTTATCTTCTTTGTATTGATATTTCTAGGATGCATTCACATGATGCAGCCATCTCACACTAAAGATCAGATACTTCTTTCCAGATATTTCTTGTTCAGACAACCGAGACAAAAAGAAAAACCATACTTGAGCCTCAAAGACAGCAAACGGAGGTTACTCTTAAATTGGCCTTATAAGCCCGTGATCTAACCCCTACCTACTCCACCATCACTTCTCAGGATCTGGGCGGAAGCCTCACTGGCCTCAAGGTTTTCGGTGTGGCTGTTCTCCCTTTGGCCTGCTCTTGCCTACCTCTTTGTCAGACTAACTCCTATTTAGTGGTGCATGATAGACACATCTGATAGCAATAACTCAACGTAAGCATACCCTGAGAATGACCCTGAGAATGGCCCTTATGGCAGACACATCTGAATGTGGTTTTCAAGCTCGGGAATCTGGGAGCGGCCAACCTGGAGATTCATTCCTTATCTATGAGGAACACCTGAGCCCCCAGCCCGTTTTCCCCCCACCGCCCCGGAACCTGGGTCAGACAGTGGATCTAGGCCCTTTGTGTTGGGTTAAATTAAGGTTGCCAGGTGGGGGTTGTTGGGAGAGGGTGCTAAGTGAAGGTGCTGTACAAACTGCATGCTTTTTAACAAGCAACGGTGGTTCTCTTGTCTAGCCTGCTGTCACTGCACCATCTCTTTGGGTAAGTTTCCCACTGATAAAACCCTGTGTCTTGTTTGCTGGTTCTGGGACTCTTCCTTGGCTTCTTGAACTTGGTGTTGTCCCTACTGAAGTGAATAGGGATCCAACATGACAAGTTCTCTTGTCTTAATTTAGGTGCATGCCTTGTGGGGCTCTTCTCTGCCTTGCAAACCTTATCAGATGCCCCAGTTACACACTTGCCTAGAGCCTTGTACTTTGCCTCAGTCACACTTGTGGTTACTGCTCAGTAATGCTTATTGAATAATTAATTTATTGTGTGCTGTAGTTCTTTTTATAAATGAGATTGTCAATTTCTTGAGGCCGGGAATTAAGTCTCTTTCGTTCACTGCTGTATCTGCAAAACCTCGCTCGGTATTTAATACTCAGCAAGGGCTTGGCAAATATGTGTTGAATGAATTACCGTGAGAAACAAAAAAACTAGAACCCTGGAGCACTGGCTATGATAAAAACATGCAGCAGGTGGGTTTTGTTTTCAAGGCACTTCTTCCTCTGGTAGCATCTCTCTTCCTGCATACATCCACACATGCCAGGCTCATGTTCATAGGGCTTAGCTCCCAGTTGACTGTTAGGTATTTCCTCAACTAACGAACTGAGTTGACAATGACCAGGGCTGTTTTGAGCTATATTTGGAGAATTTTAAACAACAGAGATGTTTCTAAACTTTCAGCTGCTTGGAAGATTTTAAATTGGTAACCAAGGTAGTGATCTAGGAGATGTCATGTGCTATAAGGAGATTCTCCCCCATACTATTAAAGGAATCTCCAAAATGAGGCCGCATAGCAGATGGGGGTAGGTGGGAGGGAAATTTTTGTGGCAGTGGTGATGCAGGTGGAGTGAATTAGATCAGCTGTTTTTGTTTTTAACAGAAAATTGTGATGGTTGAAACTGTCTGACAAGACAGCTGGCATTTTTATTAAAGCCTTCAGCAACTACACACCTCAATAATATGAGGAGGGGCCCTGCCTGGTTGATTGGTAGGTGGATGGTTAATTGGTTGTTTTCTTCTGGTCAAGCTTGACTTTCTAAATGTGTAATAAAGTCATAAGACTTCCATGCGTTTGCCCGAAATGAGCTTTTCTGGTCAGAATTAACTATGTGTAGGCTGGTGCTCCCAGAGTGGTTGGTAGACATTTTATTTGGTTTTGTGCTCCCCCAACAGGGAGTAGCCCTTTTAGGACAGGAAGCCCATTTCCCAGATCTGTGTCCAGAGCCTCAAGCCCAGTGCATCACGAGTCACTCCTTAAGACGGATGTGTTGATTTAAACCCAAACGAATGTTTTAGAGGAGCCGCCTGGCCTGGCCTCTCTCACTACCAAGCGTTGGTTGGCCAGGGAGAAACAAGTCTGAGGTGTCTGGTGTGCGTGCGCATGCGCGCCCTTTCTCCTTTTTTCCTTCCGAGTTTTTCTCTCCTCTCTCCTGCCTTTCTTTCTCTTCTTTCTTCCTCCTTGTCTCTATCTCAGTTTCTGTTTCTGAGTGATTCTTGTCTGTTTCTCTCCCTTTTCCTCCATTCTCTGTGACATGAAGGGTTTATAAGTTGTTAAGTGCACAAGCAACCCTTGGCAAGAGGAGAAAAGAGGGCAGAAATCCAGCTACACTATACTGGCTGAGGCATAAGTGCTGGCATGGGATTTTGTCTGCCCAGAGAAGGCATCTTTTTCTAATGTACACAAAAGTGTTTTGGGGGCTAACAGCGGCCCTTTCTTTCCCTAGAATATTACCAGGGAAAACAGTCATTTTCTACTTTCCTCTGGATCCGGGCTTCCTCGTATCTCAAAAAACCCGTCATTACCCTCCTTCTCTCATCTGCTGACCAAACCTGGGCAGGTTGGAATTGCATTTCTATTGGAAACGTATTATTAAAAAAGTGTTTTGCAGTATTTAGGGCTTGTGTCTTTTTTTCTGCTTATCTTTTATTTTTGTTGGGCTCTTTTGAGTAGAAGAGCTAAACTTTTAATCATTTTCCTTAGATGTTTCCCTCTAATTTTCTCTTCCCAATTGTCTATATAACTAAACCCTCCTAAGCTCTTGTTGATCCTCTGGCAGTGAAGGTGTGTTTATATAACAGTGGTGTTTGTTCCATAATCTCTGACTGAAAATATTGAGGGTGGGAAACCTTTGCATCTGCAAGCTGCCTGACAATCAGAACTGCAGACAGGGAAGTTGGCGTTTTGAGAATGCTCTTGAGATTGAGGTCCATTTCTAATTATCTCTTGTATCTTTAGTTCCTGGCACATTGCTTAGCACATAACAGGCATTCGTAAAGACTGCTGAATGCCTGAAGAAGTGAGTGAATAAATCCTCCTCTAGCCACAGGCTATTTAGGAGACTCACACTAGTATTAGGAGTAGCTGGTATAAATCCAGGTCAGGGCAGGCACTGTCCCTTACATTCCACTGACCTGAGCTGCAGTGAGATGATACTTGTATTAGGCTCTTGTGAGATTCAAGAAACAGGAGCATGCTAAGGTTAACCCCTTAAAGAACATAAAATACATGGAAGTCAGGGAGACTGGAAACCAGCTCAGTATGTATAGAGAAGGTCTCCCGCAAGACCACGCAGATCAAGAGAGCAGGAGAGATTGTTCCCTGACCTGCTGCTCCACCATTGTGATGACAGTGATTTTGGCCTGCCTCTGCTATTCCCGTTGACTGCTGCTTGCTCTTCTCCAACCTCACACCTCTGCCTGGTGTCTGGCCTTGGAGTTTCTCCCAGTTTCTGTGGATTCTCCTTTCTGGTGGCTGTCACTATAGGTCCCACCGTCCAGCTCTTCTGACTGGGTTGTCCAGCTATGTCCAAAAGAGGTCCTGCTGTAGAATGCAGAGCCCTTGTACCAGGCTGCATCAGGGACACTGTTCTGGATGTGGCAAGCCCCTCAGACAGGGACTATTGGGGCAGGCATTTGAGGCTTCCCAGAAGTACTTGGGCTGTGCGCTTTGTGAAGATTGCTGCTGTATCTTGAGTGTCAAACCAGAATGCTTTTTCAGTTTACAGTCATACCTCATTCACTTAGGGCTGGCTGTCTCAGGAATACTTTTATGATACACACAAATGCAAATCCATGATGGTGCCAAACCTTATGTAGTCAGTAAAAAGACAAAAGAACCCCAGGTTGACAATAGAGGGAGCACTTTCGAAGCTCTCAGGCAGGGGCACCTGCAGGTCATAGAGACCTAGCTCTCCTTGATTTAGGGTCACTTTTCCTCAGCTGTGATCTGTCCTTATGTTCTTCACCCACAATGCCTGACAAAAGACGCTGGAGGTACCTCAAAAGTGCCAGAGGTGGTTTTACGAAGTTTCAGTCTCTTTCAAGAAAATGATTGAGGAAACAGAATGAGGCTATTAGGGATTGGCAGAAATTCTTTGACAATATAAAAGAAGGACATCATAAGACTCGTCGCAGCCTGGGAGGACTGCCTGATGATCATACAGTATTGGAAAGAATGATGTTAGAGGTTGTCAAACTTCAGGGGATTTGAGGAGGACAGTCACTGTCTCTTTAATGATTATGCTGTAATGACTGTGTGCATTGCTTATCTCATTTTGGGGAAAGCATTCTCCCCACCCTCAAGCTATTTCCCAAGAAATGAACACAGGAAATTTCCAAGAAATTTCCCAAGCATTCTCCTGGACAGTTACCAGGAGAAGAGCCCTCATCTTTCCTCTGTCTTCACAAAACTGGGGCTCACTGACATTTTCTTTGCCAATGTAAAGGGCTGAATCTGTTCTCTTGTTCCACGGTGAGTGTCGCCATAAGTCCAGATACTGTTTCCCTTCTGGGGACTTGGCAGCTAGCCTGAACCTCCTGCCTGGGATTAGCAGGGACCGGGGGATGGAGGGGAGGCTGCCCAGGTCATTGTCCTTGTTCCCCTTGATCTCTCCCTTTAAGCAGCAGACTCAGTCACTGGCGCCATCAATCTAGCACATTTCATAAACAGTAAATTCATTTTAAAAACCTGCTGCTGAGCAGCCATCTGTCTCCATTTTTGTCAATCTGCTGTTACAGCAATGCTAGTGTACTGTGAGGTTGTCTTTCATTAAAGACTCCTTGATCTGAAGGTGAGCACGTTAAACATGGAGAGGAGCTCTGGGCCAGCTGACAGCATTTCTGACCACTAGCCTTTCATCACCGGAACCTGGAGTTTAAAACTTATTTTTGACCTAAAATGATGATATTGATGGTTTCTGTATCTTGCTGTGCTTGATTTACATACTTTAAGATTACAGAGTGTTCTAACATCCTAACTTACTACTGATAAGGTAGGAAGAAGACTGACAAGTCTTATTACCATTTAAGTATTACTGTAGATAAACAGGCACAGAGTAGTTAAGTGCCCAAGGTCACGTAGCAAGGATGAGAACTGGGAATATACTGGAGCTATGGTCTCCCTCCTGAATAACTGAGTCATCTCTATCTGTTTTTTTTTTTTTTTTCATGTGACCATTTCACAAAATCTCTACACATGGACATTTTGCTCTCCAGAGACCAGTCTGAGCATAGCAAAGAGGATTGGAACCAGCTCTGAGCTGAGTTGTAGGAAGAAGCTGACACCTGGATCCCAAGCCAGTTTTTAATACATAACATCCTACAATGTATTCTCTTTGCAGCACACAGGACCTCTCTCCACTAATCATTTTTATTAGGAGGAAAACATATTAAAACCAAAAAACCTCAACAACATAAAATCACTGAAAGCAAGCCAAGGATGCAGACAGCACCAGACGGGATTGTAGGCAGTGGAAACACTCTCCTGCAAAGGAAGCGTGTTAACTTACGCTCAGGCCCCATAGGCTTGTCACTAGATGAAATAATCTGAAGGAACTCAGAGGGTATTTTCCTGTGCTTACCACCCCTAAGCACCCTTACAAGCCATTTTGGATAATAGAAGAAGAATCTAGGTGGGAAGCTGGTTCAGAGCCCATCAGAATTCCATTATGCCCATGATGTTGGCATGCCCTGTTAACATGTTAACATTTAGACCTACCTAAAATAAGTCAGATCTAATCTCCAAGCATAGATTTCAAGGCAGTAAGCCATGCTGCTGTTCATTCCTGCGGCATCCTGGGTTGTCACTCCCTGCATTGCTCCCCACCACCTTCCTTTGAGGAAAGTGCTTGGCTTTGACGTGTTCCCTCTAGTGTCTGTGCTAATCCTCTTTGTGGCTCTTCTACTGCTTTGTTCTTATTTTTGACACGTTGAGCAAAGCACCTGGAATTGGAAGAGTCAGCTTCTCTTTGAGCAATCAGTGGATGCCAAGAATAATACTTCTGCCTTATTCTTGTTCCTTGGGGTGATGGTGAATTCTGTGTGTCAACTTGGCTAGGCTGTGGTGCCCCCTTGTTTGTTCAAACACTTGTCTAGATGTTGCTGTGAAGGTAATTTTTAGATGTGATTAACATTTCAATCAGTTGACTTTGAATAAAGTAGATTACCCTCCATAATATGGATGGGCCTCATCCAACCTGTTGACGGTCTTAAGAACAAAGACCAGTTTCCTAAAGAAGCAGCAGTGTTTGCTTCAAGATGGCAACATAGAAATTCTGCCAGAGTTTCCGTCCTGCTGGCCTGCCCTGAAGATTTTGGACTCAAGGCTGTAGCATTGACTCTTATCTGTATTTACAGTCTGCCTACCTGCCCTACAGATTTTGGACTTCCCAGACTTCATATTTGCATGAAACATATCTTAAAATAAATGTCTGTCTACCTATCCATCCATCTACCCACTCAAACTATTTGTTCTGCTTCTCTGGAGAGAGGCACGAATACACTAAGCAACTAATACACTTAGTTAATTTCAACATTTCCTTCTCTACAAAGGACTAGAAGCTAATTAGAACATTCTGGAGCTGCCCCAGCCCTGCCTCTTATTAGCCCTGCCTCTTGTGTGATCTTGGGGAAGTTGCAAACATCACTGCCTCTGTTTACTCAACTGTTAAATAGGAGTAGGGTATTTGCTGCTAGGTTGTTATGAGGATTAAATGAGGATGTGCCACAGAGTAAATGTTACGTTTTTAAAATTAAAGCAAGTATATTAGAACATATCCAGCACTTTGGGAGGCTGAGATGGGTGGATCACCTGAGGTCAGGAGTTCGAGACCTGCCGGGGCAAAATGGTGAAACCCTGTCTCTACTAAAAATACAAAAATTAGCCAGGCATGGTGGCATGCATCTATAATCCCAGCTACTTGGGAGGCTGAGGCAGGAGAATCACTTGAACCTTGGAAGTGGAGGTTGCAGTGAGCCAAGATCATGCCACTGCACTCCAGCCTGGGCAACAGAACGAGACTCCATCTCCAAAAAAATAAGAAATTATTTGATACAATATCAAATCTATTGATTTGATGTTGTAGGCGTATAAAGATGTTCATGTGTGTTCTAGCATGTGAGGAAGGCGGGAGGAAATGTGGAATGCCCTTCACGTTGTTCCTGAATCATTGCTTCTCGTTTTCTGGAGGAGTGTGGTGGTGTGTTCGTAAAGGAAAATGTAGGGGCATTGGAGGTGGATCAATCCACCCTTAAATCTTTGTTCTCCCATCTTACCACTTTATGATTTAAAGCAAAGGTTACTACCTTTTTGAGACTCAGGACTTTTTAAGACCCTTAGTTTGACCCTAGCTCTGTAGAGGTGGAGGTCTTGAGAATGTGCTTAGATGGGTCCGCAGAGAATTCACCCTGAAAAGGAAGGAACTGGAGGACACAAGCTTGGCACATGACCTTGATTAGTCACCACTAGGACGCAAGACTTCAATGTGCCTACTCCCCAATTTTGCCACTAAATTCATCCCAAATCAGTCAAGAGTGATGGCTATAAAAGCTTGGAGAACATTCTCCCCAGTGGAAGCCTAATGAAGAGCTATAAAACCTGGTGAATAGAGCAGCAAAAGGTGTTGGCAGTCGAGGACAAGTAGAAAAGAGAAAAGAACTGCTGTTAAATGATGAGGGTTTTTAGTGTGAACAGCTGTTGAGATGTCTCAGTTGGACACAAGGGCGGGGGCTTGGAGGGAAGCTTGGCACCCCACGGTCATTACCTGGTGGTGGTGGTGGGGGGATCAATTTTTACCAAAAATAAAAATATATATTTTTAAAATTTTTTTTCTTTTCTCGTACTCTGGAGCAGCTGTTCTTAGCCAGTGGAGATTTTGCCCCCCAGGGGACTTTTGGAAATGTCTGGAGTCTTTGATTGTCATGAAGGGGACCAGGGTTGCTGTAGTCATCTAGTGGGCATCTAGAGCTGCTAAACATCCCACAATGCACAGAGCAGCCCCACGAGAAAATACTCGGCTCAAAATGTTAGTAGTGCCGAGGTTGAGAAATCCTGCTGTGGCGGCCCTCCGTGCCTTAAATGAAGAGTAAGCAGCCCCGGTACGGACTGTTACACTGGTGGCAATAACAGCGTAGGAGTCGCATGGCTTCTCGCAGGAGAGCAGGAGGCTCAAATGTATTTTGGATGTTTCCTCTAAGACGATGAATTGGCTTGAATGTCTTGTGTGGTGCTGTCTCACCCAAACCAGGTGTATTTCAGAATTGATTTGAAAATGACTTGGAGACCAGTTCACCTATTGCCTCAGCATGATGGTAACATATAGCCAGGACAGAGTCCATGACAGTAAAATGGCTTTGATGAAGTGACTTTGTTCCTGCTCTTCAGCTGGGGCTTTTGGCTCCTCATTTGATCTCCCCAGTTAGAGTGCAGACTCAGAGTGGCCAAGGGCTGCAGATCCTCCCTTTCCTGGGCCTCCCTCCATTCCTCACAAAGGGCAGGACCTCAAGAAAGAAATGTTTCATAGAGGAAAGTCACCCCCTACTTTAATATACTTCAACAGGCTGACAACCTGAAAAAAAAATTAGGACAGGAAGGAGAAAACCATCTCAGTGATGAATGTTCTAAAATTAGAGTCTACAATGCAGGTATTGTATTTCTTCAGAATATTAATATACCCTCACTGGAATATATCATTGAGATTTCACTGGAAAATTAGAAAGGGCAAGGGAAGAGTTTCAGCCTGAAGGCTATTTTGAATATCTTAAGTGATTGAAATAAACAAATTAAAAAATGAATTTGTTATGTTCGGTACTAGATTTATGACAGGGCAGTACGTTTGAGGTCATTTTTACTGTGGCACATGAGGAAGCCTCAGAAGATTTCTATGTCCCAAAGACTGTTCACAAAAATCTTTTCCAGATTCTTCTAGCTGTATGGGAGCATAGAGAATGGTGTTTCCTATCGAAAGTGTTTAAGAGGCTGTCACTTGCTCAAGATCATTTAGTCAGTGGCTAAGCCAGAACTAAAGCCAGCTTCCTGGCTGTGAGACCATCACCCTGTGCTGCTCTGCATGCCATTTGTCATGGTGTCTGACATTCCACCCTTGACAGGTAGGGAGATAAAGAGATGATAGGTATTTGGAATCAGGCAGATGTGAGGATACAGCACAGTTTTGCTCCTCCTTTTCTGTGGGGCTTACTTAACTTTTCTGATTCTTGGTTTTCTCATATGAAAGTAGAGAAAATAATTATTATTAGTGGTTTACTTAGCTGTGTCATGAAAACGTCTAGGCCTCGAAAAGCTCCTTACTATAATGCAATTATTACAGTGACTTTTTATAACATAGACGGGTGTTACTCAGATTGTGATTCACGAAACAGTTCTCAAGATGTGTTTAAGATTTTCAATAATTAATGTGTTTCATGGCTAAATAATTGTAGGAGACACCAGTTAGGTCAAGGTAAACAGAATAGGAATTCTTAGAGCCTTCAATAGGCTAATGGGTATGACTTAATAAGAGAATGTAATAAGAAGCATTTCACAAATATGTATGACCATAGAACTTTTTTTAAGTGGAACATCTGATAATATCTTGTGGGATGCTAGTTTCCATGGGACACAGTTTGGGAATTATGGTAGGTTGATTATATTGATGTGTCCACTCCTTTTTTCTGGGCTCAGATACGTGACTTATTTTGGCTGATCAGCAGTTAACTGGCATGATGCAAGCAGAGACTGAGAAAGTCCTTGTGCATTGAGGCTTGCTGTCTTGCTGCTCTTTATAACTACAAATCTTAATCTTCCCTGGCTCCTTCATCATAACTGTTGTATCGAACCCCTGTAGACTCCACTGGGGATGGTACCAGGTTCAAGAGGCTGAAGAAGAGACCCAGAGCCAGGGAATGAGACATGAGATTTTGCTGGGGGCTTACATACGGGGGAGAGAGTCCAGTGTTGACGGGCTGGACAGAATTATTGCATGGCCTAGTGGTGGTGGGCTGGGCAGGAGAATCACAACTGCTTGCAAAAAAACGTGTGGCTTTTATAGCATTTTCACTTAACACCCTTTACCTGACAGCCTCCACTTGGCAACTTTCATGCAACCCCAATCTCCATGTTTCACTGGACAGATAGGGAGCTCAGATGTTCCTCATAGACAAGGAATGAATCTCCAGATTGGCCACTCCCAAATCCCCTAGCTCAGAACACACATTCAGGTGCACCTGCCATATAGGGTCATTCTCAGGGTGTGCTTAAGTTAATGCTGTCGGTTGGCATTTACCATGTGCTAACCATGAGTATATGCTAGGGTTAGCCTCCTGGAAGAATGAGAAAGATGTGGGGGGAGAGTGGGATTGACAAAGCTGAGGTCATTTGACCTTATTGCCCCAAGATAACCACTAGCCAACCACCATCAGAAATGTGAGTCTCAGCTGAGAGCCAACTGACCTAGAAAACATATAAGTGAGCCCAACTAGGATCAGGAGAATTTTCCAACTTAAATTACAAACTTGTAGGCCTGTGAGCCAATCAATGATGGTTGTTTTAGGCCACTCATTTTTGTGTGGTCAGTTATGCAGCATTATGTGTAGCAATGTAAAGCTGATACAGGAATTAGAATGGAAACTGATAGGAAAGTGGAATGTTCACACTCTGGCCCCAACTCTTTCTTTTATTCCCATAGGTAAAATACACTCTCTCCCTCCTCCCAAGATCCTTAAAGGTCTCATCTAATCATTCCATCAGGCTCAAGGTCCAGGATCTCAAGGTGTTAAACAGGTCCTAATGCAGTTCCTTGGGTACAGTTGCTTTGAGTTGAAGATCTATGAGTGAAAAAGATAAGAAATCTGACCTTCAAACCTAATGCAATAGGGTAAGAAAGGACAGAATAAGTATAGTAGACAATCTTATTCAAAAAGGGAAAGAATGGAAAGCTAGTAAGAGGCACTGGCTCATAGCAATCCTGAATTCCATCCCTGAAAATGCTGCCAGGACCTTCTCTTCCAGAGGAGGGAATATTCTTGATTAGGCCTCGGTTCTGCCTCGTGGAAGTGACTTCCCAGTCCATTGTTTTCTAAGGCTGTGTTCTGTACCATCTGGGTTGTCTTTTCTACCCCCTTGGCTACTCCTGTGTGCTTTAAACAACTTTCTTAGCCTGTTTCCAGATTGTGGAAATTAGAGACCTAGAGGTTTTCTTACATTTTGAATAGTCTCAATATCTTTTAGTATAAACTGGTGATCCTTTTGTCAATATAGTACCATCAAAACTTTTGTGAGTTTCTTATAAATCTAATGGGCCAAAAGCAACACCTACAATAGTTTTAGAGCTAGATCTCTCTCTAGATTCAACCATGGTTATTTGGGCAAGTTAAGTACTGTGAGACAGTGCTCTTAAAACTCCTAGTAGCACATTTGTTGAGCTTAGAGGATCTGCTGTTTTCTGTCCTGTTTCTTTCCAGGGTCTTAATAGACGGTCTTAAAGCAAGTATTTGATTAGATCCTTGTCTCAGGCTATATTTTACTTTAAGACTCTTTTGCCAGCTGAAGAGACAGATGAAAAGCAATTTTCTTTTCCAACCAAGAAGTCCTAGTTCCCCTATGGTCTCTCTCAATTTGCTTAGGCACTGGACAGTTATTTTTCTAGCCCTTTCATTTCTTATAGAATCTTACCAGTATGCAGCAGACACTTTCAACATTATGCCTGGAAATGTTATTGCTCAAATCTCAAGTTTATTAGGCACATTTTCTACCATCTGAATTGACACATGTAGCAGTTTTCTCATTTTTTTGTTACTGCATAACCCATGCTGTCATCTTTCCATTCTCTTGTAGCAGTTTCCTCATAATTTTTCTAGCCTCTGCCCATTTTTTTTTTGTTATAGCAGCCCCCTAATTCTAGATAACAGTTTCAATGTTAGTTACTTGTTGCCACAAATAATGTTGCATGACAAGTCACCCCAAAATTCAGTGGCTTAAACAATCATTTATTTAGCTCACAAGTCTGCAGATCAACTATTGAGGCTGCATTGTTCTTGTCTCTGACATATTTTCTTGAGGAATCAACTGACCATCAGCAGATCCAGATGGCCTTGGCTGGGGCCACTTGGCTAAGCTGCACATATGTGTCATGGCTAGCCCAGTGAGCTAGCCCAATGCATTCTCATTAGCAGTGTCTGAGTACAAGAGTATGCAAACCTAACCATGCAAGAGGGCAAGCACAAATGCACAGAGGCTTCTCCAGCTTCTGCAGCCGTCTCATTGGCCAAAGCAGCATAAATGATCAAGTCCAGAGCTGGAACAGGACAAGATTACAGTGTTACAGAGCAAGAGGTATGGATATAGATAGACCATTAAATAGTGCCGTTAATAACCTCTGTATGCCATAGAAATTATTTCTGTGTAAATATAAGAATTTCTGCCAGGTGTGGCGGCTAACACCTGTAATCCCAGCACTTTGGGAGGCGGAGCAGGCAAATCACTTGAGTTCAGGAGTTAGAGACCAGCCTGCCCAACGTGGTGAAACCCCATCTCTACTAAAAATACAAAAATTAGCTGGGCGTGGTGGCAGGTACCTGTAATCCCAGCTACTGGGGAGGCTGAGGCAGGGGAATCTCTTGAACCTGAGAGGTGGAGGTTGCAGTGAACAGAGATTGCACCACTGCACTCCAGCCTGGGCAACAGAGTGAGACCCTGTCTCAAAAAAAAAAAAAAATTCCTGAGTTAGAACCTTGTGCCAGTGCCTCTCTGGAACAGAGTTCACTGATGTCCTTGTGGGTTAACGGTGTCAGTTTATTTTCCTTTTCCGGCTCTTTCATAAATTTGTTTGAAGTATTTTCAATCCTCCTACATTTCCTGCCAGTATCATCTTTTCAAAGTAAATTCCATATGTTTATTACCTACAGGGTTGAGTGTCACCTTCTGTTATTTGTCCTAAGTTAGTCATCCTACTGGGGAAAGTGAATAGCTGAAAGAAATAGAGGGAGGAGAGGGAAGAACCTGAGGGGTCAAAAATGATTGCCAAACCCAGAGGTATCTGGAGGTCAGTGAAGTTGTGAATGTGTGTAAATGTGGCTACATATGTATATGTTTGTACCAGATGTGATGTTTACATGAGTGTGTATACAAGAATTTTTATTAGTGTGGGTATGTGTGGATGTGTATACATCTGTGTATTAGTGAATGTATATGTGTGTGGTAATGAGTATTCCTTCCCAGTTCATTGAAAATCACTATACGTGACCTGATTAATCAATGAGCCAGTTACATAAGTACTCACAGAGCAAAGCCCTATGGGAAAAGAAGGAAATATGAAATACGGAGTCAAAAAGGTTGTAAGAACAAAGCAGGAGTTGGGGGCTCTTACACCCCAGCTTTAACTTCCAAGTTTGAGAAATTCTAAATGGCATTAAGGACCATTTAACTCCTTCTCTCCCCACTTCCTTCCTCCGGTCTGAACATGGGGAGATATGGGATAAAAACAACCACGTTGCCTTCCCATAAAGTAATATGAAACAAAGGAGCACAAGATGGATTTTATCCCTTTGATTCTCCCACCAAAGTGTCCCATCTTTACTGGAGATAGAGGACCCGGGAGAAGATATCTAGTCCCTTCTCTGTCTCAAGAGTGGGATGATGTTCTATTTCCTCCGAAATACTTTATATTTGAGAAAACATACCAGGTATGTCTTTGCCAAGACTCTCTTCCAAGAGGCCTGGTTTGAGTTAGGAGCTTGCCTGTTATTCACTGGTTTCGTGAGTTCTCAGAATCTCTCAGTGAAGCGTCAGGAATCTGGGGTTCTTTGGAAGTCCTAATTCTAGTTCCACACAGTGCACAAAGCTCTTAAGACAGGTGGGAGATTTTCTGTTATGTTGTATGAAAGCATTTGTTGTTCTAGAGAGGAATCAGAAAGTTGATTCCACTTGATGTATTAGTGGTGATCTCTGAGGGGAAACACCTTTCAATTGGGAGGGGACGGTGAAGTCATGAGATTGAAAACTTTTGCTTGAAGAATTCTGTAATCCTAGATGACCTAGTACTACTTAGTCAATGGATAAAATTACAGAATTACTCTATAAGGGTTAGTATTATCCCATTTCAGGATTAAACCTCAAAGAGATTAAATCATGTGCCCATGATCACTGAATTGGGATGATTCCAGAAGAATGCTCTTGGGCACCTCACTCTACTGCCTCTATGGCCGGTGATCTATCCCCTCCAGAGCAAATGGCTATGCACTTCATTTACCAGTCCCCCATGGTAGAGCAGCAATACAAAAATGGGTTGACTAGGCCGGGGCACGGTGGCTCACGCCTGTAATCCCAGCACTTTGGGAGGCTGAGGCGGGTGGATCACAAGGTCAGGAGTTCGAGACCAGCCTAGCCGACATAGTGAAACCCTGTCTCTACTAAAAATATGAAAATTAGCCGGGCCTTGTGGTGGGCGCCTGTAATCCTGGCTACTAGGGAGGCTGAGGCAGGAGAATCGCTTACACCTGGGAGGCAGAGGTTGCAGTGAGCTGAGGTTGCACCACTGCACTCCAGCCTGGGCAACAGAGTGAGACTTCATCTCAAAAAAAAAAAAAAAAAAAGGTTGACTATAGGTTAGCACAGTCTAGATTTCACACTGTCCCCCGCTGTCCACAGTCTAATTGCATACAAGGCTCAGCCTACAAAACCTTGTCTTAGATACACATTGAACCAAAGTTCCCTTTATCTCCTCAAGGAACAGACAGTGAGGTGCAAAATCCTACCCTGTTGTTGCTCAGCCTTAGACAGTGAGAATTAATCTAAGAATTAATAGTACTTCATATTTTAAACTTGATTTACTATGATTGCAAGTCTTAAAAATGATGCATGATATGTTGATTTTGATATAATAATGTCTGTTTAATAAAAGACCCACAGTAGGTTTTCATACATTGTCTCCACCTGAAGATAATGTTTGACTTCCCAGACCATACTTGCTATTCTATCTCAAGAAATACTAGAGAAACAAATCCTCACTTATGCATAAACATATTCAAAGGCAAAAGATTTCTTTATTGATGAGAGCCTCAAATTGACCCATTTTTAGCCTTTTCTCTGAAAAGAAAAATGTTTTCCAAAATGAGATTGCTACCAGATGTAGTGAATTACATAGCAGTTTCTCAGATATGAAAAGCAGATGAAATGGAATATTCTGGTTTCTGATTCAGTCCTATTCTTATCTACACATAGCTCTTCTTAAGTGAACTTGACAGTGTTGTGGGCTGATATTAAGATGGACTACTTTAGTAAACAAGAAAAAGGGTTTCACTCTGTGCAATAGCAAATGAGCTTTATAATAGAAATTTCTTTGTGCAGGAGAAGATATTACAACTTTCAACACACACTAAATATATTTGCTAGGCAAAAAATGCATTTCATTACATGCAGTGCACTTGCTATTGTACGTTAACCACTTTTTTGCCTTGTATTGAAGACGTAATATTTTCTACTGTAAAATGTCTGCAATTTATTTTTATGCTTCTGTTTTTCCCATGAAGTAAATAGCCCTGTACTGATAAATGTACGTTATATAAAAGGTGAAATGTGCAGAGCAAACATCTCAGCTTGTTTGGGTATCTGTACGGTTTCGTGAGCAGGCAAGAGTTAAAATTTTGGACCACAGTAGCTAATTTTATTAATACAAACAGTCTGTAATTACTAGATTTACTGGAGTCTTTTACTTTGACAGTCTCGGCAACTATAATAGATGTGTATGTTCTCTAAAATAATACTATTGCAGCTACAACTATAATTTTTCCTGACAATGTCTCTGCTGGCTTAAAAAAACCATAATTAATACTTTATTTAATCTTTGCATACTGTATACCTAGTTGACCATCATTCAAAATGGCAGTAGCCCAGAGCATAGTTTCTTCACAGCTGAATGTATTTGACCCTAATTACTGCTTATTGGAAATATACCAAACAAGTAAAAAGGGAGCTGTAACAAAGAATTGAGGCTTTAATTTTGTCTGTGATGAGAGAACTTTGATGGTCACTACTTATTTGTCTGTAAGAGTTGCGGAAGTCTTTGCAGGTTAGAGAATTACAATTATCTTGCTAATTTCAGTCTTACACTTGAACATGTTTAATGGACTATTGATGGGGATTATGCTTGTTTTATATTTATTTTATCTTGTATTTAGAAGCGTATGATTGACTGTCAGTGGTCAGGATAGGCATAGGCTGATAGGGAAAGGGTTTGTTCCCTTTTCTGGGAATGATGTAGTTTAAGTACTATTTTTGTAGAAACAAATGCCTTCAGTCTGCCTGGCTCTATGTTAGGGGGTGCTTTATGCATGCTGTCTTATTTAGTCATCACCCTATGACATAGGCATTAACGTTCCCATATTATAGATCTGGGACTAGCACCTCGGTGTGGTTAAGGGATGTGCCATGGCCACAAGGTCAGTGACTGTTGGGCCGGGCTTGACTCCAGTGCAGCCTGAGTGCTCGCCTACACAGTAGGAGACATTTCCAAACATTTGAAGCCTGGGAATGAAAGAAAGTCTGCTTGCAAATAGAGGAGGAAATTGGGAGGTGATGGAACTAGAGGGACGGTGTTTTAGTGATCTAATATGTAAACACATTCACTATAGCTTGTTTAAAATGCTCATTTTCGGTGCGCTACACAGGACAGTTTCTTCAGCTACTTATGACGGGCTTATTTAATATGCGTGTGAACCTTTTACCATTTCAATGAAAAATAAGTCAAGCTATAAGATTCTTAGAGATGTGATATCTCTATTTTCTCAGTTTATGAGAAGAAACTGAGTATTATGGGAAAAGAGGTCTTATGTTTTGGAGATAAACCACCTATTATTAAGTCCAATAAATAAACACAGTAGCCATTTCCTGAAAAGGGCTACAACCCCCCCCAACACACAAAACCCCAAGAACCAACCTCAAAGTAAAATATCCCCGACCCTTACCAAGAAAAAACAACTTGTTGTGAATCATAATTTGTTGCATGGACATTTGTTTAGTCTCATTTTCTATACAATTACTACCAACATCTTCTATTTTTTTCATTTCATTTTTACCCTCAATGAAAATGAACTGTTTATTGAGTTAAAAATAAGCTTCCCTACACTTTCAAATGTTGTTTTTGATGTGGTATTTAAATATTTTCCAACACTGATCAATGACTTTTTCTTACTGTAATAGGTTAAAAATACCTAAGCCAGCAAGAAGAGTTCTTATACAATGGAATATTCTTCTTTTTTTTTTTAACCTTTTTTTTTTTTTTTTGAGGCAGGGTGTCACTCTGTCACCCAGGTTGGGGTGCAGTGGCGTAATCTCGGCTCACTGCAACCTCCACCTCCTGGGTTCAAGCGATTTTCCTGCCTCACCCTCCCGAGTAGCTGGGATTACAGAAATGTGCCACCACACCTGGCTAATTTTTGCATTTTAGTAGACTATTAAGTATTTAGTAGAGATGGGGTTTCGTCATGTTGGCCAGGCTGGTCTCGAACTCCTGACCTCAAGTGATCCGCCCACCTTAGCCTCCCAAAATTCTGGATTACAGATGTGAGCCACCGTGCCTGGCCTATTATTCAGCCTTAAAAAGAAATGAAATTCTGATACATGCTACAGTATGGATGAACCTTAAAGGTGTTATGCTGAGTGAAAGAAACCAGACACAGAAGGGCAAATGCTGTTAAGATTCCTCTTACATGAGATACCTAGAATAGGTGCATTCATGGAGATGCAGGGAATAGAAGTTACCAGAGGTTAGAAGGGTAAGAGGATGAGGAGTTATTGTATAGTGAGTACAGAATTTTGTTGGGGATAATGTAAAAGTTTTGGGTATAAATAGTGATGATTGGTTACATAATATTGTGAATGCATTTAATGTCACAGAATTGTACACTTATGACTGGCTAAATTGTTAAGTATTTTACCACAATAAAAAAGAAAAATTAAAAAATAAGGGTTCTGCCAAGGTATTACAATGAAGAGACACAAAGTTCTAGCCTCTAATGCTGGACCTAATACCTGAATAGATTCTGATTCAACAACTTCAGAAAGTTCCTGTGGGCGTTCTTCTTTCATTAACGTTGATAAATATTTATTTAAAAGTAATGTTATGTCATGTCAGACTCTGAGGGACTAGAGGGATGAGTAAGGGAGGTCTACTGCCTACAGGAGTGGAAAGACAGCCACATTAAAAAATGATTAAAATCCAGTAAATGGGCTGCAATAGAAATGTAATGAATAGTAGGGGAAGCCCAGGAGAAGGGCTCCTGAGGGAATCAGGGCCTCGTAGAACAGTTGATAATTGATCTGGGTTTGAAGTTTGAATAGGAATTGGGTTATTTTTTATTTTCTTATTTCAATAATATGCAGTACATTCTCACTCACATTTCCCACCTTGGAATCTTGGATCTAAGATATTTGCAGTCTTTTCAAATATTTTGTAATATTTTCCCCTTGGGTAAGTATAGGCAGATTGGTCCCTGGAGGTAGAAAAACATCTTGATCATTCTCTGTCCTACTTTCTAAATATTTGTAAGCAAAACCACTTTGAGAAATAATTCAAAGTAAATGAGATGTGTTCAGTCCATCAAAGAGCTTGTAATATAATAGGGCAAGGACAGCTGGGTGGCAAGTGCCTTCAGAAAGTGTGGGATGGCTGTGCAGAGGCAGGAGGAGCGACTTCTGCTGGGGCACGAAGGCTTATTTCACATTTAAGGTTGGGTAGAACTGTGATAACTAGATGTGAAGAAGATTGTTTCATTCAAATAGATGAACAAAAGAAGAAAAGCAAGAAAAAAGATGAATCCTTTTCAGGGAAACAGTGAAAAAGCAAGTTAGAGAGGCCCTTTGGGGCCAGATCACAGGGATCTCCAAACCTTCAATATTCTGCTTATTCTAAGGAGAGAAAGGCGTGAAGAGTCTTCACCCCTCTACCAATGTGAAAGGATGGTGGAGAATAAAGGAGAATAAAAAGGGATCCAAAGGCACTGGATGGCATTGGGCTCACAGGTGGATGGAATGGGTCGAACTATTAATAGAAGTATGACCAGTGAAAAGGAGAATATGTTTTGGAGCCAGTTAGCTTTAGGTTCAAATCCTGATTCAAAAGTTACTAACTGCAAAGTTGGACAAATTACTTAAAACTTCTGAGCCTCGTTATCCTTGTGTGACAAATGGGGATGATAATATTATCTTCATATAGAGTTATCAGGAGGATTAAAGAGGATGGGGTGACAGATATACGTAGTCTCCAGACCACTCTCATAGGCACAGATGTTAGTTCCTTCCCCAGGTGATCTCCAAAGTCCCATCTAAACTTGAGAGTCTGTGAAATAATTTAGAGGATTTAAAAAAATCCAAAGATAAATGATTCACATAATTGAAGTTAAAATATATAACCAACATATTTCTAGACAAGTAACAGAATTCATTTCAAGTATAAATAAAAAATTTACAGCCAAAACAGATTTTTCTAGTGCAGCAGCTTATCTCCAGCAATGACTCTAATGTTTTTGGAAGCTGAATTAACCATTTCACTCCCCCAAGTTGCCCCGTAGGGCTCATATCCACGTGTTTGGAAATGATATCTTCTTGTCAGATCTAATATGAGGTCCCTCAGCTTTGTGTGAGCACAGAGCTCAGAGTTGGGGGTTTACCCTGTGCAGGATGTCTTTCTGCTAATGTGACTGCCAGTAATACTTGAAAGTATCAATGCATGTTTGAGGATATCCACCATGCTTTCCATTAGAAATAGCACAGGCTGTGGTACCTTCCCCTGTATCCTTACTAGACTTCATGACTTTATAGAACTAGCCACTTTACTGAATTCTTTTTTCCTTGTTGTTTTTCACGTGAACTGCTTAGGTTTTCTATTTTACAATACTAGCATCATCTGTAAATGATGTCTTCTCCTTTCTGACTGTTGTGTCTTTATTTGTGTCTCTTGATTTGGATATAAATCTGTCAGGATGATGGTGGTAGCAGGCATGGACTGATGGTAAGGGAAGGTGTGTAGGGTTTAATATGATATGGACATATAGTTTGAATGCCATAGCACCTGTCATATCTTTCTTGTTACCAGAATCACATCATATAGAAATTTTTGGGAAAATGCCTTTTTCTTTTTTCTTTTCTTTCTTTCTTTTTTTTTTTTTTTTAAGACGGAGTCTTGGCTCTGTCACCCAGGCTGGAGTGCAGTGGCGCAATCTCAGTTCACTGCAACCTCCACCTCCTGGATTCAAGTGATTCTCCTGCCCTAGTAGCTGGGACTACAGGTGCCTGCCACCACGCCCAGCTACTTTTTTTTTTTTTTTGTATTTTTAATAGAGATGGGGTTTCACCATGCTGGCCAGGCTGGTCTCGAACTCCTGACCTCAAGTGATCTGCCCGCCTCGACCTCCCAAAGTGCTGGGATTACAGGCATGAGCCACCGCGCTGGGCCGAAAATGTCTTTTTCACACTGAACTCTGAGCACATTAAGGAGAGGGTCTTTTCTTACTTACCTTTATATTCATAGTGTTAGCCCTGAGCCTGAACAAAACACTTGTGTAGATATTTATGGGAGGTATGAGTAAATATCTTAATTTATTAGAGATCAGTAAAGGTACTTATCAATAAAGGTATCAATAAAGGACAAAAAGTCCAATAAGAAATTATGAATATCTTTTCATAATATCAGAGAACATTAACTGTTTAGCTGTCTTCCTAAAAAATGTTTCAATTACAATTAAGGATGCTTGTCTTTTTTGTGATTCTTATGTAGGATAGCAGGAAGGGGACAAAATTTTAAGTCATATCCCATTTGTTATTAAAATAAAGAGGGGAAGCCCAAATTCTATCTAAATTGTTGGTCCAAGTGTGGATCCCTTAATTTCCTTTCTAATGTGTTTTCCAGTAAACATACAGATACATAAATGCAAGAGTTAATAAGATTAATGGGCTACTTTGTATCTGCCCAGGAGGACACAAAACAAGGTAAAATTTATTATTTGTGGATGCTATGTCATACTATTTTTAAAAATCTACTCTAACACTGTATATTAATGCTGTATAATCTCCTTTCTTGGTAATTTCCACTCCACAATTTTTATATATTCCTATTTGAAATAATGTTTTATCTCTTAATGTCACTCATTTATTTTATCATTTTTAAACAATAGGATATGAGATGGGACTGAATAATGAGAAAAAGATTTCTTAAGGGAGAAATAAAATATATCAAAGAATAATTTGTAAAACCAATATGGTAGAAGTCATATTTATTGAAAAAAATTAATATCTTTGCTATAAAATTTGTAACAGGAATATTTACTGAATGTTTATTTTGATGCATAAACCTGAATGTTACATACCAAGTACAAGACAATAACACTAGTTTTTCCTTTATTTACACTTTATGAAAACTGTTATGCAGTCCATGTTAAAAGAACTTATGATGGAGAATTGTTACATTAGAAAAATAATATTCTTGATAAAGCATTCTCAATGTGTCCAATCATATTTTCTGCCTCTTCAATAAGGCAAAAGTCCCTGGAACAGCATATAACTTAATTTACAAAATACAATAACTGTTTAGACACATATTCAAGTTTTCTTTTGGTATGCTTTTCCCTCACTGTAAAACTTTTTCTTTTTTCTTTTTTTCTTTTTCTTTTTCTTTTTTTTTTTTTTTTTTTTTTTACTAAAACAGAAAGACTTTCAGGAAAATGTCATTTAATGATTTCAGCTATACATTACATATACAACTCTGTAGCCTAGCAACAATCATTGCTACACCATCATTAACTTTAAATATTTTGCTTGGTGAGCTATTCTCAAATGTAGCACATTTTAAGATTTTGCCATCATTATGACTGTGGAATCATTGTTTGGTTTTCATAGGAAACAGATCTGTCACAGTATGAAGCTTTGTTTATTTTAAGAAACTGGTACACAATTACATTTCCACTTACAAGAGAACGCCACAGATATAACTAAAGGCAGGCTTCGATGGCTCCACAAAGGTTGCGTGCTGGACCAACCCCACACCTCCTGCTTCCCCGTCGCACCGCCCTGGCCAGGTTCACATGGTTTCATTTCCAGAGATGCTTTGCTCTTCGCAGTTAGGTAGTTTTAATTCCTTCAAAGGCACACAGCTTCCATCTTTTTTCCAGCGTGGCTCCCACACCCGTGAATTCCTGTTTGAACATGCGTGGCAGCCTCATCAAAAGCATTTCTATTTCATTTGCAGATATCTGTTAGAAAGGAAGGAAAGTCACTTTGGGGAAAGGAACTCATCTTAAAGGAGGAATGGATTGGGGAAGGATGAGCTTTCCCAGTGATATGAACAGCATTTAGTTTTCTACTGGGCTGTCAGGGGGATGTCCTTATAGAAGGAACATTCAGAAGTACTGAATGTGATTATCCCACCTCCCGAGCAGCTGGCGGGGTGGGGCGTGGGTTGGCTGGGCGGAAAGTGCCAAGTTCACCCTTCATATGGATGGCTACCTTACTGGCAGCACCATTCCTGAACAGCCCTCCCCTGATATAAAAGGAGATGGGGAGGGAATTTAAGAGGGCTCCCAGCAAATCCATCACCACTCCTGGAAAGCTACTAGTGGCTTCATCCTCATCTATGAAGGACAGCAATTTTCTTTAATGCTGCCAGGAGCAGAAGACATTCGGGTGGATTTCTTGCCACCCAAATTTCTTTCTCTTCCTTAATTTTCACATAGACCAGAGACCATAAAGCTTTTGGAATGGAATCTAAACTCCAAAACCTACAACAATACAAGTCTTGATATCTAGTCATAAAATTCAGGTATATTTTTTAATGCAACTTTTTTCTTCTCCATATTTTTATTTGATGAATTTTTACACCAATAATTCATTTTAAAGAACAAATCAGCCATAATCCCTCTGCTCTAGCACAGTGATTGCTTTTGTTGTCCTGTGTTAGCATGCCAATCCATGTGTATGCATGTGGATTTTATACAGCAGGGCGGCCAATTTGGGGTCTGATATTCTGTTTGAATATCCCCAAAATTTGGGGTCTGATACTCTGTTTGAATCCTGTATCTTCATTCTCACAAGTTAAATGACCCTTACAGAGATAATTAGTCTCTTTAAGCCTCAGCAAATGGAAATAACATTTAATAAGGATAGCATGAAAATTACTGGCTTACCACAGATATGGGCACATAGAAATGTTCATTGAATCAGAGCTATTACACTTTTTCATGGTGTAATCACTGTAGAGATATCATTTTAGAGTCTACACTTTCCATTTAACAATATTAGGATTCATTTAAAAGAGACACCAAATAGACCAAGAAGTCAAATCAACTGTTTATTTAATATTCTCATGGAAAAGACTTCATATGACACATTCAATATTCCTGGGCCTATAATACAAAACTTTAGTTAAATAGAGGCAGTTCTGAAAATTGAAATACATTGTATTCTAAAATTTTTGGGAATTGTTTTGAAATCTGAATGCATTTTCTGATACACACCATATTAGATGGATGGTTAAATTCCCAGGTCAACCGACAAAAGCCTATGAGACAGATTATGTGAAGGTTCATAATAACTTTGAGAAGTAAGTTTTCTTTCAGTCACCACCAGTGTTCTCATTTCATTCTCACAGCACTCTGGTGAGATTCGTGAGCAGATATTAAGATGCATCTCCATTTTATAGTTCAGAAAACGGTGTGAGCTACAGAGGGTTAAGTGTTTTATCAAAGACACAACTTGGGAAAGAACCCAAGGGTTCTTTCATGGGTTGGGGCCTGGGCCTTGATTGGTGTGCCTTAAGCACTTCCCATGATTGTCAACAGCCAGGGGTGAACAACCAGGGGTGCTGGGAGGTCTTTCTCAGTAGCGGTCACCTGGAGGCACTTGTTAAAAAAATCAGATCCCCCAGCCAGCCTCTTCTCTGGAGATCCGGATTCAGCTGGTCTTGGGTGTAGCCCACATAATCTATTTTTAACAACCATCCCAGATCATTCTTATAGTCAGGCATATTTGGGTTAAGAATGGGGACTTAGGCCGGGCGTTGTAGCTCATGCCTGTAATCCCAGCATTTGGGGAGGCCGAGGTGGGTGGATCATGAGGTCAGGAGATCGAGGCCATCTTGGCTAACATGGTAAAACCCTGTCTCTACTAAAAATACAAAAAATTAGCCGGGTGTGGTGGCGCGTGCCTGTAATCCCAGCTACTCAGGAGGCCAAGAGGCAGAAGAATCGCTTGAACCTGGGAGGCGGAGGTTGCAGTAAGCCGAGATGGCACCACCGCACTCCATCCTGGGGGACAGAGAGAGACTCCGTCTCAAAAAAAAATGGGGACTTAAGCCAGACAAGCTTGGATTTTACTCTGGCTAGGCCTCAAGCTGTGTGACTTTGGGAAGATTACTTAACATTTGTAATTCTCAGTTTCTTCAGGTGTGTAATAGAAGTCATATCTCTCAGGGTATTGTAAGGATTATATGTAAAATGTAACACAGTGCCTGGCACAAGTTCTCTCTCCTTATGTAGACATGTATATGTGTGTGTGTATGGAATATTGATAGAAAATGACACTATTATCTAACCTTTTGTAGTACGGAGTGGTATGTGGTCAAAACTAGTTTTTCATAGGTCCAGGAGGCAGCTTTTTTTAAGCCTCATGAGACCAAGTTATCTTCTCAAAGAGTTCCCTTCTTTCTTTTGGAGGAGGACAGCACAGATCATCTATGGTGGGCTCTAGTCTCCAGTCAAATTCAAGTGCCACCCCTGGCATGTCCTTCCCCAGATCAAGGAGAGGCCATAGCGGAACACACAGGCCGAGGTGCCTGCCAGCCCACCAGCACCTTGTTTACAGTGTAACCGCCACCTCCCTTGGAAATGTAGGGAAGAAGGTTTGTGCCATTCATTAGGGAGGGGATAAAAAGCTAAGTTTTTGAGGGTAAAATAAATATCTGATTTAAATATAACGTGTAGGAGGCCAGCTGGGGTCAGAAGGGGCAGTGCCACCCAGCAGCCCTGCAGCTGGCTGTAAAAAGTGTGACAACTTACAATCACCAGGAAACTTTTCCTTGCCAAACTCTTCTGAAAACACTATTTAATTCTCACCACACTCTCATAAGATAGGGAATAATTTACCAATAAGAAAACTGAGGCCCTGAGAGACTCAGTAAATCCCACAGGGTAACACAGGCAGTAAGTGTGGACCAGACCTCCTGGCTGTGGTGCCTTGTTCTTAACCACCCCTGCCCACCTCCACCAGGGAGAGGACCATGGAGTAAGGACAGGAAATAATCCTCTTGGTCACTGCCTCTCTGGCCCTGGGTGGGTGTGGATGCCATGGCAGGCATCTGTGTACAGGAGGGCAGGGCTCCTCTGTGATGAATACTATTAGAGTGATAGCAACATCAACAGCAAAAAACTGAAAATTCCCAACTCACCTGGCTCACACACGTTCATATTGCTGATGCTCGGGCACCCCCACATTAACCATCCATCAAAACGGTAAGCAAATCATGGGAAGTCTTGGCTAGCATGTACTGAAATGTGGCAACATCTTGTTTTCCATGGTGTCTTTTGACCTGAGCCTAGACTTTAACCACAAAGGAAGCAGGACAAGGCTTGCAGCGGGACAGAGGTAGCTACCATTTACCGAGTCTTCACTGTGGGGCAGGGAAGAGTAAATTCTTCACCAGCATTATCTCATCAGAAAGCTCATTAAACAAGCAAGTGCCCCCCTCACTTGCTGGAGTAAAGAAAAGGAGACACAAAAGATTTGGATCACAGTGATAGAACAATCAGTAACCTCTTCCAGTTTAGTAGTTAAGTAACCAGTCACTTAACTTCTTTGGGCCTGTCTTCTCATTTCCAAGACAAGGGAATTGGAAAGAAACACAGGGAATGCCCTGAGGACTTGGTTTGTGTGCTGGCCTCTCCATATCCTAGCTCTAGCCTTAGGACAAGCCATTCAAAATTTATCTGTCAATTAGGTTGTGGCAAAGATCTTAAAATGAGAGGATGTGATAGGTCTTTTGCGCACCTTAAAGCACAAAACAAATGACGGTCCCCACTTTAGTAGCACTTATTGTGTGCCAGGTACTGTTCTGGAATGCTTTTCATCTACTAAGTCATTTAATATCAAGGATAACCCCCCAAAAACCACTTTACAGATGGTGGAACTTAGGCACAGAGATGTTAAATAAGCTGTCCAAGGTCAAACAGCTAAGAAGTGATGAAACTGGGATTTGAAATCCTCGTAATTACTTAATACATACTTCAGATTTTGAGAAAGCCAGAAATTAGTGTAATGGGAATTAATCTCAAATGTATTAGCTGTAGTTTCTGTTGGTAGTGTAAGATATAACAGCTGGGTTCTGCCACAAAGATGCAAATAATACAGAGTTGTGTCATAATTATGGAACAGACCACTTCAAATAAAAATCTATCTAAAATATCCATTTAATAAGGCTCTCAGCAGCTGGGCATGGTGGCTCACACTTATAATCCCAGCACTTTGGGAGGCTAAGGTGAGAGGATCACTTGAGCCCAGGAGTTTGAGACCAGCCTGGGCAACATAGAGAGACCCAATCTCTACAAAACATACAAAAATTAGCCGATATGGTGGCATGTCCCTGTGGTCCCAGCTACTCAGGAGACTGAGGCAAGAGGATTCCTTGAGCACAGGGGTTGGAGCCTGCAGTGAGCTGTGATTGCTCCACTGCACTCCAGCTTGGGTGACAGAGTGAGACCCTGACACAAGAAAAAAAGGGATCTCAGCTAATTCTAGAAGAATTCCTTAAAGTTGTTTAAAGATATTTATATCTCATGACAGAAGAAAGATCAGGGAGAAAGCTGTATCAGGTAAGTTAGTTTTATGATTTTCAAACTTTTCCCCTACCCTGACAAAATAACCTTTATGATATTTTATCTTTTGGGATTTTTAAGACAAATTCAAGAGAAAATTCAATTTGTCCTTTGTTTTCTCCCTATGGCCAAAGAATTTTTACTTTATAAATACTTCCACTTACTTCAGTTCTGTTCTCTTCCTAATAATTTGTCAGCTATTATCATCTTGCCATCACAATATCCTTTGCCTTCCCACCAGTACATTCTTTGTCTAGAGAATTGAGACTCTGGAGTCATTACTTAAACCAAGCACCCAGACCTCACTGGCTGAGCTCTGAGTGAAGTTTACCCCTTTCCTCATCTCCTGCACGATTTTCTTCCCTGAATCACTTCTGAGACCAGGGATTCTCTCTAAGCTCCTACTTCTGTTCACACATGGAGCCCTGGGTTCCTGGGAAGAGCTGTTGCTTGCCCAGCAGGTAAGTGAAGGGGTAGAACTTGGAGCAAGGATTATGAATCCAGCCCGGCTTTCAGAGTGACGCATTCCCTCACTCCCAAGCATATTATGAGGAGATGATTGCAATACACGTGGTTAAGGGAGCACTGTGTAGCACTGTGATATAGATTAGAGATAGATGCCATGACTATGAAATCTTTTCCCCATACACCATGTATTTGGTGCTCTAGCAAGTGGAGAGGATAGTCATAACCCTGAAGTTTTGATTACCCTCTTACCCAGGTGGCTTTTGTTCCAAGAAATTTGTGGCCTATATATTTTCAATCTTTGATATTGTCAGTGGATTCTTCTACCTGTTTTGTTTGAAACTTTCTTAAATTTATTCTTTTAGGAAGGATTTATTTGCTACAAATACAAAAAAGAAAGAAAGCAAACATCAGAAGGAAACAGGCTGTGTGTAACTAAGGAGCTTGTGTGCTGTTGATACCGCAGAGGTCATTTATAAAATCTGCTTGATTTATTTTTTAATTTGCTCACTCTAGGCCAAGCCTACTGCCTCCTTGCCCGGCCTCTAATCACATGTACAAATGGACACAAGCAGATGCAAATCAATTTGTTCTCATCATGGTTGGCTCCATACCCCGTATCATCAGGCAAGGGAAGCCTGGTGAAGAGGGGCTCCTGTTTGGGCTACTGAAAAGACGCCGGCAGAGGCCGGAGCGTCAGGGAAGCCAGTTGAAAACCAGACTTCCTTCCATGGGCAAAACTGACTTCTAGCCTTTAAATGCACATTTAAATCTTGTTCATTCTTCACATCCTGGGCAGGGCACAGTGTTAGCACACACAGACACCTCACAACAAATGTTCACAGAGAGAAATACAAAATGTAGATGGGGCAAAGGGAGGGGAGGAAGGAAGGGAGAAAGAAGGAAAAGAGGAAAGAAGACAAGAAGTCAGGAATTCGAAGGAGTGAAGCAAGAAACTGGTAGAGGAAGGGAAGGAGGCAGAAAAAATGTGATGAAAGAAGGTAAACAGGAGAGAATTAAAAGGAGAAAAGAATATGGAAGGAAAATGAGGGCAGGAAGGAGAGAAGAAAGGGTGGGTAGAAAGAGGAGAAAGGAAAGAAATGTGGCAATGTTGGCTAAAGCATCCCAGAGGGAAGCCACCAGAAGAAGCATGGACTCGAGGGTACCTTGCTGTTAATCATGACTCACAGATTTCACCCTTCTCTAACTCCTAGTTC
This sequence comes from Homo sapiens, assembly GCF_000001405.40. Lineage (NCBI taxonomy): Eukaryota > Metazoa > Chordata > Mammalia > Primates > Hominidae > Homo > Homo sapiens. The sequence continues at coordinate 43,220,415 of NC_000013.11, forward strand.
AGAGAGTATCTTCCCTACCCAATTTAGCACTTCATTAGTTCATGTCTGAGTCTCAAATCATTTCATAACTAGGCTACAAGCTTGTTGAGAATAGGGTTCTATCTTAGGTTTCTTTTGTGCCTTGGTCATCTCCTGTTCTTCTCTGGTCCCTAAGACAGTGCTGGGTACATGAAAAGCAGTGAATTATCCCAGCATTCATTAGGTCCCTGGTAACCTTACCAACTTCTCTCACTGTGGTGCACAGCCTTTTTTTTGTTCTTTATGTAGTCAAGTGGGGAGTATTGTTATCTCTGCTGTCATATGCTTTCCAGAAGTGCTGTAATATCTAAAAAACCCATTCATTATAGTCTGTCTAAAGGATCACTCATTGATATTACTGTGACAGGCTGCTCTTAAGGAGAACCCCAGAATATGCATACTATTAAGGATCATTCAGGTGGGCAATCTCATAAACACTACTGAGAGCATTTCCCCACCCTCATCACCTGGTTATAGTCTGGGAAAGAATGCTATCCAATTAATTAAACAGGATCTGAATCTCCTTTCCATAGCCAAGACATTTAAATTTTGTGTTTGCAGAGGTATGCTATTAGTACAGAAGTGCGAATGATTCTCCCCTCTGTGGGAAATGTAACACATGCCCATGACCTCTCAAGCTGGTCACAGTGGTGTCGTGCCAAAATAGCAGGTCCTTCTATATCCTCCAGCCTCTGTGGCCACATTACGCTGAGTCTGGTTTTCAGAACCAAATCTTCCACACCATGGGCCTTGGGAAGAGGCTGCAGGTGTGTAGAGGGGGCAACCAGACACGCTTGGAAAACTGAGCCTTCATCTCCTAAAGGATATATAAACAGGGAAGAGCAGACGAACCCTCCTCTTGACTGTAAGAAGTATTCATCTGCTAATGCTCAAGTCAAATGTTTCTTCTGGGCTGCTTCGGAGAGACAAGAGGTTGGGCTTGATGGGCCCTGGGGCTGACATGGGAGATTCTATGTACTGATAGAAACCATTTTCATCATAGTGCTGCCTATTTTAAAGAGTTTGCCTGCTGTGCTCTGGGCATGATTTTTGACTCAGCAAAGCTTCAGAAGCCATGGCTGCCCCCAACCCGGACCCTGTTTTCCTCTGAATGAATCTTCCTTTTTCAAGTGTTTCTGATACAAGAGAACCGGGTGAATGAGAGTGGGTAATTTAGAAAAGGCCAAGAAGAGAAAAATATGCAAATATGCAAATATCAACAGCAGGAATAATATTTAACTGGAAAATAGCTTATTATTGGGCTACATGGTTTTAGGAAGCCATGTGCAATGTACATGCCCGGCATAATTTAAATTAATTCCTTCCATTCCTAGTCATTCTTACACCCATATGTAGCCTTTGGGGAAATCCTGACCACAACAGTGACATTACAGGACTGGGTGGAGCCTGCTTTCCCTGTTCTCATCAGTACAGGGTGGGCACTGGATTTTGCTCTCTGGATTAAAAAGTCTAAATATCCTCTCAGCCTCACTGGAATAGAAAGCATGTGGTCTGATCCCTGGTGCCCAGCAGTTTTAGAGTACTTTTTCAATATACTTTCTACCCCAGGCATGAGAAGGAACCTGACAGCTCTGTGGGCGTTTCATTCAGAAGATGGAGAGCTATCTGGGAGTAGGCAGGGGACACCTCGTGTGTTTCCTCTGTGAGGGAAATACTTTCTTCATCACTCTAAAATAAAAGTACCAGTCTGCGATGAGATACAATTCCTTTGACTGAATCCCATCCAGAAAGGCCCATCATCTAATGGCCAGGGACAAGGCATGTGAATTCTCTCTCCTCAGAGACTGGTAAGGGAACGTCACAAATCTTACCTGAGCCCTGAGGATAAGAATAGAACAAGAGCTTCTACCCGCCACCCCCTCCCCGCCAGCCAAAACAAATCAATTCATTACTTATCAATCCCTGCCCATTCCCAGGAGATGATTTTACACACACACACACACACACACACGCAGGCACACACACTTCACTGGTGATCATCATAGATTCTCAGCCTGCGATGATGGAGTGGAGGAAACAAAGTGTCCTGAAATTCTTTGATAAACGACAAGTGGATTGTTGGCCATTTTAGCTCCTACTAAAACAACAGCTGCTTCTCAACAAAGGCTTCTCACTTGGGACTTGCAGAAAGGGAGAACAGAAATGTCAACAGTACAAGGGAAGGATGGTAGCAACAATAGGAATCATTTCTTGAGGGGTTATTCTTTGCCAAACACATTGGTGCAAGCAGTGTTTTGTTTAATCCTCCAGGCAAAGGTGGTGGTGATATTAAGGAACAATAATACCAGTAAAGGGGAAACAACAGCAGAGAAATCCTTCAAATCTATATGACAACAAAGGAACATTGTGCAGCAAGTCCTTCTTATTTCATCTGAGTTTAACATGAATGCTTTCTCTTTCTTACCTGTGCATGTGAGGGGAAACCACAATGAAAAAAATAGATGATTCTGAACCTCTAGAATTTTAAAATTCTCTAACTCCTTTCACCCTGTTTTGTTCTACCCTGTCATGAAAGGCATGAAATCTGTATGACTGAAAAGATTCCTCTCAAAGGGGAAGTGTTAGATCCATTTAAGAGGTTAAACAGTTTTGGGATCATGTATTGGGAAGATTATTTGAATCAAAATAAGAACACATGATAGTCATTTGATGCATGCTAGCCATTGAAAATTTAGCATGATTTAGCTGTGTCTGTTCAGGGACACAGCACTGCAGTCTGCTGGTCTGGTCGTACCAATCCCATGCGTTTTGCTGTGCTCTATGGAGGACCTTCTTACTTATTTCCATTTTCCTTCATGACCAGAAATTTGACAGGCAACTCGCTGGCTTCTCTAGCTTCTCTGTTTTGCTTCTGTGTCCACCCCGCTCCTGGGCTTCCCTAGTGTTGGTTAATGATGTTGTTTTATTTTGTCAGGGCCCCTTCCATTGTTCACATGAATTTGACACATAAATCACATTCTTTTTGTCTCTTCTCTATGGGTACACAAATACTGCGGTGGGGTAGGAGTACAGCTAATTTGTGGATGGGAAAAACCGAGCTTCAGGGAGGTGAGGAATGATGTCTGGCTCTGGATGTGAGCCTGGAGGGGCACAGCTGAGAAGAATTTTGCAGCCACTTTTTTCTACTTAGAGAACAACGCTGGAAAACAGCCATTAATACAGCTTTCTTGAGTCATATCAGATCTTTATATTATTTGGGATGATTTTTCCTCAATTGTGTGAAGTCCAGAACATGGAATCCTATAAGAATATGGTCTGAGGATAATGCCCTATTAGCCACACTCACCTGATTTCACCCTTATTTTGGGAACTTTCAGGTGAACCTATATTTTTAAATCTCTCATAAGCTTTCCAAATTAACTTGGCATCTGCTAAAAGTCATTGTCATTTTAGATAACTGCTCTTCTTTTTACAAAGACAAAAGCAAGCAAAAAGAGGAGAACAAGCTGCCAAAAACTGAGGTCCTTGCAAAAGAGAAGGGCTGATCAACCCCCATAGGCTGCTACAGCCCTAGTTCAGTTCATGCAGAGTCCACCTGCAGGCAGCAATCAACATGCTAAATTTGAGCAACGAAAGTTCACTCGAGCAAAATAATTTACCTTGGAGTCCAGCTGCTGCATGTATGACCAAAGATATTCTATGTTGGCTCCAAAAGGATGGACGTGAAGAAACGTTGATATGATACCTGAATTAAAAAGGCAAACATTGGAAATTATTCAAAGGCATATGAGAGTCTCTGGTTAAATAATGCTGTCTAATCCCAGTGACTATTTTGTCAGGCTGAGTTATGGTCTTGCCATTTCTAGCAGCACTCAACAAGCATTCAATAATAGCACATTCTGAAGGCAGTAAGAGTAACATGGCAAACAGAACACTTTATCTCCTGGAATGATAGTAGTTAGCAAAGCTAGACTCTGAGATAATATACAGCTGAATAAAGATATTTCAAAACAAAGACTCCTGGAAGCATTTCAACTACCAATTTTATGCTTGATTTACCAATATAAAATTATAGTTATTGGAAGGATAAAATTATCTTTTCTTTCCCTCAGTGGACTTTGCAGTATGAAAATGGCTCATACAACTGTGTCAGAAATCACACTGCCTCAGATTTTCCTGATAATTACAATTGCTAGATATGAAAAGTATTTAATCTATATTTCCCCCAACTGCCATTGAAGGAAGCCCAAATTCTTCCTGAAACATTTGCTGTTCTCTCTGGTTGTCGCTCTTGTTTAAAAGGAGCCAGCTCATTCTCCCCTTCTTGCTGCTGTAATTTACAAGATCATTTTAAAAGGTCTGGGAATGGATGGTTTGGCTGCAGTTTGATTATAAATTATAAGGCTCTTCCATCGTGCAAATCAGCTGTCAACATTGTACTGACAAATGAAAAGCTGGACGTTGAAGTCAGGAATGAAGTAAAAAGCATTACCTTCCTCTTCTCCCTGCTCCTGGATCCAAAATCAAAATAGTGAACATGAGGAAGTCAACTCCAAAAACTGTAGACTGCTTTTTGTTAAGAAGTTGTGCACTTGTTATTCACGATAGCAAAAACATGGAATCAGCTCAGGTGCCCATCAGTGGTGGATTGCATAAAGAAAACGTGGTATGAACCATGGAATACTATGTAGCCATAAAAAAGAAGGAAATGATGCCCTTTGCAGCAACATTGATGCACCTGGAGGCCATTATCCTAAGTGAACTAATGCAGAAATAAAACCAAATATTGCATGTTCTTATAAGTGGGAGCTTAACAGTGGGTACTCATGGACATAAGAAGGAGAACAGTAGACACTGGGGACTGCTAGAGGCGGGAGAGAGGGATGAGGGAAAGGGCTGAGAATCTCCCTATTAGGGATTATGCCCATTACCAGGGGGATGGGTTCAGTCATACCCCAAACCTCAGAGTCATGCAATAGGCCTCTGTAACAATCCTGCACGTGTACCCCTGGATTCTAAAATAAACGTTGAAAAAGAAACAAAAGAAAAGTTGTCCTCAGACTGATAGTTTTAGCTTTCTGTTAAAAAAGTTTCAAGATGAATTAAATCTGAGGGTAAGCCTTCATGTTCTGTTTTTTGTGAGCCTTCATGCTTGGGAGCCAGGGAAGACCCTCACCTGTATGAAATGCCATCTGGGTGGGCACAGGTGCACACAGCATTCTTGTACTAGGTCATCCTATAGGTGACCTTGGATTGATCTGCCATAGGGTTTCATGGCTCCCTGATGCTATGGGATGAGTGTCAAGTTTTTAAAGAAAAGTTCCCAGTTCATCCTCAGGCTGAGAACAGAAAACCAAAGGGACTCTCCAAGACCTATCCTCAGAATGTTGCTTTCCCAGGGCTTCTAGAGGATGACAGTGAGATGGGGAGGTAGAAACAATTCCCACATTTCCCTGTAAAGGTAGAATCTCAGTTTTTAAAGACTGACCTGTTCTTCCTGAGATACAAAGAACTACCACTTCATTCTGAGGTTATATTCTTCCTTTTTTCTTGTCAAAATGTCCTTTTTTGAAATAATGGCAATGGTAGAAGGCAATGATGATACTTTAAAAATATCTTTAAGTGGAAAAATAGCCACTTTTAATGTACTCAGGGAGCATTGTGTTGTCCCCTCCCCTTATTTATTTACTTATATTTTAATTTTAGAGACCTGACAGCTACTTCCCTGTAACTGAAATTCTCAATTCTGGTGAAGTGGCATTCTAAGTAATTCTATTACTAATAAGAGTTAAAATATAAAAGCTCAGGAGTGATTTCTTTAAAAAAATTAGAATATAGTAGAACTATTTAAAAATGATTATTTTCATTTGCATTTCCTTTTTTGTTTTACAAAGTTTTAAATTGATATATAATATTTGTACATATTTTTTGGGTACCTGGCATATTTTGATACCTGTATACAATGTGTAATGATAAGAATCAGGGTAATTTGCATGGCCATCACCTCAGACGTTTATCATTTCTTTGTGTTGAGAACATCCCAAATCTTTTCTTCTAGCTATTCTGAAGTATACAGTAAATTACTGTTAACTATAATTTCCCTACTGTACTATCAAATACTGGAACTTAGTCCTTCTATTTGTTGAATGAGAGAGTAAGGGCTGAATCACAGTTCGTGTAGAGGGAATCCCCTGTTTCACGATGGTGAGTGGGGCTTTCACTGACCATCCCAGGTACTATGGCCACTGCTTTCCACAGAGAGCCTCCCACAAGTGATGGGCAGGAGAAGGACAGGGGAGGGAGAAGGAAGAGTCAGCTTTGGCTTTGTGAGCAGGTGAGGGGGTGCTCCTAGTCGGAAGCTTTTTTTCTCCTCCTCCCCTGCAGGGTTCTCCCAGGGAGGTGAGGGCTGCTGCAAGGTGGGGAGCAGCATTCCTCGGGTGGACATCTGCTTACGCAGCAGGGCTGAGACAGGGAGTGGCAGCAGCACTGCAGACTTTGGGGTGACAAGGGTGTATAAGTCTCCCATGGAGAAAGAGGGCATAAGACTTGAGCAGTCTTAAGTAAACTACCCCAGGCAAATAAATAACAATATTTTTCATATTTAATATTCCCCCTGGCCAGAGAGCCTTCAACATCTCCTGCATAACCTACAGCCTTTTGTAAATGTCCATAGGTGTATGGTTATCAACATAAATGTCTTTAATAGGATGAATAGAACAAGTCAGAGGAGGATGGGGTGGGTTGGGGGAGAGGTTGATAACCCTTAGCCTAGGAGACGAAGTGTTGACATGGGTCATTTAGGGACACCAGAAATGGGAGGACCTAGAGTGCCTCTGTGAAGTTGGCACCCTCTGTGAACATGGATTTGCTCCTCCACTGTCTACTACCTTTCAACCCTAATCCTGGGTCTGCACCCCAAGGAGCTGTGCTCTTAGTCTTTGTGTGTTCTGGTTCCATATCCAGAACATAGTACACATTCATAAGAGGTATATGTTGAACGTATTTATTTGCCAGAACTGGAAATCTCCAGTATACTTGTTTAAAAATTCTATTAGTCTATTATTGATAAATGGGAATAAATAAGAACCTTAAACATTTCTACAAGTAGTAACAGATCTTTCAAAAACCAGGTAACTTTGAGATATTATTCACTGAAAATTCTTACTCTTAACCCGTCCTGTCATGGATTTAGAAGGATGGAGTAACTTGGATGTTTTGAGCAAGGAAAATTTTCATTGAAACTATTTTGCTCATAACTAAGGGGAAAATCAGATTCTAAAATCAGATTAGAAGTCCTGACGTGGACTTGAGTGTTCTTTTAGGAGGGTATTCAGAACCATCTCTGTGGTAGCTGATATTAAGAAGCCATTAGCTTTTCCTTATAAGAGTTCAGCAATTGCCACTAGATATATGTAGGGCCAAGGCAGGCAGTCACAAATAGGCTTCCCAAGCTTTTCCTGTGGATGACAACCCAATTATCCAGTGTTGCTAGAGACACAGCCGAAAGGAAAGCATGAGTCATCATCCTCCCCGGTACCTTGCCTCTCCTCAGCCCACCTCCCACTCCTGCATCTGTCCATCCCTGTAGCACCACAGAAGCATCAGTCATGCCACTTGAGAAAATGTTTCTAGGCCCTGTGATTTTGGATCAGGTTCATTTGAGGGAATCTTTCTAAATAAACAAGTAAAGCCTCTTTGCAGCTTTTTTTTTTTTTTTTTTTTTTTTTTAAAGGAACTGGGACATTCCCTGGGGATGGAAAAAGGATGGCTGTAACTCAAAAGTTAATGAAAAATGCCACAAACCTGGAATATGGAGACTATTTTATGGTCCTCTGGAATAGACCTAAAGGCTTGGTAAAATGAACACTAGGAATGGAGGGTGGTGGATTTAGCTGTTACTGAACTGGTGGATCTCCAAGGGGATGGCTCAACAATTGGACTTGCTTGTTTCCATGGAGATGTAGAAGGCCTCCATATTGGAGAATGGGTTTCCAAAAGTGGAAAAAAAATTTTAAGTGCCTAATTTAAAAAAATTTTAAAAGAACAAAGGAGGTTCAGTACCATTGGGCTTTTTGCACATCTCAGAATCTTAAAAACTACTTTAGAAAGAGTAACTAGCTCTAGAGGCCTGTGCCAAACCTCGTTAGGAAGGTCCATTTAAATTGGCTACCCAAAAGCACTCTGAGCTTCTCCCATCAAAACCATCTAGTTTATTTACATTATTGGGTCTCACTAAGACTAAGGATGCAGTATTTAAATTAACCAAATAGTGCCAGATTTGTACTGCTTCATCACTTATTTTAATACTTGAAACACTTAGCAGCCAGGAGGTGGCAAGGTGCTAGAGGCACAGCATTGTATAAGATAGGCAAGGGGCTGGTCCTGTGGAACTTTTATTCCAGGTGAGCAACACAGATAATAAACACAAAGATGAAAAATAAAAATTTTTAGATAGTGCTTAGCACAATGAAGAAAACACATCAGGGAAGAGGACAGAAGAGACAGCAACCTGCAGTTTGCTGGAACGCTACCTTACACAAAGCGATTGATGTGGTTTGGCTATGTCCCCCCAACAAATCTCATTGAATTATAGCTCCCATAATTCCCACATGTTGTGGGAGGGACCCAGTGGGAGATAACTGAATCATAGGGGCAGTTTCCCCATACTGTTCTCATGCTAGTGAATAAGTCTCGTGAGATCTGATGGTTTTATAAGGGGAAACTTCTTTCACTTGGTTCTTCTCTCTTGTTTGCTGCCATGTAAGACATGCCTTTTGCCTTCCACCTTCTGCCATGATTGTGAGGCCTCCCCAGCCCTGTGGAACTGTAAGTCCATTAAACCTCTTTTTCTTTATAAAACACCCAGTTTTGGATATGTCTTTATCAGCAGCATGGGAATGGACTAATACAGCGATTACGTGAAGCCCTCTCCCTGAGAAAGCAGACCTTCTCAAGTGTGAGATGAGAAGGAGTCAGCCATGGAAAGCCCGGGGGAGACCATTCCAGGTACAGGCCACATACAGTGCAAAGGCCCTGAGGTGGAAGTGAGCTGGCAGAACACACTGGGCTGGAGAGTGGCACATGTGTTTAGAGGTAGGTGGGGGCCAGATCACGCAGGACCTTGTGTGCCAGGGGAAAGAGTTTGGATTAGATTTAAATTCTAAATGTGGCAGGAAACCAAAAGAGTGGTTCTAAGCAGGTGCTTGACATGATCTGAATTATGTTTTAAAAACTTCCCTCAAGCTGCTGTATGGAGGGTAGAGCAGAGGGGGAACTGGGAGGCCAGTTGGAAGTGTTTGCATGAGACTGGAGTGGTGAGTCATGATCTGGACTGCAAAGGGAGAAGCGGACTCCAAAGGGAGAGCCAGGGGGCTGGTGTGAGCAGTGAGGCTGGGGAAGAATGAAAGATGAGTAAACAGTTTTTCACTTGAGCAACTGGGTGGGACTATTTTCTCAGATGAGAATATTGGGGAAGGAGCACATTAGGGCAGGAAAAAGGGGAATCGGGAGTTCTGTTTTGTCCTCATTAAATTTGAGATGTGCATTAGCATCTAAGTGAAGAATATTAAATGGCAGCTGGAGATGGTATACATTTGCAATGGCAACAAAAAGGGATTTGAAGCCAAAGTATTCATTGAGATTACCTAGGTAGAGAAGAGGCCTCAAGACTGAAGGCTGGAGAAGCCCAAAATTTAGAGGTAAGCTGAGGAAAACTCATCAGAGGACTCTGAGAGGGTTTAATCAATAAGAAAGTGTGGCATCATGATGGCGGAGAGAAGTATTTCCAGATGTGAGTAGTCAACCACGTAAAGTAGCTGCCAGGTAGAGGGAGTTGAGAAATTGGTGACATAAAATTCTCTGGTGATGTGGAAAAGAATGGTTTTGGTGTGAGGATGCAAGTCAGACTGGAGGAGGCTGGAGAGAGAGGGGAGGAGGGAATGGTGACTGTGAGCATAGTGCGTTGGAGGAATCCTGCTTTGGACAGGGGCAGGAAATGGACTGTTGCTGGAAAGGGGTCATGGTGTCAAGACAGATTTTCCTTCTCGTTTGTTGCAAAGGTACAAGATAGTAGAGTTCATGTTTATATATTGATGCACATGATGCTCCACTTACATACAAGATCACTAAGGGGTAATGCAGCTTTCATAATAGTCCTCATACATTACAGAGAATTGAGTTGAAAAGGACCATCTAATCAAACTTCCTAATTTTATGCAGTATGAGGGCTTACACACTTACCACAGTGGTTTGGATAAGTGATTTGCCTTAGATTACCCGGTGGATGAAATGCCTCAATCCACAAATATTTAGGACCACTCCCCCTCCCCCACCGCTCAGGGCTGCTTAGAGATCATTAGGTATTATGGTTTCTCCTTTGCATCCTTATACAAAAGATGGGAGTGGGATGGGTTAGCCCTGTTATAGTTTAATTATATTGGTTACCCGATGAGAATAAACTATCACTTTGTGCATTCAGTTTGGTCAGCACATTATTCTCTTTGAGTGGAATGAGAAATGGAATATTGCCAGAATATACTCCCCACTACCCCCAGGCTGCTTGGAGTTTTCATTCCAAACTCTCTGTGTCAGGTTCTAAAGTTCTGGCTGAGATTTGCTTTCTCTACACCTACACTGGTTGATAGTCTCCTAGGAAGCTTCAAAAGACCCTGGGGCCCATCAGCTCACTGGGATAGAGGAGCACCTTGGGGCTTTCCAGAGACCTTGGCTCTGCAGATGAACAGCTGTGTCTCTAGACACAGTCACATCTTGCTGGGAATTACCAGAGGCCTGACCATAAACCAGCCTGAAATAGTCTTGTTTCATGTTGACACCCATATAAATGGTCCACGGATGTTGGAGAATCAGCAGGAAAAAAAGCCATGCAAAATCTGGGTCTCCTAGTAAGCCCTGAGGGGACAGTTGTCTGTGGGCAGCTGCAGAGTGATGAAGCGTATATGGGAAGTGGAGAGAAACTGTAGGAAACCGATCAAACACTTGTGGTTTGGGCTGATGCTTCTCAGTGCCTTGGGATTCCAAAAAGCTTTAATTTTCCAAAAAAGTTTATTCCGCTTACTTGGTGAGTACAAAACCTAATCTTGTATGGTTGGTTAGTTAGTTTTGTGTTGTAATATTTGTCTGTCTTATTTTTTCGATTAAACCCCTCAGACTGTATTTGAACCTCTTAGTAGTAAATTGTTCCTGGTACCTGAAATGCCCTTAACAACTTCTTTATCCATCCAGTGAAAACCTCTTCATCCTTTAGGACTAGCTCAGCTGTCCTTTCTTCTGACAAGGCATCTGTAGCATAAGTAGCTCCTTCTCTGTGTCTCTGATTTTACTACGAACCACAGTTCATTGTAATTAACTGCATTCTTTCTCATTATCTATGAACTTCTTGAGGGGAGATCATCTTTCCACCATCAGTTAATGCATGGGATAGCATAAATCAGGCCAGCGTTTCTCAAAACATAGTACCAGATATGCCTGCTTTAGCATCCTCTCAGATATTAGTATTGCAATGAACAGGATCACTTTCTTTTTTTTCTTTTTTGACAGGGTCTCACTCTATCACCCAGGCAGTTGTGCAGTGGTGCTGCTCACAGCTCACTGCAGCCTGATGCTCGTGGGCTCAAGAGATCCTTCCACCTCAGCCCCCCAAGTAGTTGGGACTACAGGTGCATGCCACCATGCCCAGCTAACTTTTTTTTTTTTTTTTTTTTGTAGAGATGGGAGTCTCACTATATTGCCTAGGCTGGTCTTGAACTCCTGAGCTCAAGTGATCCTCCTGCCTTGGCCTCCCAAGGTGCTAGGATTATAGGCGTGAGCCACCACACCTGTGTGTGGGGCTAAAGATTCTGCCTTATAAATAGGCTGCCTAGATAATTCTTTTCCACAATGAAGACGGATTATTCTTATCGTAGGCTCTTGATAAATGTTTGTTGATTTATTGATATGGACATTTGTGCCTTGGAAACAAGATTTAGGTCAATGACTCATTCTTTATGGTCAGTAGTTTTCAGAGAGGAACATACTCCCAAGATTACTTTTCTCAGGTACAGCCTAAATATAGCCTCAACTTTATTCACTGAAATCACCAAAAATTATTGCTTAACCTTCTTTAAAAATATTTTTCCATATTCTACTCAGCTGTTTCTTTATACCCACATTAGGAGGAGCCTTCTGCTTCTGGTATAGTCTGGTTTTGTGCACGTGTGAGATGGTGACTGTGATGGAAATGATGTGTATGTCCTGATCTGCAGAGGACTCAGGATATGTAAGAAAGTTTGCCCAATCATTGTCAACCTGAGGACAGTTCTCAGGGGACCAGGGAGGTTTTAGAGAAAAGCTGCTTTGTTACAGTTAAAAGTTGTGGAGAAGTTTTTGACTACATCTGGATAGTATTTACAATGACTAGCATCAACAGGGCGTCAATCAGAGCTGCTGGGATTGAAATCTATTGTGTTGGAATTATTATAAAAAGCAAGAGAATATAGAGTGATACGGACCCAGAGAGTTATACTCTCAGCTCTCTGCAGAACTATTAGCTTGTCAATAAAAAAAATTTGATCCATTTTTCCTTTATAACAATATCCAGCCAAACACAGCTCCCAAACTTTGGCCCCAAATCAAAAGTAATGACTCATTCTATCCCAAACAACTTCAGTGTATGCCAATCCAACATGCAGGCCATATGTGAAATAAACTAGTTCTGGCATAGACATTGAGCAATGTCAAGCTGACCTTATGTGTGGTTACTATAGCATTATGAAACAAAATGCTACCCTGCAATGCCCCCATAAAAACAGAATTCTCTAAGGTCCAATTATATGTCAACCTGTCTCCACAAAAATTGATTACAAAATGAATAACCCAGAAATCACAAAAATAAAGTATTTTCCAGGGGCCTGTCTTCTTTAGTTGAATTGGAAGACCCATTAATTGTCAAGAAGAAAGTCCATCAGAATGGTCGAACTCTAATAATACTCAGGATCCAGATCTGCAAAATTCCAAATTATGTCAATGAAATCCCACGGATCCTCTCTAATAAATATCAACTTTATGCCTTGAAATAAAGACTCTAGTTTTATACAATAGTCATAAGAATGTCTGGGCAGAATACACCCTTTTGCCCAGATAAATCAGTGTCACAAATAATTATATGTAACTAGAATTGCTCATTGTTTAGGAAGTTCTAGCCTCAGTTTTATTCTTTCTGTAGATGGAATCCATTTGAAGAGCTTTTTTCTCACTCCCTTTCTCTTCCAGGGAATGCTTTCTGCCAGTGTGCGTTTCTTATATAACATTTATGTGCCCCAAGAGGGCACTGATCATCTGACTATATTGGCATACAGCATACACTATAAGCATGCAGATATGATGAAGATTTTGCCAATTAATGTTTCCAAGTTGTGGGAGATTTTCTGCTGTGTCCTTGGCCTTCTAGGCTGGCCTAGAGCATGACTTTTGTGTCCTCTCTACTGACTTAATTATTCCAAGGGAAGATTTCAGGGGGAATTGCAAAGAGTATTTATGACTGCTCCAGATGTACCAGAAGGCCAGAGGGCTCCTAGAATCATTCAGTGCATGAGAATTCTTCAGAAAAGTGTAGCCCCAGCACCAGGAAATCCTTTTTCTCTATTCTGATCCAGAGCAGTTTTGTCCCTACCACAGTCTGTATCTAGATTCCAGAAGCTTCAGGGGAGCTCTTTATGGACGCAAGATTCAGGTATCTACAAAGTATGAATGACCAAACTCAATGAGTAGATAGGATCATTTAGTGGCAGGCAGAAACTGCAGCTTTTGGCAGGATCCATTTTGCTGGTCTTGGAAACTCTTTCCCATTGTGGCATTCTTTTGGAGGATTATCCTCTTTTGGAGGATTATACAAAAGAGTAGAAGTATATAGATGTTTTGGAAGTGGGTTTGGCAAGGAAATCACATCTGTTGCCAAACTGTCATTAAGAATAATAAAATAAAATATTGAGAAAGGTAGCAAGGTAATGGATAACTGAAGGGAAAGTTAAACTCCTAAGTTTATTTTAATCACTTAAGTCTCTGGCCTCCCTTCTACCTAAATGTTCTCATATATTGATTCAAAATAAGTGTCACCCCCTGTTTCTCTTTTGCTCTACTCCTAACTTCAAATGCTAATATTAGTAAACTAGTTCAAAAGACCAACAGTGAGGGGAAAAGTCTTGGAAAATTTAGAATTGGTTGTATATGCTTTTTATTGGAGATCCTGACTAATATTTTTCTTTCTAACACACTTGATTTAACTAATTTTATATAGTTTTTTGTGATACCAAAGACATCAGCAGGCATAGCATGTTATAAATGTAATCTTCCTACCTACTCCCATTAATGTACTGCATATAAAGCACATCATTTAAAAATATTTGAAGTAGCCAACTGAAAAAAGTACATGTATGTGTATACATATATAAATAAAACCTAATAACTACTTAGAAAACATTTTAAATGAACTGTGTTCTCCAATTAAAACATAAAAGAAGCAGCTATCTCTAGTGAAAGGAAGGAAATAAAAAAATAGAGACTGGTTCCCATTTTTTTAACCTTCAAGTGGACAGAATTCTTCCTACTTAAAGAGGGAAAAGTTTACTGCAGATCATTAATTGCTTTGTTCATACCCTAAAAGCATTATAGGGAAAAATCACACCTTGGTCACACTGAGTGACAGAGAAACAGTTGTCAGACTTGGACATGTTTTCCAATAGAAGAAAAATCCAGTTACCAACTACATATGGGTTCGTTTTGGGTTCCTGGAACTGATAGCACATCAGCATGTCTTCTGAGACTCATGCATGGCATGTTATTACAGCTGTATATCATCAGAGCAAAAAAAAAATAATTGGTTTTCCTGGGAGTATCTCTAAGTTGATGTCATATTCAATAACCCTGTAGTTGAAAAATCTATATATGATGGATGGACTCTGGACTGTCTTTTGAATTTAATTCCTCATGTGCCAGCTTCTCTAGGTCCTGTTGTACCTGTCATTTTTAGGTGAGCACATGCAGTATTTACAAAATGCACCCAGGGACCAGGCGCGGTGGCTCATGCCTGTAATCCCAGCACTTTGAGAGGCCAAGGCAGGTGGATCACCTGAGGTCAGGAGTTTGAGACCAGCCTGGCCAACATGGCAAAACCCCATCTCTACTAAAAATACAAAATTAGCTGGGCGTGGTGGTGTGCACCTGTAATCCCAGCCACTAGAGAGGCTGAGGCAGGAGAATCACTTGAACCCGGCAGAAGGAGGTTGCAGTGAGCCGAGATTGTGCCATTGCACTCCAGCCTGGGCAACAGAGTGAGACCCTGTCTCAAAAAAAAAAAAAAAAAAATGCAACCAGGCACTATTTCTGCCAGATAATGAACTGCTGAAGAACAGTTTGTCTTGCATGTACATTGGCCTCATTCTTCAGTCTTAACCATGCCACCATGGAGCCAGTCTCACCTGGCAACCCCACACTGGGGTCAGTGCCAAGGTGCAGCTTGAATCAGTTCTGTGCATCACAGCATGAGGGTGGTGGCTTCCCTTCCTCTGAATTTGAGGGCTTCAAAGACAGCCTTAAACATACAGGCATCTAAGATGGGCTTCCATGCACACTGCCGGCACATCCTCATCAAGAATTCTTCCTCGTGAAAATAAGTAAGACATCTGGATCCACTGAGGATGCTTCTTTTGTTCATCCTGGACAAAAGGATCCATACTTGGACAGGGAAGCCTGAAGCCGATTGTCCTGGATTAGCCTAGCATCAGTACCCTGCATGGCCCTATTTGTCAGCATTGCAGGTCTAGCCTTGGGAGTGACTTTAGGATGTGGCCTCTGCTAAGGGGCTTAGAGTTTAATCTCAGGGTTCAAAGCTGCTCTTGAGCCTGGGGATATGGCTTGGTTTGGAACTAGATGCAACCTGGCCTCCAGTTGGAAGTGACATGCCCAAGCTTTGAAATTCAGATTTGTAACATGTGAGATGCAACTTAGCGTATTCTTGAACTCAGTTTCATGTCTGACAATCAGTTAATATATACAGTTACAGAAAGGCAAAACCCCCATTAGTTTGTATGCCACTAATTTGAAATGTATGTAATATAATCTTGATGAAATTAATCTCACCTTTTACCAGAAGGCAATGCTGTTTAAATTAATAAGTTAATAACTAAAATATTAAGTTAATTACCTAATAATTATTTAAGAGAACAGATGAAGAAAACAGAATTTCCTTACCTATTAGCAGAGCTTCTTTCTCTGATTTTAAGCCTTGGCTTCTTTTCTCAATATTGTTCTCTCGGTCTTGGTTGACTAATGCAACTGTCAACACATTGATTTCCTATAAAGTTAAAAGCCAAAAACCATATATGGGTTTATGTAGATTCTGTGCATGTCAATAAAAAACACCAGATCTCTTAAACTCTATAAATAAGGTCATCACTTCTATTTATAACTAAAGATCAAATCTTTTATACAATTGATCTATTTGCCCAAGAGTAGAAAAGTAATTATGTAAAGTTAGGCTCCTAGGTACTGCTCCCCGCATACCAAGTAATTCTCTGCACAAGTGGCAAATTTGGCACAAGTTATCTTAGATTTTTGTCCATGTTTTCATTAAACTCTGTTCATTAAAACTGTGTTTGATTATAGCTACTTTAACATGTTTTATTTCAAAGATGAATAATCTTTGGGAAAGCATACAGGAAACTGATTTATAATACCATGCTAAAAATTTCTGAGTGTGTGGAGAAATAGGGCCTATTGGGGAGCTAAGATAGAATTGTTAGAAGTGTTTTTAAATTGAGTAGGTATGGATCCTCATGAATAAATGCAAGAGGCAGATAAAGCAAAGCTTGGTAAATTCTTTTTTTTGAAAACTAAAAATGAAGAGTTGTACAACAAGCCAATAACACGTGAAACATTGAGGCTGGACTATTTTTAGTTCTTTCTGTAGTCTTTTACATTTAAAAACAGAGATGAAGATTTAACTCATATCATCCTAGACTTTTGATATTAGGACTCAAAATGGAGAGTGATTTAATGGAAAGTCAAATTAATGATCTGCATAGATGACCTGCATATATGGGATAGTAGAATCATTAGGGAAGTTGAGTCTTACTGGAGGAAAGTTGCTCACTGAAAGATGGCTCCAAAGAAGGACTAGTATATGAGCAGTGGTGGGGAACCTGCAGGGATGATAGAGAACAGGTACGGAGAGCCGAATGGACGAAGAATTCAGAAGGTTTGAACAAATGTGTTGACAGGTGTCCCTAGAACTGGAAGTGGTTATAGGAGAGATATTTAGATAGTTAGTACAAAGTAACAAAACTGGTCAGATCCAAGAGTACAGGAAGTATTGGGAGCATGCCGAGCCTGCAAAAAGTGAAAACCACACCCGAAGGCATTCAAAGAAAAATAAACCCAGCACATGCCATCAAAACAGATCTTTGAGCTTAATTTAACTTATGAGCTACCACTTTGTAATCCAGGGGTAATTAGAAATTGCCATGAAAGAAGGCTCTACTGAGAAATTGCAGTTGGTAATATCTGATAAGCATTTTAGAGGCTCCACTTAAGGTCCCACTTATTTGCTGAAGACCAAGTGATGAAGACTGAATGAGAAATGAAAATGGATAAGGTAAAGAATTGAGAAAATCACAGTGATGTGATGATATATCACAGGGAAGAACTTGGTTGGCTAGAGGGTATAACAGGCCTCAGGCTGATGGTAGGAAAATCCCAATAAGGACAGGAGTCAGAAAGAGTTTGGGGAGTGGTCTAAGCTAAGTCTGGAGCCAGCTGTACATCAAAGGTTACTAGAGATGAAAGATGCTCTTACAAATCAAAAACAGGATCTTGGGAGCAAGCCTCAATGGAAACACAATGAAGAATTTTAAAATAGAACAAATCCAAAGGCTTATTATGTAGATGGGATTAGAACATTTATAAAGAGGAATTGCAGGAAAGGAAATAGAAATTCCTGCTATGATAAAATAACATTTGGTACTTTCCGATTAGGCTGATTAGGCACTTTCTCCATTGGAACAGAGCAGGTCTGTGTGTACACATCATCTTTCTAGGGTAGTGGGGTCAATGGGCCTGCTGAATTCTGTTAGTTGTATGCCCTAAGGACAAATAGGTCCCACAGGGACATGGCAGATGGACTTCCAGGCCTGGGAGGTTAAGATTGTTGAGCAGACGCAAGCTGAAGCTTTGTAAGGTCTCCCAAGAGAGGTGTAGGAAGAAAGTGGATGGAAGAACATTAACTAGGATAATGATTGCATCATTAAAAAAATACAAAAAATGAACCCTGGAGCTGAGTGGAAATAATATCTCCAAGAGAGGGTGATCTGTTCACAGCCTGGATGATAATTGGGGCCAAATGAAATTATTCAGAATGAGTTTAGCAGATAACAGGCCCACATTAATTGCCAAGACTGAGTGGTGTCCTGGGGCCATCACACAGTTGAAGATCCAGGTTCATTGAGGGAAATGGACTGTAGAGGGCAGGCAGATGTCAGGAGCCAGCAGAGAAAGGCAAGGGTGGAACAGACAGACCACCTGAGAATGCTGTTTTCTCCCCAGGTCCAAAAGTGGAGTCACATAGAAAGGGGGACTCTGAGCAAGGTTCAAAGAAATACTGCTGCATCAACAATGTCTACAAGGAGCCAGATAAGACCCAGTGACTCTTGCTTTGGTGATGTTTTAGGGTTGAAAAAATTAGTATGGAGAGATAAGAGTCTTAGGGTCACCATTCTGTGGAAGTATTTCTTGAGATTGGATACTGGAGTGTGTGCTCTGCTGACCACAAATGGTGTGTTCTCATGCAGTCATGGCCAGTGACTGGAGTGGACACATCTCTCTGCATGGCTCCCACAACAGTCCAGCAGGCCTTGGCTTGATGGACACCTAAGGCTTGGCAGACATCTCAGCTTTTGGGGACATCTGTGAGTTTTGTCCAGGTTGGAGATGGAGCTGTTTTTCTGACTCCTCTAGGAGGCAGAAGAACTATGCTGGAAGTGGTACAGTATCATTGAAGCTGATCAGGCAGGCTCCAAGGAATGCTTGCTTGCATCTTATAATAAACTGGCCTCAAGAATCTCCAAAAGGGAAAACATCATTTCCATTAGAGTCAAGGGTGTGTCCAAGCATATTAAATAGTCTATAGCATAGCATTGAGTGAAGTGGACCAACTTGTGACCACTCAAAAGAGTCACTACTGACTAAGCTCCAGATGCTAAGCCTGCCTTGGGCATGGTATAAGCTCAGGCTCTTGCTGACAAAGTCACAGAGCTAATTAGATGGGTGAATGCTTATGTCATCCATTTTGCCAAAGAGAACAGTTAAAGTTAATATAGCTGTGTTTCAAGGGATAGAAGACAGGATAGTGATTTTAGACAGCCACATTATATGTTGTAGTTTTACCTTTTCCAATTATTAGAAAAGGAGAGTTTTGTTTTAATGACTCACTAATCATGGGTTCCTTAGAAAAATAAGGTTAATTTGATTTGTCTGTATTTATATTGGTATTGTTCAGTTGAACAAGATAAGGACAATTATCGATAATCTCCAAGTATGGGGTAGTCTACAAAGTAGATATAAGCAACAACTGTACCCTCTCTCTTTGTTTTTATTTAATGTCTAGAAATCTAAGTTATCACATTTGTCAAAAGAGCTCCATCATCATGATTGGTTAAGGCGAAGGGAATACACAGAGAGAATGTGGAATTAATTAATTCCCAAACCAATTCCCTGTTGCACTTAAGCTAAGCCTGTTTTTACTTTCAGCCACCAAATAAATATTTCTGCTACATATATACATCACATGCCTACTATATGCCAAGAAGTTCTAAGTTTTTAAGGATATGGCATTCAAACTGATCAGAAGTGCAAGCTTACCCAGGGACCAGCAAGCAATTCTTATAAAAGGTCTAAAAGAAAGAAATATGAGAAGATGAAGCTGGAGAAGTAGGTAGATCATGGTAAGAAGTGTAGATTTTATCTGGGAGGCTTAACAAGTGAAGAGTTTTCAGTTCTGCATTTTAGGACATTGGTTTGGAGGCAAATGAAACTGGAGTCAGCCTACTGCAAAAATGTATCCATTTTTGCCTTTTGATGATGACAGTCAAAACCCATGCAGAGTGCAAACAGCATTTAAGAGGTGGAACTAAAAAAAAAAATCTGGTGACCTGGTGGCTGATGAAAATATTGAGAACAAGTAGGTGGCTCAGTGAATAGGCAAATGGAGAAAGAAGCTAGTCTGGGAGAAGATTGTGTGTTCAGTTTTGGAAATGTTCAACTTAAGGTTTCTATAGCATCTTGTCAAAATATTTTGGAGGAAGTAGGATTAGCCAGGAAGTAGGATGTGCACGTTTCTGAACTTAGAAGCAAGGCTCTGACAGCTCTTTTTATGGGGCCTTTCTCTGGTTTTGTTTGCAGCAGGAAATCTTGATGTTTTCTTGTGGGACAAAGAGCAGGCTTGCTTACACTTGATATAAAAAAGGTAGATTCCTAAGCTCAGTGTTTCTATCTTGTAACACAAACCACTGCATGTGCTGGCATCCTTCTGGACCCCTCTACGGAGATACTGAGGTTATAAGATCCATGAGAGTAGACTGGTGAAGCCAAAATTCTTCTGGGAACAGTCTCTCAGTGGGATTTCATATTCTCTACACAGGACATTCCAACTTATCTTTTTAGTAATTGGGGAACACATAAGGACATTGAATCATAAATTACACATGGTTTTGCTCCTTTCTTAAAAAGTTCATGGTCCTTATTACTCTCTCCACCCCAAATCTCTAGAGAATGGAAAGGACCTTATCAGAATGGGAAAGTTTTATCATTAGAAACATAAAGTTATGAAGACCCTTTATCCTTTTATCACCTTAAAATCCTTTAGCCTGATAGATGCAACATGCCCAGAAGAATGATGAGTCTACCAGATATTCCAGAAAAGAGGTTCCAGATGCCTAGCAATTACAAAGTAGAAGTGAGTGAGTGGGGATGGAGTGGGAGGTGAGGAAGGTTACTATGTATGAATTGTTAGTGGTATACAAAGTACACAGCGGGACGGGAACATTAGGATGGAGATCAAGAGTTTCCTCTCAGTGAGATCTATTGGATTATGAAGTAGTCTCCCAAAGGAAGTGGGAAGAACACAGTAAAAGCACACCAGACTAGAAAATGCACTGCAGCTAACAATTCTGCACTTGACATGAGATTGGAGATTACCTAATAAATCTTTTCTCAGCCTACCTTTTAACTCTAATTTCTGTGATACGTAGAAGGAATCATTAAAGGGCTGGAGAAGAGGTTTTCAGTAACTGGAAACTAGATGTCACAGACTTTTTAAAAGACTTCTTAAAGAGTTAGCTACTTGAAGGCAGAAATTTCCCTTCTAAGAGTCCTCATCACTTACTTTGAGAAATGATCAAAGTAATTTATCATTTAGAGGAGCTCTTTTTCAATAGCTTATTGAGCTAGAATCATGCTTTGTTATTTTGTTTTTGTTTCTCTCCACCTACCCAAGCCCCTAAGGACCAAGAAAATGGCTTCCCTGCCTTATAAAATCCTTCTGCTACTGCTTTCACTTAATTATTCCTGTGGCTTCCTTACCTTTAGGGCTGTTTTCTTTCTGTTGCAAAGCTTCTTGAATACATGTTGTCCACCTGTGTCTACTGCCTCATCATCTGAAATCTCAGCTTTTTCATCAGTCACTCCAACAAATCTACTCTGAGATATTTCCAGTGACCCTCTTCTTGCCAAATGATTATTTTCCCAGTCCTCTTACCATGTGATATTTGACACCCTTGACATTGGCCCCTCTTAAACCATCTGCCTCACATCTGCTACACAGGAGGTCCTGGTCTTTTTCCTCTTAATTTCCTGTTTAGTCTTCACTGGCTTTTTTGTTTCCTCTGCTGGCCCAGTGAATGTAAAGAAGAGGCTACTCTCTTCCTCCTCTTCTCTAGCTTTGGCCCTTGCCAAAGTGTGCTCCCCAATTTTTCTTACCTGTTCCCTTTCTTTCATTCTCGTGGGTTCAGCTATGATCAATCTTAATTCTTTAAGCTTCTGTTCTTTACCACCAACTGACCACTGGGCTTGTCTGCCTGAATTTACCAATGCCCAGTTCAAATTCAGAATGAGAGGTGGCCATGAGGCAGTGGAAGAGACACTAAATACTTGGGTTTCAGCCTTGGCTCTTCCTCCAGCAGCCAGGTGACCTTGGCAAATTACTCAACATCTTCAAGACCCAGATCACTTGTCTAAAAATGAGGGGCTGGGTAGGGCCAATCATCTTTGAATAGTACTTGATGGAACCTCATTAGCTTTATAGAGGTGACATGGATGGTCCAAGGGGACACATCTCTGGAATTCTACTCTTTCACTCCTTTCTTTTGCTTAATGATACAGGGCTCCTATGTAAAGCTTCATTTAAAGAAATGTCCTTAGGCCGGGTGCAGTGGCTCAAGCCTGTAATCCCAGCACTTTGGGAGACTGAGGCAGGTGGATCACTTGAAGTCAGGAGGTCAAGACCAGCCTGGCCAACATGGCGAAACCCTGTCTCTACTGACCATACAAAAATTAGCCGAGCGTGGTAGTGCATGTCTGTAGTCCCAGCTACTTGGGAGGCTGAGACAGGAGAATTGCTTGAACCCGGAAGGTGGAGGTTGCAGTGAGCTGAGTTTGCACCACTGCACTCCAGCCTGGGCAACAGAGTGAGACTCTGTCTCAAAAAAAAAAAAAAAAAAAAAAAATCTGAGTCCAGGTCCTTCCTAATGTAATTTTCTAAAATTCTATAATTTTATGACTAAAACCCAGTTCATCTCACTCGTCAAACTGCATCCTCTTCTAACTTTTCTGTTTTTATTAAAGTCAGCATCATTCTTCCACTTGCTGGCGCTCAAACCCTCATTTTGTCTTTGATTCATTCTCTACTATCCCCTAAGTGCTTTTAAGATGTCTCTAAATCCAAATTCTCTCAAGTGTCTGTGAGATGTCTCTCCTGCTGCATTCCCATTTCCACTAGTGCTCTACTCTCGGTTCTACGTGTTTCATACTTTGTTTTAGGGATGCGGTCTCACTATGTTGAGCAGGCTGGTCTTGAACTCCTGGCCTGAAGCGATCCTCTTGCCTCAGCTTCCCAAAGCACTGGGATTACAGGCATGAGCCACTGCACCTGGCAGATTTCACACCTTGACCATTTTAACCGCTGCAGGAACCTCCTACTTTGTCTCTGCCTCTAGGCTCTTCCTCTTCCAGTCTATCTTACATAATACCACCAGGTCAATTTTCTAATATGTGACTTTTATCTCATCTATCTCTGGTTAAAACTTCAGATGCTTTCTGATAACCTACAGGAAAAAGTCAGATGCTGCTGCTTGGCATTTTGGGCTTACTCCTATCAAACTAGCATATCTTCTTTCTATGCTATGTCCAGAAATGCTCTTGGAAAGCTCTCTCCTCCTTGCCTTGCCACTTCCTACTTACATTTTACACACAGCACAAGTCCTGTATCTCCCAGAGGCATCTGTTTCAGGCCACTTGCAAGGCTTCCTTATCTGCACACATTTCCTACGCCACTTATATGGCAGTTCATCACTTATACATCACATTTCACCTATTTGTTTCCTCCACAAAACCACTGCCTTCTTTAGACAGTAATCACATCTAAGCAAGTGAGGCAGAATGGCCGAATGGAAGCTGTGTTCTAAATCTGTCACATTATTTACATACTAGATAACTTTAGGCAGGGCATTTCTCTAAGCCTTAACTTTCTTTAATGAAAAACATGGATAATACCATGTGCCTCTTCCCCATGGTTGCTGTGAGGACCAAATATAAGTGAGACAGCGCTTTCAAAAACTATAAATTTCTAGGAATAGATTGTGGCATGATTATTACAACCATTACTCACTTTTATGATTCACAGGATTGATTGGATATGGAACAAGTGTTAATATATACTTGGGGTACTGAATCCATGCAACAATTCTGTATAAGACTTTGACTACAATTATATAAAAATATTTATGCAAAAATAACTGTGGTTGTATTCAAAAATAGTGGATATTTTCTATTTTCTCTATTTTTCTGTCAGTGTTGTTGTTATTATCCTTATAAGTAAAGAAAGAAAAAGAAACCAATGATATACAGTTGTTGTTTTGAAGAGCTATAGGTAAGGACAGCCAGTTGCTGAATACTTAATTAAGTAACATACTGAGTGACATCACCCACACCCTAAATAGAGAAACCACCGCCATGTGACTTCCCCTATGACCCTCCAAGGGCTGGCGGCCTCCATAGCTGCTAGTGCAAGATGAGTGGGACAGTCGACAAGATCTATGTGGTAAAGATTCTCCATGTCACCCCGGACTCTGCCAGCAGCATACCACAAGGCTCGTTTTCCTTCCCTGCCTGCTTGTTCCATGGCCTTCTTGTGCTGTTGGCTCAGTTCTGCTAATTGCTCATAGGCCCTACTCTTAAACATCACACTTCATGAAATCGGGGGCCCTATAGATAATTGTCAAGATGTGTATCAGCTACATTCTTATCCTTTACTCACATTTTGCAAAGTTTCAAAAGCAATCCATCAAATGATGTGCCAGTTGCCAATAACCTTCAAATTATTCCTTATATGATTAGAACTGTGGTTGGGGGAGGATGGAGAATGGAGATATCCCTTCACACTTTCCTTTATGGGCACATAGCAGGTGCCCAGTGGCTGATAAATGAAAGAATGAGCCTCAAACAATGGCCTGGAATATTGAAAACATGATGATTTGGACATAGAAGACACTGGTTCTATTTGCCGCTGGCCTGCTGTGTTTCTTTGTTTCATTTTTGCTGTTTGTACAAAGACAGGATTGAAGTGGATGACCTCCACAGTGTCTTCCTGCTCCCTGATTCCATGCCTGCTCTGTGCCCTTTTCCCTGACTTGGACCTTCCCTTCAGATTCAGGTAGCCAGCTTGGTACAGACCATATAAACTTATCCTTTATTTCTGATGCCAGTAAGAATTAGAGAGGAAAGAGGAAGCAGAGTGAGAAAAACAATAAAAAACCAAATGGATGAGGAAAGGATTGATGAGCATGAGTGACTAAGCTTTAGAATTTTTTATGGTTTCTTATGGGAACATAAGAATGCATCCATCCCCCAATAGTGAGCAGGATCGCAGGAATTTCCTGTGGGGCAGCAATCCCAAGGCCTTGCTGATCTAATCAGTTGTGAAATCTTGGCACTGCCCATCCCGAGGGTCGTGGGCTCTCACCACCTCTGCCCTTTCCCAGCAGCCTTTGATGGTCAAGGTCTGTATAAGGGGAGCCTCAGAGGCCCAATAGTTTTCAGCATCAGAGAGATAATCTGAAAGCAGATGTGTGGGGCTCCAAGATGCAGTGATTCATCATGATGTGACCATATTTTACATTCTGAGATGTTCCACCTTATTGGGGTTCAATTGCCGGATCGGAAGCACATACATTATGTCTTTAGACAACTCCAAGAACCGTGTTTTCTAAGATTTCCAATTGCAAAGATTAAAATAGGCGAGAACTAGTTACGGCTCACACGAAGGACCCTTTAAAGAAAGATAAAAACTCAGTGTAGTTTACTGCCAGAGATATCCAGATACAGCATTTATCCTGGTGGCCTTCTTTCTAGGTCATCTTTGGTTATATTTATTTAACAAACATCTGTACAGTACTTACTATATGCAGGAAGTGTTATAAGCACTTGACAAATATAAACTCAATTGTCATAAGTGCTCTTCGAAGTCAGGCTATTACATTCTTAATTTACAGGTTAAGAAAATGAAGAATAATGAGGCTAATGACTTGCCCAAGGTCACAAAACTAGTAAGAAGCAGACTCAGGATCTGAACCAATGCTGTCTTGCTCCAGAGTCCTAACCACTACACTAGGTTGCCGGTTGCGTGGATATTGAGTGCCTGTGGCGCTCTGTGACCAAATCCCTCCTGAGGGCTGCCTATAGTCCTAGCTCACTCAGGAGCCAGCCAGGCTCCAGGCAGGCCTGGTGAGCTGTGGTTCTTGCATAAACATGAAAGGAAAGGGGAGCAGGGAGGAAGCCACCCACGGGCTGGCTGAGGAGCAGCATTAGCAGGGACTGAGGGGGCTGGCTGGCTGCTGCTGTTTGCGGGTGACGGACTTCTTTAGTGTGACTTTTAACCACAGTCTGCAACAGGGAGGGATTTCAAAGGCAGAGTGCTGGGGCCAATGAAGAAGAAGAGGTGGGACACATGCTCTCTTGATTTGAAGGATGTGGGTAGGGGAAGGCCAAGGTCAGAGGAGCACTCCAAAAGACTGTGGTTGGGCCACATGCAGGATTGGCTGGGCAGGTGGAGAGGCTCAGGCAAGGAGGCCCCAGGTGCTTCTCCAGCCACACCCCAAGGATGTGGCAATAAGGTGGAACCACAGAGGTGACAGGAAGAGAAAGAAAAGGTGGATAGAGAAGCCATTCGGAAGGAATGGAAAGAAGCCATTCTGAAGGAAGAATGGAAAGATTCTATGTGTGAAGCAGAGAGGGGCGAGCTAAAATCATTTAAACAAGTCAGGTCTACACAGCTAGCAGAATATTGATACCAGAATCAGAGATCACGAAGAATTAGAAGTATTGCCTCTAGGCTGGGTGCGGTGGCTTGCACCTGTAATCCCAGCACTTTGGGAGGCCAAGGCAAGTGGATCACTTGATGTCAGGAGACCAGCCTGACCAATACGTTGAAACCCCGTCTCTACTAAAAATATAAAAATTAGCCAGGCATGGCAGCATGCGCCTGTAATCCCAGCTACTTGGGAAGCTGAGGCAGAACTGATTGAACCCAGGAGGTGGAGGTTGCAGTGAGCCGAGATCACACCACTGCACTCCAACCTGGGCAACAGAGTGAGACTCCATCTCAAAAAATAAATAAATACATAAATAAAAAAGTATTGTCTCTAATATTTTAAAATATTGGAGCTGAGGTCTTAGAAAGGCAGCTGGAAATAGGGAAGATGAGGGTGATGAGCTCTCACCACCTGTGCCCTTTCCCAGCAGCCTTCCATGGTCAAGGTCTGCACAATGGAAGCGTCAGGAGATTTTTCATGGTAGTACTTCAGGCTGTGAAGGGCGTGGACTTGAGTAGCTATAGCAGTGTGAGTTACATTTTCTACATACTGAAGAGAAACAGCTATTTTTGAGATCAAGTGTATTTTTTCATTTGGTTATATCTACCGTGGCATTCAGGCTGGGAATACCCCTTTCCAGCCTCTTGCACGGTCCCAGTGCACCTGTTGTCCCCACAGAAGTAGCAACAGTGCTGCCTTTCACCCTCAAAGACATCTGTTTGAATTTTATGTGATGACTGTACCTATAATCTCTACAGAGCAACAGTGTCCTCAGTACCTGGCACAGTGCTCTGTACACAGATGCAACATATATATATATATATATATATATATATATATATATATATATATATATATATATATTTTTTTTTTTTTTTTTTTTGAGACGGAGTCTCGCTCTGTCGCCCAGGCTGGAGTGCAGTGGCGGGATCTCGGCTCACTGCAAGCTCCGCCTCCCGGGTTCACGCCATTCTCCTGCCTCAGCCTCCCAAGTACCTGGGACTACAGGCGCCCGCCACTACGCCTGTCTAATTTTTTGTATTTTTAGTAGAGACGGGGTTTCACCGTGTTAGCCGGGATGGTCTCGATCTCCTGACCTCGTGATCCGCCCGCCTCGGCCTCCCAAAGTGCTGGGATTACAGGCGTGAGCCACCGCGCCCGGCCGCAACTTATATTTTTAAAAGAAAAAATATAAATAGTAGACCCTCTAATATTACATCAAATGAATTTGTTACTACATAGACAGGCCAGACCTCATGGGTGAAAATGACTGGCCATCATAAGGGTTTGGTCAGTACCCTGGGCCTGGAGTCAGCTAGAAGTCTATGAGGAATATATATGTATGGTGGATAGTGAAAAAAACTATGCAATCGCTTTGGACATTTTACAGCCTTTTGGTCCCTAAATACATTTATTGTAGTATCATTTTAAAATAACACAATTTCTTTAATCTCGTAGGCTGAAGGAGGTAAGGAAGTTAATTTTTCATTTGTATCTATTATCAATGCTTTCAATGTTTTAAGTATTAACTTTTAATTTTTTTGGAGACCAAACCATAAGCTTATAACCTTTTTTCCTTTCTTTTCCAAAATATATAACCTTTTCTCTTTCTTTTCCAAAATATAAGACATATTTTCTAGTTGACTTTCTTAGTAATAACCTTTGTTTTCTCATTACAAATAAAAATATGTATTCACTGTAGAAAATATACAAAGTAAAGATTAAAAATTAACTGAAATTCTACTACCAAGATATAAATGCTATTAACATTCAGATATTTGCCTTTTATAGTTTATATATAACCCCCTCCCACATACATATAACATATATATGTGTTTGCATATACACATACATGTATATATTGTTGTTTAACTCTTATTTGAAAAATAGGATTATGATACATATATAGCCCCCAAGTAGAATATTCTACATAAAGAACAGAGACTTTGATAGGAAAGGATCATTTCAATTTCTTAATGTTTCCCATTAAATACTAAGAGGATCACTGCTGCCTGGATCATAACTTAATAATGACTATCACAGTTCACACCATGCTTAAATTGTGGTCTCAAGCTGGCAATGAAATGACTTTCTTTTGGTCTAGTTTTGTGACAGCCATGTTAAACAAAAATGATCTAAAAATGAGAAAAAAAAAATTCCTTTGTATCCAGTAACCCCATTCATTATTTAAACTGTTGTAGTATTTTATTTTTAGTTTTACTATATGCCACTGTAGACATAACCAAATGAAAAAATACACTTGATCTCAAAAATAGCTGTGTGTTTCTCTTCAGTATGTAGAAAATGTAACCCACACTGCTATAGCTACTCAAGTCCACGCCCTTCACAGTCTGAAAAAGTACTAACATGAAAAATCTCCTCAACCAATAAAACTAGAGCAGCAAACAGAAGACATTCAAGTGAAATACTTTTTAAAAATGTATGTATGTGCATCCAGAATTAGTCGGTTTGATTTATCTTGTATGATACTAACTCTATTGCTGGTAAAGATTAATTTTATTATGGTGCTCCTGGCATGTTATTTTCTCAGTTCATTTCTCAGTATGACATTTCTTATTTTTCTCTGCTACAAAGCACCCACTATCATAATTTTCACCTGCTGAGTTTATGTTACTGATGATAATATTAAAATTTAGAGGGTTTTTTGACCTTTCTAGTGGTAAATTAGGTCATAAAAATAGATGGGACACAATCTGATAAATGAGAAAGAGAAAGATTTGATTATTATTAAAGTAAAATCAAATTTTACAAGGTTTTCCTGGCATACTGTGAGATCTTAGTAAACATTGAATATCTTCCTTCTCTCACACCCCCAAATTGAATTCTCTCTATTCACCGCTGCCTTGCATATGCCACACATGAGAACTATTCCAAGAACCAAGCGTTCCTGATTGCTTCTGCATGGTGCACTGGAGATCTTCTGATTATAAACCAAATAATACAAATAATAGTGGTGATAATAATACTAACAGCTTTTATTGAGTGCTTGGTAGATGGCAGGTGCTGGTCTCTTACTATCTCCATTTTATAGATTAAACACTGAGGCACAAGTATGCCTCGCTGTTTAATCTGTAAAATGGAGATAATAATAGTAAGTAGCTTCCTTAAGTTCACACACCTGGAAGTTAGTGGCATCATGACTGGGCCCCAGGCAGTGATACCCCAGGGCCTTTAGTCCATGCTGCCTTCTGTCTGAATGATCTCTCCGGAAACTATAGCTTCTCCACTTGGTTCAAGCCCTTGATCCCACCCCAAGTCTGTTCCTTACTGAGAAGCCTGCAGTCAGTCTTGAGTGAGTTCCCTTTTCAGTTGTGTGCCCTCTCTTCATTGGGCATGTGCTCCTGGAGGACAGTGACTGCTCTGTGATCCAATGTGCTCCCAACAGGCGGCATTGTGCCTGTCATGTGGACTTGGATGGACCTTGTTAGGAGCGGCTAGTTATGGGTCCACTGACTTTTTTTGCATATTATCCAAATCAATGTGATTTCTTAAGAACCAGAGTCTCACAATTACTAATGATGTATTTTCTTTTGGGGGCTGAATGGCAGCAAAATTCAACATTTGGATTAAATGAAGTATCTGTACACCTCAGTTCAGTATAATTTGATTGAATTTATTGAGCCTCCTCCTCTTTTCATTTATTGAGTACCTACAATAAGGGTACATTTTGTGTTAAGACAACAAGATTCAAAGATGAATAATAGTGGTTCCTGCTATCAAAGAATGTAGGAGTCTATAGGGCAGCCAGCTATGTAAAATGTATTAAAATACAGTATGATATAAGCCATATAAAATATATTAAATACAGTATGATATAAGCCATGACAAAGGAAGAGCCAGGGTGCTGGGGAAGCCCAGAGTGGCACCTAGCCTGTCCTGGGGTGGAGAGTTTGTGGAAAAGTATGGTCCACAGACTGGTAACACTGGCATTATCTGGGAGCTTACTAGAAATGCAAATTCTCAGGCCCCAGCTTGGACCTGCCCAGTGGAAAACTCTAGGGTAGGGCCCAGCAATCTGTGTTTTAAAAAGCTATCTTTGATTCGATTGCTTATTAAAGTTCGAGAAGCATAGCCTCAGAGAACATAAGACTCACAGGCACAACAATTAGACAAGAAAACATATATCTAATTAAAACCTGTAAAATAAGAAAGTTGGATGATGTGATCTCTACCACCTCAGTTTTAACTGTCAGTCCACGAGACTTTTATACACATCTTAAAGTTAACTGGAGTGATGTGTGTTTATCTTCAAGATCACCTGCAGATAATATGCAGAAGGAAGATTTGTACTTCTCACCTAACCACTCCAAACAGATTCATGAGCTGACTGAGGCTGCTGCACTTCCATCAATGCAATCATCAATCGATGAGTGTTACTAATGTATCTACCTGCATAGGCTCATTACTGTGTTAGGTTCTGCAAGGAATACATACAAATTCTCCACTTTAAGGAACATGATCTGAGTTGGGGAGATAAGCCTGTCAGAAGTGGGTTGTTCAAGATGGTTGGAATGATGATAAATTGTAGGAATCTAGAGAAGATGGTGATTGATTTGGACTGATCTTAGGGTAAGGACCTAAGAAATGGGAATTGAGGTAGGCTTAAAAACAGGCAGAATTTGCATTGCAGACAAAAAGGGCGATAAGATAGATGGAGAAGCTGAGTTATCAATACAAAATCTAATTACTTAGAATTTTTAATGAATGGTGCACCAAGCTGAATTTGACCTGCTGACTCAAGCCATTTATTCAGGAAATCAGGCCAACATTTTTTCTGAATACCAGGCTGATGGTTATTCCATTTTCACCAAGGGGACTAGTTTGAATACTGTCATATAAAATGGTCAGGAATGATATATATGCTTACAGCTGTGAGACTTATATGTTATGCATATATGTGTGTGTGATTGTGCGTGTGTGTAGTGAGGGGACAGAGAATTATACTGACACAGGTACTGGGGCTTGATATAGATTGTAGTTGTATACTGTTCCCATAGTTTCAAGTCATCTTCCTAAAAGTTGGCATGGAAAGAAATTGCCTTTGCAAATTAGATTCTGCAAGTCTCAAACATAAGTAGCTCACCAGCGTACACTGAACAGTCTGGAAATTGTCCAGACAGAGAAAGCCACTCTGTAATCTCACAGAGAGGCTGATAGAACAATAGAAACGACGTGTTACTGAGCATCACGGCCACAAGTCTCCCCTGCAAGGACAGTTTCAAGCTGGGAAAGCTGAGACTTTGAGGTTTTTCTTGGAAAAAAAAATTAATAGATTTCTGCTCTATTAAGTGTTCCAAGCCTGGCGGAATGTCTTCAGGGGAACCTAGAGTTTTCAGAGAATGGCCTCCATATACCTGGCAAGGTGCTGCTGCCCAGAGAGGGTGACAGGGAAAGACTTCCCTGGCTCTGATGTCTGCACAGCTTAGAAATGCACTCTTTCTTTTTATTTTCTTCTTCAGGAAACTCTTGCTGTCTTTCGATAAAAACATAATTTAAAACTGTAACAAAACATGTGAATGTCTTTTCCTTTGGGCAACAGCTTTCCTTCCAAATTCAACTTTTGCTCTGCCTGAATTAGGAACACGTGGAGGAGATAAACATTGAGGTGCAGTTTGCTGAATTTCTGACTTTTGTGAGACCCTAGGTTAGATTTAAAGCCACCAGTGTGGGGTTCATAGTCTTGGAGGTTTGATTTAAATGCCCAGTTATAGCTGGCTACAAACAGGATGTCAGGTCCCCCTGGGCATGGTGGCAGGTCAGTAAGGAGGGAAGGTGTAGCTGCATTTGGTGGCCATGAACTCACAACTGGGGATAGTTCTCACTGTTAGGCCCCAGCAAGGGAAGGGGGGATCTCCATCAGAGCTGGGAAGAGTTTTGAGGTTGGAAGGATTAAGACACACTCCAGTTTGTTGTGGGAAATTTAAACATATTTATTGCCAAGTCCAATCTTTGTTTCCCCCAGGAAGACCACCAAACATGTTACTTGTAGACTGACATTTGAGCTTTTTTGCTTCCAATTCAAGAGCCTTATTTTAGGATAAGCATTTCATTAAGTGTGGATATTTGTGCAACTGCAAACATACCTTTGATGCAAGCAGATTTCACAGCTAGAGTTGGCAGGAGAGCTGCATGATGGTGAAAACTGCTGCTCTGCCGCCTGCCAGGGTCAATTTAGAAGGGCTGACACGCAGGGCACCACGACACTTAGGCAGCTCTTCCTGTTCCAGTCTTTCCCGCCTTTCTTCCCTTTTTTCTTCATTCTATCTTTGTACCTACTTTTTTCCTTGTCATTTTCCTACATATTTCCTCAAAGAAATGCCACATCCCAGTGAGCTATGTGTCAATGAGATGGATGAGGTTGGAGATGAGCAGTGTGTGAAGAAATAGAGAATGACTGCCCTTTGCAGCACTGCAGAACCATCCTGGGAGAGCTGGAGAGTACCAGGCAAGGAATCCTTGCCAAAGACCAATGTCAAAGATGGAGTCAGACCAGCACTGGCTGGTGCATTTCACAACTCTCCCCTTCCTGGTCTCACGTGTGGTTAGCAGAAATGAAGTGGTGCGAAAATCACTATGGAATATTTAATAATCTAAATCATAAAAACAAATGTCTAGGAAGCCCTATGGCTCCTGAGTAGCATACAGAACTAAGAGGAAGGGGAGTTCACCTGCTGGTGCATCCTTGCTCCTGGCTGCTTTTATACCACTAATCCTGGTGCCTTGTCCCCTCCCCTGCTGCCTTCATGAGGCACTAGGGTAATCTGCTTCTGTCCACCTTTTGGGCTCCCGACTCTTTCCATAGATGCTACTGAATGTTCCTCCTGTTCCTTGTTGCTCAGGGTATCAGGCAGTGCTAAGCCATACCTCTTGTGAGGCAGGAATACCGTAATTGAGCCCTCTAGGTTTATTTGACTTTAAAATGATATTGCTTGCATGCAAGTCATGTCTGTATGTTTGTATATGCATCCCTTGTTGATGGTTTGGAGCTTACCTGGAACTTCTTGGCCATAAGTAGAAATAAATGCTTAATTTTGGGGTTGGGTTAGAACTCATTTTGTTAAACTTTAAATTAATCACTCTTCTTAATCTCACATATTTTCTCGAGAGGATGGACAAGTCTCATTTGGGTACGGATGGCCATTAACCTTGGTCTGGGGTCCATACAGAGCATAGGCTCTAGAATCCCTAGGCCACAAAGAAGGTTCGGACATAGAGTTCACAGCACACGACCTCAAATAATATATCTAAGTATTGTTCTCCTAAATTATTTATGTAGTATATAAAATTTGCCTTTCTCTTCAAAATGCAAATATTATTGAGGCTATTTCCTCTCCTGTTGAGGAACTCAGTCTCTTCTCTATGTGGTAATATCTAGCCATTATTATGGGCTGTTTATTTCATTATTTACCAAGTAGGGGCTTAGCTTTAATTAAAAAAAAATCAGTGAATCTTCCTCTGTTCCTAAATTCCAATCAAGTACAAAAGCTTCCCTATTTATAAATTGCTTTAAATGATAGCTGAATTAACCAATACATTGTCAATATCCACTGCTTATTATCCATGAGAACAAAAATAAGATTTTAAAGTCCCACAGCAGGGACTGATTAAAGAAATTAGAGTACATCTGTGGCATGAAATATTAGGCAGTCATTAAAAATCACAAAACAACTGATACCACAGAAAACACAAATGATCCTTAGAGTCTATCATGAATAACTATATACTAACAAATCGGAACACCTAGAAGAAATGCATACATTCCTGGACACATATAATCTACCAAGATTGAACCATGGAGACATAGAAAATCTGAACATACCAGTAACAAGTAATGAGATTGAAGCAGTAATAAAAAGTCTCTTACAAAGAAAAGTTCAGAACCTGATGGTTTCACTGCTGAATTCTACCACATATTAAAAAAGAAGAACAAATAGTAATCCAATTGAAACTATTAAAAAAACCACAGGCCAATATTCATGATAAACATAGATGCAAAAAATCCTCAACAAAATACCAGCAAACCTAATTCAGCAACAAATTAAAAAGACCATTCACCATGACCAAGTGGGATTCATCCCAGAGATTCAAGGATGGTTTAACATATGCAAATAATAAAGTGGTACATCACATTAACAGAACCAAGAATGGAAACCATATGATGATTTCATAGATGGTGAAAAAGCATTTGGGAAAATTCAACATCTCTTCATGATAAAAACTCTCAACAGACCAGGTATAGAAGGAACATACATCAAAATAATAATGACCATATATGACAAACACAGTTAACATCATACAAGATAGGGAAAAACGGAATGTTTTTCCTCTAATATCTGGAAAAAGATGAGAATACCCATTTTACCACTTTTACTCAATACTGGAAGTCCTAGCCAGAGCAATTAGGTAAGTGAAAGAAAGAGCATCCAAATTGGATGGAAGAAGCCAAATTAGCCTTGTTCACAGATGACATGATCTTATATTTAGAAAACCCTAATGACTCGGCCAAAAAACTGGTAGAACTGATGAATTCAGTAAAGCTGCAGGATACAAAGTCAATGTACAGAAATCAGTAGTATTTATATATGCCAACAGCAAACAATCTGAAAAAGAAATCAAGAAAACTCATTTACAATAGCTAAAAAAATGTAAAATGCCTAGGAATAAGTTTAAGTGAAGAAGTAAAAGATCTCTAGACAATTATGAAAGACTGATGAAGAAATTGAAGATTACACAAAAAAATGGAAAGATATTCCATGCCTATGGATTGGAAGAAGTGATATTGTTAAAAAGGTCAATACTACCCGAAGCAATTTACAGATTCAATGCAATCGCTATCAAGATACCAGTGACATTCTTCATAGAAACAGAAAAATACTATGAAGCCACAGTAACCAAAACAGCATGCTACTAGCATAAAAACAAACACATAAGACTGTTAAGAGTAGAGAACCTAGAAATAAATCCATGCATTTATAGCCAACTGATTTTCAACAAAGGTGTCAAAAACATAGATTGGGGAAAGGACAGTCTTTTCAATAAGTGGTGCTAGGAAAACAGTATGCAGAAGAATGAAACTAGACCCCTCTCTCTCACCATGTATGAAAATCAAGTCAAAATGGATTAAATACGTAAATGTAAGACCAGAAAGTATGAAACTACTAGGAGAAAACATTGAGGAAATGCTCCAGGACACTGGTCTACGCAAAGATTTTTTGAGGAAAACCTCAAAAGCACAGGCAGCAGAAGCAAAAATAGACAAATGGAATTACATCAAGCTAAAAAGTATTTGCACAGAAAGGGAAACAATCAACAAACTGAAGAGACAACCTACAGAATGGGAGAAAATATTTGCAAACTCTCCATCTGACAAGTGATTAAGAACCGTAATATAAGGAATTAAAACATAAGGAACTCAATAGCAAAAAGACAAATAATCTGATTAAAAATAGGCAAAATATCTGAACAGACATTTCTTAAAAGAGGACATACAAATGGCCAACAGTTTTATGGAAAAAAAAAGATGAACATCACTAATTATCAGGGAAATGCAAATCAAAACCACAGTGAGATGTCATCTCACCTCAGTTAAAATGGCTTTTATCAAAAAGACAAAAAATAATGGATGGCAGTAAGGATTTGAAGAAAGGGGAACCCTAGCACGCTGTTAGTGGGAATGCAAATTACTACAGCTGTTGTAGAAAACAGTATGGAGTTTCTTCAGAAAAGTAAAAATAGAGCTACCATATGATCCAGCAATCCCATTACTGGGTATATATTCAAAAGAAAGAAAATCAATATACCAAAGAGATGTATTGATATATTGCAGTACTATTCACAATAGTCAAAATAAAGAATCAACCTAGTGTCCATCGTCAGATGAATGGATAAAGAAACTGTGATATATATATATACACACAATGGAATACTATTTAGCCATACAGAGAATGGAATCCTGTCATTTGCAGCAACGTGAATGAAACTGGAGGTGATTACGTAAAGTGAAATAACCCAGACATAGGAAGTTAGACACCACGTGTTCTCACTCGTATGCGGGAGCTAAAAAAGTGGATCTCATGGAGTTAGAGAGTAGACTGGTTGCCAGAGTCCAGGCAGGGTTAGGGTTGGGGATGAAGAGAGGTTGATTATTGGGTGCAGGAATACACTTAGATAGGATAGAGTGTGATAGTTCAGTAGGTTGACAAGAGTTAACAGTAATCTATTGTATATTTCAACATAGCTAAAAGAGAAGAATTTGAGTGTTCATAGAATAAAGAAAAGTGTTTAAGGCAGATGATATCCAATTGTCCTGATTTGATCATTATACATTATATGAATATATGAAAATATCACAGGTACCTGAAAATACGTACATCTATTATGCACTGATAAAATACATTTTAAAAACCTATTTAATAACATGGGCAAATGCTCATTATTGATAAAGAAAAATGTAGGTTGTAAAATTGTCCATATGATATGCTATAAATTTGATAAAAATGTATATACATGCACATAAACAAAGATAATGGAAATACAAAGAAGTGGAAACTGATTTGTGAGTGGTGAGATGGCAAATGGTTATCTTTTTATTTTTTCTGCATTTCTACATTTTCCACAAAAAGAAAATGGTACTTAGGGATAACAGTATTTATGCATATTTATATGTATGTATATTGGCTCTATAAAAGTTACCAATCTCCATTCAAAACAATTGCTTTTGCATTTATCTCTGGTAGGATTATCATGAACCTTTCTGGGGGAGGACATTCTGTCTCCAAAATGGGTAACTTTTGTTCAGATCTTGGTTTTATCTATACAGGTATCCATGTCCATGTCAGACCATTTCACACAGCACTGAAATTTGTTTCCTTTGCCTGATTTTCTCTAACCTGGCCTGGAGGAAGAAGGTATTTTCACTTCTCTAAACTCAATCTGTCAGCTTTATTAAACTTGCTAATCCTGTTACATGCTCCAAATTCACTAATGACCAAGCAGGTACCACCAACTCTGGCCCTGATAAAAAGGACAAACTTCTAGCCCCAGCCTCCAGCAGTGGAAACATAGTCAGCTGGCATTGAGGTGTCTGGGAAGGAAACTTCTCTGAGCCTTGACTGGATACAAGAACATTCACCGTGAGCCAGCTTCTGTCTGTTTTTGACAGCAGTTCCCTCTCTAATCCTTCCTTGGAGCTCTGTACATGCTGGGATGGGGGTGTCCTAACAAGGTACCTTTGCAATCATTGACCTTTTCAAGGGTGCTGGGTTGGGACATGTGTGGATTTTTTCAGTTGGAACTATGGGTTTCACAGTGAATTGCAGCACATACAGTTAATTCACAGCAGAAAATGTGGTGAAACAGCTGGAAGAAGGCAGCTGCATAGGGGCAGGGGTTGTAGAGGGAGAGCAGGGTTAGAGGTGGGGAAGGAAACATTGGCAGGAGAAAAGCAATAATGTTACAGGGCTATAACTGGGGGAGAAGAGCAAGTTCTGGGTATGAGCATTTAATATGTGGACAGGGTAATATATTCAATAGGGTAAAGGAAATATTAGTCCACGAAAAATCCAACTTCTTGACTTCAGGCATCTGCAGAGCAAAGGTGACCTCAGACATCTACAGATATGGGCCCATCCCTCTCTAAAGGGAAGACAAAGTGGCTCCTGATTTTCCAGTTGAGCTTTTCTGGAGGCCGTAAAGTTCTCTGTACCACTCATTGTGCCCCACTCCTACTAGACTCTCCTCCCAAGCCTACCATGGAGCCAGTCCTTCCAAAAAAGGTCTCGTCTCCAGAGGATTGCTGGAAAAATACAAATAAAATTACTTCAAGCTCATCATTCCCACTGTGATACTGACCTACAGGCAGAGAATGAGGCCTGATGGAATGAAACAGGACTAGCAGGTTTTGGTAAGTGAAAGGCATGAGGACATGGAGTCAGCTCCATGTGGGGGCAGAAATCCCATCTTTATTACTCATCACTGGGTCTCCAAAACCTTGCCCAGTGCCCAGTGTGTCCAAGGCTGGGTAACAGTAATGTCTAACACATGCTGATCACATCAGCACTGCAAAGCAAGGCTCACAGTACCCTATGAGGTAGGTATGGTTATTACCTTAATTTTGGAGGTGAACAAAATGGAAGTGCAGGGGTTCAGTGTATGGCTTAGGGTCACTCAGATTGAAACTGGGCTGCTTCATGTCCAGATCTGTTCTTAACCTCTACACTCTGCTGCCTCCCTCAATGAATGTTTGTGGGTGTACCAAGTAGAAAGTGATGTCAGGCTGTGTGGGGACACAAATGAGGTCTCTGTACAGGTCAAGGGCAGCAAGGAGGAAGGCTGGAAGGAGAAACATATGGAGCAGGATGCAAGAGCTGCAACACCTTTGGTCCCAAGCTAGTGCTTGCTGGGCTTAGTCCTGGTGGGTCTGGGCTCATTTTCCTTCTTTTTTTCTTTGAGACAGAGTCTTGCTGTAGCCCAGGCTGGAGTGCAGTGGTGCGATCTCGGCTTACTGCTACCTCTGCCTCGTGAGTCCCAGTTCAAGCAATTCTCCTACCTCAGCCTCCCGAGTAGCTGGGATTTACAGGCATGTGCCACTATGCCCAGCTAATTTTTGTATTTTTAGTAGAGACAGGGTTTCACCATCTTGGCCAGGCTAGTCTTAAACTCCTGACCTCGTGATCCACCCACCTCGGCCTCCCAAAGTGCTGGGATTACAGGTGTGAGCCACCGTGCCCGGCCTTATTTTCCTTTTGATAGAGCTGTGGGTTGGGGTGAGGAAGGTGTGAAACCTTATATTTGTCCCTTTCTGCTTTGTCTGCTCCTCTCCCAGTTCAAGATCGGGGCCCCTAAGACCAAGCAGCAAGTTCTGGGAAGAAAGAATCCAGCCTGAGTTGTTTTTTACCTTTAGAAGATACGGTCCCATTCTTTCGTACAGGTTGTCTTTTTCTTTTTTGCCTTGTTTGGTACATCAGTATGTATTCTCTCTCACGCCTCCCTGCCTAAAGGGTGGAAGCTACATTCAGAAACTGAGCAGAGGACTCAGCACATGCAGAGGTTCCCTCACATACATCATTAAAATACATGGTTAATGATAGCCTTCTGCTGTGCTGTACTAAACTTGAAGAATGTTCTTTGCACATATCTCTTCCATACGCTCCTAACGTCTTTACTCTGACAGACTTAAAGACAGCTCTGAGGATTTACTTTCTTAAGGAGGTGACGTGAAAAACTGAAAAGTCTTTTTTCTTTTGTGTTTTTGTTTCACTGGTGAATGGGAAGGTGTTCTGTTTGACAGTGGCAACCTTCAGCATCACCAATTAAACCTCTTTACAAATTGCAAATGATTTCTTTAACCCCAGTGTGGGAGTGTGAATTGAGCAAATAGAGGAATGTGAGGTAGCAACTTTACTATAACAGAAACAAGGACAGGAGGAGAGAAAATTCATGGAAAGCTTTTAGATCAAATTGTTTTAAACATTGCTGGCTGAAGCTGTCACTGCATTTCATTCCTCCTACCTGATCCTACAGTTCTCCCTCCTCATCCTTCCCCTCCACCAGACACACACATGCAAGGATCATAGGTGGCGATCCTGCTGGGAAGAAGGTCATCAAAAAAGATGCAAGATAAGAACATGATATATATACATATATATTTACAATTTAAGATGTTGATATCTGTTATACATAATTACCAGGGACCAGGTTATTCAGCAGTCCTAGGAACGTGGAGATAGCTCAGAGACAGAGATGAAAAGAAAATTTATAGGTTTGCTTTCCAGGAAAGAAAATTGGGTCTGAAACAACTGAAATCCTTAAAGAAACTGGAATAAAGGTTAGTTTTAAATTTGGTTACACTTAAATGGTTGACTTGCCTATCTGTCGTTAATATATCCAGTTCCAACTACAAAGAGAAAACAACCAGCAGGCATGAGCGTGAACTGCACAAGTCCTCTTGGAGAACAAGGCCTTTGCAGTTGACGTCAGTTTCTGGCCCTAACAGTTTTAAATCTGCTTTCAGAAAACTTCTCCTGGGCATGCATTCGCAGATGATCTTGTGATAAGGGGCAAGGGTTGGGCTTTTTAAGGGTGTGTCTGTTTTGAGACCTCAAGCATGCTGGACAATGTGTTGGTCAGATCCTGGTGGTACACAGTAGAACGTAAAAACAACAGAAAAGTAATACTAACAGACCATGAGCTAGATGAGTCTTGAGACTAAGACAAATGAGGAAATACAAGACTCTACGTATCCTTTAGTGGATTCCTTCAGGACGACTAATAGATACTATAAGGGTGCAGCAGCTGCACCAACATTCTGAATGCCAGGCAATTCCAGAAGTTTGAAGCTCCCTGTCAGACTCCACCACACAGCTATTAATATACAGAATCCCCCAGAAACAAATATGAGATGCAACCAAGATTTATGGATATGTTAATTACAGATTTATAATAGCAAAAACAGGAAGTTAAATGCCTGACACACAGGCGTGTGGTTCAATTATTTCACATCTACATTATACAGCCGTTAAAAATCATGTCTTTGACTTGGAACCAACCCAAATGTCCAACAACGATAGACTGGATTAAGAAAATGTGGCACATATACACCATGGAATACTATGCAGCCATAAAAAATGATGAGTTCATGTCCTTTGTAGGGACATGGATGAAATTGGAAATCATCATTCTCAGTAAACTATCACAAGAACAAAAAACCAAACACTGCATATTCTCACTCATAGATGGGAATTGAACAATGAGATCACATGGACACAGGAAGGGGAATATCACACTCTGGGGACTGTTGTGGGGTGGGGGGAGGGGGGAGGGATAGCATTGGGAGATATACCTAAGGCTAGATGACGAGTTAGTGGGTGCAGCGCACCAGCATGGCACATGTATACATATGTAACTAACCTGCACAATGTGCACATGTACCCTAAAACTTAAAGTATAATAAAAAAAAAATCATGTCTTTGAGGAACATTTGGTGACAAGAAAAATATTTATAATAATATAATGAAAAATCAAAAAGGTACAAAACTGAAGACAAGATGATAGTATTTATTTATTCATTTATTTATGGGCTTTTCCCTCTGGTCATATACATGACTGGAAAAAACTAAAATAAAGCGTTAATGGTGGTTATCTCTGAGTAATGAGATACCAAGATTTTTTTTCCTTACCCCTATATTCTTTTCTTTCTATAATTTGCAAGCTTCAAACATACTTTTGCTTTTTACTTTTATAATAAAACATAGTGGTTTTAAAAACACAATTGTCAGCTCTCACAAGAACACCCAGCTAAGTTGGCACCAGTCCACTGTATAATTGTTATTAATAAATGATAATGCATGAAATTCCTGCCCCCAGATATAAATAATTATAATGAAAAATAATTTATTTGTCTCAGACAATAGCCTTTGGTCCAGAGGCTTTAAACCTTGTGTTCTGCCTTAAAATTCATCCTGCCAAAAGTCCTGTCTGCTATATTAAATACTTTGTTATTTGTTGAGACAGGGTCTCGCTCTGTCACCTACGTTGGAGTGCAGTGGTGTGATCTCGGCTCACTGCAACCTCTGCCTCCTGGGCTCAAGTGATCCTCCTGCTTCAGCCTCCCAAGTAGCTGGGACTACAGGTGCGCCATGTTGCCCAGTCTGGTCTTGAACTCCTAGGCTCAAGAGATCCGCCCACCTCGGCCTCCCAAAGTGCTGGGAATACAGACATGAACCTCCACACCCAGCCTATATTAAATACTATTGATGCATGAAGAGAGAATTAATACTTGTTGAGTATGTACTCTAGGCTTGGTGTTAATGTACATGGTTTCATTTAACACACAAATGAGGAAGGTGAAGTTCAGAAATAATTTGTCTCAGTCACATGGCTACTCAGTGATCAAAATGGATTCAAACCCTCTCAGTCGGGTCTGAAGGCCTCGTCTCTTTTGACCACCACAAGGCTGGTGGCA
Organism: Homo sapiens; assembly: GCF_000001405.40. Taxonomy (NCBI): domain Eukaryota; kingdom Metazoa; phylum Chordata; class Mammalia; order Primates; family Hominidae; genus Homo; species Homo sapiens. The sequence goes on from NC_000013.11 coordinate 43,263,003, forward strand.
ACTTCAGATGAGACGTAGACTTCATTTCAGACATTTAAGAATAGATTTGCAAAATATTGCCAGTGCTCCTAATGTGAGGGCAAAATAATTGATGATTAATTCTTTTCTTTCACATACCCTAGTGGAGGTACTGGGGAAACTTCCAAAAGGAGACAAAGTTCAGACAGAAAAGAGGGTGAGTAAGTAATCCACCACCTGGGAAACCCCTGATAAAACAGGCAGTGATTGTAAAGATTAGCCCAGCCCTCTGCCTAGGGAGGGAGGTGGCCACCCGCAGTGACTGGCAAGGACTGTCAGGTTCTGTTACTTCACAAATATCTCCCCCACCCCCTAGGTCAAGGTGCTGCTCTTCCTTCCTACTGAGCCAGAACCCCATCTCTCAACAGTCATTGCTTTGAGTTGATAACAAAGCCTACGTCATAGACTCTAGACAGGTATCTTAAAAAAGCTGAAAACTTTCCTGTAGAAGGGACAAAGACCTCGAAGATTATCTCACTTTACTTTTTCCATTGAATAATAAGTGACTTTTAAAATTTTTCAAAAAGGGCCTATGGGCTAGATACTGTGTTAGGCCTGTCTATACATGTATCATCTAATTCAATCAGCAGATCAATTTATAATCAAAACATCTTAGCTAGAACCTCACAATTACAAGTACTTCCACATACATTCTCTCATTTGCTTCTCACAATAAGCCTTAAGGAAGGCAAGGTAGGAGTTATCCCCATTTTACAAACCAGGAAACTGAGGCCTACTGCCACTTTGTCTGGCTTATTGGAACAGACAGCAGCTTCCCTGGAAGCCACAGAGGGACTGGCTGTGTGTGGAGTGGATATGAAGGTTTTGGTTGAGAATGTGGCAGCCTTGTGTCCCTGGAAGACAGGGTGCTGAAGAAGGGTTTTAGGGTAAGGATGAGGGTCATGAATATGAGAGTGGAAAGATAAACTATGTCTCACAACATTGCCTATGGGGAGCTCTGTATGAATGGCTTCCTCCTTTGGCTTTCTACTTTCTCAATCCTATTCACTCCCCAAAACCAAACCCAAGTCCCACAGATCCAGGAAACCTTTCTTGATTATCTAGCACAAAGAAACCATACGTGTAACACCTTAAGGTTTTCCCAGGCCTTAGCTCATTACAATATTATGACATGCTTTTGAGATAGGCTTTGCCATTCTTTTTACAAGTGAGAAAAAGGAAGCTCAGAGAGGTTAAGTAACTTGTCAGGCTGATACATTTAATAAGCAGCAAAGTCTGGATTTCAAACTACATCACATCATAGCTGCCTCAACTTCCTGTACACTTATCATGTCCTGTATCTTGTCATGTGTTTCTTAATTCCTTAACTCAGTTGTAAGTTCCCCGAGGGCAGACAACTAGTCTTATATTTCTTTGTAACCCCCATTTCTGTTCCCCTAGAACTTAGCAGAGTCCTATGAGCACACAAGTCCTCAATAAACATCATATGTTAAATATCTGCTGGGTAGGAACAATAATGATTAAGTGGGATTTTTTTGATACTCTGAATATTAGGCTCTCTGTTGTATATAATTAAAACAAGAGTGAACAAGAAATATATAATTTCTCCTAGCTCTAGTGTAATCAGGCATTCATTATCATGTCTAATTCTGTGTTCAGTGAAAAGAACTGCTTAGTAAGCATTTTCTTTGATGAGGATAATCAAATACAGATATCAGAGAGATTTAAAAAAGACAAAATCATCAAACATATGGAGAGGCAATGATCTACAGGGTATAATATTCCATCTGAGACTAAAGAACTTTCAAGGCAAAAAGAACACTTGTTTACTTTTTGACAATTGGATATTCAAGGAACACTAAGAGAGGAAGTCACGGTGTAACTGGGATCTTGTACCATCACACATTATTCTTTATCAAGAAGATGGATGCACTGTGCTACTGTTCTGGGTGAGGAACAGAGAAGGAGTACATTTCAAGGGCTATTCTGAGAGAAGGGGTTTTCTCTGAGACCTTTTCAGCATGTCAGTCATTTAGGTACCACCTTCGCTGGCAGGCAAACTTAATGAATATACATGCAATGCGCAACTGATTACCCTGTCGGGTCTCTTGCTATTTCCCTCCCAGTATATCATCAGTTATAGTTTTGGAAATACAAAGAGCTCAAACAGACTCACTGAAATTAGAATTTTTGATGGTGGGGATTAGCTCACATACTTCTAAATTGACATTTGATAAACTAGGCTGACAATAGCAGTGCCTGTCAATCACATTTTCTTGCCAAACCCATATATTAATCTTAAGCTGCTGACAGGCAGAGCTTCTGATTTCCTTTATGTGGTAGATAAAGTGCTACATCCCCATGTGTTCAACCAACGTCAAGCAAGAAGAACAAATACCAGGTTTGTGGTACCTACATTTGAATCCTCATGGCTGTGGCCATTGGTCTCGACCAATTCCTTGGTACCTTTTAACTGCAAATTTTAAGGAAAAACAACACAAAACAAAAAAATGAATAAGCAAGCAAATCTCTTAAGTATATCATCTTGTTAACTGATTTATCTGAGGTTGCATTTTATAAAACTTCCAATGAGATAAAACAGATGGAGCACATATTTCTAATGAGCCTTATTGGAGCCAGTTTGAGACCAATATTTTATGAAGTTTGATGCCTGGCAAAAGAATAAATGGGTCTTGGTCATTATTTTTTAAATAATAAGATTAGAAAGCAGTTCCATAGGCATAAAATGTATAAAATTGGTTCTTAAGAATAATAAATGATTTCATTTCCTAGTTGGATTGCTATTAATTTAAACCCTGCAGTGTTTGCAAGTTGCCACCAGCAAAATGATGTTATATTAACGATTATTCGTGAATGATGCATTTTCAGCTGCTTTTAACATGCTACTGTGCTACCAGACAGGTCCTCCTTGAGAATATATTTGAATGACTGACATCTCTGGAGGACTAAAGACGGTTGCTTCTTTGGTAGAGAAAGAGTTTGGATGACATCTCCTTGGCCGCTGAGGCATTAGAAGAAATTATATTTCTCTAATGAGATTTTTAGCAGTGAACATTTGAAAACATTTCTCTTTCTCAGAGGCTTAGGAGTAATCAGTTATAAGGAGGTTTCAGGAAACCTTTAATTGTCATTTTATCCTATCCTGACGCAAAACAGACATTTAGAATCAGACGGCAAAGGAAGAGGGTGAGCTGGCTTGCAACTGTTTTGCCAGTATTTTTTCCTGACTTAGGAAAGCAGCATCTCCTCCATTATCTTTTTTATACCTAATACAAAGTATTCATGGTAGGAAAAAATACTTAAGATTTGAAAGAAAATCAATGCACATATACCACCAATGTGTTTGATTCATAACATTGGTTCCTTCTGGCTACTTGTGCATATTAAAATGAAAGCTTCTTTAGTTTTTTAAGGCCAGTCTTAAACTCCCAGCAAAAAAAAGCCCTACCCGCTCCATGCCAAAGAAGGGGTTTTGCCAAAGGAATGGTAACATGAAGAAATTGAGGATCAGGTAGTTGATTATGGACCAAAGGCTCTTTGGCTCATTTCCATATCACTCCCACTTAAGAAAAAAGTCTGCCCACTGTTCTCTAGGGCAACATCATTGATGGTTCTACACACAACAGACACAGGGGAGCATGGGCGATGTATGGCATATATGACAAGGCAGAGGTGTGCCACAATAATAGGAATACTGTCTATTATCACAGGACACAAAAGGACTTTTTAAAATCCCCTCACTCTTTTCCTAGCTGAGGGTTTCTTATTGTAGGTATCCCTCATCTTCATCAACCTCTCTGCTCATCCCACCTTAGGTCCTGTAGCTTGTGCTCCCATGAGTTCGAGTGGGGTTAGCTCAGAAGGTCTTGTTCTTTTTCAGCAGAAGTAGAGGACTATTTTGTGAATGTCTGTTCCACCTTTACGTGTTTACCAACATAAATGTGCCAGTTGCTCTCCTCTCTTTTAAATAAACTCCATTCTTCCCATTCCATGATGTCCTCTAACTCTGCTCTCGCTTTTTCTGCTCCTGTTTATTCTCCCCTCACTCCCTGTCTCCTGGCATTGTTCACTCCGCTGTGCTCCATTGCCAGAACCGTGGAGGAAACCCCTCCCCGCTGCAGCCCACCCCTCTCCTTCCTCGAGCTGCAGCTCCAGGACAGCTGCTGCTTTGTTCTTCTCTCTGCTCCCTGTTCTTCTCTCCTTTAGCTGCTACTCTCCCCCAGGTAGGGCTGAACATCCTGTCTGATGAAACTGAGGTTTGTGAACAAGCTCCAGAGGTAGGAAGCTATCCTCATTGTAAATGAGATGAAAGGCAGGAGTCAGTGGGGCCTGGAGGGACCTAGAAAAGCTGCATCTTCGCAAATGGGAAGACTGAGAGCTTAGGGGTTAGCGTGGCCTTCCCTGGAGGGGCTGGGGCCTGAGGGTGGGAAAGGTCTGCCCTCAGGACCTATCCTTTCTTGTCAGGATTCCCAGCACGGGGCAATCCTGTGAATAGCAACATTCCAAATCTGCAGAGCAGGGTGTATCTTTCCCTGCATGTGTCCATTTGTTTAGGCCACATCTATGTGGGCACTGAAACTGTTTACGCATAGAGTTACTCTACACAAATCCAAAGAAAGCCTCAAAGGCAGTGGTCAGTGGAGGTGAGAGGTGTCATCAGTGCACATCTGTGTGTGGGTACAGGGACATGGAAAGAAACCTGTACCCTGCATGGCCCCTTTTGCAAGAACCACCAAGGGGTAGCAGGTGAGGGGCTCTTGGACAAACAGCTTGGTAATGGCACCAGCACCCAAAAACATTTGGTGTCAGGCTTAAAGATTCTTGGTATCTGTGCTTGTAAAGAGCTATCCCATTGAAATTAATATTGCAGATTTAAAATTCTTCCTTCTCAATTGTATTTTCTAGGTCTTTAATGATTTTAGCTGTTTCGAATCTTCTTCACGTTCTCTTTTTTTTAAAATAATGGAGAGTGAAGTGTGATGTTTCACCCATAATTGTGTGTGCTCTGCTCTTTAAAAATGCATGCCACAACAAGATATATCAATACTTTCAGCAAAACTCAGAATCTATTTTTATGACTAGGGTTTGGACTTCAAAATAAAGGATTTGAGTCATTTAGAGAAAAGAGAAATTCACCCCTCCCCACTCTAGTCAAAGCTATCTAAAAGAAAAAAAATCGGGGTGAGAGAGCAGAAAACAACAAAAGCTCAGAGCTATATCTGGTTGATTTGGAGCAAATTTGGACCAACTCAGTTCCACTTTGCTGGGAGTCTTTTCATAATATAACAGTGGAAAGCACAGTGATTTCAGGTCTCCTCAACTGCAGGTCATTGTGAATTCAGTCAACTAGATTTTTCATTTCAATCTACTATATCTGAAATCATACAGAGTCAGCCTCAGTACAAGTTACTGAATCTATATTCATCATATAAAGATAATTATTAGTTTTATAAAGCATTTTCTTCCAAAGCTATAAAGGTTTATAAACTAATATCTGTACTTTTCTCTCACAAATCACTCATACCTTTGGGAGAAAATAACTAAAAAGATATTTTCTGGACCCCAAACCATTAAAAAAAAATCACTCATAAAGTGACACAGAGCTGACTTTATATTTTCTCAAATGTCACCTTTGAAGTTATGTATACAGTGTAAGGTTATTTATACAATATAAAACGATTATGTGTATGAAAAATTTAAAACAATCTGCATTTGATTACTCACAGAGGGTTGGGGTAACTGTATGCAACTTTTTCCTTCAAATTACCATTCATACATTGTTGGCAGCAAGTGAAGGCCAGAAATAGGAAGGCATTTCAAGAGCTCTCCTGGCTCCTCTCATGTAGATAGTGGGCTTAGATTTCACTCTGCTGCCTGCCGAGTGTTCCATCTTACCCTGCTGTAAGACAATACTTTCCAATCCACTTATCAATGTCAGGCCACACTTTTGTATCAAAGAAAGCCAGAATGAAATGATCAGGTTTACAAACTTCATATAAAAGGTCTGTTGCTCACCATGGTTAGATAAGTACCCTGATGCACAGGGAAGATACTTTTTAAATGTTGCTATGAATCAGTCCTTGTTCATGTGTCTGCAGGAGTCTCATGGGTTATGCTGAACTCATTTTCCTCACTGTTAGACTTAAGAGGAAACCAGCTGCTTACTTTGAAACATACCTCATTGCCAGTATTTTGAAACTTTATCGAAATTTGATTGTCTTCTGGAAGAAACTTTCACACAACACTGGCAGGCTTGGGCAATCTAAACAAGTACAGGAGTGAGGATAGCGATGCTGGGAATGAGGTTATAAATTCCGCATAGCAAAGCTGCTAGGAAGTTTGACAGGGTTCAGACTAATTGTACTGCAGATTACTTTCAGTAAATGTTTGCACGGGTGACGCACAAGGGAGGTATGCAATGGGGTGTTTGGACTGATTCATAAATCAGAGCTGTTTCATTCACTTACTTGTTCCTGCAGGACTTTTAGTAACGCTTGTGTATGGGACTGCTCTTCCTTTGCTTGTTCCAATTCTGACTTTTTGTTGTTTAACTCCTCCTGGATGGTTAGCAATTGCTGTGAAATTAAAGGATATTTAGCATAAGTAGGATTGAAGGTCAGGTGATTTAAAAATATCCACAATACCCATTCAAAATTATGAGTAGAAGATGTTTACAAGTCTTGAAGCTTAATTCAGACCTCAGTTGACCTTGTGTGTTTTCCGCACTAAGTATCAAGGGCATTGCAGTTTTGACACACTTTAGGTTGTTTGTGATACTGATGCACAAAACTTGTTTTCATATTTGTGAAGGCATCATTATATTCCTTTGAGCAAATGCCTATTTGTAAAACTATATAGGATAGTGCTAATACATTACATTCATAGATGAAAAAATTATAATATAGTCAACTTGTCCAACGTTGCTTCATTTCACATATTACAGTAAAGCTAGCTTTACAGTAACTCTATAAAGCTACTTTGCCAAGTGGCTGGGACCACAAAAGATCCTTTTACTTTCTCTGTTATGATGGTGATGTTTTATTAGATCAGTAGGACTGAAGTCCAAACTGCAATCAATATATCAGCTGAGAAAACTGCTGATATAAACTGTCAAAACATCAAGCTATGGCCTACACTGCTATTTTTAAGCAGGGCCACTGTATGGATTTTTGTAAGCCCTGAGCTTCCCTTGCCCTATCAACTGTAACTCATGTGAAGGCTTTCCTTGTCTGCCAAAAGCACAGCGCTGCGCAGTGCGAATTCTTTGGGACATGGTGATATGTTAATATATACATAGGCTGGAGAATACATTCAAGAGCTGCAAAAAGGCCCTGGAAACAGCTCTGACTATTCAGAGCTTCTTGACAACAAAGGACTGGTTCGAAAAGACAGAGTGCATTTCTTCTGCTACTGTACATAACAATTGCTGTACTAATGATCTGGAAATGTTAGTGGATTCCTGCTATGAAGAGACCTGTCTCCAATAGCCAGGCTACTTCTTCAGGGCCTTGACAAGCTGGCTGCAGAGCTGCCTGGCCAGTTCCTAACCATCAAAGCCTGGAGAAACACTGGCACTGGATTTCTCAGGCTTAAACCTACCAACTGGAAGGATTAAATTAAATCTCCAAATCTACTGGTTTGGGGGGATTTTGCAGGGTAGGAAGTACTCAGAAAAACACACTGTGCTTTCCCTGGGACTTGCTTGTTCTGCTAACTACTGTGGCACTGGGTATAAATGTAAGAACCTACTTTGGTCCTGTAGCATAAACAGTGATTTCTTGCAATTTTCTAAAAGCTCAGTGTGTCCTATTTCACCACCTGCCCATGGAATAATCAATCACATGTGAGGTAATGTACACATTCCATATGCGCTCACTTAACAATTTGTGGGATTTAATTGTGCATCATTGATTAAAGTACAGAAACCAAGGAGCCCATTTTGCACTTTGGCACAGTGACAAGCACCTACATTGTGTCCAGACCGTGGGGAATGGCTCTGTTCCTTCATTCACATTCCTGACTGGCCCTAGAACAGTTCCAAAGGGAACTGGTGCCCTGACTTGGGTAATGCCGAGTGAATTTTACTTCATGAGACGATTTCAAATCCAATCCTTAAATCTCTTTTGAAAAATGAGCCAAATGAAAGATAGGAAGTTGTCTTCAAAGGTAGGTAGCTCATGTTTGCTTATTGCAGCACTTGAGGTGGCAAAACCAAAAATAACTGATGTCCAGAAGAAGGGAGGTGGACATTAATAATCGTGTATCTGTATCATCAGACACTATGCAGCCATTTAAGATGAAGTTGCACAAATGTCTTCTAATGACACAGAAGAAGCTCAAAAAGCACTGCTCAGCAAAAAATACATTCAGGTTACAAAATGTAACTTTGCAGCATATTCATAGGAAAGGATCTAGATGCTGTCTCTGGGTGGGTGGGTTCATGTATCTTTCTTTTTTGCTTGTCAGTTTTCTGGTATATCTGTAACACATACTGCTTTAGTAATGAGAAAAAATCAAATGAATTTAAGATCGGGGAAGAACAAAGAGAGGAATACTACTTGGACACCTCTCTCAGCTATTACCAATACTGTGAATAAATAAGAGGGAGAAGTGCATTGGAGTCTTCATTGCATCCGCACACTTACAACTCTTCCTTCTATTAAAACACACACACACACACACACAAGCATGTGTGTGCATATACACCCCTTTCTCTTGACCACTCTTTTTCTTTTAGCCTCCCTCTTATCTCATCCATTCTTGGATTCACACTTTTTAAATGAAATGTCTTCCCTCTCATCAGTGCTTCCTTTTCTTCTTATGTGTCAGTGATGTAGTGTCTAGATTTTTATTTCAATGTGTTTTTCCAAAACATATATTGTCATTGTTTTGTGTGTTTTTTTATGTGATATTATGTTTCTTATTGTTTGCTATGTTTTAAATTAGCATTATGTTTTTAAGATCCATCCATGTTACTATTTTTTTGTTAATGAATTTATTTAAAAATCTAATAGATTTTCCCCTTTTATTCCCAAAATGTGCTATACATAAGGAAACTTTGAAATTCCCTTGAGATTTTACTGAGCTTGATTTATTATTATTTTTTATTATACTTTAAGTTCTGGGATATATGTGCAGAACGTGTAGGTTTGTTACATAGGTATACACGTTACTATTTTATGTATCTAATCCATGCTTCTGATGGGGTATATCCACCCCATTTTACCCAACCCACTCTCACAGTGAAGGCCATTCAGATTACCCCAATTCTTCCCACTGTATACAAGCCTGCAATGGAATATGCTAGTGCAAGTTCCCTTATGGCCCTGTGGGAGGATTTCCCTGGGATGCATATCCAGTGGTGGAACTCTTAGGTAAAAGAGTGAATTTGGCAAAGCTGCTCTCTGGGATGGTTATGCCAGTCTACCTGCCTGTCAGTGGTGTGTAAGAGCTGCTGTGCTCTACTGAATAATAACACTAAAAGCATTGTTCGGCTTTCTAATTGTTGCCAGTTTAATAGAACACCAAGATTCTTCATCTTTGAAAAATTTTGTACTTCTTTGATTCCCTGTGATTTTAAGCATCTTATATACTTGCTAGCTATAGGGGTTTATTTATAATTTTTAAAATAGTCAAGAGCAGTGGTTCTTAATTCTGACTCTCCATTAACATTATCTGTGAAGATTTTCAAAAAAATACTTATTTCTGGGCCTGACACAAGACCAATTAACTCAGAATATTGAGAGGTGGGACCCAGGCACTGACCATTTTTAAAACACCTTCACAGGTAATTATTCTAATGTGTAACTGGGGATGAAAACCACTGTATCCTGAAATGCTTATTTAATCTTGCTTATTTAATCTTCAGTCTACTATAATGTGACTTTAATCCCTAGTACTCTACTCAGACTGTTCTCACTACAGTCACCAGTGCCTTGCTAATTGCCAGCTAGTATTCCAGGTTCTTTTCTTCTCACTACACGCTCTCTCCAGGGGATCCTATTCACGCCCATGGCTTTAACTACACATCACATGTGCTGGTGCTTTACAACACTGCCTTTACAGCCTCTGCCTCTTTCTTACCACCTACCAGACCCTTCACTTCCTGTGTTTACAACTGTGCCCATTAGCACACCTACCCTTCCCACCCCAACCAGTCTAAACGTCTTTCCCTGGTAACCAGAGTTAAAACCTTGAAGTCAACGCTGGCCCTTTCATCACCTTCACAACCTCTTTGCCGGTTCCTTGACCTTTTCTCCATCCCATCCTTGCTGTCATAGTAAAGGCTACCATCTCCTCTCCTCTGGGTTTTTCCTGTTCCCCCTGCCATTTACCCGACACTCCTGAGAGAGTTGACTTCCCATGAATTAAAGTGCTCCCATGATTAAAAGTACTGTTAATTCTCTAACCCCTATAGATAAAATCTAAACCACTAAACTCATCCTTCCCCAGACATGCCAGCTGCTTCCATGACTTATGACAAGTTTACCACTCAGAATTCTGCCTGGCTTATTCCTACTCATTCTTTAAGCACCACCTCAAATGTTGCTTTTGGCCCAAGATCAACTCAGATGATGCCTTTGTAAAACTGAAAAGAGCCCCATCCTCTCTAGGTAGAGACAATCCCTCACCAGGCATATGGTTGGGCACTGGCTTTGAGGCTTGATTTCATTCCCACTTACCCCTTTGGCCTGCTGCTCTTGTCCAGGGCAGAACCTACACTACGAAATGCGGTAGCCTTGGGTTCTTGCTCCAAAAAAATATTCTCTAATCACTGAAGCAAAGTTAGTTCATCTATCTTCTTGCTCCCAAAGCACTTAATTCAATATACCACATTTCATATCTGTCTTCCCAACCAGACTACATTCACCAATATTAAGGTCAATGATTAGGTTACCTCTAATATATAATAGCTGCTGAATGAATAAATGAATAAATGAAGGGATAAATGAATGTTTGCTCTTGTTTCCCCACTTCTATGGGATTAAACCATGATCCAACAACAAACAATAAAAAACCCACCAAAACAACAAAAACAAAAACAACCCCCCAAAACACCTGAGGAATGATAAACTACTAATGTATTGTTCTAAACATATGGATACATAAAACTTTTTGAGGAAAACAGCAGTTTCATTTAAGACATTTTGTTTCATTACCTGGCAGTTCCAGATATCCTTTTTAATCTGAAAAGAAATATTTCTCAACAGGCTAAGGAAATCCAATCAATGAATTTATAATTACGTAATTTATTCTTCAAGTTTCACCACAATAAGAACAAAATCACCATTATCAGAAAAATAAAATCACTCCTAGACTGTTTTCTGCATTCTGCAAAGTTAATGTGCTCTTTTGTTTTCAAGGTATAAACTCATAAACTAATATTTATATATTCAAAACAATGGTGATTCAAAACTGCCACTCTTCATGTGACTAGAGGTCCTATAAAAACGGAGGTAGTTCACAACTAGATGATTTAAGTCAGCCTTTCTGGTCTTTTTCACTTGAAATTTATGAGTCTCTATAATATTCTTTCCAGTTTGAATTTTTAAGTACTAAAGTGCCTCAATTATAGAAGTTCATAAGCAGCTAGAACTTAATCAGAAGAGTCTCTTGGTTGGATTGGCTGATGGCAGCGTAATTTTAACATTTGAGAGTGTGGCATTAAACAGATGCACTATTACATTCTTTGGTGGTTACAATGGAGTGTGTTCCAATTAGACAATTATCCATATGCCAATCAAGTGGAAACACTTGGGCGGACCATAAGCAGGTAAATAAATGCTGTACCTGACACATCTTGATATTTCCAGGCCACTGATTTAATGGGATCATTTGTAATGCTCTTTGGGGATGCAGACTTCAGTATGTAATGGGTCTTTCTTTCTGACAAATTCAAAGAGCATTACAAATGTTATTTGGAGCCCTAGAATAAGTGAGGTCACATTTCCATTTTTACAGATGGGAGAATCATGGGCACATAGAGATTAAGGTCATGCTGTCTGGGAGACACCTACCACTTGCACAGTTCAATTTTCCTACCTCAACCCGTGGTTTCTATCCTGGCAATCACACTGCACTGTGAATTTGGAATGGAAATCAGAACATGCCAAACTTAAAAATCCTCCTAGCAACGACTTCTATCTAAACATTCATCATTTCCACTTAGGAGCCAGGCTTGTTACAGACATGCTTTTGTGTATACTTCTGTGAGCGGTGTGTCAAATTTGACGTCCCTTTAAGAACAACAACCCCTTCCTTGTCTTTTTTCTTAAATTGTATAATTTTGTTACCAAGGTGAAGTTTTTATATAGTTAACAGACTATGTAAGTTTGGTTCCATGAAAGTCATAGATGACAGTGCAAATACCCTATATGAAATACATCAGCCACATCTTGTTGTAAGCTGAAATTCACAGGATTGTGATTAATTCAGGAATCTTTGGCAGGATAGTGTGGGGTTAGGAGAACTTCTGTGGGATGGAGGAGTAAGTACCCTTTCTAAATTTAGGTTGGTGGTGGGTCAGGTAAACTAACACAAGGTAGATAGATATAGACAGTGACTGACACCAACACACACACACACACACACACACACATACACACAATTTCTTTTCTTCTTCTGTTTCAGGATTTCCCCAGTGCTTGGCTCTTTGTTTAGTTCTAAAACAATCTGCTAATATTTATTCATTCATTCCTTTAGTCAACACTGAGCTCCTGCTGTGTGCATGGTACTGGGCTGGGCAATGTGAAAGATACAGAGGAAACAACAGTAAATAGCCTCTCCTCTAGATGCTGGGTCACAAAAATTCTTACATGTACATGATAACTAAGTCAGGACAATACAAAGGACTCTTACAATGGCTATAACTAGTATGGTTTCCATAGGAATCCAGGAGATTTCTGGGGATCAGTTTAGGGGTCAGGAGAATGAGCTCAGGGGATCCATCTTGAATCATAACTTGTTCCACTTATTGGAAATGAGCCACTGAATATTCACGATAATCTGGGAATATTTGAACCCACAGAATGTTATCAATTTAAATTCAATGTGTTTTTTACTCTTTTGGTTCAGTTTTAATAACTGTTGTTCCATCTCTGTAACTTTGCTATAAATCAGATGTCCTACTCAGTGGGATAATCCTTTAAGGCTAGCAGAGTATCACCTAAGGAAATGAGCCCCAGAGGTTTCCAAAGGGAATTCTCACCAAAGGCGATGGTGGGTGTGACTGCGTCTGATGGTCTCATCCCAGCAGTCCTTTTAACATTTGCTCTACGTGGCAATACCCATGAGTGTCCCGCCCCATCCTGCCTCTGTAACCCTGTTGCCAACCTGATTTTTCCCAGTATTTTGGCCTGCAATCTGAACTCCACCTGTGACCAGCTCTGCCAGATCCCTGTCCTACTGTAGAGCTTGAGATGGAAGTATACACCCCTTAATCCCCTTTCTCTTGGTGGGATCCTGTTACATCCCACCGCCCCACAGCTTACTGTGTCTTCAGGTCTCCCCAGGACTCTCCAGACCATCCACTGCTCCATCAAGTTTTGGTTCTCACTGACTTCAGAACTCTTTAGGAATGTCAGCCTTAGGTCCCGCTGATGAGGTCTACCTATGCTTGTTTTCCATCTGACACTGAATCCTGAGCTAATCCCTGATTGTTAGAGAAAGTTTGAGATTTAAAAATTCAAGTGAACATTATCACAACCTAAGAGCAAGGCTTTGCCTAAAGGCAAACACATCTAACAGGATTTCTGACAAAGGAGAGAGCCTGTCTCTGGGGAAGGACAATCATTTGCCACCTGGTATCTACAATGCTCACTTTTCTCCTTGGGGAAAAAAAGAATTGAACTAGCTTGAATTTTCTTGTTACATGGGCTTGTAAGACTACTCAAGATCTATTCTAGTTTAAAACGTCATCTGCTTCCACCTGGGGATGAAACTGCACTCAATTTACACTAAGGCATGAGGGTATCCAAGCCTATGGCCAGTGTATTAACCCTGGTGCCCCCCTCCCTGCCTCAGGCATGGTGACCCCTGGGGGAGAAACATCTCTTGGAGAGAACTCCACCATTCAGACGACTGATAACAGGAATCCTGGATCATGGAAATGAAATTGTGTTCACAGCCTAATATGCTATTACACTAGGCTATACATATTTAATTCCTTGGGTCTTTCCTCATAAATCAATTCCTCTAGGCCTTTAATCTCGTCAATATCTTTTCTGATATTGAATTTTAAATGCCATTCTCATTGCTAGGCAGAAGGCAATCTCTCATTCATGATGAGATCAGGCTTCATTTATAGCTGAGAGATGGTGGGAGCATGGCCCTGTTCCCTGACCCTGCTGTTAAGATCCTAATGTCAGCTAGACCGCACAGCCGAGGTGCAGGCCTGCCTGGGTTGATCTCTGAGAGGTCAAGATAATGAACCCTGGGGTCATGCCTATCATTACTCTGGGAGCCTGGGACAGCTATGGAGAGGAGTGAGAAAGCTCAAGTAAGTGTTTCCAAGGGTCTGGCTTCTCATGGGGGTGCCTGAGGCATGAAGGACCCTGCTGCACCCTGACCTGGCAAGGATCCCTGTGGACCGAGTAAGGCATGAGCTGAAGGATGCACACTGTGTGCGTACATCTGAGCAATGTCTCCCAGCGCAGGGGTGAAGGGAGGGCACAGGCTGTGTGTTCGCTAGGGGAAAAGAGGGCATGGAGGAACTCCAGAGAACAAGGACTTAGAGCTGAAAATGTTTCCAGGTTCCCTAGGGCTGGCCTGGAATGCAGTGGGATTTCCTCTGCTGCAGAGAAAAGGAAAAAAATCCAAGAATCTTTGAGCCATGAAAAATCTCCAAAGGGAGGAGTGAGTTTTTTTAGGACCTCAGGAGGCACAGAGAGGTTGAGAAAACACAGGAAGCCATCTGAGATACAGATTTGAGGGCCTAAGTCTGCAGCAAGTGGCGGGGCACCAAGGACGGGGCCTGGGCTACCTGCCTTGGTGTAGGAGTTAAGCAGGTACAATTGTACAAAATGTAAAAACAATAATAAAACTAAAGGTGTATCCATCTATCATCACTATGCACCAGCAATTCTAAGCAAAATCATTGATAAAACTCTCCTTCCTCATAACAATCTTTTGCTGATCTAAATTCTAATTGTTGCCATTACTGTTAAGATTTAATAATATGTATGTAATCTTCAAATTAGCATATTCTGTTGCTTACCCTTTAACAAACATTTTATGTGGCAACTGATTTGGAAAATTTCTAGCTTTATACAGTCTGCCCCAGCTCTCTCTCACACATGACTTAGCTGCACACATTTGTTCTGATTTGAGCTTGCTTTGGATACAGTGTCTCCAGCCTCCTGTAGCACTACATATATTCTGCATTTCTATACTAGATTCAAAATAAACAATGACAGCACAGTTTTGCAAAGACGATGAACTAGAACTTGAGCTACTTCCATTCATCCCACAGGACCACTCTGAGAATTTTTATGTTTAAAATTTAAAACAATGAAACATTTTTAGTTGGCAAGTGAAAATTTTAGTTCATATGTGAAATATGTTTACGTTTCAGTATTTTTAAAATTGAAAATTTTCTTTATAGATTGCTTGCTTTAAAACTAAAAGACAAATCAAGAAAATGTTACATCAGAGACACAATACTTGCCTAAATTGTGCCCTTTGCATTTGGTTTTATTAATACTTATGATTTACTGGACAATTATTTATATACAGCAATATGTTAACTATAATCAAGAATCAAAGTTCTAACTGTTAGGTAAAGTAAAGAAAACTATTGAATAGATAGTTGCAATTTTTTCCTTTTATCACACTATTTAATTTTCTTACTGGCATAAATATACATGAAGTTCAAAAGAAAAAAATTTTAGTCTGCATTTCTTTCTTGGCCATTATTATTCATTCCATTTTATGATAATTAATGAAAATAATGTTGTCTAAATTTAGAGGAGGAAATATTTAAAAAAGGATCCTCTGAGTGTTAAATTTCACTAGGTGCACAATTATCAGGCAGCCAGTGCCTGAGACGGGGAGAGTCATGACCTTGGCCTGTTGGGCTAGGGGCTGGGGAGAACTGTTTCATCAGACAAGATTTTAGAGACCATTTCCTTTGCTTGAATGTACCCCTGGGAGGGACTGGTGTGAAAGACAGATGCTTCGTGGCATTCCCATAATCCACTGGAGTTATTAATCATGATATACTATATCCCAATATGGCAACATTATTCTGAAAAGAAATATAGTCAAGGACTGGCAAAAAGGCAAAAATGAAGCTGCATGTCGGCATTTCAAAGGCTAGCGTGATTAGCTCCATTATCAGCTTGCTGTGCAAGCTTGAACAAGCTACTGCTCTGGTCTCCTCTTTTCCCCAAGCCTTCTATCCTTACAACTGCCAAATGAGGAATTATTGATCATTCACAAAGCAAGATATCAATGAATTTCTTGACTACAGAACACAGTAAAGGTAGATGTAAAAGTGGTTTGGAAGGCTCTAAAATCTATTTTCTCTTCTACAGATGATTTTCTTAACACTGTAATTTGCAGGGTCATCTCAGGTTCCCGTTTTTCACTTTCTTCACATGTTAAATAAATATAAGAATACTTACCAGTGGGATATTGTATGACTAAAGAACATGTGTTAAGTATGTGATGCTCCTTGAATGACAAAAGGTGCCCGCTGAGTTAAATGAAAGTGCTGTCATTATCCTCTTTGCAAAAATGGAAACACTAAGTCCCACGAGGTGAAGTGACATTTAAGTCATATGAGTGGGCAGTACTGGGGATTAATATTCAGAGAGAAAGGTCGGTTGTTCAGCCCCAGCCTAGCCATGCTGGGTGCACTCCTTCAGCCCATGCTGAAAACATAGGCCAGCCAACTTGAATTAACACCATTCATGCAATTCACAAGAGAAGGTGTCAAATACCTTGCTGAAGTAGGAACATGTATCAGTGACATTCTCTCCCTTGCCTTTGCTGGCAGTTCTTCTGCAAATGGTAATCCAATTTGCTTGGATTTATTTATTCTTATCAGTTTTGTTTTTTGCAATTATGTGAGGTGGTCATCACCCATCCTCTGGGCACGTGTACAGTTGTTAATGTAGAAATTTAAAATATTAACATGCTTTCCAGCCAGGTTGGCCCATTTACTTCAATCAAATAAGAACTTGATGGAACAGCTGGGTCTTGCACTATGCCCTGAAGGCCTACAGAAATTTGTTCTTTCTTTACAGATTTTATAACCTAGTCATGATCAGAGATTACAGCTAGAAAAACCCCTATGGGTGACTTGTAGCCAAAGACCTGTGGCCCTCTTTGGAGGTACCTTTTGCAAGCGATCTGGGCCTCATTCAGTTTAACCACTGGAGAACCAAACAATAACTTGTTTTAGCATCATTAACAACAGATATTACCATCATCACTAGTCTCTTTGGTTGCAGGTTTAGGAAAGAAGCTTTTGCCTTAATCATTATGGAATAAGAATGTGTTGGAGTCCAGAGAGCTTTTAGTTGAATCTTAATGGTGAGAGTTGCAATGATCTAGCCTGTTTTGCAGATCAGTGAAGAGAGAAAATACAGCTGAAGGTCTGATCCATCAGCCATAGATGTCTGACTAAGGATGGAAAACTTTATTATGGATTTAGAAGGTCTGTATCACCTATATTACTTAACTCCTGATAATTGTAGAACTTTAGTGAAGTTAATCCAATGATTACAATATTCCCAATTTTTCTTTGTTAATACAAGTAAACATTTTTACAACTAGGAGAATCACACATTTAGGAGCAGGGTAAAGAGAGAAGAATAGCTCTGAACTTAGCACATTTAATCTTTAGGTGGCTCTGGAACAAGATATGTAAATAAATGGGCACATTCATCAATCACTAAGGGAAGTGAGAGGGAGAGGAAGTTTGCTCCTTCCCCCAAAGTTTCCAAGTTATTTAAACACATTTAGGCTGGTCTGGAACCCAACATTTTAGGAATGTCAGAGTAACTAGAACCTTTGGAGGTCTCCAAGTTTCACCTATGCCCTAATCCAGGGTCAAGCCCTGGATAAACTGGTGAGGGCTGCATTAGACAGGAACAGTTTCCCCATAGGCTTTCAACCACCTATAGCAACTACTGAACCTCTGAACTATCTCAGATTTGCCCTGTCTTTGAACTTCAGACTCTCTGTAAGGAAAAATAATAATAATAGCAGCAGCAGCAGCAGAAAACCTCAACAAATACTGCCATTGTGAAATGTGCCACATATTCTTAATACCTGCTGCTGAAATCTATCTGGCAAAATACAATACAGCACCACCATCTTGCATAGACTCCAAAGTGTAGAAAATTATCATCTTAAACCAATCTCCTCTGCTTCAGAAACATTAAATATAGAAAGCATTAAAGAAGTGAGCCGAGTTAGACCTTTTGCAATAAATGGTGTCAGCATGGCCATGAATGATAACAGCAAAAAAGGCCTCCAAGATATGAAAATTAAGAGAAATTAGAGCCCCAGCTTCACACTTATTATTAATATCCACATGCCTGTGATGAAGTGCTCCTCTAGCTTTAGCAGTCCCCCTACTCTCAGTTGGCAATTGCATACATTTTAACATTGCATGTGATGTTTACCCGTGAAAATTTCCAATCACAAGTTTTGCTGAAGTCATCTGAAAGTCCAGCTGCTCACAGTGATGGCACAAAAAAGATGATCATTTGTGATATATGGGTATTTAAGTTTTCACTGTAGAAATACGGGAGGGATAACACCAAGGTTAGTGTTGATGACTTTTCAAAAGGGAAGAATAGGGAGACCACGTTTTTAGGGTCTGCTGGTAGACTTTATGTAGCAATCTTTTTCTGCTTCCAGGGACAATTTGAAAATGTAAATCATGATACAAAGCAAGTGACATAAATCAGTTGCATTCTAGTCCAAGTGATTATATGAGGATTGAAAGAGATTATATCGGGATTAATCTGGGAAGGTTAAAAAAATCACATTTTGTCACTGAGGTTGCTGGGGATAACCTTTAACAGGATAAGAAA
Source organism: Homo sapiens (assembly GCF_000001405.40). Lineage (NCBI taxonomy): Eukaryota > Metazoa > Chordata > Mammalia > Primates > Hominidae > Homo > Homo sapiens. The sequence continues at coordinate 43,282,049 of NC_000013.11, forward strand.
GTTCCTTTCTATTCCAAGTTGTTAAAACCTTCATTTTTCTTGGTTGTTTTAGTTTAAAATCATGAATGGATATTTGGTGGCCATCAAAATGTTTGTATTATTCTGGTTTTGCCTGTTAATGAGATCTATTACATTGATAGATTTTTCAAATGTTGAACTTACCTTGCATTCCTAGAATAAATCCAATTTGGTGATTTATAAAATACCAGATTAATTTTGCTTTTCTAAAGGAATTATAAATCTTTGTTTATAACTGAGCCTGGCCTATAATTTTTTGATTTTAACTTTTAACTGTCCTTGTTTTATTTCAGTATTAAGTATACTAGCCTTACGAATTAGTTGGAAAGTGTGTCTTCCTTTTGTGTTCTCTGAATGAGTTAGTTAAAGATTGGTATTCTTTTTTCTTTTTTTTTTTTTGAGACAGGGTCTTGCTCTGTTGCCCAGGCTGGAATGCAGTGGCTCGACTGCAGCCTCGACCTCCTAGGCTCAATGATCCTCCTGAGTAGCTGGAACTACCGGCATGTGCCACCATGCCTGGCTAATTTTTAAATTTTTTATAGAGACAGAGTTTTGCCATTCTACCCAGGCTGGTCTCAAACTCCTGGGCTCAAGGGATCTGCCTGCCTTAGCTTCCCAAAGCGCTGGGATTACAGGCATGAGCCACCACACCCACCCTTGGTATTATTTTTCTTAAATGTTTGGTAGAACTTGCCTATAAAGCAATTTTGGGTCTGTTGCTTTGATATAAAATTTTAAGCTATTGGCCAGGCGCGGTGGCTTATGCCTGTAATCCCAGCACTTTGGGAGGCTGAGGCGGGTAGATCACGAGGTCAGGAGTTTGAGACCAGTCTGGCCAATATGGTGACATGCCATCTCTACTAAAAAAATACAAAATTAGCTGGGCATGCACCTGTAGTCCCAGCTGCTCGGGAGCTGAGGCAGGAGAATCGCTTGAACCCAGAAGGCAGAGGTTGCAGTGAGCCGAGATCACGCCACTGCATTCCAGCCTGGGTGACAGAGCGAGACTCGGTCTCAAGAAAAGAAAAAAAAAAATTTAAGCTATTAATTCGAGCTTTCAATTTCTTTCCAATTCAGTTTTGATTAGTTATTTTTTCCTATTGAAATTTGTCTGTATCTCCAAAGTTAAAAAATTGTCATAAAACTATTCCTAATATTCTTATATTTCTTTAGTCTCTGTTGCATCTATAGTTATACCTTATTTTTAATACTGTTTTTAGGTTGTTCTCTTTTTTTCTTGATACATGTTGCCAAAGATTTTCCATTTTATTCATCTTTTCAAACATTTGGCTGTGTTGATCTTCTCTATTGTATGGTTGGTTGCTATTTTAGTTATTTTTATTCTTTGTATTATCCCCTCTACTTTGTGTTTATTATTTTTTGTTTGTTTATTTGAGACAGGATCTCACTCTGTTACCCAGGCTGGAGAATACAGCGGTGTAATCATGGCTCACTACAGCTTTGACCTCCCAGGCTCAAGGGAATTATCCCACCTCAGCTTCCCAGTTATCTGGGACCACAGGCACGTGCTACTATGCCTAGCTAATTAATTTTTTTTTTTTTTGTACAGATGGGGTCTCAGTATGTTGACCAGGCTGGTCTCAAACTCCTGGGCTCAAGCATATCCTCCCGCCTTGGCCTCCCAAAGTGTTAAAATTACAAGTGTTAGCAACTGTACCTGGCCTATTTTTTTTTCAATAGAAATTGGATGCTTACCTCACTGTTACTAGTTTTTTTTCCTAAAACAAAGTTTTAAATTTTTCCTTTAAGTTCTGCTTTAGCTGCGTCCCACAAGTTTTGATATATTATGTTTTAATTATCAATTACTTCTAAGTATTTTTAAGTTAATTCTGATTTCTTTTTGAAGCTGTAAAAATGATGTATGTTTTAAACTTTCCAGATATACAAAATTTATTTTAGTTATTTTTGGCACTGATTTCTAACAATTTAGTGTGGTCAAAAAAATACAATACCACTCTTTTGACATCTGTTGAGATTTGCTTTAAGGCCTAGTATGGGATTAATTTTTGTAAATGTTCCCAGTATATTTGAAAAGTATGATTTTCTTTATATGTCCTACATATTGAGCTTATAGTAGTATATATTTACAATGTTATGGACTTCACAGTTAGGCCTTTACAAAAACTTCCTGAAAGTGAAGTTAAGTGGCACTGAAGATAAGAAATACAAACCGTTAGGAAAGAAATATAAACACCAGAGAGAAGAGGACAAGGTGCACGGAGAATGAGAGAACAAAATCATGGCATACCACCCTATGTTTAAATGACTGAAAAATGTGTAACACACTGACTCAGCAAATGACTCAGTATAAAATGTAAATCATGGGTGGAAATATACATATCTTAATACCATGAATGAGAATTCCAAAGCTGGCCAACGAAAGCCACTCTGACTGAATCTGAGTGATACCTGGTTTAAAATAAATTAAGATGGTAATGGTGGTGGAGGGCATAAAAAATAGAATGCAGTTGTCTGGTGGGTCAGCAGGATGAATTAAGAGAACAAAAGGAAGAAGAAAATATGATAATTTATTTTTATCTCTTTGAAAAGTCACTGTGTTGGTCTTTCATTTATAAGCGCTACTTATTACACTCTTCCTTGGAAACTTACTGACAAAGTTCAAATATACTTTCTTCTTTATTTTCTTCCCCAGTAAATAAGGCTGTTGTGGCTATTTGTTAAAGGTGTGTGTGTGTGTGTGTGTGTGTGTGTGTGTGTGTGTGTGTAAGAGAGAGAGGGGAGATAGGAATAGAGACAGAGACACAGAGAAGAAACAGAAAGCGCAAAAACTGGAAACTGGAGAGGTAATGAGAGGCAATTATAAAAGAGGAGATAGAAATATGTAGAGAAGGAGAGTCAGAGACACAGAGAGAAGAAACAGAAAGTACAAAAACCAGACAGTAATTACCAGATGGAAGAAGCTGCACATAGATAAGAACTTGACCATGCAGGGTGTATTCACTGATCAATTGAGTGAGATGGGTGGTCTGTAAAGTGAGGACCAGATTGGGCACTAACTTGTTTAAGTTTCCCTTGATGACTATTCAGGGTGCTTTGTTAAACAGAGGAGAAAACATAGTCTTTAACTAACCATCTAACATCTTGGAACTGAATTCCCAATTCCACACTTTGGTTACAATTCCAGACACTTTAACTGACTAAGTTTGGCTGTTCTATTGGCCAGTATTTAAAAATGATTAACACTCTATGTTTATATATATATGGAGAAAAAGACTGAAAGGCTATATGTAAATGTTAGCAATAGTTATATCTAGGTAGTGACATTATGAATGATTTTTATTTCCTTTTATATGGTTCTTTTATGTTTCCAAGTTTTGTGCATTGAGCATAAATTCTTTTGTAAAATGAAAAAATAAAACAAAAATTTAAATGACAAACCGAGACCCAGGAAAACTGCTACTCCCACCTATATTTCTCTTCCTCTGTGCTTTCTCTTAGTCATATAAGAAGGATTTTTTTTGCCGAGGCAGGCAGATCACCTGAGGTCAGGAGTTCGAGACCAGCCTGGCCAACATGGTGAAACCCTGTCTCTACTAAAAATACAAAAATTAGCTAGGCATGGTGGCAGGCACCTGTAATCCTAGCACTCAGGAGGCTGAGGCAGGAGAATAGAATAGCTTGGACCTGGTAGGCAGAGGCTGCACTGAGCCGAGATTGCGCCACTGCACTCCAGCCTGGGTGACAAGAGTGAGACTCTGTCTCAAAAAAAAAAAAAAAAAAAAAAGAGGAATTCCCCCCTCTTCTTCTTTCTTCTTTGTTCCAATGCTGTATTTCTTTGTCCCCCCATCAAATTTCTCCCTGCATTTTCTTCACTGCTTTCATTTCTGATGAGAAGGAAATTGGCTGGTCTTCCTAATCCTGTTGCCTCTCCTAGCCAGCTGCATAGAGGAAAGCCCTGGAGCATGAAGACCCCCAACTGCGGCCGGAGTTGAAATGGGTAATTACATCAGTCTGGCTGGGAGCAGGACACCTGCTATAGACAGCCAACCATGTTGCTGGCAGGGTTCAGGGCTTCAGTGTGAATGAGTCGGCTTCTTGGCATTGGTAGACTAGAAAGAAATGAAGTCAAAGCCAGACCACAAGGAATCATTTTAGTGTCCATAGCTGGAGGGAGAAAGATGACAATGGTCAGCGTGGTAGGCCAGTATATGTCTGCAGCAAAAGTCCGCTTTGATGTATTACATTTAAGAAAAGATCCATTTCACTATAAATCTCGTACTCATCATGTGATATAGACTGTAAGTCAGGAGGCAGTTTCCAAAAGAGGCAGTGAAAGGGAAGGTCATTCAAAGGTCATTTAAAGACTGCCAGGAACACAGCGTTGGGAAAAGGAGAGTTCCTTTATCCTGGGAATGGAAGTCTACTGGAGAGTCAGGATTTCCCATTGCAGACATCAGGGAAAGCAGCAAAAAGCAGAAGTCAAATGATTTTAATAGTCTGCAGGGCAATGCCATTATTTTTGCCCCTGGCTCCTACATTGATTTGTCTGCTAGCCTCATTATTTTGAGAAGGAATGATTACTAATGAGGATGCATTTGATGATCAAATTAATTAATGGCAGAGCAGGATAACTAATGATGAGATGAAGCCTCTCATAGTTAAATTTTATTAGGGCTTCTCTTCCCCTTCCCAGAAGTGAATTCAGAGATTTATTTTCATGATTCAAATTTAATAAAAGCTGCATCTATGTTACTTTCCTTTCGCAGGTTCTTGCTCTGCTAATGCAAAGACCAAATTAGGGGCTATGACACAGAGTCAGAAAATAGGCAATGGGTTTTTGCCAGTAATATTTTAGCAATCTATCTCCAAGCATATGAAGGAGGGAACTTCTTGTCTTCTGCTGTCTTGATGACTGCAGTTCTGAAGCACTGCTTTCAGGGTACACTCTGGAAAGCCATGGTGTGGGGTTATAGAGGGAACACAGGGGCTCAGACAGGCCTAGGCTGCAGTTCTGACTCTACATGGTGTACCTGTGCCCTGGGTCAGTCACCTGACACCTCTAGGTCTCAGTTTCCTACTTGACACACTGGGACAGTCACATACCCCTGAGTTGTTGTGAGGACCGCATAAAATAACATGAAGGTGCTTTTGTGAGTTAACTGGAGAGACTGGCCTTCCTGTTGTAAGGGGCATTGGAGTAAACAGCACAGGCCACCCTGTGTCAGGAAATTATGACCTAGACTTGTCCCGACTAACTCTGTGAGCCTGAGTCTTCTTTTAAGCCTCAACATCTTTTCATATTTTCACCTGGAATATGGCAATGACAGTTCACACTTGTGAGTAGCTTTTCAAAATGTCCTCACGTACATGATCACATGTGATGTATGATTTTATCGTAGCAAGCCCTTACTGAGGTTGGAGGCACCTGGTCTCCAGGAGAAGAACTGGAGGTCCAGACATCCTGAGTTTCCCAAAGAAGTACAGAAAACAAACAGTGAAGCTGAAGTCACATTTTCCTTCTACTAGTTCAGTGTTTTCATTTCATTATTCATGCCCTTAGGTGGCATCAGTACGGCTTATCTTCTTCCTCATCTTATGACCTCTGGTCAGTGAAGACGGCAAGATACTCAGTGGGCCATCCTCACTCAAAACTGCTAAAAAACATATAAGGAGGCTTCCTCTCATCTTCATTTTTAGTCTTTGTATCTTGTCCAGAATCAAAAGGAAAAGTGCTCTGAAAAGTCCCAAACCTCTTACAGATGTCATGTGTGATCCTTTCAAACAGGTAGGGCTTTGTAATGTAAAGCCCTGGGCCGAGAATTGGAGAATTGGTTTCTATTTCTGGTTCCAAATGGAGCCAACCGTTCCTTCAAGAGTCTCACACTGAAGTGAGATACTTACCTTCTTAGGATGTACCAGGAGTGTAATCTGCAAATGTCAGAAAATGCACACACTGCCAGCAGGAACCCTACAAATGACCTTGAACAGCCTAAAGAAAGGTGCCAAGGAATTATGAGGATTATCATCTTGTGGCCTGTTATTATAATGCACCATCCCAATATTCTTGGCCGAGGAATGGATAAAAAATGAAATTACAAACCCTGGAATAGTTAAAGGAAGACCATGGTGGACCCCAAATTTGGCAACTCTTGTGAACCTTGATGTTTAAGTCACTAAACCTTTTTAAAGCCGTGTAATCTGAGAGATGTACATGTTTTAAGATTTTTCTGATTCTAGTAAAATGTCGGTGGCTTTTAATATGAATGTGGGAAATGTCTTCTGCATTTCCCACAGCCATATTCTATTCTATCCTATTCAGAAAGAAAGAAACTTAATCTGGGTTGTCGAAGAATCAGATAAACATGGGGTATGTCTTTGCAGCCACAGCTTGTAAAGACTCCAGGTTTTTATATGTGTATGTCTATTTATACATACACATATTTATTTTTTGAGCTTTTTAAAGCTGAATATTTGACTACTTGTACATGAGAGTCTAAGAGAAAACTCCTTTCTCTACACTGTTAATAAGATTTTCTTGCCCTGTCCAGTGATACTGAATTATTTTCTGCACTAATGTATAATCTGTCATATATTAAAGATATTAGGATATCATTCTTCCTGAATGAGCCAATAACCAGATCATTGTGTATGGGCTATTCCTTCCTTCTAATTGAACATTTTTGAGGCTCATGAACTCTACTTAGAAGGTAGATCCTCCTGATACATTGCAACTTAATTTCCAAACTTTCTATCTTTAGTTTTTTTTTACATTCTACATCTAAGTATTTACATCTTTCATAATGGCTCTTAAAATTAGTAAAGTTTCAGGATACAATAACTGTGTACAAAAATCAGTAGCACTTCTATTCACCAACAACATCCAGGCTGAGAGTGAAATCAAGAATACAACCCTACTTACAATAGCCACGAAGAAGATAAAATACCTAGGAATACAGCTAACCAAGGAGGCGAAAGATCTCTACAAGGAGAACTATGAAACACTGCTAAAACAAATCAGAGACAACACAAATAAATGGAAAAACACTTCATGCTCATGGGTTGGAAGAATCAATGTCATAACAATGTTCATACTGCCAAAGGAATTTACAGATTCACCACTATTCCTATCAAATTACTAATGTCATTCTTTACAGAATTAAGGAAAACTATTATAAAATTCATATGGAACCAAAAAGAGCCCCAAACAACCAAAGCAACTCTAAGCCAAAAGAACAAAGCCAGAAGCATCACACTACCTGACTTCAAACTATATACTAAAAAACCACAGCAACCAAAACAGCATGGTACTGGTACAAAAACAGACACCTAGACCAATGGAATACAACAGAAAACTGAGAAACAAAGATACACACTTAACAACCATCTAATATTTGACAGGACTGACAAAAACAAGCAATGGGGAAAGGACTCTCTGTTCAATAAATGGTTATAGGATAACTGACTAGCCTTAGACAGAAGATTGAAGCTGGACTCCTAACCTTTCACTGTCTACAAAAATTATTAACTCAAAACCGGTCAAAGATTTAAATGCAAGACCTCAAACTATAAAAATCCTAGAAGCCAATCTGGAAATTCTCTTCTCGACTTTGGCATTGGCAAAGATTTTTTGGCTGAGTCCCCAAAAGCAATTGTAACAAAACCAAAAATAGACAAGTGGGACCTAATTAAACTAAAGAGCTTCTGCAAAGAAAAAGAAACTATCAACAGAGTAAACAGACAACCTACACAGAGTGGGAGAAGATATTCACAAACTATGCAGCTGACAAAGGCCTAATACCCACAATCTCTAGGGAACTTAAATCAACAAGCAAAAGCCAAATAACCCCATTAAAAAATGGACAAGGCACATGAACAGATACTTCTCAAAAGAAGACACACAAATGGTCAACAAACATATGAAAAAATGCTCAGCATCACTAATCATCAGAGAAATACAAAGCAAAACCACGAAGAGATACCATCTCACACCAGTCAGAATGGTTATCATTAAAAAAGTCAAAAACAACAGATGCTGGTGAGGATATGGAGAAAAGGGAACACTTATACACTGTTGGTAGGAATATAAATTAGTAAAGCCACTGTGGAAAGCAGTCTGGAGATTTCTCAAAGAACTTAAAACAGAGCTATCATTCGACCCAGCAAGGCCATTACTGCGTGTATACGTAAAGGCAAAGAAATCATTCTACCAAAAAGACACATGCACTCACATGTTCATTGCTATGCTATTCACAATAGGAAAGACACAGAAGCAACCTAGGTGCCCATAAATGATAAATTTGATAAGGAAGATGGGATATACATATATATATATATATACACACACACATACCACAGAATACAACTACAACCATAAAAAAGAATGAAATCATGTCCTTTGCAGTAACAGGGATGTAGTTGGAGGCCTTAATCCTAAACAAGTTAACATAGTAACAGGAAACCAAATACTGCATCTTCTCAATTATAAGTGGGAGCTAAACACTGAGTACACATGGACATAAATATGGGAGCGACAGACACTGTGGGCTGCTATAGGGGAGAGAGGGAGAAGGGCACGGCTGCTGGATACTATGCTCACTACCCAGGTGATGGGATCTGTACGCTAAACCTCAGCATCACGCAATATTCCCATGTAACAAATCTGCACATGTACCCTCTGTATCTAAAATAGAAGTTGAGGCTGGGTGCAGCGGCTCCCGCCTGTAATTCCAGTACTTTGGGAGGTTGAGGCGGGCAGATCACTTGAGATCGGGAGTTCAAGACCAGCCTGGCCAACATGGTGAAACCCCGTCTCTACAAAAAATACAAAAATTAACCAGGCGCAGTGACACACGCCTGTAGTCCCAGCTACTCAGGAGGCTGAGACAAGAGAATCACCTGAACCTGGGAGGTGGAGGTTGCAGTGAGCTGAGATCACACCACTGTACTCCAGCCTGGGCAACAGAGTGAGACTCCATCTCAAAAAAATAAAAATAAAAGTTGAAAAAAATTTTTAAAAGCTCTTAGAATACAATTTATCATTACCAAATGTTGAATTTTTCTTTTAAAGGGGTTTCTCTTTTTCCATTTTTCTTGTCCTTCTATGCTTGTGCATTTTCCTTTGAAAGCGGTTTTTAACTGGAGAGGAAGAACTGTTTGTTCTTCTGCATCCCTCACTACTTCTGCACATCCTTCCCATCCCTGTGTCTGGAACGGACTCTACTGTTCTGTGTCCTGCACATGCATGGGGGCTTAGGCGTGCCCTGCTCTGGACCATTAGTCCTGCCACCTTCTCTTCTAGAACAGGGAAACAGAAATAGTGTGGAGAGCAAGTTCACTATCTATCTTTGTTCCATATTTCAACCTCTTCATGTCACCTTTTCCTATTTGTCTTCCTTTCTCACTTTCAGAAACTATTTTACTTTGTGCATCTGCCTCTTCTTGCTGATTCAGCTATCTTCACTCCAAAGTGTGCCACCTTAAGTTCCCTTGTCCTTCCTCCTAGACATTCATGAACCTGCTTGCTGTTCCTCCTTTCTCTATATGTTTCCGGGCAGCCAGAACAATTTGCAATACTCTCCATGCTTCCCACTGCACCACTTCCCCCTGCCCCACCCCAGCCACATGGTAACCAAGAATTCATTCAAAGACTGGGTTAAAGGTAAAGGCCCCCGAAACAGGCTCCTGTTCAAGATGTCAGAGGCAATGTATGTGTTTGTATTTTCTTCCTCCAGAGACTCAATTAAAATATCTGTCAATGAATAAACTTACAAAAACAAGGAGAAAGGAAAGTGAGTTCCAGGAGTTCCTAGTGTATGACAGGTTCTGGCATTCAAGGGATCCCCACATCTCCTTAAAATGAAGCCTGCCTGTCAAAGAGCTCTTGGCTGGCCACTGCCCAGGAGAAAGACTCGGCCACGCAGCAGATCCAGACACAGCAATGAGCAAAGCCACAGAGCTTCACAGAAAAGCAAACCAAGCCCTCCACACCTAAATATACACAGACTGCCAGCCATCACCTTGCTCATGAAGAAACCTGTACATAAAAGAGAGAGACTGAAACACAATAGCTAAACAACTAATCCTGGAGTAAAGAGAGATGATTCAGGAACCACAAAGATCTTAAAAATCCTACTTAGTATTCTTAAAAAGATTTGAGAAGATACTGCACCCATAAAATACGAATAAGATTGCATGAGAAGATAATGATTAGAGGACAAAATAACCTCTTGAAAATAAAATAATATGATTACCAAGCAGAAACTTCAATTGGAAGGATCAAAGATAAAGTTAAAATGGAAGATACTAGGAAAAAGATGATGGGCATGGAGCGCCCACCTATTAGGTCCATTATCTGACTGGTGGGTATTTCAGATAGAAATTAAAAACAGAAGACAAAAGTGAAAAATGATCAAGAAAAAGGAAAGCCTCCTGTCACAAACTCTGGTGACACTCTGTGCTCCTGCCTGCAGCCCTGCATTTGCTCAGTTCTCTGGAGCACTACCTTCTGAAGTTGGCTGGGAGCATCTGGTCTGCTGCACTTTTGAGGCTTTCCACAATTTTTAAGGGACAAGGTTTAAAAAAAAAAACCCTATAAAATATTAGTGAATATGCTCATTTTATCTCTTTCCCTAAAGCTTTCTAATCATTAAAAGCACCAATAATGCTACCACAGCCTCCTTCACCACCATAGCCACCAACACAGCCATAGCCACCGTTGCCACTATGGCCCCTTCACCACCATAGTCATCATCCTCACCATAACTACCCTTCATCACCACAGCCAACATTACCATCACAGTCACCATTTCTACCCCAGTCACCATCTTCATCACAGCCACCTTTAACACCATCCTCACCATGGCCATCACCACAACCACAGCCACTAGCCCCAACATGGCCACCTTCTCCACCAAAGTCACCATCCTTGCCACAGCTGCCTCCATCACCACAACCAACATTAGCATCAGAGTCACCATCCCCACCACAGCCACCTTCACCATCACAGCCACCAACACAACCACAGCCACCATCCTCACCATGGCTGCCTTCATTACCACAGCCACTACAGCCATTTTCACTACCATAGCCACCATTCTCACCACAGCCAGCAACACAACTGAGGTTACCACCCCCCTCACAGATGCCTTCATCACTACAGTTGACATTACCATTAGTCACCATCCTCTCACTACAGTCACCGTCACTACCACAGTCACCACAGCTACCTTTACCACCATAGCTAATAAGGCCACCACAGCCAGCACCCCCACCACGGCCATCTTCACCACCATAGTTACCTTCACAAGCACAGTTACCTTCTCCACCACAGCTACCTTCATCACCACCCCCACCATAGTCACCAAAACAACCACAGCTACCATCCTCACCACAATCACCCTCACCTCCAGAGCCAATATCACTACTGCAGTCACCTTTACCACCATGGCAACCATCACCTCCACAGTCCCTTCATCTCCAGAGCCACCATCACCACCACCCCTAACATTATTATGATCTTGATTTTGACATATAACATCAGACTTAATTACATGTGAGTTTTGGGGAGGAATTGAGTGCAAGCTTTTCTCTTTCTCTAAAAAAAACGTACTTACTAAGCAACTAAATAGTTTAAACAAGATTGCAGAAGACATGCTGAACTTACCCAAGGGGTCAGATGTAATCACTATGTTTAATTTCAAAAATACTTTCATTTATTCCTTAGCAGATATTCCAAAGTCTGACTCTTACCCAACATCTGACAAAACTAACTGGGGTTACTTTGTATTTTAGGAAAGTAGTAATGTTATATTTCTTCATCTTCCATAAAATTAGTCTAAGTGGGTGAGATTTTAACAATGCATACACAGAAAATCACACATATGTTCTACTTTGAGTATAAAGAAAAAAATGCTTGTCACTTAATTTCTAAAATGCTTTTGATCATAATCATCCTACTTTTCCCATTTTTTTTTTCCTGATCTTCCCTTGCTGAAAGTTGTCAAGACAGTGGACCAGGCCTGCACCTTACTAATGTCAAGCTAAGAGTGTGAGAGAGACTGCTCCACATGGGCCACTGGCTTGCTGGCCTAAGACAGCTGGTCTTCAGACTAGATTTAACACTGTTCAAAAGCATCGGCTTATTTAGGAAGGAGCCCTTTGACATAATCATCATTAGTCATACGCACTTTTATGATCAGCAGTTTTTAATGGTATCCTGCAGTTATCCAAATATTTATTAGTCCTGTCAATATGATTTACACAAGGCTTCAAAAAGAATTCTGATTTTTAAGCGGATTATTAAAAAATTATGACATGTTGACCTATCCTCATGAATGAAAATAAAAATACTGCAAATTTGTGTGTAAATAAAACCATAATGAGATATCACTATAAATTTACTACAGTAGTGAAAAAAGACAAACTGACCATGCCAGTGCTGCCTGATGAGGATGCAGAACTGGAGTTTGCAGACAGTCCCGAGGGAATGCATGATGGTACAGACGCTTGGGAAAAGAGTTTGGCGGTTTCTCTGAAAGTAAAACACACTTGCCATATGACCCAACAATCACATTCCTAGGATTTACTCAAGTAAAATGAAAAATTATGTCTACACAAAAAGCCTGTAAGTGAATGTTTATAGCAGATTTATTCCCATTTGTCCTAAACTGGAAACTATCCATCCACTAACTATTGACTAGACAAACAAACCACAGCTCTTTCTTACGGTGGAATACTGCTCAGCATCAGAAGGAATGAATGCCTGATACGTACAGCATCATGGATCAGTCTTAGATTCATTATGCTAAAGAAAGAAGCCCAACTCAACAGGTTGCCTACTGTTCAATTCCCCTTATATGATATTCTGGAAAAATAAAAGCTATAAGGGTAGAAAACAGAGCAGTGGTTGCTGGGAGTGGGGCTGACTCAAAAGGGGCAAGAGGCAGCGAGTGCTGGAACTGATTTATATATTGATTGTGGTAGTGGTGGTTACGTGACTGTATGCATTTGTCAAACTTCATAGAAGGTATGTCTAAAAAGAATATATTTCATTGTATGTAAATTTTACCTCAATAAACCTAACGAAAGAATTCAGTGTGGTAACCTGAAGAAAAATAAGAGTTTAAAATATGTATAGTCTTTACTTGTACACCTAAAAGTACAAATGAAAGTCAAAAGCCTCACTATCCCTGTGGCAGAGACAGGTTAACTTCACTGCCAGTTTAAGATCAGGTAAAGGCTACCGTGTTACCATGGATACAAGCTCTTATTCTCTTTTGTATGAAACCTTTCATATTATTAAATTGTGACTCACATGGTGCAGGGGTAAACTCGGAAACTTCCAGACAAAGTCACCCAAGAGTTTTTCCATGTTAGGAACCCTGCCCATAGTGTTTTCTTCATGAACACATGCAAAACTGTGTGATGTCAGTGAACATATCCTTAAGGGGTTAAAGAAAGAAAGGTTAGAAAATTTTTGGCTAAACTGAAGGCGATTCCAAAAGCTGTCTGCTAGTCCTAAGGTCATTAAGGCTCTTTCTTTTTTTGTTGTTTGTTACAGAAATAATTTCCCAAACATAGACTGGAAATGGTGACATATGGGAGGCTGACCCCTCCTCTCTCTGTCATCTTTCATGTGAAACCATGATTTTCTGATTTATACAGTGGATAGTGTGGAGATTGAAGGCAGGTTTTAAAGTCAGGCTAATTCTTTGTGGTGGGATTCAAATTAGCAAATTGTGGTCATTTATTCATACAAGGTAGATCATGATAGAAACAAGACTTTAAAAAGCACTTATATTTTAAAACTCTGTAAAAGATGTTCTGCCACAGAGATAGCCATACACCGCCTAACAACCAGTAAACATTAACATCATAGCAGCCACCGGGGACCCAGTGCTTTCTGTAGGTTAAAGAGGCACACCTCTCAGGCCTTGGCTCTCCCGCTCCCTGTCTTGCTCTTCATGATCCAGGATCCCACACAGCCCAGAGCTCCCATAGGCACCATGCTAGGCTTGCCTCCAGGTCTTTGTCTATTCATTCCCTCATTTGACACAGATATTTTGACTGTCTACTACGTGTCTGTTATGGATTGAATTGTGCCCTGCCCCCCAGCCCCAAATCCAAATGTTGAAGTCCTAGCCCCTACTACCACAGAATGTGACCTTATCTGGAAATAAGTCTTTGCAGATATAAGTAATTAAGATGAGGTCATCCTGGAGCAGAGTGGACCCCTAATCCTACATGAACAGTGTATTTATAAAAAGCAGAAATTTGGACACACACACACGGAGAATGACAAGGGATGATGAAGGCAGAGAGCAGGGTGATGTTTCCACAAGTCAAGGAAGGCCAAAGATTTCCAGCCAACCTCCAGAATCTGGGAGAGAGGCAGGAGTCAGACTCTTCCTTACAGCCTCAGAAGGAACCACCCCTGCTTTTGGACCCTAGATCTTGGACTTGTAGCCTTCAGAACTGTGAGACAATACATTTCTGTCTCAACTACATTTTTAGCTATATAAAGTACATTTCCTACTGACAAGGAGATTCTGAAAAGTTATGAGAAGCTCCCTTAACTGAATCCCTCCATCAGGAGGATGGCTCAGGTGGTGATTTGGAACACTGCTCCTTTGTGGACCAGGCACGTGGCTCCTCAGTGCTTCTGCAACCCTGACTGAGCAGCTCACCCTCGCCTCCTCTGACTTCTTTTAGGTTTGAATTTGCAATAACCTAAAAGACTTTATACACTTTTAAAGCAACTGGGATAATCTTTTCTAGAGGGAGAAAGGGAGAGTTGTGTAAAGTGTGACATAGTGGCTTTTGGGCTAGGTCTGGCGTCATGGTCTTTGGGGAAATCGACGGCCTCTCATCTTGGCGAGGGTGCCAACAAACACCCAATGTTGGGGCACATGGACAACCCCAGAAGTCTCACACAGCAGCTGTTACATCGATTTTCAAGTACAGAGACTTGAGCAATAACTGTAATGACATTTTCCTGGCTGGCTCTGACCTCTGAATCTCACTGATTAGTCTAACACACACTGTGAACATCAACCAGTTAGGACTCTAAGCCAAGACTCAAAAATTGCTTTAAAATGGCAGAAGATGTTTAAGATATAATTTGTACGAGTTGGTTATTAACTTGTTCACTTCCCAATCCGTGATTCTTTTTTATACTCTCCCTCTCAATTATTTTTCCCTGTTAGGTTGATGTATCTGTAGTAGTTACCTCTAATCACTAAGATACTTCTGTAGGCAATCCATGCTCTGGATGTTACAGAGCAGTCAATATGGATGGGGGAATTAAAAAAAATTGACTCTATATATTTTAACTTTCCATCATTCTACTTATATTTCCCTTGTTTAAATAAAAACAATCTTTTTTTTTTCAGAAAATATTGATTGGATTTGTATATTCAGAGGGATAATTTAAAAATACCCATGATGATAATATATGCTCTGTTATTCTAAGGTAACTCAAAGGCCCAAACACCTTAAGAATATCAGGTACCAATTGACGTTTTCAGATACAAATCTGACTGTGAATCTTTGACTCTATTCCCTCACTGCCAACAGTCAGATTTTCCCCTCCTGTCGACATTTTATATCCCACAGTACCTGTTCCTTTTCCCTACTCCAAAGCCCTCAACTTTCATTTCCTTTTTAACAATTGCCATAAATATACATCTTTAAATTCAGTATGCCAGGATGAGGTCTGGCACTCTTCAACAAAAACACAGCTATTGCCCTGTTTCTAAAGTTATTTATCCCCCAAAACTCTGATGCTTCATGTATTCCATCAACAAACACTTCTTAAACACGTAATGTGCTCAAAGAACCTGACTAGATCCTAAGTGTAATACAGAAAAAGTGGAAACAATATAATTTACATTTACACTAACCTTGAAGACAGACAAACAAACTGCTTTTGTAAAATCAGTTGTCGTGCTTTGAAGTTAAAAGTTCTAAGATTACAAAATGCTTGTATCATGCAGGGATCTGCTAGGTATTTGCCATGGGGCTATATTTCACATGCAGCCTTTCAATCTCCTAAATCCAAATCATTTTCCTTTATTTCCTACCTCCAGGGTGATTTCTTCAACATATTTTATTGGCTTGGCTTTTCTCCAGATTCTACCCTTCCACAAACAGTCATTAGCACTTTTCTGTCCTAGTAACATAGCTTTTTGGTTGTCATTTCTTCTCCTTCACCCTTTCCAGCACACGGCTGCCTTTCCATTTTCATTTAATACACATATCTCTTTCTCTCAAAAAAAAAAAAAAAATCTGGGCCAGGTACCTGCTGCATGCCTTGCATGGTTTGCTGCAGAAACTGCAGTTGCTGGTCCTTGGTGAGGTTTTCTTCTGTTCGGAAAAGCTGTTCTTTTTCTTGTTTCAGCAGCTCCACCTCATTCCTGTAGGCATCCAGCTGCCAGCGGAGACTGTCATTCTCCTCTTTCAGAGCGTAGGCCTGGGCAGCCAGGGCTGAGGGACAAACAGAACGAGTTCAGGTGAGCTACCTTCTTGCTTAGCTTGAGGAGGCCTTCTGTGGGAAAGGGAGTCTGTCACCCAAGTTCTTAATGTTTGTACCAGCTCAGAAATAAAAGCAAAATGCCACTCCCTGGGCCTCTCTTTTGTAGTCGGTATGCATCACTTCTCTCGGAACTTTTATCTATTCTGTTTGTCCTGTCTTACATGTGAATGTTTCTTATGGGCACAGGATTAATTCCTCCCAAATTCTCATCCCTTGACCTCTCCCTCAATGCTAGACACCCTCACAGACATTGGTATGTGGTGCTAGGTGGTGACAACATTTAGAATTCCAGGCAACAATCATATCTACTAAATATTGTCTTCCCCCTTTCTACGGGATTGCTTAGCTACTTGGAGGGCTGCTTGCTTTCAAATAATCAGCAGTTCCACAGGTTGAGACATGCGGCAGCATCCCAGGGGAGAGAGGAAATTATATGCACACCACTCCTTCCTGCTCTACTGCTGGGACAAATTGCACAGATTGTTTTCCTCCAACTCCTATCAGAATGGGAAGCTAGTTCCATCTGTTTCACCAACAGATTAAAACTCTTTTCCTCTACAAGGCTGAGTGGTTACTCTAATACCTCTCCCTGAAACCCCAAATTCTCCACATTTAGATTCAGACTTCATTCATATGTCTATCTTATTAAGAAACCAAGACAGTTAACTCAGGGTCTCACACATCTCAAGGCTTCAGAAATAGCCGAAACTGAAAAAGAAACAAATGGTACCAAACAAAGATTGAGGGTAGGGAAATCCCTTTCCCTAGTTTCTACCTTATTGCTTAGGGGTCTCTCCGAAAATCAACATAGCCTGCTGAGCACTCATAAAGCACTGGATCAAGAGCTTTGTATGAACTCACTCACTTCATACCCCCACCAAGCCTG
This sequence comes from Homo sapiens, assembly GCF_000001405.40. Lineage (NCBI taxonomy): Eukaryota > Metazoa > Chordata > Mammalia > Primates > Hominidae > Homo > Homo sapiens. The sequence goes on from NC_000013.11 coordinate 43,299,466, forward strand.
TGATGCCGGTGCTGGTCTTATGCTCATCTTTACAGATGAGAAAAATGTGGCACAGAGAAGTTATGTAACTCATCCAATCCCACAAAGTAAGTAGCAGAAAGCCTTCACACCCAGGCTGCAGGCTCCAGAGTCTCTGCTCTCGATTACCATCGGTCCATGTGTTTAGTTCTTACCAGGCTGTTCAAAACCAGTCTCACATTCCCCCACCAACTCTCCCACCACTCTCCCTTTAATCTTCCCCCTCACAGAAAAGCCATTCCCCACTTGTGTAAGCAAGAGAAAAGTGAAAGAAAATTTGAAACGCTTGTTACCAGAAACTTCAAACATGTAACTTCCAGTAGATAAGGGCACGGTGTGGAGCCCACTGCACACCAGGTCGTCAGTGCATGCGCGTTTCCAGCCCCCGCTCCCCGTGTCAGAGGACCAAATCAAGGTCGCCTCCTGAGTGTTCTACCTGCACATTACAGTTCCATGGTGATAAAGCTTTACTGAGGTTCTCTGAGACCACAGTGAATTCTCTCCTCAAATATCAAATGTCAAATTATGTTAATAATAGTTTTATAGTTGAGTGTTTTACAGTACTCCATCTTGCAAAATGATAATCTCTGTGTAGTACACACTGAACTACTAATCAGACAGAACATGCAATTACCCAGAAATTTCCCTACCTCAAGCCAGTAGGGATCAATTACTTAACACGCATTTACTTCATATTTACTGTGCTCAGGTCCGTGAGGGCATCTCAGACCACAAAAAGAGGAGACAGAATACATCTCTTCTCTCAAAGAGCTTAATCTAGTAGAAACTGACACATTTAAAAAGAAACTATTGCTTTCAAAGGAAGAAAGGATAGTGTGATGTCTGGAATACAGCAGACACTCAATAAATGTTGGTTGAATGAATAAATGAATAAATAAATGAGTCGAGATGCATGACAAAAAAATGCATCCTATAGGAGTTCAGAGAAGAGAAATAAAAATTCAGACTGAAGGAATAAAAGAGGGCTTTGGAAGATGAAAACCCCAAGAACTTGGAAAGGATGTCTCTCAGTCAGAAGCCAGAGCATAAGCAAAAGCCCAGATATGAAAATCAAAGGTAGAACACTTGGGGCAAGAAGGAGAGAAACTCGACCAAAAGCCAAGTGTTTGCCTGGAAGCAGTGAGAGAAAGGGAATCCACGTCAGGTGATGGGAGAAGATGGGGAAGGTTAGGTTCAATGGAGTGGCCAATTGAGAACCACTGACAGCGCTTGGAGTAGTGGAAGGACATGATGAAATTGGGATTTAGGAACATTAGTTTGGCAATGGTGCATGGAATGAACTGGAGGCTGAAGAGAATGAATAAAGGAGATTTCATTTGGTGTATGTGTGTGCAAAACCAAGGAGCAGCCACTTTTACAGTTTTCAGAGACCTACTCATAAAATCAGAAATTATCCAGCACATAACCCGCAGCATGAGCCAGTGCTTTTTAACATTGTGCAGCCCAGCTTCAGATCTTGTCCACACCCTGAGATACCACCTCCTGACAGCTCCGTTTACCAAGCCATAAGGAAATGGTTATGAGGATTCATTTGTGAGAGGGATGTTGTAATAGGGCAAAATCACAGAAAATGCAAATGATGAAGAAAGTGTTGGCACTGCATAGGCACATTACTACATTTAGTAGCATTCAAAGACACTTAAGTCATTTCCTTAGGAAGCTCTATTTGGCCCTTTTTCAATTCAGAGTGGCATTTTTATTATCATAACTGATAGCAGGTGTTTGTGAAGAAATCGATTAGTACGCAGGGATGGAAATTACATTTTCCAAATGAATTGCATAGTCTGCAAGATATGCTGAAATCTGTATAGCAAAATGCAAGCAGCTATAAAGCATGTGCCAACAGCATTATTTAAATAAATTATCTGAACATAAATACATATAGGAAAGTGTACCATCCATTATTTTAGGGGATCTCTTACAAACCTATGGAATGGTACTGCTGAGAGTTCTTATTCTTGGCTAAGCCAAGTGACTACAGTGCCTGCCAAGCAGTATATAATATTGTTTGCATTCCCGGAATAGGAATGTGATATCATCATATTAAAAAAACCCACAACAGCTGTAATTCCCCCACCAAAAAAAAAAAAAAAATCAATACCATAGCAAATTCCATCAACATTTTTATAATTGGGGCACATAACTGATTTACATTCCTGATTAAATGATTTCAAGCTTGGTTTTTACAAAAAAATTTTCGTTACTCATGTGGCAGCAAGTAGTTATCTTCTAAAGGGTGAGAAATTGTATATTGACTCCACTTAGCTTCAGGCCACCTGTTTGTAAACACCACTCAGTGTCATACTGCAGCCCTGAATCTATTCCTCAGACAAGGCTGCCTGGAAGAGGCTATATTATGTTTCTTGGGCCAGAGCGCTAACAGAAAAAAAATCCTAATAATTTCTGACTTAATATAACTTCTCAGTATATTAAAAATTCAGAAATTGGAAAGGGAAACTTTTTATTTCTCTCTCTTCTCTTTCTTTCTTTCTGGAATACTGTACTAAATTAAAGAGTTTTGAAAAAATGTGTCATCAAGCTTCCATAATAAAATTTACCTTATGAGACTGCACAATGAATCCACTATCCAAATAAGTATAAGGATTAAAAAAAAAAAAAGTACAGTGTGCATCTTTCGGTAGGAATTCCTAAGGAGTGCACCGAGTGCCAATAAATGGAATATGTAAGAGACACCCCATGTGGATTACCAATTTCCGATAATAAAAAAAGAATAGAATTAGACACCTTAAATGTCAACCGGACTGAATGTGATTAAATATTTTGTTGGTGATTTTAAAGGCACTGCTGAATCTAGTGGTGCCTCTGGATTACCATCAATTAATTCACCAGCCACCCATTTATGTATTTATTAAGAAAACATGGTGAGGAGCTGTAGCATTCACAAGAAGCTTAAGGCCAGCACAGTCACCCATTTCTAGTTACTCAGTAATTTAGAAAAATTCTGAATACTGGAATTTTCTGATTGGATCAAAAATGAAATAATAAAATTGGAAAAATTTTGCTAGGCAAGATTGTTATACTTCAAAACTTAGCACTAGACTAAAAAATGACCAAAGTGACACTAATGTATGAAAATCAATCCAAAGGTTGAACGGCACTGCTGAAGAAAAGGCTTAAAGGTATTGCGGCATCTTGTTATATTCTTTACTAGATTCTATATAAACCATTATTCTTTATATTAATTATGGTCAAAGTGACCTCCTCTTCTGTCTCCTGTCTTACTGTGTTTCCATGGGAACAGATAATGCCATGCTTAACTTCTTTAAGTAAATAATCTGGAGAAAGCCTTGAAATCTCTTTTACCAGCCTGAGCCAGCCTCAGAAAAATAGTTAGCAATATATGAAAAATGTAAGTTGTTTTGGGTTATGTCCCAGTAAGCTGACAGTCTGTTAATATCTTTTTCATGCTCAGGCAAGATGTAACTAAATAATAAAACATTTTAACATATCGTTTCTAACAATATCTGTGTTTCTCCAGAACTCTTAGTCTTTGTGTGTTTGGGGAACTCTGTGTTTAACATTCCCCCTCCACTTTGCCAGATGTCCTCCTGAAATGCTGGAAGGACGCTGCTGAACTGTAGATTTCCTTCCCACATGCAAAGAAAGTCTTTTTCAAGAATTTCATTGGCTGCTACCCAGGAAGGCAGTTGTACCGATAGCCCCTGAACACAGGAGGGCAGAGGCAGGCTGGCCTGGCAAATGTCACCACAATATCTGTGTGCCTTCAACGGCTGCCTCCTCAGCCACGATCCTGCCTCCTGCTCCACTAGGAAAGGGAGCTGTAGTTATGGCCCAGTGACAGGGACTCTCTCCAGCTTCTATCTGCTTCTCTGCATTCTGAATCTTCTTGTGAGGTGCCTTGAGGCCTTTAGAAGCTATTCTGTGGCAGAGACATTATCACGCTGTGTACTCAAACTCATGCTTCTCTTTGTATAGAGCAGTGTTGCTCCTGAGAGGTGACTGCCCTAGAGGGTGCCATGTGAGCAGTCTCATCAATGGAGTGTGAGGGGGAGTGAGGATGCCTTCTGCACAGTCCCTCAGTCTCTGCCTGCTGCTGGAATAGGCTTGGGTCTCTGAGTCACCACATGGAGGAAAGGTGCCCACAGGCCCAGAATATCTGCCTTGGACTGTTGTGTGCCCAAAAAGTAACACTTTTTTTTTTGGTTAGGCCATCTTTATACAGCAGCTGGTGTTACTCTAACCCAGTGTTCTCCAAACATTGGCCTGCATTACAAGCTCCTGGCGGGCATATTAAAACACACTTTTCTGGGCCCTACCCTCAGTTTCCAGTTCAGTTTGTCTGGGAGGAAGCCCAAGAATTAGCATTCTTCCAAGTCCCCCAGGTGGTGCTGATGCTGCTGGTGCAGAGACCACACTTTGAGAGCCACTGCTCAGACCGCTGCTCATTCTATCCCGATTCCTAAACTGGGGTTGTGGTTGGCTTGTTTGGAGAAATGCTTCTGAAAGAACCACATGCTTGGCTTGTCATTCTGGTTTTATTCCTTGATCTCCTTTTGTATGAGCCCCGACTCCATGTTCTGCACCTGGGAAGGCAGCCCTGTTGCATCCCTGTGCCCAGGTCCCATGAGCTCAGCTTGCCCCGTGCCCTGGCTATCTCCTATGGAAGATTTGGGCAAAAGGCACAGTCACTATTCTGCTTTCTTCAAATAACAGTAGCAGTAATGGGAATAGCAACAGTGGTAGTGACAGCTAATGATTTTTATGTGCCAGGCACTGAGGTAAGCATATTCTTTACACAGTATCCTTTCACCATCATGAAAACATGATACAGTCAATATGATTATTATTTCTATTTTCCAGATGATGGAAGTGAGTTTATGGGAGACAGAGGTTGCTGGTTGGAGGTAAAAGGTGTGGCTCTAGGACTATATTCCTCCATGTAATGCCACCAGGCTAGCTTAGCTCCATGTAAGTGCCGCCCATCCCAGAGAAAGGAGTAAACCAGGGACCCTACTGTAGTGGCTAGTTTGCTCCTAACAGAAGTAAAACATTCAATTTCTGGCTCTATCTGGGGAGTGTTCTGCTGGAGAGAGACTCTGCTATGAAAGCAGAGAGGATGATCCTGTTTTAAAATAAACATGCAGGTATTTTCTGCAGGACAAACTTGGGGATGATTTATGGAGAAGTTAAACTCACTCTTCAGGAAATCTTGAGGCCTGGCTGGAACCACTTAGGGATCCTACTTTCTGCCCTGTGTCCCTCTCCTCTCAAACGGCCACACTGATACCCACTAATCCCAGAGCTCAAGAGCCTGAGTTGCTAATAATGCTTTATTGAGAGAGTTTTGTCCATAGACCCATGCTGATCTCAGGATTCCCAAAGATCCAGTATGAGACTATTCACCCCATCCATCTGAACTCACCTATGTTTGATTTTTAAGGTGTCTGTGCCTTCAGTTAGAATAAAGGTGACAGAAACTCCTCTGCGTTATGCTGACCTCCCATGAACTCTGTCCCCTGAGTCTACTTTGCTTGGGCTAATGAAGGCCAAAGACAAGGACCAGTACCATGTCAGAAGATTAACAGAGGCTTGGGGTCCTTCATCATTGGTAGCCTCATTCTCAGTGGCTGCTGTTGCCATCAGTGCCTCCCAGTGGCCAGGCACAGAGCTGGAAAGTATCCTAGGATGACATCTGCCAACAGCCAGTCTCCTGCTGGAGAGCCTCTTATGGTACCAACAAAGTACAATTGATCTGCTTTTCAATAATACCTGTATCACCACTGATCAATCTTCCTCAAATTGCTCACGGAAATTTCTTCTGCTACATTTTTGCAGGATTATTATTATTACAACTTAGCATTGACATAACATTTCATATGTGCAGTGTGTATTCGAATCTGCACATTAGCTATTATTAGGGAAAGCTAAACAGAAGCACAATGCAGTGTCTATTTCCATCTTTGTGTGAGGCCAGCGGAATAAGGGTAATTTCGGGAGTGCAGGGTAAGCTAGATCCTGTTACGATGATGGCTTAAATGTGAGTCTGGAGGCACAATGGGCAGCAGGTGACTCAGGAAAAAAAAATTCTCTGCTCCTTCCTCCAGAGAGCTCTTCCTGAGGAAGTACTCTGCACCAGCAGCAGAACTAGGAGGTGCTGCTGGGCTGCTGCCACTATGGAGACTTCACATCATGCCTCATCACTTTTCCATTTACATTACTATCCTCTGCTCCGACCCAAAACCATCCCCATTTTCCTCAGAGGAAAATAAGCAAAGGAAAGAGACATGTTCACTTCTTGCAAAAGCAGGATAAGTCTGTCATTTAAAACACTGTTGAAGGATGCTCTGTCAGGTGAGGATGCCTTTAGAGTCCTCCGGGAAACACATCAGAAGTGAACGCTGCAAGCATGAGCTGAGCTCCCTACTCTAAGCCAAGCCGGGGACAGGGCAGGGAAGCAGAGCTCTCAGCCCCTGCCCAGCCTGGCCTGCGCAGCTCCCAGCCCAGCCGCAGGAAGAGCTACAGATATGGAACCTGGTAGAAACTGGTTAGAAGGGCTCCAGGAGGGGCCATCCTCACACTGTGTAGTGGGAGTCAAATAAGGGAGAGAAGGCTTCTGGCTGGAACATAAGAGCTGGGGGAGGCTCTTTATGGAAGGCAGTGGTTGAGCTCACACATTGAAAAGCTGAAGGAAAGCAGAGTGGGACTGCTGCACAGTGGACACTGCTTTACCAAAAGATTCGGCGATCTCCAGGAGGATGTGCCATGGCTATGGAGAGGCGAGCAGGCTGCTTCCTACTGAGCCCCAAGGCCAGGCAGGAGCATCTCAGGAGGGGGCACTTTTCCCCACTCTTCCTTTTCTTTTAATTCGATTTTAGTTTTCTTTTTCACTTTCAGTCCCTATTTTGATTTCCAAGATTATAGGGCCATTTAAAAAAAATCTTCTAAAGGCTTTAAAGATTCTTTTTTAGGAAAGTCAGGCTTAGCTAAGCCAAGCTAGACAATAAAATGACACTGGCTTTCAGGAATTGTACCCCCTCCCCTGCAGACAGTGCACCTCCCTTGGGTGTAGTACTCCACCATGGGCTTGGCTCTGTGTGACTTCATCCTAACTGACAGTAGTTGGTCTTGGCCAAAGACAGAAACTTTAAACAGCAATCCTTCCCTCCAAAACAACTCCTCTCATTTTCTCACCAATCTACAGTATAAAAGCAGTGATCTCTTTTTCCTCCCATCTTACAAATGTCCTTCCTTTTTAACAAGTGGTCATTTCTAATTTTCATCAAGAAACTTTCCCCTTAAGAAGTGTATTTCCCCTCTCCTGCTCTACCCTCTACATAGAAACACACACACGCACACACACAGTTATATTAGTATTTGAATTGGTGCTTCTACCATATAAAACACATCCACACTATGAAATGTGAAATGATGGCCAGCTCAAACCTAAAGTATATCTTCTCAGTTCTATGCATTGCTCTTTGCAAGGAGTAGCATCTTTTTTTGTAAAGTTTTTATTTTATAGTGCCAAATACTTGCAATAATGGGTTGAACAGAAAACTTTTTTTGAAAGTTACTTCCGCCTTAGGTAAACCCTAACTATCCAGACTAGTAAGTGGGCACCAAGACTTCACTTTTATGCTTGGGCAATGACTCTGCTTGGGCTGTCTCTGAGCCTCCTCCTCCCCACTGTTCTCATTACCAACATTGAAATTGACTTATGAACACTTACTTGTGTCTGGCAATAGGATAGAAAGTATCTGCATCCTCTCTAAATGTATAACCAAGGTGGGAGGACCCAGTATGAACAGGTAGCTGGCATCTTGAGGTATCTGTACCACTTTGGTATCTCTTAAATGAGAAACCTGGGACTCATCCCAGATGTTACGAATCTGAGATTCTGGAATGGGGCCCAGGGATGTGCCTTTCAGCAAGTTTCTAGGGTGATTCTGATGCATGCCAACATTTTAGAGCCACCTCCCTGGCCTTTAGGGACCAGGTCCCCACTTCCTAATGCTTTCTTCATGACTTTCTTCTAGTCTTAGATTTCTTTCATTAGTTTTTCATATTTGCTTTCTTTCAGCCTTTTCCAACAGCTGAAAGGACCTTCTCTCCTGCTTTTACAACCCAACACAGCCTTCTGGGCTTCTCTGCCTCTGCCATGTCTTCTCACATTCCATTAACCTATCGGCCTGCTCCTTGCTGAATGCTACCTCCTGCCTCTCCAGGAATGACACTGTGACTGAATGCTTGCGTAAATCCTACAGGCAGTGTCTCCAAAACACATTGTCCTCAACTGCTCGATGTTGTTGTGCATTACTTTTCTTTGCAGCCATATGTCTGGAGAAAGTTTCTGCTATGGCAGGCTTGTGGCTTGCACCCAGGAGAGGCCAGGCTGAACCTCTGGAACTAATTGCCCTTGACCGGGCCCCGGGAACAGCCTTTTCACTGTGGGAGAGGAGGCCCCTCCCATGTACACATGCTTACCACACCAGTCTCTAGATTCGCAGAGGCTTTTCTCCTTGGCGAGTGGCCAGGCATGCCTGCTTCCCTCTCTCACTGCTGACGGATGAGCAAACAGTTCCTGTCTATTCTCCTAGAGGTAGAGAAAGGCAGAGACTCTGTCCTTGGCTTGCATCACCACTCATATCAGGCCACCCTCCACACTTTGCCCTCCCTTTTCAAGCCGCCCTTTTTTCCAGTGAACCAGAGGATACTCCAAATGTGCCCGACACAGACCTGTGAGGGGACTTCTCCACCTGGGTCTCACACGCTCCACTTAAACTACCTCCCTCTCACTTCTCCTTTCTTTGCTCCTTTATCATTGCCTATGTCAGTCACTTCCTGTCCACTACAGATTTTTATACTTTACTCCATTTTTGTTTTCTTCTCATTCCCACATTACTTTACCTCACCTCAACCCGTTTTGTCCTTCTTTCCCACCTAATAGGTGGGAAAAGAGGTAACCTTTCTCACATCCTCACAAAAAAAGTTTCTGCTTTGTTCATTAAAATGATTTGTTTTGCATTTCTGGTGAGTATAATTTTTCAGGTAGCAATATTTTATTCTTACCAGTGCCTCCTTAAAAAGCCTTTGCAAGTGCTGAGGTGCCAGTTAAGCACTATATGACAGCCATCATCCTCACATTACAGGCCAGTGGTTTTCAATCCTTTGTGCAGCGAATCACCTGGGGACTGTTTTAATAACACCGATGCCTGGGCATTAACCTGCGGCCATTGGTATGTGTATAAAGTTTCCCAGGTGATTCTCATGTGCAGACGGGGCTGTGAACCACACATTCACACCTTCTGCTCTACACCAGCATCAACTCTCCACATTGCCACAGTGCCTGGTATTTGCAAAATGCCACAGAATCCCTTAATTGTTTATTTCTCACAGTCTTATTGAGGAACTCTCAGGATGAGCCTCATGTCATTGCTGAGAAAGCTGAGGCTTGGTGAAGGGATATTATTTGCCAAGCCATGCCAGAAATAAAACCAAGGTACTTCAAGGGCCCTCTGACCTCATCTGCTCAAAGTTACTTTTTTTTTTTTTTTTTTTCCAGAGTCTCGCTGTCACCCAGGCTGGAGTGCAGTGGTGTGACCTTGGCTCGCTGCAACCTCTGCCTCCCGGGCTTACACGATTCTCCTGCCTCAGCCTCCCATCTAGCTGGGATTACAGGTGTGTGCCACCACACCTGGCTAATTTTTGTATTTTTAGTAGAGACAGGGTTTCACTATGCTGGCCAGGCTGGTCTGGAACTCTTGACCTCAAATGATCCGCCTACCTCGGCCTCCCAAAGTGCTGGGATTACAGGTGTGAGTCACTGTACCCAGGCTCAAAGTTACTTCTTTACTGTACTCACTGACTCTAAACTCCCCCTGCCAACAACACTTGTTCTCACTCATAGAGGTCCCTTTCTCAGAGCCATTCTAACACTCTTACCACCCAGATGAGCCTCTCTTCCAAAGAGAGTATCATAGTGAGCTTGGCAGTGCTTAGTAAGGCCCGACAGTGGAGAGGAAACGCAGAAGGAAGCCAAGGACTTATTTTCGGAATTCTCAATATTTCAGTGATTCAGATGGCTTCAGTTCACATTCTTCAACTGGACACATCATCACTTCTTTTTATCCCCAGAGTTCGAGTGCCACAAAATCTTGCTTTGACAAACTCAGCATTAGTCTTGGAGTCCTTGGGCAGGGAAAATGCATGTATTTTATAAACTGTCTGGATGGATAAATTACAGCAATTTTTCCCTGGGAAAGAGTTGTTCAGACATTTAAACCCTCTATATATTGAGCATGATAACCTTTCTCACATCCCCACAAAAAAACAGTTTTTGCTTTGTTCATTAAAATTTGTTTTGCGTTTCTGGTGAGTATAGTTTTTCAGGTAGCAATGTTTTATTCTTACCAGAGCCTCCTTAAAAATCCTCTGCAACTGGGCGTGGTGGCTCACGCCTGTAATCCCAGCACTTTGGGAGGCTGAGGTGGGCATATCATGAGGTCAGGAGATCGAGACCATCCTGGCTAATACAGTGAGACCCCGTCTCTACTAAAAATACAAAAAATTAGCCAGGCGTGGTGGCACACACCTGTAGTCCTAGCTGCTTGGGAGGCTGAGGCAGGAGAATCGCTTGAACCCGGGAGAGGTTGCAATGAGCCGAGATCACGCCATTGCACTCTACCCTGGTGACAGAGCGAGATTCCATCTCAAAAAAAAAAAAAAAAAAAAAAAAAAAGCCTCTGCCAGTGCTGAGGTGCCAGTTAAGCACTATTAATCAAACACTAAATGCTTTTTAAACAGCTCTACCTTTTTTTCTAATTGAGAAACAGAGCTGTTTGGGCAAGTTTATGAGGTGACCTTGATTGAATTAAAGAGGTCAGCGATGGAACAGACTTCAAACCCATATTCAATGATTTTTTTAAAAATGACTTCCTTCCAATTAAGCAGAAATTAGCATAAAATATTTTGTTTCTGAAAGGTTAAAAGAATTCCTCTGAGAAGGCAGCTGTCTTGTTACTAGCTTTTTATTGAACATGAGAGGGAAGGGACTATGGGTAGTTTCATCTAAAGTGCTTTGTTAACATGACACTGATGATCCAGCATCAATTACAATATTCCTTAGGAGCCTAAGTGTTACGTAGAAGGGTCAAAAAGTCCATTTTAAATTTTATTTCCTATTTCAAAGTCCAAGAACCCAATGACTTTCAATTACTAAGAAAGAAAGAAAAGAAAGAAAGAAAAAAGAAAGAGAAAATTAAATCAACATATAGTTTATCATTTGCAAAAATTGCAACCTAGTTCTACAGAAAAAAGCTTCAGTCATTACCTCTTTAATTCAATCAAGGTCACCTCATAAACTTGCCCAAACAGCTCTGTTTCTCAATTAGAAAAAAAGGTAGAGCTGTTTAAAAAGCATTTACTCATCTTCCTCTTAGCCCCATCCTTCTGCTTGCCATAGTCCCCCACATTTTAATGACCTGAAAGAACATCACCTTCTTCCTACCAAAAAGAGTAACATACAGAGTGTCTGATATATAATGATGGAAGCAGAATTCCACAGAGGGGAGGGGGCACCACACACAGGTGATACTTTGGGGACTACTGGGTGTGTCTGAGGCACAGTCACCCTGAGAGACACACTCGACATAACATAGTGCTCTGCATCCCACATATCTACCCCTGCCAACCTCAAAGAGTCGAGTGGACGTGGATTATATAGAGGAGAGAGGCACAGGAGTGCTAGAGAAAGAGAAGGGGCTCTGAAGCCAGATACCAGCTATGAGGCTTAGGGCAAGAAACTAAACCTCCAAGAGACCTCAGGGTCCTTATCCAAAAAATGTAGTCAGTACTGTGAGGATTAAATAGGTAATAGGGTTTTTTTTTTTTCTTCAAAATGAAAAAAATATCCCCCAACAGATTAAAAATTAGTTCTTCCTAGTTTTAATTTCCTATCCATTCATTTAACAAAATCTTGCCCCCCTACCATGTACAATGTAGTGGGCTGGGCATTCTTTATGTTCAAGTTTATGCTCTCACACTTCTTTATGTTAGAGTTTATCTACTAGTTTTTGGCTATGACTTCGGAGGGCACAGTGGGCAGAGACTGTGAGGACCTGTGATCTGACACTATTCCAAGAAAAGCCGAACTGATGTTATGCTACGAGGATTTTTCAGAGGAGAGAAGCAACCCTTTCAGATCCAAGTCAGTGTCTCAGTCTTTCAAGACTTTGTTAGCTATTCTTTCCCCTTAATCTGGCACTGTAAAGAAGACAAAGGATATGGTCCCACACACATTGTGAGAATTTACTGAATATTTGTTGTTTTAATTTTATCACTGCTTTGTATTATGACATTGTTTAAGACAATTCGTGGAGGCAAAGGATTAAGGGTAGAGAAATGGATGGCTTTAGGAGGCTCGGTAGATAAACTACACTAGAAAAGTCTAGTATTGCATGTGGAGACATTTCATAAACAACTGACTGGTAAATCACTACAAGAAAAATAAAATCTCTCATGGTACTTCCAAAATATCTTCTAAATATATGTTGTAGATTAAGTTGTGCCTGAAAACTTGTAATCACAAAAAAATCACAAGTATCAAATATAAACTTGTATTTATTCAGCAGCTCACCTGATCATTATTTGGGGGTACCAAAATTCATTTTTCTCATTAATTTAGGACATTGGGGGAAGGGAGAAGACATATTACTTCCAAGATCAGAATTTCCCTGAGTCTGTGAATCTCAAGAAGATTGATATTACTGTAGATGAGGTCCCTCAGACTCTTATTTTAAAGCTATATTGGAGGCACATCTCATAAAGAAAAGCCTCGGGAATAGAGAAACAGGGAGAGGCACTTCAATAAGTCTTGAAATTAGATGGTGAGTCAATAAACTGGTGATCCTCAGGTAGGCTCTCCCAGACCCTGGGGGTGCAAAGAAAACATGGGATGAGATGGGAAATCAAAGGGCTGATATTGTAGCTCAGATCATTTCAGATCAACCATCAAGCATGTGCCTGAGGTTTGAGGAACGTCTTCATTTTTCTCTTTATCTTTTTGGGGACTTATGAAATGGAAAACATGGGTTGTGACAGTGTGTATGGTTACCAAAGGAAACACATAACACAGCAGTGAACATCCCTATGCACTTCACCTCTTCAAAGCATTTTCTTTTCTTCTTTTTCTTGTCTAAAGCCATACAGCAGACTCTGCTTTCAGGAAATAAATGTCACTCAATTAGCAAATGGGTGGTACCAATTTCCAGAATAATTTTTAAGGGTGGCATTTCTGTTGGGATGGGCTTAAAAAGAGTTTGCTGGGTGCGTTGCCTATATTGAAGCAAATCTCCTTCTAGGTAGTGGGAAAATACAGAAAATGACGGGAAGACCAAGCAGAAGCCCCAGTCGGCTTTGTCTGGATTAACATTTTAAGGTAATAAGCATCTCCAGGCTACCTTTGCCTCTAAAAGGCATTATGGCACCATGTACACTGCAGGCACTCAAAATCCTTCGTTGATTTTATTTGGTTACTGACTCTTATGGTATCACTGAAGGCATTTGAAAGAGATTCTGGAGTCCTTTTCCCATAAAATTCATTGGTGCCATAACAGGGTCATTAACCTGAAAAGGAGAAAGCTAGTATTGAGCTCTAGGCTTTCCACTTACGATCTTGGGTAAATAACATAACTTCTCATCATTGCCAATCTCTCTGTGGGTAAGAACTCAACATTTCTGCCTGGTTTAGAACTTGAATTATTTCTTGGATCCATTATTTAATATTTATACCAATATGATTAGCTCTTAGAATAAGAAATTATAAGATTATGTGGTCTGGGAAGGTAAGCATATTATGGTGAGTTAAATGTGGAAATTCCCTAATTTAAAGCAAAAGAAGGCAATTCAATAAACTATCATTATCTGATACTAGTTACTATTCCTTACTATTCTTGACTTTCCAGAATGACTGAAAATGTCTAGGGAGTATTCCTCAATCAACATGGATTTTTTCATAGATTCTCCTAGGTAATTTATAAATTAATATTTATTGTAGTTTTAATTATTTAAATAATACATGCATATATTGACATTTTTGAAATGCACAGAAAAAAAATCACTTGTAATTACACCATCTGGTGATAATCAGTCTGAATATTTTGACCTATATCCTCACAGATTTTCCCCTAACATAAATTGTGAATATAACACATACACACACAATTGGAATTATCCATGCTGGTTTGTAACTGCTTTTATCACTTCACAACATATTGAGAACTTTCTTTCATTCCATTATATAGTCTAAACCATGGTTTCTTTCAAGACTGCTCATGGATATACATTAATTAATCAATACCCTAGTGTTCAATGTTTAGATGTTTCTAAATTAATTCTGAGAACTGATAATTTAGGTAACTGCTTTGAGCTGCAATGACCAGCATGCCCCAAGTAGAAAGCAAGGGCCTTTGGGACACAGCAGCTCTAGAACTTAAAGGGGGCTCATTAAAGACCCTGCAATGCCCTGCCGGAAATGCTACAATTAATAGACTCTGTCTTGTAACTTTTGCTCCAGAAATGTTCTTCCTACTTCTCTGCTAGTGATGGGAGTCTAAAATAAAATTTTCTTTCTCTAGCCACTTCCTAGAAGGCTTCACACATTGTGTCCTGGAACTGGGGAGAAGAGTTGCTGAGCTCTTGCTCCCTCTTTGATATCAAGAGCATTCAGTCAAGTGAAAGAGAAGGGTCTCTAAGCCATTTAGATGTGGGAGAGCTTACTATAATAATAATTTCCTATAAACTTCAATTTCCAGGGCTTCTAAGTATCATATAATGGCAAGTAGAATTTCCAAGAAAGGGAAGGAAGTACTTACTTTTTAAATTAGTTATGTGGCTCTTAACTACCTACGGTTACTAGAATTCTACAAGACATCATCCTGTCTTCATTTTCTGTGTTCATGCAGTATCCCTAGCATCTTCAAGTCTTCGATTAACGAAGCTCATGTGCAACAGTGTTAGGAGTCAAGGTATAATAGCTTTATGTCACCTACTGTGTTTTGATGAACAATACAGTATAAAAGCAGAGGAGAATTAGGACAATGATGTTCATCAACAGCACATCACTGTGCTAAGAGGCTGGTAACAGTGTATGTTTTAATGTGGCCTAGTACTGATTCTTTTGGCCAGTGTCCTACTTTAACAATGTTACAGTCACACTTCAAGATTTCAGATGGAGAGGTAGAGAAGAAAATCAATAGATACTATTTTTCCACTACCAACTGGCCTACATATATATAGCTTCTCTGCCATACTCACATTCAAGGGACCTAAAAGATGCCTTTGGAAGGTCTGGCCCAGTTACCATGCTTTTAATAACCTCAGGAATCTACTCTGACCACCTCAAAGATTTTAGCTTCATCTCTCAAAGGTCCACAGGAAAGAGCCTATGATCCAGGAAGAATACAAACTTATTTGTTCTCTATTTTCTATTCCATTAATATATAAAAAGAAAACTTTTAACAAAGGCTTGCTTGTTACACAAGGACTCTTGTCTGAAACCAAAATCATGTAGAATTTTATTCCTGAGCCTTAAAAAATACACGGAAAAATACTTATGTAGTTAACTGTGCAAAAGAAAAAAATTAGAAGCCAAAACATTCTTCTGTAATGTTATAACACAATTTTGTTTTCTTCTTTATTCATTATTCTTAGTTGTTAGGTTTTCAAAAATGACCAGGTATTATTTTTATTCAAAAAACAACTTTCATTTTTTAAAATGTTACATGCTGCTAGAGCGCAATGAGGTGACCTACTGAAAGTGTTTTCTATGAGCATCTGCTAGAATCACAGGTGAGCATTTGACAAAATTCATCGATGTTGTAAAGGGTAATCCGTTTTTCAAAATCAGAGATTCCTGAGTATTGCTTATAAATGAAAACGGAAAATCAGGAATAAATTCTACTGAAGAATTCTCTCCTGTGTTTAGGAAAGAACAACAACAATAAAAAGCTTACAAAGTTGCCCAGATTCTGTCATCTAAACTCCTTCAAAAAATATCCTGATTTTTTCTAGAAGTTGTGCAAACCGCACTTAAATTCCAACAACACTGTGTTAATTTTGCTCAAACGCAAGCTGAAAACATATTTTAACATCCTGTCAGAATGAGATACTAAGAGTGTCGATAAAATGACACTAAAATAAATGTAAATTTGGATTGCTGTTACAAGTGGCTGCTTGGCTCTGCTAAGACGTTAGGTTGCTATAGTACTTTCCATAGCAACTTTGCATCTTATTACATAAATATTCCCTCAGTGTCCTTCAAGCCTGCTACAGAAACAGGATTAAATCCACTCTCCTATGTAATGATCCTGCATCAAACCTTACCGGAATGAAATGCCCAGAACACATAATAAACTGTAATGTAGATAATGGTGTTCCTGGCAGTCAATAAGCATCAGGGCACTTTGGGCTGCACACAGGCGGCGGTGCAGTGACCCTGTACTACTCCCTGGTCATGCGTCTTAACCTTTCCCAGGTCAAGGCGTCAGTGGCTCTCCCTTTGTGAAGATTGGTTGCTCATGTCCTCATTCTCCTCCTCTCCCTGCCAACTGCCCATCAGCTCAAGCCCTCCACCAGGCTCAAGGGACTCATAGCACTAAGCAAGAAGCCAGGGCCTGACAGGAGCTGGGAACATGCTGGGCTGTCATGCAGGAAACTTTGTGGAGACCCCACCCAGGTCTAAGCTAGGATCAAACAGGTATGGATTGTTTAAGAACTTCAGCTAGGCCTCAGCTGAATTTCACCGAGGTGTGGCACAGTTGAGTAGTTAAGAGTATTAGGGAAAGTCCTTGGTCCTGTAGACACCAATGTCAGCAACACAGATTAATCTTACATAAAATACCAGATTATGGAAAGTTTGTGCACATATGAGAGAGATGTCAAGAATCATGGCATTGATAGGTGCTACATAAAAATAGGATTATAAAGGGGCTAAGCTTAAAGACAGTTTAGGCTCCAAGTGTGAATTTACAAAACAAACACAGTCTGGTTGGGCAGAAGGAGTGCTTCCATTGAAATGGAATCTTCTGCTACAGGATCAATTTAAATAGCATCTGTTTTCCTGCATTTAAAAGGTGAAGCAATTTACAAAAAAAAAAAAAATTCTACACTTTTCAGAAGCATATCCATTACGGAAAGGGAATTGTAACTGCACATGAAATTAGGGAACTTAAAAATCCACCCAAAATAAATATTTATTTGAATTCCTTGGGCAAGATTAGCAAGATTAAAAGAAAAAAAAAAAAAGGAAAGAAACAGGAAAGCCTTGGCTCCTTTGCAAATGAAACTCTGTTTAGAGTTTAGGAAGAAAGCAGGCTACTCAGCCCACCTTGCAAGATTTCTTTTATCATCTTTAAGCCACATTAGTTCTGATTCATCACATTTCCTTGTTTGGCCCCCTTGGGTTCCCAGAAGAGAAAATGCTTGTCTTTAATTCAGTGGTCAGTGATGGACACACCCCACTGGTCTATTTCTCTTTCAGGAGATGGTGCCCTCGGCTGTCATTACATGTGAAAACAGCTTATCCTTCTATGCTTCCACTCAACACAGACACCCCTGCCCTTGGGGTCTGCTGGCGCCCGGAGCTCAGATCCTGGCATGTGGCCTCAGACTGAGCCATCTCACTTTCAGTGTCTGAATTCTCTTGTCCCTCTGCCAAGTTCTGAGCCAATCTCGGGTGAGCCTGCTTTCAGTTACATTCAGTGCTTCCTAAAAGGAAGTTTCTACCAGTGTGAATGACAGAGCCCCTTGCAGTTGGCCCCTTCAGTCAGCTGCTGCACCCTGGTCTGGTATTTAGTAACCCTCTCCTTCTTCTGTGCCTGGCTGGTGATGGGGTAACAGTGAGCCTCTTCTTAAGCTTGTGCCTGATTATAATCTTCCTGATGGGCATTTTTAAGGATCTTTCAGAAGTACTACCACCCAGAAAATACTTAATCAGAAAAAATAGGTTGTCCTGCTATTCAAAGAAATCAATGGGATGGTCAGAGAGCCCTATTATTATTATTTTTATTACTTATTTTTTTTTTAACATAAATCTTCCAGCTACATATATAACTATTCAGATAGGCTGATACTGCTAGTTCCAACCAAACCTAATTATGAGTTCCTAATTTGATTTAGTGGCTGAAAGATTTGGAAAGTCCTTGTTTGAATTCTTAGTGAAATTAAAAAAAAAAAATTCCGGGCCAGGCGTGGTGGCTCATGCCTGTAATCCCAACACTTTGGGAGGCCGAGGTGAGCGGCTCACTAAGTCAGGAGATCGAGACCATCCTGGCTAACACGGTGAAACCCCGTCTCTACTAAAAATACAAAAAATTAGCCAGGCGTGGTGGCGGGTGCCTGTAGTCCTAGCTACTCGGGAGGCTGAGGCAGGAGAATGGCGTGAACCCGGGAGGCAGAGCTCGCAGTGAGCCAAGATCATGCCACTGCACTCCAGCCTGGGTGACAGAGCAAGACTCCGTCTCAAAAAAAAAAAAAATTCCTTTGTACCTATGTTATGGTGAATTTTCATGAAAAATTGACAGCTCAGAAAAACACTCTTCATAATTTAGAGTGTCTGCTCCTATAAGGAGCTCAGAGTTTAAATGAAATGCAGTTAAAATCCAAAAACATTTGTTTGTGTATTATGGAAAGGCATAATGATTGTCTACTGAGCAAGGGACTTTTTAGTTTTACTCTTCTAACATTTGTGTTCAAAGTACACTCATCAAATATTGGGTGAGGTACATACACTATGTAGTGATGTTCATTTTGGTTTATAATAAATTTAATTTACCAGCTTTAGGACATCCCTAATATTTTTAACTGAAAACACTTTTTTCAAATGAGTCTTACACCCTAGAGAACTGGGTACCCTGTATCTAACTAACTCTGTGTGCCCTGGGTCCACAGCACCTTGGACATACAAAATGTAGATAATCAAAACAGTGCTGGGTTAAAGCTCTCTGGGCCATGGCCTGTTCGCCATGTGACACTGAATTTTGTACGTATAAAGTTCTGAACATTTTGTTTGAACATGCCTCTTTAATACTTGCCATTTCAATTTAATTAGAGCAAATGTTCTCAGGGTTATCATCCTCCTATCAACTTCTGGGACAAAGGCATCGAAAACATTAAGATCAGAAGAAGGGGAATATGAATTGAAGTCCACAGACTTTTATTGATTACGTACTTGGGGAAAGGCCCAGGGCCACGTGTTGGAGGATGACTAAGATAACAAGCAGAGTTAACATTTATTGAGTACTTACTAGATGCTCAACACTGTAAGTAAAGTCAGAAGTGCCTTGCATGCATTGACTTATTAACTCTCACAATACTAAAACGTATCGGGTTTTGCCATCTGAGGCCTTACAATCTAGGACAGCCTTCCTCTTTCCTTTCTCCTTTTTATTTCTTGCGAACGCTATCCCGCCCCACAGAGTCAACCTGGAGGGAGAGAGGGAGGAAGGGAGTGGAAAAGGGTAAGGGAGAAGGAGAGAGGGAGAGAGAGGGAGGGAGGAAGAGAGAGAGAAAGAGAAAAAGGAAGAACAGATCTGGATTTTAAAGTCTGGCTTCATTTCAGTAGGAGGCAGACTAAACAACAATAAATTTGAATTTTTATCAAAAATTATCTTCACAGGCTTCAGAGCAGGATGCCGATCTTCTAGAATGAATGCTTCAATAAATCTGTCATTATTTTTGAATTTATTAACAAAATTGATTTTCATTTTTATCAGCATCTTAGTTTTGCTCCAGTGAACTCCTTTTCCCCTTTAAGATTCAACTGATCAAGAAGAGTGAACACCCCACCCAGAATTCTATTGTAGATACTGCAGAATTATAGCCAAAGACATATTGCAAATTATTATATATGGTAAAAAGAAAAGTACAATGAAATATTCTTCATAACCAAAAAGCAGAGATATATTGAAACATTTTGATTATTTTTTAAAAAGTAAACCCAAGGTATCATATAAGTCCTTACACAATAAATTGTGCCTTTCCTAAAAACCAAACAAGTCAATTATTTCCATCTCTTCCCTGCCCCCCAAAATAAAACCCATTACAGGGTACTTTTTGTCTTAGTATGGAGATGACAAGCAAAGCTGGCCCTGGGGGACCACAGACAGAGCGCCCTGCAGTGGGTGCAGCCTCAGCACCTCCTCCCGGCACAGGCAGGTGACAACTGAAGGATATTCTCTTCTGGAATTTCCAAGAATTCCTGGGTCAGCTACTACCCAGGAGGTCTGAAGCAAAATCCCACTGTTTAAGCAGAGAGGAAATTGGCAGGGGATTCCTTACAGCATGGAGAATTTCACTTCCATTACAGCACTGGCAATTCCCCTGTTAGTGAATTAGAGTGCTACATTTTGAGAGGACTGCTCCTATGTAGGTGACTGGCAGATGCAAATGTGTACCTAAAAACAAGGGATGTGTCACCCAAGAAGATACCGCTGGAAGGTGTTTCCCTCGGGCTATGGCCTCCATCCTCCTGCTTCAAGCAACAGTTAGCAGGGATTTGTCTGAGGTTTGAACAAAAGACCAGATGGGAATTCTTGCTGTCAGGCTGTGTCCCCAAATATGCAGGGCTGAAAGAAAAACAACTGCCTGCCTTTGGGCCAGATCTTCAGGGCCCCGTGGAATAAAAAAGGTTAGTTGCCTTCCTTTCCCTTTAATCAGTCCTGTGCTTTCTTCAGAAACCACATGCCACATTCTCTGGTCCATCTCGTTTTGAAAAGCACGAAAAGACTTTGAACTGCTCGGGGCCTGGCATTTGAACTCCGGTTCTTTCATCTCTTCCCTCAGAACTTGGCATACAACATGCCCTGCACTTTGCTCATTAATTCTGCTGACCAAGTAACAAGACTGGTGAAAGTTTTTTTTAAAAGTTCAGGCTCTACTTCACGTTCTCATCAGATGCCTGGGGAATAAACCGAGAGAGGTGTCGGGGGATCACATCTCCGTCGATGCTTCTGCAGCAGAGGCCGGGCCCCGATCCTATAAGCATGTACGTGCCGCAAGACCTCAGTGAGCATACTATTCAGAGTCATCATTATTCTGGTCCTATCCTAAGCAGACTATGAAATTATACACAATTCTTACTTGGGAAATTGACAAGTTATTTAAAAAGAAACATCACCAAGACAAAACAAAAAGCCACAGGTTCAAATGAGAATTTCTGACTGATGCAGTTCTTTTCTCCTACACCTACCTTGTCAGGATATTAAGAATCCAAGTTTCATGTCAACTTGCCTCTCATCCAGAAGCTTCACAAAGGATGAAAGCGCTTTTGACAAAAAAAAAGTTTATTTCTTTATTTGAAGATCTTGTTGAACTTAAGAAATTCACACAAATCCTTGCCCCCTTCTTTTGCTATGTGAAGGTTTGTAGAATAGAAATCCTGTGAGGAAGGTGGTCTCCTCAAATAAACAAACCCAAGAGTAAAGCAGTCCTGAGGAATCTGATCTGGGCTTAGCAGGAGACATACATCATTGACACATAAGTGCTGGGTTCATTTTTCAGACAAGGGATATATGGCTTCAGAAAATAGTGGCATGGTGCCTACTTGTATGTTAAGCACCTGAAAGATTAAAATGAATGAATTTGAGGGTGAAAGGGAAAGTTTCTAAGGCAGTGGTTCTCAAACTTTGGCATGCATCAGAATTTCCTATAGGGCTTAAATCACAGATTGCTGGACTTCACTTCCCCACACCCTGTAGCCACTAGACGTTTTTGATTCAGCAGGTCTTGGGTGGGGCCTGCTAACTTACATTTCTAATAAGTTCCTAGATGATGCTGGTGCTACTGGACTGAGAACCACACTTTTGAGAACCACTGCTTTAAAGAAATTAGAGCCCTTTCTCTATATGCCTGTAGGCAGGAGCTTTTTCTTATGACCATCACTCGCACCCCTACATTCTCTTCTACAGCCCTGGAGAAACAGAGCATCCTGACCACTTTGCAGTCTTGGTGACCTGATCCTTTTAGAATCTTGATTTTGGTTTCTTAATAAATTAGTAAAGATCCTCGATTCCTGGTCACCTGCAATCTTTCTGTTAAAAAGTCTCTAACAGGTGTATGTTTTATTCACTTATACACATGAGGAGACAGATCAAATCTATACCATCTCTGTAATTTTCTTTTTTGGGAATGATGGCAATTATGGTTCTTCCTAGGTCCTTCGGACAACACCCTTCCAATCAGACAAGCAGTCTCCCTTGGTGTCTCATGTTTTGAATGAGCTTTTCCCTTGCCTGTTTTTACAATACCAATGGATTTATATATAATTCAATGAGAGCGTTTTAAATCAGCAGCTCCCATTAGACAGAGCACACAAAGCAAGGTTCTCTCTAAGTTTCTCTTCTTTGTACAACCTAAGGAGTGACACCCCTAGCTTGGTACCAAATGGGGCCAGCCTTTTAATTACAGATTAGGTGAAAGAACATTTATGGGAAAAGAAGTCTAATTCTCCAGCATCTTGGCTCAGAAGCTAGAAAGCTTCTTCAGGGATTAAACAATTCCCATGTAAGAAGTACACTGACTAAAACCAAATTTTATCCATATTTTTAGCATCAGCTGTGGCTGCCGTACTCTGGAAAAGGATTTTCATGGAAACAGGCAAATATCCCTGAAAAAAGCTTAATGGCCCCAGATCTACGTACGGAGAAACAACTGGAGCAATTTAAATCACTCTGTTCCCAAGAAGGAGTTTAAAGTTCTATTAATAAAAAGCAGAGTCACTCAAAGATGAAAGTTTAGTATAATTCAAATAAAAGTGAGTTATAGGGCCATTTACTTATTCCCCATCTGAGATTTGGAAGATCATTATGATACCTCATGGGTCTGTGGCAGTTATCGGCATTACCTGATTCATCGACTCTCATTTTCTTTGTAGGGCTGTCACAGTTCTCATCATCAGACATTTCCATTTCTTCTTCGCGGCGGATGCCCATGAGCTGCTCACTTTGAGCATTCCGGAGCTCCTGCAAGTAGAGGATACACAAATGTCAGAGTCACAGACACATATGGCTTTCCCCAATGGTCTTTGGGTATATATGACTGGCATATTAACATTCAGAATCCAAAGCTTTTATCTCCCAAATATAGCCTCACCTAACCTAAAGGAGGTTCTGAGGGGTGTGGGGTACAGGGGAGACTGAGGTCAGGCTTAGATTAATCCCTGCTCACCCATGACTAGGGCTCTTTAGCAAATAATTTAATCTCTCTTGAGTCTCAATTTCCTCATTTGTACAAAGCGGATAATAACATCCACCTAATAGGGCTGCAAAGATTACATAGAAATACCTGTTACATGGCTGGCACATGTACAGTAAGGACTTAGAAATTATGGTTAAGAACATGAACAGTGGAATTTTAAAATGGACTGTTCTACCACTGACCCACACGGTGTGACATTAGGAAGGATTCTTCATCTCTATTAACCTAAATTGCTCACTGGAATATTATGATTAAAAATAGTTTTGAGGATGAAATGAGTTAATGAATGTACAGTACTTAGCATCATGCCAGACACTTGGTTTGCTCAGTTGATAATGCTGGACATTATTATTTCTCATGCAAACATAGTGCCCCTGCATGTGTGTATGTGCCCATGTGTGATCACATACACACACAGGCACACACACACACCATTCAGATATCCAAAATTCAAAATTAGTAAGATGTTAGGGAACAAAACACAAACAGATGCCCTTTCTTTCGTATTGCACACGGTCATGTTGGGGTTACTGTTTTTGTTGCAATGGTTGCTTTAGCATCACATAATTTAGAGCCACAGATCTTAAGATCACACCTTACTTTCTCCATTTATTAGGGGAGTGACTACAATCAAGTTATTTATTTGAGACTTTGTCTAGTCACTCACAAGTGAGGAATAATAATACAAGGCTGTTTACATGTAGTAGCATATGTGAAAACTCATTGTAAAGATTAAAGAATTACACAGGAAATTTCTTACTACTGTGCCTAAAATCTGAACATTGTAATACTTATGCTAAGTATTTATATTATTATTTTGTATCAAGCTGTATATTACATATTTGTGAATTCTTCCTTATTCATTCTGTTCTCTTACATGTACTATCTTCAGAAATACTTAAAACAGGGGAAGCCTCCATTATTCTTTTTCCCTCTGTAAAGTCTCTAAATAAAAATCAAATAGTTAAAATAATTTCATGTTATGATCAATAAACATATGAGTAATAATAAAACTAAATTACTACAACTGATTTATTAGGGGCATGACTTGTGCCCATTTGATGGACATGCATATATCACTCCATGTTATGGGTTTTCTCCATTCTTTTCTCTCCTTAGCTCACAGATTTTAACTACAGCATGATGGAGAGGAAAGTATTTATTGCTAACAGCATTTGAATGGTCAACTCTGTACCCTGGGAATCACCCTTGCAGAAGACAGGGAAGGGAGAAAGCAGAGAGACAAGGTCCGAGGTGGGGTGCAGGGGCACCAATCACAGGCAGCCCTGAGAGGCCAGAGGGAAGGCAGACAAGGCTCCTAATTTGATTATGCCACCCAGAATAAACAGGTGCCAATTCCATCTTAAATAACACCATCAGGCATTGGAGGTGGGTGTCACATGTGATTAGTGCGGAAATTTTTAGGCTGTGGACAGCTAATTTTTCTACTGACAAAGAGCCCAATTCCCAAAGAGGTGGCTTAACACTTGAAACAAGGAAAAGTCAGGTGGAAAGAATAAATGAGGCTGAAAGGGACTGTTGTTTAGTCCCTGCGATTAATGACAAACTGTCATATGGTAGTTGTTCTTGTGGGAAAGGGTGGTGGAAAAGAAAAAAAAATTGAGGAAAAAGAGCTGAGGGTGTTTCCACAGGGTGCCTCTGGTTCAGCATTAAATCACTAGTACACTCTAATAAATCTGTAGAGGTGTTGCAGATAATTAACAGATGCTGTACATGGGAATGTGGGAAAAAATCAAGCCAATTATCAAGCTTATACGCAACTGAGAAATCATCCACAATGTTAAATTACCAACTGGTATTTAATCAATTCAGCGACATGCAAGAGAAAATCACAGCTAATTTAGAATTCTGTGGCCTAATGTATATCAAAAGAGGTGGGGAAAGTAGCAGGAAGGCAAAAAGACCCTTCGCAGGAGCACCTTTGACAGCTGCACTCCATCTGTCCTTCTGGAGCATCATTTCTGTCTCCTAGTACCAAACAAAGCAAGCAGGCTCCTTAGACCTGCATGGAAGCCTTCACACGTCCTGCTCCCCACCACACCCACGCAGAGGAGGCAGGGTTAAGCGAAGGTGAGAAGTTGAGGCAGACATGGCAGGAAGTGTGATTCAGATCAATATGTGACATTTGCTGACACTCACATTCTAATGATGGCCTTTTTATGCTCAGGTTTATTCGGCAGCAGGCCACCAGCCTTTCTCTCAACATTCCTTTTAATCATGTTTGGTTTTTATGTGAAAAAATAAATAATTCACAGACTGATCATTCCCAAATCTGAATCATAGTTTATGGACTCCAATTTGTGTTTTCATAACCCTCAGTTTGTCTACTGCATCACAAACAGAGGACTCTTTTTTTTTTAATCTTGAAAATCAGCCTTGACCTCAGTCTTAAGTCAGAGTCAGGGAGAACATCAGGTAAGCACCCTTCATTTTTCTGGCCCCTGAAAAATTAAAGAGAAATCCCACCTCTTCCTTACTCATAATCCTGAACAGAAAAACAGAACTGTATCAGTCACCAACCACCGTAGGCATTAGTGAACAAACTAAAAAATGTCCTTCTTAACAATAAATTGCACTAGCATTTTAAGTGTCACATTATTGTGAAGTCATTCGGTATTCACCATAATAACAGTGATAATAAAGAATTCATTTGGTATTCATGTGGATATTACATCTAGTGCTATTGGTATTCAACTGTAATTTAGCATTAGTTAATGGGCACTTAAAATGCTACCCAAATGATTGATATCATAGTACTTTGTGATTCCTCAAACTCTATATAAAATACTTATTTTACAAGTGTAAGCCAAAATCATTAAATAAATAAACCTTACCTTCCATAAGTTTGGGATTTTGAAAGAGGGGAATGTCATTTAGAGAACTTTAATATTAACATGCTAGAGATGGAGAGGCATCCAAATGAAAAACATTCTTTCATTAAAAAAAAGAAGCAAAGACAGTATACTTACTTTTAAATTACAGGTTCAAAGCGTACACTACTCTGTGGAGTTAAAAATAACAGCTGGACGACCAGTGACTAATGACACATTTTGGTCCTTCTAAGTGGCAAGGAGGTCAAATTCTAGACTGTTCTCTTGGGGGTAGATACTCACTTCACACATGCATGGTTGCTGATGGGTGGACCCAGTTGGCCTAGATATTCACTCCCCTTACAACATTGGATCTGGAGAGAAGTGTAATAGGACTTAATGGCTAGCATAGGGACTAAGATGTTGCTTATGATAAGAAAATATGGACGGAAAGGCGTACTTGTCCAAAGAGCAAACTGTCATCATCACGTAGAACACTAAAAAAAAAAACCCTCTGTATTTAAAAGCCAGTTTTCTATTGTAAGCTCCATTTTTCTTCAAAATAATTTGCTAGGGAAAGTGTCTTGGTTTATTTCTGAAATCTTTACTATGAATGGGAAAAAGTATTTTCTCCCATTGCAGGGGAGAAAAACACTGTGTTCCCTAAGTGTTAAGTCAGCTGCTTTTCTGGACAAGGAACAAATCTCAGCTGCATTTGGAGCTGACAGTGAGATCAGACAATGGCAGGCGGACTGCCCACTATAACAGAAACCATCATGGCTGCAGCCATGCTATTCTCTGCCAATCCAGCTGTGTGATGGTGGTTAAAAAGTAATAATAAAATCACCAACCTCAGAATGCTTTCGCCAAATGTCTATGTTCTTGCGCTGGGCTTTCGAGAAATGGTCCCAAGCTTTTTGTCTGGTAGAAGCGTTGAAAACGGCCACAATCTGCTCAACTTTGGTGAACAAGGAAGTCAAACAAGACAAGTAATTTATGTTGTGATCACTATAGGGAAGCAAAGCAAAGACACTAGGAGTCTATGGATGATGTCACAATAGAAACAACATCATCAATATCCATCCAATTTGTGCCTTTCGTACTTACATTTTAGCAAGGTTGGGGATGTCTCCCTTCAAGTCTGTCTCCACAACTTTAGGTTAAAACAAATTCTAAGTATGACCGGGAGAAGGGCAAGGGCATCTACTTCCAAGCATTCTTTAGCTGTTGTTTCAATATGTGATTTGGTCTATCTATATACCTAGATCTATAGATATATAGACACTGGTGTTGGCATCCAGATATACAGACAAAGTAATGCAAGGGTTGGGTGCAGAGAAGTGAAGTCAGGGAGAAGTGGCTGAACGAGGAAGAGCCAAACATATCATTTTCTCTTTTGGTCTTTATCTCAAGGACTCAATCACAGTCCTCTCAAGACATTATCATGTCCAAGTTCCAAATTGGGACAATGAATAGCCGTGCCATGTCTCCCCTCAATCTCAGGGGGCCATTTTTCCTCCTTGGCTCCTTTTTCCTCCCCCTGTTGCACTGACTGCAGCCAGCCCTCCAGCCCTCTGGCAGGGAACAGGAACCATAGCCTCTACCTCAAGACAGACCAAAGCTCACCCAACCAGTGGCACTGGCATGCAGGTCTTATTTCAACCACCATATGGCACCCTCCATAGCTCCTCATGATCACATTCCATTATCACTTTCACAAGGCTCCCCGCCCTCTGGCTCCCAGACCACTTGAAGTTCTAACTCTATTATCTTGACTTAATTTAGTACTTCTGCTGCTTTCAGGCCTGGTGCTACTGGACTGGTAAATGTTGAGGGGTTATGAACAAAACTACATAGACAAAGGCATGGGCTCTTAGTAGTGGGTATTATGGGTGGAGCCAACTAACTGTAGACTTAATCTTGCTTAAACAGTTATTGATCCAGTAAGCATGAGATTAAGGAAATTAAAGCACTAAATTAATCATATGATTAAACCTGAACTTCTAAATTTTTAGTTAAGAAGGCTCAGTTAAAATTAGCTTCTCAAGGATTCTAACACCCCATCAACATAAATCTTTCATAAGTGATTCCCAAGGCTCTATTATAAAAAAGGACATCAAAGCTCTTCCAAATCTTCTGGTGTCCAAAGAATGTCAAAGAGCAATAGAGTAATCCCCACAGAAGAACAACACTTGGTGCCATAATTTTTAAATTAGCACACAAAATAAATGTATGATGGAGCAGAAGGAAAAAAGCAGATTCCATTCACTTACAATATCGTGAATACTTTTCTATGCTGATGAACAACTACTTCTCAATCTATGGCTGATTTTCACAGAGGGCTTTTATCTTTTTGCTATTAATATTTTTACTATTTTCCACTTCAGGAGAATCCCAACCCCAAATCTCCTTATTTAGCAAAACCTGTCATCATGTCACATGATGAATTTATTTGACTCAATTTTAACAGGAGGATTTGCCTTCAATTTGTCTCATACTCTCCTTGGGCACATGTGGCTTCCCTCCTCGACCTCAACTGGAAGAACTAAACTCCAGACTAAACACCTGGGGCTGCTCTAAGTGCTGGCCATCAGCTGACCACTGATCCTTAGTGCTCTGGTTGGCTGTCCTGCAGCACAGCTGGCAGAGGAGAGAACCTGTTCCAGTGGATCACCGGGGCTTTCTGCATGTTTTGTCTGTACACAGGCTGGGATCATTGGGAATTTCAGCTGCCTTCTGTAGGGGCAACACAGAACAGTCAGCCCCAAATCTAGGCTGGCAGGGGTGGTGATCAAGAGGTTATTAAAGAGTAATGGGCTTCGTTGCTTATAATAACATAGCTCTTTGGCATCATTTAGAAGAGGAAGAACTATGATGTCCTGACACCAGTCCTAAGGGGAAAGGACAATATGGGTTGAGACTGAGTGTTTGGTTGGTAATAGTGAAAATTCTGACATCAATCAGAGAAGGCTGTTAATAAAAATGAAACACTAAAGAAAAGTATATCTGTTCATAAAAACGTGTAAGGGGCCAGAGAGAATGAAGGTAAGGAAGACTAGTAATGCACCTGGAGGAGTACAGAAAAGAAAGAACTAAGAAGAAGGACCCAATGGCCCAATAGTGCACAGGTTTAGGGGTAAAAGGAGATCCCCTAATATCTACTCAAGCCATGTGCTATTAGATATTTCCTGTTTGTGGCTAAGTGCCTCGGTTACTTAGAACATGTTATTACCATATCCCAAGGCATAAGTTCAGTTCATTCATTCATTCAACAAACATCTGGATTCCTGTTAGCTACCAGGAACTTGATTAATTGCTAGAAATATATGATCAAGGCCCAGTCTTGTCTTTGATGCAATCATAGTCTCGGAAGAGAAAGAAAGACAAGCAGATAATTATCCTGTGCAAGAGAGGTGCAGATGACAGCTTTGAAGACACAGAGAAGAGAAGAGAGTAGCTAAGTAGATAGGTGGCATTAGAAAACATTCCACAAATAGGGCAACATTTCTGCCAAGTCTTAAATAGTGAAGCAATGCCTGCTTGGCAGAGAAGGCAGGAGTGGCCTGTTCAAAGGCTGGTATAGAGTTGTGGGAGGATGAGTGAAAGTAGCTGTGGGGCTGGGGCTGGGGCTAGTGTTAGGTATGAATCAAGAGAGACCATGTATGCTAACTCTGATTGGGAACTTTATATTGTAGGATTGGCTTGGGAGAAATTACAAAGGAATGAATTAAGGCAGAGGCTCTGGCATGGAGTGTGGCACAGGCAGTCATTTGACAGGGAGACTTGATAGGAGGAGGCAGCTGACTTGCTACATGGGAGGAGGAAGAGGGGTGCGAGGTACCACGATGACTGGAGCTGGTAAGTACATCCCAAACTATGAGAACAAGCATCGGTGGAGGGCTGAGAAAGAAGATAAGGAATTTACTTTTGGACGTATTGAGTTTGAGATGCCTGAAGACCATCCAAATGGAGCTGAAATATGGATTAGGGGTTCAGAAAGAAGTCAGAATTCAAAGAGATATGGCCAACATTTTCTGGGCCATTCTCCATTTCTTGTATTCTTTTTCAATAGGGTAATTAATTAGATGTAAAACTAAGTGGGATTTAATTTTATACTTATGAACTTATACACTTTTTTTCCCTATACCAATCAAAAAGCAAAACAAAAACAAAACAAAATAAAATCCCACAAAACCCCAATAACTGTGTAACTCAGGTTTGGAAACCACTCTCACAGTATTCACACGGCCCAGTTTTACCTCTCTCATTGCTGCACACACTGTCCCTGAACCAGCCATTTGTCTTGCAAATGAAAGTTCCTGGGCACACACGAAAAAGGACTCTGGAGGAGTGCTTTCATCAGCATTAATTCATCATCATTAGGGAAAAAGCACCTCTAAGAGTATGCCCTAATGAATGTCATTCAAAGACAGCATACTTTTAAGCTCATAAATCAGGATGACTACTGGTATTGATGTAAATACACTATTCATTGCTTATAGCAGGAAACACCAGAGAGGAAGTCCATGAATTAGATGACCACTGACTACCTCTCTGGTATAATTCATACTACTTACTCTATCTATATACAATAAAACCTGTTAAGAAGTTACTATCAGAACAGGCTCTTCAAAACTTTGCTTCTCAGAGAAAGATATAACCAGCAAACAAGATGGCATTGGCATTTGTTCAAAGCAAGTAGCTTATAGAAGTTGTGCTGCAGGCAGAACAAATTGAGACCTACTCCCTACCCAATGCCTTCACCACCTCAGTGGTCCACAGAGTGGTGGCCAGAGGCCCCACACAATCCTGTATCAGATAAAAAGCATAGATTCTGTTTGATTGCCACTTACTTATTCAAGAAAGTATACTCAAAAGTTTTGCAGGTAAAGGGAATTTTTTTTCTTTGAGGGATAACATTTTCCCAAATCTTCTATTAGCAACTGAAAGAGCTCTCCATCAGAAAATTTAAATTTACCCCTCACACTTTGCAAATCTTTCCCCCCCAATTCTGTGTTTTAATTGTTTGCCTAAATTAGGTTATTTGAGGATCATAAGAAAATTAAAAATGATAAATTCTTCAGAAGTATGCCTGAATGCCAGTTTTAGATATCACAGTAGAGCCCCTAGTATACCCAGCAGCTGTAAATGACCTTAAGGGCAGGATAAACAGAGCCTTGATGAAGTTGCTAATCACTCCACAGAGCTGCAAACCCTCACTAGTGGTTATTCATTAGCTTACACATATGTATGTGTGGAGATACATACACGCACCTAGCATACACACATTACACACATATATGTATATATTCTTCCAATTTTAAACAAACCCATAAGACTAATTTAACAACTTTTTTTGCACTTTTCCCCACCCCAAAATGTTTGGACATTTGCTGAGTTTAGAGCACACTTCTTACTGATAGAGAACTTTACAGACTATCATGAGAAGCGCTGGTCTTCAGCCTTCTCTGGGAGGGAAAGCTCAGAACAGAATATCCATTTATCCAGGAACAGACCACACTGAAGCAAGCTCCCTGGGAAAAAGCAGCCACTGGGTGCAAAAGCTCAGATTTCTGGGCTGCACAAGACTCCTGAATTTCAAGCTCTGGGCAGGAATGCATGGGAGATGAAAGAGAAAGGTTAGAGTCCTCTAGAGAACACGAACACAGCCCTTTTCCCTTCATGTCTTGCCGACTGCCTTCTTTCTCACAGGCCCTGCACCTCTTGTATTCCTTGTTCCAGCTAAATAGCGGTGAAAGAGCCTTAATCCAGTTAGTGTCCCAAATATCTGGAGAAACTGATTTAGTCCTTAAAGGCAGTAGGCTTGCCTAAATAAAGCACCTCAAACAAATCTTCCAAGCTTAGTTTTTGTTTTTTAATGCTATCTGGGCTCATGTTAGAGCCTCAACTCTGCAGGGTACACAGGACATTTTTCTTTTTTTAAGGGATAACATTTTCCCAAATCCTCTATGAATAGCCCATGAGAGATTTTCAAAGGGATATGACACAAATGAAATAGGTGACCTCTCCCACCCCAGCTTGTTTTTGTTGTTTTAAAATACTAATAGCTAGGGGAGAAGGGACAGAAGAAAAGTGTAAGGCTTTAGATGTAGTGCTGGAATTGGTGAGCCTTGGCTTTAGACTGAAGAATTATAATGGAGGGAATGCAGTAAGCGATTCCAGCTCTCAGGATACCCAGAGGAGCAAGACAAGGTCCAAGGGAGAAGCGGTATGTGTCGGACAGCACATAAGAGGAAGCTGCTGCTATAAAAGAGATTCCCAGACAGACTCCTGCACATTCACTCGGGTTCTGGGTCCTGAGCATGAAGGAGCTGGCAGTCAGCCTGGCAGAAAGCCCAGGAAACAGAGAATGAATACGGTCAAACCCATACTTTAAGGAGGGATGGACCGGAATTTCAAATAGAGGAAGAAAAGGGCATTCTGGGGTTTTGTCTTGAGATATGTTAAAAAAAGCCTCACATGACATTGTGAGTCCATTACAGCCCACTTAAAACTGAGGCCAAGACACCAACAGCAGACATCATATTACTGAACTTCCTGGCTAGATGAGGCCAGATATTTGTTGCTTTTAGGGCAGCATCCCCAACGTTTTTGGCACCAGGAAATGGTTCTGTGGAAGACAGTTTTTCCATGGACAGGGGGTTGGGGATGGTTTGGGGATGAAACTGTTCCATCTCAGATCATCATTAGTTAGATTCTCATAGGGAGCATGCAACCTAGATCCCTTGCATGCACAGTTCACAATAGGGTTCACGCTCCTGTAAGAATCTAATGCCGCTGCTGATCTAACAGGAGGCAGAGCTCAGGTGGCAATGCTCACTCACCTGGTGCTCACTTCCTGCTGTGCGGCCCAGTTCCTAACAGGCCATGGACAGTACTGGCCCAGGGGCTGGGGACCTCTGTTTTAGGGAATGGAATTTGAATAGAATAAAGAGAAGCCTACTGATCACAGTATATAAAAAAACAGGATGTTTTAAGCAAATTTCAAGCAAGCAAGAAATGATCAAATTGTTCAAATAAAACAGAAAGATATTAGGTATATAGTGACTTTTAAAGATTTGCATCACTCCAAGTATACTCCAGGGAATTGTAGAGCCCTTTATTAATGCATATATTTAAAAATTTTGGAAAGTAAAGCAATACATGAGATTATAAATCTAATAGTTCCTCAAAATATATAGCATTTATTAAGCTTTTTAAATCCAATAAATCTCCTGCCTAGATTACCCCTACTGACTAAATGAAAGTAATGTATATACAGAAGAAAAAAGGGACGATATAAAAAAAAAAGTCTACCTTCCCATCTTGACAACTCTACCAAGTTCTCTTTTTAAAGGTAACCAGTAACCACTATTAACAGATCCTAGCACATCCATCCAGAAAATAAGGTTATGCATATAGTACAAACAGTGTGTATTTTTCTATGAGAAACCTTTTTTACTTACACAAAGGTGCTAATATTATATACGCTATTCTGTACCTTGGTTTTTTCACTTAATATATCTTGGAAATCTATTCATATGTATGTTATCAATAAGGCTGCTATAAACATCTTCCAACATATCTTCTGAAATCCTTACATAAATATCTTTATAAAAAATTCTTAGCAGTAGAAAGGCTAGATAAAAGAGCACCTGAATTTTTAATTTTGAAAGGTACTGGCAAGTTGCACTCTATGTCCCTGAAGTGTTTTTCAGTTTGTTTCTCTTACCCTTTGCCAACAGTGCATAATCAAATTTAGCTTTTGCCATTCCTGATAGATGACAGAAGGCATGAATTACATGGTAACCAATTGTCTGCACCAGTGATATGTATGTTTGCAGTTTCCATTACAAATAACAGAAACAAGTCCAGACTCATTGAGCCTGCCCTGTATTCAGTTGTTGGCTCGATGCTAAGTCATCACATAGCAGCAGGAGGAGAGACCTGGTTTCTGGGGATCTTTTCTTCTTTGTGACCCTCGAAACGGCAACCCTGATCTCCTCTGAGTCTCTACTAACTCCCTTAGTGGTTATGAAAATCATATAATGGTAATAGGAGATTTCTTTCTTTTTGAGACGGAGTCTCACTGTCACCCAGCCTGAAGTGCAGCGGCATGATCTCGGCTCACTGCAACCTCAGCCTCTCGGGTTCAAGTGATTCTTCAGCCTCAGCCTTCCGAGTAGCTGGTATTACAGGTGCGCACCACCACACCCGGCTAATTTTTGTATTTTTAGTAGAGACGGGGTTTCACCCCGTTGGCCAGGCTGGTCTCGAACTCCTGACCTCAAGTGATTCACCCGCCTCGGCCTCGCAAAGTGCTGGGATTACAGGCATGAGCCACCGTGCCCAGCCCTGTGATAGGCAATTTCTAATTACTTAGCCCTTACTGGGCTAGGCACTATGCTTGATGATTTAAAACAGTAGTTATCAAAGTGTGGCCCCTGGACCAGCATCATCAACATCACTTGAGAACTCACTAGAAAGGCAAACACTCAGACTCCAGACCTACCAAAGGTGAAACTCTAGGGATGGGGCCCAACAGACTCTGCTTTAACAAGCTCTCTGCATGATTCCAAGGCATGCTAAAGTTTGAGAACCTCTGATTATCTTACCTAAGTTTTGCAACGACTGTCTGAGGTAGGTGCTAGTATGAATGCCCATTTCATTGATGAAGAAACTGAGGTTCACTGAGACGAATATTTACTTGTCCAAGGTCATATATTTAGCAGTGGTGAAGTTGGCAATGGAAATTACATCTGTCCAACTTCAAATCATGTATTTATACCCATTATATGATGGGCCAAAGTCTTATGAGCTCTGTGGTGTGTAATGTGCTAGACTTTGTACTACACACTGGGGATAAAAAGGGCCAAATATGCAGCTGGTCCTTGAGCTGCTCAGAGTCCCTGGGGGAGACAACATATATATGATTGAATCGCAAGATGAGAATTGCTTAAGAGAGCTGCAGAGGGTGCCAAGGGAGGCCAAGAAAGGCTTAAAGGACCCCTTGGCTGAAACTTGCAGCTAAGTTGAATTTTCAATGCAAACAAGCCAAACATTGGAGGTTATGATGGAGCAGGAAGCTGCATTTACCTCTCTACAAAAGTGTATTGAGGAACATGAGCCACAGTGCAGAAGAATCAAAGTGTCTGGAAAAAAAGTCCCTACTTTTTTTGTGTCTACCAGGCTGGAACCAATTTCTCTCAGTGTGTGCCCTCAGCCTTCTCATTTTGTCTAAAATCCAGTCTGTCCTACTTTTTTTGAAATAAAAGTCATTGAATAAGCCTCAGCAGGGGAAACTTACAGAAGTGGGGCCAAGGGAGTGTTTTTATGAATACAACACTGTTTTGGGGGTTGCATGTAGACGGGAAGAGAGAGTTGGGAAATCTGTGTTGGTCAAGTCTTAGCTCCATCGCTAACTAGCTGTGTGACCTGAAGAAAGTGTCCATCTGTTTGAATCCCAAGGCAAAGGGGGCTAGGCTAGACCATCCTGAATCTCCTTTCTGGCTCTGGGAGCCTTTAGAACAGGGCTTAGCAAACTTTATAAGGAAAGGAACAGATAGCAATTATTTTTGGCTTTGCAGGTCATACATCTACCTTGCTATAGAAGGTGTCTACACACATAAGTGGTTTCTCTCCTTAAATAGAAATCCTCTCACTTTGTCTGTGGCTACTCTTCCATGATTCTCCCCAGGTACAATTTTCTTTGGTTGGAAAACAAACACTAAGTTGTACTTCTCTTTCAGTTACGCAGAGTCAAGAACACATCATCTCTGCTTTAAAGTAACTTTACTGACACCTTACTTTTCCTCAATTTGAAAGTGTCTTGGCTTTAAAAAATCTTTGTAAAAATTTTTTTTATGCATGGATTTTGT
The DNA here is from genome assembly GCF_000001405.40 of Homo sapiens. Taxonomy (NCBI): domain Eukaryota; kingdom Metazoa; phylum Chordata; class Mammalia; order Primates; family Hominidae; genus Homo; species Homo sapiens. Next base: position 43,335,446 of record NC_000013.11, read on the forward strand.
CCAGTGTAGCTCAGAGACTGTTTCCCAGAGTACCCCAATGCTATCAACACACATTCCCCTCGCCTGATGTGGGGCAGTGGCTAGAGTCCAGTCCTAGACCTGGGCTCATATCAAAGTGACAGAGTTTTCATCTTTAGCTCCCAGAAGTTATACCTTTCCTGATTTGCTGAATTTCACTTAATATGCACTCCAATTCTTTATTGTTCCAGAGTGTAAGACTTGATTTCTATCTTACATTTTGGTATTATTAAAGATTTTTTTAAAAAAACATAATGATTTGACTCAGTGTATATATTTTCCACGAGACTGAAAGGAAGGATACCAAAAAAAAAAAAAAAGAAAAGAAAAAAAAGACTCATTTCAGTTCTGGCAGGCATAGTGTCCTCCACCATCACCTTTGGCATCCTGTGAAACAGAACATTCTGTGCTCATCCTTGATGCTGAAGTTTTTATACATATTATTTTCTCTGGATATTTATTCCCTGAGACCAAAGAGGTATTTTTTTAAATGGAAATAATGTTTCCAGCACTTAATGCATTGGCAAATACAGCCATCAGTACAATTTTGAGGAGAAATAGAAAACCTGTCACATTGCTAAAGCAGTTATGGGGAATTTTTTCCCATGGATGAACTACAGCAATGACTGCTACAGACATGGGCAAACATTTTAACACTTCATAAAATTCCTTTTTGACAGCAGGGGACATAGAAGCCAAATTTCCCTTGGTGGAAATAAAAAATGTTTGGCTGAGATGTTCCTAAGAAGTAAATGATTTCAGAAAGAGCTTTTCAGGCAGAAGAAATGTGGACGAGGACACCAATCTGCCTAAAAGGGGGATCACAGTACACAGAGATCAGAAACCCCTCACATTTCACTCTAGCACTTAGCACACAACTTGACACTTGATAAATATTTGTGGAATGAATTTAATCATTCAGACACTTGAGGCTTTTACAATTTTACCCAAGAAGATAGATGAGGGCGTGACAGTGGAGAACTGTCAGTGCCCTGCGCAGCTGTCTTTGACAATAATTCTGACCAATCTTCAGCACCTGCAGAATGCAATGCACATAACCTCAGGGTTGAAATGTGGCTTAAAATTCACAGTGTAGCCCAGGAGGAGTAACCTTCACAGCAAGGTATAGGCAGAACATTTGCACAGAGTAATATCTGATTGCCTGTTCTATGATCACTTTAGGAGCTTTGAACCTCATGGTTGGGTCCTGGAAGATACCTGTATTTAGATATCCAGAGACGATAAAGGATCCACATGGTTGACATAAGAACTGTGGAATCTTAAGGGTGGAAAGGAACTTTAAGGGATTACTGGTTAAACCCTTTTATTACAGAGATGAGAAAAAGGAGACTGAAGTTGCTTAAAAGACTTTCCCAAAGTCACAAGGCTAATTAGTGGTCAAACTTGGATTAGAACCAGATCTCTCTGCCTTGTCAAAAGTCTTTCCACCATTTGCAGCTTTTAAGACCTAAGATGAGGCTGATGCCATTACCTATCACAAATGTATAAAGTTGCATGACAGTTCTAACCTTTCCAATCTCCAGGTTGAAATGATATTGATAACGGTACTCTAATACTCCTACTGTAAAATTCTCAACTAAAGTATATGCCGTATGCTCCACTTTAAAGAGAATGGCATATTAGAGCTAAGATCATTGAGATCACGGTTTACTAAAAAACACTTAGGCTGTGTTCTGCAATATTAGGTTCTAGCCCAATTTTCAGCACCACGTTCCTTTCCACCTGTGATTGGTCAACAACCAATATTTTTTTTCTTAGGTCTTCTATGTGCTTACAAGAATTATGCCAGGTCCAGAAGTGGCACAGTGAGGTAGAAAAGAGAACAGTAAGTGGCTCATGTCTCTATTTAGCCTAAAATCTTGCTAGAGGGAAAATCAAGCAAACAAACCAATAAACTTGATGCACATAAAATAATTAGAAAATAAGTAAGTCCTCAAGTAGATAGTATTAACAAGCGCTGCAGAAGGTAGGTGAAAGGGAGATGATTATGGGTTATAATGGATAAACAAGGTTTCATGGAGGAAATGTGATAGAAGTGGACTTCAATTTTGGCACTTGGAGGAGGGGAAATAGTTCAGGCAAAGGAAACAGCACAAGCAAATGTGTGGAGGTAGGAAAGAGGGTAGTGCCAGAAGCAAATACTTCATTTTTTAGCCAGATAGCAGCATTTATACTCAGTGTGATGACAGCACACCTCTTCAACTCTACCTATAAGCTGTACCTTTACATTTATAATATTCTTAATTTTCATTTTACACACACACACATACACACACACACACTTAGAAAGCAAACTGTACAAGGAGCCAAGAGTCTTGGTTCTAAACTGCCCATAAACTACTAAATGACCAAAGCCTCTCACGTCTGCTCTCTGAGACTCAGTTTCCTCCTCTGTAAAATGACAGGGTTTGGCCCAACCCTTTAAGATCCCTCTTAGCTCTAACATTCTATAATTTCTGCTTTTTATCCATGCTCATTATATGTATGGCACATATTCTTAAATTAATGTTAATCAACCCTTCTGCACTGCTGCTGGCTTTCCCATTTGCCTTTTCTCCAGTTTGTTCCCTTCTCTCTTACCAGGAAGCATGTTGGGAAAGTAGCAAAATGGGGATATCATGGAGTGTTTAAATTTTTATTAGATATGTGTGTGTTGTAATTGTTAAAAGGCATGCAAAACTTATCATCTTGGCATGCATATTAATAACTGAATGTGGTAGTCCATGCTTCCTGAACTTTATAAACAGCTCCTGTACGAGCTTTGAAATGACAAGCTTTGTTCATAACTGAGAAACTGAAAGTGGGCAGGCCTATGGGGAGTTTCTGTGAAGTATGCATTTTTAAAAAGCAAAGATAAAAACTCCAACGTCTCCGAGTTGGAAAACCTGGGGAAGTTTCTGGCAAATGGACGGGTTAAGAAATGACATAAAGATGAGACTAGGATGCTATCGGGATAAGGTGACATGACAAAGATGATTTACCTGTTCCGAATTTTTTTTTCTCTTTCTTCTATATCTAGGAAATGAGGTCTATCCAGCTGGCCCAGAAGGGAGGAGAAAGCCCCAGGTGCCACAGCAGGATAGACGATGTCCTCATCTAACATTTTTCATAACTGGACATCCATGGTCAGAAGAGAAAAATCGCCCTACACAGAAGTGAATGGATGCCATACTCCCCAAAATTCAGGTTGGGTTTTTTTTTTTTTTTTTTTTTTTTTTTGAGATGGAGTCTCGCTCTGTCACCCAGGCTGGAGTGCAGTGGCGCCATCTCGGCTCACTGCAAGCTCTGTCTCCCAGGTTCACGCCATTCTCCTGCCTCAGCCTCCCGAGTATCTGGGACTACAGGCGCCCGCCACTGCCCCCGGCTAATTTTTTGTATTTTTAGTAGAGACGGGGTTTCACCGTGTTAGCCAGGATGGTCTCGATCTCCTGACCTCGTGATCCGCCCGCCTTGGCCTCCCAAAGTGCTGGGATTACAGGCGTGAGCCACCGTGCCCGGCCTCGGGTTGGGTTTAATTACAGCCCCCTGACACTTTAAGCTAAGACTTTGCTAAAAACAATGACTGTTTGATATTTAATAGCTGGTCCTGGGGTGAAGACCAGAGATATAAAAAAGGTTAGAACTTTCATAAATACGGGCAGAACTAAACACCAACAAAGCTAGAGGGTAACTGATGGACTTTGATGGAGACCTTTGAATAAATCACAACTTTTTCTTTATGTTATTATGAATGACTTGTGACGTTTTTCAAACAACTTTTGTTAAGCACTGAACTTCAGGAACGGTGGCTGGAGAGCAATCTAGGCCAAACATTTGAGCCTATGGATCCTTTCCAAATGAAAGCAAGAACAAGTACACAAGCACAGAAAGGAGATAGGTGCATCTAATCCAGCTCATGGATCACATCTGAAGTTTCCCTTGTCCTATTCAACCAATTGGTTATTTCCAGCCAAATCCATAAGGGGACCCACATGCTTTTACCATGCTTTGAATTCTGCAATGTACCTGATCTTCCCTAGAAGCTGCGGAGTGAGCCCTCCGTGTTTGGCTTGTTTGCGGCCTGCTCCACTAGTTAGCCAGTTTGCCAATACACCTGCTTCCAAACCACCTCACAACAATTTCCCAACATGCTTGGCTGTTTAGTGGACAGGCTACCATGGAATGCCATGAAGGACGGCATTGACACTGGGGAGATCTTTCGGCACTGACACTAAGGAGATCCTTTATGTGGAGAGGGAGCAGTTGGGGCTGCTATGGAATAACCAGGAGATTTCCAGCCACCTGGGAGAAGGAAAGCTGAGGTGCAATTCCTGAATACTCATGCTTAACAATTCTAATCTCATTCTAAGGGAAGAAGCCAAAATGTGATTCCTGTGGTATTTGCCAGGAATATTAATGCAGACAAATGGGGTGTGACTGGTTCTGCTTTTGGAAAATGCAGCAAGTGTGTCAGTCACTGAGGACTTTAGCAGTTATTGTTTTACAAGCATCCCCAAAGTCCTGACATCAAACACATCTTACCACACTGAACAGAGCTGTGGAAAGCAAGAAGTACAGTTGAGACACAAACATAGCTCCACTAGAGAGAGGGAAATTCGGGACAGGAAAGGAGAGGCATTTGGATTAAAGGATGAGGAGATGTGTATGTACCTACCATGTTAGTCAGGTTACTGCTAATAGTTTCACAGACTGGGTTCCTTTTTGCAGCCCTTTTTGTAAAAGCACATAGAAGAGAATGGAAAGTTCTGAGGTTGCTCAATGAGATATGCAATCTTCTGGTTCTGCCTCACAGGCTTAATTCTAGCCCAGGCTCACATTTAAGGTATCCCCCATCTTCGAGTCATCCTGAAAGATCTTGGCTGTCAAAGACTCACAGGAAGGCTCCTCAGAGTCTCCATTGCTGGGATGTGTACACCGTGGCCAGCACTGTAGGATTTTCACAATCTCGGTTGATATCTGCCAACTGCTGAAATACTTCTCAGAATCAAATTACAGGGCTAAGGGGGACTCCCAAATAGTAACAGGCAGATGGTAAATACAGAGGTTGTTGGATGGTTACAATTGGGGATACTACAACGTAAATTTCTGATGATTCTTTCACCCCAACTCTCCTAATATTTCCTAGCCTCTGACCAAGAATTTGGTAAAGTGTGGCAATTTCCAATAAAAAGTACAGCTATTGAGCTTTTTCTCTGATTTGCTTCATTATGCATGCAAGTTGAAACCTTGTTTCCTGCAGATGATGCTAATATCAATGCCAAACTACTCAACGAGGTCACCAGAAATTTCTGAACTCACTGTTTCAGGGTTCCCTCCTGCCTGTCTTCTGATCTACTCATTCATTCACTCACTCATCCACCAAATATTTCTTGCATATTTCTATGTTATAAGGCTTGATATATATTGATGACTTGATATATATTGATGTCTCTTCCTTTGTGATGCCTGCTATAATAACTAAAAGCAGACATATCATGAAATCACTACTCATTTGGATAAGTGTTACAAAGGACCTTCATAAAGATTCAGTGGGCTGGGCACAGTGGCTTACACCTGTAATCCCAGCACTTTGGGAGGCCGAGGCGGGCAGATCACGAGGTCAGGAGATCGAGACCATCCTGGCTAACATGGTGAAACCCTGTCTCTACTAAAAATACAAAAAATCAGATGGGCGTGGTGGCGGGCGCCTGTAGTCCCAGCTACTCGGGAGGCTGAGGCAGGAGAATCATTTGAACCCGGAGGCAGAGGTTGCAGTGAGCCGAGATTGCACCACTGTACTCCAGCCTGGGTGACAGAGTGAGACTCCATCTCAAAAAAAAAAAAGAGAGAGATGCAGTGATGGCAAATCTACTAGAAGAGGGTGGACCAGAAAAACCTCTCTGAAGAGGTGGCTCTTGATCCAAGACCTATAGGATAAGAAGAAGTCAAGCACACAGAGTATGGGAAAGGGCACCCCAGGCAGAAGGAACAGAACGTATAAAGCCGAGTGGTGGAAGGTGGTTTTGATGGGCTCAGGGGGAAAGGGGCCAGTGGAAATGATGCATGGTGAGTCTGAGGATAACTGAAGCTAAAGAAGTGAGCACAGAGAGCTCTGTCAGCTAGGGACAGTGAATATTCTCTAAATGCAATGGGGAGATACTCAAACGGTTTACTGGGGAAGACATGACCTGATTTGTATCAGATGGAATGTGAAAATAAATCAAACTAGAGTAGAAGTAGAAAGGGAAGCACTCTGTATGGCAAAAACTGCAAAATTCTTCCTAGTAGCCATTCTCCACTCCTGCCTTATTATGAGAACTCCAATTTTACTCTGGAGAGCAGCAGGCCCAGTCAAAAATTATATTTCTCGCATTCTTTGTAGTTAGGCATGGCCAGGTATAATAATTCTGCCTAATGAAACCTACATGGAAGTTGGCTGGGGATGGATTTTTGGGCAAGTTTGCTTTCTTGCTATAATGACGCAACTCCTTCCTGTGTCTTTCCTTCTCTTTTCTTATGTGATTTCAGCTGGAAAAAGAAGATGTGATGGCAGGCGAAGCAGCAGCAACCATCGTAGACAACTATCCAGGTAAAGCGAATAGCACCAGAGAGACCTCAGACCTGGCAGCCTTGAACCACTGGACCAGTACCAACAAACCCCACATCTGGATTTTACTGTGTCCAGAGAGAAACATCTTCTACTTGTTTCAGATACCGTTTGGCAGAATTTTCTGTTACTCACATGTGGATGCCGTGTCTAACTGACACATCAAGTAACCAAAGCCTGACTTGGGTGGTGGCGGTTACAATGAAGAAGGGTGGGCCGAATCGGGGTATATTTTTGAAGGAAGAAACAATGGGACTTCTTGATGACCTAGAAGTCAGTTGTGGTGGTGGGAGATGGCAGATATATAAAAAGTACAAGACTTTGGCTTGAGAATTTATGAGAATGGGAAGGAAAAACCAGAAGAGGAGCAGGTTTGAAGATTAAAAGCAAGGATTCCACTTTTGATATTTCAAAGTTGAGGTGCCTAAGAGGCAGTCTCCACTCCTGTGGTTTCCAGGAGACAGGATCTTGCTGGTCCTGCCCCACCCCTTCATTCACTCCTTCTCAGGGAGTGATGAGCCAGCCTGCCCAGGGGGAGTGCCTGTTCTGCTCACCCACTCCCTTGTTTAGGCATCCAAAGTGTAGCCTCCAGGTAATGTGGCTGGGGCCTTCAGTGCTGCCTGAGGCTGGATGCTCAACACAACGTCCAACATTCAGAAGCCAATTATTGCTGTAAATCTCCACGTCATTTTCCAATTTGGTGGTAATACCAAAAAGTATTTGTAGTCCCACATACTACACTTTTCTGTCCCTCTCTCAGTTGCTTCAAATATGGGCCAACTTACACCTATATAATGACAGGTAGACATTTTGCGTTCTTTCAGCCACATCACAGGGGCATTTTAATAGGTGCCTCTTTCAATAGTTACTGCCAAAGAAAACGAAGTTCTCACCTATTCATGGCTGCCCTCTTATCTTTATTGTTAGAGCCAAGGGTTGAGTCTTCCTTGCTCATTAGGACTATAAACTGCATGGAAATTAGAACTTATTTAAAATTGATGCCAGTGAGCAAAAGATAAAAACATACAGTAATCATTTCACTGTTCAGGCATATGACTTCTTACCATAACTCTGAAGAAAGTGTATTATTAGAATTGTTTTACTATGCTCTCTCTCATTTTTCTCTACCAGTTCACTCTTACCTTCCCTCCATCCACTGATCCATTCTCTTCTTCCCTCCTTTAAAAACTGCTGTAAATATTGCTTTTTAAAAATTCTATCCCTAATAACCTTAGAGTTTCTAGACATACACTCTTAAGTAAAGGGCCATTCCTCAAGGCTGGTGAATCTAGGTAATGTGGTCTGGTATCAGTCTGTGTGAAGACAGAAGTCTTATTTTTCCTATTCCTTTTCTTTAAAGACAGATTGGTCTTATACTGGATATTTGATCACTTATCGGAATTTACATTTGGGAATTTGTTATATCATATGCTACGCTGCTGTAAAACCTGTCTTTGATAAAGTCATGTAAGATACTTTTACATTTAAGATCTCAGTTTTGCCCTCTCTTCCATCCTATCCTGACAGATACATTATTCCTTGTGTTTGCACTGATGAAAGAGGTGATAGGCATTTTGGCACACTATATCACAGAAAATAGTACTTATCTTCAGAATGGAAATATACATCCCATATGTCACTACCACATAGGGCCCTGCACCTGGTATGGAATGGAGCATGGCATTGTTACAGTGTCATTCAATGGCTTTTACCAAGCAAGAGAACATCGGCAGCTGTGATGCATGATGCCACTGTGACATTAACTACAGACACAGATAGAGTGCCCATAAAAAAAATATACGCCCTTTTTTTGAATAGAGCCCTGGGTAATTACCCTGACTATTGTTCTAAGAGAAAGCCCCACTTACACCCCTTCATCATTTAGACTCTGGACATAAAAAAAAAATCACTGGCATTGAGTAGTTAAGGCAATTTGCTTTCCAAATGAAGAAAGGACAAAAAAATCTCTACTCTTGAGTTGCCCATTTTGACAGCCACAGCTCCCCCAGATAAAAGATCCTGAGGAGTTTTTCTGATAGTACCCTTTTCCTACACAGAGCCCAAGGAAAATGTGTTCAAGTTTGCTTTCTACTGTCAGCACTAGGAGGACATAGGGGTCTGTGCGGACAGCCTGCAGGTGAACGGTGGCGGCCCTGCAGCTATGATATGAACCATGGTGGGTCCAGCAGGCACAGATGCATCTAGCTGCCCTGCCCTGGTGGCCAGGCTTGCTGTTCTGAGGAAAAGCTACAGAAACGTTGCTCACCTTGAGAAGTAAACTCTCAGGGCAGGGTCCGTGTTCCTCCAAGTTGCCACAGAACATGAAATAGGTTATGAAGTTTGCCATTCAATATGGAGTAAAAATGGGAAATTATTGAACTACTTACCCCCAAATGAAAAAGTAAAATTAATAAAAAAGAAAAGGCAAAATCACAACAAAAGAGATGGCCCCCAAAATTTTACTTACATTGAGTGAGAATCCCAGTTAAGGCATTTTTAAAATTCTCCTTGGCTTCCTCCATCTCTTGCTCATGGGTGGCTTTTTCATTCATTAGCCGGCGGACGTGGCTGTTGGCCGACTGCACCATGGAATAGAACTGGTTTGCAGAGCGCCGATTCACTTCCCCTCGTTCAATCCAGGAAAGCAGCACTGTGATAGCCTCTGAAAACTTGCTATCATCTGGAAATGGAAAACCACCAAGTACAAATCATGCCAAGATGAGAAAATACACTTTATTCTTGTTCCTCTCAAAAGACAGAGCATAGTCCAACCTAGTGGATATATTTTCAGAACTCAGCAAGTTAGCTTTCCTGAGACTGACTGCCATATCATCACTTAACTTCTCTTTTCCCATCTAACTTCAGGGCACCACAGAACCACTCAGGAGGTTCACACTCTCATCTACCAACTCCATGAGCTCAGCTGTAGGAGATTTGTTCTGGGCATTCTTAGGAATAAGGTACAGCCTCATTCTTCCACCAAACCTTGATTTCTCTTTCTTAAGATGGACTTGAAAAACTGTTACTAACCTACTTGGCCTCCACTTCATTTCTTTGTTCCTTTATCAAAAATATTATACAGTGTTACCAGTTTTCTCATTTATAGAATCAGCTGAGTTAGTATTAAAATGTGGAAGAAAGATTGGATTTTTTTAAAAGTGTTTGTAATGTATGGTATTGTCCCTAAGGCAGGTAGTAGGAATAAGTCAATTCTTGTTCTACTGTAGTTCAAAACTAATTCCATTTTAGGGCTAATACCATATATTTAATTAGGCTGAAAAATAGAATATTTCCTAATTTTCCACAAAAGAGAACATGTTTCCTGAAGTGTTCCGTGTTTGCTTTAGATGGCTATGGAGAGCCCATCTGAACCCAGTTTGAGATGTATGTGCATGGTGTGGCGGGGGGATAGGAAGTGGGAAATGAAGTTCCGCCTGAAAATAAGTGATAAAGTCTATTTCAAAGAAAACAGACTTGCCTATTTGGGGATGGTTACTGGAACAAACCCGTGTTGTATGGCTTGGAGGTGGAGAAAAAGAAAGTTTGTGGGTGATTAAGTTAATTAGAACTGGAAGTTGTATGTCAGTTGTTAGAACATTAACCAATCTGACTACTGCTGAAGGCTCATTGCCTACTTTCCAGGCAAACCTGAGGGGAGAAGCTTTTCATTGTGTTCTGCAATCCCTAGAAAATGTGCTTTAGGGAAAAATACCCTACATTTTTACAAGTAAACTAGGTAGACTCTGAATTCTAAAAATCAGGAGCAAAATTAGATTGAAAGATTCAGATTCTCACCCATTCATTTAAAAAATACTGAGTGCCTACTGTGTGCCAGGTACTGTCCCCTCCACTGGAGGGGCATCGGAGACATCCTTATGTTGTTTGCATATAAACATACATACACTCCACATGAATAGACAGGGGGAGATGCATGCTTGAGAAAAAGATTTCGTTTCACTCACCAGATTTTAAAATCAATCATTGAGTTCTTATTAGTATTTTACACATCATACGAAACCTTCCCACCGTTGAGTGCTTTGTAAATTTATAGGGTGCTTTACAAACATCTTTAGTATCTTTTCTCCCAAAGACCTCCTCCCAGACCAGGAGTACAGCTTCCTTAGCATGGCTGCTGCTTGCCCAGGAGGTGTGTGTCCTGAATGAAGGTGGGGCTGAACCTAATTCAAGGTCCTACGGCTGAACTCTGGAAACCTCTGCCTTCCCCAGGAAAGAAAGCAGCTTTTAGGGATGTACCCATGCTCAGGCACCATTCTAAGTCCTCTCCTGCTGCACAGCAGCCTTCTAGATTTGGGGATCAAAGGTTTTTTTTCTGAGCAAACCTGCCCCCCTGCCCTCACACTTTAACCAGAGGAGATAACTGGCCTGGGAATGCCCACAAAACACCCTGTGAATGACAGACTCAAGTTTCCTTGAAAATCTCAACCCATAGGCACAGAACACACTTACTGAGTATCGTAGCCACTTATACCATTTTGTTAACTCTGGAATTTCAGTCTAAGTTCAACCCTCAGTGAACTCCAGCTGCAATGGTTTCTTATCTCATTTCATGGACCGAAGCAGCTTGTGTAAGATAAAATCTATCACACAACTTAACATTACGTTCAGCCCATGGAGAGGCCCATAATTTAGCATGATGTTTGTGAGAGGCCCACTGCAACCGTTACTGGCAGAATAAATTGTGCCTCCCTCCACACTCTCTACCTCTCTTCCCACCAATATATGTTAGGAGAATGGACCTCAGAACAGACAGCAGAAATAAACCTAATGCTTAGAAGAAATCTTTTTTTTTTTCCTCTGAAAAGATAACAACAGAAAAAGAGAACACTGACTTCATGTACTATTTTTCCCCTTTGCTGTGAGTTTCATGTCTACATAACACAGAGAAAGAAAAATCCTTAACATTTTTGTTATGAGCTTTGCAGGGACAGAGTGTAATGCTGTTCACCTCTTTCTGTCATATACAGGTAGTTTTTCCTTCTCTTGCTTGTGGTCGCTTAGTTCATAAATAGACTAACTTTACTATCAGGAAAAAAAACACTTCAATTTTAAAAATGCATGTTTGCTCAAATGCTCTGAAAGCCACATTTTATTGCCCTTCACACCTAGACCTAGAGCACAATAAGTTCACCAGCAGATTATAGTTTCAGAAAGAGGAAACAATATTCTTAGGATTAAGCCACTGAAAATACACAATTTCAAAAGTAAGTAGCCAAGAGATTTTCTAACATGTTAACAAGTACTAGGAAGCAGAATTCCATTAGCCTAAAAGAGGAATATAGTTTCAAAGACTCCCAATTTCATCTTCATTTCTGAACTTTCTGAAACTGACAGGCCGATATATGATTGATGTACTGACATTCAAATTAAATTAAAAAAACATTAGTTAAGGCATGCTTGATAACTCCAGTCAATATTTGTTGCCATGTAAGAAGTGACTTTAATTTATATTAATTAAGACTAAGTCAGTAACTCCCTCTGGATGGCTACAGGAGGATATTGGGAGCGGTCATTTTCAATACTCAACTGTAAATTCAATTTTGTATTCAGTGGAAAGATCACTGAGAAAGCAGAAAACAATATAAACTAATTTAAACAGGATTTAGATTGCAGCATTATTAAAGCTATTCATGTGGAAAGAAATTAACACTGCTTGTAAAAATCACATCAAACATGCACTTATAAAAATTCCAAATACTTTCTGTGAACATGCTCAGGCATAACTCTGAACTGGATGCAGTTTAGAAGCTAGAATGTGCAGATGTGCTTTTTCCACTATAAGAATTGAGAACGATTGGTATATGATGGAGTGAATATAAATCATTTGCTCATTAGAAATTACCCACCGTTTTCTAATCAGGTCCTCACAATGTTAATGCACCTGAGTTAATGGACAGGTCCATTCACGGGTCTTGCCTTTTTCCCTTCCATCCGTCCGTCCCCGCTTCCTTTGCCAGAGCCCTCTTTGTTAAACAGCACGGCGTGCCTCCCTGCATCTGCTCATGCTGTGCACTTATCCTTGGGTCTCTCCCACTCCTGGTCCCCCTGGTCAGCTGTTATTCTTCCCTCAAGATTCAGCGTAAGTGCCCTTTAATAAAGAAATCTCTTCTGCAACTCTAGGATGAATTAGGTGTCTCTTTGCTATGTTTCCACAATTCCCCGCATATCCTGCTATTAAAGCATTAGTCGCACTGTATGGTAATTGTTGGTTTACAGATCTGTCTCCAGTTTTGAGGGGCTAATATGAGAATAAAATTTCCAAAGACATATTTCTAGACATATTTCTGTCTTCTGGTTACTCTGAGTTTTTCCCTTTGTATTTTATATTTTATTGCATTCTACAGTAGTTCCTCCTTATCCACAGTTTCACCTTCTGAGGTTTCAGTTACCCTAGGTCTCAGTTAACTGTGGTCAACTGCAGACCGAAAATAGTAAATGCAAAATTGCAGATACAAGCAATTCATACATTTTAAATTGCACACTGTTCTGAATAGCATAATGAAATGTCACGCTGTCTCACTCTGACCTGACCGGGATATGAATCATCCCTTTGTCCAGGGTATCCACGTTGTCTACACTACCTCCCTGTGAATCACTTGGTAGCCACCTGGGTTATCAGATCCACTGTAATGGTACAGCAGTGTTTGTGTTCAAGAAACCCTTATTTGGCTTAATAATAGCCCCAAAATGCAAGAGTAGTGATGCTGGCAATTTGGAAATGCCAAAGAAAAGCCACCAAGTGCTTCCTTTACGTGAAAAGGTAAAAGTTCTTCACAATAAAGAAAGAAATTGTATGCTGAGGTTGCTAAAATCTAGGATAAGAACAATTTATCTATGAAATTGTGAAGAAGTAAAAAGAAGCTTGTGCATAGTATATATAGTGTTCAGTACTATCCATGGTTTCAGGCATCCACTGGGGATCTTGGAATGTATCCCCCAAAGGTAAGGGGAGACTACTGTATTCCTAATAGATTTGTAGCAATTAATACTGGAAAGATACAAATGTAATGGTTAAAAGTTAGGAAACATCAGAGTTGATAATAAACATTTAAATTTCATGTCAAAGAGTATTTTCACACATGCCATTATCTACGAGAGATAGATGTTCTCATGACAATTAAGCTGAATGATCCCGTTATACTTCAGGCTTCAGAAGTCATTATCACTGGCAATGAAAGTTAAGAGTGATGTCAGATAATCCCACAGAAGCAAGGCCCTCTGCAGTGAGGCACTAAACAGTTTATCAAATAACTCAAAAATGTTTTTGAAAGCATTTTTAATTCTGGGAACGTAATTGCTCTTTAGCTTTGTGAGGAGTAAATAATATTATAATGATACTATCAGATGTCACCACTGGAATCCACGCCCATCTCATTTCATTTCTGGTTATTTCAGACTTTGTTAACCCCCTTCCTTCTCCCTCTCTTCCACATTTATTGAGTACTTGGCACATAGTAGGCATTACAAAACTGCATATGGGAGAACTCTTTGCTATATTCTAAGACCAGGTGCAGGAGCAGCCTTTGTGAGCTTGTTAAAAACACAGACTCAGCCTTTCTCACACCTCCAGAATTGGAATCTGCATTTTACTCCAGGTGATTTGTACGCACATGGAGGTTTGAGAAACACTGAAGAAAGGACTCAGTGAAGGCCAGGTAAACTGGTTAGGAGCTGACCAAAGTAAGAGATAATGAAATCCTGAAGTGGAAAGTAGCAGCTGAGATACTAGAGACTTTCAAAAGGAATAGATGTGATTCTTAAGAGCTTTGTGAGTCTCTATCCCTGTCCCCACGACCAATTAAATCCCTGTCCCCACAGCTGTCACTTCTATCCAGGAAATAAAAAGGGTTCAAGACTTGGAAATGGGCATAGAGATTACTATAGACCCTTTCTATGGAATGCTGGGCATGAATTACCTAATTCTACAGGGGGTGGGAAACTTTAATTCTTTGGCTAATCTCTGACTAGGCTATTTTACAACTTTGTAGGAGTAGAACATAAATTGTGGCAAACTGATAACAATACAAATAATTCGTCTCTGTAACAATGCAAATTAATTTTTGTTCAGTAGAAAATGTAAATCTTTATAAAGCGAATTCTCCTTCGAAACAGTTTTAACATTTTCTTGGTCTCCTTATTAATTAGTGAGTTAAATAAAATCATTGGCACATGTTCATTTTATATTTGTAAGACAGTCATGATTTCACCGCCACAGTATTCTTTAACAAAAGACAGGGCCCATGCTACAGTCATATCTGAAAGTCCAGGGCATGGCACAAAGCGATGGGTACCTGGTGAATTTTAATTAAACTGATACATAGATAATGATGGGGAAAATAAACCAAATTGGTAAGTGTTTTTTGTTTTTGTTTTTGAGATGGAGTTTTGCTCTTGTTGCCCAGGCTGGAGTGCAATGGCATGATCTCGGCTCACTGCAACCTCCACCTCCTGGGTTCAAGTGATTCTCCTGCCTCAGCCTCCTGAGTAGCTGGGATTACGGGCATGCGCCACCAGGCCCGGCTAATTTTGTATTTTTAGTAGAGATGGGGTTTCTCCATGTTGGTCAGGCTGGTCTCGAACTCCTGACCTCAGGTGATCCACCCATCTCGGCCTCCCAAAGGGCTAGGATTACAGGCGTGAGCCACTACGCCCGGCTGGTGTTTTTTTCCTCCCGCTTTGTGTGCACAGGGAGAAGCAGCCCTGAATTTCAGAACAATAGATAGGATAAGAGCCAAGCCGGGAGCACTGAATACGAAACTTAGGTGGGCTATAGTATCCTTATTTACAGCTGGGTCTATAAAGGAACAATGAGGAGACAGGGATTTTATGTTTGAACGGAACGAGGGAAAACAAGGAAGGCATTCTAAAATGCTTTTCTTTCCAAAGAAATGGAGGGACACACACATGTGTACACACATACACACACAAGGAAAGGTATGTCTGTAGTTATCACTGATTTCTGGCTCCAAAGATAGCTGGAAATTGCTCACAGTGTACAGTCACAGAGTCATCTAAGCAGATTTGGAATTTCAGTATGGTCAAAGCATTGCTGCTATCACAATCCCCAAATTTCTGTACATGTCCCTAAAGAAGTCTCCTTTTCCTGGCTGCTCAATTAACCCCGCATCAACTAACCAGATCACAGACAGCATAAAAGGCTAAACAAAGAGTTAATGTTCCCTTCTACCCCCAAAACACACATGCAATCTCCTTAACTATTTAGTAGCTGTAAAAATGAGAAAATTAAGGGGGCAATATGAAAATGCACTGATTATTCCTGCTTTAGGGTCGAGCAAAATATTTCTTTTTATTTTATTTATTTATTTTATTTATTTATTTATTTATTTTTTATTATACTTTAAGTTTTAGGGTACATGTGCACATTGTGCAGGTTAGTTACATATGTATACATGTGCCATGCTGGTGCGCTGCACCCACTAACTCGTCATCTAGCCTTAGGTATATCTCCCAATGCTATCCCTCCCCCCTCCCCCCACCCCACCACAGTCCCCAGAGTGTGATATTCCCCTTCATGTGTCCATGTGATCTCATTGTTCAATTCCCACCTATGAGTGAGAATATGCGGTGTTTGCTTTTTTGTTCTTGCGATAGTTTACTGAGAATGATGATTTCCAATTTCATCCATGTCCCTACAAAGGACATGAACTCATCATTTTTTATGGCTGCATAGTATTCCATGGTGTATATGTGCCACATTTTCTTAATCCAGTCTATCATTGTTGGACATTTGGGTTGGTTCCAAGTCTTTGCTATTGTGAATAATGCCAAGCAAAATATTTCTAAATAAAACGGCCTATCTTGCCTCTATGAAGGTCAATAACACATAAGGAAATAATTTGCAAACAGGCTCCTATGTTTCATATTTCCCTTACTCTATGAAGGAAGCCTGGCTTTTAGCTAATGGGACATCCACTTGGCTCATAACATTATTGATTTTTACTTTCATGGAACCATAAATACTGACAACCATCTCAGCAAAATGCTGGTACCACATCTGCCCCTTCCTCCCTCTGGCAGGCTGACATGAGGCTATTCTATATGCAAATAAGAGTCCAGTTCTCTGGAAATTATGAATGTTGATCCCAGGAGGATGGTATTCTTGTTGACACATCAGGAAATCCCAAAGGCCCTGCCTGCAAGGCTTTGTCAGGACGTCACCTAATTCAGAGAGAAACTCTTCATTTCATCACAAAATGAAAGATTATGTGAAGCTTTCTAAGGGGGTACAAAGTACGTAAAAACTTTTAAATGCTCTTGCCAAGAGAAATCCCGGTGAATTAGAATATAATCCTTCCTCACTGTCTAATCAATCTCTTCCTCCCACAGTCCAAACACAGGGTTCCTCCAGGGGTGGATGGTCTGTGTTAGACACACTGAAATTCATTATCTCATCTGCCTGGTTGCCACTGTTTCCAATAAAGTGTAATTATGGTGTTATTGAGCTCCTTCCCACTTTCTCAAAGCCATGCTATAAACTTTGGGTTTCTGAGCAGTTACTTCCCAGTCGGTCTTCATTAAGTTGAATTGTCTCGGAACAATGTCTGTTTAACCAGCAGGATGCTTACTAATTTTCTTTTTTAGAATTTGTATTAATGTAACAGGCACTGGGTGACTCCATGTCTCAGGCACTACACAAATACAACACAGTGTTACCTCTGGTTTCAGAAGGTCAAGTAGCCAGTGAATGGGATAACCTGGTCCCAGAAGATCCTCCCTCTCTCACTCCAGCACTGCCCATCCGGGCTGGCTATCTCCCCTGTGACAGCACTGTGCACTTCCCACATATAACAGGAGGATTATTATATTTATTATAATAGTGCACTATTATAAGTGGCAAACGCAAGGTGATTTGTTATTGCCTGTGTCACTCAAGACACCTAAACTCTTTGAGGCAGGGGCTTGTTCACCGTTGTCCTTTCCACCACTGGCTAGGACAGCGCCAGTCATATGGTAAAATGCTGATTAACGAATACTTCTTGAGTGATTGGAAGGATGGCTGAGCACACATCACATCATTTCCATGTACATCTGGTCATGCCCAGTAGAACCACTGGACAGAAATTCAACGTGCTCATAGATCCAAATAGCAGAAGAAGAGAGAAAATAATTATTTTTACTGAGCACCTACTATGTGCACAGTTTTAGCATTGGACAGGACATGGAGAGGGCCTTGTGGGTCATAAGAAAGACTTGGTTTGTACAGATTTTGCTAAATAAAGCTGATTTTCAAAGAGAAAATTGTAAGAATAAACAAGTATGATATAAAATAGAGGAAAAGTATCTGTAATAAATCTAAGTAAGATTTCTCAGGGGAGGAAAAAAATCAAATCCAATTAGGTATTTTCAGATTGCATTTCCATTTCCTTTCTGACACAGATTTCTTTACCTTAGGTATTGACTGTATTTTATGTCCCCACATCAATGAAATCATCTTCAGGGAAACAGTGTCCTCAGCTCCTCCTGTCTGGCTTTGCAACATTATAAGGAGCATGGAGTGGATTTCCTCTCTAAGGCAGCCAATTTCCTAAGCAATTAAATGCTGTTTATATTCCAAACTCTATGCTTGGGTTGAAATTGTCAAGCTTGATATTACCTGACTCTTGCCTAAGATGTATCCCCAGCTAGTTCATTCTACTGTAACAGCCATCTATTAAAATTTCCAATCTGTTCTTTCCTCAAGGGATCACACAGTACTTGGCAAAGGTACAGCTTCTGAATTCTGTAAATTATACTCATCTATATAAATATATACTTTTGAAATGGCAAGGCTTGCAAATTACTTTACCAAATTGACATCCCAATCTGTTATCCTCTAAAAGGAGCGGCAAATGCCACATACTTCATACGTGCGGAGACACTTCTGTACTGGGTTCTTAAAAACAACATAACTAGATGATACGCTTTTATGAAATTCCTCCAGGAGGTCACAGATCAAGGTGCAGTTTTTGTCACTTCTAGGTGTGGACAAACTGAATACAGTTAGTCTGTGTAGATCATAATCTGATACCACAATACATTGGATATTAAAGAAAAATTATTGTTCCAGTGAATACTCCTTGTTGAGAACATTGCTGCTGTATCTCATTTTGGCCACTCCTTATGGTTTCTAGGCTGGAGGGAAAAGTGAGATGATATCTGTATCTGCACTGCATATGCCCTTTATTAAAGGCACAGCCATGGCCTATGTATTTACATCAGTAAGACATGTTTTCTCAAAGCAGCAGACACACCACAAGAGCATCAGCAAGAAGCATTCCTTGGTTACGGTGCGGGTATTTCAGTGGCAGCTGCAGTTGATTAAGGATTCTCAAGCCCTGGATGGGGGATGAAGATTGGAAGCACAGCACCCCCGCTGCCACCTTTTTTTTTTTTTTTTTAAAGCATAGAATGTCAACTTCCTATCTTCCTAAAATAGGTGTTAGGCAGCTTTTCATACATTTTTTTTAGTGAAAACATCCAATCCACTTTATACACTGCCAGCAATACACCAGCTATGTTCTAAAACACTTGAAGGATCAATCACATCCCTCTTCTCATCAGAAATCTGTTAATGGCTTCTCCACTGTTTATGGAATAAAACCCAAATCCAGCAATAGCCTTCAGGGCTCTGCCATCTGGCCCAGACTGCCATTCCAGCTTTACCTCACTCTAGAAAGGCAGCTTCTATGCTGAATTCCTTTCTGCTTCTGTGGGTTTTTATTCTTAGGTCTCCAGCCTCTAACTAGAATGCCTTTATGCCTCTTTTTATCCTGGGGAAAAAAATCTTATTTATTCTGCAAATTTCAAATTATGCCTCCTCTATAAAGACTTTCTTGACACTTTCATCAACATTATTTGCACTGGCCCCTGAGTCCCCAAAGCATATTGCATTTACCTTGGTTGACAATCATGCCATTGACTTGGTATTACAGTTAATTGTTTATCTGTAGACACCTACATGTGGCCACCAACTGTGACTTACATTCTCTCATCAAATCCTGACAGTGCTCAGTGACCTCAGGAGGGTCTGACCATCATTTGCCTGTAAAATGCCCATATGTTGCTCAGCTCACACAACTTTGGTCAGTAATAGAACTGAATTCACATGTCATCCTAACTTCAAAATCTGGCATCACTGTAGTTCACGGGGGCAGGTACCAGAGCCTTCCTATGTCTTTATTTCCCACAGCATAAAACACCAGGGAGGGCCTCAGAAAACATTAGAAGAAATAAAACATACTCTCTTCTCTTGCTAGTCATCCTGTAAATGTTGCATGTGTCCCTTCAACTGCATCTCTGAAGACAGGGATCCCATTCTATGTTTCTTTTCTATCCTCGATGGACCCTAGTACCATGTCTGCTGTTTTGCCTGAAGAAGGCTTTAGGAGTCTGGTAAACATGCACACTCTATAGAGCTGGAGGAACACTAAGAACGCCCCACCAATGGCACAAATAGTTGCTGGCTCATTAAACACTGGGTCAGAAGATAATAGCCTGCTTTGGGGACCTTTCTGTCCCCTCATTCAGTGAGTTTTGTTGAGTGACTGTACATACACTTTTATGGAGAACATGGGTGAGCATTCTGGAAAGGGGCAGGGGTCTGTCCCAGGCAGAAGATGAAGCCCAGGTGTCTGCAGCTTCCAGGAGACCCCCCAGCTAACCCCACCCCAGCTCTGTAAAGAGTCTGTGCTTACACCAGACTCTTACAGCCTTCTTAAGGCATAGCAGACATTGTGCTGAAGGGACAATGGTGGACGCAGGAGAAACGCACAGGGTTCCGTGTCTGGGGATCCCTGTGGAGGAAGAAAAGCCAGCGTGGGTGGCCCATACCTTTCAGCTTTTCAGCCAGCAGAGCGGCTTCGTGCTCCGAGTAGTGCATTATGGCAGGCGGGGATGGGGGCCTGAGCCGGTCCTCCTCCAGCTTGCGCCGGTGCCGCTCCTCCCGGGCACGCATCCTCTGCTTGCATTCCCACTCATAGAAGTCATCCCTGGCCTGGGCAAAGTCCACATGAAGGCGGCCTGAATCCTTTTTGTCGGTGCTAGACCCTAATCGCATCCTATAACCTGAAACCAATGGAAACTCTGGTCACACCATAATGTAACAATGGCCACAGTTTTGGTCCAGACCTTCAAGGCACGCTTAGGCAAATGCTCACTTATTTCTTGGCTGTCACTACGGATACATTTCCCATAGGAAGCGGGAAACAATTATCCTTTTCCCCAGCAATCTTGAAGCTCTGTAAAGTTAGGCCTATTACAGGTTTGGGGATAAACACACCTTGGAGAGCTGTCTCAGAGGGCTGCTTACCCATCTTCCAAACCAGTATCCCCAAGAGAAGATGATCTCAGGAACTAGGGTCTTATCATGATCATTCCTTCTTCTCCCTGGCTTCTAGGAAGCTCAGAAACAAATTTGGCATGGAGCATTTTTTTTCTCTACCTTTTTATGGCCTTGGTTTTATTATATTTTCAGCTTACTATAATTCTACTGTATAGGTGAAATATGAGTAAATAAAGAGCATCTATGATATTTAAAAAGATCTACAAAGTGAATTCCAGACACCTCACTCACAGGTTATTGCTACATTCCCCCAGAAAATGCTGCTGCTCAATTCTCTCTCAGCAGCTGCAAAAGCCACAATTACCAAGGCAATTTTGCAATGCTGTTTTATTTCCACTTATCCTCTGGGGTGCGCAGGAGAATATTTTACCTTCGATCAAGAGGCCTCGCCGCTGCCTGCCTCACAGCCCTGCAGCACCTCATCTGGTATGCAGCACCACACAAATTGTTCATGTAATATTTTAAGGCCACAGCAGCCCCGTGCAAGAGCCCAGAGCTAGACAAAGAAAAAAATGGGCCTGGAAATCTTTGGGGGATTCACTGTGAGCTACCCAACTTAGATAAAGATTATGAGCAGAAATTTGATCTGAGAGATCAACACTAACAGAACTGAAACCAGTCAGCCGGCCTAACTTCAAATGAAGAAGAGTTGACTTTGAGGTTGCTCTTCAGTTTGGGGTACTCAGATTTTCAGAACATAAATCCAGGTCCCAGCAGAGACACAGCTGCTGGGGGCTGCCAGAGGAGAGAGCAACATAAGCACTTTTCCAGTATGGGGGCTTTGCAAATGAGATACAACTGTAAAATGCTAGGCTGCACTGTGCTGATGTTCAAGATCTCATGGTAGATTTCAATGGATTATTTTAGCACTTGGGGATAAACCTCAGCTGAAAATCTCTGTAGAGGCTGGCTCCTCCCCAGGATGCCACTTCACACCTTTGAAAAGTTACAAATAAGATATTGACTTCACATCTGGTTTCTGTGATGCCTTGGAACCCTTCTCACTGCTAGATTTTCAAGTGTTATCTGAAAATGGGAAGACATAACAATACCAATCAAAAACAAAAACATCTAATCACAGATGTGCAGAATTAATGCAAAAGCAAAATGTATCTTGGTTGTGGGCCATGGGAACTTAACAAGTCAGCAGGCCACAGTGATACACGCATAACAGCTGAGCAGGCAGGACTGTTTAAACTGGCCAGCTATCCCAACTGGCCAAGCACCTTTCCCCTGCTCATGTCCAGAGAAGCAGTTTTCAAACATTTCTGGCTCCAGAAACACCCTCACTTTCACAGAAACATCATCATTAAGGACTTAAAAGAGACCCTGATGAGGCTGAGTCTAAAATTAGCTAGGCCTTCAAACGTGAATGTGGTCCTAAAATTAGACAGGCCTTCCAGCTGGGCTTGGGCTTGGGCTTGCTGGAGCCCACAAACAGGAGGGGCCGCCTGACTTCCTTCCTGCCTTTCCAGTTAATTGGCCTTGCAGATCTTCCTGGGACTGACGCTGCAGCCTCTCAAGGGCAGGGAGGCAGAGTTAGGAGGCTCCTCTGCACCCAGGTAGGGAAGCTGGAGGTGAGGCCTAGCTGTCTTCTCCTCCTACAGTAATGGGGCAGACCAAGGAGCAATCAGAGACTTGCTGAGAGAAGCGGGACCAGCACCCAGGCTGGAAAATCATAGGATCAAGGTATAATCAAGGAGCACCTTTCATATGCCTAAATTTGGGACTGTTCATCTTTGTCAGTGTCTTATGAGGCTTCTGATTGGGTGTGAACATTGTGTTGTATTAGTGTTGAAAAGGGCCTCTGATTTACTCTAACCTTCTCATTTAATCAAGTAGGGTAAAGAATACAGTTGACCTGTGAGCATGGGTTTAATCTGTGCAGGTCCACTTATAGGTGGATTTTTTTCCAACCAAATGTGTATCCAAAACACAGCATTCGAGGGATGTGAAACCCACATATTTGGAGGGCTGACTTTTCATATACATGAGGGTTCTGCAGGATATACATGGGGCGGGGGCGGGGGGTCCTGGAACCAATCCTCCAAGTGTACTGAGGGATGACTGCAGTTTTCTTGGTACAGCTGTGATTAGAAGCCAGGTCCCCAGGATAGGGTTCTTGAGATAGAAAAATCCGTCCTTCTTTATCATCATCAGGATATTTGTGTTAAAAACAACCATTTCCTGAATGGTTTCTATGTTGCAGGTGCCCTGCTAAGCACTTAATATCCATTATTTGATTTATTCCTCCTCACAGTCCTACGAGGTCATGCTGTTACTATCTTTATTTTATAGATGAGAAAATGGAGGCAGGCTCTAGGCCGTGAAACCCAGTGCCACAAACTCACCAGAACCCCCGTTGTCTAACAGCGGATTGTGTGTTATGAAATGTCTTCATTCTAGGCTTTGTCTTCCTTCTCCATTTTGTATTGCTTTTAGTTTTTATTTTCTACTTTGTAAGGTTTTACTGAAATAAGGGGTTTTAAAGTTCTCCATATCACTGTCTACCTTAGGAAAGTCTCTGCAGTATTGGAATAACCTCAAGTCTTCTGGAGTTTGCACAGAATTTCGTGGCAATAGAGGTGGACTGCAGAAATTAAGTAAAACCTGGCAGGAATGCTCAGATAGGTCCCCCTGCCCCTCCCCACCCCCACCCGCTACTGTTTTCCCACATTCCCCCATCAGCTTTGCCTCAGGAATAGGGAGGTGAAATGCAGAGGGACAGACTGAAAAATGGAGGTGGGGAGTGTGAGGGAAGGGCAGTGAGTTCAGTCTGAGAATGTGTCCTTCCAAAGCCAGCCCCTAATTCTTGGGTTTGGCAAAGGCCTTGCGGACAGACTCCATTCACTTGGCCCAATACCCACAGATGGGAAGGCAGCACTAGGCCTAATCTCAGTATCTGTAAAAATCGCCTATAAAAATTGACACCAGAGGACAAGGCTTAATGAACCACCAACGAGGCAATGATACTGGGCCTTCTCCTAGGGCCCCTAAGCTACTTTCCTGCAAGGAACTGACCTTGCTTTGGTACCTTGGTGTCCAGAAAGTGAATCCACTTCCAAAAACCTGAAATTATTCTGAGAGAGTACTTTACTCCTCCTAAGGATTACATCCAGTAAGAATAATGGTCCTTAGTACTCATAATATTGCTTCTCATCTAATAAGCACTTGAGAACATTAATTAGAAACTCGATGGAATTCCTAAAGACTGGATGGTGGGAAATTGCTCCTGCAGTGAAGTACCTTCACAGGCTTAGCGCAGAGCTTCTGGCAGCCAAGGAAGAAGGCAGAATTCCTCCTTTTCCAGCCCCAAACTATGAAGACTTTATTTTGCATGAAGGCCAAAGGGAATAAGCTCATATTAACATCACAAAACATAACAAAATGCCTAGAAAACTCCTTATGTAATGCAAAGTACCAGAAAGGTAAATGGCTTTATCAACCATGAATTCCTCTGCAAAGCGAATGTGACAAAAATTCTTCTTGCTTTTCCGAATTGCTGTAATATCACCGCACTGTTCAAAGACTTCTTGAATAATTTCCTCAGTAGCATTTTCTGGTAATCCTCCGACAAACACGGTCTTACACCCAGGAGGTCGTTCTCTTGTGGAAGGAGGTGGAAGATCTAATAATCACAACAAAACAGAAAGTTTTATCTTTCATTTATTTGCTTTCTCTGGTTCTCCTGGCAAAACTAAAGCTTGCAGAGTAACTTTCTCCAGACTGAGTGACGGTAAATTTCTATGCCAACTTAACATTGATCCCAGGCTGTCTTGTTTCTAAGTTCCTCTCCCCTCCTGCTCCCAACCTTTACTTTCTGTGTTCATTGCTACACAGAGTGGCTATATGCTTGTCCATGAACAAAGATAAAGCAAATGTTTGCATAATTTCATTTCTCCTTTATACTACAGAAGCCCAGAAAAGGGAGGGAAAAAACTTCCCAAAGTACAAAACATGACGAAATGACAACATGATGAAAAACCTCAGCGTGTTATCTGCTTTGTCTTGTTTCCAGATAAAGGAGCGGCAAAACAGAATACGGGAAGCATAACCTACAAAAGCACGCACAATACTTACTTGGCTGTGAAACACCGGGCCTGAAAAAAACCACTTTGTTATTATTCACATTTAAATGAGCAAACTATTAAATTTTGGGAAGGCTGTATAAAAAGATACAATGTACACTCTCACAATATTTTACCTAGTTTATATGTAGATTACTAAAGCAATCTCCTGAAAAGTCCACTTAAAAAAGGCAACACTGATTAATATGAATGACAAAAAAAAAAAAAAGTCCTAGCTCTTTTAGCCCATAAACTTAGTATCTGAGGCAAAATTAAAAAAATAAAATTCTGGCCCATTTACTTCATCAAATGTATGTTTCCTTCAAGCAAATACAATTTGGTCCAGAAACTCTGAGATGCAGGCTTCCCTCTCCCCAGCCCCCAAATTGCTAACTGTCAAATTAATTCCATTTTCCATCTAGCAAAACATATTTCAGAGTTTTTCACCCACATTTGTGAAGATGGATGGAAATGCTCACATATTTCACACTGTGTTCTCCGGCAAACACTAGGCTTCACTGCATGCAAAAAGTCTTAACGCTGGATACACATCCCTAAATCCCACATACTGGCTTTATAGTGTGGATTCAGCTTCTGGACAGACACGTGGCCACATCCCTGTATATTTATTGTAACCTAGAGACAAAAGGCCTTCTGTAGAACGGATCCCCACTCTGTGCATTTACGTGTGAGTCACATCTGAAAATGACTGCAATGCCATTTTAAAATTTAAAAAGAAAAACATTTAAAATGAGCAAATATTTCTCATAGGCGTTACTTACTTGGATTTTGAGGAAAAAGAGTACAGCTTTTGCAGTGGATTATTTCTTTGACAACAGCCACTTCTGTTGGTGGTGGGGGAGGTACCAGTCCAAGGCCTGGTATCATTGGGTTAATGGGGGTGATTCCAGTCATCATGTTGAGGCTTGGATCAAAGCCTGGGACACAGATTGAGTCTGTAAAGTATACAAGATAACATTTTGACTGGAGATTAAATCCATTTTTGTTGTTGTTTTTGCCATTTTCCTGTGGATTATTTGACTTTATACTTTCTATTTTTCAGGAATTTCTCCTGGCATAAGATATAATATTATAGAAAGCTATGCCAGAAGGGTAAAGAGAAAAAAAGTAAAAGATGAACATTAAACTACATGAAAAGGAAATTATATTACTTAAAATATTAACATGGCAGAAAGAACACAGCATATTAAAATGTAAAAGCATGCACCATGAAGCTTCACTATTACTGTGAATGCAATTTTCTATTTCTTAACGTTGGTGTATTGTTTATACCACCTTATGACCCAGAATATGGGAAGAATATCATTTAACATTGAAGTGCTCTGTGAATCTAATTGTCAACGTGGTTTCATCAAAAGAGCCTTCTTACCCAAGTGACCTAGATTTAGGAAAGTTCAATTTATATGTGCATACTTTATAATGATGTATTCAGGTCCCACCTAACCTATTTCCCCTGGAATAAAAAAAAAAAAAAAAGCAAAACAAAGAGTGATTACAATTACTATGGCTGGGTTAGATACATGCAGGCATAAAATTAGCTATATACATTTCTGGCTTCTATTGGATAATTGCACTTTCTTCCTATAATTTAGTCAACAAAGAATTGACCCACCCTTTTGAAATCTTTATGCCCTGTATTACACACACACACACACACACACACACACACACACTTGAAAATAGAAAGTGTGCAAAACAAATGGGTTTTCCAGCTTTTTTTTTTTTTAGTGTGATAATGAAGCAAGTGATTTCAAAGGTGGCATACAGACACTAATAAGTAAGACCTTTCTAACAGCAGGGGCTATGAAAATACTATACTGAGTAGCCACAAGGGGATCCCGTTCATGAGGGTTTCCCTGTTGGCAGAAAAGTCTCATGGGTGGCGTGAAAATGTTCCCAGATAGACAGGCCAGGATAGATCATGGTGCCCTCCTCTACTCTGCAAGGATGAAACTTCCTTCTTGTCTCATACCATCCTATCTTCTTCTCCCTCCTCATCTTACATCACTTCCAGTCTTCCTTCCTGCCCGCCACCCCTGCCCCCGACAACCCCTTTGTACAGTTCTCCTGTACAGCCTGTGCCTTAGGCCTCCGCATGGCCTCACTCTTCGCTTACCTGTGCTGAAAGGCTGGAGGAGCCCAGAAGCAGATGTAAGAATAACCACACGCTTTGTTTACTAAGAAGCTCCAGAGAATACAGAAGGTCTAGCAAAAGCGTTTCCTTTCTGGGAAAAGGTTTACAGATTCCGCCAGCTACTTTGGACATTTCCACTCCTCCTCTGGGCTGAACAGAATAAACAATGTGATTCTGATCTATAACCCCAAGAGGACTGCTGTCCCATTTATTAAAAACTCCATTTAATTTCATAGTGTATCAGTGTGACTTCAGTAAAAGGAGGATTTTTTTTTAAAAGAAAAGAACCCTAAATATAAATGACAAATAAGCATTTTCTTTCAAAGTAGTCACCCTGACATTCTAGGTACTTCCTCTACAATTATGGCTCTCAGTTTCTTCATCTGTAATATGGTACTGTTTGACTGGATTATCTCTTGGAGTGCTAGAATTCCAAGACTCCAGGATTCCATGCTGATGTTGCTCAGTACAAACTGACACACAAAAGACTTAAAGTTTTATAAGTGACAGAGATGACTCTGTTTATTCTGTCAATCATCAGAAAGTTTCACAAGTATGATTTCCATTTTACAGAAAAGAAAGTAAGGCTTAAAGTACTTAAGTAAAACTTCTAACATTCCAAATCAAACAGATGGCAGAGTCAGAATGAGGGCCCAGGTCTTTGCCTCAGTATTTAAACATGTATTAAATGTGACTATTTCAAAGTTTCCATCTAGAATGACCCAACATGATTACTCATCTAATACATGCCACTACTTCTTAAAATGTACTTTACCCTTAAAAAAATCAAGATGGGTCCTGCCGATCAATTCTAAAGAAGTTCCAGAACAGAATGGTTTTCAACATCATCATCATTAAAATAACATATTGGCCTCCAAGGTGAATATATTAGAAAAAGAAATATTGGCAATGGGAATATTGGCATGCTTGTGCTTTTATTTAATCTCATTCCGTACATCGGCTTCATCTGTTTTTTTCCTGGCCTGGCCCTCGCTATTATTTGCCAACACAGGATGATTTAAGGCTGAAACCACTCAGGACTGCAAACCCTGAAATGAGAGCCCTGTGAATTATAATCAGCAGATGTTTCCCACAAATGAGAAGAGAAGCCCAGTGCTTGCATTCTCTTTAGTTGTTAACAGACTTCTGTTTTCTTTCTGAAGGCTAAGTAAATAAATATATGTCCAGAAATGGGGACAGAAGATACCACTCTTGTACAACGTATTTTAATATACAGCAAGAGTTGCTTTGCTTTTTTCTGAGACATCAGTATGAGGAGACTATGAGGTTTAATGAAATCTGCATGGCAAGTGCAGTAGCTTGAAAAGAGCTTAGAAAGGAATTAACACGTAAATTATGTTGGACCTGAAAGGATTGGAGATTCAGTATTTGAGAGGAGAAAGTAAGGAAGGATTAGACTTTAAGAAAAAAAAAGAACCCATTACTTTTTTAACAATATATGTAAAGATGGAAATTGTTTTCTCTAACAGCACAGGAGCATATGATGTACTCGCTCATTAAAGCAAACGCACAAACTGAAAATCGAGGAAGACACAAACACAGGAAGACAAAGGGGAGAAGGCAGCGCAACCCGAAGAATCAGTTCCATGCCCTGTTAGGAAAAGCTGCCCCTGTGAGCTTCAGAGATAATGAGTTGTAATTCTACTCAGCGCAAAGAGGAGGACTGCTTAAATCACAGCAAGAAAGAATCCAATTACGTATACAGTAGAACTTTATCACAACTGTACTGAAATGACAGGAAGGAAGGGTTATTCATCACAGACCGTGGCCCTGTCTGGCTCCTCTCTGTGTTGCCGGCTCCAAGCAGAGACTGGCCACAGCCAAGGCTCGGCAAAGGTTTCTTTTTGGTTGTCTGTTCCCAGTTGGACGAGATGAAAACAAACAAAAAAAAATCCTGTTTACTGATTCACAGGCCAGTGTTTTATCAATTGGATGAGCATTTTTCAGAAGGCAGGTTGGGGCTTTGTGTTCAGGATTTTAGAGGCATGGCAGTTGAATTAATTAAAGCACTCATTCATTTGAATTAAAGATCCATTCAGCATTTCCTGGGCACGTATGACTGCCAGGATCTGGAGTTACAGAGGTAACAGTAGTAAGTTCCCCACTTGAGTTTGAGGAGAGGATAAAGGATGGGAACCAAACTCAGCAAAAGAGTCGGGACACATGAGCTGAGGCTCAGAGGACACAGAGAGAGTCCAGGAAGGGAATTGCTGGGAGAGAGCCTGGTAGGCCTGGGGAATTCCAAACAATTTTTCATGGCTCTTTCATGGTGTGCATCTGGCAGTGTGGCCACAATGTCTGGAGAGACTGCAGGAATTAGATCAGATCAGAGAGACCCTGCTGTTCAAGCTAGTGAATTTCAACTTTGCTCTCCCTGGAACTCAGAGTCAGAGATGCACCCTGCCAGGCCAGGGCTCCGGTGCCTGGGCCGCCCTTCCTCACTTCTTCTCTCTTTGTCTGCTGCCCGCTAGCCATGCCTTGCTCCTTTTCTGCCCTTTCTAGTCAATGCCTCAGTTAAGAGTCTCATATTTGAGATGAGAACTAGATTTCATTTGAAAGAAAGGCAGTTGAGGCCTCTTGCCAGGCAAGGCTGGGCATACTAACTAGGTTAGGTGTGGGCAGGGAGGAGGGACAGAGAGAAGTTGTCAGTACTAGGAACAAGTCTGGTCTGGAAGGAAGAACATAGCGTTTTAAGAAAATAATAAGAGAAAGAGGCAGTAATCAGGCTAAATGGCTGCATTACAGGTGTAGTCCTGGGCTGAGGGTGTCCTGACAAAGTGGCTGAACACAGAGATTATTAGCGCAGATAAAACACAGGTCCAGGTGGGGCAGCTGCCCAGAGGACTCTGTCTACAGGTCACAGGGCCTGCACCCCCTGGTCCAGGGTTCAGACCCAGCCCAGGGGAAATAAAGTTTGCAGGAACATCATGGAGTCATAAGTTGAGAAATACTAGGCCAATTGGCAGGTTACCTAAGCCAGGATTCAGGCAGGAGAAGCAAGACAGGATTCAGACAACAAAATAGAAGCCTGGGGTTTGGGGAAGGAGATAGACCCCTCAGTTATCAGATACGGAGCACAGGTCACAGCCTGACCAGCATAAAGCCTGCTTGGATGCTGAGTCTTAGAATGCAGGGCTCCAGAGCCCCCTTCCTCCCGCCTGACGCCAGATGGACCCTCAAGTCCAGGGACAGAGTAAGTGTGTGGGGCCAGGTCCCAGGACTTGTGCAGGGCACAGAGACAGGCTGGAAGGGCTCTAACAAACATGCAATTGTGCTGCTTCTTTTTCCAGAATTACTGGGTTAAAATTACTGACCTATCATCACTCTGCAGAGAAGCCACGTGATACCTGAAGACATTCTGTTTACCAGAAGTTTCCAGTGGAGAAACTTTTTCAGAAGTCTCCTATTGCAATTGACAAGTCTTGTTGTTCTATAATGTCATTGAATTTGTAAACTATTAAAGTAATGCTCTTTTTCATTCCATGTTTTCTTTTTTCAAGCATTCTTAAAAAACTGTTTTGTGAACAGCAGAGGAAAAGTGAACATTTTAAAAAAGGTGATCTTAAAGTCAAGGGATCTGGCACAGCTGGATGACCTAAGGCTGACCAGCTTTTTTTTTTTGACATGAGTGTTGCACTGTCATCCAGGCTGGAGTACAATGGCACAATCTCAGCTCACTGCAAGCTCCGCCTCCTGGGTTCATGCCATTCTCCTGCCTCAGCCTCCTGAGTAGCTGGGACTACAGGCGCCCGCCACCATGCCTGGCTAATTTTTTTTGTATTTTTAGTAGAGACGGGGTTTCACCGTGTTAGCCAGGATGGTCTCGATCTCCTGACCTCGTGATCTGCCTGCCTTGGCCTCCCAAAGTGCTGGGATTACAGGCATAAGCCACTGCACCTGGCCAGCTGACTGGCTTTTTAACCTCTCTGGGCTTCAGTGTCTTCACCAGGGGAAGGAGAACATGAATACTAGATAGACATACTGGTCTTCATGGTCATCCAAGAAGAACACCTGGGTGAAGGCAGTATATCAAAGTGTGGAGACCTCAAGTCTGCAGTCATGCACTGGCTGTATGACTTTGGGAAATTTAACTAATCATTCTAAGCCTCATTTATAATATCTGTAAAATGAAGAGAATAATATTTACCTTTTAATGTTCTTGTGAGGATTAAATGGGATTAATAAAACAAAACCAAAGTGTTCAGCATAATGTCCAGCACATGGTAAATACTCAATAAATGGTAGCAATTACATACAGCATTAATAAACATTAATATTATATAGAATATTTACATAACCTTATATAAATATGTTAGTAACATAGCAGACACACAATCATAATGATGATTACAAAGTCTTTCATTTGACAAACATATGAGTGCCTACTAGGTGTTG
Source organism: Homo sapiens (assembly GCF_000001405.40). Classification (NCBI taxonomy): domain Eukaryota; kingdom Metazoa; phylum Chordata; class Mammalia; order Primates; family Hominidae; genus Homo; species Homo sapiens. Next base: position 43,367,068 of record NC_000013.11, read on the forward strand.
AGTGTTTTGCTAGGTACTCTGCATTCAAAGACATTGCAATGTTCTTCCTTCACAGATGTGGAAATCTAGTGACTGAAACAACTTAGCAGAAAATACCAATACAGTAATGACACTTATTTTGAGACATTTAAATAAAAGGTGCTATGAAAACACTGAAAAGGGGACATCTAAACCCGTCTGGCATAGGGTTTGTAAGAGTTGACTTGTGTCCCCCCAAAAGATATGTTAATTATTATTATACTTTTAACATAAGTCCTAATCCCCCATACCTATGAATGTGACTTTATTTAGAAATACTGTGTTTGCAGATGTAATCAAGATAAGATTAGGTCATACTGGATTAGGGTAGGCATGATCTAATATGACTGCTGTCCTTATAAGATGAGGAGAAAAGACACAGACACACAGGGAGAATGCAATATGATGACTGGAGAGATGCACCTGCAAGTCAAGGATCACCCAGGATAGCCGGCAAACACCAGAAGCTAAGAGAAAGACATGAAACTGATTCTTCCCTGGATCCTTCAGTGAGAACAAGGCCCTGCCAACAGCTTAATTTCAGACTTTTGGCCCCCAGAACTGCAAGACAATATGTTTCTGTTATTTTAATTCACCCAGTGTGTGGTACTTTGATACAGCAGCCCTACCTAGAAAACAAATGGGGTTGAGGGTGGGGGGTGGGGTGGGTGCCAGGGGAGTGTCAGGGAAGGAATCCTGGAGGGGGTGACAGCTGACCAGGTTCTTGAAAAGGATGACATCTGTATATGCAATGGGCATGTAAAAAGGTATCCCCAAAATACACTTATTGGGATCCTAAATACAAAGATATTTCTAAATGTTCTCTTAGGAGAAATGTTCAAAACCAGTCTCCTGGAAGCAGAATAGCTCTTAGGTTTTCCCTTTGTGAAATAAACAAACTCTGAAGATGGTTACATATTTGTTAAGAACAAATTAACCACACAGATTATGTTAACATAACAGAATACTTTACAAGGTGAGTGAATGCCTACAAACCAGATCTTTAAGAAAGTGAAACTGAAAATGCTTTTGTAATCTTTCCAAAGAGTTTCAAAGGCAGTGAGGTATGTTTTTCATTTAAACCTAAGATGTGTATCCAGAGTGAGTTCCTGGTGCCTGCCGTGCACACTTTATAAACAAAGACTTCATTCCATCAATAAAACCCTCTGTCTCCTTTGACCAGGATGCAACGCTGGCAGAACTGAGGAATGCAGCTGTCAACAGCTATTCTAAGTATTGTTGACTTGGGTGAGGAGATTTGTGTCCATGTTTGAAAATATGACATGACACGAAGCAAAGAGAATTTCAAAACTCCTGACCAAAGCTGGTACAGAGAAAAACTGACTGCTCAAAGAACTCCATCAGATCTTTCCAGCAATCTGTGCATGGAGCGTGCACTTGAAAAGCAAGTGTGTTTTGAGTGAGCAGGAGGTAAGCGCTCATCACAGGTTCTGTAAAATTCACTCACACTGTGGGCCAGGAACTCAAGGGCAGAGCGGTTTCTGTGCAGAGGACTGGGCTGACACAGTCAGAGCAAGCTGCTCCATGTTTTCTGGACCTGCTGAAACACACTCTTAAGACACAGTGGGCCTCACAGCTGAGCCATGAAAACCATGCTGGCATATGACAACCAGGTGTGGAGGGGTTCATTTTGACAAGCAGGCAATGGACACTGGCCCTAACCAAAGATTAGGAAATTTCAAAGCAGAAAGCAACCTGGGCATTACCTAGTCCTACCATCTTGATTTAGAGATGAGAAAGTGGATGCCCAGAGAAGTGAAGTGATTTGCCCAAAGTTACACAGCTAGTTAAGAGGAGAGCTGGAATTAGAATCAAGAGTCCTGCTGCATCTTCACTGTGCACCTGAGTTCTCTGTCTCTCCAGCATGCCTTCCTTTGGATGCCTCTAGTGACACTGCACTCACTAGCTCCTGACATTGCCCATTCTTTTTTTTTTAACAGTTTTCAAAGTGAGAAATTTATCCCTAATATGTTGACTTCGGACTTGATAACCTGTAGTTAAATCCATTGTCTTTATTCAGTACTCCTGGGTTCCTGTAACAAGTCTGATTCTCTTTCCCACTGTTCCTGGTCAAATCCATAAAGAAAGCACACAACAATACCTGAACCTTCTCCCAGTCAGCCTCAGCACCCTCTTCCTTCAGTCCTTCCATGAACTAAAATCCACCTTTTCTGACATCTAAAAATTCTAAAAACCCACCTTTTCTGAGGTCCAGGGTTATCCACAGAAAGAGACCAGGAAGAAGCTGATCAACCTATTAATGGTGGTCTCTATCTTTCTTAGTTCTGAACTTGTATGTATAAATTTTAGTAAGTTGTTACGTTACGATTAAAAAGTAATGGTCATGTTTACTCCTTGCTTTGTGACAGGCCTGTGCTGAAAGCTTCATGTCATCTCATGTCATCTTTTTGGCAGTCCCATCACAAAGTTGACAAATGCTAAGTGACCTCATTCTACTAAAACACACACGTCTTGTCTGTCTGCAGAAGGATACTCTCATGCAACTTTGAAGTTGACATTTTGAAACTAAATGAAATTTGCATTTTCCGTTCAGTTTTCCAAAATCTGTCTTCTTAGTTCTCCTCCTGTCTTGAATTTCTCCTCCCTTGTCCTCAATAGCTATAATGGCTAGACAACCCTCTCTTAAAGTTCCTGTTCCTTCTAATTCACCAGCAAATTTCTTCTTGCAGGACAGATTCAGCCACAGAGGGCAAGGAGATCCTCCTGTTGCCACATTTGGAAGGTGAACCATTAGCTGCCTTCCTGGCAGATGCCTACTGGGGGTCTGGAGCTTGGAGGTGACACATGGAGCATGTCCTCCTCCACTTCCTCCCTCTGTCCAGGTAGTTGTTGTTTTGCTCTCACCACAGCATTATTTCTGTTCTTTCCCCTCTCTACCTTCACCCCTTGGTGTGCACCAGGTTCCCTGCACCCTCAGGTTTGTGAACTGTAGCACGTGCTTACAGAAATATCTTCTTGGGCCGGGCGCGGTGGCTCATGCCTGTAATCCCAGCACTTTGGGAGGCTGAGGCAGGTGGATCACGAAGTCCAGAGATCGAGACCAACCTGGCTAACACGGTGAAACCCCATCTCTGCTAAAAGTACAAAAAATTAGCTGGGAGTGGTGGCGGGCACCTGTAGTCCCAGCTACTCGGGAGGCTGAGGCAGGAGAATGGCATGAACCTGGGAGGCGGAGCTTGTAGTGAGCCGAGATCGCGCCACTGCAGTCCAGCCTGGGCAACACAGCGAGACTCCATCTCAAGAAAAAAAAAAAATCTTCTTAAGCAAATCTTCTTAGACTCCCTCCCCAACACTGATTTCTTCTGAATCCTCTGTTGTAAATTTCCAGTTTTACGGGCCATTGCCAGGTCTCAGGGATGTACACAGGGTTACCGTCAATTCCTTAGGCTGGAAGCTCATGTGTACTAAGTTATTTTCCCTGCTCCCTCTCACTCATTTCTCCATCTTGTCTGAATGTACTCCACAGCAAACTGCTTACAGGATTCTGGGCATCTGGCCTACTCTACTCCTGTTAGACACTTTTGGGTTAAGTAACTTTAGGGCTTGGTTGTTTCTTTTAATGGCACCACTCCTCTCAGTCCTGGTTTAAAACCTCTATAGGTAACCACATCTAGTGACCTGCCAAACCCTTTCAGATGGAGCCACTTTAGAAAGGATTTCTATATCATTGTCTTTTTTGTTCCCATTGCTAATTTAGGTCCTCATTCGCTCTCATCTGGAGTACTGCAAAGGACTCTTTTTGTCCCCACAAACTGTAGCTTCTATATCCCCCCTGTCCCCACCCCCTCCTGCCCTTCCTCCCTCCGCCTCCTCCCTGCATGCCCTTCTCACACCCCTGGAACTGGGATCAGCCAGCGATGCACACGGGGGAACCATGAGAACAGGCCCTAATTGGGGCCTCTAAATTACTTCTTTCAGACTTCTTTTCACATCCCTATCTCATTAGCCGATGATTAATTTTCTTTCTGTACGATGTTATGTGACTTTGTACAGCAGGACTGTTATATAATGATAGGGAGGGAGAAAAGGACTGAATTGGCTCTTGGTGTTCTCTGCTTTGTCCTAGCTGACAAGCTTATGGTGCGGGAGCAGACAGTAGGGGCAAAAAATTATTAAATATTGAGAAATATTTTTGAACATTCAGTCAAGCCCCTAAGAAGTCGCTAATTTTTATACATCTACTTCTATCTTTCTGAGGAGTGGGGACACTCCAAATATATGTTGAAAGACTAAATAAATTATAATTTCTTTCTGGCATTCAATGCCTCCTTGCTCTATAGAACTTCCTCTTTATTTGAAGTCAGGTAATAGCCTGGTGACACCATATAGATATAAAGCCCACTATAGTCAGTATTTATAACAGCAGAGATGGTAATTCACAGCATGTAAATGTCTTTATAGGAAACTTCCCTTTGAAACCTGCATCTTTCTGAGGCAATATGCAAGTGTTAACCTTTTGATTTTATTTATCAACCTTCATTTCTGTTTACAAAGGCATGTGAGAGATAGGTAACGTCTCATAAATTTTAAAAAGAACAAAGAAAAACATTCAATATTTAGTTTCAAAGAAAACATTCACATCATATTAAACAATTTATGTAGGTTTCAATTTAAACTTACTGCTTGAAGGGACTGAAACAACACAGAACTGGTCTGTTTAAATAATATCAGTATATAGCTGTAGACTGGGAGAGACAAAAATAGAGCCTGTTTTAAAGGTAAACACATCATGAATATTCCTAAAGAGAACTGCAAATTGTGTGTGGTCTGTAAATCATAGACTGATCTAATATTAATTTAATTTTTCTACTAGACTGTGTGGGCAAGGAGAACGGGTAACATAACTATCACTTATCTCAGGGTCCAACATGGCTCTTGGCATATAGTATCCTCTTCAACAAGTATCAGTTAAATGAAAGAAAGAAATTATAAAATTTACAGAATTTACAGAGTTCATCCTAAAGAGACAAGACAAAGTAGTATTTGGTTGTTGAGTCCACAATGTCACAACATAAATTCATATATGATTCTAAGCAAATGACATGTGGTATTCTTTCTATTTGTCTTATTAAGTGAATAGTAAGAGCCATGAGGGTTCTTGTTAGTTATTCCTTTATTATAGTTGGAAAATTATGGTGATGATGACTTACATTTCACAGATAATGAGGCTAAGAGGCACAAGGAATGAAGGTGTGTTCACAGAATAAATGGACAGAATTGGTCTTTGAATGCTTGTTAATATGGCATCTGGAAGGCAGACCTCATGCTTCCCTTCCTTTCTAGCTACAAGAAACCAGACCTGAAATCAAAGGATAACACAGAGGGGCAGTAGGGTAAGTATGGTCTCATCTAAATCCACACAAGGTCATCTCATACCACTTAGCTTGGGAGTGCTTGAAAAATTCAGGACAGGAACAGGGACAGGAGAGGACATCATAATCCCATGCCTCAGGGGAATACTACAACCTAACAGGAACATAACTGAAAGGCAAGCTAACCAAAACAAGTTTACAAAAGAGGCAAAAATAAAATTTCACTCATCTGCTATTAAAATTTTAAATAGGAAGCATAAACCATATGAAATAAACTCAATCTTCACTTCTATATTATGGTGAATTAGTGAATTAAGGGAAAAAGGAAATACAGGAACTGTAGATTCTGAGTAGAGATTAGAAATAAAAGGAAGAAATAAAGTTGAAGATGAAAAGAAAGGAAGTAAGTCAGAGGGAGAGACAGCAGCAGACAGATGGAGGGACCGTCCGAGTTCTAGTTCAAGGGTAGACTAACAGAAACTGTGCCTCGGTTCTTCATCTGCAAAAAAAAAAGGACTAAAAAGAGTATTTACCCTGACAGCATTGTTCTGAGGATTAGTGTTACGAATTAAAATATGTACAAGGCTTCAAAGACTACCTGGTACAGAGTAAGCACTCAACACATATTACTATCACTTTGATAAACATTATATCATTTGTGTGTGTGAGTGTATGCATGTGTATATTAGAGTGTACATGTGCTACAAGACTGCTTTCATGTCCTTCCTTTAAAAAAAAAAAGCATATCCTACTTCTCGGTGGCTTTTTAAGTTCATGTTTTATTATCTGTCCTAACTTCTTTGGGTGGAAACCAGAAGGCCTTCTAGGAAAACAACTGAGGAGACAGTGCCATACAGTTTCTCTACAAAAGAAACTTCTCCAAGGGAAATCAGAAACCTCCTCTTTCTTCTCCCCCAGGACCTAAGATATTTTTCATGCCTGGAAATGAGAGTTGCAGCATTGGGACCTGTTTCCTCTCTGCTTTTTCTGCCAGGAAGATTAGGTGTTGTACCCGACACACCAACTGCACTTGTTCCTATGTTTGGCATACCCACTTTCCCCTTAAACTGAGTTTTCCCTTTGTAATTCTATTTTATTCATCCAAATGATTATGTCTATTTTGAGCTTTTTTACCCACACACATACACATACACACACGTGTGCATAAACACACACACACGTGTCTTTTTAATAAATTAAAACTGAGCAGCACCAGACTTTTAAAAATACTTCATTACATCCGAGGCCCTGGCCAGATTTACTTATTTACATGTTGTTTTGCATTTTAATTTAGAAAGCACCAATGCCAACCCATACTCCCCCATAGCTTGTCATTTCTGACAACATCCTGAGTAATTCCAGGGGCGAATTTTTCAGAGGGAATAATTTAACTAACAAATTGCCATTTAAAACTAATTTATCCTTTTGAGCTGAGTGCAATATACTTGGAGGAGCATTCCTTAATGACTTGTTTGGATAATGTTTTTCTCCACAGTGTTGATCCCTCAACATTAGAAACTCAGAGAGTTAATTCCTCACATGAAAAACATACCCCAAACTTTTCTTCTGGAAAGGTCAAGATCAAAAGCAGAGACTATCCCCCAGATTTTTCATTTTCTCCCTTCCCTTCCCCTCCCTTGCCTTCCCTTCCCTTCTCTCCCCTCCCTTCCCCTCCCTTCCCCTCCTTTCCTTTCCTTTCTTTCGCAGAGACTATCCCCCAGATTTTTCATTTTCTTTCCTTCCTTCCTCCCTCCCTCCCTTTCTTTCCTTCCTTCCTTCCTTCTTAATCTTTCTTTTATCTTTTCTTTTCTTTTTTTTTTTTTGGAAACAGGGTCTCATTCTGTCACCCAGGCTGGAGTGCAGCAGCTCCATCACAGCTCATTGCAGCCTCAACCTCCTGGGCTGGAGTGATTTTCCTGCCTCAGCCTCCCAAATAGCTGGGACTACAGGTGTGTGCCACCACACCTGGCTAATCTGTATATTTTTTGTAGAGATGGGGTTTCACCATGTTGCCCAGGTTGGTCTCAAACTCCTGGGCTCAAGTGATCCTCCCGCCTCAGCCTCCCAAATGTTGGGATTACAGGCATGAGCCACTGTGCCCAGAAAGGATTTTTCATTTTCAATTAAGTATTTTCTGCCCAGTTATAACTTCAAAGAACGTTAGGTACTTCATTCAGGGGTCTATATTTCATTCTTATTCACAGAAGCATCTAGTTTTGAATTGTTACTATGCTTTTATGCAGTGCTATGTTTTCAAAATCCTTTTTTAGTCATTTAAAAAGCTGGTCCTCATTATATCTCCACCAGATTCTTCCTCCTCCACAGATGAAAAAGGAAGTTGAGGTTTGGCAGACTGAAGACATCTGCCCACAGTGTCACTGGAATCACAGGGAAATAGGCTGTGGTTTACACTATCCTGCTGGGGATGAAAATCTACTTGTTTGTAGTCTCCAGGGTGGTAAAGAGCAGAGGGGGAAAAGCAGGATGCACAGTATTCAGGGTTTAGCTGAATGTCAAGTTCAGCTTCCTCATCTCAGATGTGAGGCTGCAACCTGCCTATTTACTTCACGTTGTTATTATGAGTGCCAAACTGTATGATGGACGTTTATGTGCCAGCAATTTACAAACAAGCAATCAATACACAAATGTAAATTATAGTCAGCATTTTTTCCTATTTTGGTGGCTTCTGAGACTCTACAATGGTGCTAAGTGCCCACCTTGTCCAGAAAGAGAATTCAATATATTCAGTGTATTACTGTGTTTTAACAAGTATACAGAAGTGTGACAGGTGAGAGGGACAGAGGGAGAAAAAGAACGGGGCGGGGGGTGAGTGAGAGAGAGAGAGATAGTGTCTATGTATGTGTCTATCCTCGATGCTTGCAATCCATGGTTCTCAGCAGAACTATGCCATTCTCCATGTTAGGGTCAGCCAGTTTTTATAGTTGGAAAAACTGAGAAGCAGAGTGGCATACTGCCCTAGGTCCTTCTGAGATATTTGCTCATTCAACATGTATTAATTACGTACAAGTTTGCTAGGCAAGACGCTGGGGGCATAGAGGTAAGTCAGGATCCCTGGCCCTAAGGTGCCCCCAGTCCGTGGTGATGCAGATACCTGGGCACATAGCTGTGTTAGAAAGTGGCAGTGTTATTAGCAAGGCACACAAAGTACCTATATCATCATCCTGAAAAAAGCCTGACCATACTCTGAATAGTATGTGGACTTCCTCAGTGAAAGTATCTATCTAGCTAAGCCACTGTATCCCCAAAGCCAAGCACAGAGCATTTTGTAAATACATACCCAGGTCAGAGAGTGGCTACCCCATGGGCCCCAGCCACACTTTCAATAGCAGTCATTTTTCCTGCATTTATCAAAAGACATTTTGGAGGCAGAGGATTGTTTGGTGTTGTATTATTTATCTTTATCTATATTATTATTTACCTTTCTCCTCTTCCTAACACAGGAACATTCCAGATCGGTAGGCCTCTTGCAAGCTGAGTCTATACCAAAAGTGCACACGTTGTGGAAGACTGAGGTTATAAAGGATAAATCTGTCACAGAGACAGAGTACAAGGGCTGGCTAATCTATATTTGCTTGTTGTAACTGAACAGGGAATTTACATTTGCCAGAATAGCAGAAAAGAAATATTAGCTTGGACATTCATGCCCTTATTCAATTATTTTTTTTTACTATAACCAAAACAGATCTTCATGTTTTTTCAAATACATTTGGTCAGTCAGTCAAAAGAATTTGAAAAGCATATCACAAGTATTTAACTTCCTTCTATCAGAGAGTGATGGGACAGAGACATGAGGGAAGTGAATCATTTCAGCATAAAGCTTTTGTTAAACAGAGCTAAGTTAAACTGAACTAAAATAGAATAAATTGGATGTATGAAGTGTGTATTATGGGAACTTATCCTGAGACCTCTTCTGTTCAGTGTCTTTTCTTGATGTCTTGAACAAAGATTGCTATAATACACTCACTAAATACTCACCATCATCAAGTTACTTGTGTTGAAGGCATGTCAGGTGCTAAGAACACAGAAAGGTTGAAGACAAGTGTTTAGGCTTCACGCTTCAAGAGGGACAGGAACTTTCAGAGTAAATTAAAGTGACAAAAAAGTACTTTAAGTTATTGAAAACCTTGCTAAAATGAAATTAAAGAGCTGAAACTCTACCCAGAGTTATATGACTGACACAGTCACAGCAGATTATAACAGAAAGTCATACATGTAAGAGGTAAATCCTAATTCCACAGGATAATGTCAGAGAAATCAGGTCCTATGAAGCATCCCTCACACTGTTCCCCTTGGCCACCATCTGTCAAGAAGTGGTACCAGGCCAGCTCTTGTTATTACCATAAGAAGCAGAGAGATATGAGTTGGGAGGATCCAGGTCAGATGGACTCCTACCAACCTCTTCCAATTGAAATCCGGGCACTTCTACCCTGGCCTCACCCCTCCACACCTTGCTTGGCTGGCCTGCCTTGCACTGGCCTCACCTGTGACCATGCACTCCAGCTACCTCTTGGACAGACTTTATACCAGCCTGACCAGAAGGTTTTCTTAGCTATGATGTTCACTGCCCAATTTTTCCTTTTGTCCCTGCTATAGTCTGTATTATAAATTTCATGGTTAGAAATTTAATGTTGCCAAGCATTAAGAGGTGAGGCTTTTCAAAGGTGACTAGGCTATGAGGGAGGTTATGCCCTCATGAAGGGATTAATGCTTTTACCATGGGAGTGGATTAGTTATTGTAGGATTGGGTTAGTTATTGTGAGAGCGGGCTCCTGATAAAAAGATAAGGTCAGTCCCCACTCTCTCTCTGTCTCACATGCTTACTTGCTTTTCTGCTTTCTACCATGGAATGATGCAACAAGAAGGCCCTCACCAGATGGCTGAGCAGATGCTGGCACCATGCCCTTGGACTTCCCAATCTCTAGAACCATGAGCCAAATAAATCTCTTTTCTTTATAAATTACCCAGTCTGTGGTACTCTGTTATAGCAGCATAAATGAACTAAGATACTCCCCACCTCACATTTGTGATTGTTTTGGATCGTTTTCCCACGAACAAAACTCCTAGATATGATCCTTTTTTTTCTTGAGTGAATTACCCTCTGAGTAAAAATCTAGCCTTTGGGACTCCAGATGAATTGTGGAAGAAGGTATGGGAAAAGGTAGAGTAATTATTTTAACCAAGTATTATAGGCGCCAGGCAAGGTGCTAGGCATTTTTGCATACCTTATTTAATTTTATCTTCAGTACAACAAAGCAAGGGAAGTTAAGATATGGAGAAAGTCAAGTGTCAGCTAGAAGCAGAAGAGTAGGAACTCACACTCAGGTCAGTTCTATTGCAAAGCTTTTTTTGTCTCACCAGAGCTGTCAATGATAAAACCCTAAATTGGATGGATTATAGGGTCTGGCCAGAACACAGGACAAGATGGATCTTTAGCTGGTAAACACCAGTATGGCCATATCACTGTTTTAGGCCAGCATCTGTTCTGCTTGGTCAGTGCCCAAGACCTATCATTTGTTAAATATTTAGGCATCATTGTTGCCCATCTCAAAATGAAATGTTTGCCAAATACCAAATGTTTGACTTTTACTCTGGCAAGGAGAGAGTAACAGTGACTGGATATGGTCTCCCACCTGAAACAACTAAAAAGCCAGATAAAGTATATGAAACATGGTTTTCAGATACTGGGCATGAGGTAATGCAAGACAATGATTCATGAAAGAAGTAAAACAAAGTGAGCCATATGATTGCCCCAGCTTATTGCCAGGAGAGTTTCCGGGCTACAGCACAGGGAAGAGGAACTCTGGAAAAGTCTGACAGTCTCTCTGAGTAAAGAAATAGTTGGTAGTTTAGGATGGCAGCTTAGAGTTCATAGGGTAAAGTACCAGAGAGAAGAGAATAGCACACATGTGTGCACACAAACACATCTCTCCCTGGAGATATAAAGCAAGTCTTGAGTTGAGAACTAATCAGTGTATGTGTGTGATAAAACTACACTAAGCTAAAGAAAGAAACACCCAAAAGGTTTAGAAGGAATAATCCATAAAGATTACAAAAGACTATTCTCATCAGTTAGAGTAGAAAAGCCTCATAATTCATGATGTTATTGGGTAGAATACTCAGAATGGTATCACCTTTGTAGTAGGACAAAACTAGCCCTAGACAAAAAGCTGCTGTGATCTCTCATAACAAAACTTAAAAGCAAGCCTCAAAAGGTTCAACTGCTTCCCAGTAACTTAAATGGGTCCTAAAATAAACTTCACGGATATGAGAATACAAAAATACCCAGCACCTAGCAAGGTAAAATTCACAATGTCTGGTAACCAATTAAAAATTACCAGGTATGACAGGATAATTCCAAAACCTCTGAATATATTATTTTACATGTCAAAGGAATTAAGGATACAGATGACATTAAGATTGCTAATCAGCTAACTTTATGACAGATTATTCTGGATTATTGATGGGGGCACAATATAATCACAAGAGTCCTAAAAAGGGGAAGAGGGAGGCAGAAGAGAAGGTTGGAGTAATTTGATGTATGAAGAATTCAACCCTCCATTACCAGTTTTGAAGATGGAAGACAGCAATGAGCCAAAAAACATAGGCAACATCTAGAGGATGGAAAAGGCAAAAAAACAGATTCTCCTCTGGAGCCTCCAGAAAGAAATGCAGCCCCGATGACATATTGATTTTAGCCCAGTGAGATTTGCATGAGATTTCCAACCACAGTACTACAAGATAATAAATTTGTGTTGTTTTTAAGCCACTAAGTTTGTGGCTACCTGTTATAGCAATAGTAAAAAATGAATAAAAAGAGAAATTACATACCAGGCATACAAAGAAGCAGGAAAATGTGACCAATAATAATGAGAAAAATAAAACAGTAGAACAAAAAAATAAATAACACATAGATGACAGAATTCGTAGACAAAAATATTAAATATTCATAACTGTGTTCCATGTGTTCAAGAAGGCAGAAGGGAGATTTAACATATTAAATAGAGAGATGGAAGATTAAAAACAGACTCAGAATGTACTTGTAGGGATGAGAAGTACAATGTATGAGATAAAAAATATACTGTATGAAATTAACAGCAGATTTGATGATTTATTTAAAAAGTTAGTAAACTCAAAGAAAAGCAATAGAAACTATTCAAATGAAACGTGGAGAAAAAAGACAACAACAAAATGAACAGAACATAAAAGGGCTGTGGGACAACTGCAAGGAGTCTAAGATATTTGTAATTAAATTACTTGATGAGGGTGGGGCAAGAACAAATATTTGAACAAATAATGGCTGAAGATTATCCAAATTTGATAGAAACTATAAGCTCACAGATCTAAGAAACTCGAGAATAGAAGGCACAAGAAACATGATAAAAGTATATGAGGGAACATCATAATGAAGTTACTTAAAATCAATGATAAAGACAAACTCTTAAGAGCATCCAGGAAAAAAAGACATATTACATACAGAGGAACTAAGATAAAAATAAGAGTATATTTCTTGTTGGAAACAATGTAAGCCAGAAGACACTAGAATAGCACCTTTAAAGAACTGAAATTAAAAAAAAATCTTTTCTTTAACTTTTTCTTTACCCAGTAAAAATACCTTTCAAAATGAAAGTGACAGAAAAACTTTTTCTGACATAATAAGCTGAAACAATCCATCACCAGCAGATCTATACTATAAGAAATATTAAAAAGGAATTCCTCTAGGCAGAGAAAAATGATGAGCTGTAAATCTTGATCTACACAATGGAATAAAGAATATCGGAAATGGCAAATATATGGTTGAATAGAAAAAAAAAATTTTTACTTATTTTTGAACTCTTTAAAAAATAATTGCCTGAAAAGAGCAAAAATACTCACAATGTATTCTGGGTTTATGATATATATAGAAGTAAAATATAAGACAGCAAACATAATACAAAAGTATATAGTTCTTACAATATATATGAAGAGATAAGCCAACAAAGGAGATAAAATTGAAATCATAAAGATACTAAGTCCAAAAGGTGGCAGACAAATAGAAAATTGGAATAAAAAACAGAATAAATAAAATCAATTATTAAGATTGATTTTAACCCAATCACACTGATAATCATATTAAATATAAACAGTCTAAATAAATATCCAAAGGCAGAGATCAATCCAATATATCAGATTGGATATAAAAACTATATGCTACTTATAAGAAACTCACTTTTAATACGAAGTCATAAATAAGTTAAAAATAAAAGGACTGAAAAAAATACACCATGCTAACATTAATGAAAAGAAAGCTGGAAAGGGGGCATGCTAATATTAGGAAAAGTGAATTTCAGATAAAAAATATAATTATGGATAAATGAGTCATTTCATAATGATAAAGAGGTCAATTTAACAAGAAAATATAACAATCCCAAATATTTATTCACTGAATAACAGAACTTCAACATATATGAAATAAAAACTAATAAAATGGAAAGCTGAAGTAGATGAATCCACAATTAACAGTCAGAAATTTCAACAACCCTCTCTTAATAATTGCTAGAACAAGTACATAGAAAATCAGTAAGGATATAAAAATCTAAATAATATCAACCAATTTGACCTAACTGACATCTATGGAGTACTTCACCCAACAAAACCAGAAAACACATTCTTCTCAAGATTACATGGGTATATTTATCAAGATTGGCCATATTCTGGGCATAAACCAAACCTTAATAAAATTACAAAAACACAAATCATATAAAGTGTATTCTGAGACCACAATAGTATTAAATTATAAAATAGTGATGAAAAATATCTAGAGAGTCACCAAATAATTAGAAAATAAATAACACATTTCTGAATAGCCTGTAGGTCAAACAAGAAACCAAAAGGGAAATTTAGAAGTACTGTGAATTAAAATAAAATTTCATGATATGCAGCTAAAACAGTACTTTAAAAATGTTTAAGGCACTAAATGCTTATATTAGAAAAGAAGAAAGGTCTTACATCAATGACCATGGCTTCTATCTTATAAAAAAAAAAAACCTTAAAAAAAAAAGAGCAAATTGAGCCTGAAATAAGCAGAAAAAAAAATTAAGAACAGGAATTAGTGACATAGAAAAACTATAGAGAAAATCAATGAAACCAAATGCTAGTTCTTTGTGAAGATCAATGAAATTGATAAAACTCCAGCCAGCCTTAGGCAGGAAAGCAGAGAAGATACAAACTGCTAATATTAGACATAAGGAATGTAACATAACTACAGTTCCCATACATAAATATCAAGGCATATTACAAAAATTGTATGTCAATAAATTTAACAACTTGGAATAGATTTCTTGAAAAACACAAATTACCAAAGCTCATTGAAAGAAAAACAAATAATCTATATAGCTCTGTATCTATTAAAGAAGTAGACTTTGTAGTTACAATTATTCCCACAAGGAAACTTCATGCCTAGATGACTTTGCTAGAGAATCCTACTCTAGTAGAGGTTAAATCTTAAGGAAAAAATAATACTAATTCTACACAAACTCTTCCAGAAAATTAAAGGGTATACCTTCCAATTTGCTTTATGATTCCAGCATTACTTTTGTTACTTAAATCAGATAAAAACATTAGAAGAAAGAAAAACTATAGACAATATTCAGCATGAACTTTGATGCAAATTCTAAACAAAATTTTAGCAAATTGAATATAGTATAATGAATAATACATCATGACTGAGTAGTTTATCCCAGAGATACAAGGTTGGTTTAACATTAAAAAGTAATTCACGTAATTTACCAAAGTAGTAGACTAAAAAAGAGAAACACACACACACGATCATCTCAATAGATGCAGAAAAAGCGTCTGATGAAAATCTGACATCCATTCTCTCAGTAAACTAAAAATCAAAGGAAATTTCCTCAGTAAAGGTTATGTACTTTAAAACTACACATATGATCATACTTAAAATGGTATTTCTTCATAAGGTCAGAAACAAGGCAAGGATATCCACTCTATTTCTATTCAGCCATCAGGATATATGACAACATGCGTGACTTTCAGAATAACTATATTGAGTGAAAGAAACCAGAAACTGAGTACATTCTATAGGTTTCATTTACATAAAATTCTGGAAAATGCAAAATAATTTGTAGAGACAGAAGATCAGTGGTTGTCTCAGGATGGGGATGAGTAAGAAAGGGGGTCTGAGTAGGTAGGAGGAAGAGATAACAAAGGGAACAGGAAATGTTTTGGTGTGGCTGATATGTCCATTATTTTGATTGTGATGATTTCACAAGTATATACATATGTCAAAACTTATGAAATTGTAGAATTTAAATATGTACAATTTATTGTATGTCAATTCATTAAAGCTATAAAATATAACAGATACTTTAGGTCATAGGTAAAAACGAAAACACTGCCACAGTGAACCAAGCTATATCCAGCCAAGGTCTTGGTTTCAACTAGGGAATGCATGATAGGAGGGCATGGTTGTCCTCCCTGGCAGCAACTTAAAAGCATCAGATATGCATATATAAAGCTTTTTAGTTTCCTAACAAGAGATACTTAATAGATCTCAAATTAAACAAACACAGCCAGTTATATGCCAATTCTATAGTTTTAGAAGTCAGCAAGCAGCATATTGGGGATTATGGATGAACTGAACAAAATCTAGCATAAAACATGGTACCAGACCTCAAAGGGTTTTGAAGACTGTCGATGATTTGGTAGAGTGATGCTAATTCTCACTCTCAACACAATCCAAGCGAGGAAATTTCTCCAAAATAAGATAAAAACTTGCAGGGTTTTAGGTGTCATTGTATATCTGAATTTACTCCACAGAAATTCTTCTCCCAACTTGTTAAATTTCAAGACTTCTCCTTGGAGCCATGAGCAGAATAAGAAAAACACAGATGGCTCAACTTCACGGTAATAATGATTCAAGGCAAGCAAACCTTCAGCTGTTTATATTTCAGATTAAAATAGAATTGAGGAGAGAAACATCATTCTGGGTGCTAAAATGAATATTAAGATAAAGCTAGTGTAAGTATTATTAATATTGCACTATTATTATTTTGGGTTTGCAATCCATAGGAAATCCATGTATGCTTCTGTTTGCTTCCCTTACAACTGGTATTTTAAATAAATTCTGCATGCTCAATAAATAGGGTCTATTTACTCAAAGGCGACAGACCCCATGGTACTCTCCACAAAGACTTCCCTCATGGCCTCCTGCTGCTGTTGTTTATAGGGCTGCAATTACAGAAAGGATTCTCAGCAGAACGAGCAATGACACCATTACCATCAACAGGAATTCTCCTGGCACTGTGGAGATTCTTTATTGAAAGAAATACAAAGCCAGTATGTTGCTAGTAGAATGCATGAATTTGTTGGGCAATGGCTTTCTCCTTCTGGACACCACCCTGCAGGTTAATGACTCTCAATTCTGAGCATCCTTCTTCTCTCCTTCCAGCAGGTGTTTTCACACCTTTCTAAGTTAAGTGTCCCAGAATGTAAAGGCTGCCACTACAGGGAGGCAGCAGGACACAATGCATGAGACTGATCGGCAGTGAAGCCGGACTGCCTGTGTTCACATCCCGGCTGCACCACTCACTAACAGTGTGACTTCAAACAGATTACTTAGCTTCTCTGTGCCCTGGTGTGCTTATTCCTAAAAATGAAGTAATAACAGCACTGATTTCACTGGGTGAGGATTAGATAAGGACTGAGATGCTTAGAAAAATGCCTGGCACATACACAATAAATGCAAGCAATTATTATTATTAACACAGCTTTGTTGACACAATAACATTTGTAGAGAATGAATGACAGCAGCTACTCTAAGCTGCCTCCTTATGGCAAGCACAGTAGGAACAAGAAATAGAAATACTTCCTCTAACAATGCAGCAAAATCTTCTGGGAGAGAGAACCATACAAGACCAGCCTATTAAATAACAATAATTATATTAATACCACCCATTACTGAGTACCTTCTACACACTGCAGTGTGTAAAATGCATCTATATATTATCTTATTCATTCCCATAACCCCATGAATTAGATGATATAACTTCCATTTTCCAGATAACAAAACTGGGACTCAGAGAAATTAAATAATTTCCCTCAGTTCACGTGGCTGAGACAAACATTTCTGAATAGAACTACCTGGCTCTTAGCCAGGTTTTTCCGCTATGCCATGCACCTTTTCAACCCAAAAGGTAGTGGTGTGTTCTGAGCAAAGGCATTCAGGAGAAAACAAACCTGTCAGGAGGCAGAGTTTCCAACAGCACACTGTCTTTGAAACTATTAAAAGAATAGTCTTAAGTGCTGCTGGGTGAAACAATTAAAAGGATAGTCTTAAGTACTGCTGGGTGAAACTTGTCACACCTGAACACAGAGATAGCAATCCTCATTGCTGGGTCATCTCTCAGTGGCAGGATAATATACTTGAAAGGATGATCAGTTGTTTCCTGGTTTTTTCCTTGGCCCCTACTAGGTACCCTGATTCAAACAAGGCTGTTCATTGGTTAGTTTCTCAGAGAAGGATATTGTGTAGAAAGCTCAGGGAAAAAAAAGTGTGTGGTATGTTGGCATCATGGCACTACTGGAACTGGAAGGACTGTGGCACTGGGATCTAGTGGTGGGTGCCCCGCTTTCTGGATGGCAGGGAAAGGTTCTCTGATGCTTAAATGAGTCCTTTTTTCTGTACATTTGGGATATTTCATAATTAAAAATTAAAAAGTAATTATCTATAAGCAGGAGAAAATTTTATCTTATAATATCAATAAATAACTCTTAGAATACTCTCAAGATTAATTTTGAGAGGAAACTTATAATCATTAACTTTTATATTGAGCAACAATTCTATAAAAACACAACAGCCTAAATCAATTCAAACCTTAAAGTAAAAATGTTTGCAACATATATGACCTATTTTGTAAAGGGGCAGAATCCACAACAAAGAACCCTAGTAAATCAACAAGAAAAAAAAATGTTTCAACAGATAATAAGTAAAAAACAAAAGGGAAATTTAAAAGAGAAGAAATAGATATGGTAAATTAAGATTTGGAAAAGTTCAAATAAAAACAAGATATTTTTCACACATTAGCAAACATTTAAAGAAACAATAATAGTAGTTTTGGTGAGAATTTGAGGGCTGGGCTAACAATATGTGTAGCTAGCATTCAAAAGGTATTTATTTACATGAGAAAATTTTGCCATTTTTTCTTCACTGGTAAGAAAAAATGATAAACAACCATATATTTGGAATGATATCAACTTTTTAGGATTAAACACATTCGTTTATACATTTGTAGAAAAAGAAATTGGAAGGAAATACATCAAGACACATGTAGTGGTTATTTCTGCATCTTCAAATGACAATTTTTGCTCATTTATACCTTTGTGTATTCAAATTTTTATAATAAAATTACATTATTAAAACTTTCCTTGGGGCCGGGCACCGTGGCCCATACCTGTAATCCCAGCACTTTGGGAGGCCGAGGCAGGCAGATCACTTGAGGTCAGGAGTTTGAGACGAGCCTGGCCAACATGGTGAAACCCCATCTCTACTAAAAATACAAAAATTAGCTGAGTGTGGGAGCCGGTGCCTGTAATCCCAGCTACTCTGGAGCCTGAGGCAGGAGAATCAATTGAGCCTTGGAGATGGAGGATGCAGTGAGCTGAGACTGTTCCACTGCATTCCAGCCTGGGCGACAGAACAAGATTCTGTCTCAAAAACAAAACAAACAAACAAAACTTTCCTTGGTACATTCTAGGTTCTTTAAACAACAACAACAAAAACTCTTTGATGGCAAATGGAAGAGACAGGATTCATGTTACACATCCCTCTGTGTCCTTACAGGGATGTGCTGAGGATGTATGAAATTTCTTTGTAATAATGTCGTTGTTTTCCCAAGAGCATTATTTAAGGAGAATGGACAGGTCTATGGGAAAATTTAACTTTGTATAGAATGATTTTTAGGTCTAAAAAGTCTAGTTCAGCCTGGGAACACTCTTCTATGATAAAGGAATGAAAACAACACAAATCACAATATCATATTAAGGTGATTTTCCTAAGGAAATAATGTGTTTGACAGCTGCTCCCCATTCAGTGTATCTGTAAGTGAAGAGAGTCAATTGAAACTAATGTTCACCAAAGACCACTTTTAGCCACCCATTGTTGACTTGGATGTAAAATGGTAAGCATTGTGTTTGAACGATTAAAAAATCAGAAATAAAATTACTTTTTGATATTAGAATCTAAATGGTCCAAGAATATGATTGTCTTGGGGATTCTTTTTGAGAAATTAATTTTGACACTTCACTCACTTTATAAATAGAAATTTCTCCTTGGTTGTTTTCTTAACATGTTTAGAATTGATGCTAACACACTTTAGTTTATTCATTGCAGCCAACTTTTGACAACAAGCTTTCAAATTCTGGAGTTTAAATATCAAAACTTGACGTGGTAACATTATAGAAAAAAGCTAGTGGAACACCTTTAAAAAAATGGAATGTTGAAAAACAACTCCAATGAATTTAGAAATGGCAGAGGAAAATTATATGAGAAGATTTAGAGTCCTCTAAAGCAAATGATTTATTGAAATATTTTTTCCCCCAGCAAGTATTAATAAGTACCTTCCATATGCCAGGCATTGTTTTAGGAACTGGAGACGCAACTTTGAACAGGACAGACTTGCTTCTTACTTTCTGGAAGCTTACCTCCCAGTGAGGATTGATAGACATAATCAAAAGGTAAAGAAAGAAGTTACTTTCAGATTGTGCTAAGTGCCATTTACAGGGATGTAGGAGAGTTACCTGGGGTGAGAGAGGAGGGAGGAAGCCGTTTGATTGGTTAAGATGGTCTGTCTGGAAAAGAACTTTTGAGTTCAGTTCCTAAAAACAAGGAGCTGGCCTGTGGTGGGAAGATATGGAGGACGAGATTATAGGCAGAGGGAAGAGAGGGAGCAAAGGCCTGAAGGCAAGAGCAAACCTAGCATGTTTCAGAAGTAAAAGGAGGCCAGTGTGGACAGAGCCTGGTGGGTAAGGGGTACAGTGACAGATATGAGATTCAACAGGGGATTCCCAAGGGCCTCCTCATCCCCACTACTCAACTGGATAACTACTGTCTTTTATGCCTATTGACTTTCTGCTTGAACAGTCATTTAAAAGTGTTGAAAGGTGAAAAAGAAAGGTTTAAAAATCTCTGTAGTTTTAATTTTATTCTGATTGCTAGAGGAGATATATAAACATACACATGCACACACACACATATATAAACATATATACACATATATGCATAAACATATAAATATGTAAATGCACACATATATACATATGTAAATACATATATATACATATATAAACATTTATAGATACATATGCAAAAACATAGACAGACATATACATAACTGGTGTTTTCGAACATTTGACAAGGATTCATACTAGAGAATCAGTGGCATAGAAATTGCAGTATAGGAGGTAAAATTGGATATTAATGTTTGGAAGTACTTCAGACTGCTCAGGAAAAGTTAACCATAGGTGGGTGGAAGCTTTTCCCCAGCTGGAGAAGCTCAGTATGTCAATGAAACCGGAGGTTACTAATAAAAACACATGAATGACATGAACAGGTCTATTCTGAAAATAGCAGAGTTGGAAAATGCTAACGTTAGAGACAGAGTCAGTAACAACAATGAAGCCTGCCAGATTGGTGTCACTTAAGAGACATGATCTAAATAGAAAGAAACTCAACCCATTGCATGAGGATGCTTAAGTTATTTTGTTTGAAGAGAAATTTATCTTGCTCAGTGGAATAAGCCAGAAGACTAAACAGGAAAAGACCATTAGGGAAAGATACCCAACGAGCAAATCAGAACAATATGAAAAAAGTAATATCTTAAAGCCACCTATATTAATAAATTTGGTTTGCCTGTTCAGAGTTCTAAAAATGACTTGTGAGGGGAGAGTACAGTGTTTCTTTGTACTCCATTACTCTTTGGGGTAAAACCTGTTTGACAACTCAGTTCAACATGACTGACAGTATTAATCATGCACCTATATGTGGCTAGCACTGCACTAGGAAGTGTCTCTGCTCATAAACAGTGAAACCTACTAAAGAGAAAAGGCATGATGTTAACACCACCTGGGATGTGGAGTGTATCCATTTCACAAAATCCTATCAGCAGAGCAAATAATGGGAACAAATTGACTACAGGCCAGGGTCAAATCCTAAGGTAAAAGCAGTAACTGCCCTCGGGTGGGTAGGAGAGAGCATCTCTGAAATTGGCCAGAGCTACCAGGGAAGGCTATTAGAATGAAGTGGGACTTGAGGCTGCCCTTGGAGGAGCTGGTAAAATTTTGATAGGTGGAGAGGCAGAGGAAGGTGTCTCTGAATCATTAACAGCTGAACAAGAGCTGTTCAATCTTATCCAACTGTGAGTCTGGAAACACTGCCTAATTATTAACTAGCAGGTGAAAAGAACAGAAAAAAAACCACTGGTGCCACTGCCAGGCTTCCATCTGGCTGTGGTATCATCAGGAGGCCCTTAAAGTTATAGTTCTTGGGCAATAAGAAGGCAGCATCTTTTACTAAATTAACAAAATTAACTTACTAAATAACAAAAGTAATTTTAATTACACCCAGATTTAGCAGGGAAACTAAATAGCAAACATTCAAGTAAGTGTCTCTGTTGATAAGCATATAACTAGAAACACTCTTTTGGAAGTAATTTTGTGATGTCTCAACAGTAACTAAACGACCATGTCATCTGTTGACCTGGCAATTGACCTTAAAGAAATAGTCCAAATGGGAAATAAGAAGTCAAAGATACTAACTGCAGAGTTATTGATACTATTGAAAAACTGGAAACAGCTCAAAGACTACCAACAGAGTAGTCAAAGTAATGGAAGCAGATGTGTGATATCATTCACCCATGGAGTTAGTAAAAGTTAAAATTATTTTAAATAGCCCCTGTTGGTGTGAGTGTAAAATGGGTTTAAATTTTATACAGGGCAATTTTGGAAATATCAAAATTTAAAATATGCATTCCTCTGAATCAGCTCCAGAAACGCTGAGAAGGGATCAACAGTTAAAATACTTAATCCACGTAGAGGGCTTTACTGACTCCAAAACATCTCCTTATTTCCTTTTTTAAAAATGACATTATCCACAATACATATGATCTTTGAAAGAAAAGGAAGAAAGAAAGATAGATATTATTGATAGTCCCATTTTCTAATGAGGAAACTGAAGGTCAAAGAGGTAAAGGAATTTAACTTTCTCTAGCCCTAAGTTCATATGCCTGAAAAATCATGATGCAACTGGTTGGAATTTCACAAGGCTAAATACAGTCATCTTGTTTAAGTGAAAATATCTCTTGATTTAGATATAGAACCCCATTTCATGGAGCCAAGACAGTAGGGTCTACGGAAACAATGGCTGTCCTATTCTTCCCTGGAGATGATAACACTGCTTCTACTACACTTGACAGAGGGGGAGAAGGGGAGAACAAAAAAAATTTTTTGGTCTTCTGACCTAGCCTGTATGAAAGAACAAATAACTTATGTGCAAATATAAGATACAGTGTGAGTGCTGAAAACGAGGTAAGGATTATGAGAGGTCTATTATCTACATGTGTTGTATATACTTGGAGAACACGTTTGAATGGGGGAGGTGCGGCATTATTTCACAGCAGGAGAAATAATCATTCTCATCATTTCTAAAAGCCAAGCAGCCTTCAGTCAGTTTCACAATAATCAATTAATTAGCTAAAGTAAATATTTAGAATGAGTTACGGCACAAAGATATGAAATCATGGCATATAAATGAGCTTTAGACATGTAAACTGACTCTTTAGGAGGAGAAATTACTCAAGAGGGAGAAGTGGTATTGCACCAGATGGCTGTGTCTAATAATAACTTCAATGGACACATATGATACTTGTTTAATTATTTATCAAGGAGAATGCCTGCAAAAATTTAGTAAGTTTATAAAATTTTTGGCAAGTACAAGACTGTGTCAGCCAATAATGCATTTTGAGTTTAAAATGCTCCCTCTTGGTGGCTTATGATAATACTTAATCCTAGACCAAGGATTCACCATTTTTCTGTCTCAGTTTCACCATCTGTATTAAGAACTGAAAAACCTTTACCCAAATCAGGGAGTTTGGGACTCTTTAGGACTTTACTTTTTATATTATCCCCTGAATCAAATACTTCTTCCTACTTAAACCATTTCCAAAAGTGTACTGTCATATCCTAATTGTCTTAATTCTGTCTCATTGCCATTTCCCCCTTAAGTTGCCTCACAATCTATCTGCCTGACTTCTAGACAAATAACTTCAAAGAGTTGTCTATAGAAGGTTTCTAGTTTTCTTTTTCATTTCTCATTATTCTCTTTCATTTCTTTCTCCCTGCCTCCCTTCCCTTTTTCGGTTTTGTTTTTGCTTTTCGAAGGAGGGCCAATTTAAAAACAAAATGAAAAAAGCACATCCATTACTATCTGAAGGCACTGGCTACTACGAATCCCTTTTCTTTGTGCAGCCCTTTTGGCTTTTTGCAAGACCTCCCTATGTACCATCTCACCCGTTTCTTATGATATTGTTCAACCTTTAACCCACTGACCTGACTTCTATCCCCACAGCTCCCCCAGAACGGCCCTTGTGAAGGTCACCAATGAACCCGGCCCCCATTGCAGTCTTTTAACTTTGCCCCTCAGAAGAAATCAATCATGCCGGCTACTACTTGGCTGAATATGTGACTTGGATCCCGTAACGTTGCACACTTCTCTTTTTCTTCTAATTTTCTGACTACTCATTTCCTCTCAACCCCCTTTGCTGGCTTATCACCTTCTTCCTAAACTATAACTGCTGGAAGTTTTCAAAGCCTACTGCTGTTCCCTCTATTCTCTTTATGCCATTTCCCTCATGCCCATGGTGCCAGTCATGCTGATGAACACAGATCTCTCTGGATGTGATTATCACTGGCCCACCCATCTCTTACTCCAGACCCATATATCCCTGTGTCTACTCAATATCACCACTTAAGATATCCCACAGGAGCTCCAACCCGGGAAGTACCAATCTGAGTGCATGATTTCTCCCTCTATTTGTTCCTCCTGTGTTTCTCACTTCATAAACCCATTTACCCAGTTGCTTAAGCTAGAAACTTGGCATTCATCTTGATTCTCTCTCTCTCACTCCCCTGTCATCTAATCCATCACAAAATCCTAAGGCTTCTACCACAAAAGCTTATTCCAATTTGTCCTTATCTCTCCAACTTCACTATCATGCCCCAAGTCAAAGCCCTACTCACCTGGGACCTGGACATGTGTGGCCTCTTAACTGATTCTCTTGCTTCTATTCCTACCCCACTTCCCAAATCCATTCTCTTTTAACATTAAATTCAATCATAGAATCCCTCTGTTTCAGGGAATGAATAAATAAATCACCTTCAATCAATTAATTTTAGAATTAAGATCAAACCCTTTCCCAGGACCTGCAGGGCCTCTAACAACCACTTTGAGCTCTTCACATAACCAGTTCCACCTCAACCACCAAGCTGGTTGTCCAGGACTTCTCCAAGCGAGTCAAGCTCCTTCTGCCTCTGGGGTCCTCTTCTATGCTCTTCCTTCTCCACTTTCCAGAGCTGGCTCCTTCTCATACCTCAGAATCTCAGTTTAAATTTAGTCTCCACAAAGACACTGTTCGTGGTTACCTGAAGATTCATGGTAAGTTCCCCCTTATGGTCTATTATTGCAGCATTGTATTATTTCCTTTATAGTAATCATTACCATTTCTAATGATACGTTCATCAATCAGTTTACTTGTTTACTACCTGTCTCCACAATCAGAATATGAGCTCCATGACAGCAGGAATAACTTTAGGTATTCACAATAAAACATGGTTAATAAATATGGGAGTGAAGGAGGGATACTACTAAACTATGACATTAAAACTAGTATGAGGCCGGGTGCACTGGCTCACGCCTGTAATCCCAGCACTTTGGGAGGGCGAGGCGGGTGGATCCCCTGAGGTCAGGAGTTCAAGACCAGCCTGGCCAATGTGGTGAAACACTGTCTCTACTAAAAATACAAAAAATATAAATAAAAAAAATTAGCCAGGCGCAGTGGCAGGTGCCTGTAGTCCCAGCTACTCAGGAGGCTGAGGCAGGAGAATCATTTGAACCCAGGAGGTGGAGGTTGCAGTGAGCCAAGATCACGCCATTGCACTCCAGCCTGGGCAACAAGAGCTAAACTCTGGAGGGGGAATGTAATATTAATTCAAACACCCATTTTTTTTCTTGAGAATAAAATTTTAGTTTCAATATTTTCTATATATTTTGGTTTCATGTTTACAAACACATTTAAAATCATTAATATGTTTTTCTTTAAAAGCTACTGATTTCCTTATGAATTTGTTTTTTTCATTCAAAGTGTAAAATGAATGACTCTCATTAGATGTGTTTTGAAGAAATATCTTTGCTGTGTTCTTTTCTCTGTGTTCAGCCACGAGAAATTGGTGTGAGGCTGCTGGAGTGGGATGGGTCCCTATCCTGACAATTATAAGTCAGTATAAAAAAGTCTGAGGCAAAAGCAGGCATAGCTCTGTGGGCATTTCTGATATTTTACGTTAGTCATTAGAAATAATTCATATAAAAAAGGAAGATGACCAATAATAAGAGAAAATAATGTGAAGCATTGTATTTTTTAATTGCTGCTTGAAGAGAGTTCATTTTCAGCCAAAACACAATAGTACTTTGCTCCTTTGGCTAGAAGTACAAGTGATTCCAAGAAACTTAAGTATTCTCAGAGCTACCTGCTATGGGTATTTAGGCCTAAGTCCTGATAAAAGGTAATCACAAGCTTTTAAGAAAGGTATTTTTTAATTTCTTCTTTTCAAATTGGAAAGAAAGTGGGCAAATGGTTTGTAGTGTTCTAATAAAATAGATTAGATAAAAGGGGCAAGAAATCACAGGCTGAAGTTTTTTTATTCAATACATATTTATTGAATATCAATGCATAACAAGAATGGTTCCAGGAGGCATAAGAAACACAAAGATGAATAAAATATAGTTCTTCCCATTAAGAGGCTCATCATTAGGCAGAACATACAGATTAGATAGATGGATGGATGGATGGACTAACGACAGGTGGGTGGATGGATGGATGGATGGATGGGTGAAAGGACAAATAGATACAGCATAAAGAGAGGATGAATGATTAAGCATGGTCTTCTAGCACAAAGAAAGTTACAAGAATTATACATGAAACAAGGAATAATTGAGACTCTATGAATGTAAAGAAATGAATGTAGTTCATTAATTTGATCCATATCTCAGTTGCCTTACTGATATGGTTTGGATGTGTGTCCCCTCCAAATCTCATGTCGAAATATGATCTCCAGTGTTGGAGGTGGGGCCTGGTGGGAGGTGTTTGGGTCATGGGAGTTGATCCCTCATGGATAGCCCCTTCCTGTGGTAATGAATGAGTTCTCACTGTTATTCACAGGAGAGTTGGTTGTTTAAAAGATCTTGGCACCACCTCCTCTCTCTCTTGTTCCCTCTCTTGCTATGTGGGCATACCTACTGCTTTCTACCATGATTGTAAGCTTCCTGAGACCTCATCACAAGCCTAGAAGATGCAGGTGCTGTGCTTGTATAGCCTGAAGAACTGAGACAAATGAACATCTTTTCTTTATAAACTGCCTAGTCTCAGGGATTCTTTTACAGCAATACATAATGAACTAATACACTTGTGCAATATCAATAGGCTTTTCCTTTAATATCTACAAAATTCTTACAGAGAATGAATGAAAAATGAAGTCTCCTCTTGAACAGCCCAAGGTTAGGCTGCTCCTGTATGACTAGCCAATTTCATTGAGTGAAAATTCAATGGCATCCCGAACTTGGCATGTTCTTCATTAGGCAAGGAAAGGAATAAGCAAGAGTGCCTGGAGTATTTCTCTCAAATCTATCAAAAGCAGAGAAACCAGTCAAGACACACTGTTCTGTAGAACTAAACAAGATAATCTCCAGACCTCTGTCTCCTTGTCCATAATATGAAAGTGCTGTGGCAGCCAATGATGAGCAGCAGCCATGGCTCTGCATTACTCCGGGGCCCTGGGCCTCAAACAAGGGCCACGAGGTGACCAAGAACACAAGCAAGCCGAGGCATAGCCGCTGGCACGAACATCCCACCAAGCACACCAAGTTCATGGGAGATGTGATCTGAGAGGTATGTGGCTTTGCCCCACGCAACATGCCATGGAGCTGCCACAGGTCTCCAAAGACAAACAGGCCCTCAAATTCATCAAGAAAAGGCCAAGGAGGAGGAAGAGAGAGGAGCTGAGCAACATTCTGGTCATGGCTTCCATGAGGAAAGTGGCTGCCAAGAAGGACGAATTCCTCCCCTCCCCACATAATAAAACCTTTACAGGAAAAAAAAAAAAATGCAAGGGCTGGACCAGATCAGTGTTAGCAGAAAGATTAGCAGATAGATTTCTTCACATATGAATTGGTGTTGGCTCCTTGGAGTGCTATGTTGCAATGGAAGCACACATTCTACCTCAGTAGCAAGAAGGCCCTCTGATGGACTAGCAACATCTGCCATGAGCATGGGAATAGCGTGACACATTCACTACTGTGGGGCAGATCACTAAGGTTTAACATTTAAACCTTAATCTACCTCAGTAGCAAGAAGGCCCTCTGATGGACTAGCAACATCTGCCATGAGCATGGGAATAGCGTGACACATTCACTACTGTGGGGCAGATCACTAACATTTAAATGAAATGTTATCTCCAGGGCCGGGTGCAGTGGCTCACACCTATAATCCTGGAACTTTGGGAGGCCAAGGCGGGCAGACCACTTAAGCTCAGGAGTTCAAGACCAGCCTGGCAACATGGTGGAACCCCATCTCTACTAAAAATATAAAAATTAGTCAAGTGTGGTCGTGTGTGTTTGTAGTCCCAGTTACTCAGGAGACTGAGGTAGGAGGATCACTTGGATAGCTTGAGCCTGGGAGGTCAAGACTGCAGTGAGCCGAGATTGCACCACTGCACTCCAGCCTGGGCACCAGAGTAAGACTTTGCCTCCAAACAAAACAAAACCAGCGTGAGATATTATTATCTAAAGTCCTTTCAAACTCTCAAATCTTATGATTTCCACTAACATTGAGTTGGTGTGATTATCTTCCTATATAGTGGACAACATATCACAATAAATTCTTAATTATCCATACTTTCGTTATTTTTGCCCCAATGTTGCTTTCATTCTCATGAATGTGATCCGAAGAAACACAGCCTTATCCACAAGCATGGAGCCCAGCAGGAAGCTGTTTAAAGCAGAATACTTCGTTTACTCATTCAAAGAAGCCCATGCCACGTAGGCTGCGATGGGCTCAGGAATAGCAAGAGGTTTGCCAAGGTGATGCAGGTGAGAAAATACGCATTTCTTGTTCTTTCCTGCTCATATTTCCACAAAGTTTCTTTACAGAACTGTAAATTCAGAAATCAGATAGAGCCATGATGAAAACAATTACAAATAAAAACAAACGATGGCCACTTATTTGAGATTTCAGATAGCATGTACCCCGGTTACCTCTTACTGATAAGAAAATCTCTACTTGTGCTGCTCTTTTCCAAAGATTGCTTGAACTGAGACCATCTAATCGCTAGCATCTAAATTACTATTCATTTTCGTGTTTATCCTCTGGTACTGGTTACTCAGCAGATGCCACTGCTACGTCAAAAGCCCGGAAACTGGCAGGAGAATGTCCTTCCTTTTCTTGCTCCTTGTTTCTTCAAAGTCTAGCAAGATTTGAGTTCCTTACAATGATTCTCCTGCATCACTCACATGGCTGTATGTGTGACTGACTCGGTAGGAGCTCTCTGCATCCATTAAAGACCAGATATACAAACAAACAACATCATCTCCACCAAAAAGATTACCTTAATTTTTTTCTTTTTTGAGACAGTTTTGCTCTTGTAGCCCAGGCTGGAGGGCAGTGGCACCATCTCGGCTCACTGCAACCTCCGCCTTCCGGGTTCAAGTGATTCTCCTGTGTCAGCCTCCTGAGTAGCTGGGATTACAGACACGCACCACCATGCCTGGCTAATTTTTTGTATTTTTAGTAGAGACACGGTTTCACCATGTTGGCCAGGCTGGTCTCGAACTCCTGACCTCAGGGGATCTGCCCACCTCAGCCTCCCAAAGTGCTGGGATTACAGGCATGAGCCACCAGTCCCGGCCAAGATTACCTTAACCACAGGAGATACTCTTCCTGTGGTTCCTGTCAAAAGTTACCATGTTGCTTTATTCCTTCCAGATATTAACCAGATGTTAGTCATTTTAGCATTGTGCATATTAATGTCTTATGTTCTTGATTTTTAAGATTTTCCCTCTAAGTCTTAGAAAGTCAGAGCTTTAAGGGAGCCTGAATACCTGCCTTTGACAGCTAGGCACCACAAGGGCCTCGAAATCTGTGCAACTTGCCCATGGCCACTTTGCCACCGTGTGATAGAGCAGGGTAGGAGCAATACCACCTCTCCAGGGCCCATGGCCCTGTGCTTTCCTCTTGCCATACTGAGTGGCTTTTCCTGCACTTTCATGCCCTTCCCAGTCTTCTCCGGTGGGTGAGGCCTGCGGCACACTGGGCTCTTCTGGTGCCCCTGCAGAATCTCTGGCATGCCCCTCTCTTGGCGAAGCCCCAGCAAGGATGACATAGAAAATTCAGACAAGGATGAAATCATCGTTTTCCTCTATTATTTTTCTAAATTGCCTTTTTCCTACCCATGACTAGGCAGTATTTCCTCACAGCTGGGGATGAACAAATTCAAAAAGATGTTCTCAAATACATGGTTTCCAAGAGAGGCCACTAAGTGTTGAAAGTATAAAATGAACATTTTTGAGTGATTGCACAGTTCATGAAAATGTCTCTGGTTAGAACCTCATCAGCAGTGATTCACTCTGTGCATAGGGTCCCCATGGAGACTGGAGTCACCTCACATTAGGGTATTGAGGCTCATTTTTCCTGCTGAGATGGAATAAATGGCTAGGATGCATTAACTGATGGCGGTCACAATGGTCCCATCCAGTGAAGTGAGGAATATTTCTTTAAAGATGCCCTTGTGGTCAGAAAGACTTACTGAACTTTAAGACTACCATATTTCTCCTTCCCTTTAAAGAAAAAGAGTACTTTTGCCCTATAGGCATAAACATTCAGAAGTAAAGCCTCAAGGTCAAAATTATATCTTCTATGATAGATAGCAAGATAATGTCCCTGTTAAAGAGGAAAATATAGTTTATTACAGTTCAATCATGTTTTTCTTGATGCCCAAAACATCTTTTTCAAGATAATAACCAATTAAATGAGATTATATACTGTGTGTCTTAGTCTATGGGGAGCTTCTGTAACAAATACTACAGACTAGGTAGCTTATAAACAACAGAAGCTTATGTTTTGGAGGCTAAGAAGTCCAAGACCAAGGCACTTGGAAGATGTGCCATCTGGTGAGGACCCACTTTCTGGTTCAAAGACAGCCTCTTCTCATTTCGTCTTTACATGGTGGAAGCAGTGAGGGGGCTCTCTTGGGTCTCATTTAAAAGGGCACTGATCTCACTCATGAAGGCTCTGCCTTTATGACTTAATTACCACCCAAAGTCCCCATGTCCTAATATCATCACCTTGGGGGTTAGGATTTCAACATATGAATTTGGGGGTATGCAAACATTCAGACCACAGCACAGTGCTGGAGCATAGCAGATACTCAATACACGAGTTTTAATTTGTATATGCAACTATGTTTTAGGTACTTTACAGCTCAGCTACTTTTATTTAAAAATTTTTCAGTTTTAAAACTGCATCGTAAGTAAGACCACAGAAATGTAGCATCAGACAAGCTTCCCTACCCATTCCAAGGCCAAATGAGGATTTTTTTGTTTGTTTCTCCACCAGCCAAGAACCTGGGGTGCTTCAGGGACTCAAACTTTAGTTGCAGTTTCCAGGCCTCATGGTTTAGAAGGTCTAAAATAGGCCCAGAAATCTACTTTCCAGAGGATGCTGAAACAGATGACCTGCAGCAAATACTCTAATGTAATTGACTCTTGAAGAACATGTGTTTGAATTTTGAAGGTCCACTTATCACCAATTTTCTTCAATAAAAGTTATACTAAGTATGCCTGCCTCTCCTGCCTCCCCTTCCATCTCCTTCATTTCTTCCACCTCTGACACCCCTGAGACAGCAAGATCAACTTTGCCTTTTCCTCCTCCTCCCAGCCTACCCAACGTGAAGACGAGGAGCATGGAGACCTTTATGATGATCCACTTCTGCTTGATGAATAGTAAATGTATTTTCCCTTATCATTTCTTCTTCTTTTTTTTTTTTTTGAGACAGGGTCTCTGTCACCCAGGCTGGAGTACACTAGCACGATCATGGTTCACTGTAGCCTCAATCTCCCAGGCTCAAGTGATTCACCTGCCTCAGCCTCCTGAGTAGCTGGGACTACAGGTGCATGCCACCATGCCCCCACTAATTTTTTTTTTCAGAGGTAGGTTTTACCACCATGTTGGTTAGACTGATTTCAAACTCCTGGACTCAAGCAATCCACCTGTCTCGGCCTCCCAAAGTGCTGGGATTGTAGGCACTGGGCCCAGCCCCTTCCTTATCATTTCTTAATAACATTTATTTTTCTTCTAGCTTACTTTACTGTGAGAATATAGCATATAATACACATAAATATAAAATATATGTTAATCAACTGTTTACGCTATTATAAGGCTTTTGGATAACATCAGGCTACTGGTAGTTAAGTCTTGGGGGAGTCAAAACTTATATGTAAGTTTTTTACTGTGTGGGGGTGAGCAGCTCTAATCCTGGCTTTGTCCAAGGGTCAGCTATAGTGTCACAGAGCTATGATTTGTGGGTGTGCATTGGGTACATGTGGGTGCTTCCACGTGGCTTGCAGAGAATGGTTGTCACTTCTCCTCCAATAGGAGATGTCAGGACAAGGGGATCATTTTCTACAGGGGCCAAGTCTTCTCTTTTCATTCCCTTAAAATAGAAAGTCATCCAAGGTCACTCTTCTCCCCTTCCCCGTGCCTTCCTAAACTGCTCTCCAATGAGGGTAACACAAACTAACACATTTGATCCCTATAATATGTACCACACTTCACCGATTCTAGAAAAGGTAACAATTCTCTGATGATGATTATTCCCTCCTTCTTTACAGACAAACTCAGAGAAGTTAACTAACTTGCCCAAGTTTACGCAGCTAAGGGAACAAGCCTGGATTCAAACCTAAGACCTCAGGCTCTAAAGCCACCATCTGTCTCTTGCAGAGACAGTTCCTCAATGTTGAAGGAAAAATTTTTTCTCCTGAAAGACCACAGAAAGGATCCCCACATACTGCTGTAATAGGCTAACGCCCCTCTGTCCTTGCACTTTCCCATCTTTCCAACCCTCTGCTTGCCATCCTCAGCTCTGCCCATCCAGCCACCCCTCCACTTTCTTGCCTCATCAGCCCACCCCTTTTTTCATGGCTCCACTGCCACTCTTGTAGGAGTGTGTAGTCCAGCTCTGAAATTACTCTCCTGAAAATGCTCATGCCTTCTTTGTGCCCTTGTCCTTTCATTCTCACCACCTGTTAAAATCCAACCTTGGATAAACCCACAGAGAACTTCCTTCTCTGTGCCTGCCTACTGGGAGGACACAACAGTGCTGGAGAAAACCACGCAGGGCTCTCAAAGAGTGTCCAGACATTTTACCATATTTTTCTGGTCAGCTTCCTGTCTCTCCCCCAGTGAAACCTTCAAGGGTTCTCCCTTCTCTTCCAACCTTCCATTCCTCATCAGCCCACTTATCCTCAGCAGATGCCTGTCCTTTTCTGAGAAATGGAATCCATTAGCCAGGAACTCCCTCCACCTGAGTTACCAAATCAGCAATCCCACCTGCTCTGCATTCTGGACTTCCCATGCAGGATGTACATAGGTTGACTCAAGTCCATCTCATTTGTGTTAAACTTTAAAAATTCCAAGTTTCTGTTTTCTTTGAGAGAGTGTTACTTGCTTTCAGACTGCAATGTATATATTCTCTCCCATACTGATGATCACTTTTTGGTTATTGTCATAAACCTGAGTGCATGACCACCATAGTGTTATTCATAGAAGTCTACTTGATGTTACTAAGTTGTTCCTGGTTCAACTTTAGTACAATATCTAGATCACAGGACCCAGGTTCGAAAATGGAAATCTGCAGCATTCAAGGACAACAAAAAGTGATGTGCATAATAATTACATAATTGAAATCTTTAAATTTCAATGTAATACAAATAAATCTCTATGATTCTCCCCTACCCCCACCACGAATGATGTCTTTCCACCCAAGGTATTTATTTTTAAAAACAAAAGTGTAAAGATAGAGCTGGCCTTAGGCAAAAAACGTAGGAGACTTTGCTTTAATCATTTGCCCCCAAATCCTAATACAGTAGAAACACTTTAGGCAGATAGACCTGGTTATCAATTCCAGCACTGTTTCCTTCCAGCTGAGTAACCTTGGGTGAGTTAACTCACATCACCTAAACTCAGTTCCCTCATCTATAAAATGGGGTTAATAATATTTAGCTAGCAGAGGATTCAATGATGCAAGATATTAGAGTATTTGGCACATATTAGGTGCCAAATAATTATAGGTTTTATTATTATTCTTTTTAGTGTTCCTAGTAAAGTCACTCATATCATAGCCCCAGATCTTTAACTTCTTATATCCCTAGGCAATACATACATTCACTTTAAAAAGACTTTGTCTGTAAACTTCTGCTTCCAGCCACCAGAAAGTAACAAGGATAGAATTTATTCTCCTACTTTAAACAACTCAAAAATCAAACAAAATATATGAAATGACGGTTTTCAGATACTGTACAACAAAAAGTACAGGATAGTGATCATTGAGAGACGGGAAATAAATGAAGTGAAACTTATGATAGTCCCAGCCACTGTCTAGAAGGTTTCCAGGGCTTAATGCAAGGAAGAGAAACCAGAACAGAGCCTGAGGTCTGTCTGAATTAGACATCTGGGGAAACCAATGCCCCTGGAAATTTCAGGGCAGAGTACAAGAGAGGAAGGAGCCAATCAGAGAGAGAGAGCTTTGGAGATCTTCAGAGGTCCCCTCAGAGTCTGTGGCTGCATGTTGATTAGGAGAGACGGAGAGGGAAGTGCAAAGGCTGGGGCAAAAGCCACAGATGGAACCTTTCTGAAGCTCACAAAGGACAGGGAGTAGCTCAAGTTCTCGAGATCCAGAGAGAAGCAACCTCGCAATATGCCAGGAAAGAGTTCCCAGAAGTGTTTTGCCTCAGAAACCGGATGAAATTATCTCCAGTCTAAAGGCTGCTTAGATCCATTAACCCAAGTATAAAATCAAAGCCTTGAGAGAATCAAACTGTTTCCAAGGAACTTGACTGCATCTCAAAACAAACAAACAAACAAACAAAAACTTAAAAATATTTTAAAGAAGACAAAAAAGGAAAGAAAAAAAAATCCAGCACCTGACAACATAAAATTCACAACGTCTGGCAACCAATAATAAATTAGTAGGCATGCAAAGAAACAGAAAAATAAGACCTATCATAAAGATAAAAATCAATCAAGACAGAGATTCAGAAATGTCACAGATAATAGAATCAGTAGATAAGCACACTAAAACAGCTATTATAAATATACTCCATCTGTGCAAGAAGGTAGATGAAAGCATAACCATGATAAAGAAAGACAGGGAAGATACATTTTTAAAAAAGAAGGAATCTGAAAATATAATGCTCAATTATGAGAAAAATAAATCATGGATGTCAAATAAGGGGGCTGGAGGTCATAGTTACTCTTCATATCTAACTGATTGAAGACAGAAAATCTATAGTTTAGACAGTCTAAGGACCAAGTATAAAAGTGACTTTTCCAGGTATTATGCATTTTATGTAATTATTTATATAAATGAACCAAATTACATATTCATTCAACTATATAGTTACCAAGCACCCAGCTTTAATGATAGAGGAAATACAAAGATGATTAGCTACAGTTCTTTCCCATAGAAGAAGTCCAGCACAGTCTGTTAGACAGATGATAGAATAATTATATTAGCACATAAATGACATGTGCTTACAATTCAAGAATGCAGTATGTAACACACTGTAAACTAGAAGGCAGGCTGCAGAATAATAAAAGGAAATAAAAGCAAACAGTGGATCTGGAGCAGAAGTCCCCTACGCAATTAATCCATAGTTACAAATAAAAGACTTTGACATTAACCCAATGCAAAAATCCAATATACAATAATTCACATGCATGCACACACATATATACACACACTTATATCAGTATAGAAACACTCAAACTCATTCTAATATGGGAATTTAATTGTCTGGCTTTTCTTTCTACTCTCTGCTGAATTAGAATGTCCACTCTGAGCAGAGGATGCATTTCCTAGTGTGGAATGCAAATATTTTCCCTCAGCTTATTGGGCTGTTAAAGATACTGAAGCTTCTCTACTCCAGAGGAAATCAAGAAAATTAGGGAATGTATGTATTTGTGATATATACACATACAAAAATTATATATTATAGATTATATATTTAATACATGTACATATGTCAATATGCATGCAATTATTTAAAAATATTTCTCTAGTTTTAGTCTAGTGAGTAAGAATGTGGCCACCATAGTTCTAAAGGCTAATGAGTGGTACATATACCAGAGTACAACAGAGCAAATAAAGATTAAGCTAATCAAGAGGTGCAAACTGGAATAAAATTTAAATATATATGTATTTGTTGTAGTATACATAGGATGAAAAAATTTTTATATTAATAATTCAGAAGAGGTCGATCTAATGCTAAGCAAGTAAATTTATCTTATTCATTCCATGGAATAGAAAAGTGACTATATTATATTAAGCATTTAACAAAAGTTTGTAACATCTCTAGCTAACAAGGATATAGGCTTTTGTCATTTGTGGAGAACAATCTTTGATTTGCTTTAAGTGATGTCAGTTACCTTATATAGTACATGGGATAGGCCAAAGCAAATCTTTTTTGGAAACAGATTTTACACATTCTCTTATCTCTAGAAATACTGTAGACAGGCTGGGTGCAGTGGCTCACACCTGTAATCCTACCACTTTGGGAGGCTGAGGCGGGCAGATTGCTTGATCAAGCCCAGGAGTTAGAGCCCAGCCTGGGCAACATGGTGTGAATTCCCATCTTTCCTAAACATACAAAAAATTAGCTGGCACACATCTGTGGTCCCAGCTACTCGAGAAGCTGAGGTGGAGAATCACCTG
Source organism: Homo sapiens (assembly GCF_000001405.40). Taxonomy (NCBI): domain Eukaryota; kingdom Metazoa; phylum Chordata; class Mammalia; order Primates; family Hominidae; genus Homo; species Homo sapiens. Next base: position 43,403,760 of record NC_000013.11, read on the forward strand.
AGCCCGGGAAGTTGAAGCTGTAGTGAGCTGTGATCAGGCCATTGCACTCTGGCCTGGATGACAGAGTAAAATCTTGTCTCAAAAAAAAAAATAAATAAATAAAAAGAAAGAAAAAGAAACAAAAGAAATATTGTAGACACACACACATCAGCTTAGCACTAGGATGCAAGTTGCAGGACAGCATGTGTAGCGTCTATGGCAGTGCCTGCACATGGCAGGTGCTCCATATTCCAGTCCCATTGGATGTATCTAGGCCATCTACCTCTGCCCCATCTACCTCTGCCATCCCTTTTTGGACAGCAGCCTTCTAGATACAAACCCAGCCTCCCTCCCCTCTTGCCATTCTTCAATGCAGTCTCTATAAAACAAGTCAGATGCTTTTTTGTTAGCAGAAATAAAGAAACAAAACACACGAGTCACAGGTCACTTATCTCCTTAAAACTTCAGTAGTTTGCACTTCAAATAAAGTCTGTACTCCAAGCTTTGGAAGGCATGGTCTGGCCCCAGCCTATCCTACCAGACTTGAGTTAAGCACCAACCTGCCAATCCCACTCCATCCCAACCACCACCTCTGGCCCACATACACCCACTTTTCTCTTCTTTGAAGAGGATAAGCTCCTTTCATCTCAGGTCTTTGAACAGGACATTTTCTGCTTTTAGAACTTTCTCATCTTTTCAAATTCTCCATTTCTTTCTGCTCTTCCTTCCTGCTAACTAGATAAGTCTAATTTATCCTTTAGGTCTTAGTTTGAATATTACTACTTTAGGGGAACCTTTTCTGAAGCTTCTCCAATACCTCCAAACAAAGTTAGCCTCCCAATTCCTCTTTGTAACATCCCACAATTATAATTAGTCATTTGTATAATTATTTGATAACATCTTCTTTAGAGATACGTGTTCTCCATAAGAGCATCACTGGTCGGTCAGGCCAATTGCTGTTCCTCTAGTGCCTTGTAAAAAATGCTGTAATACTGTGGTGAGTAAATAAATATACCAATGTAATGTCCTAATGTCCTGGGGAAGAAAGGGTAAGTAAATGCATAGAGTGTAACAGAACTGTCACAAGTACATGAAATCAGGTACATAAATTGTGAAACATAAGTCAAGGGCCTATTTGTTTTCTGACACTTGATAGTGAGAAATCTTTCAACAAGATGGAAAATAAAAACAAAAGAGAACTCTGAGCATCATCCTTTAGAGACCCCCACTGGTACCCGCCAGGCTGTCTGTATCCCCTTCATCATGGCTGTGTCAGAGAATGCCACCATTAATATCTGAAGGGACTAAAGAAAGAAACTTTGCTGGTATAAGTATGATTTTCATTTTAAAAACAAGCATGTGGGGTGGTTTATCAACAGACAGTCCTGAGTGTATTTGTAAGCTGAAGAGACAGTTTCAGGCAGGATTTCCAGATTCTATTTTTTTATCTCTGACCACTTCTCTCATTTCAAATCTTGGAGCCCTGAAATAGTAGGAATGTAGTGGGACACAAGAGAGGGATCTGGAGACCTGGCTGCAGGGTAGGCTGAAACTTGAAGGAGCATCTGAGAGCTTCTTCCTAATTTCACAGCAGAGGTGCGTCTGGGCGTTACGGTCCCCAGGGCGTCAACAACCATCCCTATGTTGTGGCCACCAAAGCCATACCTCCATCAGGCCTTCCTTCCTGCTTGCCAGGCCCATAAATCTCCCTGCTCAACACAGGTTTTCTTTCAACAGGTTCCTCAAACTCAACATATCCAAAAGGAAATGAGCCATCTTACCCATCCTTCTCTTTCAGCCTTCCCCACCTTCTAAGCAAATGGCTCTATGGTTAACCCCACTTGCAAGTCTAGAAGCCTAGGAGTCACTGTTGATTCTTCACTCTCCTTATGTTCCATGTGGTCTTAGTCATCCATTCCTGTGGTTTCTACAATGAAATGTCTCATGAATCCCTTCAGGTTACTCCATCTGTACTGCTCAGGATAATCGCTGGCATTACTGCCATCACTGTCTCTTATCTGGGTAACTCCTGTCTGGTTGCCAACCTTTCCACACCCCCATCAGTCCTCTATAGGGGTTACAAACATGCTCTGTAAAAATATAATTCTGATCCTGCTACTCCCCTGCTTAACTTTCTTCAGTGACATCCTATAGCACCCTTTATCTATTAGTAGCATAACCACTTATCATGTTAATTTGTTTTTGTGTATTTACTCTTTTCTGTTTCTCCCGCCACTCTAAAGCATGACAGTAAGGTCTATGTCCTGTATTCCCAGTATTTAGCATAACATCTGGCTCAATAAATCTCAGTTAAAAGAGTGATGCTTGAGGAGATGAAAGGATTTAACAAATCCCTCTTCATATCTGGGCATATTAAAGAGGATAAAGGTGTTCCTGTGAGGATTAAACAACCCAAGAAGGAAATTAGAAAAAAGTACTCTGAGGAAGCAGAGAAGAATGAAAATAAGTGGAAACACCAGTGAATGGGAGAGGGTAGTGAAGGGGACGGAGAAGGACTTGCAACCTATCTTGGCGTTCCATGAGATAGAAAGCTAAGTTCTTCTCAGAATGGCAGGAAACAGAAGCAGTGACAGTGAACCCAGAGCTTCTGAAAAAGAAACAGCAAGGTATGAGCCAAGGAACACTTAAGGGTGCTGATAGACCCTTACAAGTGTGAAGAAGTCTTTTGTTGGCTCCAAATTAGTCACTGATAAAGGATGTGGCTCTATGTAGTTAATTGGGAAGTATGTTGTCTTTTTTTTTTTTTTTTTTGAGACAGAGTCTCACTCTGTCACCCAGGCTGGAGTGCAGTGGCGCCATCTCGGCTCACTGCAAGCTCCGCCTCCCGGGTTCACGCCATTCTCCTGCCTCAGCCTCCCGAGTAGCTGGGACTACAGGTGCCCGCCACCATGCCCTGCTAATTTTTTTGTATTTTTAGTAGAGATGGGGTTTCACCGTGTTAGCCAGGATAGTCTCAATCTCCTGACCTCTTGATCCGCCTGCCTCAGCCTCCCAAAGTGCTGGGATTACAGGAGTGAGCCACCGCGCCCGGCCAAGTATGATGTCTTTTTGGAACATGTGTTTAAAATAGCACAAATGGCATGCTAAGAAGCTTGGAGTAAAAGATGTGCATCACCCCAGAGTCAATAATGGCTAAAGAAATATTGTTGACAATAGGAAAGGAGATTTCAAAAAGTTTATAGAAAAGCAAGGTATTATCTCACGGCCAGAGAATATCCAGAAAGCACTATTAGTTCCCATGCAGGCCTGGGCAAGAAACTTAAAACCTGGGTACTCAGCTCCTGCTTTTCAGCTCTCCTTCCAGTTGATGATTATAACTTTGGAAAAGAAATTAAGTTATACAGGAAGAGAGCAGCTGGTCACACAAGAGGTGCCAAAGCTTGGGATTTGATATTCTAGATTTCAACTTGTGACACCAGAGGTGGGGCCTTCTGAAAAGGGACAACGTGTGCCACAGAAAACTGAGAAGAAGGTTTCAGGCAACACCTGACCCAAATTTTGAAATTTGAGATTAGGGAGTGACACTGTTCAGCACAAACATAAACAAAATTGTGAACTAGATCATGCAGAGGATATCATATGAGGCATAGAAGGATGGATGGTAGTGGAGAAGGATCTCCACAGTGAATATTCTAGCGTCTCACGAGAGGCTCACAGGTTTGTTTTTTAATTAATTTTTAAATTTTACTTTAAGTTCTGGGATACAGAATGTACAGGTTTGTTACATAGGTATACATGTGCGATGGTGGTTTGCTGTACCTATCAACCCATCATCTAGGTTTTAAGCCCCGCATGCATTAGGTATTTGTCCTAATGCAGGCATTTTTTAAAGGCTAAATTAAGTTAGGAATTGTACGTAGTAGATCCCACTCTTTGAGAACTACTTATTGCACATTAGCATAGTAAAGGCCTTGGGAAAACCTACAAAGAAAGCAATTTATCTACGTTTAACCCAGAGTTTGCCACCATTGTTAGGCCACCTAAGTATAATACTTATGTGACCTCCACTCTACCTTACAACAGTGGAACACGAATGTTCCAACAGATTGGTTTAAAAAACCTAGATCTACACCAATGCACAAAGTATTGACAACAAACACAAATCAAAGGCAACAAAAAAACTTCACAAAACCAAAACAAAGTATGGGGAATAAAACAAACAAGAAACAATAATGGAGGTAAGTATCATCTCACAGAACAGCCAGGACTTTGGAGTATGGGATTTAGGATTGGGGTATAACTGTGTAATGGTATATTTGGGATAAAAGGAACAAATTCAATGTAATGATCTCAAGTAGCACTTCCTGTGAAGAAGGTAAACAGAGAAGTTCATAAAGGTGGGAGCAG